>NC_000009.12:25010000-30010000 GCF_000001405.40 Homo sapiens
TTAATATTTTTCAACAAATTGATGGCCTTCTCATGAATTAACTTGAGAAAAAACAACATTGATGTTGATTTTCTAGTAATAATATTAAGCCTTTCAAGTAATAAAATTGAAATGGGCTGACATCATTACATGTTACTGAAAGTGCAACATTGCCTTTACTTTTTCTTTGATGAATTACAGTTATGTAGACACGTAACACCACAGCATTTTACATATTGTATGATTAATAGGTTGTTCTTCAAAGAGGTTGCTAATACTGAATACATTATACATGCCAATATGCCTTACGCACTGCCCTCTCACTTCTTTTACTTTTTTAATTATATTGTTTCATTTTTATAATCATTCTATGTCTATTTTTTACTAGCATTTACAGCTACCACTGAATTTATTAGATACAATGAAGTTAATAATGTTTGTGAAATTCCTCAAAACTAAGCACATATAGTAAATGTCTCAACAATGACATCATTGATTCTAGATTATGAATCCTGGTATGCTACACATTGTTTGAAAGCAAAACTGATGCATTGTGCTGTGGAGTAGTGATTTGTTTTATTTCTGATAATTCAGAAGTTGAATTACTAAATTAGAAAAGCTTCTGTAGGAAGTCCTACTTCTGGTATGAGTGTATGAGGACCTCTGTGGAACCCCTCCCCAATGAAACTGCTAAAAATTACTAAAAATATAAGTCATTTAAGGTTTATTGAATTTTATGGAAAAAAATCTAAACATTTTTAAGATGAGAGAGACCCAGTGGTGTCTGAACTAATATCCATGCTCTCCCTTTGCCTTCTCACCTCAGCAACACAGAAAGTTCATTCAAGGGTAGAACAGCCAAGGCACAAGACTACTTTTCCCCCAGTCCAAGTAAGAGGAACATTTTCCTGATATAGGCAACATGTCAGTGTTTTTCATCTTTCCCCCAACTTTCTGCTGCTGAGGCTAAGTTCTAGGTTAGTAAAGCCAAGAGGTGAGGGCTCTCTTCTTCTACCCTATTCCCATTTGTGAGATAGAGGCTTGCCGAATATATTGGGGTCTGATTGTCTTGCTTGGGCTCAAAGAATGGGGTTTCTATAACAGAAAGGCAAATCAGGGAGATCTGAGTTTGTTATGCTTTAAATTCACCAAGAGCTCAGTTTATAAAGTGGGAATTCCACCTCCAAAGAAGGGCACCAAGGTTTTGCTCCTAGAACCCGACCAGTAGTTCAGAGATTTTCCCCAGAGGTAGAAATAGAGACAAGCTGAGAACAGATAGCTCCCATTCCCTATGGTAAAATATTTGAACAGAGAGTTATGTCATAGAATGTGGGGAGGATGGATTCCTCTCACATTAGACTAATTAAAATATTTTGTCTCACCTAAGGCAAACAAAAATTAAACCACTGGAGAATGTTGGTTTAGGGCACAACTTTGAGACAGACCCACTAAAAGAGTGACATTTAATCATAAGATTATAGAAAACTGTTTCTCAGTCACAATTTACCGTGATATCAATGGGGATTCAGTATAGTAACAAAAGATTATAAAAGAAAGACCTGTCAGACAGAGATTCTCTCTGAAGTGTAGTACTTTCGGAAACACAAAGTCAAGAGTGGAGACCAAAATGAAATTAAGAAATTTGAAACCTTTTATACCTACAGTAATAGAAAACAATAAACTGACCTCTTAGCCAGGTTAACATAAACCTTCACACAAACACCTATTTACTTCGTACAAAATACCAGGCTTTCAACAAAAATTTATGAGACATGTTAAAAGACAAAAACTTTTTTTATAAACATAAAAATAGAAAGATAAAATCTGAAGAGACAGAGAAAGAATCATACACCAAATCAAATATGTTGGAATTATCAGGAGAGATTTAAAGCAATTACGATTAGTATGTTAAAGGCTCCAAAGGAAAAAAAAAAGTAGATAATATGGTAGAAGAGATGAGTAATATAAGCAGAGAGAGAAAACCCTAATAAATACTCAAAAGGAAATGCTAAAAATAATGTAAAGAAAATTAAAAAATCCTTCTGATTGGCTCATCAGCAGACTAGCCATGGCAAACAAAAAATAAGTTAGCTTGAAAGAGATCAACAGAAACTTTATAAACTTAAGTGCAAATTTAGAAAAAAGAATTTTATAAAGAAAATGTTTAAGAACTTTGCAGTAATTTCAAAAGGCACAATACATGTATAACTAGAAAAATAGCAAGAGAAGAAACAGCAAAAAGAAAAAAATACTTGAAGTAAAAATAATAATGGACAAGAATTTTCCAAAATTAATGATAGACATCTAACTACAAATTCAGGAAGCTCACAGACCACAAAGCAGGATAAATAACAAAATATCTAAACCTATGTATATCATATCCAAACTGAAGAAAACTAAAAGCAAAGATAAAATTTTAAAAGAAGCCAGAGGAAAAAACCACCATATTATAGAACAAAAATAATAAGAATTACTGTGGACTTTTTATCAAAACCAAGCAAAAATAAGAGTGAAATAAAATATGTGAAATGTTGAAAGAAAATCCTTTTTAAAAAACGCAAAATTCCATATGCAGAGAAGTTATCCTTCAAAAGTAAAAGAGAAATGAAAAATATTCTTATACAAACAAAAACTGAGAGAGTTCATCACCAGCAGAACTGCTTCAAAAGAAATGTTAGATGTTATTCAGGCAAAGTAGAATTATATAGGTCAGAAACTTGTATCTACATTAAAAAAGGCAGAGTATTGGGTAAGGAATAAATTAAATAGGTAGAACTGGAAATACTCTTTAATAATGTGTGCATAATGTGCATTATACAATATTGTGCAATTTGTAAGTGAAGTTAAATTGTGTTATGTAAACCCTAGGGAAAACACTGTTTTAAAAAATGCTATTGATATGCTAAGAGAGATTTATAAAACAAAATCACAAAGTACTCATTTAAAAAAAGAGAAGTCAGAAAAGCAGGGATATAAAAGAATAAATTCAACAAACATAAAAATGTTAAAACACAGTACATATGAATCCAACTGTATTTATAATGAGTATAAATGTGTTAAATACATGAATTAAAGACAAAGATTGAGTGGATAAATAACACCACCTAGAAATATGCTGTGTACACAAAAGCCCACTCTAAATATGAAGACTTGGATAGGTTAAAATAAAGAGATGGAGAAATATAGACTGATAACTTCAATGAAAAGAAAGCTAGAATAACTGTTAATTTCAGACAAAACTAACTTCAGGACAAAGAAAATTATCAGGAATAAACAGAGACTTTTATAATGAAGAAGGGGTTAATTCTTCAAGAAGGCATAACAGTCCTTAACATGCATGTGCCTAACAACATCACCTTAAAAATGATATAGAACTTGAGAAAACTTTAAGGAGCAATACACAAATACATTATTACAATTGGAGAATGCAATAACCCTTTTTTAGTAATTGAAAGATCAAGCAGCCAGAAACTCAAGAAGGATGTGAATGAGCTGAATAGTAAAATCAATCTAATCAATTTAATTTACATTTATAGAATAAACATCATAAAACAGCAGAACACATATTATTCTCCAGCTCACATGAAATATTCACCAAGACAGAGCACATTATGTACCAAAAAGCACACATGAACAAATTCAAACAAAAAATGATAGAAAGTATGCTCTAAGATGAAAATTGGCATAAATTAGAAATACATACAGGAAAGAAAGCTAGAAATCTCCCAAATATTGAAAATGAACAACATACTTCTAAATAATATGTGGGTGAAGGAAAGCATCTCAATAAAAAACAAAAACTAAGACAAAATGAAAATTAATATTTGTGGGATGCACCAAAAGCAACACTAAATTTAAAGGGAAACTTATAGCATTAGATGGGTATATTATAAAAGAAGTTTTCTCTATCTCTCTACAGCCCTTCATCTTTCTCCCCTTTTCTCACTGTATATCTCCCTTCTTCTGTTATGCAAAATAAAAAACCTGATAATAAGAATGATCTAATATCAATAACCTAAATTTCCACCATAGGACACTTGAGAAAAAGAGTAGCTTACTCCCAAACAAGGAGGGGAAAGAAATAAAACAATAAAGCAAAAATCAATTAAATTGAAAATAAGTAAACAATAAAGACAATCAATAAACTTGACAAAAGTCATTTGCTTTCCTATGAAGTACTGAAACTTGGAATTTAAAAAATGCCATTTACAACAGCACCTAAAAAATAAATAGGTATAAATTTAACAAAATATATAAAGAATCTAAGCGTGTAAAACTACAAAGCTGAGTAAGAAAATCAATGAAATTCAAATAAATAGAAAGATATTCCATGTTCATAGAATTTAGAACTCAATATTTTAAGCTGTTAAATTTTCTCAGTGTGATTTATAGTTTTAATACAATCCCAATTAACTTCTAGCAAGCTGTTTTGTAGATACTGACAACTTGATTCTAATGTTTATGGGAAAAAGCAAAAGCCCTAGAATAGCCAACATGACATTGAAGAATAAAGCTGGAGAACTCACACTACCCAATTTCAAAACTTAATACAAAATCACAGTAATAAATGTTATTATTTTATATACATTAATGGAATAGAAAGGAGAGCCCAGAAATAGATTTGCACAAATATCATCAGGTAATCTAACAAAGGAGCAAGAGCAATTCAGTGAAGAAGGAATAAACTTTTCCACATATGCTGTTGGAACAATCAGACTGACCACATGTAAAAAAATAAACCTGCACACAAACCTTAGATCCTCAATATGGATCACAGATCTAAAAGTAAAAAAACAAAGACATAAAACTTCTCTAAGGATAACATAGGAAAAACACATACCATATTTACCTTTGATAATGAGTTTTATATACAACATCAAAACACAATCCATAAAAAAATGGATGCGTAGGAGTTTATTGAATTTAAAACTTCTCTGTTAAAAAGAATACAAAGAGAATGATATAGTAAGCCACACACTGGAAGAGAATATATGTGAAACACGTATTTGGTAAAAGACTTGTATCTAAAATTTTTGAAAAAGTGAAAAAAAAACACAACTTTTAAACACTTCTTAAGAAAACAAACCACCCAACCAATTAAATATGGACATATTTTAAAACAGACACCTCACCAGAAAAGACAGAAAGAGGGCAAATAAGCATATAAAAAAGATGTTCAGTCATTTGTTATTATAAATTAGTTGACACAAAAAATGAGTAACATTACTTTGAGAATGGCAAGAAATGTTAATGTCATTTTCTGGGAGATATATCAAGCAGTAATAACACTCATTCATTGCTAGTAGGGATGCAAAATAATACTGCCACTTGGAAGACTATTTGGCAGATTTTTACAATGATATACATAGTTTTACCATATGACCAGCAACTGCACTTCTGGGTATTTACTCAACTAATTTGTAATGTTATTTCCACATACAAATCTGCGTGTGAAGGTTTACAGCAACTTTATTCATAATCATCCAAAACTGGAAGCACACAAAATTTCCTTCAGTAGAAGAACTGATAAATGTATTGTGGTATATCCATATAACGGTATATTATTTATTCATAAAAAGGAAACAGGAGGGTGTCAGATGTGATGACGGAATGCAGACTATGACAAGAGAATCTAACTGCATTATAAATGTATGACCAACCTCTCTTAAGGGGGTTGGGGGAGCAAGTTTCTAACAACTAAATTTGAAAATGAGAGGAGTCTATAAGACTAAAGGCAAAGCAAAACAAACATAGACGCTGCACTCTAATTTATAATGTTTTTTTGCACATGGTTAGGCTTCAACAATTCCAATACTTTTATTCATGTACTAGAATTGAATAATTAAATAAATATATGTTTGATGACAGGAAACAAGTTTCTCACTGTTGAAGTGTTAAGGTCATATATCTAATCAAGGGAAATAGTGATATTTTTGATACAGTGACATCAGTAAGAATTCATGTTTAGCTTGATGTAAATATAGTCTTACAGATATTTATATATGTGTTATAGGTATGTATTATAGATTGGTGTAAGTATATAGGTTAGGATATGCACATGCATTTCCTTGTACTGTCAGCTCAGAAGTTCTAGATTCAATGACATCTCATAGCAATGAGCAAACCTAGCACCTAGATCTTAGTTTCTAATGTAATTCTCCAGTAATAGGAACTAGAGATCCTTGTCTAGACTATTCTAGGAATGAGGGAGAAAATATAAAAGATAATCTTGAATCATCTTGCATAATAGAAAGTAATAAAGTACTAATAAAACACACACTGTTATGACCTGTATGTATCCTCTCCAAATTCATGTTGAAAGTTAATTGCTGATGTGCTGCTATTAAGAGGTGGGCCTTTAGTGGGTGATTAAGTCATGAAGGCAGAGCCTTCATGGGATTAGTGGCCTTATAAAAGAGGTGCAATGAGCTGTTCTCTCCTTCCACAGGGTAAGGACACAGCTACAAGGTGTCTCTTTGAGGCAGAGAGCAAGCTCATACCAGATGCTGAATATGTCAGCATCTTGATCTTGGATTTCCCAGCCTCCAGAACTGTAAGGAGTATATTTCTGCTGTCCATAAATTTCCCAGATTAATATATTTGTTATAGCATCTCGAATGAGCTAAGACACACACACACACACACACACACACACACACACACACACAGAGAGAGAGAGAGAGAGAGAAAGAGAAAGAGAGAGAGAGAGAGACACGAAGAAACGTTACCTAATCAAAAGGAATTGCACAATAAAACTTCGAACAAACCACTCTCCCCAGTGTCAAAGGAACACAAGATACAATCAAAAGCACTCCCAATGGCCAAAACTGAAACAATCTGAGACAGAATAAAGTAGTTTTGGATTTTAACTCAAAGTCTAAAATAAATATTCACAAATTCATAAGTAACTGATTAAATACACAAATAATTGGGATGTGTGTGTATGTGTGTATGTGTGTGTGTGTGTATGTGTTTGTGTATATTTATATATAATTCAGGCTTGAGCCATATTAATAAGGAAATAGAATATTTTGTTTTTTCTTTTCAATTAAGTTTAGGTGAAGAATGCCAAGGAGTAAGGAATGCCCAGTGATGGGTGGTAGAAGATAATATCTGAAGAAATATGATGAGATTAAACTTATTTTTCTTTATGATTTAGTAAAAGATTTTGAAGTCAAATTGGTACCTGAGGCATTGTAACAAGAAATCAAGACTAGTAAGATATTTGGGTGACAAGACACAATTTTACTTATTTTGTCACAGCAACAAAGAATATTTTATCACTATTAATAGTAATTGTTTATTATGAACAATAAATCATAATAAAATAACATGGAACACTGTAATGCCCTTCACCTCCCCCTTCTCATACCTGAATGGCATATAATCATTTGTCTGGAGCTCATAACTCAGAAGTCAGTAACTTAACAGCCTGTAGGCCAAATCAGCTAAGCTTTTGTTTTTCCTCCAAATGTTTTCTTTCCTTTCTTTTCCCTCCCTCCCTCCCTCCCTCCCTCCCTCCCTCCCTCCCTTCCTTCCTTCTCTCTCTGGTTCTTTCTATGGAATGTCAACATTTAAAATCCATTAAGATGTCTTAATAAACGAATGAATTTTTGCTTCTGGTTTCACACAGGAAACTGGAAGATATAACAATTTAAACATCCAACAAGCTCGCTCTTACTACTACTTACTATTCTGTGGTCCACAGACCAATAGCAGCAGCAGCACCCGGGAACTTATTAGAAATTAAAACTTCTGCTTTTTACTTAGTTGTAGACCACTGGATAAAGTGCATAAGATATGCAATTAACTGAAGCCAAGCAATAATTCTCACCTATTAACATCAGCAAATAAAAAGTATAGTTAACTCTAACATGTAAAAAATAAAACTAGCAAGTAAAACCAAAAGAACTATTCTGGAAGCCAAGGAGCTTAAACATCTACGGAGAAAATTAAATTCAACCTCTTAGAGACAGGTCTTTTTATTTATTTATTTATTTATTTATTTATTTATTTATTTATGTTAGTTTTTGCTTTAAGAGACACAGTGATAAGTATTAATGTAATAAGAAACATATGAATATATTCAACTTAAGAAAATTCATATCCAACTTCTACAGAATACAGCTGAACACATTCAACTTATTCAAACTTGTCTACTCTAGCATATGTGGCATTAACTCCATATCTTCTCATTTACAAAACCATTCAACATTCTGGAAAATAATTCCACAGGAAATAAATATATATTTCTATTGTGCTTGCATGCCAGTGTTGAATACCCTGATCTGAACGTATTTTTTGTTAACAACTGCTATTTTATCCCTAATAGTGGTAGTGTTTCAATCTTTTATACAACATTCATACTTCATCAATGAGTAGAAATGAGATTTGCCTTCCCCAGTGGGGTTTATGGCAACCTGCTTCATGTGTGCTTTATTAGGAACAGCAATTCCACCTTATAGTGTCATTTCGTCTTCAGGAGTTTGGACTTTCAATTTCAGTAATTTATCAATTGACATAAACATTATCCAGTTTTCAATTGTAACTTTAAGTTAATAGTGAGACTTTATTAAGCACCTATTCTTATATCAACATGATATTAGCATCAAGAAGACCCCCTTGAAGTGATTTCATGATTGACATTTTAATGCTTAAATAACTATTAAGGAGGGTTTTGGAAAATATATATGTATACACATATATACATAAAATATATTAACATAAATTCATGCATATATTTATATACTTATATATGTGTACATATTTACATATAAAATATATATGTATACATAAGTATACATATATACATATAAAACATATATGCATATATTCATATACATACATGTATACATATATACATGTATATATATGTGTGAGTTAACATGCTCTTTTATAAACATGCTGTTTATGTATGTTTTTAATTTCTATTATGTATTTATGGCTAGTAGCTAAATAGAATTTGATATATGTAGCAGAGAAGAAAAGTTAAATTATTTTTAACCACTATATCAAAGTGTGATTAACATACAAAAAACTACAGATATTTAATGTACACAATTTTATGTGTTTGGAAATAAGTATACACTGATGAAATCATCAAACATCACTATTAATTTATCAAATTTTCAAATCTAAATTTTGTTTATACTGTTATTAAAGAATAAGCATGCTAATTAAGAGAAAGTGTTGACTAAGCCTAAGGGTCTTATATGGAATGGAAGGCAGTTAAAACTCAAACATATTAATTATTAATGAACTTTATTTGTATTAATGAAAGAAGAACAGTTACATAAAAAATGGTCACTTTGGACAGATGAAAACTAAGAAAATTCAAATATATTCATTTGCAAATTGCAAATAGTTCCTATATGTTACATAGATTGATCATCTTTTGATCTACCCCTTTGAGAAAAGTATATTTGTACCAATTTACATTTGCTTTTACTAAAAGAACCTATATTTACATAGAGGTACATGATTGTGTGGCAAAGTTATTAACAGGTCCAAATCCCAGTTAAACAACATAATTGTATGGATATAATATTGACTTTTCATTTATTTATGTATTTATGTATTTAATTTTAATTTTTTAAATTTTTAAAATTTTACTCTAAGTTCTGGGAGACATGTGCAGAACGTGCAGGTTTGTCACATAGTTATACATGTGCCATGGTGGTTTGCTGAACCTATCAACCCATCATCTAGGTTTTACGCCCCGCATGCATTAATATTTCTCCTACTGTTCTCCCTCCCCTTGCCCCCCACTCCCTGACAGGCCCCAGTGTGTGATGTTCCTCTCCCTCTGTCCATGTGATCTCACTGTTCAACTCCCATATATGAGCGAGAACATGCGATGTTTGGTTTTCTGTTCCTGTGTTTGCTGAGAATGTTGGTTTCCAGCTGCATCCGTGTCCCTGAAAAAGACATGAGTTCATTATTTTTTATGGCTGCATAGTATTCCATTGTGTATATGTGCCACATTTTCTGTATCCAGTCTATCATTGATGGGCATTTGAGTTGGTTCCAAGTCTTTGCTCTTGTAAATAGTGCTGCAATAAACATATGTGTGCATGTGTCTTTATAGTAGAATGATTCATAATCCTTTGGGTATATACCTAGTACTGGGATTGCTGGGCTAAATGGTATTTCTGGTTCTAGATCCTTGAGGAATCGCCACACTGTCTTCCACAATGGTTGAATTAATTTACATTTTCACCACTAGCGTAAAAACGTTCCTATTTCTCCACATTCTCTCCAGCATCTGTTGTTTCCTGACTTTTTAATGATCACCATTCTGACTGGCGTGAAATGGTATTTCATTGTGGTTTTGATTTGCATTTCTCTAATGACCGGTGATGATGAGATTTTTTTATCTTTTGTTTGTTAGCTGCATAAATATCTTCTTTTGAGAAGTTTCTGTTGATATACTTTGCCCACTTTTTGATGGGGTTGTTTTTTCCTTGTAAATTTGTTTAAGTTCCTTGTAGATTCTGCATATGAGCCCTTTGTCAGATGGATAGATTGCAAAAATTTTCTTCCATTTTGTAGGTTGCCCATTTATTCTGATGATAATTTCTTTTGCTCTGTAGAAACTCTTTAGTTTAATTAGATCTCATTTGTCAATTTTGGCTTTTGTTGCCATTGCTTTTGGTGTTTTAGTCATGAAGTCTTTGTCCATGCCTATGTCCTGAATGGTATTGACTAGGTTTTCTTCTAGGGTTTTTATGGTTTTAGGTTTTACATTTAAGTCTTCAATCCGTCTTCATTTAATTTTCATATAAGGTATAAGGAAGGGTCCAGTTTCAGTTTTCTGCATATGTCTGGCCAGTTTTCCCAACACCATTTATTAAATAGGGAATCCTTTCCCCATTGATTGTTTTTGTCAGGTTTGTCAAAGATCAGATGATTGTAGATGTGTGGTATTTTTTCTGAGGCCTTTGCTCTGCTCCATTCATCTATGTATCTGTTTTGGTACCAGTACCATGCTGTTTTGGTTACTGTAGCCTTGCAGTATATTTTGAAGTCAGGTAGCATGATACCTCCAGCTTTGTTCTTTTTGCTTAGGATTATCTTGGCTGTAGGGGCTCTTTTTTGGTTCCCTATGAAATTTAAAGTAGTTTTTTTTTTCTAATTCTGTGAAGAAAATCAATGGTAGGTTGATGGGAATAGCATTGAATCAATACATTACTTTGGGTATTATGACCATTTTCATGATCCATGAGCATGGAATATTTTTCCTTCCTATCCATGAGCATGGAATGTTTTTTCTTTCTATCCATGAGCATGGAATGTTTTTCCATTTGTTTGTGTCCTCTCCTATTTCCTTGAGCAGTGCTTTGTAGTTCCCCTTGAAGAGGTCTTTCACATCCCTTGTAAGTTGTGTTCCTAGGTATTTTATTCTCTCTGTAGCAATTGTGAACGTGAGTTAACTCGTGATGATTCTAGTCTTGTCTACTGTTGGCATATAGGAATGCTTGTGACTTCTGCACATTGATTTTGTATCCTAAGACTTGGCTGACTTTGCTCATCAGCTTAAGGAGTTTTGGTCTGAGACAATGGGGTTTTCTAAATATACAATCATGTCATATGCAAACAGAGACAATTTGGCTTCCTTTCTTCCTGTTTGAATACCCTTTATTTCTTTCTCTTGCCTGATTGCCCTGGCCAGAACTTCCCATACTATGTTGAATAGGAGTAGTGAGACAGTGCATCCTTATCTTGTGCCAGTTTTCAAAGGGAATGCTTCCAGCTTTTGCCCTTTCAGTATGATATTGGCTGTGGGGTGGTCATAAATAGCTTTTAATATTTTGAGATATGTTCCATCAGTACCTAGTTTATTGAGTGCTTTTAGCATGAAGCTGTGTTGAATTTTATCGAAGGCCTATTCTGAATCTATTGAGATAATCAGGTGTGTTTTTTTTTCATTGGTTCTGTTTATGTGATGGATTACATTTAGTGATTTTTGTATGTTGAACCAGGCTTGCATCCCAGGGATGAAGCCAACTTGATCGTGGTGGATAAGCTTCTTGATGTGCTGCTGGATTTGGTTTGCCAGTATTTAATTAGGATTTTCATATCGATGTTCATCAGAGGTTTTGGCCTGAAGTTTTCTTTTTTTGTTGTGTCTCTGCCAGGTTTTGATATCAGGTTGATACTGGCCTCATGAACTGAGTTAGGGAGGAGTCTTTCTTTTTGTATTGTTTGCAATAGTTTCAGAAGGTATGGTACCGGTTCTTCTTTGTACCTCTGGTAGAATTTGGCTGTGACTCAGGGATTCGACTGCTTCCTGGTTTAGACTTGGGAGGGTACATGGGTCCAGGAATTTATCCATTTCTTCTAGATTTTCTAGTTATTTTCGTAAAGGTGTTTACAGTATTCTCTGATGGAGTTTGTATTTTTGTGGGATCAGTGGTGCTCTCCCCTTTATCATTTTTTATTGTGTCAAATTGATTCTTCTCTCTTTTTTTCTTTACTAGTCTGGCTAGTGGTCTATCTATTTTGTTAATCTTTTTGAAAAACCAGCTCCTGGATTCATTGATTTTTTTAAGGGATTTTTGTGTGTCTTTCTCCTTCATTTCTGCTCTCATCTTAGTCATTACTTTTCTTCTGCTAGCTTTTGAATTTGTTTGCTCTTGCTTCTCTAGTTCTTTTAATTGTGATGTTCAGGTGTTGATTGTAGATCTTTCCAGCTTTTTGATGTGGGTAATTACTGCTGTAAATTTCCCTCTTAACACTGTTTTAGCTGTGCCCCAGAGATTCTAGTACATTGTGTCTTTGTTCTCATTGGTTTCAAAGAGCTTCTTTATTTCTGCCTTAATTTTGTTATTTACCCAGTCATCATTCAGCAGCAGGTTGTTCAGTTTCTATGTAATTGTGCAGTTTTAAGTTAGTTTCTTAATCCTGAGTTCTAATTTGATTGCACTGTGGTCTCAGAGACTGTTTCTTCTGACTTCTGTTCTTTTGCATTTCCTGAGGAGTGTTTTACTTCCAATTTTGTGGTCGATTTTAGAATAAGTGTTATGTGGTGCTGAGAAGAATGTATATTCTGTTGATTTGGGGTGGAGAGTTCTATAGATGTCTATTAGGTCTGCTTGGTTCAGAGCTGAGTTCAAGTTCTGAATATCCTTGTTAATTTTCTGTCTCGATCTGTCTAATATTGACAGGAGGGTGCTAAAGTCTCCCACTATTATTGTGTGGGAGTCTAAGTCTCTTTGTAGGTCTCTAAGAACTAGTTTTATGAATCTGGGTTCTCCTGTATTGGGTGCATATATATTTATTTAGGATTGTTAAGTCTTCTTGTTGCATTAATCCCTTTACCATTATGTAATGCCCTTCGTTATCTTTTTTGATCTTTGTTGGTTTAAAGTTTGTTTTATCAGACTAGTTTTGCAATGCCTGCTTTTTCTTATTTTTTTTTTTTTGCTTTCAATTTGTTTGGTAAATATTCCTCCATCCCTTTATTTTTAGCCTATGTGTGTCTTTGCGTATGAGATGTGTCTCCTGAATACAGCACACCGATGTGTCTTGATTCTATCCAATTTGCCAGTCTATGCCTATTAATTGGGGTATTTAGGCCATTTATATTTAAGGTTAATATTGTTATGTGTGAATTTGAATTTGATCTTGTCCTCATTACGCTAGCTGCTTATTTTCCACATTAGTTGAAGCAGTTTCTTCATAGTGTCATTGGTCTTATATATTTTGGTGTGTTTTTGCAGTGGCTGGTACTGGTGGTTCCTTTCCATATTTAGTGCTTCCTTCAGGAGCTCTTCCTTCAGGAGCCTCGTGGTGACAAAAATCCCTCAGCATTTGCTTGTCTTGAAAGGATTTTATTTCTCCTTCGCTTTTGAAGCTTAGTTTGACGGGTATGAAATCTGGGTGGAAAATTCTTTTAAGAATGTTGAATATTGGTCCTAACTCTCTTTGACTTATAGGGTTTCTGCAGAGAGATCCGCTGTTAGTCTGATGGGCTTCCCCTTGCGGGTAACCTGAGCTTTCTCTCTGGCTGCCCTTAACATTGCTTCCTTCATTTCAACTTTGGAGAATCAGATGATTATGTGTCTTAGGGTTGCTCTTCTCAAGGATTATCTTAGTGGTGTTCTCTGTATTTCCTGAATTTCTATGTTGGCCTGTCTTGCTAGGGTGGGGAAGTTCTCCTGGATAATATCCTGAAATGTGTATTCCAACTTGGTTGCATTCTCCTCATCAATTTCAGATACACCAGCCAATCATAGGTTTGGTCTTTTCACATAGTGCCATATTTCTTGGAGGCCTTGTTCATTCATTTTCATTCTTTTTTTTTTCTAATCTTGTCTTTACACCTTATTTCAGTAAGTTGATCTTCAATCTCTGATATCCCTTCTTCCACTTGATCGATTCAGCTATTGATACTTGTGTATGCTTCAGAAGTTCTTGTGCTGTGTTTTTCAGCTCCATCAAGTCATTTATTTTCCTCTGTAAACTGGTTATTCTAGTTAGCACTTCTTGTAACCTTTTATCAGGTTCTTAGCTTCCATGCATTGCATTAGAACATGCTCCTTTAGCACAGAGGAGTTTGTTATTACCCACCTTTGAAGCCTACTTCTGTCATTTCATCAATCTCATTCTCTGTCCAGTTTTGTACCCTTGCTGGAGAGGAGTTGTGATCATGGTGGAGAAGAGGCATTCTGGTTTTTGGAATTTTTAGTCTTTTGCATTGGTGTTTCCTAATCTTTGTGGATTTACCTATCTTTGATCTTTGAGTCCGATGACCTTTGGATGGGGTTTTTGTGTGGGGGTCCTTTCTGTTGATGTTGATGTTGTTGCTTTCTGTTTGCTAGTTTTTCTTCAAACAGTCAGGCCTCTCTTCTGCAGGTCTGCTGCAGTTCACTGGGGATGCACGCCAGAACGTGTTCGACTGCGAATCACCAGTGGAGACCGCAGAATAGCAAAGACTGCCGCCTGCTCTTGCCTCAAGAAGCCACGATCAAGTTGGCTTCATCCCTGGGATGCAAGCCTGGTTCAACATATAAAAATCACTAAATGTAATCCATCACATAAACAGAACCAATGAAAAAAAAACACCTGATTATCTCAATAGATGCAGAAAAGGCCTTCGATAAAATTCAACACCCCTTCATGCTAAAAGCTCTCAATAAACTAGGTATTGATGGAACATATCTCAAAATATTAAAAGCTATTTATGACCACCCCACAGCCATTGGTTGTAGCAGAGCCTACAGAACAGCAAAGATTGCTTCCTCTTCTTTCCTCTGGAAGATTCGTCCCAGAGGGGCACCTGCCTGATGCCAGCCAGAGCTCTCCTGTATGAGGTGTCTGTTGACCCTTGTTGGGAGGTCTCTCCCAGTCAGAAGGCACGGGCGTCGGGGACTCACTTGAGAAGGCAGTCTGTTTCTTAGCAGAGCTCGAATGCTGTGCCAGGAGAATCCTCCTTGTCAGAATCAACTGCTCTCTTCAGAGCCTGCAGGCAGGAAACTTTATGCCCACTGAAACTGTGCCCACAGATGCCCCTTCCCCCAGGTGCTCTGTCCCAGGGAGGTGGGAACTTTATCTATAAGCCTCTGTCTGGGGCTGCTGCCTTTCTTTCAGAGATGCCCTGCTCAGTGAGGAGGAATCTAGAGAGGCAGTCTGGCCACAGCTGCTTTGCCAGGCTGTGGTGAATTGCACCTAGTCCAAACCTCCCGGCCTCCGTAGCACTGTCAGGGGAAAACCACTTACTAAAGCCTCAGTAATAGTGGATGTCCCTCCCCTCATCAAGCCTGATCGTCCCGCGTTGACTTCAGACTGCTGTGCTGGCAGTGAAAATTTCAAGCCAGTGGTTCTTAGCTTGTTGGGCTCCGTGGGCATGGGACCCGCAGAGTGAGACCACTTGGCTCCCTTACTTTAGTCCACTTGCCAGGGGAGTGAATGGATCTGTCTTGCTGGGGTTCCTGGCGCCACTGGGGTGTGAAGAAAACTCATGCAGCTAGCTCGGTGTCTGCCCAAAACAGCCTCCCAGTTTCGTGCTTTGAAATCCAGGACCCTGCTGGTGTAGGCACATGAGGAAATCTTCTGATCTGTGGATTGCAAAACCCGTGGGAAAAATGTAGTATCCAGGCTGGGTAGCACAGTCCCTCATGGCTTCCTTTGGCTGGGGAAGGGAGGTCCCCAGGCTCCTTCTCGGGTAATGTGATGCCCCACCCTGCTTCTGCTCACCCTCCGTGGGCTGCACCCACTGCGTAAGCAGTCCCAGTGAGATGAACTGGGTATCTCAGTTGGAAATTCAGAAATCACTTGCCTTCTACATTGGTCTCGCTGGGAGCTGCTGACCTGAGCTGTTCCTATTCAGCCATCTTGCCAGATCCTCAACTTTTCATTCAATAAGTCTTGATATATCATCCCTCTTTGCCTTTGTCATGCATTTCTCTTTCTCATGAATTAGCCATCTCCTAAACTCATTCATAAGATCACTCTTTCTATGAAGCTACTGCTTAATTTTGTTTAGTGAAGCCTTTCTAAGTTATGTGAGTCCAAACATTTATCATTCCTTTGAATGTAACATTTATTACAAATCACTTCACATTATTTCATTTTGTGTCTATATTGTTATCCTGCCATCTAAAGAGATTGGGATTATTTTTCTCGAGTGTTTTATGCCTTGTAGCTTTTGCAAAAAAAAAAAAAAAAATGTGCATGCTATACTATTTTTATTGAATGCATGACAATCCTTTACTAGCAATTTCTACTTTGGTGTTAATACTCTTTTTACTAACCTCCCCTCTTTTGTTGATTCTAACCTGTTCACATTCAAGTTTTATTTTTCTCTAATTCAATAACATTTTTATTTTCATTTATTCACATATAATTTATTGTGTTCCTGTTATAAGTTTACAGATTTGCTTGGATATTCTTAAAGGCAGAAATCCTTTCTTTGATTCATTTTACAACCATTTCATATTCACTGAGAATTTTTTTTTTTTTTTTTTTTTTTTTTTTTTTTTTTTTGAGACGGAGTCTCGCTCTGTCGCCCAGGCTGGAGTGCAGTGGCGCGATCTCGGCTCACTGAAAGCTCCGCCTCCCGGGTTCACGCCATTCTCCTGCCTCAGCCTCCCGAGTAGCTGGGACTACAGGCGCCCGCTACCACGCCCGGCTAATTTTTTGTATTTTTAGTAGAGACGGGGTTTCACCGTGTTAGCCAGGATGGTCTCGATCTCCTGACCTCGTGATCCGCCCGCCTCGGCCTCCCAAAGTGCTGGGATTACAGGCGTCAGCCACCGCGCCCGGCCTGAGAATTTTTTATGATGCCAGGCATCATCCTTTTCCCTAAAGCATACTGGAGGATTTAGCAAATAATGAACCATTAGTAATAGATGTGTTGCAATGAATACGTGGATGAATGAATGGAAAACTTTTATTCGGTACACTCATATTTACTGATGTTGGCCATGCTCAATAAATTTATTATGATTATCATTATTACTGAGATGGATTCTCACACTGCCACCTGTGCTGGAGTGTAATGGCGCGATCCCAGCTCACTGCAACCTCTGCCTCCCTGGTTCATGTGATTCTCCTACCTGAGCCTCCCCAGTAGCTGAGATTATAAGTGCACACCACCACACCTAGTTAATTTTTGTATTTTTAGTGGAGACGGGGTTTCACTGTGTTGGCCAGACTGGTCTCAAACTCCTAACCTCTTGACCTGCCTGCCTTGGCCTCCTAAAGTGCTGGGATTACAGGTATGAGCCACCATGCCTTACCTATTAAATTATTAATTGTTAGTTTTTCTGCAAGACCCAAGTAGTTTTGCAATGTGAGGCAGCCTCTATCTGGACATTTGCAGGAAAATGGTAGGGCTCACTTATGAAAACTAGACTTGGTTAACTTGACAATCAAACACCTAGTTTCTAGTTGACTTCCTTGAATTACTTATAATAATTAATTTTTACTTCCCCAGTTTATAAAATGAAAAGCTTATATTAGTTGAAAGCACTGATCTTTTGCAAGCCTAGGGATTTCTAACTTTAAGAATCATTTTATCTGTGCATAAATGCACCATGAAAATTGAATGCATGTATTATACAATGTGTAGTTTACTAACGTATTTTTGTTTTGATTTCAAGTTCAAAATGATCTCTTTTTTTTCCAAAGAGAAATTTAGATGAGGCAAGATTGTATCAGGGTTAAGGTCGTGGGTATTAAACTCAAACAGACTGAGTTAATGTGTAAGCTCTGTCATTTATTAAGTGTGTGAAGATAGGCAAAAACATAAATCTGTCTGAGCATAAGTTTGTTCATTTCTGTAATAGGAAGAATAATGAAACTTATTTCATAAGGCTGTCACTCTCCAATGCATTAAAGCATGTGAAGCACTTGTCATAATTCCTGGTACATGATTAGAACTTGAGGACTATTGGTTATCATTATCAATATTAATATAGAAAAGAATTGTATATTAAGAAGCTATTTTCCTGAAAATACTTGACTCAGATTTTTCATTTGATTCTCAACCCCCAACGTCAAATTTCTCTTGGATGGTTTGAATTGTCACCTTTTGTTATATAAATAATTTATTGGAGACTTTCAAGTCTTCTAGGACTTCAGTATTGTTCACAAAATCAACAAAATAATAATTTCAAGCAAATTAGATGTTATTCACCTTTTAAAAAATTATTTTTTTCACTTTTATATTATATTCATCATCTTTCAGTAATAACAAAGTCTGACATTTGGTTTTTGCAAAAAGAATCAACAAAGGTTAAGAAAACTCATCTTAGCAGATATTAAAATGAGGATGATGAAGTTCTATTTTATAGCATAGTGATTGTTTTATTATGTCTTGTGTATTTAATCTTATTACCTAAATATATGAATAGCAAAATGATATATAATAATACTAATAAAAATGTACTATCCAAGAAAGAGGAGATCTGCTATTCTTGATTAGCTCATGGCAATAGTAACTTTTTCTCTGTCTCTACCAAGACTTTCTGACAATTTTTGTTGAACAAGTCTTAATGGTGTCGTCACACTCTTTTCTAGAGGCCCTTTAAAATACCTTGTCAGTTGCCTTTTAAATCTTCATATGGTACCTAGTGTAATATACGCTAGAAATATTCACTGAGAACTTGTTCACCAGATAGAAGTTATGACCTTTTTTAGGGATGAAATAATCTAACTAATATTTGTATTTTTAGCTATGTGCAAAACACTCTGCTAAGCATTTAGAATAAAACAACAGTGAAGGTGTAGCCCCCGTATCCAAAGAACTTAAAATCAAGTACAAGAATGTATTTGTGTATGCAAGTACTATCGCTAATCTTTGGCACTGTAAGTGTCAGAACATCATACCTAAACCAATAGAGAATTGGTGCAGGGAGTGTAGGAAGGGAACCCTCAAGAAAGTTTCCCAGATATTCACATATTCACTTTTCTTAGTGGAATTTAATACAATTTGTCATTTTGGAAGATTTCCAGTACAGAAAAACCCAGAAACAAACCATGCCTCTGAATGAGGAAATTGAATACGTTTCTTCAATGGGATTTGCACATTTATATCCATGTGAATACTCGCCTAAACAGTGGGTGAAATAATGTTACATGGATCAGACTCATAAGCCCCCATGTTTCATAAATATCTATAATATATCTCAATAACATTAGACAGATTGTGATGGAATCCAGAACCTGATAACCTCCTGTCTGGGAAAAAAGTAATTTCACTTTTGTGAGGGAGTAGTCCGTTTTTAGGAAATCCCATAATTTTTTGCAGGAATTAAGAGTCTTTGAAACAAAAGCACAGAATCTCTTCCTTTTCCCTGACCTTGCCTCCTAGTGATTACAGTCATCTAGTTGGCCAGCCCAGAGTGCTCCTTTCTTTGCCATATTTACTTTTCAATGGTTTGAAATGACAAAAAAATTGGCATTAGTACTAGAATACTGAGACAAGATAATGGTTTGCCACTTTGAAAGAAAATGTCTCTGGAGCTTTGCCTGCGCGAGATCAGAGTCCTGTCAAAACATTCTATTCTGTAGGATTAATCTCTTAAATATGTTAGAATACTTCCATTTATAGAACTCTCCTGTGACTTATAAGCAGTGATATTCAGAAACTGACAAATGGATTGATAAAATCTTTCTGTGGCTTAATGAGAGAAACAGAGCAAACCAAGTCAGGTCTATTTTTTGTCTGGGATTTATAGGCAAAAGTTGAGCTTAAGAGGGCCACCCACTTCTTTGAATTTTCTTTGCATCCTATGAATCTAATGAATTTGTAAAATATTAGTCAATGATATGACTAATGTTGAAATACAAATGTTTATTTTACACACATATGGGATGGGGTCATGTTTATCATATGCCTAGGATGTTAGTATCTATGTCTATATTGTTATCTGCTATTTGAAAATGACTACACCAGGAGCTATGGAGGAGAATGCACTTCATAATTCCAGATACTATCCAGAAATTTCCCAGATACTTCTTGTTAACCAACTTCTTTTGCAATTAACATAAATAGTAGCCTTTTTCTCAGGAGATATTTTTGTAATTACTCTAGCACAATATTACATTAAGATTTTTCATTCAAGATGGCAGTCTATACAATGATAATGGCCAACTTCTGTCATGAGCTTTTAAAAATTGTAGTAGAAAAATAAAACTACTTAATGAAAGAAAGTGGGAGAGGAATCATTTAGCAAAATTTTACATTTTATAAAAAAGACAAAAGGGACTTTTGCTCTCATTCATCGTGACTTAATTAGTGAAGGCTTTGTCCTCCCAGTGAAAACAACTACAATATTTTTAAAAATTATGTGAAACAGCTATATGCAGATATTGGACAACAGGTGAGGAATGGAAGTGAAAGAGATTATTCCTATTATTATCCTAGCTTTTTGCCTGGAAGTACTTTCAGAAGCCTGCCACACAGAGGGGAAAAAACAAGCAGAACATAGTAGTTGTGCTGAGTTGAGAATACTGACTTCACGGTTCATCAAGTGTGAGACACTGGAATTTGTAGGGAAGATTATGTAGAGGAGGAAGTCCTGCAAAATAAAAGCTTTAGAAATCTGCATAGGTGTCCATTTGAGTCTGTTGTGAAATAGCACACATATAAAACAGCAAGGCAAAGCAAAGAATTGAGAATGTTATGAAATAAAATGGCTCAAAAATATAAAATGTTAGAAAATATTCAATCCTAATTAGCTGCAGTAGACTTTGTTGTATCCTGAACATTCAGTATAGGATCTGGGAAGGTTATGACTTTTAGTAGAACTAAACTAACCCTATAAACTCAAGACAGACCCTAACAATGCTTAAAAACAAACTTCAAAGGGTTCAAGCTGCTCTACAATTAACAGTCTTCAAAACAACTAATTTTTTTAAAAGAAAGACAACAAAATCTAGGCAGTTAGCAGTGTATTATTCACAGTGTGAAGCAAATAGAAAAAATAAAGTCCTAAACCTAATAAAAGTCATTTATAAAAAACTTACATGTAATGTTTTATTTAATGATAAAATACTGAATACTTCAATACTTCACCCTTGAAATCAGGAAACTAAGGATGGCTGCTTTCACCATTCCTACTTAATCATACTCTGGACATTCTAGCCATTTTGATAAGACTAAATAAATAATATAGAGAAAAATAATGAACAAATTGTTTTTATTTGCATATAACCTGGCCATTCATATAGATGATTCCAAGGAATTTACAAAAAAGCTATCATAACCATTAAATAAATTTAGTAAGTATCATTGAGTATTTGGAGAAACTGGCACTCTCATATATTGTTGAGGAAAACACAAAATAAATCAAGTACTTGGGAGAATAGTTTAGTAGTTTATTAAAATGTTAAACATACATTTACTGTACAACTGAGAAATTCAACGGGATAGGTAACAACCTAGGATATATGAAAACATATGTATACACAAAGACTGTGCAAAATGTTCATATCAGTGTTATTATAATAGCCCCTAAAAGGGAAGTGTTGAAATAGTCATCAGCTGGTGAAAGTATAAGCTAAACATGATATAATTATATAGTTAAATACTAATCAGCAATAATGTAGAATATGTACAATGTAGAGTATGTACAATGTAGAGTATTATTTCATTTATATTGAAATGAAATAATGTCCCTTTTTTAGAAAAGGGAGATCTATATAGGAATAATGCAAATCGGCAATTTTCTGAGGCTGAGAGTGACAACAAATAGGTATGAGGCTATGTTTTTAGAGTAGCAGATATGTTCTTAAATACAGGTTATGGTAATTATTGCACAGCTCCATAAACTTACGAAATTTTTCCAAATAATCCTTGAAATATACGCTTTATAACTGGTGGATATATTAAATTTATGGGTTTGTGAACTACAACTCAATATAACTGTTTAAATCAAGAAACTAACACCAAGAAACTCCTGTTTCTTGGAGTCAGGAGTTGAAAAGGGATGGTTTAGGATGTGGCATAAAGGAAACTTTTGGAGGCTGATGGAAATACTTGTATTTTGATTGTGGTATCAGTTTCACAAAAGCACATATATGTCAAAGCAGTACCAACTTGTACTTTCAAAAAGTGAAATTCAATGTGCTGTAACTATAGCTCAACGAAATTATAAAAACACAAAATCATATTTGGGATTACATTTGACTGTTTCTTCTCTTTTCCAATATGTCCTAAATTAACAAAATCTAGTTAATTGTATAGCAAAATGATAAGCTATTGATTCTATTGGCCATTGGGTAAAGAGAAGTGAAACAGTGTGTCCGACATTCTGCAGGCATGGAAGCATATTTTGTAAATAATTTTTTAAAATTGTGATATTGTAAGAATAGTGTAAATGTATTAATTCTTCAAGTGTAACTGTTTAATAGCAGTCCTCTATTGGTAAAATAACTTTTTACGATCAAACCAAAACATTTAAATTAAAAACTTAGTGTGTGGGCCAAACTGAAGATTAGACAGAACTGAAGAGGAGGTTAAGAAATGCTGAGGATAAATTAGGAAGACCTATAAGTTGTCTAATAACAATTCTAGAAGAAAAGAGTACAGCAATAGACAAAGGATAATAACTGAGCATATTCCAGAATTTATGAAAGACATATATCCTCAGACCACAGAAATACAGTGAGTCCCAAACAGGATAAAAATGTAAAACTTGGTTACATCATCATGAAAGGCAGGACTCAAAAGCAATGAAAAGATGTTAGAGGAAAGATCTCAGACAGAAAAGAATGATTGTTAAACACAGGAATATTAATTGGCAAGAAACAGACTTCTAAATAATTATAATAACAAGGGGCAAAGGGTAATTATAAAACTAGGAAAATACATCCAGGGAAATGAGAAAGAGGTAAAATTTAAGAACTTTTTTAAAGCAAAAAATACAAAGAATCTGAAGAAACTACAATGCACTTTGGATATTCCAGAAAAAATGGATTGATTTTTAGACACATACAACCTACCAAAACAATCATGAAGAAATAGAAAATGTGAACAGATCAATAATAAATAAGAATACTGAATCAATAATAACATGTCCCCTATCAAAAGCGCAGGACCTGGTGGCTTCAAAGCTGAAGTCTACCAACATTTAAAGAACTAATAACAATCCTTCTCAAACTCTTCCAAAAGGAAATACTTCTAAACTCATTGTGCCAAGGCCAGTATTACTCTGATGCCAAAACCAGACATGAGCACTACAAGAAAAGAAAATTACTGGTCAATATCCCTGATGATCATAGATTCAGAAATCCTCAACAATATACCAGCAAACCAAATTGAAAAACACATAAAGGAATCATTCACCGTGATAAACGGAGATTTACCCCCTGGATGCAAGGACGATTCAATATATGCAAGAAATGTAATATACCACGTTGACAAAATAAAGAAATAAAGAATAAACAAAACACAATTATCTCAATAGAAGCAGAAGAAATATTTGACAAAATTCAACACTGTTTTAGGATAAAAACTCTCAACAGATTAGATATAGAGGGAATGTACTTCAAAACAATAAAGGGCATAAATCACAATCCCAGAGCTAACATCATACTCAAACATAAAAATAGAAAAGTTTTTCTTCTAAGATCCGGGACAGTACAAAGCCAGTGCTGTTAGGTAAGGGCAATAAAAAAAGGAATCCTAACAGGGAAAAAATAAAATTATCTGTTTCTTGATAACATAATCTTACATATAGAAAACCCTGAACGATCCACCTTAAAACTGTTAGAACTGATAAACAAATTCAGAAAAGTTGTGGTTCACAAAATCAAAGTGCAAAAATCAGCAGTTTCAATACGCTAATAACAAATTATCAACAATGGAAATTAAGAAAACAATCCTATTTACAATAATATCAAAAAGAATAAAATATTTAAGTGTAAATTTCACCCAGGAGGTAAAAGACCTGTATACTAAAATGTATAAAACAGACAAAAAATAAATTGTTAAAACGTCCATACTACCAAAAGCAATCTGTAGATTCAATGCAATACCTATTGAAATGCCAATGATATTTTTCACAGGAGCAGAATAAAAGAATTCTTAAATGTGTATGAAACCACAAATAACCCCAAATAGCCTGAACAAATTTGAGAAATAAAAAGCTGGAGGTATCACACTTTTTGGTTTCAAAATATAAAAGTATTTGAATAAAAACAGCATGGTATTGACATAAAAACAGATACATCAACCAATTGAACATAACAGAAATTTCAGAAATAAACCAATACACTTATGTTTTTGACAGTGATATAAATGACATTTATATTTTTGTCAAGGACACACAATGGTGAAAGGGTGGTCTTATCAATGATGGTGTTAGGGTACTGGCTATCCACATACAGAAGGATGAAATTAGATTATCTTACAACATAAAAATCAACTCAAAATGGAACAAAGACTTAAGCACAAGACCTAAAATTGTAAAACTACTAGAATATAACAGAGGATAAATCTCCGCAACATTGTTCTGAGTAATGATGTTTTGGATATGATGCCAAAAGCATGGGCAACAAAAGCAAAAATAGACAAATGGAACTGCATCAAACTATAACGTTTCTGCACAGCAAAAGAAATCCTTAACAAAGTGAAGACGTGACTTATAAAATGGGAAATATATTTGCAAACCGTAGATTTGATAGTGGTTAATATCCAAGATATATAAGGAACTCAAAGAGCTCAACAGGAAGAAAACAAATAACCCAATTTAAAATGGGCAAAGGACTTAAACACACTTCTCAAAACAATACATAAAAAGGACTAACAGATCCCTTGTTAGTGGTGTTAAAAAATGCTTAACATCACTAATCATTAGGGAAATGCAAATTAAAACCACAGTTAGATATCACCTCACATCTGTTGGAACTGGTTTCTAAAAAAGTTGAACTCATAGAAATATAGATTAGAAAGATGGTTGCCAGAGGCTTGAGGGGTGAGGTGGGCAGGTATATAGAGATGGAATAGAAAGTCAAAGGGTACAAGGTTTCAGATAGATAGGAGGAATAAATAAACTTTGAGACCTATTGCACAGAAGGGTGACTGTAGTCAATAAGAATATATTCTATATTTCAAAATAAAGAGTAAATTTCAAATGTCTCACTGCAAAAAATGATAATTGAGGTGATAGATATGTTAACTAGTTTGATTTAGTCATTCTGCATTGTATTCATATATCAAAGCACCACATGTACCCCTCAAAATGAGTATAATTATGATTGGTCATGTAAAAATGATGTTAACAATACAAACTTTAAAATTTAATGCAACCCAAAAATCCTGCCCAAACAAGGGCATTGTTTACCATCACCAGACTCTCATTAAAAACAACAACAACAACAACGACAATAAAAACTACTATAGGATGTACATTGGGAAAAGAGGGAATATTTTAAAGGAAACATCTAAGCTATAAGAAGGGCCCCTTGAAGAAATTGGTAATGTGTAGACAAAGTTATTCAATAAATTTCTAAAATAATGATCTGATTAAGAGGTAGAAAGCTTTTTTAGGAAATATCAGTAAGGTTGTGGGGAGGTAAGAAAGGAGAAGAAAGACAGCCAGTAAGGAGTGTATTATCAAGCATGTTACCTGTGGGAAACTGATGCTTATGCCTTCTGAGGAATTCTGTGAGCCAGTGGAAAACACGTGCCTCCAAATTTTTCTTCCAAGGAGTGAGACAGTGATATGGTTTGGCTCTGTGTCCCCACCCGAATTTTATGTTATATTCCAATCCCCAATGTTGGGGGAAGGACCTGGTGGAAGGTGATTGGACCATGGGGTTGGATTTTCCTTTTGTTGTTCTCATGATAGTGAGTGAGTTCTCAGGAGATCTGGTTAAGTGTTTAGCACTTCCCCTTTTGCTCTCTCTCTCTCTCTCTCCTTCTCTTCCCTGTGAAGATTGTGCCTGTTTCCCTTTAGCTTTCCACTATGATTGTATGTTTCCTGAGACCTCCCCAACCTTGTCTCTTTAGAGCCTGTGGAACTGTGAGTCAAATAAACCAATTTTCTCCATAAATTAACCAGTCTCAGCTAGTTCTTTATTGCAGTGTGAGGACAAATTAATACAGAGAGCTTCACCAACTTCCACTAGTCACTGGCTGAAAGCTGCGTTTTGTTGGGAAGGGGTGTCCCGTTGAGAGGAAGAGTACCTCCTGTTTTGATAACTTGTGGCAGATTCTCCTTCCTGTGGGGAATGGAGAGCTCTTTCCCTGATGCTCGCTTGATGTGGGGAGATCCCTGTCACCTGTGCTCCCAGTCACGTAGTGTCTTAGGTTAGGTGTGAAGCCTCAGGCTCCATGGCAGAAGTTTAGATTTTCCCTGGGTGCTTATCTTCAGCAGGAGTTCCCATGATCCCCTCTTGCCTGTTTTGCCAGGCTGGCATTTTATGGGCAGAGCCACTGTTAGATTGAAGAGTGTGTCTACCTACTCCCACTTCTGTTGTTAATTTGGGGGCCAGGAGGTTTACGGTCTGGATTCACACCTTCTGTTAAGGAAGAGGATAGTAAGGTGCCCTGTTATTATGCTGTGCCTTCAGTTCTTCATCCCTAACCTCAATCCTCAGCTTCCTTTATTCCATCTTCAGAACTCTCCTCTGTGGGCCACTTGAACATTTACAGGATTTATAGTCATCTATGTTAGTCCATTCTTGCATTGCTATAAACAAATACCTGAGACAGAGTAATTTACAAGAAAAGAGGTTTAATTTGTTCACAGTTCCACAGGCTGTACAGGAAGCAAGGCAGCATCTGCTTCTGGGGAGGCCTCAGGGAACTTTTACTCATGATGGCAGGCAAAGCAGGAGCAGGACTGAGAGAGAGTACGGAGGTGCCACACACTTTTAAACAACCAGATCACGTGAGAACTCTATCACAAGACAGCACTAGGGTGATGGTGCTAAACCATCAGAAACAGCCCTCACGATCCAATCACCTACCCCCAGGCTGCTCCTCCAACATTGCAGATTACATTTCAACATGTGATTTGAGTGGGAACAGAGATCCAAACCATATCATCATCATTAGTGGAAAGGAACAGGTAGAGATAAGCCTATGCCATCTTGTCTGGGCTGGAAGTTTGTGTTTGTTTTTTTTAACTGGAATATGTTTTCCTCAGTTTTAATTTGCAAAGAATTATAAATTATAAAAACACTTTGGCTAAGAGTTAGTTTTTTGAAAATTAAGACTCTAAACTGTTTAGAAACAGTTTAGAAACAGTTTAGAGTTTGGTGAAACAACCCAAGTGTTTCGACAGATTCTTGGTTTCTTCAAGATGCTTTGGACCACTGACAGTGTCACTAATTTGTGGGGTGCCCCCTCACTATACTGTAAGAAAACATCTTTAAAGTAGGGGAATATGCATCTGAACATTATTAAAAATTAGGTAAAGGAGTGCTATTATTACACTGTGGTTTTTAGATAACTTGCTTACTTCCAGGAGTTCCTTTAAACTTACCAGGTCTGAGGAAATATAAATGAATAAGACACTAAGATATACGTTGTGTCCTTGAATAGCTAATAATGTAGTAGGTCAGAGAAAGAAACTCATAAATAGTATACATAAACAAAAAACGGGACAAGAAATGAAAAGTGAGAGCATAGAGTAAGATAAAAACCTCAAAGTGTAGAAAGATGAAGGAGAAACGTGAAATGGAGAAACAGAATAATAGGTAGGCCTCAAAAGAGCCTTGTTCCATAAACCAGTCCCTGAGCAGGGCAGTGCAGCAGATTTTACAAGCCTGTATAAAACTCATTAATTACGCACTCAGCATTTATTTTTTCCAAAAGTTTATAGAATGGGAGAAAATAATTTGCCAAATGCTCACTATATACAAAACATGCTATCCTGAGGTTTAATTTAGGTTACATCTATTCAGGACAACAAATATATTTATTTTAAAAAATCTAACTAAATTTTTCCTGTTTTGAAATTCTGGAACATATTTATCCCTAAGATTTTATTCTAAAATTTACTCTCCAAAGTCTTGAGAACATTTCTGTAAGTATTGTTTTCATTTCCTTCCAATATGTAAGATGTTGCTGAGTGAAGAAAGAGAAGGTCCAGACATCTTATTCAAGACCATACAGTTCACCAGCTACATCTTTCATTTCTTCATTACTGTCATTTACTAGCACTGCCACCATTATTTCCCCAAACAGCTGACTGCACACACACACACACACACACACACACACATTATATATATATTTTTAAATTTGTGTGTGTAATTTTATATATATTACATTGTATTATATATTAATTATATACATACTATGCACCCAGAACTTTAAAAATGCATAAACTATCACTTTAATGATCCTTTCCTTTGGTTAAGAAGCAGTTGGTATGGGCAGACACAGCCATGAGTAAGACTTTGCATGTGAGTTATTTAGTCTTTTTATATCTCAATTTTCTCAATCATTTTTCTCAATTCTTTAGTCTCCCCACATGTTAGAATTAAACTCTGTGCCTGTGCTATGTGAATTATTATGTTCCTTCATAATAGTGAAAGCAGTATATTCCCTTCAAGTTAATATTGAACTAGACTGCATCACTTTCTTTGGCCAGTGTAATTCGGGCATGAAAGAAAGATAAGGTGCCAGTTCCAGGCCACAACCTAAAATATCATTGCATGCTTCTGTTTGCTCTATTGTACTCTGTAATTACTGGAAGAATATGCTAGGAAAAGTATCAATCCTAGAATCATGAGGGGCACGTACAGCAAACCTGATCCCAAACTCTAGTCTAGCCTCACCAACCTAAAGCAGACCAGACCAGCTGAGTTGGCCTCGCTTAATGACCTGAAAACTCACATGCATGAAAAGCCAGGCTTATTGTAATAACTCATTACATTTGGGGATGATTTGTTACCTGGAATTATTGTGAAAGCAGCTGACTAATATGCACTTCAAAGAGTTATAAAAATGAACTGCTTATATATCTGTGTATATATATCTATGTATATATATCTATGTCTATATACACACATATATCTGTATATATATATCTATGTGTATATATATGTATGTCTATATACACGCATATAATAAAAATACATTTATAAATAGAACATTATTGGTCAAATCAGAGTAGCTTTGGAGGAAAAGTGAATACTTTTAAAGATATAATGTAATCATTATATATTTGGCTTAATTTTATATGTGCAAAACAATTATAATTGGAACACTGAATCACTATGCTAAATAGAGTGTACAAATCAGATAAATTAATGATAATCCAATAGATCTTTTGGTGATGAAGAAATAAACTTAAGCATTAAGACAATGCCATCAACTTGGTGGTATTGTTCCCTTCCAGTTTTTTAACTGAATGTGGTAATCAAACAGAATTATTTTCTCCCGAGACTGGACCCAGCCCCAAACTTCCCAATATCCTAAACCGCAACACATGTATCATAAATAGCACAAGTAAAAACTTTTTTCCATTCTGGGTGGAAAATATTATTGGTTCTTTTTTTTTTTCATTTCTGATTTTATTTTTTTATTTTTTTTATTTTTTATTATACTTTAAGTTCAAAGGTACATGTGCACAACGTGCAGGTTTGTTACATATGTATACATGTGCCATGTTGGTGTGCTGCACCCATTAACTCATCATTTAACATTAGGTATATCTCCTAATGCTATCCCTCTCCGCTCCCCACACCCCACAAAAGGCCCCAGTGTGGGATGGTCCCCTTCCTGTGTGCATGTGTTCTCATTGTTCGATTCCCACCTATGAGTGAGAACATGCAGTGTTTGGTTTTTAGTCCTTGCGATAGTTTGCTGAGAATGATGGTTTCCAGCTTCATCCATGTCCCTACAAAGGACATGAACTCATCATTTTTTATGGCTGCATAATATTCCATGGTGTATATGTGCCACATTTTCTTAATCCAGTCTATCGTTGTTGGACATTTGGGTTGGTTCCAAGTCTTTGCTATTGTGAATAGTGTCGCAATAAACATACATGTGCATGTGTCTCTATAGCAGTATGATTTATAGTCCTTTGGGTATATAGCCAGTAATGGTGTGGCTGGGTCAAATGGTATTTCTAGTTCTAGATCCCTAAGGAAGCACCACACTGACTTCCACAATGGTTGAACTAATTTACAGTCCCACCAACAGTGTAAAAGTGTTCCTATTTCTCCACATCCTCTCCAGCACCTGTTGTTTCCTGACTTTTTAATGATCACCATTCTAACTGGTGTGAGAGGGTATCTCATTGTGGTTTTGATTTGCATTTCTCTGATGGCCAGTGATGATGAGCATTTTTTCATGTGTCTTTTGGCTGCATAAATGTCTTCTTTTGAGAAGTGTCTGTTCATATCCTTTGCCCACTTGTTGATGGGTTTCTTTTTTCTTGCAAATTTGTTTGAGTTCATTGTAGATTCTGGATGTTAGCCCTTTGTCAGATGAGTAGATTGCAAAAATTTTCTCCCATTCTGTAGGTTGCCTGTTCACTCTGATGGTAGTTTCTTTTGCTGTACAGAAGCTCTTTAGTTTAATTAGATCCCATTTGTCAATTTTGGCTTTTGTTGCCATTGCTTTTGGTGTTTTAGACATGAAGTCCTTGCCCATGCCTATGTCCTGAATGGTATTGCCTAGGTTTTCTTCTAGGGTTTTTATGGTTTTAGGTCTAATGTTTAAGTCTTTAATCCATCTTGAATTAATTTTTGTATAAGGTGTAAGGAAGGGACCCAGTTTCAGCTTTCTACATATGGCTAGCCAGTTTTCCCAGCACCATTTATTAAATAGGGAATCCTTTCCCCATTTCTTGTTTTTCTCAGGTTTGTCAAAGATCAGATAGTTGTAGTTATGTGGCATTATTTTTGAGGGCTCTGTTCTCTTCCATTGGTCTATATCTCTGTTTTGGTACCAGTACCATGCTGTTTTGGTTACTGTAGCCTTGTAGTCTAGCTTGAAGTCAGGTAGCGTGATGTCTCCAGCTTTGTTCTTTTCACTTAGGATTGACTTGGCAATGTGAGCTCTATTTTGGTTCCATATGAACTTTAAAGTAGTTTTTTCTTATTCTGTGAAAAAAGTCATTGGTAGCTTGATGGGGATGGCATTGAATCTATAAATTACCTTGGGCAGTATGGCCATTTTGAGGATATTGATTCTTCCTACCCATGAGCATGGAATGTTCTTCCGTTTGTTTGTATCCTCTTTTATTTCATTGAGCAGTGGTTTTATTTCTCCTTGAAGAGGTGCTTCACATCCCTTGTAAGTTGGATTCCTAGGTATTTTATTCTCTTTGAAGCAATTTTGAGTGGGAGTTCACTCATTATTTGGCTCTCTGTTTGTCTGTTATTGGTGTATAAGAATGCTTGTGATTTTTGCACATTGATTTTGTATCCTGAGACTTTGCTGAAGTTGCTTATCAGCTTAAGGAGATTTTGGGCTGAGATGATGGGGTTTTCTAGATATACAATCACATCATCTGCAAACAGGGACAATTTGACTTCCTCTTTTCCTATTGAATACCCTTTATTTCTTTCTCCTGCCTGATAGCCCTGGCCAGAACTTCCAACACTATGTTGAATAGCAGTGGTGAGAGAGGGCATCCCTGTCTTGTGCCAGTTTTCAAAGGAAATGCTTCCAGTTTTTTGCCTATTCAGTATGATATTGGCTGTGGGTTTGTCATAAATAGCTCTTATTATTTTGAGATACCTCCCATCAATACCTAATTTATTGAGAGTTTTTAGCATGAAGTGCTGTTGAATTTTGTCAAAGGCCTTTTCTGCATCAATCGAGATAATCATGTGGTTTTTGTCATTGGTTCTGTTTATATGCTGGATTACATTTATTGATTTGCATATGTTGAAGCAGCCTTGCATCCCAGGGATGAAACCCACTTGATCATGGAGGATAAGCTTTTAGGTGTGTCGCTGGATTCACTTTGCCAGTATTTTATTGAGGATTTTTGCATCAATGTTCATCAGGGTTATTAGTCTAAAATACTCTTTTTTTAATTGTGTCTCTGCCAGACTTTGGTATCAGGATGATGCTGGCCTCATAAAATGAGTTAGGGAGGACTCCCTCTTTTCCTATTGATTGAAATAGTTTCAGATGGAATGGTACCAGCTCCTCCTTGTACCTCTGGTAGAATTCGGCTGTGAATCCATCTGGTCCTGGACTTTTTTTGGTTGGTAAGCTATTAATTATTGCCTTAATTTCAGAGCCTGTTATTGGTCTATTCAGAGATTCAGCTTCTTCGTGGTTTACTCTTGGGAGAGTGTATGTGTTGAGGAATTTATCCATTTCTTCCAGATTTTCTAGTTTATTCGCATAGAGGGGTTTATAGTATTCTCTGATGGTAGTTTGTATTTCTGTGGCATCGGTGGTGATATACCCTTCATCATTTTTTATTGCGTATACTTGATTCTTCTCTCTTTTCTTCTTTATTAGTCTTGCTAGCAGTCTATCAATTTTGTTGATCTGTTCAAAAAACCAGCTCTTGGATTCATTGATTTTTGAAGGGTTTTTTGTGTCTCTACGTCCTTCAGTTCTGCTCTAATCTTAGTTATTTCTTGCCTTCTGCTAGCTTTTGAATGTGTTTGCTCTTGCTTCTCTAGTTCTTTTCACTGTGATGTTAGGGTGTCAGTTTTATATCTTTCCTGCTTTCTCTTGTGGGCATTTCGTGCTATAAACTTCCCTCTACACACTGCTTTGAATGTGACCCAGAGATTCTGGTATGTTGTGTCTTTGGTCTCGTTGGTTTCAAAGAACATCTTTATTTCTGCCTTCATTTCATTATGTACCCAGTAGTCATTCAGGAGCAGGTTGTTCAGTTTCCATGTAGTTGATCAGTTTTGAGTGAGTTTCTTAATCCTCAGTTCTAGTTTCATTGCACAGTGGTCTGAGAGACAGTTTGTTATAATATCTGTTCTTTTACATTTGCTGAGGAGGGCTTTACTTCCAACTATGTGGTCAATTTTGGAATAGGTGTGGTGTGGTTCTGAAAAGAATGTATATTCTGTTGATTTGGGGTGGAGAGTTGTGTAGGTGTCTATTAGGTCTGCTTGGTGCAGAGCTGAGTTCAATTCCTGGATATCCTTGTTAACTTTCTGTCTCATTGATCTGTCTAATGTTGACAGTGGGGTGTTAAAGTCTCCCATTATTATTGTGTGGGAGTCTAATTCTCTTTGTAGGTCTCTAAGGACTTGCTTTATGAATCTGGGTGCTCCTGCATTGGGTGCATATATATTTAGGATAGTCAGCTCTTCTTGTTGAATTGACCCCTTTACCATTATGTAATGGCCTTGTCTCTTTTGATCTTTGTTGGTTTAAAGTCTGTTTTATCAGAGACTAGGATTGCAACCCCTGCCTTTTTTGTTTTCCATTTGCTTGGTAGATCTTCCTCCATCCCTTTATTTTGAGCCTGTGTGTGTCTGTGTACATGAGATGGGTTTCCTGAATACAGCACACTGATGGGTCTTGACTCTTTATCCAATTTGCCAGTCTGTGTCTTTTAATTGGAGCATTTATCCCATCTACATTTAAGGATAATATTGTTATGTGTGAATTTGATCCTGTCATTATGATGTTAGCTAGTTATTTTGCTCGTTAGTTGATGCGGTTTCTTCCTAGCCGTGATGGTCTTTACAATCTGGCATGTTTTTGCAGTGGCTGGTACTGGTTGTTCCTTTCCATGTTTAGTGCTTCCTTCAGGAGCTCTTGTAGGGCAGGCCTGGTGGTGACAAAATCTCTCAGCATTTGCTTGTCTGTAAAGTATTTTATTTCTCCTTCACTTATGAAGCTTAGTTTGGCTGGATAGGAAATTCTGGGTTGAAAATTATTTTCTTTAAGAACGTTGAATATTGGCCCCCACTCTCTTCTGGCTTGTATGGTTTCTGCTGAGAGATCAGCTGTTAGTCTGATGGGCTTCCCTTTGTGGGTAACCTGACCTTTCTCTCTGGCCGTCCTTAACATTTTTTCTGTCATTTCAACTTTGGTGAATCTGACAGTTATGTGTCTTGGAGTTGCTCTTCTTGAGGAGTATCCTTGTGGCGTTCTCTGTATTTCCTGAATTTGAATGTTGGCCTGCCTTGCTAGATTGGGGAAGTTCTCCTTGATAATATCCTGCAGAGTGTTTTTCAACTTGGTCCCATTCTCCCCGTCACTTTCAGGTACACCAATTAGATGTAGATTTGGTCCTTTCACATAGTCCCCTGTTTCTTGGAGGCTTTGTTTGTTTCTTGTTATTCTTTCTTCTCTAATCTTCTCTTCTCCCTTCATTTCATTTATTTGAACTTCCATCACTTATACCCTTTCTTCCCATTGATCGAATCAGCTACTGAGGTTTGTGCATTCATCACGTAGTTCTCATGCCATGGTTTTCAGCTCCATCAGGCCTTTAAGGACTTCTCTGCATTGGTTATTCTAGCTAGCCATTCATCTAATCTTTTTTCAAGGTTTTTAACTTCTTTGCCGTGGGTTGGAACTTCCTCCTTTAGGTCGGAGTAGTTTGATCGTCTGAAGCCTTCTTCTCTCAACTTGTCAAAGTCATTCTCCCTCCAGCTTTGTTCAGTTGCTGGTGAGGAGCTGTGTTCCTTTGGAGGAGGAGAGGCACTCTGATTTTTAGATTTTTCAGTGTTTCTGCTCTGTTTTTTCCCCATCTTCTTTGTGTTTTTTATCTACCTTTGGTCTTTGATGATGGTGACGTACAGATGGGGTTTTTGTGTCAATGTCCCTTCTGTTTGTTAGTTTTCCTTCTAACAGTCAGGGTTAGAAGGGAACAGCTGCAGGTCTGTTGGAGTTTTCCGGAGGTCCTCTCCTACCCTGTTTGCCTGGATATCAGCAGTGGAGGCTGCAGAACAGCAGATATTGGTGAACAGCAAGTGTTGCTGCCTGATCGTTCCTCTGGAAGTTTTGTCTCAGAGGAGTACCCGGCCATGTGAGGTGTCAGTCTGCCCCTACTTGGGGGTGCCTCCCAGTTAGGTTACTTGAGGAGGCAGTCTGTCCATTCTCAGATCTCAAGCTGCATGCTGGGAGAACCACTACTCTCTTCAAAGCTGTCAGACAGGGACATTTAAGTCTGCAGACGTTTCTGCTGCCTTTTGTTTGGCTATGCCCTGCCCCTAGAGGTGGAGTCTACAGAGGCAGGCAGGCCTCCTTCAGCTGTGGTGGGCTCCACCCAGTTCGAGCTTCCCAGCCACTTTGTTTACCTACTCACACCCTGGCAATGGCGGGCGCCTGTCTCCAGCCTGGTTGCTGCCTTGCAGTTTGATCTCAGACTGCTGTGCTAGCACTGAGTGAGGCTCTGTGGGCGTAGGATCCTCTGAGCCAGGCACGGGATATAATCTTCTGGTGTGCCGTTTGCTAAGACTGTTGGAAAAGCGCAGTATTAGTGTGGGAGTGACCCAATTATCCAGGTGCCATCTGTCACCCCTTTCCTTGGCTAGGAAAGGGAATTCCCCGACCCCTTGTGCTTCCTGGGTGAGGCAATGCCTCACCCTGCTTCAGCTCAGGCTGGGTGCACTGCACCCACTGTTCTGCACCCACTTCCGACAGTCCCCAGTGAGATGCACCTGGTACCTCAGTTGGAAATGCAGAAATCATTCATCTTCTGCATCACTCATGCTGGGAGCTGTAGACTGGAGCTGTTCCTATTCGGCCATCTTGGCTCCACCTCTTCCTATTGTTGGTTCTTAAGAGACAAACCAGGCCTGTTACGTTCCCTCCCTCCTTAATTCAATGGAAGAACATCAAATCCAATTCGTTATCAAGACAGACATATTTTAAAAGATATAATTTTTGTTCTTTTAAAGACACTATTAAGAAAATGAAAAACTCATCCACTCAGAGAACTTAATTGCTGAACATGGATATGATAACAGATTTGTATCCAGGAAATATAAAGAATCCTCAAAAATAAGAATAAAAATAATTTAAAATGGGCAAAAGATGTGAAGGGGCAGTTCACTAAAAAAAAATATACAGATGGCATGAAAACACATAAAAAATCCTCAATATTATTATTCCTTATAACAACACAAAAAGCACAATGAGATATTACAACAAAAATTAGAATGGTAGAAGTGAAGAAAAAAATGAGAATACTATGTGCTAATGAGTATGTAAAACAATCAGAATTCTTAAACACTGCTCACCAGGATATAAAATAGTGGAAAAAAATAGTTTGTAAATTTCTTCTAAAACAAACATGCATTTACTACATAATCCAGCATTTGCACAACTAGATCTTTAACTAGAAGAAATAAAAATTTATGTTCACACACACAAATATGTGGATATGTGTAGTTGTTTTATGTATAATTGGCCCAAACTGCAAACTGGTGAATGAATAAACAAAATGTGGTAGATTCTTTTTCTTTTTTGTGATTTAAAAGAGATTTTAATTAATTACTTTGTGCTTTTGATAAAGCCGCATTGAGCCATTCGTTATTAATCATTTTTACATAAGTGTAATGCATGTATTTATTAGATTCTTAACAAACACTGGAAAAATCACTTGACAATAAAACAGAACAAACTACTGATACATACAAAAACATGGATCAATACAAATGCATAATGCTAAGGGAAAGAAACCACACTCAAATACCTGTATGCCGTATATTTGTCAAGCAAATTTTCTGAACAATTAAGTGCCTAGAAAAATACCTGCAGCATTCTCTCATTAATATCAAACTCTTTCCCTAACACAACACCACACAGTACTTCAAGGGAGTGTTATGATGGTCAAATGTAATAATAGATTGAGTAAAAATGTAATAATGTGAAGTGTATAAATACTCTCTTGCTGTGTAAAGCTCTATTTAAAGATGGCAAGACAAAAAGGATGCTGGCTTTTGGGTAAAGAGACCTTGACCAGTAGCACAACTTTTGTTGTCAACCAGCTAAACTACCATGGACAAGACTTAGTGTCTCTCTGGACTTCTATTGTAAAGTGAGATGTTCTAAATTTAGCTTCAAATTCAGAAAAATTATTTACTTTATATGAACTTTGAAGCATATTCTGTAATTCATACATGCCAAGTGTACCATTTTAGATATTGTGTTACTTATCTCTCATTGAAAACATATCATAACTGGACACCTAATTAGAAAATTTAATAATAAGATTAATAAAATATAAACTGGCTCAAAGATTCCATGTTCAAAGAGTTCATTGGTGGAATATACCAATAAATGATATATATGATTAAAACATTTTGGTTCTTGTCAGCACATTATAGAGCAACATAGACTTTGTTTTGCTTAGGCTTTTATCAAAAAAGGAATGCTATTGTGAATAAACAAAAATAAATGTATATTGGAAACTTTTTCATTGCTAAGTGTGGGTTTTTCATTTTGTTGTTGTTAGTAGAGTTGGTATTGTTTTTGCACTCATAAAATTCTGTAACATTAACTTGTTATGTTATATTTTTCTCAACTCTAAGATCTATAAAAACAGTGTCATAAAATATACATACATATGTGTATGCATATACATATATGTATGTGTATATATATATATATATATATATATATATATATATTTATATATTCCCAGCTAGGTATTGTCTTATACTTAATACTTGCTTGATAGATGTGCATAGGTTGATTGATTCAAATTTATATGTCTGTGTAATAAATCTTACTTTTTAGAATACTGATCTATGATTTGTTTCAAATTATAAATAGGCTAGATAAAAACAACAAGCTCCTAAATTTTACTGCAGAATAACAAACTCTGCTTTAAATTACTTGAGATTAAAATGAACTGTATTCAATTACAGTTATTCATAGACTTCTAGGTCTATTATACAGTCCAGTGTAAGTTTAATTGTCTTATAATGATACAAGTAGAGGTTCATAGAGATAATTCTAATACATCTTCCTGAGACAATTACTGTCCATTGTCCATTAGCCAGAAAGAAGTAAGTTTCCACTTTCATCACTCATAACTTTTGATTCTAGAAGGATGGTGGGAGCAAAGGACAAAATCTAATGCTCATGAGTCATCCTATTTGTTTCTTCTTTGGCTGAGCTCCAGACCCTAAGAAAAGCAAAAGCTCATCATAGTTCTAAGATTGTCCCCTTCTTCCCACTCCATAATCAATTACACATTACTAATAATAAGCATGATGTCTTGCTTTCACTCAGTCTGAGTGACCAGTTAGGTTCTATAGGCGATCTCTTTGACACATGGCAGTGGTCAAGTTGGCATCTTGATTCACTGTCCAGGGAATTACAAGCTGACCTAATCAGCTGATGTGATTAGTTAAAAGTATGCAAACAATATTACTCCATTCCTTTAATTTGGCTTAATTATTACATTTGTTATTTAGAAATTTTAGATAAATTATAAGGTGAACTGAAAAGCTGCTCTTAGTTCCTTTTCATTATAATGTTAGTTTTTTGATATAATCTTAAACAAAATTCAAATAAAAAATATAGTTATCAAATGTTTAATGCTTTTCCATGTATGGCAGTTATTAAAATAAATTGATTACACAAAACACATCTTCAGTGAAAAACTGTAGTCAAGAAACTTGGTAATGTCAGTAGATTACAGCACTGCACTATGAGATGAGTAAAAGTGTAATTTGAAGAGCAAGCAATTCACATTTTGGAATATCAGGGCAAAGGATTTTCTGGCTCATAATAATACAAATGTCCAGATTGCATTTCAAGACATGACCTTTGTTATGCATAAGTACTTTTTGCAAGAAATAACTTTTGCACATAAAATTTTATGTATTTTCAGGGTTGATTTGACTACAATAAATCTTTTACTAAATAAGCCTTAATATCAGTGGGGAGAGCACAAGTGAATAAAGTCAGAATATTCCTTAGCAAATCCATGAATGTATTAAATGGGTAACAGTAATTTATTTTTTCCACAATCTAGCCCGGGATAGACACTATGATTTGTTTCAACCAAACTCTTTAATTTATAAAATATACATTCTCAAAATGTAATATGATTTAAAAACCTTCCCATTTTCTTTTAGTCTTTGGAAGTATAACATAGGTGAAGAACATGGATGTAGGTATTGGATGGTTATTTAAATGCTTTTTCCAATTTCCTGACCTTGAGCAAACATGTAAATAGTTACTTTACTTGGAGAAAGATTATAGAATGTCAACTGCACAGTATTCTTGTTAGAACAGTGCTGGCATTTGTAAGGTGCCTAGGACTGCTTCAGGCTTACAGTAGGTACCCAATAAATGACATTTACTCCCTTTACCTCATATATTACCCAGGTTTACAGATCTGTTCACGTAAGACTGCTGTGTAAGTGTTGTAACTTATTACAGAGTACATTTTTTTGTCAGTTGGCTGAGAAAGCAGGAGTTACTGACACATATTGCTGGAATAATTCTTATCCTTTTAACTATGAAAAAAAAAGAACCGTTATAATTCTCAGCTGAAAATATGTGAGAAAATCTGGGGAGTCCAAGCATCTCTGTCCTGGATCAATTACGAGCATTTATGCCTGTCCTTTTCTTCACCTTCCTTTGGTCTTTAACATACAGTCACAGAATTAGGGTCACCCCAAGTAGTAGGAAAATATGAAAAGGGCAAGCAATCCTTGCCCTGGAAGCATCATCTTTTTGAGGCCCCAGTTACCTGGAAGTATGAGGCTGGGCTTCCCAATAAGCAGATCAGCATGCAGGAAATTTATTATGAGGTCTCTTAAAATCAATTTCAGATGAAGGAAAGAGAGGAGAATGAAGGGGAGGGGAAGAGGTGGGTGAATAAATAGGATGAGAAGGAGACTAGACCAGGCAGTGGGTTGAGCAGCAACTTCTTTCATGGGAAGCATCAGTTGACCCTATAAAAAAAGATCTACCTGTCTTATGTTGGGGTCACATGATTAGTTATTTACATGCCTGCAATGGTCAGTCATTGGATGCAGAATCCTTGACAAGGAGAACAGTCTTGTCAGCTACCAGGGAAGAATAAGTCCTTCATTACTGAAAGGGGATCTGTATGGTACATCAATCACCAACCATGTCGATTTTCTGGAATGTTTTTCCCTGTATGATGCTTTAAACATTCTCAGTCCCTCAAGATATGTATACAGTGACTTTCACACATTTATTCTGCTGATTTTTTGCTGGTTCATTAGTTCAGAAGTACTGGAGTCCTCAGCATTCTTATTTACTGTCTGCTCAGAGCTTCAATATGCCTTGTTTCTCAAGAGATGGCTGGAGTTCTTCATTTTGCAACAGATGCTGAGTTAGGCCTTGCTCAAATACCTCAGTACAACCATGCTTCAACAAAACAACAAAGAACATTTTGGTGCTCTATCCTCATACCTGTCAACTAAGCATGTGTGTGTGTCTGTATGTGTGCATGTATGTGTAAAAAGAATAAATAAGAATAATTTTTCATTAGGTTTTTTTTTTAAAGATGAGTAAATCTGCCAAGGCAGTAGATGCAGAAGAGGTTGTTTCATTTATCGTTAACAGAAAGTTCAAATCTAGTATACTGTGTATTATTTCCCAGATTGAGTCACATCACTGCTATAGAAAAGAACAATAATTTCCTATTCCACAGTGGAACAGAATGGAGATTTATATCCTTGGTAACAACTGCTACTTCTTTGTCTAATAGTCATAATTGCAATTAGTGGGCATTAGTGTTTCAACATTCCCTCCTAAAATGTTGGCCACCTGCAGCATCTAATAATTCCCTCTTTTTTGTACTTATTAAGCTGCAAGTATGGACTCAAAAATAATATTTAAACCTAAAATAAGGGAAACAAAAGTGTTCCATGGTATAGATGTGGTTTGTGCGACCTATCAGTGGAAAGCAGTAATTGGTCTCAATAGGGTGTAAACTAGAGAAGATTGGCAAAAGGCAAATGCATGTAAGAGTGTAATTGGGATAAAAGGATTCCTATTACTTTTTCTCCTTTGTTTTCAGTTTGAAAGGCCAGGGAACTACTATTCTTCCTTCAGATTTACATGAGGACACAGTATTTGTCCATTTTTATGCTGCTGATAAAGACATACCCAAGACTGGGTAATTTATAAAGAAAAAGAGGTTTAATGGACTCACAGTTCCAGGTGGCTGGAGATGCCTCACAATCAAGGTGGAAGGCGAAAGGTCACATCTTACTTGGCAGCAGACAGAAGAACATGAGAGCCAATTGAAAGGAGTTTCCCCTTATAAAACCATCAGATGTCATGAGGCTTATTCACTACCATGAGAATAGTATGGGGGAAACCGCCCCCATGATTTAATTATCTCCCACCGACTCCCTCCCACAACATGTGGGAATTATGGGAGCTGCAATTCAAGATGAGGTCTGGGTGGGGATACAGCCAAACCGTATCAGACACCATAGACAAACAAGAGTCCTTTATTATAAAAGAGGTTTCTTCTCATTATATATCATGTTCATGACAGAATAAGTCTGAATTTTGAACAAATCAAATATTCAAAAGTATTACATTTTGGGGGGGATTGTTCAGTTGAAAGTTTTCTTAATAGTGTTATCTTCTGTCTCTAAAGAATCGCAACACATAAATCTGGTTATTCCTTATATTCATTTCTTATTTTTCTCTCCTTTTTTTTTTTTTTTTGGTTGAGATGGAGTCTCGCTCTGTTGCCCAGGCTGGAGTGCAGTGGCGCGATCTCTGCTCACTGCAAGCTCTGCCTCCTGGGTTCACGCCATTCTCCTGCCTCAGCCTCCTGAGTAGCTGGGCCTACAGGCACCCACCACCACGCCTGGCTAATTTTTTTGTATTTTTAGTAGAGACGGGGTTTCACTGTGTTAGTCAGGATGGTCTCGATCTCCTGACCTTGTGATCCACCCACCTCGGCCTCCCAAAGTGCTGGGATTACAGGCATAAGCCATGGCTCCCGGCCCCATTTCTTATTTTTCTAATAGGCACTAACACTGAAAAAGATGAGGAAACAATATCTAAGCATAACAAATGGGGAAATGCTATAAACCAACAAATGTGCTTTTTATGAGAATTTTCTAGTTCAAAAAAATGAAATACTACTTACAATGACATTTGCTATCCTAGGCATCTTGTGCTTCCTCATCTGCTGGTGTCACTAAATTGTTATGTAACAAAGTCATTGGATGCGTCATAGAAAATATGCCCAAATTATCCATTTTTTAAGAAATGTATTATATGTGGTGCCTGGTTAGCTTTTTTATCTTGACAAAGCATGGGGACAATATTCCATTGTGACATGATTGGCTGTTGAACATTAAAGAAAATAAGCTAACTACATGTAAAATTTTTCAGCTCTGTGAATGAAGCTTCATTCTCTTTCTTGAGAATGGCAAAATGTATTTTTTTGTGGGGGGGCAATCACATTACCGTGCCGAAATATTTTGTTTTCCATCTTGTTGGTGCCTTCTGACACTCTTCATTTTCTTTTTATGGGTTTTTAATTAATTCATTAATTTCACCTCTCAGCATGAAGGATAATGCTCATTCAGAGTTTGACATTTCTCCATTTGGCAAATTGTTGTTGCAGAGGATGTTGTCGGTTTGATGTTGAATTTGATAAAATATCCTATTTAAATATTCAAATTTTAGATTCATAGAGCTTTTATATATGAGAACATTTTCCAATAAGTATCATTTAAAAAGTTCTAACTTACAATATTTTATGGCGTCTAGTATTAACAATGAAAAAATAATAAGGAAGTCTGGAGTGGGAGAGATTGGTAAGAATAAGTTGAGACACAAAATAGGAATAACTCTATTTACAGAAATCTCTCTATGCTGAAATCATGTTTACTAGTCACCACAGGGAGAAATGGAACATGAGCAGCAGATGTATGTGATAACTGATGAGACACTGAATATATTGTCTGTTTGGAAAGGAGTCACAAATAAAAATTCAAATATATTATGCCTGGTAGAAAGGGTGACATCTAAAACTCAATCCAGTGAAATAAAGGACCCTAAAGCTCTGCCATTTCTGAATTCTCAGGTCAACTTAATTCCAGGGGGACCTGTCGTTTTTGTGAGCAATAAAACCCAGCTGATGTTATTATTAGATACAATCCATTCACTGCATACTATGAGGGTAAAACATCTTATTCTCTAGGGAACAGACTAGTGATATCTCCTTTTGGAGAAAAAAAAAAGTATGAAAGTGTCTTTTTTGAGCAGGAAATAAAATGCATATTTCCTTCAATAACAAATAATAGATTGAGCTTGATAAAGGGGTCTGGGAATTTAAAGATTCTCTGAAAATTCCTCTAGAGAAATTAGGAATAACTGTAGACAAATTAGGTGAGGAGAGAGATGGGCTTTCTCCCCTTTCTCCCTTCAGAAAAATAATAATAATAAAACTCATATAAATGTGTAACGCTTCTTTCCTCAGTTTTAGTAAGCAATTAATCAGCTCAGTAATATAGGCACCAGTACACTTTATGGATATGTAAATTTGTTGGATGTTTTATGCTATAGACTCATTGTATTTGCATTTACACCATTTTTTTCTGCATTGTTTAACAAAACTGTACATGCAGTTGAAGTCCTCTCTCCACTGTATATAGGTAGGCACAGCCTTTCCTGATAAGGAGCACAGGAAATCAGACTAGATTTACACAAAATGGCATTCCCTAGCTGTATTTGAACTGCTGATGTAGCAGCCTCTGCACCCTCAGCTTGAACTTATCCAAAGGAGAGAAGCATTTGTTTTCCTCCATATGAAGAAAAAAGGAAGAACCTAGAGGGCACACCTTCACCATAAATCTGCCTGAGAAATTTCTGTGGCTCCAGTTCCATGTGGGAAGGCATTGACATTCTTCTTCAGGCGCCAGAAACTTCCACAGAGAATGTAAGTGGTACGCTTATAGAGCACCAACCTGGAAACCACACATCCTGAATTTTAAGCTCTTTAGAATAAGGCAACATACAAAAGACATATGATTGTGTGGGATAAGCATTTGCTGGTTTAACATGTAAAAATTATCAAGCATGTCCATTATGGGTACACATTCCCGTAGACGCTAAAACTGTGTGTTACAGGTCTTATATATTTACTCATATTATAATTTCCAACATATACTCAGAACAAAGAAGTTCTAGATTTACCATAACACTAAGAATAATGACTTGCTTTTTTGTTTTTGTTTTTTAAATGATTTCTATATTTATTAATTAAATTAATGCTTGCATATTATTTTTAAAGTCTGTTACTATTATTCATTGAGCCAATAAAATGTATCATCTTTTAAGTCTCAGGTATGATTCTGAAATTCCAAGAAAATAGTAGTGAACAAAATCATCAAGGATCTGACTCTGTCATGGAATTAATTAGCTTGCAGTAATGGATAATGCATATTTACTAACTCATTAAATGCTACTATTAGTTTCTCCATTTTGTCCAAATTTCAGAGAACAAGGGACTTAATATTAAATCTGGTTTTAATTTGTACAGGGTTTTAAAATTTAATTTAATTTGTATGTCTACAGAGGTAAAGTGAAATTCTGATTAAAGATAGTGTGAAGGGGATTGAATTAGGGTATTTATCTATTCCCCAAATATATTTTTTGGCTATGGTTTGAGATATATATATATATATATATATATATATATATATATATATATAAAACCATATATATGTATATATATATGTGTGTGTGTGTATTCTGAAAAGTTACATATATTTACTGAATATATATATATATGTATATATATATTTACTGAAAGAGCTACAATCACATGTCCATTTGTTCTGATGAAGTAAAACTCAATCTAAATGTTTTTATAATCATGAAAATCCAATGACTGTTACAAAATCTCAAACACTGTCCTAAGTCCTCAAGAGCTAGATGTCTCTCTCTCTCATTCTTCCTTTCCCTCTTTTTTTAAAAATAAATTAAAATGTGGATGATCCAAACTATTCACAAGAATCCTAAGTCAAAAGCCAAGAAAGATTCTGTTTTCTAGATATACACAATCTACTGTAATGTTTCTTGATGTAAGATATGTTAATAGTCTATGAATCAGCTTATTAAGGAGCTCTGTTTAATGCTGCTACTAAATCCAATATAAGTTTTCACCCATTCACCTTAGGCTTTTTTAAAACCAAAATGTTCCACTTGAAAACCTATCTTCAGAGCCTCATAAGATATAATAAGTAACACCAGTGTATCAGAATTATCACACAAATTTTACTGTATAATGATAATTTTTCCTGGACCTCCTAGGGATTGTTCAGTTTAGCAGTAGTAGAGGAATTTCTGTCAATATTTAATCTGTATTGACTGTTGGATTGATTACAGTGCATGATACTGATTACATCCATCTTCCCAAACAGTGTAGTCCCTCCTGGTGACAAAACTCTATTGATACACTCTCCCTGATCATGAAAAATTGCAAAACTGCTGAGATTTCTACTTTTATATAATTTATTACCCTTCCCAGATAATGCAAGAAGACATGAAGTTATATTTTGTTTTCAATCTTTGTTGTGTGGTGGTTTTATAAGACAGAGATTAACAGGTCCTATCACAGCCATTTTACCACCTTTGCCCTTTGTCCTGTAGAGCATTGTATTAGTTCGTTTTAATGCTGCTAACAAAGACATACCTGAAACTGGACAATTTACAAAAGAAAGAGGATTAAGGAATTCAGAGTTTCACATGGCTGGGGATGCCTGACAATCATGGTGGAAGGCAAAGAGGAGCAAGTCATGTCTTACATGGATGGCAGCATGCAAAGAGAGAGCTTTAATAAAGAACACAGGTACTTTCATGCAGGGATACTTTCATGTTTAAAACCATCAGATCTTGTGGGACTCATCCACTATCACAAGAAAAGCACAAGAAAGACCCACCCCCATAATTCAATCACCCTCCACCAGGTTTCTCCCATGTGTCATGGGAATTGTGGGAGTTACAATTCAAGATGAGATTTGGGTAGGGACACAGCCAAACAACAGCAAGCACCATTTTGTTAATTTTTAAAAAATAAAAACATATTTTGTCGTTGTTTAAAATACACAGGAAATGTGATACTACAAGTTATACTGTTCTATGGAAACTTTGTATAAACTACAGTAAAACAAATGAGCAATTTTTGATTTTAAATTTTAAAACCTTTTGCCTATTGAAAATCATCTGAATACACAGGAAAAAATATTCCTATTATTATAATGATAGATGATACACAAGGCTTTAAAATAGCAGAAAAAGACAGTGTTTTTATTCTTATTTCAGAAATCATGAATAATTATATTAAAAGGAAAGCACATGTTATTTTGAGGTAAAATATTGGAACAACAGTGTATGAAGGAATACCCTAAATGCCTGCATTTAGTAAATGCCCAAAATGTTAAATTGAGATACTGAAAGATGCTTGAATTTGATTTGTGGCAAATATAGCAGATTTTATTCTATAAAAGAGACACTCATTCTGTAAAGGAAACTGTAATTTTCTTGTTTGAGCATGCAGAGAAAGTTGCATTAGTCTTATAATAAGAGATTCTGGGATGCACTGTGATACCATAGAGTAGTGGTTGTGCTTCAACTGAACGAGAAATCAAACAGTGGGGTGGAGATTCACTCTACACAGCTAGCATCCCTAAAGCTGGGAATCTCTATTGGCTGTGGAAAGATAAAAGCTAAAATAACTCTGACACAAAAATGAAAACAAGCACATACCCTAGTACAAGGACATTCATAGAAAAAAACCCAAACAAAAACATATTTTCATACATTTTCTGAGTCAGAAAGAATGTCTTCTGAAAAGAACATTAGCATGACCTTTCCCAACATAAGCATTTTCAAAGTAGAAAGGAGTATGAAATCTATAAAAAGATACACATATACAAAAAAGAAATGAATTAGTTTTTAAAAGCTATAAATGGACATTTGATAGAAAAAAGAGACACTATTGAGCAAATAAAATTCATTTCCAAACATTACAAAAACTCAAAGAATTTCAAAAATCAGCCAAAATAAATTGACTCCAAGTTGAAATGCCACAACTCTGGGAAAATACAGAAAGAGACAAAACATCTCTGGCAGGGCCCATAGAAAGGAGTTGAAGGTAATACTGTCTAAGAATTATAGAAAACGTTGGAAACAGTCCAAAGGAGAACAGACACAGTTGAATAGACAATAAGCTACATGAAAGATAGGAATAAGTGAAAGCAAGATAAACAAAAGCAGAAGAGAGAAAGAAAGAAAATTATCACAACATAACATATGTAAAGTTTATAAAAAAATTTGTATTTATATCCCCCCAAATGAGAACTAAATAAAAGTATCAGATAAAAATGTAAAAATATAAAATATTATCACAAAGGAAGTCTTGCAAAACATATCTTATAAATTACAAGAATTTATATCATGGAAGGGGCTACCGTATTTCATAAAAGTCAGAGAGAAACATTGAGACAGACTGACAAGAGGCTAGATGTTGAAGGCAGAGAATTCCATGAGCATTCAAGCAAATGTAATTAAAGCACCCATGAAGAGAAAAGAGAAAACCAAACTAGCCTCACTGCTAGAAAGAAACTGCTGATCAGAGACAAAAAAAAAAAAAAAAAGAATTTTATCTGACATTTTCATTGTCATTTCTTTGATTACTAATAAGATGAAAAAACTTTTTATTTATTTATCAACCATTCTGTTTCCCTTTTTTGTTAAGTTCTTAATACATTAGATCTATTTTTCCTTTAGTTTACCCATTTTTTCTTTTAGCCATATATATATATATATATATATATGCCCAAGTTTTTGTTATTATACTTTAAGTTCTGGGATACATGTGCAGAACGTGCAGGTTTGTTACATAGGTATAAACGTGACATGGTGGTTTGCTGCATCCATCAATCTGTCATCTACATTAAGTATTTCTCCCAATGCTATCCCTCCGCTTGCCCCCCATCCCCTGACAGGACCCGGTGTGTGATGTTCACCTCGCCGTGCCCATATGTTCTCATTGTTCAACTCCCACTTATGAGCGAGAACATGCAGGGTTTGGTTTTCTCTTCCTGTGTTTGTTTGCTGAGAATGATGTTTCCAGCTTCATCCATGTCCCTGCAAAGGACATGCACTCATTCTTTTTTATGGCTGCATGGTATTCCATGGTGTATATGTGCCACATTTTCTTTACCTGGTCTATCATTGATGGGCATTTGGGTTGGTTCCAAGTCTTTGCTATTGTAAATAGTGCTGCAATAAACATACATGTGCATGTGTCTTTATAGTAGAATGATTTATAATCCTTTGGGTATATACCCAGTAATGGGATTGATGGGTCAAATGGTACCTCTAGTTCTATATCCTTGAGGAATCACCGCACTGTCTTGCACAATGGCTGAACTAATTTAAACTCCCAACAACAGTGTAAAAGCATTCCAATTTCTCCACATCCTCTCCACCATCTGTTGTTTCCTCACTTTTTAATGATTACCATTCTATGTAGCATGAGATGGTATCTCATTGTGGCTTTAATTTGCAGTTCTCTAATGACCAGTGATGACGAACTTTTTTTTCATATGTTTCTTAGCCACATAAATGTCTTCTTTTAAAAAGTGTCTGTTCATATCCTTCACCCACTTTTTGATGGGGTTGTTTGTTTTTTTTCTTGTAAATTTGTTGAAGTACCTTATAGATTCTGGATATTAGCCCTTTGTCAGATGGATAGACTGCAGAAATTTTCTCCCATTCTGTAGGTTGCCTGTTCACTCTGATGATGATTTCTTTTGCCATGCAGAAGCTCTTTAGTTTAATTAGATCCCATTTGTCACTTCTGGCTTTTGTTGCAATTGCTTTTGGTGTTTTAGTCATGAAGTCTTTGCCCATGCCTATGTCCTGAATGGTATTGCCTAGGTTTTCTTCTAGAGTTTTTATGGTTTTAGGTCTTATGCCTAAATTTTTAATCCATCTAGAGTTAATTTTTGTATAAGGTATAAGGAATGGGTCCAGTTTCGGTTTTCTGCATATGTCTAGCCAGTTTTCCCAGCACCATTTATTAACTAGGGAATCCTTTCCCCATTAATTGTTTTTGTCAGGTTTGTCAAAGATCAGATGGTTGTAGATGTGTGGTGTTATTTCTGAGGCCTCTGTTCTGTTCCATTGGCCTATATACCTGTTTTGGTACCACTATCATGCTGTTTTGGTTACTGTAGCCTTGTACTATAGTTTGAAGTCATGTAGCATGATGCCTCCAGCTTTGTTCCTTTTGCTTAGGATTGTCTTGGCTATATGGGCTCTTTTTTGGTTCCATATGAAATTTACAGTAGCTTTTTTCTAATTCTGTGAAAAAAGCCAATGGTAGCTTGATGGGGATTGCATTGAACTTATAAATTACTTTGGGCAGTATTGCCATTTTCATGATAATTATTCTTCCCATTCATGAGCATGGAATGTTTTTTCATTTGTTTGTGTCCTCTCTTATTTCCTTGAGCAGTGGTTTGTATTTCTCCTTGAAGAAGTTCTTCACATCCCTTTAAGTTGTATTCCTTGGTATTTTATTCCCTTTGTAGCAATTGTGAATGGAAGTTCACTCATGATTTGGCTCTCTGTTTGTCTATTATTGGTGTATAGGAATGCTTGTGATTTTTGCACATTAATTTTGTATCCTGAGACTTTGCTGAAATTGCTTATCACCTTAAAGAGTTTTGGGGCTGAAACAATGGGGTTTTCTATATATACAATCATGTCGTCTGCAGACAGAGATAATTTGACTTCCTCGCTTCCTAAATACCCTTTATTTTTTTCTCTTGCCTGATTGCCTTGGCCAGGACTTCCAATACTATGTTGAATAGGAGTGGTGAGAGTTGGCATCCTTTTCTTATGCCAGTTTTCAAAGGGAATGCTTCCAGCTTTTGCCCATTCAGTATGATATTAGCTGTGGGTTTGTCATAAATAACTTTTTTTATATGTTCCATCAATACCTAGTTTATTGAGTGTTTTTAGCATGAAGCGTTGTTGAATTTTATCGAAGGCCTTTTCTGCATCTGTTGAGAAAATCATGTGGTTTTTGTCATTGGTTCTGTTTATGTGATGGATTATGTTTATTGATTTATGTATGTTGAAACAGCCTTGCATCCCAGGGATGAAGCCGACTTGATTGTGGTGGGTAAGCTTTTTAATGTGCTGCTGGATTCAGTTTGCCAGTATTTCATTGAGGATTTTTGCATTGATGTTCATCGGGGATATTGGCCTGAAATTTTCTTTACTCTAGACCCTGTTGGCCTGGGTATCACCAGCAGAGGCTGCAGAACAGCAAAGATTGCTGCCTGCTCCTTCCTTTGGAAACTCATCACAGAGGGGCACCTGCCAGAAGCCAGCCGGAGATCTCCAGTATGAAGTGTCTGTCAACCCCTGTTGGGAGGTGTCTTCCCATCAGGAGGCATGGGGGTCAGTGACCCACTTAAGAAGGCAGTCTGTCCCTTATCTGAGCTTGAGCGCTGTGCTCAGAGATCTGCTGCTCCGTTCAGAGCCAGCAGGCAGAAACCTTTAAATCTGTTGAAGCTGCACCCACAGCCACCCTTTCACCCAGGTGCTCTGTCACAGGGAGATGAGAGTTTTATCTATAAGCCTCTGACTGGGGCTGCTGCCTTTCTTTCAGAGATGGCTTGCCCAGAGAGGAGGAATCTAGAGAGGCAGTCTGGCTACAGTGGCTCTGTGGCACTGAGGTGGGCTCTACCCAGTCAGAACTTCCAGGTGGCTTTGCATACGCTGTGAGGGGAAAACCGCCTACTCAAGCCTCGTAATGGTGGACACCCCTCCCTCCGCCAAGCTTGAGTGTCCCAGGTCAACTTCAGACTGCTGTGCTGGCAGCAAGAATTTCAAGCCAGTGGATCTTAGCTTGCTGGGCTCCTTGGGGGTGGGATCCGCTGAATAAGACCACTTGGCTCCCTGGCTTCAGCCCCCTTTCCAGGGGAGTGAACGGTTCTGTCTCACTGACGTTCCAGGCATCACTGGGGTGCCAAACAAACAAACAAACAAACAAACAAAAAACTCCTGCAGCTTGCTTGCTGTCTGCCCAAACACCTGCCCAATTTTGTGCTTGAAACCTAGGGCCCTTGTGGTGTAGGGACGAGGGGAAATCTCCTGGTCTGTGGGTTGCGAAGACCATGGGAAAAGCGTAGTATCTGGGCCCGATAGCACCGTCTCTCCCGGCAGAGTCCCTCAAGGCTTCCCTTGGCTAGGGGAGGGAGTTCCCCCACCCCTTGCACTTCCCAGGGGAGGCGACAGCCCACCCTGCTTCAGCTCGCCCTCCTGGGCTGCACCCACTGTCTAACCAGTCCCAGTGAGATAAACCAGGTACCTCAGTTGGAAATGCAGAAATAACCAGCCTTCTGTGTTGGTCTCACTGGGAGCCACAGAATGGAGCTGTTCCTATTCAGTCATTTTGCCTGGGAGCCATACATGGGATTATTTTTAAAACTGTATCTTCTCAATGTATAGATTGGCTTTTTACTTTCTTATATTTTCATTAACCGAAATTGTTTTAGTTTAGAATTATTGCTCAATCCTTCCCTTTATAGTTTGTGCTATTTGTTTCTCTTTAAAAAGGGTTTTCTGCCCTGAAATCACATTCTTCCTGATTTTCATTTAATTTTTAAACTATTTATTTTGAAATAATTATAAATTCATAGAAAGTTGCAAAGATAGTACCGAGAAGTCCCCAGTACCTTTCCCCTACTTCACCCAGTTTCCTCCATGGGTCACTTATTACACAACAACAATACAAGAACAACAGCTGGAAATCAGCAATAGTACACTGCATGTGAATATTCTGTTATTTTATCACATGTGTAAATTCATGGAACCACCAATAAAATCAAGATACAGGAATATTTTTTTACACCAAATCTCCCTCATGCTGCACCTTCATATTCACACCCACTTCCTTTCCCCTACCATCTTAACTCCAGGAAACCACTAATTTGTTCTCTATGTGTATAGTTGTGCCATATTGAGAATGCCATATAGACAGAATCTTATGGTATGTGAGATGACTCCAATTGTGTTTTTCCTCACTCAACATAAATCCATCGACTTTGTTGCATCTATCAATAATTTGTTCCTTTTTATTGCTGAGATATGTATCTGGCTATGAATGTAGCAATTTGTTTAACCATCACCAATTCTAGGGCAATTTGACTGTTTCCAGTATTTTTGATCATTAGAAATAAAACTGTGAATGATCATGTAGAAGTTTATGTTGAAAATATGTTTTTATTTCTATAAGTGCTAGGGAGTGTGACTGATTACTGGGTCCTATAGCAGGCATATGTCTAGTAATTTTTCTTTTACAAAACCCTTCATTTTAACTTCAGGGGTGCATGAGCAGATTTGTTACATAGGTAAATTTGTGTCATGTGGGTTTGTTGTCCAGGTTCTTTCATCACCCAGGTATTAAGCCTAGCACCAATTAGTTATTTTTCCTGATCTTCTCCCTCCTCTCACCCTCTGATAGGCCCCAGTTTGTGTTGTTCTCCTCTATGTGTCCATCTCTTCTACATGTCCATGGGATCTCATCGGTTAGCTCCCACTTATAAGTGAGAACCTGCAGTATTTGGTTTCATGCTCCTGCATTAGTTTGCTAAGGATAATGACCTCCAGCTCCATCCATGTCCCTGCAAAGGACATAGTATTATTCTTTTGTATAGCTGCATAGTACTCCGTGGTGTATATATACCATATTTTATTTATCCAGTCTGTCATTGATGGGCATTTAGGTTGATTCGATGTCTTTGCTATTGTGACTAGTGCTACAATGAACATACATGTGCATGTATCTTTATAATAGAATGATTGCTTTATATTCCTTTGGGTATATACCCAGTAATGGGATTGCTGTTGAAAGATATTTCTGTCTTTAGTTCTTTGAGGAATTGCTACACTGTGTTCCACAATGGATATTGAACTAATTTATACTCCCACCAACAGTGTATTAGCATCCCTTTTCCTCTGCAACCTAACGGGCATCTGCTATTTTTTGACTTTTTAATAATAGCCATTCTGACCAGTGTGAGATGGTATCTCATTGTGGTTTTGATTTGAATTTCTCTAATAATCAGTGATGTTGAGGTTTCTTTTTTATATATGTGATTGTTGGCTGCATGTATGTCTTCTTTTGAAAAGTGTCTGTTCATGTCCTTGGCCCACTTTTTTTTTATGGGGTTATTTTTTCTTGCAAATTTGTTTAAGTTCCTTATAGATTCTGGATATTAGAACTGTATAATGCAGAAATTTTCTCCCATTGTGTAAGTTGTCTGTGTACTCTGTTGATAATTTATTTTGCTGTGCAGAATCTCTTTAGTTTGATTAGATCCCATTTGTCAATTTTTGCTTTTGTTGCGATTGCTTTTGGCATCTTCATCATGAAATCTTTGCCCACACCTATGTCCAGAATGGTATTGCCTAGCCTATGTTGTCTTTCAGGGTTTTAATAGTTTTTGATTTTACATTTAAGTCTCAGTCTATCTTGAGTTAATTTTTCTATATGGTGTAAGGAACGGGTCCATTTTTAATCTCCTGCATATGGCTAGCCAGCTATCCCAGCACCATTTATTGAATAGAAGATCCTTTCCCCATTGCTTGTTTTTTTTTCAGGTTTGTCAAAGTTCAGATAGCTGTAGTTGTGTGATCTTATTTCTGGGTTCTCTATTGTGTTTCACTGGTCCATGTCCCTGATTATTGTTTTTAATTTTATTTATTTATTTATTTATTTATTTATTTATTTATTTATTACCAGAACCATGCTGTTTGGTTACTGTAGCCCTGTAGCATAGTTTGAAGTTGGGTAGCTTGATGCCTCCAGCTTTGTTCTTTTTGCTTAAGATTGCCTTGGCTATTTGGGCTCCCTTTCTGTTCTGTATGAATTTTAAAATAGTTTTTTGTAGTTCTGTTAAGAATGTCAGTGGTAGTTTTATAGGCATAGCATTGAATCTCTAAATTGCTTTGGGCAGTATGGCCATTTTAACAATACTGATTTTTCCTATCCATGAGTATGGAATGTTTTCCATTTGTTTGTGTCATCTCTGATTTTCTTGAGTAGTGTTTTGTAGTTCTCCTTGTAGAGATCTTTCACCTCCATAGTTACTTGTATTCCTAAGTATTTCATCTACTTTCTTAGGTTTATGCCTACATTCTTTGTATTTCCAGAGTGACTGCACCACTTCACATTCCTACTGGCAGTGCACCAGACTCAGTTTCTCCACATCTTTGACAGACTTTAATATTTTTTTCTATTTCCTTTTTAGATGTTCTGCTAATTTTGTGGAGATATTACATCATAATCTTAATTTGCATTTTTCTGAGGGCTATCGATTTGAACATTTTTTATATGCTTCTCATCTTTATATCTACCTCAATAAAATGTCTCTCTATATATTTTGCCATATAGATAGATAAATAAAATATATATGTGTATATTACATAAAAAATATACATTATATATTTACTGTTGAGTTTTGAGAGTTCTTTATATTTTGTAAATGCAAGTCCTTTGTCAGATATGTGATTTGCAAGTATTTCTTCCTATTCTGTAGGTTGTTTTTTAACCCTTTATTTACAGGTCATTTAACAGAGCAAAGTTATTAATTTTGATAAAGCTGAATTCATTATTTTTAAAAATTATTTTATAGTCCATGATTTGGTGCAATGTGTAAGAATTCTTGACTGAGCCTTAGCTCCCTAAGCTTACTTCTATGTCTTAGTGTCTTATGATTTATATAGAAATTTATGATCCATTTTGAGTTAATTAATATAGAAGGTATGAGGTTTACGCTGAGGTTCAATTTTTTTTTTTTTTTTTTTTTGCCTATGGATATCCAGTTGTTCCAGCACCGTTTTCTGAAAAGACTGTCCTTCTTTCATTAAATTGCTTTGCACTCTGTCAAGAATCAGTTAACTGTACTTGTGTGCAGTTATTTTTGGGTTCTCTATTCAGTTCTGTTTATTTTTTTGTCTATTCCTTGCCAATGGCAGATAGTTTTGATTACTATAGTTAGATAAAAAGCTTTATTGTTAAGTATAGTGATTCTTCTCACTTTGTTCTCTCTCTTTTTTTTTTTTTAAAGGGATTGTCAGTTATTCTTGGGCTTGTGCCTTTCCCTATACATTCAATAATAAGTGTATCTATGTCTTTAAAATGTTGCTCGTATGTTGATAGGAATTCGATTGAATAGGAAATCTGTAAATAAATTCGGGGAGAGTTGATATCTTTACAATCTGAATTCTTCCAGTCTGTGAGTACTATCTGTATTATAGCATTCTCACACTGCTTTAAAGACTTACAAGAGCCTGGGTAATTTATTAGCAAAAAAAAAAAAAAAAAATGAAGAGAGAAATTTAATCAGTTCTGCAGATTGTACAGGCTTCTGCTTCTCGGAGGCCTCAGGAGACTTACAATCATGGCAGAAGGTGAAGAGAAAGCAGGCAAATCTTCAAAAGGGCAGCAGGAGAGAGAGAGAGAACGAGCAAAAGAGAGAGAGTGAAGGAGGAAGTGCTATACATTTTCAAACAATCAGATCTCTTGTGATGACTTTATCATGAGAAGGCACTAGGGATATGTTGCTAAACCAATAGAAACCACCCCCTTGATTCAATCACTTCCCATCAGACCTCTCCTCCAACACCAGGGATTGCAAATCCACATGAGATTTGGGTGAGACACAAGGACAAACCCATATCACCATCCTTTCATAATTTTTCTCAAACTTTCTTACATAATTTTCTATGCCTTTTCCTTAGTATTTCATTCTTTCTCTGGTGATGTGCCATAAAAATCCATACCCATGAAATTTTCATGTATGAGTCAGTTTATTGGAAGAATCTATATCCTGTTTCCTCGTTTAATTTGTATACCTCTGCTTCACTGCCACTAGCTTTTTATTATGTTTCGGTATCTGGAAGGGTAAATTCCTGATCTTCTTTTACTACAAAATAACCTTTACTAATCTGCTTATAAAGTTGTCATCAAGTTATTGATTTCTATGAAATTAAATATTGGGATTATATGGAATTTATAGGTTAATTTTTTTTTTTTTTTTGAGACAGAGTCTCATTCTGTTGCCAGGCTGGAGTGCAGTGGCACAATCTCGGCTCACTGCAACCTCCACCTCCTAGGTTCAAGTGATTCTCCTGCCTCAGCCTCCTGAGTAGCTGGGACTACAGTTCACGCGCCCCCATGCCCAGCTAATTTTTGTATTTTTAGTAGAGACGGGGTTTCAACCGTGTTGGCCAGGATGGTCTCGATCTCTTGACCTTGTGATCTGCCTGCCTCAGCCTCCCAAAGTGCTGGGATTACAGGCGTGAGCCACCACACCAGGCCAACAGGTTATTTTTTTAAAAAGTTAGCATATTTAGGGCAAAGAGGCTTTCTAACCATAGACAGATATATTTCTCTGACTATGAAGTATTAAAATCCTTCAATAAGGTTTTATTATCTTCACTTACTTTGTTAGATTTTTGCTTAGGTTCTTTGTATCTCATGTACTATTGCAAACGTCATTATTTTACATTACATTTCCTAACTCTCTGATGCTGGTATTGAAAAGCATGCTTCATATTCAGGTGTTGATCTTGTACTTAATGATACTTAGCAATTATCTTTTATTCTATTTGACACATTATAAAGCTATAAGTCTAAAGGAGAATGAGATATAGAGTGTCTAGAGTTGACTACCAGATCACCAAGAATAAATTTGTCTACCTTCCCAAATATGAGGATCATATTAAGTGTATTTTGTATGCTCCTTTTACCTATAACTTTATTCTATTTTTACTGTTACATTTCACATAACCCCAACTTTATAAGACTAGCTAATAATTATTGAGCTCCTTTTACATGACCTAAGAAATTAAGCAAATTGCCAAAGACTACATAGCTAGTAGATGGCAAAGCCAATGATAGAATCCAAAAATTTATCTTCAGTGCTTGTGCTTTTAATTACTGTTGTGTACTAGCACAATAATTTTTCTCCTTTTAGTATGGTGTTAGGAGAAATTAGAAACAATGGTATATATTTACATAACAGTCAATGCAAGATACGTCTCCAAAATACCACTATTCCTGTAGGTAACTTTTGCACCAGATAATTTATTTTCTGAAGTTTTTCATTACTTTACTACCATGATAAGAAAACACAAGGAAAAGGAACTCTAGTCAGATCCTTCATTACCAGTTTACCTCTAGTTGTTTTAGTAAAATTTTTTTCTTGTCATGTAGGTCTCACCTATTCCCATTAAGGCTATTCCATGCCCCATCAGCCCTCGCTAAGCCCCATTACAAACTTTATCTTTTTGTGAATAAACTTTTGAGGAAACACTAATGACAAGCATCAACTCTTTTCCAGGGTTCTATATAAATCTTTTTTATAAAAGAGACTTTTCTAGCATGATCTGAGTACTAAATAATACTTTTCTTCCCCAATTGAAGACATGGATGATAGATTTCTAGCAGAAGGAAGACCAGAACGTCCTGATATTATAAGGGAAACATACATAGTCATGATATAGATACTGCTGTTATGATGATGAGATAATGTGGAGTGAAAGAGAAATAACTTAAGTAAAATTATGAAATAGGTATAAAAACTGCTGACACATATTGTATATCTATTTTTTTTTTTTTTTTTGAGACGGAGTCTCGCTCTGTTGCCCAGGCTGGAGTGCAGTGGTGCGATCTTGGCTCACTGCAAGCTCCGCCTGCCGGGTTCACGCCATTCTCCTGCCTCAGCCTCCCGAGTAGCTGGGACTACAGGCGCCCGCCACCACGCCTGGCTAATTTTTTATATTTTTAATAGAGACGGGGTTTCACCGTGTTAGCCAGGATGGTCTCGATTTCCTGACCTCGTGATCCGCCTGCCTTTAAAAGGATCCTGCATAAACAAGCTAACTTAATTTTTACGTCTCTATGAAATGGGAGATATTATTATTTCCACTTACAGATGAAGAAACAGAAAGGCCCAAGATTGCATAGTTAGTAAGGTGCGCAGTCAGGATGCCATCTTAGGCAGGCTGTCCCCAGAGACCAAAGTTTACAGTATCAAACAGCACATTTCTAACACTGGTTGGGCATTAGCTGGCCTAAAATTGTAAGGGAGAACTGCTCCTCTTCATCCCAGGGCATCTATGTATAGTTCTCCATGTAAAAGGTAACTATTATGAATCAGTTTCTGAAGGTCAGAGTCTTCTTTGCATTGTTTTGGTTTGCTTCGGTTTGTTCTCCATCCAAAACATTGTACCAGATAGCATGTTTCTATCCATCAACCGTGTCATGGGCATTTTATTTTATCCAGTTTCAGTTGTTCCGAATAATTATTTACTTTGAGTGTTCCCCAAAGCCTTCAGTAAACTTAAAACCCAGAATGTAGACTCTATTTTAAATCAAACATTTACTTCCAAATCTAGTGAAAATCTAATAATCCCCTAATGTGTGATATAGTAACAAAGTCATAGAAATTCTAACTTATTTATGTATATTTTAATTGCCTATAACCAGGTTATCCTTTTCATTTGCATTATACCTTTAATTTTACGGGATAGGTGACCAATTAAAATTAAAAAACAGAATTGAAAGATTGAATAAATTTATACCTAGTAAGTGACAAAACTGGGATGTGAACACAGTTCTCATTTTCAGTTATTAACTATGACTAATTCTGATGGCATATTTTTCAATATGACAAGGTGATGTATTTGTGGTTAATACTTCAGTCAGTAGGGAATACAACATATGTGTCCAGGTAGATGTGTGGCACGTTTAGTTTCTTCATGGATAACTCTGCCACACACATTGAAATTTGAGCACAGTAAAGACTTGTGATGATTATTTGTTGTGTCAACTTGGCTAGGCCAAGGAATTCCCAGCTATCTAGTAAAGCACACTATTTCTTTATGTTTCTGTGAGGGTGTTCCTGAAAGGTATTAACAGTTTTATATTCATATATATATGTATATAATTCATATATATGTATATACTCTCCATATATATTTTTATATATCCATATATTTATCCATTTATCCATATATTTTATATATCCATATATTTATATATTTTTATATATTATATATCCATATATTTATAAAAATATAAATATATATTTATATATCTATATATATAACATATGTGATATAAAGATATTTATATAAATATATAATATATTAATATAAATATATATTTATAAAAATATACTATCTTTGTATAAATATATAATATATTAATATAAATATATATTTATATAAATATAATATATTATATATTATATTATATATTATATAATATATACTATATTTATATAAATATAGTATATATAATATATTTTTATATATTTATATAAATATAGTACATATTTATATAGATACATATAAATATATTACATATTTATATAGCTATATTTATATTACATATATTACATATTTATATAGCTATATTTATATTACATATATTACATATTTATATAGCTATATTTATATTACATATATTACATATTTATATAGCTATATTTATATTACATATATTATATATTTATATAGCTGTATGTATATTACATATATATTTATATAGCTGTATGTATATTACATATATTATATATTTATATAGCTGTATGTATATTACATATATTATATATTTATATAGATGTATGTATATTACATATATTATATTTTTATATAGATATATGTATATTACATATATATTTATATAGATATATTTATATGACATATATTATATATTTATATAGATATATTTATATGACATATATTATATATTTATATAGATATATTTATATGACATATATGATATATTTATATAGCTATATTTATATGACATATAAATATAGCTATATTTATATGACATATATTATATATTTATATAGATATATTTATATTACATATATATAAAATCTCAAATATATATTCAATAAGTTCTGTTTCTCTGGAGAACACTAATATCAGAGATTTTAAAATATTAAAATAATAAGCTATTATTTTGAATCTGAATGCAGGCAGCTTTAGTTTAAATGAACCAGTAAAGCCATATTTGTGTGATAATTCTTTGAAGGAATCAATGGTACTTAGAGATTAATTACATATGAAGAATGAGAGATACGTATGAGTTAAATGTAACTCTAAAGGTTTGTAACATGAATGAACAGGTGTATGGCAAAATAGAAATAAAAAAGCAGAATTTTGGAAATACTCAGAAGTCAATTATTAACAAGTTAAGCTAGAATGTATGTAAAACTTTAAGCTAGGAAAATCTAGTGTTCAGTCAGAAGTGAGGTTGGGAGCTGGGAGTTTTGGGGTCTTGAAATACACATTTAAATTTATCAGCATATAAGTAACATTTGAAACCTTGGGCTCCGATACCATTCTTTTGGAAGAAAATATGGAAAGAGAAAACAGGGACAGAAACCACTGAAAACAAACACAAGAAAATTTGACAATTGAGCTAGTCCAATAAACTACATACAAGGGAGACCAAGATGTGATGGATGTGGATGAAGCAAATGAATTATGGAATAAATTGAATTTGGAATTGTCAATATTATCTTATTTTTGAAGTTCAGTTTTATTATACTTTAAGTTTTAGGGTACATGTGCACAATGTGCAGGTTAGTTACATATGTATACATGTGACATGCTGGTGCGCTGCACCTACTAACTCGTCATCTAGCATTAGGTATATCTCCCAATGCTATCCCTCCCCCTCACCCCACCCCACAACAGTCCCCAGAGCGTGATGTTCCCCTTCCTGTGTCCATGGGTTCTCATTGTTCAATTCCCACCTATAAGTGAGAATATGTGGTGTTTGGTTTGTTGTTCTTGCGATAGTTTACTGAGAATGATGATTTCCAATTTCATCCATGACCCTACAAAGGACATGAACTCATCATTTTTATGGCTGCATAGTATTCCATGGTGTATATGTGCCACATTTTCTTAATCCAGTCTATCATTGTTGGACATTTGGGTTGGTTCCAAGTCTTTGCTATTGTGAATAATGCTGCAATAAACATACGTGTGCATGTGTCTTTATAGCAGCATGATTTATAGTCCTTTGGGTATATACCCAGTAATGGGATGGCTAGGTCAAATGGTATTTCTAGCTCTAGATCCCTGAGAAATGGCCATACTGACTTCCACAATGGTTGAACTAGTTTACAGTCCCACCAACAGTGTAAAAGTGTTCCTATTTCTCCACATCCTCTCCAGCACCTGTTGTTTCCTGACTTTTTAATGATTGCCATTCTAACTGGTGTGAGATGGTATCTCATTGTGGTTTTGATTTGCATTTCTCTGATGGCCAGTGATGGTGAGCATTTTTTCATGTGTTTTTTGGCTGCATAAATGTCTTTTTGAGAAGTGTCTGTTCATGTCCTTTGCCCACTTTTTGATGGGCTTGTTTTTTTCTTTTAAATTTGCTTGAGTTAATTGTAGATTGTGGATATTAGCCCTTTGTCAGATGAGTAGGTTGCGAAAATTTTCTCCCATTTTGTAGGTTGCCTGTTCACTCTGATGGTAGTTTCTTTTGCTGTACAGAAGCTCTTTAGTTTAATTAGATCCCATTTGTCAATTTTGGCTTTTGTTGCCATTGCTTTTGGTGTTTTAGACATGAAGTCCTTGCCCATGCCTATGTCCTGAATGGTAATGCCTAGGTTTTCTTCTAGGGTTTTTATGGTTTTAAGTCTAACGTTTAAGTCTTTAATCCATCTTGAATTAATTTTTGTATAAGGTGTAAGGAAGGGATCCAGTTTCAGCTTTCTACATATGGCTAGCCAGTTTTCCCAGCACCATTTATTAAATAGGGAATCCTTTCCCCATTGCTTGTTTTTCTCAGGTTTGTCAAAGATCAGATAGTTGTAGATATGCGGCGTTATTTCTCAGAGCTCTGTTCTGTTCCATTGATGTATATCTCTGTTTTGGTACCAGTACCATGCTGTTTTGGTTACTGTAGCCTTGTAGTATAGTTTGAAGTCAGGTAGTGTGATGCCTCCAGCTTTGCTCTTTTGGCTTAGGATTGACTTGGTGATGCGGGCTCTTTTTTGGTTCCATATGAACTTTAAAGTAGTTTTTTCCAATTCTGTGAAGAAAGTCATTGGTAGCTTGATGGGGATACCATTGAGTCTGTAGATTACCTTGGGCAGTATGGCCATTTTCACGATATTGATTATTCCTACCCATGAGCATGGAATGTTCTTCCATTTGTTTGTATCCTCTTTTATTTCATTGAGCAGTGGTTTGTAGTTCTCCTTGAAGAGGTCCTTCACATCCCTTGTAAGTTGGATTCCGAGGTATTTTATTCTCTTTGAAGCAATTGTGAATGGGAGTTCACTCATGATTTGGCTCTCTGTTTGTCTGTTTTTGGTGTATAAGAATGCTTGTGATTTTTGCACATTGATTTTGTGTCCTGAGACTTTGCTGAAGTTGCTTATCAGCTTAAGGAGATTTTGGGCTGAAACAATGGGGTTTTCTAGATATACAATCATGTCATCATCTGCAAACAGGGACAATTTGACTTCCTCTTTTCCTAACTGAATACCCTTTTTTTCCTTCTGCCTAATTGCCCTGGCCAGAACTTCCAACACTATGTTGAATAGGAGTGGTGAGAGAGGGCATCCCTGTCTTCTGCCAGTTTTCAAAGAGAATGCTTCCAGTTTTTGCCCATTCAGTATGATATTGGCTGTGGGTTTGTCATAGATAGCTCTTATTATTTTGAAATACGTCCCATCAATACCTAATTTATTGAGAGTTTTTAGCATAAAGGGTTGTTGAATTTTGTCAAAGGCCTTTTCTGCATCTATTGAGATAATCATGTGGTTTTTGTCATTGGTTCTGTTTATATGCTGGATTACATTTATTGATTTGCGTATATTGAACCAGCCTTGCATCCCAGGGATGAAGCCCACTTGATCGTGGTGGATAAGCTTTTTGATGTGCTGCTGCATTTGGTTTGCCAGTATTTTATTGAGGATATTTGCATCAATGTTCATCAAGGATATTGATCTAAAATTCTCTTTTTTGATTGTGTCTCTGCCCGGCTTTGGTATCAGGATGATGCTGGCCTCATAAAATGAGTTAGGGAAGATTCCCTCTTTTTCTATTGATTGGAATAGTTTCAGAAGGAATGGTACCAGTTCCTCCTTGTACCTCTGGTAGAATTCGGCTGTGAATCCATCTGGTCCTGGACTCTTTTTGGTTGGTAAGCTATTGATTATTGCCACAATTTCAGATCCTGTTATTGGTCTATTCAGAGATTCAACTTCTTCCTGGTTTAGTCTTGGGAGAGTATGTGTCGAGGAATTTATCCATTTCTTCTAGATTTTCTAGTTTATTTGCGTAGAGGTGTTTGTAGTATTCTCTGATGGTAGTTTGTATTTCTGTGGGATTGGTGGTGATATCCCCTTTATCATTTTTTATTGCATCTATTTGATTCTTCTCTCTTTTTTTCTTTATTAGTCTTGCTAGCGGTCTATCAATTTTGTTGATCCTTTCAAAAAACCAGCTCCTGGATTCATTAATTTTTTGAAGGGTTTTTTGTGTCTCTATTTCCTTCAGTTCTGCTCTGATTTTAGTTATTTCTTGCCTTCTGCTAGCTTTTGAATGTGTTTGCTCTTGCTTTTCTAGTTCTTATAATTGTGATGTTAGGGTGTCAATTTTGGATCTTTCCTGCTTTCTCTTGTGGGCATTTAGTGCTATAAATTTCCCTCTACACACTGCTTTGAATGTGTCCCAGAGATTCTTGTATGTTGTGTCTTTGTTCTTGTTGGTTTCAAAGAACATCTCTATTTCTGCCTTCATTTCGTTATGTACCCAGTAGTCATTCAGGAGCAGGTTGTTCAGTTTCCACGTAGTTGAGTGGTTTTGAGTGAGATTCTTAATCCTAAGTTCTAGTTTGATTGCACTGTGGTCTGAGAGATAGTTTGTTATAATTTCTGTTCTTTTACGTTTGCTGAGGAGAGCTTTACTTCCAAGTATGTGGTCAATTTTGGAATAGGTGTGGTGTGGTGCTGAAAAAAATGCATATTCTGTTGATTTGGGGTGGAGAGTTCTGTAGATGTCTATTAGGTCCGCTTGGTGCAGAGCTGAGTTCAATTCCTGGGTATCCTTGTTGACTTTCTGTCTGGTTGATCTGTCTAATGTTGACAGTGGGGTGTTAAAGTCTCCCATTATTAATGTGTGGGAGTCTAAGTCTCTTTGTAGGTCACTCAGGACTTGCTTTATGAATCTGGGTGCTCCTGTATTGGGTGCATATATATTTAGGATAGTTAGCTCTTCTTGTTGAATTGATCCCTTTACCATTATGTAATGGCCTTCTTTGTCTCTTTTGATCTTTGTTGGTTTAAAGTCTGTTTTATCAGAGACTGGGATTGCAACCCCTGCCTTTTTTTGTTTTCCATTTGCTTGGTAGATCTTCCTCCATCCCTTTATTTTGAGCCTATGTGTGTCTCTGCACATGAGATGGGTTTCCTGAATACAGCACACTGATGGGTCTTAACTCTTTATCCAATTGGCCAGTCTGTGTCTTTTAATTGGAGCATTTAGTCCATTTACATTTAAAGTTAATATTGTTATGTGTGAATTTGATCCTGTCATTATGTTAGCTGGTTATTTTGCTCGTTAGTTGATGTTGATGCAGTTTCTTCCTAGTCTCGATGGTCTTTACATTTTGGCATGGTTTTGCAGCGGCTGGTAACGGTTGTTCCTTACCATGTTTAGCGCTTCCTTCAGGAGCTCTTTTAGGGCAGGCCTGGTGGTGACAAAATCTGTCAGCATTTGCTTGTCTGTAAAGGATTTTATTTCTCCTTCACTTATGAAGCTTAGTTTGGCTGGATATGAAATTCTGGGTTGAAAATTCTTTTCTTTAAGAACGTTGAATATTGGCCCCCACTCTCTTCTGGCTTGTAGAGTTTCTCCCGAGAGATCCACTGTTAGTCTGATGGGCTTCCCTTTGAGGGTAACCCGACCTTTGTCTCTGGCTGCCCTTAACATTTTTTCCTTCATTTCAACTTTGGTGAATCTGACAATTATGTGTCTTGGAGTTGCTCTTCTCGAGGAGTATCTTTGTGGCATTCTCTGTATTTTCTGAATCTGAATGTTGGCCTGCCTTGCTAGATTGGGGAAGTTCTCCTGGATAATATCCTGCAGAGTGTTTTCCACCTTGGTTCCATTCTCCCCGTCACTTTCAGGTACACCAATCAGACGTAGATTTGGTCTTTTCACATAGTCCCATATTTCTTGGAGGCTTTGCTCATTTCTTTTTATTCTTTTTTCTCTAAACTTCCCTTCTCGCTTCATTTCATTCATTTCATCTTCCATCACTGATACCCTTTCTTCCAGTTGATCACATCGGCTCCTGAGGCTTCTGCATTCTTCACGTAGTTCTCGAGCCTTGGTTTTCAGCTCCATCAGCTCCTTTAAGCACTTCTCTGTATTGGTTATTCTAGTTATACATTCTTCTAAATTCTTTTCAAAGTTTTCAACTTCTTTGCCTTTGGTTTGAATGTCCTCCCATATCTTGGAGTAATTTGATTGTCTGAAGCCTCCTTCTCTCAGTTCGTCAAAGTCATTCTCCATCCAGCTTTGTTCCGTTGCTGGTGAGGAACTGTGTTCCTTTGGAGGAGGAGAGGTGCTCTGCTTTTTAGAGTTTCCAGTTTTTCTGCTCTGTTTTTTCCCCATCTTTGTGGTTTTATCTACTTTTGGTCTTTGATGATGGTGATGTACAGATGGGATTTTGTGTGGATGTCCTTTCTGTTTGTTAGTTTTCCTTCTAACAGACAGGACCCTCAGCTGCAGGTCTGTTGGAGTACCCGGCCATGTGAAGTGTCAGTCTGCCCCTGCTGGGGGGTGCCTCCCAGTTAGGCTGCTTAGGGGTCAGGGGTCAGGGACCCACTTGAGGAGGCAATCTGCCCATTCTCAGATCTCTGGCTGCATGCTGGGAGAACCACTGCTCTCTTCAAAGCTGTCAGACAGGGACATTTAAGTCTGCAGAGGTTACTGCTGTCTTTTTGTTTGTCTGTGCCCTGCCCCCAGAGGTGGAGCCTACAGAGGTAGGCAGGCCTCCTTGAGCTGTGTTGGGCTCCACCCAGTTCTAGCTTCCCGGCTGCTTTGTTTACCTAAGCAAGCCTGGGAAATGGCGGGCACCCCTCCCCCAGCCTCGCTGCTGCCTTGCAGTTTGATCTCAGACTGCTGTGCTAGCAATCAGCGAGACTCCGTGGGCGTAGGACCCTCCGAGCCAGGTGCGGGATATAATCTCCTGGTGCGCCGTTTTTTAAGCCCGTCAGAAAAGTGCAGTATTCGGGTGGGAGTGACCCGATTTTCCAGGTGCCGTCTGTCACCCCTTTCTTTGACTAGGAAAGGGAACTCCCTGACCCCTTGTGCTTCCCGAGTGAGGCAATGCCTCGCCGTGCTTTGGCTCTTGCACGGTGCACACACCCACTGACCTGCGCCCACTGTCTGGCACTCCCTAGTAAGATGAACCCAGTACCTCAGATGGAAATGCAGAAATCACCCCTCTTCTGTGTCGCTCATGCTAGGAGCTGTAGACTGGAGCTGTTCCTATTTGGCCATCTTGGCTCCTCCCTGAAGTTCAGTTTTAAAGAAAAGGAAGGAGTTTGGACAGTAATTTGGAGATCAATTTTGTATAAACCAAATGATTTCATCATAGTTTTCAGACGTCAGAACAGTTTTGTTTTTTTGTGTGTGTTTTATAGACTACGTAAACGAGAAAAGTATTTTGAGGAAGGGGTAAATTGGCTTGATTTGATCCTTAATGTTTATTTTAAAAACTGCTTAATATTAATCTACTAGATTGACTATTCATTTATTAAAGTAGTTACTGATGTTGAGAAGATTTTTGAATGATAATCAGAACGGGATAAAAACACATTTTAATGTTTGTATATGACACTTCAGAGATCATATGCTGTTTCTCTAGACATCAGTATCTCAGCTTTGTTACTTTCCAATGCTGTGATATTACACAAGTTTCTTTTTTGTCACTTCTGCCTCTATTAATGATGACGTTGAGTAAAAAGCTCATTTTCATCAGGCATTTACTTGGGCCAGACCCTAGAGCCTAAAGAGCTCCTATGACTTCTCATTTAAACGTTCCAGCAAGCTGATGTGCTAAGTATGACTACAATGGGAGTCCATTTGTAGATAAAGAAATGGTGACTTGCCCAAGTTTATATAACTAATTAGCAGAGGAATGGGGATTTGAATTTCAGGAGTTCACTCTTATTCATTATGTCACACATTTTCTCTAGTAAGAAAAGTAACTTGATAAGTATTGACCTCATAGGATTTTGCTGTTGCTTCAGTGTGATAACGTATGTAAAATATGTAGATTAATGTCAGACAATTTTTAATTTTAAATACATATTTGTATTAATTGGTGTTATAGCTTTTATTATATAATTTTATTTGAATTCATGGATACTCAAGAGTTAATTTTAATTTTTCCTAAACCAATGTGGTTGTAATTTGAAAATCATACTTTTAACAAAGGCCATAATTTCTTTCTGCCTATATTATACATGCACATATACAGATGTATTGCATCCATATATTTTGTTCCCCATATTTTCTATGTTTTTAATGATAATTCAGTTTTTCCATCTGTACACTGTCATATTAAACTTAAATTGAGACAGTTCTTCTGTGTACTGCTTCCTTCATTCTATCTTCATTTGACCTGAAAATCTATTATCAAAAGCTGTACAAATTGAATCATTAGACTGACTTTAACAGCATATTTTAGTTCAATTGCAATATCTCCATTGCCTCTGAAAGCAGTTGAATTGAAAAGAAATCCTGCCTTCATACTTTATGAACATGTAGGTTTCCTGTCAAAGAAATGTGTTATCAACTTACTTCAAAGAGTGAAACCAAACTACCAGAACACATTCATTTCTATCTGCAATCCTCACTTCAGTAGTTTGGCTAAAGTTCTGATTTCCAAAACCCTTCATCAGAATGACCTCCAGTAGAGGTTACTCCATTTCCTCTAGGCAGCGACTGTTCAGTGACACAACCAGAGAAATAACTTTCGATAGCTGTCATCATACATGCAGCAACGATGGGCATTTCCTTTGATATTCTGAAAGTAAAAAACTGTACTGTTTATACACCTGTTTATTCACTTTGGGCTAATATCTGATGAGTTAATAAATTAACTAGTTTTTTAAATTGTTTTTATCTCAGCTTTATCTTTTACTATCTGTTTGACTTTGGATAGAATCCTTAACTCTATGCCTTAATTATCCCTTCAGCAAAATATAACAGGAATAACAAAATAATGCCTTCATCAAGTTCTTATGAGGATTATCTAAGTAAACTTTAACTATTTTTGTTGTTGTTGTTTGTTTGTTAAGAGACAGTGTCTCCCTTTGTTGTTGGGGCTGGAGTGCACTGGCAAGATCATAGCTCACTGAAGCCTTAAACTCCTAGGCTCAAGCAATCCTCCTGCCTCACCCTCCCAAGTAGCTGAAATTACAGGCATAAAACACAACACCCAGATATATATATATAATATATATTATATATTTATAAAATATATATATATTTATATATAATATATATATATATATATATATATATATATATATATTTGATAAAGACAAGGTCTTGCTGTATTGCCCAGGCTGCTTTTTAACTCCTGGGCTCCCAGTCCTCCCACCTCAGCCTCCCAAAGCACTGGGATTACAGGTGTGAGTGACTGCCCTCTGCCAAACTTTAACTCTTTCACCTTTGACATATACGATGTCTGCCTTCATCTCCCCTTACACCCACCAGTTTCTCTCCATTTCTCCCAGTTTCTTTATTGTTTGAGATGACATGTCTTCATATGACTTACAAGGTCTCTGTCTGGAAATGAGGTTCATTGAGATGCACCCTTCTTTTCCTTACTGGAGGTCTTTGGGCTCCAATTATTCTAAAATCCAATTCCCTGGATGCCTTCCTAGTTTATTGAAAAACACTGACTATTAGGGTTGCTGCAGTCTCCTGCAAAATGTGTAAAGAATTCAAAAATGATCAATCTAAAACTGGAAACTTCTCTACAGTATTATTTAAATTGTCAAGGACAGTCAATCTAATATAAACATTGAGTGCAAGATGGCTTAAAAATAAAAATTATTGCTATGGATAAAAATAACATAAATTTGACCACTTATCTTAAATGAAAATTGACAGTGATTTCTCCCTCTGTTAACAGATTTTAACCTAAAGGCTCAATTTGAGGGCTCTAAAACATGAAGTCCTTAGGCCAAGAACTCATGTCTTCTCAGTTTGCCATGATTTGGTTTTTCAAAAACTTTTTCTGCTGAAGTCAACCTTCAAATGATAGTTATGCAAAAGTACTCCCTTAAATACTACCCACTTGCACATTTGTGGTAGCTTTATTGATTTATTGCTGTAATTGTAACAGGATTTTATTTTTTCTCTTTTTGATGTTCTGCGTTATTATTATTCTCTATGACCCTGAACAGGGCCAAAGGCTAAGGCATCTATGTCTAGAATCCAGGGTGCATTGTCAAGTCCTTGTCCCTATAGGCTGGGATCAAACTTGCTATTTCTTTTTTTTTTTTTTTCAGAGATTGTACCTTTGTTCTTAAAAGCAGTTCATGGTGTTCTTCCTTACTCCTTAAGAAATACATAGAACTCTCATTTTATTGATAGAGATGAGATGGCTTAGAGAGCTTACATTTCATTGAATTTCTATAAAGATTCCTCTACCTTTTCTACCTTGCCTTAGTTTTAACTTTTTTATGCTACATTAATGCTGTATTTGCCCATCCTCACCCTTGCCATCAATCTCTTCCCACCTAATTTATCCTCCAAAGCACTGTCTGTCTTAGGGTGATTCCATCATGTCGTCACTTGTATTTTAATGACTTCCCATGACATTTTGATAAAATACAAACTCTTTGGACATGTACATAGGCTTATTAGATATATACTTATGGGCTGCATAACAATGTTTTGGTCTGTGATGGCCACATATATGATGGTGGTCCTATAAGATTATAATAATGGAGCTGAAAAATTTATATTGCATAATGATGACCTAGATGTCACAATGTCATAGTGCAATGCATTACTCATGTGTTTGCGATGATGCTGGTGTAAACAAACTTATTCTTCTACCAGTCATATGAAAGTATAGCACATACAATTATGTACAATACAGAATACTTGAAATGATATTAAACTATGTTACTGCTTAATGTATTTACTACACTATACTTTTTATTATTATTGCAGAGTGTACTTCTACTTATATAAAAAGAAGTTTTTTGTGTAAAACACCTCATGTTTACATTTAAGTTAATGTAAAACAGCTTAATGTTACATATAAGTTAAATGTAAAACAGTTTCAGCCACATCCTGGAGAAAGTATTCCTTCCATTATTATAGGAGGTTACAGCTCCATGCATGTTATTGCCACTGAAGACCTTCCAGTGGAATAAGATGTGGAGGTGAAAGTGATATTGATTATGCTGATCCTGTGTAGGTCTAGGCTAATGTTTGTGTTTGTGTCTTAGTTTTTAATAAAAAAGTTTAAAAAGTAAAAAAAAAAATAAAAATTCAAAAACTTCTAAAACTTTAAAAATGTTTATAAAACAAAAAGTTTATAAAGTTAAAAGAAGTTACGGTAAGCTAAAGTTAATTTCTTATCTAAGAAGAGCTTTTTAAATAGATTAAGTGCAGCCTAATTGCACACAGTGTTTGTAAATTATACTAGCAATGTACAGTAATGTCCTATGCCTTTACATTCCCTCATCACTCAGTCATTGACTCACCCAGAAAAGCATCTAATCCTGCAAGATCCTTTAATTTTTAAGGGACCTATACAGGTGTACCTTTAAAAAATTATACCATATCTTACTGTACTTTTCTATGTTTAAATACACAAATACTTACCATTGTGTTACAGTTGTCTACAATATTCAGTGGGGCAGCGTGTTGTGCAAGTTTGTTGCCTAGGAGCAATAAGCTATACCATATAGCCTAGATGTATACTAGGCTGTAACATCTAGGTTTCTGTATGTACACTGTATGATGATCACACAACAAGAAAATTGCCCAAGGATACATTTCTCAGAATGTAGCCCCGTTGTTAAACATACACGACTGTAATCCCAACTACTAAACATCGTCTTGCACCATACCTCCCCTGGGCTTGCTACACCACAACTATACTTGTTTTTTGTTTGTTTGTTTGTTTGTTTCTCTGTTTTTCTATCCATTTTGCAACACTGTCTTTAAAAAAATATTAGACTACAGTTTTAAAGCAGTTTAGATTTACAGCTAAATTAAGCAGAAAGTATAGAAAGTTGCCATAAACTCTCACTCCTCTACTCCTATTTTCTCCTTTTATTAACACAAATATGTACATTTGATAGATCAACATTGATGTTATTGATATTACTCAATTATTATTATCTAAAGTCCAAATTTACATCAGAGTTCACTCTTCATAGTGTACTTTCTATGGGTTTTGACATATATATATATTGACAAGAATTCAACCTTACAGTGCCATACAGAATAGTTCCACTGCCTTAAAAATTCCCTATGCTGTACCAACTCATCCCTTCCTCTCCTCACGCAAACGCTTGTCAACCAGTGATCTTTGTTACAGTCACTATAGTTGTGACTTTTCCAGAATGTCAAATAGTTGGAATTATAAAGAATGTAGCATTTTCAGAGAGGCTTTTTTTCACATAGCAATATGCATTTAAGGTTTCTCTGTGTCTTCATACATTGATGATATCACATTTCTTTTTAGTCAATATATGAGATTCCATGTTATGAATATATCACAGTGTGTTTACCATTAACTTATTGAAGCACATCTTGGTTACACGCAACTCTTGGCAATAATGAATAAATCTGCTCTCAACATCCAGGTGCAGGTATTGTTGTATACAAAACTTTCAACTAAAGTGGGTAAATACCAAGGAAAATGATTGCAGAATGCTATGATAAGTATATGTTTAACTTTCTAAGAAATTGTCAAACTGTCTTTCAAAGTGGCTCTACTGCTTTGCATTTGCATCAGAAATGAATGAGAGTTTTTATTGCTCCATATTCTTGCCAGCATGTGGTGTTGTCAGTGTTTTATATTTTAGCCATCCAGTAGGTGTGTAGTAGTATCTTGTTTTAATTAATGAAAGATATTAATTGCACTCCCCTGGTAACATATGGTGTTGAATATTTTAAATTTTTTATTTTCCATGTGCTAAACTGCCATTTGGCAACATGTCTGTTCAGTTCTTTTGCTTATTTTTAACTTGGGTTGTTTTCTTATTGTTGAGTTTAAAGAGCTCTTTGTATGTTGAGTAACTGTTCTTTATCAGATGTATCTTCTGGAAATATTTTCTACCAGTCTGTGACTTGTCTTATTATCCTGATTATATCTTTCACAGAGCAGAATTATTTAATATAATGAAGTCAGTTTATCAATAATTTTATGGATTATGCTTCTGGTGTTGCATGTAAAATGCCATTGCTATACTCTAGGTCATCTAGGTTTTCTCCTATATTAGCTTTTAATGGTTTAATAGTTTTATGTTTTCCATTTAGGACTGTAACTTATTTTGAGTTAACTTGAGGAAGGATGTAATGTCTGTGTCTAGATTCATTTTTTACATGTGGATGTGCAGTTGTTACAATGCCATTTGTCAAAAAGGCCACTTTGCCTCATTCATTGTCTTTGCTCCTTTGTCAAAGATTAGTTGGCTATATTTATGTCATTTCTGGGACTATTTCTGGGCTCTCTCTCTATCCTATTCCATTGATCTATTTGTTCTTTTGGCAATGCCACACTGTTTTAATTGCAATTTTACAGTAAGTCTTAAACTTAGGTGATGTCAGTCTTCAAACTTTATTCTTTTCCTTCAGTATTGTGTTGGTTATTCTTGGTCTTTTACCTTTTCATATGCATTTTAGTATTAGTTTGTTGATATCCACAAAATAACTTGCTGGGATTTTTGTTACAATTGAATCTATAGATCAAGATGAAAGAAAACTGAATTGATATCTTGACAATATTGAGTTTTCTATCCATGAAAATGTATCTCTCATCAGAGATTTCTTATATGACCTTGTACATATTTTGTTCAATTTATACTAAGTATTTCATTTGTTGTACTAATGTAAATAGTTTTAGATTTCTAATTTCAAATTCCAATTGTTTGTTGCTTTTATATTTGAAAAAATCAAGGGAATTTTGTATATTAACTCTGTACCCTGCAACCTTGGCAGAATTACTTAAGACTTCTAAGAGGTATTTTTGGTCATTTATTCTTTGGGGTTTTTTACATAGAAAAATCACATAATTTGTGAACAAAGACAATTTTATTTCTTTGTATCCCATCTGTACACCTGTTTATTTCCTTTTCTCATCTTGTTGACTAAAAAAAGAATTCCACTACAATGTTAAATGGGAGTAATGAGAGAGAATATCCTTGACTTGTTCCTAATCTTACTAGATGGAAAGCATCTCATTTCTCACCATTAGGCGTGGTTTTAGCAGTAGGATTTTCATATTTGTCTCTTATTAGATTGAAAAATTTCCCATCTCTATTTAGTTTTCTGATAGTTTTTATTATAAATTAGTGATGGATTGTGTTAATTTTCTTCTGCATCTATTGGTATAATCATATTATTTTTCTTGAAGAGAAAAGGTGACCACATGTAATTCAAAACTCCCATTCGCTCCAACATTTACCTCTTTAGTGTCTAAAGGTTAAACATATACTTCACTGTATCCAAGATGTTCTTCCTAGCCACAGAAATGAACTCTGTAATGCCAATGGTATTGCTGTTTCATTTGTTCTTGTACAGACAATGGCAACTACATCATAATAAACAAAGAGCAGAAAACAGCAATTATAGATGTCACCAATTCGAAGGTGCGCTACAATTCCAGAAATAATAAGATGTGATAAAATTTTCATATTATAATCAATGACCTACGATATTAGTGCTTAAAAATCTTCATTTCAATACACAAATGCAAAGTTTTAAAAGTCAATATTGATTAAGAATACATTCTATTAGTTTCCTAAGATCATCACCTCTGGAAACAGGTTGTAAAGTAATTAAAGCACAAACATCACATCAAAACTGCCTTTGTTGAAATGCGATTCTCTCTAAGGAAAATTGATAAATATGGGGTAAAATATAACACTATGAGACAAATCTTAACACAGAAATATTCTTAGGATTTAATAAATCAAGAAATACAACACTTTAATTTTTCACTGAATACCATAAAATATGTTCAAATGCGAACAAGTATTATAAGTCGACTGAAATAGCTGATTTGTAAGAGTGATGAAGTGGTAGGTTTGTTTTCACTAATTTTTATTTAATTTTTATATTGTGATATAGTTACACTAAATAAAATGTAAAAATATAGGAAACATTAAAAAGTAGAAGGAATAATAGATTTGCCTTTAGTTTTTTTCTATTATTATTGTAATTATTATTATACTTTAAGTTCTGGGACACATGTGCAGCCTTTAGTTTTTTTCTAAAAGCTCTAGGACAGCACATAGAGAACTATTGAACTCTCTCTTTGGGAGAGGGTAAGAGGATCTCTTCCAGGAAGATTTTTAGGAAAGCTTTTTATAAAGGATTGGTGGGGTAGATCCTGATTATTAGTTCATTTGAATTCATCCTGAGGGATACATATACAATAAATAAAATTTTAGGGAAGTAAAGGTTTGATACCAACATTGAATCCATTGATAAGCTAATTATTTTGGAAATGGCATGGAGAGATAAAGAAAAAGGTCTACCCACAGGAGTTTGTGAAAATGTTGGTGAGTAGACTAATGCAGAGTGCACATAGATTTGGTGCATGGAATGTCAAATCCTGAAAAACACAAAGAGGATAACACCAAACCCTTGACAAGTGCTTTCCTTTTAGATACAGCAGCCATTCATAGGGACCATCCAAAGCCTGCTATTTATTATTTAAATGAGAAACTATCCGAATGTGATGCATAATGCAAAGTCATGTTTCACAAGTAGAGAGTAAATACATTTCAATACCTTGTGTAACAGAGGATTATGTATGATTCCTATGAAGAAGAAAATGTTTAAGTTCAAGATGATGCTATCCTAAAAGGTGTGTCCTTGCTTTAGTATGTTTGGCCTATTGCCAAATCTGCTTTCTAATCCTTCTGATCTGCTCCAAAACTATCATGATCTCCAGAACATTTATAAACGATGAAACCTTATCTCTTGCAATAGTTTCTGGTAGGAATATGATAGAATCAATGATTTAAATATAATTTGCTTACTGATTAGTTTATTAAATATTTAATAGAAACCTATTACATAATAGTTTCTGCAGTAGATTTGTGGGTGGAATGATGAGCAAACACCATTAAAACTCTGACAAATGTGATCATGTACAATTTATACGTGATGCCTAAAATGCTATAAATGAGAAGAGAGCATGGTGCACAGGAAATGGCATGTGCAAAATGCACTGTTAGGAAATAGGCAGAAATGGCATGATTGGGGGACAGCAGTTATTTATAGACAGGGAATAGACAGTTTTATAGACAGCTATTTATAGACTTACATATACAAGTCTTTTCCCTGTATTTTCATTATGTTTTCTTGATTCCTTAACTTTTCCAGTTTGCCTACTGAACATTCCTTTTTTCAAAAAGGTCTCATCTATTCTAACTTTTTATTATGAGCAAAATTTAAAATCATTTACTAGTATTATAAAAATAAATTCACTGTCATTGTAAATAGTGATGCTTTTATTTATAGATATATTTGGAAACACATTAAATTTTAAAAGTTAATATTTCAACAAATGTTGTTCCTTCCTGTTACCTATGTAGAGCAGTTTTCTTGGTATTTATTCTTTGTTGGTTTCTGCTCTAGTAGTGTCAGTGAGAGTAAGTATCATCTTGAACATTTATGACTTTACAGCAGAGTTTCCAAATTGCGTTCTCTGGAATATTATTTCTGTAGTATTTCATAGATTTTTACAAACAATCCTCTCTTTTAATTGTTAATTCCACTAGAGTGGAATTCGGGTTCACTAGGGAGAAGTTATGTCTCCAAATTTATATTAGGAAAAGGAAGATTCTGCTGTTGGATCAAATCTTCTAATTCTATTATCTTGTGCTGCCCTGATGGATTAATTTATTTCACCTACCCCTCTAATCTCCTTAGACAGAAATAGCAAATATGTATGCTGTTACTTCTCCTTTGCACCAGCAATCAATCATTGTAGTAATTCTACTCAACATGCTGCCTTAGCCTGGACACTGGCATACTATTGAGGTTGGCAAATGGAAGAAAACCTGTATGTTATCTGTATCTACACTTGGTTCTCTGTTTTCCTGTTTACATGTGAAAACGTGTATACACAAAAATATGTGTGTGTTTCAATATTACATATTTGACCTTGAAAAATTATTGTTTTCTTAACTGCCCTCACAACCTTGCCTCCCTCCTTGTATCACTCCTTTTCTAATAAAACACAAAGAACAAATTTTGATAGGCCTAATATCTATTAAAATATTCTGATATCATTTTATATAGCTGTTATTTTGGATACAGAGGCATTTCTCATCTCTTCATTTTTAATTTTTAAAAATTTACAAGCAATAAAATTTATGCTTTGTTGTATACAGTTTTCTTCATGTTGAAAAATACATACAGTCATACATTTACTATGAAAATCAAGATTCAGAACAGTTCCATCATCACCCTCATCAAATTCCTTTCTGTTGTCTGCTCATGGTCAACTCCTCTCACCTCTCTAAATCCTGAGAACTATTTATTTAGCCCCATTCCTAGGGTTTGCATTTTATAGAATATTATAAAAATGAATTATAAATGTATAGCGTTTGGCTCTGACTTTTTTCATTCAGAAGAATGCATTAGCAATTTATCTGTGTTGATATATATATGAGATATACATGATCATATATAAATGATCATATATGAGATATATATGATCATATATATATATATGATATGCTGTGTGGTTTTAAATAGCCTTTCCTAATATCTAATCATGTTGATAACTTTTGTGTTTGTCATCTGGGTGATATATATCTATATATGTTTATTTCTTACCTTTTGAGTGTTAAGTAGTATTCCATTATATGCATGTTTCACAGTTTATCTATTCACTAGCTGAAGGATATTTGGATTGTTTCCAATTTTTGGCAATTATGAGTAATACTATAAACAGTGGCATAAAGGTTTTTATTTCTCTTGGACAAAGAAGTAGGGTCGTTTGGTAATATGATAAGTGAAGAATTAACTTTATGAGAAACTGCTATACTATTTTCCAAAGAGGCTATAGCTTTTTTCATTCCCACTGTAATATGTGTGTGTTACAATTGCTCCACATGCTCAACAGCACTTGATATTGTCATTTTAATTTTTATGAATAAAATATTTCAGTTAATAGCAATAGTAAAAATTTAAATTTGAAATGAGTAAAATATATATTATCTGGGGGTGGCAGGTAATGGATGAATAATTATCAAATTAGGAAGAGTTTCCTTCCTGCCAACTGCAGCTAATTTGCATGACCTTGATTTGTATCTCGATGCATCACTTGATGACGATGACATACTTTGGTCAAATAATATTCTGTGTGGTTTTAAATAGCGTTTCATTGTATCTAATCATGTTGATGACTTTTTGTCATCCATTACTTTCTTTAGTTAATTGTCTGTTGAAGTCTTTTCCCCCAAATTCTTAATTAGGTTGCTTGTTTTCTTATTCTTGATCATTTACTTTTTTAAGCATAATCTTAATTTCTCTGGATTTACTATACTTAAGGTGGTTCTGTATGGTTATTTATGCCTCATTTGGGCTATTGGTGACCAAATAGATGACTTAGCCAAGACTGAAGATTGTAATGAAACCACCACCATTCATTTCATTCATTTATTATTGATTATCTAAGAATCCTTTATTTATTGATTGATTTTTTTTTTTTTTTTGAGATGGAGTCTTGCTCTGTCGCCCAGGCTGGAGTGCAGTGGCACCATCTTGGCACACTGCAACCTCCGCCTCCTGGGTTCAAGTGATTCTCCTGCTTTAGCCTCCTGAGTAGCTGGGACTACAGACACGTGCCCAGCTACTTTTTGTATTTTAAGTAGAGACGGGGTTTCACCATGTTGGCCAGGATGGTCTCGATCTCTTGACCTTGTGATCTACCCACCTCGGCCTCCCAAAGTGCTGGGATTACAGGTGTGAGCCACCGCGCCTGGCCTATCTAAGAAATCTTAAAAGGCTACATCTAAAAGAAATAGTAAATCCAATCACACCTTACTTAATAAAGAAGCAAACTCAGCTAACTAGAACTTCAGAAATTTGCTTCAACTAGCTAATTTTAAAGGTGCTTGAGAAGGCAACACAAGTACACACACACACACATTTTATGTACATATATTATACATACACACATGTGCACATTTAAATCCATAATCCCCTCAGACCAGCAGTTAGGGGTTATTTACTCTTGAGAGCTTGTTTGGAGGTTCTAGCAGGGGAGTACAGCTATTGATATACCCTTGACGAAATACTGGTCCTTCTCTATGGGGGATGGTCGTCCCCTTACCCAGAACACAACTTCCGGAGGGACACACCTGGAATGGTGAAGGAGGAAGCCGACAGCTGCCTAGCCAGCCAGATAAGCCAAATCAACCCTGGCGATCAATGGGGTGACAGATGTCACAGCCGGATCGCCCTCACATCCTCTTTAATTGACAAATACGTCTAACAATTTGTGTTTTTAACTCTTAATTTACAATCAAGAAATTTGAATTGAGTTAGAGACTGCTAAAGACAGATTCAATGCTTGTTACAAGAAAAAATTACTGATAATTCTTTAGAGGAAAATAAGGTAGAAGATACAAGAATTCTGTTTTTTTTTTTTAAAGCAAGCAGTGAGTCCATTTAGAAATCAATATGTGATATATTCAGTAGTAATATACTGTGGACCAATAATGCATTTTGCAAATTATCAAAGTTAAACATTGAAAGTACCATTAGGTTTAATATTCTGTTTAATAGTGTGTATAAATTATCTTGGAGACATTTACACATAATCAAGACATTGTTTTATAGTTAATATGTGGTGGTGAGAAGAAACTAAGTCATAGTTAACATTTCTGGAAAAATTCCTTATACGCTACAGCTACTTTTCTGACAATGTCAGATAAACCTGTGACTATATTGTAACATAGGAGAAAGCCTTTCTGCTGCATTGGAATAATTTTCCTGCTACAATAAGAGAATGATGCTTAAGAAAATTGAGAAACTAACTTTGAAGTAAAGAAATGTGTTAAAACAAACAACAACACAGCAAAAATATCTTATTATGGAATAAAATAGCACAGGTTTATGTGTAAGCAGAGATTTAAAGAAATATATTTTGGAAATGTCCAAGATATCTCACACATCTTCACTTTTGCAAATCATTTGCATTTATTTATTTGTATGTCTTGGAATTATGATGCGCTCCCATTCGAATGCTCTGTTTTCTCACATTCTAGTCCTAGGATATGTGATTAATGCTTTATTGTTAGTCATAGCTCAGTCCTACTCACACTGTGTAGTTCGTTGCCATTTGCCAATATACAGACACTTTTGTTGTATTTTTTTGAAGGAGTTGATTTTATCAAATTATTCTTTCTGTATTTTTTTCTGGTTCCAAGTTGCTGTTTCCATTTACATAATAACACTGTCCCCTTTTGTTTAATTTCCTAACTTGGTAAGAGAGCTAGATAGATAGTATTTCAAAAAGGAACTTGGGACTTTGATTTAGAAATTAGAATTCCAAGCAAATCACAATGCCCCCACTTTTATAATTAGCAAATATTTCAGATATCTACATGTTTTATTTCTTGTTATAAATTATCTTCTTAATTTAAAGGAAGAGATTCTTTAACTCCAGTGAGTTCCCTTAAGAGTGACAGAAATTGATATGTCTCCCACAAATCACGAACACATCTGAATAAAGAAGACCTCTTGGTTAATAGAAGTAATTTGAATTCGTTGTACTTTTGAGATGAATGCAATATATGGCTTTTTATTGGCAGGTGATTAATCAATATATATAACATTGTGAAGAGTTTCTTCCTGTCAAAAGCTTCTGAGTTGCATGACCCTGATTTATATCATGTTGTACTAAGTTAATTCAAGGAATTTACTTTCTTTGGTTAAATACATTATTTCAGTGGAAGTAAGTATTCAAATGAGCAAGAAAAGTTTCAGAGTTAAATATATTCACTCCCAAACCTGAATTCAGCACTGCATGCCTGGGTAATTGTTGGCACTTTATAGCAAAACACTTAGCTGAGATCAATTGTAGCTTTCTCAGTAAAATCCCAGAGCTCATCTCTAGGAAGAACATGTGGTTAAAGCAAAGGGGGAGGGGATGAGGAATGTTTAAAATTGCTTAGCTGAGTCTGACATTTTACCTTTTAAATATTAATTATATGGTGGGCTTCTTCTTATTTACATACCTAAGTGTTTGCTTGGGACATAAATGCTACTAAATTGTCTTGAGAAAGCCATAGAGCAGCTTTGTTAGATAAAACTTCTTGCAGCTGGTAATTTTTGGCAATTAATATTATGAATGCTAATGCAATGGGGAGTAGAGAAGGTGCTTCCAGGATGCCACTTATCTCTGTAAAACGAAAGAAAATGTCAGAAGTGGTGAGCCTGCTGAGAGTATTACTTCTGGGAAGGAAATAGATGGCAAATGTTAAAATTATCATATTTATGGACAGGCTAGAATTTAGGACCAGATTATCTAATAAATAGACTAGTAAATAGGGTATATTGTAAATATTTTTAAACGCTTGTTTTGGATTGCTTATTCTAAGTAAGTTATAGCCTGTTTTTAAGAAAAAAATATTATACTGAACATATATCTGGCCTGATGTAACAACTGAAAACAGATTCACATAAATCAACTGATTGGATTATCTTAATAATTGGTGAGATAATTAGGGGCAGTTCCATTGGTGCTTAGGATCAATATTTGAGATAAATATTAAAATGAAATATTTACTAGGATTGAGGTTATGTTGACACAGAAAAAAAATGTAAAAAATCTCAAATTATGAGGAAAAAACTCATCTGAGCTATAGGAATCTATTACTGTTAGAATTGCCAGCATACATTTCCAAAGTAGTTACATTCTCTTATACTTTCCAAACAAATAAAAAAAGTGTAGTTATACTATCATTAGGCTATGTAATTTAAACCAGACTATACATAGTGCTCATTAGGCTATCTAATTTAAACCAGACTAAATCTTCACTGGAAATAATCCAGGGGAAGGCAGCAATACAGGCATTATTAACATGTGAGTTATTTACAAATCGGAAATGAAAATATATTCTCCTTTTGCACATTTTTTGTTTGTTTATGATTTAAGTTTCAGTTTATGCTATTTTCTCTGAGGTTTCACATTTCCAGGTAAATTAATTTTATACAAACTTTGGAAAAACATGGCTTTAATAGCCTGCATTGCATCTTTGACTCGGGTATAGGCTTGAGTTATATTACTATGAGAAATAGTATTTTGGTCACTAAAGCAGAAGCTCTTCTTTTTATGTGGGATGTTCAAATGTGAAGATAAGAGTGAATATATTATATTTAGCTATTTTACTATGTTCGTTTGTAAGTGAAGATAGATATAATAATGAGAGAGATGTCACTGACATAAAATAAGCATCCCTAATTTTGTGTGACAGTCTAAATCTCTAGTTTCAATAATCATATCCCATATGCCCACAAGCATATTCACAAGGGACATGCTATGTATACTAATTTTTTGTCTGTTAAACATGGTCGCAATTTTAAAAACATCATAAGAAAAGTGATAAATCAAGAAAATATTTGTTTTCCCTTTATTTTAATTCATTAAACATCTGTTTTATACTTTCAGGTCTGTAAAATAAAGTAAGAAAATATGCTGTTCTCAAAGAAGCTGCATAATTTTTTTCAGAAATAAATTTGTATATATACAAAAAATTAAATTTAAATGGGAGTAGGCATCCAAAAAGATAAATACAAGGCAGCATACACTAGAGTCAATTTAAATAGTATATAGGCAGAAATTCCCAGAATTATTTCTACCTAGGTAGCATTAGGCACTGATATTGCAAGTCTGATAATATGCTCCTGCTTGAAATTCATTTGGAAGGCAGAAAAGAAAAAAAAAAACCTAATGAAAAAATATTCAGAATTATAGTAAAATCTTTATATATATAAATGTTTATTGTGAGGTTATTCATAATAAACAGTTTAAAAACAACTCTAAGGGAATGAATAAAATATAAAATGGAATGCCATAGAAGAATAAAATGTATATTTACAATACTTGGCATGGAAAACTGTTCATATAACATTGCTAGGTGAACAAAGCAGGTTGCAAAATACATGAAGTGTGATATTAACTCTATAAAAAGGAGAGACAGTGAAAAACATTAACAGGACAACTAAAAGCTATTTCCATGTGAAAAGAATCCCAATGGTTTAAAAAAATTCTTTCTACCTCCTAGTATTATCCAACTTATGTATAGCTACTCATGGGTTGAACCAAAAACTAATATGTATTGAAAGAGAGACAACGAGAGAAGGGGGAGAGAGAGTCAATCCATAATGGATAATGAAAGATTTCAGGGCATAAACACATTGATTTAATAAAATGCTAATTAAGAGGGAAACAATTGATAATTAATAATTTTTATTATATTGGAACTAGAGATCAGAAAGTAGAGCTTTCACTACTTGATAAAAGATGAGAGAGGAAAATGGGAGCACAAAGAAAATTGTGTCTTGTAAAGGCACAGCAGGCTGTTGAAGTACTTTATTATTTTCCAATAAGGAAGATTCTTTCTGATAAAATTATTACATATTAAGTTTTATCCTTAGGGGGAAATTTGTGTTGACTGGAATATAAGAAGTAGCCTTATAAAGTAGTAAAAACTTGAGAAATTATGATGGAACTTGAAGGCTTTATAAGAACTTAATTGTGAGTTTTCAAACATGACTGCATTGTAGAATCACCTAAGGAATTTCTAAAGTGCCCATCCCGGTCTCCTTGCTGAGATCCTAATTTAATTTCTATGTGGTTGTGTCCAAGGATGGATATTGTGAAATGACTCCTAAGTAATCAAAAGAATACAGACTGGTTTGAGAATGGCTGATGAGAACATTCTATCATCATAAATTGGGATTCATTGACATAATAATCCTGAATGGATGAGAGCTGAAATGTAACCAAATATGCATGAAGACCCCATCATCTTGTTTGTACAGTAAGTGGGTGGTTTCATGAAAATTATATTCTAACCTTAATTGGTAGTTGTGAAGAATTTGAGTAAAATGTCACTAGTCATAGTGAAATTTCAGGGTATCAGGCTAGAATTAAGATTGAGAGAGAGAAAGAAGATATAGCCTAAATTTTGTTTAATTTTAAAATGGTAACAGAGCTAGGTAGCAATGAGAGTGATTGTCTCCTAATTAGATGACTTCCTTATTAAGGGAAGTTTTAGGAATAGACTACATGAATAACCAGGTAATTGGATTATGTCAGAGTATTTTCTGACATTTGGTGAGGAGGGGGCAGGGGGATTTTATAACATTAACTCCGTTAAAATTCAAGATTAAATTAATATCATTTTATACTCCAACATTAAAAGGATAGTGGAAAATTATAAAGAAAAAAGAATTGAGAGCATTGAAGAGGTTTAGTATTGACAGTTTTCCTCATCTCCCCCATTTTGTGAATGTCTACTGCATACAGTGCCTTGTAAAAATGTACACTTAACATACTCCAGCAGGAAATCTTTCTATCTTCAGAGCACCATGTGATCATGAGTCAGATGAATTTAGAGGGAAAATCACAAATAAAGATTCAGAAATGTTGAATTTAAAGTGAACTCACTTTAAATTTTGTATATTCAAGGATGTTTGTATATTTCAAGGTGACTAATCTGAATACAATTTGAAACCTGAGATATGCTATTATGGAAATAAATTTTGATGAGAGATGCTATGGAGTTGGTAAAAGCAGAAAACCAATACTGAACTCAGTAAGAAGAGTGCAGAACATGAGGGAAGTGAGCAGAATAGCTGGATCCTTCAGATATATGATTAGAATACATGTGCCAAGAATTGATGGAAGGTCTTGATTTTATCGGGCATCAAGAAGACAACATTGTCCTTTCCATTATTTCATTCCCTTCACTGTGCTCTATAAACAAACAGGCAAGTAGCAGGAGGACGCCATGAATGAATGACAAGGCTGTGAATCACTTACATCACTTGCATTTGTAGTGAAATGACTGAGTCAATCAGCTAGGTAGAAAGCCTGTTGAGGGTTTGGCACAGTTATCTTGCATTGCATAGAAATCTATTAAGTACTTAATAAGTGTTTGAAAACAAAAAATTTTAATTCTAACAGCATAATATGGACGCATGATTTTGAAAAAAACCAATGAGGTATATATCTCTTTATTTTTAACGTCTCCCAAACATCTACATAAAAATGAGACTCCACATAAAAATGAGATCTCAGAGAGAGAGTAAAGTTAAAAGATACCCAAATTTTCCAGGAAATGCAAGAAAAATTTTCAGTCCGAAATCTTGATGCTGAATATAAAGGTTAAATTATCCCTAAGAATCTGTTACCCTAATCTGGCCTTCAGAATGATTAGCAGAGAAAATTCATATTACCTGTGTAGTTCCAAACACCTCAAACTCAGAATTTAAACAAGCCGTGAGTAAAGCCCCCAGTTTCATGGCAGAAGCAAACAGAACCCTTCCAGAAGGAAAAGGCAAAGGGTTGAATAAAACAATTAAAAGGTGCTGTACACAAGAGACACAACAGGTAAACATAAGGCTGCAGAAAGTTTGAAAGTAAAAAAAAAAAAAAAATTAAAATTATTAGAATAAATAAAATTAATAAAAAATTAAAAGTATAGACCAGAGAGATATTAGGCAAAGGGGAGCTGGCATTGCTATGCTAATTTTAACATAAAATATATTTGAAGACATAAAACTTTGCTGAGGAAAAGAGGGTCAATTTGTGATTATAAACATTTCAATCCACTAGGAAGATATAAGTTTTAAATTTGTAGAAATCTAACAATATTGCCACAAAATAAATTAAAACTTGATAGGGCTGCAAAGAAAAAAGAGACTAATCTAACATCCTATTTAGAGATGTTACATACATATTTTAATAATTGATAGATCAGGTAGGCAAAAATCACTTATAAAATATAGAAACACCAATAATAGTCACTTGGAGAATTCTATGCTCTATTTTATTTATATAAATAATATATTTTGAGATTAACATCTCATTTGCAAATACTCTTTCTATATATATAGTCTGTGTTTCCTACAATTGAAAAAAATTCCTAAGACTTTCAAGGAAAAAAATACTAAACCAGGTATCCAAAGAATATATTGGGCATGTGCTAGAAGGGAAAAATTAGGCTTTTGCCAACTGAGAATCTTTTGTTTCTGAATCCTATACCCTTAGTCCCAGGGCAGAAGAGTAGCATATTAGATGAACATTATTAAATGCTTTCAAGTCTAGTCAAAAATTCATTTTGAAAGCTTTGAAATGGAATTGAAGAGAATTCTGATAGCATTTGTTCTACATTTGACATGGCTGCTTCGAAGTATTACAAGATATAGAAATTTGATGGCCTGTAAAAATCGCTAAGCTACGTCGTTTTATTTCTTTTTAACTGAACAAAATTGGCTTTTCCTCCCCTCGGGATTTACCTTTCCATATTTGTGGTTATGAAAATATGTGAATTAATATTTTAATGTGTGTGTGTCTATCTCGGTGTATGATTTTATGGTGTCATCTCTATTATTTTTTAAGTAAGAGATTTTCTCATTTATGATGAATTGGGGCATGGACAATTAAGAATCTCCTTTAAAAAAAAAAATCTCTCTTTTTTTTTTTTTGCCTTGTTCCCACTTCTTGAGTGCTTGGGCCTTGCTTACACTGCTTCTGTGACTCTTAGCAAATGACGCTTAGTGATATATTATTGCATTCATGGCTTCCAATTCTATACTTGAAATTCCTTTAGCACATAAAAAGTGCCTCACCTGTTCTAATATACTGAGATTCTCATATCATTCTCCACACATATTAAATGTTCAAGAAATGTTTATTGGAGGTATATGAATGTATGCATAAAAGGCTAACTAGCTAGAATATAAGTCTCATTAGCTTAGTAAATGCAATTATTTGGCCCAAGACATCTTTATTTCTCCACTCTACTGTCTGTCTTCCTAGAGCCCAAGCCAGTGCTAAGGATGAGGCCTGAAACCATGTAACTCTTTGATGAAAGCACTGGGGGAATTCATTCAAGAAAGTTTTTTCTTGAGCATTAAAATCAGATGTAATGGTTAAAAGAAACTAGTGGTATCATTTGCAAAGTTATAAAAGCAGTATAAACAATGTGCAAGCACTTCAGAAAGAAGAACGAGGGAACAAAATAGGGTTTGTTTTTTTTGTTTTTTTTTTTTTAAAGAAAAAAGTCTTTTTAAAGTCTTTTATGCTGTGGTTAATTATAACTGAAGGATTTTTCTACTTAAAAATCTTTCCTTTTAAAAAATGTTCACTCTGGTATAACTGCAACCTTATAAAATTAATCTGTGTTTTTTGTTTTTATCACAATAATGTCTTTTCTAATAGGTGAGTTCATCACATAATGGGCTAACCAATACCAACATCCTGAAACAACCCTGGATACCCTTTTCTCTAAATAACTCACCTTTACCTGAAGACAACACACACACATGCACACATGTGCACATGCACACACACAATTTTTACTAAATTTTGCCCTATAAACATTTCAAATTGTATTTTGGCTGAAAGTAAGTAACATTACCTAGAGATCTCAAAATATTTCAAGTTTCACACAAAATGAATACATTTGGTACATTAATACATACATGTAAAAATATTTACATGCAGATTTTATAAATGCACATACATACATTCATGCCATAAACAACATTCACTTATCACAATGGACTGTCATAAGAAGGAGGAGCAAACAATACCTTATTTTCTGGGTTCTATAGGAGGAGTTCCCAAATGTTTGACTGTGTATGACTTACCATAACAAAAAATCTATAACAATTCCACATATTTTTTTCTTAGCATGACTTTCCTACATAAAGAACCATAGATATTGATTCTTATGCAAAGGATTTAGTGCTTGAGTGATGCCAGATGAAACCTGTAAGAGGGTGAAGGAAGTGGGAAAAGGAATGAAGCCAAGCAGAAGTTTGAGTTCAACTGAAGGCTGTAGAGAACTCTGGGAAATAAATACCACCACAAAGTTGTCACACCTTAAGACAAAGGTCAGCCATTTGTACTTCCAACTCAATCAGCCATTAGCTGTTGCTGCTTCTTGTGAGAGAACATAAATTCCTAGGCATTTCTTGGCAAAGAAGCTCCTCTGAGTCCTGGGTCATTCTCAGAAGGGGAAAACTGTGAGCCATTAGCAGCTAACACTCTCAGAACTTGAGGGTACACTGCTCCATTAGAGGGTATCTGTGTAGAGCACCAGCAGTGTCTATTACACCCACGCATTCTTCCTTTTCAGTGTGTGTGTATAGGTAGCAGCCCTTGGAAGGGGAAATGCAAATGCTACCTAGGAAGGTGCCATGCTAATCAAAATTATATCCTTTTATTGTTTGTCATGTTGTAAAATAATCTATTAATAGCAAGTTCACTAACTAGGAAATGGGAACTAGGATAAACCCATGTAATACTTTATCTTGTAATTAAATGTAATAACTCCGGAGTTATATTCCTGGATTACTTAAAGCTCCTTTTCTAACAAGACAGTAACAGCTCAAATCCTTAACCTTGAAATGGAGATAGAAACTCCTAAAGTGGCAACATTAAGTCGTTCAGGGGCTAGACCTACTGAACTGCCAAAGGAATGAGAACTACACATGGGAGATCATTCTCAAATTCTCCTGTGTCATCTTTAGGACCTTTCAATGCACTGCATAAAACACATTTAAGAAGGATCCAAACATTTAATTTAATGTATTCTTATGTAATCAAAAGTTAAAATATAGACAGTATTTAAACTTATAATGGGACCCTCACTAATTTTCCACTATTCCCATACTGAAAGCAAACTCTACCATAGATTAAAAAGTGCTCCTACTTTTATTATCCTGGTGTCTTTCCCTGAAGTCTTTGGAAGACTATTATTATTTCTACAGGCTCATACGCATGGTACTTTGTCTTCTGAGCTGTCTTGTAATTTTTGATGGTTAGTTCATTTTTTCTTGGGATTTTTTTCTGTTAAAAATTTTTGAGCTTTGTTGAGTATGTTCTAGAATAGACTAGCATTTACTTCTACTGGGCACTGAGGAGTAATTTTCAGCTTTAGATTTACTGTGGAACACAGTTCTGCATGAAAGCCTACTTGTAGTGAAAATTTTGTCTTGATAATGTTTTTTTCCTTTCTTCTACCCAATGTTAAAACCTACAAGTTTCCATGCTGCTTATTATATTATAGAGGATTGTTTTATTCCTAGTTCATGCTGAACAAAATTAGGGAGTTAGCTTTGTGTAGGGTAACTCCATTAGAGTGGGTCCTAATTTTGTGTCTGTTTCAATGGGTCCTGCATGACCAAGAAAAAAAAGCTAAAGACCAGAGAATAAAATATATTTTCAGCTAGTCATAAACTTCAACTCCACCTCCTTGAATTTTTGTTTTAGCTTGATTTTTGTCCTTGAGTGCGTATTTCCCTTAGTTTGTGGGCAATACAATGGTCATAAATAAATAAGTAAATATATATTATATGTATTTGTATAATATATAAACTGATTTATCTATACTTTATGTAATTGTGAATATAAAATGATGATAGGAAGAGAGAGATGGATGGCTAATAAAGAGTTACGTTCATGTTTTACAAAACCTTGAATATAAGGTGTAGTTTATACTCTTGATGTAATTGATACTAATGTATCAGTTACTTCAACCACACCAATTATATTCACCAATCTTTTTTTATATTTTTGTTTACTAGTTTTATTAATGTTTAAGAGATGAGTATTTAAATATCTCCCAAAACAACCTATAATTTTTTAATACAGGTATTCGGATATGTATGGTACTATTGTATTACAAGTGTTCATTATATTAAAAATTAATAATAAAAGAAAAAAGGATCCTTTGATTTTGTTGTTGTTGTTACTGTTGTTAAATAGGCAACAGACTTTTCTTGTTGGATGGTAACCAGAACATATATACATATATATATGTATATATAAATATATATACATGTATATATATATGTGTGTGTGTATATACGTATATACACATATATACGTATATGTGTGTATATATGTATATACACACATATACGTATATATGTGTATATATGTGTGTGTATATATATACATACATATACATATACACACATTACGTCCATCTGCTGTCTTCTTTGCATTCATTTGATCTAGAACAATGGAAGATTAACTCTGCATGTGAATTTCTTAATGGGACTATGGTTTTCAGCTCAGTTTATTATTCTCTTGTGCCTTTGCTTGTTTTCTATTTATTTATTTTCAAAATTCCAAATGCTGATTATCAACTGAAACTGTACCATTTAATTGAACTTGTTACATTTTCTTCTTTATTTTTTCTTTGAATTCTAAGAGAGTATTCCCAAATTGTCCTTTAACACTGTGCATTTGCTATTACAGTATTTCTATATAATTTTTTAATTATAATAAAGTCAGTTAAAAAAGCTGTAGAGTATTACAAAGTAATGACTGATATACAATAACTAGTTTAGGAAAATATTACAAATACAAATTTAAGGTATTTTGCATATACTCTATTTACTTCTCAATCCTAGGTTATCTAATATATTAAATTTATTTATCATTGATCATTTTGTTTTCTTATAAATTACACATCTGTTGGTGAAAATATCTTTAATTTTACTTCATTCCCAAATGATCATTTAATACATAGTCCAAAACTTATAGTTATTATTTCTCAGAACTTTAAAGAAAGAACCTTACCATATTCAGGTTTCTCTTAATGTTCATGAGCAATTTACTGTCAAAATAACTGTGGTTCAATGACAGATAATCTGCTTTTTCTCTTTGATTTTTCTAAAGTTTTTTTTCTTGATTTTGCTGTTTTTCATCTCTTCAGTTTTGTTCAATATGCTATTAGACCTGTGTATTGAATTTTTATATAACTGTGAGTTCATTTTTTGAACTTCTATTTTGTTCTTTAAAAATATCGTAGAGCACTTTTATAATCTTTTGATCTTTGAATTTTTAGTCCTTAAATTATATCTACATTTATGTATACTCATTTTATATTCTGTAGTTGTAAATTCCATATTTGAAGTTGTTGGAATTTTATTCTATTGGCTATTTCCGCTAACTTTTCATGATGGTGTCTTTCCACATCTATTTATTAGTTTTTATGCTTACATTAGTAATCTTGTCTAAATCTGTGGACATTCTGAGGGGTATCAGGTAAAATACTTTTAGGGAAAGAATTTGCATTTGTTTCTGTGAGGTGCCTCATGACACTTTCAAATAAAGACAATTTTAGATTAAATTTTTACGTGGTGGTTTCAGTGACCACATAGATTATAAAATTTAAACCTGAAATTTATTATATAAAGACAGAATATAACTACACATTTTCAGATTGGTATATTTTTGTGTTAGGAGGAGGGGGTATTTTTAATAATCAGAGCTGAGACAATGTCTAATAGGATATTTTGTAATCTCCCATTGCTAGAAGGTATGTCCGGTTTCTTTTACTCAAGCCAGTTTCCAAGAATAAAATCTTGCAGAAGTATTAGCTAAAATAGTTACAACTGTAAGTATAGATCAATCTGATAAACATTAAATTTATATTTTAAGTAGTTTTTATGGCTGCTATAACAAATTACCATAAACCTAGTGGCTTAAGACAACATGAATTTATTATCATACAGTTCTAGAATTCAGAAGTCTGAAACTGGTTTCATTGGTCTCAAAGCAAGGTGCTGGAAAGAAAGCATTCATGGATGGAGGCTCTAGGGGATAATTGTTTCTATACTTTCTAGCTCCTAGGGCCCTTCAAACTTTTGGCTCTTCCCTCTTGAAAGCCAAGAATGGCACGTTGAGTCTTCACATCACCGCTGTCTTGCTCTGTCATCACAACCTCTCTGATGTTGACTCACCTGCCTTCTTCCTATAAGGACTATTGTGATTAGATTGGACCCATCTGGATATTACAGAATACTATCTTGTACCAAGTTCAGCTAATTCCTTTAAGGTAAGCTTTATTCCATCTACCCACTTTATTCTTTTTAATCAAGTGACCTTACATATTCACAGGTTTGGGGATTAGGATATGAACATACGGGGGTGGGGGCATTATTATGCATAACACAGTATTTATAATGAAAACAACTAAAAATAATTTTCTTGCAAAATTGTACATGACTAACTTGTAACAATTCTGTCTGAAGAATTAGTGTTTTTTAATGTTAAAAATTCTGGACATAAAAGATGGCCAAATAGGAACAGTTCCAGTCTACAGCTCCCAGCGTGAGCAACCCAGAAGACGGATGATTTCCGCATTTCCAACTGAGGTACCAGATTCATCTCACTGGGGACTGTCGAACAGTGGGTGCACGACAGTGGGTGCAGCGCACCAAGCTTGAGCCAAAGCAGGGCGAGGCATCGCCTCACCTGGGAAGTGCAAGGGATCAGGGAATTCCCTTTTCCTAGCCAAGGAAAGCGGTGACAGACGGCATCTGGAAAATCGAGTCACTGCCACCCTAATACTGTGCTTTTCCAATGGTCTTAGCAAAAGGCACACCAGGAGATTATATCCCGCGCCTGGCTTGGAGGGTCCTATGCCCATGGAGCCTCACTCATTGCTAGCACAGCAGTCTGAGATTGAACTTCAAGGAGGTGGCGAGGCTGGGGGAGGGGTGCCTGCCATTGCTGAGGCTTGAGTAGGTAAACAAAGTGGCTAGCCAGGAAGCTCGAACTGGGTCGTGGCCACCACAGCTCAAGGAGGCCTGCCTGTCTCTGTACACTCCACCTCTGGGGGCAGGGCATAGCCAAACAAAAGACTGCAGAAACCTCTGCAGACTTAAATGTCCCTGTCTGACAGCTTCGAAGACGGTAGTGGTTCTCCCAGCACGGAACTGGAGATCTGAGAACAGACAAACTGCTTCCTCAAGTGGGTCCCTGACCCCCGAGTAGCCTAACTGGGAGGCACCACCCCAGTAGGGGCAGACTGACACCTCACACGGCCAGGTACCCCTCTGAGACAAAACTTCCAGAGGAACGATTAGGCAGCAACACTTGCTGTTCACCAATATTCGCTGTTCTGCAGCCTCTGCTGCTGATACCCAGGCAAAGAGGGTCTGGAGTGGACCTCCAGTAAACTCCAACAGACCTGCAGCTGAGGGTCCTGACTGTTAGAAGGAAAACTAACAAACAGAAAGGACATCAAAACCAAAGCCCCATCTGAACGTCACCATCATCAAAGACCAAAGGTAGATAAAACCACAAAGATGGGGAAAAAACAGAGCAGAAAAACTGCAAATTCTAAAAATCAGAGTGCCTCACCTCCTCCAAAGGAACACAGCTCCTCACCAGCAACGGAACAAAGCGTGACAGAGAATGAATTTGACTAGTTGAGAGAAGAAGGCTTCAGATGAACAAACTACTCCAAGCTAAAGGAGGAAGTTCGAACCCATGGCAAAGGAGTTAAAAACCTTGAAAAAAGGTTAGATGAATGGCTAACTAGAATAACCCATGCAGAGAAGTCCTTAAAGGACCTGATGGAGCGGAAAACCGTGGCACGAGAACTACGTGACAAATGCAGAAGCCTCAGTAGCTGATTCAATCAACTGGAAGAAAGGGTATCAGTGATGGAAGATCAAATGAATGAAATGAAGCGAGAAGAGAAGTTTAGAGAAAAAAGAATAGAAAGAAACAAACAAAGCCTCCAAGAAATATGGGACTCTGTGAAAAGAACAAATCTACGTCTGATCGGTGTACCTGAAAGTGACGGGGAGAATGGAACCAAGTTGGAAAGCACTCTGCAGGATATTATCCAGGAGAACTTCCCCAATCTAGCAAGGCAGGCCCACATTCAGATTCAGGAAATACAGAGAATGCCACGAAGATACTCCTCGAGAAGAGCAACTCCAAGACACATAATTGTCAGATTCACCAAAGTTGAAATGAAGGAAAAAATGTTAAGGGCAGCCAGAGAGAAAGGTTGGGTTACCCACAAAGGGAAGCCCATCAGACTAACAGCTGATCTCTCCACAGAAACTCTACAAGCCAGAAGAGATTGGGGGCCAATATTCAACATTCTTAAAGAAAAGAATTTTCAACCCAGAATTTCATATCCGGCCAAACTAACCTTCATAAGTGAAGGAGAAATAAAATCCTTTACAGACAAGCAAATGCTGAGAGATTTTGTCACCACCAGACCTGCCCTACAAGAGCTCCTGAAGGAAGCACTAAACATGGAAAGGAACAACCAGTACCAGCCACTGCAAAAACATGACAAATTGTAAAGACCATCGAGGCTAGGAAGAAACTACATCAACTAACGGGCAAAATAACCAGCTAACATCATAATGACAGGATCAAATTCACACATAACAATATTAACCTTAAATGTACATGGGCTAAATGCTCCAATTAAAAGACACAGACTGGCATATTGGATAAAGAGTCAGTATCCATCCGTGGACTATATTCAGGAAACCCATGTCACGTGCAGAGACACACACAAGCTCAAAATAAAGGGATGGAGGAAGATCTACCAAGCAAATGGAAAACAAAAAAAGGCAGGGGTTGCAATCCTAGTCTCGGATAAAACAGACTTTAAACCAACAAAGATCAAAAGAGATAAAGAAGACCATTACATAATGGTAAAGGGATCAATTCAACAAGAAGAGCTAACTATCCTAAATATATATGCACCCAATACAGGAGCACCCAGATTCATAAAGCAAGTCCTTAGAGACCTACAAAGAGAATTAGACTCCCACACAATAATAATGGGAGACTTTAACACCCCACTGTCAACATCAGATCAATGAGACAGAAAGTTAACAAGGAAATCCAGGACTTGAACTCAGCTCTGCACCAAGCGGACCTAATAGACATCTACAGAACTTTCCACCCCAAATCAACAGAATAGACATTCTTCTCAGCACCACACTACACTTATTCCAAAATTGACCACATAGTTGGAAGTAAAGCACTCGTCAGCAAATGTAAAAGAACAGAAATTATAACAAACTATCTCTCAGACCACAGTGCAATCAAACTAGAACTCAGGATTAAGAAACTCACTCAAAACCACACAACTACATAGAAACTGAACAACCTGCTCCTGAATGACTACTGGGTACATAACGAAATGAAGGCAGAAATAAAGATGTTCTTTGAAACCAACGAGAACAAAGACACAACATACCAGAATCTCTGGGACACATTCAAAGCAGCGCGTAGAGGGAAATTTATAGCACTAAATGCCCACAAGAGAAAGCAGAAAAGATCTAAAATTGACACCCTAACATCACAATTAAAAGAACTAGAGAAGCAAGAGCAAACACATTCAAAAGCTAGCAGAAGGCAAGAAATAACTAAGATCAGAGCAGAACTGAAGGAGATGGAGACACAAAAAACCCTTCAAAAAATCAATGAATCCAGGAGCTGGTTTTTTGAAAAGATCAACAAAATTGATAGACTGCTAGCGAGACTGATAAAGAAGAAAAGAGAGAAGAATCAAATAGATGCAATAAAAAATGATAAAGGGGATATCACCAACAATCCCACAGAAATACAAACTACCATCAGAGAATACTATAAACACCTCTACACAAATAAACTAGAAAATCTAGGAGAAACTGATAAATTCCTCGACACATACACCCTCCCAAGACTAAACCAGGAAGACGTTGAATCTCCGAATAGACCAATAACAGGCTCTGAAATTTAGGCAATAATTAATAGCTTACCAACAAAAAAAAGTCCAGGACCAGACGGATTCTCAGCCGAATTCTACCAGAGGCACAAGGAGGAGCTGGTACCATTCCTTCTGAAACTATTCCAATCAATAGAACAAGTGGGAATCCTCCCTAACTCATTTCATGAGGCCAGCATCATCCTGATACCAAAGCCTGGCAGAGACACAACAAAAAAAGAGAATTTTAGACCAATATCCCTGATGCACATCGATGCAAAAATCCTCAAAAAAAATAATGGCAAACCAAATCCAGCAACACATCAAAAAGCTTATACATCATGATCAACTGGGCTTCATCCCTGGGATGCAAGGCTGGGTCAACATACACAAATCAATAAACATAATCCAGCATATAAACAGAACCAACGACAAAAACCTCATGATTATCTCAATAGATGCAGAAAAGGCCTTTGACAAAATTCAACAACACTTCATGCTAAAAACCCTCAATAAATTAGGTATTGATGGGACATATCTCAAAATAATAAGAGCCGTTTATTACAAGCCCACAGCCAATATCATATTGAATGGGCAAAAACTGGAAGCATTCCCTTTGAAAACTGGCACAAGACAGTTTTATTCACCACTCCAATTCAACATAGTGTTGGAAGTTCTGGCCAGGGCTATTAGGCAGGAGAAGGAAATAAAGGGTATTCAATTAGGAAAAGAGGAAGTCAAATTGTCCCTGTTTGCAGATGACATGATTGTATATCTAGAAAACCCCACTGTCTCAGCCCAAAATCTCCTCAAGCTGATAAGCAACTTCAGCAAAGTCTCAGGATACAAAATTAATGTGCAAAAATCACAAGCATTCTTATACACCAATAACAGACAAACAGAGGGCCATATCATGAGTGAACTCCCATTCACAATTGCTTCAAAGAGAATAAAATACCTAGGATTCAAACTTGCCAGGGATTTGAAGGACCTCTTCAGGTAGAACTACAAACCACTGCTCAACAAAATAAAAGAGGATACAAACAAATGGAAGAACATTCCATGCTCATGGATAGGAAGAATCAATATCATGAAAATGGCCATACTGCCCAAGGTAATTTATAGATTCAATGCCATCCCCATCAAACTACTAATGACTTTCTTCACAGAATTGGGAAAAACTACTTTAAAGTTCATATGGAAGCAAAAAAGAGCCTGCATTGCCAAGTCAATCCTAAGCCAAAAGAACAAAGCTGGAGGCATCACACTACCTGACTTCAAACTATACTACAAGGCTACAGTAACCAAAACAGCATGGTACTGGTACCAAAACAGAGATATAGACAAATGGAACAGAACAGAGCCCTCAGAAATAATGCCACACATCTACAACTATCTGATCTTTGACAAACCTGACAAAAATAAGAAATGGGGAAAGGATTCCCTATTTAACAAATGGTGCTGGGAAAACTGGCTAGCCATATGTAGAAGGTTGAAACTAGATCCCTTCCTTACACCTTATACAAAAATTAATTCAAGATGGATTAAAGACTTAAATGTTAGACCTAAAACCATAAAAACCCTAGAAGAAAACCTAGGCAATACCATTCAAGACACAGGCATGGGCAAGGACTTCATGTCTAAAACACCAAAAACAATGACAACAAAAGCCAAAATTGACAAATGGGATCTAATTAAACTAAAGAGCTTCTGCACAGCAAAAGAAACGACCATCAGAGTGAACAGGCAACCTACAGAATGGGAGAAAATTTTTGCAAGCTACTCATCTGACAAAGGGCTAATATCCAGAATCTGCAAAGAACTCAAACAAATATACAAGAAAAAAACCACCCCATCAACAAGTGGGCGAAGCATATGAATAGACACTTCTCAAAAGAAGACATTTATGCGGCCAACAGATACATGAAAAAATGCTCATCATCACTGGCCGTCAGAGAAATGCAAATCATAACCACAGTGAGATACCATCTCACACCAGTTAGAATGGCGATCATTAAAAAGTCAGGAAACAACAGGTGCTGGAGAGGATGTGGAGAAATAGGAACACTTTTACACTGTTGGTGGGACTATAAACTAGTTCAACCATTGTGGAAGACAGTGTGGCGATTTCTCAAGGATCTAGGACTAGAAATACCACTTGACCCAGCCATCCCATTACTGGGTATATACCCAAAGGACTATAAATCATGCTGCTATAAAGACACATGCACATGTATGTTCACTGCAGCACTATTCACAATAGCAAAGACTTGGAACCAAGCAAAATGTCTGTCCAACAATGATAGACTGGATTAAGAAAATGTGGCACATATACACCATTGAATACTATGCAGCCATAAAACATTACGAGTTCATGTCCTTTGTAGGGACATGGATGAAGCTGGAAACCATCATTCTCAGCAAACTGTCACAAGGACAAAAAACCAAACACCGCATTTTCTCACTCATAGGTGGGAATTGAACAATGAGAACACTTGGACACAGGAAGGGGAACATCACACACCACACCTGTTGTGGGGTGGGGGGAGGGGGGAGGGATAGCATTAGGAGATACACACAATGTAAATGACGAGTTAATGGGTGCAGCACACCAAAATGGCACATGTATGTGTGTGTGTATATATATATATATATATATATATATATATATATATATATGTAACAAACCTGCACGTTGTGCACATGTACCCTAGAACTTAGAGTATAATAATAAAAAAAAAGTTCTCGACAGTTTTCATCTGCTGTATCACAGTGACTTTCTATTCAGTGCAGTGTATTATATTATATAAGTGAACAAATAATATGACCCCAAATAAATTAGATTTATTTTTACATTGTTGATTGCTTTAATACTTAACTATGACAGTGTACTGGCAGGATAATGTACATATTAGTCAAACTATTGCACACATTTTGCAAAATTAACAAATCATACAGTGAAACTTCTCTACTAAAAAATTTAGAATTTCGTACTTCTAATAAATCATATGCTAATAGCCAATTTAATCTGCTGTACTATGCAACTATACCACTTTTGATCAGAAGAATCAGTAAGAATAATAATTGATGTAGAATCAAGAATTCTTTTCATAGCTTTGTCCTTGAAATGAGCTTTAGTTTCCTTATTTTCAAAGGCCAAAGTATTTGTATATCTGAGTCTAGAATGTGGAATACAATTTCTTCTCCCAGTTCTACTGTAAGCATCTCAATTCCAGTCACCATAAAGTACAATAACCACTAACTGCTCACCCATCTCCCATCATTATCTCCTATCTTATTTTCAACACAATAGCCCACATTATCCTCTAGAAGTGCAAGTCAGTTGGGTATAATTCCTCTGTTTCAAATTTTCCAAAGATTCCAATATTTCAGGAAAATACAAACCAGGCGGTTTAGAGTGACGTGATGTTTCTTCCATCTTCTACTTCTCTGACCTTGCCACTTAACTGTTCACTCAATCCGATCCACAAACACTGCCTTGATTACTATTCTTCCTACACTCCAGACATATTCCTATTTTAGGGAAGGCCAAATACAGTTAATGAGAAGCAAGGTCAAAATTAAAATTAATCTGCTCAATGATAAAAAAGTATATTAAATTGCCTCATTTTTGCCTCGATTGTCCTCCCAACCTGTCCCTGTTTGTTCTATTTAAGAAAAATTTATAATATACCGATTCTGAATCCCTGGCCTGCATTCTTCCTATCCCTCATATCTGTCACCATTTGATACCTGTGTAGGACCATCCAGGCCAGAAGCAGAAATGTTTGAAGAGCTCTAGACTACCTCTTTGCATGTCAGCATCAAATTCCCTTTCTTGTATTCTTGCTCCAACCTTGTATCCTAGATCTCCTAAGTGGGATTCTGCCTTATTTCTAATAATCACTGTATGCCCCCGTTTTGCTTATTGGATTCTAATTTTGGTATCGCATCCCCGGTTCTGAGGAGTGACCTCTTTCTTGTTTATTGGAACTGAGGAACTTAAGTCCTGCTCTGAGATGTGATCACTAGGACAGAACCAAGTTTTCTTGCTAATGAACTTGGTGAATGCCTTTCTTTCTGTTTTACTTTACTTTCTCTTGGACTATCCATTCCTTTGGGGGACCTTCCCATAATGCTGCCACACATTTTAGATTGTCATCTACTGGATGGGCAAGGTTCCTTTCAGCTCCCATAAGTTTTTCATGTTATTCACATCCTCTTCCTTCAGTGGACAGATCCAGTTTCTTACTTGACTCATCTTCCTCTGTTTTCTTCTCCTGGAATTAATAAGGCCATTCACATCAGTTTTGCTTTCAATAAGTGCAACAAAACAGGAAAATCTGCCTTTTTTTCAGGTTCTAAAATGTGTTGGCTATCTTTTTTAAAAAAATTTTAAAATGTGTTGGCTATTTTTTGTGACATTTTTAAATCTACATTTTCAAAATATGTTGTTAGGGCATAATGCATATTATACATTTTGCAGAAATTGTATTAAGATATAGCAATTATGTTTTTATATCAATAGAATGCACAAATGATGCAGGTTTTTAGGTTACCCCTTTTATTATATGAGATTTCCTGAAAAGACCATCAATTGAGTCACCACCTTTCATACAATTAATACATATTAAAATAGAAAGTGGTAATAATAAGACCAATAAATGAATAAAAATGTAAGTTCTTGCAAAGTACATCTTTGAATGTGCATGTGTACCTGTAGTAATAAGACCATATCTCTCCATCGCCCATTAAATGTCAGAGCAAGTGTTTAAGTGTCATTATTCTTAGATATTGCCATTACATGAAAATGGGTTTTAAAAAGTAAATATGAATCATTTTACATAAGGAATAATTATACATGTATTTTGCTTCCAGTAATGCCACCATATACTCACTAATAAAAAGTACAGTATATTAAGCATGATGATTTTGTATTTTTATGCAAAGAAAACCCACATGTGTCTATGCCAGCTTTTATTGCTACTCCCAACCCTTTGTCTGGATGAGAAAACTTAAGTGTGGTTAATAATCCAAGTAGGGTGTTCCATAGATATTTATTTTAAAAATATTTATTGGATGCTTATAATATTCCACTCACTGAAGATAGAGTAATAATCAGACAAGATGAACATCTCTGCTCTCCTGGAATTTTTATGAGTGGAATAGTGGAAAAAGGACTGAGAACGTCTGTGTTTTAGAACTGCTTCTTCTACTTACTAGCTGTGTGCCCTTGTCTAGAACACCTGCATTACCTCAGCAAACACTGATATAAAAATTTTGAACCCTATGCTTTTGTAAGTGCTTCATTTTAGTCTCTCTGTCCACCTAGATTGCATTTTATCTTATTGCTTATAGGCTTTATTCACATGGCAGGATAGATGATCATAATAGCAAATTTTACACACTACATAATCTGCCACTAGAAAAGTCTGTTCCCAACACTGATACATGTTCAAAAATTCTAGGGAAGAGAATCACTGGCCTGGCTGAAGCCAAGTGCCAATGTCTAGCCTAATAAAACACAACCAAGGGTAGGTACATGCAAAAATATGTCATTCTTCGTGATGGTTATGTGAATGGGATGGAAAGAGGGAGGTCCTAAGGGATTGAGGTCCCAGGTAGACAATCCAAAGATATGTCTACTATAAAGAATACGGGTATAGTAGAGAAATATAAGCACGATTTAACCTCTCTTGCTCATCCTAATGAAATATTGTGAGAAAAAATGAGTTCCAATTAATACACAATAAACTAAATTCATTTGAGCTTATTTAGATATTGTTTGTATGCACTCCTGAAGAAATAGAAGAATTACATTCTATAGTAAAGGCTAAGGATGGATGTGATTCCTTGTAATGAATCCTATCATAGCCTATAGAGCATTGTGAGAAGCAGTGAAGATGTGATTACTTTCAGTCATTGGGAAAGATTATCTTCCAGTATTTCTCACATTCAAACTTACAGGCAATCTGGAAATAAAATAATAGATACAGTAAGTGACATCTATTTATATTCAGGCAAACTATTATTAATGTAGATATATTTTAAAGGTTGTACACTTTAGAGAACAGCACTAGAGATTTATCAATGTTTTACTCTTGAACACATTTTATATCCTCAAGGGAACAACTGATCAAGTCTTTACAAAAGACTTTTTATTGTATCCCAGTAAATAATTTTACTGTCTTCCATTCTGATATTATTAGTTACCGTAATAATCACAGCGTTTCAATTTTACCATTAAAATAGTTTCTGCTTTCCTCTCATGTTTGTCTGAAAGTTCTTTATAAGTTATGAAGTGAAAACTGACCTCCAGTAAAAATCCATCACAGATCCTCAGGGAAAGTTCTGTACCTGGTACTCCTAAAAGTTGATGCTTCAAAGACTAGAGTATTGGGATCTGTACTGGCATTGCGCTGCTTAGAAAATTTTCAGACAATACCAGGAGACTGAGGATTATCAGAACTCTTTTTAGATCAGAAACAAATATAATTAATGAAAGTAAACTGCCAACCTGAGATCTAGAGGAACAACATTGGTCATTCAGGACTGAATAAACTGATGAAGGAAATTCTAGTGTGTTTTCTTTGTTGAAATTGTTGGCATTGTTTAATGTTCTCTTTTCTGATAGACATATGAGTAAACCATTACTTTTATTTATCTCTAACTCCTGATTTAATAAATTATACTCTTCCAAAATTAAATAAAACATGTTAATGATACTCAATTCTTACTAACTCCTCAAAAATCAGAAACAAATACTTTTGCGGAGGTAGCAATATTTTCATAATATGGTTTATTTATGTAAGTTCCATAAGCATAGTGATAGGATTAGACCAACTGATGGTGAGACCAAGGTCGAACTTGTGTCATATTTGAGAATGAATTTTATATCATTTAATCAGGCATTACTAAATACCAGATTATTAAAGAACAAGGGTGTTACTTCATTTGTGGAGACAATGTCCATAAGCCCTTATTTGGATGCCTGAACACTGGCTGAACTTGACTTGCAAAGAAAGACTGTGCCTGCCTCAGCAGCTGCCTGAAGTACCCATGTGACATATTTTGGAAGTGCAGGGCATTTGGCCATTGAGTGTTGGGAGGGTGAAAGTATCCAGTGGCTGAATCACTTGCCTTTCCTTCACCAGTACATTGCTGTGACTTATAGGTCCACGGGACTCCTCTAAAGATGACAAAACATGTGGACATTGAGCTCTTTGTTACAAAGTTACCACCACCTCAGTAAAAAATTAATAAACCCACTTCTATTTATTTCCAATGAATACATTTATAAATAAATGTAAAAATACAAAAAAAGGCCGGGCGCGGTGGCTCACGCCTGTAATCCCAGCACTTTGGGAGGCGAGGCGGGCGGATCACGAGGTCAGGAGACTGATACCATCCTGGTTAACACGGTGAAACCCCATCTCTACTAAAAATACAAAAAAAAAATTAGCAGGGCATGGTGGCGGGTGCCTGTAGTCCCAGCTACTTGGGAGGCTGAGGCAGGAGAATGGCGTGAACCCGGGAGGTGGAGCTTGCAGTGAGCCGAGATCGCGCCACTGCACTCCAGCCTGGGCGACAGAGCCAGACTCTGTCTCAAAAAAAAACAAAAAAAACAAAAAAAAACAACAACAAAAAAAAAAAAACCCACATAGCAAGTCAAAATTATGGTTTAAACCCAAGGATAAAGAATAATAAAAAATTTAAAGTAGATATGGTTTAAAAAGAAGACTTCATATGCATGTGCAATCATCTCTTCCCTGGTCAAGGATAGCTAAAATACGTAGTAATGTTAAATTTTAAGGTAATTTTTAGCTTTAATCAAAAAATGTTGGTATTTTATCAAGCGGCCAGACTGAATCTTCAATTACAAGGGTAAAGGAACAGCATGAGATAAAATAACTGCCCCCCTCCTACCACAAGATAGTTAAAAAATTGGATAAGATCCTATTTCCTGGGCATCTTGCTAATTCAGAGGAAAGGGGCCATTTAGACAAGGAAAGAAAGCAAATATCTGCATCAAACTAAAATTTATTTATTTTTAATGTTAAAGTTTTCTGTCAAGAAAAGAGAGGTATCTTGACATATAAATATTCAATCTGGGGCTTTCATTAACTTTTTTCCTAAGAAACTTTTGAAATATTTACCTTGTCTTCTGTATGTGCAACCCTAACATGAGAAAGGCACTGTATATGCAGAAGCGGATGCTAGTAGCATATCTGACAGTGATTTGTTTAAAATTATTATTAAAAGTGATTATTCTCCAATGTCTTTGACAGAAACACACTCTTTTGTCTAGGCCATACATGGTTAAAAAATTAAGGTAGTACTGTACATAATCTTTGTATTAGAAGAAATAATGCCATTAGAAAAACCATATTATGCGATTTTACAATTTTTAAGTTCTATCTCCAGACCCACTGTCTACTTGCTCCTTTGCTCTCTTTACTACTTTATTTGTCCAAGTTTACAGGCAACGAAATCAATCCATTCAGCATCCAACTATTGGATTTGACTTCTTTATACTTTGATTATGCAATATGCTATTAATACAAGCATCTCTTTTTATCTGCATCCAAATAATTAAGCCTACTTAGCATTCCCTGGAAACTCCTTAGCAGAGTCCCTTTATCTATGAGTTTCCTCATAAGCAACCCTGATTACACATACTCTACCTTAGTTTTTTTTCCAAGTGTTCCTGGGGATAAAAATTACCTGAGGTATTTCTGAAAACAAATTCCCAAGCTCCATGTCAGTTCCACTACATAAAATCTCTATATCTCAAGATAGGTTCATAAAATAATGTATATTTAATAAAGCATTTCAAGCAAGTGTTTTACATTTGGCAAATCTGAGGAGACAATGCTCTGATCTGTTACCTCCTCTCCATTTCTTTTGTACTGGTTCTCTCTTCTGTTACTGTAGTTGCCAATTAACTTTTTAAATTTTTACTGTAATCTCTCCTCTTCTAATATATTATACACAACATAGTCAATTTTTTGTATACACTCATATCAAAAATCTTTGATATCATGTTATTACTAAGATAGTAAATAAATGTATTTAATGTAACAAATAAACATAGCCACAGTCTGATCTCATGTTGCCTTTTAACCTTTCTTTTCTACCACGTTCCTGTGCATACTGTATTACTATTACCTTATACCATTTGCAGAATACATTTTGCCTGCCACATGGCTATATTTTGTGACTATGGTTATTTTCTCTGATTGGATTGTCCTTCTCACCACACATCCTCTCTATTAAGACACTACTTCAAAATCTCTATAAATACCTCATCTCCTCAATTAAGTGCACCCTCCCTCGCAATCTACCAATTCTTCCTCAGTCTGTGCAAATTTCAGTTTTGAGCCTTTTCTGAATAGACTGATGACAGAGAGAGAGAGATAAAGAGAGAGAGAGAGAATTTGTCTCTTCCACATTATTATAGGAGCCTTGGAGGGAGGGTGATTACATTTCTTTGTTGTGCTTTTCCGTAAGTATTCAGTACAACATCTACAGATGCAAGTGATATGTAAATGCTTCTTAAAATCATAACTGAATGGGTGGGCAAAAACAAACATTTCAAGAATCACCTGAAATGTTTTAGTTTTAATATACCCACTTTATTTGGATGCACTTTCTTTGAAATATTTCCACATTGGGTTGGTCCTCCCACCTTGCCACTTTACTCTTGCCCTGTTGGCCTCCTAACCTCTATCTTCCACCTCCTCCTAATTTTTCCTCAGTCTCTGCCAGCCATTGCTAATACCTTGATGTTGTCTGAACATTATCAAACTAGATCCTTTGACAAGGTTCTTAAAATAACTTGTTTAAATGGGAAGATAAATTTGAAGGCTGATCTGCTGTTTGTGAAATGCTGTAATGCACATTGTTTTGTATGAAGCAGATAGCTGATCTAGTAGCTTTTGATGCTTGCTTACTTACAGAATGCTTTAGAATAACAGTATCCTAACCCTCAAGAATACATTGCCATAGAAAAAAACAAGATCATGTCCTTTTCAGCAACATGAATGAAACTGGACGCCGTAATTCTAGGTGAACTAATGCAGAAAACCAAATACCACATGTTCTCACTTATAAGTGGGAGCTAAATGTTGACTACACATGGACACAAAGGACACTGGAGCCTACTTGAGGGTGAAGGATGGGAGGAGGGAGAGGATAGAAAAACTATCTATTAGGTACTATGCTTATTACTGAGTGACAAAATAATCCATGTGCTAAACCCCTGTGACACACAATTTACCTATATAAAAAAGTGCACATGTGCCAGGTGTGGTGGCTCACGCCTGTAATCCCAGCACTTTGGGAGGCCAGGGCGGGTGGATCACGAGGTCAAGAGATCGAGACCATCCTGGCCAACATGGTGAAACCCCATCTCTACTAAAAATACAAAAAAATTAGCCGGGCGTGGTGGCGGGTGCCTGTAGTCCCAGCTACTTGGGAGGCTGAGGCAGGAGAATGGCCTGAACCTGGGAGGCGGAGCTGAGCTTGCAGTGAGCCAAGATCACGCCACTGCACTCCAGCCTGGGCGACAGAGCAAGACTCCGGCTCCAAAAAAAAAGAAAAAGAAAAAAAAAAACTAACAAACAAAAAATGCACACATACCCCTGAAACTAAAATAGAAGTTTAAAAAATTAATAATTCATTAAAAAACTAAAACACATACACAAAAAAACTCATATTGTGGAGGCTTCCCCAGCCTTCATGCAAATTAAAGTTTTTTTTACTAATACCCATTTAATCCAACCGTACAGTGGCAATTATAATGTATTACAGCTATTTGCATATTTGTAATAATTTTCACTGGATTATGGGCTTCAGTATTTCATTTAACTTATTTTTTCATTATGCCTGGTGTTTAATAGATGCTTAATAAAAGTTTGTTGAATACAAATTAAAAAAATAAAGTTGCATTGCATTGAGGTTCTCTGCACACCTGGCTACCTCATTCTCTCAGCACTCAAGAAATTCTGGGACTACTCTTGGGCTATTTGTCATGGAAGAACTTAAATTTTTCAAATGACAAATTCCATATTTAAGTTCTTTGTAAAACAAAATCGACTTGAAAACAGCCCAAATATTTGAAACTGCAAGTTGATTTCACTGAGTGCCCTTTTAGGATTTTACGTAGTTATGGAGCAGGGGAAGCCAGGCAAGATTATTTGAAAAGATACTGAAACCGTAAACATGTCCTCCTTCTCCCAAAGTGCTGTCACTACTACGTAAAATAAAAGGAAGCTTTCAACCATGGGAACTTTCTAGCCTATTGCCATTCTAGGAAAAGAACTGAGCAGAGAATTTTAGCATTTCTGAAGGGCTGCAAAAGAAAAATGATGTGATTACTCTTTTAAAAGTGTAATGGCTGATGAAGTACTAGGCAACTATCAATGAATTATTAATATCAGTGCTCAGCATTGCAGTTGGACAATTGGGATTTCTTATTCTCACTTACCTTCACTGAAGTGTTTTTAGAGCAGGTGGGTCAATGCTATAATATCTTAAGGAGCCCATTTCAGGTTCTATGTAAAGATCTAATCTCAGACAACCCCATGAAGATTTCTTTAATTTTTAGAGTTAACCTTGGAAGTAATGTCGTATTTGAAATGGGTGGTAAGGATAGAAGAAAAATTAAATATGAAAGTGATGACAATGATGATGACTTTTTTTTTTTTTTTAACAATGCAGCTTTGGCAGAAATTAACAAAAGTAAAGCAAGTACACCAGAGACTGAGAAATAAGTCTACCTATTAAGACAGACTCAACCAGGAAGTATAAAAAAGAAGTTGATGCAACTAAGGATTAAGTGTCTACTATTTTTCTTTTTGAAGTTACCATGGGAAACTCAGGCTATTCCTATGTAGTGAAAAAGTGTTAAAGAATTATGCTGGACACGTATGATTCCTCCCTCTACTACATCGTTCTAAGAAGATCAAGTAAAGTTTGTGTTAGTATTTTTGTGTCTAAAGCACCAAAATTCTCTGAATCTATGGATTCATTGAGGGTCCAGGTGATATAAACTAGATATTCTTTATATTAAAAATAACCTGATCTAGTTGCCTCTGATTAGACACAAACCCTAATTTTCTTCTACTTGATTCCAAGAGGCAATTTGCATGATTCCTAGAGATGTAATAGGAGAGCAAGTGAATATTTCTATTAATTAAAGTGCATGCTTTAATTAATGTGCATTAAACATCATCAGAGAGTTCTGGAAGTAAAGGCAGGGAAAGGAAGTAGATCTATTCATGGTTGCCCTTTAGGGCTCAATGAGGTTTTACTGCCATTTTCCTCACAGCTTGACAGAAGCAAAGTAATGGTGAAGAGGTCTGTGGTCCCTCTTTGCAGCCTCCTGGCTAAATAAAGCTAATGAAGTAGAAAAATGTTATTGATAAAACTAGCCTGTGTTTCACAATACACCCCTTCAGCTGGAAACTGTTCAGTGTTTGTGTTAATCTGTTCTGACCTCAATCATCTTTCTTTTTTTGGCTTCCAAATGCTAAATGGTGGCTTGTTATTTGTCCTCAATAAGCTGAAAAATAATCCCACTCTTAAGTTCCCCACAATACTTCAATACAGTGTATAAAGGCAAAACCAACAATATGCATTTTTTTTTCTGTAAGGAGATAAAAGGATTATATGGATTTTTCAAGACTTAATGGTAGAAAAGCCTTAGAAATAACTGTTTCAGTTGATAGCTCCATTAGTGTAAATCTTTTGACTCCCATTTCTTTAAATACAACACTGAACTAAAAATGGACTGTTGTAAAATTATGTACAAAATGAAATGTTAATTCCAGTCCCATACTAATTAATTTGAGTGAAAATTTCTTGACAGCAGAGGTTTCATTTCTTGTTTTCCATTGTATCTGCAAGAACACAGAAGAGTGTCTAATGCATGGTAAATGCTCAAAAATATCCAAATAGATTTCAAGAATATAGATACTTCACTGCACTACTCCGTTGCTAATTTTGTCACTATTCTGTTCACTCTTTTCTAAGAAAATGCTTTATTTTACTGTTTTAAATTTTATTTTAAAGCCCTGTGTTATTTTACAAACCATAGAAGTGTCTTTGATTCAGATACTCCAAATTATGGCAAAGTGAACTGGATATGGTAAGTCATTTTCGAGAGGATTTTAAACATACTTGTCCTCAACATTCGATGGAGAATTTATTGAACAACTAACAAAAGTGCCTGAAAGTTAGCTTATCACTCAGCCAGAGAACTACAAGGCCATATCAGTTAAGCCTTGGCATTTCTATCTAGTGATATGCCGAATCGGCCTCCAAAAAATGGTTGTGCGAAGTTAAAGAATTTATATCAAAAGCATCGTGCAGGAATCCCTGAAAATGTGTAATATCCATCTAAAGAACTGTGCTTAATATCTAACTATAGGGTTGGTTAAAAAAATAGCAAGGCTTAAAAATATACTACATCCGAGGCATTTCAAAGCAGAGAGCCACAGCAATGCACCTTTGTAACAATTCACCCAGATTTTCTAAGTTTCCCTATCCTGCTGATTATTAACAGATTGTTATTACTGAATATTTAATAGAGACAAAAATATTTCATGTTAAATGAGAATCAGTAAAAACAATGTACAAACGAACAGGTGATCATTTTCATCAGAAACTTTTCTGCTTCTTATCTTTGTGAAAAGAGCACACTTCTTTTGTTGTTATAATTTTAACTGAATTTTAAGAAGAAACTGATGAAATTCATTTAAAACACTGTCAACTGTTCTTTAGGGACAGCTTCGTTAAGGGCTGGCTCTAATCCAAGGCTTTGCCTCTAAGCCAAGTTTCCAGGGTTCATATAAAGTTTTCGGATTAGTTCTATTGTAACACTTTAAAATTGCTATCTCTTTTGTTTAGGTAATTTGCCCCAATATATTATTGTACTAAGATGTTGGAAATAAAATCATATACACTGTGACAAAAATCAAGAAGACTAAATAACTTATATTTTAATAGTCATTAAAGTTCAAACATATTGAGCCATGAGGGTTATTATTAGCAGGGTGGAAAACAGCAGGCATGCAAATGATAGAATACAGACCATTTCCATTGCTACTGCATGCATTAAAATTATTGATTTTAAATTGGTCAAATGGACTGGGACTGGAAGTGATTATTTTGGCCTATGACTATTAGACATATGGTGGTTAGTCATAGTAATGACTACTGTTTACTTAGCTTCTACTATGTACCCCAATGTATGTACTAAGATTTTAATTCCACAGATGAGAAACATAAAACTCAAGGTAACTGCTATTTTATCAAGCTCCCAAAGCTACAATGTGAATGAATCTCAAATCTAAGCTGAACTCTCTCAAATCTAAACTGAGTATTTCTGACAGTGTGCTCAAAATAAGTATGGAAGACTAACACAAGAGTGCTAAAAATGAAAACTATTTTTATCTCCACTGGAAAATCAGTCATCATGAAAAAATAAGTCAAAAATTATGAAAGAAAAATTATCAACTGGGGACTACTAGAGGGAGGAGGAAGAAAGGGCGGCATGGGCTGAAAATGTATCTATTGGTTGCTATGCTTACTACCTGGGTGATGGGATCATTATTACCCCAAATGTTAGCATGACACATTATACCCATTTAACAAATCTGCACATGTACCCTCAGAATCCAAAATAAAAGTTGAAAAAAATGAATAAAACACAAATTATTGTCACCTTCCCCCAAATTCCATTTCTCTCTAATGTAAATGAGATCTATAAGAATGTTCCAAAGTTATAGCAATGAGGATGTAAGTAACTTATTATTAATACACAACCAGCAAATGTAGTACTTATAATTTCTTAATAATCGTGTTTCTATGTTAATTACTAACTATCCCTCTTCTAATAAGTTGCTGCCTTACAAAGACCAGAGGAGCTATTTACTGAATCTCCAGGGCCTAGGCAGAAGTGGAATGCAATGAGGAAGACAGGCATGAGAATTTATATTAATCACAGTGAAGAATCACATGTGGGAAATATATGAAAATGGAAGGGCTGGATTAACAGAATGAGTGCTAGTAGAATATACTTATTTTTCTCTTATTTTAGACAGTATTATTTAGAACTCAACCTTGTAATTTAAAGCAATTTTAATAAGTAGTCCATACTTCATTGGGCTAGGGCCTACACAAAATAACACTTTAAAATGTACATTTTTAAAGATAAATAAATGAATACACCCACACATACACATTTACAGGAATTTTGCATTGTTTCCTGAAAACGTGTTCTGCTTGTTTGAAATTAATGTTAGTTTATTTTATAGCTTAATATATTTTTAAAAGAGGTTCATGGCTAATTGAAAAGAGAAAAGTATTTTCTGCTCCAGAGTATACTGTCCAGGATAGATAGATAGATAGATAGATAGATAGATATAGATATATAGACATATAGATATAGATATAGATACATATGATCACTTTTATAAATAAAATGCTCAAATATTCTATTTTCTTCCTTCTTTCATCTACTAAGAGATAAGTTAAAATTTCCCAATATTATCATATTCATATTAATTTTTCCATCATGTTTTCTACTGGTTTGTCTATGTATTTTGATGCCATTTTAGGTTATCTTCCACAAACGGATTTCTGACCTACTTCTCAAACCTTACAGTCTTTTAATAAAGGGGTTAAGAAGTAGTAAATCAAAGTGTCAGTTTCTCCACTTTCAGGCCGGAACTTGTTAAAGGTCATTCTTTAATTTGAGCTACTTTAATGGGTGAGCACTGGTATCCCATTGTGTTTTCCACGTATTTTCCCAAAAAGTAATAATGTTGAGCTGATTTTTCTGTTTATTGCCATAAGCATACCGCTTTGGTTATCCAAAATTTCTGAACAATTTTAAATCAGTGGGGTTTTTTTCTGTTAATTGAATTGTAAGAGTTATTTTAAATTCTGAAATATTGTTTCTGTCTGCATTTAAATAGTATTGCTCCCCTTTCTTCTAGCCTTTATGGTTTCAGAAGAGAAGCCCATTGCTATTCACATTATGTTGCCCTGTATGCAGTATGACATGTTTCATTGGCTACTTCAAATGTATTATTTGTCTTTAATTTTAACTAATTTTAATACTATGTTCCTAGGCATTGTTCTATTTCAATATATCATGTTTGTAGTTCTTTTGCTTCTGAAAACGGTACATTTACATATTTCATCAAATTTGAAAAGTTTGGGGCAATTGTTTGCTTATTTGTTTTGGAATTGTTATTCTCTTATCTGATAGAACTTTAATAATCCATATGTCAGACATTTCAATAGCATGCCATAGCTTCCCTAGGCTCCATTCATTTTGTGAATTTTTATGCGTCACCTTTCTCTTGGGTAATTTCTGTTAATCTGTCTTCAAGTTCATTCACTCTTTAATCATCTCTGTTTTGCTACTAAGGCAACAAGTGAATGGCTTGTGAAAGAAGTATTTCAGATATTTTTAAATCCTGAAAATCCATTGGATCTTTTTATGTTTTCTATTTTTCCATGCTGAATTTATAACTTTTCATTATTAAGAGTGTCTTTTTCAGCTTCACTGAGTATTGTTCTCATAGCTCCTTTATAGTCATTGTCTGTCCTACATCTAGTCACCATGAGTTACAATGTGTTCATTTTCTCATAATTTTCACTTTATTCTAGACAATGTGTATGCTAATGTGTAAATTTGTGATTCAGTTACATTGTTTAGACATGTGTTGCTGCTTTTATTTTAGTAGTCAATTAACTATGTTATACTCACACCACAGTCTTTACAAAGCCTGCAGTTGAGTGCTGTCTCACTTCAGTCCTTTAACTGCTTTTAGTTCCAACCTTTGCTGGTATGGTTCATGGATTAGCCAACAATTCAGCTGGGTATATACAAAGAATTAGGGTTTTCCTTCTGTGACTTTTTTTTCTGTCTTTTTTTTAATTATTATACTTTAAGTTCTGGGATACATGTGCAGAACATGCAGGTTTGTTACATAGGTATACGCATGCCACGGTGGTTTGCTGTACCCATCAACCCATCATCTACATTAGGTATTTCTCCTAATGCTATCCCTCCCCTCGTCCCCCACCCCAACAGGCCACAGTGTGTGATGTTCCCCTCCCTGTGTCCATGTGTTCTCATTGCTCAACACCCACTTGTGAATGAGAATATGTGGTGTTTTGTTTTCTGTTCCTGTGTTAATTTGCTGACAATGATGGCTACCAGCTTTATCCATGTCCCTGCAAGGGACATGAACTCATTCTTTTTTATGGCTGCATAGTATTCCATGGTGTATATGTGCCACATTTTCTTTACCCAGTCGATCATTGAGGGACATTTGGGTTGGCTCCAAGTCTTTGCTATTGTGAATAGTGCTGCAATAAACATAAATGTGCATGTGTCTTTATAGAAGAATGATTTATAATCCTTTGGGTATATACCTAGTAATGGGATTGCTGGGTCAAATGGTATTTCTGGTTCTAGATCCTTGAGGAATTGCCACACTGTCTTCTACAATGTTTGAACTAATTTACACTCCCACCAACAGTGTAAAAGTGTTCCTATTTCTCTACATCCTCTCCACCATCTGTTGTTTCCTGACTTTTTAATGATTGCCATTCTAACTGGCATGAGATGGTATCTGATTGTGATTTTGATTTGCATTTCTCTTATGACCAGTGATGATGAGCTTTTTTTCATATGTTTGATGGCCACATAAATGTCTTCTTTTGAGAAGTGTCTGTTCATACCCTTCACCTACTTTTGATGGGGTTGTTTGATTTTCTCTTGTAAAATTGTTGAAGTTCTTTGTAGATTCTGGATATTAGCCCTTTGTCAGATGGATAGATTGCAAAAATTTTCTCCTATTTTGTCGGTTTCCCATTCACTTTGCTGATAGCTTCTTTTGCTGTGCAGAAGCTCTATAGTTTAATTAGATCCTGTTTGTCAATTATGGCTTTTGTTGCCCTTGCTTTTGGTGTTTTAGTCGTGAAGTCTTTGCCCATGACTATGCCTGAATGGTATTGCCTAGGTTTTCTTCTAGGGTTTTTATGGCTTTTATGCCTTATGTTTAAATCTTTAATTCATCTTGAGTAAATTTTTGTACGAGGTGTAAAGAAGGGGTCCAGTTTCTGTTTTCTGCATATGGCTAGCCAGTTTTCCCAACACTAGGTATTAACTATGAAATCCTTTCCTCATTTCTTGTTTTTGTCAGGTTTTTCAAAGATCAGATGGTTGTAGATGTTTGGCGTTATTTATGAGGCCTCTGATCTATTCCTTTGGTCTATGTATCTGTCTTGGTACCAGTACCATGTTGTTTTGGTTACTGTTGCCTTGTAGTATTGTTTGAAGTCAGGTAGCTTGATGCCTCCCACTTTGCTCTTTTTTCTTAGGATTGTCTTGGCTATACCGGCTCTTTTTTGGTTCCATATGAAATTTGAAGTAGTTTTTTCTAATTCTGTGAAGAAAGTCCATGGTAGCTTGATGGATATAGCACTGAATCTATAAATTACTTTGGTCAGTATGGCCATTTTCACAGTATTTTCTGGAGTTCTCCACTTACCTTTTGGCATCTCTGGTGATCCAGAGCTTTTTGCACTTGTTTTAGAAAGACAGCATGGTGTATTATAGGAGTTTTAAACACACTGAGCTGCCACTATTGAAACTATTGTGCTCTTCAGGGTGAAAGTTTGAATAATGGAGAAGCCACTAGGATAGATAACTTCCAACTTTCCATAAATTTTCACTCTTTTCTTCAAATGTCCTGCTTTTTTTTAATTTTAAAATATTTTTATTTTTTTTTCCAGAGTTCCTAACTATCATTTGCAGGGGGACTGGTTCATAACAAACTAACCCCTCAATCCTATTTTTGTTTGCTTTGCTTATGTACTTTTGTTCTTTTGCTCATCATTTTATTTTTAATCTTTATGAATCTCTGCATTACAGAGGCAGTTTTAGTGTATATTTTGTCCTAATTTCTTTCTCATTCCCAATTAGTTGCTTACATAGCGTCTAAAATTTGGAAAAGCTAGAAATAGATTCTTATTTATAATTTATGCTTATCCAAATAAGCATTTGAACAACTAAACCCAGAAAGGACCTTAAAAATTGAGATAAATATACTTGCACACAGTCATCCAATTTATGCCAAAACAAAAGATATAAAGAAAGATTAAAAATGGATGTCTTCAAATACAATAAAATATTTAGACAGTGTGTCATAACAATACATATTTTAAAAGATTCAGGCCTTTCCTTCAATTTAGGTGTATTCTATTAACATCTTCGAGTTTTTTTTCTCTTTTTAAGGAGTACTAACTATGCATCCAATATCCTGTGTATTATCTAACTATCATATTCTCTTCTACCACTTTTACCTTTTTCTGTTTAGGGTGATTTTTCTAAAGATTTTTCTTCCTATTACTAACTCTATTTTCTGCATTTTTTTCTATTGCTTTTACTGCACTTCCATAATACACTTCCTGTGTAACTCCTATTTATTTCACGAATTCTTCCAATTTTACAACTATTTCTGTTGTCTTATCCTTTCTTTTTTTAAATCACTGTATCTCCCTTTTTGTTTTTTCCAGGCATTTTTTTTTTTTTTTTTTTGCTTTACTTTCTTTGAGGAAATAGCAAGATATCTGTCTTAAGTCTGTTATGATTGCTTTGAAATTCTTAATCTGTTGCATATTTATTATCTGCTTGCTAGTTTAGTATTTTTTATTTTTTAATTTAAAAAAATTTTGGTATCTACGCATAGTTCTTTTTGACTTATGACTCGACTTTGAATACGTTCAGTTGAATCCGAGTCTACAACTTGCACAAAAATGTAAGGCCTCTAAAAACAGGATTCGGTGAGGGTGAGCTGGTAAAAGAGAGTCTTGGACACCCTGAGCCAACACCACTGAAACTGTCATGATCTTCAACAGATAGGACAGCCAGCCCTTCAATTAAAATGTTTTTTTGATACTTTATTATTTTATCAGTTGGTTTGTTTTTATAATAGCCCCATATTCCCTTAATTTTTTAAATTTCTCATTAAAACCATTTAGAATATGCCAAGAATTAATACAAATAACATTAAAAAATTTAGTTGTTTTGTAAACACTTTTTTTGTATGTCAGGCACTAATAACTATAAATCTATAAATTTCAAATTTCAATTTTTTTTTTTGTTTTTCATTTCTTTTTCTTTTTTTTTTTCTTTTTTGACAGAGTCTCACTTTGTTGACCAGGCTAGAGTGCAATGGTATGATCATGGCTAACTGCAGCCTCGACCTCCTGGGCTCAAGCCATTTTCCTAAATTCAGCCTGCTCCAACTCTACATTACTTCCACCATTATCCCACACCCTTAATATCCATTCCCATGCCCGTTCTCCAGATTTCTGTTTATATAAATTAGAAAACTCAAGCAATTATTTTTGAGTGTAGTGGACCTCCTCATAGGTCACACTCTCAACCTCACCTCTAGGGGCCTGCTGGGACTTTAGTCTAGTCATGGGTCTAGAAGCAAACAGGGGTGTTGGGAGTGGCTCCTGAGAAGAATCAACATTATCTTGCCTGGCAAATGCCTCAGGGGAGGCCATCACTGTTGCCTCAGGCAGTGTAGGGTTTATCTCCTCAGACAAATGTGAAAAGGCTGATGGCAGCATGGGTCGGGGAGGGGTTGTTGCCACTACTGGGAATGGGGAAGCTATTTCTTCTGGCAAAAAAGTTTCATCACAGTTTACAAACTCGATGTCCCCGTCTTCATCAGGGTACTCCCACACGTCCCCATTCCAAGGTTCAGGGTCCCACTCTTTTCCAATCAATGCCGTCACTTTAACAATAGACATCTTGTGAGGCAGGCACCTTTCCATTGCACATCCGCCATTTGCGTGATAAGAGCTTGTGTCTGTTTTTCCACAATTTCAGCTCTTTCTCAACAGGAGATAAGACTCACTCAGGCAAACTTAGGAGATTTGAGGCTCAGTATCTGCTTCTGAAGCTGGGAGACAGACTCCCTGAGTTAATCATTTTCTTTCATCACTACATCCACTGAACTTAGGAGCAACCAACCAGCTTCATTATGTTCCTTGGTTCTCTACATATGGTCAAAGGTATTACGTGTAGAGTTACTAAACTCCTTGTCTCTCATGAGCAATGAATCAGGAGTGTCAAACGCATTTATTTTGCATAACTCTCTACACAGTTCACACCAAAGACTATCAGTGTTCTCCATACTATTAGAAGTAGAGTCTTAGCATTTTGGGGTCTAATCATATTAAGCAGCCAACCGCAGAAACCCCAAAACCAATGAAAGAACTCCATCCTTAATATTCTGTTCCTCTAGAACCACTCCTGGTACCAAAATATGTATTAGTCAGGGTTCTCTAGAGGGACAGAACTAATAGTTTATTAACTATAAACTCACACAATCACAAGGTCCCACAATAGACCATCTGCAGGCTGAGGAGCAAGGAGAGCAAGTCTGAGTTCCAAAACTGAAGAACTTGGAGTCAAACGTTCGAGGGCAGGAAGTATGCAGCACAGGAAAAAGATATAGGCTGGGAGTCTAGGCCCCTCTCTCTTTTCACATTTTTCTGCCTGCTTATATTTTAGGCATGCTGTCAGCTGATTAGATTGCGCCCATCCAGATTAAGGGTGAGTCTGCCTTTCCATGCCCACTGACTCAAATGTTAATCTCCTTTGGCAACACCCTCAGAGACACAACTCACAAGATCAATACTTTGTATCCTACAATCCAATAAAGTTGAAACTCAGTATTAACCATCACAATATTTTTTTCTTCTAAATAAAATGGAGTAAGAATCTCAGTTATCAAAGGTACTGATAGAGCTAGATATTATAATTAAATTTCTGTTTAGAAAACCAAATACTGCATATTCTCACTTATAAGTGGGAGCTAAATGATGAGAACACCGGGACACATAGAAGGAAAGAACATACACTGGGGTCTTTCAGAGTGGGGAGGATGGGAAGAGGGAACAGGATCTGGAAAAATAACTAATGGATACTAGGCTTAATACCTGGGTGATAAAACAACAAACCCACATGACACAAGTCTACCTATGTAACAAACCTGCAATTGTACCCCTGAACTTAAAATAAAAGTTAAAAAAATACATTTTTGTTTAATGAAAGAATGAGAAATGACACTTGTTTTCAGTACTTGATGTAAGAAAGCTTGTGCAAATACATTCACTGTCTCATTTAAATACAAAATATATCATTTTATATTTGATCATTTATGATCTGAAATAGCACTGAGTTCATGGCTTAGTGACTCAGTTGAATTAAAATAACTGAGACACGAATTTATACCAAGCACTAGTGTTTAGTGCTGGACTTGAAAAAATAAGTCACAGGATTTGATTATATTATACAATAATTGTTTTTAAAAAGCAATAATGGCCTGGCATGGTGACACACGCCTGTAATTCCAGCACTTTGGGAGACCAAGGCCGGTGGATCACCTGAGGTCAGGAGTTCGAGACTGGCCTGACTAACATGGTGAAACCCCATCTCTAATAAATACAAGAAATTAGCCGGGCATGGTGGCGCATGCCTGTAATCCCAGCTAATTGGGAGCCTGGGGCAGGAGAATCTCTTGAACCCAGAAGTTTGCAGTGAGCTGAGATCGCACCATTGCACTCCTGCCTGAGCAACAAGAGTGAAACTCCATCTTAAAAAAAAAAAAAAGGCAACAACATATTAAGCAACATAAGAGAAGCATAAACAAAGTGTAGTGAAAGAGAAGGATAAATTTGTTAGCTGTGTCACAATAATTTAGTAATATTTGAATATTTAAAAAATTTTAAAAAACTCTCAGTTGAGTTTACATTAGTTTTGTTCATCTCTATGAAAAGTAGACTTTTTAAAATATGTTTTATAGATAAATTATACATGTTCAAGAATTTGTTTTATGGTATTTTGAAAGAGAAGATAGTGGTGAATAAAGTTAAGTGAATAGAAAATTAATAATCTATTATTTGGCATTTATAATTATTTTATTTGCTTTAATTTCCCTTCTTTGTCTTTTCCCCAGTGTAGACCATGCTTTGGTTCTACCTAAAATGTGGAAATTAATAAAGAGGTACATATTTTACTTGTAAAAAGTTTTCAGAGAAGAAAAACACTTTTTTTTTTTTTAAGTGGAGTCTCGCTCTGTCGCCCAGGCTGGAGTGCAGTGGCGATTTCAGCTCACTGCAACCTCTGCCTCCCGGGTTTAAGCGATTCTCCTGCCTCAGCCTCCTGAGTAGCTGGGACTACAAGCACGTGCCACCACGCCCGGCTAATTTTTTGTATTTTTTAGTAGAGATGGGGTTCCACTGCGTTAGCCAAGATAGTCTCAATCTCCTGACCTCGTGATCCGCCTGCCTCTGCCTCCCAAAGTGCTGGGATTACAGGTGTGAGCCACCGCCCGGCCAGAAAAACACTTATTTTTACCTTTCAACATCCGAGGAAAGTCAGAACAAGAGAAACGAGGTGAATTGTTCAAGTTGACCCAAGTGATTCGCCTTACCGTTACTCTCCTAGGAGAAAATAAAAATATATTAGCTATAGATATAGGACATCAACCAATCCAAAAACAAACAAACAAAAAACCAGATCCCCCATGAAGGATTATGAAAAGCAGATGATAATGTAAATATAGTCTAATGTAAATATCATAGACAAGAGCCATGTTTCTGTCTGGCCTATTCAAAATTAACAGGCTGGCCAGGCGCGGTGGCTGACGCCTGTAATCCCAGCACTTTGGGAGGCAGAGGTGGGCGGATCGCCTGAGGTCGGCTTGGCTAACATGGTGAAACCCAATCTCTACTAAAAATAAAAAAATTAGCAGCCGTGTTTTTGGGCACCTGTAGTCCCAGCTACTCGGGAGGCTGAGGCAGGAGAATCGCTTGAACCTGGGAGGTGGAGGTTGTAGTGAGCCAAGATTGCACTACTGCACTCTGGCCTGGGTCACAGAGTGAGACTCTGTCTCAAAAAAAAAAAAAAATTCAGCAAAATTTGATTTGCTTGGAATACAAAACCACGTATACACTGTGAGTCTAACATAAACCTTTATATCATTTGAGGTGGTGGTTCTGAAACTGTATAATCGATGACTTTATTCTTTTTCTTTTCCCTTTCCCCAAAATGATGTAGTCAAGTTGCTGATGCAAAAGTCAGCATCTAATGTAATAAAAAATGTAAGACAAAGCCCACAAAGCCAGTAAATAACCTCTTTGTCTCTGATGCATGTCAGGAAATTGAAGTAAATAGATTTAAAACTCTAGCATTACAGACGATGAGATTAAAAAGCCATTAGTAGTCATAAACCCATTATAACTCTGGGCACCCAAAGACTGTTATGGAGAAATTTCTTGGCCAAATAAAAAACATATTGATATTATCCTTCTTTCATTATTCAATAAAAGGTTTAAGGCCTTGCTGTTAGCATGATACTGCTTTCTGTAATGTGGGCTTTTAAGAAGAAAAACTTCCATATGTATCCTTACCTTTTTAAAAGACACAAAGATAAAAGAACAACAAAGGTGACCACTTGCTTCATTGACATCATAAGTAAGGCAGCATCATTTAATGGTCTGAATGGAGAAAAACCCTTGCGTACTTTCAGTTTCTCCATCTGCTTTCTTTCTTAGTCTTTTCTCTTTCTGCCCTGCCACTTACCAATATTCTTCATAAACAATGAACCATGGTAGCTGGAACAATAAATGTCTTTTCTAAGCTCCTAAAAATAGAACTGTGTACTTCAGCAGACAAGGAAGAGGGGATTCTATTCTTATTGTTTCCCTTCAGGTATTCCTTTCAAAAAATGGATCCAAGGAGAAAGGCAATAACTCAAAGGCTATATTGTAAATACAGGGCCAGAATAGGCACTTATGGGAAGAAGCATGAGATACAGAAAATAAAAAACTGCTGGTCAGTAGGTATGACCATCTAAGACACTGGTGGAATCAGGTAATGAATAAAATAAAACTCAATATTTTAAGATATGAATTTATTCTCAATTTTTAATGGTATCTTTTGGCACATTCACTAAAATTCCAAATTCTCTAAAATATGTTCACATTTATGTTCATATATTAAATGAAATACGACCTCCATAAATGAATGCAGTGTACTAGTTTGCCACTCCCATCCCCATATTCCTGAAGAAAATCAACTGGAATGAAATTAACATTAAAGGAGAACTGTGTCATGAAATGACTGGTAACTCTTATACTTGGCAGAGTTCTACTTCATTTTATTAATGTTTCAATTACATCACTGCATTTCCCCCTTCTTTTTCACCATTTTACTTTATCTTATTAATTCCTCACTTTACTACACTTACAGTTATTTCTCCATCATTTTAAGAAAATTTACTCTAGGTTACAAGCATTGTGATATTAAATGTGGAGGATACGGGACCTTAAAATTTACTGAAATACCTGTGCAATTATAAAAGATTTCTACTGCATGAATAAGGCACTGGTTGAAAACTGAAAAACTATCTTTCCACAGAATAAGTCAAAATTATTATTAAAATAATCAACACTGGAATGTATTTTTAAATTATTTTTGAGAAACAATTAAAATGTTTCTTTGATCAGTATATGAATATATACTGGTTAAAAAAGAGGCTAAATCAAAACATGATTTAAAAACTACGACTGCCTCTTTACACTGTTGGTGGGACTGTAAACTAGTTCAACCATTCTGGAAGTTGGTGTGGCGATTCCTCAGGGATCTAGAACTAGAAATACCATTTGACCCAGCCATCCCATTACTGGGTATATACCCAAAGGATTATAAATCATGCTGCTATAAAGACACATGCACACGTATGTTTACTGCGGCACTACTCACAATAGCAAAGACTTGGAACCAACCCAAATGTCCAACATGATGGACTGGATTAAGAAAATGTGGCACATATACACAATGGAATACTATGCAGCCATAAAAAAGGATGAGTTCATGTCCTTTGAAGGGACATGGATGAAACTGGAAACCATCATTCTCAGCAAACTATCACAAGGACAAAAAACCAAACACCACCTGTTCTCACTCATAGGTGGGAATCGAACAATGAGAACACATGGATACAGGAAGGGGAACACCACACACTGGGGCCTGTTGTGGGGTGAGGGCAGTGGGGAGGGATAGCATTAGGAGATATACCTAATGTAAATGACGAGTTAATGGGTGCAGCACACCAGCATGGCACATGTATACATATGTAACAAACCTGCATGTTGTGCACATGTACCCTAAAACTTAGAGTATAATAAAAAAAAAACTATGACTGCCTCATGAGAAATAGCTGGTTGTAATTGGGTTGTTTATTTAGTAAACTGTCGAGTAGTTGGATGAAATTAGCAATACTATTTTGTGTAAGCATTGATATCATTAACTCTTCTCCTTATGAAATTGAGGTCCCTTAAGTTTTCAGAAAAAAAAAAAAAAAGTATTACCTACCACCTATCACCAGGGCAGCATCCTAGAGGTCATCTAAAAACCAATGTACTTTTTGGAGCATCTAACAAATAAAAGAATGGTCAAAGTGGTGTTTCAGCTTTCAGTAAATAACTAATGAGCTAGCTAGGTTCTCTATATCTACTCCTAGCTTAACTTAAGGCCCAGAAACTGTGGACCCATTATTTGCTTGTACTGGGGCCTGAGCGTCTTGGTTCTAGCATACTGTACAGCCAATCCATTACAAATGTGTTAACCACCCATAGGGTGTTAATTGGAGCTTGGTATCCTCTGGAGCATGACAAATTAATTCTCTACCAGTTAGAAATAAATAAAACTCAAAAGAGCTTTTATTAATTACCTTTTATTTAGAAAATTTAACCCTTTTTGGACTACCCCATTTACTTATCACCAGTTTAAATAAAATTAAATAGCAATTTATACCTATATCTATTCTGGTCACACAAAATATATTAGTGTAGACTTGTGATTAACATGGGGTTTTCTTATATGTTCTATTTATTGCATGATACAATTTCTTTCCTTGATTGAAAAGTCACTCCACAGGTGATTGTTGCAATCTTGCTGCAGTATAATATAAATTTGCTTCAGTATAATCTAATTGGAAGGCATTATTGCATAATTGTTAGGAGAGTACCCAAAAAGACAGGTGGGACTGGACACAGATTTTCTGTCTTAAAACTAGCTCTACTAATTACTACATATGTGATTGGAAAAACTTTGATTCATTTGGTTCTCATATATAAAATGATTCAAAATATCTCTTAGGGTTGCTGTGAAGATGAGATGTAAATGGCACACATATTGTTGAGTGTAAAATCTCTGCATATGGATTGTAACAATTCATATCTATAAATCATGGATTATATTCAGAAAATGTCATCACATTTTCTGGTCTTGAGCAAGTTTTACAAGATCATGTATTTTTAAAATTCCTTTCAACATTTGGCAAGCCCGTAACTTCCTTTTGATCAGGTTAACAGAGTTATCAGACCCACCCTTGTAAATGCACCTCATCATGTTACTTCTCTTTACAAGATCCTTTCCAACAGCTTTTCATTACAGTCAAAGACAAAGCCCATCTTTTAATGCCCTCCTAGGCCTTGCATTCTCCACCATTCTCTCCACCACTCATTCTGCTCCTGGCACACTGGTCTGCTCTCTGACCCTCCAATCTTCCAAAGGAAGTAAGCTCCTGCTCAGGATTTTTAATTTTTGTTCTCCAGTTTTCTGAATGATTTATTTCTACATGTCCTTCAGGTTTCTAGTCAAATATCACCTTATTAGAGAACATTGATGTCCCCATTATATAAAAGAAAAAGAAATCCTCCATCCTTCGTCTTCCATCTTTTAACCCTTTTTAGTTAGCCTAAACCAGAATATAAATTCCATGAGAGGAAGGATTTTTTTTAAATGCCTACAACAGTCACAGTCACATGGCAGGGACTTGAATGAGTTAGAATGAGGTTTGGCTAACAATTGTAAAATCCAAAGTGACAATGGCTTAAACAAAACAGAAGTTTGTTACATTCTCTTGTAAAAGTTCCCTATAGGTTTTCCAGGACTGGCATCATGCTCCCACTATCAGGATTGTGGGTTTCTTCATTTCAAGCCTTAACTTTCATGTGTCAGCTTCAATTCCAGACCTCCAGACCCCTATCTGTATTCTAGCCCGCATAAAGAAGAAAAGAAAAGAAGGCCACCCCCACATCCCCATGTAAGGACACTTTGCAAAGTTTGCACACATTACTTCCAGTATATCATATTGAATATTAATTAGTCATACAACCAAACTGAACTGTCAAGGAGTTTGCAAAAGAGAGTATTCTGAGCAGATATGGCTAAAATTTTACAGTTATATTATTACAGAAAATAAGAAAAATAAATATTGGTGAACAATTAGTAGACTTGGTATATTTCTCGATAAATATTTGCAGTAAAACTACATTAAAAAAAACTAATTTTTACTTCAGTTTTGATTCCATGAATTGCAAAGCAAATTCATGCAAGAGCAAAATATTCATTATATGGAGATATAATGATGATGGTCTAGCCATAGCTGTTTTTCATTCTTAACAAACTATTTTAATAATGAATGTTGAATATTCATTGGAATACTTCACTTTTAATTTAGAAGAAAATACACTGTATATAAAAACTGAACATATACAGTAAAATATTTGTTTTGCCATAGACTCACAGTCACTTAACCTCTCATTCTTCTTCTTGATCTATCTAATAGAGAGTAAAGATTGATCAGCTCACTCAGATATCCTGGAGTTCAAGAAACCCTATTCTCTTCTGTTTCACTACATTTTATATCTCAAAGTTATTATTAGTAAAGTCTGCTTTTTAACAAACAAACAAAAAACCTAGTAAAAACAATCTCAATCTCACTTCCTTTTAAAAAATAAGCTTCAATGAATTTCCCCTGTCAATTGCATTTTCTGCCTCTGAGCCTTCTCTGAGCTATTTCCCTAATCTGTGAGGCAAGGGATTCTGCCTGCCAGCTTCCTGAGCAGATCTAGGGGAAAATTAACACATCCACAACTGATCTCAAGCATTGCTGACATCTGGTTTACTCATTTTCACAGCAAACTTGCACTGCACCCTATTGCCATTTTCTTATGCACTGTTTTATCATGTGGCTCATTTCAAGAAAATGCATTTAAGTTTTAGGTACTACTCTGTGGTATGAAGTGTGGCAAACAGGAAATAAAATAGCCTTGAAATAGCATTTCCACATATATGCGGCTATAATAATCACTTCATATCAAACCTCAGAACTTTTGATATTCTCTTTTTGGTAGAAGCTTATGAAACCAGGGACAACACTGATATGTAAAGAAACTAACCTCACTTTCCAAGAAGAATAAGAATAAAGTAACAATTAAAAAATTACCCCTTTGTATGGGTTGGAGTTTATTGTTATCCCAGAAAGAGAATAAAGAATAACTCTTATTCACTTGTTGGTTTAATGATTTTTTAATAGCAGGAAAATAAAACCAAAGTTGCAGACCTTTTGATTTTGAAAAATACCTTTGAAAATCACTGTGTTTATTTTTTGTGTTCTAGTAACTTGTTTGCTCCAATTTATGTAAAAGTTAGAGAAATCTCTTTAATGTGGACCTCATATAATTTAGAATTTTTAATGAAATGCATAGTACTAAATAAAGATTCTGCTAAGAAATTTGTATAATAAGATTTATAATACACACAATGACATATAATGATCAAATCATGCTTTATAGAGAATAGAAAATTAATGAAGAATCCCTATCTGCCAATAATTAGTTTAATTTCAATGTTTTCATAAACTTAGTATTATTGAAACCACATGTAAAAATGTCTCTCTTCCATATCTTTATTGTGATTTCTGCTTCTAATCAGTCATTAACAATGCATTCTTGAATGTTCTGTTTTTTAAAAAATAGATAAATTCTTCAGTTATATATTATTAATCTGCACCAAAATTTCAGATCATATAATATTGTTACGCTATTTGGGAGAAGAACTACAGAACTTGGAAGGAGAAAAAACTGTAGCATAACATTTATGAACGTTGAAATAGAAAATTAAGAATTTTATGAAAGCAGAAGATGGTAATTTAAATGTCTATGTGATATTTGAAAACATTTATCAACTGTCACTTGGAAATGTATATTAAAAATATTTTTACAACCCTAATTATCAGGTAGAAATATGTAGGCATAGATACGTTGAAGGTAGGGTGTTAAACTTCAGCAGATTCCCCATGTAGTCATGGGAGAAATCTTTAAAAGGTAGCTAAAATTTTATTGCAAATTCCATGTTGCAGTTATAAATTTATATGGTTGTATGGCTAATAAAACTCTACTTTTGCTAAAGTAAAATTTCCTTTTTCGTTATTAAAGAGTTATAATACCTAACTTTAAATTACATAAGTGACTAACAATTTTGAAAATGGATAGTTTTAAAAATCTTAAAAGTGTTTGAAAATTAAATAACATTTTTAAAACCAAATTATCAAATGAATTAGTTTTCTTCTATATTTTTCAATCAGCGTGAGTTTCACAAATGTGCACAGTTGTATTTGGAAAAGATATGAAGTTTTTACTCTTCATGAGACCACCCAAAAAATCCATTGACCAAAAGTTAAATATATTAGACCTAGTCACTGAAGGACAGCCCACCATAGAAGAGTCTCAACAGTTTTTTACAATGGGAGCATTAGAGGGAAATATTTACAGAGCTTTAAGACTGGTCTTAATTGTTTTAAGATGGATATTGCAAGATAGAGTACTGGTTGAGTGTGGTTAGAATATATGACATAATGGCTTAAGATAGGTGTGCGTAGAGAGTCAACAATTATGAAGAATTCTCAATAAACAAGCTGCTAGCCTTGATATGTACAGTGTTTTAATTGGCTCATGATCCTGTCTTCCAGGAACAAGTATTTTCTACAGCAATTCGTTCAGTTATTTTTGACTTTCCTCAATGTTTTATAACATGGGAAAATATGCCTGTTACTGTCATTTAATATAGAAACACATAATTTTTTGGCTTAAAAACATTCTATTTGTGTAAACAGAAACACAAATTATTAATAAATAGTATAAATTTTTTTCTGATTACTGTTTGCAAATTTAATACAGACAGTCCCAAACTTAAGATGGCATGACTTATGATTTTTTGACTTTAGGATGTTGTGAGAACAATATACATTCAGTAGAAACTGTACTTAAATTACTCATACAACTATTATATTTTCCACTTTCAGTACAGTAGTCAGTAATGACATATTCAACAATTTAATATAAAGTAAGTTTTATGTTAGTTGATTTTGCTCAACTATAGGCTAATGAATGTGTTCTGAGACTAAGGTAGGCTGGGCTAAGCTATAATGTTTGGAAGTAGATGTATTAAGGGCATTATCAACTTAAAATATTTTCCATTTACATTGGGTTTGTTGGGATATCACCCCATCATATATTGAGGAGGACTTGTCTATATGTCTAAAAGTTTCTATTTATGCCTACTTATTCCTTTTAGTGCTATCTCATTGCTTCCCTTTGTGTAAATAAACTACTGTACACACCCACAACCAAAGGCAAAGACTGTCACCCTACCAACATGATAGACACGTCTAAGGAAAAATCTTTTTCCATGAAAACTACTCCATAAAATTGGAAGGAGTGACTGTTACACCAGATGCACATATATCAATGTAAGGACACAAAAAAACATGAAAAAGCAAAGAAATATAACACTTCCAAAGAAACACAATTTTCCAGCAACAGACTCCAAAGAAAAGAAAATCTATGGAATACCTAAAAAGAAAATTAAAATAATGGCCTTAAAGAAATTCAGTGAGGTACAAGAGAACACAGGTAGAGACTCCCTCCACCAAGAAATACAAAAGATCAATAAAATGAAAAGTTGACTTTTCTGAAAAGATAAAAAAATTGACAAACCATTAGCTACAGTAACCAAAAAAAGAGAGATAACTCAAGTAAATAAAATCACAAACAAAAAAGAAGATATTTACAAACAATATCATAGAAATACAAAGGATCATTTGAGATTATCATCAACAAATATACACTAACAAATTGGAAAACTTAGAAAATGGTTAAGTCCTAGACACATATAACCTACCAAGATTGAACCAGGAGGAAACAGAAAATGTAAACACAACAATAACATTTAACAAAATTAAATCAGTAATAAAAAGTCTTCCAACAAAGTAAATTCCAGGATCAATGTCTTCACTACTAAATTCTACAAAACACTTAAGAACTAACATCATTTTCCCAAATTATTCCAAAAATTTGGAGAGGAAGAAATTTTTTCTAACTCATTCTATAAATCCAGCATAATTCTAACACCAAAACCAATCAGGAACATGAGAACAAAAAAGAAACTACAGGTAAATATAACTGATGTACAAAGACAGATACATTTTTAAGAAAATAGTACCAAACCAAATCCAAATGCACATCAAAAAAATAAAATCGTACCCTATCATCAAATGAGATTTATCCCAGGGATGTAAGAATGGCTTGGCATATGCAAATTAATAAATGTAATGAATCATGTCGACAGATTGAAGAATACAAAACCATAATCATTGTGTTGACACAGATAAAGCACTTGATAAAATTGAACATCCCTTCATGATGAAAAATCTCAACAAATTTATGTGGAAGAAACATACCTCAACAAAATAAAGGCAGTAAGACAAACCCACAACTAACATCACATTGAACACAGAAAAGATTCCAACTTTCACCACTTTTATTCAACATAGTACTATAAATATAGCACAACAATTAAGCAAGAGAAAGAAATAAAGGGCATCAAAGTTGGAAAAGAGGAAGTTTAATTGTACTTCTCTCTAGGTGACATAATTTTTATATGAGAAAACTTAAAGTTACTACCAAAACACTCTTAGGTCTGTTTTAAAAATTCAGTAAATTTATAGAATACAAAATGAATATACACAAATAGGTAGCATTTCTGTACATCAATAAAAAACTAATGAAAAACAAATTAAGAAAGTCATCCTATTTACAATAGCTACAAAAAATTTAAAAGTCTAGGAATAAATTTAACCAAAAAGGTAAAAAATATATTTTATAGTTTACAATGCAAACTATAAAACATTGATCAAATAAATAAAAGAGGAAAAAAAATGGAAAGGCATTTTATGCTCATGCATTGGAAAAATTAATATTTTTTAAATGACCAAGGTCATTTAAATCTAGAGAAATCTGTAGATTTAACACAATCCCTACCAAAATACCAATGATATTCTTCACAGAAATTAAAAAAAAAACTAATCCTAAATTTCATGTGAAACCACAAAATATCTTGAATAGCCAGAGCAATAATGACCAAAAGAACAAAGTTGGATGCATCACACTACCTGGCTTCAAAATATATGGCAAAGCTATGTAACCCAAACAGCATGGTATTGGTATAAAAACGAAAGTTATGTCAATGGAACATAATAGAAACCCAATAAATAAATCCATATATTTACAGCCAACTGATTTCTGACAAGAGCACTAAAATCATACATCTGGAAAAGACACCCTCCTTCCATAAATGAAGCAAGGAAAACTGGATACTTATATGCAGAAAAAAATATCTAGATCCCCAACTCTCACCATATACAAAAATCAACTTAAAATGGATTAAAGACTTAAAGTCAGGCCCAAAACTATAAAACTATTAGAAGAAAACAAGGTAAAATGCTTCAGAAGAAAACATAGGTAAAATGCTTCAGGATATTGGTCTAGGAAAAGATTTTATGGATAAGACTTTGAACAATAGCAACAAAAGCAAAAATAGGAAAACAAACTATATCAAACTAAAAAGCTTCTGTAAAACAAAGGAAACAATCCACAGGGTAAACAGATTACCTGGTAGAATGAAAGAAAATATTCACAATCTATTCATCTAACAGGAACTATTACCCAGTATTTACAAGGAACTCAAACAACTAAACAGTAATAATAATAATCCATTTAAAACTAGGCAAAAAATTAAATAAACATTTCTCTACTGAAGGCATACAAATGGTCAACAAGTATATGAAAAAAATGCTAAACATTGCTAATCATCAAGGAAATGCAATCAAAACCACAATGAGATATTTTATCACCCCACTTAAAATGGCTGTTATCAAAAAGACAGGAAATAACAAAATTTGGTGAGGATGCAGAGAAAAAGAACTCTTATACACTGTTGATGGAAATGCAAATTATTAAAGGCATTATGGCAAACAGTATGGACATTTCTCAAAAAAACTAAAAATAAAACTTTCATATGATCCCAGCAAGTAGCTATCCCACTACTTGGTATTTATCCAGAGGAAAGGAAGTACTATATCAAAGAAATAGCTACACCTTCATGTTTATTTGTTTATTTATTTATTTTTGAGATAGAGAGTCACTCTTGTCGCCCAGGCTGGAGTGCAATGACGCGATCTCGCCTCACTTCAACCTCTGCCTCCCAGGTTCAAACAATTCTCCTGCCTCAGCCTTCTGAGTAGCTAGGATTACAGGTGCGTGCCACCACTCCTGGCTAATTTTTTTAATTTTTAGTGCAGATGGGGTTTCACCATATTGACCAGGCTGGTCTCGAACTCCTGACCTCAGGTGATCCACCCACCTCAGCCTCCCAAAATGCTGGAATTGCAGGCGTGAGCCAACACACCCAGCCACCTTCATATTTATTAGAGCACTTTTCAAAATACCCAAGATATAGAACCAACCTAAATGTTCACCAACCTATGAATGGTTAAAGAAAATGTGGTATATAGACACAATGGAATACTATTCAGCCATAAAAACTATGAAATCCTGTCATCTGTGGTAATATGGATGAGCCTGGAGGACATTATATTAAGTGAAGTAAGCCAGGCACAGAAAGATAAATACTGTATGTTTTCACTAATATATGAAAGGTAAAAAAAAAGATGAGCTCATAGAAGTTAAAAATAGAATTGTTATTAGAGACTGAGAAGGGGAGGGAAGAGGGAAGGATAGAAATGTTGGTTAATAAATACAAATTTACAGCAAGATAGGATGAATAAGTTCTAGTGTTCTATCACACTACAGAGTGACTATAGTTAATAATAATAAACTACATATTTTTCAACAGAAGAGAGGATTTTGAATGTTCCCAATACCCACAAAAAATAAACGTTTGAGATGATGTGTATGCCTGTTACCCTGATTTGATCATTACATATTCTATACGTGTGCCAAAATATCACTTTGTATCTGATAAATATGTACAATTATTAAATGTCAACTAAAAATAAAAGGAAAAAAAATATCTGTACTATCCAAACTGATATGCAGATATACAAATTCAACAAAATGTCTAACAAAATTCCAATAGCATTTTTCAAAAAACAATTCTCAAATTCACATGGAACCACAAAAGACCCTGAATAGCCAAAGCAACCTTGAGAAAGAAGAATGAAGTTGGAAGGACCATACTTCCTGGCTTCAAATTATATTATGAAATATAGTAATAAAAATACTATAGTACTGGCATAAAAATAGACAAGTAGGACAATGGAACAGACTAGAGAGACCAGAAAACAAAACTCAAGCAAATAGGGTCAAGTAATTTTTGACAAGGACATCAAGAATATATAATTAAGAAAGGATATCTCTTCAATGACTGATGTTGGAAAACTGAATATTCTCATACAAAAAAATGAAATTAGAACATTATTGTACACCATTCATAAGAGTCAACTAAAAATTTATCAAAGACTTAAACTAAGTCCTAAAACCATAAAACTTCTAAAAGAAAGCACAGGGAAAAAGCCCCTTGATATTGACAACAGCAGTTTTTGTTATTGTTGTTGTTTTGGTTACAACACCAAAAGCTCAGGCAACAAAAGCGAAAATAAACATTTTGTAAAAGCTTCTATACAACAGAAGAGACAATCCACAAAGTGAAAAAGTTATGTATGGATTGGGATAAAATATTTGCAAACCACACATCTGATAACGAGTTAATCTCCAAAACTTACAAGGATCTTACACAACTCAATGCCAAAAAAAAAAAAAAATTAAAAATAAATGATTATGAAGTGAGCAAATGAACCGAATAGACATTTTCCAAAGAAGACAGACAAATGGCCAACACGTATATGAAAAGCTGTTCAACATTATTAGTCATCAGGGGAATACAAATCATAATGCAATGAGCTATCTTCTCATGCCTATCAGCATTGCTATTCTCAAAGAGACAAAAGATAAGTGTTGGCAAAGGCGTGGTGAAAAGGGAACCCTGATACACTTTCAGTGGGAATTTAAATTGATGAAGCCATTATGGAAAACAGTATGGAGGTTTCACAAAAAAATAAAAATACACAGCACTATCATACAATCCAGCACTCTCACTTCTGGGTATATAGCAAATGGGAACAAAATCAGTAACACTTAGACATGTTATTTCTGTCTTCTTTGGTGCAGCATTATTTACAAAGGCCAAGATAGGAAAACAACCTAAGTATCCATCAATGGATGAATGGCTAAATAAATTGTGAGATATATACTCACACTATTCAGCCACCTGTGACAACATAGATGAGCCTGCAGGATGTTATGCTACGTGAACATGCCAGACACAGAAAGAAACGTATTGCATGATCTCACTTATGTGTGGAATTTTTAAAAGTCTAACTCAGAAAAAGTCAAAAGGTGGTTACTGTGAATGACAGGTTCAGGGGAGCAGATAAGGGATGATGGTCAAAGGGTACAAGTTTGGAGTTATGTCGGATGAGTAAGTCTAAAAATCTAATGTAAAGTGTGATGACTATAGTTTATAATATTGTATTGTATACTGAAAATTTGTCAAGAGAAATATATTTCAGGTGCTATTACCAAACACACACACACACACACACACACACACACATACACACAGAGTGGAGGGGAGATAGAGAGAGAGAGAAAGAGAGACAGAGAAAAGGTAAATATGTGAGGAGGTATTAGACCGAAGTAATTATTTTAATATGTATATCTATATAAAAACATCACGTTATACAACTTAAATGTATATAATAAATTTAAAGACACATGTATAAAAAAAGGGCCTGATTTGTAACACTGTATTATGAAAATACATCAAAATATGTAAATAAATAGCAACCCAATTTTAAAAATTAATTATAGTGAGAATAATAAAATTAATAATGGTTATGCTTTATGTTTATTATAAGATTTATCCATAATCATATGCTACTGTTATCGCCACTTAAAGCACACAGATACCAAGACAGACAAGCTCAAAACAATTTGAGAGGATCATCGATGGGTTGTGGCTAGAATTTGACTCAAATGCCTAAGTTTACCTACTAGGGTGAAAGGAACATTTCTACTTAAAATAATTTAAAACAATATTGAGTAAGTGAAAAAGAAAGATATCATAGTTTTTTATTGTAAAACTAGGTGTTTCTATCCCAGAAAACAATCCAAGTGTTTTTCTCTAAAGATGGAACGAATTGTTTGGGAGACCAGGAACATTTAGTGGCCTAGAAAAATAAGAGGCGAGGTTGGCAAGTAATTTTTCCATATCCAGGATTTTAATCAACCCCATTTTTTGGACCAATATTCTCTGATCTTGGGACCAATATATCTCTTTCTGCTGTTTCATACATATATTATGTAGACTTTCTGGTATCCTCCAAGGCATTTTGAATATCTCATTACCTGTATCTAACTTAAACTGTGGCTTTCTCCTTTTGTACCTATACTTAACACTCCTTAAGTTGATTCTCTTAGTGTCAAACTTGTTGAAATTTCTCATTGGTTATCTCTCTGTATTTGACATTGTTCTAACAGTCGTATAATCTGTTGCTGGGTGTTTATATGTAGTATTTTCATTACAATATCATACTTTTGAAGAGCAAATCAATGGCCTGGGAAAAAAATCAGAGGGCATAGTGCCTCATTACCTCTTTGTTAATGTTTTTCTACCTCAATCCTTACAATTTTTATCCCGTGTATGGACTTAAAATAGTATGTGTTGTTGGTTGGGGGAAGATCATAAGTGAAGACAAGAGAGATGAAGTAAATAGATAGAGTTTGACAATGGGGCATTCTGGGGGAAGTTAACACCATGGAGTCGAAAACTTTGTTAGATACTTAGATATCTGGAAACTTTAGGCATTAATGTGTGTGAATATTTCTATATGAGTTCATAATAACGTACAAAAAGAACCCGCAAAGCAAACAGACTTGATGCTGAACTTGTTTATACCTTCCAAAGAGCCAAAAATTGAGAAGGCACTCATAAAAATTAATATCCAACCTCCACTTTCAAATTTTCAGTGTGACAAACTTCATAGAATAACTTCCCAGCAAAACAAATGAAACTGGTGAAAATTACTTTAAAAAATCACATAATACCTGTTGAAATTGTCTTAAGGGTTTAAGTAAAAATAAAAAGTCACATTTATTCAGAGAAATCTATAGCTAAGAAAGGCCCTCCTGATGCCAAAACAAATCTTACAGAATTGCCTCAAAAACTATCCCTGCAAAGGGGCCTGTCTGAATCTATTTAGCAATGCCATAATACAATACCTGAGACTAGGTAGTTTATAAACAGAAATTTTTTGGCTCACAGTTCCAAAGGCTTTAAGTTTAAAGTCAAGGTGCCAATAGGTGATTTTCTTCTTTCTCTAACAAAACTGACTAAAGAAGAAATAGAAAATCAGAATAAAACTATAACAAGTAAAAGACTGATTAATCTAAAACTACTCAAAATAGTGCAAGATGGCATCTTGCATTCTGTGTACTTTAGACAGGAAAATTCGGATTCTCACATGGCAGAAAGCAAAAAGGCCAAAAGGCAAAAGGAAGCCAAACTCACCCTTTTATAACACTATTCATCTCATATATGAGATAATTCTCATAGCCTTATAACCTCTTAAAGCCTCCACCCCTTCATACTGTTACAATGGCAATTAAATTTCAACTTGAGTTTTGGAGAGGGCAAACGTTTAAATTATAGTAGGTCTAAATTTTACTAGATCAAATGGTGAAGTAATGTGTGCTCCAAAGCATCACTGAAAATTATAGATTAGTCAGCTGTCATTAGCGAGTCTAACAGCTGTATATGACATCAGCATCGGAAGACAGCTTAATAGAGAGATTAAGGGAAAAGACGAAGAGAACTTTGATAAAACCATTGTCATCCAAAGGTAATGGCATATGCCTAGGGCTGTGCCTCTAAAAAGCAAAATATCAAGCTTCACACTGAGGGAGAAAATAGATTTTACAAAAATAAACCTGCCAAATCACTATGTAAATAAGTGGGAAAATAAGAAAAGCCCTGAGGTGGGGTGGGAATCCGTATTTAGAGTTATTACACTATATTGTCTAAATGTCTACTTTTCCACAGAAAATTACAAGAGACATAAACACACAGGACAGTATAGGAAAAAATAAGGCAACAGAAATTTCTTGGGAGAGGGTCCATATCTCAAATTTAACATCAGACACACAGATTTTAAAACAACAAAATAATCACTACCGTTAAAATTGAATATTTTATAAGGATAAAAGAGTTAACCCATCTGGAAGATATTACAACTTTAAACACATGTGCACCTAACAACAGAGCCTTAAATTACATACAACACAAACTTTAAAAATTGAAGAGAAATAAATAACTCAACAATAATAGTTTCACACTTCAATATGCTACTTTTAATAATGTATAAAATTACTAAGCAGAAGATGAAAAAAGAAATAGATGGTTTGGACAACATTATAAAATAAATAGAACTAACAGACATCTATAGCACACTCCACTCAACAACAGTAGAATAAACATTTTTCTCAAGTGCACATAGAATATTCCCTGTGAAAGATAATATGCTAGCCCATAAGCCCAGAATCAATACATTTAAAAGTATTAAAATTATATAAACAATATTCTCTGATAACAATGGAATTAAATTAAAAATATACACCAATAGGAAATTTGAGTAATTAATATGCAAAAAAGAAACAACATATTCCTAAATAGCCAATAGGTTAAACAAGAGATTCCAAAATAAATTAGAAAATATGTTTTTGTAATTAAACAGAAAATTCACATTAAACTTATGGAATGCAATTAAAGTTGCAAATAAATTAGTTAACTTTGATGAAACTGACAAATCCTAGAAAATCACAGAGTAATAAAACTGACTCAAGAAGAATTAGAAAATTAGAATAAAATTATAACAAGTAAAAAGATGGATTTAGTAATCAAAAATTTCTCAAAAGAAAAGTTCAGGAATAAATGACTTCACTGGTGAGCTCTACCAAATATTTAAAGGATATTTAATACCATTTTTTCACAAATTATTCAAAATGTAGAAGAGGAGGAAATATTACTCAATTCATTTTATGAGGCTTGTATAATTCAATTTTAAAGCCAACAAAGTCATAAGAAGGAAATTACTGTCCAATTATTCAAATGAGTATAGATACAAAAATCCTCAATGAAGTATAAAAAAACTAAATTAAGCAACATATAAAAAAGAATTATGCACCATGAACAATTGAGATTTGAACAATTGAGATTTCTTCATGGTGCATAGGAATGCAACTTTGTTTTACATCTGAAGATTAATTAACATAATACACTATATATTATACAATAAAGAATAAAAGCCATCTGATCATCTCAATAGATATAGAAGTGCCATTTAACAAAATATACTGATCCTTCATTACAAAAATATTCAACACACTTAGAAAAGAACTTCCTCAATTTGAAAAAAGGCATCTACAAAAAAATTCAGCTAACATCAAAATACATGGGGGAAGAGTGAATTGTTTGTCCCTTAGATCAGGAACATGACAAATATGTTGCTTTTCACAATTTCTTTTTAACATTTTATTGGAAGTTCTAGTCAGGGCAATTTAACAATAAATTAAAAGGCATTTAGATGATAAAAAAATAAAACTATCGTATTTGTAGATGCATTATCTATATAAGAAAACCTTTAAGAATCCACTAAATTATACTATGAGGACTAATGAACAAGTTCCAATAAGTTGCAGGATACAAATAAATATATTTTTAAAGCAAATTATTTTCTCTGTATGCTAGCAATCAATAACCCAGAAAAATAGTATGAAAAACAATACTAATTATAAAAGTAAAATAATAAAATTTAAAATAGAAACAACGAAAGAAGCATAAAACTTACATTGCAAAATTACAAAACATTGTAAACAGTAAAAGAAGAACTAAGGAAATGGAAATATGTCCCATATTCATTAATTGGAAGACTTAGTATCACTAAGATGGCACTATTCTGTAAATTGATATACAAATTAAATGCCATATCCAATTCTTATCTAAATTCTATATGGTTTATTTGAAGAATTTCCAAGCTTATACTAAAAGTCATAGGGAAATTCAAGTGCTCAGAATAGACAAAGCAATCTTGAAAAATAACAAAGTTGGAAGACTCAGCCTTCCCAATTTCAAAATTTATTGCAATATCTTTGTCTTGATACTGCAATTAAGACAGTGTGGTACTATCATAAGGAGAGACATAAAAATCGATGGAATATAATTGAGAGTCCAGAAATAAATCCTGATAATTATGGCCAATAGATTTTCAACAAGGATGTTAAAATAATTCAATGATAAAAGATAGTTGTTGTTTTTTAACAAATGATGCTGGAGCAAGTGGATAGCTGTATGCAAAAAAATTAAATATAATCTCTATACCATATCAAAAATTAACTCAAAATGGAATAAGTCTCTAAATATGAGTTAAAGGTTCTAAACTTGTGAAAATGATTTCTTGACACCAAAATCACAAGCACCAGAAAGAAAAACTGTATAAATTAAACTTGATCAAAGTAAAAACTTTTTTACTTCCAATAATACCATAAAGAACAAAGACAACCCAGGAAGAGGGAGAAAGTATTCACATGTTACATATCTGATAAAAGGCTTGTATCTGGAATATGTAAAGAACTCTTACAACGTAGTAATAAAAAGACAAATAACCCAACAAAAAAATGGACAAACAGTATTCAAAAAAGATAAACAAATTTGTATCTTCAACATTTTTGGCAGACACAAGACATTGATTTACACTTATGCAGATGAATATAATAAAAAAGACATGATGACTGTTGATAAGAATGTGGAGAAATCAGAACCCTCAAGCATGGCTGTTGAGACTGTTAAGTGGTTTCTCCCTTTGGGAAATATTCTGGAAGATCCTCAAAAGGTAAAACATAGAGTTGTCATAAGACCCAGCAATTCTACTCATAGATATATATCCAAAATAAGTGAAAATATATGTCCACACAACAATATATACACGAATATTCTTTACAACTAGAAAGTAGAAACAACCAAAATGTCCGTAAATTGTTAAATGGATAAACAAAGCAAGGTATATTCATTAGACTACTATTTAAAATAAAATAAAGGAATCACATGAAATACTGATAGATGCTATAAAATGAATAATAGGCTGGGCACGGTGGCTCACGCCTGTAATCCTAGCACTTTGGGAGGCGGAGACAGGCGGATCACGAGGTCAGGAGATCGAGACCATCGTGGCTAACACGGTGAAACCCCGTCTCCGCTAAAAATACAAAAAAAAAAAAAAAAAATTAGCCGTGCATGGTGGCGGGCGCCTGTAGTCCCAGCTACTCGGGAGGCTGAGGCAGGAGAATGGCGTGAACCCGGGAGGCGTAGCTTGCAGTGAGCTGAAATCGCACCACTGCACTCCAGCCTGGGCGACAGAGTGAGACTCTGTCTCAGAAAAAATAATAATAATAATAATAATATTTGAAAACATTTTCTACGTGTGATAATCCAGTCACAAATATCCCATCACATTATTTTATTTATATTAAATCTACAGAATAGGCAAATAGAAAGAATATTACTGGTTGCCTAGCACTTGGGGGGAATTGGGGAGGTGAGAGAGGGAGGAGTTAAGGAGAAATGGAGGGTTACTGCTATTGTGTTTGGGGTTTCCTTCTGGAGTGATGAAAATATTCTAAAATTGATGAGGGTGATAATGCACAGCCCTGTGAATATACTAAAACCCACAGAGTTATACACTTCAAATAGGTGAATTGTATATATTTGAATTATATAATACAGTTATTAAATTAGTATCTATTTCATATTACTTACATTTTATGTATAATTAGTAATATATTTATATATTCGTGTGTGAGTAAAAGTACTTAAATGCATATATTTATTTGTGAGAGAAAGTAAAAAGTACAGCATGTATGTCTTTGAATGACATTTGGAATCCTGAAATAATTGTTTATCTTTATATAAGTGAACATTCTATTTCCTGAATAACATTTATTCTTTCTAATTTATTGTAGAATTAGTGCCCACTAAGTGAACAATCTTCCAGAATATTTCTGATGGTTATGGTTACTAATAAAAACTTCAACTACTGAATTTTTATCACTAAGACTGACAAATCCATAGGAAAGGACACTATGAAGTAAGAGCAAAATTCCATAATCTTTAAGAATTTCCTTAAGGAGATAACAATTTTGAATAAAACATGAAAATTTGCTCCCCTGGTTTGTAAACAAATGGTTACTTAATTGAAAATCTGTCCTAAAGCACTGCAATTATAATCTCACTTCCATGTTATTCAGACTTTGCTCCAAGCATTTGCATTTTGATACACATTTTGACATTTTGCAATATGTACATGCTGCATAATCAAATGGCATGAAATATTCAGATAAAACATAATACATCAGTACAGTGGTTTCAAAAATAGTGTCTTTATTTGTAACTTGAAAAATAAAGTTACAAAAAAAGTGTTCATTAGGGGATAATATATACATTAGGAATCTTGTGTATATATATGAGAAATATAACATGTATATGCTATATGTCTATATGAGAAACACAGTATCAGTTTTATAACTGACAAACTTATTTACAATAATGATATTTATATAAATTATGGTTTTTTTCCAGCAGAAATGCTATATGGATGTACTGTCCTTTCATTCACCACTGCTGAATTGTTTATTTTTATTCCAAATGTCACAACTACAAGAATATATTTCAAAAACATTCTAACCACTGATAAGAAATTAACTTCATGCTCTCTAGGAATTTAGACTTCTTAGTGTATAATTATGAAAGATGATCTGATGATCTCTGAATATTGTTTTTTTTTCTTTCTATTCCAGTATTAGGCAACAGTACCAATTCATCTACTTCTGACCTCCTTGAATAGGATCAAATGTCTAAATCAACATTGTGATCTTTGCTTATAATCTTCTGTAACATTTGTTTTATTTCTTGTTTACTTTTGAGAAAATTGCCCTAAAAAAGTGAAAGCTGAAGTAAAGAAAAATGTATAGTGAAATAAACAAATCTGGGCTTTCACATTCTGCTTTTAATTCAAGAGGAAAAAAAAACAAAAAACAAAACACCTCAACCTTTTTCCTGTAAGTACATTTTCATATAGAAATGTTTTATTCTTAACCTATAAAATTGGTCAAAGAATAATAATAAACTACCAGTATGGCCAACATCATTCTGATTCAGTCTTACCCAAACAACAGAATTATTTTATGCTGCAAAATTTTAACTGTCTTGGCCAGCAATAAGGCCTAAAAGATCTGAAGCAATCTGGCCCCACTGAGCTTCTGAGGACTCCCTTCTCACTGAAGAACAACTTTAGCGTTGGTGCCAAATTTAAGCAAGAGAGAAACCTTAGGCAGGCAAGTCAAGTTCCACATAAAAGTCATTCTCAGCAAACTATCACAAGAACAGAAAACCAAACACCACATGTTCTCCCTCGTAAGTGGGAGTTGAACAATAAGAACACATGGACACAGGGAGAGGAACATCACACACTGGAGCCTGTCGTGGGGTGGGCAGCTAGGAGAGGGATAGCATTAGGAGAAATACCTAATGTAGGTGACGGGTCGATGGGTGCAGCAAACCACCACGGCACGTGTATACCTATGTAACAAACCTGTGCTTTCTGCACATGTACACCAGAACTTAAAGTAGAAAAAAAAAAACCATAAAAAAGTCTAAAATTGGAGGAGGGAAACAGAAGCAGGAAATCTGACAAAGCAAGCTACCGTAGTTTTTAACGCTACCCTAAAATGACAGAAGTTGAAGTTGTGGAAAGCTATAAACGCTTTGAGTCAAACTTTTTTCTTTATGTTTGTAAAAACAAATTAAAATAAGAATAAACAAGGGGCAAGTATTGAAGTTAAATTCCGTAGAAAATTATTTTAAAAATAATTCAGAATAAGGAGTCTTATAACATCCTGATAAACATTTTAAGTATACTAAAAAGAAAATAATAATAATAATACTAAAGGAAGCAATTCATAATATATTATTTCAAAACAAGTTGAAAGACATTATTATGCACAAAAATTTGAAAGAACAACATAAACAGAATTATAACAACTCAGAAATAGATGACAATTCAAACAGATGAATTAATATGAAAGGAAATAATATGAAAGGAGTATTTATTTTAATGAAGACTAAACTAGGAGAAACACATGGTTTAATACGCACAACAAAAATTTCTTAAGAGAAACAGATCAACAAAAGAACATTTTAAAAATATACAATAACAAAGGATGGAATGAAACATATTAGAGAGAAAGTAATGAGTATTGAGGATTGATAAAGAGGATTGAACATATAGACACTACAGTTCCTGAAGAACCTAAGGAAAGTATCAGAGAAAATAATCATTAATATGTTCCTTTCAAGGTAAATTTTCTTTTAAAAAGTTTAAATTTCACATTAATGGATGCGCTGTGCATCTGAGAATATTGACTATAATGGTAAAAATCTATCCTAGTAAAACTATTGCACTTCAATGAAGATAAAAAATTAAACATATGACTTGGAAGGAAAATGAAACTAGAATCTTATCAGACTTTCAAAAGCAATTTTCATGTGACGATAGAGTAATATAACTAAGATATTCAAGGAAAGAACATGTGAACCATGGATTTTAGATTTAGGAAATTTGAGCTTCAAATGTGAAGGATAGAGTCAAACTGTTATCAAGTGGCAAAAACTCAGGGAATGTAGTTCCCAGGAGTTCTTCCTAAAGATTTTACTCAGAGCAGGCTTCAGGAAAGCAAGACAACCAGAGAGATTTAGGCATAAGAGGTGGTGTGAGCACTAATTGTTTCTATAGGATCAAAATTCAGTGAGAATTAAAATGGGGAGAAAAGAGTATGTAATGGCTATCTGATCTGATAATTCAGTTATATTGCAACTATTACCAAATGAGAAGATAACGAGGTTAGCATATATCAACATTATAAGGCATGTTCAATAATAATAATTGGTGATAAATAGAAGTATTAATATAGTTAATCTATAACTGTTTATGTAAAGAAGATACTGAAAATATGTAATTATCAGTTATATTAATCCTATCATCACCTATTTTTATTGAAAACCAGAATTCTCAGTGTGGAATTAAGAAGATTCAGTTGTAATATGGGAGAGATTAAGTAAAATCCTTGTGATGCTGCCACATATGGAATAGAAAGAGCAGCATGAAAACATGAGATATTTTGCCATTAAATACACACACACACACACACACACACACACACACACACACACACACACACACACAGAGAGAGAGAGAGAGATTTCCAAGCTAGTATATATGCCTAGTTTCATTCATTAAAATTGTCCTAGAAACAATGACCAGTGCAGAAGCATTTGGCTTCCATAACACCAATAATGGACCTGATATGTTATTTCCTATTAGAAGAAACCAGAGCTTCATGGAACAACAATTGATTCTCATTGCGGGGCATAAAATATACAATAATCCTGAGACATCTTGACATACGGTTATTTAAGAAAGATCTCCAAGATATAAAAGGACTCTGGACCTCTCCCCAATATAAAACCATTACTGAATGAAAATAACAGCAACTTATTCTTGCATTAGGTTTATTCTTGCATTAGGTTAAAACACATAGTACCTAAAGTAAGAATTTAATTTCAGACAAGATATTGACAATAATTAATATGTCCTTGTTAGTAATTTATTTTTTTTAATTGTACTTTAAATTCTGGGATACATGTGCAGAACGTGCAGGTTTGTTAAATAGGTATATATGTGCCATGGTGGTTTGCTGCACCTATCAACCTGTCATCTAGGTTTTAACCCCCACCTGCATTAGGTATTTGTCCTAATGCTTTCCCTCCCCTTCCTCCCAAACCCCTGATCAGCCCCAGTGTGTGATATTCCCCTCCCTGTGTCCATACTTTACCATTGTTCAACTCCTGCTTACTAGTGAGAACATACAGTGTTCGGTTTTCTTTTCCTCTGTTAGTTTGCTGAGAATGACAGCTTCCAGCTTCATTCATGTCCCTGCAAAGGACATGAACTCATTCTTTTTTATGGCTGCATAGTATCCCATGGTGTATATGTGACACATTTTTAAGAATACACTTCTGTGACAAAATGCAGGCTCAATTCTCAAAATATGAAAAACGTTGTGCGTTCTGGACCAACTCCTAAAAAGAATGCTTAAATATTTAGGAGATGGAGTCATTGCTTACACACAATGAACACCGATTGATTTTTAGATCAACTTCAAGTTAGTTGGTTATCAAACCATTTCGAAAAGGTCAGTTTTTGTGTTAGTTTTCAATTTGCATTATGCATCAAAGCAGTTGTTTATCTGGTACAGGTCACAGGATTTTGATATATTGTAAGAAAGAGAGATTTTTTAAAAAATTTCTCTAATGAGGCATGTCTAGAATAACAAAGTTGTTTGTGGTTTATGGGATTAAGCTAAACAAATAATTCTCTCCCTAGTGATTACCTATCATATCCAAATCTTAATGAATAATTGATATAGATAATATAAAGGAGTTTTTATCATAGTAGAAAATATTCATCTGTTATATATTCATAATAAATTATCAGACATCAATAAACCTATTGTTATGACAAGTATTTAATACAGTGCATAATTTTAAATGGTCACAGTGAATGAATAACTACCACTTCTAAGGCCCACCCACCAGCTCAATCCAATTGCAGGAAACATGGATATTTTTATGATTCTAGTTTTGCAAATAGTCACAGTATTTTTAAAAATAATTATGTGTTTACTTAGAACGAGAATCACACTAACAGGCCCTTGGGGAAAAAAAAAAAAAAAAGAACATCTTTGTAGCATTAGTAGGTTGAGATTTTAATCAAAAGGAGTTCAGAAATTGTGAATACCTCAGTTGACTAAGGTATAAATATTAATTTCTAAATATTAGAAATAGCTGGAAAGTAACAGAAGCCTAGTTCATTATTGATCTCATGATCAATCCCTGCTTAATCTAGAAAAATCACTTTCCTATCTATTGGCAATTTCACTGCTTTATGGATTTGATGCCTCCTTTAACATCCTTATTGATAGCTAGATCAACACTTACTTATTTATAACTATACTTGCATGGTTTACTTTGTATACACAAAAGTCCCTTGAAACCTGAACACTTAATCATTCTCCTGTTTTACAATACTAAATGGATTAAATGTTGCTAGAGAAGAACCTGTGAAATTACTATAAAAGTTAGCAGTTAGAAAAGTGGTCAACTTGCTGATAGCTTCCAATTAACAGTTCATTATCTATGTTAAAGCATCTAAGAAGTACTTTATCACTTATGTTGAAACCTAGATATTTCTCATGTCTATTCAAATGTAAATACAAAGATTTATAACACAGGATCCCAAACCATTCCTACCTAAATCTAGCATCTTCTGAATCATATACTTAAATTTGACAAATGAAATGTCATTAACCTAATATAAATCCTCCATTTTCTGCATTGACATAAGATAAATAAAAGGAAATCCCTTGTACCAGATGTTGTTTCAATCCTAGTAAGCTAAATTTGTTCACACTCATGTCCATCTGGGGAATGTAGACCAGACTTGGACTTAAGAAGATGGAACATGACAGATTTATAAAACTAGAGTTCCTAGCAGTAATTTGAAACAGAGTTAAAAAGGCATCCTACTAATACAATTAGAACACACTAATACTTCTCTGTACATGGACCAAGGATGTGAGTGGTATTTCTCCTGAAAAAAAAAATCATATTTTAAGCCTGAGCTTCCATGGCCATGTATGTCAAATATATAAGATCTGCAGTGTTAAAACCAACAAATAGAAAACTATAATAAAACTTAATCAAAGGCCTGTTTTACTTAGACATCCAAAAACAAAATGGGTTACCCAAAGCCATTATGAAATACAAAGGTAAAACTAACACTTAGTCTTTAATTAACTTTAACCTAGTTGCTAGTCTTCCATGGAGCAGATTATACACATGACCAGAAGATTTAAGTTTTGTGTTGACATCAGACGACAAGCCAGGAGCTTGGGTTTTTCTGTTTTTCTTTATTTTTGTGTATTTATGTATATATGTGTGTTTTGGGTTATTATTTGCTTTGGTTAATTGTTTTATCATAATTAAAATTTTAATCAAAATGTACAAAACATAATTCAATGAAAATGATTGACTGTCATAATAAAACTTTACCATAAAATTTCAGCCAATTGGTTATTCTAAAAGCTTGACTACTATTCAATCAATATGCTTCATTCAAAGAAAAAGAAAAAAAAATCAGCAATCACAAATTTCTTTTTTTTTAAATTATTATTATTATTATGGAGGTAACTCCATGTGGTCTACAGGGATCACACACTTTGGTTGAATATGCTTAATTGCCTGAGAACTCTGCCACAAAGACTCCCTACACTTAGGCCTATTTTCTTTGGCTTCAGTATTAAGGATCACTGCTTTTGCAGATTGTGTTTCTCATTTATCTGTATTTCATGACCAATCTGTATTAATTCTGTTTTAACAGCCTCCTGGTCTTCTTAACTAGTAAAAGAGCTGAGGCCGGGCTTGGTGGCTCATGCCTGTAATCCCAGCACTTTGGGAGGCCAAGGTGGGCGGATCACCTGACGTCGGGAGTTTAAGACCAGCCTGACCAACATGGCGAAACCCCATCTCTACTAAAAATACAAAAATTAGCCAGGAGTGGTGGTGGGCGCCTGTAATTCTGGCTACTCGGGAGGCTGAGGCAGGAGAATTGCTTGAACCCGGGAGGCGGAAGTTGCAGTGATCCGAGATCGCGCCATTCATTGCACTCCAGCCTGGGTGACAAGAGCAAAACTCCGTCTCAAAAAAAAAAAAAAAAAAAGAGTTGAGTGATGGTACGTACCTGTCTTTGACTAAAAAAAAAAATGACAACAACAAAAAAAAACTTGGCATGTTTACCATATTCTGCAAAATTTTCAGCAACTGAGTACTTCTTCCTCATAACCAGGTCATCAAGCCAACAGTTCTAATGACTAATACTATTTTCATTTGGCTGTAAAAGGAATAATCCAATTGTCTTATCTGTGTCTGTTATTCTTGCAGTAGTTTTTCTCATATGTACCTGTGTCGGTATTTCCTTTTAACTTGTGGTTGATGTTACCTGACGTTACCTGACGTTAGTTTTCTCTATATCTGTAAGTGAAGGAAGTCTCATTATTGTACCAGACAAAACATAATTAGATGTTATAATGATGTGTTTTTAAGTTTAGCCCTTCACGTAGGCCCTTTGGATATGCATGGATTGTAGGTATTTGCCAATATACATCATGCTTGTGTTTAATTAAAACAGACAGATCTACCGTCAAGGGAAAGGAAATGTATAGACTGAGGTAAAAAGTTAATCAAGTATTGATTAAATTATAGAGTACAAAGGTTGTTTGGCTTGTGTAATAACACTTGTATGGAAATATTAGGTGACTTGAGTTTGTACTCCATAACTTCTGAATGACTACACAAGAAATCTGAAAGGATGAGTGCATCAATTTGAATATTTCTGTCTCAAGAAGTTGAGACTCCCTACAGAAATGCAAAAAGATGTCATGTCCAGAAATGAGAAAAAGCTTAGTGGACCAATTACACTCTGTTAAATATTGAACCTGAGCTTCTAGCTTTACTCAAATATGACGAATTCAGGCACTACAGAAAATGGCACAAATCAAATAGGAAGAATTTCCAAGACTAAGAACACTCTTTGATAGTCAAGTTCAGAAATATTGGCTATGCTCTTCAGAAAAAGGCAAGCCCAAGTCTCATTACTTTCCTGTGAATTTGCTACAATTATTTTGTCATGAGAGTGAAATGTTTCTGAAAAGATTGCTATGTCTTTGTTTACATCCAGGAAAAACTGATAACTCAGATTACAAAAACTCTTAAATTTGAACGCATTATTGTTCTAATTGACTTATAAAAATAAATAAGTACTTATATTTTAAATATGAGACAATTCTTATAAAAAGAAGAAATTGAACTTCTTATCTCAAATGACTTAAATATCTTGGCCCTTTAAGAAAAAATCTTGGCCCTTTAAGAAAAAAAAAGTCTCATTGAAAATACCAGTCAAGAAAAAGTAAGCTGTAATATCTATGGCAGATGCACAGGTAAGAAAAAAAATGCAACTAAATATTAGGCTACCAATAAATAATCTTATTTTTAAAACTTTATAGTAAATAAATACCAAATCATATAAAAGTTAAAGCTGATAGGATATTTCCATTTGGGGTGAATTCTTGGATATGATCATTTGTTTGGGTTAATAAATTTCATCTTGAAAGTATTATATTTTATTTTATCCAATACATTCTTATTCTCAGATTTAGTTTGATTCCTTTTTCCTATAATTTATTATGTTAATTTTAACATTTGTTTTTATTTTTGTTTTTACTTATTCAAACCTCCATACTCCATACTATGTTTTATGAATCAAAATACATCAAATTACTTAAAGTCATAATAAATGTAAAATACACATATGCTTTAATAAATTAAATGTTTTGCATTGCTTTCTTCAAAATATATTTATTCTTAGGAACTACTGACATTGCTGCAAGTCATGTGGATTAAGTAAATCTACATACACCAGCTATATAAAATTTTAAAGTGCCATCTTTCTGGCAAGATTTAATATAAATAATTATAAAGAAAGTGCTCCTCAGGCTACAATGGTGTAACAAGACCTTAACTTAATTACCTATTGTGAACATTTGAAAAATCAGATAAAATACGTAAAACAACTGTTTTCAGACATTAGACAAGCAAAACAAGACTATGATATTTGTGGAAGGGAAACAAACAAAACGAATACTTCAGCAGCCCAGGCTTTCAGGCTGGAGCCGATTACTTCTGGGCAGTAGACCCAGGGAGGGAACTTACACAGCAGAGCTGGCATGGTGAACTGAGATGTAGATAGTAATGTGGGGAGGTTGAGATGCCTGGGAGTTTGGGGGCAGAATAATTCCAGAGAGTAGGGAGATAATATAGAAAAAGAGTTCCAGAAACCAGTGATTTAAATAAACAATAAAATAATAAAAAGTGTCAGTGAATAATTTTGGAAGTTCATTAACAAAACTGAAATAGAATCTAAATGAAAATAAATATATGAAATGAAAGAAGGTCTTTAGAATTATGGCATTCTTAAGGTCATTGTATTTTTAAAGAAATATTAACTTCATTGACTATCCATCTACTCAGACAACTTTTTAACACTATTTTGTTACGTACTTTTTTCATCCTGTCCAAACTATTAGGCAAGATTCTTCAGGATAGTATAACGTTTTTCATAAAAACAGTAACACAACCCTTATTAGCTGTGGAAAATTCTAGATAGAACATAGTAAATAGGTCTTGCCCTCCACCTCCATACCCATCCCCATCCACAATGCTTTGAATTTAAAAAAAGACTGCATTTAAGATCTACATTTCTCAGAAAACATAAATTTTCATTCACATAACTCCTTTTAACATTTATCAAACACTAAGGATTTATGAATCAATCCAAAGAAATGGTATTATTTGGCTATTTTACATGCCATACCGGCATGAATCGAATCATAATTTTTATTACCTAGTCTCAAATTTATTCTTCCAAATACAATTTGCATCCTTATAATTTTCATAATTAACATCCAACGAGCTTTCCTTGAAATTACATAAAATTTGATATTTAAGTACCTAAACAGACACATGGTGTTTCTCCTCCATTAATTATATTTTATCTTCCTTTGTAGTATTTTTTATTTTATTAAATAATCTTTTAATATTAAATACCACTCTAGCATATGTAGTTTATAATTTGATAAGTGAGATTGGTAATTTTTCTTATTTTATTTTTTAATAGACATATAGGCTATCTATTGATCATTGATCAATAGATAGAATTTTGGATATCTATTAAAAATGTATGTACATTTTTTAACCAGAAAACTTACTGAATTCTATTTTTTTTGTATAATACTACATGTTTTGTGACAAATTACATGATGAATAAGGCATACAAAGATGAATACAAAGGTGAATAAGGCACAGCTTATTCATCAACATGCTAGACCACAATGGGTGAAAAATTGAATAAAAAATGTGTTTGTTGAAGAATAAATTAACATATCTACATTTTTTCATTGTATAATATTATCTGCCAGAAATATAGACAAAGGTTAGTGACAATTTACATAGCCTTGGTAGGTAAATTGGGAGGATGTGGGGTGAAAATACAAGACATAAGACAAAAGATCAGTATGTGTGTAAGGAAAAGCAAAATTGGATCCTACTGGGAAAGTTACATCATCTTTAAACCAATTTCCTCATCAGTAAAATGAGGATAATTGCATTTTCTAAGGTCATCGTAAATATAAAATTAGACTTTACATATAAAAGCACTTTGAAAAAAACAAAACACTCTTAATACGCATCATTTTACAAATGTCTGTGAAAGAGAAACAATTTGTCTATGTTCTCCTAAATTGTCACATATTTTCTAAGGTAAGTGATGATAAATTAATAAAAGAATAATGGCATATTTCAATTATTTTATTTTTCTATTTTGATATGTAATGTTTACTCTTTTGTGTGGAAATGTATATTTGTCAAAAAAGCTTTTGAGGTTCTATGACCGACAGTAATTACCAGGCAATCAAATTTATTGAACTGTGGAGAAAAATGGATATTCTTGAGCTCTCTATAAAAGGTACAGTAAATCTAGTAGCTCTGTAATTAACTTATAATTATGTAAGCAATAAAGGCATAATTATAAGATTATAAATATGTTAAGATTATAAGGAATTTTCTGGCATTTAATTAACATTTACTGAGGCAGACTACAGCAAATTAAATATCAATTAATAAAAATAGTGACATTTATTTAGATACTCTATTAGTTGTCACAATTATTAACTTGTTATCACTGGCTTTTAAAATTCTGATTAAGTGTGTAAAAATCTCTATGATTTTTATGTGGTAAAAATCTAATTATATTAGTGTCCTATAATTTTAAATTGATTACACAGAATATCTCACAATAAACTTCAATATTATCCTGTAAATTGATGCATAATGGACATACACTAGTTTATAAAGCCAAATAAACATGTTCTCAAGAGCTAAACAATCTTACAAACCCTCTCTCTCTTTGTAGTACCCAATGTTATAATCTTAAAATTAAAAAAAATAATTAAACCTGTGAGACAATTTATGTCTACAGCAAAACACGAAATATGGCTCTTCTATAGCTGTTCTATGTCTCTGACATGGATCCATGACTTAGAATACCTGCTTTGAAACATATAGCTGACTGTCTAAGATATATCTATGTAAATTCTAGCTTATCTGTTTTAGTCTTAATCATCTAGTCCTAGCAAGTACATTGAAGGTGATAGATGTCTTAACTAGTGTAAAATACACATTCCATCCATATTAATTCTAAATACTCACCATTCAGTTCTTTCATTCATAATTCCCAGTTCCCAAAATGATATAAAATGTTTAAGAAGTATACTAACAAAAAAGCCAAAACCTTTGTAAAAAATAAATTATTACATTAGAAAAAAATTAAAGAAAGTAGATCAGGAAAACCACCAAAAGTGATAGGTAAAATACCCTTAATTTGTGACATTGTCTTATACTAAGAGAAATGATTGATTTCTCCTGAAATAAGTTCAATTTTACCAATGCATAGTGTGCACATCTTGGCCCATAAGAACTTACTTGAAAGGATACTACAGTTATATATATTTGAAAACCTTTTCTTTGAATGCATAGGTATGCATTCATTTATGAAAGACTCTGAGAAAACCTGCAGAAAAGAAATCTATACAAGTTTGTCAAACAGAATTTAAGCCTGGAACTTTCAAATCATATCATACTAAGTTATCAACAAACTAGAACACAGAAATGCTCTGTTAGAATTACTTTGAAACTAAAAAATGTACTTGAGGAAGTGTTCCTTGGACCACCTTAGTTCTGAGAGTTTTAGTTATAAGATACGAAATGTGTGAAAATTAGTACTAAAAATGTCAGTGTTTTTCTGATTAATTTATGAAACTAAGTTGAGTGTGTTCCTTTTAGGTAAATCTGTGACATTACAAGAAATTAAACATCAAGTGTTATTAAAAAAAAAAGTCCTCATTTCTTGTTTACTTAAATAATAACACATCCCGGCCAAAAAAAAAAAAAAAAGGATTCTTCAATATTTGGCTGTCAGAAGGTTCTCAGATATTATAAACATTTGAACAGGCTGATATCACATTAAAATACAAACTTCTTTTCAACAAGAAAATAGTTTTTAAAGTTAAGCTATGTTTAAATAAATAATATTCAGAGAAACTGTGATATAGCCAATGTATAGAAATATATTTTAAATTATAAATCAATGACAAAATAAGCAAATAATAATAAAACAGAGAGTACTATCCCTGTATCTGAGGTATCCACTTTTGGAAATCTGTCTTTGAATTCAATTTTAACTACTATATAAATATTTTATTTATTATAACTGACATTTAGATTTTGTGGTTCTTATAAACTCAACTGTTTTCCTTGGTAATATCTCTTTAAATGATTTAACTTAGAAATAAAATTTTCTGAACTAAAATTGACATAATTTACATATTATGACACAACGTGTTATATTCTCTCATCATCTGTGAATCTTCCTGTAATAACAAGAATGCTCTGAAACATATCTTAATGAATCACATGTATATTTTTAATTTTAAACTTTTTTGAGATGTTATATATGATATATATTATATATTATATATTATACATTATATATATTTTATATATTATATATATTATATATAATATATATTATACATTATATATTATATATAATATATATTATACATTATATATTATATATAATATATATTATACATTATATATTATATATAATATATATAACATCTCATAAAAATATATATAACATCTCAGAAAATAGTTTAATATATATATATATATATATAACTCAAAAGGTATATACCATTCTACAAATTTTTCTGAAGGAATGCCTGCATAATACCCTCTAGGTCAAGAAATAACACTGCTAGCATTTTGGGAGGTCTTGCATGATTTTTTGCAATTAAAATTACTTTCCTCCTCACTGGATACAACCACTGTTTTAGTAGCCATAGTAAATAAGTGCTTTCTAGTTTTGTTTCTTTTTTTTAGTATAGTTTTACCAGTTATGCATTTTGCAACATTAAAATTTTGTATTTCCTTTTTCAAAAATCTTTATGTAGATTCATATGTACTCATCTCTAGCTTTATTCAAATTTTACTTGAAGTTTTATCATTTTTGTATGTTATGTAGTTTTTCAATGCTTGATAAATATATTAGTTTATTCTTTCTATTGTTTGAAGATGTTTTTATTGTTTCCAGTGTTTTGTTATAATAAATAAGGCTTCTAAAAATATTCTTATCCATGTTCATATGCAAGCATTTCTGGAGTAAAGAGGTAGGACTGGGTCAATGGATGTATGTTTCATGTTAGCAGATATTGCAGCACCATTTCCTAAAGTTCTTTTTTTACCAATTTCAACTCCCCACAGATGTGCATGAGGATTTTCATTGATCTACATTCTCAATAAATCTTGCTATTGTGTCATTTTTACTAGCCCCATTCTTTTGGCTGTGTAGTGGCATTTAATTTATATTTAATTTTTTAATCCGATAAATAAGCATTTGAATGTCTATTAACATGCATATAGATATTTAAAAATCCTCATTTGAGAAGATCCTGTACAAGCCTTTATCCCTTTTTCATTGGCCTTTCTGTCTTTTTATTTGTGGGGATTCATTTTATGTGATCTGGCTACAAGTATTGCTTGATACAGGCATTGCAGACGTCTTCTCACACTGTTTGGGTTGAATTTCACCATCTTAATGGTACATTTTAATTAATACCAGGTCTAAATAGAGGTTAACATATCAAACACCAATCCACATAGTATTCCGTTTAAGAAAAGTTCACTGATTGTGAATAGGTAAGTTTTCATGTAAAAGCGTCATTGTTTTTCTGCTCTTTTTTAAATCCATGATACATCTATAATTGAGTTTTGTATATGATACTAATCAAGGGACATTATTCCCTTATAAAAATGAGGGTATCCAATTTAACTAAAACCATTTATTGAAAATGTAATTTTCATCTTTTTGGGCTGAAGACATTAATCAAAAGACTGCTTATATATGTTCCATTGGTTATTGTCTGTTCTTAGAACAAATAACACAACCTCTAAATCATGACATGGATTTTGATACTTAATTCTGTAATTTCTCCAGCTTTGTGTTTCTTCCACAAGTTTTCCTTGACCATTCTGGACTTTTGATTGGCATGTATACTTTAGAATGAGGTTGCAAATTTACACAAATGAACAAATTTTATAGGATTTTATAATTTCATTAAGTGTATAGACCAGATGTATAACAGAGTTTTTAAATATTTGAACATTTTTCAATTCAAGAAAATTTACTTAGGCTTATAAAAACAATTATATAATTACATTTAGTATTTATAATTGTAGAATTTAACTTCCTCAGATTAATAAAGAATATCTAAGATGAGGAACACAGCAAGGATGTTCACTCTCACTACTCCTATTCAACATCATACTGGAAGGCATAGCTAATACGATTAGACAAAAAAAAGGAAAAAAGAACCCAGATTAGTTCACTGGTGAGTTCTAGCAAACATTTAAAGATAAATTAACCAATTAATTTTCTACAATCTGTCCTAGAAAATAGAATCAGAGCAAATACTTGCTAAATCTTTCTGTAAGGCCAGCATTACCTTAATATCAAATCAGAAAAATACAAGAAAACACTACTACAGACCAATAACTCTTATGAATATAGATTCAAAAATCCTCAACCAAACATTAGCAAATTGCCAATAACGTATTAGAAGAAATCTATATCATGTGGAGTTTATTACACTTATGCAAGGCTGGTCTAGCATTTGAAAACCATGAAATCCATTATGTTAACAGGCTAAGGAAAAAAAGTCATATGATCATATTAACAGATACAGAAAAAATGTTGGCAAAATTCATCATCCATTAATCATAAATACTTTCAGCAAACTAGGATTAGAATTTAACTTCCTCAGATTAATAAAGAATAGCTATGAAAATATTTACAGCTAATATAACGTTTAATAGTGAGGAATGCCTGCTTTCCTGCTAAGATCAAGAACACATTAAAAAATACATAAACAGATGAAGAGATATTTCACGTAAATGAATTTGAAATCTCAATATTGTAAAGGTGAAAATTTGTCTCAACTTGACCTATAGAATCAACATAGCCCCAATCAAGATTTCTACAAGTTGTTATTTTGTGCATATCAACAAACTTATTCTCAAGATTATAGAGAAAGGCAAAAAACACAGATAGCCAAGATAATATTTAAGGAGAAGAACAAAGTCAGAAAACTAATATGACTAATACTACAAGACTAATATAAAACTACAATACTAAAGACAGTGGTATAATAATGGAAGATTAAACAAATATTTCAATGAAACAGAATAAAGAGCCCAGAAGTAAATACAGTAATCATAACTCAACACCCTAGAGATAATAATACATAATATTAGTCTTTTCAACATATTGCATCATGATGTAAGAAAAAAAGAGACTAGAAATGGGGATTACGATAACTGTCCTCAAACTTGTACGCTGGAAATTAAGGTAACTGGATTAAAAAGCTTTTGTGCCTTTTCTAATACTAGGTTATTTTAATAAATTAAAATATTGATTATTCTCTTCTACATAGTGTATTAAGATTAGAACATACTGTTAAATCAGTAGCAATCACTTCTTCCATATTTCCATTCTTGATTTTATAAGACAATGTTTTATTTATATATTAACTCAAATTTTATCAGAGCAACTCTTGGATCACAGAAATAATCTGACTATTATGACCATTTAAGAAACAACATTTCAGCATAACATAGTAGAATCTGCTACTCGGCATGGGTTTCAAATTCCTTCATAATTTGATGCCACACTACTTATTTGATTCACTTTCTCAATTCTTCTCAATATACATGTAGTATTCTAATTTCATAATACCTTCATAAATTACAAATCCACAGCATTGAAAAAGATGACTTTCCCTACTTATTCTGAGTATTCAAATTGTTCTCATTTTAAAAAAAAAGTCTTACATTTTATCTTCTTTATGACACATTATCAGGCAACTGTGGCTCTCACTGATTTCCCTCAATATTAACGTACTTCAGTAAATATTATTTAGTTGATTACCTCTGTTGCATTATCTACTTGTTTGTATATTTTTAATTTTTTCCAGAGTACATCAATACCTTCTTCATATTAACCCCATAGCTTCTGGTCCACTTTATCTTTAACAGCTCCAAGAGTTACATTGTACATACAGTAAGTGCTAAATATCATTTAATTTAATTAATATTTGAATCCTCTACTAGTGCAGTGGTTTTTGTTCTGTGACTTATTGCTGAAAGACAGATAATTCCCAAGAAACTTGTTGAAATAGATTTCTCTCGCCTACCCCAGATCTGTGAACAATGAAATGAGCCCCAGGAATTTTTAAAAAGAGGCTCACTTATTTTTTTTTTTTTAATATACTTTAAGTTCTGGGATACATGTGCAGAATGTGCAGGTTTGTTACATAGGTATACATGTGCCATGGTGGTTTGCTGCACCAATCAACCTGTCACCTACATTAGGTATTTCTCCTGACACTATCCCTTCACTAGCCCCCATTCCCCGACAGGCCCCTGTGTGTGATGTTCCCCTCCCTGTGTCCGTGTGTTCTCATTGTTCAGCTGCCACTTATGAGTGAGAACACATGGTGTTTGGTTTTCTGTTCCTGTGTTAGTTTGCTGAGAATGATGGTTTCCCGCTTCATCCACGTCCCAGCAAAGATAGGAACTCATCCTTTTTTATGGCTGCATAGTATTCCATGGTGTATATGTGCCACATTTTCTTTATTCATTCTATAATTGAGGGGCATTTGGGTTGGTTCCAAGTCTTTGCAATTGTGAATAGTGCTGCAATAAACATAAGTGTGCATGTTTCTTTATAGTAGAATGACTTATAATCCCTTGGGTATATACCCAGTAATGGGATTGCTGGGTCAAATGGTATTTCTGGTTCTAGATCCTTGAGGAATCACCACACTGTCTTCCACAATGGTTGAACTAATGTACACTCCCACCAACAGTATAAAAGTGTTCCTATTTCCCCACATCCTCTCCACCATCTGTTGTTTCCTTTTTAATGATCGCCATTCTAACTGGCTGGTGAGATGATATCTCATTGTGGTTTTGATTTGCATTTCTCTAATGACCAGTGATGATTAGCTTTTTTTTTCATATATTTGTTTGCCACATAAATGTCTTCTTTTAAGAAGTGCTTGTTATATCCTTCACCCACTTTTTGATGGGGTTGTTTGTTTTTTTCTTGTAAATTTGTTTAAGTTCCTTATAGATTCTGGGTATTAACCTTTTGTCAGATGGATAGATTGCAAAAATTTCCTCCCATTCTGTAGGATCCCTGTTCACTCTGATGAGATTTTGCTGTGCAGAAGATCTTTAGTTTAATTAGATCCCATTTGTCAATTTTGGCTTTTGTTGCCATTGTTTTTGGTGTTTTAGTCATGAAGTCCTTGCCCATACCTATGTCCTGAATAGTAATGCCTAGCTTTTCTTCTAGGGTTTTTATGGTTTTATGTCTTACGTTTAAGTCTTTAATCCATCTTAAGTTAATTTTTGTATAAGGTGTAAGGAAGAGGTCCAGTTTCACTTTTCTGCATATAGCTAGTCAGTTTTCCTAACACATTTTATTAAATAGGGAATCCTTTTCCCATTTCTTGTTTTTGTCAGGTTTGTCAAAGATCAGATGGTTGTAGATGTGTGGTGTTGTTTCCGAGGCCTCTGTTCTGTTCCATTGGTCTGTGTATCCGTTTTGGTACCAGTACCATGATGTTTTGGTTATTGTACACTTGTAGTATAGCTTGAAGTCAAGTAGCATGATGCCTCCAACTTTGTTGTTTTTGCTTAGGATTGTCTTGGCTATGCAGGCCCTTTTTTGGTTCCATATGAAATTTAAAGTAGCTTTTTCTAATTATGTGAAGAAAGTCAATGGTAGCTTGATGGGATAGCATTGAATCTATAAATTAGTTTAGGCAGTATGGCCTATTTCACAATGTTGATTCTTCCTATCCATGAGCATGGAATGTTTTTCCATTTGTTTGTGTCCTCTCTTATTTCCTTGAGCAGTGGTTTGTAGTTCTCCTTGAAAAGTTCCTTCACATCCCTTGTAAGTTGTATTCCTAGGTATTTTATTCTCTTTTTAGCATTTGTGAATAGGAATTCACTCATGATTTGCCTCTCTGTTTGTCTGTTATTGGTTTATAAGAATACTTGTGATTTTTGCACACTGATTTTGTATCCTGAGACTTTTCTGAAGTTGCTTATCAGCTTATGGAGTTTTTGGGCTGAGACGATTGGGTTTTCTAAATATACAATCATTTCAAATGCAAACAGAGACAACTTGACTTCCTCTCTTCCCTTTTGAATACCCTGTATTTCTTTCTCTTGCCTGATTGCCCTGGTCACAACTTCCAATACTATGTTGAACAGGAGTGGTGAGAGAGGTCATACTTGTCTTCTGGCAGTTTTCAAAGGAAATGCTTCTGGCTTTTGCCCATTCAGTATTATATTGGCTGTGGGTTTGTCATAAATATCTTGTACTAGTTTGAATTACATTCCATCAATACCTCTTTAATTGGGAGTTTTTAGCATGAAGGGCGTTGAATTTTATCGAAGGCCTATTCGTCATCTATTGATATAATCATGTGCTTTTTGTCATTAGTTCTGCTTATGTGATGAATTATGTTTTTTGACTTGCATATGTTGAACCAGCCTTGCCTCCCAGGAATGAAGCCAACTTGATGTGGTGGATAAGCTTTTTGATGTGCTGCTGGATTTGGTTTGCCAGTATTTAATTAGGATTTTCACATCAATGTTCATCAGGGATTTTGGCCTCAGGTTTTTTTGTTGTTTTCGTGTCTCTGCCAGGTTTTGGTATCAGGATGATTCTGGCCTCATAAATGACTTAGGGAAGAGTCCCTCCTTTTCAACTGTTTGGAATTGTTTCAGAAGGAATGGTACCAGCTCCTCTTTGTACCTCTGGTAGAATTTGGCTGTGAATTTTTCTAGTCCTGGGCTTTTTTCGGTTGTTAGGCTTAATTACTGCCTCAATTTCAGTACTTATTATTGATCTATTCAGGGATTCGACTTCTTCATGGTTTATTCTTGGGAGGGTATATGTGTCCAGGAGTTCATCCATTTTTCTAGATTTTCTAGTTATTTCATAGAGGTGCTTACAGTATTCTCTGATGGTACTTTGTATTTCTGTGGGATCAGTGGTGATATCCCCTTTATCATTTTTCTTTCGTGTCTATTTGAGTCTTCTCTCTTTTCTTATTAGTCTAGCTAGTAGTCTTTCTATTTTGTTAATTTTTTTTTAAAAAAAGCTCCTGGATTCACTCATTTTAAGGGTTTTTTGTGTCTCTATGTCATAATTTCAGACAAAATAGACTTTAAACCAACAAAGATCAAAAAAGACAAAGAAGGGCATCACATAATGGTAAAGGGATCAATGCAACAATAAGAGTGAACTATCCTAAATATACATGCACCAAATACAGGCGCACCCAGATTAATAAAGCAAGTTCTTAGAGACCTACAAAAGGACTTAGACTCCCACACAATAATAGTGGGAGACTTTAACAACCCACTGTCAATATTAGATCAATGAGACAGAAAATTAACAAGGATCTTCAGAACTTGAACTCAGCTCTAGACCAAGCAGACCTAAAAGGCCTCTACAGAACTCTCCACCCCAAATCAACAGAATATACATTCTTCTCAGTAACACATTGCACTTATTCTAAAAATGACCACATAATTGGAAGTAAAACACTCCTCAGCAAATGTAAAAGAATGGAAATCATAACAAACAGTCTCTCAGACCACATTATAATCAAATTAGAACTCAGGATTAATAAACTCACTCAAAACCACAAAACTACATGGAAACTGAACAATCTGTTCCTGAATAACAACTGGGTAAATAACGAAATTAAGGCAGAAATAAATAACTTTTTTGAAACCAATGAGAAAAAGACACAATGTACCAGAATATCTGGTACACAGCTAAAGCAGTGTTTAGAGGGAAATTTATAGCATTAAATGCACATGGGAGAAAGCAGGAAAGATATAAAATCGACACCCTAACATCACAATTAAAAGTACTAGAGAAGCAAGAGCAAACAGATTCAAAAGCTAGCAGAAGACAAGAAATAACTAAGAATAGAACAGAACTGAAGGAGACAGAGACACAAAAAAACCCTTCAAGAAATCAACAAATCCAGGAGCTGGTTTTTGAAAAGATTAACAAAATAGATAGACCTCTAGCCAGACTAATAAAGAAGAAAAGAGGGAAAAATCAAATAGATGCAATAAAAATGATAAAGGGGATATCATCACTGATCCCACAGAAATACAAACTACCATCAGAGAATACTATAAACACCTTTATGCAAATAAACTAGAAAATCTAGAAAAAACGGATACATTCCTGGACACACACACCCTCATAAGTCTAAACCAGGAAGAAGTCAAATCCCTGAACAGACCAATAACATGTTCTGAGATTGAGGCAGTAATTAATAGCCTACCAACCAATAAAAAAGCCCAGGACCAGATGGATTCACAGCCGAATTCTACCAGAGGTACAAAGAGGTTCATTCCTTCTGAAACTATTCCAAACAATAGAAAAAGAGGGGCTCTTCCCTAACTTATTTTATGAGGCTAACATCGTCCTGATGCCAAAACCTGGCAGAGACACAACAAAGAAAGAGAATTTCAGGCCAATATCCCTGATGAACATCGATGTGAAAATCCTCAATAAAATACTGGCAAACTGAATCCAGCAGCACATCAAAAAGCTTATCCACCATGATCAAGTTGGCTTCATCCCTGGGATACAAGACTGGTTCAACATACGCAAATCAATAAACATAATCCGTCACATAAACAGAACCAATGAAAAAAAAACACATGATTATCAGACGCAGAAAAGGTCTTCAATAAGAGCCTCACTGATTTTATGCACACCACAGATGGGGCAACTGAGTTTCTAGATTGCTAACACGCAAAGCTTACTTCTCATGTTATTTTGATGTTGATGAGCTTCAAAGAGAAAAGCATTTTGCAATATTTATTAAACATTTTTAGAGTCTTCAGACTAAATAACAAGACATTATTAGCAAAAGTATATGTACTTCGATTTTCACGTTTTCTCAATTGATAACATTTAAAATATCACACACACATAAAATAGGAAACACTAATAACAACCCTCCTAATTACCTCATAGTGCTGTGCTTTGAAGTCTCCTTTTTAGGGTGAAATACTTTAATTGTTAAAGAACAAATTAATTTTAAATAATTAAAAATAGACATGTTTTCAAAAAATGTATATCATTTTTTGATATACTTAAGTTCAGTGTATATCATTTTGTTCTCCTAAGCATCAATTTTTATATTAAGAGAGGAAGAAATTTATATAAAATATAATTGAGGGAAAAATTAAATAACGATATACTTTCCAGGTATGAGGTTAATTTGTAATTTATACCTGTGCAATTCTGAAAGCCACTGGATAGCTTCATTCTGATATAAAGGCACTGTTCCCATAAGACTGGACATTTATACAACATAAATGAACAGCTGCACGGTATACTGGTTTCCAAGGCTCACATTAGCACCACGTTAATCCATGTATATTTGCAAATTGTTATGATCATTGCTCAGAAATGGCATCAGTTGCAGCTGCAGCAATTCTGAAAATATTTCAGACTTGTGATGGCTGGAACAACAACACAGAAATTATAATCATCTGACATCCATCACCACAGCTCCTTCACTTGATTACACCAGTCAACAAATCCTGGGCAGGAAGACAGTGAAATAAGGAACAACACCAACCTCGTATGCTAAAGACGTTTGGGTTTTTTTTCTTCGATTCTCACCATCCTAATACTTTCCCATCTTTCTTCTATTTTTGAAAACCGTCTAATATACAAACAGAATCATAAAAATAACTGATTTTTTAAAGTGTCCACCAATACGCTACTTCTTAAGAACTAAATCAACAAGGATCTTCTTAAAAATCCTAGTTCCATGTAAAGTGATGTTGTTACTAAATATTATTCCGAATATGATTTCGAATAGAAACATACTTGCTATTTTCATCCTCCCCTTTGTTTTGTATTTTACTTTGACCAAGCTATATTTTCCCCTTACTGGAAGACTAAGTATTTTCAGAGTATAGGGTAAATTGATAGGATTTCTTTCTCAATGCTACTGTTTCATGTCTTATCTCTTAAGCTGTATATTATGGCTCACCAATTTTATATTGAGGGCTACTCTGATAATTAATTTCTAGACATTTGCAGTAGACAATTCAGCCTCAAACATTTTATTATGTCACAGGTTTAACCTTAGTGTTAGTATTCTTTTTATCCTTTCGGACAAGCTAAGCAAACTTACAAAGTCCAACACTAAGCAAGTGCTTTTAGCCAATATTGAAAATATTTGTAGAATACACTAGTGAATGCATATTTATGCCCAATCAACTATTACACGATACTGTTTTTCAAGTCACGATTTAATTAGACAAAAAATCCCAGTGTTTAGCATGCAATACAGAATCTTCTATTGGATTATTCTTGCTTATCTATTTTTCTGATGACGAACTCCACGTATTATGTCTGAATATCCCTAGATTTTAAGTGTAATATTTCATGTCTTATGCATGGTGTTCTCTCCACCAGATTTTTATCTCCTAATAAGATATTTCAAATAACATTTCCTCAAGGAACCCATTAAAAGTGTGTATTTCAACTATTTCTTAGCAGATTTACAGATCTGGGCAACTAACCATGACCAAAATCTAATCAAGAATATTTTCATCACACTAGTTTTTATTCTTTTAATTTCTTCCTGTACATTGGTGCTGCCATTGGCTTCCACTCTTTTACATGAACATAGTTTTATTCCCACCTGACTCCTTTAGGTTGCCATTGTACAATCTGTTTCTCCTCTCTCTCTCTCCTCTCTCTCTCCCTCTCTCTCTGATACACACACATACACGCTACAAGCCCAGTTGTATAGTTGCATACATATAACTTTATTCAAATTTTTAAAATAATTTAGCAAAAGAAAGACAAAATATATAAATATATTGTTGTTTACAATTTTCTACATAATTCCCTTTAGCACCACTCTGGTTTTTTAAATTTGGCTTTAAATTAATGTCTGCTTTCAGTTGCTTTGAAATTTGAAGAACTTATTTTTTGTGTGTAACAGATCTGATAGCAACAAATTTTATTTCATCTTTATTTTTGAAATATTAATTTTTTTGCCATTTTTCCTTTTATTTTTAGTGACACATAATTGTATATATTTGTAGGATACAAAGTGATATTTCTTTTTTATTCTTTTTTTATTATACTTTAAGTTCTAGGTTACATGTGCACAATGTGCAGGTTTGTTACATATGTATACATGTGCCATGTTGGTGTGCTGCACCCATTAACTTGTCATTTACATTGGGCATATCTCCTAATGCTTTCCCTCCCCCCTCCCCCCACCCTACAACAGGCCCCGGTGTGTGGTGTTCCCCTTCCTGTGTCCAAGTGTTCTCATTGTTCAATTCTCACCTGTAAGTGAGAACATGCAGTGTTTGGTTTTTTGTTCTTGCGATAGTTTGCTGAAAATGAGGTTTCCATCTTCATCCATGTCCCTACAAAGGACATGAACTCATAATGTTTTATGGCTGCATAGTATTCCATGGTGTATATGTGCCACATTTTCTTAATCCAGTCTATCACTGTTGGACATTTGGGTTGGTTCCAAGTCTTTGCCATTGTGAATAGTGCCGCAACAAACATACGTGTGCATGTGTCTTTATAGCAGCATGATTTATAATCCTTTGGGTATATACCCAGTAATGGGATGGCTGGGTCAAATAGTATTTCTAGTTCTAGATCCTCAAGGAATCGCCACACTGTCTTCCACAATGGTTGAACTAGTTTACAGTCCCACCAACAGTGTAAAAGTGTTCCTATTTCTCCATATCCTCTCCAGCACCTGTTGTTTCCTGACTTTTTAATGATCGCCAATCTAACTGGTGTGAGATGGTATCTCATTGTGGTTTTGATTTGCATTTCTCTGATGGCCAGTGATGATGAGCATTTTTTCATGTGTCTGTTGGCTGCATAAATGTCTTCTTTTGAGAAGTGTCTGTTTATATCCTTCGCCTAAAAAAGCAATGGCAACAAAAGCCAAAATTGACAAATGGGATCTAATTAAACTAAAGAGCTTCTGCACAGCAAAAGAAACTACCATCAGAGTGAACAGGCAACCTACAGAATGGGAGAAAATTATTGCAAGCTACTCATCTGACAAAGGGCTAATATCCAGAATCTATAAAGAACTCAAACAAATTTACAAGAAAAAAACAAACAACCCTATCAAAAAGTGGGTGAAGGATTTGAAATATTAATTTTTTAAAAATTTAGAACTTTGATTATGTCACCCACTGCTTTCTTCCTCCACTGTTTCTGTTGAGAAGTCAATTAACAGTATTAGGTTTCCCTCATATGTGATGAGTTTTTTTGTTTTATTTTGTTTAACTGCCTTCATGATCTTCTTCTTGTCTTTGGCTTTCAATATGTGATGAAGACTTGTCTGAGTGTGGATTTCTTTGTGTTTGTCCTACTTGGAGTTTAATGTGTGTCTTGGAAAGATAGATTCATATTGTTCATCATCTTTGAAATGTGTTTAGCTATTACATTTTCAAATATTTGTTCTGCCTCCTTTTCTATATTCTTCACTTTTTGTACTCCTATTATGCATATGTTGGGGTTCTTAATGATGCCTCACATTTTTCTAAGGCTCTGTTCATATCATTTAATTTACTTTTTTCTATCTTTTTTAGATTGATAAACTCTAAAGTCTATCTTCAAAACTGTATTTTAAAATAATATGTTGCTGTGAGGTGATGGACATGTTAATAAGCTTCATTGTGCTAATCATTTCACACTGTACATATATATCAAAGCATCAAGATGTATACTTTAAATAAATACAAATTTTATTTTTTAATTATACTTCAATAAAGCTGAAAAAGCAAAGATAAAAGAAAAGCCATTTTACCATTTAAAAGAAAAGATAATATAATGATGAAACTATAAAGACTGAATAACATCCACACATACACATATAGAGAATTAATGTTGTAGTTCTTTGGTTGGTCATTTGTTTGTTTAGTGACTCAATTGAACTATTTCTGTGAAATTCATTTTCACTGTAGTTTGATGTCTCTGATGTCCCTGTTAAGATTTTTTTCTTGCCTTTATCTTTTTGCTTGATGACCAATAATATAACATAATCAAGTGGGATTTATTCTAAAGATATAAAGATTCCTTATTATTACTCTCTCAGTAAATACAATTTGTCACAGAAATAGAGCAAAAAATGTATATGATTATCTCTGTGGATTGTAAAAACTCAGTGGTAAGACACATTCTAAAAGTCTCATTAAAACACTACCTCAAAAATTATTTTATAAAAATAATTTACTTCATTGATTTATTTACCTATTTTTTTAACTGACATAAAAGTTAACATCATATTTCATGAGAAAACAATGAAACTTTCTCTAGAAAAGGCAAAGAACAAGATAAAGACCTCCTTTATCACCAAAAACATTTACAAATCTTCTAAGGCTATGAAAATAAATGAGAGTAAAACTTAAATGGAGGAAGTAAAATTATCCTTATTTGTAGATGATTTTAGTATTTACCTTGAAAATCCAAGATAATTAAAATTACAAGTAGTATGATAATTCAATAAGGAGCTGGGCAACAACAACCAGTGAATAAATAAAATTAATGAAACAGATCTATTTATATAAGCAAAAAAATTGAAAGACTTAAGAATCAAGAGGAAATGTGCAAGATCTATAGGAAAAACAATTTCACATGCTACTTAAGGTGACAAAGGAAGACTTGAACAAACATAAAGCATAAAGCCATGGTTGTTCTTGGCTAAAGTTGCATGAGGTAGAACTAGGTTCTAAGCAGTAGGTGATTAGTTAACTGCATAGTCAATCTGTTTGGTGACCAGATACTCTCTTGCAAAGACTGAGCAGTTGCCTGAGAGCAATCTGTCACCAAACAGATATTTCATCACAATAATGGGTGATGAAAATACAGTTCCTTTTATGGTAAACAATCAAAACCTAGCATATATACTGTACTATGAAGGAGTATTTACATTTCAGATGAAGAAGTTTACTCAGAAAATGAACTGTAATTGGAGGGCTGGGTATTTGTTTGTTTGTCTTAAACATCATAATAGAAATTCATAGAGATATCCCCCTACTACCATCAATCCACACAGGAGTATAATAAGTGATGTATCATAATCCTAGAAGAAATAAAAGTATTCCAAGGCACTGGACTGTGCTCTAGGATAAGAGAGTATATTTTGCCTAATTTAAAAAATACATTTAGTGCACTCTATTTACTCATGTTAAAAACAACAAATATTGACTTTTGCTTCTAAGGTTAATTAACTGTATCTTACAAACGTATTCATGTTTCTATATAAATAATGTCCGAATATAGTGTCTGCATGTTTGGGTAATGTTAATAAAGCATTTTCTTTTTCTGGAGTCCTGAATAGAAATGTTTCTGTGGTTCTGCTTTTACAGAGGAAATTTATTGTATTAGGCCACAGCTGTAAATTTTCTCGCTCCAATCCTATAAATTTCTTCTAAATGTTTAATGGTTTATAACTGTAATTATTCTTGTGTGCCAACATTAAACTTTAAAAAGTTTAATTTGGAGACTATTCGGAGAAACTCATCTTTTTTACAGCCTCATAAATAGTCCTTTGATGAAATGAGCAGAGGCTCTGTGTCTGCCCGAGGTGAATACAAATGACACCACATAGACTACTTATGGGGAGGAAGTAAATGCATTCATGTCTAAAGTGATCAGCCAGTGTCCAACAGCAATGGCTAGTGATATGTTCAAAGATGAGAAATAGCATGATTCACAAGCCTTATGTTTTTTTCCTTCTCTTCCTCATTCTCTGCTTCCTTTACCTCCTCTTCTTATTATTCTAAAGGTTCTCATTATTTTCAATGAGTTCTAACAAATAGAGGATGGTGTAGAGGCAGCAAATATTGGACATACAAATTCCTAATCCAGAATATATAGTTCATGGTTTATATTTAATACATTTCGGTGCCACTTTTGAATACTATGTAATGGAGAGTGCATAGCTGAATTATATATTACTAAAAATATATGTTCTTTGCAAAGTTTAATTGCTATATCACACCATTTCAGGGACTAGAGTGAATGAGAACTTCTTTAGTTTAAAAGCAGCTATCAACATTGAGATAAGTAATAGAAACTTTCAAGTGAACCATATTACATAGAGTGCTTCCACATATGAACTTATAGATAATATTTACTATATATTCAATTAAGATAAAATAACTAATACATTTTTTGCAATTTAATTCAATTGCAACAAATTCAAAATTTCTTACCTACAGGTACATAGAAAGACAAAAGATTGTCCTAAGAAAAATCAAAATTTAGTTTCCATTTTTAAATTAGTATGTTATTACATTTAAACCTATATGTTACCACAAAACAATGCATTTTTGTTTTGAATAACTCTTTTAACAGAAAATATTTCTAATCAATTTTGAAATATATTAATATCTTGACTTAATCCAAAGCAGATTTCAGATGACAAATAATGAAATATCTACCTTAAATAATTGTTACTTCTATATATTAAATGTACATGCATACATTCATTTGTAGCATATAAATTTTTTTACATTTAAAACTAATATACAACTAAATGAAAACAAATTTTAATCGATAAATAGATGTAAGAGGCTTAAGCATGACTAAATCACCTATTTTCTTGTCCAGAGTAATCTGTTTATTCTGTAATTCAAACATGATGTAAATTGCTTAGCCCACTGAGACCTGTGTCAGACGGCTGACTTAAAAAAAACAAAAATAATTAATTTATGTTATTTTATGTCACCAATTTGTGGCAATTTATTATAGGAACAAGGGAAAAATAAAACAATAAAAATTCAGCATGAGTGCTATAATATATTTTAGGGTAAAATGTATGACAACTATAGCACAAAGGTTGAAGGGGCAGAAATAAAGGCATAGTATTGCAAATTTCTTATAATATACATGGAGCAGAATAAAATCACTTATTGGTAGATTATGATGAATTCAATGGTATATTATAAATCCTACAGAAACCACTAAATAACAAAATAGAGTTATAAAAATAAACCAACAAAGGAGATGAAGTAAAATCACACACACACACACACACACACACACACACACACACAGACAATGATAGGTAAGTGTAGGAGTTATATTAGCAGGGTGGTGGAATAGGAGGTTCTATATTTCATCCCCCTAGAAAAACACCAATTTAAGCATCATATATGGTCTTTGCAAGGACCCCAGAATCTAGCAAAGAACTTGCAGCACCCTAGAAGAGCACAGGACTAATAATGGCCTCATTTAATTGGGTATGAAGAATGGCTTCACTATGATATTTTTTTTTCATCTTCCCCTCCCTGAAGTTGGCACACCTCAGAACCAAGAGAGAGATCCTCTTAGCCTATTATTTCTACCACAAGGGAAAAAAAAAGGAGATGGATGTTCCCAATGTCCACCACCTTTCAGAGCACTCCCTGAGATACCTGCTCCTGTCTCACCTCACCCAAAGTACTGAGGGATACAGCATAGTTGGAAGACTTAGAGACAACTAGGAACAGAGAGGAGGAGCAGATAGCTCTCAGCAGTCAATGTAGCCCCAAGAAGCCATGGATTCCAAGCACACAGCTCAGATTGAAGCTGTCAGCATAGATCATAGCAGCCAGTGCAGATTGCTGCAGCTGTGAGGCCTCCAGCACATTGTGCAGCTCCCAGTTAGCACCATAGCTCTCAGTAACTGGTACAGACCTAACAGCTGTCAGAGCTCAACAGTTGGTGCAGATAGCTGCCACTCACCTGGATTACGGCAGCCGGTGAGAATCTCAGTAGATAATGAGGATCACTGCAGATGGCATGATATTTAGCAGACTACGGATCTCAGCAGTCATCCAGGATCTCAACAGTGGCTGTGACTCTCAGTAACTGGCTAGGCTCTGCGGAATTCAGAGAAGGCACACAATTCTGGCACTTCTCCCTCAGGAGAAAGGGAAGGAGAGAAGAAGAGTTTCACCTGATGTTCTGGCCTCTCAGTTCACAATCCTAGGAGAAAAGAGAGAGTGACTCTCAGTACCTGGTGTGGATCAACGGGATTGGGAAAAGATGCACTATTCTGATTTTTCAGTTTTCAGGAAGGAGGGAAAAAAGTGAAACTTGTGCCAGCATCTCAGCTTTTTAGTATACTATCCTAGGGAAAAGGAGTGGATGACTTTTAGCACCCAGCTCAGTTTTGCAGATCTGGAAGAAGGCTCATGATTCTGAGATTTCTCCCAAAAGAGAGGGAGAGTACAGAAACATGCACATTCATAAAACAGATTTGAGAGACTTCAAGAATCTCTAGCTGGGTTGAGTGAAGGGAAAAACTCAGCTAGAAATTCTTGAAGTCTGAAATCTGTTTTATGGATGTGCATAACTGCTGAAGCCAGTCATAAAGACTAGAAGAGGTCATTGTTCCTGTAAATACACAGATTTACAAAACAATGCAAAGCTACAAGGAACACGAAGAATCAGGAAAACATGACACTGTAAAAGGAACAAAATAAACCTTCAGTAACAGACTACAAATAACTGGAGAACAGTGAATTGCCTTCACAGAATTCAAAATAATAATCTCAAAGAAGTTCAATGATATACAAGAGGATAGATGTATAAACAAAATGAGAAAAATGATACATGAGCAAAATCAGAATATTAACCAAAAAATAGCAACCACAGAAAGAAACCAAAAAGAATTCTGAAGCTGAAGAATATAATAATTGAATAGAACAATGCAATAGAAAGCTTCAGCAGGAGACTTAACCAACTAGTAAAATGAATCAGTGAATTTAAAGACAGGTCATAGGTATTATCCAGTCAGAGAAATGAAAAAGAATAATAAAAAATGAAGGAAAAATAAGGAACATAAGGGATATCATAAAGTTAACCAACACAAATATTATGGGGGACTCTGAAGAGAAAACAGAGAGAGAAAGAAAGCATATTTTAAAACAGGTAAAAATCATGTATTTCCTATATCTGGAAAGAAAATTTGGACATCCAGATTTTTGAAGCCCAGAAGACTCCAACTGGGAAAAACTCAAAGAAGTCTACACCAAGACATATTATTATCAAATTGGCAAAATTTGGAGACAAACAAATAATTTTGAAAGCAGCAAAGAAAAACTAAACCATCATGTAAAATAAATCCCCTCTAAAACTATCAGCAGATTTCTCAGCAGAAATCTTTCACAGCAGAAGGGAGAGGGAAATAAAAAGTAATGGCTAACCAGTGATTGTATACCCAACAAAAATGTCTACTAAAAAGGAAGGAGAAATAAAGTCATTTCCAGACAAAAGCTGAAGGAACTTGTTACCAGCACACACTCCTTACAAAAATGCAAAGGAAGTTCTTGAAGATGAAATAAAAGAAATATAGACAACAACACAAAAGCATATGAAAATATGACTCACTTTATAAAGCTAACTATAAAGACAATATAGTATACTGTTTTGCTATAATGATAATATGGAAGTCATTCATAATTTTTATATAAAATTAAAAGTCAAAAGCATTAAGAATAAATATAAGTATAAATATGTTATTGAATCCATAATCTTAAACAATATAAACTGTGTTATCCATAAAACATGAAGCGCAGGTTGGGGAGTAAAAGTATAGATGTGAATGAAGGAAATATATTACCAATTTAAATTGGCCTATTATATGTATAAGATATTTTATGTAAGCCTCGTGGCAACCATAAAAATTAATATATATGGAAGAAACACAAAAGAGAAAGGAGTGAAAAAAATCACTAAAAAAATCAAGAAAACACAAAAGACAGTAAGATGAGAAAAAAGAAAAGAAAGAACTATAAGAAAGACAGTAAACAATCAACAAAATGTCAATAAGAAGTCCTTATTTCCCAATAATTAAGTGGATTAAAATCCTCACTTAAAATACATAGTCACTAAGTTGATTAAGAAAAAAATAAAAAACACCCAACTAGATACTACCAAAAGAGACTCACTTTATATTTAAGGTTTAAGGACACATAGAGTGGAATTGTAGGGATGGAAAAAGATATTTATCGAAAATAGTATAACAAAGAGAGCAGGGGTAACTATACTTAGACAGAATGGTATTTCAGTTACAATTGATTCCCAGAGACAAAAAAAGGATACTATATTAAGATAAAAGGAGAAATTTTCAGGAAGATGTAACTAATACAGCAAATATTAACATATAAATAAAGGGACAAAGGGACAGCAATTCAATAATAGTAGGAAACTTCAATGACCCACTTTCAACAACAAATAGGACCCCCAAACAGAACATTAATAAGGCAACAACAGTTTTGAAAAACACTGTAGATAAAATAAACCTAACAGACATATCCAGAACATCCCATCTAATGGCTTCAGGATTAACATTCTTCTCAAGTGCACATGGAACATTCTCCATGATAGAGCATATTTTGGGCTTAAAATGAGTCCTAACAAAATTAAGAAGAATAAAAGCATCTCAAGTATCTTTCCTGACTACAAATGTAAGAAACTAGAAATTAATAACGTAAGGAAAATTGGAAAACCAAAAAAAAGTAGATATTTAATAAAACACTTCTGAACAACTAATGGGTCAAAAAAGAAATAAGAAAATATCTTATGAAAACTAAAAATTAAAACACAACACAGAAAAACTCACGGAATACACCAAAAGAAGTACACAGATGTGTGATAAACACCTAAATTAAACAAGAAGAAAGATCTCAAATAAACAACCTAACTTTAGACCTCAAAGAACTCAAGAAAAAGAAAAAGAAGTAAAAGTTTCAAAAGGATAAAGTAATAAATGAAAGAGAAACTAGAAAAACAACAGAATAAGAGTTGGCTTATTGAAAAGACAAAATAGATCAACCCTTAGCTAGACTAAGAAGGAAAAGAGACAACATAAAACTTTAAAAATTAAAAATGAAGGAGGTGACATTACAACTGAATGCCACAGATATAAAAAGGATCAAAAGATACTGGTATAAATAATTATATGCCAACAAATTGGATAACTCACAAGACATAGGCAAAAGTATACACCTATGGTGACTGAATCAGTAAAAAGTACAAAGTATAAACAAATTAATATTGAGTAAGAAGATTGGATCAATAATCAAAAAACTTCTGACAAAAGTTCAGGACTAGATGGCTTTACAGGTGAATTCTACCATTTAACAATGTTAAAAACCAATTCTTCTCAAACTCTTATGACATCACTGAAGGGGAGGAAACACGACCAAACTCATTTTATGAAGCCAGCATTACCCTGATACCAGAGCAAGAGAAAGATACCACAAGAAAATAAAAATACAGGTGAACATCCCTGATAAATACAGATGCAAAACTCCTCAACAAAGTACTAGCAAACTGAATTCAACAGCACATTAAAAGGATCATATACCATGAGCAAGTAAGATTTATCTGGGGGCCTCAGCACTAGTTCAATACACAAAAATCAATTCATATAATTTACTATGTTAACATAATAAAGGATAAAAAAAATCACATAATCATCTCAATAGATGCAGAGAAAGCATGTAAATAGTCCTAATCTCTAAAATCCATAAGGAACTTAAATCAACAAGCCAAACACAAATAATTCCATTAAAAAGAGAGTGAAGAACATAGATACTTCTCAAAAGAAGGTATAAAAAGAGCCAACAAACATATAAAAAAAAGTTCAATATAATTCATTATCAGAGAAATGCAAGCCCAAAACTATAATGAGATACAATTTCACACCAGTCAGAATGGCCTTTGTTTAAAAGTCTAAAAACAGCAGATGCTGGTGAGGCTGTGGAGAAAAGGGGATGCTTATATATTACTGGTGAGAATATATATGAGTCCAGCCACTGTGGAGAGCAGTTTGAAGATTTCTCAAGGAACTAAGAGTTGAACTACCACTTGATCCAGCAATTCCATTACTGGATATATACCCAAAGGAAAATATGTCATTCCATTAAAAAGACACATATATCTACATGCTCAACACAGCACTAGTCACAATAGTCACTAGTGCCCATCAACACTGGATTGGATAAAGAATGTGTGGAATACAACACCTCCATAAAAATGAATGAAATAACGTCATTTGCAGCAACATGGATGCAGCTGGAGGTGCTTACCCTATGTGAACAGACACAGAAACAGAAAATCAAATACTGAACATTCCTGGAAGATGGATTCATTCACACTTCAAACCTCAGCATCATACAATATACCTTTGTAACAAACCTGAACATGTACCCCATGAACCAATAATAAAAGTTGAAAAAAAGCAAATAAAATATATTCAGTTTGCTTGTATAACAAAGAAGAAATAGAAAGTTTGAACAGTCTTGTAACTGTTAAATAAATAAAAATCCTTCCACAAGGAAAAAAAATAAGAAAAGCACTTAATAAACTCTAACACCCTTTTATGCCTTTCATAATGAAAAATTTCAACAAAATAGGAATAGAGAAAAATTACCATAATATAATAAAGGCCATATATGAAAAGCCTACAGCTAATATTATACTCAACAGTGAAAAACTGAAAGCTTTTCCAGTGAGGTCAAGACAAAGAAAGGATGTCTATTCTTGAAACTTCTATTCAACATAGTATTGGAAGTCCTAGCCAGAGAAATCACACCAGAAAAAAAATAATAAAAGTTATCCAAGTTTGAAAGAAGAAATTAAGTTGTTTCTGTTTGCAGATGACATGATTTTATATAAAGAAAACCGTAATGATGCCACAAACAAGCAACAAAAAAACCTTGCTAGAACTAATAAAGAAATTAAGTAAATTTGCATAAAATTAATAAAAATCAGTTGGTTTTCTACACAATAATAACAAACCGTTTGAAAAAGAAATTAGAAAAATGGTTCCATTTATAAGAGCATAAAAAATTAAATACTTAGGCATAAACTTAAGTAAGGAAGGGAAAATCTTATACATTGAAAACTAAAAAAAAATTGATGAAAATAGAGAAGATACAAACAAATGGAAAGACAGTCCATGATCTTGGATTAAAAGGCAATATTTTTGGACTGGTGCAGTGGCTTATGCCAGTGATCTGAGTATTTTGGGAAGGGTAAGGCAGGCAGATCACTTGAGCCCTGGAGTTTGAGACTAGCCTGGGCAACATGGTGAAAACCCGTCTCTACAAGAAATGCAAAAATTAGTCTGGTATGGTGGCATGTGCCTATAGTGCCAGCTGCTGGGGAGGCTGAGGCCAGAGAATCACTTGATCCTGGGAAGGGGAGGTTGCAGTGAGCCAAGCCAAGATTGTGCACTGCACTCTTGCCTGCGTGACAGATCAAGACTATGTCTTGAAAAAAAAAAGAAAAAAAAAAGACAATATTCTTAAAGTGCCCACACTACCTGAAGTGAACTACAGATTCAATGCAATCCTTAAATTCCAATAGCATTATTTTTTACAGAAACAGAGAGAATCTCTAAAATTGTTATGGACAACAAAACTTATCAAATAGCCAAAATAATCTTGAAAAAAGAACAAAGAACTATAGCATCACACTTTTTGACCTTAAATATATTATAAAATTATATTAGTTAAAATAGTGAAGTATTAGCATAAAGATAGACATATAGACTAACTGAACAGAATGTAAATCACAGAAATAAACCTATGCACATACTGTCATCTGATCTTTGACAAAGGTGCCAAGAATGGGGATTGAGTAGTCTTTCCAATAAGTGTATTTGGAAAACTGGCTATCCACATGCAAAAGAATGAAACTAAAACCTTATCTTATACCATACAGAAATCAACATAAAATGGATTAAATACTTAAATATAACATATGAAATGGTAAATAAAATAAAACATAGGGGAAAGCCTCAAGGCATTGGTCCTGGCAATGATTTCATGAATGTGAAAACAAGAGCCAGGAAAAAAAAAAAAAAAACTGTGACTACATCAAACCAAAAGGCTTCTGCCCGACAAAGAAAACAAATGAAAAGAGAATCTATAAAATGGTTCAATATTGTTATTTTATGTGACTATTTGAATTTTTTATTTGTGTTTACAATTTAAAGATTTGATAGAAGCAACCCAAGTTTTTGTTTATTTATTTACCTGTCGATGAATGGATAAAGAAAACGTGGTATATACATAAAATAAGTTATTAATTGACTTTATAAAGGAAGAAAATTTGGACTCATACCACAATATGAATAAACTTTGTGGACATTATGCTAAATGAAATAAGTCACAACTAAATGACATTTACTGTAGGATTCACTTGATATGAGGTATCTTGTGTAATCAAACTCATAGAAATAGAAAGCATAATGGTAGTTGCCAGGGGCTGGGAGGAAGGAGAAAAGCGGAGCTATCACTTAATATGTAGAGTTTCAGTTTTGCAAGATGAAAAGTTCTGAAGATTGGTTGCACAACCATGTGAACATGCTTAACACTACTCAATTGTACATTTAGAAATAAGATGGTAAATTTTATGTTATATGTTTTTTACCACAATAAAAAAAGGTAAAGCAGTGAGAGTATGAACAGCAGTGAAGTGTAATATTTTTGTTCGTTAAGTGCAAATTTGAGTTTATAACATGTAATATGTTACTAAATTTGAATCATATGGTTTTATACATGTGCTTGATAGTCTTTTTATTTCTTATATTAACTGTGTATTCTTGTGCTTTATTCATTTCTTGCCTAACATTCTAATGTTTTTAGTCAATTTGTGTAAGCTTTTTAAATATCAAGTCATATTTGTTGCTACAAAAATAAAAGAAAAATTAAGAATTAACTATGTCCAATTCTGAGTGGTTGAGACAATTTATAAAATAATTTTTATAAGTTATCGGATGATCATGAAAACCAGATTTATTGAAACAGATTCAGGAAATAATGACATGGCAGCAACCATAAGTCACAAGAATAAATAAGAATTTCTGAGGCATTTATAGGTGAAATTATGTCCAGGATTTGCATTAAGTTACCCTGCAACAAGTATGTGGGAGTGTAAATGAATCAGGCTGAATATTGATCACTATTTAAACTGCATGATGGGCACATGGCTTAATTATGGTAGACTACATGTTTGAGAAAAGTCCATAATACATGATTTAATTTCATAAAATTGCATTATGTATAAGGGATAATTAGAGTAATAATTTTGAAGATAAAGATGCCAATAATCACATTAAATGTAAGTACTCTAAATGCTTCATTTAAATGTGAGAGACCATGATATTGATTAAAACACCAAGGTCTACTTATATGCTGCCTATAAAGATGCACTCTAATTATGAACACAGAAATAATATGTTTGAAAAAAGATATGACATGCTAACACCAATCATAAAAGGGCTGGTGTAACATATTAACATCAGACAAAATAGATTACAAAGAAAAAAAGATTACCAGAGATAAACAGGTTATTTTGAAGAGTAAGAGATCAATCACTCTTCAAATTTCAATAGTCCTAAAGATTTATACAAATAATCACAGAACTGCGAAATACCCAAAGTGAAAACTGATTGAACTGAAAGGAGAAAAAGCAAATCTACAATTACAAGCAAAGATCTTAACACCCTTTTCTCAATAATAGAAAGAACAGGTAGATAGAAGATCATTGGTAATATAGATGATCTGACAAATTTTACAAACAAAATTTACCAATTTGATATTTATAGATTACACACCATCAACAGCAGAACACCATTCTTTTTAAGGAAACATGAGACATTTGCCAAGATAGATGATATTCTGGAACAGAAGACAAATCTAAATTGTTTTAAGGATTCAAGGCATAGAAGATACATTCTCTGGACTTTTCAATCAATTAAACTAAAAGAGAAATCAATAAAAAAAAACCTCTGGAAAATCCCAAGACATATGAAGGAATAAAAGTGAAAATTAGTTGTAATTTTGAGCTGAAGCAAAATGAAACTGCAACATATTGGAATTCGTGTGGAGCTGTTAAAATAGCACATTTATAACATTTACAAAGGACATTTATGACAAAAAGGCTATACCAGAGAGAAAAAAAGATCTAAAGTCAATGGCCACAGTTTTCATCTTAACACACTGTAAAGAAAAGTGAGAATTAAATGCAAATAAATTTAAAAAGTTCTGAATGAAAACATGAAATCAGTGAAATAGGAGATGGGAAAAAAACAAATTTCCAAAATCATGAATAAAAGAGATTACATCACTACATATTCTACTGGAAATAAAAGTGTAATGTAATAAATGTTATATACAACTTTATGCCAATATTTCTGAAGACTTAGTTAAAATGTAGAAGTTTTTGAGAGACAAACTCATAGCACAATAAAAAACAGATAACATATATATATATACACATATATATATATACACATATATATATATACACATATATATATACACATATATATATACACATATATATATACACATATATATATATACACATATATATATATACACATATATATATATATATATATATATATATATGAAATTGAATTTGTAAGTCAAACTCTTTCAACAAAAACAAACCTCCAGATGCTAATGACTTCACTGGTTAATTCTACTAAACATTTAAAAAACACGAAATGGCAATTCTAAAAAATTTGACTAGAAACTTGAAGAGAAGGAAAATCCTAATTTATTCTGTGAAGGCAGTATTATCCTGATATTACAACCAGAAAAATACTATAAAGGAAGAAGACAACTATGGACCAACATTTCTCACTAACATAGATTAAAAAAAAACTCTAAATAAAAATCTAGCAAAGAAATCTAACACTATACTAAAACTATATAATACATTTTGAATGTGAAATTTATCATGGGAATAAAAAGTTGCCTTTACATCCAAGTATTAATCCAGGTAATTCACGAAATTTACCACTTTTTTTTTTTTTTTTTTTTTTTTGAGACTGAGTCTTACTCTGTCACCCAGGCTGGAATGCAGTGGCACTATCTCGGCTCACTGCAACCTCCACCTCCCCGGTTCAAGCGGTTCTCCTGCCTCAGCCGCCCGAGTAGCTGGGACTACAGGCGTGCACCACTAGGCCCAGCTAATTTGTTATATTTTTAGTAGAGACGGTGTTTCACCATGTTGGCCAGGCCAGTCTCTACCTCCTGACCTCAGGTGATCTGCCCGCCTCAGCCTCCCAAAGTGCTGGGATCACAGGCGTGAGCCACTGCTCCTGGCCACAATATTTTTTTCTTTTAAGTAAAACTGTGACATGTGACTAAGGCATAGAGGAAGCATTTGGCAAAACTCAACATTTATCATGATGAAAATCTCTCATGAAAGAATAGAAAAGAAGTCTTCAACTTGATACAGGACATACACAAAAACCTGCAGCTTGTGCCATACTTAATGGTAAAAGAATGAATGTTTTATAAGTTTGGTATCAAAGTAAAAATATCTGCTTTCACTACTCTATTCATCATTGTACTAGAAATTTTAGCTAGTGCCACAAGGAGAGAAAAAAGAAAGTCATACAGACTGGAAAGAAAAAAAAACAATACTCCCTAAAATCAGATGAAATGATTATGTAGCATATTACACAATCCCAGGAAATCTACAAAAAAAATTATAGAACTAGTGAGTTTATCAAGAGCACTGAATACAAAGTAAATACACACATACACACAAAAGAATATTTATGTGTACTAGGAATGAACAATTGGAAATAAGCAGTTTTTAAAACTATTCATAATAGGTCCTTTAATCAATGGAATTATCACATTGTCTGAATTCTCTGTGGCATTATCTCTGTGTTTTTCTATTGGCTAAGATTTTTCTGGAGTACCTGATAGAAAGAGGGGGGTTATTTAATCTCTGGATAGAAAAAAAAAGCAAAACATTTATTTATTGGAATTTAGTAAGTATCTTTCCTGGTACTCTTTGCAGGGGTTTTAGTATGTATACATTTAAATCCATCTGAATCCAATCAATGGGTAAATATCACACAGCAGATTAAACAGGGAAAGTGAGACATGAAGATTATGCAACTCTGCTAAAGGAGTGACTATAAGTATAAGGAAACTCTGTATGGTGCTCGAAGAATGAGAGATAGTACTGAAGGAAGGACAAACTTGGAAAGAGTCCAGATTTTGTTGGAGATTTAGTTCAGCCGACTGATAGCAGAGGAGTTTACTGGTTTGCCTAATCCAGAACTGGTCTGCCTAATTCAGAACTGGTCTGCAGTCAGTGGGCAAATAAGCAGTGTCAGTGTGCAGAGGGAGACGCAGCTTGCTGAGAACTCTATAAAACTGCTGCACAGGGCCTGCAGAAGGAATCCCGATGCAGGTGAAGGTGGGAAGTCTTTTAGCCTTACTTCCATGAACCGGGCCACTGGAAGCTTATTGCCAGGCAGGACCTTGTCTGCAACATTGATGTTCTCAGTTCTACACCACTGGTAACCCACTGGGCAGCAGCAGGAAACAGCAAGAGAGCCTCTTTCTCCCCCAAGTTCCCTCTAGCCCTCTCTACTGAGAAGTATCACATGGTGCTCACCATAAAGGAGGATGCTTTAAAGGGATTCTGTCCATTATGGCAGGGCATTAATTGAAGGAAAAATTTGAATTGATAACTGGCATACTGTTTAAAGTCCTTTATCCTGCAGGTTACATAAGTCAAATGAAGAGTATTCAAATGTGTGCTATAATCGTTCTATTTTCACAAGCTATGATCAATAAAGAAATGTAAACTATTCCTGGATTTTCCAGACATAATTATGACCCTTTAAAAGTTATTTTTTTTAGAAAAATTACCCATTTATTTTCACCAACACAAAAAAATCTACCATGATCACTACATTTGTTACCTATAGCCTCACATTGTTCTTTCACTCCTTATTTTTTGTCTCTATATCCTTATTTTATACAACTTTTCCTTTCTGAATGCAACTTCATCCCAAATACCATTCAAATTTCTTTATGATCTCACATTGTCATCTCTTAATGTTTTAAACAGATTTATTAAAGTAGAATTGACACAAGATAACCATCCATACTTAAAATATACCATCAAATACATTTTAACATATGAATAAAACTGAAAAATCATGACACACAAGATAATAAACACAATCATCAACTCCAAAGTTTCACAGGCTTCATTGGGCTCTCTTATTAACCTTCCCACTCCATACACTGATTTTCAGGGAACCACAGATCAGCTTTCAGTCACCATAAGATTCCCTTATTACCTCTTTAATATTTCTAGATTGTGTAATTAAATCATCTCTCTTATTTCTGATTTTGGTAATTTATGAACTTTCTGTTTTTTGACCAGTTTGACTACAGATTTATCAATTTTATTGATCTTCTCAATGGCTGGCACCCTTCCCCCAGCCTCGCTGCCGCCTTACAGTTTGATCTCAGACTGCTGTGCTAGCAATGTGCAAGGCTCTGTGGGCACAGGAACCTCCAAGCCAGGCGCAGGATATAATCTCCTGGTGTGCCATTTACTAAGACTGTTGGAAAAGCGCAGTATTAGGGTGGGAGTGACCCGATTTTCCAGGTGCCGTCTGTCACAGCTTCCCTTGGCTAGGAAAAGGAATTCTCTAACCCATTGTGCTTCCCAGGTGAGCAGGTGAGGCAATGCCTCGCCCTGCTTCGGCTCACGCTCGGTGCGCTGCACCCACTGTCCTGCACCCACTGTCCAACAAGCCCCAGTGAGATGAACCCAGTACCTCAGTTGGAAATGCAGAAATCGTCCATCTTCTGTGTTGCTCATGCTGGGAGCTGTAGACTGGAGCTGTTCCTATTCAGCCATCTTGGAACAGCCCCCCAACTAGGTTTCAATTTAACCTGTTTTCTCTATTTTGTGTTTTCTGTTTCATTGATTCCTGATCTCATTTTTATTATTATAATTTATCTGTTTAAATTAAATTTGTTCTTTCTATAGTGTTGTAAGATGAAATATGAGATTTTCTTTTTTAAAATATCCACTTACTCTTTTAAAAATGTTTCTCAAATATTAATAAACTTCTTATCATTTAAAACTGAAGCTACATCTCATAAATTATATGTTGCATTTGTATTTTCATTTAATTCAATATGCTCCCTAATTTCCTTTTTGATTCCTTCCTTGAGACACTCATTATTTAATGTGTTTAATTTAGTTTCTGAATATTTGGAAATTTTCCAGAGATCTTTCTGGTATTGGTATCTTATATCTCATATATCTATTCACACATTTATCAGTGCTCTTCATTTATTTGTGGTATCATTTTCAAAACAGTTTATCCCTGAAGATATGTCCTAACTTATATACGATGATATAGCAGAATAATTCAAAACCCAGTAAGAAATCCGTGTAAACCATATATAATAGATGATATAAATGTAAGAAGATAACACAAAAAATCGTTTAATCAAATTTACATAATATTTTTAATAGAATTAAAGTTCATATAATTTTTAACTGAAGTTCCAATAACATTCATGATGAACAAGTAATCAATAAGTATGTTGGTATTTAGCTGCTACCCAGCTCAGTCCCCCAACATGTGTTTTAGCAATGATCATTTAATGTTAGACCGTGTCACTATAACTAGATATTTATGAAATTTAATTATATTGATTAAATAGTATATTATTAATATAAGGTATTTTTGAGGATTTGCAAGTATATAATGGATATATTGCTGTATACACTCATAAATGTCTTTTAAGAAATCATTAAAGTATCTAACCTCCATAATGATCCTATTAAACTTCAATTTAATGCCTAGTTAAGTATGCTTAGGGCAAATCATTTAGGCTATGACCATACAGATTAAATGAATTAAAGAATCAAAATGTTATCTGAATAATTTTAGCCAAAAGTAAATTTTAAAGTCTAAATTAGCTAGGCCAGATGTCTACTTTAATTGTATATTTTAGATACATCTATATAACTCTTACGTTATTCTTTTTTCAAAGAATAAAATTTAAATTTTGTTAAAACTATAATGGAAGATCCTCAAGGTAGAAATCATTTGTTCATTTCTGTACTTCACGGTTGAACATGGACTAACTGAATTAACAGAATGTATAGAGGTTATGCATAGTAAATTCTTAATAAAAATGGCTAAACCTGAATTAGAAACACTAAATGATATTTACATAAAATCAATTTTCAGAGTATAAAATTTTATAGTCTTTATCACAGGTTTTATAAAATATTATTATATGGTCGACCCTTGAACAATACTGGTTTTAACTGTGCAGGTACACTTAAACACAGGCTTTTTTCAACCAAAGTTACACTGAGTACGTAACTCCTGCTTTCCCTTCTATTAATATGTCCTTCACCTCTTCTGCCTCTGCCACACCTGAGACAGCAAAACCAACCCTTCCTCCTCATCATCCTCAGCCAACTCAACATGAAGACAAGAAAGATGAAGACCTTTGTGATGATCCACTTCCACTTGATGAACAGGAAATACATTTTCTGTTTCTTATGATTTTTGATAACTTTTTTAGCTTATTTTATTGGAAGAATGCAGAATGTAATATATATATATATATATATATACACACACACACACACACACAAAAGATATTTAAATTGACTTTATTTTGTTAGTAAGGCTTCTTGTCAACAGTTGCTTTTAGTTCTTAAGTTTTGGGAGAGTCAAAATTTATATATGGATTTTTGACTGCACAGGTATCACTCCCCTAACTTCCATGTTGTCCAAGGGTAAATTGCATAGTAATAATAATCTTCCAAGAGTTTTTAATGTAAAATTAACCCAGGAGGCTCTCCTAGTATTGTCTGTGCTTGTATAAATAATGAAGATTTGGACACTAAATACCTTACCTCAGCCACAGTAATGTCAACTATCTAACAAAGTAAGCAAATTTATTGATTATCTCAATAAATATATTAGTCACATTATACACATATTTTTCCTTTCATTATATAAATGCCACTCCTCTGGATGCTGAATCATATTTAAAGATTAAAAGTGCATAGAAACTTAACTTGTCAATCCAAAGGGTAAAGTATATGCAAATAAAACCATCAAAAAGTACAAATATGGCCGGGCGCGGTGGCTCACGCCTGTAATCCCAGCACTTTGGGAGGCCGAGGCGGGCGGATCACGAGGTCAGGAGATCGAGACCATCCCGGCTAAAACGGTGAAACCCCGTCTCTACTAAAAATACAAAAAATTAGCCGGGCGTAGTGGCGGGCGCCTGTAGTCCCAGCTACTTGGGAGGCTGAGGCAGGAGAATGGCGTGAACCCGGGAGGCGGAGCTTGCAGTGAGCCGAGATCCCGCCACTGCACTCCAGCCTGGGCGACAGCGCGAGACTCCGTCTCAAAAAAAAAAAAAAAAAAAAAAAAAGTACAAATATATTGGGACTAATGCAAAAAAAGTATAAGTGAAAATATTTAGATGTTCAGAAAACTAGGAAATTATTTCTAAATAAAATAATGAAGGAAAAGTTTGTAATAGAAATAAAATTTTACCTTGTTCTTAAAACATTGGCAATATTTGGAAAATATTGGGATTGTAAAATGAAGAACTAGGCATACTCCATTAGATTAAAGTTATGATGGTGGAAATATCTATTGTCTGTCCAGGAAACCATGGGCTGTAAGTTTGGCTGAAGTAGAGTACATTAGAAGGAAAATCATAAAGAAGATGAATTAGCAGATTTCTGCATTTACTGCTGCAATGAGTGAATTAAATGTCAAGATAAGGTGTTCAGACGGTGACGATATTTTCTAAAGTGAATATTTAGATAATAATTTTTCAGAGAACAAATCATATTTGTTAATTCGAATGTTTCCATCAACTTATAGAACTTAAATATCATTTGTTTAAATAAGTTTGAGCATACTTTGAAGGGAAATAAATAAAACCTAAAATATTTCTTCAGAAAACTAAAAGTCTTCCTTATCCCTAACCCACCAAAAAAAAAAAGTAATTTTATTTCTCTAACTTTTCTTGCTATAACAGTACAACAAATGATACAGCAGTATCATTCACCTCAGGCCCCCACTGTTTTTCTGATGCAGCAGATCCTCCAGTTCTCATGAATAGTGATCTATAATCCCATTGAAGTTGCTATGTTAGTGACTTTACATAAAAGTTACTACTTCAGAAAAAGAAGAGCAGAAAGAGTTCAGTAATTCTCCATAAGAATTAAATGTTAATGTTGAACTTTTGGCATCAATAAGATCAGTTGATATATCAGTTAGGAATTTGGTCCTAACTGGAAAGTGGCATAAAATTCAGACCAAAAGTAGCTTCAAGAGGCAATTATTGGTTGATGTGACTGTAATATTAAGTGCAAAGTTAGTTTAAGAAGCAGTTAAATTGAATGTTTATGGCCACAGTATTTATTTTCATCACTCTATAGCTCAGCCTCACCTTTTTCCCAATTTATTTTTCTTCTCTTTTCTTCTTTTCAAGCCATTCATAGCAGCTTTAGAGCTGACACACCTCAGTTTCAATCAAGCTGTACAATGCAGGTTTCTTTCCCAGATGACCCATCAACAGTATTATCTCGTTTCATTGGTATTTGTCAAAATGGAAAATAGATTTTGATTAAAATTTGATGTAGGGATTTTTTGTGCTTTCAATAATAGTTTTAGGTATGGGAAACTTATGTGGCAACATGAAATATTCCTAAGACTTCTCCCTCAACCAAAAAGAATTCTCATATTTTGTTCAATGTCAAATTTAAGACTTCATGAAAGGCTATACCTGCCTTCCCACTTTTTAGCCTGGGCTCAGCATTTATAACTTACTGTAATATCCCCTTTTACTATACTCCTGCAACTGTTTTATCTCATCAGTCCAGTTGGCCCCTGGTACAATTTCTGGATCCAGGTACTTCCCCTCATTCTTAATCTGTTCATCTTTACAGTCTACTTTCTTCCGTGTATAGATATTTTAAAAATATTTTTACAAGAATATGTGGGAAAGTTTTCGTTGAAGTAGAAGACTGTATAATATTCATTTTGACTAGAAAGTAAAAAAAAAAATCACTTCTAGTCAATAATTGTGTGTAAGATAATGGACTAGCTTTCCCCTCTATCTTTCATGCCTCAAAATTCATGGCATCGCAGAAAAATTCAAAGGAGATGTAGTGGAAAACCTTCTTTGTGGCTTTAAGGTAAGTTTCTCTCTTTTTAAAAGGTATATGAAGACAAGATGCTATTCTTACCATCTTGTTGTCTTTGAGTAATTTTGTTATAAAGTTAGATTTCTGGAGATAACAGTACAACTTATAGTCAGGAGTCCCATAGGTGGAGAAAAACCAACATGGTAGGGATGCCGGAATGGTAATTTGAACAACAACAAAAAAAACTAACACTCTTGAAAGTTCAGTTGAGTTACTGAAGTAACTTGCCTTGGAAAAAGTGATCACTGGGCATGCTAAGTAAGATACTGTGTCTATATTCCATAATCCACTTTAAATTCAGTAACTTAAAGCTATTTAAAATCTAAAGTATACTAATTCTTAAAGGTGAACCTAGGGCTAACATATTACTGTCCTCATATTTGTATTTCTTAATTCATAAAAAATTGAAAGTAGTATGACAATATGAGTCTATCAATTTCAGCTTAACTCAATATTAAGGGAGAAAACTAGTTACATTTGCCATTTTGTACTTCAGTGGGGCTCTGTTTACCTCAACCCCCCTAACTCTCAATATTTTACCTCTTTCAAGTTCTCTGATTACTACTTTGTTTCCAGGATTATTTCTAAGTGTATGCCTTATGCTTTGCTCATGCCTTCCTCAAATATCTGAAATTCTCTACCTCAGACCTGTCACCTCTACCTGTGAAAATATTACTTTTGTTCAGTGTTCGTATCAAATGTCCTCTCTATAATAAGAATTTCCTTACCTCGCCCAATAAAACTGCTTTTCCTTTCCCTGATGTTTGAGAACATCTCTTTCTGTACTTTTCTTATGCCAATTCTTATATTTTGCTTTAAATTTTACTCTTTCAGAGTTAACATTATTTCAGGTCAAATATTGCATCATATGTACAGTGAAATCCTTGAAGAGGGGAAGATTTTCATGCAGTGTTATATCCACCATTCCTGGTACATGGTAGGTGTCTGATAAGTATTTGTTGAATAAATGGTATTAGAAGACTGATTTTAAAATAGACAAATTTCTCTAAGGCACTGTATTTCCTCAGCTCCTTACCTGAAAAAATTTATATTGCGGGTGCCTCTGAGAGTAGTTACCTCTTTGGATAGAATTAATGTTTAGCTTTTGCTTGCTAGAACAATTCAGTCCTGAAAATAGTTATCAGCCATAAAAATAAAGTACAAACATTAACTTTTTTAGAAAACAATTCACTTTCCCTCTAAGTGGTAACGGATAGAAAAATAAATGAAATTAACATGCTTATCTCTTCTCCCAGCATGGATCTTTAGGTGCTCTGGATGAGTCTGCAAGATTAACATGCTAGAATCTCACATAAGAATTGTTCACAGCTCCATGGATGATTTTAAATGTAATTCAGAAATATTATGAAATAATTTAATTTCCTACAAATGAGCACAGACATTGCAAGGATTAGAATACAAAATACCACCACTTTTCAGTAAGTATTTGCTGGAATTAAGTTTGCTGTATACAAATATTCTATAATTCAGTATGCACTGGTTGCTTTTCTATTACTAGTAGTACTTGGTTTAATTTTTTTCTACACACTGAGGATTCGCAGTCTCTTAATTTAGAGGGGAAGAACCTGCTAGTAGGACTTCCCTCTCTAAATAGGTTTATCCTAAAGGGGTTATACTTTATGTGCTTTGAGATATACAATTTCACCCCTTCTTATGAATCAGCAAAAATCCAAGGCCAATGGAATCCAAAAGGAAACAAGTTTTAGGAATGTTCAAATTATTCAATTAAGTTTTCTAACACCATCAATTAGCAAAATAAAGCTGTGAGTTGATAACATTTATCAAGTGCTTACTATGTCTCAGGCATCATTCTAAGCACTTGTTATGTATTATCTCACTGAAGATCACAGACACAGCCATGGGAAATAAGCTATGTACCCCTACATTTAGTTCTTGAAAACAAAGAAGAGAGACATACATAGGACCACTCACTTTGCCTCCTGTGATTCCCTAATCTCTATCCTTCACTACAAATCATTTTGTAATTGCAAAACGGAGGACAAAAAAAATCTCACCATAAATTTCACATTGTGTTTTAATCAGTGTGCCTACCTGATAATATTCCACCATAAGGACTTGAACTCATAATATTCCACCATAGGGACTTGAAAAGTAAGTAGAATTATTACATAAAAGTGGTTTTTGCTTTTTCTAATTTATTCAATATCGCCAAATCCATACTAGACAATCTTTAGTTATATTGTCCACAGGATTAACTAACTCATTAGTCCTTCATGTAATAAAATTTAAAAAAGCATAAGAGGAAAAAGGATAAAACAATTGAAAATGACTTCATAAAGGACATATTGGGAGTGCAATGAAGTGAGTGGAACCGTTTATGTAGCTGTTGTATTGAGCCGCATATATATGGGTATCTCTGAGCTTCAACTTCTCCATCTGTAAAATAAAGGGGATTGGATTCCATTTCTTCTAATATCCATTTAATTTAAAGTAGTGCATGGTATCACATAAGAAAAAGAAAAATAAACTCATTTTTCCTAAGTCTTAATCAAAATTGAACAAGTCAGTGTTAATTTCTCATGAATATTTTTGAAATAGGGAAATGCAATTTATTTTTTGGATAATTTTTCCCAGAATAACACTGATATTTTACACTATAATCAAAGAGAGGTTAGTACACTTTGTCTTAAGAGTTCTTTGAAAATACAAATTTATATATATTGAAGGAGCAAGTTATTTAAAGATACATAGACTTACAGTCATGTGTCACTTAATGATGAGAATATGTCCTAAGCAACGTGTCCTTAGGTGATTTCATCATTGTGCAAACATCACAGAGCATACTTACACAAACCTAGATGGTATAAGCTACTACACATGTAGGCTGTGTGATATAACCCATTGCTTCTAGGCTACAAAACCGTACAGCATGTTACTGTACTGAATACTATAGGCAATTGTAAATAATGGTATTTGTCTAAACATAGAAAAGGTACAGTAAAAAATACGGTATTTCAATCTTATAGAAACACAGCCATTGTATATTCAGTCTGTCATTGACTGAAATGTTATAAGGTATATGACTATATATGGATTCTCAGTTGCTGTCATTCAAGTGTGTTACTGTAATAGCACTAGAAAGGAATCTCACTGGAGTTTTTTGCAAGAGTGAGAAAGTTTGTCCTTCTGTATGAAACAAATAAAGTCACTAAATCTGTGAATGTTGACATCTTTTGAATTACACAACCAATATGTTGAGTCACTGACTTCAATTATCAGAGTGTGAAAACAGACTGATCGAGTTGTCGTCCTCTCTTTTCCCGGTCTAAGTGGGAAAGCTCTACTTTCTACAGCTCCTAAAGGCATGGAGTTATGCAGCAAAAAAATGTTGGCAAACCAGCCTTCATTACAGTTTTGTGAATTCTTCACTTTACGGAAATAATTTTTTTTTTTTTTTTTTTTGAGAGTCTCGCTCTGTCTCCCAGGCTGGAGTACAGTAGTGCGATCTCCTCTCACTGCAAACTCTGCCTCCCGGGTTCGCGCCATTCTCCTGCCTCAGCCTCCTGAGTAGCTGGGACTACAGGTGCCCGCCACCACTCCCTGCTAATTTTTTGTATTTTTAGTAGAGACGGGGTTTCACCATGTAAGCCAGGATGGTCTCGATCTCCAGACCTCGTCATCCACCCGCCTCGGCCTCCCAAAGTGCTGGGATTACAGGTGTGAGCCACCGCGCCTGGCCATAAAATGGTATTTTTTAAAGACAAAAATTACAATATACAATTACTTTACTCACCTAGAACCCACACATCTGTCATTTTCAGTTATTCAGACACTATGAGAAAAAGAACAAGAATAACAGAAATAGGAAAATATCCCTCTAGTCACATAAACCAGTGTCATAAAAGCTATACATTAATATCCAGGCTAACAGACAAAATATGGATTTCCAGTTTAGACAACATTAAAAGTTATAGTATAGAAATGACTGCTGGAGACAGATGATATTATAACACCCATATATAAACACTTAGTGAGCACTATTTAGTGTGTATTGTCGGCAGTGTTTTACATGCATTAACTTTTTACATCTTCAGCATGACATAATTATTTCTTTCCATTTTATAGATTATAAACCTGAGGCACAGAAAGGTGTTATAATTTACCTCAAGTCACACAGCGGTAAATGATGTTGTCACGGTTTAATCTCAGGCAATCTTAGTATAAAACTAATATGTGAAACCATGACGTTACACTACATTTCTGTCAATAAAAAAGAAATAATTTTAGCCTAAAAATTGAGATGAAATAAATAAGAAATATTTAACTACCAATTATGAAAGGAACAAATTTTTAACATATAAACAAAGATTTATCTTTTAATATGTTTTAGTATACTTATCAATCAATTCTTTCAGCAAATTGTTTTTGCCTTGTAATTATATAATTTGTAAGTATTGCATGACGGGCTAAGCTGCTTAATTTGCTGACCATAAGTTTTCCCACATGTAAAATAGAAATGTTTCTATTGCAAAAGATGTTGTGATTATTAAGTGTCTATAAAAGAGTCTAGCACAATGGCATATTTTAACACTTAATACATGGTAGTTACTACTATTAATTGTTGGTTAATGACAATGTCATCTTGAATGTGCTCAGATTCTAGTATTAAGATTTGAGTGGGTTTGATCACGTATTTTGCCTAATATGCCAATCAAAATAATTATATTTTGTGACTGTTTTATATATAAAGTACATCAATAATACAAGAAAAATTAAAAACAGTAATCTTAAGAGTTTACAAAAGATTTTTCCCACCTCAAAAAATATTTAAGAATATAAAATGTCATAATTTATTTTCAGGACTAAAATAAATGACTCAATTTGTGTTCATTAGTAATAGGCGGTTGGTCATTTAATGTTATATTCTAAAATGCTGATGCAATGTAAATGCTCACATTAAACATAAATTGCCTTTATCAGAGGCAAACCATTCATTTAGCAGATAACCCCAGAGTACTGACTATTTTACAATCCCTTGGTAAAATATGTTATAAATATTGAATCTATTTAGAAAAAATACAGTTTCCCATATCAATTCAATCTGAAAAAAAGATGCTTCCTTAATGAATCTTAAAGTATAAACCATATTAATAAGTAGTGCTAGGTAGCTATTTTTACAACAAATAGTTATGGAATGATATTCACTGCAGCTATAATTCCATTTTCATCCATTTGAGAGGACTACCTAAAATGCTGGATAAAAAATAGTAAAAACATTCTTGTAATATATGGCTGATATGTTGACTACTAAGGAAGTTTTAGGTGGCAAGAAAGAAAATAAGTATTGTATCTTGTGTTTGCCCTAAAGGTTTCTGGTAGCTTTAGTAGATTAGAACTTGAGTGTAATTAAAGCTGCTTCTAGAAAACAGGGACAAAACAGAATCTTTAACTGCATCATAATGATCGATGTGAAAACACTAGACTCATGAGGCCAGGACCGAGGACCCCCAAGAGACACCACTGTCTGTCAAAGAATACACAGACACACACACACACACACACACACCCTTATGAAATCAGTTTTTAAAATTTATTTTCTATTTTTTTAAATTTAGCACATCCACATACACCTAGAGCTTGTGAAATCTATGAAGGGAGACTGTGTAGATACATAGTCCTCTTCGTCAAGGCTTGTCATGAGAATTCGAATTAGAATGTTGCACAAAGGAGAGTAAAGGTGAGTAAAAAGCTGGTCTCTGATTGCTAGTATTTCCAGGAGTACGGCAAAGGAACCACAAACCCACTGAGAAGGAGTTTACTTTAAACTCAGTTCTCAAATGATCTCCACAGAGGAAGTTTAAAAAAATACTGTTGACATTCAAAACTCACTAAAATCATAAGAAAAATGAGCCAACATGAGTCAAAAGGAAAATAAAACTTAAAAATTAGAACTTCTGAATTCACAAGTGTTGGAATATGAGGAACAGAAAGTTTATGAAAAGTTAAATTTAAGATATTTAAACAAATTAAAGCAGCATTTTAAAACATAATAAAGCATGAACAATTTATTTAAAAAGCAGAAATATTTAAAAATATAACAGAAATTCTGAAAAATAATATATATATACATTAAACTTTGAAACACAACATGTATTAGATAACAAAGCATATGTAATTCAAGAGCAAACTAATATGGAAGATATATCTGAAAAAAATACGTAGAAGATGCTTTAGAGAGATAAAAAGTTGGAGATACTGAAACATCCAAAAACATGAGGGTAAAATGAAGAAGCCAGGAATTCCAGAGGTGATGAGAGGAAGAATAAAGAAAATATTGAGAAGATAATGGCTGAAAAATTCCAATATGTATTAAGAAAAGCATTCTACAAGGTCAGAAATCGAATAAATATTTGTAGAATACGTATTCATGAGATTGAAACTAGAAAATGTTAAAAATAAAACATCAAAAGCAGCCAGCCAAGTGCCCATTATTTACAAAGAAATGTCAATTAAACTAAAAACTTATTTGCAATTATAACAAGCCACAAGACAGTTAAATTTCATCTTGAAAGACCTAACAGCAAAGAATGGTCAACCAGAATTCTATATTTAGCAACATCATATTCAAGATTGAGACAAAATAAGAAACATTAAAGAAGAAAGAATCTAGTAAGAAGACATCAATCGATAGATGCAGATTAGAGGGATTTACTTCATCAAGAAGAAAAATATTTACAGAAGAATGATCAGAAATGCAAGAGTTATGAAGACAAAAGACCATCTGAAAGGTAGTGGAAATAATGTACAATTTATGGTATAACTAAATATAACTAAAATCATTGATGATAAAATAAGATCATGAATCACAGAATGGATAACTGGCACTAATGCATTCAAAATATAGGAGAATAAAGCTAATGATCAATTTTAGACTGTTGGGTAAATGAATATTTTCCATATTTTACAGTCACAACAGGAAAGAGTAGAAAAACAAATCATAAATTCCAAAGGAGGAAAAAATGAAAGAAACATTCAATTAGCACAACAGAAAAATAGAAACACTAAATATGAAAAGAAACAAAGAAACATGAATTAAAAAGGAATCAAAGAAAAACAATAGGAAGAATACTTTTTTCACTTAGAGAAAAAAATAATACAATAGATCTCTATAACCCACCATGAACAGAAATCATGGCCAGATGAATCAAGAACTTAAATACAGAAATGGTGATTTTACAACTTATAGGAAACATTGGAGAATAGTTTTAGGATCTCAAGTTAAGGATCTCAAGTTAAGGTGGCATACAGTGAAAGACACATCTTACATGGTAGCAGACAAGACAGAATGAGAGCCAAGCAGAAGGGAAAACCCCTTATCAAACCATCATATCCCATGAAACTTATTGACTACTACGATTACTGTATGGGGGGAACTGCCCCCCATGATTCAATTGTCTCCCACTGGGTTCCTCCCACAACATGTGGGAATTATGGGAGCTACAATTAAAAGTGAGATTTGGGTGGGGACACAGCCAAACCATATCACGCCACCCCTGACCCCTCTAAAATCTCATGTCCTCACATTTAAATCCAGTTATGCCTTCCAACAATTCCCCAAAGTCTTAACTCATTTCAGCATTAACTTGGAAGTCCACAGTCCAAAGTCCCATCTAAGGCAAGGCAAGTCCCTTTTGCCTATAAGCCTGTAAAATCAAAAGCAAGTTAGTTACTTCCTAGACACAATGGGGTACAGGCATTGGATAAATACACTCATTCCAAATGGGAGAAATTGGCCACAACAAAGAGGCTAAAGGCCCCATGCATGTTTAACATCCAGCAGGGCAGTCAAATCTTAAAGCTCCAAAATTATCTCCTTTGACTCCATGTGTCACATCCAGGTCTCACTAATGCAAGGGGTGGGTTCCCATTGCCTTGGGCAGCTCTGCCCCTATGGCTTTACAGGGCACAGCCTCTCCCCCAACTGCTTTCACAGGCTGGTATTGAGTGTCTGTGGCTTTTCCAGGCACCTGGTACAAGCTTTCAGTCGATCTGCCTTTCTGGGGCCTGGAAGATGGTGGCCCACTTCTCATAGCTCTGCTAGGCAGTGCCCAAGTGGGGACTCCGTGTGGGGGCTTCAACCCCACATTTCCCTTCTGCACTGCACTAGAAGAGGTTCTGCCTCAGAGACCTACTCCTGCAACAAACTTCTTTCTGGACATCTAGGCATTTCCATATATCCTCTGAAATCTAGGCAAAGGTCCCCAAACCTCAATTCTTGACTTCTGTGCACCTGTGTGCTCAATATCACATGGAAGCTGTCAAGGCTTTGGGCTTGCATCCTCTGAAGCCATGGCCTGAACTGTACCTTGGCCCCTCTTAGCCATGGCTAGAGCAGCTGGGACACAGGGCACCAAGTCCCCAGGCTGCATACAGCAGATGGAGCCTGGGCCTGGCACTCAAAACTATATTTTCCTCTTAGGCCTCCAGGCCTGTGATTGGAGGGGCTGCTGCGGAGGTCTCTGACATGTCCTGAAGACATTTTCCCCATTGTCTTCGTGATTAACATTTGGCTCCTCATTACTTATGTAAATTTCTGTAGCCAGCTTGAATTTTTCATCAGAAAATGGGTTTTTCTTTTCTATTGCATTGTCAGGTTGCAAATTTTGTAAACTTCTAATGCTCTGTTTTCCTTTTAAAACTGAATGTCTTTAACAGCATCCAAGTCACTGCTTGAATGCTTTGCTGCTTAGAAATTTTTTCCACCAGATACCCTAAATCATCTCCCTCAAGTTCAAAGTTCCACAGATCCCTAGGGCAGGGGCAAAATGCTGCCAGTCTCTTTGCTAAAACATAGCAAGAGTCACCTTTATTCCAGTTCCCAAACAAGTTCCTCATCTCCACCTGAGACCATCCCAACCTGGATTTCATTGTCCATATCAATATCAGCATTTTCGTCCAAATCATTCAACAAGTCTCTAGAAAGTTCCAAATGTTCCCATATTTTTCTGTCTTCTTCTTAGGCGCCCAAACTGTTTCAACCTCTGTCTGTTACCCAGTACCAAAGTCCCTTCTACATTTTTGGTATCTTTTCAGCAGCACCCTATTCTCTGTACCAATTTACTGCATTAGTCCATTTTCACACTGCTGATAATAACATGCCCAAGACTGGGCCATTTATAAAGAAAAAGAGGTTTAATGACTCACAGTTCTTCATGGCTAAGGAGGCCTCACAATCATGGTGGAAGGTGAAAGGCACATCTTACATGACAACAGGAAAGACAGAATGAGAGCCAAGAGAAAAGAGAAACCCCTTATAAAACCATCAGATCCAGTGAGATTTATTCACTACTATAAGAATAGTATAGAGGAAACTGCCCCCATGATTCAATTATCTCCCACCAGGTCCCTCCCACAACACATGGGAATTATGGAGGTACAATTCAAGATGAGATTTCTTGGGGACACAGCCAAACCATATCAGGGACCCTGGGTAAGGAGCATACTCCAAACTCTTGGTATTATGCTCCCAATAGACATAATAATCATTTCCCTGGTGTGCTGTCTTCTCTCAAATGTTTTAAATGTTTGAATGCAGCCTTCTCTAGAATGTCAAATGGTCTCTCTTCTACTGGAATGACGAGAGCTGAGAAAAATGTGCAACCATGGGGACTCCATAAACTATGAATGATATGCTAAGATGGAAACCCAAAATGATGGTAACTGAGAGTGGAGCTAAGGCCCAAAGTTTTGTTCACACACTTTCACTTAAATTTAAAAGGCGGAATTTTTAAACAAAATTATGGAGGCCATCATTTTGGACTGAGCTCATGCATTAGGCCCCAACAGACCAAACCAAACAAAAATGGAGTCACTTTTGCTAAATATGATGTCATCAAACTAAGATTTTCAGGAAACATATAAATCCTAGAACAAACCAGGTTTTGTTTTTCTCCTGCAAGTAGGACGTTCCCGCATAAGGAGGTACCCCCTACTCAGTCCTCATTCCTACCTTTGCAAAACCCACTGGTCGACTGTTTCCCAGTGGGCTTCAAGACCAATAGTGATACTGACATCAATAACTAAAGTTTTGGTCAATCTCTCAAAATTGAGAAAATGACCAAAAGCTGGGAATTATTAAATCAAGTTTAGCCTAAAGCTGCCTCCTACATATTTAAGTTTGGCCTAAAGGATGTTTCTGTACATCGTGAACTATAACAAGTAGAGGGGTAAACCGACCATAGCCCACACCTGTGTCAATCACTGAGTTTTGGCCAATCAAATGTAGCCTACTGTTTGAAGCCTGTTCATATACCACAAATGCTGAGTTGGAACCAATCAAGTTGTTTTTGTACCTCACTTCCTTTTTCTGTACATCATTTTCCTTTTACTGTCCATAAATTTTCTTCTACCACGTGGTTGTCTGATTCAGCAGATTCACAGTCTCTGTGAATCTGCTGTGATTCTGGGGGCTGCCCAATTTGTGAATCATTCATTGTTTAACTAAACTCCTTTAAATTTAATTTGGCTGATGTTTTTTCTTTTAACATATAGGATCCCAACAATATGGGTCTGTGTGGGGCCTCTTTCATGTTTTATTCATTTATTTTCCTTTATCCACATCTTTCACTCCTTTCTATATCCCTACAGACAATGGCTGAGGTATGTGGATATGAGTCCTTGAATTAGGATGCATTCTTGTAAGTATATAGTGAGGCTTTGAGGATGTATAGCTTAATTTACATACACACTTTTGTTTTACATAATTTACTCGGTGTTATGCTTTTAAAATCTCTCCGTGTTGTTGTGTTTCTATCTAGTTTGTTTAACTGCTTTCAATATTGAAAATATGACCACTTATCTTACTATTGTTGCTGTTTGCACAAATGCTTCTATGGTAAACCTCTTACATATTCATTTATGTAACTTTGCAAAAAAAACATGGGAGAGAAGGAGAAAGAAGAAAGAGAGAGAGAGAGAGGGGGAGAGAGAAAGAGAGATGAACCAGGAGTGAATTGCTTACTCCTACATATTTATTGATTTTGAATAAGTTAAATCTCTTCTCTCCTCCAGCTGGCTTTGTTCTGGTAATTAGGACTTAAGAGTTAATTGTGTTTGAATAATAAAGGCCAGATCCCAAAGACCTGCTGTTGGAAATTTAACGTTTGTTTAAAGATCTTTAACTAAGGTTGCCGAAAAGGATGTTCCCTGTTGTCATTACTACAAATGTTTGGGAATTGTTTTTGGCTTTTCAGTATATCATGCTCCTAGAAAAACAATGTAATTTGGCTTTGACTTGGACTGAAACTGTATCTGCAGCTTCCTAGGTGTGGGACATTTTGCTATGTATTGAACTGTCCCAGAAGCTTCCGTTTTATCACTTGTAGCACGATAACAAATATCTACTTTATATAATTATTGTCATGGTTTGTAGGAGTGATACACATAAAATGCCTACAACAGAATTATTCTAAATGCAAATTCCACTTTCCTCTCACACACCTCTTTTTATCTTCTGTAGGGTGATGGCTCTTGATATTTTGAGGGTATTAACTACTTTGAAATCAAATGAAAGCAATCTGCCTGTTATATTAAAAAAAGGCTCATATACATTAAATTCAAGATTTTACATAAAATATCAGGTTAATCATGAATGTCTTGTAGAGACTAAATGTTTAAAAATATATATATATTTTCAAGGTTTGATAAGAGCCTCCTGGCATTTACCTCTTTCCACAGAGGACAGCCCAAAAATATGAATTAGATTCACAATCCCCATGATCGTGATAAAGAAACTGTTTATTGGGAACGGATGCAACAAGACCAGGGTTGAGCCAGGCAGTGGCAGAACTCCAGCCTAGCAGAACTCTTTCTGCTCCACTCTGCTGTCAGGAGATAAAGAATAAGAGTTCTCTGCATACCTTGTGCAAATTATAATTTGTTTTGTATAGAATATTCATTAATGGCTTTTGTTTTCTTGTCCTAAGGCACACGTCTCTGTCTGTTTACGCCTTTGGCAAATGAGTTCATTTTTTTGCCATTAATTATTATTTGTACTTGTCAGATTTTTAATTATATAATTAAGTTGCTATTGGTCTTCACTAATAAAAAATATTATCGAAGTGTTGCAACAGAGCTGTACTAAATAAGGTCTGAGATCACTGAATATAAAGAAAATTTAAAGATTCCAAGATACATGATATGTAACCTGTTTCACTAAAGGGCAAGCTTAATCACGTCTAAGAAATTCCCATGTATGTTAACATCTACTGAAACACAGACAATATTAGCCCTGTACTATTCATTGTAATGACATTATGCCAGTGGCCAATGTTTGAAATAGGAAATTTTAGGAAAATAAAATTAGGGGTAAAGAAGCAGACCTTCTTTTTTTTTTTTTTTTCCCCAGTTCCTCCCTATGAAAACAGCAATATTGACAAACAAATCTAAACCATTTAAAACTATGGAAGTTTTCCTTGAAATAACTGGAGAAACTGAGATAGTTTATGCTATCTTTGCACAAGGTCACATACTAATTGGGTTATCTCTATACTTTTCTCATCCCAGTTTACTTCACTGTTTTGTTTTGTTGTTTGTCTTTTTTTTCTTTCTTTCTTATTTTAGTGTATTTTTCTCCCTACACTTTGTGTATGCCATTATTTAGGCCCACTGGTAGCTTTTACAGTTTAAGATATCCATGTATCTAGGATATGGAGGTTTGGGAAATGTAGATTAAAACAATTACAGAAAATTCTATAGGCTATAAACTTTTCTTCATTGAAGCAGAATTTCTTTAAAATGAATATTGATTTAAATAATCCAAATTCCCAAATTAGAAAAAAAATTCTGAAATTATATTAACATCATCAGCCAGAACACATGTTCATAGATAAGATACTATGTAAATGGAACAGTGTATAACTATTTTATTATAAGTTATTTTTATCTTCAAGGTAAATGTTTCAGTTTTTTTCTTTTTGGGAAATTATATAGAGTCTTATCTTTTTCCCCACTATTATAAAATAAGGCTTTAAAAAATGCTTTTATATTTCTTCTAGTACATGAGCGATAGTGTATTTTTTGGCCTTTCATGTGAATAAGTCTGACACGGACAAGTACTGGAACAAAGCATTCCCAGTTCTCTCCGTGAAAAATCTGCTGACACCTGAACTGGCTTCAATTGGAATTTGTTCTTGGCTGATCTTTACATGACCTTTGAAATCCTGGCATCCGACCTGCCTCGGGCTTGGGCTCCATGGCTCTAAGCCTGGCTGCTTCAGGGACTCTGTCCTCCCAATCTAGTATTTGCTGGACCTCTCTGCCTGTCTTAACCCTCTGAAGCCAAGATATAAGAAGCTAGTATTTCTTTGAACCTCTTTGTTAGTCTTAATCCTCTGAAGGCCAAAATATGTGAAGCAAAAAAAAAAAAAAAAAAAAACACCTCTTTCTAGTGGCTGTCTGTCCCAATATATGTACCAGTGCTGAAAGATGTGCTCATTGATGGGGAACAATGGGATAAATGGAAAATGTCAGATACTGGAAAACCTTTGGCATTTGTGTACAAAAGGAGCCTCAGCCAGGTGGATTCAATATTTTTCCTAAATAGTTCTTGTAAATGAGAGATGGTTGAAGTTAGCATACAGGCAGATTAAAATGTCCAAGATCATCAGTCCAAAACTAATATTTTTAATAATACATTCTTTCACACTCAGATGTACTTCTTGGTTCTGGCTTATGCTACTGGCAGATGTGCTAACATCCTCCCGGGGAAGAATATGGAGTCCTCTCAGGGCTTCCACCCAACTGGAAAAGGGAAGTTTCAGCCATCTCTTAATAAAGAATGAGCTCCAGAGATCTGCAACTCAATTGCAGACCTAATGAGTTTGAAGATTATTGGATTAAACACTAAAACTTTGGTAGCAACTTAGCCAAATTCTGCCTAATCTCTATGTCCTCTGTGGTTTGATCTTCACAGATGCAAACTCCTTACAGCTATTGCTAACCAAAATTATTAATGCCATACAAAGTCAATTGAAAACATGTCGGGTGACAATCTTTGTTGTGTATCTTTAATTTACAGAGAGAAATTCTCTGGGCAGTTTTCATTAGCTTCTAGCAAGTTTAATTGAATGAAAACATTGCTTTCATGATCTTTGATACAATGTGTTGGTGCAAATTAAAGCATAGCAGCTTCTAGTCACAGAATTTTGCTTCTCAAATGCCTCCAGGGGGTTAGGGTAGACAAAGAAGAGTCCTTAACAGAATTATTATAAGTCTCTAAGGGTAAAAATTGATACTTGTGAATATCAATATTCCAAACAAAAGAACAAAAGTTCAGATAAACACATGCATGACCAAACACTCATGAGAAATATATAATGAGTTAAAGACAGGTAGTGCATTTAGGAGTCCTCTGTTACATGAAATGGTGACAGATACTTTTACAGAAATAACTTATTTTGATATATCACAGTCTATTCATTTTGTTTATTTGGTATCATAACACATCGAAAGTTTTCTGATCGATTTAAATTTGTATAATCACTTACGGCTTATTAACTGAATTTGATCAATAGGAAGCATTCAGCCCTGCTTATTTTGTGTGTGATTATGTTGATTACCTTGATGAAGTAATCTGTTGTCTTGAAAAAATAATTAATCTGCTGTAGTTAGGAGAAGGCAAAAGGAGGAAAAAGAACACTAAGATTTAATATATGACCCTAATGAAAGTATCACAGAAATAGATTTATGCCCAGTATCCATTGAAACTTCTGAGGTGGTCCACGTTGGTAAGCTGACACTTACTAACCAAAATCACAAATTCCTAAATCAATGTCAATCATTAATCAGGATGTATGCCTACTCTTACAAAGCAGAATAGTTGAACTGGCATTTAAGGACATGCACTTCCCAAAGGGAAGTCATACTTTGCTTGATAGATTCTTTAAAAAATAGCAAAGAAAAACCCTAACAGAGGTGTCACAATTATGACAGTGCTTATTATCCATATTCACTACTTAGGGTTACAGCTGATAAGCAGAATGAATATTTGAGTGAGCTGCTAATTCCTCCAGGCACTGATAGATTCGGACTTTTTATCCTATGACTAGATTCTAGCGGGTAAGCCTGTGCCTTCATGTTGTGAAAAGGATTATCACCTAAAAAAATCTCTTTGATGAGTCAGTGGATGCTTTATTGAGACATAACAAATATGTATCATAAATGTCTCAACTCTTATTGCAGTGGTCATGACAAATGTTTCATATCCATCACAGCATTGTGACCCAGGCATGCAAAATTCTTCATTGGAGTGTATCAGGGGCCAATAGCAAACTAACAGGATGCATGCAAGCGGAAAAAAGTTTTGGTCCTGCCCTATGTCGTGAGTTCTAGAAATCACTTTGGTCTTATTAGGAAAGCAGCCAAACAATCTCTTAGGAAAGGATCTCCTTGAAAACTACTAGCTTCTTTCAATGATTTTTGGTACTATCAGAGTCTGATGATACAAATTTCAAGCCTGTCCCTAAATCTAGCATATATGCTCGCTTAAATACTGTAGTTCCATATTCAACATTAAGATCTTCAACCAGACAATGGTCATTTTGGCAGAATCACAAAAAAGATGGAAAGCATTTAAGTAATGTCTAGAAACTTTTTTTGTATATACTATGCATGCAATTAAAATATTGCTAATAATTCATTTGCTTGAATAGTCATAAATGTTAAATATGAGATGTAGCTTTTTTTATTTAACTCCATTCTTTAATTGGAAAAAATGAAATCATTTTCAGCATTAAAAATCTTTAATAATGGTATAAATGAAAGATCATGCCAGTGGTTGTAAAGAATTAATTCTAATTTCTAGAATAAATCAGCAAAACACATTTTTGCTATTTAGAAAATGTTTCCTAAAAGAAAAAAAAAGAGCATTTGTATGCAAGCACATGCATTCCCTTCTTATGCAAATCTCAAAAATGCTTTAATTTTCCTGAACACTCAATTGACATTATACATTGCAGCAAAAGACTCATACAGCATCACGTTTATATGAAAGTAAAGATATCTGACTGGCAGTACACACATGAAAGCCAAATAAAGAAATTATAATAAGCAACTTAGTAAACATTTAAGTAAATTGTGTGTCACAACAGTGGTGGTATAATCGGATGATTTTTAGTATATGCAGTTGAAACAAAAGACAAGGAGAAATATTCTTGCAACCTCTGACCCTGAGTTTATTTTTCTCACTGTCCCCTAGTCTTCGCAAAATAGAAAGGAATGTTTCCCTCATCTGCTCTTTTTCAATGTATGCCCAAAGGAAGAGAATAAAATTGCCATCTCTCTCAATGCTTCTGCTTCTGACACCTCCTCACAGAACACGTCTCAGATATCTACAGATTTCAGTGAGCAATGAATGGGAGGGGCTGGTGTGGAGGAGCTTCAGGCATTCTATAGAATTCTATATTTATATATCTATATATAGATTTATAAATCTATATATATAGGTTTATATATCTATATATAGATTTATATATGTATATATACTATATATTTATACATCCATATATCTATATATACCATATATAATTATATAGCTATATATACTACAGATATAGATTTATGTATCTATATATACTATAGATATTAACATATATTCATAAGAATGATAGTTGACATGTATGTCTATATATAAACACATATTAATGACATATATGTGTGTAGATATGTATCTATATATACAGATGTATAGATATAGGTAGAAAGATAGATTCAAGCAGTTCATATATCAATGGGCATATTTTAAATCTTTAAATCTCACTACACTGCATGTATTCTTTGGTAATTCACTTTTTCTCTCAATGTTATAATTTAATAATTGTTTTTCATGTTAAACATTTACGTTAATTTTAATTTGTTGCTATGAAGACACTGCTATTATAAATATTCTATATAATTTTTTAAATTTGTATTTGTTGATACATAATAAATATTTATGGGGTACATGTGATATTTTGTCTCTTCTCATGCCTCAAATTTCCTATAGTGTATATACAATAGGAATGAAATGCTGAGTCTTAGAATATCTACTTATTTTACTTTCCTATATATTAACAAATTATTTTTTAATGTGGTAGTATAATTTTCACTTCTAACAGCTATATTTAAGACTTCACACCACATCTTCACCAAAAACCAATACATGGCATTTTCAGAGTTTAATATTTTTGTAAATATTATTGTGTGAAATGATTTTCATTGTGTGCTTTTAAATATTTTTATTCTAGTCTAATTTTAGCATTTTGAATTATCTTTACTGACTATTCAAATTTACTCTTATCTGAATGTCATTTGCTTGTTTTTCCATTGCGTTGTCTTGCTCTCGATTTTGTGGACTCTTCTATATAGTAATCATTTGTTGTTTACATGTGTTTTAAATATTTTAGACAATAATGTGTGTTTATTTTTATTGGTGTGATATATGTAGCATTTATATTTTAATATAATCATAATTATCAGTTTCTTTATAACTTAGATTTATGTTATTTTGTCTAATAAATGTTTAGCTCATGCTAAACTGAAATAATACAAAAACAAAATCATGCATACGTCATGTTACTTACCTTCAAAATATGCATGAAAAATTATAGTAAAATATCTAAACAAAAAGTACAAAGTTATAAAGATTAGCTGTGGTTTCTACTGTGTGACAGTGTTTTAGGCAATTTTTTCATCCTTTGTTACTTGCTCTTAATAATAATTCTATTATTTTATAACTACTTTGCCAACTGTGGTATAAGAATAAGAAGGTAAGAAACTGAGTCAATTTACAGGCACAAACAGACCTGCACACACAAAAAGACTAAAGACAGCAATCTAATTGTCAAAACGGAAAACTCTGGGAAAAAAATACAATCTATGGAGTATGACTTCTTTTTCACTTGGAATCCCATGGGGATCATACTTATTGAAAATCCTTTGTTGATTAACATGGCAATCTCTTTTGAATCAGTATGCAAAACACACCACACAGCCTTCATCCGGAATCTTCAAGTGTTTTGATAAATAACGTCCTTTGATTGTGTTTTGAAAAGGGGGGCTAACTAGGGAATGAGAGCAGAATGGTGACTAAACTGGAAAGAACCGTACAATTATCAAACAGCAGGCAGCCTCCATATAAACGATGTGCGTTTCTCCACCACTCAGGCTTTGACAGCTGGTATCTACTTCACTCTAGCAAGCTGAGGTCTCTCCTCCTGATTAGGTCAGCTCCCTTGATGATCATAATTCTTAGTGTCACAACAACACAGAAACAACAATAAAGCAATGATAACAACAAAGTATTCTGAGCATTGACATACCTTTCATCTCTGCAAGTTGTAAGGTTTTGTAAATTGTCTCTACTTTGTAGATGTGCAAAGGCAGACTACTAGGTTTCTTTTCAAACTGGGGCTTTTATCTAACAGATGATGCCATCAGACAGTGGTGGGATTTCCTTCACCCCTTTCCTAGTAGAACACTTTTATCACCATTCTACAACTGATCAAGTTGAACTGTTAATGCCAGACTGATTAGATAGGACATAGCTGCTTTTTAAGAATGCTCTGTTGATGCAAGGTTAAGTGGTGGGTGGAAATTCTCTAGTGAATCTGGACAGGTAAGCAGTAATCCCAGACTCAAAGCCTCTTCGCTTCCTGAAACAACTCTGAATTAATTTCAGTTACTCAGTTTTGAATAAAATATGGTGTGTAAATTTTATGAAGCCACACAGTCAGCTCTTTTCCTGCAAGCCCTAAAATTCCAGCTGCCTTTCCTCTTCACTTTGTTGTTCTCACCGCCCTCATATCCCTTGTGAGTTATTCTTCATGTTTAGCTGTATATAGAGACAGTGTTTCTCGTCCCTCCCTTGATGGCCATGGAACCAAACACTCAGGATTTTTCTTTATGGGGAAACAGACAGATATATAAGGAATTACAAACTTGGGGATGTTAAAAATTGTTCAGATATGCTCCTTGGTTAATAATCCCTGACTCCCTTCTGGGATGATAACTAGGCACCATACTGTTTTTATGGCTCCAAGAAGACCAATTCTTCCCTAGTGTAGGCTGAAGAAGCAATCCAAGGGAAAAAAAGAAATATCTATTCTTCTCGTTTGTGCAGTTTACAGGCCTGGGGACTTATACTCGATGGTACTCATTTTCTTAAGCTTCTACACCTCACACACACACACACACACACACACACAAATCCAGGGAAAAACATATTCTCTGTGTCTCTGTTGCCTAAATGTTTTATTTGGGGTAAAATATATTATTGGTATCTTGGAAAATTTTTCATTGTGTTTATTTAATACAAAATAGAATTTGCAAACAACAAAAGTAGGTGCCTTCTTAAACTATGCTTCAAACACATACACACACACACACACACACACAAACACACACACATATACAATTCTGTATAAATGTAGAGCTAACAATAGTGCACTAAAAAGGCAAGAGAAACCTAGAGCTGTTGTATCATAAAGATTATTATAGCTATCATATAGCTCACAATTTTTATAGAACATGTTTTAATTATTTAAGGTATATAGAAATAGAGCTTCTGCACCTTATTAATCTGAACTGAAATACTTCATTCTATTTTTAGCTTATCATGTGAAATTTACTACTCATTGTCTCTGGTAAGCGCTGATATTATTTATGTTAATATTAAAATTGAGTGTCATTTTCAATTGAACCACTGATTATAAATTGAAAACTAATTCAGTGACATGCAAATAACAATTTATTCATCCTAGTAACCCATGTTAGCATTTCGTTACTCATGAATATTATTTATTTGGGTTGAATGATTTGTGTTCGAAAGTAAAATTGAGTTAGCAAAAAATGCTATATGCATATTTTAATATTAATTTTTCTTGGATTCAGGGTATATTAACCTAAATTGTGTGCTAGAGAAATTGTAGTTTAAATCGCAGGTGAGAAAAAAACAAGACCCCCAAAGTCCTATGGTTTTGTACAAACCTATAACCAGAACCCTGGTACCAGGATTTCTAGTCACCAGAAGACTATGTCTAGGAATTGATGGTTACAGCTGTTCTGTTATTAATACACTGGTGGGGTCATAGAAATTCTTTTTTCTATTGCCTTCATATCAGAATTACAAACTATGGATCCAGCTACAAACTTTCTGTGGTAGTTCTGGTCCTAATATTATGTAATTGCATCCATGCCAATTAAAGTAAAGAGCACTTCTAGCCCAAAAGGACTACTTCTGCAATTCGAGTAAGCTACTGTACTTCTAAGAAAGAAAGAATAGCGACTATATGAGCACTCAGATTAAAAATATTATTCTAATGTATGCATTGCTCTGCATATGGCACAAATTTCAGAGACAGAAATATAGTTCCTTTAATTGCCTTTCCCTCCAGAGGTGAGGAGTAAGCAGTCTTCTGTGGAATATTAAAAATGTCATATTGATTTTTGGCTAAGTAATTTGATTGTTTAGACACTTTAATCAATGCAGTTTTCAGAGTGCATTGAATAACTGGTGATCACTGGTAGGGTAAGTATATTCAGTCAATGATCAAGACATGCAGCAAGATGGTGGGCAGAAAAAGTGTCAAGAAATCTGAAAGCAGTTGGTATCCCTAGAATATTGTATTGCCGTTGAACCAATAAATGAAATGATTAAGGTGAAAAGAGCATATAGGAGGAATGTGCAGGCATTTCTAGCTGAGGGAATTCAGATTCACATGTTAATACTTCAAAGATTTGCAGGAAAGGCATTCAAATTAAATCCAGGCAGAAACTAGCTTATTCTTGTAGTTGACACTTAGAATAATTGTATCAAACACATACTTTGTGATGGCCAAAATGAGATCGAGTATTCAGTGACTAGATCCTTGCTATTCCAACTATGGTCCGCTGAGGAGCAACATTGGCATCACCTGATAATGTGTTAGAAGTGCACAATCTCCAGCCCCACCCTTTAACTACTAAATTACAATCTTCTTAACAAGATGGATACAGATATTTATACACTTTGAAGTTGGTGAGACATTTGTTTGGACTCTTTATGACTTTAAAAATCTTATTCTCCCAAAGTTAGGCCAAAATAGCCACTAATCAACGTCCCATACTATTGGATTTTATGAAAAATATCCTTAGCCTGGAGAACTTTTTCTTTTTCCCCACAAGAAGTATTACCTCCATCTCATTGTCCCCTGGGCCAGCAAATAAGGTGATGTCCCAGGTGCTGCTCTAGCTCCATGCCTGGCAAGTTTCCTGCTCTGGGGTTTGCATTTGGAAGTTTCCTTGGGGAGAGGAAGAAAGCTGCCAACTCCATCACTCTTCACCTCAAGTGCTTTTATTTCAAATCTTTGTCCCTAAGACCTTTCACTGCCACACATTTCAAATCTTTAAAGTAGTAAAAAGTAGTTATTTTCTATGAAGAGGATAAGAAAGTGTCTTTTACCTCTTGTAAAAATCTGTGATTCAATCAATCGTAAAAGCTTTTTTGTTGTTGTTGTCAAAATTCCATTTGGTTTCTGGGCTTAAGACAAATGCTTTCCCCTCTATAATATAAACTATGCCAGATTTGTTTTTGTTGAATTTCAAAGAACCATGATCCTTTTTCTAGCACTCATCTAAATGTATAATACACTTCCATTCTTGTCATTATTTGATCATTACTATCTTGACACTAGAAAGCAGCAAGTATGTCTTATTTCTGTGTATTGCCTCTGCTAAGCAAAAGGTCTGACCCCTGGTAAACATTTAATAATATTTCCTGATTAAATGAACAAAGGAATATGAAACAGAGTAATTGCTCAAAATCACATAAGCAAGAGATGTTTCTAACTATAAATTCCATGTTTTTTCTTCTACATCAAGGTGTTTTTTCAACCTGGCTGCATCCCAAACCAATTAATTAAATCAGAATCTCTGGATATGGAACCCTTCCATTGGTATTGTTAAAGCTCTTCAAATATTCTAATGTGCAGATAGGGTTGAGAGCCACTCTATACTTTGCTCACTCTTTTAATATAATGATACAAAATCTTCCAGTATAATGAAGAAGAGCAATTAAGGGAGTCAAACTTGTCAATTGGTAGGAAAACAAAAGAACAAAAGATGTTCAGCTTAAAGTAATGGAATCTAGTGAATAACTTGCCGTCTGCTTTCAACTAGCTGAAATATTTTCTTTCATAAGTGGAATTAGATATATTCCATGTACTCTCAAGGGGCAAAACTCAGCCATATTACAAGAAAGCAGTTTGGGGCTGAAGATGAGTGACAAGCCTCTTAGAACCTAAACGTTCGCTGGGTGCGGTGGCTCACACCTGTAATCCCAGCACTTTGGAAGGCTGAGGTGGGTTCATCACCTGAGGTCAGGAGTTAAAGGCCGCCTGGCCAACATGTCAAAACCCTGTCTCTACTAAAAACACAAAAATTAGCCAGGCATGGTGGCATGTGCCTGCAATCCCAGTTACTCAGGAGGCTGAAGCAGGATAATCCCTTAAACCCGGGAGATAAAGTTTGCAGTGAGCCGAGATGGGGCCACTACACTCCAGCCTAGGTGACAGAGCAAGACTCTGTCTAGGAAAAAAAAAAATACAAAACTTAAACACTGAAAATATATTGGACCAATTTTGGAGATGCTGAGGATCATGTTAGTGGAAGTATTTAAGGAAAGCTCAGGGGTGGGCTGGTAAGATCCAAATGCTGAATTAGGATGTTAGAATACAGCTACATGGGTTTCTGGGCTTCTGTGTGTCTCAGAATATCAATACATTTTATTTAAAAATATGGGCCAGGAGCAGTGGCTCATGCCTGTAATCCAAGCACTTTGGGAGGCCCAGGCAGGTGGATCACCTGAGGTCAAGAGTTCAAGACCAGCCTGGCCAACATTGTGAAACCCCTGTCTCTACTAAAATTATGAAATTAGCTGGGGTAGTGGCACCCGCCTGTAGTCCCAGCTGAGTAGCTTCAGGAGGCTGAGACAGGAGAATCACTTGAACCCAGGAGGCAGAATTTGCAGTGAGCTGAGATTGCACCACTGCACTCCAGTCTGGGCCACAGAGCGAGACTCCATCTCAAAAAAAAAAAAAAGTGATTAAGTAATAATACTACTAAAATTAATAGTAGTCAATATTTATTGAATGTTTATTGTAAGCCAATAAACATTCTAATTTAATTTATATCACAGTATTACTTCTGATAAGTTTCATAACATTTGATGAGGCTGGTGTAATTAATAGCCCAAGTTTAAAGAGGAAGACACGTGGACAGAGAGAGGTTACTAAACCTAATCAGAAATTATTGAAACAGGAATTCAAACTCAAGTAGGCTGATGTTAAAGCCTGAATTATACGTCATTTGATTACAATTATCCACACAGAGTGTTGGTGTTTATCATACAATTGGATATTACTGTTACTTTTATAGACACATATAGGTTTAATCTGCCTACTTTCAGATACAGGAATGAAATCAGTTGAGAAGAAAATATTAAATAAATTATTTTCTTAAAAACAAATTGACTCCTACCCATTGTAAACATCTTAGCACAATACTTTACTTCTGTGGTGAGACTGATGTAAGCAAAACCTACTATGCTGCCAGACACATAAAAATACAGCACTTACAATTATGAGTAGTACATAATAGTTTATTTGATAATGATCGTAACCAATATGTTATTGATTTATGTTAAAAAAAAAAATTGAGGTTTGAGACCATATAATTATGGCAGCAAAGGATAAACATTTGTCTTGTTGGTTTAAGGTGTTAAAGACATGTACTTGATCTCTATCTATTGAATAATTGAAAGACTAGTTGAGGACTCCCAAAACTTTATTTCAGAAGTTGCAATTAAAAATATTTTATATTCTTCTAAATGATATTGCCAAAATATGACAAGAGAATACTTTTTTTGTCTGGATCTTTCTATGTTTCCATTATTAGATCTGTACTAAACCCTCCCCCACTAATTAGTTTGGCACAGTGCTTAAACATGCTTAAGATTTATCTCTTTATATGTTTTTGTAAGGTAGATAGTCTGGGAATTGTGTAATCTAATGGCAATTCCCAGAAATGATGTCCTCCAAATATAAATTATAAGAAATTAAAATGCCTTGCCTTTTAGGATGGGAAAAAAGGTATCTTCCTGAATTACTTTGTGAAGTTTAGTAGCTTATTCTTAGAACCTCGGTTTACTCCTCTCCAAAGTGAAGAAAATTATATCAAATTCAATGGATTTAATCAGGATTAAATTTAAAAGGTGTCTAAATTACCAGGTACAAGTCCTCGTTTACAACAAATATTAAGTAGGTCTTAATTGCCCTTCTTTTCCTTTAACTCTATTACACCCTTGACTTCATCTATGGTGTAATTGTGAATATAAAATGAACATATAAATGTTCAGATGCTATAACTGTAATTTCCTATAAACAGTTATCAGTATTAGATATCACCATTTTAGTTGTTTAGTTGTTTACTCTATCACTGTTGAGTTGCTCTTGTATTTTAAGTTTCCAGAAATAAATTTTAAAACATGAGTCTACTCTGTTGAATGCACTATAGAAATAGTACCAAAAGAAGAAAAGTTCATAAATTTAGATATGCACATAGGCATAAGGGAGATGAAAAAATAGAAAATGTTGAAAAATATTGCTATAGTAATTGCTGCCTGCATCCTGTTTAGATTTGTTCTTGTCCTCCTGCATAGTTCCAGTCTTAAAAAGTAAAAGAGGTAGCTCCTGGGGCTAAATGAAGTCTTTCTTCTCCCCTCGTTGGTCCTACCTGGGAGTTCTCTGTTGCCATTGCCTACAAAGGGTGAATATTTCAGTATCAAACAAAAATGACTCATTTATCTTCTTATTTAAACTTGGTAAAGATGTGTTCTTTTGTTTTATTTCTACAAAAATATCTGCTTCAACTACATGTATGCATTATTTCAGTTCAATATGAAACTTTTACTACAATGATGAACTTCTTGGGTTTGTATTTTACTTTACTAGAAACACATTTATAGAAAGGATACAAGTTTGGTATAAAATGTTACTAGGTATAATATTTATACCTGAAAGCTAAACAATGGGTATACATAAAAAACAGTGGAAGCTCCAGAGGTAGGACAGTGGAGCGGGTAAGGCATAAAATACTACTTATCGGGTACAATGTACACTATTTGGGTGATGGGTACACTAAAAGCTCGCACTTCTCTACTATGCAATATATCCATATAACACAATAACACTTGTACCCCCACATCCATTTTAAAAAAACAAATTTAAAAAATGAGAACATCTTTGGAAAAAACCAATCTAGATATCTTTTCCCAAGTAAATTATGTTTGCATTCACCTGATAGCAACAAAGAGAGGAACTATGTTAGGGAAAACATATTTATCTTACGAAATTTTCAATATGTAGGGCAAAAAATAAGCTGTGAGAAAATATGTTTCATATGAGCATATTAAATTGTTAGTAAAAGAAATATTGACTCCTTAGTTATTTTTAAATATATTATCAAGAAAAGATTGACTTCAAACAGATTTTACCCCAATATTTTATGCTGGCAGAAATAATGGACTTAAATTTTGCAGAGAGTAGGAGTGAATTCTAAAATAATTAATTCAATGAAACTAAATAAAACATCGTCATGGATAAAAAGAATAGCTTGGCAAAAATGTTCTTTTCTACATGAGTTTTTCACACTTTTATTTACTCAATCAGCCAGAGGGTGCAGCTTATAGACCCAGGATATATTTCATTTACTGCTACATGTTATTATTATTATTTTTTCCTGTGGGAAATATAATTCTGCCTCAGCTTCAGGTGGAATGAGAGGATGGGAGTTTTCTCCTGCAAGTTTGGAAGTTACATTGTGGAAACATATAAATTCTTCCGAGTGTCAATGTTTTATTTTCCAAGTATTCAAACTCCCATATTAATATAAGAGCCAGTTTATAGATAGGCTGATTTGTTTAGGCCAGAGGATCTGTCTTTCTCCACAAAAGTCATTCAAACTCATCAGGACTTTAAACTTCCAACCAAGGGAAGTAACCTTCCAGTTCCACAATATATTCAGTTTGAAACAGATAAAGGGCGTCTTCAGAAATCCTCAAAATATTTATGTAATGATTTTAATCATTTTAAAATTACCTTCATAAGTTTCTCCTATGAACAGAATTCGAATTTGAGAATGTCTCTGCTATAGCATTTGGTAGTTTTGGTGAGACTGATCTGTGTGTTTTTTTTTTTTATAAGGTAGTTGTATATTAAAAAGGACAGAACACTTTTGGTCAGGCATAACTGAATCCCAGCTTTAGTACTAATTGTGACTTTTGACAAGCTCCCTAGACTTCCTGAATCTCAAATTTCTCAACATACAACTAAGAAAATAAAATGTGTCTTTCAATAATAGAGGTAAAAAGCTTTGCATAGCACCTGACACTTACCAAGTCCATGGTTATGATTATCAGAGAAAATAAAATGCAGACTACTAGAGACTTACCAGGGAACCCATGAATGTTTACCATTTTGAGGCATAAGGGATGACCAAGGATATAGCTATACATTTTTCAAATTAAAAAAAGTTTCCAGATCCTCAAAATATCAATTGATGTGCCACATTATTACAATAACATTTGAAGCAATAAATTTGCATAAAAGTAGCATTTGTTTAGCCCTTGGAATTATACTGACTCTATTAAGAATTAGAGAAACTTCTTTATTCAGACTTTTCTGAAAGTTATTCCTTGTCTCACAATTTTTCCTTCAGAGCATCCTTTTATCAAGCCAGTAAAAGACAATTTATCCAGAATCAGTCTAGCATGTCACAGTTCTATTTAACATTGTGGTGAATAAAATGACAGCACACATATCCCAGCACTCTTTTTGGTCAGGGTTTTTGGTCCACAGTTAAAATGAAACTTCAACACTTTCCTTAATGTCCAAAGTAATTTGGAAAACAGAATTTGAAGAAAAGAACATTTTTACTTCTGCTTTGCAAGGCCCATATGCTCCATAAATATTATTTAGCATCTCCATGGTGCATTCTGTATGCACTCTGCTTTATAATCATTGCTATGGCCATTAGCATAAAAATGCTTTTCTCCAGTCCTTTTTTCCATACTTTGGCTTTGAAATTTTATCCTTATTCATAGTTCAAGAACTTTGCAAACAAATAAGATGCTGCACAGAATACTTTAGGCAGCTTCAATCCCAGTGCTAATCTGTACTGTGTAGCATGAAACTAAAGTTAAGAAAGCATATGACCAAAGATGGGAGAAAAATAATATTATGCCACAAGACATATGAGTAAAAACATTACATAAGGCCATTAACTATAAGATTAATATGTATTTTATCCTTACAATATAAATGCATTTAAGGCAGAGCAGAAACATAAACTTATTTGTCCTATATGTGTATGTGTATATTATACATGCACACACACACACACACACCTATTTATATATTAAGTTTATTATATATATTTTATTTAGTTTAGGATATGTATACCATATATATTTAGACACAAATATGTTATTTGTTATATTTATTTTGTACTTGTATATTGATTATATATTTTATATAAAAATAAGTATCTCAGAGAAATAGCAAAACAAAAGCACCGATAAGATTAGAGTGGAGAAATGTACACATAGAGTCCTTTCTAATTTATGAATATGGAATAACCACTTGTTGGGAGAGAAAGGTAGGGAAATGTCAACAGTCTCCCACAAAGCCACAGTGGCCATAGGAGAAAACCAAGTCGGTTGCCCAGCATAGATTTTTCTGATTCTGAGACAAGAGAAAAGCTTCTCCTGTGAGTTACCAAGAAGATAAGCGATAAGAGGAAGACAGAGAATTTTTTTTATAGATTTTGACCACTGAGATCCAACGTAAAATATGTAACTACTAATGTGTGGGTTGCTTTTTCTAATATGGGTCTTTTGTGCAAATTAAAAGGAAGTCAAAAGTCTTTGAGTCAAATCTTCCTTTATAGAACATTATTAGCACATTGTGAAGTTTCATGTTTATTAATACAGCCATTTTTAATTCATGTAACAGACACATTTCTAAAGATTTAAGTAAGAATCAAATTTTGGTAAAAGAAATTCTGTATTTTTATAAGTAAAGTGTTTTTCTTTACAATGTCTCAATTGTGTTGTTTGGCAAACAGAATTTTTAACAATTTAATGAAGTCCATTTAAAGGCAGAAGGAGAAAAAATAATTCAGTTAGGAAAAAAGAAAACCTAAGTTTTTACCTCATCAAAACGGACAACCAAATAATCCATAAACCTGTCAACATATGCTCAACATCATAAGTCATCAGGAAACACAAATTAAAACAACCACCGCTTACAACTAAATGCCCAGCAGAATGACAAAAATTAGCTAAAAATCCTGCATGCATTTATTAAAAGAAACTTGTACAAGAATACTAATAGCTGCACTTATCATACTAGCTCCAAACTAAAAACAATCCAAATAGCCCTCAACAGTATAATGGATAAATGTATTGCGGCATATTCATTCAATAAAATTCTATATGGTAATAAAAATGCACAAACTACTGCTACACAAAACAACAAGGGTGATTCTCACAATTATAATGTTAAGCAAAACAAAGTCAAACATAAAAAAGGGTGTACTGCATGAATTCATTTATATGAAGTTTAAAAAGAGGCATCACTAATCGCTGAAGATAAAAGACAGAAAGTGGTTCCCTTTAGGCAGTGACTGGGGAGTAATGACAAGGAGGAGACATGAGAAAGGCTTCCAAGGTGCTGGTTTGTTTAGTTTATACTTACTCATTCCTAAACCTCATCAAGCTGTACAGATATTCTTTGTGATTTTTTTCTGTAATCCAGTAAGGGTTCTAAAAACACTGGAAAATAAGGATACTTTCTATGTTAAATCACCCACAATAAGATATTAATAAAGCAAAAATAAAACAAAAGAATAAAGCCTCAGAAGTGTGTGTACCTTTGCTGTGTGATGTGGTTTCTCACTCTAACGGTTGTCCTTGTTATCTACCTCTTTTATAGCACTTATTCCATGGCATCGTATTGATCTGTTCGTATCTTTGTCACTACTTCTTAGCCTAAGAATTTCTCTCACGAAAGGAAGAAAGTATTACAGATATATAATATTGTTAGAGTTCTCTGCTGTGCTCTTAGAAAGGATTAGCATAGAAACAAGGCCAGTCTTTCCTGTGATTCATGCTAGATTTTCTCTACCAAGATCTATCCTCATGGTACTGAGTAGTTTGTACTCAGTCCACACCTGTAGGCAAGTCTGTACCCCACGACTCTGCCTTCAAACCATACCCCATTTCTGTCATCATCAAGAATGGGGAAAGTGTGGCCCCTAAAGCTAACCATCTTATCTGTGTTAGAAACTTCTGAATGGGGTTTAAGAATAGAAATGTTTGTTTGTTTTTGCTGAAAATGGAAAATAATATATTTCCTGATCTAAGACAAATAATTTCTACCAAGTATATAGTGAAGCAGAAGAACTAGTAGTAAGCATACATAATTAAGAATAACACAGACAGAAACAAAGATAAAAGACCATGTTACCTTGAGAGCTACAAAAAAGTACCTTCCTTTGTAACTTACTTTTTCTCATAGGTCCATGTGAGGCCAAACTACACTTTTATTACCAATAGATTCATCACTGACATTTAACGCAGCTTCTCCATGCCTATGTTACTTGCAAAACCAAGCAAACCCCATATCTTTACTATATATATATATTTCATGTATATATATATACATAAAATATATGTTTCAATCATATATGTTTGGAAATTTGATCTATATATACAAATATATTTTAAAAATTTATATTTTGTTTAAGTTTTTCTTCTGAATTTAAAAAAAGTAGCACCATAATTTCTTGCCTTTCTCACATTAACCACAGAATAAAATTTTGTTTATCAGATGGCGGGTTTCTTGAAAGCAAGGAACTATTCCACTGGATCTTTTAACCCCAGCATTTAGTACTAACTGACATAAAGAAAGTCTCCAATAAATGTTGACTTGGTAAATGAATGATCCTGACATGCAGAGATTCTGTCTGACAGACTCTGGACAGCATGAGAGTTCTTTATAAGTCCTGATGGTGACAATGGGTATTACAGGGAAAGAATATAGGACAAGGTCTTGGGAATAGGGTGATGAATTGAGGTAAACCCTTAACAAGAATGAGGTGGAGACATTTGATGTTTTTCTTCTCCCAAGAACCGGTTTATTCCCATAATTTCAAAAATGTCAATTTAGAAGTAAATTTAAAAAGTTCCTTTGCTATCCAAAGAGTGACCAACTTCCTTTTCACCTTCCTGGAATCAAAGAACAAAATGTGGCCGTTAAAAGAGGCTGTTTGGAGCTAGGCACACTGGCTCAGGCCTGTCATTACAGTGCTTTGAGAGGCCAAGACGGGCAGATCACTTGAGGCCAGGAGTTTGAGACCAGCCTAAGTAACAGAGCAAAACCTTGTCTCTACTAAAAACACAAAAATTTGCCAGGTATGGTGGCACATGCCTGTAATCCCAGATACTCAGGAGGCTGAGGCAGGAGAATTGCTTGAATCTGGGAGGCAGAGGTTGCAGTGAACCAAGATCATGCCACTGAACTCCAGCCTGGGTGACAGAATGAGACTCTGTTAAAAAAAAAAAAAAAAAAGGCTGTTTGAAAATTTATATTTGAAAAACAAATTCCCTCTGTTATTTCTGCTTATGTTCCAGAATGCCTAATTTGAAGGCTTATGATTTGCTGAGGCAATGCAGCCAACTAGCTGTGCACAGCAGCTGCATGTTTATGTCTGATCCACAGTTAGAAAGATACGTCCATAAAATATGAAAACGTGATGATAAAAGCTCTGAAGTAATACCATGTAAATGGCACACAATTGGCTGTGCTGGACTGACCATGAGCACAGGGTGCCAAAAATGGTGCAAGACACAGTCTCAATTTTAACTTCCAAAAGTTATTGGAAAGTAATTGATTAAAACTGATAAACCATTGATATTTACTTGATTTCTATTCTGTCTACAATCTTTCACTTTAACCACATTGTTTCTTAGAATTTAAAGGTGATAGATATGGAAAGCCAGTGACAACATGGTTCAATAGGTATATACTCTTATATGGCCATAAATCATTTTCTCTGACCCCGTTCCAATCAGCCTTTTTGTTTTTGTTGCATATTGAAAGGGAAAAATATAGATATGTTTAAGGCTTAGGAAGATAAGATGATGAAACGGAATAAGCCTTCTTTGTTAACTGCAAGATCCAAAACACATTGATGCATCATTATCATTCCTGAGAAGAGTGATAATGATTTTATTACAAATAATGGCCACCTTATTAAAAATAAGTTACTTTTAAAAATACATTCTATATCTCGTTTAAAGTTATCTTTACGTGATGCTTCCTAATTTCTATTTTTTCAAAACTGTGAGGAAACCTGAAATTGCATTTAGATTACTAGGTAAAGAGGTAGGCTGCAAGGAGTAATGCTACTGTACTGAAAGTGAACTTCATCCTTCATTTATCTGACAAAAAATACAAACTTTTAAGTTATTAAAATAACAGGTTTTAGGATTTCATTATGTCACAGTATCCTTCAGGTGTTGCTTCGCCAGCTGGAAACCTCTGTGGCTAGTGGCGCCTCTGCTTGAGTTTCGCTTGCATCCTCTGGGCTCATTACAACAACTAGGCCCACCAGCTGTGCTCATCTCATGCTACTGGCCCAGATCCCACGCCCACTGAGGGTGAGCCAGGTGCAGAGTGGCGAGGGGTCTGTGAGCGAGCAAGCGCAGGGTCTGGCCACTGCACACACCCAGGTGCACTGACTGCTGTGGCGGGGTGGGCAGCTCCTGGCGTTGGCATAGGCGCCTACTTCATGCAAGGCTGCGGCTGGACCAGTTGTACCACAGGTGGCTTCTGCTGCAGGCTCCAGCATCTGGATGAGGGGAATGCAGTGGCGCCCAAAAACTCGGAAAGGCCAGTAACTCTGGAGTCCCAAAGGGTGGAGGGAGTATGCTACAGCTCTCTCACTACTGCTGCCTGCAGCTCGGGGAACAGGGTAGGGGATGTGTTTCAGCTTGATCAGTCCTGCCACCTCTCTCCAGCCTGCAGGTCCTGGGCTGGCCTGGCGCCAGCACCGCTTTCTGTCATATAGGATGGCCGCTCGACACTGGCAGAGGGCAGGAAGGCTACAGTGTTACTGTTCTTGCTAGGAGAATCTAAAGTCTGGGCCCCCAGATTGGTAGCAGCTCTTCACTTCTGCAGTCCGACAAAGGGGAGTTTGTCACCACTCGTAACTTGGCCAGCCAGCCAGTAATGTGTTACAGCCCTTTTCACATCCACTGTTCATCAAGTCCCAAGTTCTTGTCCCACATCCAGGAAGAATGAGCTTACGGTGGACAACTGGAAGAGAAGAGTTTCATTTAGTGACAGAAGAGCGCTCAGCAGAGAGGAGACCAAAAGTCAGTATTTCCTACCTGCAACTGGGTAGTCCCAACATGTGGCTGAGATGGGGCTTTCATGGGCTAAGAATGGGGAAAGTGTGTGTTGATTGGTCCATGGGTGGGAGAACTGTCTGCTGGTTGGTTCATGGGCAGGCCTGGAAAAAGCACCATTTGATCGGCTGAAAGACATCAAGGAAGTTCTCACTCTGGGTGGTGGATTCTACCTGGAACTGGCAGCCGGGTTTTCAGGCTTCAAGCTGTCTTTGGCTTGAAGGTCGCATATCACTGGGGACACCCCTATCTGCTTAGGAATTTGTCTGCCTCCTGCAGCTATCAATTAGTGTCATTTTTATGCTGAATAAATCCTTAAATCCTGTCTTAGATGTTTTCATTCGCTTTCAGAGGATTATTGACTAAAACCAACTTGATGTGTCCAATGTTTGGGGAAAGCGGATTTCTGGAATGACCAGGTTATCAGCAAATCTCATATGACTTTATTAAACTCAAATTTTATTGAAAGTTTATTGCTTCCTACAAGTCCTCAGGAAATGCGAACACTATGGAGTTTGAGGGCATTGTTCCTTGAAGAAAGAAAGGAGAGTTTATGCGCATACAACAAAGGCCTGAGCTGACCTTCCCTCCACTGTCCTGCCAGGTCTGTTCCACAGGAGTTTTGGCTTAAGGGATGTGATACCGCACTTGGAATTCATGTAGTCTTTTTGCTTTGTATCTTCTGAACATTCCAAAAATATTTGACTTCAGTATTTGGCTCCAAGTTATGTATCTTTCTTCTGAAGAGGAGCCATGAACACAGTAGATAGATGTTGTAACTCAAAACATGAATATCAAACTTGATATGACTGTTGTTGTGATTTGGATTTTGGCTACATTTTAGTAAAAGAGAGTTTATATTAGATCATGTTTATAAGTTTAAATATTGGGTTTTTCAGGTTTATGATTTGTGAGGCCAATAGAAAGAAAATGTTTATATCAAACTGTCATAAAAATTTCAGAATCTGAGATGTTTAGAAAAAATACTAAACAGGTATTGCTCAGGAGATGCAAAATTATTTAGGCAGATGTTAGGTTCAAGTTGACTGATTTTTCTGTGGTTCAATATATAGTAATTGTATATTACTACAGTTTGTTTTTGAATAGAAAATACAATGATTTGTTCTTGTGAGTAAAATGTATAATGATTTTTTATAGTCAAGGAGATTCAGATTTTAATCCTATCCTATTTACTAAATGGGTAAGGAAACATTTTAATATTTCAATATCCTGATCTAAACAAAATACTATATCTAATTCATACTATATTTAAATACAATTCTGATTCTAAAGTTTTTGATGGTAAATAAAATAATCTATTTAAAGCACTTAAATTCTCTAAAATATAGTAACTGATCAAAAATGTCTGTTTTTATTTTCCTCACAAATAGGAAGACAATACTTACATAATCTCAAACAAAAACATGAATGCCTGTGCTAATATTAGGTAACAAGAGTGGACAATTATTTATGAAACATTTATTACAAAGAGAAAATTATATAATGGAAATTTCTCATTTCAACCTCATCATCACCTTATATGAACGAGCTACATTTTTCCCCACTTCACAGAAGAAAATAATGAAAAAGACTTAATAAACTTGTCTGAAACCAGACAATTTATCAGTGGTAGACAAATGATTTGATTGTAACAATCTAATCCTAAAGCCTATACAGATCATTTAGAGGTATAATAATAAAGTTCTAAAAGAAAAAAAAAGAAAGAAAGGTTTCAAGAGCCTAACAGTTAAAAGAACTGAGATGGATACAACATCTCACACTTAAAAGTTACCACTTCATATAGTCCACTTCACATTTCACAAATAGAATAACTTGACAATCATAAACTTCCATTTACCACACCATTCCTTTATTGTCACATATTTCACAAGTGCATTTTTATGTCACTTTATTTTTCTTTAAACAGTCATTTGTGTTTCTAAAAATTATAAGAAAAATATTATTATAGATGTATCTACATTTTTAAAAAACTTTTCTGGTATTTTTCTTTCTTTTCATTTCCATATGCTATTGTTTCACTTTAGTCAAAAGAACACCCTTTAACATTTCTTTTTTTAGTTTTAAATTATTTTTTTTAAAATAATACTTATGTTCTGGGATACATGTGCAGAACGTGCAGGCTTGTTACATAGGTATAAAAGTGCCATGGTGGTTTGCTGCACCCATCAACCAGTCATCTACATTAAATATTTCTCCTAATGCTATCCCTCCCCTAGCTCCCCACCCTCTGACAGGCCCCAGTATGTGATATTCCCCTCCATGTGTCCAACTGTTATCATTGTTCAACTCCCACTTATGAGTGAGAACATGTGGTGTTTGGTTTTCTGTTCCTGTGTTAGTTTGCTGAGAATGACGATTTCCAGCTTCTTCCACGTCCCTGCAAAGGACACGAACTCATCCTTTTTTATGGCCACATATTCTTCCATGTTGTGTATGTGCCACATTTTCTTTATCCAGTCTGTCATTGATGGGCATTTGGGTTGGTTCCAAGTCTTTGCTATTGTGAATAGTGCTGCAATAAACATATGTGCACATGTGTCTTTATAGTAGAATGACTTATAATCCTTTGGTATATACCCAGTAATGGGATTGCTGGGTCAAATAGTATTTCTGGTTCAAGATCTTTGAGGAATCGCCACACTGTCTTCCACAATGGTTGAACTAATTTGCACTCCCACCACAGTGTAAAAGTGTTCCTATTTCTCCACATCCTCTCCAGCATCTGTTGTTTCCTGACTTTTTAATGATCACCATTCTAACTGGCGTGAGATGGTATCTCATTGTGGTTTTGATTTGCATTTCTCTAATGAATGATGATAATGAGCCTTTTTCACGTGTTTGTTGGCCACTAAATGTCTTCTGTTGAGAAGTGTCTGTTCATATCTTTCGCCCACTTTTTGATGCAGTTGTTTGTTTTCTTCTTGTAAATTTGTTGAATTTTTTTGTAGATTCTGGATATTAGCCCTTTGTCAGATGGATAGATTCCAAAAATTTTTTCCCATTCTGTAGGATGCCTGTTCACTCTGATGGTAGTTTCTTTTGCTGTGTAGAAGCTCTTTAGTGTAATTAGATCCCATTTGTCAATTTTGGCTTTTGTTGCCATTGCTTTTGGTGTTTTAGTCATGAAGTCTTTCCCTATGCCTATGTCCTGAATGGTATTGCCTAGGTTTTCTTCTAGGGTTTTTATGGTTTCAGGTCTTATGCTTAAGTCTTTAATCCATCCTGAGTGAACTTTTGTATAAGGTATAAGGAAGGGGTCCAGTTTCAGTTTTCTGCATATGGATAGCCAGTTTTTCAATACTGTTTATTAAATAGAGAATCCTTTCCCCATTGCTTGTTTGTGTCAAGTTTGTTAAAGATCAGATAGTTGTAGATGTGTGGTGTTATTTCTGAGGCCTCTGTTCTGTTCCATTGATCTATATATCTGTTTTGTTACCAGCACCATGCTGTTTTGGTTACTGTAGCCTTGAAGTATAGTTTAAAGTCAGGTAGCTTGATGCCTCCAGCTTTGATCTTTTTGCTTAGGGTTGTTTTGGCTATGTGGACTCTTTTTTGGCTCCATATGAAATTTAAAGTAGTTTTTTCTAATTCTGTGAAAAAAGTCAATGGTAGCTTGGTGGGGATAGCATTGAATCTATAAATTACTTTGGGCAGTACGGCCATTTTCATGATATTGATTCTTCCTATCCATGAGTATGGAATGTTTTTTCATTTGTTTGTGTCCTCTCTTATTTCCTTGAGCAGTGGTTTGTAGTTCTCCTTGAAGAGTTCCTTCACATCCCTTGTAAGTTGTATTCCTAGTTATTTTATTCTCTTGGTAGCAATTGTGAATGGCAGATCACTCATGATTTGGCTCTCTGTTTGTCTATTATTGGTGTATAGGAATGCTTGTGATTTATGCACATTGATTTTGTATCCTGAGACTTTGCTGAAGTTGCTTATCAGCTTAAGGATATTTGGGGCTGAGATGATAGGGTTTTCTAAACATACAGTTATGTCATCTGCAAACACAGACAAATTGACTTCCCCTTTTCCTATTTGAATACACTTTATGTCTTTCTCTTGCCTGATTTCCCTGGCCAGAACTTCAAATACTATGTTGAATAAGAGTGATGAGAGAGGGCATCACTGTCTTGTGCCAGTTTTCAAAGGGAATTGTAGTTCAGTTCTGCTGGTGGCAAATGCACTCAGCTTTTGCTTCTCTTCATGTGTTGTTATGGAATGGTGTCCCCAAAAATTCATATGTTGAAGTCCTAATTCCCAGTACCTCAGAATGTGAACTTATTTGGAAAGAGGATATTTTCAGATGTAATTAGTTAAGATGAGGTCATACTGGTATAGGGTGGGCTTCTAATTCAATATATGACTGGTGTTGTGACAATAAACCATGAGAAGACATATAGATACTCACAAAAGGAAAACACCATGTAAAGATGAAAGCAGAAATTGGAGTGATTCTTCTACAAACAAAGTAATGCTAGAGATTTCCAGCAAACCACCAGACATAAGCAAGAGGTATGGAGCAAATTTTCTGCCATAACTTTCAGTAAGAAGCCATCCTTCAGGCATGTTAATCTCAGACTTTTGTCCAGAACTGTAAAACAATAAATTTCTAATGTTTAAGCCACCGAGTTTGTGGCAATTTGTTATGGCAGCCCTAGAAAACTAATATGCATATTTTTATTTTATGTTTGTATGTAAGGATGTATTCAATGATAGAATAACGATGTAGAATGCTAGGAATGACAAGGGTTTTTTGTTTTGTTTTATTTAAATAATTTAAACAGTTCTTAAAAGCTGCTCTTCCAATTTTTTTGGTAAAAAAGAATAACAGTTATTCCTTCTATGTTTCAGGTATATATCTTGTCTTTTATCTAGCTGCTTTCAAATATTTTTCTGTATGTTTCTTATTCAATAATTTTGCCATAATATTTCTAGTTTTTTTTTGTTGATCCTTCTTGACGTTTGCTGAGCATTATGCATATGAAAGTCGATGGATTTCAGAAAATTTAAGCACATTTCAATCTCTATTTTAACAAATACTTCCCTGCTGCATCCTTAATCTCATCTTCTTCTGGGATTCCTATTAGATATATGTCAAATTACTTAAAATTCTATGTATCTGAGTATCTTCATATCTTTTTCTCTTTCATCAGTTTTTAAAAATGAATAATTTTTTGAGGTCAGTCACAGGAATGCTTGATTTTCATTGATTTTTAAAATCTTTTTTATGTGTATAAATGTATAAATGTATGGGGTAAGAGAGTAATTTTTATATGCATAGATTGCTTAGTAGTGAAGTCAGGGCTGTTAGTATATCCATCACCTAAATAATGTGCATTGTACATGTTAAGTAATTTCTTATCATCTACCCCACTCCTACCTTCTCAACCTTCTGAGTCTTCAATGTCTATCATTCCACACTCTATGTCCATGTGTAGACATTATTTAGCTCCCACTTATAGGTGAGAACTTGCAGCATTTGTCTTTCTGTAACAGACTTGTCTCAGTAAAGATATTGGCCTCGAGCTTCATTTATGTCACTCCAAAATACATGATTTCTATTGTGAGTAGTGCCACAGTAAACATACGTGTACATGTGTCTTTATAGCAGCATGATTTATAGTCCTTTGGGTATATACTCAGTAATGGGGTGGCTGGGTCAAATGGTATTTCTAGTTCTAGATCTGTGAGGAATCGCCACACTGACTTCCACAATGGTTGAACTAGTTTACAGTCCCACCAACAGTGTAAAAGTGTTCCTATTTCTCCACATCCTCTCCAACAATGATAGACTGGATTAAGAAAATGTGGCACATATACACCATGGAATACTATGCAGCCGTAAAAAAGGATGAGTTCATGTCCTTTGTAGGGACATGGATGAAGCTGGAAACCATCATTCTCAGCAAACTATCACAAGGACAAAAAACCAAACACCGCATGTTCTGACTCATAGGTGGGAATTGAACAATGAGAACATCTGGATGCAGGAAGGGGAACATCACACACTGGGGCCTGTCGTGGGGTGGGGGGAGGGGGGAGGGATAGCATTAGGAGATATACCTAACATAAATGATGAGTCATTAGGTGCAGCACACCAACATGGCACATGTATACATATGTAACAAACCTGCATGTTGTGCACATGTACCCTACAACTTAAAATATAATAAAAAAAAGTATACATATATAAAATACATGATTTCACTCTTTTTTTATTGCTGAATAGTATTCCAGGAAACACTTTTGTAATACATTTTCAAGTTCACCGAAATCTTCCGCCTACTCAAATATACTGTTAAAGCCATACAGTGAATTTTTAATTTCATTTTCTTTTAGAATTTTTATTTTGTTATTTTATCTGCTCAACTTCCCCAAGTGGTTACTCATTAAGACTGTACTTACTTTAGTTTTTTAATACTTTTAAGTTTAACTTTTTAACCATTTTACATTCACAGCACTGAGAAATCATTGTCACAGTCTAAGTTTAGAGCATTTACATCTCCATAAAAGAAACCCCGTATTTATTGTCAATTACTCTCCGTTTTTTAACACTACTTCACAGGCAACCACTAATCCATTTTCTTGTCTATGAATTTGCCTATTCTGTACATTTAACATAAATGTGATTATGTAGTATTTGGTCTTATATGACTGCCTCCTTTCACTTTGCCTCATTATAGCAAATATTAACACTTTTTTATTGACAAATACTATTCTATTATACTCACATTTCATATCTTATTTAGCTATTCATCAGTTAAGGGACATTTGGGTTGTTTCCACTGTTTGCAAATACTACTACTATAAACATTTTTGTACAAGTTTTTGCATAGATATATTTTTGTTCTTTTCTCTTGCATATACACTTAGGAGTGGAATTGCTGGGTGTAATGGTTCCCTATTGCTGCTGTAACTATGACAAATTTACTTGCTTAAATCAATGCAAATTTACTTTATTACAGTTTGGTCATAAATTCAAAATGGGTATCACTAGAATAAATGTAAGATGTTAGCAGAGCTGTACTGGGTGCTCTGGATGTTCTAGCAGAGAATCCATTACCCTTGCTTTTTCTAGGTTTTGGAGACCACCTGTATTTCTAAGCTTGTGTTCTTTCTCTTTTTCCATCTTCAAAACCAGTTGAGTAACATGCTTAAATCCCTCTCTGACACTTTTCCTTCCTTACTTCATTTGTAAGAACCCTTATGACTACATTGTGCCCACTCAGATAATCACCTCATCTTAAATTCCTCAACTAAATCGTAACTGCAGAGTCCCGTTTGCCATGCAAGATAACACTTACAGATTATGGAGATTAGAACATGTGTATGTTTGGAGGAGGACACATTATTCTCCCTACCTCACTGGGTCATATGGTAACCCTTTATTTAACTTTTTAGGAACTGCCTGTTTTTTAAAGTGGCTGCTTCATTTCACACTCCCACCTGTAAATTATGAGGTTTCTAATTTCTCCACATTCTTACAAACACTCGTTTATTGTCTGTCTCTGATAATACTCATCCTAGTGGGTTTGTATCACTTCTCGACCTTTTGGCCAAGATCAAGTCTAGTCGGTGTGAAGTGGTATATTATTGTAAATTTGTAAATTTGATTGGCATTTTTACTTTTTTTAATTAATTAATTAATTTATTTATTTTGAGATGGAGTCTCGCTCTGTTGCCCAGGCTGGAGTACAGTGGCATGATCTTGGCTCACTGCAACCTCCGCCACCTGGGTTCAAGTAATTCTCCTACCTCAGCCTCCCGAGTAGCTGGAACCACTGGCGCGTGCCACCAAGCCCAGCTAATTTTTTGTATTTTTAGTAGAGACGTGTTTCACCATGTTAGTCAGGATTGTCTCCATCTCCTGACCTCATGTTCCACCCGCCTCAGCCTTCCAAAGTGCTGGGATTACAGGCATGAGCCACCCAGCCAGGCCTGATCTGCATTTTTCTAATGGCTAAGGTTGTTGACACCCATTAATGTGCTTATTGGTCTTCTGTATATCTTCTATAAAGGGATATATATTCATATCTTTTGTTTATGTTTTAATCAGTTTGTTTGTTTATTTATTTATTTTGAGACAGGGTCTCCCTGTGTCGCTCAGGCTGGAGTGCAGTGGCGCGATCTCGGCTCACTACAAGCTCCGCGTCCCAGATTCACGCCATTCTCCTGCCTCAGCCTCCCGAGTAGCTGGGACTACAGCCACCATGCCTGGCTAATTTTTTGTATTTTTAGTAGAGACGGGGTTTTACCATGTTAGCCAGGATGGTCTCCATCTCCTGACCTCGCGATCCGCCTGCCTCGGCGTCCCAAAGTGCTGGGATTACAGGCGTGAGCCACCGCGCCTGGCCCAGAATAAACTTTATTCTACAATATAATCTTCATTCCTAAAGCTCAGCTTTTCTGTCTCAGATAAATGCCTGAGGCATTAATGAGAAGCCAAGTATGTCTCTTCATGTTAACTGTGCTAATCCTCCAATGCCCCCACTACTGCTTGGCATCTTATGTCTCTGTTCCATTTTCAACTCTGTAGCAGCTGGTTTTTGGAAGGCTTTGTGTAAACTCATTCTGCATGCTTGCAGCCCATCCATAATACAGGGAATTTTAGGGGAGCTTCACACCTCTGGCACCTCTGACACCTCTAGCACTTTCACACCTCCGGCACCTTCACACCTCTGGCACCTCTCCACCTCTGGCACCTCTCCATGCACCTCACATCTTTGCTGCTGTGTCTAACCCCTTCTGGTGCTTCAAATTCTGAATTCTTCCTCCTCAGCTCAGCACAAATGCTCTGCTCTCCTCAGATTTCAACTTTCGGTGCCATCATTGAAAAATTGTGCCCAGCCAGATAATAAGGGCAATTATGGAGATCACTCAAAGTTTCCTTCCTCTGAGAAACAGTAGTATTCTAATGCCTCTTGTCCAATGTCAGGAAACTTTTTTGCCTCATATATTTTGCCCAGGATTATGGTCACTTATAAGTAGAAGGCTAGTCCATTATCAATCATTTCATCATAGCTAGAAGTCAGACAGAAACTTTTGACAAATAGTATCAATGACACTCATCCCAACATTTCTCAATGTTGGAAATTCTATAACCTTTATAAAGATACATGTATGGTAATGTATACTGACTTAAATTTCATTGTCTGCTGTATTTTAGGGAAACAGTTTCATGGCAATGTTCGCAATGAACATAGTGGAACTTTTTCAGGCACTTTTAAGTGGAAAAAACTTTTCAAATCTAAGTTAAAATATAACCATATATGCTATAAAATATAAGATAGCTAAATCTGTGTGTGTTAAAGTAATTAGAAATAATTCACCACTGATCTGCTGGACCATAGCAAATCTCTTCAAAGTAAGTTTTAAATATATCCCAATTCATTAAATTGGAGCAGGGGGATATAGAATAAATGCTTTGTGGAATACAGAATGATGTAATAATTATGTTTCCCAGAAAGGGATTGTACTATGAATTCTTCAGTTTGGCGCCTTCCTCAGTTAACAGGTGTTAGAACCTTTATATGTCACTTTATGTGGATTCATAATGTTCCTTTGAAAAGCTTCATAAAACTCTGTTGTATAAATACACTATACAATTTTATCTAATTCCTTTTTGATGGATATTAAGACTACATCCATATTTTCACTATTATAGTTATCTCAAAAATAAGATATTCTTATTATCTAACAATAAATTAGAGTGTTCAATTCAATTATCTAGCAATAAATTGGACTGACTGCTTCTATGGGCTAAAAGCAAATTGGCATTTTATGTTTCTCATCTGTCCACTCTTTTAAAGAAGGAAAAGAAGACTACCATTTTATTTCATATTGCTTTAATTATTTCTAGTTTTGACTAAGTTTTTAAATGTTTAATATCTACATGGATTTCTTTGTTAGCGTGTTTTATAGTATTTTTCTGCTGAGTTATTGTATTTTCTCTGTTAGTATATTCTCAATTTATTACTTACTGTATAACTTTAGTAATGTTTTTTAATTAACCAAAACTTAAGTTATCTTCATGTATAAAATGAAAAAATTATTTTTAACACATTAATATTATAACTAAATTAGATAGCAAACACTTAGCAAATGTTACCCATTCTTAAACTTTTTAAGAAAGACTCTTGGTATGCTATGAATGTTAACGATCGGTTGTTAACATACACAGCAAAAATTTTCTTTTTTTGCTTTTTATTCCTCCACTTGTAAGCCTTAAATAAGTTTTAATTTGTTTATATATAACTTTGTTCATATTTCCTTAAGGATTACTGATTTTATGCTATTGTTTTGAAAGATTTCAATTCTAAACTCAAAAATATATTTAGCCATATTTTATTCTAATTCATCATTCATGTTTTACATTTAACTAGTTGATATACATGTATCTCACTTTTTATATTACATATATGTGTGTAAGGACAAAGTTAACGATCTAATTTTTTTTTACTTCAGTTCAACTAGTTGCTCAAAGTCTGGATTTTCATTACTTTTAAATTATATATATGGTTTGCTTTTCTTATACCAGTAAATAACATATATATATATGTTATATATGTTATTTATATATATGTATATATACATATATGTAATTACATATATATAATTATATATTAATATATATGCAATTAATATGTAATTTATATATATACATTAACATATATATGTAATTATATATATTATATATAATTATATATATAACTACTCTGAATGTATAACATACACTAGTATTTATGCAACTACTTCCCCATTTATCATTTATTTTATAATTTTATTGGCTATGTCCACTTGTGGGTTTTTCTAAAGTTTAAAATTATTTTCTTAAGGTCCAAAAAAATTTGAATTTTTTCCTTCAAGTTGCATTAAGTTGATGGATTTAGAAGAACAAATATATTTATACTATTGAGTTACCTGAGAAAAACTTATGTCTTTCACTTTTTATGAATTTTTCATGTATGTAACTCAGCAGTATTTAATATTCTCTTTATATATGTCATAAATATTTCTTCTACATTTCTCCTAGGTATTTTACTATTTTGTTTTCCGTAAAATTTATCTGGTCTTTTAAAATCATAGCAATAAACTTACTATCATCTGTCTCTAGAAAAAATATTGAATTTTATATTATTTTCAATGAGTCCCCAAAATATTTTTTACATTTTCTTACAGTTTTCTCACTAAAATTCTTAAAGTTTCCAAATATACAATTAGTCTACTTGTTATAATATTATATTCTACCTTCTATTTATTCCTTTGTTAGATAGTAAAATATATTTAATTGCATGCTATTAAGTGAGTAGTAAGGCATAGATGTTTGAATTAATCAAATGCCATGTCAACATCAAACCTACAATCATGTGTTATTCTCTTTGGCCTTTAAGTTTGATGTATTCCATTAATAGATTTTCCAATATTTACATTGTTTTACAGTCTTTGAAGTGACACCTGCTTTTCCTTTCATTGCTACATATTGACACATCTATTCTTTCATTTCTTACTTCCGTAGTGATGATCTCTTATTTTGCATGTGCAGAGAGGTTCATATCTAAAGTATTCTCTCAAGTTTTTGACAAATACTACAGTGTAGTAATCATCAGTAGTTTGCATTTAGAGCCCTCATTCTCATTTTTTCAGAAGTCAATTTTTTTCTCTTTACTTTAGAATTCTGTGTATATTCATTTTTGCTCTGTTCTCTGTCTAGCTGTGGATGTTTCTATCAAAATTAGTTGAAAAGCTGGGTTTTGACTGTTTAGCATCTATTCAATATGTCTTTTGCTTGGACGGCAAGGAGTGTGAGGAAATAAGCTGGAGCACCCAATGTCATTGATGTGAGTATGTCATCTCTTGGGACACTTTGCTGTAAAATATGACAAATCCTTTGCCCATGTCTCCCCTCAGCATCTGATAGTTTCTTCTTAGTTGGAAATCTAATGTTGAGGGTAGAAGTGAACACATATTGCAGAGAGATCTTTTGTTTGGTTGGTTGTTGTGTATCTAACTCTGCTAGTTATCTCTGAAAAACTGAGTTAAATGTGTATTTCTACCTCTCTCCTATCTGCTTTGACAAGCACTGATTTGGACAGCGGGTTGTTCCGGAAAACAAACACAAAAGGAATGAAGAAGATGAATGTGCCACCACTGGGGTAAGAAAACAAGGTAGATGACCTAACTTAATCTACTTAGGTGCTTGTCAACTGGACTTCTGTATATGCTGGAAATTATTTAGTAAACCTGATACTATATAGGATCACTGATAGTGATTATCTAATTTAATTAAGTGGGACTGTGTGTTCATCACCGTTTCCCTCTGTCCTAGAATCTACAGACCTCACAGAGATGGCTGGTTCTCTCTAGAGTAATATGATATTTTCTTTCCTAAAAACAACAAAACTCATCTAATGCAAATCTTAAGTGGTAAAAATTTTTTTACTATTTTTCTTAAAGGGTAATGGCATTTTTACTCTTTTGCTTATATCACTAGCTATCTCTTAATTTTTTCTGATTTTTTTCTTTACATTACAGAGCACTTCTCAGCTGTGTATTTAAAAGGAAAAATACTTATTGAGCCCTTATTTTGTGCCAGGAATAACACCAATCACTCATTTTGCACTTATTTTACAATTTTCAATTTTCTTTTTTTTTTTTTTTTTTTTTTTTTGGAGTGACGGAGTCTTGCTCTGTCACTCAGGCTAGAGTGCAGTGGCACAATCTCGGCACACTGCAACCTCTGCCTCCTGGGTTCAAGCAATTCTCCTGAATCATCTTCACAATTAACTGGAATTACAGGTGCGTGCCACCATACCCAGTTAATTTTTTGTAATTGTAGTATAGACGGGGTTTCACCCTGTTGACCTGGCTGTTCTTGAACTCCTGACTTCAAGTGATCTGCCTGCCTCGGCCTCCCAAAGTGCTAGAATCACACATGTGAGCCACAGCAACTGGCCTCATTTTACAGTTTGTTAGCAGGCTGATTGAAGATGCAGGATTGATTGACCCAAGCCTTCTCAATAGCCTAAAGTTCTGTAGATGCCAATAGACAATGCAGTTAAGCCAAGTATAAGCTAAAAAATATTCATCCAACCATCTATTCATGCAATAATCAAATATTTATTGAGCACCTCTAAGTAGCACTCACAGAATTTACCTATATTAGAGAATAAATAGATATTGTTTCTATCTTCAAAAAGCCTATAGTCTAGGGAGGGACAGTGAAACATAAGCTTACAAGGTTATAATTACAAGTTACATAACTCTGGAGAAAGACAGTGTGAGTGTCTAGTTGTTTTGAATAATACTGAAAGAAAGACATTATTCTAGTTGGAAGTACGTCACTATAGTCATGTTGATTAAAGGGAATAAAGACAAGATTCACAGACCTCTAGTGAGAACCAAAGGGAAGGATTCAATTATAAAAATTATCTATAAATTAAGAAGTCCACCACCAAAAATAATGAAAAGAAACACAACAATATGTTAAAATTTTGGGATGTGCTTGGTTAAACTAATTCTGTACTTAGAATTTTAACGTTTTGTTATTTCATAACTTCTTTAATATAATTCCTCTAAATAGTTATAAGGCTGGTGGAATTCAAAATATTATAGCAAGTTCAAGTACTAAACAATAGTGCAACATATTCTTTATGACAAAAGAAAGCACTAACGAGAAATAAAATTGCTCCATGAATAACCCAAATGTGCGGCCCAAATGTGTGGCAGAGAAAAAGACCTAACCTTTTCCAGTGCTTTACGTAATAGAATATCCCTGTAGCACCAGTGGAAATGGGAGTCAGTGAGTGTCACAACATTTAAGTGACAGGTACAAGAGTATATATTATTTATATTAATTTCAGCCATCACAAAAGAACCATGTTAAGCTTATGAGCATCATTTTTTTTCACCAGACGTTTGACAAGAGACCACAACTGATGTTTCTTATTTTTAAAAATAAAACTATGAGGCTATTTTTACTAATTAGTCAAATTAGCTGATTTTCAATAGAGGAAGAAGATGTAGACCATTTGGTCAGGCCACAAATAAGTGTTTCCTAAACTTTCTCATTCCCCAGCTGACGCATAGATGCCCTCAATACATGTACAGCAATAAAAGAGAGAAAGAAAATATAAGAAGATGAATAGGAAGATATAGTAAGAAAGAAATGTCAAGTATTTGGAGAACCTAAGGCATTATTATTATTACTAAGTAACAGAGGTATGACTGTGGCCAAGAGGGAGGAAAGGAAGGAAAAATATTCTAAGAGTCAAATCCATATCTTTAATTATCAGGTTCATAAATAACCCAAAGTGATAACTGCATTTAGGTGTATGTAGTATATGTATTATGCTAATAGTATTGGAAACAAAAGATGCATACAACTTAAAAAATAAAAATGTTGGAAAATATAGAAAAATATGAATAAAATGAATGTGGATATAGTTATATAGCACATGACAATCTTCCAAGGAATCTCTCTTGATATCAGAAGCATACTGACAAAATATTCATGTAACATAAAGAATATGTCTTTATTTTTCTTACTTTTAGACAGCACTAAATTTGTGGCAAGGACATTCATGGAAACACAGCACAGCTAGATGTCTTAGTGAAGTTTCTGAATGTTTAAACATTTAAGATTGTGGCCTCCTTAGTGTGAGAGCCTGATTCATTTTGGCAGTTGACAGTTTGTTGGCAGTTTACACTTGGTGAGTGCATCTGACTCTGTCAGTCTGTTTCCACGAGCTACCTACCTGTCACACTGTAAGTGGCCTTTCTTCCACATTCACAAAGTTTGTCTTTTTTGTATTTTATTCGTCATGAAGATTTAAAGTGACTGCATGTGAAAGGCCACGTAATCATTCTTTGTGATGACACCAGGTCTCTACTGTTGATATCAAAACATCATAAATGTAATACTAAGAAAAAACAGACTAGTCCAGAATGTTTCTATAAGTTATAGCGTAGTACTGAATGGACATTGAAAATCAGTCACACGGTTGAAAGTTGTGGTTTTTGCCTTTTCCCTAAGAGTCTATTCTTCCACAATAAAAGTGACAAAGAAAAAAAAGATGCAAATATACATGGAGAAACAATTGTTCATAATTCTAGAGTTGGATTTATTATTATTAACTCTCCCAAGCAAACTGTGAAAGTGCATTTTTGTGATCCAGAGAACTGTTATATGATAAAAACAGTGAAACAGAAGGAGAATTCTGATATCCTTGTGATGGCATTACTCGGAAAGTTGGACATAGCTTCGGTGACTCCAATTACAGGCTGTATTATGAAGGCTGGCACAACGCCATGCGAGAAAAGGCTCAAAGAAGAAAGATAAGTCATCGGAAAGCCCTTGGGTCACTACAGAGAAGAAATCTTATTCCTCTACAACACAGCCTGCAAATACACAAGAACAGTTGCATACTGTAGATGGCACCTTGACTAGTTGAAGAATAGAAAGTATTGCCATTACTTTTCTTTTCTTTCTTCTTTTTCTTTTTTTGGCAGAGTCTCACTCTGTCACCAGCCTGGAGTGCAGTGGCACAATCTTGGCTTACTGCAACCTCTGCCTCCCGGGTTCAAGCAATTCTCCTGCCTCAGCCTCCTGAGTAGCTGGGAATACAGGCGCATGGCACCATGCCCAACTAATTTTTGTATTTTTAGTAGAGACAGGGTTTCACCATGTTGGCCAGGATGGTCTTGATCTCCTGACCTCATGATCCACCTGCCTCAGCCTCCCAAAGTGCTGGGATTATAGGCGTGAGCCACCATGCCCAGCCTGGCATTACTTTTCATGGCAAAAACTGCAATTATTTTTGCACCAACCTAATAAATGCAGGCATCAAAACTAATGATACATATTGTACCACACAAAAGCTGGGAGGTATAGCAAGGGTAAAGAAGGGAGGTGTAACCTCAAAATTAACCTCTCACCTAATTAATCTTGCATGAATGTAATTCCTTAGTCTTGGTAAATCTAATAGAAATTCCTCTCTGAAAGCTTTTAAAGTGCCTTCCCTAGCATATAATTGGAGGATTGTGAACAGATATATGATTTTCATTTCACCAACACGTAGATTAGTAAGGTTCTTCTTTCCTTTGAATAGAAATGTTTCCACAGAAGTTAAGGTTGTTAGTTAAAAACACATGAAGATATTTTTAGTACTCTCGAGGAACTCATAAAAAGTTAAAACAAAAAGATGTATCATGGCTAAAAATAAATGCTTAACAAGCCTTTTTTTCTTTTCTTTCATTTTTTTTCTTTCTTTCTTTTTCTTTTTTTTTTTTTTTTTTTGAGACAGATTGTCTCTCCGTTGCTCATGCTGGCATGCAGTGGCGCCAACACAGCTCACTGCAACATTGGCCTTCCAGCTCAAGCGATCCTTTCACTTCAGCATCCTGAGTAGTTAGGACCACAGGCATGCCCCACCGTTTCCAGCTAATTATTATTATTAGTAGTAGTAGTGGAGACTAGTTCTTGCTATGTTGCCTAGGCTATTCTCAAACACCTACACCTACCTCAAGCGATCCTCCTGCCTTGGGCTCCCAAAGTGCTGGGATTACAGGTGTGAGCCACCATATCTGGCCCACAGTCATTGTTTAAAAAGTAAATGGTCAGAGCTCTTAATCAAAGGTTAATATTAATATTGGAGGAATATTCGAGCATTCAACAGACCAGGTAACCATTATTTGGTAATATCAAGTGACTGCTGTGTGTCAACTACATGCCAGGTGTAGGAAGAGTTACTTCTATGAGAATTATTTTTTTAATACTGAAATGCATTAAATATTAAATTATTATTAAATTATTAAGATTAGAAATATTTTGCTCTAAGAAGATAATTGAAAAATAGAAATTGTAGTTTTTTACTAACTGAATTATTAGTCTGCAGTTAAGTATTAAAAATAAAACTGATAAAGATTCTACCAATAAATAATTTATTACTGCCAAGGGAAATATTATTAAAATTGAAATTGAGGATTCTCAAAAAAGTGGTAAAACAATGTACCAGGAAGTATTTTATTGTAAAATTGAAAGCTATACTAAGAGAAGAGCTAAATTAGTTTGCTTCAACACAAAAAAATTATCAACAAAAAGCCACTCATTTAAAAATTAAAAGTCTGAAAATTACTTCAAGCAGGCAATAAAAACTATACAAACTGTCAGCTAAATTTTATTATAATTAAGCAAGAATATAAAACAAAAAAGTTAAGAATTCAAGCACAAATCACAAAATGTCAATTATTTAAATGTGGAGGATGGCAAGGAGACTGAAATCTTTCTAGACCTCTATCATTAACAAAACACCGAATATATTCATTTGAAAACCATATATCAGAGAAGGGGCTTAGAATACATACACTTTGATGATTCTGATAGATTATTCTGTAGTATCAGAACAGTTCAGAAGTTTTGCCCTTGGTTTGTTTTTTCATACATGCGTTTTCTCAAGGACTTCTTAATGGTACAGACAGAATACAAAATGCTGTTTCCACAAACAGAACCTACTATAATATGAACACAACTGTAGTTATGTTCATATTATATATGACAGGTAGAAAATGGAGGAAATGAAGGAGTACAAAAAAATAAGACAAAGGAAACATAGGAGAAATTTAACCAAGATTGGGGATTTTAAACTCTCCGTAGCCAGGAACATTTGCTGAGATTTTAAGTAAACTATAACTACATATTTTTAGTAAACTATAGAGTAACCATCACAATGTCAGGGCCTGTTCGGTTGCTTATTGAAGGAGGACCACAAAATATCTATTGTTTGTTTGGTTTTTGTTTTGTTTTTTGAGATAGGGTCTTGCTCTGTCACCCAGGCTGGAGTACAGTAGCATGATTATCACTCACTGCAGTCTTGAATTCCTGGGTTTAAGTGATTCTCCTGCCTTGGCCTCCAATGTAGATAGTGTTACAAATGTGCCACCACACCTGGCTTTTTTTTTTCTCTTTTAATTTTTTGTAGCAACCGGGTCTTCATAAAAGTTGCCCAGGCTGTCCGGAACTCCTGACCTTAAACAATCTTCCTGTCTCATGCACTCAAAGCACTGGGATTACAGGCTTGAAACACCATGCCCAGCCCACAAAACATCTTATAATAAATTCTTAGAAGGGAGTAGATCTAAGAAACACAATTGGAAGGTCTCTTGGTTCCTAAATGACCTCTGATTTCACATTCAGGTTCTCAGCAAAGCAGGAATCATTGCCATGATCTTTATAAATTATCGTTTAGTTTCTGTTTAAACTAATTAGTCATTCAGCTATATATGACAAGATTGGAAAATTTTAGTTACTGACATTTTAGCGAGTTAAGCCTTATTTTGACTAAAACTATATCTTAATGTGACTTTTCATCCTTGTTTTATTTTGAGCTAAAAAATTCTAATTACCCTCAGATGACATCCTTGAAATATTTGGAAATGTGTCCTTTCCAAACTTAATATCTTTCATTATTTTCTATAGTTTTTCAGTGGATTATTTGTGAATTCAGCTCAGATAACATATTGAATTGCCATACACAAAGAACATCACATTTTAAATTACATTTTAAATAAACTGAAGATGAAATTATAAAAACAAATTCAAAATGGTATTATACTCTTCAGCTATTATGAACCAGTTTTATTAAATCAATTTTATTCTAAGAAAAAGTAAAAATTCAGAATATATCTCTCCGTCTTTCTTTCTCTTTGTGTGTGTTTGTGTATACAGATGTGTGTTCATATATATACACAAACACACACATATATACACACATTTACGTATATACACACAAATCTATATAAAAGCAAAGAGGATTTAAAGGACAAGATGACCATGTGGAGAGAAAAGAAACATAGCTAGCATAGGAGCCTGTTGGTGATTATAAAAATGCCCCTCTGAGATTTTTTGCTAAAGGGAGAATAACTGATCATTCTAACTTCTGCTTTTATCAATTTATCATGGCATTTATGCTGAAGACACTCATATAATAGGCCAATTTCAGCCAATTACTGAACATGGCAGAGATATTAATTCAGGCCAATTAGTGTAAGTCTTGAGGACTCCACATCAGACTACACGAAATATTTTTATAACTGTGGTATAGCCTGAGCTCCTTCCTACACAGCTCTCCACCCTTCCCTTTCTTTCTCACAGGAGTTAGATCCAAAGGATCCCTCCACCTTCTTCAGTACCCACCCCCTTGCTTCGCAAACATTCTAGCCAATGTATTCGTTCAGTGCCTGATCTTGTCTTTTTGTCTGATTCTTGGATGATCCAAGCTAAGAGCCCCATATTCAATACCACATTTCTCCTCAATTTGTAGGTGAAGGCTAAGAGATTAATTACAGCTTTCACCAGTCTCCCAGGGCTAGAAAGAAAAAAAAAAAAAAGGTTTGTCACTTGGGTAAATTGTGTGTCACGGGAGTTTGGTGTACAAATGGTTTCATCACCCAGTTAGTGAGCATAGTACCCGAGAGTTAGTTTTTCAACCCTTGCCCTCCTTTCTCTCTCCCCCCTCTAGAAGTCCCCAGCTTCTATCACTGCCAGCTTTACGTCCACATTGCCCAATGATTAGCTCCCACTTATAAGTGAAAACATGCTGTATTTGATTTTCTGTTTCTGTGTTAATTCATTTAAGATAATGACCTCCAGCTACATCCATGTTGCTGCAAAGAATATGATTTTGTTTTTTTATGGCTGCACAGTATTCCATAGTATATATGTACCACATTTTCTTTACCCACTCCACCACTGATGAGCAAGTAGCTTGATTCTATGGCTTTGCTATTGTGAATAGTGCTTTGATGAACATATGCACTCATGTATCTTTATGGTAGAACCATTTATATTCCTTTGGGTATACAACTGGTAATAAGATTGCTGGTTTATCTACTTCATTATCCTACTACCACACACTCTCAAAGGATTTCTCAGACAATTTGTAGGAAATAACGAAATCTATCCTTACTTTACAATCCCAAATAGACTCTGGCAGCAGTGACTCTCCAAAACCGCCGAGGCCTAGACCTCCTCACTGCTGAGAAAGGAGGACTCTGCACCTTCTTAGGGGAAGAGTGTTGTTTTCACACTAACCAGTCAGGGATAGTAGGAGAAGCCGCCCAGCATTTACAGGAAAAGGCTTCTGAAATCAGACAATGCCTTTCAAACTCTTATACCAACCTCTGGAGTTGGGCAACATGGCTTTTCCCCTTTCTAGGTACCATGGCAGCCATCTTGCTGTTACTCACCTTTGGGCCCTGTATTTTTAACCTTCTTGTCAAATTTGTTTCCTCTAGAATCGAGGCCATCAAGCTACAGGTGGTCTTACAAATGGAACCCCAAATGAGTTCAACTAACAACTTCTACTGACAGCCCCTGGACTGACCCACTGGCCCTTCCACTGGTCTAAAGAGTTCCCCTCTGGAGGACACTACAACTGCAGGGCCCCTTCTTTGCCCCTATCCAGCAGGAAGTAACTAGAGCGGTCATCGGCCAAATTCCCAACAGCAGTTGGGGTGTCGTGTTTAGAGGGGGAATTGAGAGGTGAAGCTGGCTGGGCTTCTGGGTCATGTGGGGACTTGGAGAACTTTTCTGTCTAGCTAAGACAAAGGGTTGTAAATGCACCAATCAGCACTGTGTGTCTAGCTAATTGGGTGGGGACTTGGAGGACTTTTCTGTCTAGCTAAAGGACTGTAAATGCACCAATCAGCGCTCTGTGTCGAGCTAATCAGGTGGGGATTGGAGAAATGTTCTGTCTAGCTAAAGGATTGTAAAAGCACCGATCAGCACTCTGTGTCTAGCTAAAGGTTTGTAAACACACCAATCAGCACTCTGTGTCTAGCTAATCTGGTGGGGACCTGGAGAACTTTTCTGTCTAGCTAAAGGATTGTAAATGCACCAATCAGCACTCTGTAAAACAGACCAATCAGTACTCTGTAAAACGGACCAATCGGCACTCTGTAGAATGGACCAATCAGCACTCTGTAAAATGGACCAATCAGCAGGATATGGGTGGGGCCAAATAAGGGAATAAAAGCAGGCCACCCAAGCCAGCAGCAGCAACCTGCTTGGGTCCACTTCCACACTGTGGAAGCCTTGTTCTTTTGCCCTTCACAATAAATCTTGCTGCTGCTCACTCTTTGGGTCTGAGCCACCTTTATGAGCTGTAACACTCACCACAAAGGTCTGCAGCTTCACTCCTGAAGTCAGCAAGACCACCAACCCGCTGGGAGGAACAAACAACTCCAGACGCACTGCCTTTAAGAGCTGTAACATGCACCGTGAAGGTCTGCAGCTTCACTCCTGAAGTCAGCGAGACCACGAACCCACCGGGAGGAATCTACAACTCCAGACGTGCCATCTTTATGAACTGTAACACTCACTGCGAAGGTCTACAGCTTCACTCCTGAAGTCAATGAGACCACGATCCCACCAGAAGGAAGAAACTCTGGACATGTCTGAACATCAGAAGGAACAAACTCCGGATGCACCATCTTTAAGAACTGTAACACTCACTGCGAGAGTCCGTGGCTTCATTCTTGAAGTCAGCAAGACCAAGAACCCATCAATTCTGGACACAAAACTTTCTCTAAGAAAGGCCATGTGGTGGTCTTCTAGACAAATACTATTATACAGAACTACTGTCTTAAAGATGTAGTTTAAGACATCCTTAAAAACTGAAAGACCCTGTGGAGAAAGTCAAGAAAACAGTGTAGGAACAAATATAAATTTGTTCATACATTTGTAAATGTACACTTACAAAATGTAAATATAAATAAAGAAATAAGAAACTTAAAAAGCAACCAAAAATTTCTGGAGCTGAAAAGTGCAATAACTGAAATGAAATACTCCCTAAAGGAATTCAAAGGCATATTTAGGCAGACAGAAGAATTAGTGAACTTGAATATAAGACAATTGAAATTAAGGAGTATAAAGAACAAAAATGATTGAAGAAAAGTGAACAGAATCTAAGGTGCCTGTAGGACACCATCAAGCAGACCAACATACACATTCTGGGATTCCCAGAAGAAAAAATACAGAAAAAGGAACAGAAGAACTAGTTAAAGAAATAATAGACAAAAACTTCCCAAAGTTGGTGAAAGATGAATATAATCATCCAAGAGACTCAGTGAACTCCAAGATGATGAATTCAAACAAACCAATACCAAGGCATTGTAATCAAATTATCAAAAGACAAAGACAGAGAGAGAATATTTGAAGGAGCAAGTCAATAGTGGCTCATCACATAACAAGGGACCATCAACAAGATTGTCAACAGATTTCTCATCAGAATTTTTGCAGGCCAGAAGTCAATGGGCTGATAATTCAAAATGCTGAAAGAAAAAAAAAATAAAGGGATCCGCCAAGAATCCTACATTTGGCAAAACTGTTTTTCAAAGGTGAGGGAGAAATGAAAATATTTCCAGATAAACAAAAGCTGAGGGAATTTTTTTAGCATTATACATCCCCTGCAAGAAATCTAAAAGACTGTCATGAAAGGAACTTAGAGAACCTAGCTCAATTGTCCTATAAAACTGATTTTTATGGGTTTTTTTTAAATAAACATAGAAATGGACTCCCCTCATCTTAAAACTTTATAAAGTTACATTTGTCTTATCTGAGTTCCTTTCTCAGGAAACCAACCATCAGGCCTCCCAGCCAGTGTGAAGGAACAGAAACTTAGCAGATCGCCACATCTGGACAATGAGGCACTAGACACCTCATCATGACTGCCTAACCAACTACCTGCTCTGGTTGACCAATTTCTCTTCCTTACCCCTCCCTGATTCCTGCTTTCCCCACACATGGTTAAATTTATTTCCTGCTGTATAAATCCTCAATTTTAGTTGGTCAGGCAGATTGATTTTAGATTGATTTTCCATCTCCTTGATTGAAGTAGTTGATTAAAGCCTTCTTCACTGGCAACACTCATTCTCTCAGTGATTGGCTTTCTGTTCAGTGACCAAATGGACCTGGACTGAATCCCTGACTTTAGACAGTAACTTAAAGCCATATGAATAAACATAGATGTGAGTAAAGATAAATACATTGACAGTTATAAAATCAAGTATTAATTTAATATTGGTTTATAATTACACCTTTGTTTTCTACATGATGTAACAGGCCAATAGTTTTTTAAAAAACTACTTTTAGTTTAAAAATTAGAATTATTGTAACTTCAGTTGGTAGCTGCACTTTTTTTCTATGTAATTTAAGAGATTAGTGTATTGAAGGACAATCATTACTGTATGTATTTAGATACACAATGTATAAAGATGTAATTTTGTAACATCAATAACTGAAAGTTGGTGGGGACAGAGCTGTATAGAAACAGAGTTTTTGTATATTCTTGAAGTTAAACTAGAGTAAATTCACGTTGGAATCAAACATTGAGACATTACATGTAATTATCATTGTGCCTACACAAGAAAATAATATTAAATTTAGACAAAAGGGATTAAAACAGTTCATTGCCAAAAAATATCTAGACACAAAAGAAAAGAATAATGTAGAAAATTAGGTATGAAAATACTGTAAGGCATATACAAAATAAACAGAAAAATGACACAAGACCCCTTTTATCAGTAATTGCTTAAATGTAAATGGATTAAACTTTCCAGTCTTTTTGTAAAATGAAAAGAGTTCTGGAGATGGTTGATGGTGATGGTCACACAACAACATGAATGTATTAATACAACTGAAGTGTATACTTAAAAATAGTTACTAGGGTAAATTTTATGTGATGTGCGTTTTACCCCAATAAAAATGTGTTATTCAAAAAAAGGAGGCAAATGAAAACATTTTCAAAAAGTCAAAATCTGAGCAAAAATTTTTACCGGCAAACTTGTACTTATAGAATTATCAAAAGGAGTGCCTCAGGTAGGGGAAAACTGACTGTAGATTCCAGGTCAAAAATGAAGGAGAAATAAAGAGCTGTGAAAATGGCAATTATGTGATGAAATTTAAATAAGATTATCTGCCTAAAACAGAAGCTATGATACATTTGTAATTTTAGATCTTTACATTTTATCATATTACACTACAGACAGAAAAACACAACTAAAAATAAGCCAATATTATTACATCAGTTTAGAGGAGGTTAAATGTGTTCAGTATTTGTAAGATCTTCCCGTTAACTATTGAGTGATTACAATTACTTATTTATGTTAAATTGTAATAGGTTAAAATTCCACATTGTAATATATAGGGTAAACCTTACATGGATGGAAAAGAATGAGTACATAATAAGCTACAAGAGGGGTAAGTGGATAATTAAATCAATTAATTTAAAAGCAATAAAAAGAAAAGAACAAGGAAAGAAATATAGAACAGGTTGTATAAAGAGAAAACTTACAGTAAATGGCACATTTAAATTGATATTTATTAGTAATTACCCCAATTAAGCAACAATAATCAGACTCAATTATACAGAAAGAAAATTATCTATATGTTGCTTAAAAGAGTACATACCTTAAATAGTATTTAAGATGGTTTTATATTTGAGGCTTTAAAATTTTCAACATTTCAGTGCAACAGATATTTGTTGAAGGCCCAACATGGTCCAGGCTCACAGGTTTACAAATATACAAGGCTAAAAAACAACTTAGCTCCGTTTCTTCCCATAACTTTTTCTAAACTTAAAATGTCGAGAATGAAATTTAGATACATGTTTTTAATTATATCAACAAATTAAATGGATTTTATTTAAATTAAATTTCCATTTGAACTCTTTTGGACGGTCATATATATGCTCAAAATATATTCCTGTGATTCTATTTTTGAACACTGCAGGTAGCTTATTTAAGCAGATTTAACATGGATGAAGCAATTTGCAACATATGTTCAGTGCAGTGTGGCTTTCCTCCAGGGTGAAAATGTCAACATAACATAACAACTTTTTGGAAAAACAAAAAGTGAACTTTTATTGTTTCCAGGCAGACATAAATATCATAGGCAGTGTCATGACAGATTAATAGATCAGCAAATAGTGGAGAAAATAGATCATTTTTATATTTGACCTGTCCTGCACATCCTTTCTTAATTTCCCGGTTGTGCCAAAACATATTTTTTAGATTGAAAAATTAATACAGTTATTCATTGTAATCACTGTGCATTACACAATGTGATATTAGGATGCTGACATGATTTTAAGGTGTAAAGCAGAGATGATTTCATTTTTTAGAAACAGGAGGATTGTTAGGTTATTTTCATATGCATTAATAATATTTCATATAAATTCATATCTATGTGTATATGTATGCATATATTCACATGCTTCCATGTATATATGAATACATATATACATATAAGCACACTTATGTATACATATGGGTATTTATAATCAAATAAGTACATATATTAAAATGCATATGAATATATTAATATACAAACATACAAAAATACATATACATATACATCTGTATATACACACACACATCTGTATATATTTAGATATATATACTTTGTATCTAGCCAGGGTTTCATCACAATGCAAAAATCTCTTTTAAGTATCAACAGAAACTTGCATTATCATTTATAATGCGTAATTTATTGCTCTGGTGATGGTTTTGGTGTATGAACATTGAAGGAATCACTCTTGATATTTCTTGAATATGGCTCCCTTTTAAATTAATTTTTCATTAAAGTTACAAGGAGCTTTATTCAACTCCTAATTATTTTTTAGTCTGTGCTCCTAAATGCACCTTTCCAATCCTTCATTCTTGGTTTCAGTATGATGTGTTTTCTGTCCAAATGTAAATATTTATTTTCCAGGCATACATACTTTTAAAAAAATCAGAAGTAATGTGACCTATAAGCTAACTTCTTATGCCTTGGGAATTTACAAATTAAGTATGCTTCCACAAATCTAAAAACAATGTGATTAGTTATTCAAATTTAGATTTGATGGACAGAAAAATCACAGTTTAAAATTTTGAGGAAACCAACAAGGGAAAAAGCAATTTTTACTATTGCTAAGAAAGAAACATTTTGGTTACAAAAGTATAAATTATTTTCTGCTCCAATTTATTTTGACCTTAATTTTTTAATTTTTTTGTTATTTCAACCTGTTTAAAACCACTGGTAATCACCCCTTATGGCAAATGTTGTAATCACCTGTGTGATGTAGGGGAAAAAAATAACAACTTTCTAAATGGTTTGAACCTAACTGAATGCCTGAAAATTACAGGTTTTAAGTTATGACTTGGATTGTAGCCTTCTGACAAAATCTTAAAGTGACTTGTTGAGACAAAATACTTCTTAAATTTGTCAAGGAGAGTAAAAATCATTTTAACATAAAGTAGTGTAAATAAATCAGAAGTGTATTGCTTAAACACAGTCAAGAATTATGTATTTTAATTTTAAGGAAAATTTGGAGATAAACTTGCAGTGCTTTTTATTCATTTATCAAACTGGAGATAGAAAAAATAACTTTAGTTTGGGTCATCTGCTTTGATATCATTTTACTATCATCATCCCAATTTCTGTCACATTATAATGTCATATTGAGAGCTAATACAGATCAACATGGCTTTTTTATTCATGGATTTACTGCAAGAAATAAGAAGGGGGTAGAAATATATCATATTTAAAGGAAGAAAAGTAAAGATGAAGACATGACTTGAAAAGACTATTTGTTATTAGTTATCATTCAGGAAGAGAAAATGAATGAACTCTCCCTTTCCTCCTTTCTTCTTACCTACCTCCCTCTCTCCTTCCACTTCTTCCTTCCTTTCTTTTTCATCTACATTTTCATTCTGTCTTAAAATTTTTCATTGTGAAGCTTTGGCACAATGTGAAACATATGGTCTGTTTCTTTGCAATGACTTACAAGTCAAACTGTGTTTGCTTTTTTTTCTGTTGTTCATAGAAAGTAAGATAATGTGTTCATAGTTGCTGGTCCTAGAATAGCAAAAACGAGTTAGCAAACCTATAGAAGAAAGTAATACTTTTTGCTAAATATAGTTAGCAATATTAATAATCTTTAACTTTTCCCTCAAAAATAATATGCCAGTATGTTTCCTTCCCCACTTAGAAATAGCATCTGTTCAAAAGTCGCTTATGTAAAATAGGAAGCCACATATCAGAGTTGGGCCTCAAGAGTTCTGAGAATCTTTTAAAGGGAAGCGTTTGGGGGAACAGAGAAAGGACTTAAAGAAGAGCAGAGAGTGATGAGAAAATCTTCATGCCAAAGAAAGAAAAAAACACATAAAACACAGCTCCTGATTATGATTTTGAGACTCAAATCTGTCTTTCTTGGCCTGGAACCAGAGATGAATGAAGCAAGCAGCACTTTTTGTTTGGCACAAGCCTCCAAGTGTGCCTCCAAAGAGCCAGACGTTTGGCAGAATGAGACCCCAAACATCCAAATCAATGACTGCATTTTTTCTCTTTTCACATATACTGAGGGATGCCATTTCAGTCTCTATGTATATAAAGCAGCCTATTCATGTGCATCATGTTCAATCTCCAAGGTAACCATACCCCTCTCTATTTTGATTCTAAAATTCAATGGCTTCCAATATTTGTTGACAGTGTGACTGTGTGTGTGTGTGTGTGTGTGTGTGTGTGTGTGTGTGTGTGTGCGCGTCTACCCATGGTCACTGCCTGGGAAATTACATTGTGAAACTTGTAACATCTTGTATTCTCAAAGTGTAAAGAAGTGTTAAAGAATGTTGGGGATTAGTCAAAAGGACACATTTTGAAGGAGTTTTCACTGGCCAAATCAGAAATTATGTGAACAAAAAAAAGAACGTAGATCTTTATACCTTTTTTATTAGAATGTAAGTCTATGCATTCATAGTGCTGTAGATGAATAAAAACGTGGAAAAGACTAAAAAGCTTTTCCTTACAATGCAATGCACCCTAATGGATGTAAAAAGATTGACAGAATTATAAAATCATTTGAAAGCCATACTAGTAATAATCAATTAAGGCAAAGCTAATCAATGGATGCCAAAATAATTGGGAAAGAAGATACTTAAGGACAAAATTTAAGTTTTAACTTTACAATTGAAAATTTGGCAGATACCATCTTAACCCAGTGGCCAAGGTTAACATAATCAGCAATGGGACAACTTGACATCATGACATCCTGACAGGAAGTACTGAGAATAACACAATGTTGTTATAGTAGGTTACTAGGCAGACATGAGCAGGGCAGGAAGTGCCCCCCCAACGCCCCCCCAACGCCCCCCCCCCCCGCCGCCACCACCACCAGGAATGTCAGGCAACCATCAGGTGATGGTTAGGCAGTTGTTACACTGTCTCTCTAAAGGAATAATAGTAATTGGCCACAGCCAGCACCAGGGAAAGGAAGTCTTTCAAGAGACAAAAGCACCTGAAACTGGTGATCAGCAGCTTCCCGGTAAGATCTCAGGAGTTGAGCAAGTGGACTCAGGCATGTGCACTAAGAGGCAGAATGGCTGATGACCTTCCTCTAGGAACACTGTACTGATAAGGGAAAAATACCTCAAGTGGACATGTGTACAATGCCAGTAAACACACTGCGCGTGCGCCCGTGCCAAAGTCTAGCAGGCCACTGTGCATGTGGACAGCCCACCCCAAGGGAAGAGTCAGCAGAAGGAACACAAGGCCCCAGAAGTAAGCCAAAATATAAAACCCTAAGTCAAAGGTCAAAATGTTTACTTGAACCTCTCAAGTCACCCACTTGGCCCTCTTCCAAGTGTACTTCAGAATCCTGCTCTAAAACTTTCTTAATAAGCTTTCACTCCTGCTCTAAATGGTGCCTTGGTCTCTCCTTCTGCCTTATGCCCCTCGGTCGAATTCTTTCTCTGAGGAGGAAGAACTGAGGGTGCAGAAGGCCCATACAGATTTGTTACTGCTAGTAATATCACTTACAATGTAAACAAGATAAAATATTATAAAAATCCAACTTGGGGTACATTCCACAAAATAACTAACCTGTACTCTTAAAACAGCAAGTTCATGAAAGACAAAGGATGAGACAGGAATTATTCCAAATTTTAAATGATGAAAAATGCATGACAACTAAATGTGATATAATCTGGGCAGCCTCTTAAAAAATGCTTCAAAACATAGTGTTACCTTTGGATAAATTTAAATAATAATTTCTGTAGGTAAGATAATACCATCATATCAAGTTGAATGTCCTGTTTTGATTATATAATTATGTTGTGGTATGGTAACATGATTTCTTTTTTCTTTCAGAAAACACATATTGTTCAAATTCAATATGTATAGGAATAACTGTCTGCAGCTTCCTCTCAGATAGTTATTAATACAAATAGTGATATTAATTACACACACATACACACCTATATATAAAGAGATTGATAGAACAAATATGATAAAAGTTTAGTATTTGGTGAGTCCAAATAAAGAGTATATTGGAATTCTTTTTATTATTTTTGAAAGCTTTCTGTAAATCTGTAAAGCTTTCAGTAAATCTAAAATTATTTCAAAAAAAGTTTACTAAAACATACCTTAGTATAATCCTGGATTCTCCTTTCATGACTAATTTGCCAGCATACATGTTCTACTCCTCTTTCTAAGTAAATCTAGAATTTAACCTCTTGCCACCACCCCCACCTCTATCCCTTTGGTTCAGGCCATCTTCCTTGGATTATTTCAGTAGCTTCCTAAACAGTCTTTCTATTTCATCTCTTGCCCTTCTTCAGTCTACTCTGAACAAAGACATCAGACTTACTCAGGTAAAGCATATGACAGACCATGTCATCCGTCTGCTCAAACCATCCAATGGCAAACCCTATTAAGATAAATGGGAGAAAATTTTCACAACCCACTCATCTGACAAAGGGCTAATATCCAGAATCTACAGTGAACTCAAACAAATTTACAAGAAAAAAACAAACAACCCCATCAAAAAGTGAGCGAAGGACATGAACAGACACTTCTCAAAAGAAGACATTTATGCAGCCGAAAAACACATGAAAAAATGCTCATCATCACTGGCCATCAGAGAAATGCAAATCAAAACCACAATGAGATACCATCTCACACCAGTTAGAATGGCAATCATTAAAAAGTCAGGAAACAACAGGTGCTGGAGAGGATGTGGAGAAATAGGAACACTTTTACACTGTTGGTGGGACTGTAAACTAGTTCACCCATTGTGGAAGTCAGTGTGGCGATTCCTCAGGGATCTAGAACTAGAAATACCATTTGACCCAGCCATCCCATTACTGGGTATATACCCAAAGGACTATAAATCATGCTGCTATAAAGACACAATGCACACGTATGTTAATTGTGGCATTATTCACAATAGCAAAGACTTGGAACCAACACAAATGTCCAACAATGATAGACTGGATTAAGAAAATGTGGCACATATACACCATGGAATACTATGCAGCCATAAAAAATGATGAGTTCATGTCCTTTGTAGGGACATGGATGAAACTGGAAATCATCATTCTCAGTAAACTATCGCAAGAACAAAAAACTAAACACCGCATATTCTCACTCATAGGTGGGAATTGAACAATGAGAACACATGGACACAGGAAGGGGAACATCACACTCTGGGGACTGTTGTGGGGTGGGGGGAGAGGGGAGGGATAACATTGGGAGATATAACTAATGCTAGATGACGAGTTAGTGGGTGCAGCGCACCAGCATGGCACATGTATACATATGTAACTAACCTGCACATTGTGCACATGTACCCTAAAACTTAAAGTATAATAATAATAAATAAATAAATAAATAAAAGATAAATGTCAAACTCCATTAATACAGTCATGGAGACATATCATCCAAACTGGAACACTTGAGAGTGAAAATAGTGTTATTGACAATCACACCAAAAAAATAGGCTTAAACATGGGGTATATGGTCATTGATTCCAAAATCACTTGTGGACCTCATTACTTCTCTGATTTCCTGTTCCCCTCCCCTAATTATGCTGTTGCACTTACACCAGTCTTTCTGCCCTTCTTTGAGCAATCCAATAATCCTCCATCATAGGGTCTTTTCAGGGATTACTTGCCCCTGTCCTAAACGCTCTACCCACATATTTTCTTATAGAGCACTTACTTACTTCTTTGAGCTATATACTTTCAGATCACTTTCTCAGTTATGCTTTCTTTAGCTATTTTATCTCAAAGTTCAATATTTCCTCTCCTATTTGTTATATTGCTCTTCTATGCCTTATTGTTAGCATATAGCAAAATAGAATACGATAGGCAAGACTGGCTTTGGTGATTTGGATTGGTGAGTTGCAGGAAGATTGGCTCTTTGAATTTCAGAGTAAAGAAGAGAACATAAGCTATGCCCTCTATTGCCCTCAATTGAAACTTTGCATGCTATATATACACATATGTGCATATATTTCACATTTGCATATTTATTGTGCTTATTTTCTGTATTTCATATTAGAATATAAGATAGCTGAGGGCAGGTAATTTTGTTCATTAAATGTGGTCATATATCCAGAGCTTCAGCAATAATGCCTAGCACCTGGTAAACAGCCAGTAAATAACTTTTGAATGAATTAAAGAATAATTTTTATCATTTCAATAGAAAATGTTAAATGTACTGAATATTTAAGAAAACAAATTCCTGAATTATATTAAGAATTGGCCTAGTTATTTACTATAATGCATCTTTACTTATAGCAATAAGGATAGAGAATTTGTTATATTAAAATAATTATTTATGCTACTGTCTTAATAATAAAATATGAAGAGTGAATCCTGGGCAAAGTTTAGTGATTCTTCATCCTCAGATTAGCTTGAACGAATGCTATTTTATTGCTTTGCTTGGATTTCACTGAGTAATGGTTAGGTCAAATATTATTATTTCACGTTTTTCCAAATATTATATTTTCTATTTAGTTTAATGTATATGTAGTTCCTTTATTTGGTTTTTAGTGACTTCTTTCTTTTCTAAGATATTATAAGAAGCTTTTTCATTGTGGTTTCTCTTAAATGTACCATTTTACATTACTCTGCTATAAAGAAAATTCAGCAGCATTTTACAAGGTTTAGAAAACAGAAAAATGTTTAAGAGATTTAAATGAAAGTTTACTACCCTAATTGAGGTTGAAGCCAGCAACCTGGGTATAAATTCCAGAACCATACTGAAATCCTGTATGATTATGAGACCTTTGTATAGAATCTTCGAGCATCAGGACTCCCTTCATATAGCTATTATAAAATAGAATATAATCATGAATTTTAAGCACTTAACATTATACTGTTGTACATTAACTACACAGTAAGCTGTCAGTTATTAAGGTAATCTATTATTACTAAGTTTTATTTTTATTGGTCATCATCTTTGTCCAGTAATTTCTATATGCCTACCTACTTGAATATTTGCAATGCTAGAGTATAGTCCATTTCATCTCATGTGTTTTACTTAATAGTGTATCATCAGTAAGTTTAATGTTGCAATAATTTTAATTGTAATGAAATGCATATTATTCCATCTAGTGATGGTATCGTAACTTAATCAAATATCACAGTAGTATTGGGCAGTTAATTAAAACACTTTTTAACATACAAATCTGACAGAACTTAGTGAGTAAGACAGGCCTGGTTATAAACTCATGGTGGTTATACAAATTCACAAAGACTTATGGAAGCAAATTTGGAAATATATCAAAGATCTTAAACATATTCATTCTCTTTGACCCAGCAATTCCATTTCTGGGAATCTCTCCTAAAGAAATTATCAGAAATGGGGACAAAGATTAATGTACAGAGATTTTATCATGCCATTATTTATGGCAGCAAACAGTTGGAAGCAAGCCAAATGTCCTGCAATGAATGATTACATCATGGTGCATCTATAAACATAAAGAGTAAGCACTATTATAAAATACACTTACGAAGAATTTTAAAGTATAGAAAATGCTCATAATATACTGTTAAAAGGAATACAGAATGTATTTTATATTTATAAAATTATAAGAACTTCATTAAAATATACATATAAACAAGAGACTATTAGCAATGATAATCTCTAAATAAAGATAATTTTATTTTCTTCAATTTTTCACATCTTCTGCAATAAACATATATCACTTTAACAATAAGGTGGAAACTAATTTTTAAAATAAAGTAAAACTAGTATAAATTACTAATGGTAACATGAATGTTTTGGTGGGAAATTTTGAATGATTTTGCATGCTATATGTAACAGTTCCACACTGATAGTATGACACCTTTGTTGATGAACTTGATACCAGCATTCCAAAAGCAATGTAATGCCATATCCAACTATTTTCAGCCGCTCTCAGCTCTATGGAAACTTTCCAAATTGCAGTGTTGTAAAAGGAGAATAGAGTTAAAGTCTTATGAAGTTACAGACTAATGAACAAGAGCAGCAGGTTCATCCACAATCCAATTACTTGGAAAGTAAATGTACCATATCTAGTTAGTGATATTGTTTAATATTTAATCCTGTGAAACCAAGGCATGAACATTAAAGTTCTATAGCAAACCCTAGAAGCATGAAAATAAAATGTAAAAGTAGCAGATCTTAATATTTCTACAGAAAAGCAAAACTTTATAAAATTGTCCTTATACAGACTGCATATGTGCAGTTACAAAAGGATAAATGAAAACTCATTCGGGTCCTTTTTTCCTTCTGTCCAAAATAATTAAAACTAGATTAGGGGTGTTGTAGTACCTACAACTATCTTCTCAGATTTTGGAGTGCATAGCAGCCTATTTAAAATGAATGTTAAGGTCACAATAGTTTTGAAATTGAACTTATTATAAATAATTCTCTAATAAAAATATAGTAGAAAGATGATACTTTAGCCTCATTGTTGTAGGGAATATTAATTCTTGCTTCTTCTAAGTTTTTATAGCTGGAGAAACTGAGGCCTCCAAATTATGGGCAAGGACTTAAAATAATTTTCACCTAACTAGAACAACATAAGCTTTCTCATCAGAAGTGGTAGTACTTGAAACTATCAAATCTGTTCTTACTCCACTATATGGTATGTATGTGGTGAGTCTATGTCAGTATCACATTCACTCAGTTGTAGTAAGGGTTTACAGGAGTGCCATGTTTGCCTACTCATTGTAACTAGACATGTGGCTAAAATTATGATTGTACTTCAGTTTAACTGAAACTCAATTGACGCCAGCTATTTTCCTAGAATCCTCACACCATGACTAGTCCTCATCTTACTCTTCTCTTATAGCCCATTTTATATGTGCTCAAGTGCTACCTGCAAACTAGTATTAAGCTAGATAAATCACAGTGAGTTGTGAGGTTTACCCATGAAGACTAACTTACCTGAATTTTGGGCCCCATTCACTACATTGACCTTTTTATTGCCTGTAAACAAAACAGACAAAAGCAAAATGGTTCTCTTCTGATAACATCATATACCTTTAGTTATAAACTGCTTCTCCCAAGTCCAGAACATGTAGCCTGATGGAGTTGTCTCTTCAAGAACCCATTTCCCTAACTCATGGGAATTTATTCAAGTATTGACAAATGTCAGCTCTAATAGACTCTTTTCTTAGATTTTTAAAATTTGAATTGGAGTACGAGCCATTTTCACTTAGATGGTGAAAGTACAAGTAATGTGACACCCAAAGCTGGCAATAGCCGTAGATATAGTATTGTAGATAATGTCAATGTTGCGCCAACCTCTGCTTAGCAATTACTATTTCCCTGCACACTGGCCCATCCTCCATTTGATAACACTGGGCTTCTTTGCCTGTATATTTTTTTTGTCCACTAGAGCCCTCTCTGTGCCCATGCATAGCAGGTTAAAAATGATGAATAGTTAACCCTCTATGAAAGCAGTCCTCACTAGGAACTAACGGGAGCTGGCCCTAACTTCTTCACTCTTTGTTTGAGATAACATAATGACATAGATTCTATATCACCTTCTAGATCTCTAGTGAAACTTAGTTATATACCCTTTTTAAAATTTACTTTCTTCCCTGTTTTTTTTTTTAAGTGTTTTGTTTTGTTATTTCCTCCCTTCAGTCTCCTACAAGAGCCTCCTGGAAAAGTATTCCCAAAAATCCACATGCAGTACAAATAAACTACTATGTAAGTAGGTCGGCTTCTAAGGGAACCCAGTCTATGATATCTAGAAAATGTTTTGGAGAATAAAACCATCACTCAAAGGAAGTAGCAGTAGCATTGAAAGCTGAGAAGCTTAGTGGTACCTGACTTGCCCAAGAATCCTTGGTTATTTCCAAAAACAGTCAATTTTTTCTTTTTTCCCAGTCAATAAACCATATTAGTATTCTTTCACTACCTATTCTTTTTCCTAATTGAGAAATTAGTGTTTGATATTTAGATCTCAGAGAACCCAGATGTAGATATAAGTAGTATTCTAAACGATGTCCTTGTGATATGCTGAATAACAGCCCCCAAAAGATATCCACAACCTAATACCTGGAATCTGTTGCCCATATGACAAAATATATCCTCTATTATTTGGATGGATCCTAAACAAAATCAAATTTATCCTTTTAAGAGGAAGGTGTGAGGTGATTGGACCACATAGAAAAGGAGAACACCACAATCACAGTTGTTGAAGTGATGTGGTCACAAGCTGAGGAATTTCAGCAGTGAGAAGAAACAGGAAGATACAAGAACAAATAATCCCCTAGAGTGTCTGGAAGGAGTGAGGCCCTGCTGACATTTGATTTCAGCCCAGTGATACTGATTTTGAAGTTCTGGTCTCCAGAACTGAGAGAGAATACATTTCCATTGTTTAAGCCACCACATTGATGGTTACTTGATACAGCAGCCACAGAAAATTAACACAGTCCCATTGAACACAAAATACATAGGGTCGGTAGGAGGCCCCTAATCCTCGTTGGTCCTCTACGTTCCCTTCCTTCCCTTTTCTAATCTTGTTTTCTTCTCTAGCTGCTCATCCACTGGAGTCCTATCCTGAGTCCTGGCTGGATTCCAGTTTAGCCAAAACAAACTAAATTCACATTAACCAAGTCATTTTATGAACAATTTGCATAATGACTACTTTACTGAAATATAACCATATCCCCCTTTTCGGTTTTGATTTGTTTGCATCAGTGTGTCTTTTTTCCTGCTACTTTGTTTGGGATTTTAAACTTACTCTAAAATAGTCAGTGGGCACAGTGATTTTTTTTTCATTTCTGAATTATCCAATCTGTCACGTGGTAGGATTTTTCTAATTGATATATATGGAACAGCTTAGGGACTCTTGAAACAGTGTTTCTAAGGATTCTACCTCCGAATATTAACATAGATAAATTATATCGTGGCTTTAAGAGAGGTACCTGTAATCTTCTGTGACTCATATTATTGCTCTGGAATTTATCTCTACTAAGATATTAAAGTACGACAAAAGGTAAAAGAGTTTAAATGTTGCTTAATCATCTATTAGCTATATAAGGCTAGAGAATTGAGTTAACCTAAGTCTCAGTTTCCTTATATGTAAAGTGGGTATAATTTTTTCTGCCTCATTTGGTTCCTATTAGGATTACGTTAATTAATGTAATGTAATGTAGATGTAGTGTGATGTAGATGTAATGTAATGCAGATGTAGATGTAATGTAATGTAGAATGCCATATACAAAATTCATACCCAAATATTGTAGATGGGATTACATTCATACCTTAAATATCTTTTGCTGCTTTACCTCCCCTGCCAATTTAGTCATTATAGGAAGATTTAGTGTCAGTAAATTTGTATTACATCTGAAAACTAAACAGAAATTCTTCATGAAGATGGTCTCAGTGATAAAGTATATCTTTAAACAAAATAGGTAAATTATAAATATTTATAACAAAGAAAAATTGAGAAGGCTACATTACGCAGCTTTTCCTGCTTTCAGGACAAAATTACTTGACTCTTCAATGGAAGCTGACTTGAACTCTGGCATTCGTAATCTGCATAGAAAGCAATGGCCTCAACCATGGAGTTCATATTTTTCTAGAATTTCCTACACTCCTGACAAAAGAAAAGACGTTCCTTTCAACATCCTGTCCATTTTGCCACCAGAACCTCGGTCTATCTTTGTGGCTATTACAGAATCGTCACCCCACCTTGTTATCCCACCCAACAGTTCTATCCCTAAATGTACCATTTCCCAGAGACCCTTCCTCAGGGCCCACATTTCTTTTCTCAGGGAATGAGTGGAAACTCTTGCTAAACTCTGGCTCATTCTGCTCCCTTTGCTATTGCCTTTCCTAATTTATCACTTCTTATCACACCTAGCCAATATACTCATTGATTCAGAGAACTCTGGCAGCACTTCATCTAGAAATCTGTCCCTGATACCCCAGTCTAAATTAAAGTCTTCTTTCTGCCTTCTGTTTCATCCTTTCAAAATTTCTGTTATTGAACTTACCATGTTATTATGTGAAAATAGATTAATACATAGTGCCTAGCTGAGATAAGGGACTTGGTAATCATGTTGAATAAATAAATAAGAGTCAAGGCTGATATAAGAGCTCAGTATATTGCATTTACTAAAAACAGAAATGTTATCAATGGCATTTAGCTTTTCCAGGAGATGTTTACTAAAACTTAATTAAAACAGAATTTCACAGAAATACAGTTCTGCTATGCTGTTAATGAAGCAGAATAAGCGCACACTCATTCTAACATTTAGGTTTCATGCCATTTGCATTTTCTAGCTAGTTTACTTGGGAAGAGAGCTGAGTAAAGGCTTTAGAATGGCAAACATCCCCAATCCAAAAAGTTTAGAAACACCACATAGATATTACTAATTTATTTTATGAAATTCAGCTTAATAGTTTTTCTAAGAAGAGAAACCTGTTATTCTTAGCTCAAATAACATTCTTACATACATGTGAAATATATGAATATTTTAGAAGAATAAACTTGCAGTGCAAGTTGTTCACAAAGTAACTTGCAGACATCAGCTAATGAATGAGTTAGCCAGACAAGTTCCAGTTTTGATTATTTAATAATAAACAGGGTTTTGATGGTTAATACTGAGTGTCAACTTGATTGGATTGAGGGATACAAAGTATTAATCCCGGGTGTGTCTGTGTGGGTGTTGCCAAAAGAGATTAACATATGAGTCAGTGGGCTGGGAAAGGCAGATCCAACCTTAATTTGGTGGACACAATTTAATCAGCTTCCAGTGAATATAAAGCAGGCAGAAAAAGGTGAAAAGGAGAGAGAGACAGGCCCAGCCTCTCAGTCTACATCTTTCACGCATGCTGGATGCTGCCTGCCCTCGAACATCAGACTCCAACTTCTTCAGTTTTGGGACTTGGACTGGCTCTCCTTGCCCCTTGGCTTGTAGACAGCCTATTGTGAGACCTTGCGATCATGTAAGTTAATACTTAATAAACTCCTTTGATATATATATTATATATGTGTGGATATATATGTATGTATATATTATATTAATTAATGAAGTGTTAAAAACCTTTTGCTCTTTAGACCGTAGTATTAGTCAGGGTTCTCTTAGAAGGACAGAACTAATAGGATATATATATATACATATAGGATATAGAACTAATAGGATATATAGAGGGAGGATATAGGATAAGAGGATATATATATATAGGATATATATATCATAATAGGATATATATATACACACACACATATATATGTATATATATCCGATTAGTTCTGTCCCTCTAAGAGAACCCTGACTAATACAATGGTCTGAAGAGCAAAAGGTTTTTAACACTCCATTAATTAAAGTAATGTGTGACGTATTCCAACTTACTATTATTTGTCCAACTGTATAAAACTGTAAATTACATGTACCAAAGTCAGAGGGCCCACAGATTTAATTCAAGAACTGACTCTCCAATACAACCACAATGAAAAGCATTTATTTATAGTGTAGATCCAATATTTTCTTTTCCATTTTATGAATTACTTAACTTTGATGAATCTCAATTTAGATGAGAACAATAAAAATATATATGCCAGCACTGGTGTAAAGATTACAAATGAGATAATACCTCTGACACATGATAAAAATTAAACAACCTTCTTTCAGACTACACAGTAAATGTGTTGAGATTGGCTTGAGGATGGATCAAAGTCTTCAGCAAATTATGGCTAATTCATTATTCTAATCTCTGTCAAATTAAGAAGGATTTTGAATGAACATCGATATTTATATAAAACTGTGTAACTCTTGATTTTGCTCTTTAATGTTCATAACCTCCCACCAGTTGTTTATTTAGGCACCTGTACTATTATTACAAAACTAAATAAAAGCAAATGTCCTAAGGTAGATAATTAAATCAAGTATCTAGATTGGGTTTGCAATCTTTAGCCCACAGGTCAAATTTAGCTTGCTGTCCACTTTATCAATAAAATTTTATTGGAATGCAGTCCACACTCATGTATGTAATACTGAGCATGACTGTATAGACAGATACTCATATATTATCTATGGTGCTTCTGTGCTGCTGTGGCAAGTTGAATAATTGCAGTAGAGACCATATGGCCTACAAAGCCTAAAACATTTACTATCTATCCTTTTACAGAAAATGCTTGATGAGCCATTGCAATTCAGGAATTTACACAATTTGGGAAAACAAAGCCATACTATAATTAAGAATGGCTTTACTTTATAGAAGAAGACAATTTTAAATGAGGGTATGATTTGGAATATAAATGCTGTACACTCAAGATGAATTCAGCCTCTTTTAACAAAACTTCTGAGATCAACTCTACTTTTAGTGTTTGTAAAAATAGACGATTTCTATTTGGATTATTCAGAATAAACTTGCTTCATTCAATTTAAAGGATTTCAGCATTCAGCCTGCTAAAACCATAGGGTGGTAACCTAATGATTTCAGTCAGCATGATCAAACTGGGTTCAATTGCTGTATCTTCTCTATAAGTTACCTTAGCCATATGTTTGTCAGAGATCAATTAACTGGACACTAACAGTAGCTTCTTGGTAGAGTTTTCACATTTGTCCTAAGTTTACATTTAAAATGGTAGTTTATTGTAAGATATTTTTATTTAGAGGAATGATCATTTAGCCCTGTGTGTGTGTGTGTGTGTGTGTGTGTGCATGTGTGTGTGAGAGAGAGAGAGGGAGGGGTAGAGAGAGAGAGGGAGGGAGGCAGAGACAAAAATAAAATATGCCATTCCATGTTATGTCCTGATTTCTCTTTCATTAGGTATTCAAGTACAGAAACACAAAGATTGAGCAATTATGAACATCTAGTTAAATGTGTTACATATTAAGAGCTCTCAGCAAATGTTTGATGGTGGCAATACATCAAGTTTATTGTAGTTGATCTATGTGGCTAACTGATAGCAGTTACCTATCTTTCTCTATAAGAGAATTTTTAAAGGATTATCTACATTCCTAAACATAATACAGAGAGCAAAAAGGAAAAAGAAAAGTCATACATAATTCCACCACACAGAGGAATGACTATTGTTAACATTTCTTTCTGAACAAGTTTGATATTCTCTGTGTCTCTGGGTTTCTCTCCATGTCTCTTAGCATCCATTACCCAAACCACTTTGTCTCTGCTTTTTTTTCAGTTATAAATGCCTAACTATACACTTACACACGATTATTTTTAGTATTCTAACATAGATGTTATAATTTTTTAAATTCCTCATGGCTATTTACACACATTATACATTGTTCTAATTATTTGCAAGTGTAAGTAAAGCTGGAATATCTCCCAAAGACTCCTTTGTTCATATCTCTGACTGCCTTGGTAGGATAAATTCCTCGAGTAAAAATACTAGGTTAAGGTATATTTATTTATTTTCTTACTTGCAGCTTCTGTAATCACCACCACTCTTCTTCTTTCTCTTTGAATATAACCTTTGAATATTGAAAACATGTCAAAAGAGCAATATTTGGGACACCAGAAAGACTGGGCAAACTTCTCACTCTCATTCCTAACTCAGAAATCCATAGATCAGAGTTCACACAAAAATATGCTTGAAAATCTTTGCATATCTGTACTGCGCCTAAAAAGTATTTATTCAAACATATAGAACTTTAGTGGCATAGAAATCTGGAGTGTATATTGTTATTTCACGTTTATTTCTTTGTGTACGTGAGAAGAGTAATAGCAATATGCAAATACTTACATTATGTCTAAAATAATGGGAGCAGATCTACTGAAGGAATTAAAATTACCAGAGAAACGGATTATCATGGCTTCCTAAAGGTTATTATGTGGAAGAGGAAACAAAATAAATCATAAATATTACTTTACAAAGAATGAATATTTTTAGCTTGACTTAACTGAAATGGCCTTATGTTTCCTTTAAAGTATTTGTTCTCAGATTTATAGCGTTAGTTCTAAAATATTTTAAGTACATCTTTAAGGCAAGAATGGTGCTGATTTTGCACAGGAAGCAAATAAAATTTCTTAATTTCATTTTAAAATAAGGTATTGTATTATATATTTAGTGTAGCAGCTAAGACCCTGATTGCTTTATCTAGAAAATAGATGCAGTTGTATATTCTGTAAAACAGATAATAAAATTGCCTACTGTCTAAAACAAGTAATTTTTTCTTAACCAGGCTGCCTTAGCTCATATACTTACAGGTATTATATGAAAGTTCAGATTAATATTTATTCAAAAATTAAATAAAGGGGAAAATGTGTATAATATTTATTCACTGAAAATAAAACATCAGCTTGGTTATCTAACTACCTTCGGTGTAGAAAATGCGACCAATAAAATATTAAAAATGATCATCACTTGTTTTCATAAAAATCATGACTTGTACTAAAAATTGAGGTGAATTATACTTTTGATCATCCAAAAAATGGTGATGCTGCCCCTTTTTGGCCTCACTGACATTTACTATCTCTCTTTTTTACTCCAATTGTTGCCCCATTCTTCCCTTGGGGAATGTTACCATGATATAAAAACAGGGTACAGCCTGCCGAATATTTCTAGTGGAATCAGGAAGATTATACACAGAACATAAAGAATGACATTGTCAAGGATTTGCGTCTGAGTCCAAAGAGGGGCCAGACTCACTAGTCATTAGACCTGGATGGTCTCTGAAAAGCAGCAGATACAATATGGGAATAAGAAATACTTAAATTTTTCTTAAACAATCTTTTTTTTTGCTACTGTGTGTTTCTACGCATTTAGCCCCACAACCTCCAAAACAACTGCTATGTTCAATGAGTAAATATGGTAGTTTTGGTTCATATTTGTCCTAGAGATTTGAGAAATGAAGAATGTATTGATTTTTGGATACTTGTGTCCAAACCTTCTTATGACTGACGATGGGGTGATTAAGTTATACAGTCTTCCATGGTCCTGAATTACAATAATTTCCTTAAAATATGTGTAAGTTAAATACAGGTAGAAGAATAATATGTCTATTAATAGGTCTCAAAGACTAATGCTAATCTGTGACAAATTTTTCACTGTGCTTTGGTGAAATAAGAAAATATAAACATTGAAAAATATATAAATCCATATAGACATATGAAAACAGAGAAAGACACACACACACACAGAGACAGAGACAGAGTGTGAGAATGCCAGATGTCTTTTCTAGAAAGATTATGCAATTTTTAAAAATGCAAATCTTCTAATGTAGAAATGTCTCTTGTTCATAAATTGTATTTGGCAAAAAAGGCCAATTTGAGTGTTTGTTTCTCAGCTGAATAAGAAATTGACATTTTATATCAGTATCTCAATATTTTTATTCATCTTCTATGAATCCCAAGCAAATTGGAGAAGAGGGGACCTTTGTCTAACGTCTGACCCACCATTAATCTATACCTCCAGAGTAAGGAAAATGTGCTTTGTGATTTAGTTAGTCACTGATTCTACAAACCAGCAAATATATTTATAGAGGTCTTCCAGCTCTTTGAGAGAATTTTTTATGTTTTTATATTGACAATTTAAAAAGTAATATACATGCCACCTAGATTATCTCAATAATCATCAAGTACTGGTAAGAAATTTTAATAACTCTATGTCTTTATCTACAATTACATTGATGCCAAGTTATACAATTATACTTGCTATGGGCTAATCAAAAGAAGAGAGAATGAATTAATGAACACATAGCAAATAGTACAAACAGATATTATAGAAGTTCACATTCAGGAAAGTGATGGGAGATATGATTCCACAATCATAAATAATACTATTGAACACTATTGTTATAACCAAACCCAAGAGCCTATGATGCAGAAGCACAGTTGCCCATATTGTGGGCATTAACTTAATTTCTAGAAAACTAAATTATTTATTAAGTAATTTAATAATATTTTAAATTTAAATTTCCATTGGTTTGCAGTTTGGCTTATATTTAATGTATAAGTTAAATTTGAAGCTCAGCAGTAAAACTTTATGTCCAGGTCATGTCTGTGCATATTTAAGTGTTATTTAAATAAAAACAATTTAGGTTTCATGATTTCACAAAATGCTTTTTTTCTTTTAAAAGATGTTTACTCAAATTAATCTGTCAATTATAAGTTCAACATAAATATAAATTACCTTAAGAGTACTAAAATATTAATCTTCTGTTAGTCTAAAATAACATCATAAAATTATTTTATTACATTACTTTTTCAATAGAGAGTTCTGGGAATTCAAGAGTTTTGATTAGGAGATACAGAGAAAAAGTATAATTTTGAATTTTTCTATTAATAGACTTGGGTGAGACTCTAGGACAAATGGCTCTGACAAAGGAAGAGGTAATCTGAGGATAGCAAGTCTGTCTCTTTAGAGTAAGGAACACCTACAGTAATATGAAAGAACATGAATTATATATATTAGTATCTCTGTAGTTATCAACTAAAACAAAGTTTATAATCTTGTTATATCCTTCCCTGAGGAGTTCTATAACATGTCCAAAAGAGCAAAGAACTCAAAAGATGAAAATAAGGAAGAACAAATCAGGATATTAGAATGACAGAGAAGTCCTCTATGACATTAGATGTAACAGGCTGCGTTGCCCAAGTCTGAGTTTTTCCACACTCTCACAGCATGTTCAAGTCATTTTATTCATTTTATAAGGGTCCATTTTACGTAGAGTAGAATGGTATGGCTACCATGCCTTCTTTCTGGCTCACGTTGTTGCATGCAATGACAAAAACTACATTTCAGATACAGTTTTCAAATAAACAATAAAATGTTGCTCTCCTCAAAAAAATGTTTTTCTGTATTGCTACATAAGTAAAGATTTAGAAACATATCAAATGCAGATTTGATTAATTAAGAATTAGGAAATTCTGCTCAAAGACCCCAGATGAAAAATAGTAATAACTGACTGTTGAGAACCTCAAAGAATTAATAAATACAAGAGATTATTATTTAGGTTATAAGAAATAACGGGGAATCAAAAAGAATTTGGCTGTGGATATAAAGAAGCAATTAACACAGATGGGCAACAAAATGCCAGTAGTTATATGAAGAGGTACTTCTTTCACTGGTTATCAGAAAAGTCACAAATAAAGCAACAATAGGATATCTTTTTTGCCCATCTTTGTGAAGAAGTCTCAAAGGCTACAGCCCTTACTTCCAAATTCTCAGAGATATCTATGTGGCTAGTCTCATTTGCAGAACAAGTATGATGCCCCCCACCCAGTTGTCAGAGATTCTTATTGTTGCAGTCTTCAAATTCAAAGGCATTCATAACTTCCACTTATCCTATATAATCAAGACAATTCCTTAAAAGTATGTCTTCTCATGTTATATTTTCTGTAAATCTTTCTGTGACATTTCATGAGTTTGCATTTATGTACACCTCACTTGAATTATATTTATACTATCAAAAGTAAATACCACTCTTAACATATTTCCCCTTTACCTAGATACTGCCCACATCAGTCTGTATCACTGAATACTCATTTTCAATTTAATGCTCATAAATTATCCTATTGTGTGGACAGGTCATAATTTTGAAAAAAAAATCCATATTTTAGACACTGATTTTATTTCCATTTTTGCCAATATGAATTATACAGCAATGACATCTTGTTACTAAATTTTTCTAGTACAAATTATTAGCAATAAAATTGTATGGCCAAAGTGAGCGCATTATAATATTCTTGATGCAAATTTCCAAATTATTATTTTTAAAGCTTGTAGTAACTTAGACTTCCAGGGTATGAAAATATTCATTTCTCACCATGTCAAAAGCTGGGTATTATTAGTTGGATCTTGTCCACCCACAAAATTAATATGTTAAAGCACTAACCCCCCAGTACTCCTAATGTGACCATATTTGGAGATAGAATCTTTAAAGAGGTATTTAAGTTAAAATGAGGCATTAGGATGGACTCTAATTCAATATGATAGGTGTCTTTATAAGATTAGAAAATTTGGATACACACATGTATAGAGGGAAAATAATACAAAGACACAAGAAGAAGATAGCAATGTATAAGCCAAGGAGAAACAACTGGAACACAGCCTTCCCTCATGGCCCACAGAAGGAACCAGCCCTTCCAACATCTCAATCTCAAACTTTTAGCCTCCAGAATAGTGAGAAAAATGTTTCTGTTGTTTAGCTCATACAGTCTGTGGCAGATTGTTATGAAAGCCCAAGCAAACTAATACACTGGGTATAATATATATTTTCTTTTTTGCCAATTTTATTATGAAACATATGGCACTGGCTTTTAAACATTTCTTGGATTAATAATGATGCTGATTATTTTCCTGTGATTGTTGTTCACTTTTCTGGCCATTATCTTTTTTCCATTGACTTCAAATTATGTCATCCTATAATAATATCATATATAAATGTGTTTGCTTCATCTCTTTCTATTGTTTCATTAATATTTACCTACACCATGTTAAGAGATAACAATGATAAAGAAAATAGTAACAATTAGAGCTAAGAATTAGTGAGGTTTTTACTAAGTCACTTCCTTCAGTAATTTATATTAGTAACTCTTTTGATCCCCATAGCAACTGATATGATTTGGATGTTTGTCCCCTCCAAATCTCATGTTGAAACGTGATTCTCAATGTTGGAAGCTGGGTCTGGTGGGAGGTGATTGGATTATGGGGGTGGGTCCCTCGTGGATTGGTTACCACCATGCCCTTGGTGATAAGTGAGTTATTGCTCAGTTAGTTATTGTGTGATCTGGTTAAGATTCTGGGATACCCCCACACCCTTCTATCTATCTTGCTTCTGCATTGCCATGTGACATGCTTGCCCCCCACCCCTTTACCTCTGCCATGACTGGAAGCTTCCTAAGGCCCTCACCAAGAGCAGATGCTACAGCCACCCTTATACAGCCTGCAGAACCGTGAACCAATGAAACCTTTTTTCTTTGTAAATTACCTGCCTTAAGGTATTCCGTTATAGCATTGCAAACAGACTGATACAGCAGCTCTGTGAAATAAGTAATACTTTTATCTGCATTTTTCTAATGAGACAACTGAGACACAGAGAAAAGATTACCAAGCCAGGATATACATCCATGCAGTAGGACTCCTAAATACTAAATATTCACCTAAAATAACAATAGTGACAACAACAACCAACATTTATTAAGCTTTCAATATGTCTAACAGATTTTGAAATATTTTACATGCATTGAGACTAATTTAACCCTTACAACATCTTTTAGAAATAAGCACTAATGTTATCTTCAATTTATTGATTTAAAAAATTTCCAAAACACAAAAATGTGAAGAATTATGCCTAGCACAACACATCGATATTTCATAGCAAACCTATTAAAAAACATTGGCAATCTCCTCCTCATTATGTTACATGAACAACTTTAATTATAGCTTTGAACTAGGGCAAAGACCCTGTCCTTAATATTTTCCAAATTATCTTCGTTATTCTAATATTTTTATTCCTATGTATGAATTTACAAATCACTTGAAATACATTTTTGAGCCTACAGATTTAGTTGGAATTCATGAGATATTTTATTCAGTTCACATTAAGTTTTTTATAATCAGAAATATTATGGAAACGAAGTATTAGTTACTAAGGTAGTCACTGTGCATTTTTATATTAAAAGCAATAATGGTAAAGAAATACCTATGTTTTCTTTTTCTGGAGATCATCAGCAGAGCATCATCTCAGTGTTGGCCAAGGTGGTAATCACAGTCATCCTGAGTCTAAGTTTGAACTGTATAAGGTTGCAATTTGACAAGTTTTAACCCACAGAATGGCACCTTCTTATGTTTCAACCTGATACGCTGAATAGGAATTATGCAAGTTGTGGAATACATCCATAGATTTAGATGTGCTATTTGCAACTCTATCTAAAGCGGAGATTAATTATCCCTTACTATATTTCACGACATTTCTCTAACAATTGATTCAACTTCAGTATGTGTAGTTACGATGCTTTTAGCCAATGAACGCTCTCAAATTAACTAAACGTGTTTCTGGGAATATAAAATATATAACCATCAGCATTTTACGACCTATAAAAGAAAACACCAACTGCACTCATGAGAACTTCACTAACCATGAAGAGTTAGGTTTAATAAAGGTGTTCAGGGGTAGAATTTATGTAAGAATTTGCACGAAGCCTGACAATGGATCCCAGAGACCTCTTAAAAGTGTGTTGTATAACTTACGTTTCTTTTTGAAAAAGAAAGTATTCAACTTAAAAAAAAAACCCAGAGACTATTAAGAAGAGTAATAGGCAATTGTAGTTATATTTCACATAGCTTCTATAACTATCTAACACATGATATACATTTCTTTTAATTAAAACATGGTAGAATGAAGGACTTTGGTAATCTGTCTCATAATGCTTATAAGCTTAGCAGCAATAAACTTTGCTAAATACTAAGTTTGAGAAAATGCCGTGCAGGCAGATGATAACTATGAGCCTCAAGTCTCTCCCAGAGCTGCAAACAATACCATCTGCTACTCTGCTGATTTCTTTTTTGCTCATTGGTATCAAATGTAATGGGGATCACGCTTTAAATTCTAATTTCACACCCTGGCCACAATGGTGGGGGTTGTCTTCTTCTTCAATGTAAACTTGTTCAAGCGAATAAGGGATTTTTATTTTCCTTTGAAAAAAAAAAAAAAACTAGTTAGGGATTTCCACTCTTCCATTCATGATGGGGTAAGAGGAACCAAATTTATCCTTATGTCTGAAACAAACAAAATACTATACCAAATACATAAGCAACACTTTTCCATAAACTGGGCATTAGGCAACAAAGTCAGCTCCCTAATGAAAAGTAAATGATATGAAATCTACAGTTGCCCCCAACTTACTGCCTAGATAGAGTTTCCAGGCCAAGGTACAAGGAGGAGAAGCTTAGAGGGAGTTCAGCAGATTTTCTAAGTTAAGGAGACAAACCTGAGAGCCTGAGAAAACAAAGAGGGTAGAGATCACAGGAAGGAGTCCTGGAAAAGAGAGAGTACAAAGAAATACATCTAGATATCTGCAGAGGATAGCCTCAAGTATTCAGCAGAGTGGTGATCATCAGCAAACCTATATGAGGAAATTACCTGAGACCTGGAAAAAACAAAACAAAAAACAAAACCCAAAATTTGAAATGATGAAGTAATAGTGCCAGGCACTTGCATTGGGCTAGAAATAATGCCTACATATTCTCACCTGTCAGACTGGAAACTAACCGGATTCATATGGATCAGGTATATTACTCAGAAGCATATTATAACAAATACTGAAACGAAGACCCGGAAGGATCAAACTCTTTTCAAATAAGTACTTCAAATAAGTACTATATGTACTTCAAATACAAGGCTCAACTATATTAATAAAATGAAAAGATACCCATCTCTCAAATAGGTAAAATTCATTAAGTCTGATATATAAACAAAAATTAGCAGAAATCAAAAGAAGCAGTAAAATAATGAGAAATTTTAATCAATTGAAACTGGCATAGCCATTAAAATGAGCAGATGAGAACATTAAAACTATTATAAATGACCATAGTTATGTTCAAAAAGTTAACTAGAGGCAGGACTTTTAGAAAACAAATCCTCTCCCTCAATACAAATATTAAAACTCTACAAAATTGACAAAAATTACCATTTGACATTCTGAACATCAGGCGAGGTGGAAAACAATATAAGAAGAATTATTTGTAAGGTTTCTGAACTTGAGGTAAGAACAGTGAGACTCTGTATCATTTTCTGAAGCTGCACCCATGTTTTCCCCAGTAAGGTAGGGAAGGAAGTTTACTATGCTGGGATAGGCCATAAAGAATAGCACATTCTCTGTCAAGTCTGAAGCATATTCACTAAATTTCAGGCAGTGGGTGATACAAATGGTGGCACTGTCAATGGATCATTAGAAATTATGTAATCTGATATGTATAATAGATTTGGAAAATTATTTAAAATGAGCAGAGACTCAGAAATTTGTTTGACACCATTATGTATACCAACATGTATGCAACTGGAGCCAAGACGTAGAGGAGAGAGGAAAAGGAGCAGAAAAAAAAAATTGAAGAAATAAGGGATGAACTCTTCTTAAATCTGATACAAAATATTCATGTACACATCCAAGAAGGTGTAGAAAAGTTATAATCAATAAAATGATATCTACTGATACATATATCTGAAACAAAGAGTTGAAAGACAAATAAAAAATGTGAAATTCTCAAAAGAAAAAAGGACAAATTATGTTCAAAGAAGTCACAATAAGATTAACATCTGGCTCTCATCATAATCAAGGAGGCCAGAAACAAGAGAGAAATGACATATTCAAAATATTGTACGGGAAAAGAAAAGTCAACCAATAGTTCTATATTCAATTATCCTTCTCAAGTGAAAGAGAAATAAAAAAGATTCCCAAAACATTAAAGAATGAGATAATTCATTGTTGCCAGGCCTGCCTACAATAATTAATAAAGGAAATCCAAATCTCTCAAAGAAATGAGAACAGGTGATTATTCAATCAAAAAATAAAGGGTATCGTAAATCTTTAATTAATTAAATCATATGTATAAAATATGATTTAATATAGAAGACACAATAGACTCAATAGTTACATAAAGTTAAAAAATTTATTCTCTTTACTTATTTAATAGACACAAGATTATACCAAACAATAATTTGAATACTGTGTTTTTGGAATTCTAACATATAAAAATTTAATATGTATGATGATGATAGCACAAAGCATGTTACAAGAAACTGAGGTACACTTATGCAAATTTTCTACATTTTACCAAATATAAATAATTGTTGTCAACATTAGTTTGTGATCAGATGCACCTTAATATATCATGCCTAAGAAAATAACTCAAAAATGTACTAAAAATAAAATCAACAAGTTAATTTAATTAGTATGCCACAAATTAACTAAGATGATAATTTTATTAGAGACCAAAATAAGCATTTTATAATGATAAGAGTCAACTTATTGGAAAGTTAAATCAATTATAAATTCATATATACCTAAAATCAGAGCCCCAAAATATATGATGAAAAACTGAAAACAATGAAAGGAGAAAAAGACAATTCAACAATTATAGTTGGAAGAAAATTGGAAGATATATGGAAAACTCAAAAGACATTATTAACCAATTCCATGTGAATGATATGTAGCACACTCCACTCAACCACAAAACAAAAATATTTTCAAGCTTGCATGAAACACATATGAGGCCATAAAACAAGTTTAAATAAATTTAGAAGATATAAATCATGCAAAGTATGTCCTCAGCCTATAATGGAATTCAATTAGGAAGAAATAATAGAAAACTTTTTGAAAATCTTTACATATTTAGAAATTAAACACACTTCTAAGTAATCTATAGGTCAAATAAGAAACAATAAAAAAATTTTTAACTTTTTGAAATGAAAAAAAACAACAGATCAAAACCCATGAGATGCAGCTAAAGCAGTGATTAGAAAAAAATATGTGCAACATTGACTGTCTATACCAGAAAAGATAAAAGATTTCTAATATATAACCTATACTTTCACTTTAAAAAGTAGAAAGATAACATTAAATTAAACCCAAAGCAAGCAGAAAAAAAATAACAAAAATTATAGCAGACATCAGTGAAATATAAAACCAAACACTAGAGAAAATCAATTAAACCAAAAGCTGATTATTTGAAAAGATCAACAAAATTGACAAGTATTTAGCTAAACTAAGCAACAATAAAACAGAAAGACACGAATTATCAAAATCAAGAATGAAAGAGTCTACATTACTACAAATCCTACAAATGGAAAAGTTATACGGAATTATGATGCATAATTTTGCAGATCATATTGGACAATTTGATAAAACAGGCAAATCCATTGATTGATACCAATTACCAAAACTTGTTTCAGATGATAAAAATGAGTAGAACTAAAATAAGTAAAAACAAAAAATTACTAATTAAAACTCTTCCCATACATAGGAGTCCATCATTTACTGATGAATTCTGTCAAACGTTTAAAAAATAAATTATACTAATGATGATAAAGAAATAATACTAATACTAATCCTTAGCAAGCTCAGATTATGGAGAGCAGTATTAGACTGATATAACAGCCAAAGACTTCACAAAAAGAACATTACAGACCCATACGTGAAGATAAATACAAAAATACTCAACCAAATATAAGCAACCCAAATCTAGAAATGCATAAAAAGGGTCATATGACATATCCAAGGGAGATTTTTGCCAGAAGCTGAGGTAAGATTAACATTATAACATTATAACCAACGTAATACATACCATGAGTAGAATGAAGAACAAAAACCACATGATAATTTCAATGGATGCAGCAAATTTATCTAACAAAGCCTGACACCCATTGTAATAAAACCTATCAACAAAAGTAAAAAGGAAATTTTATATATCTCATAAATATAGTCTAGGAAAAATCCAAATCTGAAATCATACTTAAGAGTAAAGGACTGAATTCCTTCTCTCTAATATCAAGAGCAAGGCAACGATGTCTGCTTCTACTATTTTTATTCAAAATTGTGCTGAAAATTCTAGATAATTTAAATAAAAATTCAGAGAAAATTAAAAACAACCAGATTAGTAAGGGAAAAATAAAAGTCTTTTTATTTTAAGATAACATACTCTTATATATAGAAAACTCTAAGAAACCTTAACAAAACCAAACCACTAGAGTTAACATACAGCTTTAGCAAGTTCACAGGCTACAACATCAAGACACAAAAATCCTTTGATTTTCTGCATGCTAGCAATAAAGAATCTAAAAAACAAATTAGAAAAACAATTCTATTCATAAGAACACTAAAAACAATAAAGTATTTAAGAATAAGTTTGACAAAAAAGTGCCAGTAAGATTTGAACATTAAAAAATGCAAAGCATTCCCAAGAGAAATTAAAGAATATCTAAATGAATGAAGAAACTTTTCATTTTCATGAATCAGAAGAAATAATATTGTTAGAAAGGCAATTCATTACAAATGCATTACAATCTCTGCCAAACTCCAGCAGGACTTTTGCAGAATTTGACGAGCTGATTTTGAAATGCATATGGAAATGCAACAGACCAAGAATCATTAAAACAAATTTGAGAAAGAAAAATAAAGTTGCAGAATTTATACTATATTATTTCAAAACTTACTGTGAAGCCACAGTAATCAATACAGTGTGGTATTGGTGAAAAATAGGCATATAGATCAATGGAAGAAAATTGAGAGTATAGAAGCGTATTTACATTTTTGATCAATTGATTTTTGTAAAAGTACAAAACCATTTAATGCAAAAAAAAGTCTTTTTAACAAATCTTTCTGAGGCAATTGAATATCAACATATATAATATATAAATGCACACACACACACTTCTGTGCTTCACAAAGCCATAAAGAAAAATGACATAATCTGGGACAAAATAACTGCAAATCATTCTTTTGATAAATAATTTGTAGGCAGAACATATAAAGAACTTTCACAATATAATAATAAGGAAACAACCCAATTGAAATATGGGGAAATAATCTGAACCGTTATTGCACCAAAGAACGTATAAAAACGAGTAATAAGCACATACAATGATACTGAATATTATTAGTCATTAAGAAAATACAAATTAAAACCCCAATAAGATCACTTAATATTTGCTAGAATGGCTATACTCAAAAGACAGATAGTACCAAATAAAGAACATGGAGAAATTGAAAACTTCATGCATTGCTAGTGGGAATATAAAAAGCTACAACTACCTTGGAAAATAGTTTGGCACTTTCGCAAAAACTTAAACATGTGCTTGGGAGGCCAAGGCGGGCGGATCACGAGGTCAGGAGATAGAGACCATCCTGGCTAACACGGTGAAACCCCTTCTCTACTAAAAATACGAAAAAAAAAAAAAAAAAAAATTAGCCAGGCGTGGTGGCGGGTGCCTGTAGTCCCAGCTACTCGGAAGGCTGAGGCAGGAGAATGGCGTGAACCCGGGAAGCGGAGCTTGCAGTGAGCCGAGACTGCGCCACTGCACTGTAGCCTGGGCTACAGAGCGAGACTCCGACTCAAAAAAAAAAAAAAAATTGAAATATGTGCATATCATATGAATACAGCCATTTCACTGCTAGGTATTTACCCAAGACAATATAAGCCTATGTTGATACAAAAGTGTACAGCTTTATATTTGTTAACATGTGAACCATGTAAACTCGTGGATAGGAGCTTTCTTCTTCATAGCCTAGAATTGCAAACAATCCGGGTTTGCATCAGTATGTGAATGTACAAATAAATCATGGTGTATCCATACAATGTAATACTACTAGTCATAAAAAGGAATTACTGATACAGGTAAGAATATGGATGCATTTCAAAATAATTATGCTGAGTGAAAAAAGCCAGTCAACAAAAGAGAGCATACGCTATGTCTCCATCTGTATAAAATTCTAGAAAATTCAAACCAATTTATATTGACAAAAAACATGCAACTCACTGGTTGCATGAGGACCAGAGGGGAGAGCTGGGGATGGGGAAAGGAGGAGGGATTACAAGGGCCACAGAGAAACTTTGGGAGATGATATATTTATTATCTCAATTGTTGTGATAGCATCATAGACATAGACATACGTCAAAACTTAATTAGTACAACTTAAATACGTGCAGTTTACCATATGTCAATTATGCCCTCAGTAAAGTTGCTAAAATGTCCATCTAGAGTTTCACACAGTACGAGGAACAACTTCAAAAAAGTAAGATACGATGTGGATTTTAGTCATGAATCATTTTTTAGCTGCTGAACACTTATGCTTAAGGGGTTTCTTTTACTTAGGCACAGACATGCTCATTAAGATTAACTTTCTCAGATAAAATTGAGAAATATCTTACTTCAAAGCCTACTTCAATTTTTCTAGAAAATATAAAAAAGTTTTCACAGCAGTAAGTAGAAGCAAAATTGGCTTTACTTTCTTGCCAATTTTTCACATTTTGAAAAATGAAAGTTGAAAGAAGACCTGCTATTAAATCAGAGATGAGGAGATAATGTAGAAATATGTTTATTTGAATTGAGAAAGTTTAAGAAGGTGATTTTCATGTAGTTTGAAACTTGATATGGAATGAAAGAAAGATAAAATGTGTGGTGGTCAACATTGTTCTAGTAATTAGAAGTCGGTGGTATCCTTGGAGCTCTGCTAATAACTGTCTATTCTTGGGAAAGAACCCTTAACATCTTCAAGTTGCTTCTTTTTCCACAAAAATGAATTTTATAAGATAATGACTAAAAATATCATCTACTTCTAAAATACTGTTTCTTGAAAATATGTGGAATATGAATATTATAGCCCTATCATCTGTGTGAATAGACCTTTTTTAGATGATCAGAGATTTTTCAATTATTAAATTATTTTTATCAGAGTTTGTACAAGCAGTGCATTATACATTTAAGGGCTAGTTTTGGATCAATGAACATCAGGATATAAGTTGTCAGCAAACCACCTTTTTATTTTTTTTAAACAAAACGTGTAAGAACATGAAGTGTTAGTCTGAAAGAACTTTAACATGTTAATTGCAAAAAAAGATCACATATCTATATCACCACTTTGACAAAATGCTGTTTCTTAAATGAATAAAATAATCATCAAACGGATTAGTTTTGTTATATGAATTATCTCTGTAATTATACAGACTGTAGTGATCCGATTTTCATGACGAATATTTTCATGAATATTTTAGGCGTATGTTTTGACAATTGATAGAGTTTATATTATTTGTATTTATTGCAATCCATTTGTCTAAGAATACCAGTAAAATTTTGCATAAATATTTTATATTAGCAATCGAGTAACCTTGAAACCCACTAGCCTGGCAATCTTATTTATAAACAGAAAGACCTTCTGTCTTTAACGGAATTCTACACTAGACATACTCCCAACTGGAAAAAAATAAACTTGACTGCGTGTACAGGATGATAAAAACCTATTTGTTTTTCATTAAGCTATTATGATAGTAAACTGGGGTGGTTAAAAGTTAAGTACTTTTCCCATGAAGTCATACAATCTACCCTGATACCAACAGTGTTTGAGCACTCAAGTTCACAAAATAGCAATACAATCCTTGATTTTGTTCAGATGTTAACTACATTTTCTATATCATGATGCTTGATGCCCAGTATATGTGAATAAGAGAAGCACTGTCTTCCCAAACAAGATTTTATTTTCAAGATCTTCTATTTCTTGAGACTATTTTAAAACATTATCTGGCAATATGTTTCTGAGATATTACCATTTTGAACTTTCACAGTATGTTGTTATTCTAACACAAGTGTAAAATCCTTTCACCACAACAAGAGTAAACATGTTTAATTGATGCAAAATATCAAGTAGCATTCAGTCACATTTTTCCTAAAATTATTTCCACAGTAGATATTTTATGCAGGATATTTTAAAAATTAAAGAAGACACATACAGCTAGCTCACAACTTGCCAGCCACTAAAATAAAATAAGATCCTGATATTTAAAGAGAGCCATGATATTTCTGGGGGCTCACTTTATGTTTAACTAAGCATGGAAAAAGTTTTTTAAATGTGTTTAAAGTATCAGTTTATTATGGATTTGATATTTTTATTGTTCAGTTGCTTTGTACAAAAGAGGCAATATTCTTTTGTGATATCGGGATCATTGTGTAGTTAAACTATCAGTGTTGACCTGTGTGAAAGATTTCCTAACAAATATTCCAACTGTTTGCTAGTACATTTCAATTTCCTTTGTCATTATTAATTTACCCTACACTTGAGAATATTTATTGAGAAAAATTTTTGACATTAACACCTCATCAATGTTAATTTGATGGCTGTTATCTCTTACTCAACTGTAGCAGATAACTTTGGGTATTTGTTCATGCCAGGAAACTCTATCTCATTGTCACTTGTCCTCAAAATCTGGATCTCTACCAAGTTTTCTCTACATTTCTCAACCCCATTAACCAACAGAAGTTTAGATGAAGAAAGGATAGTCCAATGAGCTGGGTCAATCAGACACTCTGAAAGAAATTTGAAATTAAATTGGAAACAGTAGATATAAAGACTCGTACATGTTAAGAAGCCAGTTTTGTGAATAGAGAAACTAAGATAATCTGTCCATTAAAAAAAGAATCAGATGTGAGAGAGACCCTGTGGGCACCCAAAAGAGGACCTGCCTTAGTTTCTAACTAATTTTTTTTTTTTTGGCTCCACTCCTGTGTGTCTTGACTCTGCTCCTAATTGTTATTATGAGCTAAACATGTAGCTTTATAAGATATTATATGGTCCAAAGCTAGTTTTCATAAAAAATAAAAATGAATAAAAGATGTACTGCTTACTAGTTACCAGGTATTTTTCGAAGAGCTTCATATGTATTAACTCATTTAAACTTTGCAACCCCTATGAAGTATTATTTATTATTATCCCCATTTCATAGATGAGAAGACTGAGGCCTAAAGAGGTCATATAACTTACTAATACCTTATGCCTCTTTCGTATATGGCAACTGAACAAAAATTATCTAAAGTATAATAAAGTGTTTGAAAACATTAAAAACTTTTCTCCATGCTCAATTAAACACAGACTTTCTATACTTATGGCTAGAAAGCCTGAAGTAGGTTTCTTGAAACTAAAAAATAAAACAAGCAAAGGAAATAGAACCATTCTTAATGAAGAAACCTAGCGAATATAATTATTTGAAGCTAATGGCACTTTGGCCTATACCAAATCCAGAAACCAAGACACGTCCTTTGCAAATTCTCACTTTAAACCAAGCATTCTCAAAGAAGGTGGGTGATACTGCTGCCACTGAGAAGACAATTGGTTCCTGCGGATGAAAAAAGTCCTACCTTTGTCTATATGAAACATGAATATCCACACAGTACATAAATACATGTACAGTGTATCTATGGTATCAAAATTTCATGAGAGTATCAACTAGAAAAAAAGTCTTAAAAGGCTATTAGGGGATGGTGATAAAGAAAAGGGAAAAAATAATTGAGAAATTCTGCTATAAACAAACCAAGATTACTCCTACATGTATTGACTTCAGCTTCTATCATGCTACAAACTGTTTTTTCTTTACAAAAAAAAAGTCCCTAAGAATTGATAATCAGGATTTGAGAACAGCTTTCTATCTATTCTTCTCAAGTTCAAAAAAATTATTCAAGCTGTTTTCTGAATTAAAGAGCTGCAAAAGATATTTATGTTTCCTGTCATTAAAAAGCATTTTAAAAATACTTTTTTGCACCGTCATTTGACCAAAAATAGCTTTTCTTTTAGAAGATAAAACTTGTCACTGGCTCATTTGTCCATGGAAACAGCTGTTCATTACATGTTTGAACATATTTGCTTAAGAAATGCAAAATTATTAACATTTTAATCCTCTAACCTTTTAAGGCAAGCCAGCTGGGATTATTCACAGATAGACCATAGCCTTTGGTTTCAGCTTTGTGGAAACTTCTTCCCTTGATTTCTCAGAGAATATTAACTGAACAATTTGATTTTCTTGATAGCAACTATTCCATCAGCAAATCATTCTCAACTATTGGTCCCAAGAACCAGTGAAAATATACAAAATGCATTTGCATAGTTTTGCTAATAGTGAGAAATTTTTATTTTATTTAAAAATAGCTTATTCTAGTACTTACTATGTGCTATAGTACTAGGTCCTGTTTTAAGCAGTTTAAAATATTAACTAGTTTAATCCTCATGAAGTAGGTACAATAATTACCCTTGCCATTTTTACAGTTTAAGTAATTGGACCAAAGAGATGTTAAGCAAACTGCCAAGGGCCACAAATCTGATAAGTGCCAATGCCAGGATTCCAACAAAGACCATCTGGCTTCAAACTCTGTGTCTGTTCCATTAAACTATGGCATTCCAAGCACTGAATTAATAATATTACTTATAGTTTCTTATTTACCCTCACAGCAACCCTAAAAGGTGGCATGGTTCTTATCCAGGCTTTAACAGATGAAGACCATAAAAAAGCAGAGTTTTAACACCTGGCCCAAATTCTCAAAATTGTAAAAAATGAACCTCAAATTTGAACCCAGGGAATTTCTTCTTCTGAAACCCTTATGCTGTACACTTATTGCTTTCTTGAGTTTCATGGGAATATCTAACATTTGAGAATAATCCCTGCCCTGGCCTTTTTCGATAGTTTATTATTTTATCTGTCTATCTATCTATCTATCTATTCTATCTAAATAGATTAAATAGATTAGATATATATTGTAGATATCTATCTAGATAACAGATATCCTATCTATCTAGATAGATAATAGATATCCTATCTATCTAGACAGATAATAGATATCCTATCTATCTAGACAGATAATAGATATCCTATCTATCTAGACAGATAATAGATATCCTATCTAGACAGATAATAGATATCCTATCTATCTAGACAGATAATAGATATCCTATCTATCTAGACAGATAATAGATATCCTATCTATCTAGACAGATAATAGATATCCTATCTATCTAGACAGATAATAGATATCCTACCTATCTAGACAGATAATAGATATCCTACCTATCTAGACAGATAATAGATATCCTACCTATCTAGACAGATAATAGATATCCTACCTATCTAGACAGATAATAGATATCCTACCTATCTAGACAGATAATAGATATCCTATCTATCTAGACAGATAATAGATATCCTATCTATCTAGACAGATAATAGATATCCTATCTATCTAGACAGATAATAGATATCCTATCTATCTAGACAGATAATAGATATCCTATCTATCTAGACAGATAATAGATATCCTATCTATCTAGACAGATAATAGATATCCTATCTATCTAGATAGATAATAGATATCCTATCTATCTAGATAGATAATAGATACCCTATCTAGATAGATAGATAATAGATATTCTATCTAGATAGATAATAGATACCCTATATATCTATCTAATCTATTTTATCTATTTAATCTATCTATTTAATCTATTTAGACAGAATAGATAGACAGATATTCTATAGTTTGGCATAAGTCAGTCCAATAGTCATTGGCTAAAGCTTTCTCAACCATAAAATCATTTTTCATCTAAGAGAATCAATGATAGATACCTGGTTGAGACCGCAGCCACAGAGTTTCTTTTTTACTTAAAGAAATCAAAGAGATCTGGAAGACTATTTATTTATAAATTTGAACCTAGTTTCCTGAAGTAGTCTTATAATTTTGACCTTGTTATATTTCCATCCCAATTCTCAAATAATGATCTCAAATAATGAGCATGTTTAGCATGTTCTTAGTTCAGATATGAAGAAGCACATAAAAATATATATGCTATCAGGTTGTCAAAAATTTGAGTTCTTCCAGCCCAAACTGATAAAGACTCACTACTGGTCATAAATTATGCCATACAAAGCTTTATATTTTATTGAGGAGCTCACTTAAAACCTCATCACATTCCAATTACATTGACAGGGAAGGTATTTTATTACCATTTTATAAATGAGAAAAAAAATTGTCCTGATGCTCCAATGTTGTCTAATTAAGGTAAAGTTAGGGCTGGGAACTCTTATCATTATATGGATTTTAATAAATATATATTTGGTAAAAGGGCCAAGACAGGAATGCTACTTCTCACTGAGAAGGTGGGTTAGCTATTGTTTTCCTTTTATTCTGTGTAGATTCAGATACCTGTATCTACAATACAACAACCATAAAAGCCATTTTAAAACTCAAAGTGAATGGGTATGCTGTTTTGTCACTGAATGAATAGGTTCCAAATACTTCATGTAGTCTCCCTGTGTTCTTTACACCCCATTTTTGACCCACTTTTGACATTTCTCACACCCCAGATTTGTTGTCACTAGAGTAGCTTTATGCCCACACTTATACACATAAGGACTTATGGAAGTTTTAACCCTTCTCTACCAAGCTTCAAGTGTCACCTAAGCTATTAGTGAATTGACCTACACTCAATTATAGAGATACATCATGTTCTGCATTTACCTGTATTCACCTTCTAACACAGAGAAAATGTAAAGGACACACAGAAAGGAGTTACCACAGAAAAATAAAACTTAGAGACTTTTTACAGAACCAAGAGTATTTGACTTTAATTATATCAATGGGTAAATTATAAATCTTGTTGCTAATTCATTCCTGTTCCCTTTATCCTCAGAATATTAAAAGGGAGTATCTGTATATTCAACATAGCAAATGTGTTCATTTCTGGAAGGTTTCTCAGACCCAACTGGAGTTCAAGACAGAAATAAGTAGATAGCATCGCAGGCCTGGATGCAATCTCAGTTTTAAGACAAGAACAGAAAATGATTTCAACTTATATTGCCAACTGTGATCATTCAAACTTTTAGTTGCTCTTGCTACATCCCAGCTCATTATGAAATAGTATTTATGAATACTAATCTATTTACTAGATATAAACATCATTCTAAAATGTACCTGCTGTACATTAAGGGAGGGAGTTTGAAGTAGATCCCTAAGAATCACGTGTCTTAGTTTAGCTCCCTTGTGTCAGGATATAGATATAATAATTAATAATTGAATGAATGCATACTAACTCAGTTTAAGAATGAGAAAATTACCTATAACTTGGGCCTACTCCTGTTCTCTTTGCTTGTACTACCTCCATGTTTGCCCTTTAGAGGAAACAACTATATCGTATTTTAAATTTTGCTTTCTGTGTTTCTGTTCTTGCTTTTGCTTTAGTTTTAGCACTCATACATGTAAGTATAAACAATCTATTGTGGAATAGTTCCTGTTTGAGGGCTTTATAAACATGGTATCAAATTTTATACAGTTGTTGGCACTTGCATTTTCCCCTCACTGTTATATTTTACATGTTTGTCTTGTTGTCTGTAACTGTAGTTCAGTTGTTTGCACTCTTGTGTACTAGTGTATTGTGGCTCATCACTATTTATTCTCTTGTGGATGGTTTCAGGCGTCTGAGCCCAAGCTAAGCCATCATATCCCTTGTGACTTGCATGTACACATCCAGATGGCAGGTTCCTGCCTTAACTGATGACATTCCACCACAAAAGAAATGAAAATGGCCTGTTCCTGCCTTAACTGATAACATTATCTTGTGAAATTCCTTCTCCTGGCTCATCCTGGTGGCTCAAACCCTCCCCTACTGAGCACCTTGTGACCCCCCCTACTCCTGCCTGCCAGAGAACAACACCCCTTTGACTGTAATTTTCCTTTACCTACCCAAATCCTATAAAACGGCCCCACCCCTATTTCCCTTCGCTGACTCTCTTTTCGGACTCAGCCCGCCTTCCCCCAGGTGAAATAAACAGCCTTGTTGCTCACACAAAGCCTGTTTGGTGGTCTCTTCACATGGACACGCATGAAATTTGGTGCCGTGACTCGGATCGAGGGACCTCCCTTGGAAGATCAATCCCCTGTCCTCCTGCTCTTTGCTCCGTGAAAAAGATCCACCTATGACCTCGAGTCCTCAGACCCACCAGCCCAAGGAACATCTCATCAATTTTCAATCCGGTAAGCGGCCTCTTCTTACTCTCTTCTCCAACCTCTCTCACTATCCCTCAACCACTTTCTCGTTTCAATCTTGGCACCACCCCAACCCCTTACTTCCATACCCCTACCCCTTTCCCGCTTTTCTGGAGGGTAAGAACCCCCAAACCCCTTCCCTCCGTGTCTCTACTCTCTCTTTTCTCTAGGCTTGCTTCCTTCACTATGGGCAAACTTCCACCCTCCATTCCTCCTTCTTCTCCCTTAGCCTGTGTTCTCAAGAACTTAAAACCTCTTCAACTCACACCAGACCTAAAACCTAAATGCCTTATTTTCTTCTGCAATGCTGCTTGACCCCAGTACAAACTCGACAGTAGTTCCAAATAGCCAGAAAACGGCACTTTCAATTTTTCCATCCTACAAGATCTAAATAATTCTTGTCGTAAAATAGACAAACGGTCTAAGGTGCCTGACGTCCAGGCATTCTTTTACACATCAGTCCCTCCCTAGTCTCTGTTCCAAATGCAACTCATCCCCAATATTCCTTCTTTCCCTCCCACCTGTCGCCCCAGTCCCAACCCCAAGCATCGCTGAGTCTTTCTAATCTTCCTTTTCTACAGACCCATCTGACCTCTCCCCTCCTCGCCAGGCTGAGCTAGGTCCCAATTCTTCCTCAGCCTCCGCTCCTCCAACCTATAATCCTTTTATCACCTCCCCTCCTCACACCTGGTCTGGCTTACAGTTTCACTCCGCGACTAGCCCTCCCCAACTTGCCCAGCAATTTCCTCTTAATAAGGTGGCTGGAGCTAAAGGCATAATCAAGGTTAGTGCTCCTTTTTCTTTATTCCAAATCAGATAGCATTTAGGCTCTTTTTCATCAAACATAAAAACCCAGCCCAGTTCATGGATCGTTTGGCAGCAACTCTGAGATGCTTTACAGACCTAGACCCTAAAAAGTCAAAAGGCCATCTTATTCTCAATATACATTTTATTACCCAATCCACTCCCGACATTAAATAAAACTCCAAAAATTAAATTCCGGCCCTCAAACCCCACAATAGGACTTAATTAACCTCGCCTTCAAGGTGTACAATAGCAGAAAAAAGTTGCAATTCCTTGCCTCCACTGTGAGACGAACCCCAGCCACATCTCCAGCACACAAGAACTTCCAAACACCTAAACCACAGTGGCCAGTTATTTCTCCGGGCCCACCTCCCCCAGGAGCTTGCTACAAGTGCTGGAAATCTGGCCACTGGGCCAAGGAATGCCCACAGCCCAGAATTCCTCCTCATCCACGTCCCATCTGTGTGGGACCCCACTGAAAATCAGACTTTTCAACTCACCAGGCAGCCACTCCCAGAGCCCCTGGAACTCTGGCCCAAGGCTCTCTGACTCCTTCCCAGATCTTCTTGGCTTAGCGGCTGAAGACGGACGCTGCCCAGTCTCCTCAGAAGCCCCCGAGACTATCACGAATGCCGATCTTCTGGTAACACTCACAATGGAGGGTAAGTCCGTCCCCTTCTTAATCAATACGGAGGCTACTCACTCCACATTACCTTCTTTTCAAGGGCCTGTTTCCCTTGCCTCCATAACTGTTGTGGGTATTGATGGCCAGGCTTCTAAACCTCTTAAAACTCCCCAACTCTGGTGCCGATTTAGACATACTCTTTTAAGCACTCCTTTTTATTTATTCCACCTGCCCAGTTCCCTTATTAGGCCAAGGCACTAACTAAATTATCTGCTTCCCTGACTATTCCTGGGCAACAGCCACACCTCATTGCCACCTTTTCCCCCAGTTCAAAGCCTGCTTCACATCCTCCCCTTCTATCTCCCCACCTTAACCCACAAGTATAAGACACCTCTACTCCCTCCTTAGCGACCGATCATGCACCCTTTACCATCCCATTACAACCTAATCACTCTTCCCCTGCTCAATGCCAATATCCCATCCCACAGCATAGTTTAAAAAGATTAAAGCCTGTTATCACTCGCCTGTTACAGCATGGCCTTTTAAAGCCTATAAACTCTCCTTACAATGCCCCTATTTTACCTGTCCTGAAACCAGACAAGACTTACAGATAAGTTCAGGATCTGCGCCTTATCAACCAAATTGTTTTGCCTATCCACCCCTTGGTGCCAAAACCCATATAGACTCCTATCCTCAATACCTCCCTCTACAACCCATTATTCTGTTCTGGATCTCAAACATGCTTTCTTTACTATTCCTTTGCACCCTTCATCCCAGCCTCTCTTCGCTTTCACTTGGACTGACCCTGACACCCATTAGGCTCAGCAAATTACCTGAGCTGTACTGCCGCAAGACTTCACAGACAGCCCCCATTACTTCAGTCAATACTTCAGTCAAGCCCAAATTTCTTCCTCATCTGTTACCTATCTCAGCATAATTCTCATAAAAACACACGTGCTCTCCCTGCTGATCGTGTTCAACTGATCTCTCAAACCCCAGCACCTCTACAAAACAACAACTCCTTTCCATCCTAGGCATGGTTAGATACTTTTGACTTTAGATACCTGGTTTTGCCATCCTAACAAAGCCATTATATAAACTCACAAAAGGAAACCTAGCTGACCCCATAGATCCTAAATCCTTTCCCCACTCCTCTTTCCGTTCATTGAAGACAGCTTTAGAGACTGTCCCCACCCTAGCTCTCCCTGACTTATCCCAACCCTTTTCGTTACCCACAGCTGAAGTGCAGGGCTGTGCAGTCAGAATTCTTACACAAGAACCAGGACCACACCCTGTAGCCTTTATATCCAAACAACTTGACCTTACTGTTTTGCCTAGCCCTCAAGTCTCCGTGCAGCAGCCGCTGCCACCCTAATACTTTTAGAGGCCCTAAAAATCACAAACTATGCTCAACTCACTCTCTACAGTTCTCATAACTTCCAAAATCTGTTTTCTTCCTCACACCTGACGCATATACTGTCTGCTCCCTGGCTCCTTCAGCTGTACTCATTCTTTGTTAAGTCTCTCACAATTACCATTGTTCCTGGCACGGACTTCAATCTGGTCTCCCACATTATTCTGGTTAACACACCTGACCCTCATGACTGTATCTCTCTGATCCACCTGACATTCACCCCATTTCCCCATATTTCCTTCTTTCCTGTTCCTCACCCTGATCACATTTAGTTTATTGATGGCAGTTCCACCAGGCCTAATCGCCACTCACCAGCAAAGGCAGGCTATGCAATAGTATCTTCCACATCTATCATTGAGGATACCGCTCTGCCCCCTTCCAGTACCTCTCAGCAAGCCGAATTAGTTGCCTTAACTCAAGCCCTCACTCTTGCGAAAAGACTACGTGTCAATATTTATACTGACTCTAAATATGCCTTTCATATTCTGCACCATCATGCTGTTATATAGGCTGAAGGAGGTTTCCTCACTATGCGAAGATCCTCCAGCATTAATGCCTCTTTGATAAAAACTCTGCTCAAGGCCGTTTTACTTCCAAAGGAAGCTGGAGTCATTCGCTGCAAAGGCCATCAAAAGGCGTCAGATCCCATTGCTCTAGGCAATGCTTATGCTGATAAGGTGGCTAGACAAGCACCTAGATTTCCAACTTCTGCCCCTCATGGCCAGTTTTCCTCCTTCACATGGGTCACTCCCACCTACTCCTCCGCTGAAACTACCACCTATAAATCTCTTCCCACACAAGGCAAATGGTTCTTAGACCAAGGAAAATATCTCCTTCCAGCCTCACAGGCCCATTCTATTCTGTCGTCATTTCATAACCTCTTCCATGTAGGTTACAAGCCGCTAGCCCATCTCTTAGAACCTCTCATTTCCTTTCCATCATGGAAATCTATCCTCAAGGAGATTACTTCTCAGTGTTCCATCTGCTATTCTACTACCCCTCAGGGATTGTTCAGGCCTCCTCCCTTTCCTACACATCAAGCTCGGGGATTTGTCCCTGCCCAGGACTGGCAAATTGACTTTACTCACATGCCCCGAGTCAGAAAACTAAAATATATCTTAGTCTAGGTAGACACTTTCACTGGATGGGTAGAGGCCTTTCCCACAGGGTCTGAGAAGGCCATCGCTGTCATTTCTTCCCTTCTGTCAGACATAATTCCTCGGTTTGGCCTTCCCACCTCTATACAGTCTGATAACGGGCCAGCCTTTATTAGTCAAATCAGCCAAGCATTTTCTCAGGCTCTTGGTATTCAGTGAAACCTTTATACCCCTTATGGTCCTCAGTCTTCAGGAAAGCTAGAATGGACTAATGGTCTTTTAAAAACACACCTCAACAAGCTCAGCCACCAACTTAAAAAAGACTGGATAATACTTTTACCACTTTGCCTTCTCAGAATTCAGGCCTGTCCTCAGAATGCTACAAGGTACAGCCCATTTGAGCTCCTCTATGGACGCTCCTTTTTATTAAGCCCCAGTCTCATTCCAGACACCAGACCAACTTGCACTGTGCCCCAAAAAACTTGTCATCCCTGCTATCTTCTGTCTAGTCATACTCCTATTCACCATTCTCAACTACTCATACATGCTCTGCTCTTGCTTACACTGCCGGTTTACACTGTTTCTCCAAGCCATCACAGCTGGTATCTCCTGGTGCTACCTCCGGACTGCAACTCTTAACTCTTGAAGTAAATAAATAATCTTTGCTGGCAGGACTATGCTGAATCTCATTAGGCACTCTCTAATTAGATGTCCTGGGTCCTCCTAATTCTTAGATCTTTAATACCTGTTTTTCTCCTTCTCTTATTCCATTTAGTTTTTCAATTCATACAAAACAATATCCAGGCCATCACCAATAATTCTAAATGACAAATGTTTCTTCTAACAACCCCACAATATCACCCCTTACCACAAAATCTTCCTTCAGCTTAATCTCTCCCACTCTAGGTTCCCACACCACCCCTAATTCCGCTGGAAGTAGCCCTGAGAAACATCGCCAATTATCTCTCCATACCATCCCCCAAAATTTTCGCCGTCCCAGCACTTTACCACTATTTCGTTTTATTTTTCTTATTAATATAAGAAGACAGGAATGTCAGGCCTCTGAGCCCAAGCTAAGCCATCATATCCCCTGTGACCTGCATGTACACATCCAGATGGCCTATTCCTGCCTTAACTGATGACATCTTGTGAAATTCCTTCTCTTGGCTCATCCTGGCTCAAAAGCTCCCCTACTGAGCACCTTGTGACCCCGCCACTCCTGCCCACCAGAGAACAACCCCCCTTTGACTGTAATTTTCCTTTACCTACCCAAATCCTATAAAACGGCCCCACCCCTATCTCCCTTCGCTGACTCTTTTTGGACTCAGCCCACCTGCACCCAGGTGAAATAAACAGCCTTGTTGCTCACACAAAGCCTGTTTGGTGGTCTCTTCACATGGATGCGCATGAAAGATGGTTCTTAGGGATTTTTCTATTTAAAAAAATTAGCAGGCTGCTATAAATATTTTGTACTTATCTTTTTGTGTCCATGTACACTTTATAGGCAAACGGATATGTGAATATGTAATATTGTGCAGCAATACTAACGTCTTCCAAAGAAATTGTATGATTCACCCAAATCAGTAAATTCTTGTTCATGTACATTCTCTCCAATATTGGCATTGTCAGACTTCCTAATTATGGACAATTTAGTGGATGTAAAATGATGTCTTGTTTATTTCACATACATTTTTGTAAAACACTTTTAGTAGGTAAACAGTTCCATGACATTTATTTTTCTAATACTGCGAGAATGTTTCTCTAGTTTCTTCCATTATCAACTGCTGATGCTAAATTAATATGCTTTCTAATCATTGTTCTCTTATAATTGATCTGGATTTTCTCTATGTCCATTTTTAAGCTTCTTTTACTATGTGTTTTGAAGTTTCAATATAGTGCATTTGGGTCTGAATTACTTCTCATTTTTCCTACTTATAATACAGATTTAAACATTTCTATTAGTATTACCATTGCTGTCACTACTGGAACATTTGCAGCCATCTTTCCCCAATTCATTTTTGTATTTGTTCACCCTAAAACAGCAACTAAATTAATAGTATTCATTTTTATTCTGTCATCCATATCTCTCAAAATTCTTTCCTGATTTTCATGTCCTTATCTGGGAGAGGCTCAAATCTGGGTTATTTCCTTAGAGGCAATTTTCTAATTTTCTAATTGTTTCTTCAGTTTTTTTTTTTAGTCTACAAGTTAAAACAGCCATTGAGATTTTTTCTAATGATTTTATTTTTCATCTAGAAAATATTTATTTGTTAGCATACAATTTATTTTTAAAATATTCTTATGCAATTGTGTTGAGCTTCTGTTGCTATTTCTCTGAAAATATACATTTTCTTTATCTAGTCTATCATTGATGGGCATTTGGGTTGGTTCCATATCTTTGCTATTGTGAATAATGCTGCAATAAACATACATGTGCATGTATCTTTACAATACAATGATTTATACTCTTTTGGGTCTATACCCATTAATGGGATTGCTGGGTCAAATGGTATTTCTGGTTCAAGATCCTTGAGGAATCGCCACACTGTTTTTCACAATGGTTGAACTAATTTACATTCCCACCAACAGTGAAAAAGTATTCTTATTTCTCCTACTTCTCCACAGCCTTGCCAGAATCTATTGTTTCTTTACTTTTTAATAATTACCATTCTAGCTGGTATGAGATGATATCTCACTGTGGTTTTGCTTTGCATTTCTCTGTTGATCAGTAATGTTGAGCTTTTTTCATGATTTTAGCCACATAAATGTCTTCCTTGTAAATTCTGGATATTAGACCTTTGTCAGATGGATAGACTGCAAAAATTTTCACCCATTCTGTAGGTTGCCTATTTGCTTTGATGATAGCTTCTTTTGCTGTGCAGAAGCTCTTTAGTTTAATTGGACTCCATTTGTCAATTTTAGCTTTTGTTGCAATTGTTTTTGGCGATTTCATCATAAAATTTTTCCCTTGCCTATGTCCTGAATGATATTGCCTACATTTTCTTCTGTGGTTTTTATGGGTTTTTATATTGCCTCTGACACAAGATGCTTGCTTTCTGGTGTGCTTGTTGGCTTTGATTGTGAACTCATTGCTTGACCTTAGTCTTGCTCAATACTGTGAGATTAAAGGAAGGAAACCACATTCTAGAGAGCATTTGATTTTACTTCTACCAATAGACAGGGGCCTTTTCTGACCTGAAAGTACTTCAGGCTCCTTCAAAATGTGTGCATCAGTGTTGGGTTCCAGAGTTAGCTTTTCTGTTTTGTAGCTAATCCAATAATTAATATATGAATGCACTTCTGCTGTTAGCATTTTCCTCTGAGGAAATCCTACCCTTACTGACAACCAAACCTCTACCACCAGAAAAGTTTGGGGGGAAAAGGAAAGATAATAGTCTTTACAGATCTTCTCTACCATTTAAGAGACAGTAACACTCCAGCATGCATGTCCTACCCATGGTACCATCTGTAGAGTTGTTCAAAGAGCATCTATTTAACCATAAGACTGTAAGAGATGTTTAAAAGAATATCATTGCCAATGTCAAAAAAATGCTACGAGTTTTAGTGCTTTAAAACTTATAGTTAAGGTATGAAATTTGAATCATTAACCCATTTACAAAAAGATGAAAGTTTTTTTCTGAATTAGATTTGTGGTTTATAGAAATCAACATTTATATTGCTATATATGGAAAATTAATTATTTGATTCTTTCCCCTTTTCCAATCAACTGGATATTTGTGGAGGGAATTCATTAAAAGAATATAAATATTTGAGAATAAAGGTGGATATACAAAGGTGGATCAAATAGGATGTCAAAAAGGCTAATGAGATAAAAACCGTGCAAATAAAATCTTAGTTGAATTTTCATAACAATTTCCTAATGATGACGTATACACACTGTAAATCCAACATTGAAGGGAAACAATAAAATTACCAGTCTTCCTATTCAATTTGATAAAAATTCCAGAGTGTATGCTGAGGTGTGAGAGGCTTAAACAGGACAGATTTGATGAACTAATAGCGATATTTCATCTTTATATATTTATTTTCAGTAATTCTTATGTTTACCACCCTATTTTTTTCTAACTTCTTAGTTGGAAAAAAATTTGTAGTATCAGTCTATGTTCATTCAGAGAAGTATATATAATTTCTTTTTATAGAAATTGAGTTTTTCACATATGTACAAAGAAGCTAGGGAAGTCAAATTGTGCAGGGTGTAGGAGGAATATCAAAGTAGCCACCAGTCAGTAAGTCTGAGAGGTCACTTGAGAACGTAAAGGGGGAAGTGGTGGAGAAATTTAAGGCATGAGTCTGTTGATATGCACAAAAGCATCTTGTAATGGGCCTGGGCCTGTTACTGGCCAGCAAGGTCAGTGGTCCTCAAGAAAAGCTAGAACAAAGAGGAGGAAAATAAACATGAACCAAAATCTGCCTGCACTTCTGGTTCTGTGTGTCATCACAACTAGTTACCATTTCCTCCAGAGAACAAGGACTGTTGCTTTATTTCTGCCTCCCAAATCTCACAAGTGTCCCTTGTGCCTCCAGCTCTAAGCTGCAAAAATTCAGGGAAGGGGGCTCTGGAAAACATCTTTATAGCTTAACAAAATTGATACAGTAATTTTTAGTTAAAATTAGTAGTTCCAAACATTTCTCACTTTTCAACAAAAACAGCCATAGCATTACAAAATAAAAAAGTTTACTGAAAGTGTATTTGTCTTATTGAAGTGTTGATGATTGATGGATGGAAAAATGATTAGATAGATAGATAGATAGATAGATAGATAGATAGATCATTCTTGCTGTATCCCATTATTATATATATAAATTCTGCTATAGTGCAAGCGAGATGCTACAGAATGTAATAGGCTGGCTGTTAGACAGAATCATGGGTTATTTAATATTGGTACAATTATTTTCTGTTCACCAGATGATATTTCCTGTGCAGTAAATAGCACAAAAGCTTTCTTGATAGTTTTATGAAATATTATTACAAAATATCTGCTCCTTCTCTGAGGATAAGTAGTGTGTTTCAATGAATGTAAATTTTAAAAACTTGATAGGTTTCAATTTAATGTGCTATCAAATGTCACCAACGAATTTCCCATCTGAAATATGTAATGTAAACATGTATTCAGCCATGTTTCTCTAAGCTTTGTTCTTCTCATTCTAATATGAGAAATTATTTAACTTGTGTTATCTCTGCCTTTTAGAAATATGTGCAAATTTTGTGGCAATATATCTGATGATATAACATATTATACTAAGTAAGTTAGTGTTTAAGTAAGTTAAGGGAGACAAATAAATTTGTATTTAGAGTAACAAATAAATTTGCACTCAGGTAAATTTGTTTCTAAATAAGTTAAGGTCTGTTTTTCCAGATTTTTGACATATTATTTGAAGTATAATATTTGGAGGAACTTAGAAAGAATGGATAATCAGTAAACATGCACCATTCCTTCTGTTTTTTCCTTAATACATATTTTGATGACTCTATCTCTTTTGGGATAACATACAGATTCTTTAGGATAACCCTCATTTGTTTTGTAATCTGTCTAAGCTATACTTTCACACTTATCCTCATGCCTTCTTAAAAGCATGCTGTCTCCAGTATCCTAATACATTTGTGGTTCTCTAAAAGAGTCAACAATTTCCCCGTCTGCCAGATCTACTACCACTCATCCTTTAATAATAAATTCTCCGATGCTCTGATAATTCTGTCAGTAACAAGTTGATCTTGTGGTTTAGACCAAACAATGTATAGTCTACTTGGGACAAGACTCTGTCCCTTATCTGACCTTGGGCAGATTTCTTATTCCCTCTCTTCTTCCTTTTTTTTTTAACTTATAAAGTAAAAAAACAAATAGTACTCTATTATGAGACAATGATATAGGTTAATCAATAACTGCATGTAAAATACTTCACACTCTGGCATAAACAATAAATTTTACTTGTCATTATTTTTATCATTCTTATGATTTTATTATTTAGGCTCTGTCTCATTGGTAGTTAACCCTTACTTTCTGTGATCTCACATTCTCTTTCATTTATTCATTCACTTTTTAAAAAATTCAACGATTTATTGAGGGCCTTGTATGTACCAGATACCATTTGATCCACAGGAGATTCAGCACTGCATAAAATGAAAATGTTCTACTCTTCTGAAACTTAAATTCTAGCAGTGGAGGTATTCAACAAATAACAAATTAATATATATGTTTCTATTAATTTTTCACCATTCTTGTAGTGTTTTGTCTTGTTTTGCTTTCACATTTCTATTAATATCACTGAAGGATAATTCTTTTCATACAGGGTAGGGACAATTTTATTCTTCTTTTCCTTCATTTATTTTCACAGTGCCTTGCCCATAGTAAGCATCCAATAAATAATTGTTGAATAACTGAATAAATGAATGAATGGCAGCTTCAGGACCATAGACATTTCCCAACATTTTAAATATACCATTCCTGCCTTATCCCCAAGTGTATATTTGGTAACCTCTCAACCCTATATAAAATACATTTATTTTATAATAAGTTTATATGTACAACAGGATGATAGAAGAGCTATAGACATTACACACTAGGCTAAATTTTCAGTAGGTATTTCTGAATCTGCACATAAATATAGATTTTTAGGTACCTGTGCAGGAACACATAATTCCAGAAAAATGTAATCTGTGAAATAAAAAGGATTATTTCCTACAGAGTTTATGTTAATGGGTTTAACTAACTTAACCATTAAGCTAACATTGAAATGTACAAAGACAAATCAGTATGGTAGTGATCAGTTTTCATGTGGATTATTTTTTATCGTATGCAAGTTTGATTTTCCGTCATTTTATGGTTTTGAAAATATAAATTCACCATTTAATTCTCTAATCCTTACTCTGTTAGAGGCGATCACAAAATAAATGTGTCTATATTAAAGGATTATTTAGTGTTCCATACAACACAATGAAAACAACAAAGTTAGTAAAGATTCTATTGTATACAAACAAGAGGTTGTAAAACATGAAGTTATGATGCCACAATGAATGGATGAACATGTACAGCTTGTTCTTAGCAGGATGAGCTTCTGTCTATCTCTCTTGTCAACATTTAATTTGCATTTTGCTTCAGCCATGTTATTTCGTTTCCATTTATTTCAAGCAGATCTACAGAAGTCAATTCTTCACCACTTGCAATGGGATTGTGAAATTTTTTAAACTGGTATTTGATAAACAGCTTTCGCTGATTGAAAAGACTGGATGTATTGAATGTCATCTCTGTCCCTCTGGATCCCCGCTTCCCACTCTGTCTCAGCATGTTGGCCTGCCTACATAAATGGGTTAACTTGCCTCCTGGATCCTCACTCCATTCAGCAAGTTGGAACAACAGAAAGGATTCTGAGAGAAGAAAGTGAAGCTTTGGGTGTGTTATTTTTTGGTTTTTGTTTGTTTGTTTGTTTTCTTCTCTGGCCCAAGCCTGGCTTCATGGGTTTGTTAGAATTGTGCAGTCTTTCAGGGCCTCCTCACACTCAGAAGGGCTCCTTGCTTGGTTTAATTCTCTGCTGGTACCATCTTAAAATTCTTTATAGTTTTTAACAAGGAGCCCCTCATTTTCATTTTGCACCCACAAATTACTTGGTTAGTCCAGCTCCTGGCTCCCTCTGTGCAGGACGGCCTTAGGCTGACTGGGTCCCTTGCCAGAGAGGCTACTCCTGTTCAGAGTCCTCCTCCACTTGTATTTCTCTGTCTGTCGGTTGTGGTAATGATTCTTCTTCTCCTTCAGGCTAACGATGACAGCAGAGTCCCATTGTTATAAGTCTTTGGGAACTGCACCATTACTAGTGCTTTTGCTATTTCTGCTCACATCTTTTAAAACTGCAAAATTTCCTTTATTAAATGTAATATTTTCTTCAACTTATCCTAATTTGTGCATGACATCTACTTATAGCTAGTACTCTAATACTACAAATAGTAAGAACAGCTCAACTCTGGTATATATAATGGCATATAATTCCACAAAAGATAAGCAAAGAGTAAAAGAGAAGACCATTACACCAAAGTTTTTCTTAGAATTTTAGCAGTATGTACACTAAGCTAGAAATCTTCTCAAGAGTTGACAAACATGTCCTAGGATAAAAATCCTCTTTTTCCCCTTTGCCATTGATCTCCTCCTAGAAGGAGTTCTGAAAGAGGCATGGAGAACTCTGTTTTTCATTATTACTAAATGTTAAATAGATCATTGAGTTATTTTTCTTCTGATAAAGAAAATAATTCATAGCAGAGACAATTAACCCCATGCACTTCATCAAGAAGCTGCTTCTGCCCTTCGTGCACTGAAAACACTGATAAATTATGTGTGATTAAAGCATAGGGAATTGGACATATGCAAAAATTATGAAAGTCAAAAGAAGAGGACCCACAAGATAGAAAAAAATGCAACTTCAATGTAGTTTTAAAAAGCATCAAATCATAGACTTTCTAGTTCCTTCACTAACCTGAGCTGTAATTTGGACTTTTGTGCTCTGTACGCATAAAGCTAACAATGAGAAAGTCACAGGCCTAGAGACAGATAGTTCTAAGCTGATAAATTTCAATTCTTTCTCTTGAAAATCCATCTCAGAAAAGAATAATTTGTTAAGAAGACACTATTTTTGCAACATATTAGGTTTCTATTAACCTACCAACTAACAACACGTTAGGTTTGTATTAGCCTACAAAAATTCCAACATATGGGCTTAACTATGTCATTTACATGTGATAAAAATACTGTGTAATTTTTTTTACATTTTACATTAGATACTCTTTATTATATATTTTTAAATAATAGGTTGAGCATGTACTATGTGCTAAGCATTGCTGTAGGTGTTTTTATACCCATTAACTAATTTATCTCCACAATTTTCTTATGAGATATATATTATTATTATTAACCTGATTTTGCATATGGAAAAATTGAAGAATGTGGTGTTTAGCTATAACTTTAAGGTCACACACTTTTAATGAGTGCTTGATGTGTTTAAAACATATTAACATATTCTTTTATAAGATTGTCTATACAAAACTAAGTCTCCATATTTCTTTTGCTACATAAGGGATTTTTCAAGGGTAATTTGATCATAGGCTTGTTTCCTCCATTTTTTGGTTGACTTAGAATATTACCTCAAGTAAGCTGCAACTTATTTTTTATCCTAAAAATGCATGCTAGTAGGTAGGTCATTGGCTTGATCTTCTTCGCTTCTTGTCTTGGAAGTAATTTGAAAAGGAACAAAGCTTCCACAGAAAGTAGCAGAGAGCCTTGAGGAAATGCCTAAAATAATCTGAAGGTGTAATGAAAAAGAAAGATCAAAGCACATGTTGAGAAAAGGCAATCTGGAGAAAACATGCCATTCCCACAAATTTTATAGACTATTATCATTCAGTAATGATGGTATACAGAATCTTTAGTGCTTCGTGGGGGAATAGTTTGTGGAAAGAATATGTAGTGTTTGAGAAGAAAAATGTATACAAAATCAAAAGTCTATGAATTCCTAAATTGAGGCAAGACACCAGCAAGCTGTATCTGACTCTGTAGCAGAATAAATTAGAATAATTCTAAACATTCCCAGTGGAATTCTCTTATGTGAACCTTAGCAGTGGAGAATTATTTTTCCTTTTCATGCTCAGGATACTCCTTCCAGATCCCTTGAAATCTAATTTTCCTCTCACTATTTGATGAACACTATTCTTTGGTCACGATCAGTGATCATTTTGTTAGAAAAACCGTAAGTATTTTCTAAGTCATTAAATTATTCAACCTGATAAAGCAGTGACAATCACTCAATCACTACTTTAAATTAACTACATTTTAGCTTTCAGGACAATGTTTTTGATCAACTTTTTGTCTTTTAATTTTTTTCTTACCTCACTGCTTCAATATGTGTTTCACTCAAAGTACTATCATTAGTCATTCATTTATTCATTCAAACCACAGGTCTCTGTTAATTGGATGAGGATATAAAAGACTGGACATTGATTCAAGCAATAGCTCAAGGCAGAGAAAGAACATAATATATTTTTAAGCCAAACTAAGCAGTTCAATTTGTCTGGAATAGTTCTCACTAAGTGTGTTCTGGCAGGGTGTCATATCTCCAGATTTTATTTCACTAAAGGGTAAGATAAAGCTTTCTGGAAGCAAGAGTTGTAAATCTGTATGCTATCGAGCACTGACAAAAAAAAAGTGGCATATCTAAGTAGGACAAGCTCTACCTCTAGAAGTTTAAGTAGCACAGTGGGTCAGCTTGTTGCTAAAAGTGAAAAAAATAACTTGTGTCATGACAGTGAAAGTTTTTATAGAGTGTTTGAGACATCTTTATACTACATTGAAGATTGAACTATAATTATTGCTGATGTTAGTGTTGTTTTAAATATGTTTCATTTATTTGAATGTCCTACCAAGAGCCCTTGATTTTGGGAGTGTGCCACATATCCAGAGAAGTAAAGAATCTATGATCTAGAGCATATTTGATTGTGACTGAAAATGACTGGAATTTATTCCTCAAAGATCAACTACAGCCAAGATCTAAAGAGCGTTTATGGCTATACTAAGGATATAATTCTCATCAGCATTAAGTAAGCATAGATGATTTTTAAGCAAGAGAGATAACTGAATCGATTTGTATTGTGGAAAAAATAATTGTAATAAGTACATGGAAAGTAAAATTCTTATTCAGAAGTGTTGGAATTTTAGATCTGCAACAATTTTCATGCAAAATAATACTAAACAAATTTCAAACTTTTGATCTAGCTTGAGCAATAAATAAATAAATAAAAGCAGTAACATCTGAATATTTATTTGAAATTTCTCTTTGGATCCACTCCCTCTCTTTATGTAAATAGATAGATAGATAGATAGATAGATAGATAGATAGATAGATAAATAGGTAGATAGAGATTCCAAATATGTATGTATGTATCTATCTATCTATCTAGATATGCCAAAAGATAATTTGGAAAATATTTTCCCAAAATGTGTGTTATCAGGATCAATATCTCAGATCTGATAAATTCTTCACATTGTATTTCAGCTTCATTTTTTTCCTGAACATGTAATTTTTACTTTATATATATCATTTTTGAAACAGCTTTCCTCAATGTACATGTCTCAAAGTGACAGCTTTTTCCTTCAAGCAGTTCAACTTCAACCTTGATATTATTTCATTGACAAAGTACTTCCTAAACTTCTGCTTTTCCATTGATTCCTGGTGGAAAAATAGAGTCACTATCATTTTCTATCTGTGTTCAGTAAATGGATTTTTACTATATTTGTTACAGGATGGTTGACTCTCTAGTTATGAGAAAAGATACAGCAATCCTCACTTCATTTTGTATACTCACGATTGTTTTGGAAAGTAGATTTTCTGCAGTCTCTGAAAATTTCACAATATAAGTATTTTTTACCTTGTGTTGCATATAAAAATTATTCACTATTGTTATAATTTCCTAACATCTACCACATTTCTATAAGATGCTACCTTTTCCATAAATATAACAATAGATAATTAGATCTCTGTACTCTGTAATTAACATCTAATCATATACAGGCTATACTAGGTCCTAAAGAAATGTTTATGCCTATGATGTGTTAGCACTACCAGATGGGGAAGGAGAGAGGGAAGGGGTTGGAAAACTTAACTATTAGATGCCATGCTCACTACCTGGGTGATGGGATCAATTGTACCCCAAACCTCAGCATCACACAATATACTATGTAATAAACCTGCAAATGTACCCCTGAATTGAAAATATGTCAAAATTATTTTTTTAAAGTGTGAAATTATGGTAATACAATGCAATACCAATTAGGTAAGGAAATCATTTTTTTCTAATGGCACTACCCATATAATTTAGAGTCCAGAAAATGATTTTTTCAAAATATCAATCATTATATGTCACTTATTTTTCTTAAATATTACCACTCTAAAATGTGATGACAAGAAATGAGAAAACTCTAGTAAGGACATTTGTGTTATGTATCCTTTTTAGGCAACTGATTTTTGACAAAGGAACATAGAAAAATCAATGAATAAAGGAAAGTTTTTTTCACCAATGGCACTGAAAATATTTGAATATTGATATGCAAAAAGATGAACGTAAACACAGACCTTACACCTTACACAAGACTTGACTCAAAGTGGATCATAGACGTAAATGTAAAATACAAAACTATAACACTTCTAAAAGAAAACAGAAGAAAACCTTAGTGACCTTAGGTTTGGCAATGAGTTTTTAGATAAAACACCAAAACACAATCTATGAAATGATAATTCGAACTTTATTAAAATTGAAAATCTCTTTTCTATCAAAGACACTATTAAGAAATGAAAACACAAGCCAAAGACTAAGAGAACATACTTTAAAAATGCATACCTGATAAATGGCTCATATCCAAAATATAGAAACAATCCTTAAGAATTAGCAATAAGAAAACAAACCACCTAATAAAAAATAAGTAAAAGATATTATCAACAATACGATACAATTCACATCTATTAGAATTAAAATAAAATGCCACTTCCCCTTGCTGGCAAGCGTGCAGAAAAACAAGAATATTCATTCATTGCTGGTGGGAATGCAAAATGTCACAGTCAGTTTTGATGACAGTTTGACAGTTTATTGCAACACTAATAGTATAATATCTAACGAGCAATCTTAGATATTTTCCTAACATTTTTTAAAACATAAGTCCAAACAAAAACTAGTGCATAAATATGTATAACAGGCTTAGTTATAATCATGAAATATTGAAAGCAACCAAGGTATCCTTCAATAGGTAACGGATAAGCAAAACTATGGTACATTGACACCATGACTTATTTATTCTATAATCTAAAAAAATAAAATATCAACTCACAAAAATATGTGGAGAGAACTTAAGTGCATAATGATTAAAAAATAAGCCAGTGGAAATGATTGCATGTGCTATGATGTGGAAAAGTCAAACTATAGAAATGGTAAATAGATCAGTGATTGTCAGGAGTTCAATGTGTGTGTACGTGTGGGGGTGTGTGGGTGGTTACAGTGACTAGGTGCAGCACAGGGAATTAACTAGGGTGGTGCAACAATCGGTATGATATTGTAACGAAAGGTTCATGGTATCATTCATTTGTCAAGCCAATAGAACTTTAAATCAGGAAACATAAACTTTATGTAAATTAAAAATAAATTCACTTAGGAGGTCAGGAGATCCTAGCATAGAATGCACAACGTGACATAACTGACTTTGTTACAATTATATGTATCAACCTCATTGACAAGAATCATGGGAGAAAGGTGTACTGGGTGCTAATTGATAAAGTTGTTTCCCATGTGAGTAGAGTTAATAGTGCTGATAATACTATACATGTATACTGGAATTAAACAATTAAGTGCATGTATATCAGATGGTAGGAGGCATGTTTCTCACTTCTAGAATAGGAGTTTTCAGATAAACAAGGGGAGACAACTGAAATAATCTACGTAGTAATGGGTTACAGTTGGAGGCATCATTGTGAACTCATGTTTTGTATAATAAAGATTGATTATATATAATATATACACACACATATATAATTAGTGTGTGTGTTTGTGTGTGAATATGCAGATTAGTATACACACATATATGTCTTTTTTCTGTCAGCTGAGAGGCCCTAGAAGCAATCACACTCCAGTGGAATGAGTCTACCTAATGCCTAAATTTTGGTTTCTAATAACTTTCTCTAATAAGAAGAAACCAAAGCTACTTGGAGAACTGGCTGATTTTAGGACTGGAACAGGAAATATAGAAGATGATCCTGGAGTGTCTTGTGCTAAACAATAAAGAAGTGCTCAGAAAAGTTCAGCCAATAAATGAATACATCAATATACCCACAATGATTGTGGTATATCAAAGAGCTACAAAAGGCAATGGAAGAGCTCCCATGGCCAAAACTGGAAAAAATCTTAGCAACAAAGGAAGTAAAATGTATTGGGTATAAAATACATATGCATGAGTCCATACTGATATGAATTATTGAATAAAAAATACATGCAAGAGAGTGTACTAATCTTCCATGCAGAAGAAATCCATAACTTAAATATAACTTCATAAAGTAAAAATTTTTGCCTTTAAGGAGGTGAAGCATAACTCCTTACTCCTTAAATATGAGCTATGCATCGTGACTTTCTTCCAACAAGCATAGTACAAAAAAAGAGGAAATGGAGGGAAAGGGTAATGTTACAATGAGGAATTCTGTCTCTCAGGTGACAAAGGTTGACATAAACACTAATACATATTGATAATATGCATCCTTGAAGCATATGATGAAAGATAAGAAGAAAATGGCACTTTTCTTATACTGTTGGATATTTGTTTACATTGTTGAGTCAATTTCATTGTATGTATATGTCATAATTTGTTTAGCCATTTCCACGTTGATGTGGGCCATTGCCTGTTTTGGCTTTTATATATAATGCTCCTGTAAACATTTATCTACAACTTTTAGGCTCCATTTGCTTTCATTTCTTTTGGGTAAATATCTAGAAGTGGAATGAATGGACCCAATGGGAGATATGTGGTCAACATTTTAAGAAACTTTCAAACTGTTTTCAAAAGTAGTTTTATCATTTTAGATTGTTAGGGGCAGTGAATGAGAGTTCTAGTTGTCCCACATTCTTGTCAATCATCCTTTGTTGGTCTTTTAAATTTTATTCTTTCTTGTAGTTGGGTAGTAGTGTGTGATTGTGATTTTGATATGGCCTTGCCTGTATTTTTAGGATGCCTTTGTCTTTGAAAGACAATTTCACTGAAAACAGAATTCTAAGTTGACAGAGTTTTTTAAAAAATATTATTTCAGTACTTTAATGATGTTTCTGTTTTGCCTTTTGGCTTTCATTGTTTCAAAGAAAAAGTCAGCTGTCATTTTTATCTGTGTTGTTCTGTATAAAATATTTCTTTTAACTCTGAATACTTCAACATTTTTCTTTTTATGCCTGCTTTTAATCTATTTATAATGCTCCTTGGTATAGTTTTCTTCATGTTTCTTTGACTTGGGGGTTGGTTGAGCTTCTCAAATCTATATATTTATCATTTTCAACACACTTGGAAAATTGTGGTTACTTTTTATTTCAATTGTTTGGTCCATTTTCTTCTCTGGAAATTTAAATTACATGTAAACATATTGTTATTTAAGATTTCTATAGTTTTCTGAGGTTATGACTTTTTTGGTCTTTTCTTCTCTCTTTCGTTTTAGATTATATATAGTGCAATGTTCTCAATTTCACTAATTTTTCTGCAGCATTTCTTTTGCTATTTACCATATCCATTTTATCTTTTTATCTCTGACATTACAGTTTTTATCTCTAGAATTTCCTTTTATAAAAAATATCTGCCATGTCTTTTCTTAACCGGCTCATGATTTTCTAACATAATAAAATATGAAACGCATTCATTTTAGTTGTTTTTATATCCTCATCTACCAATTTGATCATCTATGTTAGATTTCCATTGGTTTTGATTGATCTCTTTTTTTCTTCCTCATTCATTTTATTTTTTTCTTCTATATGTTTCTGATATTCTTTGATTGGATGCTAAACACTGAATTTACTTTGTTTTTCTCTAGATATCTTTTTACTATAAGTGTTGTTGAGCTTTCTCCCTATGTCTAAGTTAACTTAATTGTAAGGAAATTTATTTTTTGAAAATTTGCTTTAAATTATTTTTGCATGGTACCAGAGCAACCTTTAATTGTGGGTCTTTTTGGTCCCAAAATTGAGGAAGTAAGATCCTGACTACTCTATTGAATAGCTTATTATTATGAGATTTCTTTGCTCTAGTAGTCAGAAAAGTGAAATATATTCGGCACTGTGTAAGCTGCATATATTGTTCATCCTGCTCCCTTTCTGTCATTTCTTTTCTAGCTTCAAATAGTTGTCTCACATGCACACACTTAACTGTATTTAGCTGATGACTCAAGGAGAATGCTCTGCAGATTTCTGGGACTATCACTCTAAGTTGTTCTCCAATACCGTGCTCTATGAATTCTAGCCTTTTAGCCTTCCTAAGCTATCAGCTCTATCTTCTTAACATAGATAACTCACTGAGTCTGGGCTTTATCTCACTTCACTGCCATCTGGAATATTTCTATAGAGAAGCAAATTTGAGGATTGTGAGATTTGTTGGTTTCCCCCACTCAGAGGTCATTTGTCTGTACTGCCTGATGGCTCAGATCTGAACAACCACTGTTTTATATGTTTTTTTTTTCTTGTCTGTTTATTTAAGATAGTAAAATAAATCTATATATTTTTTTTTTTTTTTTTGAGACACAGTCTTGCTCTGTCGCCCAGGCTGGAGTGCAGTGGCACGATCTCGGCTCACTGCAAGCTCCACCTCCTGGGTTCACATCATTCTCCTGCCTCAGCTTCCCGAGTAGCTGGGACTACAGGCACCCGCCACCATAGCCCGGCTAATTTTTTTGTATTTTTAGGAGAGACGGGGTTTCACTGTGTTAGCCAGGATGGTCTCGATCTCCTGACCTTGTGATCTGCCTGCCTCAGCCTCCCAAAGAATCTATTCTTTTATTATTATTATTATACTTTAATTTCTAGGGTACATGTGCACAACGTGCAGGTTTGTTACATATGTATACATGTGCCATGTTGGTGTGCTGCACCCATTAACTCGTCATTTACATTAGGTATATCTCCTAATGCTATCCCTCCCCACTCAACCCACCCCACAACAGGCCCCAGTGTGTGATGTACCCCTTGCTGTGTCCAAGTGTTCTCACTATTTAGTTCCCACCTATGAGTGAGAACATGTGGTGTTTGGTTTTTTGTCCTTGTGATAGTTTGCTGAGAATGATGGTTTCCAGCTTCATCCATGTCCCTACAAAGGTCATGAACTCACTCATCATTTTTATGGCTGCATAGTATTCCATGGTGTATATGTGCTACATTTTCTTAATCCAGTCTATCATTGATGGGCATTTGGCTTGGTTCCAAGTCTTTGCTATCGTGAATAGTGCCAGAATAAATGTACGTGTGCATGTGTCTTTATAGCAGCATGATTTATAATCCTTTGGGTATATAGCCAGTAATGGGATGGTTGGGTCAAACGGTATTTCTAGTTGTAGATCCTTGGGTAATCGCCACACTGTCTTCCACAATGGTTGAACTAGTTTACAGTCCCACCAACAGTGTAAAAGTGTTCCTATTTCTCCACATCCTCTCCAGGACCTGCTGTTTCCTGACTTTTTAATGCTCATCATCACTGGCCATCAGAGAAATGCAAATCAAAACCACAATGAGATACCATCTCACGCCAGTTAGAATGGTGATCACCAAAGAATCTATCCTTTTTTGTTCCAACTTGTCTAATTGTGGAAGTCCACATTTTTTTAATACGATAAACTTACTTTTTTGTGTCAAGCTACTAACATTTTGAAATATCTTTATTATATCATCCAGTATTAAATTATACGTAATATATTATCTATATGTCAGGAAGTTCTTCAAATATGTCCTGACCTTTATGACCTATCAGTAAATCTCAGTAAGATCCAATTGAGGAGCCATGCCTTAGATAGTAAGATTTTGCAACCTTTGTTTAGAACGTTTGCTTAAAATGTTTGTTCTTTCTTTTATTCCCCCTTTAATGAAAGTCAACTCACATCTATTTAAGGAAAAAGTTGTAACTCTCTGATATTTCATAACCAAACAGGTTTCATTTTCAATTTTAAGAACTCTGCTCCCTTAATTATAAATGTTATTGGCTCAAGAAGATTTTGCAACATTAGAAGTCAAAACAGCAAATGAGAGTCCAAAATAACTGTTTGAGTGACAGAACAATAAGACATTTTTAAAGGCATGGGGATTATAAGATATGTTATTATAACATGATATAATATGTAATAATATGGTATTAATATATTAATTAATATAATTAATAGATACGGGAAAAAGTCAAGGAGAAAATATATTTAAATATCACCATTCTTGAATGGGAAAATTTGAAAACAACTTTATATATTTTTTTGCCAGGGTATACTTGCTAAATTTTGAATATAGATTATTTTTCTTCATAATAAAATGTGTTACTTTCAAACAATTAAATGTTCAAGTACAAGGACTGGAGTCTGGATTTCTATTGAGAACATGTGTTCATTGGAATTTGTGGGAAAATAATGGAGTCAATATAACTATTGCGTGCATATTTTCCTCAAACCCACTTTTGAAAACCCATGCCATTGGCCGTTTAAGAGTTCAAGGGGCATGAAAAGCTGTTTCAAGTGCAGGAGTGTTGATTCTGAAAAGCAAAGAGAACTAAAAAGAAGATCAAAGACACAGGGCCAGCCAGAACAACAGATGGTTATAAAGAAACAGATGCAGAGGACTGGCTTCCTCATTGGAATCCCACCCAAGATTTTAGATCAAGATAACTGGGTTATATTCCAAGATTCATGCTAAAAATAGGATCCACATGAGAATTTCCATTGCTGGTGTATTATTAGAGAAACTAGCTTTGGCAGCAATAGAGAAAGAAGAGACTCCATGTTTCCTCAGGGCCTGTATATCAGGATTACTTTTCTCTATAGTCTGTTGAGCAGCCAACATGACTCCATTGAATTCTGGACTTCGTCCCTGAAAGAGTGCCAAGTATGTTAAATAAGCTTCACACTGGGAACATCTAAGATCGAGTGATCATAACATCATTAGATTTAAAATGCTCATGAGACCAAGTTCTAAGGGAAGCAACAGAAAATTTTCAGACTTCAAAAAAAATGCCAACTGTGAGAGAGGACAAAGTGATTTAGAGAATGCTTATCAGAAACGTGGTATATGCAGAATCCATCAAAAGAGAAAATGACACAGGAAGAACATATCAAGCAACTAAGAGGAAAAGGATAAAGAATATTACTTAGGGCATTTTATTAAAGTCTATCTGTATTGAAAAAAAAAAAAAAAGAAAGAAAAAGGTCCAGTGATGCTTTAGAGGCCAAATAACAAATAGAGTTTTTGAAATCTACAAAAAACAAGTCAGGTAAGCAGAATCTTATTGAAGTCGAACAGATTAGCTTATATCCACCAGTCAAAAACTTGAAAGTCTGGATTAAACTCTCCCTCTATTACTTCTTTTCTGGTTCAGTTTTAGGAAAATCTGTTTCTGTGGATAAAGCCTGATCAGGGTTGACCCACGTGGTACTTCACATGATGTACGTTAAGAATTAGTGGATTAACCTCATCTCCTACAACTCCAACAAGGACAAATCTCATGAGACTCAGTTTTAAGCCTCCTTTTACAAATGCTAACATAACTTATAGAATTAACTTATTAATTCTATTTCTGCTTATTGTAATTAAAATGAATAGATTTATATTCAGTTTTTTCTTCTTGCTAAAAATTTCAGTTTTCCAATGGTAAACAAGGGTTTTTTGATGAAGTTGAGGTATTAATCAATTGTTTTTTCAAGATACAAAGATGACCAGAGAGATTAAGTCTTTGCAGAGGAGAGGCAATGGATACTGTCAGCAAAACAAAATGAAAACCACAAATTAAAAAACCAAAGCATGATAATGTAGGGATATTAGGTTCCTCAGTGATTAAAGGTGGACATATGAGGCGGGTGGTGATGGGGAGGGGCTTGTTGGCGTATTGGAGTAAAAGCAAGTGTATAAAAAGGGAATTCTTATTAATTTTACTTTCATCTAGAAAAGCCAGTTGTTTTCGTGTTGATACATGTAACAGAAATGTGGAAATAGTATGTACATTTAGAGCCTTACTACCCCAAATGTAGTCTGAGGCATAAAAAAAAGAATTATACCTCAATAAAACTGGGTGAACAAAACACTTAGGGTGGGAGATGAGAGACAGAGAGAGAAGGTCAAACATTTTTTTTAAATGCCTAAAAACTAGCAGCATCAACATCACATGAGAGCTTGATACAAACAAAGAAATTCATGCTGCACTCTAGACCTTCTAAATCATAAGATCAATATGATCACTTAGTAATTTTTAGGGACATTTCAAGCACAGACTTGATTTCAGAAAGACCTGGGTTTGAATTCCTGTTCTTCTACTTATTGTGTGACCTTGGTTCAGGTATATAAGCTCTCTGATATTAAGTTTTGTCGTGAGGAATGGGGATAACAGTAGCACCAAGCTCATGAATTTGTTGGTTTAAATTAATTAGTGCTTGAAAACCACTTAACCAAAGTCTGGCACATCAAGCAAACTCAAAACAAGCTGGACAGTGTCAGCATTCACCCAGAGCAGATTATCAAAACAAAGTTAGAAAATATGTAAGAGATTAAACTTATTTTTTTTCAATTCTATGTTCCATTTATTGATTTTTATGTCTCGTGTTGACATGGATTTTTGAAGTGAATACTGGTGACTAGTTCATGCTATGTGCAGGCTATGACTATAAAGCAAGAGTCATTTAAAACAAGGTAATATTTTGGCATTTTTTCATCCAAGTCATGTCAGCTGTACAATATATCCTAATAATTAGGCAGATATTAGTCATCAAAATAACAAAAATACCAACAACAAAGAGCTAATGATGTGAGCAGCTGTTACAGCATTGCTTAAATGATTATCAAGTCTTGCTTTTTAAAAATATATTTTACATTTTTGTAGCCTGGCATGGTGGCTCACACCTGTAATCCCAGCACTTTCATAGGCCGAGGCAGGTGGGTCAGCTGAGGTCAAGTGTTCCAGACCAGCCTAACCAATATGGTGAAACCCCATCTCTACTAAAAGTACAAAAATTAGCCAGGCATGGTGGTGTGAGCCTGTAGTCCCAGCCTGGCCAGCATAGTGAAACCCCATCTCTACTGAAATACAAAAATAGCCAAGTGTTATGTCACCTACCTGTAATCCCAGCTACTAAGGAGGTTGAAGCAGGAGGATTGCTTGAATCCAGGGAGTGGAGGTTGCAGTGAGCAGAGATCATGCCAATGCACTCCGTCTTGGGCGACAGAGCAAGACTGCATCTCAGATGTCTATATTTAAATATTTTATATAAGAAATGGAAATCATAATGCAGATACAGAATTTTAAAGTTGGTTATCTCCTGCTACCTCAAGTATTATTTTAGGATTAGTAAGGGAAATTACCTAAGTAAACATAGATGAATTATTCACATATAAATCTGAGATTCACTCATATATAATAATCTAATTTTTTACTAGACTTGGTGATCATAAGAAATATTATAAGAAAAGAAGACTATAGATCAATAGCTTTCATGGACATACATGCAAAATTCTGAATAAAAATATTAGTAAATCACATCCAGCAATATACAAAAGGATTCCACATCCAGAATATATAAAAATGATACTACAAAAAAATAGAGTTTATTCTAGTAATGTAAGGTATAGTATTCAAAAATAGCAAAAAATGTAACTCACTATATAAAAGGGATCAATTTTTTAAAATCATGATTATATAAATAAATGGAAAAAAATTTAAAAATATCTATTTCATATATGTTAACAAACATATACTGAAAGTTGTAGCTAGTGCAATAAAAGAAGAAAAAATAAAGAAAGGAAGAAATAAAATTGCTGCTATTCACAGAAGACATGAGGTTGTACATAGAAGGCCGTATGGGAGGCCTTCCAGAAAAAATATTAGAAACAATAAAAAATTATAGCAAAATTGAAGGATACAATGTCAATATATAACAAGCACTTAGGTTTTTATATACTGGTGATGAACAAGAAATACTTGAAATTAAAAATAAATCAATTTAAAATTGTATCCAAGCCTGACACTTCTAGAAATAAATCAAATAAAAATGGGTTTTCACCTTGAAAATTCTGAAATATTGCAGAAACAACTTGTCTTAAAATTAAAATAAATGAAATAATAAAACATCAAAAGATTGGAAGACTCAAGATACTGTATATATCCATGTTATAGATTTGATATCATCGTAGCAGGCCTTTGTGAAGAAATTCATGCAATCATTCTAAAATGTATATAAAAATGCAAAAATCAAGAAAGCACTAAACAAGTTTTAATAAGAACAAAGTTAGAGGACTTATACCACCTGATTCCAAGACTTTCTATAAAGCTATAGTAACCAAAACAGTGTAGTATTGTATGAAGGATAGACCAATATATTGATATGTCAGAATAGAGAATATTGAAATTGATTCATACATATATAATCTTTTTATTTTCAAGTGCAAAGTAAAAGGGGAAAAACCTATTTTACAAATGGCTTTGAATAAACTGGATATCTCTGTGGAAAGAAAAATAATCTTTATTTTTATTTTACTCCATATATGAATATAAATTTGAAATTCATCACATACCTAAATGGCTCATTAGAAATTGATAGCTTATAATGAAAAACATACGTGATTTTGTAGTAGATAGGGATTCCTTACAGTCCAGAAGGCACTTACAATAAAAAAATTATAAATTGGATTGCATCAAAATTTAAAATTTCTGCAAAAAAAAAGCATGATTAAGAAGTTGTATAATCACGTAATACACTGTGAGAAATACATATAAGGCACAATACATATATATTTCAGTGCATGTGTTTATAGAAAATGCAAAGAATATCTACAAATCTTTAATGAAAATACAACAGTCCAATAGAAAAATAGAGACAGACAAGTGACCAATAAGCACATAAAATCTTCAACTTCTCACTCATAGGTGGGAATTGAACAATGAGAACACTTAGACACAGGAAGGGGAACATCACACACCAGGGCCTGTCGTGGGGTGGGGGGAGGCGGGAGGGATAGCATTAGGAGATATACCTAATGTAAATGACGAGTTAATGGGTGCAGCACACCAACATGGCACATGTATACATACTTAACAAACCTGCACGTTGTGCACATGTACCCTTGAACTTAAAGTATAATTTTAAGAAAAGAAAAAAAAAGTCTTCAACTTCTCAAGATTACACGTGACCAAAAAAAAAGTCAATTTAAATAACAATAAAATGCCAGTAAATGTTTACTAGATTTTTCAAAATGAAAAAATGATATTGAAAATAACAAATGTTGGCAAATTATCAAATATATGGTGCAATTAGAACTCTCATAAATTAATGATGGGAAAGTAAAACAGTAAAACTATTGTGATGAATTATTCAGAGGTTTCTATTAAAGCTAAATAGACACATATTCTATAACAATTTCATTCCTAGGTATTTACTTGAGAAATTCACAGCTATAGCCACAAAATGACTTCTATACAATTATCTATATAAGACTGATTCATAATAGCCAAAATCTGTTAACAGCAATAGAATAGGTAAATTATGGTACATCCCATTCATACAATGGAAAATTACTCAACAATAAAAAGTAACAACTTATTGACACATAAAATTACTCAAAATATTAGATTAAGCAAGAGAAGCTGGACACAACACATTGTATGATTCATATTTACATGAAAAATAGGCTAAACTAGTCTGAGGTGATAGAAATCAGAAAGGTGGTTGGATAACGGGTGAATTATAGTCAAAATTTCTAGAAAAATAAATGAAGGAAACTTTGTGGGTTATTGAACTGTTTATATTATTTTGTGTACATAAAATTTTTAAAACTAACCCAACTAGACTCTTAATATCTCTACATTTTGTTGAATGTAAAATATATCTTAATTTTAAAAAGAGGTGGAAACATAGGGTAAGAAATAGAAGATAAATAACTAACAGTTTGTTCTAATTAACATTTTTTCTTGTATTAATGATTGGAAAGCTTTAGAGGAAAAAATGTATTTATTACATTATTTTATTAACAGTCATTTGAAAACATCAAAAGCCAAATTATAAAACACCTCTCATATATATGTATTTTAAAATTTAGTTTGATTGCACTGTGGTCTGAGAAACAGTTTGTTATAATTTCTGTTCTTTTACATTTGCTGAGGAGTGCTTTACTTCCAACTATGTGGTCAATTTTGGAATAAGTGTGGTGTGGTGCTGAGAAGAATGTATATTCTGTTGATTTGGGGTGGAGAGTTCTGTAAATGTCTATTAGGTCTGCTTGGTGCAGAGCTGAGTTCAATTCCTGGATATCCTTGTTAACTTTCTGTCTCGTTGATCTGTCTAATATTGACAGTGAGGTGTTAAATTCCCCCATTATTGTTGTGTGGGAGTCTAAGTCTCTTTGTAGGTCTCTAAGGACTTCCTTTATGAATCTGGGTGCTCCTGTATTGGGGGCACATATATTTAGGATAGTCAGCTCTTCTTGTTGAATTGATCCCTTTACCATTATGTAATGGCCTTCTTTGTCTCTTTTGATCTTTGTTGGTTTAAAGTCTGTTTTATCAGAGACTAGGATTGCAACCCCTGCCTTTTTTGGTTTTCCATTTGCTTGGTAGATCTTCCTCCATCCCTTTATTTTGAGCCTATGTGTGTCTCTGCACGTGAGATGGGTTTCCTGAATACAGCACACTGATGGGTCTTGACTCTTTATCCAATTTGCCAGTCTGTGTCTTTTAATCGGAGCATTTAGCCCATTTACATTTAAAGTTAATATTGTTATGTGTGAATTAGATCCTGTCATTATGATGTTAGCTGGTTATTTTGCTCATTAGTTGATGCAGTTTCTTCCTAGCCTCAATGGTCTTTACAATTTGGCATGTTTTTGCAGAGGCCGGTACCAGTTTTTCCTTTCCATGTTTACTGCTTCCTTTAGGAGGAGCTCATGGAGGGCAGGCCTGGTGGTGACAAAGTCTCTCAGCATTTGCTTGTCTATAAAGGATTTTATTTCTCCTTCACTTATGAAGCTTAGTTTGGCTGGATATGAAATTCAGGGTTGAAAATTCTTTTCTTTAAGAATGTTGAATATTGGCCCCCACTCTCTTCTGGCTTGTAGAGTTTCTGCCAAGAGATCAGCTGTTAGTCTGATGGGCTTCCCTTTGTGGGTAACCTGACCTTTCTCTCTGGCTGTCCTTAACATTTTTTCCTTCATTTCAACTTTGGTGAATCTGACAATTATGTGTCTTGGAGTTGCTCTTCTCAAGGAGTATCTTTGTGGCTTCTCTGTATTTCCTGAATTTGAATGTTTGCCTGCCTTGCTAGATTGGGGAAGTTCTCCTGGATAATATCCTGCAGAGTGTTTTCCAACTTGGTTCCATTCTCCCTGTCACTTTCAGGTACACCAATCAGACGTAGATTTGGTCTTTTCACATAGTCCCATATTTCGTGGAGGCTTTGTTCATTTCTTTTTATTCTTTTTTCTCTGAACTTCTCTTCTTGCTTCATTTCATTCATTTGACCTTCCATCACTGATAACCTTTCTTCCAGGTGATCGAATCGGCTACTGAAGCTTGTGCATTTGTCACGTAGTTCTCGTGCCTTGGTTTTCAGCTCCATCAGGTCCTTTAAGGACTTCTCTGCATTGGTTATTCTAGCTAGCCATTCATCTAATCTTTTTTCAAGGTTTTTAACTTCTTTGCCATGGGTTCAAGCTTCCTCCTTTAGCTCAGAGAAGTTTGATCATCTGAAGCCTTCTTCTCTCAACTCGTCAAAGTCATTCTCCATCCAGCTTTGTTCCGTTGCTGGTGAGGAGCTGCGTTCCTCTGGAGGAGGAGAGGCGCTCTGATTTTTAGAATTTTCAGTTTTTCTGCTCTGTTTTTTCCCCATCTTTGTGGTTTTATCTACAACTAACTGATCTTTGACAAACCTGACAAAAACAAGAAATGGGGAAACGATTCCCTATTTAATAAATGGTGTTGGAAAAACTGGCTAGCCATATGTAGAAAGCTGAAACTGGATCACTTCCTTACACCTTATACAAAAATTAATTCAAGATGGATTAGAGACTTAAATCTTAGACCTAAAACCATAAAAACCCTAGAAGAAAACCTAGGCAATACCATTCAGGACATAGGCATGGGCAAGGACTTCATGTCTAAAACACCAAAAGCAATGGCAACAAAAGCCAAAATTGACAAATGGGATCTAATTAAACTAAAGAGCGTCTGCACAGCAAAATAAACTACCATCAGAGTGAACAGGCAACCTACAGAATGAGAGAAAATTTTTTCAATCTACTCATCTGACAAAGGGCTAATATCCAGAATCTACAATGAACTCAACCAAATTTACAAGAAAAAAACAAACAACCCCATCAAAAAGTGGGTGAAGGTTATGAACAGACACTTCTCAAAAGAAGACATTTATGCAGCCAAAAAACACATGAAGAAATGTTCATCATCACTGGCCATCAGAAAATGCAAATCAAAACCACAGTGAGATACCATCTCACACCATTTAGAATGGTGATCATTAAAAAGTCAGGGAACAACAGGTGCTGGAGAGGATGTGGAGAAACAGGAACACTTTTACACTGTTGGTGGGACCGTAAACTAGTTCAACCATTGTGGAAGTCAGTGTGGCGATTCCTCAGGGATCTAGAACTAGAAATACCATTTGACCCAGCAATCCCATTACTGGGTATATACCCAAAGGATTATAAATCATGCTGCTATAAAGACACACACACACGTATGTTTATTGTGGCACTATTCACAATAGCAAAGACTTGGAACCAACCCAAATGTCCAACAATGATAGACTAGATTAAGAGAATGTGGCACATATACACCATGGAATACTATGCAGCCATAAAAATATGATGAGTTCATGTCCTTTGTAGGGACATGGATGAAGCTGGAAACCATCATTCTCAGCAAACTATCGCAAGGACTAAAAACCAAACACTGCATGTTCTCACTCATAGGTGGGAATTGAAGAATGAGAACACTTGGACACAGGAAGGGGAACATCACACACTGGGGCCTGTTGTGGGGCATGGGGAGGGATAGCATTAGGAGATATACCTAATGTAAATGACAAGTTAATGGGTGCAGCATACCAACATGGCACATGTATACATATGTAACAAACCTTCATGTTGTGCACATGTACCCTAAAACTTAAAGTATAATTAAAAAAAAGAAAAACAAACAAAAAATAATAATTTATTTTTAAGTTCCGGGATACATATGTGTAACGTGCAGGTTAGTCACATAGGTATATGTGTGCCATGGTGGTTTGCTGCACCTATCAACCCATCACCTAGATGTTAAGCCCCACATGCATTAACTATTTATCCTGATGCTCTCCCTCCCCCCACCCCCCTGACAGGCCCCAGTGTGTGTTGTTTCCCTCCCTGTGTTCATGTGATCTCATTGTTCAGCTCCCACTTATGAGTGAGAACACTCATGTTTGGTTTTCTGTTCTTATAGTAGTTTGCTGAGGATAACGGCTTCCGGCTTCATCCATGTCCTTGCAAAGGACATGATCTCATTTCTTTTTATGGTTAAATAGTTAACATATCTCACATTTTTGAATTAATATTGCAACAAAGCAGAATTGGATACTTAAAAAACATGATGTATGATTCTCATTCTTCCAGAGTATTTAACTCTCATTCTTCTGAGCAAATTAAGGGGAAATTTACACAGGCAAAATTAGTAAAATTTCACTCAGTAATAAGCAAAGGAATTACATGTGTAATAAAAAGACAAATTGTTTTTAGAAGCAAACCTACCTGGATTCAAATCCAAGGTTTACCATTTACTCTCCATATTCCCCTGAGAAATTTATTTACTGCTTATGAATCTGTCTTCTTACTTAAAATTTTTTAAGTATTAATATTAATGAAGGTAGGTTATTGTGCATTTAAAAATCACTTTTATATCACGATATTACATAGCAGCAACTATAAATATGATATATTTGGAAACCAATGTTCTCTCAATTTAGCATTTAACTGCTGCAGAGTAGCTATTAAGACACAAATGCAGCCAGGTATGATGGCTTACACTTGTAATCCCAGCACATTGGGAAGCCGAGGCAGGTGGATCACCTGAGCTCAGGAGTTTGAGACTAGCCTGGCCAACATGAGGAAATCCCATCTCTGCAAAAACACACAAAAATTAGCTGGGTGTGGTGGCAGGCACCTGTAGTCCCAGCTACTCCGAAGGCTGAGGTGGGAAGATGGCTTGAACCTGGGATTCAGAGGTTACAGTGAGCAGAGATCACTCACGCTACTGCTCTCCAACCTAGGTACAGTATGAGACAGTGTGAAAAAAAAGCAAAACAGAACAAAAGACAAATATTAGTGGTGTTTGGAATTTGGAAAGTTAAGGTAGAAATTCGTAACTTGATTATTGAAACTTGCCATTAATATAATATCATAACTTCATTCATAATTCATAACTTGATTATGAATTCATAACTTGATATTGGAGACTTGCCATTACTGTAATATCTCCAGCTACTTCATTCTCTGCATTTGCAAGATTTCAAGCATAATTTTGATTTTTCTTTGAAAGTATAGAAGAAAATTCTGTTTTCTTTACTGTATGGCTTCAAGATCATTCTGATTACTGTAGTTTCTGATCAAGGTTACAATTGCCACCCAATCTTGGCCAGTCCTTGCTAGCGCCGTAATCTTAGGTAAATTATTTGAAAGCTGTAACACACAGCTTATACCTTCATTTATATACTCTTGTCTAAAGAGTATTTCATTATTATGTACTCTTGTCTAAGGAGTATATAAATAAAGGTATAAGCTGTGTGTTACAGCTTTCATCAAAGCTCATCAAAGAAGATGGTCCCCTTTCACTAGGTTTGAAACTTCAGAAAGTTAAAATACAGAAAGGTAAGTGGGGACACAGAAATTGAAACCACACTGATGAGCAACGTGGTGAAGAATATTACAGCAAGCTAGTGGGGTCTCCATTTTCTTCATTTGGAAAGTGGAGGTTAATAATTTTACCTAAGAGAATTACTATGCGTTTTAAACTAAATAAATGTGAAAATACCTGTCAAGTGCTTATAGAGTGGGAGTCCAATAAGTTAATTTTCTCCCATTCTCAGTAAAGCAGATTGTTTCATATAGATATGCTTTATAATATATATTTTGATTTTGAGCACAAAATGTTGAGCAAAATCTTCTCTACAGTGTAAATTTTATGATATGAGCATGGAATACAGGTAATGCTGTACTCTAACACACCTGTTTATGCTTTAATTCTTAAATAACTATATTACTTCATATCCTAAATGAACATTCATGATCAAAAAACTTCTGGCAAAATTGGTAAAATAAATTAACTAGTTAATTATTTTTTAACTAAGTTTGAAAGAAAATTTCTTGGGTTTTTTTTGGTTTGTTTGTTGGTTGGTTTTTCTATCTATGGATCATGATGTGAATCTTTTACAGAGCCGCTGAGTGTTTTTCCCCTATTCTAGCTATGCTGAGTTTTGGGCTATCTTCAATAATTAGTGAGTTTAACAGCAAGTAGAAAATTTAGAGACTTATTTCACACAAAGATGATGAACATATGGAATAAGCTGCTAACTTAGTCCATTGGAGCAGATAATAAAATTTAGTTTAGCAACACAAAATTTGTTTCTAAAAGAGGGTGAAGATAGCAGGAAAGAATTAGAGAGAATTGATGCCAGTGTCTTAGAGAATGTCAGATACTCAGATAAAGAAGGTTTTCTAATGCTCACATGGCCTTTCCGCGCACCTCTGTCTTATTATTTTTTATGTCCTTAGGATATTTTAATTTTCTGGAAACGAATATAATTGTGACTAGCTTTGCAAAAATTGCTGCTGTATACCATAATGCATGCTATAAACCATGCAGGGATCTTAAAGTGCGTAATCGGGCTGCAGATGGCACTGTTAATTTCTATTACAGACTGTAAAATCACGAGGGAGATCGTGTTTGCCTCACTGCCTCACTGTTCTACGAGAATGATTTTTGATGGTTTCCCTTACTGCACAACTTTTCTCCAAAGTGTTTGTCTTTTAGAAAGGCCAGAAGGAAGTTACTGGCTTTTAAAAAATCTGTGCAAAACTACCAAGGTGCTCTGCTCCCTGCCATCCCGGGTTTGCTAGCCTTATTTAGGGAAGGTACAGGAGTCTGAGCACTTGGAATAACATGAGCCTTCTGGGGGTTGGGAATTTATGAAAATACTAACTCTCTGTTTCATAACAAATGTAGAGTATCATTTGAAACTATATTTATGAAAATTCTTTTATAAATGAAGTTAAATAAAAGCCAATTATTTAAAAATATGTATAATACATATACACACATTTATATACATATAAAAGCAAACATATTTTTCTTGTTTTGTCACAACTCTATATTCTTCAATGGAATTTTGCCTCAATAATGTCCACCATCTGGTTTCATCCAAAGGACAATAATATTTTTAGGTCTGTAGGTTTGAAACCTCCAAACCTCCATCAAATTCAAGAAACCCTTCTAGCCAACTTTTTGGTGAATTGTTGGCAAGGTGTTGACTTTGAAATCATGAGACCTGTGTTTGGTTCTTAGAAGCAACACTTAATAAGTGTGTGATATTATAGTTCCCCTACCATTTCTGTTTTCGCATTCTCTTATCTAAAAATAAATAATTTACTGGGGTCTAATGGGATTAAATACAATAACGTTTGTAAAGTATTTAGCATAATTCAAAGCATGTGGTAAGCCCATAACGACATTTACTAAGAATCTGCTTTTGTGTGTGTTTTATTCACTTTAAATATTTGAAGCTAATTTGATATATATATATGTGTGTGTATACATATCTCCAAGTACTTCATTTCCCATGGAAATACACTCACTTTATTCAAACTGTAAGTTCTTTTTCCATAGACCAAGTAAAGAACCTTACTTAGGAATGTAGCACTTTTAAGACTTTGCTCCAAATTATGCAGACACAAGCCATTTTAATTTGAAAGGCATTCACTAAAGAAGGTAGATGGGATTAAAGAATAGAAATGTATAAGACGTGGTTAAGACTTTTTTGGCTTTACTGCTGTTGATTCAAAGAATAAACAGATTGCACAAAGGTGCTAAAATGATTTCAGGCCAAACTTTGAGGCAAGTACTCCATGTGAATATTATTGCCTTTCACCAATGTAACTATCACTTCCACGCAGGGTTAGGCAACTTATAAAAGTTGGTCTGCCTTAAATCAGTTAGTGTTCCAGGATTAAATCTCTTCATCTTATAAGCTCAACAAAACTGAAATATTTTAAATAGGATATCATTCATGACCATGACAATACAATATCAGTAATTTAATGCCTCAATCATGATGATTTAATCTTTTATGATATGCCTTTGGATGATCTAGTTAAGAGTGCAGATTGCAAAATAGTTATGTTTTTTCATAAAATAATACTGCATTGAGTCATAATATGCCTCTTTTCTCTGTTACCTATGCCTAAGTTTTGTAACCTCAAATAGTCATTATGTAAAGAAGCCACTGTTCTTAATACTGTCTTGAAATGTAGATTCATAATTACAATTTCCATTGAACAACTCACCTAGATGTAGACATAGATGAGTTACAATAGACACTGTAAACACAATATGTTTAAATCTTAACTTACTGACTCTCCACTGACAACCTCGTCCACCTTCTCACTTTCCTACTGGTTAGTGGTATCCTTTTCTTTTTTTTTTAATGACATTCACTCAACAGATTCATTCAACTAATTTCATGAAGCTCATACTACATGCCAAAATTGTACTGGATGCTGGAGATACTAAAACGATCAGGATCAATGTGGTTTCTGCTTTCAAATGCATTGCATTCTAAATGGAGAAAGACAAAAGATTTTTTTTAAGTACAACTTGGGGTGATAAATAATCTGTCCAAAGCAAAATATTACTCACAGCTTTGTTGTGATATAATTTATATAACGTAGAGTTCGCCTGTCTAAAATGTGCAAATCAATGCTGTTTATTATATTCACAAATTTGTGTCCACATGACCAAAATCTAATTTTAGAACATTTTTTTACTCCCCATTGACCCGTACTTACCCATAGCAACCATTGTTCTTTCTATCTCTGTAGCTGCTGCTATGCTGCACAATAGAATCATTCAATATGCTATTAGAACTATATTTTATCACTTGGCATAATGTTTTCAAAGTTTGTCCATCTTACATTTATTAACAATTTCTACCTTTTATTGTCAAATAATTTTCTTTTTTATGGATATGTAAAATATTTGATTCAGTAAATTTTAAGTTCTTGAACCAACCTAAGCACTTTGAGAGGTTACAGATATACATATTATCTATATCTACAGCTATATTTATCTATCTACCTATTTTTCTTTTAATTGTTCAGTAAAGCTCCTTGCTTGAATTTTAAAATATTCCAATCTTTCTAAAATTTAAAATATTGATAACACTCATTACTGTTGGGAATATAGCTTGGTACACACATTTTAGAGGCAATTTGACATTACAAACCACAATATTTCACATTATTAATATTTTAATATACCTTAAATAAATGATTTGAAATGTATAAGAAGATATGTGGAAAAATATTTTTGGTTAGGCTCTTTGAATAGTTTAATATTGAAAACCAATTCACAACAAAACCAGATTGCCTACAAAATTGCAAATGTATAATCGTATCAATGAATATGACTCAATAATGAAAATGACAATGTAGATTTCTATTTGTTGTTATGGAAAAATTCAAGTATTACATTATCAAGAGCAAAGTATGTAAACTATGTTCATCATAAAGTCACGTTAAAGGCGGATAGATAGATAGATAGATTGATAGATAGATAGATAGATAGATAATCTCTGTGTTTAGCGAGCAAGCTCGTTACCTAACTATTTTCTTATCTATTAATGGAAGTTAGTGAATGAATGTAGGATTGGAATGGTTATTGGTAGAGGAGAGTAGTAAGAATTGTTTCTATAGCATTCACCAATAAACAGGTTGTAATAGATACACAGAGTGAAAGGTAGAGCCTTAGATCTATAGAGGTGAAGTTAGGGAATTTTAACCTAGACATTCTCACAACCTCCTCCCCCAGCCCCCCAACACAGAAGGTCTTTAGAGGGCATAGTATGAGGAGAGAGAAAGTAAATAAATAACTTACTGCAGTTTTTGAACTTTTGATTGACCAGGATGATAAACACTAGGAAGCAGATGACAGGAATAACTGGATCCTTGTGCACTGTTCGAATAAAGTGGTTACTCAGATGAGGGGGTGAGGCAAGAATTCTTATAGATACCTAGCATAAGCACTGTGAGCCTGTACCTAATCCGTTCTACCAGAAGGAAAAATATAAACAGATAGCAATTCACCTGGTATTTGCAGATGTTGAGCCCTGAGGAAGCAGGAAGAGTAACCTGGTCTCTCTTCAGCCACCCAGGATGAGAGATGAATGTGAGCTGTTCTGAGATTGTGAAGTTTGAGAAGCAAATCTCCCTCCCCTTAAAGATTAGAGAAGACTTTCAGATATATCTAGCCACTTACTCAAGGATAAAAATTGGTTTTGCCAGAAAAAGCAAAGATTTCCTCTATCAGGAAGATAATGTTCAGATCTGAAAGTTACACCTACCACACATTTGAGCCTGGCCGTGATCAGTTCAGATCGAGGACAGACAGGAAGCCTAACAGAGCAGTTAGAGAAATGCGCTTCCTGAAACATACAAGAGTCTCTGCCTTGGAGAGCAAACTTTAGCTTCTGAGCAAAAGTTCAGAATCTGCAAGACAAAGGGAGAAGAGTAGCATCAGTCTTTAGGATTTTAAATATAAAAGATACATTAGAGGAATTATATTTTAAGCATTTACTATGTGTTAGGCAAAATTTGAATTCCATTACATGTATCAGTGCATGCAGTCTTTATAATATTGGCTTACATATTCATATCACGTAACCCCAGATAAGGACTCATATTTGCAATCTAAAGAAGGTAAGAGTACATTGACATATGCTTAAGAATATACAAAAATGAGAATATGGCCTTAAAAATCAAAAAAGAATACTCTCCCTCAAGTGACCATTATGCAAAGGCATTGTGAATTAGAACTCTGGAGGAGTGATATATTTCCCACATAAATGACAACTTATTATGGTTGAATTTGATCCCCAAATGAAACATAAGGAGTTTATATTTAAAATTACAACTTTCCATTTCTCAATTGTATGTGTGGCAATTATGTTATAAAAGTCATATTGTCCCTTTGTACACAAAACACTTGAGGAATAATTTATATTTTTTCAGAGTGTTTTTCACAGGTGGTTCTTAAATAAGGTGGTCTTTCTCAGGAAAATAAAAACCAACTACCCTCCTAATTAAGATAATAACAAGAATAAGTACAAGAATCATGCTGGCCAGAGCTTTTAAGAGCACGCTGAAGTCCATGGGTTGCTGAAATGTTTGCTTCTGACAGGAATGAAAGCATATTTAATCACTACGCTCAATAATTTATTAGGACCATGCGATCTCCACCATTATACATGTGGAGAAAGCACAGGGCACTGTTGCTTTGAAAGCAAAGGACACTGACAAGATGGAGAACTAGCCTATGCGGCTGGCTCTCTTTCCTATAGCAGCTTGCTATAAATGCAAGCACGAAAGGAACATAAAAAATAAAAAGCCACTGAGAAGAGCAAAGGCATTTAGGGGATGATATTGGCGGTAGCCTGGATTGGAAGACAGGTAGGGGAGTGTATCAGCCATCTTGGGCTGCCATAACAAAATACCACAGACTGGGTGATTTAAGCAACAGCAATTTATTTCTCACAGTTTTGGAGGCTGGGAAGTCCAAGATCAAGGTGCTGGCTGATTCAGTTCCTGGTGACAGCTTTCTCCCTGGCTTGCAGATGGCCTTCTTCTTGCTGTGTGCTCACATGACTTCTTATTTTGGTAGGTTTGGACAGAGAAAGGGAGAAAAATACATATATAATGTCTCTTTCTTTAGTGTTAACTTTGATTCCCTATTACACATACTATTTTTATTATTATACTTTAAGTTCTGGGGTACATGTGCAGAATGTGCAGGTTTGTTACATAGGTATACACGTGCCATGGTGGTTTGCTGCAACCATCAACCCGTCATCTACATTAGGTATTTGTCCTAATGCTATCCCTCCCCTAACCCCCACCCCACTACCCACTACAGGCCCTGGTGTGTGTTGTTCCCCTCCCTGTGTCCATGTGTTCTCCTTGTTCAACTCCCACTTGTGAGTGAGAACATGTGGTGTTTGGTTTTATGTTCTTGTGCTAGTTTGCTGAGAATGATGGTTTCCAGCTTCATCCATCTCCCTGCAAAGGACATGAACTCATCTTTTTATGGCTGCATAGTATTCCATGGTGTATATGTGCCACATTTTCTTAATCCAGTCTATCACTGATAGACATTTGGGTTGGTTCCAAGACTTTGCTATTGCGAACAATGTCTCTTTTTATAAGGACACTAATCTTATGTGATCAGGACCCTACCCTTTTGACTTCATTTACTCTTAGTTACTTCTGTAAAGGATCTATCTCCAACTGTAGTCATATTGGAAGTTAGGGTTTCAACACACGAATTTTGATGGGACACAGACATTCAGTCTCTATCAGGGAAAAACTTTTATACTTTGTTCTTATCTTTCCTGTGAATTCTTTGCAATGATTGAAGGCTGCCCCTTTGCAGCAGAAACAGAAAGCAGTTCAGACTGAAGTGTGTCCCTGGTACAATATTAGAACATATTAAAGTCTTGCTGTTGAGAGAAGCTGATTATAATAGGTGAAGACAACAACCTCCCTCAGATGTTTGTTTACCCTTCTATCTTCTTGCCCTTCACCCTCCATGACTTGTTGATTACATCTTGAAAATATTGGCTCTACACAATACTACTGTTTCATAAACATTTAAGCTTCTCACAGGTGAAGGATTTAAGGTAAATACCTGACAGTGGTTAATATGCAAGGGTAATAAACAGTGCTTCAGTTTTGCGCAAGCCTCTTCATGTGGGGATCCTCCCCACATCTCTTCTTAATGTCACATGTAGGAGTGCAAACTGGAGCTTAACTTTCAACCCTTACTTAATGTATGTTGTGCAATGGAAGTTGAATTCTCCCAGGTAAACTTTAGTTTATATACCAGAGGACAGAAATCCCTGTTTAACAAACTAACAAGCAGAAAAATCTGAACAATATATGCCACATGCAACAGAATTATTGATAGAGGCAGACCGCAATTTTAAAACAGGCTTAATGACGATCCTCAAAACAGAAATAAGACTTTTTAAAGTAGAAATATTCTAAATGAATATATTTATATATATATGAATTTATATATAATATATATTTATATATATTACATATATATTATATAATATATATATTATATATAAATATATATATATAAATATATTGATTGTATGTATCATTATATTGATACATATATCAATATATATTATATTGATATATATAAATATATATAAAATTTATATATTATATAATATATATATAAATTGATATATATTTATTTATATATATATATAAAATTTATATATATATATAATATATAATATATTTTATATAATATATAATATATATTATGTAAAATATATATTATATAATATATATTATATTTATATATTATATTAATATATATTACATATTTATATATAATATATAAATATATAATATATAAATAGAATATATATTATATAAATATAAATATATATTAAATATATATTTTATATGTATAAATATATATTATATATATAAATTATATATATAAATATTCTAAATGAATGCAGTCAAAGAATGAATTACTGAGCTGGAAGATTGTATTGAAAGGCTTTTTCAGAAGTCAACATGAATGTTTAAAGGATAAGTAATATGGAGAGAAGAAAAAATATATAATATCATTCTTTAAAAAATTGAGTCTTGCAGAGAAACAGTGAATAAAGACAATAAAGCTTCCTTTTATTTCTTACTTTTTTTTGTTTCATTTTGTTTTCCTTTGTTTTTAAGACAGAGTTACCCAGGCTGACGTACAGTGGCACAATCCCAGCTCACTAAAGACTCCCAATCTCCAGCACTCCTCCCACCTCAACCCCCTGAGTGTGTGAGACTACAGGCGTGCGCCACCGTGCCCAGCTAATTTTTAAACTTTTTGTACAGACGGGGTTTCACCATGTTGCCCAGGCTGGTCTCAAACTCCTGGGCTCAAGTGATCTCTCTGCCGTGGTCTCCTAAAGGGCTGGGATTACAGGCAGGAGCCACTGCACCTGGCCTTATTCCTTATACTGCTATCCATGCTGCATTTAAAGCAAGAAAAAAGAAATAATGTGTTGAAATGAAAGCATACCTATAATGAGAAACAAATTGTCTGTAGAACAAAAGTACTTCTGATATGTTGATATATATTAAACCCATTAAAGGAGAGAATTAGAGCCAAGTGATTGTATACATTAATAGATTTGTTGGTAAGCTATTTTCTCATTTTCTTTTTAAGCTATGGACTACTAAAAATATCCACATTCACCTAAGAGACACACTCACACAATACTTTGACCAAAAAAGCCACTCTATGACATCTCATTTGTAATGAATAAAAATGGTAGATAAACTGTTCTCCAGTAGTTACATGACGAAATATTTCTATGAGAAATACTAATTGAAATTAGACTATCACCAGGTGTGGTTGCTCACACATGTAATCCCAGCTACTTGGAAGCCTGAGGCAGGAGAATCGTTTGAGGCCAAGAGTTTGAGACCAGCCTGGGCAGCATAGTGAGACTCCGTCTCTAAAAATATAAATACATACATACATACATACATACATACATACATACATACTATAACCTATGTGGAGTAAATAGACACCAGAGGTCACTGAATCACACTTTGCAATTAGATTCTAGCTGAAATGGAAGAGACCCCTAATGTTACCTTACCAACTCATAATTACAGTAACTCAAAATGTTTTCTCTCAACATTAATATAAGAAATGGAAGTAGACTATCATTAAGTGGGTAAGTGGAACATTTTATTTGACTGAAATTATCTGGAAAATGGGCCACATATTAAATTAGCATTACAATGGCCAACACACAGTTAGCCTAACCATTAAATGTAATAGGTAACCTTATTAAAATGTGAATCATGTGATTAGGGGTAACATCTTGCTACATGATTTCTGGTATGTTTAGAACCTAAGTTCCAAGAGGACAGGAATGAGATAAATCTAGTTTATAAGACATAACCAATGCTGGGTTCTAACATGAAAACTAGAGACTTGGAAGTTTATTTGTTCACCAACATTTTGAACTGTGTCTTAGCTCATAAAAAGGTCAATAAATACTCCTTGAATTAATACATATATGAATTAATTGTAGGAAAATAATAAATTTTCTGAAGTCATCAGTGTTTATACTCATGGTTATTCATGATAATGGTTCTAAAGAATTTGAAAATTTATTCAAAACGTATTTACTGCGCACCAACTTTTTGCTAGACATGCACACAGATTATATTTTCCTATTCAGTTTTATTATCCTTTCATGTTATTAGAATACATACAGGAAAAATTTTTAAAAAACTAAAATAATACAATTTCAAATATTTGATTTCTGTCAGTACAAATGACATGTTGAGAAATTCACAATCATTAACCTAATAATTCACAGTTTTGCCACTTCCTACACATGAGTTGTCTCTGCTATCCATAGGGAAAGATTGTGTAAAGGAAAGATTTTAATAGAGCACTGTGGTGCCTGGTTTATATCATGACTACTAGTGACATTAGAGTAAAATTTAGAAAGCAAAATGCATAAGGGGAAATAAAATGAGGAATGCAGATCCAGGTTTGAAAATCAAAAACAGAATCAATTAAGGAAGAAATTTTCTTAATGCAGACACTTATGTGATATGAAAGTAGATCAACCTCATTAACAAAATTTAATTTTTTAAGTCTGCAACTAAAATAATTAGAGGCTAAAAAACAAATTGGCTAAGAATCCCTTGGAAAGCCAATATAGTCTCATTGATATCAAGTGCCATAAGAAATAAATCTGATTGAATTTTCATGTGTTCAAATGTTTATTCATTGTTCAATAAATCAAAGAATTCTAAATGTTCCCTGTAAGGGGCACATAAATATTAGCAATTTCTCAGATCAAGGCTGTGGCTCAACTAGTCTTTGAGCTTTTGTATTTGAATGTACCGAATACAACTTATCGTCTTGAGTAAAAAACATATTTATAGTGGGACATTATCTGAGAATTATTTAATTCCACTCAAAGTAAAACTTCTGATCATAATGAAAAATCAACAATGAATGTATAGTAAATTTTGTTTAAATATTTTAATTATATATACGTAATTAAATACATATGGGAAATATTGTAAAAAACTAAAATAATGCAATTTCAAATATTTGTTTTTTGTCAGTATAAATGATATGTTGGGAAATTCACTAGTGAATACATATATATATATATGTATTTTTTTTTCTGAGGTGGAGTCTTGCTCTGTTGCCCAGGCTGTGGCATGATCTCAGCTCACTGCAAACTCCACCTCCTGGGTTCAAGCAATTGTCTTGTCTCAGCCTCCCGAGTAGCTGGGATTACAAGCGCCCGCCACCACGCCCGGCTAATTTTTTCTATTTTTAGTAGAGACAGGGTTTCGCTATTTTGGCCAGGCTAGTCTCAAACTCCTGACCTCAGGTGATCCTCCCGCCTCGGCCTCCCAAATTGCTGGGATTACAGGCGTGAGGCACTACACCTGGCCGATATATATTTTTTAAATGAAGCCTTCTAAATGTCTTTGTATCTGTCTTGTTCACTGAGCTTCAAATATTAAATTGAAAAAATGCTTAAAAGAATTTTAGAATATAATCAGTGAAGCATTTAAGATCATCATCAACTGTTACACTATTTTGATTAATCTGGTTGTTAAGGATCAATTATCGATTGCAGACAAAAAAAAACACAAAATGTAAACATTTTAAAACTACAAGAACAGCACCTATATACAGTTTCATGTGATCAGTGTTGCTAATGGTATGAGTAAAGTCTTTCTCTATACATCTTGAGCCCTTTAAAAAAAACCTAGCTCGGAAAACTGCATACTCATGCATCGGGAGACCAATAATGGGAAATGCAAATATCCTCAATAAAGTGAAACATAAAGAACAGTCATTTAGGATGAAATCCAAAATACTGAACATCAAATACCATCTGAATCTATAGATTGACTTTCCTTTTGGGACAGAATAATATTACACTATGTATTAAGAAGCATTATATTAATGAGCAAATTGATGATAGACTAATTCTAAAAGACCACAGAGAAATATCAGCTGAAATATGTATTAGGTGTTCTGGTATTTGGGTAACAGAAAGATGAGAACATGCTGAGATGAGTATTAAAACAAAGTGGACAAATTCAACAAGCAAAAAATGTAATAGACAAAATGGAAAGCAATTTAGCCAAATACAGTTAATTTAACAGATAGTGCTTAAGGCTACATTTCCCAAAATCAGGTCTGTTATACAAATGCATCAGAAATACCTTTAAATCTCTTAAAATGCAGATTCCTGGGCTAACTGTATGACACATTGAATCATAATGTATATTTTAAGAAAAGATTTAGTGTAAAAGGATCTAATAATTTCCAGAATAAAATAATGAACGAGAATATGTGCCAAAATAGTGAATTTTATGGTTATAGAGATTCTACTGTTTAAAAAAGTAAATTAAGCAAGAGCTGAATTAATTTCAAGTCTGATTTTGTTTTTCAAGGCTACTGCATAGATGATACTGTATATTTTCTATTCTAGCATACTAAAAGGCATAAAATGCTTTGGTTTTTTTCTGATTTGGATTTTGTTAAGTTGGATCTGTGATTTGGATGTTGTTATGATAAATTCTGAATTAACCATCACATAGTGGTTTTAATAGGTATTGATGGTTGTTGCATACATGCATTATTTCTCCACCAGAAAAATCATAAAAGAATATTACAAAGAAAGAAAGAGAGAAAAAAATTAGCCTTCATTCACACCTAAGGTATATCAATGCCAGATTATGACTACAGCAGTGAAGTAAGATCTTTTCTTCTCCTAATTCTCACCCTCCTCAAATAAGCACTCATCTCAAGACACAAGCAATCCACAGACCAAATATTGAATAGGGAAGGAGGCTTGAACCAAGTGAAAAAACACAAGAAAAGCAAACATTTTTAAACTACTCATTATTTCAATTATGATAAAATAGTGAAAAAAAAAGACAATCACACATCCAACACCCATTCTCTTCTACAGTCTGCATCAGTCTCTGAATGAGGAGAAGCTTTAAACTGAATAAGAGACTGAAGCTTTGATGTAAGATTGAGTTGACTTCTAGAAACTTAAACAATGAGAGTGGTCCTTTAAAACAAAACAATTAGAAAAGCTATGGAGTGTGTGAGAGTCAGGGAAGAAAAACACAGAGATTGTAAGAATGATGTTGTTGTTTTTTTCTTGTACTCTACAAAGTTTGATTGTTAAATAAACAAATTACATTCATATAAAGTTATCAAAAGGTGTCCACTATACTGATTGGACTCATAATCGAAGGAAAGACTAAAAGCATTCTTTAAAATGTGCTTATAGTGAATTTCTTCAGCTGTCTCAGACTAGTGATTTTCTAACTTCAGAAAGAAAAAGTTCGTAAAACACAGTGTAAATGTCACAGATGATTGAATTGGAACATTTGGCTTGTTTGGGCATCCATGTAGAATTGTCAGTGATTGCTGCAATATTTTTCTTAATTGAAGCATACTCTGAATAACTATTTTACCAAGTTATTGTTGGTAGTGATAACTAAGTATGGGTCCAGTCTCTTAATTAAATTCTGTTGTAAGCAATTTCATTCTTAAAATAGATTTCTACACAGGTTGAAGCAATCCTGGAAGGAATGCCACGCATGTAAGCTAATGGCCTGGCGGGGTTCACAAGTATGAATGTGGGTTAATGCAAATGTAGTTAGCAGGATCATTCAGAACAGGGAGAGCTGGACGAAGGGAAAAGTCAATACCGATGAGGTAAATTTGGCAAAGTCCAAAAGTGGAGAAAAGGATCAGAACTGTAAAGCCAAGCAGAACGAGGTCATAATCACCTAAAATTTTTAATAACTCTTCTATTTGCATCTCAGGACTTATTGATTTGAAACGAGGTGGTGGTGATCAGGATATCTTTTTATAGTCAAAGGAGCTTTAAATAAGCTTTTTCCATAAAGCCACACATTTCTTGTAGTCATATTTGCTGAGCTGAACAAAATGCTTTGTTGTTGAAAATGATCATAGTGGACATATTATATTATGTGGCTGATCAAAAGTATTTTATTTTGAAGATACGGTGTAATATATTCACTTGACAATAAGAAAGAAACTCATTTTCTTTTCTGTTTAAAAACATATGCAAAATAAATGCAAAGGACTATAAGTTAGTAAGAATGTGAGGAGTTCGTGGTGTACCTTCTTTTATTATGCTCACACAACCAAAACCTAACTCCTATTGTTTCTTGAAATTTGAAATTGTAATATATGAGTAAATTAAAAAGTTGAAACCCTACTAGTAATATACTATTAAATTAAGTTCCCAAAGAAATTCAGAAGCAAACCCCCCATTTTAAACAGAGAAATAACACATACACACAATGATAAGGAATACTCATTAAAAGTCTCTAAACGTCTAAATGAACAACTGGAGTCAATTAATGGTGCATTCATAGAATGATATATAGTTATTCTAATGCAGATTATAAGATAATATTAATGACATTAAAAAGTCATGATGTTTTAAGTGAAAAGGGATTCATGAGTAAAAATCTATTCTTGAAAGGAAGAAATGTATATATATTCATGCAGAAAATGCTATCATAATAAATTACAATATGATAATAACTGTTACTTGGTAGTGTGTTGGCAAGTGTTTTTATTTTCACTTTTATCCATATTTTTAGAAGTCTTCTTATAAAATGTACTATATTAATTTTGAATAAATTAATATAATAAAATACATTCTTACAGGCATCTTGAGAGACATATAAGTAAGATAAAATGATTCCTTACACCCAAGAAATGTGAAAAGAATGAGGGGAGACTTCTTTTCATAGTAATGATAAACTTAGTTATTTCGACTAACCTTCATGCTCCATGAAGCACGGAAACCAGGTAAGTTATATAAAATATAAACACATCTTCCTAGAAGCATAAAATAGTTACTGGGTGCTATGAACTGAATTGTGCCTCCCCAAAGTTTATACGTTGAGTCCCTAGCCCCCATGGGATGATATTTGGAGGTGGAGATTTGGGGAAGTGATTAGGTTCAGATGAGGTCATGAAATTGGAGCCCTCCCTTAGACACCACATCTGTCAGCACTTTGATTTTAGACTTGTTAGCCTCCAGAACTATGGAAAACAAATTTCCAGGTTGCTTAAGCCTATCCGTCTACGATATTTTGTCAAAGCAGCCTAACTGATTCAGATACTAGGAATGTATGAAAATATTGTGCCACTATCTACGAGATGAAAAATTAGACAGGCAAGCAGGCAAAAATTATTATTAGAAAGAAGATTTTCTGATTGAGACAAAGTGGCTTAGAGACTTAGCAAATCCCTGGGAGCCTTGCTCTGGAAAGCATCTAGAGCTTGCAAAAAATGAGGGCCCTAGTTAAATAGATCCAACTTGGTATTGGGAACTTGAAAGGCTAAAGAAGTTAATGTGAATTGAAAGCTAATCAATATTCACATTAACTTGACTGGTCTTTGAATCATTTGGATGGCCTAGAATAATCTCAAGCCTTCAAATGTGATGATTCCAGATTGCCAGTGCTCCCAGATGTATGTGGAATAAAACAAATTTGATATGCATCTATATGAGGGACGATAACATCACCCTAACCTTCAAATTATTTACATTTGTATTTTCAAACGCATTGTCCTACCCTCTCAAATATAACCAAGGCTATAAAGAAATAAAACAAGGTAAATGAGAACCAGCACAAACAACATATAATAAAAAGAGACATCAGATATTACAAATAGTGGAATTACTATTATAGATAGTGAAATAGGTATACTTAATATACTTAGGGAAATAATAGCTGATATTGAAAATATCGGCAGGAAATTGGAAATTATATAAGGTACTATTCAGAATTTTAAAATAAAAATAATTTAAAAATTCTAAAACTTAAAAAAATGTAACAATCCAAATTAAGAACCCAATGGGTGGATTACACAGCAGATTAGATGAAAGAAACTATCCCACACAAAGCATGGAGAAGAAATGTAAGAGAGAATAAGAGAAAATAGACCAGGTAAACCTAAGCTTAATTTAATTAGTGACTCAGAAATATTAAAAAGGAGAAATGGGGCAGAGGTTAACATGAAGACACAAGGGTTAAGAATCTTCCAAAACTGATGGATGCTATCATTCAGAGATTCAAAAGCCTCAATAATTTTCAAGAAATTTAAATAAAATATTTCTACCTACAAACATTATAGTGAACGTGCTAAAAACAAAGGCATTAAGGAGTGAGGGGTAAAGGTGAAAACCTTTAAATCAGCCAAATATTAAAAAGATTCTCTTTAAGGATCACCAGGTTACACTTTTAAGTGGTTTTTCACCTTTAACCATAAAAGGCAAATAAAATATCTGCCATTTTATAAATTTCTTGCAAAACTAAACCTGCCTGTACTGTATGATCCAGCAATGGCATTCCTTGGTATTTACTCAAACGAATTGAAGCATATCTACACAAAATCTGCACAGGGATATACATAACAGTTTTATTCATAATTGCCCAAACTTGGAAGCCACCAAGATGTCCTTCCATATGTGAGTAGATAAGTAAACTGTGGTACATCTATACAATGTAGTATTGTTCAGCTTTAAAACAGACATGAGCTATTAAGCCACGAAAAGACATGGAGGAAACTTAAATGCGTATTACTAAGCAAAAGAAGCCATTCTGAAATGGCTACATATGATTCCAACTATATGACCTTCTGGAAAAGGCAAAACTATGGAGACAGTAAGATGATCAGCAGTTGCCAGGGGTTGGGGAAAAAAGAGGAAAAGTAGGCAGAACACAGAGAATTTGTAGAGCTGTGAACTACTCTGTATGATACCACATAATAGCAGATACATGTCATTATACATTTGTCTAAACCTATAGAATGTACAACACCAAGAGTCAACCCTAATGAAAACTATGGGCTCTGGGTGATAAAGTTGGTGTCACTGTAGGTTCATCAGCTGTAACAAATGTACCACTTTGGTGCGGGATGTTGGTCATGGAGGAGGGCGGTGCATTTGTGGGGAAAGGGAGTATATGGACTATCTCTGTATCTTTCACTCAATTTTACTGTGAACCTAAAACTGCTCTTTAAAAAAAGGCTATATAAAAGAAAAGAAACAAAAATAAGAAAATATCTGCCAATTTAGAGTTACACTAACTGAAAATATACAAGAATCATGATAAATGAAATATACATTCAGTGAAACAAAAAGAAACTTACAAAAATATAAATACTAAAGGTTCAGTTTAATCAGAAGGAAAATACATTCAAATGGGAAAGGATACACAGCCTGGAATATATAGGAAGGCAAAGAAAATGCACACAGGAATAAATAAATAAAAATACAAAAATTATGTGCATAACTTTAAGTGAGAATGAATTGTTAAAAATAAAAATCACATTTCATGTTTTATAACAGTAATAATAATATCTTATAAGTTGTAAGCAGAAAAATAAAATTAAACTTTTCAAATATCCCTGCATTTTACTTTGAGAGAAGGGCAAAATTACCAATTAACATTAGAATTCGATAAATCAAGGATTAAATTTTAATGTCTATAACTAAAAAAGTATTTAACTATCAAACTAATAAAGGGAATAAAAATAAATAAAAGATCATCGATCATATCAAAATTAGAAGGTAGTAGATAGATAAACCAGGTGAACACTAACCAGAGCAAAGCTTACATAATTACATTAGTAATACAAAATAGATGTTAAAGCAAAATTATAACTAAATAACTGTAATAACTATAACTAGATAACTATTATAACTATAAATGAATCATGATGAAAAATGCTTTAATTAACCAGGACGATACTAAATGTAAATATACATACATTTATTAAAATAGTCTTAGAGGGATTTTAAGATGGCTGACTAGAAGCATTTTATGCCCACCTCCTGTACTTAGAAAAACCTAAATAGTGTATAGACAACTGCACTTAGAATACATTATCCAAGACAGAACACTGGAATTTAACAGAAAAGTAACAGGATAACTAAGAGCAAGGTAGAAAAAGGGACAGAAGAAGCCTGCTTGGCCAGTATTGGCAAGGAGTGACTTCCCAATGTAGAGAAAGGGTAATGAGAGATTTTCAGTGTCCCACATCCCTACCATGGAATCATGCAATCCTGAATACGTAAGAGACCCTTGCCCATGTCAAGTCATGAAATTAACACAGAGAGCTGCCAGAAGACCATAGCATGGAACTGCTCCAGAGAGGGAGTTCAGGCTGGTTCCATACCCTTTCTGAGACCTAAATAGCTACAACAAGGAACCATTTTCAAACCTAGACTTTGTCAGGCTGCACGCTCTCCTGTGGCCCAGCAGTGCTGGGACTGAGGTGTTAGGGAAATTTGGGCCGTCACTGCTAAGACTGGGGCACATTCTGGGAGAACTCCTGAAGTCATGGATGAAAGTGAGCAAGGCTTGGGCTGCAGCTGCCACCACTGGAAAGTGAGTGCTTCTGGGATGGAAAGTGGGGTGGGAACAGTGTGTGAGTTGCCACAGAAACTTAATCATGAACTGGGCAAAGATTCCTGCAACTGGGGCTTAGGCATGAGCTAGGCACAGGCTACCACTGCCAGGGCTGGATGCAAGCTCTACCAGGACTGGGGTGTGAGAGGGACACACATTTCCCATCTGCTCACCATGGCTGTGGCCACCCAGTTAGGTCTCACCCTTTCAAGTGGTGGGGCTTTAGAATAGCTGCTGCCACCCCTCATTCAAGCACTCTACATGGGATCTGAAGAATACCTTGCTCCTGCCTACCATGGCTAGTGCCTTCTCTTGCCATTGGGGAACCTGAGAACAAGATTGCTAAGACCAACTTCTTCCCTGACTCCTACCCCTTAAGACAGAGTATATAACCTGATGTACTGGGCATGGCCCAACACAATTCACCACCTTGGGTATCTGAGCACTCCCCCTGGGAGACCGAGGTTGGGCCTAAAGTCTTAGCGATTATCACCACAGTTGGCATTTATCTGGAAGTACCACCTGCAGGCCTGGAGACTGGCCCACCTAGCCCATCACAGCCACTGGCAACATCAATACACACACACCATTCAGGACCCAAAAAATCATCCCTCTACTGCTTCTGCTGTTGCCCATGCCATGCCAGCTTCCCAGGTGACTGATAACCTACTGACATTCCCAATTCACCACTGCCACTACTGGCATCTGAGCAAGCCACCTGGAGGACAAATAACCTCTTAGTAACTGTCAATACCAGTGGCAACATAAAGTGTCCTGATGCACAAAAATAGACACACTTAGTTTACTAATGCCAACATTAGGGCCTGAAGACTGGCACATGTGGCATCCTAGTACCCAGCACAACTTTACCACAGCTTCTACTAATAAATGCACCCTAACCTCCTGAGGAAATCACAAATACCACTAATGCTGTATACACCCACAGAAATCATACAAAGACTACATTACTGTATGCACCCAGATTCAAAGTAAAATGCCCTACCCACCCGACTTTATAGATAAATCTTCAGGAGGTCCTCCCCAATGCAAGTAAATTTTAAAAATAGGAAGAAGCAACTATTATACCAGATGTGAAAATATCAATGTAGTTACATAGGAAACATAGAAAAGCAGGGAAATATGACACCTCTAAAGGAACACAATTCTCCAGGAACGGATTTTTTTTTTTTTCAAAATCCCACGTGAAGAATTCACTTAAAGAATTCAAAATATTTATTTTAAGGAAGCTCAGTGAAACATAAGAGAATACTGAACAAATATAAAAATAATAAGAAAAAAGCACACAATTCAATATATGAATGAGAGATTTACCAGAGATAGATATTTTTTAAAAGAACATAATAGAAATTCTGGAACTGAAGAATTTATTACAGGAAATACAAAATACATTTGAAAGCTTCAAAAATACAATAGTTCACACATAAGAATGAATCTCAGAACTTGAAGACAGGTTTTTGAAATAATCCAGTCAGACAAAAATAAAAAATAAAAGAATAGAAAGCAAAAAGCAAGGCCTTTATGACATTTGAGACAACATGAAATGACTGAATACTCAAATTATTGGTATCCCCAAGGGTTAAAAAATAAAAGGATTAAATAACCTATGTAATGAAATAATAGATGAAAACTCCTCATATCTAGCAAGAAATTTAGACATTCAGATACAAGAAATTCAGATATTCTCAGAAATATACCATGAAAAAAGTCTTCTCCTTGGCACATTATAGTCAATGAAGTCAAAGACTAAGAGCAAATTTTAATAACAAAACGAGTAAAGCATCTAGTCCCCTATAAAGGAAACCACATCAGACTAAAAGCAGATTTGCCAGCAGAAACCTCACAGGGCAGTACAGAATGGGGTGATGTATTCAAAGTGATGAAAAAAAACTGTCAGCCAAGAATACTAAATCCAGCAAAATTATTCTTCATAAATAAGGAAAAATAAAGTCTTTCCCAAACAAACAAATGCTGAGGTAAATTGCTACCACTAGACAGGAACCTAGAGGAAATACTCAAGGGAGTACTAAATCTGGAAGTGGAAGAATGATATTCATTTTCATGAAAACACACCAAATTATAAAACTCACTGATATAGCAATCACACAATGGAAGAACAGAAAAGATTCAAAAGAGTATCACTACAGAAATCCATCAGACCACAATGACAAAGAATAAGAGAAAAAGAAAGGAATGAAAAACATATGAAACAGTAGAAAGCAATTAACTATATGATAGGAACAAAGCCTCACATAATGATAATAATCTTGAACATAAATAGACTGAATTACCCACTTAAAAGATATAAACTAGCTGGATGGATAAACAAAGCATAATACAACTACAGGCTGCTTATAAGAAACTCACCTTACCAGTAAAGACATATACAGACTGAACGTTGGGAAGTTAAAAGAGATATTTCATGCAAATTGAAACCAAACACAAGCAGAAGTAGCTATATTTATATAAAAAAAACAAATTTTAAATCAAAAAAGTAAAAAGAAAAGACAAAGAAAGCCATTATATAATGATAAAGGGATTTTAGGGATCAAACCAGCAGCAGGATATAACAATTCTAAGTATAAATACATCCAAGATTAATAAAGTACCCAGATTAATAAAGAGCACCCAGATTAATAAAGTAAATAATACTAGATTTAAAGAAAGTGATAGACTGCAACATAATGAAAGTGGGTGGCTTCAACGTCTCACAGTAAGCATTAGACATATTATCTGGACAATAAAATCTACAAAGAAAGTCACAAAACATGTCATCATAAATGTAAAAAAAACAAAATCATATTGAATACCTTCTCAGAACTCCGTAGAATAAAACTAGAAATCAATACCAAGAGGAACTTTGGAAACTATGTGAATATATGAAAATTAAACAAATGCTTCTGAATGACCATTGGATCAATGAAGAAATTAAAATGTAAATTTAAAAAATTATTGAAACAAATGAAAATGAAATCACGATATAACAAAACCTGTGAAATATAGCAAAAGCATTGCTAACAGAGAAGTTTACATCAATAAATGCTTACGTTAAAAGTAGAAAGATTACAAATTAACAATCTAACAGTGCACCTCAGTGAACAAGAAAAGGAAAAAGAAATCAAACCCAAAATTAACAGAAGGAAATAATTAATAAAGATCAGAGCAGAGCTAAATGAAATAGAAAAAAATGTATATAAAGAATCAACAAAATGAAAAATTCGTTCTCCAAAAAGATAAACAAGATGGATAAACTGCTAGCTGAATTCACCAAGAAAAAAACAGAGAAGACCCAAATAAACAAAATAAAAACTGAGAAAGGAGACATTAAAACTGATGCCACGGAAATACAAAAAAATCAAGAGATAATTATGAACAACTGTATGCAACTAATACAAAAATAGACAAATGGGACTTCGATAAACTACAAAGTTTCTTCATAGCAAAAGAAATAACCAATAGAGTGAAGACACAACCTGGCGGGTAGAAAAAAATATTTCCAAATTATTCATCCGACATGAGACTAATATACAGACTAATACAAGGAACACAATAACAACTGGAAAAAAACATAATCCCATTAAAAAGTGGGCAAATGACATCAACAGGCAGTTCTCAAAAGAAGACATATAAATGGGCAATGAAAAAAAATGCTCAACACCACTAATCATCAGAGAAGTGCAAATCAAAACCACAAAGATAGCATGTTACTCCTGTCAAAATGGCTATTAATAAAAAGACAAAAAATAATAGATGTTGGTGAGGATGTGAAAAGCCATCCATCCTTGTACACTGCTAGTGTGAATGTAAACTAGTACAGCCACTACTGGAAAGAGTATGGAAATTTCTTTAAAAACTAAAAATATAATCATCACTCAATCTAGCAACCAGTACAGAGTATAAACCCCAAATTATAGAAATAAATATATTAAAGAAATACATGCATTTATATGTTCATTGCAGCACTGTTCATAATAGCAGAGATATGAAATCAACTTAAGTGTCCATCAATGTATGGATAGAGAAAATATTGTCTATATACACGATGGAATATTTGTCCACAAAAAGTGATAAAATCATATTATTTGCAGCAAAATGGATTGAACTGGAGATCATTGTCTTAACTGAAATAGCCAGGCATAAAAAGACAAATGTAACCTGTTCTCACTTATATGTAGAGAGCAAAACTGAATCACATGAAGGTAGAGAGTGAGAAAATAGCAGAGACTGGGAAGGATGAGTTGCGGGGATGGAGGAGGAAGAAGACAAGTGGGTTAAAGAGTACAAACATATAATTAGAAAAAAGAATAAACTCAAATGTTTGATAGCAGAGTAAGGTGACTATACAGTTTAAACAAAGGTATTCCATGTGGGTGATAGACACTCTAAATGCCCTGACTTGATCATTATGCATTATATACATGTTAACAAAATTTCACATGTATGCCATAAATTTATACAAATAAAAATTCAAAAAGTAGCCTTAAAAAATTTACAACAAAACTATCTAAGCCAAAAGAGAAAATATAATTCAGAATCATAGTTGAATACGTATGTGTATATATATATACATTATGTGTATATATATATACATTATGTGTATATATATATACATTATGTGTATATATATACATTATATACATATATATACACACACACACATATATTTTTGAGACAAGTTCTCACTGAGTGCAGTGGCACGATCTTCGCTCACTACAACCACTGCCTCTCAGGTCCAAGTGATTCTCCTTCCTCAGCCTCCTGAGTAGCTGGGATTACAGGTATGTACCACCATGCCCACTAATTTTTGTATTTTTAGTAGAGATGGGGTTTCACCATGTTGGCCAGGCTGATCTTGAACTCCTGACCTCAGGTGATCCGCCTGCCTTGGTCTCCCAAAGTGCTGGAATTACAGGCGTGAGTCACTGCACGCAGCCAGAAATATGCTTGAATTGACCTATGCAGAATATTATACATAGCTGACACAGAAAACACATTAAAGCAAAGCACACATAGATTTTTTTTTTTTTTTTTTTTTGTAATTGACTGTATGCTGGACCATAAAACCAGCCTCAGGAAATTCTAAAGGTTTGAAACAAGAGTATATTTCTGATGACAATGCAACTAAACTAAAAATCAACAACATAAATAAACATAGAGAATCTCCATTATGTTTAGAAATTTAGAAATATTTCTCAAAATCACTCTTGAATAACATTATACGACAATGGGCATTTAAGAATAAATTGAAATCAAAAATAAAAATACAAAATATAAAGATTGGATTACAGCTGATAATAAATTTATAGCATTACAAATTAATCAGCTAAAAAGTGCCTGTCTTTTAAATGTTAATATAATTATAGTTACATTAAATAAACCATATTTAGATCTTTATTTTGGAATATTCCAAACTTTATTTTCAGTAGTTTTTAATAAATATTCTCCAAAACATGTATTAATACATAAAAAATATGGTTAGATGTTTTTCTAATAGAAAGTAAGTGTGATTTAAGTGATGTTTTTACAATAAGGACTGATTATTCCAGCTGAAATTTTGAAAAGCATTATAGGATGACTTAAAGTATCACATTAAAATATTTTAATGGAAAATGTATTAAAATTAGTTAATATTTTCCCAACGGTCAGAATCATAAATCCTTTTTAGAATAGTCTCCCAAAATTAAGAAAGTGAATGAACTTAATAACTCAGTTGGTTTCTAATTCATTGCTTCCAAAAATTTAAAATTGTTTCCTAATACAGTCATCAAGTAGAATGTCATTAAAAATCATTTTTATAACATATTGCATGGATTTTGTCATGTAATTCAGATAGTTTTCAAAATCTAAGCAACTTTGTAATTATAAAAATAGTCTCCTTCCACATTTTTAAGTATTTTAATCTACTTTTTTAGTAAAACAAATTCACCTAATGCTAATATTTATTAAAATGAGAAAGTGGAATAGAATTGATTCGAGTCCTATTTGATTCTAGCAATAAATAATATTGATAAATTAATAAATAATGAAAATATAAATTCAGCATAACTTATTGAAAAGTCATTTTTCGGCCAGGCGCAGTGGCTCATGCCTGTAGTACCGCACTTCGGGAGGCTGAGGCAGGCAGATAGCTTGAGGCCAGGAGTTTGAGACCAGCCTTGGCAACATGGGAAAACCCTGTCTCCACAAAAAATACAAAAATTAACCATGCATAGTGGCACCCCCTTTAGTCTCAGCTACTCCAAAAGTTGAGGCAGGAGGATGGCTTGAGCCCAAGAGTTAGAGGCTATAGTGAACTGAGATCGTGCCACAATCCCAGTTTTTTGAGACCCTGTCTCAAAAAAAAGAAAGTCATTTTTTTCAAGATTACCTTTTTGATTTAATAATTATGTATCAAACTTTATGATATATTTACAGTTATTTAGATTCATTGGTTGTACTTAGTAAATAAAATGGTAATCTAAGCTATAAGAATTTTATTTTAATACTTAGTGTCTTGCATCATAAGTAAATTTTAAAATAAATGTATATAACATTGTTTCAGAGATTTAGGATCGAATGATGGATATTGTGGCAAGGCCTTAAGTGAGTTTATCAATTGAATATTAATATTTCTACCAATATTTTGGTTTTGAAACATTTTCTTAGTTTTGTGAAACTTCCCTCAAGAGCATGCCATTATTTGACAATAAGTGATCCCACTACCTGATTTACAATAAATCTAAATTGAAGTCATTAAAGGAAACCTCTCTGAAACCAATATATTTTGATGTATCTGTTTGTGTGCGTGTGTATTTGGGAGCAGGATTATCTTTTACTCTGGTCAAGGCATCACAGTGAAATTCAGAATAAGGGATGTTATCTTTTAAAAAATATGGTGAAAGAGAATTTTAGAAAGGAAAATAAGGCCCATTCTTATGCTGATTATCAGGCAAATTAAAATTAGAGGAGAATAATATGAAATTTCAGGGTCTGAAATTGATTCCCTAAATTTAATCTGGCAATATTCACATGGTACAATTCTTCCAGGGTGATGGCATGGCCTAAAGGCTGAGAAACACTCAGGGTTTCTTGCACCGGCAATTTGTAGTAAAAGAGACCATTAACAGTAACACTGTAGGCCAATGTTTTTCAAACTGTAAGTCTTTACTGGATCATTAACATGGTTTAGTAGGTTTCACTAAGTGTCTTTTGATTAGTTATAATAATCCAGATTAGAAAATGTCTAGGTTTATCATAATTAGTAAGAGCAAACATTATTTCAACAAATTGGTTACTGATTATGTTTATATTTATATACATATTGATATTTTTTTGTGCACACATATATATAGACATGTGTATGTATTGTGTTGTAAAATGTATTTCTTACTATGTATAATATTTAAAACCCATAAAAGTTAGCACCTGGTGGCTTAGGCAATACAATACAGACTAATGTTCAGTTTTCCTCATATATGGTCATGGATTTCCTCCGAAAATACATTTCCTTTTTTTTCTCTTATATTTTATATATTTTGCATTTTCTTTTTATATTTCAAATGCTACAAAACGTGGAATGAATGTAAAATGAACTGGCCCTAGTGCTAATTTACAGAAAGGTTTCCAGAATCCCATTTCTCAATCACTAGTCTACCCAACTAATGTTTTTAAGGATGGTCTTCATGGCAGGAAAAAACGAATCAAGAAAATCAAATGAGGAGCCCGAGACTTCAAAATTGTACAAACTGCAGAGTAAATTGAACCAAACCTTGTAATACAAAGTCACTTGGTTTTGTGTTGCATGATATGTAAGTAGCTTTTTTCTATATATATGTTTGCAGGAGTTTTTAGTTATGATGGCTGTCAATGATTAATTCGCCTGCCTCTACTGCTCAACTGTAGTACTCATGTAAAACCAAAAGGACAGAAAATAAAATATTGGGAAATGTTAAAAAAAAAAAAAAGAAAGAAAAAACAATGACTATAGAATCCCTGAAGACTTTTTCACTTTCCAAATAAGCAATGCGATGTCTTAAAGTGAGGAGTGCAAAGTAAAAAAGTTAATGAAGTGGCTCAACTTATAGACAAGGTCCATTTCCACTATATCACATTGCCTTCTATAATTCAGTGTGGCCATCAGATTTGTTTATCCCTACGAACAGCAATATATATCTCAACATATGTAAACTATGCCTTTCTAAACTTCAGCACAGTTTTTCTCTATTAAGACTGCATGCTAGTAAAGTAAAAGGAAAAAAAAAAAGGTCACAATGTAGTGTGGTAGCATAAAAGGGTCATCAATAATCCAATCTTCTCTTTTCTCAGTTTAGAGCTTGGGAACAAAAGAATCATAGAATGTATAACACAATATAAAGATATGCAATACTAATTTCATCCTGAATTACATCTTCCATGTACAATGGATACATTCTTTCAACAACCCTCATCAACTCTTAATTCTTCGATAATTAAAAATAGCTGCATAAGGACAAGATTGCACTCCAAAATAAATACAATTAGTCGCTTAGAGAAGAATGCCAAGAGTTTTCTAAGGATTCTTTGTTAGAATTATATTAAAAGCAATTTCTCCTGAACTGCTTGCAGGCTTGCTTTCTTATTCATCTTTACATCCAAAGAATTAATAAGCACATAGCACCCATTAAAAACATATTTGTGGGAGATATGGAGATGCTAGTTGGATGCTTGGCAAAGTTTCTAAAACATACATTCTTACAAACAGGGTACAGAAATAACTTAGGAATGGGCTTCTAGAATATAGGCCATAAATGGAGACATTAAATCAGTTGATAGAGAATGCCAATTTCAAGGAAATAAATGGACTATTTTATTTAAGAAGGAAATAATTGTAATAGAAAATGTAGTGAGTTTCATGCTCCTTCTAGTCAGTAATTAGACTGTGAAGAGAGTTTCAGTGAAAGTGTTTGTAAGGGTTTGCAAGACTTACTGTATGTTTTAATATGCCATCTAAAAATACAGAAACAATATTTTGGATAATGTTCTTATTCGTGAAATGCCATTAGCTTAGCATCCAGAAAATCTCAATAGACTAAATCTTGGTCACACACTCCATAAACCTTATAAGTGCAATTAATTGTTTTAACTTATTTACTTTTCATAAACATCTAAGTCCTAGTCTCTACAAAAGATAAAAAGGAACTAGTTATATACTATAATTTCCCAATGAGATAGTGTCAAAGAACAGCCCCATTTTATATAGCTAGGTGGATAATTAACATACGCATGAACAACATTCATTTTTCTTTTCTTTTCTTTTCTTTTTTTGAGACTGAGTTTCACTCTTCTTGCCCAGGCTGGAGTGCAATGGTGTGATATTGGCTCACTGCAACCTCCAATTCCTGGGTTCAATCAATTCTCCTGCCTCAGCATCCCGAGTAGCTGGGATTACAGGTATGTGCCACCACATCCGGCTAATTTTGTATTTTTAATAGAGATGGGGTTTCACCATGTTGGTCAGGCTGGTCTTGAACTCCTGACCTCAGGTGATCCGCCCACCTTGGCCTCCCAAAGTGCTGGGATTACAGGCATGAGCCACTGCGCCGGGCCAACATTCATTTTTCAATGCCAACAATCCTATTGTAAATGCAATCATTGTTATTACATTCTTAATATATAAAACTTATTTTCCAATTTTCTGTAACATTACAAATTTTTTTAATTTGTAATTTAATCAGTTTTTTCCTAGATTTTGGAGGAATCACAATAATTGTGTACTTCTTGGTAACATTAGAGCAAAACTTGTTTTAGTATCCATGAATATCACATATCATTAGGGATTGTTTCTGCACATATTTCCAACATCTTATAGCTTAAATAAAATTTGTTCATTTTATAATGTTTTATATATTAGATCTCTGAACCCTTTCTATTGCATAGAATGGTTACTTTTAATTAAAAATATTTTATAAAAATAAATGTATATATATCATGTAATCTTACTATTACATATGTATGTGTGTGTGTACACAAACATATATGTATATATTAGAGAGAGAGAGTTCAGTAGTATAATACGGTAGACAGCTGCAACAATTAACTGGCCTTTGCAAAACAACTTTAGCATTGAAATTAAAAAATAATAAATTACCAAAGTGAAAATATTTCTTGCATTTCACAAGAGAAAATGCATGCTACAGCTTCTGTTTTAAAATGTATATGCAAGACGTACATCCCTAGCCACTGGACAGGAGTATAGATTAGAGATAGGTAGTGGACATAGTAACAGGTGACTTTAGATGAGCTTTCTTCTGTGTACCTTTTGGCCGGGTTGATATCTAATGCACTGGGTGTACTTGAGATTCATTATAAATACATATATTAAGATAAAATGTAGTAGTGAAATAGGAAATTTATTTATCAACAAGATCAAGGATGCAGTCCTCTGCCCATTCTACCCTTTCAAGTTATCTAACTTAAGAGAATAAGAATTGTATAGATGTGGAAATAGTTGGAGAGAATTTTTATCCTTATTAAAAATAGATATGCACACCAATATTCAACACCTTTATAAAAAAAATCCTATTTACAGCTCTAAAAAGCCACTATTAAATCACCGTAATCATGTGCTAGAGAACAGGTGTTTTAAATCACTAAATTTGGAAGTAAAGTGAAGTTGAAGGAGCATGTAGGAAGCTTTTTATTGGCTGATTGTGGCTGCAGTTTCCATGGCAATTCCACATGCACCCTGGTTCCCAAATCTTACTCTTTCAAAATGCAGTGGCAAATACTATTTATTATGAGGACAAAAAAAAAATGGGTCAAATTATCATCATTTGTTGAGCTAGAAGCAGTAATAGAAATAGGAGCATGTATGGAACTCTCCTTTATTGTTTGCTCACATTTTTTGTCATCCGCATTCATTTATGCATATTTTCTGCGCCCTCTGCTGTTAACATATGTTACAAAAGAAAAATACCCCTAGGGCAACAGCTTGTTACAATAATCATCATTTATTGTGAAAAAAATGCTAGTCATACAAAACACAAGCCACACTTGATGTTTATGTTTAAAGAGTTACACATTTAGATATATTAAAATCAATATAAACTAACATTAACTGAATACTCCAAGGCCCTATAACATTGCAGTTTGAGTTGTAGTATGGCCCCTGTTTATTAAACTGAGCTTTATCATTAGAATTAGAACAGAAGAAAGAAATAGACTGAGAGTTGTGACTAAACAGCTCAGTTAAGAAAACTAAGAGGCAACGATGGGAATCTTAACCTGGCTCTACACAGGCAAGGACTTCTCTTGTCTTTTACTTAGCAAGAATACTCATATGTGGAGGCATTTTTAAAGTGGAGTATGCCTGAAAGAGTGTTGGGCTACAATCAAATAAAATTCAAATAATCCAATACCACTTTCTATAAGACATAAATTATAGTTCTAGTTGATTGCCTAAGGAGAGAAGCAGCCATGCTGATTCTAGTGAATTTAGATTTTGGTGAATCTGTAAAGACAGAAGGAATAAAAACACTTTTGGAGTAGAGATAGCAAGGAACAGCAAGCAGTATTGGAGTTTCTACTTGTGATGACTTCATTGAGGAATTTAGAAGAATAGCTCTGATATGGAACATGTGGATTAAAAATAATTGTCTACCAGAAACAGAATAATAACCCACAGGTTGGAGCTATTTGGGCTGAAGAGAGGCATCCAGGTTAGAGATGAAACTGGGAGGACCTAGTGTAAACTAGGTCCAGTAATGTAATATAATGTAATTTCAGTAAGGTAAATTAAGTAATGTAAATTAAGTAAGGTAAAATTCTGTATCTCAAATTACATTTTTATAGAGTTTATATCTTGAGAGTCTCTCATCCTCAAGATGCTTATGTATCTTGAGTATCTGAGAGTGCTAAATTTCAACACTTAGAGTCAGAATCCAGGTTTTAATTTTTTTTTTTTTTTGAGACAGAGTCTCGCTCTGTTGCCCAGACTGGAGTGCAGTGGTATGACCTTGGCTCACTGCAACCCTACCTCCCAGATTCAAGCAATTCTCCTCCCTCAGCCTCCGTAGTAGCTGAGATTATAGGCCCCTGCCACCACGCCAGCTAAATTTTTTGTATTTTTAGTAGAGACGGGGTTTCACTATGTCGGTCAGGCTGGTCTTGAAATCGTGACCTCGTGATCCGCCCACCTTGGCCTCCCAAAGTGCCGGGATTACAGGTGTGAGCCACCACGCCGGCCCCAGGTTTTGAATTTTGGCTTTTAGCTCAGTTACTTATTTCTGAGTTACAGTTTTCTATTTTGAAAATTGAAATGATTGTATCAATTTTGCATTTTTGCCATAATGATTAAAGACGATAATATATGTATTGTGTTATTTGAACAATGTAAATACTTATTATGTTTCCTTCTATTTTCTTCTGTCCTTCTGATTCCTTATCTGACTGATGCTGTGGGAAGTTAGCATAGTATAAGCACAGAGAAAAAGCCAAAAATTCCAGTGGTGAATTATTTAGAATATTTTCTCCTTCCTCCCTCCTCTTAGTAGCAAACACTACATTAGAAAAAGGACTGGGGTATTATGAAAACTCTCTGTACTTTCCACTCCATTTTGCTGTGAACCTAAAACTGTTCTAAAAATAAAGTTTATTTTATGCTTTAAAAAGGCAGTGCAAAGTATCAATGCAGGAAACTGGCTCATGAAGTTCTTTGTTCTGGGAGCTGCTTCTGCCTATCTTTCATCAATCTCATTGACACTTTCTATTTTTGTTTCTGGCAATAAACACCTAGTTCTTCAGAGTCTGCATCCATCTGTGCCATCTTTTGGACAAGGAAGTCTAGAAGCACAGAGTCTCTAAAGTTCTGGTGGTCAGATGTCTCATGGGTCCCTAGTGGTTTGTGGAGATGGGTCTTCAAAGCAGTGGTAAACATACTCTGTTAGCTTCTCTTACCCCAGCCAAATCATTTTCCCATCAAAACCAATACTCACACTATGATCTCTGAAACTAAATTGCAAGGGGATACAGCAGCAGAATGTGTACTCCATATTTCTAACAAAATTACAATTCTGAATCTCTGTTAGGTCTTCTAGCCTTCTTTCTTCAAAGTCTAGAACTACATTTAGCCCCTTAGCATCCCTTATATTTCTGTTTTCCCTAGGTCATGTCCGTTTTTTGGTATTTAGAGAACAATAGCACTTAGAAGCCAACATTTTACCAAGTCCCAAGTCTTACCATCTCATCATGACTATTCCAGAAAGGGAAATGTATTTTAAAAGCATAAGAGGAAATGGTTTTTAAAGCCCCAGTCTTCCCTGGAACTAAGGGTTTTACAGCCAAGTCCTAAAAGAGAAGATATACTGTTCCATATTTTACGGTGGCTCCATTGTGTTTCCTCTAAAAAGACACTTGAGAAATTCAAGGAAGATGCTTAGAACAAATAAGGATTTAATTTACCATTCTTAGCAGATGTCTCTGCCTTTGGTTAGAGAAAGGCCATCCAAGGAAGAGATAAATTAACCTTCCTCTCTCTTCTTCCTTAACCAGTTGCCTAATTTCATTTTTGGAAGAATGTAAACGATGCACATGGACTTCTCGATGCAGTTAACCAGAGGGATTATGATGAAGTATGGGGAGCATAATAGGCAGAGTACAGCCTGAGTAAGATTCCCACATCCCCCTAACTCTCCACAAACACACAGACTCACACCTTACTGATGGCTTGCCCTGTGAGAATATCAGGCTGTGTAAGCATATGCAGATCTTCAAAGGACGTGTCGCCATTGTGCATGCATTGCTGCATAGGAGATTCCTAATGAAGAAATACTGCAAATGTAATTTATTGTAATCCTTTATATGACTGCATCTCTATAGATCTTTAATATATATTTTATATTGTTCATATTTCTGGATTGAAGTTATTCGACTACATATATTTCCTTTACTTTTTTTGGTTTAAAGTCCAGGAAGTCCAGACATTTGTTTATGCTTTTGTTTATTTTAAATTTTCTGCATCCCTACCCATTCAAGAAATATTATTTAGTAAGTTCTACATTCCAAACACTGAGCTGAAAGAGAAGTAAAACATGATCTTTATCTCTAGGATCTCATAATGGTAAGCCATTTTGCATGCTTACTATGTGCTAGAGATAAAATTTTCATTTAAACATTAAATGTAAACATTAAAGAGGAAATATTTTATCCCATTTTACTTATATAGAAACCAAGAATCAAAAAGGATCAACCAAGGGCATATCTCTGGAGGGAATCTCGGAACGGTTAGAATGGGAAGCTTATAAAAAGATACGTTACAATCTATCAAATATATAGAAAAGGAGAAAATAGATTTTAAAAAGTTGAAAAATAGACAACAAAAAATGAAAGAAAGTATCAGGAGGAAAAATATGAGGCTATATCCGCAGTACTTCCTCTATTTAACATGCTGTCAAGGTGGTAAATAGGCAAACATAAAGCTTTTCTAAGAAATACATGTCCAGAAACTAAACAAGAACTTTGGTGTATCAGCTTATTTCACCCAGAACTACAGTATAAGCATCAGTTTCAAAGTTATGAGATGTAGCAGTAGATATTTCTGATATGTTTATCCTGATCTTTAGACAGTGTTTTCATACCATGTAAGTAGCCAAAAGATCATCACCTTTTGTTTCTTGTGTGACTAATTGACATGCTTTTGAGCAACAGAAGTTCACTCAAATCACAACTGATAAGAAATTGTGTCGAGTGATTTGTTGCATTTCCACTGCTATTACTCAGCTGATGGTGTCATAACAAAAACATATACCCTTTACTGAATTAAATCTTCCAAGTTCAATGTTTTGGAAGTTTTACATTGTCTAAAGATTTTAGATTAAAGATTGATTAAATATCCCTTTATCTGAAAAATAAATATTAATGTTATTGATCCCTCCAAAACTCTGAGGAAGAGTATAAGTTTTTTCTTTCTTGTTTCTAAGCTGGTGTCTCTTATGAATAAGAATAGTGCTTTCATATATTTATATCTTAGTTGTATAGAATTATGAAAGTGCTAGTTTCCTTATAGCTGTCCCTTTCTCTCATTGATCTTTGTTCTGTTACTTTCCCCAAATCGCTCCCATTTATTAAAGTTTTGAAAGCAGCAGGTTAAGTACACAACTTTTACTTTCTTACATCATTCTCAAAAACAATCAGGAGAGTTTTTCTGCCCATTGTCAAGGTGGCACTAGGATGGAGCAAAAAAGATACAATCTTTGAATTTAACTCTCCAGAGTCCAAATCTAATTTTAGAATTTTCTATCTGTGAGACTTTGTGCAAGTTACTTAAGTGTATCATGCTTCGGATTTTTTTTTTTTAATCTTCAAGGAGTGAATAATGTTACTATTCTCCAACGGCTTTGTGAGGGATATATAAGACCTGTGTGTCATGCCTGGCCTACAACCAGAATCGTGCAGCTTTAAAATACTAAATGCTAGCTCCCTCTGCTTTTAAAGGGCCCCTGAATAGGGGTCCTTTCTAGCAATTGGAGAAACCAAAAGACAATCTGGACAATTCAGGGATTTGGGACTTGTGCATTCAGTTTTTACCTAGTCAGAGCTTTTTAAAGTACCACTTGGACCTGACCTTGGATGTGAGACAGTGTGTTTTAAAACATCAGAGAACTCGGCCTTCAGTATTTATCAGATGAATCTGAAATAACAACTGCTAGGTTCTGTAGAAGGATTCTGCTGGCTCTCTGATTTTAGACAATACTCACAGTCGATCTTCCCAGATTCCTAAATAGTAAAATGAGGTATTAGGTAATATCAATGAGGGCATGATAGAAATCTGTGGCTTTGCTGCTCCTTCTAGAGCCTCTAGCAGAAATATCTGATCTACTGCAAAGGAAGCAGCTTGCTGAGAAGGAGCCTCAAAATGCTGTTCAACACTTCACGTGTGTTGGGAATGTAGGTTGGTTATTTGTCAGTACTTGGGTTCTACAATTCCTTAGCTCCCTTCCAATTTTTAATTGCACACTCTGTGATTATTATTATTATGAGGCTCATTTGTTATACTGTGTTAGAGTTACAGCCTCAAGGGTCAATCAAGTGCATATGACTCTTTGTCCCAGCCTACTGTGCTTTTTTATTCTTCTGTTTGCTCTATAAATATGAAGATTATTAGCCATAAAGCAGTCAAAATTTGGGGAATGTCTGCCAAAAATCATGATTAGTTTTATAACCAATGATCTATAGTCCTTCTTCTGGTAGTAATTAGACAAATCAATCTACACTAGTGGAAATAATATAACCATGTCTTATAAAGAAGAAAAAAATGCCGATATTTTTCTTTATCGGACTCCTTGCAAATAAGTGAAACAGTGATATCAAGTCACTGTGACAAAATTTAACAAAGGTGAGAATTGCTCATAAGTCATCCTTTTTATACACCCGCTATAGTTTGTTACTGTTTCATTTAAGCTATCATTCTATTGAAGATTCACATGTTGTAGGTTTTAGGAAAGAATCATTAGGAGGGGTCAATATTGGGTTCCCACAATTTAGCCTATGGCTTATTTCTATCCAAATAATGTAAGATGAAAGAAAGGTTAATAAACACAGAAAAACACCATATGCTATTCCAACTAGATTATTTAACACTATGACAAAGCTTACAAGTAATGGAAGAATTATCACTAAAACCCATTTGTCCTTCATTTATAAGACTGTCTCAAGTTTAAAATTTACTATTCAATTATCTGGAATTTTTTCTGGTTAGACTTCATTTTTAGAACAGGTTTAGATTAACAAATAGTTGTAAATATATTCCCAATATGTTTGGCATACAATTTTCTCTATTATCAGCATCTTAACATTAGTATGACAGATTTGTTAAGGAAAATGTATCAATATTGATACATTATTATTAACTAAAAGTCATAATTTATTCAAATTTCCTGAGTTTGACCTAATGCTCTCAACCTGTTGCAAGGTCCCATCCAGGATGACACATTCCATTTAGTCGTCATCTCTTTAAGGCTTATCTTGACTGTGACAGTCTTTCAGACTTTCCTTGTTTTAGATGATGTGCACAGTCTTGAGGAATTCTTGCCAGATATATTGCAGGATGTCTCTCTGTTGGAATTATCTGATGTTTTTCTCATGATTTGACAGAGGTTAAGAGTCTTTAGAAAGATGATCACAGAGATAGTGCCATTATTAGCACATCATTTCAAGAGTACACACCATCAAAAGGATTTATGACTGATGATATTGACCTTAATTACCTGTGGTATTGGTTGTGTTTCTCCATTGTAAAGGTGCTTTTATTTTCCCCCTTTCCATATTGTAATTTTTTGAAGGTATCACTACATACATATAAGAGGTGGGGAGTTATATCCCCCTGTTTTAGGGCTGTATTAGTCAATTGTCACAGTGCTATAAAGATACTACCTGAGACTGAATAATTTATAAACAAATGAGGTTTAATTGACTCACAGTTCTGCTTGGCTAGGGAGGCATTGAGAAACTTATAATCATGGGAGAAGACAAAGGGGAAGCAAGCATGTCTTACCTGGTGACAGGAGAGAGAGAGCGAGATCAGGGGAAACTGTCATTTTAAACCATCAGATCTCACGAGAATTAACTATTATGAGAACAACATGGGAGAAACTGCCCCCATGATCCAATTAACTCCCACTAGGTCCCTCTCTCAACATGTTGGGATTGCAATTTGAGATGATATTTGAGTTGGGGTACAGAACCAAATTATATAATTCCACCCTGACCCCTCCCAAATCTCATGTCCTTCTCACATTGCAAAATACAATTATCCCTTCCCAACTGTCCTCCCAAGTCTTAACTCATTCTAGCATTAACCCAACAGTCCAAGTCCAAAGTTTCATCTGAGACAAGGCAAGTCTCTTCTGCCTATGAGTCTGTAAAACCAAAAGCAAGTTAGTTGCTTCCAAGATACAATGGGTTACAGGCATTGGGTAAATGATCCCATTCCAAATAGGAGATATTAGCCAAAACAAAGAGTCTATAGGGCCCATATAAGTTGGAAATCCAGCAGGGCAGTCATTAAATTTTAAAGCTCCAGGATAATCTCCTTTGACTCTGTGTCTCACATCCAGAGCACACTGATGCAAGATGTGGACCCCCAAGGCCTTAGTCAGCTCCAACCCTATGGCTCTACAGGGTACAGCTCCTGCAGCTGCTTTGATGTGGTGGCATTGAATGCCTGCAACTTTTCCAAGTGCACAGTGCAAACTGTCAATGGATCTGCTATTGCAGGGTCTGCAACATAGTGGCCCTCTCCTCACAGCTCCACTTGGCCATGCCCCAGTGGGGATTCTGTGTGGGGCCTCCAACACCACATTTCTTCTCTGCATTGCCCTAGTAGAAGTTCTTCATGAGGGCTCCACCCCTGCAGCAGACTTCTGCCTGAACATCCAGACATTTCCATACATCCAGTGAAATCTAGGCTGAGGTTCTCAAACCTCAACTTTTGTCTTCTGTGCACCCACTGGCCTGATACCATGTGGAAGCTGCCAAGGCTTGGGGCTGGCACTGTCTGAAGCCACAACCCAAGCTGTACATTGGCCCCTTTTAGCCATGGCTGGAGCTGGAGTGGCTGGGACACAGGGTGCCATATCCTGAGGCTGCAAAGAGTAGCAGAGCCCTGGGTCTGACCCATAAAACAACTTATCCCCCTAGACCTCCAGTCCAGTGATGGGAGTGGCTTCCTTGAAGATCTCTGAAATGCCCTGGGAATGTTTTCCCTATTATCTTGGCTATTAACATTTGGCTCCTGTTTACTTATGCAAATTTCTGCAGCTGGCTTAAATTTTTTCCCAGAAAATGCATTTTTCTTTTCTACCTCATGGTTAGCCTGCAAATTTCCCAAACTTTTGTGCTCTGCTTTGCTTTTAAATAAAAGTTCCAGTTTCAGATAATCTCTTTGTGAATGCAGATGCCTGAATACTTTCAGAATCAGCCAGGTCACCTCCTAAATGTTTTGCTGCTTAGAAATTTCTTCCATCAGATACCCTAAATCATCTCTCTCAAGTTCAAAGTTCCATAGATCTCTAGGGCAGGAGTAAAATGCTACTAGTCTCTTTGCCAAAGCATAGCAAGCATGACCTTTACTCCAGTTCCCAATCAGTTCTTTTTCTCTGTCTGAGACCACCTCAGCCTGGACTTCATTGTTTATATCACAATTAGTGTTTGGGCCAAAACCATTCAACAGGTCTCTAGGAAGTTCTAAACTTTCCCACATCTTCCTGTCTTTTTCTGAGCTCTCCAAACTGTTCCAACTTCTGCCAGTTACCCAATTCCAACGTCACTTCCACCTTTTTAGGTATCTTTATAGTAGTACCCAACACTTGGTACCAATTTTCAGTATTAGTCTGTTCTCACACTGCTATAAAGATACTACCAGAGACTAAGTAACTTATAAACAAAAGAGGTTTAATTGACTCACAGTTCTTCATGTCTGGTAAATCCTCAGGGAACTTACAATCATGGCAGAAGGCAAAGGGGAAGCAATACACATCTTACATGGCAATAGGGGGGAGAGAGAGAGAGAGAGAGAGAGAGAGAGAGAGAGAGAGAGATCAGGGGAAACTGCCACTTTTAAACCATCAGATCTCATGAGAACTCCCTCACTATCACGAGAACAGCATGGGGGAAACCACCCCCATGATCCAATTACCTCCAACCCGGTTCCTCCCTGGACAAATGGGGATTACAATTCAAGATGAGATTTGGTTGGGGACATAGAGCTGAACCATATCAAGGACAAACATCAACATACATTATTTAGAATTTTTCTATGAAAGAGATTTGTTTCTTCTTCTCCGTTTATTAATTTAATTATATCAGTATAGACTCATGGATATTTATTTTATACCTTGGGCTCTTACTACTATTTTTGGTTGCTCAAATTGTCTCAGGTTTGGAAACTGGGATTTCTTTCTGTCTGCTCATTAGCTCCTTTAATAAACAGCATCAATGTTGTTATTTATTTATTTATTTAGTTAGTTAGTTAGTTTTAGTGCTTTATTTCATATACCCACCAAATAGCTTCCTGAAATTTAGACTGAGATTGTGTGGAGTCTATAGAGTCAGGTTAAGAAGAATGGACATATTAGAAATATTGTATCTTTCAATCCATTAACATGGAATATCGCTCCATTTACTTAGATTTTCTTTTATTTCTTTCATCAGTTTTGTACTATTCTGTACATTTTGTAGATTCTGTATGTACTTTGTTAAATTTATACTTCAGTCTTTTATTATTGGTGCTATTATAAATGGCATTGTGATTTAAATTTCAAATTACAATTATTTATTACTATAATACAGAAAGCAATTGACATTTCTATTTTAACCTTGTACTTACTGTAAGCCATAGAATAGTTTATTAGTTTGAGGAATTTTGTGTGTGGATTCTTTGGAGTTTTCTATATAGACAATTATATTATCTTTGAATAGAGAGTTTTCTTTCTTACTTTTCAATCTTTATATACATATTTTTATTTCCTTCTCTTATCTTTTGCACTAACTAGGTTTTACATTATGATGTTGAATAGGAGTAGAGAGCAGGGACACCCGTGTATTTTCCCCGATGTTAGAGAGAAAACATTTAGTTTCTTATCATTAAGTGTAAATTAGTTGTAGATTTTCGGGGAAGGAGGTAGATATCGAGTTGAGAAGTTCCACTCTATTACTACTTTACTGAAAGTTTTTATAATGAGGGAGTGTTGGATTTTGTCATCTTTTTATGCATCAATTAAAATGATTCTATAACTTTTACTTAGCCTGCTGATGTGCTTGATTATGTTAAATGAATACGTTCCACTTTGTGGTGGTATACAATTATTTTTATACGTTGTCAGAATAAATTTGCTTATATTTTATTCAAGATTTTTGCATCTATATTCATTAGAGATATTGGTGTATGGTTTTTATTATTGTGATTTAATTAATTTTGTTATTAATGTTGGCCTCATAAAATGAGTTAGCAAGTGTTCTTTCTGCTTCTATCTTCTGGAAGATATTGCAAATAATTGGTAAAATTTCTTCCTTAAATTTTTGGTAGAATTAATCAATGCAACCATCTGGGCCTAGTGGTTTCCTTTTGGCGGGTTACTAATTGTTGATTCAACTTTTTGATAGATCTATATGGCTATTTAATTCTTCTGTTTCTCTTTATTTGAGTTTTGGTACTTCATATCTTTCAAAGAATCAGTCCCTTTCATCATAGTTATCAAATTTGTGATCATAGAATTGTTTATAATATCCCTTTATTGTCCATTTTAATGTCCATGGGATAAGTAGCAGTTATGACCCTTTTTCTATTTTAATATTAATAATTTTTGTCTTCTCTCTTTTTTGCTGATTATCTTGAATTAGTGGTTTATCCATTCTATTTATCTTTTCAGGTAAACTGTTTTTTATCTTATCGACTTTTTCTATAATTTGCCTGTTTTTAATTTTATTTTTTCTTTTCTAATTTGCATTATTTCTTTCTTCTGTTTGCTTTAGTCTTAGTATTTTTATTCTGTTCTAAGATGGAAGCTTAAGCTATAGATTTTAGATCTTTCTTCTTGCCTAATAAATGAATTGGATGCTATAAATTTTTCTCTAGTAACTGCCTTTGCTGCATCCCACAAGTTTTGATAGGTTGTATTTCTGTTTTCATTTAGTTTATTTTCTTAAATTACCATAAGACTTCTTTTTTGACTCATATGTTATTTAAAATTATATTGTTTAATCTCAAAATATTTAGCAATATTATCACTATCTTTCTGTTTTTGATTTCTTGCTTAATTCCTTTGTGGCTTGAAGAAGTAATTTGTATGATTTCTATGGTTTTAAATTTGATGTGATATGTTCTTTTGACCCAGAATAGGGTCTATCATGGAGATTATTCTATGTGAGTTTGGAAGAAGTATGTATTCCAGTATTGTTAGATTTAATATTCTATAAATGTCAATTAGATCAAGTTGATTGAAAGTCAACTATATCTTTTTATGTCTTACGCCTACTGAATACATCAACCACTAAAAGAGGGTTGAGGAAGTCTCCAACTGTAACAGTAGCTTTGTCTATTTCTCCTTCTAGTACTATCAATTTTATCTCCTGTATTTTGGCTCTCTGGTGTTAGGTATATGCACATTAAAGATTGTTATGTCTGATTGGAAAATTGACTCCTTTATAATGATGTAATGCTTCTCTTATCACTGATAATTTTTTTGGGGGTTGAAGTCTTCTCTTTCTTAAATTAATAAAATGTCTCTCAAGTTCTTTTGATTAGTGTTAGCATTGTGTATCTTTCTCAGTCCCTTTACTTTTCACATAAATGTGTCTTTTAACATAAAAGTGTCTCTGTCTTTTAATTTATGTATTTAGATTATTCACATTTAAAATGATTATTTATATGGTTACATTAACATTTACCATGTTTATAACTGTTCAAATCATTGTACTTTTTTTGTTAATAGCTTTTTTTCTTTTCTGCCTTCTCTGATTTTAAAAGAACATTTTAGATGATTGCATTTTCTCTTCTCCCTTAGTAAAACAATTATACTTCTTTTTAGAAAATTTTAGTGGCATTCCTAGAGTTTGCAATATACATTTTCAACTAATCTAAGTTCATTTTCAAATATTACTATACCATTTCATGTGTAATGCAGGTACTTAGAAGGCTTTTTCTAATTCCTTTCTCCTACCTCTTATATCATTGTCAGCATTTATTTTTATCCCTATGTTATAATCACTCAATACATTGCTGCTATTATTTCTTTGAAAAAAAGTCTTACAACAATTAAGAATAGTAAAAATAAAACATTTCATTTTTATACTTCCTTGTTTATTCTTTGATCATCTTCCTTTCTTTATATAGACATGAGTTTCTGATGTACATTATTTTTCTTTTTAAAGAAATTTTTTAAACATTCTTTCAAGTCAGGTGTCCTGGTGATGAATTCCTTTAATTTTTGTTTGTCTGAGAAAATATTTCTCTTTCACTTTTGAAGGACAATTTCACTCTATATAGAGTTCACATTTGGTAGTGTTTCTTTTTCTTTCCACACCTTAAAAATTATATTTCAGTTTATTTTTGCCTATATGGTTTTTGATGAAAAGTGCAGGGTGGGTAACATGCTTTATTCCTGTCTTCTTTCAAGATTTTTTCTTTGCCTTTAGTTTTCTGTGGTTTAAATGTAATATCGCTGACAATAGATTTTTTATTTATTTATTCTGTTTAAAGACCAAGCCAGATGCGTTGTATTGTGTAATAGAAACTGATATAAATAGGCCTTGAGTGTAGAATTTGATGTTATTCTGGCTAGAAGTTGTGATCTATTTAATGTTAACTGCAGCTGCAGATGATGGAGATTTCTTCTAGGGTCTTTGTTTTTGTCTCCTCTGTTATCTTTGGGTTTTCAAAATAGAACCTGTTTCTAACAGGTTTTTTTTTGTTTTGTTTTGTTTTTTAATTATCAATCCACTGTTATTATACCAGAGCCCTGATGCTACTGTGGTAAAGTGTAGGGGAGGGGAGCATTCTATAATCTTACAATCCAATCTTACTCTTTCAGTTGATCAATGTTCTTCACAAATGTTTCTGAGCCATATGCTTGCCCACCTTAAGTGAGACAGAAAGGCTAAAAAGGGCTGGAGTTGGGTAATTGCCTTTCCATCAGTTTGGGTAAGTCTATGGTGCAGTCTTTTCCCTTGCAAGGGAGTCCTTTGTTACTTCTCTCTCGAGGTATTTCAAACAGTTACTTTTCTCTTATCCTGTTAGAAACACACGCAGATTTTTCTCGACTCTTTCCTGGGAGAACGTGGTGGTATTTCTTAAATTAAAGCTCATGAAAGTCAGGAGTTTCTCTTAAGAATGGTCCTGGCCGGGTGCGGTGGCTCACACCTGTAATCCCAACACTTTGGGAGGCCGAGGCGGGCGGATCATGAGGTCAGGAGATCGAGACCATCTGGCTAACACGGTGAAACCCCGTCTCTACTAAAAATACAAAAAATTAGCTGGGCGTGGTGGCGGGCTCCTGTAGTCCCAGCGACTCGGGAGGCTGAGGCAGGAGAATGGCGTGAACCCTGGAGGTGGAGCTTGCAGTGAGCCGAGATTTGCGCCACTGCACTCCAGCCTGGGCTACAGAGCAAGACTCAGTCTCAAAAAAAAAAAAAAAAAAAAAAAGAAGAAGAAGAATGGTCCTTAGGAGTTTCTCATTCTGAAGCCAGTCCACAGCCTCGAGTAGTTTGTCAAAATTATCATTTAAGTGTTCCCACCAGTTTATGGCTCTGTGGCTTCTGCTTCAGGAAAATTGATCTCAGCTTCATTTCTCTGTATTTGCCTCTCTTTCCAGATTAAGAGGAGTCAGTTTGCCCTACGACCTCAATTCTCTGAAGGATAAAAGGAAATCATTGATTTTTAGTTTGTTCACCTTTTTTCTCATTTTAAGAATTGGAGTGATGACTTTCAAGCTTTTTACATACCAGAAAACAGAAGTCTGTAAGAATTCTTTTTTGACTGAATGTCTAGTGTTCCAATGTCTGAGTCTATTACTTCGTAGACAAATGTCAATCAATAGATGTTTGGTTTAATATAGTATATACGTTCACACCATGAAATACTGTACACTTGTTAAAAGAAATAATATGCTTCTGATTGCTGATACAGGACAAAGGAAAAAGATATCCAGGATATATTATTTTGTATTATCCAGAAAATTATACAGTAAGTGACTATTTGTGTACAATAAGGGAAGAATAAGAATTTGTTTCTATGTTTAGTTGTATTAGCATAAAGAATCTTGAGAAGATATCTGTGATGGTTGATTTTGGGTGTTAACCATCCGCTTGATTGGATTAAGGGATACCCAAATAGCTGGTGAAGCACTGACTCTTTTCAATGCTCCTGTAGGCATTGAGCCCATCTTTCTTCTGCTAAAAGGGAAACCAAGTGGTTTGGCATTCCTCAGGTGTGTCTGTGAGGATGTTTCCTGGGAAGATTGACATTTGATTCAGTGAACTGAATGGGGAAGGTCTGCCTTCAATGTCGATGGGAAGCATCTAGTAAGCTGGGGGCCCAGATGAAACAAAGAGGTGGAGAAAGGTTGAATTCAGGCTCTCTTTTCCAAAGCCAGAGCCCCCCTTTCTCTCCTGCCCTTAGTCATCAGAACTCCAGGTTCTTTGCCCTTTGGACTCTGATACTCACACCAGCAGTCCCCTGGGCTTCAGGCCTTCAGCCTCCAACTGAGAGATACAACATGAGCTTCCTTGATTCTAAGACCTTTGTTCTTGGATTGAGCCATGCTACCAGCTTTCCTGGTTCTCCAGCTTGCATATGGCCTATTGTGGGACTTCTCAATTTCCATAATTGAGTGAGCCAATTCCTCTAATAAGTCCCTTCTCATTTCTATCTCTCTCTCCATTTGTCTCTGCCCCTCTCTCTACATAGATATATATGGAAATATACATTAGGTATATTATTATATTATTATTAGACATATAATAATATAAGGAAAGCAATGAATTCTTATTTTCCCCTTATTGTACACAAATGATCACTTACTAATTTTCTGAATATTACTTTTCACAAATTTATATATATATACATACATACATATATATCAGTCTGTTTCTCTGGAAAATCCTGACTAAATAATAAGAAAATATTTAAAGTAGTTACCCATAGGAAGCAAAGGTAAGGGAATGAAAGAGTGAACAGGAGGCAGATATGGGAATTAGACAATTTAATATAAATCATTTTATACAATATTGTTATTTTAGAACCTTATGATTGTACTATTTACACACATATACAAGTAATATTCCTCAAGGTGCTTTTATTTGACTTTCATTTATAAACTTTGGGGCAAGTAACATTGATTTTTTAAGCTAATAATATAAGGAGAGTCTCCTAGGAAATATGAGGTTTTTAGATATTCCTTGTCAACTTACACCCTGAGACTTGTGCTCCAGAGTCTATTTGGTCAGCCTGGATCTGAGAAACAAAATACAGTCTTTCTTCTAGAATACATTAGAGATTTTAAGGATGTGAGTATACTTTTAAAGTTTAATTGTGATGACTTTGGATATTAACTTCCAATTTATATTTTTAATGCCACCTCATATAGTTTATTTGCTCTATCTTATTAGCCAAATGTCAATCTTTTGGCCGGAAAACAGGATTGGAAGTCCCATATTTGCCAGAACACTTTAAGATTAGATCCATTTCAGTTTATTTTTATTCTCTTGGAAGACAGTGAAGAGTCATCTTTTACTCTGGATATCAAAACAGATGGAGTTTTACCAAATTGTCAATAGAACTTGAAGATCTCCTCCATCCACCCACAGTCTGTTTTACTCTTTTACAACCTTAAGGTTCTTAGGTCAACTGTGGGTGAAACTGACTCTGCATCTATTAGGTCAACTGTAATAGAATTGGAAAATGTTCACTTTTTAAATTGTCCACAGTAGTCATTGTGAGAATGTTGTTAAAGAGAAAGTTACCTAAAACTGTGGAAATAGTTTCAGATAGGAAAATGTTTGTGACTCCATGAAACTGCTGTTATGACTAAATCCCCTGCCACCTCAAGCTTGCCACACTGCTTGAAAGTCTTTACTTACAACTGAAAGTGGGAATGGCAAGTAATGTTCATCTTATGTGTCAAATTAGATCTATTGTTAGTGGCTACTCCTGGCAGTGTTGAGAAAGATTTTGGTAACAACCTGACATTAAGACACACTTAAAGACAAAGTGCTATGATCCATCAGTGATATTCATTATAGATGTGAGAGGGGAGAGTGGTGGTACAAGAACTGTCAACTCCAGTAGGATTTGTAACTCCAGGAAGCCCAACTTTATTAATTATAAATTTTAGCAACTGCTGCTAAAATGTTATTAATTAATATGAAGACAGTAAACACTAACCCATATTTATTCCATACTTTCTATGTGCCAGGTGCTGTGCTAAGGAATCTTTTTTTAAATCATTAACTAATCTAATCATTGCTGAACCCCTATAAGATATCATCTCCATATAGTTTATCCTCAGTACAAATTATTTGTTCTTTAAAATGCCAGACCCAGCAATAATCTGCATTGGAACTCATTTATTTAATTTAAAAAACACAATTAAATGAGAATCTTACATAAGCCCTAGTTGATCTTGAAATGTATATATATATTTCAAAATTATGTATATATTTCAAAAATATATATATATTTCAAGATCAACTAGGGCTTATATAAGATTCTCACTTAATTTTGTATATATATATATATATATATATATATATATATATATATATAACTATCCTAGGTTTCAATAATTTTCTCAAATTTGCTATATAACACCTTCAAGATATTTGAAATATTCAACCAAATTTGAAGGATTTAGGAATTTTCATGATTTTAACACATTTTAAAAGTTTTACAATATTCTCTTAAGCAACATTTAAGAATAAATTTTCAATTAAATCTTTTCACCACAATAATGGTTTAAATAACATTTGTTTTGGTGAAAAAAATCCATAGAGTAAATCGCTAAATAGAAGCAAAAAGATAAGAGAGACAAAAATTTTAGCGTGCAGTAAAGGTGTCTCAAAATCTGCAACATAATATGCATTTCTTCTCTTGGTTGTTTAAAGGAATTCCCACCATAGCCTTTATTCCATTAAACAGGGTAAGTATTATGACATAGAACAGGTGGTGTGTTAACATCTTTGATCATACTATAAACTAAATTTCCATTGCAGAAGAAACTATTGGAAATGTAATGAAAACATAATGAAGTCAACATTCTTGCTTACCAAATGGGACTTTGCAGCACAGTTAATTGGACGTCAGTGTGAAATGTTGACAGACAGAGAACAGAATGGAGGGAGAGATTTAAAGGGAGAATGATTTTATATAAGCATTTATATTTTCAGAAGTAGCTTTCACCATCTGGATATTTTCAATCATGTGGATAAAACATATAGTTGGATGAGATTTTTGGGTTTCATCTAGATTTCCCTATATCCTCTACACTGCTTACATAAGATTGAACACTCAATAGACACTCGCTGATTAATATTTGGCACCCTGTATTAACAATTACAAGTTTGCTCTGAAACTGAATATCTTGAAAATTGTGATATAAAATGTCGCTCAGCTTTCTTCTTTCTATTTCTTTATTTGGCTTGAAGGCAGTGGGGCTTTCATCAATTCCATAACAATTTTATTTAGAAATAATTCACCTACAACTCAATTCACCCATTTAAAGTATGCAGTTCAGTGTTTTATTTTCTATTCACAGCAATCACCACAATCTAATTTTCAAACATTTGTTTCACGAGAAATAAATACCATACCCAGTAATAGTCAATCCTGATTTTGCCCCATGTCCTGCCCCTGCCAGTCCTAAGCAACCACTAATATATCTCCGTCTGTATAAATTTCCTTATTTTGACTATTTCATGTGAATGGAATCATAAAATAGATGGTCCTTCTGAATGCCTTCTGTTACTTAGCATATTTTCAATGTTCATCTCTATTAAATCATGTATTATTTATTTTTATTGCAAAACAGCATTCCACTGTATGGATATACCGTATTGTACTTATCCATCCATCATTTGATAGACTCTGCAGTTGTCTTCACTTTTTGGCTATTATAAACAATGCTGCTATGAACATTCACATACGAGTTTTTACATAGATCCTTGTTTTCATTTCTCTTTGGTATATACTTAGGTGTGCAGTTGCTGGGTCATACAGTAACCCTGGTTGAGGAAAGCCTAGACTGTTTGCCAAAGCTGCCGCACCATTTTCAAATCCCACCAGCAGTGGATGAGGCTTCCATTTTCTCTAGTAATATTGGCCTGTTGAGCCTAGAGTAGAGCTTTGGCCCTATTAGTAAAACCCAGCCCCAGAGGAAGAGCTAAGGAGAAAGGGAGCCCTTGTCTTCTTGGCAATACACACTGGTAGTAGAACTTCTTAAACACAGAAAGGTGAGGAGAGAGAGTGGTCCAAATACTATATATTCTTCCTTTTCTCACCAAGATTTAGTAGATTTTCTTGAATAAACCTTTATTTCTGTATGCCATTAGGACAATTTTTAGATATTTCGAATGATTGGTTTTTTCTATACACATAATTTTCACCAGTTAAATTGATGTTTTGCTATGAGGAGCATCTGTGGAGTTCTTTATTCTACTATTCTAGAAGTTTTTATCCTCTTATCACTATTTTAAATCACTGTCTCCCCTTCTGATTACTTACTGACTTGAAGTGGCTTATGTAAATATGGTACTTGACACAAAATTAGTCATTAAATATGTTGTTTGTATATCACTGATTTCTCATCTGACACAAAGGAGGCCCATAAACAGTCAATATAGAATTTCACATGAAGTGAAAATGCAGTCATGTGTTGCTTAAGGACAGGGATACGTTCTGAGAAATTTATTGTTAGGTGATTCTGCCCTTGTGTACATCACAGAGTGTACTTACACAAACCTAAATGGTATAGTCTACTACACACATAGGCTATATGGTATAGCCTATTGTTCCTAGGCTACAAACTTGTACATGTTACTGTACTGAATACGCTAGGCAATTGTAACACAATGATAAGTATTTGTGAATTTAACATATCTAAACATAAAAAGATACTGTAAAGATACAGTATAAGAAGATAAAAAATGGCATACCTATGTAGGGCACTTACTGTGAATGGAGCTTGCAGAACTGGAATTTGCTCTTGGTGAGCCAGTGAGTGACTGGTGAGTGAATGTGAAAGCCTAGAACATTACTTTACACTAGTGTAAGGTATATTAACTTTATATACACTCAGGCTGCACAATCTATATTTAAAAATTTTTTTTCTTTAGTCATAAATTAATCTTAGTTTATGACATTTTAACTTGATAAACATTTTCCTTTTTTTAAACTGTTTTGACTCCTAATAAAACTTCTTAAAACACATATCATACAGCTGTACAAAAATATTATTTCTTTATATCCTTATTCTATAAGCTTTTTTCTATTTTTCATTTTTCTTTTCTTTTTTTTTACTTTTTAAACTTCTTGTTAAAACCTAAGACACAAACGTGCAATAGCCTAGGCTTATGCAGGGTCAGGATCATCACTATCACTGTCTTTCACCTCCACACTTGTCCCACTGGAAGGTCTTCAAGGGCATAGCATGCATAGAGCTGTTATCTCCTATGATGACAATGCCTTTTCTGGAATACATCCTGAAGGACCTGAATGAGGCTGTTTAACAGTTTTTTTTTTTTTTTTTAATATAAGTAGAACGAGTACACTCTAAAATAATAATAAATAGTATAGTAAGTACATACACCGGTAACATAGTCATTTATTGTAGCAGGACAAGTCGCAGACAAAACTCCTCAGACACCGGATTAAAGAAGGAAGAGGTTTTTGTGTTCAGCCGAGAGCGTCCGCAGACTCACGTCTTAAGAGCTGAGCTCCCCGAAAAAGAAATTCCTAGCCCTTTTAAGGGCTTACAACTCTAAGGGGTCTGCGTGAAAGAGTCATAATAGATCAAGTAAGCGTGAGGAACGTGACTGGGGGCTACATACATCAGCTAACGGAACAAAAAGTTTTACAGTGCTTTCTCATATAATGTCTGGAATTTACAGATAACACCAGTAGTTTTGGTCAGGGGTTAATATTATTATTTTAACCACCAGGGCCAGGTGGCGGCGCCAAGGTCATCTAGCTATTTATCTTACTTCTGTTTCTTTCCAACTTTTTGCTTTCTCCCTTTTCTCCTGTCTTATAAACTAGGGAAAAGGGGAGGCTGGGGAGAAACTGGGAAGGACAACAGGAGAAGTGGTGGTCTCATACCATATTATGATCAAGTATTATGTACTGTGCATAATTGTATATGCTATACTTTTATATGACTGGAAGCACAGTAGGTTTCTTTATGCCAGCATCACCACAAACACATGAGTGATACTTTGTGCTATGATGTCACTAGGCGATAGGAATTTTTCAGACCCATTATAATCTTGTGGGACCACTGTCATATATGTAGTTCATCGTTGACCAAAATGTCATTATGTGGAATATCACTGTATTCTTCAAAATAAAGGTAGACATTTTCAGATAAAGGAAAACTAAGGATTTGTTGCTAGCATATCTGGACTTCAAGGAATGATAATTTTATTAGGCTGGATGAAAATAATGGTAAATGGATGTTCAAATCTTTTGCAGTGAACGAAGGCCATTGGAAATGGGAAGTATATAGGAAATAGTAGGAATACATCTTAATTTCTTTAAAATACACATGACTGGTTTAAGAAAAACTTAAAGCATTAACTCGAGAGGCTTAGAATTTATGTGGATGTGATATATATATGACAAATGTAAGCACGAAGTGTGGAATGGGGTAAATGGAGCTACAAAATTGCAAGGTTTTTATATTTTATGTGAAGTTCTACAATATTAACTCTAAACAGACTGTGAAGAGTTAACAATGCATAGCATATTTCCTACAGAAAGCACTAAAACATGAATGTAAAGAAATGTAACTAAAAGCCAATAGATAAATAAGTTACATTTCTAAAGTATTCAAGTAATAAAAAAGAAGGTAGGGAAGAGGGAAGAGAAAGAGAAACAATAAGCAGAGGGAACAAACAAAACAAAAGTTTATAGGACTAAATCAAACCATATCAATATTACATTAAATATTAATGGAATGAGCAGACCAATAAAAACAGAAATTACCAGACTAGATTAAAATGAAATATCTAACTATATGTTGTCTACAAAAATGCACTGTCAACATAAAGACACATAGAAACTGAAAATACACTTATGGGAAAAGATACAGCATAGAAATTATAAGCATAAGAAGATTGCAATGGCTATATTAATATCAACTAAAATAGACTTCAAGACAAAGTATATTATATTATTAAAGCCAAAGAAGGTGTGTCATAATGATTAAAAGACCAATTTATCAGAAAGTCGAGACAATTTGTATCTGCTTAATAGGATAATTTCAAAATGTAGGCTAAAATGGCAATAATAAATAAATAGATAATTCAATAATCATTCTAGAAAAACCTATTCCTTTTGCAATTAATAGAATAATTAGACACAGTAGAAATTTAGAGAATCTAAACAACAGTATTAACCACCATAAGCTAATCAATATTTATAGAACATTACATCAAACAAATGTTACAGAATGTACCCAGAACATTACAGGTTTTTTTGAAGCACACATGGCATATTCATGAAGATACATCATGTATGCTGAGCCACAAAAAAATAAATTTAGAAGAATTTTAAATAAATTTAAAAGAATCAGGAAAGCTGGTAGTGTAATTCAGTCTGAATCCAAAGGACCGTTGGCACAAGAAAAGCCAACGGTGTACTACTCAGTCCAAGACCAAACCCATGAGAACCTTGGGGTGGGGGGGATGGGGAGAACTTGTGGAGTCCCTGAAGTCCAAAGGCCTAAGAATCTGGAGCTCTAATGTTTGAGGCAGGGGAAGATGATGTCCTAACTCCAGAAGAAAGAGGGGATTTGTTTTGTCTATACCTTATTGTTCTATCTGGGCCCTAAAGGGATTGGGATGATATCTCCTCACGTTGGTGAAAGTGGATCTTCTTTACTAAGTATGCTAATTCAAATGCTAATGTCTTCTTGAAACAGACCTCAAATTCACACCCAGAAATAATGTTTTACCAGCTGGTTATCCCTTAATCCAAGTTGACAAGTAAAGTTAACCATCACATTAGGACGGGGGACAAGGAAGGGAAACCTAAGCAGAGCCTGGTAGACTCCTTAAATTGAAGAGGTAGGGAGAAGAGTTCAGAAAAACAAAGGCAGCTAAAGTTTGCAGGGCAGAGTAATGCAACAGAACTCTAAAGATCCACAGAATTTCCCCCTTGGGTATTCAGTAGAAGAGTGATGAGTGCATGGCTATGAGGAAACTCTCTGAGGCAGGCAAGGAGGCTCACTGCTGTAATCCCAGCAATTTGGGAGGCCAAGGCAGGTGGCTCACTTAAGGTCAGGAGTTCGAGACAAGTCAGGCCAACATGGTGAAACCCAGTCTCTACTAAAAATAAAAAGGTGGGACGTGGTGGCAGGCACCTGTAATCCCAGCTACTTGGGAGGCTGAAGCAGGAGAATAGCTTGAATCTGGGAGGTGGAGGTTGCAGTGAACCAAGATTGCGCCACTACACTCCAGCCTGGGTGATAGAGCAAGACTCCAGCTCAAAAAACAAACAAACAAAGGAAACTATCTGAGACCAAGATAAGGCTACCTATAAGAATTAGAGGAAGTAGTACACAGAGATCACACAAAAGCGAGAATAATGACCGTTGCCATTGGTGAGATTGAGAAATGTCATAATTCACGGGAGTTCAGTCGAACACTTAAAAGGGTCTTATCTCAGAAGAGAAAATAATTAACCCTAGACTAAACATCACTTTTTGCTCTATCTAACAAATCTTAAAAACAAAATCCAAAATTATCGAACTGTTTTCATGTAATTTAACTGCATCTGAAAACAAAGCTCAAGAATATTCAAGGGAACAAAAAAAAATGAAGCCCCTAAAAAGAAAAAAAATTCACAATATCTAGCATTAAATAAAAATTTACCAGACATGTAAAGACGCAAGAAAATAAAACTTGTTATAAGGAGAAAAAAAAATCACTCCATTGAAACCAATCCTGAACTGACACAAATGTTAAGAATAAACATAGAAAGACATTACAATGGCTGTTATAACTACGTTCAAAAGGTTTAAAATGTGAGCGGCAATATCAAGCATGCTGAGACACAAAATTTGTTGAAAAAATCAAATTTGTAGAGAGAAAAGCTACAATGTCTGAGATGAAAAATACATTAAATGGAATTAATGGCAGAAGAGACACTGCAGAAGAAAAGATCAGTGAACAGAAAGGCATAGCAATGCAAACTATTCAAAATGAAAAACAGGGAAAAATGACTAAGAAAAAATGACAAATACCTAAAAATGTGGAGATGGCTTTAGAACTGGGTAATAGAGGATGAATCTTAAAGAAATGTTCTGGTGAGGGCTCAGAATTGGAGAGCTGTAGAGAAAGCCTCAGTCTTCTTAGAGATTACTTAAATGGCCATGACCAGAATGCTGGTAGAAATATGCACAGTAAAGGTCATTCTGATGAGGTTTCAGAGGGAAATCAGAAACATAGTACTGGCAATGGAAAGAAAGGCCACCCTTATTGTTAAATGGCAAAGAACTTGCCTGAGTTGTGTTCAGTCCTAGTGTTTAGTGGAAGATTGAACTTGTGGGTGATAAAGTAGGATGTCTTGTAGAAGAAATCTCCAAGCAAAGTGTTGAAGGTAGACCATGGCCTCTCTTGACTACTTATAGCAAAAGTTTTAAGTGAGAAGAGTGAAACTAATTAAAGATAACGTTTATAATTAAAAGGCAAACAGAGCTGGGCACGGTGGCTCATGCCTGTGATCCCACTGCTTTGAGAGGCCAAGGCGGGCAGATCACTTGAGGCCCAGAGTTCAAGACCAGTCTAGCTAACATAGTGAAACCCCATCTCTACTAATAAATAAATAATATTTTAAAAAAATTAGTCAGGCATGGTGGCAGGCACCTGTAATCCCAGTACTTAAGAGGGCGAGGCAAGAGAATCACTTGAGTCTGGGAGGCAGAGGAGGCTGCAGTGAGCTGAGATAGTGACAGAGTGAGACTTCATCTCCAAAAAAAAAGGCAAACAAACATAATATAAAGAATTAGTTAGAAAATTTTCTGTTTATAAAAAATGAGAAAATGTATTTAGGAGAAAACCCCAAGAGTATGGTCAAATGACCGTTTGATAAGGAGGTTAGTATGGATAGAAGGAATCCAGATTGCTATTCATAAACGTAAAAACAGTGTATTAGTTCATTTTCACATTGGTAGTAAAGACATACTCGAGACTGGGAAATTTACGAAAGAAAGAGCTTTAGTCGGACTTACAGTTCCATGTGGCTGGGGAAGCCTCACAATTATGATGGAAGGCAAGGAGGAGCAAGTTCCATCTTAAATGGATGGCAACAGGCAGAGAGAGAATGAGGAAGATGCAAAAGCAGAAACCCCTCATAAAACCATCAGATCTCACCAGACCCAGTCACTACCACAGGAATAGCATGGAGATAACCATTCCCATGATTTAATCATCTCCCACTGGGCTCCTCCCACAAAACACAGTAATGATGGGAGCACAATTCAAGATGAGATCTGGGTGGGGACACAACCAAACCATATGTTTCCGCCCCAGCCCCTCCCAAATCTCATATCTTCACTTTTCAAAACCAACCATGCCTTCCCAGCAGTCCTCCAAAGTCTTAACTCATTTTAGCATTAACTCAAAAGTCCACAGTCTAAAATATCATCTGAGACAAGGCAAGTCCCTTCTGCCTATGAGCCTGTCAAATCAAAAGCAAGCTAGTTATTTCCTAGATACAATGGGGGTACAGACGTTGTGTAAATAAAATTGTTCCAAATGGGAGAAATTGGCCAAAACCAAAAAGCTACGGGCCCCATGCAAGTCTGAAAACCAGCAGGGCAGTCAAATCTTAAAGCTCCAAAATGATTTTTTTTTTGACAAAGTCATGGGAGTGAGGCTGCCTAGAGATTTTGGGACCCAACCCCCACCCCAGTATGTCTGTTATATTGGGACATGGACTCAAAGAAGATGATTCTTTATACTCAAAATTTAATACTGTTTTCCTTGTTGGGGCTTGGAGATACTTGGGAGCTGTTACTTCTTTACTTCCTATTTCTTCCTTTTGGAATGGGAATATCTACCCTGTGTCCATTCTACTACTGTGTTTTGGAAGCACATAACTTGTCTGGTTTGATAGTTCACAGACAGAGGGGAGTTTGCCTCAGAATGAAACACACCTTTGGGTCTCACCTACATCTGATTTAGATGATATTTTGATAAGACTCTGTACTTTAAACTTTTGAACTGGTGCCAGAACATGGTAAGACTTTTAGGGCTATTGGGATGGCATGAATGTATTTTGCATGTAAGAAGGATACAAATTTGAGGAGCCAGAGATGAAATGCTATGGTTTGAATATATGTGTCCCTCCAAAATTCATGTGTATAAGTAGTATTAAAAGATGAGGTTTTTGGTAAGAGGACTCCACCCTCATGAAAGGGATACATGACTGGAAGGAAAGCCCTAGCCCCTTTTTACACTTTTACCCTTTCTGCCATGTGAGGACACAGGATTTATCCTCTCCAAAGGACACAGAAACATGACACCATCCTGGAAGCAGAGAGCAGACCTCACTAGGCACCAAATCTGCCTGCACCTTAATCTTGGACATCTCAGCCTCCAGAACTTTGAGAAATAAATATATATTATTTATAAATTACCCAGTCTGTGGTATTTTATTATAGCAGCAGGAACAGACTCAGACGCACCTTAGGTGATGTGTAGATATTATAGGAGAGGAGAATAAAGGGCAAACATTGTAAATTAGAGTTATGCAATGGTAGAATGTGCTACAATGGTAGATACATGTGAGCTCTCAATATGCATGGGTTAACTGAAAGATGAATAGTATTTTCTTCCTCTTTGAACAGACTTTTTCTACCAACACTTGTCCTAGTAGCTCAAAAACATTTTATGTAAAGTCCACTTTAAATATAAACTTCACCTTTAACACAGTCTTTTAATTTAGTGAGTCGGGAAATGAAGTCTCAGTTTACATCATATACATATGATATGCGATATATCTACTCTTAAGAGAAGAACACAAACTATGTTTTACTATACTTTTTATTATTATATTTTAGTGGTATGTATAGTTCTTAGAGTAAATTATTGTGAAAATACAGATACTTCCATAAAACTCCACTGTAGTTTATTCATATTTACAATTATAATACATCTTTCCAAACCCCAGCCATAATAATCTGATTGAAGCAAAAGAGGAGTGCAGGGAAATGGCATCTGCAGAGTTGCCACAATTTTATTGCAACGTGTATAAGCAAAATATAATTATGCAGTAAAAATAAACTTAAAGAATTATGATTCAGGTTTACAGATTAAGACATTAATTCTGTGGATATATGAGCAGTCAGTGATAGTTTTAGTCACCTATGGCAATTCCTCAACTCCACAATAAGAATTGTGTTAATTCTGTGGTTACCATGGATTTACTAAAGCCCAAACATTTGGTTTTCATTAAAGCTTATCCAGTTGAAAGTAATGCTGAACTAATTTATTTAATACCCAACAACTGGGTTTTTTTACTTTGCTGTTAGGTTGTGTGTTTAGCTCAAGGAAGGCTCAAGAATCTTTGCTTTGGAAACCTTGTTTCAACTTCCCTATTTCAGTCAGTTCTCCTCAGGCCTCAGTAGAACCCCGTGGTTAACTTTATTACAAAGTTTATCCAAATTTGTTGTGATTTTCTCATTATAAGCCTGATTTTCCACTAGCCTGTGTTCCAATTTGCCATGTACTTTTCTCTGTCACTACCACAGTGCGAACACCTTAGGAAATGTGGATGACAATAAGGAAGAGCAAGTTTACATGAAGGGAGCAAGTATGTGTTTACATGTTTGTTCTTCTAAATAAATCAAGGAGGTTTTGGTGTCTGTGGGCTTTTTAGAAAATTGGTCAGTTTACCTAGCCAAGGACCACGTATCTTTCTTTTAGTGCTGCTCTCTGTCCCCCAGTCCCTGCACCCACCCACACACTCAGCTGAAAGAGGATATGTTCACAACTGTATTAGTGGTTGCAAAATTGAGCCCCACCCCTCGGAAGCAGGATATTTCCCCCACCCCTGCATGGGACTCCCGACAGGGGTGCCTCATTTACTCAGCTCACCACTTTGAACTTCTCGTGGGAGGGAGTGCGCAAGCGACTGAGGCGGGAACTGGAGTGCACGAGCACTGGAATTGGCCAACTGCTTTGGTGCCTGCAGGATCAAACTCCACTCATTCGGACCTGCTGCACTCCACCCCTCATGGGAGGGAACACACAGGTGAGTGGGTGGGTGCAGGAGCCAGTGTGAGCAGTTTTGGTTGCCGGCAGGAGCAAACTCTGTGCAGGCCCCCAGCAGTGTCCAGGCGGGGTGCTTGTGACTCCTGAAGCCTCAAGGGGCATGTTACAGTGCTCTTTTAGCTCTGCCATCCATGGCAGGCTTAAGTGTTAACAGCTCAGTGGGCCCTCTGCCCTTTTGCACGAGGCAGCTGCCGTCTGCCAGCGGGGGCAAAGGACTAGCGTGACAGCCTTTTATATCCACACTCGTGGCTCACAAGCTCTTGTCCGGCATCCAGGAAAAATGTCGCACAAACTAATTGAAGGATGATAAATGCAGGGGATCTTGTTGCCAATGAAAGTGGCTCTGAGCAGGATGGGGAGCTGTAAAGGGAATGGGGCAGGTAGGTAATCTTCCCCTGGAATCTGGCCATCTCTACCGGATTCTCCGAAATTACGCCATCAAACTGTCCCTCTGAAGTTAATCCACTTCTCTTCCACGTCCAGCCATAGTTTCCATCATCCAACTGCTTCTCCTCTGCCAGCTGAGTCTGTAGTGTTTATAGGCACAGGATGGGGGATGGGGTAGGCCATGGGTAAAAAGCAGGAAGACAAGGATAGAAGTTCTCACTTTGAGCCGGGGTTTCAGGCTTTTCGGCTTGAGGGTGGGATTTTGCTGGGGACCTGCTACTTTTCTGCCTAGAATTTTTCTGCCTCCTGCCTCTATCATTGTATCACCTCCACCAGTCCTAGCTAACCTGATGTCCTCATCTGGATATCTGACTCAAACTGAGCTAGTCATTTAATTAATGGGCTGGTGTTGGCTATGCTGCTAATCATCAAACCAATTTCAGTAATTCCATCAATACAATAAAGACATTTTATCCAAATTTGCTGAGCCAGTGGTTGGCTAAGATTCAGATATGGAAATTTCTGATTCTGTTTTTTACATAAATTGTATCTTGTGACAGTGATAGGAAAAAGATATCAGCAACTTTAATTATTTTAGAGGTTTTCAATATTTCTTAGCTGGAGAATTTTGGTTCAAAGAAAATTTTACTGTAAAGTCCTTTATGTTAAACACACAAAAATACAGTTGCTTCAGTTGATGTTGGAGGGCTTCCCACAAACACCCACCCATGTCCTTTGTTCCAGAAACACCTGAAGGGAAGGCACACGATGCCCTTAGGGGCATAGTTTGAAAATTATTCATTTATTAAAAACAACACACTTTGAAATAATTTGAATTAAAGTTGAATCAGGATGCGATTTGAAAAAACTGACAAATATTGCCTTTGCGACAATGAGATCCTGAATATATCTTTTCATTGATTAGCTCTATGTATCTATATAAATAGGCAATACTAATTGTATTTTCTTTTTTCAAAGTTTTTATTGATTTAGTATTCATTTCTGGAAGTTCTAGTCCTGGTGATGTCCAATACTCTTTATTGGTACCGGCTATTCCTCACAATACACTGAGAAACTTACTAGATATCATATTGATTGTTTTGTTTCATCAGTTTCCATTTACAGTCAGTTTTCATTCATTCTGATAATTTGCCTAATGAAAATGCTCTATATTCTATAAAGATATTTTCTCTCCATTTAATATATGCAAAAAATTTCTTGGTTTGAAATATACCCTGGATAGTATTATAGAATAAAAATTTATATCTGAACATATGTTTCAGAAACATTTTGACACAGTAGCTGCTTAAAACTGGGAAACATTCCTAGCACTGGATCCAACAAAATTGAAAACATTAGACTAGGAGATAATCTCTGTATCCACAGACTTTTATGTGCAAACAACAACAAAAAGAGATAGAGAACTTTTTTACGTAAATTAAAACCTCTTAACTTGAGATTTATAAGGTGTCCGCAAAACTTTTCCATACCACCTGATTCCAGATAGAACCTAATTCAGCCAGAGTAAGAAAGGAAAGCTCTTCCCTCAGATCATAGGGTTTCCCTCTGATTCTAGGCTTTTCAGCAAGGCTTTGTAGCACCTATGGCCAGGAATTCAGTAAAACTTAGAAGAGACAAAATCAGCAGTGTTATCATGTAATTTCCCTTATTTTTCTGTATCTATCTGAGGTTATTGGAACCTCTTAATTGATGAATGAAGACTTTATCAAGCCTGGCAGCAGTCGTTATGTCTCTGATTTTCCTTGAAATGCATCTGTCATGCAACTCAAAATTGAATAGTCAGTTTGGGGCTGAACCAGAGACATGGCACTGACTTAAGACACTCTGAAGGGAATGAATGATTAATGCAGTTTATAGACAGGATAGCGCTTCCTCTGTCTCATGTGCTTTTTGTATGTAATCTCTAGTGGTTTAAGTTCAGATGGATCTAATGAAAAAGGACTAGATGTTTTCCACCTTCCCTTCAGAGCATGCTGTACGATTTATCCACTGACAAAATGTGCTAATGAAATGTCACCTTGGACAGCTTGGTAAAGGATTGATGGGCTGAAAGTTTTGCACTTTATTTAACTTTTGCAGGAAAAATGAGTAAGTCCTCCAAACTCTGTATGATATAGAGATCCATTATGGTTTTCTGACTCAGGAAGTCGCTATGCCACTGATGGAATATAGAAAGAGAAAGATGCTGATGGGGAAAATTTTATCAATAAACAAATTGAGAATATGTGGTTTCATTATGCTTCAATTCTAAATTATTGCCAAGTTATGTAATTTTATGAAGGCATTTCCTTTATATACTTTCTATAATTGTTTGCAATCTATTAGTCTATCAATGACAAATAAAACCATCAGCCTTTGTGACCTGTGCATTGCCTTATTTCTTTGTTTTTTGTCCCTTCTTTACCAGAGTCCCCAGCATAAAATCCATCCCAATAATGGTTTTAAGCCTTTTATTTTTTCCAATGATAAAAATTCATAATCTGTTAGCAAAGGTTACTGGCAATCATTAAAGAAAATTGAAATGGTAGACAAAGAATTAGGATGTCGTAGGAAATAAAACTGTAAATAATCAGAGAGTCTGTTGATAAAGGTGAAAGGGCAAAACATACAAAGTGGACTATCACTGATAAAAATCAAAGAAGCAAGTGAAAATATGCAAAGAAAACTAATGTTTGGTTGTAGATAATGACTATCTGTATTATGATTTGTGTACATCTACACTAACCAAAATAAATAAATAACCACGCAATATATGCGTATACACACACACACAAGCTTGAAGTGACGGGAGAGTGTCTATCAAAGAACATTTTCTTACTCTTTAGTCTAAAGAGAAAGTCTAGTAGAATCTGTTAAATATCAGGACAGGAAAATTATCTGTGATCTAGTTTTCAATTTTCCATAGCTGTTAAAATGGGGATTATGGTATCTTTAGGGCAACACTAACTGCTATAATAATTAAGTCCCCAAATTTAGGAGACTGAGTAAAATAGAAATTGATTTATTATACAACATTATGTTTAAAATGGCGGGGAGTTATCCACTGCTAAGATTGAGGGATCTTGACTCTTTCCATCATGGGCCTTTTCTATTTTTAATACACGGCTTCCAAGGTTGTTTAACTTACCTAGGTCAAGTGGGCCTAGGGAAAAGAATGTACAACTCAGCTTTTGAGTCTCTTATGAGCCAGGCTTGGAAGAGACCCAGAATCCTTTGCTCATCAATAGGCTACATGACTAATCCTAATGCCAATTAAGCCTGGAAAATGTAAACTAACTGAATGTCTAGAAAAAGTAAGAAACAAGATTGATAATTGGGTAGCATTTCTTTCAGTTTTATTATAAAAATCTGATAATAATGCATATGATAAGCCCAACGAATCTGTAACATTAATTTCCTGCTTTCTTTGCCCCTTCCTCTAATATTAACTGCCTCATAAATGTAAAAATGTATTATTGTTTAGATCTAATTAGAATAGCTAATTTGTCATCTTTGTTAAGAAAAAAAAAAGCACAGCCAAAGGACCATTTCCTTACTAAAACTGAAGAAATTAGATTGTGAACTTTAGATTACAAAAATAGTAGTAAGAGAGAAGCTACAGTTGCCAACTCACTGACTTTCACAATCATTTTGGCACTGAAAATATGTTTGTCTTTGACTTGTTAATATTCTGCCATATTTAATTCTCTCCTAACACATACTCTATTTATTGCATCTCAGCAAGATTTCCTAATTTTTTAGTACGTGCATACTTGGCTGACAACCATGACATAAGAGCTGCTCAAAGGTATATTAAATATTTACACTTGTTTCATTTTTAAACCCTAAAAATAATCTGTTTTAAATGCATTCATGTCACAGTGTAGTTGCCAAATTTTTTGAAGCATATATTAAAATAAAATATGAAAAAATTTGCAAATTGGTGATTAGAATGGAAAGATTAGGACTAATTTTGTTTAAAATTTGTTTCTTTACGTACTAGGTATTCTCAACTTTTGAAACCCATCTGTGTTCATGATCTAAGAAGTTAAAGCTCTCCCTGTGGACTATGCAACATCACCCCCTGTGGGATCTTTTCCCTATAAGAGAAACATGGTCAGTGCACACATACTTACTTATTTATATTTATTATGTAAGTTTTGTGGTTTTATAAATTTTTAAAATATGATCAATGCTAGTTTAAATTAAAATAAGTGGAATTAAAGATTATACTCAAATTAATTATTTTAAGGAAAGGGGTTAATTAAGTAATTTAAGGGAAATAATTTAGAATTAGCAAAATTTAAGTTTGACTCTTGGGTTACCGTTTTTCATTGGAGTGTTTATTAGACTCTCTGAGACTCAATTCGTTCATCTAGAAACCTGGGATAATAATACGGACTCTTCAAGGCACAAGATGGTTTTGTAATTCATAGGAGAGAAAATAATTACAGGACCTAAGATGTTTCCTGGTACATTGTTGATTCTCAGTGAATATTTTTGGAATATAGGAAAGCCAACTTTCATAATATTAGAAAGTTAGGAATATAGTGAGTATAACAATTCTTACACTCATTTGTATATATTTTTAAGTTGAGTAAATGTGAATTCATGTATTGATATTGTTAGGAACCAGGGTTCTTGATGGCAGAAAGAAAAATACGAGTGTATGCATATGTGTGTGTTTCTATGTGTAATCTTAGAAAAGGCCTAAAAGTGAGAATATCCCAGTAGCAATGAATTTACCTTGTGTTCACATTTTGGCTTCTAAATGCTATTTCCAAGATTCTCAGAAGATGGACACATTAGGAACATCATACTATTCCAGTCTCTCTGAATACCAACATAAAAATGGACAGAATAACTAGTTAGTGAGAACAACAACAAAAAAAACCATGGAAATCCAATGATCCTATATCTCAGTTAAGTCAGAATGTTCAAAAAAAGACATTGTGCTGGCTATTGTAGTGAAGGCTCAACAAACCACTCTTTTAATTATTCTCTCATTGAAACATTTCTAAGATACATTTTCTTGCCTAGTAAGCAACAACAAAGAATACACATGACAATTCACAACAAAATTAGGCAACAAGATGTACCCAGGAACTCCAAACTACAAGTGGATGGAGAAAAAGTGCCAACAAATTCTAGACCTGAATGGTCTGGGCATCTATAAAAATGAAGAAGGAAATAGCGGGGTGGCATCTGACTGACCTGATAGTGATGATCCTGATCTTGGCTCTATGAAGACCTAGGCTCATGTGTCTTTTTGTGTCTTAATTTTTAACAAAAAAGTTTTAAAAGTTAAAAAATTTAACAAAGATAGAAAAATGCTAATGAAATAAGGATATAAAGAAAGAAAATATTTTTGTACAGCTGTACAATGTATTTATATTTATGCGCTATTATTAAGGAATCAAAAAGTTAAATTAAAGACTTTATAAAGTAAAAAAGTTACAGTAAGCTCAGGTTAGTTTATTGCTAAAGAAAAGATATTCCTTAATAAATTTAATATAGCCTAAGTGTACAGTGCCTATAACGTCCACAGTAGCGTACAATAATGTCCTAAGGCTTCACATTCACCACTCACTAACCCACCCAGAGGAACTTCTAGACCTGCAAGCTCCATTCATAGTAATTGCCTTATACAAGTGTTCCAGTGATTTGCTATAGCCAAGTAAGCTGGAGAACAAGAAATCAGACTTTATGTGCTCACGGAGAAAGCAGTAGCAGTTGATTATGAAGAGCTTTGTTAGCCAGAGAAAAGGTCGTGGATTTTATCCAGTGATGTGATAGAGTTGCTCAAACTAGCTTTGTGAGAGCTGAGTGTTAGTCTTTCAGGAATTTTGTGAGTTGGATTTTAGCCAAGATCACCTTTAAAAAGTTAAATTAGCCAAATTATTTAAGCTTACAATAAATAAATCTAATTTTAAAAACATCAGTACTCAAAACTCACCACTTCCAAAATTATTTTGCTGCAGTTTTCTATTACCACAATAGACACTTGACATCTATTGTGTCTGTAGGGTGGAAATACAATACAATGGTATGCTACTACACATCTCCTTCCAGTGGTATCATGTTGATTGCTTGAAATCAGTGAGTTTTGACACAGGAAATTGGTAAACCAAGCATGACAAAACAAAGATTTTCATCCTCTTAGAATCGGTTTAACATGTCCTAACAATTAGTTTCATTCTAGTTGAAATAAAAATAAAGTGGAAATTTTTTAATATTCCAGTGGAAATAAAAAAAAAATTTTACCAAGATAGCAGCATAATCAAATTCATTATTTGTTTGCTTGTTTGTCTTTGTTTATTTTTAAAGCCATTCTGGCTACTGTATGGAGAATAAACTTAAGAGAAGCAAGGGAGAAAATAAGTAAAACAGTTATTGGGATTTTGTAACAGTCAAATCAGGGTTGATGCTGGTCTCAACTAGGAAAAAGAGACCAAATCGGAACTAGGACAAATATTATTGTCCTATTTAAGGACGTGGAAAGGATTGAGTATGACTACAATATCCTGGCTTGAACAGTATGTGTCTGATTATACAATTTACTGTGATTATAAAAACTAGAGGAAGAAGGAGTAATGTAGAGCTGATGACAGAACTGGGGGAAGAAATAGTACAGTTTTGAATATGCTAAATTTAAGAAACATTTTAAATATCCAGCTTGCAAAGCCAGCCTGGTACTCTCAGTAGAGGATCATGCCAGGGAGTTAAAGGAACAGAAAATATTGAGAGCCATGGGACTGAAGACCACCTGACAACAGAGGGTAAAGAAAGAGTAAAATTCATGGATTAGTGTTTTTAGGAACTCCAACATTTCGCACTTCTGCTTTTCACTTCATGTTGACAGAGTGTCCTAAAACACTCCTACTTTTTTATCCTCTGTGGACAAAAAAACAAGCTTTTAAAATTTTTATTTATTTTTTAATCCTCCATGGACAAAAAATAAGCTTTATAAATTTTTAAAATTTATTTTATTTACATATTTTAATTATGGTCTTAGTTTCACATTGGTGATGTTTAGTATGCCTTCTCTCTTCCTTTCCAGCCCAGCTTATTTTAAAATCCCTTCGTGTTACATCAGTTTTCCCCAATGAGGGCACATAACTGCAAAGAGGGCTAACTCGATGATCCAATGACAAAATTCAACGCAAATTAAGTATAAACAAGAAGTTGAGATAAACAGCACACAACCTCAGTTAAAGCCATAATGATTGTTCCTTTAAATTTCTTTTTTTTAGAATATCCACTCTAGGACTTAGTAATAGCTATCACTTATAAACAATTCCTTGATTCCTATGTCTTGCTCAGCAAGTCTCCTGCCATGTGCCAGTCCCTTGGAGTACAGATGTCAATAACCATCAAGGATTAGGCAAACTTCCTTTGCATAAAACTTGACCATCTCTGACAGAAGTCATCAATCTTCAGACGTAAACCACAGACTTCAGCTGTGTAAAAAACACTTTTAAAAATATACACTTTGATATTCTAATATTTGTAAATCATGATATATCAATTTTTTAACTTTATCACCATTATAAATAGAAATGTCAAGATGTTAATTTTGAAAATAAATCCAAAGCATACTACTTAAACCAGAGTCCACCACCATGTCCTGTAAGTAGCATGAACATTAGCTGGTAACATTTTCTATTTGAAGCAAATATAGATGCCATTGTATGCAAATGTGAACATCTGAAAAAAATCTATGTATGCTACACATAGTCAACCTGTTTAGGATTGAAGGCCAAGTTTTTTCAAAAATTTTAACTCTATGAAATAAAGTTTTAAAAACTACAGGATAACACCTTAACCCAGTTTTGCAAACCACACATGCCTATGTTGAAATGTAGCATCTACCAGTGAATATTTTTATTTTAGCCAAGAAATACAGCTAATCCCAACTCTCTTCAATGCATCCATTATATACTATACAATAGGTGTCTCCTAAAGCTCTATTTTAAAAAAACAATAGTTTATACGTTAGCTTTTGTTTTCCACTATGCTTCGATTTGTAGCAGTCTTTTGTATTTTATTTTGTTTGTAGGATATACTCCTATGGTCTATATTTTTTTTCTTTTGAAAATGATAATTCATCAAAAAATTTCCTAAGTATATTAATTTTTACTTCTTCCTCCTTTATTTAACTTTTTGGATGTTCATATGTCCAAAAACTTGCAGCGCAACTCATTAAGGCCTATCTTTAGAAATCAACACATAAATTTGGAAAGTATTCACACTTGATTAACCGAAAAAAAGAAAAGAAAAGTAAATCCAAAGACTCAAACATGACAGGCCTTCAGTTTTCAAAAGAGGCACAGAAATCAATTTTGGCTTAAGGACTAAAAAGAGTTAAAGTTTTCTTCATACTAAAATGAAAGGGTTTTATTCTATGTTTTTTACTTTCTCACCACGGGAAATGTCCACATAGAGCCTTAGTAAGCATCTGCCAAAGGCACTTTTAGGGATATACCTTCATTGGTTAGACAGAGCCTGCTTTTTCATCTCTATTGGTAAGTGTACAGCTTAGGAAAAAATAAATAAATAACTTGACCAGTTTAGATCTGTATTTCCTAAAATATTTTCTTAGGAAAGGAAAGCAGAAAGGCATCATCCTATGAGAGCCAGTATACTTAATAGAGATGAACCACAGATTTTGCTCTGGGCTTTCTGGCAGCAAGCATGAAAAAGCATAAAACACACTCTAACATAATTTATAGGCGCCATAAGACCATACCTTGATCCACTAGATAAAAGTATATAAATACAAATGTTAAAAATACATTTGTGTTCCTGATTCAAGAAACAGAGAAATTTTTCTCAAGGGTCTCCATACTGGAAACAGAAGGATCAGTTAAAAATAATATATTCAAAATGTCTTTATGTGAAAACAAATTCGAAGGGTTGTTCCTAAAGCAATATTGAAGTCTGTAGAGGAAACACACAAAGATGTTTTCATAATTTATGAAAGAAAGCTATGGGCATCATGTGTTCAAATTCCCAGATTTTATGAAATGTTTTAGACAAAAGAAGGCCATAAACGCTTAACCGTACTTTACCTGACTTTTATTCTGGGTATTTTAGTGTCAATTTAAAGAATATTTCAGATTGGATATGATGAAAATTTCTGTATAATTTGTTTAATTCCCTCAACTTTTCTCTCACCTCACTTTCCATTCAATTTATGAGATCAAACACAACATTTTTCAAATGTGCTTTATATGCCTGTGCTTTGCGTCCTTGGATATGCAAGAGTATACAGCAGTGAAATTGCTGCATGGATAATTCTGTTCAGTCTTTAAAATATCTGGAGCAATTTAAAGAGTAAACGTGAAGAGTAGATGTCCATAATATCACATTACAGCACTGCTCAGAATAGAAAAGCCTCAAAGTTCTGTGGACTCACCAGTCACAACAGAGAAGGAAGCAGTAAACATGAGAGGTAATACTAGCTTTGGGATTCTACTTAATATTCACTAAGGGTATTCCAAAAATGTCAGGTTTTTTTCTGTAAATTTTTATTGTGCATCTGTGAATTTCCTGCCCTTTTAAAGTCCTGATTCACTAAGACTTTAAGCCAATGGTGAAAATATTTCTAGTTTCCACTGAGACATATTGAAAAAAATGGCATCTAATTTAGTAATAATTGGCTAAATCAGAATTAGAATGAAAAGAAAATTCTGGGGACTTTTCTAAAAGGGTAGATACACAGTGTGTCATAAGAGCTAATAATCTACACATAATAAACCGTGAGAAAAAAATACATTAAATGTTACAGCTTTATCACTCAAAAAATTTTGTTGAATAAGTCTATCTAATTCTTAGATACAAAATATCGTATGTGTTGATTAAACAACAACAAAATAACGAAAAACACTGTCAGCATATAATGTCATATTCCTTCTTTATGAGAGATTCTATGAATTAAGTTTTACAATACAATTCTTTGATGAAATTGGATTCATTCAGTCCCTCACTTCAAATTTATTAAGCCCAGTAATACCATTAGATACAAAGATAAGAGGCAAGATCCTCTACTCAAGGAACTGGGTGCCTTTGTGAAGAAATCAGACATGTATGCATGTACTTACAATCTGTACTATAAAAGAGGCATAAATACAGTTGACCATGGAACAAAGCAAAGATTAGAGACACCAACCCCCATGCAGTCAAAAAATCCATGGGCAACTTTTGACTTTCCAAAAATGTCACTAGTAATAGCATACTGTTGACTGGAAGCTTACTGATAACATAAACTGTCAATTAACCTATATTTTATATGTTATATATATTGTATATTATATTCTTATAGTGAAGTAAGCTAGAGAAAAGAGAATGTTATTAAGAAGATCATAAGAAAGAGATAATTTATTTGTTATTTAATAAGTAGAAGTGGATCCTCATAAAGGTCTTGCTCTTGTCTTCACATTGCGTAGGCTGAGGAGGAAGGGGAAGAAGAGAGGTTAGTCTTGTTGTTTTTGGGGTGGCAGAGGTATAAGAAATTCTGTGTATAATGGGATCTCTGCAGTTCAAGCTTGTGTTGTTCAAGAGTAAACAGTTGTGACGTTTAAGAACTGAGAAAGTAAAACTTAACCCAATAATATATCACAGAATATAACTATATACTCTCTTTTATTAAATACCTAATTAAAAGAAATAATATTAGCCAAGATCATCAAGACCATCAAGATGACAAACAGTTCATTAATTTTTGTATCACCTCGATATTTAATCTTCTATCATTGAATATAATTTAACCACCATGAGGCCCTATTCTTGGACTATATTAACATAGCCACTTAAAGATTCATCTTAATGAAATCACAGTTTATTTTTTTAATGTGAGGTAAAATAACTTATTTTTTGTAAAACTAATATAAAAAAGCACCACCTCTATCATTCAATGTCTTCCATATCATTGATTCACAACTATAGAGGAAGATATGTCAGATTTACCTATACAACTACTGGTTGCTTTTGATTTATTTGTTGTTGTTGTGTTTTGTTTTCAAATTATATCCTATTGCTAGAGATTCAGATTTGGCACCTTTATTTTCTTTTTCCCTAAACCCAGGAATTAACGTCTTGGTGTCTACAGATATAGTCATAATACTGTAGCTTTCAGGTGCATTGAGAATGAAAAATATTGGGATTTTTAAATAATTTACTACTTGGAATTTTAAAATTTATTTTGAAATAACTGAATTAAAAGTAGCTGGGTTTTTTATGATAAATCTAAGTATATTAAGCAATTTTCTTTTTACTTGCCTGCCAGAAAGATTCATGTTAATTATATTAATCCTTGTGGTTAGCATATTTTATTCTTCATTTTTTATTCTTCTTATTTTCCCTTATATATTCTATATGTCTTTAAAGTCATTAAGCAGTGTTTCCATTTTTCTATTGCTATTGCAACAAATTTCCACAAATATAGTAGTTTAAAACACTACAAATATATTATCTTATAGTTCACTGAAGTAGAAATCAAGGGGTTGGCAGGGCTATGCTCCTTTCTAGAGATTCTAGAGGAGAATCTAGTTTTTGCCTTTTCTAGCCACTAGCAGTTGCCCACATTACTTGACACCTGACCCCTATAATCTTCAAAGTCAAGAGTAGTCAGTAGGCCCTTTCTCATGATTCTACTCCTCTGGTTTTGGCTCTTAGGCCTGTTTCATCCCCATTTGAGGATACTTTGTGAATACATTGGGCCTGCCAGAATAATCTAAGATAATCTTGTTAATGTAAACTGATTAGCAACCTCAAATCCACCTGCAAGCTTACTCCTCTTTTACTTTGTAATACAATATATTCGCAGTCTAGGTACTAATGCATGATAATTCTGGGGTACAGGCATCATTATGCCTAATACATATAACTTTTAAAAGTACACAACAAATAGAGGTGTATGATCATCTGGGTCTCTAGAGAACTCATGATGAGGTGTAAGTATTGGTTTCATTTGTCTTCAGCATAGATTGATCCATTAAACATATATTTAATTAATATCTTCTTGGTGCCTGATATTGCTTTTTTTTTAACTTCAGAATAATATGAACATAGCCTGACACTGTTTTAGGCATTTTACTTTTATTTTATTTTATTTTATTTTATTTTATTTTATTTTATTTTATTTTATTTTATTGAGAAGGAGTCTCACTCTGTCTCCCAGGCTAGAGTGCAGTGGCGCGATCTCTGCTCACTGTAACCTCCACCTCCTGGGTTCAAGTGATTCTTCCACTTCAGCCTCCCGAGTAGCTGGGACTACAGGTGCCCACCACCACACCCAGCTAATTTCTGTATTTTTAGTAGAGACAGGGTTTCACCATGTTGGCCAGGGTGGTCTCGAACTCCTGACCTCAGGCAATTTGGCCACCTTTGCCTCCCAAAGTGCTAGGATTACAGGTGTAACCCACCATGCCAGGCCCTGTTTTAAGGATTTTAGATACAGATCTCCTTGGCAAAACACATGAGAAGAAGGAAGATTGCCTGGAAATCAGTAAGAACTGGGCATTTCTTGGAATCTTGTTATATAGTTACTGAACAAATACTTATTGAGAGGCTAGTTTGTACTACATTAAATGCTAGATATTGGATACAAATTATTAGAAACAATGAAGTGGTCCATATTTATAAAGATTACAATGTAGTCTGGAAAATATCAAATAAACAAGTGAACCACTAAATAGTTGTAAAATTACAAATTAACAAATAAAGTACAGGTTTCAAAAACAGCAAAAGATTCCACATATATAAGAAAGTCAGGAAATACCTCAAGAGGTTACACCTTCTAAGCCCAAGGTATATAGAATGACATACTACTATATAATATTTCTCCATATGCTCCCAGAAATATCTGCATCATAAACACTGAGTGTTCTTGCTAAATATTAAGATTCTCTTACTTCTTTTATGTCCAGGGAATCTATATTTTAGCAACCTTATCAAATAATCTTTCTGAACACTAAATTTCATAAATGTTGCCATAATGCTTAATGTTAAAAGGATCAATCTGTGGGTTTTCTGTTGCAGTGCAAATGACAAATCATTTTGTGTTACTCAGGGTAAGATTATTTTCCACACAGGTGAAAATGGTTATCTTCAGGAAGAAGACTCTTGGAGAATAGAAAGAAGTTCCACAGAAGCCAAAAAGAAAAAAAAAAAAAAACTACATGTGAATTGCAAAAGGCTAATTGATGCCTTTGATTTTCTGTGAACCATGGCAAAACTTGTGGAGCTGTGCTTTTTATTTTTTATTTTTTTAGGCTAAGGTTAGGTTGACCATTAGAGTATTAACTTGGTATTTTAAGTAAAAGAAACACCACTACTAAATTCTTAGACCTCAGTAAGCTTCTTAAATAATGATTAGACCATAATATAATTAGAAGTAATGCAAATAAACATTTAAAGCAGTTTTTACAGTAATTTTGTTTTGTTTCTGAGGTTTTTGATCTGTGTTCCACTTATTGCTACTTAAGTGTCTTATTTTAGTGACAATACACCTCTTCTTATTCACTCAAAAATAACATGGTAGTAAAAAATTGAAAACTGGAAACTATATTAGGAATAATAGGAAAGTTTATCAAATAAAAGCATGAATGCATATGTATTAGTTCCTTCTCATGTTATAAAGACATACCCAAGACTGGATAATTTATAAAGAAAAAGAGGTTTAATGAACTCACAATTTCACGTGGCTGGGGAGGCCTCACAATCATGATGGAAAGCTAAGGAGAAGCAAAGGCATGTCTTACATGGTGGCAAGCAAGACAGCTTGTGCAGGGGAACTCCCCTTTATAAAACCATCAGATCTCGTGAAATATATTCACTATTATGAGAACAACATGGGAAAAACCTGTCTCCAGATTCAATTACCTCCCACCGGGTCTCTCCCATGACACATGGGGATTATGAGAGCTACCATTCAAGATGAGATTTGGATGGGGACACAGCCAAACCATATCAGCATATATAATTGTAAAATAACTATTTTTTAAATCCAACAAATAAATTCTGCCCATATCGAATGGATATTTTTTACATTAACTTATTGGAAAATGGTACCCCTAGGTGATATCCATTTAATAATAGGATAAATATAGTTTTTTATGTGAGAAATTCTATAGTAATATGATTAAACAAAAAAAGGCAAAAATTAAACAAAATAAAAATTAAATAAAATAAAATACATATAAGAGGTAGAAGAGAAGTGTCAACACTGGCACAATATTTTAATTCAAAAGTAGGCAAACTGTATTTCTCAGGCCAAATCTGGCCCCCTACCAATTTTTATAAAGTTATTGAGCTAAAGAAGTTTCTTACACTTTTAAATGGTTGAAAAATTATAAGGTACATTAATATTTTATGACACGTGAAAAGTAGATGAAATTCAAATTTCAGTGCCCATAAATAAATTTTATTAAAATACAGCCACAACTCATCCATTTATAAATGGTCTCTGGTTCTAGGCTGCTACAACAGCAAGGTTGAAAAGTTGTAACAGAGATCTTATGTCCCACAAAGCTTAAAATATGTACTATTTGTGTTTTTACAGACAAGTTTGTCAATGCCTGTTTTATCTAAAGATTTATGATTTTTACCTGTTTGAAGAATATTAATGGACGTGCCACTCCTTATGCCACTTTGGCATAAGGATTATTTTGAAAGCAATTAAAGAGTTACAAGAAAAGGTCTGCACCCTACGCCATTTGCCTAAAAACAGGAAATATATTGTCAAAGATGTCCCTCCTCTCCTCTCCACCACAAATGGCAAAAGTTAATCATTGGAGACACTTTTATACCCTTATCAGTCCAGAGACTATACCAGATAAGTCTATGTAACAAGCATTACTAACTAGCCTTTATCTGTCATTGGTTTCCTTCCTACAACATATCTACTTTCTTACAATTTCTTGCCCTTGGAAGCCTACCACTGCTTTCCTTTCATTTCTCTAGATTTATTACTCTTTGTCAATGCTGCTGTATAATCCCGAGTTTTAAGCCACTTTTTCAAGTCACTCATCTCTTGTTAGTCCCATTTTACATGCATGATACACATGTTAAACTTTTGCTTGTTTTTCTCCTGTTAACCTGCCTTTTGTTACAGGGGTCCAGCTGAGAATTTGGAAGGGGAGAGGCAAATGCTTTTTCCTCCTCTACAATAGTATAAATATGCATATGTATGTTTTGAGTCCTCACTAATTGTCATATACTATCCATGTTTTATACCCATTTTTTGGCCACATAATATATTCAATATCTGTTATTTCACTTAATCCTTGAGTTAATCATGCGAGGAATGTGCTAGAATTAACCACATTTAAAATATACAAATACTGGAATTTACATAGAATGTATAATTTCCAGAGTCACACATCTGAAACTCAAGCCCTGCTTAAGTCTGACTCCAAAGCCCATACTCTCTTATCTTTTTTTACTGCTTTATATTTTTAGTTACATATTTATGAATTTAGTGACATGTTTATGTATACTTAAAAACTGATTAAGACAGCAGAATCTAAAGCAATTATTAACACATTTATTTTCATTTTAATTTCAAATAAATCATTTGCTATTTGAAGAAAATTATTCTTGAATGACAACAAGTCATGCACCTAACGTTGCCAGATAGAGCCTTCTTAAACAAATGAAAAACAGTTATAAACAGACAAATGCATTTTCACCTTTTTCTCCTTTAGAATTTTCTGTCTAGGAAGGGCAGATAGTCATGTTGAAAATCACACATTCTAAAAGCCAAGGGAATAGTCCTGAAAACACCTGTGAGATAGCAGATACAAATTGAATGAGGCAGAGAAGGGAGGGAATATTAAACAGAAGAAACTGGCCCTATGCTTAACCGCCTAAAATTACCCTAGGTTTTCTTATGCTAAATTCATAACAGATGAAGTTCAAGTGATAAAATTGTGCCAAGTGAGGAATCATAACCTTTCTAATGCTGTGAATCAGGGATTAATTATTACTGGGAATAATCATTAACATTGTCCTGACACCTGGACCCAAAAAAGCCTCTTCTCCAGCAACCCTGCAAAATATGATCCTGTAAGAAAAATGTCCCATTCTGGATCTTAGGTTGGAATTGACTCAGAATAGAATTAGAATATCTAAAAAATGTTCTAATACAATTTTGTTAACCTCTATGACTTTTATACATTCTTTGAGAATAAAAAATATGTGTGAAAAATTTTCTAATTTGAACCATAATATGAAAGGGAAAAGGGAGATAAGTTAAAGAAAAAAATTATATATATAAATTTACGAAAAAAGTCTCCATTTTATTCACTCAATGGATGGCACTTAACATAGCATGAAAACAAGGAAGCAATTTCTGTATACGTCACTGTCTTTATTAGATGTTTCACGTATATGATAATATTCTATTTCAGCTCTGTGAAACAGAACATTTTTTTCTTATTTAGGAATTGAAACTTAAAAAACAAAAACAAAAGTAGCTGTGCTAGATCGTCTTTGATCCACAGTTGGTTGAATCTACAGATGCGGAACCTGTGGATATGGAGAGCCAACGGTGCTCTGAGCACTACAGTAAGCTGTGACCTCAGAACAAAGACCAAATCCAGTCTGTGGCTGTGACACTTCTTGTTAAAACCAATGGAAAGTTGAAGGTGCATGTAATGGATCTTTTAAGTCAGACAATAAGGCTCCTAGGAAATGCAGGAGCATGAGCCCATGGAATCTTGAAGTAGCCAAACTTTCAGTAATTAAGGATAAAGAGAGATGATTTTTAAAAGCATTTTAGAAGCGACTCTGGCACACAGATTTGGCTGGAATCAAATACATGGAAACTCAAAATATTTCAAAAGACCTGTACTGGCAAAGGTGCCACCTGCCTGTAGTAAAAAATATGAGGCACAAAAGAAATTCATTAAGAAGCTGAAGAAGAAATATGGTCAATGACCTTTTCAAAAGTGGTCAGGGAGAGTTATGAAAAGTGGAAATTCCCAGAGTCAAGTCTAGAGCTGCAGAGAACAATAGACTGAGTTGAAATGAGGTCCAATCAAGGAACATTTTCTATCCTCAGAGTAAGGAAAGTGGGCAATATTTGCTCAATCGGATCTCAGAGTTACTAAAGATCAATAATAGCTGTAGGCCTACCCTTCTTTGCACTTGCAATAGAAGTGTTTACTGTGGTTATCCTGTCCCTGTTCCACCATCGTATGTTGAATGTATGAGATAAGAGGGTTGCAGGTAATATATCTTAGCTCTTCTGATTTAGGGGCACAGGATATAGATCTGATCAAGCCTGATGCAATGATAAGATGGGACTCTGGGTATATTTTGGAGAGTAATAGGGTATTTTTCATATGGGGACACAGAGTACCCAAAATGAAGATCATAGCTGTGGCAACCATGAAAATGTCTGTGGGGGCCACAGGCTCTTGGCCTTGTAAAGGTTTTCTAAAAACCACTGACATGAGGCAGATTGATTAATAGGAAAAAAGGCATACAAATTTATTTAACATGTATACACAGGAGACTTCACAATGATCTAACTTCCTTATGAGTTACAGAAACTTATATACCATTTTGAGATTACTGAAAGAATGAGGGCTTAAATTCTGGTAGTACAGGTTATAGGAGGGGGGAAAGAGGCTTGGCTAGCAAAGATGGCCTTGCTATGTAGATGAAGCCTCCCTCAGAAGAAACAGATTGTATTTCTTTTCAGACTTTTAAAGGTACGTGACTCTTACTCTCTCAGATCCTGGGTCATGGCTGAATTAATAGAGATTATCTACAGATGCAGATTTTCCCCACTTAAGACAGCTATGCAAGGCCATTTTTATCAGGACGGCCAAGTAGCAGCCATTTCAAAATACGTCAAACAAATATATTTTGGGGTAAATTATGTTAATTTCCTTCATCTCACCCAAATATCTTAACTGTGGGGAGGGTGAGTGTGATGCTGGATATATGCAGTTATGTCTATGAAGTGACCAGTGATCTGTCTGAAATGGGTGGATAACCTGGGGGTGGTATTTGTCCTCACTGGATAAGCTTCAAGTTATTTAGGGAGTTCCAGTTTAAAATATGTATCTCTTAAAATCATCTATATTTTTAAAACTTTAACTTTTACACACTAAGCAACAGAATACCCAAGAGAGAGAAAGTAAACATTTAAGTATTAATTGTTAATAAATAATTTAAAATATTCTGCTTGCATAACAACATCTTTTAATTAGGTTAAAATTGTATACTGAATCGTAGATCTAAAATAGCATGTCCTTATAAAGATACATTTAATTTTCAATATCAATTGGTATGTTTAAAGAAACTTGCTTTAGAAATCTGAGAACATAAAAATACTTGAGAGAATATTGCAAATATGATCACCACAATTGGCTAATACCTGTAAGAAAAAGGGTACAGATTCTGGAATCTGACATGCCACTTACCACCTCTGTGTCCTGGAAAGTGTATTTAACTTCCCTGAACATCAGAATCATTTTCTGTAAAGTGGAGCTGATATTAAAGCCTTGTACAGTTAGTGTGAAATTAATTGCTATGGTATATGTAAAGTTTTTCTTGAATGGTAAAATCTCAACAATTGAATTTCACGCCTCTCCCCCTATGAATACTCACAGACATGTTTTCTCAATGCATAAGGAATTGTTTATCAGACATGAAATATGAAGTTGGAATTTGTAAATGAATTTGTGGGCTTAGGACAAAAAGCACCCAATTCCATTGATTTATTGTCCAGTCTGTCCTTCACATAGTGCTAGTCAACATATCAGAATTAGTTGTTCTATTTGATGGCTGCCTTTCTCATTCACCATAGTGGCTTGGTAGAATGTTGATTAGCTGTTAGATCAAGGTATAAGAAAATTAGATTAACTTAAATTGGCAAGTAATTTTCAAATAAGTAGGCTTTAAATTCAGTCATAAAGTGTAAGGGTGGAAGCTGGTCTGAATTCGTTAAAACCTTATCTATTGGGTATGTATCCAGATTGCTTTCCTTGAATTTTGTGTGGCCAGTTGCCACATTTAAGTTGGACATGGGGTGAGGAGGGTAGGTGTAATACTGAGCTCATGCAGTGTTATCCAAGAAATGACTAGTAATCTACCCAAAATGAGTTTGTAGCCAAAAATAAAATTCTAACTGACTGATGGACACACCCCTTGGCTAAGGGCATTCCAAAGTTAGCCTGAAAAACTAGCTCAGCCCATGATGGGAAGTGGAGATCAGACAGGCTTCATTATACCCTTCTCCTTTTGGAATTCAGGCACAGCTGATAGCATTAACATTAAAACAAAGGCCTTAAGACTGATAGAACAGACTCTTTAAGTCTGTTAAGTTTACAATCTATTCTCTCTTAAATCTGCTACCTGGAGGCTACATCTGCATGATAAAACCTTGATTTCCACAACCTTTTATCATAACTCAGACATTCCTTTCTATTGATTCCAGGTCTTCAGTTAATAACCAATTGCCAATCAGAAAGTCTTTGAATCCACCTGTGACCTGGAAGCTCCTGCTTCCAGTTGTCCTGCCTTTCTGGACCGAACCAATTTACATCTTACATGTATTGATTAATGTCTTATGTCTCCCTAAAATGTATAAAACCAAGCTGTAGCCCAGCTACCTTGGCCACAGGTTCTCAGAATCTCTGGGGGCTGTATTGCATGCCATTGGTCACTCATAATTGGCTCAGAACAAATGTCTGCAAATATTTTCAGATTTTGACTCTTTTCATCAACAAGTTGATAACTTTGAGATGATGTATTTTCTGTTGGAAGAGCCCTGGGATCCTACCTCGTTCCACTTTCACATTCTCCTTTCTACTGCTCTGTCCTCCCAATCTATTACTCACTATATCTGAGTTTATCTCAACTTAGGCTCTGCCTTCATTGTGTATCAATACCACAACATTTTTTGAGAACTGCTGAGTAAAGACTTGTCTACATGCTATGTAAGCTTATAAGGATGTCTAACCCCTTTGACCCTATGCCATATATATTCTTTCCTTTATCAAGTCATAGATCATATATGAGCAACATTCTTTACAAAATTATTTACTTCCTTCCTTAATTTCCTATAATTGTTCTATCCTTCTCTGCAATTGATGACACACCAAATCCATGCCTCAAGCTAAACCCTGTGCAGGTCCTCATTTTTTTTTTTTTTTTTTTTTTCTGGATGCCTGAGAATAGATTCCAAGCCTTAGGAGTATGTAAATAGCCTGAATATGAGATTTGTCCTAGTCACAATTGTGACAATGGCAGCTTTTGTCTTAAGCACAATAAGAAAGAGAAAAAGAAGTGAGCTTTGGGACTTTAAAACATTGGATTTGAATTGTAACTTTACCTCTACTTTCTCTGATGTTTGAGCAATTCATTTAACCACCCCTAAGCTTCAATTTGTTCTTATTTGTAAAATAGGGACAGAGTTTTTTTTGAGAATTAAGTGAAATAATGTGTATAAGTATTCTAATTATTTTCTTTGCATGAATTATGTAAAATCCCGAGTACTTTCTAGGTGTTTATGGTAAAATCTGCTATGTGAACCAGACCTGCAACCTTTTCTTCCTGGACATTCAGCTGCACTGTAATTTTCATGCAGATTTCCCATGCAGCTGTCCATAAATGGATTTCATTTTCTCAATCACTGAAGGTAGCTATATTGCTAGTGAATTTTTCCCTCAATTTAGAAAACTAGAAATACAAGATGTAAAACAAGTGATGTTAGATTTTATGTAACTGGAAATGAATTTAAGTCAAAGAAGAGCTATGATAATTTCCAAAGCAACTTGGTAGTTACATAGTCACTTGCTTTAATTTTGACATTCTAGATTAATAGAATTAATATTAGATTCCATAAAGGATAGTGTAGAAATCAAATGACTGTAACCTCTATAAAGACATGTTTTTTTAAAAAAACTTATATTTACCAATAAACTAAACAAATGAAGTTGTTGAGAAAATTTCCTACTTTCTAAAAATTTAAAGTTATAAAAAAAGAGAAAGTAAAGTTTGCAACTAAAGATTACATTGTTAAAAAATTTATCTTCTGCCATGTCTTTCACATATTAAAAACTAATTTAATAATTTAATAGTTTTATTTTTTAATTCAATTTAATTTGAATTAAATTTGCATGAAAAGAGTAGTCACTACAGCCATTTAGATGGGAAAAATGGCTTTAATACTCCATATATACACTTGTTTGAAGAGAGTGGAATCTAATTCTAATGCTTAAGATTTGCATATTACAGAAAGAAAAAAGCCTCATTTTAAGGCAGCATTATGATTTTCCATGACAAAAGCTTGAGTATAAGTTTAGATAGATCTGGATTCAAGTTCCAGCTCAACTCTTTAAATCAGCATAAAAATTTGTATAATTTTCCAATATCTTACAGCCTCCTTTTATTACCTATTAAATAAATATAAACAAATTTTAATGAAATCCATATCCTCTCCTGGATAAATGAAACAACAAATGTCTGTGGTATATAGCATGACCAACCTTTATTAGTCACTAAGGAAAATAATATTATCTTTATAGACTCACCTACTTAAAAAAATACTGTATTAAAACCCGAGTGTCTCAGCTTGTTTTCTACTCTGTAACAGAATACTACAGAAATTTATTTAGCTTATAGTTCAAGAGGCTGGGAAGTCCAAGATCGAGGAGCTATATCTGGTGAGGGTCTTCTTTTGGCTTTTAATGTGGCAGAAAGTATCACATGGTGAGAAGTGAGAAAGCATACAAGACAGAGAGAAAAAGGGGACCAAACTTATCCTTTTATTAGGAGCTCACTCTCAAGATAATAAACCCACTTCTGCTATAGCAGCATTCATCCATTCATGACGGTAGAGCTGTCATGACCTAAACACCTGTCAAATGTCCCACATCTTAATACCTTACATTGGCAGTTTAATTTCAACATGAATTTTGGAAGGGACATTCAAACCATAGCACTGACCAAACATGCTGAAGCTTCGTGTGAAAATTTATAAGATATCTTATGAAAATAAGAAACAGAGAGAAATCAGAAATTGACAAAATTTTCATTTGGTTATTCTGAGACGGGCGGATCACAAGGTCAGGAGATCGAGACCATCCTGGCTAACACGGTGAAACCCCATCTCCACTAAAAATACAAAAAATTAGCCGGCCGTGGTGGTGGGTGCCTGTAGTCTCAGCTACTTGGGAGGCTGAGGCGGAGAATGGCGTGAACCCGGGAGGCGGAGCTTGCCGTGAGCCGAGATCGCGCCACTGCACTCTAGCCTGGGCAACAGACACCACAAATAATAAAATCCTATTACATTTTGTTTGAAGGTGATAAAAAAGAAATTGTTTCTGGTGACCTTCTAACTAGAAAGAGATACAATCCTTTTATTAAAAAGGTACTCTGTTTTAGAGAGCAAATATATCAGAACCAGATATTTTTTTCTTTAGTTAGAGCCACAGGAGGGTTCATAGAAAACTACGTAAACGATTGCGTTTAAAATGGTCCATAAATGTCTAGCAAGTAGAAGCTTGTAGTAAATATGTAGGACAGAAGAAAAGTAAAGCCCTGAATTTTGCCCAGAAAACTGATTGAGAGTATTTGAGGAAACAAGGGAAGACCCTCATTGAGCTTAACAAAGAGTTGTCATAAATACACATTTTTTGAATGGCAACATAGATTGCATTTGTTTAGAAACCTATAAAGAAGGAATTAATAGGAGATAGCCAGGCATGGTGCTATAATCCTAGCACTTTGGGAGGCTGAGGAGGGAGGATTGCTTGAACCCAGGAGTTCAAGACAAGCCTGGGCAACATGGTGAGACCCCATCTCTACAAAACACTTAAAAAATAGCCGTGTGTGGTGATGTGTGCCTGTAGTCCCAGCTACTTGGGAGGCTGAGGTGGCAAGATTGTTTGGCCCCATGAGATGGAGGTTGCAGTGAGCAGTGATCACGCCACTGCACTCCAGCCTGGGTGACAGAGTGGGACCATGTCTCCAATAATATATTATCATCATCATCATCATAAGAGAAACCAAGCCCAGTGGAACAGTTTTCCACAGGAAAGAAAAAGGTTTTCATAAGAAAGTTTTAGAGATTTTAGCACAGGATTAAGTAGATGAAAAGTCAAAAAACCAGGGCAACTCCCTAACGCATATGACTATGATGGAAGAAGGGCTTACCTTCATTAGAAAGGGGTCACCAGAAGCACTGGACAGGCAGAATTTAAAACAAAACAAAACTTGCTAGATCTTTGAGTGCCAATCTATTTCAAGGTATTGAAGTACCCATGATGTGTTACAACAATAAAGTTTCTAAACTAAGATTTTGAAAAATCACATATTATTTCAAAGAATACATTTGAGTACAGCCTAATAATTGATGTAAATTTATATTAAAATTAAACTCTGTGATCCGATGTGAAAAGCTGAAAGTGAGGACAATAGAATACTGATTTTCTGGCAACTAGTGTCCTGGGCTTAATATCCACTGGTAAATAAAATAAACAGCAGCTTTATGGATTATTCAAAGGCCCAAAACTTGAGGAGAGTTTTATAAAGTTGTACACTGGAAGTAGAAGCAATAAAATGGACATGTTTAGATCCCCAACATCGGTAAGAGATTAATTGTAAACATCTTTCAGTTTAACCAAGGGGTGTTATTCATGGGAGTACTCCATGTTTATATAAAAAATGTGAATGAGATGAAAATATAGGTAGAGGAGTTAAACAGGCTTCAACAGTCCCTAATTTCTGATGTTCTCTTGCACAATCTTCTTCCCTTTATTGTATCTGAGACTCATGACTTGCTTCTAACAACAGAGAACAGTAAAGGTGAGAGGATGTATCATTCCATGAATAACTCATGCTGTGTAAGACTTTGTCTTGCTGGCCAACTTGCTCTCCTGGCTAAAGATAATAAGGAGGTGTTCTAAGTCACTCGGTCTATGATGATTTGTTGTACAGCATAGAAAACTAATACAAGGAGATCCATCAGTCCTTCACAGAGTAAGAATATCTTGGTAAAGGTAGAGATGTCTTTGGAATACAAGTGTTTTTAGGTTCCAAGATTACTAATCCCTTTTTTCAGGTAACTTACTAGCACTGCTAAGAAGGTTCATTTTATAGCTAGTAATTATGTGAAGTTAGGCTCCAGCTCCAAATTCAAAATAATAATAATAACAATAAAAGGGAAAAAATTCCTGTCAAATTTGTTATCCAAAGAAGTTAATGATTTCCCTAGTTCATTTTTTTCTCTTTTAAAAATATTTTTATTTTTAATTTAGCTAAAATTGTAGTCAGTGTTTACCATCTTAACCATTTTTAAGTGTATAGTTCAGTGGTGTTAAGTACATTCAAAAATCTTTATATTTTGCAAAGCTAAGAGCTCTATACCCACTAAAAAACTACACATTCCATTTTGCCCCCAGTTCCTAGCATCCGTTATTCTACATTTTGTCTTTGAATTAGACTACTCCAGGTACCTATATAAGTGAATCATACAGTATTTATCTTATTGTGATTGGCTTATGTAATTAGCATAATGTCCTCAAGGTTTATCCATGTTGTAGAGTGTGATAGGATTTTCTTCCATTTTAAAGCTGAATAGTATTTCAGTGTTATGTATATACTACATTTTGTTTATCTATTTATCTTTTAACAGATACTTGAGTTGCTTCCACATTTTAGCTATGTGAATAATGCTGCTGTGATATGAGTATACGAATATTTCTTTGAAACCTGGATTTCAATTATTTTGGATACATATACAGAAGTGGAATTGCTGGATCATAAGTTCATTGTATTTTTAATTTGTCAAGAAACTGACATAATGTTTTTCACAGTGGACACACAGTTTTACATTCCCATCATCAGTGCACAAGAGTTGTAATTTCTCCACATCTTTGCCAATATTTGTGATTTTCTGATTTTGTATAGCAGATATCCTAATGAGTGCAAGTTGGTATCTCATGGTTTTGATTTCTGCTTCCCTAATGATTAGTAATGCTAAACATTATTTTATGTGCATATTGTTCATTTGCATATCTTCTTTGGAGAAATGTCTATTCAAGTCCTTTGCTCATATTTAAATCGAGTCATTTGTTTAGTTGTTGATGTATAAGAGTTATTCATATGTTCAGATATCAACCCTTAACAAACATATGGTTTTCAGAGTGTTCACCCATTCTATAGGTTGCCTTTCCTTCAGTTGATTGTATCATTTGATGTGTAGAAGTTTTAAATTTTGATGTTGTCCACTTTATCTATTTTTAAAATTTTGTTCCTTGTGTTCTCTCTTTCTCTCTCATCACCCTAGTATTCATGAGTGCTCCAGTTCCAGGTTTAAAGTGAAACTCAGAAATAGTGATCACACTAAAGTAAATTTGTTTCTTTAAAAAGGTAAGAATGTTGTTGCTGGGCTTAGAAATATGAATAACCATATGCCAGATAGATGGATGGATAGATAGATACATACATACATACATACATACATACATACATACATAGACAGATAAAACCCCAGAGGTCAAGGTATCAGAAAACATAGGAAATATTATGTTCATGCCCCTGAAAAGTGCAGTCAATCAATTCTCTTTCTAGGTTTTATTTATTTATGTGAATTCAAAGTGTTTATTAAACAGATAAAAGCCTCTCAACTTTTTGCTTTTCCTACCTCTCTCAGGCCAAAAATTCTGATTTTGCAGGATTTTCCTGCTACAGTTTTTATATAATGAAGCATGGGCCAGTAAAAAGCGTGGGATAGAATTATGACTCCCACCTTAATTTGTTCAATTTCATGAGCTATTTGATGCCTTCCACAATGCAATTTTAATGAGTGAGCAAACCCCAATATGGGATTTAACTAATTTTTCTCTCTTAGTTCCTTTTTCTACTCTCAGATATGGCTAGCTTTTTCAGTTGCCAAGAATATATGCCCTCATTACTTACTCAGGTGGTTTAAAAGTGACTACAGGAAGCAAATGACAAGTATTTAGAAAAAGGAGTTGTCTGATCCATTTACATGGAGTACTTATTTGAAGGCTTTATACAACCTTCCTCACATCCCTATTACCATCATCATCACACAATGGGATGGAATGGAGTAGGTTGATAAGATGTAGTCAAAGGCTCCAGTCTTTCTACTTTTCAGGAATACTTGTCTAATGGTAAAAGAAATGCACTGATTAAACCATGTGAAAACTGTGAAAGAAGATGGGACTTAGTGAATAGTTCTCTAGAAAGAGACGGCACCCATCTCCTTATTATCCGTCTGGCTGACCTGCCCAACGGAAACATAGTTTGTTAAGTATAAGACATTCTTTGGCCAGGTTTTAGGACATACATTGGCTATAATACAGAGAAGCAGGGTACAACATGGTAAGTGATTTCACTAGTGAGGGCTTTATGCAAAATAACTGACTGTTTGGCAAACAACCAAAAGTTCATCTCAGGATGGGTATGATATTTGGCATATGACCCTACCTTTGAGACTTGATGATAGCCCCCTGAGGAATATAAAGGAAACTTGGATTTCTCAAATATGTTTTTAATTAAAGGCAACTCAGTGGAGTATTAAAAAAACAAAACCTCACTTTGTAACTTTAAGTAATTGTCTCTCTAGATCTCTGTTTTTTAACCTATAAAACTGATGCTAAATAAATGAGTTGAGTTAATTTCCCAGCTCTTACCTCTCTTGAAATGCATTTTATTCAAAATCAATGAAGTATGTAGGAAAATCAGGTCAGTGGATGTATACATAATCACATGACTTCACATACCTCATAATGGGTTTTGCCTTATTTATAATTCAAAGCAAATTACAAACAAAGAGGTTAATTACAACATCTCACACAGTTAATGCGGTGTGCTTAAATGTGGATGTGAGGGTACTGCAAAAGGTAAGCTCCTCACAGTAAATTTACCAAGTCTACATTTCACATATGGCAAATTTCTTATGAGTATTTAAGGCTTTAAATCAGGAATTTTGCATAGCATGCGTATATGTTGATATTACAGGAAGTCTTTACTTTTTTATAATTTATTTTGGCTGTAATAAAATCTGCAACTCACATTTGTATGCAATAAGATATAGGCTCCACTTCTTCAAGGTCTTTAACTACCATCTTTACTAGCGCAGGAAAATGTTATAAAAATGTGTGATTTGTGGGTGCTCAGTATAGAGATGAGGTAAGGGGCAGGGTGGCATAATGGCTGTGTTATATAATAGATGTGTAATTTGGTTTACTTGATAACCATTTCTCACTACGAATTAAATTAAACTCATGTAGAAGTCATAACTTTTGAAAATCATAAATATAAAACTATAGAGAAAAATATAGCCACGCATCTCATTCTTTCATAGTAATATCGGCCCACACAAGTCTGCTAAGCAATGTGTGTACTGAGCACAATGAAAGATGACACTGAGGGCTTGCTTTCTTTTACTCTTTCTGTACTTTTTCTTTTCCTCTACATTTTTTTTTCATTATGAGGTGTGCCTACTATTCAGCAAACAATTACAGATGACAAACTATTGTACTAGTTCTGTCATGATTAGCTGAAGAATATGCTGGCAGAGACACGAATAACGCTCAGAATTTTTCACTCAATCTTCTAGTGCAGTATTACTATTAATTCATTCTAGAATTATACAGACATTAGCATGGTGCATAATTATGGTAGTAATTTTCTGTAATATTATAATGTCAAATAAATGTTAGGATTGCTATTACAAAAGAGGAAAGATAGAAATTTATCTTATTCTAAACTTCATCATCAATGAATTAGTCACCTCAATTGCTATCCAAAAAGTCTACCTATAGAAGTTATCTAGAAAATACCACAACCTACATAGCAATAACAATTGCTGCATAAAGTTATTTCTAAACAAGTAATTGTAGCAGATATTTGCAGCGTAATTCTGACGAAGAAAAGAGAGGACACAAATTTGGATGTAAATGTGCTTTGCTGTATGTCATAAGCATGTGAATGAAAGGTCAAGGATTTATTATTTTAAAAGAATTCAAGTGGGGAGGGATGTTTTATAGTGTAAATAAATAATCATGCCCTTATTTAATTTTAAGTTCAGAATTCTCAAATTTTATTTAAAATGCAGCACATTTGTATGAGATGTAAATAGAAAATCTGAGAAGTTTGTCTATAATGCATTACCTAATAAACATTAATTCATTTATCTATTATGTATTTACCAGATATACACCTACCATGTCTTTTGTTCAGAATAGACTAGATCTTTCTGCCGGAACAAATAACACTTATCTTATTGACTTAAAACAACACAAAAGGCATATTTCCTATACACTTTTCGTATTGGTAACAGGATGATTATGATCTCTGCTCAGTGTCATGCCACCTTCCCTTTGGGATCCAGGCTGATAAAGCAGTCACTATAGCTACAACATGCTAGATGTTGTGGTAGAATGGAAAGGTAATATGGTCAGGCATGCATGTCTCTTAAAGCTTCTACTCAGAAGTGATAGGTGTCACCATGAGTCACATGTCATTGGCCAATGCAAATCACATGATGTGAGCCTGACCTTTCATCTGAGAAATGAAACAAACATAATTTAATTTTCGTGTGTTTAGATATATGGGCATACTTCATTTTAATGTGCTTTGCTTTATTGCACTTAGCAAATTAACTGTATTTTTTATAAGTTGAAATTTTGTGACAATCCTGTGTTTAGTAAGTCTCTTGGCTCCATTTTTCCAACAGCACGTGCTCACTGTTTGTCTCTGTGTCACATTTTGTTAATTTTCATAATATTTAAAACTTTTGCTTCTTATGGATAAGCAAAGAAAGTGGCTTCTTGAAAGAAAGTCTACTCCTGGTGAAGATACCGTGAACATTGTTGAAAAGACAACAAATAATTTAGAATATTACATAAACTTAGTTAACAATGCAGTGGCAGTATGTAAGAGGATCAGCTCCAATTATGGAAGTTCTACTGTGGGTAAATGCTATCAAACAGCATCACATGCTAGAGAGAAACCTTTCATGAAAAGAAGAGTGGGCTGGGTGTGGTGGCTCACATTTGTAATCCCACACTTTGGGAAGCCAACGTGGGAGGATCGCTTGAGCTCAGGAGTTTCAGACCAGCCTGGGCACCATGGCAAGAGTCCGTTCCTACAAAAAAAAAAAATATATATATATATATACACGTATATATATATATATATATATATATATATATATATATATATATATATATATATATACGTGTGTGTATATATATATATGTAGCCAAGTGTGGTGGTGTGCTTGTAGTCCCAAGTATTCAGGAGGCTGAGGTGGGAGGAGCACGTGAGCTCAGGAGGTCAAGGCTGCAGTGAGTTGTGATTGCTCCACTGCACTCCAGCCTTGGTGACAGAGTAAGACCTTGTTTCAAAAAAAAAAGAAAAAAAAAGTCAATTTATGCAGCAAACTTCATTGTTGTCTTATTTTTAAATACTGCTATAGCCACCCCAACTTTCAGAAACCACCACCCCATTAGTCAGCAGTCATCAACATCCAGGCAAGACCTTCCACCAGCTAGAAGATTATGACTTATTGAAGACTCAAATGATCATTAGAATTTTCCAGCAACAAAGTAGTTTAAAATTAAGATCTGTACATTGTTTTTAGACATAATGTTATTGCATACATAATATACTACAGTATAGTGTAAAAATCATTTTTATATGCACTGAAAAAACAAAAAGTTAGTGTGACTTGCTTTATCATGGCAGTCTGAACTGAACTCACAATATCTCTGAGTTATGCCTGAACTTTCCTGTTCCTAAGTTAAATAATACAGGAAAGCAAAAGTCACTTTGTTACTTGTCCCAGAAAATACGTGTGCCTGAGAAATGTGATTGTTAATGAAATACAAGATCTTATTTATCAAAATTAAGAGCTCACTGCTAAAAGTGACTTCAAGATCTTTACTTTCTTGTGTCCACAAATACAAGCTATTAAAGCTATTATGTCATAGACACTTCCCAATCTCAGCTAACTCCCCTTTTGCAGTACACACCTTGAAATCATCCAACTCAGGTCCTAAAGCCCTATCAATATTCTCCACTGACTTCCTTCCTCTCGCACATTATTAAGACCCTATCAGGATAGTATTCTTTCTTACTGTAGCTAGTCAGAGAGACTTTGCTTTCCTTGATAAGTTTTTCTGTCAATCATTTTGAGGAGTGGGCATTCAATGTATGTCTACTTTCTACACTTTGAAGAAAACAAGAAACTGAATTGAATTTTAATGTTAGGTGTTGTGATGGACATTAGAGATATAGAATTCAATAGGGTCTAGGTTTTGGCATGTGGTAGTTGTTTTATGACATTTGTTAAATGAAGAAATAAAATATAGATCAAATGGCAATACTGTAAAAACTTTATGTTGTTAAGAAAATGATGATAATAGAGTTAGCACAATAAATAACAAAGGTATATATTCATACAAACTTACTGCTGTGCAATCCAATATTTTAACTTGGTTAATGTTTTCTAATTCACTTGTTTCTTGGATTTGTGAGTAAGAGTAACCCACAGATGGGTGGATAGCTTCTCCTAAATATCAGAGTGAAACAATTTCATAATCACTGGAGAGCTTCCAAAAGAATATTTAGTCTAGAAGAGAATAATATATTAGATTTTTTCTTAAGTTTCTTTCTTTTTTATATTTCTAAATCCCCAAGGACATGATATTCTTACCCCTGATACAATGAAGATGTACGATAAAAATTTTTGAAAGAATGAATAAACAGCAATCCCATTCATATTGTGGCATATGTTGTGCTGACACTTTATGCAAAATCCCGTGCTGGTTTTAAAGATCCAAAGATGAATAGTGTATAGACACTTGAGGCACCTTTGTAAAAGGAATTAAGTCTCAATAAAGTCTAGAAACCACCATGGTTTCTAGAATATGTGACATACCTCTGCCTTCTCATAACCCTACATGGCTAAGCATATTTTCTAAAGAAATAATTCTATGACAAGCAACATGGTATAATGGAAAGATTTCTGAAGTTAGAATGTGTTTCCAATGCCAACACTCACATTTATTTGATTCTCGATGTGAATTTTGGCATCTCTATGCCCCCTGATGTTGGTTTCCTCATTTGCAAAATGAGAGTTGATATTTATATTATAGTTGTGTTGGGAGAATGTGAATATGGAATACTTGGGAAACAATTTAGCATTATCCGCAGTTACACCTGGCAAGTTGTTTTTGTGTTCTTCACTTCTACTATCTCTTCTTTTTGTCTCTTATCTGTCACTCTTTATCCTCCTCTGGCATTTTATATCCAGCAGTGAATTGTAATCTTATATTAACTTGTTTGCCTACTTCCCTTAGCACCTTCTCTGAGGACAGGACTACTTTATTCATCTTTACATCCCATACATTTAGTACAGAGTCTAGTGTATAGTAGATGGTTAATAAATCACTTGAAAACGAAATGAATGAAGAAAAGGATATGTTAATTAATGAGTGAATAAATATCTAAATAAAATAAATGAGCTGTGGAATATAACAATTGTCAACAGAGTGCTCTGTTCAATCATTGAAGTAAGAGAGAATCACTGGCCTCTCTCTTCTGTGTAACTTTTTTGAAGCTAACGATGTAATATGTGTAGCAAAGGTTAAAATCAGCACTGGTGTTTTCCCCAACTTCTTTGATAATAGGAATTACTTGAGTACTTATGAAATATACAGCTTCCATGACCTTTGTCGTGAAAAGTTTAATTTTTCAGCCCAGGATATCGCTAATAAATTTGTATTTCTAGGAAGCACTTCTAATCAGTATATAACATGAGTAAAACTGGGGTATTGAGAGGTTTAGTAACATACTCAGGTCACAGGACTATATATGTAATAGCTGAGATTTGAAATTTGGAAAATTGATTTTTAAGTCTGTGTTCTTAATTTTTCATAATTATTTCTTCCCTAACAATAAAAACCTTATACTTGTACAATGCTACACAATTTAAAATGTGTTACATTTACGACTGCAGAGAACAAGTGATACTTACAGAGATCCATTAAGAGTATTTCAGAGTAAGCACCACATTTAGGTTTGAATTTTGTAGTACATGATGGGACAGTACCATGTAGTTATTGACCAGACTTTTCAAAAGCTATCATATTAGTTTCCTATTGCTGCTGTAAAAAAATCACATCCTTGGATGAACACACACAAATGTATTGTCTTACAGACCTGGAGGTCAGAATGCCAAAAGAGTCTTATGAGGCTATAATCAAGCAATCAAGATGTCAGCAGAGCTGGTTTCTCATGAAGCCTTTAGAGAAGAGACCATTCCTTGCCTCTTCCATCTTCTAGAGGCTGCTAGGATAGCTTGGCTTGTGGCTGTAGAACTTTAGTCTCTTCTTCCATTGTCATATTGCCTTTTCCTCTTTTGTTTCTCCTTCCACCCTCTTACAAGGACCCATGTGATTACATTAGGCCCACCCAACTAATCTAGAATAATCTCCTCAATTCAAGATCTTTAATTTAAATCACGTCTACAAGGCTGCTTTTGCCATGTAAAGTGATATATTTACAGGGTCTAGGATTTGGATATCTTTGGTGACCATTTTCAGGCCTACCACACCAAGAGCAGCATAAAGGGATTCCACAAAGGACAGTTTGTTAGCCTAGATGTCACTGAATCTCCTGCATTGCATATGCCAATAAAAGGATGGCGATTAGGTAAAATAAGTTTAATATTTTGGCTGTAACAGTTGTAGAAATGAAAACATAGGTTCTGATTTGAACAACATACCCTCCCTTTATGCCCAGGAAAAACAGTACACGCACTTACTCTAAGTCATCAATAGGTTTTCTGTCTTACATGGAAAGCACTGTCATGCTATCTCAAGGTAAAACCTCTCCAGGCATTGGGTGTTCAATGCTGTGCTGAAAGCATAAGTCAAAGTAACTTTTGTATTCCAGAAGAGTTCCCTGAGACTCTATCTGCAAATTAATAACAAATCACCCAGAATTTGAAATCATAAGAAATTACTTAGCAAGAGTTTACAGCTGCAAATCATGCCCAGTTGAAAGGTTCTACCTTTCTGAGACAGAAGCGTTTGCATAACAGAGAAAGTTCTGTAAAGAACTGCCCTATATTTAAGAATGAGTCCTCCTCTCATGTTAAAAATACCTTCAGCAACAAATTTTAGAAAGAAACTGAATCACAGTCAGCACAAGGAGTTGCTGGAGGTCGTAAAGGACTAAAATCTGTAATAATTTGCATATCTCTATCAGATAATAAAAAACAAAATGTTAACTGAAACAGTTACCGTTTATATAATCTCAGTGACATTGATCAAATTGGGAGCATGCCAAATAAAAACATGTTTTCTTATTAATTCCTTAATTGTTTTTCTCATTTTGCAAATTTGAGTTAATACATTGACAAGAAGATACAGTTTACTTTGCAGTAGAAACCAATGTGAATTTGCTAACCAGATGTGGGCTGCTAAATAGCAGTCACTTTTGAACTAATTTTCCTAGGCATTCTATTTATTTGTTAGTTAAGCATGAAGAAAATGTGGTGTTTTTCTTTCACAAAGATCCATTAAAAGTATTTCCAGGGTAAGGACCACTGTAGGGTTTGGATGTTGCAGTGTATGATGGGGCAGCAATGAGCATCCTGTGGATGACTTCTGAGCAGTGAAATTAAGTTGTTTGCAAAGCTGTCTTTGGGATCAAGGCAAATGAAGTGATCTGCAACTACTGGATGCTTGGCATAGCCCTGGGACATTACACGGAGTGCCTTGGAGGTGTTACTTCAAGCAAATCACTTAAACATTCTATACTTTAATCTCTCCATTTGTACAAGGCAGAAATTATATACCTGCTATGTCTTTATCTCCCAAGAGTACCTTAGAGACTTGTAAAATTTATTCATACTTCTAAAGCATTTCAAAAGAAAATTGAACATGTAGGAAATCAGAATAATCTCGTCATGTCATATTCCATATAGATTAAAAATATTCCTATCCTCAGATTGACTAATACCATCCTAAGCAATTTGTCTTAAAGGAATTATCCAAAAGATAGAATGTACTATAGTCAGTGAACAAAGATATTCTTTTAAGAATAATTTACAATAAAACACATGAAAGCAAGCTGCCTATGATATTTGATATATAAATAATAGAAATATGTTTAATTGATACACAGTTGTGAACTATTAAAAGTAATGATAATAAAATTAAGGTGACATCATTGAAAATTACTTAGTATTACATAAAGTAAAAATGAACACTATTAACTAATACCCAAATTATGTGTTCTATAAGAATGAATATTAGGGCCTGGCGCAGTGGCTCACACCTGTAATCCCAGCACTTTGGGGGGCCAAGGTGGGCAGATCACCTGAGGTCAGTAGTTCGAGACCAGCCTGGCCAACATGGAGAAACCCCGTCTCTACTAAAAATAAAAAAGTTAGCCAGGCATGGTGGTGTGTTCCTGTAGTCCCAGCTACTTGGGGAGGCTGAGGCAGGAGAATCACTTGAACCCAGAGGCAGAGGTTGCAGTGAGCCGAGACTGTGCCACTGCACTCCAGCCTGGGCGACAGAGCAATACTCTGTCTAAAAAAAAAAAAAAAAAAAAAAAAAAAAAAAGTAGAAGAATGAATACTTGAAGAGATATGCAAAATTAAAATGAATGATGTGTTTTGGTAGTGAGGTGCGTGATATTTATTTATTACATTTCTTAAACATCCGATAATGTTATATAGTATTTATCATTTTAACATTTTAAAATTAGAATTTTAAGATGAAAGAAATAAGGACACACATAGTTAACATGCTAGAATGTTGCCTTTATTTTTTTGCTCCTGCTGTTCTGTTTTTCCTTTCTTCCATTTCCTAGACTCAGCCAATACTACCATCTTCACTGGAAGCTTTCTCTGTAACTCATAGGAGTTTTTAAAGGTTTGTCATTCATTGTGTTCTGATAGTGAAAGTATTCCAGAGGGGCTTGCAGGCTCTGTCTAGCTGTCTCCCATCCTGGCTGCTCTTGGGTCATCCACACCACTGGCTGTAAAATGCCAACAAGAAAATTAATGGAGCATTCGCCTACACCCTGATTCCTCCCTAAGGAAGCCTGTCTCTGGGGAGCCACTAAAAGGACAGGAAAAATGTGCAGAAATCTCATGGGAATGGGAAGATGTGAAGACAGCTGGTGAATTTGGCAAACCCATGTCCCTGCAGAAACCTGTCATGCAGAAATAATGTGACCTGATTCTCTATGAATATGCATTTTATTGGACTAAAAGTGAAGGGAGCATCTCACTTTGTGAGTGCAGCTGTTTTTTAAAAAGTGTGCCAGACATACCCAGAACTTTGTATGCATGATCTCATTTAATTCTCATGATAACCCGAGAGAGAAAACATAATGCCCATTTTAGCAGTGAAAAGAATGGAGTCCTGAAAGAGTTAATTACTTTCCCAGTGACACACTGGTGATGCCTAAGCCTTCAACAATTCTGTGCGGTCTCAGAAGACAGTGTAACTAGGGTTATGCAGAAAATCCAGCAAAAGAACCAAACAAAATACTCTTCTCTTCCATATCAGGAAAGTCACAATCATGCCATTGGAGCAATAATGGACATGAAACAATAGTTCAGGGCCTTTATTTTAAGCTGCTGCTATTTGTCAGTTAGATACCTTTTGAGAATACAAGCTTTCCTAATCAAACTAGCAAGTGTTGGCCTCCTATTTTTTTTCTTTAAACAACTGAAATAATACTCCTGAGATGAAGTAAACCGTATCATGTTTAAGACCTCGTCTCTGGATTTTATTGTGTAATACCTCATCTTATAGCTAATGTGAGCAGTAAATGTCCATAATCATAAGTTTAGCCTGTAACCCAACGTCCCATGTGCATATATTTGGTTTCTTTCTATTTGCCTTTTTAGAAACATGTGGAGTTAATTTCTGTATACTCCTTTTGTCTTTATATCTCGTAGCGTCTAGGCCAGAAAGCTCACGTCGTAGGTGGGAGAGTATAGGCAATTTACATATATGATGAAATAATAAAGATAAAATAGATTCTTCGTTGTCCCCCATATGCCAGCCCTGGTTCTGGATCACGTTACACATTTTCTCAGTCTTTACAACTGGCCTTCACTATAGATAGTATTATTTCCATTTGCATCTGTGAGAAGGGTAAGGTTTAGTAACTTTCTCAACAAGATCACACTAGTGGTAAATTGGCAGCGTCAAGAATCTGAAACCAACATTTAAAGTCTTTTGCAAATGCATCAATATTCCTGATCTTCCCCCAGAGTATCTCAAACACAATAATACAGCCCATACCTCACTTCCCTGCTGGCTTTGATATGGTGCGCAGATTCTTGATTGTAAGCAGCAGAAACTGACTAATTAAATTTATTTTAAAGGATATGAGATACCTCAAAGAATCGTTAGCAAGGCTGCAGATTGAGCCATGGAAAAACAGCAGGAACAAAAACAGCTCCCAAGACCCTAGGCACAATTATGCCACAGAACTAGTCCTGTGAAGATAACATTGCTGCTATCATCAACCACTTGATGACGGAGCTTGCATCCCTACCATGACCACTGGCATTGAACGCTGTCTTTGCTTTTGGCCACTGCTACCCTGAAAACTCAGATAGCTGCCTCTTCAACTGCAGCCTTCCACTAATATGAGCCTCTCAGTGTCTCTGATTCTTTGCTTCATATTTCCTAAGTTGACGTTAAAGTGGGGTAAGGAGTGTCTTGTTGAACCAATGTCACACATCCATACTCTAGCCACAATGAGCACTGGGATATCAAGATGCTGACATTTTCAGCTTCTATTGTCATATATTGACTGTCATTGTCTTTCACCAAAGCTCAAAAATGCTGGTCATTACCAGTTCTCCCACTGTCTCTGAGAAATGTCAACAATGCATTTGAGTTTTTGTTTCTTACTCTTTTGGATTAAGAACATATAGGTTTCCTTTTAAAATGCAAAGAGAATCACCTAAAGAGGACAACACACTGCTATCAACAGGCCAAATCCTTAGTTTCTTTGTAAGATTATCTCAAGCAAAAATCAAAGCTCTAAAGATGAAATATAAAAAAAAAAAAGTTGGTTCAGGTTTAAGTGTAAGAAAATAGTCTGGGAAAAGAATAATTTCTAGAGGAAGGTAAAACTGTTTTTGTTGTTCAATTATCTGTTTTGCAGACCTGGGAAGTCGTGGTGGAGAAAGTAACTGAAAGGAAAATGAGACAATGTGAGTGGAAAGTAAGTTACAAATGGCCATGCATTCATTCAATCCTTGATTCAACAAATATTTTTGACTGCGTATGCTGTCAGGCATAGAAACAGGTGCTGGAGATAAAAATATGTGTAAAATTGCTCACTTTCTTCATAACGTTTGCTTTCTTCATGTATAGGCTGCTCAGCAGCTCACAGACATTTACCTGTCAGGAGCTAATTCTCCGGAAACCAAACTCCTTTTCTTCCAAAAATATCTACCTGACATAAAATGAAACTAGATTGCACTACTTCAGTGTTTAATATTCTGAAATCATAATTTTAGCCATAAATGCTGTTTCTTTCAAGTGATTGCTGTCTGGGGATTCTCATAGCAGCCTGAAGTTGGGGAGTAGTCAGATCCTTCCCTGGCTGTCACTGGCTTGCTTAAGTGACCCCAAGCAAATGAGTTAAGCATCTCTGGGACTTGGCTTTTTTATCTTTAAAAGAGGGATAAAAATATCAGCCACCTGTTGTGAAGATCAGGGAGCTAATATGTCTCAGAGCTTTCAAATATCTGGCTCTAAGCCTTTTGTTATCTACGTATTAAGAACAAAGACAAGTCCTCATTGCTTTCACCCAAATGCTGCATTCAAAGGAGGAAAAAATTACAATATTTGAGTTCTACAAGGCTTGAAAGTTATTTTGTATTAGTTTGAATTTCAAACTGTTTTTCTCTGTTGTACTCTTGGCACTGCCATTTTTTAAGTACAGCACTTCATTTGCATAATAATTACAAAGTTTAACAAATAGCATTAATGTCTGAAAGAAAGAGGTGCACTCCATTTAAATCACTGACAGTATTACATTACACATTTTAACTGCATTTTTTTTAAAAGAAAGCTATTCCATCCTAATGTGCTATACAGATTCCCAGAGCTCAGCATTATTTGTGCTTTAAGAAGGTAAAATCTCTTCCTGTGCTCTTTAGTGACTTCTAAAACCCTATTCATAAATACTGATTAGGCACTATTTCACCATAGGACAGAGCTCTGTTGGCACAACTCCCTACTCAAAGCCAAATTGGAAATGTTAGTATAGTAAATTAGGCCAAATGTCCTAGCTGTACTGTACAGGAAAGATCATCTTTAATAAATAGATGCTAATGTAGCACTTGGATCACTTATCGCTGTAAATGTCAACCCTTGGCCTTGATTCCAGGAAGTTTGAAAAAAAAAAAAAAAGACATTCAATGAATGTGTGCTATTTTAATGAAAAAAGAAGAATAAAGAGCAAACCTGAAATACACCATTTGTTTTTTGAAAGAGTGTTGAATTTGAACAGAAACTCACTGCTTAATAGTAGTATGAGGAGAGAAAAGGAAAAAATGAAAAGACTTTTAATTCTTCCTGCTTATGCCCATGTTGTATTTGTTTTGTTTTGTTTTTGTCTAGCTTTGTTCCTTTGTGGATTATAAATAATGTATTTTTAACTAGTTTTCTTTTCTCCTCAATTGTTTGTCCATAACTTCCTTTGAACAAACTTAGATCCACTAGAAATAAAGTATCCTTGATTCTGATTCCCTGCAAGCCATCCTACCACTTCTCCACTCATATGCTTTTATATCCAGGCAAAACTTGCAAACACATATCACACAACTCATGGGCAAACAACGTAAAAAATTCTATTAGAAAATTATATTAATTAGTAATTATTGTTTTATCCCTATATTTGGCCTAAGATAAGACAGCCTACTTTTAATTATAAAATATGTCTTTAGAGAGCATATAGGCATTTCAAAGAGAGAGACTATGCACATATGCACATATTATTTACCTCATATAAATAATGTATAAAAAATTTGATCTGGCTTGGTAGCTTGTCCAAGCATCCTAACCTACCTATGTTAACCACCTATGACTGGTTCAGTTATTTGACCTGAAAAGGTGAAGTGCAGTAACTAAAAGTAATCACGTTTTCCTGATTTCCAACCAAACACCAACCACTTGTTAGACCTTACAAGTCACTTAAATTTCCCAAGACTCACGGTCTTCTGTACACTGGTGATGACAGCACCTGTCTCATAGTTGCACTATGAAAGTGATGAACATGAAAGACTCAGTAAAATGCCATTGGCATGTACATGGATCCCAAGAAACAGGCAATATTGCCATCATTATTTCTAAACTGAATTATTTTGAGTCTTACTCATTAAGAAATTGTTATTTTATTCCCAGCTTTAGTCTGAAACATTGAACTCCTTATTGATAATTAATCACTATTTCAATGAAAAATTATGACTTGTTACTGGTATACCTTTAGTCTTAAATTTTCCCCACATATGATGTTTCTGGTTTATTTTTATTTTTTATTACATTTATTTCAAACTTTATCTTCTAAAACTTTAAAAATACTTTAGTAGTACTTAGCATTGTGAATGTCATGGTGTTTTCATTCAAAGTAAAATAATTTGTGTTATAATTTTTTCATAAGGTACAAATTATGTGATTTATCATGGGAAGATATCTATGATAGAAATCTAAAGGATTATGCTAGAGAAGCTTCTCTACTGTATCAATAATACTTAGGTAAATTCTCAAAAGAGCTTGATATAACCTTGATCATAATAACTATGGTGATAGCTGAGGTTTCTAAATTCTTTGATTCTCCCTACTCTGTGTCAGGACCCATTTTATGTCCTCCAAAAGACATATTTCTAACCTTTACCACAGCCATTCAGTAGAATAACTTTATTCCTACTTTAATATAAGAACTCCTGAAGGTGAAATAAGTCGTGAGGACATATAACTACAGGAGTCATCACCTGGATTTAAACCTAGGCTTTTTTTGTCTCATACATCTATGTCTTTTATTTTATCATTCCGTATTCTAATATTGAATTATAGTGATGCTTTGCTTAGTAATATTGATTGTTCAGGTATAATATTCCCCCACACAGTTATTTTTGATAGGTAAATTAGAGGTTATTTCTGTATGCATAAAAGGAAAAAAAAGTTTGTTTTATGTCCTTTGTATGTGATATGGATCTTTATGGGATCATTTTACTTGACTGCAACAGTTATTTTTAATTGTAGATATTACTAAAAAAAAGGATTAATCATTTCATAGTTCAATTCCAAGGAAAGATAGCACCATATGGATTCTCTAGGTAAACGGAGTCAAGATGAAGTCCTAATAACATAGGGTTAAGTGGAGTCTGATATTGTCTTGAGATGTGGATTCAGGACAGGTAAGGCAGCAACAACCACGTAACCATGTAAACATGGAACATGCAAAACGCATTATAGTTCCTGGGTAAGAGGGCAGTATGTTCCTAAGTTTATGTATGAATAGCTTAAAAACAAGCAAGTCAGCTATAGCAGGTACTGGAATCTTCAAGACGGTGAGGCTTTGCCAAGGATGAAATAGGTTCTATGTGAAAAGATTTGATGTTGCAAAATAACCCAACAATGGCATTGTAAGAGCTTCAGTGGCTCAAATGTGAAGAGTTACTGAAAACTGGGGATACTGTTTAGAATTCATGTTAAGACATTAGGGAAGACAGAAGTTTCAAATGGATTTCATTATTTAGTTTTCTACAAAGAAAAAAGACAAAATTATAAATATACATTTTATAGGTTAAACATTAATTTGAAGATGTGATGTGGTGTATTCTATATAAAAGTAATCAGAAAGAGGTAACACAGTATTAAAATAACCTATGATGGTTTCAAAAGAATATTAAAATAAATGGACATATAAGAAAATCAGAGATAATTTTGAAATATGCTGTTATATAATATCAGTATTATTTGTTTGAGAAATTTCCACAAAGCCCTTAAATATTTACAAGTTGAGAGCAAGCAGTATTCAATGAGCATTCATCTAACAAATAGAACTGAATTCCCCTATGTGCTTAGTGAGCACTCCTGATTGCTTAATTAATGTTGATTTTTCCGACATTTATCATTGTTCTTTTCTTTCAAGAGCACCAATTTTTCAGATGTTTATGCCTTGTCCATTTGTAGAAAATATGTTGATCAAACATATTGTCATATGTTTGACATATGACAAAAAATATGTTGTCATTCCCTTTGGTCTAGGGCTCAGATTGTAATTTAAGTTTACCAATCAGAGTGAAGGGATGGGTTGATTTTCTTTGCTGGGTGAGGAGAGTATTATTTTCTCTCTGAATGTTCTTTTCTTCATCTATGAGCATATCTAGCTCTCTCTCCTAGAGGAGAGGGACAAGGAATCTTAGTAATCTGAATGTTACTGGCAGTTGTGTTGCAACTACTAGATGAGTCAGCTTCAGTATAAAGCTGTTCCAAACATAAGAAAATATATATAGATGGAAAAATGCTGGATCTTAGATGACACCACTTAGCCCACTTATTTGCAGAGCATCACATGTCTGGAATCCATCTTACCTTTTATTAGTTAAGCCAATTTGTAGCTATGTTTTCTGCCATTTGTTGTTAAATGGATCCTAAATGCACATGATTTTTGCTGTGTATTGCAGATATTCAGAAAAAACAAAATTTCTGCTCCCGAGGAGCTTATACTATAAGGGAACAAATAGATATATACATTATTACACAGATAAAATTGATATATTTTATTATATACACATATAAAAATCACATAAAGATACATACATAATTAGAAAAACAATAAGATAAATGTCATTGAAGATGTTTTCCACCCTCATACAACCAACACTCACCTATCACATTGTTCCTACTGCAGGCAGAACATGAAAGAAGCCACTATTCAGGAGAATTTCAGACCATAGCTTGCCCAGTATCAGACATGAAATGCACATTCAATGGCTTTCAGAAGCAGAAGTGGCAATGAATACAAAAACATTACCCTCAATGAACATGAGGGTACTCAGCATCTGCATAGGAGATTATTACATAGAAAGATGAATTAATTCTCACAGATCTCTGTTGAGAAAAATAATAAGTATTCTGTTAGAAATTGTATATGATTTTAAATTTCACTTATCATCTGATAATCTGTTTTTGCTAAAATATATATTGAATACATACCAAGTGTTATGGAAGCACTGTGTTTATGAATTTTTGTCGAAGTGGGACATAGTTATGAGTAGTCTTCATAGAGTTATTCAATATTCAAGGCAAGAATTCATCATAAATATGGGAAAGTTAGTCAATAGTAATGAATATTTATTGAGCACTTACTATGTGGCAGACATTTTTCTAGAAGAAGCAGCACAGAACAAAAGAGGCAAAATCTGTTTTTATAATGAGGCTTATATTTGGAAGGGTTGAAAGAGTTAGATCATGAACAATGTAAATTACATGGGATGATAAAGTGATATGTGCTGGAAATAATGAAGTGAGATAAGGAGTACTTGAGTTGGTTAAGGGAAGGGAGATCATAATTTCAGATAAGGTAGCCAGGGAAAACCTTGCTTAACAGGTGATATGACAGGAAACATATCTAAGAAAGAGCATTCTAGATGAAAGAACTAGCAGTACAAAGACCCTGGAGTTGGAGAGTATCTTGCATGTTCAAAGAACAGAAAGATGGCAAAGAGCACCTAGAAGAGAGTAGGCAAACAAGCTGAAGAAGATATAATGGACTCCTAAATTAGAGAAGGCTTAAGGTGAGGGCCTTTGCAAGTACTTTTACTTTTACTCTAAGTGAGATGGGAGGACGCTGGACATTTTGAACTCAAGAGTGACAGAATCTAAGTTAAGTTTCAACAGGATTATCTTGCTGCAGGGTTAAGAAAAGGTGGGAATAAAGAAAGAGCATAGTATGTTTAGAAAACAAAGAGTGGCCAAGGGAAGGGTATGAGTGTGCTGTAGTGGGAGTGAGATTGGCAAAAGAGATAGGAACTATGTTACAGTGGACCTTTATCTCTTTGATAATAATTGTGGACTTTTTTGCAGGTGATACATGTTAAACCTAAGAGTAGCATGATCACATTTATATTTCAGAAATCACAGGCTATGGCAGCATTTCTCTCTTCAGGAGAGAAATAAGAGTGACGCAGAGAAAACTGTCAAGGGGCTCTGATTTTTACAACTTTGTTTAGCTACCAATGAAAAAGATTAAATATAAACAGTAATTGAAACAAAAAGAAGTTTAAACATTTTTAGTCTAGGGTTATCAAAGTGGTTCCTCAACCAACGAAGACTTAGACTTTTTCTGTATCATTAGATTACCATCCTCAACACTTGTCATTTATGTTATGATCCAAGATTGTTGTTCCATTTCCATCCATCATATGTGTATTCTAGCCAGTAGAAAGAAAGAATGAGAAAAGTATGTCACCTCCCCTTTAAGGACATGTCCCAAAATTTGCTTACACCATTTCTAATTATATCTTTTTTTGTCAAGAATTTGGCTTCAAGAATTTGGCTTCATCTAGCTGTCAGCGAAGCTAGAAAATGAACATTTTATTTTGTGTGGCTACATACCCAGCTAAAATTCAGTTTCTGTTGCTGAGGGAGAAAGAAAAAAAAATGATATTGAGGACAACTATTTGATTCTCACTCAGAGACTAGTCCAGGTGAGGTTTGCTATATTCCTGATCTCAATTGCTGTTTCTACAGGTAGAGGATAGCATGTAAATTTAAGCAAGGTTTACAAAGGAAATCAGCCAGATTTGGTGAACAATTAGATCTACAGGATGATTAAAAAACACATCTAATTTGAGATTTTGACTTGAAAGTGATTTTATGACAAGGTCATTAGGCGAGATAATGTCTTAGTCTGTTAGGGCTGCTATAACAAAATACCATAGACTGAGTGACTCATACACAAAAGAAATTTGTCTTTCACAGTTCTGAAGGCTGGAAAGATCAACATCATGATGCCAGGTGATTTGGTGTCTGATTAGAGCTAGCTTCCTTATTGATGGCAATCTTCTAGGGCATAATGTGGACAAAGAAGTTAGGTTGTGTTTACAAGGACACTAATCCCATTCTTTAGGGTCCCACTCTCATGACCTAACCACCTCTCAAAGATCCCACTTCCTAATCACATTACCTTAGTGGTTAGGATTTTAACATACAAATTTTTGGGAGGAACACAAATATTCAATCCATAGCATGTGAGGATTCCTGGAGAAGAAATAGGTATGTAAAAAATATGTTTGATTTTGTACAGATTTTATTTGAAATGCTTCATGATAGTTGGTATCTGGAAGAAATTCTTATTTTTACATTATATTTATTTCTTAAAAGAGTAATGTAAACCACAGGACATAAATTCCTTAGAGGGTAATAGTACTATCAGAGTGGTTGAATTCATTTGGTTTTCAGTCCTGGAAATTGCTCTAGGAAATGTATTTCTGTTTACTTATGAGCTACCTGTTATTTTATTCTTGACCCTTCTGGCATTTGCTAGCATGCAAGCATAGGTTACTAACTCACTCAAAGCAATTTAATTTTGTTTTAGAGAGAAATAATGCTAATAAAATGTCTTAAAGTCTGACCTCTATTCTTTTGTATCTCCTGTGGCAATTATCTAGTCAGGAACCTGTAGAAATAAGAGACTTCCTGAAACCAATACAACATCAAAAGCAAACAGTGTGTAATAGCATTTTTGCCATTTCTCTCTGTCAACAGAGATGCTTGAACCATAAATGCCGATTAGTATTGCAGAGCTTAGGGTATCACGTTTGTAAGTAGGAGCCAGAAGAATACAAAGAGTTGTTTGCTCTGCTCTCTACCTGTCTTTTAGCCTTCTCAGTTTCCATCTTTCTATAGGTGTAATCCTGAAAACCTGGAAGACTCCAAGAAAAAAACTCTGAAAAAAAAAAAGAAAAAATAGCAATTTATTATGTGAAGTGAAATAAAACAGTCATAGAAAGACAAATACTACGTACCCTCACTTATATGTGGAATACAAAACTGTTGAACTCACAAGTTACCATTTGGATGTGATCCAATTCAAAGTGATTAAAAATGAGAGGACCACTTACCAAGTTGAGATGAGTAATGAGCCCAATTAAGTCTCATTAGGTCTCCTCACTGGAGAATGCAATACTACAACTAGTACAACTACTATAACTGAAAATTGTTGTTGCTACTGATGTTGTTATCAGATTTCATAGAAAATTCTTCTGGAGCAAATGCCCTTTGGCTTACAAATTTAGGGCTGCAAAACCGTCAGTGGGAAAACAGATGACAAGTTGCTTTGAAAGAATGATTTCTCACACAATGAACTCATTTAATCCTTATAATTAAATTGAGAAAGAAAATATTCCTATTTTTCCATATGAAGAAGCTGGGGCTCATAGATTTTCAATGACTGTGCCAAGTTTACAGAGCTAGAGTATGAAAGAGTAAGAATTTGAAACCAAGGAATATCTGATTTCAAAGGTTTCGATTGTTTTCGACTATACCATGCTTTTCATACAGATCTCAGACTCATTGAACAGAGTATACTTTATATTACACATTATTTCAATTTTCAAAGTGCTTAATATGCAATGTAAATCTTTATTGTACATTTATGCAAATTATTATATTCTACTGTCAGAGCAGAATTCACTAGTCATAGGTCCCTTTTCTATAACACAAGACTATTGTGCACTTTGCTAAGTTTTGTTTGATAAATGTATGGCTTGTTTATTTATTCAAATTGTCATTGAGTGCCTACTACAATACTGTCAGATAATGAGGGCATAAACATGAATGAGCTACAATGCCTCCCATCAAGGAATCCTAGTAAAATGGGAGAAACAGGCAAACAGACCAAACGTATAATGAAAATGTCTGAACATAGAAATGATGTAGATAAAGAGTTGTAGGAGAACAAAGGATAAAAGAACCAGGTAGAATTTAAGAAAGATTTCATAAGGAACACAACATTTGGGCTGAGTTTTAAAAGGAAATCATTTAAGGATGAGATTTTAAAGTGGAGAAAAGGGAATCAAACTTGCTTGGCAGAGGAAACACATGTAAACAAACATAATGGTTTGAAACACCAGCTCTGAAGTTAGATTCTTTGGGTTCAAAGGGTGTTTGTCCCTTTTTCTAGATTAGATGAAATACCTTAAGAAGGCTACATACCCTCCATAAGCCTTAGATTTCTTATCTTTAAAATAAGAAAAACGAAGGTTTCTACCATATAGGGTTATTATAAAATACTATAAATTAAATAATTCACGTAAAAAAAGTATCAGAATACCTAACATGCAAGGAACACTCATTAAATATTAGTTAATATTACCTTGTTATTCAGTATGGCGATGCTTCCATTACTTAATAAACTCATTACCTAGTATGGTAAATGGAATATTCTGGTTAAATATATACTCTAGTCAACAGTTATATTTTATTTGTCAAATTATAATTATCTGAAAATTAGAATACTGAAGATGACTTCAGGGAAGATTGAATAGATGTACTTTTCCCTATTTCTCCCTGCAAGTACAACTAAAAACCATGAAAGTTATATGAAACAAAAGTAAGAATACTAAAACAGAGAGAGAAAAAGTCATACCAGTTAGGGACTTTGGAATTCAAGAAACCTCATGATATAGTTTGAATGTTTGTCTTCTCCAAATCTTACATTAAAATGTAATCCCCAGTGTTGGAGGTGGGGCCTGGTGAAAGATGTTTAGGTCATAAAGATGATTCCTCATGAATGGATTGGTGCTGTCCTTGTGATAGTGAGTGAGTTCTCATAAGACCTGGTTGTTTAAGAAAGCTTGTCACCTCCCCCTTCTCTCTCTCCTGCTCCTTATTTAGTCATGTGATGTGCTGGCTCCTCATTTGCCTTTTGCCATGATGGTAAGTTTCCTGAATCCCTCTCCATAAGCAGATGCTGACACTATACTTCGTGTACAACCTGAAGAACTGTGAGCCAATTAAAAATTTTTCTTTACAAATTAACTCACTTCCAGTATTTATTTATAGTAATGTGAAAACTGACTAATATAGAAAATTGGTACCAGGAGTAGGGAGTTGATGTAAAGATACTTGAATATGTAGAAGCAAGTTTGGGACTGGATAATGGGCAGAAGTTAGAAGATTTTGTAGATCTCAGAAGAAGACAGGAAAAAGGGGTAAGTTTGGAGCTTCTTAGAAACTAGTTAAATGTTTGTGACAAAAATGCTGATAGAGACATAGACGGTGAAGTCTAGGCTGATGAGGTCTCAGATGGAAATAAGGAGGTTATTAGAAATTGGAGTAATAATTACCTGTATTACACCCTAGTGAAAAACTTGGCTGTATTGTGTCCATGCCTTAGGCTTTTGTACAAGTTTGAACTTAAGAGTGATTAGCTAAAGTATCTGGTGGAAGAAATTTCTAAGCAGCAAAGCATTCAAGTTGTGGACTGGCTGCTCTATCAACCTGTGCTTAGATGTGGGAGCAAATAATTGACTTTAAGTTGGAACTTAAAGGGAAGCAGAGCATAAAAGTTTGGAAAATATATACCCTGGCCATATGGCAGAGAAACAATCCAAACAGACTTTGGAGAAACTTTGGAGAAACCACCCACTGGAGAGATCAGCATGTCTAAAAGGGAGCCAAGTACTTATATCCAACACAATGAAAAAAAAAATACCTGAAAAGCATTTAAGAAGTCTTTGAGATAGCCCCTCCCATCACAGTTTCAGAGGCCCCAGAGGAAAGAAGGGGTTTCTGGGGCAAGGGCCAGGGCCTTGCTGCCTAGTGCAGCCTCAGGACACTGCTTCCTACATCTTGGTAACTCAGGGTTCAGCCTTGGCTCAAAAGGGGACTAAGTACAGCTTGGGCCACCACTCCAGAGGTTGTGAGCAATAAGCCTTGGTGGCTTCCACATGGTGTTAAATCTATAAATGCTCAGAATGCAAACATGAAGGAGGCTTCGTGGCTTCCACTTATATTTTAGAGAATGTATGGAAAAGCTTGGATGCACAGGCAGAAGCCTGTTAGAGGGGTGGAGCCCTCATAGAGAACCTCTAGTAAGGCAATCCCAAAGGGAAATGTGGAGTTGGAGTCCCTACACAAAGTCCCCATTTGTGCACTGCCTCGTGGAGCTATGGGAAGGCAGCTGCCACCCTACAGACACCAGAAGGGTAGATTCAGCAGTAGTTTGTTCCCTGCATCTGATAAAGCTGCAGGCACTCAACTCAAACTTGTGACAGCAGCCATGGGAGCTGTACCCTGCAAATCCACAGAAGCAGAGCTGCTGAAGATCTTGGGAGCCCACCCCTTGCACCAGTGTGCCTTGGATGAGGGACATAATGAGTATTTTGGAGCTTTCATATTTAATTAATTTTCTGCTGGACTTCAGACTTGCCTGGGGTCTGTTATCCCTTTCTTTTGACCAAGTTCTTCCTTGTGGGATGATAATATTTAACCAATGCCTATATAGGCATTGTGTCTTAGAAGTAAATAACTCAGTTCTTTAACTCACAGGTGGAAGAAACTCATCTCCAGTTAAAACTTTGGATGTTAGACTTGAGGCTGGAAAAAGTTAAGCCTTTGGGGAACTATTGGCAGGGTGTGATTGTATTTTACAATGTGAGAATGACGTGAGATTTGAGGGCACAGAGGCAGAATAATATGGTGTGAATGTTTGTCCCCTCTAAATCTTATGTTAAAATGCAATCCCCAATGTGAGATGTTTGTGGCATAGAGACAGATCCCTCATAAATGTCTTGGTGGTGTCCTCAAGATGGTGGTTGCGTTCTCATGAGATCTGGTTATTGAAACGAGTGTGGCACCTCCTCCTTTTTTGCTGCTCCTGATCTCACCATGTAATGTGTTGGCTCTCCTTTGCCTTCTGCCATGATTGTCAGCTTCCTAAAGCCCTGACCAAAAGCAGATACTGGCATAACATTTCACATATACCCTACAGAACCGTGAGCCAAATAACCAAGCCTCAGGCATTTCTTTTAGTAATGCAAAAATTGATTAATACACTACATAATGATGAGCTTCCTCCTGGTTTACTTTTTTTTTTTTTTTTTGCCTCAAATACCTATAAATGGGGCTGAAGAAGCCAGCAAGCTGGAAACATCAATGAGAGAGACATTAAAACAAAACAACGCAAAACAAAACAGGAACTGGGCAAGAAGGCTGACTAGAGATAGCCAGGTGAAAGAGCTGGAACTAATGAACTAAGATGATTGGCACATTATTAACAGATCTTTAGAGGGAAGGCACTGAGTGTGGACAGAGGGAAGACACACAAGCTGGGATGAAGGGGGAGAAAGCTGGGAACCCTGTATGGGGCTACTTCATACTGGGACTCATTCCTGGCCCACAGTGATTCTAGGAAAAAGGATGAGTTGAACTAACAAAAAGCAATTCTCTCCACAGGCTTCTGGAATCCCAGGCAGAATGAGACCCCTCAACCACATGGATACTTGAGTTAGCAAGGAAATCTGCTTAAAGAAATGGTAGAGACAGCATGCCAGCCAGTGTAAAGTCCAGAGGGTTTGGTGTGAGAGTGTCATAGAGGAGCATGGCCAGGAACACCTATCCGCCTAGGCTTGACTTGCTCTCGTAAGAGACTTTAGTCCTAGGGGAACTATTGGAGCTGAGCTCAGCAGGGTGGTCTTGTCCATCAGATGGGGCCCGTCTGACCTGAGCATCCCTTGATCTCCTGTCTTTCCCTGGGGCCCCAGCCTCTGCCGTGCCTGCTTGCAATATACCATTAGGAGTACTGAGGGTCTGCATCATAGCTTCTGCACTGGTGGAGGACATATGACCAATAGAGAACTGCAGTGGGTTGGCCCTGATGACCACACACCAGTCTGCCCTTCTCTCCCCTTCCCATGGGCCCATGGTCACCACCTACATTGCTTTACTGGCATGTGTGTCCATGGGAGGATTTTGCCTTCCCTGCCTCAGCAATGCATGTGTGCACATGCCCCCTGCCCTGCCACTGCTGCGGATGCAAGTGTACTCTACCCCCCCACCCTTCCCCTTCTACCTGCCATTGCAGAGGGAGTCTTTATGAGCACAGAGAATACAGAACTTACCAGTCAAGCCCCTGCCAGCTCCCTGCCCCTGCACCAACACTGATGCTGGAGTGAAACTAGGCATGGAGAACAGCAGAACCTCCCCTGCCCTGAGTGGCCACTTCTGCTTGCATAAATGTACACAGAGGAAGCATACGGTCCTCGGCCCACCAGCACTCTGCCCCCATGCTAACACCACTACCAGGGCAACCATATGCACAGACATCAGAAGGGACCGCCCATCCCCCCAGCTATGCTGCCTCTGCAGCTGCTGTGAACCCCAGCTATGCTGCCTCTGCAGCTGCTGTGAACACCTGCATGGAGGCCAGCACCCTGGCACCAGCTAGCAGCTGATGAGCATGCACCCCACTGTGCTGCCACTGCCACTTCTGCTAGCATGTGAAAACAAGGATAGATCCCATGAAATGCTCCGGATAATACCACTCATCAGAGTGCTGTGACCAGCAGTCTAGGAACAGCTCAGCCCCCAACCCAGCACGGTTGGTTCCTAACCTCTAGGAGGCAGAGAACAAAGCTGGGGTCCGATAACAGTCACCCAGATTTAGAGAATGTAGTCCAGGAATTGTGAGCTGAGCCATGTCCCCCTAAAATCCTCCAGAAATCCTCAGTCAGTTGACTGAACCCACCTTATACTACAATCAATGCTCAAGGTCATCAAATAGGATTAAAAAATAAATCCCATCTAAAGGACAGCAACTTAAAAGATTGAAGAATCATCAGCCCACAAATATGATAAAGAACCAGCACAAGAACCTTGACAACTCAAAAAGCCAGAGTGCCATCTTTCCTCTAAATGACTGCACTAGTTCTCCAGCAAGTGTTTTGAACCAGGCTGAGATGGCTGAAATGACAGAAATAGAATTCAGAATATGGACAGAAACAAAGATCATAGAGATGCTGGAGTACATTGAAACCCAATCCAAGGAAGCTAAGAATCACAATGTAATGATAGAAGAGTTGACAGACAAAATAGCCAGTATAGAAAAGAATATAACCAACCATACAGAGCTGACACTAAAAAAATTTCGTAATACAATTAGAACTTTTAATAGCAGAATAAAGCAAGCTGAGGAAAGAATCTCAGAGCTTGAAGACTGGCTTTCAGAAATAAGAAAGCCAGGCAAAAATAGAGAAAAAAGAAGGAAAAGGAATGAGGAAAACCTCTGAGAAATACGGGACAATGTAAAGAGACCAAATCTATGACATATCAGTATCCCTGAAAAAGATGAGGAGAATGGAAATAACGTGGAAAGCATATTTCAGGGTATCGCCCATGCGAACTTCCCCAACCAAGCTAGAAAGGCCAATATTCAAATTCAGAAAATTCAGAGAACCCCAGAGAGATACTTCACAAGAAAATCATCCCCAAGAAACATAATGATCAGTTTCTCCAAGGTTGAAATGAAAGAAAAAATGCAGACACAGCTAGAGGGAAAGATTCAGTCACCTACAAAGGGAAGTCCATCAGACCAACAGACCTCTCATAAGAAACCCTACAAGCCAACAGAGATTGAAGGCATATATTCAACATTCTTCAAGAAAAGAAATCCCAATCAAGAATGTCATATTCTGTCAAACTATGATTTATAAGCAAAGGAGAAATAAGATCCTTTTTAGACAAGCAAATGCTGAGGTAATTTGTTACTAGCAGACCTTCCTTACAAGAGCCCCTGAAAGAAGAAGTAAATATGGGAAGGAAAGACTGTTACCAGCAACTACAAAAACACACAGAAGTACACAGATCAGTGACACTTTAAAGCAACCATATAAACAAGTCTGCATAATAACCAGTTAACATAATGATGACAGGATCAAATCCACAAATATCAATAATAACCTTGAATATAAAAAGGCTAAATGCCCAAATTAAAAAGCACAGAGTGGCAAACTGAAGAAAGAACTGAGACCTAACAGTATGCTCTCTTCAAGAGGCCCACCTCAGATGAAATGACAACCATAGGCTCAAAATAAAGGGATGAAGAAAAATCTAACAAGCAAATAGAAAACAGAAAAAGGCAGGGGTTGCAATCCCAATTTCAGACAAAAAAGACTTTAAACCAACCAAGGTCAGAAAGGACAAAGAAGGGCATTACATAATGGTAAAGGTTTCAATTCAACAAGACCTTATTTTCTTAAATATATATACACCCAACACAGGAGCACCCAGATTAATAAAACAAGTTCTTAGGATCTTTCAAAGGGACTTAGATTCCCACACAACAATTGTGGGAGACTCAAACCTTATTGACAATATTAGACAGACTATCAAGGCAGAAAATTAATAAATATATTCAGGAACTGAACTCAGCACTGGATTAAATAAACCTGATAAACATCTACAGAACTCTCCACCTCAAAATCAGAATATACATTGTTCTCATCACCACATGGCACATACTCTAAAATTGACCACAGAATTGGACATAAAACAATCTACAGCAAACGAAAAGAGCTAATATCATAACAAGCACTCTAAGACTATAGCACAATACAATTAGAAATCAAGACCAAGAAAATCACAGAAAACCATACGATTAAATGAAAATTAAATAAGCTGTTTCTGAATGACTTTGGGATAAATAATGAAAGTAGAGCAGAAATTAAGAAGTTTTTTGAAACTAGTGAGAACAAAGATGCAACATACCAGAATCTCTGGGACACAGGGAAGGCAGTGTTAAGAGGAATATGTATAGCACTAAATATCCACATCAAACATTAGAAAGATCTCAATTTAACCATCCAATATCATAACAAAAAGAACTAGAGAACCAAGAGCAAACCAGTCCCAAAGCTAGCAGAAGACAAGAAGTAATCAAAATCAGAGCTGAACTGAAGGAGGTTGAGACATGGAAAAACATTCAAAAGATCCACAAAATCAGGAGTTGTTTTTTTTTTTTTGAATAAACTAATAAAGAGGCTGCTAGCTAGACTAATAAAAAGGAGAAGAGAAGATCCAGATAAACACAACTGGAAATGACAAAAGATACATTGCCACTGGCCCCACAGAAATACAAATAACCATCAGAGAATATTATGAACATCACTGTGCTCACTAAACGCTAGAAAATCTAGATGAAATGGATATTATGAACATCACTATGCTCACTAGAAACTAGAATATTGTGAACATCACTGTGCTCACTAGAAACTAGAAAATCTAGAAGAAATGGATATATACACCCCAGCCAGGAGGTGGTTTTTTTGAAAAAAATTAATAAAAAGGATAGATTGCTAGCTAGGCTAAAAAGGAAGAAAGAAGATCCAAATAAGAATAACCAGATATGTAGAGGGGGATATTACCACTGACCCTACAGGAATACAAATAATTATCAGAAACTATTATGAATACCTGTATATACACAAACTATAAACTCTAGAAGAAATGGATAAATTTCTGGACACATACACCCTCCCAAAACTGAACCTGGAAGAAATTGAACCCTTCAACAGACAGTAATGAGCTCTAAAATGGAAGCAGTAATAAATAGCCTACTAATCAAAAAAAAAAAAAAAAAAAAAAAAAAAAAGCCCTGATGGAAGGATTCAAAGCTGAATTCTACCAGATGTATAAAGAAGAGATGATACCATTCCTACTGAAACCATTTCAAAAAATTGAGGAGGGGGACTCCTCCCTAACTTATTTTATGAGGCCAGCATCATCCTGATACCAAAATCTGGCAGAGACACAACAACAAAAAAAGAAAATTTCAGGCCAATATCCTTATTGAAGATTGATGCAAAAATCCTCATAAAAACATCTGGCAAACAAAATCCAGCAGCAAATCAAAAAGTTTATCCACCATGATCAAGTAAGCTTTATCCCTGGGATGCAGGTTAGTTCAACATATGCAAATCAATAAATGTGACCCATCACATAAACAGACCTGAGGTCAAAAACCACGTGATTATCTCAATAGATGCAGAAAAGGCTTTCAATAAAATTTAAGACACCCCTTAATGTTGAAAATGCTCAATAATGTAGGCATTGAAGGAACATACCTCAAAATAATAAGAGCCATATATGACAAACCCACAGCCAACATCATACTGAATGGGAAAAACTGGAAGCATTTCCCCTTGAAAATCGGCACAAGACAAGAATGCCCTCTCTCATCCTATTCAACACAGAATTAGAAGTACTGGCCAGGGCAACCAGGCATGAAAAAAAAAAAAAGGCATTCAAATAGGAAGAGAGGAAGTTCAACTATCCCTGTTGCAGATGACATAATTCTGTATCTAGAAAACCCCATAGTCTCTATCCAAAAGTTCCTTTAGCTAATAACTTCAGCAAAGTCTCACAACACCAAAGCAACATTAAAAAAATTACTAGCATTCCTGTACACACAACAATAGTCAAGCCAAAAGCCAAATCAGGAACTCAATCCTAATCACAATTACCACAAAACGAATACAATACCTAAGAATACAACTAACCAGGGAGGTAAAAGAGCTCTACAAAGAGAACTATAACAGTCCCATTCCAAGTGGGAAAAATTGGCCAAAACAAGGAAGCTGTAGGCCCCATGGAAGTCCAAAAGCCAACAGGGCAACCATCAAATCTTAAAATTCCAAAATAATCTCCTTTGACTCTATGTCTTACATCCAGGGCATCCCTGTGCAAGAGGTGGGCTCCCAAGGCCTTGGGCAGCTCTGCCCCTGTGGATCTGCAGGATACAGCCCCTGCAGCTACTTTCATGGTCTGGCATTGAGTGCCTGCAGCATTTCCAGGTGCATGGTGCAAACTGTCAGTGGATCTACCATTCTAGGGTCTGTAGAACAGTTGCCGTTTTCTCACAGTTACACTAGGCAGTACCCTAGTGGGGACTCTGTCAGCGATCCAACCCCACATTTCCCCTCTTCATTGCCTGAGTAAAGTTTCTCTATGAGGGCTCTGCCTCTGTGGCAGATTTCTTTCTGGACATGCATGCATTTCCATACATCCTCTGAATTCTAGATGGAGGCTCCCAAAGCTCAACTTTTGTCTACTGCAGACCTGCAGTCCCGACACCACATGGAAGCCACCAAAGCTTGGGGCTTGCAACCTCTGAAACAATGGCCCAAACCATTCCTTGGACCCTTTTAGCCACAGCTGGAGCTGGAGTGGCTGGGACACAGAACACCAAGTCCCAAGGCTGCACTGAGCTGCAGGGTCCCGAGCGTGTCCCAAGAAACCATTTTTCTCTCCTACGCCTTCAGGCCTGTGATGGGCAGGGCTGCCTCAAAAATCTCTATGTGACATGGAGACATTTTCCCCTTTGTCTTGGCTATTAACTTTCAACTCCTCTTTACTTATGCATATTTCTGCAGCCAGCTTGAATTTCTCCCCCCAATTTTTTTTTTTCTTTTTCTACATCATGGTCAGGTTGCAAATTTTCCAAACTTTTGTGCTCTATTTTGATTTTAACTAAAAGTTCCAGTTTCAGATAATCTCTTTGTCAATGAATGCAACTGAATGCTTCCAGAATCAGCCAGGTTACCTCTTGAAAGCTTTATTTCTTAGTAATTTCTTCCACAAGATACCCTAGACCATCTTTCTCAAGTTCAAAATTCCACAGATCTCTAGGGCAGAAGCAAAATGCCACCTGTCTCTTTGTTAACACATAGTATGAGTGACCTATACTCCAGTTCCTGTAAGTTCCTCATCTCCATCTGAGACCCACCTCAGCCTGGATTTCATTGTCCATATCACTATCAGTATTTGGGTCAAAACCATTCAACAAGTCTCTAGGAAGTTCTAAATTTTCCCACACCTTCATGTTTTTTTCTGATACCTCCAAACTGTTTCAACCTCTGCCTGTTACCCAGTTCCAAATTTGCTTCCACATTGTTAGGTATCTTTGTATCAGTACCGCACTCTCAGTACCAATTCTCTGTATTAGTCCATTCTCACACTACTATAAAGATATTAACTAAGACTGGATAATTTGTTAACAAAAGGGTTTAATTGACTCACAGTTCTGCATGGCTGGGGGAGTCCTCAGGAAATTTACAATCATGGCAGAAGGTGAAGGACAAGAAAAGCATGTCTTACAGGGCAACAGGAGAGAGATAGAGATCAGGAAAACTGCCACTTTTTAACTATCAGATCTCATGATAACTCACTATCATGAGAACAGCATGGTGAAAACTGCCCCTATGATCCAATCACTTCTCATCAAGTCCCTCCCTTGACACATAGGGATTGCAACTGGAGTTGGAATTTGAGAGGGAGCACAGAGCCAAATAATATCAAACCCTCATTACCTAGTCTAAGCTAATTACCTCAAAAAGGCTGTGTCTCTAAATATCAACCCATTGGGGGTTATGGCTTCAACTAATAAATTTTAGGAAGGTGTAAGCATTCAGTCCATACTAAACTGTTTTTCTCGCATTCAGTCCATACTACACTGGTTTTCTCCATCCAAACATTACATACACAAAAAGGCGCCCATACCCACACCCACACCATTGAGAACCAGGAAGGGATACTGGACTTTAATTTGTACAAAGTCCAATAAGATACTTTGAACACTTTCCCCCTCAGGCCCACCCCACTAACAACTGGTCTCATGTCAGAGAAAACCTAGAAGGAAACTGAAACTTTCAACCTTACTGGGTAGTAATTAGGCCCCCAGACCTGCAGTGTCAGTGAGGCTACATAGTGAGACTTGATGTCTATTCAGTACTGCCATCCAGTAGTAATGAGGTGCCCCTTCTGTACCTTATGAGGGAGGTACTTGAGAAGATCCTAAGGAGATTCAGACTTTTGACCACCACGCAGTGATAATGAAGACATCATTTTTTTTTTCACTCCAAACTTTCTTCTACTGTCAGTGAAGGTCAAATGTGGACAATAATGGGATATTCCTACTCTCACCAGAAAGGAAGGTACTAGTAGCGGCCTAGTGGAGGAGAACTAGAATTAATATCCTCACTCAAGGGTAACAAGGCACCCTCATCTCAGATGTCAACAGAGGCCAGGCAGGGAACCTGTACTTCTATACCACCACTTTCTCTTGCTGGAGCGGTGTCAGAGGAAGCTAGCTAAAACAGAAGGCTTAAATAAAACCCAGAATCTCATAGCATAGTGCTCAGAATAACAAGTTTTATTTTAAAAAAGAAAGACATGTAAGTAAATAAAATAAAAATATAATATTTAATAGATTCTAACACTAACATAACAGAGGTATTAGAATTTTCTGAAAAGGATTTTAACTTAGTCATTATAAAAATGTTTTGAGAAACAATCATTAATGCACTTGAAGAAATGAAAAAAAAAAGCATTAACAAATAGAGAACTAACTATATTAGTCTGTTTGCACACCGCTCTAAACAACTACCCGAGACTGGGTAATTTATAAATGAAAGAGATTTAATTGACTCACTGTTCTGCATGGCTGGGGAGGCCTCAGGAAACGTACAATCATGTTGGAAGAGGAAGGAAGCACGTCCTTCTTCACAGGCAGCAGGAGGGACAAGTGCAGAGTGAAGGGGGCAGAGCCCCTTATAAAATCATCAGATCTTGTAAGAACTCACTCACCATCATGAGAACAGCATAGAGGAACCGCCCCCATGATCCAATCACCTCCCACGAGGTCCCTCCCCCAACACATGGGGATTGCAATTCAGATTACAGTTCAAGATGAGATTTGGGTGGGGACACAGAGCGAGACCACATCAAAAACCTTAGCAAAAATATAAAATATATAAAGGATGGAAAATTTAGAACCAAAAATTATATTAGCCAACTTAAAAAAAAATTGATGGATGTGCTCAACATCTGAATGCAGAGATCAGAAAGAAGAACCTATAAACTTGAATATAGAGCAATAAAAACTTGCCAATATGAGTAAGACTGAAAAATTAGATTGGAAAAAGGAACAGAGTCTCAGGGACCTGTGAAACTATTAAAAATAAATCTATATCCATGTCATTGGAATTCCACAAGGAGAAGAGAAAGAGTGAAAGACAGAGAATATTAGATTTGTCCAGTTTGTCAAAAACATAAACCTACAGTTGAGCAAACAGCAGACTGAACTCAAAGAATTTCCCACCAAGATACATCATAAATTTCTCAAAAATAAAGACAAAAATAAAAAACATCTTAAAAGAAATGAGAAGGAAACAAAATATTATCTATAGAAAGAAAAATAATTCTAAAGGTAGCAAATATTTTATTAGCAACTATAATGACCAGAAGATAATGGCACAATATTTTTCAAGTGTTGAAAGAAAATAACTGTTAGCTCAGAACCCTATATCCTTCTGAAGGATATATCCACTGAAAATATGCTTCAGTAATAAAGGAACTTCATGACCATCTCAGATGAAGGAGGACCAAGATAACTTGTTGTCAAAATACCTAAAAAATGGCTAGAAAAATTTTTCTAAACTGAAAAGATAAAAGAAGGATTCATGGAACATCAGGAAGGACCAAAGATAAGAGAAAAATATGATAAATATAATACCTTTTCCTCTAATGTTTCTAATGCTCTGCTTCATAATTAAAGCAACAAATATCACACTGTTTAATGTGTTCTTTATATGAAGGAAATATTTAAGATGATTATGTTACAATAGAAGGAGGATAAAAGGAAGAAAATGGAGGTAAGATTTCCACACTTTACTCAAAATAGCAAAACAATAACACCAGTAGACTGTGATAAGTTATGTAGATGTAACATAATAGTTACAGCGACCATCAAATATACTCAAATACACAATGGAATGCTATTTAGCCTTAAGAAAAGAAAAAAAAAGTCCTGTCATTGGCAGCAACATGGTTGTACTTGGAGGACATTACATAAAGTGAAAAAAGCCAGGCATGAAAAGACAAATACCTCATGATCTCACTTTGATATGAAATCCAAAAAAACTCAACTAATAAAAACAGACTAGAATGGTGGTTGCCAGGGGCTGATGGGAGGAGATGAATTGGGAAGATATTGGTCAAAGAACACGAAATTTCAGTTACACAAAAAGAATAAGCTCAAGAGATCTCTTATACAACATGGCGACTATAGTTAATAATGATGTATAGTATACTTGAAAATTACCAGGAGAGTAGATTTTAAGTATTCTCACCACAAAAAATAAGTATATGAGGTAATGTGTATATTAATTACTATATAAATTGAACCATTCCACAATGTATACGTATTTCAAAACATCATATTATACATAATAAATATATACATTTTTACTTGTCAATTAAAAATCTAAGAAGAAAATTATAAAAAAACTATAGGTAAATGAAAATGTAATTATCAAATATATTTAAGAAGCCCACAGGAAGGCAGGAAAAGAAAACACAGAAACAAAAAGGAAAAAGAGCAAAACAGAAAGCAAAAGTTAAAATTGTAGGCTTAAGATCCAACATATCAATAATTAATGTACATGGAGGTTGTCTAATCCCATCCATTAAAAGACAGGGATTGAGAGATTAGTTTTAAAAATAGTACCCAATTATATGCTATTTACTAGAAACTCACAGCAAATAAAACCATACAAGCAGATTGAGAGTTAAAGGATGGAAAAAGATATATCGCACAATCATTAATCCAAAGAAAAGAGAAGTGCCTGTATTAATATTAGATAAAATAGACTTCAGAGCAAATAAAATTACTGGATACACAGAAAAACAGGATATATTGATAAAATGATCAACCCCCTAAGAAGTCATTGCAATCCTAAATGTTTAAACACCAGACAAAAGAGCTGCATATTATGTGAAGCAGACACTGATGATAATGAAAAGAGAATTAGACAAACGTACTATTAAACTTGAAGAATTCAACATCCCTCTCTCAACAACAGATAGAACTAGACAGAAATCAACAAGAATGTAGAACTCAACAATACTATATCCACTGATATATCCACTGAAAGTATGCTTCAGTAATAAAGGAACATCATGACAATCTCAGATGAAAGTATTATTTTGAAACCAAATATCTTGTTATTATCTTGAAACCAAAACTAGAAATAAATGAAACAACAAAAGAAAATAATATTCATCAATATTAATATAACATGGCACCCAACAACAGAACAGAGTCTCTGACTGCACGTGTAACATATACCAAGATAGAAGGATGAAATCCTGAGCATAAAACTCACCTCAACAAATCCCCCAAAAACCTGAAATCATACAAAGTTTGCTCTCTGGCCACAGTGGAATTAACCTAAAAAGCAGTAACAAAAAGATAACAGAAAAATTTTCAAATAATTAGAAACTCATAACACATTTCTAAATAATTCTTGGATCAAAAAGAAAATCTGAAGGGGAACAAAAAATGCATGGCACTAAATAAAAATGAAATCATAGCATATCAAAATTTGTGAGATAGTGTTAAGGCAGTTTTGTGAGAGAAATTTAAACCACTAAATGTTTACATTAGAAAAAAAAGGAAAAGTCCAAATAATATAAGTTTTCTCTTCAAACATCTAGAAAAAGAAGAGTAAAATAAACACAAATCTACTTGAATGGAATAATAAAGATGAGAAGAAACATGTGAAGATGAAAATAGATATTAGAGAAAAAACAATGAAATAAAAAGCTACCTCTTTGAAAATATCCATAAAATTGACAAATGTCTACTAAGACTGAAAAAGAATAAAAGAGAGAATATACAACATTTTGGCATCAGGAAGAAAATAGCGACTATCACTACAGACCCTGCAGTTACCTAAAGAATAAAAATGGAATACTACGAAGAATTCTGCACACAGAAATTTGAAAAGTTAGATGAAAAGAACCAACTTCAGGAAGAACACACTCCACAAAGCATCCAATGTGAAATAGACCATTTAAATAGCTATATAACTATTAATTAAATTTGAATTCATAATATAAAATTTCCTAAATGAAGCTCTATAAGCACAGATGGCTTTACTGGAGAATTCTAACAAAGGTTTGAAGAACCTTTGTTCTAAAGAACTGTTAATATCAATTCTGTATTAGGGTTCTCTAGAGGGACAGAATAATAGGATATATGGAAATATGAAAGTGAGTTTATTATGGAGAATTGACTCACACAAAGTAAAGTCCCACGATAGGCCGTTTGCAAGGAAGCCAGTGGTAGACCAGTCAGAGTCCCAAAACCTCAAAAGTAGGGAAGCCAACTGAAGCCTTCAGTCTGTGGCCAAAGGCCCTGGAGCCCCTGGCAAACCACTGGTGTAAGTTCAGGAGTCCAAAAGCTGAATAATTTGGAGTCTGATGTTCGAGGGCAAGAAGCATCCAGTGTGGGAGAAAGATGAAGGCCAGAAGCCTCAGCAAGTCTGCTCTTCCATCTTCTCCTGCCTGCTTTATTCTAGCCACGCTGGTAGCTAATTAGATGATGCCCACCCATATTGAGGGTGGGTCTGCCTCTCCTAGTCCACGGACTCAAATGTTAATGTTAATCTCCTCTGGCAACACCCTCACAGACACATATAGGAACAACATTTTGCATCCTTCATTCCAATCAAATTGACACTCAATATTAACCATTGCAAATTTTTTATTATCTCTTCCAGAAAATAGAAGAGGAGGGAGAATTTCCCATTTTATTTTATGAAGCTGGTATTATCTTGAAACCAAAACTAGAAATAAATGAAACAACAAAAGAAAACTACAAAGCAACATCCTTTATAAATATACATGCAAATATTTTTTTTAAATATGATCAAAGAGAATTCAGTAGCAAATAAAAACAAGGATATACTATGACAAAATTGAGTGTATTCCAAAAATTGGAGCTGATTCAATTTTTGAAAATTAATCAGTATTGTTTACCATATTGAGTAACTAAAGAAGAAAAATCATCTGATTATATAAATCAGTGCAGAAAACTGTTAAAAAATGAACACCTATTTATGTTAGATACTCTCAGAAAAGTGGAAGTAAAGGAGAACTTCCTCAGCTTTATAAAGGATATGTACAATACATCTCAATTAACATGATTGTTAATGGTGAATGACCATTTAAAAGCAGGATCAATGCAAGTTTGCCTGTTCTCAGCACTCTTATTCAACACAGTGCTGGAAATTCTAGCAAGTACAATAAGAAAGTATCTGAATAAAGGCATACAGATCAGAGTGTAAAAAATTAAACTGTTCTTATTTGCAGATGACATAATATTCTGTGTAGAAAACTACATGGAATCTAAAAATAAATCTCCTAAAATGAATGGATGAGTAAAACAATGTCACAGAATGAAATATAAACATACAGAAATAAATTGTATTTCTACAAACTAGCAAGAAACACATAGACACAGAAATTAAATGCAATAGCATTTATAATTGCTCAAAAATGTAAACTAATTAGGTGTAAGTCTAATAAAGTTTCTATCGTCTTACATGCTGATATCCATAATCTGGTGATAAATCAAAGAAGATTGAAATAAATGGAGAGACATATTGTTTTTGTGGATTGGAAGACTCAAAGATGTCAATTCTCCCCAAATTGACATAAAGTTTAACACAATTTTTACCAAAATACAGCAAAAATTTTATATTAATACAAGAGTTTTCTAAAGTTTGTATGGAAACACAAAGGAACTATATTAGCTAAAACATTTTTTATAAAAAGAAGAGAGTGAGAGGAATTAGTCTACCTGATTTCAAGACTTATAATTACAGTAATTAATACTCTGTAGTGTTGGAGGAGAGATAGACATGTATCAATGAAACAGAATAGGGCAACCTGAGATATTCCCATTCCTACACAAATGTGCACAAGTAATGTTTGACAAAGGTGCAAAATCAGTTAAATGAATGGAAGAATGCCATTTAAGCAAATGGCAATCAGGCAATTAATTGGATATCCATAAGCCAAACACTGAACATCATCCGAAATCTCATAGGTTTTACAAAAATTAGCCCAAAATGGATCATTGACTTAAATGTGATATAAAAAACTATAAAATGGATAGAAGAAAATGTAAAAAAAAATCAGAATTTAGAACCAAACAGAATTCTTATGCTTGACACCAAAAGTATAACCTATGTAAGGAAATATTGGTAAATAGAAGGTCATCGAAATAAAAAACTTTGTTGCTTGAAATATCTTGTAATAGAATCAAAGACAAGCTGAAGACTTAGAGAAAATATTTGCGAATTAAATATGCAAGAAAGGGATAGTATCCAGAATATAGAAAGCAATCCCAAACTTCAATAATTTAAAAAGAGAGAGCGAGCCAACTTGAAAATGGGCAAAAGATATGAACAGTCATTTCACTGAAGTGGATATACAGATGCCAAATAAGCACATGAAAAGATGATCAACATCACAATGCAATATAATTACATACCTATCATAATGGCAAAAAGAAATAATATGGAGAACACCAAATGATAGTGATGACGGGGGAATACTGGATCACTCATACATTGCTGGTGAGATTGTAAATGGTTCAGGCACTCTGGACAAGAAACGATTTCTTAAAAAAGAAAGAACTTGCAACTACCCTATGAATCGGCAATTGTACTCTTGGGCATTTAATGCAGAAAAAAATGAAAATTTATATTCACACAAAAATCTGTATGTGACAGTTTATAGCACCTTTATTCATCATAGTCAATGATTAGAAACAACCTGGATGTCCTTCTACAGATGAAGGAGTAAAAAATTCCTGGTACCTACTTACCATGGAGTAGTACTCAGAAATAAAAAAGAAAACAAACTAATGATGCATACACACAACAAGAGAATCATACTGAATAAAAAATCCAATACTGAAAGGTTATATACTGCATGATTCCACTTATATAATATTATTGAGATGACAAAAGTTATAAAATGAAGAAAAAAATAGCAGTTACCAAACATTAAGAATGGAATGAAGGGGGAAGGACGGGAGTGTGACTATAGAAAGACAACATGAGGGATCCTTATGGTGATGACAATGTTCTATAACTTGACTTTATCAATGTTAATATCCTCATTGTGCTCTTATACAACACTTTTGCAAGATTTTATAATTACAAGAAACTAAAGGGTACCATGGGATCTCTCTTCATTATTTTTTACAACTACATGTGAATCTACAATAATCTCAAAATGAAGATTAATTTTAAAATACAGAATAAAATGAATTATATTATCCCTGGCCTTATAATTTCCATTCTCTGGATGCCTTTCCCTTACCTTAATTTCTCCCTTCTTACCCTCTCCATCTTCTTTTCTCTCCTTTTTTTTTTGAGACACAGTCTTGCTCTGTTGCCCAGGCAGGAGTGCAGGGTTGCAATCTCAGCTCACTGCAACCTCCATCTCCCGGGTTCAAGCAATTCTTCTGTCTCAGCCTCCCGAGTAGCTGGGATTACAGGCGTGCACCACCACGCCTGGCTAATTTTCTAATTTTTGTATTTTTAGTAGAGACAGGGTTTCACCATATTCGTTAGGTTGGTCTCGAACTCGTGACCTCAGGTGATCCATCCGCCTCGGCCTCCCAAAATGCTGGGATTACAGGCGTGAGCCACCATGCCCAGATCTGTTTAATTTTCTTAGACACATCACGTGTCAGACCACTTGTCCTACTCCACAAGTTTTCTCAGTCTCAACTGCTCAAATCTTCAACTACATGCTCTGACTCCACTGCAGCCACAGCCAATCAACTACATGAATGTTTTGAGCTCAGTCAGTCACTTTCCAAAGTCCCTGGTCCCTTTTTCTGTCACTTCTGGACTCTAGTGAAGTGCTACAATGGACGAGGCAACTCTAAAATGCAGAGCAGTTTTCAAAGTTTGTGGGACAAACTTTTAAAAACGGTGGAGGGGCAGGGGCAGAATGAATGAGATCCACGTAGGTAAATTTCCTGTCACTCCTCCTGGTAGACTGCTTAAGGAATGGTTCTGGCTGTGTCTCCTTGTGGCTCGTTGTAAATCATTGACTTGTATAGTAATATAGCTTCTGGCTTTGCTTGCTGTTTTTCCATACCTTACCCTCCTACTTTTCTTCATTTTTGCTGGGCTGGGAGTGAACCTCTATAAAATATAATCAGCAGTTAAACCCTGATTCAGTATTTGTTTTTCAGGAAATACATCTTATTAATGTTTATAGTTTCCACTCCCATACACATAGTATTTTCTTTGAATTTCTAGACTAAGGCAGCCAAGAAATATTTCACCTCTGTGTAATTCTTTGGGTTTATTCTTGTTATTTTTTATGATAACAACAAACTAATTCGGAAACAGCATAGCATAGTAGTTTATAGAACTAATTTGAGAGTCAGAAATTCCTTGCTTTAACATTTACCACTTGTTTGCATTTGAGTAAACTATTCAAATTTTAGGAGCATGAGTAAATTGGTGATAATAATATCAATGTCACAGGATTTTTAGGAGGATGAAATAAATGAAGCACATATGGACTATCTAATCTGTAATTAATATTACAGATGCTCTATCTTTTTCCATGTTCTTCTCAGCAATGCTTTTAACCAGTTATAGTTTTGTGGCTTTGTCATCAGGGATCTTCTTGCTTCAGCATATAATTTTTTTAATATATGTGTTTGTTTTAGGATCGCTTCTCAAACTGCCACCTTGATAACGGACCACAAAAGAGTACTTGAATGCCTGGTAGCCAAGTCTTTATAGTGCTAACCATGGAAACATAGTCCAGTTACTTCACCTCTTCCAGTTAGCTTTACTCTTCCTATATGTAAAATGAATATAATGAGATATTATGAGAGTTAAACATAGCAGTGAGTCCAATAAATACTCATGGTGATCACAACTTCAGGTGACCTTCTTTCCTTCCTTCCCTCCTTCCTTCCTTCCTCCCTCCCTTCCTTCCCTCCTTCCTTCCTTCCTCCCTCCCTTCCTTCCTTCCTCCCTCCCTCCCTCTCTCCTTCTTTTCCTCCCTCCCTCCCTTCTTTCCTCCCTCCCTCCCTCCCTCCCTCCCTCCCTCCCTTCTTCCTTCCTTCCTTCCTTCCTTCCTTCCTTCCTTCCTTCCTTCCTTCCTTCCTTCCTTCCTTCTTAGTATTCCATCTTGCCTTGAGGTGCTACATCTCTGTGGGTAAAATTTTCATATATGATTTTATTTTAGTATTTCAGTAACTGATATTCCATGAATTTATGGCTTAGAAACACCTGTTTATGGTGTTTTTTTTTTAATTTCACAGTGCTACAATAAAGCACTAGTATTTTTATATATTAATATATACATATAAGCAAAAGACACCAGGGTATGGGGTTCTTGATTAATGCTTTTACGTATTTTCCCCAAAATGGTTTTAAACATTCAGTATCATATCTCTTCTCTTATTAGTGAATGTTTGATGTGCATATGAAAGGATATCATTGCCGATGATTTTAAAACATAAATTATATGGCATCTGTTGGTATGTTGTAAAAAAGGGGGAAAAAGATGCATAACTACTGAATGTAGCTATTTAGGAATGCACTTAGTGTAAAAATATGAGAAAGATGTAGGGAGAAAAAGAACTGAACAAAATTAATAAAACAAAAAATAAAAGGAAACCACTTAAGCATTGTACAGTTCTTCTTCCTTCCAAGACTGAAATGTGATATTAACTGTAACTGCCAATCACTGTAGCTTTATTTAAGTACATTAGCCGTGGAGAAGAGTAATAAATTTAATACTAGCTTGTTTCTGATATTGAGTTACTTACTAATGTGAGTGGCAGTAGAATTACTGTGATCAAATGAACACATTTACGTGCACCTGTGTAATTTAAGTGAAATGTTAAATCACAAAAATGTAAACAACAGTGTGTGCTATTTGTCAGAAACTTCCAGGGAAAATTGTCAACTAGGACTTTTTATAGCTGCTCTGAGAAGTAAGTGCATGCATCTAGAGTCAGCAGCTGCCTTAAGTATTTCTGTGATAGGTCTTGCCTTGAATTTTTGTTAAGATACTAGGACCCAAACACCTGACTTCCAGGGTGCTGCTTCAGGTTGTGTGTATTGACAAAGAGACCTAATTTATTAATTAGCTTATCCAGTTAAAATTTGCCTTGTTATTTATACTTTACATCTGTTCTCAACCTTTTATTCTATATTGAAAAATCAGAAAACTGGAAAGAAAGATTTATAGCATATATATTTAAACTGTATGTATAAATAGGATTTAACTTAATCTTCTAGACAAAATTGAACATTTTAAAAACTAAGATGAACATGGTAGTTAGGAGCAATTGTCAAATAAATTTTTCACCTACAGCAGTGTCATCCAATAAAAATATAATATGAACCACATATGTAATTTAAAAATTTTTAGTAGCCATGTTTCAAAAAAGTGAAAAGAATCAGACAGGTATTTTAGACTTACAGCATATCTTAGTGTGAACTGGTATCATTTCAATGCTTAATACCACATGTACTGAGTAATGACCATTGGAAAGCACAGATCTAGAATCTAGACATAATATAAGCTTAAGTGGTGTACAATTTTAAGAACTGCTGTGGGATTTTTCTGTGCAATTATAGATAACTGTAACACTAAGCAATAATTAGAAAGTGTTTGGAACAAAAATTATTCAAAATTTTAGTATTTCAGAGGCAGAGTTTGAATATGACATACTTGTGGATGGAAAGAAAGTTGTAATAGGAGATTACTTGCTTTACATTTTAAACTTAATGATTTGTCAAGATGACATAAAGACGCAATCAGGCTGAGGTATGGAAAATAATTTATGTCACTGAATTTGCAACTCAATAATATTAGGGTTAAAATTAGAACTGAATTAAATTAAGTTTTCTTGTTAGTTTTCATATACCATACAAACTAGAATGTAAAGATCGATGAAAGAAGAGAAGACTTTTTCTTGAACAACTCATGATTAAGTGTGTGAAGAGTGTGATCTGTTTGAAAGGGATAACTTAAACAAAAACAAAATCCAACTAAGTCTAAAACAATTTAATTTATAAATATTATTAGTTCTTAAAAGTAAGTAGGATTGCTGGGCGTGGTGGCTCACGCCTGTAATCCCAGAACTTTGGGAGGCCGAGGCTGGGGGATCACCTCAGGTCAGGAGTTCGAGACCAGCCTGACCAACATGGAGAAACCCCGTCTCTACCAAAAATACAAAATTAGCCGGGCGTGGTGGCCCGTGCCTGTAATCCCATCTACTCAGGAGGCTGAGGCAGAAGAATCGCTTGAACCCGGGAGGCAGAGGTTGCGGTGAGCTGAGATCACGCCATTGCACTCTGGCCTGGGCAACAAGAGTGAAACTCCGTCTCAAAAAAAAAAAAAAAAAAGTCAGTAGGATGACTTATCATAGCAATAAATTTTAACAGAGGAAAAACTTTAATTTTTTTAATTTTTAATCATTAAAAATTATTTTTCATATCTTGAGACAAAAAATGTAATTTGAAAACTTTTTAAAAATAAACAGTCTGATATGTAACAAAGGCATATCCAAACATGCTTCTACTGTATAGATTTTTTAAAATTCACAACTTTGTAAGATGGTTTGTTTTATAAATTATACTCTCTCCTCATCATATAAACAAAGAGGTTCAAAGACTTCTTACAGACATACGATGTGGTCATAATATTTTGTGAATGGGATAGGATATGAAATTATTAATATACTTTCAAATTGGTAAATATTACATAGAAGATATACTCAAGGATATGTCAAATTGCTACTAGTTGTTTTTGGTCATTTCTATTTTTTTACTTTTTGACATTTTAAAAGAGCAATTTTAATTTAATAATAAAGCCAATGAGGCTTATCTCATCATACAAAGAAAACATAAATTGTTGCATTTGCATTCATAAAAAGTAAAAAATTTCTTTTAATCAAAAATATCCAAAGAGAAAAAGACATAAGTCTGGGAGAACTATATGTGACAAATATAATAAGAAATTAATAGCCTTACTGTACAAAAAATTAAAACCAACAGATTAAAAATAAGATTATAAGAAAAGAATAGTCAAAACAAAAGGAAAATAACACAAAAAAATCAACCTCACTAATAACCAAATGAATGATAATTTTAACCATGAAATATCATTTTCAAACATTAATTCAGTAAATTTTTTTAAATAACAAATGTATATTATTAGAAAACATCAAACAAAACACTCCATTTATTCACCGTTGGTGGAAATACAAGTTGGCATAAATTGTCTGGGATATAATTTGACAAGACTATCCATAACTCTACAGAAATCTTGCCTTTATCCTAAAGATGTACTAAAAAATATTGCACTAAAATTTAAGTATGAGGCATTTATTCCAATTTTATTCTGTTTCTATTTTAAATAAAATATTTAAATGTTAAAAAAATTACAACAGCAAAGTAAATAATGGTATGTTCACTAAAATGAACATTATCCAGTTATTAAAAACAATGTTTTCAAGGAATATAAAAAGTTTGCAATCTTAGTAAAAACAACAGAAAAAAATCTGTTTATTAACAATTAACATAGCAGCAAAAACTAACCACGCTTTAAAAGAAATAAGTAAAAACTAATCAAAATTGTAAATTAGTGGTTACTGTATTATATGCCTTGCCAAGCATTCGTGAAGTGAAACCTCTTCAATGTTTTAATTAATGTTTTAAGTCATCTAAAATTTAATCAAGTACTTTATAAATAACATTGAAGTTGATTAAGTTTTTAAAAGACTTTGTGAGGGTTTATGAAAGCAGAAGGCTAAAGCCACATACCATGTGAGAAATATTCATCCATCTTGGTATGCTGAAAATGGCTAAAATAATGTATGGAAAACAATATGGTGGTGTATTGTGATGTGTTCTTTGTCAGTAAATAATGTTGAAAGAGGTGGAAGCCTTATTGCTGAAGATTTAAAGAAACCAGTCTTACAGCGAATTATGTAGGGTGAAAGGTTTGCAGTACAGCAGGATCAAAGTAAGGAAGTTTCTACACACTTTGAATTACGCTAGATATTATTTTTTTCAATTATAACATAAATAAACTACTCTTTATGAGCACTCAAAGAAAGATACTATTTCCCTAAGAAATAGCTTAATGAAAACAATAGTAAAACTGTGCTGTAGCTGCTTTTATATGACTAAAAATAAAAGAAAACCATTGTGATATGTTGTAGAGTTAGCACTTCAGTTGAATTCATTCACTGTATCATGCCCAGGAAAACTTTCATAGCAGAGATTTTAAGCCAGAAATATAAAGTGCTACAAACTATCATTAGTTTTAATTCTTTAATCAAAATAAGGTGCTTTAAATGTAGTTAACTCTTTAAATAAGTGTATTATAAAATTCAACATAATTATCAAAATTCAACATAATTATCAAAACAGATCAACAACATAATTATCAAAACAGATCTATTCAAACAGCAGAGATCTTAAAAGAGTTGCTGATCTTTAGAATAAGGTATGTGTTCTTTTTCAAAAATCAAGTGTTTCAAAATTACTTTTCTCTGATGACAAGCACTGCCAGTAATATGCTAGCCACTTAACAGATAAAGGCAATATTTTAATAGTAAGCAAGTAGTAATTGTTTTTGAAAGAATATCATATTATGGACTGTACATTTTGAAGACTAGCATTTTGAAGTTTTTCTTCCATTATATGATTTGCTGTTCAAACTAATAGACTAGCCTTATATAGTCATATCTGTACATTAGAAATAGGAAATATGATTTTTGAAATTTTAGTATCCTTTAAATTAAATGATTTTATGGAGTCATGAACTTGTTCATCACATATAAAAACATGACACTTTCAGATTTATTTAAAAGCACAAACAATTAATATTTTTTAAAAAAACTGTACAGTATGCCTGAACAATTGAATAACTGGACAATGGATTTGAGTAGTGAGTGTTATGATTTAGAAATGCAGTCAGTGATGCAAGCCTCCCTTCTGGATCCATATTTCTTTGTAAAATACCTATTTTGGCTATGATAGCCATTCAAACAATGTAGTTAAATAAACAACTTAGAAGCAGATTGCTATATCACAAAATATTGAAGCAATAATTTCATTGCTATTTAATGGTACTGTTATAATTTATAATATATTAAAAACAATTTTGTAGAGACAAAAATTTTAAAATAGTATTTCATTGTTACATTTAAATTTCTGTTATTAAATGCTTTAGCATTTTTAATGTCAGTACAATAGTATATCTTTAAAGAACATGTTAATAAATATACATATGCTGTGGTACATTTTTTGCAATTTATATTGTCTGACTACTGCTCTATCATTAGCTTGGCAAAGGGCAATCTCTGCCTGGCCCAAATGAGTTCACACAGTCTTGAGGCCAACAGCCTCGTAGGAATAAAGACTGTGCTTTTGCTGGTCACTTTTCTCTATCATATGTCTTACCTTCATAAACTTTACAGAGAACAACAGGTTATTCTGTAAAAGTTATTTAGAATTTCAGTATGTGGCCAAACGTTAATTTCATATGACCCCACCAATATTTCATGTGAGAAAAATTAGTATATAAAACATTTATATTTATATGGTTTTAGTTATGAAAAGATATATATACAAGTTCATACAAAAATTAGGAGGCAATATACTAAATAGTTTATATACTAAATTATACTGTATACTACATAGTAGAATTAATGGTAACTCCTATCGTCGTTTGTGTAATTAGTCATGTTTTAAGTTTGTGAAAATAAGAAATAAAACCGGGTATTAGGAAGTATAATCAGCTCAATTGTTTTCAGTATTTATTTTCCTACAATAGTATAGACCTGGTCTAAGTTCTTATTTATGTGAAAATAAATAAATATGCAGATTATCACTACAGGTTATATAGTGACAAAATATTCACGAGGGAAGAGTATCTCCCAAGGAAAGAAATGTGAGTGCTCTTCATTCTCCTACATGTTCAGCAGTACTAACGACTCAGACCCTTCAGGAATGAATGTTTGAGTCATTCCACTGAGCAAAGAACCACAACCAGCTGAGGTGTGTGCTGAGTGTGAAGGAAATATGAAATAGATTGAAAGAAGATAGTTATTTACAAGGTGCAACCATGTGACCAGTTTCAGGAAAGAGGACTGTAATAGTCATGAGTATTTTTTGTTTGTTTTGACATGAATATGTTTATATGTATATACGTGTGTGTGTATATATATATATATACACAAAATATTGTTGTTTTATCACCTCTCTGATTTTCTTATTATTTATCTCAGTATTTAATTTACAGGATATCAAAGGAGAAGAGTAGTAACCACTCAAAGACTTCATATACTTTTCTGGAGAACAGCTTAGCCTATTTTTGACTGAACATGAGATAGTTGTATCATATTATGCAGAAGTATAACTCTGTTACTGTCTGTATTTGGAGATTCAGTGAGGTTTTAAGATATGTTTATAGATGTCAAGTTGAGAACAGGTGAACTGCAGTGGCTTTTGATGTATCAAATTTGCTCTTCTATACTATAGTTTCCAGAGTTCCCTTTCTACTACTTTTACAGTTAAACTGAGCTTCAAGGGATGTTCTCTTGCAAAAGTTGAATATTGGAAGGAAGCCGTCATTTTGTAGCATGCGTATACCTTCTTCTAGTTATTCAATAAAACAATAAACTAGTTGCTACTTTAAAGAGAGTTTTGCAGATGTGATTAAAGTATCTGATCAATTAACTATAAGTTAATCAGTTGTGCAGTCTTTAAAAGAGGGTTTAGGCCTTCTCTGAGTTAAGAGAACACTGCCTGTAAACAACACATTTTAGATTGGGACTCCATCCCACTTGTAATTTCCCTTCTCGGTTGTCTGCTCTAAAGATTTCAGATTTGTTTACATGTATATATCCTCACATATTTACCCCAAAATATATATGTTTGGGTAAATATGCAGAGATAGATAGATATATCCATCCTACTAATTCTGCTTCTCCAATCAAACACTGACAAATATAAGCATTGTTAAGAAAGATTTCTAGTCAAGAGGTATCTTTGTTATCATATATATAACAAAGGCAATAGCATTAACAACAACATACAGCCTGTTAACCCATCAACTATTTTTCAATAAATGCATCTTTCAATATCATAGTTTCAAATCCTAGATGGAGTTAGTATCTAAGTTTCAACATATATTTAACACATTGCTTGTTTCTGTTACAAAATATTATCTATCATTAATCAGAAAGATAATTATTTTGTTATTGTTTACATTCTAATAGTGCAGGTTTATTGTTTCATTTCATAATTTAGGAGGGAATTGTCAATTTATGTATTGAACACTATAAATCACATAATAGAGCTAAATACTAATTTGATTATATACTTATATTTCCATTTTCTGCAGGCATGGTAACTACAAACCATGCTTTCAAGGTCCTTGTGACATTATCAATCTATTAATTATCTTATTTTATTTGACTCCACTGTACAGACTCCGCAGGAAGTATTTGATCCAGGACGATTTAGTGACCTCTCTCAAATGGCTAAGTTGGGAACCAGGGGAAAAAAATGCAGCGAGCTACATAGTAAGAGGGCATATTAACCTTAGCTGCTTTGACATCAAGATACTGCTCTTTGTTTCATGGTGTAAGGGATAAATGAAATAAGAAAACAAGATAAAATAGTTGACTAACTCACATTGAGATAAATTTTGTTTTAAGCCCTTTTCGATTAAAGAAGTGCATTATCTCACACTTTACAAAGAAATATACTTTTAAAAAATAACATAAAGGGAATCTCTAAAATTAACATTAAATCCAAATATTCAGTCATTCAGCTCAACTTCAGCCAATTAGCAATTTTCAGAATTAGGACCAGAACCCAGGACTAACTGGCCAGTTTTTGGGCTACAATACAATGTTGGGTTTCCTTTTACTAGGGCATCTAGCTGATGTGCCTACCTCCTAGGTGCTGTTCCAGGTTCTGAGAGTGTGAAATGACTGGCCTGCATCCTATGCAAGCATTAACTCTAGTTGATTTTCTAAGACCAATCCCTTACAGGTGTATGAATAAGTATGTCATAGTAAAGATCCCCATTAGCTAGTTTGCAGCAGAGCTCCAAATTCCCAAAGTAGGGAGGAGCTTTCCTCATCCATCCTTGCTGCTCTTCTTAGACCAGATTGGAAAGCCTCTGCATTTCTTGTTTTTTCCGTTCTCTGATACAAGGCGCACACACACACACACACACACACACACACACACACACACACAGTTGTTCTAGATAAAATCCCAAGGTTCTCCTTGCATTATTACACTGGACTCCAGCTGAACTCTGGTTCCGTACCAAAAGAAGAATCATGTTACCTTCTTCCTGATCTGCAGGGAAAATATGCCTAAAAACAGTGTTCATAAATTTGGAAATAGAAAAATACTATGATTATATCATCTAACCTACTAAATAATTATGATATATCCAACAGAGTAAAACGTTTGCTTCTTCAAATGAGTTTAAAAATGCAATAATTTAAGCATATGGATATTTATCACAATTTAGATTGGTAATTTATATATATATATATAAATACACATATACAGCTGATCTTCATTATTCATAGTAATCATGTTTTATAAAGCCATTATGAACACTAAATTAAATACTAAATTTTTGTTCCTAGGAGAAATTGTATGTGTATATATATATATATATATATCTGCATATATATATATACATGTATGTATGTATATACACACTCATTTCTCATAGATTATCATCTTAAATCTTAAAAACAACAAATCCCGGCCAGGCATGGTGGCTCATGCCTGAAATGCCAACACTTTGGGAGGCCGAGGCGGGCAGATCACATGAGGTCAGGAGTTCAAGACCAGCCTGGCCAACATGGTGAAACCCCATCTCTACGAAAGTAGCCAGGCAGGGTAGTGCATACTTGTAATCCTAGCTATTTGGGAGGCTGAGGCAGGAGAGTCACCTGAACCCGGGAGGCGGAGGTTGCAGTGAGCCGAGATTGCACTATTGCACACCAGCCTGGGCAATAAGAACAGCGAAACTCTGCCTCAAAAAAAAAAAATTGGAATAGTTTATTTTCTTTATTTTACAAAGGAGAAAACAAGATTCAAAAGTATGAAGTGACTTGCATAAAACCATGCCCCTTAACAGGTGCCAGAGTGGGGATCTAAACACTGACCAACTGGTCCGAGACCAGAGCTTTGTGCACTACACTGCACCACCCGTGACCTTCTCCATCCTCTTGTCATCTTTATATGAAAGCTGAGACAAGAAGGCCATGTTCCTCCTTAGCTGGAACTTGCCCAATAGCTGACTCAAATGTTTCTCTGTTTCTGTGCATGTCCACAAATGACTGCAAAAGCACTGCTAGTATTGATTTTGACATTATAAATAAATTTTAGCAAGTAGGCAAATTCACAAATATAGAATCTGCAAATAATGAGGATCAGTTGTATATATGGTCAGTAAACACAAGTCAGTAAATTCAAATTAGTAAAATATCATGCTTTGAAAGATGTAAATAGACAGAAATGTCAAAATTTATAATAAATATGGGGTTATGAATAAATGTGTTAACTACCTGATATTTTCTAAAATGAAAACATACTAACTGTAAAATAATGCTTTACTAGAATAAGCAGTTTTGATTCTCTGCTCTAGAGAATAACTTAAACATCATTAGAAGGATCCAGATCTTCAAACTGCATTTTTTTAAACTAAATAAAGCTGACATTTAATTATCCACTTTGGAGTATTCATATTAAATCACATAGTATGGATAATCAAAAGTTGTTAACTTCATTGTAAACTAAAGGAACTAAAACATTAAATGAAGACATTATTATTTTAAGTGAATATTTTTATTTTCAGAAGCATAAATTTCTTTTTTGTTATCTTGTTTGAGTGGTTTATTTTTTATTAATGTGTGTGTATGTGGATGTGTGTGTGTGTCTTTCACTACCAAGGAAAGGCAGAATTTAGAAGGTAAAGAGGAAAATGAATCAGAAAGAAACAAAAATTTCACAGTGATATTTCAACAATACATTTAATTTTTATTCTAATGTTCTAAGCAATATATGGAAATGACTGCCTTTTATAAAAGCAATTTTCTTTCTGGCTTGATGAAAGTAAAAAATCCCTGTATGTTCAAATTCATTTCAAACTTCAAAGGACAGAACAGCCTTGGCGTTGGCGTGGTTCTTGCAAGCAGTTGGGTAAATTGACTACATAATGAGTCCTTGGCTGTTCCTAACCAAAACTTTGTTGGACAGGTTCATTTACAATCCTCAAACAGCATGACCTTCCATCTGGCTTAATGGCCCCTGGATTGTTGCAAATGCGACCTGACATTTCCTTATGGGTGAGTTATTAAATTATATCACAGAACACAATAACATAATTTGGTTTCAGAGCCTAAGTGAAAGTGATAGTCCAGCAGATTAAGATGTAAAATTCCTTTGCAAAATTAAGTTATTTATAATCTGATGCATACCTCCTTGTTTTATCTGCCATATAATATAATTACTTTCCACAGTACAGTAGCTGCATAAACTGACAATGCTGACAGAACAGAAATGGCATTTGAAGAGGAGAAAAGAACTTCAGTGGTCAGGTAACTGACTTTTATAGTTATCTTTCTAAACTGAAATCACTTGCAATTTTTGCTTTTCTTTTCCTTAATGGAATTGATCCATTAAGCAGTGCTTCTCTCTTTTGCCTAATAGTATTAGACATACTTAACTCTATGAGCTACAGTTTCTTAATTCATCCTGAAATATCTGCTTTGACATGACTAATACCAATATATTTTTAAATTTAGGGTTTTATCTATTTAGCTGCTTCTATCAGCTGTGGTTTAGTGAAAAATAAACCAATGTCTCATTTGTTACTGTATCGGATATTGGAATTACTAACTGTGACTCTTGAATGGTTTGGATAAATTTCAAAGACCAATAAAGCTAAAAGAACAACATATTTCTACAATTATTCATAAACAATGTGAAATTTCCTTTAGTCAGATTTTTTACCATTAAGAAAAGAAAGATTTGAAGGTAGGATTTGCCTATAGCGACAACTAGAATTTTCATTCTAACAGATTCTTCTGGTGTACTTCACAGTGAAGAACTCTGCTCTGCCTGTGTTTAGTCTCTTTTGTAGAATTTTCTAACTTTCCAAAGCATTTACCCTTATTCTGTTCACTCACAGGTGCTGTTTATCATCAGCACAGTTTTAGTTGAATATTCATTCAAGCAAATTTTTTTAGCATCTACTAATCAGGCTCTGTGCTAGGTTTTATAAAAATAAGGATAGCAATAGAAATAATGACAATATAAACTAAAATGTGGTATAATACAAGATCCACTAGGGTAGAGATCTATCTTAATTCACATGTGTGCTCCAAGTGACTAAGATGCACCTGAAACATAAGAGGAGTTCAGTAAACATTTGTGGAATAGCACTTACTGTGTGTTCCACTTGCATATTCTCATGGAACTTTTAAGATGTCCCTAGTGGTAGATACTATTTTTCATATGAGGAAATTAATGCAAAAATATGTTAAATTACTCTTCCAACATCTTGTCTGATAATAGCCAATCATGTATTGAAGCCAGAGTCTGATTCCAGCGACTGTTCTTTGAGCAATTATCTTATTGCCTCTTCCTGCCCTCAGGAAGCACACTCACAAGTTTATTCTGATGAAGACATCCAAAATTAAGTTTACTAGATGGTCTTTGCACATTTATGAGGGCATTTTTACACTTAGCTCTAATCTAGATCCATAATGGCACTATATAAATTACAAGAAGTTTCAACTCCTTGCCAAAACCAATTTGAGTCAATGGGAGTAACTTCACTTCAAGGAATATCGTTCCTACATCACTGACTTTATCAACAGTTAATTCTTTGCACATTCTATCTTCCAAACTACATCACTTATAGTTTTAGTGCTAAGATTAAAGCTGATTTCCTGCATTAGGCATTTCCTCATTTAACAGTATTTACTAGTTCATGAACCTCTTTATTTAATTGGACTGTCTATATAAATCCAAATAACATTACATCAGAAGGAAAGCATCAAACTTATGTGAAGTAATGAAACCTTACAAAATGAATATTTTTCTTCTTTCTAAATTGTTGAATAACAGCATTTCTACTGATTACCTATCTTTCCCCGCTCCTCAAAATATAAAAAATCCACACACACTCTGTCACACATGTGTATTATCGTTTTATTTTGGAAGGGTTAGAGATTTGAACTAGTGACCATAATATTTCTTAAGGTCATCCCATACCCTAAATAAATACAGAAACCAGGTCTTCTCTATACTGTTAACGTTTGCACATGGTTCCTTCTTGAGAGTTAGAGGAACCCAGAGAGTGCTCAATAAATGCCATAGTTATTTCTACATCATGGCATTTAAAGCTTGAAACTTACTTTCCAAACTAAAGCTAGGATTTTCTTTGTAACTCTTTAGGAAAACTATAAGACAAGTAATCAATGTTTTACACCTGAAGATACAGACTCTGAAGTTTAAAAAAATAGTGACGGGGATCAGCCATCTAGTGGAGTCATGGATTTCCACTTTGCTTTTTTTTGAGATGAATGATTTAGCCAATACTATAAAATATTATCACCTTGTTACATAGCTATTATGAGTTAAGTCCCTCCAACTACCTCTCTATCCTACCATAAATCCCCTCTTTATCATGTATGCTCCAGCCAAATGAATAGCCAATTCAATGGTTCTTTTCCTGCCTCAGGGACTCTGTTCATTTGTTCTTACCCTGGTGGACAGCCACTGCTCCCACTGCTTCTTCCTTCCTAAGCCTCCACAGACTGAAATCCTACTAGTCCTAAAGGGTCAAATTCAGCGATTAGCTACTCTCTAATATCCTGTTTACCAAATGAATGTAAATTCTCCATGTGCTACATTCCCTTACTCACAGTTTACCCCTAAACAGAAGTTACCTTACACAGTCTTATACTGTAGTTCTCCTTAATCTCAACTTAGTTTACTTCCTAGGTTATAACTATCCAAATGTAAAGGAAATATGTGGAAACTTAAAAAAATTCAAGAAAAAAATTGAATTAAAAGATAAAAATAAAAAATATAAACTTTACATTTCAACATAAGCTTCATCAGGTTCAAGACATTTTTGTAAGCAATGAAACCAACCATTTAATCCATCCCTAAAGAACTGAGAGTCTTGGTAATTTAACCATGCCAATGTAGTCATTTTACATTACGACCTAAAAAAATGGGTGCCCTCTACAATAGTTTTTAAGATTAGGAAACAAAAATAATTCAGAAGGAGCCAAATTAGGACTGTAAGGTGGGTGCCAAATGACTTTCAAAAAAAAAAAAAAAAAAACCTCTCACAAAATTGTTCTTGTTTGATGAGAAGAATGAACAGAAACTTTGTAATGGTGAAGAAAAACTCTATTGAAGCTTTCCTGGCTTTTTTTCTGCTAAAGATTTAACCAAGTTTCTCCAAATACTATCATAATAAGCAAAGTTAATATGCTTGAGCCCTCCAGAAAGTCAACAAGTAAAATACATTAAGTGTACCAACACACTATTATTATGAGCTTTGATCTTGACCAGTTAACTTTTGCTTTGACTGGACCAGTTTCACCTCCTGGTTGCCTCCTGGTTGCCATTGTTTTGAATGTGCTTTGTCTTCAGGAGTATACTGGTAAAGCTATGTTTTATCTTTTGTTACAGTTCTTCATAGGAATACTTCAGGATATTTATCTCACTTGTGTACAATTTCCATTGAAAACTCTGCCCTTGTCTGAATTTGATCTGGGTGCAATGGTTTGGGCAGTCACCAAATGGGAAGTTTGCTCAAGTTTTCCCGTCGAAATTGTGTAAGCTGAACCAACTGAGGTACCTGTGGCATCAGCTATTGTTTGTATTGTTAATCATCAGTTTTCTTCAGTTAGGGCACAAACAAGGTAAATTTTTTCCTCACAGACTGGTGTGGATAGTTTGCCTCTCCAGGCTTCATCTTCAACATCATTTTGTCCCTTCTCAAAACAAGTTATTCAATTGTAAATTGCTATTTTATTTGAAGCAATTTGACCCCATAAACTTTTCCTAAATCATCAGTGATTTCACCATTTTTCCATCTAAGCTTCACCATAAATTTGATGTTTGTTATTGTTTCAATTTTAGCAGAATTCATGTTGCTCTAACAGGGACTCTTTTCAAACTTATGTCTTATCTTTCTTAGTGCCTCAAGCTAGGCCCTTTGCAGACATGTCATAACAAGTTAGTTCAAGTTTATTTTGGTGGAAAAAAATTTGAAATGTATGCATAATTTTTCCACAATATGCATCTTCCATGAACTTTTGAAGCTCCTATATGCTCTGCTCCCCTCATCACACTCTCACTCTTGCATGAGTACATATACATGTGGTGTGCTAGGGGACTGGCTCCGCCCCCCACACAAAAAAAACAAAGACAGAAAGAGTAGTGATTTTGTGTGTGTGTGTTTGACTATTTGAGTGGTTGGACTATTTTAGTGGTGTAAATACTCTTCCCTGGACAATTTCAAGCTACCAGCAGTTTAATAACTACCTTGCAAAATTTCTTAATGTTTTAACAATTGGCTCTTGCTCATTTTAAGAGGTAGCTTATATAAATATATTTACACTAACATAGTTCTATGTACACAATAAATAAACAATAATAAGCAACAAAGGAGATCAGCATGAAAGAGTGTAGCACAGGAAGGTAGGAAACAGGAACCTATAAAGGAAAATCTCAATTTTTCCTGTTTTCTACAGTACTAATAGAGCAAGGCAGCATAATATTACTCTTCTTTTCCATTATTCTTGAATTCTTGGTGAAGCCTATTCTTGGTCTTCGCAGCCTCTCTCTGTTACAAACACACACACACACACACACACACGCACACTTTGCCAATGACTTTTCTTCTTTCTTTGGTTCCTCTCATCCAATAGTTAAAATTTAACTCAGCTAGAGGAAAAAATCCATAGTAGTAGAATTTAAATAATAGAGCACCAGCATCCTACACAATTCATAATGCCCCCTTCAGCAGTCCATTCTACAGGGCTCTTATTCATCCAGGATAGAACATTCAAGCCTTATGAGTTTACACATTTGACCTCTTCAGGAGAATAACCGATGTGTTGCTCTCCACTGGCCATTACTCTGCCTTTGTCATCTTCATAGCTAATGGTCCTTTAGGGGATTCTTGAAATGAAGTTACTAAAATCTCAGTCTGCCTTTGCTTAGGTTCTTGTCATTGGGCACATAGAAGTTACTCAGGAACATGATATTCAATTCTGTCTGAACCAGCCTGCTAGCTAGAAGGCAGCTTTAACATATATTTAGTTATTCGGTTGCTTTATAAAATTGCACCCATTATAAAAATGCCCAGGGAATAAACCAAAAAATTAGCACATTAATTATAAGTAAAGCATTATAGAACAACAGTAATTAACAACTCTAGTTTTTAGAGCTATCATTCATGCTGGGCCACTAATAGAAAAATAACAAGAATGAGAGAGGGCAATATAACTACTGAATGTCAATCTACCTGTTTATCTATCTATCCAACTACCTTCATATCACCCTACCTAAGATTTGTAGTCAGTTACCTGGAGTTTTCTGTCTTGATTCTGCTACTTTCTACCATTGAAAAAATACAAAATTCAATTAAATTTACCACTTTCTATATTTTTATCTGTAAGAACGATATCTGTTGTACCAGTGGTAGTGTTTCTAATTTCCGGCTTTACATTGTTCCCAGTATTTGTTTCAGTCTTCATTTCCTCTGACTTACAACAAAAATGGCATACTTTGGAAATCACGCAAAATTATCTAGTTCCATTGAGATGGAAATAGCCTAAACCTGCAGCATAATACATTTAGTCTAGGGAAATAGGTGAGTTTGATAATAGTGACATTTTCAAAATGAAGTAAGGATTTTTTTCACATATTATACATTTTTCATTGCATATCATTTTAAATATCAACTTTTCCTGATCTTTCTTCTAGTTTCTCTATAAAGATATTTCTTCCAGGACTATATAATATCCGCTCCTCAGCGTGACCTCCCTGACTAGCATCCTAGGGTCAGTATTGATGTTTTTATCGTTATTACTATTTTTTTTTTTGAGACAGAGTCTCACTCTGTTGCCCAGACTGAAGTGCAGTGGCATGATTTTGGCTCGTGCAACCTCCGCCTCCCAGGTTCAAGCAATTCCCATGTCTTAGCCTCCTAAGTAGCTGGGACTGCAGGCATGTGCCACCACGCCCAGCTAATTTTTGTATTTTTAGTGGAGACAGGTTTTCACCATGTTGGACAGGCTGGTCTCAAACTTCTGACCTCAAGTGATGCTCCCACCTTGGCCTCCCGGAGTGCTGGGATTACAGGATTGAGCCACCGTGACAGGCCCATGATTTTTTTTTTCAATAGTTACCATAATGTGTTATTATTTTATTTAATTGTTTCACTTTTTTGTTGCTTTTAGTAGTTCTTGCACACTAGAATATAAGCCTCCTATTGGCAATTTTAGTGCTTTTTGACCACCTTTATATCCCTAGAACCTAACGTCATATCTGGCACAACAGATGCCCACTGACTGAATGAATGAGAGGCAGACATAATACATGAAATTAGGAAAGACCTAATAAATAATAGTTTTACAATGGAAACAGAAAGCTCATGTGTTTTTGTGGAAGCAGAGAGTACATCATCCTATACATAGGTCATACTGACGCACCCAAATAAATTAATGGATCAGATAAGAAACATCTCAACCCATCTGTTTTCTTCACTATCTTAAGTTTTCAAGTCAATAGAATCTCTGGGTCATTGTCTCAATTTAATTCTTATACATGATTTTTTAAAATTTCACGATTCTCTATTTAGGCACCACAATATTTCTATAAAAATTTTATAAGGGTGTTTTCATAGCCCTAACGTAATTTGCAGCACCTACACATCTTCAAACCTTGAATAATAATAAAAAGTTATTTTGTATTTAGATTTACACTAAATTTAGGAAGGGTTAATATATTAAATCAACCTACATTTTACTTAAATCCAGTGTTCCTTTTCTTGAGGTTAAATGGCCTTGCTTTGAGGGTAGAGGAAGACAAAAAAAAAAAGGCCCGCTTGACTTCCACTTGCACATTTTCAAGTGAAAAAGATATCTCAGTCACTTTTAACACATCTTAATTGCTTCATTATATTTTTATAGAGCACCTGAATTGCTTGGAAGAAGCTTAATTAAAATGGTGCTTGTTTTATAGTTAACAGAAATGCAAAAAGCACGTATCTTGCGGGACAATCAATCATATTTTTTCTTTGCTGCAGTCTCAAAGACAGTATAGACTGAGCAGATTAATAAGGCACTGAAACATTTGAGCACCATCAGAATTTAGATGTGTGCATCTTCTTGGACCTAAGCCTCTCATAAACTTTAATATAATCTTTCCTTCAGTCTACGGCATCACTTAATGAATCGCTGGCCTTAATATATTTTGTGGTCTGACTGTACATTTGCCAATTCTGTGCATTATGGGAGAAAGGAAATTTTCAGTACAGCAGCAGTTATCATTAGGCACAAATTCACATTGCATTTATGGTTGGTTTCACTATTATTTTCGGTAGAAATTATTGGAAACTACAAGATATAGTTTGGAGTCATAATTCAGTGCCAGCCTGCTGTGCGGCTTTGACTAACACTTAATTTATCTGTGTTTACTTCCCTTTCTAAACAAAATGGACTTCTTTCCTGGAGACAGGTGATATAATAAACATTTTCTGTTTTTGCCTAAAGACTGTTGAAGGTAGAGAGGATAGAAGTATAGAATTTGAGAGTTTATATAGAAAAAAAGCCCTTGCAACACCTGAGAGGAGCATCTGCAGGGCAATTCCTAGAAGTTTCCAAAATGACTAAGCAGCTCACCATAGGACTCTTGCAACAATGTTGTTCTGACTTGTCACTGACATTTTTCTTCTTATAATCATAATTGTGTTAGAATTTCTGAGCTTTTTAAAGTCTACACTAGAATCTGCTTTGTTTCTCCTCTGGGAGTGGAAAATTTGGATCTTCTTTGAAGCACCCCTTACCTGGACTTTTTTGATTATTTACCCAAACCTATAATAAATAATTCATTCATTTGTCATACATTCAATAAATATTATTTTGTACTATGTTATTAACACAGATGAAGTCAGATTTTATTGCTTTTGACATCAGGGTCTAATTATTGGACATAGATATGAGATATAGAACATAGACTAGCATGTAAACAATGTGATCCTCAGAGCAAGAATGAGATTTTAAACACTAAAATATGTATATTTTGGAGGAAACATTCATAAAGAAAATTTCTTACCAGTACAATATTGCGTTAAATTTTCTGCATGAATAAAGTAATCTAGCTGTGATTTATTACAAATGCTAGTACACAAGGAGACTCATAGAGTAACATGAATGTCGCAGGCAAACAGTTAACAATTCTCCTTTACTGGAAGTAATTTTGAATTATAAAATATAATAGAACTAATACTCCTACCTTTCTCCCCACTACAAAAAAAAAAAATGCACACACATACACACACACACATACAGACATTCAGAATAAATTTTAGTTACCTAGACAACAAAGAAAAAAGGAGAATACTCTAAGCTTAGGGTTCAAAACCTCAGGGTCCTTTTACTATATAGCATAACCTATCATAATAAAAAAATTACCTCTAGTTGGATAAATAACAGTATGGGATAGAATATTTACCCTAGATGTTTAAGAGAGTGAAGCTGGTGTAGTGAGTTGAATGGTAGCTGTATTAGCCTGTTTTCACACTGCTGTAAATAACTGTATGAGACTGGGTAATTTATAAACAAAAGAGGTTTAATTGACTCACAGTTCGTGTGGCTGGGGAAGCCTCAGGAAACTTACAATCATGGCAGAAGGTGAATGAGAAGCAAGTACCTTCTTCACAAGGCAGCAGGAAAGAAAGAGGGCACAGGGGAAACTGCCACATTTAAAGCATCATATCTCATGAGAACTCCCTCACTATCATGAGAACGGCATGGGGGAAACTGCCCCCATCAGCCAATCACCTCTCACCAGGTTCCTCCCTTGACAGGTAGGGATTACAATTCAAGATGAGATATGGGTGAGAACACAGAGCCAAACCATATGATTCTGCACCTGGCCCCTCCCAAATTTCATGTGCTTTCCACATTTCAAAACCAATCATGCCTTCCTGACAGTCCCCGAAAGTCTTAACTCATTCCAGCATTAACTGGAATGAGCATCAAAAGTCCAAGTCCAAAGTCTCATCTGAGACAAGGCAAGTCTCTTCCACCTATGATCCTGTAAAATCAAAAACAAGTTAGTTACTTCCAAGAAACAACAGGGGTACAGGCACTAGGTAAATGTTTCCATTCCAAATAGGAGATATTGGCCAAGTCCAAAACCTGACTGGGCAGTCATTAAATCTTAAAACTCCAAAATCTCCTTTTATTCCATGTCTCACATCTAGGCCATGCTGATGCAAGAGGTAGGCTCCCACAGCCTTGGGCAGCTATGCCAGTGTGGTTCTGCAGGGTGCAGACCCCATGGCTGTTTTCACAGGCTGGCATTGAGTGCCTGTGGCTTTTTGAGGCACACAGTGCAAGTTGTCGATGGGTCTACCATTCTGGGGTCTGAAGGCCAGTGGCACTCTTCTCATAGCTCCACTAGGCAATGCCCCAGTGGGGCCTACAACCCCACATTTCCCCTCTGCATTGCCCTAGTAGAGGTTCTCCACAAGAGCTGTGCCCCTGCAGCAGACCTCTGCTGGACATCCAGGCATGTCCATACAACCTCTAAAATCTAGGCTAAGGTTCCCAAAGCTCAACTCTTGTCTTCTGCACACCCACAGGCTTAACATCAGGTGGAAGCTGCCAAGACTTGGGGCTTGCACCCTCTGAAGCAATGGCCTGTGCTGTACCTTGGCCCCTTTTAGCTATGGCTGGAGCAGGAGCAGCTGGAATGCAGAGCACCAAGTCCTGAGGCTGCACAGAGCAGCAAGACCCTGGGCCAGCCCAGGAAACCATTTTTTCCCTCCCTCTGGGTCTGTGATGGGAGAGGCTGCTGCAAATTTTTCTTACATGCCCTGGAGACATTTTCCCCATTGTCTTGACTTAACATTCAGCTCCTCATTACTTATGCAAATTTCTACAGTCAGCTTGAATTTCTCCCCAGAAAATGGGTTTTTGTTTTCTACCTCATGGTCAGGCTGAAAATTTTCCAAACTTTTATGCTCTACTTCTCTTTTAAATATAAGCTCTAATATCAGATAATCTCTTTGAAGGCATATGACTGTACACTTTTAGAAAAAGCCAACACACATCTTGAATGCTTGGCTACTTAGAAATTTCTTCTGCTGGATATCCTAAATCGTCTCTCTCAAGTTCAGTGTTCCACAGATGTCTAGAGCATGAACAAAATGCTGCCAGTCTTTTTGCTAAAGCCCAACAAGATTGATTTTTACTCCAGTTCCCAATAAGTTCCTCATCTCCGTCTGAGACCACCTCAGCCTGGACTTCATTATTCAAATCACTATCAGCATTTTGGTCAAAACCATTCAACAAATCTCTAGAAAGTTCCAAACTTTCCCACATCTTCCTGTCATCTGAGCCCTTCAGACTATTCCAACCTCTCTCCATTACCCAGTTCCAAAGTTGCTTCCACATTTTCAAGTATCTTTATAGCAGTGCCCCACTCCCAGTACCAATTTCCTGTACTAGTCTGTTATCACACTACTATAAAGAACTGCCTGAGACTGGGTAATATATAAACAAAAAAGGTTTAATTGACTCACCATTCTGCATTCTGGGGAGGTCTCAGGAAACTTGCAATCATGGCAGAAGGCAAAAGAAGAGAAGGTACCTTTTTCACAAGGCAGCAGGGGAGAGGACAGAGGAAATTGCCACTTCTAAACCAGCAGATCTCACGAGAACTCCCTCACTATCATGAGAACAGCATAGGGGAAACCACCCTCATCAGCAAATCACCCACCAGGTCCCTCTCTCAAAATGTGAGGATTAAAATTTGAGGTGCAATTTGGATGGGGACACAGAGCCAAAGCATGTCAGTAGCTAGAAAGATTAACAACTGTATCTGTGAATATGACCTCATTTTTTAAAGAGAGCCTTTGTTGATTAAATGAAGGATCTGTAGATGAGATGATTCTGGATATCTGGGCAAGCTCTAAATATAATGATAAATGTCTGAATAAGAGACAAAGGAGAGATAGGGAGAAAAAGGAGAAGGCCGTATGAAGGCAAAGGAGTGAGAAATTAAGAGTTAAGCAGCCACAAGCCAACGTGGCAGGTGGTGCCTGAAGCCACCAGAAGCGGGAAAAGATAAGGTGGAATTTTCCCCTAGAGATTTCAGTAGTATGGCCTGGATGTCACCTTGAATTCAGACATTTGGCCTCCAAAATTGTAAGAAAATAAATTCCCTTTGTTTATAAGCCACAAAGTTTATGGTAATTTGTTACAGCAGTCCTAGGAAACTTAAGCTAGTAAATGTTTTATCTTTTCATGTGATACACCGTGCAATAAAATGAATCTGTATAAACAAATAATGTAATTTGATTGCTGGGACTGTAAATTTGCTTAGAGATTTTTAGTAACATGCCAAGAAACATTAACTTCATACAAAATAAGATCATGTTTCCCAGGTGTTTTGCCTTTTAATTACTTTTCTTTTATACTAAACACCTTTCAGTGTTATCCAGCTAAACTTGGATTTTCTTTCTGCAAAGTTATTGACTTTGCTATCCAGCTTAGAAGTCTATCTGCAGTCCAGGTCAGTATTATCCAATTGCATTTTCTACTACTCCATATGGTTTCTGCTTAAGCTTTGAAGCTCCTGCTCAACACCATCATTTCTGTTCTTTATTCATTGAAAAGTGTTTTCATGACTGTTCTGCTTTTGTTTCCTCATGTTCTTTGACTTTGTTTACTCCTTTTGATGAGCCAATTGTCATGTCATTTTACCTTTCTTACCCAACATCACATCCTATTTTGTTTTTGTTTTAAACGTCCTTGAGAGTAGTAAGCATAATGTCCAAAATTTACTTTGGTTTTTTATTGTAAAACTTTTTACACAAAGATGTTTTCTTTACTGGGCTCTTGCATTACTAAGATCATATGCTTATTTCATGTTGCACAATCATTTATTAACTCTTATTTCTTTCTGTTAGTTACCTTTAAATGCAGAAAAATAGCTATAGAAAGCATAGATGCTTTCTCTTTGCCTCTAAATAGCTTGAGTTGATTTTTCTTTTTCTTTTTTTAATTTCCAACTTTTATTTTAGGTTCAGAGTACACGTGCAGGATGTGCAGATTTGTTACACAGGTAAACGTTTGCCTCAGTGGTTTGCTGCACAGATCATTTCACTACCTATGTATTAAGCACAGCATCTATTAGCTATTGTTCCTGATGCTCTCCCTCTTCTCACCCCCCTTGCTCCCTCCTATGTGTCCATTTGTTCTCATAATTCAGTTCCTAATTATTAATATAAGTGAGAATATGAGGAATTTGATTTTCTCTTCTTGCTTTTGCTTGCTGAAGATAATGGCTTTCAGCTCCATCTATGAACCTGCAAAGGACAGGATTTTGTTTCTTTTTATGGCTGCATAGTATTCCATGGTGTATACCCACCACATTTTCTTTATCCGGTCTGTCATTGATGGACATTTAGGTTGATTCTATGTCTTTGTTATTGTGAATATTGCTGCAATGAACATATGTGTACATGTATCTTTATAATAGAATGATTTATGTTCCTTTGGGTATATACCCAGTAATGGGATTGCTGGGTCAAGTGTTGTTTCTCCCTCTAAGTCTTTGAAGAATTGCTACACTGTCTTCCACAATGGTTGAACTAACTTACACTCCCATCAAAAGTGTAAAACTGTTCCTTTTTCTCCATAACCTTGCCAGTGTCTGTTGTTTTTACACTTTTTAATAATAGCCATTCTAACTGGTGTGAGATGGTATCCCATTGTGGTTTTGATTTGCATTTCTCTAATGATCAGTGATGTTGAGCTTTTTTTTATATGTCTGTTGGCCACATGTATGTCCTCTTTTAAGTGAAGTGTCTGTTCGTGGCCTTTGCCTACTTTTTAATGGGGTTGTTTGGTTTTCTTGTAAATGTGTTTAAGTTCTTTGTAGATGCTAGTTATTAAACCTTTGTCAGATGGATAGACTACAAATATTTTCTCCCATTTTGTAGGTTGTCTGTTTACTCTGATGATAGTTTCTTTTGTTGTGCGGAAGCTCTTTCATTTCATTAGATCCCATTTGTCAATTTTTGCTTTTGTTACAATTGCTTTTGGCATCTCTGTCATGAAATCTTTGTTCATGCTTATGTCCTGAATGGTATTGCCTAGGTTTTCTTCTATGGTTTATATAGTTTTGGGTTTTACATTTAAGTATTTAACCCATCTTGAGTTGATTTTTGTATATGGTGCAAGGGAGGGGTCCAGTTTCAATTTTCTGCATATGGCTAGCCGGTTCTCCCAGCACCATTTATTAAATAAGGAATCCTTTCCCCATTGCTTGTTTTTGTCAGGTTTGTTGAAGATCAGAGTGTTGTAGGTGTATAGTTTTATTTCTGGGTTCTATTCTGTTCTATTGGTCTATGTGTCTATTCTTGTACCAGTACCATGCTGTTTTGGTTACTGTAGCCTTGTGTTATGGTTTGAAGTCAGGTAGAATGAGAGCTCCAGCTTTGTTCTTTTGGCTTAAGGTTGTTTGGCTATTCGGGATCTTTTTTGCTTCCATATAAATTTTAAAATAGTTTTTTTTTTAATTATGTGAAAAATGTCAGTGGTAGTTTAATGGGAACAGCACTGAATCTATACATTGCTTTGGGCAGTATGGCCATTTTTACAATATTGATTCTTCATATCCATAATCATGGAATGTTTTTACATTTCTTTGTATCATCTCCGATTTCTTTGAGCAGTGTTTTGTAGTTCTCCTTGAAGAGGTTCTTCACTTCCCTTGTTAGCTGTATTCCTAAGTACTTTATTATTTTAACGGCAATTGTGAATAAGAGTTTATTTGATTTGGCTCTCAGCTGGCCTGTTGTTGGTGTATAAAAAGGCTAGTGATTTTTACACATTGATTTTGTATCCTGAGACTTTGCTAGAATTACTTACCAGCTTAAGAAGCTTTTGGACTGAGATAATGGGGTTTTCTAAATTTAGGATCATGTCATCTGCAAGCAAAGATAGTTTTACTTCCTCTCTTCCTATTTGAATATGCTTCATTTCTTTCTCTAGCCTGATTTCCTTGGCCATAACCTCCAATACTATGTTGAATAGGAGTGGTAAGAGAGGGCATCCTTGTCTTGTGCTAGTTTTCAAGTGGAATGCTTTCAGTTTTTGCTCATTCAGTGTGTGAGTTTGTCAGATATGGCTTTTATTGTTTTGAGGTATTTTCTAGTTTATTGAGAGTTTTTAACATGAAGGGATGTTGAACTTTATTGGAGGGTTTTTCTGCATCTATTGAGGTAATCATGTGGTTTTTGTCTTTGGTTCTGTTTATGTGATGAATCACATTTATTGATTTGCATATATTGAACTAACCTTCCATCCCGGTGCTAAAGTATACTTGATTGTGATGGATAAGCTTTATAATGTGCTGCTGGATTCAGTTTGCCAGTATTTTGTTGAGAATTTTGGCATCAATAATCATCAATGATACTGGCCTAAATTTTTCTTTTTGTTGTTGTATTTCACCCAGGTTTTGGTGTCAGGATGATGCTGGCCTCATAGAATGAGTTAGAGAGGAGTCCCTCCTTCTCAATATTTTGGAATAGTTTCAGTAGGAATGGTACCAGCTCTTCTTTGTACCTTTGGTAGAATTTTGCTCTGAATCCATCTGGTCCTGGGCTTTTTTTCATTGGTAGTTTATTTATTACTGCCTCAATTTCAGTACTCATTACTGGTCTATTCAGGAATTCAGTTTTTCCCTGGTTGAGTCTTAGGAGGGTGTATATGTCCAGGAATTTATCTATGTCTTCTAGATTTTCTAGTTTACGTGCATAGAGGTGTTTGTAGTATTATGTGATGGTTGGTTGTACTTCTGTGGAGTCAGTGGTGTTATCCCCCTTATTATTTCTGATTGTGTTTATTTGAATCTTCTCTCTTTTCTTCTTTATTAGTGTAGTTAGCAGTCTGTTTTATTATTTTTTTTCAAAAAAAAAGTTTGGACTTACTGATTTTTTTGGAGGGTTTACCATGTATCTATCTTTCTCAGTTCAGCTCTAATTTTTGTTATTTCTTGTCTTCTGTTAGCTTTGGGGTCTGCTTGCTCTTGGTTCTCTAGTCCTTTAGTTGTGATGTTAGATTGTTAACTTGTGATCTTTCTAACTTTTTGATTTGGACATTTAGTGCTATATATTTCCCTCTTAAAGCTGCTTTTGCTGCATTCCAGAGATTCTGGTATATTGTTTCTTTTTCTCATTAGTTTCAAAGAACTTTATTTCTGCCTTAATTTATTTACCCAACAGTCATTCAGAAGCAGGTTGTTCAATTTCCATGTAGTTGTGTGGTTTGGGGTGAATTTCTTAATCTTGAGTTCTAATTTGGTTGTTTTATGTGGTCTGAGAAACTGTTATTATTTCAATTCCTTTGCATTTCCTGAGAAGTGTTTTACTTATAATTATGTGATCAATTTTAGAGTAAGTGCTGTTCAATGATGAAAAGAATGTAAATTTTGTTTTTTGTGGGGTGGAGAGTTTTGTAGATATCTATCAGGTCCACTTCATCCAGAGTTGAATTCAGGTCCTGAATATCTTTGTTAATTTTCTGTCTTTATGATCTGTCTAATCTTGTTAGTGGAGCATTAAAATCTTCCACTATTATTGTGTGGGAGTCGAAGTCTCTTTGGAGGTCTCTAAGAACTTGCTTTATGAACCTGAGTGCTCTTGTATTGGGTGTGTGTGTGTGTGTGTATATATATATAATGTGTATACATTTGTGTGTGTATATGTGTGTGTGTGTACATATTTGTGTGTATATATAGATATACTTTTTCTTTTTGAGATGGAGTTTCACTCTTGTCGCCAAGACTGGAGTGCAGTGGCGCGATCTCAGCTCACTGCAACCTCTGCCTCCTGGGTTCAAGTGAGTCTCATGCCTCAGCCTCCTGAGTAGCTGGGATTACAGGAGCCCAGCACCACGCCCAGCTAATTTTTTGTATTTTTTATAGAGGCAGGGTTTCACCATGTTGGTCAGGCTGGTCTCAAACTCCTGACCTCAGGCGATCCACCCACCTCGGCCTCCCAAAGTGCTGGGATTACAGGCGTGAGCCACGGTGCCTGGCTGGGTGCACATGTATTTAGAATAGTTAGCTCTTCATGTTGAATTGATCCCTTTACCATTATGTAATGCCCTTCTTTGACTTTTTAAATTTTTGTTAAAGTCTGTTTTGTCAGAAACTAGGATTGCAACTCCTACTTTTTTCTGTTTTCCATTTGCTTGATAAATTTTCCTCCATCCCTTTATTTTGAGCCTATTTGTATCTTTGCATGTGAGATGGGTCTCTTGAAGACAGCACACTGATGGGTCATTGTTCTTAATCCTGGTTACCATACTGTGTCTTTTAACTGGGGCATTTAGTCCATTTACATTTAAGGTTAGTATTATTATGTTTGAATTAGATCCTGTCATTATAACACTAGCTGCTTATTTTGCAGACTTGTTTATGTGCTTTCTTCACTGTTTTGCTGATCTGTCTACTTCAGTGTGTTTTTGTATTGTCTGGTAACAATTTTTCCTGTCCATATTTAGTACTTCCTTCAGGAGTTCTTGCAAGGCAGTTCTGGTGGTAACAAATTGTCTCAGCATTTGCTTGTACGAAAAGGATCTTTTTTCTCTTTTGCTTATGAAGCTTAGTTTGGCTGGATATATAATTCTGGGCTGGAAAATCTTTTCTTTAAGAATGTTGAATCAATATTCAACATTCCCCCAATCTCTTCTGGCTTCTAGGGATTCTACTGAGAGGTCCATGATTAGTCTGATGGGCTTCTCTTTGTAGGTAACCTGACCTTTCTTTCTGGCCACCCTTCACATTTTTCCTTTCATTTTGACTTTGGAGAATCTGATGTTTATGTGCCTTGTGGATGATCTTCTTATTGAGTATCTCACTGGGGTTCTCTGCATTTTCTGAATTTGAATGATTGTCTGTCTTCCTAGGTTGGAGAAGTTCTCCTGGATGATATTCTGAAGAATGTTTTCCACCTTGGTTCTATTCTCCCCGTCTCTTTCAGGTACCTCAATTAGTCATAGATTCAGTCTCTTCACATAATCTCATATTTCTCTGAGGTTTTTGTTCATTTCTTTTCATTCTTTTTTCTTTATTTTTGTCTGCCTGTTTTAATCTAGAAAACCAGTCTTCCAGTTCTGAGATTCTTTCCTCCACATGGTCTATTCTGCTATTCATACTTGTGATTGCATTGTGAATTTCTTATAGTGTGTTTCTCAGCTCTAATAGGTCAGATATGTTCCTCTTTAAACTGGCTATTTTAGCTCTCAGCTCCTGCATTGTTTTATCGTGATTCTTAGCTTCTTTGCCCTGGGTTACAACAAGTTTCTATAGCTCAGCAAAGTTTGTTGTTATCCATATTCTGAAGCCTACTTCTGTCATTTCAGCCATCTCAGCCTCAGCCCAGTTGTGGACCCTTGCTGGAGAGGTATTGTAGTCATTTGGAGGAATAAGGGCACTCTGGTTCTTTGAGTCTTTAGCATTTTTGCATTGATTCTTTCTCATTTTTGTGTGCTTATCTAACTTCAATTTTTGAGATTGCTAACCTTATGATGGGTTTTTTGTGGTTTTGTTGTTATTGTTGTTGTTTTAGTTGTTTTCTGTTTGTTTGCTTTTGTTTTTCCTAACAGTCCTGCCAGTCTTTCATAGGGCTGTTGCAGTTTGCTGGGGATCTGCTCTAAACTCTGGTTGCGTTGATTCTTCCCATACCTGGAGTTATCACCAGTGAATGCTGCAAAACATCAAAGATGGCAGCCTGCCCCTTCTTCTGTCAGCTCTGTCCCATGAGTGTGCTGACCTCTTGCCAGCCAGAACACACCTGTAGGAGCTGGCTAGGGACCCCTGTTACAAGTTCAGAAGGAATGGGATCACATAAAGGAGCCATCTGGCTGCTATTTGATAGAGCAGCTATGCTGTGTTGGGGATCCCTTCAGCTCCATATTGATTTGGGCTCTCCAAAGCCCACAGACTGGACTGGCTAAGAATCCAAAATGGCCAAGGAGGCAACTTGCACTGCCCCTCAGGTACCCATCCCAGGGAGAAAGTTGAGCTGTGTTGGACCCACAAAGCATGGGCAGAGTGACCAGAGGCCCTGGCTGGGAGGACCTGGCTGGACAGATCTGCCCTGTGAGAAGGAGTGGATCAGGGTCCCACTTAAAGAAGCTGTCTGGTCATGCTTCAACAAAACATCTATGACATGTTGGGTCATAGTCTGCCCCGTTGGCTTTGACTCTCCAAAGCCCACAGTCTGAAATGGCTGAGTCATCCAACCAGCCCAGGTGTTGGCCCTCCCTTCCCTGTGGCACTCTAGCCCAGGGAGAGATCAGAGCTCTGTCTGTAGTACTACGTGCAGATGGGCATGGCTGGGAGGTCTCGTGCAGTGAGGAGGAATGGATCAGGGGCACGCTTAAAGAAACTGGCCACAATCTGGCAAAGCTGCTGTGCTGTGCTGCTGGGGGGATCCTTGTCCAGACCATTTGGACTTTACAAAGCCCACAGGCTGGAATGGCTGAGTTGACCAAACAGCAGAGATGGCATCTGCCCCTCCTCCCTAGGGCTCTTTCCCATCTCAGGAAGGCTCCACCCTGTTGCCAGAGGATGGCTGAAATTTCAAGCCAATAAGGTGCCATAGAAGTGGGGCTCACAGAACTACGCTGCTCAGCTCCCTGGATTCTGTCCCCTTCCTAGGGTATGTGCGGGCTTCCCACCTTGCTTGAGTTGCAGACACGTTTGTTGTGGATCCCAGGGCCAGAATATGTAAAACTCCTGTGTCTCTGTGTGAGCATGAGCAGGCTCTGTCAAGACTCCACATAGCTCTGTGTGTCTGACTTCAGGCCCTGGTGGCATGGACTCACCAGGGGATCTCCTTATCAGCAAGTTGCAAAGATCCATGGGAGAAGCATGGTTTTTTGGGGTTGTGCAAGCACTCACCATTTCCCTTGGCTGGGGGTGGGGATTCCTTTGACTCCATATCATTCCTTTGTGGGCCATTGCCCCACCCTGCTTTTCTTCATTCTCCATGGGTCAAATTGTTTCCCTGATCAGTCCCAATGTGACTACCTGGATATTTCAGTTGAAGGTGCTCTATTCACTTGCTCTTTTTGTTCCTCTTTGTGAATGCTGTGAACTGCAGCCTCTTCTAATCAGCCATCTTTTTGGCTATATATTTTAAGCGATTAAAAAATATATTTATACCATGGGATAAAAAGAAAAAAACAATTAGGATTTATACATGTTTAGAGTTAGAGAGAGCTTCCTGTGTCAGTGTAGTCTGTGAGGACTAAGCTCTGATTTTTTTTTTTTTTATCTTGCCCACATTTCTATCTAAGGGGTCTGGGAGTCATGCCCTACAAACCATAAATTCTCATCAGATGGGTTTTACATAAGCCTATATGTTGTGACTTGTTTTCCAACCTAACTCTGGAATAACATTATGAGACAAGGAAGAAAATCAAAATTTTTACCCCAAAACGTGTTTCTTTGCCACATCTTGAAATGGCCCTACAAAGCTGTCCTTTGTGGGGGAAAATTTTTATCTATAAAGAATCTTTATTAACATAACTAGATCCTTTTCTTCTAGGCCCTCCCAATCCTAAAGAGATTAACTAAAAGTCTAGCGCCTTTTAAAGATTTAAATAGGAAACAATTTGTCATCTATTGTCTCTAAGGGCAGAAACTATGAGACTTCAAAAGAACCTTGGTCTCCACAATTTTTTATCTTAACCTAAACATTTCCTTCATATCAATCCCAGGTCTTTAGACAAACTCAACCAATTGTCAACCAGAAAATGCTTGAATTTACCCATAGCCTGGAAGCCCCCACTTTGAGTTGTCCTGCTTTTCTGGGCCAAACCATTGTATTTCTTAAGTGTATTTGATTGATGTCTCATGCCTCCCTAAAATGTATAAAACCAAGGTGCACCCCAACCACCTTGGGCACATGTTCTCAGGACTTACTGAGATCTGTGTCACGGGCTGTGATCACTCATATTTGGCTCAGAATAAATCTCTTCAAATATTTTACAGAGTTTAACTCTTTTTGTTGACATCTGCCATATTGTTTTATGGACCTGGGGTAGACTTATCATGTGTCCTCTCTTTTTATTTTCCAAAGCAACAGTCAATTTTCTAAATACATTACATGATACACTCATTTCATCTTGACACCAGCCCAATTGTCCCATAGAACTGATGTTCATGGTTTATTTCCCATCAGCCCTTCCAGATAGTACCAACCAGCAAAAACTTACCAGATCACTGCATCTGGACAATGAGATGCCAGACCTCTTACCCACCATGATTTCCTTTTTCACCACCCGCTTCCTGTTGAACAACTCCTCTTCTTTACCCCTCCCTAATTCCTGTTTACCCACATGTAATTACATTTCTTCCCCACTATGTAAATCCCTAACTTGGTCAGCTAGACGGATGTGAGACTCATCTCCCATGTCCACAGCTGCAGCACCCAATTAAACTCTTCTTCCCTGACAACATTTGTTGTCTCAGTGATTGGCTTTCTGTGTGGTAAGCAGCAGAATCTAGACTGAATCCTTGGTGTTTTGGTAACAGTCTTCTCAATAACTCTATAAACTGGATCCTACAATTGCTTTTGTTCTCCTTTTTCATTATATTAAGAAACTGATAGAGCATTTTTTGATTTATTAAAAGGCCCCCACATTGAAACCACATTAAAGGAACCTCTGACAAGTGGCTGTAATCTAGGTGCTCTGGTATTTCTTTGATACTTTGGCATTTCTTTGGAAGATCTGGTGATGAAAAGTTACATTACCAATTGTATTATTTGGAATCCTGGTGAACAGGGAAACAAAGTAGCGAGCACTCACAGAAGAAATATTTGTCTTTTTCTGTCCCAGAATTCCCAACAAAGTCCTATCTGGAAACTACATTTAGAATACAAAAACTCATCCCACATTACCATTGTTTATCAACACCATTTATGTAACTACTCCTTATGTCTTAACTTTCTCCTTCCATTCCAGAACAAGGCTAGTTTACTTTTCATAACCTAAATGCTCATCAAAGCAGTTTTCTAAAAAGAGGAGTATTTGTTTCCTCTTCAAACTGCAGTTGTCACATTTCTTACCTAGCATCAGAGAACTCAACACCAACTGCAGCCATCAAGAATGTAGAAATGTCTTCATTTGCTTTTACATTTGCCTTTTCCCTCTTCTCCCACATATAGCTATTTTTATATTCCAATAGTCATTTCTATTGGAGTGTGCAGCAGTGGTTGTGAGATGTGTATGTTTCAGTTTTCATCGTATGCAGAATTCTCAAGTCTTCCTCTTTGAACTGCCGTTTCACTACCACAGGCAGCTTTTCTTGGAAATCTGACAATCTGCAAAATATACCTTGCCTTGAAGTTCATGAACAAAACTTTATTGATCACTTAGTCTCTCATTCTCCAAATCTAGGAAATCATTTAGCTCTTTCATAGATGTCTATATACTTGAATGAATATTTGCATACCTATTCATGTATATATAATATATTTTTTCAATCTTTACAAAGGATTCTTAGAGGGCAGTTTTTGTGTCTTATTGATATTTTTATTCTCTCTACCCCGTATTGCTTGGTGAATAAATGGATGGGTGAATGAATGAATATTACCTGAAGCCATTCTGCCATTTTGGCCTCATTTGTTCAAAAGGTTTTGTGCTTGAAATGCTTTCCCCCTCAATAACCTCTTTAAATAACTGCCCATCTTTCAAAATCAGTGCAAAGATTTTCTTCTATATTTGCAATTCCCTAACTTGACTGAGCATAAAAGTTATAAAAGTTTCTTGTGAAAAAAAAAATAAATCCTCAGGTCCTCGTGAAGGTACCAAATCAGAACATCCAAGGAAATACAAGGATTTTGTATTTTTAGTAAGCACTCTAGATGAGTCTCGTGATCAGGCATGTTGGGGAAATGTTGAATTGCAGGATATCTCCTATAAACTCTGCTAAGTAATAGTCTTTCCCATTGTTTTGTAACTTCTTCAGAATGCTTTTAAAATTCTGCCTTAAAATACATATTTTTGTGTAAAGTCTAACTGTACTATAAAACCATATACCCTTGAGAGTTAGAAACTTGCTTTGCCCAAATTTTGAATTCATCATAGTAGAGCACAGTAGTGCTTTGCAAATAATAAATGTTTGTTGGGTTGAGGCATTACATATACTCTGCACAATCACGGCTTCACATTCAAATAGGTGAGAGAGCTGCAACTTGCTTTAAAGAAAAGTTTGAAATAGAGTTTCTTTCTTTCCTTCTTTCTCTTCCTTTCTTTCTTTTTCTTTCGGTCTTTCTTTCTTTCTTTCTCCTTTATTGATTAATTATTTTTGAGGCAGGGTCTCACTCTGTCACTCAGGCTGTAGTGCAGTGGATGGATCTCAGCTCACTGCAACCTCTACCTCCTGGGCTCAATTGATCCTCTCATCTCAGCCTCCCGAGTAGATGGGACTACAAGTGTGTGCCACCTCACCCAGCTAATTTTATGTATTTTTTTGTAGAGACAGGCTTTCATCACATTGCCCAGGCTGGTCTCAAACTTCTGGGCTCAACTGATCTGCCCACCTCAGCCTTCCAAACTGCTGTGATTACAGGTGTGAGCCACTGCACCCAGCCTATTTTTAATTTACAAAATATATTAACACAATGCTTTACATAAAATGGATTCCAATGACATTTTGTTATAAAAATGGAAATGCCTAGTATATTTAGTAATGTTTTCTAATCTTAAATCATTATTTACATTTTTTCTTGACTGCTAATGGTTTTCTATTAATAATCAAGAGACATCCAATTATGAATTTCCACCTCTCCTAATATCTTAATTAAATAACTGATTGCTGAGAATAGATTAAAAAGATAAAATGAGGAAATAATTGAAGAGATTAAGAAGCAAGTGCAGGTTGAGAAAAAATGGATTTTTTAAGGGACTGTAGTTGACACCTAGCAAATGAAACATACTGTTAACTAAATGCAAAGCATAACATCCGTCAGGATGGCCAGACAAGCAGAACCACAGCAGCACACTGAAAATGCAAAGGAACAGGATCTTCAAACAAGAACTCCTCTCAAAAAGTTCACTGGCAATTTAGAGCAGTCTATTTTGACAATGCAGAAAAAAACAAAGGGAACCCCATGACAGGTATGTTAACACCACAGTGTGCAGATATGGACTCCTATGATGATAAGTCCAGGCTACGTTTTTAAAATGGTGAGAGTGATTCATAAGGCTGAGGTTATACTTTTTTTAAGTTTTTAAACTTATATTTTAGGTTTCTAAACATCATTTCTGTTTCTTTTTATTTATGGACATTTCAAACTTATAGAAGAGCAATGTAGCATAGTAGTTAAAAACCTAAATTCTGGGGACCTTCCACAAGTTGCTCAGTCTGTCTGTCCCTCACTTTTCCCTCTGTAAAAGAATGATGTCAATAATAACTAATGTATAGGGTTCTTGTAAGAATTAAGTGTGTTAAGATGCTTACTCCCAGAATATAAGGACTCAGCAAGCGATACCAATTAGTAGTAGCAGCTACAAGCAATTAAAGACTAATGCATCAAGATGACTTAAGTGTACATAATAGAAAACGGTAACTATCTAGCTTAAAGCAATAGGAAATTTAGTCTCACTTGTGATAGGCAGCATAATGGCTTCCCAAAGGTGTCTGTGTTTTAATCCTAGGAACTATGGATTTGTTACTTACATGGCAAAGAAGAATTAAGGTTACAGATGGAATTAAGGTTGCTAATCAGCTGGCCTTGAGATGATGATATTATCCTTGATTATCCAGATAGGACCAATATAATTACAAGGATATTTTTAAGTAAAAAAGAAAGCAGGTGAGTAGGAGTCAAAGAGAAGTGTAAATGGAAGTATAGGTTGGAGTGATGTGATTGCTGACTTTGAAGTTTAAAAGAGGACAATGAGCCAAAGAACATGAACAGACTCTCAAAATTGAAAAAGGTGAGAAAACAGATTATCTTCTAAAACCTTTAGAAATTGATATAGGCTTGCTAACACCTTGATTTCAGTCCATTAAAACCCATTTTGGAGTTCTGATTTCCAGAACTGTATGATAAGTTTTTGTTGTGTTAAACCACTGAATTTGTGGTAATTTGTTACAACAGCAATAGGAAACTATATCACTCAATAACAGAGTCCAAGATAATGAGTCTCACAAATTGCTTTATCCAGCAGCTCAACAACATCATTAATAACTCACATTTCTTGCATCTTTTCCTTTGCCATCATCAGTGTATGGCAAGCACCCCTGACAACGTGAAATCACTTCACCAGCTTCCAAATTCCGGCCAACATTGTAAACATACGCAGCAATATCTAAAGAAAAATAGATTATATGTCTTTTTATATCTGTTTGATGTTTGACATTCTACATTATTTTTGGTATCTTTTCCAAAAAGATTTATTAATCTTTATTTTATTAAATATATCAGTCTTTTTATTTGTGGTTAGCACCTTATTTTGGTCTTATTTAGACTTTTCTGCTACTAAGATTCTTTCTCTCAAAACTGTCAATGTCTTCTTTGGTAATATTTTAAAACCAAAGTGGATTTAACTTTATTTAGGGCATAAGGAACAAGTCAAACTTTAAAATACATTTTCTAACTTTTTAACTTACCCATTTCACGTATGTATCACTTCTTGGGCTCTCAAGTCTCCTGCTTAGATCAAATGATTTATTTCTTCATATTCTACATGATTTTCATTGCTGTTACATCGTAAAAAAATTCTTGTATATGGTAGGGCAATTTCCTTCTACTACTTCTTTTTAAGAGTTGTGACACAATTCATTCCAAATGTATTTTAAAATTAATTTGTCATGCTCTATAAATTATCTTGTTGGTTTGTATTATGCTTGCAGATTAATTTGGAAAGTTCTTTATCTTTATGATATTTAGTTTTTGATCTGGGAAGATATCTGTCTCCACTTACTTAAAACCAGTTTTACCTTATATCATTCAAAAAATGTTTATAGTTTTTTTCATAATTTTGTCACATTTATTTGTAGGTGCTGTATGATTCTTGTTGCAACCTGTTTTAAGTTTTTGAATTGCTTTTATTTACATATTTATTTTAGTTTAGATTGATCATTGCAAGAATATGAGAAGATCGCTGATATTTGTATCTGGTAAACTTGATTTATCTATTTAATTCTAAAACAAATTTCTTAAATTTTCTATGAAACCAATGACAAGTTTTTATTTATCTTTTATCTATATTATTACTATGTCTTTTATGAACTTATTATTTTGGTTATACTTCGGTAGAAATATTAAGGGTAACAGTAGAACATTTGTCTTGGTGTTGATTATAAGGGCAATTCTATAATTTCCCTATTAAGTGTGTTAGTTCCTCTTTTTGTTAACATCCATTAAAAGTTTAAGGAAGTTCATTTTTCAAGGATTTGTATTCGTGTGTGTGTGTGTGTGTGTGTCTCTGTGTGTCTCTGTGGTTCCTGATCAGTCTTGATCAAAATAAATTACTTTCTATTATATTGCCAAATTTTAGCTTGTAAGCTCAATTTTGAACAATGTTTATTTTGAAAATTTCTCCAGAAAGTTTTTATATCTGTTTTTTTCAGGTGCCTCAGATAGGAACTACTTTTACATTAATTTTCCATGTCAAAAAAGTAATGTAAATTCAATCCCAAAACTCACATGAGGCAGACCTAAAGCTGGAATTCTCAAAAAAAATTTTAATTTTTAATTCAGATCTCAGGCATAGGCTTAGAAACTTCTCTAAGGTCTTCATTTGCAAAAGGATAGATTTTAAGTAGTCTACTTTTCAATAGAAGCTATAGTCTTTTAAAAGTACCATATTTAGTTCTATACCTCAGTTCTAACTCTATGAATTTGTATACCTCATACTTTAACCTCTGTCTCTGGATGGTTAAACCTCAGCACTGTTTGTTATTGATATTAATAAGTACCCCAGGAAATGAAAACATAATATTCTTACCATATTGGGTTTCTGTTTGTTTTTTTTTTCTCTGTGGATTCTCAATTTTTAAGTAAACTGGGCATCTTAATTGATGTTCGTTACATTTTAAAAACATATTCAGTGTTTTGAAGCAAGTAATTTTTCAATGCATGTAATTCAACATATTGCCAGAAATGAAAGCCCTATCTCTAGTTTTCTATTTATTTCGATTACAGACATATTTAGGCTTCTTTTCTTCTTTTTAATTTTTCACCATGCTTTTGTATTGTCTTTTTATTTTGCTACTTATTAAAATTGAGCTCTTTAAATCCCTTCTTACACGTTACCTGTTTGCTTTACTGAGTTTACTCTTTTTCCACCCTTTACTACTTTGAAATTTATTTTTATTATATCTGTTATTTTAGTGCTTGCCCATAAATTTTGACAATGCATGTTTATCTTAATAAACTCTAAGATTAATCAGTATTTCAATTTTTCTTCCCAAGCTATATGATGTTATAAAAGATTTAAAATATATATGTATTGTTTTTAAATACATCAGTTCCAAGGCATTTTTAAAATCTCCAATAACAATTTTTTTTTCATGTCAACTCTCATTTAGATTCATCAGCATGCTTTACTGATTTCTTTGCTCATCATCTTTTGGGATCCTACTTTTTCCTTAAGTTTCACGTTTGATTGTATTGAGGAATATCCTTTACACTGGGCTGAGTTTGCAACTAGTAAACACTCTTAGTCTTTACATCTCTAACACTGTCCTGCTTTCAACCTCATTTTCAATGGTTTGTTTACTTGGAAATGGAATTTTGATATGGTTATTTTATCCTAAGCACTGAAGATAATAATTTTTGGCAGTAGAATCTGGGTGGGTGTGCTTCTAGAGCCTATTTTAGCCACTGAAAATCTGCTATTTGCCTGACTTCTATGCTTCTGTAAATAATGTCTTTTCTCTTTTACTAGTTTGTTTTAATATCTCCCCTCTATCTTTGATTATGTGCAATTCAATTACAATGTAAGTATGTGTAGATTAGTTTTCACTTATCCAGCTCCAGACTTGATGTTTTGTTTTTATTTTTGGAGTTTGAGGATTTTATTTATTATTTTTTATGTTTTATTGACTGTTAGTTGATTACAGAAACAGTAAATTACTATTGGAGTCCAGCATGTCTTGAGTTTTCACGATTTCTTTGTGGGGCAATATTGAATTTGCCTTTGAAAGGTCTTTGGGTTTAACCATGTCAAACCTGAATGTCTATGTATTTTGCATTAGGCACCATAGGAAAAATAGACAGCACCTACAGGCTGTGAATTGTAGACGCTACAAAACCACACTGCTATAGTGAAGGAGCACGCTACTCCCTGTATAGTGTTCTTAAGCCACTACAACACCTTTTAATAAATGAAGAGGGAGCATCTATTCATTTTCTGCTCCAATAAGGGAAGCATCTTACAATCGTGAAGAAGATGTAATTCCTAGAAACCTGCTGTAACTGAGATAGTTACTACTTTAGCCACATCCTCACTAGAGGGAAACTGCTCAGAGATCTGTGTTTGAGCTACCTAGGATAATTGTTCCCTGGGGAGGCATTTACATTTCTTTGATCTCCACAGTACCAGGACAAGCAGGAGAGAGCAGTTGCCTAATAGGTCTATACCTACCCAGTTTAAAATGTCCAACTGTCTTACCTAAGTGATTATCAGACCTAATCCCACCATGCCTGACCCCTCATCAGCACCAGAAACCAGTTATTCACCTAAAACTTATCCCCTTAATGTTATTTTTATTCATTTGTCCTACTTATTTTCCCCCATTAGAATCCATAGTCAATAAAAGCAAATCCCTAGATCTTCAAATTGTTCAAATTTTTGCCCCTTGTAAAATCTACCTTTTCCATGATGTCATCTTTCCCCTGCAGTCTGTCCTTCCACCAAGTTCCAGATAGGAGCTCTTTTGACCCACCATTACCACTTTGAAATGGTGTCTGCCTTGATCTTCAAATACCCCAACTTTTTTGACAAGTATGTCGTTAAGTCTGTTTCCCACTCTCTCCATATTGCTATAATCTATCAGCCTTCCCTTTCCTCTATCAGTAACTTCCTTTCATTCATGGATGAGTTAAGCACCTGATTTAATATATTTCTGTTCATGTCCTTTCCAGCGTATATTCATAGTGGCATCCATAACCATCCGATACATTTACCTCAGTTCCTTAGTCTCCTTACAGCCACACTCCTGAGTTCATGGTCCTTCCCTTTCTCATAAGCAATAACTGCTACATCTTTGTAATCTTCTGTATCTTTGAAATCTTCTGTGGCAGAAAATTTTATAAAAACATTGGGGATAAAAAGAAACTATTTCCACTCTCATACAATACTGGTCAGTATAAATTAATACAGATTTGCAGCACTGTGCATGTAATAGGATCTCAACAAGTCCTTACAGCTCCTCATGGTAACGTGATACCTCAGAAAGAACTTTCAATATGCCAACAGAGGATAGTTATCTCAGTCAAATTACAAAGCAGGAAGCAAACTTAAGAGCAATAACAAGTCCACTTTGTATTAGAGTTGAAGCAATGCCTCAATTTCTAATATAAAGCTGAGGACAAATCACTCTTATCAAGTGTGATTTATTTTGGGTAGTTACTATGAAAGTTACATTCTTAAGTTCTGAATGCTTATAGTCTTAAATCTATTAAAATATATGAACAATCCTACTTGCACTGAGTTCAAAATTTTTATTTCAAATAGAGATGGCTACTAAATTAATTCCATATAATAAAAATAAGGAAGAAGAAAAGATTAAGAGAAAGAAGAGAATAAGTAGAGCAATGGGGAGGTGAGAGGGGAGGGGAATAAGAGAGGGGGTGCAGAGGCAGAGGAAGGCCACAGTGATTGGAAAGCTTCAAGGCTGTGTCCTCATGTTCTCCAATGTCACATAGCAAGTAAGTGGCAAAGTTGGACTGAAACCCACTTTTGTCTACTAGAATAATAGCTTTAAGATCTATACTGCTAATCAAGTTTAGTTTTTAATTCCTTGGCTCTAAATTCTTTTTATAGAGGCTTGAAATTCACTGCAAATATTTCCAGGTAAACAGTTTGGATCAGGTTCAACCAGTTTTAACAAAAGCAAAGCTGAGGCCATTTATGCTTATTTGTACATAGAAATATATAAAGCTTAGTTATGATTCATATAAAACTAAAATATGGCTCACTGTAAAAAATCAACCATATTCTTTCTCATTATATTTTATTATTGTTTTATATGAATTCACTATTTGAATATTTTAGATCAGTACACATATTAAATGGTGGTAAAATGTTTTGCTTTTTATATATTCTGAACAATCATTAATAACCTTTCCTTGAAAATAGTTCTGCTTGCCATTCTAATAAATTTGATGAAATTTACCTTTATTACGATCTAATTTTTGGCCCATCTGAAATTTTGTAAATAAAAACCGGCACTTTTAAAGTCTATTGTTTGCTCATTAACAACACTGATTTATAAGTTTACAAAAGGTTTTAGCTACTAGACAAGCAGAATATATGGTTCTTTGTGAGTATTTTTCTCTTTTTGGCAATTCCTAAGTACATGTTTGGGTCAAATATACCTAAAACCAAAATAAATATCAATGGCAATGTTAAGGGAGTCAAAATTAAAGAGAGATAATTTTTTAAAATTTTGTACCTATTTGAAGTTCAATATTCAGGTTCGATTTCTAGTTTACATACTACAAACTTAACACAGAATTTTGTTTCAGCAAAGCTGAGTTTTGAATGAGCTCTAGTTTTATTCCCGTAATGCAATAGCCTGGAATGAGCCTTCCTCTCCCATGTATATTTGTCCAGTGCAATTTTTGCTTTGACCTTTTCCCTGGACCAAATCTGCCATATAGATATATTTAGTTTGGCTTATATAGTATTTTTGAAATTAGAAATGTCATTTAAAAAAATAGAATATACGATTTTCTTGAAAATTGTGAAAGTCCTAGCAATAATGATCTAACATTGTACCATGGCAAAATCTGGCAAGAACAGTGGTCTTTGCTTTTTTTCTTAACATTCTTTTTCATCATCACCCCTCCTTATCGCATGAAACTGTAATACTACATATAGATGTATATTTGTTGTATGTATATCAAGGCTTTATATGTTAATATAGTAAGATTTTCTTCCTCATACCCTCCAAGAACCAATATTTATCCCTTGGTGTTGATATAAGCTGGGTTGAGAATGAATGCTTTAGACAACAATGCTTGTGCTTTGTAGCATCTCACGGTCTCCACCACTACCTAACTTAACTCCTTTTTAACTGTTCCACTTATTGATATCATCTGTCTGTTTCTTGGTAAGGTTTTGCGCTTGAGACTTCTGTTTTAAGTGTTCAAAACTGGCTACTGACATTAGATACGCATGAATTTTAACTGCTGCATTATCACAGCCTTGTACCTTATATTTGTTGTGTAATGTATAAATTGAATAAGATAGCTTAATCAATTTTTGAGGGAATTTAATAAAATAATATGAATAAAGTACTGGGGGATATATCATGCACATTGCAGTTCTCAACTCATATTAAGAAGGACATGAACAGACACTTCTCAAAAGAAGACATTTATGCAGCCAAAAAACACATGAAAAAATGCTCATCATCACTGGCCATCAGAGAAATGCAAATCAAAACCACAATGAGATACCATCTCACACCAGTTAGAATGGCAGTCATTAAAAAGTCAGGAAACAACAGGTGCTGGAGAGGATGTGGAGAAATAGGAACACTTTTACACTGTTGGTGGGACTGTAAACTAGTTCAACCATTGTGGAAGTCAGTGTGGCGATTCCTCAGGGATCTAGAACTAGAAATACCATTTGACCCAGCCATCCCATTACTGGGTATATACCCAAAGGACTATAAATCATGCTGCTATAAGGACACATGCACACGTATATTTATTGCAGCACTATTCACAATAGCGAAGACTTGGAACCAACCCAAATGTCCAACAATGATAGACTGGATTAAGAAAATGTGGCACATATACACCATGGAATACTATGCAGCCATAAAAAATGATGAGTTCATGTCCTTTGTAGGGACATGGATGAAATTGGAAATCATCATTCTCAGTAAACTATCACAAGGACAAAAAACCAAACACCACATGTTCTCACTCATAGGTGGGAATTGAACAATGAGAACACATGGACACAGGAAGGGGAACATCACACTCTGGGGACTGTTGTGGGATGGGGGGAGGGGGGAGGGATAGCATTAGGAGATATGCCTAATGCTAGATGACGAGTTAGTGGGTGCAGCACACCAGCATGGCACATGTATACATATGTAACTAACCTGCACATTGTGCACATGTACCCTAAAACTTAAAGTATAATAATAATAAAACAAAAAAAGAATTGTTAACAGTATTTTAAAAATTAATGCTATTTTTAAAAATATAACAGGACTCTACTGCCCCAAATAATAATTAACAACCTAAAACCTCAAGAATAAGATTTTATTTCTTTATTTGGGTATTTGTTTGTTGGTTTGTTTCTACTGAAAATTTAACTTAGAAAGAAATTTCCCTTTGGTTATATCAGTGAAGTCTGAGCTAAGTGTTAATTAGCAGGCTAAAACCATTCTAGAATGTAGAATATTGAAAAAAAAATTGAGCTAGATGGGAAATTCTAGTCAGCCTTGGACAACAAACCTTCATTGTTTTTTTTCTAAATAAATACATTTTATTCAAATTAAGTGGAAAAGATAATTCTGGTGATCTTTTAGTTTTTTTTATGCATAATCATATTTTATAGTGGTTTATGGGAAAGGTAGAATGATTTCATGGAAAAATGCTAGTTTAGATTCTAACTAGTCATCATCTGAATCCTGGTTCTATTTCTAAGTAAGCCAGCAAGTATTCTGGTTATCAAGACAAGTGTCGTTTATAATCTAGCCTGTCTCCACCCCTACTCCTAAGGAGGGTAGTGACTCTTGCTCATGTAGGGGAGAAAAGGTAATATCTTTTCCTTGCCCATCACACCGTTAATGGCTGACATCCCTATAACAAAAGACAGATTAGAAGAAAAAAGCATAGCAAATGTATTTATTCAAGTTTTATGTGACATGGAGCCTTTAGGAATGAAAACACAAAGGCCCAGGGAAAACTGTATTTTTAATGCTTAGGTTTGATGAAGAATAAACAGTAATATAGAAGTAGGTTTGGGCTAAAGGAGTATCATCTAATGGTAACCAATTGAGGAAAACTTAGCAAGGCCTATTTGTTCAGATGTTTCTCTGTGTCTCTTTGTATTACTTTCTTCTGGGTATAGGAGAGGATACCTGCTACATGTGGGTTTCCAGGGGAGAAGAAAGAGTGAATTCTTTTTATGGCTTTAAGACAGAAAAGGTGGGAAAAGATCAGAGTGACCTTTCTCTTATGCCAAAGCGCCATATCTGGGAGCGTCGTATTCTGAGCCTGGTACTTGCTTTTAGAGTTTGTTGCTGTTGTTTGTTTGTTTGTTTCCTGAGTGCAGATAAATCATCCTTTTTTCACTTTTTAAGAAAAAATATTGTACTCAGAAAGAGAGATGTGGAGTTACCTCAAGATGTGATAGAAAAAGGGAGAAGAGGAAGTTGATGAGGGAGATTTTTTTTTTTTTTTTTTGAGATGGAGTCTTGCTTTGTCGCCCAGGCTGGAGTGCAGTGGCGTGATTTGGGCTCACTGCAACGTCCGCGTCCTGGGTTCAAGTGATTCTCCTGCCTCAGCCTCCCAAGTAGTGTGCCACCACGCCCAGCTAATTTTTGTATTTTTAGTGGAGACGGGGTTTCACCATGTTGGCCAGGATGGTCTTTATCTCCTGACCTCATAATCCATCCCTGTCGGCCTCCCAAAGTGCTGGTACTATAGGTGTGAGCCACCGCGCCTGTCTGAGGGAGACTCTGAAGAAGGTTGGATAATTTGGGTATTTTGCAGTTACATGCTGAATATTCATCATTCAACATAACACCCTCTTATTCCCTCTGCCCACTATGATCCCGCACAAACTTTTACCATATTATTAAATTTTTACTATGCGGTAGTTAGCCTGGGAAAACTAGACCAAAGGAGTCACCAAACCAATTAAGTAGTTTTGAGGATTAAATGTGATGATGCAGGAATACCTAAAATGTGTTTGGGAACCCTAGGTCCTCAAACAAGTAATTTGAAGTCAGGAATTTTGTTTTTACTCATCTTTACATTCTCTTTAGTACCTAGGCTAGAAGTTTGAATAAAAGCAGTGTGTTTATATATATAGGCCAAGAATGAATATTTCAAACATCTTTACAGATAAAGTAGCTATATCACTGATATATATCCAAGATGGCTTACGTGTTTGACCAAGGTGATGTTTATGTGTTGTTTTTGTTTTCTTTGTTTCAGTTTACTCTCTCAGTCCACCAGATGGAAACACAGGGAACATCTCATCAGTTTCTGTCATGTTGGCTTAGGTACACATGGGGTAAAGTGTGTTAGACTTGGAGTCAAGAGGCCAAAGTTCAAATTCTGTATTGACTACCTTTTACCTTTTTGACTTTGAGCTGTTAATCTAATTTTTTCAGCTTTAATTTCTCAACTTATGAATAACTACACCTAACTCATGGAATTGTTTTGAAGTTCCATGTATATGTTATGTATAATTAAGCTTCTGACTATATTAGGATCTGGAAAATTATCCCTATATTAATTATAAAATTAAATATCTGTACCAGTCCTGGACTAGATGTTTTATTTAGATCATTACCCTTACTGCAGTTATACAAAATAACTAAAAGCTCTATATATTACTAATCAAAAGATCTGTGGCTATTAGTTCATTTATTTAATGTTGAGCACTATTATATGCCCCTCTTCTATGATTAATGAAAGTAAAAGGAAACTTAATGCAATAGATTATTTATGACTTGATAAATCTACACATTTTTGAATAGTTTTGCTATTTTGTCCAGATAAGTAGTGGAGCCAAATAATCAAGGTATCTTTCAAAGGAGCTCAACTAGTTCAATGCCTAGTTGCACAGAATCTGAACTGGTAGTGTGTTGTTAAATAGAAATTAACATTTCAGGGAAAGAAGCTGCCAAATACCATTTCAGCTTCTTTATTTTCAGAAATGCTTCTTTTTGGCGTCTTTAGTTTTGCAACTTTAAGGCAAATTCACACTCATTTCCCTAAAGTCAGGGTGAAATAAAATCTTTTCTGTGTATTGAAGAGTTTTGTCCTTCTCAATATCAATTAGTTTCCTGGGCTAGCCCCTGGGGAGGCAATAAGAACAATTGCAAGGAGCCTAGGAGTATAACTCAGAAGATTCAGATAATTCTCTCTTAAAAGAACTTTCCACCATAACTTTCTAAAAATCTACATCAGTATTAGAATTATCTCAGCAGTCAATGTATGTTCCTGTTAGTATATCTGTTTTCAAGAGGGACACTATTTGGCACAAATGAAGATAACTATAGCAGAAAATGTGGGTTTCTCTTTTGAACTATTCAAGTTATTCCAATTTTTCCAAAAAGGAGGTATTTGGAAATAAGAATACCTCTTTGTAATGGATAACTCCCCAGAATTCCAGAACAATTTTTGATGGGGAAATGGGACTGAGAGAGAGATTTTGGAAGCCAGTGAGTGTTTAATAACGGGATTTAAATTTTGAAATTGGATGTGACTTCATTTTTGGGCCAAGCAGATGTCATGGGTTATACTGGTTAGAAATGTATGGTTTTATGTACTAATCAGGAAAAAAAATGAAGAACTTTTCTATGTAATGTATATGAAGAAAAGATGAGTATGATAGCAATGAATGAAATAGAAACAATTACAGTCATAGATTCTTAACTTTGAATAGGACTTCCGAATGGATAAAATTCTCGAACACTCACAATATAGCCTCTTAAGTGTTTTTCTGTTAGTCTGTACAGGTACTATTGCATTCAATTCGCAGATACCCAAGGCCATACATCTCCAGACTTCTGCCAAATAAAGAACTTTGTTTATAGCCAGTATTTGGTAGTAGGGAAAGTCACTCTGTAGTAACCCAAAATTGAAAAGGGGCAGAAATCATCTCTAATCCATCACAAAAGGACACTGAAAAATGTTTCCTACAAAGTTTGAAGGAATCTAAAAGTGTAAAAGAGAGCCAAATAAAAGAAGAATAAAGTAGATAACCACTATCTATAGATAAAATAAATGGCTCTTTAAATATTTTTGAGAATAAGTCCTTGTGAAAATATTTTAATGAGGTTTTAGCAGATAATTCTTCTGAAACATTCCTAGCATTAAATTTTGCCCAGTAAATGTCCTATGGAGAATTAAAATATAATTATACATAAAATAAAAGTATAAATAATGTTTCACAACACAATTCTGTTTTGTTTGATGATATATTTGATTTATGTATACTTAAAATTATATTCAAATTTAAAAATTTCAATATCTATATTTCATATATCATCCCATAATATATACAAATCAAATTATATCATATTCCACTTATAAGCTCTTAATTATATGTAATCTACTTAAATTTCAATAGATGTATGCTTCTTTATTAAAATTTTTTCTCACAAACCTCTTTATTTAAAAAATATTTACCTAAATGCATTTTGTTTCATTTATTACAGAACTCTTCATAATTGTAATATATTTTGGGAAATTTTATAAACATGAACTGATCCTCTATTTCTTATTTCCTATTTTTGTATTAAATTTTATTCATCTATTAGCATTATTCTTTTTGTTTTGGTTTACCTTCGGTGATCTTTATTTTTAGCTTTTCTATTTATTTTGTTGTATATGGAAATTGTGCAACTGGAGGCAGCTTGAACATCAAACTAATAAGATATCCATTTTAGGAACCTTCCAAAGTTGTGCGTCAGATTGTATTTATAATGATACTTTCAGTTTCTTAAAGAGAGTCACACAATTTTACAAGCTCTGGGTCTCATCAGACCTGGATTTTATCATTTGCTAACAATACACAGTTGGATTTTTTAAATAAAATCTGAAAATATTTATTTTATTTTAACAGGGGTGTTCAACACTATTATTGTTGAGATGCTTAATCTCTCTTCTGTAGTATTTTTTCACAACATTTTTTGTGTGCCTCCTTTATGTTTATTTTTTTTTGTATTGTTGTTTTTATATTGATGTGGGTCAGGAAAAGCTAACTAAAAATATGGCAGGTTATAATGTGAGAAAACAGAATAAGCAACAAGGTCACTCTCACTTTCCCTTTGCCTTTCTTTCTTAAACAGTCATAGACTTCATTCCAGGGGTGCCCACCCTATCCTCACAGGAAAGAAATGTTCCTATCTCTATAGATCCAGGGACATAGAGAAGAATCTGAATAAACAGACCTTGCTAATTCCCTCCAGTTTGTTACCCTATTTTGTCTAATGATACTTCCCCACAACTGTCCGCTCTTTATCAAACCTAAGTGTAAAAATATATAGATTTCCCTGTTTCTTTCTACCTTCATTTCTAAAGTCACTGGTGTCACATATACCTCATAGTAAGTAAATTTGCTAGTTTTTTCTTTTTTTTTTCTTTTCTTTTTTTTTTTTTTGAGACAGTCTCGCCCTGTTGCCCAGGCTGGAGTGCAATGGCGCGATCTCGCCTCACTGAAACCTCCGCCACTCGGGTTCAAACGATCTTCCTACCTCCTCTCCGGTCGCTGAGATTACAGGCGCCTGCCATCATCCCCAGCTAATTTTTGTATTTTTAGTAGAGACAGGGTTTCACCAGGTGGGCCAAGCTGGTCTTGAACTCCTGACCTCGTGATCCGCCCATCTCGGCCTCCCAAAGTGCTGAGATTACAGGCATGAGCCACCATGCCTGGCCATTTGCTAGCTTTTTACTTGTTAATTTGTCTTCTGTTACAGGTACCTCAGCCATGAGCCTTGTGATGGGAAAGAAAGATATTACTTTTTTCAAAAAAAATATAGACTATGTTTTATTTACATATTTCATTTTATGTTACTTTGTTCATGTCTTACAAGATTTGATAAAATATATTTTCATTATGAAAAATTATTTTATTTAAAGTTTTTATTTCTTCTGTTACATAGAATTCATTTAGGAGAGATTTTTGTTTTTAAAAAAAGGAAACAGTATTTTTGTTTCTGGTAACAATTGTATTTTAAATGATCAAATAAATTGGCATATAAATTGGCTACACATATCTAAATTCTGTGAATGTGTGTAACAGATTAGCATGCTATAAATTTTTGCCTTCTCGGCACACTTAAAAAGTTATGTTCCTTGTGCCTATTCACTTAATCTGATTAATTATATTATTTAAGTTATTTATATCTTTTTTGACATTTATTTTTTTTCTATGAAAGGCTGTAAAGTACGTTCAGTGTTATCACTCTAATTTTACTTATGTTCAATTATTTTCCTTGTTCTAATCACTTTTCTCCAAGTATTTTGCTACAATACTTGGCGTGTACATTTATAAACTATCATATACTCATTATAATTTATCTCTTATTTATGATGCCCCTCTTTCTCTGTTTTGAATTCCACTTTGCTTAACATTATCACTTTATTAATATATATTTAAGAAGCCATGTTAATTTTATTCTTGTTAATGTTTCTGTTGCTTACATTCGTCAACATTTCTTTTGCTGTATCAATGATGGTTTGGTTGTTTTCATCATCTCAGGTTATTTAGAGGATAGTATTCTGCTTCTACTTACAGGTTTTTATCATTTTGATTTTCTAAAGCCAATCTTAAACTATAGTAAGTCAAGAATGGAAAATCTCAATCTAGATAACATAAAGCTTTCTCATCCTCCCTTCACAAAAAAGGTTTAGTAAACATAATATGAAATTTGTGACTTACCTCCTAGTGGAAGGAGTATTTCCATGTAAGATTTGAAATTGTTCTGTAATGAAGAGTTGTCCCTTTCCCCACATTTATTTACTCGATAACTAATGTCAGGATTAATGTTTTGTACTTTGGTTATAGTTATATGGTACTTTATTTATTTTGTTAGTCGAATTGTTCCAGCTTTGGCCAATGAAAACTCTTTCAGGTTGGTTCCTGTGTCCTTTTGATATGGCCAAAATCTTTTGTTTTTGCATACTTCCTTACTTTCTGGTTTATCCTATTTTAATATAAAGTTAGTTGTCCTATTATTATTATATGGTAACAGTTCTTTATATACTCTAAATATAAGTTTTATATTAGGAATATGTTTGCAAATATTTTCATCCAATTTGTGTCTTAATTTTTCATTTTCTTAATACTGGTTGTGAAGCACAAACATTTTTAAATTTAATAAAATCAAATTTAACAACTTTTTAATGGTTCACGCTTTTCGTGCCTTATTCAAAAAATGTTTACCTCAACTAAGTTCACAAGTATTTTCTTTTATGATTTTTAAAAAATAGTTTTAGATCTTATATTTAAATCAATGATCTATTTCATGTAAATGTTTATATATGATATGAGACAGAGGTCAAAGTTTATTTTTGCAGTCTTTCTAGTGAGTAGAAACAGCTTGTAATAAAGGCACCATGTAGACTCTTCAGAAGGGTATCACCTCAGTAGTAGGACTAAAACAGTTCTACTAAAGGCTATTCTAAACCTGCTCTTAAAAGAGCTTTAAAACAAACTTCAAAAGAATCAAACTGATTCCAAGTAACTATCAGATGGCAACACCAGCCCTCTTTGAGCTTCGGGAATTCTCTGACCTCCTTCTTTTCAGTGGTTCTTTCCATGGCCTCAGATAGTTCCCTATCACACATGAACAGATTAGCGCCCAACTACGGGCTTAAAGAGACCTCTCTTCCATCTCAAGATCTGAAGACTTTCTCCTTATAAAGGCGTCTCCTCTCTAGTATTTAGCTTTGCAAATTATAGGTTCTTGCGCTGCTTAACCTCTAAGCTCTGTCTCCTCAACTTCATGAGAAATCTGGACTCTGTTTCTCCACTATGACATTGCCTGCAAACTGCCTCCAAGCAGTCAGCTAGGGCAGTGGTAGAGCTCATCTTGTTTCTGTCGCTCTTTTCAGGAATAAATGTCCTGTTCTGTTTGCTATCCCATTTCTCAAAACTAATATTCCTTATATAGTGTCTGTTTTTCTGTTTTATGAAGTGGGAGGTAAATTTTGTCCCTGTTGATCCATAATGCCTGGAACCTAAACGTCTTTTTTACAGTGTGTTAGCACGACAACTTGTTTTGGGTAGTGTATTAGGGTGACAACTTGTGTTTTTACCCTGCACAAAACATGTTCAAAAACAGCAAAACTCTTTTAAATGTTTATGTTATAAATAAATCAGTGATTAAATAATATATGTCTCTTTTAAAGCTAATTTTACATAGCTCCTTTTAGAAATAAAAGTTGTGCCATTCTTTCTAGATGTATACATTGTTGGATTGTTTAACTTTCAATTTAAAAAGCCTGAGATGCTTGATTATTAGAGTTAGATTCATAGTTAAATTTTATTAAAACTGTAAAAATGTCACTGCACCTGGCATATAGCCAGTTATTGAAAGAGGGAGAAAGATAATTAGGAAATGAAGGTAATGAGACAACAATTCAGGAAAAAAAGACGTTAGGACTTTGATGGGCAGTGGAAAAGAGAATTTGGGAGTTCAGCTTTAAAATAGTGAGTGAAACAAATAGTTTCAAGTAGTTATTTCCCTATTGACTGTCAGTCCAAGACTCTTTCCTTTGTACCACGCAGCCCTCTTTCTTAATGAAAACTCTTCAAAGGGACTATTTACATTAAGTTTTTCTACAATAAACTGACCAAGATTTGTATCATTCAAAGAACGTCAGCTCTTGCCTGAACTCAACTAAGATAGTTAAACACAAAGTAATCCATGCTATGAATAAAGACCAGAAAAATAAAATATTTGTAAAATGCCATCTTTGTTCTAACTGAAGTATTTAAGGCACTTAGTTTTTGTCACAATAGGTACTTAAAAACAGAAAGGTTGACATAAACGTCATATTTACAGAAAGTGTAAAAGGAGACTATAACAAATAAAACCAGTAGTGATTAATACACACTGCGTTGCCCATCAGCACTTATGAACACATTTATTTCATCTGTACAAGAAAGAATATTCATAGATATTCTTTTCAAATTTTACTCTGATAATTCATATGTATTTTGAATAAATCTCTTTGAAGGCTAACATTTAATTTCCTCCAAATATTCAAGTTGATTTAACACTAGGGGAGCAGCAAGTTTATGAGGACCGAATAGTCAATATGATTTTCTAGGTATTCAGATGCTTTGTTGCAGCCTAATTATAAAAAAAATCAAATATTTCAAATATTCAAAATATGAAGAAGTTGACTGCTAAGGAATAGACTTCAAAATTACAATACATTTTCAAGTTAAGATCACCCATTTTTCATGCAAATATCTGAGGGGTTTTGGCCACAGTGCACATCACCCTAAAGGGTTATGTTTATACCCTTACTTCTAAAAGAGTCTATTTGTGTGAATGTGTGTAACGTTTTATAAGACTACTGATGATATAGATAAAAAGAAACTTAGAATACAAGAATAATGCCAAAAATTCATGCATGTTAAATATAGTATGTTATGGCCACAGAAAAAGATATACAAATTAGATTAATTGCAGGCTGTGTCTCTCATAGTAATAATAGGTTCCACTGAGTTATCTGTATTTTTCCATTTTGTTCAGAGTCATCTGAATTTGTGAGACACATAACCATAGATATAGACAAATTCTGTCTGATGTAACCTTGTTTTCCTTTATGTAAAATTAATTAATCCATATCATTATCTTCTTGCTACAATGTATATTCCATTTTGTTTATTCATTCATATTAAACCTCCTTCGAAATAGGAATTAAGGTAACTTACAAAGATTCATGCATACCACATTATAAAAATAAATAAATGAAAGATCTGGAAGAAATAATATATAGACAATGGAAATATCAAATAAACTCAGAAGGAAAGGTAGCATCTCAACCACATGTCACATGGACATGGACACCACCCCGCCCCGCCATACACTTTGAAAGTTGTCAGAGAAAGGAATAGAAAGAGGCTTGACTTAGTTAAAAAAAATTATTATTACTGTTATTTTTACACAATTCAGGTAAAAATTCTCCATTTAAAAACTCAAAGTTTCCTCAAATTCTATTACATGACATAAACAACTCCTAACAACGTGGTGTCACCCTTTTTTTTTTTTTTTTTTTTTTTTTTTTTTTTGAGATGGAGTCTCACTCTCTCACCAGGCTGGAATGCAGTGGTGCACTGTGATCTGGGCTCACTGCAACCTCTGCCTCCCAGGTTCAAGCGATTTTCCTGCCTCAGCCTTCCGAGTATCTGGGACTACAGGCACATGCCACCACGCCACCAGGCCCAGCTAATTTTTGTATTTTTAGTAGAGAGGGGTTTCACCATATTGACCGGGATGGTCTCAATCCCTTGATCTCTTGATCCACCTGCCTCGGCCTCCCAATGTGCTGGGATTACAGGCGGGAGCCACCATGCCAGTCGTGTCACCCTCTTTTTAAGTAACATCTTCACTGTTCTTTCATGTGCAATATGATCTGGTTACCCAGAGTGTCTCTCCATTTCTCTCAATGTCATCTTCTCACACTTCTTTGTTTTTGAATTTTTGCGTGGAGAGCCAACTTCAATCTCTTTTTCTTGGTGAAATGCCATGAGACGTTTAAGAACAATTTAGTGTTTCTCCCTCTCTGAAGACTTCTCTAGGGCTAAAGAATATGTTAGTCACCTAGTTTATGTGTACCATTAGTGTTTTATACCAATTTGTATAATAGCGTAATAGCATCTCTCAAAACCCTTCTGATAATTTCTCACATGCTTATTAGCCCCAATGCACGGAGAAGATGGAGACTATATCTTGTTCAATTCTACATTCTCAGTTCCTAGCCCATTACAAACAGACAATCTGTGAGTGTCAGATGCACAATAAATTGGCTTAATAAAGAGCTAACAGTAGAAAGGGTGAAAATTTAAGAATGAAAACAGATGAGTAAGACTAATAAAAAGACTGAGTGCCAAAATACCTCAAAGGGAATCATGATTTAAAAACATAAAAATGTGTCATTAGTTGATCTGAATTACCCTTACAATTAGTGGATTCATTTTTTAAAAACCTCACATTAACATGGATGAAATTTTGAAATGCTTAGCATTACCAGTATAATCCATACAAAATTTCATCTAATGGGAGTTATCTTGTTAAAGAAAGTCACCTCCTTTAGTCTGCACATTGAAGACATTTTATTTTATTACACATAGCCTTTCTTTCCGGCTGTGCTGAGCTATCATGGTCCAATTTTATTCCAGTTGCACAGTACAAAGCAGTTCCTCTAGGAGCTGCTTTTGAAGATTAAAGCATAGAAATAATTTTATTAATGCAATTTTATTTTATATAACACCACACTTCAGCAAGCCTAAATTCTTCATGAGTATCAGTATTATCTATATAGAATTCAATTTACCAGTGGTCCAATGTGAAAATGCTGTTTGCCTATCCACAAAAGTGAGTAGGTAACCTATCAGTTAATGCTTGCTGTGAAATCATCAAAGTTTCACCAGAAACTGCAAAACTAGTGGTATCAGGGTCAGTAACATACTTCAATTGTGTCCACTTTGTATTTTACAAAGTTCTTATCCGTAATGTTATTTAGCCTTATTGCAGTTTTGTGACCCGAGAATTGTTTGCTAGTTTATTTTAAGTAAGTAAAGAAAAGAGGCTCAGAGACCTAAAAGTGACTTATCAGCGTCATGGGACAGAGGAGGGTAGATTTGGGATTGGAACTGAGGCTGTATAACCTCTGGCTCAGCAATGTTTTTTTTCTCCTGAATAATTTTCTTCTTATTTCATCTTTGGAATGGTTTACAGAAAATTATGATGTCAGGTCAAGAGTTTAGAATAAAAGAGGTTACATAAGACACATAGGGAGCTAGAAGAAAGTCACAAGTCACTCAGAAAACATTCATTTGTGCATTGATTCTTGCAAGAAATACTGGACAACTATTAAGGGACTTCTGCTCTACTAAGTGCTGGATTTAGCATTAGACATACAGATTTCTACTATGTGCTAAGTAGTTTATTAGGCTCTGTAGATAACATAAAAATTGGATTTAAACCATTTTTAAATATGTAGAAATAACAATGTCTTAAAAATTCTGGTTTTAAAAAATGAAAACAAATATATTTAAATAATTGGAAAATCTAAGAATGCACATAGGAAAAGTATCTTCAGAATGACATAATAAAGACCACCAGAAATCTCCATAAAAACAATGAGAAGACTTGCAAACACTGTCAAAATCAACCTTTTCATGACTTTGAAAATTAATAAAAGTCTTGCAACAATCTGAGAAGCATTTATTCACTAAAATGACTACATCTGCTTAAGAAAAGCAAACTTTGTGGCATTATAATTTGCCCTTATATCAGTCCAAACTTCCTAGCTCTGTGGTAATCTTGTAAACCAAAAGCCACATAATCACGGTAGCTGGAAAATAAGCAGCCTAGCAGCCACTGAGGGAGTAGAACATGTTTTTAGCTCCCCAAAGGACCATTTTTCAAATATTTGTCGTTATTTGACTTGTCTGTCAACTCCTGGTAATCCTCCTCTCTTAGGACTTCTCTTTATTTGACCTGACTCAAGGTTCATTTAGTAAGAACAGTCTTTTGGTTGAAAACAATGATCATTACTTTCTTAACATCAGAGCTACCAAAGAAGGGAACAATAGTTGGGACCAATTAGTGTAACCAAAGAAGTTAGAAAGAAAATGCCTAAAAATGAGAATTAGAAGTAGATAGAGGATTTTGAAAACCTCTGACATATTTCTTGTCACATAAATGTACAAGCCTGTGTGCATTTTCAGAAAATAATTAATACTCGAATCTCATCTTTCTAGCTTACTTTGAGTTTCTTTGCACTCAGGAAGTAAAGGCTAAGGCAATGTTGTAAATGATGGAGTGTCAGAGGCACAGCACATCATGCATGTGCAGTCTCTCGTAAAAACTAGAAAATGTATTGGTTCAAGGCATTTGAGGAAATTTCTGTCCAATTATTAGCTCATTAAGTGGACATTTCAGTAATTATAATTGACAAAGCATATGGAATTGGCAAAATTAGTTCAGGAAAGTCAATAAGAAACCAACAACCCGAAAACAGCAACAAAAACAAACCCTAAGGAATAGAAAAGAAAGCATCCACTTTCCAGAATCACCAGATTATTTTATTTAAAATATCCTGTTTTCAAAAAAAATGAGATATGTAGAGACACATGAAAGTATAAACCAGAAAAAAAAGTTAATAAAAACTGTACCTGAGGTAACCCAGGCTTAGATTTACATGACAAAGACTTAATTATAAATATATTCAAAGAAGTAAAACACAAAAGCTCCAATATCTAAAGAAATAAAGAAAAGCATGAGAATTACTACTCACTAAATAGAGAATATCAGTAAAGAGACAAAAATGTTATTTAAAAAAAGAAGCAAATAGAAATTCTGGAGTAACAGATTAGAAAGGCTGAAATAGGAAATTATTAAAGGGGCTCAATAGCAGATTTGAACTGGCTGAAGAAAGAATCAGAGAACCTGCAGATGAGTCAATTGAGATTGTCCATTCTGAGAAACAGAAAGAAAATAAAATAAAAGTAGAGACTCAGAAAAATGTGGGACATTGTCAAGCATATATACCAACATACTCATAAAAGATAAATGGTGGTGGGGTGGAGGCACAGGGAGAGAAGAGACAGAAATAACATTTTAAGTAATATGAAAAATATTTATCTACATTGAAAAAGCCCAACAACTCTAGGAAGAAAAAACTCAGAGATCCACACCATGGAAAGACAAAGAGAAAATCTTGAAAGCACTAAGAGAGAGGTGACAATTCACATACATATGACCCTCAATAACGTTAACAGATGATCAGATGATTTATCATTAGAAGCCATGGAGATCAGAAGGAAGTAGAATTACATATTTAAAGTGCTGAAAGAAAAATAATACCAACCAAGAATTTTATGTCTAGCAAAATCATCCTTCAAAAATGAAAGAGAAATTAAAATGTACCCAGATAAACAAAGACTAAGCAAATTTGTTAGTAGCAAACCTCCCTTCCTGAAATAACAAACAGAGTCCTTCAAGTTGACATGAAGGTCTACTAAATAATAATTTGATTCCACATGAAGATATAAGGTATACATGCATTTTTGTTTATAATTTTTCTTTTTGCTGAATGATTTTTTAAAAACCTGCAGAAGGTAATACATATAAAACTGTGCTAAGGTGCATAGAATGTACAAATATGTAATTTGTGATTATAATATCACAAAGGACTGAGGAAGGGAGACACATAAGAGCAATATGGTTGTGTAATGTTCTAATTATGGTAGTATTAATCTGAACTAGACTTTTATAAATTGTTACATCCAGAGAAACCACTAAAAAAGCGATTCAAAAAGAGTATAGATAACATCCAGTATGAATAGATATCAACTTTTTTTCAGGTAAGAATATATTGTTAAAATTCTGTATTTGCTTTTAATATATCAGGCATTGGTGATTCGAAATGATTTCTTTTTTTGAGATGGGGTCTCTGTTGCTCGGGCTGGAATGCAGTAGTGTGATCATAACTCACTGCAACCTTGAACTCCAGGGCTCAGGCAATCATTCTACCCAAGCCACCAAAGTAGCTAGGACCACAGGTGCATGCCACCACACCTAGCTAATTTTTTATTTTTTGTAGATACAGGGTCTAGTTGTGTTGCCCAGGCTGGTCTCTGGCTCCTGGGCTCAAATAATCCTCCCATCTCAGCCTCCCAAAGTGCTGGGATTATACATGTGAGCCACCACGTCTGAGCTCAAAGTGAATTCTGACTATTATGGAGTTATTAATGCTTGTTCTAAAATATTCTGTTCTCTCTTTGATTAGGATTATACTTATCCACTCCCTTTGAATCCAGAAGTCATGTGTCTTAATTTGACCAATAAACTGTAGCATAAAAAACATGCTCCAGCTTCAGGATATAACTATGTGCCTGGTAGATGTGCCATGGTAGATCAGTGTGTGATCTACCATGCCCATTTTTTCTGCCTTAGCATTAATGGAAGCACGTGTAGAGACTGAGTCTTCATGGATTTTACGTCCCTGAGTGGCCATGATATTCCAAAACCTCTTCTCATTCAAGTTAGACTGGAACTGCTAGTAGAAGCAAACTTGTGTTAAGCTACTGAGATTTGGGGTAATTTGTTATTTCAACACAAGTATTATAATGGATGACAGTAAAAGTGTAATTTATTGCAGGGCCTTTATCTAGGATTATTCACTCCATGAATAGTGTTGTGTTTAACAAAAGATTTCTATAATTTGAAAAAATTTTTAAATTATTTTACATGAATTTTACTAGGTGGTCTATTTAAAAGCCAAATTAGTTGTGAAATTTTTGATTCTCTCCCAGAAACTTTTGCTCTAATTGGGAAGTTTTTCTCTGTTATCTCCTAAAGAAGCAATTTGCATTCCTGCTTCCAAGCCTTTATTTTTCTCTTTCCATTTGGAATACTTCTCCTTCGATTACCATACTTAGATTACATCTTAAAATCCTATCAAATCTTCAGTGATCCAATTCAAGTCATATTTTATTGGTATGGTTAGGCTTGGTGTCCCCACCCAAATCTCATCTTGAATTGTAATCCCCATAATCCTCATGTGTCTAGGGAGAGACCAGGTGGAGGTACTTGAATCATGAGGGTGGTTTCTTCTATGCTGTTCTCACAATAGTGAGTGAGTTCTCACAAGATCTGATGATTTTGTAATGGGCTCTTCCTCCTTCTCTCTGCACTTCTCCTTCCTGCTGCCTTGTGAAGAAGGTACCTTGCTTCCCTTTCACCTTCTGCCATGATTGTAAGTTTCCTGAGGCCTCCCCAGCCATGCTGAACTTGAGTCAATTAAACCTCATTCCTTTACAAATTATCCAGTCTCAGGCAGTTCATTATAGCAGTATAAAAACAGACTAATACAGTAAATTGGTACCAAGGTAGTGGGGCAGTGCTCTAAAGATGCCTGAAGATGTGAAAGCAACTTTGGAACTGGGTAATGGACAGCGGTTGGAACAGTGTGGAGGGCTCAGAAGAAGATAGGAAGATGTGGGAATGTTTGGAAATTCCTAGATAATTTTTGAATGGTTTTGACCACAACACTGCTAGTGATACAGACAATGAAGTCCAGGCTGAGGTTGTCTCAGATGGAGATGAGCAACTTCTTGGCACTTGGAGCAAAGGTGAACCTTGCTATGCTTTATAGCAAAGACATTGGCAGCATTTTGCCCCTGCTACAGAGATCTATGAAACTTTGGACTTGAGGGTGACAATTTAGGATATCTGGTGGAAGAACTTTCTAAGCATCAAAGCATTCAAGAGGTGACTTGGATGCTCTTAGAAGCACTCAGTTTTATGCATTCACAAAGAGATGATTTGGAATTGAAACATATGTTTAAAAGTGAAGCAGAGCATAAAAGTTTAGAAAATTTGGCACCTGATGATGCAACAGAAAAGAAAACCCCATTATCTGAGGAGAAATTCAAGTCAGCTGCAGAAATTTGCTTGAGAAATGAGAAGCTAAGTGTTAATAACCAAGACAATAGGGAAAACGTCTCCAGGGTATGTGAGAGGTTTTCACGGCAGCCCCTCCCATCACAGGTTCGGAGGCCTCGGAGGAAAAAAAAATGGTTTTATAGGCTGGGCCAAGGACATTGCTGTTTTGTGCAGTCTCAGGATTTTGTGCCGTGCATCCTAGCCATGGCCAAAAGGAACCAACATATAGCTCAGGTTGTTGCTTCAGAAGGGGCCGTCAAGCCCCAAGCCTTGGCAGCTTACATGTGATGTTGGGCCTGCAGATGCACAGAAGTCAAGAATTGAGGTACGGAAGTCAAGAATTGAGGTTTGGGAACCTAGCCTAGATTTCAGAGGATTTATGGAAATGCCTGGTTGTCCAGGCAAGTTTGCTGCATGGGTGGAGCTTTCATGGAGAATCTCTGCTAGGACAGTGCAGAAGGAAAATGTGGGGTTGGAGCCTCCACAGAGGGTCCCCACTGGGGCACTGCCTAGTGGAGTTGTGATAAGAGGGCCACCGTCCTCCAGACCCCAGAATGGTAGATCCACCAACAGCTTGCCCTGTGCACCAGGAAAAGCCACAGACACTCAATGCCAGTTCACGAAAGCAGCTGGCAGGGGGTCTATCCAATGCCATGGGAGCCCCCATCTTGCATCAGCATGACCTGGATGTCAGATGAGGAGTCAAAGGAGATTATTTTGGAGCTTTAATACTTGACTGCACTGCTGGGTTTTGGACTTGCATAGGGCTTGAAGCCCCTTCGTTTTGGCCAATTTCTCCCATTTGGAATGAGTTTATTTACCCAATGCCTGAATCCCCATTGTATTTTGGAAGTCACTAGCTCACTTTTGATTTTACGGGTTCATAGGTGGAAAGCACTTGCCTTGTTTCAGATGAGTCTTTGGACTTGGACCTTTTGGTTAATCCTGGAATTAATTAAGACTTTGGGAGACTGTTGGGAAGGCATTATTGGTTTTGAAATGTGAAAGGGACATGAGATTTGGGAGGGGCTAGTGGCAGAATGACATGGTTAGGCTTTGTGTTCCCACCCGAATCTCATCCAGAATTGTAATCCCCATAATCCTCATGTGTCAAGGGGGGGGACCAGGTGAAGGTAATTGAATCGTGAGAGTGATTTCCCTCTTGCTGTTCTCATGTTAGTGAGTGAGTTCTCACAATATCTGATGGTTTTATAAGGGGGTCTTCCCTGCTTCTCCTGAAACTCCTCCTTCCTGCTGCCTTGTGAAGAAAGTGTATTGCTTCCCCTTCACCTTCTGCCATAATTGCAAGCTTCCTGAGGCCTCCCCAGCCATGTTAAACTGTGAGTCAATTAAACCTTCCTTTAAAAATTACCCAGTCTCAAAGAGTTATTTATAGCACTGTGAAAATGGACTGATACATTTTCCATCAGGATTTTTCCTACTTTTATACTTCACATAGATAATAAAATAATAATGCTGCATACATTGAATATCAATAATGTGCAAAACACTGTATTCACTGTTTTGCATGTGTTGTGCTGTTTAGTATTTGCAGCAAGGTATAATAAAGGACTTAGGCTAAGAAAATATCATGCCAAGCAGATGTGCCTCATACGTTGCTAATCCCTATTTATAGAATTAGTATTTCTTTATAAACTACAATTTTATACTTTCAACTATTTTTATTATGAAACCTTACTGCATTTGACTCGCTTAGAAACCAAGTCATTTATTTTCTCATAATTCCATCATGTACTTTAGTTCTGTCTTCGAGGTGAGCTGTAAACTCAGGTTTCATGTTGACTTTGTATCTCATTCCCCACAGAAGTGACTATCCTTACAAATATTCTAGTTTAGAGTTTAGAATTTGAAATAATGCCAAATGTGGTATATGCAATACTTAAAGTCATAAAGGGTGATATGGAACCTTAAAGCTAAAACCCTTGTTTAAGCTGAGAAAATAATTTCAGTGACTAGGAAGAAAAGGTGAGGCAAAGACAATTATTTTACATGAGTTAGCACCTGTTTATTTGTAGAATCTTACCAATATATACACATCTGTGCTGACTTTTTCATTTTTATTTCCACTTGTGCAGATATAGATATAGTTGCTAAGCTAGTGGCCTATTTAGTTTGCTACAAGGAAAAAGAAAAGTAATAATGCATATCAAATGCTTCCTCTATGGAAAAATGTGGCTAAGGTTACTGAAAACCTTAAGGGTTATCAAAAGTATCAGGGATGTCATCTTAATGTTCTAGCCCATAATAGGTGTTTTGATATTAATTACTGATTCTGAAGGCTGTGTAATCAGTAACAGAGCCCAAATTCAAAGCCCCATGTATCTGCCTCCAAAAATTTGTGTATTTCCCCTCATATCACCCAGTGTTCAAATTTTTTGCAAGAGATAGTTACAATCCCCATCAGATTTACTATAATTTCTTTATTCTGTTGAGGTTTATTCTGCTCTTTCACTGCACTTAAATATTATGAGTAGCCAACAATCTAGTTTCACCTGACATGACATTGTCAAAGAAAAACCACTGACATTTACCTTTGCAAGTGACAAGTGCTCTTTTCCAAGGAGTACATAAAATGGTTACAAAATTAAAACCTCAGAGTTTTTGTCTATTTGTTTAGAATCCACTGGGGTTCATACTTTATCATTGCTGTGATATTTGCCAAATTAGTGCTTCAGTGCTAATATTTTTAAAAGTATATTTTTCTCTCTATCATACTCCTTTCTTTTTTTTCTGCTGACCTGTAATCATAATGAAAGCACTTATATGTCTTTGGTCCTGTCTCACTTTTCAAAACAAGTGCTAATCACTCTCATTCTGGAATCTGAATGTCAAATTCAATCATATCAAGATTTACCCTTGTATTAGTCCATTTTTGCATTACTATAAAGAACTACCTGAGACTGGGTAATTTATTTTAAAAAACAAACATTTTAATTGGCTCATGATTCCACAGCCTGTATAGGAAGTGTGGCTATGAAGCCGTAAGGAAATTGGCAATCATGGCAAAAGGTAAAGAGGAAGCAGGCACATCTTACATGGTCAGAGAAGGAGGAAGAGAGAGAGGGGTGAGGTACTACATACTTTTGAAAAAGCAGATCTTGTGAGAACTCACTATTACAAGAAAAAGGAGAAAATCCACCCCCATGATCCAATCACATCCCACCAGGTTCCTCATCTAACATTGGGGATTATAATTTGACACAAGATTTGGGCAAGAACACAGACCAAAACCACATCATTCTGCCCCTGGCCTCTTCCAAATCTCATGTCCTTCTCACATTTCAGAACACAATCATGCATTCCCAACAGTCCCTCAAAGTCTTAACTCATTCCAGCAGTAACTCAAAGTCCAAAGTCTCATCTGAGACAAAGCTACTTCCTTCCACCTATGAGCCATTAAAATTAAAAACAAGTTAGTTACTTCCAAAATACAATGGTGGTTTAGGCATTGGGTAAATACTGCCTTTCCAAAAGGGAGATATCAACCAAAACAAAGGGGCTGCAGACCCCATGCAAGTCCAAAACCCACCAGGGCAGTGGTTAAATCTTAAATCTCCAAAATATATCCTTTGACTCTATGTCTTACATCCAGGCCACAGTAATGCAAGGGATAGGCTTGCAAGGCCCTGGGCAGCTCCACCCCTGTGGTTCTGTGGGGCTAGATTCCTAAGGCTGCTCTCAAGGGCTGGCACTGAGTGCCTGCAGCTTTGCCAGGTGCACAGTGCGAGCTGTCAGTGGATCTATCATTCTGGGGTCTGGAAAATGGTGGCCTCTTCTCACAGCTCCACTAGGCAGTGCATCACTGGGGAATCTGTGTAGTGGCTCCAACCCCACATTTCCTCTCTGCATTGCCTAATAGAGGCTCTCCATGAGGGCTCTGCCCCTGCAGAAGACTTCTGTTTGGACATTCATGTGGTTCCATACATCCTCTGAAATCTAGGCAGAGGTGCCCAAGCCTCAACTCTTGCCCTCTGTGCACCCATAGGCTTAACACCACATGGAAGCCACCAAGGATTGTGACTTTCAAGCTCTGGAGCAGTGACCTGAGACATATCTGGGGACCTTTTGGCCACAGCTGGAGGTGGAGTGGCTGGGATGTAGGGACTAATTTCCTGAGGTTGTGTAGGGCAGTGGGTTCCTGAGCCCAACCCACGAAACCATTCTTCCTTCCCAGGCCTCTGGACCTGTGATGGGAGGAGCTACTGTGACCATCTCTGAAATGCCTTGGAGGTATTTTCCCCATTGTCATTCCTATAAACATTCAGCTCCTCTTTACTTATGCAAATTCCTACAGCTGGCTTGAATCTCTCCCCAGAAAGTGAGGTTTTCTTTTCTACCACATGATCAGGCTGCAAATATTTTAAACTTTTGTATTCTGCTTCCCTTTATATAAAAGCTCCAGTTTCAGATAATCTCTTTGCTCACACATATGACCATATGCTATTAGAAGCAGCCAGGCTACATCTTGAATGCTTTGCTGCTTAGAAATTTGTTCTGCCAGATACTCCAAATCATCACTCCAGTTCAAAGTTCCACAGATCCCTAGAGCAGAGGCACAATGCTCCCAGTCTCTTTGCTAAAGCATAGCAAGAGTAACTACTCCAGTTCTCAATAAATTCCTCATCTCCATCTGAGATCATCTCAGCCTGTAACGCATTGTCCATATCCCTATTAGCATTTTGGTCACTACAATTTAACAAGTCTCTAGAAAGTTCCAAACTTTCCCTCATCTTTCTGTCTTCTTCTGAGCCTTTCAAACGGTTCCAACCTCTTTTACCCAGTTCCAAAGTTGCTTTCACTTTTTCAGATATCTTTATAGAGATGCCCCCACTCCTGATGCCAATTTTCTGTATTAGTCTGTTCTCACATTCCCATAAAGAACTACCCAAGACTGGGTAATTTATTTTTAAAAAGTGGTCTAATTGTCTCATAGTTCCATAGGCTGTACAGGAAGCATGGGTGAGGAGGCCTCACATAACTAACAATCATGGCAGAAGGCAAAGAGGAAGCAGGCAAAGCTTACTTGGATGGAGAAGAAGAAAGAGAAAGGGTGGGGAGGTGCTACACACTTTTAAACAACCAGATCTTGTAAGAACTGACTCACTATTAGGAGAATAGCAAGGAGGAAATCCGCCCCCATTATCCAATTACTTCCCACCAGGCCCCTCTTCCAACCTTGGAGATTACAATTTGACATGAGATTTGGGCAGGAACACAGACCCAAATTGTATCAACCCTTCACCTCACATATATGAGACCAGAAGAGTGACTTTTTCCTTTTAAGCTGTCTTCTTTCTAGATGTCTTTTTTACTTCTTTTTCTTTTTTTTTTTTTTTTTTTTTTTTTTTTTTGAGATGGAGTCTTGCTCTATCACCCAGGCTGGAGTGCAGTGGCATGATCTCAGCTCACTGCAACCTCTGCCTCCCGGGTTCAAGCAATTCTTCTGGCTCAGCCTTCCAAGTAGCTGGGGCTACAGGCGCATGCCAACACACCTGGCTAATTTTTGTATTTTTAGTACAGATGGGGTTTCACCATATTGTCCAGGCTGGTCTCGAACCCCTGACCTTGTGATCTGTCCACATCAGCCTCCCAAAGTGCTGTGATTGCAGGTGTGAGCCACTGCACCTGGCCTCCTTGGTGTTTTAAAATCATAATGTCTTATTGTTTTAGTTTCTTCTCAAAATGAAGTTTGTACTGCTTTAAACACTGCTAAAACAATAGTATGAATATTTCATCATTCTATTTCATCATCCATACTTAGAGAGAAGGATTCTGTTTTGCCATCTCATAAGTTGTCAATCTCGCTTTCATTGTAAAAAATGCATCAATAATAATAAAGAAGGGAAAATATCACAGCAGGATTTCAAGGTCTCCAGTGTAGATATCACCAGAGCGTGGAAAACCAGCAGCTTAACTAGATGTAAATCACATGGGAGACAGGAAAATAAGAATGAATATTAAAATTCACACAACATTCTTTGGTAGAGTCCCTTCAGATTAGGATTACAGTCAGTATTGGTTTGAAATCATAGATTCATAGACAAGGATGAAGCTTCATGGCTGTGCAATTATTTCTGAAGCTTTCCAAAATGGTTGAATTTTTATGAAGAGTAAAGATAAAGAACTCTGCTCAGTTTTCAAAGGTATTACAAGCTATCTTAAGGCAATGAGACACCCCCAGTTAAGGAGTGTATTTAATATCCAGCTTTAGGGGCAGGCTCCAAAACATGGCTGATATACTGGTGACAGTAACATATGGAATGTAACCTGAGTCAGAATGTTTCTTAAATGGCTATGTCCCTAATAGTTTTTCAGAGATTAAGCTTACACATTTTCCTCTTTGGATGTAGGTTAAAAACCAAATGTTAAATGTTAACTGAAAAATTGTAATTATCATATAAAACAGATTTTAAATTGGGGCATTTCAGTCAAAAAAGACTTTATGACTTGTGTTGAATAATAATAACCCAATGTTCTACTTACTCTCCCATTTTGATCAAGCATATGTAAGTGTGGGATTCTTTCCTTTTCTTCCCTTTCCTCCTCTTCCCCTTCATTCCTTTTCCTCCCTCCCTCCTTTCTTCTTTTCTTCCTTCTCTGTCATTACATTTTTTTTCTGTTATTCAGATTGGGAAAAACTTAAATTTCCAACAGAATTCTAAATCTTATCTCAATTTGGTTTGTTGGCATCCAAACCTTGAAGTATTTTTAATGACATTCTTAAGTAGAATTGCTTTAGGAAGTTAAATTTTTCTCAGTATTATTAATACAATAAAACAAAGCATTTTTATAGAGAAATCTAAAATTTCTGATGCATGTCTTCAGCGCATCACAATTTGATTTTTGGAAAATATTTATTACAATAAGTTACAACTAAATTAAACAGTGAATGGATCACTCCTAAGGGGATAAACTAAATTAAACTTGGAAGAAACCAGAGCTAATTGTATTGCATCTTTATAATTAAGCAGCAAGAATTTTTAGTCTGCTGTTATCCTTTTGGTTTGCTAACACTTACATTTTATTAATATAGCTGATGTGTCTACATTTTTCTCTCAGGGTAATATGAACTAAACCCTTAAAAATTAGAGTACTGAAAGATTACTTATTTTTGTCAATGTTCTATGTTTCTGGGATTAATTGTTTTAAAATTTACTAAGTATACATAATCATTTACATCATCTAATTTGATAATTTAATCCATTTCTATTTTTCTGCATCTATTTATTCAACACACATTTATTAAGCTGCTATTTGTGCTCTAGATATGGGAAGGACAAAAAGGAATAACACATGGTACTACTTTCAAGCTGGTCTTTGTTCTACTTGAGATGACTTATAAACCAGTGAAAATAGATAAAGGAACAGGGGGTAGATAATAGATAGTAAAGTCTGTTTAGCAAAGCTTTATAGAAAATGCTTTTGAAATACAAAGGAAAAACTGATGATTTTTATCTGGAGGAAATCCAAGAAGTTTCATAGAGAAAGTGATATTTAAATTGAGATTCGGAAATCAAATAGAGAATCAGGAAAAAGCCAATTTAAGAAACATAGTAACTAACATTTATTGAGCTCCCAATAGATATTTTACCTACGTCAAAAAACTGACAACCATAGAGGTAAGAAACATGTCCAGAACACACAGCTGGTGAATGGAAAAGGTGGAATTTGAACATATGCAATTTTACTTTTGAATATACACTTTTAATTTAGGTAAAAACACTGCAAATGAATGATAACATACAATTTGATAAATTGTTCTGGAACATGAGATCTAAGATATTTGGGAACCTGTAGTGACGAGTCTAGAAATGGTATTCATGGTTTATTATGAAAGCCCTAAAACATCTTTTCAAGGAATTTAGATTTGATCTATTAGATGTTTAAAATTATTCAAAGCTCTTAAGCTGAGAAGTAGTAAGCTCTGAGGAAAGTGGTTGTTGAAATAAAGACTATAGACTTAGAATTTTAAAAATGAAAGAGAAGAAAGACAATTACTTTAAAGGACAGCATAGTGACATTGCAGAAAGGAAGGATGATAATGCAGCAACCTAAGCCAAAGGCTGGCATTAGCATACCCCAGTTTCCTCAACAAATCACATTATGAGTTTGATTGGCTTTAATACAAATGCATAGAACCCAGCACTCCCCAAAGAATTGCTTGGTGGTCAGCAATAGAGGAGCGGCCAAGTTGACTTCAGATATGGTAGATGAAACCTAGTGCCACTCAGTAGGAAAGGCTGTGATGAATCTGGACATAAGTTAGAAAACAGTAGAAGGGCATTTGAAACGGGAAACTGAGTTGACATCCATTTGAAACTTCCACAGTGTTTGTCCAACAGAAAAACAAAGATGTCTAAAGACTTCCGAGTGTTTTTCCTAGCAAGTAAAACTTTAAGGACTTTTTTGTTAGTTTAATTGTTAAAATATATGACAGGAAGATCCTTTGATTTTCAAGGGGCTGATCTCCTCATCAGTGCATTAGAAAGTTCACACAGCCACAGGCGAGTAGAGAGGGGCATTGGACAACCAATGGCAATAAGGAAAATGAGGTGCCAGAATTTTATTCTAAGCAATGAATAAGGCATTCTGAATTATAACAAAGAAGATGAAGAAATCAAAGTGAAACTTTGTGCCAGAATGAAGCTTTTACATGCTCTAATATAAATGCTACATCTTATACTTAGAGTATATTCCTTATTATGTAATATGTTTGTTTATATTTGTGTTCACATAACTGTTGGTGTAGCGGAGGTATTTGACCTGAGGTTTGCAGTGTGAACATACAGTGCTAACAACAACAAAAATTATTCTGCCAAAAGGGAAACTGTGTTTATTTTTGAAAAAAAAATTATTTATCTTAAACATATGCCTTTTTTGAATTAAGTTCATCCCCCTTAAAATAACAGTTTCATTAATAGCTAAATGTGAGGAAATCATATCATACAAATGACCTCATAAACATTCCTTTTGGTACACATTTTGAAGAATAGATCCTAGTCTCCCATATAGTCAAAAATTCCAGGAATGAATTTAAAAGTATTATTTCCACCTCAATATTTTGGATGAGTGTAAGGAGGATTGGGGTTAATTCTACTATAAATGTTTGTAGAATTCTCCAGTGTAGCATCTGGTTCTGGGCTTTTTGGAGAGGGGTTGATGTTTTTGATTACTGATTCACTCTCCTTACTCATTATTAGTCTGTTCAGATTTTTTATTTTTCCGTGGGTCAGTCTTGGTAGCCTGCTCATTTCCATGAATTTGTCCATTTTCTATAAGTTATCCAAATTGCTTGCGTAAAATTGTTCATAGTATTCTTTTATAATCCTTTTTATTTCTGTGGTGTCACTTGAAATGTCCCATTTTTCATTTCAAAATTTAGTTATTTGATTCTTCTCTCTCTCTGTTCTTTAATTATTCCAACTAAAGTTTTGTCAATTTTGTCAACTTATTTAGTTTTGCTGATTTTTTCTTTTTATATTGTCTATTTTTAAAAATTTGTTCTAATATTTATTATTTCAGTCCTTCTGCTAACTTTGCATTTCGTTTGTTCTTTTTCCTCTTTCTTGTGGTATAAAGTTAGGTTGTTGATTTAAGATTTTTTATTTTTTTAATGTTCACATTTAGAGTTACAAACTTTCCTCTTTGCACTGCTTTTTTTAGACCTTACAAGTTTTGGGATATTCTGCTTTTATTTTTATTTGCCTGAAGATAATTTCTAATTTCCTTTTTGACCTCTTCTTTAACCCATTGGTGACTTAAGTGTGTATCATTTAATTTTCTACATTTTCGTAACAAATATGCTATTGATTTCTAGTTTCATTTCATTCTGATCATAAAAGACATTTGGTATAATTACAATATTCTTTACTTTTATTAAGATGTGTTTTGTGTCTTAACATATAGTCTATCCTGAAGAATGTTCCAAGTGTGCTTAAGAAAAATGTATATTCTGCCTTTATTGGGTGGAATGTTCTGTATATGTCTGTTAGGTCCAGTTTGTAAGCAGCATTAAGTCCTTTGTACTTAGTGATCTCATGTTCTGATTGTTCTATCCATTACTGAAAGTGGGGTATTAAAGTCTCCTATTGCTATTATGTTGCTCTTTATTTTGCCCTTCAGTTCTGTCAATGTTTTCTTCCTATATTTAGGAACCGTGAGGTTTAGGGCATAAATATTTATAATTGTTATATCTTCTTGAATAATTGACCCTTTTATCATTATAATGTCTTCTGTCTCTTGTGACAGTTTTTGACTTAGTCTATTTTATCTGGTATTAATATAGCTACAGTGATCTCTTTTGTTTACCATTTGCATGAAATAGGTTTTTCCGTCTTTTCATGTTTCAGCCTATTTGTGTCATCTAAAGTGAGTCTCTTGTACATAGAATATAAGTAACTATTTTTTTAAAAATCAGTTTAGTCTCAATCTATGGCTTTTGACTGAGGAGCTCAGGCCATTATCATGTAAGGTACTTGCTGATCAGGAAAGAGTTACTATTGCCAATTTTTTAATTTATTTACTGTATTCTTTGTAGCTTTTTTTGTACCTTTGTTTCTCTATCACTGCCTTTACTTGTGTTTTGTTGTAGTAGCAATTTTTGATTCCCTTTTCATTTCCTTATAAGTATATTCTATACATATTTTCTTTGTAGTTACCATAGCAATTACATAAAACATCATAAAATTATAACATTCCACTTTAAAGTGATAACAAGATAACCTTGATTGTATATAAATATTCTACTCTTTATAGTGCCACTCCCCCCCTTTTTAATTATTGATGTCAAAAATTACACTTTTAAATATTATATACCGATTAACATAGTTTTATACCAGGTTTTTTAATTTAATGTATATGCACCATAATTACAGTAATCCAAGCTACTCTAGTTGTTCATGTATTTACGTTTACTGAAGAACCTTATATTTCCATTTATGTTATACATTTGTTTCAACCTGGAAGACTTCCTTCAGCATTTCTTGTACAGAAGGCTTAGTGGTAATGAACTTCCTCAACTTTTGTTTATCTAGGAAAGTCTTAATTTCTCCTTCATTTTTAAAGAAAAATTTTCCCAAATATAGTGTCCTGGTTGACGGCTCTTCTTTTAGGATTTTGCACATATAATTCCACTCTTCTGGCCTGCAAGATTTCTGCTGAGAATAGTCTTATGAAACGTTCCTTGTATGAAATAACTTGCTTTATTCTTTCTTCTTTCAAGATTCTTTGTCTTTGACTTCAGTCAGTTTTGTTAATATATCAGTGTGATTTTTTTTAGCTTTTTCCTAGTTCTTTTTTGAGCTTCTTGAATTTGCATATCTGTTTCTTTCATCAGATTTGAGAAGTTTGGGGTCATTATTTCCTCAAATAAGCTCTCTTCTCTGCTCCTTTCTTATCTCTTCTCTTCCTGAAATTTCCAAAATGCATATATTGGCTCACTTACAGTGTTCCACAGTCCCTTAGGTTTTCTTCATTTTTCTTTAGATTTTTTTTTCCTTTTCATTCCTCTGACTTGATGATTTCAAATGACTTGTCTTCAAGTTTACACATTTGCCTTTCTGCATGATCAGGTCTGCTGTTGAATCTTTTTCATGAATCATAATTATTTCATTCTATTGTACTCAGCTACTGTACTCTTGAATTTCAAAATTTCTGTTTGTTTCTTTTTGCAGTTTCTTTTTGTTGACATTTTTGTTTTGTTTTTCCAATTGTGTTTTCTTGATTTTGCTTAACTGTATTATCTTTCAGCTCCCTGTGCATCTTTATGACAGATGTATATCATTGAACATCTTTATGACAGTTTCCTAAATGTTTTCTTAGGCAACCCATAGGTGGACATTTATTTAAGGTCTTTTCCATGAGATTTTTTTTATTGGGCTGTATTTTCTTGTCTTTTATGCCTTGTAATCTTTTGCTGGGATGTCAGCATTCCAGAAACAGTCTCTTTCCTCTGGCTTTGTGTATTGGCTTCTTGCAGGAGAAGACTTTCACCTTCAGTTTTCACTTTCACTTCAGCTAGAAATTCTAGGGTCTCTCATATCTTTTCTGATATCTTTCTCTTCTTAGTTTCTATTCATGGAACAGGAACTCTAATGTGTCACAGTGTTAACCTGTTTTCAGCAGGCTTCCAAATTCTGCAGTTGAAAACAGAACACATTAGCACTAGCCTGCCAGTGCTTTGAGTTAGGTAAGACCAAATTCTTTCCCTCAGGCAACTACCAGATGACCTAGAATGTGGAATGCATGAACCACTCTTTGTTTCTGTTTTAAAAAAAGAATGTCAAATATAGGATATTTTTTTCTTGTTATACGTGTTATGTCACACAGAAGGGTCGAGGATGCGTACAAGATGCCACAATTTTTCTTCCCCTTTCACTGGAAACTCTTCTTGATTTTACATTGATTTGGGTGCTGTGGCTTCTCAACTGGTCACTAAAGTTTTCACAGAGACATTCTGGTCCATATATTGTTAACATATTATCTCTGTGGGGAAAGGAGGGCCTGGAGCTTTCTAGTCCATGACCCTACTGACATCCAGCAACTTTTTTAAACCATTGCTAATTAGTTTTAATGTACTATTTACCCAAAAGCTGCAATTCAATATTACCTAAACTGGTGCCTATGTCTAAAAATACTTTAAAGTCTCCTCTTGCCCTTTGGACAAAATTGATGGTAGTATAGATGACAAGGCTCTTCATGATTTGGTCACTGCTTAGAATTCCAGATTCATTGCTTCCCTGACATTCTCTGACTCTCCGATATAACCAAGACTAAACTTTCAGTTAACATACTCTGACTCTACGATATAACCAAGACTAAACTTTCAGTTAACATACTCTCTGAAATTTTGCACATAACATTTTATTTCCTAGGATGTTTTCTTACAACCATCTCCCACACCAACCCCAACTCTAACCTGTCTTTTGCCTAGTTAATCTCTCCTCCCTTATTTTTTCAATATTTCTTTGCCTACAGTCTCTAATTTTTCATCTGTAACTATAGACTTAATTTACATCTTCTAATCTTTGTATTTGGTTTCTGTTCCTTCATTAATTCACTTAGGATAATGGTGTTCAGCTGCATCCATGTTGCTAAAAAGGACATGATTTTATTCTTTTTAGGGCTGCATAGTCTTCCATGATGTATATGTACCACATTTTTGTTATCCAATTCACCACTGATGGACACCTAGGTTGATTCTATGTCTTTATCATTTATATTTAGATTGATTTGTTTTTCTATGCTATAGGTAATAACTTCTTCATATTTATATATCAGTTTATTGGTTTGCTCATCAAGCATGCCTCAGATGCTTTTTAATTTTCCACTAAATTTTTAATCTTAGTGATCAGACTTTTTTATTTTAGAAGTTTATTTTTATGCTTCATCTTTTGTTTTTTTTTTATTTTTTATTCTTTGTTATCTGTGTTTTCAATTGTCTCTTTTATCTCTAAATATTTTACACATCATCTATGTCTTTGGGATTTAAGGAAGATTAGTTTATATTTGTCTGATGATTATCTCTTATAAACATGACTTTCTTGTATGCTTTTAATTTTTAATTTTGAGAAAATGCTCAGGATCATGTTGATGATGAGTCCCTCCTTCTTGTATGCTTTTAATTTTTAATTTTGAGAAAATGCTCAGGATCATGTTGATGATGAGTCCCTCCAGAGAATATGTGCATTTCTTCATATCATGTGCCCAAGGAGCTACTATCTTCATAATATCTTAGTATATTACTGGATTTAGTTTTTTTTATATTCATTGACTGTTGCTTAATTTTATGTGTCAATTTGACTGGGCTGAGCAATGCTCAGGCAGCATTATTTCTGTGTGTAGCTGTGAGGTTGTTTCCCAACAATATTATATTTGAATTTTATCACATTTGAATTGATAGACTGAGTAAAGAAGTTTCACTTTTGCCAATGTGGATGAGAATCATCTCATCTGTTGAGGGCCCAAATAGAACAAAAAGGTGAAGGAAGAGTTCATACTTCCTCCTTTTTCGGACTGGGACATCTATCATCTCCACTTTGGACATAAAGCCTCTGATTGTTGAGATGCTATACTCTGAAACTTACACCACCAGCTTTCCTGATTCTCTAACTTGCAGATGGCATATCATGGGATTTCTCAGCCTCCATAATCATGTGAGTCAATTCTTATAATAAATCTCTACTTTATATATAGATAGATAGATAGATAATAGATAGATAGATAGACAGATAGATAGATATCTGTTTTTTATTTTTCCTCTGGAGAATCCTGACCAATACACCTCACTAAAACAAATTTAAGCCCTAAATCTATTTTCACATCCCTGTGTTAGGACAGATTTTTTTCTGGCTTATATTTTTTCCTTGAGGGTCAAAGCTAAATATGACAGTCTGATTTGCACCTTTCACTTGCATTGTCGCTTTTCATAAACAGCCCATAAAATCTAAAACTCTTGGTTTTCTGCTTTTGGCAAACATTATCAGCAATCCTTAAACTAAATCCTGTTTATTAGTCAGGTTTTCCTGTTCATATTACTGTATATTTTTTTCTTTCCCAATTGGACCCACGCTCATTCACATCTAATAATTTAATAACTTACCATAAGACATTTTTTATTCTCTCAATTCACACATCATTTTGTATTATAAGCTCATTTCAAGGCCTATCTTCCCATACGTCTCTGGCTGGTTCATAATAAGTGATTAATAAATATATATTAAACAAAACAATGACTGATAAATACAACATTGCCTAACATTTATCTATGTTATACACAATTGAAAAACATAGCTCCCTAAAATATCTCAGAAGCTCATAAATATATTCTCCTGTTCAAATGTAAGTGTATGGTTTTTTCCATGTTTAAATAAATTAACCAAAATTAACCAGTTGGTATAATAGACAGATATGGTATTTAAAAAGCTGTATACAAAGATAAAGGAACTTGTTACATATGTTCCACCAATGGAGCTAATCTTACAACATTCCAAACTATGTCTTTAGAGAACATCCAAGTGGATAAAAAGCCAAACTTTAGTGTGCTTATACAGCCTCTGGCCTTCCACTGCAAAAAACTTTTAATATTTAGATCTTGCACAAAAATGTTTTTTGTAGAGAATGTCATAGTTATGGCATACCTAACTTTATCAGAAGAGTTTCTGACTTGGCTCTCTAGCAAAGGAAATGTGCAATAGTAACAGAGGAAAGAAAGAAAATTTAATCAGATCATCTGCAGGAGAATAATACTTAGAAATAGCAACCATTGTATTTTTTCTTAGGTTTTTATGCCATTTTCTCCTTCCTGTCATATTTGGAAAAGTAAGAAATCCACCATACTTCTCTCAAGAAGAGGATAATAGCAAAGAACACACAAAAATTCACTTTTTAACTTCTGTATCAGGCATAAAATAAGAAATTTTGGAAGATGATGTGACTATTCAGAATCAGTGTTCCTCATTAACATTACTTCAAACTTGTAAAACTAGGTAAAGCTTTCCTGTACTGTTGGAAAGGAGAAAGCGTTAAGCAGGGAAAGAAGAAAGTTTACAATCTGGTGGGTTCTTTCCATGTCCTTCCCTTGCCAAATATCAGTGATAGAAATGCAAAAATCTCATAAACTCATAATTCAAGCTAAGGCAATCAGAATAGAGAAGACAGAAAATTTGTAATACTAGATAAACTAATTAGAGTCCATTTCTGGTCTGAATCAAGAACTCAGGCTTCAAAAAAAATTCTTAGAAATTTTTTAATTGATTAAGGTATGCCCAACCATATAGAGTTTACTGCAATCAAATATATAGAAAGCTGACTAGGATTTTCAGAAAGCTGCACTATTCAAAGAGCTTCATGGGGATTAAAAATGATTGTTACACTGGGGCACAGTGGTTCATGACTGTTATCCCAGCACCTTGGGAGGCTGAGGAGGGAGAATCACTTGAGCCCAGGAATCTCAGACCAACCTGGGTAACATAGTGAGACTTCATCTCTATAAAAAATAAAAATTTTTCTGGCCATGGTGGCACATGCCTGTAGACCCTGCTACTCAGGAGGCTGAGGTGGGAGGATGGCTTGAGCCCAGGAGGTCAAAGCTAAGTGAACTGTGATCATGCTTCTGCACTCCAGCCTGGGTGACAGAGGGAGACTTTGTCTCAAACAAACAAACAAACAAACAAAAACAAACAAACTCCACTCTGCTCCCTGTAGGTGGGTCGGGAAGACAAAAAGTTCCAACCCTCTAATCACAAGGTTGATTTCCTTGGCAACCAACCTCCCTCCTGAGGCTATATAGGAGCGCCATCAGTCATCTCACTAGCACATGAAAAGATACTTATCATTTTGGAGATTCCAAGGGTTTTGAAAGTGTTGTGCCAGGAAACTGGGATGAATTTCATATATATATATACATGAATATATATACACACACACACATATATATATGTGTATATATATACACACACACATATATATACATGTATATATATACATATACATATATATAAATGTTACAGGTAGTTAAACAGGAGAAGGGCAGGAGAGAGCTCCTCCCCAACCCGCTAGATGGTGATGGTTCGGCAATTATCACATTGCTTCTCTAAGAATGATAATTCAGCAGCCTGGAGAGAAAAATCTCCTGATGGTCTATATCTGTTAAAACATTAAAACGGTTCATTGAATGTAGGCCCCAAGGAGAAGCAGCCTCCTGATCATGTATGTTAATAAACAAAAATGGCAAAGTATGATCTTCCCAGGGCACACACCACCAGAAAAGGGAAGAAAGCCTCAGACGGACATGTGTATAACTCCCTAAACACACTGCCCGTGCTCAGTTCCATAGGGTAAGGAAAACACTGTGCATGCAGGAAGCCCACCCTAAGGGAAGAATCATGCAAGAGAGGAGACTTTGTAAAGTCCTAGAGTCAAGGTTAAAGGGGCTTTTTCTTTCTTCTCTTTTTCTCTCTTTGACCTTCAGGTCCCCACTTGGATCTCTTCAAAGCAAATTTTCCTTTCTTTCCTGTTCTAAAGCCTTTTTAAATAAACTTCTGTTCCTGCTCTGGAACTTGCCTAAGTCTCATTTTCTGCTTTACGCCCCCAGTCGAATTCTTTCTTCTGAAGAAGCAAGGACTGAATTTGCTACAGACCTGTACAGATACGCTGCTGGTAACTCTCGGGGTAACTCGGATCTCTTCCATTGGCAATATAAATATATATCTTATTTTAAATCAAAATGTCATAATCACCAAAACTAATGTAGTCACTCATGCCCATGTAGTGAAACCACCATAAAAACCATTAACCTACAGGATTCTGAGAGCTTCTGGGTTGGTAAATGCACCCATGTGCTTAAGAGCAGGACACCTCAACCCCTAGCTCCCAGGACAGGAGCTCCTGTGCTCAGGACCCATCCAGATCTTACCCTTCTTTATTTCTATTCTTTGTAATATCATTTACAATAAACTGATAATAGTAGGTAAACTGCTTTCTCTAAGTTTTATGAGCCATTCTAGCAAAATTAATGAACCCAAGGGAGGATTTATGGGAACCTCCAAATTATAGCTAGTTGGCTGGAAGTACAGGAAGTCCAGTACTTGCAATTGGTGTGGGAAGTGGGAGAAATCCTGTGGCACTGAGCCCTTAACCTGTAGCGTCTGAAGCTAACTCTGGGGAGGTAGTATTAGAATTGAATTGAATTGGTGTTTGGAGGTTAGAGAATTTGTTCTTGGTGTGAAAACAATCCCGTGTTATTGGAATCAGAAGTGTTACAAGTAGTGTAAACCAAAAATGAAATTCTAAACACCCCCAGCCAACTGAATGTAACCATCTCTTGCCCAAGGCAATCTAAAAGAAACCTGAAAAACTGGTTCAGACCATGAAGGAAGAGGAGGTCAGACATACCTTGTTATGACCAACATTGACATTACAGTAGAAATCATAAGACTAACAAAACAGACTCTTTGTAGCAATAAGATACTCAACTCCAACCCAACTCTGGTATAGCATCACACAACAGATAGCAAGTCCTTAAGGAAATCAAAGCATTTTATCTCAAACTAATATTACCTTTGACACAATTTGAAGTAGCCCTGCAAAGCTCTCTGTTATGGGGGAAATTTGCATTCTGCGAAGAATCTCCTTCCCTTACTAGATCTTTCCCCGAGAACCTGACACCTTTGAAGGTTAAATAAGAGACATTTACCATCTATTCTCTCTAAAGCTTGTTACTTAGAGGCTTCAGCTACATAACAAGAACCTTAGCTTCCACAGTCCCCCTAATCTTAACTCAAGCATTTCTTTATGCTGACTTCAACTCTTCAGGCAAAGCTTAACTCTTTTAACAATAGTGAATCAAGAAATCTTTGTCTCCACCTATGACCTGGAAGCACCCCCTCTCTTTTGAGATGTCCCGTCTTTCCAGGCTGAACCAATGTCTACCTTGCCTGTATTAATTTATGTCTTCATCTGTAACTTCTGTCTTCCTAATAAAACCAAGCTGTAACACAACCACCTTGGGCACCTGTTCTCAGGACCTCCTGGGGCTGTGTCACAGGCCTTGGTCACTCAAATATGAGTCTCAGGATAAATGCCATTAAATATTGTACAGAGCTTGGCTTTTTGTCAATAGTTGAAATAGTTTATAACCTTTTATCACTGATATCTATGTTAATCCATGAATCATGAGCTTTCACATATTTCCAGATTACAAACTACTGTAGGGAATAATCAGTGTTTACTAATATTTCTTATATTTTCCTGAGTAACACATGGCAGGGAATCCAGATCAATAAATGTCTCCTAAGGCTTCTCTGAGGTGCTTGAGAGTTTAGGACAAGCTAAGATATCAAGTCCACACTCTTAGAGCTAATAATCTTTTTTTATTTAACACAGGAAGAATAAAGTATCAGAATGGAACTAATTTTCTGAAAGGATTGAAGAGAAATAATCAAGCATAGTATTCTAAGAGGCAACAATAACATTTTTAAAGTAAATTGCAAATTGTTAAGATGAGTTCTAAGTCAGAAAAGTCAATAGACATTGGTAACATGCTGAAATACTGTATAAATGTCATTGAGTCGCTGAGAGTTTTTTGAATAAAGCCTGCTGATTTAGGTCAATGTTAAGAAATATAGACCAAAAAAAACAAAAAACATGACAATCCTTAAAATTGTTATTCTTCTACTGTATGAACACTGATCATCCCAGTTTCCTAGTTGTGGCAAAAAAAAAAAAAAAATGAGCTCAAAGATTAGCTCTTGAATTTTCATCACAACTTTATGAACCTAATAACAGAAAATGTGTCTTTTGAATACTTGTAAGAACTGAATTATATGCATCATTATTAATTTTTCAAAGTTGATAGTTTAATAAGAACTGGCCATTCCCAAGCAACATATTAAAGTACTATTTTTTAACCTATCTTTCTTCCTATTAGACCATGATAATAGGTCCAGCCAGAGACTGTGTCATTTTTTTAAATAAGCCAAGATATAGAACTATGCCTATAACAGAAGAGATGCTTGCATATAATTACATACAGTAAATGCTGAATACTTGAATTGATGAACTCAAGACTAAAGCTGAGCCATTTTCTTTCTGACTACTCTCCTGTAAGTACCATGCATGTACTATGCACATGGAAACATCTTTGCCATTCTTTCTTTGTGAATGAAACATTGAGCTTTATAGTAGTGAGTGAATGTTAAAGTATTGACTTACCTGTTTTACTTCTATGAATAAGTTTTTATTTGGGCTCAAATAGTGAAATCGTGGCCACTCTTGAAATTTACACAGTAGAAATATGGGAGGATTATGATGAACTCTTGTGAAGTGTTTATTTAACATTACTGCCCCAAGAGCATAATAATACCAATTGGCAATGCTAGCCTGAGTAATTTGGTGTCATAAAGCTTTGCATGGCAGAACAAAAGTGGCTTCCAATATCCTGTTTATTGTTAGTTTCCAGGACAAAACGTTTATCATTTCCAAGGAAAAGAAAATCACTTTTGGAAGTTGGAAATTTTTAATGAAAACATAAGTAAAAGAGTATCTTGCTATTTCTTCTATAAAATCCCACAAAGGCCCAGGTGTCGAAACATATTTACAAAACATGCCATAGGCAGAAACAGAACAAGTGTTGTGATGGACAACTGAGGCAGCAGGTATTGCAGGGCAGGACTGAAAAACATTTCTGCGAAACTATGTGGCACCATACCACACCTGCTACTATTAATTAGAAAACTGAATTCTCTCCCTGAGCCAATATTTATATTTCTCTTTGTATCTATTACACATTACGTTTCTCATCCATTACAAGTTAAAATAGTTTTGAAAAAGACACTGTAGAATAATGGAAAAGCTCAGGATTGGGAATAAAGACATAGGGGTAGGAAGAGGGAATAGGGACTAACATTTCTTCAATAATGCACCACATGAGAAGCACTTTTACAAATATTATCTAATTCAATTTAATCCCTCCAACATCCTAGAGACAAAGTTGTAGTCCACTTTCAAAGATGGGAAATAGGTTCAGAGAGGTTATGGAAACTAGCCATTTTGTTGCAGACATGTTTTATACCAGCCTCCAAACTCTGTTCCTCCTGCTGCTGCTAATGAGCTGTATGAACTTTTGTGAATTACATTCCCATAATCTACGCTTTGGTTTCCTCTTCTGTTGTATTTGGTTAATACCATTGATCTAGGTGTTTTTAAGTGTTATTTTGATGATAAAATTAGATAACCTTTAAATGTATTTTTATCAAGAAGAAGCACTATGAAACACAGGTTACTTTGCACTCACAGCTGATTTACAGTACTTATAATAGAAGAAGGGCCACTGCATTACTATTCTTGGCCTGTCTCTGCTTCCTTGTCTCCATTTAACACATATGAAGCCACCCAATCTTACTTTGCTAACACTAGCAGTAAAGCTTTTAAAATGCGATTTTAATATACCTAACTCCTTTTCTCTCTCGTTTCAGAATTTAAGAGGAAGGGGTTTATTCTTTTTTTCTTTCTCTGAAATTTATTATTGCCCTCCCTGTTGACTCATCCTTTGCTTTCACCCACCAATTGGTAGACCTAAGTTCCTCAAAAATGTCATAGTTTGGACAATTGACCTAATTTTTAACCTCATGAACAATCTGTTTTAAAGTAGTTATATTTATAACTTTAATCTTGACTCTTACAAATAAAGTCAGACCCTTGTATTAAAAAATAAGAAAAAATATTTGTGGACATATTTTAAATAACCGTACATTTGTATTGTTTATTCAGGCACTAAACTTTCATATTTGATAGCAACAAAATGCACTTACAATCTGTAAACAGATGGAAGATTAAGCATATGGTTATTAAAATATCGATTTATTGTTCTCTAGTACAATATATTTTCCTAATTAGGTTTTTCATGGAGTTTAATGTGATGGTTAAATAAAGTAAATTGCAAAAGAAAATGTAGAGTTTTAGTAAGCAATATCTGACATATATGAAATCTCAAGTAATCCCTGCCATATAAAACTATACCCAGACTCAAAAATATATTTAAAACTTATTACTAATCACAAAACAAAATAAGAACAAATATGATTACTTTACATTCATTGATACGAATACAGCATCTATAACTATTTATTTGAGAAATATTTCCCTTTTGGAATATTCAATAGATGTTTCATATTTCATTTTGTTAATGTGAAGAAAAGGTCCCAATTATTCTTGTATGCTTAGCCATCCGTCCAGTACTTTGAGGTTCAGGTTGATATAATTAGTATGTGTACATCCTTTTTGGTACATATCCTGAAGGGGATACCATGGCTATAAAAAGTGCCAAGTCTCAGAAAAATTGTCTTAACCTCTTTTACGTTTCCTCTGACATTAAAATTTCTGATGATGAGTTGGTTCGAAGGCCCAGTTTACGTAAGATTTAAATGCCATTCAGAGAATTACAGAATTTAAAATGTGTAAGGAACTATCAAGATCCTTTTGTTCATTAACGTGACAATCTCTAATCATTTGCGTAGCACTTAGGGATTTTCCTCTTATCTTTTTATGATCTGTACCACTATGTACCTAAGTTTTTCAAAAAATTGCTTTTTTACAAAATGAATACATGAAGGACAGATACTTTAAAACAACCTTATATCAAAGTTTTAATAGGATATTAACTCATATAAAGATAAATTAATGTTAAAATAAATTATATAGGTCTATGTGTACAAAGAAGATAAATTATATAGGTCTATGTGAATAAAGAAAATAGATTATAATTAAAATAAATTTTATGTTAAATACATACACACATAAACATAGACTAAGTCATCTCTATTATAGTAGTAGGATAGATATATACTGTAAATAATAATCTTCTTGAAAAACACTCATTGTGTTTATCTTACTGTCCTCCATTATAGGATATCTATGAGAACAAGCATGAGCAAATATCTTTATTCCTGTAGTGTTTGCTCACTGAACATAGTTGTACACTTAGAGAGTAAATATTTCTTCCAAGTATTGTAATAGCTTTTAAAATAGATTTAAATGAAGTTTCAGAAACTATCTGATTATTTAATACAAATAAACTTAACAGATAAACCATGAAAAGATATACTCATCAAAATAAGTGAATATAGAAGAGTACTCTCTAGTTTTGGGATTACAAAGATCAAACTGAGTGATGACTCAAGTGGTCACACATTGTCACAGGTTTTGGTGGGAGTGGCTATTTTTTTTTTTACTTTTAAGTTGAGGGGTACAAGTGCAGGTTTGTTACATAGGTAAACTTGTGTAATGGGGGTTGTTGTACAGATTATTTAATCACGCAAGTATTAAGCCTAGTACTCATTCGTTATTTTTCCTGATCCTCTCCTTACTCCCACCCTCCACCCTCTGATATGCCCCAGTATGTGTTGTTCCCCTCTATGTGTTCTAATGATTTAGTTTCCACATATAAGTGAGAACATGCAGGACTTGGTTTTCTGTTCCTGCATTAGTTTGCTAAGGATAATGGCCTCCAGCTCCACCCATGTCCCTGCAAAGCACATGATCTCATTCCTTTATATGGTTGCATAGTATTCCATGATGTATATGTACCACATTTTCTTTGTTTGGTCTATCATTGATGGGCACTTAGGTTGATTCCATGTCTTTGCTAATGTGAATAGTGCTGCAATGAACATACCCATACATGTGTCTTTATAATAAAATGATTTATATTTCTCTGGGTATTCTACCCAGTAATGAGATTGCTGGGTCAAATGGTATTTCTGGCTTTAGGTCTTTGAGGAATTGCCATACTGTCTTCCACAATGACTGAACTAATTTACCCTCCCACCAACGATGTGTATGAATTTCTTTCTCTCCACGACCTTGCCAGCATCAGTTATTTTTTGACTTTTAATAGTAGCCATTCTCGTTGGTGTGAGATGGTATCTCATTATGACTTGGATTCACATTTTTCTAATGATCAGTGATTTTGATCTTTTTTTCACATGATCGTGCTGCATATATTTTGAGAAGTGTCTGTTCATGTCCTTTGCCCACTTTTTAATGGAGTTGTTTGTTCTTTTTTCTTATAAATTTGTTTAAGTTCCTTATAGATGCTGGATATGGAACCTTTGTCGGATGCATAGTTTGCAAAAATTTTCTCCCATTCTGGAGGTTGTTTACTCTGTTGATAGTTTTCTTGCTGTGCAGAAGCTCTTTTATTGATCACATTTGTCAAATTTTGCTTTTGTTGCAATTGCTTTTGGCATCTTCATTATGAAATCTTTGTGCTTGGGTTTTACATTTAAGTCTTTATTCCATCTTGAGTTGATGTTTGTGAATGGTGTAAGTAAGGGGTCCACTTTTAATCTTTTGCATATGGCTAGCCAGTTCTCTCAGCACCATTTATTGAATAGGGAGTCCTTTTCCCATTGTTTGTTTTTGTTATGTTTTTTCAAAGATCAGATAGTTGTAGGTGTGTGGACTTATTTTGGGGGTCTCTATTCTGTTCCATTTGTCTATGCATCTACCAGTACCTTGCTGTTTTTGTTACTGTAGCCCTGTAGCCCATAGCGCTGTAGACCTGTAGCTCTGTAGTATAGTTTGAAGTCAGGTGGCATGATGCCTCCAGCTTTGCTCTTTTTGCTTAGGATTGCCTTGGTATTCAGGCTCTTTTTTGGTTCTGTATGAATTTTAAAATAGTTTTTTTCTAGTTCTGTGAAGAATCTCAATGGTAGTTTAATAGGAATAAGATTGATTCTATAAATTGCTTTGGGCAGCATGGCCATTTAAACAATGTCAATTCTCTCTGTCCATGAACATGGAATGTTTTTCCATTTGTTTTTGTCATCTCTGATTCCTTTGAGCAGTGTTTTGTAGTTCTCCTTTGTAGTTCTACAGTGTTTTGTAGAGATCTTTCACCTCCCTAGTTAGCTGTATTCCTAGGAATTTTATTCTTTTTGTGGCAGTCATGAATGGGAGTATGTTCTTGATTTGGCTCTCATCTTGACTGTTGATGATGTATAAAAATTCTAGTGATTTTTGCACATTGATTTTGTATGCTGAGGCTTTGTTGAAGTTGTTTATCAGATTAAGAAGCTTTTGGGCTGAGATTGTGAAGTTTTCTAGATATAGAATCATGTCATCTGGAAACAGGGATTGTTTGACTATGAAGTTTTCTAGATATAGAATCATGTTATCTGGAAACAGGGATCGTTTCACTTCCTGTCTTCCTACTTAGATGCCCTTTATTTCTTTGTCTTGCCTGACTGCCCTGACTAGGACCTCCAGTACTATGTCAAATAGGAGTGGTGAGAGAAGGCATCCTTTTTTTGTGCCAGTTTTCAAGTGGAATGCTTCCAGATTTTGCCCATTTAGGATTATGTTGGCTGTGGGTTTGTCGTATATGGCTCTTATTATTTTGAGGCATGTTCTTTCAAAACCTAGTTTATTGAGACTTTTTAGCATGAAAAGATGTTGAATTTTATCAAAAGCCTTTCCTGCAGTTATTGAGATAATCGTGTGGTTTTTGTCTTCAGTTCTGTTTATGTGATGAATCATATGAAACATACGTTGAACTAACCTTGCATCCCAAGAATACATGATTATGGTGGGTAAGTTTTTGATGTGCTGCTGAATTCTGTTTGCCAGTGTTTTGTTGAGGATTTTTATATCAACGATCATCAAGGATATTGGCCTGAAGTTTTCTTTTTTTGTCATGTCTCTGCCAGGTTCTGCTGTCAGGATGATGCTGGCCTTATAGAATAAATTAGGGAGGAGTCCCTCCTTTTCAAGTTTTTAGATTAGTTTCAGTAGGAATGGCACCAACTCTTATTTGTACATCTGGTAAAATTCAGCTGTAAATCTGTCTGGTCCTGGGCTTTTTTTTTTTTTTATTGGTAGGCTATTTATTAATGCCTCAATTTCAGAGCTCATTACTGGTCTGTTCAGGGATTCAATTTCTTCCTGGTTCAATTGTGGCTAACTAATTTGGTATCATACGCCAGTGGAAAAGCTTCCAGATTTTCCCATTTAGGATCATGTTGGCTGTGGGTTTGTTGTATATGGCTCTTATTATTTTGAGGTATGTTCTTTCAAAACCTAGTTCAATCATGTTCCTGGTTCAATCGTGGCTAACTAATTTGATATCATACTCCAGTGGAAAAGCCTTTTTGATAACTTTTACAGCTTTATGTGAAAAGACCGTGTTTTTTGTATAATGCTACTCAAATGACTGTTCTCATAAACAAACAAAACAATTCTGTTTCTCAGATATCTTTTTCTCCGTATTTCACAATATCCCTTTAAAAAAATGGCACATAGAACAATGACTCCTGGCCCACACTGCTGATTCCAAACAGATCGACTTTCAGCATCTTTACACTGTAACTATTTTCTTCCTAAATTTATGATGAGAATGGCTACTGAAGAGCTAGTGAACAAACTTGAAACAAAATGCGTGTCAGGGAAGAGAATCTACAGATCCTTATCTTTATACCTATAACTTGACAACCCTGTCTCAGAACACCTACCTACATATTCACTATCCTTCAAAATCCTTCATCCTCAAGCTACTCAAATATAACTATACATATACCCATTAAGTTGAATATGACTATGAATATACATTTTTCTAAGTTTCATAAAAAGATCAATTGCTCTTGGAATCTTTACATCTTTACACATAAAGGATAAGAGTAAAAAGGCCTGTAAATTGCCTAATGTCAAAGACAGATGGTTAGTAAAGGGTTCATTTGTCTCCACTTATCCTTGTTTACTGTAAGAGTCTCATTCTCATCTACAGTTGTATTCTTATTTAAACATACTCACCGTACAATACAGCATAACGGCAGTGAATGCCAATGTATAGGAGGCACACGTTTGTCACTGTTGCTTGGTAACTACTGACAGGTACTGTGGATTGGAGAGTTGGGGTACAAAGCAATAAGTGAAAGTTTTATCAGCTCCATTGACTTCAGGTGGGAGAAAACTGTCTTCAATATAAAAATGACTCCTTTGGATTATGAAAAAGATACAGAAAAGTAAGTTTATTTCTCTATTTTTAAAAATGAAGCAAAATCAACCATTATATTGTGATAGACCAGTAAGTCATTACATGAAAAATTAGCTGATTGTTGGTAAAAAGAAGAAATGAATATACCTAACAAATCAGTCTTTGAGTGTACTCTCATTGTAGTGAGGTGAACTACTGATAATGTTTTTGATCACATTTCTTTTCTCCTTTTTATTTCCAGATTGAGAAAAAAAAAAGCCTTATTAGACTTCACATTTTAGCATGCATTTTTTTATATTGGTCCAAAACATAAACCTGTTTTGTATTTTAAAGGATTGTATTCCTTTCTCCACAATGCATATCATATAGTTGGCAAATATTTTAAAATCATAAACAAAAGAAAAGATTGAAACAAGCATGGCTTGGCCATTACTCTTAATAGGTATTTTAGTTTTGACTTTTTCAGATCACATTATTTCATCTGGCTTACTGAAATTGCTATTTCCTATAATGTTTATGGCTATCTCTGCTTATACTTTTCTACCTTTCAGTTTTAGAACGCTTGTTTCCTTCCAAATATTTACCTTAATTTTTTAGGTTAGGTAGTCAAACATAATCACTCATACATTTACAGAAAAATATATATTTCTAAACAGGCTATTGTCAGATGTTGCCAGAGATATAAAACATGATATCAGAGAAAAATTCATACCCAACACTTTCAGACTATAATTATATATTCAAAGCTCAAATGCTATGGAATTTGAGATTTTGAATCCCATCGCTGATACTTTTAAATACCATCTTTCTAATTACTTCACCCATGAGAAAATATCATGAGCTACATTAAAAAAATAAATAAAAAGAAAGAAGACGTAAAGGCAACCCGTACACTTGCTTTCATGAGTTTAGGAGGAGAGTGATTAAATTGGTGGGAGAGGCACAATTATCTGTTTCTTATTCTGTAACTTGTGTTACATTTCCCACAAAAGAGAAAACTAAATAAAATAGATGATTCTAAAATATTTTTTTCACTTAACAAATGTTCATTCACCATTTCCTACATTCCAGTACTAGCCTGCTTTTATAGATAAGAAAACAGGTTCTTAGAGATGTTCAATAACTTGACCAGCAATAACTGTTAGCCAGTGATAGAGCGCAGACAAGACCAAGCCTGTCAATTTGAAGCCTAAAATCTTAACCCCTAAATTTCATTGGCTCTTAGGATCTCAGCTCAGCTGAGGGTCCAAATAAAGGAATTATTCTATCCTTTTCTGTATTTGACCATAATATTCTGTAGGAACCTGAAATTTCCAGTTCGTGGGTCATTTCTGGAATTGAGTCTGCATTTATAATCCAAATTAATGAGTTCAACTGCAGCATATTAAGCTGGCATTCTCTCTTTAAATTGTCCACTTTTCCTACTGTTTCATTCTACTTTCATGTTCTGCTGGGAAGAATTGTCTTTACCTTCCAGATTGGGCAATTTAGCCTAGAAAAAAATAGATCTGCTGGGCACGGTGGATTGCCTATAGTAATCCCAGCACTTTGGGTGGCTGACATAGGAGGATAGCTAAAGACCAGATGCTCAAGAATAGCCTGTGAACATAGTCAGACGCCATATCTACAAAAAGTGAAAAAAAATAGCCAGGCATGGTGGCTCCTGCAGTTCCAGGTACTGGAAGGCTACTGCGAAAGAATCCCTTGAGCCCAGGAGGTAGAGGCTGCAGTGAGCTATGATCATACCAATGCACTTAGCCTCTGCAACAGAGTGAGACATTGTCAAAAAAAAAAAAAAAAGGAAGAAAGCAAAGAAAAAATAGATCCACTCATCATCCAATCTCTGTCAGATTTCCTTGAATATCTCATAATGAAAGCCATTTAAGTAAGTATAAATTTTACAAACTTAAGTCTTTTATAGAAATGTTGAACTTCTCCATAATTCACTTGCTTTCATTCTTTTGTGGAACAGACCCAATCATTGAACACACTTTTGTGGATGAATAACATGGATTGATTTAAGAAACTGACTTTACATGCTCTTAGTTTATTGTACTTGATGTAAGCTGTTGAAAGTTGCTTAAGGGAGACTGAAATTTCAGTTCAAAGTTTTCCCATCACAAATTTATGTTATCTAACTTAAAGAGAGTACACTGTTCCCAGAACACTGTGACTATTTTATTTCAGTATTTTAAAACACTAGAGGTTTAATAGAGGGAAATAAATACATAAATAATTCCAGTTAATACTAGGTCTTTTATTTTTTGGCTTCTAGCCGTAAACAGAATTCTATACATTTGTCTGGAAAATGCTAGTTAACAGAAGGTTCTCTCTGTCCTTAAAAATTGTGAAGGAAGACACTTTAAGTAAGGGCAGATAAATTAATAGAGGTCATTAGCTTTGTCATATTTGAATTAGCTATGATTGGTGTTTCCTGATATAACATAATCAGTAAGAACTCATATGAGTTTAGATTACAGGCAATGATAATATTTAATAATATACCCAGGTAAATAGACATAAAGGAATTCAAGTTTTTACCTGCAAACACTCAATCTAGATCTTGACTGAAAACTTGAAATATATTTGATGACATAATCACAATGTTGGGATATCTTGATCTGTCTATAAATGTGGCATAAAAGAATAAACATATCATTAACATAGGAGTTGGGATCACTTTTTACCTTTGTTATCAAATAAGTAAAATAACAGTCATAAACAAGTAAAATTAAAATATTTGGTGGAGGGCAACAAAATCATCTGTAATTTAAAGAAAAAATGTGAAATTCCATTTATTACAATAAGTAACAGATAATCATTTATTTTACATTATAGCTCCTTTGAGTGGTCTTTGACTAGCTCTCCTCAAACGCTGAATAATCACACTATGTGAGTAATAGGACTGACATTCTGAGGAAGCGTCTGTCTGCAATAGGCACACATTTCAAAGAGCAAAATCTTCTTGCAAAATATAGCATGGCTATTAGTAGTTATCTATGCTTCAGATGTAAGAGTTCCCTTGGAGAGCCAATCCATAGAGAGACCAATGATGCCCATTAGACTAACAGATATTTGGAGTTTTGGTCATCCATAGGCTGCCCTTGGTTGTCATTCGGTCTGAAGGACTGAATCTCTCTACCTGAACTTCAGCTTGATAACTGGGAGTTCATTGTTTATGCATGGACCACTCATATGACCAGTGACTGCTGACTGAGGCCTGTGGTTCCCAGATTAGTTTTTTGCACTAGATCTCCAATTACCATAGTCAGTGGAGATTTCCAGACTGCTTGGACATCAGGCCTCTTCTGTTTACTAGAACAGCTCTATGGGGTAGATCCACTCTATGTACCGTTTTTTTTAATTGTTAAAAATGTTTTCATTCTTTGATAACTTAGTTGTGAATCAAGCAAATTTATAACTAGCAAAGAAGCTTTGAGTTATGGAATATCTTTATGCATCTCTATTAATGCCAATATATTAATATTATCATTAATAATTCTATTTGTTACTAAGTATGCTAGGCACTCCAAATATGTTTGTGTTTGTTTAAACCTTACAACAACCATTTAAGGTCAGTGCAATTATTTCTTTTTATCAAATAGGACACTAAGGCATCGAGAGTTCATACATGTCCCACAAGCTCTCATAGTGAGAAAGTGGCAGAGTCACGATTCAAATCTAAGTGACTTGGCTTCTGAATCTAAACTCTTAGCCACTACATTTCACTTGTTCTTCAGTTTTACTTTTGATAGTGTTGCCAACCTAGTAATTCAGAAAATGTGGTAGTATGTCTACAAAGCATTTAGTGAGATATGTTAGGAGATGTTGTTATTTATTTATTTAAGACGGAGTCTTGCTCTGTCGCCCAGGCTGGAGTGCAGTGGTGGGATCTTGGCTCACTGCAAGCTCCGCCTCCCAGGTTCACACCATTCTCTAGCCTCAACCTCCCGAGTAGCTGGGACTACAGGTGCCCGCCACCACGCCTGGCCAATATTTTGTATTTTTAGTAGAGACGTGGTTTCACCATGGTAGCCAGGATTGTCTCGACCTCCTGACCTTGTGATCCGCCTGCCTCGGCCTCCCAAAGTGCTGGGATTACAGGCATGAGCCACCGCGCCTGGCTGAGATGTTTTTATCTCTTATTGAGATGGAAAAGTGTATCCTGAATACTCATTAAATCAGGTAGATTTGTTCCCAGACTCAAGATTTGAGGATCCATTGCTAACCTGGAGGGAAATGTGTTGTTGGCCATAAGGCTGTTCTCAACAGTTAAGCATATTTATTAGTGACTGTGTTTATATCTGCAAAACAAAATCATCAGACTTCAGATGAAACTGGAAAAGACAGCAAATGCTTTGAATGCCTGAACTAAAAATATCTTGATAAACTGCAGGAAAGAGCTGAATATCAACAGATGACATTAAATGAGAAAAAACAACAACAAAAAAAACATCCTGAACTTTCCTTAAATCTTCACATTATAGATGTGGAAGAAAAGCAGCATCTGTGGGAATGCTTTAGAGACTTCAGGTCTGTGTGAATCACCACTTGGCTGTGGCCATCACTAAAGATGATCCTTGCACAGGTGGTAGAGAGAAAATCAGACAGTATCTACAATGAAGAAAAATATAGCTCCATTCTATTCTGCTTTTGTCAAACCACAGTTTTTAATGTTTATTCGTAATTGTACTTTTGAAGGGCATTATAAACACCACAGACATTGTTAGGGAAAGGTAAACAGTTTGGTGAAGAATCCCATATTTTTCGAGAATGCTTGAAGAAGGTACAGATATTTGGCTTGGAAAAAAAAATTGTGTCTAAAATACTGTTTTGAAAAGAGCAATTAGAAAGTTATTCAATTCTCTTAAGAGTAAAACTAGGGGAACAAAATGGAAGTAACGGGAAGGTGCATTTTTGATCAACATAAGACAAAGTTTTACAAAATCTAGACCTTCCAACTTAGAAATCAGTGAATCCCCAAGCACAAGATTTAGAGTTATCTTGCCATACAGTTGTAAAGAGAATTCAGGGATAAACCACAGTGTTGGATTATATGTTAATGAAGGTCCCTTTGGAATTGCAAAATGTTAGAGTTTTTTCCCTTGCCACCAGTTTGTTTGTTCCTGAAAATTGAGGTCAGGAAGAGACCTCTAGAGAGAAAGGATAAGTCCTAGGAAGTCTACAGTAGCTGGACACAGTGAACATCCTAGACCTGGAAGCCCACCTGGCCTCCTTGGGCAGCATAAGCCCTCTTCTGCTTAAAACCTTTAGATTCTATTCTTTCATCCTCTGTTCCTCTTCTCTGTCTCCCATACCCTAAAGCCTAGTTCACATTTTAAAGGTATCAAAAATGTGTGGTTGTGGATTTCTTTAACTTTTTTTTTTTTTTGAGACAGGGTCTCACGCTGTCACCCAGGCTGGAGTGCAGTGTCATCATCATGGCTCACTGTAGCCTCTGCCTCCTGGGTTCAAGTGATTCCCATGCCTCAGACACCTGAGTTGCTGGGATTACAGGCATGTGCCACCACTCTGGGCTAAGTTTTTTATATTTTCAGTAGACACAGGTTTTCACCATGTTAGCCAGGCTGGTCTCAAACTCCCGGCCTCAAGTGATCCTCCCACCTCAGCCTCCCAAAGTGCTGGGATTATGGGCATGAGCCACTGTGCCCAGCTGATTCCATTAACTTTTATGAAAACAACAAGGACTCTGTTATTCATCTGTATATCTCTTGATATGCTCTGGCTGTGTCCGCACCCAAATCTTACTTTGAATTGTAATAACCCCCACCTGTAAAGGGCAGGACCAGGTGGAGATCGTTGAATCATGGGGCCGTTTTCCCCCATACTGTTCTCGTGGTAGTGAACAAGTCTCACGAAATCTGATGGTTTTATAAATGGGAGTTCCCCTGCAGAAGCGTCTCCTGCCTGCTGCCATACAAGAGGTGACTTTGCTCCTCATTCACCTTCAGCCGTGATTGTGAGGTCTCCCCAGTCATGTGGAACTGTGAGTCAATTAAACCTCTTTCCTTTATAAATTACTATACCAGTCTCAGGTATGTTTTTATTAGCAGCGTGAGAACAGACTAATACATCCCTCTGTTCCTTGAATAGCATCGTCCTGATGATACAAAAGTGGTTCAAGAACTTAGTGTGGTGTGGTATGATTTCCTCAATGGCTGTTATGGAGCCTTTTAACATGACTCCAAAGAGAGCATTCTTAATGCAGCATCTGCCAGATTTTGGAGAAGAGTTCTGAACTGCTTACATTATTACCTCAGAGTAGATCTGCACTCCCTTCCTCTGGCTTGGTTCTGTCGGCTAACAGAATCTTATCCTCATTCTCTGAAAACTGGTAGAAGGATAGAGATAACAAAAGAAGGAGTTCACCATCAGTTATGTGCCTGCTGTTTGTTAAACACTGAGTTCCTCTTTTACATTTACTATTGCATTTAGTCTTCATGCCAAATTTTGAAAGTAAGTATGAACACGTTGATCTTACAGATAAGGAAACTGAAGTTCATCTCAGGGAGAAACTTACTCCCAAGCAGAGTACTGGCCGGTGTTAGAGCTGAAGTCCCTAATTACACCCCTCTGATTTTCATCCCACTGAGGGGAGTGGAAATGCGAACAGACGTGGAATGAGTGAGCTTTCAAAAGTCTAGCTCTTAATTGCTGCAAATCTACTCCCTGTAAAGATCTGCCATTTATAGGCACAAGAATACAAACAACCCCAAAATAATTACCATCAGACCACAGGGAATCTGGGAAAGAAGGACAGTAGGAGGGGAAAGTAAGTCTCCAAGCTTCTCTCCGTTCTTTATGTTAAGAATTGTAACAATACAAGTTATCAAAGCTCCTGAAAGAATTGCACGGATTTTTATTTCAATTTTGCTATATTTTTAAGTTTCTCATTACACATGAGAAGCACAAATCCTGTGAAACTGCAGAAAATAAAGGCCAGGTTTTTTAACTTTGATCACTACAACCTTGAAATAGATTCTTATTTATGACCTGATCTATTTTTTTGTGGACACTGGGCTAGAATGAAATTAGATCTGATTAGATCCTGGAAAAAAAGAAACTAAACAAAACACACACACACACACACACACACACACACACACACACGTTGTTTTAATGATGGTGGATATGCAAGAAAATAATAAAGAATTTTGACAGGACAGGGTTTTTTTTTTAATTCTTTGCAGCTCAAGTTACTGCTCTCTTACTTGGGCATAGATAGTAGAAATACCTTTTTAAATGAAAGCATTTAAATGAAGTATGTCCAATGTTGTTGCATAAAATCCCATTTGACTTGATTCTGCTTCTTTCTGATGAACCACATATTTATTTGCTGCATCAAGTTCCTTTAGAAAAAGTTATAAGTTTATCAAACACGTGGGCAAATATCAGATAATTGTTATATTCTGTATAATACATAGTTTTATAGTCTACATACGTGTAATAATTGCTGCCTATAATTGCAGAAGTTCTGGGTAAGGGGGAGAACAAGAAGAAATCAAACACTATGGCCACTGACCATGTTGGGCAATTAACTGAGATCTTTTCCTCTTGGATAAAAGGAGGGGCCTGGACCAGCTATTTTGTGGGTTCCTATCAGGTCTGACATTTCATATGACCTCATGTCTGCCGAAACAGTGGTTTTTGTGCAATTATCCAAGAGCTAAAATAAAAGGAGACTTCCAAACATAACTAGTGTTAAACTCCATCTCAGCTTTTCATTTCATGAATTAGAATATAGTATAGTTTCCTTACTTTATAAAGGCACTTTGGAAAATTTTATTTTCTGTAACAGTTCTTAAAACATTCCCTTCACATCTGAAGGGCTTAGTGAATATTTGTTGAACAAGTGAATGAATAAATGAAAGAATAATACGAATTCATTTTGTATTTTGAATTCATATTAGCCCCTAAACTACCTGTTTTTTTTAGCTCATCCCTTTATCACTATCATTACTAAATTTTCTAATTTTGTTTTTATCTAATAATACTGTTTTATTAGATTTCCCTTGAATCAGGGTAATTTAGATAAACAAAGTTTCAGTGAGTGTTATTACATTTTTACTATGGTTCTAGATGTCGTTGGAACGCAGAGATGGGACAAAGAACTCATTTGCCCTCCAGGGACTTACAGTCTAGCCGGGTGAATAGAAGTGAAAAACAAACAAACAAACAAACAAACAAAAACGCTTAACAAAAAGGGAGACCATAATAGAAATTAAATGGAGGAAGACTATGTGTACATTTGAAGGAACCAGAACACTTTTCAGAAAAAAACAAACAAACAAAAAACAACTTTAAAGACAAGTCTTAAGGAGTGGGTGGAGTTTTGACACAGACTAGTGGGAAAACAGTTCTGGGTTTTTCTACACTAACTTGATGCTGGATCCAATCTGGACTGAGTCTGGGATTTGTGATTCCTTTATAAGGTTAAAAATAATAACAGGTATCTCAGTGTTTTTTGTGATCTTTAAAAGGTTCAAAGCCATTGATGAGTTTCCTATTATTGAGTCCTCATATCCACCTTACATGTTAGGCAGAGTGGACATCATTATCCCTATTTGTTAGATGAGGAAACTGGGCTCACCAGTTCTCAAGGTTGCGGAGACAGCAGGTGATTAAACAGAGAAAACCACCTCTTACCTTGGAAAATCAATGCTGTTGATACTGTAATAATTTACATCATATCGGCAATGGGAAACTATCAGTCTGAGACCAAGGCTCCATCTTCCTGGGAGTGGTGTTATCCATATTATGTGTTTTAAGCAATGCTGTTTAACCAAGAACTTCTTAATTATCATCAAACCCCCTATGGTAACAGCACATGCTTATGACTAGAAACTCAATTATCTGAAAGAAAGGTGTATAAAAAGAGAGAATACTGAAATCTCAAATGAGCATTTGCCAGAAGAACATGGTGTGCATGGTGTATGTCACATAGCTATCTTGAAAAAACAAGCTTCGTGTTCTATAGGTAAGTCTCAATCATTTGAAAAAACATTAAAGGCAGGGTGATCATGAGAATAGTATAGGACATTGAGGGCAGGCAAATGTGAATTCAAACTCAGGAGCTCTGAAGCATTTTCCCCAGTAGAAAGCATCTTTTTTGTTGGCTCACTGCAATGATTTCTAGATTCCTAGGCTAAAACTCATATGCCTAAAAATATACTGAAAATTTAAGGAAAATAGAGGAAACAAAATAGAGGAAGCATATTTGAGAGAAAATCAAGATCAAGTGGCAGAGTTTAATGTCGGGATCATTTCTGCCAATTATCCTTGGTTTTAAGCAGCTATTGTAGATGCTAATTTTGTTTCAACTTTGGAGAGTAGTTAAGAGGAGGAAGGAATGAAAATTTCTCCTCTTATTTTTGGCCTATATAGTCTCATTGATCTGAACTGCACAAAGAATTAAAGAGCATTTGTGCAAAAATACTAGATGTTGAGAGAGCCCTTACCATGCTTTTGAAAATTGCGTACATTGCATTTGTAATAATCCAGATGTAAGGATTTCCAATGACCTTGATATTCCTGATACAAAATGGGATTCTAAGCATGTCCAAATACCTCCAGAAAAACTCTCAACCCTCACACCTCAATCATGAGTCCCTCATCTATCTTTCCTTATAGAAATTATATTTTGACTTCTTGAAGCCATTTTAAGCCTTTGTTCTTTTTCTGTCTGGGAAATAACAGACAGTGTGACCCCGGCTGTCATCTTGTTTTTCAACTGCTGGAGTGATTCTGCTCAATAAGTAGCAACCAATGGTGACTACTGTAATTTGAATTATAAAAGGGAGGGTGGAATGATGTGCAGACAAAGCTCAGATGTGGGTTTGTTGATATTTGTAGCAGGAGGTTAATTAGCATTAGCAGAAGTATCAGCAGTTGCTTGGACTTACTCATAAGGTACGGTTTGCTATTAACAGTATAGTACAGAGGAAAACAAGTCAAAATAGTTTTTGTTCCTCTTACAGAAAACCATTTACAAAAACAAACATAAAGTAATTGGATTCTTTTTTGTTTGCTTTCAGTTTCTCCTTTCCAGCTAAGTGTTTGATTTAGCTGCTTCTCTTGCTCCTTCCAAGTCTTACATGGTTTGAACAGCAATAGTTGTGCTTTCTTTTTCTCTTTTGCATTAGCTCCTTCCCTACTCCCTCTCCCATCCTTTGGTTCTTGTTGTTTTCCCTTGAGGCGAAAACTTTATGTTCGGATGATTTTTTTTTTATTTGTAATTACTGATGGGTGCATTTTTATGGGTGCTTTATAAGTTTGGGATTGTATGGATCCAAGGCACACAACCATTCCTCTGATTGCTCTTTTTCCATCTAAATTGTTTGAAGCCACTGCCTCCCTCTAATCTTTGCAATGAACAGAGTAACTATTGTAGCTAATGTTTAAGCTTTGATCAAAGCCCAGAGAAGGCTTATATTGGTTTGACTTTGTTCGTAGTTTCCTTCATTTGCTCTCTAATAAGCAAGAAAACATGGATTATTCTTTTAAAATGGCATTTTAAAAATCTGTATGCAAGAAAATTTAGTGTCACTTGAAAAACTATTCCAGATATTCTCAAAATAAATGTCCAGTGTTTAGTAACAATAGGGTTATTTAATAAATAGATGATCTTATAGTATTAATATATTTTTGAAGTTTTATAAAAAATTTACGTTCATAATCTATTGCAGATGTTAATTAATAATGAAAGATCAATAAATAATAGCCATAATGTAAATTAAAATATCTCCTGCTGTGCAAGACTACAGTTATTAGATTTTTAATGAGGATATTTTAAATAATTCCTTCATTCTTTCCTTTTGTGAAGGAAACCAAAAATGAGTGAAAAAAAATTAAGGAACTATGCTGTTTTTTAAAAAACTGTGACCACAAATCAAAGTGCTTAAAATTATTTTAGGAAAATTAACCTCACGGTGATAAAGGATATGGTGCTTGGTGTGCCACCATTGTTTTGTGTAGAAATGTGAAAGAAAGGAAACAGTAACGTCATTTCCACTTCGACTTGCCAAATCAAGACCATATATGTGTGTGTATGTGTATATACATTTAGCTGTAGCTTATTTATAAAAATACTAGCACACAAGACTCATAGGTATATGAATATTACTAGGTATTTTGGTTCCTTGAATAGACAAGTTGTAAATCCTTCAATAAATAATTTATCCGACTCTGTTGTACAGAGGAAGATGCAGCAGTCGACATAGGCTAAGTGATGAACCCAAGTTGAATTAGCAACTTGGGGACTGGGCTGGGGCTGACATCTAAATCCTTGACCCTTTATTTAGCAGCCTTTTCTTAAATCTACAATGCCATATAGGCATTATCTTGGAAATCAGGATAAAGACATCTTTGGTTTTAATTTTATTTATCTTCCATCTTATCTCTGTTAAAATTCATAGGATATGTAGCCTATAATTTATGGGCTGAAGAATTGGAAATGTGTTAAAAGTGAAGCGATTTTAGGATTCTGTTCAAGTTTATGTATGCTCAAATTTTATTTCACATTTCAAAAGAATATTTATATCTTGAATTCCCATGATTGATGAAAGAAAGTAAAGGAAGGAGAAGCTTTATTTATAACTCTCCTCTGTTGTAGTGAGAGGATGGCTGCTGCAATGTCTTCAGATGCTGATAGCTAACGATCAAACTATTTAAGCAACATGAAGATTAGCTGTAGATATATGGATAAGAACTATAAATCCACATTTCCCCTGTGTGGTCAGTGGAGAGCAGGCAATTTTTTTGTTTTTCATTAATGGTCTGAGTGCCTTATTGTGTCTAAGTAATAAAAATACATAAATAAAAATTTTAATTGCCACAGTAGACTTTGGTGAAGGACTAACTTAAAATAGGTTTTAGGCTGCTTGATACTTGAACATTGAGCTACCACATGAAATAAAAGGAAATTCTAGGCCTGAGAGGCAATTAAAGTCCGAGAGAGAGAGAGAGAGAGAGAGAGAGAGAGAGAGAGAGTTAGGGAGAATATTCTTATATCATGAGAAAATATATGAAGACCAAGCAAGATAGAGGAAGGAATCAAAGACAAAGTAATAAATGCAAGAGCTTAGAAATGGATTGATACAAATAAGGAATCAGGCTTTAAAGGGTATGGTGATTTTGAGTAATAATAAAAAATAGTTAATATTTTTGAGCACTTACATTATGCTAGTATTATAAGGTTTTTACCTAAACTATCTTAGTTAATTCTTATAACACTTTGTATGTGTGTTGAACAATATGTATAATTATTTTCTAGAGGAGGAAAATTAAGTAATAGCAAAATATTTTCCCCAAGGACACTCAACTAGAAAATAGTTGGAAGACTCTGTATTTGAACTCAGGAATGTCTAAATCAAGAATTGGAAGCTCTGAGCCATTCTATTATACTGTCTCCAGTGATCAATTGTCTCTAATCCTTGCTGGTATCCAAGACCAGTGGGTGTATGATTCGTAGGTAATTTGAGCTGGCATAATGGACCAAGGGCCTGGCAACAAACAAACAGAGCAAGAAATAAATTATAATTCTTCTGTAGCTGTACCATTTTAACATATTTGTTATGCAGGAAACCTTAAATTATTTTAAAAGACAAGCATCTTCTTCAAATTATCTGGAATGTCTAGCAAGTTGATGCTAGGAAATATGCTATTTTTCCATTCTTTTTAGTATATTCTTTCTCATCATAATGCCATCCTCAAAATACTTAGCACATGGTAAATGAGGGAAAAATCTATATGAAAAAAATGTGGCAAGAATATTGAGGAAGTGATTAAGAACAGATGGATGTTTTGCAAGCACAAAAGAATTCTAAAATAAATGAGAGTTCACAAGAGGTTTGTAGGAATCAGTTAACGTCCTATGCAAATATTGAGATACGTGTGCAAAAGTCACATCCAGGTCTCGCTTCGTTTATGAGCCACAAGCAATAATAATACAGAATAAGTCTTTTTGCAGAATGGCCAAACTTAACTATTTCTTTATAATCTTCATGTTACAATATTTTTTAGATGCAATTCACCCGATTTCCCATCCCAACCTTATCATTTCCCACTCTTATCAACTTCTGGCTAATAAGGCTCACAAGCCAACAGGGAAAGTATGCCTTTACAGCTATACTAGATAAGCAAGCACTTTACAAATGCCAAGACACAAGATTTATAGTAACGTGTAATCTTAGACGTGGTGTCACCACAGACCCTTCGACTCCCTCCTGCTTCCTATTTATCTCTAATCAAAACCACTTGGGCTCACAGTGTAGCATCCATCAGATGTAAGTGACAAAACTGGGAGAGAATAGTGAACCTCACTGAGACTAGAAGATCTCAGGTGTGTTTAGTATAGGAAAGCAGGCAGTGCATGAGTGACTACAATCCCTGAGCAACACAACTAGAAAGGACATATGGATACAGGTTCAAATTTTTAAAATATATTTACCCTATCCACTAGCAAAATGTGACCAAGTGAATACAAATACACCTACAGTATTTTCTCCAAAACTGCCCTCAGTGAGAAAAGGGATCTTGCACTAATGGCATCTCCTTTCAATGAGTAGAGGCAGGAACATGGAGAAAGCTAGAGAAGGGCTCTCCCTTTCGAAAGAACCAATAGCAAAAAGACTAGTTCTCAATTCTATTTGCTCCAGGATGTGGAGTAAAAATAATTTATTGATAGTTTCTCAGAAGGACAAGAACATTTAGATTTGGAAGGTAGCATCTAGGATACCAATAAAAATATCTAACTATTAAACAGTTACCTGGTGTTAGGTATTACATTGTGACCTCCACATATGGCATTTTATTTAGTCTTCACAGCAATGTCTGAGAACAAATTATACATATGTAACAGATATAAAAACCTAAAAAAAAGATATTAAAGAGTTTACTCAAGGGTGAAAACAGTCAGAATGCAGAATTCAACCATATTATTTTATGAATTTTTACTGACAAAATATAAAAATTTACTATATGAAGTTAGTATGATATTTGATATTATCTGTCAGGAAAAAAAGCAGCATTTAGGATACATAAGCAAGTATAACTGATTTCAAAATATTGTCCCTTCTGCCATGCAATCTTTGCAGGAGTTGCTAATTCAGAGGTAATGAGCTCTTTTCTCTCATACATTGCAAGGAATTTACCTTTGCCTGCACATGAGCAGATGATAATCATCTGTGGAACAAGATGCAGCATAGGGAAGAAGCTGGTGAGGGCAAGACTACTAAGATTTTACAATATGTTATAAACAGGCTCTCTATGTAGGGGCCGGTATGTCACTGGTCTTTTCCTCGCTGATAAAAATCAGTGCGTTAGCCAGGCGCAGTGGCTCACAGCTGTATTCTCAGCACTTTGTGAGGCCAAGGTGGGAAGGTTGCTTGAGTCCAGGAGTTCCAGACCAGCTTAGGCAACATGACGAAACCCCATCTCTACAAAAGTGCAAAAATTAGCCAGGCGTCATGGCATGCGCCTGTCCCAGCTAATCAGGAGGCTGAGGCACAGAAGGATCGCTTGAGCCTTGGAAGTGGAAGTTACAATGAGCTGAGATCACACCACTGCACTGCAGCTTGGGTGGCAAGCCAGACTGTCAAAAAATAAAAATAAAAATAAAAAACAGAAAGAGAAAAAGAAATCAGAGTGCTCATACTTTGAAGTATTCATTTTGCAGGTGGGGAAAAGAGATGTTAATGCACTAAGTAAGAAGTTAATAGGTAATATTTTTCCTTTCTGTCTTTCTGAGAAGGCTTGCATAAATAAAAATACACTCAGCAGCCATTTTCTTTTGCCCCCTATAATTAAATCTCAGAATACTATTACCTTCAAATATTTAGCCTTGGTTTCATTAATTTCATTAATTTCTTTTGGTAGGCATATTGCTTTACCACATGATGTTTGATTGCAAATTGTTTTGAATCCAGAATTTGCTTTGTAGTTCTCCTACCAGGAATTTCTTCAGCATAAGTTTTAACAAAACCTATTTTCTAAAATTTTATTTCAAAGAGAAATATAAGTAAAAAGATATCTGGATTCTGAGTACTCAGTTTTGAAATAAAGACAATAGACTTATTCAGCCAACAATGGTTGGACTTTATATTAGGTTGGTGCAAAAGTAATTGTGTTTTTGCCAGTGCACTTTTTTATTTTTATTATTTTTTATTTTATTTTGTTTTATTTTATTTTATTTTATTTTATTTTATTTTATTTTATTTTATTTTATTTTATTTTATGTTATTTTATTTTATTTTTAGAGGCAGAGTCTCACTCTGTTGTCCAGGCTGGACGGCAGTGGCCCGATCTTGGCTCACTGCAAGCTCCGCCTCCCGGGTTCACACCATTCTCCTGCCTCAGCCTCCCGAGTAGCTGGGACTACAGGCGCCCGGCTAATTTTTTTTTTTTTTTTTTTTTTTTTTTTTAATAGAGATGGGGTTTCACCTTGTTAGCCAGGATGGTCTCGACCTCCTGACCTCGTGATCCGCCTGCCTCGGCCTCCCAAAGTGCTGGGATTACAGGCATGAGCCACCTCTCCCAGTCTTGCCAATACATTTAATGGCAAAAACCACAATTACTTTTGCACCAACTTAATATATTCTCCAGTGTCTTAGGAACTGTGAAATGTACCAAGAAAGTTGTGGCTTATCTCCTTCCTAGAGGGACCATCCGATACTCCTTTACTCCGCTGTTTGCCCGTGTTGCAGTGGTTTTGAGGGCTTGATGAATAACTATTCATCCAATCAGCGAGTATATAGTATTTTCTCTTATGTACTTGGTATGGGCTAGGACCAAGATATTCGATCTTGAATTGGACATGGTAGTAGAGAGGAGCAGATAAATAGCTGACTTTCGAAGTCACAAAATGAAAGTGATTCCCTGAACAGCTGTGACCTGAATTTGAATCTTTGGTCTACTATGTGTAAGCTGTATGACCTTGAAAATAATGTGATTTCTGTAAATCCCAGACCCGAATTAGTAGCATGAGATCACAAATTTCTTCTTCACTGGCTTGTTATGAGGATTAAATGACCATGTATATAAAACACTACAACCTAGAAATTGTTTAATAAATAGTAGTTGTTTCCTCATCCTTTTTTCAGCCACACATAAAGGTAGACCTAAAAAAAAAAAAGCAAATTCAGGAAGGATATGTTGATTATGGAGGTAGAAGGTGAATAAGACCTTTGGGGAAATGAGCCCTGTGTTGCAATAATCTCACTTATGAGACTAAGAGAAGTTCTCTTAGACAGATCTGGTATTTTCTCTTTCTCTCTCTCAACTCTTTAATCTTTGTTAAGCCATACCCACCAGGGTACATAAAACCAGAAAATATTCCATTAAGCCCCTGATGGTTTCAGCCTATTTTTCACCAGAGCACAATCTAATAAATCTTTTCTTGGGATCCTTTACTCTTTCATTGAACTGATAGACTTTGGTTTTGAAGATAGATTAATAATTCCACTTATTATGCTATAACTATGTTCCAAAGAATTTATCCTTGGTCTTCAAAGAAACACTCTGAAATAGGTCCTATAATTATATTTATTTTATACAAGTGGAAAGGGAGAATAATAGAGAAGAAATAATTTGTTCAAAGTCACATGTCTACTATGGAGAAATGAACCAAGGTTTGTATGGCTGCAGTAGCTGCTGTTTTGAAATTGAAAATAACAATAATAGTTATTCAACATTCTAGTTATTCAGCATTCTAAGCAAATTCACCAAGAAATAAAGGACAGGGGCCCTTGCTTCTTCACTTCAAAAGCTCTTGAAATGATGTCGTGTAGCTGTTACTCTCTGAAATTGGCTTATCCTCTGGGAATAATTATGCAATAATCACTTATAAATGGCTGCAGGGAAATGCTGAAGCTGGACTGTGTAAGTCTTGCACTGCTAAAGAAAATAATTGCAAATATTACCATGGTTAAGACAGCTGTTTATTTCTGTCGAATGCATGAGAATATATGGAACAAATAAAGACTAATTTATCTGTGTAAAAACATATATACACATTTGATTCAAAATTGATATCCGGGGAAAAGTTTTATCTTTTTTTTTTTTGCCCTGATGGAAAGATAATGCTGCCTAAAAATAATACACTATGTAAATGTCATCAGATTCAATCATATCTTTACCATGTTCAGCAGTTTTTAATGCCGGAATGGGTATTGTAGATATAACAAAAAGTAAACTCAGTTTTTCATACTATACTCTCACAACAAAAACACTTCTGTGACCAAATGTATGTGGGGGGAGTAAGCAAGCAATTCTGCAGATGATTCTGCAGGAGATCCTGTAGTGAATACCAGCTAGACGTTCTCTATTTCAATTCAGTTTTGACATTATCCACCTGAAGACAGTATCACATCCCACAGACTGAGGGCTCAGTCCCACAGGACTGCTCTGCACTTCCAATGGCAATCACAGGTCCCAGGTTGTTTTACCTGTGTTTCTGACCAACTGGCTATAAATTTGCGTTCCCATGACCCCCTTCCTGTGTTGCATTAATTAGCTAAAGAGGCTCAAAAAACTCAGGGGAACACGTACTTACATTTACCAGTTCAGTATAAAGGATATTACAAAGGATAAAGATGAACAGCCAGATGGAAGAGACACATAAGGCAAAGCGTGGGAGAAGGGAGCACCAAGATTCCATACCCTCTCAGCACACACCACCCTCCAGGAACCTCCACTTGTTTAGCTATCTGGAAGCTACTGACCCCAATTCTTTTGGGTTTTCATGGAAGTCTTATTATGTAGTCATGATTGATTAAGTCATTGGCCATTGGTGACCACCTTAACTTTTAGCCCTTACCTTCCTCCAGAGGTAGGAGGGGAGGGGTTAAAAATCCCAACCCTCTAACAAAGCCTTGGTCTTTCTGGTAACCAGCCTCCATCCTGAAGCTACCTAGGGGCTGCTAGTCACTAGTCATCTCATTAACATATAACAGATACTCTCCATTCTACTTACTCCAAGGATTTTAGGAGCTATATGTCAGGAAATTGGGATAAAGACCAAATATGTATTTCACAATATCACAGTTATATTTTAACAAACACCATTAGTGAGTAGTATTTTTAGTGAAAATGAATGCATTATTTCCATATTATTGAAAGGAGTATTTGTTCTTCCTCTTTACTAAAACTAAGCTACAGTTTCAATGAGAAAAAATAAAGTAATGGTATCAATCATGAAATTGAGTAGATAAGATTAATGCATTCTTGTATCCTGAGTATAAACAAAACAAATAGTTCCACCATGGCTCAGTTCCTCAGTTTGCTAAATTTTATCACATCTTCTAACTTCAGACTATGTTCTTCTTTCACATGGACTACCTGCCTTCATCCCCAAATTTTTATTGAAACTAACTTTCATTGTGCATTGTATTTTTTTTTTTTTTTTTTTTTGAGACAGAGTTTTGCTCTGTTTCCCAGGCTGGAGTCCAGTGGCATGATCTCGGCTCACTGCAACCTCTGTCTCTCACATTCAAGCAATTCTCCTCCCTCGGCCTCCTGAGTAGTTGGGACTACAGGCACATGCCACCACGCCTGGCTACTTTTTTTGTATTTTAGTAGAGATGAGATTTCACCATGTTGCCCAGGATGGTCATGAACTCCTGAGCTCAGGCAATTTGCACGCCTCGGTCTCCCAAAGTGCTGGAATTACAGGCATGAGACACCGTGCCCAGCCTGTGCATGGTATTTATCACTATTTGCAGTTCTACATTTCTGTTGGATAACTTATTTACCTATTATGTTGACACCTTAAACTACAATCTCTATCAATTTGCTTATTTATCTATCCCAGATTCCAAAAAGTTATAGATACGTAGTAAGTTTTTGAAATAAAAAATTTATTATATTCCACTCCTTTGCACATCACTCATTCTCATCCCATTCCTTTTTCAGTGCTGGTCTTGAACATTTTTCCTATTCCTACATGAATTAATATATCTAAACCTTGTTTCATACTGAATCTAGTGCACAGAGTATTACTGGTTGTTATCTTAATGTGTCCCCCAAATTTCATGTGTTGGAAACTTCATCACCCAATTCATGTGTTGATAGTATTTGGAGGTGGGGTCTTTAAGAGGTAATTAGGATTATATAAAGTAATCAGAATGGGATTTCCATCATGGGACTGGTGGCTTTATAAGAAGAGAAAGACCTGAGCTGATGTACTCTAGCACTCTGGCCATGTGATGGCATCTGACATGTTATGACACAGCAAAAAGGCCCTAACAAGATGAGGCTCCTGACCTTGGACTTTCCTGCCTCTAGAACTGTAAGAAATAAATTTATGTTAAGTATAAATTGCCCAGTCTCAGGTATTCTGTTATAGCAACAGAAAACAGACTAAGACAGTGGTGGCTTTAATAATTAATTATTTTGTCTCCTTCATTTATTTGCCGATTATTCAAATTGTATATGTGTCACATATGCACAAATATGATTTTTCTGTACCAAGTCCATCATTTAGTCAAATAACTTGGCCTTAATAGTATTCTGGTAGTGTTCAATTTAAATGACTAGTCAACAAATAAAAATAATTACTTTGTTTCTTTTACCTTTTCTTCTCTGTTACCTTAAGTACTTACATTTGATATTTCATCACCGAATTATATATTTAGGGAGTTATTTTCAGTTCTACCCACAGTATAAAATTTGGTTTTTATTTTTGTTAATGCTGTTTTTCCCATAAAAGATCAGAGTATTTTAAATAGGGCATTGTGTTCAGGAAACCTGTCATAGATATTATATAAATGTTCTTTAGCTATTGACTTTTAAATGTAACATCAACTGATTAATGTACAAAAGGGATGTGCATCATGGGGATACAAACACTGACCTAACTGCAATAACTAAATTTCAAAATGTGGTTTAAAAAAACCCAGCAAACCCTACATTAAGAATCAGGATTCTAGTCTTGGTTTTTCTACTTGGTGACAAAGTTTTGGATCATTGGTAATATGACTAGGTTGACGTAGTTTTCAAATACGTCTAAACAGTTGTATCCATTTTCCAAAGAAATCCTTCAATAGAACCCATTAGATTAAACAGGTAAAGTGAATGCGATCTGGCTGAAACTTGAAAGGAAATGTGAGGGCCTCCAAAGAAGCATGTAAATCTCCCCTTGTCTCAGTTCCCAGGCTTTCCACTTAAAGCTACCCGCAAGGCAACTTCATGGAACAGCTTAAAACCAGTGAAACTAGATGATCTTTAAAATTTCTTCTAGCTTTAACATTTTATATCAAGCTGCAATAACTACATGTATCACAAAGCTTGAGTGTTTTGTTATTTTTATTGTTGTTACTTGTTTTGCTTTTAAAGTGCGTTAGAATTCATTAGGAGAAGAAAAGCTATCCCTTTTTCTATGGGCAATTATATGATGAGAAGAATCATGTCAATTTATTGCCTAGAGTCCACGGGGACATTTTGACTGGAGATAGAATCCCTTACCTGTGAATTCCACTAGAATAAAATGGCCTAAAAATCCAACTCCATATTTTGTGTATGTAAATATTTGAGAGGTACATTGAAAAGCAGAATTAGTTCTGATTATTTCTTTTTCTGGTGGGGAGCAGAAAGCGTAAAGGTGAATGTTCATTCCTATAAATTAGGGGCGACTGGTATAAACTTTAAGATCCCTGTTAAATGCAGAAAACATTCAATCTCTAGACCATCTGTAGCAAATTTACAGCAAACACTTCTGCATCCCTGGAAACAGTTTTATGCCACAAACCAGGAATTTCTCCAAAGTTACAATTACGTGATGCAAAACAGGTAATTTTCACCCCAATCTCGTGTTTTCATTCCAGGTCTTAGTTAATGCTGTCTTGATGGTTGCTGTTTGATGAATCAGCTTTCCTGTTAACTAGAGGTGCAGGGCCATCATCTAATGAAAACACTCTGTATTTTATTACTCCCTGGGCTGCAGTTCTGCATATTAAAATAGAATTTCAATCTCACTGTTAGAAACAAAATCAAACGTAGCATCTGTGGTTTGAACAGAACTGAGAAAAATGCTGCTCATTTAATCTTAACAATATTTTTCATGCTAGACAGTATAAAAAAAGAGGCCCTGGATATAATTTTAAAATGCCTATAAATTAGAAATAAATTGGTAGAAATCAGCACAATAGTTCAGAGCACGGGTTAGCTCATTTTACCTACAAATTTGCTGAAAGTTTTCTGTTCTAGTTATAAGTTCATGAAAATATTCACAAATTAAGGTTTCCTGTGTTCCTCAAATATCACTGTTAGCAGATCACTTTCATTCTACTTACTGCAAGAATTGAGCCACTCTGATTACTTTCTGAACGTTTCTGTTTTATTCAGGAATCATTGCACATTCACATTCAAGAAGAAGAAATAATTTCATAGCTAAAAGTTCAAGTCAAGGCAACATACTAATAAAAGAGTTGAAACTTCACCATCAGGTAGTTTTCACCAATCATGTACACACAAAAGTACAACAAGATCACAGGGAGACAAAGTAGCAAATTTCCCATTCATCAGTTAACAAACAACATGGCCTTATGGAGTGTGTTCAGTGTTTGCCCATCCAGCTCTTTCACCCCTGTCCTTTACTATCTCTCTCTCATTCTTTCTCTCTCTTACATACACACACTCATATACACACACAAGGCATATTAATTATGCAAGAGTTTTTAAAGCTTCTGTGTAAGTAAAATTTTTAAGAGAGTATAATACAATAAATATAAATGCAAACCACCTATTTATACAACACATACTATATCTCAAGAATTATGCTAATCCTGTGCCCAGTCTTTATCTTGTTCAGTGTTCTCAACAATCCACAAAGTAGGAGCTATTAATAGCCTCCTTTTATCAAATGTAACTAAAATTCAAAGTACTTAAGTCATTTCTCCAGGTCATAAAACTGATATGTTTTGAAATGAGGATTTAAACTATTGGTTTTGCAATTACAAATCCCATGCTCGTAACTTTTAAATCATATTGCTTTATACAGCTAATTGTGTGGCTATATATGGGGGTTTGGTACAACTGGCATTTATATCTCTATAGAACATGGTCTTATGAGAGAAAAATACTTTGAACTTGGGAAAGAACTGGGGCTGTGTTCCATGCTTGTTCTCATTTTATTTCTACTGCCACACCTCCTGCTGTTTACCTAATTCTTTTCTTCATCTTCTTACTCTTTCTTTGCCTCATATTTTCATCCTCAAAAGAACTCTCAACATGCACCATACAGAATCATCTTCATTCTAGTTAGCTTTTACGGAGTTAGTTAAAGCACTTTACACCTATTACCATATTTAATCCTCATCTATGCAATATGAACTATTATTATCATTACCATTTTATAGATGAGGAAGTTAAATCTTTGACCAGGTAACTGTTGCTCCTCTTCAAAACCCACACACATAAGATTATTACACTGTTTAAAACAGACAGAATTGGGGAGAAAAAGATAAAATGTTGGTATCAAGAAGAAAAAAAAACTGTAAGAAGTTTTATGGTATTTCAGCTAAACTCATCTTCCCTCAAATTAAATAGCACAACTGAGAGCCTTCTAGCCTCTTCAGCGTCAAACACATGTTTGCCAGAGCATCTATTGTTCGGTTCTGGAGTTTCTGCAGGAATTTTACATAGTTTATTGTATTAAATTTAGCTCTCAAAGAACTTATAATTTAACCAGACAATTTTAGACATAATATTCTAACATGAAGTGCCACCCCCAACTACTTGCTACCAGGTTCCTTTGACTATAACCTCTCTTTCAGAATTTCTCTTGCTTTTTACTCTTAAAATACTACCAGAACATGACCCCAGGGTCTATGCATTACCTCAGGGTTTTTTCAGTCTCAGGTTTGGACTTTAATTTTCCTTGGCTACTGTATTTCCTGCCAAAGACATGAAACGGGCTAATGTACTGAAAGTTGCAGAATTTTATTATATGGAAGAAAAACACACTTTGGGAAAAATTACTCTATTGTTAATGTGAGTGATCTTGAAAGCCAAACACCACCTCAGTTCTTTACATTAAATTTTGACAAAAGAATACACACCATACGCTAAGTAGTAAGGTGAATTCACAGATTGAAAGCCCTTAAAAGATTCACTTTTTCAATTTAAGTTAGGTGAAACAGTTATTTCCCCCTCTTTAGAGAAGAATTAGTAGCCATAAAAACTAGTAAGTGATTTCTACAAGGTTACAGGACAACGTTAGCAGGTCGAAAGGCTGAAACTTTGGGCACCTTTTTCTTTTATTTGACAAATGGGGCGGGGAGGGGGGTCAGTAGCATTTAATATGTGTCTTCAGTAAAATTCTTGCGTGTGGGAAGTATTAGCTATCTGTTTTACAGATGGAAAAGCACAGGCTCAGAAAGGTTTGTTTATTTATCAGTAGTCAAACCTATTTGAAAATGGCCTATCCATTTTCAAAACTCAAGATCTTTGTATAAATAGTCATTCACCATATAAAGACATTTTAATCAACAATGGACCACATATATAACAGAGGTCCCACAAGATTATAGTACTGAATGCTGGGGACAGGTTTTTAGCCTAAGGGCACTAGGATACACCAAATAGCCTACGTAGATAGAAGGCTGTACCATCTACATTTGCGTAAGTACACTCTATGATGTTTGCACAAAATGAAATTGCCTGAGGAAACGTTTCTCCAAATGTATACCTGTCATTAAGTGACACATGACTATACCACAGCAGCCTTCTTAAATGTGCCAGTAATTAATAATGTGTCAACAGTTCGCATCTCTACATATAATAAAGAAAATAATAAAAGTTGTTCTAACACATTATGAGAAAAGAAAACATAACTAATCATTTAAGTAACTTTCTTATCTTTATCAATATTCCACATAAACTTGATTCACCTTGTTAAACATAGCCAATCCAGTAATTTCCTGGAACACTTAGACAAAGATGTACATAGTAATTTAAACTCTTACATGACTCCATCTTGTTATGGGTTGATAGAAATAAGACATGATTTCTAATCACTATATGCTTAAGGTTTAGTTGAGAAGGGTGAAAAAACGTAGAACACTTACAGACCTATCCCCATCTAATGTTAAATTGTGTGGCTTTTAAGTGCGGAAGAAAGATACATTGGGTTGTGTTTCTGCGACCCAAGTTTCACTGTGGGGGTTGCAGGGTTTGACTTAAGCTGTGTATTAAAGCAATTATAAGGTTTCTATTTGTGAGTGTGGGAATAAGTTTACATTTTAGATAACATGATGACCTTAAGATAATGAAAGTGTTATTAATTCCTCAATTCCTAATATTCAGCCCTGAAATCCACAAAGTTCTGAAAAATGAAAGTTTTTGTAACACACTTATTGATAAAATAGGACCTGAACTGATGTAAAGATTTTAATAGTCTATATGTATCACAATTAGTGTGAGTCTTTACCTATTTAGCTGAAAAATATTAATATGTTTATTTAAGGATGCTGCCTTGGATCTAACTAGGATTGCTACATAGTTTACAGATATGCCTCCATTAGTATCTTTCCAAGATCTAAAGATTTCTGAAATCTTTTCTACATCTGATCCCTAAACAGCCATGTTTAGACACATAGAGCCCAGCATCATTGGGTTAAATTTATTCTTCCACTTTGGTGTGCCATACTTATAATATGGATTACCCAAGCATTCTGAGTAAACGATTATGATACTTTATTTGTGTTGAGGATTGAGAAGAAGAACTAAGATGTTGAGGAGACCAGAGTGTATGGTGCAAAATGAAGCTGATTACATAGCCCCTTAAAAATTGGTTAATAATAGAAATTAATGCGGGAGGCATTGAGTAGGTGTTATTAACAGTGATATTTATAGGGAAGGGTTGCCTGTCAATGCATTTGATATAGATTGGATGGAGGAAAGAAAGAGAAATGTAAAACAACAACACAAAATATCAAAAAAATACTGTAATACTTCTCAACTTTGCAACTGTAAGGTCATGAGCAAGCTAAACCTTCTGACTGCATTTCCTTTCACATAAAACAAATAATAGCATGTAAATTATTAGGGTGTTATGAACATTAAATGTTTTAATGCACGTAAGCCACCTAAAAAGTTTCTGGTATATATGAAGGGCCCAACTAACATATGTAATTGTCATTCTCATTATTAGCAGAGAAAGACTCTGTCAAAAATGTGGCAGGACAAGGAATTCAAGACATAGTTTAAAGAAAATTATAAGACTAACGAATGTGGATAAGAATAGAAGCAAATGTCAAAATTGACCCTAAAGTTTCTTCTCCCAGGAAATGGGGAAAAATGGCCTTACTATACAAGAAAGAAATATAAACACTGTTATGGCTTTATTTGTTCGCCTCAAGGTCCGAGGGTAGATGCTCTGATTTTTGGAAAAGACAGATAAAAATATCATGAAAATTATTGTCACCTAAATCAAATGCAGGAAAGATAATATATCAATAGAATCATGCAAATCTCTAGTAGATGTAGGATTCATAACTGATAAACCACTAGGATATCAAATGGGCAAACAGATGAAAAGTTTGTCACTTTTTTTGTTTTTTTCCCCATAAAATGTTAAAATAACTAAATGACAAAAATTCATCTCATTTCCGTGATTCAAATATGGTCAACTTGCCTTGTATATTACTAACTAGCCCATGGGAATGTCAAAATACCACTTGAACCAGCACAGAATCAAGCTACTGGTAGAGTAGGAAACACACCATGGACAGGGAATTGTCCTAGTGGAGGGTTGAAGGCATACCTTATAGGCATATCTCTGTCTAACTGTAGAATCCCTTCTCTTCAAAACAGCCATGCTTAGACACATAGAGCCCAGCATCATTGAGTTAAATTTATTATTCCACTTTGGTGTGCTATACTTATAATATGGATTACCCTAGCAAAGAATATGATCAAACTTTCTCTGGAATATTCCTAATAAATAAAAAAATGTATTGAGCAAAAATGATAATGTAGGGAGAGAGAGTTTGCTTTATCTAGGGATATACCAGAGGAATATTTTAACAAATAAAAATTTCCATTATAAACTAAAAATTAAGCTCTTCACTGCACATACAAAAATAAAAGGTATAATTCCTGTGTTCTTGGGTGTTAAAATGCCTGAAACCAGATTCCAACTGAGCATCCTGAGTCACCAGTCTGGAATAGATTCCTGTCCTGCACATAGAATATGGCTCACTTAATGCCAGACTTTCGCTGTTACTGGTGTGTTGAAGTGCTTAAGCTGTAACATGCGTCAAATTTAATTCAAATGTTTACTGCCGTTTGCTAAGTTTCTGATCCTGGACAACTTAATTTTCTGCCTGTTCATTGTTTTCACTGACAAAATTCAGATAATAATATATTTCCTATAGCACCATTGTTCTTACTGAACATATATAAAGAGTTCAGCAAAGATAGAGAAGATACTCAACAAATATGAGTTCTCTTTCTAATGCTAATGTCTCGCCCTGGTTTTCTGTGTCCCTTCAATTCCTGTGGCTTCCTGGTTCCAGATGTATCTCAGTCTTTTGACAACCCTACTGGCTTTATCCCTTGGTGATAAAAAGAGCAAGATCTTATTAACTGGTTCATTACAGGTTTTTCTGCACTAACGTATGTTACATAAAGCAACAGAGATTAACATGTGTCTAAAATATAACAATGGCAAAAACGTTTTAATTGCTTACTATGCGTTCAGGCCCTATACTAAGAGCTTTTACATGTATTTTCTCATTTTATCTTTATAATTGTTTTAAGAGGTAGATTCTATTTCTTTTTCCAGTTTTTAAATACAGAAAAAATAAGACTCAAAGAGCTTAATAACTCCCCTTCTATTGCAGGCCTACTAAGCAATAGTGCCTGATTCTAAAACAGACACTCCTGGCTGTAAAAACCTTACTTTGCCTGAGACATGGTAAAACTATGACAACTTCCAAAGTGCTTACATGCCTCAGAAATTTTATCACAAATTTTAAAATGAATTGTATTAGTTTTCTATTATTGTTTTCACAATTGGCCACAAATGTGGTGGATTAAAACAACACAAATTTAATCTCTTACAGTTTTGAATGTCAGAAGTCCAACATCATTTCTGCTGAGCTTAAGTCAAGGTGTCAGCAGGTCTAGTTCCTTCTCAAGGCGCTGAGGGGGAAATCTGTTTCGTTGCTTTTTTCAGCTTCTAGTGACTGCCCGTATTCTTTGGCTTATAATCAGTTTTCAAAAAGTATCTCACTGTATTCTCTAATTTGGTATCACATTGCCTTCTTCTCTGACTCTGACACCCCCTACCTCCCTCTTATAAGGACCACTGTGAAGATACTGGGCCCACCTGGATAGTACAGGTTAATCTTCCCATCCCCAAATCATACTTGAACAGCATCTACAAAGTTCCTTTTCTAATATAAAATAATATTTACAGATTCCAAGGACTAGAGCATGAATATATTTGTAGGGTCATTATTTAATCTGCCATGTGTATTTTACTTGTATTCACATTAACTCTAAAAGTACATGAATAGAAAAGTTACCTTGGAAAGTTTTAATGAAATTAAATACAGTCTTCTAAATCACTGTTACAGTTTTGGAATTATAATAGAAATATTGTTATTTAGTCTTATCTACTAAATGAAAAAATATCTTCCAAAATACTGAAAAACATAAATTACTAAATTAATGTCAGTATTAATAAACCAGAATTGTTTAAAGCAGCATAGCATCTCTATGTACATAAAACAACAGATTTTTCTCCAGTAAACACTTGTTAATGGAACAGATGTATTAAACGAATACATTTTTATGTAACAAGGATATCTATTACTTAAGCTGCTTCTGTACTCACTTTCTTCTGTTTCTATTCAAATACAATGCATTATATTCATATTCAGTCGTATTAGCCACAGTTCCCAATGTACTTGTTTATCTGATGCAAGGTTAATGTGGTATCAAGGAATTTTATGGAATTAGAATTTCTCGTTATTGAACAAGAGTTACAACATCACCATCAAAGGCTTTGTATCAAATGTGATACAAAGGGAAGGAAAAAATTAAAAACTAATATAAACTAGGGCAGAATATTCTGATAATGACTTTCTCACATGGCATTTCATATTGTGCATGTTATGAATTGGTCCAGCATGCCAGAAAACTATATCTTTAATTGGCTTTATAACCATCTTTCCAGCCTCTGAAAGATATTAGCTAATAAAAGAGAACATGGCTTGCATTATTTAGGGCCTGAGTAATTAGGAAGTCAATCTCCAGACAAAGCTGATATGCTTCATTATTGGAAAAGCGGAGGCTACCACATTAACTACATCTTTGCTCTCTGAAAGGCACCCAACGACATGGTAGTCAGAGATCTGCTTCAGTATCCTCTCTGATCTGAATTGCTTGCAATGTACAGAAAACTTGTTTTTCTTTAATTTGAATTTAAATAACAGTCCCTACCAACTGGTTGAGAAACATTAGTACTTTTAGTTTCCTTTGGGATAAAAGAAACTGGTTTATGTATCACAGACCACATCTAATTCTTAGTCTCTCATTCAGTCAAAGCAGCATTTGCTATTACATGCACTGAAATTGGAAAGTGCTGACCAAGGGAAAAATAAATTAAAAGGAAATTAAATTCTCTCTCACAGATGGAGAGAGTCAATCAGTTATGAACTTCAGTGAAGTGAAAATGTAATATGCAGTGGCTCAGGATTTTGTTTTTGTCTGTGTGTATTGTGCAAGAATGTATATGTGTGCGTGTGCATATCTGCATTAGAAACACAGAAAATTCTCAGGCCTCCTAAGAATGTTGACATTGAAATGAACAACAGGCATTGGGTGTAACAAGAGTTCTTTCAAGTGAACACTAGAGCATAGTGTCCATGGCTTCATGTTTAGGTGAAGGTAGAAATAGGTGTGTCCACACTTTGATTTTAAGGACTAATTGTCAGTGATTCTTTAGACCCCAATTCAATTCACTTCAGTAATTTGGGTACTTACTACGTGCAAAACTCTTAGTTGAGTCCTAAGATATGTTCAACGTTATATAAGACTAGCCTTTGCCCATAATGTATATGTGATATAATAGCCCTGTTACATAATTTAAGAGGTATTGCGGAGACTTTAAAAAGATAATAATCAATGACTCATTTTCTTAAAAATAAATGTCATGAAAATGGAGGAACTGTTATGATCATTAGAAGACACTTAGACATCAACAATATGTGTGGAATTTGTTTATATCCTAATCTGAACAAACCAACTATAAGAAGATAACTTTAAAACAATTCAGAAAAAGTGAGCACAGATGAGGTATTAGATGATATTGCAGGGAAAAATTATGTGGTCTAATTTTGTTTTTAAATGAAAATAATTAACTTGAACTGGCAAGCCTGGTTTGGATTCTCCATTAAAATCACCAGTAACCTGAGTAAAATTATTAGGTGATACTTTTGCATTTTGATGTTGATTAAAATAGATTACTCCTGCACCCCTACGCGGGCACGCTCACGTGCACGCATGCACACACACATACACACACACACACGAGCACTCTAATTTCCTTAACCTTAGAGTATTTGGCCTTTTCTGTTTCATTTTATATGCCAGAAAACTGACATAACATTACTGAGTTGAAGTCAGAGGTAAATAGCAACCAGTGCTAGCTTCCTCACTTGGTAGTTAGGTAACTTGGCCAGGTTACTTAAAAAACCCCAGATGCTACATTCTCATCATTTGTGAGATGAAATCATATTACTGATCATATTAGTAACCACCGTTGTGATTGGGGAGAGGATTTAATGAGAGTGTGTCACACAGTGCAAATAGCTTAGAGGAAATAAATTAGAAGGACTATCTGAAAATAACTATCTTAGAATTCATGGCAATGGTTAAAGTAGCATAAAGTTTCCATTATATGTACTTTCTACTTCCTCTCATGTGATGTTCAGAGAACGCTAAAATCGGGAAGGGAATGTACTGTGGAAAATACCTAAGTCAGAAGTCATACTTTAAAAGCCAGAAATATTACAAGCTTACTCCCCAGGGTTCTCAGTATCAAGATAAAAAAAAATACCCAGTTTATATAAGCTAAACTATGCATTTCAAATTATCTCAGTGATTCAAAGGGTCTTAGCTACAAAAAAAGTGACTTTTAAGACTGTGAAGAAGGGATAAAATATAAATATAATCAGAGAGATACATACTAGAGGCTTACGAAGATTCATAAGCAAAATACATAATTTCTAGTTTGGGAGAACAATGAAAGCTTCATGGAAGAAGCAGCCTTTGAAATGGGTTATAGAAAACCGTGATTTTGACAATAAGCTGAGGATAAAAGGAGGATATGTCAAAAGCAGGGAGTAGTCGGAACAAAAGCAGGCAAACCAGTATGGACAAGGGTTACCTTCCGTATCTCCACAAATGTTGAGTAGTAGACCACAATAAAAATCACTGGAAGATACTTTTCTTCAAGATTTGACTTTGGAATCTTAAAAACATTTATTTTTAAGTTTTATTGACTTTGTTTAATATATTTGGAGATATAATTGAAATTTACATGTGCAATTCAATTTAATAAGTTTGACATAGGTATATAACTGCAAAATGAACATTACATTCAAGATAGTGAACGTATCCATAACTCCTAGAAGTTTCCCATGTCCCTTTGTGATCTCCCCCAACTCCCTATCCCAAGTAACTACCGATTTGTTTTCTGTCACTATCAATTGGATTACACTGATATACCTATGTACATATATCAATCTGGAGATTTACATAAATACAAGTACATATTATGTACTCTTTTATATCTAGTTCTTTGACTCTATACATGTTGTGAGATTCATTCATGTTGTTGCATATATTGAGTTCAATCCTTCTTATTGCTGAGTAGTATTCTGTTATTTAAATATACCAATTTGTTTACCCATTCATTTATTGATGGACATTTGGGTTGTTTTCATTTTTGACTATTCTAAACAAAGAAGCTATGAGCATTTAGGTATAAATTTTTCTATGGATATAGGCTTTATTTTCCTTTGGGTAAATAATTAGGACTGGAATTGATAATTTATATGGTATATATGTGCCTAATATTTTTGAAACTTCTAATTTTTTTCCCCAAAGTGTTTGTATTATTTTACATTTCTATCAGCAGTACGTGAAAATTGTAGCTCTTTCACATTCTCAATAGCATTTGATATTGTCGATCTATTTAAGTATATCATCTAGAAGAAGTGTAGCAGTATTTCATTGTGGTTTTAATTTGAATTTACCTGATAACTAATGATGTAGAGCATCTTTCATGTGCTTATTTTCAATGGGCATACATTCTTTGGTAAAATGTTCAAATATTTTGCTAAATTTTTAGTAGGTTATTTGGTTATAAATAAGTGTTTAAATGTGCATTGAAAACTGAAAAAAAAACTTTGTCAGATTTATTCCTAGTTATTTCAGATTGTCTTTGTAAATGGTATTGTCACTGTAAGTGCATTTTGTACATTCAAAAAGTTGAGTAGAGACAACAAAGATATAAAAATATAAAAATAGAACTTCTTATAAATATGAAAACTCCAATGTCTATATGCAAAAATATTGTGGAAAGGATTGATGCAATTAAACACTGCAAAGAAATGAGCTCTACATTGAATAGAAATAGCAAGAGATGGAGAGCATCCTTGCCTTGCTCCAGATCTTAAACTAAAAGTTTTTTATTTTCACTACTGAATATGATGTTTAACTGTGGACTTTTCATATAGATGGTCTTTATTGTATTGACAAAATTTCACTCTATATCTAAGAATTTTTGAGCTTTTATTATGAAATGTTGTTGAATTTCACCAAATGCTTTCCGGCATCTATTATGATGGTCATATGATTTTTGAATCCTTTGTTCTGTTGGTGTGATGTCTTTGCCAGATAAATTAGGCAAGAAAAAGAAATAAAAGGCATCCAAATCAGAAAATAAGAAGTAAAATTATCTTTGTTTTCAGATGACATGAACTTAGATGTAGAAAACTCACAAGACTCCATGCAAAAAAACCTATTAGAATTAATAAACAAATTCAGTAAAGTTGGAGTACACAAAATCAGCATATAAAAATGAGCAGTGTTTCTATACACTAACAGCAAAATATCTGAAAAAAATTTAGAAAACCATCCCATTTACCATAGCACCTAAAATAATAAAATGCTTAGGAATAAACTTAACCGAGGAGCTGAAAGAGTTTTGTACACTGACACCTATAAAACGTTCATGAAAGAAATTCAAGCAGACACAAATAAAATAGGAATCTCATGGTTAGGGTTCGAAAAAAATTAGTATTGTTAATTAAATATTCATACTACCCAAACTGGTCTACAGATTTAATGCAATCTCTATCAAAATCCTTTTGGCATTTTTTACAAAAAAGAGAAAATCATAAAATTAATTGCAAACCACAAAAGACCTCAAACAGTCAAAAGAAAGTTTGATCAAGAACAAAGCTGGAGGAATCCATGTACTACTTTCAAAATACATTAGAAAACTACAGTAATGAAAACTCTGTGGTACTGGCATAAAGATAGACAAAACAAGTGAGCCCAGAAACAAAACTAGGGATATATGGTCAGTTGATCTTAAACAAGGTTGCCAAGAATATACAATAGAGAAAGGATACTTTCTTCAACAAGAAGTATTGGGAAAACTGGATATCTACATGCAAAAAAGAAAAAAAAAAAACGAACTCTTGTCTTTCATGGTACACAAAAATTAACTCATAATGGTTAAAGATTAAACACAGGACCTGAAATTATAAAGCTCCTAAAAGGAAACATAGAGGAAAATCTTCTTGACATTGGTCTTAGGAATAATTGTTTGGATATGATGCTTAAAGCAAAGGCAACAAAGCAAAAATAATCAAGCAGGATTGCATTCAATTAAAATGTTTCTGGAGAGTGGAAGAAACAATCCACATAATAAAAAGTCGACCTATGAAATAAAAGAAAATATTTGCAAACTATGTGTCTGGTAAAGGGTTAATATTCAGAAATATAAGGAACTCCTACATCTCAAAAGCAATAAATCTCAATTTTAAAATGGGCAAAATAATTGTATAGACATTTTCCAAAACAAGACATACCAATGACCAACAAGCTTATGAAAAGGCATCAATATCATTATCATCAGGGAAATGTATATCAAAACAACAATGAGATACCACCTCATATCTGTTAGGATGGCCAGTATAAGAGAAAATAAATGGCTGGGTGTGGTGCCTCATGCCTGTAATCCCAGTACTTTGGGAAGCGCAGGTGGGTAGATTACCTGAGGTCAGGAGTTCAAGACAAGCCTGGCCAACACGGTGAAACCTCATCTCTACTAAAAATGCAAAAAAATTAGCTGGGCACGGTGGTGGGCGCCTATTATCCCAGCTACTCGGGAGGCTGAGGCAGGGAATCATTTGAACCCAGGAGGCAGAGGTTGCAATGAGCCGAGTTCAAGCCACTGCACTCCAGCCTGGGCAACACGAGCGACACTCCCTCTCAACAACAACAACAACAACAAAAATAAAAACAAAAATAAATAAACCCAAAAGATAACAAGAGTTGGCAAGGATGTCGAGAAAAAGAAACACTTGTACATGTTGATGGGAATGTAAATTAGTGCAGTCACTCTGGAAAACAGTATGAGGGATCCTCCAAAAATTAAAAATAGAACTTCTATATGATCCAGTCCCACTTCTGAATATGTATCCTGTGAACCCCAAATATCTGAGACAGGTCTCAGTCAATGTAGAAAGTGCATTTTGCCAAGGAGCGCATGGACACACTCACGACACAGCCTCAGGAAGTCCTGACGACATGTGCCCAAGGTGGTTGGGGCACATCTTGGTTTTATACATTTTAGGGAGGCATGAGACATCAATCAATATATGTAAGATGTACATTAATTTGGTCTGGAAAGGTGAGACAACCCTAAGTGGGGAGGGGGCTTCCAGGTCATAGGTAGATAAGAGACAAATGGTTGCATTCTTTTGAGTTTCTGGTTAGCCTTTCATTGAATATGCAATTTACCGGCATAGTCACTTATCACTCAGTCTGGCTTAGTGAAACAATAGGGCAAAAGAAGCAATCAGATATGCATTTGTCTCGTGTGCAGAGAGATCACTTTGAGTTCTGTCTGTCCTTCACCCACAAGGAATTTCCTTGTGGGCAAATTGTGAGGGAGGTATGTAGCAGTTTTATCTTTGTAGCTATCTTATTTAGGAATGGAATGAGAGGCAGGTTTGCCCAATGAAGTTCCCAGCTTAACTTTTCCCTTTGGCTTGGTGATTTTTCAGTCCCAAGGTTTACTCTCCTTTCACAATCCAAAAAAACTAAAACCAGCATCTCAAAAAGTTTCTACACTCCCATTTTCATTGAAGCATCATTCACATTAACCTTAAATGTCCTTAAATGTCCATTGATAGATAAATGGACAAAGAAAATGTAGCATATACAAACAATGGAATGTTATTCAGCCTTTAAAAAGAAGGAAATTCTGCCATTTGAAACAACATGGTGAATGTGGAGGATATTATGCTACATAAAATAAGCCAGATACAGAAGGACAAATATGAGGAATTATTTGACAATTATATGAAGAATTTTAAATATTGGAACTCTTAGAAGCAGAGAGTAGAAAGGTGGCTTCCAGCGGAAGGGGAAGAGGGAAATGGGGAGGTAGTAGTCAAAGGGTACAGGGCTTCAGTTATGCAAGGTAAATAAGATCTGGAGATCTATTCTACAGCATAATGCTTGTAGTTAACCATTTTGTATACCTAAAAACTTTCTAAGAGGGTAAATCTTATGTAAGTGTCAAATAATGATATTTATTAAATAGGGTGGAAGAAACTTTTAGGGTTAAAAGATATGTTAATGGCACAGACTGTGGTGATGATTTTATGGATACTTATCTCCAAATTCATCAAGTTCTATGTGTTAAATATGTAGAACTCTTTGTATGTCAATTATACTTCAATAAGGTTTTGTTGATAAAATATATTAGTTGGTCAAAAATGACATTCAACATATAATAAAAATTCTCAATAAAGGAATACGAAGCTTAAGCAATAAATGAACATGACATAATGAAGAAACGGTAACTACTTGGATAAATGCATAAGATTTTTAAATTATTATTTAAATGTGTTTAAAAGATAATTGGCTGTTTAAACAAAAATTTTACTCTTTTGGATGCTGGATATTTTGTATTCCTGTAAATCTTCTTGAGCTTTTTCTCAAGATAAATCATTTGAAAACAGTTTTATCCTTTTGGGTCTTGCTGTGAAAATTCCTTAGGTACGTTCAAAAATAATAATTCCTCTCTACTAAGGCAGACCCCTTCTGATGATTCTACCAATGACCAGTGACTAATGAGGTCTTTCAGTTTGGCTGGTAAGAACAGGCACTACTCTTGGCCCTGTGTAAACTCCAGACAAAGTTCCCTCCAATCATTTTGGATGTGTTTTATTTCCCCTCGACCCCATATAGTTTCTTCATGTCCGCGCACTGGTCAGTACTCTGCTGAAGGCTTATTGGCGACTGTCTACAGATCTATATATTCTCTTTTTGTGCAGTCTCCTGTCCTCCAAACTCTAGCCACCTGGATCTCCCACAGCGCTCACCTCTACCTCAATTCAGGGAGTCCTTCAAGCTTCACCTCGATACCCCTCCCTAATCAGCAGGAACATTGCACATTGCATCAGCTTAGTGCCTGGAAACTCTCAAGGCACTAAGCTAATGCAGTCATGGAGGTTGCCTCCTCTGTTTTACATCTTGCCGGGACCACTGTCCTTTATTGTCTGTAGTGCAGTTTCTTGAAAACGACTGTTTCACAGCTTTGTTGCTGATTTTGGTTGTTTCCTGAGGGAGAATATACCCAATCCCTGTTATTCCTGTCTTGGTCAGAAATATAGGTCCTGAACAGTTTAATAGAAAGAGCTTACACTTTCCTGCTGAAGCATCTGTTCTTGTTAGGAAGGATAATTCTAGACTTTTTTGGGGGGGGGAAATTTCACATATTAGAGGACCACTGGAAGGCATAGGAAAATTTCTGTTCCAGGATGTGGATTATACACCTATTTATCCTTTTCCCCTGATATTTTATACCCATCTTCCCAAAAAGGAGAAGCTGGATAAGAATGGAATGATTATCCATGCAATGAGTGACATCAACAGAGGACAGGGAAGATTTGTGGGAGAGAGCCACGTTATTATCCTCATTACCTCGTTATTACTATGTCCCATGATACTTCCCATCTTGATACTCAAATTGACTAATGGGATACTGAAAGAGAACTCTGAACTACTATCATTGTTGATTCCAGGGACTATTGCTGGCTAGGTATTGTTAACAGATTATTCTCCTATAACCTAGAGCCAGACATGTGACAGTGCCAGGAACCCTGGGGTAACTTGAAAGGCAATGACTTCCAGTTGCTTCAGCCTAGAAAAACAGAACACTCAAAGATGTAACCTGTTCCTTTAACACTGTAAGTCAGTTTGATTCAAGCACAACATAAGAAAAAAATAATTGTATAACCCACTTAATCCTAACTGGCAGTGGTATACTTTGTACATTAACATGATGTATCCTCAGTTCTTGAGAATGTCATTCTTTCTTCCCTTCTATTACTGTTGCCTGAAGAGCTGCTTCCTACATTGGGTCCATTAGTCCACTGCAAAGCACCTAAAAGAGCTTTACCTATTCAGTCCCACAGGCATTCACATTTCTACCTCCTTTCCTCAAAAATAGGTTTTATTGAAACCTAACTATCTTTTCTGTCTGCTTAGAGCTTAATGTATTTGAAGCCAGTCAAATCTGGGACCTTAAGAGTATCTCTCAAATTTATTCTTCTCGTTAATCAGATGGAATAATAACAGCCCTCGCCCCCACAAAGTATAGTTATGATTTTAAAATTAGGTAAATTGAATTTCATCTGTTGTACACAGGTTTAATAATTCAACCTGAAGTTCTCAACATTATTTTTATTCATTATATTAATATTATATTTTAGGTATTGTGAACTACTCCCTTGCATGCTAAATACTTTTAGCATTGGCCTTACTGATGAACTCTAAAATAATCCCAAAGGCTGAGTTACCATCTTCCACGTTCAAGTCATGATGTACAGGAGCAAAGTTCTGGGGCCCACTGTATTAGCCTTCTTTCACGGCCTTTGAGGCCCATGCTGTTAGAGTTTGAAGTCGTCATTTGACTACTGCTACATTTCTGTTTCTCCCTCCTTCTCCTCTACTCTCCTTCTTCCTTTCCATGTCTCATTATACATTTTAATTTGCTTAATTCTGACAGAAAAATAAAGTAAGTATGGCTAAATATCTAACTCTTCAATTGATATTTCAAATGAACAAAACAGATCTAGATTTTCTATATATTGGTCATAAACCTACTCCTGAAGAAGTCATCTTGATAGTCTTGGCTTCTAGCAAAAGCCTACAATATTTCCTTATTCATTAGCTAGTATGGTTCTCTTTACTGAGAAATAAATGCACAGGGTCAATCCAAATTAAAATACCCCGCTTTTCATCAAGTCAAAGATACTCTTTATTTTTAACCCAATTTTGATGATACGTGGTAGTAATTCATATATGGCTCCCTCCTACCTGAGAATCTCAGCCTACTTCTCCTGAAATATAACAACTAGGATGGTTTTGTAAAGTAAAACCTTTCCCCCAATTTTTTCAATATCTGTATAAGCTTCACTTTTCAGGTTTTAATTTTGGGGAGGGAGGGGTTGTTTGTTACATAAATGGGAGGAAAGTACATGGATTGTTCTACACCATGATTTTTTACTTAATAATATGTCTTGGAAATCAAATGTGTATTTATTGTGGCATTTTTGTTCATTTCACTTTGTCTCCCCCTACGGCCCACCACCACTGAACATATTGTATTCTGCTATGTTCTTTTATCAACATTCAGAGAAATTCTTCTGCTATCATCTTTTAATAATTACTTACCAGGGATGTCAGGAGGTAATCCCAGAGTATTACCTGTGCTAAAGGAGAAGAAATTGGCAGTTTGCAATAATAAAACCCTGTCTGAGTGTTCTCTTACCTGAACCATTTTGTATGACTTCAGCAGTCTCGGTTTATTTTATTCTTTAGCTCAAAAGCCTTCTTTGGTCCCAAATACTTATTGAACCAGATACAATTTATCTTAACTCATCATTTAAGATGGAAATATCTGCAAATCTCTATGTCCTAGTATTCCTATACACATATACCATGTTTTGTTCAATGTGAGCTTAGTCCATAAAGAGACCCATGCGTTCCTAACTCCCTGTCTTTTCTTAGATGTTTTACTCTGTCTAGAACCCCCTCTGCTCTCCTCCAATAGTCAAAAAGCCACAAAGCCTTTTTTGTTTTCCTAAAGCAGGGTATGATATCACTTTTATCTGAAGTCACATAATATATTGTTTATATCTTTTAACACCTTTGTATTCCTCTTGAATTAGACATATTTGCATACTAACTATTCCTTCTAGGGTGATGATTAATAACTTGAGAGCAGTGCCAAGGTCGTCTTCTTCTGTGTATGCCATGCAGTGCTCAGCACAATATCTTAGGTGAAGTAAGTGCTCAATAAATATTTGCTGATTTGAACTGGGTAGAATTTGGTGCTTTTCTCCCCCAGCATGGGAATAAGTTTCTGATTTATGATGAGAATCAGTGGGAAGTATTTCAACTAGGCTTACTGGAGTTTATCCATTCCATTAAGTGAAAAGTAACTGTGCAATAACTAGGTAGGTGTTTATATTTTTTTCTACAGAGTGTAAAAGTTCAAGTTTTTCATTTAATGATAACAATCAAAAAAACAAAGGAAACTATCAGCAGTAATAGTTCCCATTACCGTGAACGAAAATATTTGGCTTTTAATAAGAGACAGACCAGAATGCAATGGCAGAGAAAGTGATCTCAAATAACAATCATTTTTCCCTAGAACTGGCTGAAGTCATAAAATGGAAAAGATTATATGGTGGCTATGTTGTAATAAATAGAAAGCATAATCAATCAAGTTAATTACAAGAAATAAAAACAAATTTTATCTTTAAATAAACAACGTGAGCCCAATTTCTCACTTGCCAAGAGAAAACAGATTTTCTTGGAGCTGATTTCTGAGTTTTCAATATAAATAATATTCTCTCATTCAAAACGAAAAAGAAACAACAAAAAAGTGAGTCCTTACTTGATAGGTTAACTTTCGTTTCTGTCAAATTCTTTTAAAAAAAATTTTCTCATTCACATTGGAGTCCCAGAACTTAGCATATGTCTATAGTCTATGATGAGCCATCTTAGGAAAAACAGGAATTTTGCTACCAGATATTGGAGAAAATGGCATTAATACTCATAAAGCCAGTGACACCAGGCTGCACAGGGCAATCATTTTTCACTTCAGCAGCACCACAGCCCTCTCCACATTGGCTTCCACTATTTCCATTGCGAAAGCATCACGTATCACATTTGTACAACGTGTATTAAATGAGTTTTTTTGAACTTGCCAAGGGGACAAGGGGTGCAGAAATCAGCCCATGAAACTTTTCCATATGGGGAAAATCATTATTACTTCCAACTGAATAGATGGAAAAAAATTTATTTTAAATTTGTAAAGAACTTTTGGAATTTAATCTATTTGCAAACAAAAAGTGTATTCTGATCTAATTGTAGTTTAAGGAGAAATACAAGAGTAAAATCGTGTACCCTCATTTTATCAATAGACAAACAGGTTTGAGAAAAACACATATTAAGGTAGAAAAGTAGAAAGAAGCCAATAAGCCAATAATAAGTTTAGAAAACAAATGTATTTTAACAGATTTTGTTCATTTGCTGAATTCAGATTCCACATTTATTTGGCTTTTTGTTTGCTTAAGTTAGAGCAAACAAAGTTAAAGGGAAATATGATTATTTATAAAACTGGTTATGTTTATAAGATTTTCTTTAAAGGAGAAGTAGCGTAGTTTTTCTTGGTATTATGTTTCGTGAAAAAAAATTCTCAGGTGGCTTTCAATTTGTCAGATACCATGATGCATTGAAAAATTTTCCTGGTAATGATTACGTAGAATATGGCATATGGTTGTTTCTTATAACAACCTCTTCATCACACAGCATCAATAAAAATAATGAAATAGTTAACAAGTATTGACCATGTATCATCAGCCACATCTAGTGCTAAATGCTATATATTTACTACCTTATTTAATTTTCACAGGAGATATTTTAATTAAAATTTACTTTAAAGATAAAGAACCAGGGATTTGGAGACATCAAGCAAATTTTTCAAGGTCACACAGCTGCCAAAAGAGGCAGGCAGAACTCAAACCTAAGACTGGCAGGCAGGAAGATGCATCTAACCGTACAGCTCCTCTAAGTATTTTATAAATGAACAAAATTAGTGGATCTGATAATAATAACAAGCAACATTTATTGAGTGCCTATTATGTGTGAGACACTCTTCCTATTATCTTACATGTAACAATTCATTTAGACAGTATAAGGACCTATGAGTAAGTACCAGTATTTGAAAGAGAATTATAAAAATGCTGCAGAGCGTTTAAGCAGCACTTACTTGCTCAATGCCACATGGCTGGTAAGAGCAGAGTTAGAGTTCAGGTTCTTGACTGCCTAATCTTCAAATAATGTTTTTTTTTTTTTATATCCAAGCTTTTGAAAATGGAACAGCAAGAATCTTCAAGATATATTCTTTTCGTTATTCATACATAGTATTTGTACATATTTGTGGGGTATATGTGATATTTCATACATGTACACAATGTGTAATGATTAAATCAGAATTTAGAATACTCATCACTTTGGACACTTATTATTTCTTTATGTTGGGAACATTTCAAATCTAGTTATTTTAAGATGTAAATGAACAAAATCAATGAATCTAATAATAATAAAAAGTAACATATATTGAGTGCTTATTATGTGTGAGACACTCTTTCTATTATTTTACATGTAACAATTCATTTAGACACTATAAGGACCCATGAGTGAGTACCATTATTTCAAAGAGAACTGTAAGGTGCAGAGAGTTTAAGAGTTAACCATAGTTACCCGACTGGGTTATTTTTTCTTTGTCTTGAATTAGAGATTAATTATAATTTTGAGGTTTGGCTGTAATGGAGAGACCCAGTGAAAATAGGTAGGAGGATTTTGCAGTTATCCAGGCATGAGGTTTATGAGTAGCTATTTTACTAATAGTAGAAACTGAAAGAAAAATAACTGATTTAAATTACACATTAAAGAACAATCACAATTTACTAACTGGGTTTAGGGAGAGAGTGAAAATGGCTGCAAATTTCTGAGTCAGAAAAAAATGCTGTTTCTGTTGCCAGTAGTCACTAGGAAGGAATAGTCGTTGAGCAAGTAAATTCATTGCTTATTAATACTTATATTTATTAGCTATTATTGTGGCATTCTATCATCACTTGGGTTGATAGCTTTTTGCAATATTGTATTGTTTATAAAAAGAAAAAAATAAGCTATTAAAGTGAGACAAATAGTAGAAGCTGGTTCTGGTTCATACTATGCCACTCACTAAACATATGATATTGGAAAAATCACTTATTGCCCCTGAACATTAGTGTTTTCAGCTATATAATATACTATCTTCACTTACAAAAGAGTTATGAAGATCAAAACAATTAAAGAATGGAACATTGTTTTATAAGATATATAGAAATGACAAATAGAATGACTATCACTGTTTTCTATGTCTAAGCCACTACTCATAGAATGCCAACAGCCTGGTTGTACTCTCTCTAAATAATATTTTTGATGGTGGCAAGGATTCAGATCTCAGCTCCGCCACTTACCTTATGTTTGATCATGAACAAATTACTCAAACTCTCTGTGTCAGTTCTGTAAAATGAAATCCATAGTAGTACCAAACTCATGATATTTTACTGCGGATTATGATACAATAAATGAATGTATGATGCCTATAATAGTGCCTGAACTACATAGTAAGTCAATATATGGCATTGTTATTATTACTAACATTATTATTAACTCAATAATTTTTATTGTTCAGCCATTCTAATGATGGTATTGTAACCATATGGATTTCTCTACCTTAACATGTACAGAAATTATTACATCAATTTTCACCTGTATCATAATATTTAGATATTCATTATGATACGCCAATGTAAAAATTGTCACATAACCAATATATTTGTGTGTATCTAATTGTGCAAATAAAAAAAGATACTTTGCCTTATATGCGTATCCAAAACATACTGTACTTATATTTTATTGAACAATAACAATTATGTCTTATCTAGTTGTTTAACGTGTTTCTATGACTATATAATAAAAGAAGAGTAGTTCTAATATGTCACAGTTTGATTTAAAGGCACAATGACCTTTCATGTTTTTCTCTTTGCTTTCAGTAAGAGCATTGAATAATCCAATGGGGAAGGCATTTTCCTTGACAGATATTTATCATAGTAAAAAAAAATGCTGAAACTACAAAATATTTTAAAATGTTACCATGTGAATATTATTTCAGTGCATATATTTCTAGTGTAATGGCATTTGCCATCTGGCATTCTTGTGAATAAGTCTTCTTTCTTCACACACCGTACATCTTTTTGCCTTTCTCAGTTTGTGTCTATTCATAATTAATCTCTAGGTTCACGTAATAGGCCTCTCCTGCATGTTCTCTTAGCTAAGGAAACAAGTACTCAGGAGTGTAACATCATAGACAGGGAACAAAGGATTCACATTCCGCTTTCTGTGTTAGAGAGCACTGATGTGATTCTCAGGAGCCAAGCTTCTTAGCAACGAAACGAAGGATTTACAGCCCTCCAGCTTTCTCAGCTACCAAAGCTCTTGAAGGCTTTCAAGAGCTGACCTTCTTAGCAAAGGGCTGGATTCTTTTCATGCACTCACTTTCAAAAGGTAGCATACCTGTTTGTCCAGTGTGATGCGGATGCTATTAAAAGGGAGTTTCCATGGATACGGACATTAGTGGGAATGAAAAAGGATTGTCCTCTTTTCAGGCTCATTGTTGCTCCAAATATTCCTAAGACCTAGATCGTGTCACTCCTTTTATTCACCCTCTTGTGGCTAGCTTCTTGTTTAGGAAGCATTGCCAATGGTTGGTAATTAATACCTTTTTAAATGTGTAGATTCAAACACCTAGGTTTTTGTATGTGAATAAGGGTTTAGTTAATTTCTAAGACTTCATTGAGTGTGAATTTTGTTATGACTCTTATATATGATTTCAGAGAATACACATTAATAAGAGATACCATCACTTTCTTTTAAGTGATACAGAATTTGTCAAACTTAGAACCTTCCTTAAATAGTGTGAATTTGAAGTTGTATCAGAACAGAACTACAAAGTCCCACCTCCCCCTGCTCTCTTGTATTTTGGATGAATTTATTCAAAGTATACATTATGCCCTAGAATTACACATTTTTGGAATATTATGGTTAAAATATGTCAAACTCTCTTTGCCAAGACCTAATTGAATGTGAAATGAAACCAAATCAATTCATTTGTTGAGTCTATCATGTGTCAGGCAATATGGCTTGTCAGTGCAACTTATATAATGAAGAGAATAATGACTTTATCTGGAGAACTCACGAAAGAGCTGTACCACCACCTGTTCATAGAGGTAAAAGACATTGCCAGTGAATGTCCCCAGTCTTGAGAAAACAGTCACGAAATATCTGAGTCATTTGTCATAAATCTATGGTGCAGGAATCCCTCACATGGAACAAGGAGACAGAACACCAAAATTGAAAATAGAATTATGAAAATAAGTAATTGAGCTAACTTTTTCATATAGAAACAACTTCAACTTGGACAAATTTTCCAAATTTAGGTCACCAGCATCAGTTATTTAATAACACATCAATAGAGGGAATCAGTCTATTCTATTCCCTCTGGAGAGGGAAATCAGTCTTCTGTTAAAGATACCACTGATCAAGTTGATCAGAAATTCAGCTGACTCCACATGGTTTTAAGGAAATGCAATGTAGTTAATGAGCTTTTGATCCCCTTACATTGATTTCTGGTCAAATAAATACAGGCTGAAATATATTTTCTCATGTTATGTGATTTTAGTTTTTTAATAAGCTGAAATATTCATTTGTGAAAAATTTTATTTCAGTTTGTGAAATAAGAAAAATTTAATCCTTATTTGCTAATAATCTGGTCTCCTTAAGTTAAATATGTGTTAAATCATTTCAGTTAGTGTTTAAGAGAAACTAAGGAATTAAAATAATACTAATGTTTCTGTAAGTATTAACATTACTGTACAAGAAGTACATCCCTAGAAATGTACATATAATTTCTAAGAAGTGACCTAGAAACTCTACGGCATCTCATTAATTTATGGATTGGCATTTATAAGCTTAACATAAACATCAATCCTTTCCACCAGAAACTTATGTGTTTTTCAATTTTTTTTTCTTTTCATCTTGGTAATGAAAAGACTAAAAAATGCAAGTTCATGTTAAAAAGCTGACTATTATTCTGATAACCAAAAGTTTAATATAAATTCCCAAATTAGAACTTCAAAACAATGGTGAGATTAAGAGAAACAAAATTACCTGTCTTAATTTGAGGACAAGGGCATGACTTGTGAGATGTTCAGATGGCCTTTGAAAAATAGTCATCATCTTTCATGACAAAATTTTACTTTCCTATTTAATATTACTATTTAAATTATTTCTCTTTAAATTTGGGGAACCACCACAAATATTCATTATTATCAAAAGCTCCAAGTTTTAAAACTTTAATTAGCTACCCATCCAAAGAAACGATATATCAGACTCTGAAAGTGAAGGAAATTTTTTTTTTCAGATTCTAACCTTTATTTCATTTTTTAAAATAAGTTTCTAAATGTTTTCAAACAAACACATTTAACATTTAACATATGTTTTCTTTACTGCCGTTTTTGCCTTCTTGGAAAAGAAGTAAGAAAAATATTAACTATTCCTTTAAATATCTACCTACATTCCAGCCAAAAAGTTTAAAGGGTGTTGTGGAAGGCGGGGAAAACTTTCACAGAAATTCTTAAACCCTTCAAGTACCACAAATGGGTTTTAGGTAGAATGAGCAATTTGTTAGATTTATTGCTTGTACTTGTTCACATAAAGGAAGTTATAAGGTTTTCTAAAAAAGAAGATAAAATTGAAGGTTGTTGGCGGAAACCGTTATTGTCGTAAACTAGCCAAATGAGGGATGTGACTCAGGAATGAAGAAGATGTTATTTTATCTTTTCTGTCACCTGCGTATGCCTCTCCTTTGAGTCATCTCTGAGTATATTCCACTGTTTTATCTTTCATCCTTGTTGTGAAAGCGCTTTTATTGTTTAGTAAGCAAAATTAGGGTAGCTGAGGTTGATAGAGCCAATGGCTGACAAACAATGAGGTCAATATCTGTCCCATCCTGGAAAGATTGAGGTTACAGCAGGTGAAATTATCATTCTGTTTTGTTTTTATTGCTCTAATAGAATGCCACAGAGTCCCTGACCTCTGCTGCCAGTCATGTCTTACTCTAATAGCAACATGTAACCTTTGACACTCAATTAAAATAGGAAATAAGGCAAAGAATGGGTCAATATGCATGTTTGGCCAATACAAGCCTTTGAAATGAATTCCAGGGGGCTTTCAAGGAAGCTGTAACCCTTATTCCTTTGGCACACAGACGTTAAAGTTATGGTCAGTAAATTAAACAAAACATAGACACAAACAATCAAAAATAGCCTATACCAGTAATTTTCTTTCTGATTTTAAGATCTGTATATTAAGGTATCTCTCAACTTACCAATTCACACATAAATTTTCTGATTACTGAGGGGAAGATACTGCTATCTGCTGGATAGGACAGGAGAGATGCTTTGGGCAGAGAAGTTTGTTGACTTGAATAGCCAGATCTTTTTATTTAATGTGAATTTATTTTATAAGTAAAAGAGAAACAGAGTGTATTTTTTAAATGGCACATTAGCATTGTTTTTAAGAAGAGTTCGATATGTGAATGTCAGTGTCGGTGATAGGATTGGTGATCAGTTGGAGAAGTGTCCATATTGGAGACAACAGGTGTACCAGAAGTCTGCTATATACTGACAAATTCCAAGTGAAACCGACAATTCCAAGTAAAATGGTTTAGACAGGTTTTAGCCTACACACAACACAAAGAAACATACGCACATGCACACACATTGGAAGAGATCTGGAAAGACAGACATAAAATATATATAGCAGCAATCTATGGGTAGTAGGAATATGGTATCTTATTCTTAATTTCTAAATTATACATTTACTGCTTTTGTAATAATAATACAAAAAATAATATTGCAAATCATCTACTTTATTCAAAAAGTATAAATTACATTACTGATAATCTCTCCTAATAGCCTCTTACTTAAAATATTATCAATATTATCTTTATCACTGTCTCGTCTCCAGCACTCATAGATCCATTAATTTCCGCCTGCATATGTTAATTGATGGCAAATGCTTCTGCTCTGCATGCCAGCTGAGACTAGTCTCATCTTCGCATATTCAAATAAAACTTTAGCCTCTTATTGTTTTAATATGAGGAAGGGGATACTGAGCTCTGCTAGTGTTTTACATAGACTGGGTATATAGATCTGTGGAAAAATGAGATGGTCTTTAGTTTTTATTTTTGTGCAGTATTCGTGAGAATGTATTATAAATGTTCTATTTCGTTTCTCTAGAAAAAGTGGATGCTCTCTTTCATTAAATATGCACTGAAACATTTAAGTAACATTATGATAAGTTGTGATAAGGTTTTCTTTTTTTTTTTTTTTTGAGACCGAGTCTCACTCTGTCCCCCAGGCTGGAGTGCAGTGGCGCGATCTTCGCTCACTGCAAGCTCCGCCTCACAGGTTCACGCCATTCTCCTGCCTCAGCCTCCTGAGTAGTTGGGACTACAGGCGCCCGCCACCATGCCCGGCTAATTTTTTGTATTTTCAGTAGAGACGGGGTTTCACCGTGTTAGCCAGGATGGTCTCGATCTCCTGACCTCGTGATCTGCCCGCCTCAGCTTCCCAAAGTGCTGGGATTACAGGCGTGAGCCACCGCGCCCGGGGTCATAAGTTTTTTAAAGATATGTAGAATTATTTTGCGGAAACAGCTGGACTTGGTACATTTCTGAAAGATAGCCTTTTGTACATTTTCTTTATTGTGTTAACAGAATGAAACTTTATATTTATTCTGGGGTCAGTTTTGGTAAATTATGTTTTCTTAAAAATATCAAATATATAGCATAAAATTTTTCAAAATATTTAAAGTTTTTACTATCTTGGATATATCCCTCCTTTTACTAATTATTTTGTATACTCTCCATTACTTACTTGATTAGGATATTCCTAGTTATTCTTTTATTTATTTTGTTTTAATGAAACTACTTTTATTAGTTACATGTTTTCTAGCTTAAGATTTCTATTTTCCAATAATTTATTAATTATTCTAATTTGGGGAGTACAAAATTTTTTATTTACCTGTAAGATCTACTTTATAACTTATTTTGTTTAGATATTTTATATTCTTGCTTTTTTGACTAGTTGATCTATCTTTAGCAGAGAGAAGGTATTAAAGTATCCTATTATATTTGTGTTTCTGCCTATTTTGCCTCATATCTCTTATAGCTTCTGTTTTATGACAGCTTCTGCTATGCTGTTTGGTGGATAAATATTCATAACTGTCATGTCATCAACATAAGTTGTAACCTTTAGAATTATAACTTCCATCTCTTGCCTGTTTAACAGTTTCGTGGCTGAATTATACCTTGTTATACCAATTTATGCATCCTCCCTTTTTTCACATACCTACTATATATCCTTGACCTTCAACTCTTCTGAATGACTTTGCTTACATGTGTTTTGAACCTAGAATTCTATAGCAAGCAAAATTAATAATAAAAAAGAGAGCAAATAAATACATTTTCAATCAAAAGATGCATGTATTGCACATTATTGTATTCTTATTCTATCCTACTGAGTTTTGGAGAATGCTAAAAGAGGTTATTCACCATTTTTTTCTAGAAACTCAGATCTTTTGTGCTTATTACTCATGTTTTATATATTAACATGCAATAGAGTTCCCCAAGTATGGTGCTATGCACTATTATATTTTTGATATTTAAGTATTTATGTTGTAAAATATATTTATATGTGGCCCCATGATCAATAAATTGGGGAAACACCATCAACTATAGCACTTTTTGGTAAATTCCCAAACTAAATAGCATGTGAATAGCCCTGAAAAATACTGTGATTAAAAGCAAATAAAAACTAAAATCTTGTTTGTTTAACTCATCATTCGTGATACAATCACAGTACAATTATAGTGTTGTTTGTCCCTTCAAAAATGTATTCAATGGAATTAACCTAATCTGACTCATAAATGAAAACTTTAGCAGGCCCATCTATTAATTACTGTTAAATGATGATTTGATTGCCCTAGAGGTACTTTAGTGAAAAAACAGTTTCAATACATAAATTAGATTATCTATGCCAAGATATAAGTCTTCATTCTAACTCCAGTCAAAGCCTGTTTTACACTGAATGAAAAGATACAGTTTATAGCCTTAAACTTAATGTTCTCATGCCTCTCCTTTCCCCCGGATTCTGACCCCTCTGATGATTCAGGGATGGGTGGAAGAGTAATAAGGGCATAGTAAAGGACTTAATGAAAAATCAATTCATAGTTTTCGAGTCTGGTCAAGTTTACAGTTCTTGGTTATGAGCATTTTTTTGTTAGTGGGAATCTCTGTAAACGTTTATTTGACCCACTAAATTCCATGTAGTCACTTGAGACTTCTTCTGTCGTTGCTAGCTAACCCATAATCATGTCCAGCTTCTTACTGCTAGCATCCCTGTGCCCAACTAGGTAACTTTCCTAGCCAGGAGTCAAGACTGCTCCACCCTGACCTCTGTCCTTTGTGATCACATCCATTTACAGGAAACATTCATACATCCCTTGCCCTGATAAACTCTGAGTATGCTAGTTAATCCCAATATAGTCTTCTCTACGCTGCTGTCAATGCCACTTTGGTTTTCTTGAAAATGGGTCAGGAAGCCATCTTCAGGGTCTCCAGATGGCAGGGAGCATATTTTAAACTCTGGGAGTTCCATGAAAGCCCTCTTCACTAGGCTTGTTGGCAAGGTCGCATACCCCACTGCCCTCAGCAGTGAGTGTAAGTGTAGGAGAGGCAGTGTATTTCATGACTACAGGAAGTGATACAGCATGCAGTTTATGTGAATGACCGACAGCTGGGAAAAAAAGGGTGTACTTCACAGAAAGTATCGCACCCTCGGAAGTTGTATAGCATGAAAGCTTTGACAGTTGAGACTTACAGCATAGCAATTGCTCTCGCCAAAGTTACGTATTCACAAATCACCTGTTTCTTTCTGTGGTTTATATAGTCATCCTTCAGTATCCATTGGGGATTGATTTCGCGACCCTCATGGATAACAAAATCTGAGAACGCTCAAGTCCCTTATATAAAATGGCATAGTATTTGCATATAACCTACATATATCCTTCCATATACTTGAAATCGTCTATAAATTACTTATAGTACCTAACACAATGCCTACACATCACTTCATTCGTGTAGATTCAACCTAGTACTCTGTAAGCTGCTAATTTAACTTAAGCTTTTCTTTTCTTTCTTTTTTTAATTTTTTTCTTTTTTAGATGGGGTCTCTGTCACCCAGGTTAGCTGGGACTACATGTGTGTGCCACCACACCCAGCTAATGTTTGTATTTTTCTTAGAGATGGGGTTTCTCCACGTTATGCAGGCTGGTCTTCAACTCCTGAGCTCAAGCGATCCACCCACCTTGACCACCCAAAGTGCTGGGATTACAGATGTGAGCCACCTAGCTAATTTAAGTTTTGCTTTTTGGAACTGCATAAAATCTTTTTTTTTTCCTGAATATTTTATTTGGTGGCTGGCTGAGTCCAAGGATATGAAACCCACGCATAGGGAGGGCTGACTGTATTCTGTAGCTGAGTCAGAGGGTGCAAAAGTCATGAAACTTGCTCTTGTACATTTCTTACGATGTTAAATTTTCATATGGAACTCTGTATCCCTCTCCCTTTAAGACCTGATATCTATTATGTTTGCATCTTAGTAAATAATAAGGTAGAAAAAAAATTGTAATGTCTTGTTAACCAAATATTTTCCAAAATTGTTTTATTACCAAAACTGTTTTTCCCCACATAATATTGACTAATTTTCTTGAATCAGTGATAATCCAGGTAACAGAGTTTCAGTGACGCCAACATGTAACCTGAGTTCAAACATAATAGCCAAGATAACTAGTTTTTGTCTGCCCAGAAACAGCTTTCCACTCTCTTTTTTTTTCATCCTTTTGGAGAATTTTTCTTTTTTTTTTCATGTATCAGTGGCCTGTCTTCTGTCAGAAAATAAAAGTGGGCAAAAAACTCCCCAAATCAGGCCAAAGCACTTTTTTCCACAGGATATTTTTAATAGAACCAATTTTTCTCCTCCATAGCTTTCTTAAGAAGGAAAAATATGAATCTAGAGGAGATGAGGGCACCATATTTATCTCCACATGAAGAAAGTTTGTCTGCAGAATGAAGTCAATGTACAGAGGGAGTCAGAGCCAAGAAAGAATATTTTTTGAGTTCCTGGACATAGCTGAGTCTCACGAGACAAATATATCACCAAACTTGCTTGTTACATGAGAAATCACATTCTGTTTTTTTCTTTCTCCCAAGATAGTTTGGGTTAGCTCTCTGTCTCACTTGCAACTACAAAAAATTTGACCAAAACACCCTAAATGTACCAACAACCCCTAATTAATTGTTTTCCTTTGGGAAATATTAGAAAACTATTGGGTTTTTTTTTTTTTTACCCCCAATAGCAAATTCGCAGGCATATCACAGGCAAATATTAGATGCTTCATCATTTTCCCCAATCTGTCTCCTATTTCCTATGATCCTTAATACAAAGCCAGAAACCCTGTTTGTTAGATAACTTTGCTATGCTAATGCCAAATCTGACTCCAATATCTCTTACTCTTTGCAGAACATAATAAGGCAATATCAAAGTAATATTAAATCAGTTGGCTTAACTCAAAAGCATAATTTATGTTTTGCAGTTTATGTCAATTCATGACTGCCACTAAACTAAAGCTAATGATGTTTGTACCTGAACTTCGTATTTTAAAATGAGCAAGTATATTCAGTTCTAAAGGAATATATACAAAAGTAACAGTTCCCACTGGAACCTTCTTTCTTATGCTTGTGATACACTTGGAATTATTTGCTAGTATCTACTATTATTCTTAGCGATTGAGGTACATGCTTACTAAAATTAGAATATATTTCTAAACTCAGAAGAACATGCATAGTCCACTTGAGGAACCTACTTGTTATTAAACGCTTCCCTGTGTTGGATCAAAGGATGAGCAACCACGGGAAATCAAAGAATAAAAATAAGCGTAAGACTGAACCAATTTAAAAAGCCATATTTTATTAAATGCCACTGCTATTAAATATTTTTATAGTTTCCCATCCTCTAGTGAATTTAATCTTGAGAAAAAATATACATCACTAATAGATTGGTATATGTTTGTGTGTATTGAAAATAATACATAAGCTTTTCAAGACTTAAGACATATATGTTTAAATAATTATCAAAAAAGGTAAGCATATAATGATCTTATCTTTCAAAATTCAGCCTCACATCATCAAGTAATGACGATTACCACAATAAGTTGCCCTTTGGAAAAGATAGATAGAAGAAAAATAGAAAGAGCGTAATACAGCTAGACTAAGCTACATATAGCACCTGCTAGAGTTGTGTAGTATGGAAGTTTTGGTGGGTAGAGACCCACTGAAGAGAAACAGTTCTCTCCAAAGAAATACATTCACAAATCTTTGTCATGACACTTAATCTCTAAGTGAGTTAACCTGTTAAAAATCTTCCTTTAACTAAGTAGGTAAAGCACTGATCAACTGCATTTCATAATTTTAAATGGCCACACTGGTATAAAAAAAATTGGATGGTTATTGCCATAAATTTATGAACAGAAAGAGTAAAATTGGAAAATGTAGTTTTATTTTAATTTAAGGGATTTTTCTAAAAATCAAAATGAGTGCATTCTTTGAGGCTTAATATAGATCTCTTTTTTTTGGCAGAACAACAAATGATGAAAGTAAAAGAGAGTGAACAGAGTTTTCCTATGGGAATTTAACCACATAGTTATTAGTGATGGGAAATTCATGTCTGGCTCAAAGATGCACGTATTCATAGGACTTTAGAGCTAAAGAAAATATGTAATCAGCAAATCCTACTCCTTTAGTTTACAAATGGGAAAACGAAACTCAAAAAGTTGAAGTGATTTGCTCAATGTCATACAAGGAGATACTAATAAATCTATACATGAAATTTAGTTTGTAGCCTTTTTCTATAAAATCGTGAACTTGCATATCTCTCAATTACTTTAAAGCCCTCAAAAATCCTACCCTTCCATCTTCATCTTCTCTGCTAAAATCAGAATCTTCAGGCTAGCAATGGGGCACACAAGGACAATTAATCCCACGTAATCACTGCACACCATGTAAATAATCAGCTGTCATTTTCTCAACTAAATTCCCTAATTAATACAATAATCAAAACAGAACTTTCAAAATATGTGTTTACCTTTTGAAAAGTTAAATATCTTGTGTAAGTATTGTAAAGATGCTCTTAATGGGAAAATAACTTTAAAAAGTTATGATCTAGTATGTAATAATTTTATAATAAGAGCATGCATTAAATATTATAAAAGCTGAAAGATTTTAAGTTTAGGGTATGTGCATTTATCACCTTTAAATTTATAACTTCCAACTGTAAGCCTGAATAAGATATAAATTCATTTGTCTTTGAGTGAATTAAAGTAAAATGGTTTATTTTGATCATTAAACTTTCATATGATTTACAACTTCTTGGCAACAAACGCGTATTTTTTATTGTCTAAAAGGCATAAAATACAACTACCTCAGAAATTATCTCTTGTCCATCTCCATATACGGCAAGGATTCTGGAGGACAAAAAAAGCACTCCAGTTTATTGAAGATTACCCAACTCCAATGGTGGTATCACTATCAGAAGTCATCTATTGAGTTTCAGCTTGCTGTACTTTCTACCACTTGTTACTAGAGCATACCTTCAACTTCAATAAATGGACCTTTTGTCGTCTCTGATATTTAGCTTTACTTTATATTAAGGACATCCTTTAATCTGTGAAGTGACTGTCAATAGCTACACACAAAAATTCTTAACTCTTCTTTACCTCAGTTATGGAAGAAATAGAAATTGAGGTGACAGCCTGCAGTAGACAGCACAAAGGATCATGAGGAATCAAGTGGGGTTATTTCCACAGCCATTTGCTACTCTCAGCTTAGAAGACTCTTATGTCATGTTGGGTTCTTTCTTCTAAGGGCTGGCATCACTTGAGAGAAGAAACAGGGCAAAGAATGCAGCATCCTCAGTTGAGGTCAGGAATACTGAAAAGGGATATTAATGGATTGAGCGTCAAAATGTCGTGATGGATGTCTTTCCAAGTATTTAACAGAGGAAGCAATTTGCAGGCTGGACAACCTGATTTCTAAATTCTAGCAGTTTCTCCTTCCACTCAGGATCCTGACTGCTCAAAATTAAATCACAATAAAGATAAATGCAATGTGTTAAGTTGTCCCTGAACTATTGGAATCAGATAAGAGGTGTACAGCATTGTGGGGAGATCACATAAGATTGTGATAACTCAAATGCTCAATTTGTCAAATGGCTCCTTCTGTTGGTGCAGAGAGCTGAAGCATTTTCATGAGCTTCAGATCAAGATCTTGAGCAAATGCTAGAAATAACTATTTTGTTTTGTGGGGGAACAAAGATAAATGTGTTCTGAATTATGAGGAGGAAAAACTAGGTGTGATTAAGCTTACATATTTCCAATGCGTGTTTCTTCAGGAATAAAACTACATAAACATTTTATTTGCCTCCAGTTCTCATTATTCTGCACACTATTTTCAGTCCTGGTAAAAGTAACAGCAATAGCACTTTGCATTTATACAGCACCATTTGTCCAAAAACTCAGTAATATTATGGATAGAAATAGTTTAATTTATTCTTACAGTGCATTTTTATGTAAATAAAGGGTTATATTTCATTTTACCTTTTTGTTTTTTTGTTTTAGATATAGAATAAATTAAAATCCAATTGGCAAAGTTTTGCAGAGAACATTACATAATAACTGAAAACTGCTTCCCTATTCACCATTATACTTCCATCAAGGACAGGGATTTGGCAAATACTTTGGCAAAAAATATCACAATAGAAGTTTAAAAATACTCCCCCTACCTGCATTTGAGCCATTAGCTTACATGCAGCTTTTCCTACCAAGCCACCAAGTCTCTCTTGCAACACTCTTTTTGCTTGAAGAAATGCAAATCTCTGTGAACAGTTAATTATATTAAATTTTTAATGTCATTTAAGACCAGATTTTGAACCCAAAAAAGATGCTTACTCAATCATTAAATTATAAGCCAAGCATAGGAGCCACTTTGTATAAGCAATGGGCTTTCAAATAATGGTCAAGTGCTGTAAAGTCATTTAAAAATTAAATGTGTTTATAGGCATATGTTATAATAGTCAAAAATACTGCAAACTAGATGAAACTGAGTATATAAAACAGTGGAAAGGGCTTAGGACTCTTCTCAGAATAACTGATGAGGGGAAAATGGTTAAATATTCAGGAAATATATCAGGATCATTAACATCATGATCAAGGACTCAAGAAATAATTAGGCTTCTGACAATCAGAATCCTGGACAGATTAACAAGTCCAGTAAATAGTCCTCAAACAGTGATTTGTCTCTACCATTGAACTTTTAATGGCACCAGAAGTAACCAGCTTTCCTCCTTCAGCATGAAACTCTTCAAAAAGTTATTTCCCTCTCAGCAACAGTGATTGATTAGATGTGGACTGAACCTCTCATGTATGTATCACAGATTTTCTGACTTGAGAGCCTGTGTTCAGTCTGTCCAGACATATTTTAATTTTCCTCCTAGCTCTCTTCCATGCTATTTGTCATTTTTGGTTCCTACATTTTCTAATGTGAGGAAAAAATTTGAAATTCTCAAAAATCCTGTTTTACAAAAAAATTAAAAAGATGGCCTAACCTCAAGACCTTATGTAACACTGAAAAATGTCTATATTAAAAAGCCATGCTTTAAGTGAATTTGAGAAATCTGAAGTACAGGAAGAAGAGAAATACAAAGAAATAAAATAAATTGCTACCATTAGGTATCATAATAACCTGTATTCAAGTGCACTAACAAGTAAAAAAGAGTAATAGTAAATAATGCTATGAACCTCCAAAACATAGATAAAAATGAGTTAAAAGAAGAATTCCACTGTGTGTGTATGAGTGTGTGTGTGTGTCTATGAATAGCACCATTATGTTTTGTCATTGAGTTCAAACTCCATTTCAAATAATGTTATGATGTGAGTAGACTGGGAAACCTCTCCTAAATCGGTATTTATAATGTACAGAGTGATTCTTAATCTAAAGTTTTAGTTTCTGAAAACATACATTATCCAAAGCCTCAGAGAGCACAAGTAGTTAGGCAACTAGGTAAAAGCAATGGTCTATAATGTTTCATGTAGAATGCCAGGAGACATACATTCAAAATGAAGGATCAACATCCCAGAGTCTGAAAAATAGCTAAAGCAGTGTTAAGAGGGAAGTTTACGAAGCTAAATGCTTAATCAACAAGTTAGAAAGATCTCAAATTAACAACTTAACATACCTAAAAGAATGAAAGAAACAAGGGCAAATCAGCTCTAAAACTAGCAGAAGACAAGGAAAAGATGAAATCAGAGCTGAACTGAAAAAACTGATATGTGAAAAACCATACAAAAAAAAATCAATGAATCCAGGAGGTTTTTTTTTTGAAAGAATAACATAGATAGATAGACCCCTAAGTGGACTAATAAAGAAAAAAGAAGATCCAAATAAAAACAATCAGATATAACAAAGGGAATGTTACCACTGACCCCAAAGAAGTAAAAAAAAAAAAAAAAGTCCCTCAGAGACTACTAGGGACACCACTATGCACACAGCTAAAAAACTTAGAAGAAATGGATAAATTCCTGGAAACACAACCTCCCAAGATTGAACTCCTCAAAATATTGTATCCCTGAAGAGCCCAATAATGAGCTCCAAAATTGAATCAGTAATAAAAAGCCTACCAACCAACAAAAAAAAAAAAAAAAGAAAGAAAAAAATGGCAAGGACCATAGCCAAATCCTACCAAATGTATAATGAAGAGCTGGTACCATTGCCACTATAACTAGTCCAATAAACTGAGGAGGAGGGGCTCCTCCATAACTCATTCTATGAGGCCACCATCATCCTGATACCAAAACATGGCAGAGACACAACAAAAAACTTCAGACTAATACTCTTGATGAACATAGATGCAAAAATCCTCAACAAAATACTAGCAAATCCAATTCAGCAGCATATCAAAAACGAATCCATCACAATCAAGTAGGCTTTTATCCCTGGGATGCAAGTTCAATTCAACAGACTCAAATCACATAACCAGAACTAAAAACAAAAACCACATGATCATTTCAAGATACAGAAAAGGCTTTGATAAAATTCAACGTCCCTTCATGCTAAAAACTCTCAACAAACTAGGCATTGAAGAAACATACTTTAAAATAATAAGAGCCATCTATGACAAACCCACAACTAACATCACTGAATAGGAAAAAGCTGGCAGAATGCCCCTTAAAAACCAGCACAAGACAAGCATGCCCTCTCTCACCACTCCTATTCAACATAGTCATAACCAGAGCATTAAGGCAAGAGAAAGAAATAAAAGGCATCCAAATAGAAAGAGAGGAAGTCAAACTATCACTGTTTATAGATGATATGATTCTATGTCTAGGAAATCCCATAGTCTCGACTCAAAAGCTCCCTGATGTGATAAACAGTTTTAGTCATGTTTCAGGATACAAAATCAATGTACAAAAATAAGTACACAAACAATATCCAAGGTGAGAGCCAAATCAAGAATGCAATCCCATTTACAATTGCCACACCAAAAAAAAAAAAACTAGTAATGCAGCTAACCACAGAGATGAAAAATCTCCACAGTGAGAATTACAAAACACTGCTCAAAAAAGTCAGAGATGACATGACACAAACAATGGAAAACATGCCATGCCCATGGATGGGAAGAATCAATATTGTTAAAGTAGCCATATTGCCCAAAGCAATTTACAAATTCAATGCTATACCTATGAATATACCATTGACATTTTTCACAGAATTGTAAAAAATCTACTTTAGAATTCATGTTAAACCAAAAAAAGAGCTCAAATAGCCAAGACAATCCTAAGCCCAAAGAACAAAGCTGGAGGCATCATGCTACCCAAATTCAAACTATACAACAGGGCTATAGTAACCGAAACAGCATAGTACTGGTACAAAAACAGACACATAGACCAAGGAAATGGGATAGAGAACCCAGAAATAATGCTGCACAACTACAACCATCTGATCTTTGACAAAGCTGACAAAAACAAGCAATGGGGAAAGGACTCCCTATTTAGTAAATGGTTCTGGGATAACTGGCTAGCACTATGCAGAAGATTGACACTGGACCCCTTCCTTATACCATACACAAAAATCAACTCAAGATGGATTAAAGACTTAAACGTAAAACCCAAAACTCTAAAAACTCTGGAAGACAACTTAGGAAATACCATTCATGACATAAGCACAAACAAAGAGTTAATGACGAAAATGCCAAAAGCAATTGCAACAAAGGCCAAAATTGACAAATGGGATCGAATTAAAAAGCTTCTGCACAACAACAACAAAAGAAGCTATCAACAGAGTAAACAGACAACCTCCAGAATGGGAGAAAATTTTTGCAAACTATTCATTCGACAGAGGTCTACTATCTGGCATCTATAAGGAATTAACCAAATTTACAGGAAAAAAACAAACAGCCCCATTAAAACATGGGCAAAAGACATGAACAGGCACCTCTCAAAAGAAGACATACATGTGGCCAATGATAATATGAAAGAAAGCTTAAAATCACTGATCATTAGGGAAGTGCAAATCAAAACCACATTGATTTGCCATCTCACAACCTGTCAGAATGCTTATTATTATAAAGTCAAAAAATAACATATGTTGGTGGGTTGCAGAGCAAAGGGAATGCTTATACACTGCTGGTGGGAATGTATAATTAGTTCTGCCATTGTGGAAAGCAGTTTGGCAATTTCTAAAGGAACTTAAAACAGAATTACCCTTTGACCCAGCAATCCCATTATTGGGTGTATACTCAAAGGAATTAGGAATACACATCATTCTACCATAAAGACACAAGCATGCATATGTTTATCACAATCCTATTCACAATAGCAAAGACATAGAATCAACCTAACATGCACATCAACAATAACATGGATAGGCTGGATAAAGACTGGATAGACTTTATCCAGTCTGGATAAAGAAAATGCGATATAAATACACCATAAAATATCACACAGCCATAAAAAAGAATATCATAAAATATCACACAGCCGTAAAAAAGAATGAGATTATGTCCTTTGCAGCAACATGGATGGAGGTGGAGCCATTATCCTAAGCAAACTAATGCAAGAACAAAAACCAAATGCCATATGTTTTCATACCTAAGTGGAAACTAAACATTGACTACAGATGGACTCAAAGAAGGGAACAACAGTTACACTGGGGCCTACATGTGGGTGGAGCGTGAGAAGAGGGTGAGGATAGAAAAACTACCTATCAGGTACCATGCTTATTACCTGGGTGATGATGAAATAATCTGTACACCAAACCCTGTGACACGCAATTTACCTACATAACAAACCTGCACATGTACCCCCGAACCTGAAATAAAAGTTAAAAAAAAAATGTAAATAAATGTATTTTAAAGAATTTTTAAATATAAAAGCACAGTTGAATTTAGAAAAAAAAAGGATCAGTATAGCATATATTCTTATTTAAGGCAACTTGCAGTTAATAGTATTTATTCATTTACTCACTCATTTACTCGACAACCAAAAATATATCTTAAATACTCATTACATACCAGGCACTTTTATAGGTATAGAGGTTATATCAGTAAATAAAATAGTCAAAAATCTCTGCCTTCATGAAGTTTCTGTGGGAAAGACCATGTAAAAGTTGATAAATCTATAGAGTAAGATTCAAGGTGTTACTGAGGAAATAAAGCTGCAGAGGAGAACCAGGAGGCCTAGTTGGGGATTGGGATATAAGTTAAATAGAGGGCTCAGAGAAGAACTCTCAAGAAGATGGCAGTTAAGCAAAGACTTGAAGGAGGTGAGGAAATTCACTCTGTAGATAGATTGGGGTATAGCATCATAGGAAGGAGGGTATAAACAAATGCGAGATTGCAGAGGTGGGAGTCTACCTAACATTTGTGAAGATCTGTATGGCTGATGAAAAGTGGGAAGGATAGGAAGTAGTAGGAGAGGAAGTGAGAAATATAATAAAAGGTGGGAAGACAAATCATGTAGGGTTTTTAGGCCATTTTAAAGACATTGGCTTTTATTCCAAGTAAAATCTGAATTCACTGGAGAGTTTTTAAGCAGAGAAATGACTTCTGCTGATGCATGCTTTGGCAGATCTACTCAGAATGCTTTGCTGAGAACAGACTTCAGAGGGATAAGATGAAAACAGAAAGATCAGTCAGGAAACTATTGTAAAAATCTACAGCAGGGTGTTTGCAGATAGAACCAGGACGATTATAGAAAAGGTACTGAAAAATGGGAAAATTCAGATATATTTTAATGATAGGGACAACAGAATTTTCTGTTGTAAGTTTTGAAACAAGAAACAGAGACAATATACAAAAACTAACAAAACCCTTGGGGGAATGCGGGATATTTTGTCCTGAGCAATTAAAAGTGAAATTACCACTAACTGAGGTGGGAACAATTGTACCAGGACCTGATCTGTGTGACAGAAGAAAATCAAGAGCTCTAGCTTGCACCTGTTAAGTTTAGACATTTTTCAGGTATCACAGTAAAGTTGTCTATAATCCAGGGGTGAGGTCCACACTAGAAAGAAAATGCTGTCAGTCATCAGATGGTATTTAAAGCACAAAGCCAAATAAGAATCCCAAGACAGCATAGATAGAAAAAAGGTCAAAGCAACTGACAAAGTCCAACATTAAGAGATCAAGAAGATGAGGATAAAACCATTAAAAAGATTAATATAGTGAAGATGACAAAGAAAAAAGAAAATCAGAAGAAATGTGGTGTCAAAAAGTCAAGTGAAGAAAGCAATTTAAGGAGAAAGGAATCTTCAGCTATGTCCTATGTGAATGATAAATCAAGTCATGAGAATCAAAACTTGACCATTAGATTTAGCATTGTGATGTCATTGGTAACCATGCCAGAAGTAGTTTTAGTAGAGAGGCGAAGGTTGCTGAGAGAATGGGGAAAAGAATTGGAGGCAGAAAGCGTAAACAACTGTTTTGAGGAATTTTGCTACAAGGATGAGCAAAAAAATGGTGTGATACCTGGAGGGTAGTAGAGATGAATAATTTTTTTAAAAATAGAAGCATACAATTTTGGGGAACAGCACTGTGATGAGACTGATAGAGTAGAAAAGGGAAATTTGGTGATAGAGGACAGAGAGTGATGTTTTTGAGTAGGCAAGAAAAGATGAATCTATTATATCAGTAAACAGGTGGGCCTTAGATACAGGCATGGTGAGTTCATCCCTGGGAACAACAGAGAGAGAGGACACATGCAAACAGATGCAGATGGAGGATTTATGAAGAAAGTTTGTAGTATTTTTCTTGCAACTTTCAATTTTCTAAGTGAATTGGGAAGTACAGTCATTGACTAAGAATAGGCATAAATTTAAGAAAGGGAAATGTTTAATAAGACATTGGGATAATAAATAAGCTGGAAATTGTATGATGCTAGAAGTATTTAGATTCATTTAAAGTTAGTGGATAGTAATTTTAGATGAGAATAATCAGCATGTTTCTAGATATTTCTCTAGCCATAGTCAACTGCATGAATGCAAATGTGTGCAGGAAACAGTACAGGCCAGGCACGGTGGCTCACACCTATAATCCCAGCACTCTGAGATGCTGAGGCGGGTGGATAATTTGAGGTCAGGAGATCGAGACCAACCTGGCCAAAATGATAAAACCCCATCTATACTAAAAATACAAAAAAAAAAAAAATTAGATGGGCATGGTGGCCCTATGCCCAGCTACTCAGGAGGCTGAAGCAGGAGAATCCCTTGAACCTGGGAGGCGGAGGTTGCAAGCCGAGATTGTGCCACTGCACTCCAGCCTGGGTGACAGAATGAGTGAGACTCCATCTCAAAATAACTAAATAATAACAGTTATACTTTTCCAGGGTTGATGTTTTGTCAAGTATGTAAAGTGAGAGGGTGGTAAAGAAGTTGCATGTGTGTATCACGGCATGGTTTAATGATGGTCAACAAATTCAAGCTGGGGTGGAGGGTTACAAGGACATGCAGGGGTAGAGAGGGTGTAGAAAGCTATGAGAATAATTGAATTTTTTTTTTTTTTTTGAGATGGAATGTCACCCAAGCTGGAGTGCAGTAGCACGATCTCGGCTCACTGCAACCTCCGCCTCCTAGGTTCAAGCGGTTCTCCTCCCTTGGCCTCCTGAGTAGCTGGGATTACAGGCACCTGCCACCACGTCCAGCTAATTTTTTTGTATTTTTAGTAGAGACGGGGTTTCACCATGTTGGCCAGGGTGGTTTTGAACTCCTGACCTCAGGTGATCTGCCCACCTCGGCCTCCCAAAATGCTGGGATTACAGGCATGAGCCACCGTGTCTGGCCCTCTTTAGTTGTTTCTTAACCTGTAAGTTGTTTTCCTTGAACTAATCCTATTTTTTTTGTATTTTTCCTACTTTACCATTTAATTTTGTAATCGTGTTTTCTCTCCTCAATCTGTCTTCTCTATTTTTTATCTTTTTCTTCCTTTCCCAGAATTCTATCTTTCAAATGTGCTGAAGCAGAGTTCTTTACCACCATATTCCTTATTGTCACCGTTTGTCCCAGCATTGTAAGACATTTGTCATCTTACATGAGTTGTACTTATGAAAAGGTATTGTTCACTATCCCTAGCATTTGTTGCCAAAGGTCTCTCATTAATATTTCTGACTTCACTTAGTACCACCATGTTAGTAAGCAGTGTGCAGTGACATTTCAAACATATTTAGAATTTATAGCGATTGTACAAAACAATTATTCTTGTTCATTCTATTTTTTCTTTAGACAAGAATGAAACTGAAACAGAGATGATGAGTCACCGAAAAGTTTATTTTATTCTTCTAATGAGCAGAAATATTTAACACAATTTAAGCAAATTTTTTTAAGTATTTAGAAAATTTTATTTATTTTAGTGTTCCAAACAACCTAGCAATTTTTTTAACAGATGGAAAAAAATCATGGACATTATTAAATATGGTATCCCATAATTACTTCAAAGTAAATTCTATCATATATCTGACATATTAAAATATATACTGAGATGGTAGAGTAAGCTTATCCAACCTGCAGCCCACGAGCTGCAAGCGGACCAGGACAGCTTTGAATGCGGCCCAACACAAATTCACAAACTTTCTGAAAACATTATGAGACTTTTGTGATTTTTTTTTTAGTTTATCAGCTATCATTAGTGTTAGTCTATTTTATGTGTGGCCCAACACAATTCCTCTTTTTCCAAAGTGGCCCAAAATATTGGACACCCCTGTGGTAAAGTTTTGTAGTTAATTAATTGCAAGACTTTATGATACAGATATGTCATTTTGAGTCCCAGGCAATGTCACCTACTAACTACATAACTTCTCTTTTCCTCGTGTACAACCATATGCACTAAGGCTAGGCACAGTGGCTCACGCCTGTAATCCTAGCACTTTGGGAGGCTGAGATGGGCAGCCAGATCACTTGAGTTCAGGACTTTGAGACCAATCTGAGCAACGTGGTGAATGCCTGTCTCTATAAAAAATACAAAAAATTAGTCAGTGTGGTGTTGCACACCTGTAGTCATAGCTGCTCAGGAGGCTGAGGTGGGAGGATGGCTTGAGCCTGGGAGGTGGAGGATGCAGTGAGCCGAGATTGCTCCACTGCACGGTAGCCTGGGCAGCAGAGCCAGACCCTGACGTGGCACATATACACCGTGGAATACTATGCAGCCATAAAAAGGATGAGTTTATGTCCTTTGCAGGGACATGGATGAAGCTGGAAACCACGATTCTGAGCAAACTATCACAAGGACAGAAAACCAAACACTGCATGTTCTCACTCATAGGTGGGAATTGAACAATGAGAATACTTGAACACAGGGCAGGGAACATCACACACCGGGGCCTTTTGCGGGGCGGGGGGCTGGGGGAGGGATAGCGTTAGGAGAAATACCTAATGTAAATGACGAGTTGATGGGTGCAGCAAACCAACATGGCACATGTATACCTATGTAACCTGTAGGTTGTGCACATGTACCCTAGAACTTAAAGTATAATTTAAGAAAAGCAATATTGGAGGGATTACAGTAACAAATAAAGCACTGAAAACTGTGTCTAGCAATTAAATAGTATTAACAATAAAAGTCATTATTGTTGTATAACACTTTGGTATTTTTAACATTCATAGATGACCAAGAAAGTGAATAGATTCCAGAGACTTATTCACAGTGTTTCCTCTCAGATTTTTAATGGATAAGCATTAATAAAAACAGATGAGTGAGTACAGTTAATTAAATGAATGCTAAGTCAATTTATATGGCTTGCTGAATTATGATAGGCACATTTTAAAATGTGGTAACACATACATAGAATCATAAAACACATAGAATTAGGTAACATATAGAATAATAAAAGCAAAAGGTAAATAAAGCGAATAAAATATACAGAATAAAATGTCTTCTGCCTCCAAAATAGCATTTATTTGTATTAATTCTTCGAAATATTTTCTCATGTTCAGATGAAATGTGGAAAATGAATTTTTTTAATCTTTTTATTACAAATAGATATGCTTCTATTTTAATTGTGTTAAGAAATATCTAGGATTTATATTATAGAATTTCATTAATGCCTAAATTCAAACTATGGATGAATTAAAATTACATATAACCTATGATAATGTCTTGATCAATGTGTCAGAGAATGATTTTTTAATGGCATTGCTTGTCCTTTTTTTGACATAAAGTATATAAAGTATTGCTCATGTGTTACCTCATTTTCATGGTTATGTTTTCAAAGCAAAGTGAGATACATTAGTAAATCAAACCAAACTTTTTACAAACAATTGAATTGTAGACTATAGAAGAAAAGTCAGGATACAACACTCGATATTAATGTTCTCTCTCAAGTCACTTGACAAAATATCTGAGCCCAGTATTTGTCAATAAAACCAGTGCATGCACAACCGCACGATAGGCAGGTGTATTAAGCAAAATGTCTGTTTCTCAGAGTCTATTCAACCTGGTTCAGAACTGTTTTCCTCTCTGTGTGGTACTGCCCCTTGAGACTTTATAAACCGAGCTCAAAATTAGCTCTTCTATCCAGCTGGCATCTTTCTACTTGACCAACTATTAATTTCCAAAGTGCAAAAAACCCTTTAAGTCTGATTAAGAAATTAAGTGAATTTAAAAACCTATTTATTAACTTAGTACTTCACTTGGTCCTTAAAACACTAGGAATTTGGGTAAAAAATAGATAAGAAAACTGGAATTAATTAGGATTAGATAATTTGCCAAAGCTATTAAGTGTTGGTACTGGAGTTTGAATCCCAGAACCGGTGTTATTAACCATTCTGCTCTACTACTCCAGCTTGTCTATTAATTGTTTGACGTTACAAAATCACAGGTGGGGAAATATGGTCACTAAGCTCTCACACTTTCTGTTTTTGAGGATTATCTGATTATATTAGGGAGGAATAGATCTTGGCTTCTTAAAGCAATAGTTAATTCTGTGATACAAAATGTTTATTTTCAAAAGCAGTTCTTTAGAGCTAGGCCTTAATGGCTGCTCTTAATCTTAACTCATTCCACCGTATAACCAGAATAATAACTCAAATAGATTCCACTCTAAAAGCAGTGACTCTTAAATAGATTTTAGTAAAAGTTATTAAAAGGTAAGGATTACAGGGTGTCATCAAATGGCCAGTGACCGCTATTTATCACATTCTCCAAATTATCTTCCTGACTGCCCTCTTTTTTCTCAGAAACCTTGTGTCAAGTTCTTTTATCTTATTCCTCAGCCTTTATTAACATCTTCTACTCTCAAGAATTCCACTCTTTAGATGAAATGTTTTCTTTCCCATGTTCTCCCATTCTCTCAGACTAAATTCTTCCCATCATCCCTCCAGGTTTTTGTAAGCATTTAATCAGAAATGTATCCTCCCTAGAACAATGCCGATGTTCTAGGAAAGGGAATTGAGGGTTGTAAAAAGTGTACACACACATACACACACACACACAAATACAATTATGTAAGTTTCCCAGTAGCAATATTTGATAGATTTCTTCTCTTTGGGAAATTTGCAAAGAAAATGATGCTCTGGTTAAATATCTGTACACTTCCACGTTAATAATTTTGTTAAGGAGGCCAGTGAATGCGGAAATAAAATTTTTTTGCAAAAAGAATAAAATTCTTGCTACACAAAGTAGCTGCTGTTTGTGGACTTAGGTTTATATTTACGTGTCAAAGGAAGAGACTAGACCAATATTAAAGGAAGATACTGATGAATTTATAGTAGATAATAACATAAAATAACTCATTGAGGTCATCAAGGCATAAAAGAAGGATTGAGGAGAAGACCCGACTTGCTTTTAATAATAATGATGGGCCGGGTGCGGTGGCTCACGCCTGTAATCCCAGCACTTTGGGAGGCCGAGGCGGGTGGATCACGAGGTCAGGAGATCGAGACCATCCTGGCTAACGCGGTGAAACCCCGTCTCTACTAAAAATACAAAAAATTAGCCGGGCGCGGTGGCGGGCGCCTGTAGTCCCAGCTACTCGGGAGGCTGAGGCAGGAGAATGGCGTGAACCCGGGAAGCAGAGCTTGCAGTGAGCCGAGATTGCGCCACTGCAGTCCGCAGTCCGGCCTGGGCGACAGAGCGAGACTCCGTCTCAAAAAAAAAAAAAAAAAAAAAAAAAAAAAAAAAAATAATAATAATAATAATAATAATAATAATAATAATGATGGCCACAAAAAATACTATGCCCTTGAAAAAAGTATTATTCTTTTTAAGCTACTCTATATATTGCCTTTAATTGTAACTTACTTTATAACGTGTATTAAAGACTGAGACTTTCCATATTGAATTTTTTTTTGTTCCTCATTACTTTTCCTCATTTGAGAGAATACGAAAAATTTGGTTTTCCCTATAATGGTTAATCTGACCATTATAGGGAAACATGACACAAACAATAGCTAAAATTTTTAAGTAAGCGCATGAAATTGAAGGTAATGAATGTGATGTAATGATGGAACATTTCTGTTAATGATTGTCACTGATTATTATTTAAAGTGTATTATAATCTTTTAAAAATCACTTTATTGAGGTATGATTGACATACAGATAGCTGTATAGATTTAATATACAGAAGCTGATGAATTTGGAGATAAGTATAAATCCATAAAACCATCACCACAATCAAGGCCCTAAACATACCCATCACCATCAAAAGTTTCCTCCTGCCCTCTTTATGTTATTCTTAGTTTTTATTTTGGGTCGTGGGGGTGGTAAAGAACACAACATAAGATCTAACCTGTCATTAATTTGTTAAGTATACATTGCAATATTGTTAACTATAGGTACTATACCGAACAGTCGACCTCCAGAACTTATCTCATAAAACTGAGACTTTGTACCCTTTGACTGTCACATCCCTATTTTCTACCCCCATAAGCCTGGCAACCAACTTTGTACTGTCTGCTTCTATGAGCTTGACTACTGAAGATTTTTTGTATAAGTGGGAACATGCAGTATTTGTCTTTCTGTGTCTGGCTTATTTCACTTTACGTGTCCTCCAGGTTTATCTAATGTTGATGTAAAGAAATGCCAGGATTTCTTTCATTTTAAAGCTGAGTAATATTCCCTTGTATGCATATACCCATTCTTTCGTTCATTCATTCATTAATAGACATTTAAGTTGCTTTAATATCAGGGATATAGTAAGTAATGCTGCAATAAACATTGGAGTTCACATATCCCTTAGAGAGCCTGATTTCAATTATTTTGGATATATACCTTTCTTTGGGCTTTTTTTTTTTTTTTTTTTTTGAGCCGGGGTCTCCCTCTATCGCCCAGGCTGGAGTGCAGTGGTGCGATCTTGGCTCACTGCAACCTCCACCTCCTGAGTTTAAGCGATTATTCTGCATCAGCCTTCCAAGTAGCTGGGACTACAGGCGTATGCCACCACGCCTGGCCAATTTTTTTTATATTTTTAGTAGAGATGAAGTTTCACCATGTTAGTGAGGATAGTCTTGATCTCCTGACCTCGTGATCCGCCCTCCTCGGCCTCCAAAAGTGCTGGGATTACAGGCGTCAGCCACCACACCCAGCCTAATTTTAATTTCTTAAGGAAACTCCATTCTGTTTTTCATAGCAGCTGCACCATTTACATTTCTGCCAACAGTGTAAAGGGGTTCCCTTCTTTTCCACATCCTTGCAAACTCTTGTTTTTGTTTTTTGTTTTAGTTTTATAATAGCCATCCTAACAGATATGAAGTGATATCTTATTGTGGTCTTGATTTTTCATTTCCCTGATGATTAATGATGTTGAGCATCTGTTTACATATCAGTTGGTCATTTGTATGTCTTCTTTGGAGAAATGTCAGTTTAGTTTCTTTGCCCATTTTTTAATCAGACTATTATTATTATCATTATTATATGCTAAAGAGTTGAATAAGCTCCATATATATTTTGAGTATTAACCTCTTAACAGATACATGATTTCCAATTTTTCCAATTTCATAGGTTAATTTTTCATTTCATTGATTGTTTTGCTGTACAGAAGCTTTTCAGTTTGGTATAATCCTACTTCCCTATTTTTGCTTTTGTTGCCTAGGCTTTTGGGGTCATATTCAAGGAATCATTGCAAAGAGCAATTTCAAGAAGGTTTTCCCCTATGTTTTCTTCTAGGATTTTTATTCATGTTTTACATTTAAGTCGTTAATGCCCTTTAAGTTGACTTTTGTGTATGGTATAAGATATGGATCCAATTCCATTCTTTTGCATATGGACAGCCAGTTTCCCCAACACTATCTGTTGAAGAAAGTGTTCTTTCTCTATTGTTTATTCTTGGCATCTTTGTTGGTGCTCAACTAATCATATGTGCCTGAGTTTGTTTCTGAGCTGTCTATTCTATTCCATTGGTCTATATGGGTGTCTTCATGCCAGTACTATGCTGTTTTGATTACTATTGCTTTGTAATATGTTTTGAAATCAGGAAATATAATGCTTCAAGCTTTATTTTTGCTCACAATTGTTTTGGCTATTCAAGGTCTTTTTTTTGGTCCAAAATGTTTTCTCTATTTGTATGAAAAATGTCATTGGGAATTTGATAGAAATTGTATTGAATCTGTAGAGTGCTTAAGAAAGTATGGACATTTTAACAATCTTAATTCTTCCAATTCATAAACACAGGATGCCTCTCTATATTATTCATGTCTGCCTGAATGTTATTTACCAATATTATATAATTTTCCATGTACAAGTCTTTGCCTTTTTGGTTACATTTATTTCTAAGTATTTTATTATTTTTTGACATCATTGTAAATGAGGTCATTTTATTAATTTATTTTTCATTATTAAAGTATAGAAAGGCAACTGATATTTGTATGTTAATTTTATACCCTTGCAAGTTTACTGAATTCATTTTTAGTTCTAACAGTTTTTTTGTCTGTGGAGACTTCAGGGTTTTCTATATATAAAATTATGTCATCTACAAACAGATAATTTTACTTCATTTTTTTTCAATTTAGTGTATTTTATTTTATTTTCTTGCCTAACTACAAGTTGTTACATAATGTTAGTGATGAGTTTTTCATACGTTACCTTTGTTTTACTGAGGTAAGTTTCCTTTATATCTAATTTGTTGAGAGATCTTATTATAAAAGGGTTGGATTTTATCAAGTGCTTTTTCTGCATTTACCTAGAAGATCATGTGATTTTTCTCCTTTATTCTATTTGTAGTACACTTTTAATCACACTTCAATTTCTCTATATTTTTATTCTTCTCTCTCCCCAGTTTTGATTAATCCCTAAAATAAAATGTATATATTTGTAACATATTTGGTAAGATTCACATAATTGTTTCATTTAAACAATTTTGAAATCCTCATTAATTAAAATGAGTTCTCCTTCAGTCTAGATCATACAAGAAATCAGTGTAGTGTGCTGTCATAAAAAAATGAGATAGCTCTGTATCATACAATGAAGGAAAAAAAAAGGACCTCCATTTTCTTTCCAGCCATTATTTTATTTTCTTGTTCTAGTTTTGAGATTGTCCATTAAATAAAAAGGAAAAGTGGATATTTTACAAAAGGGTGATATTTTTTCTTTATAACAGAGAGATAGATAATAATAAGAGAATGGTAGCAGGACATGTCAATCCAAAGCCAGCATCATACTTAGCGGTGAAAAATTAGAAGCATTCTGACAACACAACAAGCATATTTAATGCTATTCTTTAATGATGTTTATTCGGTACCATTCAAACAATTGAAGAAAGACAAAAAATAGAAGACATAAAAATTGGATGGAAGAAATAAAATGGCCTTTTTTGCATATGACATGATTATATTAGGAAAACTCAAGGAATTTCAGTATAATTATAAACATCGCGTTCTTTCAATAAGTTGAGTGATTACAAAATTAATACATACTAAGTAGTCTTTATATTTAAAAGCAATATCCAGCTGGAAATATATTAAAAAGAAAAACCCCTTGAAAATTTTAACTATGAAAAAATTATTTCCAAGAAATTAAGTTTAACAATATGCAGAATCTATATTTAAATTTTTTTAAAACTTCTGAGAGCAAAAAAGTGGACTTTAAAAATATAGCTAAATCTTAAATGGAATTATTATTACTGTATGAACATGTCAACTTTTCCTAAGTTATTCTATAAATTTCACATGACCCAAATTAAAAGCATATTTTATAAATAGACAAATAGATTTTAATATATACATGGAAAAAAAGTATTGAATGAAATCTTACTAGAAAAACTCTGGAAAAAAAGAGTATTAAAGAATGGTTACCCAAATATGAAAATATTTTGAATGCTATAGCAATTAAAATTATATGGCACTGGTACTTGGACAACATCAAGGAAACATTGCAGAAAAGAAATAGCAAATACAAGCAAGAATTCAAATTCTTGTAGAAATTTTGCCTTTATGAATACGACTTCTCATAATTTTAGGATAACAGTGTTTAATTATACACAGGTAAAGAACGTTTGTATCTTTCTGGAAGAGTGTAAACTCCTTAAACTACTATAGGATCAATTGCAGCAATAATTATATGAATTAGCATGCACAAAACATTTACCTTAGCAATTCCACATTTTGAAATATTTATATATATAATCCCATATGTGTAATACAGTACTAATGTGAGAATCTTTTAATTTTAGCAATGTTCACAGTGGTAATATACTAGAAACTAAAGAAATATTTAAAGTATATGTCATCTATTAAATATAATAGTATGCTATCACCCAAATAATAGCAATAACTATATATTTGCATAAAGCAATTTAAAATTTATACCAATAACTGGAGGGAAAAATATGCAGAAGGCTATGTTGCTGATTTTATATAAAGATTTAAAAAAAAAAAAACACCAAACAGGCACATACGTAAACATTTGTGTATATTTACATTATCTCTAAAAGAGTTGCTAAGGTTTTCCCTCTGGAGAAAGGTACTGTATAGCTCCCAAATATGGACAGAAGGAAAATGTAGTCTTCATTGTATTAGCTTTTGGATTTTTGATTCTTTATCAATGTACATATTTCATGTTAAAAAAATAAAATTTAAGAAGAAGCTATCAGTAGCTACGCAAAGAAGGGTTAGCACTCATTATTACTGGGACCCAATGCTAATTTTATTGCTCATCTGGATTTGGGACAGATCCAAGACTTTCGCAAACTCTCTGAAAGCTTCTTTTATTTGTTGCAAGCACTATATATATATACACACACAAGCACTAACACTTCTGTGTACTATGTAACCTGAATGAGAAATTGCTTTGATGATGTATTAAGCTATACATCATCAGAGCCAGCTGCCATTCTGATGATGTATTAGTGCAATAAATCTTAAGATGTGACACATTGAAAAAGTATTACTCAAAAGAGAATGATCTCCAAGTTAAAAACTGATCCAACACAAAATTCAAAGAGAAACCTATAGATAAACAATTTATCTGTTGCCAAGAAGTGATATGCAAGCAAAGATGTCCTCTCAGGGCGCTTCTATTTTAGGCATTAGAATGTTAGCAAGCTCAGGGGAGATCAAAACTATTCGTCCCTTCCTCCAGCATCCAAAATTAATCCTGGAGATAACTGGTTAAGAGCACATGAAAGAATCATCAGAGGAGAAAAGAAAATAAAATGAGCACAAGAGTTTTAAGGGTTATATGTAAGTAGACGGAAAAATATCTGGGCACTGGAGGCATTTCAGAGGAAGGTGCACGCCTAATTTCAGATGAGGATTTGTTTTGAAAAACTGAAAAACTGCAATGAAAATGCAGAACTCAAGTCGAGAATATGGCAGAAAACAGGGGAGAATCATGTGCATGTTTCAGGTCTTGTTCAAAAGCAGCTTAGGGAATTCTCCCTGAATTAAAAACTGACAACAACGAGAAAATTTTATAGATTGGTTTTGAATTTTGCCATTTATTAACTGTGTAACCTTGGGAATTTTTAAATAAGCTTTTGGCACACAAACTAGAGAAAGAAACTTAACATAGAAAGTGCTTATTTTCATCCAATAAAAGACACTGAAGAAAGTTTTCACACAAATTTTTATTTGTGGTTGTTTAGCATTTTTGCTCGAGAATCTTTAAGTGAATACAGAAAGTGACTTTTTAGATGACATCCCATTTGTAAGCAATAGGGGCATGTCCCAATTTGTTCATTTCTTAAGTGTAGTATATACTGCTTCTGTGTGTCAGGAACTGTGGCTAGCCCCAACGACACAAACTGAACAAAACAGACATGTTATTTATTTTCCTTTGCTTCTGTATTGTCCCTCTTTTATCCCTTATCTAAAAACACACATCCTCTTTTTTTTTTTTCAATGTTTAGCTCATTTTTCATGGGTCTCATGTAATCATCCATGAGCACATCATCCCTAAGTATGATCTCCCTCCTCGGAATTTCAATGAACTTCAAAATTGGAAGGAACATTCTAATCTATTTCAACATTTTCAGTTTAGAAATGAGAAAATTGTAGCCTAGCTGGGTCAACTGACTTACATGCCCAAGGATCATAGTTATGAAACTGTATGTGTATATATATATGACTTGAATCAGGTCTTCTAACTTTTCACAAGAATGTTTCCACTTAATCACACCTCTATATTATTTACCCATCTATGCCACTCATTTGGCATATGACCTACACTGTCTTGTTTTATTTTTCACTTTTTGTTTCTATAATGTATGCTTTTCCTAATTGAAGAGAACTTTCTGAGACTACATCTAATTTATAGATGTGTTCTCCTCTCTCCCAACACAGGACCTAACTGTCTTTCTGACATAAAGTGACTCTGCAAATGTTAATCTATTCAACTTTCCAAAATTGCTGAATTTTGAGAGAAGAACCATGTCAAATGGTGCTCTTCATGTGGCCCCAATCATGTCACTATTTTTGAATAAATTATAAGTCTTTTCTAACATCACTCTATATGAAGAAATTCCATCTCTATATGGAATTGTGGCAAAAAGTACTTGAAGGAATATCAGTGAGTTCTAGGGAAGCACTAGAAGGTCAACTGTTGGGCTGCCCAGTCCTGTTCAAAACTTTTTAACAAACACACAGAATAAAACGGTTTCTGAAAACCCTCATGCTGAATCTGAGTGACATATTTGAGATAGGAAAGAAGTAAGCCAGTTGGCTAGACAGCTCAGTGGCAACAGATAGGTTTGTTGTATGGATGGTTTCTTTAAGGATTAGAGTGAGGAACTCCTGCAATCAGCTCTGGCTAATGAAATGGAGGATATTGCTACAAATTCCTGCAGGATTATTTTAAAGATATAAACTTAATACACATATTAATTACATCTACACATAAGAAACACTCTTCACTCCTTCCCCTTGTTCAGGTTTCATTTGAAAATCCAATTATACAAAAATGCAGTTTTAATTATTAATATTGATTTTACTTCTTTGCTAGGAGTGGAACTAATTCAATTAGTTCTAATTATGTGCATAGAGTGGCTGGACTAATCTTTCAGGATGTTGGCCCACTAATTTCATACTACTTTTCCTCACATCCGAGTCAGAGAGGAATATTAAGGCTCTGAAAGTCTGAAATTGTGCAGACCTTTAACAAAGAAAAACAAGGAAAAGGATACAATAATCTGTTAAATAATTTGACAGTGATTTTTCAGATGCAAAATTTTCCAAATCAAATTCTATTTAGCCTTTGCAAGCAGCAACACCAGCAGGGTTTAGAGAACTCTTGTAAGAAGCAAGAGGAAGACTAATGATAACAGAAACAAAGAAGAAATATTGTTAAGTGGCAACAACTACTTTTCGATTTAAAATATCAAAGTGAGATCAAATGAAGTAGGTTTAATAATTTATGTAAAATAAGCTGGACGTTTTGTAGAAATAAGAAGTGCTATGATACTGTCAAAGCAAATTATACCAGATAAACAGGCAGGGAAGACTTTTTTCAAGGTTCTTGCAATAGAGACATAAAACTCATCTGATCTCAACTCTGCTGAAACGAAGAGCAGGATGACAGATCTGAGTCCATCTGTGTGTTAACTGGCTTTACAGAAGCAAAAAGAAAACTTTCTCTTGTCTTCATCATGAGATACTTTTACAGCTTGAAGCAAGATACCCACTTAGGCTCCCACCCTCCCACAGTGACTGGGAGACTGGGGTGCTATCTTCCTTCATGATTTTAAAGGGATGGCTTCCAGGCCCTAGAGGAAGACAGCCCTGGGTGTAAAACTGGCAAGAAGCTTTTAAAATGATTTGCATCTCAACCGGGCTGAGAAAAAATTAACTAGCTTCCTCAAGTAAACACTCTAAGATAAAGAGCAGAAGCCTAGACTCAGGAAGAAGTAGGCCTAAGGTCTAGTCAAGCTGAGAGGAACCAGTAAGACCAGTTTGGTCTGTAAGTTGAAAGAAGGTGAGGTGTTTCCTAGAATACAAAGATTCAGGGTCTTTCTATGGCAATTAAAGCAACAACAATTAAAAAAAAAATCAACCGGAAAACACTAACAGTGAAGTACTTATTTGTGTGTACCTTAATCTTTGTTCACATTTACAGCTGATATTTAGCTTTCGAAAAACGTAACCACCTCTGGTAGAGAGAGTTCTGTAGTGGAAGCCAGGAGATCTGAATACAAGCTGCATCTCTGCCCAGGGACTTACTAGTTAGGAGACTTCGAAAAATTAAAGTTATTACCTCATCTATGAAATGAAAGACTTGGAAAAACTCGGTCTTGGTGATAGTCTCAGGTCTCTTGCTTATTTTATATTTTACAAGCCTATGTTTATGGTCTCTATAGAAATGTTTATAATTATTGTCATCTCATTTAATGGCTAATTTCAACCTAAAATTATTACCCTCGCGTTTTAGGAAAAACTTTGAGTAATTGAACCCTTCTCTACAATTAAATGGCAAGCTAAATAAGGATTAGGTAAAGTCCTCTTCCTCCAGCACACTCTTCCTACCTCCCCAACAAAAACAAACACAAACACAAAACAAAACCCTAAGTCCTTTCCCTCATGCCTCACATACCTATTTTGCCTGAAATTCCTTAAAATCAGATGTCTGCCTGACCTCTTCCTCAGGGTATCAATATAGCCTCAGGAGATGAAGAATCAAAAAGCTTTTGTCAATGGCTATTTAAGACCTTGATGCTACCATCTTTTGTTTTGCACATACACTAAGACATACACAACTGATGGAATTTTATCTATTTGAAACAACCTCCCCATACAACTTTACATTTGACACTTCTGACAGCCAAACCTATTAGGACATTCAAATATGTAAAAGTATTTAAGGGAAGGCTTGCATTAGCTTCCTACATAGTCATCCAGAATTAACCTTTCTCTCTGCATTAATGACAGAGACACAGGTCATTGTGTAGTGTTAACCCTTTTGGAAAAGACAGCTAATCCAGATAAACATGTCTTTAGAAAGTCTGTGAATTTCAGTTTTAGAATAAGCACTGTAGTAAGTCTGAAATTTTATCACGTTGGTGGTTGCTCTAAGAAAATTAATGTTTATAATTAAAGACGCAAACACAATCAGCAAAACGCTAGGTTTATCAAAAATGCTTATTGGAAAAGCCAAATTATTGTAGAAAACATAGTAAAAATAAGTATAGCAATGATGATTATGGGCACTGGTGTAAGCACTTTACCTGTATTAACTCATTTCATCCTAATTTTCAAGGTTGTACATAACAGGAAACAAGGCAAAGAAAGATGAAGTAATTTCCCTTCACACAATTTATAAATAGCAAAATGAGTATTCAAAGCTAGAAGGTCCTATATGTTTTAAGCCCTTTCATACTGTTCATACTGTCAAAATTGCTTTAAGAAAAGTTGTACCAAATTTTAATTCCAATAGCAATGTACCTACATATCTTTATTTTCAACAATATTGAAGTTATTGCAGGGATACTTCGTTTTATTGTGATTCACTTCGTTCCACTTCACAGATATTGCATTTTTTTACAGATGGAAGGTTTATGGCAACCCTGTGTTGACCAAGTGTGTTGGCACCATTTCTCCAACAGCACGTGCTCGCTTCATGTCTCTGCGTCACAATTTTGTTAATTTCCACAATATTTCAAACTTTTTCATTATCGTTATATTGTTACGGTGTTCTAGGATCAGTGATTTTTGATGTTACTACTGTAATCATTTGGGAGCAACACAATCCAGGCCTACAGAAGATGATGAACTTAATTGATAAATGCGTATTCTGACTTTTCCACAGACTGGCCTCTGAGTGTTCAATTGAAAGGAAGAGTCGCATGTCTTTTGCTTTAAATCAAAAGCTAGGAAAGATTAAGCTTAGTGAGGAAGGCACGTTGGAAGCAAAGATAGGCTGAAAGCTAGGCCTGTTGTGCCAAACAGTTGGGAATGAAAAAAAAAAAAAAAGAACCTTAAAGAGAATTAAAACTGCTACTCCAGTGACCACACAAATGATAAGAAAGTAAAACAGCTTTATTGCTGATATGAAGAATGTTTTAATGGTCTAGATAGAAGGCCACACCAGCCACAACATCCCCTTAATCTAAAGCTTATTCCAGAGCAAGGACCTAACTCTCTTCAAATCCATGAAATCAGAGAAAGGTAAAGAAGCTGCAGAAGAAAAGTTTGAAGCTAGCAAAGGTTGATTCATGAGGGTTGAGGAAGCAAGCTACCTCCAAAACATAAAGGTGCAAGGTGAAGCAGCAAGAGCTGATGTAGCAGCTGCAGCAAGTTATCCAGAAGCCCTAGCTTAAGAGAACTGAAGAAAGTGGGTACCCTAAACAACAGATTTTTAATGTTGAAAAACAGCCTTATATTGGAAGAAAATGCCATCTAGGACTTTGACAGCTAGAGAGAAGCAGCCAGTGTTTGCCTTTTAAAGCTTCAAAGGATAGCCTGACTCTTACATTAGAGGCTAATGCAGCTGGTGACTTAAGTTGAAGCCAATGTTCATTTACCCTTCAGAAGGCCCTAGGGTCCTTAAGAATTATGCTAAATCTACCTTGCCTATACGTACAAATGGAACAACAAAGCCTGCATGACAGCACATCTGTTTATAGTATGATTTACAGAAAATTTTAAGCCAATATTTTGAGACTTGACTGTTCAGAAAAAACTGTATTTTTCAAAATATTACTACTCATTGACAACACACCTGGTCACCCAAGAGTTTTGATGGAGCTGTACAAAGAGATTAATGTTGTTTTCATGCCTGCTAACCCAACATCAATTCCATAACTCATGGATGAAGGTGTAATTTCAACTTTCAAGTCTTATTTAAGAAATACATTTTCTAAGAAATAGCCAGAGAGCAAGAATTAGATGTGGAGCCTGAAGATGTGACTGAATTGGTATTATCTTACGGTAATACTCTAATGGATAAGGAGTTGCTTCTTATAGATGTCCAAAGAGAGTGGTTTCTTTTTTGTTAGAAACTATTTATTTATTTATTTATTTATTTAGAGACGGAGTCTCCCTCTGTCGCCCAGGCTGGAGTGCAGTGGCACGATCTCGGCTCATTGCAACCTCCACTTCCCAGGTTCAAATGATTCTCCTGCCTCAGCCTCCCGAGTAGCTGGGAATACAGGTAAGTGCCACCACGCCCAGCTAATTTTTATTTATTTATTTATTTATTTATTTTTAGTAGAGGCGGGATTTCACCGTGTTAGCCAGGATGGTCTTGATCTCCTGACCTCGTGATCCGTCCACCTCGGCCTTCCAAAGTACTAGGATTACAGGTGTGAGCCACTGCGCCCAGCTCAAAAAATTTTTTAATGAGAAAGATTTTATCAGAACAGTTGTACATATTTATGGGATATATATGATATTTCTATACATGCGTACTCTCTATCCCCGTGAGATAATTTGCTAAGCTCCAGCATACAAGTGAAAAACATGCAATATTTGTCTTCCTCTGCCTGGCTTATTGATAGGTAATAATTGTTCATATTTATGATATTCATGTGATATTTTGAGATATGCATAACAATGTGTACTGATTAAATCAGGGTAATTAGGATATCCATCACCTCAAACATTGATCATTTCTCTGTGTTGGGAATATGGCTTCTTGAGATGGAATCTACTCCTGGTCAAGATGCTGTGAACATTGTTGAAATGACAACAATGAATTTAGAATAATACACAAACTTAGTTGATAAAGCATTGGCAGAGTTTGAGAGGATTTACTGCAAGTTTGGAAGAAGTTCTGCTGTGAGTAAAATGCTATCAAACAGCATTGCATGCTACAGACAAATCTTTCATGAAAAAAAGTCAATTGATGCAGCAAACCTCATTACTGTCTTATTTTAAGAAATTTACACAACCGCCCCAACCTTCAGCAACCATCACTCTAATCAGTCGGCAGACATCAATGTCAGGGCAAAACATTCAATTGGCAAAAAGATTATGACTCTCTGAAGGTTCAGGTGACAGTATTTTCTAGCAATAAAGTATTTTCAAATTAAGATACGCACATTATTTTTTAGACATAATGCTATTGCACACTTAATAGACTATAGTGTAAATATAACTTTTATATCCATAGGACAACCAAAAATATCTTGTGGCTCACTGTATTGCAATATTGGCTTTATTGAGGTGGTCTGGAACCAAACCTTCAATATCTCTGAGGCATGCCTGTACTTAATTAAATATTTTGTCAATTTAATTAGCAAAAAGCAGTATTTAATTATTTGAATATGCATTTATTTAATTAATACTAAGTCTGAGCACTAAAAAAAATTATCCTTTTTTCATTTTTAATTGGTTTGTGTCTTAGAACCATTGATTTTCTGTTGAAGTAATGATGCATTAACATATGTGAATATGTTTATGTTAACTATGTATATAGTGGTTATTTATTTTCTTGACCAATTTATATATTCTTGTTCTATTTCTTTCCATATAGCTAAGTGATTAAAAAGGTATCTGTTTAGATTTAACTTAAAAATACTTACTAATTTTTTTTTCAAATTATAATTAGCTGTTATGCACTATCTGTGATTCAGGCTAAACATTATAATTGAATCAATCAGATTCAAAATAAAAAAAAAGAAAATTCCACTGATTAAAATTGAATTCAACTTATACATTAATATGTAAAGAATTAAAATGATGACATAATTCAATTTTAAAACCAAAACATAGCATTTATTTTCATTTTGTCAAGTCTTCGTCCTATTAGTCCTTCACATTTCTTGTAAAAATTGGTTCATAGGAATGAAATAATCTGACTGGCTGTGATGAACATATATACCAGCTACTTATATTTTATTTTTGTTTTGCTATTTAATAACACCACCCTTGTTAAACTCTATATTAATATTTTTCTATTAATTCTATTGCATTGTTCTCGGTATAAAATTATCTGAACTGTTAAATACAGATAGGCTTGATCTTTGCTTTCCAGTAAGCATACATTATTTTTATATATCTTCCAGCTTGGTGTCCAATATTGATCATATTATTGATTCTGTGAAAATTTTGTCTGTAGTATCACTTTTATACATTATGTTAGAGTTTGAGACTTACATTAAGTTTATCATGAATTTTTTTCTCATTTATTATCATATATTATAGATTTGCTAGCCTGAGAAGGGAACCTGATATCTTCATTCGTCATATGCTCTGAGGAGATTTTTTTTTTTTAGTATAGTGGATATAGTAAATGGATAGTTTGCAGTAGTCAGGGATTCTTCCTTTACCAAAGTAACTCTGCAACAGTTATTCCTAAGACATTGCTGCAAGGAAACTTCTAGGCTCTTCTCTTTCTATTGCCAACGTAGCAACTACATAAACATGTCTGCCCTTGATAGTATTGCCTGTGAAGGTACTCAAAGAGCAGATTTAAGAAAGGAAGTGATGGTTATGAATCGGGAAAGAGTGAGGAAAAGGGAAAACAGTCCTTTTGGCCTTAGAAACGTGCCTCCTTTTGGTAAAGGAAATGACTTCTGAGTTTAGGATCCAAAGTTATGCTAACTGAGCTGCAATTTCCTACCTTCACTCCCTGGGTGACCACATGTTTTCTCCTTAATGGTTCATTCTTACTTTAAGGAGTGGAAATCCCTTCTGAGGTTTGAAAAATTATTGAACGCCGAAACATTGCTTCTTTCCTTGTGTTTCCCTGAGGAATTCAATGAGAAATACCTGAGTGTAAAGCAATCCCTGCTTGCTTTCTGTTTAAACCAAAATATTTAGCATAAACACAATGCTTTAGCCTATTACAATTGTGTGTTTCTTGAGTTTGAAGATTTCTGTCTTTAAAATGAATTAATATTTTCTCTGTTATTTTGCCTCTTTCTCTAATCCTCTGGACTACAATCTCATGTTTCTTCAGTTTCACAGCAAATATGTACATTTTTTTTTTCCTTAGCGGGGCTTCTCCAAGATTATTATCCGTGCTATTGTGGTTTAAGACTGTGAGATTGGACTGACTTACTGTCATTTTTCAGAACACTGCTGACGGTGCTAAGGAATGGTAACTCACAAATTACTTCTGTGTCAGAAGATGGAAAAAAATGTTAAGTCAATTTCTTAAATTAATTAAGAGATAACGTTGATATAGGAATAGGCTAGTGCCACAGATAATTATCACTTGAAATTACATAGTCACAAAGGCCAGTTAAGGAACCAAATATAGCTAATGAGAAAATTTAATTGATAATGCTTCAAGCTGCTGGTCCTGCTTTTTTTCTAGTTAAATAACAACAAAGAAACAAAAACAACAACAAAACAGAGCAGTGGGCTAATTTTATATTAGAAAGCTCCTCTGGATCTCAGTTGAGGTTTATTTTGTTTTTAGCTACATGAATTCTCTTCTTTTTCCACCTCCTCTATATGTATTTAGCTTGTTAATTATTTTTTCAATGAAATGTAGTGTCTTCCACTTTTTAAGAATTCTGAAACTCGAAATAGAGAAATTTCTATACTTTAAAATTTCTGGTTTAAAAAGAAAAAGAAATTCAATCATGCCTGTAATCCCAGAACTTTGGGAGGCCGAGGCGGGTGGATCACGAGGTCAGGAGTTCAAGACCAGCCTGGCCAAGATGGTGAAACCCCGTCTCTACTAAAAATACAAGAATTAGCCAGGCGTGGTGGCAGGCGCCTGCAATCCCAGCTACTGAGAAAGCTGAGGCAGAGAATAGCTTGAACCCAGGAGGTAGAGGTTGCAGTGAGGCAAGATCGCGCCACTGCACTGCAACCTGGGGGACAGAGTGAGACTCCATCTCAAATAAATAAATAAATAAGTGAAATTCAAGTTTTTGTCTTTCACATTTTCTTTTTTGTAATAGACTATATAATCAATATATTCTGACTGCTCTTCCTGTAGAAAACATCTAAAAATTCTGGTTAAAATATAAGATTTTCTTCTGAAAATTAATTGCCAAGCAGGCAACATAGTAAGGAATTTTTATAGCTGAAAAAACAAAACAAAACAAACAAACAAACAAACTGAGAACAGGAACCAAGAGAGATAAGAGTGTTTCTGAAGCTACTTATCATTTTGAAGGCATTTTCCAATGCCCTGTAACTTTAAATTTGGTTTTCCAAGCACCACCTAGCAGGGATAAGAGAAAACCTAGAGTTAATTAATATAGGGAGAATAATAGGAGACACAGGCATAAAATCTCACCAAGGGAGCTGGAAATAATCCTGTTCTTTTCATACCTGGAGATAGAAGAAGGAGGAAAATGAGGGGAAGAATAAACAAGAGGAAGAGAAGAAGAAGAAAGAAAGAAAAAATGCACACCTCAAATAATCTGTTTTCAGAATTCGTGCTCACAATCTGATCCTTATAAGGGTCTACAGCCTAAAATTTACATTTGTTGCTTACACTGAAATAATTCAAAATGGAAAATTTATTTTAAAGCAGTACTACACTGATTGATAGTGTCCCTTGGCCCCTAGCAGAAGAAAACACAAATCCTCTTTGGAGAAATTCACACACTAAACTCATGCCTCAAAAACATCAGCTCGTAGGGTCAAAATTATAAAAGCAGAAGGAAATAAGGCCCCACAAATGAAATAGAAACAACTGAAAACCGTATCAGCTCAATATAAGACTTCAAGTATTGGAATTATCAGATTCAGAATATTTATAAATAATATTCAATTGTATAAAAATATAGAAATGGAAAACAACAGTTGGATAATGGAGAAAGAGGCCATAAAAATGTTCAGCCAAACTTGAAAGATATCTATATACTACTTCAAGATATGAAAAACATAACTAAAATTATAAATATACCACAGTATTAAACAATGTATCAAAGAATCCTCAAGATAAGTAATAAACTGAAATATAGATCTGAAAAAAATTAAAAATGCAGCACAGAGGGAGAAAATAAGCAAACTATGAAAGTCATGGTACCTAAAAAGTAAGGTTTAGTACTCTATCACTCCCTCTTGACACTTCACCTTCTCTGCAAATCGCTTTGCAAAATAAATTTATAAATGTTAAATTTAATAAAATATCATATGCTATCACTATTTACATATGCCAGCATTATAAAAGCTTGTGTGACACTGTGACATATTCACAAGAGCAAACTCTTATCAATAATATACTGTTAATCTACCCACATACATGGACAACTCTCAGACTACTAAATAAAGCAATAAGATTATTATTTTAAATGGTGAGGAAAACAAAGAGATTTCAAAGAAAAGCAGCAAATGTTATTAACAGGATAGAGTAATTTTTAAAAATTGTATAATATTTATATTTATAAAATTTTACCTATTAAAGTATTAATTAATATTATCTACTCTGTCCCTCCCAAATGAACTCCTATTGAATTCCCAAGTCAAATGTCATTTTTGTAATGAAGGTATCCAATTCAACTTTTTTGAATTTATTACTTCCTTCAGTTTTGTCACTGTCCACATTGTTGGTTAATAACACATGTCTCTTCTGCTAAATTGGAGCTCTCCGTAAGACAGGAGACTGCAAGCTTTGATCATGAAGTAGAACTATCCCTCATGCCTAAAGAAAGAGCTATAGAAGGGTTACTTTTCACTATACCAAGGATCATGCAACTCCATTGAGAAGCTCCTTAATAAGCCATTCCTTTTTATAATTACAAGATTTAAGCCCACCATTAAAAAGAAATTCCTCCATCAGCCTTTCTACCTTTGGGTATTTTAATGGTTATGGCCAGTGTCATCTTGGGTACCCCCTGGTGAAGTCTTTTTGTTAAATCTGTAACTATCTCATCCAAATGCCAAGGGGCACAAGTCTAAATCCTTTGCCCCTTTCAATATTCCTTACCTCACCAATTGATACCACCAACCCCCAAGTTGATTGAGTCTAAAAATTGCAGTTATCCTAGATTCCTTTGCCTTCCGTATGAACAAAACAATTCTTTCTATGTTAAAAAAAAAAAAAAGTATCTTGATGTGGACTATTTTGGACTATGATATGAATGAGAAATAAACTAAATTTTTTTTTTTTTTTTTTGAGGTAAGGTCTGCCTCTGTTGCCCAGGCTGGAGTACAGTGTTGTGGTCTTGGCTCACTGCTGCCACCATCCCCCCTAGGCTCAAGCCATCCTCCCACCTCAGCCTCCTGAGTAGCTGAGACTACAGGTGTGTGCCACCACACCTGGCTAATTTTAAAATTTTTTGTAGAGATGAGGTTTCGCCATGTTTCCCAGGCTGATCTCAAACTCCTGGGCTCAAGTGATCTACCCTCCTTGGCCTCCTGAAGTACTGGGATTACAGGTATGGGCCACTTTGCCCAGCAGAGAAATCAACTTTTATTATATTAAGCTATTAAAATTTGTGATTGATTTTAGAGCAACTGACCTATCTTGATTTATATACCCTCACCAAATAATAATCTAGTAGAATTATAATATAATGTAATAATGTCTTACCATGTTTTGCCGTTCTTTTAGTTTCAGAATATAATTACTCCACCATAGAGTGTGGTATTAGAACTCGTAAACTGAAGCCAAAATCACATAACAGGAAGTAAATGTCATTTTATAAAATGAGGCCAAAATTTACATGGAAAAGGAAGTCATAGAAATGTAGGATCATAGTTTACTAGAGACTTAAAAAAAAACTCGTTAAATCAGTTATTTTTAAGCTGTTTCTCATTTTCTGAAATTGTAATAAGAATCTGTTTTATGTCTAAATCTGCTTTGTGCAGCTTTATACTGCAATATGTCAGTTCTTTCTCTGTCTTTTCCAATTCATTCAGCTATTTAAAAACTGAAAGTATACCTGATCTGCCATTTCTAGGGACTAATTGGTACTTCTGCTAATTGCATGAGGTACAATCTCAGGATAATGGCAGTCATCTTGTTTTGGGTCATGAGGCTACTGGTACTCCCAGCTCTATAACAAGTCTTTTCATTACCATATAATATCCTTTAAGTGGGTTTTTAAATTTTATCTTCAGGTATTAATTGGTGCCCCCTTGAGTCTAAGAATTGGAAATGTCAAGAGTGACAGCAGTTATCTTGTTGATTGTTCACACTTCCTTTCACTGTTACTACTTGAATATTTGCATTATCTGATTATTTTACCTGTTATTAAATTGGCACAATACAAAACACCTGTCTCTTAGCTGTTTTTGCAGGTTGGCCCTAGAATGAGAAATGCATACAGGAAAGCCAACGTTCTAAAAGTTTAAGGAGAAAATGGAATTCCCAGAGCGTGATAGTCAGTTACCAAATTGGAGCCATATTCACAAGCTTTGGAATTTCACCTTTTGGTCATGTGTTATTTCATATTTTAAACTATTTTAAGCTAAACTTGTCTCATATTGTAAATGTATTGATGTTGTCAACCCAAGAAAACTAATGATATTAATCATTTTCTTTTTGTATACATTTCTGTAGTATCATATATATCATTTTTTTTTTCTCATGAAGAAGGTTTTTGACATGCATTTAGAAATTCAGTAATGTTCCATTTAGCAAAATTTCTCAGATAAAACAAAATTTTGCAATTACACTAAAGAATATTATTCAATCTGACTCCAGATAATACAAATCAGAAGGAACAAAAGTGTTTCTGCCCCTTAAATTTCTCTTAATCTGTAATGTCTTACACCAGTATTATACCAAGGTTGAAAGTTGTTTTTATTTTCTTACATGTGCATATGGGGGAGTGGTTTACCGGTAAGAAAAATATTTATTTTTGCTTACATGCTTGTTTGTGTATCTTTTTAGCAAAGGACTTTACTCTGGCATTTTTGGAAAATTATTGTTTTTAGACCCAGGGATTGCCACTGGTTTTGGAAATTCACCTGGAGGGGCCACTTAACTACAAAGGCAAATCCATTCTGCTTGTTCCTTCAAATGGATGAGGAGAGTCATTTCTGAATGCTAATGCTGCAAACTGAGATATTAAAGGCTGTGTTTAGTCATGAAAAAGGAAGGCAACTTTGAAGACTGACCCTTACAACCTTGAGACGATTTTCTAAAAGAAGATACTTTACCTGAAATCACAATACATACCACAGCTAAGGATGTTTAAGGCAGAAGACCAAATGTTAGGGGACTGAAGTGTGACCTATTGTGATCGACTTGGGTAAGCCAAGAGAATATTCTGATCTGTACTTTTGAAGAATTCTGAGAAATAACCTACTTCAACCTTAGTGAATTCTGGAGTCAGAATTCCTCAATTCCAATTCTTACTGGACCTGTTTGGTAGGTGTGTGGCCTGGGCATGCCACGTTGTAACTCTGTGTATCTCTGTTTCCACATCTGTTAAACTGTGATTATAAATGTGATTGTCTTATTCATAATTGAATGAGTTTATAAAGCGTGTAGGAAGTGCTGTTACAAAGAAAATGTCTCAAGGAACATTAGATGTTTTTATTAGCTCTTCAGAGAGCTAGTTATGGGCACATGCTATAACTGAGGTTTTGTACCCTCTCTAGCATCCTGAGAGCTACAATGGCCATCAGCAATGCCAAACTGGCAGAGAGTGGACATAGTCTCTGCCCTATTCACTCTGCTTTAGTGCAAGCCAGGACCATAAGCAAGAGCAAAAGAAAGTTATGCCGGTTGGTAGAATGTCCAGATTTTGCATCTCAGAATATAAGTAATAGGAAACATAGTATCACCAATTTAGGATAGAGGAAACAAAACTTCACATTCTAAGGAGTAGAACCCCATTAGAAAATGAAAAAATAGACTTGGTCTGATTCAACAGATTCTGAAGATGGCACACTCCATCTCCCTTATCCTGCTTTATGTCACTGTACTGTAGTTATCACCTCCTAACTTAATATATAATATGCTTATTTATTGAATTAACTTCATGCTTTTTCTCTTCAAACTAGAATGAAAGCTCCAGATACAGAACATTCATTTCCTCAGCATTTATAGCAATGCCTCAGTAAATACTCGAATGAATATTAAAATGAAAATAATAAATTTAAATGAGTAAAGATTTTTAACACAGGTCTGATGAAATGGGCTCTAATTATTTCATATAGTTAATGAAAACCTGGAGAAAGTAACTTTTTAAAGAAATATATGAAGTCTTTGTACATTATTAAAATAGGTAATTCCTATTTATGATAAATAGGTAATTCCTATTTATGATAAATAGGTAATTCCTATTTATGATAAATAGGTAATTCCCATTTTCATGATTCTTTAACTTTTGATTGTTTGTTTTGCCTTAAGTAATACAAAATTAATACCTCCCATTTGAGGATTATCTACCATATACCAAATCTAAATTAAGTACTATAAAAACATTATACTAAAATTTATTGCAAATCTATAGCAAAAGTGTTGTTATCCATATTTTAAGTTTCAAGAAACTAAGGCTTAAATTCCATTCAACATATGTTAATACTCATATTTGATTAGCAAAACCATACTTTCAACTTCAATTTTTTGTGCTTAAAACTTTACAACTAGGTATGGACTCTAAAACTTAAAAAACAAAGAAATAAATGGCTTTCCGGTAATCTCATTAGGTTAAAGAATGCAAGATGATACAACAAGTTCTCACTTAACAAACCTTACAATACAGTAAGTTACAACACAGTTACTCCTACAGTAAGTCCTCACTTAATGATAGCTTCTTGGAAACTATGACTAAGTGAAATTACATACAGCAGGTCCTCTAATAACATTTTGTTCAACATTGCTTTGTTATCATGTTGATGAGAAAAGGAAATGGTTTCATCATAGATCATTTTACTTAACATGACAGTTTTCAAGAACCTATACATGATGTTTCTGTATGTAACTTAAGTGAAAACTTGGTTCAACCCAATTGAGCTCTTAAAAAGAATGAATGAAGTAAAACTCTATGTAATTAAGAAGTAAACATGTTTATATGGATTTTATTAAATTATCAGCAAAATTTTGTTTATGTTAGTCCCCAACTCCAAGTTAAAAACTAAAGTGAAAGTTAGCCGAGGCACTGTAGAATGAAAGATTTCTTCAACAGTCAGAAGTGCGTGCAATAAACATTTACTGACCACTAGAAATTGCAACCAAATAAGAAAAGAAAGCAGAGTACTATGACATGCGCAATGAGTATAATACACTATAATACAACAGAATTATTGATTATAATTATCAAATAAATGAATTGGGTTGCCAGCAGAAAGGACAATAAAATAAATGGAAGCATAGAAGCAGCTTGTAATTCAACCTGGGAAATATTTAGGGAACAGTCTCTATGTATCTGTGCCTCTAGCTGCATCCCTCTCTAATCATGAGGAGGCTAACCAGCTCAGGTTAAAAGTTTCTGCTGTTTTTAAGACCTGATTGATAGACAGAACCGATAGTATACAGCCCTGTGTTTTGGGGAGAAAGCGTAGAAAATATTCCCAGTATGTGTGAAGATTTTGTCCTAACAATGCCATGTTAAACATGTTCTTAGATGTCCAGGAGTTGATTTTATGTGTTTGTTTCCCTAGGAAAAGTATCCTGATTAATCTGTCTCTTATGCCTTAAAGTATATTCTGATATATCAGTTAAAATTTATAGGCACTCAATTGGGAATCCCTTCAAGGTGCTTTGGGAACACAGAGTAAGGAATGGCTAATTTCTCTATTCACATGAACTAAGCAAATTATGTAATTTCTCTTGAGACTCAGTTTCCTTTAAAGTGACTATTCTAATTCACCTCACTAGGTTGAAAAAAAAAATCACATACGAAACATTCCCCAGGCACAGAGTAGCTGCCACATTTACATAGCATCTTTATTGCTATATATCTTAATAAGAATTAGGAAGAAGTGTCTAATGTACAAGATACTCTTTTGAGCAATCCTCATTTATTGTTGTCCAACGAAAAGATCATGTTTCAAATCTTCAGCCTAGCATTCAAGCCTGTCCACAATCTGAGCCAAGCCTACTATCTCAACCTTAATTTCTCTTATCAAACAAACACACACACTATCATGCACATTTTGGAATTCTTCCCCAAGCTGCCTTAGTTCAGAATACACACACACACACACACACACACACACACACACACACAGTCATACACAGATTTATATATGTTAAATTTAATTATATACATAATTACATAATGCATATCTAATCATATAATACATAAGCAATTATATAATATTATATTTTTTCTGCAGAAGACAAATTTTCTATGCATACAGAATCTACTCACTCTTTTTTGGTAACTGAACCTAGCATCTCTATGGGGCCACCCTGTCTCACCATTCTTAGCACTTGTGTTTGAGGCTAGGTAGTCTACTTGCTTAGCTCAGGTATAGTACCCGTGAACTAGATCTGCCAGTTCTCTTATTCTACATCTCCTGGCTAAAATAATTAGTTTAGAGACAGGAAGAAGATCACAGTAAGAGCAGCGAGAAGCAAAGAGGGGTTTTGTTTGTTGTTGTTATCTATGGAAAATATATTCTAGCTATTTCTTCTGAAACTGAAAAGTAAAGCCTATAGTTCTGCAATCATGAGCTGAGAACCAGCTTAAACGTCACCAGTGAGATATGCTAAACTTAAAAATGGGGAGAGAGGCCAGGCGCGGTGGCTCAAGCCTGTAATCCCAGCACTTTGGGAGGCCGAGGCGGGTGGATCACGAAGTCAGGAGTTCAAGACCAGCCTGACCAATATGGTGAAAACCCGTCTCTACTAAAAATACAAAAATTAGCTGGGTGTGGTGGCATGCGTCTTTAGTCCCAGCTACTCGGGAGGCTGAGGCAGGAGAATCACTTGAACCCAGAAGGTGGAGGTTTCAGTGAACCGAGTTTGCGCCACTGTACTCCAGCCTAGCTGACAGAGTGAGACTCCGTCTCAAAAAAAAATAGGAAGAGAAAAATTGAGTTTCGATCAAAGTATTTTAAGCCCTAAATCCTGTGTCATCTGAAAAAAAAAAAAAAAAAATCTGTTTGTTTGAATGGTTTAAGTGAGCCAACACACTTTTCTTTTCTTTTTGTTTTTCTGTTTAGGTATGCTTGGATCTGTCTTTTGGTCACTTGAAGATTCCTAACTGATGCTTCCCCCACGGTTACAAAAATCTGGAAATTTTACCTATTTCTTTTATTCCCATAGGAGTTAACATCTATTCTGGAATATGAACTATATAAAATTAAAAGTGAACAAAAAGCACAATACAATTTATAACCACAAATAAAGAATTGTGGCAACTGTTAAAGGTGTTTAAAGCAATAATTTTATTTAGGCCAGAAAAGATAGTCAAATTTAAGCTAAAGTAACAAACTATTAAAATGCAAGCCAATGGAACTTTAAATCACCCCTCAAACATTTCAATTTTTGTAATTTTGATGTTTTATTGCTAAACAACCTGACATACTTTGTTTCTGTACTGTAGCATTTAAAAATTTCAAAAAGATTATATTCAGTCTGGCACTATAAAATTTTCTATTTTCTGTTAACTTTTAAATGTGATCTTACTTTTATATTTGACATCTGATTCCAGAATTCATTATCATGTCATTTGAAGAAATATTTATGTTTACTGTAGTATTTTGAACAGAATGCTGCCTTAAAAAAATACATAAGTTAGCCTATCAAGAAGACAAATTATCTGCATCTGGGTTTCTTAACCCCCGCTCCTATTAACATTCTAGCCCTACCTAACTCCTTCATTTATTCTTCTGTTTTCAAACTAGCTCTTAATTACTTCCATCCCCATTTCAGTTGTAAATGCTTCTTTACGGCCATTCTTTCATTAGAATAAATCCTCCAACCTATTTGAGGACCTGACACTTCACTACTGATTTACAAGTGATTCAATTTTATTAATCAGATGCTTGCCCTGGCTTTGGGATATCTGTACTGTTGTTGCTGGTAGCTGTTGATGAAGGGCCCCCTTTCTTTCTCCCCATTTCTTGGAAAATATGCAGGTATTATTTCAGCATTTTATTTCAGAAAAAGACTGAAATTGGAAAGAACTAGGGAAAATAGAAAATCTTGTAATTGTCTTGAAAAGAGTTATTATTTCACACTGTTAGTTGTGCAAGCTATAGTTGCAGTGGGGATAATGTGACCTATAAAAGATTTGTCTGAAATTCTCCATTAGAAATTCTTTCTTCAAAGATTTAAAGCTACTATTTAATTCCCTTTTGGGGGACCAAATCATGAAACCACTGCATAATATTCTAAAAGCAAAATTAAACAACACACAGGTAACCACGTTCAACAATTATGGTGCTTGATTTTAGTGCATATTTGAATGTTTAGAAAATTTCTCTTTCAAATGTATTTAAAACACCCTGTATTTTTCTGTTCTCAAGCTGCTAATAAAGACATACCCAGTCTCAGGTATGTCTTTATTAGCAGCCTGAGAACAGACTAATAAGACTGAGTAATTATAAAGAAAAGATGTTTAATTGACTCACAGTTCCACATGACTGGGGAGGCCTCACAATCATGGTGGAAGGCAAGGAAGAGCAAATAGCATCTTACATGGCAGTAGGCAAGAGGGTGAGTGCAGGGGAACTGCCCTTTTAGAAAACCATCAGATCTCGTGAGACTTAGTACAAGAAAAAAACCTGCCCCCGTGATTCAATTACCTACCACAGGGTCCCTCCCACGACACATAGGGGTTATTACAATTCAAGGTGAGTTTTGGATGGGGACACAGAGCCAAACCATGTAATTCTGCCCCTGGCCCCTCTCAAATCTGGTTTCCCTTTCACATTTTAAAACACAATCATGCCTTCCCAACAGTCCCCCAAAGTCTTAACTCATTTCAGCATTAACTCAAAAGTCCACACACAGTCCAAATTCTCATCTGAGACAAGACAAGTCCCTTCCACCTATGAGCCTGTAGAAACAAAACATGTTAGTTACTTCCTAGATACAATGGGAGTACAGGCACTGAGTAAATACACCTGTTCCAAATGGGACAAATTGGGCAAAATGAAGAGACTACAGGCCCCATGCAAGTCTTAAATCCAGTGGGGCAGTCAAATCTTAAAGCCCCAAAATGATCTCCTTTGACTCCATGTCTCACATCCAAGTTACACTTGGCTCCAAAATGATCTCCTTTGACTCCATGTCTCACATCCAAGTTACGCTGAGGCAAGATGTAGGGTCCCATGGCCTTGGGTGGCTACACCCCTGTGGCTTTGCAGGGTACAGCCCCACTCCTGGCTGCATTTCACAGGATGACATTTAGTATCTGTGGCTTTTACAGGTGCATGGTGCATGCATGTTAGATCTACCATTCTGGGGTCTGGAGGATGATGGTGGCCCTCTTCTCATAGCTCCACTAGATAGTGCCCCATTGAGGACTCTGTGTGGGGCTCCCACCCCATATTTCTCTCTTGCACTGCCCTAGCAGAGGGTCTCCATGAGGGCTCTGCCCCTGCAGCACACGTCTGCCTGGACATCCAAGTTTTCTCATACATCATCTGAAATCTAAGTGAAGGTTCCCAAACCTCAATTCTTGACTTCTGGGCACCCACAGGCTCAACAGCACATGGAAGCTGCCAAGGCTTGGGGCTTGCACCCTCTGAAACCACAACCTGAGCTGTATGTTGGCCCCTTATAGCCACAGCTGGAGCAGCTGGGATGCAGGGCACCAATTCCCTAGGCCACACAGCAGGGGGGCTCTGGGCCCATTGAACCATGAACCATTAATTTTTTCCTCCTAGGCCTCCAGGCCTGTGATGGGAAGGGCTGTCGGGAAGGTCTTTGACATGCCCTGGAGACATTATCTCCATTGTCTTGGTGATTAACATTTGGCTCTTCATTACTTTTGCAAATTTTTGTGGCCAGTTTGAACTTCTACCCAGAAAATGGGTTTTTCTTTTCTATTGCATTATTAGGCTGACAATTTTCCAAATTTTTATGCTCTGTCACCTCTTGAATGCTTTGCTACTTAGAAATTTCTTCTACCAGATACCCTAAATCATCTCTCTCAAGTTCAAAGTTCCACAGATCTCTAGGGCAGGGGCAAAATGGCACCAGTCTCTTTGTAGAACAAGAGTGACCTTTACTCCAGTTCCCAAAAAGTTCCTCATCATCTAAGTCCACCTCAGCCTGGAACTTATTGTCCATATTGCTGTCGGACTTTTGGTCAAAGCCTTTCAATAATAATAAGTCTCTAGGAAGTTCCAAACTTTCCCACATCTTCCTATTTTCTGAGCCCTCCAAGTTTCTAGGAAGTTCCAAACTGTCCCACATTTTTCTATCTTCTTCTGAGCCCTCCAAACTGTTCCAACCTCTACCTGTTACCCAGTTTCAAAGTTGCTTCCACGTTTTCAAGTATCTTTACATAAGTGCCCCACTACACCTGGTACAAATTTACTGTATTAGTCTATTCTCTTGCTGCTAATAAAGACATATCTGAGACTGGGTAATTATAAAGGAAAGAGGTTTAATTGACTCACAGTTTCACATGACTGGGGAGGCCTCACAATCACGGAGGAAGGCAAGGAAGAGCAAGTCACATCTTACATGGTGGCAGGCAAGAGGGTGTGTACAGAGTAACCGCCCTTTTATAAACCCATCAGATCCTATGAGATTTATACACTATCATGAAAACAGCACAGGGAAAAACTCACCTGCATGATTCTATTACTCCCCACTGAGTCCCTCCCACAACACATGGGGATTATTACAATTCAAGGTGAGATTTGTGTGGGGACACAGAGCCAAACCATATCACACACTAAAGATTATATATAGATACACACACATATGCGTAAACTATACATTTATGATCTATTGTACATGTATGTGACTCTATATATAAAATAGTTCATGGCCCAGGCCACTCATTGGCTATATTTTGCCACAGTGATACAGATCCATGTACTATTTCCACATCTGTTCCAAGCTTTCCATGCCTTTTACTGAAGACAGATTAGGCTGGATCTCCTTTGCAATGTTTGACAGTGTAAAATCAGAGAAAAGGGTGTGAAAGACTTGCATAGTTATATTTTGAGCTGAAACCAAGTTTTGTAAAACAGTTTTCACCAGACAGCCTGCATTGGGTGATGGAGGAATGGGGTGAAAGATGGGAAAGGGAATTATTAGTTTGCACTTAGTTATTATTCAATGAATTATTTCCATAAAACAAAACAAAGAAAGGGAGAGTGAATGGTAGCATTTGGGTATTAACTTCACATAAAATTTCTGAGAGAAAATAAACAAATGTTGAGTAGGGAGATTGGTGTTTTTGTGTTGGCTCCATCTAATTAATGATCACATTTTTAAAATTCACTTAAAATTTAGTTTTCTTACCTGTCAAATGGGCTTAACATGTCTACCTAGAAAAGTTGTTGTGAAAGCTGAATGGAAGAAAGCACAGAAAGACCTACTGGTCTCTGGCACAGCAGGGTTCCTCTTCCTCTTTTCCACATCTTTTGATGGAGTCAAGAGCATATGGGCCAATACCCAAATTTCCTTTGTTAAGAGAGTGGAGGGATACCATACTCCTCTGAAGGAGAAAAAAAGGCATTTTTGAGTCATGAAAGCTCAGAATTTTTTATACTTAATGAATACATATATATATATATATATATATATATATATATATATATATATATATATATATATATATATACCATGATTGCTATAGTTTTACCTATGGTCATAAGTTGCTTAACAATGGGGATACATTCTGAGAAATGCATTCATAGGCAATTTCGACCTTGTGAGAAATGCATTCATAGGCAATTTCATAGGCAACATCATAGAGAGCACTTACACAAACCCAGAAAGTATAGCTTACCACACACTTAGGCTGCATGACATAACCTATGGCTGTTAGGCTGCAAATGTGTAAGCATCTTACTGTGCTGAATAGTGCAGGCAATTGTAACACAAAGGTAAGTATTTGTGCATCTAAATGTAGAAAATGTACAGTGAAAATACTGTATAAAATATTATTTTGGTGAGCAGTGAGGATGGAGACAGGTCTTACTCTGTCACCCAGGCTGGAGTACAGGGGTGCAATCATGGCTCACTGCACCCTGAAGTTCCTGAGCTCAAGCTATCCTCCTGCCTCAGGCTCTGTAGTAGCTAGGAACATAGATATATACCATCACACTTGGCTAATTTTAAATTATTTTGTAGAGACAAGGTCTTGCTATGTTGCCAGGCTGGCCTGGAACTAATGGCTTCAAGGCCTGCTTTGGCCTCCCAAAGCACTGAGACTATAGGCATGAGTCATCGTGCTTGGCCCCGTATTATTTTATAGGACCACACTAGTTTATGTGGCCCATTGTTGACTGAAATATCCTTATGTGCAAATGACTATATGTAGAAATAAAGTAACCTTAATGTGTTGGTCCTGAAAGGTGTCTTGTCATTCACTGGATGTAGACATTTCTGACTGGTTGGAGCTAATAAAGTGCTCTTCATAGAGCCAGGGCTTAGAGTCATAATTCACACACATGTAAACACTAAAATACACACCTTAATTTTCACTCACTCTAATTTACTAAGCTTTGTAATGTATCCACATATATATAATCATAATCACTGTGAACAAGGTATATTCTTTAAATATCTTGACAACGTTCCGCTCTGTCCAGTCACTCAGAATATAAAAAGAATTCCCAAAGGGGTCCTCAGCATTTAGTACTTCCAAACAAATGTAACTCCATTCATATAATTTATATATAATTCTACCAAATGCATTTTGTTTGAAATATTTCCTATATCTCTTTTGTTTGCCAAGATAATATTTAGCCCCAATGGTCATTTATAAGATCCTTATATGGGTCTGTTTTGTTCATTCTTCTGTCTTCATAATGACTTATGAAGCCTTTTGATGATGCTATTTTTTACCCTCTTTCATGTACTTTAATTCATGGATCTCCTTAGAAGAATTAAAGGACATTAAAGGCAATATTTCTAAATGCTCATTTTAATTCTTCCTACTGTCTGGCCTACATAGACTATAGGTAAATGCAACATTACTTCTGTACTTCATTCATATCTATTGGAATTATATCTGAGATTGATTCTTTTAGATTTTAAAATTTTAAATTTAATGTGCAATCATTTATTACATTTAATCTCTTTGCATTTTGTCCTTCTAAACTTTAGTTTTTTCCATTAATTTGTCCACAATTTTGGCAACACCTTTACTGGTATTACTAATCATTGTACATGGCTCTCATGCTTTCTATGTTTAATTTAATTTTACTTATTTTATTTTTTTGAGATGGAGTCTTGCTCAGTCACTCAGGCTAGAGTGCAATGGCATGATCTCAACTCACTGCATCCTCCATCTCCTGGGTTCAAACAATTCTCCTGTCTCAGCCTCCTGAGTAGCTGGGACTACAGGCATGTTCCACCACGCCTGGCTAATTTTTTGTATTTTTAGTACAGATGGGGTTTCACCATGTTGGCCAGGCTGGTCTTGAACTGCTGACCTCAAGTGATCCACCCACGTTGGATTCCCAAAAGCATGAGCCACCGTGCCCAGCCTGTTTTTTTGTTCGTTTGTTTTTTGTATTTTCCAGGTTCAATCTTCACATGCTGTATCTTCAGTTTCCATCAGTCTAAGTCATTTCCTAACTCTCCATGTAGATCTCTTTTATGTACTTCAGCGATTGTCCAGGCCTCCATTGCTAATCTAGCTTTCCTTCAATCTTTTGAGGTATTATACATTTTATGTGGACTTTACAGGCATAGTTTCTAATTTGTTAAGACTTTGAAATCACTTGTCAGCAAGGTCAAGCTAATGTTCCATAGGGTAATGTTAGTGATAGTGTTGCTCCATGGTCTCTGTGAGATTCCCATTTAGTTTATCCTTTGATTATTATATTCTCCTTGGATACAGAAAAGTATTACTTCAGCCAGTGTCACACTTCAAACTCTGTACTATTCCAGATGTGTGCTTTGAAAACCATGATCCCATTCAAAGAAAATTTGAATATGTTGTTCTTGGGATAACTCTCAGTCAATATAAATATCAATATGATATAAGTTGTACTGTGTTAATTCCATATTTTAGTGGTTTCATTGCCCTGTTTTTTTGTTTGTTTTTTAATTTCTTTGAATCCTCTGTTTCCATGTAACTTTATGTGGTCTTAGACCTTCATTCTAGTCTTCTCTTGTGACCTGACTATGTGGAACTTTTCAGTTAGTAGTCACTGATGACCATGGACTGAAGTGCTTGGTATCTTTGACTATACTTAGGGTGAGTTATAGAACATAAAAGCATTGTAGATGTCTTGGTCAATGTAGACTTTTTAATAGTTTTCTATTAGATAATAATCCAGTCTAATATCTAGGTGTGAACTTTTAGCTACTTCAATTAAATGCTTTGTTTCTTCTTTGAACATTGAAAGTTTTCCTTGAATACTTTTTATTTATAATTGAGATACCATACTGTATAGAATCCACAATCCTTTCCAATAGATTCAATATTTTTACATGCCTTTATTAATTAATTTTTATCTTTTATTTTAGGTTCAGGGGTACATATGCAGGTTTGTTATATAGGTAAACTCATGTCATGGGGGTTCGTTGTACAAATTATTTCATCACCCAGTTAATAATCATAGTACTCAACAATTATTTTTTTTCTGCTCCTCTCCCTCCTCCTAACCTTCATTCACCCTCTGGTAGGAGCCAGTGTGTGGTGTTCCCCTCTTTGTGTTCATGTGCATGTGTTCTCATCATTTAGCTCCCACTTATAAGTGAGAACATGTGGCATTTGGTTTTCTGTTTCTCCATTAGTTTGCCAAGGATAATGCCTCTAGCTCCATCCATGTTCCTGTAGAAGACATAATTTCATTTTTTTTTTATGGATGTTTAGTATTCCATGGTGTATATATACCACAATTTCTTTATACAGTCCACTATTGATGGGCATTTTGGTTGATTCCATGTCTTTGCTATTGTGAATAGTGATGTAATGAACATACATGTGCATATGTCTTTATAATAGAATGATTTATATTCCTTCAGATATGTTCCAAGTAATGGGATAGCTGGGTCAAATGGTAGTTCCTTTTTTAGCTCTTTGAGGAATTGGCACACTGTCTTACACAATGGTTGAACTAGTTTACACTCCCACCGACAATGTATAGGCATTCTCTTTTTGCTGAAACTTCACCAACATCTGTTATTTTTTTACTTTTTAGTAATAACCATTCTGACTGGTGTGAGACTGTATCTCATTGTGGTTCTGATTTGCATTTCTCTACTAATCAGTGATACTGAAACTTGTTCATATACTTATATCTGTTTATGAAGAGTGTCTGTTCACATCCTTTGTCCACTTTTTAATGGGATTGTTTGTGTTTTTTTTCTTGTAAATTTGTTCAAGTTCCTTATAAATGCTGGATATTAGATCTTTGTCAGATGCATAGTTTGCGAAAACTTTCTCCCATTCTGTAGGTTGTCTGTTTACTCTGTCAATGGTTTATTTTGCTGTGCAGAAGAACTTTAGTTTATTAGATCCTATTTGTCAATTTTTGTTTTTGTTGCTATTGTTTTTGGAGTCTTTGTCATGAAATCTTCCCCAGGGCCCATGTCCAGAATTTTATTGCCTAGATTGTCTTTCAGGGTTTTTATAGCTTTGAGTTTTACATTTAAGTCTTTAATCATTCTTGAGTTGATTTTTGTATATGGTGTAAGGAACAGAAGTCCAGTTTCAATCTCCTTCATATGGCTAACCAGTTATCCCAGAACCATTTATTGAACAGGGATTCCTTTCTGCATTGCTTACTTTTGTCAGCTTTGTTGAAGATCAGATAGTTGTAGGGGTGTGGCCCTATTTCTGGGCTCTGTATTCTGTTCGTTTGGTCTATGTGTCTGTTTTTGTTCCAGTACCATGCTGTTTTGGTTACTGTAGCCTTGCTTCCTGTTCCCAAGACATTACATTCTGCTGGCCTAGAGGTCTAAGTTCCAGAGGGAGGAACACTGCCACCAGGAAACACAACAATTCCATTAAACTGGAAGTTAAGATTGCCACATGGACGCTTTGGGCTCCTCCTACCTTTAACTCAACAGACTAAGAAGAGAGTTACAGTGTTGGCTGGATGATCGACCTGGACTATCAAGATGAAATCAGTCTACTACTCCACAACAGAGGTAGGAAAAGTACGCATGGAATACAGGAGATCTCTTGGGGTGTCTCTTAGTTTTACCATGCCCTGTGATTAAGGTAAATGGGAAACTACAACAGCCCAATCCAGGCAGTACTACAAATGGTTCAGACCCTTCAGGAATGAAGGTTTGGATCACTCCACCAGGAAGAAAATCACAACCTAATGGGGTGTTTGCTGAAGGCAAAGGGAATACAGAATGGGTAGTCGAAGAAGGCAGTCATCAATACCAGCTATGATCACATGACCAGCTGCAGAAATGAGGACTGTAATTGTCATGAGTATTTCCTCATTCTTTTGTTTAAAACATGTTTGTGCATGTATACATGTACTAAGAAAATAGCTTCATTTTATTTTCTTTATCATGTGACATAAGATTTATTGACTTCACATCAGCATTTAAGTATTGCTAACTTAATGTAATAGTATTTGGGTTGGGGATTGGTACGTTTCTGGTTGTATGAAGGATAGTTGTATTATGTTTGGTGTAACTATATCCTTATTATTGTCTTTATTTGAAGATTATGTATGATCCCAGGAGATGTATATGGGTTCAAGTTGACAAGGGGTCAACTTGTAATGGTTAATACTGAGTGTCAACTTGATTTGATTGAAAAATGCAAAGTATTGATCCTGGGTGTGTCTGTGAGGGTGTTGCCAAAGGAGATTAACATTTGAGTTAGTGGGCTGTGAAAGGTAGACTCACCCTTAATCTGGGCGGGCACCATCTAATCAGCTGCCATCAAGGCTAGAATATAAAGCAGGCAGAAAAATGTGAAAAGACTAGACTGGCCTAACCTCCCAGCCTACATCTTTCTCCTGTGCTGGATGCTTCCTGCCTCAAACATCAAACTCCAAGTTCTTCGGTTTTGGAACTTGGACTGGCTTTCCTTGCTCCTCAGCTTGCAGATGGCCTATTGTGGGACCTTGTAATCATGTGAATTAATACTTAATAAACTCCCCTTTATGTACATGTACTAGGATATATATATATATACATGTACTAGGATATATATATACACACACACTGCATATCCTACATACACCAGGAGATATATATATATATATGTATATGTATATATATGTCCCTCTAGAGAAACCAGGCTAATACAGCATGAGAGTTTAGTTCCATCTATGCATTTGTCTCAACTCTATGGGTTGCTGAATAGTGACTGTTAGGGTATTTTTTTTCTAGTTTCAATAAATAATTTTCTATTGTCTTGATATTTATTTGATTTCCTCTTATTTTGCCACTGAATGTGAACTGGTCTCCTTGTCACTCTGTAAGTCACTTCGTATAAACTATTAACTGTTCATTGTATTTTGCATCACATGTAAGAATAAAGCAGCTGTATTTAACAACAATATATCTATAAAGTTTAATTCTTGTTTTCTTATACATGTCTGTAAAACACGGAGCACTTGAAGGAATGATGATTTAGGGAAATTTTTATATCCAGAGAAATGTTTCAATTTTCGCCTCTTTGCCATTCTTATACATCTAAATAGTTCTTTTCCATGAGCTCATTCTAAAACCTTACCTATCCAGCTATAGTTTCACCCATATGCAAATTAGGCAACCTAAATTGTTCTTCTTGGCAAGATGTGATACCCTTCACAGGATGGGAGCATCCTTTTGGTTTAATGCTGATAAAGTACTTTAGCCAAAACTAGGGCTTATAGTCATAATTTGAACATGCAGAAACTCTAAAACATCAATTTACTTAGTTCACCCAGCTCCACCTGCAAAATACAGCATGATCTCTCCATTTCCTTCTACCTACACTACCGTTCTCTAGCCCAGGTTCTATAACCTGTACCTGTATCACCGCAGTCATTGGTCTCTCCTATTCCTCTCTTGCACATTCTGATCTCATCTCTATACTGCAGACAGAGTTATCTGAATGCCCAGTTCATATAAAATTGAAATTCTCATCATAGTCTTCAGGGCCCTGCCTGAACTACTCTCTGCTTAGATCTCCCATATGATCTCTTATCACTCATGCACATACATTCTCAGGGGGTGCCTGCCAGTTCTGTACCCAATGAGCTTTTTCTCACAAAACATCATTTGCCATTGTTTTTCTATCGTTCTGAAATTTTCTTCCCCAAAGTTATTCCAGTGCTGACTCTTTCTTGTTCTCAGGCCTGAGATTAAATTGCATCTTCTTACAGAAGATTTCTCTGACTAGCCCCCTAAATTAGAGCCTCTCTATCATTTTCTATGGTTTACTTGTGTATTTCCAGATTCTTGCCTAAAATGTTATTTCCATGATTTCAGAAACTGTTCCTTATTTTTATTATATCCCCAGGACCTAGCATAGTGCTCTACAAATAATAAACAATCAGTATCTGGTTTTAAAAAAGAAAGAATACATGAATAAATTATGGAAAGATGTGAGTTCTACCTTACTACGCTCATCTCTGGTTTTTGACTCACATTCCAATTACAAATCTTATAGATGGAAAGCAATGTTGGAGAATGAGACAGGGAAGATATATAATCAAATAGAATGTCCCACAAAGCAAAAGAAAAAAAGAAGTCATTTCCAAATACTTTACCCACTAGTTATGACATTGCAACTGGAGAAAACTCCTATGCAAATTCAGTCATGCAAGCCCCATTTAGCTCAGGAAAATGTGTAGAAATTGATTGAGTGAGCAGCTGGTGATATTGTAGTCAGGCTCTCTGGAAGTTAATTGGGAAGCGTTGTGAAAAATCCTGACATTGAACATGGAGCTATACTGACTTCCATTGTGCCCCAGACACTCATCACACACAGTTGCTCTCCACTATTACAAAATAACTGGATACCTCGGAGTCTCTGATGACTCTCATCAATAGCCTGCTAAGAAAACGGAGTAGGAGGGAGTGATGAGCTGGAGCTAGGACTTTTATAATTGGAATGAAAAAGCCCCTAATCTTGTGGGTTTTTAATTCCTTCATGAAATATTTTTATTCTCCAATGGAAAAAAACAAACAAACTCCCCTCCAGGGTCCCCTTTTGTATTATTCTGATGGAAAATCTAGAATTGAAATTAAATTGCTATTTTTCCTAGTGTTTAATTGATGTATTTATATCAGTTAGGTATTGTCATGAGAAAAGCACCCCAAATTTAGTCCTTAAAATACCAAGTGGCCATTAATTATTTCTCACAAATCTGTGGTTTAGCTTGACGGAGCTGTTGTTCTGGAGTGGGCCTGCTCATCTGTCTTTGATGAGCTGATGGTCTGGGGGTCTAGGATGGCCTCATCTGCAGTGGCAGGGCTCCTCGCCATGTGTTTCTCACATCTTTAGTAACTATTATATTCTAGGCATTGAGCTCTGTGCTTGGAATATAAAGATCAATAAAACTATTTGACCTTGAAGAATTTAGAGACTGAAAGAGGGAAATAGATCTATAAACAAATAATACATTTAAATAGCAGGGGCACTATGAGAGAAGTCTGTGGTGCATAGGAGGGATGACAGAAAGGAAATACTTGGTCTTAAGTGGAGTGAATGGGAGGACTCAGGATGGACTTTATACATGATATCCTTAAATCAAGTCTTAGTATACGAGGAACATTTTGCAAAGTCTCTAGGCTAAGAAACAGGATCCCAGGCAGAAAGGAGAGCAGAATAAAAGCACAGAATTATAGAAGATGCATTATTTCATCGAACCTGGCAAGTGTGATGTAGGAATTGAGTAGTATGAAATAAAACTGGAGAAGTAGATGAGGGTCAGGGGAAGCTCTGTGTGTGAGGCTGAGTTTAAATATTGCTTTAAACATTAAAATAATAATAATGGTAATGGTAATGATAATAAATTATAACCAATATTTATAATGTTTTTCCTATGAGCTAGGCATTCTCCCAAATGGTTTTGGTAACTTTTCTCATGTAATGTTACCTTATGACGTGACTCAGTTGTAAATAGGATGCTCCGGGTGATATTACCATTACCCCATTTTCAGTATTACCATTATCCCCATTTTCAGTGTGGTTCTTAAGGCTAGGGATGTTAAATAATGTATATATAATTAAGATAAGTATGTAGCACAGTAGGATTTATCCTCATATTAATCAGTCCGAATTTGTAACCACTAGGCTCATATTTCCTATCCATGAGAAGACAATTGATAGATTTAGATAGAGAAAGAATATGATCAGTATTGCATATTATAAAAAACTTGTTTGCAGTACTGTGGAAGAGAGAAGAGATTAAACAGACAGTAACCATTTAATAAGCTTTGGAAGTAGTCCTGGTTAGAAATATTGAAGATCTGAAATAATACATTAGCAGTGGGGATAGAACTAAGGAGACTGATTCAAGATCTGTTAAGAGGATGTGGGAACATATTGGATATATAAGAAGAGGAAGAAGGCCAAAATGACTCCAAGGTTTCTGAGTTAATTGACTGAAAAGAAAGTGATAGCAAAGGTGCTATATAGCATAGAGGTTAAGCCCAGATTCTGGAGACTACCTGAGTTTGGACCCCAGCTTTGCCACTTAAGTGTTTCAATTTCTTCATATTTATAGTGGGATAATGCCTACTTCAGTAAGTTGTTGAGAGGAATAAATAATTAAGTGCATAGTAGATTGCATGATACACAGTTAACTCTCAATAAATGTTACATACTATTCACTGAGAAAAGAGGAACAAGGATAGGGGAAAAGTTGGTGAGTAGAATTTGAGGCATGTGTAGGATGAGGTTCACTTGAATCAATAGGTCTCTAGAATTCCAGAGAGAGGTCTACGCTAAACAGACAGATTTTGGAGCCATTACCATATAGACAGTTGTTGAAATCTTGTATTGTGAGAACATAGGAAAATAAGAGAAAAGCAGCATTTTAGTGATGAGGAGAAAAAAATACTGAGAAACAATAATTAGAGAAGGAAAAGAAGAAGTCAAGAAAAGAATAGCTTTTGAAGTGATTAGGCACTAGACATCATCAAATACTACAAAGTTTACGATGTGCATGTCTACCAGGCATTTCTAATTTAACTGTCCAAAAGAGATGTTTGTGATTTTTCCAGCCACTTTCCCAATCTCAGTAGATGGCACTAGTATTCTTCCAGGGGCTAAGGCCAAAATCATGGCACCATTCTTGATTATTTTTTTTCTTACTTCAATCTTACAGTAATCAAACCTTCAAAATACAAAAAATAAAATTTTGAACTAACTCTTCATTGCCTACACCACTAATCCCTAGTCAAAAAAAGAATACACAAATGTTCCTTTCTATTACCGAGAACGTAATATTAAATAAAGTTGAAACCTCCATATATGCTAAATCCCCAACTTAAGCTGTTTACCCGGTTTCATAGCATATAACAGAGTTCTAAACTAGTAATAAGCATCCTGGAAATATTTATTTAATTTAAATTAACCAATGTATCACATAATGATGAGGAGCTATAAAACCTTTATAGGCTAGTTAATTTTGGCAAAACAATATTTCTGAATTTACAATAATGCTAAACAATTCTAAAAAAAACTTAGACCAATGTGCTTCTTAAGCATCTCAATAAATTGTTATATTGTGTAAACATCTTGTTGAGAATTTTTGTCACCCAGAGCATCCTATATACAATTGAGTTTATAATTATTTATATATCTGTTTATCCTAAAGTGTAGTTAGTATTTCTACTTTCTAATAATTTAAATTAGTTTTGCTTCCCTTTGATTCTGGCTTCCTGAAAGCTTAGAGAAAAATATGAATAGCATTTCTTGTGTTGACCTACTTTGAAATCTCTTTACTTGGTTCTGATGTCACATATTTTACTAGTTTATTAAATATGTCTTTTATTACAAGCTAGCTAAAATTCTTTGCCGAAGAGGTACATTACAAGCAAATATATTAAAGTCCAAGAGGGAGTCTTGCATGGATCAATGCTGAGACACATGACTGATTGAAGAAAGGGTTATTATTATGTGACAACTCTATAGTGGCCTTCTCTGTGCTCCAGGCAGATGGTGATTCTGAAATTAGTATAATGCTCAAGGACACCTAACAGGAAAAAAAGCAAAAAGGATTTTGTTCAGTGACCAGGAGTCTCATGAGAAAAAAAAATGCATACATATATATATATATACACGATAAACTGGATGAAGTTTATACATATTTGATATGTAGTGTCTCCTAAAAGAAGTCAGATCATAGGAAAGAGCACTGGGTCCCCAAGGAAAACTCTGGCTAAGTTGGGAAGTACACTTGTGTAATGAGCCAGTCACAGCTGCCCAGCCTTGGAGGTACTGGAGAGGAGTGGATTCTAGGTAAAGTATGAGCAATATTTGAAAGCTCTCCAACTCAGTCCCCAGGGAACACCTAGACATCCTAGGAAGAAGAGAGATATGTGATACAACTTAAAGACCTGTGTAACTAGCGGCACTGGCCTTCTAATGTTGTACACCCTTTCAAAGGAGCTCAACACCATAACAGAAAGTCATTTCCTTGCAGATTGGAAAGAGGAGTAAACACTGGAGAAAGAATGAGGTAGTACAGGTATGTAGGAGGTATTACCAGTGAGAATAGCTGTTTCCCTATTTGGGAGACATCACCAGAGGCATGTTTGGAAAGTGTTTCCGGATCTGTCATTTAACATAGAGGTAATAAGTCAGCAGGATAAAGGAGAAGCCACTATGATGACCTTGCATAGGACTCAGAAACTCAAAGCCTGTGGGAAAGCTTATTCTGGAGATATATAGCAAAACCCTATAAAATCAGAATGACTTCTCATTTCCCATACACTCATTACCCCACTGCAACCCTGCGTTTTTACTCTCATAATAAAATATTCTAGTAATGGTCACTAATGGCCTCTTATTTTCAGATCTAATGGATCCTTTTTTGCAGTTTCTTCAACATCTATTTATGCAATGCTTACTAACTTCCAGGAAGTGTTCTGTGCATCTGTAACACAATACATAATAATCTAGTGAAGAGGTTAGAGAGGCAGAGAATTGAAATTGTTTTTCTGGTAGATTTTTTTTGAAATTGGTGGGCTTGAGTTTCCCAAAATATACCAGAAGTGTGGAAGAGATTATTATGGCATTTTGATATGTCCTTCTACAGCAGCTTATTCACGTAGTAGTTAGGTTTTACTTATAAAGGCAAAAGGAACTTAAGGCTATGTTATCTACTTTGTATTTTCAATTTTTAAGCCATTACTAATCCAAAATATTGCTAAGTGGACTATAGATAATCCTTTTCCACAAGGACTATAGGTGTTTACCTAGTTTATTTAGATTAAAAAGAATCAAATGTAAAAATAAAATTTCAAATGAAGAGTTAGCTGCTGATGGGTCATACACCATAATTACTCAATAAAGAGCTAGAGACCATTTCTGTGCAATATGTGTGTCACATTTTCTTGTGGGCATCATCAATCTTAAAATAATTGAATTGCTTATAATTTTTTCCCTAAAGATTTAACCACCTACAGCTATGTTCATATGAATTCCCCATGTCTACTCACAGATAACCCAAGAGGTAAGTGTTCTACTAAGATACAGGAATTGTAAATATAGATTTCTAATATACAATTATTGATCTAAAGGTTACAAGTTCAACTCCAATATAGATTAGTAATGATGTATTAACATTATACTTTGAAGGTCACTAGAAAGAAGTTGACAATTTGATGCTAGTTTCAAGAAAAAGAAATATTACAGGGGTTTTCTATTTATCAGTAAAAATTGCCTAATATAACATAGCAAACAGTTTTCATTGAAATAGTGGCCAAAGCCTTAGGGAGATCAAATAGAGACAAGAATAGAAAAAAACAACAATGGCCAAGCTCTCACTGTCTATTTATATAAAGACGAATAGTTTTACTTAACCTGTCATCAATATACAACCTCAGATGGAAGATATTTAACTTTTACTATGATATTTAACTGATACTATACTATACTATTTATTTACTAATAACCTTCTAGTATTGCAAACTTACATTGTTTCTCCATTTTAAATATTTAAAAAAAACATATACAACATGTCATAGGATATGAGTCTCTGGAAACAATCCAATTGGAAACTACCTCTCTTCAGTAATCCATAGGGAAATGAATCATGTTGGCAGACTCAGTTACTCTAGAGTTTATCAAGAGATAAGGTTTATAATCAGATAAATGGTTCTAAAAACATAATTTTTTTCTTTTTCTTTTTTTTTTTTTTTTTCTTGAGATAGAGTTTTGCTCTTGTCACCCAGGCTGGAGTGCAATGGCACAATCTTGGCTCACAGCAACCTCCACTTCCTGGGTTAAAATGATTCTCTGGCCTCAGCCTCTGGAGTAGCTGGGATTACAGGCACTCACCATCACACCAAGCTAATTTTTGTATTTTGAGTAGAGACAGGTTTCACCATGTTGGCCAGGCTGGTCTCAAACTCCTGACCTCAAGATATCCACTCGCCTCGGCCTCTCAGAGTGCTGAGATTACAGGCACCACGACAAGCCTAAAAATATGACTTTCTCAATTTGGAGCAGTGGAAACAATTTAATTTAGAATAACCAAACTACTATGGAAGAGTTTTATAATAATTTACCAAACTATAACTTATATGAATTTATAACTAATTGCATTATATTAGCACAAGTGCAATTTGTATGCCTTTACCAACTCCTTCCAACTAAATGTTAGTAAAATAGTAATAAATGTAGGAAAATACCAATTCTATGTGTTCCCCACTTGGCCTCATATGAGTCAATCATCTTTTTTCTGTTTGTAATAATACTCCTTGAAATACAGTGAATCCAGAAGCTTTTAAAATTGTGTGGGAAGCATTTGCCATAAAAACTCCTGATATTGTACTGAATGTGTTACCCTTTATCTTACTCTATTTGTCTACAAGGTTAAAATTGTTAATTTGTTCATTAAATACATTTGAGCACCTGTTATGTGTCAGTCCGTGTTCTAGGAGCCAAACATATAAAGTTAAATTAAATACAGACCCTTTCCTTGAGATGCTTAATCTATGGTTAAAAGGAGACAGAGACAGAGAGGTATGGGTGAGAGAGAGAGAGAGTGTGTGTGTGTGTGTTTGTGTGTGTGTGTGTGTGTGAAGTCTATGGAAGCCAAAGGAAGGAATGACTCTAGTTTAAAATTGGGAATGAAAAACGTTAAAGCAAAACATTTTACTTCAGATTTAAATATCAGATTTTAAAAACAAAGAGTTTCCAGGGTAGACAAAGGGGATGAGAAAGAAGTTATCCCAGAGATGGGAAATAACATTTTCAGTCTGAATCCCTCCTATTTGTACCACGTGTATTTTGGTACTCACAAGCAATGTTAATCCGTGGGAAACATAAACTTGAATTATATTCTTGTGCCATATTTTTTGGTAGTTTCTCATGACTGTTCTCTCATAGCCACTCTCTCCTAAGGAGCTGTCTCAGAGCCCTCACCTTTAGTCCTTCAATGGCTATCCAAGTTACTAAGCTACTTCGTGGTCTTGCCAACCCTTCTAATTCCACAAAGCAGCAGTCAGTTCCCACTCTGGACTCTGGACTCTGGACTCATGGCCAATGATGCCTCACCTTGACCACCACACCTAACTCAAGGAGTATGAGACAATTATCCTTCCCACTTTTTCTCAGCTAATTATTCTTCTGGCTGTAGGATCCCACCCTCTTAGAGTGACAATCGCATTCAGTGGCTTTTTGCAAAGGTGGGCATCTAGCAAATTGACAATTGAAAGGCCACTCCTATGGCAAAGAAAAGAGTTTTATGTTTATGGTCTTTTATGGCCTTGTATAATATCATTTTACTTCTCTTACATTTGAAGGAAACTTAGAACAAGTAGTCAAACTTTAAAACAAAACTTACTAACATCAAAAATGGTGCTTCTGTTACAGAAGCAAACTAACAAGTCCTTAACTTGTTCATATTCCATTTTATGGAGTTTATATGACATTGACTTGAAATGAAGAAAAATCAGTGTTCATGTGTAATATCTTTAAAAGATTTAAAAAATCACTAAAAGTGGAAATAATGTGTATATATTATGTTATATGCATATATATATATCCATGCACATATATGTATGTATGTACATCATAGACCGAAACTGATAAAATACCACATTTAAAAAATGCTGTTAATAGTACCAAAAACATTGTAAATTGGTTTACAGATAGAGACCTTTTTATTGTTAAGAAGATAAAGAGTTATTAAGTGAGGAAAGCCAGTGATTTTCATTTCATTTTAAAGGTCATATTCTATATAATACTATTTTGAGAGGTGAATTTTGACCATTATGATTTCTTATTTTGATATTTCAGCAACATATTTTATTTCATTCTATTTCTTATTTCTACTTACAATTTTTCATAGACACAATTTTGAGTCACTGATTTCTCTTATAACGATTTTAGTATTTGTATATTGGCATAGTAATCTCTACTTCGGACAGTTCTTTGTCTTATTTCTATAAACTAGTTTCTCAAACATGTCTAAGTACCTCCGGAACATTTGGTAAATGATGGATGCGTACAGTTTGAGGTTTTAAGTTTATTCATATGGCAGCCCTTTATTTTTGGTATCTAGTAAATATACTCATCCAATTTTGAAGTCACAATGTAAAAGTATTAAAATTAATTTACACATAACTCCCATCCTTCTATCCACACAAAATACAGAAACAGTACTAGGTAATATGTGGCCGAATTGTAGTAAAATTTCTTCTACGTTAGTACAAGCAGTCCTTTAAATGCTAAGAATTCAATTCCCCCAGCTCCCTGGTATATTAGTATTTAACACTTGCTATTAATTTTAATGAAAATGATTGAAAGTAATATTCACTAAATGTTTTGGAAATTTTCCAATCTGTGTTAATACTTAATTGAAATGTGCCTGAGGCACTTAACATATATTAGCCTTACACTGATGGTTGTTTCGTTTTGCATAGGACTAAGAAAAATTGTAAATAACAGCAATGCCTTTGGGCGAGGAGCCTGGAAATTATAAACCTAAGGTTAATGAAAATGGCCTTTATGTACAAATGTTACTGTCAAAGGTAAAAACAATGAGTTATTTGCTAGTTATGAAAAACAAACAAAAAATAAGAAGTGCTCCCATATTCTACTCTTATTTTCTATGTCTTGACCTTTTACTTCTTTTTTATTTGGAATGCATTCACTCTGTACCAAGTTTTGTTCTCACTTGTAGCACTCTATTTGTATCTAATTTCCATACTTTTGAGTTCAAAATATTTATATAGTTTATAACACGCTAAAAACTTTCCTTTTAGGCCTTCTATAATACAGCCATTTCTGAGATTTTTCTGACCAAATGTTATATAAAATGAGTTGTGATGAATTGTGAATTATGCTTCAGTGACAGAGAATTAACATAAATAGAAGGGTACATATATGCTGAGGATTCTTTTGCATCCATTTAACATTGTGTGTATAAACAAAATTCAGTTTATTATCATATCTCATTTGTAAGATATTAGGCAGCGACATGGCTAATTTTTTCTTTTTTAAAAAAGGTCTCTGTCCTCAATAATCTTATTGTTAATTGGGTAAATGAGATATATGTACTGAAGCAACTAGGGAATCAGCTAAAGTATTTAAAAGCAGCACAAACCAACTACTTTAAATTAGAGGCAAACTTTGTTCCTGACTTCTTCTTCATAGCTATGAAAAGAATTGTCTTAATCATTAAGTTTAACAAACCACTGAAAATAGTATTAAAAAATTGAAGCACAAGAATTCTGCAAGACTTTCTTATTTAGTTCACAAAAGTAGCCTTCCATTCAAATATTAATGTTACCAAAGTCTATTATTGTAGACATGTACTACTTACTAATTTTATTGGAAGCCTTAGGAATTTTTCTCTAAACGATGCTATACACTCATTTAATTAGAAATGTTTGGGTTCATTTGAGAAATCAAAGCTCTTGTTAGCACGTCTTTTGTGCAAAGAACAACGGCGTTTATAATAGAATATAAAATTGTATACAAGTCAGTTGAGAAAGTGTCTACAAAGATACATAAACTTAAAAGGGGCACATATGCTCTGGATTTTCCCTGAAATAACCACAAATGACATGGACAAATGTGTATAAAAAATACAAAGATATTTTTAAAACCCTGTCTCCACTAAAAATACAAAAAACTAGCCAGGCGTGGTGGCATGCGCCTATAGTCCAATCTACTAGGGAGGCCGAGGCAGGAGAATCGTTTGAACCCGGGAGGCAGAGATTGCAGTGAGCCGAGATCACTCCACTGCACTCCAGCCTGAGTAACAGAGTGAGACTCCACCAAAAAAAAACAAAAAACAAAACAAATATATAGCCTTTCACCTGAAAAATCATCTGGTTGGATACCTTCTTTAAAATTTCAGGTCCTCTTTCTCTACCAGAAGATGCCTTTTCTTTCCTCTAAACCTCACCAAACAAGATCCCTTATTGTTATCTGTCTTCAAGTATTATATTCTTAAGTTTTATTCTTCTGGAAATAATAATGGCACCTTCTTCATCTGAGTGTCTACCACAGTAACACCAAACAGTGAACACTAAATTCTTTTTATCTTATCATTGTCTTCTTCATAATCATAATCATCACCACCACCACCATCATCATCGTCATCATAGTCATCTTTATTCTCATAAACCTTTCATTTGTTTGTTCATAAGTCTTTCATTTTCAAAGAATTTTCAAATGCTTGTTGAAAAGGGTAACACAACATTTTCAATCAGATTATTAATTTTTAAGAGGATAAAGAATAGCCTGAGGTACTTAGAAATACGTAATAATAAAATGTTTCCTGAACTTAAGGTGTTTAAATTTCATAAAAACAAGAACTGAAAAACATATGCTTATGGGCTTTCTGATAGGATTTGCAAACATATGGCTTAATTTTCAGTAATTCTTTACCAATACTCCTTGAGGTATATAAGATTTTTCTCTTCTAAATTTCCTTCTTTAACAAGTCACCTAAGATGAAGGTATACTAATTGAGGTATAATAATATGAAAAGAGTAAAACTCTCCTTATAACCTCTTTTTTTAGCCCTCAAATACCCCACTGATCCTGTGTTAGTAAAAAAAATGCTCATGCATAAAAGTACAGTCAAATAAGTACAGTACAAATAAGACACTGTGTTAATGTTATATCTTTTAATCTTTACCATTTAGAAAGATAGATGTTATTGTTTTCTATTTATCCAAGGAAATTAAAAAATCAAAAATTTTAAAAATCTGGAGCTACATTCAAATTCAAGTTTAGTTTTTAATCCTCTCTAAATCCTCAGTGACCAAAGAATCCAAATGTTAAGCAAAACAAAATTAAAACTAACATAAAAATTAAAACGTAGGCCAGGTGCGGTAGCTCACACCTGTAATCCAAGCACTTTGGGGGGCCCAGTAGGGCAGATCACTTGAGGTCAGGAGTTTGAGACCAGCCTAGCCAACATGGTGAAAACCCATATCTACTAAAGATACAAAAAATTAGCTGGGAGTGGTGGCACATGCTTGTAATCCTAGCTACTCAGGAGGCTGAGGCAGGAGAATTGCTTGAACCCCGGGAGGCAGAGGTTGCAGTGAGCTGAGATCACGCCATTGCACTCCAGCCTGGGTGACAAGAGTGAAACTCCTTCTCCAAAAAAATAAAATGTAAAAATCCATTTATGCAATTAAAGCACAACATAATAAAATCTTGGGCTTTTTAACCTCTTTGCAATGTTTGGATTAAACACATAAGATGGAGGTTTAATATGATGACCAAATACATCCATTTCAAAACAGATAAAGAGTTGTCTCTCAGTAATCAAATGTTAATTGAGTACACAAAATCTATATAGTAACAGGTGTTTGAGATTCAGTAGTTAGCCATGCAATTTCAATTAAAAGAGGCTACCTAAAATTTCATGATATAGGAAGAAGTGACAAATGTCAATTTAGTGTCATATCAGAAATAGCAGCAATGGCAACAAATATAGCTTTAAGAAGCATGTGAAATCCTGATGTTCTAAAGCTTCCTTATTTGCTTAAGAATTTAAACAGTAACCTTTTACTATAATTACTCTTGCTCCAAATTTATGTCCAACATAAAATAAAAACTCTTTTACGTATCATAAGTCATTGACCTATGCCTTTATGCATTCACATCTCATGTAAGACGTCCCCCAAACCAATGAGTTACGCAAAATATATTCAGAGATATTGAAGACAAACAACATGGAAATCCTAAGACCTTTGGGGAACTCATGTTGCAAGCTATCTTGGCTAAGCATCAATGAAAATGATAGTTTTTATCACAACACAAATATAATGTTAATCATTTCATGATATTCAATCTAATTCTATTTTTATCATATCAATAAATTTAAAATCTAGCTTGAAAGACCAAAAAAATGACTTTTGTTTATACATGAAACAATGACCATCATGTCTGCCGACCAAATCAAATCACTTCAAGCTGAAAGGTCAGGCGGTCTTGACAGAGTTGGAGTCAGAAACCTTCAAGTTAAAAATTCACATACCTAATTCTTTCTGTTGCCCCTGAAAAGTTAAATAAATAAGGTCATAAAGAATTAAAGTAAACATAGTAGTGTCAAACCTTGCTGTCATTTTTAATATGTCATACACAGAAGCTGAATCATTAGGTTCTGAAATTGTATTCACTTATAATTCATTTTAGAACCTACTTAATTAATATTCATAAACATCTCTTTCTGTCCTTTGTTTCTAAAATTAACACAATTCTAAAACTGGAACTCTTATGTTTGCCTAAGAGTTTAAATCTGTGTTATTTTAACTTTTGCAAAATCAACAGAACTATGTAACTATCCAAATAAACCAAAATCAGTTTTCAACACTTTTATGTAATGAGTAAGTGAAAAAAAATTTTAGACAAAAAAATGTATAGGTAATACTTTCAGTTCTTTATTTTAAAGCTCTGAAACTTGGTATAGTGCTTAGAATTGAGTACGATGGTAGGCAGAATAATGGACCCCTGCAGATGTCCATATTTTAATCCCTGGAACCTATAAATACATTATGTTACATAGCAAGGGGAAATTAAGGCTGCAGCTGGAATTAGGTTACTAATCAGATGACCTTAAAATAAGGACCTTATTCTGGTAATAACTAAGGAGATTATTCTGACTCAATGTAAAATCAAGGGTCCTTATATATGTGAAAGAGAAAAGCAGGAGAATCAACGTCAAAGTGCTACAGCATAAGAATGACTCCACTAGCTATTGAGCTGCTATTGAGCTCTTGGATCATCACCATGATCCAAGAAACTGAGCTGCCTCTGGATGCTGGAAAAGTCAAAGAAATAAATTATTCCCTGCAGCAGCAGTCTCCAGACTTTTTGGCACCAGGGGCAAGATTCATGGAAGACAATTTTTCCACAAATGGGGGATGGGGGGACGGTTTCTGGTAGAAACGTTTCCACCTCAGATCATCAGCCATTACTTAGATTATTATAAGGAGTGTGCATCCTAGATACCTCACATGTGCAGTTCACAATAGGGTTCGTGCTCCTTTGAGAATCTAATGCCGCCACTGATCTGACAGGAGCTAGAGCTCAGGCAGTAATGCTGGCTGGCCTGCCACTCACTTCTTGTATGCGGCCAGGTTCCTAACAGGCCACAGATCTGTACCTATCAGTGGCCAGAGTTGGGGACCCCTGCCCTAGAGCCTTCAGAAAAAACATATTCCTGCCATTCCCTCTATTTTAGTCCATTGAGACCAATTTCATACTCGCAACATCAAGAACTGTAAGATAAATTTGTGTTATTTTAAGTGACCACGTCGGTGGTAATTTGTTACAGCAGGAAGAAGAAACGAATACAAACACATTTTGTAAATATATTACTAGTAGCAACTGGTTGGTTTATTGATAGCAACACTCCTAATACCTAACACAGTACCTGGCACATTGATGAAATAATTATATTTAACTGATTACCAGATTTAACTTTCATAGTAGAAAATTTAACCGCACAGACACAATATATTGAGTTCACACTTTAATTCCTATAAGTCACATGTATAGTATGAGGAGTTTGGAATAATAAAAAAAAGAAGACAAGATTTTGTCCTGAATTTTATAGTTTTTTTTTTTTTTCATAGAGACAGTAAAGTTTCACATGGAAACAAAACAAACAAATAATATTGCAATGACATATACCTATCTATAACAATGCTGAAGCAATGCTACTGAAATATCACCAAGGTAAGGAAACCCAGGACTAATTTTGTGGGAAAAACAGAACATTATTTCAGAAAATCTGTCAGAATTATGAAAGCTTAAATGAAATTTATAATCTTCATTTTTAACAGAAGTCAGCTAAACACTAATGGCAATTAATAATGCCTTCTAAAATGAACCTTTAAAATTGGTATAGTTATCTATATAATAGAAGTAATATTTTCATGACTGGTAATTATGAGGCAAAATTCTCCTTAGAAATATAAGTGGCTTCCTATTTCATAGTCAATCCTGCAATGAAAATGCATGGATTGATAAAAAATAAAATTTTTATTTATTAGTTTGTCAGTAATACATATATACACTATATATATATATAGCACTATTTTACTACCCTCAAATAATCTTAATGAAAAAAATAATGCAGTGGAGGAAAGAGTCAATAGTCAGGAATCATAAAGAAAAATGTTTCCTATCATTCTTTTTCACAACTAACAAAGCAAAATTAAAGTTAATATATTTAATTTGGGGGCAGGGAAGAGGAGTAAAATTATATTCCTAGCAAAAATAATAGTTGTGATAGAACAGAGATATAATTAGAAACACCAGAATGCATCTTAGCCATTCTGTTGGCCTCAGACACCTGAATAAAAATAAGACATTAGAAAAGATGAACATATAAACCTCTTACCCTACTATAAATTATAGAAAAAGTGTTGTTTGTTTTTGTGTTGTATTTAAACAAATCTTAGTCAAACAGTACCTGTGTTGAAATTGGGTAAGGAGCCAAGTTGTGTTTCCTATAGAGTCCTCCAATGTCTTATAGGTCCTATATCAAATTTGCTAAAATTCCCCAAGTAAATGAGAAAGCTTTGCCTTTGTCTATTCTAGGTTTCGTCAGTATCCACAAAATGCCATTATTTCTAAGAAAAAGGTCAAACTAACTGAAAAGAATCCAAATCCATTATGATGGGTTAAATCGATAAAATCGAAGGATTATTTATTTAACTCTGAAGTGCTGGCAAGTATAAACTAACTGAAATTAGGGGAGCAGTTTAAGTGGAGTATGAAGGGAGTGTGAGAAAGTAAAAGCAGATTTTAATATAAAATGATAAATTTCATTTAAGTAATAGACTACAAGCCAAGCTTACTCATGAGCATAGATGCAAATGTCAAGGTTTTAGAGAGCTAAATTCATTACATAGGAAATATAGTACACCATGATCAATCCAGGTCAATCCAGTAATACAAGGGCGGTTTAATATGTGTGGGTTTTTTAGCTTCTTGGCAAATTAAAGGAGAATACTGTATGATCATCTCAATCTTTATAGAAAATAAAATTCAATACATTCATTATGAAAGTTTTCACAAAGTGTAAACTAGCAAAAATGAAAAAGAGCTAGAAAAAGTGTTATCTTCCTAAAAACAGACCTTTTAAAAACAAAATATGGTAAAGATGTACATTATAATTGCTTCTATTTCACATGCTTTTGGAAGTCTTACCATGGTAAAGAAAGGGAAAAAATAAGATTATTAGAATTGTAAACAATATAAAAATTATTATTCACAGATGCTGTAATTACTACTTTGAAACATCAAAAGCATTACAGAAAAAAGTGTAGAAATAATAAGTTTAACAATATGCCTGAATACATGGCATCAATATACTACAATAAAATTAAATTCTGTGCACCAGTAGGAAACACAGAATATAGTAATCATCATTCATCATCATCATCATCATATCTATCATGTATCATTGCTATCAAATGTAAAGCACTTAAGAAATTTCTAAGAAAACATATGTAAATGCTATGTAAAAAATATAAAATTTTATTGAAATATATTTAAAATGTCTCAAAGGATAGATCACTCTCATGGACTATGAGATCTACAAATTTATATATAGATTCAATATATGAATCAAAGTTAAATATTTTTAGAAACTGACAAGTTAATTCTGTAATTTATACCTTAAAAAAGGCCCAAAAAGAGACTTACACAAAATATTTTATCTACATGAAAGTTAATCCATGGTGAAAAAATTAGAACATTGGCTGCCTCATGGAATGGTGCACAAATTGACATGGGGGGAGGCATTAGAGAACTTTCTGGAAGGATGGTGATGTTCTGTAAGTTGACAGCCATTTGAGTCGTGCAACAGGTGTATGCATATATTAAAACTCATGAAATGGTACACATATGGTTTGTGCATTCACTGCAAATTTTTACCTAGAAAAGCTTACTTAAATACATATTGAACTCAAATATTAATCTGAAGTATCTGGTGTCAAAAAGTACTGATATCCTCAATTTAGTCAGAGCAATTGAAAATAAGATGAATTGATGGATAGAGGGATAGATAGATTGGAGATTGGTGATCAACCAATTAAGTATATATTTTAAGTGATGGTAAGTTTCTAGAACTTTGGGAGCTGGAGATGAGAGGATCTCTTGAGGCCAGGAGTTTGAGATCAGCCTCATAGCAAGACCCCATGGTGACCAAAAAAAAAAAAAAAAAAAAAAATAGCTGGACCCAGTGGTGTGCACCTGTAGTCCCAGCAACTTGGGAGGCTGAGGCAAGAGGATCACTTGAGTCCAGGAGTTCAAGGCTACAGTGAGCCACTGCAACTCCAGCCTGGATGATAGAGTGAGACCGTCTCAAAAAAAAGATGGTAAGCTTACAGATTACCAAGAAATCTTACATAACAATCAAGTGAAATGGTATGATCATTTTGAAATACAATATAACACGATCTTATAAAATTGAAACCACAAACCCTGTAATTATATGTTTTTGAGGTAAACTTGTACTAATTGTTCTGAATAGTACAAGATACAGCAGAGTTCCCAGTAGACAAACAGCTGAAAATAAGCCACAAAAAGCTACCAGATTTTATTATATTTACATAATGGAATATCTTATAACAGTAACAATAAACACAAAACATGCAAACTCATGGACACATTTTAGAAATATATTGAGCAAAAATAATGTAAAATATTCAAGAATAAAATATTGTTTGTATACATTTCACAAAAGCAAAATAAAGTATTTTAGGGAAACTTTTATATATGATGAAAGCTTATTTTTAAAGGGAGAATGATAAATTCAAACTTCAAATTAAGACACCCCCGACCATGAGGCAGAAAGATGGTGTATTAGTTCATTTTCTGTTCTTTGTAACATAATACCTGAAACTGAGTAATTTTAAAAGGAATTTATTTATTACAGTTCTCGTCTGGAGGCAGGCAAGACCATAAAGGAGTGCATATAGTGAGAGCTTTCTTGCTGCTGGGATCTCTCTGAAGAGTCCCCAGGTGTCTCAGGGTATCACATGGGAAAGATGCTGAGCGTGCTCATGTGCTAATTCAGGTCTCTTTTTTCTTATAAAGCCACCAGGTCTCCTTTCATAATAACCCATTCATTCATTAACCCATTAACCTATGAATAACCTATCCATGAGGACAAAGCCCTCATAATTCAATCACCGCTTAGAAGGGCCACCTCTCAATACTGCTGCATTGAGAATTAAGTTTTGAAATAAATTGTGGTGGGGGACAAATATTCAAACAATACCAGATGGAATAGCAACAGACACCTAGCTGATGAAGCAGTGTTTGCTATATCCCAGTTTATTAATTGGGTGATAAATTCACAGGTGTCAATTTTACTATTATGGTTCATATCTAGCATAGATAGATAGATAGATAGATAGATAAAATACACACTCATGCAATACTAGGAAATAAAATGTAAATTGCAACACCTTACAAAAAATTTGCTTTTAATAATCAAAAATGAAAAGTCCAACAAGAGAGGTGAGGAAATTAAATATCTGAGAACGACTCCTACCCTGTGAAAAAGCTGCATGCTTTCCACATATGGTACTGCACTTGCTGCCACTGAAAAGGCATGTTTGATACTTTGCAGAAGAGTTTAATATTCACTTCCTCAATTTATCCTCACAACTCTAGAGGTGGTATTATTTTCCCCACTTTCCCCATATTGCACATGAGAAAACTTATTTTAAGAGAGGCAAAGTGATTTACCCACGATTGCCAATCAAGTAAGTGAAGACAGCAGAACTGGAATTCAAAGTTGCCTAACTCTAGAGGCCAAGATTTATCACATTACACCTAGTAACCTCCACAGATTTCCAGGGATCAGTTGTCTCATCCAAATTGGACATATTATAAATTTATTATAGGAATACCTTTTAAGAAAGCCCTCAACATTATGAAGTTCCAAAGGGATTGAACCAAAACACAGTTAAATTGCACATCTAAAAATTTTATGTAGTCAACAAATAATAAAGAACAGATTTTTTTTTTTTTTTTAAGACTGAGTCTCACTCTGTCGCCCAGGCTGGAGTGCAGTGGCTCAATCTCAGCTCACTGCAACCTCCACCTCCTGGGTTCAAGTGATTCTCCTGCCTCAGCCTCCCGAGTAGCTGAGAATACAGGCACGTGCTGCCACCCCCGACTAATTTTTTGCATTTTAGTAGAGACAGGATTTCACCGTGTTGCCCAGGCTGGTTGAGAACTCCTGAGCTCAGGCAATCCGCCTGCCTCAGCCTCCCAAAGTGCTGGGATTACAGGCGTGAGCCACCGTGCCCGGCCAAGAACAGATCTTTAATACCAATGTACCAAATTGAACAATATGAGATATTGCAAAAGATAATAACATTTAGCTTTTTGTTTTTTTACAGTACTATTTGTAGTTTTCCTCAGATAGCACTGATGTTTAAAGAATGATCAGTGTCCTCAAGACAAGAATTTAATACTGCTTTAATTTCCAGCAGGTAAGAAATGACCATTCTAGTACATAGGCTCGTAATTCAGTCTGAAATTGTCATATCAAAGTGAAACTATCCTTAAAAATAAATGCATTAAGATATAATCATCACAGTTCAAGTACCAATGTTCATCTTTGTCTTTGGAAATCAGATTTTCTGTAGTTGCAAGGAAATAAAATAGATGCCAAGAATCTAGCCTATTCTAGTTGTAACTTTTAAAAAAATCTTTTATGTCTAAGAACAGAAATAGATTCTTTGTTCAATTTGTACATAAACATTGTTTCAGGAAAACATAAATATTAACCTCTTTTATTTTAAACCTCAGCCTACCTTTATATGAACTATCTCTTGACTGTTCTCCAAATTTGCTATGAATACCAATGATTCAAAAAATAAGAAAAGTGTGAGTGAAGTCACTTGGTGTATATTCCTGCTTCCACAAACCACCGTAAATCCTACAGTAGGAAGTGACACAAAACTATCAAGCATCTGGGTTGAAGATAATCCTTCAATCATTTAGAATCATGTATACAGTTTCAAGTTTACTTGGAAGGAAAATGTAGTGTTCGACCTTAAAAACAGTCAGACCTCTGCTCTTTATTAAAGTCAATGACTTCATTGTTTTTGTAATGAGAGAAACCACTTCCTTCCATCTCAGCTGATGATTTTTTTCTTCACACTTTGTCAAGAAAATAGGGGAAGAAATGAAGACCTTCAGAGTCCCTCCAATAAATCTGCCTTCCCACTTGTATCTCGTTACATACTACCTGCTCTCCTTTTTAGGTCAAAGACTGAAATGTCCCTGCTTCCTCCTAAGCCCAATCCACTCCATACACAGGTTTCCATGCTCTTTTTCCAATGTCCTCTTTTGGAGAACTTTAGTCTTCTATTCATGAGCTCTTCCTTCAAGATCATCAATCTGCCCCTCTCCATTGTATCATTCTCATCATTTAAAAAACAAAACAAAAGTAAGTTTCCCTTGACTATCCACTCACAAAATGATATTTTGTTGTTGTTGTTGTTGTTGTTGCTTAGGTGGTCATTTTAAAGAAAAGTCTTTAAAAAGTTGTTCATAATTGTGGCATCCAGGGTCCATTGTCACACTTTCCAATCTTTCTTTTCACCTGAACCACTGAGATCATTTTTTGTCAATGTCACCAACGACCCCTGCGATGACATATCATGGTTGCTTCTATGTTCTCTTCTTACTCAGCCTCTCCACAGTATCTGACACACTTGATAATCCCCCATTCCTCTTGTAGGATCTTGACATTCACGAAGTATCACACTCCTAGTTTTGTTCTATCTCACGAGACGTACCTTCTAACTTTTCGGGCTTTGGCATCTCTAGACAAAATGAAAATATTTGGAAGTTCAGGGCCCCTTCTCTTTTACATTTATATTTACTCCCCAGATTTATCCTACCCTCTATGTGCTGATGCACAAATTTGCTTATCTACCCTTATCTATTCCTGAGCCTCAAACTCCTGTATCCAAGTAGCAGGATATATCTCCATGTCTATGTCTAAAAGCATTATCTTGATTTTTTCCCTTGGTCCTCTGCTGCTTATTTGCCACAGAGCAGTCAGATTGATGTTTTAGAATGTGAAATTACATTATGTATTTCCAGTGCTCAAAACCAATGGCTTGATGTCACATTAGAGTAAGATAAAAACTTCTTACAGTTTACAAGGCAGATCTGGTTCTCAGCTACTTCTCCTACATCATTTCCAGCACATTTTTTTCTTCCCTCTGCTCACTACAATTTTCTATCTTTTTCAGATTTGATGAAAAGCAGCACATAATTTTTTAAATTTCTTATACTGATACATTTCACGGATCCTTCAGATTTTCCTTAAAACTGCACATTTTTAATTGCCCATTTTTAATTTTTAATTAATTTGTATTAACTTAATTGCTATATTTTATTTTTTTATCGCTCGTAATATTGTTGCAAATTATCATCACTGATTCTTCCAATATTTCTGGAATTTGATGAATGGGGTTCTGTTTTCTTTTTTTAAAAATTCTTTTTATGGAGAAAAGATCTTATTAGGTTGCCCAGGCTGGTTTCAAGTTCCTGGGCTCAAACAATCCTCCTGCCTCTACCTCCCAAAGTGCTGGGATTACAGGCGTGAGCCACCACATCCAGCATGAAGGGGATTTTTATTACTACTTTTCATATCATGATTATTTTAGATCAAAGATTAAAATCTTCTGTGGAGACCATGCAGACATGTCAGTGAGATAAGTAGATATAGCAGCAGTATGTTCTTCAGGTATCCTGATTTTCATCACCTCTCCAGGATATCTCTGCCATTTTTTTTCTACTATACATAAAAATTTATGGAAAACTTTATAAGAACTACAGTTTCCAATAATGGGTGAATCCAAATTTTTGTTTTACTGTACCATAAACCAAGATGATGTTTATGGCTGCATTTTCTCCTTATAAGAACTAAATGACTGATCAATTACAATAAACATTTTATTTCATAATGATACCTATTTTCCCTCTATCTTGTTTTGTTTCTATTTGACATTTTGGTAACTGCTGCATTTAATTATATTTATGGCAATCTTTGTAAATACTTTTGCAAGTAAGTGGGATATACACATTTTTAGTATATAAAGTAAACTGCAGGACAGTGTTGGGCTGCTTATCAGCAGCTCTGTTAAAATGGAGCTCATGGTTTTAGTAAATGAAAAGTTCAATGTATACCTACGCTGTGTGATTTTTTTTAAAAAAACTATTTTAATCTAAAGCTCTGTTAATAGAAAATGGTGTTTTAAGAGGAGAAAATCCCAATGTATTCTGTACTTATTAGAAAGCACTGTTCAATGGAAACATAAAGCAGCCCACATGTATATTTCTAAATATTCTTGTAGCCACATTAAGAAAGTAAAATGGAAAAACTTAATTATATTAATATATTTTATTTAATCCACCATATCCCAAAAGGTTATCATTTCAACATGTAATTAATATTACATGGTTAATGTGATATTTTACTTTTTCTTCCTAAGTATTTTAAATCCTGTGTGTATTTTGCACTTACAGCACACCTGAATTCAGACTAGCTATATTTCAAATACTTAAAAGCCACATCTGGCTAGTGGCTACCATGTTGGTCAGTGTAGTATTAGACAATATCTGTAAGTACATAACAATCTAAGTCATGGGTACATTTAAAAGGATCATAGAGGAAGCAAACCACAGATTACCATGATGTGAAATACATGGAAAGTTTAAATAATAAAAACTGAAAACACATGTATTCATTTCCTCTGAATTCTAGTGATTTCACAATATAGCATTTTAAATATTTTTATTCAAATAAACATGACTTTGTACTTTACCTCCTGCTGCAACAACTTTAAAATGCTGCAAGTAAAAACCAGCTAAAAATTACAAATTGCCATCTAAGCCTCCCTGCCTTCATGATGATAATTAGTCCTATTTTTGAAGGACCACAGATTATTGCCAAACAATTAGACACATCTCTAGAAAAACTCATCTCTTTCCTTTCAAAATACATTTTTGGAAGAAGAGAAAAGTAATGTTTTCATTTAGAGTTGAATTTGTGAATCTTCACTTTTACATTGTCTCTAATATTAAATGAGTTGGTGAAAATTTGTATACATCAGGAGAATTAAATAGAGGAAGAGTTTTGTGCATGTAAACTAGAAAGGCTCAAAAGCAGTGTCTCACAGCGGCATGCCTATACTATGACTCCATTGCCTCTTTAAGTGTAGCCTTCTTATTTCTTTTCATCATCCCAATTAATTAACCTATGCCAGAATCTGAAAAGACATTTTATAAAACAAAACTAAACAAAAAAACAGTAAATTATGCTGGATTTAAATAAATAGTGTATACACACACACACACACACACACACACACATATATATATATATATATATATATGGATCTAAATATCTATCTATCTATATACAGTTTACCTTCATTCAATTATTTCTGGGCTTTCCAAGGCAGTGACAGACTATTTTTGGGATATTAACTGGCACTAAGCACAATGCTTTTCCCAGGACAGGTGCTCAACATACATTTCACAAATGAATGATTGCTTGTTTTGTTAATAAAATAATGGATATTTTAAAATATTTTCAATCTCTTATCATATGTATGTTCGTTGAGACCTGTTCTCCATAATACTAGACTACAACCTGTTAAGGCGAACTATTTTATTTCTTTTCCTGCTTAAGACAGCAGGAGGAACACATCCATGTTCAAAAATTATGTGTCAGCTGGGCTTTATGCTTCATCAATATCCACGTAGACCAATCGAGCAAATAATTCTCATTATGAAAGACTTACTTTCAACTGGCACAAAAAGTAATAAGAAAAGTAGTTCATATAAATTGTACATGATAGAAGCAGTAAGATATGTAGGTCTGGTGGACTTAGAAGTAATTGAATTTAGTTTTCTTTGGTGAATGTTGAATACCTACAATTAAAGAGTATATCCACAAATTTTATAACATATAACACTCAGATATTATTTTAATCTCTTTAGAGTAGTGTTTTAGATTAATTGCTTTGATCATCTTGAGATAGAACCAGTTATTTTGAATCAATAAGATAAGGCTTATTTCTGGTATAATTTAAAAATCAGTTTTAATAAAAGTTATCTTAAATATTGCTTCCCTTAGCTTTAGCAAATCCTTTTCATTTTTATGGAGTTGTAGATTTTCAGTGCACCTTCACGTTCATGCATCTCATTTGATTTTCTCAACAATACTGTGAGTTGATGTTACTATGCTATAAGCAAAGTTATTAAGTTTAGCTGATTTTTCCTACTCCAGGAAAGAGGAAATCCTGAGATTCATAAAAATCCAGTCTTTCTTTGCGTAAGTGTACACCCTCTCTGATCAGCATCTTGCAGACATAGGGATAGTTTGCCATCTCTACAGAAAACCCACAATTCCTTCTCATCAATTTAACAATCCTGATGTTAAGCCCGATATAAAAAGAGAGAGAATTGTTTTTTCAGGGTTGTCTTTCGCATGCTTTATATCCTCAGGCCCAATATAATTTTTTCTCTTTGTAATGTTTGTTTTTTTCTTTCCAGACTAACCTGAGCTTTCAGGATTATTGGGCCATCCTTTTATTTATCCCCCAGTTGACTACATTTTAAATAATTTTCATTAATACTTGCACTTTTAAGACAGCAAATCAGTTAATTTAATTCATGATTTCACTCCTTTATTGAGGAGAAATGACTTTACCCAGTCTACCTCCCTTAAACTCATTTTTTCCTCTAAATTATCAGCTCCATAAGTGAAGGAGAAATAAAATCCTTTACAGACAAGCAAATGCTGAGAGATTTTGTCACCACCAGGCCTGCCCTAAAAGAGCTCCTGAAGGAAGCACTAAACATGGAAAGGAACAACCAGTACCAGCCACTGCAAAAACATGCCAAATTGTAAAGACCATTTCTGGTAATTCCTTAAGAATTTATATGTATTAGCTTGCCTTACACCTTACATCATTTATTTGAACCTGCCCTTGAAAACAACCCTCCCTGTATCATTTATATATTGCTACATAATAAGCATCACCAAAACATGACTTCAAATAAACATGCTACAAGGTTAATTATCAACTGTGAGTTCTTCTGAGTAGTGCCTTACTGAGCTGACCTCTGCAGGGCTTGCTCCTATCTATGTGATCAACTGACTGGTTGTCTGGGTACTGGCTGGTTGAGGACAGTTGGTTGGTTATTGGCTGGGGCAACAGAAGTGATCAGTTTACACTTCTTTCATCCAGCATGCTAGCCATATAAGCCTGTTCATATGGTGATGACAGGACTCCAAGGAAGACTGGAAGTGTGCATGGTCTCTTGAGTCTTAGACACCAACTGGGACATCATCATTTCCACTGCATTTGGTGGAAGCAAGTAACAACAAGGAGTAGGGAAAAAGGCTTCACCTCTTTACAGATGGAATTGCAAAATTACTTTACAAAGACAATGGATATAGGGATGGATGAAGAATTGGACCATTTTCTTACTTGGATCCTATCACATTTTCTTAACCTCTTTGTAGTACTAAACTTTTCATTCTTTCGTCAAATCTATCTTCCCTAGGTCTTTAAGAATTACAATTTCCTGGATTTTTCCTTATATTTCTAGCCTGCTCTTTCCAATGTCCTTACTTGGGTTTGTTCTTTAAATATATATTTTTCTCTAATTCATTATTGGCTTTTATCTCTTATAACTGAGCATGTTTACCCCATGATTGTGTCATCTTTTCCTACCCCCTTGCTTCAGGCTCTGCTTTCAGAGAAAATGAATTAAGAAACCTATCGTTCTCCAACAGTTTGAAATGTGTTCAGGCCTTATTACCTCTTAACTGAACTATTGCTCTAATTCGTTTCCTGGTATTTCCATCTCCAGCTTCTTTCTCCTTTCCTCTGATGTAGAGCTGGTGGAGTTACTTGAATTTAATTCTGTGAATGTTGAATACATACAATGAAAGAATATATCCACAAATTTTATAACCTGTGTGAACCCAAAGTATTTGAGACAAGTCTCAATCAATTTAGAAAGTTTATTCTGCCAAGGTTAAGGATGCATCGCTGATACAGCCTCATGCGGTCCTGGTGACATGTGCCTAAGGTAGTTGGGCATAGCTGGGTTTTATACATTTTGGGGAGATATGAGACATCTATCAATATATGTAAGGTGTACATTGTTTCAGCCTAGAAAGTCAAGACAAATCCTTTCTAGATGGAACCAAGCGGAGGCTTCCAGGTCATAGGTAGATAAGAGACAAACGGTTGCATTATTTTGAGCCTTTGATCAGCCTTTGGCTGAATACACAATTTACATGTGTGAGGAAGGTGGAGGAATAGTCACTTATGCCTTAGTCTGACTCAGCAAATCTTCATTTTTACATAAGCAGTAGGGCAGTGGAAGCAATCAGATATGCATTTGTCTCAGGTGAGCAGAAGGATGACTTTGAATTCTGTCCTTTGTCCAGCATCTGTGAAGATAAGCTATCAATTTACATTGCCAGGGTAAAATCCAACAGAAGGGTTTTAAGGTAAAGATCTGAGGCCCACAAGGAATTTCCTTGTGGACAAATTGTGAGGAAAGAATGTAGCTTTTTATCTTTGTAGCTATCTTATTTAGAAACAAAATGGGAAGCAGGTTTGCCTGATGCAGTTCCCAGCTTGACTTTTTTCTTTGGCTTAGTGATTTTGAGGTCCCAAGATTTCTTTTCTTTTCACACATTTAACACTCAAGGTATTATTTCAATCTCTTTAAACAAATGTTTTAAATTACTTACTTTGGTCATCTTGAGTTATTTTTATCTGGCCTGCCTGTGTAACCTTTCTTAAAACTACATCTGATCATGGCACCTATGTCTACCATATAATTCTAAGTTAATCACCTGCTCAAAAAACTTTGATTTTTCTCCATTGAATGATTGAATTTTGGAATTCAAGGCTTTCTACTATTTGATCCTGCCTACTTTATCCAACTTATATAAAATCCTATATATCTTTTATTTCAGTCATATAACAGTCTCTTTAATCCTAGAGCATCCCTATACATCTCTACTCATATCTCTTACTCATGTTCCCTTAGGCTTGAATAAACATTCGATGGGGCCCACCTACTTGATCCTCTTTCTGTCTTTTAAGACTCATCTCAAATAACATTTCTTCCTAGTTAGGAAAGTTAGTATTTTCTCCCTGATTTCCCATTTTCTATTATATGTCTGTATCTCTGCATTGAATGTCAAACACTTCAAGGAAATAAATGGTCTCATAGATGGCATTACCAATGGTCAGGGATTTTATGCCTAATTTATTAAAATAATAAGCAATAAAAAACTGGGAACTACTACAAAAGGAGAGAGACACGGAGGAAGATAAAGGTTAAAACACTATTGGGTTATGCTCAGTGCCTGGGTGATGGGATCAGTCATACCCCAAGCCTCAGCATAACACAATATAGCCAAGTAACAAACCTGCACATGCACCCCGGAATCAAAAAAAAGGTTGAAATGATTAAAAAATGAAAAAAATAGCTGTGGAATAACTTTTTATTGAATCATTTTAAATATACTTTCTTAACTTAAGAAGTAATATCTTAGTATATTTCCAATTGTCAAAACCTAAGTTTACCTATGTACATTTTGAGTTAGTTAAATCAAAAAAGCATAAAGCTAGATTATTTTTAAGGAGATCAAAGTTTGAGATGTATCCTTTTGTTCAATGAAATCTTCCAAATGCATTAAATATAATATAAATTAAAGCATACCAACAAATGTCACTAACAATCATCACTATTTATATATTGCATCAATCAAGACCCCTACAGGAAGCAGATGGCACACTCAAAGTGAACTATTTTAAAATAGCTTAATAAAGAGCTATTTACAAAGAATTGAGTAGGGTTAGGGAAAGCAGAAGAGATAGAGCAGTATCCCAAAGTCAATATTACCTGCAATGAAGAACTTCACAACTCTTCGGCCTGAAATGTTAAGGGGGTAGTCTTTATCAGAATCCAGAGACAGAGGGTTCCATAGACAAGGCAGATTTGCAAGAGCTGGGTCCTTTGGTAGAAGAATATGGCCAACCCAGGGCAAACCCAGCCTAACATTCTTTCCTCCCTCTCTTTGAAACTGCCTTTGTAAAATTGTAACTGAGGAAATTATGACAGCGAAAGAAGTCAGACCTAACCGACTCTATCTTGCTTCTAACCTTTAAGCTGTCCTTGTTCATTCCTGGGTGTAGGCTGAACTACGGGAACAAATGCGGTTCATGGTTTGAAACAAAATTGATAACAGCCCTTTCCCAAAAAGACCTCCTTCTTGCCTAGGGTCCAGTCTGCCTTTGCAGGGCTAACAAATTAGCTACAAGATTAGAAATTACAGTTTAGGGGTCATGCAGCCTCTGGCTTCAACAGTCTGAACCTCCCCAAATTGCTCCTGGGGGTAACATCACTATTGTTAAATTTAATATCTGTGCTTGAGATATTTTGCAGACCCTGCACTCCATGGATCAGCTGACACTACCCAGACTGATAATATGACCCAATCAGTTCTGCCATCCCACCCAGGAACAGAAGACATTAAAAAAAAAAAAAAACTAACTTCGGGCGGCGCGCAGTAGCTCACGCCTGTAACCGCAGCACTTGGGGAGACCAAGGTGGGCAGATCACAAGGTCAGGAGTTTGAGACAAGCCTGGCCAACATGGTGAAGCCCCATCTCTACTAAAAATACAAAAATTAGCCTGGCGTGGTGGCACATGCCTGTAGTCTCAGCTACTTGGGAGGCTGAGGCAGAAGAATCACTTGAACCCGAGAGGTGGAGGTTACAGTGAGCCAAGATCGTGCCACTGCCCTCCAGCCTGGGTGACAGAGCAAGACTACGTCTCAAAAAATAAAATAAAATAAAATAAAATAAATAAAAAGAACACCTAACTTCAACCCCCTATGATTCCCTCTGCAACCTGACCAATCAGCACTCCCGCTTTCCAAGCCCCTACCCACCAAATAATCTTTAAAATCTGATCCCCAAATACTCAGGGAGACTTACTTGAGTAATAAATAATAAAAGTCCAGTCTCCCACACAGCTGGCTCTGCGTGAATTACTCTTTTCTCCATTGCAATTTCCCTGTCTTGATAAATCGGTTGTCTAGGCAGCAGGCAAGGCGAACCCACTGGGCCATTACATCTTCTCCTGTTAGTTTTTCCTAATGGCCTAAACTAACCAGAAGCCAACCTTGCCCTGCAACCCAAGAAGCAAGGGGGGGCAGTAATATATAAATGCAGACTAGGGTAAAGAGAATGGAGACTGAATATGGAAGGCAAAGATTTGATATCTGGTAGTTATGTCTTCGACATTTTTTTTTTTTCATTTGGCTTTGCTTTTAGGCTGCTGAACCTCAGCTTCAGAAGAATAATTTATAAGAATTTATTTTATCAAAAAAGATATTGGTTTTGTAAAAGTGTGAAACTTCTTTTTAGTTAAAGGGAGTTTTCAGATCCAATTATTTTGCATTTTTTTAAAGAAATTCAACATCTGCATCAATAATATTTTTAAAAACACTGTAGAAGAAAGTGGATTCAGAAACCTTTTTGATTACAGCTTTCTGCTTGAGTACATAATCAACTTCACAGTCAGATGTTTTCAAGTCTTAGAATTATTAGTATTACTGATGTGCCTTATTAAAAGCATAAAAGTGCTTTTATTCTTCTCAGAAAATGTTGTGAAGCACATAGATTCAATAATATAACCTTTGAGATTTGCAAGTTAATTTGGTAGCCTTCTTGTACTTGACAGACACAAACTTGCCCTAGGTTCTCACCTGAAATATATAAAAGGCTGAGCAAAGAAATATACACCCAAAAATTCTAAGAAATTCTTTCTCAACCTTAAGAAGCAGTCAAGAGGACAAATCAAATAAAAAGTCCAACGTAACTGTAATGACTAATACTTTCTGTCCTAAAAACCAAGGGACATGAAGAAATTATCCCCTAGAAATAATAATTTTCTTTCCTTGGTATTATACTTTAAAAACTAAAGTGCAAGTACAGATATAATACCTAATTTAAGTCTCATAACAAACCTAATTGTATATACATTTGGGATACATTGTTTTCCAATTTTTATACTTGAAAAACTTTATAGAGAGATTAAATAACATTCCTAAGGTCTAAACCTAATAAATGACAAACACATCAACTGAGCTTTCTGACTCCCAGTGTAGTGTTCTTTTGACTCTATGAAATATTTGTGAGCACATGCTGTAGCTACATCAGACCAATCTTATTTAGCTTTTAGGTAACAAAGCTGAGGACTGTTTCTCTGTTGCTATAGACCCTCAGGCTGAAGATTTGTAAGGTGAGCATGGCCAGATGAACCCAGCATGCAAGAACATAGGCAGGGGGTGGAGTGGAGGAAGAACCTAAGTGCTCTGACCAAGGAGCAGGAACTGAATTAATAATTGAGTTAAGAAGCAGACACTGTAGGGTAGGATTCAGGATCCAATCAGATGGCATCAAACCCTAGCAGGATCCAGTCAGATCATGCCTACCAGAATCACCCCATTGCAAGATCCAGTCAGATCATGCCTCATTACCCTATGCTTATAAAACTTGACTCACCCCCACTGCCCTGGGAGGCACTGATTTGCAAGCTCTCCCTGGTGTTTTCTTACTTGTTGCGAATAATAAAATCCCCTTGCTAAATCCTCCTTGGTTGTGATCATCGGGCTGTGACCCACCAAGTGACCAAAACCTGTTGTGTGGGTGACAATATCAAAATGTGTATATCATTTGCTATACTAAGAACATAAACAAAAAGAATACATTTAAAAAATAAGAAAAATAAATATAAATAGAAGATCTAAATTTTTTCACCTCTGCCCCAACATACATGACTGCCCTCCTGTTTTTTGTTTTTTTTTTTAACTTTTGAGATAGGGTCTCGCTGGGTCACCCAGGCCAGAGTGCAATGGTGTGATCACTGCTCACTGCAGCCTCGACCTGCCAGGCTCAAACAATCCTTCCACCTCAGCATCTTCAGTAGCTGAGACTACAGGTGTGCACAACCACACGAAGATAATTTTTAAATATTTTGTAGAGACAGGATCTCCCTATGTTGCCCAGGCTAGTCTTGAATTCCTGAGCTCAAGCAGTCCTCCCACCTCTGCCTCCCAAAGTGCTGGGGTTAAGGGCATGAGCCACTGTAGCAGAGCCTGTCTGCCCTACTTGGAAAACTATTGGTCTGTAGCATATACCTCAGTTTATCCTCTGAACTAAAATAAACTGGTCTTTCTCAATGCTCACCTTATAGGAAATAAAACTCAAAAGTCCTTAAAGATAACATAGTTCCAAAATGATGAAGGAAAAACTGTAAAAGACATTTTTGAGTCAAAAATTATAGGATTTGATAACCATTTAAATATAAGAATGATTAGAGAAGATTTCCAGAATGTGTGTTAGTCCATTTTCACACTGCTAATAAAGACATACCTGAGACTGGGAAGAAAAAAAGTTTTTTAATGGATTTACAATTCCACATGGCTGCGGAGGCCTCACAATCATGGTGGAAGGCAAGGAGGAGCAAGTCACGTGTTACATGGATGGTGGTAGGCAAAAAGAAAGAGTTTGTGCAGGGGGGAACTCCTCTTTTTAAAATCATCAGGTCTCCTGAGACTTATTCACTATGCAAGAACAGCATGAGAAAGACCCGCCGCCATGATTCAATTACCTTCTACTGGGCCCCTCCTGTGACACATGGGAATTGTGGGAGTTACAATTCAAAATGAGATTTGGATGGGGACACTGCCAAACCATAACAGAATGACTTCTAGGTTTTGTTTTATCTTCAGTCATTAGGCAAATGCTGAGTATTTAAGTTATTGACTACAAGAGATGGGATACCTAAGTTTAGTTTTATATGAATATTAATTTGAAACTCTTTCCATAGGCTTACTGGCTCCTCACTTATTCTCTAATATAAAAGACTCGTTAAGTCTTTTGTCTTTTTCTGTATGGGGATGACTTTCTATTTCTTATTTGACTTACATTCCTTCTCAACATTTCTAGATATTAGATTTTTTACCCATTTTATATTTTTCAATTATTTTCATCCAGTTCACATTCCACTTAGTTTATGCTGGCTTTTGAGAAAATAATTTATTTTTATTGGTTGAATTCATAACCTCTTGGTTTCAGGTATGTGTTGTTTAAGGAATGTTTTATCATTATGGATCATAAAGATATTCTCCAATATTGTTTCCTAGAATTTTATCAAACATTATCTTTCAAATTTAAGACTTTATAAGTTAAAAATTATGTATTTGATGTGAGGTAAAGGGCAAAAATAATTTTTCCATAGGGATAATCTATTTTTACAGCACTTCTATTGACAAGTCCATCTTGATTCCACTAAACCTCAAAGGTAATTCTTTCATAAATTAAGTTTTCAAATATATGTGGGCATAGTTCTGAGTTCTCCATCCCATTCCTCTGGTCTTCTCACCTAGCCCTGCACCAAAAGATACTGAATGGTTATAAATAGGTTATAATAAGACACAGCTCAGAAATATTTTTTTTCTTCCATAGGTTCTAATTTTTTTTGAAGTCATTCTTATGTACCCTTCCTGTCAGTGTCTCTGCCTACCAAAGAACATCCACTATCCTGATTTCTCATATCATAGATAAGTGTTAACTGTTTTGTACTCTATAAATTGAATAACACAATATATGTTTTTTTTGTGTCTGGCTTCTTTTCTTCAACTTTATGTTTGTGATACACGTGTATTTTTGTGTGTCATTGTAGTGTTCATTCTCACTGCTATATAATATTCCATTTTGACATATATTAAGAAAATTCCCTAACTCAAACTGGCTTAAACAATAAGGAAATGTATTTTCTCACATAACTGGAAGCCCAGAAGTAGAATAAACTCCAGACACAAACAAAGCTGCAATGACATTTTTAAGAAATAAGTTTTCTTCCATCTCCCCGTGCTACCATTCCTAAGATCATATGAAAACTGCCAGGGCACTACTGAGTTCAGCAACAGAGAGGGAGAACTTCTCTCTTAACCAAAGAGCATACAGTTGTCCCTCAGCATCCACAGGGGATTGGTTGCAGGACCTCCCCACCCACCCTCATGCCAGGATACCAAAATCTGCAGATGCTCAAATGTCTTATATAAAATGCCATAGTATTTGCATGTAACCTACACGCATCCTCCTGTATACTTTAAATCATCTCTACATTACTTATAATACTTAATACAATATAAATGGTATGTAAATAGTTAGTGTACTGTATTGTTTTTATTTGTATTACTTTTATTGTTGTATTGTTATTTTTATTGTTTTTTCCAAATATTCAGTTTGTTTTTTAAATACATGGATGTGCAACCTGCAGATAAAGAGGGCCTACCTGTACATTGCTCTCTTTAGTCAACTTGAGCCAAGTTTGTAAAGAGATACATTTCCATCAAATAAGTAGGCAAATTTTGAAAGATCTACTACTCTGTGCCTCCCAAAATAATCTATCTATCTATCCCAAAAAGCCCCACATGTGAAATTTACCAAAATATATACTCCATTACTATTTAAACTGTTCTGTAACAAAAGTGAAAAAAAAAACTTTTATGGAATAAGTATATAACCATAGTTATGATAAAGACTACAAAATTAGGAAATAACAGAGCAATCACATCATTCTTAATAGAGAAAGCAAAAAACATTCCTATTAATGTCAGAAAATTTTTTGGTTATTCACCACTATTACTTAATTTTATTTTTTTCTGGATGTGTTAGCCAGTGACATTGAAAATGACAATCCTAAGATTACAGAAGAGAAATGTCTAAAAATTGGAAAAAAAATAAAGTGAAACATTTATGCTGGAAAAAGTTATAATTGTAGGCCTGAAAAAATTTAAATATAACTTAAAAAATTAGCTTAAACAATAAGATAATTCAGCAATTTGACTGAATGTAAATCTTTAAAATAGTTTTCTTCTATAGTGCTAAATTTAAACAATGAATTAGAAGGTATAATATAGAAAAGATACCATTTGTATTAGCAACAAGAAAGCTAGAATATTTAGTAATAAAATTAATTAAAATGCTCATGATCCATATGAAGAAAATTTCACAAGCTTGCGAGTGAGAAAGAAAAGAAGATTTGAACAAATAAAGAGACAAAACCTGTTTTTGGATGGATACATTCACTATTATCAATGTCAGTTCTCTCTAAATCTTTACATTTAATTGGATCCAGATAAAAATATCAACAACACATGTTGGAGTTGTTTGTTTGTTTGAGAAAGTGTTTCACTCTGTCACCCAGGCTGGAGTACAGTGGTGCCATCACAGCTCACTGCAGCCTCAGCCTCCCAGGCTCAAACAATCCTCCCAACTCAGCCTCCTGAATAGCTAAGACCACAGGTGCATACCACCATGCCCAGCTAATTTTTAAATATTTTTGTAGAGACAGGGTCTCCCTATGTTGCCCAGGCTGGTCTCAGACTTCTGGGGTCAAGCAACGCTCTTGCTTTGGCCTCTCGAAGCATTGAGATGATAGGCATGCACTACCACACCCAGCCTAAGACATTTTGTTTTAGACTATTTTAAAGCTTTCATCTAAAAACATGCAAAATTAAGAAAACTTTTACTAACAAAGAGTACTGAGGGGCATTAACATTACTATAGATTGAAATATTTTATAAAGTTATAGTGATTAAGCAATATGGTACAGCTACATGAATAGATTCATAGAACAAAATAAATAATAATAAACAGAAATAATAAACAATTATACCCAGAAAATTAGTATATGATTAAGGCAACATTACATTTTATTAAGGAAAGGATAAATTAGTCAGTGATGATCAACAGATACCCCTTTTATATAAAAATACTTTTGGATCTCTATACCAAAATTAGCATCAAAATAATTTCAGATAAATCAGATATTTAAAGAGATATATATATGTGTATATGTAACTATAACTATTACACAAATCCACAAATAATAAAAGACTGAAAATATGACCACATTGACATTAAAAGATTAAAAGCAGCATAAATTCAGAAGATTTCAGAAAAAAATACTTACATATCACTCCTACAAAAAAATAAGTTCACATTAAAGGAAATATAAATTTCCTTAAGTATAGTCTGCATGAATCTCAACTTCTAGAATTTTACCAAATGGTGATCCTAGCTTAATCTCAGTTGTAATAGGAGGCATGTAATTTAAAACTTAAAATGTGATTAAGTTTTCCATCTGTTATATAGGCAAAATGAACATTTGGTATTACACCATGTGGCAAGAATATCGGAAAACAGGCAGTCTCAAAGATTTTGGGTGAAATGTAATTGGTACAAACTCTGCAGAGAGCAACTGATAGACTCTTTTGCATTAAAAATCTGCAAGCTTTAAAAAATAAAAACACATTTACATTAATTTATTACAGAGACATGTGTACACATATGAAATAAGAAACATACATATATATGTAATGTAGCATTTCTACTAAGAGCAAAAGCTAATCCAAATCAATAAGAGGAATGAGGTACCTAGGACGGTCTTGATTTGGAATGATGTCCAAGTAATATTTTCTGCTCATGGGTGTGTGGGGAATCTACAGAGTGTGTATAAATTCTTTTGTTTGTTTGCACATGCAAGCACTTGTATTCATGCATGCACACATACAGAAACACATATAATTTTTAAAAGAATATATAAGATAGTGGTATCGATAGTCCCAGCTATCTGGCTTGGACAACTGCAGATATGTTAGTTCTGGCCACTATCCAAGAACATTCATTTACGGTGCAGGTTTAAAGATATGGGTATATAGATTTTCAGATAGTTGCTGAGATAGATTTTAATATTTTCTTCCTTTAGCCATATAAGATAGTGCAATTGTATTGCATATATGTTGTTATCTTAATGGGAAAATTAAGATAGCATTTCAATGAACATATTTTGGAGTAAAGAAAACCCTAGTACCTTTGCTCAGCATTACGTTATGCAGTGGACTAAGTGTTTATGTTGCCACCAAAGTTCGTATGTTGAAACTCTATTCCCAATGTGATGGTATTTGGAGGTGTAGCCCTTAGGAGATAATTAGGTCATGAGAGTAGAGCCCTAAGAATGAGATGAATGACCATATATGGAAAGACGAGACCACAGCTCTCTCTTTCAGACATTTAAGGATAAAAGAAGTCAGCGTCTGCAACCCGGAAGAAGGCCCTTACTGGAACCCTAGTCTACTGGCATGCTCATCTCATACTTCCAGCATCCAAAACAGTGAGAAATAAATTTCTCTTGTTTATAAGCCACCCAGTTTGTGATATTTTGTTATAGCAGCCCCATCTAATTAAGATATCCTATTTTGTTGTCCTATATTATCTCCTTCCGGTTTTGAACCAGCCTTCTTCAACTATTTGTTTCTGTGCTCATTCTATTTCTAAGCACATGCCTTCTTTTTTTGTATGTTATTTTAAACAACATACTTAGAAATGTGAAGAATCAGCAAAGGACATATTAATAAAACTTAGTATCACTAACATTAATATGTGATCATTACAATTTATTTAAAATATTGAAAAATTTTAAATATAATAGAATTATAATAGTATTCTGCTATTCACCAATAAAGCCTCCAGAACTTTTGAAGACCAAGTTTAATCTTGGAATTAGTTGAATCCGGAAATGTAGCACAGTGAAAGTTAACACACAGAAATCAGTTATGTTTAAAGAAATTGTAATTAACAGACTGATACTGAGAAGGATAGCAAAAGTAAATAGGTATAAACTACATTGTTTTATCATACAAGTATACTTAAGTGTTCTAATTATACTCTGAAAAACTGAAGCATCCCTACATACGTATATATTCAAGAGGGCAACTGAAGAGGTCAAAGCCTTCTTTATAGCACAATATTTAGTAAAATTTAAATTTTGTTTAGGGTTGACCAATATTTTGATTTTCATTCCCTCACAGGCCAAATGTTTAAGTTTTAGAGTTAAATGGTTCTATTAGACTTTTAATTATTACACATTCACATTCAATTTTGTTTTTTTTTTTTTGTTTTTTTTTTTTTTGAGACGGAGTCTCGCTTTTTCCCCCAGGCCAGACTGCCCTGGGCTTTCTCGGCTCACTGCAAGCTCCGCCTCCCAGGTTCACGTCATTCTCCTGCCTCAGCCTCCGGAGTAGCTGGGACTACAGGCGCCCGCCACCGCACCCGGCTAATTTTTTGTATTTTTAGTAGAGATGGGGTTTCACCGTGTTAACCAAGATGATCTCGATCTCCTGACCTCGTGATCCGCCTGCCTCCGCCTCCCAAAGTGCTGGGATTACAGGCGTGAGCCATCGTGCTCGGCCTGGTTAACTATTCTTGATAAATGAATGAAGAATACTCAACTAGCGTGCTATGTAAAATGTGAGTTTCTTCAAAATTAAGTTGTTGACAAAAAAGGCCTAAAGGATGCTGGGCTAAAACCCTGTAAGGTCTCTTTCAGCTCCAAAAGTTGTAGAATTGTGGTAGGTAATAGATAAGATGAACAAAATACATTTTCCCTCAAGTTTTACATTTAGATTTACACACAGAATAATGCTTACTACTTATAGGCTCTAAACCCCATATTTTTATAGTATACAATTTTTAACAGATAGTTCATACTTATAGGAATGTCCTATACAAAATTTACTAGCTGTATTTCCTTACTTATTTTAAATATAGAGCAATATCTGACGTTTTGTATTCATAAGAATGGTGCATAGGTGAATAAAAAAAGTCAGATTTTTTTTCAATCTACAAAGCAATCATTATATTTCTATTTTTAACTACATTATGTAGTTTCAAAAATACTATACTAAGACATAAAATATTTTAAAATTCTAAATAGATGACAGCCTCCATTTAAGGTGGTTGTCCATAAAAATCTGTTCTCCCATTCTTCCATTACAATGAAATTATAGCTGGACCAAAGATTACACAACTTAACTACATTTTTTAGCCTCCTTTAAAGTTAAATGGTGATGTAATGATGTTGTACTGACAGAACGTGAGGGGAGAGATTTATGCCATTTTCAGATCTGGGTATGCTGCCTCCCACTTATAGTTACTTTTCTCATAAACTGAAACCTGGGTATGGTAATCTGTTTCTACCATGTAGATGAAGCAATGGCAAGGCAGAGGCACACCATAAAAGGAGTCTGAGACCCCAAATAATCATATGGGCACAGCTTCCTGACACCCTGAAGCACCCTAATTAGAGTATTTTGTTAGAGAAAAAATAGTTGTTTTTTACAGCTACTGAATTGTTGGGTTTCTTTTTATAGCAACAGAGTCTTCACCATAACTAATGGCAAAGCCATTAAGTTTAAAATACAATAGAGGTTGCACAGTTAAAATGATACAAATTAGAGTTAAAGAAAATACAGAAAAACGTAAGGCCAAGGAAACTGTGTATCACTTCTAATAGGGGCAAATAATGGATTGGATAAGAGAATTAAATGATTTAAGAAAAATGTTAGGCTTTACCCAATTATCAGGAATAAGATTAGCTTACTAAATACCACAATAAAACGACTTTTTTAAGCTTTTCAATATATATTATCACTTTTACACCAATGGAAAAGGATACTACGCATTGAAAATTCATGTGTGTGTGTGTGTATGCACACATACATATGTCTTTTGATTTTACATCTGAGTATTTTTCTAACTGATATTTCAGGAATCCATTACAAATAGAAAAAAAAAAGAAAATGCTATAAAGCCCCTGGTGAATATGAGATAGGTTGTTGTCAGAGTTCCTCCCTCAAATAACTCAGATTTTTAGGGTAGAATGCTTATCATTCAGACAAGAATCAAGGACCAACAAATTCACGGTTCTTTTTCTCAAACTGTCTCTCAAGCACAACAGATGTTTGAGAATGTTGATTTAAAAACATACTTCCTTACCAACACATTTTCATGAAATACACAAAGACTACACTGGCAACTAAATAGATTCTCAGTATGAATTTTATACTAAGCATTATCTGCTTTGGATTAAACACAGTGTAATTTAATTCTGATAACTGAGGTATTATAATTATCTTAGTTTAAGGATTAAAATTTGAAATTTGATCATAATTCTTAGAAAGTCAGATGTGAGTGTAGTCTGTTTCCTTGATTTTTAATATTTACATTGCATAAATATATTACATACTACTTGCATATCTGACGTTACACAAGATAGATACTCAAAAATTAAGTTTATAGTAGACAAAAATAGGATTTTTAATTTATCAATTCATCAGTAAATAGAAATATAAACAAATTTTGCCATTCATGAAGATTTTCCAAACATTTTGTGACAAATTCTCAGTAAAAATCTATCCCTTTCCTAAAAATCTAGCAAAAGAGAAAATGGTCTTTTGGCACTGGGATCAAGGGCATGCTACTGATAATTTTTCAGTATATACTGTTAATTTAGTTTAGTAAATACCTTGATATTATCTTTATCATGGCAATATTTGTGAATTGACAAAACTATGTCTAAGAATATTTAAACACGACAAAAAATGTTTTCAAGTATTTTTCAAATATTCATAATATTCAAGATGTTTAGCAAAAAAGCTTATTCTACGATCTACGTAAGTACTCCTTTTATATTGCTTTCATTTCCTAATTTTTTTGTACTAGATATGATAAAGTGTACTTTTGTGAGTAGCAGCCATAAAAAATGTTTATTAAAAACATGCCAATACCCCCTCACTAAATTCGTTTGCTAAGAAGATATACATTTTTGTCACTTATTTCTATAAACTGTAAGCCCTGTTTTCATTGGACAAGTAATCTGAAAGAATGAAAAGAAAATGTCATTGTAATAAGGTATGGTACATGGCAGTTTTTGTTTATTTTAGATCAAACTGGATCCTAGATCAAACTAAAATTTCTAGATTAGCGATAAATATCCTGGTAACTTTTATTGCCCTTCGTTAATGAATAACACTTGACAACTAAGTAATGAAGAGGAGATCATCGTATATCCTTTCTAAAATCAACTGCAGATTTTAAAGCCTCCTCTACGAGAGGCTTTTCTAAAAATCAACTTTACCCATTTCTTTAATTGCTACATATTGTGATATAACGAAACCTTTCACATTACTACATGATGCTTTATCAGTTACCAGCAGAGAACTTCATCAAGCTTGAAATAGACATTAGCTTTAACCCAACCTATGAGCATTTTATTTTCAGAATTTGCAATGCCTTTTAGGAATTATGCTCAAAAGTTACCCTCATTTGTGTGTGTGTGTGTGTGTGTGTGTGTGTGTGCACTTACATCCTATTATAAAAATGTTTTCACCAGTAACATTTACAATTTTTAGCATTCATTCATATGTACATATTTTAAGACAAAAAGTGTTTAAGAACTATGTAAACTAAATAATATGGTTGGTTGTTAAATATCCCCAATTTTGCGACAAGTGGTAATTATTTTTTAACTTATATTTCATTATTCTTATTATATAGGTTTTTCTCTCCTATTTGCTTCTAAGTAGTAAAAAGTGTCAATTTATTCCAAATTTATTTATCTTTGCTAATACATGTAAAGTCATATAGAAGCAAGATACAGAAAGCAAGGGAAAAGTGTAAGAAAAATATGCATCTACAATTCTCACACTTTGGATTATAATTCTCACAGATATTGAACTTACTTTTGTCAGGCCTCTGAGCCCAAGCTAAGCCATCATATCCCCTGTGACCTGCACGTACACATCCAGATGGCCAGTTCCTGCCTCAACTGATGACATTCCACCACAAAACAGGTGAAAATGGCCTGTTCCTGCCTTAACTGATGACATTATCTTGTGAAATTCCTTCTCCTGGCTCATCCTGGCTCAAAAGCTCCCCTACTGAGCTCCTTGTGACCCCACTCCTGCCTGCCAGAGAACAATCCCCCTTTTTCCTTTACCTACCCAAATCCTATAAAACGGCCCCACCCGTATCTCCCTTCAATGATTCTCTTTTCGGACTCAGCCTGCCTGCACCCAGGTGAAATAAACAGCCTTGCTGCTCACACAAAGCCTTTTTGGTGGTCTCTTCACACCGAAGCGCATGAAAGTTGGTGCTGTGACTCGGATAGGGGGACCTCCCTTGGGAGATCAATCCCCTGTCCTCCTGCTCTTTGCTCCATGAAAAAGATCCACCTACGACCTCGGGTCCTCAGACCCACCAGCCCAAGGAACATCTCACCAATTTTAAATCGGGTAAGCGGCCTCTTCTTACTCTCTTCTCCAACCTCTCTCACTATCCCTCAACCACTTTCTCCTTTCAATCTTGATGCTACCCTTCAATCTCTCCTTTCTCTTAATTTCCTTTCATTTTCTAGTAGAGACAAAGGAGACACGTTTTATCCGTGGACCCAAAACTCTGGCGCCAGTCACGGACTCAGGAAGGCAGCCTTCCCTTGGTGTTTAATCATTGCAGGGACGCCTCTGATTATTCACCTATGTTTCAGAGATGTCTGACCACCCAAGGACGCCTGCCTTGGTCCTTCACCCTTAGTGGCAAGTACTGCTTTTCTGGGGGGCAAGAACCCCCCAACCCCTTCTCTCCATGTCTCTACCCCTTTTCCACTTTTCTGGAGGGCAAGAACCTCCAACCCCTTCTCCTTCACCCTTAGTGGCAAGTACCGCTTTTCTAGGGGGCAAAAACCCCCCAACCCCTTCTCTCCATGTCTCTACCCCTTCTCTGATTTTCTGGGGGCAAGAACCCCTGGATCCATAATTTCCACGCCCCGACCTCTTATCTCTGCACCCCGATCCCTTATTTCTACGCCTCGACCTCTTATCTCTGTGCCCAACCCCTTTCCTGCTTTTCTGGAGGGTAAGAACCCCCGAACCCCTTCCCTCCGTGTCTCTACTCTCTCTTTTCTCTGGGCTTGCCTCCTTCGCTATGGGCAACCTTCCACCCTCCATTCCTCCTCCTTCTCCCTTAGCCTGTGTTCTTAAGAACTTAAAACCTCTTCAACTCACACCTGACCTAAAACCTAAATGCCGAATTTTCTTCTGCAATGCCGCTTGACCCCAATACAAACTCGACAGTGGTTCCAAATAGCCAGAAAATGGCACTTTCAATTTTTCCATCCTACGAGATCTAAATAATTCTTGTCATAAAATAGGCAAACGGTCTGAGATGCCTGACGTCCAGGCATTCTTTTACACATCGGTCCCTCCCTAGTCTCTGTTCCCAATGCAACTTATCCCAAATCTTCCTTCTTTCCCTCCCACCTGTCCCCTCAGTCCCAACCCCAAGCATCGCTGAGTCTTTCTAATCTTCCTTTTCTACAGACCCATCTGACTTCTCCCCTCCTCGCCAGGCCGAGCTAAGTCCCAATTCTTCCTCAGCCTCTGCTCCTCCACCCTACAATCCTTTTATCACCTCCCCTCCTGAAACCTGGTCCGGCTTACAGTTTCCTTCCGTGACTATCCCTCCCCCACCTGCCCAGCAATTTCCTCTTAAAAAGGTGGCTGGAGCTAGAGGCATAGTCAAGGTTAATGCTCCTTTTTCTTTATCCCAAATCAGATAGCGTTTAGGCTCTTTTTCATCAAATATAAAAACCCAGCCCAGTTCATGGATCGTTTGGCAGCAACCCTGAGATGCTTTACAGCCCTAGGCCCTAAAAGGTCAAAAGGCCGTCTTATTCTTAATATATATTTTATTACCCAATCTGCTCCCGACATTAAATAAAACTCCAAAAATTAAATTCCGGCCCTCAAATCCCACAACAGGACTTAATTAACCTCACCTTCAAGGTGTACAATAATAGAGTAGAGGCAGCCAAGTAGCAATGTATTTCTGAGTTGCAATTCCTTACCTCCACTGTGAGACAAACCCCAGCCACATCTCCAGCACACAAGAACTCCAAATGCCCAAACCGCAGCTGCAAGGGGTTCCTCCAGAACCTCCACCCTCAAGAGCTTGCTATAAGTGTGAGAAATCTGGCCAATTGGCCAAGGAATGCCCACAGCCCGGGATTCCTCCTAAGCCGCGTCCCATCTGTGCAGGAACCCACTGAAAATCAGACTGTTCAACTCACCTGGCAGCCGCTCCCAGAACCCCTGGAACTCTGGCCCAAGGCTCTCTGACTGACTCCTTCCCAGATCTTCTCAGCTTAGCAGCTGAAGACTGACACTGCCCGATTGCCTCGGAAGCCTACAGGACCATCACAGACGCTCTAGGTAACTCTCACAGTGGAAGGTAAGTCTGTCCCCTTCTAAATCAATACCGAGGCTACCCACTCCATATTACCTTCTTTTCAAGGGCCTGTTTCCCTTGCCTCCATAACTGTTGTGGGTATTGACGGCCAGGCTTCTAAACCTCTTAAAAACTCCCCAACTCTGGTGCCAACTTAGAAGACACTCTTTTTGCACTCTTTTTTAATTATCCCCACCTGCCCAGTTCCCTTATTAGGCCGAGACACTTTAACTAAATTATCTGCTTCCCTGACTACTCCTGGGCTACAGCCACACCTCATTGCCACCTTTTCCCCCAGTTCAAAGCCTCCTTCACATCCTCCCCTTGTATCTCCCCACCTTAACCCACAAGTATATGACCCTCTACTCCCTCCTTAGCGACCATCATGCACCCCTTACCATCCCATTAAAACCTAATCACCCTTACCCTGCTCAATGCCAATATCCCATCCCACAGCATGCTTTAAAAGGATTAAAGCCTGTTACCACTCGTGTGCTACAGCATGGCCTTTTAAAGCCTGTAAACTCCCCTTACAATTCCATTTCACCTGTCCTAAAACCAGACAAGCCTTACAGGTTAGTTCAGGATCTGCGCCTTATCAACCAAACTGTTTTGCCTATCCACCCCGTGGTGCCAAACGCATATACTCTCCTATCCTCAATACCTCTCTCTACAACCCATTATTCTGTTCTGGATTTCAGACATGCTTTCTTTACTATTCCTTTGCACCCTTCATCCCAGCCTCTCTTCGCTTTCACTTGGACTGACCCTGACACCCATTAGGCTCAGCAGATTACCTGAGCTGTACTGCCGCAAGGCTTCACAGACAGCCCCCTTTACTTCAGTCAAGCCCAAATTTCTTCCTCATCAGTTTCCTATCTCAGCATAATTCTCATAAAAACACACATGCTCTCCCTGCTGATCATGTCCGAGTAATCTCCCAAACCTCAATCCCTTATAAAACAACAACTCCTTTCCTTCCTAGGCATGGTTAGCGCAGTCAGAATTCTTTCACAAGAGCCGGGACCGCACCCTGTAGCCTTTCTGTCCAAACAACTTTGACCTTACTGTTTTAGCCTAGCCCTCATGTCTGTGTGCAGTGGCTGCCGCTGCTTTAATAATTTTAGAGGCCCTAAAAATCACAAACTGTGCTCAACTCACTCTACATTTCTCATAACTTCCAAAATCTCTTCTCTTCCTCATACCTGACACGTATACTTTCTGCTCCCCGGCTCCTTCAGCTGTACTCACTCTTTGTTGAGTCTCCCACAATTACCATTGTTCCTGGCACGGACTTCAATCTGGTCTCCCACATTATTCTGGATACCACACCTGACCCTCATGATTGTATCTCTCTGATCCACCTGACATTCACCTCATTTCCCCATATTTCCTTCTTTCCTTTTTCTCACCCTGATCACATTTAGTTTATTGGTGGCAGTTCCACCAGGCCTAATCGCCACTCACCAGCAAAGGCAGGCTATGCTATAGTATCTTCCACATCTATCATTGAGGCTACCGCTTTGCCCCCCTCCACTACCTCTCAGCAAGCCAAATTAGTTGCCTTAACTCAAGTCCTCACTCTTGAAAAAGGACTACGCGTCAATATTTACACTGACTCTAAATATGCCTTTCATATTCTGCACCATCATGCTGTTATATAGGCTGAAGGAGGTTTCCTCACTACGCAAGGGTCCTCCATCATTAATGCCTCTTTAATAAAAACTCTGCTCAAGGCGGCTTTACTTCCAAAGGAAGCTGCAGTCATTCACTGCAAAGGCCATCAAAAGGCGTCAGATCCCATTGCTCTAGGCAACGATTATGCTGATAAGGTGGCTAGACAAGCAGCTAGATTTCCAACTTCTGTCCTTCACGGCCAGTTTTCCTCCTTCGTATCAGTCACTCCCACCTACTCCCCCGCTGAAACTTCCACCTATCAATCTCTTTTCCACACAAGGCAAATGGTTCTTAGACCAAGGAAAATATCTCCTTCCAGCCTCACAGGCCCGTTCTATTCTGGTGTCATTTCATAACCTCTCATGTAGGTTACAAGCCGCTAGCCTGTCTCTTAGAACCTCTCATTTCCTTTCCATCCTGGAAATCTATCCTCAAGGAAATTACTTCTCAGTGTTCCATCTGCTATTCTACTACCCCTCAGGGATTGTTCAGGCCTCCTCCCTTTCCTACACATCAAGCTCAGGGATTTGTCCCTGCCCAGGACTAGCAAATTGACTTTACTCACATGCCCTGAGTCGGAAAACTAAAATACCTCTTAGTCTAGGTAGACACTTTCACTGGGTGGGTAGAGGCCTTTCCCACAGGGTCTGAGAAGGCCATCGCTGTCATTTCTTCCCTTCTGTCAGACATAATTCCTCGGTTTGGCCTTCCCACCTCTATACAGTCCGATAGCAGACTGGCCTTTATTAGTCAAATCAGCCAAGCATTTTTTCAGGCTCTTGGTATTCAGTGAAACCTTTATATCCCTTACGGTCCTCAGTCTTCAGGAAAGGTAGAACGGACTAATAGTCTTTTAAAAACACACCTCACCAAGCTCAGCCACCAACTTAAAAAGGACTGGACAATACTTTTACCACTTTGCCTTCTCAGAATTCAGGCCTGTCCTCGGAATGCTACAAGGTACAGCCCATTTGAGCTCCTGTATAGACGCTCCTTTTTATTTGGCCCCAGTCTCATTCCAGGCACCAGGCCAACTTAGACTGTGCCCCAAAAAACTTGTCATCCCTACTATCTTCTGTCTAGTCATACACCTATTCACCGTTTTCAACTACTCATACATGCCCTGCTCTTGTTTACACTGCCAGTTTACACTGTTCCTCCAAGCCATCACAGCTGATATCCCCTGGTGCTATCCGCAAACTGCCACTCTTAACTCTTAAAGTAAATAAATAATCTTTGCTGGCAGGACTATGCTGAATCTCCTTCGCACTCTCTAATTAAATGTCCTAGGTCCTCCCAATTCTTAGACCTTTAATACCTGGTTTTCTCCTTCTCTTATTCCATTTTTCAATTCATACAAAACCGTATCCAGGCCATCACCAATAATTCTAAATGACAAATGTTTCTTCTAACAACCCCACAATATCACCCCTTACCACAAAATCTTCCTTCAGCTTAATCTCTCCCACTCTAGGTTCCCACGCCACCTCTAATCCCGCTGGAAGTAGCCCTGAGAAACATCGCCCATTATCTCTCCATACCACCCCTAAAAATTTTCACTGTCCCAACACTTTACCACAATTTCATTTTATTTTTCTTATTAATATAAGAAGTCAGGAATGTCAGGCCTCTGAGCCCAAGCTAAGCCATCATATCCCCTGTGACCTGCAGGTACACATCCAGATGGCCAGTTCCTGCCTTAACTGATGACATTCCACCACAAAACAAGTGAAAATGGCCTGTTCCTGCCTTAACTGATGACATTCCACCACAAAACAAGTGAAAATGGCCTGTTCCTGCCTTAACTGATGACATTATCTGGTGAAATTCCGTCTCCTGGCTCATCCTGGCTCAAAAGCTCCCCTACTGACCACCTTGTGACCCCCACCCCTGCCTGCCAGAGAATAACCCCCCTTTTTCCTTTACCTACCCAAATCCTATAAAACAGCCCCACCCCTATCTCCCCTCACTGACTCTCTTTTTGGACTCAGCCCACCTGCACCCAGGTGAAATAAACAGCCTTGCTGCTCACACAAAGCCTGTTGGGTGGTCTCTTCACACGGACGTGCATGAAAACTTTGAAGCAGGCATTTTGCTGTATTATCTCAATAACATTTTTATAACATGTTGAGGTAGATCTTACGTTCATTTTACAAATGAGAATACTAAGATGTGGAGAGCTTAACCAATTTAAGCCTGAAGTTACAATTTAATAGCAGGAAGGTGGACAAACGTTTTTTCCGTTCTCCAATTCCTACTGCCTCCTAAACATGTTTTACAGACATGGGCCTCTTAACAATGGGACATGCCCTGAGAAATGCATCACTAGGCAATTTCTTTGTTATGTGAACATTACAGTGTACCTACACAAACTTAGAAGGTATAGCTTACTACATACCTAGGCTATATGGTAGAGCCTATTCCTACTAGGCTACAAATTTGGAAACATGTCATTCTACTGAATACTGCCGGCAATTACAACGCAATGGTAGTTGTGTATTTAAACGTGTCTACACATAGAAAAGCTACAATAAAAATAACAGTATTATAATCTTACGGGACCATCATCATATAAGCAGCGCATTCCTGACTGAAATGTTGGTTAGGCAGTACATCACTGTATTTCTTTCATTCTTAGAAAATGAAGTGAAGGGGAATATAATTTATTTTCATATACCTACCTCTTCTCAACAAGTTCCTTATATTTTTTGGCCATAGGGGAAGATTCTAATATTCACATCTGAATATCAATTACCTTTAAGCAAAATATAGTGTCTTCATAACCCAGAACTTGAAAAATCACAAAACTTGTTTTCCTGGTACATTGTGTCAGGCCTCTGAGCCCAAGCTAAGCCATCATGTCCCCTGTGACCCACATGTACACATCCAGATGGCTGGTTCTTTCCTTAACTGACGACATTCCACCACACAACAAGTGAAAAATGGCCTGTTCCTGCCTTAACTGATGACATTATCTTGTGAAATTCCTTCTCCTGGCTCATCCTGGCTCAAAAGCTCCCCTGCTGAGCACCTCGTGACCCCCCCACTCCTGCCTGCCAGAGAACAACCCCCCTTTGACTGTAATTTTCCTTTACCTACCCAAAACTTATAAAACGGCCCCACCCCTATCTCCCTTCACTGACTCTTTTCGGACTCAGCCCGCCTGCACCCAGGTGAAATAAACAGCCTTGTTGCTCACAAAAAGCCTGTTTGGTGGTCTCTTCACACGGACACGACTGAAACATTGTTTTGTAATATATAATATTTAATACTTTTGGACTATGCCATAACTAGTATATTTTATTCCCTTGACAATTCTATTCATGATTTTTTCCCCTGAAATGTTTTCCATCATTGAAACACTCTTGGACCTATGATTTTTTTATCAGGCACAATGGTATCCTCTTCATTACTTAGTTGGCAAAAGTGTTATTAACGAAGCGCAATAAAAGTAATTTTAGGACATTTATTGCTAAACTAGTCACTTTTTTGTGCCATTGAAATAACAACTGAGACTTAAATTACTTTGTTAGGGGAACTTTTGATATACAAGTAATTTATAATTTCTTAAAAGTCCTTAGTCAAAATAAGGCAAATTATCTACGTACTAATTAAGCTAATTGAACATTAAAGATTAAAATAACTTTTAGACTACCTAATCTTTAGATTATTTTAAAAGATCACTGTTACATGAAGCTAAAAGAACATGATAGTTTACTAAGGACAACTAAAACCAGATTTAAATTAGTATATTCATAAAGGTATCTTTTTAAAAATATAAAAATGTAACACACTTCAAATAATACTCGCCGCAACCTTTCAGATAATTTTTAATGCACCAGATTTATTTACCATTTCAAAAGATCACGATATAGGCAGATACCTTAAAAATTCTCTGGGGGCAAACAAATCAGTATATATTAGATGTACAGGGACTGCAGCCAAGACAGGCATGAGTTCCTAGGTTATAAATATCATCTTTATAAAAAGTGGGTATTTTATAGGACATCCAAGTAACACCGACTTATAAAAGCAAACACTGTACTTAAAATGTTGGCCACATATGAAAGAATAGCTGAAGGCTTTAGGGGATTGAAGAATGGATAAACTCAACCAACTAAAAACACATTACTCATCCCTCAGAACCAAAATACAGGAAAAAAAAAAATACAACAGGTTCGCACAACATCCAGAAAAGTTCAGGGAATATGAAGTGTTTCTTGGCACCCAGTTCTCGCTGTTTTAAAATCCGTCCCTTCGTTGTTGGCTAGGCCTCTCTCCAGGGAAACTAGCCGGGGCAAGAGGCAGGGGAACTGTACATGTGGGAGGTCCTGAGGGCCCTTGCACCCACTCGACCTCCACCAAGCGGATGGCCAAGCGCCACCCGGAAGTGTCCACTGGTGGGGGCGGGAAGGCACCGTAGTCCAAGGTATCCGCGGGCAGGGAGCGGGCCAGGGCGTGCGCGAGGTCGGGGGTAGCTGGGAACGGAGGAGGAGGGGCCCGCTCGAGGCTCCGCCTCTCACCGGCTGCGGCCTCGGCTACAGCCAGGGCCCAGAGGGCTCCGAGTCCCGGGAGCGGAGGCCGGAGTCGGGTTCCTGTAGAGGCTGCTCCTCCTTGTCCCCGCTCGGACGTGGTCCCCGCTGCTCGAGGTGCAGCTGCAGCAGGGCCCGGCGGTACATGGCTTCCAGCTTCTCAAGTCGGGCCCTCAGGGCCCTGGGGCTGCCCGGCTCGTCCTCTCGGCCGCTGTCTCTAGCCCTCCGGTTCGTGCTGGCCTCTTCAGGGACCCGGCGTGCCTCCGCGGGCGTCCCGTTGCCGCCTTCGCCGGGGAGCCGCAAAGCCTGACGGAAGAGGCTGCGGTTCTCGCGCTTCAGCCGCCGGTTCTCGAGCCGCAGCCGGGCGTTCTCCTGACGCAGCCGCGCGTTCTGCCGGTCCCACTCGTCCCGCGCACGGATGGCCTCCAAGTGGCTCGCCGCCAGGTCGGCAAACCGCTCCTCCAGCTGCTGTCGGGCGCCGTCCGCGCGGCCTCGCCAGCCCACGCCGCCGCCGCCGCCGCTGGGGCTGCCCCCACCACGAGCCCGGCCGGAGCGGCCTGGCCCTCGGCCGTCCGCAGCACCGTCCCCGCCGCAGCAACTCCCGCGCCTAGTGGCGCCACCACGCATGCGCCACATCGGTCCCATCCCAACCGCGCCGCCAGCCCCGTGGGCTGAGGGGCCGCGCGGCCAGGCGCGGGCAAGTTCGGGGCTGGCAGGGCGGCCGGGGTGACGACGGAGGAGGAGAGGAGGTCGCGGGCGGCGGCTGCTGGCTTAGAGCCAAAGGAGGCCGGGAATTTGCCCAGACTGAGGCGTGTCCTGTCTCCTGTGGTGGAGCTGCCCCCTGGGCCTGCTCTCTCCAGGCTGCGCTGACACACAGTTCCCCCGGGGAGTGCTTTGCTGTTCAGCCCTCCGGCTGCGCGGGAAAAAGCGTGTATCCTCAGCTGAGTTGTGCCAGGGCGCTTCCGTGCAGGCCTGGGCACTGCAGGAACTAGCCGTCCTCGCCCGCTCCGGAGTGCAACCACCAGTGGTTACTTTGCTCTTTACACGGCATTCTCAAAACTAATGATAATAGAATGATCGGTTCTGAGACAAAGCTATGGGGCAAGTTGAAAAGCTCTAAGTGCTTCATTTAAAACCCAGTGGTTTAACCCACCCCTATGTTTAATAAAACATTAAACAGAATTGGGCTGAGTACCTGTCATGGGGTTTCCCGGTGGAAACACCTGGCTCTCCAAAGAATGCAGTCAATTCCCAATTTGTGAACAGCCAGGAATTCACTCTGTAAATTGTTCAGAACGCTATAGAAACTAGGTCATACTTAGTTGATTTGTTCAGGCCAACCCCCAAAAGCTATGAAACAAGAAGTGCTCTGTTTATTGAAGAAACTGAATACTTAGTTCCAAAGTTTCTGGGATCAAGGATGTACATCTCATTGAATGAATCATTCCTTCTTGTAGGGTCTCAACCTACATAGTAACTGGATGATTGCAAAGTAATTTAAGGATTAGGTACTGACGCCAGAATCTCTTAAGCAAGTATGCCCTAGCAAGAATCTACATGTCTAACAGGGTCCCAGAGAATTCTCAGGATAACCAAAATTTCCAAACCACTGGAGCAAGTAACGAACAAGAAAAACATATAAGTACATACATGGGGTCTTCATTGACAAGTACAAATAAGGGGAAAATATTTGCTCAATTTTTTTGTACTTTTATTTTGTTAGGCAAGATCTTAAGAGACCACAACACCAAATGTGTTCTCAATTATCTCATTTTATCACATGAAAGATATAATTTTGGAATTTCAAAAAATATAAATTTAGTTTTAAGAAGGACCACATTCCAGGCCGGGCGTGGTGGCTCACGCCTGTAATCCTAGCACTTTGGGAGGCCGAGGCGGGAGGATCACAAGGTCAGGAGATCAAGACCATCCTGGCTAACACAATGAAACCCCGTCTCTACTAAAAATACAAAAATTAGCCGGGCGTGGTGGCACGGGCCTGTAGTCTCAGCTACTCGGGAGGCTGAGGCAGGAGAATCACTTGAACCCGGGAGGCAGAGTTTGCAGTGAGCTGAGATTGCGTCATTGCACTCCAGCCTGGGCGACAGAGCAAGGCTCCTTTTCAAAAAAAAAAAAAAAAAAAAAAAGGAGCATATCATTCTTGAGATGGGAGTTTCGCTCTTGTTGCCTAGGCTGGAGTGCAATGGCGCCATCTCTGCTCACTGCCACCACCACCTTCCGGGTTCAAGAGACTCAAGAAGGACTGTATCATTCTTAATTTACATTAAGGTTGAGGCTGCAAGACTGCTGTGAGCTATGATCACACCATTGTACTCCATCCTGGGCGACAAAAGGAGACCTATCTCAAAAAATAAGGAAGGGGGAAGGGATGAAGAGAGGGAGAAAGGGAAGTTTGGAAGAAAAGGAAAGAAAAAAATGTGGAAAAAATCGATCCAACAAAAAGGTATTAAGACTCATAAAGACTGTCTTATGTAGCAGTGAACATTTGTCTTATGATTTGTTAATGGAGAGTCCACCAATCTTTCAAATACGACATAGAGACAATGTCATTTCTAAGTTGAAAGTGGAGTTGAGACAACAGAGTGATTAAAATGATTAGTACTAAAAGTATATACTTGTATTTATTTTAATTTACCTAGAATAATATGTCAAGAATCATATACTCGAAGATGAAAATTACAGCTTTTCTGAGGATGGTAGCACAAAGAGTAAAAATGCTTCTCCACACTGTAGTTTGTTAATGGTCTACATATAAAAATATTACTGGGCAAATAATATGTACCTATATATGAAAATAAAATGGAAAAAATTTGGAAAATATACGGAACTGATCAAATTTAAAAGAAATGCAAGACTACAATAATACTTAAAACATATAGAATAAGTATATAAGTGCTTGATTAGAAAAATAAAAGGTAGATAGATACCTGTGCTGCTTTTTAAGACTGGGGGCTTCTGAACAGTAAAATTGCTTGCTTGCTAAATAGAAGAAAGTCTTAAAGGACATAGGTCACTCTTTTCTGACAACTGGTTCATCATTGTTCCTTAAGCTACTCTTGCTCAAGAAAAAGAATTCTGCTATAAAAAGAATTCTGTTTAAACAGTTTTAAAACTAAAAAGAAAAGGACTACTTGCACTTTGCATTTAGGAAACTCTAAGACCAAAGATTATTTCCTGACTAAGGTTACGAAGTTTGAAGTAAAAGAACAGAAAAATGCAAGTACAGCAGCCCCTCTTATTTGTAGGGATACATTCCAAGATCCTCAGTGAATGCCTGAAACCTTGGATGGTAATGAACCCTGTATACACATACAGTCTTCCTTCTGTATTGGTGGGTTCCACACTGGTAGACAATCAACCACAGATCAAAAATATTTTTAAATAAAAATACAATTAAAAAAACAAAAATACAGTGTAACAACTATTTACATAGAATTTACAGGGCTTTGGTTAGTAATCTAGAGAGGATTTAAAGTATATGGGAGGATGTGTGTAGGTTGTATGCAAATACTATGACATTTTATATAAGGTCCTTGAGCATATTATCAAGAGTCCTGGATCCAATCCCCCAAGGATGCTGAGGGACAATTGTACCATGTTTTTTTTCCAGTTGATAACTGACATAGCCGCTGAGTGACCGATGGGTGAGTAGGGTCAACAGCATAGATGCAGTGGACAAAGATGATTCACATTCCTATCAGGATGGAAATGGTGAGAGACTTCATTACATTACTCAGAATAGTGCACACTTTAAAACTTACGAAATGTTTTTCTTTCCTGGGACTTTCCATTTAATATTTTTGGCCAGGGATGACTGCAAGTAACTTGAACCGTGGAAAGAGAAACCTCAGATAAGGGGGAGACTACTGTTAAGTAATTTGGAATGCTTAGTTTTTCTATTTCCCCAAAACAACCCTTTTTTTCTTTTTGAAAAGGGACATTTTTGTAAGTATTTAGTCTCCATGCCTTCTAACACAAAACCAATGCCCTTCTCTAATTATCTGACAACTTAAGTATCTTATTCTAAAATTGATCTGCCTCCTATCTTAGGTAAAATAAAAAATAAAAACATAAGTTTACAATCATCATGCTTCTTAAAATAATGCCTCAAACCAACATTTTTGAGAATACGGCTGTTAAAAAAAGCTGCCAGCAAATTGGAGCCGGGACTGTTTTCTGCCTTGCACTTCATGCAGATATTTAGTATTTCTTACAACCATCTTTGAATAATAGCTGTTGAATTTATTGCCCCTTCCTTGTATCCCTCAAACAAGTTGTTCTTTCCAGATACTGTAGCTGTTACATATTTCTAGATGTTGGCTTAAGAGGACCTATAGGTTGTTTCTTGTCTTCTTAGTTGATTTCTAATATTTTATTATCATGTTCATTTAACTCTCGTTTGCCCATTTTGAATCATATTTCTTATAAAGTAAGTCAAACGTTAAGGTAATCTGTGGCACATTTCACACTGAACACGTCATCTCACATTCAATTTCTCTTTGTTGCTTTTCTCTTTATAACATTGTATAATATTGCACCAAATGAATTCTGGAAAACAAGTTTGATCAAGTTCAATAAATAACAGTGTTATACTCAGTAGTCTGGCATTTAGGGCTATACACAATGTGGATGACCTGAGTATCTCTGTGCTTACCTTCCATTACTTTCCTGCTGGTCTGTTCACTCTCCTACCAAGAGTCCTCACATTCTTTTGTCTAGGAGTTTGGTTGTAATGTATTACTATAGACTGACTACTGTAGGTCCAAAATTCATGAGTTGAACCCCTGACCACCAATGTGTTGGTATTTGGAGATGGAGCTTTGGAAAGTGATAAAGTTTGGATACATGTCCCCACCAAATCTCACGTTGAATTCTAATCCCCAAATTTGGATGTGGGGCCTAGTGGGAGGTGAATGGATCATGGGGGCAGATTTCTCATGAATGGCTTAGGACCATCCCCTTGGTGCTATCTTTGCAATTGTGAGTGAGTTCTTGTGAGATCTAGTTGTTTAAAAGTGTGTAGCACCTTCCCCGTCTCTTTCTTGCTCCTGTTTTTGCCATGTGAGTGCCTACTCCCTCTTTGCCTTCCACCACTACTAAAAGCTTCCTGAGACCTCCCGTAAGCAAATGCCAGCACTGTGTTACCTGTACAGCTTGCAGAACTGTGAGCCAGCTTCTTTTCTTCAAAATTACCCAGTCTCTGGTATTTTTTTTTTATAGCAATGCAAAAATGGCCTTATACAGAAAATTGGTACCAAGGAGTGGGACATTGCTAAAAAGATACCTAAAAATATGGAAAGAGCTTTGGAACTGGGGAACAGGCAGAGGGTGGAAGACTTTGGAGGGCTCAGAAGAAGAGAGGAAGATGAGGGAAACTTTGGAACTTCTTAGAGACTGGTTAAAATGGTTGTAACTAAAATTCTGATAGTGATATGGACGAGGAATCCAGGCTGAGAAGGTCTCAGATGGAAATGAGGATCTTACTGAGAACTGAAGCAAATATCACGTGTGTTATGCCTTAGCAGAGAACTTGGTTGCATTATGCCCTTGCCCAAGGTATCTGAGGAAGTTTGAATATGAGAATGAAGATTTAGTGTATCTGGTGGAAGAAATTTCTAAGGAGCAAAGCATTCAAGATGTGGCCTGACTGCTTCTAATGACCTATACTCAGATGCAGGAACAAGTAAAGTATAGGATGCAGGAGCAAGTAAAGTAAAGGAGTAAGTTGGAATATATATTAAAATGGAAGCACAGTTTGGAAGATTTGCGGCCTGGCCATATGGCAGAGAAAGAAAAAGCTTTTTCAGGAGATGAATTCAGCTGGGATGTGAAGCAACCACTTGCTGGAAAAACATGCATAACTGAAAAGAAAACAAGGGCTAATATTCAAGAAAATGGGGAAAAGGTCTAGAAAGCATTTCAGAGACCTTCCCAGCAGCCCCTCCCATCATGGGCCCAGAAGCCTAGGAGGAAAGAATGGTTTCCTTCCTCCTACAAAGAACGGCCCCACTGCCCTGTGCAACCTCAAGACACTACTCTGCATATTGTGGCTGCTGCAGCTCCAGCCTTGACTCAAAGGGCCCCAGGTGCAGCTCAGGCTGCCACTCCAACAGGTGCAAGCTGTAAGCCTTGGTGGTTTCCATATGGTGTTAGGCCTGCAGGCACACAGAATGCAACAGTTAAGGAGGCTTTGCAGCCTCCACCTGGATTTCAGAGGATGTATAAGCAGGGGCAGAACTCTCACAGGGGACCTCTACTAGGGCAGTGTGGAAGGGAAATATGGAGCTGGAGGCCCCACACAGAGTCCCCACTGAGGCACTGATTAGTGGAGCTGCAGAAAGAGGGACACCATCCTCCAGGACTGGAATGGTAGATCCACTGGCAACTTGCACCATCAGTGTGGAAAACCTGCAGGCACTGAACAACCTGGGAGAGCAGCTACGGAGATTGTACCCTGCAGTGCCATGGGGGCAGAGCTGCCCAAGGCCTTTTGAGCCTTGCACCAGTGTGCCCTGGATGTGAGACATGGAGTCAGAGGAGATTATTTTGAAGCTTTAAGATTTAATGACTGCCCTGCTAGGTTTCAAACAAGCATGGGGCCTGTAGCCCCTTTCTTTTGGCAGATTTCTCTCTTGCAGATTGGTCATGCTTACTCAATGCCTATTCCTCTATTGTGTTATGGAAGTAATTAGCTTGTTTTGGATTTTACAGGCTCACAGATGGAAGGGATTTGCCTTGTCTCAGATGAGACTTCAGATTTTGAGTTAGTGCTGGAATAAGTTAAGACTATGGGGGACTCTTGGGAAGGCATGTTGTAGTTTGCAGTGTGAGAAGAACATGAATTTTAGAGGCCAGTGCTGGAATGATATAGTTTGTATTTATGTCCCTGCCAAATCTCATGTTGGAATTATAATCCCCACTATTGAAAACAGGGCCTGGTGAGAGGTGATTGGATCATGAGGGTGGGTGGATTTATAATGAATGGTTTAGTAACACCCTTTTGATTTTGTTCTCACAAGTGTGAGTTCTCGTGAGATCTGGCTGTTGAAAAGTGTGTAGTACCTCCCCCCCACCTCTTGCTCCTGCTTTTGCCATGTGAATTGCCTACTCCCCCTTTGCCTTCCACCATGAGTAAAAGCTTCCTGAGACCTCCCCAGAAGCAGATGCTAGCACTCTGCTTCCTGTGCAGCCTGCACAACTGTGAGCCAATTAAATAACTTTTCTTTTAAATTACCTAGTTTCAGGTATTTATAGCAATGCAAGAACGACCTAATACAGGAAGTATTAATAAATAAGTTTAGATGAAATCTTGAGGGTAGAGCCTTTATGACTGGATTAGTGTCTTTACGAGAAAAGGCACCAGAGCACTCTCCCTGTTTATCTCCCAGTCTCTCTCTCTCTTGCTTGCTCTCGCTCTCCTCTCTTCCATGTGCGAAAAAAACCAAGAAGGTAGCATCTGCAAGCCAGCAAGATAACTTCACCAGGGAATTGAATTAGCCAGTACCTTGATCCTGGACTTCTCAGCCTCCAGAACTATAAAGAATAAATTTATGTTGTTTAAGCCACCCAGTCTGCGATATGTTGTTACAGCAGCCCAATATGACTAATATAGTACCTTTCGCTTTTTTTCCTCAATTATCTGGATTGTAAAGAATTCATCAAGGCAGAGTTATACCCCACCATTTCATAAATCTGTCTTAGTTCTCTTCATCTCAAGGGAGTTTTCCCCTCTTTTAAACATTGATATGATGGGTATGTTATTATAGTTAGCTTGATTGTGGTAATCTTTTCACATTGTATAAGTATAACAAAATATCACATAGTATATGCAGGTTATACAAATAAAAGTTTACAACTTTTGTCAATCATACATCAGTAAAGTTGAAGAAAAAAATTAACATTGATAAAATAATGCCTTACCAGTAATTTGATACTTTGATGCTGAAGTCCTTCCCTATGTTAACATTTCATAAATCTGTCTTGGTTCTCTTCACCTCAAGGTGCTTTTCCCCTCTTTTAAACACTGATATGATGGGTATGTTATTACAGTTAGCTTGATTGTGGTAATCTTTTCACATTGTATAAGTATACCAAAATATCACATTGTATATGTGATATCACATATCACAGAATATCACATTGATGTATATACCGTATTATCAATAAAGCTGAAGAAAAAATAAAACATTGATAAAATAATGCCTTACCAGTAATTTGATAATTTGATGCTGAAGTCCTTCCCTATGTTAACATTTCTTGTGCAAATGCATCTGCAAATAGGGTGTGAACTTTTGGACTTAAAGGAACAGTTTGTAGTGTGTGTGTGTCCGTGTGTGTGTGTGTGTGTGTGTGTGTGTGTGTGGTGTAATACAAATGGCTCTTGGATAACTAGGATGTTGAAATTATTTATTCTTCCTTTTCTTACATAATCTTAAAGGAAGATTTTACCAAGTAAAACTATTAACCACTTAATAGTCAAAGTTAGACTATCCAACAGGCCTAGCTAATTGAAACTCACCAAGAAAGGTTTGCAGAATGCTGAATTATAGTGAAATAGGAGGTAGCACTGCCTTAATAATAGTAAACCTTGTTAATGACTTGTTTTAAGATACAGTGGATACTTTTTAAAAATTAATAAATAAGATGTGTTTTGGAGTCAGACATACCTGGATGTGACAAATACCACACTCTCTTTACCCCAGATATATGACCTTGGACATCCTCCTGAAGCCATAGTTTCCTCATTTGTCAAATGGAAATAAAAGCAGTATCCACTTCATGGGATTTTTGTGAGCATTTGGGTATATATTAAAATACTCAATAACTCTTGTGCTACAGTTTGGTTTGTTTGACCCCTCCAAATCTCATGTTGAAATTTGATCCCCAGTGTTGGAGGTGAGACTTAATGGAACCAGTATTGGAGGTGACTTAATGGAAGGTGTTGGCATCATGCAGCAGAACCCCCATGAATGGCTTGGTGCCATCCTCAAGGTAAATGAGTGAATTCCAACTTTACTGGTTCCTGAGAGAGATGGTAGATAAAAGGAGCATCGCACCTTCCCACTTTCTCTTGCTTCACCTCCTGCCACATGATCTCTGCACACACTGGCCCCCCTACACCTTCCACCACGAGTGGAAGCAGCCTGATGTCCTCACCAGAAGCAGATGTTAGTGCCATGCTTCTTGTATAGCCTTATAAACCAATTTTCTTTATAAATTATCCAGTCTCAGGTATTCCTTTATAATAAAACTAAATGGACTATGAACTATTATTATTTTGTAGTTGTTTTTATTTTATAAGGTAGACATTTATAGGATGAGTTCTTTTGAATAGCCACTGCTATTTAAAATCCCAACTTGAGTTATTTGCCTGAGGAGCTACCCCAAATACAGTACATGGCCCCTTTAAGAATTTGATTCTTATTTCTTGGTAACTTTCATTAAGTATTTGAGTTTTAAAATCCATATTTTGTTAGTCCCATGTGCTGAAGAGTTGGTTAATCACATTCTGATCTTTGTGTTTGCTAACATTCTCTCTAAAGCCACAGCAGTACGTGGTTTATTTTCTGGGAGCAGATTTATTATGGCTATGAAGAGCACGTATTGATGCTTGGTAGCATGAATATCTCTTTATTAGAATAATTACTAGAGAGCTAGGAATTGGGAATATTGATTGCATTTATTTAGTCTTTTGATATGGACAAAAATATTAAAAGCCATCAAACACTAGCATTGTCCTTTGACAGCATCATTTAATTCTAGCTACAGGGAAAATTGTGACATAAACAAAAGCAGCATGACTTATCTATCTTAATTAGAATACTTTGTACAGTAAGGGATATGCCCACCTTCCTTCATTATAAAAGCACTAGCCAGAGAAATGAAAGAGAGCATGTGCATTATACATTAACAGAAAGTAATGTAGCTTAAAGCAAAAGGTATCCACACAGGATGCTTGGCCAAAAGAAGATTCTAAAACAGACTTTTTAATGTGGGAAATGTTTTCGTTAGTTCTACAATAGTGCTGTTTTATGATACATGTTTGTAGATTAGCATTTTTTTATCATTTCTTTTTATTATTTACTTATTTATTTTTATTATACTGTAAGTTCTAGGGTACATGTGCACAATGTGCAGGTTTGTTATATATGTATACATGTGCCATGTTGGTGTGCTGCACCCGTTAACTCATCATTTACATTAGGTATATCTCCTAAGGCTATCCCTCCCCCCTCCCCACACCCCACGACAGGCCCCAGTGTGTGATGTTCCCCACTCTGTGTCCAAGTGTTCTCATTGATTAGCATTATTCTTTAAGGAGTCTGGACCTGTGCTGTCCACTAACCATGTGTGTCTATTTAAATTTAATTAAAATTAAATATAATTTAAAAACTAGTTCTTCAGTTGCAGTGGCCACATTTCAAGCAGTCACTAGTCACATGTGGCTTAGTGGCTAGGGTGCTGGATGGCACAGATACAGAGCATTTCAATTATAACAGAAAGATCTATTGGACTGCATTGGGAAAATTTGTATATCCCACTCCACATTCTAGTTATTGTTCTCAGCCTTCAAAAAGCCATGTTGAAATTAATAATGAAAATAAAATAAAATAGATATTTCTGTATATTTTCAGCATTTTCTTATGCATGATTTCATGTCAATGAAACAGTTCTTTCAACAACCTTCTACATATAGGGTCATCTTATTCTTAAGTATGTGTAACATACAGTAGTGATTTGTCTTAATCTGATTTCTAAAGTTACATTCATATCATGAAGGTAGTAATAAGAGTTGTAGAATAATTTTTAATTAAAACTAAGTTATTCATGAGCTAATTTCAAAATGGTACAAAAAACAAGTAATTTAATTTTTCTCTTACCACTATTCCTTAAACCCATTGTGTCAGCTCTCTCTTCCATTTCCCTAGATAATATCTCAAAAAGAACCATTAATATACAGTTACTTCTGGGCATTAATGAATAATCCTTATTTTTAGATATTAAAGGTCTGCTGCAATATAATTCAAAACCTCAAGTTCTCATTCAATTCATGCTTTCTCCCTTCCTCAGGGCAGTACCACTCTCCATACCTTAGATAGGAATTAACCAGCTTGGAATTCAAAAGAAGGGGAAACTGATGTTTATTTTCTTCCACACTTCACCTCTTTACTCTCTGCTAACTGCTATTTCTAGCTCCTTCTAGGGCAGGAACAAGGACAAAGTCAAAGTGGAATTAAAGGAAAAGAGGAAAAATCATTGCTGGGGCTACAATTTTCTTTCACTGAGGCCCTAATGGCAGATCCTGTCTTCAGGCTTTTGCTCTCTAAAGGTACCTTCGTGGTTCTTTGGCCATCCCACACTGGTCTTCTGACAGAGACCATTCCCTTTTCTTCTCCGGTAATGAGTCCTTTTCAATCCTTGCTCTGGTGGTATACTCTGCACAGCCTCTTTCTGTGCGGTTGCTTCACGTTCCACAGGTAATCCTTTTAGGCATGATCTTTTAGAAAATATTAAAGCCAGTTACATTCCTTGCTTCCCACTTTAGTGCAAACTCAGGAAGCATAAGTGGCTGTGACTACGGCCTTGTCATTTTGCTCTGTTATCAGTCAGCCTCAGCTAACCTTTAATCTCTAGATTTATCTAGGCTTTGTTTCAAGACCACTTTCATCTCACTCCACCTTGTGGAATTATATGCCAAAAAACGTAGTTTCTGTTTCAGTTCTGGGTATGATTTAGCCCCTTTTAGAAAAAGTAGCACCTGGCCGGGCACGGTGGCTCATGCCTGTAATCCCAGCACCTTGAGAGGCCGAGGTGGGGGGATCACCTGAGGTCAGGAGTTCGAGACCAGCCTGGCCAACATGGCAAAACCACATCTTTATTAAAAATACAAAAATTAGCTGGGCGTGGTGGAACATGCCTGTAATCCCAGCTACTTGGGAGGCTGAGGCAGGAGAATTGCTTCAACCCAGGAGGCGGAGGTTGCAGTGAGCCGAGATCATGCCACTGCTCTCCAGCCTGGGCAACAGAAAAAGACTTCTTAAAAAAAAAAAAAAGAAAAAAGAAAAAAAAATTAGCACCTATAATCTGTATCTCTAGCTTTGTCACTTCAGCTGAGATGAGGAAAAGTTCTATCACATTTTAAACATAAAATAATGTCTCTCTTAGGGAAGCCTGCACATACATTCATTCAAGTAGTATTCATTGAAATTCAACTGTTAACCAGATACTAATCAGAACCTAGGTATACAGTGGTGAGAAAAAAATAGATATGCACATTGCTCTTATAGGATAGCAATTTTTTTTTACTGGTAGCTAAAACAGTATGGTCTTTGGAGCCAAACATATAACCCCATCAAATAAGCCTCCTCCCCTACCCCATCCTTACCGTAAGAGGTTGGACTTCATCTGTGTAATAGAGATGAAATCTCCTCACTTCCATGACCATCCACACCCTATTGAAATATTTAAAATACATAAAGTACCCAGCACATTTGAGGAGCATAATAACATGTATCAACCATACAATTGTAAACTCTAAATTTGCAAACTTTCAGGTTGTGTGGGTTTCCTGTATTCTCTCTTCTCTACATTTTCACCAAATATTTCATTCAATGCAATGACCTTAAATATGTTTTCTATGTTAATGATTTCTAAATGTGAATCTCAATCGAAAAATTTTACTCGAGTTCCAGCTTCATATGTCAAATCTCACACGACATGACTCCTTGACTCTCTCACAGGTGTTTCACATAATATTTTCAAAATAAACATCTTAAAACACTGCCTCCCTATCCTGTTCTTTTCCCAGACTTCTGCATCTCAACACTAATCCCACCATACATCTTGTTGTTTAAGCCAGCTGTCATCTTTAATTCCTCCTTTTTCCTTATCATTCCCATACCTAACACTCAACCCATCTCAAGGCATTCATTTCTTCCTCTCATATTATCTTGATTTTTCTCAGCATCTCCTCTGACAACATATTAACCCAAACTATTACCATCTACCACCTGGTTTATGCAGTAACTGCTTTATTGATCTTAATCATTACCCTGTCAAATCCATGGTACACAGATTGTCCAGTGTGACTTTTTGTCCCTGTTCCTGCCCTTGAAGAAGCCTGCTTCAAACTCTTCAAAGGCTTCCAATTATACTTCTAATAAAATCAGAAATCTTATCATGGCTTTATCTTGGCCTACAAATTCCTGAATAATTTCTGACTTCTGACTCTTGTCTACTTCTTAACACTCATCTATTTTGTTGTCTGTATACTCTCTGTACTCTAGCCATGCTGATTTCTTTTAATTCTTACAGCTCATCAAATTGTTTCCCATGTTGAAGATTTTTGAGCATTCTTTTCCATCTAATTGGAACATATTCTTCCTCCACTCTGTGTCTGGCTTATTATTATGTTTTTTTCAATCCTATAGATCTCAGTTTAAACATTGTTTTCATCTTTCTCTTCCTTGATGACTTAACCATTTCATTATCTATTCCTTCACTCTGTTCATTTACTTCAGAATGTTAAAAATTATTTATAATTATATTTTTTATTATTTGTTTTATTAATTTGTGAGTTTCATTTCAACATGATGTCCTATTGGTCTCTTCTACTAGTCTGTAAGTTACATGAAACAGAGACCATATTTGGTTTGTTTATCTCTTTATACTATCTAGGACAATATAGATGCCCAATAAATATTCACTGAATAAATGAATTCTGGGGTAACCAATCACTTTGTTTTCAGCTATTAATGTTTAAAAATCCTTGCTTATTAAAAATAAAGTTTTTACTGAATCTTTGCCAAGCTTAATGTTTCTTTCTTTTCTTTTTTTTTGAAATGGAGTTTCACTCTTGTCACCCAGGCTGGAGGGCAATGGTGGGATTTCAGCTCACTGCAACCTCCACCTCCTAGGTTCAAGAGACTCTCTGGCCTCAGCCTCCCGAGTAGTTGGGATTACAGGTACTTGCCACCACGCCTGGCTAATTTTTTGTATTTTTAGTAGAGATGAGGTTTCACCATGTTGGCCATGCTGATCTTGAACTCCTGACCTCAAGCCATCCGCCCGCTTCGGCCTCCCAAAATGCTGGGATTACAGGCGTGAGCCACCACACCAAGCCTCCAAGCTTAATTTTTTTAAACATTAGGAAAACAAGAGGACTTTGGAGTTCAAGTGTTCATAAATACTGACTTAGTTTAATCATATCTATAGGAAATACCCAGATTTAGAGACAGACTGACCACGAAGAGATAACCATTCACATATTAGCAGAATCTTGTTTATGATGAAATGGCAAGGCTCGGAAGAAAATACGATGGAGATGACTAAGCTGTTTAGTAAATGTTTGAGCATAGGGAACTGATTCTATGTGGTGTTTTTCTAGTTCAAAAGCAACTTCAGTCTTAAGCAAAACAAACCAAAACAAAAATTTTTATATATTTTTCTAATCATATCCTGTATTCATTGGATTCTTCCCATGATAAAACCTAAGATAGCAGATGGGGGAAATTTTGGCCAACAGGCATTTGATGAGGAAGCAATTAGGAAAATTTAAAAAACAAACTAAACAAAAATCTGGGGATTGAGAAGTAGATGAAAATGTGGCAAGTGTAATAGGTGGAGTTAATTACTTAAGTGTCTGTGAGGACACTGGGGAGATACAGTAACTGAGTGACCACTTTACAGTTAAAGAAAAACCATATGGAAGAGTTTACCAGTAATTACTTACAAACTAAGAGAAAGATATTTGCATGAGATCATAGGCGGGGCGCGGTGGCTCACGCCTGTAATCCCAGCACTTTGGGAGGCCGAGGTGGGCGGATCGTGAGCTCAGGAGATCAAGACCATCCTGGCTAACACGGTGAAACCCCGTCTCTACTAAAAATACAAAAAATTAGCCTGGCGTGGTGGTGGGCGCCTGTAGTCCCAGCTACTCGGGAGGCTGAGGCAGGAGAATGGCGTGAACCCGGGAGGTGAAGCTTGCAGTGAGCCGAGATAGTGCCACTGCACTCCAGCATGGGTGACAGAGCGAGACTCCGTCTCAAAAAAAAAAAAAAAAAAAAAGAAAAGAAAAAAAACATTACATAGAAGAAGCAGGGTAAGAAGTGGTATAGGGACATGTTCCTGAAAAAGAAAGTAATAGAGTGGAGAGAGGATATCTAAAAACAAATGCATGTCAAGTGAGGACATACAGGTGAGAAGTTGGAACTGTATACTATTAGGTTTTAATGTTTCTCTAATACTTTTTGACTAGACATATAGATTTTGATTTTCTGGGATATAACCCAGAAGTTCATATAGTTGGAGGTCAATAAACCATTTTAAAACAGAATGATAGAGAGCCGAATGATAAAATGAATAGCAATGGTTACACTAGAGATGGCAAACACGTGCCACAAGGACTATTGTTACCTCCCTTTCCAGTACCTACACAAATATAAGTGATTGTCCATGCTATGTGTTTCTGCAAGGCTAGGCATTGAATTCCATTTTTAAAACCTCAACACAGTGTTTCAGGCACCCCCACTAACGTGTGGGAGATCAAGCATCCCCCACTAACGTATGGGAGATCAAGCTCCCCTACTAATGTGTGGGAGACCAAGCAGCCCCCACTAATGTGTGAGAGACCAAGCAGTCCCCACTATGTGTGGGAGATCAAGCTCCTCTACTAATGTGTGGGAGACCAAGCAGCCCCCACTAATGTGTGGGAGACCAAGCAGTCCCCACTAATGTGTGAGAGACCAAGCAGTCCCCACTAATGTGTGAGAGACCAAGCAGCCCCCACTAATGTGTGAGAGACCAAGAGCCCCCACTAATGTGTGGGAGACCAAGCAGCCCCCACTAATGTGTGAGAGACCAAGCAGTCCCAACTAATGTGTGGGAGACCAAGCGGCCCCCACTAATGTGTGAGAGACCAAGCAGTCCCCACTATGTGTGGGAGATCAAGCTCCTCTACTAATGTGTGGGAGACCAAGCAGCCCCCACTAATGTGTGAGAGAAAAAGCAGCTCCCATTAATGTGTGGGAGATCAAGCTCCTCTACTAATGTGTGGGAGACCAAGCAGCCCCCACTAATGTGTGAGAGAAAAAGCAGCTCCCACTAATGTGTGGGAGACCAAGCAGTCCCCACTAATGTGTGAGAGACCAAGCAGCCCCCACTAATGTGTGGGAGACCAAGCAGCCCCCACTAATGTGTGAGAGACCAAGCAGCCCCCACTAATGTGTGGGAGGTAAAGCTCCCTACTAATGTGTGGGAGATCTAATTTCAGTTTCTTCCACAAGTAACTGGGAAAGCAGAGTAGAGGCTGGGCCTGGCCCTTCAAAGGCAGTGCTGTTTGTATACTTTGAAATTATGGTGCTTGAGTGTTGTTACACAGTATTTTAACTGAAACTAGCAGAAAGAGATTACAATACTTCTTGAGGTGAAAATTTCAACTAACTTTTTATGAAACCATTGGTTATATTTTCCCACATTTATAATTTTGTGAACCCCTTCAAACTCTGTAAAATAAAAATTATGAGAGGTCACTGTTTTGGATTGAGCTCCTGCACTAGGCCCCAACAGACCAGACCAAACCAAATGGAGCCACTCATGCTAAATGCCGTATTATCAAACTGAAACTTTAAGGAAGCAGATTCCAAAACAGACCAGTTTTTTCCTGAAAACAGAAGACTCCAGTCTACCTGAATCAACATAATAAGTCCCCTTTGCTTTAATCCTTACAAAAATGTAACCTGATGTTTACTAATAAGCTTAAAAAATTATTTCGTTTGTTTCCACCTTTCAAAACCCACTGTTCTGCAGTTGCTCAATGGGAAGTCTCATTTAATTGGATCTATAACTAAATGTGTTGTAACTTTATCTTTTAACCCCTGTATGAGACGTTTAACTTTTAGATCTGTTTCGTTTTTATTTTTATTTACTTTATTTTTTTGAGACAGAGTCTTGCTCTGTCACCCAGGCTGGAGTGCAGTGGCATGATCTTGGCTCACTGCAACCTCTACCTCCTAAGTTCAAGCGATTCTCCTGCCTCAGCCTCCCAAGTAGCTGGGACTACAGGTGCATGCCACCATGCCCGGCTAATTTTTTGTATTTTTACTAGAGATGGGATTTCACCATGTTGGCCAGGCTGGTGTCGAACTCCTGACCTCAAGTGATCCACATGCCTTGATCTCCCAAAGTGCTAGATGACAGGCGTGAGCCACTGCTCCTGGCCTGTTACTGTTTTTCAGTGGGATGAAATGTTATGTATATGAAACATGAAAGCACTTATGTATACATTTAAAAGTAATTATTTCAATATACCTTTATCTTTTTATGACATATAATAGTAATAGAAACACATTTGTTTGTTCAAGGTAATTTGAGTGACTTATAACAAGTACAGGATAAATTGTTGGTCATTTACTTCCCTTTATTTACTTGGTACTGAGAGATATACCACAATTTGGCAAGCTCTGTAACATAACATTAATGATGATCCAACGAGTGGGATGAGATGGAAGCATCCCAATCACCAGTCCTAGTCTCAAAGCGAGCTCTGAAACCTTTTGTTTGAAAGTCTGGAAATAAATACGCTTTCCTTATTCCAGATATCAACAAACAACAAACAAAAGCCAAATCTTTTCTAAAATCATCTTAAATGTCTCAGATCAGGACTGTCAGCTGAGCCTATTGTTGCTTAGAGATTTAGAGGTTTCAGGGGAGAGTCCAAGAGAAGGAACACTTTCTGCTTTTAACAGCTCTCACTTGAAAAAAGATTTTTTTTTTCTCAGCCACCACACAAGCAAGAGAGATCTGTCTAGGGATAAGAAAAAGGGGTGTCAGACAAAGCTATCCATCAGAATGTGACTTAAGGGAAAAGACTATTCATACTGAGAAAAATAAAATAATTGAAGTCCTTAGCATGAAGACTAGGGACAGACATTCTATATGCTAACGGGGATAACAGGACTCACTGGGGGGTATCTGCAAGTGCAAACGTGCTTCACATTTCTTTCTCAGGGAATGTACTGCTTGATTTGTTTGTTTGCTTATTTTTAAATTTATTTTGTGACAGCTTGGTGGTTACCATTTCCATCTGTTCTTTCCTATTTTATTGTACATTGAGTACTACTGCCCAAGAAAGTGGAAGGCATGTTCATGGCCTCTAGCAGGACTGAGGGCCTTTGTGGCAAGACACTCTGAGGCTGCCAGCCCTTTCTGGCCAGGTGTGGGGCAAGGTTGGGAGCCACCCACAGGCATGTTTCCTCTGCCCTGTTAGAAGACACTGGTTCCTATCCAAGCTGAACCTTACACTGTTAGTAAGTACAACTCTAATTTCTTCTTCCCTGTATTGCTTTGTATCTTAGGGAAATGAATAGTAGGCTTGCAGTTAAAAAGGATTGGAGACTCCTGGCCTGGAACCCCTTGCTGGGGAAACTTTAGCTCTCTAATTAGTGTTAATGAACTGGGACTAACCATGAAGTCAAAAGCAAACCTGACTGGGCTCTTCAAACTTGAACCTGCTTTGCTTGCTTGTAGTTGTTTTTCTCAAAAAAGACTCTTCTGCCTCAATATAGATAATATAGCTGATGTATGGGTCATAATGGTAATAGCTGCCTAAGTTGTTTTTCAGAAATTTAGAGTCAACTCTTCTCCAGTTCAAACCGGGTGAGACTGCCAACCCTTCAAATGAGCCTGTGCGAATGTCCAATGGGTGCCCTTTAGACATCAACCCAACAGCTCCACCCTCATATCATTCTAATGCTGCAAATTTTCAAATATGCATCCTATGAAGAGCCCTGAAGCTTAACCACATTTGTGCAGAACATGGATTACCTCACTTTATCTTATCACCAATCACATTTTCCATGCCTCAGATCACCCTGCTTCTCTATCCCATAAATATCTCTAAACCCCATCTTCAGGGAGGCAGAGTTGAGACTTGTTCTCCCATCTCCTTGCCTTGCTGCCCCATGAACAAACCCTTTGCTGCGAAACTAGTCATCTCAGTAATTGGCATACTGTGCAGTGGGAAAGATGGGCTTGATTTGATAACAACCATTTTTTTTTCCAGAGGGTGAAAGTGCAAAGAAGGGAGTTAAATGATATGATATAAATACTGGTAGATAAAGATATAATTAGGGAAATTACAGCCAACTTAAAATTCCCTATTATTATTTCCCAGTTACGTGTCTTGTCTCACAGCAGTTGTCATTTTTCCATTCCCATTCCCATCTTTTTTTTAATGCAATGAAGTGTTTTAATGAATATCCTGAAATGATAATATTCTTTATTATGGTTTCAGAATATTCTTTATGTGTGACCTAATGGCAAATGATAAAAGCCAAATAAATATTTAATAATTTCCAATCAATTCCTGTGCTTGGGGCTCACCTAGCTATAAACTTTTCTGAACTTAACATGTATTGGAAGTAAGTAGAAAATTAGTTCGACTCTTTCCTTTAGCTTCTGACACTGCCTCGTTGTGTTTTTATTATTTCTTATTCCAATACCAAATTTCAATTCAAATCTATATCCATCAAATTGGAACTTCTATTTTAAGGTTTTTTTGTTACTTCTATATAAATACTGAAAAATTGTATGTAAGCTTAAGTACTTAAAAAGAAAAACATATTTTAGAGTAAGTAAAGAGACACTAAACATACAAATATATGTATGTTTCCTTTTAGTATACAAAAAAAAAAAAAGTCTATTTGAGTGTTATCACTGTTTTTTCAAAGAAAATTCTTACATACATTGGGATTTGCTCCCAGCATAATAAGCATGACCTCTGTTGGAATTTCTGCTGGTTTCAAATGAGACAATTGTGAATATTCCAGCAGCTTCTGATAGCATTAATTTATGAAAATGTCACTCTCTGACCTTGGCAAATTGCAGTTCAGTTTTTCAATGAACATCTAGTTCTTAGAACTTCAAATTCCATATTATCACTAGAGGCCCATCAACTTGCTTTTTTGTCCTGTGTTCTGGATCTGACATAGAGCTGCTTGTGTCAGATTCTGAGAAAAGACATGGCAAAAAAGCCAAGTCTTTTTTCAACTAAATAAAGATTTTCCTCAAATTCGTAAACACCCAAATATGCTATATTCTAGTGAATTCCTCTTTTGAACGTCATGGTTTGCTGAAGAAAATTAGTAAACACAGTTGAAATCCCCAGGTTTTCTCTATGCCAATTAAAATAAACTGATTTTTGTCTTTAACAGAAACTCATGTTCTCTTTCCTCAAGATGTTTACAGTAAATAGATTTGACATTTCAAATCTGGCTATAATGTAGGTAGCAAACACAGCACTGAGTATGACTTTGAATAGGGTTAATCTTTCACTTGTGACACTGGCGTATGTGCTTCATTTCAATTCTGCTTCCAGGCATTAATGCTAATTGGTCTTCTTACCTGAATATCTGGAGGCGCTACACAAACTGGATGAAGTGGGTACTTGTAAACAGGATTGTACAGAGATCATTCAGTTAGTACTTATATTTCATTGTAGCCTGAGCTAAATTCTTTTTTTATGTTTACATGCACAGTATTCACAGGTCTTATTTTATATTCCAAGCTAATTAATGCTTTTATAGTACAGCAGATAGTAATACATATATTACTGAAGATGTCGTACTGTATCATATAACTAATTGCAAACATGGCTTTGAAATAAAAAATATAAAATATTTTAATAGAAAATGTTATTGTTAAAAATTAAATTTCTTTTGCAGCCTACTGGGGTTTCCTTTGAATAGAAATAATTTAAATATAAAAATACTCATTTTAACTGAGTTTGTTTTTCTTTTGATTAGCTATTTTATTTGAAATTTTTAAAGACACCCAAAATAAGAGGGTTTTAAAATCTCTTAGATTATTTCCACAATGGTAGGGTAAACTGGTAAAGTGAAAATATGAGAAATAAAGAAAAGGGCCATCATCAATTTCAAGAAATCTTCAGCAAAGTATTTGTAAGTTGTTGTTCATTTGTTTTTTATGTTGCCTTATGTTAAAACATTATAACCTGATTTGAGGTATATGGGAAAATTCCTACATAAATATCCATAGAAGTGATAGCAACAGGAAAGTTGTATATGGAAAAAACCTCAAAAAATTATTTTGTATAAGGGGAAACTGAGTCTTAAAGAAGACTGTACAATTGAACCTAAAGCCTAAAGCTGATTAGCAGAGAAATGGGCCTGGGATCGTGTTTCCTGACACATAGTATGATATATTTCTACTACATCAACATTTCCCAGTCTTGCCTGATTTTTAGAACTGTTTAGGACACGTTTTTGGAAATAAAAATTTCCAAGCACTGCTCCTGGAGATTGTGATTCAGTAAATCTGGAATTAGACCCAAGAGTGTGCATTTTTAACAAGCATCCTAGAGGATTTTTATACTGAAGCAATTTTAGGAATCACTGCTTCTGACTATTTTAATGACTGGATTATTTGTTTCTGCTACAATATGGAGTATTTGTTGCTGTTGGCAAAAATGACAGTTTCAGGTAAAGTATAACACATTTCTTACTATCCCATGTATATGTGAAAAAAACCAAAAATTTTCAATGTTTTCAATAAGCAATTTTTTTTTTGCCCATTTAGAAATTAGTAAAGTTGTTCAATCACAGAGTGCAGTTTTGCTTTCTATGATACCTAACCTAACTCAAAGACCCTGAGGACAATCCACTTAACATCTATCCACTTAACACCTGTCTTTAACATGCCTTGACTTCCGCATTTTTGATAACTTTCACAATGTCTCCACTCTAGATGTGGATCCTCAAGGTCACATCCTGAACTTGGCCATCATCTGGAGCTGCTACACATCTGAAAACCTAAATTCTGCTCTTCCAATCTCTGACAACTAACTTCTATTTTTCCAGATGCCATCTACTTTATTCTTATATTTTATTCACTGAGAACCACAAATTCCTCCCCATTTTAAAAATGTTCGGCCTGAACTTCCTTGTACTGTATATACTCTAGACACATTAGCCTCCTTTCAGATTCTTGAACATGACAAACTCTGTTTTATACGCAGAGCATTCTTCTACTAGCTTTCATATGATTTCTTCCCAACATTTCAAGTCCTAACATCAGTTTTTACACTGGAAACATTTTTCATGACTACCTACCTACCTGTAGTAGTTGACCACTAGCTCAACTAACTATCTTCTTGGCCTCCTAATGATGTCCCTCATTTAATAAGCTGTATATATTTTATGTACTTATTTGTTTATTTTGGCTACACAAGATTATAAGTTCTATTAAGAGCAAGGACAATGCTTTGTTTATTATTGTATTTCCAGTACTTAGCATAATGTCTGGCTTTTAGTAGTCAGTCAATATGTTCAATACGGCCATACATTTCTCACACTAACCTGTTACTTTTCCTATACTTTTTGTTTCAGTGAAAGGAACAACTGAGTACCCAAGTAACCAAAGCAGAAACATGGAGTAATACTCTAATGAATGAGTCTACAAGATCTGTCAATGAATTCTTCTGATATGTCTTCAATTGTCCTTCCTTCCTTCTATCCTTCCTTCTTTCTATCCTTCCATCTCCTTTCTTCAAATATTTATAAACTTCCTATGTATCAGGCACAATTCTAGGTTCTTAGGACTTAGAAATGAACAAAAGAGCTAGAAACCCTTGCCTTCAAGGAGTTGACATTCTATATTTCCCATTGTTCAAAGCTTTATTTATTTCTCTGCAGAATTACTCTGGCAGTCCTTCACTTCAAAGGCCTTTCACTGGTCTCCCCACCTTTAGTTTCATACTTCTCAAGTTCAATCTCCACATCAGTCTCCTAAATTTGACAGTATACTTCCTCTTGGTTTGAGTGATTTTTCTTTCCTTCAGAGTAAATACTGATGTATTTGCATTGTTTTGTAAGGTGTTTTATTGTGTGATGCCTGCATACCTTCCAGACCTCTCATAGTTCACAGGCTCTCATTACATATTTCACCATCACAAATAATTCTCAGGGTACAAAAGTCCCTCTCCCAGGTTTACAACAAGGTTCATTTGTTGCATCTGCCTTGTGTATGCTTCTTATCACCTTTTTCTGGCTCACTCCTATCTGTAAATCACAACTCAGCTCATGTTTCATATCCTCTAAGATAAATGCCTCCACTCCTTCTAATTGGGTCCCTTTTTATTTACTTTTAGCACAGAACAGCTATTTCTGTCAAAGCACTGATCAAATAGCACTGTAATTGTCACTTTATTTCTTTAATTAGATTATAAACTCCTTGAGATCAGAAATTTGTTGACTCTCTTATCTCCCAATAAATTGAACACAAACGAAGTTTTACATTCAAATTTGGGTATTTTTTTAAATGTGAGTTATTCTTGGGTTTATAATACTAGATCTCAAAATAGTAACGTCTTTGTATAGTCATGAGTCATGGTGATGATAAAGGCTCTGGTAGGGAGACAGTCTTGCTTTTGTTTTTTTTTGAGATGGAGTCTTGCTCTGTCACCCAGCCTGGAGTGCAGTGGCATGATCTCTGCTCACCACAACCTCTGCCTCCTGGGTTCAAGCGATTCTCCTGCCTCAGCCTCCTGAGTAGGTGGGACTACAGGCACATACCACCATGCCCAGCTAATTTTTGTATTTTTAGTAGAGACGGGGTTCCCTATGTTGGCCAGGCTGGTCTCAAACTCCTGACCTCATGATCCACCCACCCCAGCCTCCCAAAGTGCTGAGATTAGAGGCATGAGCCACCGCGCCCAGCCTAGTCTTGCTTTTTTAAAAAAATATATATTTGCTTTTAAGGCAAATTTGGTGCCTCAAAAGTGTTCTCAGCCAGTAAAAAGCAAAACAAAACAAATTAACTTGATCAATTTTGTTGAGTACGGCTTATGGAGTCTTAAGAACTCAGTGTTAATTTAGGCTGTCTACATAAATTTAGGCTAGCCACCACTCCTGAAATTAGAATCCTTGTCAAAGCTGGACTTCTTGGGAGCTGGATTAGGGATAGGATTTGTCAGAACTGGCTTTTGTGAGATAAAGTGAACTTGATGCTTCAGAAGCGGTGGCTTTGGGAAGCACGTTGGGTTAAAGGACAGGAAGTATTCAAGAAGTGAACTGGTGGGTAAAGGATCTGGAACTAAGGCAGAAGGGCCCGTTGAAGGCAGATTATAGATTTCCTGGACAAAAGTGTGGGCAATGCCAGTATTTTAAATGGGAGCTGTTAAGGATGTTAAGTGGCCTGTTTAGTCACTTTTTCTCCAAATAGCTGCAAAAACTTGGAAAAGGAAGAGAGAATCTTATAGTTACATTACATGAAGAACTGTTAATGACTGGATATTTTAAACAAGTAGTTGCAGTCTAACCTGCAAAAACAGGTATTAGGTTTAGTTTAGTGGCACCAGAGGGCAAATATAAGATTAACATAAGAAATTGCAAAGAGACATACTAGCTAAAATTAAAGAACTTTTTAATGGCTCAGAATGTCCAACAATGGAATAGTAGAATGCATTGCTTTGTAAGTAAGTGAAAATGGTAAGTTGTAAGTTGGTCATTTCATCCATCTGGGGGTTGTAGTGAGATTTCTTCTCTGAGTTAAATGCTTTTGAGTTGGATGACTGTTCATATTCTCCATGTAATTGAATTCCACAATTTACATTCCCCTCTCCCACTTTAGAACTTCATTTTTGACACAAAATTTCCTGATTTCTAAGTATAATGTAGGGGACTACCTACTAATAGTGAACAGGATCCCCAGCTCCTGATGGTTGACAACTGCAAGGAAGATGGGGTCTCTCAGAAACTACTTATAAGAACCAGCCAACATCTGCTCTGTTTGAGACGAGCATGTCAAACAATGAGAAATGCAGAGGGAAACAGAGAGATGATCATGAATCCTCTGTTCATCAAGTAGGCAATGCTAACCTTAAAATGTCTCAGCATGTTTAACCTCTGTAGTTTATTTTTAAATACTATATTTATTTTAGTTGCAATTCTGTTAGATATTCAAATCATTTTCACCTATCCGAAACATATTGTGCAGTGACTCATCAGACATCTGTAGCAAGTAAATATACACAGTGTATTTTTAGAGTAGCAAATATCTGTCTATGCATTTATAGTACAAGTAAAATTAAACCTGATCTGAGAAAAGTGAATTATTCAGCTCTGACCACTATTGCGCCATTTTCACCTTTAGAACTTACGTTTCTATGCTGCAATTTTTAGATCACCTCCAACCTATAAATGCCAGACTTAAATGAAAAATTGTTCTGTTTTTTTTTCTATGGACTATTTGCTAGAGGAGTCCTTCTGCAGTGAATGTTGAATGCTGTTAATTCCTATTTATGGCTTTAATAGCTTTGCATTAATGAAAAAGTCAGATACCCTTTATATACCCACCTCAGGGCTTCATCTAGGAGATGTTCCATTGATGTGAAAAAGAGGCAAATTGATTTCTGCCAAAAATGAGAATGTAGTAAAGAGGCTCAAACTGCATGTGGATAATGAAATGGCTTGCTTTATCACAAATATTTGTTGCATATGTTTTCTACTTATTTCTTCTAATGGCTGCCCCCTGCTCTTCATATAGCTCAAATTTGATGTCTAAATTGTTACATGTGTTGACAGAAAAAGGAAATAAAGAAGATCTCATAATATTTTAGTAATAAGAGAGTTAAATGTAGATATATTATTTCTGCATTTTGATTTGTGCTGTTCAAGGTTATATGAATAACTAAGAAGTTTTCTTTTCAGATGTATTAGACTCCTTGGGACACCTGATCAGGGTCTTAATCACTGCATCTGTAAAAATGAGGTAAGATGTGGGAAACTAAAAACTTTTTACCAAAGAAGTATAGTTTTTTTTTTTTCCTCTTCCCTTTAAAGTATCAGGAATTTCCAAGCTATCAACATTTGCTGAATCTGCCTATGCATAGTTTTCAAAAATAGTCTATGTTTAATTTATTTCCAAAATACTTTCCATTTCAGCAGGTTTCCATGAAGTGAAACATTTACTATAAATGGATAAATTTTGTCAGGGAGCTGCTTCAACAGTGTCCTAAATGAATAGTCAGAGTAAAAGCATAGCACAGATATAGTCAAAAAGAAGTAACCCTCTTTTTTTAGAAAAAAAAAGTGCTAAATTTTAAAGCACAGTTTTATTCTGCAACTTGGACAGTATCCCAGGTATCTTGTTTAGAGTATGTGAGTGCTGCAGAGAAGTCAGAGAGAAAAGATAGAAGCTGGAGTAGAATCAGCTGGATTGGACCCAAGTAGACTAGGCCTACTGTAAAAGTAAGACCACTACGGCTGGAGGAGTTCACCAAGAAACTGACACACAGACTGGGAGTCATGTTGCTGCCAAGGTGGGACCAATACTGATGAAAGGTGCCCAGAGCTAGAAAGAGGAGGGGAGAATCAGAGACTCGCAGACTCAGATTCAAATATGAGATCACAAGATGAAGCAGAAGCCAACTCAAGCAAGAAGTAACAGGAAGAGGGTGATAAGTAACAGCTAGAACATGTACATGAGTCAAGACATGTGTGTTTGCCTGATTCATGAAGCCAGGAAAGGGATAAAAATTCAGGCAGCAAGTGGTGTGGCATTTTATTTTGATTTGAATGTAAGTAGTCATCAAAATTAATGAATAAAAATAGTTATCAGTTTGTATGTATAGACATTTAAGAATATTTCGTACTCCATTTGCAGCTATAAAAATGAATAAAAAAGATTTCTATTAACTGATATGGAGTGATTTTCAGGATGTATTTTCAAGTGTAAATACTAAAATGCAAAAGAATACCTGAATACCTATAGTGCATTGCCTTTTATATAAGAAAAAAAGAGTAAATAAGAAAATAATGAACACATCTGCTCATTTGTGAATAAAGTAATTCAAGTAGTAAAAATAAAAAATGAATGAGAAATAATGAGAATGGAGTGAAAAGAAAAAGGGAATGGGGGTTAGAAGAAAAGGGGAGAGAGAGACATTACTCTAGGTATACCTTTAAGTATACTTCTGCAGCTAAGGATCATAGCAACATTTCACAAACAGAACCAATATATTGATAAACTCAAGCTGGATGTCTTAAGGGGAACCAAAAATGGAATAAAACCATAATGAATAAGCCTAACTCTATTACAGATTAATAACATAGCCCTACTGAAGGGGTCAGGGAAAAATAACAAGATGAAGTAGATTCCAAAAGATTATTTTGACAAGATACGTAAGGATAAAGATAAAAATAATTGTATACGAATAATACTCTAGCTAAATTTTGCTTTACTGGTATATGTATTAGTAATTCTGAAAATATATTATGTAATTGTGTCTTACAGAAATAGACTGTGGGTAACAACACAAGTTTCTCACTATCAGAGAAAGGAGTTACAAATAAGGAAAGTGGAAGGCTAGAATGAACTCTGTGATGTTGGGTTGGAACTGAAAATATTTATCAAAACTCTTGGCTTTTATTATAAGTAATGTGAATAAATAAGAAATAGATGTAGACGTGTGTACGTATGTGTTACTATATACACAAATACTTTCAAGTTTTGTTTACAGAGAAGGCATAACAGCAATAACATCCTAGTAGTAGTGAGAACACCAAATGTCTAGATTTTGGTTTCTAAATGCAATTTTCTAATAAAAACAAACAAGAATCCTTGAGAAAAATGGCTGATTCCAGGGTTGGGCAATTGCTGAGGAAGTCCAAGATGAGTCCAGAATATCTTAGAATGCCAGAAAAGAAGAAAGTGAAGAAACAATTTTTTAAAAAAGATGAGGGTTCACAGGAGCCGGTTTAAAGAATCTCTCAATAGCCCAAACTGGGTTAATTTGGGGAAAAAATTAAATAGTGATAGCTATGAATTTTGGCCCATCAAATAAAATAAATGAGTCTGTATTGACAGAAATAAATAATTGAGTGCATATACAAATAAATGGAATAAAAGAAACATCTCTTTCTTAGAGTAGAATTCAAATTAATAAATATAAGAGAAGCAATAAAAATTCACCACTTGGTAAACAATTTAGTCATACTTATTGCAGTCAGGAGTCATCAGTGAATGCTAAAATTAGTGGAAAAGTTATAATTAGAAACAAGATATTTGCACAGTCTATAGTTATCTTCCCACAAAAAACTTATTAATTTCAAAAGGAAAAATAGAAATGTTATAATAGGGAAACTTGGCAAAAATTATCAAGTTTACCTCATTAAAAGTAAGACATATCATCATCATGTTCATCTTCAAATGATACATTGAGAAGGGCATAATACCGTTTTGAGTATACCTGTCACATATGCATAATCTGAATCTGACCCTGAAAAAAATATCCCCAACTTTAGGAAAATGCTAAAAACTAAATAAATAGTACTCTTCAAATCTGTCAGGGTCATGTAAGACAAAGAAAACTGAGTAACCATCACAAACCGTAAGATAATTAAAAGTCCTGACAACTAAATGCAAAGTAGGGTCTGGAGTTGGATCCTGGATCAGGAAAAGGACACTAATGGGAACATTTGAAAACTTCTAATAAGGTAGAGAGAGCAGTTAACACTACTGTATCAGTGACATTTCTGTATTTATATAATTAAGTTTATGTGAGATATTTTCAATAGGGAAAGCTACATTTAGGGTTTACAAGCACTTTGTATTATTTTTCTAATATTTTAATGTCTAAAGCTATTTTTCAAATAAGAAGCCAGAAGATGATAGGCATCCATAGCATGAACAGCCCAAGTAGTATAGCAGAAAACCATTTGTATTAAATGTAGTATTTAATTAAACTTTTCCACTCATTGACCTACCACATCAGGAGTTTCACTACATTATCCATTAATTGGCAAAATCTTTGGTTTAGTGAATGTTTTCCTAAACTCTAACCATTTATCTGACAACTTCACCAACATGAAAACATTACTTCCATTGGAGCAATTTTCCCCTTTTAGACTTTTCAGGCACAATATTCCACAGAATGTACCCAATGTGGCTAAATAATGTTGGGGACTTGTGTGCCTTTTCACTTTGGTGATAAGAAAAATGTCTGGCTTAATGCCCCGTCATAGCAAGCATTGTTGTCATACAAAATCTACTTAAAGGAAAAAATGTTTTGATTTGAAAAGACTGTTACTTAATGATAAAATGAAAAACTCACTAAGAAGATATAACATTTATGAATCTGTATGTGCCTGTCAACATAGCTTTGTAACATATGTCCTACTTTGTTTTTGCTGCTATATAACAAATATCTGATAATGGTAATTTATGAATAATAAAAACTGTTTTTATCATAGTTAGGGAGGCTGAGAAGAGGTCCATGACCAAGGCTCTGGAACGTTTGTTTTCTGGTTAGGGCTTGCTCTCTGCTTCCAAGATGGAGCCTTATTACTGCAGCCTCCGGAGGGTACCAACACCACATCCTCATATGGAAGAAGGGGAAAAAGGGTTAGGCAGTTCTCAAAAGCCTCTTTTATAAGGATATTAATCCCATTCACATGGGCAGAGCCCCCTCGTGATTTCACTACTTCTCCAAAGTCCTCTCCTCTTAAGAATATCACCTTGGACTTTAAATTTCAACATGTGAATTTTAGAGGAACACATAAATTCAAACTGTAGCAATATACATAGAAAAAATAAGCTAAAAGCTAAATTGATAAATTTCTATAGTAATTAGGGAATTTCAACAATTCTGTCTCGAGATTAATATAATAGATCAAGTGTTTGATCTGTTTCAAAAAGTTGCTTGCTTAGACTACTGTCAGAAATGAAATTTGAGATTGATCTTGAAGGCTATAGACATACAGAGTAGAAAAAGGCATTCTGTACAGTAGACTTTCTAAAAATGTTTTAAAATATCAAGGTTTAGGGCATCATTGCATAATTGTGTCACATATGGATATTTGGAGTAGCTTTCTTTTTCTTAAAGAAACTCATCTGTTTGATAAAATAGGAAAGTATCCCACACTGAAAATCTGTATTGCCATGACTTGCCACCATGTTTATGAAAAGATCTATCTGGGTTTACAAGCGACTTGGAATTTCTTTGAAGCTACTTTGAGATATGCCTTTTAATGCCGGATGTTACAAAAATCCTTTATTTGTAAATATAACCAAATGAAGAGATAAAATTTCCAGATATTTAGCTGTCTTTGTAAAAATAAAAAAAAATTGTAAAGTCAAAATGTTTCCTTTAATCTTGAATTCTAAACTCAGGTATCTAAATACAGATGCAAATTCTTAATAATTATATCTGATTGCATTAAACAAGGGCTACATAATCAGGATGATTTCCTTTGATCTTTCCTAAAACTGCAGGTATTTATTGAGCTGTCTCTGTAACTTTTGATGTACCTATTATTATAAATTATAAAATATTATTGAATATTTCAGAATAGATTATCCTGGAATATGCCCTGTCACAAAGCGTAGGTCCCAGTTATCAACAAACAAGTCTATTGAAATAAGGACTTTTCATTAAAAGTTAGAACTCTGTAGTATAAAAGTACTTATTTGTCTCATTCAGATCTCTCTAAGAGAATAGGCACCTCATTTGTCTTGCACCTCATTTGTCTTTTTTTTTGGAGACAGAGTCTCACTCTATAGCCCAGGCTGGAATGCAGTGGTGTGACCTCCGCTCACTGCAACCTCCTCCTCCGGGCTCCCAGCGATTCTCCTGCCTCAGCCTCCTGAGTAGCTGGGACTACAGGTGCGTGCCACCACGTCTGGCTAATTTTTTGTATTTTTAGTAAAGATGGGGTTTCACCATGTTAGCCAGGATGGTCTCAATCTCCTGACCTTGTGATCCACCCGCCTCAGCCTCCCAAAGTGCTGGGATTACAGGCATGAGCCACTGTGCCCAGCCCAAACTAGTCTTATTTATCATTTTATCCTATCACCTAAGGTACAAATGAAATAACTATTACTTTAATATATGAACAAATGAACAAACTAACAAGCAAATAAATACATTCATAAGTTGCAACAGGAAAACCTTTCTATTAAAAAATGGATGCTTTATTTTAAAGCGAAAGGTACCCAGACCTTTGATTAGGTTCCTGACCATCACTGACAGATATTAACTCTAAAGACAGGTCAGGAGGACTTTTTTGTCTCTCTTTAAAGTTCCCTGGGTTCCAGAAGAGATGAAATTTCTGAAGAACCAAAGTATATTCCAGATCTCTTAAAGGTAAAAGGAGAAGTTGGTCACCCTATGTGGCCCGAACCCAGAGTTGTGATGCAGGTTTTAATTCTGTCACTCTCTAAAGCATTTGTCTAGGACTATATAACAGCAGACTATTTCTGAGTACTACTAGCCTAGGGACAAGAGAACTTTGCAATGTTCATTCTTTAACTGGGGTCTTTAAGTCTTCTGGAAACTGTATTTTGAATCTGTATGCAAATTCTAACCTCTTTTTTATATTTCTTACTTGTCCAGGCTTGAGCCATAGTTGCAAAACCAAGTTCTTGCTTCCTTCGTGTTTAATGCTTTTTACTTAGCCTTCACTAAGACCCTTCTGTATACACTCTGTGCCCCTATCCCACGCAAGAACCCTATTTTCTCCGACTTTAGAAAGGAGAAAGAAGGAAGGGAAGGAAGTCAGTCTAGACATCCACATTTATTTCTTTGGGTTAAGCACCACGATGTCCGAGAAATTTCTATTTAAATCAAAATAGCACAAGGAATCTCAACGATGAAAAAACATAATTTTTTTTTATTTGAAATAGTTGACTAATTACATAGCCGTCCTTCAAGGAAGAAAGGAACTAACATAAGAATAGATTACCAGGCATCCAGAAAATAAGGAATGCTAGAAAAAGAGTGAAAAGTGCAATTAAAGAGAGATAAGAAGACTCCAAAATTGTTCCTTATCTTAGATATTGTTCCCTGAATTTGTATATGTGCAGAATATGAATTCACCTGAAGTCTTTAGAAGATTGTAACATGTCTTTGAAGCTCCAATTCTATACCAAGCAAGTTTATAGACTTAAAACCCACAATATTTCATTTTATTTGGGGCAGAGGAAGACAGACCTTTAATGACTCTATTCATGATAATGATCTGAAAAAGAGAAATAACGTTTGGCAGTATTTGGATTTTTTAATCAAGTTTTAATAATGGCTATGAGCCAAATAAAATAAAAACTGTTTTCTTTTGTATTTTTCTGTCTCTTCAATATATAAAATTCCATTTTGCTAAAAACTACTAATTTATCTACCACATAAAATGTGACTTTTCATAACTGCAAAAAAATAGTGTACACATCATTTGAAACTGAAATGAGAAACTGTATATATGAGCAATAAATATAGTAAACATGTTTAAATGTAAATGTAAAACACAAACCTCAGACAATGAGCCTACATGAACATTGTGATATTTAGACATTTGTCAGACAGCCTTTTTCTGTTTTGACAGCCAAATGAATGCTATATATAGAGGGACTGTCTTTGGAAGATAGACTTCCTTGCCTAGTTTCCTTTACTCTGAACAACTGCAAGACATTTCAATGTGTGGGAAGCATCTATGGTACAGAGAGTTGGAAAACATTCAGGCAGAAAGTATCAAAACAGTCAAATACTTGCAAATCCAATATGCTCATCCATAATGATTCATTCTCTATTTAAAACACATTTTCAAAGTCTAGGACAATTCCAGCTAACAAAAGCCTTTTACTTTTGAGCTTCTTACAAACGAGCTTAAGTAAAAAAAAGGAATATAGAATCTAAATTTTAACAATTTATGGTTCTAGATGTTTTTTGTTATAGTGCTCCTCGTATGTGAGACAAAATTTAACTTCAATCGCCATATCTTTACATCGTCTGTAGCCTTTGTTCTTATTCTTTTTCTTCCTCTTTTGTATAAAGCTACAAGATAAGAAACCAGGAATGCAACTTTCTACATAAAAGAAAGCTGTGATTCCCAGAATCCTGGCTTAAATTTGATTTATATTCTCAGTGTGGGTTCCACTATATCTAGCTGGAAATTGTTTTTGAGATACTTGGATGTGACAAATGGTGTGAATTTTAAATTTGTGAAAATAAAACAATATTATCATTTATGGCTATGTCTTAACAATTTTTCCCCTTTGTAATTTTTAAGAGAGTTGGGCTCTAAATGAGTGTATTTTCTCCTACACTCTGCTCAGGCTCTGCTTTTGAGGATAGCTTGTTTGGGTTACTCTACCCCTAGAGAAGTAAATTTAATATATCTTCTTTCACTTTTGATTAAGTCAAGTGAGATAATTGATGGAATGAATATTTTTAAGCAGTGTAGAGCTATCATTTAGAAGAAAAATAAGATCTTATAAAAGGCATGGAAAAAAATAATTAAATCTGGAATATGTTTTAGGTTTGGAATTTTATTAAATTTGCAAACATAATAGATATTTCAAATATCATATTAAAAATTTCTTTCAGATCTAACCAAATAAAGGAAACCCATTAAAAAATGTGGGTGGAGTAAGAAGACTGTATTTTTTTAAAATAAAATCTTCCATGTGTTTTTCAGAAAAGAATAGTGTGTTTATAATTAACTTCTTTCAAAGCATTTGGGGACTTAGAAAATGGCAACATATACAACCCCCAATATTTTAGGAGTAAGGTCTTTAGATGGCATTATGTATAATCTTTAAGATCTATACATTTTCAAATGATTGCAAACAAAAATGAGAAAAGCTAGCTCTTCAAAGATTTGGGAATGCAAACACTCTTCTAGGTTATATCACAAAACACAGTCATTTGCTTTCATTTAAGTCATAGCTTTTCTCTGCTTTACAAATGCACTCAAAATGTCTTTACTTTTTATTTCATTCAGATGCTTATTTAAAAAATGCAACCAACCTAAAAATAGCCATAAAATATAAAGCATTATCAAGAATATATTAGAAATTCATAAACAATGAAACCGAAAAATGGCAAAGACTTACACAGGTACCTCACAAAAGAAGATATCCAAATGACCAATAATCATATGAGTAAGTGAGAAACTGCATTGGTCATCAATGACATGCCAATTATAACAAAAATTTGATAATGTCATTGATAATAACAAATGGCTAGTATAATTTGAGGATTTATTAGTAGTATCCTGATGTCTAAACTGAAAAAGATAGGTATTCCAAATTTCAGCCAAGCTATTTGTAAATTAGTACAACATTTTGGAAAAAGTGTTTGGCAGTATCTACTAAAGCTGAAAAACAAGTCTATGACACAGCATTTATTGCTCTAGGTATATAACTATTAGAACTTCATTCTAACACCAAAAGATATGTAAAAGAATATTCCTAACAGTATCAATAGTAATAGCTTTAACTGAAAACTGCCAAAATGTTCATCAGTCATAGAATGAGTATAAAAATTGTGGCATATTAATACAAAAAAAGTTATACAGTAATGAAAATGAAAGTAGTACAATTTGCAAAAATGTAAGTGAATCTCACATATGTGGTATTAAGCTAAAAAAATCAGACAAAAGGAGTGCATATTTTATGAATCTATTTACATAAAGTTCGAAAACAGGTAAACCTAATCTGTGATTCTAGATGTCAGAATAGTGGTTATTTGTGTCACAGGCAGCAAGGGAGGATATAGAAGAGTTCTTCTGGAGTGCTGATTATGTTGTATTTATTTATTTGAGAATAGTAATATGGATGTATCACATAAAAATTTATCAAGCCATGCACTTATGATTGAAGGGGGAGGAAAGTTATGTTCAATAAAAACAATTTACATTAAAGAGTAATTATTAAAAGTAAACAGGAAGATTTACACCCAAGAGGTATATAGGAATGTGTTTAAACAGAATCATGCTTTTTGAAAATTTATATGAGTAATGTCTCAATTCCTTTTATGCTGCTATAACAGAATACCACAGACTGGGTCATTTATGAAGAACAGAAATTTATTTTTCATAGTTCTGGAAGCTGGGAAGTCCAAGTTCAAGCTGCACGTGTCACCTCCTCTAGTGGAGCAGTTTTGGGTCAGTACCTTTGCACACTTGAAGCTCAGTTTAGGTGCCACTAATTTTAAGGCTACAGGTATGGATAAATCCCTCAGGCGTAGGCTTAGTTTTCTCATACATAAATAGAGATGACATGAAATTAAATGAGAGAAGGTAGGGAAAGGAGATGGTTGATTCAAATTTACCAGTCTGGAGAGAAGAAAATCTTTCAGAATGCTTTCTGTTTTATTTGCTCTTTACAAGCAAAGATTATTGCAAATTGCTTAGCTCTTTTTAGAATATAAAAACCCTCAAAAATATTATGGATTATTCAGTGGAATTATTTATAATAATGTACTTAAAAGATAGGATGAAACAAAGTATCTTAAAATAGTTTAATAATCATGATATTTTTATAAAATAATGATGTGCACAGGTGATCTAAGACTTGTTACTACATAAGACAGCAATAATTAATAATAAAAATAATATTAACTATTATTTTTTAATGGAAATACTTTTTTTCAGCTTCAGTATGAGCTCTGAAATATTTCAAGCTACAGAAAACACTCAAGGTTTGCCTGTATCTCTTGCCTTTATTTTAAATATGAATTTAAGTAATGCAATACTGAAACATGTTTTTCAATTGATCCTAATATTCTTTGACTAATAGTAAGGACAGATAAGGGAAAACATTAAAATACTCATAAATATTTGTTAACTAAACATAAGAAGAGTACTATGGAAGGCATGATGTACTTAAGATTCCACTTAAAATTATATAAGACAACCAAGTTTAAATTTTATAATTGGTAATTCACCTGGTCCAAGCCCTGGAGGTCATGGGTCAGCAGTCAAAACCCCATGGAGGGCCGGGCGCGGTGGCTCACGCCTGTAATGCCAGCACTTTGGGAGGCCGAGGCAGGCGGATCATGAGGTCAGGAGATCGAGGCCATCCTGGTTAACACGGTGAAACCCCATCTCTACTAAAAGTACGAAAAATTAGCCGGTGTGGTGGCGGGTGCCTATAGTCCCAGCTACTCAGGAGGCTGGGGCAGAAGAATGGCGTGAACTCAGGAGGCGGAGTTTGCAGTGAGCCGAGATTGCCTCACTGCACTGCAGCCTGGGCAAAGAACAAGACTCCATCTCAAAAACAAAATAAATAAAAAATAAAAATAAAATAAAATTAAAAAACCCCATGGAGACATCCTCTATCATCTGTTGCTCTGTCATTCATGACTATTTGCCATGATTACTCCATGGCACCACTTTTAGCCACTTATGTGAGGAAAGAGCGTAAAAAGCTCAAATATAGCTCTCCATGGCAAGTGTTCTGAATTCTGATAAAACAGACATTCCTTGGGTTTCCCTCCAAAGAACGCAGCAGCCAGTACTCAGTGTACATTCTCTTGTTTCCAGCTTCCTTTAGAAAAATGCAAGATGCTCCTTGTGAGAGTTTCTTTTTCAGCTTGAGGTTATTTTTTTAACACCTTCTCCAACTAGAGTCATCCCTTCTTGCAAGTATACAAACAAAATGCAACCATATTACAAGTACTGTTTTTTAATTTTTTTCTTTATTTCTTTTTCAAAGGCACACTTAACAAATCATAATCTATATCTATGCCTAGGAGCACTAATGGTTTTCTTCCTTCTTCCTCTTCTCTCATTGCACAAATAAAAAAATAAAGAGAAACAGTTTTGAGGGCACTTTAATTATATGTAAGTTATTTTGCCCTTACAATAATTCTTAAAGGTATATATCGTTATAGGAGAGGACCTCAAAGACAGGGGTTTAAGATGCAACCTATTTTTTAATTATAGTTCTAAATTTAGAATGAAAAGATTAGTTTTTCTCTAATTGAGGGAGCAGTAAAACAGAAAAGAAACAGACTTGCCAGCTCTGAGGAAAATAAAAGCAAACTTCTTCACTCCTTTTCCTGGTTCACTTACCCAGAGTTGGGCAGAAAGGAATATACCTAGCCCAAAGAAAGGCAAAGCATTCTAGGTCTTCCGATCCTGGACACAGTACTCAGCTGAGTGGAGTCAATGAGAGTATTGTCTTGCAGGTTATAAATACTACCAAGTGAGATCTCTGTCTCTTCCAGTCAAGGCAGAGGCAGCTGCTCTGTCTGAGGTTCCCACCTACAACACAAATAGGAACTGGAGTGCATACTGTCTCCGCAAAGGTTCCCACTCTGCAAAGAACGCCAGAGGGCCATCCCTTCTGAGGTTCAAAATGGGAGTCCTCATGAATCTCATCAAGTATCCCACACAACTGTGGACTAGGCTGTAAGTGCACAAATAAGTCAAGAATCCTTTCAAATTATATCTCTAAAATCCAACCATAAATTTCATGTTTTAACCTTTATTAAATGACCACTAGGCATGACACTAGGCATTTCACATGCATTCATATATTTACTCTAGGTAACAATTCTTTGATGTAATACTAATACTGGTAATGACTACTATTTATGTCATGCTTACTGTGTTTCAGGAACTATTTGAAGAGATCTACACACACAAACTCATTAAATATGCACCAAGAAAGCTAAATGGAGGGTTTCTATTTTCATCATCAACACACTGCTGTTCAGGAAAATAAGGCTCAAAGCTTATCTTACTTAAGGTCACATTGATAGTAGTGACTGAAGCAGGAGAAGAAACCTAGCTGTCTTGGTCTAATTTCTATCTTTCAACTACGGTGCTATACTGACTGTAAATAGTAGAATTTATCACTTGAAAAATAAGAAAATTTAGCATAGGAAAGTTTAGAATCATTCCCAAGATCATAAAGATGATTAAAAAAGGAATATACATTTTTTGACCCCAAATTCTGAGTGTTTTTCCTACTGCTCTTGCACCTTCACCCAGCAAATCCAGAGGAATTGATTCCACAATTTAGCTCTTTGTAGCTCCAGTGTGAAACTTAGCTATAGACCTATTTTTACCTTTTTAAAATCCAGACACTGATTAATGTGTTCTGTTCAACAATGTGCCCTCTACTTTGGAACTCACACATTCTTCCTCCCACAGGTATAACTTGTCTGCTTTGTCCGCTCTTCAAGAACAGAAGCAAAACCGTCAGTCTTGTTTGTTTGTTTCCTCTGATGAACACAGATGAGTGAGTGGGGTCATTATTTGCTGACATAAATATTTTCAACTTTTGGATTTGGTAATTTCGTTTTTAACTTCTGGACTTGATATTATATATCATTTTGGGGAAGCTATTAGAGGTGCATGAAGCCCACCTCACATGGCTGACACCAATCCAGTCATTTCAGTGTTCAGACAATCCTGAGTTGCACGCAGAGTTTTCCCAGACATGATCTCATCTTATCTTCACAATAACCCCATGACTTTGATAGGAAAGGTAATGTATCAGTCTGCTTTATGTCAGGGGAGAGAAACCAAGAGAGAATTTAATGTGGAGATTTAACCAGGTGTAAAGTTGTTAACTATTGAAAGGGGCAAAAAGAGAGCTCCAAAGTTTCACAAAGGTAGCTATTTCAGAAACAGCTAGAACCCTTAGTGCTGAGGAAACAAAGGGAATAGATTGCAGTCGTTAAAATTCAGGGACTTAGAGGAGAGATCCTGTAGAGCTGAAATTCAGACCCCTAAGGACCCGACCAGGTACCCCACAACTAGTGCTGGTGACTGGAGAAGAGAAAGGCAGCAGAAAGCTGGTTCTGCAAGTGCTGGGAAAATGGCAAACAGGATTCAGAGGCTGCTGCCAGGAAAAGAAGCCCTGCAGGCGTGACTCCTAGGAACTGCCAGCAAATAAGAAGCCCATAGGAAGCAGACAGGAAAAAGCTAGTCTCTGCTTCTCCCTCCATACTGGGAGACTCCCTCTAGTGTTTGCTAGAGGAGAACTGAAGAGTAGCCAGCCAGCAAAGCAGAAATGTGATGTACATATCCCAAGTCCAGTATCTCAGAGCCAAGTGTACAGACAAGGGTCGTATCGTTTGGCTTTGTGTCCCCACCCAAATCTCATCTCAAATTGTAATCCCCATGGGGATGGTTTTCCCCCTGCTATTCTCGTGATAGTGAGGGGGTTCTCAAGAGATCTGATGGCTTTAAAAGTGGCAGTTTCCGCTGCCTGCTCTCTCTCTCTCTCTCTCCTGCTGCCTTGTGAGATGTTGCCTGCTTTCCCTTCACCTTCTTCCATGATTGCAAGTTTCCAGAGGCCTCCCCAGCCATGTGGAACTGTGAGTTAATTAAACCTCTTTTGTTTATAAATTACCCAGTCTCAGGTAGTATAGCAATATGAAAACACTAACAAAGAGGGTTTGGACATTAAGGCCAAGAACTTAGTAACAAGAATAGGTAGATCATTTTCTTGGCCTAATATTTAAAAAATTAAGCATAAAAACAAAAACAAAAACAAAAATCTAAAAAATCTAAGCAAAATATCTTGCTAAGGTAATATATGTAGCTGGTACGTGGTGTTGCCTGGACTTAGATTTGGATATCTTGATTATAAACATCATATATCTTATTATATCTCATTTCTTGAGACCCAAACAATTGAAATAACTCATCTATAATCACATACTATTTCAGTGACAAAAACAAACCCCGCCAAAAATATCCAGTTTAGCACTTTTTCCTCCTACCTCTAAAATATCTCAGGTCGATGAGGAGACACCAAATTTAGGGGAAAGGAGAAGTTTAGATTGGAAGGGAGGAGGACCACAAAACCACAGCCTTCAGCAAGAGAGGGCTAAGCTGACCAGAGAAACAGCTAAACTGATAGAATTGAATGCCTCATTCATTTATAAATCAATTCACTCAAGAAATAATTATTGCAGCCTACCTAATTCCAGACATTATTTTAGATGATGGCAGTTCAGAAGTGAATAAAAATTACTGTTTTCATGCAGTTAACAATTCAGCAAGTGAGACAGACAATATATAACATAAATAGCGTATACAGTCCACCATCCCTATCTGCATGTTCCACATCTGTGGATTCAACCAAAAGACTGAAAATTTTCAGAAACAAAAATAAAAAATAACACAACAATGAAAATACAAATAAAAAGCACACAATATAACGATTATCTATATAGTATTTACATTGCATTAGTTATTATAAGTAATCTAGAGATGATTTAAAGTATATGAAAGAATGTTTATAGGTTATAAACAAATACTAGCCATTTTATATCTGAGGATTTTGGTATCCAAGGAAAGGGCCTTGAACCAATCTTCCAAAGAAACTGAGAGACAACTTTATAGTACATTATTGAGTATAGAAAATTAAAGCAAGAAAGGAAGGTAAGAAATACCAAAGTGGTTGGATTTCTCTGTAGAGTTGCCAGAAAAGGCCTCACGGAAAAGGTGACATTGGAGTGAAGACCTGAAGGAATCAAAAGATTAAGCCATGCAGAGATTTGGGGAAACATATTTCACGTTGGAGGAGCAGCATGTACATAGGCCCTGTGGCAGAGGAGGAAGAGTGAAGAATGTAACATAGCAGGAGCATCAGAAACCCGGGAGAGAGTAGTGGGAAATGATATGAGAAAAACAAAAGGGGAAACCTGTTTAGGCAGAGCCTCATGAAGATCTCCATTGCAATAGACTGTAGAGTTTGCTATGATCTTCTAACTTTCCCTGGAGGATAATTTTACTTTCTTTCTTATTGACATCACAGGTGGCAATGTGTCCATGAAATGTAAGCATACATCATATAAGAAGTATTAATAGCTAGCACATTGTTCCCTTTTCCCTTTTCCAGGATAAACAGCTCTATCAGGCTGGTTCTCAAAGGACAGGAGATGTGGAACTGAACTTCAGCAAACATGAAATAGCATGTATACAAGCAAGAAATTGACCTCTGGAGTTATAAGCAACCAAGATTTTCAATTTGTTACTGCGACATAACCTGGATTATTTTGAATGATAAGTACGCTCTAGTTATGTGTGGTCAGTATTTAGGCCTAGTTTTTTGTTCTGTTTCTTTCCTAAGAATAGCATGTAGGGTAAAAAGAAATATGTTAACTTGGACTTAATGGGACTCTAGTAGCTGTCATCCATTTGGGGGGATTCCATTCAGATAGTAAGTGATCTTTTCAATAAAAGAAAAAAAAAGAAAAGTTCAAGTCATTAGATCGGTTATTCTATTTCTCATAAACTATCGGTCAGATGAAAAAAAATCAGAACTTTACATGGAAGTCATTCTATCTTAAGGAAGATTGATGCTGTCCATTTGTTCTTCCTAGAAGCTAATGCCATATAAAAACTTATCACATCAATGGGAAGAAGCAAAGAATACAAGGAGAAGAAAGGGATGAGAAGAAAGTACGTCATCCCCTCCTTTATGCGGCATCTATTCTCTCTCAGCTTTTCTCCTCATAGGCAGCCATTGCTCTTCCAGTGTGTTCACTCTGCCTCCCAGTCTCTCCTGCGTACCTTTGCATGCATATCTTTGCATACAAACCAGCCACTCTGTTTTCTGTTGTTTCATCCTGGCTAAAACATGTCAATTCTTCTATTGAATAAGTGGTAGAGAGAAAAGAGAAAAAATTAAGATATTAAAACTTCCTAAGGATGATTTATTTTATAAAATGCCAAGTGACGATGATGAACCACTTAAAAAGCAGCAAAATACGCTGAAAAAAATTACCATGGTCTTATATGCCACTATCGTTATTCTGAAGAAATTCTATAGGGCTATTTTTATAATTTCTCACTCTCTGTCTCTCTCTCTCCCTCCCTCTCTCTCTCTCTCGATGGAGATAGGGTCTTGCTCTGTCACCCAGGATAGACTGCAGTAGTGGGATCATAGCTCACTACAGACTCAAACTTCTGGATTCATTCAATCCCCCCTTCTCAGCCTCCCAAGTACAAGTAGCTGTGACTACAGGCACATGACACCACACCCGGATAATTTCTTATGTTTTTTTAGTGACATGGACTTGCTATGTTGCCCAGGTTGGTCTCAAACTCCTGGCCTCAAGTGATCTCTCCTCAGCCTCCTAAAGTGCTGGGGTTACCGTTGTTACCATGCCTGCCCTAACATTTCTCTTAATTACATGTTACATTCCTTGAGAATTAAGATCCTGCCTCATTCACTTCGGAATGCCTAAAACCTAACACAGTACATAGGCACTGAAAAAATGTCTTTTGAACTAAAGTAAAATAAAATGAAATAAAAAGTAATTGGCTCCCTAAGGAAACTCATTTTTTGTTTGAAAATGTATTAAAATTTAATTTGGTCTTTATACCTCTCTCTCTCTTTCATCTAGCACGTGAACTAGCAGTGCCACGTCGGAGATGTCTAGAAATTTGCATATTTGTGGTTATATATATTATATGGCTAAATACGTATAGAAATACACAAGTACAATTTTAAATATGTTTATATTTTATGGTTTTTTTCCTGCATTGCAGGGAAAGTCTCCTGTAAGAGTGAATTGATAGCTTCAGTAGAAATCTCAATTTCTGTAACCTTTGATTTTCCTATCATTTAATACTGAAAGCCAATATATTGCTAAAGCCATAACTTTACTTTATCTACTGAATTTCTGTAAGCTGTAGCTAGGGAGAGATATGAAAAAAAATAATGTGCCTAGGATGTGATTATTAATATACACAAGACCTGTCATGTAAGAATGACTAGAATGTTGTTAATATGACTTTCACAGAATACACATAGCTTCTAAATGGTAACACAAATTACATCCAGTGTTCATATTACTGCTTGATGCTATTACCTAAGACAATATAAATTTTACACTCGAAGTAAGTTAGCTACAGCTTTCAATAAAGATCAAGCTCTCTCATGCTGTTCCTCCTACAACAAAACTAATTAGGACATTACACCACTGACAGCTACAATCCTTAGGATGTTATGTAATCTGCTGGGATTCAACACTATTTTTCCCCATTAGCTTTTTCTGACTTGAAGAGAAAATCCTGGATTTGTTATTCTTTGACACTTTCACCAATGAAACATGAGCAGCACTATGTATATGAATATACATCTTTCCTGTAATTTCAGCTTCACAAATTCTTATTGAGTAATGAATTTAAAAGATAGTGAAAACCATAGAAGGGAAAAAGAAAATGCAAATCTAGTGATTATTTTACTTATTCCTTTGGAATAAGCTTTGATAGATAAATAATTTGGAAAATCATTGGCCTCAGGTCAAAGATATATATGAATATTGTTAGTGTTCGTATATTGCCACAATAATGACAGCTTATTTTCAGTTTTCTTCAGCTAATAGTTAGCTTAGGAAAAAAGATAAAACACACCTTTAAAAAGTATTCTCAATATGATTGACTCATTAGCATCATATTATTGAGTTAAGGGTTTCATTTGTCTTCACTGAGTTTTTGTTGGAATTTTTGTTTTCTTCCTCCACTGTCTTCTAATAAGAACATAAAATTGCATCTTTTTCCTTCAGTGAAATGTAACTTAAGACGCCTCCATATAAGTGGTATTTAGTGATGAAATTATGTAGTAGAGACCCATTGTTCCAGTAAAAAAAAAAATGGCTTTTAGGATAAGACTTTAAAAAAATCATAAAATTTGGAGTTGTGAATTAGCTTTCATAAAGAAGGTATACAAGTCAAGAAGAGAATACTCAAATGTTTTGACATTCATTTAGTTTCAAAATACTTGGAAGTGAAACATGACACAACATTATCTTATGCACAATTTTGAATCATTTGGAAAAAAGCTACAAATCTTTGTTTGAACTCTAAAAATAACTTTTTACTCATCTCCTCCTACTTAGCAAGTATATCTGTAACCAACAATAACACTTTTTATACTAGTCAATTTGCCCAAATATGTATTTTTTATTTTTCTAAGCTGCCTTATTTTTAGATTATGAAAAACATAATTATCAAACTGCACTATTGATATTTATTAATAAACAGTATGAACAGTGGAAAGAACATGGGTTTTAGAATCCTGATATTTAACAAGGGTATGAATTCCCACTTACTTACTGGAGGGCCTAGAGCAAGGCATAAGTCTTTTCTGACTCATTAGTTAAGTGGGAAGAATAAGACCCATTCCTGGTATGAGATAACGTTTAGAAAATATTTGGTGTTTAGTAGGTAGTTAATATAGTTTTCCTTTCTTTTGTTTTTCACTCTATTAAAAACCTAAGGGACTTTCTCTAGAACTTTTGTGGAACTATTTTATTCTATGTCTCTGCAATTCTTTTGTGTATCTTTTCTTCATGCTTTAATTGTAAAAGTTCCACACTTCATATTGCTATCATAAACTGCTTTTTTCTCTATATTATACACTGTCTTGTGGCTTGTTTGAAAAATATTTTTAAAAAGGACAATTTTAAAAATTTAAGTAATTTAAGTAGGTCTCAATAAAACACATTTTGTTATTATATATATTTGAGTTTACCATGGTTAAAAGATAGATTTGGGTTTCCATGGTTAAAAGATATCACCTAAAACGTAAAAACATGCAATAAAAAACATGATATATAACACCTGTAGTTTATTTCAGCATTAGCAGTTTTATTGAACCCCCCCAGAAAATTCTAGCTACAGTTAATCCATTCAGTTTCTATTTAAAATAAAAAAGGGAAGAAAGAAAGGAAAGAAGGAAGAAACTTTTAAGAGATCAGAATTTTAAACAATGCGTTGATTAACATAGTTTGAAGGAAAGTATTTACACTTTTGGCAAACTGTATTCCTCACGAAATGCTCACAATTAGAAATAGTATTACATTTCTAAATGCATCGTAATTTTTTTGAATATTTCCTATGAGCTACGTTTACTTGATTACAACTAAATTAATAAATACACTTACAACTTTCCTCCTGTTAAAGATTCTCCTGTCTTCTCTAGAAACTGAATAAAATTAATCCTGATTTTCTAGCCATAATGTAATCTCATTGATGCATTTCATATTTATTATAAACATCTTTCTTTTTGAACCTCATGGGAATCACAATCTCCAAGTCAGTAGCTAAGGTGGAGAGAAAATAATGTGCATTACGTCCATATTCCTTTTATAGTCCGCCTATGAAATACCCTTTTTTATATCATTTTCAGTCTCTGTGCACAAATTTTCTATTTTTGAGCACTGATGATTTTCATTAAATGGAAATATTGCTTTAATATTGGTTCACTGAGTTCTCTATTCTTAGACTAATTTTAATATCACTCATTCTTTTTAAATGTATAAATTGTGTGCTATTACACAGTAATAAATGTGGCAGTAACAATAAATTGATTGCCTTCAATATTTAGAATTACAGATAGAAAGGGCATCGATTACTAACATTTATCACATTATGTATTAAGCACAAAACTTACACTTAATCCTTTCAACAACCATGTAACATAGGTAACATTCTCTTGACTTTTTCCATGAAAAATCTGATGTTTAGAGAGGTTGAGTGTGTTGCCAAGACGACAAGATAATCTATCTTTGCTATCCTCCAATATATTGATTAACCTGAAATAATTTGGTTGTGCTCACACAGCTAGTGAGAAGTAGAGCCAGCATATATATAAGGTGAGTATTTCTAGATTTCAAATATTTGTGTTCAACTATCAGCTCAACCATTTAGAGCTCTGCTTTCTGACTCAAGGCATACAATTTATTCCAATTTTCTGATTACTCACATGCAGACTCTATGGTTAACAAGCTTCTCGTCTTTTGGAAAAATAGTAAGAAAATACTTCACACTTTCCATATGTATGTAAATATTTCATGAAATGCAAAGAACCTACAAAATGATGGGCCACCAGCCGGGCGCCGTAGCTCACGCCTGTAATCGCAGAACTTTGGGAGGCAGAGGTGGGAGGATCATGAGGTCAGGAGATCGAGACCATCCTGGCTAACACGGTGAAACCCCGTCTCTACTAAAAATACAAAAAATTAGCCGGGCGAGGTGGCAGGCCCCTGTAGTCCCAGCTACTAGGGAGGCTGAGACAGGAGAATGGCGTGAACCCGGGAGGCGGAGCTTGCAGTGAGCCGAGATTGGCGCCACTGCGCTCCAGCCTGGGCAACGGAGCGAGACTCCGTGTCAAAAAAAAAAAAAAAAAAAAGATGGGCCATCATATTCAGTATTTAATCGGTAGGCACAAACAGCTCTTGCATTGTATGGTAGTGCAATACTATTAAAATGATCAAGAAAGCTGAAAAAACACAAATAATTCTCAATAATCAATGGAAAAAATTATGATTTTTTCATGGCTTTAAGGAAATTTTTTTCAAAAATTAAAAACCCTGTCAGTTAAACATGTATGAAGAAATGAAAAAATAATAATAAAATGAATTATTTCTTTAGCATAATATTACTTAAAATACTGCCAACACTGAGAATTCAAAGTATTTTATTTCGTTGCAAAAACTTACACAAATTAGTTTAAACAGTGTTTGCCTTCTTCTTCTCATCAAGTAACTTACAGTATAGACTGAGAATCCTTTTTATGCCTTGGCAAATTGTCATGCTCATTTTTATCTTTGGATCAGTTTTTAACAATTTATCCTTTGCACTTTCAATATTGTGAAGTATCTCCAAAGATTTCTTTAATGCGAGTTTTGGCTGACATCACTTCACCTCGGACAGCTTCATCTTTTCCAACACAACCGCTTTCCTCGTTTATGCCAGTAAAGTTCACCTATACTCACTTCTCTAGCTGCATACCTAGAATCTCTCATAAATGCAGCATTATTAACATTCTGATGGCTAGCTATTTCTTTTGTAACTCCATTTACATTCAATTTAAATTTCACGTTCAGTGTTTATTATTTTTTGTTTCTTTGTTACTTTCATTTTTGGGTGAGCTTCCTCTTTTGATTATCCATTTTCATAAAATGTCACATGAATTTATCTTTGGGAGACAAGGAAGCACCACAACTGCACATTTTGCTACCTCTGCGTGAAGTGAATAGCAGATGCACCATGACCAATCACCAATAGACTTTTAAAGTAGTGATGTGATTTGCCACTGCTCATGATGCACGTTGGTTATTTATGTAGTGACTTGTGGGTGGAATAGCTAGCAGCAAAATACCTTATGCAATTACTCACAGTTAATATACCATGGCAACTGAAATTTTCACCATTATCTTTGAAGACTTGTGTTGTGTAACTAAACTGTGGTGACTGAATTCATGCGTATCAAACTGAGAAAAATTAAGACTATCTGTATTTGAGTAGCTCTTTAAAATACACATAATTTTTTAAAGTGTGTATTATTTTGCTCTTCATGATAACCATAGATAGAGTATATATTTCCAAGATAAATTAAAATATATTTTAAGATTTAGACATTAACAAAAAATATGGCTTTTATAGCTGGGTGAGCCATGTCATATTTGGTGGTGGCACATGCCTGTAGTCCCAGCTACTCAGGAGGCTGACGTGAGAGGATGGCTTGAGCCAAGCAGATCCAGGCTGCAGTGAGCTATGATTCTGCCACTGTACTCCAGGCTGAGCAAAAGAATGAGATTTCATTTCTTTTAAAAATAAAGTAGCATGTAACTTTATGGAAATAAGTTAATAGAAATATTTATAGCATCCATAACTTATACAACTTCAATGTTAAATATTCAGTCAAGGGATATGTTATTCTAAGTTCAGTCAAGGGGTATGTTATTCTAACAGGCCTATAACCTACTCAGTAGTCTTTGCAATGCTGCAGTCACTTTAAGGGGCAGCAATTTAACATCAGAAGATTTTCTGGGTCTAAATACCACAATTATTCCTCCAAGCCAAAGGATCTGAACACATTTTCTGAGACAGTAATCACTGAACCTTTTTTATTGTGGCATATGTGTTGGATACTATGCATTCATTATTTTGAATCTCAAGAATAATGCTGCAAGGTAGGCATTAAGTATTATCTATAATTTACAGACAAGGAAATAAAAGTCCAGAGTCATTAGGTAATTTGCCCAAAGTTACCTCCTCATGTCTCTGGCCTATAAATCAGGCTTTCCTTTTTAAGGGAAATACTGCTCTTCCCAGGTTGAATAAGCTTTCCAAGGAATGCATAAAAATAAATTAATTGATGGATCCTACCTAGAAATATGGGATTAAAACCAATTATCATTAGCAAATCAAGAAGCGTGGTTAATATCTACCTTATAGCACATGGAAGTCTAAGGAGCAGTTTGGTTCTTCCAGATCCTCTCTGGTGCTAAATAGGCATAAATCTGGTCTAAATGTGACTCTATTCCTCTTCTTTTCCCACCCTTTCTCAATTCAACTAAATATAATGAGGGATTAAAAGCTTTTCAGAGCTTTTATATCACAGACACTCTGCAGAAATGAGCTCACTGTATTTTATAGAAATACAAAGACTTCCCATTTATAGTAGCTTATTTCTCTGTGTATTTGTTTTAAGATCATTGCTCATCTTTCTGTAACAGATCAACTTATTTTTAAAAACTGATCTAAGTTACAGTTGTAATTTCTTGAAATGCAATATATTCTGAGAAAAGAAAAATCAAAAGAATGTAACTTATTGTAATTTTGCCATACAACATTACCTTCCAATTTTCTGTGAAATATAAAATTTTCTTTCAATTTTGAAATATAACAGATTGCATCTTTTTAATTACCACAGTAAATGTGGAGGTAAGGAGCTGCATTTGAATTTTTTGACTAAATGTCTCCAAAACCAATAGAAAAGAGTAAGCCTCTTGAAGAGTGTGGATAGATACATGAGAATTTTCTCAACATATTTTTAAAATGTTGGGACTATGAAGTTGAGGAACTATGTTTATCACTTAATAAAGGCTATTTTAAAGCAAAAATACAATATAAATATTTATTACTATTTTCTCCTATAGTTATCTTACAGCTTATTTTTTGACAATATACACTTCTTCAGCTTCTCCCACCCCACCTATAAGCTTATCTGCAACAATCCCATCATTACGTCTTTCTTTCTTTTTGCCAGGATGTCATTCTTCTTGTCTACAGTTAACCCTTTAGCCTGTGCCCTGGATCACATTCTCTGATTTTCTCTTGGCTCATGTTGCACCAATTTTCCTTTCATTCTTCTGCATCTTTCACTATTCTTACTCTTTATTCTTGGTCATTGTCATATGCAGTAGCTCAAGTCTTTATCATAGAAAACCTTTCATCGACCATATAACATCCTTAACTTATTTTCTCTTCTTCTCTCCTCAGCCAAGATTCTTGAAAGTATTGTTTACAATACAGTAATCTTTTTGTTTAATGGAATTAAATTCCTTCTGAAACTGGATTCTGCTTTTAACATCACACTGAATTTGCTCCAGAAAAAAATCATCAGTAACCTCTGTACATACCATGTATATCAAATCTGGTCTTTCTGGACATTTCTCCATCGTTGGACCCTGGAGATGATTTTTTTTTTCGACAGCTCCCTTTTCCACTGCTTCTATGATGAATTTCCTTGGTCTTATTCCTAAAATTTCCACTCCTTTCAAACTGCATTTTTACACTTTGACTTTTATGTTTTGTTTTCCTTGGCTTTCTACTATTCTCATTTTACACAAACTTCTAAATGATCTTATTCTGATTTATTTCTTCATCTGATGTAGATGTGATGGAAATCACCTCTGTCCAGACCTTTCTCCTAAGCTGTAAATCAGCACAATAAAATACCTCTTGTACAAAGTCAGTTCCTTTAATCTCTTTTAACCTCTTCCCTTGAAAGCTGCTTCTCCTCATGTTCTCTTTTTCTTAGTTGATTCTACTGCTATCTACCCAGTCCCCCAAGTCAATAATGTCATTGTTTTCTTCTTAACTCATCACTTTTCTTCATTTTTCACAGCTACTCAGTTATCAGTGTCTGTTAGTTCTACACCTAAATGTATCTCAAATATGCCTCCTCTATATTCGCACTTCCATTGCCTCAGTGAGGTCCTTATTATTTTGGAAGTTGATATCTGCAATGGCTTTGACCTTTATCTACTTCCTCCCCTAAATCTATCTTCACACTGCTTTTGGAATGATTTTTTTTTTTTTAAACACAAACTTTTTCGAGCTTAAAGTCTACCAGTTGCTCCCACTTGCATTTAGGATAAGTTTAGACTTTCTCATCTGGTTGGACCAGGATTTTTCTCTACCCTGCCTGCCTTCCAGCTTCTTCTCCTGCTGTGGAGATAATGCCGCAAGGTAGGCATTAAGCACTACCACACATTTAAGAAAGGAAATAGAGGCCCAGAGTCTCTGGGAAACTTGCTTGAACTCATATAATTAGGAGGTTCTCCTATGGTCCTCCTGTGAGGGTACATGCATTATTTTTACCAGTCCTGTGAATCTACTGCTAAGTCTTCAAAGCATAGTGCTCTTTCACACTTACGTGATTTAAGCAAGGCCTTTCTCTTGCTGGAATATTCTTCCTCACATATCCACTTCACTGCATTCAAGACACAGCTCCAGAGTCATCCCTTCTCAAAAGCACTCCCTAGAGGCCGGGTGTGGTGGCTCACGCCTGTAATCCCAGCACACTGGGAGGCTGAGGCAGTTGGATCACTTGAGGCCAGGAATTTGAGACTAGCCTGGCCAACATGGTAAAACCCTGTCTCTACTAAAAATAACAACAAAAAAAAAAATAGCTGAGTGTGGTGCTGCGTGCCTGTAGTCCCAGCTACTGGGGAAACTGAGGCCAGAGAATCGTGTGAATCCAAGAGGTGGAGGTTGCTGTGAGCCAGATCGCACCACTGCCCTCCAGCCTGGGTGAGAGAGCAACGCTCCGTCTCAAAACAAACAAACAAACTCAGCATTCCCTAATATTTCAATGATGAGATAGGTGCTCCTGCTTCATGCTGCTTCTATTTCAATGACAGTTAAATATCCCTTGGTTTTAGCATTTTTTCCACTTTTATTGTGATCCTCCACTTATCCCCCCTCCTAACAGTAAGTCCTCAACCACTGTATGTATCTCACCTCTGTGCCTCTTGCAGTGTGCACAGTTTCTGGAATTTGATAAGGCATCAGTTCTGGATTTCTCTAATTATTAATTTTAATCCACTGAAAGGTAGAGATAAATCATTGCTTTCTCTTATTTGGAAAATGAGAACTTGGGCCTACATTATCACTATGTGATACTATGATTACAACTTCTTTGTATTTCTGTGAAGTTCTGTATCTGTACATATTCTTGGAATATGCAAACATTGCAGGCCCTGAAACGTAGTGCACTTGGCTTATGTTTAATTTCTTTAGTACACAAAAATACTGATTAATTTTACTATTGTGATGTATGTACCTGAGTTTATATGTGTTCACAACAGGCAAGACAGACAAAAGTACAAAGTATACAAAAAATAATTTGAATTTATTGGTGTGTACATTAGGCTGTCAATCTGAGGCTCAAGCAACTAGTAAGGTCAGTGAAGTAAATGAAACTGTAGGCCAGTTTGGTGGATAAAGAAAACAAAGACTGAACACTTTAAGTTAGTAATTTTGCTGAATTGATTAAATTATTTATTTGATCAATTTGATCAAGATCATCTATGTCTAGAAAGCTTATGGACTCATATATATTATTACATAGTCATTGAGAACATTAAAACAACAAAAATATTTATTTTAAAAAGAAGGACATATAGAACTAAATAATCATGCAGATTTCCATCTAGGCTGTCACATTCAGATACCTGGAATCTAAAAAGAGACAGAGACTTGAAAAAGAAATTTAGACTAAAATAAAAAATGATCTGACTCAAGTTCTCTTGCTATCGTAATGTGCAGCATATTTAAACATAAAGAAATTTCTCAAAATCAAATTTTGTAGGCATTCTGTTTACAGGTTTTGCCCAATCTGGGTAGTAGATTCTTGATTCTGATGGAAAACTGAGGTCCACTATTTCCAGGTATAAACATATAACAATAGAATATTAACTCAAAAGCATGTAAAGATGGAATTCATAATATGTAATGGGAACAATATAACATTTTCTTATCGATTTGCAGAGGCATATTACTGTATATGAACAGGATTTATGAAGACTTATATAGCTGCATAAATAGGTAAATAAAATGGGAATAAAAGTAAATTCAGAAAAGCAAGATAGAGGCAGTAATGTGTTGAACACACAAAACATAGAAAACAAGGCCCTGCATCCTTGCTCAAGGAAGACATAAAATTAATTCTAAGTTCTCTAGATGTGACAGAAGAAAATAAAATCAATAACGCCAGCCACAGCACCTATAGTGTAGAAACAAGCCAATTGTTTAAGAAAGACAATTATTCCAGTAAATGGTAAAATGCATTTACCTTATAGGTTTTCCTAGAGAGGATTCCATATTATATAATAACATAATTAACGACAGACTGATAGTAAATACAACGTTGACTGTTATGGAGCTATTTTTAATATGGTATTCAATATAGCTTAATAGTATTATGACACAGTTAAAATCAGTAAAATTACTTCAGTAGAGGGATCAACTTAATGTGCTCTCTACATGTGATATCTTTCTGTCCAGCTTCACAAAAAAAGAAGTTTTAAAGTGAAGACCTCAAAATAACATTTATGCAAAAGTTCAGGCAAGTAAGAGAAATTAGGGCAAGATAAGTAGAAATTAAATATCTGTGAGAGCCTATCTAAACTAAAGAGATTTAAATATAATTTGTAACAATAATAACCTGTGGAGACCCAAGAAAGCAGGCCTGGAAATGAAGACCAGGTTTGGCCATCAGTTGCAAATTCTGTTTTGGTGAACTAAGATGAGCGACTACTTTGTCTATATTCCAAAAATACTGCATAATTATTGTTTATCTTAGCCAATCTTCTGAAAGTTATTGAAAAATAATAATGTCAAGATTTTACTCCCTGGCAAATACCTAAAGTCTAGCTGTTCAGTGCTATTAGTAAAACAGAGTCTTATGCATTATCAAATAGATTAACTAGGGTGGAAGGGATATTGCCTGTAAAAATAGAGAAGAAAAAATTAAGCATGAACCTGAATAGAGGGATTTCTGGTTGGAGTGCTAAAATTCCTCTTGGAATCTGATTTTGAACTTTTTAGGCATAATTAAAAAGTTCTTAAAATAGAAAAATTGTAGCTATGATAGAACATAAGAAACATTCTTGGTGGATCAGAAATTGTATGATTCTCCAAAAGATAGAACATAGAGTTGTATAAAGAAGAAAAATCAGTGAAAACTTAAAATGCCAACAATAGAGAGAAAACCTAGGGAGACCTTCAGGTTGTGTGGACTCAAATCCCGGCTGTGCTTTCTTCTTAGTGTGTGACTTGAACAAATTAGAGAACTTTTCTCTGCTTCATTTTTTTCTACTTACAAAGTCATGGTAAAATTAGCTACTCACAGAGTTGCTGTGACAATTAAATGTGTATGTAAAGCACTTAAAAGAGTGTCAGGTCCAATCTAAGCACTCTATCTCTATAACTATTAATCATCAGTATGTTATTTTTGCAGCTATTAATAACAATATTATCTTAAAAATGAAAAGCAGGCAATAATATACTTTTAAATAGGAACTGGTAAATTCCTAGTCAAAGTACAGTGTTATTACCTGGATTCTTGATCAAACAATAGATACGAAGACAAAAGAAGTTATAGATTATTAAATTTGTTTTAGTTATCTATGGTTATATAATGGCTAAAAGCAAAAGAGATTTATTATTTCTCATAGTTTTGAGGGTCAGGAACTTGGGAAGGGATTGGCTAAATCTCTTCCTTCTCTTCCATGGACCTCAAGAGAATGCCTGCTCTTCAGGTCAATGAAGTATCACTGGGAGCACTCACAAATCCACTTCATGTAAAGGCTTGGCTAGAGAAGAAGGTGCAAGAAGACATCATCACATGCTGTACATCTCAGTGCACCTTTACTAGAGCTTCCCCTCTGTTTTCACATGTTGTCTTCTCAATCACTGATTTAGCCCAAATTTGTTGAAGGTATTTGCTATTTCTCTGAGTATAAGTAGAAGCTGTCAAGCCTACCACAGGTTAGGCCTAGAATTGCCACAGTGTTGCTTCTGCCTCATTTTATTGGTCAAGGGGAGAAACTGATGTGACCTGCTTTGGAGAGTCTCAACCATAAGTCATTTAAAAGGATGAGGTGGCTCACGCCTGTAATCCCAGCACTTTGGGAGGCCGAGGCTGGCAGATCACAAGGTGAGGAGTTGAAGACCAGTCTGGCCAACATGGTGAAACCCTGTGTCTACTGAAAATACAAAAATTAGCTGAGTGTGGTGGCATGCGCTTGTAATCCCAGCTACTCGGAGGCTGAGGCAGGAGAATCACTTGAACCCGGGAGGCGAAGGTTGCAGTAAGCTGAGATCACACCACTGTCTGGTGACAGAGTGAGACTCCGTCAAAAAAAAAAAAAAGAAAGTTGATCATGTGTATATGTATGATATACATGTGAATGTATGCATTCTCAGCAGTCTATATGGTTTGTGTAGCTCCTATTAAAAAAATACGGAGAATGAAGACAATGAAGACACTTCTGAAATACACACGAAACATTAAAAAAAAACCATATACTAAATCACAAAGTAATGAATCACAAAGTATGATGTCATAGGAGTTTTATTCACTGAACACAACACAATTAAAAATTTACAGGAGCCAAGATGTCCAAATAGGAACAGCTCCAGTCTACAGCTCCCAGCGTGAGCGACACAGAGGATGGGTGATTTCTGCATTTCCAACTGAGGTACCAGGTTCATCTCAATGGGGAGTGTCGGACAGAGGGTGCAGGACAGTGGGTGCAGCGCACCGAGCACCAGCCGAAGCAGGGCGAGGCATCGCCTGACCAGGGAAGCACAAGGGGTCAGGGAATTCCCTTTCCTAGTCAAAGAAAGGGGTGACAGACGGCACCTGGAAAATCGGGTCACTCCCACCCTAATACTGCACTTTTCCAATGGTCAGCAAATGGCACACCAGGAGATTATATCCTGCGCCTGGCTCAGTGGGTCCTACGCCCATGGAGCCTTGCTCATTGCTAGCACAGCAGTCTGAGATCATACTGCAAGGTGGCAGCCAGGCTAGGGGAGGGGGCGCCTGCCATTGCCAAGGCTTGAGTAGGTAAACGAAGCGGACAGGAAGCTCGAACTGGGTGGAGCCCACCGCAGCTCAAGGAGGCCTGCCTGCCTCTGTAGATTCCACCTCTGGGACAACAAGGCATAGCCAAACAAAAGGCAGCAAAATCTCTGCAGACTTAAATGTCCCTGTCTGACAGCTTTGAAGAGAGTAGTGGTTCTCCCAGCACACAGCTGGAGCTCTGAGAACAGAGAGACTGCCTCCTTAAGTGGGTCCCTGACCCCCGAGTAGCCTAACTGGGAGGCACACCCCAGTAGGGGCAGACTGACACCTCACATGCCCAGGTACTCCTCTGAGACAAAACTTCCAGAGGAACGATCAGGCAGCAACATTTGCTGTTCACCAATATCCGCTGTTCTGCAGCCTCTGCTGCTGATACCCAGGCAAACAGGGTCTGGAGTGGACCTCCAGCAAACTCCGACAGACCTGCAGCTGAGGGTCCTGACTGTTAGAAGGAAAACTAACAAAGAGAAAGGACATCCACACCAAAACCCCATCTGTACGTCACCATCATCAAAGACCAAAGGTAGATAAAACCACAAAGATGGGGAAAAAACATAGCAGAAAAACTAGAAACTCTAAAAATCAGAGCGCCTCTCCTCCTCTAAAGGAATGCAGCTCCTCACCAGCAAGGGAACAAAGCTGGAAGGAGAATGATTTTGACGAGTTGAGAGAAGAAGACTTCAGACAATCAAACTACTCTGAGCTAAAGGAGGAAGTCTGAACCCATGGCAAAGAAGTTAAAAACCTTGAAAGAAAATTAGACGAATGGCTAACTAGAATAACCAATGCAGAGAAGTCCTTCAAGGACCTGATGGAGCTGAAAACCATGGCACGAGGACTACGTGACGAATGCACAAGCCTCAGTAGCCAGAAAAAAAAAAGGAAACTCATGGCAGTTCAACCTCTAAGGATTGCCATGACTTCAGGAATATTTATTAGAGGCTTCTTTGGATAATTAAAAATCGAGTCTTTTTGTTTATGAGTCATCAGAAATGAGAAATTATTAGGCTGTCTATGCCATAAAAGATCTTTAGTTTGACCTTGAAATATAACTTCTTTTACTTAGGGAGGGCAGGAGGCAAATAAGCAGAACTTACTGACCTTAGGAGAGCCTGCCAACTTGCCAGACTGTTAATGTTTACACTGAGATTAGGTCCCCACTGATGAGCGACACTTGCGAAAAGGCAAGGCTTTCTAACCTCAGCAGCAACACCTGAACAACAGGTCAAGAAAATGCCAAGTGCCTTAATGTTGCTAAAGGAAGTAGCTATTGTGAAGGCAGAAACTCACTAAGAAATAAAAATAAAAGAAAAAGTGACCTAGAAACTAAGGGAAGTAGAAATGTCCTAGCTAATCATTATGCCAAACAGATGGTCCTTATAAAATTTTTGCCCCGGCCGGGTGCGGTGGCTCACGCCTGTAATCCCAGCACTTTCGGAGGCCAAGGCAGGCGGATCACGAGGTCAGGAGATCGAGACCATCCTGGCTAACACGGTGAAACCCCGTCTCTACTAAAAATACAAAAAAATTAGCCGGGAGCGGTGGCGGGCGCCTGTAGTCCCAGCTACTCAGGAGGCTGAGGCAGGAGAATGGCGTGAACCCGGGAGGAGGAGCTTGCAGTGAGCCGAGATGGCACCACTGCACTCTAGCCTGGGCGACAGGGCGAGACTCCATCTCAAAAACAAACAAACAAAAAATTTGCCCGTATCTGCAAATTTTTTGCACCGTCTCAGTCTTTTATGTCTCTGCAATAAGTTCACAGAAGTCATTATATACAAAAATTTTTTTCCTGACATCAGAAAAAAATATTAGGAAAGATCTGATGTTAATTACATGAAGATAATCTCAGGCTTCCTAGGAGGGTACCTCATAGTGTCAAACGATCTCAAGTGGAAATAAAGTAAAATCCAAATGAGGTAAGTCAAATCCACAAGAACATGTCTCTAATGTATTTCTCATCTGCCTAAAACAAAATCTTGACAAAACTGTAAAGAAAGGACATGAATGCAGTCAAATCCTTAGGCCTACTTGAATAATTTCAAGTGAACTTTATATAAAGACTCCCTTTCAATGGAGTATGACTATGTTCTGGTTGAGGCATGTTTGTGTTCAGTGAGGGTCAAATCTTTTCCTTTCTGTAGAGTTATAGCTCTGAAGTGGCTAAAAGTAATCACTTTTATGCATGCTTCTTGGGAACCTCCAAACTATCTTTTTATTGCTAGAGATGCTCATTTTACTAAAAGCGCCATTAAAGAGCTCTACAAGGTACAATAACTTGCTGAGAAACTTCACTATGCATATAATCTAATCTTTGGCAAAGAGGAAGGAAGAAATTAAAATTTCAAATTAGCTAAAAATTTGAGACAAACATAAATTTTTTACTCTAAGATCTTTTAACTTTATAATAATACAAAAATCTCTTTTGGAAGTTCATCAATTCTGCTTTTATAAGTTAGTAATAGGTAGATTCATGTATCTAGGAATATCACCTCTGATCCTAGACCCTGCCCTTTTGTGAGCAAATACAGCCAAATAATGTATACGACCCATGCAATACAGAAAATCTTATCAATTTACAGGCAGCCTTTCCTCAAACTCTTTTCAAACAATGTATAAACTAAAACCTGGAGACTTCGTTTACTTGAAGAAATGTCAGAGAAAAACTTCTATTGAAAAGGGCGTGATCTGGTACTATCAACAAATGGCAACAAAGCCTATAAGCTTATAAGCAGTATAGTAATGTAAAGCAAAGTAAGAAATGTACACTAACTTTCCCTTACAAAATGCCATTTTAGAATTATATAGTGTTCTGCTATGTGGCAACAGAAAATAAAACTCTGCTTTCCTATAAGTGGTTTCTTCATCTGAAGAAGAAATTTTATGCACTAATAAACATTATTAAAATTTATGGTCTGTATTTACAGCATTTATTAAATAACATTTGAAGGTATATTCGATAAACAAACTATAAAAGCTATATAGTCTTTTAATTGTTTCTTACACATGTTGATAATCTTTCATAAATCACTAAAACAAGATGAAAGGAAGAAAGGGAGGAAAGAAGGAACAAAGGAGAGAAGAAAGGAAGGAAGGAGAAAGGGAGGGTTAAGAAGGAAAAACGGGAGAAAAAATAAACAGGGAAAGAAAAAAATAAAGTATATTTTTCTGTCTTCTCACTAAGAACTCTAGAGAAAAATGAATACAGAAGACTATCTGATATGGAGATTAAAATATACCACCTCAATGTGTCCTTCTTTGGCATATTTTGAGATGACTATTCAGAGGGGCTTCAGACACAGGACTAGCTCTAAAAAGCTATCTTTTTGTAGAAGAAACTTATATCTGTCTACCTTAGTAAAGCAAGGGATGCAGGAAGAGGGTTTCTCTGAGGTTTCCTTATCCAAATGTAGGAAAGATTAACTCACAGAAAGAGGAGGCTAAATGTCTGAAACTTTTAAAGTCTCACAGAAGAAATTCTACCCAAGACTTCTAGTTATTCTTTCTGAGGGCTCCAACCTGGGAGACTTCATCTATATAACATAACACTATGCATTTTCTCCCCTCACCATCCTGCAACCTGGTCTCCACCTCCCCTCAGCAACTCCAAGCCTCTATTCCTTTCTGTACAGTATAAAAAGTAGTCATCTGGCCTTTCTTTGAGGCTCATAATTTGTGTGGCTCTCACGCACATGTGCATGTACTACATTAGCATTCCTTCTCTCTTGTTAATCTGTCTATAGTTGGTTTGCTTTACAGATTCAATTATCAAACCTTGAGAAAGGGAGAGAAGGAAGGAAAATTCCTTTTGCCCCATACAGGGGGAAACTAAAAAGCATGGTAGGCAAAGTTTCCAGTACACTCACATCTTGATTGACGTAAAGCTCATCTAAGTGTATAGACCCAGCCTCTAGAGATTATATTTCAACAGGTTGGAAATGGAGCCAGGAATTTCAAGAAGTTTCCCATAGGATTTTGCTTCAAGCGTTCTGAGGATCTGTCTTTGAAAAACACCTTGATTGTATTAATTTGTGTGGGGGGATGTAGAGGGGGAGGGAAGTTCAGATTACATCTGGATTATTTTATTCTCTTTTACTGTTGGTGTAAAGATGTCTGCCATTTCACAGGGCCCATATTTTTAATCACAGGTAATTAAAATTTTTCCAACTATCCTTCCACAAAATGCATTCTTTAAAATATCTATCTATCTATTCCTGCATGCATATGTGTATATATGTAACCAGGGACCTCAGTTTTTAAAATCATCCACTTTCTTTTTCTTCTTTCCCTCCTTTTCACCTCTTCATTCCTTCCCTTCTAGGCACCCCCCTCCAGTAACGCATGCTTATCTAACTATTATCTTGCTTAAGAAATTTCAGAGGCTAATCTTGAATAAACCAAGCATGGAGCTGTGATTTCAGAATCCTCCCGCTTAAGGCTGAGTCATGAACAACTAGTCTGCCACCATTGAGCTGAAGTCAAGATAATGCCAAGCACACCTCCAGATGGGTGATTATCCAAATAGCCATCACAACAAGACACACAGATCCTGCACCCTGTACCACTACCACATGTTGCCCATGCCAAATTTCCCTTTAAAAATCCTATGGTAAATTTTAAAATTTAAGATGGTACTTTAGATGGTAATTGCCATCTTCTTGGTTTTCTAGCTCTCTAAGTAAACCTGCTTTTCCTCCCATCAACCCTCACCTCTTTTGTCTGGCTTTCAAGTGGTGAGCAGCCAGACTTGGGTCGAGTTATATATGTAAAATTTCAGCCGACAAAGTAAGAGTCACTGCATTACTTATTAAGAAAAATGATTGCAGGATGATAATGTCTATTCATCTCTGTAGATAGATCTGAGTCTTCTTTTCTTATATTTTCTTCAGTAGACATGTACCCCCTATGGGATTAACATTCTCTTGTGAATTGTAGTAATGGAAGTACTACTTTAAAACTTCTTCAGCAGACTAGGTCATTTTCTGCTTTGAAATAACACTAATTTTTTATATAATTTATTAAACATTCCCCAAAATAGCTGGCAATGGCCATTAACCACTTTTGGTTCAATATTGTATGAGTTATATTTATTTCCAGTAACATCTAAATTGCATGAGGCTAAGGAACCTTAGCACTTGTTGTTACTTACTTGGATATATTTTGTATTTTCATTACTCTCAAAGGGGCTATAGAGCCAGACATAAGGTTAAAGAATGGATTATATTGACTCTCCTTCAGAAGAGGCGACTTGATTTCTTCATATTCCCTTTTCACTCTTCTACTACCTGTTCACAATTTATTTTCCTAGTTCTCTTTAACTTAAAGAAATAAACAATAACCATCTACACTGTTACAAACAACTACTTTTTTTAATTCTCCTCCACTTACCACTTTCAATTCTTACATTATACCATTTAGCAAGTGGATAAAATACAACAGAAAGACTCACCTGGTTATTAGTTTACTCTAAAAACTAGAGGATTGAAATTAAGCTCCTGCTATTGAGATGGAGTTTGAAACAGCAAATAGTGACACATGTGTCGAGGGTATATTTCAGCCTCACAGATCAATTCTAAAGAGCCAAATTCCCATAAGGATCTTTGTTCAGAGAGCTCCAAGTATTTGTTGTTACTCTGCTTTGCATAAGTTGTAAATCCTTTTTCAGGATAGCCTAAACCTACTTCTATCAAAAAAGACTATCAGTAGGTAGAATTAAAAGTAGCTAAAAAGATGAACAAAACTCTTGCTTGGGGTTTATTCATACACCGTGATTCACATTCAACATGAAGCAAAGTCCCCATAAAAACTAGGTTCCTGCTCTTACAGAGACTGGGAGATAGTTGGTGCTATCGTTCCTGAAGACTGCATTTCTCAGAGATGTTTCCCAGCACATGAAGTGACATTTCTGGGTTCTACAGCTGGCAAGAGACTTTCTAAAAAGGCTTACATCAAAAAAAGTTAGAGAAAGAATTTACATTTGTAGTACAAGTTTTCTAAAGTAAAGCTCTAACAAAAGGCAAGTCAAGGCCTTGAGTCAGGAAAAAGCCCACCTAAAGTTTGTTCAAACTGAGGAAATCATTAAGGCCATCTTGGTCAGCTGGTAACAATTCTCTGTGTTTCTAGTATAGGAAATTGTTGGGATATGATAAAACTTGTAAATGTGATGGCAATGAATGTTCAACTCCATGATCTCTTTACATACTGTCTTAAGCAGAAGTGATTTCAGAATCAGATTATTCATAACGACAAGACCCAATAAGAACAAATAAATCAGAATCTGGAATTATTTTACTTTTTTTGAGTAAAGGAAATACAAAGAAGCTAATATTTGAGCTTTCTTTTCTAAAATAAACTTCCAGGCTGTCCTGAGGCCAGCTATTTAAAATATCTACATCAAGGGTCTTATGAAATAAAAAAAAAAAGTTATAAAAGGTGACCCTAAGGCACAATAATATCTATAGTCATCAAAGAAAAAAACTGCAGTTATTTTCTAGATATTCTACTTTCTGTTGCAGAAAATTGTATAAATTATATTTAGGAGCATTTCTTCTAAGAATTGAATCATAAAAGTAGCTTAAAGAAATTAAAAAATGTATAATCTGACCATTTTTCTTAAGTAAGGTTTTGCCATATTATTTTAAAAGAAAAATCATAACTCTGCTATGTATCTGTTGAATGTAGAAGCTAAACGACGTTCTAGTTCTATTTTATCTTACTTGCACCTCTTTGCAAATGTTTTCACTTCTTGTAGGAGACAGTTGGTGGACTGTAGTGAGGCCTCTCAAGAAACCAAATCCTCATTAGAAATTGTCTAATTACACAGATTAAAGAGATCAGGAAGGTTTGGTTGCACCAGAACTGAGAAGACAGAGAAGGAACCATGTTCCTACACATGAGCAGAGTATTTTGCAATCTTTTGCTATAGTAATTACAAGTTTGGAAGACCTGAGTTCTTTATTCCTGAATAAGCTATTTGGCCTAGGGGGAAAGTTGTGATCTTAAAATGCAATGCTTTAAGTTTCGCCATTAACTTCCTGGAGTCAACTTTTCTGTTACCCTGCATTTACACACAGGAGTATTCTTATATTCTTGAGTAATATTTTTTCCCAAGGTCTCCAGAAATTCCATTTTTTTTATTCTAAGAAGATTTGAGATCAAATATTAAGTAAGTTTTTATTTACTTATTATATGTGTTTGGACAAGTCACTTAACCTCCCCAGATTTCAGCTTTCTTGAATATAAAAGGGATAATAATTATTAGTATTAATAGAGTTGTTGAGGCTATTAGTAAGATAACGTATGTGAATGTGCCATGTAAGTTGTAAAACAGAATTCAAGTATATAAAGAATAATTAATTTGATTTGTTTACTTATGATAAAGATGTTTTCTTCAGGGTTACATATTTTTCCTTTAAGCCTTGATGTAGGATAAAGTTTTCTATCCAAATTTAATTCCTTCAGAGCCTTGAAGTGCACTTTTTGGGAGGCTATTCCAATGCCAAACTCTCTATTGGGAAATAGAAATACCTAGAACTAAAACATAAATATTCTAGGTTCTTGAATTTACTTCTCTCCCACTCCACTCACTTCATTTAAGTTAAATATTTTAAATCTTTCTGCTTTTTCCTAAACTTCCCCTTTATCCTCAACTCCTCTTGGGAACTGCCATCTCAGAAATTACAGTACTTTTCTACTTACTTTTTCCACTCCTAGATCGTGTGTGTGTGTGTGTGTGTGTGTGTGTTTGTGTGTGTGTATGGAGTGGAGAGGGGGAAATTATGCAGATATTGTCTTGAAAGTGCAATACCTAAGGGGAAAAAGGAGAATTAAAAAACAACTTTACAGTCCCTAAATTGATTATCAGAAAATTCAGCAGAGTTTCAATAAATTGTGAAGATCTTATGGCTAAAATGATTATTTATGAAGTAATACAGTATTTTTTAAGAGGCTGATAAGAAATCTATCCTCTCTCCTTTCTGATGGTAAACAGTTGGAAGGCATAAGGATGCAAAAGGAAGTCTCGTTTTCTGGCTTGACTTTTGGAGACTCAACTCATTGACCCTTCTTTACTCTTAAATTCCATCCCTTCTAATACTATATTATTAAAGAGAGGTGGACTTAAAATCATAGCCATTTAAAGCTAAATATCGAAGATCATTTAATGTGAAATTTTATTTCACAGATAAACAAAATGTCTTAATCTATTCCTGCTGCTCTAACAAAATGTCTTAGGCTGGGTAATTTATAAGGCTAAGACATTTACTTCTGACAGTTCTGGAGGCTGGGAATTCCAAGATCAAGGTGCTATCATTCAGTGTCTGATGAGGGCCTTCTTGCTGCATCCTACAAGGAGAGAAAAATGAAAAGATCAAAGGCGGTGACTGCTATGCCCTCACATGGCAGAAAAGATGAAAGGGCAAAAGAGGAGGGGGTAGCACTCAGAAGCTCCTTTTACAAAGGGCATTAATCCTATTCACTATGGCAGAGCTCTCATGACCTAATCTCATCTCAGAGGCCCCACCTTCCAATATTATCACCTTGGTGATTAGCTTTCAACTTATGAATTGTGAAGGGATACATATAAGCATATCTTCTTTATTGTGCTTTTCTTTGTTGTGCTTTGCTTGGTTGTACTTTGCAGATATTGTATTTTACACAAATTAAAGTTTTGTGGCAACCTTGTGTTGAGCAAGTCTATTACCACCATTTTTCCAATAACATGTGCTCATTTCATGTCTATATCAGTATTTTTTAAGAATAAAGTATTTTTAAATTAAGGCATGTACTTTTTTTTTTTTTTAACATGATGCTGTTGCCCACAATATACTACAATAAAATGTAAACATAACTTTCATATGCACTGGGAAATCAAAAAAATTTTAACTCACTTTGTTGCAGTATTTGCTTTACTGCTGTAGTCTGGAACCAAAATATCTCTGATGTATTACTGCACATTGAAACCACAGCACAAAATGACCACAAACTCTAGTTTATGTAGTATAGCCCAGGTTTAGATCCTGATATAATTATTATTAGCAGCCTTGTTTATTTTCAAACTTACCCTGGTTTGTATGAAAAATGACATAGTCATTCTGTATGCATGGCAAATAAGATGTAGAAAATTAAGGGGTTTCCTCAATTCTGAATAATTTATTTAGCTCTGCCTTCAGGCCCAGAATTCAGACCTGCTGATTCTTCCTGGGGTTCTAGTCACTGCACCTGGGTTCTTGCTATAATACTTTACCTCTTAAGAAGTCATTGCAATTCATGAACAATTTTTAAACACAGATGGAAAGGCCAAATCCCACCAAAAAAAGTAGACAAATTCTCTCACAATGTTGACTGTCTTTTATCTAAAAGCAACTAAAATATTTTCAATTTACATCCTTCTACACTATTGTGTATTATTCTTTTAGGATGATATACTGACAACATCAAACACTGTGTATTTTTTTTTTTTTTTGTAATATAAGTAAATAAAGTTCGGCTGCTTGGGACTAGGGGCAGCATAATTTCTTTCACCATAAGGAAATCAATCAGTAATCAGACAAACAAACCTCACTAGACTCTTTCAGTTACCCAGGAATATGCCAGCTGCAAAATATTTGCAGCCTGCTATTTAGCCCTGGGTAGTAGAAGAAAATCATGCTGTTAATGGTTAATTATGTGCTACTGAAAAGAACTGGTACTGAATTCATGTCCTGTACCTTTTAGCTTGAAGGGCTTGAACTTAAAGATTGCCTCCTGTCAGGGGACCCTCTGGACATGGGGCCCAAGTCTGAATAAAGCCCCATTGTTTCTCTATTTACTTGCTATGTGTCAGGCATTGGGCAATCTGTCATGCATCTTCTCCATTCAGGCTTTGACTAATGATGTGGGAGGATCACAAAGTCTAATCTGACACAATGGCTATGTAAATGTCACACGGGTCCCTTGTACATTTGCCCGAGGGCTCTTTGATGGGGTACATTTCAAAAACGATAAAGGTTATAGCACCCTGTGAAGGATTTATGCCATGCAGTCTTACTGGCCATGATTTAGTTTTGTAGTAGGCATTCCATTTTAAATTTAGGAATTAATCATTTAGCATAGCTAGTTTTATTGGGTACTATAGAATATAAAAGAAAGAATAAGGGATAAGGTTTCTGTATCTCATTGATTTTGTTAAATGAAAATAATAAATTCTTATATAGTCTCTGATGTAATTCTGGTAAAAGAGATATTAAATATATATTAATCAAAAACTGTTTTTGTTTTAGAATGGCCCATGAGGTTTATAATCAAATAACATTGTCAGTTAATCATTAATATAATCCAATACTATGAAATTCTAATTCTAGAAATCAAATATAAAATTCTTAGATTAAATACTTAAATAATTTATAGAACATTCTTATGTCAGTGAAGACCCACGTATATACATAAATACATATTATTATTCCCAAGCCAACACACACAGTAATTATTATCTCCAAACCAATATCTAAACACATTTTTTCGAATAAGAAAGTTATTTTCACCTAATAAACATGAAGAAAACTAAAGAAGCCCTTAAGATGTGATCATCTATTAAAATCGTTCCTTCATCCTCTAAGGTTGCAGTTCTTACCCCTGGCCCATTAGAATTACCAGGACTACTTTTATACAATACCAATACCTGAACCTTACTTTTTTTCGTGGTAGGTAGGAAGTTATTTCTACAGTTGGGAGAAAGCATCATAAAAGCTCATTTTTGAAAGATGCAAAATGCAGTTCAATTTAAAGATAAAATGCTCATAAGAAAGCAAGGCTGAAAGAATGTTAAGAAGCATGTTACCACAACCTTAGGAATGCAATTATTAGACTGGGGGCGGGGGGGGTCTCTCTAGACTCATCACACAAGTTATTAGAGGTGAATTAATACATAATTAACATCATTAGTATTGGGTTTGGCTGAAAGATGCTGAAATTTGTTTTTTTTTTTCTTTTTTTTAATTATTATTATACTTTAAGTTTTAGGGTACATGTGCACAATGTGCAGGTTAGTTACGTATGTATACATGTGCCATGCTGGTGTGCTGCACCCATTAACTCATCATTTAGCATTAGGTATATCTCCTAATGCTATCCCTCCCCCCTCCCCCCACCCCACAACAGTCCCCAGAGTGTGATGTTCCCCTTCCTGTGTCCATGTGTTCTCATTGTTCACTTCCCATCTATGAGTGAGAACATGGGGTGTTTGGTTTTTTGTCCTTGTGATAGTTTACTGAGAATGATGATTTCCAATTTCATCCATGTCCCTACAAAGGACGTGAACTCATCATTTTTTATGGCTGCATAGTATTCCATGGTGTATATGTGCCACATTTTCTTAATCCAGTCTATCATTGATGGACATTTGGGTTGGTTCCAAGTCTTCGCTATTGTGAATAGTGCCGCAATAAACATACTTGTGCATGTGTCTTTATAGCAGCACGATTTATAATCCTTTGGGTATATACCCAGTAATGGGATGGCTGGGTCAAATGGTATTTCTAGTTCTAGATCCCTGAGGAATCGCCACACTGACTTCCACAATGGTTGAACTAGTTTACAGTCCCACCAACAGTGTAAAAGTGTTCCTATTTCTCCACATCCTCTCCAGCACCTGTTGTTTCCTGACTTTTTAATGATCGCCATTCTAACTGGTGTGAGATGGTATCTCATTGTGGTTTTGATTTGCATTTCTCTGATGGCCAGTGATGGTGAGCATTTTTTCATGTATTTCTTGGCTGCATAAATGTCTTCTTTTGAGAAGTGTCTGTATATTTTTTTCAGCACCACACCACACCTATTCCAAAGATGCTGAAATTTGTATATCTGAAGATAGTAGGAAGTTATTCTAGGAATAGCAGTTTGAATTTTGTAAAAACTACTGTGCTGTCCAAGTCCATCTACTAAAGTAACCAGGCATTCCAGTCAGGCTGGGCCAGAGGGATTTCCCAGGAAGTGGGACTTTCAGTGCAAAAATCAGAGAATTCCTGGTTACTTGAGACTTCAGGAAAGGGGAGAAGGAAATTGCCCAATGTCACTGTAAAGTACAAGTATATTAACATCTTACCCCTATAGCAATAATTCAAGGTAAATGACCAGCCAAATTGATAACTTTGATTTACAGCCCAGGAAGTGCATCATATTTTGGATATATTTTGCCAACATTCCCCCACCCCCTTTTCTCTTGGTAAAGCACTCTGATTCTTGTCACTGTTTTTTGTTTGTTGTCTACATTTCCAATAACACTGAATTGTTTCTGTGAACGACTTTGAAATACGTTCCAATATATTTTATTCTCTACCCTCATTTATCTTTGTCTAGTTTTATTCAGATTGTTCTTCTTCCATTTCATACTGTGGCTATTTTTATGTGTTGATTCATTTTCCATTTAATTTATGTTTTCTGTTTAGTTTTTCAATATGGATGTCTTTAATATGAAATATTTCAGTCACATAAAAATACGTAAAATATAATGTTAAAAGCACCCGTGTATCCACTGCCAAGGATAAATAAAAACATTAAGATGAAGTCAATGCCCCCCACCTCAATTGACTATCTTTTCTACCCTCCAGAGCCAAAGACTACCCTGCATTTGATGTTTATCTTTCCAAAAAATCTTCACATTTTTACTGCGGGTGTATATATCTATAAACAGTGGATTAGATTATTGGGCATAATTTTAATATTTATATAGGTAAAGCCTTATGACATGTATTATCATGTAACTTAAATTTGTCAGTATTGTGTATATAAGATTCAGTTATACTGAATACATAGAACTCTATTTAAGGGTCTAATAATATCCTGTTTCACAAGTACATTGTAATTTATCCATTCTTCTACTGGTTGAAATTGGTTTTTTTCTTTTTTCTTTATTTCAAATAATGTTCCTATGTTATATAGATATATATACACACACACATATACACACATATATAATATGTATACACACATATTATACACACACACATCATACGTGTGCCATATAATACATATAATATATATATTTGTGGGAGCATGTGAGGATGTTCCTAAAGAGCATACCTAGGAGATGCTTGGTCATGAGGGATATGCACCCAACTTTATGACATATTGTGAAGACTAGTGGGTACAACAATTTATGTAGCCACCAGCACAATATGAGAGTCCCCATTGCCCATATATTTGCCAATACTTTACACTATCAACTTTCCCACTTTTTTTTCAATGTATGTGTGAGAAGAACTTCATTTATTTATTTATTTATTTATTTTTATTTTTATGTTTTGAGACAGAATCTTGCTCTGTCGACCAGGCTGGAGTGCAGTGGCTTGATCTTGGCTCAGTGCAACCTCCGCCTCCCGGGTTCAAGCAATTCTCCTGCCTCAACCTCCCGAGTAGCTGGGATTACAGGCGTGTGCCACCACACCCAGCTAATTTTTTTATTTTTAGTGGAGACGGGGTTTCACCATGTTGGCCAGGCTGGTCTCAAACTCCTGACCTCATGATCCCCCCGTCTCAGCCTCCCAAAGTGCTGGGATTACAGGTGTGAGCCACCGCAGCCAGCCAAGAAGAACATATCTTGTCATGGTATTCATCTTCATTTCTTTTAGTATTAGTGAGGTTGAGCAGCTTTTATTGCACTTTTGGCTATGTGGCTTTTCTCTTATATGAATCATCTGTAAAAATACTGTGTCTATTTATTTGATGGGCTATTTGTCTTTTACTTATTGATTTATATGTAATTTTATATGATATAGATACTAATTTGTTGTCAGTTACATGGTTTGCAAATGTGTACACATTCTGTCGATTTGTAGTCTGTCTTAGCACTCAGACGGCAAGAAGTTTAAACTTTTTAATGTGTCACTTCTATCAGTATTTTTTATGGTTTATATTTTTTAAATTGTTAAAGTCATATATTTATTTCATATATTTCCTTCTAACTATTTTAAAGTGATCTTCTAAATTTAAGTCTTTGACTTGTCCTGAAATGATTGTTAGGAATGGTGTGAGGGAGTGCTATGGGTTGAAATATGTCTCCCCTAAATTCATATGTTTAAGTTCTAACCTCTAGTTGGTCATAATGTATCTTTATTTGGAGGCAGGATCTTTACAGAGGTAATCATGTTAAAATAAGTATATTAGAATGGTCCCTAATCCAATATGATTTATGTCCTTATAAAAATAAAATTTGAAGACAGACACGGCATACAGGGAGAATGCCATGTGATGATGAGAGCAGAGATCGGGCTGATGCTCCTACAAAACATGGAATGCCAAAGATTGCTGGGAAAGCGGCAAAAGCTACACAAGAGGCATGGAAGAGATTGTCACAGAAAGAACCAAACCTGATGGCACCTTAATATTGTACTTCTAACCTCCAGAAGTGCGAGACAATGCATTTTTTGTTGTTTAAGCCACTCAGTTTGGGACACTTTGTTACAGCAGTCCTGCAGACCAGAATGAGAAGATTTATTTATTTACTCTTCAGTATAGTTAATCAACTCCCCCCATAATTATTGTATTAGTCCATTTTCAGGCTGCTGATAAATACATAGCAGAGACTGGGCAATTTACAAAAGACAGAGGTTTACTGAATTTCCATTTCCACACGGCTGGGGAGGCCTCACAGTCATGGCGGAAGGCACGGAGGAGACAGTCACATCTATGTGGATGGCAGCAAGCCAAGAGAGAGCTTGTGCAGGAAAATTCCCGTTTTTAAAACCATCAGATCTCGTGAGACCTATTCACTATCACCAAACAGCATGGCAAAGATCCGCCCCCGTGATTTAATTGTTTCCCACCAGGTCACTCACACAACAGATGGGAATTGTGGGAGCTGCAAGATGAAATTTGGGTGGGGAAGCAGAGCCAAGCCATATCAACCATGTCTTAAATACTTTATCTTTTCGTCACTTAATTGAACTATCTTGATTTTGTGAAATAACAAGTCTCTTCATATGTGTATCTGTCTGACCTCTACACTTTTGAAACTTATATCTGTTTATTCTTGCACTAAAGTGAAATGTCTTATATACTATAGTTTAATTACTATTGCTTTGTATATCTGATACAGTGAGATCCCTCCCTATCCATTCTACTTCAGGAGCATGCCAGCTATGGTTTTTTGCCTCATTGTTTATCCATATAAACTTTGTAATAGAGATGTTAATTGAACAAAACATAAAATAAAATTTCAAAGAGAGTATTTTGATTGGAATTACATTCCATATGCAATTTCAATTTGAGAAGAATTGAAAACTTTGTAATATTCAGGTTTTCTATTCATGATGTCATCTGTCTCTCAGCTTATTGTGGTATTTTTAATATTTTAAATAAAATTTTCTAATTTTCTCCATGAAAGTCTAGGATATATTTTGGTTGATTTTTTCATAGGTATGTTCATTTTCCTGTGAGCAACAAAAGACTCTCCACAAGAATACAAGTTTTGATCAATAGGAGTTTTATTACTTGTCACAAGTAAGGAAAGCCCTGGGACTATTCTCCAAAGCTGTGCTCCCAAAGGGAAAGCAACAGGAGGGTTTTACTGGGTAATGGAAAGGGTAGCACGTGCATCATGGCATGTAGTTGGGGGGTCCTAGAGGCGCAGACACAGGGTCATCACGCCACCACATAGGTTGTTACAATGAAGCTATTATAATGTTATAATGAAGCTGTTATAATGAAGCTATAGGTCCTCCCAGGGTGGATACTTTAGCATGTTAATGGGAAAAGTTCACTGGGGTTCATCTGTAAGTTGCCAAGGTCTGTCAGGAGTTGGTTTCAGCCAAGTAGGTGGCCATATACCACATAGGGCTTGAAAAAAAAAAAAAACTGTAACATAGGAAGCTTTAAAAAAGACAGATTGTTCAGTCCGGTTGAATGATTATAATCCCTGAAGACCCTACCTATCTGCTTACAAAACTTTCCTAAAGGTTTCCCCTCTTCTCATAGGATATTTCAACATGGGAGTTGCAAGTATAGATGAGCTACCTAATTAAAAAGAAACAAAATAAGAAAATGTAAAACATAAAAATTTCACTCATATAAACTTTCAAGAATTAATTGATCTTTTAAGTATTATTATTTTTCAATATAATCACTTTGTGTGTGCTTCCTCGGAAAAGATGGAAATAATCACTATCTAAGCGTTGAAGCACGCTGGTTTTGATTTTAGATATCGTTGACTTTATGCTTTTGTTCAGGATTTGTGGTCCAATTCTTGCTCAAATGCCTTCATACATGTTAAGTCTAGTCTGATAATATTCTTTCCAACCAAAAATTTATTGTAAAGTAGAAACACTCTACATTTCAACCAATTAGATCAAAGTGAAAATATGTTGGTCTTCATTTCTCATTGATTATGTATGTATAATTTTTACCAAACCACACTTCTCCCAAGAGATCCCTAAGGAGTTTGGCAAGTAAAACTTCCATGCTTCACTACTCACTCACAATGATACCAGTTTCCTCTTCCAGTTCCTCTGGAAAAACAAGTCCGTCCTCCAGTTTTTCTCCTTCAAGGCTTCCTATTGATTTCCCTCTTAGGATTGCCTCTCTTCTATTGTTTTTCAAGGTCTCCAGTGGAATAAACTATGTAGGAGAAAGAGCTTACTATCTTTCCCTCATGTGTGTGAGGATGATCACTCAGTTAAAATGGGGAAACTGAAAAATCATTACACTGCATTAGATAAGCAGTTTCTTTGTTGCATTATCAGGTTTGCTTCAGATAAAATTATAGCTATCACCAGGAATGTACTTGTTACCAACATGGCAAATGTTTCCAGCCAGTGTGTAACAGTAAAATATGATCCAAATACATTGTTTAAATTCATATTAATATTAATTTATTCTACATGTTGACTCTTTGTCAAACAAAGGTTTGGAGAAATTATTTGTCTGCTGGAAGTTCTCAGCTGGACTTCAACTATTTATTTTCCACTCATTTTTAAAAGGATTTATTCTGAAAGGTTTCCTTTTTATTTAAAAAACTTTCATTCAGAAGCATACTGAATGAGGGAAGAAATACAGTAGAAAGAATTTTGAGCAGTGTTTTTAATTTTTACTAAATGATAAATATTAATTATTATTTTAAAATACAATAATAAGTTAAAGCTCTTCGTTTCTAACTATCGTGCATAGCAATCTACCGAGTTAATACAAATTCAATTTGTAATAATCACTTCTGTAATACATAAATTATATGGTACAATATAATAAGCAATAATAGTACATATTACAAAATGGTCTGACATCTTAACAAAAAACATCCTAACACATGGCTATTATACCAGAGGAAAATAGTATTGTGAAGTAGCTATACTTGCAATTCACACAGAAAATGAATCATAATGCATTAACGCCTTTGAATAATTTGCAAGTAAATGAACCAAAAAACTACATGGCACGACATAGGTACTTACGTTATTTGAGGGTGGGGAGGAGTAAAGGTAAGGGAAAGAAAAATTAGAATAAAATATTGTGTTAGTAAGTGCTTACATGTGTGCTAAACCATCTTATAACAGTTAACCAGCAGATGTCTGAAATGCAGTTACTTTCTATTTATTATTTTGCTGATTTGTTTGCTAATAAAATGTTATTGCCCAAATGACAATGTTGAATTAACTACAAAATGATGCTCTTGAAGATTAGCTAGATTAAATCGTAGAATCCAATAACTGAAGAATTACTTCAGAGATCATCTAGTCACTCCTAAGTCTCCCAGTAGCAAAATCCCTTTACATCATTACATAAAGATGACTGCACATTCTGTCTATAGCAAACCCTCTATCCAATATCTGGATACCTTCCTCACTAAGAAAATCTTGAGCTTTATCAAGGTTGCAAATATGCCTAATTAAATCTTCACCATCAACCTTTTAGTTTAGATTGGCCATATCATACATGTCTAGTTTAAAAGATAAATAAATAAGCAGAAGTCTCTTAGAGGCTTCTGGGAAAGCATGTTCTTTCCTAACAAAAAAAGGATAAGTGCCTCATCTCTACCTCAAATACTGATGTAATGGAGGAAGCTACTATGATAACCATCTTGTTGCCTTGAGAGAAAGATCAAAAGAATTGCAGAGACTTGGACCCTGACATCCTTGGGCCCTAAAACAGCATTTAACTACTCCCGAGTAGTTTGTTATGTAAAAATAAAATAAAAATAATCTATTTTTTAAACCGTTTATGATCTGGATTTCTCATTCTGCCATCTAACATTCTTGGCTTATAAACTACCATTAAAATGTTCTAGAAGTGGTATATCCAGAAAACAACATCAAACATACATTATTACTAAAGTTCTTCCACCTGAACTTCTATAGATACTTTCAACTTCATATATCAAAAATTGAGATAATCATGGTCATCTTGAAACCTTGTTTTTTATTTTATATTTCCTGACTTGCTGAAAGGAACTGACTTCCTCCACATCACTGAAGTCAGAAACTGAAAGTCCTAACTTCAGATTTGTTCCTCATAGGCTCTGTGCATTTTCTGCATTAGCTCATTTAATCCTCTTATGAACCTGACAAGTCACGTATTCATATTATTCAATGTAAGACCAAAACATGGACGTGCTAAATATTTTTCCAAGTTTACACAGCTATTAAGTAACAGAGCTGGGATTTGAACAGAGACAATTTGATAACAGAATTCAATTTTGATACATCCTTGCTTCTCTCTCATTCACTCACCATCTTCAATAGTTACCAAATCCTGATTATGTTGTCACAATACCTGTCAAGTCTGTCTGCTTTGCTCCCTTCTGGTTAGCACTGACGTGTCCTCTATTCAAACAAAAAACTACATTACAGCAATAAATAATCCAAACAAGAGGAAACGGAATGTTTATGCGGAAGCACAAGTGGGAAAGGAAACTAACACTTACTGAGTCTTTATACTATACAGGGCTCTGTATTAGTTCATTTAATTTTCATAATGTCTCTATGAAGTAATTATTGTTGTGCCTATTTGATAGATGAGAAACTAAGTTACACAGGTAGTCATCAGCAGACCAACTGGGTTGAAGGATAGTGATCAGAGGTAAATGATGAAGGTGTCATAATGTTGTTATTGACTGGTTTTAAAGGGTATCAATTGTCCACATAGGGACAGTAGTTTAGGATTTTTGATAGTGAAGTCATATAAATTTGTGGCCACTGATTCTAAGTCTCACTGGAGTCAAATGAGTAAATATATAAGACTGATCACCGAAGTTTAATTATCTGAGCAATTTACCCACAACATGTTTTAAATATGTCATAGTAGCAGCTTCAAAATATTCTCTAGAAGACAAGCTTAATTTGATCCATGTAGGTCCAACTCTAGTCACAACATTTCAGAGAGAAAGCAAAATCCTAGGCTGCTTGATTTCTAAAATTTAGAAAACATATTGCATTATAAAACTGCTTTTGAAATCTCAGTAAGAAAAATGTTCATTGAGAGCCAAATCAGATAAGTGGTCTGGTTTTATGCTCAGTTGAATGATACCAGTCGCTTTACCAATTTGCTAAATTTTAATATATTTGCTAACGTTAGTCCACATATTTTTTCTTTTTCCACTTCTCTTCCCCTCTGCTGCTTTGTCCTCTTCTCTTTTTTGTCTGATTATAATATAATAAACATACCACAGAGCTGTGCTATTCCTCAAAAATGTAAATGCAGAAAATAAAATCGTTGTTGAATGTTAGACTCAGGCGGCTTCCCGCCATTTACAAACTGCTAGGCTCATTTTCATATGAAGCCCTGGAAATAGAAGGAGTTAGACCGCAAAATGAAATGTCCTCACAGGCTATTCCCGCATGGAGGACCACTGACAAATCTTATGGCCTTGGATCCAGAAATAAACACCATTCAGTGACTGTTTGTACAGTCAGGCCATTAAGTGCAATGATTTGTAAGTCCTCAAGAGATCCCTTAAACTACAGTGCCTTGTGTTTGCAGCAGCTTGGCAGGAATTGTATTTTTTTTTAATCCTGCAGCTCACTGGCCAATAAAGTGTGTGCAAGGCACAATACCTCTCCAGTAAATACGAAAGAAAAACATTGCGACTGTAGGGCTTCACGCAGTCTCTGAGCGATGTCATGTATGCAAAGAGCATTGAAGTCTCATCTGTTTTGTTTTGTTAAAGGAACTTTCTTCATGGATGAGGATGCTTACCCTGTATTAAACATCCTGTAATCTGGAACTACGGCCAAAATAGTCTAACAGTTATCTCTAATACTTCTTAAGAAGGTTTTACAAAGTAGAACCTTACAAAGATAACAACGTTCTGATGATAATGGCTCAATCAAGACTCTAAAATAAAGATGACCAGTATTCATGAAGGAGTTTTCTTAAGCAAGCAGAGATATTTATTAAAAAAATATATATTCAGTGGGGTAACCTCTGCCTAAAAATTGGTGAGTCCCTTCTCCAGTTAAATAGTGGGCATTATTTTCTAGCGTTGTCTAATCTGTGTTCGTCCTATTTTGGGTGCCCTGGGCTGTTTATATAGTTTGTTAGTTTGTGGATATTTGCTTGTAGGTGCAGGTTTTATTGTTGTATTTGTTTATGTGACTGCTCAAAATCCACTTTAAAATTTTCTCACTAAATCAATATAGACTTTTTCCTTCCAATTCTCTGTAGAAAATCCTGGATGCCCGCTTTGCATATTACCCAAGGAATGGCTTTTTCTGATTGATTGATTGTAATTCTGAGTCTTGCAACCTTTTTGCTTTCTGATTACTTTATATGCTGATTTCTGAGTGTCTTCGGTATCATCTAACGAACTGAAGTCAGGAAAATTGAAAATACTTTGGATAGAAAGAATTTTAATTGGGGTCCAGGCTGAAAATGGGTTTTCCATATTGGACAGAAATATATGCCATCAAATACCATTACCTCTCTTTCTCCCTTCTGTTCTCACCCCCAACAACTGAAGCTCAGGAGAATATTTCTAACTTAAACTGTGTCATGTACTGGGAGCCCAAGTTCACGGACGTACAGCACCTTACACGCAGTTGGAATTGAATTAAAGTGCTAAAATTTAAATGTGAAAATATTTACTAAGCCACAATTTCAAAATGTAACAGTCTTTTCTTTGAGTAGCTATTATATATTAGGCACTGTGCTAGGCTCTAGGGATGCAAAGATAAGGTCCACGACTCAAGGAACTTACTGTATAGTGAGAAGAAAGATAGATAAATAGAGTGTCAATTGCTAAAATACATACATATAAATTGAATGACTGTAACTTTTAACTCTATTCTTTTATTGGGTGCACAAAAGAATGTAATTCACAGAGCAAAATGAACATGTTTATAAAAAGAGCTACACTACTAAGAAACAAGGTAAAGTAAGACATCGTATGTGGGTGTTGGGGTGGGTATTTTATTTAAAACTTGAAGAAATTGAACGAGTAAGCTTAACCCTCTACCCATCAATATCTCGTAAGTGAAAATAAGTCAAGAAGTATGAAGAAAATGGCATAGTACAAGAACACTATGTCCAGCAAAAGCTTAAGATTGTAATACAACTATAAAAGTGGTCTGGCAGTTTGATTATGAAAATGCAAAAATTTAACTTAGATGAAAAGAAAGAGCATAAACATTCAATTAATATTCTATTGTTACTTTGGTCCTTAAATTTTAAAAACTCTTAGTGGAACATATATTTTTAAGCATTTTTTAAGCAACTACTCTGTGTAAAACACAGACACATGTGCAAATGTTGATGCCTTTAATACAAGTGTTCTGCTTTTCTTTTTCTTGATGGAATCAATATCTTTATGGCTATTAATAAGAATTTTGCCATTGGCTAGTTATAGTTTTATTTCAGTTTTCATATGTTAAACGTGAAGGCTACGTCTCAGTGTGGTTTGGAATTTATAGCTCACTTTGTATCATGTAACATTCACATTCTCTCCTACAAGATCCTTAACTGCTTCTTGTCTCATCTTGTGCCTACCACCACAATCCTTGTGAATTTTTGCAGCCGTCACACATTTGTTTTTGTCCCTCTGCCCTCCTCCATCCCCAGTTCATTCAATGACTTCTTGGAGTCCAGCACTGCTTCGGAAGGTTGAGCCATGGAGCTGATTCTAAGGTTGGCTCTGGAAATCTCAACTGATGCATTTGAGCTTTCCTTAAATGCACTTGCCTGTCATGTGTAGCACTTAAACAGCATCTCATGTGAGGAAATCATACATAGTTTATTTAAAAGACCCTCAGCTCCCTTGCGGCAATAACCAAGCACAGGCAGCTAAATCGTTGAGTGCCTCTGTTGTTTGTTACAAATCATAACATCAAATACAGCATGAAGTACACGGAGGAGCACCCAAAAATAATTTATGCTGATGAACCCCAGCTATTAACATAAGTAGCACTGTCTCTGCCTGCCTTGCTGAACGTTAGATTGGGCTACAAGAGGAGGGAATCAGAACTGAGCAATAGCTTAAATCTCTAATGGGTTTACGGGGTAAAATTACAGCAGGTATGCATATATAAATCATGTTTAACACTTTCAAAGCACAATCATATTTGGTATTTTCAAGAGTAGAGAAATGAATAAAATAGAGATACTAGGGATAGGAATAGCCCCAGGAATTACAATTCTCCGTAAAGATAAACAAAACAATAACATTGATGAAAGTGAGTTTCTGACCTTTTCGGGGTTCTAATATTGAACTGAAAGTATGACGATTTTACCAAAATAACAACTCAAGAAATAAACCCCGAGGTGTAGAGTTGTATATGTGATAGCTACTAAGCAAGTTCAAAAATCAGCAGAATTTTACACTTCTTCCTTCTCCTACTCTTCCACTGAAAGATAAATGTCCAAGCCATACATTGTCTATTTAGGCTACAATAGGAAAGGCTGACCCAGGCATAGCACTAATTAATTAGAGAGCTCCATCAGTGTCAATTTCTCTAAGTATATTTAAAAATCAGTTATCTCTATAGTAGCCACCAGAAGTCATGTAAGTCTAAAAAAAAGAGCTATGAAAATATGTTCAGAAGAATATAGTGCCATCAACGTTCTGAGGTCATATTGTCTTGGAATCAATACTAATAGATTTGGAAACAAACAAGAAGTGAGTCACATCTGACACAGTAGGTAAGATGTCATATTGTGTATGAGTGAATTCTTGATTTCATATCAGAAGGCTTCACTTATGTCCTTTTATAAGACTTATCAGATTCTAAGTTGTGGAAGAAAATACACTATTGGAGAAATGAGGAGAAGGTATGCCAGCAGGGCCATGGAAATAAGTTGTCATATGAAAAAGTGAAGAGTCACAGGGGATAGTATGCAAACATAATTTTTAGGAAGCTGAATTAAGTTGTGTAACTAGAACTCACTTAGAGAGAAAATCCTTCATTTATATACACTGTAAAATCTATAACCCAGGCATATTTAATTCCTTACACTTAAAAAAATAGGATTTAGAAATGCTTCAACATATTGAAAATTTGAGCTTTCTAAACACTCTCTCAAGAAAGAAAACAACACATTTCCAAAGCATGTTCTTGGACTAGCTGTGCAGAAGAAAAATGACTAAGATTTAAACTACAAGTCTCTTTCTTTATTCTTTAAACATGAACAGATTTTCACCCAGAAATACAGGACAGATCCAAATGTTGATGTGCAGGATTATAAAATTTTGCTAAGGCTGTCTGCAGCATGAACCAAGGTTATGGTTTGGTTCATACCGCTTTTCCTTTATGCAATAAAAAGAGACATCAAAAATTATAATAGCTTGCTTCTTTCTCTTTCTTTCTTTTTCCTTCTTTCTTTTTCTTTCTTTCTTTCCCCTCTTTTCTTTCCTTTTTTCACCCTTTTTTTTTTATTCATAAAGATGTCACATCCTCTCTATATCTTCAAGTTTCTCCATGGCCTTCCCTTGGGAGAATGTGGGGTGTTCCAAACAACAGGAACAACATCCATCGAATATATTTTTATTAAACATCCATTTCTATTCAATCACAAGGGATACAGAAGGCTGTGCTGCTATCCCACTGGGTCCAGAGGAAAGAGCATAGAGCCAAAGAGAATTACATTCTTTAGCCTTAAAATATAATAAAATTTGCCTTGCTAGGTTTGGACTTTCTAGGAACTTACGAGCCCTTTCTTCTTTCTAATTTCTCCTTTTAGCTGGGAATGTTTATCTTATGCCTGTGCCATCATTGTATTTTGGAAGCACATACTTGTTTGATTTCAAACAAGATAAATCATACCTCAAGTTTCACCTCTACCTGATTTCAATAATATTTAGATGAAACTTTGATTAAGAGTTTATGCTGGAAAAGGTTAGTAGTTCCTTGGTATTGCTCCTCACATGACATCCATTGATATCATTGTGGTGTGGCCTTGCTACCATTAGGTGGTGGTTAGTGGCCTAACTGTGCACTTGGCCTCCTCTGATATCCCCCTACTAGGGAGGACTAGAGATGATTTATTATAGCTAGAAAGGAATGTCCTGTCTTCATACTCAGTTGTATTACTGTCTGTTGAAAGTGGAAGCCTATAAGCCCACCTGTCTTTACTGGTGGGAATGGGGTGGAACCAGACTTCTTCTGTGGTATTTGGAATGCGTTAAGATTTTGAGGGCTGTTGGAATGGGTATTAATGCATTTGAATGTGAAAAGGATATGAATTTTGGGGGTACAGAAGGTAAAGTGATATGAATTGAACTGTTTCTGTCACAAATTCCTACCTTGAAGCCTTAACCCCCAATGTGACTATGTATGAAGATAGGGCCTTTAAAGAGAAAATTAATATTAAATGATGTTACAAGGTTGGGATCCTAATCCAATACGACTAGTGTCCTTATAAGAAAAGGAAGAAATACTAGGGATATACACACTCAGAGAAAAGGCCAAGAGAGAATGCAGGGAGAAGGTGGCCTCCTGCAAGCAAAGGAGAAACAGGAGAAACCAGACCTTTTGACACTTTGATCTAGGACATCCAATCTCCAGAACTATGAGAAATAAATTTCTGTCCTTTAAGATAGTCTGTGGTAGTTTGTTATGGCTGACTAACACAGTCTGAAAGGTGGAGATAGGAAGGCAGAGTGGCTAGGGATCTTGGGGTAAAAGAATCAATATGGAAAAGTTGACAACCTAGGAATGCCAGTGGATGCAGACAGAAATGACCCAACAAAAGCTTACTTTCTATAGCTAAAGGACCAGGAGAGGGGTCCTATAGCTAAAGGACCAGGAGAGGTGTAGTCTGGTCCCTTTCTAAATATATTTAAAAAAACCTTTTAGATAACTGCCACACTCTAGCCAAATACCACAGAAAAATCTGGTTCCACCCTGTCCCCACCAGCAAAGGCAGGTGGGAACATACACTTCCACCTTCATCAGGTTGTAACAAGGACATTTCTTTCTAGCTGTATCAAGTCATCTCTAGTTCTTCCTAGTTGGGTCGTATCAGAAGAGGCCAAGTGAATAGTTAGGCCACTAGCCACCACCCAATGATAGGCAAGGCCACACCACAGTGATATCAGTGGATGTCATATGGGGAACAATATCAAGGAAATACTACCCTTTCCAGACAAGGCAGTTTTATCAGAGGCCTATAGGGAGCCAGTATTCCTACACTCACCAAGCAGTAATGAGAAGCCCTTCCTTCCTCTGGTGTCAACAGTGACCAAGTGTAGAACATTGACTTCCATCCTCTATCCCAACCTGACATTAATGAGGCAGTATTCCTCTTTACTCCGCCATAGCGGTATCAGAGGAAGTCAAGTGAAACTGAAGTTCAAATAACATCCAAAGTCTTGTAACTTAATACCTAAAATGGTCATTTTTAAACAGAAAATCACTCATCATACAATGAACAAAGAAAATGTCAAATTAAATGACAAAAGACAAAAAATGGACACTAACTCGGAGAGTACAGAGGTTAGTACCACCTGATAAATATTTTAAAGCAGCCATCCTAAAAGTGTTTCTAAAATCAATTACAAAGATAATTGACAAAAATCTAAAATCTCAATAAAGAAATAGAAAATATAAAGAAAAACCAAATTAAGAATTAAGAGATAAAAATACAACAAAATAAACAAATTCACTGTGAGAGCCCAATAACATAATACGGGACAAAAAAGGAACAATCAGTGAACTTGAAGAAACAATAGAAATTATTCAATCTGAACAACAGAGTGAAAAATAGACTGGAAATGAAATAAACAGGCACTCAAGGACCTGTAGGATCACAGTGGAAGATCTAACTACAAATCAAAAGAGCCCTGGAAGAAGAGAAAAGGTAGGCATGAAAAATTTTGAAAAATAATGGTTGAAGACTTTTCAAATTTGGCTAGAGAGATAAATCAACAGCATCAACAAGCTGAGTGAACTTAAGACAAGATAAACCCAGAGTATCTACATAAAGGCATATCACAGTCAAACTTCAGAAGACTAAAGAAGATAACAAAAATATATCAAAAATAGCAAGAGAAAAATGCTACCTATATAGGAAAATAATTTTAATAATAGACATCTGATAAAAATAATGAAGGTCAAAAGTTAGTGGCACAATATTTTTCAAGAGCTGAAGGGAAAGAATTGCCAACTCAGATTTCTGTAGGCAATGAAAATAGCTTTCAGAAATGAAGGGGAAATGATAACATTCTCAAATAAAGAAAACCTAAAAGAATTTGTCCCCAGCCAGTATACCTTAACAGAATTTTCAAAGGGAGTTATCTAAACACAAACAAAATAATAAAAGGATTTTTGTAGTATCAGCAATGAATAAAAAGCAAGAACAGAGTAAAAATGTGGGTCGATACAATATATTTTACTTTTCCCTTCAGTTTTCTAAGTTATGTATAATAGTTGAAGCAAAAATTAGAGCATTCTGTGTTGTGGGTAAATATATGGTTCTAAATAAATGTGGAGGATATATTTGAAATGATTATAAAGAGGGGAATTAAAGGGATTTAAAGAGAATTAAAATTTTATACTTGAACTGATAAATTGCTGACACTCATGGATTCTGGTAAGTTATGTATAATACCTAGAGCAATCAAAAAAATAAGAAGGTATGCAAAGATATATACTCAAAACACTGCAGATAAACCGCAATAGAGTTCTAAAAAATGTCCATGTTATTCACAGTAAGACAGAAAGAAAGAGAAAAATAAAAACAAAGAGAACAGGGAATACAAAATTAAGTGGAAGAATTAATCCCAAACATAACAATAATTACATTAAACATAAATAGTTTAATTACATCACTTAAAAGGCAGATATTAGGAGAGTGAATTAAAAAGCAAATATGACTCGAATATAAGAATCTCACTTCATATAAAATGATATAGGTAGGTTAAAGTAAATAAATAGAAAAATATATATCCTACAAACATTAATAAAATCAAGCAGAAAAAAGTCAACTTTACTACTTCATCTGATATGAATATAGCCTAAAATGGGTAATAGTCTGGGTCATAAAACAAACCTCAAGAACTTTAAAGAGTTGAAGTCTCTAGGGAGTACTTAGTGAACTGAATAAAAAGTACAATACAACACAGCAAGAGAATTATGACACAGCTAAAGCTGTGCTGAGAAAAAAATTATGTCATTCAATGATTACATTAGAAAAGAGGACATCTCATGTCAATAATCTAATGTCTTACCCTAAGAATCCAGAAAAAAATAAAAAATACATACCAACCTAGAGAAGAAATAAGAGAACAATTATTGGAGTACAAATTAATAAAACTGAAAACAGAAAAATCAATACAATCAAAAATTATTTCTTTGAAAAGATCAATAAAATTAAAAAATACATAAAAAGATTTGACAAAAATAAAAGAGAGAAAATACACAAATTACCAACATTAGGAACAAAATAAGGATTATCTCTACAGACCTTATAGACATCAAAATTATAAGAAAATACTATGCACGACTTTGTACACAAAAGTTTGAATCTTGGATAAAATGAACTTTTTTTTTTTTTCTTTGAGACAGGGTAGGGTCTCACTCTGTCATCTGGGCTGGAGCAGAGTTGCAGGACCTCAGTTCGCTGAAACCTCTGTCTCCAGGGCTCAAGTGATCCTACCACCTCAAGCCTTCTGGGTAGCTGGGACTACATGCTACCAAGCCTGGCTAATTTTTATTTTTTGTAGAGACAAGGACTCGCTATGTTATATGTTACCAAGGCTGGTGTTGAACTCCTGGGCTCAAGCCATCAGCCTGCCTTGGCCTCCCAAAGTGCCGGGACTACAGGCATAAGTCACTGTTTCTGGCCTAATTTTTTAAATACACACAGACACACACACACACACACACACACACACACACACAAACTACTATAACTTACCCCAAATAAAATGCTATTTGAATAGTCCTATAATTATTAAAGAAATAAAATTAATAATTTAAAACATGCCAAAAAAGAAAACTTCATGCCAAATGGTCTTACTAGAGAGTTATACCAAGCTATCAAAGAAAAATTAATATTAATTCAATGCAACCATAGGGACAGTGGCATCAGCAGGATGACAGACTAGGAGGTACCAACTCGCAGCTCTTTCGCCAAACAATGAATAAACAACTACATACAAACAAAAATAGCTCTGGGAAATGTTCACGCTACAACCAAGAAGCTCAGAAATCTTGTGGAGCACAAGAACTTAGGATGGCCACACAGAAAAGAGTAAAAGCATCTGTTGCATCATCCCATGCTTCATTCCAGAGAGCTCAAAACTGAGAGAAATTTCTCCAAAGGGGTTTTCCCTGAAGGAAAATAAAAGAGAGCGGGTGAACCCCAGCAATCTTTCTCGCTGCTACAGTCATCTGCAGCTTTAGCCACCAAGGACCTCTGCAGTCTTTCCCAATGCTGAGGCCAGCTGACAGAGCTGTCCAAAATCCATGCTGGAGTGTTCTCTCAATAGAAAGAGCCACAGGAGTACCTGTGTCTTGGATCCCTGTGCATTCCCACTCCATGGAGGACAGTATAATAGACATGATACAAAGAGAATTCTCCCTGGCCAGAACTTCCCCCACTGGGGAAAAAGACAAGTGCTAGGACCACAGTAGACTTTACCACCAAGGATACTAACAGCCCTAGTAGCCACCACTGCCACAGACACTCATAGCCTTAGTTTCTGAATATTCCTACAGTCTTTACCAATGTTGACCTCAGCTGACAGAGTTTCGCAGAGACCACACTGTTGTGCTCTTTCAGAATTGGAAATGCAGCACCCCAACCAGGCAATGCCCTTGCAACTGCCTGCAGGTGAAGTCTTTCTCCATTGAAACCAGTTTGATAGGCTGGAAGAAGTGACTACTCCCTCAAATGCACAGACATCAATGCAAGGCTACAAGAAACACAAAAGTGGAAGAAAACATGATCGCACCAAAGAAACACAACAATTTTCCAAAAACCGACCTAAAAGATGTAAAGATCAAAGAGTTACCCCCCTCCCCAATTTAAAATAATCATTTAAAACTATCTCAGTGAGATATAAGAGAACACTAATAAACAACTCAAGGAACTCATGAAAGCACTACATGAACGAAATGCAAAGTTCAACAAAGAAATACAAATCATAAAAAGAAAGAACCAAATATAAATTCTGGAGTTGCAGTGTACAATAAATGAAATGAATATTCAATAAAGAACTTCAATAGATGACTCAATCAGGCAGAAGAAAGAATCTGTGAAACTTTAAGACAGATGTTTTGAAATTATCCCGTCAGAGGAGAAAATCAAGAATTTTGAAAAAAGAACGAAGAAAGTCTACAGAAGTTATGGGATACCATTAAGTGAATCAATACAGGTACTACTGAAATCCAGAAGAAAATATAGAGAAAGGAACAGAAAGCTTATTTAAAGAAATAATGGCTGAAGAGTGTCCAAATCTTGGGAAAGATGAAAATATCCACATTCATGAAGTTTAAAGTTCCAAAACAGATTCACTCTAAAGAGGGCTTCACTGAGACACACGATAATTAAATTTTCAAAAATCAAAGAAAAAGACAATTTTGTAAACAGTAAGCAAAAATTAACAGGTCACATGCAAGGTAACCTACATAAGGCTATTAGCACATTTATCAGCAGAAACCTTTCAGGCCAGGACAGAGTGAGGTGATACATTGAAAGAGCTGAAAGAAAAAACTGCTAAGCAAGAATACTTTATCTGGCAAAGGTGTCCTTCAGAAACGAAGGAAAGATAAAGATTTTTTCAGACAAATAAAAGCTGAAGGAGGTCATCACCACTAAACCTGCTTACAGAAAATGCTAAAGGGAGTTAGTTATTCAAGTCAAAATGAAAGGGTGTTAATTAGTAACATAAAATCATGTTATATGAAAGCATTAATTTCACTGGTAAAGGTGGATATATACTCAAATACAGAGTACTCTACTATTGTAATAGTGGTCTGTAATCCACCTTTAACTATCTCATATAAAGGTTAAAAGACAAAAGAGCCCAAAAGAGCCACAGCTACAGTATTTTCTCAATGGATATACAATACGAAAAGATTTAAACTGTGACATCAACAATATTAAATGTGTGGAAGGGTATGAGTAAAAGTGTAGAACTTTGTATGTGATTAAATTTAAGACGTTATCAACTTAAAGTAGAATGTTACAACTATAACATATTTTATTTAAGCCTTTTTTAAGGTTACTACAAAGTAAAACCCTATAACTGATATAGAAAATATGAAAAGTAAAGAATTAAAACATACCATTACAAAACATCATCAAAAGGGAAGACAGCAAGAGAAAAAGAAGGGAACAAAAGAATTATTAAAAAGTCAGAAAAAAATTAACAAAATAGCAATTAATAATAACATTTAAGTAAATTAATTAAATTCTCCAACCAAAATACATACAGTGGCAGAATGAATTTTTTTTATTTTTAAGGAGTCAACTGGGGCAGCAGGGCCAAGATGGCAGACTAGAAGCAGCGGTGATCTGAGGCTCCCATGGAAAAGATCCAAAACAGTGTGTGAATCCTGCACCAGCAACCGAGGTATGCAGGTTCTGTCATTAGGACTGAGTAGGTGGCTGGCATGACCCAGGGAGAAGAAGGAAGAGCAGTGTCATGTGGCAGCCCACCTGAGAGCCACAAAGGTCAGGGGAGCCCCCAACCCCAGACAAGGGAGGCAGTGAGTGAGCATGCTACCAAGCCTGGGAAACCATGCTTTTCCCACGGAATTGTGCAATCCAAGATCGGAAGATCCCACTCGTAAGCCCACGCCACCAGGGCCTTAAGTCCCAACCACGAAGCCCTGCAGATTCTCACTCAGCTAGAATTGGCCTAAGCCAGTTGAGTTCCCAGGGGGAGGAGCGGCCATCACCACTGCTGCGGCTGCCTGCTGTCTAAGCCTTCTGAGCTCCTTGGGGGAGGTGCAGCAGCAAACATTGAGGCTGCAGGGCCTCCCTGCAGGAACTGTAACTCCAGCCAAGGGCTCAGGGATAGAACTGTGATCTCCCTGGGCCTGAGCCACTATAGGGAGGGGTGGCCATAGTCTCCATGGACCAGCAGACTTAGTCTTTCCTCCTGGTAGCTCTGAGGAATCTGGGCAGCCCAGATGAGGGGGTTTCCCCTCAGTGCAGCCAGCACACCCCCTCCACCAAGGGGCAGCCAAAGTTCTTCATTAAATGGGTCCTGCTTCCCATGCCACCCAACTGGGTGAGACCCCTCAACAGGGGTTGTCAGACATCCTATATAGGAGCGTCCCTACTGGCATCAGATCAGTGACCCTTGAGGTCAGAGGTATGAGAGGAAAGAGCAGTCACCCATCTTTGCTCTTCTCCAACCTCCTCGAGTGACATCTCCAGGCGTGGAAGTGAACCAGATGAATAGGGCCTGAAGTGAACCCACAGCAAACCACAGCAGCCCCAGAGAAGAGGGACTTGACTATTGAAATAAAAAGAAACACAAAGCAACAGCAACAGCATCAACGAAAAATGTACCCATGAAAACCTCATCCAAAAGTCAGCAGCCTCAAAGATCAAAACTAGACAAATTCATGAAGATGAGAAAGAGTCAATGAAAAAACACTGAAAACCCAAAAGGCCAGAGTGCCTGTTCTCCTACAAATGTTTGCAACCCTTCTCCAACAAGGGCAGAACTAGACGGAGGATGAGATGGATGAACTGACAGACGTAGGCTTCAGAAGGTGGGCAATAACAAATTTTGCTGAGGTAAAGGAGCATGTTCTAACCTAATGCAAAGAAACTAAGAACCTTGATAAAAGGTTACAGGAGTTGCTGACTAGAATAACGGTTTAGAGAGGAACAGAAATGACCTGATGAAGCTGAAAAATGCAGCATAAGAACTTTATGAAGCATACACAAGTATCAATAACTGAATCAGATAACTTCATGAAGCATACACAAGTATCAATAGCTGAATCAATCAGGTAGAAGAAAGAATATCAGAGATGGAAGACTGTCTTGCTGAAATAAGGCAGGCAGACAAGATTAGAGAAAACAGAATGAAAACGAATGAACAAAACCTCCAAGAAATATGTGACTATATAAAAAGACTGATTGGAGTACCTGAAAGAGATGGGGAGAATAGAACCAAGTTGGAAAACACACTTCAGGATATTAACTTCCCCAATATAGGAAGACAGACCAACATTCAAATTCAGGAAATACAGAGAACCCCACTAAGATACTCCATGAGAGATCAACCCAAAGACACATGATCATCAGTTCACCAAAGTCAAAATGAAGGAAAAAATATTAAAGGCAGCCAGAGAGAAAGGCCAGGTCACCTACACAGGGAAGCCCATCAGACTAACAGTGGATCTCTCAGCAAAAACCCAACAAATTGCTACTGGAATTTCTCCAGGATCACAATAATATTTAGTCATGTGTTTCTGAGAAATAATTTAATTCCCTAAACAAAAATAGGTGGAATTTATCTCAGAAGTTTCCTCCTTTCTATCATTCAAAACTATGGAATAACACTGTTTATTACTTGTTAAAATCTTTATAGGAGACTGTGAAATTTGTATATTTTCCATATGGGATTCGTTGCGGTATGTTTTTTAAAAGCTTTCCATTTGTAAAAGTTTTGACCAATAAATGTGTTTTTATGCCTGAAAAAAAAAAAAAAAACCCAACAAGCCAGAAAAGAGTGGAGGCCAATCATCAACATTTTTAAATAAAATCATTTTCAGCCCAGAATTTTGTATCTGGCCAAACTAAGCCTCATAAGCAAAGGAGAAATAAAATCATTTTCAGACAAGCAAATGCTGAGGGAATTCATCACTACCAGGCCTACCTTGCAAGAGCTACTGAAGGCAGTACTAAATATGGAAAGGGAAAACTGGTACCACCACAGCAAAACACACAAAAATATAAAGACCAATGACGCTATGAAGAAATGGCATTAACTAGTGTGCAAAATCATGATATAACATCATGTTGACAGGGTCAAATTCACACATAATAATAGTATCCTTAAATGTAAATAGGCTAAATGTCCCAATTAAAAGAGACAGACTGGCAAATTGGATAGAGTCAAGATCCACTGATGTGCTGTATTCAAGAGATCCATCTCATGTGCACAGACATACATAGGCTCAAAATAAAGGGATGGAGGAAAATTTATTAAGCAAATGGAAAGAAAAAAAAACAAAGGTTGCAATCCTAGACTCTGAAAAAAGAGCCTTTAAACCAACAAAGATCAAAAAAGACAAAAAAGAGCATTACACAGGTAAAAGGATCAATTCAACAAGAAGATCTAACTATCCTAAATATGTAAGCACCCAATACAGGAGCACCCAGATTCATAAAGCAAGTTTTAGAGACTTACAAAGAGACTTAGATTCCCACGCAGTAATAGTGGGAGACTTTAACACCCCACTGTTAATACTAGACAGATCAACAAGACAGAAAATTAACAAGGATATTGAGGACTTGAACTTAGCTCTGGATCAAGTAGACTTAACAGATATCTACAGAACTCTCCACCCCAAAACAACAGAATATACATTTTTCTCAGTGTCACATGACACTTACTTTAAAATCGACCACATAATTAGAAGTGAAACACACCTCAGCAAATGCAAAAGAACTGAAATCATAAAAAACAGTCTCTCAGACCACAGTGCAAACAAATTAGAATCCGGATTAAGAATCTCACGCAAAACTACACAACTATATGGAAATTGAACAACCTGGTCCTGAATGGCTCCTAGGTAAATAATGAAATTAAGGAAGAAATCAAAAAGTTCTTTGAAACCAATGAAAACAAAGAAACAATGTACAAGAATCTCTGGGATTCAGCTAAAGCAGTGTTAAGGGGGAAACTTATAGCACTAAATGCCCACATCAGAAAGCTAGAAAGATCTCAAATAGACACCTTAACATCACAATTAAAAGAACGAGAGAAGCAAGAGCAAACAAATCCAAAAGCTAGCAGAAACAAGAAATAACTAAGATCAGAGCAGAACTGAAGGAGATAGAGACACACAAAACCCTTCAAAAAATCAATGAATCTAGGAGCTGTTTTTTTGAAAAAATTAATAAAATAGGCCACTAGCCAGACTAAAAAAGAAGAAAAGAGAGAAGAATCAAATAGACACAATAAGAAATGATAAAGAGGATATCACCACAGATCCCACAGAAATACAACTACCATCAGAGAAGACTATAAACACCTCGACACAAATAAACTAGACAATCAGGAAGAAATGGATAAATTCCTGGACACATACAACCTCCCAAGACTAAACCAGAAGAAAGTCAAATCCCTGAGTATCCCAATAACAAGTTCTGAAATTGAGGCAGTGATAAATAGCCTACCAACCAAAAAAGGCTCAGGACCAGACAGATCCACAGCCAAATTCTACCAGAGGTAGAAGGAGGAGCTGGTACCATTGCTTCACAACTATTTCAAACAATTGAAAAGGAGGAACTCCTCCTTAACTCATTTTATGATGCCAGCATTACCCTGATACCAAAACCTCACAGAAACACAACAAAAAAATAAAACTTCAGACCAATATCCCTGATGAACTTTGATGCAAAAGTCCTCAATAAAATACTGGCAAACCGAATCCAGCAGCACATCAAAAAGCTCATCCACCACGATCAAGTCGGTTTCATCGCTGGGATGCAAGGCTGGTTCAACATATGCAAATCAATACATGTGATACATCACATAAAGAGAACCAATGACTAAAACCATATGATTATCTCAATAGATGCAGCAAAGGCCTTTGAGAAAATTCAACATCACTTCTTGTTAAAAACTCTCAATAAACTAGGTATTGATGGAACATATCTCAAAATAATAAGAGCTATTTATGATAAACCCACAGTAAATACCCTACTGAATGAGCAAAAGCTGGAAGCATTCCCTTTGAAAACCAGCACAGAACAAAGAGGCCCTCTTTCACCACTTCTATTCAACAGAGTGTTGGAAGTCCTGGCCAGGGCAATCAGGCAACAGAAAGAAATAAAGGGTATTCAAATAAGAAGATAGGAAGTCAAACTGTCTCTGTTTGCAGACAACATGATACTATATTTAGAAAACCTCATTGTCTCAGCCCCAAAACTCCTTAAGCTGATGAGCAACTTCAGCAAAGTCTCAGGATACAAAATAAATGTGCAAAATTCACAAGCACTTCTATATACCAACAATAGACAAGCAGAAAGCCAAATCATGAATGAACTCCCATTCACAATTGTTACAAAGAGAATAAAATACCTAGGAATACAGCTAACAAGGGACATGAAGAACCTCTTCAAGGAGAGCTGCAAACCACTGCTAAAGGAAATAAGAGAGGAAACAGACAAATGGAAAAACATCCCATCCTCTTGGATACAAAGAATCAATATCATGAAAATGGCCATACTGCTCAAAGTAATTTATAGATTAAATGCTATTCCCATAAAACTACCATAGACATTCTTCAAAGAATTAGAGAAAACTACTTTAAAATTTATATGGAACCAAAAAAGAGCCCACAGAGCCAAGACAATCCTAAGGAAAAAGAAGAAACCTGGAGGCACCATGTGATCTGACTTCAAACTGTACTACAAGGCTACAGTAACCAAAACAGCATAATACTGGTACCAAAAACAGACATATGGACCAATGGAACAGAATAGAGACCTCAGACATAAGACCACACACTTACAACTATCTGATCTTTGAAAATCCTGACAAAAGCAACCAATGGGGAAAGGATTCCTTATTTAATAAATGGTGCTGGGAGAACTGGCTAGCCATACGGAGAAAACTGAAACTGGACCCCTCTTTATACCTTATACAAAAATTAACTCAAGATGGATTAAAGACTTAAATGTAAAATTGAAAACTATAAAAACCCTAGAAGAAAACTTAGACAATACCATTCAGGACACAGGCATGGCAAAGATTTTATGATGAAATTGCCAAAAGCAATTACAACAAAAGCTAAAATTGACAAATGAAATCTCATTAAACTAAAGAGTTTCTGCACAGCAAAAGAAACTATCATCAGAGTGAACAGGCAACCTACAGAATAGCAGAACATTTTTGCAATCTACCCATCTGACAAGTCTAATATCTGGAATTTACAAGGAACTTAAAGAAATGTACAAAAAAAAAAAACCAAACAACCCCACCAAAAAGTGGGCAAAGGATATGAATGGACACTTCTTAAAAGGAGACATTTATGTGGCCAACAAACTTATGAAAAAAAGCTCAACATCAGTGATCATTAGAGAAATGCAAATTGAAACCACAATGAGATACCATCTCATGCCAGTCAGAATGGCGATTATTAAAAAGTCAAGAAACAATAGATGCTGGCGAGGCTGTGGAGAAATGGGAACACTACACTGTTTGTGGGAAAGTAAATTTGTTCAACCATTGTGGAAGACAGTGTGGCTATTCCTCAAGGATCTAGAACCAGAAATACTATTTGACCCAGCAATCCCAATCACTGGGATTCCTTGGGATAACCAAAGGAATATAAATAATTCTATTATAAAGATACATGCACACGTATATTTATTGCAGCACTATTCACAATAGCAAAGACATGGAATCAACCCAAATGTCCATCGATGGTAGACTGGATTAAAAAAAAATGAGGCACATATACACCATGGAAATCTACGCAGCCATAAAAAGGAATGAGATCATGTCCTTTGCAGAGGCACAGATTAAGCTGGAAGCCATCATCCTCAGCAAACTAACACAGGAACAGAAAACCAAACACCACATGTTCTCACTCATAAGTGGGAGTTGAACAATGAGAACACATGGACACAGGGATGGGAACAACACACATCGGGGCCCCTTGGTAGGCAGGAACGAGGGGAGGGAGATCATCAGGACAAACAGCTAATGCACGCAGTGCTTAAAACCTAGGTGACAGGTTGATAGGTGCAAACCACCATGGCACACATTTACCTACATAACAGTCCTGCACTTTCTGCACGTGTATAGATTCAATGCTATTCCAGAACTTAAAGTAAAAAAAAAAGAAAAAAGAAAAAGCCAACTCTATGCTGCCTATAAAGGATTTACCTTAGCTTCAAAAACAGTAATGGGCTGAAAGTGAAAGGATGGAAATATACATTTCATACAAGTAGAAAACAAAAGAGAGAAGGGGGTATATAAACTTATGTCAGATAAAATAGAAGTCAGTCAAAAAGTGTACCAAGAGAAAAAGAAGATTACTCCATAAGGATAAATGGGTCAATCTATCAAGAAGACATAATAATTATAAATATATACGCACCCCAAAATGGAGTGCCTAAATATATGAAGCAGAAGAGAGATATAGCAACATGATAATAGTAGGGGACTTCAATACTCCACTTTCAACAGTGGTTACATCGTCCAGACAAAAAGTCAGAAAAAGAAACATTAGATTTGAACTGTAATTTAAATCAGATGGACCTAACAGACAAATATTAAATATTTCTTCTAACAGCAGCCACATGCATATTCTTCTCAAGCACACATGAAATACTCTAGGATAGGTCATACTTTAGGCCACTAAGCAAGTCATAACAAATGTAGTAAGATGAAAATTGTATCAAACATCTTTTCTATCCACTAAGCTTTGAAAGTAGAAATCAGTAACAAGAGGAAAATTTACAAATATGTGGAACTTAAAGAATACACTCCTGCACAAGCAACAGACAAAAGAAAAATATCAAACAGGAAATGAAAAAGTATATTGAGTCAAATGAAAATGGAAATGCAATATACCAAAATGTGTGAGATGCAGCAAAAGCAGTTCTAAGAGGGAGGTTTATACCTCAAGAAACTAGAAAAAGAACAAACTAAGCCCAAACAAACTAAGCCCAAAGTTAGCCCAAACTTCTTTCCCAAAGGAAAAAAATAATAAATATTAGAGCAGAAATAAATGAAATCGCGAATAGAAAAAGATAAACAGAACTAAGAGTTTGCTTTCTGGAAAGCTAAAAATGGATAAAATATTAGCTAAAGAAAAAAGCTATGTCTCAAGTAAAGTATAAATGAAAGTGGAGACACTACAAATAATACTACGGAAATGCAAAGGATCATAAAAGACTACTATGAGCAATTTTATGCCAACAAATTGAATAACGTAGCAACCAATATTTTATAATAAATCTCTCTCTCTTCCCCCTCTCTATTTATATCTATTCACACATATCTATATTCTATTATTTCTGTTTCTCTGGATAACCCTGATTAAGACAAGTTTATACATTTGAAGGCAGTTTACCATAGTCTTCGGACCCGAGCTATTGCTGCGGAAAAATTTAACTCTGTCCTGCTTTCCAATGCTATAACTGCTTGTGATGGTGGTGGCGATCATTTGTTTTTATCTAGAATCTAACAGGATTATCTTTTAATTTATGTTTTTCTGAAATGTGATGATAATGTGTCTCTGTGTGAGTTTACTTTTATTCACTTCTTCAGCATTGGAGGAGCATTTTCAATATAGCATTTTATGCACTTTAATTATCAAAATTTCCTTATGCTACCTTTTCTCCTCTGTTTTCTCAATCCTCTGTGCAAGACATCATTAGTGTAATTACAGATGGCAAATAGGAATGATAAAACCAATAAGAACTCTTAAAACTTGTGCTCAAAGGGGGAATACACCCATCCCTTCTGTTCATATTTCATTAGTCAAAGCAAATCACATAATCAGGGTTTATGTCAATGAGGTGAAATTAACCATCCTCCCACCAGGAATGGGTCTGGTGGGGAGGGCCAGTGAATATTTTGCCAATAATAAAATATACTACACTCAGTGCCTGTTCATATTTGATCATCGGCTTTGCAGGCACAACTTAGAGCTGATAGGTTAGCTTCACTGTGTAGTCACTGAATGAGGAGTCACGTATTTAACAGTGGAGAATGCACAAGTTAGTACATAGGGTATTTTCCCCCTATGATTATCCAGTTTCTTTAGAAAGGAATCCTTGACTCCTGCTTCATGTAATTTTGCCTGGCCATAGTTGTTCCAGAAGCAAAGAGGACTAAGTGAGCAGGCCTTCAATAAAATATCTTATTTTAGTTACACATCTTGCTCCTGTTTTTCAACATACATGAGTCTATAGTTTCCAGCTTCTTCTACTAAGTTTCCTCAGAGAGTAAACCTTTGTTCTGCCTGGGAGCATTCACCTGGTTAGGTGGCATTATGGAACAATCTGGATTTAAGTCTTTTATATATAGATGCACAAATAATTACCCCATTTCTGGTTATGCACTCACTACTCTTCCTAACTGGGAAGAGTATCTCCAATCTCTGAACTTTTAAAAAGTCCCCTGCCATGAAATGGTTTGGCTCATTATCAGCATTCTCCTCACCATGCACTTAACGTTTCAGTTCTTTCCAGCCAGTTGGATTTGTTATAACTTTTCCATTTGGTTTCCAACTGATCTCCCATTGTCTCCACTTCCATAATCTTTGTCCACGTGGGTTTTACCATTTTATATTCTTTATTGTCAATTTAGTGGCCATTTGAGAGGAAGCAGAGATAAACACATGTGATTTAAAGTCAAAGTGTAAAGGTTTAAAGAGTATAAAAGGGAGTAGAATTGTTGAAGAGTTTTGAAAGAAGTTGGAAGAAAAGGTAAAAATGTACTAGAACAATGTTCGAATGAACACTGAGACAAATGAAACTTGAGGTTGATGACAATGAACAACGAAGAGGGAAAAGAATAAATATAAACTTGAAAAAAGGAGCAAAATTCCTTAACATAATGAAATGGACATAATAAATGTGAATAACCAACAGGTCATAATTACTATGGAAGATAAAAATATAATAAAATAAGTAAAATAATATCTTAATAATAACCTTAATGAGCTTTTATATATTTGTTTTTAAACACGAGATGAAATTATATTTAAAAAAAAACCTGTAATAGGATTTAGACCCAAGGGTGGAAAATATGTTTTGTTCATTTTTAAATTCCCACTTCCAAGCAGAGTGCTTGGAATGTAATTCAATTGCTGTTGCTTGAAGGCCTTAATGCCTTCATGATTTAACATAATTGAGGGTCACAATACCAATTTAGTAATTTTAATTCACCAAATTTGTGCAATAAGAATCTGGCATCTGCAGAGTTATTTAGACAGTATATGAAAACACAACATAGGCTGTATTTGGTAAAGGATCCCATGTTCAGGGAAATATGATAATATTTACATGAGTCTTTCATTTGCAAAACATTTTATACTCTTTCTAAAATTGCTCAACTTTATTCTTTGTTTAATAATTACTGCCAGGATTTGAGGTAGGACCACTTATGTAAGAGAAGCATAAAGTTTTATAAACTTTGAACAAAGTTACAGGAACTTAGATTTATTTGTTGTAGACATATGTGTTCATTCAAAAATATATACATATTGAACACCTATGTTTCTGGCACTCATGCATGTTTTAGTTATAGCGATGAACAAAACAGTGAGACATCCTTTTTCTAGTGAAGCTTATATAGTAACGGTGTTGACAGCTGTTGTGAGACCTCGGTTCTTGTCTCCTAAGCTTAAAAGAACTTAATTAAGAGATACATGGCAAAGCAGATGCAACATAACTTATCGTGAAAGAAAAAGAGTACTTTGAAAGTTAAGTGCAGAGTAGACAGTACACCCCGAGAGAGTTCAGGGTGGGCTACTCGTAAGGATGAGACAGCAAAGACTGGCACTAGGGAGACTCCTTTTGTGGAAGTCTTACATGATTAATCATAAGGAGGTGGGAAGAGGTGGGTGCACATGCGCAGTAGCTGTACATGCTTGTTTATACATTGCATGTCTCATTAGCATCTTAAATCTCCACCCAGGGGTGTGTTTTTTACCATCATGATGAGCAAAGGGTCAGTCTGAGGACAGGTAAAATCAAAGTGTGCATGCTGTCTACAGGGGAAATTCCCTACTGAAGATAGCTTTGCTTGAATGCACATAACTACGATGAGAATGCTGAGGCTCACTGTGTTGATTGTAGGGTCCCACGGTTGCCATGTCCCAACGACATGGTCACTTCCTTGACTACCTGTCCTGCCTCAATAGTAGTAGAGGCACAATGAAAAAAATCAGCAAAATATATAGCATATTGAATTGTTATAAAATTTATGGAGAAAACTAAAGCAGGAGAGGTGGAAAATGTTCCTGAAAAGTTGGCATTTGAGTAAAACCCAAACTTGATAGTGAGGGAAGAGTACTCCCAAAAGAGTCAACAGCAAGTGCAAAAGCCATAAAGTGCTACAGGTTTTGTATTTTTGGAGAATTAAAAGAAGAGAAGTTTGACCTATGTACGATGTGAGTAGGGAAAAGTAGAAGTTAAGTAAGATAGATGATAGGGAAACAAAGTGTAAAAAACTTCTCGGGGGCCATTAAAGGGACTTTGGCTTTTACTATAAGTGACATAAAAAACTAATGAGGATTTTGAGTAGGGCAGTAAAAGCTCAAAAGGAATTCCTTTTTTCTGAGTTCACTACACGTTCTAATAAAAATATTCAGTGACTAAATAAAAGTTAGTATCCATTTTAGCTGTTCTTATACATGTTTGAAGCTAAGCTTCTATTATTATCATTAAATGTATACTGTAAAAGATAAATGGCATTTGTGGCATCAAAAATTTTAATCCAGCCTATATCCTATCCCTTTACCATATAAACTTACATGGCTTCCCAAAGTAACACTGCGTGTGACCACATAGTTTCCTTTTGGCCACATGGTCAAAAAAGTTCACTTACTTTTAAAATCTATTAATACGATACATAAAATTAAAATGTCAAATGAGAAAAAACAATGCTGTCATCTCAAAAGTTCCCCAAATGAACATAATAAAATACAAACAATGTTTTGTTTAACAAAATCCTTCAGAAAATAGATGAATATAAATATGGATATTTCCCAACATAGTAAAGGATATTAAATTTAAGCCAAGAATTTATATTATAAACTTACTGTTGCTTTCTTATTAAAATTACAATGAGTTGAGTGTCCCTGGCAGTCAGAATTCTACAATGGCCTTCAAGTTTCATGCCCCCGCTACACCCAGTACACACACACACACACACACACACACACACACACAAAATCTCTTGTATAATCCCCTTCCATTGAGTACAGATCTAATTTATGAAAATGATGAAATATCACTCCCATGATTAGTTTACTAATCAGTTGACCTTGGGTTAATAAAAAGGGGTATTAACCTGGCGAGTCTGAGCAATAGGATTTATGACCTATTGAAACCATGAGATAATAATTGCCTGTTGTTTTAAGTTGCTATTCTGTGGTAATTTGTTATGCAGAAAGAGAAAACTGAAACAGACTGCAAAATATCACCATTGTGGTATTACACAAAAGAAAGCATATTTATCTAAGGAAAATTCTGTGGTAATTAAGTGAAGACTATTTGAACTAATATAAATTAATGTATATATACATGTATACACAGGTATAAAAAAATAAGCTCGAAAATGGACTCATTTCTTGGTAGTAATAAGATAATTCTAAAAACCTAAAACAAGCTAACAAAAAATACATTGGGTCCGTATGTTTAAATGCATGCGGCATTTCCTCTTTCAGTACCACATACTCCTCCTACAACCTCTCAAGCTTCATTTCATCAGAGACGCCTTCCCTAAATTTTATTAGATTGAAGTCAGTCTCTATATGCTCCTGGTGCTTAACATACCTCTTTCGTTTTATCAATTATGATATTAAAATTATATCTTTATATTGCTTGTTCTTTTATTATTATTTTCTCCAATGGATGACATGAAAATCTCTCTTTGGCTCAGTGTTTTTCTTCAGGACTTCTGTAGAGGTTAGCCCTCAAAAATTGTTATGAATATTTATTAAATGATGAGATAGAACATAAATGTTAATTATTCCTAAGTTAGTTTATAGGTTTGGTAAAGTATCAGTTAATGAATAGCACAGGTAGCCCGTAACAGAGACCCTTCATTATGTAGTGAAAATAGTCAACAAAAGATGAAGTAAAAGAGATGTTTAAATGTGTGTACCTGTGTGTGTTTCTGCATTTATTGTATGCCAAGTTAATTTCTGAATTATTGCACGTTACTTTTTTGTTGGCAAAATAAAGGCAGTGTGGTAAAGAAAAAATTGTCATGAATTTGATCAACCTCTATTTGAAGATAAGAAAATATATAAGTATTTAGTCATTCCCATCTAATGTAGAGTCTCAAAGGTAGGGCAATACCTTTGATTAGCTTTAAATCAATATCAATGATTTTATTCTACTGGAGTTAATAGGTATTTATGCAATCAAATAAACCAAGTATATGAACTCTCAAAATGATTATCACCCTTTTATAATTACAGGTAATTACTTATTAGTGTTAATTCTCACTATAGTTAATAATTTATTCAACAAACAGAGCAGACCAATAAGGCAGGACTTATGATGACATATAAAATCAACCCTAGGACACTTGATTAAGGAAAATGACCTTTTAAGGACTGAGAGATCAGTAGTGCCACCTGCAATATCTATGAAGGGGACCATAGTGTAGAGCCAATGAATGAAAAAGCAGGAAATGATGATAAAGAGGATATTTTTTCATAAGAATAGAGAGCAATAAAGGTAAGGTAAATGAACAAGAAAACAAAGAAAGTAAAAGCAAAATTAGCAACTGAGAAAAATGTGGGAGATGAAAATATTAATCACGGGGAAAAAAAGAAAGAGAAACATTCAAATATGAGGAAAGGAACAATGTCCATTATAGGAGAAACAGAAACTTATCATAGAAGGGAGAAAAATAACTGAGTAAAAAAATGAGAGGATAAAGATAAATATAAAGGCAATAAAAAAGTGATAGGCAAGAGGTAATGTAACCGAACGGTACAGACAGTAGAAAAGATGGTTAGAAAACTGATAATATTGGAATGCAAGAGGTAATGTAACCGAACGGTACAGACAGTAGAAAAGATGGTTAGAAAAGACTGATAATATTGGAATGCAAGGGAAACACACAGAGGAGACAGACTGAGAGAGGAAGAATGAAAGTGAGAAGGCCCGGGATACAGTAAGTCAATTTAAGAGAGAAAGAAAACGGAATGAGAAGAAAAATGAAAGTGGATGAATATAAAAGACAGTAGGGGGATATCTGAACATCAACAGGATTAATATTTCCAAGCAATTATTGTAGAAGCAAACAAATGTTCTTAAAATTCTTATTCTACTATAAGTCATAGGTATTCAAGTAATTAAATAAACTAAGAACATTACCCATAAATATAATCACCCGCTTTTACAATTACATGTAATTACACATTAGTGTCAATTCTGATGGTACTTAGTCACTTATTGAACATATAGAGCAGGCCAATAAATGAATGTAAGAAACGACAAAATCAATTCTGTGTGTGCTTGTGCACAGTTGTGCTTGCGAGTGTGTGGTGCTGTCTCTCCTCACCTTCCTTTCCAGCCCTGTTAGGAGGAACTCATTGTAGAGCCTACATCACAGTGTGAGGAACTGATGATTAATGAGGGAGAGTGTTTTCAAATCTAAGGTTCTTCGTGATCGCTAAACAGTAAAACCACAGGGAACAACAGCACACCTGTGCCAGTACTACCTAAAAATGAAAAATGAGAAGAGTGTTGCTTTTTCCTCCTTTGTCTTTCCATAGGAGAGAAAAATCTTTCAAAAGTTGATGGAGATTTTGACATCTGGTGCTAAGCCAAAGTCCCATAACTATTTCATAAATATGCTTCAAAATTTAACATGCTCTCTAGCTGGGTGCCTGGGAACTTTCCTGCATCAAAGTATTTATGAGTGATAGATAAACTACAGTTGTCAAGATGTTTATGGGTGTTTTCAAAAATGGTTTCATGTCCCCCTGCCAGATTTCTATGGGTAGCTTGAACATACTTGGTGCTGCATAGCAACCTGTACTACTAAATAAAAATAAAATTCTGAAATGTTGTTTCAAACATTCACTGAAGTCCATGTTATTTCTGTTAATGCCTTTGTCTTTTTAATGCAGCCCTTAGATTTCCCAATCAATTTTCACCGACTTTCTAATTTGGACTTCAGTAATATGCAGCAATCTCATCAGAAAATACATTTAGCACATGGCTAAATTACTGGGTTGGTATTTGATTTTCTTTGGCATTTTAAGATAGTCTGAGTAAACTGATAGTAAATGCTTTGGGGACAATAGACCTCTTTTATCAGTGTACAGCTTTCCACTCAGTGTTAAATTATTTCTTGAAATGGGTAGTTGGAGAGAATAATACTGAGAAGAGAAACATTAAATATGTTTGACTAAGCTAAGAGCCCCAGAATATATTTTAAATTAGTAGGTTCAGTATTATCACCCTTAATTTAGTTCAGTCACAAATATACTGTGTTGTGGGATAGCACATTTTTCAAATAAACAGGGACCAGAGTAGCAGAATTAGCTGACACTAACTGAATGGCAATTTTAAGGATTTATTTTTCTGTTGAAATGAGCTCCTAGCGATAAATGTAGAAGAGTCTGGAAATGGACTGGTACAATTCAGAAATCTACAGAAGCTCCTTCACTTATGATGAGGGTGCATCCTGATAAACACATCATAACTTGAAAAGACCCTAAGTTAAAAATGCGTGTAATGCCCCTAACCTATTGAACATCATAGCTTAGCCTAGCCTACCTTAAAAGTGATCAGAACAGTTACTGTAGCCCACAGTTGGGCAAAATAATCTAACACAGAGCCTATTTTACAATACAGTGTTGAATATCTCTTGTAATTTATTGGACGGTGAGCTGAAAGTGAAAAGCAGAATGGTTGTATGGGTACTCCAAGTGTGGCTTCTAATGAATGGGTATTGCTTCCACACTATTGCAGTAAAAAAATTGTGAGCCAAATAATAGTAAGTTGGAGGTCATCTGCATTTTTCTATATTTTGGTGACAAATTCTTGGTTTAAAAATAAAAACATCTAGGTGCAGAATTAGAGTGAAATATCAGGGTTGGAAGGGCAGTAGGGCATGGGGGTGACATACACCCAAGGACACATCTTTGAAACCTCACATTCTACTTTAATCTAGCCTTTCCTTTTTATTCCTCTTCTTCTCCTATGTGAAAGATGAAACAGTCCCTAAAGCCAATTTCAGCCCCTCCTCATGTTAGTTCTCAGTACTTCATGATTGTTTAAAATGTGTGATCTTTTCCCATCATTTCTAAAACCTCCTAGATATCTCGCCTTTTCACTGTTATTGCAATCTCTCCAGAACATTGCTGCTGACTTGCAACCCATTCTTCCCCTTTTTTTTTGTCTTTCCATTGGCAAAGTCACATGGTATAGTTGTGAGTCAATACCATAAAGGAACTTTAACATACATATGCATATCAGGATATCAGAGAAAATATGAAGAATAAAGCAACTGTACAAATTTGCAGCACCATCCAAAAAGTGGTAAAATTTCCACCACTGCTGTCTTACATAAATATATTTTTAAAGATTAAAAGCATGTGGGAAGATAAACTAAACCAATCTGTTTCATCTAAATCAGTATGATTTACTTTGTCTACATATTTATAGCCAATTTTTTGTCAAAGTTATTTATACATACACAAACACACACACATATATATATAAAATACACACACACACACACAAACGAATTCCTCAGCTAAGCATATTGCTATATAGATATAGTGTAATGGGTTTTGAAGGATAAACAGTTGTTCCTTTAGGAAACAGAAGAAATAGCCCAATTTTCAATCTACTGCATATATTTTAAGTGAAATTAGTGGGATGTCTTCGTGCAAGAAAGATCCACTAAGAAGGGCGATGGTTGATATTTGGTCTTCATTCAAAAAAGTTGCTTTGACCTCAAGTGAAAGTACTGAGAAGAACAGAAAACAATACTGTATGTTATATTGAGGAGCTGAAGCACATTTATTGTGACACTTGATGATAATATAATAATATGCCTTGGTACCATATTATTTGGTGTGCCATTCTTAGATCTTATGTTGCCATAACGACAGAATATGTGTGTGTGTTTAGTAGAAAGACAATCCTTTTTTCTTCCAGTCAATTTTTTCTTTGATCTACAGAACTTGCTTCTTTTCTCTGAAGTTTTCACAATACAGCATGATAGAAGGAGCACAGGTAATAATTACAGAAACTTCAAGAGAAAAAGAATACATGTTTTAAATGAAAGCGTTAAGCCCCTTGCCTTATGTCCTAAGACACTTAAAGATGATTGAAGTGATTCCTGTCTGTATCTATCATAATGCCCCTTTCCCCTTAACAGGGACAAACTAAAGATACAAAGGTTATGGCTTTCTTGATTAATCTATGTGACAGGGGCAAATTGCCTGTTTTCTTTTATTCCTTTTTTTTTTTTTTCCTATAGAGTGCCAGAGGCAGGGAATTCCTATGCTTCACTAGTGACTCATAAGAAAACTTAATAGAAGGTCTCTACTGCCTGCTGGCCCTGCAGTACCTGATTGATGTGGTCCCAAACTAAAGTAGGCTAACCTTCATTGAACCAAGCACTTCAGAGCCATGGGAAGAAGTATGGGGGAAGGAGTCCTTGTACTCTGGCAATGAGGAAAGTAAGTCTGCTATTTTGCTGTTAGTTGTGTTATCTATATTTTTGAAGACAACCTTTTGTTATCATTGTTACCTGTAGAGTTACTGTATTTTTGTAGTAAGTGTATTATCTGTAGTAACTGTATATTGTTGTTACTGTATTATCTTAGTAGTTAAAAAATATAGGTCTCTGTGAAACCCTCAGTTTTCTAGATTGTAACATGGATTTAATAACATATAATATTTTTGGTGAGAATTATGTTAAATAATCTATGCAAACGTTTAAAAGACTACCTACAAAAAACTTTGAGTATAATCAATGATAATTACCATAATTACATGAAGGGACGTGGAAAACACTGAAGGGGCTCTTTAGGCTACTGCTGAGCTGATGACATATACTCTTTACCCCTGAAGTCACTGTGCCCCTTTTCCTTCAGTACAGAAGAGTTCATCAAGTTTGCATTTGTTAATCCAGTTCACATTTGATAATCTTCTTGCTAACTATCACCCATGACCCCAAGCCAACACAGTAAGCTGTTAAGAGGCACTATGCTAGGTATTTAATACTTCGTAGCATTTACCATGGTGATGTTGGGCAGGGAGTTACTTATAAAACCATTATTTTAGATATTTTACAATTTCAAAGAAACATCACATGTATTTTCAGTAGCAAATATGTACACATATTTAATATTAGATATGAATATCTTATCAGTGGTCCTCAAATCCAGCTGTGCATCAGAATCACCATGGAGAGTATTACAAATGTAGGTTTATGGGTACCCCAACACTGATGTTATGATTTGGTAGGAAAAAAGTAGGGCCACAAAACCTACATCTTGACAACTTCTAAGACTAATCTGATATAAAATCCAGTTTGAGAATTAGAGTTCTGTAGTAGTTACAGTACTTAAACTTATATTAACTTTGTGGTAAACACACACACACTCAAACACATACACACTATTTGCTACTTTTATTTTCCTTCTCCTCATGTATTTACAGCAATGCTAAGAAAGAGACAATATGATACCCTACATAATAAAACATAGGATGTACTGTATTTGCTTTTAGCACAATTGAAAGACATGCCAGAAAAAAGTAGACCTGAGAGAAAAATATTCTACAATGCTTTGCAAAATTATCATTATTTTAATCATGTAAAAAGGACTGAATTTAATTTTTGCAAGTTTTTCTTTTCTTTGCATGTTAAGTATTGAAATATCTTCAATATTGTGATCTCTTCCAATGTATCTCAGGAAAAAGCAAGGGCTATATTCTATCATTGTGGCCTATCTTTGTATTTCTATTTATGAGGTAGGCCATCATTACAACGTTAAGTAATTAATGAGATATGACCAGTGAAATTATTATGGGGCTTTAAATCATTTAAAGTTTATTCAGTATTATTACATCTTTGACAAAGGAAAATAAAATTCATGATGAAAATGAGAATTACAACCTCATCTAAGCTAATCTAACTGTGGTTTTAAAATATCACTTGGATCAATTCATTAGCTCTCCCTGATAACTGTCAGTCTCAATATATAGGTGACTGACCCAACTTTATAGTATTCACCATAACTCCTTAGCTACAGCTGACAGTACTGAAAATTGTGTGGGATTATTTCTCCTGTGTGTAACGTGGTCCTGCATATTAACATTGGCTAGTTGAATGCATGTTCCCTAAAAGCATCCCTCCTTCAAATTTGAGCTCCATGTAATGTGTTTACATTTTATTTTCTTCAGTTTCAATTAACTGGCCAAATCCAACCTAACCTTGTAGAGGAAACAACTAGTAACAGTGTTATCAAAGGACTCAAACAGGCATGCGTGTTTAGACATTTGGTATATTCTGTTCTGCTTATGTACAGGAGATGGTTCATGAAGCCATTTGAAAAAGTTGCTTTCCCACTTACAAGCTAAACTCTGTGTGACAATTTTTTAAGCTATCCCCATGCATTCGAAGCACTTGGGGCTTTTCTTGCATTCTACATTTTTCAGTATGTGTGCCAGCTTGTCCTCTATCCTCTGAATTCACCCAGTTCAAGTCCTGGTTTTAAAAATTTTATTAATTATACTCTTTTAAAAGCAAATGTCATAAATTCTATGTAAGAATAAATACACAGTTGTGACTGCCCATTTTATTACAGTAACTGTGATACTAAGAAATAGAGAACAAAAGTATGCAAACTTGGGAATTAAAATGACTTAGATTTTACTCCATAAATCTGTGGTAATCTTGGGCCAGTTCTTATTACACTAAGCCTTTGTTCCCTCATATGTAAATGGGAATAAATATGCTTATCTTCTGCTTCACAATGTGGTTATGAGTTTAAAATAAGGCAATTTATGTGAGGATGCTTTGGAATTGTGAAGCATTATATAGAAAAATTATGTTATTAAAATAAGTAACTTCCAATTTAATATCTCAGTTGTATAGAGTAAAAGATTGAATAGGTTTTTGTATATAGCAGATTTGGCCAGGAATCAGTACCATGACTTCTGTGAAATATGGTTAATAATGTCTAAAAGTTAGGACTTCTCTGAAGATTAATAAGATCAAGTTTATCTCTTGACTGCCTCTCCCCTCCAATCTCTACTTCCTAAAACCCTGTTTTCCAAATCCATACATCTCAGGCTTTTGCCACAAAAGTTTGATTTTATAAGCATATATCTGTAAAAACACACACACACACACACACACACACATACACACATACACACATATATATAACAAGCCAACAAAAATCCTCCTCTCTGGTTTCCCATGGAAGCTATGTATCTCCATCATGAAATGTCACCATGATGATTTTATGTTTTTCACTGACTACTAGGTTATACCGTAAATTCCTTGAAATATAGGACAATTGACTTAATTTGCTTTATATTTTCATGATCTGACACCTCATATACTTAACACTCAATAAACATTTTTAGAATTAAAGTAAGTAGCTCAGCAATGGGCATTCAATTTCACATGAATTCATGTGAATTTGAATGCCCATTACTGAGCTACTGACTACAGAAACTGCGTTGTAATTCTTACTTATTAGATTAAATCCAACTTCTTCTCTGTTATTTGGAAATAATAAAAAAAACCCTGATGTTATACTGAGTGTTATAGTAAGATACATTTTATTCAGAGAAAGTGTTTTTCTGTAATAAGCTGTTTATTACAGTAAAATTCCGTTTAAAACTTCTGCTATGTATTAAGAATGATAACACTATTTATCCTTAAGATGTTTGTCCTACACCCAGAGGACATACAGTCATATATTATATTGGAAATATTATTCATGCCATTTAAGTTCCAGAACAACTGCAAGTCCCACCCAAGCAATTAATACATCTTTTTATACAATAGTCATACAATCCATTAAGTGTGTTTACCCACAGTGGAATTGTAACTGGGATGGACGATATGAAATCAACCTTATAACTTCTCAGAAACTCATAGTTGCACAATAGCAAGAATGAATAAAAAGGGAAGAGTCTCACTCTGCCCTCCTTTTTTTAATCTGTGAAATTTGAAACTAAAAAATTAATCGTTTTCTTCAAGTACAAGTAGGGTTTGGAGCTCCCATGGAGTGGCTTGCCCAGCAGCCTTTCATCCCCTTATTGAATCTCTGAAGATACATGCAATGCACAGTGAAAGCACTACCCTCCACTTTCTGCATTTTCTTGGTCTTTCCTTTCCATTCCCCTCAAAAGTATATAAAAGCAGATATCAGGGATTGAGGGAGGTAATGATCATGATTGGTAACTGAGGTGGGAAGCACTGCCTATGATCCTAAGAAATGTTACTTTCCCCCAGACAAACATTAACAGTGCAAGACACAGTGAGAGTCACAGATCCATGGATGGACGATCCTTTTGAGGACAATAGAGGGGGAATTTGGATAAGTTTCCTGAGTGAGAAACCTTCCAGATGGCAATCTGAAAGTTAGCTGTTCCTTCTCAAAACACAGAGCTTTCTCAAGAGAAAGATAACACCCTCTTTCATCAGAGCGAGCGAGGTAAGTTTTCAACAGAGTTATTCCGGAATTGGAAAACAAAATGTGTGCAAGGAGTTTGTTGTTGTTGTTGTTTGTTTGTTTGCTTACACAACATAGTAGAAATACCTGATGTTTTGCAGTTGAGGCAAAACATCCTCTAACACAAGAATACAATGTTTACAAGGCATCCGAGGACCTTTCCAATCAGGAATAACAGCACAGAACTCAAAGAGGTCAACACAGACTAGAGTACGAAGCAAACCAGAAGGGGTTATGAGTCTCATGCTCTACCAACTGAGCTAGTCAGGTGACCATAGAAGAGAAACAGGACACAGAAGTGACCCAATTACTTCCCAGTCCTCAAACTGGAGTTAGGACTCATCACTAATAAGGAAAATTGCTGATTATTGTTCATACTTGAATATGGTATGTAGGTGATTATGTATACATTTAAGTTAATCAGTCACTGCATTCATTTAACCATTTTGAAATTCAGTTGTTTTTAATACATTTATTTGATTGAAAAGTTAAGATTAAAACAAATTAAAAACCCAAATGTACATCAGCAATGGATCATTCTTACAATTCTATACAATTGAATACTAATAAACAATAAAAAGAAGAAGCTATAGTTACACTAAATAAGGATCTTCAGTAAAAGAAGTCAAACACAAGTTTATCTAATATTTTATTTATATTAAGTTCCAAACAAAAAAACTACTATACTGTGATACAATGGTACATATAAAAATGGATAATGATTTTTATGGGGTGTGTGTGACTAAAAGAGGCTATGGAGGTTGGGGGGCCTCTGGATGACGGTAATATGATTCTTTGATCTAGATGCTGGTTACTGGGATTTTATCACTTTGGGGAAATTTTACCAAGTTACAGAGAATGACCATTCATATGTCATCTTTCATTTGAAAGAGTTCAAAATAAATAAACACACAGGTCATGAATGTAATATATCGAAGAAATACATGGCAGGACAATTTTCTTGTCAACAGCTCTCACATTTGACATCCCAACCAGCATACTCCACACGTCAATGAACAATTTGCCAAATCCAAATATCCTAATATTTCAAATTTGATGCTTTGGTTCATTTTGTTCCCCCAGCTTGGATGATCTACCTTTTCTCTCCCCTGGAGAAACCAAGTTCAAGCCACAAAGCCCATATAATATTTCTCTGAACTTAAGAGCTCTTGATCTGAACATCTTTACATCTTTGATTATCTCTAAATGAACTTTTTTTTTTTTTGAGACAGAGTCTTGCTCCTTCACCCAGGCTGAAGTGCAGTGCTGCAATCTCAGCTCACTGCAACATCTGCCTCCCAGGTTCAAGCAATTCTCCTGCCTCAGCCTCCTGAGTAGCTAGGATTACAGGCACACGCCACCATGCCTGGCTAATTTTTGTATTTTTTTAGTAGAGGTGGGGTTTCACCATGTTGGCCAGGCTGCTCTCAAACTCCTGACCTTGTGGTCCGCCTGCCTCAGCCTCCCAAAGTGCTGGGATTACAGGCATGAGCCACCACACCCGGCCTGAATGAACTTTTTTTGGTGCCTATTCCAGTTTGTGTGCTTGTCCTACTCTTTCTCTTAAACATGAAGTTTCCTTAAGTCAGGGGCTATGCTTGCCATCTTTGTATTTCCATCTAAAGTACTTGGCATAGCTCCTGGCCTATATTAGGTACCATAGTCTGTAAATATTTGTACAATGGAATGATACTTACAGCCATTTTTGACGGCAATATCTTTATATTCCAAACAATTTTTGAGGTCATTCTGCAGTTCCTCAGAAGGCTATGATCTTTTAATCTATGGTCAAGGATAAGATTATTTGCGGTACTTCATCACAGTATAACATAACAGCAAACTTTAATTGTTTAATATTTCATTCTGCAAGATCTGCCTAATAGACGGAAAAAATGGTTCCTTTCTTATCGGAGTGAATGTTCCAGGGAGACTACTATATATATATGTGTATATATATATATATATATATATATACACATATATATATATGTATGTATATATGTGTGTGTATATATGTATATATGTGTATATATGTGTGTATATATATGTGTGTATATATGTGTGTATATATGTGTGTATATATATGTGTATATATATGTGTATATGTGTGTGTGTGTGTGTGTGTATGTATGTGTGTATATATATATATATATATATATATATATATATATATATATATATCCTGTAACTATATTGCAACAAAACAAATTATCAACTCCACTCACGCTGGGGCTGAAACTTTCTACCTTGATTTGCATTCACTAAACAACTCGGGCTAAGCCTAGCTCTAAGAATCAAATCATTACTATAAATGTAATGATCTGTTATGCTGCTCTCTCTCTCTCTTCATGATTGCTGTTTTTCTTCCTTGAACCTGGAACGCAAAGAATTAGGAGAAAGTTGCAAGTCTAGAAGGTGAAATCAAGGATATATTCTTCATACTATCACACAAAATTAAGGAAGCTGTGACAAATTTTTAATCAGAAGGGGCTCTATCTGCACTAGACAATACTATTCTCTTTAGGTCTGTTTAGATAGAGACCAGTTCTGTCTCTTGGTTGAGGGGATTATCATAATTTTCATTTTTTATTTCAGAAGGCTCAATGTCTCTACAATTTCTTTTTGTACCTCAGCAGTCAACTAAGTCATGCAGACAGTTTTTTACATAACCTTCCCACCTGCCACTTGTTTGGCACATTATACTGCTTGGGAGAACAGTGAACCAGCTGTAAACAGGTCCTGCAGAGAAGCTTCCAGATTGCAGCAGTTTAAGTTCTGATTGCTTGCTTCCCTCCTGGCTATGACATTGTTTTTCCCTAACATTGAAATACCATTATTTTCTTGATACAAACTTTGTTTACTGCTTGTGATCGTGTTGCCTAGGGTTTCGAAAAATTAGTGCCCCTTAAATAATCCAAGAAGAAAAAAGATCATCTAAGAGAAAGCACAGTTACCATGCAGTATCTTTCAAGGCTTGAAGCTGCACCGATTAGAATGCTTTTCTGTGGTTACATATCTTCATCTGCCATATTGGCTGGAGACAAAAAAAAATGCCTTCTCTCCATTTTACTCACACAGATTTCTAGAAACTGACTTTTGCTCTCAAATATGCAGTATGCAGAACTCCTTGAGAAATAACATTTATCTAAGATTGAGCCTTCACAATTGTAAAAATTAGTGCACTCATCATCTTGCAAAAGAGCTTTCAAATGAAACATAACAAACCTAACTGGAGAGCAGGAAAAAAAAAAAGGGGGTCAGGGAGACGGGACTGGATTACAGCAGCAGATAAATATTTTTCATTAAACATCAAAAACAACATCTGTTACTCTCTTTAATAGTGTGAAGATTTCACTTTATTAAGTTTGGGGTGGTTAATGACTTTCAAAGTAATTTGCAATTTAAACATGCCTCTATCTAGTGACTAATTCATGACAGTCTTCAGCATTAACTATCAATTTTATTAACGGTTTCTCTCTCAAAAGTGAAAAAGTGGTACATCATTTCCTTGAATTGTGATAATAAGAAATAAATGGATATTCTAAAAATATTTAGTCTGTGACTTTTCTCAATGTTTCCCATTTCTAAACTTTCCCCTTTTTATCCGAGAAAGGAATATCTGGGAACTAAAGAACAATTGATTAGTAAAAGCAAGAATCTCTTCTTTTCTCCTATATTATTTGTCTCCAAATTGCCAGCTGATGGTGGTCATTACATTTCTTGTAATGACGACTTTATTCACAGAGCCAGGCTCCGCCTAAGTTCTTCAGTGAATGCAGATCAAAGTAGAAAGTTTTAACCCCACAGTAATGCAGTTGACAACTTGTTTTGTTGCAATATACCTAGAGCATGGGTGAGATGATGAGAACTCAGAGTATGCTGAAGCCACAGTGCTTGCCTGTACATTCCCAACCTTCACTGTGAGTTTCAGCTTCAGCTTCTTATCACCCACTGGGGCTGTGCTCTCAACTCCAATGTGATTAGCTGATGCTCTTAGTAATGTCTTACCCTCAAAAAGGCTGGAAATTATTTCTTATTTTCAACCAATACTTGAAGTCAATACAACAGAAACATCAGTCCATTTCAAATTTGTGCTTATGATGTTCCTCAGGAAGACATGATACCACTGATAACCTCACCTTGGTAGTCAACCTGTTCTCTCCCTAGTTTTGCCTAATGTTAATGAGAGAATATTAACATTCTCTCTTTATCCACTTACCTATGTCAGTTAAGTCCCAGCAGGTTCCAAGTCAGCTTAGTGTATCAGTAATTTGAAATATATATTTCATTAAATATGAATATATATATATAAAATCAATTGTATCCTTTATTTCTTTATCCAAAACCAATTTTTTTTTTTTGGAATTCAGAGGAAACATGATTCCACATTTAGAAAAGGTAAGAGAAAGAAGAAAAAGAAGAAAAGAAAGCATTTTCTTTCACATGGAATATTGTATAATTGCCCCTCTTGGTACTGTTTATTTTTAAACTTAACTAAGTACGTTCAAATAGACCTCAGTTCCTAAATTTTTTACAAAATGATAATTATATTTCCCTTCAAAAGATCTATAAGATATTCAAATGAGGGAATTACTAAAGTCTTCTTTTACAGTATCCCCTAAAGATAGAATTGGTAGAGTCTGATGGGTGAAGAAAATAGTCTAAATCAATCCTGGTATTTCTTTGCAACCTCATATTTTATTTGAAAGATTCATGAAGATTTTGTATTTGACTCCCTAATGTAGGTGAGTAGGTCTTCTGTGTCTGCATTTAAGATTTTTCTTTTTTTGCATTAGCACAAGTTTTGAGCAACTTACAATATGCACTGTTACAGTTTTCTTCACGTTTCCAATACTTGGGTTTTGCTTAATCTCTTTGTTCTTTGAGTTTATAGTCTTCTCTGAAATTTGAAAATATGTTGGACATTATTTCTTTGCTTGACTTCTTTTGTATGTAGTTTAAAGAAGATACCACAAACTTGGCATTTAAAGTGGCAACCCTTTATTTGTTCACAGCTCTATAGGTCAGAAATCCAATAAGGCATAGAGAGGTCTTCTGCTTAAACTGTTGTGTCTGACTGGGTTCTCTTTTTTTTCCTCTTTCTTTTGGAGGCTCTGGGAACAAAATCTTCTAAAATCCTTTTTGTTGGCAGAATTTAGTTCCTTATGATTTTAGGACTGCTTTCCCCATTTCCTGCTGGCTATAAGCCAGGAGGTGCTTTTCCTCGATGCTGCCTGCTTTCCATGACACTTGGCCCCTTCTATCCTTGGGCCAGCATTGATATGCTGAAGCTTTCTTATGCATCAGATCTCTGACTTTCTCTTCTGCAACTGGCTAGAGAAAGCTCTCTTCTTTCCAACACTTTATGTGATTAGGCGAGGCCCACACAAATAATCTTCCCATTTAAAGGATAGTTGTGCCTTATAACCGAATCAAGAAAGTAAAATCTACTGTATTCACTGTCCTGGGGATTATATAGGGTGAATACACCAGGGGCTGAAAAATGTTGGGGCCATATTAGAATTCTATCTACCACCTTAGCTATTATTTTGTGCCCATCCTCTCTCTCATTGAGGGATTCTCATTACGTGCATATTCAGACTGCGATGCGGTCCTGCAGCTCGCTGATGCTCTGTTAATTTTTTTTAGTCTATTTTCTCTCTGAATTTCATTTCCAACTATTGCTGCTGCTATATCTTCAAGTTAACTACTCTTTTCTTCTACCATGTGAAATCTGTTAATTACAACCAGTGTATGTCTCACATGTTGTAGTTGTATTCCTAGAAGTTTGAATGGGGTTTTAAATATCTTCCATGTCTCTAACTTTTTGAATGTATGTAATACAATTATAATTGCTATGTTTAAGTCTTGACTATTAATTCTAAGGCATGTGTCCTCTCTGAGATGGTTTCAATTGATTATTTTCATAATTATATTCTGTATTCTCCTGCTTATTTGTAAGCCTGGTAATTTTTGCTTGGATATTAAGCATTATAAATTTTATTTTGTTGTGCCTAGATATTTTTGTGTTTTTATAACATCATTGATTTTTTTGTTTTGGTTTTTGTATTCTCTGGGACACAGTTAAGTTACTTGTAAAATACCTCATCCATTTGGACCTTGCTTTTAAGATTTGCTCTATAGGACTAGAGCAGTAAACAGTCTAGAACCAGAGAGGTGACAGAAATTAAGAGTTCAATTTTGGATGTCTTAAGCTTTAGGTGCTTGTTAGACATATGAATGATGCTACAGAATAGGTAGTTGAATATATGCGTCTAGTTTCAGAGCATAGATTAGTGATGGGAATATAAATTATCTTAATAATGCAAACAAGCAATTTAACACACACATAACTGTGTGTTATTTAACTGAAGGAGTCTAATCGATAGGACTGGCAGAAAAAGGACACTCTGACTTTTTATGTCGTTGTTGTACCATGGTTCAGTATTTTTTCAAAGTGTGGCCTCTGGATCAGCAGCATTACCACCTGGAAATTTGTTAATAATGCAAATTTGTGACTCTACCTCAGGCCTACTGAATCAGAAGTTTCAGGAGTGGGGCCAGCCATCTTTTTAAATAAACCCTCTGGATAAATCTGATAAACTTAAGTTTGAGAGCCACCCATTTTGCCAATAAATGCTAGAGAGTACTTTGTGGATTACTGTACTGTCATCTTAGCTGCCAGGTCTCAAAAAAAGCAGATGTTTCTAGATGAGGAATAGAGAAAGGACATTCTATGTCAGAGGAGCAACCCGTGAAAAGGCATTGGGTCTAAATGGCATTCACATCAATCCCTCACTATTTAGAGTAATTTATATAATCTTTTTTAATTGAAAGAGGCACTCTGAGCATCCCTAAGTGTCAGTTTCTAATCAGGGAATTCAGTGAAAATCCTTTTCCTCCTAAAAATTTTATCTGAGCTTTCTAGAAAATACAATGTTTCAAAATACAATGTCAAAATACAATGTTTAAAAAATCCCAATTTTACAAATGTTTGTACGGTTGAAATGTGTAAATTGAAGTAATAATTATTCAATTTCTAACCCTATATTTACTTTGAGACTATGGACAAATCAGAAATTCAATTTTCCAGATATTTTTACTACTCTAACTTTTCCTACAAGAGCTTAACACATGCCTAATACATGATAAGTATTTAACGAATACTAGCAAATATAATTTGTATTATTTCAAAAGCACTGACCGTTCCCTTGGTGCATTTTGAAGAGTGTCACAGGGGCTCAGTGATTCATAGCTAGTGTTCTAAGTAATCTCTTCCATTTAGGTAGTACGCATTTGCATACCATAAAAGTAGAGCATGATTAATTGCATTTATAGCCCTAAGAAAGTGCTATTTTGGAATAAATATGGCCTGCCTGTAAAGGTATTATTAAATACCACACTTTCTTCTTTCTCAAAAGTAAAAGATAGATATTACCTGTCTAACTTCTCCCTAGATGGGCTGGATCAGACACTTATAAGGGGAGCATAGTGCTGAGACAAGGTCTACGAGGCCAGAAATGTTAAATTGGCTGTCAGGTACAGGGATATAAGTTCAAGATTAGAAATAAAATATGAAGGCAAATGAAGACAGGAAATGGGGGTAGACGAAGAGTTAAGTAGGACCAAGCTGAGCCAGCCCAAGATTAGGTGAACTGACCTGGACCACTCCTCTCACCTTCCCAGAACTCCACCTTGATGACTGGTTTTGACAAAATGCTTTACTTAGGATCTGGTGCACACTCTCTTCCACTTCTTAAATAGATGCCTGTTTAATTCATGTTTCAAGCAATTTCAAAACAAAAATTTCTTACTTCAATACAGGTAGGTAATCCTGAAATGGATTAAAGGTTACTATTTCTGTCAAAAGCATCATTCCACTTATGCCTGGGCTCAATATTTTACAGTTATACTATTAATTCTCTTTCATTAGCCACATCTCCCTTCTCACTACTTTTTATTTTATTATTTATTTATTGAGATGGAGTCTCACTCTGTTGCCCAGGCTGGAGTGCAGTGGTGTGATCTCAGCTCACTGCAACCTCTGCCTCCCAGGTTCTAGCGATTCTCCTGCCTCAGCCTCCCAAGTAGAGACAGGGTTTCGCCACATTGGCCAGGCTAGTCTCAAACTCCTGACCTCAGCTGATCTGCCCGCCTCGACTTCCCAAAGTGCTGGGATTGCAGGTGTGAGCCACCGCGCCTGGCCTCCATTTTGTTTTTAATGTGGTGGAATACATTACATTTTTGAGTACAATACAAGACACTAAAAAAAGTGTAAAAAACTTATGATGCAGTTACATTACTCAGGCACCAGGCTTGGACCCACCCATGGTCTAGGAAGTTGAGTGGTAACCACCTACCATTAAAGTTTTTCATGCCAAAATGATATTTTTCATAAAGTGCTATACAGAAATCTGGGGTTTCAATTTGTTTACTCTTCAAAAACTTTAACAGATTGAAAACTCTGTTGTGGAGAAAACTGTGGATTGGTTGCAAATATCCTTGGAGGCTACCTCTGTGAAAAAGGGTGACTGCCCTCGGTCTGGGCAAGAAAGAAAATCAGCCTGTCAACTTTGACAGTAAAATGCCCAATGCAACTTCTTGTTCAGCTTGTTTCTAAAACATATAAATCCCTTGTTAATCAATAATACAGCACTCAGTCACTAATTTCAGAATAGAATTATGAATAAGCTGTGACCCAGCATTTCTCAAAGACTGCTTGGAACATCTAATACTTAAGAAAGATAGCTTAATAGGCATGTAAATCTTTTAATTCTCTAGGTTCAATAAATTATATCCTGACATTTAGATAACCAGAAATAAGGTACTAGAGTAATATTGCCTCAACTGTTCTTAGGAATCTCTTTGTTCATGAGAACATCAATTATGCACTGAATGATGCAAAATGCGGGAGATACTATTTTGGGTACTTTGGAATATCACAGGAAAAGGAAACACAAACCATTTAAGATGGCATTTTCTGACTGCAACTCTTAGAGAGGGTTAATAGCAAAAATTTTCATACATAGAATATTTGTGTATTTTTAAAAATCAGTATTAATTAATACTATTAATTAACATGTATTTTATAATCGATGTTGAGAAAAAAAGCAAAATAGTTCTTATTTTTATCCCACAGACTAATTTAATAAATATTTATTGATTGACTTCCATGTATAATAGAAATATGACGGGAAACCAGGCAGACATAATCCCCATCTCGAAGAAAAATATACTAAAGAAAGCTTGGGAAAATTACAATTAAAGACATAGCCATATTAAAGCTTTAAGACCGTTTGAAAAATTGTAAAATAATCAATTATAGGTAATGAAGCCTGAATAAAATAATGGGAAATTCATTACACCTAAAAACTTAGCCTATCGGAAGCTATTCTTTTTAAGGACATAATTTATCTTTTATCTTCCTGATACTAATATTTACTCTGAAAAAGACTGAAAAGTTCATATAATTCCTTCTTATTGGCAATGATGATGACTTTATTTCTCCAAATACAACCGTTTACTTTAAAAAAGTCAAATGACGAGAAATCCTTTACTAGTCCTATTTCTTATTAAGTCACATAAAGTGCAGAACTCGTTGTACATAATTATCTCATCGGATCACCTTTATTTCTCTACTCCTATTTTTTGTTGTGATTTTATATTGTCCATTTTTAGGTTACCTTCTTTACTGTATGTGGTTTCAAACTTGCAAAGACAGTTTTTGGAAGAAGCAAAGCATAGCAAACTTTATTAAAGATGTGCAAACACGTTGAAAATACATTCCACATATTAGGTAGAAATTCTCCATTCCATATTAAGTGTAGTTTATTTCTTAATTCCATATGAAGGGCAGTTATTTCCATATTAAGTGTAGTGGCCACCTACAACATTCACAGAGTGTATTACTTATGCCCTTTAAGAGCAAGCACCACCCATTATATATGCGTGTATATTTTTGTGTGACCTGTGAAAAACTCTATTAGGACCAACATCAGTTTTCCACTTTCTCTTTGTTAACGAAGAGACTTGATCATGATTTGGTGAAGTAGGTTTTGTGAGTGGCAATGCACAGAGGCCAGGGCAGTGTATCATGTATATTGTGTCCTCATTCTCTATATTCATAGCCTTCATTTCAGCTGGGGCTGGACATGTGGTCCAGTTTTTGCCAATGATGACAGAGAAAATCTGATGAGAGGATTTCTAAAAAACTTTTTCTTTCTTATAAAAAGTTCACAGAATTGTCAGGCACTGCCTTTTCCCCTACCTTCATTGATTAAGAGGCCACGTCAAAGATATGACATATATTTTGTGACTGTGAGACATTACCCAAGATGGAAGCCAACAGCCTCAGAATGTTGGAGAAAAGTTCAAGATCCCAGATGTCAGTGGGTAGAGGAAATGGGGAGATGTCAAAGGGTATAAACTTCCAGTTATAAGAGGAGTTAAGTTCTGGGAATCTAATGTACAGTAAGGTGACGATAGTTAATAATAATATATTGTATACTTGAAATTTGTCAAGAGAGTAGATTTTAAGTACTCTTATCACATATGCATAAAAGAAAATTATGTGATGTGACAGATATGTTAATTAGCTTGATTATGGATAACATTTCACAATGAATATGTATATGAAAAAATCATGTTGTACACATTGAATATATGCAATTTTTATTTGTCAATTATACCTCAATAAAGCTCAAAACAAAATACTGATGTTATGTCATTTTTAAGAAGCTGAACCAGCACTAGCAATATCTGCTATGGTCTTCTTACCATGTAAAAGAGATGAACAACCATATATTTAGAAAAGTATTAGTTGGGGTTTCAGTTTATGGCAGCTGAATGCGTTCTTAACTTATGCACTTTCATACCTTTTCATTAGTAGTACTCAATAAATAATTTTTCAAATTGTTCTTTAATCAAGATGTCATGTATGTTACTTGTCACCCTCCCACTCGAGTGATCTAAATTTGTTGCTCACTAATTTTTGCCAGAGCTAGTCAGTAGACCTTTAATAACTATTTATCAAATGAAAATGAATAAAATTTTTATAATACTCATTTATGTTTTCTTGCTACATAAATTTCCTTCTCTTTCCTGTAATCTTGAGGTCAATTTATTTTTCCAGATCATAATTTTGATCATGCCTTTTTTCCTGTTTATGTATGTTAAATGGCTCCCCAGAGTCTACAGAAATCCAAATTTGTTACTCCATTATTTGAAATCATTCAAAATCTACCCTTAATATTTCTTTTCAATCTAATTTCACATTATTGATTATAATCCAAACAAATGGCTGTCACTTTTTCTTACACAGCTTACCAACTTTGGGGAGGGGATACTAATTATTTTGCTGAAATGACTGACCACTCCTCATTTGTGCCTAGCAATCACTTGTTTCTCTTTTCAGTTCCATCTCACATTTTATCTCCCCCAGAAAACCTTTCTTTACTCCTCAATTTAATCTACCTCCACCAAAGTGGAAACAATATTCTCCTACTCTGAACTATGAAACAGTAACTTATTTGTGATTTCCTAATAACTTATAAATGCTGCTGAATATTATAGGTTTCTAAGTACAAGGCTTTTCTACTCTACTATATTTGGGATACTGTCTGTGCTTTTCTGAATTTTGTTGCGGTGTAAAACACAAAGAGGTAATGCAATATATGTATTGTAATATATATACAGAAACTATAAAAATCACAAATATAGAATCTGATGAATATTTAGGCACATGAATACTGTTATATAACTCCCACTTAAATGAAGATATAGAACAAAACCAGTATATCCAGAATCCTTTCTAATGTTTCTTCCCAGTGACCATCCCCTGTGAAAGGTAATCACTCCCCTGATTTCCATCATCATATATTAGTATTGCCTGTTCTTGAACTATATGTAAGTGTTATCATTTGTTATGGATTCTTTTGTGTTTGGCTTCTTGTGTTTATGAGCTATATTCATGTTGTTCATATGAATGTAGTTTGTTCCATTTCATGAATATAGTATTTTGTGTGAATGTACCATAATTTTTATCCATACATTTATTTTATTCAAACATAACTTTTATGTTTATTGGTAAACATTTGGTTTGCTTCCAGTTTTTCACTATTATAAATAATGTTGCTATAAACATTCTTATACAAGAGTTTTGGGAGCACATTAGATACATTTCCACTGAGTATATATCTGAGTGTAGAATTTCTGGTAATAGTGTGCGTGTAAGTCCAGATACTCTGCTTTGCAAAGTAAAAAGAAAAAAATTCTCCACTTGCATCACAGATGACTGTATATATGTGGATCTATTTCTGAGCTCTCCATTCTGTTTAATCATTTTCTTTGCCTGTTTTTATGCCAAACATCACACTGTTTCAATAACTATAGCTTTATAATAAATCTGAAAGTCTGATAGGGTAAATCTTCCATTTTTTTATTTCTTAATTTTCTCTACCATTCTTGTCAATAGATTAAAAACAATATAACTGTTATAAGTACATGGAACTATTTATTACAGATTAACTTAGGAACATCTGGCATTGTTAAAATTCTGAGTTTTCTAATTTATGGAAATAGTATATCCCTTCATTTGTTTAGGTCTTCTTACATTTTTTGTCATAATTATCTTGTAGTTTTCTACGTTGAGGTTTTGCACCTCTTTTCCTTAGAATTGTTGTTTTGTTTTTGTTTTTGTTTTGTTTTTTTTTGAGACGGAGTCTCGCTCTGTTGCCCAGGCTGGAGTGCAGTGGCGCGATCTCGGCTCACTGCAAGCTCCGCCTCCCGGGTTCACGCCATTCTCCTGCCTCAGCCTCCCGAGTAGCTGGGACTACAGGCGCCCGCCACCACGCCCGGCTAGTCTTTTGTATTTTTAGTGGAGACGGGGTTTCACCGTCTTAGCCAGGATGGTCTTGATCTCCTGACCTCATGATCCGCCCGCCTCAGCCTCCCAAAGTGCTGGGATTACAGGCGTGAGCCACTGCGCCCAGCCAGAATTGTTTTTATTTCTTTTACTTGCCTTATTGAACTTGCAAAAAACTCCAAATGATAATAAATTGAAGCAATTATAGCTGGAATCCTTGTCCTGCTCTCTTTCCCAACCTCTGTCGTTCAATATTTTATTGCTAATGTGACTTTTGCTGGAGGATTTTTGCATATATGCTTTATCGGATTTTTTTAGACTACGATTTCTGGTTTAATAACAGTTTTTAACATGAATAGGAAGGATTAACCTTCTAATCATAAGTATCTGGTACAGAAGTTATATATCCACACTAAACAAATTAAAAGCTGGTCAAAATATATGAAATGACTGTTTTTAGCTATTGAGACAAGTAGTGTTGGGCTGTGATTCCTCATAAACGGGAAACAAATTAGATGGTCCCTATTGAATTTTCAGCTTTCTTCATGGTGGCAATTTCCAGTCTCCAGTGCAAGGAGGGGAAACTGAAGGAGAATAAGGCGGTTACATTCAGTTAGAGCCTGAGAGCAGAATTTGGTTAGGCTGAAGCAGCTGGAAACTGTGGAATGTAATACCAGAGAGGAGACTGCCACACAAAGAACTCTAAAAATGTGAGCAAAGATCCCCTGTACTCTGTTGTCAAATACTAAGCTGTGCATCAACAATGTTGCTGCATTATATGTGGATATGGCCAACACCCCAAAATATGGTGCTTCTGTCTCTCCCAAAGCATAGAATGAAGTTGTTCTCCAGAGTCTCCTTAACTACCTAAAGTCTGGACCTGTCACAGAAGAAAACAATGACCTCTGGTCACTTTCCTAAATTTTCATTAACTGAACTCTTATCACAGGATGAGAGACTGAAGTCTGGCCACATACCTGGGCACACTTTTGTCACTAACCACTGTCTCTTCTGTGAGCCCAAAAGACTTCCCTCCAGCCATCGTATGTTCTTCAAGCTCATTGAATTTCCCTAACAATCATTTACTACCCCGCGAAAATCATCCACACTTCCCCATCTCACTTTTCCCTAAGAAGGAGAGCATGTAACCATTCGTATCCCATTGCATAGTAATCACTCTGTGATTCTCCCCCAGGTACATTAGTAACTTTGTATGTCTTTTCTCCTATCAATCTTCCTTTTTTTCAGTTTGATTTTCAGCAAACCTTCAGAAGGCAAAAGGGAAAGTTTTCCCATGGGCCAACGTGGATATGTTTCTGTAATAGTCTGCTCAGCCTTCTACAACAAGATGTCGCAGACTGGGTGACTTAAACCAGGGATCCTCAAACCCTGGCAATGGATCGGTACGGGTCAGTGGCCTGTTAGGAATCAGGCCACGTAGCAGGAGGTGAGTGGCCAAGCAAGCATTACAGCCTGAGCTCCGCCTCCTATCAGATCAGCGGTGGCATTAGATTCTCATAGGAGCACAAACCCTATTGCTAACTGTACTTGCAAGGGATCTAGACTGCATTTTCCTTATGAGAATCTAATGCCTGATGATCTGAGGTGGAATAGTCGCATCCAAAAACCGTCCTCCACAGTCCCCTCCATGAAAAAAATTGTCTTCCGCAAAGCTGGTCCCTGGTGCCAAAAAAGTTGGGGACCGTTGGCTTGGACAACAGAAATTGGTTACTCACAGATTTGGAAACTGGGAAGTCCAAGATCAAGGTACTTACTGATTTGGTTCCAGGGCTCTTTTCCTGGTTTGTAGATGGCCATATTTTCACTGTATACTCATATGACCTCAACTTTGTGTACGTGTGGGGGAGAGAGAAAAAAGCTCTCTGATATCTCTTCTTAGAAGGGCACTTAATCTAATAGGATCAAGGCTCCACCTTTAAAACTTATAGGCCCTGTCTCCAAAAAGTAGTCAAATTAGGGGTTAGAGCATCAACATATAAATCCGGTGAGGGGGTTGGCAGGAGGTCCCAATTTTGTCCATAGGAGTTTCTGTTATTTGTTGCCCTCCCCTTTCATGTGTCTTACTGTACCTGGTAATTATCGCCTGAATGACAGAAATTATACATATATAATTGTTATCTCTGGGCCATATTCTCTTCTACCACCAATGATTCATCTTCCTCTAGGAGGCAGCTGGAGTATGAAACAGATTACCTTAATGCAATCAAGACCAATCAGATTTACGGTTGGTTTATTGGGGTCATAAGGCTCAGATGCTTTTTAATTTGCCTCCACTCCTAAGGCATAGCTCTGCAGGGTCTCTAGCTGGAGACCTAACTACCGTTATTGTTTGATCAGATACTTGTGTATGCTGAAACTCTTCTCTCACTAGCAGCAGCTTTCTGTTTTGCTTCTTAGCCTCTTTCCATGTTCACCTTAAAGTATTAGGATATTCCTCAAAAGAAAATACCCAGAGTGTTCCCTTTTCCCCATCTCTGAAAACTCTGAGACCATTGTCCCCAAGTCTTACTTCTTGTGTCCTAAACAAAAATTATTCGCCAGCCCCATGCAATTACCAAAACCTGCTCAGCTTATCTGTTTTGGTTATGGTCCTTTGTCCTGTTTTTCAGATTCTCACTTTCCCAAGACCATAACCTGGCAGATTCCCTGAGGGGAAAATGTCTTCTTATCCTCTGTTTTTGATTTTCTGCTTCCTCATTTGCCTTAGCAGCAATATGGTCTTTTCAATTTGATTTTTAAACATTTTATCCAGCTTTTCTAAATGTATTGACTGAAGTACTGGTCTGCCATGAGCTGCTGCATCAGAGCCAGAAGTGAAAGTATGACTCTGACATGTCACTTAGTACCTAATATATAATAAATGTTAGCTAAATCTAAATATTTAGTGACTGAAAACAAGAATAAACAAATGAACAGATTAAAAATACTTTTTTTATTTAGTAAAGAGACCTTGATCAAAGTGCTGAATCTAATATTAAATTTTCTTGGAAATTATAACAATGTTCAAACTATCCTATCAACTGTTGCATTTTTTTTTCTTTTTTGTGGGGGGGTGCAGGGGTGTTATGTTACAGAGGTTATAGTAGAAAGAAATTCTGGGGACAGGATATATACGAATATTTCACATTTTCTTCTTCCACCAATGTAATAATTGAGAACTGGAAATATTAGTTAAATTAGTGTAAGAATACGTAGAGAAGCTTAATCTGTTCTGCTAGTTACTATAATTTACAAAAGGACAAGAAGTATATTAGGTTAAAATTTCTTAATGTTGGGTTAATTGTAATAAATAAGAGTTCTTTAATTTTAGAGCACCTGATTAGCTTTATTTAACATATGAAATGCTAGTCAATGAAAATTAAAAAGGGTTAATGTTTTGACATGCATATTTCATTATTTAGCCTTATATTTCTAATATTTTCAATGCATATTAATAAAATGCGTTGAGTACTTGGCATTTCTCCTACAAAGAATAAGAAGGTAGACAGTACATGAAGATTATGACCTCCTATTCTAGTTTTCCTCCAATTTAAATTTAGCAAATCTCAGTTTAATATTTATAGATAAATGATGGACTACAGGTAACTTCTAGCTACTGTGGAGTTAACATGATTTTCAGATGCCTATTTAAGCCATGATAAATGGAAAATGTCTAAACCTTAATTTCTTTCTTCTTCTTTTTTTTTTTTTTTTTTTGAGACAGGGTCTTGCTCTGTCACCCAGGCTGGAGTGCAATGGCACGATCTCAGCTGACTGCAACCTCCACCTTCCAGGCTCAAGTGATTCTCCCACTTCAGCTTCTCAAGTAGGTGGGACTATAGGCACATGCCACCACACCCAGCTAATTTTTGAATTTTTTATAGAGACAGGGTCTTGCTATGTTGCCCAGGCTGGCCTCAAACTCCTGAGCTCCAACGATCTGCCTGCCTTTGCCTCCCAAACTGGTGGTATTACAGGTGCAAGCTACCGCCCCCAGCCTAAACCTTAATGTTAAATCTACTCTCTTACTTTAATTTACAATTGAGCCTAAAGAATCAAGATTAAGTATAGAAAAGTGCTGATGGTCTTTGATTTGAAGAGGCTATAAATGTAAAAGAAAAATTGCACTGGACAGAGTTAAACAAGAAGACTTTATTCAAGACGACTGCAGTAGGGAAGACAGATTGAACTCAATCCCAATGAAACAAAAGGCAGGAGAGTTTTTAAGCACTGGGATGAGCTAATGAAAAAGAACCAGAGAACTATAGGCTGATGTGGTCCACTGTGTTTGCTAATTGGTGCTTATGGAAGTTAGGTTCCTAGCCTCCCATCTAGACTGGGAGATAGGAGTCCTATCTTCTTTGATGATTACATTTCAAAGGAATAGTTCCCAGGTCCTTGAAAAAGAAATGCCTAGATTGTAAAACTGGAAAGAGGTTGGGAGAAGATTTACATCTCAAAAAGTCAGGAAATTATTTACAATAAAAAATTGTCTGAGGTAGGCTGGGAGCAGTGGCTCACTCCTGTAATCCCAGCACTTTGGGAGGCCGTGGCAGGTAGATCACTTGAGGTCAGGAGTTCTAGTCCAGCCTGGCCAACATGATGAAACCCCATTTCTACTAAAAATACAAAATTAGGTGGGTGTGGTGGCAGGAGCCTGTAATCCCAGCTACTCTGGAGGTGGAGGTGGCAGTTAGCCAAGACCGCGCCACTGAACTCCAGTCTGGGTGACAGAGCAAGACTCCATCTCAAAAATAAATAAATTAAAAAAAAATTGTCTAAGGTAAATTAGGATGTCAGGGCCCCTAATATCAAGAAGAAACCTATTTAATGTTTAGTCAAGCTGAGGGTAACATTAAGGCCTTCTTGGTCACAATGTACACAAAACCTGTGGGATCCCATATAGAAACTCTGTCTCTCTTTTTTCCTCAGTCCATATTTGGAATAACAACAATATAACACTCCTTTGGTAGTTATATTTTCTCACCTTCTTTACAGAAGAAGAAATCCTTACTTAGAAAGGGTAAGTAACTTGACCCTAATGACCTAGCTGGAAGTGACAGGTCTCTGTGAGATTCAAGAGTCTATTTTCCTAACCATTGTGTTACAGAGATGAAGTAGACCTAATTGTGACATCCTTTTCCTCTTTTATGCCCTTTTTATTTATCCTTATGTTGCATTTATCCAAATTAATTCAATGGGGCAGTCTAACAAATCTAGTTTACATTTCATTAATTATGGGCATGTTAATAACAACTCTTAACCCCAAACATTACCACAGTTCAGGGACAAAGGTTATTAAGGAGGATATAAATTCTCTATATGTACTGGATGGCTCCCAAGGAAACAGGATTGGCATGTTTTACTATCAGTGTTATCAGAGTCATGTTGTAGGCAGCTCCCTTCTATCAAGTCAACAAATAAAATAATGGTAACTACCTTTTTTGATGGATAACATGTTAGCCTCTGTGCTAAGAGATTTGCATAACTTTTTTCATTTAGCTGACCTAGGATCTAGAGAGATAGCAATGTTCTCCATTTTAAAAGTGAGAAACCTGAGTTTTAGAGAAGCTAAGTAACTTGCACAAGGAGAAGTCACTTTAGCAATATTCATAGTTATTACAGTTTCAATCTGGAATTGAATTTGCATTAGCTCATTCCCGTGGCTGTGCTCAAGGGCTACCCTCTACTGCTCTGGTTCTGGGCAGTATGTCAGCTTCTTCCCTCTTTTCTTTCTGAAGGAGACCGCAGAATGTCATCCCAAAATATGGCACCCTAGTATGCTTAAGTATTTTGAAATGAAGGCCCTTGGAGATCAGCAGGTGCTAGGAGAGGCTTTTCCCCTATCTGCAGAGGGACTGGGCACACCCAAAAAGAAAACAATTACCTTCTGTCCCTTCCCTGAGTTTTCATTAAGTAAACTCATATTGTAGGGAGTGGGGAATGTAACTACACATGGACAAATTTATTTCATCAGGAGCCACTGTCTATTCCCCTAGACCCATTCAGTTTCCAAAGAAACTAACCATTGGTTAGGAACCATTGTCTGAGCATTGGGCCTATTCATTTCCCCTAACATTGTTTACTCTAGATTTCCTAATCTCCCTTCCCCTGTGAAGAAGGTTTTAAAAGTATATGCACTTCATTTGGTTTTGGATAATCATTCTACGGTGATTTTTTTTTTTTACCCACGCATATTAAAATAAATTTGTATGCCTTTTTCTCCTGTTAATGTGACTTTTGTCAGTTTATTTTCAGCAAATCTTGACTGCAAAGGGGAAGTCTTCCCTCTTCACTCCTATGCTTCTTTCTTTTCTTCATTTTTTTTTCTGCCTTCCAATTTACCTTGACTACCTTTTTTTCAATTATCTCACAATCTTGAATAAATCAACGTTTAGTAGTTATGTAGTTAAGCACTTTTACATTTGAGCAACGTGAATAATGTAATATAGTTGACTTCTTAAATGGAAGGCCTTCCCTTGGGCTTTTACAGTAATTTTAAAAAGAGAAAAAAATAAATTTTTATAAATGGAAACAAATTAAAAATATTTTCTGTCACAGGTGTAAATTTATACTAAATTTCAATTAAAATACAACTACTTATATATTTCATAAATTTGTGGTAGAGGGCATTGATAATCAAATATATTGATGTTCAGAAAAGAATACCTCGAAATTTGTCACTTTGGACTTCAAACAGAGCAGCTGAAGAGCAGCAAAGGCAGGGAAAGGGCTTTCTCTGATCTACCCTTAACCGACTAAGGTAAGTTCCTCCAGAAGACATACAATTATCAATCAGGGAAGGTTAAATCAGGAAAAGAGACTACAAGTCTGACACCTCCATTGAGAGACTTTAACCACAGCTACCATCAATTCCTCTGAGGGTTGCTTCTGAGAAACTTTATCTGCATAGTAAGACAGCCTTGTTCCCAGTGCAGTTTCTCCCCTGACCCTCCCATGGCTTGTCACCATCTCCCCCTGAAAAGCCCCCAGACCCTATTCTTTCTCTAGGATATAAAACTTCAGTCATTTGAGGGCATAAAGGTATAAAATCCTTAATCATCGAGTCTTTCTTTGAGTCTCACATTTTATGGGATGCCCATGCATGTGGACATAAAGAATTTGTTTGCCTTTTTACCTCTTAATCTGTCTACTGTCAAGTTTATTCCAGAAATCTAACTTTCAGGGGGTAGAAGAGAATTTTCTTTCACTCCTACAAGTGCATTCTTTAAATTGTACTTTTACACCTTCAATAAAATGCTTAGGAATTCCTACGTCAGTACTTTTTAAATCCCGGCTAAAGAACTGCCTAAGTAGTTAAAAAAAAAAAAAAAGAAAAAAGAAAAATACATTCAAACCCTACCATATAGCCACTCTAAAGTGTCAGGTGTCTGTGATTAAAAACATCCCCACTATTGATTGTGATATATAGCCTGGGATTGAGAATCTCTGCCCAATTTGTTTTTATTAACATTTTAACACATTGATCAGTTTAGCTTAAAAATGATTTAAGAAGTATTTGTTTTGCTTCTGTGCTATATAAATAGCCATGTTAATGTTTCTGGATGTTCACCAAATATTTTCAGTTCTGTCTTCTGGGTATCTGATTGGATTGTACTTCCCAGCTGTCTTGTTGTTGAGAGGAGCAGTGTGTCTAATGAAATTGTGCTTCTGGGGCAGAATACTTAATTGCTAGTTTAGTTAGGCCTGAGCTACTGAACATACACTAGGCAGTGCAGCAGCAGCACCATCAATTGAACTCTTCTTAGAAATGTAGATTTTTCAGGGTCTGCCCTGATGTACTGAATCAGAATCAACATTTTCATAAGATCCCCAGGTGACCTCATGCAAGTTAAAATGTGAGAAGCCTTTCCCTAGAGTCCTAGCTTTCCCTAGAGTTCTAGCTTTCCCTTGTACTATGGCCAGCAATATTTGAGGTGGTAGCTGATTTCTTGGCCTGGAACTCTGAGTGACTATGGTGGGCAGGACTCCCTGCCAACCAGCAATGGGCATGTAGCATGAGCTAAACCTTTATGTTTTCAGATGTTTGTGTAACTTGCCTTTGTAGCATAACATATCCCATACTAACTAGATACCTTGGATGTACAGGATTTCCTTGCCTTTCTCTTCAAACTCACTTATAAAATATACAGTGTCAAATCTAAACCAAAAATCTGTAAAAATGTTCAATTTAAACACAGATTTTTATCACAAAAGGCAAAGATTTAGATTGATAGGAAAATAAATTCAAGACCAGAAAGAGATAGGACAGGACAGGAAAGGTTCCTTCAGATTGTTGAGGAAATAGCTGAATTGAGCTTATAAGCAGCCAAGAAGAATGGCTGCCTATGTTTTGGTATTTGAAACTCTTTGGTATTAAAACCAAGGCCAAATGTGTGAGTGACGGGTTGAGGGGTATTTTCACAATTTGTCAGATGGGCAACTCTGTTTACTAAGCAAAGGAAAAAGCAGGTGGATTAAAAAAGAGAGAGCAGGAAATGGAGAGAAGAGAGAGGAATACAAATAGTAACAAAGGTTTCCAGCTTACCACAGCTTGCTCTTTATTTCAAACCCAGAAAATAGCTCTGGGCACGTTAGCCTTGATGAACTGGAAAAGTTCCACACATTAAGGTCAGCAACCCTGACATAAGGCCATATCGAGAATGAATACATCTTTTCGATGAAGGGCTAATCTTGTACAAACACATTGCAGGGTGTTTTCAGGTCCTCTAATGACCCCCCGACTCTCTCTCGCACCATATTGTTAATGGAGAAGATATTTGTGTTAAACATTGTGCAGATTAAACTGGTGGATTATTTTCCCTGCATTTAAAAATATCACTGTGCCCCGTGGCCAGACCATTCCTAACTGAGAAATACAAAATGCAACTGAATTTTTCTTTGCTTCATTAAAGGAAGCTTGAGAAAATTTAAAGGGACTGTTCAAATGTCTTCCTTAAAATATGCCTATTTCTAGGGCACCCTATGATACCAGTGGCTTCAGAATAGGAGTGAGATTATTATAGACTAGATGACAAATTTATTTAATCATTGTGGTATCCATTTATTTAAAAACTGTGCATGCTCTCTTTGTACCAGACACTGTATTAGGATCTGGTGACATAGTGGGATAGAAGGACAAAGCCACGCTCTTATGAAGCTTACATTCTAGGATAATTCTTTGCCATAAACATAAACCAAACACTTCCACTAGAAATGCTGACCAATGCCTGGATTCTCTGGTAAGTTTCATGAACTCACCCTGCTTGGTAGCATGACATCATTTTATGATATACTAACTTCTACCTTGCTTGACATATCAATGTCTCTATTTTTTTACTTACTCAATCTTTTAACAGACCATTTATTTAGCACTTCCTGTCATAAAACTTAATCTTCTGACAGTGCTGCTTTCCCAATGCATCTTTATCAATACTGTTTCCAACGAAGTGGGTAAAACAACACAGTGACAAAAGAAATTTGCATATCAGTTCTCGGCTCACACTAAAAATCTATGCTACATCCACAAAGGATGCCAACTATTGACAATACCCAGGAGGCAATCCTGGGACCAAACCAAATGGGCCCATTACCAAGAGTGCTGTTAAAATCAAGCTCCAGGCTAGTAGGAAGGAATAATGTATTGATGGAGAAATTAAGCAAGTGGATCATGTATGGATGATTTGTGGATGGGAGAAAGATAAAGAAAATAGACATTGGGGTGGAGTGAGCTAAGATAATACATGTGACTTGGCCAAGTGCCCGTTTGAAATTAATGTTGCAAAGATTGAGTGTTCATGCATCAAACGATTTTTGTACACAGTTTTATTGATTGCTCTAGGCCTGGATGTTTCCTTAAAGCCATGAAACTAGATTATAGAAATTAGCAAGTGCAAGAGTACAGATGGGTAGGATTGCAATGCCAAATAATTTGCCAGCGTATCCACAACTGTTGCTTCTCTTATAGTGCTGTTGAAAGAATCAAAGGAGAAGATATCTATGAAAGTGTTTTACAAACCAGAAAGCACTTTACTTACGAGAAGTGGTGCTATTGTTTGCTATTGTTATTATTACTGTGCTTGTTTTAATGTAACCTAGACACTGTGGTAGTGTGTCCAGAATTGGTTCCTTCCGGTGGGTTCTTGGTCTCACTGACCTCACGAATGAAGCTGCAGACCCTTGCAGTGAGTGTTACAGTTCTTAAAGATGGTGTGTGCGGAGTTGGTTCCTTCAAATGTTTGTGGCCTCGCTGACTTCAGGAGTGAAGCTGCATACCCTTGCAGTGAGTGTTACACAGCTCTTAAAGGTGGCCCATCCAGAGTTGCTCATTCCTCTTGCTGGGTTCGTGGTCTCGCTGACTTCAGGAGTGAAGCTGCAGACCTTCACAGTGAGTGTTACAGCTCTTAAAGGTGGCACGTCTGGAGTTGTTTGTTCCTCCGTGTGGGTTCGTGGTCTTTCTGGCTTCAAGAGTGCAGCTGCAGACCTTCATGGTGAGTGTTGCAGCTCATAAAGGTAGTGTTGACCTGAAGAGTGGGCAGCAAGATTTATTGTGAAGAGCAAAAGAACAAAGCTTCCACATCGTGGAAGGGGACCCCAGCAAGTTGCCCCTGCTGGCTCCGTGGCCTGTTTTTATTCCCTTATTTGGCCCCACACGCATCCTGCTGATTGGTCCATTTTACAGAGTACTGATTGGTCCGTTTTACAGAGGGCTGATTGGTCCGTTTTTACAGAGTGCTGATTGGTGCGTTTACAAACCTTTAGCTAGACACAGAGCACTGATTGATGCATTTACAATCCTTTAGCTATACACAAAAGTTCTCCAAGTCCCCTACCCGATTAGCTAGACACAGAGTGCTGATTGGTGCATTTACAAACCTTTAGCTAGACACAGAGCATTGATTGGTGCATTTACAATCCTTTAGCTAGACAGAAAAGTTCTCCAAGTCCCCACCCAACCCAGAAGCCCAACCGGCTTCACCTCTCAGTAGCGTGGCTTTTATGTCACAAGGTCACTGTTTCCTGGAAAAACTCATTCTGATTTTGTTGATGCTATCATTCAGATATATTTGTGATAGGTAACTCTGAACTTTCATTGTTCTTAATGCTCTTGCCCTGCTGAGCTAAAATAGGGCAGTGTGCCTTCTGCCCTGCTTCTCAATGAAACTGCAAACGTGGGTTATAAATTGAGACCTATTTATGATGAAGAAAATAGGAGGATGAAAATACAGTGCTTATCAACCTGTCACAATAGGAGGAGGCTGGAAAGTAAAGTGTCATTCTCATGCTTTTCTCAGGAAGAAAACTGATTTTCCTTTCAAAAAATGTCAAAAGGAAAACTTTCAGGCTGTCACTTATGGCCTGTATTTCTAGAACCTGGCCCAATTTGGCTACTGCAAGGCTTTGTGAACACAGCCATCCAGAGGATGCTGTTTAGAGGGAAGGAGGTAAGATATTACCAGGATAGAATGGTGATACGCAAATGCAGGACCAGAGGACAAGAAAGCAGATATACAGAGAAAACAATTTTGGTTGTCAAATCATTATGTTAAGTTAACCCATGAATACTTATACTAACTGGAAATACATAGGGCTACTTCTCTGTCTTTGTGTGTCCACACTCCTGCTTGCAGATACATGCACTCATGCATTCTGCCCTAAATTAGATTTCTCTAGAAGGAGGTCCTGTAAGTAGAATCATGTAAAAGAAGTTTATCTGGAAAGTGGTCCTAGAAATTACCAGTAGTGGAGTAGGAAGACAAGAAAACCTAATCAAGATATGTTTGTCGGCTGGTCACTGCTGCAGGCAACTCAGACTCTATTTCTGGCAGGGACTCCATATCTTGCACACCTCTGGACAAAAGTGCAAAACACACATATAATCCTACATGAGGGGCAAAGAAACCAGGACATTTATTTATCGATTTCTATTTATCTTTGGTTAAAGGCTATCCTTTTTTTTTTTTTTTCATTTTTATTATACTTTAAGTTCTGGGATACATGTACAGAACATGAAGATTTGTTACATGGGCCATGGTGGTTTGCTGCACCCATCAATCCATCATCTACATTAGATATTTCTCCTAATGCTATCCCTCCCCTTGCCCCCCACCCCTCAACAAGCCCCAGTGTGTGATATTCCCCTCCTTGTGCCCATATGTTCTCATTGTTCAATTTCCACTTATAAGTGAGAACATGCAGTGTTTGGTTTTCCATTCCTGTGTTAGTTTGCTGAGAATGATGGTTTCCAGCATCATCTATGTCCCTGCAAAGGACATGAACTCATTCTTTTTTATGGCTGCATAATATTCCATGGTGTATATGTGTCACATTTTCTTTACCCAGTCTAACATTGATGGACATTTGGGTTGGTTCCAAGTCTTTGCTATTGTGAATAGTGCTGTGATAAACATATGTGTGGATGTGTCTTTATAATAGGATGATTTATAACCCTTTGGGTATATATCCAGTAATGGGATTGCTGGGTGAAATGGTATTTCTAGTTCTACATCCTTGAGGAATCACCACACTGTCTTCCACAATGGTTGAACTAATTTAAACTCCCACCAACGGTGTAAAAATGTTCCTATTTCTCCACATCCTCTCTAGCATGTTGTTTCCTGACTTTTTAATAATCACCATTTTAACTGGCATGAGATAGTATCTCATTGTGGTTTTGATTTGTATTTCTCTAACAACCAGTGATGATGAGCTTTTCTTTCATATGTTTGTTGGCCGCATAAATGTCTTTTTTTTTTTTTGAAAAGTGTCTGTTCATATCCTTCTCCCACTTTTTGATGGGGTTGTTTGGTTTTTTCTTGTAAATCTGTTTAAGTTCCTTGTAGATTCTGGATATTAGCCCTTTGTCAGATGGATAGATTGCAAAAATTTTCTCCCATTCTGTAGGTTGCCAGTTCACTCTAATGGTAGTTTCTTTTGCTGTGCAGAAGCTCTTTAGTTTAATTAGATCCATTTGACAATTTTGGATTTTGTTGAAATTGCTTTTAGCGTTTTATTAATGAAGTCTTTGCCCATGCCTATGTCCTGAATGATATTGCCTAGGTTTTCTTCTAGGGTTTTTTGTCTTAGGTCTTACGCTTAAATCCTTAATCCATCTTGAGTTGATTTTTTTTTTTTTTTTAAGACGGAGTCTCCCTCTGTCACCCAGGATGGAGTGCAGTGGCATGATCTCTGCTCACTGCAAGCTCTTCTTCCCGGGTTCCCGCCATTCTCCTGCTTCAGCCTCCCAAGTAGCTGGGACTACAGGCACCTGCCACCATGCCCGGCTAATTCTTTGTATTTTTAGTAGAGATGGGGTTTCACTGTGTTAGCCAGGATGGTCTCGATCTCTTGACCTCATGATCTGCCTGCCTTGGCCTCCCAAAGTGCTGGGATTATAGGTGTGAGCCAACGCACCCGGTCCTTGAGTTGATTTTTGTATAAGGTGTAAGGAAGGGGCCCAGTTTCAGTTTTCTGCATATTCGTAGCCAGTTTTCCCAACACCATTTATTAAATAGGGTATGCTTTCCCCATTGCTTGTTTTTGTCAGGTTTGTCAAAGATCAGATGGTTGTAGATCAGATGGTGTTATTTCTGAGGCCTCTGTTCTGTTTCATTGGTCTATATATCTGTTTTGGTACCAGTACCATGCTGTTTAGGTTACTGTAGCCTTGTAGTATAGTTTGAAGTCAGATACCGTGATGCCTCCTGCTTTGTCTTTTTTTTCTTAGGATTGTCTTGGCTATAGGGGCTCTTTTTTTTTGTTCCATATAAAACTTAAAGTAGTTTTTTTCCAATTCTGTGAAGAAAGTCAATGGCAGCTTGATGGGAATAGCATTGAATCTATAAATTACTTTGGGTTGTATGGCCATTTTCATGATATTGATTATTTCTGTCCATGAGCATGAAATGTTTTTCCATTTGTTTGGGTTCTCTCTTATTTCAGTTAAAGGCTATTCTTTGAGACAATAATATCCAGGCCCCTTCATCTTCTGTCCTGCTGGGTTGGAGATACTCTTGCTATTAGAATAATCTTGAGGAACTGTCTGAGTGTTTTCAGGAGGAAGCAGGCAGTGTTTACTGAATAATGAATGAGAGGAAATATGGGGAAGTTATTGAAAGTTTCTGCTATGCACACCATTGTTCTCAGACTCTATGATATTTACCTGTGATTTTTCCTGAAGTCAATCTTTATTATTCACTTTCACCAAATATCACCTGTGGAAGGGCACTTCACACTCCTGTATTGGATAGGGAGGCTTTTCCTCTATATTGCTACTTTCCATTCAAGAAGCACTGTCTAATAGAAATGTAAGCCACCAATGCAAGCTATTTAAGTATTTTTTCCAATAGATTTTTTTAAAAAATAAATACAAAACAGCTAACATTAAAGTAACTTAACACTACATTTTATTTAATCCAACATAACTAAAACACTGTTTCAATATGTAATCAATACAGAAATACTAATTAGATATTTTACTTTTTTCCTGCAAAGCCTTTAAAATAGATGTGTATTTTACACTTAACAGCACATTTCAATTCTGACTACTGCATTTCTATTACTCAATAGCCATGTAAGGCTAGTAGCTATCATATTGGACAGTGAAGACCTGGGTCCATCTCACTCTCCATCTGAAATATGGGGAACTTATGAGTATCTTAATACTTTGGGGGAATGAAAGATGGCATTCCTGCTGGACATTAAGCGAGAGATGTACTGACAATGTCCATGAGAATTTGTCATCAGTTTTCAAGGTGGCTATATAATAATGCCCAAAATCAGATATACGTGCCCTTTTAGACATCCTCTCTCTTCCAAAACGAAACAAAACAAGAAAACAACAACCAAACCTGGACTTGGTACTACATAAGGATTCACACACAGCTCCAGGAATGAGTGTTGAGGAAAACCTTACATTCATTGTAATTATGTTTCCACACTTTGGCAAACTGAGAAGGGAAAATACATGTGTCCTCTCCATGACCTATCTTTCCTATTTACACTCTTGTGTAGTCCCCTCTTATATTGTATCAGGATTGGTCTGTGTGAACAGAATAAAGCATAAGTAATAGTCATTTCTAAGGTCAGATTGTAAAGAAAAACCTTCTTGCTGTCACTCCCACAGCTCATTCTAGGGGAAACCAGCTGCCATATTAAGAAAACAGTCCTATGGAAAGGGCCATGGAACAAAGAAGTGACTTCTGCCAACAACCTCATGAGTGAACCTAGAAGTGGCTCATCTAGTCCTGGTCAAATCTTATGGACTGTGGCTCCAACTGATAGTGTGACTGTAACTTCATAAGAGACGCTGAACCAGACCACCCAATAAGACACTCCCAGATTCCCTACTCTCAAAAGTTGTGTGAAATAATCACCCCCAGTTGTATTAAACTGCTAAGTTTTGGGGTAGTGTGTTACACAGCAATAAATCATAAATACAACATCCAAGCAATAAATTTCTATGATAAATACATATGAAGAGTAGATCTCTGTTTATAGGCTGAGATTTGTGTTCATTACAGTCCTATTGAAAGGAATAAACATGAACCCGAGGTTAGAAGATGAGGCCACACTGTGACAGGAAGAGAGAAGAATGTGAAAAACATTATAGAAAGAAAAAATATTTTCCAGAATTTCTTTAAACAGAACAAAAATACCAAAAAAAAAAAAAAGACCCACACTTATTTTCATTGTTTCCTAAGCTCTTGTAAATCACAGGGTCAGGATTGATTTATTACAAGGAAGTTCTAGGTCTAGAAGTCATCCCAGTGTTATCCAGATCATCAGCAATTAAGAGAATAAAAGGAAAATGGGGGAAAAAGTTCTTCCTCATAGGGCTGAGGACATATTCTGAGACTATATAGCAGAGTCAACTGAAAGTAGCATTGTAACCCCTGACTAGAATTTCACCTAGTATTAAAGGAGGCTTTGGTTCTCCCTGGGGCCTACATTCCAGAAATGTCAACTGCAATTCTAAGGAATATTAACTACATTTCTTAGGAAGCCATGCCATTGGACTTAGTGTACAGAATGCTTTATGTGAGCTTTATTAATCTTATTAAATAACATGTCTTTGCCATTCATTGATTAGACATACAAATCATTCATCCCCAGAAGGAATTGCAAAGGAATCTAAAGTCACTCAAAACCCAGGCTTGTGCTGTCTGTGGTTGTCAAGGTAACAAACGTCTGACAATTCCAAGCTACCAGACCTCGGCAGACTATTTTGAAGCCACCATAGGTATTAGCCAGCCTTCCACCTTCCACTTCATATAACAGTTTCCAGAGGCATTCTCAGGAGAACTAATCAAGATATTAAGTTTATCCACAGACAACTAGAGTGCCAACACCCTGTAGCAAGTTAGAAGAAATAAATAGGATATTCTTTATGTTCAACCTTGGATGCTCAGTTCTTCAGCACTGAACCAGAGCCCCCTATGCTATCAGTGCTTATTATAGCAGCTGTATTCAGAGGAATAACTAAAAAGAAGTGAACAAAGTCTGGAGATGCTAATTCTACTTGCTCCTTTATATTGAGCACAGCTATAATTATAGATGGTATTATTTCTTAAATGTTTAAAATAGGGCCAGATACTTTAAATATTACCTCCTGTTTTAAATATTACCCTATGCAAAATGGGTATTCTCATGCTGGTTTTAAAGATGAGAAAATTGAGGCTCAGTGTGTGGTTAAGTTCTTACCAATAACACACAACTACCCAGTGACAGAGCCTAGATGTGAACTGAACACTGACTTCAATGGGAGTTCTCATATTCACTGTGCTTTTTCTCACTTCCACTTTGCTTCTTCCTGAAATTGAATCTATCTCTTCCTATTTCCTTTTTAAGACCACATTGATTACTAAACATTTTCTCCCCATGTCTGCAAATATGCTATTAAAGACAGGTAAGAATTGGTGTGGCATGGGTGAAACCCCGTCTCTACTAAAAATACAAAAAATTAGCTGGGCGTGGTGGCGGGCGCCTGTAGTCCCAGCCACTCGGGAGGCTGAGGCAGGAGAATGGCGTGAACCCGGGAGGCGGAGCTTGCAGTGAGCCAATATCACGCTACTGCACTCCAGGCTGGGTGACAGCGAGACTCCGTCTCAAAATAAATAAATAGAATTGGTGTGGCATAAGGGTTGAACAATCAGCATAGATCCCTTATATCTTAGTACAGGAAAAGGTGCCAGAAGACACTGAAATGCCACGGGTTGGCATTCAGTCTCAGAACTGAAGGGTCCTGAGGGAACCATGGAGAGGAAAGCAGGATTCTCAAGGGCTCAGGACAGTCTTTTTCTATTTTAATAGGGGGTGTGGTCTTATCACTGCAGGATGGCTGAATGTAAGCACTGACTGCCTGAACAAATTAATAATCGCAAGACAGAATTCTGACCTTATGAACAAGCATTTTGCTCCAGAATTCCTACCAGAAAAAAAAATGTGGAAGAATTTGTGCATTCTGTGGGAATATGTATTTAGTTTCTCACAAAGAGACTGGTCATATTAGTACTAAGAATATAACACAGCTGAAAAGACAGCTAGTGGTTTTAGCTACATAACCTCAGATTCCTCAGAGATGAAAAATTCTGTATTGGATACTAGAAACTTATAAATAAGTTGCTTTCATTGTTAGTTTCTTATGTTGTATGTATTTTTTTTTTTTTATTTACTTTTGAGACAGAATCTCACTCTGTCACCCAGGCTGGAGTGCAGTGGTGCAATCACAGCTCACTGCAGACTCGACCTACTGGTTCAAGTGATCCTTCTGCCTCAGCCTCCTGATTAGCTGAGACTACAGGCACACGCCACCACACCCGGAGAATTTTTGGATTTTTCGTAGAGACAGGGTTTCGCCATGTTGCCCAGGCTGGTTTCACACTCCTGGGCTCAAGTGATCCTCCTGCCTTGGCCTCCCAAAGTGCTGGGATTTTAGGCAGGAGCCACCCCACCCTTCCCTATGTTGCAAGTGTTTTTAAAGATAACGTCACATGTATTTTTAAAGATAATATTCACTGAAGAATTTTTAAAAAATAAATAGAATTTGGTCTTTTAAAATGAGTTTCACATTTTGAGAATAAATATATTAGTATACTACTTTGCTCATTCAACAAAAGTCAGGTCACTTTGTCATGATCTTCTTTGATAAGCAAGTAGTACAATAATGCTGCATTTGAGATAGTTGGCAACTACATGGGAAGAGGAAGAAGAAGGAGAGAATATTCCAAATGTCTGCAGTGAGATGCACTGAGAAATGTTGTTGAAACTAACCTATACTCTCAGGCAAATGAACACCACTTCTTGGGAAAGTCCATTAGTGGGGCAAAAACTATGAGAATCTGTGTCAGTGTATTTCCTTAAATGATGCAAACAGAAAGTCCTACATCATTAGTAATATCCTAAAAAACCTTTATTAGATCTAACTTACTATTAAAAATATCTTTAAAAACATTTTATATCTGATTATACAGCTGTGAAAGGATAAACAAATAAGCTATAAACAGGTGAAAATAACTTAGAAATACCTTTAAATAAAGTAATAAAAACCATACTCGCCCTTTAAATATTTCTGTGCAATTGAATACATTTTAGTGTCCAACATGAAGCATTTCTCTTGCAGGACTTTGCTGGTTACTAGACATTTCGAGCTGACCAAGGGAATAAAAGTAAGCATTATTTCTTCTGGGCCCAGTCGTCTCCATTTAATAGAAACACACCCATTGACGAACAATAGTTAATACTATCTTAGGCATTTTGCTAACTGATTTCTAAATTTTTGGTTAAGCCATTATTAATTTTAACATTTGAATTATTTTTTATACAGTGAATCTTATATCATCTTGTCACTGCTGCTGCTCCTGCCATTGTACCCGAAGAACCTTGGATAGCCATGATTTTAATGGAAAACTGCCTTGGACACTGTGGCTGCTAGCTATTATTGTCTCTTCTCATTTTCTTTTCCATGCAACTTTGTGGTCCTCTCACAAAAATACAGTTTGTACATACTTGACCTTTGATCTCAGCCACACACTTGCTTCGGTCAAAGGCATGTGGGCATAGGGACAGTGTGCCAGTTCCAAGTTTAGCTTTTGAGAGGCCTCACTTGCTTCCAATCTGCTTCTCATGCTCCTGTCACTGCCATGGAAACAACTTCCTCTGTCTTCATCATGGCCGCCAGACTGAGCACACATGGAGAAGAGCTGCCTTAGCAAACCCAGTCAGCCCCACAGCCATAGTTGAGCTGCCCAGGCAAATCCAGCCTACATGAGCAGACCCGGCACACTTACAAGTGAGAGAGATGAATTCTTATTGTCAAATGACTCTAAGATTTTGCATTTGCTTGTTACACAAAATTTCTGGCAATAGTTGACAGATACAATAGAGGTGGCTTTTTTGGAAGGAATTAATTAGAAGTGGTATGGTAGTGATCCAAATGACCTTATTTTCTTCCTGATGTAATCCTGCCAGTTTTGCTCTCTGTTCAAATTTTGTAAACTTTATCTTATTTATTTATTTATTTATTTAAGACAGAGTATCACTCTGTCGCCCAGGCTGGAGTGCAGTGGTGTCATCGTGACTCACTGCAATCCCCGCCTCCCAGGTTCAAGCAATTCTCCTGCTTCAGCCTCCCAAGTAGCTAGGATTACAGGCACACACCACCATGTCCAGCTAATTTTTGTATTTTTAGTAGAGACAGAGTTTCACCATGTTGGCCAGGCTGGTCTCGAACTCCTGACCTCAGGTGATCCGCCCACCTCGCAAATTATGGAAACTTTAAACTCCTTAAATGACAGTAATAGAAAGGTAACTTAATTCAATCTACAAAAGAAAATAAAAATAATTTTAAAACTATAGATTTAATGTTGTCAACCAAATATATAATAGCTAATTTAACTGATTTTTATTATCGTTTCAGTTTTTTGGGTAACAGAAATACTATCACACTATTTTAAAGAGAAATGTCTAGATTTAAAAGGAGAAGACCACTGGAATTCAGTAATTATAGAGGGCTTCAAAACTTACATATTCATATTCTTCAATTTGATTCTATCAAAATATTTACACATTTTCTTGAGAGAGTGCATTTGGGGGATAAAAAGTAAGTGTAAGTTTCCCTCTCTAAATATTAAATGTATCCAGTTTACTACAACAATGCAATGATACACCTTACTAATTCACAAGCCTTATTTGAGAAAATCATGGAAATTTGCTTTGGGTCTAAATATTTTAAATGGTCCTTCTTTCATATTATATTTTGGGTTACACAAACTGTAGCTTTATATATTACACGCAGATGTAGACATGACTCTCTCTTCTCAGCACAAGCCTGGAAATAACGCAACCTGCCAAAAAAAAAAATAATGCTTTGCGTCTCAGTGTAAGTTTCTAAAGAAGAAAAATAGCAGAGCTCTCAAATTTCTTCACTGTAGAAAAAGGTTAATGCAGTTCCAGACAGAGGTCAATGCATTGATCAGTGTAGCTTCAAATAAGGAGGCAGGTCTTTTCATAGTGTTTACAGTATGTCTCAAAATTATCAAAACATTGTCCATTTTACCGTGGATTTTTAATTCATTAAGCAAAAATTTCTATTGAAAAATCTTCTGCAGAACAGTAATTGCTGCTAAATAATTCCATGTGTAGCTACATAAGATATATTTATTTTAATGGCACCTTAGAACTTTTGTTTTATAAATGCCATATAAAATACGTTAATTTTATTGTTATGATATAAAAATGAAGGACTGTGAACACAATCAGTTGGAACTGAAACTTAATAGAAATCTAAGAATTTGTGGGAAGTTAAGACATTTTTCTTCCCCATCTCCCACCTTCTGTCTTTTAGTGACTCTTAGAATGCCACCATTCTGCTTTTTTGCAACTCAACAAACAAAGGAACCAAACTCTTATCATTAGTTCACATTATTGAAATATCTCTGGATCAGTACCAATGTCTTTTTTTAAAAAACATGTTTCTACCCATCACTTACTGCCTCTGCTTTCACTAATCACTTTTTCATTAATTTTTCATTCAACAGCTATTTATTAAACACATATTCTTTTCTAGGCACTGCCTATAAAGCAGTTTATAAAGAAAGACATGGGCTTAGCACTCTTGGAGTTTACAGTATAATAGAGGAGATAGATGCTAAGTGCATATATATGGAGATAAAGAAATAACTTCAAATAGCAATTAATGCAGTGAAGACAAAGAAATTGGGTTCTCTGAAAAAGAATTAAAAAATCGAAACTTAAAATTTAGATTGGATGCTCAATCTATAAAGAATTAACATTTAAGCTGAGACCTGAAGTGTACAAAAGAACTGGCCACATGGAGACATTTCCAGGCAGTGGAGAAGGTGCATGCAAGAATCCTGTAGCAAGAGACAGATCTGTGCTATGTCTCTGAAATTTTGGACAGAGTTCCTTCATACCTTCATTTGACTTTTAGGTCATGGTACTTTATATTTTTATTTTCTCTTAAGGTGTATGTTCTGTTTTCAAAGCTGCTTAAGGGCAAAGTAATTGTTTAGAGCTATTTTTATCATCCACCGTGAAACGACCCTGCTTTCCAGCATCACAAACTAAAATGCCTCCAGAGTTAAGACTGGAGGAAAGTTGATGAAGAATAAGCATTTTATTCTTAATTGGGAGGAGGAGATTTTTATTTTCTCACTGAATCAGTCCAGTTTTCAGTCAGGAAAACAGAAGTCATTCTGTGTATTCTGGGTATATAATACAGCTGCTTTGAACCTCACACCAGCTCAAGATCTACCCAAACATCTATCTCGCCTTTCTGGAGATGTTGCTCTTCTTTCTTCTAACTCTGATTCCGATACCTCTCTTTAACAGACCAGAATCTGCATTTCACAGGAAAGTAGGTTCTGGGAAATATAGTTCTCAACTTCTCTTCTTCAGTGCACCTTTTCCACTTAGCATTTATATTTACCTTTGTAGCTGTTTGTAGGCTTCCAGATTGCAGTGATTAAAACAACACTCTGATTCTATCCAGCATGGTGTGATTATGCTTTAATCAACCAAAAACATGCCTACCTCTTCTCAAAAATTAGAGATGCAGATTCCATGATGCCTATTATGTATTCTTCTTTGGATAATTTTCTGCTTTTTTTATCTCAGTAATAATTTCTCTTTGATATCCTTTAATTTAAAGATTAAATTTACAGTATTAATTGCTGTTAACATCTTTAACAAACCTTGTAATAGTATGGGAAAGAGAAAGTGGGAAAATGGTTGATATAAAAATATGCACATAACCAAATAAGCAAGAAAAATACCCTGTTATTTCCCACCACAATCCCTATTTTTCATGTGGTAACATGTCATAATTTCTTCCACTACTGCCCACTCCATGTTCCCTTTGTCCTGAGCTAGTACCTCAATGTATCGGGGTTCTTTATATGGTGACCCAAATAACCATTCAAGAAAGATCTGAAGTACAGTCATGCACTGTAGAATGATATTTCTGTCCATGATGGACCACATATGTGAGGGTTGTCCCATAAAATTGTAATACTGTATTTTAATGTACCTTTTCTATGATTAGATACATAAATACATACCATTGCTACCATTGCATTACAGTTGCCTACAGTATTAAGTACAGTAGTATGCTGTATAGGTTTGTAGCCCAAGAGCAATAGGCTATACCATATAGCCTAGGTGTATAGTAGGCTATACCATCTAGGTTTGTATAAGTACATTCTATGATGCTGACACAATGACAAAAACACCTAATAATGAATTTCTCAGAATGCATCCCTGTTGTTAAACAATACACGATTGTGTTAGTGTTCTTGCCTAAAATGGGTTTTTGTATTTAATGTTCTATTAAATGTTATTACTGGACATAACAATACCATGAAGTGTCTTGAGGAAACCTCTGACCTCCACACCATCTCCTCCATGCCTCTGTTTTGTAGATAATCAGAATCAATTATTCAAGTCAGAATAGTAATCCACTACTTTGCCTATTAGTTTGGTGGCAGAAAAAATTCAATGACCAGGTGGAATTCTCAGCTTCCAATTCAGTGGAACAATTGTTCTGTCTCCAGATGAAAGCATCATTGTTATTAAGTCCTTTATGCAGGTAGAAACTGAAGGTTTGGGGACAAGAAGCGAAAATATTGTGACTGAGTTATAAGGGGAAATAAAGAGAGAAGCCACTTCCAGTTCCACACCTTTGTTCCAGATCCTGTGTATTCTGACAGTGGGAAAAATGTCACCATTTAAACATTAGTCAGAAGTTGAGAAAGTATGCCTCATCTTGTAGCAGAATACTTCATCTCAGGTGGTTACTCAGGTATTGCCATAACTAAACCTTCAATACACTGTCTTGCCTGCTTCCACTAGGCCACTGTTTTAGATGTGATAAAGTCAGTGAATGAATTCCAGCGGTGTAAGTGCATTATCTTATTTCTTTTGTTGTTAAATGAGTACATTGTTCAAAAGCAGTGTTTTGTGGAATACCTTGATTGTAACAAAGCATTCAGTAAATGCTGGTAGTGGCATTTGAGACAGAGAAGGCTAATCTACATACAGAATAAGAATCCATTCCAGTAAGGACAAATTGCTGCTATGTCCGTGATTGAAGAGGTCCAATGTAATTGACTTGTTCTCATGTGGTTGGTCCTTAACTGCCATGGGGATTAAATCTATATCAGGAGTCTAGTCTTGGTTTCTGCTATTGGCAGGTGGGCAATGCAACTGTAGTGGTAGCTAGAAAATTCGTATCAAGGTAAGTTTGTTATGAAAAAAAACTCCATCCCTGCCATCACAGTCACTTTGTGCATGAATGCATTAAACATACACAAGCTGGACGTTTTTTTCCACATTGACAGAGAACGTTTTGTGGAAAAAATTCACGTAAGAGACAGGTATCTTTATTCTCGCTTCCCCTGACAGGTACATTGACATCTGTCTTCACCAGTATTCAAATTATGTTTCTTTAAAATGCATACTATTGCCCATAAATAAAAAAATAAATGAAGTTTATTTTTGTGACTTCAGGTTGGTCTTTCTTCTTCCTTATTCTTTTTTAAAATTAATTATCTTTCCCAGCTTTATTAAGGTAAATTTAACAAATAAAAATTGCCTATATTTATGGTGCACAGTGTGATGTTTTGATATATGTATACATTGTGAAATGAAATGATAAAGAAAAAATAATATATCTATCACCTAAGACTTATAAATTTGTTATAGTGAGAATATTTAAGGTCTACTCTCTTGATAATTTCAAGAATGTAGTAACTGTAGTCATCATGGGTACAATAGCTCTCCAGAACTTACTGCTTTTAATTGAAACTTTTTATCTTTTGACCAACATCTCCCCAGTACCCTTGTAACCCCCATTAGACTCTCAGTTTATATAAGGTCAATTTTTTAAAATTCCATGTATAAGTGAGATCATGCGGTATTGATCTTTCTGTGCACATCTTAGCATAATGTCCTCCAGGTTTACTCATGTTGTCCTAGATGACAGGATTTCCATCTTTTTTTTAGGCCTTAATGGCATCCCATTGTGTTTTTTTAATTTTTAATTTTTGTGGGTACACCGTCAGTATATATATTTATGGGGTACATGAGATATTTTGGTATAGACATTCAATGCCTAATAATCACATCATAGAAAATTGGGTATCCATCCCCTCAAGCATTTATTTTTGTGTTACAAGCAACCCAATTATACATTTTTTAGCATTTTAAAATGTACAATTAAATTATTATTGGCTACAGTCTCCCTATTGTACTGTCAAATACTAGGTGCTGTTCATTCCTTTTTTTTTAAATACCAAATAACCATCTCCACCTTCCCCTCCTCAGTCCTTCTACTACCCTTCCCAGCTCTGTTAACTATCCTTCCATTCCCTGTCTCCATGAGTTCAATTATTTTGCTTTTCAGACACCACAAATAAGTGAGAACATGTAATGTTATGTCTTTCTGTGCATGGCTTACTTAATTTAACATAATGACCTCCAGTTCCATCCATGTTGTTGCAAATGAGAGAATTTCATTCTTTTTTATGGCTGACTAGTATTCCATTGTGTATATATACCACATTTTCTATATCCATTCATCTGTTCATGAACATTTAGATTGCTCCCAAATCTTGGTTATTACAAATAGTGCTGCAACAAACATGGGAATGCAGATATCTCTTTGAAATACCGATTTCCTTTTTTATCGGTATATACCCAGCAGTGGGATTGCTGGATCACAGGGTAGCTCTATTTTTAGATTTTTGAGGAACCTCCAAATTGTTCTCCCTGGTGGTTATAGTGTACAATGGTTTCCTTTTCTCCACATCCTCGTCAGCATTTGTTATTGCCTGTCTTTTGGATATAAAACATTTTAACTGGGGTGAGATGATATCTCATTGTAGTTTTGATTTGCATTTCTCTGAGTTTCAGTGATGTTGAGCATCTTTTCATATGCCTGTCTGCCTCTATTCTTTTGAAAAACATCGATGCAAACATTTTGTCTATTTTTTGAATCGGATTATTAGTTTTTTTCTATAGAGTTGTTTGAGCTCCTTATATACTTTAGTTATTAACCCCTTGTCAAATGAAAAGTTTGCAAATATTTTTCTCCCATTGTGTGTGTTGTCTCTTCAATGATAATTGTTTCCTTTGCCGTGCAGAAGCTTTTTAACCAGGTGTGATCTTATTTCTCAGTTTTTGCTTTGGTTGCTTGTGCTTGTGGGGTATTACTTAAGACATTTTTTTTTTTCCCAGATCAACGTTCTGGAGAGTTTCCACACTGTTTTCTTGCAGTAGTTTCATAGTTGGAGGTATGAGATTTAAGTCTTTAATCCATTTTGATATTTTTGTGTGTGTATGGTGAGAGACAAGAATCTAGTTTCATTCTTCTGCATACGGGATATCCAGTTTTTCCAGAACCATTTATTGAAGATATTGTTTTCTCCTCATTGTATGTTCTTGGCATTTTTGTCATAAATGAGTTCGCTGTAGGTGTGTGTGAATTTGTTTTTTTATTTCAATTTCATTTATCTCTTCTCTGATTCTTACTTATATTCTTCTTCTGATTTTAAGTTTTATTTGCTCTTTCTTTTCTAGTTCTTTAATATGCATCACTAGGTTATTTATTTGAAGATTTTCTTTTTTTCAATAAGGGTACTTATAGCTGTAAACTTTTCTTAGTGCTGCTTTCACTGTATCTCATAGGTTTCGGTATGTTGTGTTTTCAGTTTCATTTATTTCAAGAAATTTTCCTTTTTTAGATAAGAAATACTGTATTTGTTTCCTTCTTTATTTTAACTTTTATTTTAAGTTTGGGGATACAAGTGTAGGTTTGTTACACAGGTAAACTTGTGTCATAGAGGTTTGTTATACAGATTATCTCATCATCCAAGTATTAAGCCTAATACGCATTACTTATTTTTCTTAATGCTCTCCCCCTTCCCATCTTTTGTCCTTCAAAAGGCCCCAACGTGTGTTGGTCCCCTCTATGTGGATCTTTTAGCTCCCACTTATAGGTGAAAATATGTGGTATTTGGTTTTCTGTTCCTGGGTTCGTTTGCTAAGGATAATGAATGGACTTCGGCTCCATCCATGTCTTTGCAAAGGATATTGTCTTGTTCTTCTTTATGGCTGCATAGTATTCCATGGTGTATATGTACCACATTTTCTTTATTTATCCAGTCTATCATTGATGAGAATTTAGGCTGATTCTATGTCTTCGCTATTGTGCATTCTGCTGCGTGAAAATATGCTTGCATGTGTCTAAATACCATGCAACCCAGCAATCCCATTACTGGGTATATACCCAAAGAAATATAAATCATTCTACTATAAAGACACATTCACACTATGTTCACTGCAGCATTATTCACGATAGCAAAGCAATTTTTCAATTTTCTTCTTAATTTCTTCATTGACCCACTGGTCATTCAGGAGCACATTGTTTAATTTCCATGTTTTTTTATGGTCTCCAAAATTCCTTTTGTTATTGAGTTGTAGTTTTATTTTATTGTTATCAGAGAAGATGTCTGATATTATTTTAATTTTTTGAAGGTTTAGGGTGTGTTTCATGACCTAACATATGATCTATCCTTGAGAATGAACCATGTGCTGAGAAGAATGTGTATTCTGCAGCTGTTGGATGAAATTTTCTGTAAATATTGATTACGTCCATTTCATCTGTAGTGTAAATTAAATCTGATGTTTGTTGATTTTCTGTCTGAGAGATCGGTCCAACGATGAAAGCTGGGTGTTGAAGTCTCTGGCTATAATTGTATTGAGGTCTATGTCTCCCTTTACCTCTAATAATATTTGCTTTATTTATCTGGGTGCTCCAGTGTTGGGTGATGTATGTTTATAATCATTACATTCTCTTGCTGAGTTGACCCCTATATCATTTTATAATGACTTTCTTTGTCTCTTCTGGCAGTTTGTGGCTTAAAATCTATTTTGTCTGATGTAAGTATAGTTACTCTTGCTCTTCTTCGGTAACATCATGAAATATATTTTTTGGATCCCTTTATTTTTAGTCTATATATATCTTTATAGGTGATGTGTGTTTCTTGTAGGTAACAGATCAATGGGTCTTGGTTTTTGATCCCTTCAGTTACTCTACATCTTTTGATTGGAGAGTTTAGTTCACTTACATTCAACGTTGTTAAAATTCATAAGTAGGGGCTTACTCCTGCTATTTTGTTATTTGCTTTCTGGTTGTTTTGCAGTCTTCTCTTCCTTCTTTCTTCCCTCCTATGTATCTTTTAGTGAGGGTGAGGATGATTTTCTTGATTAGTATATTTTAGCTTCTTGATTTTTATTTTTTGTGTATCCATTGCATGTTTTCTGATTTGAGGTTACCAAGAGGTTTGCAAATACTATGTTACAACTCATAATTTTAAAGTGATGACAAAACTTAACTCTGATTGCATATAGAAACAAGCAAGCAGACACACAGAAAGAAAACTAATAAAAACTCTAAACTTTAACGTCATCCCCTGCTTTTTAACATTTTACTGTTTATGTTTCATTGTCCATGCCTTGAAAAGTCATTGTAGTTATTGTTTATGAATGGGTCATCATTTAGTCTTTCTACTTAAGACAAGAGTGGTTTACATACCATCATTGCCGTGTTATACTATTCTGTGTTTTTCTATGTTTACTATTATCAGTGAGTTTTCAACCTTCAGATGATTTCTTCTTGCTCATTAACCTCTTTTTATTTCAGATTGAATAACTCTTTTTGGCATTTCTTATAGGACAAGTCTGGTATTGATGAAATCCCTTAGCTTTTGTTTGTCCTTCACGAATGGAACATATTTCACTAGATATACTATTCAAGTTTTTTTTTTTTCCTTTAGCACTTTAAATATGCCATGTCGCTCTCTCCTGGCCTGTAAGATTTCCACTGAAAAGTGTGCTGCCAGATGCATTGGAGCTCCATTGTATGTTATTTCTTACTTTTCACTTGATGCTTTTAGGATCCTTTCTTTGTCCCTAGCCTTTGGAAGTTTGATTATTAAATGTCTTGAGGTAGTCTACTTCGGGTTAAATTTGCTTAGTGTTCCACAACCCTTTTGTACTTGAATATTGATATCTCTCTATAGATTTGAGAAGCCCTTTAAAAAAACTTCTGCTGGGTGCAGTGGCTCACACCTGTAATCTCAGCACTTTGGGATGTTGAGGCGGGTGGATCACCTGAGGTCAGGAGTTTGAGACCAGCCTGGCCAACATGGTGAAACCTTGTGTCTACTAAAAATACAAACATTAGCTGGGCATGGTCGTGGGCGCCTGTAATCCCAGCTACTCAGAAGGCTGAGGCAGGAGAATCGAACCCAGGAGGCACAGGTTGCAGTGAGCCAAGATTGTGCCAACACACTCTAGCCTGTGCGACAGAGCAAGACTCAAACAAAATAAAAAGATCTACCCCTACCTCATTATCTACCTCCTCTTAGTTTGCTCTTTTGAGGTTTTTTCTTATAAGTGTATTCATTGTATTTTTTTTCTTTTATCTCCTGTGACTGTGTATTTTTAAATAGCCTGTCTTCAAGCTCACTAACTTCTTCTTCTGTTTGATTGATTCTGTTATTAGGAGACTCTGATCCTTTCTTCAATATGTCCATTGCATTTTCTAACTCTAGGATTTCTGCTTGGTTCCTGAATCTTTTTGTTAAATTTATCAGATAGAATTCTGAATTATTTCTCTGTGTTATCTTGAATTTCCTTGAGTTTCCTCAACATGGCTATTTTGAATTCTCTGTCTGAAAGGTCATATATCTCTTTCTCCAGGATTATTCCCTGTTGTCTTATATAGTTCATTTGATGAGGCCATATTTTTCTGGGTGGTGTTCATGCTTGTAGATGTTGGTTGGTGTCTGGGCATTGAAGAGTTATACATTTATTGCAGTCTTCACAGTCTAGGCTTATTTGTACCTGTCCTTCTTGGGAAGGCTTTGCAGGTATTCAAAGGCACTTGGGCCTCAAGCCCATCAATGATGTGGTGTTTTTTGCAGACTCAAGGAGGTACCCCCTTGGTGGTCTTAGAGAAGATCCAGAATAATCTCTGGATTACCAGGAAGCTGATCCAGAGATTACCATTTTCTTTTTCCCTTACATTTTCTTTTTCCTTACTTTTTCCCAGACAAATGCTGTCTCTCTCTCTGTGCTCATCTACCTAGAGCTGGGAGTGTTATGATGCAAGCTCTTCTGTAGTCACCACCACCGGGACTGTGCTGGGTCAGACTTGAAGCCACAGTAGCACTGGGTCTTGCCCAAGGCCCTTGCCTTCAGGATGGCAAGTTCCCCCAGGCCCTTTGGCATGTCCAGAGATGCTGTCTGGGAGCAAAGACTTAGAGCCAAAAGCCTTAGCAGTTTACCTGATGTATTCTACTGCAGCTAAGCTGGCACCCACACCACAATACAAAGTCCTTCCTACTCTTCTCTCTCCTCTCCACAGGCAGAGAGGCCTCCCCCTGTGGCCACCACCACCACTGGTCCATGGTGGTGACTGGTTTTTGCCAGGCCACCATGATGTTCGCTTAAAGCCCAAGGGCTCTTCTGTCAGCTTGTGGTCAATGCTGCAAGGCCTGGAACTCACCTGTAAGGGTAGTGGGATCCCTTCTGGCCCAGGTAAGGTTCAGAACTGCTGTTCAAGATCCTAGGCCTGAATGTGGGTACTCCAAGATCATGACTATTGCTCCACCTTACTGTGGCCAAGCTGGTTTTTAAGGTTCAAGACAAAGTTCCCTTTACTTTTCTCTCCACTTTTCTTAAGCAAGAGTTTTTCACCATAGCCACCACAGCTGGGAATGTGCTGGATCACCCACGAAGCCAGCATGTCTCAGAGCCCAAGGCCTACAGCATACTTCCTGGGAATTGCTGTTAATTATTCAGGGCCCAAGGGCTCTTAAGTCAGCAGGTGATGAATCCTGCCAGGACTGGGTTCTTCCCTTCAAGGCAGTGGATTTTATCTTTGTTTTTTTTTTTTTTTTGGCCCAGAGTGAGTACAGAAATGTCATAAAGGAGTTAGTGCCTGGAATAGAGGCCTCACGGCTCAGCCCAGTGCCCTATCCTACTGTGGCTGAGCTGGTATTCAAGATCCAAGTCAAGGTCCTCTTTACTCTTCACTCCCCTCTCCTTAAGCAGAAGTAAGGAGTCACTTTCATTGCTGCAAGCTGTACTGCCTGGGGTTGGGAGAGTGATGGCCCCACACTCCCTTAAGCCATGGCAGCTGGTGTCTCGCTAGGTCATGTGCCACTCTAGTCCACTGGCTCTAAGCCCAGTCTAGCATGCGGAATTGCCTAGAAATTGCAATCCATGTGTCCTAGGCTTCAAGTTTACCTGAGAACCCAGATCACTTCAGTCCACAGTGGCAAGGCTTACTGAGAAACTCAAGTTCCAACCATTGCTGTGAGCGATTCCCTTCTGGCTAGGGCTGGTCCAAATGCTTTCTCTGTTCATGGGTGCTGGCTGACCTCAGCACAGCTTTATTCTCTGCTGTGACACAGCAGCACTGAGTTCAATGTAAAGTACTCAATCACTGGTCTCTCCCTCCCCAAAGTGCACAGATTCTCTCTCCATGCCACATGGCAGCTGCTCATAAGGGAGAGGTGGTGTTGGAGATTCAAGGCTGTCTTTCCATTCCTCTTCAATGCTTCTTGTAGTGATATGAAGTCAAAAATGAGGTACTGTGATTGCTTGCCTGATTTTTGTTCTTGTGATGGTGCTTTTCTGTGTGCATAGTTGTTAAAATCTGGTGTTGCCACAGTGAGGTCTGGGGGTGTGTACAATGGTGTGGGCTTCTATTCCACCAGCTTGCTCCACCCCTCCATTGTGTTTAAAATCTTCAATGTATATAAAACCACATTTTCTTTATCCATGTGTCCATCAGTGGACACTTAAGTCAATTCCATGTCTTGGCTACTGTGAACAATGCTGCAATAAACATGGGAGTGCAAACATCTCTTTGACAAACTGACTTCATTTATTTTGGATATATATCCATAAATGGGTTTCTTGAATCATATGGTAGTCCCACTTTTTATTCTTTGAGGAACCTCTGTATTGTTTTCCATAATGACAGCATCCCTTTACATTTCCAACAACAGTATACGAGGGTTCCTCTTTCTCCACATCCTTGCCAACACTTATCTTTTGTCTTTTTGATAATAGCCATTTTAACATGTGTGAGGTGATGTATCACTGTGGTTTTAGTTTACATTTCCTAATGATTAATAATGCTGAACATTTTTAATATACTTTTTAGCCATTTGAATGTCTTCTTTTGAGCAATTTCTATTCAGATCCTATCCCATTTTTTAAATTGGCTTTTGTTTTGCTATTGCTTGAGCTTCTTATATACGTTGGATATTAACCCCGTATCAGATGTACATTTTGAAAATATTTTCTCCCATCCTGTAGGTTGTCTCTTACCTCTGTTGATTGTCTCCTTTGCTGTGTAGAAATTTTTCAGTTTGATGCAATCCCTTTGCCTATCTGTTTTTTTGTTTTTGTTTTTGTTTTTTGGCTGTGCTTTTAGAGTAATATCCCCAAATCCCTTACCCAGCCTAATGAATTAAGGCAATTTCTCATGACTTCTTTTAGTAGTTTTATACTTTTAGGTCTTATATTTAAGTTCTTAAACCATTTTGAGTTGATTTTTGTATGTGGTAACAGATATGGTCCAATATTTTTTCTTTCCCAGCATGACTTATTGAAAAGACTGTTCCCTTTCCATTGTGTATTCTTGGCACCTTTGTCAAAGATAAATTAACAGTACATATGTAGGTTTATTTCCAGGCTTTCTACTCTGTTCCGTTAGTCCATGTGTCTGTTTTTATGCCAATACCATGCTGTTTTTACTACCATAGCTTTGTATTATATTTTAAAATTAAGTAGTTTGGTGCTTCCAGGTTTATTTTGGCTCAGCTTTCTTTGGCTATTTGGGGTCTTTTACAGTTTTATATAAATTTTTGAATTGATTTTTCTATTTCTCTGAAAAATGTTCCTGAAAATTTGATAGGAATTGCATTAAATATGTAGGTCACTTTGGGTATTATGAACATTTTAACAATTTTCACAATTCAGGAACATGGAATATGTTTTCATTTACTTGTGTCTTCTTCCTTATTTTTTGAGATGGAGTCTCATTCTGTCACCCAGGTTGGATGCAATGGTGCAATCTCAGCTCATTGCGACCTCCACTACACAGGTTCAAGTGATTATGCTGCCTCAGCCTCCTGAGTCACTGGGATTACAGGCACCCACTATCACGCCCAGCTAATACTTTGTGTTTTTAGTAGAGATGGGGTTTAACCATGTTGGCCAGGCTGGTTGCAAACTCCTGACTTCAAGTGACTCACCCTCCTTAGGCTCCCAAAATTCTGGGATTAAAGGCGTGAGCCACTGCGCCCAGCTTTCTTCCTTTTTTTTAACCACAAATTGATTTTCGACGATATTTTTCGCCATATGTTGGATTATGTAAGTGAATGAATAGACGTATGGCACGATTCTGCCCATTTGAATTTTTATTTCATTGCTTTTTCCATACTTGAGTGAAGCTTTTTTACTGCAATTCTCTAATTTAATGCTGTGTCAGCATATCATTCATGGCTATCTGCCAAACAGGCCATTTTGTCCTCTTTCACATTCAAATAGTGCTATGGAGGTGAGGCCATAATGTGGAGGTACATGGAGACATGTTAATGTAGTAGTATGTGCTATGGAAGATTAAGCTATGTGTTTTAAAACTTACTTAAGGGCTTATGTACAACTTGAATCACACTTACACACACACACATCACACTTGGCCCTTGAACAAATAGGAGTTTAGGGGTACTGATCCCCCCAACACAATTGAAAAATCCATGTGTAACTTTTAACACCCCCCAAATTTACCAATAGCTAACTGTTGACTGGAAACTTTACCAATAACACAAAGTCAACAAATATTTGGTATGTTACATGCATTATATACTATATTCTTACAATATAGTAAGCTAGATAAAAGAAACTGTTAAGAAAGAGAAAATGTATTTACTTCATTAAGTGGAAGTGAATCATTTTAAAAGCCTTTATCCTTATCTTCATGTTGAGTAGGCTGAGGAGGAAGAAGAAGAGGAGGGGTTAGTCTTGCTTTCTGGGGGTGACAACAGTACAAGAGGTGGAGGAGGTGGAAGGGGAGGCAGGAGAGACAGGCACACACTTGATGTAACTTTACAGAAAGACATAATTTCTGTCTGGCTTTCTTTTCTTTTTTTTTTTGACTTTTCATTTCTGTAAAAATGTTTCTATATGGTGCCAATCTTTCATCCACTGTTTGCTTTCATTTCAGTGCCTGTATCATAGAAGGGTCCATGCCATAAAATAAGTCTAAAGCAATCTTGACTAATCAAAACACTTCTTCCAAATTGTCTAATGTCAATTTGTTTTCTGTCACTGCTTTTTCTACATCTTCCTCACCATTTGGCACTGGATCAGAAGCACTCATCTCTATCAAGTCATCCTCTGTTAATTTCTCTGGTGTGGTTTTTATTAGCTCTTGAATTTTCTCCAAGGCTCATGTCTTAAAACTCTCCACCACCCTCATTTTGTTGTTGCCATTTTCACAGTTTCTTTCATGATTTCCTTGACTTGCTCTGTTGTAAATCCTGGAAAGTCATGCACCACATCTGGACACAGTTTCCTCCAGCAGAAATTTATTGTGTCAGGCTTGGTGATTTTCACAGCTTTTTCTATAACAATGGCAATTTCAGTGGTGCAATCCTTCTAGACTTTTATGATGTTCTCTCAATGAGATATCTCTTCCATAGCATTGATAATCTTTTCCGTAGAGTACCATGTGTAATGAGCCTTAAATGTCATGGATCCCTGACCTGGAGGCTGAATTAAAGATGTTGTATAAAGGGTCAAGTAGATTACTTTAATGCCTTCAGTGCTGAACTTACGGAGTTCTGGGTGGTCACAGGCATTCCTCAACATGAAAATAACTTAAAAATACAGACCCTCACTGGTAAGGTCCTTCCTGACTTCAAGGACAAAGCATCAATAGAACTAATCCAGGAAACAGATTATTCTTATTTTCCAGGCTTTCTTGTTTTACAATCAAAATATTGGTAGCTGGTGTTAGATAAGGGCAGTCCTGATCATAAACCCAACTGCATTTGCACAAAACAGTAGAGTTGGCCTATCCCTTCCTGCCTTAAATTCTGGTGCTTGTTTCCCTTCCTTACTAATAAATGTCCTTTGTGGTATTGGTTTCCAAAACAGGACATTTTCATCTGTATTAAAAATCCATCCATGCAGATCTCCTTTCTCCTCAGTGATTTTTTTCATTTGGGAAGTTATCTGCTGCCTCTTGGTCAGCAGAAACTGCTTCTTCTGTTATTTTGACATTTTTTAATCCAAATCTCTTTCTAAAATTATCAAACTATCCTTTGCTGTTGTTAAATTCTTCAGCTTAGATTCTTTACTTTCCTTTTGCTTTAAATTGTCATATAATGACTTCACTTCTTTTCAAAACATATTACATTCTATAGGTATGCCTTTCCTATAGCAATTTTTCACCAACGTAAAGGTTGTATTTTCAATGCAAAATAAAAAGGTAATCACAAATATACAATGTTTTTGCACTTGCTGGTGTAGTTACAGCTATGGCTTCATAAATGTTCTCTTTTTCTTTTTAATGGTCCTTAGGCTGGATTTATTTATCTTAAAATGGTGGGCCACTACCGCTGCAAACCTCAATCTACAATACATATTAAGCAATTCAACATTTTTAAATAATGCCATGACTTTGCTTCTTGGGACCACTTGTAGCATCACTAACAGTATTTCGTAAGGGTGTCACCTTGTTATTCAGGGTTTATGATATTGCACCAAACACAATGAAAAATATGTGACAGCCATGAGATCTTAGTCTTTACTTCATTGTGTGATATGTGATTTTCTAGAGACAGGATCTGCTCCACACAGACATGATTAATGTCAGACAGCATTTTAAGCAGATATTCACAACACTTGAGGTCACCACAATAGCAACAGGATGTCACTACAAAATTATTACAGTAGTACCATATGTACTACAGTTAATTTTATGTAGTTATAATTTAGTATGACATATTCATGTTTGTTTACATTTTTCTGGACTGTGAGTGGCATAGTGTATGGTCTATAAGTGTGTTTGTAAGCTTTGATAAATTTTGACTCTTTACAATAGATATATGTATATTTCATGGTAGTAAATTACAAAATTTCCTAGTAACTACATATATTTTATGCACGTGTGACATGTCTAAATCTTATATATATATTTCTCAGCGATGCAGTTCATCTGCAAGTTTTATGAAATTGTCTCAAACCTCCAAAAAGTTTTAAATATATTTGTTGAAAAATATTCACATATAAGTTGACCCATGCAATTCCAACCTGTGTTGTCCAAGGGTCACCTCTCTCCATATATGTAACTATAAAATTATATATATGATATAAAGTTATAAATATTATATATATACATACACCTATATATAACTTTCAATTGATAATTGCTACTTTGCATTCCTGAATTTATGCCTTAGATTCACCTGCTAAATTACAAGCACGTTGGGTCATATGTTTTCCATTTTTAGAAATTCAGTCCACAGTAGGGTTCAGTAGCAAGCCAGGAACTGTTTCTCTAAAGGAGAATATTTTTCTGCATAAGAGAACATAACTTTTTTCCAAAACTCTAGGGAACTGCATTGTGCTGTGATTGCATTAGGACCAACCAGAAGTTCCAATCTGCATTTATAAGCAAGTACCAGGGATAGGGAACTTCAAGCACTATTGAATCTATTGGATGATACTGCCCAAATGGGAAACTTTAATAACAAATTAGACTGGTTGCAAAGCCTTGTTCTGTTCTGAGACCCACTCAAAACTGACCTCAGTTAAAACTACAGAATTATGAGTTATTTTATAAAATGGTTGAAGGAACAAACCCAAATATAGCATATATTGCCTTTGAAATACAGACAGACCTGCTAGGTTTTGTGCCTTTATGTTGGTGGTAGATGATATAAAAAGAAAGAATTTTTTTGAAAATTTTTGAGATGACATTGACAAGCCCCTGTTCAATAGTCTACTAGAAACTTACTAAAGTGTCAGTCTTTGATTTTTCATGCTGTTTCTCTCTCACATTCTAGTGTGCAGGTGTCTTAATAAAGCAATTATATAGTTGCTACCTGTTGATAACCAAGTAGATAAAACCACCTTTGCTAAGTCAATGATAGTGCTAGATTCTCCTCCTGCAAGCCATTCTCATTTCTTCTTTTCTCCCAACCCTAGCAAAGCTTCCAGGGTTTATTTTATAAGAATAGTGAGTGTCTTAAGATGATATGTATCCTAAAAATGAAAACAAAAGGCACTCCACTTCTTTTCCAGTTAATTCAATGCTTGTCTGTTTTGTACATGGCTATTCAAGGCAGTTTCTTCTCACCATAAAAATTTGCCTAAATAAATTTATGTAGTTCAGATAGATTTGGAATTTTTTCCCAATTTATTAACAAATTTCAAATTGTTACTGAAATGTAAAAACAAATAGAAATAACTTAGTTTTTATTAGAAACTTATATTTTCTATTGAAGGAACTCATATAATTAAAGCAAGAGTTAATATTTACGAAGTTTTTGAAGGAAAGAGAAGAAAAAAAGATACTACTGAACAATAGGTACAGGTAATTATGTGACATAAGGAGGCATGGCCTGAGATTGCAGATTAGTAGCAAGGACAGTTTTTTCCTTGCGTTCTTTAAATGCTATTTAAATAGATGCCCTCTAAATGTCTGCCCTCATCATTTTCCTTACCCCCACCATTACCACATATTCAAGCCAAAGAAACCAACATTCATTACTCCTAATGGAATATAATCTGGAAATGCTGAAAAATGAAACAAAACAAACCTCAAATTATTGGAACACAGATTATTGGTCATGCCTAGCAACATCTACAAATGAGTCTCTTGGAAGATGCGAAGAGAATAGGTAGAGAACAACATTTTGGGTAGACACAGTTGACATTTACATTAAATGTCTGTGGTCTCAAAGAGTAAAACTAGTGATGTAAAAGCCAGAAGGCCAGGACTACAGCTAGTTGGGCTGAGAATCAGTTTTCTAGAACAAAACCAAATGTATGTAGGAAACAAGTCTGGAAAGCTGCCTTGCTGATAGTTAGAAGGCCATATTTATGAGAGGAGGTGCCAAAGGAAGGCAAGGTGCCAAGCACTTAATGCAGCAAGCTAAAAAGGAAATCAGACTTTTGGGGTGAACCATGGTAAGTGAATCTCTATGGGGTAACATTCATTTATTCTTTCACTCAATGAACCACAGTTAAGCACTAATTGTGTTCCAGGTTCTGCTGTGTGCCTCAGTACAGTGAGTACAAGAGACAAACTGATCCTCAGGCCAGGTGGATTGCCCTGTAGCTTTTTTTTTCTATTTCCTTCTGTCTATGGGATGTTCTGGATCCAAAGGCAGGCTAAAAAAAAATTCAACCAGCTAGAATAAAGAGTTTTCGTTATTAAAACTGTACGAATCAAAGAAGGAAATAAGAGTACTCTTAGATATCCCCTTACCCCCCTCAATAGGTACCTAATTTTGAGATATAAACAATAACATATATAAAGTACTGGTGCAAAATTTGGCTTCCAGTAGGTAGACAAAGTACGTGAATTCACATCCATTCCATTCTGTTCCCTGGTTTTACATATCTGCAGAAAAGTAGACTCAGTGTGCAAAAATACACTTAGGTGTGTGTTTTTTTCCTAAAATGTTTGAATTCTTTAAGTCATGAAATCATCTGTAGTGCAGATTGAAAATTTGCAAAGGAGCTCCTAAAATGCTGTTCTTTCTCTTTGAGTTCTGTTTCAGTAGGCAGCTTGACTAGATGTCACTCTTGCTTTAAAACCACCTCTCTGGCTGGGCGCAGTGGCTCACGCCTGTAATCCCAGCACTTTGGGAGGCCAAGGCGGGTGGATCACGAGGTCAGGAGATAGAGACCACCGTGGCTAACACGATGAAACCCCGTCTCTACTAAAAATAAACAAAAATTAGCCGGGCGTGGTGGCAGGGGCTTGTAGTCCCAGCTACTCAAGAGGCTGAGGCAGGAGACTGGCATGAACCCGGGAGGCGGAGCTTGCAGAGTCGAGATCACGCCACTGCACTCCAGCCTGGGTGACAGAGCGAGACTCTGTCTCAAAAAAATAAATAAATAAAATAAAATAAAACCACCTCTCAGATGTTTCTTTTAAACAAATTAGACAGTAACGTAACTTCTATCTAACAAGAGTTAACAACATAATTAAGAATTCTCTTAGTGTATAAACCACTTTAAGGGGAAACTGTATAACTTTTGAGAAACACACATACATATATACTTACATATGCAAACCACTTTAAGGCTACTAGGAAATCTAATGACTCAATTTAAATTGTCTCAAATGTCTAACATCTGCATGGAAGGAACCTGGTTTAAACTGTGTATACAACACCTAGACAAATGGCAGAAGACCAAAAATGTAATAATAATAGTAATGGTAACAATAATACTAAAAAGTATTCTGTAAATGACTAATGTTACTATTCCCTCTACTGGTGTTATATTATTAGCTTATTTACTTTAAAGTGATTTTATATAGATGCTCATTTGGAGCAGTATTGAACAAATTTCAAAATTATTACAAATGTAATTAAACTATGACATATTAAATATTAAATTAATTTTAAACTATTTTCACATTATTTGGTAATTTAACCTTACCCAAAGTGCAAATCTATAAGGCAATTTAGCTACTATCATTAATTCTTTATGAATTAGCTGTGACTATCTTCTTTGCTCAGGAAGGCTCTTATACATCTAATTAGTGCTAACAGCAAATGCCTTTAAAATGTTCAAATTAAGACAAAAAATATGACGGCAGTTATTCTTATCAGGAAAATGTGCAGACTCTAAGGCATCTTATTAAGGGAGATAATATAGTAATCAGTTGAAAGATGCCAAGGAGTGTATTCATTTATATGTGTGATTTACTTGTTCATTCTATATACCTATGCAAATCAGCATCTTCAAAACTCCCATACACTTCTAAACAGGGAGATAAACTGGAATTTTTTAAACCTTCAATTGAAAAGAAAGGAATTACAGGATTGAAGGAAAGAGGAAGGAAGGGAAGATAAAAATAGATAGCTAATACCCACTCCCATCCCCAAAAAGCAGATAATCTGTTGTTGAGCCCTTAAAAGAGGTTGATTCATTCATTTGTTAATTTGTTCAGGAACTATTTGGGGGTATCTACTGTGTTTCAGTTATTATGCAAAATGTTGAGAATACTTCAGTGTAAAGATGCTGTTCCTGGTCTCAAGCAGTTCACAATTCAATGGGGGACAGACAGGTCCAAATACAGGATTATAATTGCCAATATGGCTGTGTGTAGAGGGTTCAGTGGAAGCCTGGGGGCAGTGTAGTTATGTCTTACTAGGGGAGTCAGAGAAAGCTTTATGACACAGAATATAAGAATTGTCTCTTGCAGGAGAAGTAGGAGTTTGCAAGTGTCTAGGAAACAAAAAATAAAAGATGTCAGCACAGGAATGGGCATATGCAAAAGCCTAGAAACAGCCTGCTCAGTTAAAGAACTGTAAGATCTTTGCTATGACATAAGTACAAGCTCCAGTTAAGCAATGGTCATTTTAGGTTTATTACCAGAAAAAAAGTGAAAGTTAGATTATTTGTTTCCTGAGAGCACAATTCTCCTAACCCATGATAGTTTAAATAAAGTTTGAGTAAAACGAAATTTATTCAACCACCAAGTGGAAAGTTATAGCCATAGCTCCATTAACGGTATAGTGGGTTCAATAGAAGGTTGCCCAAAACCCAGAGCTCAATGAGAGACCTCATCATCTTGGAAGGAAACATACATAGGTGAAGTCCTTTAGGCCTCCAGCCAGAGTAATTAGCAGGTGATAATTTACATTGTGGAGAGGAAGTCCAATGCTAGGTATTGCTCGTGGGCAATAGAATAAGGGCAGTATCTGAGCACAGGTGTCTGGGGGTGCTAGTCTCTGGTTCTCCAGCACATTAAAAGAAAAGGAAAATATTAAAGTTTGATTGAACTACATTGCCTTTTGTGATCTGTAAAAATGACCATGTCATACGGTTTAATTTAATATTTGCTGAGTGCTTACCCAGGACACGTCACGGTCTTAAAGACTTTACATACACTACCTAATTGAATGAAAACTTACAAGCACCCCACAAGATAAATTTGTTTCTCCAATCTGCTGAGCCAAAGACCAAAGTGGTCCAAGACAGAAAACTACTGCGAAATTGCATACCAATCTCTTTGGTTTCAAGGTCAGATAATTTTCTAATTTGCTAGGGTCTTAATCTGTACATTGAGAGATTCAAGTAGACGATGTACAATTTGAAATCAGATAACAAATAGAGGTGGTCTGCATCAGGAGAGCTAGTAAACTGAGACCCAAACCCCAAATCAATAGAGCTTACCGTCTCACTATTCTCTCTGCTTCTGCACTCTACCATCTACCTGTCTCGTCTTCTCGTCACTCTCTTTTTCATTCATTCTGGTTCCTACACTCCTTCCCTACCTTTATTTCCCTCTTTCTGCAATTAATGAAGAAGTAGGCACATAAATGTTAGTGCAGCACAAGTAAAATGCAGGATTTACAATCATTTTGTGGAATCATATTTAAGATATGGAAAGCATTCATGATTTATTAAGTGAAAAAATAAAAATTTACAAAGAAATACAAGTAGTGATCAAAATATCTGTCCTCTTTCTATTTACCTGGTTAGTTATTCATCCAGGGGAAAATAGTATTCCAACAGTTGTCTCGGAAAAAAGATGCTTCTGCTGATCTGATTATTTTCCTTAGTTTTCTACTGTTACCTTGATTAATAATCAATCAAAAATACAATACTGTTATTTTCATGTCACATAATTTTATACCCCTAGTTCTGAAAGCAACATCTCCTCAGAAATACAGTTGCCGCCAAAGGAGGCATTTTCAAAGTCTTCATGAGCAACTTTATCCCAGTCAGTGTTCCTTATTTTAGAAGGCTATGTTTTTTATTAAATAATACTATATTATAATGTTTCCATTCTCTATCTTAAAAATAAAACCAAAAAATAACAATCAGCTTTTTTCATTGCCTAAAAAATCTTCCAGTATTTTTTAAACTGCTGTATTTTCTTCTTCCCTCTCCTGTCCCTCCTCCACCAACCAAAATATTTTTCTTTATATCATTCACTGTGATCCTTGGCTGTCTCAGAAAGGGAGACTTGAGCCTGGACATGGTTTATAAGCCCAGTTAGCACAATGATTTCTTGAGTAGGACCATTAGGCCTGCCCTTTCAGGTGCCACTGTCTTCGTTAACAAGCTATTGATTTCCCAAAGAAAGTGAAGATAGAAATCAAAATGCATCTAAGAAAATGAAAAAAGCAGAAGAAAATAAACTAGTAAGTAAAGCAGACCTAGGGCAGTATTAATGTGGTAGGGAAAATAAAATGCTTAGAATAATAGACTTGTAAGAGATCTTGGGAGGTCACAGCATCCAAAGATGTCTTTTAAGGAGACAAATATCCTGTAGTGGCCACTCCTGCAATCTGCCTTGGCTCATATATTGTTGCTGTAATGCCTTATTCTATTCTTGACCTTAGCATGAACAATTTTTTTCTAGCCCTATCCCATCAATAATTTAGTGAACAAGGTGGTTTTTATTCACCAAGAACAAAATTTCCGTGTCCTTTTAATGATCAGAAGACAGAATCTGAGTATTCTATCCCAATGCCAACCCTTGAGGAAGTTTCCCTCCATGGGTTTGCAAGCATTTGACCATCCAGTGTCAGGTTAACAAATCAGGCTGCTAACTTTTACGTTGATCCCTTCCTTCACAGCAGAGAACTCTCATTCATCAGCAACAGCACAGGGAAGATTAGTATGCAGGTTTTCTGGTCTCTGGTCATGTGTACTATTCAGACAACATCTTTGGGTTAATCTTGAAATCTTGCTGTAACTCACTTAGTTGTTGAATGAAATTGTGTGTGGAGTTCATGATTTGAGCTGCCATTCCTTGCTAGAAAAACTGCTCTATTTTATGAAGTAAAAAATAAACTTTTCTTGAAATGAGTGGATCTTACCTAGGAGACATCACCCTATCATAGGCAATTTGTGATAACATCATAAATATAAAATAAAGATTTTAGTAACTTTAAGATATGCTACAAGTTAAAACCTATAAAACATAAAACAGTTTAAATTCAGACTCCTAGATTTTCTGAAATTTGAAGTTATTTTATTCAATGATTTCAGTGAAATCAAGGTGCCCTGTAGTAATAGATCACATGGCCATTTATCTACCATCTCTCTATTTATCTATATAACCTATATTTTACCTCATTTTGAAAAGAGCACTTCTGACAGCTAACTAACCAATGTAATTATCTCATCCAGGCACATATTGGAGTTCAACATAATACATGTTATACATCTTAAAAATTCTACAAAATATGTTTCAGAAGATAATTCAGGAGAAATGCATGAACATACAGCTGTATTTTTACCTTGGGGCTTTTTCATATCTTATAAATAACAAGCATGAATTACTTAATTCCCTTAACAGAAATACAACCTCACAATGGTACACTTGTCATGAATTATCCTTCATGCAATTCTCATCATCATCTAATTAGGGTGGTTTCCATTCATATCAATCATATATACTTTTATAATTAATTTATTGCATCAAAACAATTTTCATGTCCCACTACACTTATAACTCACAAGCTATTGAAGGAGTTGATGTGGAAAAGGGGGTCTCCAAGTGTATTTGTTTCACCCAACTTTATTTTCAGAGACTTTAGAATTATTTTTCTTTTAAATCTTTCCAAAAGGTTCCATAGGACTTCCTGAAAGCCTCAGGATGAGGAAAATGCCCACTGTGTACTGATATCCAAACCTATCTCAGAATACTTAAATCCCTACAACCCCAAGCCCCAACAGACTCCCAGCCAACTCCTAGAAAAACAATTTCCTCAAGAACATCTCTAGACACATATTTACTCAAATCCTTTAGCTTTGTCTTAGTGAATCTAGTTTCTTTTTTATATCAGTGATTATTCATGATAGTAATAATATAATAATATTATATGTGTAAGGCATTATAGGATTTTGAAAAGTTTCATGATTATTCCACCATGAGATACAAGTAAACAATAACAAATACCAAGTCCATTCACTCACACTAAGGTTATAATAATAAAACAAAAGTAGCTACCTAATTCTGGTAAATAGTCATTGAAAGCAAGACTGTTTTCACTACAGTGTGACTAAACTTTGCACTCCCAATCTTAAAGTCAATAAAAATAGGCTCCTACAACTACTGAGTTGGCCTTAGGGAAAAACAAATATAAATTACACTAAATCCCAGCTTCTGGTATCTCAGTCTTAATGGAAGTAGACCAGTTAGAAATAGGTCTAGCGTCTAGTGATAGGAACAGAGAGAAAAATGCTGGAAGGCTGAGCTGTCATCACAGGGTGGCACTGTAGAACTGAACTCCTACATGTTCAGAAAAAGTCCTGAGATGTGACTTTTTGTCTTGGCTGTCCTTGAAACAAATAGGTTTGTTGGGGAACCTATTTGTTTCCTAGCAACAAGGTCCTAGCATGATGGACCTACATGATGGACCTAGCAACAAGGTCCATCATGTAATGTTCTACAGATTATGCAGTGCATAACTCTAGGGGAGCACCATTCACACTAATCTAGAGTTGAGTACCCCACATATGCACAGCATCTCCATTCCACAGAGGGGTCAGTAACATTACGCCTATTGCAAAGCTTTTCTATCTTGAGAAAGTGCTGAGACTGGAAAAGATACTAGGAGAGACTTGGAGGTGGTCACTGGGAAGATGGCTGATTGTATCCAACCCATCAACAGACTTTTGTTATTATCTTGTATTTAAAAATGCCCAATTACTATGAAGAATGTTCAGTGGATTAAAACCTAACATTTTCTCTTACGTTTAATTTTTAAACTAATTTAGAGGCCAACTGAAATAGCTATATGCATGTATTATCTCACTCTCTTCTTTTTTGAAAGATTATTATCTCCAAATTTTACTGAGAAAATTCTGTGAAGAAAAGTGTTTTTTTTTTAAATGGTACCCAGCTAGTAAGATCTAGAGTTGAGAATTTAACTAAGAATGCCCATCTCCAAAGTCATTGTTTTTTTAAGTACTATTCATTTTCTGTTTTCTACCAAAGTTATGCAGGTGTTGAACTCATGCCTGGAATGAAATTCAAAGAGATCTTTTTCAGGGCACTCACTAAAAGTCATGAAGTGTGGAAGATTATTTTAATCTATCTAGCTTTTTCACTCTTAAGTGATTTCTCAGAATCGTCACATGAAACTTAATCAAATCAAAGTGTCAACATAATATTTTAAACTACTGTATAGCATGTGTCATCATTTACTTATATGGAACCTAGGTTCTATTGGAACAGCATTTCAAATTTAGTAAAAATATTTGCTTCAAACATGTATATGACATTCTTCCATTTCATAAATCAAAATTAATGTTATATTTATTTTGAGTCTTTAAAAATAATGTCCTATAGCTGAAAGCCAATTTTAATTAGCATTCCAAAGTTTGATTTATCTTGTGCTTAGCCAAATTATCCTGGAATTCTAGATTATTTAGTGTACGTATAAATTTGGAATAAGGAGGTAATAAAGCAGAATATATAAATGTATAAAATAAAAATTGCCATTTGAATAACGCTTTTATGATCATAGCATCCTTTTACTAAAAACACTCTCTTTATCTATCTATACATGAATTTCTTTTGTTTTCATGGATTCTTTATGTTCCTAAGCAAGCTAGTGAGCACACAGGAACATTCAGATTGTCAAGTCAGGCTAAATCAATCAGTGACTTTACTAAATATAAACTTCAGTAATAAACTCAAGGATACAGGCAATCAAGAGGAACACACAAAGCAGGCAGAGGTCTGGGGACATCCAGGTTGGTTCCCCAGGGCCTTTCTTTCTCCATTGGACACACACTCTTGGGCACACAATAATGGCTGAGTTCTCCTAGTGAGGTTTTCTGAGGTTTCTTCCACAATAGAGAACATTTAAGTTACGAAAAATCTCCATTTAATCCTGCCATTCCTGGCAACATGGATGAACCTGGAGGACATTGTTAAGTGAAATAAGTCAGGCACAGCACAGCAAATACTACATGTTCTCACTCATATATGGGAGCTAAAAAATGTTGAGCTCATAAAAGTAGAGAAGAGAATTGCAGTTATTAGAGACTAGAAAGGGTTGTGGGAAGGAAGGATAGGAAGAACTTGGTTAATGAATACAAAATTATAGCTAGATAGGAGGTATAAGTTCCGGTGTTCTGAAGCATTATAGGATGAATACAGTGAACAATAATTTATTGTATATTTTCAAAAGGCTAGAAGAGAGGATTTTGTATGTTCCCAATACAAAAAAGAGGTAAATAGTTGAAGTGAGGAATATACTAATTACCATGATTTGATTATTATACCTTGAATGTATATCAAAATATCATTCTATATTTCCATAAATATGTGCAATTATTACCTGTCAATTAAAAGTTAAAAAAAAGAAAAATCTCAATTTCATACCTAGAGAATTATATAGCTTAAGTGACATTCTCAAAGGAGCTATGTGTCATAGAATATGTGTTTATTTACTATAAGTTACTATTTAAGCATATACACCCACTAGGCCCTTATATAGATAAGACCCCTTCTTACAGCAAATTGTGTTAGTTTATTTACTAAGAGATACAAATGACAAGGGGATTAGACCCAATCACCTGTGTTTTTCTTTCTCCTGAAAGCATCTCTCTGGTAAAGAGAATTAGTAAGTAGCTTAGCCGCTATAATACCGTCCTCCCACAAGGTATTTAGTAAGGCAGAATTCTTTCTTTTTCAGTTTTTGTTGTCTTTCTCTCTTTCTTTCACAGATAAAGTACTATACAAAAGTTGCCAGCCATATCTATGCCAAGCAGTCCTGTGTATAAGTTACTAAGAGCAGATTTTCTTTCTTTTGTGTGTGTGGAAATTGATCTGAGTGAATCTATGACACTGTAGTGCAAGTAGATATTCAATGCTCTGAGTAAAAAAGTATTGGAAACAAACTTTTTTTTTACTCCTCCTTTAGGGCTTTAAAATGTATTAGTCAAGTTTGCACTCATTATCTTGAAGAAAAAGGGAAAAAGGTCCATTTTTTTTTCTTTTGTAGTATGAATATCTCTGATGAAATGAGACAATGTCCAAGGGAAGCTGGTATCTTCAAGAAGGTACTCATGATAAGAAGAGTGAGGACGCACACCTTTAACTTAATATGCAGCAGAGACAAGACTTTTCTTCAAACCCAAGTGCTCTAGCACCATGCATATTTTGAAAATAGTGACTAAGCACATAAAAGTAAAAGAAAAAATTGCATTCATGGACTCCTACTCTAATGGATGTAAGAGGTGACTCTATCTAAAATAACACTGGGAGAGAGGGCTCTTTCTGCTTCTTCTTTAAATATTGAGCAGCAATGTTAATGTTCCTTCAAAATTTCTACAGCAAAAAAAAAAAAAGTGGCAGCATAAAGTTGAGCAAACCTTAAATTAGCCAGAGCAGCAGCAGTAGTGGCAGTCTCCCTCCATAAGGTATTGGCTAAGGATTGTCCTTTGCATATGTCAGACACTGAAGAACTCCCAGCTTAGAGTGACAGGAGGGTCTCTGCATCCAGAAGACGTACTTGAGACCCAGAACAAGCCACATGGAACAATGAGGATTTGCTGTGAGCATGACCAGGCTGTGGAGAACCAGCAGTGGTAGCTGAGAAGGTAGTAGCTGCAACAGCATCAGAGGGTAAGGCATGCCCTCTGATACTCCAGGCTGTACCTGCCTTAAGCTTCAGCAGGGTCTGGAGGGTCTCTGCATCCAGAACATATACATGAGACCCAGAACAAGCCACATGGAACAATGAGGATTTGCCTTGAGTATGACCAGGCTGTGGAGAACCAGCAGTGATAGTTGAGAGGGTAGTAGCTACAACAGCATCAGAGGGCCAGGCACGCCCTCTGATACTCCAGCCTGTATCTGCCTTAAGCTTCAGCAGCAACACTCTATCTTGGTAGCATGTGATCAGCTTTCAGATGGTAGTGGCCGAATCTCTGAGTCCACAGTGTACAGGCTTGAATTTGACAACAGCTGGACAAGCACTCTGTCTAGGTCTATTGTGGCCAAAAAAAAAAAAAAAAAAACGAAAGAAAAAGGAAGAAAGAGAAAAAAGGAAGGGAGGGAGGAAGAAAGACAGGCCAGCTCTTCAGGATAATGACAGAAGGAAGAACTCTGAGGTTTTCCTGTAATGGAAAAAGTGCGAGTAATAGCCATAACCTTATCATTTTCTCAGACAGGAACACCATAGACTACACAGTTGTGCAGGTTTTGCAGATAAGAATAATCCCCATTGATTTGTGCAATATGTCAGCCAAATGCTGATTTGTGAAGCTAATTATATTGGTTATAATCTAGATGTAGAAAGAGAAAACATTGAGTATTCTATAATCACATAAGTAGGAATTAACATATTTTGATTCAGCCTAATTTACTATTTGCCTATCTGATTCTCTGGTTTAGCAGAAGTTAACCAAGAAAACAGGAAGCCTGACTTGGGCCAGGTGACTTATATTGAAATAGAGAAGACACTCAGTGAAATCATATAACATAATTGCACTTGTTTTGCTACCTTGAAGGATAAGTTCCAAAGAACTGTCCTATCTGGTTGGATGGTCAGTGCTTGTCAGTCTGGGTAAGTTCTCTGTGAAGATATTATTATTTTACAAATGAACCCATATTTACATTCTTACTTTTATAAGCTATTAATTCTTGTACATGTAATAATATTTTAAGGTATTTGTATTTGTTAATATCTTATTAATAAAAATAGTGTTCACTATACTAATTGATGGAGTAAAAATATGCTGACTCTGCCATATTCATACTACAGCCTGAGATTCCTAATTGGAGGAGAATAAGACAAGAGAACACCACCGCTTTCACTACATGAAGCCCTGTCATTTCTTCACATCTTCCTCTTCCCCTTCTCTCCCTGTATGCAAACTTCCTCATCAATATTCCCACCATTAATAAATATTAATCTATAAAAATATTAAAATATAATAAAATATGCAGGCAAGCAGAAACACTTTAGAATTCTTCCCCATTTTCTCTAAGGAAATAATTACCTTAAGGCTAAAAATCTTGATTGCTTTGCGTTCTGCCTCTAGAGTTATTTTACTACTTTGGTTAACTTCGGTTAACTAGGTAATTGTGATAAATTAAATATTGCCAGTAACCAGTATTCCTCCTGTGGTCCCTCCGATCTGTGAAATTTATATGAACTGAGACATTAAAAAGAGCTATGCTAGTTCTAGCTCCCCAAATCTGAGCTGGTTGGCAAATATCTAGAAGTACTGCTTATTATGAATGCCACAGATTCCAGAACAGAGGTCAACAAAACCCTACAATTCTTGCTTTCTAAGTTTATTTTTGGCAATGTTTTAAACCAGATTCTTAAAAACTTCTCAGTGCAAAACACCAAGAAACGTTAGCCAAAATATAACAAATATTTTTTAAATGTATAACTAAACTCACTAGGAAGTAAGGATAGTCTCCAGAGGCCAGAATTCAAGAGTAATAGAAATCAGAATGGCAGGCTGATGCTAAAGCTATGGATGCCCGAGGGGAGTGTCTCAATTTCAGCAACCAAGAAGTTTAGATTTAAGCGGCTGTGCCTAGAACCTTAGACATGACCTTGAGCCCAAACAAGATAATGTGTGAGAATAGAGCCCACTTAAAAAGGGCCGCAACTGAGAAGCACTATGCCCTCACTGAAAGGTAGACTGAAAACCATCCATAAGAAAAGGAAACAGTTGACAAGAAAATTTATGCAATCTGCTAAGAAAAATAAAAGAATTCAGTATTAGAGAATTTTCCAGATGCAAGTCCGGCTTAAATATGCCTGGAAACCTCAACATTGAAAAGTAACGCAAGTTAATTCTTGGTTGGCAGTACCTTGAGGGCATCTGGAAGAAACAAATGAAAATTATCTTTACAGAGCCCACCCTAAGTTTAGACCTTTCTTGGTTCCCACAGATAAATTTACACCATGGATGAACTTTCAATACGCCAAAATAAACAAGCAAACAAACACAGTAAGAACGAAGCCACCTCAAGTAGGATAAGGAGAAAAATAAAGATTACAATCACATGTTATGGAAATCCAGATAAAAAATAATCAGCTATAGCATACAAACTACATATATTTTAAATGTTTGGGTAAATATAATAAGTGATCAAAACTTGAAAGAGGAATAAAATGTTGAAAATAAAACAAGGTAAATATGGAGAAAATAAAATTGAAATTGTAGAAGTAAAATATGACACATAAAATAAAATTCTAATGGATACATTAGATTTGTGAAAAGAAAATATTTTGGGCCCTCAAAATCACTAAGCTAAAGGGAAAAGTCAAGCTGGGAACTGCTTAGGGCAAAGGTGCCTTCCATTCTATTCAAAGTCGCCCCTCTGCTCACTGAGATAAATGCATATCTGATTGCGTTCTTTTGAAAGGCTAGTCAGAAACTCAAAAAATGCAACCATTTTTCTCTCATTTACCTATGACCTGGAAGCCTCCTCTCCACTTTCAGCTGCCCTGCTTTTCCAGACCAGACCGATATTCATCTTACATATGTTGATTGATGTCTCATGTCGCCCTAAAATGTATAAAACCATACTGTGCTCTGACCACCTTGGGTCCATATCATCAGGACTTCCTGAGGCTGTGTCACAGGCTCACGTCCTCAACCTTGGCAAAATAAACTTTCTAAATTAACTGAGACCTGTCTCAGATTTTTTGGGTTCACATTATGGTAACCACGGAGGAATTCTGACCTTTGACCCTCAGAAGTGCCAAAGGTGCCCCTGACCTTTGACGAATCTCCTCTCGATGCTTGATACCAGCTTGAGTTATCTTTATGGCTGAAACCAATAGGAAAATTTGCTGAGGCCTGGAAGGACCCCATCCAGAGAATTCCGGATCTCCCCAAGTTTGGTTGAGATCTAAAGGTTATTTTGCTGTACAACTTTTTTTTTTTTTTTTTTTTTTTGGAGTTTTACCTGCTTCCAACACAAGGAGGGCAAGTTTTTCCTGCTTCCTTAATGATGGAAGGCAGTGACTCCTTTATGGAGTTTGAGCTTGCCTCCAACAGGAAAGATAAGGATTTTTTTTGTTTTAGGGTTTTTTTGTTTTTTTCAGGCTTCTAAGATGGTAGAGAGCAGTCTTCAACCTGAGACCCATCCCTAGGTAAGTAAATGAATTGGGGTTTCTCGGCTAAAGTTAAGATTTACAACCAGCTAGTCTTAATTTCTCCTTACCATTAGAGAATTCAGTAATCATGTAAGTTGTGCAATCATTTGTTTTGCTTAACTGTTTTTTGTTGTTGATGTTTGTTTCTGTTTTTGTTGTTGTTTTGGTCTTTTTCCCATTGGGTTTGATCAATTCTATCTGACTTGATCAAATCCAAAAGACATTCCAAATCATGAGGAACAGGCCTCTGAAGTGGCTAAAGTCGCCCCCCACCCCCCAACCCCACACACACACACAAAAGGTAGTGTTGTGTGGGGAGAAATAGCCAGAAAAAGGAAAAAAAAAAAGAGAAAACATTTTTGACTTTCACTACTAAGGGTTGTTATTTACATAACAAGGCCATCTTTTTGCTAGCCAGGCCAAACTGAAAGAGCAATGGCTGTACTTCTGAAATAGCAGCAATTTGTCCTAGCTGAAATATGGTAATAAGATTTAAAAAGATTTTTTTAAAGGAGCTCAATGGTTAAAAGTCAGCTTAATTAAAAGCTAATATCCAAGACGTGTGTACATATGTGTGCATATGTGTGTTTTTGTATTTAAAAGGCCTTCATGTTTTTGTTTTTCTCCTAGGATCTTGTTTTTTTGAGCAAAAGTTTTTTTCTTCTCAGTTGACTGAATTCTGTTCTCTTCATTTACTTCTTCTGTCTCTCCTTTCTCTTACACTCCCTGCTGCATAGGGGACCTAAAATATTTTCTAATAGCCTGGGGTTTCTTAAAGAAAATGGAGAAGGTGCCAGCCTCCCTTTGAGGAAGAAATCTGTTTTTCCTTATGGAACCCCAAAAATGTAAACAGAAAAGTTTGTCTCAGTTCTTAAACTGCTTACTTTTGTATTGCATTGTCTGTTTTTCTTTTTTTTTTTAAGTTGACTAAAATAGTTATTGCAACAGAGGTTACTCTTGGGTTTTTAAGGAACAGTTGCTTTAGACACTTCAAAATGTCTTTATTTAACAAACATTTTTTAAGTGCACTGTAAAAGTATCATATGGTCTAACATCATAATAATTCTCCATTTTTGGAGAGTTAGGATTCATTGTGGGCTCTGCCAGAGATCAGAGATCCAGTTTAAAAGATAGGCAGTCCCTATCTAAATAAGATTGGTCTCCTTATACAATCCTATGAAAGATTTATATAATTTTATGTTTGATTTAGAATCCATTCCATCTTTAATCTCCTTTTGGAACCACCAGACTTTTCTCTCTGTACCTTATGATGTAAATTTTGCTATCTGATTTTCACTGGAGTTGTTAGGAAACAACTGTGTTAATATGGAAATTTAAGGCTATTTAGCTGAGAACTGCCTAGGGTTGTAAAACAGATTATCAAGAATCTGAAAGTCTAAGCTAGGAAAAAAAAATGTTTTTATAAATCTACAAGATGTACTTCTATTGGCATGCCTAATATGTCTATCTATATATGTGTTATGTACACAATGATTCACTACTGAAAATATAAGAAGAGTTCTAATTAATTAGCTTAAGAAAATAAAAGCATTTGGATCAAAAACTTCATCAGGAAAACAGAAAAGACTAGGCAAATGCTTTTTCAAGTTTACATAACTTAAGTAAAATCTTTTATACATAAGCTAACTTTACAATTACTGGTAAAGTAACACTAGAAATGTTTTAAGAATTGTCAGCATACATTTTTATTTGCATTTATTAATCAAGCAATTTCATACTTATCCCTGCCAAATACTTCAAGGTGTCAAAAGTTGGCATAGGTGTTGCAAACTGTAAACCTAGCCCAAGACAGAATAATCTTTACCTATGTAATTTTTAATAAATAAGACATTGATATTGGTTTAATAAAAATAGCTACATCTTGAATTTGATTACCATAACTTCTAATCTTGTGGCTTCAAGCAGTCTAGTCTACAGGCAGTAAATTTTGTTTTGGGAAAGGATGGTTATCATCTTTGCTTCAAAGCTAAACTATAAACTAAGTTCCTCCCAAAGTTTCTTCAGCCAATGCCAAAAAAGAACAAAGAGAGCTTGAAGGTTAGAAGCATGATGGAGTCAGTTAGGTCAAATCTTTTTCATTGTCTTCATTATAATTTTGTAATGGTGGTTCCATAACTTTAAATAATGACAATCACAGTTTTTAAAATAATCGAGGTAAATGATTAACATAAAATAATTAAATAAATAAATACAATAGAATAAATAATCATAGACAAACCCATTATAATTTAGAATCCAAAGTTATATTAAATTATAGATATTACATAATTTGGGTATTTTTTAAAAGTATATATTTGTAGGAAAACATTCTATCTAACAAAAAGTATCCTTTTAAAAAAGGTGAACAGTAGTCTAAGTCAAAGCTTGTTTAAAGGTCATGTGTAACAAGGTAAAAGGAACGAGGAAATAAAAGAGATGTAAAGAAAGTTGTAAGAATAAAGAGTTTTTGGGGTTTTTTTTGTAAGAAATCTTAAAGAGAAATAATTTCATATGAGAAAGAATTGTGTATGGCAAAAGTAGTCCTAGAGTAAAATGATTGGTTGTTTAAAAAAGAAACCAGAAAGTACAAGCATGCCATGAATGGTCTGTGTAAGTCACAATAAGCAGATTTATTTAGAAAAAAAACTTGCACATGATCGAGTTGTCTATCATTAAAGGGAAATGATTAAAGGAAATTATAATGTTCTTTTTAGAGATTGGATTTGATATTAAAAATAAAACACTTACACAGGAAAGAATAGATTAGAACAATGAAGTTTTCTTATGAGGTTGATTTACTTTTAATTATAGTTTATTAAAATTAAAAGATTTTAATTTTTTTAATCAAACTTCAACTTTTATTGCATCTCACCAGTTTCAGTTTTCTCTCTCCTTTAAAAAGGTGCAAAATAGTAACATTCCCCTTCAACTCATTTTCAGCTCATATAAGTTTTTTTTTCCTTTTCAGGCTCTGTTTTTTTGTCAGCTGATGCTAATAATGTTTTATTAAAGCTCTAAAGGAAATGATTTCTTCCAACATAATATTCTGTGTACTGCAGGTCTTTTCTTTTGCATTTTGGTAACTGGCCTAACAGATTTTACATTTTATCGAAATAATTCCTATGCCATTATTATTAAGTTTGGTTTCTTTAGGAAAAACTGAGATTAATTTTTTTAATTGAGGTTATTACAGACTTGTATTCTCCTCTATGTGCTTTTTAAAGTCCTTGTGACATTAAGTTACAGGTCTTTGACTACTGAGTCTAAAAAGAACACTAAGTCCTGCTAAATCTTAAACACAGACAGCAATTATAGCCTCATCTTCAGGCCCAGTAGAAAATGCTATCAAAATAAACTGCATTCCTGAGACATAGGGCCAGAAATCAAAGCCGCTCAACTACTCAAGGTGCAGGGACTATCGCAGAAGAGGTGAGCATGTGCGATTGTAAGGGCTGACTTTGAGAGATAAAATAAATTCAGTTTCTCTATAAACTAATCATTAATGTCAAAGACACACTGATGCAAGACCAGCATATGGGCCCCTGTTTCAGATTAACAAGGTTTTCTTGAAGCATTAACTAACTCCTTAATAAAGATTATAAAAGTTGTAAAGGCTTGTGGAAGTTATATCTTATGATCAAGATGAAAATTTTATAGATGCTTTATAAAATTTTGGAAAATAAATTTAATAGTCTGCATGCTGCTTTTATTAGGGCTTATTGTTTGCAAAATTAAATCTCTCTCAAAGAATGAAGGTTTTTGCCTTTTTTTAAATCTTTGAGTTATCACTTTGGTTAAACGAATGACTTATTTTACAATGACTTGTGATCTAATTTTGTAAAATCAAGTGTTCTAAACCTTTAATATTTGACTAACATTTCAAAATCAAATTATACATTATGTCTTTTTTGGACCTAATTAATCCTTTAATATATTATTAATAAGCTCCCTAAAGTCTGAAAATGACATATTTGGCTTATTTGGTATAAAAATTATACAGGAAGCATTGTCAAATATAAAATGGTGTTTGGTTTTCTTCGAACTGTATTTGTATAAATATGTCATTGGTATGTATTCCAAAATTATGAGAAACTCCTATAATTCTGATGTAACAATGTGTGTTATCAGTAATAATTGTTACGCTAAATTATTGTGGGTCATAGAGGTAACAAATTTGCTTGTCAATTGTGTCTTTGACTATGCCTACCCCAAAACTTTTTGTCATCCATGGACAATTGTTGTCTTGTTTTAATCCTCTTTAGAAGGTGGTTTTATAATCAGCTGTAAACTCTATCAGGTGCTCTTGAATGCAGGTTTCTCATAACTGTGGAGACTATGACATCAGAATAGAGGAAAAACTTTCAGGGTTCCCGGAGAGCTGAAACGTGAGCTGAAATGTTCATGGATAACAAACAGAACAGGAATTAACCGCATGGACTAAATTAATAAAAGTCTGAAGTAATCTTTTTAACTTTTTTGCTTAAAATGTTGCTGATTCCTTGTTTCATTTTTCAGAGTCAAGAAAACTTTTAATCTATTTACAGCTTTTAACAAGTGAGTATATTAGTCCTATGAACAAAATTTGATGCATATTTGTTTCTCTCTACCTGATTTCTACAAAATTTGGAAACTATTTGTGAGTATTCTTAACTTATGACAATACAGTTATTTGCATAAGTGCAATAAGAATTTGTTTTCATTTGTAACAGTACACGATTGGAGAAACTGGTTATTCTACCAAGGCTTTGACTGGAATGGTGTGTTTTTCTTTAAGGAATCAAACTTGACATATGGAGCCAATAAAAGCCCCTTGTAAAAAACTGGCTTCATACCTTTGTCTACACAGTCCCTGTACTGTGTTCCTGACCTGTGGTAAATAAGGAGTGACACTTTCTGACAGGCCCAGGAGCCCCTAGTTTATCCTGGAACCTCAAGAAAACAATTAACCCAACTCATAGGTGTTTGATGGTATAAATACATGGCTGAGCTCAGCTTTTAAAAAGTATTATCTGAGATTCCTTTCATGGAACAAAGTTCCATCAAAGCCAATTTAAAAGCCCATGTAAAAAATAATTATTCTTGCTGCACTGTATACAAGTAATGAGGCCAAGTAAAATAAAGCAAACCAGTCCTACCATGATTTGTCTTTAGTAAAAATGGGAAACTGGAAAAAGAAAAATTACGTTTCAAAAACTATAGTATACCTGTTGTTAAATTCTACTCTTGCCTAATGTTTTTCAATTTTTATTATTTTCTACAGTGTGAACCAGATTCTGATTTTTCTTGGCTACAAGTCTTCAAAATACTGTTTTCATTTTTTCCCTTCTTTTTACCCCCACTTCTCCTAATTTAGAGTCACTGAAAGCTAAGCTATGCTTTCAGATGGCCTGCAAACTGAAGCTAGACAACTTAAACTTCAGAAGAAAATAACAGCAACTTATTTACATACGTAAGCCACTTTCATACCTGCCTAATGATACATGGACCTCAGAGTAATGTGGCCTATATTGATTTTTCCAGGATTGTTCTTTTGTTTGTTTTTGTTTTTCTCCCTTCCTCCCCCTAGCCATGAAAGATCAGATGAAACCTGAGACCAGAGACTCATTTTCTTCTAAAATGCTTTCTCCCAAAGATTTTAAGAAAGAAAAAGGGGGAAATGTGGAAAAAAATTCTTGGGCCCCCAAAATCACTAAGCTAAAGGAAAAGTCAAGCTGGGAACTGCTTAGGACAAATCTGCCTCCCATTCTACTCAGTCACCCCTCTGCTCACTGAGATAAATGCATATCTCCTTTGGAGAGGGTAATCAGAAACTCAAAAGAATGCAGTCATTTGTTTCTTATCTACCTATGACCTGGAAGCCCTTTTCCTGCTTTCAGCTGTCCCACCTTTCCAGACTGGACCAATGTTCATCTTACATATGGTGATTGATGTCTCATGTTTCCCTAAAATGTATAAAACAAAACTGTGTTCTGACCACCTTGGGCACATGTTTTCAGGACCTCCTGAGGCTGTGTCACGGGCACATGTCCTCAGCCTTGGCAAAATAAACCTTCTAAATTAACTGAGACCTGCCTCAGATTTTTTGGGTTCCCAGAACTGAAAAGCTAAGTACTGGACTCCAATACAGGTCAGAAGAAGTTCACAAACTATGTACCTCCGTGATACAATAAGATGAAAACAATGAAAGAGACATTAAGGATGAATAAGAAGATCTAACACATACCTAATTGGAATTAAAGAAGAATGCATAGGGAGAAACAATATTAGAAAAGATAGCAGGTGATAATTTTCCATAATTAATGCAATATATATTAATCTTCAGACTCAACTCACATAGCAAATTTTTTATTTTGTTATTGTTTTGTTTGGTATTCTTTTTTAAGATAAGGTCTTGCTCTATTGCCCAGGCTGAAGTATAGTGGCATGATTAGGGCTAACTGCAGCCTTGACCTCCAAGGCTCAAGCAATCCTCTCACCTCAGCCCCCTCTCCCACCCCCAGAAGAGGTGGGACTATAGGAGCATGCTACCATGCCCAGCTACTGTTTCTTTTTTAATTTTAGTAGAGACTAAGTCCTGTTATGTTGCCCAGGCCGGTCTCGAACTCTTGAGCCCAAGCAGTTTTCCTGCCTCGACCTCCAAAAGTGCTGGGATTACAGGCATGAGCCACAGCACCCAGCCTTGCAAATTTCAAAGGGGATAAATACAAATAAATACATGCAGACTTGAACCCGTAGATCACCAAAGACAAAGAGATTTTAAAATTCACCAAAGAAAATAGACAGACTACCAGTAAAATGACACCTCAACAATAATAGAAGGTAAATTTCTATAATCTATGTACATGTAGATCCACGGTGCTCTTTTGAGGTGAGCTCAAAAAATTACATTTGTTTTCCTCCAAGGAGGAGTTTCTTGATATAAGAACAATAAAATTTTCCAAGTTAACATAAATAAGTTTTTGCAATTTTTTTTTTACTATACTTTAAGTTCTGGGATACATGTGCAGTACGTGTAGGCTAGTTACATAGGTATACATGCGCCATGGTGGTTTGGTGCATCCATCAACCCATCATCTACATTATATATTTTTCCTGATGCTATCACTCCCCTAGCCCCCCACCCCCCGACAGGCCCCGGTGTGTGATTCCCCTCCCTGTGTCCATCTGTTTTCATTGTTCAACTCCCAGTTATGAGTGAGAACATTCGGTGTTTGGTTTTCTGTTCCTGGGTTAGTTTGCTGAGAATGACGGATGAGTGAACACCCATTCACAATTGCTACAAAGAGAATAAAATACCTAAGAATACAACTTACAAGGGATGTGAAGGACCTCTTCAAGGAGAACTACAAACCACTGCTCAAGGAAATAAGAGAGGACACAAACAAATGGAAGAACATTCTATGCTCATGGATAGGAAGAATCAATATCGTGAAAATGGCCATACTGCCCAAAGTAATTTATAGATTCAATGCTATCCCATCAAACTATCATTGACTGTCTTCACAGAATTATAAAAAACTACTTTAAATTTCATATGGATTTTTGTATTTTTAAAATATATTCCCTTGGGATCCTCAGGAATATAAACCAGACAGTCCTATGTTTTAACATTGTTCATTTGATCTTCCATATGATAAAGTGGTAATATCCCTTATTTACGGATGACAACTCAGGGCTGGGTGCCTGCCTAAGTACCAGAGCCATTCTCTCTTGAATTGTCTTTGGTGTAGATGCCAAAGAAACAAGATCATTTGGAGTCATCCAGTTGCTACGACGTGGGCTTAAAAAACAGTTTCACTGCTCCTCATGGCTAGTTATCTATATACCAGCAAATCTCCATCACTTTTGCTTTTTTAATTTACCTATCAGAAGGCTGGGACACTACTAGGCCACATAAAGATGTACTCCTATAAGTGTTTGCTTTATCGTTTCTTTTTTTCTGAATATCTCTTAAAGGGCAACATTAATGGTAGGTTTAAATGAGATAACTACAATACATAAAACACCTATATGTAACCAGAAACATTGTAAGCATTCGATCATCTTCTTCCATTAATGATTTTTTCTCTTCCCTGTAAATAAAGCCAGGAAAAGCCATTGTAGAGTGTAGAGTTTGGTTGATCAGGTTCTTTTTGCATTCACTAGAAACTTGCATGAAATCTTAGACATGGCTACATTTTTTATCTTCCCCCAGAGTAAAAGACAAACAAAAATCCCCAAAATATATCCTAACAATCTGGAAAAGATAGTGTGCAAACATTTTTTATGCTGCTTCCACAGCAGATAAACTGGTAACAGGCTAAAGGAAGTGAATTGTATGCAAGGTTGTTTGAGCCTTTCATTTTGCATGGACCATTTCTGGTCTAGAAAAGAAACAATAATTTGGAAAAAGATTTGCATAGGAGAAACCATCTCCCATAATTATTTTAAGTTCATTTATTCTTCTGGACTGTGTTCTTATCAAATAAACAGTACAACTCTAGCTTGCCTATATTCTGCCCTTTCTAAATTACCATAGATGCAGAAAACAGGCTTTCAGGTAGAATCATGACACAGTGATAGAATAGAATCCTCTGTTAACTTTCTAATATTATATATCATCTCTGAACTTTGGCTTTCTCACCTGTAAAAATGGGTATACCTTACAGTAGAGAATCCCCTTGGTTGAAACTTCCACTGCTCTCGAGATACATACCACACTTCTTAGTTCAGCATCAAGAACCTTGATGTTTTTCTGTGTTCCCCTCTGGATAAAGCTAGTATCAGCCCCCTCCTCCCACTCTTCATCTGGTCAAGATGAAATATTTGCTTTGCTAGAATGAGCAAAATTCCCCCAGCATATGCAGTTCCCTTTGCCTAGAGGATATTTCTTCCCTTACCTCATCACGTTACTTTCTAGCCATACTTCTGTTCTCAATTTAGATGTGACCACTTCCTGCAAGCTTCTTTTAACTCCTACCCACAGCTAGATTAAACACCCTTCCCATGTCCTTACTTGAAAACCCCATGCAACTCCTATACTGAACATTTTTGCAGGTCTTTCATATCATATTTATATGTCTGTCTCCCTTCCTAAAATTTAAAATTCTACAGGGCACAAAATGTATTTACATTATTGCTATAGCAAAACAGTTGTAGCCCAGATCTTAGCAATACTAATAACTTCATTAGCAAATGTTATTAAAGAATATGCTTTTTAGGACGTTTACTAATGATGTAATTAAAAATCAATATCTATTGGTAGCAGGTTATGCTAATGTAACACTTACTCTGAACCAGATATGCATGTCTTTAAAACATATTCAGCTATCTCTCATTTGTCTCTCTTCAACCACTTTTAAAAAATGTCCATCTTTCTTAAACAGTTCAAAAATCACATTTTTAATTAGCCAAGTGAAGGACCATTTTATCAATTCCCACACAGTAAAGAAAATCTCACTTATGCGGATGAACAAAAGTGATAACAGATTATTCAACTTTATATTGGTTTGTGGTGCAAACTCCTTATTACATGACTGAAGCCTTATCATTTATAAGACTATGGAGGGAATTTGGGTGGTGTTTATTGTTGTGAATCCTATAAAAAATAAAACTCCAGGAAAAATAAAAAAGCTTTGTGGTTTTTGATTCATCTGTTTTAATCAAAGGCTAACAAGAAGCAAAGGAGCAGAAATACTAAATGGAAATGGATACCTTTATTGTTTGTCTTTGCTTTTAGAAATAGTTTGATGGACATATTAAAAGCAAAAATCTTTAAAGGACTTTGCAGGTAGACCACCTCCAGAATTCTGCAAAGGCTTTGAGCTAGGCCCTGGCTACATACTAGGGAATCACCATGGAGTTCCAATTTACTGAATACTTAGAGGATGGCACAACACTGTCATCCATGCCCATAGACCCGGGGAGAATTTTCCTGGAACTTCTGAAAGAATTAGCAAGTTCATGAAGCTCAGTAATTGCTCTGCCCAGTGGACCACACCACCTCATTATTCTCTGAAGCTTATTGAAGTTACATATGCAATAGGAGCTGGCTGCAGGATTAATCAAATAGAATTGTCCTTGGAGAGATCATACATATGTATTAACTAAGACTTTTAAAGAAGACTTTGATAATACCAAACCACCAGGTTGAATTGTAGATGAATTCATGTATAGAAATAATTCAGTTCAGTTCATTTTATCACAATTCACAAGGCACAATTAAAACTAGAGCAAAGGGAAGTAATCTCTGCAGTTACTTTGTCTTCATTAAAACATACTATTTTCTTTAATACATATTTTTATTTAATGATATGTAATATTTAAAGAGTGTGTACAAAAGATACTATATGTAAAAATAAAAGCTATTAGTATATAACTATTAATAAAAGACAACAATGCAGCTAAATACAGTCTTGCATCAAAATTGCAAAGGAAAAGAATGCGGAGAAAGTATACTCTGGAAGGAATATGAAAAAGAAATAAATGTGAGCTTCTTGGGAGCAGGTATTGTATTTTTTCATACATATTTTTAGTTCAGCAAAGCACATAATAGGTGTTAGATAATTGTTGATTGGACTTAACTGTTTCTTGAACCAAACTTGAAATTACAGCAGAAAAAGAAAGTAGGCATGCCCCAAAGTCACTGTAAATCCCCTATGTGAGAGGTCCACAGATTGGAATGGATAAGCCAAATCCAGGCTGCTTTCTCTTTTTGTAAATAACATTCTGTTGAAACATATTGGAATGTAGTTGTGCATGCACATGACACACACACAAACGCACACACATGCACACATGTATGGTCTATGCCTGCACTCATAGTACAATGACAGAGTTAAGTAATTGCACAGAGACCATAGGTACCATAAAGTCTAAAATATTTACTATCATGTATAGGACAAACTCTTGCCCTATATGCTTACTTATATTGTGAAATGAAGAGAACAGCCATGATCTGACATCTATACAATCTTCCTAGCATCTTCAGTTTCAGCCTAGTTTGTATTATAGGCTCATGTGTCCTTAGAAAATCAGTACAGATATGAGATGACGGTGTGAGATGTGAATGGAAAAAAATGATGAAAAGCATATCATAATCTCATTTTAAAATTCTGGGCTCTTACAGTTCTGAATTTGAATCCTGGGCTCTAGGGCTTGTCAGCCGTGATATGGGGCAAGTTGCTTAACTTCTAAGTACTCATTTCACTTCTAGAAAACAGGGGTGGAAATATTCATTTCATAACATTGCCAAGAGGATTAAATAAAGTAACATAATTAGAGTATCCTGTTGGTAATACATGTTCAGTAAATATGTCTTATTCCTTCATAAGACTAATCAGTTCATTAACCTTGTAGTGGGACTTCATTTTCTGGTATGTTTACAACTGTAGTAAAGAGAGAATTGGCTAGTTGTTTCAAAGCCTGCATGCCATCTCCCAGCCTTCTGTAATTCTCAACAACAATAATAACAACACAAGTAATTTTACTGAATAAGACTGGGACATAAGCTTAAAAGTATTTTTATAAAATTTATATATGCAGTATTACAGGAACACAACTGTTAAATTCAATGAGAAATTTGGTTTATTAATGAAACTAAGCTGTATTTCACCAAAACCTTTTGACAATTCCTTGGTGCATAGGACATAAAACACAAAGTTATTGTTATTTGGTAAGTTAAGTCTCTGTAATTACAATTATAAAAGCAACATTAACCAAACCTGGGAAACATGCATTGGAGATCCTACATTATTACTTTGCACTTACACTTGCAGGATTTTCATTTAATTTTAAATGTTATTCTGTGTGGCTTTGTAAATAAATAACAATCTTTTTAATCAAAAGACTAACAAAAAGCAAATGGATCTTTCTCTTTTTTTTCTGTCTTTACATTGCCACAGAAAATTACTGTCTCATACTCAAGTCTCAAGAGCTAGGAAGATAGCAAAAAGAAATAGGCTACATTCAAACCATGAAGTATCAGTGGGAGTTTTGGAATTTCTTTATAGTCAGAACTTAAGAATAACCATCTGTTTTGAGGAGGTGGATCAATGAAGGACAGTGTTGTTAATTATATTCCATAGATTTCTACATTAATACTAAAAGGAAGGACACTATAAGTTTTCTATATCAAGGAAGAGGGAAGGAATTGGTCAAGATAGGGGAAGCTCTTGTTATGGCTTGAATGTCGATGGTCCCCACCAAAACTTATATGGAAGCTTGGTCCCCAGTGTAATGGTGTTGAAAGGTGGTGTTACTTTCAAGAAGCATTTGGGTCATGAGGAATCCACCTTCAAAAAAGGATTAATGCAGTCTCTCAAGAGTGAGTAGGTTTTCACACTTGCTGGACTGGATTAGTTACTGTGACAGCAGCTTGTTATAAAGTGGGGTCACCCCTCATGTTCTCTTTCTTTCACACCTGCCTGCTTTCCCTTCTGCTTCTCCATCATGTTATGGCACATCATGAGGCTCTCACCAGAAGCCAGTCAGATACCGTTGTACAATCTTGGACTTCCCAGCCTTCAGAATTGTGATTCAAAATAAACCTCTTTTATTTATAAATTACCCAGGCTCAAGAATTCTCTTATAGCACAAGGAAATGGGCTAAGACAGCTCTCACATGACCTCAAGACTGTATTTGATGCCATCACTGTGAAATATAATATTAAATATAAGAATATATTTCCAGAGAGTGTTTAAGCTAGCATGAGTCTTTTGGTTTTTATTAATTGACACCTGAAATGTCCTGTATGAAGAAAAAGCTAGTTACTCTATTTTAGATGGCTCTTGAAAGTCAGGTAAGAGATAGAGTTGCCAGATCAGTGGCAACGATATAGAAAACTAAGTGTGTTTTTGTATATATGTGTGTGTAGACAATAGTTAACTTCAAGGAAGACAAAATGTGGTACAAAATTATATATATAATCATAATATAGTGTCATCTGTGTATAAAATTTCCATAGTTATAATGAGGCAAACACTGAATATTGATTGAGCTATAAATTGTGATACACTTATTTTGGTAGAATTGGCAAAGGGGATGCATGTAAATGTGTATAGGTGCAGTGAAAAATCTAAATTCTGATCCTCTATAGTAGAAAACCAAAAAACAATGGCTAAAATTGAAAATCTAGAAATAGCACTATTGAGCAACACAGACACAACTGGAGGCTATTATCTTAAGTGAAATAACCAAGAAACAGAAAGCCAAATACCATATGTTTTCATTTATAAGTGGGAGTTAAACAATGAGTACACATGGGCGTACAGGGAAGAATAATAGATATTTTAGATTCTAAAATGTGGAAGGGTGAGGAATAAAATGATTATCTATTTGGTACAATATACACTGTTTGGGTGATGGGCACACTAAACGCCCAGACTTCACTATTATGTGAAATTTCATGTAACAGACCTACACTGGTACTCCCTAAATTTACTATAGAAATTAAAAAATAAATGTAAAGAAATAGCACTATCATGATGTTATTTAGCAATATGGGGGAAAATTTTTTTAAAGTTGAAAGTAGATGTCTTTGAAAATGGTATTAGCTTTAATTATTTTTACTATAAACTTTGTAGTATTATCTGACTTAAAAATATAGGTAGGGCGGACACGATGGCTCACGCCTATAATCCCAGCACTTTGGGAGGCCGAGGTGGGTGGATCGCTTGAGCTCAGGAGTTTAGGACCAATCTGGGCAACACGGCAAAACCCCATCTCTACAAAAAAATACAAAAATTGAGCCAGGCATGGTGGCACACACCTGTAGTCCCGGCTTCTCGAGAAGTTGATGTGGGAGGATTGCTTGAGCGTGACAGGCGGAGGTCACGGTGGGCCAAGGTTATGTCACTGAGACCCTGTAACCTCCCCCCCGCAAAAAAAAGTAAAGAAAAGAAAAGAAAGTATATGTGTATATTTATTTGATGAAATGAAAATTTAATTTACATAAATTAAATATAAGTGGTTTTAGAGATATTTTCAGGATGTTTAAAATTATGAGGTCAATGTGTAAACCTTTGCTCATGTTGACTTTTCTTTCCAAATTGGCTTAGCAGCACAATTTTTGTTTTTGCTCTCTCCTCTCTAAGCTCAGGAACCATAGATGTCAAACATTTGAATTCCTACTGATGAGCAAAACTAGATTTCAGAAGAGCATACTAGAAGTAGAAAAGACATTTCGTTTTTTTTTTCCTAGGAAGCAAATGAGATTTTATATCACAAGAACTTTTCCTGTGTATTTTCCTTATAGGTAATGGTGCCTTTATTCAGTCATGTGATTCCTAAACACTGATTGTTCAACAATGTGACTTCCAAATCCATAATCTTTTATTGAATCCAGTGGTTGTTTCAATAAGAATAAATAGTTATATTCCTCAAAAGTTAAGAGGCTTAATTAGCAACAATAGGAAGTATTATAATCCTCCTCTCTTCTGTCAGTTTCATTTAAACAATCAATAGGCAGGTAGAAGGACTAGGGGACAGGAAGGGGAAGGGAAGGGCTATTACTATTTGTTCAGATAGGGAGAGAGAGAAAGAGTCAAAGACAGAGAGTTTTTTGTTTGTTTGTTTGTTTGTTTGTTTTAAATTAGACCTTACAACATCCTAGGATGCCTTAATTTTCTAAGCTGTGCCCAAGGTTGCTTACTGGAAATTAAGGGATCTGAAATTCAAATTGAAATATCTTTCTCCAAAGTCTACATTTTCATCAGCTAGCCAAAACTAAGGACAATTCGGAATCCGTCCCAGGTCTGGCACCTTGCATTTTGTCCCTGCTCATATAGTTGCTAAATATAGCACGGATATTTATGAATTCATTATTCATAAGATTTAGACCCTAACATTCATTTTAATACATAACCTATATCTGTACATTTTTAGAGTACCTAAAGTAGAAATCTAAACAATTTTTGGATGCTTCCTGAAGCATCTCTGTTTCACTTTCTATATTATAGGATTAGCTTGCAGCTCTCTTCCAAAACATGGCATAATTGAAGTTGTATAGTGAGGAAAACTTGGAAATGATCAGGGTTGGGGGAAACACAGAAGGGGTGAACAATTTCTGCCAACATCATAAGAACTCTTTGAAAATCCTTGGCTATTAGCTAAAGAACAAGATTAGACTCATGTCAAACTTCAAAGCTTCTTTCTAACCACCTATTCTAAAAAGCTTTTCTCTAGAAATAAAATAGTTTCCCTTTTCTTCACAAAACAGTGAGAAATATATTTCTGCTTATTTATATATTTTTTAAGATAAAATTCTTTGAGTTTATATGAGAGGATGAATTCTTGTCTTGCCCTTTCTTGTCAAGGATTTTTCAAGGTAATAAAGAAAAATACATGTAAACATTTTCCCAATTTGTGATGAGCAGTCAATAAACAAAAAATGTTAATCATACTAATTTCTTCTCGCTGGCAAAGTGATGCATAAATAATCTATTAACATACATGGGCCATCAGGGTTAAGCTGTTCAAACATTGTTATTGATTTCTTCCATTTCCCCTATGCTCACTTCTTATTCAACCAGTACTATATAACTCCTCTTTTCCATTATATTGTAAAACTTTGCTCCCTTGAGCATCTCTGTGAAGCTCTGCTCTTAAAACATTAATTAAAGGGAGTTGAAGTGTTTGACTAATCAGCAGAGGAGTCTGTAAGGCTCCAATGCTGAATGACAAATGTCAATATCTGCTTTAGGTTTGTTGGATCAACGAGCCAATATGGAGAAACTGATCCATCGTCTTGTCACCAATTCCCATAGCACCCCAGAAACCTGCCAATTAAAAAAAAAGTTGTAATCACAATATATCACTCAGCCACTATTGCAGGAACATGATAAATAGGGACCTTTTTCTTCCTCTCTGTTGAGTATTTGATGTCTTTTTTGAAAATTTATTCCATTTTTTAGGTTGATGCAAACTCAAATCCAAAATGAAAAAGAGCACCTTAAGATATATATTCCTCTATTCTTTTTCCTGAAGCATAAATTAACATTTTATTGAATAGGTATAAATTCTTGTGGACTTTTGAAAAGTGACAGAGATGGTTAAGACAGTAACTTGTATTACTGAGAACTAGCCAATTCAATAGCTCTTTTTCTCTGCAAAGGCAAAGTTTAGAATTTCCTTTGGTGAATATTCACTAAAAAGTGGAAGGTGATATAACACACAAACCCTTTAATATTCCTCATTCCTTAACAGGACAAAGGTACGCTACATAAATCTTTCCAGCCACATTTCCTGCCTCTCTCTTACTCATAACCTTTTCTCTAGCTATTCTAATCTGCAGGAAATCCTCTCAATGTGACAAATATGTCTCTGGGCATGCTTTTTGGATTATGTGGAAGTTTTTCCTGAACATTGGACCATTTGGTCAGCTTCTGCAAGTTCTTCCAGACTTGACTTCAATACTACCTCCCCTTAGACATACCCTTGAAATCCACTCAAAGACTGAGTTAAAGACCCTTTTCTGGGCTGCTTCTCTTAACTTTCATAACACTTGGTCCATGCTCTGTTCAAACCTAGGTGCTTTAATCCTTTTACTGTAAATATGAGATTTTCTCATGTGTTTCCCTTTTAAGGTAGTGAGCTCCTTGAAGGACAGAAAGCATTTCACATGTGCCTTGTATTCCAATCACAAGCATAATGACTGGTACCCAGTATGTACTCAGTTTTGATAATGCATCAAATTATTTTTAAAACTTATATGCTTAAACCTCTGAGCAGCTAGCCATTATCTCAGAATCAAACCCAGCTTCTTATCATCTTTGTTCCCTTGTCCTTCCAGAGGTGAGGAGCCCAGCTCCTCATCTCTAGCTTCCTGTTGATCCAACCTCCCTGTCCTTTATTCTTATTTCTAATTTACCTTCCTTCATCTTCTCCTATGTGACAAGTTTCTATTTATCTGGGGTCATTTGTACATGCTATTGCCTATGCCTTAATATCCTTTATCAATAATGTCAATATCAATAATATTAATATCCTGGCCAACCCATTTTTTTTTTAAAAGATGGGTTCTTGCTATGCTGCCCAGGCTTACCTTGAACTCTTGACTCAACTGATCCTCCTGCCTCAGTCTCTCAAGTAACTGGACTCCAAGTGCATACCACTTCACTTGGATTTAATTTTCTTTTTTTTTTTTAGACGGAGTCTCGCTCTGTGGCCCAGGCTGGAGTGTAGCGGCACCATCTCGGCTCACTGCAAACTCCGCCTCCAGGATTCAGGCCATTCTCCTGCCTTAGCCTCCTGAGTAGCTGGGACTACAGGTGTGCACCACCATGCCCAGCTAATTTGTCATATTTTTAGTAGAGACGGGGTTTAACCACGTTAGCCAGGATGGTCTCGATCTCCTGACCTCATGATCCACCCGCCTCGGCCTCCCAAAGTGCTGGGATTACAGGCATGAGCCACTGTGCCTGGCCTCGGCTTTAATTTTCACTGTGTTTTTTGTTTGTTTTTATAGAGATGAGATCTTGTTATGTTATCCAGGCTAGTCTCAACCTCCTGGTCTCCAGCTATCCTCTTGCCTCTGCTTCCCGAAAAAGCACTGAGATTACAGATAGGAACCAGCATACCTGGCCCTATCTTCATTTTGAAAAGCCATTTCTTTAGGACATATTTTCCTGATACTTTTTCCCAAAACCAAAATTATGACTGAAATTGCCTAATCCAATGACATCTTCATGGCTGTTATCTAACACATAACATTAGTGTATAGATTCATTCCTTTCCAGACTATAAGCTCCATGAGAGGAGTCATGTTTCTTTTATTCACAGTTGAATTTGTGACACTGAGACATCCAGTAAATCTTTGTAAACTGAATAAATAAATCTTGAATATATGAACAAAATTTGATAGCACGAACTAAAGGCTGTAAATGTGAATAGTTACCATTTAAAAATTAAGCTTTTGTAGTAAAATTTATGAAATATGCTTCTAAGGAAGCTATATTCTTTACTGTGTATTCCGTTTGCATTGAGCAACACAACAAGCTTGAAACAAGAGTGCCTTTACTCTTAAAACTCACGTGCCTCAGTTTTTCCCACTCAGGCAATTGGCCTAGCAAGGATCCAGAAACCTGGGGATATTATTAAATTAGAATGAAAATGTGAATAATTATTTCTCCTTAATGCCCCCCACCCCAATAATTGCTTGCACCTGTGATTTTCTAGACACACGTTAGTGCCACACTCTTTTCCTCCACATCCAGGTGAGGAGTAACTGAAGTCACTTCACAAATTTCTCCACACTTTAGAGGCAAAAATGTTGGCACTTGCTGACCAAAGACTGCATAAGTTTTCACATTCTGTGACCTATGTTTTAATCTTAACGTTCATTGTTTTGTTCCACAAAGTAGAAAACAAAATAGAAGAGGAGGAGGTGGAAATCAGTGGTACCAAGCAAAATGTCTGCAAGGCCTGAGACAGCAAATCTTGCCATGTCATACTCTTAGCTATTATCTATAGAGGCTGCGCAATGACTTTCCGCTTTGCTTCTCTTGTTCATGTTCAAAGCCTTTGTTCAGTAAACAGGTGTTGCTGATCTTGGAAGAGGAATAATAGGGGCTGGAGCCTCTAACACAATCATGTAAAACACTGATGATATTTTGGCTTAAAAATAAAGCATCCCCAGTGACAGAGCCTGCTGAAATCAGTAGAATTTATGAACTTACTTATTTATTTGCCTTCTGTCTGAACAAGAATCTTACCATGGAATTAAAATTCAGCAGACAGAAACCCAAGTTGAGAACTACGCTCCAGGTATCGTTTTTAATCTTTTATCTGATTCACAGTGATGAACAAGACAGCATTAAAACTCCTCTAGTCATTTTCTCAAACACTGCAAAGCAACAACAAGGACCATGATTGCTTTTAAGGTAAATCCTCACTAAAATATTCACAGACCAAACAAAGAAAAATAAGCAAACAGAAGGCCAGGAAAATTAAATGCTTTACCTTCTGAACTGTCAGGGTTGGTCTATGTGCTAAAGTGTAGACCAGATTCAGAACAAGTTATTTAATATCTAAATGTCTCCTCAATGCTCTTTTTAGAACTTCTTACAGCTCATCTAAAGTTATTAAAAGGAAATAATAAAATTCCACCATCACTATAATTTCATGAACTGTTATTTGTTGGATTTATGTAAATATGAAGCTCTGTCTTTTAAAAAATTTCATTTTATGTCACATGGAGGTAGTCTTTACAGAAAGCTGCAAATGTAATAAAGATAGTCTCAAGTATTTTTTTAAATAGTAATATATAGCACAGTGGTTTTAAGAGGATATTAAATGCATTTTTAAAATTAAGCATATTTATGAAACTCCTTTTTCTGTTTCCTCATGCAACCATACTCCACTTATTTTGATATATTCCCACCTTTATGAGATCCTTCTTTCATAATTGGGAAAAGATTGATCTGATTCATAGAATCCTTAAAAGTGTTTCTAGTTCATTTTTCTGATCTCTACAAGATGCACACAATTTGTCTATGGCTATAGCTATAGGCTAAAACATTACTACTTGACCTGCAGTTAAATCATCAATCATTATCACTTGCTTAGAAGTATATAGACAGAACATCCTATTCATTGATCTTTCTACTTTTTTTTTTGTGATGAAGTCTCGCTCTGTTGCCAGGCTGGAGTGCAGTAGCGCGATCTCGGCTCACTGCAACCTCTGCCTCCCAAGTTCAAGAAATTCTCCTGCCTCAGCCTCCCAAGTAGCTGTATTTTTAGTACAGACGGGATTTCACCATGTTAGCCAGACTGGTCTCGATCACCTGACCTCGTAATCAGCCCGCCTCGGCCTCCCAAAGTGCTGGGATTACAGGTGTGAGCCACCGCACCCAGATGATCTGTTTACTCTTTTTAGGGGCTTGTATTAGTATCTTCTTGACTGCACAGAATTAGGGCAGTCCCCGTTACATCCTAATTCTTCTCCCTACTCAATATAAAATTCCACCTAATTAGAAGGGAAGCATTACTAATATCCATGAGGTTTTTACACTTTAATCTTTTGATTTAAAATAGACAAACTGAGGCCAAAAAAAAGATATTGAGTTTATATTCCATGACTCATTTCGGTTTTTCACTTTACTTTGTACAATGACAGGTACAATCATAGAAAATGATATTTTTTCATGTTGGGCTCTATTTGAGGTCTGAAAATGGAGTCAACTTTGGTTAATTCTCCATTGATAATTGAAGATTAGTAAAATTCCTTATTTTCCACAAAAAATTAATTAATCTGCCTTCTGCCAAGATGGGGCTGAATTTAGGCAGTAGCAGCCAATTTTAATAGGGTCATATTTTTCTCACTTTTCTTCTGCTGAGAGGCCCCAGAAAAATAATGTATCTTTCTTTCTTTATTTATACTTTTCAGAATCTGATTTATTTATTTTTATTTTCTGTTTCCTTTTTTGTTTATATATTTATTTTTAATTCCAATAGCTTTAGTGATACAAGTGGATCTTGGTTACATGGATGAATTGTACAGTGGTGAAATCTGGGCTTTTAATGTACTCATTCCCCATTAGGGTACATTGTACTCGAGAGGTAGTAGTTCACTCACCTCAAACCCTCCTCCTTTCTGAGTCTTCACGTTCATTAGACCACTCTGTATGGCTTTGTATTAGGCTTTTCTCATGCTGCTATAAAGACATACCTGGGACTGGGTGTTTTGTGAAGAAAAGAGGTTTAATTGATTCACAGGCTGTGCAGGAAGCATGGCTGGGGAGGCCTTAGGAAACTGACAATTATAGCAGAAGGTGAAGGGGAAGCAGGCATATCTTTAACATGGATGGCAGGAGAGTGAAGGATGAAGTACTACACAATTTCTAATAGCCAGATTTCATGAGAACTCTATCACAAGAACAGCAAGGACGAAGTCTGCCACTATGATTTAATCATCTCCCACCATGCACTCCTCCAACACTGAGAATTACAATTTAACATGAGATTTGGGTGTAGATACAGAACCAAACCGTATCATTCTGGACCTGGCCTCTCCAAAATCCCATGTCCTTCTGATATTTCAAAACACAATCATGCCTTCCCAATAGTCTCCCAAAGTCTTAACTCATTCCAGCATGAACTTAAAAGTCCAAGTCCAAAGTGTCATCTGAGATAAGGCAAGTCCCTTCTGCCTATGATCATGTAAAATAAAAAATAAGTTAGTTACCTCCAAGACACAATAGTTACAGGCATTGGGTAAACAGACCCACTACAAGAGGAAGAAAACAGCCAAAACAAAGGGGCTACTGGCCCCACGCAAGTCTGAAACCTAGCAGGGCAGTCATTACATCTTGAAGCTCCAGAAAAACCGCCTTTATCTCCATGTCTCATATCCAGGCCAAACTGATGCAAGAGGTGGGCTCTAAAGCACTTGGACATCTCTGCCCCTGTGGATCTGTAGAGTACAGCCCCTGTGGCTTCTGTCACAGGCTGGTATTGAGTGCCTGTGGCTTTTCCAGGCACATGGTGCGAGCTGTTGGTGGAGCTACCATTCTGGGATCTGGAGAAGAGTGGCCCTCTTCTCACAGCTCCACTAGGCAGTGTCCCAGTGGAAAATTTGTGTGGGGGCTCCAACCCTACATTTCCCCTCCACATTGCCCTAGTAGAGGTTCTCCATGAGGTCTCTGCCCCTGCAACAGACTACTGTCTGGACATTCAGGCATTTCCATACATCCTCTGAAACCTAGGCAGAGGCTCCCAAGCCTCTACTCTTGCCCTATGCATATCCACAAGATTAACACCACACATGGAAGCCACCAAGGCTTTGAGCTTATACCCTCTGAAGCAACAGCCTGATCTGTACCTTGGCCTCTTAGCCATGGCTAGAGCTGGAGTAGCTACAATGCAGGGCACCATGTCCTGAGGCAGCACAGAGCAGCAGGGCCCTGAGCCTGGCTCAGGAAGCCATTTTCCCCTCCTCAACCTCCACACCTGTGATGGGAGAGGCTGCTTTAAAGGTCTCTGAAATGCCTTAGGGGCATTTTCCCCATTGTCTTGGCTATTAACATTCAGTTCATCTTTTGCACATTTCTGCAGCTAGCTTGAATTCCACCCCAGAAAATTTGTAATTTTCTTTTCTACGACACGGCCAAGCTACAATTTTTTTTTCTACCTCATGGCTAAGCTGCAAAATTTTCAAACTCTGATGCTCTGTTTCTTATTTAAATATAAGTTCCAGTTTCAGATAATTTCCTTGCTCATGAATATAAGTTTATGCTGTTAGAAGCAGCCAGGCCATTCTTGAACACTTTGATGTTTAGAAATTTCTTCCGCCAGATACCCTAAATCATCTCTGTTAAGTTCAAAGTTCTACAGATCCCTAGACCAGGGGAACAAAGCTGCCAGTCTTTTTACTAAAGCATAGAAAGAGTGACCTTTACTCTAGTTCCCAATAAGTTACTCATCTCCATCTGAGACCACCTCAGCCTGGACTTCATTTTCCATATCACTATCTGCATTTTGGGCAAAACTGTTTAATAATTCTCTATGAAGTTCCAAGCTTTCCCACATCTTCCTGTCTTCTGAGCCATCCAAACTCTTCTAACTTCTGCCCATTACCCAGTTCTAAAGTTGCTTCCACTTTTTCAGCTATCTTTATAGCAATGCCTAATTCTCTGGTACCAATTTTCTGTGTTAGTGTGTTCTCTCACTGCCATGAAGACATACCTGAGACTGGGTAATTTATGAAGAAAATAGGCTTAATTAACTCACAGTTCTCCAGGCTATATGGGAAGCATGGCTGGAGATGCTTTAGGAAACTCACAACCATGGTGGAAGGCAAAGGGGAAGCAGGCACATCTTCACATGGCCAGCAAAAGAGAAAGAAAGAATGAAGGAGGAAGTGCTACTCACTTTCAAAGAACCAGATATCATGAGAACTCTGACATGAGAACAGCAAGAGGAAGTCTTCCACCTTGCATCAATCATCTCCCACCAGGCCCCTCCTCCAACACTGGAATTACAATTTGACATGAGACCTGAGTGGAAACACGGAGCCAAACCATATCACGTACGCATAACTTAGCTTCCACTTAAAAATAAGAACATGCTAATTTGTGGTTTCAGTCCTGATTTACTTAGAATAATGGCTTTTGGTTCCATCAAAGTTGCTATAAAAAAAACAGAAACATTATTTTTCCTATTTTATAGCTGAGTAATATTCCATTGTGTTTGTGTGTGTATACACAAAAATATACCACATTTTCTTTATCCACTTTCTGGTTGATGGACATGTAGGTTATTTCCATATATTTACAATTATAAATTGTGCTGGAGTAGATATACACCTGCATATATCTTTTTATATGGTTTCTTTTCTTTTGGGTAGGTAGCCAGTATTGGGATTGCTAGATCAAATGGTGTATCTGCTTTAAGTTCTTTGAGAAATCACTACACTGTTTTTCATAAAGGTTAGGCTAACTTACATTTCCATCAGCAGTGTATTACCATTCCCTTTTCACCACATCTGTACCAATACCTATTTTTTGTTGTTGTTGTCTTTTTTGTTGTTTTTACAGGCATGGAAAACTGTACTCAGACCTGTCATTCTAATGCATGCTCAAGCCTCCATTTGCTACAATGTGACTAGATTTGCAACCCTGTGTGCCCTAAATGGTAATGAGAATGGTAGGGGTGAAGAAAAAACTGTACTTTTGATCCTGTCCTTACCCTCTCTCTAGCTGTTCTGCCCTCTCTGTGTCTCAAAACACTCCCAACCCTCTTCCCTCCAGACTCTTGAAAATTGGCTAATAAAATCACATTTCAAAGGTCACAAAAGTAAACAGAACTGATATCCATGGTTAAATATTCCCTTTATTAGTAACATTCGAATTTTTAAAACCTCTTCTTATTGCTGCCTCTCCTAATTCCCTCCTATTCCCTCTTTGTTTTAATTTTTAATTTTTGTGGGTATATAGTAGGTTTGTATATTTATGAGATACCTGAGATATTTTGATAAAGGCATGCAATGTGTAATAATCACATCATGAAAAATGGGATATCCATTCCTTCAAGCATTTATCCTTTGTATATATATACATTATAGATAATCCAATTATACCCTTTCAGTTATTTTAAAATGTAAAATTAAATCATTATTGACCACAGTCACCCTGTGGTGCTATCAAATACTAGGTCTTATTCATTCTTTTTAAATATTTTTTATATCCATTAACCATCTATGCCTCTCCCTTCCTCCCCATCCCCACTGCCCTTCCCATCTTCTGGTAACCATCCTTCTACTCTCCATCTCCATGAGTTCCATCCTTTTGATTTTTAGATCCCACAAATAAGTGAGAACATGCAGTATTTGTCTTTCTGTACCTGGCTTATTTCCCTTAGCATAATGCCCTCCAGTTCCATCCATGTTATTGCATATAACAGGATCCCATTCTTTTTTGTGCTTAAATAAAACCCCATTGTGTATATGGATCACATTTTCCTTATCCATTCATCTGTTAGTAAACACTTAGGTTACTTCCAAACCTTAGCTATTGTAAACAGTGCTGTAACAAACATGGGAATGCAGATATCTCTTTAATATACTGATTTCCTTTCTTTGCTGTGTATACCCAGCAGTGGGATTGCTGGATCATATGCTAGTTCTATTTTTAGTTTTTTGAGGAACCTCCAAACTGCTCTCTATACTGGTTGTACTAATTTACATTCATACCAACAGTGTACAAGTATTCACTTTCCTCCACATCCTCGCCAGCATTTATTATTGCTTATCTTTGGATATAAGCCATTTTAACTGGGGTGATGATATATCATTGTAACTAATGATTTGCATTTCTCTGATTTTTAATGATGTTGAGCACCTTTTCATATACCTGTTTACCATTTGTAAGTATTCTTTTGAGAAATGTGTATTCAAATCTTTTGCCCATTTTTAAATCAGATTGTTATTTTTTATAGAGTTGTTTGAGCTCCTTATATATTCTGGTTATTAATCCTTTGTCAGATTGGTAGTTTACAAATATTTTCACTCATTCTGTGGGTTGTCTCTCTACATTAGTTCCTGTTTTCTGTGCAGAGGATTTTTAACTTGACGTATTCCCATTTGTTCATTTTTGTTTTGGTTGCCTGTGCTTGTGGGGTTTTACTCAAGACATTTTTGCTCAGACTAATATCCTGAAGAGTTTCCACAGCATTTTCTTGTGGTAGTTTCATAGTTGGAGGTATGAGATTTAAGTCTTTAATCCATTTTAAAATTTTATGTTTGCATATGTTGAGAGAGAGGGGTCTTGTTTCTTTCTTCTGCAAATGGATATCCAGTTTTCCCAGCATAATTTATTTTATTTTTATTTTTATGTTAATAGTTTTTCATGTACAGGTGGTTTTTGATTGCATGGATAAGTTTTTAGTGATGATTTCTGAGATTTTAGTATATCCATCACAAGAGAAGTGTACACTGTACCCAATATGTAGTCTTTTATCCCTCATCTTCCTCCCAATATTCCCCAAGTCCCCAAAGTCCATTATGTCATTATTGTGCCTTTGCATCATCATAGCTTAGATCCCACTTATAAGTGAGAATATATAATATTTGATTTTCGATTACTGAGTTACTTCACTTAGAATAATGGCCTCTAGTTCCATCCAAGTTGCTACAAAAGACATTATTTCATTTCTTTTTATGGCTGAGTGGTATTCCATGGTGTGTATATACCACATTTTCTTTATTCACTCATTGATTTATGGGCACATAGGTTGGTATCACATCTTTGCAACTGTGAATATCCTAGCACCATTTATTGAAAAGACCATCTTTTCCTCAATGTATTTGCTTGGCACCTTTGTCAATGATGAGTTCACTATAAATGTGTAGATTTGTTTCTGGGTTCTCTATTCTGGTCCATTGGTCCGTGTGTCCGTTTTAATGCCAGTACCATGTTGTTTGGGTTACTATAGCTCTGTAGTATAATTTGAAGTCAGTTAATGTGATTGCTTTAGTTTTGTTCTTTTTGCTAAGAACAGCTTTGGCTATTCTGGGTCTTCTGTGGTTTCATATAAATTTTAGGATTGTTTTTTCTATTTGTGTAAAGAATATCATTGGTATTTTGATAGGGATTGCATTGGATCTATAGATTTCCTTGTAGTATGAATGTTTTGACAGTACCGATTCTTTCAATCCATGAACATGGAACATCTTTCCATTCCTTGGTGTCCTCTTCAATTTCTATCATTGATGTTTTATAGTTTTTATTGTAGAAATATTTTGTTTCTTATTTATTTCCTAGCTATTTTATGTGTGGCAATTATAAATGGGATTTTTTTTATTTCTTTTTCAGATTATCCACTGTTGGCATATAGAAATGCTACTGATTTTTGTATGTTCATTTTGTTTACTGAATTTGTTTATCAGTTCTACTAGGTTTTTTTATTTTGGTACAGTTTTTAGGTTTTTCCAAATATAAGATCATATTACCTGCAAAAAAGGATAATTTGACTTATTCCTTTCCAATTTGGATGGCCTTTATTTCTTTCTCGTCTGATTGTTCTAGCTAGAACTATAAATAATGTATCATTCTTTCTATATCTAGTGAGAAATGACAATGGGTCTTTTCATTCTGTGCATTTGTCTGTCTATGAACACTAGATCAGGATCTCTCAGAGCCTATATTATTTACTGCTTATAGACGCATGTCTGCAAGGTACATACACCATTTTTGGGCAGGATACTATCTATTATTTTGCTACTATATCAGGCAGAGCTATACCATAATGAGGCAAAAGAGTTAATCTACATCCCTTACAGCACTTGAGATATTTATATCCTAGGAAATTATGGCTCCTTTTTATTACATTTGTTTTTACTTTGTGATTGCTTCTGTTAGCTATTCCCTATCTTTGGCTGGTTATTTCACAGGAAGCAAACCATACCGAGTAATTTTAGTAATGTTATTATTTATTTAAATAAAATTAGTAATTTTATTAAAGGAATAACTGAAAGTTAGTGTCTAGTCCATTAGGATTTTCTCCTCTTTAAATTATTCTATATTTTTTCTAATTTAACCAAAATGTGACAGTACCTTCACCAGACACTACATTAAATTTGGGTTCCTTTGAAATATGAGTTTACTTTGTTGCCTTTTGCTTAGAAAAAATAACTATTGGCAATGGCATTCCATTTTTCACAGGCAGAAATAAAAAGCTCATATGAATGAAGTGCTTGGGAATTGCCAGACCCTGTTCTGGGTACCTGCCCTATGTTATCTGCACTGATTTTTAAAACAAAACTATGAAGTTGGCATCACTATCTTTTCAAATTACTTCATTTTACCAAGGCAAGTTTGATGTTTTGCCAAAACTAAAGGAGAAAGTGATACAATAAATAGTGGAACTCAGATTAAAGAATTAAATGTAGTACTTAAATCATATAAAACCCTTGCCTTTGTTTTTGGAGTAGAGATCTGGTAAACAAAACAAAACCAAAGTAAAAAACCTAGCAACTGTTGTATTTTAAGATCTTCTACGAGTCAAAGTGGATCTGTTGTTTTTTTCAAAATGCATTTGGCCTGACAATTTCTGTCAAGTTTCAGGATGGTGAAAATTAAAATGTCCTAAATTAAAAACTGCTCAAAAATTTGGTCCAGTAATGGAAATAGCAGTTCAGCTAAAATATATATTGACAAAGCTAGGTCATGCTATGGTGTTACTGGTGCAGAAACTGCAACTGACTGAAACATTTTGAAGCATTTCAATTCTACACTCAGAAATTGTTTTCCCCCATTTATTTGATTTGTAAGATGAGGCTGTGTTTTGGAAACTCTGAAGATAGGCACAACGATTTATACATATTTTCAAACAATGTGTAGGATTTAATTAGGTAATATATTTCCCTTGTTTTCTAGAAGCCAGACACCATTATGTTTCTCTGCATTCGCAACTACATTGAATGAAAATTGCATATATTTGACTTTTATGAGAAAGAGAAACATTTTTGAATAGCTCTGTTATCTTCTGTGTAGACACATGGCTGCTAGGCTGTAAACTAATTAGCATGGGCAGGAGATACCAGAGAATAGTTTGTCCCAGAAGCTGATAAGAAGACACTATAGAGACTCAGAAATAACACCAAGTGATCTCTCTGTCCCCTGCTCAAAAGTGATAATGCTAATACAAGTTTATTAAAATTTGTAATCTAATATGCTCTGCTAATTTCCTCTTGGGGATAGTACTCATATTAAAAGAGTTGCTTATTTTACATGTATTCAAAAACAGACGCAATGAATGCTTGCAAGCTAAGTTTTAAGATTTTCGGTTCTTATCTTTACTATCAGATCTGACCAGTTTTGAGGGAGGAAATTTGAGCATGTAAAACCATCGTATTTTCAAATTGATTGTTTTCAAGCCTTTAATTAAATCAGTATGCTTTTTGTAGTGTTCTAAGCTCAAACTACCGAAAAATAGTGGAACAACTCATCAGCTGAGCAGGATTATAAATAGGCCTACTAGTTAGCAAAACAGTATTAAATAAAGTAGTAAGCAGCATCATTTATTTCTGTTAATTAAAAACAACAACAACAACACCACGAAACTACAGTTGTATTTATAGAGCAAGCAATGAATATGGAGAATCCACAGTGAGCATGATAGAGAAGAGAGATCAAAGTTTTAGAGTGAAAGAAAATAGGATCTGAATCCTGGCTTTGATACATTCTGAGTAACATTGGTCAAACAATTTCTCTGAGCAGCACTTTCTTTACTGCAAAACAAAGATAATGAGGCCTAATTCAAAATTGTCATGTGCCTCTAGCTCAAAAAAATACTCAATAAATATTAGCATTTTCCTCTCTTATCAAAGTCCCTTAAAATTTTATCTACAAAGAAATGTAAAATAATGAAGTGAGTAAATAATACACCAACCCCAAATGTGTATATGTTTAAAATTATTTGTCCGTTTTTTCTTCATAGTCTATAGATACTTGAAACATAGCTTGACTGGATATAAAATCTTCAACTCACATTCTTTCCTTGACTTATAAAAAAAAATGTTGCTTCACTGTTGTTTGGCTCTGTATGTGGTTGTTGAGAAACCTGAAATTTTAAAATTTCCTTTATGTTGTAATGGGTTTAGTCTTCTTGGATAGAAGTCCCGAAGCTTTTTTGTTTACCTCTATAAAGTCTAATTGTTTAGCTAGGATATGTATCTTGGAGTTGTCAATTCTATGTCAGTTTTCTCTTATGTATGGTATTTTGTAAATTTCAGTATGTAGATTCCATTCTTAATTCTAGAAAATTTCCTTGGATGTTGCTTTATATTCTTTGCATTCTGATACTCTTTATTTCTATAGGACTATGAGTTAAAACCTGCTTTCTTCTCTCCTTATACTACTAAGCCTTCAAAAGATGCCTCCTTTCCAGTTGCTGTCAGGTGATTCATATAGAGGTATTTGGGAGCAAAATGGTATGATGGCTGCAATGTACTTTTAAATGTTTCAGAAAAAAATTACATATGAATAGATACACACATATACACACCAAAAATAAGATAAAACAAATGTGGCAAAATATTAACAATCAGTGATTATTTGTAAGGGCTACATGGATATTTATTTATTATACTATTTGTTCAACTTTTCTGTAGATTTTCTTTTTCTTTTCTTTCTTTTTTTTTTTTTTTTTTTTGAGATGGTGTCTTGCTCGGTCACGAGGCTGGAGTGCAGTGGCGCAATCTTGGTTCACTGCAACCTTCGCCTCCTGGGTTCAAGCGATTCCCCCGCCTCAGCCTCCCGAGTAGCGGTGATTACAGGCACGTGCCACTACACCTGGCTAATTTTTTTGTATTTTAGTAGAGATGGGGTTTCACCATGTTGGCCAGGATGGTCTTGATCTCCTGACATCGTGAGCCACCCACCTTGGCCTCCCAAAGTGAGCCTGGGATTACAGGTGTGAGCCACTGCACCCAGCCTATTTTTCTTTAAAATAGAAAATTGGTGGGGTGGCAGGGGGTTGGAAATAAGCTTAATTTAAAAAGTTATTCAACTACTGCAGTTTTATGATAGGCTGATCTAGAATTTCATGCTGGAGGAATTTCAGGGATTATTTGATTGAAAGCTTTACTTTACAAAGAGTAAAACATAGCCTGAAAGTTTTGTGATTTGCCCCAAATCACACAGCTTATAAGTTTTAAAGCTAAGAATCAAAGCTTCTTTTTCTAAACTCAAGTTTAGTGGGTATTTTTAGTTTTGTTTTGGTTTTTTGTTTGTCTGTTTTCATGTCCCTAGACCAGGGATCAGCAAACTATTTCTATATAGGGTTTGATAGTAAATTGTTTAGGCCTAGCTGGGTGCATAGGGTTTCTGTCACATATTCTTGGTTTTCCTTTAAGCTCTTTAAAACTGTAAAGCCCCTCTTAGCTCTAGGGCCATATTAAAAGAGACTATGAAGTAAATTTAGCTCAGGTAGGGCAATAGGGGAAGGGAGCAGGGCATAGTTTTCCTACTTCTTCCCTACACTATTGGTTGTCTTTAATCCACTAAAGCTCTTCACTGTGAAGCACAAGTTTAAAAAAATGTAAGAAAATTACATATTGCAGTTGGCTATTCATGCCACAAATTACTCGTGGCCTAGTTAGGGTTGCCATATTTTGCAAATAAAAATTAAGAACACAGGGCAAAACTTGCAGCCAGGACAAGACAGTGTAGACTCATTTATCTTTTCTCCTTACTTCTGAGAACAACTATAAACTCTGGAAACAGAGCAAGAGACAACCAAAGGAGAACTATGAGAGGTGCTAAGAAAAGGCGAAACTGTTTTGACCCCAGCTGAAAAAATAACACAGCAGGAGAGTGTATTAAGTTCCCAACCCAACAGAAGAAAGTGACCCAGATCTAGAAACCTTCTCTGGCCTCCAACCCAGCAAAAGAAGTCATCCCAGGTAGGCTTATTCCTCTCCTGGATGGAATGGAAGCTCCTCTGACATCAGGCTAGCCTGCCACCACTGGTAAAGGGAACGAATGTGTAGCCCAGTCAATGATAAATGGTCAAAGCCTGAAACATCCCATCCTCCCAGAGAGATACAGAGGCTGGCACGCAGAACCATCAAGAGAAACCCAGCCACAACAGGTAGTCAGTCCCAGAAAGCTACATGTCCCCACAGGCCTGAGACTTTCCTGAAAGACATCTGTGGCCCTTCCTGGGGAAATCACTTTTATCACTCAGGCTATATCAGCAGGGACCAGTGAAAGTTCCTGTGGCACCAGAGAAACAAACCAAACCAAAATAATAACATAAATTCTCAAAAAATTAAAATGTCATTGGAACCACAGCCTATGGACTTAGGCCAGAACCTGTTGCTAAAACTAAATAGAATAAATGGGCTGGACGCGGTGGCTCATGCCTGTAATCTCAGCAATTTGGGAGGTTGAGGGGGGTGTGTCACCTGAGGTCAGGAGTTCAAGACCAGCCTGGCCAACGTGGTGAAACCCTGTCTCTATTAAAAATACAAAAATTAGCTGGGTGTGGTGGCATATACCTGTAGTCCCAGCTACTTGGGAGGCTGAGGCAGGAGAATCACTTGAATCTGGGAGGTGGAGTTTGCAGTGAGCTGAGATTGTGCCACTGCACTTCAGCCTGAGCTACAGAGCTCCATCTCAAAAAAAATAAAAAATAAAATAAAAAAGAATAAGTGCCCGCTAAAATAAAAGATTTAAATACATCTCAAAATTTCCTAACATAATAGACAAAATATCTAAGATACAATAGAAAATCACCTGTCATACAAAGAACCAAGAAAATCACAACTTGCATTATAAAAAGACAATCAATTGATATGAACACTGATGCACCAGATGTTCTAATTATCTGACAAGGATTTTAAAGAAGCTGTCATACAAATGCTTCAACAATCAATTACAAATTCTCATACAAAGGACAAAACAGAAAACTTTCAGTAAAAAAAGAAGTTATTAAAAAACCAAATAGATATTAGATAATTGAAATACGGAAATAAAAAATTCCTTGGTAGACGCAATAGTAGAGTGAAGATGAAAGAGAACAGATTGGTTAACTTGAGAAAAGTAAATAGAATTAATACAACCTGAATAATGGAAAGAAAATTGAAATGAAATAAATAATCAGAGCCTTAGTTATCTGTGTGATAGTAACAGAGTCTCCGATATCTGTGCGACAGTAACAAGAGATCCAAAAGTCATATTATTATAATCTCAGAAGGAGAGACGAAAGAATAGAATGAAAGAGTAATCAAAAAATTAATGCAATAGACTTCCAAATTTGATGAAAGGCACAAACCTACAGATTCAAGAAGCTCATCAACCTCAAAACAAGATAAGCCCCCCGCCCCGCCCCAAACATACACTAAGACACATCATAATTAAACTTCTGAAAAATAAAGATAAGAAAACACATGGAAAGCATCCAGAGAGAAACAGTTCATTATCTTTAAGGAACACCAAATAATAGATTTCTCATCTGAAATCATGGAGGTCCAAAGGAAGTGTTATAATGTTTTACAATTGCTGGCCAGATGCAGTGGCTCACACCTATAATCCCAGCACTTTGAAAGGCCAAGGGTGGTGGATCACTTGAGCTCAGGAGTTTAAGACCAGCCTGGGAAACATGGCGAAAACCCATCTCTGCCAAAAATACAAAAAGTTAGCCAGGCATAGTGGCTTGTGCCTGTGGTCCCAACTAGTGAGGTAGGAGTATCGCTTGAGCCTGGAAGCAGTGGTTGCAGTGAGTGGAGATTGTGCCACTGCACTCCAGCCTGGGTGACAGAGTGAGACCCCATCTCAAAATAATAATAATAATAATAATTTGCAAGTGCTAACAGGAAAAAAACTGTTAAAGGTAAATTTTATATCTGGCAAAACTATCTTCTAGAAAGTAATAAAAAATAAATATTTTCAGACAAAGAAAATCTAACAAAATTGGTAGCTGGCAGATCTATTCTTAAAAATTGGCTAAAATAATTTTATGAAACAGTACGAAAATGATATAAAGAATCTTGCAGTATCAGGAAAAATATAAAACAACAGAAAGAACTGTGGCTACGTACCATTGACTATTGTTTCTTCATGAGTTTTAGCACTACAATACTGAAGACAAAGGTACTTACAAGTGATGAAGGTAGATAATAGTAAATTAAAGTAAGTATTCTAAACTTCACACAAATTCATGAAATGTTAATATTGATAGACTGTACAAGTCATATATATAAATGCCCATAGCCACCACAACCAAAACTACACAACGTGATTCATAATACAATCAAATGTACTGTAAATAAATCAAGATGCAATATTAAAAAAATTCAAGTAACTCAAAAAAAAAGCAAGGAGAGAGACAATAGTGAGAACCAGAGGAAACAATACATAAGAAATAATAACAACACTATAAAGATCCCTTGTGCTGTCCTTTTATGACTATGCAATTGCTGTTTGTATTTGATCTTGTATCCTTTGCCTTTGCTGGACTCACTTACTACTTTTAGGTATTTTTATTTGTTTTATTCCTTGGGGATTTTCTACACAGGATGTCATCTGTAAACAGACAATTTAATTTGATCCTTTCCAGTTTCCAATGCCTTTTATTATTTTTTTCATATCTTATTGCCTGGCTAGAGCTTCCAGTACACAGTAATGTGTAAAACTTGTCTGAGACATCCTCTTTTTTTGCTGTGAAGGCCCTATCATCTGCTTTTAGCTACCAAGATCCAAAATTCTAAGTATGCTTAAAGTAAAAGTTAAACATTCCATTTTTTTCACAGAAGGCATATAACATTTGTCAGAGACCTATGTTGGCCACATTAGCTTACTGATCTCTGGACTTGAAATATCTGAACAATTTTGTCCATGAAGAAATGAAAAACTATAAAAATTGCATTTTTGAATGTTAGATGGTGTAACAGGCATCGTTTATTTTACTCTTCAAAGTATTCTTTGAGGTAAGCATTATTCCCTCTAATTATTATATATTTATGAACAAGACCTAGTCAACACCATTTACAAAATATTTTTGATCACCCATTACGTGTCAGGCACTGTGCAAGGCATTCAGGATACACTGAAAACTAAATAAGTATTGACTCTCTTGAGAATTATAAATTGTAGTGATTGTCTATACCAAGGAAGGTAGGTCATTAAAGGAATAATTACTGAAAATTTTAACACGAGTCTATATTAATAAGTACTGCATGCAATGACAGTTCCAAATAAGACTGCCTAACCAGTTTTTAAAAATTTATTTTATTGTATAAAGTATACAGGATGTTTATATATATATATATATTTGAAATGATTACTGTAGTTAAATTTACATATTCATCACCTTCTATAGTTACCTTTCTGTGTTTATGTGTTGAGAGCACCTAAAACCTTTGTTTAGAAAATTTTCAATGTACAATAAAATATTAATAGCTGTAGTCCTTATGCTTTACATTAGAGGTCCAGACTTATTGATCCTATCTAACTGCAAATTTGCCAGCTTTTGACCTACTTCTCCCCATTTCCTCACCCTCCCTATCTCTGTTAGCCACCGTTCTACTCTGTTTCTATTTATTTGACATTAGTTTTTAGATTCTGCATATAACTTAGATCATACAGTATTTTTCTTTCTCTGTCTGTCCTATTTCATTTAGCATAATGTTCATCCATGTTGTCATAAATAGCAATATCTCATTTTTGAAGGCTTAATATTTCATTATATGTGTGTGTATATATATATATATATATATATATATATATATACACTTGTATGTGTATATATGGCTATACATATATATATCACAATTTTTTTATCCATTCATCTGTCATTTGACACTAAGGTTGTTTTAATATTTTTAGCTGTTATAGATAATACTACAATGAACATGGGAGTGTAGATATCTCTATGAGGTGCTGGTTTTATTTCCTTTAGGTATGTAAGTAAGTAACCAACACTAGGGATTATTGAGTCATATGGTAGTTCTACCTTTAATTATTTAAGGAACCTCCATACCACTTTCCTAATGGTTGTACTATTTTACATTCTCATCAACAGTGTACAAGGGTCCCCTTTTCTCCATGCTCTGCCAACACTTATCACATGGTTTTTTGACAATAGCCATTCTAACAGGTGTGAAGTGACATCTCATTGTGGTGTTAATTTGTATTATCCTGATGATTAGTGATGTTGAGGTATGAGTGATGTTTAATACAGCTGTTGGCTATTTTTATGTTGTCATTAGAAAAATGTTTATTCCTGTCTTTTGCCAATTAAAAAAAATTGGGTTATTTCTTTTTCTGCTGTTTATATGTGTTTCTTTGGATAGTATCCATTTTTAATTGCTATTTTATTCCTTTAGGCAAAGTGGCAGAAAAGAAGAGGATACGATTTCAGAAAAGGATACACTAAAGTACTGACAAAGTCAATAATGCACACCTCTGAAGAATATGTAGAAATTAGTTTTCCACAAAAATAGGCATTTCAACCAGATGATCTGACCATTTGAAAATGGGAGAAAGCAAGGTATATTCAATAACTGAAACGTCATAATTAAAATGATTCATTAGGAAGTGGTTGTGGGCAAGTCACACAGGGTTCATCACAAAAGTGTCCTAAGGCATATTACAAACATTTCCAATATCCTAAGGAAATGTGTAGCTCCTAGAGAATTTTGAAGAGGAATGGCAAGGAGAGGTTTGTATTTTAAGAAAGGAGGAAAAAAATATTATTATAAAATCAAACTAGGTATTAGCAAAACTGCATTCTTCCCTTCATATAGCATCCTTAATATTTCATACAATATTTTAGAAAAAGAATATATCTTTTTCTGGCTTCAGCTTTAACTTCTTTTTAAAATGGATACTTCTTTGTCTGCATCATAGGCAGTTATGTAATATAATTCTTTTAATATGACTTTGCACTTTCAAAAATATTCAAATAATGTAACAAAAATTTAAAGCCATGTAGTGTCTTTCCTAATTCGCAAGTTGGAGGAAAACTTGCTACAATTAATTGGTACCTAAAAATAAGAAAACCATGTAATTCTGTTTATTTTTTAAGAAGTTTTAACTTCTTTGAGAGAACAGTCAGTAACACATTTCTTAAAAGTATTGTAAGTAGAAATGTGTGTATTTCTATTTAAATGCAATTGTGTTATTTTTTAAAGCTATACATTTAGTAACCATTGCACTAGACAGAGAATTTAGGTTTAATGGAGCTTAACAAATATACTGTCATGTAGTATAACTGCAAAGAGTTTAAGAGCATTGACTATTTAAATAAAAACATGAACCCTGAAAAGTAATTTGGTCAGCTCTACAAAGAATTAACTGATTTAAATCACAAAGTTTTTATAAAACAAATTGCATGTGATAGGCGTGATATTAATAACAATCCTCATGGTATTACTAATTATAATATAAGTTAGCTAAAGCAGTGCATTCCTCAAATAAAGCCTGTACACTAATTAACTGTTTAATTTGATGGAAAAAAGGAAAAAGAAAATCAATATCTTGAATAGATTTGTGCACACTTGCCTTTTTCTTCTTTGGGTATTTAGAATTTGCTCAGAAGATGTTTATACTAAATTATTATTTCAGGTTTTTTAATCAGTAAAAACGGCCCACCTTTATTATTAAAAAAAACTTATTATAAAGAAAACATTATAGTTTTGCTCCTGTCCAGATTTTTACAGCTACTTTAAAAATCAAACTCAGTCTTAATACAAAAGGAAAGATTGACTGAGGAATTTTCTTAGTAGCATTGCCATTAATATTGGGCAACTCTATTTGATTCCAATAGATAAATAATTTGTAATGCCCACATTTTTCACAGTCAGTTTGGCTGAAATCAGCTTTTGTTCTATCCTGTTTTTCTAGCTAAATTGGGATTTCTATAATTATTAACTGAACTACTCTCCTGGCAGTTATCTCACCTCTATAATTAAACAGAGGAATTGGCTCAGCAAAATGCCAGGTTTTAATCTGACCCAAAAAATAACATCAACTTCCAAATCATCATCAAAGAGGCTGAGCTCACACTGATGAGTTTCTCTTAGAATGCACCTCTCAATCACTTTGTTTCCAAAGTGGAAATTTAAAAGGAACGAGAATAATAATGAAGCTATACTGGCCTTCCTTTTGGAAATTAAGCCAAAAAGACTGGTCTTTCTTAGAACGATAGTGATACCAAATTAAGAATTAGGTTAGTGGAGGGTTTTAGTTACTTCACTGGCACAAATAAAGAGAAACTGTTCAGGGTATTTAAAAACGTATTTGATCTATTAGAGAAAGATACCCTTGAAGACTTTTAGTAGCTGGCAAAAACAACAAAAAATTGAAGAAAAAATAGTTTATGCCAGACAAAGTTTGTATTTACATAATTTAATTGTAATTTTATAGCAATCTCTTTTCAAAATGAGCTGGAAAAAACTTTTAGCCAATCTCCAACTATTCCCATTAGAATTTAATTGTCAAGTAGAATGTGGGCTCCAGGACTCTCCTCACTGTTCTCAGATTAATTGCTTAAGACTAGCTCAGTGCCTAAAAAACAGGAAAATGTTCAATGAATACCATTGGATGAATGAATATTCCATTAGTGCTTAACAAAATCTTCTAAAGGCTTCTATGTCAATCTCCTCGCCATCCAATTGAGACAAAGTATAAAGAAAGACTAGAACTGTTTCACCAAATGGAATGTTCCTATTGCCTAAGCATCATAATTTTGATTATAAAATAGGCTGTTATGAAAAAGTTTTTCCAAAAGAGAAGCAGTTCTTAAGATGGATAAAGCATGTCTGTTTTGTCCTGAGGACATTAATGTCATTTTTAAAGAAGTTCATTAGAGCACTATAAATAATTTAGACTGAAGTTGTATATTTTGAACCACAGATAACTTTCTTGAATTTAAGAAGGCAGGAAACATGAAATTACACAAAATTTTGAAAAATAATTTTTTACTTCTCAGAATATCTGCAATTAAATGTTCACAATATATTCAGAGAAGCAGATATATAATTGTTACAAGTATGAAAAAAAGGAAAAAAATCAATATCTTGAATAGTTTTGTGCACATTTACCTATTCCACTCTTTGAATGTCTAGAATTTGCTCGGAAGAGGTTTACAGTAAATTATTATTATTTTTTTAATTCAGTAAAATTTCTCATTAAAGTATAACTATAGGCTCTAAACTAAGACTTGCGAAAGCTAAAATTTCAGCTAAACTGTTTACTGAAAAATTTACTTATTCTTTTAAAGCACCAGTTTTCTATCTGTAACACTGGAATAATACTAAAGGTATATAACACTTACGTGTATTCCAGCATAAAAAGACTTCCATGAACCGGGCGCAGTGGCTCACGCCTGTAATCCTAGCACTTCGGGAGGCCAAGGCGGGCGGATCACAAGGTCAGGAGATCGAGACCATCCTGGCTAACACGGTGAAACCACGTCTCTACTAAAAAAAACAAAAAAAATAGCCGGGCTTGGTGGCGAGCGCCTATAGTCCCAGCTACTCGGGAGGCTGAGGCAGGAGCATGGCGTGAACCTGGGAGGCAGAGCTTGCAGTGAGCCGAGATTGCGCCACTGCACTCCAGCCTGGGCGACAGAGCGAGACTCCGTCTCAAAAAAAAAAAAAAAAAAGAAAAAAAATCCATGATTTACTACTAAATAAAAAGGCACATCACAGAACATTTAATATTTATTTGAAAACTCATACCTATGCATTAACAAAAGGGCCTGGAAGCACTCATACACCAAAATGTTAGTTTTAATTATATCTGGGATATCAGAGAACAGAAATGAAGGGAGAGGTAAGCACACTTTATATGTTTTTGTATTTTTCTTCTTTTCAGACAGGGTCTCACTCTGTCACCCTGAGTGCAGTGGTACAATCATGGCTCACGGCAGCCTCAGCCTCCTAGGTTCAAGTGATACTCCCACCTCAGCCTCATAAGTAGCTGGAACCACAGGTGCACACCACTATGTTCGGCTAATTTTTACATTTTTTGTAGAGATGAGGTTTCACTCTGTTGCTCAGGCTGGTCTTGAATTCCTGGGCTCAAGCATTACTCCTACCTCAGTTTCTCAAAGTGCTGGGATTACAAGGAACAGACACTGCACCTGGCCTGTATTTTTGTTTTTGCAATGTGTTCTTGGTAAAAGAAAAAAAAGTATATATATTTATATAATATATATTATATATGTAATAATATATATTTATATAATATATATTATATATGTAATAATATATATTTAATATATATTATATATGTAATAATATATATTTATATAATATATATTATATATGTAATAATATATATTTATATAATATATATTATATATGTAATAATATATATTTATATACAAATATATATTATATATGTAATATATTTATATACAAATATATATTATATGTAATATATTTATATACAAATATATATTATATGTAATAATATATATTTATATACAAATATGTTATATGTAATAATATATATTTATATATACATATATCATATATTATATATGTAATTATATATAATATATAATCTATTATATTATATGTATTATATAACAGACTTATATAAAATATAAGTCTGTTTTAAGATGCTGGCGAGGTTGTGGGGAAAAAAAGGCTTATGTACTGTTGGTGGGAGTTTAAATTAGATCAGCCATTGTGGAAGACAACGTATCGATTCCTCAAAGACCTAAAGACAGAAATACCATTTGACCCAGCAATCCCATTACTGGGTATATACCCAAAGGAATATAAATCATTCTATTATGAAGACATTTGCATGTGTATGTTCATTGCGATAGTATTCACAATAGCAAAGACATGGAATCAACCTAAATGCCCATCAATGACAGACTGGATAAAGAAAACGTGGTACATGTACAGCATGGAATACTATGCAGCCATAGAAAAGAATGAGATCATGTCCTTTGCAGGGACATGGATGGTGCTGGAGGCCATTATCCTTCGCAAACTAACACGGGAACAGAACCCCAAATATCACACGTGCTCACTTACAAGTGGGAGCTAAATGATGAGAACACACGGACACATAGAGGGAAAGAACACTCACTGGGGCCTCTCAGATGGTGGAGGGTGAGAGAAGGGAAAGGATCAGGAAAAATAACTAATGAGCATGAGGCTTAATACTTGGGTGATGAAAAAATCTGTACAATAACCCTCATGACACAAGTTTACCTATATAGCAAACCTGCGCTTGTACTCCTGAACTTAAAAGTTTTTTAAGAAAAGAGAAAAAAGAAAAGAAAGTTTGTTTTATGGGATTGTTTTGGGGATTAAATAAGATAATAACAACAAGCTTTAAACTAGCACATCAGTAAGAAACAAATACTAAATACTATAAATAACAATTGTTTCTTGATTCAGTTTATGTTTTGTTATTCTATATTCACATAATCACATATGTCACAAATTAATGAAAATTGCCATATAATGACAACATATACAATTAAGCCACTGTGAATCTGCAATGTTTTGGCAGAACTTCATATTGTATCCACAGGAAACAAAGTGATGAATGAATAAAGAGATATGTCATATCAAGTAAATTGGGATATATTTGTCTCTCACGAAACTCTCATTTTCTTCCACCACACTAGTATCCACTTCAGCACATTAGGACAAGTTATGATCGGTCTAATTCTGCTCAGATGTATGAAGAACTTGAAACTATGATAAAAAAGTAAAATGTGCAAGGAGAAAATGTTGCATATTAAAATAAATATTTTTTCAAATTTAAAAAAGAAAAATTTGTATTTACAGAGGACATTTTATAAAGCTACCTAATTGCAAAGTAAACACTATCAGTAACAAGCATTATAATCTTTTCAACACCATCGCTTTTAGAGGCACTAGATGGTACTCATGGGACATGAGTGAGTTAATTTGCTTCCTATGTGTGTGAAACTACAGGGAAATAATTCAGGAAGTTGGAGATACCTGGTATAGAAAGCATTTCTTTAGTTTTTGCCTTTCCTTTTACCTCTCTTATTTCCTTGCTAATCACAGTGTCTAAGAATATGTGGTCTTATTATTAAGAAAGGTATCTTTTGGCCTATGAGTTGCTGAACTCATTTTTGTATCAAAAACTGCTATCTTGTACAGCTTATCAGAAATGCTGACGTTCACCCTTCCTCAGGTCTTATTTGAATTGTCAGTGCTGACATAATTTTAATGCACACACACTGGGATATGTGTAGCTAATACAAATGTATGTCTTTGGCATAAATAATATTCATCGTTGAATTTTCCTCTGTGATGTTTTTACAACCAACAACCCTTCCACTAGGCAGATCATCACAAATTGGGATTTTCAATGAATCATCTGGTAATAAAGAAGTATGTGCTTTGCAGATTGAGCCCTCTTCCATGTGACATCAACAGCTTCAACATAAATTACCCATTACAGGTTTATTTGTCATGAACTGCAGCCAAAATACCATGATGGTAAAGCTACCTCCTGCATCTTAAACTCCCCATCAAAAAATGTTTTTATGGTTTTTGAGTTAAAGCTTTGCCTTCAACAGCTATTTTTCTTGAGCATCAGTTACAAGCTTTACTGAAATTGAATGGTTAGAGAGGATTAGCAATGCCAAGTTTCTCAATCGTGGCTTATTTGGCAGCTGGTAACCATATAAGGAGAAAATACGAAGATAAAAATGAATATAAAAATGAATATATAAAATATAGTAGTCTTGTAATTTATTTAATGCTAACACCTCTTTCAGAGAAGGATTTTATTATGGTCCCACTTCACAGTTTCACAAATAGAAAACCTAAACTTAGAGATATTACTTAAGATGTCCAACATCCCACAGCCAATGAGTGAGGGAGGCAGTAGTAAACCCCAGCTTTTAACCAACATGTTTTTCAATTCTATATACAAAGTTTATATATGATTTTGTGCAAGGCATTTTCAGTGTTGTAGGGCCAATAGATGGACACGACACAGGACATGCCCTCATGTTGCTCAAAGTACAACAGAGAAAACAGACGGATATTTACTTACCTATAGTCAGGGTTAGAACATGACAATTTCTAAGACAAGGAGTAGACACCATGCATTGGGAGGACAGATATATGATTGACAAATTCTGACTCTGGGGATGTAAGAAGGCCTCATAAAAAAGGTAATAAGAACATTTCATGTAGATACATTCAATTTTTATAAAATCAGAAGAATAAGTGGAGCAGAGAAACTATTTGTGGAATGTCAAGGTGTTGTATGTGGTTGGTAATAAGATAAATTCATTAATTTCTTAACCCTGTTAGATAATTACTGATATTATATCTGTCTTACATATAAAAAAATTATCAATGATTTACCTCAGAACTTAAAACTAGTAAATGCTAGGGCTAAGGTTGGAGCACAGATGGTCTGACGCCAAAGCCAATGTGTTTTCCTCTACCTCACGAGTTGCAAACAGCCCAAAAGATACTAAGAGCACAGAAAGATACTGAGTGAAGCATGCTGCATGTTAGACAATCAGGAATATTGAATCCTGTGGCAAACTACTGAGTACATGCCCTATTCAAAGCATTCAAATACAAATTATGTAAGACCAAAAAAAAGCATATGAGAGCCAAATTCAATCCATAGTTTTTCATATCATAGCATTTGCATACTACAATTTTTCTTTAGGGCTTCAAACCATGTTAAGTCAGTGACTGAATTAATTAATATTTGGGGAAATCTAAATTAAGAAAAACAATTCTTAGATTAAAAAGCATTATAAAAACTGCTGGTGTTAAAATATTAGAATCAGACTCTTCTAAAGTGTAATATACTTCAAAAAGATTATGCTTTTTATAGACAAATAAGTACGTAAATACAGAAGAATGAAAAGACCATATGGGAGAAAATACCTGAAACTCTACCCCACAGTACAATTTGAGATGTCATTCATTCATTCCTTCCACACATATTCCAGGTGCTGTGCTAGAGGTTAGGAAATATAATGTGAAGCATAAATAGACACACTGCTTTTATGTAGTTTGCAGTCTAATGGTACATGAGGGAGAGGATGGAGAATGACTAGCAAGCTATTTTGGAGCAAAGTCATGGAAGTTTCATGCGAAAGTTTTAAATTGAAAGAGCATAAGCAACTTTAGTAACCTAGACATGTGTGGTGTCAGACAACTTCCTGATAAACAAGAAGCTCCCTCCCCTCCACACTCACACCTTACCTCAAATAAGGCTGCTCCAGGAGCCTTATTTACTGCAGTCCCTGAAGGAAGCTTCAATCAGCAGGCCTTGGCTGGTAACCAGTAGGGAAGCCCAGCTGCCTGGCCCATAGCAATCCACATCGGGCAGCAATCCACTCTCCATGAGTAAATGCTCGAGACCATCTGTGAATTTAGAAAGAAGAGGCAAAAACAGCATCAGCTTAGCCAAAAGCAAGAGCATCCAAAAATGAAAGTGCGACCAATCTGTGCAAAAGAATATTTCACCAGGGATGCAGCATTTCAGTTCCAGGCTGACCTGTAGGTCAGTTCAGTTTAAATAAACAAACATTTGCTGAATCGCTCCATGTGCCAGGGACCATAGGAGGGGCTGAAAATTTGGAGATGATAAGATAGATTTCTTGCCCTCCAGCAGCCCACAGTTTAGTGGTCAAAACAGATGTGTACAGGGTGTTCTTAGAGTGTTCTGCAAAGAGCCAACCTTTGTCCAACTGTAGAGATCTGGTAAGTTTTCCCAAAGCAGTGCTTATCAGACAGATTTGTGCATAGAGGTCACGTGAGAATCTTGTCAATATGAACATTCTTATTCTGTACATCTCAGGTAGGATCTGAGATCCCATATTTCTAACAAGTCCTCATGTGATATGGAAGCTGCTGGCCTGAGGGCCACACCCTGAATGTCAAAGAGAGCAGAGATCACCATGCCTGACTTTCTTGTGAGGAGTCAGGCAAAGAAGCTGGGAAAAGCTACTTCAATAAGAAAGTGCTGAGCAAAAGCAAGCACCTGTGAGCCACTAGGATCATGAGAGAGCTGAAAGCAGTACACTCTTACAAGGGCAGATAAGTAGACAAGAAACAGATGTAAAAATTTGAATTCTATTCTGTAGCTGGATCAGTGGTTCCAAAGATTTGGGTGTAAAATATGACCTTGAGATGTTGTTTCTTGATTCAGATCCTGAACTCTGCCCCCACTAGATTCTGATTCTGAGGCCTGTGGTATAGCCTTCTGCATTTTTACACCATCCCCTTCTGCCCCCCAGGTTATTAAGCAGGTGGTTGGAAGACCACGCTGTGACAAATATGGCGCAATTGTAGGCAGGGTGGAAGGGGTTTATCCAGAGAAATGAGATTTGCTTTTGAGAAAGTCACTGTGGAGCTGTTGATTTTACGTGGAAAAGCTAAGAAATATAGAACTAGTTAAGAGCCTGTTAAAATTATGTAATCAAGTGATGAGACAAGTCTGAAATAGACCATTCAGAGAGCACAGGCTTAAGAAAAATGTAGTGGATGGAAATGTCAGGATTTTCTAGCTGATTAAGTATAAGGAGTAAGGGAGTAGGAGGAACCTATGTGACAACCAACTTTCTCTCTAAGGTGATTGACAAGATGGTGAGACCACAAACTGAGATGAAAAAAAAGCAATCAAGAGGTGCCTTGGGTGGCAATGATGATACATTTCAGTTTGGGAGAGCTGGCTTTTAGGTTTCAGAGAGTAAATGTGCAGCAGGCAATTGGCTACTGTATTCGTCCATTTTCACACTGCTGACAAAGACATACCCAAGACTGGGCAATTTACAAAAGAAAGAAGTTTAATTGAACTAACAGTTCCACGTGGCTGGGGAGGCCTCACAATTATGGCAGAAGGTAAGAAGGAGCAAGTCACACCTAATGTGGATGGCAGCAGGTGAAGAGAGCTTGTGCGAAAAACTCATTTTAAAAACCATCAGATCTTGTGAGACTCATTCACTATCAGGAGAACAACCCAGGAAAGACCCACCCTCCATTATTCAATCACCTCCCACCAGGTTCCTCCCATGGGACATGAGAATTGTGGGAGTTACAATTCAAGATGAGATTTGGGTGAAGACACAGCCAAACCATATTAACCCACCCCTAGCACCTCCCCTCCCAAATCACATGTCCTCGTATTTCCAAACAAATCATGCCTTCCCAATAGTCCGCCAAAGTCTTAACTCATTTCAGCATTAACTCAAAAGTCCACAATCCAAAGTCTCATCTGAGATAAGGCAAGTTCCTCCCACCTATGAGCCTGTAAAATCAAAAGCAAGTTAGTTACTTCCTAGATACAAAGGGAGTACAGGCATTGGGTAAAGACAGCCATTCCAAATGGGAGAAATTGGCTGAAACAAAGGGGCTACAGGCCCTGTGCAAGTCTGAAAACCAGCAGGACAGTCAAATCTTAAAGCTCCAAAATGATCTTCTTTGACTCCATGTCTCACATCCAGGTCACACTGATGCAAGAGATGGGTTGCCATGGTCTTGGGCAGCTCTGCCCCTGAGGCTTTGCAGAGTACAGTCTCCCTCCTGGCTGCTTTCACAGGCTGGCCTTAAGTGTCTGTGGCTTTTCCAAGTGCACAGTACAAGGTGTCAGTGGATCTACCATTCTGGACTCTGAAGGACAGTGACCCTCTTCTCATGATTCCACTAGGTGACGCCCCACTAGGGACTCTGTGTGGGAGCCCCAACCCCACATTTCCCTTCCCCACTGTCCCAGCAGAGGTTCTCCATGAGGGCCCCACCCCTGCAGCAAACTTCTGCCTGGGCAGTCAGGCATTTCCATACATCTTCTGAAACCTAGGTGAGGGTTCCCAAACCTCAGTTCTTGACTTTTATGCACCCACAGGCTCAATACCACATGGAAACTGCCAAGGCTTGGGGCTTGTACCCACGGCTGGAGTGGCTGGAATGCAGTGCACCAAGTCCCTAGAATGCATACAGCAGAGGGACTCTGGACCCAGCCCACAAAACCATTTTTTTCCTTCTAAACCTCCTGGCCTGTGATGGGAGGGGTTGCCCTGAAGACCTCTGATATGCCCTGGAGATATTTTCCCCATTGTCATGGGGATTAACATTCAGCTCCTTGTCAGTTATGCAAATTTCTGCAGTGGCTTGAATTTCTCCTCAGAAAAACAGGATTTTCTTTTCTATCACATTATTAGGCTGCAAATTTTCCAAACATTTATGCTCTGCTTCCTTTATAAAACTGAATGCCTTTAACAGCACCCAAGTCACCTCTTGAATGCTTTGCTGTTTAGATATTTCTTCTGCCAGATGCTCTAAATCATTTTTCGCAAGTTCAAAGTTCCACGAATCTCTAGGGCAGGGGCAAAATGTCACCAGCCTCTTTGCTAAAACATAACAAGAGTCACCTTTGCTCCAGTTCCCAACAAATTCCTCATTTTCATATGAGATCACCTCAGCCTGGACTGTACTTTATTGTCCACATTGCTATCAGCATTTTGGGAAAAACCATTCAACAAGCTTCTAGGAAGTTCCAAACCCTCTCACATTTTTCTGTCTTCTTCTGAGCCCTTCAAACTGTTCCAAACTCTGCCTGTTACACAGTTCCAAAGTCACTTCCACATTTTCGAGTATGTTTTCAGCAGTGCCCCACTCTACTGGTACCAATTTACTGTATTAGTCCATTTTTACACTGCTGATAAAGACATACCTGAGACTGGGCAATTTACAAAAGAAAGAGGTTTAACTGGGCTCACAGTTTCACATGGCTGGGGAGGCCTCACAATAATGGCAGAAGGCAAGAAGAAGCAAGTCACATTTTACATGGATGGCAGCAGACAAAGAGAGCTTCTGTAGAAAAACTCCCATTGTTAAAACTATCAGATCTCATGAGACTCATTCACTATCATGAGAACAGCTCAGGAAAGACCCACCCCATAATTCAGTCACCTCCCACAGGGTTCCTCCCATGACACATAGGAATTGTGGAAGTTACAATTCAAGATGAGATTTGGGTGGGGACATGGCCAAACAATATCAGCTGTATAAGACAGGTAACCAGGAGTAAAAATTAGGGATGGAGATCTCAGGGAAAGGAAGAAATACAATTTGCCTAAGGTTACCTGCCTCCCACATCCCCATCTGCAGGCTATGACAAAAATGACACTGGTAGCATTTACGGCTCTCAGTATTATACTTAGTCCCTTTTGAAAAGAAACTCTTCTATGATTATCATTCACAAATTGCCTAAAGTAAACTAAAGTAAAAGTTTTAATAGAAACCTTTGAAGAGAGGCCTCTGGGAACTCATGATAAAAAAGATGCTACATCAGCTAGGTGCAGTGGCTCACGCCTGTAAGCTCAGCACTTTGGGAGGTCGAGGCAAGAGGATCACCTGAGGTGAGGAGTTCAAGACCAGCCTGGCCAATATGGTGAAACCCCGTCTTTACTAAAAATACAAAAATTAGCTGGGCATTTTAGTAGGCACCTGTAATCCCAGCTACTTGGGAGGCTGAGGCAGGAGAATCACTTGAACCCGGGAAGCAGAGGTTGCAGTGAGCCAAGAGATTGCACCACTCAGGCACCACTACACTCCAGCCTGGGGGACAAGAGCGAAACTCATTCTCAAAAAAAAAAAAAAAAAAGGTGCTACATCACAAAGGAATCACCATTTAAAGCATTATCTTCTTACACAAAGGTTAGACAACTATTAATGGGTCCAGACCCCTAGCTAGTGTGTGGCTTATCCTAAAAACATTTTTTTTTTTTTTTCAGAACTGAAGGTTGGGGAAGAGACGCCAATATATGCAACCCAATGATCATCTGGCAGAAATGTATCAATATAAGCTCCATGCCAGCACATCCATTTATTTAATTAAGCTAATATAGAGTAACCAATTCAAACACTGCCCACTGCCATAAATCAATCATGACTTTTGGTTGAGAAGATAATTTTGTTAATAATGAGTTTTATTTTTCTTCTCAAAGTGAAATCCAGAATTTTATTAAATATTATTAGGAAGCATAGATTGTACCTATTATAATACAATTTTTGGTCTGCCTAAAGATATACTTTTACATTAAAATTTTCTGGATGAAGTCATCTCAAAGAATATTCCACTTTGTTGAATAAAAGGAAAAAAGTTTTAAGTTGATTTCTCACTTGCCTTCTTTAGTCTTTGCCATATACAAATTTGAACCCTATGAGTAGTTCATCAGTACCAATTTCATACCCTCTGTCCAACACTGGGGGAGTATTTGCATAAACCAAGCTACTCCCATATGGTGGAATAGTATGCCGATGTTAAAAATAATGCTGAATAACATGGGAAAATATATATGACATTATTTTCAGTTAAAAAAGAGAAAAATACAAAGTTTTATAAAGAGAAATGTCTGCAATGCATTTTAAAAGTAACAAAAGATGTGAACAGAATACTAAAATGTTATCAAAGTTGATTTCTTGGTGATGGAATTACAGGATTGGGTTTTTTCCCCTTGTTTCCTTCAGTTTCTCTATTTTTCTCAAGTAAATTTAATTTTATAATCCTAAAATGTAAAACACCACAAATAAAAAACCTCAGTCCTTCTGTTCATATTTATTTTCTTCATGACTCTGTTCTGGGTAGTTCTCTGAAGGGCTAGACACTGTACAGTCAAATAGGTAACCAGCAGAAGAGGGGGTCACAGCAGACAACTAGACAGGTTTCTGGGCCAAAGCAGGCCCAGGGGTGGTTAGCAAGGAATGAGGTTTAAGGAATCATTTCTGTTCTCCCATCCTGTATATGGCCTAGAACTCAGATTTCAAGGTAACTCTGGCACCCATTGGCCAAGAGGGGAGCTATTCAGTTGGTTGGAAGGCTTAGAATTTCATTTTAATTTCTCACTTCTTTATGTCAAAATGTGTCACTTCCAAGAAGAAAATATGCAAATTATCTAAATATGAAAGATATGTTTAAAGCACTTTTACCACTGAACAATGATATTCTGCTTAGGAATTAATGAAACTGTGATCTTTGTAAGAATTTCAGAACCAATTTGTTCTATCTTTAAGAACAATTCTATTTGGTATAGTTCTTGACAATTTGATTTTCATACTATATTCATGAAGCTCAAGTACATTAGCATAATAGTAGCACTGGGCTTTAAAATATGTAATTTCACTCTGTCCCATTTAGATTTTCAGGGACTTTGTCTCACTTCTGAGAAACTTTCAAAGACAAAAACAGAAATAGTAAGCCAAGAGTCGTTTTTGAAGAATCTGACTGAATTTCAATTTCACAAAGAAAGCAGAAAGTAAATAATACTTGATCTGGACCATCCTTTTCAGGAGGCAACCCAAATAATGGTTCAAAATTTTCTAATAACACAATGAGGCAACTCAGGATTCCTGCTGTTTTCTTCTTCTCTTCTCCACCTTCATCAAGCAACATAGCTTTTTACATGAATATTAGAGCATCTGTTTTAGGTACAGAGAAGGAAAAAAGGTGAAAGGGAGTTCACATTGAAAAAAGAGCATAAAAGAGAGAAAAATATTTAAAATAGAAAAGAATAAACAAGGCTAAAATGTGAAATTAATAAATACCTCTGCATGATAGAAATTGAGATAATAATACAGTAACAAATGGATCCAATTTTTTTCCTATCTACCATGTGTTTATACATATAAATATTTAATTTGCAAGGATCTAGGCTAATTTTTTTTACTTTAAAACATTTTCAAAACTATGGCTTTAAAAATTGCTTCTCACAACATATGACAAATAATGAGATACCGGCTTGTATGTGCTGGAAATTCAGTAATTTTATAGCTACATGAAATTTAGAAATTAACTCATCCAATACGCTTTTTAGTCTATTCTCAGACTGCTATAAAGAAATAACTAAAACTGGGTAATTTATAAAGAAAAGATGTTTAATTGGCTCACAGTTCCTCAGGCATATAGGAAGCATAATGCTGGAACCTGCCCGGCTTCTGAGGAGGCCTCAGGAAACTTACAATCATGGCAGAAGGTGAAGGAGGAACTGGCACTTCAAATGGCCACAGCAGGAGGAAGAGAGAGTAGAGGTGCTGCACTTTTAAGAAATGAGATCTCACGAGAACTCACTGACTGTTGTGAGGACAGTATCAAGGGGATGGTGCCAAACCATTATGAGGAACCCACCCCCATGATGTAATCACCTCCTACCAGGACCCACCTCCAACACTGGGGGTTACAGTTGAACATGAAATTTGGGTGGGGACACATATCCAAACCATGTCAACTCTCTATTAAATGTAAGCTTGTTGAGGCTTGGGTATTCCCCTACTCAAGACCACCCAGGCAGAGGGGAGAGGCTCAGCGATCCAAATATTTTTATAAGAATTAATAGTTTTATTTTGCTAGCAGTTGAGCCCATGAAAATTTGGTAATTGCAACTCAAATTACCATTGTTAAACAAAAGTTTCCAAGTGACTGTTTCTTTGGCTTCTTTTCATTGCAACCTAACAGCACCCCTGAGTCAGAACCTGCTTCCTAAGTCATAACACTCATATAATATTTCATGGCACTGTGAAAGAACCTAGGAAACTTGTATAGTAACAACTAATAATAACTAATATATTCTCAATGCTTCCTATGTATAAGATGCATTTCTAAGCACACACACATATTATGCTATTTAATCCTCACAGTAATCCTATGGAGTAGGCACTCTTATTATCTCCCATTGTCAAATGAGGAAATTGAGGCCCAGAAAGTCTGTGTGATCTCTCCAAAGTCAAAAAGCTATACAAGTGTGGATTATTAAAAGTATTTTGTTTGTTTTTCACAACTATAATAGCTTGTTAACATTATTACTTTCACTTTATGGACAAAATAGAGGACCAAAGGATCAAAATGCTGCTTGAAGATGGCTTAAAGAGTTGGTAGTAAAGCCAGGAATTGAACTGAGCTCTATTCGAATGTTCTTTTTGTGTGCTACCTCTGGAAGTCGTCCTTAAAAGAAATCACTTTTGGCTGAGTGCGGTGGCTCAAGCCTGTAATCCCAGCACTTTGGGAGGCCGAGGTGGGCAGATCACAAGGTTAGGAGATCGAGACCATCTGGCTAATGTGGTGAAACCCCGTCTCTACTAAAAATACAAAAAATTACCCGCACATGGTGGCGGGCGCCTGTAGTCCCAGCTACTCGGGAGGCTGAGACAGGAGAATGGCATGAACCCGAGAGGCGGAGCTTGCAGTGAGCCGAGATTGCACCACTGCACTCCAGCCTGGGTGACAGAGCAAGACTCCATCTCAAAAATAAAAAAAAAAAAGCACTTTTTGGGGATATGATTTCAACTTTTATTGTAGATTTAGAGGGTGTTTGTGCACTTTGTTACATGGATATATTGTGTGATGCTGATATTTGGGGTATGAATCTCATCACCCAGGTAGCGATGAAACTATCCATGGCCGTCTCTCTCTTGCTCCTCTCTAGCAGTCCACCATGTCTATTGTTCCCATCTTTACGTCATGAGTACTCAATGTTTAGCTCCCACTTACAATTGAGAACATGTGGTGTTTGCTTTTCTGTTCCTGCATCCATTCCGTAAGAATTATGGCTTATAGCTGCATCCACGTTGCTGCAAAGAATCTTATTTCTCTTTTTTTATGATTGCATAGCATTTCATGGTGTATATATCTATATACCAAATTTTATTTATCTAATTCACTATTAATGATCACCTACGTTGATTCCATGTCTTTGCTACTGTGAATAGCACTGCAATGAACATGTGAGTGCATATGTCTTTCTGGTAGAACAATTTATTTTCTTTTGGGTATAGATACAGTAATAGGATTGCTGAGTTGAATTGCAGCTCTGTTTTAAGCTCTTTTAGAAATCTCCAAACTACTTTCCACAGTGGCTGAACTAATTTACATTCCCACCAACAGTGTCTAAGTGTTGCCTCACCAGCATCTGTTATTATTTGACTTTTTAATGATAGCTTTTCCAACTGGTGTGAGATGGTATCTAGGACTATAGCTAACCAAAAAGGTGAAACAAGGAGAATGACAAAATATCACAACAAGAAACCAGAGATGATACAAACAAATGGAAAAACATGCCATGCTTCTGTATTGGCAGAATCAATACTGTTAAAATGGTCATTCTATCTGAAGCAATTTACAGTTTCAACACTATTCCTATTAAACTACCAATGTAATTTCTCACAGAATTAGGAAAAGCTATTCTAAAATTTATATGAAACAAAAAAGGGGTCAAAATAGACATAGAAATCCTAAACAAAAGGAACAAGGCTGGAGGCATCATACTACTTGACTTCAAACTGTACTATAGGGCTGTAGTAACTAATACCAAAACAACATACACCAAGAGGACAGAAAGAGAAGCCAGAAATAAAACCACATGCCTACAGCCATCTGATCTTTGACAAAGCTGACAAAAACAAACGGTGGGGAAAGAACTCGCTATTCAATAAATGATGCTGGGAAACTGGCTAGCCATATGCAGAGGAATGAAACTAGACCCCTAATTTGCCATATACAAAAATTAGCCCAAGATGGATTAAAGATTTAAATGTAACACCTCAAACTATAAAAATCCTAGAAGAAAACCTAGGAAATACTCTTCTCAACATCAGCCTTGGCAAATAACTTTTGGCTAAATCTCTAAAAGCAATTGCAATAAAAACAATTTGACAAGCGGGACCTAATTAAACTTGAGCTTCTGCAGCAAAATAAACTGACAACAGAGTAAACATACGACTTATAGAATGGGAGAAAATATTTGCAAACTATGCACCTGACAAGGGTCTAATATCCAGAATCTGAAAGGAACTTCAACAAATCAACAAGCACAAAACAAATAACCCCATTAAAAATTCACAAAGAACAGACACTTCTCTAAAAAAGAAGACATAAGCAGCCAACAAACATATGAAGAAATGTTCATCAGCACTAATCATCAGGTAAATTTCTTCTATAGGTCATTTCTGAATGCTGCTTTGATGTGTTGCCTCTTAGGTATCTTCTGCTTAGTGAGCATCAGTACATCTCATCATGGGGTGAGGAGTGCAAAAATATACTTATTAAGGCAACTTTTTGCCAAGGATACTCTCGTAAAGATTATGCATGTGACTTTATGACATTCAGTACAGCATGAATGCTTTATCACAAAAAGAGGACCAGGACAGATACAACCTGGACCCTAGCCCTGAACCATAGCCCCAGTTAACTCTGGTAGAATTGCCTGGCAAACTCTGGTAGACATACAATTGTTGCCATGGGCCAGGTCACTAGTTGGTGAGTGAAGTGTCAGAATCTCTCAACTAATGTGCTAATCTTATGTGTAAGGAATTCAGAGTAATTTTCAGATTTCTAGAAATACAGGCAACTATTTCTGGCATAATGGTGGCCATCAGTGAGGAGCAGGCTCTGGCCACTGGACTGAGTTTCAGCTTCTGGACTGGTGAAAGGGGCTACAGAGGAAGGAAGGGTTCAGCCTTTGGAATAGGGGATGGGCTTCTGAGTGATAAATCATGGGACATACGGGGGTGCACACTCAGAAAAAGTGTCGGTAATCATAATTAACACAATGGATAAGGATGGAATGAATACTAGGGTAACTTGATGTGGAGCTCCATAAAGTGGGGGCTAGAGGTAATAAAATATTTCATAAGGCAGGTTTGATCCTGAAAATTGGAGAATTTGCACAGTGTAAAGGAAAATACATGAGGCTGGGAATATTGTGAGCTTAATCTCAAAGTTATTAGAAACAAACTCTGCTGCCTAGGGACTCTCAAGTACAGACAAATGATTACTCATTGGTTCATAAGAATATATGAAGGCATTCTTAGATATAATATCAATCATGTCTTTGAGATACAGATGCTGAAACTGAGAACAAAATTGACCAAGAATATATCCAAAGTTCTAGGTAATAACAGCTAAAATGAAACAAGTTCTTGCTATATGGGACCTAAATCATTAGATCAATTATCTGCTAATACTCATTCTCTGAAGAAACAACTATAATGATTTCAATTTTAAAGGTGAGATAACTGAGTCATGGAAAGGTTAGAAGGCTGGTCTAAAGATAGAAGATTTTTAGGTAGCAGAATTGGGAAAGATTAATTAAATTGGAAATAGGGGAAGGCCTGCAAGATTTTCCCGTGACACTTGCTCTAAATATGCCAATTCATTTCCTAATCCCCTTTCATAGCAATCTCACAAGAGCCTTTGGCCTCAGCCTGGTTCTTGACTTCGTAGCATCATACTCTGTTCTTCTGTGGATATTAACAGCTAACATGGATTGGATTGTCACTCTGTGGTCAGAATTGTTGTAAGTGCTTTGCATCCTGAGGCAGAGCCCATGATGCTCAGTAAGCATTCCTTTTTCTCTCTTCATTATGGACCTTCTTTCAGTTAGCCAGAGACTAGCATAGCAGTGTGTGTTATTTCTGGGCTGTGGCAGGGAAAAGCCCATGCCAATCCTCCTGACACTGTTTCCCTGCTGCAGAACAGTCAAGGACTTTTGTCCAGGTGGCTGAGCCACAGGTTTCAAGCAGCCTAGATTGCTGAGCAGCTGCATGGAGGTCAGTTGCTGAGGAGTCCTTTCCCAACCCACAGATGACTTTGTGTAAATGAGAAGCAAACCTTTGTTGTGCTAAGCCATAGAGATGTTGGATTGCTTCTCAGCATTCTCTAACATATCCTGACTGGTAACACATACTAGCTCAACTAATGCTCCCAACAGTCTTATGACTGTCAGATGAGGAAAGAGAGGTCCAGAGAAGTTAAAGGTTACAGAGGTAGGTCATGGCAGGGTCAGATAAAAGTTCAGGTAGGCTCACTACAGAGCTTGTTCTCCTTTCCACCACACTGTCCCTGAAGCTCATAGTCACAAAGAAGGTACATTCTTAGGTGCTGCATTAAAGTTATTAACAGTATGTTTTTAATGACTTCTTTACATTCTACTATGACAAAAGTTTATTGCAAAATTGGAATTCCATTGAGATGTATCTATTAAGGCCAGAAATAGGACACTATCTTTTTCTATCTTTCATCAAAATTTTCCAACATGACACACTTAAAAAATGATTGGCGTAAAAAGAGTAGAAAAAGGCTGGTTTTGAAATTAGAAAAATTCTAACTTTAGCATGCTGTAGATAACACAAATAAAACACATTGCTCAATTGAAAAATGGGAATAAGAGTAATTTTTAATGTTTCTGGGAACATTCCATAGAATAAAATAGGGAGGTAAAAGCAAATCAGTGAAAGGATTGGCTTCATTAGTGGAAAGCTACTAACAGTAAATAATGGTCTCTAGAGGAGGTGAAATTTTGTTTTTTTAAATGAGAAAAGGATTTATTTTATGATGATTAGATGGTAAGCAATAGAAAAATGTATCTAGAGAGAGAAAGAGGGCAAAGGTTGAGAGAGAGAGATTAGTTGCTTTTTGCCAAGCAGTTCATAATGAGGATGATTAGAGGAGACTATAATTGATTACTAGTATCTCTCACGCTGGACATAAGAGGAATTATGGGGAATTAATCTTTGGAGTTATAGTAAAATTGATGATGATAAATACCATATGTAACAGTCAATATGGAACAAAACAGATGAGAAACAGAAAGTTATCTAGTGATTTCTTGATTTTTAGTATTAAGAACTCAATCAGGGCACTACACACAGCTTTTAGAAATGCATCAAAAGAAAAGTCATATTATTGCCAGCGTTCATAGAGTGCTTTCTATGTACTAAGCATTATTTGAAGTGTTTTGCGTGAATTAACTTATTTAATCCCCACAATTTATGTGATATTTTTATTATCCCGTTTTCTAAAGAAGAAAGCTGAAACACATAATCACCTTTAACAATTTTCCAATGTCACAAAGGTAGAAAGTAGTAGAGGCAGGATTTAAGTCCAGTGTGTGGCTCCAGAGGCTGTGTTGTTAACCACTGTTCTTGCTATCTGTCTTCCAAGTCACTGCCTGATAGTAAGTAATAATGCCTTGCTCCTGTGGTCATGGAAGGAGCAAGAGGATTGAAATTGAAAAAGCTGGATTTGATTCCCCATCCACCCCCACCACTAACAAGGGTGAGGACAAGAACAAGTATAGTTCTTTTCCTACTAAGACATCTGTGATTCGTGCTCCACATACACTGCACAAAGTTGTTTGTTATCATGATTAAATATGCCAGGAAAAGATGTGAAAAGTGCTTTGAAAACTTCTAAGTGCTCTCTATGTGAGGGATTATATCCACAGCATAGCAAAGTACCTAGACGAGCACTGGCAGCCCCCTATATAGTTTTCTGGGTGTATTAGCTTACACTGATATAACAAAATACCACAGACTGGGTGGCTTCAATAATAGAAATTCATTTTTTCACAGTTCTGGAGGCTAGAAGTCTGAGAAGCCAGGGTGCCAGCATGGGTGGGTTCTGGTAAAGGATTTCTTCCTGGCTTAGAGATGGCCACCTTCTTGCTGTGTCCTCACATGACAGAAAGAGAAAGAGTGTGTAAGCTCTCTGGTGTTTCTTCTTATAAGGGCACTAATCCCAGCATGAGCATTCCAGCCTTACGACCTTATCTAAACTAGTTATCTCCCAAAGTCTCCATCTCTAAATACCATCACATTGGAGATTATGGCTTCAACATGTGAAATGAGGGGAGAGTGGGGACAATTCATTTCCATAGTACTGGGTAAGAAAATAAAGCAATTATTTTGTATGTTTATGCTGGAAAGGGAATCCGGGAGATAGGTTAAATACAGGGAGAAAGGGTATCCTGAAAATAACACCATGTATTTATTGAACCCATGCTGTCACAAGAGAAAAAAAATAGCATGATGAGTTGGGTAAGCATGTGTGTTCGCTGTGATTGAAAATGCTGGCCAGGTGCAGTGGCTCAGCCTGTAATCCCAGCACTTCGGGAGGCCGAGGCAGATGGATCACCTGAGGTCAGGAGTTCAAGACCAGCCTGGCCAACATGATGAAATCCAATCTCTACCAAAAATACAAAAATTTGCCAGGTGTGGTGGTGCGTGCCTATAATCCCAGCTACTTGGGAGGCTGAGGCAGGAGAATCGCTTGAACCCGGGAGGTGGAGACCACAGTGAGCCAAGATCGCACCACTGCACTCCAGCCTGGGCAATAGAGTGAGACTCCATCTCAAAAAAGAAAGAAAATGCTTCACAAAATAGTGCCTTTCACTGGAGAAAGATTAAAACAGCCAAGGTTCATGAGGCACCTAAGTGTGGTAGGTAAGTACTGGCTGACAAGCTCTTCAGATCTCAGCTTAATCTTTACTTTGCCATTCTGTGTGACATTAGTCTACTGATTTAACCTCTGCAAATGTCAGTTACCTCATCAGTAATGTGAACAATTTAATTGCATTTGGTGTTTGAGACTGCAGTGAGGACTAAGTATAAATGTCTTGCTTTACTAGAATGCCTAGCTTATATTATATCATCAGTAATTAGTAAATATTATTATTATTGAGGAGTAATTTGACTCTCCTCCTTCCCATTTTAGTTCATTTACCAAATGTCATTGAGCACCTACTGTATGGCAGGCATTATTTTTGCATTTCATAAATTCTAGAAAAAACTATAAATGTAATCTAAATATTTACTTATTTATTCTTTAATTCATTAATTCGATAATTTAGTGAATGCCAGTGGAACATATTTTTGTAATATCCCTCTTTTCTGTTGCTAGGATACGCTGCTCAGCAACCTCCCACTGTTTTTGAGACTTACATATGTTCTAGAAAACTATACGTTCTTCATTCCCAGAGATAGGCTTTGTCTTGAAAGTCTGCTACTTTGGCCATTTGATGCTGAATTTTTAACATTCGTATACCCCATTTCTGACTCAATATTGCACCTGGAAGGCTCTTAGTACTCTCTCAGCATATGTACAGTGAATTCTTGGTATTCAGTCTCAGCCTACTTATTCTTCAGGAAGACTTTCAGCAACTTGATTTTTCCAGTTAGTCAAACAAAAACTTCTGAGTCATTCTTGACTCCTCTCTTCTCTCACACTTCTTATCCTTGCACTCTTGCCTGCAGAATCTACTTAGAATCCAACTGCTTCTTATCATTTTGACCACTTCCATTCTCATTCAACCTACCCACATCTTCCATGTGGATTATTGCTAAACATCCTTCTTTCAGTTTTTGTTGTTTCCATCCTTGCTTCCCTATAGTGTGCTCACTATACCAGAAAAAATATCTTAAATGCGTGTATTAATGCAAATGGATGAATTTATCCTGGCTTTTTCTATTAGCACACTTGCATATGGTCTAATACATTGAATAATCAAATTAAAACCCATTTGTGGCTCTTTCCAAGAAAAGCCTTATTGGATAATTTAGAAATATCTATATTCTGAAATTAAAGTGGTTAAAAAAAGGTATATGTATATATATTATGTGTATATGTATATATACACACATAAATGATGCATACACAAACACATAGATGATACAGGTAGGAGGAAAGAAAAAAGAAAGGAAGGAGGGAAGGAAGGAAGAAAGGAAGGGGGGAAGGAAGGAAGGAAGGAAGGAAGGAAGGAAGGAAGGGAGAGAGACTATTAAATGCCAAACAAGTTCCTAGAGATCTTGGTGAAGTAAGAAGATAAATTTGGGTGGGTCATGGAAAATATTTATTTACTAAAAGACTAGAAGTCAAGTTTGTATATTCAATTCCACACTGCTGTTGTGAAAGTCATGTGCAAAGGGTCTTCAGACTCCTGTTGGGGTCAGAGGTTTAGGTATGATATTCTGAGGGAGGAGAGAGAAACTGCATTATCTGAACTGAGGCTGAGAGTTCAGCTGAACACACAGAACTTCCATTACAGATCCCGGACCAGCAGGGACAGAGCAGTCAGATTCCTAAAGCCAGTTCCCGATTGATGAGCAGGTGATGCTCTAGTAGTTCATTTAAACATTGATTGCGTGGAATTCACAACATTTTCTCCCATAAAAAGTGTTATAAATGGCAGTGGTAGGAGGGGAGGGGAGTGTCCCATGGCCAACACATAAAAGCTTATTGAGCCCATAATGGAGCTGAAACTCAGCACATGTGCTGAAGAAAAATAATTCTCTTGCAACTAGTAATGAAACAAAACAGAAGAACATATAAACTTGAATTAGAAAAATAGTAGCTGATTTCTCTTGAGTGCTACTGCTTATAAAGGCACGGTTTTAATTAAAAGAGGATGAGGAAGTAGAGTGGACTAGTAAGGGACTGCTAAGAAATGGCAAGGGTTTTAGATATTAGTAGCTTTGGTTATTGTCTTATTTCGTTTTGAAACACAGGGCATTGCTTTTCCTTGGTATAGCTGTAACCATTTGTAGCATTATTTTTGTGTTTGTATGCCATGATGTGCATCAACTTTTTAATTCTCACAACAAAGAATGGAAGACAAAGAAAGCAGGAAGTGATAATTTGTTCATAAGGTAACCTCAAGAAAGTTAAGAAAATAAGAAAGACGAGTGAAAGACTGGATGTGTGTATGTGTGAAAAACTAGTTGTCTTATGTCAAATTAACTGAGAGGAGAAGGTTATATTGTGTTTGCCTTCTGTACTTGGAAGGCTATAAAAGAAGACAGTGGATAAGTAACCTTGGATTTCATAATTCTAGAAAGAGATAACTCTGGATAGTCTTGTGGCTTTCTGGAACAAGACAAGGAAGAAAAAATGTGCTCGATCTAACACTATATATGTAGGGATGTGTTTGTTGCAGTTAGGGTGTTTATCATCCAGGAAGTCTCTTTCTTTTTTATCTTCATGATTGCACACTAAAATAATCTGATTTGCTGATAAAACCTTTGAACTGAGAAGAAAAATAAGTATTGGGTTTTAATTTTCTTTACATTTGCTTTAGCTTTCCTGGTATATGTTATCCTAGCTATGATCAAAGATGCCAAAAGCTCAGCTTTCAGACTCTAACACAACAGAACACAAAATCCTTAGAATTGTGCAGTTATTTTAGAAGTGCTGAATGAAGATTGAAAAATATCCCAATTTTTTGGTTGAATAATCTCACATTTAAAAATTAATACCTTCACATTTTACTATTAATATAATTTTATCAGTGCACAATGTAGCTAAGGGTGCTATCGCTTTCCATTTGGAAAGACAGGACAAGGACATGCCACAGGATCCTCAATAGCAGTGCAGGTCCTATAGCCAACCTGCCATGGTTCTGTTGAGATATCTTGCGCTTCACCCTTAATCTTTACGTGCCTCATCTTTCTCATTCATTAAAGAAGATTATTATAAGTATTACATGAGTTAATGCATGTACAGAACTTATGTAACTAGTTGGCACATAGTGAGTGCTCAATAAACATTAGCTATCATAATTCCTATTACACATTTTGATGAACAGTTCTAATATTTGCCAGAAATTAGATTTCAGTCTCTATAATATTGAAATACATTTAATTATGTTAAACTATGCTAAACATGTATTGATTTTTTTGTATATTTTAGAAGGCATCAAGGTTACTGTAAAATTTCAAGGTCATTTTCACTGACCAACAGATGTCAATATTTACTACATTCTTGAAGAATGCCTATTGTGGTATCATAAAACTTGTGAGAAGGTTAAAGTTTAAGTGCTTCATTTTGATTTGCAAAATTACTGCTAAGAGATGTTCTGTAAATCACTCATGACCATGCTCTCTGGAAAGCCTTCCACGACCACCAACCATCAGAGATTCTATAAGCTGCCATAGTACTCCTTCCCCGGTATTCACAATACTGTCTCTCTTCACCTGTATTTCTAGGCCTATGAAAAGAAATACAAATTGGATTTGTGTAATTCCCACTTATTATGCACTGATTTGTATAACTGCGCTTGTTATGCGCTGATACCTCAATTTCAACATGTCTAAAACCTATGCATCCCCCACTCAAACCTTCTCATCATCCATATTTCCTATTGAAAGTACTCCCTAGTGAATAAGGGCATTTGTCTCCTGAAGTTATCCCATTAGTTGTTATGCTGCCTTTAATTTTTCCAACCAGATATCCAGTGAGTCATCTAACCTGACATTTCTCCCATATTGTCTCTTTGATTTTTTACTACTCTCATACCAGTACTCTGTACTTTATTAAAAATGACTACTACAAAATTTGACATCATCTCCCCTAGATTACTAAGGCCTTGCCCTCTCCTGCCTAATGCATTTTCCTCATGGCAGTTACCAATCTTTCTAAAACACAAATCTGATAATGCTTAAAAGTTCGACAATGATTTCCCACTATCAAAGATAAAATTCAAGCTCATAACTTAGGTTACAAGGTTATGCATGACCTGTTACCTCCTTTTACCTGCAGCCTCATCTTACATCTATGTTCTCATCTGTGCAATGGGATAGTTGTGACCATTATATGAGTTAACTTGCAAGTACTTAAATCACTGCCTAGCACATAGCACACATTAAGTTCTAGCTATTATAACTTACCTCCTAGAAGATCTACATTCCTGCCAGACTGTGTCACAGTCAGGCCATAGTTTCTCCCACTTTGGGACTCTAACACATGTTAATGTGCAACATTCTTCCACCTTCAGTTCAGTGCTCACCACAATTATATTTATATCCTAATAAAATATCCTTGTTTTCTTAGCATTCTTTATTTTTTTTATTATACTTTAAGTTTTAGGGTACATGTGCACAACGTGCAGGTTTGTTACATATGTATACACGTGACATGTTGGTGTGCTGCACCCATTAACTCATCATTTACATCAGGTATATCTCCTAATGCTATCCTTTGGCCCTCTCCCCACCCCACAACAGGCCCTGGGGTGTGATGTTCCCCTTCCTGTGTCCAAGTGTTCTCATTGTTCAGTTCCCACCTATGAGTGAGAACATGCGGTGCTTGGTTTTTTGTCCTTGCAATAGTTTGCTGAGAATGATGGTTTCCAGCTTCATCCATGTCCCTACAAAGGACATGAATTCATCCTTTTTTATGGCTGCATAGTATTCCATGGTGTATATGTGCCACATTTTCTTAATCCAGTCTATCATTGTTGGACATTTGGCGTGGTTCCAAGTCTTTGCTATTGTGAATAGTGCCGCAATAAACATACTTGTGCATGTGTTTTTATAGCAGCATGATTTATAATCCTTTGGTTATATACCCAGTAATGGGATGGCTAGGTCAAATGGTATTTCTAGTTCTAGATCCCTGAGGAATCACCACACTGACTTCCACAATGGTTGAACTGGTTTACAGTCCCACCAACAGTGTAAACGTGTTCCTATTTCTCCACGTCCTCTCCAGCACCTATTGTTTTCTGACTTTTTAATGATCGCCATTCTAACTGGTGTGAGATGGTATCTCATTGTGGTTTTGATTTGCATTTCCCTGATGGCCAGTGATGATGAGCATTTTTTCATGTGTCTGTTGGCTGCATAAACATAAATGTCTTCTTTTGAGAAGTGTCTGTTCATATCCTTCGCCCACTTGTTGATGGGGTTGTTTCTTTTTTTCTTGTAAATTTGTTTGAGTTCTTTGTAGATTCTGGACATTAGCCCTTTGTCAGGTGAGTAGATTGCAAAAATCTTCTCCCATTCTGTAGGTTGCCTGTTCACTCTGATGGTAGTTTCTTTTGCTGTGCAGAAGCTCTTTAGTTTAATTAGATCCCATTTGTCAATTTTGGCTTTTGTTGCCATTGCTTTTGGTGTTTTAGACATGAAGTCCTTGCCCATGCCTATGTCCCGAATAGTATTGCCTAGGTTTTCTTCTAGCGTTTTTATGGCTTTAGGTCTAACATGTAAGTCTTCAATCCATCTTGAATTAATTTTTACATAAGATGTAAGGAAGGGATCCAGTTTCAGCTTTCTACATATGGCTAGCCAGTTTTCCCAGCACCATTTATTAAATAGGGAATCCTTTCCCCATTGCTTGTTTTTGTCAGGTTTGTCAAAGATCAGATAGTTGTAGATGTGTGGCATTATTTCTGTGGGCTCTGTTCTGTTCCATTGGTCTATATCTCTGTTTTGGTACCAGTACCATGCTGTTTTGGTTACTGTAGCCTTGTAGTATAGTTTGAAGTCAGGTAGCATGATGCCTCGAGCTTTGTTCTTTTGGCTTAGGATTGACTTGGCAATGCAGGCTCTTTTTTGGTTCCATATGAACTTTAAAGTAGTTTTTTCCAATTCTGTGAAGAAAGTCATTGGTAGTTTGATGGGGATGGCATTGAATCTATAAATTACCTTGGGCAGTATGGCCATTTTCATGATATTGATTCTTCCTACCCATGAGCGTGGACGACATGATTATATATCTAGAAAACCCCATCGTCTCAGGCCAAAATCTCCTTAAGCTGATAAGCAACTTCAGCAAAGTCTCAGGATACAAAATCAATGTGCAAAAATCACAAGCGTTCTTATACACCAATAACAGACAAACAGAGAAGAATTCTTTATTGCTAATACATAAGCTTCTATGGGTAGGGACCGTGCTTGCCTCCTTAACTACTCTTTACCCAACTTCAGGCACAATGCACACAAAATAGGCATCCAATGACTATGTGTTAATCAGATTAAATAAATTACTTTATCTAAGGCATGGAATTTGAAGTTATAGAATGGTTTTGTTATTCATCATTCATTAAATGAAATAATGGATATAACAAAGTTAGTGACAAAACTAGTATCAGAACTCCTGTCTTTTGGTTTCCAACTCTGCATTCATTCATTCATTCATTCATTCATTCATTCACTCACAAACACATTATATGCCAGATATTTCCTATGTTTTTACACCCTGGTAAGGAGACAGACACATTAAAAAAAATAATTTCAGCACAGTTTAGTGAGTCTAGTGAGGTAATCTGATGGAGTCAAAAAACTCTTATTGATGGAACTGATGCTTGAAGTGGCTCCTAAGAGATAAGTAATAAATAGCTTAGCAGGCAAAGAAAGAAGACACATTCTAGGCATAGGAAAATGCATGTACCCTAGAGATATTTCATAACATAAGTTAGTATAAGGTGTTGTAGGAGGAGAAGCAATACAATATTAGAAAGAGAAGCAACCAAAACAAGTTTATTGGTGGCCTCTCTTTAAGGGTCACCATCATTTCCCTCTTCCTGAATTATAGTAGGCACATAAAATAGCAAGTGCTACCTTCTAGGAGGTATTGGGGAATACCATTTTTAGCTAACCCTCCTTATAACTAATTCTCATCTAATCCTTTATCTGATTGGTGAGCAGGAGCAAGTTTGGCATCCCCTGTCCTGTATTTCTCTTCGGGTCAGAATTAATGCTTCGAGTATTCCGAAGGGGCTGTTCTTTTCTTATTCTCAACCTATCTAGGGTGCTCAATACCTATGTTCTGCTTTCTGACCGTGAAGAAGAAATAGGTGGACTTCAGAGATTGGGAACAGGCTTTCTCTGCTCAGCAATCGGATGACTGAGAGATGGAAAAAAATAGAAAGACAAGTCTTATCAGAAATTGAAGCCATTTTCTCTAATACAAATTTTCAAGCACTTCCCTCTCCTCTAACCAAAAAGGCCGATATTTACTACTCAGGTCAGAACCCATAGGGAAAAGTGCGACTAGTTCTGAAAAAGTCTTCAACAGCTTTATTAGTCATACCAAGCAGGTTTGGATAGGTGGGCAGCAATAGTAGGGAATTCTAGAGAAGACATTGTCTTACAATTTACAGTAAAAAAAAATTCAACAGTCAACGGTTATAGTCACATCTAACTCTTTCCTGGGAAAACCCCATAAACTTTAAAAGAACTATGTAGAATTGCCTGACTTCATATGGATCACCAGAGGGCAAATGGAGCTATAAAGAAAGGTAAAATTATACTTTGAATTTACCTAGAGTAAAAATGTTTCAAAGTACACTTGGGAAATTGGGTATACTGCATTACGAGTACAATTTTGCCAGAAGAAACAGGAATGGACCAGTTAATTTCTCTGATGGGACCCTGAAATCCTTTTACAATAGTCTATACAAGCATTCATTGTAAAGGGACTTGAAAGATATACAGATAACCTGGTTATGATTTTCTCACACTGAAAGACAGAAAATGAGAATCTAAACACAAGGCATCTTGGTTTCCGGTGAAAGGCGTTACATGGTCTATTAGTAGTATTAATATTATTAATGGGATATACATTTGAAAGGACATTTTTCCTGTGAAAGAAACTTACAAATTTTATAGTCAGCTAGAGAAAGGATGCAAGTGTGCCATTTAAAGATCATAACTGAAAAAGAAAATATGCTATTCTCCTTTAGAGAAGTAAAAGGATTACACTATTTAATCTTCTATGAGTTCAATATATGTAGTTCAATCCGGAGGGACTCCTGTGGGGATTTAATTAACGATATTTTGTGGCTCCAATTAGAATGAGATTCTTAACCGTTCTAATGCGCTGACCTACCTTTGCAGGGAAGAAAAATTATACCACCGGCATACCAAGTAATTAAATTTACATTAATGCTACCAAGAAATGTGAGCAACTTTTTCTTATTGAGAAATACTCCAAAAGGTCAGTAGGTCTGACAAACTTTCCATCCTTAAACATAGTAAACAATTTCTTGACATGACAAACAAATCTAGAATGTCTTGTTCTAGTAATAGTAACATTCAAATATTGCCCTCGGGGTGTGAGTCATTACTGTGCTACAATTCAGGCAGGAATTAGGTGTTTATCATAAACTCCAATAAAGAAGTTCCAGTTCTAGTCCCCACTTAACTCGGGCCTGATGGAAAGCTCCAAGAATGGCTAAGAAGTTCTGCTGATCAAAATGATGAACTACTCTTCAGTTGGTACAAATTACCTAATGTGCATACGGTCTAGGTTTAGAAGAGAGTGTTTTACTAAGTGAAATAAGCCAGATACAAAAGAACAAATATTATATGGCTCTACTCATGAAGTACTCAAAATTGGAAGTACAACGGTGGATATCAGGGCTGGCAGGAGGGAAGAATGGGGAGTCATTTAATGGACACAGTTTCTATTTAGGGTGATATAAAAGTCTAGATATGGATAGTGGTAATGGTTGAAGAACAATGTGAATATACTTAATGCCACTGAACTGTATACTTAAAAATGGTTAAAATGGTAAATTTTGTATTATGTATATTTTACCAAATTTAAAGAAAAGGTTACCAACTCTCTAATTTGGAAGGTGAGATACTATCTCAAGCCATCTAAAGATCACTTTACAAAAGGCCTTACCGACACACTAAATCACCCAAGTCAGAAAACAGCAGATTCAACAGAGTCTGTCTTATTTAAACCCCACTCTAAACTTATTTTCACATTTGCTTCTCAGTTTTTTCTAAATTTTCATTTTATTTCCTTGAAAACAATTTATCGAGTGCCTATTATGTGCTGGACATTGCTGTAGCTTCTGTATGCAGTAGTGAACCAAAGAGTTTAAAAAATTACTTTTCTTATTAGTACGTATTCAAATACCCTCAGCATTAATGTTATAAGACAAAGCCTCAGTCAAGCAACAATGGAGCTGGCAAGGTACATGCTACTAAGTAAACTGTTTTTATAGAAACTTTTTTGAATTTACTGAAGTGACCAAAATTCTTGGCACTAAGCAGTCTATTTCTCAATAATGCTATTAGGATTAGTTGATAATTGTCAAATATTTTTAGAACAGGTGCCTTTTTTTAACCATGAGATACAAATTATGATAACCAATTATGTAATTATAGTTGTTTCTTTCTACAATTATTATTGTAATTATATAACAATTGTTCTATAACAGTTCTATAACTTAATTAAGGTTTATTATTATTCTGGAAAGTCTAAAATAATTACCATATCAAACATAAATCTCATCAAATCCAAATGGTTGGCATTGGCCATAAAATGGTAAAGCTATGTAAATCTATGAAAATTAAAACTGATTTGTCTTTCTTTACTATGCGAATTTCAGAAAGAGGTATATCAAAATGACTAAACAAGAAAATATTCAATAATGTAGAAAATAATCTATGTGGGTATGCCCTGGGAATGTGGCATTTGCATTCTTCAAATGTCCCAGAACAATGTATGCTGTCAGAATTTTGTCAGAGACTACAGAGTGCTAGTTTGGAAAACCTTTTTCATTCCTCTAAGATGGAGGTAAAGACATTATTTATTGCTTCTTCTAAAAGAAGACCGTGGGTAAATTTTATGTTTTTAAAAGACAAAAGAATGGAATACAGAGCATTAAAAAGTGACTTTTTAAAAAGTTAGAGTGGGATAGTATGTGATTTGAGAATGAACAGCTGGTTTCTAGATTTTACTAAGTACAGAACAAGAAAGAAATATTCTTTAAGAAGTGAAATTCAAAATTGATATTAAATAGATTATCAAATATATTAAATATATATTAGTATTAAATAGGATATTGATATTATATAGAAACTCTTGAGAGACATCATATGGGGAAAACCCATGAAGGCTAAAATATCTTTTCCTGTAGCTTCTCTCCAATACCTACATTTCATGGTCTTCAGGATATTTTGCAGAGCTGTGCCAGGATAAATTGGGATTTATGGTTAACCCTCTAAAGCAGGCCCAGTTGTGAATCAATGTACCTTTGTGATTAGTTGACTATTTTCCCTATAATCTCTACCTCCTTCCCATAGATGAGTTGACTTACTTTTTAAGTTTTTGATATTTTCATATATGTATATGAAGAAAATAAACTTGCACTCTTCTTTTCCTCTATCAATATTTCATCCTCCACCCCTGCCTACTCAGGTTAAGTATAAAAGGCCAAGGGAAAAGTTTCCTTTCACCATAAACTATTGCTCAAAATTAACTAGTAAAAGATTGATGGGAGAAAAGTCATACAAGCTTATTAACGTACACAGGGGAGAATCAGAGAGAGACACCTGACCATGAAATAGGATACAAATGGTTTTATACCCTCCGTCTTGAGGGAAAGGGACATGAAGAAGTATGGATGATTTGGTGGCGGGCAGGGAGGGGGTTGTAAATGATTTTTAGAAGAATTCAGTGAGCTTGAGAAACATACAATTGTCCAGGACAAAGTCTGTTGGGCCGGCAGAGCAGATAATGGTTTGTGAAAAAAGTCTCTCCACTATGTTAACAGACCCGTCTTTCCTCCTGCAATATGACTTCAGATGATGAAAACTCAGAGAAAGGACCAGAGGTAATTTTTCTTTTCTTTGGCAAATCCAGACTTCAGGCATATAAGGGAACTTAAGAGAACAACATCTTGTGCTTTGGGAGGGACAGAGGATTGGGAAACAGGAGGTGGGGAGTAAGGTCAAAGAGACCTGAGGCTTCTTCAGTTCAGCACATCGAAGTGCTGTATTTTAGGGTATTGGTTTCTGAGCCAAAGCATAAGCAACAGTCTACTATACCTGTTTTTTTCCTATTGTTCTTTATACTTATATAATCCTACAAAGATATATGTATAAATAAGCATCATTTTATTGTATCTTTTATCATGATTTTTAAAAGTTGGACTAGTATGTCTTCTTCTTAATGTGTAACACATTCCATGAAACTCATGTGGATTAAAATATCAATGTATCATCCAAGGTACTTCACATTTTCCAAAGAAGCAACTGCACTATAAAAAAGCTGCAGAGCAATATATAGTATATTAATAATATTCTTTTTAAATTAATTTACCTGTAAGATACCCTGAGAGAATTAAGGGTATCATCACTTTATAGAAGTGAATGATGAAGAAGATAAGTTATGAAGTTGCTTCCCTGTGTATTAAACACTAAAAATGGTATTCAAGACCCCTAAGATAGCTCATTTTATGGATGTGCAACACTTCACTTGTTAAGAGGGGTGGGGATGTATTGAACAATAATAAAAATTTTTTCAGTACAAGTCCTCCAAACAGCTTGATTAGTTTTCCTTCTTTGATAATAATTATTATTATTCTGACTTAATTGTTGTGTTTCTCCCTTCTAAACATTCTAACTGTCCTTGACACAGGTCTGGGGTAGAGTATAAAGGGAGTGTTGCAAATTCACATCTTAAACCAAATCAAAGACACAATTTGGATGACAAGATGTTTTATATTGCACCTCATTTCAATTTGGGTTATTCCATTAATGTGTCAGTATACTACAAAATGCAAATGAGCCTGAATATCTGCTATAATATTAAAATAAAGTTGCAGGCTCAAATCCAGTTTCAAGCATTAATCCTTAATACTATACTGGTTTTTCAGAAAAAAATATATTTTTTGTCTACAAATCTGAGATCAAAACGGAATGAATAAATAGCTCCCTTATAAGTAAGCAATAATCTACCTTAGCCTGTATTTCCATGTTTTTACTGGCCTTACACGTAGACAATTTCTATTATCACCAGTTCATTTAAAAGAGGTCACAGCATTTTGGCATGTGAAAGACTAGAATCAGTGTATTGCCCTAGAGGCAATAACATGTATGAATCAGAGTCAAAGTCACATGCTTCTGTTCTTGCTGGATTGTGATATTACATAGTAAAACATGAGGTGGTACTTCTGTTGTGTGTAGCTCTTTGTTTGTTACATTCTTGGTGTTATATTTTATTTGAGTATATTATCTGAACAATAAGTTCATTGTCTTAAATCTTCTATGATTAATTAACTTTCAATAGTGAAATTGCTCCTTTAGGCTAACTCTGTGTGGACAGCTAATTGTAAATGCTTCCAATAACTTTCACAATGGCTTTATTGATGCCTTGATTGCACAATTATTTGCTTACATAGACTTAACCTATTCACACTATCTGGACAGCTTATCTGGAAGAGTCTAACATTTTTTGTGTAAAGATGTTATGATAAAAATCTTAAAGCAAAACTCAGCAAATTGAGTTCTGCATTTTGCTTGGCAGTTCCTCAGAGTTTCTATAGATTAATCATCCAAGAAGAAATTCCAAAATAGAGATTCATGAGCCCCACATAAATCAACTAAGTGAGACTCTCTGGAGTACAGTCTAAAAATTTGTGTTTAAAAATAACCTGGCCAGGAGACTGTGATGTATAGCTGGGTTTGGGGAGAACAAGACAAGCCCTTAATACTTACTATCATAAATGTATTCCATAAATGTGTAAATAAAACAAATTTGGAAATCAAAATATACTATTCAGCAAAATATGCTAAAGATATCTACTGCATTAAAATCTATTTTCAAAGCACAATTTTTCATACTTGTTTTGTTTTCCTACAAATACAGAGTGAATTCACTTTCAAATTTTCAGCTCTTCACTTCATTTTGCTGCCCAAGGCTTATAGTAAAATCCATGTTCTGGTTCTAGTGCGGTATGCTCCATGGAGCTGGGAGTGTTTCCACACAATAAAAGGAAATGGAAGAAGCTGGAAGAAAAGTAATAAAGGTGAAAAATCTTTAGAATAATTGAGTAAATGCACATTGCTAAATATTTTTTTCCTGATTTTCTCATTCAAATTTCAGAAAGGTGTATAGGATACATCACTCTCAATTGTTGTAGGAAAGACAAAGCTCCTTATAGATAGAGCTCCAAACTTTCTGAGGTAGGAAGTACATAGAGGGAGTTTACTTCAATTGTTATAGAATTCACTGGGCTCATGACCATGGAATGGTCCTGATACCAGACTCTGCACTTTGTGCACAACATACTGACTCGTTCAGCAGAAATCCTAGAAGCAGCTTATATGGGAACAGGGGGAAATTGTCATTAGATTCTAAATAAGACCTAAAGCCGCTATGCAAAATATATAGCACTTTCTCAATTACTGAAATCAAGTGGCTTAGGTTACTATTTCTTACATATAAACAACCTCCTAACACTGCTTTTTGTATCCTTTTTCCTTTCCAGGTTGCTATTAATATTCATTTTAACAAATTTTTTTATTTAAATACCAATAGCTAGACAGCTGTAAAAGAAAACCGGGAAGAAACTTGACTTAAAAAAATGCAAAAGGAAATAAGTTGATTAAAAAAATACAAAACACTTCTAAAAAGTAAAAGACATAATTAAACTACACAGTGAAATAAATTATATCAATCTATACAATACATATGAAAGGACTGACTTTTTCTATAAAACAGACCATCTAGTGAACAGGTGAGTTAAAATATAAGCCCCAGCCATACCTTGTTAACAAATACACATGTAACAGAAATGTGAAATAGAAAGGTTGAAAGTAGGGAGACAGGCAAATGAAATTTCTTTTAAAAAGCGGGGGGTGGAGGAAGAGAAAAAAATCAGGATTACAATGTTCTCATCAAAAATGGTAGAATTTTTGTTAAAATACTAAGTAAAATATAAAGGGAGTATAAAAAATCAGATAAAGTACAAGTGACGAGGAAGATATGCCAAGTTATAAACCCATATACAACAACCAATATCTAAATACAAAAATAAAAACTAATAGATTTACAAAGACAATTTGGTGAAAACTTAAATCATAGTACAATTTTTAAAATATGTATTTCTAATAATTGGACAAATTAGTAGAAAAAATAAGGGACAAAGGAAATTCATAATACAGTCAGTACATTTGGTATCATAGACATATAGAAATACCTTTAAATTCCTTGGATAGAGACTATGGATTTTTCCTATATTTATGAAGTGCTTACAAAAAATAATCACATATCTGGTCGCAAAAAACCTTCATACATTTTAATAGTTGAGATTTTATAGGCTATGTTCTCTGATCTTAATTCCATTGAAAAGTAATTTAAAATAATTAATGATCAAATTTAGGTGAATATTTAAAAATTATGATATAGATCTCAGATACATCTTAATAAAAGAAAAATTTTCAGTAAAATTAGTATTTAGAAATTAAGGAAGCTGAGAATACCTATCACAAATCTAAGGGGTCAAAGTGAAAGCACTGATAAGAAGAAAACGTGAAGTCTTAAATACCCTACCCATTAAAGAAGGCGGCTACAAATTAAAGGTGAGCAACACCAGTAAGATGGCAGAATAGGAAGTTCTAGCTCTGGTACCCCCCAGAGAAACACTGATTTAATAATATTCAGCCAAAACACCTTTGTGAGAATTCCAGAATTCAGTTAAGAAGTTATAATTCCCCAGGCAGGTGCAAAGATGAAAACTGTTGCCTTGAAATTGGTAAAAAGAGCAATTTCACATATCCACTTCCACCCCTGCCTCTGGGCACAGCTCAGTGCCCAGAGAGATAACCCTTCCTAGGACTTCTTTTTGGGGGAAAGAAAAGTGGAGCAATGAAGAAAAGTGGAACAATGACGAAGGCAGCATAGTTTGGATGCTTAGGGGCCACTGAGAACAAAGAATAATGCGGGTTGGTGGAAGCTTCCTGTATTGGGCACAGTTTAGCACACAACTTGAGATTCTTCCTCAAGAGGGAGGGAGAGCTGAGGAGTATGCATCTGACATTCGAATTTTCAGAAGACTGATCAAAGGATTGGTATAAATCTTGCCGAAATTGGAAGCTAACAGAAGGCTGGCAAGGTGTAGATACTTAGTAGCAGCTGAGAACAAGGAAGATCAAGGCAATTTTCTGCTATAGAACTAGAGAACCTTCAGTGCCGCAAGTAGACACCAGACAGAGAAAGAGTTTATAAGCTCCTGAAAAAGAAAGCAGCAAGCCTCTTGGATTGAGAAATCAAACGCAGAGGCCCAGAGTTGATGGGTTCCCCCTTAAAAAAGGACTATAGAGGCTTTCATAATCTCTCATAAGGCTGAGTGTCTTCTTCTCTACAAACTCAGTTCATAAAAACTAAGAGAGGTGGGTTTTTTCTAAATGCATGAACAAAAAGTTATGAGACATAAATAAAAATAGGAAACATGGCCCAATACAAGGATCAAGGATCAAAGTAAACATCCAGTAACTGGCCCTAAAGAAATGGACGTATAGAAACAAACTCAAAAATAATTCAAAATAATCATGATAAAAAATACTCTATAAACTGAAGAAAATTTTGCGTGAACAAAATAAGAATTTCAACAAAAAAAAAGACAATTTTTAAAAAGAACCAAACAGAAGTTCTGGAGATAAAGAATGCACAATAACTAAACTTAAAAATGTATTAGTGTGCTTTTATAGCACATTTAATCAAGAAGATGAAAGAATCAGTGAACTTGAAGACAGATCATTTGAAGTTTATATTCAGAGTAACATAAAGAAGAAAATAATGAAAATGAGTGAAGGAAGTCTAAAGATTGTATGAGATTCCATCGGGCAGACAAATGTATGCATATGAGAGTTCCAAAAAAAGAAGAAGGGAGAGAAAGGGGTAAAAAGCTTATTTAAAAAGTAATGGCTGAAAATTTCCCAAATCTAGGAAAGAAAAATGTACATTCAGATACAAGAAGTCCAATGGACTCCAACTATCAGGAAAACAACAAAATCCACATTGACACATTGTAATTGTCAAAAGTCACATTATAATCAAATTATTAGAAGTCAAAGGAGAGAATTTTGAAATCAGCAAGAAAAGTCGTATACCAAATACAAGGGAATGACTATGAGACTATTAATAGATTTCTCAACAGAATTTTTGCAAGCGAAAGGGGATGGGAAAATATATTTAAAGTGCTGAAAGAAAAAAAAAACTTGACAACAAAAATACTGTATCTGACTAACCTATCATTCAAAAATGAAATATAAATATGAACTTTCTCAAATAAAAAAAAAGGCTGGGGGTTCATCACCACAACCTTGGCCTTAGAAATGTTAAAGGGTGTCCTTTAAGTTGAAAGAAAGGATGCTAAACAGCAACACAAAACCATATGAATATATAAAACTCACTGGTACAGGTAACTATAAAGAAAAATATAAACTGTAACAGCATAAATTACTTTTAATTCAGACATAGAAGTTAAAGGATAAAAGTATAAAAATAACTGTAACTATAAAACATATTATGAATACAAAAATTTTTGAGAAACTGTAACATCAGTAACAAAGTATGTGTGAGAGAAAAGTAAAAGTGTCAGTTACTCGTATGCAATTAAACTTTTTTTTTTTTTTTTTTTTAAGACAGAATCTTGCTCTGTCGCCCAGGCTGGAGTGCAGTTGTGCGATCTGGGCTCACTGCAAGCTCCGCCTCCCAGGTTCACGCCATTCTCCTGCCTCAGCCTCCCCAGTAGCTTGGACTACAGGCGCCCGCCACCACGCCCGGCTAATTTTTGTTGTATTTTTAGTAGAGACAGGGTTCCACCATGTTAGCCGGGATGGTCTCGATCTCCTGACCTCGTGATCCGCCTGCCTCGGCCTCCCAAAGTGCTGTCATTACAGGCGTGAACCACCGCACCCGGCCAATTTTTTATTAACTTAAAATAAATTGTTATAACTATAAGGCATTTATGTAAGCCCCATGATAACTATGAAGAAAATTTTTATAGAAGATGTAAATCAAAATAATGAGAAAGAAATCACTCTTGTGATTGCAAAATAAAATAGCAAAACACAAAGAAAAATAGCACAAGAGAAAAAGAGAAACAAAAAAACTTTTAATGCTTATACAAAATAAATGACAAAACGACAGAGGTCTCTCCTTATCAGTAATTACTTTAAATTTAAATAAATTAAACTTCCCATTCAAAAGTCAGCAATTGATAGATGTATCAAGAAAATGATCCAATCTAGAGAAAGTCAGTTTGGCTCTAATGATACAATAGGCTAAACATAAAACAACGGAAAAATATATTCTATACAGATGGTAACCAAAAAGAGATTAGTGGTGGCCATGAATATATCAGATAATATAGACTTTAAGTCAAAAACTGTCAAGAAATTTAAAAAATATATATAATTTGAAAAGGGTCAATTCACCAGAAAGACATACAATTATAAATAGATACACACCCAAAAGCAGAGCACCCAAATATATAAAGCAAATATCAAGAGAACTGAAGGGAGAAATAGCAACACAATAATAGCAGAGAATTCCAATACTTTCAGTAATAGAACATCCAGACAGGAAATCAATAAGAAAATACAGTACCCGAACAACACTATAGACCAAGCCCATTCAACCATGGCCAGTGGGCCGTATGCAACTCAGGACCGCTTTGAATGTGGCCCGACACAAATTCATAAACGTTCTTAAAGTATTATGAGCATTTTTTTGCTATTTTTTTTTAGCTCATCAGCTATCATTAGTGTTAGCTTATTTTATGTGTGGCCCAAGAAAATTCTTCTTCCAATTTTGGTTCTTCAAGCCAAAATACTGAACACCCCTGCTATAGACCAAATGGACCTAACAAATATACACAGAACATTTCACCCAAGACCAGCATAATACACACTCATCTTAAGCACACAAAACATCCTCCAAGATAGATCACATGTTAGGTCACAAAATAAGCCAGAAGATTTAATAAGACTGAAGTCATACTGAGTACATTTTCCAACCACAGTAGAATGAAACTTAGAATTAATGGCAGGGGGAAAACTGGAAAATGTATAATTATAAATAAAGCAAACAATGCATTCTTAACCAATGAGTCAAAGAAGAAACTAAAAGGGATATTGGAAAATATCTTAAAACAAATGGAAATGAAAACACAACATACCAAATTTTAGGGATACAGCAAAAGTAATAGTAAGAGGAAAGTTCATAGAGAGAAATCCCTACACATAAAAAAGAAGAAAGATTTCATATGAAAATTTAACCTAGTACCTCAAGGAACTAGAAAAAAAAATAATAAATTAGTTCACATTTAGTATAACGAAGAAAAAAAGAATAAAGCAGAAAAAATAAAATACAGAATAGAAAAACAGAACAAATCAATAAAACTAAGAGTTGGTATTTTGAAGAGATCAACAAAATTGACAAGCCTTTAGGCTGGTCAGCTAAGAAAAGAAGAGAGAAGTCTCAAATAAATGAAATTCAAATGAAAGAAGAGATAGTACAACTGATGCCACAGAAATTAAAAGGATGATGTCATAGAGACTAAATAATCAGATGCCAACAAATTGGATACCCTAGAAGAAATGAATAAATTCCTAGGAACATACAACTTAACCAAGACAGAGCCATGAAGAAATAGAAAATCTGAACAGTCCTATATCTACTAAGAAGGTCAAATCAGTAATCAAAAACCTTCCAATAGAGAAAACCCCTGGATCAGATGGCTTCACTGGTAAATTTTACCAAACATTTAAAGAATTAACACGAGTCCTCCTCAAATTCTCCCAAAGAAATTAAGAATGAAGAACACTTTCTAACTAACATTATGAGGTCAACATTATCTTGATACCAAGGCCAGGGAAAGAGACACTACAAAAAAATGAACACCAATATTCCTGATAAATATAAACGTACAAATGCTCAGCAAAATACTAGCAAATCAAATTTTAACACCACATTAAAAGGATTATACATTATGACAAAGTGGAATTTATTCCTGATATGCCAGAAGGGTTTAAGATATAAAAACCAATCAATGTGATATACCATACTAACAAATGAAAGCACAAAAATCACATGATCATTTTGATAGAAGTCGAAAAAGCATTTGATAAAATTCAACACTCTTTTATGATGAAAACACTCACAAAACAAGAAATGAAAGGAAATTATCTCAACATAATAAAGGAAATATATAAAAGCTCACAACAAACTTCCTACTCAATCATGAAATATTCCTCCAAGATAAGGCACAAGATGAAGATGTCCAATCTCACCACCTTATTTAACATAGTACAGTAAGTATTAGCCAGAGAAATTAGGTAAGAAAAAGAAATAAAATACACACAAATAGAAAAAGAAGATGTATAATTATTACTATTCACAGATGAAATGATCTTATAGGTAGAAGACTATAAGGATTACACAAAACAGTTACAAATTATAAACAAATTTAGCAAAGTTGCAAGATATAATGTCAGTATACAAAAACAAGTTGTTTTCCCATATAGTAATAACAAAAAAACTAACAAGTACATTAACAAAATAATCTTATTTATAATAGCATAAAAATAACAAAATACTTTGAAATAAACCTAACCAAGGAGGCAAAGAATTTGTACATAATAAAGCCATAAAATATTGCTAAAAGAAAAAAAAATCTAAAGAAGACACAAGCAAATGGGAAGACATCCCATTTTCATGAACTGGAAGGCTTACTATTAAAATGTTCATACTATCCAAGGTGTTCTACAGATTAAAACATAATTTCTATCTTAATCTCAATGGTAGGTTTTTGAAGAAAAGAAAAACTCTTAAAATTCATATAGAACTACAAAGGATCCGAAAAAACAAAAACAATCTTGAGAAAGAACAAACCTGGAGTCCTCACAATTTCTGATTTCAAAATATTTTACAAATCCACATAAATCAAAACAGTATGGTACCGGCATAAAGACAGGTACATGGACCAAGGAACAGAATAGAGAGTTCAGAAGTAAACCCATGCAGATACAGTAAAGTAATCTTCAACAAGAGTGCCAAGATCACAAATGGAGAAAGGTAAACCTGTTCAGCTAATGGTGTTTGGACAACTGGATATCCATACGAAAAAGAATAAAATTAGAACCTTTTACTATACCTTACCCACAAATTAACTCAAAATGGATTAAAAAGTTAAATGTAAGACCTAAAGTTATAAATCTCCTGAAAGGAAACTTAGAAGGAAAGCTTTGAACATTGGTCTTGGTAATGATTTTTTTGGCTATGACATGAAAAACACAATGCAACAAAAGCAAAGTGAAGGGAGATTACACCAAACTAAATAGCCTATGCACAGCAAAAGAAATAATTAACAGAGTGAAAATTCAACCTACAAATTGGAGAAAACATTTACTACTCATATATCTGATAAGAAGTTGGTAACCAAAATATCTACAAATCAAAATAATCCTATTTGATCCTACAAATCAAAATAATAAATAAATAAACAAACCAACCAATAACCCAATTAAAAGGTGGAAAAAGATCTGAGTAGGCCAGGCACAGTGGCTCATGCGTGTAATCCCAGCATTTTGGGAGGCTGAGTCGGGCAAATCATTTGAGGTCAGGAGTTCGAGACCAACATGGTTAACATGGCAAAACCCTGTCTCTATTAAAAATACAAAAATTAGCTGAGTGTGGTGGCGGGCACCTGTAATCCCAGCTACTCATGAGGCTGAGACACCAGAGTCACTTGAACCCAGGAGATGGAGGCTGCAGTGAGCTGAGATGGTGCCACCGTGCTCCAGCCTGGGTGATGGAGTGTGAATCTGTCTCCAAAAAAAAAAAAAAAAAAAAAAAAAAAAGGGGGGTGGGTAAAAGATCTGAGTAGACATTTTTCCAAAGAAGACATACAAATAACAACAGGTATATGAAAAGATGCTCAACATCACTAATCATTACTAAATTGCAAATCAGTATCATAATGAGGGAACAACTCACACCTGTTAGGATGTTCATTACCCCCAAAATTAAAAATTTAATAATAAAAAAAAAACAGAAAAGATCAAGCATTGGTAAGACTGTGAGAAACTGGAACCTTCATGCACTGTTAGTGGGGTTGTAAAATGCTATAATTGCTGTGGAAAACAGTATGGAGGTCCCTCAAAAAGTTAAAAAAAGAACTGCCACATGATGTAGCAATCCTGCTTTTAGGTATTTACTCAAAAGAACTGAAATCAGAATCTTGAGATGTTTTCACTCCCATGCTCTTTGAAACATTACTCAGAAAGCCAAGAGATTTTAAAATACATACATATCTATCAATCAATGAATGGATTAGAAAACTACAAAACATACAATGGGGTATTACTCAGACAAAAAAATGAAGGAAGTATTTTCATATGCTACAACATGGATGAAACTTGAAAATATGTTAAGTGAAATACTCCAGTCACTGAAGGACAAATACTGCATGATTCCACTTATCTGAGGTATCTAAAGTACTCAAACCCTTAGAAAGAGAAAGTAGAATGGTGGGCCTTAGGGAAGGAGGAAATGGGGAGCTGCTGTTCAATGGACGAAAAGTGTCAGTCATGCAAGATGCAAAGTTGTAGAGATCTTCTGTACAACATTGTGTTCATAGTTAAAATACTGTACTGTGCACTTAAAATTTGTTAAAAGTGTAAATCTCATATTAGAGGATTTTTTTACCACAATAATAAAAAGATAATTCTACCCTGAAGCAATGAAAAACTAGCAATCTTAGAATCATGTTTTATACATATGTCTTCACATAGCATTTTCTATAACCACAGTGTGGTGAAAATACTCTCTGGCTCAAATAACAATGTTATTTGAATAAACATATTTGAATAAAAATATTCTTTCACTCAAATAACAATGTTCTTATTCACAAGCACAACAGGCACTCTTAGAAACATCTTTTATTTGTGTAAAAAAATGGGGGAACTTGGTCTTTACCTTAAGATATTAGAAAATAACAATAAACAAAAGATCAAAAGAAATCAGACAAACGGATAAATGGATGCATACTGGGCCAGAGAATCTGTGTTTCATTTCACAGATCTGGAAGTTCCAGTGAAGGGCTCTAAATAAGGTGGTGATAAATGGAAAGTGGTGTTTTCACATGATTTAGTCTACAGTTTATGACTTGATGAGAAAGGAGAGAAATGTGGGACAAGGCACCAATTGAAATATTTTGGCATCAGTCTAATTGGCAAACACATAGCAGCTGGAGTAAAGCCATATTGGTAAGAATGAAAAGAGAAATAGACATGAGAGATGTTTTCAAAGCAGCATCAACAAACGTAAAGTTAAATGGATGTAGACAGTTAGAAAATGAATGAAGAAATAATAGCTCAAATTTCAAGTCAATGTGAAAGTGTGACAAGTTACTGAAAGGAATGAGGAGGACTTGAGATGATTGATTTTGACAAAAACAATGGCTAAATTAAGTAGCATTGTTTAGGGTAGCTTGGGGTAGAGTTTAGCACCGATCCACATTCTACCTACTGAAAAACTAACTTCACACCTAATCTAAGTAAATCATATGACTGGTTTTTAAATGCGGTGACAAATTATTTTCCTTGTATATCCCCATCAACTGCCCCATCAACCCCTCTAAGCCACACTCATACAAATTAGAGAACCATCTCTGTTCTAATTTCAGTGATGGAAGAATACAACTTGGAAATGCTCAGCAAGATACTTAAGATGCCAAAAGGAAATTCCAAGGGCTGGAGGCTTAGTAAGCATTCTATGCTGGAGATATAAACATGCTATCACCGGCATGATCTCAGGCAAGGCTCTTATTATTCCCAGACCTTATCGTTTTTATTTACAGAATGCACAAACTCCTTTTACATGAGAAAGCCTCTAATATGTAATATTTGGCATCATTACACATGTAGAGAAACTGATACTCAATACTCAGGAGACATCTTTGGGTATTTATACAAAACTTGTTTTAATATCTGTGCAATGAGTCTACTGATGGGTGAAACTATCTGAAGAATAATTATAACCTTCTATAATTTTTATCACTTTTAATGATAATTATTTATTCTGCAGCCATATATCAGGTATTACACTTGGCACTCTAAAATGTTTAATCATCAGAGCAATACTGCAAAGGGATTTTTATTACTCTCATTTTACCAATGAGGTAATTGAGGATCTGGATAAATATCTTGACAGAAACCTCTCAACTGACAAGGAACTGAATCAGAATACCCAAGTCTATTGACTATAAGTCTATGGCTATTATCATCCCACTAACTTGTGACTTATTCACCACATTCGAAACATGAGAAACAGAGCATTGAGCTTAGCAGACTGCTGCCATTCAAGACACCAAGTCCTAAAAACAAATGCATTTTCCATTCCATTATTTCTAATACTTTAAGTACTATATATTTATATTCTAGCCACTTATGGTAGAAATCATTTTAAAGTGCACCAACATTCCTACAATTTCAACAGAGTATGTAACTCAAAATATAACCATTTCTCATGATTAATATGTATGATTAAATTTCATAAGAGTTTTGCTTTATATATGTATTTTTTTCTTTGCATAAGTTTGTTTTTTTATTATTATACTTTAAGTTCTAGGGTACATGTGCACAACGTGCAGGTTTGTTACATATGTATACATGTGCCATGTTGGTGTGCTGCACCCATTAACTCGTCATTTACACTAGGCATATCTCCTAATGCTATCCCTCCCCACTCCCCCACCCCACAACAGGCCCCAGTGTGTGATGTTCCCCTTCCTGTGTTCATGTGTTATTGTTCAATTCCCACCTATGAGTGAGAACATGTGGTGTTTGGTTTTTTGTCCTTGGGATAGTTTGCTGAGAATGATGGTTTCCAGCTTCATCCATGTCCCTACAAAGGACATGAATTCATCCTTTTTTATGTCTGCATAGTATTCCATGGTGTATATGTGCCACATTTTCTTAATCCAGTCTATCATTGATGGACATTTGGGTTGGTTCCAAGTCTTTGCTATTGTGAATAGTGCCGCTATAAACATACGTGTGCATGTGTCTTTATAGCAGCATGATTTATAACCCTTTGGGTATATACCCAGTAATGGGATGGCTGGGTCAAATGGTATTTCTAGTTCTAGATCCCTGAGGAATCACCACACTGACTTCCACAATGGTTGAACTAGTTTACAGTCCCACCAACAGTGTAAAAGTGTTCCTTTTTCTCCACATCCTCTCCAGCACCTGTTGTTTCCTGACTTTTTAATGATTGCCATTCTAACTGGTGTGAGATGGTATCTCACTGTGGTTTTGATTTGCATTTCTCTGATGGTCAGTGATGATGAGCATTTTTTCATGTGTCTGTTGGCTGCATAAATGTCTTCTTTTGAGACGTGTCTGTTCATATCCTTTGCCCACTTGTTGGGTTGTTTTTTTCTTGTAAATTTGTTTGAGTTCTTTGTAGATTCTGGATATTAGCCCTTTGTCAGGTGAGTAGATTGCAAAAATTTTCTCCCATTCTGTAGGTTGCCTGTTCACTCTGATGGTAGTTTCTTTTGCTGTGCAGAAGCTCTTTAGTTTAATTAGATCCCATTTGTCAATTTTGGCTTTTGTTGCCATTGCTTTTGGTGTTTTAGACATGAAGCACTTGACCATGCCTATGTCCTGAATGGTATTGCCTAGGTTTTCTTCTAGGGTTTTTATGGTTTTAGGTCTAACATGTAAGTCTTTAATCCATCTTGAATTAATTTTTGTATAAGGTGTAAGGAACGGATCCAGTTTCAGCTTTCTACATATGGCTAGCCAGTTTTCCCAGCACCATTTATTAAATAGGGAATCCTTTCCCCATTTCTTGTTTTTGTCATAAGATCAGATATTTGTCAAAGATCAGGTAGTTGTAGATGTGTGGTATTGTTTCTGAGGGCTCTGTTCTGTTCCATTGGTCTATATCTCTGTTTTGGTACCAGTACCATGCTGTTCTGGTTACTGTAGCCTTGTAGTATAGTTTGAAGTCAGGTAGCATGATGCCTCCAGCTTTGTTCTTTTGGCTTAGGATTGACTTGGCAATGTGAGCTCTATTTTGGTTCCATAAGAACTTTAAAGTAGTTTTTTCCAATTCTGTGAAGAAAGTCATTGGTAGCTCGATGGGGATGGCATTGAATCTATAAATTACTTTGGACAGTATGGCCATTTTCACGATATTGATTCTTCCTATCTATGAGCATGGAATGTTCTTCCATTTGTTTGTGTGCTCTTTTATTTCATTGAGCAGTGGTTTGTAGTTCTCCTTGAAAAGGTCCTGCATGTCCCTTGCAAGTTGGATTCCTAGATATTTTATTCTCTTTGAAGCAATTGTGAATGGGAGTTCACTCGTGATTTGGCTCTCTGTTTGTCTGTTATTGGTGTATAAGAATGCTTGTGCTTTTTGCACATCGATTTTGTATCCTGAGACTTTGCTGAAGTTGCTTATCAGCTTACGGAGATTTTGGGCTGAGATGATGGGGTTTTCTAGATATACAATCATGTCATCTGCAAACAGGGACAATTTGACTTCCTCTTTTCCTGATTGAATACCCTTTATTTCTTTCTCCTGCCTGATTGCCCTGGCCAGAACTTTCAACACTATGTTGAATAGAAGTGGTGAGAGATGGCATCCCTGTCTTATGCCAGTTTTCAAAGGGAATGCTTCCAGTTTTTGCCCATTCAGTATGATATTGGCTATGGGTTTGTCATAAATAGCTCTTATTATTTTGAGACATCCCATAAGTACCTAATTTATTGAGAGTTTTTAGCATGAAGGGCTGTTGAATTTTGTCAAAGGCCTTTTCTGCATCTATTGAGATAATCATGTGGTTTCTGTCTTTGGTTCTGTTTATATGCTGGATTACGTTTATTGATTTGCATATATTGAACCAGCCTTGCATCCCAGTGATGAAGCCCACTTGATCATGGTGGATAAGCTTTTTGATGTGCTGCTGGATTCAGTTTGCCAGTATTTTATTGAGGATTTTTGCATCCATGTTCATCAGGGATATTGGTCCAAAATTCTCTTTTTTTTGTTGTGTCTCTGCCAGGCTTTGGTATCAGGATGATGCTGGCCTCATAAAAGGAGTTAGGGAGGATTCCCTCTTTTTCTATTGATTGGAATAGTTTCAGAAGGAATGGTACCAGCTCCTCCTTGTACCTCTGGTAGAATTCGGCTGTGAATCCGTCTGGTCCTGGACTTTTTTTGGTTGGTAAGCTATTAATTATTGCCTCAATTTCAGAGTCTGTTATTGGTCTATTCAGAGATTCAGCTTCTTCCTGGTTTAGTCTTGGGAGGGTGTATGTGTTGAGGAATTTATCCATTTCTTCTAGATTTTCTAGTTTATTTGTGTACAGGTGTTCATAGTATTCTCTGATGGTAGTTTGTATTTCTGTGGGATCGGTGGTGATATCCCCTTTATCATTTTTATTGCATCTATTTGATTCTTCTCTCTTTTATTCTTTATTAGTCTTGCCAGTGGTCTATCCATTTTGTTGATCTTTTCAAAAAACAAGCTCCTGGATTCACTGATTTTTTGAAGGTTTTTTTGTGTCTCTATCTCCTTCTGCTCTGATTTTTGTTATTTCTTGCCTTCTGCTAGCTTTTGAATGTTTGCTCTGGCTTCTCTAGTTCTTTTAATTGTGATGTTAGGGTGTCAATTTTAGATCTTTCCTGCTTTCTCTTGTGGGCATTTAGTGCTATAATTTTCCCTCTATACACTCCTTTAAATGTGTCCCAGAGATTCTGGTATGTTGTGTCTTTGTTCTTGTTGGTTTCAAAGAACATCTTTATTTCTGCCTTCATTTCATTATGTACCCAGTAGTCATTCAGGAGCAGTTTGTTCAGTTTCCATGTAGTTGAGCGGTTTTGAGTGAGTTTCTTAATCCTGAGCTCTAGTTTGATTGCACTGTGATCTGAGAGACAGTTTGTTATAATTTCTGTTCTTTTACATTTGCTGAGGAGTGCTTTACTTCCAACTATGTGGTCAGTTTTGGAGTAAGTGTGATGTGGTGCTCAGCACAATGTATATTCTGTTGATTTGGGGTGGAGTGTTCTGTAGATGTCCATTAGGTCCACTTGGTGCAGAGCTGAGTTCAATTCCTGGATATCCTTGTTAATTTTCTGTCTCACTGATCTGTCTAATGTTGACAGTGGGGTGTTAAAATCTCCCATTATTATTGTGTGGGAGTCTAAGTCTTTTTGTAGGTCTCTAAGGACTTGCCTTATGAATCTGGGTGCTCCTGTATTGGGTGCATATATATTTAGGATAGTTAGCACTTCTTGTTGAATTGATCCCTTTGCCATTATGTAATGGCCTTCTTTGTCTCTTTTGATCTTTGTTGGTTTAAAGTCTGTTTTATCAAGTGCTTTATAGTTTCTGGGCCTGTATTAGGTAAACTCGACTTCTTCCTTTGTTGGTAACTGTTAGTTTTTCTGTCTTACTAGTATGTGCCATTGTTTGCAATCTGCTACTTTATTTTGACACAAAATTGTGAGAACCTAATGAGTGCTTTAAGGTGTTTTTAATTCCCCATGAAATAAACCTTTTGAACTTTGTCAAACATCATTGCTGCTAAAAGAACTTTTTTAATCTGTGTCTGAGCTCACAGTTCAATATCTGAGTGAACTTTACATTTGAAGCAGCATGTGCCACAACAAAAGAAAAAAAATCCAGGGTTAGATTATATAAAGACTAAGGACTTATAGGCTTTTGCAGTTTTGGTGTGTTAACAGTCCAGATTTTAGTATTCAAAAAGTTGTAATAAATTTGGCCATGACCTGGCTAAAATAAATATTCAACAGAATCATACTTGTTTTTAGTACATATGCCATGAGTCTCTGGGGTATGCATATGAAAAGAAAAGTAGAGCACTCATTTGGGAAAATATCACAATCAGCAAGGTGGGAAGAGAGAGAGCCATCCATAGTCTGAAAAAGTATATGTTCAATATAGCTATGCTTTAAAAAATCTCCAGAAAATCAGGATTAGTAAAATTAGTTTGACTGGTATGAATCCACAGAAGAAAATAAGAAAGTATTCTGAGTAGCTTGAGAGTGTGAGAAACCAAAAATATGAGACACATATAAGAAATCCAGATCCGAATAGTGGTGTGCTATGCACTGCAGTTTTTTTAGAGACCATCTAGTTTTGCTCAAAGCCCTAGCCAGTAATATAGAATAAAGAAAAACATCCCATACACCAAAGGAAAAGAGCTAGAAAAACATGAGGAACAAGAAGACTATAAGAATTCCGTTCAAGGAGGCTGAAATTGATGGTTTGGAAGAGGGAAAACAGAAGGGTAACTGGAAATCAAGGAAGAACCCCTGCCATGTTGACAGGAGGCCCGATAACCTAAGAACATGGCACCAACTAAATCATTGCTCTGACTTAGTAGAAGGCTTAAAATCATAAAACAGATTACAGTTTTGTTCCCCCCATGAGAATGGACATTATTAAGTTCAACTTCAACTGGGTGAAGATGTATCTCCATATTTTTTTAACTCTGCATCAGTATAGGAGATGGAAGATGTCAGTATTGTCAGAATAAGACAATGCCACTTTAAAATCAGATGGCATCAATTCCTTTAGTGCTTAAAAAGCTTCAGCATCTCCATATATTGCTTTTAGAATTAAGCACACACTTCTTAAAAGTATTCCCAAGCCTCATCCATATCTGTATCTCTAGGCTTAGCATTTACCACTTTTTATATGACATTTTATATAGCTGACCTTGCAAGTGTCTTTCTTAATCTGGCCATATTGTCCTGTCTCCAGGCTTGTTCATATGCTATTCTCGCAGACTGGAGGACCCTTAGCATATTTCTTCCTTGGATGAAGTAGCCCAATAAACATTTCTTATTTAAATAATACTAATAATGGCATGGATAGGTAAGGAGGGGGAGAGTGGATAGATGAATAAACAACACAGACTATTTGGGGGATCATTAGAGCTGCGGGAAAAGCAAACTCTGGTTGTTATATTATTGAGAATAAAACTTTGGATTTTTTTTCGCAAGTCCTGCAACTATTCTAAAAAAAAGTTGATAATTTTCCTTGATGTTTTCTCACTATGTATAGTATATAACAATTTATGAACACCAAGAACAATGTATTTACAGAATAGGAGATTGTTAACAAAAACAAGAACTATATCCTCTTTTTGTTGTTCAGAAAGAATGTCACATGTCAATAAAACTGTTTAACATTTTCAGCGAGCTATTTATAATCAATGGGGCAAATTAAAGTAAATGTATCGCAATAGTTGTTGCTATATTGTAACTGTACATCACTTAAAAATATACCATAAATCCTTCATAAAGTATTTCTATAGTGCGTTAATGTAGCCTATATATAGTGTTTCTAAATATGTTCATTCTTCAGAACAGTTCTTAAAATTTTAAAAATACCTTAAAATAAAACAATTGTCAAGGCTCATGGAGTCTGGATAAGAGTTTTTAAAGTTTTAAAACCATCTCTGCATTTCTCCACTGAACAATTTTTTACCTCTTTTAAAGACTTACACATAGAACCACATTTGGGCAAAAATCTCCCTTTAAGCCTAGAGCATGCTATTAGTTATTCTGAAAGCTACAGGAGGATAATAACTCTCTATACACATAGAGGAAGATTATGAGTGGTAAGAACACCTCAGCATTAGTGTGCATGGTGACGTGTTCATGGGATTTCAAGCACTTCAGGACTCAGAACAAATAGTTCTTCTCAAGAGTGCTCTTCCCCAAGGAGCCTCGTTATTTTCTTCATACCTTGTCCTTAAAAATGCAGAGAAAACTGAAAGGGTTAGTTATTTGGAGCAAGTACTGTGCTCTTCTGCCAAGATGAAAGTAAAATAGAGATGGTAAAGGACATGAAAATAACACTTGTTAATGAACTACAGTGGCAGGCCTATGTTACATTTTACATTATAGTTAATTGGGAACTATTTTCTTCTAAGAGATAAGAAAACCAAGACACCAAGAATTTCAGAAGCTTCTCCAGAGTCACAATACCAAAAAATTGTGGTTTGGATTCAAAATCAGGTTTGATAATATGACATGATTATAACAACATATTTATAACAACTGTCTTCAGGCATGGAACCACAACCAGTGCAGGGCTGCGATCCTTGAGAGAAAAGAACCATACAGTGAGTGTTACATTCACATCGGCTTTGGGGCACTTTCCAAGCAGCAGCACAGGGAAGCAGGGAAAAAACAGAACAGACTATCACTAGGCAGAGGAAACTGACATCAGAATACGGGGATGCTGAGATCGTTGAAAGTTACATGTTAGGGTACTAGAGAGGAAAGAGCTAACCAGTAAAAGAATGATAGAAATTTGTATAGGAATTACCTTGAGCGTTTGACCAAATATTAAGCCACACAAACCTCCATGAGGCTTAGCAGCAAACAGCTAATGGAGACTGTGAGCTGAAGTAAGATTCTGGAGGGAATATAGTGCTACAGCATGTCAGAAATAGAATCAGCCAAAAATGCTGAAAATCCCAGGCATTTAGTTAACATCCCAGAAAGGCCACAAAGCCTACAAACAAAATTAACTGCCCTCCAGAACAAGATTCAATATCCTTTAAAGGAAAACAAGAAAATGTAGACTTTGTAGCATCCATAATATCCAGTATACATTTTAAAATGTTGCAAAAAAATAGAAAAATGTGACTCATAACCAGCAGGACAAAATACTAACCAGAAACAGATCAAGAGAAGACACAGATTTGGGACTTAGGAGAAAATGACAATAAAAATTGTATCATAAATATATTTAAGACTCTAAAAGAATAGGCAAATATTATCAGTAAACAGATGCGGGGGATTTAACAGGTAAAAAACTATAAAAGAGAACTGAAAGAAATTCTAAAGTAAAAAATACAATATCTGATATTTATTGAATGAGTTTAACAGCAGACTGATGAAAAGCAATGAACTTGAATTGGTATGGAAAATAACCAAACTAAAGCACACAGAGAAAAAATAGAATTAAACAGACAAGCAATAATGGAAACAGCACAGGTTCTGTAATCTTTGTGATAATGTGTAGTCTAACACAGCAAGCGAGTGTTACTGCCTGTGTTCTGCCTCCTGTCAGATCAGCAGCAGCATTAGATTCTCAAAGGAGTGCGAACCCTGTTGTGAACTGCACATGCAAGGGAGCTCGGTTGCATGCTCCTTGTGAGAATCTAATGCCTGATGATCTGAGGTGGAACAGTTTCAGTCTGAAACCATCCCCCCACATTTCCCCCTCCACCACATGCCATAAATGTTGGGGACAACTGATCTAACGTACATGTAAGTGGAACCCAGAAGTGAAGAAAAAAGACTAGTCCAGGAAAAAAAGTTGAAGAAATAATTGCTAAAAAAATTTTCAAATTTAATGAAAACATATCAACCCTCAGACCCAAGAAAATCAACAAATGTTAAGCAAAATAAACAGTGATAAAACCACATGTAAGATTATTCTAGTCAAATTGCTGAAAATCAAAGCTAAGGAAAAAAATCTTAAGTCAAATGAAAAGACACTTTACATATAGGGTAACAAATGTAAATATTATCACTGACTTTATATCAGAAACAATGTAAATTAGATGATGAGAGTAAAAAAAATTAAGTACTGAAAAATATCACTTGGAATTCTATATCCTACAAAAAATATTCATCAGGAATAAAGGCAAAATAAACACATTTTCAAATAAATAGGAGCTGAAAGAATTCATCATCAGTAAACCCAAATCACTTCAACCACAAGAAATTCCCAAGATAGTGTTTGTCTGAAGGCAAATGATATCAAATAAAACTTAAAACTACACAAAAGAATGAAGAAAAGCAAAAAAGGTAAATATGTGAGTAACAAGTAGAGAATGCTCTACTTGTTATTTCTTAATTTCTTCATAAAACTACTAACTAGACACATGCATGCCTCATTCTTGCCCATCTCCAGCAGGGTCTACCTGTGTCCTGCGGAGGCAGATGTTGGCCCTACCCTGAAGGGATGTCTGCTGAAGAAAGGACAGTGAACTACATGATGGCAGCAGTTAACACAGAGCAGTAGAACACAAAAACCAACCCATGAGGGCAGTAAGTAAGCACTTGAAGTCACTCTCTACCATTACAATCTGTGGTTTATTGCATCAAAAAGCAGAAGTAGAACTGTCTTAATAAAAGATAGCCATGAGCAATCAACCTGTGTTACTGAACTACATTGCCCAAAGCAATGATTCAGTGGACATGTTCAATACCTTAACAGTGGACCTGTAGTAATAACTATACAAGGAGAAAAATAATATATTCAAGAAAGCACAAGTGTTTGAAACCACCTTTATTCAAGTTGGCAAAAAGGGAAAGGGACTGATGTACATAACCCTGTCCAAATGGTTACTGTGGATGTTGCATTTACTAGCCTCTCCTTCCACTATCTAGTGTCCTGCTGCTGGCCCAAACAACTACAGGCTGTAAAAAGCATGCTAGACATTGCTGGGTCACCAAAAAAAGAACCCACAAGCCTACAATGACCTTAAAGCTAGCAAGGCATCTTTGCTTTAATTTTGTAAGGAACTCTGTTTATGTTCATAAGAAGTAGCAATTATGCCTGTAGGTTGGCACCGGTCATACATTTTACCTGCAGCTGTGTTGCATTTCATGAGCATGGGAAAGACTATTTGCCCATTTGGGAAAAAATGATTTATCTCTGAGGCCACAGCGAAGGGTTAGAGATATACTCAAGCCATCCTAGCTGCACACCAAATGGAGATGACCAAGTGTGTAGCAGCAATAAGCTTCAGTACTGACTTGGGAATATGATGTCAGATGCTTTGAGAGAGCAAATCAGTAGTAACACATGTATACACATGTAAAATTTGTTAGTAGCCATCAAAATGTGAAGTGTGCATATGTCTTAAACCCAGTCTTACTTCTAGACATTTTTCTACAAAAATATCCGTGCAAGTATGCAAAATATAAAAGTACAAGTGTACTTACTGTAGAAGTACTTTCCCTGGCACTGAAACTGTTCATGCAAAACAGAAATTATTGTTTGACAGGAGTACTCTAGAGGGATTTCTGCATCAAATGGTAGATTAGACTTGATCATATAAAGTTTCTCCTAATTATAAACTCTACATTCCCTCATTCTTGGGAAGAGGGGAGAGCAACAGCAGCAGCATTAGGAAGAGAGAAGTACAACAACAGGAGCAGCAAAGGTGGTAGCAACAGGGAAATGCAGGTACTACAGACAGCAACCCAGTCAGCAGGCTCAAGACAGACAGAAGGAACCATGGCAGGACCAGTCACTGAGCATGCCAGAAGAAATCGACCCAGCATGGTCCTTGCATGTGTTGTCAACATGTCCCCAGTGGGTCTTTGTATGGTCATGGAAGGTGCTGCAAGCATATCTTAATGGATGCTTTCAGCATGTTGGCAGAGCTGTCTCTTTAATCACACAGCATAACTGCGATTGCAAACAAACAAAAAATAACAGAATCAACTGTTGCAACCTTGCAACAGTTGTAGTAAAGACTACATAATTAAATGAGTGGGAGCCAGAAAGAATCCCAGCTCAATGCTGAAATCTGGAAGAAATGAGTTGTATTAGTCTGCTTGTGTTGCCATGACAAAATACCATAGACAAACTTGCTTAAACAAAAGAAATTTATGTTCTCAGAGTTCTGGATGCTGAGAAGTACAAAAACAAGTTTCCAGCTGATTCAGTTTCTGGTGAAAGCTCCCTTCCTGGCTTGCAGAAGCCCACCTTCTGGTGACATCTTAACAGGGCCCTTACTTGATGGATGTGCACCAATTTTATCTGACTAGGACTCCATTTTTTGACCTCATTTAACCTTACTGGCCTCCGGATCCTTGTCTCCAAATACATTCAATTCACAGTGGAAGTTAAGGCTTTGGCATGGGAATGGGGAAGTGTGACAATGTAGTCCATAACAGAAAAAAAGAATAAAAAATTCCCAGCAGGAGGAATTCCCTTCCCCATAGGAGGGGTTAAAGCCACTGCAGGAGAGGGGAAGAAAAGTCAATTTGAAAATCATTCTCACACTCAACCTTAGCTAGCCATGTGTGGTGGTTAATACTGAGTGTCAACTTGATTGAATTGAAGGAGGCAAAATATTGATTCTGGGTGTGTCTGTGAGGATGTTGCCAAAGAAGATTAACATTTGAGTCACTAGGCTGGGAAAGGCAGACCCACCCTTAATCTGGGTGAACACCATATAATCAGCTGCCACCAGGGCCTGAATATAAAGCAGGCAGAAAAATGTGAAAAGGCTAGACTGCCTTAGCCTCCCAGCCTACATCGTTCTCCCATGCTGGTTGCTTTCTGCCCTCAAACACGGGATTCCAAGTTCTTCAGCTTTGGGACTTGGACTGGCTTCCTTGCCCCTCAGCTTGCAGACAACGAATTGTGGGACCTTGTGATTGTGTAAGTTAACACTCCTTATTGAACCCATATATATATATATATATATATATATATATACACACACACACACACACACACACACACATAGGACTCCTATATATACAGGAGTTTATATATATATATATATCTAGGAGTTTATATATACATATAGGAGTATATATATGTATCTATATAGGAGCATGTATTTATATATATACATACTATATACATATATACATACTATATACATATATATACATATACACATACTATATATACATACTATATATACACATACATATGCATACTATATACATACTATATATACATACATATATATGTGTATATATAGATGTATATACATATACACACATATACTCCTATATATAATCTCCTATATATAAATCCTATATAACTCATATATATATCATATATGTCCTATATAACTCATATATATATATATATATATATATATATATATATATATATATCCTATTAGTTCTGTCCCTCTAGAGAACCCTGACTAATACACCATGGAACTACTAGAGAAGACTACAAGGAAAAAGGTACTGCAGTACAGGGCCAGCAGACACTGCTCCTATCCCTACAAAAGCACCCACTGCAAAGACCCACTGCAAAGCAGTATAACACATCTGAGGTAGTGGAGAAGAGCCAATCTACAACTAGTTCAGATTCTTCAAGAGCCCTAGTACAAAAAAATCTTTCTTGAGAAAATTTAAAGCCAATCGTACTACAAAATCAGTCATTGCAACACAAAGTGGAGAGATGGACATGTCTAAGATTGTTAAAGGAACAATATGGAAGTCATCGTGAAGAAAAAAGAGTGAAAGGCTGAGGTCCCTGGTGCTATGATAACTTAGACCAAGAAGATCGTTACCTTTGAAGCCTGTTAAATAGGAAAACGAGCAGGAAGTTCTAATAGTGACTAGGGTTCAGGGAAGTATTTTAAGACAGCCGATTTCAGCTTTCTTGACACAATTTAAATTTCATAAAAATGAAATGCTCTCTTCTGTTTGAATTTTTATGTCCCCAAATCTAGTAGTGATTTCTTAGTAGCTTCTGTGATTTCAACTATGCTGTAGCCTGAGTCTCTAATCTCCAAGTGCAGCCCCACCTCACACCTATACCCAACAGAGACAATATCAATGATTTTCTTTGTCTTATTCTCTTTCTGGCTTTGGTCTCTCAAAACTATGTCTGAAAAAAGTCCAGATTTCAGGCTAGAAGGAACCATTACCTCTTTCTTTTCATTTTCCTCTCCTTTTCTTTCTTTTTATTAAAGGTTCCTGAACATAGATATTTAGCCAAGGCTATAAACCAAGCAAAAATATTCAGGGGAGAGAGAAGGATGCAGCAGATTTTGATGGCAATCAGAGTTGACAACTCTTATCATCTAGGCCTAGCAATCCCACCCATTGGTTATAATATAGAGAAACTCTCAAATATGTTCTAGGAGACAACAATCTTTACAGCAAAATAATCTGTAATGACAAAATACTATAAACATTCCTTAATGTCCATCAAAAGAAGCATAGATGAATTTAGACATATGCATATGGTGAAATACTATACAAATGTGAAAATGAATAATAAAAATGGATATTAGTGTAGATGATTCTCATATAATATTGAATTTACAAAAAGCAAATCACCAAACACGTTATAGTCATATCATAAAATAAGTCAAGAACAACACCAATTATATTTTTGAGTACATATTTATTAAAATTATAGAAAAATGCAAGAGAATGGTATATACAAAATCTAGCTAGTGGTTTTCTCTTGACTGAAAGGAAAGAGATGTGATCAGGGAGGAATATATAGGAACTTTGATAGTATTGAGAATTGTTCTATTTTTTAAGCAAGATGATGGGTACACAGGAGTTTATGTTTATATTATTTTACTTCCTTTTTGAAACAATGTCTTGTCATTTTGCCCAGGGTGGTCTTGAACTACTGAGCTTTAGCAATCCTCCCAAGTAGCTGAGATTACAGGTACAAGGCATCACACCCAGTTATTTCACATTTTAACATCTTTGAAATCAGAATGGTCTTTAAGATCACTGTCAACCAGATGGCAGTTGGGATGTAGTTATTACATTAGATTCCTCAACCAATTTATTTTACTTACATTTTCTTCTCATGTTTTCACAAGAATGAAATGTGACAAAAATGTTTGAAGAACTATTTTAATAAATATAAAAAAAATTCTAAGTAACAAAATTTGACTATTTAAAGAGAAAATAATAATATGTATTACAGGGCTTAATACATATATGGATGTAAAATATATGACAGCAATAACACAAATGATGGGAAGGAGTAAAAGTAAGTATATTATTATATGGCTTTTCCATGATACTTGAAATAGAATCATACTAATTCAAAGTAGACTAAAGTAAGCTTTTGAAGCATATTATAATCTCCTAAGACAATTATTCAATGTTTTTTAAATTTTGCTTACTAAAAAGGCAAAAAAGAAGAAGAGATAGAATTGAACAAAAATCCTTAATAAAAAATCAAGGGAAAGAGGACAAATAAGAGATATTTTAAAGAGAAAACACAGTAAAATGGTAGAGCCAATGGTAACCATATCAATTATTACATTGAAAGTAAATGTATTAAACACTATAGAACTATAATTAAAAAGCAGACTGGATAAAAAGCAAGATTCCACTGTATTATGTTTACAAGAATCTAAACATAAAGACACAAATAAGGTAAAGGTAAAAAGACAGAAAATGATACACCATGAAAACAGTACGTATAAGAAAGTTAAAGTACCTATATTAATACTAGACAAAAATAATTTACAAAACACCAGATTGACACATGTGAAATAGAAAATCTGAATATCCTAATATTTTGTATTCATACGCACTGAATATTCATTGAAAGACATTCCATTCAACTGATAGTAAAAAACCTTTCATGAAAATAATTGCAGACACATATGTCTTCGTTGGTTATTTATTTATATCAAACATTTAAAGAAGAAATAATGTCAATCTTACACAAACTCTTTCATGAAATAGGGGAGAAAAACATTTTCAACTCATTTTATGAGACCAATATTACCCTGATGCTTAAAAAAAGAAAAACAGACAAGGATAACACAAAAATTACAACTAACTTCACAAAGAGAAACACAAAAATCTTTCACAATATACGATCAAAACAAATTTAGCAATTTGTAAAAGGAATAATAAAATCACAACTAATTGAGTTTAAACTTATGAAAACCTGTCAGTGTAATTTACTGTGTTAATAATATGAAAGAGAATACTGTAAGACCATTTCAATGGGAACAGATGAAAAATAGCTGACAAAATTTAACACCTGCTCATGATAAAAACTTTTAGCAAACTAGGAATGGAGAAAAACTTACATGATTAAAAAAAATCTTTTTAAACAAACCTTAATTATGAAGAGCTGAATGCTTTTTACCCAAGATTAGGAATAGGCCAAGGATATCTATTCTCCCACTTTTATTCAACACTGTTCTAACCTATTCAATAAGGCAAAAACAAAACATTAGAAGCAATAGATAGGAAAGAATCAAAATTGCTCTGTTTGTACATAATGGGATTCAATATATAGAAAATACTAAGGATTTCAGAAATCAAATACCAGATTAAATAAGTGAATTTTACAAAGTCACAGAATAAAAAGTTAATGTGAAATACCAATTATATTTATCTATGCTATCAAGAAAAATGGAGATTAAAATTAAACAATGTCATTTACAGTAAAAATAGAAAGTATTATTGGAAAATTGTAATGAAGGATGTGAAACACCTACTTCTACTTAAAACAGCAAACACTATCAGTAGAAAGCAAAGGCCTAAATATATGGACAATTACACTGTTTCTGGATTCGAAGACTCATTTTTTTATTTCTGTGGGCACAGAGTAGATGTATATATTTATGGGGTACATAAGATGTTTTGATACAGACATGCAATGTGAAATAAGCACTTCATGGAGAATGAGGTATCAATCCCCTCAAGCATTTATCCTTTGAGTTACAAACAATCCAATTACATGCTTTATTTTAAAATATACGATTGAGTTATTATTGACTATAGTACTCCTATTGTGCTATCAAATAGTAGGCCGTGCTCATTCATATTCATTCTAATTTTTTTTTTGTTTTCTTTTTTTTTTTTTTTTTGTTTTTGTTTTTGTTTTTGAGACGGAGTCTCGCTCTGTTGCCCAGCCTGGAGTGCAGTGGCGTGATCTCGGTTCACTGCAAGCTCCCCCTCCCGGGTTCACGCCATTCTCCCACCTCAGCCTCCAGAGTAGCTGGGACTACAGGTGCCCGCCACCACGCTCAGCTAATTTTTTGTATTTTTTTTAGTAGAGATTGGGTTTCACTGTGTTAGCCAGGATGGTCTCAATCTCCTGACCTCGTGATCTGCCTGCCTCATCACCCAGGCTAGAGTGCAGTGGTGCGATCTTGGCTCACTGCAAGCTCCGCCTCCTGGGTTCGCGCCATTCTCCTGCCTCAGCCTCCCGAATAGCTGGGACTATAGGCGCCCGCCACTGCGCCTGGCTAATTTTTTGTAATTTTAGTAGAGATGGGGTTTCACTGTGTTAGCCAGGATGTTCTCAATCTCCTGACCTCCTGATCCACCCGCTTCTGCCTCCCAAAGTGCTGGGATTACACGTGTGAGCCACCGCGCCCTGCCATTCTACTTTTTTAAACCCATTAACTATCTCCACCTCCACCCAAGCTCCTCACTACCCTTCCTAGCCTCTGGTAACCATCTTTCTACTCGCTATGTCCATGAGTTCAACTGTTTTGATATTTAGATCCTACAGATGAGTGAAAACATGAGATGTCTGTCTTTCTGTGCCTGGCCTCTTTTACTTAACATAATGACCCCCAGTTCCATCCATGTTGTTAGAAATGACATTCTTTTTTATGGCTGAATAGTACTCCATTGTGTATATGCACCACATTTTCTTTATCCATTCCTCCTTTGATGGACACTTAGGTTGCTTCCAAATCTCAGCTAATGTAAACAGTGCTGTAACAAACATAGGAATTCAGATATCTCTTCAATAAACTGATTTCCTTTTTGGGGGGTATATACCCAGCAGTAAGATTGCCGGATCATATGGTAGCTCCGTTTTAAGTTTTTTGAGGAACCTCCAAATGGTTCTCCATTGTCGTACTAATTTACATTCCCAACGGTGTACATGGGTCTCATTTTCTCCACGTTCTTGCCAGTATTAGTTATTGCCTATCTTTTGGCTATAAACCATTTTAACTGGGGTGAGATGATATCTTGTTGTAGTTTTGATTTGCATTTCTGTGATAATCAATAATGGTGAGCATTTTTTTCATATGCCTGTTTACCATTTGTATGTCTTCTTTTGAGAAAAGCCTATTCAGGTCTTTTGCTCATTTTTAATCACATTATTAGATTTTTTCCTATAGAGTTGTTTGAGCTCCCTATATATTCTGGTTATTAATCCCTTGATAGATGGGTAGACTCCAAATATTTTCTCCCATTCTGTGGACTCTCTCTTCACTTTGTTGATTGTCTCTCTTGCTGTGCAGAAGCTTTTTAACTTGGTGTGATTCCACTTGTTAATGTTTGCCTTGGTTGCTTGTACTTCTGGGGTATTACTCAAGACATTTTTGCCCAAATCAATGTCCCAGAAACTTTCTCCAATGTTTTCTTGTAGCAGTTTTATAGTTTGAGATCTTGAATGTAAGTCTTTAATCCATTTTGATTTTATTTTTGTACATGGTGAGTGATAGAGACCCAGGTTGTTCTTCTGCATATGAATATCCAGTTTGCAGCACCATTTATTGAGGAGACTGTCTTTTCCCCAGAAAGCTCTTGGCACTTTTGTAGAAAATGTAGAAAATGAGTTCTTGGCACCTTTGTAGAAAATGAGTTCGCTGAAGGAGTGTGAATTTGTTTCTGGGTACTCTATTATGTTCCATTGGTCTATGTGTCTGTTTTTATGCCAGTACCATGCTGGCTTTCGTTAATAGAGCCCTGCAGTATAACTTGAAATCAGGTAATGTGATTGCTCCAGTTTTTTGTTTGTTTGTTTGGTTGGTTGGTTGGTTCGTTGGTTGGTTTTTGTTTTTCTTAGGTAGGATAGCTTTGGCTATTCTGGCTCTTTTGCGGTTCCAGGTACATATTAGGATTGATTTTTTCTATTTCTTGTCATTGTTATTTTGGTAGGGATTGCACTGAATCTGTAGATTGCTTTGGGTAGTATGGACATCTCAACAATATTGATTATTCCAATCCATGAACAAGAAATAGTTTTCTATTTTCTGGTGTCCTCTTCAATTTCTTTCGTCAGTGATTCATAGTTTTCATGGCACAGATCTTTCACTTTTTGTTCTTAATTCCTAGGTATTTAATTTTATTTACGCCTACTGTAAGTAAAATTACTTTTTTATTTCCTTTCACGTTGTTCATTGTTGGCATATAGAAACGCTACTGATTTTTGTGTGTTGATTTTGTATTCTGCAGCTTTACTGAATTTGTTTATGAATTCTAATAGTTTTCTTGTGGAGTCTTTAGGTTTTTCCCAATATAAGATCATATTATCTACAAACAAGAATAATTGGACTTATTCCTTTACAATTTGGATGCCCTTTGTATCTTTCTCTTGTCTGATTGCTCTAGCTAGGACTTCCAGTACTATGTTGAATAACAGTGGTGACAGTGGACATTCTTGTCGTGTTCCAGATCTGCACAGAAAGGCTTTCAGTTTTTCCCCATTCAGTATGATACTAGCTGTGGATCTGTAGTATATGGCTTTTATTACGTTGAGATATGTTCCTTCTATGCCCAGTTTTTAAGGGCTTTTTATTATGAAAAGACGTTGAATTTTATCACGTTTTTTCAGCATCAGTTGAAATAATCATATGGTTTTTATCCTTCATTCTGTTGATAAGATGTATCACATTGATCGATTTCTGTATGTTGAACTGTCTTTGCATCCCAGGAGGAAATCCCACTTGGTCATGATGAAAAACCTTTCTAATGTATTGTTGAATTCAGTTTGCTTGTGTTTTGTCTAGGATTTTTTTCATCAATATTCATCCAAGACATTGGTTTGTAGTTTTCTTTATTTGATGTGTCTTGGTTTGATTTTGGTATCAAGGTAATACTGGTCTCATAAAATGAGTTGGGAAGTATTTTCTCCTCCTCTATTTTCAGAATAGTTTCAGTAGGACTGGTATTAGTTATTCTTCAAATGTTTTGTAGAATTCAGCAGTGAAGCCATAGGTCTCAAACTTTTCTTTACTGAGAGACATTTTATTATGGATTCCAACTTGTTACTTGTTATTGTGCTGTTCAGGTTTTCGATTTCTTCCTGGTTCAATCTTGGTCAAGGTTGCATGCATCTAGGAATTTGCCCATTTCTTCTAGAGTTTCCAATTCATTGGCATATAGCTGCTTATAGTAGCCAATAGTGATCCTTTTAATTTCTGCTGTATCCGTTGTAAGGTCTCCTTTTACATTTCTAATTTTATTCATTTGCATCTTCTCTCCTTTTATCTTAGTCTGGCTAAAGGTTTGTCAATTTTTAACTTTTAAAAAAACAGCTTTTTGTTTAATTATCTTTTGTATTGTATTTTTTAATTTCAATTTTATTTATTTCTTCTCGATACTTCTTATATTTTCTCCTAATTTTGGGTTTGGCTTTCTCTTGCTTTTCTAGTTCTTTCAGATGCCTCATTAGATTATTCATTTAAAGTTTTTTTTCTCTTTTTGATGTAGGCAGTTCTAGCTATTAACTTTTCTGTTAGTACTGCTCTCACTATATCCCATAGATTTTGGTATGTTGTGTTTCTGTTAACAGTTGTTTCAAGAAATTTTTCTATTTTCTTCTTAATTTTTTTATTGAATCACTGGTCATTCAGGAGAATATTGTTTCATTTCCATGTACTTGTATAGATTCCAAAATTTTTCTTATTTATGTTGAGTTTTATTCCATTGTTGTCAGAGAAGATGTTTAAATTATTTCAAGTTTTCCTTTAATGTTTTAAGACTTGTTTTGTGATGTAACATATTGTCTATCCTTGAGAATAATTCATGTGCTTTGAAAGGAATGTGTATACTGCAGTTCTTGGATGAAATGTTCTCTAAATATTTAATAGATCAATTTGGTCTACAGTACAGAATAAGTCTGATGGGTTTTTTTTGTTGATTTTGTCTGGATGATCTGTCCAGTGCTGAAAGGGGGGTGTTGATGTCTCTAGCTATGATTATATTGGAGCATATCTTTTTGTTAGCTCTAATAAATATTTCATTTTCTGCTGCAGTGTTGGATAAATATATAAAGTTGTTATATCTTCTTGCTGAATTGACCCCTTTATCAATATATAGTGAGTTTTTTGTCTCTTTTTGTAGTCTTTGTCTTGAAATCTATTTTGTCTGATATAAGTATAGTGATTCTTGCTCTTTTTTAGTTTTCATTGGCATGGAATATCTTTTTCCATCACTTTATTTTCAATCTTTGTTTTTATAGGTGAAGGGTGTTTCTTGTAGGCAACAAATCATCTGGACTTGTTTTTTTTGTTTGTTTGTTTTTGTTTTAATCAATTCAGCCAGTCTTTTGATTGGGACTTTTAGTTCTTCTACATTTAATGTTACTATTCATAAGTAAAGAGTTACTTTTGCCATTTTGTTTTTTGTTTTCTGGTTGTTTTATGGTCTTCTCTTCCTTCTTTGTTTCCTTCCTGCCTTCGTCTAGTGAAGGTGATTTGATCTGGATATGGTTTAGTATCTTGTTTTTCATTTTTTATGTATCTATCGTATGTTTTTCAGTTTCAGGTTAACATGCAGCTTGCAAATACTATCTTAAAACCCATTAGTTTACCCTGATAATGATTTAACACTATTTGCATAAACAGACAAGCAAAAATAAAACTAATCAAAACTCTAATCCTTAACTTTGTCCCTCTGATTTTTAACTTTTTATTGTTTGTATTTATATCTTATTGTACTATGTCTTGAAAAGTTATAGTTATTATTTTTGATTGGTTCATCATTTAGTCTTTCTGCTTAAGATAAGGGTAGTTTAAACACCACTGTTACAGTGTTATAATATTCTGTGTTTTTCTGTTTACTCACTATTACCAGTGAGTTTTGCACCTTCAAGTGATTATTTATTGTGCATTCATGTAATTTTCTTTCTGTTTGAAGTACTCCCTGTAGCACTTCTTGTAGGGCAGAGCTGGTGTTTAGGAAATCCCTCAGCTTTGGTTTTTCTAGGAAAGTCTTTTTTTTCTCTCCTTTATGTTTGAAGAATATTTTCACCCAATATACTATTCTAGGGTAAAAGTTTGCTTCCTTTAGCACTCTAAATGTATCATGCCACTCTCTCCTGGCCTGTAAGGTTTCTACTGAAAAGTCTTCTGCCAGATGTATTGAAACTTCATTTTTTTTTTCCTCTTGCTCCTTTTAGAATCCTTTCTTTATATTTGACCTTTGGGAGTTTGATTATTAAATGCCTAGAGATAGTCCTCTTTGGGTTAAATCTGCTTGGTGATCTATAACCTTATACTTGGATATTAATATCATTCTCTAGGTTTATAAAGTTCTAAATAATTCTTCTTTTGAATAAACTCTCTACCCCTTTTTCTTTTTCTTCTCTTTAAGGCCAATAACTCTTAGATTTGCCATTTTGAGACTATTTTTATAGATTCTGTAGGTGTGTTTCATTGTTTTTTTATTCTTTTTTCTTTTGTCTCCTCTGGTTGTGTATTTTCAAATAGTCCATCTTCAAGCTCACTAATTCTTCTGTTTGATCAATTCTGCTATTAAAGGACTCTGATGCATTCTTCAGTATGTCAATTGCATTTTTCAGGTCCAGATTTTATCCTTGATTCTTTTAATTACTTCAATTTTTTTACTAAATTTATCTGATAGAATTCTGAACCCTTTCTCTGTATTATCTTGTATTTCTTTAAGTTTCCTAAATGCAGCTGTTTTGAATTATCTGTCTGAAAGGCCACATATCTCTCTTTCTCCAGGATTGATCTGTGATGCCTTATTTAGTTTACTTGGCAAAGTCACATTTTTCTGGATGGTTTTAAGGCTAGTAGATGTTATTCAGTGTCTGGGCATAAAAGAGTTAGGTGTTTATTAAAGTCTTTAGTGTCTTGGCTTATTTGTAGCCATCCTTCTTGGGAAGGCTTTACAGATATTTGAAAGGACTTGGGTGTTGTGATCTAAGCTGTATTTGCTTTAAGGGGCAGCCCAAGTCCAGTAATGCTGTGGTTCTTGCAGACTCATAGAGGTACCACCTCTATGAGTGGTCTTGGACAAGAACCAGGATAATTCTTTGGATTACCAGCCAGAGACTCTTGCTTTTTTCTTATTTTCTCCCGAACATATAGAGTCTCTCTCTCTCTCTCTCTCTCTGTTCTGAGCCACCTAAACTGGGGGCAGAGTGACACAAGCACCCCTGTGGCCACCACCACTATAACTGTGCTGGGTCAGACCTAAGGCCAGCACAGTGCTAGGTCTCACCCAAGTCCTGCTATAACCACTCCCTGGTTACTGCCTACGTTTGCTCAAGGCCATGGGGCTCCACAATCAGAAAGTGGCAAAGCAAGCTAGGCCTGTGTCCTTCCCTACAGGGTAGTGGGGTTCCCCAGGTCTCAGGTCAGTCCAGAAGTGCCATCCAGGAGTCAGTGACTAGAGTCAAAAGCATTAGAAGCCTAGCTGGTATTCTATTGTACTATGGCTGAGCTGGCATTCAAACCACAAGGCACAGTCCTTCCCACTCTTCCCTCCCCTTTACAAAGGCAGAGGAGCCTCAGCCCATAGCCACCACCAATCCAGGTCGTAAGAAGTACTGCCAGACTAGTGCCAATGTTCCCTTAGGGCCCAAGGTCTCTTAAGTTAGCTTGTTGGTACATGCTGCCTGGCCTGGGGCTCATCCTTCAGGGAACAGTGCTCCCCTGTGGCCCAGGGCACATCCAGAAATGTGATCCAAGAGTCAAGTCTTGAGATCAGGGACTTCAGGAGCCACACTTGGTGCTCTACTCCAATGGGACCATGTTGGTACCTGAGGTACAAGACAAAGTCCTCTTTACTTTTCCTTCTGCTTTCTCAAGCAGGAGTTTTATTCCATAGCTATGACAACTGGTAATGTGCTGAGTCTCACCTGAAGCCAGCAAGTCTCAGAGGCTCACTCAAGGCCTTCAATGTATACCTGGGAATTGCTGCTGGAATGAGCCAAAGGGCTCTTCAGCTAGCAGGTGATGAATGCTGCCAGGACTGGGTCCTTTCTTTCAGGGCAGCAGGTTACCTTCTGGCCTAGGGTGTACCTAGAAATATTGTCTGGGAGCTAGGATTTGGAATAGGGGCCTTGTGACTCTAACCATTTCCCTATCCTGCTGTAGCTGAGCTGGTATCCCAGATGAAAGACAAAGTCCTCCCCACTCTTTCCTCTCCTCAACTCTGGAAAAAAGACGGGGTCTCTTTTGGAGCTGCAAGCCTGGTGTTGGGGTTGGGGGTGATACCAGCAGTGATACCAGTGCTGGTATTACTCCCTTTGCTTTTCCAGTTGATGTCTTATTGTGTCATATGCCCACCCTCATTCCACTGTCTCTGGGCCTAGTGCAGCACTAGGACTCACCTAAGAGCTGCATTCCTTATGGCCTAGACTGCATTTCAAATTTACCTGAAACAGAGCACTATAGCCCTTGTTGGTGAGGCTTGTAAGCACTCAAGTTGGACTGCTGGGATAGGTGATTCCTCTCTAGCTAAAGCTGGTTTAAATGCTCCTTCTGTGGGCAGGTGCCAGCTGAGTTTGGTCTGTTTTTTCTTTCTTTTCTAACAGGACAGCACTGAGTTCAGTGCCTCATAATTGCTGTGCTCTCCCTCTGCCAGCAGCCAGACATGCTCTCTACAACAGGCCACCTCTGCAGGGGGTGGGTAAGGGGTGGCATCAGGGATTCAGGGCTGTTTTTTCTATCTCTTCAGTATCTCTTTTAGTAACATGAAGTTACAGCCAGGTACTATGAGTGCTCACCTGATTTTTGGTTCTTATGGAAGTGCTTTTTTCTGTGTAGATAGTTGTTAACTTGGTGTCCTCACCAGGGGGATGATCAGTGGAGACTCCTATTCTGCCATCTTGCTCCACTTCCTCCCATTAATATTTATTTTTGAGTTTTCCTACAGCTTTTTCAGTATATAAGTAAATTTTATTTGACCAATTATAAATAGCTAGAGAATTGGGATATTTACAATGTTTTTCATAATTATTAAAATGTTTAAGGAACATCTTCAGGTATAAAATATTTGCAGTATATTTGACTATTTACTTAGGAAAAACTTTTAGAGAATTTTACGAAGCTGAAGAGTATCAACTATTCAAACTTTTAAATATATACTGCCAGATGAATGCTCAAAACCTTTGATCAAATTTAATTCCATCAACAGGCCAATGGTTTGCAAATCTTATTATTCACACCTTGACTGATGCTAAATGTTATGTTTTTGATCTTTGATTATCTGATGAATGGAAATATTACATGGTGCATGAACTCTTTCTAACTTTATAAAACAAAGGTACTCATGACCTCACCTAGAGACCGTAAAGCATTTATCAGATGACCTGTTCAAAGACCACACACAGTTGCCATTAACAGATACATATGGTATGAGAAAAATCCATGGGAAACAGGCTTTGCTGGAAAATATATTATTACAAAATGAAGCTGCCAGCCTCCCTTTCTGATCTTCCCTTCATTACTGTATACATTTATCTTGGTCATAAATATTTACAGGACAAGACTAGCACAAATAAGTGAATATGCATGGATAGGTCAATAACATTTTAAGTAAGGTTATGTCAGGTTATTAGCTCTCCACTCAGGGTCATTTTCTTCTACAAACACACCCTTTCTCTATTCTTTGCCTAAATGAAGATAACCACAAAGCAGCACCTTTTCAGTTTGGTGAGATTTATTTCACTAAGGCAGAGGACTACTCCAACTCTTCCCAAGATAGACAGGGATAAATGGAACCACATGCTTCACAGGAATATGGTCAGATCTACATAGCCAGCTGTGAAAGTGACAGTAATAACAACAGGTACTTAAATGGAGCTTCCTATAAAGGAATATACCGCATCTTCCCGGCATTATTTTTCACACAGTTTATGCTTTCATTTTCTTCTCTGTGTTAGTAATATATCCAACTCATAGAATATAGTAAAATAGGTAGAATGTGGAGGCTTTAGCCAAGTATCTCCATCACTAGCTCTATCACAATCTCCCAATTCATCACAAATAACTGCATATTATAAGCAGAAAAAAAAATTTCATGAAGCTCATGAAGCCTGAACTTCACCTGCATGTAGTCCTTCTAAGCCCTCTGCTTAATTTTGTAATTCTAATTTTGTTCTTTTTCCTAAAAAAAATTTCAAAATTTATATAACTGTGAGCCCCACAAAACCTGGACCTGATGCTCAGTACTATAAATTTAAATCTACACTCTTATTATGCAAACACGGCTTTAAAAACATTTTCAAAAGAACACTCCATATTCTCATGGGATTTTTGTACCTGAAACTGCTATTTTATAAATCTTGGAACTATTACTTATAGCATCCCCATGTTTAAAAAGCAGCCGCTATCATTTGTGTTTTAGGAAAAATATAATTTCTCAATTTTAGAGTACTATATGGCTTCAAAATAAATTATGAGTCAAGTCTCTTGCACATATGGATATAAATTCTGTTCATCATACTAAGTTAGAGCTGGAAGGATCTGAGATATCATTGAGAGTATGTCTTTCATTCCTAAATGAGAAAATCAAAGCCATGGGAGGCAAATTAATTGTCCAAGATTATCTGACAAGACCACACTAGATCCTTTCAGGCCTGTCATAGAGTTCTAGGAGTAAAAGGCATGTACAAATATTATCTCCATGCACAATTTGCCTTTCTGATCCTTCCCACATGCCTTAATGAGAAACAATGATAATAGTATTATTTTGGATTGCAAAGGCAGGAGACATGTTGGGAATTAGAGTGCAAGGAGCTAATGATTTCTCTAAAAAGGTCAACACTTTTCCAGAAATAATCTGACTTAGTAGAGTCAATAGGGCCTCTAAAATAAAAAGGCTCAGGACATTGCTATTGATAGTCTCTGAATCACTAATTTGTTTTTGTACAATGGTTATGCATATGCACCCAAAGGAGCTAGAACATGTAAATAAGTTAAAATAAATCCCATGGATTTATTCAGTTTGAACACATATGCTCCTTGTTATGATCAAATTAATGAGTTGTCTTGCATTTGTATTATGGTGACTCTGATACTGTTTCCAGGTGTTGGGTTGCATTGAGCAATTACCATTTTTTTGTTCTAAGCCACAATTCAAAGTGAAGCAGCAAGTTCATTTTGAGCTTGCTTAAATTACTTCCTGATAACACATCAAGTGTTAAGGTAGATAACCTGCTAAGGTTTTATTTAGCTACAGCTTTGTGCCAAGCATTGCCCTACGCAGGAAGACGAAAAAGTCATACAGGTAAAAAATTGGAATTTGGAGACTGATCTGAATAAAAATTCTCCACGTACTATTGTATGAAATTTAGCAAATTACTTAGTTTCTTTCTATTCTAGCTCCCATGGAAAATGGAAAAAATGTGTATATCTCTTAAGGTTGTTGTAAGGGTAATGAACATAAAATATCAGGCACAGAGTAAGAAGATTCTGCCTCTACATCACTGTCACCATTAGCCAAGCTTCAGTCTCCTAAAAAAAAGGAGAAATTAGTTCATTATTCCTCATATGTTATAGAGATGCCCCCTTTTCCACTTGAGGGGAAAAAAAAGCAAGTTCACTAAAGTCCTAGTCTTCACATTGATTCAAGTTATAACATTGAAAAAATATATAGCATGCTGCATTTATGACCCTGCGACCATCTGTGAAATTAAATAACACTCTGAGAAAAGTGTTGTTGATTGCGCTTGAGTATTTTTCCCATAAGTTCTATTTAGACAGAAACTTTCTACTGTATCATAATTTTTTTAAGATGCAACTTTTAAATCCAACCCATCCTGCAGCATACTCTTCCCAAATTCTAATCTCACCTAAATGATACTTAGAAAATAATTATTTTCTAAAATGAGATAAACTTTTATCTCTCCTATTGAGAGCACAATTTTTCAATTTTTAGGAAGTCCACAAAAGTCTACATTTAAATTTTTTTCTTTCTATTCTTTGAGCTGTCTAAAAAGATAAATGGAGGTAATTTGAAGACAAGAAAATTGTAGGTTTAGCACAAATACAGGGAAATTTACTATTAAAACTGACTAATTATATGTAGCCTCCACATATCCTTTTAGCTTATTCCTATTTTAATAGCAATTTTCTTGTTAAGTAATTGCCTAGGTCTGTTCTCTCTCTCCAGATGAATGTGTCTAGGTATTGATGACTGATAAGATAATGAAGACAGTAAGACAAGTGGAGATGGGAAACTCATTCATGTCCCTAGTACCTATTACTTTGATATTCATACTGTGTTTATATATTATACAGATCAAGATACTCAAAACTGTCAAACTAGCTGGTGTGTTTATAGCCAGATTCAAAAGGATGTCAGAATAAAGCAGTAACACTAACATAGCAAATATTTTTCCCAAAATGTCTTATGAAACAATGTTTGTAAAAATCCAAATTTGTAATTTGAGGAGAAATTGAAAAAAAGAATTAGGTCTACTTCTCCAGAAAAATTTATACTACATACATATTTTTATGACTAAGATTCTAGAGTTAGAAAAAAAAAGTTTGAATTTCAGAGTCACCAGCTACAGAACCATGGAAAATATACCTATTCTTTTTCTTCAGTTTCCTCATCTGTAAAATAGGAATAATAATTCTATTAACTTTATATAGTTGTTGGAATTCAAAGAGTGATTGCAAATACAATAATTAGTACAGTACTTGACACTAACAGATGTTATCTTTTATTATAATTATCAAGTTCAACTATGAGGGGTCATCTGTGACTGAAGAGAGTCATGGTCTTTGACTGATAGTATAATTATAGCCCAGCCTCTGGATATGTGAAGAGTATGGAATGGGAAAAAAAATTATCATTACATATCAAATCTGTACTAATCAAGACTGACCATCATCATCATGAAGATAATCGTATTGGAATGTTTAGACTAACAATAAATTACGGTCATGGCCTTTTTATTAAAATAGAATATTCATACGATGTTTTCAGGGAAACAGCAATGATCTCTTTTTAAATTTCTGTGGGTGAGTTTTTAATAAAATATTATTTGGGGGTATGTAATTCAATTACAATAACTTTTCAGAAGATCTGAAATAGCTGGGGATGTGACAATAGGTTAGTTTTTTAAAAAAGCTGTCTCAGTCTACCCATCACATTGTAAATATGGCTAAAGTTTATAATTTTTAAGAGACTGATTTTAAAAAGCTCTTAATCAAACAGAAAGAAAAACTAGTTTATTTAACAAACACATTATACTTAAGTTAGCACAGCCAGTGCGTTTTTTTTAATTATGTCAAAATAGAAATAAAAATTAGCTCTGACCATTCTTTTTTCAACACACACACAAATATGAATACCACATGTTATTTACGCCATCACTTTGTGAAAGCTGATATACGCTTTCATACTCCACTCTTCCATAATGCCTCCTGGGAAGATACTACTTGATGAAAAATTAAGCTGAATCACTTTCTTTTTGCAGAGTACAGAGATGAGCGTGACAATATACTCACTGTACATCTCTGGCTCGCATAATTTGCTCTTAAACTGTCACTTTAATTATTCTTGAATTGGGAGCTTGCCTCCAGGCAAATTTCACAGAGATTTTTAATAATCCATTTTATGAAACCTCATTACGGACACCAGGAAAATATTGATAATAAAAAAGATGAACACAAAGTTAAAAAATATATGAAGTGGATTTATTCAAGGACAGGTAAACTTTTAAAAATAGAGCTTGACACATTTCTACTGCCTGTATTCTTGAAACCTGGAGCAGTCATTCTTCCAATTCTTTCCCAAGTCTTTTCCATGGGAAAGGGGATGAGGCTATAGCTATGGACGTCAATGACACTATGAATCTTGAGTAATTGTCCTAGGAACTAGGATGTTGTAGAGATAAAGTTAGATCTAAGATCATTGAAACATCCTTTACAGAAAATGTAAAAGAAAGTTACAAATAAAATCTTTCCAAGACAACCAAAAGCTGAGGGACTTCATTACCACTAGACTCGTCCTACAAGGAATGCTTAGAGGAGTCTTATACCTAGAAGTGAAAAGGACAATATCTACTATATTAGTTAATCCCCACACAGCTATAAAGATAGCATCCAAGACTAATTTGTAAAGGAAAGAGATTTAAATAACTCACAGTTCTACATGGATGGGGAGGCCTTAGGAAATTGGTGGAAGGCAAAGGGGAAGCAAGAACCTTCTTTACATGGTGATAGGAGAGAGAAGCCCAAGCAGGGAAAATGCCAGATGCTTATAAAACCATCAGATCTCATGAGAACTCACTCACTATCACGAGAACAGTGTGGGGGAACTGCTGCAACGATCCAATCACCTCTCTCCCTCGACATGTGGGGATTACAGGTCCCTCCATCAGCACAATTCGAGATGAGATTTGGGTGGGAACACAGAGCCAAACCGTATCATCTACCATCATAAAAATACACGAAAGTGGAAAACCTACAGGTAGAACAAATACACAAATAAGGAAAAAGATTCCAAATATTACCACGACAGAAAACAAACAAATCATAATGATAAAAGAAAGAGAGAAAGAGAGAGAGAAGACAGAAAACCAGAAATCAATTAATAAAATGACAGGAATAAACCATATCAATATGAACCTTTAGTGTACATGATTTAAACTTTCCACTTAAAAGATATGGACTGGCCAAATGGGTTTTTTAAAAAAGATCTACTATGTGGTACCTACAAGAAATTCATTTTACCTATAAAGACACATATAGGCTAAAAGTAAAAGGATGGAAAACAATATTCTATGTAAACGGAAACCAAAATGAGCTGGAGAAGCTATACTTAGATAAAGACTTTAAGTTTAAAAAAAAACAGTAAAATCAGGCAAAGAATGGCAATATTTAATAATTTAAAAAATCAGCAAGAGGACATAATAATTCTAAACAAATATAAACCCAACACTGGAGCACCCAGATATATTCAGCAAATATTATTAGATCTAAAGGAAGAGATAGACTCCAACACAATAATAGTTGGTGACTTCTATAGCCAACTCTCAGTATTAGACAGATTATCTAGACAGAAAATTAACAAAGAAACATTGGATTTAAATTCCATATTAGTACAAATGGACCTAACAGACATTTATAGATCATTTCATCCAGTAGTTGCAGAATACACATTCCTCTCATCAGTACGTGGAACATTCTCCAGGATAAACCATATGTTAAGACACAAAACACATCTCAACAAATTTTTAAAAATCAAAATTATGTCAACTATCTGTCTCAGACGACAATGAAATAAAACTAGAAATCAATAACAAGAGGAAGTTTGGAAACTACAAACACAATGAAATTAAACATATTCTGAATGACCACTGGGTCAAGGAAGAAATTAGAGAGGAAATAAAAAAGTCTTGAAACAAATGAAAATGGAAACACAAGTTAAAATCTGTGGGATACAGAAAAAGCAGTGTTAACAGGGCAGTTTATGGCAATAAATACCTATATCAAAAAAGTAGAAAGATTTGAAATAAATAATCTAACAATGCACCTCCAGGAACTAGAAAAGCAATAACAAACCAAATGCAAAGTTAGTAGAAGGTAAGAAATCATAAAGATCAGAGCAGATCTAAACAAAATAGACTTAAAAAACAATACAAATAATCAACAAAATGTAAAATTGTTTTCCAAAAAGATAAATAAAATTGATAAACCACTGTCTAGACAAACTAAGAAAAAAGAGAGAAGACCCAAATAAACAAAATTAGAAATGAAAAAAGAGACCTTACAACTGATACTACAGAAATGCAAAAGATCATCAGAGACTATTAAGAACAACTATATGCTGACAAACTGGAAAACCCAGAGGAAACAGATGAATTCCTGGACACATACAACCAGCCTAAATTGAATTAGAAAGAAAGGGAAAACCTGAACAGACCAATAACAAGTAGCAAGACTGACTCACTAATAAAAACTCCCCCAAAGAAAAAAGTCCAGGACCAGAGGGCTTCAATTCCAAATTCTACTAAACTTCAAAGAACTACCACTCGTTCTCCCCAAGTGATTCCAAAAAATTGAAGATGAGAGAATTCTTCCTAATTCATTCTATGAGGCCAGCATTACCCTGATACCAAAACCAGATGAGGACACACACACACACACACAAAACTATAGGCCAATATTCCTTTTGAATATAGATGCAAAAATCCTCCACATAAGATTGGCAAACAAAATTTAATAGCATATCAAAAAGATAATACACCATTGAAGAAGCTACATTGTCTGGGGTAGATACACTTGGGTTTGTTGTCAAGTACCATGAAAAGTTAGGACACAGACACACAGGAGGAGTTTAGGAGCAGAGGTTTAATAGGTAGAAGAGAAGAGAAAGAGAAACAGCTTCCTCTATAGAGGGAGGGGTCTCCTAAGACCAGCTGGCGGCAAATTCGCGGAGTTTTATAGTTCAGTTTGAGGAGGTAGTGTCTGATTTACATAGGGCTCATAGATTGGTTCAGTCAGGTGTAATGTTTACATAGCATGTAGGGAAGGCTGGTGGCCCCACCCTAATTTTCTTATGCAAATGGGCTTTCCAGTTGATCGGTGCCATCTTGTCTGTTCCTTACAGCACATGTAGCTGCCAGAGAAGGGAAGATGGAGTCACCATCTTGAAAATGTTCAGTCATTAGTTTCTGCTGGCATTCACCCACGCAAGCTCCCAGCTTGCAGGCTGCTCTTTGTTAGAAAATGATTTGGGCTGTTTTTCATTAAAAACAAAAGCCTTACAGAGGACTGTCATGCACTTGCTATCTGCCTAAGTAATTCCTTCCTAACTCCCATATAGTTCCCCCCTCTGTAGTGGTAACTCCAACTGCTGTTAGTGGGTGTTGGGTGATGACTCTTTCTAGCTGCTTCCTGCTGAAAAGGGGCTTCACGTAGGGAACACCAGCTAGGGCTCCTCCTGGGGTTGATCTAAGTGTCCTCAGAAGAAAGGCATGTTGCATGGTTCGGTCTGCAGCACCATTTGGAGTTTAACTGCTGTCAGCTATTCTGATGAGTTGTAGCAGTGGTTTGCGTTTATCAGATGTTGCTGAAACATTAATATAATAGCAGCATTCCTTTTAGGATAAGTGACATTGAATTTGGGTGGCTAGAGTAAATTCAGTGTTAACCTTGGCTAGCTCTTTCCTGCAATGATCAGTCCCTTCATGACTTCCACAAAAAATATCTTTCCTTTGTAACCTTCTTTGCATAGCTAGGGTGGGACATATTACCAAATCCAATAAGAAGTTCTAGCAAACTCAGTGATAGTAAAACTTTCATGCTTGTTTTTGTTGGTAGCTATCATTCCTGCTTTAAGGATAATAATTAAGCAAAATACTACAGCAATGGAAACTCTCTGTCCAATATTTCAGTTAGAAGGTGCTACTGTGTACAACCCTACTGCAAACAGTAGAGTGAGTATAGCAATTTCTGCAAATGTGGTGAAGTGGATAATTTCCATTTAAAATTTTATATGCCAAACTATGGAATTTCCTTTTGGGGGTCTATGAAGTTCCTTGGTATTATTTTGCCAAACAAAGAAACCTCTGGGTTATGGGTGCCCTACTCACTTTTATTACCTGGCAGAATTTGCAGGATAATTTCCCAGAACTAGCATATTGATCCAGATTTTTGCATTACTCATCCCTTTTTGTTTCTTCAAAGCTGTAGGAGATCACCACTTGATTCACAGGAATAAGCAGGGTTAGTATAAAATGTAGGCAGAAAGCTAAAAAAATTAATGAGACTAGGATTTAGTGACAAATGTATGATAATCTTTGGAGTACAGTTTCTCTCCCCAGTCCTCATTTTTGGTTAAAAAAAATAAGATAGGACTGTGTTGTTTGTAGATAAAACTTTAGTCTTATACTTGGCCTGATTATTTGCATAAAGTGCAGCAAGAATAATTATTTCTACATAGGCCTTTTGGATTGGCTTTGAAGGAACTCTGTTCCACAAGGAATCTCAGATAAGATCTCTTAAAGCTGAGCCCAACCATGGGTTTTTATCCTCAAATACCTGTGAGTTGGGTGATCATTTTCTCTTAAGGTCTTGCTACCCCTAAATTCAAAACAGTGAGATAACACAATGCAAAATGGAACAAAGCCTTTGATTTTGATAGGGAACTATCTGCTTTTAATTCCTTGGGTTTCGTGATGAAAACAGAGGGTTTTCTTTTCTCAAAACAGGGTCCATGACACCTCTTCTGTTTTTCCCAAGGAGTCCTATGCTACCAGAAGTTATCTTAGGGCCTCTCATGCATGCATTAAGAGTGGCAAGACAAAAAATGGAAAAAAATAATTCAGTTGACTGAGAAGAAAACATTTTTCTAGAAAAACAAGACCCAAGAAGAGAAAAACAAAGGCCTTTTAATTATACCTATAACTTGAATATCCACTTTTAATTAAGCTGAGTGCTCTTTAGAAAAATCCTTTTAAATCCCTTGTTACTCGACTTTAGCCATGCCAAGCAGTTAAGGTTTTCAACTTTTTGAAATTTACAAAAAGTAACCTCACAGGTGAACCAACAAGCCTTAATTAAGTTAGGACTTAACCGTGAGTGTACAAGGTATTTTCAAAGGGGTGATAGTAAACTTTTGAAACAATCATTGCAAAACTGTGACTGAGATCGTAAAAGAGATGGAACCCAACCATTTCATTTTGTTTCCAGTCCAAAGTTGTCCTTGCCCACCCCTGGACATAGGCGGATCCAACTTTGGGAGGAGCCTGGTTTACAGTTTATAGTCTAAAACAAAGATGTAATAGCCCCTTCTTAAAATATATTTATCTCTTGCCCGGTGATGAGACCAAGAAACTAGACATAAGATTAGAAACCATGGCCTAGGAGTCACAAGGCTGGAGGTTGCAAGATTTTGACCCTCCCTAGGTGCTTAAGATATTTTGTAAATGCTGCCCTTGATGGATCAGCTGGCACCACCCAGATTGACAAACTGGCCTATCTGATTCTGTGGTCCTCACCCAGGAACTGACTTAGCACAAGAAGACAGGTACCACTGTAAAATGGCAGAGACTAAAACAAGGTATTGCCACATGGTTACAGGTCATGTTCCCAAGGACATGAAACAAGATGGAAGCCTGTAGCCAAGTTTGTTACTGACTATTTTGTTGGGCTGGCTTGAACAGCAGGCTTATGAGGTCCTAGGCCTGCATCCAAACCTAAGATACCCTTTCTTTTACAGAACTATACAAAAAGACACACAAAACACACCAGATTGGCTACAGCTTAAGACCAATATCACAAATCCATTTTTATTAATTAAAACTTTACAGAGAACATAAACAATGATCCTTATTGTCTGTTTTACTGCGTTGCACAGGGAGAGAGAAGCCAAAAGCCTGACTGGTAAGAAGGTTTTACCCTTTTGCCAACATGTCAGACTTCTAGGTTCCCTTCCCCCTAGCTCAACTCTAAGCCAAGTATTTTAAGGTTTGGGGAAATTAACTTTTGCCAGCTTAGAAGAACTTTATAAAAGAGCCATTTTAAACTGTGAAAGGAGGGAAAACATCATAGAAAAGTCCAGGTGTTTCAGTTAGGGCTGTCAAAAGGTATTGCCTCTCTTCCTATTGGTAATGGTGTTTCCCTTCTCTTTTTTTTGCCTTTCCTATTTTCTCTTTTCCTTTTATGCCTAATATGGAGACATACTGCTCATCTGCAAGTTTCTCTCCTTCCTACAGGGCTGCCTGCTTCTCAGCTGTGGTTAGGATTTGGTTTAGGAGCAGTATAACATTCCTCCATGACAGGTCAAATACCTGAGTTAAATTTTGGAAAGCTTTTATATACCTATCAAGGTCATCAGAAAATTGGCCTAAGTCTCCCTTTATTTGCCTAAGGTTCCGCAATGAGAAGGGAACTTGTAGGGGCCCCAGAGAAGTAAGATCCTCAGATGGTTCCCCTGGAAGTTTCTTTTCTAATTTGGGGGAATTATTCTCTTTGTGCCTGCCTGATATGATTGCTGAAAGAACTGGGTATATTTTGTAATGGCTGTAGAAGATCTAATAAAAAGGCCATAACCTTACCCAAAATCAAATGAGACGCTTTTTCTTTAAAGTCTCAGGGTCAAAGGAGTCCCTGTGCTTCAGAATGCACTCCAGAGGAGTGCACGCCAAAGATAATAAAGAGAAGTGAGAAAAAGGCATCCCTTTAGTCTCCTCCCCTTTGGTGTGACCCAGAGTGGAGAGGAAGACAGTGGGGGCATCCTCCCTGCTGTTTTCCCTCTGTGGTTCCTGGGTCCCAGCACCTTGTTGAATGTGCCACCCATGGTTGCAAGCATGACCCCCAACCATGGAACCAGAGGAACTAAATGATTGGGGCTAGTCACACTCACCCAAGTGGCTCTAGTCCTCTGTGTGGGATTTTCCTTGGACTTTCTAGACTTCTGTGACCTGCCTGGCTCCCCCAAAAAATGTATCTAAAAAAAAAAAAAAGCCACACACACACACACACACACACACACACACACACACTATATAATAGTTGGCCAAAGCCACTTTAATGGAGGGCGCATGCTAGACTGAACCCTATATCCTGCTATTATGGCCCATGCTGAATTGTTTACCCTTAGAGAATGGTTCTGGTTAACTACTAAAGTTAAAATCCCCTTACTAATTAATTGCCACTCTAACTGGTGGTAGAATAGGTGACTTAAAAGAACATAGGGACCGAATGGCTATTTTTCTGTTGATGAGACAGTATTGAGACTAAAATTTGGTTTTATAGGATATTATACCCCTAAAAGTTGAAGGCAGGATTTTCTCACTTACAGAAGCAGCGTGAAGCCTGATTTCTAGCAGAGAGGTGCAAAAAGGGAAGAGAATTGGGAGGCTAAGGTATTTTGCTGAAGGACTGATAATGTGCCTCATGGAGAGGATTCCTATTCCACTAGGTGGTGCTGTTGACCTTGAAACACCATGTGCTGTCTAGACCAAGGGGAGAGTGACGTTAACATGCCATGTGCTTTCCAGACCAAAGGCAGAGAGAGACCTGGAAATGCCATGTGCTCTCCAGACCAAGAGAAGAGAGAGACACTCACCGTTGGGGGGGAAACCTCTGTTCCTAGAAAATCACAAAGACACCTTCCCTTGAGCTATGTCCCTGGTTACTATGACATTCCCTGATCTTGACAAACAAGATTACTTCCCTGAACTGTAAAACTTCCCATGGGTTGCATACACAGAGAAGATAAACGATATGATGGTCATAGACAGGAAAGGAGGAATTTACTATAGGAAAGTTGGAGATCCTGTTGCTGACACCCACTGGGGTGGTCAGAGGTTGGGGTCAGTCCAATAGCCTTTGGATGACACTGGGGGGTAGCCCTGGCCAGAAATCTTCAGCTTCCCCAGGACTTCTTCCAGTCCCACACAACGGCTAAGTCTTCCATGAAAGGAAGTTGGTTTAAACATGGCCAATATGACAGAAACCCATGGGTACTGGGTGATTCTCCATGTTCTCCCCAGCATGCGGGTCCCCCAAGTCTTGTAAGGCTGGGAGCCATGCTAATCGTTTTCAAATGGCTGAAGGGGGCCCAGTATTTGGTTTGATTTGGTTCTAAAATGGAGGCCAAGAGCCTCAGAATGAAAGGACAGAGCTGGAGTCCACTCCACTACTCTACTCACCATTCTGATGAATGTTGTACCTTGGTATCCCAGACGAGGTCCTCATCATGAAGCAGCTAAATTGTCTGCGGTATGTGCCCTGGGGTTTGTTGTCACACGCCAGGAAAATTTAGGACGCAGACACACATTAGGAGTTTATGAGCAGAGGTTTAATAGGTAGAAGAGAAGAGTAAGAGAAACAGCTTCCTCTATAAAGGAAGGGGGTCTCCGAGTGGAAAGGACCAGCTGATGGCAAATGCGCCGAGTTTTATAGTCCAGGTTAAGAAGGCAAGCGTCTGATTTACACAGGACTCACAGATTACTTCAATCAGATATGATGTTTACATAGCATGCAGGGAAGGCTGGTCTCCCAAGCCTAATCTTATTATGCAAATAAGCTTCCCAATTGATTGGTGCCATCTTGTCTGTTCCTTACAGCACATGTGGCTGCCAGAGAAGGGAAGATGGAGTTGCCATCTTTAAAATGTCTAGTCCTTAGTTTCTGCCAGCATTCACCCATGCAAAATCGCAGCTTGCAGGCTGCTCTTTATTAGAAAGTGATTTGGGGCTAGTAAACATTAAAAACAATAGGCTTACCAAGGACTCCAATGCCCTTGCTATCTGCCTAAGTAATTCCTTCTTAACTCCTGTATCACCATGATCAAATTGGATTTATCTCTCAGATTCAAGTATGTTTTAACATAACCAAATCCGTAAATGTGATCTGTCACATCAACAGAATGAAGGACAAAAACCATATAATTATACTGATAGACACACACACAAAAAATTGATTCAATTCAACATTGCTTCATAATAAAAGTTCTTAACTAGGCACTGAAGAAACATACCTCAACATAATAAAGGCTATACATGACAAACCTATAGCTAACAACATACTAAACATCAAAAAGCTGAAAGCCTTTTCTCTAAGAACTGGAGCAGGAAAAGAATGACCACTTTCACCTCTCCTATGCAACATTGCACTGGAAAAACTAGCCAGAGCAATCAGGCAAGAGAAAGAAATGAAAGGCATCCAAATTGGAAAATGGGAAGTCAAATCGTCCTTCTTTGCAGATGACATAATCTTAAATCTAGAAAAACCTAAAGACTCCACCAAAAAAACTCTTTGATCTGATAAGAAACTTCAGTAAAGTTTTATGATTAAAAAAACATACAAAAATCAGTAGCATTTCTATACACCAATAATGAACTAGCTAAGAAATAAATCACAAAGGCAATCTTATTTACAAATATAAAAATAAAATAAAATACATAGGAATAAATTGACTCTTTTTTTTTTTTTTTTTTTTTTTTGAGATGGAGTCTCGCTCTGTCACCCAGGCTGGAGTGCAGTGACGCAGTCTTGGCTCACTGCAAGCTCCGCCTCCCAGGTTCACGCCATTCTCCTGCCTCAGCCTCTCCGAGTAGCTGGGACTACAGGCGCCCGCCACCACGCCCGGCTAATTTTTTTTTTTTATTTTTAGTAGAGACGGGGTTTCACCGTGGTCTCGATCTCCTGACCTCGTGATCCACCCGCCTCGGCCTCCCAAAGTGCTGGGATTACAGGTGTGAGCCACCACGCCTGGCCGCATGGGGAGTTTTATGAGCCAGTCCTCAGGATAGCATACCCCCAATTATGTTGGTCAGAAACCAACCATATAGGACCAACCTGATTACTAAGGAATCTGGGTCTTCCTGTGTGTCTGAGAAGAGAAGCAAGTTTGAGAATGTATCTAACCTCTGCTACAATCTGTCTCATATGAATTAAATAAAAGTGAGTCTGTTCCTGGAGATTCATTTGTGTGTGTGTGTACATGTGTGTGTGCGTGTGTGTGTGTGTGTGTGTGAATAAATCAATAAAGTCTAGTTTCAACTATACAGGGATGAACGTAAAACTTGTCTTATGAAGATTCAATTGAGAAATCCTACCTTAAGCCATTCAACAATAGACCAAAATCAAGATATTGTAAACATCAGAAACTGAAGCCCAGGTCTTTTGCTGTGAAAATTCAGGCTCCCATATTATTGATATAATTTTAAATATTACAGTTTTATGAAAGTAAAATCATCTTAAATTTTTGCCATTCTGTTTTCAAGAAAATAAAAAAGGTCATCAAATTATCTCTTTACAACTTGTTGCAAATTAAACGTGACACAAGAAAAATAAGGGATGATTTTACCTTGATAGTAGATAAAAATGAACTGTCTTTTAGCAACCATATCAACTAACTCACATATGTATGCACAAAAAGAAATAATTATAGATTGCCTAACAATAGCAACTACCATAAATGCAGCACTTTTTTAAGTGCCAAGTACTATGCTACGTTCTTTATCTACTTTGTGATGAATCTCCTGTCAACTCTGTAAAGTGTTTATCTTTATTCTTCTTTTACATAAGAGGAAGCTAAAAGTCCAAAAGGAAAAGAAATATAATAAGTGGTCTGTCAATAGCTTAATGATCAAATATATAAGGTCATGTGGATAATAAGTAGATTTAAACTTGTATCAAGTGACAATTACACATATTTTAAGATATTGACAGCATGGAATGAAAATGAGTTTTAAAAAAATAATCTGCAAGTATTAATCCTCAGTAAGCCAATGAAATAACTGGCCATTTTCTGATTTCAAGTTTTATTTACTATTATAAACCAGGCAAAAGAGAATATTAATTAAAATAATTGGTATTTACTGAGCTCTTAGTATGTACCAGAGACTATGTTAAATAATGTATGTGCACTTTGAAAATGTATCAGTCGGCTATTACCACAAAAATGTTGTGTAATAAACAGTACCTAAATTCACTGACTTAAAACAATAAGCATTTAACTGACTAAGATTTGTGGGTTGACAACAACTCTGCAGAGATAGGCTGTATTTTATATTTGGGGCTCAAGTATGAAGATTGGGTTTAGATCTATTCTATAACACTTCCATTCTACATGAACCAAAAGTTACCTGGGGTATGTTTTTCTTAAAGCAAATAACAGGAATGCAAGAGAATGAGTGAAAAAGCATAAGGTCACCTAAGGCTTTAGCTCATAACGAACACATTATCACTACCGCCCACATTCTCTGTCCAAACTCACCATCAGTGGGTAGCAGCATAAAGTCATAAGGCAAAGGGCACAGGAAGAGCATTGGAATATTGTAAAAATAATTCAATCAACCACATAAAGTATTTGCTCATAATAACTCTTTTAGGGCGACACCTAAAAAAGATGAGAAACTTTTCTTAGTCACATAGTACCTAGTTCGGAAGTACAAGAGTCATATTTTAAACTCTTATCTGTTTAACTACAACCTAAGCTCTAAACTGCTACAAAATCAAACTGATAGAATTTTTTTTTTTTTTTGAGACAGTCTGACCCTATTGCCCAGGTTGAAGTTCAGTGGCACAACACCTGTTCACTGCAAGCTCTGCCACCCTCCCAAGTACCTGGGACTACAGGTGTGCATCACCACACCCAGCTAATTTTTATATTTTTTGTAGAGATGTGGTCTCTCAAGCTGGTCTTTGAACTCCTGGGCTCAAGCAATCTACCTGCCTTGGCCTTTCAAAGTGCTGGGATTACAGGTGTGAATCCGGTCTGACAGTGTTTTTGAGTCAAGGTTCCATACCAGTTCATGCTGTTTCAGGCTCCTGGACACAGGAATATTGTCATGCTATAGCTTTTTTGATATCTATTTCATCATTAGTCCAAGAACTGATTTATTGACCAGTCAGGTGTTTCAAAAAGCACAAGAACTCTTTTAAATATCTGGTTTGTTGTTACTAATACTCTAAAATCATTCAATTCAACCGGGCATTTTGTGTATCCATAATTAGAGGGTAGTTTATGGAATTGTATTTGGCAAAGTATTTTATGTCAGGCATCTGGTATCTTATTTACCTTTATACAATTTTATAAATCTATAAATTTTATAGAAATTTCATGAATTATAAACATTTAGAACTTTATTAATTTTTTAAGAAATGTATGACACATAATCCCAATGATTTCTGCATATCTATTTTGAGAAGATATGTTTTCAGATAACAATATTTGGATAGGAATTACTATTAAGAGAAGTTACAAAAGTTACACTGATTCACATATAGGTTGAATTGTTCCCTGTGGAAGATAAAGCTGTCATAACTTATCTGAGATGAGATTTTACTTAAATAAAAATAAATGTAGATGCAAATGAATGTATCATAATTCAATTAATAAAAATTTTGTAGATATTTTTGTTTCTTAGATTGGAGAAGACTTCAAAGGCCTTTAGTAGCCAGCATGTGAAGCAATAGAATCACATCTGGCAATTAGAATCATCACATATCACCTTCATCAGGACTTTGAACTCTCTTCAAAGGAAAGAGGTTCTTACTGGGTTTTTACTTTTTTTTAAGTAGTTCTATTTGGTATATTTTTGTTCAAGCTTAAATATTCCATCCTAGAATTATACCAGATATGTAAGGAATATTTTGGAGTTTTTATGAGAGAATTATTACTTAGGTTAACAAAATACTACTACATTGACTATAATAATAATAATTAGTAGTAGTAGTAGTATAATTATGATTGTACCCCAGAAATGCTATGCTTTCAAATAATTGAAACTTAAATTAGAGAGAAAATAAAGTCTCTCTAAGACCTAACAATATAGTAGGACCTTATCTACTATGATTTAGAAGAGAAAAGAGTGGCAAAACCTGACTGGAATAGAAACAAGAGGATTCATGGATATGCAAACCAGGTCACCAGAGAGATTAGTAGTGATGAAAATTCAAGATACTCAGGAGAGAGCCAAACTGGGAAGACAGAGGTCAAATCTGAAACAAGACAAAGTAGATGTCACAGGGTTTTCTAGACCTGGGATCTGAGAAATTCCCCTTTGTTTATATTTTGGAGAGCAGGAGATAAATGGTGAAAGTAGAATCTACATTTACATATTAGGATGCAGGAATGAAATTTTCAAATAATTTGTCATTTCACAACAATTGTCCCTACAGACCCAACGCCTAGGCTAGAGGGTAGCAATTTTAGGTATGCTGATTTCCAACTTGAATGTGAATGAATCTTTTTATGAATAAGTAAGCAATTTACTGAGATAAATGGCCATGAAATATCAATAATTTAGGACCTAAGGTAAAGCAGAAATATAGAGATTTACTGAAGGGAAAGTTTATATTTTTTCTTATTATAACATCTATGTCATTTTTAACACAAATGCTGGTCTTAAAAATGTTTCACTAAAAAATTATTGACACTCCAAAGTCTATGTGTAGACACATACATACATGCACATACACATATGTATATATAATTGATTGTGATTATATGTGTGTGAATAAACACATAAATACACATGTGGGACCTCTGGGAAGTGATGAGATTATGAGGGCAGAGCCATCAGAAATGGGGTTAGTGCTCTTATAAAAGAGGCCCAAGGGAGCTCACATGCCCCTTCCACTAAGTGAGGACAGCGTGAGAAAGCACCATCTATGATAAAGTGCTGCCCTCGCCAGACATCAAATTACTGGCATTTAATCTTGGACTTTCCAGCTTCCAGAACAGAGAGAAATAAATTTCTGTTGTTTATAAGCTACCTACTGTATTTTTTTTTATCAGCCCAAACGTACTAAGACAGGACATTTATTTATTTATTTCTATTAAATTTCTTTTTTTCTCTTTTGTATGTGTTGGGGTGGGTGTGGGTGTATGTGGTTTTAGCAGGAGAGATAAAAACAAAATTGCTTTATTCCACTGTCTATACTAGAAATTCATAATAGATTTTTAAAATAATAAAGTATACCTTAATAAATAAAATGAATTTAGTTATGTATTAATTACCTAAAATTACAATTCCCAGTAGACATAGATCATTATAATCTGAAAGATTAAATTGCCAAGCATTTCACTCTCCAATTTAAATGCATAAGTCATATGTGTAATTTTAAATTTGCTACTAGCCACTTGCAAAGTAAAAAAAAAAGTTAAATTGTATATTTTAATTCATTATATCTAAAGCATTATAAATATAATGTGTAATCAATATTTCATTAATAAAATATCTTACATTTTCTTTTCATATTCATCTTCAAAATCCAGTGCATATTTCCTACTTAGAACACATTTCAATTTGGACTAGCCACATTTGAAGTGCTCAATATTCACATGCAGCTTGTGGCTACCACATCAGACCATGCAGGTCTAGTATATAATATGGTAGACACTCCAAAATTATAGCTACATTATCTTCATCATCATTATTGACATGTATAAATATTTAGCATGCAATTGAAATCTTTAATGCCATAGAGTCAGACACAGAGAGTCTTGGATTAGAATACTAAAGAATACTAAAGATGTTAGGTAATGATTCCTCTGAGCATTTCCTTTACATCTACAAGTAAGAATAATCCAGGGGAGTTTCAAGAGCTCTGTGCAATCTTATACATAAAATTGTCTACCATATTTTCTAAAGATGTTAAATGTAGAGTAAGACAGATTATCAATTTTGTCAACCTTGAGGTTTTTGTGCCACTGAAAGACTTACAGCAGTCACAGAATTGGTTAACTGGCAAAAGTTAACATTCAGTATATTCAAACTACCTCTTCACTTCCTATCTACCCTTCTGCCTCTGTTTTCTCAGCCAACGTTGTTCCTGGATTCTCCTCCTTTCACCATCTATGGTATTCATAGAGGCAAGAGGCAGAGAAATTCTAGGCAGACAGGGGTCGGTCCCTGGAAAAACTCCACCTTCAAGATGAAAAGCCTGAAATCCACAGCCCAAAGTGACAACTTCCATCCCTATGTGCCCGTTCTCTCCCAATTGGTTCTTTCTGAATAATGTCTTTTTACCAACTGAATGCTGCCTTTTCCAAAACTACCTACGGCTCTCCCTGTTTTCCATCCTGAGCCTATAAAGACCCCAGATTCAGCTGGTAGAGATGAGAAGTGGCCGGATGTCAGGGAGAGACAAGACTTCAGAAGAGAGAGGAAGAGAGGCAGCTTGACTTCAGGGGAGAGTGACCTTCCCTTTTCATCCCCTTTCCAGCTCCCCTATCCACTGAGAGAAACTTTCATCACCAATAAAATTCTATGCATTCACCATCCTTCAATTCATCCATGTGACCTCATTCCTCTTGGGCACCAGACAAGAATTCAGGATGCACAATGTACAAGTAACCAAAAAGGCTGTCACCCTGGCCCTTTGCCCTTGCTGGTGGAAGGTAGCCACCCCACATGATGAGGCAAAGGGCCCAATGAGCTGATAACACACTGCTGTCTGTGGACAGTGGAGCTAAGAGAGCATTGTAACACACCTTCTGGGCCCTTGGGGTCACAGGCACCCCCACCTGGATGCTGCTATGGGACCTGCACGGAGTTTGCTCCAGCCAGTGCCAAAGCGGCTGGCAGATTCCTGCACTTGCTCACCTACCTGCTTCCTCCTACAAGGGCTGGAGCACAGTGAACTCAGGTGAACTAAATTTGCTCCTGTTGGCACTGAAATGGCCAACTTGGTCTTGCACTTGTTTGCTCCTGTTCCTGCATTGCATCCCATGAAGGGTTGAGTCTGGCAGGCTGAGTAAACTGGACATCCCTTTTGCGAGTCCCATGAAGAGGTCAAGAAAACATCCTGCATCACTATGAATGAGAGGGCCAGGATGAAAGAAGAAGCAGAATGTGCAAGACTGTAAATATGTCCACAGGGGTGTGATAATGGGCCATTTTAATTTTGGAGGCAATCTGCCTTTGCAGACCATTTAGGTGCTTGTGGAAGGGAGGCTTCTACCCTCCCACAGAGACTGGGAGACAGTTCCCCTATCTTTCTTGATGACTACATTTAAAAGGGATGATTCTCAGGTTCCTGAGAAAGACATTCCTAAGTTGTAGAAGATTTACATTTCCGAGGTGTAGGGAAAATATTTTCAACTGAAAGTCATCGAAAGTAAATGCACTGAGAAAAGAGAGTTCAGAGGCTTATAGCTAGAAAGAAGCCTATCTAATGTTTAGTCAGGGTGAGGGAAGTGTTAAGGTTGTCTTGGTCAGCCCTCACAGGATGGACTATGTGGAGGCACTTTATAAGACAGAGATGGTCCCTGACAGTGAGGTAGGAAAGTCAGGGTGAGATGCATTGTTGGAGGAAGGAGTACTGGTTCTTGAACAGGAGAGAAGGTGCAGATATGACAGAGAGGAAGAGGGCGTGTACGTGCAGTAGACTGGGTATTGAAATGGGATAAAATGTAGATTACCTAAAAATGTTAGCAGAACCATCAAACTCCAATGACCAAAGCCAGGTAGACAAATACATGAGTTTAGCTAGCCAGTTGTAATACACCAAGGAGTGTTGGGGGCTGTGGTAGATTTGAGAGTATTTGCCCAGACTTATTTTGAAAGTGGAGTCTCAGGCCCCACCCAGACCTACTGAATCAGAAGATACATTTTAGCAAGATCTTAAAGGGATACACAAGCACATTAAGGTTTGAAGAAGCATAGCTTAAATCCCGCCTCCCCAAATAATAACCTTTTTCTTACCATTTGCTTGCATGGGTTTTGATCATTTACAATACCTTGCCCACACAGCAGCACTTAGAGGGGAAGGACTTTTTTTACTTTGTAAATATTTGCTCTGACAACAGATTTTCTGAGTGAATGAAAGTGTTGCCCTATAGGTGACCTATGTAAAATTATTCTTGCAGGTTGGCCCTCATGTCGCTCAGGATTAATCACATGTATTTACTTATGAAGGTGAGAATTTCAAATATAGTCCTGAATCACATTCTGAAATGCATTGTGGTATGCAAAGGGAAAAGACAAACACATAACTATTACATATTCTTAAAAACAAAGGGAAGAAAGAGCAACAGAAAACATATTAATGTGATTTTATAGCCGAGATTTTTAAAACAAGCATGATGGAATGTAAAGTTATAGTCCTCATAGGAATCATAACTGGGCTGTAAGGCAAATATATATTAAGGCATAAATATTAGAGTCTATATAATAATAGAAAATACTACAACCAGATATGCCAAGAGACTAAATTATAATTGGCATGGGAACCATAGATTTGGAACTTCTTACTGCTTAGAATTTAAATTGCTCTGAAACACTGAAGTCATATGAAGCCGTCCAGGTACCATAGGATGAGTGAAGAAGTAATATTAGCAACAAACAGTTAATGATATTTTATTTAAATCATCTAGATAATTTAATTAAAGGAATAATCAGTTACAAACTTAAATAATGGCTCGTAAGTTTCATATAATGCATACAAAGCCCATCAGTGTAACTATACATGGAATTATAGGTAGTCTAAGTATAAAGGGCATATCAACCTACTAGTTTTGACACATTAACTTAGAATGTATTATAATGTAGATGAGGAAACTCACAGGCAATTGGCAAAGGAAGAAGTCTTTGATAACATAAGGCTGGAGGTTTGCCAACTATGCTGTGGATGTGTGTGTGTGTATGCTGACCAACATGGCCTTAACACTCCCTTGAACTTGACTAAATTTTAGACAGGTTTCTTGCTAACTATATGCCCCTGATTTCCTTTTTCTAAGAGCATTTACTTTAGAAAACTTGGAATTGTAAATTATTTCTTAGCCCCTTGGAGACAGAAATCTACAATCAATGTTTCCCTCAAGGACCTAGGAGCCACCCCTTTAAAATGTAATCACAAGAAACACAGTGATTTTATCTCCCAGTCCCTGTAGGAGGGTAGGAGTCTAATTTTATAAGCACCAGTTAGTAAATAGAGATGGTCTAATCACATTGACCAATCTTCTCCCTGATGTCCTCCAGTATTTTGCCACTAGCTTGTCCCAGGGCTTAAAATGTCTCTAGCCTTTTGTTTCAGCAGAGTTGAGTTCAATCTCTTTCCCCTATTGACATATCCTTAGCCCCTATTCAAATAATCTTAAAGCTTTTCTTGCCTGTTTTATTCTGTCTGGTACAATTTTTCTTTAACAGAGAGAGAGACAGAGACAGTGTGTGTGTGTGTGCGTGTGTGTGTGTGTGTGTGTGTGTGTGTGTGTGTGTGTGTAGAGGGACTCCCAGGGGACCTCAGGAACAGGCCTGCTCCATGCACTCTTTTATGAAAACAGTTGTCTTTAATCTGTTCTATGTGTTGAAGTATTTTCCTAAAATTATATTTAAACAAATATCACCATAGTTTTAAAAGCATTTAGAGTATGCAACTGTTATGCATCCATACAAACTGAAAATTTTAAAAAAATTGAAACACTTTAGGAATTATTTCATTTTTCTGATGAAATGAGATAAGGGAAAGCTCCAGAGCATAAGAGATTCATTGGAAAGCCCAAGATCCAACTGTGAGCAGCAGAGCATTGGGAAGCTGCTCCAGTGCTCTTCAGAAGTTATATTTGTATCATCAAGGCAGAAAATGTGAACTAGGCAAAGTAAGAGAAACATGAAGGCGTGGTTAACCTACTTAAAAGGACAATCTCCAAGTGCCTTAGGAACACTAATTTGCATGTAACCAATTCATATGTAAATTAGGAGTAATCTTTATTTAGGACCTTTGTTTGGGAACATTTATTACCCATTAGTTCTGTTATTTTTACTTCAATGCTTATTTTCCTAATTTGTGCATAATCATGTAAAGGATTATAAACTCAATGTTGAAAAATATATAGCGAAGAAATAAATAGAAGCCAAGAGCACAGGGGCAAATAGTGACTTTAGTTTATTTGTATCAAATGAGTAATTCCTTAGTATTTTAAGTTAGAAGGTAACTTAGGGCAGATAATCACAAAGGTTATCAGTTTGGCTGAGATGCTTAGCTTTGCAGAGTCTCACTTCCTCATTTGTAAAATAGTCAGTAATAATCCCTAACTTTTTACTGCTTTTATGACAATAAAGAAAATATATTTAAAGTGCTAAGACAGTACTATTGAAGCCCCTAGTAAGGGCTCAACATGGTGATGTTAGTGTCCAACATCAAAATAAGCTTCTTCCCCTTCACCTTCTGCTTCCCCTTCTCCTTTTTGTTCTCATCCTCCTTCTTACTCCTCTATATTGTATCCCTAAGACAATTTGCCTAAATGCTAACAACTATTTGACATTAGTTTCAACTATAGGCTGTGGAAACCTACAACCAAAGGGTTCAATCTTTGGTTTCTAACTCAGTGTTGACTTTAATTAAACCAAAAAATTCCAATTAGTACAGATTTTTTTCAGGTATACTAATAGTACTAATTTGAGGCAAATGGTAATGATCAAATTAATTGGTTTGTGTCACTCTATCAATATAGGTATGGCCAGTACTTATTGATCCTTTTCAATAATGTCTCTTTCTAAGACTCTGTTAAGGTATTTTATGGGAATGATTAAAACAAAAGGCAAAAAATTAAGTATTATTCAAGAAAGAATGTATTAAATAAAATAATGCTACTATTGAGTTCTCATGTAAAATAACATTCCTTTAATATTTCAAAGTCACCAGAAGTCAAGTCAAATCAATGCATGAGTGAAGAGAGAAAATGGTAAGGTTAGGGCAATATTTTTGCCAAACTTTGTTCTGGAAGTTCTTATTAAAATAAAAAAATGACCTAAATTATCTTTCTATGTATTCTATTTAAACATTTGTTTTCCTTTGAATTGGGAGGGAAACTGCAAGTCAAATTAGGGAGAAGTGCTGTCATGCTGATGGAGACAATACCAAAGATTTATCTACTTAGACAAATGAAATCAGAGTCTGTAGATCTGAAATGTTTTGATGCCTCTGCAGAAATACAAAAAGTTGTAAACAAATGCTATTTTACTGTAGTCAAATTTGGTGCCGTTTTCTAGAGGCTCCTGATTGTCAAAAGTTAGCTTTATCAAATCAGTTCCACGGATTTCAAGAGACTGAAAAATAAGGTTATTACAGAAAGTGTAGATTGCACAGTTAAGACTGACTTTTAGATGACAATGAATAATTTTTAGTATAAATATATCCTGAATATTCTTTCTATATATGTGTATGTGTATTTTACATATATTCCTTCTTTTATCTATGTATCAACTAAGTATTATCTATCTATTCTATCAACAAAATAACCAATAACAGCTTCTGGATATTATTTTTCTTTAATATATTGTTTGACCTAATGGGCCAAACTGATTTTCATTTTGAGTATTTATATTTTCAAATAGTTCATTCATAAATAGTCATTTTAAGGCTATATCTACAGAAAAAATAAAGGTATGTAGTTTATAAAAAAGAAAACATTGCATGCCAATATTTTGTAATATTTGCTGAATGAGCAACAGTTTAAATTTTTTGGTATTCTAAATTCACATACATAATGGAATCTCCTGAATTACCTGAATTTTTAGCTGTTCAGATTGATATGAATTTAGCTTAGCTTAGAAACCCCCATTCCGTAGGTGATCCAAATATGAAAAAATGCCTTCTATCCACTGAAATAATTTTCATGCCTATTGACACATAAAATATACACATGCAGTTTTATGTTAACTGTTGAAACTCAAACTAAAGAGTTGTAAATTGCATAAAATAAATCAGCTTTACATTTTGGTCAGATACATTTCAAGAAATTTTAAAACTAAGAACATGTAATGATGTAGTAAAGTGAAAAGTAAATTCTGAAACCTCTCTGTCCTACAACTATGAATAAGAATTTTTTATAATTCATTTACATTTTTTTTTTTTTTTTTTTTTTTTTGAGACGGAGTCTCGCTCTGTCGCCCAGGCCGGACTGCGGACTGCAGTGGCGCAATCTCGGCTCACTGCAAGCTCCGCTTCCCGGGTTCACGCCATTCTCCTGCCTCAGCCTCCCCAGTAGCTGGGACTACAGGCGCCCGCCACCGCGCCCGGCTAATTTTTTGTATTTTTAGTAGAGACGGGGTTTCACCGTGTTAGCCAGGATGGTCTCGATCTCCTGACCTCATGATCCACCCGCCTCGGCCTCCCAAAGTGCTGGGACTACAGGCGTGAGCCACCGCGCCCGGCCACATTTTTAATGAAAATACAAATTGATTTGCTCAATCATAAACACAGTTTTTATTTTTTGTTAACTTTTTCAGATAAATATGCATTTTCTATGCCAAAAACAACAGACAAATATTCTATATATCAAGTTAAAGTAGTTAACATTTAAACTAAGTTTGTGAACTAGAATATGAAAATAATGAACGAAAAAGGATGTATAAGATATTCCTCATTTGTTCCTGGCTCTCCAATTCACTTACGAAATTTTTCTCTCTGCTGATCTTCTGGTAGCGAACTCTTTTAGTATGGATTTATGTAAAATATATAAATTTGTTTCAACTTCATTTCTAAAGTGTATTTTAACTAAATATAAAGTTTATGCTCAAGTTTATTTTCTTTCAACCCATTGATGCTCCACCGTCACTGGTGTTCATTGTTTCTTTTGGGAACTCAGCTGCTAATTTAAGTCTTTGTTGTTTAAATGTCACATGCTTTTTTTTTTTTTTTTACTGGCTGCTTGCCAGATATTTGATATTCCACAGTTTTATAGTTATACCATGGATACAAATTATTTATTTTATACACCTTGGGGCTTATTGGGTAGATGTTTTTCATCAATTCTGAAAAATTCTGATTCCTAATAGATTTCAATATTTCATCTTCCCCATTCTTTCTCTTTTCTCTTTTTGAGATTCCAACTAATCAATTTGGATCTGCCCCCTTTTTTCTCTATGCTCCTATATTCTCTCCATTTTTCATCTCTCCCTGCTTTACTTGAGCTATTTTTTCTGGTATATTTTCTCGTTGATTAATTTCTCCTCAGCTATTAAACCCAGCTATTGAATTCTACGTGTTATTTTTTGTATTTTTTTAGTTTTTGAGTTTCTACTTTATTTAATTTCTAATTTGCTAGGGCATTTTAATATTTCAGTCCTTGCCATAAGTTCCACGCTTATGGCAAGCACGTGATTTATCTCCCTAAATTAGGTGAATATAGCTATCTTACAGTCTGTGTCTGATAATTCCAGTATCTAGGGTTGTTGTGAATCTCTTTGTATTGTCTATTACTTCTGCCGGTTCTTAATCATAGAGACTTGTCTACTCAAATTCTGCTCATCTTTATTTTATTCTAGATACTGTGTTTGAGAAATTATTTACAGAAATAATTTGCAAAGAAAGATGATGTTATCATCCTCCAGAAAGGATCTTCTACTGTTTTCCAAGGCATCTAGGTCACAAAAATTTCTAAATCATCTTGATCCAAACTCAAGGACTGAAATTTTCTTGACCACCCAAAAGCTATGAAGCAGGTACGAAGTTTGTTCAAAGCCTAGTTCCCGTCTTGTTCCTTCTTACTACTAGAGTCCAACGAAAACCATGAGGTAATTTAACATGCTCCTACATTCAACACCCTCCACTCTGTCCTGGGGTTCCTTAATTGCAAGAGGCAAGCCTATCAGCTGATTTCTCTTTTTTTTTTTTCATCTATGAATACCACTGGAACAAAAACAATTCCTCACAAAGGCTAGGTTTTCTGGATGACTACCATTTTCTGGATCTTAATCTTGCAATTATTACTACTGTTTTTAAAAATTTAATATTGCTTATGTTATTTTTATTTTATTTATTTATTGAGATGGAGTCTCACTCTGTCGCCCAGGCTAGAGTGCAATGGCACTATCTCAGTTCACTGAAACCTTCACCTCCCAGGTTCAAGTGATTATCCTGCCTCAGCCTCCTAAATAGCTGGAATTACAGGTACACACCACCACACCCAGCTAATTTTTGTACTTTTAGTAAAGATGGGGTTGCACCATGCTGCTCAGGCTAGTCTCAAACTCCTGACCTCAGGTGATCTACCAGCCTTGGCCTCCCAAAGTGCTGGGATTACAGGTGTGACCCACTGTGCCCAGACTATTTTTATATTTTTATTAGTAGATTCTAGCTTTTCAAAGTTTACTTCTGCAGGAATTTATGTCCACATTATTTAATTTGTCATTATCAGAGGGGAAGCCCTTGAGTATAGAAAGTTAACTTTAAAAATATATTTTATCTATAGAAGAAAAAAATGTATTTCATATTACTTGGAAAGGATGTCTTATTTCAACCCAAATGTATCTGGCTCTTATTGAGGAGATAAATGCATAAAGCTATAACAGTTTTTTTTTTTTACCTTTGATTACATAATAGAAAAATAAAAGAGCTAATGGGATATATGAAGAATAACTGAAAGTATTTATTCTAAGTAACATGACAACAACCAGAGAAGTGAAGAGTCCCCGATAAAGGGAATCCATTTACTTTGTGGATTTATCAAATTGTTTGTTAAAACAAGTACACTGTTTTCATGCAATTTATCTATTTTGAGTAACTTATAAAGTATGGGGCAAATAATAAAATAAATAGCTCAAAACACTCAAGGCCAAATCATAAGCCATAGTACACCATAATTTGGGGGATAATTTTACTTATATCCAAAATAACATAAATCAAAATGAAAAGAGAGACAAACTAAAGAGTTGACTCTAAACCCCACACAGTAAGAGAAAATGCTTTGCATAAAAAGTAACCAGAAAACAGAAAGAAAAAAAGAAAGGCTGGAAAAAAAATCTGTCTTTCCAAATATCTCAATAGGGAATAAATGGCAATTAAAATGGTTAGAAAATATTTTTTTGTGAAAAAAAAAAAGTGGTTAGCTGGAAATTAGAAGCTGAGGTTGTGTCCAAGCTTGGCTATTGGTTTAATGAACATACCTTCCCTATACTTCCATGTCTTCATAGTATCATTTGTAAAAGAAGCAATTTGTCCAACATACTTTTCTTTTTTTTTTTTTAAGATAGAGTCTCACTCTGTCACCAGGCTAGAGTGCAGTGGTGCAATCTCGGCTCACTACAACTTCCGCCTCCCTGGTTCAAGCAACTCCTCTGCCTCAGCCTCCCAAGTAGCTGGGACTACAGGTGTGCACCACCATGCCTAGCTAATTTTTTGTGTTTTTTAGTAGAGATGGGGTTTTACCACATTGGCCAGGATGGTCTCAATCATCTGACCTCATGATCTGCCTGCCTTGGCCTCCCAAAGTGCTGGGATTACAGGCATGAGCCACCGCACCTGGCCTAGGCCAACAAAGTTTTTAAAACTCATTTCAATCCTAAGATTTCATGATGATATAATTCAGAGTTGCACTTTCTTTTCGATTTTTCATAATTCCTTGAATGAAAACTACAAAAACACACACACATACACATATGAACAAAGAGAACAAAAATGAATGTTTTGAATGCACAAAAATTACCTCTGAGAAAGTAAAAAAAAAAAAAAGGCAGAAATAACATAAACCTGTAAGATGAAAACCATAATTCTGTAACAGGTCAAAATCAATTCACAATTTAAACTAATGAAAACTATGGTTAGCACATGCTTACAAAAATATTCATTACAGTTCTAATTTAATTTCTGTTCTCTAAGCAGCTGTAATAGAATCAGTGAATATTTCCATAATATCTTTTATGTGCATGTCAGTGAGATAAGTTTCATACTCAAAGATTTCTAATTGATTAGACCATAAAATAAGCCTTTTGTTCAAAGAAGAGCAAAAATCAAAAAATAAGAAAGATGACAGTTTACCTTTTAGAGATATACTTCATACAGATATCTGGAGGCTGTTAAAATACTGAATGAAAGCAATAGGCTAGGCAATAAAATCGTGAAATTATCCAAGGAGTCTTAGCCACAACAACTAAACAAGGACATAGGCATATCTTTATGGAGCTGTTTGAAAATGGAAGATTGGCTTATTCTATTTCAAAGATGTTTGCAAATGAGTTACTTTGCAAATAGAAATATCTGGAGGATGATTCAATAGAGCCACTAAAGCAAGTAACTTCTAGTTTTGTTAGTAAGTTTTGAAAATATTACTGGCTTGTGTCATGCCCTTATATACTACATTCTGTCCTTCTTCTGATTTTAAGATTGGATTTGAGCATCGGAAAATATTTACCCCCACATGTACATTTTTAAATCTCATTTCATATTTCATTTTCCTCATTTCTACAATGTTGACCATAACACTTATATGACAGAGTTCTTATGCACACTAACAGTATAAAATAAATTCAAGTCTTTATAAATTGGTAAGAATACATTAACATGAACTGTTACTATTTTCTCCTTGGTAAGGATTTAAACAAATGGAAGCTTTCATGACCAATCTGCCAAGTATTCAAAAAAAATGTAAATGTCAATAAGGACACCACAAATGTCTTTGATCCACAATATGTTTATTTCTGTATTTTTTAAAAAGTTTATATCCATCTACCTATTACCAAGTAAATCAATAAACGCTATCCTTGAAACCCCTCTTTACATCTATGATCACTCCTTTTCTCTTTCCTTCTCTGATTACTTTTTCTTTTTCCTAGACTGATTCTCTAGATGATTTTCCCCTTCAGAATTTTCCACATTATCATCTGCCACTTAGAAATCATAATAATCTTGGGGGGCATTCCAAGATGGCTGAATAGGAACAGCTCTGGTCTGCAGCTCCTAGCGTGAAGGACGCAGAAGATGAGTGATTTCTGCAACCAACTAAGGTACCTGCTTTATCTCATTGGCAATGGTTGGACAGTGGGGGCAGTCCATGCAGGGCAAGCTGAAGCAGGGCGGGGCATGGCAAGCTGAGGCGGGGCATGGCAAGCTGAAGCAGGGCAGGGCATTGCCTCACCGGAAGCACAAGGGATCTGGGGATTTCCCTTTCCTAGCCAAGGGAAGCCATGACAGACTACCTGGAAAAACGGGACACTTCCACCCAAATAATGTGCTTTTCCCAAGGTCTTAGCAACTGGCAGACAAGGAGATTCCCTCCCATGCCTGAATCAGCAGGTCCCATGCCTATGAAGCCTTGCTCACTGCTAGTGGAGCAACCTGAGATTGAACCACAAGGCAGCAGCCTGACTGGGGGAGAGGCATCTGCCATTGCTGAAGCTTGAGTAGGTAAATGAAGTGGCTGGGAAGCTCGAACTAGGCAGAGCCCACTGCAGCTCAAGAAGGCCCACTGCCTCTAGACTCCACCTCTGTGGGCAGGGCATAGCTGAACAAAAGGCAGCAGACAACTTCTGAAGACTTAAATGTCACTGTCTGACAGCTCTGAAAAGAGCAGTGGTTATCCCAGCATGGCGTTTGAGTTCTGAGAACAGAGAGACTGACTCCTCAAGTGGGTCCCTGGCCCCTGTGTAGCCTAACTGGGAGACACCTCCCAGTAGGGCCTGACAGACATCTCATATAGGTGGCTGCCCCTCTGGGACGAAGCTTCCAGAGGAAGGATTAGGCAGCAATATTTGCTGTTCTGCAATATTTGCTGTTCTGCAGCCTCCACTGGTGATACCCAGGCAAATAGTCTGGAGTGGACCTCCAGGAAACTCCAACAGACCTGCAGCTGAGAGACCTGACTGATAGAAGGAAAACTAACAAACAGAAAGGAATAGCATCAACATCAAAAAAAGATCATGTACACCAAAACCCCACCTGTAGGTAACCAACATCAAAGAACAAAGGTAGATAAAATGACAAAGATGGGGAGAAACCAGAGCAGAAAAGGTGAAAATTCTAAAAATCAGAGCACCTCTTCTCCAAAGGATCGCAGCTCCTCACCAGCAATGGAACAAAGCTGGGTGGACAATGAATTTGACAAGTTGACAGAAGTAGGCTTCAGAAGGTCAATAATAAGAAACTTCTTTGAGCTAAAGGAGGATGTTCAAACCCATTGAGAAGTTAAAACCTTGAAAAAAGATTAGATGAATGGCTAACCAGAATAAACAGTGTAGAGAAGTGCTTAAATGACCTGATGGAGCTGAAAACCATAGCATGAGAACTTTGTGACGCATGCACAACTTTCAATAGACAATGAGATCAAGTGGAAGAAAGGGCATCAGTGATTTAAGACCAAATTAATGAAATAAAGCGAGAAAACAAGGTTAGAGAAAAACGGTAAAAAGAAACTAACAAAGCCTCCAAGAAATATGGGACTATGTGAAACAACCAAATCTACAATTGATTGGTGTGCCTGAAAGTGATGGGGAGAATGGAACCAAGATGAAAAACACTCTTGAGGCTATTATCCAGGAGAACTTCCCCAACCTAGCAAGGCAGGCCAACATTCAAATTCAGGAAATACAGACACCACCACAAAGATACTCCTCGAGAAGAGCAACCCCAAGACACACAATTGTAAGATTCACCAAGGTTGAAATGAACGAAAAAGTGTAAAGGGCAGCCAGAGAGAAAGGTCGAGTTACCCACAAAGAGAAGCCCATGAGACTAACAACGGATCTCTTGGCAGAAACCCTAAAAGCTAGAAGAGAGTGGGGATCTATATTCAGCATTCTTAAAGAAAAGAATTTGCAATCCAGAATTTCATATCCAGCCAAACTAAGCTTCATAAGTGAAGGAGCAATAAAATCCTTTACAGACAAGCAAATGCTGAGAGATTTTGTCACCACAAGGCCTGCCTTACAAGAGCTCCTGAAGGAAGCACTAAACATGGAAAGAAACAAGCGGTACCAGCCACTGCAAAAACATGTCAAATTGTAAAGACCATGGATGTTATGAAGAAACCGCATCAATTAACGGGCAAAATAATCAGCAAACCTCTTAATGAAAGGATCAAATTCACATGTAACAATATTAACCTTAAATGTAAATGGGCTAAAGGCTTCAATTAAAAGACACAGACTGGCAAATTGGATAAAGAGTCAAGACCCATCAGTGTGCTATATTCAGGAGACCCATCTCATGTGCAAAGATGCACATAGGCCCAAAATAAAGGGATGGAGGAAGATCTACCAAGCAAATGGAAATAAAAAAAAAAAAAAAAAAGCAGGGGTTGCAATCCTACTCTCTGATAAAACAGACTTTAAACCAACAAAGATCAAAAGAGACAAAGAAGGCCATTACATAATGGTAAAGGGATCAATTCAACAAGAAGAGCTAACTATGTTAAATGTATATGCACCCAATACAGGAGCACCAATATTCATAAAGCAAGTCCTTAGAGACCTGCAAAGAGACTTAGACTCCCACACAATAATAATGGGATAATTTAGCACCCAACTGTCAATATTAGACAAAACAATGAGACAGAGGTTAACGAGGATATCCAGGACTTGAACTCAGATCTGCAACAAGCAGACCTAAAAGACATCTACAGAACTCTCCACCCCAAATCAACAGAATATACATTATTGTCAGCAATGCATCACACTTATTCTAAAATTGACCACATAATTGGAAGTAAAGCACTCCTCAACAAATGTAAAAGAACAGAAATCACAACAAACTATCTTTCAGACCACAATACAGTCAAATTAGAACTCAAGATTAAGAAAATACTCAAAACCACACAACTACATGGAAACTGAACAACTTGCTCCTGAATGAATACTGGGTAAATAACGAAATGAAGGCAGACATAAAGATGTTCTTTAAAACCAATGATAACAAAGACACAATGTACCAGAATCTCTGGGACAATATAAAGCAGTGTGTAGAGGGAAATTTATAGCACTAAATGCCCACAAGAGAAAACAGGAAAGATCTAAAACTGACAACCTAACATCACAATTAAAAGAACTAGAGAAGCAAGAGCAAACACATTCAAAAGCAAGCAGAAGGCAAGAAATAACTAAGATCAGAGTAGAAATGAAAGAGAGAGAGAAACAAAAAATCTTCAAAAAAATCAATGAATCCAGGAGCTGGTATTTGAAAAGATCAACAAAATTGATAGACCACTAGCAAGAATAATAAAGAAGAAAAAAGAGAAGAATCAAATAGATATAATAAAAAATGATAAAGGGGATATCACCACCAATCCCACAGAAATACAAACTACCATCAGAGAATACTATAAACACGTCTATGCAAAGGAATTAGAAAATCTAGAAGAAATGGATAAATTCCTGGACACATGCACCCTCCCAAGACTAAACCAGGAAGAAGTTGAATCCATGAATAGACCAATAACAGGCTCTGAAATTGAGGCAATAATTAATAGCCTACCAACCAAAAAAAGTCTAGGACCAGATGGATTCACAGCCGAATTCTACCAGGGGTACAAAGAGGAGCTGGTACCATTCCTTCTGAAACTATTCCAATCAATAGAAAAAGAGGAAATCCTCCCTAACTCATTTTATGAGGCCAGCATCATCCTGATACCAAAGACTGGCAGAGACACAACAACAAAAAAAAGAGAATTTTAGACCAATATCCCTGATGAACTTCTATGCAAAAATCCTCAATAAAATACTAGCAAACCAAATCCAGCAGCACATCAAAAAGCTTATCCACCACCATCAAGTGGGCTTCATCCCTGGAATGCAAGGCTGGTTCAATATATGGAAATCAATAAATGTAATCCATCACACAAACAGAACCAACAACAAAAATCACATGATTATCTCAATAGATGCATAAAAGCCTTTGACAAAGTGCTCTTCATGCTAAAAACTCTCAATAAAGTAGGTATTGATGTAACGTATCTCAAAATAATAAGAGCTATTTATGACAAACCCACAGCCAATATCATACTGAATGGGCAAAAACTAATGCACAAAAACTGTAAGCATTCCCTGTGAAAACCAGCACAAGACAAGGATGCCCTCTCTCACCACTCCTATTCAACATAGTGTTGGAAGTTCTGGCTAGGGCAATCAGGCAAGAGAAAGAAATAAAGGGTATTCAATTAGAAAATGAGGAAGTCAAATTGTCCCTGTTTGCAGATGACATGATTGTATATTTAGAAAACCCCATTGTCTCAGCCCAAAATCTCCTTAAGCTGATAAGCAACTTCAGCAGTCTCAGGATACAAAATCAATGTGCAAAAATCACAAGCATTTCTAGACATCACTAGCAGACAAACAGAGAGCCAAATCATGAGTGAACTCCCATTCACAATTGCTATAAAGAGAATAAAATACCTAGGAATCCAACTTACAAGGGATGTGAAGGACCTCTTTAAGGCAAACTACAATCCACTGCCCACTGAAATAAAAGAGGACAAAAACAAATGGAAGAATATTCCATGGTCATGGATAGGAAAAATCAATATCGTGAAAATGCCCATACTGCCCAAGATAATTTATAGATTCAGTGCCATCCCCATCAAGCTACCAATGACTTTCTTCACAGAATTAGAAAAAAAAAACTACTTTAAAGTTCATATGGAATCAAAAAGAGCCCACACTGCCAAGAGAATCCTAAGCAAAAAGAACAAAGCTGGAGGCATCACGTTACCTGACTTCAAACTATACTATAAGGCTACAGTAACCAAAACAGCATGGTACTGGTACCAAAACAGAGATATAGACCAAAGGAACAGAACAGACGCCTCAGAAATAACACCACACATCTACAACCATCTGATCTTTGACAAACTTGACAAAAACAAGAAATGGGGAAAGAATTCCCTATTTAATAAATGGTGCTGGGAAAACTAGCTAGTCATATGTAGAAAGCTGAAACTGGATCTGTTCCTTACACCTTATACAAAAATTAATTCAAGATGGATTAAAGACTTACATGTTAGACCTAAAACCATAAAAACCCTAGAAGAAAACCTAGGCAATACCATTCAGGACATAGGCATGGGCAAGGACTTCATGACTAAAACACCAAAAGTAATGGCAACAAAGGCCAAAATTGACAAATGGGATCTAATTAAACTAAAGAGCTACTGCATGGCAAAAGAAACTACCATCAGAGTGAACAGGCAACCTACAGAATGGGAGAAAATTTTTGCAATCTACCCATTTGACAAAGGGCTAATATCCAGAATCTACAAAGAACTCAAACAAATTTACAAGAAAAAAACAAACAACCCCATCAAAAAGTGGGCAAAGGATATGAACAGACACTTCTCAAAAGAAGACATCTATGCAGCCAACAGACACATGAAAAAATGCTCGTCATCACTGTTCATCAGAGAAATGCAAATCAAAACCACAATGAGATACCATCTCACACCAGTTAGAATGGCAATCATTAAAAAGTCAGGAAACCACAGATGCTAGAGAGGATATGGAGAAATAGGAACGCTTTTACAATGTTGGTGGGAATGTAAATTAGTTCAACCATTGTGGAAGACAATGTGGCAATTCCTCAAGGATCTAGAACTAGAAATACAATTTGACCCAGTAATCCCATTACTGAGTATATACTCAAAGGATTATAAATCATGCTACTATAAAGACAAGTGCACACATATGTTTTATTGCAGCACTATCCACAATAGCAAAGAGTTGAACCAACCCAGAAGTCCATCGATGATAGACTGGATTAAGAAAATGTGGCACATATACACCATGGAATACTATGCAGCCATAAAAAGTATGAGTTCATGTCTTTTGCAGGGACATGGATGAAGCTGGAAACCATCATTCTCAGCAAACTATCACAAGGACAGAAAACCAAACACCGCATGTTCTCACTCATAGGTGGAAATTGAACAATGAGATCACTTGGACACAGGAAGGGGAACATCACACATCAGGGCCTGTCAGGGGGTGGGGGGCTGGGGGAGGGATAGCATTAGGAGATATACCTAATGTAAATGATGAATTGATGTGTGCAGCAAACCAAATGGCACATGTATACCTATGCATCAAACCTGCACGTTGTGCACATGTGCATTAGAACTTAATGTATAATAAAAAATAAAAATCATAATAATCTTAAAGTCATCATGTAATTGAGATTTTGACAGTTGTCACCGAATCAATAAATCCATGGCTATATTACATAGGAAATGTCTCTATTTAGATGGTTTCCTTCTCTGTCACAAGAGTTCCCCGAATAAACTACCCTTTTTCTTCCTTAGAATCTTTCCTAAATGTACTAGTTCTTCTGCCAACGGAACCTCAAACGTCCAGTCAGTCTTTTCAGACATCTCTTACTTCATTTTATGCATTCATTTTTGCTTTAAAGTCCCATCTCTCTGCAAGTCTTCTTGGACATGCCTCTGAAATGTCTATAGAACTCACCCTTTACTTGACCCTAATTATAACTAGTTTAGCCCAGGATTCCTAGGAATTCTTCTGGGCTATTTCAAAAGCCAACCAGATCACAACTCAAAACAGAGTTTAGACAAATACATTCTCTAAGACACTTTTGAAGATTGCAAAAGTGAGGAACTATATAGGGATAGGAAGAGAGAGACTAAGTCACAACTATGTTTACTGATACAAAGGGCAGGAGAACATCCAGACTTGTAGAGGGAATCACTGACATTCAGAGCCAAACCTGGTATATTAGTCCATTTTCATGCTGCTAATAAAGACACATCTGAGACTGGGCAATTTACAAAAGAAAGAAATTTAATGGACTCACAGCTCCACGTGGCTGGGGAGGCCTCACAATCATGAAGGAAGGTGAAAGGCACATTTCACAAGGCAGCAGACAAGAGGAGAGAGCTTGTGTGGGGGAACTCCCCTTTCTGAAACCGTCAGATCTCATGAGACTTATTCACTGTTATGAGAAAAGCACAGAAAAGACCTGCTCCCATGATTCAGTTACCTCCCACTGGGTCCCTCCCACAACATGTGGGAATTCAAAATGAGATTTGGGTGGGGACACAGCCAAACCATATCACTCTGCACCTAGCCCCTCCCAAATCACATGTCCTCACATTTCAAAACCAATCATGCCCTCCCAACAGTTCCCCAAAGTCTTAACTCATTTCATCATTAACTCAAAAGTCCACAGTCTAAAGTCTCATCTGAAGACAAGGCAAGTCCCTTTCACCTATAAGCCCATACAATCAAAAACAAGTTAATTATTTCCTAGATAAAATGGAGGTACAGGCATTGGGTAAATATACCCATTCCTACTGGGAGCAATTGGCCAAAACAAAGGGACTATGAGTCCCATGCAAGTCCAAAATTTAGAGGGGCAGTCAAATCTTAAAGCTCCAAAATGATCTCCTTTGAATCCATGTCTCACATCCAGGTCATTCTGATGCAAGAGGTGCGTTCCTATTGTCTTGGGTAGCTCTGCCCCTGTGGCTTTGCAGGGTACAGACTCCCACCCGAATGCTTTAATGGGCTGCTGTTGAGTGTCCATGGCTTTTTCAGGCACATAGTGCAAGCTGTCGTGGATCTACCATTCTGAGGTCTAGAGAATGGTGGCCCTCTTCTTACAGCTCCACAAGGCAGTTCCCCAATGGGGACTCTGTGGGAGCTCCAGTCCCACATTTTCCCTCTGCATATCCCTAGCAGGGGTTCTCCATGAGGGCCTTGCCCCTGAAGCAAACTTTTTCTTGGACATCCATGCATTTCCATACAACCTCTAAAATCTGGGTGGAGGTTCCCAAACCACAATTTTTGACTTCTGTGCACTTGCAGGCTCAAAACCATGTGGAAACTCTCAAGGCTTGGGGCTTTCACCCTGTGAAGCCATGGCCTGAGTTCTACATTGGCCCCTTTCAGCCACGGCTGTAGCAGCTGGGACACAGGGCACCAAAACCCTAGGCTGCATACAGCAGGGGAACCCAGGGACTGGACCACAAAACCACTGTTTCCTCCTAGGCCTCAGGGCCTGTGATAGGAGGGGCTGCCATGAAGTCCTCTGACATGCCCTGAAGACATTTTCCCCAATGTCTTAAGAATTAACATTAGGCTCCTTCTTAGGTATGCAAATTTCTGCAACCAGCTTAGATTTCTCCTTAGAAAATGGGATTTTCTTTTCTATCACATTGTCAGGCTGCAAATTTTCCAAACTTTTATGCTCTGCTCCCCTTATAAAACTGAATGCCTTTAACAGCACTCATGTCACCCCTTGAACTCTTTGCTGCTTAGAAATTTCTTCCACCAGATACCCTAAATCATCTCTCTCAAGTTCAAAGTTCCATAAATCTCTAGGGCAGGGGCAAAATGCCACCATTCTCTGCTGAAACATAACAAGAGTCACCTTTTCTCCAATTCCCAACAAGCTCCTCATCTCCATCTGAGACCACCTCAGCCTGGACTTTATTGTCCACATTGCTATCAGCATTTTGGTCAAAGCCATTCAACAAATCTCTAGGAAGTTCCAAACTTTCCCACATTTTTCTGCCTTCTTCTGAGACCTCCAAACTCTACCTGTTACCCAGTTCCAAAGTTGCTTCCACATTTTTGGGTATCTTTTCAGCAGTGTCCCACTGTGCTGGTACCAATTTACTATATTAGTCCATTTATACACTGCTGATAGAGACATACCCAAAACTAGGCAACTAACAAAAGAAAGAGATTTAATGGACTCACAGTTCCACATGGCTGAGGTGGCCTCACAATCATGGCAGAAGGTGAAAGGTATGTTTCACATGGTGGCAGACTAGAGAAAAGAGCTTGTGCAGGGGAACTACCCCTGATAAAGCAAGCCATCAGACCATGAGGCTTATTCACTATCATGAGAACAGCATGGGAAAGAACTACCATGATTCAATTACCTCCCACCAGATCCCTCCCACAACATGTGGGAATTTAAGATGAGATTTGGGTGGGGACATAGCCAAACCATATCACCTGGCAAAGCGATTAGGTAGAAAAAAATGGGCTTTTTAAGTCACTTAATTGTGGGTTTGATTCTGTTGCCTGTGATTCCTAAACTTAGCAAATGAATGTAAAATGGATAACACAATCACACGTGACTCCAAAATGTTAGCTCTTTCCAATGTTAAAATCTCCTTCACCATCTTTAATGCAGGGTGCTCCCTTTCTTCACATCCTGCTGACTTAAAACACTACTTTTATCAGATTTGCTTTTGTTCAGATGTCTATAATTATTTTCTATTATAATTTCAAACATTTTTTAGTTCCTCTGATGACTTCCAGGCCTTTTATTACCTGACAATATACTTTTGAATCCCAGATTTTTTTTCTGGTTGTCTTGGCAAACTGGCTTTGTACCACTTAAACTGCTTCATTACCCTCTAAATACACCTAGGTCCTCCTGCTCTGATAGTATTTATTGTTTTCCTTGAGGCTGGAACCATCTCCTCCAATAAATCTATAAACATTCTTCAAGGCTTAGCAAGAGTTCCACTTACTCCATAAAATTCTATCCACTTTCTCTCGGCCACTTTCCTCTCTTTAACATCTCTATATACTTAAAAGCAAACGTTGAATGGACAAATTGATGGTTAGTTAAAAGTAGAAAATCTGGGAGTTGAGGAAAAAAATGGCAGATAGAAGGCAGGACTAACTTGCAGCTCCGACTTGGATGAACAGAGCAGTTTGTGGACACTCACATCATGAACATGTGCTTTAAGAACTACTGCAGGAATATACCAAGAAAGCTGAAAGAATCCACAGACCCTTTGAAGGAGGTGGCTTGCCACTGCAGGCTCTGTGGAACAACTGAGGAACTTTCTGTGCTTTCTCACCTGAGAGGCCTGTAGCCTGGTCAAATTCTCAGCTCTGCTCACCAGCTGCCTGGAAATAAACTCGAGTGTTGTTGGGGAAGCATAGTAGGAGTGAGACTGGACTTTCTGGCTCTGAGCTGCATGGGAACTGGGTGAGGCCTGTGGCTTCCAGCTTTCCCCTACTTCCCTGGTGACTTGTGTGATGCAGCGGAGACAGGTACAATACCCCTGGTAACATAATTCCATTGGCCCTGGGAACCACATACCCATTCCCCACAGCAGCTGCAGCAGGCCCCACCCAAGGCTCAGACATGCCTAACCCTACCCCCACCTGATGGACTTTCTCTACCAGTCCTGGTAGCTGAAGTCAAAAGACATAATCACTTCGGAGCTCTATGGCCCTGTCCACTCCCTGATCCTTCCTATACTACCAGAGCTGATGTGCTCTTCAAAGCACCACCTCCTGGCTGGAGGCCAACTAACACAAAACCAGTACACGTAACAAAAACACAACCAAGGAACCTCACAGAGTTCACTGCACTCCCCTGCTACCTCCACCAGAGTAGCTGCTGGTATCCAAGGCTGAGAGACCTGAAGATGGATCAAGTCACAGGATCCTTTGCAGACACTCCCCAGTACCAGCCAGAGCCTGGTAGGTACACTGGGTGGCAAGATCCAGAAGAGGAAGAAAAATCACTGCAGTTTGACTCTCAGGAAGCCCATCCCTAGGGTAAAGGGGAGAGCACCACATCAAGGAAGACCCCATGGAAGAAAAAATTCTGAACAGCAGCCCTTGATGCCCAGATCTTCCTTCTGACATAGAATACTCAAATGAGAAGAAACAAGAAAAATAATTCTGGTAATATGACGAAGCACGGTTCGTTAACATCCTCAAAATATCACACTAGCTCACCAGCAGTGGATACAAACCAAGACCAAATCTCTGAATTGCCACAAAAAGAATTCAGAAGGTTGACTATAAAGTCAATCAAGAAGGCACCAGAGAAAGGTGAAGTCCAGCTTAAAGAAATAAAAGACATACAGGATATGAGTGGAAATATCTCCAGTGAAATAGATCGCATAAATAAAAAACAATCACAACTTCTGGAAATCAAGGACACACATAGAGAAATGCAAAATGCTCTAGAAATTCTAACAATAGAATTGAATAAGTAGAAAAAAATCTTTAGAGCTTGAAGACAAGGCTTTCCAATTAACCCAATACAAAAAAAAAAAAAAGAATTAAAAAAAGAACAAACCCTCCAAGAAGTTTGGGGTTATATTAAACAACCAAACCTAAGAATAATTGGTGTTCCAGAGGAAGAAGAGAAATCTAAACGTTTTGAAAACATAGTTGAGAGAATAATCAAGGAAAACTTTTCTGGCCTTGCTAAAGATCTAGACCATCAAATACCAGAAGCTCAAAGAGTAACTGGGAAATTCATCACAAAAAGATCATCACCTAGGCACATAGTCGTCAAGTTATGTAAAGTCAAGACAAAGGAAAGAATCTTAAGAGTTGTGAGGCAAAACCATGAGATAACCTATAAAGGAAAACCTATCAATCAGATGAACAGCAGATTTCTCAGCAGAAACCCTACAAGCTAAAAAAGATTGGGATCCTATCTTTAGCCTCCTTAAACAAAACAACTGTCAGCCAAGAATTTTGTCTTCAGCAAAACTAAGCTTCATAAATTAGGCAAAGATACGGTCTTTTTCAGACAACCAAATGCTGAGAGAATTTGCCACTTCCAGGCCAGCACTACAAAACCTGCTAAAACGAGCTCTAAATCTTGAAAGAAATCCTTGAAACACACCAAAATAGGATCTCCCATAAGCATAAATGTCACAGGACCTATAAAACAATAACACAATGAAAAAAATGTATGCAGGAAACAAATAGCACAATAAATAAAATAGTAGATTGCATCTCAAAATGCTAATGTTGAATGTAAATGGCCTAAATGCTTCATTTAAAATATACTAAATGGCAGAATGGATAAGAACTCACTAACCAACTACCTGCTGTCTTCAAGAGACTCATCTGACACATAAGGACTCACATAAACTTAAGGTAAAGGGTGGAAAATGATACTCCATACAAATGGACACCAAAAGCAAGCAGGAGTAGCTGTTCTTACATCAGATAAAACAAACTTTAAAGTAACAGCAGTTTAAAAACACAAAGAGGGACATTATATAATGATAAAAGTGTAAGGTCCTCTCAGCAGGCTGCGCCATGGTCAAGCCGTCATGACCCCTGTGACCCACACGTACACATCCAGAAGGTCTCCTGGAGCCAGAAAGTCTGGCACAACAGGAAAACCACAACAGAAGAAAAACAGCTAGTTCCTGTCTTAGCTGATTAGCCAAACTTGCGACATTCTACCATCGTAACAGGCTCTACCCTAACTGATCAATCAACCTCGTGACACTCAGCTCTGTAAATGTGTGATAATGTACCTTGTGACATTCTTCCACTGCCTGCAAAAACTGGCCCCTAACTGTAACTTTCCACTGCCTAACCCTAACCTATAAAACCACTCCAATCCCACCACCTGCTGCTGACTCCCTTTTCAGACTCAGCCTGTTCACACCCAAGTGAATAAACGCCTTGTTGCTTACATTTGGCCTGTTCTGGTTGTCTCTTCAATTAAATGCTCACATAACATTTGGTGCCAAGAACCCGGGATAGGGGAACTCCTCCAGGAGTCCTCTCCCCTATCCTCCCCGCACCCACATTCTTCCATCGTAGAGACTCCCCTCAACTGCAGGACCTCAGACCAGCCCCACGAATGCTCCTGCTTCTGTCTATGGATCAGATAAGCTGCCTCTCACTTCTTCTTACATCCCTTCTTATATCCCTCCTTTCCAGATTGAGACAAGGAAACTCTCTTTATCTTTGTTTCAGAAATCCAACGTTGGTCACGGACTCTTCTTGGGAAGACAGTCTCCCCTCGCTGTTTGGTCAATGCCGGGGATGCCCACCTTGGCCATTTGCCAGCCACATAACCCAAGACCTCTGTTGGGCATGCCCACTGAGGAGCCTAGTGGTTGCTCTTTTCCTTGTCTCCCTCTTTGTCCTCAAAACTTCAGCCCCCATCCGCCCCCCGCCCCCCGAGGAGCCTAGAGGTTGCTCTTTTTCTTGTCTCCATCTTTGTCCTCAAAACTTCACCTGTCTACCATGGGCAACCTCCCGCCCCCCCATCCCTCCTTCTTCCCCTCTGGCTTGTGTCCTCAAAAGCCTCAAAACTCTTCAGCTTTCACCTGATCTAAAGCCTAAATGTCTAATTTTTTTCTGTTACATGGTCTGGCCCCAACACAAATTAGACAACGGCTCTTCAGTGGCCAGAAAGCAGCACTTGTGATTTCTCTATCTTGTGGGACTTAGACAACTTCTATCACAAAATGGGTAAATGGTCTGAGGTACCCTATGCCAGGGGATTTATTACACTATTATCCCTCCCTCGCCTCTACTCCCAATGTGATCCATCCCAAATTTTCCTTATCTCCCTTCCGTCCACCCCTCTATCTTACACTGGCAGTGCTGATTCCTCCTTGTCTGTTGACCTCTCCGATCTTTCTCCCCACAACCTACCTGAACCCAGCCCTAACTCTCCCCCAGAACCTAGTTCCTCTTCTACCCACAACCCACATCCTTATGCCCCTCTCATCACCACCCCTCCTCACACCTGATATGGCTTACAATTTGGTCCCACAGCCAGCTTCCCTGTCCCCACTCAACAATTTCCCCTTCGAGAGGTGGCCGGAGCTGAAGGAATAGTCCGGGTTCACGTCCCTTTCTATCTGTCCGACCTTTCCCAAATCAGTCAGTGTCTAGGCTCTTTTTCATCAAACCCCACCAAATACATACAGGAATTCCAATTCTTAACCCAGTCCTATAATCTTACTTGGAATGACTTCAATGTCATCCTCATCTCTACTCTCACTCCTGAGGAGCGAGAGCAGGTTTGGACCCTAGCTCGAGCTTATGCCCATGACGGCTGGCACCTTGAGCCTGGCCTCCAAGAAGGTGCTAGGGGCAGTACCCCAGGAAGACCCCCAGTGGACCTACCAAGCAGGGGGCCAAGGCATAGCCAGGCAGGACTACATGATCTCTTGCCTAGTTCAAGGGCTTCAAAGGTAGCATACAAAGCTGTCAATTATGAGAAACTAAAAGAGACCACTCAGAATAAAGATGAGAATCCAGCTCAGTTTATGGCCCACCTAGCTGCCACCCTCAGGTGGCATACAGCATTAGACCCTGAAGGGCTGGGGAGCTGCCTTATTCTTAACATGCATTTTATCACCCAGTCAGCTCCTGACATTAGAAAGAAGCTTCAAAAATTAGAGTCTGGCCCTCAAACCCCACAATGGGAATTAATCAACCTTGCCTTAAGGTGTTCAATTATAGGGAAGAGGCTGCCTGGAGGCAGCACATTTCAGAACTACAGATGCTTGCCTCCACCGTAAGACAAACCTACCTCCAAGAACTTCAAGGCATCCAAACTGCAGTGTCTAACCGCCCCTCCAGGGCCTTGCTTCAAGTGTCGAAAACCTGGCCACCGGGCCAAGGAATGCCCACAGCCCAGGATTCCCCCTATGCCATGCCCCACCTGTGCAGGCTGTCACTGGATGTTGGACTGTCTGACTCTTATTGCCACTCTTGGAGCTCCTAGAGCTCAAAACTGAAACTCCCCAACTGACTCCTTCCCAGATCTCCTCTGTTTGGTGGCTGAAGACTGACGCTGCCCGAATGTCTTGGAGGCCCCCTGGACCATCACAGATGCCGAGCTTCAGGTAAATCTTATGATGGAAGGTAAGTCTGTCCCCTTCTTACTTGATATAGGGGCTACCCACTCCACATCACCTTCTCTCCAAGGGCATGTTTCCCTTGCCCCCATAACTGTTGTGGGTATTGATGGTCAAGCTTCTAAACCCCTTAAAACTCCCCAACTCTGGTGTCAAATCAGGCAACATTCCTTTACACACTCCTTCCTGGTTATCCCCACCTGCCCAGTCCCCTTATTAGGCCAAGATATTTTAACTAAATTATCCACCTCCCTGACTATTCCTGGAATGCAGCCACATCTCATAGCTACTCCTCTATCCAATTCCAATCCTCCCTTGCAACCTCCCCTTTCATCTCCCCACCTCAACCCTAAAGTATGGGATACTTTCACTCCTTCACTTGCAACTGACCATTCACCCCTTATCATCCCATTAAAACATAACCACCCCTATCCTGCTCAACGCCAATACCCAATCCCACAACAGGCTTTAAGGGGCCTAAAGCCTGTTATTACCCATCTAGTACAGCATGGCCTCTTAGTTTCTACCAACTCCCTTTACAACTCTCCCATCCTACCTGTCCAAAAACCAGATAAGTCCTACAGGCTAGTCCAAGACCTTCATCTTATTAATCAGATTGTCCTCCCCATCCATCCTGTTGTGCCAAGTCCTTGTACTCTCCTATCCTCAATACTCCCTTCCACAACTCACTATTCTGTTATTGACCTCAAAGATGCCTTCTTTACCATCCCCTTACATCCCTCCCAAACAACTTCTTTACTTCCTAGAAAAATTCAGCAAAAACTCCCCTGATATCACATACCAAAAAGCTGCTACTCTTCTCTGTACCTACCTATGAAATATATCTCCCTATGTCAATTCCACACCCCCTGTTCTTGGACCCCTCATTACACAGACAACTATCCCCATTGCTTCTCCCTTATGCATCTCCCAACAATTACCTGCTGGAATTCCCTTAGGTAACCTCCCATCTTCCCTATGTTCCTTTACTCTTCACCTCCAAGGCCCTGCCACCCTAATTAAGCAAAATATTGGAGCATTCCAGCTTCATATTACAGAAAAACACTCCATCATGACTAACAGTCTTAAAAACATCAGTAGCAACTTTTGCCTAGGAAGACACTTACCCTGCCTCTCTCTCCATCCTTGGCCACCCTCCCCCTGTTAGACAGATTCCCCTCCAAGACCTTCTTCCTGCCTGCTTATACCTGGTCTTATAAATAACAGTGAATAGCTACTTGTAAATACCAAGCAAAGCGCTTTCCTTTACATTATGAAAATAAAACCTCTCCCTTTACACAGTTACCCTACCAGACCCCACCACAACCTCTAACAGCCGCTACCCTTGCTGCATCTCTGGGAGTCTGGATGCAGGATTCTGCCTCCAGAACACACTTTCATCATTTTACTTTACACTTCCAGTTTCGCCTGCTTCAAGGACTCTTTTTTCTCTGTGGCTCTTTCACCTACATGTGCCTCCCTGCCAACTGGACAGGCACCTGCATTTTAGTCTTCCTTATTCCCAATATCCAGTTTGCAAATGAGAGCGAACAACTCCCTGTTTCCGTTATAACTCCAACATGACAAAAAAGAGTCATCCCACTAATCCCCTTTTTTGTAGGATTAGGAGTCTCTACTGCTGCAGTTGGAACAGAAGTAGAAAGCCTTACAACTACCATCACCACATATCACAGTCTCTCCAATGACTTCTCCACTAGCCTTACCGATATAACTCAAACACTTTATGTCCTCCAAGCCCAGGTCGATTCCTTAGCTGCAGTTTTCCTTCAAAATCACCAAGGCCTTGATCTGCTTACTGCTGGAAAAGGAGGACTCTGCCTATTCTTAAATGAATAATGCTGCTTTTACTTAAATCAATCAAGCCTGGTATATGACAACATCAAAAAACTTAAAGACAGAGCCCAAAAACTCGCTAATCAGGCAAGTAGTTAAATTGGAAATACCTGGCCTTTCTCTAGCTTAGCTTCATGGCTCCCTCCACTGATAGGCCCCTTCGCGCTCATCCTTCTCCTCCTCTTATTTGGGACTTGTCTTTTCAGACTCATCTCTCAGTTCACACAAAATAGCATCCAAGCTATTACTAACCAGTCAGTATGACAAATGCTCCTTGTAACAACCCCACAATATCACCCCTTACCCCAAGATCTTTCTTCTGTTTAATCTCTATCACTTTAGGTTCCCACGCCACCCCTAATCCCGCTTTAAGAAGCCCTGAGAAACATTGCCCATCATCTTTCCATACCACACCTAAAATTTTCACCACCCCAACACTTCACTACTCTTTCTTGTTTTGTTTTAATTTTTTCATTTTTAACATATAAAGACAGGAATGCAAGGTCCTCTGAGCAGGCTGCGCCATGGTCAAGCCATCGTGACCCCTGTGACCCACATGTACACATCCAGAAGGTCTCCTGGAGCCAGAAAGTCTGGCACAACACAAAAAACACAAAAGAAGAAAAAAGGCTAGTTCCTGTCTTAGCTGATTAGCCAAACTTGCGACATTCTACCATTGTAACAGGCTCTACCCTAACTGATCAATCAACCTTGTGACACTGCTCTGTAACTGTGTGATAATGTACCTTATGACATTCTTCCACTGCCCACAAAAACCGGCCCCTAACTGTGACTTTCCACTGCCTAACCCTAACCTATAAAACCACTCCAATCCCATCACCTGCTGCTGACTCCCTTTTCTGAGTCAGTCTGCTCTTGCCTGAGTGAATAAACAGCCTTGTTGCTTACACTTGGCCTGTTCAGACTGTCTCTTCAATTAAATGCATGCATAACAAAAAGGACTAGTCCAACGGCTATACACCAACGGCGACCAAGCTGAGAATCAAATCAAGAACTCAACCCCATTTACAATAATTGCAATAAAATAAAATACTTAGGAATGCACTTAATTGGGAAGGTAAAAGACCTCTACATGGAAAACTACAAAACACTGCTGAAAAAAATCATAGATGTCACAAACAAATGGAAACACATCCCATGCTCATGGATGGGTAGAATCAATATTGTGAAAATGACCATACTGCCAAAAATGATCTACAAATTCAATGCAATTCCCATCAAAATACCACCATCATTCTTCACAGCACTAGAAAAAAAATCTTAAAATTCACATGCAACCAAAAAAGTGCCTGCATAGCCAAAGAAAGACTAAGCAAAAAGAACAAATCTGGAGGCATTACATTACCTGACTTTTTAATATACTATAAGCCCATAGTCAGCAAAACAACATGTATTGATGTAAAAATAGGCACATAGAACAAAGGAACAGAATAGAGAACACAGAAATAAACCAAAATACTTACAACCAACTGATCTTTGACAAAGCAAACAAAAACATAAAGTGAGGAAAAGACACCATATTCAACAAATGGTGCTGGAATAATTGGCAAGCCACATGTAGAAGAAGGAAACTGAATCCTCATCTCTCACCTTATACAAAAATCAACTCAAGATGGATTAATTACTCAAATCTAAGACATAATACCATACAAATTAGAGAGGATAACATTGGAAAAACCCTTCTAGATATTGGCTTAGAAAAGATTTTATGACCAAGAACCCAAAAGCAAATGCAACAAAAACAGAGATAAATACATGGGATTTAATTAAATTAAAAAGCTTCTGCACAGCAAAAGAAATAATCAGCAGAGTAAACAGAAAACCCATAGAGTGGGAGAAAATCTTCTCAATTTATACACCTGACAAAGGACTAATATCCAGAATCTATGAGGAACTCAAACAAATCAGCAAGAAAAAAATAAACAATGCTGTCAAAAAGTGAGCTAAAGACATGAATAGACAATTCGCAAAAGAAAATATAACAATGGCCAACAAAAATATGAAAAAAATGCTAAACATCACTAATTATCAGGGAAATGAAAATCAAAACCACAAGGCAATAGCACCTAATTCCTGTAAGAATGGCCATAATCAAAATATCAAAAAATAATAGATGGGGTGGATGTGGTGAAAAGGGAACACTTTTACACTGTTGGTGGAAATGTAAAGTAGTACAATCACTATGGAAAACAGTGTGGAGATTCCTTAAAGAACTAAAAGTAGATCTCCCATTTCATCTAGCAATCCCACTGCTAGCTATCTACCTAGAAGAATAGAAGTCATTATATGAAATAGATACTTGCACATGCATGTTTATAGTAGCATAATTTGCAATTGCAAAAATATGGAACCAGTCCAAATGCCCACAATCAATGAGTGGATAAAGAAAATGTGATATCTATCTATCTATCTATCTAGATACATACATACATACATAGACAAAGACATATATACCTTGAAATACTTCTCAGCCATAAAAATAATGAAATGGTATTCACAGCAACCTGAATGTAATTGGAGACAATTCTTTTTTTTCTTTTTTTTTTAGATATTTTACTTTAAGTTCTGGGATACAAGTGCAGAAAGTGTAGGTTTGTTATATAGGTATACATGTGTCATAGTGGTTTGCTGCACCTATCAACCCACCATGTAGGTTTTAAGCCTGGATGCATTAGCTCTTTGTCCTAATGCTGTCCCTCCCCTTGCTCCCCATCCCCTGACTGGCTCCAGTGTGTGTTTTCCCCTCCCTGTGTCTATGTGTTCTCATTGTTCAACTCCCATTTATGAGTGAGAACATGAGGTGTTTGGTTTTATGCTCCTGTGTAGTTTGCTGAGGATGATGGCTTCCAGCTTCATCCATGTTCCTGCAAAGGACATGATCTCATTGCTTTTTATAGCGCATAGTATTCCATCATGTATATGTACCACGTTTTCTTTATACAGTCTATCATTTCTGGTTCTAGATCCTTGAGGAATTGCCACACTGCCTTCTACAATGGTTGAACTAATGGACATTCCCACCAACGTTGTAAAAGTGTTCCTATTTCCCCACAGCCTTGCCAGCAGTTATTGTTTCTTGACTTTCTAATAATCACCATTCTGACTGGTGTGAGATGGTATCTCATCGTGGTTTTAATTTGCATTTCTCTAATGATTAGTGATATTGAGGTTTCTTTCATGTTTGTTGGCCATGTAAATGTCTTATTTTGAGAAATGTCTGTTCATATCTTTTGCCCACTTTTTGATGGGGTTGTTTGTTTTTTTCTTGTAAATTTGTTTAAGTTCCTTATAAATTCTGGATATTAGACCTTTTTCAGATGGGTAGATTTCAAAAGTTCTCTCCCATTCTCTAGGCTGCCTGTTCACTCTGATAGTTCCTTTTGCTGTGCAGAAGCTCTTTAGTTTATTTAGATCTAATTTGTCAATTTTGGAGACCATTATTCTAAGTGAAGTAACTCAGGAATGGAAAAACCAAACATTGTTCTTACTTATAAGTAGGAGCTATGAGGATTCAAAGGCATAAGAACGATACAATGGACTTTGGGGACTTAGGGAAAAGGGTGGAAGGGAGGTTAGGGATAAAATACTGCAAATTGGGTAACAGTGTACACTGCTCAGGTGATTGGCACGCCAAAATCTCAGAAATCACCACTAAAGAACTATTCACATAACCAAACACCACCTGTTCTTCAAAAATCTATTGAAATTAAAAAAATTGAAAAAGTAGAAAGTCTATTTCAACATTTTGGTTTACGTGGTACCAAATAACAATTCTAAGCAATCAGTTTTCTTAGCTTGGTGATAGTTGTACTACATTTACTAAAACAACTTGTAAATGGAATATCTTATTGTCACAATAACATCTTGCCTGTAGTTTAGCCTATTCTAACAATGTTACCTAGGGTCATTAAACCCAACATATTTTTCAGCACAGTCTGTACTGGCACAATTCCTTGTATGCCTTATCAGCAGCATATTCTTGCTGTATGTGCACAGATGAAAATAGCAATGTCAGACTCAACAACTGTCACATTTGATGGGACATCATTTTTGGTAAAGACAGCTGTGGATGCTAAATTGAGGTTTCCTATGCACCCTCACTCCCACCACTTTTAAGAAAGTCACCCATTGATAGGCTTTATATTTTTGTTTTGCACTTGTATTTGGATGCCGAGGAGACAAATAATGTACCAGCTCCACGGCATGGGAGAGGGAGGAAAGAAACTTACCTGTCAAATGTGGAACTTTCATTTATCTCAGAGGAGATGGCACACTGCTATTACTGACAAGGCCCTTTAAAATCCTGGGAGATAACTGGATCTCTTTAGGAGATCATTGTTATGTTGTATTTACAAGTTGTTTCTTCAAGTATCTAGAAGATCTTTTGAATTCTACTCTGATGTTCTCACAATTCAATGGCATCACACTGCCCTCCCATTCTTCTTCCATTGCTGACTCCAGGGGTCAGCAAACTTTCTCTGGAAAGGGCTAAAGAGTAAATATTTTAGGGTTTGTGAGCCATAGGTCTCTGTTACAACTACTAAACTCTGTCACATCAAAAGCAGGCATAGACAATATGTGAATGGACATGGTTCAGTTCCAATAAAACTTTATTTATGACATTGATTTTAAATTTCATATAATTTTTACATTTCAAAAAATATTATTCTTGTCATGATTTATTCCATATTTCCAAATAGAAAAAGAAATTTAACTCACAGACCATTAAAGAAACATAGTGGTCAGGTTTGACATACAGGCTATAGTTTGCTGACCTCTGGTCTACACAATTATAGCTTCTCTGTTTATCTCATGTTAAGAAAATATATAGATGTCCCTTGTGAGACAGACTATCATTTCCAAATACTGAGATGCCTAAGCCTAAGACTTGTCAATTGTCTTTATCAGAAAACTGAGAGCCACGACTGTATATATTTTTCAAATGCCAAAAGAGTTATCCCATTCTGAAACAAAAATGGCCTGCTATCCCTTTCAAGGCACATTCGTTCATTTTCTGGCTTGTCTAGACATCTTAAGTTAAAAAGACAAGGTAGTAACCTGCAAACACGGTACTTATAATTTCTTTACTTTCAGGATTGTCTTTGTGCTATGAAGACAGAAACATGAAACTTAATTTATTCTTGAAATTTTAGTGTGGTTGAATGGTAAGCCCCAGTGGCATCAGTCAGAGTTGTGTCTGACACAATCAGGAACTATGTTCAATTCCATTCTTGTGATTTCTATCGCTACTTAATCAAGAGAATTTGATCTTGACTGCTTTAATTGGAGAGCCACTCATAAACATATACCAGGTAATATTAGCTTCCAGGATAGTTCAAACCTCTTCAAGATGCTCACTAAATAGGACTCACCTCCTCATTGAGTTCCTCAAAGGGATAACAGTAGGATGTCTAGTGGGACAAAGTCAGTGAGTTTATATAACGCTCTTCAAATATTGGGCAACCACTTAAAGGGTTGCTATGTTTTACTTATTTTGTTTTCATCTTCTGCTTTCTGTGGAGAGACACTTTTTTTTGGTTGTTGTTCTTTATTTTGTTTCCTGGTGTGTCAGTAAAGACCAATATAATCATGTTATCACTTTGTAAGTTGGTTTGAAATGGGTAAAATCATAGCCTGAATCCCAGAAATACATAATTGTACATGCAGGTTAATCTGGACAGGTTAACACAGCAGTGGTTGGACGGTGTTTGTCAGATCCCCACAGTAAACTATTTAGCCTAATGTCCTGCTTCTGAGTGGTTTACTAAACACTGCATGTCATGAAACATTATTATCATAATTTTCAAACTGAAGTTTATAGACTGCAACCTTGAGTTTCCCAGAGAATATATGAAACTACAGAAAAAATATGCCCATATCTCTGGAGCTTTAATTTTATTTAAAGTTCAGTTAAATTTATTCATTGTATATTTAAATAGTATAAGTAGATTACAGAGTAGAATTTAAATTATCATAGATTTCAAAAATTAAATAAAACAATGTAAAGCGTTTGTTATATAAATGATCAATTTATCTACCTCCTCATTAGACTGATGTGGTTTGGCTGTGTCCCCATCCAAATCTCATCTTGAGTTGTAGCTCCCATAATTCTCACATGTCCTGGGAGGGACTCAGTGGGAGGTAATCGAATCATGGGCATGGGTCTTTCCTGTGCTGTTCTCGTGATAGTGAAAAAGTCTCATGAGATCTGATAACTTTATAAAGAGGAATTTCCCTGCACAAGTCCTCTTCTCTTGTCTGCCGTGTTAGGATATGACTTTGCTCCTCATTCAGCTTCCACCATGATAGTGTGGCCTCCCCAGCCATGTGGAACTGAGTCCATTAAACCTCTTTTTCTTTATAAATTACCCAGTCTTCGGAATGTCTCTATTGGCAACATAAGAACAGGCTAATACAAGATCAAGGTGACTAACATGACTCTCTAATGCCATTAGTGATTTTTAGCAGAAAATTTTAGGAAACATTGTTACATGCTACTGACACCTTCATGACTGAGACGGCATTGGAATGACTCTATGATCAAACAAAACCTAAAGAAAGAGGGAAAAGTAAAACTCATCCTCTGGTTCTCTTATTCTTTAAATATACCAAATGTTGGTAAAGTTAAATGGACTCATCCACTGCAAAGTGTACATTATCTCTCTAACTCAGGTATTATTATTTAAAAGTCACTGGGTCTAGGAGTCTTCATAGATGTTCTTCTTCCAAGTCTTTTTAAGTCACTTCTTTTTTTCTGTGCCCCTTTTTGCCTTGGAAAAGGGGCTTCTACCTTCCTTCTGTACATTATAAGGTTTTCACAAAAAAATTGAAATAATATAAAGGTAGATTGAAAAGCAGATAATAATACTTTATAAATATTTAGGCTAGAAGGAATAAAATAATATTACTGGACATATGAAGTCAAAAGATAAAAGAGATAAATGAGATAAAAGAGAGTTCGGTATAATGTTTTCTACTTCCCACCTCTTCCCCACTTGCCTTTCCTTTTCTATGGTTATTGGAGAAAATGAGTTAATCATTTGCTTTTAATTAATAATTTGTTTTTAATTATGGGAATAACTGAGAAATGCTTCACTTTATTAGGAGAAAACCTTTTTTTCCACCACTGAAGTTATTGGAAAAGGCAAAAATTGCACTGGCTTTTAATCCTACTAGAAATTGTTGTCTTTCTTTTCTTTCTTTGTTTGACAACAGTACAAAATGACAGATGTGTGAAAAGAAGAAAGAGAACTAGGAAAATATGATAATAACCACAAGTAGCTTCCCAGATTTATTTCCAGTTGATTTTACATCTGGTCCAACTGTATTGTTTGTTGATATTCTGTTGGCAACAGACATGAGCCACATGTCTCTCTAGCTCTTATTAACATTTTCATATCTAGATAACAGAATTTGATAAAAATATGTAGCAATGATCTTAGTAATCCCACCGTTACATTCTCAAAGTTGCCGTCTTTTCACCTCTAGATTCAAAAGGTCACCCAGTCTAATCTGTTCTGGGTATTTATAAATATCTCTAGTTTCTCTTTTGTCAGGACTCACTCTTTGCTAATTCAAAGCATCATTATCCACCCATATCTGAGTGCAGCACTAGCCTCCTAATGTCTTTCTGGAGTGGGCATTTCAATCTACCTATTTTACTGACACTATTCCTCAGATTTGCATATAAATACCTGACCATATTCCTAGCTATTTCTGTTGTGTCCCAGGTGCCTATAAAACCAACTCCCTGTGTTTTAAGAAGGCATGTAAGACTTTTAATATTGGTTATTAATCTGCTTTGTATTTCCACGATCTAATCTGTTTCCATTTACCAACATATTTTAGCAATTTTGAACACAATTTCTCATATTCCACATCCTGTCATATCTCTGGCCCTTCTACTCTGCTTGGATTTTCAGGTCTGTCATTCATCCTCTAGACTCAGCTCAATATCAGCTCCTCTGTGAAGTCCTTAGTGACATTCCTAGCTGTAAAAGCTAAGTAAGCCCATTGGATAGGACAATGAATTAATTTTCTCCTAGGCATGGCTCCCATCTCAGAATTATTTTTATGATAACACTTTTACTAAGAGGAAAAATTATTTGGCATAAACAATGCTGTAGAAACAAACACAAATACAGCTTATCCAAATGTATTTTAATGTTTAAATGGCTTTTTTCAATTATCAAATTATGAAGAAAAATAATTATCTTTTCATTACTTTCTTCTTTCCATACATAGGGCCTTTAATCCAAGAATATCAATGTTCTCTCAGTACATTAAGTTTTTCTAAATGACTGTAGATACTGACAGTACCACATAACTATGGATTAGGGGAAAAAGAAAACTGAATGTTTGTTATTTGTCTAATGCTACATGGGAACTCCATTACCTCAGAGAGGGAGAGAAGAATATCAGGTCTTCAAAATCCCACAGTGGGTGAAAAACATTCATAAAACTCATATCCAACCCATCTCTCTGTGTAAACTCCTACAAGTGTTATTTTCAAATGTTGAGAGATGCTGCAACTACTTGTTATGGTTTTAATGTTTGTCCCCTCCAAAATTCATGTTGAAGCTTAATCCTCAATGTGGTAGTATTGATAAGTGGAGCCTTTAAGAGGTGATTGGGTTAGGAGGGCTCTGCCTTCATAAATGAATTAATCTGTTCATAGAACAATAGATGATTATGGGAGTGGGACTGGTGGCTTTATAAAAAGAGGAAAAGATACTTGAGCTAGCAAGTTCAGCCCTCCTCACCAGAAAATACCCTGTGCCACCTTGGGACTCTGCAGAGTCCTCACCAGCAAGAAGACCTTCACCAGATGCAACCTCTCAACCTTGTACTTCTTAGACTCCATAACTATAAGAAATAAATTCCTATTCTTTATATATTATCCAGTTTCACATATTCTATTATAAGCAACAGAAAATGAACTAAGATATCACCTTTCCAAAGATTTACTAAGTATAGAAGAGAAAGTAAGTAATTTTAGGGCTAGACAAAGTTAAATAGACGCACTCTTAACAGAAGTAAGACTTTCTGCATTCTGCCTCCAGTCTCATGAGATGGCAGGGCTTCTGGACCTCGCTTCATTGTTTTTGTGTGTTTCCTACAAATGTAGCAGCCATTTTGCCACATATTTCTTTAATATTTCAGATCATTGTTTAATGGAATTTTGTCATCTTGGCTTAATTACCTTCTTTGCTACCCCTTGGAGATTTTGTAAATACGAAATGTTTCTAGAATAAAAAATTAATGTTTTGAAATAACATGCAAAAATGATGACCCAGAATTTTCACAGAGTTTAAAAAATAACACATTGTATCAAATTCCCTATTTGTAGATTGTTTTCACTCCTATAATATGGCTGCAGGGGCTGTATTTCTTCTTCTGTCACTCATTTCAGAGGTCTAAGCTGAGGCCATCACCTCCTATTCTTCTAGAAATAATATTACATATATAACTAATCCTCAGAAAACTATTTGGTTTTGGGGTTATTTTGATATTAGCCCCTGAGATATAATAGTTACCTAAAGGGAAAAGAGAAAGTTGTATTTTCTTTGCTCTATAATTTCAACTGACATTTCTCAGCAAGTCCCATCTTTTTATCTTGATCAGAAATACAGGTGCTTCTGCTTCTTATCAATGCTTCCCTTTTTAGCAGTTCTATGAGTTCTACCCCTACTTTGGAAACATCTCTGGATTCTATTTAACAGTTATCAATATATATTGCATTGTATTACAATTATTGGTATAATGGCTTATTGCTTCAAATACATTTAAAACTTCTTGAGTAAAACGATGTTAAAACATTAATCTTTACATTCAAAAAAGTGTTGCAGCACAGTGCTTTCACACAGTAAGTACTCAAATTATGTTTGTCAAGTGAAAACAAAGTGATATTATATATTTAAACAACACTATTTGAATAGAATGGGAATGGTGTCAAAACTATTGTTTAAACAAAACAATACCAAAAAAACTGATAATAGAGAGCTTACATATTGCTAACTTTTTATTGTAATATTAACTAGCCTCAACCATCATATGCAATCCTTATATATATGCAAATATGCTCTTGCTTGAGTGGGTTACATCTGCCCAACCACAGTCAGACAGGGAGAATCTCTTCGCAGAGCTGGAATCAGACTGGCTTGCCCCTCTTCTCTGAGCTCTCGCAGTCTTGGAAACCAGCTGGGGCCCACCAATCACTGGGAAAACCATCACCACTCCTGTGTTCAAATTGTGTTTATTATCTGTCAGCCTCAATGCACTAAATGAGACTCTAACGATTGAAAGAGTTAATGGCCCTCCAAAAAGTAAACATCTCAGTCGCATATGATTGTTAGAATCAGCCTCATTATGTTTTATCTGCAGTTTTGATTTCTTTTCTCTTTTTTTTTCTTTCCCTAAGTGAAAACACTGGATCACTAAATTCAATTTTAAAAACTTTATAATTGTTTTAAAATAATTACAATTTTTAAATTCCCAAGTTATTTTCCCTTTGCTCTGTCCATAAATTTATTTCAATTATGTCTTCAGTTAAGAATATCTAGCACAGCAAAATCCAAACATAGTGAAATATTGATCAATCTGTAAGACTGATAATCTTAAAGATTAAACAAAGTTGTCTTAAAATTCGAAAAATTTCCTGCTTTTCATAGATTTATATCTATCAGCAGACATATCCCTATTTGTTGCCCTATCATTTGTATGCATATATAAGATATATGTAAATAAATATATATTTATAGATATTTGTTTATAGATATCTGATTTCTGATAGGTAATCAAGTAAGTAGTAAACTGTGTGGAATATCAAGAAGATGTAGTTTAGAGTAAGGTGTTTTCTTCAGAAAATGCCTTATACAAATAAATACAAACATTTAAAAGCCACAGATAGGAACCTCTAAATTGGTCAGATCATGAATTTGGGGAGGCCAAATGTATTAAGGAAAGGAACCAGATATAACAAAGTGAGTAAAGCATTGTTACTTATTAACCCTTTGATTTTGAGCAGGTAACACATTCATTCATTCATTCATTCATTCATCAGTTAATCCATCTTTCTTTTCATTTCATCCGTCATCCATCCACCTATCCAGCTATACATTTATCCATGACTTAATGTAGAGCTTAGAACAAGCTGCTCAGTTTATCATTTAATACATAAACACGCTAATAAATAATAATGTTAATTTTTATTAGATTAATTGTTTAAATCTGGTTATTTGGTTGAGGGAAAATTGATATAAAATTCACCATTTTAGCTGAAGTGTATAATACAGTGGCTTTTAGTACCTTCACAATATTATGTAACCATAACCACTATCTCATTTCAGCACATTTCTATCCTTCCAAAAAGACATCTTGTACCCAATTAAGCACTAGTTTCTCATTCTCTCCTTCCCTTCAGCCCTTGGAAACCACTAATGTGCTTCTTGTTTCCAAGAATTTGTTTATTCTGGACATTTCACATAAATAGAATCAAACAATATGTATGGATTTTTGTGTAGCTTTTATCACTTGGCATAACGTTTACAGGGTCCATCCATATTGTAGCATGAATTAGTATTTCATTCCTTTTTAAGGCTAAAATGACATTGTATAGATATACCACATTTTGTTTACTCATTCTTCAGTTGATGGACATTTGGGTTATTTTTACTTTTTGGCTCTTACGAATAATCTCCATGAATATTCATGTGCACATTTTGTTTGAACATCTGTTTTTAATTCTTTTGGGTATATACCTAGGATTGCTGGGTCATATGACGATTCTGCGCTTAACTTTTTGAGGAACCATCGAACTGTTTTCTAGAGCAAGTACACCATTTGACATTCTCACTAGAAATGTATCCACATGATATTGTTCTCCAAACTTATTTTTCTTTCCTTTTGATAAATTATAGCCATCTAAGTGAGTATGAATTGGTATCTCATTGAGGTTTTGGTTTGCGTTTTTTCAGTGAGTAAATATTGAGCATCTTTTTGTTGGTTTTTTACTTTGTATATGTTATTTTGACAAATGTCTATTCAAGTTTTGGCTGATTTTTAAATTGTGTTTTTTTTGTTGTTGACTTGTAGGAAATCTTTACATATTCTGAATATTAAACCCTTATTAGATATATGGTTTGCAAATTTTTTTCCATTCTGTGGATTGTTTTTCACTTGATAATTTCACTTGATGCCCAAATATCTTAAACTTGATCAAATCAAATTTATCTCTTTTTGTTCCTTATGTTTTTGATAGGGATTGCATTGAATCTGCATATCAATTTGAGAAATATTGCCATTTTAACAATGTTAATTTTTTCAGTTCGTGATTAAAGGATATCTTTCCACTTCTTTAGGTCATTAATTTCTTTCAGTAATGTTTTATAATTTTCAGTGTACAAGTCTTACACATACCTGATTAAATTTAATATTCAACGAATATTTATCAAGCTTAGCAGATGCAGTAGGTACAGTGATAAGTACAAAAGACACAATTAAAAGCCAATCCTAACTCCCTGTTATTCATTTATTTTAATACATCCATTTAGACTAAGACAGAAAGCTTTATCAGGACTGCCAATACAAACCCAAATCTTTAAATTTCGACTACTTGTACTTTTATCAATAATTTTCGCTGTTGCTTCAAAGTTTAGCCTGACTGAAGTCTCTATTATTTCTCTTCTTCTATGGTCACAGAATTTAAAAAGAGGTGTTCCAGTGTTATCAGGTATTATTAGTTTTGTGGCATAAAATCAGCAAATGGCTTAAACACATTTAAATGACTAGAACCTTTATTTACTTACACACTAATCAAATTATTATTTAATTCAATGACACTTTTAAATTCTTACATGTTAGACACTCTTTAGGCACTAGAAATGGAAAAGTGAAAAAGACATGGGTTTGGGCTTCAGAGAACTTAACAAAATTGTAAAATAAATATTAAACAATAAAATAAATACTGGATTTGGAAGTGTAAGTTCTAGTACAATGGTTCTTTCAAAGTGTTAGGTTGAAAAACACAAATGAAAAAATAAAGGTGTTCTTCCAGTTGTAATGCCTGTAAAGGCGTTTGTCAATGAGAAGACATTCCAAGCAGCTGGAACAGAATGTATGAAGCTGAGAAGCATTGAGGAGGAAGTTATATTCCAAGAACTCTGTCTAGTTGTACATATAGTTGGATACAGAGTGTAGGAATTGACTATGAGGTGCCAGGGAGAGAATGACAAAATATGAGATTTAAAAAATACTTAGGGATGATGCCATAGACAATATCCTAAAGACCAGTAGTTTCAAACATATTTTAGTGACATACGTCTTTGTACCTACACCAAAGGCAGAAGCAAAGCATTAGTAAATATAATAGACAAGAACAAGAAGTCTTCAAGACTTCTCTATTGGCCTTTTGACCCTCACTTAGCAAACACTCATGGAAAATTACTGAAAATCACTGTCATTCACATGGGGAGAAACTATAAAATATCCTGAAAATATGTGAAGTCAAAGGAGTTAATTCTTGCTAATTTGGGGTGGGTCCATTTAATAGTCTAGGAAAGGTTCAGATTTTAGAAATGGATTAGGAAAGACCCTAACTGATTTTATTTTTGCTCTCCCATAATTCGTTCACCACACATTTGCCATGGTAATCTCTTCAAAAAGTAAATCAGGTCACCCTGATTTTCTGTTGAACTTCCTCCAATTGCATCTAAAATAAGAGCCAGACTAGTTTCTGTGGCCCACATGTCTGAGCTTCATTTTCCTACAATTCTCTCTCTCAATCAACCTGCTCCGGCCATGACGGCTTTCTTCTGTTCTTTGCACACAAGGCTGGTTTGGGCTCTTCTGCTTTCTTCTTCCTCTGAGATGCTTTTCCTTTAGATTTTCACATAGCAGATGATTCATCACCCAAGTTTCCGCTTACATTTCTCCTATTCACAGAGGTCACCTCTGTCTACATAACCTAAGGGAGTTCTCTCCTGTCACTCCATGATGCCTCATCCTCCTTTTTAAAATAATTTTCTTCCTTGCACTTAGTAGAATCTGAATCATTGTGTATATATTAGACATGGGTTTGTCTGCTTTTTTACTGCTCTAAACCCAGTTTTCAAAACAATGCCAGGAGCATTGTATTCTCTCACTACATATCTGTTGAATACATAAATTGAATAAGGACAACATAAAGGGTAGATCCATCAATAAAAATTAGGAGAAATAGCAGTGAATATAGGTCAAATAGCACAGGACAAGCCTAGTGTAGTCTTTAAGATTGTGGTTGATAGTCTCTCACCCAAGAGGGATAGCCTCTGTGTCTTCAGTGTATGACTCATCACTTCTGCCCTTTATTTCATTTTGCCTTTCCTAATTCATCTTTCTAGTCACCTACATCCCTTCCCCTTGTTTTGCAGTGAAGTTATTATATGCAAAAATATTCCTAAAAGAGCACAGAACTTGAGGAAAGAAGCTTACATTCAAAACAATGCAGCTTTAACAAATATAGACAGTAAGCTGTCATCATAACCATATGAGTTATGCCAATTTGAGTGATAAATGTGAAAAAGCATCCTACAACACTAATAAGATGTTTACTGGGAGTCACTTGCAGTATGTGCACACTGAAAAGATATTATGTAGTTTCTGGCCTAAACTTACACTAAAGAGTCACATTTTATCAACAGAATATGATTTAAAAGTCACTTCTCACATTCTACAAATCATCTAGAAAACTTTCTTAAAAGAACTTTTGACAACTTAAAGAAAATGGATGAACTAAAAATCAGTCTGACTTTAAGATAGAAGAAAATTAAATTGGTTTCCACTAAGTTGACCACAATCAAGAAATTCAAATTTAACTCTGAAAGCAAAAGAGACGCTTGAAGACTAGTAACATGGTTTCAGGGAGAAGAAGATGAATTTAGCTAAAGTTTTTGAAGTCTCTAGTGAGGAGGGAGGTCATACATAGGAAGACCAAGAGGAAGTCTGCAGTCATCCAGACAGGCAATGATTAAAGCCTGGATGAGAACAGGAATTATTGATTGTCTAAAGGGGGAGTGGGTGGAGGGAGTTAATTTTCCTTGCTTCTTCCTTACCTCGTGCAAACAAATCATTGCTTTCGCCTATACATCTGAAGAAAATACATCACAAAAAATCAGAACTATTGGTGGATAAAAAACAATTGAAGCATAAAATGTTAAATGCTGCTAGAACTTGAATTTGTAAAGAGAGCTATAGAGACATAAATTATTAATTACTAGGGCCAGCACTGATTCCATATTGCCAGAGCCTACTGAGATTTTGAAAACCAATATGTTTTTGTCTTGAAGGGTGTTTGAAAGAAACTGGTTAACCTAAAAGGCCTTGAGATGTTAGGGGAATTACAGAAGAGAGAGTCTGTAAATCAATACAATTTCTTCAGCAAATACTGTATCAAAAAGAAGGACGTTGAATTCAACATTGTCAGCAATGGAGATAAAATCATTTATATCCCAGAAAGTATAAACAGCCTCAGACTAAATAGTTGACAGCACCAGAGGAAATTGAAAGAGGCTTTCCTTACACTGCGTCCGCACATTCTTTGATTCAGTGGGATGCCCATTTACAAAGACACACTATTGGTTTTGAAGAACGTGCACCCCCTCCAAAGCCTGCTTAAACACTTAGAAGAAAGCACTTGTGCTTCGCTTTTGGTGTAATAAGGATGTTTCACATTTTCAACTAGTGATTCCAACTGGTGAAGGGATTTTGTCGGTTTTTCTTCTTTTAAACAGGGTACTGGAGTGCTGACAAAGCTTAAGTAGCTTTAAATTTTGACTAATTATGATCTTGTGAGCCTAAAATCACTCCAGAATTGAAGACAGAATTCCCAAAGGAGAAATCACTGCTAAAACAAAGCACTAAAAAATTTTAAGCCTTTATGCCTATCTGCCACAAGTCCCCTAATCTCCGTAGCCTCAGTTTCCTTATCTTTAAAACAAGGAAGTAGTGCTTCATGATCCGATGAATACTATCCCATTCAAATATCCAATTATTATGTACCCCACATTATTTTTAACTGCTCCAGTTCCTGCATAGCCCATATGGCGAAAGTATAGAAATTTTCTCTTCTAAAACATTTCTCCATTCCCAGATAAAGTCTAAAATGACATATCTAAAGAAGAGGCTGGGAGTGAAGTACCTGTATCATAACAAAGAGGAAAATATAGGCTTAGATTAAAGAGAATGGAGAATTAATCCATCAATGACAGAATTTATTGAGCATCAACCATGACACATCCAGCACTGTGGCATCAAGAAAACGCAGAAGCATGGGAATCATGGTTTGTACCTTCTGGAAATCAACACACTAGCACCCAGAAAACCAAATTGCCTCTGAAAACATCAGAGAACTTATTTGAATATAGCATCTTTGATGACTGTTGAAGTTACACACACATACGTATAGATACAAATTATATGAATTTTACTAACATTCTACTTCGTTTGCTTTGAGTTATACCTGAGAGATAGCCATTAAGCTAAATAAGGTAGTTCTCTTGCCCTGATCACTATACCTTGCCAGTCATTTTTGACATCAGGCTATATTAAGAAGTATAATAGGCTGGAAATTCAATGGTTTGTACATTAAATATATCTTCACTGAATATCCTGCATTTTCTCATAGTAGATGACACTGTTCAGGTGCTTTCCATTTGAATTTATCACAAGTCATAAGACTTCCAGATGATTAGGCTTCAACTCTTAAAGTCTTGCATATTCTACTGTCTGCCCTTGTGGCATCTATAGGGCTCTCAAAAAAGGCTGACTTCACAACAATCATCATATCTTATTTTGATTCACAGATGATAAAAAATAATACCATTTAATTTTACCAAAAACAAAGTTTCTAATTTCTACTGGATCACAAACTTGTATCTACCAAATTGCCTCCTATTGCTTTTCTTCCAAAAACAGTCACTTCAGCCACCAGAAGAAATATTCTCCCTCTTTTTTCATATAATAGAAGTCATGCAAGCTAGAAGTATGATCCATGTCCCATCTTACACAAGAATTAGGATGTTTTTCATAGTTGAGCCAATCCATATATTTCTCCCTTCCTCTGGCTTTCTTCATTATATCTTGTCTGATTTAGGCTTTAAACTATTTAAGTCATAATTACCAGGAGGTCACTTAGCTTCTCCAGAGAATACGGGTAAAATTAAGGAACATTCAAAACTCACTATCTAATATTAGATAGCTTATCATACTATTGTTAGAATTCCAAGTTTCATAAGACCAAAAACAATGATATATTTGTAGTGTATTTAAAGAAAAAAGAAAAATGAAAACAAATTGGTTTGCTTAGTTTTATTTATATTAGCTCGACAGTATTGCAGACATTTCAGAATTTTGTTTTAGATATTTGTTTATTTTTAAAAAACATTTTAATTAACTGGGTGTTAATAATAAGCATTGCAATCAATCTAGTAAAATGAAATTGTAAGACCCCTGTATTAGTCTGTTTTCACACTGCTGATAAACACATACCTGAGACTGGGCAATTTACAAAAGAAAGAGGTTTATTGGACTTACAGTTCCACATGGCTGGGAGGCCTCACAATCATGACAGAAGGTGAAAGGCATGTCTCACATAGTGGCAGACCAAAGAAGAGAATTTGTGCAGGGAAACTCCCCTCTTTAAAACTTTCAGATCTCATGAGATGTATTCACTATCACAAGAACAGCACAGAAGATACCTGCCCCCATGATTCAATTACTTCCCACTGGGTCCCTCGCACAACATGTGGAAATTCAAGATGAGATTTGGGTGGGGACACAGCCAAACCACATCATTGCATCTCAGCCCCTCCCAAATCTCATGTCCTCACATTTCAAAACCAATCATGCCTTTCCAACAGTCCCCCAAAGTCTTAATTCATTTCAGCATTAATCCAAAAGTCTACAGTCGAAAGTCTCATCTGAGACAAGGCAAGTCCCTTCAGCCTATGAGCTTGTAAAATCAAAAGCAAATTAGTTACTTCCAAGATACAATGAGGATACAGGCATTGGGTAAATACAGCCATTCTAAATGGGAGAAATTGGCCAAAACAAAGGGGCTACAGGCCCAACACAAGTCCACAATCCTGCAGGGCAGTCAAATCTTAAAACTCCAAAATGATCTCCTTTGACTCCATGTCTTGCATCCAGGTCACACTGATGCAAGCAGTGGGTTCCCACTGTCTTGGGCACCTCTGCCCCGTGGCTTTACACAGTACAGCCTCCCTCCTGACTGTTTTCATGGGCTGGCATTGAGTGTCTGTGGCTTTTCCAGGTGCGTAGTGCAAGCTGTCAGTAGATCTACCATTCTGGGGTCTGGAGGATGGTGGCCCTCCTCTCACAGCTCCACTAGGCAGTACCCCAGTAGGGACTCTGTGTGGGGCTCTGACTCTACATTTCCCTTTTGCAGTGCCCTAGCAGATGTTCTCCATGAGAGCCCCACCCCTGCAGCAAACTTCTGCCTGGGCATCCAGGCATGTCTATACATCTTCTGAAATCTAAGCAGAGGTTCCCAAATCTCAACTCTTGACTTTTGTGTACTTGCAGGCTCAACTGCACATGGAAGCTGCCAAGACTTGGGACTTGAAGCCACAGCCTGAGCTCTATGTTGGCCCCTACCCAGCTAGGACACTGGGTACCAATTCCCTAGGCTACACACAGTAAGGGGGCTCTGGGCCTGGCCCATGAAACCACTTTTTCCTCCTCAGCCCCTGGTCCTGCGATGGAAGGGGCTGCCGTTAAGGCATCTTATGTGCTCTGGAGACATTCTCTCCATTGTCTTGAATGTGGTTAACATTCAGCTCCTTGTTACTTATGGAAATTTCTGCAGCTAACTTGTATTTCTCCTCAGAAAATGCAATTTTCTTTTCTATCACATTGTCAGGCTACAGATTTTCCAAACTTTCATGCTCTGCTTCCTTATAAAACCAAATGCCTTCAACAGCACCCATGTCACTTCTTGAATACTTTGCTCCTTCAAAATTTCTTCCACCAGATACCTTAAATCATCTCTCTCAAGTTCAAAGTTCCTCAAATCTCTAAGGCAGGAGCAAAATGCCACCAGTCTACTTGCTAAAACATAACAAGAGTCACCTTTGCTCCAGTTCCCAATACGTTCCTCATCTCCATTGAGACCACCTTTGCCTGGATTTCATTGCCCATATCATTATCAGCATTTTAGTCAAAGGCATTCAACAAGTCTCTAGGAAGTTCCAGACTTTCCCACATTTTCCTGTCTTCTTCTGTGCTCTGCAAACTGTTCCAACAACTGCCTATTACCCAGTTCTAAAGTCACTTCCACATTTTCAGGTTTCTACAGCAATGCCCCACTCTACTGGTACCAATTTACTGTATTAGTTTGTTTTCATGTTGCTGATAAACACATACCCGAGACTGGGCAATTTTCAAAAGAAAGAGGCTTATTGGACTTACAGTTCCACGTGGCTGGGGAGGCCTCACAATCATGGCGGAAGGTGAAAGGCACATCTCACATGGTGGCAGTCAAGAGAATAGAGCTTGTGCAGGGAAATCCCTTTTTAAAAACCATCAGATCTCATGAGACTTATTCACTATCACAAGAACAGCATGAGAAAGACCTGCCCCCATGAATCAATTATCTCCCACTGGGTCTCTCCCACCCACAATATATGGGAATTCAAGAAGAGATTTGGGTGGGACACAGACTAACCATATCAACCCCCAAAGAAGGTAACATCAGTGACAAAGGAGCAGCTCAGCATATTCTAAAGGTATCTTAGGCTATTAATCTTTTACCAGTTTAATGCTTTGGTGGGCAAATATGAATACCATATTCAGGCAGGAAAGTCAAACTCATGTGTATGAAGTGTGTTGATCAAGGCCAATCATTTAACACGAGAAGAACAGAGCTTTGACTCGATTGACATCTTAACTTATATAAAACTTAAATAGCTCTTCAGAAGACTGAGAAAAATGATAATATTTAATGAATTTTAGAACTCTAAGGTGGATAAAAAGCATAAAATGTGGAATATGTCCAAATGAAAACGTGTTGGGATGTTTCTGCAATATTATATTAGACTTATGGTAAACTGACCAGCCCTGAAATTGATCTGTATGTCTCTAAAGATCATAAAAAAATTATGCTAGATTGGATGAATGGTATACCTTCCCAGTAACTTATCTCTGATAAATGTAACAGAATATTTTGTGGGACACAATGGTAGCTATTTCTCATAGTGCTTATTTGATTAGAATTCACTGTAGTTTACATATGCCACATCTTAGAACAGAGAGTTTAATGTTTTCCTTAACAGCATATGTAAAGTATTTGAGTAAAAATTAGGAAGAAAGTATATATACATATGCAAAATATATTGCTGCTGTATTTTAGGTGTTAGTCAAGGCTCAATACTTGGGGCCTAAGTTTTACAAAATTTCTATAATGTAAATAGTAACGTGATTTCACTGATGCAGAATCTTTGGTGGAATATAAATGAATAGCTTACCCAGAGTCACACAAGTGATAGTGATGAAGGTAGCACTTTCAATCCAATACCTCATGTTAAAGTGCCAGTTTCACTGTGTTACACCTAGATTCGGGGATATATAGGATAGTTGTCCACTGTCTTTACCTGTCCTCAGGGAAAAAATTAATGACATATCCAGGCACATATCCCTTGCTGAACTAAGCTGTGTCTCAGATAATTCTCCACTAAGTCACTAGAAATCTACTGGACTATATCTGACATGTGAAATAAAAGGCATCATTGCTCCATCAACTATGCATGCTAGGAATACAATCAAACACACATACATGCATGCACACACACACACACACACACACACACACACACACATTTTTAAACTGTTAAAGAGATTCCACCCATAAGATCCATCCTGATTGGAATTAGAGCAACATCTAAGCACCATGGATGCATATCTCTGGAATTGAAAGACTTGAGTATAAACTTATATCTGGATAGATGGTACATTTTTCATTACCTGGCAGTCTGGGGGGACTTTCTTCTCTCAAAAAAGTACTTCTCCAAATGCTGGTGCCCAAGAAGCCCTTCCTCTTCTGTCTTCTTCCAAAACAACCTATGTTTCAACACCTAATTGAAGTTCTACCTACCTCCTTTATTAAGCCTGCCAGATTGCCCTAACCCAGATATCTCTTATCTCTCAATTCCTTTTTTGTTCAGAACATTTATATTCAATTATCTACTACTCCCTTCTACACTGCCTTTTACAGTTATTATTTTCTGTTGCTATTTCTTCTAAATATTTTGTATTGAAAACAGCAATAATTGTCTTGGTGGTAATGAGAGTTGAAGGCCTCTATGTCTAAATCAGTTGCCAAAACTCACCACAAAATAGGCATCCAATTTAAATAAAGACATTGTGATTACTATGCAAATAGGGTTTCAAGACAAGGTCCCTAAATTCCTCCCTAAACAAATATTCCCAACTAGAGGCTGCTTCATCCAAGCCACTTCTATACAGATATTTTGAAATCATCACTAGTAGAAATTTATTTCTCTTTATCTGTATCTCTTGATGCTTAATAGCTTAATCGTTTTGTTTTCACAGGAGCTCAGAATTCTGTGATACATTCAATTAAATAAAATCCAAAGTCCCCCTCCCTCTTTTCAGCAAAATAATGTGAATTTGTAAATACATGATTTATGGCCAAAAATGACTTACTCAATGAGGAAAACAACCGATTTGAAGTGCCTGAAAAGTTTTCAAGTTTGAACATATGGCTTTAAAACATTATATAATAACTTTATACAATACTAAAAATATTACTTCCTTTTATTCTTCCTTATTTTTGCCTAATCCAGGTTCTCATTCAGGATACACTGAGACTATGTTAGGCCCATAATAATTTTTGGTCTTTTCATTGTTATGCCATTTTTATATGGATAGTTGCTTGGCGACCTAGGCCATCTTCTTTGAAGTCTGCCTTGCCATTGCTTTCTGAGAAGCCATAATAACCCTGACACTTTCTGGGAAGCCTTAATAAGCCTTGCTTTGTTGTGTGATTGAAACTAAGCAAGAGCTTCATATTCTACTCCTCATGTATGTTTTAGATAGCAGTTGGAGTTAAATTGATTTGTCTTTGTTGTTGAATTTAACTTTCCTTATACCTTTAATTCTGATTTATGGCAGAGACCATTTTTCCTAAAATGTTTTTTACTTAAGTCTACTTGTTTCTAAGGCACTGTGAGACTTATTTTTATATTTTATTTTATCCTTCTTTCTTGTGAGTCCCTGTGCTAGACATCTGAGAAGTTAGTTTTAAGAGCTTCTTTTCTTGGTTGATATTTGCTTTGACATCAATGGGAACTCACATGTGTAAATGAAAACTCTTCTATGGAAAGAATCTTCTTTAACATCCATCTGGACCAGCCAGATAAGTCTGACAATGGTTTTATATTACTCAAGGAAACTTAACTATTTATTACTGTTGTATACTCTGAGCAGATTCACATAGGAATGCATTAACGATGTTAGAAAATAGTTCATATCATCATATGAAAATATATCTCCCAAGTTACAGCTCTTCATATATTATAATAATTTTCTATACGAGTCTTTAGAAAGTACATCATTTCACAAGATCTGTACAACAATGACATGAGTTGGTGTAGGAATATATTATCATTGTTACTTTTAGGTAAATTAAGTGAGGCTTACCTATAAGATTAGATCATTTGATCAAAAAAGTTAAAAAGAGCAGAGCCAGCATTAAAATTTAAAATGTTCTGATTGTAAATAAAGAATGAATGATGCTGAAATTATTTTTAAAAATTCATAAAATGAACTGATTTTGAAAGCCTACTTAAACCAATTTTATGCCTATATAATGTGAAATGATTCATTCACATATTCATTTATCTATATATACATATATGTTGGTATTCATTCAACAAAAATCTACTAAATACCTAATATAGGCCATAAACTCTCTTATACACAGGAGCAGATGTAGAAAGAAATAAGTTAAGACTTGTGCATTGTGTGACAATACAGTATGATATTGAAGATGCTGGCTCCTGAGTCAAAAAATATCACATGCAAACTATTCTGTTTTTACATTAGTTATGTAACATTTTAAATATTTTGTTAAACACAAGAACGAATTATTCACAAAAATATATTTCCAAAAAGAACAGAAAAGTAAATACAGCTTTTTGAGACAATTTTAAACTTCCAAAAGGGTTGCAAAAATAGTTTAGAGATTATGTGAAATGTTCAGAGTAGGCTAACTGGAGACAGAAAGTAGATTAGTGATTGCTTAAGTCTGGAGGTGGTGCAGGGAATGGGGGAAAATGGAGAGTGACAGCTTATGAGTATGATGTTTCTTTTTGGTTTTTATACTTTAAGTTATGGGGTACATGTGCAGCACGTGCAGGTTTGTTACATAGGTATACACGTGCCATGGTGGTTTGCTGCACCCATCAACCCGTCATCTACATTAGGTATTTCTCCTAATGCTATCCCTTCCCTAGCTCCCCACCCCCAAACAGGCCGCAGTGTGTGATGTTCCCCTCCGTGTCCATGTATTCTCATTATTCAACTCCCACTTATGAGTGAGAATGTGCGGTGTTTGGTCTTGTGTTCTTGTGATTGTTTGCTGAGAATGATGGTTTACAGCTTCATCCATGTCCCTGCAAAGGACATGAACTCATCTTTTTTTATGGCTGCATAGTATTCCATGGTGTATATGTGCCACATTTTCTTTATGCAGTCTATCATTGATGGACATTTGGGTTGGTTCCAAGTCTTTGCTATTGTGAATAGTACTGCAACAAACATACGTGTGCATGTGTCTTTATAGCAGCATGATTTACAATCCTTTTGGTGTATACCCAGTAATGGGATGGCTGGGTCAAATGGTATTTCTAGTATAGATCCTTGAGGAATCGCCACACTGTCTTCCACAATGGTTGAACTAATTTACACTCCCACCAACAGTGTAAAAGCGTTCCAATTTTCCACATCCTCTCCAGCATCTGTTGTTACGTGACTTTTTAATGATCGTCATTCTAGCTGGTGTGAGATAGTATCTTATTGTGGTTTTAATTTGCATTTCTCTAATGACCAGTGATGATGAGCATTTTTTCATGTTTGTTGGCTGCATAAATGTCTTCTTTTGAGCAGTGTCTGTTCATATCCTTTGCTCACTTTTTGATGGGGCTGTTTTTTTTTCTTGTAAATTTGTTTGAGTATGAGGTTTCTTAAGAGAAGTTCCATTAATAGTATAACTGTTTTCCAATCATGGTATTTATAGCTATATCTTCATTCTTATGAGGGTGTGTGGGTGTGTGTGTGTGTTTGTGTGTGTGATCATACCAATATCATCTGTCATTTCTAGTGTTTGGATTAGAAAGAAGACAGAGATTAGTGGTTCTCACTACCATTTTGATCCCATCCTCCTATGAATTCATACTTAATTTTTAAATTCAAATACTCTATTTCCTTCAGCAATAGCAAGTCAAAAGTTTGCTTATCTCTAGGGACTCTTGTCAATTAAGTTCTTCACGTAGGAAGATTCTTTTTTTTCAAGTGCACTCCTCTAATTTAGATGTGTTCATGACATGCACAGAACCTATCTATAGAAGCTTCTACAGAATATCTCCAAGCCCCAACTTCCATATCACTCTCACCTTACCCAAATATATGTTCTCAGAAAACAATCTCATTAAGTAACTGCATCCCTAAAAAAGAATGCTGGTTGTTGGATTTCCTTCTTACCGTTTTACACAACTAATTCATGAAGTGTCAGAAAACAAACAATTCTTTTTTATGCTTGTTTTACATTTGGGAATAGATGAAGTTTACCACCCTACTCACTACACCATCGTTTCCACCAAACTAGATATGTTGAATATATTACAGTCAATAAGAAGTTGTGGTTGTGTAGAATATCCAACATTGCAAGCTAACATAGTTTTATTGAGACAAAACTGCATTTTTTTAAGATATCAAATTAGCCACAGTCAAGTTTGACAAGACCTATGTGCAATAAGGAAACTGATGTTCAGCTTTTAATTTCATTTAATTAACAAGGTAAGGGGTGATTAAGTGCAAGAGTTTTTTTTTAAAAAAAATATTCCTTTATGATCATCCCAATTGCATGCATAATAACTATTCTCTAATATAAATATACAGTGTACCTGGTTTGATTCAAAATGCCTTAAAAGGGTTTCTAACCTTAATTAGCTGTAATGAAACATCTGTATAATAAAAAAAAATTTTGTTGTTAATATCTAAATATCAGAGCCCATCAATAAAATTTGTCTATCTAGTGCTCAACTGCCAGGAAACAAAACCATCTGGAATCTAAACTAATAAGATAAGGTTTTTCCTTGTTTCCTTATTTCCTTGAAATAAATTTTCAGTTTTAACTTTGACCAGGCAAACACATCATCGCAGATTCTATTGGTAAAAGTGTTATGTCTTTTTGAAAACAGGCCCCTCAGGCCTAGACTTAGTATATTCTTGCTATTGTTTTACACAAAACTTTCACAAGTTAAAGTGTATGATTTTCAGACTTCCAAAAAGCAATATATAATAGAGAAGGTCTGTAAGAGAAATGCAGACACCAGCCAGTGGGCTCACAGTTGTGACATACTGAGCTGCTCCTGAGAGCACCCTAGGTTTATATCACAGGCTGTTCAACTGATGATCCGATATGAGAAACAAGATATTAAAAGGCAGAAAATTCTATTTCATATATTCTAATTAAAAATCAATGGCACATATAATAAATATCAAAAATATTTTCTTTGACCAGAATGTTTTTAGGCTGGCACAGTGTCTCATGCCTGTAATTCCAGCACACTGGGATGCTGAGGCAGGCAGATTACTTGAGCCTAGGAGTTCAAGACCAGCCTGGGCAACATAGCAGGACCCCATCTCAAGACATAAAAAACAAATGGAATAAAATAAAATAAGATAAAATAAAATAATAGTTTATAGTCAGAGTATTTAAAATATTTAGCTACTGATAAAACTCGTTTATTCAGAATGATTCATGCACTGAGAGCTATTGTTAGACAAGATGTTTCTGTAATTATTTTTGTAAAGTGTAATTTTTTTCAAAAACTAAACAGGTTTGAGGACATTTTTTTCAACAGACTGTCTTCTGAGGTGTATGTATCATGTTTTTGTTTAAGGGACAGACCAGTCAATAAGGTCACTAACCAAGCATTGAAACAAAGCCTACAAGAGTATTATATGTCAGAGATGTTGTGTATGCGGTACTAAAGCAATAGGTAGAGACAAATAAATTAGTGGATTTAATTCAAAAGAGAAAAATCATTCAAATTCAGCCAAAATGGGCATTTTTGTTCCTCTACCTATCAAAAATAGGTTCTGGTTCTTTAGTCATGAAATATACAAACAAGTTCCAAAAGTGTTACATGTTCCATGATAGAGGAATGTAACAGAGTCGGGAAAAAATAGAAGAGGAGGCTAACTTTACCCCCTAGGAAGAGTTAAAAATGCTTTATTAAATAGGCACTAAGCTGAATCTTGAAAAGGAGACAGTGTTATCAGGCACAAGTAGATGTAAGAAGGAAAGTTGGTGGACAGGCCTACAATGCATGCTTAATAAAGGCAGCTGAAGGAATGAGTATATGCATGAGGAAATGGAACTGTGTCAGTAAAAGATGGGAAATATAAAATACTCTGAGACATGAATATGTTATAAACCAATTCACTATGGCTATAGCACAGACTACACTGTAGGGCATGATGAAAGGTAAAGCTTGTGATATATAGGCAAGGGTGAATGATAGAATGTTTTCTCTAAATTAGAATTACTCTAAAGGCAATGAGAATCATTTAAAAGTCTTAATAGAGGAATATTATAGTCATTTTTTGAAATCATATGACAACAATATAAAGGAAGAAACAAATGAAATTGATTTAAAATATAAGTTACAAAATTCATAAAGTTCTGCCACCCCTCCAGTGGAAGTATCTAGGATTAGCACAGCTGACACCTAATTGGGTTAAGGAGAGTGGTGAAATTCCATGCAAATGAGAGAAGTGAGTTCACTATTTGCACTAACAATAATTCACATCATTATCTGATTTCCTATAGTCATACAGAGCGGTTGTGATGTAATTAATAGTAGAAAATGTTAATATTGATTCGATATGAGATTTGGAGTTGGAAAAGCAGAAGGTAAGGTGGACCAATACATTGAGTGCATTGAAGCAAAAATACACCAAAGTTGAACAGGTAGTAGAGACATTATACAAGGCATTTGCAATAAAGGAGAAGGACCAGAGCTCAGCGTGAACTTAACTCCACTGAGACAGGGGAGATCTTGGGCTAACTGTATTTGCTAATTGGGTGTACCAAAAGGAAAAGTAAACTTTCTTTATCCTCATAACAAAAGATAGATCTACAACTTGGAGCAAGGTGCCCACTAAAATTAGCCTCCTTCTCTCCCACAGAGACTGGCAGGTAAGGGTGCTATCTTCCTTGATGATTACATTTCAAAAGAATGATGCCCAGGTCCTTGAGAAATTCTACACCTGGGCTGCAAAACTGGCAAGAAGCATTTCAAAAAATTTACATCTCAAAGGGGCACAGAAAGAATTTTAAATTACAAATTACAATTTTTTAATGTAAATTCCTGAAGAATAGGGAGCTCGGAGGCCTAGAGTCAAGAAGAAACCTCTCTAAAATGTAGTCAAAATGAGGGGAATGTCAAGGTCCTCTTAGTCAATGGGAAGAAAATGACTAAAATGATACACAGTGGAGTCAAGCCTAAGTGGCAGAAACTGGGGAAACCAGCAGACAGGTGATGGATTGAAAGGGATGTATTATGAGGTCTAAGGACAAAGTATAGAGCATGTGAAGAACTGAGAAAGGAGCATATACATGAGATGGTGGTAAATGTTTATGTATTTTCATATTGCAAGTTAACATTTTGGGATGAGAATATTTTGGCTTCATTATGAATATGGGTTACTGATATGAAAGTATCAGTAACCTTGGTTAAGGTATTAAAACCAAGGAAGAAAAACTGAGGGTAGATAACACTAATGAGAGCCTTTTTCAGTGCTAGCTTTGTGCCAAACATACAGTATTTCATGTAACTCTAGCTCTAATCCTCACATTGTGAGAAACGCTGCCAGATTACTTTTCCCTTACTTGAACACATTCTTGCAATACTTCATTTAAAAGCACTGTTTGAAACCTGGTGTAAACTAAATGTCCTGTATTGTCAGGATTTTGGAGTATTTGTGACTTTTGTGTGTGTGTGTGTGTGTGTGTGTGTGTGTGTGTGTTCATTCTTTGTTTCTTTTTATTTTTGTTTCTCAACATACAGATAGACTCTTAAGGCTTCTAACTCCCTCCACATGCCTTTCTCAGCTTTTCTAAATTAGCTATTTTAATCTGAGAAATAAAATAGTCAGGCTTGCTGAATTTTAAGGAAACTGGAAATAATTAATATTTATCACTGCTCGGAAATTGAGTGGGAGTGGAGAGAATTACTTTTTACTGTAAATACTTCTTTATTATTAGAATTTATTAAAATAAACCTTAGATATTTAAAAAGGTATTTTAAAAATTATATGTAGATTAATTCTGCTTTAAGTGAACACCTGAGGGACCTTCCCCTGACAAAAATTAGTGAGCATTAATGTATGAGCTTTATGGCCTCTATTTTTATTGCCTAGAGGTCTTTTGGGTGTCCTTTTCGATTTATCAGTGCCCTCTAGATATGTGAGGTCACAAAGTTTTTGAGTTTTCAATACACAGAACATTATTGTATTCACACATTTCCTCATTTCGGAAGACAAGAATAGTGGGAAAAAAAATTCTGGCTCAATTATTTAGCAGTGAAGTGGTTAAAAGCCCCACTGCAGCTGATTTCAAAGTTTTAGTGTGATTTGCTCTTGAAAAATGTTTTCTCTTGTCATCACTGGAGAGTACTCTGCTCTTCTCATATTATGCATAACAAAATCTCGGTCAGAATAGGGAAAAACATCAATTATTAATTAGACATAAATTATTCCTAATCTACACACAATGCCTAATCCCTGGTTCACAGAAATGCAAACTGTGCTTCAAAAACAATATGTTAACGAGTCATTTGTCTGCAGAAGACAGGAGCCCAATTTCAACATAAAATATAGAACAAATACTTCAAGCTAATTTCAAGGAATATGCTGATGGAAGTTATCCAGAACTGCAAAGAAATGGAAAACCATGCAAACAAAATACTCACAATGTGAACCTGCCTCTTGGTACATAAAAACTAGTGTGTGTATGGTAGCTTTTTTTTCAATTCTCTAAGAAAATTAAGAGTTGTCTGAAAATTAATACTAGTTACCTCTTTACTATAAATAGTAAAAACAGCAAATAAGTAACAAAGGAAGGGATGATGGCTTTATGAGGCCAAATTTTCTTTAGCCTATTAGGACACTCAGAACATTAAATACATTGCAGAAGCTAGAAAAACTGGTAGACTATAAACAGAAGCAATTAAAATTGCTAATTAAAAAAAAAAGAGAGAGAGAGACTCGTAGACAAGTAATCTAGCCCAAACCAGGCAACACATGAATCCTTTCCTATTCAAGTTAACTTCAATAGTTTTCATGGTAACAGTTGTGGCCAGATGCTGAAGCTTTCCTCCATACCTCCAGCTCCATATATCCTCCACATACCCAGCATCAAAGTCACAGATACAGGAAAGGTTATTCTGCTACACTTTCCCAGAAAGATGGGGAATTTTCCTGATCTAAAACATCTCTAGATAGATTTCACTTCATATTCCAGGTCTCAGAAATTGCACAGTTTAAATGTATAATATAAATGTATTATGTTAAAATGCTGTAAGAAAGGACAGGTTTTATGGTATTTTATCACTCACTTAGAGTTATTTATTCTAGGCAATGGTTTTAAGAATACGGGTACAGAGTAATGCACCATTTTCTAAGGTATTTTCACTAAAAACTGATCCTTAAATCCTCCTGAAAAAAAAAGAAAGACTCTGTGGTCAATACATTTGGCAAACTATGCATCTGTAGGGATGGGGCATGCTCCTTTTTCTTAATCTCTTATCTCTCCTTTCCTCAAAGAGGAGGATTTATTATTCTGATTGGACAGACTTCAGAACATTTATTTTAGCCCAATTTATTATTGGGTGGGGTAAATAATGCTTTAGAACACGCATTTATGGCATTGTCCCCTTAAACACCTGTTTTGGTTGCAGCTGCACAGGTTAACTAAACTGAGCCTCTTCTTTGGACCCAGCCCTCTGGCTTTTCTTTTTCTTTCTGTGTGTTGTTTTCCTCCAGCACTGCCTGCTATGCAGTTTGGTGACAAGTGCAATCTAGCTATCTTGATTTTCTCCTTTTTGTTCTTTTATGCATTTCATTTATAGAATGATTTGAGAATTATGCTAGTATTTACTCAGAGTAGGTCTAATATCTTCTTATTTTCATTTAAATATATAGTAAACTGGCTTCCAGCTTATTTCAGCTGGCCATATTGGTCTTTGAATAAATGGAATCACATTGGTAAGTTTGGGTCAGTGAACAGATATCATTTATTTCTGCACATCTTACCAGCATACTTAAGAGACTTCACTGGAGGAGTATCAGGCATTCACATTATTAATATTAAAATGGTACTCTGAGTTCCTATTTATTATTGTTATTGCTTCTTCTGTATACCGCTTCCTCTGGAGACCACATGAAGAGAAAATGTGATTAGTACAAGCCAAGTTAGGAAGCTCCTGGGCCTCCTGGCCATAATACCTTCCTAATGCTATCAAAACTTACTATTATTTCTAATATGTAATGTCTCCAGCTCAGGGAGTCCCAAACTACTTGCATATATTAAATAAAGTATATTGAAAGTCTTACACAAAAAAAGCTCTTTAAGTATATAACACTGTGTTCTGAAATATTTAGTGATGGATTTTTTTTTAACTCCCGTGGTATTGCACATTTCTTATGGAAAGGATATCCTAGAGACATTATTTGGGAACTTCTGCTCCAGAATGACAGTGAGAATATAAACAATTGTCTATGTAATCGCCCAAAAAGTAACAATTTGGCCTAAATTGCCTCTAAAACTGCCTAATTCTTCACTTCAATCTACATATGTAAATTTTCCTTAAACTAATGATACTGGAAACAAAAACTTCACTCAACCAGAATATAACTCAAATAGTAGTAGTAGTTGATTCTCTAAAAACGTATTTTACTTCTAACTTTTGCATGTAAGTGTTCTAGGAATCTTTCTTAACAATAGTTAGATCTTGAAGAAATCAAACACTGAGTAACACTTTACAGATTACTCATACACCTTTTATTTCTTGTTAAATATCTATTTTGTAGAATATTTTTATGTCACAATATTCTTTATCTCTTTGATTACTCCCGAGTCTCTCTGAAATTCAGAATAAGCTCCCGTGCTATTTAACCGAGAGGAATAACCTATGATTACCACGTGGAATTTTTCTCACTTACCTTTCTCTAAGATACATTTCTGTATCATAGTCATATCAATGAAATTCTAATGTCACTTTAGATACATTCAAATATAATACAGAATTGAATAAAGCCTTCTTATTTTTTGAGATTATGAAAGCATGTATTTAATATTGTTAGTTTATTTTTAAAATATATAATGGTTCTTTTAGTCACAGAGGAGCTAAATACATGTACTTTAATGTAAAGAAAATTTTTATAATACAGTGTTCATTAGCACAATTGAATAATAACTAAGGAATAAAATCGTATCTGGCAGGCAGCATCTGCATGAAACAAAATTGACTGCTTCTCCAGCCAATAGTCTACTTTCTGTTATTGATGAATAAGAAATAAATGAAAATTCCTTAATACCAGTTTGGTCTAGAAGGGTTTGTTTAAAGTAACTAAGCCTCTAATTATGATGTACCTATGTGAGAAACCCAGGACCTGAAAAAGCCAGGCATAATATATTTTGAGTATATTTAAGGAAATGCTATTTTTCTGTTTAAGATGCCTCATTCCTAAAAACAAGAAAATGGCAGAAAATCTTTCTGGAACTTCATGGTCATAAGTTGTTTGAAGGAGTGTAAGTTTTTTGTTCTCAGAGAGCAAAATATAAGTGGGCTCTTTGAGTTACAGCAAGAACCACCACATCCGGATACTTCCAATAGAGCCCAGGTTTAAAATCTAGGAACAGATTTCACAGGGAAGACTACAGTCATTACTTGAATCAAAGTCAGTAACTAAGACTCAATTGGACTTTCAAAGGAAGTTTCAAATTTCAACCTCAGTTAGATTTTAGAGACATCCTGAGCCACTGATTCCCCAAATATCCTTTACAAAGAAAAATAATTTCCTATACCAAACAACTTTCAAAAAATTGTCTATATAGCCTGTTTGGGCCACCACAACAAAATACCAGATAGTAGTTGGTCTAAACAACAGAAATTTATTTTCTTACAGATCTGGAGGCTGGGAAGTTCAAAACCAAGGTGCTGGCTATTCAGTTCCTGGTGAAAGATCTCTCTCCTTGGGTTGCAGATGGCCGATTCCTCACTATGTTTTCATGTGACCTTTCCTCAGTGTGTGTGTGTGTGTGTGTGTGTGTGTGTGTGTGTGTGTGTATGCATGCTTTAGGGGTCAAGGAGGAACTTCCCCCTTGACCCTCTGAAGGTTCACTAAGAAAACAACTCACAAAAGCAGATTAATTCGTAGGAGAAAAGGCATCCACACTTACCTAATATGTGTACACGAGAGACTTCAGAATGAAGGCCCAACTCCCACAGTGGGGTACAGAAACTTAAGTACCATCTTAAGGTTACAGAAAGAGTGCAGGCTCAGAGCATGGGCAAAAAGAGGATATAGTAGTAAATCAGGAGTTAGTGGCAACACAGGTTACGGGAAGGAAAGAAGAGAGGCTTGGCTAGCAAAGATAGTCTCATTATATAGATGAAACCTTATGGGAACAGCCCTCAGAGAGAATCTATGGTAAATGTTTCTTTCGGACCCTTGAAGGTGTCAGATTCTCAGTTAACCTTTTCTAGATCCTGACAAAGTTAAGGGCAAGCCACAGTAATACATATTTTCTATGGATTTACAGACACAGATTTCCCCCACAAAGACAACTTTGCAGGGCTACTTCAGTCTGCCAGCCATTTGGCACCCATCTCAAAATATATCAAAGAAATATATTTTGGAATAAAATGTTTTTTTTTCCTTAAGTACCTTGAGAAAAGAGAATCTCTCTCTTCCTTTTCTTATAAGGCCAATAATCCCATCATGAGGGCCCCGTCCTCATGAGCTAATCTAATCATAATTGCCTCCCAAAGGCTCCATCTCCAAATACCATCCCACTAGGGGTTAAGGCTTCAACATATAAATTTGGGAGGGAGGGACACAAACATTAAATGCATAACACTATCATTCTAAAGTGAACATTAAATTGCTGGAAAGCTTAATTTCTCACAAGCAAATAAACACAAGCAAACATTTTATGTATGGGTGAATAATAGACCTAAAGTCCAGGCTCTCTCTAGCCTTACATCATATGCTGAACATGAGGAACTACCAGAATACTGACTACCTCTTAGGTGGAAAACCAAATTTTTTTAAAAAAAAGATTTTTTTGAAACGAAAAAACTTTTACCATTTTTTCTTACACTTTTTCAAAAGATAAAAGTACTTCTGTATTGCATGCAATTAATTGTGTTCCTCTGGTTCCCATGACCTGTAAGATACTCACAAAGCATGATTCTGACTGGCTCCCATTCCAGATAAGGTTGACCCATGCCCTGTTCCATGCAGGAGGATTGCCCACTCCTGCCTCTATTTCTTTGCCCTGTACTTTTTTCCAACCCCCGTTCTTATGCTTCCCGTAAAATATTCCCTATTTCAAATGCTTCTTTCAATGATCGACATCTTTTTCTTTCTTCTAAATTCTTCATCTAGCCCTTGCTATATACTCAGTTGAATCACAAGCTTTTCCACTCCTGAAATAAGACAAGATTTTCTGTCTCTCCAAACACTGAGAACAGAGCATTGCATAGGGTGGATGCTAAATAAACTGGGTCTACCATTTCTACATTTTGATAGAGTTGTTCTAGCTCCTACATACAAAGGTTCTTAAGCAGTGCATTTTTGTTCAAAGTTTGCTTTCCATAACAGAATCCTCATATTAAGTGTTTATGCTCTGATATTCACCAACAAATTCTGAGTTTTCTACAATTTTCTATGTCCGTAAATGCATCTCTAAATCAAATAGAACTCCCAACCTCAAATTCAAAGGAAAAGACCTGACATCTGTGTCACTAGAGTCCAGCCAGATTCCTTTTCTCCTCTACTCTGTCCAATTTCCCCAGTGAAATTGCCAACACAATGATGAATGCAGAAATGGAAAGAATGCAATACCGCACATGATTGATTGCATAGCAATGGGAGAAATCTACAGAAAACCCCAAGATGGGAACTTATTTCATATCACTCCCTGTTGCTGCTCAGTCGTGAATGCTGCTGTGATTCATTTTTAACACTTTGAAATCTCTTGGTATTTGTAACATGCTCTGAAGCAGATATAAATTGATTGCTCAGCCCTACCTTTTTATGATTGACATGTTTTTACTAACATTTAGCCACACGCTTAATATTGCTTACATATAACTTTTATTCCTTCTCGGGGAAGGAAAAGGATAGTTTTACCACTATATTGCATAAGTTAAGAGAGCATTTTGTAGTTTCTATAAAGTAATCAAAACAGCATCTTTTCTTATGTGTTAGAGAGCATGCATTACTGGAAGTGTAAGATAACCACATATGTTTTGGGGATTGAATTATTCCAGATCTTTTTTTTTTTTAATGAACATATAGCTACTGAAAAATGAAATGTAGTTTAGAAGGGCAAGTTTTGGTAAGCACCAGGTGATGAACTATAAAACAGAATGGTGCTGACCATGATTTCAGCAAGCATGTCTTGATATGTAAACTTATATATCTTTTTAGAGGCATTCTTACTTTAAGCAGAGGCTAGCATTCAATGCAGGGCAGTCAGCAAAAATAAACAAACAAAACACTTGCTCATTCAAGCATAATAGAGTCCACTAAATAAGACAACTTAGAAATAACCGTTTTCCAACCAAAGGACCAAATATTTAGTTTAGGTTTTGGTTTTGGCTACTTGTCCTACATGGGATAAATCGGTGACTGTGTTCCACATGTGTTCCAAACATGCAAGTCTTAATAAGCAGTTTAGGATTCAGAGACCAGCTTGGTAAAATTGGGCATCTTTGACATTTTTGCTTTCCAGAATTTTAAGACAGCTTGCAGTTTTGCCTAAATGTTTCCTCTAGGTAGCAGCCTATTAATGTAGGAACAGATTGCTTATTCCACTGGTAGCTGGTAAGAATCAAGCAATTTGTAAAAGGATTTCTCCACAGGTTAACTTTTCAAGCATGAATTCCATAGGCAAAGAATTAGGAGGATATGGCTCCTAAAGCCTGGGCACTAGCATTCTACTACATTATTCTAGCTTAAGCCATTAAATATGTTTTATTCCAATACAACACTTAATTCCTCTCCTCAACAAGTAGATGTTGTTTTGGCCTAATTAGATGCACCATGAATCTGAGATGTGTGTAGCTGCAGTTAAAACTTATTTAGCCAAGAAAATGCTATGTCGAACCTCCACGCAGTTTCTCAAAAAAAAAAAAAAAAAATCTGGACATTATCTCATCAACACCTTGGGCAGTATAGTAGTATTCCTTTGCATTTCTTAGACAAAATGAGTGCATGCCATTGATATCTGTTATGTACAAATATCATGTTCCGGTAAGTTCCAGTAAATTCTGATGTAACCGATGGCAAAACTTAGCAAATCAGTATATAGTTTAAGATAGGAGAAGAATGGAATCTAAGGCATTTATTTCCATTACAGGCACACACACACACACACACACACACGCACACACACACACGCATGCATGGCAAGTGATTTAAACTCTCAGAGCCAGAGTTATCTAATCTGTAAAATAAGTAAGCTAATATCTATTGTGTTAGATAAAATGTATAAATTTTATAGCATAATTTCTACTAAATACTAACAAGTCAATAAATGGAGTATTATTTGTTCAACAAAGAAAATCCTGAATCCTACAACTTTACAGGGCCACTCTTTCCTCTAAATGGTTAGAACCACATCATGTTTGCTGTGGGGTGGAAGTTGCAGTGCTCTACTCAAGACTTTTCTGCCAGAATTCAGGAGTAGAGGAGGGGCTTGTTTATGAGCTCCTGGAATCTCTTACCCTAACTTCTAGTGACAGCTTGATTTTAATTATTTTTCCTTGCTTTTCTCTATATCTGAGAATTTTCTCTATCTACCACATTTAATGCTCTACTTCAAAGAATCTCATTTTCCAAGTTCCCCCTAAATAATCATCTACCAATAACACAAGGCTATTCTCTGTAGTATCTTCACTTACTATGTGTGGATAATGAAAAGTAATTACAATGAACATGGGAGTGCAATGCATGATACCATGTATGTGAGGTACATAAAATAGTTACACACACAGAAGCAGAGCATGGTTGCCAGGGAGTGAGTGGAGAGGGTTGCTATCCAATAGATACAAAGTTTGCTTATGCAATACGATTAAGTTCTAGAGATCTGCTGTATAACATTGTGCCTAGAGTGAACAATACTATATTGCACACTTAAAAAATTAACAGGGCAGATTTCACGTTAGTTGTACTTACCACAGTATACAAAAAAACATAATTATAGCATAAAGAAAAACACAACTTCAAAACTAATGCCAGACATAAGTGCTCCTAGAAATGTATCACTCAATCCCCATTATAGGGAATTTCTTATCTGCTATGTGACTTCATACGAATTAGCTTGCTGCCATTCTGTTGTGTCTCTTTCTTTTCTCTGGTCACTTCCATATTTCTCTTCTCCAGGTCTTCCTAACCCATTTCTTCTCAAAGTGCTATGGCACAATTCTCAGAATACACCCTTCAGTGCGAAACGTCTTTCCTTCTGATACATCCCTATGAAAACTGTATAAGACTTTTTTTTTCCTTATAACTGAATACCCAAGTCTGGGTAATTTATAAAGATAAACAATTTATTTTCCACACTTATGGAGGCTTAAAATTCCAAGGTCCAATGTCGAGGGGTTACATCTGGTGAGGGCCTTCTTGCTGGTGGAAGCTTTCTGCAGAGTCTTGAGGCAGTACAGGGCATCACATGGTGACAGGGCTAAGTGTACCAGCTCAGATCTCTCTTCTTCTCCTTATAAAGTCACCAATTCCACTCCCATAATAACCCATTAATACATTTACCCATTAATCCATGAATAAATTAATTTGTTCATAAGGGAAGAGCCCTCATGATCCAGTCACCCCTTAAAGACCCCATTTCTCAATACTGCCACATTGGGGATTAAATTTCAATATGTTTTTGAAAGAGACAGATATTCAAACTATAGTCAGCACACCAAAGATCCATGCACTCCATTATATCACAGTCTCCCTTGCGGTTAGATTGAGCCTGTGTAACTACTTTTAGCCAGTTCGCTATGAGCTGAAGTGATGCTTCACTTTTAGGTCACAGGATTTAAAAACCAGTATGTCTTTTTTATCTTTATTTTCTCTGACTTTGAGGATATGTGTTTCAGCTGTATATTACAAAATAGAGAAGAGAAATGAACACATACTAGGTATACCTTATAGAAGAATAAACATTGTACTAAACCACTGAGATTTTAGGTGTTTAATTGACTGCTCTCTTAGTAATACAAACCCCTCCTGAGATTAGCCCTTTAAGGAAAAAGATCCCAATATTCACGTATAGGAACATCCATTTAATTGATCTCATGAAAAAAAACAAACAATGCTTTCTAGGAGAAAGTATACTACAGCAGCAAGCTCAAACTGAAACAATCTCTTAAAATATATTTATAATTATTAACAAAGGATTGTTAGTAAAGATCATTTTCATCATCTCACTAAATTTCATTCAAAACTTACTTTGGCCATTAGCAAAACTTATAGACATTTTCTGCCATTCTGCATATCTTACCTAGATCAATTCAAGTAAGAGAAATAATACGCAAACCATAGTTTTGTGATATTAATAGTGACAAAACTCTAGGTTGTGTGTAGAGTAGCTTAGTAATTATATGAAAAAAAAAAAAAAAAAGACTTCCCAGGTGAAACTATTTGGCCCTTTGCAATAATAAAGAATTGGTTCATCCACAAAAGACCCATAAAGATACACCTAGGTAAAGGAAATATAAATTATATAAATTTAAAGGGGTATAGTGTAGGACTCAGAGAAGCATACTGATGTTAACCAATGAAAGTCCATAATTATACCCAGGGATCTAAGAGAGAGACAAATGTTTTTTACAGGCACAGATGCCAATGTTTATAATGTGAAAAAAAAAGTATAATTTTCTCATGAAGCTTCCCCTTAGACAGTGATGGTGAGTGGTCATTAAAGAGCCCTAAATGGCAGGGCACACACACACACACACACACACACACACACTCACAGAAAAAATTCCATTATGTGTGAGGTATTTTATCATTTTGTTAAAAAAAATAGAGAAGAAGAAGAAAATAAAAACAACAGAAAAACAATCTGTGATTCAGACCAAAAAAAAAAAAAAGCAGGCTAGAAATGTGAACAGAACTTTCATAGATAATTAATTGCATACGACTCTTAACCATAAGAAAATGCTAATTAATAGCGCACGGACTTGCTGTTTCTCTCCAGTCAAACTGGAAACATCAAATCTTCGACAACATAATTTTGGATGAAACACAAGAATACTCATACCTTGCCAGCGAGAACTTAAAATGGTTCAATCCCTAGGAAAAGAGATTTGGAAATATCTACAAAAAGTATATATTTATTTATCATTTGATCTACAAATACTGATTTTAGTAATCAATTGCAGAGATATATTACACAATTGTACAATTGGATACAGAAGCTTATTCTATGCATCTGTATTATTTGAAATGATACACAAATTGTAAACACTCCAAATGTTCAACAACCAGGGAACCAACTAAATAAAGCATGGCACATTTGTACTATGAACTAAAGTATGACACGCCTCCACAGTACAGTAGTACGTTGATTAAAAAAGGAATACTTTCTCTTTATGTAATTATGGAAGAATCAGCATGACCAAAAACAAGTGAAGAAAGCAACTGTATATCACAAGCTGTCATTTATCTATGAGGGTAGAGGACATATTCATTTATGTATAATTGCTTACCTTAAAAATAATAAAAAATAAACATGAGTTTTCTTAAATGGTTACAGAGAGTGTGCAAAAAAAAAAAAAAGACAGAAGAAAGTGGGCCAAGAATCGAATAGACATTTCTCTAAAGAAGCTATGTATAGATAATAAGCACATGAAAACATACTCAACGACATTAGCCATCAAAGAAATGCAAATTAAAAATATGAGATGCTGCTTCATAACTGCTAAGATGAACGTAATAAAAAATGCAGATAATAACAGGTGTTGGAAAAATGTGGAGAAATTAAAATACTTATATACTGCTGGTGGGAATGTAAAAATGATGCAACCACTTTGCAAAACAGTCTCAAAAGTCCTCAAAAGTTTAAACCTAGAGTTACCATGTGACCCAGAAATTCCACTCCTATGCATTTATCCAAGAAAAATGAAAAGATACCTCTGTAAGAATTTATATACTAATGTTTATAGCATTATTCATAAAATACTGGAAATATCCCAAATGTCCATCAACTGATAAATAAAAAAGTGTAATGTGTAATAGCCATACAGTGAATATTATTCAGCCCTAAAAATGAAGTACTGAAATATGCTACAACATGGACGTACCTTTAAAACATTATGACAAAGGAAAAAAAGCCAGATATGAAAAGCCACATATTTATGGTTCTAATTGTATAAAATGTCCAGAATAAACAAATCCTTAGAGACAGAAAGTTTACTCTTTGTTGACTAGGGCCAAGGGGCTGGAGTTAAATGAGAGTAACCGCTAACAGTGGATAGGCAAGGAATAGAATCTTCTATTCTTCATTCAATGTCCTATATTTTATAGACTTGACACTTGAGTCATGGAAATTTAATGTATTTATAAAATAAAATGAGAAATTTAAAGTAGATCTTAAGAGTTAAAATAAAATGAAATCAAAAAAAGCTTATTTGTATACACACTTGTAGGAATTATTTCAAGGAGCTTTAAAAAATAGTGATTTGGCAAATATAACTAGTGGCATATTCTAGCTTTAAACAATGCAGAAACAAAATTTAAGCTATTTTCAAACATGATATGGCTGGTATTGTTCTCAGACATCTGTATTTTGATATGAGGACAGCTAGAAAGTATGTTGTTGAGAATTGGAATTTTGGACATAGGAGAAAGAAGGTACCAGTATAAGACATGTGAGATAAAGCAAAAATCTTGCATGCCTGAATTTGAATAAGAAGTATTAGTATGAACTTATGATCTATTTTGCTTTAAAAATCAAAAAGACATGCAATTAAGATGCCTCAAGACATGTATTACTAACATATTGCTGAAAACCAATGAAAAAGAGAAACTCTTAAGAGTACCTAGAGAAATAAGACATATTGCCCACAGAGCAGCAAAAGTAAGATAAATTAAGACTTCTTTTCTGAAATTATGCAAGCTAAAAGAAAATGGAATGGCACTTTTCTGTGCCAAAGGAAAAAAAATGAAAAGCAGAGTTATCTATCCAAAGACTATATCTTTCAAAAATGCAAGCAATAAAGGACTTTTAGAGACAAACAGAATCTTAGAGAATTCATCTCATGAAACCTACATTACAATAATTTTAATGGAAGTTTTTTAAACAGAAAAGAAAGTACAAAACTGACAACTATGTTCCTGCAAAAAATTAAAAGTAATGAAAAGGATAAATATATAAAATGTGTGTTTTTTTTAAGCTGCTAAGTTTGTGATTAATTGTTTATGAACGAGGAGAAAATTGTCACTAAATACATCTCATTATTTTTAGGTGTTTTACAAATAATGACCAATTTAGTAACAGTGAGTACCCTACCACTCAGACTGCAGAATCTTAATTTCTCACTGAAACAATCTAGTATTCCTCAGAGAAATGAATGATTATAACTTTCACACAGGAAGCATATACACATACAAACACACATATACATATATACACATATGACCATAACTACTTTTTAAATTAAACTTTTGTTAAATATAATTAATTGATTAAAGGGAAAATATTAACAATGTATCAGTTTGTGCATTATAACGTATGTAGCAGTAAAATACACGGCAACAAAAGTACAAGAGAGAAGATTGGAGAAATTAAAGTATACAAGTGTAAAGGTGTAAGGGTTTTTTATGTAAAGTGATATAGCATTATTTGAAGATAAGCTGTAATAAATTAAAGGTGAATATTTTAAATCCTAGAGTAATAATTAAAAGTATAAAACAATGAGATAAATAGAATTATAAAAATAACTTATGTACAATAACACAGCAAAAGAAAATAGACACAAAGACTAGATGGGAAAAACAGAATACAGATAAGATGGTGGCAGACTTAAATTCAAAGATTTTCACAGTTATATTAAACGTAAATGTTCTAAACACTTCAATTAAAAATCAGGAATTGTCAAGCTGGATATGAACATGACCAAATTGTAAGTTTTCTACAAGACAACCACTATAATATGTATGAAGTTTGCTAAAAATTAAAGAATGGGAAAAGATATATCATGCAAACAATAAATATAAAAAGCGGGAATAGCTAAACAACTATGAGGCAACGTGAATGTCAAAAAAAAGAACAAAAGATAAACATATTAATCATTCAAGGGCATTGTGATTTTAAGTGGATATACACGCAATAAAAGATCTTCATGATATATGAAGCAATGATTGACAGAAATAGACAGATATACAAACACGGTTGGATATTTTCTTTTATTCTGTCATTAATTGATAGAATAAGTAGAAAGAATCTGTAAAGATAGAAAAGATTGAATAACACTACAATCAACTTGATTTAATCGGCATTACTTAGAGCCACCAGCAACAGAATAAGCATTCTTTTCAAGCACTCATGGAACACTCACCAAGATAGACTGCAGAACAACAAAATGAGTCACAACTAAGTTAAAATGATTGAAATCACAGGAAGTATATTCTCTGAGCAAAACAGAATTAAATTAGAAATCAGTTACATTAAGATTTCTGCAAAAATCACCAAATATTTTTAAACAACAAACTTCTAAACAATCTATGAGTTACAAGAAATCAAAGGGAAATTAGAAAATATTTTGACTAAAATGAAGATAAAATGGCCATGTATCAAATGTATGGAATACAGCTAAAGTAGTGTTTAGAGAAAAATGTATAGACTTAAAAACTTGTATTAGGAGAAAAGATTCAAGTTTATTATCAAAGTTTTACTTAAGAAGCTAGAAAAAGAAAATTAAGTCAAAATAAGTAAAAGAAAGGAAATATTAAAGATCAAAGCCAGAAATCAAATGGAAAATAATAACTCATAATGATAGAAAGATTAGTGGATTATTGGAGCTGATGTTGAAAGGAGCAGAAATGAAGAAAGTAAGAAGGAAATGTTGGAGATGAGGAAAATGTTCTATATCTTGACTTTGGTAGTAGTTGCACAGATGTATATATGTTAAAAATCATTGAAATCTACACATGAAATAGATTGTTTTTATTTAATGTAAGCTATATCTAAATAAAGCATATTTTTAAAAAATTCTTAGATATTTTAGGAAATTGAATAGTGATTAATATTTAAAGAGCTATAATTTATTTAAAATATACTGTGGTTATTTCTAAAATAAAAAGTCTTTATTAGAATATGATATATTGACATATTTATGAATAAAACAGTAAGAACCTGGATTTGCTTCCTAGTAATGTTGGTGGTGGGGAAGCAATTAAGGATAACATGAAACATGATTTGCAGTGAGCTGATAATTGTTTAAGGTAAGTGAATGATATATACAGATTCATAATACCAGTCTACTTACTTTAGCATTTGCTTAAAATGTCTCACAACAAAGTGTTTTAAAATATGTGTCTTTAGCTCATGTCAAATCTAGTACATTAAACGAAATAGGCATTTAAGTAGAATTTTTATCAAATAATTAATGGCTCCCTTTCAGTTATTTCTCCAACTAGTTTGTTCAACCATTGCTTTAATAACTCCAGTCCCTTATTTCTGTTCCTATTAATAGTATATCTGTAGTCCCAGGGGTTTTTTTTTTAATTTTTATTTTTCTGTAGTGAATAACCTTTCTTAGGGCCAGGGTCTAATAGACGTTAAAGGGTCAGTCTTCCTTGGTCTAAACCCTGGCTCAACCATTTTCTGGCTATATTATCTTGAGCCAAGTACTTAATTTTTCTAAGCCCGAAATTCTTCACCTATAAATCGACCAGTACTAGCCTCACTAAGTTTTTGTAAGGAATAAATAAGGTAAACTGCAAAATATCTGACAGGGTATCTAAAAATAAGTATTAATTATTGCAATCATTTTCTGATGGTACCTTGAATCCTAGAAACACTACTTAAAATTATCTAAATCCATAAAATTATCTAAAATCATAAAATTTAGATCTCTCATTTTGCATCCAAACCTAGACTGTCATAATTTATTTTTATTAAATTTTACTTTACTATCAATAACTAAATGGCAAAAATTGCACTCCACTTCCAACCACTTCCAAATTGATATTGCCATTAGCAATGTATCAATTATGGGCTCTGAAGTACATTGAAATTTATTTATGTATTTGGAATATCCCAGTCCCCTCCAATCTGTCCTAAAATAATTGCACTATTTTTCCCAGCTGTTTCAAGACTTTTTCTTTTTTTGGCTCCCATACCATTCTTCCGATAGACAAGCACAAAGTCGGAGCAATGACAATTGGAACTCCATGGCTATTCCATTGAAAGTCAATTGAATTTCAATTTCCTTCAATGGGAAAAGCCAGGAGGAACCAATTATTGTTGCTTTAACATTGTGCAATTTTTCCTTAGGCACCACTTAGGATCCAAATGAAAACATTTCAATTCCTGCTTATTACCTTCTTCCTGATAAAATGCTGCTTTTCCCTGGCTCCTAAAAATAGTGCAATATCAAAGGAAGCCTCTATTAAATACACTTTGCCATTTTGGTCATATTAACAGCTATTAAAAGAAAAGAAGGCATACAGGGACCAATATTGTACACATAATGCTCCTTGCTGTTTATTTTGCCAGCCACTTTATGTGGTGTTGCTCTGATTTTCACTTGTCACAACAACTTACTTGAGAATGAAGTCAGTACAATTCACTTTCTGTTTGGGACATCAATTCCCAATCTGGAAGAAATCTCATCACCATGCTGAGTTAGCTTGCATCTGCCATGACCGCAGGATTTCTGGGAGGCTACTGGCACAACTCACATATTTCCACTGTGAAGCTTGGCTTTGGGAGAGAGTGAGAATGCTGTTCCCCTAGCAGTCATTCAGGCCCACAGACTGTGAAAGCCAGAGTCACCTAACAAGCTGTGAAAATTTCAGCCACCTGAGGAGCTGTGAAAGACAAAGATGGTGCTAGCTGAGGATATGTGAGCAGGCAGGAGTCTCCAGAGGAACTGCAAATATTCTAGGCCCTCATGTCAGTAAAGAGATAGTGCACTTTGAACTGAGTAACAAAGTCAGCAGGGACTGAAAGGCATAAGAAGTGAAAATAAACTCAAGCATGTTAGAAAAATAGCTATACAAGGTTGGGGTATTAGCCTTTCCAAGTCATTATGCTTATGCCCTCGGTCTGTTGTATTGAAAGAAGACAAATTACATAAGGAGAATAGAAAGAAACTTAAGCACTAAACATATACAGGGCCTAATAACTGAGTCAATTTCCAAGCCAGACTCTTGATGCCGTAGCTCAGCATGTGAAGAAACTATAAAGACACATAAAACTCTGGGGTAGGCCCAGGCTGCAAGGAAATGTACTATGTCTCTTTCCCAGTCCCCTCTTGTGTTAGAGCAGTAACCAGGAGTTTTTATGAGTCATTACATCTCCTTATGTTCTGCAAAATAGACTCCATTTTGCCCAGGACACATCTGGTGTGCTGCCTTTCCCCCATGCCCTCTAAATACTCCTATTTCTCTTGTCCCAGTTGGACATGAGATTGTCACACAAATACAACATGATCACTGCATCACTTTTCATGCTAGTGTGATCCTCATCCCACCTTTTAAGAATTTAAAGGGCAATATCAATTATCCTTTCAAAGCTGTTTCACATCACTGGAGAAGCTTTGAAAATTAGATTTAAGTTCCCATTGTCAACTTATCTTGGAGCTATGTTAGGTCTCCGAAGCTGGTTTTTGGCCAAGGTATTGATGGAAAGCAAAGAATAACATTGAACTTTGTTCTCTAGATTGGCACTGCTCCAGAGATCAATGACTGTTTTGACTAATATTCCAGACTACTTACCTTACAATTTTTTTCTGTTCTTTTTGTCATCCATAATAGATAATAATTGTTAAAGTAGTCAGGAGCTAGGAATCCTATAGAAATGCTTTTGGAAATAGAAGTCTTCAACATTGTAAAGACCATCAATGCTAGGAAGAAACTACATCAACTAACGAGCAAAATAAACAGCTAACATCATAATGACAGGATCAAATGCACACATAACAATACTAACCTTAAATGTAAATGGACCAAATGCTCCAATTAAAAGGCACAGACTGGCAAATTGGATAAAGAGTCAAGACCCATCAGCGTGCTGTATTCAGGAAACCCATCTCACAGGCAGAGACACACATAGGCTCAAAATAAAGGGATGGAGGAAGATCTGCCAAGCAAATGAAAAATAAAAAAAGGCAGGGGTTGCCATCCTAGTCTCAGATAAAACAGACTTCAAGCCAACAAAGATCAAAAGAGACAAAGAAGGCCATTACATAATGGTAAAGGGATCAATTCAACAAGAAGAACTAACTATGCTAAATATATATGCACTCAATACAGGAGCACCCAGATTCATAAAGCAAGTCCTTAGTGACCTACAAAGAGACTTAGACTCCCACACAATAATAATGGGAGACTTTAACACCCCACTGTCAACATTAGACACATCAATGAGACAGAAAGTTAACAAGGATATCCAGGAATTGAACTCAGCTCTGCACCAAGCGGACATAATACACATATACAGAACTCTCCACCCCAAATCAACAGAATATACATTCTTTTCAGCACCACACCACACCTACTCCAAAATTGACCACATAGTTGGATGTAAAGCACTCCTCAGCAAATGTAAAAGAACAGAAATTATAACAAACTGTCTCTCAGATCACCGTGCAATCAAACTAGAGCTCAGGATTAAGAAACTCACTCAAAACCGCTCAACTACATGGAAACTGAACAACCTGCTCCTGAATGACTACTGGGTACATAACGAAGAAATGAAGGCAGAAATAAAGAGTTCTTTGAAACCAACAAGAACAAAGACACAACATACCAGAATCTCTGGGACACATTTAAAGCAGTGTGTAGAGGAAAATTTGTAGCACTAAATGCCCACAAGAGAAAGCAGGAAAGATCTAAAAATCAACATCCTAACATAACAATTAAAAGAACTAGAAAAGCAAGAGCAAACAAATTCAAAAGCTAGCAACAGGAAAAAATAACTAATGTAAGAGCAGAACTCAAGGAGATAGAAACGCAAAAAAACCCTTCCAAATATCAGTGAATCTAGCAGCTGGTTTTTTGAAAAGATCAACAAAATTGATAGACTGCTAGCAAGACTAATAAAGAAGAAAACAGAAAAGAATCAAATATACACAATAAAAAATGATAAAGGGGATATCACCACCGATCCCACAGACACACAAGCCACCATCAGAGAATACTATAAACATTGCTAAGCAAATCAACTAGTCAATTTAGAAGAAATGGATAAATTCCTGTACACATACACTCTCCCAAGACTAAACCAGGAAGAAGTTGAATCTCTAAATAGACAAATAACAGGCTGTGAAATTGAGGCAATAATTAATCGCCTACCAACCAATAAAAGTCCAGTACCAGATGGATTTACAGCCGAATTCTACCAGAGGTACAAAGAGGAGCTGGCACAATTCCTTCTGAAACTATTCCAATCAATAGAAAAAGAGGTAATCCTCCATGACTCATTTTATGAGGCCAGCATCATCCTGATACCAAAGCCGGGCAGAGACACAACCAAAAAAGAGAATTTTAGACCAATATCCCTGATGAACATTGATGCAAAAATCCTCAATAAAATACTGGCAAACTGAATCCAGCAGCACATCAAAAAGCTTATCCACCATGATCAAGTGGGCTTCATCCCTGGGATGCAAGGCTGCTTCCTTATACGCAAATCAATAAACGCAATCCAGCATATAAACAGAACCAAAGACAAAAACCACATGATTATCTCAATAGATGCAGAAAAGGCCTTTGACAAAATTCAACAACCCTTCATGCTAAAAACTCTCAATAAATTAGGTATTGATGGGATGTATCTCAAAATAATAAGAGCTATCTATGACAAACCCACAGCCAGTATCATACAGAATGGACAAAAACTGGAAGCATTCCCTTTGAAAACTGGCACAAGACAGGGATGCCCTCTCTTACCACTCCTATTCAACATAGTGTTGGAAGTTCTGGCCAGGGCAATCAGGCAGGAGAAGGAAATAAAGGGTATTCAATTAGGAAAAGACGAAGTCGAATTGTCCCTGTTTGCAGATGACATGATTGTATATCTAGAAAACCCCATCATCTCAGCCCAAAATCTCCTTAAGCTAATAAGCAACTTCAGCAAAGTCTCAGGATACAAAATCAATGTACAAAAATCACAAGCATTCTTATATACCAATAACAGACAGAGAGCCAAATCACGAGTGAACTCCCATTCACAATTGCTTCAAAGAGAATAAAATACCTAGGAATCCAACTTACAAGGGACGTGAAGGACCTCTTCAAGGAGAACTACAAACCACTGCTCAACGAAATAAAAGAGGATACAAACAAATGGAAGAACATTCCATGCTCATGGGTAGGAAGAATCAATATCGTGAAAATGGCCATACTGCCCAAGGTAATTTATAGATTCAATGCCATCCCCATCAAGCTACCAATGACTTTCTTCACAGAATTGGAAAAAAACTACTTTAAAGTTTATATGAAACCAAAAAGAGCCCACATTGCCAAGTTAATCCTAAGCCAAAAGAATGAAGCTGGAAGCATCACGCTACCTGACTTCAAACTATACTACAAGGCCACAGTAACCAAAACAGCATGGTACTGGTACCAAAACAGAGATATAGATCAATGGAACAGAACAGAGCCCTCAGAAATAACGCTGCATATCTACAACTATATGATCTTTGACAAACCTGAGAAAAACAAGCAATGGGGAAAGGATTCCCTATTTAATAAATGGTGCTGGGAAAACTGGCTAGCCACATGTAGAAAGCTGAAACTGGATCCCTTCCTTGCACCTTATACAAAAATTAATTCAAGATGGATTAAAGACTTACATGTTAGACCTAAAACCATAAAAACCCTAGAAGAAAACTGAGGCAATACCATTCAGGACATAGGCATGGGCAAGGACTTCATGTCTAAAACACCAAAAGCAATGGCAACAAAAGCCAAAATTGACAAATGGGATCTCATTAAACTAAAGAGCTTCTGCACAGCAAAAGAAACTACCATCAGAGAGAACAGGCAACCTACAGAATGGGAGAAAAGTTTTGCAACCTACTCATCTGACGAAGGGCTAATATCCAGAATCTACAATGAACTCAAACAAATTTACAAGAAGAAAACAAACAACCCCATCAAAAAGTGGGCGAAGGATATGAACAGACACTTCTGAAAAGAAGACATTTATGCAGCCAACAGACACATGAAAAAATGCTCATCATCACTGGCCATCAGAGAAATGCAAATCAAAACCACAATGAGATACCATCTCACACCAGTTAGAATGGCGATCATTAAAAAGTCAGGAAACAACAGGTGCTGGAGAGGATGTGGAGAAATAGGAACACTTTTACACTGTTGGTGGGACTGTAAACTAGTTCAACTATTGTGGAAGTCAGTGTGGGATTCCTCAGGGATCTAGAACTAGAAATACCATTTGACCCAGCCATCCCATTACTGGGTATATACCCAAAGGATTATAAATCATGCTGCTATAAAGACACATGCACACTTATGTTTATTGTGGCACTATTCACAATAGCAAAGACTTGGAACCAACCCAAATGTCCATCAATGATAGACTGGATTAAGAAAATGTGGCACATATACACCATGGAATACTATGCAGCCATAAAAAATGATGAGTTCATGTCCTTTGTAGGGACACGGATAAAGCTGGAAACCATCATTCTCAGCAAACTATCGCACGGACAAAAAACCAAACACCACATGTTCTCGCTCATAGGTGGGAACTGAACAATGACAACACATGGACACAGGAAGGGGAACATCACACAGCGGGGCCTGTTGTGGGGTGGTGGGGAGTGGGGAGGGATAGCGTTAGGAGATATACCTAATGCTAAATGATGAGTTAATGGGTGCAGCACACCAGCATGGCACGCGTATACATATGTAACAAACCTGCACGTTGTGCACATGCACCCTAAAACTTAAAGTATAATAATAATAATAAAAAAGAAAAGTCTTCAACATAAGGTAAAAAGAAATGAAAAGTTTGCCCTTGTGATTCTTTCCTTTAAAAAGTTCTGAGAAATGTTACTAAAATTAAGAATTAAATGGAGAATTCATTCTAGATTCTCTTTAAAGCCCATATCTTTACAAAGAGTAAAGTCATGACTTTTATGCAAATACAAAATGAGTATAAATCAAAGATTTTACTTCACTCATTAATTAACAGGGGCAACAATAAGATGTTACAACTAGTTTAAAGGAGTCAAAGAATCACAAATATATTGGTCATCAAAAAATGCTGAACAAATTTACAAATAAATGATAGAAAACTAGACAATTGCACTCCCTGCACAGAATTTATTTGCATTTCTATGAAAAAGAATCATTTGCATTAGTATCAATATTCTACAACTTACACAGTTGTAAAATAAAAGGAAGTGATAACTCGGAAAAGTGACCTAGATAATGCTCAGTTTTCTGCTGACGGCACACAGTAATCTTTTTGGTCCATTTCAAAGTTTTTCACATTATTTCCTTTTGTTCTAAACAAAGGGCTGAAAAAGAGTAAAAAGATCTGCTCATGTCTTGTTTAGGATTGCTGCTTAAGAAAATCCAGAGGACTGCCTTGTATACATCTACAGTTAGTGTTAAATGATTCTATTGTTTATTTTGCACAAATTTCAAATATCAGTCTATAGGGAAGTTACACATACAATGTTTCTCAGTTTCCTATAGCTGCTATAACAAACTATCTCAAACAATGTACCTGAAAACAGATGTTTATTCTTTCAGGACTAAAATAAAATTCAGAAATCTGACCAGGGTTGGTTCCTTCTAGAGGCTCTAAGAAAAATTCGGTTTCCTGTCTCTATCCTAGTCTCTGGTGGTTGCCAGCACTCCTTGCCATTTGTCCCTTGGCTTGTAGACATACTACTCCGATCTCTGTCTCCATTGTCACGTGATATTCTCGCTGGATGTCTGTGCCTTTGTCTAAATTTCCCTCTCCTTTTAAGGACATCAGCTATATTGGATTTAGGGCCCACTCTCATCCAGCATAACCTCATCTTAACTTGGTTACATCTGCAAAGAACTTATTTCCAAGCAAGATCATATTCACAGATTCTGGATAGAACTAAATTTGGGGGAAAAACTATTCAACACAGTATTACACATCATGATATCAAACGTGGAGGCTGTAAAGTAAGGGTGTTTCTAGCAAGAGACTGCCAGGAAACTCAGAAAGGCAGACTATTTTTAAAGGCAATAGTCTTAAATCAGAACAGTCCAATTAAATAGCAATTCCTGTTTATAACCATGTCTGGATCATCTCCAGAAAGCAAACCAGGCAAATAAATGTGATACCAGTCTTCTGGGCCAATGTTTCAAAGGCAGCAATATACTTACATTCTCCAGAATTCAGGAGAACCAGCTTTTAATTCTAACTTTGCAGCTAATGAGCTGTGTGAACATGGGCATGTCCTCTATCTAATTGCACCTTACTTATCTCTTTTGTCAAATAAGGGAAATAGACTAGAATATTTTTAAGTCTCCTTCTACCTCTAATGGGCAATGATTTATTACCTCTTTCTTACAAATGCAAAATGTCCAAATCAGTTATCAGGATATGAGCTAGATTGTCTTTTAAAATTGTTCTGACCTACTTATATCTATCCATGCTTTGTAAAGTTAGAACAGAATCTTTGGGTTCTTTGTTTTTGGTTGTTGAAGTTATTATTTGTTTGTTTTCCATTGTAGTATACAAAGCTTGGGGTCTTTTGCTATCCTTTTATTTCTACGGCCGGAATGGGTCCCATGTTTCCACATTTCTTCTATTCGCCTCTTTGCCCTTGGCCATAGCTGCAGGGCTTTCACTTTGTACAATCCCAAGGAGCATTTCCATTGCAGTTTTTGTCATGTTCCAAGAGGTGCTATTTTTTAAGGAATAGAGTTATATAGACTGCATTTACAGAGACTCCATTATGAACAGTGATCTTGGAGCTGCACAATGGCAGGGATCCTGCATAGCTGATTTGATTAGGGTGGACAGTTGGCCATATTGGAATAGCTAGTTCTCTTTCTTGAAAATTTAGAAGTGAGGATAAGATAGGATAACTCTGGGATCGTCTCATAAATTGAGAAATGTAAACCAGAAAGCTACTGAATGCATATATAAGCTAAGCCAGTAGACAGAAAGAGAGAGAGTAGAAAAAAATGCTTAATGTGTAGAGAGAGTGAGAGAAAAAAATTACATGAGATCCCAATGGCTTCTAACTTTTTTGAGACTTAGATATATTCCTGTTTTCCTGTCCCAGGCCTCTCTTTCTTAAGCTGCTGTGAAAGAGTTTTGTTACTTGCAATTAATTTTCTTATTAAGAAATTTTCCTTGTTATGTTAGATTTAATTTATTGTAAATGCCCTTTCTCAATAGAATCAAACATATATGAATTTAACTGCCTATAATAGGTAAGTATTGATTTATCAAAGAGGTCAGTAAGTTTACTGATCATTTTAAACATGACCGATATGATCATACTATAAGCCATTATCTAACCAAAAGTATTTAAATTGAATGTGGATATATTCTAGGTAGTCCCCACTGCAAGGAATGTAACATTTTGAAAGATAATTAACATCTCTTGTTTAAAACTCTGAATGTCTAAGTTGACATTTGCAAATGATACTTCAGTATCTCCTTCCCATTATACATCATTGAAACAGACATATTTGACCAAAGATCTATGAAAAGCTAATTTTCATACACCATGTTAGGTAGATATCCAAGAGTGGTGGTACACAAGTAAAGTTCAAGAAAGATTGTTTCTCCATAGATCCCAGGAACAAACAGAAGAATCTCTGAAGATCTCCTACCAAGAATATATTAGAAAAGAATAACAAGATCCCCCAAAATGTATTGGGTAGCCAAATGATGAAGTCAGTCTAAGTGAAGCCAATTGATTAAAACTCTGAACTTGGCAATGCATCATGGAAACCATCTCATGTGAAGAATGTTGAATATCATGAGGCTCAGCCTTGTGCCTAATTTTGCTCTCCAACAGGGTGAGTCCTGAGCAGGTCTCAATGCTCCTACCCATGTTTCCCTCACCCCTAGAGAACATCAGGGGGCTAAAGAAGAGCTGCATGCCTGCCTCAGTTTCTTGATGGTAATTTTCCACAGGTGTTTCTTGATCAATGGGACAAGTTAAACATCTCTTAACCTAGGTCTTAATTCTCTTTTGACAGAACCATTCTAAAGGTCAAAAAAATTCCCAGGGTGAAACTTTAGGAACTCTGTTCTAAAAAATATTTCTATAGGAAGGATTCTGTGAACTTTAAAGTATTAAATACATGTAGATAAGTGTTCAACCCTGGACTGCAAGAGCTGAGTGTGTAGAGCACTATGTTTGCTCCTGGGATCTATGGAAAAACCAGAAATTTAGAGGACATTGAGTGGTGGAAAGTGAAGTGAAGTATTAGTTAAATATCACTAATAAACATCACGCTCCAAAATTTAAACTTTTTATTGAAAAAATATATTGCATGCCTATAATGCACTATATAACAATAAACAGTAGAAGTTAATATTATTTAGCACATACTATATGCTAGGCACTGTGTTAGGTATTTTATATATACATTAGTTCTTTAAGCGTACACAAAAATCTTATTGAGTAGAACCCCCCACTGTGATTTAACCACTCCCCTTTCTTACTTTATATTACAAGCATCAAGATGAAATAACTGAACTACCTATAGTTTTGCAAAACAAGACGTTTGATACACAATATTCCTAAATGACTTTTCATCTACATTGCTGAATATATTATGTTTTTGTTTTAATGTCTATAATGACTGTAAATCTATGACACCTCCCCAAACTCCCCCACATACATATTCATTATGAACCCCTTCCTGTGTTCTCCTGGGCCATATTTAAAAGTTTATGGCCCAACCAGGATTGTATTCTCTTTTCACGGTTTCCTCAAACATTTAAAGTAATACAAGAACTAAGCTAGCTCTTAGCAATTCACTTGTCCCTCAAAACTCCCAAGAGTCTTCCCACCCTCTGCCCTAATGTAATGGACCTCTCTCACTCATCCCACCTCTGTCCCATAGCCTTCTCTCTCTCCTGGGCCAGCTTATTTAGTCTTTTATAACCTGCCCCCAACATGTCAACTCTCCTTGCCATGAAAACACCCCTGGGCTTGAAGTTCTTTTCCTGCTCTGACTGCTTTCTGGAGAAAATTTGCCTTTATTGCTTTTATGGTTTTTCTCTCTTGAAGAGAGTAAAGAAGGCAAAAAAGCTGACTAGGCAGAGGGAAAGGGGAACACATGAAAATAAACTTTACGCTGTACTGTGTTCCGTAGGAACATTTCTAGCAATGCCAGTATAAAGCGACCTCTGACTTGAACTGAGCAGAATTGTAACAGAACATTTAAAAATTTTTAAGTAGGTATTTCAATAGCATGTTATAATTTTCAGAAGCTTTACTTGTAGAGATAGAAATGAAAGAGCATATATAGGAAAATATCTAAATATGATGTAAAAACAAGGATATGAAAAAAGTATATACATACAATATTGATGACTAGATTTGTGCAAATACAGGCTCTGAGGTCAGACTGTTCAGGTTCAATTTTTGCTCCCTTCACTGACGGATATTCCTGAATCCTCATCTCTAAAATGGAGTAATACTAATTCCTTCTGCATAGGGATGGTGTAAAGGCCAAATGAATAAACAATACTGATTGTAATTACTAACTTAATAATGATATATAAAATGATAATGTATGAACTAACATTTTTAGCATTACTACATGCCCAATTCTGAGCTAAAGTACTTTACATGTCATATTTAATTCATACAATTACTTGTGAGACAGGAATAGTATATATTAAGTACTTAGTAGAGTACCTGGCCTATAATAAGCTTTCAGTAAAGAGTAACTAATATAACAATTATTACTTTAAATGTTATTGTTATGATTAGCCAATGTTATAATAAAACTTCTCCTTGTTGGAAGCATTTTTTACCACAGGTACTAATTATAGAGAATGGATACACATGTATTTTAGAACTGCAGCTAATATATATTGTTTTCAGTCAGGAAGAAATATCAAGATGATAAGGGGTAGGATTTTTAAAAAGAGCAAGAAGAGGTAGGGCCTGAGTCTGCCAAAAGAAGTGAAGAGGCAGGTCTGTGACTTGTACAGCCACTGACTTATATCACATATTTATCAAGGTATCAGAGATAAACACTTCCTCCGGGTATTCAGGGTCAGTTTTACCAGCGGCCTTAGCCCAGTCCTCCTGTTGAGTCATTTCCCTGGATCCCTCCACCTCCATCTTCACCATCCCTCCAGGATTCTGGAGATATTTGATCAGAGAGACCAAGGACCGGCTCCTTTAACTCATTCATCACCATCTAGAAAATTCTACAAAGAAAAAATTAGATGATTCTGCAGAGCTAGCTGTTGAGTGATTTCAGGGACCCTTTTTTCCTTTTCCCCTTTGCACTGTCTTTAAGCGAAGGAAAAAAAACACAACTATTTGCTAATGCTTGAAATTCATTTGACAAGGTGGGGGTGAGGCAGCATGTGGTCTAAAATTAGAGAGAAGAGGCCAATAAAAGAAAATGCATATGTCTGGTGGGTGGGGTGGGGGGTGAAAATTTTAATGCGAGTAAGTTTCAGATAAAATGTAACCAATCAATCAAAGGTAAAGGAATGGTATTGGTCATTTTCCTATTTTGATAGGGGAGTTGGAGTGAGGAGAGCCGGAGGTATCAGGAGTTTAGAGTAGTAGGTAGACCTAGGACAACAAAGGTGAGGAGTCCTTCATGAACGGACCCCACATTCACCTGAGCTCAATCTGTGTGCATCCAACTAAGCCAGTGCCTGCAGAGGCCCTACACTGGGCTGTCTTGACCTGTGTCTGGGAAAGCAAGCAGAGCTGCCCTAAGAAAGCTATCCTGTGGCTGCTTTATTTTAAAGCATAATTTCCTTCTCCAAAGAAATACTAATTGAATGATAGTTGTAGTTTAAATGTAGGCAGGTGCATATCTGTTTATTTTGGACTCAGAGTTGAAGAATTACCAATAATTTGATGCCAACTACACTTTAGTAATCCAGGAAGTTACAATGTACCAAGAAACAAACTTTTCCTCCACCAGGCACAAATATTTAAGAGGGAAAAAACCAGGCAATGGGAAGGGAGATGAGTCATAGACAATAATTTGAGATACTTTGACACAACAGAAGATCTTAATTTAGGAAGGGAAAAAAGCTAAAATTTACCCTTTTTTTTCAGTATCTGGAAGGCAAGAATCAAGTGTTCCTAAATAATTTATCAAAACTTCCTTTAGGTAAAACACATTCCTATTGATACAGGGTTTGAAATTAGCCTAACAGTCATTGCTAAACTATTTCATATTCATGCTGTGTGGGTTGGGATATTTTCTACAGACCATGTACTTCTATTGCATGTGGCTTTGCTAAAGACCTTGACATATTTGCGCCATGGTGACAGGAGAGTAGAAAAAGTAGAATGAGTCCAAAAAAAAAAAAAAAATTTGCAGTATTGAGAATGAGATAGAGAGGAGAAGAATACGAAGCAAGAGGCAATGGTGATGTATTAGTGTGTCAGGAAAGGAGAAAGTATTTTTAATTGAGCAGAGGAAGGAAGAGGAAGAGAAGGGAAGGGTATATTGGACATGCTGTTGGTCTCTCATAGCAGGGCAAAGGAGTTCTGAGAGCATTTCTCACCACTTCACACAGTCTCATGAGGGCTAAGAAGGAAAGTTGTCCTTTTACCCACTGTAAAGCCCATTCAAATGGAAAAAAGAAACTGCTGTCTCTAAGTATAGAGTTGGGGTGGAAAATAGGAGAAACAAAAATTAATCCTTCCGGATATCACACAGTGGCTTTTCTTTTCACCTTTCCCATTCAAGAGGCCATTTTAGCAGCCACTGGAACAAACATTAAGGAAGATACTGGAGTGAGAGAAGTTAAAGGTGGGTAATAGAACTGGTATTTCTGAACATACAAGAAGCATAAAAATTCACTTTAGTTTATTTTAAAATCTATCTCATTATGTGTATAACATTGTGAATGCAAATTCTTACTGTAAAGTAAGTGTAAACATATTGTATGCTCCATTTTGCGTTAATTAGGAGTGCAAGTAAACAATAAGCCTAACATAGCTAGGGGTACACTCAAAGGCAATCATGTTTTCACTTTCCCTCAGATATATAAGATTATCACTTAATTTATAGGTTACATTCCCTGAGTGACTTCTGTGTATATCACAACAGAGGCCAGAATACTATTCTCAGTGAAAGGGCAGCATCTTGGGAGAAGGGGTGGGGGACATTTCCAAATTCTAAACCTGTGAAGTTTGTCAGCTGTAAGACTTGAGTACCCCAGCTTTCTGCAGAGGATGATGAATGGGACACTGGTGAACTCAGTCTCCTTGCTGGGGATGTGTTTATAAGAAGGAGCATAGGCAATATCTTTTGCATAATAAGTCCACCAAGAAAAGGAACTATGGAACTGCTAAACCTGCTGCACAGAGTGTATTGTTGGTAAGTCTGAAAACAAAAATAAAACAGTTTCCACTGGGGCATGTAATTCTCCTTGCTAAAGAAGAAACTCTGAATGTAAGAACAATTTAAAAAGTTCAGACTAGAGTGGCGATTCCAGGATGCCACTTGTCAAGTTAATTTAGGGCTGCGTATAATTGGGTGGTTGCTTTTCCTCCAGAAAGATGAAATAGCCAAGCCAAGAGAGATGGGTATCTCACTATTTCTAATATAGAGATAAAGATCTTATTTTTAGTGTAAACTGAAGAAACGTGGGGGTTGTGAGCAGAGACTAGGCTTTTGCAGTGTTGCAAAGGTACTAAAAAGCAAAAGGAACGGGGATATGTTTTAGGAAATCAGGAGTTTAAGTACTCAAAGTTTTAAGAGTTATCTCTTGAATTTCCACCAAATGAGAGGCACTGCTTGTGTTAAATTGTCTTAAGTTGTGTTGAGATATTTCCTGCAACTAAAAATCAAGTGCTTTTCATTTAAACTGTAACCATGTGGAAGCTTTATTTTTATTATCCCTGTTAAAATGTGCTTTATTCTAGCACCATAATAAATTCTAAGTCCCAAATAATACCCACAATTAATCAAAAGAGTTGGTTATACAATATTAGACTGATTTCAAATTAAGTCTTACTTCAGTGTCCATAGGAGAGGAAATACTTTTGGTTAAATCAAAATTTTACAGGAATGGGAGTCTGGGAGACTTCAGAGAGCCAGCTGGCTACACCAGCTTCCCAGGCTGAGCTCTTCTTCAGAAAAAGCATCTGTTAATTCTGCCGTAAAAGGAGCATCAGTGGCTAGAGCCCTGCTTGGCAAACTGTGACATGTGTTGTTTAAGCCAGAGAGCTTTGGTATATATAAAAGAAAATTAGCTCTCGGCAGTGGGAAAGCTGGGACTTTAGTGGCCCCAAATGTCAGCTGCCGGAGAGAGTTTCCAATCTATCCATGATAAATTGGTCTTACATTAGGTTCTTTATAAACTGAAAAAGTCTTGCTCAGAGATCGAATACAATATCGTGGGCATTATGAAGAAAATGGCTATGACACAATCATTGAGATTTACTTATTGCTGTAGAGGAACTAACTTCCCTATGACATGCTGCCTCTTGGGGTCTCCTGGTAACACTCCAGACATCCAGCTGAAATCAGATCCTGTGCCCCCCTCAAACTGAACTGTCAAATTAGGCTGGATATAAAATGGAAGCTTGCTTCAAACATTGGGAATCTCAGCATTGCGAGGATTCTTCTACTTTAAAAATGTTCAAACAGAAAACAATAGACTAAATGACTGTTCTAGGGTCATTTAGACAGTTAAAAGCATAACCAAAACTAAAATCAAAACTATTACTGGATATTTATTGAAAATGAAGTTTTGTAATAAATACTGTTTAGATGATCTCACATGAGGCATAAGAAAAATGAAGTTATGAGAAATGAAGACCATTTTTATTTGTCATATACTCTTGAAAATTACAGGAGCTACCTACATTCTCATTCTCATCGGTAGGTACTGCTTTTTATCTTTTTTAAATTTTGCTAAAAGTTTAATTTCCTAAAATAGATAATGCAACTGAGCAAATATAAAAAGAGGTCCCTACTTCTAAGAAGTCAGTTCTAGGATTACTTTTACTTTCTCCTCCGCCCAGAAAAAGCAATTTAAATGAAGCAAGGTAAGACTGTTTCTGGACCAGGACTATTGAAATATTCTTGTTCATCCAGATGATATTCTGAGACCTGAAGACCCTCACTCACTTTTTGTTGTTGTTCTTAAACATTTATCATATAAAGATGCTCAACAGCAGAAACACTGTGACTCAAAGAGGCTGTGGTCCAAGGCATGACTAGCATTATTTTCATCCCTAGCCACATCCATCCTGACACCATGGTAGCCTCCCACCTTCAGATTAAGATGAGTAACTTAAAAATGAATATAGAACAAGTGCCAATTTGCTTTGTTTTGTTTTGTTTTGTCCTCAGGCCCTGTAATAATTTTTTTTAAAAGAAAAATAGCCTCTGATTTAAGAATTTTGGTTTAATGAACACTAAATTTGGTTTAGTGGGATGGAAATAAAAGGTAGAAAAGGTGTTTTTCTAGCTAGAGAGGTAAGCAAATGAGTCAATCACCTGAACTCTCGAATTGTATCCTGAAGAGGCCAAGGCACATTGTCTTGAGCTCAACAGAGAGGAGTCAATTATTATGAATTCCTATAGTGCCCCAGCATGCCAGGATATGTGTGTAAGACTTAATTCCTCAAGTTGAGCCAGTTGAAGCAAAGGCAGCAACCAGACTCTCTGATGACTCACATGACTTGTTACAACCTAGAAAAATCTCCTAGACCACCCAGATATTAATTAAACTTTGACTACTATTACACAGAGATTCCTTCTATTATTCTTCTAATCATTTGAGAGCCATCTAGACAGTGATAAATTTATTATGCAAGTATCTAAAAGGGATTTTCCTTATCTAGAAATTGCCAAGTCCACACATTTTTCTTTTCCAGTATTTTCCTATCACATGGGTAAAAGGAGAACAACAAAAATAACCTCCTTATTAGGGTCACCGTATAGATCTCTAAAACCATTCTCTACAGTGATTTTAAAACAAAGAAAACTTAAATATTGTCTAAGAGTTAAGACATTTCAAATTCCTATGACTTGGATCTGTTTTACAAAGCTTGAGTTAACTAATTTAGGGAATTTTATGGAATAATTGAGTGTCATAAGCCTCCATTTAAATTTTACAGTTAGATACTGTAAAAGAATTCTTACTAATCAGAAGAGACTTGCTGTATTTGCACTAAACCCTAAATTAATGTTTAAAAGTAATGTTTTGTCTAACAAATATATTATTATAAAATGCCATTTATGATTTAGCTTAACATTAAATATCAAGTTAACAAAAAATAATAGTTAACATTATTAAAGAGTTACTACTATGCGGCAAGCATCATATTAAAAGCTTTATATGGATTATCACATACACAGAAACCACCATAAAGGAGATGTTACAATTTGATCACTTCATTATCAGAGATGTACAGATGGATGAATACAGCCTTGGGCTTGAGTGCTCATGATTCTATGATGAAACCATGATGGAGACTATGGATAATTGGTGCGATAGTGCCTGGGAATCATTCTGGAATTAAAAACTGGTTTTTTCCATTGATATGCAAACCAAAAAGTTTCTGAGGCGCATCTCAATCAATTTAGAGGTTTATTTTGCCAAGGTTAAGGACCATGGCCAGGGGGACAGCTTCAGGACGTCTCGAGAACATGTGTCCAAGGTAATTGAGTTACAGCTCAATTTTATATATTTCAGGGAGACAGAAAGTACAGGCAAGGACATAAATCAATACAGGTTAACGTATACATTGATTTGAACCAGAAAGGTAGGACACTTCAAAGTGATGGGCTTCCAGGTCATAGGTGGATTCAAATATTTTCGGGTTGATAATTGGTTGAAAGAGTTAAGCTCTGCCTGAAGAATTGAAATCAACTTGAGTTAAGGTAAGGGGCAGGGGTGGTAGGGGTTGTGGAAGCCAAAATTCTTGTCATGTAGATGAAGCATTCAGGTATCAGGCTGCAGAGAGAATAGATGTGAATGTCATTTATTAAACCTAAAATGGTGTCAGACTTTCTGGAAAAGACCAAGTAAGGGAAGGAGATTCTCTACAGAACATAAATTTCCCCCACAAGAGACAGCTTTTCAGGACCATTTCAAAATATGTCAAAGAAACTTATTTTGGGGCAAAATACTTTATTTCTTTCAGGGCCTGGTGTCTGTCATGTGATATTATACTGGAGTCTGGCTGGAATTTGGTATCTTACTGTTACAGAGGGTCTATCTTGTCAGTCTCAAGATCTCTGTTTCAATGTTAATGCTGGTCAGTTGTGTCTAAATTCCAAATGAAGGAGGGTAGAATGAAGCAGGTCTGATCCCTCACTTTTGCTGTCATGGCCTGAACTAGTTTTTCAGTTTTTTGGAGGGGGGGGGTCCCCTTGGCCAAGAGGGGCTTCCATTCAATCAGTTGGGGGGCTTAGAATTTTATTTTTGATTTACAGACATGTAGATGAAAACCCACTCTGTTATTCTAAAAGTCTTTTATTAAAAATATTAGAATCATATTTGTTGAGTTTTTCTCTTATCTGCAGGCTGGCAGTGTTTGTTTTTTTCATCTCAGATACATTCTACATTGGTCTCTATTTAGTATGTCTGCTCTTGTAAGGCTTACAAGCCTTTTTAATTGGGGCTTTTAAATCTTTTCCTTGCCCCATTGGTGATGGATATTTTCTGAACACAGTGAATGAAATAGTATGCAGGCCTTATAGCCTTTGAGGTTACTGTCATTTCCCCTCTTCCCATACATAATAAATAAATTAGAGAGTGTTGGAGCCTTTAAATTAACAAAAGGTTAAATAAAATTTTATGATCTCCCTTGCTGATATCCTGGCTAGTACAACATTTTGAGTAATACATTATTAGAAAAATCACCATCTGGTGCATGATTATAATATTATGATGGGAGAGCTGTTACTTAGAGGCACCTCCTTAAATAGACTGTTAGCCCCAAGAGCCTTTAAAAAGGGAAGTGAATTTCTTCTTTCCAGGGTTGCTGAGAAAGATTTTCAAAAGTTTCCAATAAATGCGACAAAGTGAATGGATTTAGGGGGCCCTTTCCCATTAACTAAGTAAGCCTGAGGCATCAAATGCAAGACCTTGGCTTGTCACATTATATCATTATTATCTTGCAAAACATTTCAATGAATTTAGTTCGGTTTAAAGAGCCAAGACGTATAAATAAGTAGAAAGAAGAGACTTGAAGTGGAAACTCATCATATGTATAAAAGCTGAATTCAAATCTCAACATCTGCCCTACCACCAGTGTAAAGGCCTTCAAATTAGCATAGGCTGTTCAAGTGAAAAGGGCTGTTGAGTAATATACAAGATAAAGATTTGAGACGTTACTAACAGAACTCAAATATAAGAAAGTCACCTAACATAGTGAGGCAAACATCACTACCTTTTTTTAAATAAATATATTCTTTGGCAACATAGTCTATTTTTGTATTTGACTTTTACCTTCCCTTTGCCCATATAGGCGAAGAAAAAACTATTTTATCCAATTTTTCCAAGATATTCCTACCTGAACATGAGCACCTGTGCCAAGGAAAGCAGAATTTGGTGCTCTGGGGTTTGTTTCAGTCTAAGAATTTCTCTGCCCACAAAACAGCAAATTAGGAGACTTACCTTCATTATCAAATTCAAATTTTTGCAGAAAGGGGAAGTAGAATTATTAATCATTTAAAAATGTTCTTGCACTAAAAGAATATGTATGAAAGTAGCCTAATTTTAAATGTTCAGGTTTTTCAAAAAGAGAATCACTTGAAATATGTATTCTAGTAGCTCAAATGTATCACTGGGGATAATGAACTTTTTTTCCCAGAGCAACTGTAAAAGTCAGTCAACTTAACTCTCTTGCCTTGCTTTTATTAAGCTTTTAAAGCACTTATCAAAAATAAGGTGATATATTTCTTGTAACAACCCTGCCAGCCTTTGTTATTCACTCTCCACTGACAAGGAAAGGTGAAGACAAAAAGTTAAATGCTTTTGCTGAGGTTACAAGGCAAAATTGGGAAGGGCGAGCAAGGGTACAGCCAAATCCCTAAATTGTTTTCCAGTAATCCTTCCAAGAGAGCACAAAATCATATTACTTTTTCCACAAAAATATCTGACTAATCGTCAGACTGTGTAGACTTACCCAAAGACACAAGATAGAGTCTGAAAAAGACAGGGATAACAGATAATTGCCTGCCTGAAGTCACTTTTATTTGGTTCTAAAGATTTCAGTGAGACCACAAACCATGCCAAAGACAATACTTCAGCACAATCAGTAGGAATGGGAGGCAGTTTGATTTCCAGATTAAGATCAGTTAGGATTGTTCAGCCGTGGCAGATAGCACAAAGGTTTTCAATGTAATACATACGAACTACTCAACTTTTACTGCTTCCTTTGTTCATATCTTCACCACTAATAAAGCAGTGATGAATGGCATGCCTTTGAAAGAAAGAGTTGTTGCAACTAAGAAAAATGGAGAGAGAGAGGGGGGATAAAAGTAGTAGAGTAAGGAAGTAAAAGAAATGAGAACAGTTATAGGAGGTTGACTATATGTGCACAAAGATGGAAGAGGGGTTTCATTCAATATTTTGGCATTGTTTCTACAAGTTCTGCTCTAATTTACTAATTTCCTCTGTCCTCACAAATGCCCTTTTGGTTTAGATTTTGATATTACACATCGATAATTCCATTAAGAGAGAAAAGACATTATGAAACTACATTTGTAGTATATTTAAAGGAGGAAAAAGCGGTGGGGAGGAAACAAAAGAGCGCGAGGGAGAGAATTAGAATGTGTTGGAATAATTTCTACTGTTTACTGAGGACCTACTATATACTAAACATCCTGCTAAACATTGTCCATCTATTATTTTTAATTCTCAAAAAGCCATGTACTAAACAAATTAATTCTTAATTATAATCCCAAGGGAAGGATATCTCCTCCCTCTTCCCCCAACCTCCTTTTCTGTCTTTGTTGAAGAACAAAAGATCAGGCAGATCAAATAACATTCAGTTATTGCATAGCTTACAAGTGGTAGAGCTGGGATTTCAAACTAAGTTCATCTTATGTTTTTCTTTATATACCACTTAATGTTGAGTTTGTATTTAGATCAATATTAGTAGAAAGAATGAAGAATGGACTGTTAATAATAATGTATGTTACCCATGATCAAGCCAGATTGTTGTGTTTTCACTTTTAAATAGATATTTACAAAAATACAATACAAAAGTGCTACTTCGCTTTTTAATAGCATGGTTATTACAAGAATAGCTTGCCAAGATCCTAATTCAAATGCCGGAACAGAAACATCAGTACAATATTAAGGGTACATGGCTTATTAATGAATATTGAAAATACAAACTCTCTATTTGAGATTTTATTCATAACTTAGTAAAACAATTCATTCCAGAGATGCTTGAATATTTAGTCAATAAATAATTCTACCTTTCTGAAGAATAAAGGATTTATGAGCATCTGCCTTTACCTTCACTGACAATAGTTACAGGTTACTTAGTATAAAGCAGGTGTCTAGTTCAATGCCTGACAAAACATAGGTCTCAGATACTTACTGAATGAAATAATTAATGAATATAGTTCAAAAAACATATTAAATGAAACTTTCTAACTTCATCTACAACCTGGCCAAACACATGCTTCAATGATGTTAAAATGTCGTTCTTAATACATTTTCCAACATTGGAATAACAAGTGATTCAGGAGAAACTATGTTAGGAATCATAACTTTTCCAAAAACAGTAAACCAGAAACTCCTGACAAATGCCCTATTTTTAAATTTTTTATTACGTGTATTAGCATATTGAATTACATGCACAGAGTCTGTACATAATCTTATGGAAACATTACCTTTTCTGCTAAACTATCAAATATTTGAACACATAGAGTTTTGCAAATAAAGCAGGAAGACCTATGCAGAGGGAGTCAGTTGGGAAGGCAGTCATTCATCAAATTACCTATGTTCTTGATCAAATCACTCTAGCTATATGTGGCCTTAGAATACACAGGAAAACAAGGGGTTTGCTCTAAAATAATTTCAATTTTCCATAAGTTTTCATCTTTTTTAAACGGTATGGTTGAAAGAGAGACTGATACTCTCCATTTGAATCTTTGTTCATAGCCCCTCTATACTGTGTTCAAATGAAAGTAAAACTATATTCTTCAGCCTCTCCTGCAGATAGGGATAATCAGTTAAATCTAAGTGGTTTACGGAGGGACATCCAAACATCTTATTTTGCCTCTTTGCATTCTCCCTATTTCTTGCATAGAACATGATTGTAAACATTGATGCTCCAGAAACCATATCACGACCCTGAAGATAGGAACCCTGAAGACTAAGCAACAATAGATGAAACTTGGCTTCTTAATCGTTTCTTGATATTATCATACCAGTTCTGAACTGATGTTTAATTTTTAATATTCATGTTTATTAATTTTATTTTAACTGTGAACACAAGGTACTGTGGATCACAGACTGAGTTCTTATAAATTACCTCATAGTAAATAAGTTTATCACCTCACTCCCCTTGACCCTAGACCTTATTCTGGGAGTGACTTGGCAAAAGCCAGGTCAAATGTTCTATGCTAGCAGCTGGATATTCCATAGGTGAGAAACAGACATTTTTTTCTCCATTTATGTTCAGAAAAAAGGCAGCCATCACATTCCTCCTGAAAGAAGAGAAAAAAATTTTGTGGATGGAATAATGATCCCTTTGAGATTAGATAGAAAAGATCCTGACTTCTCACTCTAACCTTTTGAAATGTAAATACATCCTTCTGGGTGCTAGACAAATCACTGGGTATCTTTTAAACTTCTAAGACACAAAGATGTCTTCGAGGTCTGGGCTTCATCTTTCCTAAAATGGAAATACTTTAAGGAGATATTGTTCTAGTCTCCCTGACACCTTGAGTCTTAATGTAAAAACCTAGTCCAAACTATAACCATTTGGCACTCTCAGATCAGAGCAATCAAGCAGATAAATGGCCACAGATCTAATTCTCATAAGTGAAGAGTAAAATATTCCTAGGGAAAGGGAAAACATTGTATATACTGTAAAATGTCTATGAGTCAGGAAGCTAGGACATTATATAAGAGTACTGAGGAATACAGAGAGCTTTTATTTCTCCACAACAGGCTACATCTAGACATCTACCAGAAAATGTTTAAGCCATTGTAATCACATATCTTTTATTAGCATGAAAATATAACTCCAAGTTCATAAAATGTTTGACTTTAAAGTAACAAAAATTTAGATAAAATCTAGCTTCCAGCTCAAAGGACTAGTGACTATCACAGCGCTAGAAACATATGAAACAATCAATACAGGATTACTGAATGCATGGAGAAATTAATGTGTTCATAAAAAGCAAATAGAAGCCACCCAAAATAACCCACATTACACAGCCAGCAAAGGTAGAAGCACAGGACTCAATATAATGGTTGCCTGAATAAATGCTTCCACTTTTACTGTCCTGTTTGGATTGCCCCTACTGTCTTGGTTTTATTTCAATACTAATCCCACACATTTGCATTTCTCTTTGAAAACATTCAATATTACCATCCTCAATATTCACCTAATGCAGGAATCAGCTTAAATATAGCTTATTCAGGGACAAATTGCAAGGTCATCTTAACTAAGTTAAATTATTTTACTATTTATTGCTTTAATACTGTTTATTTAACTTTCAGCAGCAATTATCACATTAAAATTGCCTATTAAAATCAACTAACATTACAGCTGGGTTGAAAGCTTGGTAAGAACCAGGGACACATTCGTGTTACAACTGACTGAATTCCCAGCATTTAGCTCAGTCAGTGCCTAACTTCTTTATTTTTTAAAAAATTAATTCCTCTGTCTCTTTTATTTTTCTTTCACAAAATGTTATTCATTATTTCCCAACAACAGTCAGAAAATGATCTGCTGTAACTTTGGTGGCATTTTTAAAATTGCATTATTTTCTAGCCATGAATCATTGTCCTATGGTTGTCTACTTTGCGACATAGCAGTGGACAAAATTACACTCCACAAAAAAAAGAGACGAAAGCAGATGATATAGCCCTAGAGAACTGATTTCCTGCTTCAAATACGTTTCCTGATTGAAGATTGCACACCTAGGAGGTGAGATGAGAGAGCTATTCTATAAAAGTGTCCAGCAGATGTACTGCAGTAATTCCCACTGTATTCATCATTTACTGAATTGCTCACACACCAGAGGTATAATCCAATGTAAATGATCTCATCACCCATCAGTATGAGGGCTCAAAAATTCAGCTTGGCCTCAAGCTAAAACTTGACATTTCAAGGTTTTCAAATCCACAGTAAGTAAGCAGTATGTTGATGACTTCCAAACGTCTCTTCTGAAACAGCACCAGCTTTTGAGAAATGCAGGTGTTTGGGATCTAGAAATAGAAGTGGCCAGCTGCCCTTGAGGTGCTTGGGGCACAGTTCCATATTTCCTACCCCTGATTTGGCCCTGAGCAAGGAACATTTTGTGCAGAAAATAATAGAGTTGACACCATTTGCATTCTGCTCATACAAATACTAAAGAATTAAATTTAAAAGGTTCATTTTAAAAGTATCCCTTCTTGCAGTTTCACTGGCATTGCTCTATGTGGAAGACATAAGGCATTCTCATGCTGTGAAATCAGAAGAACACAGAGACTCTCCAGATTGGCAGAGAATTTGAGAGACCACTCATGCATGAACACACTCCAAATAAAGGGGTATTGGACCTGAGGTAAGTTCACTAGCCCTTCTGAGTTGTGTTTCTTGAACTATGAAAGGAGAGAACCAGGCTAAATCATTTTACATATTCTTTCTGTATTTAACATTTTCTGATGTCATGATTCTGGCCAAGATTACACTGAGAATAATTTCACTCAGGAACATTATTGATCACCTCCTTCATTAATTCCATGTAAATTTTGTGGTATATTTATTGGACAAAACTTCGGCTTGTCATATATACCTGCAATCTAGGTTTTCTTGTACCATAGCACTTCCCAGCGGTGTGATCTTGACCAAAACACTTATTCTCCTAAATTTTCAGATTTTTTTTTTTTACTGTAAAATGGAAACAAAAATAATTCCATAAGGTTAAAGACAAAACTAGATGATAAGTTCCTGGAGATAACTAATTTTTCAAGAGATGTTCATTCTTTCTTTAACACAATCCCCTTAACAGCTTGTATTTTCAAGCATCTAAAATATATATAAAAAATTACAATAAACACATTTTTATTATGTATTTAACTCATTTCTAGTGGCTCCTGGGTTTTTTCCATTGCAAGCTGCATTTTCTCACTTCCTTATCTACCCCCTGATTGCAATTTACAGCATTACTTTATTCTATAATGTTATGCCATAATGTTAAGCTCATCATTCTTAGCTCCAAATGACAGATAATCAACTTGAATTACCTAAGAATAAAAGGGGTTAAGGTGTTTATTGAAATGACATTGCAGTGGCCTGACAAAGGAAAATCAATAGGTACTAAATAACTCAAAAACCTATGGTTTTAAAATCTTTCTCTTTCTCTCTCCCCTCCACTAGCAGTTATTTCTTATCTTCAGGATTATCCACATTACAGCGAATAAGCCTGCTGGCAATTCTTGTCATAGTCTTATAACTAGTTAACAGGAAAAAAAATAGAACTTCTCTTTCCTAGCTTCAGTATTTAACAAAAAATGCAAATTATTCTGATTGGTCTACTTTGATCATATGTTTACTGCCTGGACCAATCACAGAAGTCAGAACTGTGATCTTATAAATGGCTCAACTTAAGCTACACACCCCCTGTAGCAAGTGGAGATAGAGTCTGTTTCAGCAAGAGGTGAGGTAAAATGTGCAAAATAAACAACACTGTCAGGTGTTCTTGGAGCTTTGTGAAGTGACTAATTGCAATCCTAGCTGTGGACCTCTAGGAGAATAAAACTAAACATATACCAAACAGAATTGCTTATAAAATATCCTATATCCTACTATCTCCTTATGATTTGGAAATTATAATTGGGGGAGAGAATGGATATAAAGTGTTTGTGTTTGTTATTGAATATTATTTTTCCTTTTTGATATGGTAAATGGGAAAAATTACTATAGATAGCCATTTGTAGAAACATGCCTTAATTTCAAGGACATAAAGAAAACCATTTTACTTCTTCAAATGTTTCCTCAATAACATCTAAATTCCCTTTAGTGGGTAAACTCAACAGTCTTGATTTTACATGAAATAGATACTATCCTAGAGGATATAGCTCACTGAGAAATTCAAATAAAGGTAGAAATGATTGAGTCAACTTCTTTTCCAAAAACGAAGTGTAGATGAAAAGTAGAGGAGAGTCTGTATAGGGTTACGTAAAAGGGAGTGGTGTGAGGTATACAATTAAAGATATGATTGAAGATTTGAATGGGAATAGAAAAAGACTGTCTTATTAACTGACTAAAAATAGTTCTGTCCATTAATAACCAAGGATGCACTGAGCTTTCTAAAACTATTGCTCATTTTCTAATTAAACCCAAAAGTATTCTTGTGAAGTGTCTAAGAGCCAGCGGTAATTATCCCCATTTTGTGAATAAAGGAACACAGTGCCTGAAAGGTGAAGCAGTTTAAGTGTATAATCAAATCAGTAACACTTAAGAACAGACTCAGAAGGTGATGAATAGAGTATGCCTTTTTATTTTATTTTATTTTATTTTATTTTACTTTATTTTATTTTACTTTATTTTATTTTATTTTATTTTACTTTTGCGTGTAGAGATGCCAGTACATAGGCAAGTCAGCTGGAGTATGGAAGACAGAAAGTTGGAAGTAGAAAACTTAGATTTAAGTGCGGTTTTCCCACATGCAAAGACCAGAACTTGGGCAAGGCACTTTCACTTTATTTCATTATCTATGAACCGGAAATAACTGATCACTTTATAGCACTGTAGAGATAATTAAATGAGACATGGAGAAGAGGTGATGGGGAACTCATCGTTCCTCCTTTTCTTGCCAACTCTTTCTGCAATGACAGTGTTCCTCTTTGACCAGGGCCAAGAAGTTATTTCAGGCCTCAATCTTAGCAGGTGGCACTTCCAAGGTTTCACAAGGTGTAGTGCCCATGAATGTTACAGTTCCTAGCCATGACCTGAGCACTCTAAAATGTGAAGTCTGCCTGTTGAAATGTAAAGATCTTTTTCTTCCTGTATCAGAACCTTTGGGACAGTTTAAAGAACATTCTGGGTAAGTTCTAAGTCAATTTTCTTGACCCTTTCATTTTACAGACATGGAAGCCCAGAGAGGGTATATGTCATGTCATACCCAACTTAACAGTAAATTAATGAAAAAATTAAGGCCAATTAGATACTCTTTATTCTAAGATCATAGTCCTATCATGTATAGTTTTATATTTTTAAAGATATTCTTTCTCCAGGTATATGAAAGTATTTTAGTCTATTTACATTACTAAAAAGGAGTACTTGAGGCTGGGTAATTTATAAAGAAAACATGTTTTTTTGGCTCACAATTCTATAGACTGTACAAAAAGTGTGGCACTGGCATCTGCTTTTGGTGAGGGTCTCAGGAAGTTTACAATTATGGTGCAAGGTAAAGGAGGAGCAGGAGCATCACATGGCAAAAGGGGGAGTGAGAAAGAAAGTGGGGTGCCACACTCTTTTAAACAACCAGATCTCAAGTGGACTCGAGTAAGAGCTCACCTGTTACTGTGAGAAGGGTACTAAGCCATTCATTCATGAGGGATCTGCCCCCATGACCCAAACACACCCCACTAGGCCCCACTCCAACATTGGAGATTACCTTTCAACATGAGCTTTGGAGCAGACACACATCCAAACAATCTCAGTAAGGAAGATAGGTTGAAGCACTTTTAGTAACACAAAAAATAAAAGTTCAGCATAGGTTCCCTGAGCCAATTATATTTCTCCTTGCTAGAAACTAAACTAGCAAGAAGTCTAACTATAGTATCTCAGCTCCATACTCTACAATACAAAAAATGGTATAGAAGACAGCTGGAATTGTGCCAAGATGCCAATAGAAAGTCTGGCACAAAAGCCAAGGGATGTATGTCATACACATAGATTCCTCTGCATGGTACAGCCCAGCTCATTAGAATTTCACTTGTGGTTTGAGGTCAGAACTTTGAGTATTAATGTTCATTTGTGCAAAGTCTCTCTCACATATCTTCTCTTCAGAGCCCTTGTAGAAGTGGCTCAATATCAAGAATCAGGTAATCCTTGATCCCAGGACTAATACCAACTTATAGCCCTAAATAGAACTAACATACACAAAAACCCCTTGTGAAACATAAGGCATAGCCTAAAACTTTACTCCTAAATCCAGGCTTTCCCTTAGGCTTTCTCAGCTTTAAGGAAGAAAGTGAAATGTTTTCATTTCCTTTAACATTTTCCTACTGAGCCAATTACAGTTTCACCACTCAGGGAATACTGGCTGAAGATATTCTCTCTTATAATGACACAAAGGAAAAAGGCTGGTGAACCTGTGTAGACCATAATAAACCAAACCTCCAAATAGGCTGATCCAACATCAAAATAATTTCCAAAAATGACATAATGTTTTGAAAATTAAAGTGATTCTTTTTCTGCTAATTATCTGTTACTCTTTATTGTCATCTATTTAGTCCATACCATTTGGAAGAGTGATGATTAAGTAGAAGACTTAATCATCAATCGACAATTGACAATCGTCAGTCAACAAATTGACGAGATAAATTCTTAGCCTTTGAATTTCAAAATATGAGTTTGAAATACATGACAGAGACAAATTTTTGAAGGAAAAAAGCTCTTAATTTGTAAGAAACTTAGCTTTGAATAAAAAGACCAGAATCCTGACAGATTCAAAGCATAAAGTCTATACAAAAGCGATAGACATGGAAGAATAAGTGATCAGTCTGATAGTGTTTTTTGCATGAACTCGTGCTAAATGAAGAATTAGAATTTAGACAGAGCCAAAGGGAAGAAATTAGATCTTTGTGTATGCCCAAAGAAAAGTACTTGCACTGTGTCTTTTTATTCATGTCTTCCCTAAACTGATTCCCAGTGTGATGTGGGCAATGAGACTTCTAATTGAATTTTAGGATCCAAGAACTCAAGGAGCAACTGAACTTCAACCTGGGTGAATTTCTGAGACTTTTAAAGTCTTGATAAGCATCCTTCTGCCAGCATGGTGTAGAGACCTATAATGGCTTCCTAGAACTGTTCTGTCAAAATACCACAAACTCGGTGACTTAAAGCAATAGAAGGTTATTATATCACAGTTTTGGAGGCTAAAAGTCCAAAATCAAAGTGTTAGCATGGCCATGCTATCTCTGAGATTCTGAGTAGAATGCTTTCTTGCCTCTTCTTAGCATCTGGCAGCGGCCAGCATCCTCGGTGCTTCTTGTCTTTGTAGATTCATCACTCCAACAGCTACCTCTGTCATCACATGGCTGTCATCCACCTGTGTGTCTCTGTCTTTACATCATCTTCTTATAAAGACACTAGTTATATTGGATTAAGGCCAATTCTAATGACCTCATCTTAATTGGATTACATCTATGAAGACACTATTTCCAAATCAGATGACACTCACAGATACCAGGCAGGGTCTGAGACTTATATCTTTTGTGGGGAATATAATTACAGGGTCATAGAATAAAAATGTTTGTCCTATATGTTTATACAAATGTCCTTTCAAACCTGAAGAGAGTTTTTGTAGGCCAGAGGAAGACTTGAAAACAATTATTTCTGTACCCCACCTCAACAGTAATATGGAAATAGCAACAGACAGGTTTGGAACTAGTAAGCACTCATTAACAGGATAAAGTATATGCGGCTGTCATTTATGCGCCCAAAGACCATTTGAGAACATGAATTTCTCAGCAGATTAAAGCACAGAGACAATGAGGCCCACAGATAAGATGGGATAATGTAAATTTAAGAGAATATCAGTGTGGAAGTTAACTAAGAATTATTAGATTCCGCTATACTTAATTTATCTTAATGCCTTCATGATACTCGAAGCCCTCTACAAAGTAGATCTTATATGGTCCCTAGAGAGAAAAAGCTTTCTTTTTTTTATTTCTTCTAAAAAAAAAAACTGGATACATGTGCAGAACGTGCAGGTTTGTTACACAGGTCTATGTGTGCCACTGTGATTTGCTGTACCTATTGACTCATCCTCTAAGTTCCCTCCCTCACTCACCACCCCCCAATAGGCCATGGTGTGTGTTGTTCCCTTCTCTGTGTCCATGTGTTCTCAGTGTTCCCACTTATAAGTGAGAACATGCAGTGTTTGGTTTCCTGTTCCTGTGTTAGTTTGCTGAGAATGATGGTTTCCAGCTTCATCCATGTCCCTGCAAAGGACATGATATCATTCTTTTTTTATGGCTGCATAGTATTCCGTGGTGTATATGTGCCATATTTTCTCTATCCAGTCTATCATTGATGGGCATTTGGGTTGGTTCCATGTCTTTGCTATTGTAAATAGTGCTGCAATAAACATACATGTGCATCTATCTTCATAGTAGAATGATTTACAATCCTTTGGGTGTATACCCACTAATGGGATTGCTGGGTAAAACAGTATTTCTGGTTCTAGATCCTTGAGGAATCGTCACACTATCTTCCACAATGGTTGAACTAATTTACATTCCCACCAACAGTGTAAAAGCATTCCTATCTATCCACATCCTCTCCAGCATCAGTTGTTTCCTGACTTTTTAATAATCGCCATTCTGACTGACATGAGATGGTATCTCATTGTGGTTATGATTGCATTTATCTGATGATCAGTGATGTTGAGCTTTTTTTTATATGTTTGTTGGCCACATAAATGTCTTCTTTTGACAAGTGTCTGTTCATATCCTTTGCCCACTTTTTGATGGGATTGTTTTTTTCATGTAAATTTATTTAAATTCCTTGTAAATTCTGGATATTAGACCTTTGTCAGAGGGTAGATTATAAAAATTTTTTCCCATTCTGTAGGTTGCCTGTTCACATTGATGATAGTTCCTTTTGCTGTGCAGAAGCTCTTTATTTTACTTAGATCTCATTTGTCAATTTTGGCTTTTGTTGCCATTGCTTTTGGTGTTTTAGTCATGAAGTATTTGCCCATGCCTATGTCCTGAATGGTATTGCCTAGCTTTTCTTCTAGGGTTTTTATGGTTCTGTGTTTTACATTTAAGTCTTCAATCCATCTTGAGTTAATTTCTGTGTAAGGTGTAAAGAAGGGGTTCAGTTTCAGTTTTCTGCATATGGCTAGCCACTATTCCCAAAAGTATTTACTGAATAGGACATTCTTTCTGCATTGCTTCTTTTTGTCAGGTTTGTTAAAGATCAGATGGGTATAGAGGTGTGGTGTTATTTCTGAGGTCTCTGTTCTGCTCCCTTGGTCTATGTGTCTATTTTGGTACCAGTACCATGCTGTTTTGGTTACTGTAGCCTTGTAGTGTAGTTTGAATTTGGGTAGCATGATACCTCCAGCTTTATTCTTTTTGCTTAGGATTGTCTTGGATACATAGTGTCTTCTTTGATTCCATATGAAATTTAAAATTTTTTTCTAATTCTTTGAAGAATGTCAATGGTAGTTTGACAGGAATAGCATTGAATCTATAAATTACTTTGGGCAGTATGGGAATTTTCATGATATTTATCCTTCCTATCCATGAGGATGGAATGCTTTTCCCATTTGTTTGTGTCCTCTCTTACTTCCTTGAGCAGTGGTTTGTAGTTCTCCTTAAAGAGATCCTTCACATTCCTTGTTAGCTGTATTTCTAGATATTTTATTCCCTTTGTTGCAATTGTGAATGGGAGTTCATTCATGATTTTGCTCTCTGCTTGCCTATTGTTGGTGTAAAGAAATGCTTGTGATTTTTGCACACTGATGTTGTATCCTGAGACTTTGTTGAAGCAACTTATCAGTCCAAGAAGTGTTTGGGCTGAGGTGATGGAGGTTTCTAAATATAAAACCGTGACATCTTCAAACAGAAACAACTTGACTTCCTCTCTTCCTATTTGAATACCTTTATTTCTTTCTCTTTCCTGATTGCCCTGTCCAGAACTTCCAATACTATGTTGAATCAGAGTGAGAGAGGGCATCCTTGTCTTGTACCAGTTTTCAAAGGGAATGCTTCCAGTTTTTGCCCATTCAATATGATATTGGCTGTGGGCTTGTCATAAGTAGCTCTTATTATTTTGACATATGTTCCATCAATACCCAGTTTATTTGGAGTTTTTAACACGAACGATGTTGAATTTTATTGAAGGCCTTTTCTGCATCTATTGAGATAATCATGTGCTTTTTGTCTTTGGTTCTGTTTATGTGATAGATTACACTTATTGATTTGCATATGTTGAACCAGCCTTTTATCCTAGGGATGAAGCTGATCATGGTGGATAAGTTTTTTGATGTGCTGCTGGATTTGGTTTGCCAGTATTTCTGAGGAGTTTGCATCTATGTTCATCAGGGATATTGACCTGAAGTTTTCTTTTCTTGTTGTGTCTCCTCCGGTTTTGGTATCAGGATAATGCTGGCTTCATAAAATGACTTAGGGAGTCATTTAGGGAAAAATTTAAAGAATTTTTCAATTCTTTAAAATAGTTTTGGAAGGAATGGCACCATCTACTCTTTGTATTTCTGGTAGAATTCAGCTGTGAATCTGTCTGGTCCTGGGCTTCTTTTGGTTGGTAGGCTATTAATTATGCCTCAATTTCAGAGCTTGTTATTGGTCTACTCAGGGATTCAACTTCTTCCTTTAGTCTTGGTAGGGTGTAGGCACCCAGGAATTTATTCATTTCTTCTAGATTTTCTAGTTTATTTGCACAGAGGTGTTTATAGTATTCTCTGATGGGAGTTCATATTGCTGTGGGGTCAGTGGTGATATCCCCGTCCTCATTTTTTATTGTGTCTATTTGATTCTTTTCTCTCGTATTAGTTTAGCTATCTATCTATCTATCTATCTATCTATCTATCTATCTATATATTTTTTTTTTCAAAAAAACAGCTCCTGGATTCATTGATTTTTTTTTGGAGGATTTTTCATGTCTGTATGTCTTTCAATTCTTCTCTGATCTTAGTCATTTTTTGTCTTCTGCTAGCTTTTGGATTTGTTTGCTCTTGCCTCTCTAGCTCTTTTAACTGTGAGCTTAGGGTACTGATTTGAGATCTTTCTAGCTTCCTGATCTGGGAATTTAGTGCTATAAATTTCCCTCTTAACACTGCTTTAGCTGTGTCTCAGAGATTCTGGTACATTGTCTCTTTGTTCTCATTGGTTTCAAAGAACTTCTTGATTTCTGCCTTAATTTCATTATTTACCCAGGAGTCATTTAGGAGCAGGTGGTTCAATTTCCATGAAATTGTGTGGTTTTGAGTGAGTTTCTTAATCCTGAGTTCTAATTTGATTGCAGTGTGGTCTGAGAGAATGTTTGTTATGATTTCAGTTGTTTTGCATTTGCTGAGTAGTATTTTACTTCCAATTATGTGGTCGATTTTAGAATAACTGCCATGTGGCACTGAGAAGAATGTATATTCTGTTGATTTGGGGTGAAGAGTTCTGTAGACATCTACTAGGTCTACTTGATCCAGAGCTGAGTTCGAGTCCTGAATATCCTTGATAATTTTCTGTCTCATTGATCTGTCTAATACTGGAGGGGCATTAAAGTCTCCCACTATTATTGTGTGGGAATCTAATTCTCTTTGTAAGTCTCTAAGAACTTCTTTTATGAAGATGGGTGCTCCTGTATTGGGTGCATATATATTTAGAATAGTTAGCTCTTCTTGTTGAATTGTTCTCTTCACCATTATGTAATGCCTTATTTGTCCTTTTTGATCTTTGTTGGCTTAAAATCTGTTTTGTCAGAGACCAGGATTACAACCTCAGCTTTTTTTGTTTTCCATTTGCTTGTAAGTTTTCCTCCATCCCTTTATTTTGAGCCTGCTTGTGTCTTTGCACCTGAGATGGGTCTCCTGAATATAGCACACCAATGGGTCTTGACTCCTTATCCAATTTGCCAGTCTGGTTCTTTTAATTGGGGCATTTAGCCCATTTACATTTAAAGTTAGTATTGTTATGTGTGAATTTGATCCTGTCATCATGATGCTATTTGGTTATTTTCCACATCAGTTGATGCAATTTCTTCATAGTGTCATTGGTCTTTATATTTTTGTATGTTTTTGCAGTGACTGGTACAGGTTTTTCCTTTCCATATTTAGTGCTCATTTCAGGAGCTCTTGCAGGGCAGGTCTGGTGGTAACAAAATCCCTCAGCATTTGTTTGCCTGTAAAGGAATTTATTTCTCTTTCACTTATGAAGCTTAGTTTGGCTGGATATAAAATTCTGGGTTGAAAATTCTTTAAGAATGTTGAATATTGGCCCCCAACGTCTTCTGGCCTAATAGAGTTTCTGCTGAGAGATCTGCTGTTAGTCTGATAGGCTTCCCTTTGTAGGTGACCTGGCCTTTCTCTCTGGCTCCACTTTACAGTTTTTCCTTCATTTCGACTTTGGAGAATCTGATGATTATGTGTCTTGGGGTTGATCTTCTCATGGAGCATCTTAATGGGTGCTCTCTGTATTTCCTGAATTTGCATATTGGCCTGTCTTCCTAGCTTTGTGAAGGTCTCCTGTATAATATCCTGAAATATGCTTTCCAGCTTGTTGCAGTCTCCCTGTCTCCTTATGGTACTCCAATCAACTGTAGGTTCAGTCTTTTTATGAAGTCCCATATTTCTCAGAGGCTTTCATTATTCCTTTTCATTCTTTTTTCTCTATTCTTGTCTGCATGTCTTATTTCAGTAAAGTGGTCTGCAAACTCTGATATCCTTTTTTCCACTTGGTCAATTCCGCTGTTGATACTTGTGTATACTTCATGAAGTACTTGTGCTGGGTTTTTCAGCTCCATCATTTATGTTCCTCTCTAAACTGGTTATTCTAGTTAGCAATGCCTCTGTCCTTTTATCAAGGCTCTTAGCTTATTTGCTCTGGGTTAGAACATGCTCCTCTAGCTCATTGTAGTTTTTTATTACCCATCTTCTGAAGCCTACTTCAGTCAATTTGTCCACCTGATACACCATTCAGTTCTGTGCTCTTGATGGAGAGATGCTGCAGTCATTTGAAGGAGAAGAGGCACTCTGGCCTTTTGGGTTTTCCGCATGTTTTCATTGATTCTTTCTCATCTTCATGAGTCTGTCTAGTTTCAGTCTTCAACACTGCTGACCCTTGGATGAGGTTTTTGTGGGGGGCCTTTTTTGTTGTTGCTGTTTTTGATGCTGTTGTTGTCACTTTCTGCTTCTTTTTCTTTCAATAGTCAGGTCCCTCTTCTGTAGGGCTGCTGCAGTTTGCTGGGGATTCACTTTAGGCCCTATTCATCTGATTTGCTCCCGTGCCTGGAAATGTTACTCAAGGAGTCTGGAGAGCAGTAAAGATGGGTGCCTCCTCCTTCTTCTGGGACCTCTGACCTCAAGGGGCACCAACCTGATGCCAGTAGAATTGTTCCTGTAGAGGGTATCTGACAATCCCTGTTGGGGGATCTTACCCAGTTGGGTGGCACAGGGAGCAGGACGCATTTAATGAAGCACTTTGTCCCTTAGTGGAGAGGGTGTATTTTGCTGGGGGGAAAACCACTCATCTGGGCTGCCTGGAAGTCCTCAGAACTACCAGGAGGAGAGGCTAAATCTGCTGGTCCACAGAGACTGAGGCCACCCCTCCTTGTAGGGGCTCAGGCCCAGGGAGATCTGAATTTTGTCCCTGAGCCTCTGGCTGGAGTTACTGGAGATCCTGCAGGGAAGCACCACTCACTGAGGCAGGATGAGTCAGGGTTAGGCCTAAAGAGGCACTCTGGCCGCAGACTGCCACAGCCAGTGTGTTGGGCTGTGGGGACAAGTCTTGGGACAGAGCCGTCCAGCCTCCTGGCTCCAGCAGGGGAAAAGCGCAGCCTGGAGCTATAGAAATGGGTGCTACCCTTCCCCAGTCCAGGGAGCTTAACATGTTATGCAGTTGGGAGTCCCAGTGCTGGCTGGTGCCCTGCCCCCAAGGAGCTCAATAGCTTAGCTAGCAGGCAGCTGCAGCCAGTGCTGGTCACCCCTCCCCGCCCAGAGTTCTGTAGGCTTAATCAGATTCCATCTGAGAGGCTGTAAGAATCTGCACATTCTGGGGTTGGGATGCTAGGCCCCAGTGGCATGGGTTCAATGGGATCTTCCAATCCGTGGGTTGCACAGTTCCATGGAAAAAGCACAGTTTCCCCAGCTGGGTAGCGTGCTCACTCGCTGCCTTTCTTGGCTCGGGGAATAGGGTTCTCCCTCCCTTTGTGTCTCGCAGGTGGGCTGCCGCACCACACTGTTCCTTCTCTCAATAGGTCACACCAGCCTTCTTGTTAATTTTTATGAGAACCTGGATACCTTGATTGCCGGTGAAGGATTCACAGGCTTATTATGGTTTTTTTCGATGGGAGCCTCCAAACACGGCTGCTTCTAGTTGACATTTTGGCCCCACCCCTGAAAAGCTCTTAATTAAATGAATGAATTTATCCCAGAATGACTAAGATTAAATATTTTCCCATTAGACTAAACAAGAAGCCCAAGAAAAAAATTGCATTCTTATTGAGGAAACAAAGAAAGTGACATTTCTTGTCAACTTTAGTTTGTGATCTGAGATTTATGTGTTACCAATATAATGAGAGGTGGAAAAACGCTCTGGGACCCACTTAGGCAAAGCTACATCAATACAAAACTGTCTTACATAAGACATGCTGCCAATGTAAAAATAAAGAACATATTAGACAGAAACACTGAAACATGGAGAGCTATAATTTCATGGGAATCCTGTGGGCTCTAAAGTGTGTATCACAGAGGTAAAGACTATAATCAAACCCAGCTGCTTTTATTCTGGCATTACCTATCATTTTCGTTTTGACAAGGGAAGACCGTTTCACTACATTGATCATGATACAGTTTCCAAACGCTGATTCATTGCACACACACAGCTTGTGCCCCATGAAATTGTGAACACTATATAAATGATGCAAGAAAAGATGGCATGTTTGTGAGTTGAAACATTATGTAGATAAAACCACAATAGGTTTGTGGATACAGAGTTTAGATAATGAGAGTGACAGCTTTACATATGACAAATTTATCTTTCAGCCTCAGTCTCATGCTAGCTGATTGATCTTGGGCAAGTAACTTAATATTTATAAACTTCGGTTTCCTAAGGTGCCAAATGACCATGATAATAGTACAAATCTCACATAATCAAGAGATGTAAGTGAGATAATACATACATAGCACTCAGCACAGTGCCTGGCACATAGTATGCTTCCAACAGATGTGAGTTAAATTATTTTATTCTTTTTTTGTTCATCTAAATCAAGCATTGTCTTTAAAATGACATGTGAAATAAAGGATAAAGTTGCATTTTTGCCTGTTTTAGAATTTATCAAATTATGTAATATTGGGTTTATTAATGGAGCTATTTTTCATGTACAATTTAACTAGATTAGATACTGGGTAGATTAGATACTGGGTGACCTCTAATGCCCTTTCCATGTCTGAAATTGTACAGTTTGTAGGGATAAACAGTTGATCTGATATAGCTGACTTCAAATCATACCGTTTTCTACCTTTATAAGACTTTAACAAGTATCTGTTATTTAACCAAACCCAAGAATCAGTAAGAAAATAAGGCCCTGATCAGTCAACTAAGCTACCAATTACTTTCCCACTGTTTACTTACATTTTCCACAATCTCAGACACACTGCTCTTGATTCTTATTTATTATTCTTCGTTGGTATTAAATGCTAAATTAGAAGTTTCAAACTAATCATTTAGTTACTACATCTAGTTATGCCAGAATGTCAAGATATTTCCTGCTAGGTTAAATATCACAATTAATAAGTATAATTGTTGTCCCTTCATTCTGCTTTTAAGCACATGGAGTGCAAGAATCTATCATTCTGAACTCTGTGGTCATCACGGTCTTCTTGTGCATATTTTCTTTTATCTCTAAGACTCAGAGATATAAGACCAGGGCCCAGCATTTATTTATCCTTATCCCAGGTACTCAGCATAATACTTGGAGTATAATAATTAATGAATATTTGTAGGATCACTTAATAGGAATATGTGTGTGTCTGTGTGTGTGTGTAAACTAATGAATATTTGTAGGATCACTTAAAAGGCGTGTGTGTGTGTGTGTGTACTCAACTTATTTAGTTTATCAAGGTTTAATCATATGAAATTGACTTTTTCCACTCAAAAAAATAGAAAAAATAAAAAATTTTAACCTAAATGGTAAATGCCCATTATAGGCATAATTTCTAACTCTCATTTAAGTGAGGCAGTTATCAATGTTGATGAAAACAAGTTATTCAATTCATGGGTTTTTTTCATCTCACTTAATCTCCTTCTTATTTCTATCTTAATCTGCTTTCAGGACTATGTCTTGATTAAGTGCTATTCTTTAGTTCACTCAACCATTCATTTGAAAAATATTTATTGAGCATATTTGCAACAGGAACACTAGGTTCTAGGGATAAATTTATGAGCAAAACTAGTTGGGGTTCGTGTTCTAATGAAGACTTTAGCCTAGTGAGGTAGACAGACATTAATCAAATAATCACACTTATATAAGCTGAAAATAAATATTGTTTTAGAAGACTGCATCAGAAAAGAATTGATCTTGCCAGATGCATTACTCACGCCTGCAATTACAGCACTTTGAGAGACCAAAGTGGGAGGATTGTTTGGGCCCAGGAGTTTGAGACTAGCCTGGGCAACATAGTGAAACCCCATTTCTACAAAAAATTAAAAAATTAGCTAGGCATCGTGGCACACATCTGTAACTCCAGCTACTCCAGGGGCTAAGGTGGAAGGATCCCTTGAGTCCAGGAGGTCAAGGCTGCAGTGAGCTGTGACCACTCAAGAACAGATCCTAACTGGTAAGTGTAAATGATGGCTTCTCAGAGGAAGTGTCACTTATATTGAAAATTAAAGAATAAATATTAATAGATGCCACAACAACACTTCTGTTTATAAAAATTGAGCCACCAGATATTGATATTCTAAGCATAGCTCCAGTAAACTAGCCATTGTATATTGAAATATTTTATAATAGTTTGAGAAAGAGAAAAAGTAGGTTTTGATAGTGAACAATATATACAAAGTAATGGAAAAGAAAATGGGACATGTGAGAAACTGAGAGAAATATGGTTGAAGGATCTTTGATAAGACTAGAAATGTATGCAGAGACTAGACCATTAGGGATTTTCATCATAATCTTCAGCGAAGTGGAAGGATATTAAATTCTTTAATTATTGGTGCACTTTTATATCACTCTGGCTATAGCATATATGATGGCTGGCGGTGAGAAATGCAGAAATTCAGTTAAGTGGACTATTGCAATAGTTAGAGAGATGAAGTAGTATTAACAACCATGGGGGTAATGGTGGTGATGAAGAGAACTGTATAAACTTGAGAATTTGTTTGGAATACACATTTAACAGAAGACAATGGTAGATTGATTTTGGTCATTAGGATGAAAAATAAGTCAGAAGTAACTGAAAAATATTTTGGGGGGAAAATGTTATGAGGTCACTTTTGGACATGTTGAAGTTTTGTTTTAAACTTCTTTATAGAGATGTTGAGTGTGCAATTAGGTAACCGTATCAGGAACCCACAGTTGAGGTTTGATTAAATAAGTTGAATACACACACACACACACACACACACACATATATATATAGTCCTTTCACTATTTCACTACATATATATAATGTGTATGTGTATTCACTATATAGTGAAATTGTGTGTGTATGTGTAGTATAGTGTTTATGTGTGAGTAGTGTGTGTATGTGTAGTGAAATTGTGTGTGTATTCACTATACAGTGAAATAGTGTGTGTATTCACTATATATGTATATATATACATATGTATATATGTGTGTATATATACACACACGTGTATATATACATATATACACGTGCATACATACATATATACACGTGTATACATATATACACGTGTATATATACATATATAATATACACGTGTATATATACATATACATATATGTATATACACATATATACACCATATATACACATGTATATATACACACACATATACACATGTATATATACACACATATATACACATGTATATATATACATATATAGTGAATACACGTGTGTGTGTATATGTGTGTGTGTGTGTGTATATATATATAGTGAAATAGTGAAAAGAACTGGGGAGAGATCATTGTGAAGTAGATGACAGGTAATGCCTATAGTGTAGATGAAATTGCCTAGGCAGCAGGTTTAAAGTAAGAGGACCTGGAGGAATTTAACATGTTATTAGTGTGAAAGAAAAATAAATAAGAAGCATTCGTAGATAAATACGAAAGAAGAGAGAAGTTTCATGTTTCAGAACCCAAGAGAAAACTAGGTTTTCAGAGGTAGAGTGCTTCCCTGTGTCAAGTGTTTTTGTTTTTTTTTTTTGAGACGGAGTCTCGCTCTGTCGCCAGGCTGGAGTGCAGTGGCATGATCTTGGCTCACTGCAACCTCTGCCTCCTTGGTTCAGGCGATTCTTAGGCCTCAGTCTCCCGAGTAGCTGGGATTAGAGGCATGCACCACCACACCCAGCTAATTTTTGTATTTTTAGTAGAGACGCAGTTTCACCACATTGGCCAGGATGATCTCAATCTCCTGACCTCATGATCTGTCTGCCTCGGCCTCCCAAAGTGCTGGGATTACAGGCGCCAGCAACCGTGCCTGGCCAAGCTTTTTGTGAGATCAAGTAAGGTAAAGACTTGTAATGTTCAGGGGTCTCCAGTGGTCCTAGTTGACCAGATTTCCCAGGAGCAACTTCCCCCCTTCAATCTCATTTGTGCCAAAGATGTGATGTAAGCACCATCTCATGTTCAGTTTGTTTTGGCAGCACTTTCACAAGATGAATAGCGGCAGCAGGTCAGTGGCATGAGCCGAATGCAGTCAGGGGGTCAGATGACCCAGTGACTGAAGTGTCTCCATCTGGAGACCATTCTAAGAGTTTATGGGATTCGTCCCCTTTTCTTACACCTGTATTCAGTCTGGGTCCATTACCAGGTGTTTCTTTCATAAATGGAATTTAAGCATTTCTTGTAAGGGTAAACTTTTTAAGGTTTATGAAAGTTGCACCTGTCCTGAAGTGGCCTGGTCTCCTGAAATCCCCATGCCAGGGTTGGAAATCCCAGGGACGGGTTGCACGATACTGTAAGTGACATGTAGTGTCAATCCAGTGAGACACTTGGGTTGTCCTCATGACTATCATTAATCTTAGAGCCATGATATGTCTCTTACAGTATACTACAACTATAAAATATTTATTGACTATGATTAATTTAGGTCATGTGTCGGCATAGGGAGAGAAGTTTTGATAGTGTCAGTTTAGTAGATCGGGTTATGGAGGGAGTAAGCTGTGAGAAAATATAGACTTCAAGTACAGATAATTTACTGAGGAATTTTCCTTGGGAAACACTGAAGAGGGAAAAAAAGGACCTAGGTTGAAAAGATGTGCATAGAGAAGAAAGGGTTTTTTTTTTTAATAGAATAAACTTGTTTGAAGAGATGATACATGATAATACTTACATACATACATATACAGATTATAACAATCCAATTGAACATAAGAGAGAGGAGAAGGTCAAATGATAATATAAAATGTCTGAGCACTCAAGAGAGAATACGGTTGGAGATACAAGTGAAGGAATTGAGAAAAAGATGTTAGATAACAATATAAAATATATACAATAATGAAAACATTGATACATATAATAATGCTACCATGATGGTATGGTAAAGACGACTGCTATTACTTAATGCTTATTATGTGCCAATCACTGTTCCAATCACCTTTTGTGTTGCAGACAGATACATGTAAGTTGTAGGGTTGCTGCCAAAAAGCTGAAAGCACTTATTTCTGATGATATTATTAATCGCTATACAGCAAAAAGCAAAGTTATATAGTAATAGTGATGGGGACAGTGGGCTTTATAGGGAAAGATTGCTAGAGACCTAAGGAGCATGGGAAAGTTTGAAATTATTATTATAAAAATGAGAGAATGAATTGAAAACAAGAAGTATAGTGAAATTGTCAGGCAATGTTTTGGACATACTTGAAGCAAGTGATCATCAATTTATAGTGATTATCAATCTGCTTTGTGGTATCATTTTCTCCAATATTGCTCAATTGCTCAGATTTAATTAACTTTAAATCAGCCAACATTTATTGATGCCTACAGCACAATAGGGCAGTTTCAGATGCTGTGGGGAAAGTCTAGGCCTATCTCATAGGCCCAAAGTCTGGTTTTACTTACCCAAGATAATTAAAACTCCACATCTTAAGATTCTGGTTCTAAATTCAATGTAGCTGATGTTGGACAAATCCACTAACAAATAGTGATTGTAAACTCTGGACAAATATTAACACATGTATAACTCTTTAAAGGCACTGGGAAGCAAAGAATATCAGGGAGAAAGTACAGGAAATTCAGTCTTTCCTAGAAGTAAATTGCACAAGGTGAGAGCTACACTAATTCAGCCTTTCTCTTTAAAGCACTCAACAAACTACATAATAAGGGGTCCTTTGCACTCAAAAGGAAACTTACAGTCTTATTGACTTGAGAGGTCAAAGTACTGAGTTCAGGCCACAAAAGAAGCTAGCAATTGAGGTATTAAATTCTAGGAAGAGTGATCTGAGAGTTGGGGAGCAAGCCTAACTCTCCTAGAAATCCCTCAAATAATTGAAAGACCCTTGAATTATATGTGGAAAAAGAATCTAAGGACCCCAGTTGAATCTGGACATAAGCTTCAGTTGTCATCCATTACAGAAGACTTTGTCTGGAACTTGCATATCACCAAGTTAGAGTGGCTTGGATATTACCTTAGAGTTTTACTGATGGAAACTACATATACCACAGTCAAGAGAAAAAGCAATCAACACAAACAAATCTCAAGAGAATTTATATTCTAAAACAAAATAATAAAAAAGAACACAACTCAAATTCTAGTATTTAAAAGGATAATATCTGAAATAGATAAATTTCTGAATTAAATTCGTAAAAACTTGGAGACAACAGAAAAGATGCTCAGTGAACCTGAAGACATGTAAACATAAATCATCCTATCTGAAGAGCAGAGAGGAAAATAAATAAAAATACAAAGAGAACAGAACTTCAGTGACCTATAGGACAACATTAAACTAAATAATATACGTGGAATTGTAATTCCACAAAGATATATAAAGTGCAAATGAGACAGAAAATATATTTTTAAAAAGAATGGATAAACATGTATCAAATTGGATGAAACACAAACTGCATATCAAGGAAATTCAGCAAACCCCAAGTAGGATAACAATAAGGATAAGCATCCCCAGATGCATTAAGGTCAATAGGTAGGAAACCAAAAATTATTCAAAAGATCTTGAAAATGGCCAGAGGAAAAAGACACATGATAATATTAATTACAGCTAACTTCTCATAAGAAACTATAAAGAACAGAAAACAATGAGATCATTTAATAGATACAGGTTTCTACAAACCCATAATTCTATATACAACCTAATTATCTTTCAAATGAGCTGATGGAAAGAATTTTCACCTAAGCCAAAGGTTAAAGCATGTGCTGCCAGCAAAAGTACATTATTAAAAAAACTGATAAAAATAATAATAAAAAATACACTAAAGGGTCCATACTGTATGATTCTTTTATATGAAGTTCAAAAATAGACAACGCTTACTCTGGTGATCAAGATCAGAATTATTGTTACCTTTGGGGTGATGGGCCTTGATTGGGAGGAAGCACTAGGAAATTTCAGATAGGCTGGAAATAGTCTATATTTGGATCTGGGTAGTGATTACCAGGATGTAAAAATTTATTGAGCTGCACATTTTAGATTAATGCATTTTACTAAATGTAAGTTGTACCCCCATGAACCATGGTGCGTCCCCTATTTAAAAAAAAAAGAGTTCATAAAATGACGTATATAAAGCATACAATGCTTGATGTGTCATTGGAACTCAGTGTTAGCTTCCTTTCTGTCTTTAAAGATATCAAACCAGGTACCACATTTAACAGGACTATTAACAGACAAGAAGACATCGAAATACAAATAAATGCCATTAAAAATAAATCAGTATTCACATATTCTTAAGTGAAATTAATGAAAAGAACTGAAGACATTGCTTTAAAAAACACTTCAGATAAACTGAAAACATTTTCCAAATAGTTGAGGCTCTCCATGTCAAAGAGGGAGTGGATTTCTTTTCAGTTTCTAGAGTGCCCAGAACTAGTGAAGGAAACAAATTATCATCATCTACCTCTTAAAAAGTGATCTTCCCTCACTAGAGGCATTCAAGTAGCAGCTAGAAGACAATATCAAAGATATGATAAGAGGGTGACAACTCAAGTTGTTTAACCCTACGTTTTCAAGATACTGAGTAATTAACAAAGAAGGTCAGGCAGGGTGGCTCAAACCCTTAATCCTAGCACTTTGGGAGGCTGAGGTGGTAGATAGCTTGGGCCCAGGAGTTTGAGACCAGCTCTGGCAAATGGTGAAACCTCTTTGCTACAAAAAGCAAAACAAAAACAAAGAATTAGCTGGTTGTGGTGGTGCCTACCTGCAGTCCCAACTACTTGGGACTACCTGAGCCTGGGAGGTTGAGGCTGTAGTGAGCTGTAATTGCACCACTGCACTCCAGCCTGGATGATAGAATAAGACTCCATCTCAAAAAAAAAAAAAAAAAAAAAAGAAAAAGGAAAAAAAATGAACATAGAAGTCTCAGAAAGATGCAGAATATTCAGTGTCATCGAAGCATCCAAGGAAGCATATACTTGTACCCATTGCCTTCAAATAACATAACCCAGTTTTCTGAATACAGAAAATTTTCAGGTTCGTGAATATACAATTGACAATTTACAATTGAAGGTAGATAACTTTTGTCCAGTGGGAGGGGAAGTTGACAGAAAATAAGTATGAAGGAAGCATCATTGCATTTAGTTCTGTCTGTCAGATTACAAGGAAACAGGGGGCTCATACTATCTTAGATGACAATGGTTTATTTTAAGGATTCCTGGAAAGTGAGAAAGCACAAAAAAATTATCTGAAGGTAGAATAATTAGCGCTCATGGAGAATGAAATGCCATTCATAATCTTCCATAACATGGGTTCCATAAACTACTCAGAAATTCAATGAAAAGTTTTCTTCCATTTTGTTTTAATCTCCTTTTTAATTATTAAACCTTCCATGTCTTCTTCAATAAAGCTATATACCCTATAGTAAAACCAAAACACTAAAGTGCAGTGAAGCAGAGGATAACCATTATGTAAACCAGTTAGAAAGATTAAATGTGAAAAATATATCAAGACCACAGAACAATCCTTCCAATAACAGCAATGAAGAGGAATAAACAGAATGTATGTTTGCTCTAAAGATGGGTATATGGTTTTGTGGCTCTGACCATACTGTCCTATAAAGTAAATCAATACAGCTATATCTTTCCTATGATAACCAATGTTTTCACTTAAAATATTGGTTGGATTACCAGAGTCTGCCCAAAATACTCCATTCATGCTGCAAAATTCATCCACTGCCTCGGCATCAATTTTCAATGCCCTATCTACCACAGTTTAAGGCAATAAATGAGTCTTTATGTCTTTGATAGAATATGGAAAAAGATAAGAGTTTTATAAACTCTCCTATAGTTTATGAAAGAAGAAAAGAGGGGGCAACAAAAATCTGTACTTTATTTGCTGATAGAAGAAACTTAGATTAGATAAAAAAGCACAAGTGAAGAGCGTCAACATTTGGTCTAACTTTGTGAGTAACAGGAAGCAAATACTGGACTGCTTTCATTAATGGTCAATAAATTTCTTTCTATAAAGAATAAAACTTTTTATTCAGCAGGCATAATGAAATACAAATATTCTTTGGCAGAAAACACAAGGACTTAATTTTCTACTGACATTTAATGCATAGACATATAAAAGCGTATTTGGATGGATTCCGAAAGGATACGTAAATGTTACTACCTTGTACCCAGTTTGTCTTCATGCAGACACTGCTTTAAATCACTACTATCTGATTTATTCCAGAAAGCAGGTTTTAGTAAAGATTTCAGGGACAGAAAAAATAAGGATGCAGAAGATCTGAAAGTGTTTAATGGAGTGCTTGGGTTAAATAAGAGGAAGAACAATATTAAGAAGCTAGGATTTTCTGTTTCTCTATTTTGTCCTTACTACTGGCCCCCATTTAACAAGTTTTAGAATCTATTTTAGAAGAAAGAAGCAACGTTAACTCTTAATCTGGTAGGGTCTCACTTAGTAAATTAAGACCAAAACCACCAAATGGAATGTAATTTCATTACCTTCTTAAGTCAAATGTGTCTACTAAAATCTATGAGTTAAAATAGTGTAAGCTACAGTTTGAACATCACGATTATATGCTGAAAATGTCTAAGAAATTCTTCCAACACCAACACAGTTATTATATGAAAAAATACTTGTATACACATGGCATCAGACTTTTTATGACTCATTATAACTTCAAACTGCCCTTGAGCCAAAACTTTAAACTTTTTTTCATTTCTGAAATATCTACTGCCACTTTTAGCCTTCCCACTTACCCTTCATGCCTGAAGAACATTTACTCTGCATCTTTTCTTTAGGTATTCCTAGGAGCTATTGGGCTAATTGCTGCTCAATGTCATTTCAATTACTCTAGTACAAGATTTAATGAGAATAAAATCATATATTGCTTTTGTTTCATGAATTACCAGAATGGTTATTAGTTCTGGCATCCTTCAAGAATTCCCATGATGTTCTATCTATGGAAAAAATAGGAATTAATTTTAAGACTTGATCATAGCCCAATATAAAAAAGTTACTTTATTATATTGTCTTTCATTGAATGACTTACAAGTTCAGACATGTCAATTGACCTTCTTGAAGATGAATAATAAATGTGTATGTGTATTTCCTTACTGAGAAAAAGACACAATAATTCTCTAAATTACATTTTAAATAGCTTGGGATGTTATATTTCTATTTCAGAATGTTTAGAAAGTTGAAATCATTATACTTGAATAACTTTCTTAATTACATCATGAATTAATATGTCCTTATCAGATATTTTGAGCTAAACTAATATTCTCTGTATTAAGTACATACCATGATATTTCATATGTGTTCTATTGTTAGGATAAATGTTATTATATTCATTACATTATGAAATATATAGTCAGTGCACAACCATTATGATTATAAAAATCTTAATGTAATTCCATCTCTATCCCATATCAACTGTAATCTAAATAGTCTAAATTCAGTGTACTATATTCATAGACTGAAAGAGATTACAACTCTCCTCTATGTCTTTTCCAAGTAGAGAGTAGACACAAATTTATATAGTTATCATAATACTACTGTTTCATGTCAAAACTTTCATAAATAAGTATTTCCTTTCCCATATGTAATAATAGGCATGCATCAGGTATACATCTATATCACTAGAATAAAGCAGTTGACGGTTTTCATCTGCTGGACTCTGTGATTGCTTCTGCCTGGAAAGTCTTTTCCCACTCTGTCAACCTGGAAAACATCTACTTATTCATCAAGAATCAGCCTACCCAGAACATTTCCTGGGTGTTGATCTTGAAGTAACAACTTAGAGCAAGGGTATACAAAAATGTAATATAGGGTATACGAAAATAGGTAAAACTCTAATTATGCTCTCAAAATGATATCAGTCTGTCTGTTTGTGAACTTCAGCAAATTACCTATATTTTCAATGCCACAGTTTCATCAACTTAAAATGAGAATAAAATAGTACCCATATCAGAGGAGTGTTTGGGGTGCTATTTAAGAATATATATAAATTATTTTAAAAGAAAATCGAATACATAATACACAAAAAATGATAGATAGCAATAACAATCATAAAATTAATGTATAAATATATTTAAGAGAAAATATTAAATGTACAAAAAGAGAAGGACAAAGGAATTGCAGTGAGGATTTAAAGATAAGAAAAGACTATAGTAATCAATAATCAGTAACTAGAGTTTCTATCTCCAAACATGATAACTTGAGATACCCATAATTAGTATTAGTTAATATTAAAAGACTAAATTTTCCTCTTGAATACATTTCCCAAAGTATCTTCTTTGGGTTTCTTATTGAGGTATGCTGGGATGAGGCAACTTAGTGTTTGGTGAGCAAAGTTTGCTAATATTGTTTCTCTAACATGCTAAATAACTTGCTCATCATGGCGATAAGGAACTATGCCTATTCTAGCACTATCCTCATTCCATATCACAGCAAAGATGTATTCCTATTTTGTTATTCATGAATTTCTCTACATATTAGTGACCAATTGTGCTGTAGATTGTTGGAAATAGCAAACAATTGGTCAAATCATCAAACTTTGTGTATAGATGCAGCCAAAATCAAACTTTTTTTTTTAAGTGCTTGAGTTGAGCGACTCACAGTTCAAAGTTTACACCCATTTATTCTCAAAAGTTACTCTGTGAAGAAAAATCCATGCTATATTTTACAGATCTACTGTAAGACACACTCACTTTTTTTGCACATTTTTAAATTCCGTTTCCTATGCTTTCTATTATTATTTGGATAGCATTGGGGGAAGAAAACTTTAATCATAAAATCAATACTTTAGATCCAAACTCATGAATTCATTACCATAGACCAGTGAAATGCAAGTCTCAGGCCCTGAAAGTTTTCAGTTCTGTCCCTGATACTGATCCATGCATCCATTAAAGTCTTCTTTTTCAGCCTTTACTAAATTAAGATATTTAAAATGGACTGATGTATGTGATACATGAGAAAAGTACTATAAAGCTAAGGAGCCCAATCAAAGGAGTTTGCAAAATAGACAGCGACTATCAGACAATCTTCTGCATTCACTTGCGCCACAGTGTTCACTACTAAATTTTATTAATAACTGGATAATTTGCAAAGGTACATATGCTTCAGGAGGTAAATGTAATGCTAAATATGCTCTGTGTGCTAGGGCTATGGACACACACCTACTTGAGATTAAACTGATACAAAATTGGGACAATAAGCTTTACAACTATATTAGATCTATATCTCCTTTTTTCCACACTGAGAATCCTGGTTTTCTAGGCTAAAGTTAGAATAGATTAAAATTTCCCATGATTAATAATCTATGTTAGATCTATATCTCGTTTTTGCACACTGACAATCCTGTTTTTCTAGGTTAAAGTTACCATAGATTAAAATTTCCTGTGATTAATAATTTGCTTTATTTCATTTTATGAGTTGAATTGTGCCTCCCAAAAGATGTTGAAGTCATAACTGCCAATACCTGTGAATGTGGCCTTATTTGGAAATAGGGTCTCTGCAGATGATGAAGTTAAGATGAGGTCATTAGAGTGGGCCCTAATCAAATACGACTGTGTCCTTATAAAAATATGAAATTTGGACACAAAGACAGAGAAACAGAGAGAGAAGACAATGTGAAGACACAGGAAGAACCCCATCTAATAGCCAAAGAAAACCTGGGGCTAGCCAGAGGCTAAGAGAAACCATGGAACAGAGTCTTCCTCAGAGACTTGAGAAGGAACCAATCATGCTGACACCTAGATTTCAGGCTTCTAGACTGAAGAAATGTGAGGCAATGAATTTCTGTTGTTTAAGCTAACCAGTTTGTGGTATTTTGTTTTGGCAGCTCTAGCAAACTAACACATTCTGTAATACCAAAAAACAGATATGAAAGTTCAATATTAATATTACTATATCTTTTATAATACCTGAAACTAGTTACATTTTTGTATACCTTCTTCTTCCCCCATTTGTAAATATAGCATGATATCTATATCATAAAAAAATAGCCATCACATACTGTACTCTATCTCTATTAATTGAACTTTCATTTATTCATAGTTTTATAAGTAACCATATAGTTGACATTCATGACCTATTCATAAGTCTATCTCTGTCTATTATTTTGGTTGTCTGAAGCTTCTTATCTAGTAGATTCCTGAGGAAGAGTTCATTGGGAAAGTATTCCCTATTTCATTTTACTTTAATAATTTTTTGATCCTACTATACTATAGATTTTGCTAAATATAAAATCCTTGGCTCACATTTTTTTCTTTGAGTATTTTAAATGTGTTGGTTCCATGTCATCTGGAATTATTACTGTTAACAAGACTAAAAGTTACTAAATTTTCATTTTCTTATAAGTCACCTTTTCTTTTTGCCTAGATATCCAAAGGATATTTTTTCCAGTTATTTCACTAGTTATTCACAGAACATCTCTTGATGTTGGTCATTCTGGGGCAATATTCTCAGGTATGGAGTATGTTTTTTCATACGTATGTATATGTTTGTGTGTGTGTGTATATATACATCAAAAGTTTATATATATATCAAATGACATTTTAGTTTTTTATTGTACTTTTTCTTCTGATACATCTATTATGCGTATGAAGGGTCTTCTTAGCACATATATTCAATAATTGCCATTTTCTCTACTCCTTGTCTATTTGTAAAAATTAAAAAACAAAACAAAACAAAATCAATGTACCCAATATGTTTGAGCTTATTTCAGACCTATCTCCTCTTGAATCCTTAAGCCAAATATTAATGTAAGCTGGCAACTATGTTCTTCTTTTCCCAGAAGTGTTTTCACTATCCTAGGTGACTTGTATTTTCATACAGATTTCAAAATAAGTTCATAAATAAATATCTTCAAGAAGGCTTGCTAGTATGTTTATAGAAATTGTGTTGTATCTATAGAATAATTTAACATCTGATATGGTTTGGCTCTGTGACCCCCACCCAAATCTAATCTCAAATTGTAATTCCCCACGTGTCTAGGGAGGGACCTGCTGGGAGGTGATTGGATCTTGAGGGCAATTTCCCTCATGCTGTTCTGTGATAGTAAGGGAGTTCTCACAAGATCCGGTTTTTTGGTTTTTGTTTTTGTGTTTCTTTTTTTTTTGATAAAAGTCTAGTGCTTGCCCCTGCTCCTGCTCTCTCTCTTCTGCCGCCTTGTGAAGAAGGTGCTTGCTTCTGCTTTGTCTTCCACCATGATTTTAAGTTTCCTGAGGCCTTCCAAGTTATGCAAAAGTGTGAGTTAACTAAACCTTTTTTATTTATAAATTACCAAATCTTACCTGAATATGGTAAGTCTCAATTGATTTAGGTCTTTTTTAAATTTTTTTGAGCAAAATTCTATAGTTTTAAGACCTTTTAAATAATTTGCTAAATTTATGCCTAATTATTTCAGTTTTATTCCATTGAAACTGGTATCTGAAAATTTTAATTTCTATTTATTCATTGCCAGCATAAAGAAATACAACTGGACTTTCTCTCATTGACCTTGTACACCATGAGCTCAGTAAATTAATTTTTTAATTCTTGTAGTTTTTTGGCAGACTTTTTAGCACATATGCATGTATGATTATGTCACCTAAAAATTTTCGAAAATTATTTTATTTCAAAATGGTTTGCTTTTTACTAACTCCCCTTCCAATTCTTAGTGGGCTAGGATGCTCAGTGTAATGCTCAATAGAAAAATGAGAGAATACATACTTACCTTGTTTATGATATTAGGAGGAAAACATTCCTTTTTTACTATTAAAGATGATGTTAGCTGTAGATGTTCTGTAGATTCTCTTTATCGGATTGAGGAATTTCTCTTCTATTCCTAGCATAAGGAAAGCTTTCCTCATTTATGGATATTAAGTTTTTCAAACACTTTTCCTGTCTTTATTGAGATGAACTTTTTATTGCTTTTTCAGTTAATATGATAATTGCATTGATTTTTCATTTAAAATAAGGCTAACTTTTGATGTTGGAGGTAAACTCCACTTGAGCATGGTGTGATTTTTTAAATATATACTGCTGCAATTTGGTAATATTTTGTTAACAAATTTTAGTTCTATGCTTGGAGCAAAAATGATATATGGTTTCTTTCCTTTTGATGTTTTAAATCTATTTTTAGTATCAGGGTAATGCTGTCTTCATAAAATGACATGGGAATTGGTCCCTTCTTTTCTATGTTTTGGAAGAGTTTGTGTGAAATCAGTATTATTTTTTATGCTTGGTAGAACTAGGAAAGCTAGAGGAACCCATAGTTCTTCCCCTTCTGAGATCCCAATTACCTGAATTTTGGATTATTTGATAATTTTCCCACTGGTCACTGAGATGTTGCTTTTTGTTGTTCTTAATTTTCCTCTGTGTACTTTATTTTAGATAGCTTATTTGCTTATATTTTAAAATGCACTGATTTATTTTTTCATTGTGTATTATTGTTTCAGTCTCATGCAGGGATTTTTATTATAAATATTGTATTTTCATCTCTAACGGCTCTATTTTCTTTTATTTTGCAGTTCCATTTGGCTTTTCATTATATTCATATTTAATTTGGAGGATATTGATTATATTTATAACTACTGTTTTAAAATTATTGCCTGGGCTGGAATCAGTGGCTCATGCCTGTAATCCCAGCACTTGGGGAGGCCAAGGTGAGTAGATCACTTGAGCTCAGGAGTTGAAGACCAACCTGGGCAACATGCCAAAAGCCCCATCTACCAAAAATACAAAAATTAGCTGGGCATGGTGGTGTGCACATATAGTCCCAGCCACTAAGGACATAGAGGTGGGAGGATGGCTTGAGCCCCAGAGGTAGAGGTTGCAGTGAGCCAAGTTTGTGCCACTGTCCTAGGTGACAGGGCAAGACCCTACCTGAAAACAAATAAATAATAATAATAATAAATAAAATAAAATTCTTGTCTGAAATTCCATCATTTCTGTTACATCTGAGGCATGATTTATATCTCTCCCAGTTGGGGGTAACATTCTCCCACTTTTTGGCAAAATTATCAGTTTTGTCAAAAATAGTTTTGATTAGTCAATATTTGATTGGTGAGTGTTAAGCATTGCAAATATTACATTATAGAGTGTATCAATTTTGTTTTCTACTCTTATAATGTGTTTGGCTTTGATCTCAGAAGCAGTTAAACTACTTGCAGCTCATATTTATTAATTTAATGTTTGTTCTTAGTCTTTGTTGTAGAGTTTAGACTATGCTCTACTTTAAATCTAGTTGCAGTCCTAAAATAGGGCATGATGATTCTGGGAATCTGTCACAAACCCTAGTCAATCAGTGAGGATTGTAGATCCTGACTTACTGAAGCTCTAAGATTACATTAATTCCATGTTTTGCAATAAGAGTTGAAAATTATTAAACTTATAGCTGCCGTGTCGATTTTTGTCCAACCTTGTGGCATTTCATGCTATTCATTCCTGAGTCTTAGTCCCAAGATGTCCCAGTGCAAATTTTTAGGTCATTTTTTGGTTTTGGTTTTGTTTTAATGTTGTAGCTCCTTCTTTTCTGAAACTCTGATCTAAAATATTTAGCCAGTTCAACTTCTTAAAGTTTGATCTCTGTTTCCTCAACTGAGTAAAACTGCTGTGCTCTGTTTAGGATACCCCTTCATGCACCATGGTCTAGAACGTACCTTAGGCAGGAATCCAAGTCAACTGTATGGCTACCTTGTTTGTTTTTTTCTTTTCTCAGGAATCATAGTTTTCTTTTTCCTGCTTTCTAATATCTAAAATGAATTTTTAATGTATCTTATTTTATTTTCTATCTATTTTTTATACTAAGAATGTAAGAATGTAAGTTCAATTCTTGTTAGTCCATCTTGGGTAGAAGAAGTTATCTATCCGATTTCTCTTTATTTTTTAGAAATTTCCACCTTTTCACATTCTATTTCTCTTAAGTCACTCTCTGTTCTATTTATTTGGTCATGTGTTTTCTCTAGTTTAGTACCCACTTATTAAAAACTTTTATTTCATTTCTAATTATTTATAGACTTTCATTATCTCATTTCTGAGGATTTTTCTGGTTGATGTTGGTCTTTCATGTTTTGTGTTATTTTCCTAATATCTTTTAGGTAACTTAGCAAATGATAGGCTACAGTATGGATTCATTTTGGGTGTGCCTCTCTGCTTTTTGTAGTACTTTCATGGAAGAAATGCCATTTTACTCTTAATTTTATTTTTCCTTATGATGACTTCAAAGGAAATTTTACTTCAATACTTTCCTATCGTTCAATGTGTTTCCTGAACTTTTAAGTGGTGATTTGTTAAGGATACCTTTTCCACTTTCACAAAGCTCCATTTTCTGCTGTTTTCACAGTGTTAAAACAAAGAAACAAACAAACAAAACTCCTTGCTTTTTGGCCTTCTAAAATTTCCTACCTTTGTAACCCTACTTCAGTTTTACTTGGTTGTTCTCTTTCCTTCATCTGTCCTCTCCCTATTCTACTTAATTTTGATACCATTTCAGCAACTACTCCTCAGTGTGGTCCTACATCATGTAAGAGAAACCAGGCTGGTTAAGGTTTAGGAATCATAGGGTCTGGTATGCTTTAGCCCCTTCAAATCTCTTCAGTGTCCCATGTAACCACCCTATATGGGATTGGACAAAATTCATCCCAAATTACCCAAGATCTGATAAGATTTCCTAAGACTCTGGCCTCAGATTCACCAATGAGGATTTCCATGGAATATCTGTTGATCCTTTTACAAATCTCCTGTTCTCAAGTCCTGCACAGACTCTAATATGACAAGAATCACGTAGCCAGTAGTGTTTTATTCCTTATGTCTTGTAATCTGTGATTCACAAGGATACTTTCTCACCTAATTGTGTTGCAAATGTTTTTCACCCATTGTTGGTCTTAATATCTGATTGATCTGTCTATTTTTACATGAGGATTTGAAGTCGCTCAAAATCTGTTTTGCTACTACCACCATACCCCTAGGATCCTCCAAATCAGTAATTTTTTGAATGAAAAGTGGTGATATTAAAAGTTACTCTATAACAAATGGCATAGATTGGAACTGCTCTAGTCAAACTGAAATGTATGGCCATTGTATCCACAGCCTAAGGATAAAATTCACAAGCCTTAGCTTGGCCTGCAATATCCTTAAAGATTTGGTCTTTACTTACCTCTTCATTACATTTCCTTCCATCACTGACTCAAATATATTCTATGCATTAAACATAATAATGTATATACAAATAAAGTTTCACAAATAAACAGTGTTTCATGGTTTTGGTGTTCTTAATTACACCAAATTAACCAGAGTAATGGAGGAGTTTTAGTATGAGCCATTATCCCTCAAAGACCCTGGAAAACTCATACATACCCCTTATGATACTGAGTCTTAAGCATTGTTGATGGAAGCAAGGGGCATGGAGAGTGTTACAGTGTTACCTTATCATCAGTTTCTTTTGGAGGGGCTTAAGACACCAAAGCTCACCCTCTCAACTTACATAGTATAGTATATATCCTTAGACCAAAAGCTGAACTCATGTGAGTTAATGGCTTAAGTAGCAGAAACAGCTTTTTCCTTATATCACTGACCAAATTTACCTTGGTGCAGGCAAGCTAAACTTGCCACTCTGTATATTCAGGTGTTTAAAAGTGGAAGCTTATTTGTTAGGAGACATACTGTCTAATCTCCCAACTTGGATTCAAAATCAAAATACTCCCATCGTGTGGGAGACTCCAGTTGTCAGAGAATATAACATTAGTGACTTCTCTTTGACAATGCCTTGACTATTGCTTAGCCTCTGTCTATCACAGCTGGTCCAAGGGGCTGAGCTGAGTTTCAGAGCATGAAATTAAAAAGTAGGATATACATTTCTCAGGCCAAGCTTATGATTATTGCTCAATTGATTAAGTTTCTTTGTGTGTGCCTCTGTCTATATAAAGAGGCTTTTCTTGTTATTGGTCCTTCTTATTCAGTTATGGTACAGAAGTCATAACTTATTTAGAATCAGTTTATCCACTCCTAAGACTAGTTTATTATCAAGATAGATATCTCAGTCTTAGTGAAACAGAGTTTATAAGCACTGAAGCAAGACAAGGAAGCACTTAAAAGAATGAGAGTTTGTCTAATTTCTTCATTTAAAGGAAGCATTTCAAGCCTTAATATTTTAACTTTATTGAAGATTATTTCTCCCTTTCCCAAGAAAATAGAAATATTATTTAAGAAATCTATCTATGCTGTCATATACACTTCCATGTTTTCTGTAAATTCTATTCTATCCTTAAGATTCTTTAAAGACTCTCCACCTAGTCCTTCAAATTTGTAATAGATATTTCTTCTTTATCCACCAAGATTTCAATAATTTTTTCACCTTTTGTATGCCCATAGTACTTCGTTAATACATCTGTATGTACATCTAATTTTATTGTGGTAAAGTAATTTGAACAGATTTTTTTCTTTCCTGCTAGCCTCTCTCTTACTTCCTTATGAATAGAGGCTGTACCTTATTCATCTTTATATCTCTGAGCATAACATAGTTGCCAGACATATGGTTAGCATTCAAAATATATTTGTTGAATAATAAATTATTTAATTAGTAAAAATGATAACTAAATTTTAATGAGCACATGTACTATTCTGTGGACACTGCTAAATTTAGAACAAATTTGCAAAGTACATGGTATTATTTTATCTACCTCAAACTGAAGAACATGAGGCCCAGCGAAGTTAAAAAAATTGCTTACCATAATGTGGTTGATATAATCTCATATAATTGGCTATATAATCTTAACAAAGTTACTTAAGAAAAAATATTTCAAGGAAATGAAAAAAAATGTATAAGGGTAGGTATGCTTAGAAAAAGTAAGTAGATATTGCATCCATCAGGGCCCATTCAAGAAAACTGAAACCTTACCAGCCATTTCAACAGAAAGAATTTAATATTGAGAATTGGTTACACAGGCATTGGAAAGCTCAAAGAGCCTAAAGGAAATACTGAGTAAATTCCAAGATAGCAATTGAAGATAATAGCTATCATCTGTATTATTTGGGTAACTAAAGAGAAGAAGTAAAATCACCAAAATTTAGAAGCTCAAAGAACAAATTCTATAGACAGAACTATTCTCAGATCTCTGAGGTGGAAATATCACTTAGCTGCTCCTGCTACCTTTGAGGGGACATTTGGTGCTGGCACTGGGAATCCTGAAAAAGCAGGAATCTAAAAAAGAAATGTCCTTTCTGCCTCACTCCTGTCTTTCAATCTTCCTCTAGTGTCTCTTATTGACAGAACTCAAAAAACAGAAGCCACTGGGCAAGGAAGTCTAAGAAATGTCGCTTTCAGAGTTCCAGCCACAGCATCATAAAGCAGTCTAGAAGTGTTGGTTTGGAATTCAGACAATAGGAAAATAACTGACATGCCTAATCTAGATATAATTTGAATTTTTTTGATGAGTTTATGTGTGAGGGAAAAATTCAAAAGGTAAAAATGACTCATTTTTTCAAATATCTGCTAAGCACCATACACCATGTTAAGCTCTTAAAAATACTACTTATTCAACAAACATTTATTGACTGTATACTATTTCCAGCCACTGTAAAAGACCCTTTAAGTGTAATGGTGCATAGAATGACATTATAATTTTTTCATGGATTTAGAGACTTGAAGGAAAAATGGGCAAATAAATATGTGTTTATAACATGTGTACCTATATAACTTGAATCAGGTAACAATCTTGAAAAGGAGTCAGAAAAGAAATTAAGAATAAAGAAGTGATTTAAATTTTCAAGGGCTTTAAGGACTAAGTAGCACAGACAGGATCTGAACATTGAAATGTAAGAGCTGAGGTCTATGTCTGTTCCCAAGGTACCACTCTTCTTGGTGAGTGAGAGAAGTCTAGAATGGCATCTTGACTGCTGAGTTCTGCAGGCTCATAGAGGGAAAAGCTAAAAAATAAGTTAGTTGATTTTACTCTTATTCTTTAGCTTCCTCAAAAATTGCAAATGAATATCTTACATGGATACCATGCCAAGGGAAAATAAATTCTCATTAGTTTTATCAAAGTGTTTATACTTTACATTTGTAGAGCCACATTACATGTGTGTTTCTGCGCTTTGGACTAACTAGACATCCTGTTGATCAATAAGGTTAGGGGAGAAAACCCCCTTATTTCATCCTCCAGTATGATTTCCTGAAAAAGCATGGTACTAAAATTTCAACTACAAGAAGAATTGCTAGAGGCTATAAAAATTCTCTTTTGTGCTAGATAAATGATGTTGAGTGTTTTGGTTGTTTTGTTTTATCATTTCAAAACTCTATTAGTTATTTCTCATGACTGCCTAGTAGCTATGAGCTGTATGACCTGAGTCACTGGGAAAAGAGACAGAGCAGAATTCATTAGAGCTGAAAGAATCTTTAAACCATTTGATTTACACATAAAGAAACTGTGACACTGGAGAAGTTAAGTGACTTCTCTCAGTCTCCCATTATTAGCTTGTTAGGGGGAAAAATCTATTAAATATTGAGATCATGACCACAGGTCCCAGCCCTTTCCACAGTGTCATATATGTTAAATATATTTAGTTCTTCATAAAAGAAAAAAAGCAGTTAAATGAACTGGTGCAAAAGGTTTAACAGCACTTAGAGACTTCAGTAATGAAGATATTGTTTAGAAATTCCTGGGACCTAGGAAGTAACTCCCAGTAATCTCATCACTTGAAGCCGCTGATTTGAAAGATAATTTTGGTTGGAAAGAGGAATTCACTGTTAATAATTTAAAATGGAGGACACAAGTTGGTGGGATTGCAAGATGAGAACGTTCTGGCAATGTAGATTTAGGTAGTTTCATAGAGCCCAAGGAAATTCATACAAGCATCTTGGCATAAAACTCTGACACTTGTTAAGTGCAGTACAAGAGATTGAGAATATTAGGGAAAGGTGGTTATGTCCAGGGTAGAACCACCGAATAGGATCTAAGTGACTTTATGTGAGATCTTCATGAAAAGAGAAACATTGAAGCCTAAGTTTCATAGACCTATATGTAGCTCCTGGAGGTTTTATTGACTGTAAATGCTATATTGACCAGTAGAATAAATTTGCCTGATATTTTCTCTTTGCATTTCCCAAATAGTTTCTGAGTGAACATGGAAAAAAATAATCAGTTACTGAGATACTAATACCTGGCATAAGCAAACAAAAACTAAGCTTATGCCATTAAAAAAAAGATTCTAATAGGCTAAAAACAAACCAGGAAGCAGAAGCCCATTATGAGTCCTCCTATTCTAAAAATAGAGTGATGATCTCCACAAGTGGAGACCATGTGTTCTATAGGGTCTCCAAATTCAGCCCAATTTAAGGAGTATTGTCCTGTCTTTGTTTTTTGAATCAGAGAGAGCTAGGTTTCAATCCTGGAACCTACATTAAGGCAGTGTGACTTCAAAGAATTTACCTAATTTTCTGAGTCTTACTTTAAAATAGAAATAACTGGCCAGGCACAGTGGTTCATGCCTGTAATCCCAGCACTTTGGGAGGCCAAGGTGGGCAGATCACTTGAGGTCAGGAGTTGGAGACCAGCCTGGCCAACATGGCAAAACCCTGTCTCTACTAAAAATACAAAAATTATCTGGGCCAGGTGGTGCAGGTCTGTAATCCCAGCTACTCAGGAGACTGAGGCAGGAGAATCACTTGAACCTGGGAGGCAGAGGTTGCAGTGAGCCAAGATCGCTCCACTGCACTCCAGTCTGGGAATAATCAATACGGTTCTTAAAGAATTCCTATTACATTTTTTGAAATATATGAAAAGAAAATTTTAGAAAGAATAGTCCCTGATATATAATAGAAATTTGACACACCAGAATTACTGAAAAGAAGTTGTTTCAATATGATGGAAAAGATACATATGGAGTAGGCAGTTTGCTGCCTAATGTTCAACATAATTTGATTACTTTTAGCACTATGTTTGGACTTCCTAAACAGAAAGGAGAAAATCATAAATAGCTCTCATTCTGAAAAGAATAGATAAAAAGGTACTGTCAGATAAGGAATGAGAGAAGATGAAGATTGTTGTGGAGATTGACCAGCTATAATATTTCACATATTAATTAGCTTTTGCTTGTTACTTGCTGCTTCCCTAAGAATATAGGTCTTATCGGACACCTGAAGCCAAGTCAAATAAAGGGCATTAAGTAGGTCAGGCAAAGAACATTTAATTGACTTTATTTAATCATTCCACATCATATACACATATCAAAACATCATACTGTGCCCCATAAACACAGACAACATAATTTGTCAATTAGAAATAAAAGAAAAAGAAAATATAAATCTTTTCAAACTTTGAGAAGATAATAAAATGAGGTGAGTTTTATTCATGCTTTCATTTATTCAATATTATTAAGCAACTATTATATATACTGGAGATTTCATGGAAAACAAAAATAGTCATGTACCTGACTTTCTGGAGCTTATAGTTTAGTTTAGGAAACAAATAATAATCAAAATCCCATAAATGTGTAATTATAAACTGTAATGAATTCAATGATGAAAAAATACAGAAAATGTAGAGAGTATTTCTGAAAAACCTGAGTAAATCCAAAGGCCAGAAGGACTCCCATGAGGAAGAGACAAACTGGCTGATATCTGAGAGATATAGAGGAGTTAACCAGGTGGAATGGTAGGAAGAGAACTACCAAGGCCTAGAGGGAGGAAAGAACATGGGAATGTTTAAGGAACTACACAAGAGGTATTAGGCTGGAGCACAAACAAAGAGGGGCATGGAGGCAAAATAGGGTCTTGGATGCAAAGAGAGAAGCCAGATAATTTAAAGCATGTAGATCTTGGTAAAAATTTTATTTCTTATATTAATTAAGGGCTTTAAACAGAGTAGTGACATTACTGAAATTGCGTTTTTAAGTGCTGACTATTCTTAAAGAATGACCTGGAGAAAGATAAAAGTTGTTACTGAGAGAATTATGAAGCTCCTGCCATTGTTCAGTAAACAGATATGATAGCTTCATCTAAGATGACAATAAAAACAGAAAGAAGTAGATAGATTCAAGTTGGGAAGCTGGCTTATGTGCTTAAACTTCTTGGTAGACTAGATGTGGAGGATATAGATATGGAGGGCAGGAGGAGGTGTACTGAGAGCTGAAGGTTTGATTTGGGTTAGAAGAAGGGAGATAGAAAAGACAGCTATAAGTGTAAAATTACCCTTATCAGTTGACATTATGCTCTGACTGAGATGTCCTCATTGCTTCAAGGAATCCCTACTGGGAGAAAGTAGGAAACCATATATGTAAGCAGGATGAGCTTGGCCCAAATACACTGCCCTTCTTGTCTTTTTCTGATGGATATGAAGAATCTGATGGTCTAGATAATCTTCTGAGTATACAGATGCAGTTTGTGGTGGCCAGCCTACACACCATCCCCAAAGGCCCTGTAGCAGGAGAATCTAATACCTGAGACCCTATAGAACAGATGGTCTCCACTTGTAGAGATCATCACTCTATTTTGGGGATAGGAGGACTCATAATGAGCTTCTGCTTCCTGGTTTGTTTTTAGCCTATTAGAATCTTTTTTTTAATGGCATAAGCTTAGTTTTTGTTTGCTTATGCCAGGTATTAGTATCTCAGATATTAGTTGACGCTAATACTTAGCGTCAACTTCATTGGATTGAAGGATGCAAAGTATTGATCCTGGGTGTGTCTGTGAGGGTGTTGCCAAAGGAGATTAACATTTGAATCAGTGGGCTGGGAAAAGCAGACCCACCCTTAATCTGGGTGGGCACAATCTAACCAGCTGCCAACACGGTCAGAGTAAAAAGCAGGCAGAAGAACATGAAAAGATCAGACTGGCTTAGCCTCCCAGCTTACATCTTTCTTTTGTGCTTCATGCTTCCTATCCTTGAACATTGGACTTCAAGTTCTTCAGCTTTGGGACTTGGACTGGCTTCCTTGTTCCTCAGCTTACAGATGATTTATTGTGGGATCATGTGATCATGTGAGTTAATGTTCCTTAATAAACTCCTCTCTCTCTCTCTCTCTCTCTCTCTCTCTCTGCCTAAACTCCTTGCCTCTCATGAGCGGTGAATCAGGAGTGTTAAAGGCATTTATTTTGCATAACTTTCTAAACAGTTAATACCAAGGACTATCAGTGTTCTGTGTGTGTGTGTGTGTGTATATTTATATATATATACACATATATATACACATATATACACATATGTGTATGTGTATGTGTACACACATACACACATATATACACGTGTGTATGTGTACACACATACACTCATATATACACGTGTGTATGTGTACACACATACACACATATATACACGTGTGTATGTGTACACACATACACACATATATACACGTGTGTATGTGTACACACATACACACATATATACACGTGTGTATGTGTACACACATACACACATATATACACGTGTGTGTGTGTACACACATACACACATATATACACGTGTGTGTACACACATACACACATATATACACGTGTGTGTACACACATACACACATATATACACGTGTGTGTACACACATACACACATATATACACGTGTGTGTACACACATACACACATATATACGTGTGTGTGTACACACATACACACATATATACGTGTGTGTGTACACACATACACACATATATACGTGTGTGTGTACACACATACACACATATATACGTGTGTGTGTACACACATATATACGTGTGTGTGTACACACATATATATGTATGTGTATATACACAGATATATATGTATGTGTATATACACACATATATATGTATGTGTATATACACACATATATATGTGTATGTGGATATATACATCCACATACACACATATATGTGTATATACACATACACACATATATATGTGTATGTGGATATATACATATATACATATATAGTGTATGTGTATATATACATATATACATATATGTGTGTATGTGTATATATACATATATATGTGTATGTGTATATATACATATATATGTGTATGTGTATATATACATATATATGTGTATGTGTATATATACATATATTCATATATATCTGTGTGTGTGTGTGTGTGTGTGTGTGTGTGTGTGTGTGTGTGTGTATATTCTATTAGTTCTGTCCCTCTAGAGAATCCTAATACAGATTTAGGTACCAGGAGTGGTTCTAGAGGAACAGAGTATTAAGGGTGGAGTTCCTTCATGGTTTAGGGGTTTCTAGAGTTGGCTGCCTAATATGATTAGACCCAAAAATGCTAAGGACTCTACTTCTAATAGTATGGAGAACACTGATAGTCCTTGGTATTAACTCTTTAGAAAGTTATGCAAAATAAATGCATTTAACACTCCTGATTCACCACTCGTGACAGGCAAGGAGTTTAGTGACTCTATGCATAATACCTTTGACTATATGTGGAGAACCAAGGAACATAATGAAGTTGTTTGGTTGCTCCTAAGTTCACTGGACCATGATGAAAGAAAATGATGAACTCGGGGATTCTAACTCCTGGCTTCAGAAGCAGATACTGAGTGTCAAATCTGCTAAGATTGCCCTGAGTGAGAATCTTATCTCCTGTAGAGAAAGAGCTGAAATTGTGGAAAATCAGACACAAGTTCTTCTCGTGCAAGTGGCTGACTGGCAATGAAAGGTGCATGCACAGCCTCACCAGGTGTCTACTATTAAAGTGAGTGCATTGATTGGAAAAGAATGGAACCCTACAACTTGGAATGGGGATGCGTGGGAGGACCCTGATGAAGCTAGGGACACCGAGCTTGTAAACTCTGATGTACCTTTTTTTTGCCAAAAGAAACAGCTTCCCCATTCCCAGTAGTGGCAACACCCCTCTAAACCCATGCTACCATCAACGTTTCCACCTTTGTCTGAGGAGACAAACCATGTGCTGCCTGAGGTAACAGTGATGGCCTCTCCTGAGGCAGTTTCCAGGCAAGATAATGTTGATTCTCCTCAGGAGCCACCCCTAAGACCTCTGTTTGCTTCTAGACCTATAACTAGACTAAAGTCCTAGCAGGCCCCTAGAGGTGAGGTTCAGGGTGTGACCAATTAGGAGATATGCTACATTCAAAAAGAACTGCTTGAGTTTTCTAATTTAGATAAGGAGAAATCTAGAGAACATGCATGGGAATGGATACTAAGGGTGTGGGATAATGGTAGAAGGAATATTGAGTTGGATCAGGCTGAATTTATTGATTTGGGCCCACTAAGCAGGGATTCTGCATTCAATGTTGCAGCTTGGAGAGTTAAAAAAGGGTCCGACAGTTTATTTGCTTGGTTGCTTGGTTAGCTGAAACATGGATTAAAAGATGACCCCCTGAGAGTGAGTTAGAAATGCCCGATCTCCCTTGGTTTAATGTAGCAGAAGGCATCCAAGGGCTTGAGGAGATTGGGATGCTAGAGTGAATTAGTCACTTGAGACCTACTCATCCCAACTGGAAGGGTCCAGAAGATATACCCTTAACCAGTGCTTTGCAAAATAGATTTGTGAGGGCAGCACCTGCATCTTCAAAAAGCTCTGTGATTGCTCTTCTCTGTATGCCAGATGTAACAGTGGGAACCACAGTCACTCAACTACAAAATTTAAATGCAATGGGAATAATTGGATCCTGAGGTAGCACTCAACCTTCAAAGGCAAGGTGGGTGTAGCTACCATAATGGACAGCAGAGGCAAAGCAGCAATCAGAATAATCTGACTTATGTAGAGCTCTGGCCTTGGCTAATTAATCACAGTGTTCCTAGATGTGAAATTGATATGAAACCTACTGCATTTCTACTTAATTTATATAGGCAGAAAACTTCCAAGTCGATTGGACAAAAGACTAATTTGAATTATAAAGGCAAAGAGTCATGGCCCCTCAATTAATTTCCAGACTTGAGCCAGTTTACAGATCCTGAACCCATTGAGTGAAGGGGAGGCCAGGTCCGCTTCAGGAAGGACCCCACTAAACTACCAACAATTTATACTATTAATCTTTCTCCCATCCTTCTGCAAGGAGACCTCCAGCCTTTTACCAGGGTAACTGTGCATTGTGGAAAGGGAAATGATCAGATATTTTGAGGACTACTGGACACTGGTTCTGAGCTGACGTTGATTCTAGGGGACCCAAAACATCATTGTGGTCCTCCAGTTAGAGTAGAGGCTTATGGAGGTCAGCTAATTAATGGAGTTTTACCTCAGTTTCAACTTACAGTTGGTCCTGTGGGTCCCCGGACTCATCCTGTGGTCATTTCCCCAATGCCAGAATGCATAATTGGCACAGACATACTTAGTAGCTGGGAGAACCCCCACATTGGCTCCCTGACTGATAGGCTGAGGACTATTATGATGGGAAAGGCCAAATGGAAACCATTAGAGCTGCCTCTACCTAGAAAAACTAGTAAATCAAAAACAATATCGCATCCCTGGAGAGATTGTGGAGATTAGTGCCACCATCAAGGACTTGAAAGATACAGGGCTGGTGATTCCCATCACATCCCCATTCAACTCTCCAGTTTGGCCTGTGCGGAAGACAGATGCATCTTGGAGAATGACAGTGGATTATCATAAGCTTAGCCAAGTGGTGACTCCAACTGCAACTGCTGTACCAGATGTGGTTTCACTGCTTGAGCAAATTAACACATTTCCTGGTACCTTTATGCAGCCATTGACTTGGCAAATGTCTTTTTCTCTATTCCTGTCCCTAGGGCCCACCAGATGCAATTAGCCTTCAGTTGACAAGGCTAGAAATATACATTTAGTGTCCTACCTCAGGGTTATATCAATTCTCCAGCTTTGTGTCATAATCTTGTTCGAAGAGACCTTGATCACTTTTTGCCTCCACAAGATATCTCACTGGTCCATTACATTGATGACATTGTGCTGATTAGATCCAGTGAGCAAGCAGTAACAAAGACAATGCACTTATTAGTGAGACATTTGTGTGTCAGAGGATGGGAGATAAGTTCAGCTAAGATTGAGAGAACTTCTACCTCAGTAAAATTTCTAAGGGGCCACTGGTGTGGGGCCTGTCGAGATATTCCTTCTAAGGTGAAGGATAAGTTGCTGCATTTGGCCCCTCCTACAACCAGGAAAGAGGCACAATTCCTACTAGGCATATTTGGATTTTGGAAGCAACACATTCCTCATTTATTATTCACTCAGCCCATTTATCATGTAACCTGAAAGGCTGCCAGTTTTGAATGGGGTCCAGAACAGGAGAAGGCTCTTGGAAGCAAAAGATCCAGGCTGCTGTGCAAGCTGCTCTGCACTTGGGCCATATGACCTAAAAGATACAATGGTGCTTGAGGTGTCAGTGGCAAACAGGGATGCTGTTTGGAGCGTCTGGAAGGCCTCCATAGGTGAATCATAGAAGAGGTATCTAGGATTTTGGAGCAAGGCTCTGCCATCTTCTGCAAATAACTACTCTCCTTTTGAGAGACAGCTCTTGGCCTGTTACTGGGCTTTGGTGGAAACTCAACTTTTGACTATGGGTCATCAAATCACCATGAGACCTGAATTGCCTATCATGAACTGGTTGCTTTCTGACGTATCTAGCCATAATGTGGGTCATGCACAGCAGCATTCCATCATCAAAAAGAAGTGGTATATACGTGATCGGGCTCGAGCAGGTCGTGAAGGCACAAGTAAGTTACACAGGGAAGTGGCTCAAATGCCCATGGTCTCCGCTCCTGCCACACTGCCTTCTATCTCCCAGCCTGCACCAATGGTTTCATGAGAGGTTCCCTATGATCAGTTGACAGAGGAAGAGAAGACTAGGGCCTGGTTCACAGATGGTTCTGCACAATATGCAGGCACCACCCAAAAGTGGACAGCTACAGCACTATAGCCCCTTTCTAGGCATCTCTGAAGGACAGAAGTGAAATCTTCCCAGTGGGCAGAACTTTGAGCAGTGCACATGGTTGTGCACTTTGCGTGGAAGGAGAAATGGCCAGATGTGTGATTATATACTGATTCATGGGCTGTAGCCAATGGTTTGGCTGGATGGTCAGGGACTTGGAAGAAGCACGACTGGAAAATCGGTGACAAAGAAATTTGGGGAAGAGGTATGTGGATGGACCTCTCTGAGTGGTCAAAAACTGTGAAGATATTTGTATCCCATGTGAGTGCTCACCAAAGGGTGACCTCAGCAAAAGAAGATTTTAATAATCAAGTGGATAGGATTACCCGTTCTGTGGACAGCACTCAGTCTCTTTCCCCAGCCACCTCTGTCATTGACCAACAGGCCCAGGAACAAAGTGGCCATGGTGGCTGGGATGGAGGTTATGCGTGGGCTCAAGCAACATGGACTTCCACTCACCAAGGCTGACCTGGCTACAGCCACTGCTGAGTGCTCAATTTGCCAGCAGCAGAGACCAACACTGAGCCCTCAATATGGGACCATTCTTCAAGGTGATCAGCCAGCTACTTGGTGGAAAGTTGATTATATTGGACCTCTTCTATCATGGAAAGCGATGAGGTTTGTCCTCACTGGAATAGACACTTACTTCGGATGTGGGTTTACCTAACCTGCATGCAATGCTTCTGCCAAGACTACCATCCACGGACTCACAGAATGCCTTATCCACCATCATGGTATTCCACACAGCATTGCGTCTGACCAAGGCTCTCACTTTACTGCTAAAGAAGTGTGGAAGTGGGCTTGTGCTCAAGGAATTCACTGATCTTACTATGTTCTCCACCATCCTGAAGCAGCTGGATTGATAGAACAGTGGAATGGCCTTTTGAAGTCACAATTACAACACCAACTAGGTGATAGTACTTTGCAGGGCTGGGGCAAAATTGTCCAAAAGGGTGTGTATGCTCTGAATCAGCATCCAATATATGGTACTGTTTCTCCCATAGCCAGGATTCACAGGTCCAAGAATCAAGGGGTGGAAGTGGAAGTGGCACCATTCACCATCACCCCCAGTAATCCACTAGCAAAATTTTTGCTTCCTGTTCCCAAGACATTATATTCTTCTGGCCTAGAGGTCTTTGTTCCACAGGGAGAAGTGCTGCCACCAGGAGACACGACGACGATAATTCCATTAAACTGGATGTTAAAATCACCACCTGGACACTTTGGGCTCCTCCTCCTATTAAGTCAACAGGCCAAGAATGGAGTTATGGTGTTGGCTGGGGTAACTGACCCAGAGTATCAAGATGAAATCAGTCTACTACTCCACAATGAAGGTAAGGAAGAGTATGCATGGAATACAGGAGATCCGTTAGGGCATCTCTTAGTATTACCATGCCCTGTGATTACGGTCAATGGGAAATTACAACAACCCAATCCAGGCAGGACTACAGATGGCCCACACCCTTCAGGAATGAAGTTTGGGGTCACTCCACCAGGAAAAAAACCATGACCTGCTGAGGTGCTTGCTGAAGGCAAAGAGAATACAGAATGGGTAGTCATTAATACTAGCTATGACCATGTAACCAGCTGCAAAAAGAGGACTGTAATTGTCATGAGTATTTACTCCTTTTGTTAAAAACATGTTTGTGCATGTATACACTTGTACTAAGAAAATAGCTTCATTTTATTTCCTTTTACCTTTCTCACATGACATAGGATTTATTGACTTCATATCAGCATTTAAGTGTTGTTAACTTTATAATAGCATTTGGATTGGGGCTTGGTTCATTTCTGGTTGTAGGAAGGATAGTTATGTTAGGTGTAATTATGACATTATTGTCTTTATTTGAAGATGATATATGATCTCAGGAGATGCGTATGGGTTCAAGTTGACAAGGGTGGATTTATGATGATTAATACCGAGTGTCTACTCGATTGGATTGAAGGAAGCAAAGTATTGATCCTGGATGTGTCTGTGAAGGTGTTGCCAAAGAAGATTAATATTTGAGTCAGCGGGCCGGGAAAGGCAGACCCACCCTTAATCTGGGTGGGCCCCATGTAATCCGCTGCCAGTGAATATAAAGCAGGCAGAAGAACATAAAAAGGTTAGACTGGCTTAACCTCCCTGCCTACGTCTTTCTCCTGTGCTAGATGGTTCCTGCCCTCAAACACTGGACTCCAAGTTCTTCAGCTTTGGGGCTCGGACTGGCTATATTAGTCGGAACCCTATATTAGTCAGGGTTCTCTAGAGGAACAGAACTAATATAGGCCCTCACTTCTTTGTATTTCACACACACATATAATTAACACTGAATGTGGGCTGGCACCCATGTGACCAATAGAACACAGTGGAAGTGATGAGTTTATTCAATGAATTGGTAAACATCTAGTATATTCCAGGCACTCATGAAAGCAATGAGGAGACCATAATGAAATACACCATGAATTAGTGAGCGTAGAAATAGGAATGGTAACATTTTACATTTGATCATGTGACAATTTTGATGAGATGTACGTTACTGGGGAAAATTTTTAAATCTGATATATCTTTAATATGAACAATACTTACTGCTTCTCACCCAGAATAATGCTCTATACCTAGCAGGCACTCTGTAAATGTTCAATGAATTAAATTGATTTGGCCATAGAGATCTTTCTAAATATGTCAATTAAATTACAAAAGGATAAATGAAAAAGAAGAATTATATTCTTCATTGAGCATTGGGATTTATGCACTGCACTTTATTTACTTACTGCCAACAAATTCATAACTTCCTGGTCTTTGTAGACTTCTATGATTTCATACCTATATAGAGTAAATGGAAGCAGGCCAGCATCTCGGATGTCAGGTTGATAACAGCTCCTTGGAATACTACTAATTCTGGAACTAGTCAAGTAGTTTCTCACATTTGGGTATAGATAATTCCTATCATATATCATGTATGTTGACTATTATTTGCTGACAATGATATGACCTTTTCTAAAAAGGACAAGAATAATAATGGCAATTAGTATTGGGTGGAGAAATCAATAAAAGTATTATACACATACACACACACATACACTACAGGGTTTAAATAATCTAATTAAAGAATTGCATTAACAAATCATAAATTTCCTACATAGGTAAATTTGAGCAAGTTAAATTGGTTTCCTTAGATGTATATTAAACTCAAGAGCTGAAGAAAATGTTCTGGTCCCAATTTAACTAGTTTGTTCTACCTTGAGAAATTAACACACTGTGTGCCTTTTTAATATATAAGTATGCCCCATAGAATTTTATGTATATATAATCCATTTATATATATACATATATATGGACTAGAAGCCTACAGTAGCAAGGACTTGCAAAATATTAAGTGACTGAAAAAGTCATAGAAGTGAAAATTAATGTATGCTATTTTTAAGCACTTAGTAATGATATGCATGAAGAGGTAAAGAGAAATTTTTTAAACTACAGAACATACTAAATTAGAAGTGTTACCAGTGCCAAGAAGGAAAGAGCAATCATAAAGAAGGAAAAGTAAAGATTAGACATATGGGGCAAGAAATAACAAGATGAGATGAAGTTGAAATGTACAAAGTAATGCATAAAAAATAATAATTTAGAATATAAACCTACCACAGTGTAGAGAGATAATTAGAAAGTTGCAAGAAAGAAAAGACTGGGCAACAAAATGGACAATGAATCGAATGAGAACAATAAGGTAAGATTAGAAAACATTGGAAAAGTGTCATTGGCTTGCGTATGAAATAACTCAATGTAGATTATTAAATTATAGCATGTGATTCTATATAGTATGTGCCATCTTTCTGTATGTGCAGGTAACTGTGCTTTACATATATTGTAATCTCTGTAGACAGCATGCAGGTTATTAGGGAGAAAACCAAAAAATAAAAATGAAAATTTAGAAAATCATTTTTTTAAAGTATTTTAAGTCTGGGATACAAAAATAGCAAAATCTTGAAATTCATGAGAGTCTTGAGAACTTTTCAAGCATTAGGAAAGCATATAATTTACCTCTTAAATGTAGTACAGCAGCTTCTTCAGCGTTAATGTAGAAAGGGACAATGCTACAGTGAGATTCAGAGAGTAACCACACTTCCACCCACACTCACTAATGACTCAGTTCCTAAATCCAGTGCCATGATTCTAATCTGTGACTCACTAAAGTGGCAAATTATAAACTGCAATATGTGATCCACTTCTGGGGTCATATGCAGGTAGTTTTACCTGGTAAATATCAACATTTATACTAAAATATTCTGGTGTAATTATCGAAATGCAAACTTGCAGCTCTGGACTTTGTATTTTAATAAACATTGAAGAATATTTGGGTACAAATAGCCCCTAGCCTACACAAGGGGTTAATATTAAGTGTATAATTCTAATGGGATACACAATACTTTGATCCAATGGTAGCAAATAGAATGATACAGCACCTTCCAAGGACAACAAATTGGCCACTCAGTTACACGTGAGCTGAAAACAAAACTAGCGTGTTGTATAATAAAGACATTCCTAAAGGTTTTAGTGTAACTGTAAGACAAGGAAAGAGAATAATGGCCTCTCAAGTTGACTTCTAAATCAGGATTTTCATAATAGTACAGATTATCTGTGTAAGACAGTTCAGACTTTTTTTTTTACTTTTTTAACTGAAAAGCAAAAATGCTTTATATATATTATAATATAGGAAACCATACTTCTTTAGCAGAACTAGTAATAATTATGGTTCTAAAGATTGACTTGTAGGCTTTCATTCAAACACCTTCATTTCTCATTATTATTGTTACAATGCATAAATAAATCAATATACAGCTTTCATTATATCGACTGTGTTAGAAAAAATTTACCTAGTAGATACTTGGATAAATGTCTCAGTGTTTTGTGCTTTTTTCCAGTAGAATTGTTTCTGTTATTAAAGAATATAAGATGAGTTTGCATTACCTTCTGCATTCCCTGCCTTGTGTCTCAACGTTAGATACAAATCTGCTCTAACCTTGGGACTCAGTAGTAATGAATAAGCTATTAACTAAACTGAGTGTGAGTATAGCAATGTATAATCTCAATAATTCTGTAGCATAGGCTATTAAAGTTACAACTGAGAAAAGAAACCAGCCAAAGTAGTAAAAAAAAAAAAAAAAAAAAAACATAAAATTAAATAAAAACAACGCCCATTTCTCCTGATGTTGAAAGACTGAGAAGACTCACAGTGCAGGACAAGCAATTTAATTGAAGAAAACCAGTGTAATCATTCAAAATTACCCCACTTTGCTTATGGTTCTGTTTTAGATAATAGTTTGATATCAACATTACCTTAGCTAGTGCTGCTTTATCTTTCATATTCTAGAAATTATTGTACATGCGGATTTCTATTTTTTTTGGTCCAAAAATGGCACCAACAAAAGGTGAAGCATTCCAAACCTACTACTTCAGCTCACTGTAAGGTTTGTCTGTAAGATGAGATCTTTTTCATTGCTCTTCCAAATAAGGTAGGTGGCCTGGTTGCTAGCCAAATGGTCAAAATCGAAGCAGAATCTTAGGGCATTTGTACTAACATAAGCTCTGCTACCTCAGGTCATCTGAAAGAGGTGAAGATGGAGGGAGCACGTCTAGGTCTTCCAGGAAGAGCTGAGAGTCTTGAACACCAAGTGCAAAGGTAAAGATAGAATCTGAGTGGAAAGAATAAAGTTGTAAAACAGAAGTGGGGTTATAGCCAGACAATAATAGGCAGAGTTTAATCCAGATGTTTACTGCTAATAGCCTTAGGGTACCTTTCATTAATAGAGTGACTTTATCACTTCAGTTTATCATCCATTATGAGTTATAGAATATGAGAGGGAGGAGAACAAACCAAATTTTTCTGACTCCAATTAAAAGACATCTTGCAAGATAGAGTACATGAGAAATTTGCAATGTGCTTACTTAGTGCCTCTGCTTTCCAAGGAATGAGAAGGACCTGACCAAATGGTCCTGTCCACACTCCAGAAAGCAGAAGCTATGTTGCTCCATTGCTTTATGAGAGTATATTTTAGAATTTAAAAAGATGTCTGTGGTTATCCTGGCATACCATATTCAGTGATTGCTTTTTTCATGTTGGGCTATCAGGCTGTCTCAGTTGTCTCAGTTTACAGTCAAGAGATTTAAAGGAAATTAAGTAAGAAATCTGCTCTGAGATTCCTTAAGTGTCTTTGAGGAGCTTAATGGGAGGAGGAGGATAAGAAAGGCAGAATCCAACCAGTCACCTTTGCTTGTGGCAAGGTTTGTTTTTAAAACCACAACTTTCAATTCCTTATCTTCCTGATTCTCATTTAAAAGTATTATGCAAAATAGAAGATAACAATAAAACAGAACAAGGTTAAGATATTAGTTTATGCATGGGGAAAAATCAGATTATAAAAACAGACAGCTATGGTCAAACATACAAATTGATCCAAATATCAAACAACCTTAAAGAATCAAGCAAGGACTTTTATCTGAATTTTTAGAATTTCTTGGAGCAATGATAAGTGCAAATATAAAGAGCAAAGATAATGGAAATTCTGAAGTCCCATAAAGGGGCAATTTTAGATAGGCAACACTGCATGTAAAATTTTTATCAAACTTAAGATTTCAGATTAAAAACTAGAGGCAGAGGGATCCTTTCAAGGCACTTTCAGGACATGATAGAGTGTCATTTTTAAATGCATAGTTCTTCTGAGTTCTGGCCTGCTTCTTAGCTCTTTGGGCTCAGGTAAGTCCTTCTGAGCTTTCTTTTTTTTTCATCTATAAGGTAACAATTAAAGAACTACCTATATGCTTTTAGACCAGTGCTGTGAAGGTATAAGGGAAAAAAGAAATACACAAAAGTGTTACAAAACTGAAATGTGCCACACAAATATGAGTTGTTACTGCTTACCTGAGGAGACAGTCTTGCTTCTGTGCTCTGTAGGACTCTAGCTATTGCTTTCTACAGCCCCATTTAATAGTCTGCCACTTGCAACATCTTCTAGATATCACCTTCTTATCCTTTGACCACTTCATCTTTAGTCTGTCCACTTAAGCAAATGTCATACCCGTTAGCACTCCTTCACAAACTAACAAGGTTTAAGAGGCAAAAATATACTAGCAGGTGATTATATGAGTAATTTATGTTTTTCTTGGAAAGTGATCTCATCTCTGGTGTCTTTTGAGAAATCGTGAGTGTCTTCTTGGTAGCTGAATTCCATAATGCTCAGGAGACCTAAATGCTGGGATTGATCCCTTTCCACCCCTCTATCATCTTTGGCCAATTAAGTTTTCTCAGTTTCATAGTTACAGATGTCTCTTCTCACCCCAACCAGCCATCTCAACATGATTGCCCAGAGTCAAAGGACATTCCAGAAGAAAGATGCTGGAAAAGCCATTATTCTCAGCAAACTAACACAGGAACAGAAAACCAAACACTGCATGTTCTCACTTGTAAGTGGAAGCTGAACAATGAGCACACATGGACAGACAGGGAGGAGAACAATACACACTGGGGCCTTTGTGGGCGTGGCAGGGGGAGGGAGAGCATCAGGATAAATAGCTAATGCATGCCGGGCTTAATACCTAGGTGATGGGCTGATAGGTGCAGCAAACCACCATGTAACAAACCTATGCATCCTGCACATGTATCCAAGAGCTTAAAATAAAGTAATATAAACTAACATTTAAAAAAAGAAAGACGCTGGAAAAATCCAGTTTCCAATGGTAAAAGAACAATATTAGAGAATCAAGTTGATTGATTGTAGAGATGAGGCCTGCCTATATTGCCCAGGCTGGTCTTAAACTGCTGGGTTCAAGTGATCCTCCCACCTCGGCCTCCCAAAGTGCTGGGATTACAGGCATAAGCCACCATATCTGGCCTAAGAGTCAAATTTAAATGTCAGTATAACTTCAATTTCTTGAGCACCTATAGTGGGACAGGCATTGTGACAGTGCTTTAATAATGCAGGACAATACTTTGAAATATTAATTTAAGTCTTTTCTTTCTCTTTATTTTACTCCTTTTAATCCCCACTCTTCCCAACCTCCATTCAGCACTGAAGACAGAATTTCTGTTTGCTTTCTTCAAAAAAATTTGGGAAAGAGTCATTTATTTTCAGAATTTCATACCTACCAAGGAACTAATACTACAGAGAAACATAGGGAAAAGGGTATTTGTACTTTATATAGACTAAATAAATATCTGGCAGAAGCAGGATTCTCTCCATATGTGTAACAGTAAAAGCTTTTCTTTGGCTTGAGTCAGGAACAAAAGAAGAAAGAAAATTCTATGGATCCTGAGAGTAGAGAAAACCTATCCCCTGGTTTTCAGAGACAAAGGCAACAGAACTGGAGAAGGGGCACCTAAGAGATGATCCTCTGGGAACCACATCAAAGATTCTTCACTCGAGCTTTGCAAAGAAGAGAAAATTAGAGATCTTTGGGATCTGAAGGGGCCATGCACACCGATGTAGTGAATATCTCAGGGGCCATCAGTATTGACTTATGACTTCAGATCAGATTTGTTTCTCCCCAACCAAGACCTGACGGCCAAAATCTTAGCACTGTATAATATCCTCAAGTAGTAGATACTGCTCCCCAAAGAGAGTGGGTATAAAATTTCAGGTACAAATTATATTGAGTTTTTATATTTTATCCCTACCAGCCTAATAGAAGATTTCAGTCAGAAATTACAATGAGTTAAAGAAAATGAAGAAAGCTTGTTTGCTTCGATCCCTGGATACATCTGGATTCATACCCAATACATATTTGATGCCTCAATTAATTCCTACAACAGAACTACAAAAAAAGAAATTCCTCTACCCCTTATTACAGATAGAAAACCTAGAAAGAAAAATTTAAGTAGTTTCTTAAGATAGCACAGCTAGTTTATGATGGTGCTGGGAGTCAACCCTAAGTCTTTTCAAATCTAAAATCATCATATCTGTTATCCTGTAGTACCCATATCACAAGGTTGAGTAGGCTGGGAAAAATCTGCTATTGGCCAATCTGACTCTTTTTAAGTTACTATGAATCTGGGATGCACTCTTGCCTCTTCATGTGAGTAGAGAGACAAAGCAGATCTTTGGTGTTCGGTCTCAAAAGTAAACTCTACTAAATAATATATTTCATAAACACAACAAAACACCAAATTGGACTCCTCATAAGCATTTTATAGCCTAATTTCTTCGCATAGTTCTGCTTTGTAGTGATTCTGAAAGGACAAATCCCATGAGGAATAAAGATCTATCTGTAGTAATTGAGAAATTTTCTGAAGATTAGAGACTTAGCTGCTTTGAAGAAAACTTTGGCAAGCCCCAGGAGTCAAGAAATCAGCTGGGAATAGTTCAGGGGCACTCACTGGCGCTCCACATGCATTGGAAGGAGGCTGGCACCAAATGGTTGCCCAAAGAGCTGCCAGTCGAGATTGGCACTTGTGCACCAAGACTAAGGGGGAAGCAAGTTGCAAGACAGTGGTGCCAGCTGGAAAAATACTGCCTGTGAAAAGAAGGAGATGAGCTTCTATGGAGGTACCAAACAATAATTTCTGAAGTGTATACAAGGATGGCTGAAGTGTGGACATGAGACTGGAAACAGAGGCAGGGCAATGATGCAAATAAGCAAAATGGAAGGCAGGACAAAAGGAACGAAGGAGAAGGGGGACGAAAGGAGAAACGGCCTTAATTAAGAAAGCCAGCTAGGTAACAAATTTCTGAAAAGGCAGCTTGGTTTAGTTCATGTTGTATTAATTACACTGAAGTATCAGGTACAGAAAAGAATGAAAGTAGAGAGACAAAATCATTACCTGAGGAAGGGAAAGATAATACATGAATACATATTGAAAATCAGGTCAATATGATTTTTTTATATCAGATTAGATATTATAAAATATATGACTTTGTGGGTCCTTCTGTAATCATTTTTAAACATCAGTTTAGTTTTCTCATTTGTAATAAGCAGCTGATAATAAATAAATTATAGTTGATATTATTACTATTAAAAGATGTGCTCTAATAAGTACATAATACGTGCTGCATGCTGTGCTAAGCATGTTAAATGAATTCTCTCACATAATTACTCTATAATAACTCACATAATAACCGAATGAATTACCATAATAAAAGAGTTTTGTAGGGTACCAGATTCATACTAGGTACTCAATAAATGATGGCTACTGTTAATAATGCCATTAATATTGGTTCTTTTTTGCTAATTAATTCCTAATCTCAAGTATTCTTTTAATGGATGTCTGTTACAATTCTGATGCTCAATGGGGTTGGGGGTCATGTAGTGGAAAGGAAGGATTTTATTTCTATTCCCTACATAAATTTCAGATAGCCTCCTTCGCAAAGGCATGCAAAACATGTAGATCGGCTATAAACACCTTGAGCTCAGACAAGGTTTATAATTGTTGTGTATCTCAAGCTACAATTTCCCCTTTATGCATGCAGTCCTCTCTCTGATGTCCAGACAGAATCTTCTTTCTTTCTACTATCCACTGAGAGGAAAGCATGCTCTTTACTCTTCTCTTTTTACACACATTTCTACTGAAAGCTATGTGCACATGTGCTGTGAGAAGGTCGTTGATTGGATGTTCATAATAACTACACTTTTTTTGCATCTGCAGGAAATAGAGTACTCTCTCTTTAACTCAGGAATGGTCCACTCCTTTTCATCACGAAATGTCACCTTTTTAGAAAAGCCCCGGCCGGGGCGGTGGCTCACACCTGTAATCCCAGCACTTTGGGAGGCCGAGGTGGGCAGATCACGAGGTCAGGAGATCGAGACCATCCTGGCTAACACGATGAAACCCCGTCACTACTAAAAATACAAAAAATTAGCCAGGCGTGATGGCGGGCGCCTGTAGTCCCAGCTACTCCGGAGGCTGAGGCAGGAGAATGGCGTGAACTCGGGAGGCGGGGCTTGCAGTGAGCCGAGATAGCGCCACTGCACTCCAGCCTGGGCGACAGAGCGAGACTCTGTCTCAAAATAAAAATAAAAATAAAAGCCCCTTCAACTAACCAATCTAAATTATTTTTCCCTGTTAATTTCCATCTGATTGCCTTGGGCATTGCTTTTAAAGCACTTCTTAAAATTACTCCTCAGGATTTGTATACTATTTTATTTGTTTGTCTACTCACTTGTATTTGCCTTTAGTCCTTACTACAAAGTAAATTTTGTGAGGGCAGAAACCACTTCTGTATTCTTCTGCATTCAGAAATATTCATTAAGCACCTACTAGGCACCAGGCATTGTTCTAGGCACTAGGATACAGCAAAGAACTGGCATTCTAGCAGTGAGGAACAAACAGCCAAAAAAAAAAATGCAGGTGGTGATGTTATGAACCACATAGCAATACAAAGGCATAAAGAGAGCACCAAGGCTGCAGCAATGAGAAGTTATTGGGATTCCATTTCATCAAAGATAATCAGGAAAGGCTCCCTCATGTATTGACCTATAATAATTAGGGAAGATAATTCTAGGTAAAGGGAACAATAAGTACAAAGACCAAGAACTTGTTGGGTATGTTCATGAAACAACAATCAGGCTTTGTAACTAGAGTATGGTGAACAAGGAGGAGAGAAGGAAGAGATGATATTTGAAGGATTGTCAGGCATCATGAAGCTGTAATATGACCTTTGATTTTATCCTGGGAGAGGGGGCAACAACAATTTACTTTTAAGCAGAGAGTGACAAAATCTGACTTATGTATTAAAAGGATTGCTTTTCCCATTATGTACAGAATAGCCTGGAAGGGGTTGGTCAAGGGAGAAGAGTTGAGACTATTGCACTAGTTTAAGTGGAAGATCCTGGTGACATAAAATATAGTGATTGTTACCAAGGTGAAGAGATGTCAGATTCTGTATAAATTTTCAAAGTAGAGATGACTGAATTTGCTGAGGAATTGGATGGGGTCATAACAAAATGAAAAGTACCAAAGATGATTCCAACTTTTATGGCATTTGAAGTTTAAAGATTGGAGTTGCACTGACCAGGTTAGGAAATACTTGGAGAAAAAAAAGTTTAGGAGGTAGAAATTGAGAGTTCAGTTTGAGATAGGTAAAACTTCAACTACAGAAAAGCCAAGTAAGCAGTTGACTATACACGTCAACAAGTGTGGAATTAAGGAAAGAGTTTTGAGGCTAGAAATATACATTTGGAAGTTACCAGAATATAGATGGCATTTAAAATCATTAGAGTGGATAGATTCACTTATGAGGAAGATAAACAAAGTAACGATCTGAGGACGGAGTCCAGGGCCCTCCAACATTTAGTTCTAGGGAGGATGATGAGAAAATAGCAGAGCAGGACGATAGGGATTCCTCTCTGAGGCAGGAGAAAAACCAGGAGAGTGTGGGGTCCTGGAAACCAAGGGTCTGCAGCAGCTGATTAGTTAAGTAATAGAACTGTGAATGCAGTACTGGGTTTGGCAATATGGCAGTGCCTGACAACTTTGATCTGAGCAGTTTTGTAGGGTTGAATGGGTAAATGGAACAGTTTCAAGAAAGTTTGTAAGGAATGAAAGTGGAATACACACAACTTTTTCAAGGGACCTTGCCATAAAAGAGATTAGAGAGCTGGGTCGGCAGTGGAGACGGCTATGAGATTACTGGCATATATTTCATAATAAGCATGTTTACAAAAGGAAATAAAATTGATGTTATAGGGAGAAGGAGACAATCACCAGAGTGAAGTCCTTGAACAGGACAGAGGATGGGACACATTAGCCAAGTGAAGGAGGAGATTATGGGTAGGAATTGGAAGAGTTCTTTCACTGTAACAGGAAAAAGGGAAGGTGTTTGGGTATGGGTGCACTTGTACTGGTAGTTTCACCATGTGAGCACATGGAACGTTTCCCCCAATTCCTTGATTGAATAGTCAGTAACTTTAACACTGCCTGACACATAGTAAGTGCTCAAACCAGGTATTGAATGAATGGATGTGCATTATTAAATCTGCTTCCAAAAATTTCCTAAGAAAATTTTCTGTGTTGGGGCTCTCCTTGCATTTTAGCTTCAGCCTGCACTATAAAATGGAATAGTGAGAGAAAAAGAGAGAAGCTTTTCAAATAAGTTTTAAAGATTTACTTCATAGCCTCCACCCCTAGCCTTTCCTTCTAAAACAAAGATGTGGACAGAAAGGTATAAGATGTTGTAATTTTATTATAGAAGTAATTGGATAGCTGTGACTCCTCTTACCCTCTCATAATATCTATTGGATATAACTCTTGGCTTTCTCATTTTGGCTACATTCCCAGAACCATATGTAAAATGTTTTCCTGAAATATTGAAAAGGAACCTACATTTTAAGTTCATCATCTCTTTGCCTGAAAAGTGGTTTATTCTTGTCCTGCTGCGATTACATTTTGCATGATATCTTTTCTTTCTTCACTGTTAAGATTGTATTTAGCATGGGCTTTTCTCTTCCTTTACTATTAAGGTTAAAAATTGGAAAATTCACATTGCATACAAGCTAAGCATATTGTCATAGATGGTAGAGATATACACACAAATAAGGAAAAAAATGAAGATGACTAGAATTCATTTTAATGTGAATTATGAGAAGAGAAGAGAAGGGGTCTAATGTTCACAGAGACTCTACCAGGTGCTAAGCTGTCTACATTTATTATTTATATTTAGTCATTATAAAAAAACCCAGAAAGTAGTTATTATTTGTTATAAAATATAAGTATCTAAGAAAAAGTTACAAAAAGTGCAAAAGAAGTTCAAGATTAAAAAAACAATAGTTTTAACTTTTTAAGTACCTTATTAAAAATATATCTGTACCAAATATATTACTAAGTACTGCATATGCAATATCAGCTTTAACCTTAGAATAACTATAGAATATATATTTTTGCCCCATCTTAGAAGATGAGAAATCTGAAGCATAAAGAAATTTAATAATTTGCTGAAAGTAACACAACTATTAGGGGCTTAAATCCAGACTTGACTCTTGCATGAAGACATGCCCCTTCTGCTGTACCACATTGTCCCTTGAGGGAACCAGAACGGCCAGGGAATTGGCCAATACATGAAGATAAAGCAAAACATAATTACTGGATAATTTTGATAAACAGCATCACTGGTTCAACAGTTTAGTTGATTATATTTACTAGCTAAGTCACAATCAGTTATATGTACTTACATCTCTCCAGACATAAAGAGATACTTGTATTTCCAAGTCTCTCTCAATATATTCTGATTTGAACATTAGCAAAAATGTACCAGTATAGAATAGATTCTTAAAACTCAATCGAAAATGGGAAAGATGTTTTTTTGGTCTTATAACAAGTGGACAGCTAAATTATAATGAAAAATAAATAAGAAAAACCTTATTTATCCTATGTAAATGTATACACGTATGAATATACTGTGTGGTTTTTTTTCAAGAAATAATTCCTTCACAGGCAACCTAGGAAATATAGTAATTAAAAATGCACTCTTTAAAATCAGAATTTTCAATCCTGCCCTTGCCAGTTTTTGGTACGAGACTTGCACAAGTTACTTTGACAAGCTAGAGAATTCTGAAAGACCTTTTTTTTTTTTTTTTTTTTTGAGATGGAGTCTCACTCTCTAACCCAGGCTGGAGTGCAGTGCCACGATCTCGGCTCACTGCAAGCTCCACCTCCCAGGTTCACACCATTCTCCTGCCTCAGCCTCCTGAGTATCTGGGACCACAGGCGCCCACCACCACGCCCAGCTGATTTTTTTTTTTTTTTTGCATTTTTAGTAGAGATGGGGTTTCACCATGTTAGCCAGGAAGGTCTTGATCTCCCGACCTCGTGATCTGCCCACCTCGGCCTCCCAAAGTGCTGGGATTACAGGAGTGAGCCACCGTGCCCAGTCCGAAAGACATTTTTTAATGTTGGTTTTAATTTTCCTTACTGAAGTCCATAAAAGTCTTAGCCAACTCCCCAGATTTGTGTAATTGCTACAACTATTGCACTTAGGTGAGGAACTCATGTGAATTCTTAGAAAGAAATATTTATTTCCTTCCAGGTATCATAACAATGCACACCTTCAGCTGAAGGCAGAACCCTGGGAAAAATCTTCACTCTCAGGGTGTTATTTCCACAAACACAAATACTATTCTTTTTTTTCATGTTTCCATTCAGAGTAATCCCCTTCATGAAATTTTCCCTGTAGCTTCACCCAGATGTGTGAACTGGTTCTCCTTTCCTAAATTCATATGGTATTTTATTTCTTTCTCCCCACCCTCCACCTTTACTTATCTGTATTCCGTCACTCTCACAGTACAAGTTTCAAGAAGGCAGGGGCTATTTTTTTATGCATCCTATTTCTACACAGACGTTAACATAAACTCCTCATGAGTAGCTTCTTCCTCAGAGTTGTATTAAGCATTTGATGTGTTCTAGACTCTAGCATAATAATCTCTTACATTTTATTGAGTGCTTCATCTTTGCCACAAGTATCTGATAGGGGCTTTTAGAACATGATCTCATTCAATTCTCAAAACTACGCAAAATCAGTCACATTATTAAACCTGTTTTGTAAATTGGGAGGCTGAGAGGTAGAGAGTATGGCCCACGGACCTAGGATCCCGCATTGGCAACATCCTACTTGGTCTCTGCTACCTCAGAGTCCACATGCTTGACCACTGTGTAAACACCACCCCTGTAGACATTCAGGAGATACTCAATGAACAAACAGATAAAAGTCAAGGACTATTTTCCTTTTCCTTTTTCTCCAGCTTTAAGATAAGATGTAAGCAAGTGATCATATTTTTTTCAAAAGATCAAGAAATTTCTTCATATAAAGAGTATTCAGGCCAGGCATGGTGGCTTACGCCTGTAATCCCAGCACTTCGGGAGACTGAGGGTAAGGGACACTTGAGGCCAGGAATTTAAGGCTGCAGTGAACTATGATCATGCTTCTGCACCCAGCCTGGGTGACAGTGAGACCCTCTCACTAAAAAAAAAGAGTATTCAAAGAAGCACATGTAAATATTTATTTGTCCTTTGAGTAAATGCAGTGACACATAATATATCTTGAGTGCTACAGAGAACATTCAAGTTTATTCTTGGTGATTTGTAAACTGCCAGTTACTTAGACCTAATGAGTTATGAAAGTCTTGGCCTTGCATTGAAAGTTGCAAAGTGAAGAAATAATTGCTTTGTATTACCTTTGGGTAGTCAGACCCATTACTTAAGCAATTAACCTTCACTTTCTGTTCCACTTCAAGAGAGGTAAAAGCAATGGTTTTAAACATTTCTTAATAATTATTAATCCTTACATACATTGATCCATATTATGAACAGCTGTCATTGCTTACCAATACTATAGACTAAAACTTTTCACCATATTGGAAAAAAAAATAGAGGATAGATGTAAGACTTAAATAGGTCAATTGTGAAGAAGAGGCTATGGCTAATTTGATGAGTAAATACATCCAAGCTGCTCTCCAAGTACAGTGGACTCTGAATTATTTTCTCATTTTGACCTTCTAAGTGGGAATTTAATGAGACACTATTGTAGTTACTTCAAAGACTGAATAAATCTAGGATAAGACAGACATGTTTCTACTAACACTGGATGAGCTGGGTTATCTGAAAATTGGGATTCATATTCTGTAAGAAATATGTGAAAAACCTATGCTTAACAGAGGAAAAAAAATTGACAGTGAGATTACTCCTTGGAATATAAAATACACGTGTTAACTTCCTCAGATATATAAATGGTTAAAATACGCAAAAAAAAAAAAAAAAAAAAAAAAAAGTCTGTCAATGTTAGAGTCCTAGCAATCTCTAAAGACTCTTAGAAGCATACATGGTCAAATATCCTAGGAACCATAGTTGCTTGGTGGGCTCTGGAGTCAGACTACCTGGCTTCCAATTTAAGCCCAGCATTTATTATTAGCTGTACATCTTTAATGTGACTTAGCCTCAGTTTCTCAAATTACAGTTCTGGGAGCACAGTTATCTGGAAAATAGTATGTGATCCAAATGTTAGCTAGTATTCCTCTTATTGCCTATTTTTAACTGACCCAAATGTTTCTAAAACTTTACAAATAAGAAACCGAAACTGCATAAGAAAAATGAAAAACCACAGCTATTGCTTGTAGAGCTCATAATATGATGCCATATTCATTTTAAGCCAAGCAAAGCCAGTTGTTATGGGTAAGTGGGGAGTGTGTTAATGCTGTTGCTTTTCGTATTTTTCTTTTCTTCTCTTTTCTTTTCTTCTTAGAGGCCTTGAATATGTGTAAAGAGAAATCTGTTATAACAAATCGGCCAGGCGCGGTGGCTCACACCTTTGATTCCAGCACTTTGGGAGGCCGAGGCGAGCAGATCACTTGAGGTCAGGAGTTCGAGACAAGCCTGGCCAATGTGGTAAAACCCCATCTCTACTAAAAATACAAAAATTAGCCAGGCCTGGTGGCAGGTGCCTGTAGTCCCAGCTACTTGGGAGGTTGAGGCAGGAGAACTGCTTGAACCCAGGAAGGGGAGGTTGCAGTGAGCCGAGATCATACCACCGCACTCCAGTCTGGGCAACAGAGCAAGACTCCATCTCAAAGAAAAAAAAAAGGAATCTATTATAACAAATCTCAGTGCTGTATGAGTGACAAAATTACTATCATAAGAACATGACAAAAGGCAAGAAAAAAATCCAGTCTAGAAACAACTGTCTACAAGATACGTTGCCTAACAGGATTAGTGCATATTTTTTCTGTTTAAATGCTCTAGGAGAGTTCATTATTTTTACGAGATTATTCTAATAAGGTCACTCTCTCCTTTTCTTGTTTTCCTCCTCCTTCTTCTCTCTTTCTCTTTCTCCCACCCTCTCTTCAATGATCTATGGTCAAAAGCACTGGGTGATACAGCCTATTACCCACTCAACAAAGATGAGTAACAGGAGCCAGTTTCTGAGAAGAAGGTTCAAATGGGACAGACATTCTAACGCATTCCATCCCTTACCTAGCAAGCATTCTTGTCGCTGTAAATAAATCAGAAGTTGCTTCTGTGTAGCATCAACATCGTATCTACAACTCTTGCCAATCTCAATGTTTAAAAACATTTGTTTTCTAAATAATCTGAAATCTGTAAGAATTTGTTTTCCAAAAGTTTTCTTAATCACATCTACAACTTCTAATCAGAGACTTCTGTCAAATAACTAGGTTTATGAAGTTTATTAATATAATTCTAACTTAAAGCAAATGAACTTGACCTCTTTATTAGTATGTTTAACTTTATCTCAGGTAAATGTGACAATTTTTAAAAGTTTTTACAAATATTAAAGAGACTAGTACTAAAATCTACTCCAAAGACTGCCTTAAGGGACTGAGGTTTGAAAAAGGATAAAGTCAATTCTAAAATTCACGCAATAATGGGATTATTTTATAGGATAATGGTCAGATAGAAAATGGTTTTATGCCAAGTAACAGCACTGATATCAACTATACCGATCTGTGTTTCATCTCAAGAAGAAAAGGGAAAGAAATCACACTTGAGAAAACTATGAAGCTTTCCGAGATAGAATGTTGTTAGAACGCTCTGTAATTGATGATAATGACCCTTGGATGAGTCTGTTTATATGTGATTTGTGTATCACGATTACACAAGCAGGAAAAATAAGCCACCGCTTTATGAAAGATGGGTGGAGATTTTCCAATCATTTTCCAAGGTTAAACTCAGACTCTATCTATGTAGTATCAGAATTTTTAGTTGACTTTTTTTTTCTATAATATCTATTATGGCAATGTATGTGGGACTTGCCCAAGATTTGTTTGTTGTTGTTGTTTTCTCTTGAGATTTGAAGCCAGAAACTGGAAAATTACCTAAATTACCCAGCTTACCCCACTGTAACTGACATCATTACCAAGGGTGGCTGATCTGGAAGCCTGGGTTCTGAAATGAAGTTAATGTTGAATAAGGTTCAAATCAGATGGATGATAAATATGTAGCATGAGCAAGAAATAAACTTTTAATGTTTTAACCATCTGAAATCTGGGTATTTTTGTTACGGCAGCATAACATAAACTATCTTGACGTGTACAGGGCATATAGAAGGTGCACTTAATCCAAACATTGGAGGGAGGCAGGAAATGTTCCCTTGTGTATTACATATACATGCACATGTTATTTCCATAATTATCTTATCACCTACTCAAGTGTAAACTCTGAGAACATAGCACCCTGCATAAAATATTTGCCCAGTAAATGCTAGTTTAAGTGAAATCAGTCAAAAATAAAGCTAGAGTTTTAGAAATTCAACTTTAGTGCTCTTTTGCAGGGCTTATTAACCAGAATACTGGTTCTAGATAAATCTTGGCTCTGCTACACTATATAATTGGGAAATTTCATGTTTCTTTATTGAGATGGATATCATATCCCTCATCGGTTAAACTACAATGATAATTGCATGAAAATATGTATTGTAATTTCAGTTCAAAGCAGATGATCTACAAAAATGCTATTTTTCTCTCAGAATCACTGTTCTCTATCTCTTTCACATTCCAATGATGATAAATTCTAAACTAGGTTTTGAAACCAAGAAATCAATTTGTTTCCACAAGATTAGAACAAGGACTGTTTAAAAGATTGAAAACATGATCACTTTTTGTTAAAATTAACATACATCAAGTGCCTTTCCCTTAAAATAACTTGCTATTGATACAATATTGGTAAAATGAAAGACTATGTTGCAAATTTGACTTCAAAAACACTTTTGGATTTTCCATTATGAGATTTGCCATGTGTCTTGCCTAGAAATATCTACATTTGTTTTCTCTCATCAATATTATCAGCTTCTGAGGGATCAAAAAATGTACATGCAGGCCTAAATCAAATTTAAATCTATGCAATACTTCAGACATTTTAAAATTAATAGGAATTTTGCATTGTAATTTTACCACAGTTGGGTACTTAATGAAGAAATTATATATTTTTTTATTTTTTAAGTATCCTATGTGCCTTAGCACTCTCCTGAGTGCTACTTCAATTCCTACTACTCTTCGCAAAGCTAAACTCTGACTGCTTGTCTCCCATGAAATGATTTATAAAGAAATCTTACATTATCCTTGCTGATAAGAATGCTTCCCAATGCACACTGCTGCATTTTCAAATAGATATTCATCTGAACGAGGGAAAAATCTTTTTTAATGATTATATTGCCATGATTTACAGTTGTTAGCTGAAAGAAGATTAATCCAAAGAGACTTGATGAAGTCTATGCCAAAAAACACAGTAACAAGTATTCAAATGAAACAAAACACTTTAGAGCTGTGTTTTACCTTTGATGGACCTCAGGCATACTCCAAAAGATCAAACCAAATGAAGAAACAGATTGAATCTTTATAAGTTCCCTACATCAACTTCCTATTGAATCATCAAATGTAAAAAAAGAGAAAAAAACCCTCAAAAAATGACTGAAAACTTCTTTAAATGTGTGTTTGAAAGAGACAAGGAAGCTCTTCGTAAAATTTGTTCAGTTAATCTAACTGAGGCCCATTTAAAAATGTACCAATCAGCTTATATGTTAAATATCTAAGAAACTGCATTTAGGTTTTTCTCAACCTGAATCTGCAGACTCAAGCTATCCACATACAATTTGTATGAGCACAAGATTAGCAGCCATACTGCTCTGATTCATCTGATTTTAATGGAACCCTTGGGGATTGACTCAATGCAGCTGACTGGTTTTTTCCTATATTAAATTGTCCCTAATGTGACTGGCTACATCATAATATTATAGACTATGGACTATTTGTCATAGATGTTTCTATGTTTGCTTCTCTGCAAATTTAAGAAAGTTAACTATTTTCTTAAAGTTTTGATTTCTAATTTCTCGATTTGGGCATACGACCACCACTAGCAAATGTCATCAGAGTACAAAAAATGGAAACAGAGGCTATCATTAATAATACATTACTTCACTATTGACGGGATGACCGTGGGTTTTGAAGCTTATGAGTTCAAAAGTCCTCTTTAAAGTATTTTTCAATTCTGCTCCCGAAGTGGGTGAGTGTGTGTGTGCACACATATGTGTCTGTGTGCATCTGTACAGAGGTTTCAGCCTGGCTTACATTTAGCACAGTAGCTTCCTTTACAGGAGACTTTTTGCGAGCATCAGTGTTTCATTTCACAACTCACCATGTGTACTAATGCTAAAGATACAGATTACAGTGTAAGAACTGGAGTAATTATAGCCTTCCAAATCCTAAACTCTCAAACTTCCTTATTTCACAGGGCACCATTAGTTTACTTCCCCAAAGCTGATTTCAGCATTTTAGCAGATGTTTTGTGAATGTTGTAAATGGGTACAAAATGGAGGACATCCTAATGTTGAGAGTAGTAAATATCATTGTCATGAGCCTAAGGCTTCTCTATACACATTAGAAGAAAGTACTCTCTAAAGAGAATGGTTAGAAGTTAACAGGGAATACATCACTATTGTAATAATCATAAAAAAGCAATTGCACGCCAGTGTTAGACAGTCTCTGGGTAACCAGGTGCTAATAATTTTACTATATTAATGAAGACTTCAAGTCATACTGGTCTACTCATTTGGACAGTATTTGCTTCAGCACTAGGAAGGCTGATGTCTTCCTTTTAAACTCGAGTTATTAACTTGACCCTGCTATTGAGAGCCTGCAATCCTTAATTTAAGGGTAATTTACAATAGCATCTATAACAGTATACACAAATGGTACATTAGCTAAGGATGAAATGGAGAACATTCATGAATTTGTATGCTCTGTTATGGCTGACAATGGATCAGGCCTGTGGCACAGGTGGTAGGCATCCTGCCTCTTCCTGCCCCTGATCAACTCACAAAACGTACACCACACAGACCAAGCAGAGAAATACAAATGCAGAAGGCTGAATTGCTTTACATTAAGTGCAAAGATCTGAAGCATTATTTTTCCACAACGTTAAATAAGTTCCTGCAGAAGTATATATAACCCTGAATTATATATATACACATGTATACATTATATGTATATGTATAATTTTTAAAGATCATCTAACTAGAGCCTTTTAGTTCAGTAATTCATCAAACACTTACAACATGTCTTTTTTTTTTAGATTTGAGTTCATTCTATTTTGATTTTTACAAAAAAAAAAAAGCCAATATCAATAAAAGTTTGGTAGGGATGGGATCACTGAACTATATAGTCCATAATGGGTATTCAATATCTTCAAACCAGAGCAAATATTGGCATGACAAGTCAGTAGAAATTCCAAGGAAAGCTGTCATCGCTTATTTTTCACTATGGTAGATAATAAGGAAGTTCCTGCTATTCCTCAATTTGTCCTGATCCTTGGCACCCGTCATAACAAGGTTAAGAATTGGTTCTATTCACCTTAGTGCCTCAGTGATTCCCAGCCTTGGCTATATGTTAGAATCATCTGAGATGTTTTGAAAACACATTTATGTTTGAATCCCACACTAGGCCAGCCAAATGTGAACTTCAGTGGGACCCTTAGACTTTTCAGCCCCCCAAGTAATTCTAAAGTTCAGCTAAGGTTGAAAGCCTTAACTACTTAACTTGAGATGTGAGAAGCAAGAAAAGCACTCCATGCCAAAAGTATCCCTTCCACTAGCTTGCTCTAATGTTTTAATTACACTATTAAAACAACTCATTTTATGTTTCCTACAAGCTGTATTCATTGACAAATAAATACAGTAATGTCAGTCAACATAATATTTTTAATTACAGTCACATGCCTCATAACAATATTTTAGTTGATGACAGACCACATATAGGACAGTGGCCCCATAAGATTATACTATTGTATTTTTATTGTACCTTTTCTAGGCTTAGATATGTCTAGGTACACAAATGTATATGTACAGAAATGTGGCTACTCCAAATTGAGAGGTGCTGTGAGAGTAAAGTATACACTAGATTTCAAAGACTTTAAGCAGGAAATAAAGCACGTATAAATACCAAAATAATAATTTTAATGCTGATTTCATGCTGGAATGATAATACTTGGGATACAGATTAAATAAAATCTACTAATAAAATTAATTTAATTTGGCCTTTTAAACTTTTGTATTGTAGCAAATAGAAATGTACATACGTGACTGGAAATTGCTATTCTGGGAAAATGATTTTGATATGGAAAAGATATTAGCTTGAGAAATTTGTACTGATCCTGATTTGTTTACAGATTAGCCTATTTAAAACTTCTAGTTCCATTGCCATAGTGGCAGAGCAACAGACTTTGAGAAAATGGAAAACATGACAGGCGAATGCTTCCATTGAAGGCAACACTTAAGAGTCTAGATTGTGGAACATTTCTTTGGTTTGGAACAGGCCTGCAATGCTGGGCCACTGTAACTAGTGACATGAATTAGATACACTCTGAGTGCTTCACATCTGAGTCATTCTTGTTTTCCTCTTTCAGTTAAAATTAAACAATACTTGGAAAAATGATATTCCCTTCTTCAGGATATCATAGTGGAAATACTATGAACCTCTTGATTTTGGAGACCTGGTAACATGTTTTGGCTCTTAACAGCACTGCCTATATTATCTTAAGAATGTCACTTCACCTCTCTGATTCTGTATTCTGCCATTTATAAAATGGAGATAATAATACTCCTCCCAGATTAACTAAATGTTATCTTATGTTAAATGAAATTCAATCCAGTGTCTATCATAAAAAGAGTTTAATAAATGACTTTCATTCTTTCTTTTCCTTCTCTATATAAAGAATACCTATTTATTCTTCGTAACTCAAATAAAAGGTCACCTTTCCTGTGAATCATAGCTAGGCACTTCGCCCCTCTATTTTCCATGAAACGTCATCCACATTTTAATTATTTGGTGCCATATCTGTTTCTCCCAGTGGACTCCTGTGAACTTCTTGAGGTCAGGGCCTTTCTAATTGAAACCCCAGTATTTAGCACAAAATCTGAAAACCAGACCGTACTCAAGATGTGTTGGATGGATAGAATAAGAGAATGGCTGGGTGTTTATGGCTCAGCCCTTGAAATCTTTGGGGCTGGAATACAAAGAAAGCATTTCAATGATTCTCTAAATAGTACTATTCCAGAAAGGTGAAGAAAGGAAAGTATAACATCTGTTTTTGTGTTCCATTTTTGTATGGCTTCCCATCTGGCAAGCAGTCCGTAAGGGACTGCACTATCATTGCTGGAAAAACATAGAAAATCAAATACTCTTGGCACCGTATCACTCCATGGCCTTACATAAAAAATAAGCCACTACACCAAGAAGCCACTACACCACTGTCTCTAAGCCTCACCTCCCTTTGCTAAGCATTGGCTCCACTCCCAACCATACTCCACAAGCCTTTCCCCAGCCAATCCTGTGCGCCTTCTTTTTCTGTGCCTTTGCTCATGCAAATGTTCCACCTGAAGTAATCCTTCTCTTCCTACTCGCACTTCTCTACTCTGCCCCCCAACTTGAGCCTTAGTAAATGCCATGTCCTTTAAGATACATTTCTAAGCCTGCTTCTGCTGTCTTCCCTATTCAAACCAATGTAAATGATCTCTACAGCCTTTCTCCTTATACAGCACATTGTTTGCAGTTCCATCTGGCAACTGAAAAGCTTTTCTTGATCCACCAGTTGTTTTTGTCAAACCCTTTAGAATACAAGTTCCAGGCTGGAAGGAACTAGATTCTATTAACTGTATCCATTGTGATGTCTGGTTCAGGGACTTGTACTTTATAGGCATTAAGAAATTTGTAGTACGACTGAAGTGAATCCCAGGATAAAATATTTAAGCCAGTGGATAGTATGACTTCCTAAAACTTCTTAGCATTTTGTTTTTACAGACATTAATTCTGATTCTATTTGCATATTATTTACCTGAGTCTAATATCTCATATCTTCTGATTCTTTTCAAACAGGGAATTCTAAGTTTCCCTTCAACAACAAAGAATGTAACCTGGACTCCACATATCTTGCAGGCAGTGGGCATCACTGAACCGTGTGAGGAATGAGAGAGGGTGGAACAAATTCATTGTTACCAAGAGCAGCAACTGGTGAAGATGTCAAGGCCTACTGGGCAAGGTAATACTTTAATGACCTACAAAATAAATGTTTTAAATTATATATTCAAAATTTGTCTGTTGAGGTATAGAAAAAATTACCTGTTTTAATAAAAGGTTGAATCCATTTATGTTTAAAAGGAATATGTTACAAACACTCAACATAACATTTTTAAATACAGTCATACCCCTCATAATGATGTTTTAGTTGATGACATATCACACATAAGACAGTGGCCCATAAAAGTAAAATACTGTACTTTTTGCTATGCTTAGATATGTCTAGATACACAAATACTTACCATTGTTTTACAGATGCCTACAATATTCAGTACTATAACATGCTGTACAGGTTTGTAACCTAGGAACAGCAGGCTATACCATATAGCCTAGGTGTATAATGGGCTATACCATCTAGATTTGTAGAAGAATACACTATTTTATGTTCATACAATGACAAAATCACCTATCAACATATTTATCAGAACATATCTCATCATTAAGCAACACATGACTGTATTTGGAGTTGTTGTTCAGTATTTATTAACTCCTAATTAGATATCATTAGCTAACTCTAACTCAGGATAGCTATAACTATAGAAATGAAATTTTAAAATCTCACTCTATGTAAACAGCATTATGTCATTCATTATTCACTTTCAAAATTTTATTTCATGCGATTATCAGATGACTGTCAAGTATCTACTGTGACTTTTGTGGCATAGCTTGTAGCAGTCAAAGGTAGAAACCTGAGTTAACTGGCAACAGTTATTTTTCTGGTTTATCTCAGCAATGTTTTAACTTGAAGATTGCTTGAAGATTAAGTCCAAGGCTACTTGCTGCCTGGCTGGCCAACCTCTTCAGCCCTCGTTGGGAGCCAAAGATAATGTAGTCAAGGCCCCAAACCTATTGATCTAAATGGTGATCAATGTAATTATTTGATTCTGTATGTGGGCCTGAACACCTAGCATTAGTTTCAAAAACTTCCACTATAAAATAGTCATGATAACATATTTACTTCTCAGGGTTGTTGTCAGTATTAAATGAGACAATTGTTTAGGACTATGAATAGAATCAATACTCACTAAACATTAGGCGATTACTTCACTAAGTAGGAGAATAAATGAGAAGTAGGAAAAAAAGCAAAGGCCACTTTATAAATGTGAAAGTGTCTAAGAAAACATCACCTGAACCTCAAAATGAAAACCAAGCAGTGACAGTCAGTGAAAAGGATTTTCAATCAGCCAGTTGTGGTTCTAAATCCCAGATTCACAATTTACAAGCTGAATGATATTAAACAGATTGCTTAAGTTTTCTGAGCCTCCATTTTCTTATCTATAAAAAGGACCTGATAAGGACTGCCCCATAGGTTGTGAGAATTAAGGGAGATAGCATATGTAAAGCCCTGAAATTTAATAAACCCCAAGAGGAAAATGTAAAAGGGTAAAATTAGTGCAACGTTTGTATATGGGCTGGCCCACCATAGCTGTTGATATGAAAGATGCTCTGTTTATTTTGTGATTCTCCCTGAAATAAAAACAGCTTCCCAGACTATTTTAAAGTAATCTAGCCAAGCTACAGCCATGCCACCTTGTTATCGCTGTTTGGGCCAGGAATATGTTTACCTGTTGAATTTTTTAGACAGGACATCAATAAACAGGCAGAGCACTTTGAAAAGCCGATTGTACCATGAGCAGTCCTCAGGGAGAAACAGAGTAGGCTAGATGGATTACCGGAATGCTGCGTAGAGGTCAATGTTGTTTGGAACCAGACTTTAAAGAGATCATGTCTCAATGCTTCACTGTGATAGAGTTCGTGAAATGTCTTTTCTAAAACACTCACAGCTTCTTCCTCCTGGGTCCTCACGATTCTTTTATAGCTCCAAAAAGCCTTTATTCTTTATTTTGTCCCACCCCTTCAGATAATCCCAAAGATATAATTAGCTTTAAATCTCACTAATTTGTTCAACCCCAGACCTTGGACATACTAAGTATCCAGAGAATGTTTATTGAATAAAAGAAATAATTTATTCAAAATACAATAACTATATAGTCATGATGGCAGAGTAAATTGGTATAACTTCTTTAAAAAACAACAGACAATTTATAACAAGAGATATTAAAATGCTTACTCCCCATGACCCTGTAATTTAACTTCTATGAAATAGTTCAATAGAAAAATAAAGCTGTATTCATGATGATGTTCTGTACTGGACAGTATTATTAGGAAAATTATAAATATTTAACAAAACAATTACTCAAGTAGATTATGGCATCCCTCATAATGTAATATTATGTCCACACTAAAAGAAATAATTACAAAGATATTATTACAATATTTTATGAAAGAAATTGGCAAAAGCAGTACCATATAAAATTTCAATTATGCTATGTTAATAACTATATAACATAAATATAACCTCATATAGCTCCTACAAAAGGAAGCAAAAACATGAAAAGTTGTTAATTCAGGGTAGTCCAATTACTGATATTTTCCTTGATGAAAATATTCTTTACTATTGTTTTTATTTTTTAACATTAAACAGAGGAGAAGAGCCTTATAACTTCTCCTGTTATACAAAATATTAAGTACCAGGAAAGCAGAATTAAGTATCATTGAGTGTGTTCCTGTATCAGACCATCACAGAAGCCATATACCCAGCATGGAAGTCATTATGCTTTGTGATGATGACTTACTTCAGTGTCTTTCTTCTTCACTGGATAGTAAGCTTTTTCAGGCCATGTGAAGGCAAGGACTATATATGTCTTATTTAGTGCTTATCTCCGGCATTTTTACAACACACACGTGGTAAGTCACATGCAATTTGTATAATTAATAAAAATAAGGAAGGTACATTGCCCAAAACATGTCATTTTCATACATTGGCTGTTACCAGAAAATACACTGCAAATTCATCTTTTTAGTTTTAAGAAATGAAATGGTTTAAACTGTTGTCATCTACAGCTGGTATTTTGCTGAGAGCTAACTTTGCTAATTCATAAGTGGAGTGACAAATGCACTAAAGGTCAGTAGAAAGCATACCATAGATATATCTTGTTTATTTTACAACCATGTGTAGGTATAGGCCCTTTGATTTGAACTTGTACTACTGCTCACTAGATCTAATATAATATATAATAAACAAGCTACAATAAAACAAGCATTAAAATCAACAAATCTTCAATTACTCAAATATGCATTTTACATTGTTTGTGACATTATGCATATAGATGAAAAGTAAACCATAAGAATATCAATTAATATTGAGTAGTTACTTAGAAAAAAGTTTTCTAAAGGATGTCCAGACCTGTCACAATCTTTCAAATATTTGATTTCCTACAAATTAACAATATAAACAATTATAGTCTTAGGAAATTTGAGTTTAGAGAGGGCTTCAGAGATGAATAATCTAATTTTACAAATGAATAAGTGGAGGATCAAAGAGGTGAAGTGGTCATCAATTGGTGATCTAATTCAGAACTCAAGGCCAATCACCACTCAGTGGCTAATCCAAAACTCAAATATTAGACTCGACTTCAAGTCAAAGACATTTACATCATCAATGAATTCCTGAGTGATGTCTCTAAAATATCACAAAATTTATTGTTATCAAGGAAATATTTGATTCTGCTCACGAAATTATATGTACTGAAGCAAGGAAAATGCCTCTGAGTAAAGAGACAAAATCCACACAAATCCCAATCATGGCTTTATAGTTATATCAATGAATATTTTTGGAAATAGGAGTAATAACAAAAATATACTTTTTAAAATCTTAACCAAAAAAAAAAAAAACATTCCGGCCGGGCGCGGTGGCTCATGCCTGTAATCCCAGCACTTTGGGAGGCCGAGGCAGGCAGATCACGAGGGCAGGAGATCGAGACCACCCTGGCTAACACGGTGAAACCCCGTCTCTCCTAAAAATACAAAAAAAATTAGCCGGGCATGGTTGCGGGCGCCTGTAGTCCCAGCTACTTGGGAGGCTGAGGCAGGAGAATGGCGTGAACCTGGGAGGCGGAGCTTGCGGTGAGCCGAGATCACGCCGCTGCACTCCAGCCTGGCAAAAAAAAAAAAAAAAAAAAAAAGACATTCCCTCAGAATTTAATTGCAGATTTATTTACATAAGGTTTCACTTGGGAAATTCAAACTTTCATAAAGTCTGTTCCCAATGTTATGCTGCTACAAACATAAGTTAAAGAAAATGAAAAAGCTGATTTAAAAAAACTGAAACGTAATTTTAATAACCACATCTTTTAAAACCTTTGTGCCTGGGAAGATAAAATAAAACTAATTTCTAGGTGATTTTTCAAGCAGTGAGCTTTGAAAATTATCCTCCTAATATACAAATTCTTTGATTTCTAGTGGTCACTATTTGATTGGAAATAGTACATATTGTGCAATTTACAAACCAAAGACATAGCTAACTCATTTCAAAAGATTACTTTGAAGACATTTACTTAGAATCATTTCTAACGTTCAAAGAAATAATATCCACATGGAACTTGGATACATATTTCTCTGTCAATAGGATAATTTGCCACAAGCAATTACAAAGCATACATTTAATGTAATACTGTCTTCAGAATTTTCAGACCACTAAATCAGTTTCCCTTGTCAGTTCCAAAGGTGTGAGGTACAGGGATGTTTAAGACCTATTAAGCTTAATGACCCTTCCATCTTGTTAAAGAAAATTAAAGGACAGCTTTCTCAATGAGACTTTTACATTTAAAATGATGAAGGACCACTAAAGACAAATGATTTGCAGAAAGAATAGTGCATGAACATAAAAATTTTTAAATTCTTAGAGCTGTCTCTATAAACAGCCAGTTACAACTCTTTTTCAGGTAATTTGTATAGGTAATATTAAACTATGTTTGGATGTTTCAGCTGGCTTTAAATGAAAGTACAGATTTGATATTTAAAAGCTTGATTTTGAAATAATTTGGAAATAAATTATTATTGTGTTATTATGCAAATTATTTAAATAAAATAAAAATTTTGATATAAAACCAAGCAGTTATTTTCTGCTTTGTAATTCTGTATCTTCAATAGCATATTAGAGAAATATTTATATAATTAAACACAAAAATATGGCTACTGTTTTTTAAACTATACTTTTTTAAATTTATGAATTTAATAATTTATTCTTTAATCTGAATTCTAGTTTGGTTTTACTAGCTCCATGTTTTCCAAAACATAAATATGTAAAGATAGAAATTTACAAAGAAAAACTGGGTTCCATGATCCATTTAACATATTCTGGCTAACATTAAGTAAGCTAGTTTACTGCAGAAACTTCCCATGACTTTTAACATGCTAATGTGCATTATGAATCTGTACTGGGGGCTACTGTATAAAGTATTTCTTTAGAAGAGTTGACCACCCTCTCCTTTTTATGATGCATCACTCCAGACCAGAATTTGCGGTAAACATATTGATAAATACGGATTTAATTACAAATCATGAAGTGACTTTTTTCAGTCTTTATGGTTTCTGGTAAAACCAGATATTTATGCATGTTTATGTGTGTTTATGTGTCTTTGTATATGCATATACGGAAATTTACTTTCCCAGGTATGGCAGAAACTCTCAGTTCTTTATGTCAGTTATCAATTCTATCCTTCTTTAGTAATGAGTGTCCAATTTTTAGCAGTGTACACTGTCACCTAGAATAAAGCCTATGTTTACCAGCCAGCTATGTGATATGTAAGAACTATGACATGACAGCTTTTGAGAAATCTTAAAAGATACATAGTATGTGCTCTTTGACACCCCTGTGTTTTTTCTTCCATGCTGCTACTGTAAACCTAGATGTACTGTGTATCCAGAGCAGGTACATGCTGCTGTGGCATTTCCTTTCCATTCACCACTCCACCATCTCTAGCATGTGATTGTCATTCTAACAGCTCAAAATGCCTTCTTGTTCTGAAAATTACCTTCTCCTCTGAAGAGGAATTAGATTTTCAGCAGGACAATAATACAGTCATGTGTCTATATTATAATGCAGTTTCGTGGACTCCACTGGGTTAGTAAGAGTCTTGCTCCCTGAATTTGTTAACCAATTGTATGGAAAGAGTAGAGTCTTGAAAGCTGAGGGATTAGAATGGAAGCATGCTGAGGGGTTGACTTACCAAATCACATCCTTGAGCATCCCAGAGATGGCCTGTTTTTCTACTTTCTGAAGCTTGGCTATGCAATATGTTTTTGGATTTTCTTTTCCTGCCTGAAGCAGCCAGAACTGGTTTCTGTTACTTCTAGCCAAAAAAACCAATTACCCCTATCAGCTTTGATTAAGATACAGTGAGTTTGAAGGAAATACAACATAAAGAGATTGCATTTGTAATGCTTAATTTTGTATGTCAACTTGAGTGGGCCATAGAGTGCCCAGATTAAACATTATCTCTGGTTATGTCTGTGAAGATGTTTCCAGATAAGATTGGCATTTGAATCAGTACGATCAGTAAAGTAGATTGCCCTCTTCAATGTGGTTGAGTGTCATTCAATCCACTGAGGTACAGAAAAAAAAAAGTTAAAGATGGACAAATTTGCCCCCTTTTATTTCTGCCTCACTGCTGAGCTGGGACATCTCATCTCATCTCCTCCTGCCCTCAGACTGTAATCTACACCATGGGCTTCCCTTGTTTTTAGCCTTTGGACTTGTGCCAAATTACAACACTGTTTTTTCTAGGTCTTCAACTTGCAGACAACAGATCATGAGACTTCTTAGCCTGTATAACTGCGTCAGCCAATTCTGCATCATAAATGTCCTTTTATACATTTCTCACATTGATTCTGTTTTTCTGGAGAAACTTGACTGATACAACAGCTAACAAACCATTGGTTAAACAAAAACAAAATTTAAGAAATCAAACCAGAAAACATAATTAGGGGGTATTTGTACTGACAATGCAATTCAAATCCCTTCCTACTCCCTTTCCCAATACTTTCCAGTAATCCTTGAACTCATAAATAAAAAACTCTATTATTTCCAGTGCATACTAGCAGGTTTTCCTGTCCTCATGCTCTCCCTCTTCATGAGCACCTGCCAGGTTACCTCCCCCAAACTTTGTATTCCTTATTTTAGTCAGAAAACATCAATGTTTCTTTCTTGCCCATCAAATCACTTTCAAACTCACCTCTCCAATTTCCAGTATTTTCATTACCTAATCCTGTCTTAACTGTCTATTCAAAAAGATTTTTCGTCAAATTCCTGTTGATAGGCATGAAGAAAGTTAATTATCACAGTATTTTTAATTTTTTTAATCCTTGGCAAAAAAATAATTTCACTATTAAAAATTATTCCTAAGTCACATAAAAATGTGTACATTTTTGTTTAAAAGATACATTCCACATATTTGCAGTAAGTATGTAATTATTGTAAAATCCTTGTGAGAAATCACTGTTAAAATTTCTTGTAATTAAGGTAATAACTGAAAAGAGAGAGTCACCTGCTCATTAAAATTTCCTTATGTGAAATAATGGCCTGTATTTTGGATGTCATCACTGTCGATCATTTCTACCACAGAAGAGGTTATACACAGGAGAGATAACATCTCTCCTTTTCTTTAAAACAGCAAAGCTCTTTGTATCAACTCTCCCAAAAATGTGATGGTCCAAACTCTCCAACTTGAAAAGCAGAGCGCTAGAGCTGAAATCAATTTAGCAATATCTGAAAGCTGCATAATAAACTTCTGTGGATCGGATAAAAAGTTGGTAAAAAAGCATCTGACTGGTCTCCAGGTCCTTTTTATTTTAAATTTTTGCCCCACTTATATTTTTAAAAACTGAAGTTAGTCTCGGTTTAATAAAGAGAATCACCCCAATTTTGACCAGTACCTAATACACCACCCCACTTTCATTCCGAGTCAACTCTAGGAGAAAAGTAATTAAGGTAATTGCTCTGCACCTCAAGCTTTTCAGTATTAGGATCTCATCAGTATTAGGATCTTACCTAAAAAAAGGGATAGAAACTCTTATGGATTCATTCAGCCCACTGATCTATCAACTTCACTAAGACAGTACTGTAGAGATTCTACCATTGCTCCAGCTTTCTAACATAGCAGCTATTTTAGTTTTTTGTTTTGCTTTGTTTCCTCCCCATTCACTGCTAACCTTATCAGTTTTAATCTGTTTCTAAAATGATGAAACAAATCAGGTCATATTCTCTTGGCCATGAAATAGATAGGGCTGGCTTTGGAAGCTCAAAACTTCCAGAATTTCTAACAATTTCTGGAATTTGTTGTGTCCTTGCCCAGTTTATAAATTCATTTGCACCTCCAGTCATTCTTCATGTTGTTCCTTACTAAACACCCTTATTCCACCATCCAGCTGTGACAGTCAGACTAGTCCTTCAAGCAGAAATTTTCATCACAACCCTTCCTAATCTCCCCAGTGCATATTGGCTTCTTTCTGTTTCATTATTCCATTGCACTTAGAGGAAGTACCTCACAAATTAGCTTTATTACTCAGTTTTATGCTGTTGTTGTTGATGTCATTTCTGCTTTCTTTACCAGATTGTAAGCTCCTAGGTAAAAAATCTAGACACCGTCTTCTTAAAGTCTACTAGGAGACCACCGCTCAGTCAACGTTTCTTGATTGCACAATAAAAGGCGATGCTTTTGTCATCCTAGTCATTAACATTGCTTTCTTGGCAAGCCACATTTGCCTTCCCACTTCATGGCCAGCGCATGTTCTGCATGTTACATCTGTTTGGAATACTCCTTATCCTACATTTGATGTAGCTAACCACTCCTTCCTCTTCAGGTCTCCAACAGGGTCTTACTTTCTCAGACAAGCATTTCTTAAGCCCAAAACCAGTTTCTTTAATTCTTGACTGTTGCATTTTTTTACAATTGTAATTGAATAATTGGAAATTAGTTAATTACTGCTGTTCGGTGGTCCTCAATTATGGGTGATTTTGCCCCCATAGGACATTTGGCAATGTGTGAAAACATGTTCGCTTATCACAACAGGGGTTGAGGGAGGCTTGCTACTGGCATACAGTGAGTAGAGGCCAGGAATGTTGCCAAACATCCTACAACGCACAGGACAGCCCTGTACAACAATCATCCAGACCAAAATGTCGTAAGAGCTAACGCGTAGAAATCCTGTCTAGCTCAATGGTATAATGTCACACCAAATGAGTGCTTTTACATTCACTGTCAAGCTGTTGAAAATATTATGAGACTCAGCTGTATAAAATTCTGAGATATTGAGGATGTTATCTACCATATTAAACACTGTTCTCTTTGAGGAAAAAAAGCTTTTTTCCTCAGGAAAAGTCAAACCTTTTTATTCAATGAGTCTTTTAAATTATTGTTTTTCTCTATGTCATTGGCTGCTGGAAAATTAGATCCGAATTTGCCGCCCACCTGTAACAATAATATATGAATATATGGTATTAATTCATACTGATTTTATTCCTGGTTTTATTACTTTCTATTTTCTTTTATCTAAATTTATTCAGCTGTTTCTTTCCTTCTGCCAGGTGTATACAAATCCATTTTTCAGATTTAGACTTAGACATAAATAACCCCCTATCAAACTCAAAGGGGAACAGCTTGTCAGTAAACAATATGCTTTGGATCAATATAGCTTTCAGACAAATAAGAGAATAAATTTATTAATATTTACAGAGTCACAGAATAATAACAATAGCCTAAATATGAAGTGATCTGGGAGGTGATATATCTAAATTTTTCATTTTATAGTTGAGGAAAACTGATTCAAAGACATTAAATGCATTGTCTATGTTTACACAGCAGCACCAAAATTGTATTCAAGTACCTTGACTTCTATTATTCTAAAAGATATTTGCATGAATAAACAGTAATACAAATCTCTGCTCCCATGTACTTCAGGTACCATAGGCTTGTGGGCAGTACAAGCAACTAGCACTTAGGAAGTCAAAAGTTTTAACTTGAAAATACCTGTGATTTGTGTAGGAAGAACATGACACCAACCACTTTAGAGTTCTGATGCCTTAACCACCTACTTCCTCAGCAGAAAATTACAAATTACTATGCTACTAACTTCTATAACATCCTTGGAGAAATAATATATTTAAATGTATAGATTAATGTCTGATCCTGAGAAACAGGCAGATGCAACTGTCTCTTAGAGGTCTTCTGTGAGCAGCTCACATATGTCTAAAATTCATGTCTCCTTACTTAAGACATGCAGAGCATGGATTACTACCTTCAGTAAAATGTGATTAGTTATTCCACTTTCACGATGTCTCTCACACAACTTCATGTTTAGTGTTTCTTTTCACTAACTTGTAAGATTTTTTTTTCCACTTTTGGTTTCCATCACTGAATTAGTCTTCTCGTTAATTTCTTCTTCAGTTTTGCATTAGAAAACAAAGAGTTCAAGACTTGTCCTCGCCACTTTTCTAGCCTTTAATTTACAAATATGTTATAAAGGCAGGAACTGGATCAGTTTTCTTCTCTACTGTATTTCCAACACAGAGTCTTACAAAATAGGCACTCGGTGAATAGGTACTCTGTATACAATTTGTTTTTTGGTTTTTTGTTTGTTTGTTTGTTTTTTGAGATGGAGTTTCATTCTTGTTGCCCAGGCGCTGGAGTGCAATGGCACAATCTCGGCTTGCTGCAACCTCCGCCTCCTGGGTTCAAGGAATTCTCCTGTGTCAGCCTCCTGAGTAGCTGGGATTACAGGTGCGTGCCACCATGCCTGGCTAATTTTGTATTTTTAGTAGAGATGGGGTTTTGTCATGTTGGCCAGGCTGGTCTGGAACTCATGGCCCCCGATGATCCACCAGCCTTGGCCTCCCAAAGTGCTGGGATTACGGGCGTGAGCCACCACGCCCGGCCTACATTTTTAAGTTTTGAGTGAAACACTTAAAAATGTAGACAGAATTCCCATCAGTATTTTTTATTCCATTATAAAATAAGCAAGCTTGAGTTAGGTTTCTTCTAAAAGTTTGTCCACAGTTGGGGAAATCACCCATCATATTAATTTTTGCATCCAAGCTATGAATCAAATTTCTCAAAGAATGAAGTGCCAAGAAAAATTATTTTTAAGACATATATGTATGTCTATATAAACCATAGGCTTTATGATTAATATATGTTTATATATAGTGTTAGTAACTATCTTTTAAATTCTTGGTATTATTTATATTCAAAAAATTTCAATATACCTTTTAAATCTTAATGGAATAAAATGATCTATGAATGTATTTTTTAGCTTTGCCTTACTAATTTTTTAAAAATTTGCCCTGAATTATTTCCTATTATGTGATATTAAAGATGTTTTAAGTGGCAATATATTCTAAGCAGTTTATTTTTAGTCCTATAAAAAAGGAAACTGGATATTTCCTATTTTTTATGTTTTATTTCAAGCATAAGATATTTGAACAAATCAGAAGTAAAAAGAATATAGAGGGTTCTTTCCCTATTTATAAAACTGTATCCTTCGAAAATGTGCCTTGGCTCTAAGAACCTGTGGAACCAGTGGGCTTTTGGTGCCTAAATTTTACCATATATCCTCTAAGGCACTGAAAATGTGAGAGCGCATTGCCTAATGGGGAGCATTTCATTGATTTATTAGTAGCTGAACACATGCCAAGACATCCCTAGGATGCTCCTCACCCAACCCAAGGTGCTTAAATAAAAGCTGGACTGGAGAATGTGGCTTAGAACAAAAGATTCTGTGTTCTCTCAAAACGAAGATGAGCAGAGCTGCTTAACCTAAAAATTCAGAAAGGAAATGAGCATTCCCTTATAAGTCTGAACTTTGGTTTGAAATTTGGGACACACTAATCCCAACCACTAATAAAATGGAGCTAATTAATCCCCATCTTATGACAATCAGACTGGCCGATTCTTCCTCTAGAACAGGCTTGGAGGAGAGAAGGTGGCCAAGAAGAGGGATTAGCAGAGGGGTAGAAGACTAGGAACAGGGCTGAAAGTGTCAGAAAAGGAGCTAAAATATCCCTTACATCAAAAGAGATGAAACAACTTATGGAGAAAAGTGGTAATCATGAGATGGTAAGTTTTTTAAAAGACGTAAACAACTTTAAATTGCTTTCATTTCAAAATAGGCAGCCTATATAACAAACTCCACAAATTGATACTAAATAATGTTGCAGGACTTTTCCTTAGTTCATCTAAAGATGGGGTCCTTGTCCCACAGCCATGAAAATTTAGGCTTCCAGACAATTGAAAGTGAGAATAATGGGATTTATTGGGCAAAAAAGAAAAAAGAGGGAACAGGGACTGTCTACAAGGCCAGAGCTCCTGCTAGCGCGCTTCTCATCTCGTAGTTTGAATTCCAGGTTCCACACAGAAAGCGGAAGGACCAGGCTCCTCCCGGCTGCAAACAGTGCGAACTTTTGTGGGTCCACCCCAGTGTGCGTTCCTTCCAGTGCGCAACCTGGTTGGAGTTTTTCCGGGGACCCCCTCCCACCCAGCTGCCTCAATAATAAGTTGATGATAGGACTTGTATCCAAGATTCTAAATAAAACGTCACTATCCTAGTATCTTATTAGCAAGTATTCTTTTTTAAATTCCTATTACAAAACTTGTATGAAGAAAAACTGAATCACTTTTATTAAACAAAACTAAAGCATTTATCTAATTTCACATTTCTTGATGGTTTGATTCAGAAGCATGGTCTTTTGATAAAATGAAAATAATAACCCACTTTTTAAATTTATCCACCTAAACTGACCGTATGAAAAATACTTCCAAACCTCCATTGATCATATAGAAATAAAAAGGACATTTAAAAGATGGATTTAATCCAAAGTGAAATCAGTTCAACAAGTTTCTCCATGTAAGCACAGGATGAAAATATAGACTGAATAAATTATTTTTTCTGCCAAAAAAAATCAAATCTTTTATTGCAAATAGTAACTTTCAGGAGGCCAAAATTTGTTGCAAAAATCAAACACAATTTTAAATGTTTATATCTCACCATTATCCAGTTTTAATTGTTTTCCTTTCAGAAATGTAGATACAAATTGTATATATTCCATCTTCCCAATACAATTTTCCGATCATGTTGTCTCCAAGAAAAATACTCTTGCAGACATAATTCTGCATATATAGTATAAGGTCTTGCCATAGCCATGTATTTACATCTTTAATTCATAAAAAAAAAAAAAAAAGAATCCGCTTAGAATGTCTACTAAGCAAACTACAGCTAAAACTATTGGGCAAAAAATAAAGCTAAATAGCTAAAACTAAATGTTACTGCTCTAAAGAAACTGCTTTTCTTATATAAGCAATGCATTACAAATATTTGGCATTCTAGAAAATAAAACAAAAAGTTTTCCTTTCATTTCTACTTCAGCTATGCTTCCATGTAAGATTTTATTGCATAGTTTAAGAGTAGGTTAGCACTTTCGTTATTAACCACATTTTTCAAGAGTTTATAACAGTGCTGAAATTTCTTTTCCACCTTTCTTACTTGATATTGCAAGAAAATTCAATTATATGTTTGGAAATTCAAGGAGACTCATTTTAAGTGTTTTTATATTTCTCTTTTACCATTTTACATTGAAACTCAAACAAACTTCTTCCAATAACACAAGGACTGAAATTTCAAGATGACAGGAACAATCAGGCTTATTTTATTCTCATTACATAATCTAAGTTTTCTATTTTAAAGAAATAATTTAAGCAAAGAAGGTTGAAGAGTGATCTCAAGAATTATGTTTTTAAGTTTTTATGAAATAAAAATTTTCCTATCATCCTTTCTTTTCCCTTTCAGCTAGAATGACAAGATTGTTGAATCAACAGAGTGGTACAAAAAAGAATAACTGCCGGGTGCAGTGGCTCAGGCCTGTAATCCCAGCAGTTTGGGATGCCGAAGCAGGAAGATCACTTGAGCTTAGGAGTTTGAGACCAGCCTGGGCAACATAGTGAGACCTCCTTTCCACTAAAAATTTGAAAAAGTAGCCAAGCGTGGTGGCACGTGTCTGAAGTCCCAGCTACTTGGGAGGCTGAGGCCAGAAGATCGCTTGAGCCTGAGAGACTGGGCTATACTGTGCTATGATTATGCTACTGTATCCCAGCCTGGGTGACAGAGTGAGACCCTGTCTCCAAAAATAAAAATAAAAAAAATAAAAAATATATAGAAATTATTTTATACATTTATAAACAAATTTATTATTTATAGAAATATGATATAGTTTGTGAAAGATCCTCAGCATATTTCAAAAATATTTACTGATCGCATTTGACTCTTTGGAAATATAAAATCCTATTTCTATGAATACATAATGTTGCATATTCTTAATATCCATCAGAGTTTATGCCCCAAATGTGTAAATATCACTTTCTAATAACTGTATTTGATTATTATGACTACAGAACCCTTTATCTCTTTAATGAGTTACTGTTAATATCATTAGATATTACCAATATGCACCTTAAAAACGTAAAATGCTCATGTATCCATTTCAACTGAAAAAATAGATTAAAAATAGAAGTAAATGCTTTGAACACTTATTTGTGCCATGCTTTATGCTCCATAAGGTCACTATGGACAGTGTCTAAAGTTGCACAATGTGGAATGTGAAGAATGAGCCTAGGTATTTGGCCCTTAGTAATTCTATACTACAAATAATTTTTGGTTCTGTGTGGTGCAACGAACAACACAAATCCTATTAATTATATCAAAATTAGTATTTGTTTAGCAAATATTTCTTCATTTCTTAGATGTTATGAGATTACATACTAGAACACTGACTTTGAAAACTGTGCTATAATTATAATTGGTTTAGTTAATATATCACTATTATTTTTATTGTTATTATTTGAAATACCAGCTATTGTGACTACAGTGTTTTGCTTGGAACATTAGTGATTTCCCTATCAAGAACAGCACTTGGAGTAGATTTCTAACGATTACACCTGAATTTCAACATATTTATATTTTGTCATTTATAATTAACAACTAATATCTGAAAGAAAGCTCATCTAATCTAGGTCATGACTATTTTTGATGCATATAATATTTTGTACTTCTTTGTGGTTTAAGAAAAGTTTCAGGCTAGAATATGAGTTAAAAGCATATTCCATTTAGTGTTTTCATTTTTTTCAACAGGGGCTTCAGAGTTAAACATAGAAGACAGATGATGTTATTATTTCTTTTCCATGTTACAGAAGTTACTGATTGAGCTGAGTGTGCGTGAGAAAAACTAGGAATAAACTTTAGTTTAAGAAAATAAAATTGATATCATAGAACAAAATAGTTTTTACTAGTGAGCTGAAGGTATTTCATCTATGTTTCTTCTGTGGACTCCCCCCTCAGACTGCAGGAGTAAAACTCACCATGAAATTCAAAGATCACTTTAAATTGTGTTATGATGTAACAGGATCTCTTTACATCTGTCATTTAAAACTTAGAAGTGATAAATCTTTTGTTTCAATTATATGTCTAAGTTGAGTTTGTATAGCACAAACACATAGCAAGTACTCTTTCTTTAGTATCATTAAAAGTTGACAAAATTATTTCTGGCATAAAAAACTTGTTTTAATGATAAGCCTCTCAAGTTATATATGCTTGAAAAAACTGTAGATTTTTAAAAATTCAATAACAAACTGAGAAAGTACAAAAATCAGCAACAGACTCAAATCAAAATCTGTCAGAAATATTGATTACAGTGAAATATTTTATTGAGCTACTTTCAAGGATGAGTTTTCAGTAAAAATCGCTAATTTAACCTTTAATCAGTAATAGGATAAAATGATTTAATAAAGAAAAATCTAAAAGTGGTTGACCCTTTCACACGTATGTTTTGGATATAGTTAATACATTCAGCTTTATGGGTTTTTATAGTTACTACAATATTTAATAATAAAAATACGTGGTAAATATTTCTAGCAAGATCTAAATTACACTAAATTATAATTTTAATGTTCTAACCTCAATTTTCTTGACCGCTGTTAATATGAAGCTATGAAATTTCATAATTCTTATAATAGCCAAGTTCATCCAGTAGTCTTGAATTACTCTTAGTTATGATTCTGTTGATAAACAAAATTTGAAATCTGAATTATATTCAGCTCTAACAAGTGCAATTGAATTGACATTTGCCAGTCAGAGGTGGAGGCCAGACAATACTTCATATCTAAAAAGGTCTTACCTATGCATCAACCACTGGCAATATATGTCATAAAACTATGGCTATGAAGTTTCAATTGCCCTATGGCTTTTGGACAATATATAAACTAAAACATGCAGAAGATGACTTTTTGGCCTATCTTTACTATCTCCAGAAATCTAAAACCTTCTCCATAATCTATTTCAACATTTGCCAAAGTGTTTTTTTTAATGGCTTATTCTTACGCTTCACTTGGTTTTTTTGTTTTCTTGACCATAGCAGTACATACCGGTGCAAAAATTACAAAAACTTACAAATGAATGAATATAAAACCCTCACATAGCTCTCTCAGCTATTTACCTTTCTTGCCACATTTTCAAACCATTTCTTTGATTCCTCTTTTTATTTTAGTTCAAATATCAATGCAATCTGAATTCTCCTGGTCAAAATCTGTCCCATATATTTAAACAGAGATATCACATTGTTCATAGGTTTTCCTTTAGATATAAAATATGCAGGATTGTTTAAATTATAGGTCTTCATGTCTAAGGACATTCTTACAGAACCATCCCTGTATTGGATTTTGCTATTATGGTGGTACTATGAATGCCCTCCTTACATCTTTACTCTTATAATAATCTCCCAATGTGCCCCCCTTGTCTCCTGTCCCAGAATGGCAAATTGTTTTCATCCCCTGTGCCAACTCCAATTAATTGGTAATGGAAGCCCAGAATGCTACCTTGAGAAAGATTCCGAGAACACACCTGGGCTCAGTAGAGAGTTCTGTGTTGGATTAGTGAAGTCAGCTCTGTGGCAGTGCTCCAGCTCATCCTCTATTTTGTCAGAGTGATGTTTCTAAAAGCACAGTCAGATGATATCAGCTCCCTGCTTGAAAGTCTTCATTTCTTCCCAACTGTCCAGCAAATAATGTCCAAGCTTTTTGAAGATTGCCATTAAAAATTTGCCAATGCTGGCTCCGAACATCCCTTACTGTTTCTCTGCCATTCCATGCTCCTAGATGTAATTACAGTACTATTTCTTATATTATACAATATTGCATTTTCCCTTCTCTATACCTTTATTCATAAATAGTCATTGGTCCAAATCTTACTTGAATATCAAAGTCCAGCTCAAATGCTATTTCCTCTATCTGAGTATGCTAGATTTCTTCAGGTATTCTTGATAAGTCCCTTCTCAACCCTCCCAGTCTTTTGAAATATATATATATTTCTTTGGCAAACATCTCATTCTCCAATAGTTCTTCAGCACTTTGTGCAACGACTTTTATACCTGTGAATCTTTCTCCAACTTAGGGGATGTCAGCATAGTAGGGATTCAACATCTTTGTTTAATAATGAATTGTCATAAAACATCCATAACATTATTTTAATCAGCTTGGATTTATAAATATAACTTCAGCAACCTAGCACAAGTTTTCTACATTGCATTTTTTTCTTTGTATAAATGGCACATACCGTGACAGCTAAATATCTAAGTGTGAGATATCACACGGAGTAATTCTATAGACAAAGGTGTACAGAGCAATAGGTAAATTTCTGTGTTTTAACTGATAAAGTAGGTATAAGAGAGTACGGCTGTTTTGAGAACAAATACTACAGTGTGCTTTCCAAGATGGTAGAATGTATTTGAATGAAAAAAAAAGTGTGTAAATGCATATGTATGCATGCAACTGTGTACCACACACACAATTAAACTTAATGCCACCTCTAAGCTTTGCTTAAATTTTAAACAAAATCTGATAACTCTTAATGCTGGAGTTATAATTTGGCACATTAAATTTCCAATTTTGCTAAAAAGGAAATATTCACAGAAACCCTAGCAGTGTTTCTGGATAATACAGAACGTTAAAATATGCGATGGTCTTGCTAATCAAAGTGTGATCTCTGGGCTAGCAGCACATGGGGCATGAACTAGAAACTTGATAGAAATGCAGTATCTCTAGGCATATGTTCTCAGGATCACCTGGAGGCTGTGTCACGGGTTATTGGTCACTCATATTTGGCTCAGAATAAATCTCTATAATACTAAAAAAAAAAAAAAAAAGAAGAAGAAGAAGAAATGCAGTATCTCACTAGCCACCAACGTACTACTGAATCAGAGCCTAAATTTTAACAAGATTCTCAGGTCATTTATATATGGATAAACATTTGAGAAGCACTGGTCTAGAAAACTAAATCCCTTAGAGCTTTAGCAAATACTGAAACATGGATCACCACCCACAGAGACTGTGATTTGATTGGTCTGGGTGTATCCTATGAGGTGGGGTTTTTAAAAGCTCCCCAAGTATTTCTATTTCTCAGCCAAGGTTGAGCAAACTTTGGTGGGTATTGGAATCACCAGGGAAACCTGGTAAAAATATGAAGGGCCAGGCATTCTGCTACTTTAAAAACTTGGGCCTCTGAGCCCAGAATTCTCTAGCTTTTTCTGATACACACCGTAGTTTGAGAGCAACTGGTCTAGAGAAATTCTACTATAGGAAATCTGGAAGTCTCCGCTGTTCAGATGATGAATACTGATGAGATATGAATATATGCGAGCACATTTCCAAAGGCACCCACCTCAAGAATCTCACTCTATGGTTATTTTAATAAAATGCTAATTTGGATAGTACTATCTATGAAAGGGCTTTAAAGATGAAATTAACATTACAATCAGCTGACCTTAAAGATGATCTGAGTGAGCTCAATTTAATTACATGAGCCTTTAAAAGTATGAGAGTCAAGCAGAGAGAAGACAAGAGGAAAACAGGAGATAAATAAAATAATCTCTGTTCAAAATAATCAACATCAGACTAGTTAACAACCTTAAAAGAAAGATCACAGAAAATGGAGATAAAGGAAAGAAATACCATGAGAGAATTTCCCAAAACTAAAACACATTTGTTTCCATATTGAAAAGGCCAACTGAAGAAAATAAAAGGAATACAAATAAAAACATACCCACACAAAGAAGCGTAATTGATATTTCAGAACACCAAACAATCATCATTTGCAGGAAGAAAAACAATCCCATCACATACAGAAGATTGAGTATTAGAATGCTATCAAGTCTCTTCAGTGGCACTCTGGAAGTTAAAAATCAATGCCAGTAAAATTAAATGGAAATGATATTGAAACTCAGAATTCTGTCCCTAGCCAAAGTAGCAATTGTGTATTAGGATAAATTCAATGTTTACCTTCAAAGCACTGTGTCTTAAGAAACTATTAGAAATATGAGGCAAAAAAAGAGCAAAAAAGGTCAAGGCAGGAGTTCTGGAAAAAGTAGATTCACATAACAATGGGAGCTGAAAGAAATTTCCAGCGTCAGAAAATGAGTGTTATTGGAATACAGCTGTGCAGAAGGCCCAGGAATCAGTCAATCTAGATTGGAGGAAGGAGACAAAGAACCCTGAAAGATATGTCTACAATTTCAAGAAATAGAGGAAATAGAGAAAAAGAAAAAGAAAGGTATGAAGAAAGGAAGGAAGGAAGGAAGGAAGGAAGGAAGGAAAGAAGAGAGGGAGGAAGGAAGGAAAGAAGAGAGGGAGGGAGGGACGGAGGGAGTGGGGGAAAGAAGGGCAGGGGAAGGAAGGGAAGGAAGGGGGGTGAGGGAAAGAAGGAAGTAAAGAAGGAAGGGAGAGAGGGAGAAGCAGATAGTCACTATGGGTTTGACCAAGAGTCAGCTCGTTTTTATGGTCAGCTTTGTAGATCTGTTTAATTCAAAACCCTGGACATGCTCTACATTTATCATTTGAAATAAGTCCATACAGTTCAATTAACAAAAGCTTAAATTAACCCCCCTTTACTCAAATGAAAATCCTTCCCTTCTTGAAATATTTTTGTTTCTGTAAATTAAGGAACAAATTAGTAAGACTAAAATAACATATTTTCATGAACTGATTCCTTAGGGTTTTTTCCAGGAATTTCCCTCAGCTAAGAGAGATTCACTTTATATTTAGTAGTTCTTAACATTTCTATAGTTATTCCTAAACTATTCATTTGATAAAGAAAATTAATTTGAAATTAAGTACAGTTATAAATACATAGAGAAACAAATCAAAATTGTGACAGCGAAAAAAGAAAATTTTCTTCAACAAAGTCACCTCTTGCTTAGGAAATGTAATGTTATTTCACATTGTATTAATACATTCAGTAACCTCATTACCAAAATAATCATTAATAAATAAACCTGTGTTTCCACAGTCACTTTGATTGAAATGAGTGCACCATTTGATCCTCATTTCTTTACGTGATGTGAAAACTCGTTTTCACCTGAAAGTCTCTTGAGATGAGAAACAACACACTATCAATTTGGCTTGATAAGGTTGCTACTCACCTACCTTCACATCAAAACAATGAGGATCAGCCCATTTTCTTGAGGAAGTCATGCTAAATAAAGCCTCCTGGAGCATTATGTTGTCCACGACCCAATAAGGAATAGTGGCAAAAATCAAATATATCTAATACTCAATGGTTGCTTAAAAGTAAACTTGATTCTCTCTTTTGGCTTTTTGTGACATTTAATACCTACTTTATTTTGTCAAGAGAACATTCCCAAGTTACACTGTAAGACATGGAACAGCCTAAATCCTGAAAATATATTTCAAAAGTGACACAGTGAAGAAATTGTATTATTTTTCTATAGGTTATAGTAGAAAAATGGGTTAACTCATACCTAAACAGTTTATATTTAAAAGCACATTTAGTTAGAAAATTTTGATTTCTGGTATCAAACACTCCATTTTAATCTATGTGAACAAAATACTTTCCTAGCCTTTGATTAGATCTAACTTATTGATCCAAATCACTGAGCTGAATTCAACTGACACATATTCAGTTGTTTTTTTTAAAAAAAGTAGGAAAATTGGAGTTGGATGACATATTAGAAACTCAAATAATTTCATTTTGTAAATGACAAAACTAAAGCCTAGAGAAGAATGGATGACTTTGTCATACACTTTTTAGTAGGCACCATTCTATTCTTTTTAATCAGTGGAATTGTTCCTCTCTACATGACAATAAATAATAATATTACTAATAATCAGTATGTGCAAACTACTAGAATATTTTATGTGCATTACTAATAACAATTATAATAGTCCATGTTTTATTTTTATACATGAAGAATCTGATTCTGAGACCGACTACATTCCCAAGCCCCAAATAGCAGTAAATGGTAGGACAAGACCTTCAAAGGCTATACTGTTTTGCCGTGCCATGCTAGGTCCCACTTCAGTTGGCCATATCATTTGATCCAGACATAATTAAAAAGGAGGGAAAATCCATCTGGGAAGTTTTTCACACATGGACTAAAGTTTACTAATCGATGCAGAGTTAAATTATCATTTGCTTCAACATATGGTTGCATTTTTTTTGTTTGATGACTAAACTAATACTACTGGTATTAAATAGTGAACTGAATTAATAGGAAATTACTGAAGCCTAAAGTTTGTGATGTTTTAACAAATCCAGGTGGGCCATAATTTCAATAATGTTTCTCAATACATTAATAACTTCATACTCTAATTGCCTGATATCCTATAGTTATGTTTTAATTTAATTACAAAGATGCACATTAACATAATCATAAAAATTCAGCTACCATAACTTTATACAAAGCCTTGGTTAAAAATAGAAAACAGAATATACTGTTACAGAAAAAATTTAAATCACCTAACTTCAATTATAAGAAGGAACAGAGAAGAAAATAGTAAACATATACCATCCAGTAACAGGTTAATTCAATGTTAAAATTTATAACTATAATACAATGACACTATTCTCAAGGTAAGAAATACAGAAAAATTATTTTTTCTTAACTATTGAGCCATCAGTAGAAGGAAAATTTTTGTTAGTCTCACAGCTACTGAACAGTAAATTAAACTATAGGTTTGTTCTACTATTTTTAATAAAAGGTATAAAAGTCAAAAAATAAAAATTATCTAATTCTGTTACTTTTGGGGGAAAACAGATTGGGACTAGTGGAAAACTTGACTTACTAGATTTATCAATCACTACAACTTCATGTACTCCATACGCCAGATCATTTTTTCTTAAAATGTAAAATTAATGATAGAAATTAATACTCAACTTTCAATAGTGACACATATGGGTTGCCAAATTATCTAGGTCAAAAATTCTTAACCTTATGAACTCCCTAGAGACTCTGATCTAAGCTATAGACGCTTTACCTGTAACAATGCTCTTCAGATTATGTGTACAGTTTGTTACCTGCCATTTTAAGGAATTTATGAATACCCTAATCAAGAACTTCTTGAAGGAGACATTTCATCTGCAGTTATTCCTGATATTTTCTGAAATTTTAAATTACCATCTTATGAATTAGGAGTTATCTCAATAGAATCTCTTTATCCAGGTACTTGAGTTGTTGCACGATCTAATAACTGGCATTAGTTCCCCTTAATTATTATTTTTCATGCAAGGCTTAACTTACTGAGATTCAGCCAACGTGAACTTTCCTCTTCTTGCTGCACTTTGTCAATCTTTTCTACTTTTCACCTTTTCTACTTCTATCTCAGCACCTATCAAAAATTCCAAACCCTATATTTGCATTTTTATCTCCCTCACTATTCTACAAACTTCTCAAAAACAGGAACAAAATCTTAGTCACTTTTCATTCACATTGCCAACCTAGCACCTTATACATAGAAAGCATTTAGTAAGTATTTTACTAAGAGAATAAATGTGCTAATAAAGTAGAATCTTTAGTGAATTTTATCAACATTTTTCATGTTCAACATCAAGCACTTCTGCTGGGTTCCGGATTCATTTTCAAGGAAAATTCTTCTGATTGAGCATTAAGTTTTGTATTTTAAAATCAGGTTATTCAGTCATGAGAAGCAATTAATTTCTTATATAAATTTTCAAGTTTTTAACTATTTTTGTGCTTACAAACTCACCTACTACTCTCATATTTAAAGAGTTAACCACAGCATTGCACCATACTGGCACATATTAATGCCAGTATTGTAAATATTAATTTATAATATCCATAAATAACATTATATCACACTGTGATTCAGAATTTTTTCTGAGTTAAACTCTTTGTGATTAGAATTTTTATACTCTATGCTTTTAATATAGTACTTTTTTAAAAGCACTCTTTCTAAATCTTTAGAAATATTTAATAATGACAATTTTTCACATTCTGGGAAAAATGTCAGGGGATGTTCCTGAAATTTGCACAAGGTTTCAGCAAGAATCACTGAGCCAGATTGAAAACTTTCTAATTTGGAAGACAATAGTCTAGAAATGGTAAAATAGAAAACTATATTAAGTTTTAAGAATAGTTTTCTGAAAAAATATTATTAATTTGGGGAATAAACCCAAGTGAAACAGCATACATAAATATGAAGTTTCCTAGGAAAAGAATCAGCTATAAAAAATGTAAAAGTTTTATCAGTTTTCTACTTCTTGTTCACGGTTTAGTAGAGTGAAAAAGGCTGTGATATGGTTTGGCTGTGACCCTACCCGAATCTCATCTTTAATTGTGGCTTCCATAATCCCCACTTGTTGTGGGAGGGACCTGCTGGGAGGTAATTGAATCATGGGGACAAATTTGTTCCGCACTGTTCTTATAATGGTGAATAAGTCTTACGAGATCTGATGATTTTATAAAGGGGAGTTTCCCTGCACACGTTCTCTTTCCTGCTATCATGTAAGATGTGACTTTGCTTCTTCCTCTGCCATGATTGTGAGGCCTCCCCAGCCATGTGGAACCGTGAGTCAATTAGACCTCTTTCCTTTCTAAATTACTCAGTCTGAGGTATGTCTTTATTAGCAGCATGAGAACAGACTAATACAGGCTGCTACTGCTCTGACTCTGCACCTGCCTTCAGAGCCAGGTCAGTGCTCTTTCTGGCAATCGTCTAATCCAGACAAAAATAAGCATCTTGTTTAGAAATGAAATGACAGAATACATAAGTCAGCCAAAAAAAAATATAAAGTCCTCAGTTAATAAGTCTAACATAGTTTGGATGTGTGTCGCTGCCCAAATCTCATATTGAAATGCAATCCCCAATGTTGGAGGTGGGGCCTGGTGGGAGGTGATTGGATCATGGGGGCAGATTTCTCCTGAATGGTTTAACACCATCTCCCTTGGCACTGTCCTCATGATAGTGAGTGAGTTTTCATGAGATCTCATCGTTTAAAAGTGTGTTAATGCCTCCCCTCTCACTGTCTTGCTCCTGCTCTTAGCATGTGATGAACTTGCTCCTGCTTTGCCTTCTGCCACAAGTAAAAGCTCCTTGAAGCCTCCCTAAGAAGGTGCTGATGCTATGTTCCTGTGCAGCCTGCACAACAGTGAACTAATTAAACCTCTTTTCTTTATAAATTACCCAGTCTCAGGAATATCTTTATAACAATGTGAGAACCAACTAATACAAAGTCCATAATTTTTATACTGGCAAAGTAACAATATTATAACACTCACCTCCCCAAACAGTCATGTAGTGAAGCAAATTGTAGGGTCTTAATAATCACTTTGTTCATTGAGGAAAGGAAGATATGAGTGAGAAAAGAAAGTAAACCAACACTTGCAAAGAACATCCAGTTTCTTCGGCTTTTCACAAATATTTTCTCATTCAGTTTTCACAATGTGCCCTTAACATAGACATAATTAATTTTGCCTTATCAGTGAGGAAATTTACATTCAGATAGCTAGTGTATTGCCACAAGAATCCCAGATACTAAGTGTCAGAGGCAAAACCCAATCAAGATCTGTCTGAATCAAAGAACCTTTCTCTTTTCACTGACTGTATGACACATCTACTAGATGGAGGAAATGAGGAGTCAGTAAAATAGATAGAACATTTGTGATAAAATATTTTGGTTATGGTTGACAGTGATAGAGACCGACTTCAGGGAAGGAGATAAAAATCTACCATATTTGTTTCTCGTCTTACCATGGATATTGGATTTTAGTTCCTCAGTGGATATGTGGCAATCATAAAAGGGAAATGAGTTGTACAGAATGAATTGGTAGGAGAGGTTTCAACATGAACCTAAAGCCATGTATTTGAATCCCAGTAAGAAGACAAAAATATCCAGAGGCCAGAGTTAAAAATGAGGAAGCTGCTTCAGAGGTGACAGATGTAAAAGCTAGAGGTTATATTTAGTTAAGACATGTGAGTCAGCAGCAATAATTGAGGCATGAATTTTTAATATAGTTGACCATGAGATGTCTGATTTGTTTTATTTTTTATAGTTAAATAAATTATATTTTGATTTCAGTGGCTGAGAATCACCTTTGGGTACGCACTGGGTCGAAAGACCAATTCTCTGCTTTTCTTTTACGGAAAGAAAAAAAAAATCTCATCTAAAGGCCATTCTTCTTGGCCCTAGTGTTTGGCTTTTCATTACTTCTTTAATAATGACTCTTTTTCCTGTGTTGTCAAATATAGTTGAGCACATTCAGAGTAGTTCAATACATGGCCAGATTTGACATCGACATGAAGGAATCTTTGGAGGTAAACTACACTGAAGTTCCCCACCCACTCCCCAACCTAAAGTGTCATTTTTGCTCAGCTAATCCCTACTGGAGTTTTTGACAGTATACATCTGAATGCTAATGACAACTTCTTTCTTTCCTGAGTAGTTCTACTGCGAGGTATACTGACTGACATTAATTTAATACGAGTTTAAAAGAGATAATCAACAAACTTTACCACAAAATAATGGCCAGTCTTGATGATTATGATTGATCAGTCTTAATGGATATGTCCTTTAGGTGGAATTGTCTAAGCAGACCGCATCTCAGAAGCTAGATGAAATCAAGAAATACAGAATTTAGAATACAAAACCAGAGGAGAAAATGGTGAATATAATCTCCCAAAAAGGAAAGCATAGCTTGATGCCTAGTGTCTGACAGAGAGTAAGTATTCATAACTCCCTGAGATATGCTCTCAAGCTGAACTCAACTCTTTGACAATCCCTGAACAAGTCTGCAAATTTCTCATCTTTGTTAGTAGAGTTTCTATTAGGATCAGGTCGCAACAAGTGATGAGAGTGACCACTCTGTGAAAATGTCCAGGCCCAGAACCTAGATAGATAATAAAGTAATTAGATATTTCAGTAAAAATGAGCAGCAGACAAGGAAAGAAGTTCCACCAGCAGTTTCAGTAGTATCCACCATGTGGTAATAATCAAGCATATTAGAGATACACATGGGTGCACAGCCACAGACAAGTTAAGTAGCTGGTCACAGAACCTTGTTAAAATTCAAAGCACTTATTTTCTCAGAAAAGGGGAAAAGCAAGTCAGCCAGGAACTAAACAATGTCTCATGAGCTAGGCACTGTTTATTCATTCTTTCAAAAACTACTTGAGTGTCTGTTACACATCAAGCACTCATCAGAAAAGTAGGATGGAAAAGTATGGGGAAACTTAGACCATTGGACTGTGTGTGTGTAAGAGGTTCTGGTTCACAGAAAAAGGATGCTTTCATCAGGGGAAGATGGATGGGGACATAGTAAGAGTTCCAATAAACTTTAAGCTGGTTAGTTTAAGCTTCTTGTGCCCATAAACCAATAAGCACAAAAAAAGAGTTATAATACTGGGAGGGGTAATTAACCCTGCTCATCAGGACAGAATAGAAATGCTGCTACATACTAGGAGCATAGAGCAATGTATCCAGGACTCAAGTGATCCATTCAGGCTTAATACTCTCTGGTCAAGATTAAGCTCTAAATGGTAAGAGGGAATGGGACTTCGCAGACATCTCAAATCTGAGAACATTCCTGCAACAAATCATGTGACACCAAATTCATTTCTCGCCTTTGTTAATAGAGTTTCTATTAGAATCAGGTCTCAACAAGTGATGAGAGTGACCACTCTGTGAAAATCCTGCCAGGACCTAGATAGATAATGAAAGTAACTGGATATTTTGGTAAAAATGAGCAGCAGACAAGGACACAAGTTCCATCATCAGTTTCATTAGTTTGGGATTCAAGTGATCCATTAGGGTCTTTTCTCTTCCTTTCAGCAAACCTAACCTAAGATAACAAGGAATAAAAAGCCAAAGGCAGAGCAGAAAGGGGAAAAGCAAAGTGACAGCAGAATGGAAATTTCAAATGGATCTTCATCGAAGCTTTACTGAGTCTGTTACATTTGAGAACCCATTTGCAGCAGCTGAGAGCAAAAGAAAGGGTATTAAGGATGAAGGCAGAGAGGTAGCAGGGAGCTAGGTTCTATAGAATCTTGTAAGGTTCTGAAAATTACTATTGGATATTATATGAAAAATACAAAAATTATTATCTATCGGAGGGTTTGGCAGTAGAGTGACATGCTACAACTTAATTTTTTTTTTTTTTTTTTGAGACGGAGTCTCACTCTGTTACCCAGGCTGGAGTGCAATGGTGTGATCTTGGCTCACTACAACCTTTGCCTCCCAGGATCAAGCAATTCTCCTGCCTTAGCCTCCCAAGTAGCTGGGATTACAGGCATGTGTCGCCAGGCCTGGCTAATTTGCTACAACTTAAATTTTAACAGGATTACTCTGGTTGCCAGGTTGCTAGGAAAAGTGGGGAATAATAAGCTGGGGAAAGTGGGGCAAGAATGGAAACAGGAATGTCAGTTAATTCATGAGGTTCCTGCAATCATCTAGAAAGAGGGTGCTAGCAGCGTGGAAAAAGTGCTTGAAATCTGGAAAGAAAAGAACTTTGTGGCATATAATAAGGTAAAGGTATATTCTGAAGATCTGGAGTGTAGGATCAATGGGAATTACCAGAGAGCCTGAACCTCCCTCTTGGGCAACATGGAATAGAGGAACTGAGTACTTTGTCAGGCCAACCACTTAAAACTGACAGGGGTGTATATTACTCTGCCCATTGACTACACAATGACTTTTGTTTGTTTGCTTCTTGGTTTGGGGGTTTTGTTTCGGGTTTTATTGTGAGACAGGGTCTCGCTTTGTCACCCAGGTTAGAGTGGAGTGGCATGCATCCTCTGCACTGCATCCTCGACTTCCTGGGCTCAAGCAATTCTCCCACCTTAGCCCCCAAAGTAGTTAAAACTACAGGCATGTGCCATCATGCCCAGATAATTTTTGTATTCTTTTTAGAGATAGGTTTTTGTCCTATTGCTCAGGCTGGTCTGGAACTCCTGAGCTCAAGCAATCCACCCACCTTGACTTCCTAAAATGCTGGGATTACAAGAGTGAGCCACTGTGCCAAGTCTCACAGTGACTTTTTAGGTAAGAAATTTCATATCTACTCTCTTAGAATCCAATATCTCTTTTCTTCCGTTTCCTTCTATTTGAATCCTACTCATCCCTTAATGTATACACAACAGAAAGATTTGCTCTTCTTCCTATAAGATACTTTAATACTTTTTAATAATCACATTTTCCATTGATTTCATACCATCTTCCTTATGACATTATTCACCAGACATTGAATGTGCACCTATTCTGTGTCAGGATCCATATTAGATGGTAAACTCTGTGACAGACTCTTGTCATATGACTTGAACATGTTAAGCCCTTGAATAAATAAAAGAATAATAGAGAATTTGACTGAAGATGGAAGCAGAATTCAATTGCTCATTTCTAAGCAAATGTTCTTTCTCAGTAACCTCAAATGTCATATCCTCCATAGATGTAGCAAATTACCTTTTTAAAATATGCCATAAAATAATGAACATACATCACTTTGGATAATTACATCTACTTCATGCATCAATTTTTTAGAGTAAGGCAATTCATGCTAACTGGACACCTTTTAGACCATTTAGTTTATAGAAGGGTGAATTATGCCTACATTAATTCAGTTGTCTTTATGGGTTCTTCTGAAAAAAACACAGTTGTAATTAAACCACCGAGGGCACAACAGAAATGATTCCTACATCACCTTACCTTGACCCCATTCTTTATCTCTATTTCTGAGAATCTCCTGATTTTCAGTTTCTTAACAACTCATAAGAAAAAAAATCCTCTAAAGAAATAATACTATTTATTATTTAGCATTCACCAGTGTTTTATATGTATTACCTCTATCCTTAAATAATCCACTGAGATAGCTAACATTTTTCACATTTGACTAGTTGTAGAAACAGAGCCTAGAAATTTTTAATGATTTTGCAAAGATCACACAGCTAATAAATGATAAAACTTGAAACAGCTTCATGTCTATATTCTTCTTAGTTGTAGACATGAAATTCCAAAGGTCGAATTTACTGGTCCTTAGGAAATAAAGCATATTACATTAGCGGCAACAGTAAATTCTCATTCAAAAGTTAGCTAGTTCCTTTCTTTTCTGGCCTTAATAACTAAAAATAATTGGAAAATGTTACCTTTGTATTAATACTTTAGGTCTTAAATTGAAAACAATAAATCAAAAGTTTTTGCTTTATGCAAAAGACTTGAATTGGATTAAATTACTAAAAGCATAAATGTCAAGTGAAGTTGATTTCCATGAAAAATAAATAAGAAGGCCGGGTGCGGTGGCTCACGCCTGTAATCCCAGCACTTTGGGAAGCCGAGGCAGGTGGATCACAAGGTCAGGAGATCGAGACCATCCTGGCTAACATGGTGAAACCCCGTCTCTACTAAAAAATACAAAAAATTAGCTCGGTGTGGTGGCAGGCGCCTGTAGTCCCAGCTAATTGGGAGGCTGAGGCAGGAGAACGGCATGAACTCAGGAGGCGGAGCTTGCAGTGAGCTGAGATCGTGCCACTGCACTCCAGCTTGGGCGACAGAGCGAGACTCCATCTCAAAAAAATAAATAAATAAGAAAAAAACTACATATCTAAAAAAATGCATTACAAACTAAAAGCAATACCAAAAAGATCCAAAAAGTGGGCTATCTATTATTTGTCATTTATAGGAGAAAAGGTATGCATTATTCATTCATTTTAATTACCTTACAGTAATTTACCAAAAATTCCTAATTTTTGATAACCATAACATAAGAGGACATTTTAGAAGCATTTTGTGTGGAAATTTTGAGAACTGTTTCAATGAAATATGGGTGATGTCACATTAATGGATAGCGAATGAGGTTATAAGGAACTCATACACAAAGTCCTAAAGCCAAAACCCTAAGAATTTATCATCTCATCCCTCATTATTTTCATGAATTTGTACACTTTATAGGAAAATCTGAGATTAACCTAGGCTAATTCTCTCTACTTTACTTATGGTATAAAGGAGGACAAGAGAGTTTAAGTAACTGGCTCAAGGTCACAGGTTTACTTACTAGTTTAGGTAGAATTAAACTAGAAAATTCTCCAGATGGAATCACTCAGTGACAGGATCTGCTAGTTTTGATGAGTTCAAACATGACTCAGAGGATCATTCATGCTGTAGTCCTTCAACATTTCAAATTTAAACTTGTGTGTAATTTTCCATTCTGTTTCATGCATTCAATTTCAAATTTAGAACACTTCTCAGAGTTCCTGACTTTAATTTCATTGTTAATAAGGTGGAGAATTTTAATTATCTAGAAATTACTTGCAAAACATTTTGTGAAAAAAAAAGTAAGCAGAAAAAAACTACCTAGTGAGACAGACAGGAGGCAGGGAAATACTGGGTAGAAGAGGGCAGTTCCCCAGCAAAGACCCTACCCTCAAGCCTGGAAACCACGGCCCTAAATGAGAAAATTTATCCCTGTTTTCCCACCCAAATGTTGCTTTTTCCAAAACCACCCTAGCCTGCCAAGACCCCTATCCTGTACCCATAAAAACCCCAAACTCCACTGGTAGAGGACCATAGCCACGTGGCAGAAAAGGAGAGAAAAGAAGAAGCATCTGAAGGATGAAAGCAGTTTGGCTGGGGACAGTCAGAGAGGAGTTCAATCTGGGACAGCGGAACTCCAGGGGAAGACTATCTTCCCACTCCCTCTCCTCTCTAGTTCCCCATCCTGCCAAAAGCCACCTTCATCATTCAATGAAATCCCTGCATTCACCATCCCTCAAGTTCATGTGAACTGATTTTTCCTGGACACCAGACAAGGACCCAACTACGAAGGGGGCAGGGTATAAAAGGCTGTCACCCTGACTCTCCACTAAGCTGGTTAACACCTTAGCAGTCCACAGACAGCAACTGCTAAAAGAGCATTAATGGTAACACACCCCTAGATGCTGCCATGGGGCCAGAGCCCAAAAGCGCTTGCCCTGGCCCCAGCACCTGCTCACCTATGTACTCCCTCCCATGAAGGGTTGAGCCCAGTGGGTTTGAGTGAGTGAAATCCATCCCTGCTGGCACCAAAGTGGCCACTTGGACCCTGAGCCAGTGCACTCCAGTTCCGCCTGCAAAAAGGTCAAGGGAACTCTCTCATCTCACTAGGATTTCTGTGCATTATGATTTGGGGGAGCAAAGGAATTCTCTGTATCCTTTGGTCATCCTAGAGCGATTCAATGCTACCAGTAGTAAGTTGCTTAAAACCTGGCAGCTTCTTCCTGGTAAGAAGCAAAGGGTGCAAAGTAGGGTAGGGAAAGGGTAAGTGAACTGGAGAGGCACTTTCACAGTGTTGAGGTAAATATTCAGGATTCAGAGGTTGAGAGCCTCTGCTGAAGTTTTGGATCATGAGAGAATTGGGAAGGAGAAACCAGAGACTTTAAGAATTGGTGCTGTGGCTTATAATGCAGTTCACCTTTATGAACTTTAGGATATGCAATTAAAGTTTAGAAACAGTTTGCTTTTCAGTTGCTGAAATAGACTTCTTTGAATGTGACAATACCGAAAATCGGATCTACCTGGGCCCTAGCTAATATTCAGTCCCTATGATGACCCCAAATGATGACATCACTATCATGATATCTACTGTCATATGTGATTTTTTTCATTCTTCTAGCATGAAAAGTTAATCCATACTCTAAGAATTCTATCATTTCAATGTATTATACTACTGTGTAACTGAGATATTATTCCAGATGAATGGCCCTTAAGGTATTAGTGGAATTAGTGGAAAAAGGGACAAGTAGAAGTATAGAGGGTTGGGATGGGGCATCGGTAGGAAAGAACAGCTTGCGTCTTCACCATTCTTAACCCTACCCACTATAGCGAAAAGCCCCAATTGTTAGACTCAGACCCTCTGGCCTCAAATCTTCCCCTTGGGACACTAAAGTCCCAGTGTCAATTCAGAATCTGGAGATATCCCTTCATCAGAGAGAGGGAGTAAAAGATCTTAGGCCATCACATTCTGACTTACCAGAAGACAATCTTGCTGTGGATTCTTTATGATCACATACCAGATCCCAGCACCTGTGTTCTAGCCTTGTTCAGTGAGACTAACATCCTGCCTTACAACTCATCTCCAGTTCTCAGGTTATTGTTTAGGCCTGTTGAGCCTAGGCCTAGCCATTCTTGCCCCATTTGACAATATCCTTGAATCCTACCCCTAATTCTAACTTAACCTAAATTCTTCTGGAGTCTGAAATTTAGCCACTGACCTTTGGGGCCTTACTTCTAGATGAATAATATTTTCTCCTCTATACAATCAGAGATTTGAAAGAAATGATTTCTAAAGTCCTTGCAAATCTCGGAGCCTATTGTGTTGCCAGATGTCAACAGTTCACCCAGACAACCACTGACTTCTCAAATTTTGGGTTCCAATAAAAATAATAGTTTCATTATTACAGTCCCAGATCTAGACTCTCCTTTGGCTAAAACAAAATTATAATAGAAAGAGAGAAATATGTCTGAACTACAATGCAGGACTTGTGACAATCAATGGATTAACATAAGATTTGTGAATTTCTTTGAGTCATGTGAAAAAACAACTATTGTTTCATTATTATTGTGAAATTATAATTTCTTACATTTTGCCATCTGAATTAGAAGCACCTGAGCCCTCAGGGGGGAAAATCTCATTAAGATTTATATGTTATCAATAATAGAAAAAGTCTGAAAAAATGATGACCTTGCTAATTTCTGCATAAATATCATGTACTTCCCAGTTTCCCTGCTATAAAGTTCTGTCTAGCACCAAGGACACTTTTGAGCTTTGCAATTAGTATAGTGCAAGAAGTTAGGAACATAAGAAAGCATTAAGATCACTTTCTATATTGTGCAGACCTCTTTAGGAAGTGATTCTCTCCTGTGGTAGATTCATTATAAGAAGAACATGACTTACTTTACAGAAGAAAGAGCTAGAGTGTGACTATAAACTGTCCTTGATGGTGGAGGTTAGGGATAAATGAAAAAATTAAAATCTGCCAATAAATTAACAAGTAATAATTTAATCCATTATGTCCCTATTTCCTTTTACAATATCCTCCATGAGGGGCTCAAGGAAGTGGCCCTATTATCTGATTGACCTTCATGTTCAGAAACTGGCCACACAGCTATGATGGGAAAGCTAATGAGAAGTCAGACAACTCAAAAGAAGACACTGGACAAGCAAAGAATTTTAAAATATCTAAATGGCTTTCCAGGCCTTAAGTATTGGAACTACTTCAAGGTAATATAAAGTTAGGGGAAATTCTGTTCTAGGGCTTTCAGAGTACTAATTAGATCTCTATGAAATCAAGCTTAATTAGCAGTTTATAATTCTTTTTTTTTTTTTTTTTTTTTTTTTGAGATGGAGTCACTCTGTCGCCTAGGCTGGAGTGCAACGGCACGATCTCGGCTCACTGCAACCTCCGCCTCCTGGGTTCAAGCAACACTCCTGCCTCAGCCTCTCGAGTATCTGGGACTACAGGCGCCTGCCACCAAGCCAGGCTAATTTTTTGTATTTTTAGTACAGGTGGGGTTTCACCATGTTAGCCAGGATGGTCTCTATCTCCTGACCTCATGATCCACCCACCTCGGCCTTCCAAAGTGCTGGGATTACAGGCGTGAGCCATTGCGCTCGGCCTGATTTTGATAGATTTTTAAAATCAGATTGAAGAAATTTCATTTTCTCCCTAGATTTTCATAGGTTTTATTATGAAAGGGTATTGAATTTTGCCAAATTATTTTTCTGCCTTGAGATAGTCACATGACTTTTTCCTCTTTAACGTGCTAGTATGACTTATTAGATTGTATTTAAATTATTAAAACAACTTTGCACTCATGGGATAAACCTCACTTGGAATGATGCATTCAAGTGTTATATATAGTATTGCTAGATTTGATTTGTTTATACTTCCTTAAAGACTTTTACACCTATGTTCATGAGGGATATTGGGCTGTATGTTTTGGAATGAAACCATCTGGTTTTGGTATCAGAATTACACTGACTTCACAAAACAAGTTGGAACATGTTTCTTCTTCATCTTTTTTTTGAAAGTTTTTTTGTACAATTGGTAATTTTTCTTAATTAAATCTTTGATGGAATTCACCAATGAAGCCATCTGGGCCTGGAGATTTTTTGAGGAGAGAGTTTTAATGACTAATTCCATGTCCTTAAGAGACATAAGGGCTATTCTGATTTATTATTGCAATATGTAGGAGGGTCAGCTTCCTATAAGGTATCTGCCTTACTAAAACTACACCTTCAGAGCCATCTGCCTTACTAAAACTAGATCTTCAGAACACATACCTAATCAATTTATGTCTCTCATTTAACTCATTCAGTAGTTTTCTACCATTCTTAGGCAAAAATCCAAAAGCTATAATTAATCAACAGTATCCTCTACGGCTCCTACTCTCTCTCCCTCAGCAAAATAAAAAAAAATGCTCTTACCTGATCTCTGCACCACGTGCACGTCTCTTCTTTCAGTTCTTCAAACTAGCATATTTCCTACTAACTAACTCAGGTCATTTTCATATGCTTTTTCTCTGCCAGGAATGAATGAATCCCCCCTAATTCCCTTCACCTTGCAGATTCAAGTTCAGACTTCACATATCCTATCCTACCCTTCCTCAGAGAAGCTACCTCAATAGCTCTGACTAAATCAGGTGCCTCTGTTCTCCACTTTCATAGTCTCAATAATTTTCTTTCCTTGCTTCTAGAACAGTTTGTAACTATATACTCACATAATTAATGCCTGTTTCCCTCATTAGACTAAAATCTCAATGACGGCTGAGATCCTATCTGTTTTGTTTATGATGGTAACTTGAAATTTAATATAATAATAACTGGCAAATAAAGCCTAATTATTTGTTGAAAAAGTGAAAAAAATGAATTAATGAATGCAATATGCATTTTGGATATTCCTTTCTGTTTTTATTCCTCCACCATTATGTTCTGCTGGCTACTGTGATGAGCTCATTTAACATTTCAGTACAGTATAATGATTTTATGCTTTTCTCACTTTAGCTTAATTTTTTTAGTGTTCTTACATTAATACAGTGGAGTGCACTATAATGAGAATATTATATTGTAAATGTGAAGATTTTTTGGACCTGTGTACTTCATAATGTCCTATATAGCCAAAGACCTGCATTGGCCACTAGTATTTATAAGCTGTGTGATTTGGGTCTTGCCATTAGCCATCTAATTAATCTTAGTTCTTCATTTGAATCTGGGATGAATAATGTTACATTTCCCTGCTAGTAATATGTGAAAATGTTTGACAAACCATAAGATGCTACAAAAATCTAGGGAGTCTATTAATGCTAATCTTTATCATCATGAAATTAAGAATGTTTACCTTGGAAACATGCATTTGCTCTTCCTTTAAGTACTAATTCAAGGTGTGTGTTCAATAAACTGTAGAAAAATATTCTTTATGCCTAGAAAAAATACTAGATGAAAATATTTCCAAATTTTCTCTAGGGTGAATGGGTTTGCATTTATAGTAAGAAAAATACATTTTAAAAGAGAACAAAAAAAAAGAGAACACTATGTAGATTGCTATGACAGTGTCATTAGTTTCTATTAGTATTCTACCATTTCTATGAGTTATCTTACCTCCCTGTATTAATTCATAAAACTCTGATCAGTGTCCTGAGAAATGTCCTTAACACACCTCCATGAGAGTTTCTTTTTTATTTGGAAATCAAGCCACCATAGCTGGGAATGTAACAGAGGATTCTATCCAGAGATAGGAAAAGGACAAGATATAACATTTCCCAGTCAGTCCTTCCAAGTTCTGGAATTCTGTGAGACACCAGCAAATAAAGTGACTCAGCACAGAATCCAGAATAGGTGATTCAGAAATCAAGTGGCTGCTTTGACACAGGTTGAGCAGGATAATAAAACCATTCACCAATTTCACCAGCAAACAGGCAGAGATGACCTTAGAAAAAGACCATACTGATGACCAGAAATACTTTCAGCTGCCATCAGCAACATTATCTATTCATGAAGTTATGTTTATTTGTTTTTTGCTTCAAACATACAAATTAACCAGCTACTTAAGTTGTCTTTGCCTTTGACATCAGCATGAATAGCAACAATACATATTACACATCTTTTAACAACACAGAAGAGAGCTGGTTTGTAAAATATAAAATGCAATGACAAAACTTCTGTCATTCTCCTCCTCCCCCCACCATGAAGTGAGCCCTGCACAGTCTTCTCACAGTTTTCAATGTATTAGTATAAACATTGCTTAACCCCAGTTAACTCCAGAAGCAAGATCTACATAAAAGAAAAATGAGAGGAGAAAGAAAAGAAAAAACCCATCTCTGTGTATTTAGCTGGAAGGAGACAAACGTCCTGCAACAAAACACATTCTTATGTGTTGAGTTCTGTCTTCTAATTATAAATGTGGAATTTCAAAATAAAAGAACAAAGTAAAGAGACAGTGTCCCCAGGGAAGCAGAAAGGCTGGCTTCCAGGAGGCTTGGAAGAGAACATTTCCTTTATTGAATTCATCCTGTCCGAGGTCCGTCCTTCAGTTACATAGGCTCAGAAACCTAATTTATCAAATCTGGAGAAAAGAGGGCAGTCCATATTCATCGAATTGTATGTAAAATGATCAATTCATTAATCAACAATGGAAACTGTAACAATCATACAAAATCACATGGCCAGAATACTCTGTTCCTTTTGAACAAATCTACATTGGATGCTGAATCATAATCATAAAAATGCTTGGAAAACAGAGACTCAAAGACAAGAGAATTGTTGGCTGATTTGCATATTTGACACCTTCAGGACAAAATAACCAACTTCATGTGTCTATGCTTCCTACAGGAATCTGTTTGTGAACTTGGTCAATCAACTATTTGATCAGAACTTCCCTCTTACATTTTTTTTAAATCTGGTTTCCTACCAGGACTTATACCGTAACACTTCAAGGGCGGTTTTAGTTTACTGGTTAGTTAGGTAAATTTTTGTTAAAATCTCAGTGACTGACCCAATTGTTAAAGACTAATTGAAAAAAATTAATGCCTTGTGTGTGTGTGTCTATATATCTATATCTATATCTATATCTATATCTATATATCTATATCTATATATATATCTATATATATATAATTTTAAGCCTCTTTCACATATTTTTTATTCTTAGAATTTCTTGAACACGGAACAAAACCTCTAATGTAAGTTTTAAAATACAAAAATCACTGGGAAAGAGGATGGATGGATAGATAGATAGATAGATAGATAGATAGATAGATAGATAGATAGACAGAGATATAAATATACAACTTGCGGTTATAAGCATTTCAAAGAACTTACATGCACAATTAAAGTAGTATGATGATTTCTCTCCCTCCTTGACTCTGCTATCCTCCTCACTATCCTGGAACTATGGAACTAAGTTTTATTCTACTCTCTTTCAGAATTCACATTCCAATACCTAGATCCAGAATCTGTTTATTCACTGGTTGTTTAAAGGAACAAATATATAGAGTGACATATTTTCCTACACGTGGGAAATTCTCATTCCTGCTTCATAGGAATGAGACTTTGGGTGGATCCTAAGAACCTTTTCAGAGTGATAGGGTGATAGACTGAGGAGGGTGGAAAATAGAAGCAGATGTGGAACACAGACAGAAAAGACTGGGAATCTCAAAGACATGTTTTTACTAGTTAAAAATTTTGCTCAAGATTGATCTTCAATATTTTATTGCTTTCCTCTCTAGCTCTGCTCAGGGAATATTCCTAAATTAGATTTTAGAAAAAAATCCTGGGAAGCAGCCCCTCCCTACCCTTTGTTTTTTCTTCCTTCTAGTCTCCTTCCTCTATGCAAATTTCAGGAACATTCTGATTTCAAGGATGACTGGAGAGAAGGGAAGCAGCAAAAATGAGGTAAGAGTTAAAAGGAATGGAGCAAGGCAAAAAGAAACGTTCTCCACGTTTACAAATTGAATTATTACTTTGGTAAATTCTCTTCCTTTTATAGGAATGGAAGTAAACCAGAATTTACTAAGATTCAACAGAAATGTTCCCACTTTTGAAGGATAAAAATGACCAACTTATAAACCATATCCTAAAGGACTTCACTAAATTAAATAACAGAAACTGAAAGAAAACATTTTATATTAATCACAGAACAAAATATATATATAGACACCATAAGACAGAAAAGAATCCAGGAACTCAGCTATAAATTCAATAACAGAAAGGGATACAAATTACAAAGTTTAAGCTGCCAAACGCTGCACAGTAAACAGATTCCATCTTGCGTTCATGAGATTTCAGCACAATTGTTGGTTAATTTCTTCTTTAATTTTTTTAAGAACAATGTAACTAATTCCTTCTCACTGCAATTTAAGAAACTAGATAAGAGCAAGGTACACACAATAGGAGTTCTGATGATATCTAATTTGAGCTGTGCCAGGACTAGTCTGTTCCAGTTCCAAGCCAGCCTATGAAAACCTGACTCACCTTTTGTTAGTCCTGTAGGCACAATCTATCTGCTCTATTCTAATTGCAAAATTGCCACAACTCATAATAATGAAAGTCAGATCAGAGCTGCATTTTCGAATCCAGTTAAGTTTGCATATTTAACTTACAGCAAAAAGTGTTCATGGAAGTCATGGAGATACCTATATGGAATAGAAGAAGTCATTGTCATGAAGCCAGCCTTTACACACAGATACAGATTTACAACTAAGTATTATTCAAGTAATTTTGTGTAAGTTGCTCAGATTAGAACTCTGAAAACTAAACAAATGTTTGAGTAACAAATTTCTTCTTGGCAAGACTTTAGAATTTTCAGGATGGAAGAATTTGGGGTGGTGGTTGAATATGATTTCCTTTTGCCTAGTGAGGTGAAATAATAGTCAAGGGCATTGGCAGTACAATCATGTTCCCTAACCCTGAGTCCTGGATGTACTAGTGGGACACTGAGGAAGTTATTAAATTTTATTAAATTTTCTAAGCCTTGGTCTTCTCATCTGTAAGATAGTGATAATAGTAGTACTCTAGTCAGAGGGCTGTTATGTGGTTTAAACAACAATTCATGAAAAAGTGGAACATGGTATGTTGTTTTTAAGGTATAAATAGAAATATCCTCGAATATATTTGGGATGCCCTAAATAACTTTTTTTTTTTTTTTTTTTTTTTTTGAGACAGGGTCTCACTCCGTTGCCCAGGCTGGAGTGCAGTGGTACGATCACTGCTCACTGTAGCCTCAACTTCCTGGGCTCAAGAGATCCTCCCCACTCAGACTTCTAAGTAGCTGGACCACAAGCACATGCCACCACATCAGGCTAATTTTTTTTTTCTTTTTTGTAGAGATTGAGGTCTCACTGTGTGCCTAGGATGGTCTTGAACTCCTGGGCCCAAGCAATCCTCCTGCCTCAGCCTCCTAAAGTGCTGGGATTATAGGCATGAGCCATTGCACCTGGTTAAATGACTTGAGAGATTTTGAATGTTAAATAACTAATGAAAGTGAAGTACTACTTATGTATTTCTCTCCCAAAAAGGATAAGTTGATATTGATATAAACAATTTACATATCTTAAAAGAATAAACACATTCTCATATTTTGGACCATCTTCCTGAATGAAACTCAAAGCCATGGCACTTGAAGTAAACGAAGATGTCTTCTAGAGACCATAGAGTTATTTCCCAAAAAGGCAGTCAATAAATGATTTCCTCATTTTATCTACAGGATAGAATCTCCTAAGACATGAGATGCATGATTGGTTAATAGCTATTAATAGATATTTCTACTTGAATTTGAGTTTCTTAAATCCACATGGAATCTATGTAGTGGATAACAGAAATAAATAAAGGAAACCACTGCTCATTTTATTTACCTGTAAGTGTTGAGTCAGTTTTGTATGCTGTCATAATCCTCAGTCTAGACCACAGTCTCTCCATCATGCCACTAGCTGGCATGAGAGGAAGGGAGACAAAGACCGCACAGCTAGCAATGTGAGTACAGAGACACACATGAGAAGACACATACAAAGAACAAGGAACATCTCCACAAAACAGCAAAAGCAAATCATATATTCAGGAAAGACAAATGTATCTTATCTTTCTAAGAAGTCGATGTTGTGATTATTTTCAGTGAGAGATGTCAACTAACGGTGTTTCAGATTTAAGGCATGGAGGTTAAAAGCATGCTTTGGCTTGACAGTCTTTATGAGAGTCACACATATTATGTGACCTTGAATTTTTTTCTAAATCTTAGTTAACTCACAGGTAAAATAAGTAATAATGTCTCTATCTCTGGGTTATTTTGATAAGTAACTGAGATAATGTATGCAAAATATAGCACAAAGCTTGGCACATAGCATGTTACCAGAATGTGATAGCTATTATTATTGCTATTATTGTTTGCTAATTAAAACATTTATGAGAATAGTTTTATTTTTTATTTTTCAATGATAAAGACTAGCCTTCTGCTAGATTTTTAAATTAAAAGAAAACAAAAACAAAAACAAATCCCAGCCAGCTACAACCTAAAAGCAAAACAAGGCTCAAAGAGGGAAAGCAATGCTAAGACTCTCTTTAGAAGGCTTGTTTTCATTTAAATGCCATTCAAAACAAGGACAGTGTTCCTATGAAGCTTAAAAGATATGTATGTAAAATAGAGCAAGTGGAGACATGAATTCATATAATTTATTGCTGGAAAGAAACAGACAAGATCTAATTCTATACACTCATCTTAGAAATGAGTAAATTCATGCCTAGAAAATGAGTGTTTATTTTTCCACCACCACGCCCAGCTAATTTTTGTATTTTTAGCAGAGACGGGGTTTCACCATGTTGGCCAGGATGGTCCCGATCTCTTGACCTCGTGATCTGCCCACCTCGGGCTCCCAAAGTGCTGGGATTACAGGCATGAGCCACCACATCAGGCCTTATTATTATTTTTTATTTATTTTATTTTATTTTATTTTATTTTATTTTATTTTATTTAAGACAGAGTCTTGCTCTGTTGTCCAGGCTGGAGTGCAGTGGCACAATCTCAGCTCACTGCAGCCTCTGCCTCCCCAGTTCAAGCGATTTTCCTGCCTCAGCCTCCAGATTAGCTGGGATTAACAGGCACACATCACCACACCCAGCTAATTTTTGTGTTTTTAGTAGAGACAGAGTTTTACCACGTTGGCCAGGCTGCTCTAGAACTCCTGGCCTCAAGTGATCTGTCTGCCTTGGCCTCCCAAAGTGCTCGGATTACAGGCTTGAGACACCGCATCTGGCCAGAAAATGAATATTTCAAGATCACTAGAAGGTTAGTTACCAACACTAGAACCCAAGTATCTGCCAGTCTTTCTATAAAGACCAACAGCTTTCCACACAATTCATTCCTGTTCTTAATTATCAGCTACAGTAGAGTTTCTTGTGAGGAAAATCAGACTTCTGAAGCAATTCTGGAATGCCCTTGGGCACTGACAAAGGGAGAGAGTTAGGATAATGACACTTTTATATTAGATTTTTGGGATGCTTTAGGTGATGTCATTTCCCAATTTCATTGCAAGAAAGTATTTTGGTTTTATTCCCATGACTCAAAGCAATGAAAGAAAGTCAAACACAGAAGGTAGTATTTACCTAAATAATTGGAACAGCTTCTTATGAGCTGTTTTATTTACTTTTTGGGTAAATATATTTATTATTCAGGCAGTTTATTTTTATGCACTACATATTTATATAATATTTTAAATGCATATGGTTTTATAAACCCTGTCTAAAATACATTGTATGCCCACAATAATTATCAGAAATTGAAGTATATCATAAAAAATTCTATGAAACTTGAGAGAATTATAAGCATCTTCTATTTTACTACTGGTATAACCACTGTTGGATTTACAGAATGCCACTGCCAAACTATCTCAAAGACTGATCATTTTTCTATAATTATATATTTGTAGTCAAACACAGATATTGATGGTAAACTTAAAAAATTGGGGTTGATGAATAAACTCATAATTGCAAAATATGATCAGGCTGTTATTTAAGCCCATTAAATAATATTGTATATGACAAACATTTTTCTCTCACCGAGTGCCCAAACTTGGGGTAGGTAAGTAAGCACTTTGCTTTATCTCAGGGTTTCTCAGTTGCAGAACTCTTAATATTTGGAGCCAGAAAGTGATTTATTGTGGGGGGAGAGTCCTGTGGATTGTGGAATGTTTTACAGCATCCCAGGCCTCTACCCTCTAGATGACAGTAGTACTCTCTGCTCCGTTGAAGCAATCAGAAATGCCTCCTGTCATTTTCACATTTCCCCTGGTGGCAAAATTGCCTCCACTGAGGACCACTGCTTTAGATTATTAAATTCTCTCAATAATCCCATGAGGCAATGCATTACCACCTCTATTTTCTAGGTGAGGTGACGGATGCTTAAGAAATTTGGTAATTTGCTTGATTTGCTCAATGTCACACAGATAAAAATGGAAATCAAATAAACTGAAGATCTCAATAATATAATCATTGAACCCAACTACCTCACTCCAAGATCCAGGTGAATGGAATATCAAGTTCTGTGTATCCATAGATATCTTCTCAGAGCCATACAGAAATGGACAGGCTCTGCCCCTTTGAGAAAGCACATATTCCATTTCCCAGGGAAGTTTTTATGTTCATAGACAATGTGTCAGCCATTTTGAGTTATGCTACAGCCACAGACAATATGAATATTTCAGGGACTTAAAACACTCAAAGTTTTTTTCTGGCTCATATTGTATTGTCATTGTGAAGTGACATGGGCTCTGCTCCATCATCCCAAGATGCAGATCCTCCTGCTGGGACATGCCAGTCTCTGGCAGAGTGATAACAGAACCATATGATGGCTCCTGCAGTTTGCACTCAGGAGTGACACAGACCCCTTGCACTCAGTTTATATGGTTGAAGCAAGTCAAGTGGCCAAGTGTGACATCAGTGGGCAGAAAATATAGCCCTTCTTTGGGAAGAAGCGAAGTAGAGAAGGGCCAGGGAAAGAGCATCTTGGTAGTAAAAACAATAAACATTTTTGAAAAATAATTCTACCTTTTTACAATTACAAAGAAAAATGATCCAAGTGATTCATTTGTCACATGAAAGACAAATAGCTTTTTATTCAAAATGCGCATAACTGTATGTTCTCTGGAGGTACCTGTTTGAGAAAGAAATCCTAATGTGGCAGCCAAGTGCCAGAAATGGAAGAGTTATACATTCAATATTTTAGAACCTCAAAACAGTAACATATCAGAGACATCATAAGGCAAATGCATGCAGTGTCCCAATTGTTTCCAAACAGGATTTCTTCTGGAGACAGCACAGGTTCCTTTCCTTTTCAATAAATCTGTTCCATGATCTCTTAAATGGGAGCTCTAGAAACTATTCAATTTCTACCTGATCTAGGCTATTCTGAGTAAAGAGCAGATCAACTTCTAGAAATAGAAAGAATGCTTGTACTTGGTATTTGGTGAGAAGGCATTTCATCAATCGTGGGGATCTGTGGGAGGATCCAGCACAGGCTATTCATTTTAATGCTTTTACTACACAAACTTTTCTTTCCCCATTCTACCTTACCTTCCTCTGTCTCTCTGTCTGTCTGTCTCTTTCTCTCTCTCTCTTTCTCCCTTCCTCCCACCGCCTGTCTCATACACACAGTAATATACCCCACAAACTCTCAGGAAAACTTTTGATTAAAAATCATAGAAATATTCTAAAACAAAAAGGATTTTTTCAAATGTTTTTATCAGTCTTTTAGGGGAGCTGCATAATAAATGCATTTAACTTAAAGAATTAAAGTACACCAGAGAGAGAGAGATAGAGAAAAAGAAAAAAGAATAGGAAAAAGTAAAAAGGGAGCAAAATAGGTGTGAAACAGTGGTAATTCTTCAGCCCTCCTCTCATGGAGATATAAAATCTAATTTTCTTACACTTGAATTTGAACAAAAAGTAGAGACTTTCTTGATAAATAGAATGTAGCAGAAGTGACAGTCTAGACCTTCAAGGGTAATTGGTTATATAAAGCCTTGCAGCTTCAGTTCAGGCCTTTTATATCACTTAATGTTGTGGGTAAACTTCTGTCCCCAGAAGATATGTTGAAGTTTTTTTTTGTTGTTGTTTTTTGTTTTTTTTTTTTTTTTTTTAAAGAAGAAGTCTCGCTCTGTTGCCCAGGCTGGAGTGCAGTGGCACAATCTCGGCTCACTGCAACCTCCACCGCCCAGGTTCAAGTGATCCCCCTGCCTCAGCCTCCCGAGTAGCTGGTACTACAGGCGCACATCACCACGCCTGGCTAACTTTGTATTTTAGTAGAGATGGGGTTTCACCATGTTGGCCAGGATGGTCTCAATCTCCTGACCTTGTGATCCGCCCACCTCAGCCTCCCAAAGTGCTGGGATTACAGGCATGAGCCACTGCACCCGGCCGATATGTTGAAGTTTTAGCCCCCAGTCCCTGTGAATGTTAACTTATTGGAAAGTTGGGTTTTTGCACTTATAATCAAGTTGAGATGAAGTTGTATTGGATTAAGTAAGAAGGGCCCTAAATTCAATGACTGATATCCTTATATGGGGAGAGACATTTGGATACACAAAGATACACACACAGGGGAGACAGGAATGTAAAGACAGTGGCAGAAATTAGAGTGTTGCAGCCGCAAGCCAAGGACTGCTAAAGATTTTCAGGAGCCACCAAAGTTAGGAAGAGACAAGAAAGAATTCTTTCCTAGGGACTTCAAAGGGAACATCGCTCCATAGACACCTTGATTTCAGACTTCTAGCCTCCAAAACTGTAAGAGAATAAATTCGTGTCATTTTACACTGCCCAGTTTCTGGAAATGTGTTTACACTGCCTGGTTTTTGGAAATGTGTTATGGTAGCCATAGGAAACAAGTGCATTTCTTCTTAGGATGCTCCCTGTGGGAACCCATGCTCCATCTTGAATCATAAGCCACATGGAGAGTTTACATATGAACACTCTGGTCAGCAGCCCTAGCTGAGCTCCTGGTCAACAGCCAGCATCAGCTGTCAGACATCCCAGTTCAGGCAACAAGTTGTGAGTAAAGAAGTAGTCTTGGAACCTGACACCCTGTAGATATAAGATAATCTGCCCAGACAACACCTTCTAGACTTCTTGATCCACAAAATTGGAAGCAAAGTAAACTTATTGTTTGAAGATACTTAGTTTGGGAGTAATTTGTTACATGGCCATAAATAAATGGTACAGAATCCAATACCTGGAAGTGAATAGTTACCATAATAGAAAACTAAAATATGTAGCCTTGGCTGCTGGCTGGTACAAACTGGAAGATGAGGCAGCTGGTAAAAATTGGAAGGACTCCAAAGAGTCTGCTGGTGAAGACTTGAAGGACAATGAGGAAAATATTATTGTATACCAAAGAAAAAGGAATCCTGATCATGTAGTGACAAAAAATTTGGCAACATGGTTGCTTGCCATAGCATGGGAACAAAAAAAGTTTGCATTATGAATTTGGGGAGATTTCTGGACATAACATATAAGTATCAACTGGTCCAGCAAAACCTTTCTCGTATTTCTGACTGGGAAAATAATGAACAAAATAAATTATGTTTTAAGCTACTAAGTTGAGGATAAATAAATGGAGGAAAGGAACGTAGAAGAAATGGAAAACAGAATGTGATAGTTTAGGGGTGATAACAAATACTTAATATTCTTCCAATTGAGAGCTGAAGTCTAATTTCCCTACCTTTGACTCTGGACTAGTGACACAGCAATTTATTATGCAGCAGTGAATAACCAGAAGTGGGGAAAAGGGAGAAAGGGAACAAGATCAGTTTAAATAGTGAATGTTCTGGGATGAAAATAAAATGGAGATATAATTCTGCCTCTTAATGACAGAACAATTCACCTGCTGAATGTTTTCAAATGTTTAAAGATTATATATACAGTCACAATATGATCACTAACACAAACCAACTACTTTACGTGATATTTGACCAAAGAAATAGCTTCCTGTTTAATCCTAACTGTGTTGTATTCATTGAAACAAGGCATTTTCTTACACGGTATTTCCTTAAAAGATTTTCACGGGAAACCTTCTTGCCTTAGACCCTTACGTCAGAACCTCAACTTCTCCTAAAATGTGACTTCACTATATATTTTCAAATAGAAAATATACACATGAAACAAAACACTCCTGATACAAGTGTTTGAGTAGGTGTTAAATGATAAAGACACAATCTAATACGTAGGCATTTCTTTATAGATAAATCTTATTCTACAAATATTTAAAGCGGCTCACAAGTAATATATTCCACACTCTATAAAAATATGAAAAAATCCAGGATCAGAGAAAAATTGAAGTAGAGTAAAAGTAACAAATCATGAAGAAATTGTTAAATTAATTCCACAGTTATTAAGTTGAATTTGATTCTGAGCTTCCAGACAGGTAAAGAAAAACAAGAAATGTCTGGCACATATTTCTCATTGGCAGTGGGAAGGACATATTTCAATTGCACAGAGAAACAAGATTATTTATGTCATAGAATTATGAAAATAATTTTCCTTAAGGAATTGCCACTGAGGACACTATGATCCCTACATCTCTCCAGTTAATACCTTACACAGATACATGTTTCTATTAACATGTTTCCTCAGGCTTTTCTCAATGAATGAGAATCTAATTCCAAAGCTCAACTCAGTCACAACAGTACGCAAGATCAAGAAAACATATCCAATGATATAACTCTGCTTTTTTCTCCTCTATTAGACTATGAGCTCTTTAAGCAAAAAAAAAAACAAAAAAACAAAAAAAAAACCACACCAAACCACACCTTTGTTTTTCTTCTTTTCTTTTCATAACTCTATACCTATACTTGGTACTATACATATATAGCATTTGTAGTAAGTACATGGTGTCATGCAGATATGCCATAGTTCTGTTTTCTGGGAGCGCATCTGAGGCAAGAGTCCTGATTGTATAAATAAACAAAATTCATTTCCTTTTAAAGCTGTTGAACTACCTCATCTTTAGACTCAATAGAATGACAATGTGACTTTTTAATTTTGTATGGGAATACATAATATTACACAAAAATGAGTGTCTGTATAGAAAATTCTGGCAAACAAAAAGTTAATATTTACTATGGCAGTTATCTAGATGAACTTCTCTTTCCTTTTCCACAATACATTATAGCATGAAGTGTTTATAGCCTGTAGCTGATACAGAACTGAAGCAGAGCCTCACTTGCTAAAATACTGAAGAACAAGTAGTTCATGCTGGTTAAACATTAAAATATCCCCAAAGAGTTAGAAAAAAATCAAGACCACCAGCACTATTTAAAAAAAATAGGCATTATCATTAGCAACTACAGTATTAAAGCTAAGTTGTGAGGTGGAAAGAGAAAGTCATTGCACAAGTTTGGTGGAGATTTGCAAGGAGAGCTTCACAAGGCTATTTAATGCTTAGGCAGCTGACTTTTATTACTATCTCATGGGCCAGATCTAACTAAAACTCTCCCCAGTCTTCACTCCACATTTTCTAAAATGGAATGGAGCATCTAGGCAAAGAGATTTAATGTTATTACCATTTACAAAAACACGCACATGTGCACACACACTCCCACTCCACACATACACACACACACACACACACACACAACTCGATAGAGCAGCCTGGTAAATAGCATATTCCTCTATAGCAAAGAGTAATTTGTGCCTGTTGAGTGGGAGAAAAAAAGCTGATTGCATCTATCTTACAGCTTTATGAGCACTTTGGGTTCCAAAGAGGGGCAGATTCGACTGGCAAAAATATTTAGGGGTTAACATTGTGGAAAAACAGGTGTATATCCATGAAAATAACTGACACCTTTATGAGTGTATACTGAGATAAGTAACAAGGGAACATGGAGCTCAGAAGCAAAGACTGAGTACTTTCCCACAGGGAGCTTATGACCTAGTCAAGAAGAGATGGTAATAATAGAACGTTCTGTTTACAAGTCTCCTGAGAGACATCTGGTCTAATGCCTTTCAAATTCTCCTCCTGTAATTCCTAGAAGACTCACGCAGAGGCACTACCATGGGAGATGAAGAAAAACCAGCTCAGCAGGAATGTCTCCAACACTACTCCAGCTGTAAACAGACTCTACTCTAATATGGCTTATACATTGTATTTCTTTAAGACATCTCCTTTTGTGTTGGGCCCACTGACTATAAAAATGGAAGGCCTTTTAAGAAAATAATTGGTGGCCAGGCACAGTGGCTCACACCTGTAATCCCAGTAAGTGCTTGGGAGGCCACAGCAGGAGGATCACTTGAGCCCAGGTGTTCAAGACCAGCCTGAGCAACATGGTGAAACCCCGTCTCTACAAAAAATACAGGAAAATTAGCTGGGCATGGTGGCTTGCATCTGTAGTCCCAGCTAGTGGGAAGGCTGAGGTGGGAGGATCATTTGAGCCTGGGAGTTCGAGGCTGCAGTGAGCTATGATCATGCCATTGCACTCCAGCCTGGGGAACAGAGTGAGACCTTATTTCAAAAAAAAAAAAAAAAAAGGATAAAAGAAAGAAAGAAAGAAAGATGATTGGTCATTCGTGATGGATATCTGTTGCTTTGCTTTCCCAAAATCTATTTTCCTTTCTTTGGGTCCCTGATTTGCCTGCGGGCACCACAATTCCTGCATTGTCTGTAACTCAGGAAGAACTGTCCCTACCATTGGCTACAGTAGTAAAGATAGCTGATCTTTTTTTTTTTTTTAATCAGTCAATCTGGCCACAATAACTAGTAGAGAAAGTATGTGATCAAGGCTGACCAATTAAAGCCAGAAATACTGAGGGGATTTTAATTGGGAGCTCTCAGGATACAGATAGCCTCATCCATTAGGATTACTAAGAAGAGAGAATTGAGCCTGAAGCTGCCGGAAAACACCTTTCTAAGAATGGTGCCCAACCCGGAAAAACAGACTTTGTCTTAAAGCTAGCTCTAAAACATAGTATCCCAATCACTTCTCAGCCTTTTGGCTAAGATCAAGTGTAAAACACATTATCCCTGGGGTTTTCATTATATTAATAAAACAAGTGAATAAATTGCATTTTCCTTTATGAGTGTGTTTTCTTTCCTTTTCAACATAAAAACCATGCTTTATACCCCATGTTGATTTTTTTTTTAATAATGAGTGTTGAGGTCCCCATTAGGTAAAGGGATTTGCCCAGAGTCTCAAATATACCCAAGTGGGTCCCAAGGATTCTGACTCTTTGCCTCATGCTTCACCCACTAGTCTTTGAATAGAGTTTGTGTCTTTAAGACTGGGCTAAATATCTAAAATCAACTTCTTATTTTATATTCACTAGAAGAAAATATAATCTAAAGAAAGCCGGTAGTGGTTCCTTTCATCGTGTTTGTGAGTTCCTTTCATTGTTTCATACATGCTAACTTGAGTATTTGATTTCATTCTACTGGGGTCTTGCTAACTCAAGACTATGGTTTAGGCACCCTCAGAAGAAGAAAGCCTGTCTGAAGTATCAGCCCCTCATGAGCACATTTTGGCATTTTGAGAGCCTGCTTTTGCTCCCTCTGAGTCATTCAGTACTTGGCCCTCTCCCTCAAAGGAACAGAGATACAGTAGTAGCACTGTGTCAGAGTGACACAAATTACTTTGTGGCAATTATACACAGTTAGGAACCTAAATTTGCCCTTCTCAGGGAAAATAGTTCAGAACCACCTCCCTCATTTTGTATTTTCACTTTTTTAGGTAAGAAAATTTTAAATTTATATGCTAATACAATGTAGTTCATTTTGTTCTATGATTAATTAGTTGCCTCACCTTGGGCAAGAAAGTTTATCTCTCTTAGTCTATTTTCTAGGTGTTTTGGCTAGAATAAATCCCCTCTAATGTCCCTTTCAGATCTAGTGATTTCTGAAACTATGAACTTAGAGTACATTATAAACTACACAGATATAAACTGTGGTGAAGCCTCGCCTTCAACTCTAGTAGAAACAAAGAAGGAGCTGCATGCAAGCGGCTCAAACAGGGCATCCCAGTGCAGGAGTCCCTTGAAGACAAATCTGTTTTATAAATGTTTTTGTCTGTTATTCCAAAAGACATGTAGAAATGTTCAAGGTACATTAACACATTCTACTGAAAAAGCAGTTTTTATAAGTGTTTAAAAAATGAGAGCAAAATTTCAGACTAAAAAATTTATCTCCATAAAAATATATTTATCTGCAAGAAATATATTCATGCAAACCCAGGAGCCATTTCCATTCTACACTTGATGCAAAGTTCTAGGAAGCCTATAAAAATAAGGTATTAACTTTTGGATGGAAATGTAATTCCCAAATAGACATTTAGTACAATAAATAGATGGAATATGATGTTGCCTTTTTTGATAAATTTGTCACTGTTTTCATAATTTCATATAAAATGGAACTGTAGTTTGATGAAAAACAGTTTGAACTTTGGACACAGATTTGGCTTTACATTGGAGTTCAACTAGAAATTTACTGGACATATCAAGCAAGATCCCTCAACTCTCTGAAGCTCAATACGTAATTTAATATATAAAATGTATTTTTATATGTGCTCTACAGTGAGCAGAATATATATAAAATATCTAACTGATATATATAATATCTAATTGGTGGAATTGTTTATAGATTTAGATGCCAAGTAGCATGTTGTAAACATCACTAAACATCAGTTTCCTTTTGCTGCATTATAATGCAGCGCTTTTTCCCAATGTTCCGGGTGCAATCAAATATCCTAGAGATGGTTGTTACATGACAAATACTGATGCAGTTATTGTTGGCCGCCACACTGCTTCCATACCTTAATAAAATGACTGGCCTCTTTTGGAAGGAATATTGAGTTCTTACTATGTACCAGACACTGTGCAAAGAGCATTCACATGTGTGATACTACATAACCTTCACAACATCCTGCAAGTACTTAACACTGCAGTGTTTACATGGTGCCCAAGGACCTGCTAATGACCACTCTACTCATTACCCTGTGACCACATTCATCCCCTATTATTCCACCCAGCTTTCTTGTTTGTCACTTCATTCCTTTTTGTATTTTTTCTAGGTTACTGACAGTACTAAAAATATCAACCCCTAGAGTAAGTGAGGGAATCAATGTGGTAAAAAAAAATTCCAACATTAAAACCTCAACTATATAGCTAACTACAGAGAGAACTATATTGCACACCAAATTCATTTTTGGCATATTTCATGCCCTTCCCAGAGAACCCTTTATTCCTTACTCCAAGTTTCAAACGCCTGACTAGATTGAGTTGCCTTTCATGGCCTTCTCCTAAATGTTTTCCTTTCTTTTTTTTTTTTTGGCCAGGCTGGTCTTTTTTTTTTTTTTTCGTTTTCTTTTTTTATTATACTTTAAGTTTTAGGGTACATGTGCACAACGTGCGGGTTAGTTACATATGTATACATGTGCCATGTTGGAATGTTTTCCTTTTTCTAAATCCAGTAGAAACCTCTTTCCTCTGTCTCGATTCCCTTATTCATATGCTTTCTTCTCTCCCTCCCTCTCTCTTTCACCTCTATTTCTTTTTCTGAGCCCAGGTCGTTATCCTCCTATTAAACTGCCTTACATGGAATTCCTTTTCTATCCCTAATTCTTGACAGCTTTTTTTAAGCCCAGTTTTTTTTTTTTTTTTTGCATATTACCCTGTGCTTCATGCTATACTTCAACTTTAGCATCAGAATTTATCTCACAAGGAAGAACTCAGCAAAGGAAAACAGGGGTAGAGTATAACTAAATAAAAACTGTCATAATGGTATTAGATAATGAAGAAATAAACAGAAACATTTGGAAGAACAGAAAAGAGACATTGGGAAAGAGAAATAACTTTAGAAACTGAAAGAAATAATTATCTTATTCTGGTTTTTATCTGTTTTCTCTGAAGAACCCATAAATCCTCAAGGGTAACTGGCCATAGGCTTGCGGGTGACAGTTGGAAACCCTCGGCTGAAATGAGCAGTGGAAGGAGAGAAAACCTTATTTATTGGAGTTATTTTGAATACCCCCCTCAAAATACTCTTCAAAGATTACAAAAGTTTGTGTTATATTTTCAAATTACAACAGAAATGTAGAAAGGCTTTTTATTTCTTATTATGTAAAGTTAAAAGTCTATTTATTTAGAATTTGAGAACTGAGAGGGTTAAATAAAAACCAAACTGAGAAAATTATCATTCTTGGGTCAAGTTTTTGATATAATCCTTTCAGAGAAAATAATATTCACTTTGCCTATTATTTATTATTAATTAGAGATCACATTAAAATTACAGAATCCACCAGGCACAGTGGCTCACACCTGTAATCCCAATACTTTGGGAGGCCAAGGCAGGCGGATCATGAGCTCAGGAGATCGAGACCATCCTGGATAACATGGTGAAACCACATCTCTACAAAAAATACAAAAAATTAGCCCAGCGTGGTGGCATGCGCCTGTGGTCCCAGCTACTTGGGAAGCTAAGGCAGGAGAATTGCTTGAACCTGGGAGGCAGAGGTTGCAATAAGCCGAGATCGCCACAGCACTCCAGACTGGGTGACACAGCGACACTCCATTGCAAAAAAAAAAAAAAAAAAAAAAAAAATTACAGAATCAAATATCTTGTATTTTCAGTTGATGAACAGAAGATAGATTTTTTTTTCTTTCCACTCATTGGAAAGTTTTATTTAATTAAATTCACTGGAATGTTAAGAAAAGTTATCATCAATCTTTTATTTTAATTTTCCATAATTTCCTTCTACAATGTGATTTTAGAGGCCCAATACAATCAGGATATGCAAAGTTATGCTATAATAACAAATAACCCCCAAATCTCAGTGGCTTCCAAAATCAATAACTTATTATTCATGCTATCCATTTACCCTGGATAAGCCAAGGGTTTTGCTCTGAGACTGATTAAGTAATTACCATTTTGAATACTTTAGGATTTCAAGATTGAAGGAAAGAATGCTTTAGAAAGTCTTGTGTCAACAATTTAGAAATCTGGCCACTAGAAAAAAGAAAAATAATTCATTTACTCGTTCCCTCATTCAATAACTATTTTTTAGCACCTAATAGGTAGGCAAGCACTATTCTAGGTTCTTAGAAAACACCACAAAAAATTACAATGAAAACTGTCAAAGCAAAAATTGCATTGTACCAAAATAAACAAGCAAGGAAGACTTTATTCAAGGCTGCTGCAATCTTCTGATCTCTGAGAGAGAGATCAAAACTCAGTCTGAGCTCAACTCTGCTGAAACATAGGGCAGGAGAATTTTTAGGAGCTGGGATTAAAAGGATCACAGGCTATCTCTGTTTCCTTTGACATTACCCAAAGGAAAAATTAATTTTATAACTTAAAGCAAGGTGCTTGCCTCCTGAGTTTAGGTCTCTACCATCCTACAGAGACTGGGAAATAGAGACTCTATCTTGTGCTATGATTACATTTCAAAGGGATGGCTTTTAGTTCCTTAAATAAGTCCTGGGTTACAAAAGTGACAAAAAGCTTTTTAAACGATTTACATCTCAAATGTGAAGAAAGCATGGTTATAATTCTAGGTTTTCTAGGGTAAATGCTCCAAAAACCTAGGGGAGGGAGCTTTGTGGTTAGACTATCCAGACTCTATAAGGGCTAGGGTGAGCCGTGGATCAAAATCCTTAACACAGGAAGAAATCTGTCTAAAATTGAATCAATCTGAGGGAAAAATTAAGACAATCGTTGCCAAAACAAAAAGCATGATGACTCTAGTAAATCATCTAATTTATACTTGAAAATTGCTAAGACGACAAATCTGAAGTGGTCTCATTTGCAAAGGATAAATATCAACAAGATGGCAGACTAGGACCTTCCAACATTCATCTCCCTCCCCACAGAAATATCCATGTGAATATCTACCCACTTGTGAAAATACCTTCACAAGAAATTAAGGAAACCAAGTGACAGATTACAGCACCTGGTGTGGAACATAAATAAGAAAAGATGAAGCAGGTTCAAGAAGGAGAGTTTATATTATACACATCACCCCTTTCCCAACCACAGTGTGGAAAGAGACACTGTCCACACGGGGGATGGAGAAGGAAGTGAGCACTGGACATCACCTTGGACTCTAAAAATGGACCAATTCTGGTAAAACTCAGCACCAGGCAGGCCGCTGTAGCCCCAAACTCCAGATCAATACTTGTGAATTGAGTCTCTGGGTTCATCACACCACCAGGTTGACCATAGCAGTGGTTCTGGGCTTCAGGCCACCCCAGTGCCAGGACCCACCCCAACAGACTCAGACTCCAGGCCTGCTCCAGGGCCAGTCAGGCTCTGGTGGCCCCAGGCTCCAGTCTGCCCCCAGAAATTGGCTGGCCCTGCAGTGTCAGGCTCAGGCCCAACCCCGCATCATGCTGACCTCCACTGCCCTAGTCATCAAGTGGCACTCATGAACACAGCTTTATGTGGATACATATTCTAGAGCCACACAGGACTAGGACATCCCCTGTGACTGCAGGCTCTAGGTTTACTTCAGGTTTCAGAACTGCCCAGAGCCAGGTAGGTATCCACATAGCCTCAGGCTTCAGGCCCACTCTAGTACTAGGTCAGCACTATGCCACAGGGACCAGGCTGGCACCTGTGAACATAGACTCCAGACCTGCCCAGTGCCAAGCTGGTTTCTGCCACTCCACCCTCCAGGCCAGCCCATATGTCAGGCAAACCCAAGGTCCAGGCCCTTTCCAGTAGACCCCAGCACTGGGCCTGCCACATGGATCTAAGCTCTAGGACCACTCCTGTGGACCCAGATTCCACTTCTGTCCCTGCAACCCTAGGACCCAGGGCAGTCCTCATAGATCTAGCCTTCAGGTCAATATCTATACACATAGGCTCCAGGCAAGACCCCAAGGCCCCATGCTCCAGGGCAGCCCCCATTTCTCCAGACACTACTACAACATGCATGATACCAGGCTCCAGACTAGTCCCCATGGACCCAGGCCCCATGCTTACTCCAAAACCAGGCCAATTCCAGGCTCTAAGATAGTCCCCATGGCCCCAGATTCCAGTGGACCCATAGTCCAGGCCATGCCAGTAGACCTTGGTGCCAGGTTGGCCCCAAAGGACTGAGGCTCTGGCAGCATTCCTGCAAATCCAGGCTCCAGGCCAGCCCCTGTGGACACAAGACCCATGATCCAGGCTTGCCCCGTGGACTAAGGCTATCGGCCCACTCCAGTACCAGATCAGTCCCAATAGATAAAGGGTTCAGGCCACCTTTATATACCAGCCTCCAGGGTCAACACTGGGGACCCGATCAACAAGTCCACTACAGCGTATCCAGGATTTAGGCTCAATTCTACAGACTCAAGTACTAGGCCTGCCCACCTGCTGACCCAGGTACCAGATCAGCTGGCCTGAGAACTCGAGCAGCAAAGCCACTCACAGACCACACCAGATGGCCTGCCCAGAATCTCTGGATGAGCTGAATGTTGAAGGGCTTTCTTGGACAAACCCAGTTTGCAAAGACTGGAGTAAGTCCCTAGTTTTCCAAATATGCAGATACCAATGCAAAGCCACAAGGATCATGGACAATCAGGAAAACATGGTACCATTAAAGGAACAAAATGAAGAGCCAGTAACCAACTCTAAAGAAAAAGATATCTATGAGCCATTTGGCAAATAATTCAAAGTAATTGTTTTAAAGAAGCTCAGCAAACTTCCAGAAAATGTGGAGAAACAATTCACCAAAAGTAGGAAAACAATGTATGACCAAAATGGGTAATTTAACAGAAAAATTGAAATTCTAAAAAAATTATATAAAAATTAGGGAGTAGAAATATATAATGAATGAAATTAAAAATACAATAGAGAGCACAGACAACAGAAATGATCAAGAAAAAGAATCTGTGGATTCAGATAGGTTACTTGAAAATATGCAATCAGAATAAAAAAAGGAATTGAGAAGGTGTATGGGATTTATAAGACAGCATCAAAACAACAACTTTTTCAAGTTATAGCAAATCAGAGAGTAGAAGAGAGAGACATATGAACAGAAAGATTTTTTTTAAATAATGGCAGAAAACTTTCCAAATCTAGGGAATGATACAAATATACAGGTGAAGTCCAAGCTCTCCAACCAGATTCAATCTGAACAAGAATACATCAAGACATAATCAAACTGTCAAGAATTTACAAAGAGAGGATTCTGAAAGCAGTAAAATAAAAAAAAAAAATCACATATAAGAAAGTTTTAATAAGGCTGCCAATGGATTTCTCAACAGAAATTTTACAGCCAGGTAAGAGTGGAATGATATATTCAAAGTGCTGAGGGGAAAAAAAAATAACTGGCAACTAAAAATACTATACTCGGCAATGTCATCCTTCAGAAATGAGATATAAAGCTTTTCCCAGGCAAACACTGAGAAAAGTCATCACAACAAGGCCTGTCTTACAAAAAAAAATGTTAAGGAGAGTCCTTAAAGGTAAAAGACAATGATGCTAATTTGTAACACAAAAACCTATGAAAGTATGAAACTCAGTAAAAATAAACACAGTCAAATTTAGAATACTTTAACACTGTAATCATGGTGTGTTAATCACTTATAGCTTCAGCACTAAGTTTAAGAAACAAAACTATTACAATAATAATACCTACAAAATTTGTTAAGGGATATACAATATAAAATGTCAATTGTGACATCAAAATTATAAAATGTGGGGAAGGTGGAATAAAACTGTGGTGGGTTTTTGTGTCATCAAAGTTAATTAATTATTAGTTTAAAATAGCCTGCTATAACTATAAGATGCTTTAAGTAATCACCATGGTAACCAGAAAATAAAAATCTACAGTAAATACACAAAAGGCAAAAAGTAAGAAATCAAAGCATACCACTAGAGAAAATAACCCAATCATAAAGGAAGACAGTAAAAGAGGAAAAAAGAAACAGAAGAGCTACAAGACAACTAGAAAACAAAAAAATGGCAGTAGTAACTCCTTACTTATCAATAACTACTAGGTTGGAGCAAAAGTAATTGTGGCTTTGGCATTGAAAGTAATAGCAAAAACCTAAGACCTTGAATGTAAATTGATTAAATTATCCAATCAATACTAAATGGATATAGAAAAAACAGGACCCAACTATATGCTGCCTTCAAGAGACTCACTTTAAGGACATATATAGAGTGAAAGTGAAGAAATGAAAGAAAATATTCCATGAAAATAGAAACTGAAAGGGAGCAGAAGTAGCTATTTTTTATATCAGACTAAAGAGACTTTTTAGTCTAAAACCACAAAATGAGACAAAGAAGGTCATTATAATAGTCAATTCATCAAAAGAACAATTATAAATATATATACACCCAAATCAGCGCACCTAAATATATAAGGCAAATAATAATAGAGCTGAAGGGAGAGATAGACTATAATACAATAATAGTAGGAGACTTTAGTACCCCACTTATAGATCACATATTAGGCCACACAACAAGTCTTAACAAATTTAAGAAGACTGAAATCATATCAAGTATCTTTTCAGACCACAATGGTATGAAATGAAAATCAGAGGAAAGGCTGAAAAACTCAGTGTCTGGTGAGGTTTACTTGCTGGTTCATAGGGAGCTATCTTTTCACTCTATCCTCATATGACAAAAGGGCCAGGGAGCTCCCTAGGGCCTCTTTTATAAGGCACAAATTCCATTCAAGAGGGCTCTGCCTTCATGACCTAATCACCTTTCAAAGGCACCACCTCCTGATACCATCACTTTAGGAGTTATGATTTCAACATGTAGAAATTTTGGAGAATCACAAATATTTAGACTACAGCAAGAGGAGATGGTAGGTATATGCAATGACCTGAAAACTGTGTTCTCAGAAAATTCACATGTCAAATCACAGTCACTAAGGTGATGATGATAAGAAGTGAGGCCTTTGGGAGGTGATTAGGTCATCATGGTGGAGTCCTCATGAATGGGAATAGTGATCTTATTAAAGATGCCCCAGAGAGCTGCCTTGTCCCTGCCACTATGTGAGGACACAGCTGGGGGGTGTCATCTGTGACCCAGAGTGCCAGCGCTCACCAGACACTGAATCTACCAGAGCCTTGATCTTGGATTTTTCAACCTCCAGACTATGAGAAAAAAATTTCTGTCATTTATAAGCCATCCAGTTTATGGTATTTTGTTATAGCAGCCCAAATAATTTAAGACAGTATTTGAATTTTGAATTTGTATTTTAGATGATATTTAACGATCAGCAAAACAAAGAGATGGGGAGTATACAGAGAGAAGAGGACATGTCAAATAGCTGAGCCACTGGATATTTCTATCATTGAAAAACTGGGAGAAGAGGAGAAACCAACAAAAGAGATCAAAAAGAAGCATGTAGTAAGGTAAAGAGGAAAGCAAGAGAGGGTGGTGTCCTGGAAGCTACAGAAATAAAATTTCAAGGTGATTAATCTGAAGTCTCTGATCACTTTAGTTTTCTCACTATAAAAGCAAGATAATCAGATGAGAAAAAAGGAAAGTGTGGTGTGCTGAATTATGTCCCCCTCTACACTCATACATTTAAGTCCTAACCCCTAGTAGTTCAGAATGGGACTGTACTTGGACATAAGGTCTTTAAAGATGTAATTACATTAAAATAAGTTATTAGGGTGGACCCAAATCCAATATGACAGGTGTCCTTATGAGAAGAGGAGATTAAGTCACAGACATACACTGAGAGATGACAATGTGAAGATATGGGGAGAAGACAGCTATCTACAAGCCAAGGAGAGAAGCCTCAGAAGAAATTTTTCCTGTTGACTCCTTGATCTCAGACCTCTAGCCTCCAGGATTGTAAGAAAATAAATTTCTGTTGTTTAAGCCACCCAGTCCATGCTAATTTGTTATGGCAGCCCTAGCATATTTAGGTGTTTGTTGTTCGAGGAGCAAGGAGGAGAAGGAATACATTTCTTGCCTAGAAAAAAAACAAAGAAAAATAAATGGACTAAGGATGAGAAGTATGATTTCCAGGCAGCATGGGGACCCTCAAGAGGTTCACTGAATTTAAAGACCAATTGGTGGGACTGTAAATTATTCTGTAGCCCCATTCAACTTCAAAAGGTACCAATTTAGGATAGCTGCAGAATTCGATTTAAAATAAGGATATTTGCTTTGCCAAGAAAGTTCAACAAGGAAAAAAGTAATAGAGGACCTATGAAGTTGATACATGCATTGGAATATTCATTATGTCTAACAGTAGACTTTAAATTGCGAAAGGTAAAAGTAGTGGCATTATGTAGGTAATGGAATGGAGGAAGGATCAGAGACTTTGAAAATAGGAACTGGGTTCTGGAGGGAAGAATCTGGAAAGACAGGAAGTTGGTTAGACAGTGGTTTACATGAAACTGATTGTCTAGCAGTTGCCAATAATGATAAGATTCTAGAGTATTTGTTATCAAATGTGTTTGTGTCAGCAAAACCTGAAAAACCTGTTAAATATGGACTGCTGAGCTCCATGCCCAGAGTTTCTCATTCGATGTCTTCTGACTCAAGAGGTCCAAGATTTTGGATTTCTACGAAAGATAATTTCTTGTATGATGCTAAAGGTGCTAAAGGTGAGCACTAAAGGTGAGTCCTAAAGGTGAGGACTCCTGATCTAAAGGATAAATATAAGATGTGTATCTGAGGTAGAAATGTAAATATCATTGAGGAGAAGAAATCAGTGAACTAACAAACCAGGGTGGTGGAGAAATTTACTGAAATGAATTGAAACAATAGTAGTAGTATTAAAGAGCCAAGAAACAATATTCTTAAGAAATAATGTGTTGTGACATGGGATTAGAGGTGTATGTGTGTTTATCTAGAGAACTGTAGATACAGCTTTAGATGTAAACGTTGTGCTGTATGTGTCAGTAAAAAATAAATTATTAAATAAATTTTTAAGTTAAAAAAATCCAGTGCAAAACAATGTGTAAAATTGCTGTAGGGTGAATTTTGTGTTTCCCAATATTCATGTGTTAATGCTCTAATCCTCAATGTGATGATATTTGGAAGGTGGAACCTTTAGGGGATAATTAGTCCATGAGGGTGGGGAGCCTTCATGAATGGAATTAGTGCCTTTCTAAGCAGATATATGAGACAGAGTATCTCTCTCCACCATATGAGGACACAGCAAGAAGGTGTCTATTTGTAAACCAATAAATGTGTTCTCAGAAAGAGTCAAATTGGCCATGGACCAGCACTGGTCCATGGCCTGTTAGGAAGCAGGCCACCCAGCAGAAAGTGAGAAGCAAGCAAGAGAACATTACTGCCTGAGCTCCGCCTCCTGTCAGATCAGCAGCGGCATCAGATTCTCACAAGAGAGCGAACCTATTGTGAACTGTGCATGAGAGGGATCTAGGTTGTGCACTCCTTACGAGAATCAGTCTAATGCCTGATGATGTGAGGTGGAACAGTTTCATCCTGAAATGATCTCCTCTCTCTCCCCACCCGCTCCCACCAGTCACTGGAAAAATTGTCTTCCATGAAACTGGTCCCTGGTGCCAAAAAGTTGGGGAAAGCTGGTATATATTATGATTAAAATGGTACAGATTATGATGTCAAAATATTATGGAGTTTCTACAAAACAGCTCCTCACTTTTCTCCAAACCACACAAACACACATACACACAAACACACACGAGAGAATTTCACAAAATCTCAGCTTATGGAGAAATTTTGGAAGTTATCTGGTTTAGTTTTCTGTATCAAACGACGTTGTAAAGACTTTTTAAGAAGGTTACATGCTCACAGCAAAGTTGAGAAGAAGATAAAAATATCTTCCTGTCCCACAAATGAATAGACTCCCCCATAATCAACATCCTTCATCAGAGTGGTACATTTGTTGAAAGTGATAAACTTATGTTGACATATTATCATTCAAACTTGGTAGTTCACATGAGAGTTCACTCTTGATGTTGTACGTTCTATGGGTTTCAACAATATAATGACATGTATCTAGCATTATAGTACCAACCAGGGTATTTCACTGACCAAAAACCTGTGCTGTCTGTTCATCCCTCCCTCCCACAACCCCTACAACCATTTTTTTTTTTTTTTTTTACTATCTCCATAGTGTGTCTTTTCCATAATGTCACATGGTTGGAATTACACAGTCGGCAATTGGCTTTTTACAGATTGGCTTCTTACAGATTGCCCTTTACAGATTGGCTTCTTTCACTTAGTAAAATGCATTTAAATTTCCTTCGTGTCTTTTCATGTCTTCATAGCTCATCTATTTTCATCAAAGGATTTTCAAACTACATTCTGTGTTGCCTTAGGGTCTACTTGAGTTTTTAGAAGGTAGCCATGTGGATAGGCTCAGCTCACACTATAACGAGAGCTGCCCTATTTTATAAAATGAGTCTTCACCATAAGATTTTGTCTGAAGAAATGATTCTAAAAAAATGTTTGAAGGACAAGAATGTGAGAATCTCCTCTTTAATATACTGATAAGAAATATCCCAGCTTCTGCCGAAGGACCTTAAATGCTAAGCAATTCACCACCTCATTATGTGCTTGGATAGCTCCAACTTTTAGAAAGTTTTATGCTAAGCCAAAATTGTCCTCCCTATAACTTTGATCAATTGGTTCACATTCTTGCTTTGGGCTATTTAATTGCTGGCAGAGATTTTAGTTGCTTCCCTGAAGGCAGAAGACTTAATGTTTTGTAACTATTATTGATCTTTCACCAGTTTTGGCCTATAGCTGGGCAGCTAGATAATTTATTTCTCTTTGAGGTTCTCTGATACTATTTCTGGGCTACATTTCCTGTTTCATTTCTTGAAGCTTTCATTTCTATATGTGAAGAAATTTGAACAATTTTTTTTTGTCTATGAGCTACACTTTTTAACATAGATACCAATTAGCTCTTAATTATTAAGCAGGTGAGAGGACACAGATACATATTTATAGCTTGGAGGTCATTTATATTAAATATTATGAAAATCTTTATAACAGTAATGTTGGAAAATTAAGTAATGAAATGAGCTACCAAGAAAGGGTGTACAATCACTGTCACTTGAGTACCTACTCAAGGCAGAAATGGCCACCTGTTGGGAAATGATGTTTTAGAGCTAATTATGTCTTCTGGCCATCATCTGTGGTATATATCTAAGCCATTCTCTTCACATTATTTGAAATCTTAATTTATATAAACACATGCCTATTCCATCAATAGTACTTATTAAAAATTGTTGTAAAATGCTTAGAATTTTCACTCCTAGACTCAGTCCTCAGGAAATAATCTAAAAAGCCAAAAAAAGAGACAAAAATATTTACTATAGCATTATTTACAGGAGTACAAAACTTATAAACAACTTAAATGCCAAAATACAGTAAAATTGTAAAGTAATATATGGTATATCCATGCAAAAATTTGAGTAACAGTTTCAGTAGTTTGTAGTAACACAGGAATATCTTACTATTATAATATTAAATTGAAAACCAAGGCTTTGAGTTGCACACAAAATACAATTGTAACTATGGAGAAAACTTCATAGAAAAAAATGGTGGAGCAATTCCAGTAAACTGGAGGAATAATTTAATACAAACAGTCTCCTCCACTACAAACACTTAGGAAGACAGGATAAAAATATATTAAAAACAAAGAAAAATAATTTAAATTAAAAGTAAAATTTAACAAAAAGACAAAAGTTCCAGATGCTAAAATAAAAAGTAAACTCAAAGCCAAAGTAATCAATTCTAGCTGATGGTGATGGACCCAGAAGAACAGTGCCACTGGATGTAGGCCCTGGGAATAACAAGCTAAGTCTTCAATGCTTATAAAGCTATGATAGATTCACAGGTACCTAACTGCAGGTCTATTTAAATCATGGAGATGAAACTATGGGTTCTCCATGAAACTAGGACTCTTAAAAAAAAAAAAAAGAAATCTCACATTGAGGATTTTCTTTAACAAAAAATAATTGTAAAAGTCTCAAAGAAACAGAAATAAAATGTGCTAACTGCTCTGGGCTTGGGGTGGGTAGAGCCCCACACCATGTTTCCCATATTTTTATGAAGAATCAAAGTGTGTATTACCAAGAAAGTGTGGAAATTCTGATTTAAGGCCAAAGATATACTTGGAGATTCAGCAGAGGGAAATAACATAAGGCCAGGTAGGTATTCTTTTTTGCTCATGGAATGTACAACTTAGAGTAAACAACCACAGCTGAAGTAGAGTCCACAGTGAAAAGTACAAAGAAAAAACAAAACACACAAACAAATCCATAAAGGAGACTCAACAAATACTGAAATGGAAGTGGCAAAGTACAAAAAATAACAATATGAGACAATAAAAGTAGTATGTTTAAAATTACTGAAATGAATAAATAGGCCTAAAATCCATAAGAAAATAAAACAATGCTCATAAAAACTAATGGGCAGATTTGGAAGGAACAACTAGAAATTTTAGAAAGATACATAAAATAAAAGAATTAAATAAAACATTAAAGATAATTTGTGGGCTGTTGGGCTGATATGAGAATATTATCCAGGATGCAGTTCAGGAGGATAAGATGGAAAATATATAATGAAGGTTAATGGGCATGGAGTATCAAACAATCTTGAAAAAAAAAAAAAAAACAGGAGGACTCACACTTCCTGATTTCAAAGCTTACTACGAAGTTGAAGTAATCAAAACAATGTAGTACTGACATAAAAACTGACAGACAGACCAATGGAATGGACAAGAGAATCCAGAAATAAACCTTACATATATGATCAAATGATTTTTGACAGGTGTGCCAAGACCACTCAACGGGAAAAAGGCAATCTTTTCAAAAAATGGTGCTGAAAAACAGAATGTTCACATGCAAAACCATGATGCTGGACCCTCACTAATACCACATACAAAAACTAACTTAAAAAGGATTTGCAACTTAAAAATAAGAACTTAAAACTTTAAAATTCTTAGAAGAAAACATAGAGCAGAACTTTTAATGCATTGGATGTGACAATGATTTCTTGGAAATGACACCAAAGATATAGGCAACAAAAAAAATGGACAAATTAGACTTTGGGAAAAATTTTAAATTGTATGCATCTGAGATTATACTGTCAACAGAGTAAAAAGGAAACTGACAGAATGACAGAAAATATTTGCAAATCATATATGATAAGGGATTAATATCCAGAATATATAGAGAACTCCTAAATCCCAACAACAATGGAAAACAAACTACCCAATTCAAAAATGGGCAAAGGACTTGAACAGACATTTCTCCAAAGAAGATATACAAATGGCCAATAAGCACATGGAAAATGATGACATCTGTCAATATCATGAAAATGCAAATCAAAATTACAATGAGATAATACCTAATACCCATTAGAAAGGCTACTAAAAAAGAACAGAATATTCCACTGTTGATGAAAATATGTAGACATTGGAACCCTGTGGACTGTTGGTGGGAATGTAAAATAGTATACAGCTACTATGAGTAACAGTGTCATTGTTTCTTAAAAAGTTTAAAATAGAATTACTATATGATCTGCCAATTCCACTTTTGTGTACATACCCAAAAGAATTAAAAGCAGAGTCTCAAAAAGATATTTGTATACCCATGTTCTTAGCAGCATTATTCACAATAACTAAAACACAGAAGCAAGCAAAGTGTCCATAAATAGATGAATAGATAAGCAAAATGTGATATATATATATATACACACACACACACACACACACACACAATGGAATACTGTTCAGCACTAAAAAGGGAAGAAACTTCTGACATATGCTACAATGTGGATGAACTTTCTATTTTGCTATGTAAAATAAGCCAGTCACAAAAATACAAACATTGCATTATTCCGCTTAACAGAGTACTTAGAATAGTCAAAATCATAGTGACAGAAAATAGAATGGTAGTTGCCAGGGGCTGGGGAGAGGGAAGAATGGGATTTAGGATATAGAGTTTCACTTGTGTAAGAAGAAAAGAGTCGTGAAGGTGGATGGTAGTGATGACTGCACAAAAATACAAGTGTACTCATAACCACTGAAACTGTACACTTAAAACATGTTGGAGAGTAAATATATATTTTACCACAATAGAAAAAAATGATCATGATGATTAATGTGTCCAAACTTTCACAGTTTCCACCAGAATTCAAGACATGTTGGCAAAAAAAGGGAAAATATCAATAGAATATCATTGTAGGACACATGATATGAGAGAAAAATTTCTTTTGGGAGCCTCAGCCGCTCTCATTTACTTCTTCATTTCACATTTAAAACCATGGTTATTAAGAAGTGTATCATATATTCAGTAGGAAAATGTATTTGCAAAAGGAACATTCTTATTGATAACAATGTTGGCATGCTTTATTAAGTGTTTAAAGAGTGGAATTAATGTATGATTCAGAAATTAGGTTCCTGGAGGGAGTAGTGATAATGGAAACTCTTCACTGTGAAGCAAACGAAAGATATCAGAACAAGATTTAAGTCTTAAATTGCAACCCATCAGATGCAGAAGATGAAATATCTGTCAGTTCAGCCTGCAGAATACTATTTCAGACTTCGGTTTCCCTTCTGTTGATCTTCCCTGCATCTGCTGTGTGGACCTCTCTTCTCAACTAGTTTGAGAATATTCAAGGAAGATCCAAGGCTGTTGAAATCTTCTGCCTTGGCTCTCCAGTTCCAAAAGCCTGCTCTATTTCTGTCATAAGAGTTATTTGGTGAGATTCATATTACATGAGTATCTTGTAATTTCCCACTTGATTAGACCAAGCCTTGTGGGAGGAAGTAATAGTATTTCCTTTTAAGGCGATATTAAAGGCATAATATTTGTTCCATGTAATTCTCCTTCATCTTATAACTATTGAATTTCTGCTTAATTTCTAAAACTATGTGACATCTGTTCGTTGGTATACATGAAATCTTCATTTTGGCCTTATATATGGACACTTTTTGTGACTGCCACTTGTGTTTTAACAAGAGCAAATCTGTTCTGAAGGTCAGTTCCAGGGTTTTAGATACATGCATAAAATCAAGCTTATTATCTTGAAATTCAAAATTTCTGTATCTTTACTAATTTTATCTGTTACTTCTATTAGTCGCCACAAATAGCTGTTCTCAATAAGAGATTTGGTTAAGTCAAATTGTATAAAATACGAAACTTGGTCTAATGCACATATACTGAAATTTATACCACATAAAAAGCAGTTACAATCTTTTCAAGCATATAGAATCATTTCCAAAATTTGAGCATGAACTATGCAACAAAGAGAGTCTTAACAATACTGAAGAATAACTATCTCACAAAATAGGTTATTTGATGTTAATGTTATCCATTAGAAATTAACAACAAAAAATTGGAGGATAATAAGCTTAACCAAAAATACCTTAGAAATTAAAAAACAATTTTTAATGTTTAATGTGTTAAAGAAGAATTCACAATTAAAATAATGATGTATTTAAAACAATGAAAATGCTTTGCATCCAGTAATTGTCTGAATTTATAGAGAAATTTATTGCCTGACAAACATATATATAATGATGGTCTAATCAATAAATGATAATGTGCTATAGTCAATATATATGTTTAAATATAGGTCTCTACCTCACAACAAATAAAACAATAAATTCAAGATACACTAATCAGCTAATGTGAAAAAAGAAGCATGAATTTTAAACTCTCAGAAAACAATATTGAAGAATATCTTCATGTAATGGAACAGAAATGAATTTATCAAAGAAGACAAAAATAAATTGTTTATATATTTGGCTATACTGTTATTAATGTACCCCATATGTCAATTTTTAAACATTAACAGCAGACTGGGAGATGATATTTGTAATGAATAAAACTGTCAAAATTAACTGATTTGTATATACATTCAAATCACTGTGAAAATCAGGGAATACTGAAGAAGAAAATTGCAAAAGTATGGATAAAGAGGTCAAAAAAAGAAGAAGCAAATTATATTATATTTACAAAGAGATATTTACCTTGCTAGTAATCTGAGACATGCAAATTAAAACAATGAGCTATTATGTCACTGCACATAGCCAAAAATAAATAAATAAAATCTGAAAATACCACTTTGTATCAAGGATATGGAGAAATGCACATTGTCTTACACAGCAGGAATAAGTATATTTTATAACTGTTATTGAGAACAATGTGGGATATTCAAGTTGAAAATACTCTTTGTGCATGTTTGAACAATGATATCCATTAAAGCATTTTTTATCATAAAAGTAAAAGGAACAATCTAAGGATTCATCAGTAGGAGAATGGATAACTGTGAAATATTTATACAGTAGAATACTTTAGATCAGTTAAAATGAATGAGTTGTATTAACCTGAATAAATATATGAATATAGAAAACAATGTTGAGTGAAAAAAATGCAGAAATATAGGTGCAACATATCGTTTATATAAAGCGTAAATACACACAAATAAGAATTCTACATTGTTTGCTCATGGACAGATACATCGGTGATTAAATTATATGCACAAACCTCAAGGTAGTGGCTGCATCTCAGAGTGAATGATGTGACAGTGTGCAGTGAAGGTTTCAATTATATTCAAAATCTTGAAAAATTTTTAAAAAGGATCTGAATCAAATATAGTAAAATGTTTACCTTTGGTTAATCAGAGTTGTGAATACTAGAGTTGTTTTGTGCTATTATATATATTTTTTTCATTAGAAATTGTCCACAATTTTAAAAAATTATTTTAAAAATAAAACAAGGGTTTCATTTGGTAAAAGGGAGTATATCAAAATGTTTTTAGTAGTCATTTATCAGGGAAGTAATCATAGATTTGTTTTACACTTCTTCATAATTTTTTCAAATTTTTCTGTTAAGTTTTATTTTATTATTAGAAAAAAATTCATTTTATTTAAAAAGAAAACATCCCTAGGGCTCTTCTGTGAAGATTTTTTCTGAAACTAAGCTGCCATCACACTGAAGGTGATACAGCTTGAGAGGGTACCATTTCTTTGAAAAGTTAACTGAAGTATTTTTTGGATTCCTTTCAACCCCATTGTGAGAGCTGCCTTCACTGTGCTAAATGCTGACATGGATGCTAAAGCTGATTATCATCAGAATCATTGGGGCAGAATGAATTCTTCCTACTGAAATTTAAGTCCCTGAAGAGTAAAACTTCTCCAAAAAATGTAAATGTTCAAATTCAGTGTGCCTTTTTCTCTTTTCATTTCTAAAGATTACTAGGAATACATAATTTAGGCAGTTTGGCTTGCTAAAATCAATGTCTCCTGCCTGGTTTTGACTGATACTTGTTTGCTTGGAGTTATAGGGAGGACTTTTATAAGTGTTCTTCATGATATTAGCCTCTTAGATTGATAGATTCTGATTTTTTTTTAATGGTAAAACTTTCATACTGAGTAAAATACCAAACTCAACCTGTCAAAGAAGAATAGATTTTTGATCAGCAGAAAGCACAGCGGTGCATCCATATCTTTTTAGCACCCAGTCATGCTTGTTTGACACAGTTTACACCTAAATTAGTTACACTTTTAGGAATTTTTTGTAATAGTCATATCAAAAAATAACATTTGCTCCATAGGCATTGAATATAACACTGGATGGTTATTGATTTTTTTCCAAGGTCTTTCTTGACGCTTTTAAGAACTGTCACCCTCAGGATCTCATCTCCAAGACTGAGAAAATACAATTTTATCATGTGCAATGGGCTTAGGCAGCAAGCAAGCCCTTTAGGCTGAATGCATATTCTCAAGATTCCTTGGGGTTAATTAAAAATGGTCAGTGTAACATTATGCAGAGAATTTGAAGCTTGTTTTCCTGGAATGGAGGAGAAATAAACAATGAATTTCCCCAGTTTTATCAAGTACTTTACACAAGTCTTAGAATGAAGACCGTGAGACCAATTGTTTCTAGAAGAAAATAGTGTTATGAAACTTTTACTTTTCTGAAAATCCTTGGGTTTTGTTGCTTCCTTCATAAAGCACATACACAAACAGAGTCTGAATTAGATATTCTATTGACATGTTTTAGAAGGAAAGAAGATTAAGCTAAGTGTTTGAGATTCAAACCGACTGTTCCATGGTTTCTAATCATTGCAAACCTGATGTTTTAAATCATTAAGCCATTCCTTCTAGCTTACCATGGGAATATATTTCCATATAGTTTGCTGTGATATATTGAGAGAGATAAGAATTAGAATTCATTTGCCATTTAATTTTTCTACCAAAGTGACTTTAAAGGTCATGTGATGCCCACATTTCTATTTCTAGAATATTTTCACTTCATCTACCAGAAATCTTTGTGTCAAGGTAATTTATTTGACTACACTCTTATGATTTTAGCATCATAGTTACACTTATTTGAATAAATGCAGAGTTTCATCTGATTCTAACCAACAAAGTCAGAAAAACAGAAATGGTAATTTTGAACAACTCTAATTTATCATAAAGTAAGTTGTTGTATTTTTCCTTACACTGAACAGACCAAGAAGATTAAAGGTGTTCATTTTTAACTCTCATTCTAACCTACTCTTAATTCAAGTTATTGAGAATTTCTGATCTAAAATGAATTTTCTTACATGAAAATTCATTTTAGATTGGATTTCTGATTTAAATAAAATAATTTCTGATCTGAAACAAATTTTTTATATGAAGCTTTAGTTTCATTTATTGCATTTTCTGATAACATATAATTTCCTCTCTGCCTCCCTGTCAAGTCTGCACTCCTCAACCTCTGAGGCTTTGGGTTAGAAAAAGTAGTTTTTAAAAATAGAAGGAATCAAAATAAAAGTAAAAACCTGTAGAAAATCTGAGGTTCAAAAACTCCAGGAGAGTCTGTAAAAAATTCTAAAACAAGGTAAGAAGCAAGAGTTCTGAAATACAATCTGGTCAGATTTGAGAGCCAAGTCTGTCTTCTGAGCCTTATAGGACTTATAACTGAATGGATTTCAGAGCAAAAGGTACAAGGAACAGGATGCTATATTTCCTTCATATCCCTAGAACTTCATGCGTACCTGATACAGGAAAAATTTTCAATAAATATTTGTTGAAATAGAAAATAATGAGTAAATGAACAAATGAAAACTAAAGCAGCAAACTGTAAGTAATTTAAAAGATCCCGCTAAATCCTAAAACCATCTCACAATATTCATCCTTTCCTTTTATTATTGATTTCCTCATTCAGGGTCAAATGCAGTGGCACAGTAAGGGCTGAAGCAAGAGAACATTTCACCTAGCTTATAACTAAAGAGTCTATCTAAGCTTTTAGTATGTGAACGTGCTTCCAAACTTGGTAAATTGTGATTCCCAGGCCTACTATGCAGCAATTCTGATTCAGTGTTTAGGGATAGAACACAGAAATCTACATTTTTAAATAATACCTCAAGCAATTTGGATTTAGATAGTCTCAGAATCACATTTTGAAAAGCAATGAAATGGATACTCGATATATGTTGAGTCAATGAATGAAACTTGATGAATGCCAGCCCTGGTTAGACTCCACTCCTGGCTTTATTGGGTAGGCCAGTGCTTTCAACTGGAAGATAAAATAACAGCAACTTATTAAGTGCTTACTCGTATCATCCTCAATTGTTTGCTCTGGAAAATAATTTATGTAAGTCAGCAATGACCACCAGTTTTATAATCGTCTCCCCTCAATACTACAATAGCTTTGACCTCCATGGTTCTGCTAAATATCTGCCCAGGAGAAAGAACTAAAAAGTAATGTGAGGACATCACAACAGGTCCTAATGAGATCCTGAGCCATGTCTCCATCTCATCTCCTCGTATAATAAAAAATAAAAATGAAACAAAACAAAATTAAAAACATCACTTATTTTCCCCAAAATACAGGATAGTTTACCATAGGTGAAAATTTAGGAAATGTAATAATCTTATTCATTAGTATTTTAACTGGTCTGAGCACCTAAATCCTGGAGCCTACTACCAGCGCTAACAGTCCTCTTTCCCCACTAACGAAGGCCCATAGTCCTTATCTTTAGCAAGAATTTTCAAGTGAAAATTATTGATAGGAAAGTTTTTTTCATGAGTTGTATTCTAAAAAGAAATAGAAACTGGATTCCCATCATACTGTTTTAAACCAGCCAATTTATATCAGAGTCCTCTAGGTATATATTACATGGATATTTCCAAGGGTAAAGAAGGTATGTGTCACCTCTCAATGTGCGGGCAATTGCACATGAAATACAACTGTGGCTTGTTACTGAAAAGTCACACCTCTGATCCACAAATCGGCTTAATGTAACCATTTTTCAACATGTTAATACATTTTCCTGTTTAAAATTCCTGCTTAGTGGAAAGTTTCGCCATTGAGCATCTGATTTAATTTTGTCTGCTTGGATGCCCTTTAGGTGAAGGACACCATTCAATATCAGAATTAGAAGCATTATGTTCATCTTTCCCCCTGCAGCCAGGGAAAGAGAAAGGAGAGCACAAAGAGGCAGAGACTCAAACAACTCTAGATGCAGCAATTCTCCAGCCGCTGAGCAATGAGGTTTCATATGCTGCTGGAGGACCCATTCATCTTAATCCATCTGGAAAGAGGGCTATGCGCAGTATTTCACAATCTAAGTACTTTCTGACAAATCTATTAATTATGCACTCAAACAAATTATTTGCTGCCTGTGGAGAATTGCTACTGGATTTTCTCTTATGCCAGAATCCATGTTCTTTTTTCTGCTTTTAACTCACTGCTGTCATTGGCACAGTCATATTAGTCCCTATTCTCAATTGTCATCATTTTAAATTTAGATGTGGTCACTTCTAGAGAGAAGTTAAATAAGTAAGGTAACATGACACCTAACAGCCAAGAGACATTTTCCAACTACTTTCTTCTTCTTTTTTTTAAAATTATACTTTAAGTTCTGGGATACATGTGCAGAACGTGCAGGTTTGTTACATATGTATACACGTGCCATGGTGGTTTGCTGTACCCATCAACCCATCATTTACATTAGGTATTTCTCTTAATGCTATCCCTCCCCTAGCCCCTCACCCCACAACAGGTCCCAGTGTGTGATGTTACCCTCCTTGTGTCCATATGGTCTCACTGTTCAACTCCCACTTAAGAGTGAGAACATGCAGTGTTTGGTTTTCTGTTCTTGTCTTAGTTTGCTGAGAATGATGGTTTCCAGCTTCATCCACGTCCCTGCAAAGGACATGAACTCATTCTTTTTTATGGCTGCGTAGTATTCCACAGTGTATATGTGCCACCACAAGATGAGATAGTTCAATGGCTTACTGAGGCTTCCCTCATACCCATGACTGCTTTTTCTCAGTTCTAAAGACAAGTCTTCCCTCAGCATTCATGAATAACTTTATGAAACATACATGATGTTTGGAAGAAAAAAATAGAGTTTCAGTTTATTCTCACTTATTTGATTATTATTGTCAAGTTCTAGAATATCATTGAAAGAGATCAAGTCATTTTATTTCTAAGTAATTTATTTTCTAGCCTTAGAAGTACTATGTGAAATTATGGAAAAATATTTAAAACAATTAAAAGGAATACAAATTGAAATTACCCATAATACCACCAACTGTTTTGTATGGATGTCTTTCTACTCTTTATTGTTGGGGAAGCACAATTAAAAACAAAATCTTCCAACCTAGAAAACCTCTTCACAAAGGTAGAAGAGAAAGAAAGCTATTTTATTTTTGAATAAGCATTAAACCAAAATCTGATGCATATCATAGGCAATCTGCTAAGAGGTTGCAAAAACAGGAAAAAAAAACACCTCTCCTTTTTAAATAGCCAGGCAGACACAATTCATTACATGCATGTTTTCAAGATAAACAATAACTAGTCTTCAAGTAAGTGAACTTGACATCACTATTTGCCACACAGAGTTCATCCTAAATTCACCTGCAACTTGGAGCAAGGTGCCCACCAAAATTAGACTTTTACCCAGAAACTGGCAGATAAGGGTGCTATCTTCCTTAATGTTTATATTCTGAAAACATGGCTTCAAGATCCCTGAGAAAGACGTTTCTGGGTCATAAAGCTAACAAAAGTCCTAGCTGGTTTTCAAAAGGATTTATATATATTTCAAAGAGAGAAGAAAGTATTTGCAATTATAAGTTTTCTAAAATAAATGCTCTAAAAAAGCAGCAGAGGCAAATCAATTATTTTCAACAAGGAGCACGAAGCCTCTTGGTTTTAATTTGTATTTCGTCTTACAACTACACGTAATTTTTAAAATCTTATAAGATTCTGTCATTAAAATGTAGAATAATTTCCCTATCTCCCATCATTGGACATTTTAAAAAACTATCTAATTCTAAATAATGTTACAGTATACATTCTTACAAATAAGACTTCCAAGCACTTTTATTTTTACCCCATAAAATGTGACAGTGTTCTCTTTACAACAAAGAGAAAAATACTCAATGTTGCCTGCAAGTAAGTGTACATGCATACATTGAAAACAATACAAACACATAGTGCACCTCTGATAATTTAAAATGTATGTAACAAACATATTCAGTAACTAGCTGTATCCCTTCAACAACAGATCAAATGCTGAGAAAAAGTAATGTTCAGATCTCCATCATCAAATCCTGATTTCAGAATTGAGCTCCTTAGGAGCATTAATAAACTGACTAACTGTTCATTTTATAGAAATACGAAGCATTTATGTCCCATCTTCTGACTATTAGGGCCATTCCCTCTGTGAAAGGACAAAACTGCTCTAGATTGGAATGGCCTATAGCTCCTCTAATAAGAAGAAAAAATCATTTTCCAAATAGCAGTTGGGTGTCTTGGAAAAGTAAGTGGATCTCCAGGATGACAACAAAGGAAAAGATTTTCTTTTCTTATATTAGAGGAAAGAATATACTTCTTTTTAATTTTATAATAACTTTTTGAGGTAGGTATTACCTTTTTACACCTAAAGAAATTGAAGAACTAGGGTGGGAGTGGGGGATCATAAAGCAAGCAAATGGCAGATCCAGGATTTGAACTCATCACTGTCAGATTTCAAAATCCCTGTTCTCTTTATTACAGTAGTATGCATTGTGTAGACAATAACTATGGGCTGTAGGTTCTGCTTCTTGCTTTGAAATGCATTGGTGTCATATTACTTGTGGTTTCATAATTACTAGAAGAAAAGAAGGACATGGTAGGAAATGCAAGAACTTCTAACTGAATGAAAAGATGGCAGCAGATTTGAGAAAGAATTCATAGAGAATTTCCAGAACTTAGACTAAATTAATAGAGAAAGGAAGCAAGATGAAGGCATATAGGAGTACAAAATGACCAGCTTTATTTGCCAACACTTCCTTTTCTAATCTCAGAAAAAAATAAATAAATAAACATCCTCCTAGCCAAGATAATTTGCTTCACAGAAAAAATCTTAATAAATCCACAATATTTTCATAGAATATTTGTTTGTTTTCCTGAGATTGAGCAATGATCAGATGTTTGCCTTAAAGAAAAAAGCAAAATACTGAAATTTATAATCAATAATTTATCTCAATATAGTGGGAAACAATTGGTGTTTACTTCTTAAAAAGTTTTTATCTAAGTACCAAATTTTATAAATTATGTTGGACGGAAGTTAGTCATAGCAACTGCAATTTCTTTACCTTTCTCTATTTTAAAGAATGTTACTTCTTTTGAGAATATAATTGACAGTCTTGCTTTCAAGTTGTCTTCTCAATATCCCAAGATTATGGTTTGTTAATATTAATAAAACCTCTCTATAAAAGATGGAAAATGTGCTGTCAATACTTATTTTGCTCTTTAAAGGATAACAGTTAAAATAGTACTCTTCAATCATAGTATAGACATTTCAATCAAATCACGGTCGAGAGCAAAATAGTTTAGTTACTGAGAAAATATCCCCTGATTTAACTTCTTTTAATATGGTGTCCTAGTTAGTCCAGGTTTGAGACTGGATATGTCTGAAATATGAAGAGTAGAGTTGGGTGATATCATTCTTTTAAGTATCTGCTTGCTTAATTTATATATATATATAAAATAAAAAATTTATATATGAATTTAAATATCTTTACATAAATATATAAAACAATAAACATTTATTTATTTTTAGAGAAGAAAAGAGTTATGCAAAGGATCCAATGATATATGAATATGAGAATGATGCAAACAATGGCATGGCCTCTGTCTATCCACACTCTCACCCTCAGTTTGCACTAATAGACTAGGCTTGAGCCTGAAAAAGAAGGAAGAGAGGTCAAAAATGAAGAGGCAAATGATGATGACAATCAGGATTGCCTTGGAGCACAAGGAGCAAGTGAAATGAGTTCAGCATGAGATGGGTGTTACACAAGAGGGGACAGGCAGACATTCTCCTCATGTCAGGAGCAAGCAGCAGCAGAATCAGATCACAACCTCAAAGCATCAGCACAACAGTAGCAGTGTCCGAGTGACACAAGAGTGGTGGCCCAAGCCAGATCCCTCACTGAGTCCTAGAAAAGACACAAGTGAGGGATTAATTGATCATTAGCAAAGGGAGTTTGAGAATTACTGAAATGAAGAAATGTTATTGGAATACAATTTATACCTACTACCTAGTCAAGCCTAGGCCATGAAATTTATGTAACATGTTGGCTTTCATCATCTTTAAACCACTGAGTTTCTTAAAACTTCTTGTGCCTGCTGTCAACAAAATATTTCATAGTCATGAAAAGTTTCCAAAAGAAGACACACATACCTGTGTCTAGATACTGCACATCAGTGCAGTGTAGCACCTACTTTCCCTGTGGAAAGTAATCATAATAAAGAAGCCGGAAACAAAATGTATATCATCTCAATGCATTGTTTAATCTGCCAGCCTCATTAGAATTTTCACAGGGAAACAGAGAGAGAACTCATATAGAGAGAAGAACAGCATCAAGGATTAATTAGGCACATTCAATGTACCAAGCCCTGTGCTAGGTACCAGCCAATGTTATCTGACATAACTCTCACTTCTATGGGGGTGAAAGAATGATTATCACTCTGCAACAGATGAGGAAGTAGAGTTCAGAGTTTACATGCTTCCCACAGGGGTCGTAGAACAATTCCCTAACTCTAACTCTAATCTTGATTTTACTCTTTCAGTTTCACCATCTCTCTTTTCCACTCTGACTACATGAGATTCATGCAAATAATCTTTAAGCAAACAGTCTGCATGTTAACATGATACACAACCAAGACACTTAGCACTCAAAATTTCAACAACTGAAATATTTTATTGCAAGCAAAAGAAACCGACTCTGGCTAACTTGAACAGGAAAAAAAAATTCTTTCAGGCATATGCAGTAGCTTACATAATCAAAGAGAACCAGAACAGCCATGGCTAAAAGAAAGAGGGCAAACAGGTTAACTCTGGGGAGAAGAAACAAATGGGTCATCTCTTCAGGGCTCCACTGCCGGAATGAATCAGCTGCAGATTATTTCCACGTTTGTATCACTCCACTCTCCTCAAGCTTCAGAATCCGAAAGAGAGAAAGAGTGTGGTCCAGCCTGGGTCACATGTGCGTACCACAGCAGGGGAGGGTAAGGTTCCCTAATTGAGTGCATGCAGCAGGGGAAGAGAAGTTCCCCATAGGAAAATCAGAGTGCTGGGCTGGCGAAACAACAGATCCTTACTACAATACTGAAAGGTCTCCTGTGTCCTCACAAATGCCCTCCCTTGTCACATTACAGTGACTGGTTTCTGCTTACTCACATATTTCTCACACAGAGCCCTCTGAAGCTGAGGCTGAGCCACAGAAAACTCTGTCTCCCTCACTATCGCCATGCACCAGAACTGCTTCCAGCTCTGATTCATTACACACATCACTTCTATCTCACCCACCAGAACATGATATATATGGTAATTTATTTCACTGTTTTGTACTTGCCACCACCCCCTCATGTCCTATATCATTTAAGCTGAGTTCTGCATCAGCAGCAATGAACATTAGGACCCACCCCTCAGTCAGAGGGAGAAAAGAATTCTACCTTCTCCCCCTTCCCTCCTTACAGAGAGAGTCAGCCCAACCACAGTCCAGATATCACAGACTATCCTCAACCCTCTGCCAACATCTGTCTTTTTTAGAATGCTGAGTTCTACAAATCAGAGAGGGAGAAAATCAGCACACAAATTATGTAACTGAAATCGAAGAGCCAACAAAAATTGCCCTGGAAGCACACAAAAGCCCTTCTAGAAAAAGACTCTGTTATTGAAATTAAATTAAGCACTATAGACTGTCCAGAGATAATGTTTAGAAATTTCCTGAGCGATGAGGCAGAATTTGTGACTCTGAAATAGAGATAATTTGTTTCAGTCACCCACTTCATTAAGATACCAAAAGGGGTTTCAATTTATTAATGTGACATTCAAAATAAAAACATGGGCAAGTGCTGTCCTTATAAATTAATGAAAGTTTATATAGAGGGAAATAAAGAGATGGTTTTGCTGACAAAAAGAATAAAATATAAAATCTGCTTTTACCTGGTAGCCTCTGGAGCTCAATGTATGGCATTATTTAACTACTATAAATATGGCTTCAGGAAGAGCTTTCCAGGGAATAATTTGTGGGATAGACATGCCGTTCCTTCATCGTATTTACCAAATATTGCAAAGTTGGTAGGAAGACCTGAAGAGCATGCAGGGTCAGGAAGAGAATAATGCACCCATATAAGCAATCCACTTCCCCTCTCTCCTGGCAAAGTGGTCCCACCCATTGCAGGGTGACCCAGAATTCTGAAAGGGGCCAGAAAATAAGCTAGAAAAAGTTAATACCTCTATTAATAAAATGGGAGTGTTGTACTAGTACCTGTTTTTAATTCCTGGTTGATTTTTGTTTCTCAGAAGAGTGCAGAGATTCTAGTAGAAGAGGGAATAAAAGATCACTAAACAAGAAGTTTCTAGGTATAGCTAACATTCAATGCTTAGTGGTTTGTATGCCTGTTACCTAAAGCTCTCCATCTCCTCAAACCGGAAAACAATCTGTTTTACATAAAGAAGGTCCTGTTTGAGTAGAAATATGTGTCTGTGTATGTGTGTTGGATGGAGGAAGGCGGGTAGACTGACTTGTTCCTGGTGTGGAATAGACAACTGAGCCACCCTTATGCAGGCTTAAGTTGATAGGTTGGCCATGGTGGCATCTCGGTTACATATGCAAAAAAACATACTATTTTTTTGATTTTTAGGATGACAAATTAATGACCACTCATTGTAAATACTTTTTTTTTTTTTTTTTTTGAGATGGAGTTTCACCCTTGTCGCCCAGGCTGGAATGCAGTGGTGCGACCTCCGCTCACTGCAAGCTCTGCCACCCGGGTTGAAGCAATTCTCCTGTCTCATGCTCCTGAGTAGCTGGGACTACAGGCACACGCCACCACCCCCAGCTCATTTTTGTATTTTTAGTAGAGACAGGTTTTCACCATATTGGTCAGGCTGGTCTCAAACTCCTGACTTCAGGTGATCCACTCACCTTGGCCTTCCAAAGTACTGGGATTACAGGCATGAGCCACCACGCCCAGCCCATTGTGAATACTTTCTAATGTTTTCATGTTCTCATTTTTTTTAATGAGTCTCCAGTTTAAAAATAAATAGTTACTTTTGTTACTTATTAGAATAAAGCTATACCCTTCTTTCTGAGTTCCAAGTCTGCTATTAATTAGTCCCAATTAGCCTATCTGACCTTGTCTCTCCCCACTCACAGAACTCTCTTACTTAGCAAGGCTAATATAAATTCTGCATTCCACTTATGTTTAGCTCTTTCCAGAAGTTATATCTTTGTTCATGACATTCTTCACACCGGGAATAGCCACCTTAATTCAAATTCTTTGTTTTCATTAAGTCTTAGTTCAAGATTCACAAATTAATTTCTGCCCTAATTTCCCTGAGCCTGAGCGTATATTGATTTTAAACTCTTACCACAGTTATTATCCTGTCCATATGCTGCCTTTAGATGTCCTATAGCTATCCATGCATGGATTGCATTCATCTCCACAAACAGATTAAGAACATTTCAAAAGCAACAACCAATTTGTCCACTTCTTGGTGCCTCTAAAGCCACTAAACTATGGGGAATGTTGCAGTACATACTTAGTAAAATTTTGTTGAGTGGATAAACTGACCTGTTTGAATGGAAACAGGTTAGCAATGTGGTTTGAGAACCTACTGCACTCAAAGCACAAGCTAGGTAGAAGAGGGAATGGAAATAATAGTATAAACAACTAAACAATAAACACTGTCCAATGCCCCTGAAGGGCTCCCACTTACTTTTGGAGACACTAAAATCCATGTGAACACAACACATACATTAAAAAATCGATTTACATTTTTACTGTGAAGAAACATAAGCTACCTGGCTGGGCGCGGTGGCTCATGCCTGTAATCCCAGCACTTTGAGAGGCCGAGGTGGGTGGATCACGAGGTCAGGAGTTCGAGACCAGCCTGGCCAATATGGTGAAACCCCCCCTCTCTACTAATAATACAAAAATTAGCCAGGTGTGGTGGTCCACACCTGTAGTCCCAACTACTAGGGAGGCTGAGGCAGGAGGATCACCTGAACCCGGGAGGCGGAAGCTGCAGTGAGCCGAGATCACACCACTGCACTCCAACCTAGGCGAGAGAGTGAGACTACATCTGAAAAAAAAAAAAAAGAAAAAGAAAAAGAAATATAAGCTACCTAGGTGTATTTCTTCGACTAAATGGGCACAGGTGCCTCTGCACCCCCAGGGGAAACAAGTGAAGTTCCAGGGACTGATGGAATTAACTGACCCAGGGAATTCTTGGGGGCTGGGGCAGCTGGAGCAGTTTTTGCTGTGATGAATCAGGGTCACGTAACTTTAGTAGCAGCCCCTACACAGTGTATGGCAGAGGAAAACTGAAGAGACAATCAAAAGTATGATACTTGCATCTGTTACTACCTATTACCCTAAGAGGACTCAGTTCAAGAGAGGAATCTGCCACACTGCTGTGAACTGCCACTCAGAGGTGAGCTAAGAGTGTTGTCCAGTAGCACAGAAATGTTGGAGGAAAACCAGTAACACTTTCTCACTAGATAATCCAATTGGGTTGGAAATGCAAAAAAATATGGGTGGAGGCTGACTCTGCTCTTTTCCCCCTGATTCTCTAGGGAAGTCCATTGGCCTCCCTTATTTTTCATCAATATGCCACATACTATCCCTTTCTTTGTTACCTTAATTCTCCCATTAGAATATGAAAATAGCTCATATTTAGCTATTCTTAGCTTATATTTAGTTTATTTATTTTTTTTAATTTTTTTAGTATTTATTGATCATTCTTGGGTGTTTCTCGGAGAGGGGGATTTGGCAGGGTCATAGGACAACAGTGGAGAGAAGGTCAGCAGATAAACATGTGAACAAAGGTCTCTGGTTTTCCTAGGCAGAGGACCCCGCGGCCTTCCGCAGTGTTTGTGTCCCTGGGTACTTGAGATTAGGGAGTGGTGATGACTCTTAACGAGCATGCTGCCTTCAAGCATCTGTTTAACAAAGCACATCTTGCACCGCCCTTAATCCATTTAACCCTGAGTGGACACAGCACATGTTTCAGAGAGCATGGGGGTAAGGTTATAGATTAACAGCATCCCAAGGCAGAAGAATTTTTCTTAGTACAGAACAAAATGGAGTCTCCCATGTCTACCTCTTTCCACACAGACACAGTAACAATCTGATCTCTCTTTCTTTTCCCCACATTTCCTTCTTTTCTATTCAACAAAACCGCCATCGTCATCATGGCCCGTTCTCAATGAGCTGTTGGGTACACCTCCCAGACGGGGTGGCGGCCGGGCAGAGGGGCTCCTCACTTCTGAGACGTGGTGGCCGGGCAGAGGGGCCCCCTACCCCCCAGACAGGGCGGCCGGGCAGAGGCGCCCCCCCACCTCCCAGATGGGGCGGCTGGCGGAGACGCTCCTCACTTCCCAGACGGGGCGGCTGCGGCGTGTAGGGGCTCCTCACTTCTCAGACGGGGCGGCGGCCAGGCAGAGGCGCTCCTCAGTTCCCAGACGGGGTGGCGACCAGGCAGAGGCGCTCCTCACCTCCCAGACAGGGTGGCGGCCGGGTAGAGACGCTCCTCACCTCCCAGACGGGGTCGCGGCCGGGCAGAGGCGCTCCTCACCTCCCATACGGGGTCGCGGCCGGGCAGAGGCCCTCCTCACCTCCCAGACGGGGTGGCGGCCGGGTAGAGACGCTCCTCACCTCCCAGACGGGGCGGCCGGGCAGAGGCGCTCCTCACGTCCCAGAAGGGGCGGCCGGGCAAAGGCGCTCCCCACGTCCCAGACGATGGGTGGCCTGGGAGAGATGCTCCTCACTTCCCAGACGGGATGACGGCTGGGAAGAGGCGCTCCTTACTTCCCAGACTGGGCGGCCGGGCAGAAGCGCTCCCCACATCCCAGACGATGGGCAGCCAGGCAGAGACACTCCTCACTTCCCAGACGGGATGGCGGCCGGGAAGAGGCGCTCCTCACTTCCCAGACTGGGCGGCCGGTCAGAGGGGCTCCTCACATCCCAGACAATGGGCGGCCAGGCAGAGACGCTCCTCACTTCCTAGATGGGGTGGCGGCCGGGCAGAGGCTGCAATCTCAGCACTTTGGGAGGCCAAGGCAGGCGGCTGGGAGGTGGAGGTTGTAGCCAGCCAAGATCACGCCACTGCACTCCAGCCTGGGCAACATCGAGCTCTGAGTGAGCGAGACTCCGTCTGCAATCCCGGCACCTCGGGAGGCCGAGGCGGGCAGATCACTCGAGGTCAGGAGCTGGAGACCAGCCTGGCCAACATGGCGAAACCCCGTCTCCACCAAAAAATACAAAAACCAGTCAGGCGTGGCGGCGCGTGCCTGCAATCCCAGGTACTCGGCAGGCTGAGGCAGGAGAATCAGGCAGGGAGGTTGCAGTGAGCCGAGATTGCAGCAGTACAGTCCAGCCTCGGCAACAGAGGGAGACCGTGGAAAGCGGGAGACGGAGACGGAGACGAGGAGACCGTGGAAAGCGGGAGACAGAGATGACGAGGGAGAGGGAGAGGGAGAGGGACAGGCTGGTTTATTTTGTTTTGCCGCTTCTGGAAGGGAGCTGGGCACATGGTAAATGCTCATCAATATTTGAGTAAGTGTATTGCTTTTAGAAAATTGAATTAAAAAAAATTTTTCTTGAAACAAGGTCTCATTCTGTCACCCAGGCTGGAGTGCAGTGGTGGAATCATAGCCTTGAAATCCTGGGCTCAAGTGATCCTCCCATCTCAGCCACCCACAGTGCTGGGATTATAGGTATGCCCAGCCTGAACTATTATAATAATAATAGTTCAAAATATATTTTCAGTACATCTACATTTTACTTGGGTAGAATATCCTTCAATGAACACAGTTTCACCTTCCCTAACACTCAAAGGAGAAATCACAGTTCCTTCTCAAGATATTTACCATGATTAAATAACAATATAGTGCCTGCAACTGAAAAGTCATTTGGTAACTTTTATCTTTACTACAAGGCACAGCTGAACTCTGCCTCTCTACCAGCTCCACATACACTTTCTTAATGGTAAAATACCTCACTGTGTTCAATGACAGAAAAAAAACTACCTCGTTTTAGGCATCTGTGTCTTTACAACCTAGAACCATAGCTCTTGATAAATGCTCAAAAAATATGGGCTTAATAAATAATGAATCCTGCAAGAGACATTCTCTAATAGACCAACGACACATCTTACAGTTATAAAATAACAATGCCTAGATCCTGAATGGTGCTAATATGAATTGCAAATGTAAATTTATTAATATCATAAATAACCAGTCTTTAAACCATTGCCATTATCAATAACATTTCTATTGTGTTGGAAATAAGATTGTGAATGCCTTCCTACCTTCACGTCTTTGACTTGTTCTTATTTACAATGGTTATGAATAACAAATGACACCTAGTTAGGATAAGCAAGAGTTCAGAAAGACCTCAACTTGTTTGATTTTTGTAACTTTGTGCTGACTCATGTGTTCCTCATCTTATCTCTTTTCTACCTTCAAGTTAATTATTTCAGTTCCATCTGACAACTTCCCTCCTGCTTCTTCCTATGCTCTTTTTTGTAAATCACTGGCCAGAAAATGGTGGCTGAACAAAAAATAACATGAGATTTTAATGATGGTTTTGAATGTAGTGAGAGGGAAAGCACATTTTCCCTTTTTTTTCCTGTTCTTTAAAAACTGTACCTCTAGTGTGCAGGTGTAAAATTTATGTTTTAATGGAATTCTAAATATATAATAGAGGGAGTTGGGGGGAAGCATGGTTCTGTGAAAAGTAACTAAACCAAAGACATTTTGATACACCTTTCCAAAACTGGTCATACTATTCACATTCACTATGGTCTTTATGCTCTTCCTCAATGTCCATTTAACAAAATTTCACTCTGCTTCCACTGACCCAACTGCTCAGAGATTTTTTCAACATTAAATGCCCCCTTGTCTTCTTACATTTTGTATGTTTGCATTTGGTCCTTAGAACACTTATTTCTGCTTTTGTAGCTTCTTCTGACTGAAAATGCAGAAGCAGGCACAGGAAGGGCCAAAGCACGTAAAGCCAGGCTGGTCTCAAACCCAAGACTTTTTCCTACCCCATTTCCAATGTGTCAAAGCATGACTCAGGCGAAATGTCACCTCTTCAACTCCTTGAGTAAATGCTACTAATATTATCTTCCATATTCTTTCATCATTTTGTTTATGCTGTCATTATTACTTTAATCAAACATTTAAGAAGAAATATTAATATATTTTTCACTGTTGTTTGTAGCCCAAGTTCCCCCTCAAAGTCTTCCCGGTAGAACATCCTGCAATGATGAAATGTTCTGTCTGCACTGCCCAATATAGTACACATGTGACTGTTGAGCCCTTGAAATACGGCTAGTGCAAATGAGGAAATGAACTTGTAATTTAGTCTAATTTCAATTAATTTTAATTTAAATAGCTGCACGTGGCTAGCAGCTACTCTACTGCACAGCTACTCTACTGCACTCCTGTCTACTCTTAGTACCCGCTGGGAAACACTACGCCTCACCCTCCCCATGGCTGAAATATCTCCTTTCTCAGTTTTGTCAATAAATGGCTTTATTTTCGAATATTTTTTCTCCCGCACAGACTCTGTTTTACTAAGATGCATTTTCTGTTTCTTTGTTTTGTTCTTTTTCATATTAAAGATTTTCCTTAAGAACCTACTGGTCCTTGGCTTTTTTTTTTTTCCTTCACATAGAAGAGTGTGGAAATTAACAATGGAATGGAAGTCTGTGCTTCTCGGTAGGGCTTGTGGGTGATGGTCTTTGCTGCACATTGAAGTGACAGAAATAGTCTTTGCTTGTTTATTTCTTAAATTAGAGAATCCCATGTTAGTTCCTTCAGGTTGTTAGATGCAGTAGAAAACATTCTTCCAAGATCTGGCTGGAAGGTGTATACTTAGTAATGGGTGTACAGAATGCTGACCAAGGAAAACAGGAGGATGGGAGGTCCTCAACACTCAATATATAATTTTGCAATAACTCCCCATGTTTTCAGCACAGGATCCCTGCTCTTCCCTGTTCCTTGTGTTTTACAAGTGCAGAGTCTGTGGTCTCACTTACTAGAAAGTAAGTCTCCTGTTTATTCTATCTAGAGGGAAAGAGGCTTTACCTTGGCTGGAGGGTGTGAAAAAAAAGAAATGTTGGTGTTATTACTGCTTCTTAAACAGATTTTCATCATTATTTTTGATGATTTGGGTTTCATCCAAGTCCCTCGATGCTCCCTTCATATAAAATGGGTGGTTTCTAGAACTCCCTACTGCCCACTTAGGAGGCAGCTTTCTGAGGCCTTCTAAATTAGTTACCACTCATCCCCTCCTATGCTGTTTATTTTGAGGATGACCTGAGGTAAATATGTGTTTAATACACCATTTTTAACCGGAAATCTGTCAATCTGTTTTTATCTATTTAAACATGAGAGGTTTTTGTGGGGTGAAGGAGTAGGGACTACGTCTCATTAATCCTAGTGTTTCTCATTCATGATACACAAAACATGGTGGACACTCTAAAATACTGAATGAATGCATGGATCAATGGAAGAATAGATAGATGGATGGATTGATGGATGGACACATGAAAGAGGGCACCTTCTTTTTTTTTTTTTTGAGATGGACTCTCGCTCTGTTGCCCAGGCTGGAGTGCAGTGGCACGATCTCAGCTCACTGCAAGCTCCGTCTCCCGGGTTCACGCCATTCTCCTGCCTCAGCCTCCTGAGTAGCTGGGACTACAGGCGACCGCCACCACACCCAGCTAATTTTTTGTATTTTTAGTAGAGACAGGGTTTCACCGTGTTAGCCAGGATGGTCTCGATCTCCTGATCTCGTGATCCACCTGCCTCGGCCTCCCAAAGTGCTGGGATTACAGGTGTGAGTCACCGCGCCCGGCCCCAAGAGGGCACCTTCTTAGTGTTCAAAGAGATTGGTGATCCATCACTCATGGAAGGGTGAGCTGTCCTTTGGAGCATGTCTTTGGAGTTGTTTTTCTCCTTCATGAACAGGTACATCAGTTCTCCAGTTCACCAAATGTTTCCCTAGTTTGAATTATAGGAGACCGATATTGACTAGGCCTTAAATCTGCTCCTTTGAATGCTTTATCCTATCAGAGCCTTATAGAATCCTTAGCCCTTACAACAGCCAGCTACCTGCTCCAGGCATCTTATTAGGAATAGCACTACAGCAAGTGAAGATATTCGCTACCTGTCCTGGAAATTTGTAAAGCAATGTTGCTACAGTAATAGACAGTGCCTTGCGATGCACATTTCATGGATTTTCTGTGAAGCATTGTAAGGTATCAGTACACTTTTCAATGATTTTTGCTCTGCATAAGAGTTTTTGATTGCATCTAGCATACAGTACCATAGCAGTAGAATTCATGAATATTTTACTTATAGAGGGAAAAGGAAAGCTAGCCTGCCTAAATAGCTTTCATTTTGTAAGGTTTTAGATTTAGTTTTCTTTTCCCCCCGTTATGGGTTCTTAAAAAAAAAAATCCCTACATTAAACAGCTGCCTTGGAAGTTTCTTTCTCCCTTTAAGTGTTTTCACATTTACAGACTATGCTCCTATGATCTAATAAAATTAAGCTATCAGGAGGAAATCATCGCATCAGAAAGGGCTGGGGAAGCATTGTAAAGCACTAGACATCTCGCTAGAAGAGCGTCTCTCGGGAGTTTGCTCCGGGAAAGAAGCGGTGGGTGGAATTGCTGAGCTCCTAGGTCTGTTAAGCTGATGCCTGCCTTCCCACACTTGTCTTCTTTACATAAGCATTTTTCTTTTGAGGCAGCCCACGACAGCACCAGGAGAGAAGCCGTCAGGCATACCGGTCAGATCTAAATATTCTAGGGAGGAGATAAAAATAAAACAGTGTACCTGAGTGAATAACCTTCCAATAGTTAAAATCTTGAACAGCCTTATGAAAGTGCTTTCATTTCCCACCATATTCCCCACCTCCATTTTCTGATCTACTTGTAAATTTTAACTTTCAGAAGGCAGAATATGTTTCAGATTGTTAACAGCTAGAATAGCAAAAAGACTGGGTTGGCCTTTTTTTTTTTTTTTTTTTTCATGAAGTGTTTCATCCTAACTAAAAGCTGTGAAGGAGGTCATCCCTCAAGTACAAATCACTGGGACTGTACATCCCCAAGGACTACTCATCCAGACAAGCATTTTTTTAAAAATATAAATTAAACCTCTTTTGTTTTTGAGGTGTGGCTGACTTATTTCTCAAGGAATATGCATAGCAGACATAAAGAGACTTCTTTAGACAATTGGGTCTCAAACTTCAGTGTATATCTAGATTACCTGGGAGATTTTGTCTAAGATGCAGATTTGTAGGCCCTGCCCCATATTTACCAAATTAGAATATATGATACATTGGGGAATACATGAGGTCTAATCCCCACAATGTAAGAAGGAGTAAACAAGAAATACAAAATATTTTTGTTTGATGATTTAAAAAATTACATACCAGAAAAATTAGACAAATCTGAACATGGACTAAGTCCTCCCCACACCCCCACTACCCCATTCCTACCCCTTTCCACCTAGTGTTTCTTTTGCTTTTTAATTATTCAAGGCTTGCATTTAATTTGAGCTTGAAAATGCCCTTCATATGGTATCCCTTGTCTGCAGCACAGTATTCAGAATTAAGCAGGCAGCCCACCAACGTTCACTAAGTATCTGGCAGTGGCTAAGAGATGAGAGAACAAGTGGAGTTTTGGAAGGAGACCAAGATATGGCCAAATTTCTCATGGCTTTGGGGAGAACTCTGTAGTAAAAAGGATTGTATTTCAGGGATACTTTAAACATAGTTTTTGTGTCCCCAGAAGAATATTTTACTTTCATGATTGTATGAGGTAGATTTTCAGAGTTAAATGGATTCATCTGTGGATTCATTTGACTAGAGATGCTCAGGTTCTCTATTCTTTGATTTTCTATGATCACTTATAGGGAATGCTCTTCTGAGATCTACAGAATACCAGAAAAAAAAATCATGAGTAGGTTATCATGAAGAGAATAATGATGACCAGACATATTTTGAGCTACTATTCTTGGCAAGTATTTACAAGAGAAAGCACTTTCACATTCTGAAATAATTGAGGAAACATCCTTCCCTCTTTTTCTCCCTTTTCTACATATTTTTCCTTCTTTCTATCTTAAATAGGTATTTTGGCTATAAAGGGTATAAAAATAAAAATCTAGAGTTATCTAGATCTGTTTTGCCTCTATGGCTAATTGTGTCTAATTGCCAGAACAATAGTACCTGCTGGAGAGCATTCTTATAGGATAATACTTGAAAGGCACATAGTATAAAACCTAGCATATAGTAGACTTTAGTAAATAGTCACTGAATGACTCACTCACAGAATGTGAGATGTGTTTGTGTATGCTTCCAATAAGAAGTTTAGCTCAACCCCTTGAAGTCCAAATTTCAAATGGAAATTTCTGAGAGATAATGCAGGACCATTGATAACTTAATGTCCTCTAGAGAGTAATATCGTAAATAAGATTCCTGTACAATATTTTTTTCTCATTTTGGATATCCCTAAGGTGCTCATACTGTCTAAGTTTCACTACAAAAAAATGGTTGCATGAGTATTTTATCCAAGAGACATCATTGGTTAAAGAAGATAGACTTGTTGAAGAGAGCACATCTTTTTGACAATTTGGAGGCTAAAAAGCAAATCGCCCTGAAATTAAAATATATATAACCCCCAAATAATGAACTATCTCTTTTTGAGTAACTACGTTGATCAAAGAACCAAGTAGATAATATCGTATAATGTTTCTAATCAAGCCAAAGTCACCTGTATTTCTCTCATTTCCCAAAAATGTCAGCTGTTATCCACAATAAATAAAATTTCACATTTTGTGACAAGACTATTAAAGGGAAAGTACAAAGCTAGTCTAAAATAGAGAATAATAATAAGTTATCAAAATACTTTTGCTTCAGGTATACATCATAATGTTTGTTATACTTATTTTCTTCCTGGGAATTTTCTGTTCTAAAAAGGATAGTGTCGTGAACAAGAGGATATATCAGAAAACATTCTTTAGAAGAAATTTCAGCTGCAAAGCATCATGCTCTTATAAATTTATTGCAATATCCATTTCCCACTACTGTCAACCCCATACGTGGGCCATTTCCAGAACTACCATCCAGTTGTATGCAAGAGAAACCTAGGAGTTTTTCCTCATATCTTTTCTGCTCACTCTCTATAACCAAGTCCTATCAGTTTTTATCTCCTATGTATTCGTCAAACCAATCCATTTCACTCCATCTCCATAGCTACCATCCTAGTATAAGTCACTTTTTCTCCTACCTGGTTTACTACAATACCATCACAACTAGTTTATTTTCCCTCTCCAGCACTGCAACTATCCATTTTCCTTACTGCAGCTCAAATGATCTTTTTGGATTACAATGTGGATCATGCAATTCTTAAAGACTTCTCTTTTTTTTAAGGAAAAGATAAAAATCCTTAGCTTGGCCAATTCTCTGCAAAGTCTTATTATTTCTATCCGCATACCTTTCCATCCTCTATCTGGCTTTATTTCCCTCCTAACCTTCTGTACTGATTTTAACAATAATCTATGTTTACAATGTAAGGAACAAGTTTCTTCTGTCCACATTACTTTGCAGTAGGCCAATTAAGGTACATACTTTGAATAAATATTCAAAATAATAAATCTGATTTACGGCTGGAGAACTGAGGTTTGGGTATTCATAAACAACATAAAATATGTTGTATCAAAAGTTAATTTCTTCATTGCAGAATTGTAGCATAAATTCATTCTAGTCATATGAAAACTACACAGTTAGGCTGGGTGCAGTGGCTCATGCCTGTAATCCCAGAACTTTTGGAGGCCGAGGCAAGCAGATCACGAGGTCAGGAGTTTGAGACCAAGCTGGCCAATATGGTGAAACCCCATCTCTACTAAAAAAATTAAAAAATTAGTCGGGAGTGGTGGTGCGCACCTGTAGTCCCAGCTACTCAGGAGCCTGAGGCAGGAGAATCACTTGAACTGGGGAGGCGGAGGTTGCAGTGAGCCAAGATTGTGCCACTGTACTCCAGTCTGGGGGACAGAGTGAGACTCTGTCTCAACAACAACAACAAAAAAAAAAAAAAGAGAGAGAGAGAGAGAAAAGAAAGAAAACTACACAAGAATGAGGTGTGATATATGTTACAGTACATATTTACCTAACTTTGTGTGATCAAATGGTCTAGTTCAAGTAAATAGAAGCTTTCAAAGCACTGTATTTGTTTTAAAGAATGATAAAAGTGGTTATTTTTCCTCCAGCTAAGCTTTTCAAATACTTTTTAGATATTGTATCTTGTTAGCAAACTTCAGTGAACTGTTTGACTTCTTTGAGTCTTTTTCCTTCAGTAAAATGGGGTGAATAACACACAGGTTTGTTGCGGGAATTTAATGAGACTGTGTAAAGAAAACCGTGACATGGCATAAATGCATAGCATGTACTTTTGTTCCCCTTTCCCTTTTTTATTTTCTTTTGATTGCCTTACTAATATGACTTTGAAAAGATGAAAATATACTTCAACTAGTTCTCACTCAGAAACACAGAATATTTTTATGCTGGAAAGGATGTAAAGATCATTGAGTTCAACATCCTCATTTTACAGATGAGAAATCTCAGTTCCCAGGTGATGCCTCAGGTCACATAGCTAGTTAGTGAGAAAGTTGGGACCAAAAAGAATATCTTCTGAATCTCACTTTAAGTCATTTTGTATTACAGCACAATAATTTGGGTAGGTTTTTCTTGTATTTGTCTATCTCCTTCTGTTATTTTTCTACTCATGTGTTTCAGTTTAAAACTAATTGCCCCAAATTTATATCTAAATCTAGGTTAGAGTTATCTCATAATTTTCAGAAAGTCAATCTTAACTGCAAATATATTATGCCAAAGACTTCAGGTTTTGAAAGAAAAAGGTCTGAGCTTGATTCCTGAATCTGCTATTTATTAGCTGAATAACCTTGGGCAAGTCACTTAACTTTTTTGAGCCCCAATAACCTCACTTGTTAAATGGGAAATGTAACACCTATCTCAAATGGTTAACATGAGGATTATATGTGAGATAAACTATGAATGCAAAGAGCCAAATTAGAATAGTTCTTGACATCTAGTGAATCTGTAGAATGTAAACTTCCATTCCTTCTCCAAGAATCTGCAGAATTCAGCCCCAAAATAACCAGAGCATCATACTTTGGAAGGTTTTGTATTAGATCGCCTAAGTCAAGGTGTAAGGAATGATAATGGGGGCCTGTGCAGTCGTGATTGTTAATAGAATTCAGAATATCCGTTTAAGTTTGCTTTCAAAGTTAAATAGAAATTCTGGCTTTTTAAAGTGTCTTTGAAATGAACTGGCTTTCTTCTACTCCTATTTCTATTGAAAAATCACATATAAATTCCTCTTTTTTGATAACGAGAGAAAAGAGAACTATCAGCGGGGAAATTTTACCTATGACTGATGCTTCCAGTCAACTTAAAAGAGCAACTATCTCAGATGTAAAAATTCTGACACATCACTTTATGATAAAACTACATAAAACAGCCACAAGTTTAATCCATTAACTCAGCTCTGCAAAATGACAAAATTAAGTCTTTGATATGAATATCCTTCAAATAGTTCTCTTTCTCCTCCAATTTTCCCACACAGGTCTCCCCCTGCCCCCTAACTTGGTGGGATTATATTTTACTTTGCTTTTGAGAGTAGCAGAATAAATAGTCACTGTACAAGTTTACTTCTTGGATGTCAGATTGTGGTGCTAAATTGTGCAATCACAGGGAAGCAGAGCCAGAGTAAAGAATATGAAAAATGGAATTGCTTTTCTTCAAGATCTCCCAGTGGATGTATAATATTTTATCCTGTACCTTGATATTTCTCTTTTTATAGTTCTCAGAATATTTTCTTCTTGTTATTATAAGGAGCCAAATTTAGTAAAGGATAAAGATGAATACATTTCAAGCCCCATTTGATGGCTTAGAAAACTGAGGCAAAGTGGTAGAATGAATTTATCTGGATCACACAACTTTTTAGTAGCATTGCTACTGATAATTCTTCTGTTTCCCAGTCCAAAACTCTACTCTTTGTGACCTTATAAGGAATTTATAAACCCTAGAGAAAGAAATATAGCTAGTGCAAAGTGCTAGATAAAATTACTGAAAATGAGGTGCTCCAAAACCTCAGAGACCAGCTTATGAGAAGCATCTTCTCTGTGGGTATTCAAATCTGAAAGAGCCAGCTGCCAAAATTCTCAAGGAATAAGTGGAAATGACCAGAAGATCTACAGATGGTTGAAATGGTCATGCTTCTCAAAGGTGCAAAATATAAATATATGGAATTTGCTCCGATGAACACCAGCTACTAAATCAAATGTGTGTATTTTTCATATAATGTGCAGACTATTTACAGTTTGAGCCTGACATTTATGCTTAAGATTAACACAAAAGACTGCTCTATAGGCCCCGTTCTACTAATGTGATCAAAACAACATTCCATTTTACTTCCATACAACCTAGTTCTTTGTATTTGGGGTACTTTCTTTGAAGATGGCTTGGTGCTTTATTTGAAGATGGCTTATTTTTTGTTTGAAAATGTTTTAATTTTTACCTTTAACATATCCAAGGCACTTGTTTACACCTCCATACTCAACTTTATCTTTAAAATTTAGGCTAGAAGAAAAGCAATCAGAAAGTTCAGAGAAATTAAAGAAGAATGGAACAGAAAGAAATATTGAGTTTGAAGATAAGCAAACTCAATATTTGGAGGTTAAATTTCTAGAGTGCAGAAATAGCATTTCTTCAATCGTGGGATGTTATGTGCCTGGGGTGAATTCTAGGTGTATGTGCCAAGGCCACAGAAATTACTGAACATTATTAAAATTTTCAAGGCCCTTACCCTTGCCTCTACTTAACAAGGTGAAGTGGGTGCTTACAAGGTATACCTGGACTTCAACCTCAATTCCTTATTTGTGCTCTGACTAAATGGAGCTTAGCCCTCTCAGCAGGAATCCCAATAACTTTATTAGTCCTTCCCAGCACAGAATTGCTAGAAACCAGATCTTGATCCCATATCCCTTATTACTATCCAGCAAGTGGTTTCAAACTAAATAGATCATGAGGAACCTTAATGCCTTTCTGGCTTCAATTATTATCACCATCAGAAAACTCCTATTCTAACTACAATTTGTCCTGTTGGACTCTCCTGGATAAGGTATAGATCCAGGTCAAGTCTGAGCTCACCACTTTCTTCCCTCAGTGTAGTTGGAGCTGCTGGATATTCCCTGTATGGCCAGCTTTATAATCCAGTGAATTCTCAGCTGTATAATGCAACTGTCTTGCACAGGACTGCCTTTGCACATGCACTTGCCCCCCACTCCTAGTGCCTATTTCCTGCTGAGCTCCCTGTTGTGCCTTTGGGAACAGCCTATCTAGGTTACAATATGCTAAACTATTTTACACCCTATACCTTGCTTGCTTGGTTCAGCCTTGGTCAGTCAATCATTTCAAAGTTGAAAACTTTCCTCCTAACCCAGAGTAAACAGCCATCTATCCTTGGCATTCTACATCTGACTGACTTCATAGGGATATTATGTAAAAGGAAGAAGGCAGAAGTAAGAAGACAGAAAGAACGTAATTTTTAGAAATAAAAAGGTGTATAGTAAATATATTTATTTCCTTCTCAAAGGAAGGGAATGGATATATATTAATTTACACATGTGACTGTCATCAACATATAATAGGAAAGAAAGCATGCTAAATCCTATAGAAGCTAATAATTTTTATCACTTCTCAAGGTAAGATGATGTTTGATATAATGTCAATTCCTTACGATTCATCCTTTGTTAATTTCAAAAAGTCAAAGTTAAAAAGGACCCTTTTAAAAAAAAATCCTCGATTATGTTAAATGAAAGGGTGGGATATTAAAAAGTGTGTGATATGCTCATAATTTGTTTAAATATGTTCCTTTCTCTGCAGACAAGCCTAGGAGATGCAAGAGAAGCAAAAATAGCCAATCACATTCAGTTTATTTTTTGAGACATCAGTTGGATAACTCACTCCTCCTCCAAGGGGTGGAATGAATAGGGGTGACAGAGAAACAGAGTGGTACTCCAGAAAAGTCCTTTCATATAGAAACATGAGAAAGCAGAAAGCATTACTTGGTACAGAAGATAAGATGCAACACCTCTGTTCATCTAACCCTCTCAGGATTTGGATTATAGATTATTCAAGATGTCAGTTGAAAAGACAAATCTGAGTATTGCTAATTTTGATTCTAGAATTGAAGTAGAAGGAGAATAGAGAAGTTGTAGATGAGAGGCAGGCTCTTTAGGATGGAAAGAGGCTAAGCAGTTTGAGTAGAAGGGCCAATAAAATTCCATGGTATAGGATGACTAAAAGGCTTTCAAGGACAAGATAATAATGCCAAATTGTCAAAAGTTATTTGCATTACTGAAATGTTTCCTCCTTTCTAAATATTCAACAAGGCTGTTTCACTTAAAAATGATTTTTTGTGAGTAAAGTTGTATATATGTGTTCATGTTTGAATATATATCAAAGCAAACAGAATTTTGCATCAGGGTTGGTAGAATTAAAGTTTGCATGAATAGAAACAAGAGCCATGAGACCAAGGTAGTCATGAAAATGTCCCCTTGAATTTTCAGAAATATTAAAGAAGTCATGGAATTGGTGGGAGGACTTTAACCCAATTTAATCTAGAGCTTGAGAAAAAGTAAAAACACAGATCACTTATGGGACTGAGAGCCAGAAATAAGATTGATCATGGATATGGAACTGGAGATAGTATTTATCAGAATCACTACCCATATTTTTAACTAGCATTGTGAACATGACATGGGATATTCTGTCTAGTTAAGATGTAAAAGGGAACCAGCTTACACCATTATTCAGAAATCATTCATTTAGCCTACATTTACTGAATATCTACACTGTGTCATTTCCCATGTTAGGAATCAGTAACACAATGATTCATCCCCTCATGGAGAAGCAACAAAATCATATGGTGTTCAACTTCCTATTTCAAATAGGTGACTGATGTGGTGGAAAGTGACCATGACGGAGATCAGAAAAACCAAGTTCATAACCAAACTCTTTCCTAACTAGCTGTGTTACCTTGAGTATGTCTTGTTATTTTTAGGCCTCACCTCTTTATTTTCGAGATTAAATGGTTAAACTGATGGTGTCTAAGATCTCTTACCACTTTAACACCCCATAATTTGTATTTTATTACTTGAGGCTTTCTAAATCAGATATCCATAGAAAATTCTTAGCATTTCTTCTTTATAATAAGTGACCAAAATGAATGTATGAGCACCAAAACAACAATTTACCCAATAAAAAATGCCATTAAAGTCAGTGCAACACACAATCTAAAAGTAAGTCTCTAAAAAATGAATTTTCAAACCACCATTGCCAACAACAGTCCATGCAGTAAAATTGGGAAGGTTGAAGAAGAAAGGGAGAGAATACTTACACAGTTCAACCACTAAAATGAGTCAATACCTATATAAGATGCTTTGTGTATACTTCCTTATTTAATTCTTACTGCATTCCAAGGTATGGGGATTATTAAATACCTCTATGTAAGGATATAAGGAAACTAAGATAAGAAACAACAAGCAACCTGTACAGCCTTACACAGCTAGACAAGACACTTGAACCCAAGTTTCTGACCCTAGTAACCATGCTTTCTTCACTATATCAAACAGCTTTCTATATGGAAAGGCCATTTTACATTTACTTTGTTCTCTATTTTCTGCACAACTCTCCTCTGTTTCATACTTCTTCTCAGGATAAGGAAAGAAGGACAAAATTGCAAAAGACATGCTATTAAATAAGTGAATATTCCATTTATTTACGGGTAGGATAAAAATCAGAGATTTAAAATTCTAAAGAAAGTATTTACAGTGTTTCTTTAGAAGGTCACAGTGAACATAATCTTTCAATCTTCAAAACACTCATTAAAAAAACTGAACCTATCTGCATACTGTGTGATGGCGCATTCATGACACAGCTGTCCTAAGAAACTATTTTCCCACCTGGAGTTTTAATGGAGTGTACTACTGAATACATCCAACATGGGGAGTTATTTAGATCACATTTCTATGCGTCCTCCACTTCATTCTCCTAGGAAGGCTGAAAGTCGGGAAGAGAAATAACAGAGTTTCTCTCTAATTTGGAATTTAAGAAAAATGAGCCAGCAGGAGTGTGTGAATGTTTCATGGGTTAAAGAGAGTAAGCTGTACTATCACCTTTTCATCTCTCTTTGTAGAAATCTTGACCTCTCCTGCCCTCATGGCACATTCCTCAGTGTTTTGTCATTACTATTGAATATTAGGTGAAGAATAAGGCTCAGTATCAAAAGAAGTAGAGGCACAGATTTTAAGGACCTTGGAGAGTAAATGTAAGAGCAGGAAGCGCACAGGGCAAGAACAGTTATGAATAAGTAGAAAGATAAGGGTAGATGAGGCCTAAAAAAGGAGAAGAAAACAAATACGGACTAGAAAGAGAGATAAGTTAAAGGAAGAAATGAAAGAGAAAGGGCAGCACAAAGGAAAAACTAGACATTAAGGAAAACATACTTGGCGTCTTGGAATGATCTAATAGCAGGAATCTTCATTAAATGTCAATACTTACAAGCTTTTTTTTTTTCCCAAAATACATCACTCATTTATATTGCTCACACCTCATGTTTGTTATGTCTCCATTTTTCTGTTGCTTCAGTAAGTTTCAGCTGGCTAGAAGCAAAGATATGTTTTTAAGCCATAATGTAAGCTAAAATAGACAGTTAAAAAGCCAATATTTTATTCCATTTTATGTTAAATCTTTTTTATAAACTTTTTCAATTCATGAAAAACTTCAGATATGCATAGAAGTTTCAAAAAATCCATAAACCACATGTGTGTCCTCTCCACTGGCATTAAATAGATAATAAAAATATATTTTATTTGATTTAGGTATGGTTTTAAAGTAAATAACTATACATATAGCTAAATTGTAACATAGTGTCCTCTCATACTGGCCTCAATTACCAGGAGACACTCTCTAGAAGTTGATGGGTGTCATTCCCATGTACTATTACCCACCCTTCAGAACTTCCCAAACTACAACTTTGGGTGTCTATACACCTAGACTCCAAGATAATAGAGGTGGATACAGTTAATCTGTCCATGTTGTCCTCTCTTCTTATAATTCCCTCTTTCTTAAGGATATGCTTTTATGGCCTTCATCTTTAATTCAACAGCTTAAGATGTTTTGACACGTGCCTCTTCCCTTCAGCCCAGATTCAACATTCTAAAGATAAGAATAGTTATATAAAATTTCATATTATACCTTTTCCTTATGTATGCACTTCATTCTTTCTGCTAATCAATATGCCTGAGAACACATTTGCTTCAGATATCTATACATAGCTCTACTCTGGTCTATCACATGTCTATAGATTTTGAGGTGCTTACTTTAACAGAAAAAAACTTTTTTCTTTTTATTTTCTTTGCTTCTAAGTTCTTTGCACACTGGCAGCACATCACAGTGTTCGATTCATTGTAGGAACTCAGTTGACATGTGCTGAATGAATTAATGCATGAACTGCTTTGAATAAATGAATGAATGAATCAGTCCACCAAAATCCATAGCCAATGCTTACAGAGCCAGAACCCACACTTCGGACTTCTCAAATCAACTGCACGGTACTTTTCATTCTGCCAAAGTAACTATCAAAACAGACTGTAGATGTCTAAATATATTATTCACATTCTTGGGATGTAAAGAGAAAAACTGTTTTCCAGATCAAGATGTTTGATTTATTTTTAATAACTCTTCATTGTATATTTTATACAGTCTCAAGTCACAGAAAACTGAAAAGCTGAAATTCAACATTGGCTAGTGTCAAATGATTCCTTTTAAAAAAAAAAAAAAGATTTTGGTTTTAGGAGTGAAACAAATGGATCATGGAGAATGAATGCAGTAGATCATTACACAAGCGATCAGTCAGCATCTTTGCCTCCACATTAAGATTACCGAGTGAACAGCTCAGATTTATAATATCTGAATTTCATGCCAGCATAAAACCCACAACCTAGCCTGAGTTATCATGAGACATTAGGAATAAAGTATGGTGATAATATATCCATCCAGTTGCTACATAAACGGAAACACTGTGAGAAAGTTGGCTGAGCACCTTAATAACCTAATTCATAATGTCTCCAAAAAGCCATACAATGATTTAGGGGAAATAATGAATGCCAGATAAAGACATATATAATTTAAGATACGTATGTATCATACATATTTCAGTCTTTAGACTTAAACAGTGTGTTAGACTTGCCTAGAATTGTCCACTAAAAGATAAAATATTCTGATTTTTTTTCTGCGGCTGTCAAGACATCCTTATATAGTTTCATTAGTTGTTAAGGTTGAAAATGTACCTTTCTCATATTTTTCTAAAGAAATTTCTCAAGTAGTGAAATTACATTGACTTTCTAGGTAGACAAACCAGTCCTCTCACATACTAGCTACATTGATATGAGTAAGTTATTTAACTTCTCCAAGGTTCAGTTTTCTCAGTACATAAAATTAACTTAATTACATTGCAGCAAAGACACGGCAATATGTTCACCAAAATCAGAGTCATTTTTATCTTGGGAAGACTGTCTTACTACATTTTCTAGCCTCCTTTGCAATTAGTTGGAGTAATTTGACTGAACTAGCTAATAAAATGGTGGTAGAAAGTAGACAGTCCGTTTATCAGCCTGGTCCTGATCCTTAAAACCTCCTATGTGTAATTCATTCTTTCTCATACTTTCTTTACTTGCTAATCAGTTGTCCAGTGAAGGACTTCAAGATCTTAGGTGGTAAAGCCATCAATGGAAGAAACCTGGATTCTGAATGATTCTAATAAACAAAATTTGCAATGTTCTGGACCCCACCACCCACGCCTCACTGGCCTATATTGGACTGTGACATCAGTGAAAATTTTTATTGTGTTGAGCCACTAATATATTTGGTTATTTGTTATGGCAGTTAGTCTACAGTGACTAATACAAGTACCTATTTTAGAGAGTTACTGAGTTATGAGATAAGTTTATGACTATAAAAAGCATACTACAGGGTGGATGCAGTGGCTCAGCCTGTAATCCCAGCAGTTTGGGAAGCCGAGGTAGGCGGATCACCTGAGGTCAGGAGTTTGAGACCAGCCTGACCCAACATGGAGAAACCCCATCTCTACTAAAAATACAAAATTAGCTGAGTGTGGTTGTGAGCACCTGTAGTCCCAGCTACTCAGGAGGCTGAGTCAGGAGGATCACTTGAACCCGGGAGGCAAAGGTTGTGGTGAGCCGAGATCGTGCCATTGCACTCCAGTCTGGCAACAGAGTGAGATACCGTCTCAAAAAAATAAGTAAATAAAAGTCAAGCACAGTGGCTCACGCCTGTAATCCCAGCACTTTGAGAGGCCGAGGTGGGTAGATCATGAGGACAGGAGACCGAGACCATCCTGGCCAACATGGTGAAACACCGTCTCTGCTAAAAATATAAAAATTAGCTGAGTGTGGTTGTGCACACCTGTAATCCCAGCTACTCAGGAGGCAGAGGCAGGAGAATCACTTGAACCCGCAAGGCAGAGACTGCAGTGAGCCGAGATCGCACCACTGCACTCCAGCCTGGCGACAGAGCGAGACTCCGTCTCAAAAAACAAAAATTAAAAAAGCATAGTACAGTTTAACAGAGTCAGGTACTTAGTCTCAGCTTAGTTCCACTTCCTCTTTGCTCAGCATAAAGATCCAAATATGTCTCGCCTTTACATTTCAACCTTTACATTTGACCCCTTTGCGATCATGTGTAAAAGAAGGAATATCTTCCTGGGATACTAACTCACTTTACAATAATAATGTGCAGTCGTTTCTTATAGTATTTTTTTTATTGTTGAAATCATAATTTCTTTTCATCTTTTCATCCAACACTTTTTGACACATGCAGATAAACAATTTGGAATACAGTTTGGAGACCTAATGCAATTCAGAATGTCATTTGAATTTATGCCATAAAATGTAAACTCCAACTGGAAATTCTTTAGAAGGAATCTATAACTCAAAGATATTTTCTATAACTGTAACAAAGGATACATGTGACATCTAGCTAGTCATTGCTCTGTGCCTATAGAAAATGATTGGGATAGAGAAATGATGGTTGACAATTTAATTCTAATTAAAAATATATGTAAGTTTATTCCAAAATAAGTCGGGATGCTTTGGTCTATTTAAAAAATTTATTAGCAAAATCCCATTTAAGTGGAAGACAAACAGTGATAGAGTCATTAATCTAGGCTGACGGAATTTATGGTCTGAAAAGTTCTAAAGTTTGTTTTGAATTACACCGGTTACATTTCACATTTTGAAATGAGCATCTGAGCAGTTTTATATACACATAGATACTTGGTGGCTTGTTATCATTAAGTCAACTCTTCTTTTTAGAGGGTTTTTTTTTTTTTGCAAAAGGTCTAGGCATAACCTCTAAATTTAGAACATAAATATTCCTGAAAATTTAGCTGCACCTTTGCAATCCAAGTTATCAGTGTCACTTTGCCACTGGGTCACATTATCTAAATCTCACTTTTATTGAATACTTGCTGTGAACCTGCCTCACAGGGCACTTTACAGATCTATTTTATCCACTCCTCATGGCAACACCATGAGGTAGATGACAGCATCAATCACAGTGTCGTCCATGAGAAAACTAAAACTTAAAGAGGTTGAGTTACTGCTCTTGCTTCTAAAGCCCATGAACTTTCTTATCCAAATGAGACTTGCCAATATGGAGCACACAGGTTATATATCTGTTATGGTACATTTCTGTTGCAAATACAAAATTGCCCCTTCTTTCTACTCTGCTATCAGTGGGGTGTGTGTATCTTCTCTTTTCCTCCTCTTCGCCTCCTCTAAGCATGACAGTGGACAGTATGTGTGTGTGTGGCAAGAAAACACCTCCTACAGCTTCACAGAGCTTGGATTATTAACTTGGAACAAATGCCAACACTGCCCACAGCTCTAAAGCCTCAACTGCTGAGTGTAACCAAGCCACTTCAGATTGTCCTTGTTTAAGAGATGCTCTGATGCCCACACACGACCCTTGTTAAGTCCCTTCTCTCACCCTTCTGAAGCAACACCTGAGACAATGGTGTAGACTCCACAACTCAAAATGTGTACGATTGCTTAGTTCAAATTCTTTAACCACCTATTTGACATTGTATATTGAATTGTGTCACAATTACAGTCAGTGATTTTATTATAAGTCCTAACATCTTAAGTGCTGCCTTGACATTTTCGAGCCTTATAGAGCCCCAAACCCCTAAATGCAAGTTCCCTTATTCTTCCCAGATATGCTCCTCACTCAAGGGGAAGGCTTCCCACCTGGCTGCACTCCACCCACACCAGACCAGCGGCACTCCACCCACACCAGACCAGCGGCACTCCACCCACACCAGACCAACTGCACTCCACCCAGTCTTCAACCTAACAGCTTTCACTTCCCTGCTAGCCCATGGAATGACTCAAACATCTAATTGCATCCTCCCTCAGGAATGAGGGGGCACCCCTGCTCCTGTTATGACAAAACCTATCTCCAACAGCCTCTTTGGGTCCCCTGTGTGGCCCTGAAGAGCATGAAGTGTCCTCCCCCAGGTGATGAGGGTGACTAATAAACTGTTGTCCATCTCATCTGTCCAGTTTTGGGCATCACATAGTCAGCCACCTCATCCTATTTAGGGCAGAAGAATTCCCCTTTGCCAGTAGGGGGAATAGAAGATAATCAGAACAGTAGTTCCTAGCATTTAAATTTTACAAGCACATTTTTGTTTAAAAAAATATACAATTTACTACACAGAAGATAGAAGAGACATGTTAACCAATATATTTAGGACTTAATCTCAGAATAAATAACAGTTCTTCAAGTTGAATAATTAACTTAAGTAACTAAATTTATTTTAATGGAAGACTCACTGCCCTGTCTTTATTTTTTCATTGTGCTGTACATTGATGAAAGCTTAAGAACTGATTGGCACAGTCTGTGGACAGATGTGTGAGAAACACTGACTCCTGTGTCTAGAGTCTTTCACTATGTTTGGAAGTAAACTGATTTTCTTTGTTTGCTCTTGTCCACACCTGCATAAGACCTTGTATTGTCCCAACAGCTGCCAAGTTTTGGTAAAATAAAGGATGCAGTATTTAGGCCATTATTAGTACCAAATCAAATTGTCAGTCAATCTGGGAGTCCTCTCTATGACCTGTGACTACAACAGTCAAACCATTGAGTATTTTACTTTTTCTAGACATTGCCTTAAACTCATTCCATGTGAAGATTTCTATATCTCTTTAATTCATATGAATGATTAAATATGACATTTAGACCTCAGACCAAAAGTCTTTGGCACATAATTAAAGATCTCATCAAGGTGTAGACTGGGTTACTTTAAAAAATGATCATGGACACCACCCAACACAATTATACATTGGAAAATTACATAACCATTAAAAACAATAAACTAGATCTTCATGTGTTGGTATGGCAAGGTATTCTAGAAAGGTGGTACATTGAGGAATGGGATGTATAGTATACCCTAGTTATATAAGACAAAAGGAAGATTATACATACATGTGAAGACTGTATACGCATAAAAATTCTCTGAAAGAATTAAAGAAGAAATGGATAAAATGCTACCTCTTGAACAATGGACAACTGACTATCAAGTAAGGATTTACTTACAAGTACTTATAGTGCAGCCAGTTAGTGCTGTTGACTAAACAATCCCCATACAGTTTAGATTTTATTTGCATGGAGTAGCCAAGTTGGCATTCTCTTATGAAAATATAAAAGCTTAAAATAGATTATTACCTCAAGAGAGATTCAGTCAAACTCCCAAAAGATTAAGATAGTAAAGGAATGTCTGGGAATGTCAATGTGTTCTTATTAAAAAGGAGGTTTTGGTCTACTCTAATCTACCTGGAAAGCTCAAACTTACACAAAACTGTGCATGAAGAAAAATCAAAGAATGTCTCTATGGCACATGCACAGTATCTGAGTTTATATAGCATCACAACTATTTATCCAACAAGGTAAGCTTTACTGCATCACGTAATTCTCAACTGTTTTAATAAAGTAACCTGTTAGGAGAGCTTTCTTATTACTATCCATTTAACCATTTAAGATTCTCAACACAGAATTAACAATTTAGTGTTCACTAAACAGCTAATGCAGAGAAGATCTTCTAAAAATACAAGTTCAACTACTTAAGGATAATCTAGACCCATGATAGCAAAGTCATATCTTCCAAGTAACTTGGGCATTCTCTGTCATGGATAGTTTGTTATTACAAAGGCCATGCTTGTAACTCTTTTTTCAGTAAAAACACTTTTGGTTACCAACTGATGCATAACAAACCTCTCCAAACTTTTTGAAGTAAGATGGCACTGTTTAGTCAGGCAAGGTGGTGCACATCTGTAGTCCCAGCTACTTGGGAGGCTAAAGGGGGAGGATCACTTGAGTCCAGGAGAATGAGTCCAGACTAAGCGACACATTAAGACTATCTCCAAGATAACAGACAGACAAAAACAACACTCTTTTATTAATATCTCAGATTCTGTGATTCATGCATTTGGATACGAAAAAGTAAAGAAGTCTTGGCTCCATGATGTTTAGGGGTGGAATCATCTGGAATAAGAGTCAGCAAACTCCTTAAAGAGCCAGAAAGTAAATATTTTATGCTTTGTGGGCCATATACAGTCTCTGCTGCACATTTGTCTTTTTAAAATTATGCTTTAAGATTTAAAAAATCAATTTTAACTCATGGGTGTCCCAAAAACAGGCAGCAGGCCAGAGCTGGTCCACAGGCTGTAACTTGCCAACTCCTGACGTGGAGGCTTTTTCACTTTCATGTCTGGCATCCAGACTGTATGACTTAAAGCCCAGGCTCAGTTGAGACTGTCGACTTGAGCATCTATCCATAGCCTTTCCATGTGATTTGAGCATCTTAGCTAGATTCTAAGAGAATGTGTCTCATGAGAAAATACTGCCAAAGTTAGTGTACAAGAAAATAGGCGGAAACTACATGGTTTCTTCTTAACTGACTACAAAAGTCACACAGTATTTTTTCCCACTATATCCTATTCATAACAAATGAGTCAAAAAGGCCAACCTGATTCCAAGGAGGAAGAATTAATCTCCACCCTTCCTGGAAGAATAAGATCACATTGCACATGGGTACGTGAGATGACAGATGGTGTTGGGGCCAACTTTAGAATATACAACCTGCCATAACCCTTCTACGATTTGTAAGGGATTGTGAGAGAGAGAGGGAGGTATTCACACGTCAGTACTTGAAGGTAAGGCTATGGTACCATCTTATAATAAGATCCCTTATGTATTTAACTCACTTCCTGGATCCTCCCACATGATGAATTCTGTTCCCATGTTGATATTTGTCTACTTAACTCTTTTCAGGATATAATCCAGTTTTTTAACATTCAGTATTAATCAGAAGTACCTCACAAGAGTAAAAATGTAAAAATTAAAACAATTAGTCTGGAAAAGTTATGACTTCCAGCTCAAATTGCTATCTCTCTTATATTTGGTTTATACTAGCATCTGTTCTCCACAAACTTTGAAAATGGTTAACTTCTTCAAGTCAAAGTATTCTTTCAAGTTGATGTACCTTATATTGTGTGCAGTAATATATATGCCTCATTTTTTTCATAGTGGGGAGGTAGGTACATCTCAGCCACTCAGTTTTATAGAGACTTTTTTAAAGTTTGTAACATAAATTAAATATTTATGCCAGAGCTGCCAAAACAAAGACAAATAGCCATAGCAAACAATTCTCTTAATAAAATTCAATCACTATAATGAAAACTGTTGTCAAAAGGATAAATGCAAGTTAACTTTCAAAAAAGTTTTGCTTCATGATCCATGGAATTAATAACTCATGTCATGAACAATGAAAACTGAGTGCATCTTAATATTCTTTGTTACTCCTTTGTGTTCTTGCAAGTGTTTTTTAATTGAATGTCCATCTTTCTTGCAAGGGGTCCTTTCAGAGTTAAAAATATAATTATATTTTCTCATCTAATTAAAATGTCAATCAGTTATTCTGGCATATTAAATATAATGGCTGCTACCCAAGTTTTCTTTTCATTTAGATTCTGATTATTTTGCCATGTCACTCAAAAATCTATGCTTTGCAACTCGTCCAAGATTTTTTCCCCTCATTAGCATAAAACATCTTAGAGTCCTGCTGGTAGCACTTTATCTAGTGCAGGAAATGATTTGGATAATAAACAGCTGGAAACCAAAATGTTATGTACTGGCAGGGAAAAAAACAGATTAACAATTATACAAAATGAATATAAACTTTTCTCTACCATTCCTTGTAATTTTATATATTGAGTTTTAGAACTGAAAAAAAAGTCCCAGAAAAGTTTACCAGAAGATAGTCTATCAGACTTTCTCTTTCTTTTTCTCTCTCTACTTTATTTTTTTCCCACTTCTTCCAATTTTCTACTTTTCTTTACTCTCTCCTTACTGTCTATAAAATGTAGGGGTTGGACCAAATGATATCTAAAATGATTTCTAGTTTTAATTTTTCTGATTTGCATTAACTTAATATATTTTAGAGGTTCCAAGGGAGCAACTATGTTAGAAAAATTGGCATGAGGTCCATATTTTCATTTTCCCCCTTTACTCAGGACAACCTTTTCTACCATTCTCTTACTTCTGATATCTTTCTTTTGCCTTCATTTCCTGTCAAGCTACAAACACAAAATGTCTCTTTTACATAGCTTAATTCAATTTAAAATCAACCAAATCACTTGTCCTGCAATTTCTCTTCAGGCTATTCTCCATTCAGGGGAGAAAAAAAAACACATGAAGAAAAATATTTGTATATTTAAGGTCTTACATCCTATAGTTCCTGTGTTTAGCTCTTCTGAAAATGATACATTTCCTTTGGAAGAGACCACCATCGGAAAGAAAAATACCAACCTACCTGTTGTGTAATTTCTGAGCTATTATAGGGATTGAAAATGAGCAGGAAAATTGACAAGTCCTCAACTGCTAGCCAGGCCTAAAATTCTGACATTTGGATGAAAAAGCATAAAGCCAGTACTGAACTGTGATGAAATCGGGTGGTCTCTGATCCACAGGATGCTCCTAACTGCTTATAGGCAATTGAATCCCAAAAGTCATCACTCTTATTGACTTAAAATATGACTGAATGAGGTTTAAGCAAAAAGTGAAGTACTAGGGCCATTAATATTTTATTAATATTAGAAAAAGATTTCTTACCAGCGCAGTATAAAATAGACAACTAATTCATTTCAATTACTCATCTACAGTATTAATGATGAAAAGTTTTAGTTTCACATTGAGTGGAATGTGCTCTAGAAAAAAATAATAAGATAGAGTTATATCTCAGGAAAAGAAATAAGTGTACTGCTTCTCTGAAGTCTGTGATTTGGAATGACACTTGTTTTGGAGAACAGCTGCTACCTGAAATGAATGCCAATGTGCCAGCATTTTTTGTCTCAAGATATTTAAAGTGTAGCTATCTGCCCCTCTCTTTTTAATTCCACCTCTGCATTGGCTTACACACACTTAGAGATGAGACACTGAACACATGTCTCGGTGTGCTGTATTCTGGTTCATGCACGTTTTGTGTAATCTCACTGACCTCAAGACTGGTCTCCTTGCATCCCAGTAGGAATATTCAAGGATTAGGGCATGCAGAGTTTAAATCAATTTGGCCAGAAGACATAGTCACACTCAGTCATGATTTCCAAAATGAAAACCATTCAATGTTAAATAAGTCAGACATACTCTGTTCACAACAGGTCAATTCCAAGAGAATCTAACAAGAACTCTTTCATGTGAATTGTACAAATCAAATCCTCCAGCCACAGTGTGCAAGCTGCAAATGTCTGCCTTTCTTAATAGGAATCAGTACCACTCCTATCTGACATGGATCCAGTGGCTGACAAGGATGAAAATAATTACTCCATTAAATTTTCCATTGAGAAGGCAATTTCAATAAAATAAGTGCTTCTTCCCCTTTCCCACCTCCAAATCCTTTATTTATTCAATCTCTTCCTGAAAGCTAATATTCAACAAATCCTCTCATCTACTCTATCTTCTTATTTAAAAATGAACTAACTGGATTAAATAGTTATTACAGTAGTTTTGAAAGACAAATGGACCAGTAAACATAAATATGGCCAAGAATTTAAACTCAAGTAAGAGTTTTTATGCTATTGCTTTACTTGAATTTCATGCAATCCTTAAAGTCTTCACAACTTCCTTGGGCACATAAATAGATTAATATAAGGATTATCATATAGTAGGTACTCAAAAGATATGCGCTAATGGCTGGGCGCTGTGGCTGATGCCTGTAATCCCAGCACTCTGGGAGGCTGAGGCAGGTGGATCACCTGAGGTCAGGAGTTTGAGACCAGCCGGGCCAACATAATGAAACCCTTTTTCTACTAAAAATACAAAAAATAGCTGGGCATAGTGGCATGTGTCTGTAGTCCCAGGTACTCGGGAGGCTGCAGCAGGAGAATTAATTGAACCTGGGAGGCAGAGGTTGCAATGAGCTGAGATAGTGCAACCACACTCCAACCTGGGCAACAGAGTGTCAAAAAAACAAAAACAAAAACAAAAACAAAAGATATGCATTAAATATTTTTAGTTAAAGAATTCTATTATTCACTGACATTTCAGATACTTCTGAATTAAGCCTCTTGGGATGTTTTAAGAATTAAAATGACTTTTATTTGAAAATGTACTTCTTGTCTCTTTAAATAATTTGAAGTCTTTCCCAACCCCTCCAACTCTATAGTAATACAAAAACTAAAGGCAAGCTAGTATTAATTGCCTGTTCAGTGGTGTTATTTGGGTTGAATCTACATTCAAGACAGATACTACATTTTTATCTAAATTATTCTGTCAATAACGACTCACTAATGAGTTACTTGAATAAATTGGCATTTACCTATGCTATATTGACCCTTCAATTAAGCAAAATAATCAAAACTGACACATCCAAAAAGTGGCAGACACTTTGAACAAATAGTAAAACTACTGCAAACAGCTCTGAAGCTTTCCTTCAATGTTTAGGGGAAAAAAACACATTTAAGTAAGTGCATTTCTGGTTGTTATCGAAAAATATATAATACATGTATTATTTGCTACCTGTGTACCAGACAGAACCTCAAAAACAGTTGTAATGCCCAGTGAAAAACAGTTGCAATAGCACAGTGAAAACTGGCTACCTAGTAAATGCTGAATGAATTTGTTGAAGAATGAATGAATGCACAGATACCTTTATGTGTAAACATTTTAAGAGTTTCTGCTAATAAATTACAGGATATTCGAATAGATGCTAATCTAGTTTCTCCTAAGTATCTATTATTGCAGTTGTTTTATGGGGAAGAAAAACTTTAAAAAAGTTTTCAATACTGTCCTTAATGTACAGTTTTGAAATTAGGAGTTCCATTCTTGATGATTTGAGTAATAAAACACAGAGGTTAGGAATACAGGCTTTTTTGACTTTGACAGATTTAGCTTCAATTTCTGGCTCTGCTACTTGTTTAATGTGTAAATTTAGGCATGCTATTTAATCTCTTTAAGCTTACTTCATCACTACTCAAATAGGGAAAAGATTATCTACCACATAGGATTATACTGATCATTAAATATATAATAAATCAATTCATGGCCTGGCACATAGTAAGTCCTCCATAAATAACTTATAAAATACTTTGAAAATCCCTTAAAGCTACTGTACAGGGCAGGTAGCTAGGCATGAGGTAATTATAAATAAAATATAATGACTTGAAGATGAACCCAGTTCTCCTCAAAGTTTAAAACTATCTCTTTCAGAGAAGTTGAACCTTAAAATTCATGTTTAAATTTATAAATTAATAATATGTATTTTTCCAATAAAATGTACAACAGAGGTCTAAAATCTGAAACAGTTTGGTAATGTATTTATCTACATAAATGAGCTACAAGAAAAATTTATATTTCAAGTTAATTAAAAATGAGTAATATCAATAGCGCGGAAATCAAGAGTACTTATATCGCTACGGCTTTTACATACAACAAGTATAGAAAGTGGCCTAGAAAATGACACTGGACCTTTAATAAATAAAATATCTTTCCAGGCATGGTATCTGAACTATCCACTCAGTAACATGTAAAAGAATTTTAAAATTCAACACCAAGATAATTAACGTTCAGTGTATCTTTTTATAGGTTCTCCCCTCCATCAATCTGCCAACTTATATGAATCAATGTTGTACCCAAGCTAGATGTGCTAGATAAAGAGGCCAGAAGATGAAAAGCTAGACAGAAGATGAATACTGAACTCTCTTCAGTAACTAACTTCTTTACTTATGCTGCAATGTCTTTATTTACATACTTAAATTTTTCAATGCTATTCCACAGGATCTCTTTCTTTTCTATACTTGGAAAAATCTACTTTCATTTATAATTGTTTGGTTGGTTTTTTTTTTTTTTTTTTTTTTTGGTTTTTTTTGTTGTTGTTTTTGCTTTGTTGAAGGTGAATCATATCTCTATTCAAGGAACCTATCTTTTATAGCAATCATCTGGTCTAAATAATATAATCACTACAATAATATAATCACTAATGGATCACGTAATACTGAGCAAAGAGGATTATGGCTGTTGAGCAGAGGAGTTGGGGCAAGAGTCTGGAATTTGGATACCTGAAGGACTAGGGAAGTCACAAGAGTAAAAATCTGTGGGACAGTTAGCATTTCTCTCTCCAACTAAGCACCTATGATGTGCATAACATATAGAACACTAGAAAAGGAGTGAAATAACTTTGGTGAGCCATTTGAACTTTCTACCACTTTGAGATAAAGTAGTAGCTCATTTGAGTGGTTTCTGAATAGTTAACACTGTGAGACTTAAAGAAGGCCTGTGCTTATGTGACGCTCACTGGACTTTTGACTACACACCCCTATCTCCTAAGTGTACTCACCATCAGCATCGGCTTTACCCATATAATGCCAAAACAACTATTCTATCAAATCAGGCAAACTACAAATCAATCCTAACGTAGGGATGGGAGATCTGTTTAATAGTTTATTGAACTGAATTGAATACTTCAGTAAAAAGAGTTATATCCATAGCCCTTAGCAGACATGGGTTGTTTTTACTAAAGGACATTCAATTCCAAAATAAACACTAATCTTATTGAACAAAAGAACATTACGAAGAGACTCTTTCAAAGAACAAGATCTAAATGAGCTGGTATATTAGAGACATTATTGCAACTGGGTGATGTTTAAACTAAAATAAAGAAAAGGAAAATATTTGTCCTAAATCCTTCCGGCTGGGAAAACACTCATGATGATTCAGTAAATTCCATGGTGCACGTCATTTGCCATTAGGGGTCAATAAATAGAGCTATAACTCAACTCTGCTGTCAAATGATTCCCCGCTAGTGCCCATGAGGCATGACAAAGTAGAAGAGAAAATCATTCCAGAATTCAATATAAATATAAAATATGTATTTTTCTAAAAATACTAATTTCTTCATTGAATAATACAAAATTAGATCATCAAATAAGATTTTTCACTTAAGCAATACTAATGCTTATCAGTGAATGCTGTGATGATCTTTCCTTTAATAAAATTAATGTAGCACTGCTCACATATTTACTGAGTAAAGATCAATCTATGGATTCCAGTTAATTGTGCTGAGGTAAATCTGGATATCAAGACTTAATATTAGTCAAAATTTTGATAATCTAATATGCATGAATATCATATTTATTGTTTCTTAAGAAATAAACTGCTTTAGATAAATGCAAACCTTCCAAAGCTAAGAGAAAAGATTACTCAACCCCTTGCCCAAAATTAAGCCAATTAAACTAGTTCTTGACTTATTATTTAATAATCTTTGTAAGGAGATTCTTATTTCCTGTGATTTCCAAATTTACTTAAGAAGATTTTTTTAATTGCTATTGCTTTAATTTTTTTATTAGAGATTATCATCAGGAACAAACTTCACCTTGCAAGGTTCAAAGAGTTTAAAGGCCAATTGTTCACAAACATCAATATGAGAAACATCCACTTTCATGCATTAGTACCTGATTTAATGAGCAGGCTAGAAAGGAGCAGGCAGAGTGGTCAGGTGACAAATTGAGAGTCCAAAAACTAAAGATGCATAAATGGCATACAACAAATTATTTCTATCTCTATATATTAAACTGGAAGGTAACAAGACAGCAGAGAAAGATATATGAAAAATCACTAGGTACAACCCAAAAAGTGGAGGAAAAAAAATGCTGACAGACTAGAAATGGCAAGAAAAGATGGATGGGACACAGCGACAAGATGTGTTTGCTTTTTCAGCACACAACTTATTTATTTTATGGCTATATTGGTAATTCAATTGAAATGCTATGACCTGGTTACATCCTTGAATATTCAGATTGCATTACTTTTATTAGAAGCAATAAACCAAGTCCTCTTTTTATCCTTTTGTATTCAATAAAGAATAGAGTTAAATGCATATGGGAAGAAAATAAGAGCATTTCACTCAGGGGAACTCAGGGTTGCTATTTGGAGAATTTCCAGAAGATTAAGTTATAGCATTGGGAATTTATAGTTACTGGAACTTTAGAAGCTTATTTCATGACTGCATTTCATCTTTGGGGTTGATGTGCACTTTGAAAAAATGTTCTGCTAACTACATTAGCTCACTACTTAATGAAGAATCCATGCATAGAGGCCTATAATGACTAACTGGCAGTGCTTTTTGCAATTCACTGATTTTGTAAGTAGAGTCATTCTTTTTTGGGTCTGGTTAAAGAACCAACACTCTTCCCAGTTTCTTTTTAACACCCTGTATATTCATCCCATGACTGAAAAACTGTCAATTTAGTTTCCAATTTTAAACTTCTACTGCATTATTTTTATAATATAGATGAATATTATAAGTATTAAAATAGATGGATGAATTAGAGCCAGGAAATAACTTGTTTAGTTCAATGATATTTCCAAAGCACCGGAGTGAAGAAATAGGAGATTATAGCACTAACCTTGCTGTATATGTGGTACTTAATATTTTGCTATCTGTTTTTAACAGTCATTTACTGCTGTTACTCCTGTAAGGTAAGCTATTATTAGAGTCAGCCTTTCCAGCCTCCCTCTGAATATGTGGAGGGCAGTGGGCAGTCAGAGGGCATATTAAAATGTGACATCCAAATGCCTTATTTTTTAATTTGGAAAAATATAAATATATAGCAGTGACCTGGAAGAATAGAGATCACAGGATAATTTTAGCACTACTCCATGAAACAACAATTTAATTCAATAGTATGAAACTTAAAACTTATCTTTCATATTAAAACAGATATGGTATATTGTAGAGAAAAATGCAGAATGTGTATCAATCTTAAAAATAAACCGTGACTTAAAAAATCATGATTGTGGTAATATTTTATGGACAGGCCACCAAGTTATCCTTTCCTCTCCTTTGTCTTCAGAAGTGCCCTAGGACAAAAGTTGGAGAAGCCATAGTCTGAGGGGTTCTTAAGACACCCAACAAGATAGGCAATGTTTACTTTGAAACTTTCTGCTACCTGAAAGAGATCATGTACGAGTAGTTCTATAAATTTAGGTCAAGCTTCCACACTTACTCTTCTTATATCTCTCAACTGAGAAACAAGGTGATCAGATTAAATTTCTAATGTTTCTTTCCATTCTAGTCTGTAATCTGTATGGACAGAAGTAGGGGGTGCAGAGTTCCTGGAAGAATGGAAAGAGGTACCAATTTTATACTGTTTAAAATAAAAAATAAAGACATCTGGTCTAAAACTAGAGGTTGAAACAGGAGAAGAGGAGCTGGCAAGAAAGACAGTGCTAGGATGAAGCACTTTTGTTAATAAGACCTATAATTTATTGTGATATATGTTTTCTCACAATTAATTTCACAATAACCCTAAATGTAAATAAAATTATGTTTACTTTCCTGATGGGGACACTAATAATCAGAATGTAACTTGCAAATGTCATAGAACACACCAGTGGCTTGACTCCCAAGTCTCTATCTTAACAACTACATACGCACTGCAGTATTAAAATGCACAGATGTGAAGAAATAGGGGTTGATGCAGCTTCGTCAGTTAGAAACCCAATATGTGCAAGTTTGTTCTAGACAGACTTAGACAAAATTGGAGGCTACTTAGTGCTATGAGTCCATCAACTCTTTCAAAGGAGCAAGAAAGAAAAAAGTTTCTAAGCAGTGTTATGAAGGAAGGGGAAGGGGGTGGAGAGGAGGGAAATCTTCTCACACAGTGCCTTTTTTTTTCAGATCAAATTTTGAATTCCTTAAAAATGAAAATGCTTGGTAAGGGACAAAATGGATTCTGAAATATTGTCAGTCATGTGTACTTACTGTGAATTAATTTCTGATTACAGAGAGCAGATTTTTTTTTTTTAACAGATCTTGCCATGTTGCTCAAGCCAGTTTTGAGATTATAGGAATGCACCACTCTACCTGGCCCAGAGAGCAGATTATGAAAAGGAGGAAACCTTATGCAGGGTTCCCTGACTGCAGCGTCCAGGTCGCAACACTCATTACTATTTTTTATTGTGCCCACAGCAGTAACAGAAAGCCCAGTTTGTGCCTCTGTGACCAGTAGCTTAGGGATGGTTTCAGAATCAAAATCTTTTGGTTGCAAGTAACAGAAATGCCCTTGAGCTGGGAAGACAAATGGGGTTAAATTATTATAGGAATACAGGGTGTCTGGAGACATCTTCAGAAAAAAACATGAACCAACTCCTCCTGGTACTACAGATAACCCAGCAAGTCCTCTATCTTTGTCTCTTGTCTATGTTCATCTGTCTCTGATTCATTCTTCTTCCCCAGTAAAGACTGGCTTTCTCTGTTTTCCGGATTCCACAGAAAAACCCATTACCATCAATAGTTACCTAGCATACATCTCTGTTCTAAAGTCAGCCACACCTTAGAAAGACTTGAACTCTGGAATTTCTTTTTTTTTTTTTTTTTTTTTTTTTTGAGACAGAGTCTCACTCTGTCGCCCAGGCTGGAGTGCAGTGACACAATCTCAGCTCACTGCAAGCTCCGCCTCCCGGGTTCACGCCATTCTCCTGCCTCAGCCTCCTGAATAGCTGGGACTACAGGTGCCCGGCACGATGCCCGGCCAATTTTTTGTATTTTTAGTAGAGACAGGGTTTCACTGTGTTAGTCAGGATGGTCTTGATCTCCTGACCCTGTGATCTGCCCGCCTCGGCCTCCCAAAGTGCTGGGATTACAGACTTGAGCCACTGCGCCTGGCCTGGAATTTCTTAAAGACTCAATTTTAACTCATTAGCCCTGTTGGGTCATTTGAGGCCATGGGGCAAGATCATACTGGGGAGGCAAGCTGCTGTCATTATAACCATATGAATAGCAGAGGGGAGGATGAAGTTATCAGAGAAGAGAAAATCATTGAGAACTGGAGACAAGCCAATTGGGCTCCACCCTGAGAGGGAAATATTCTCCAGGAAAACCTGGATAATTAATGGATCTATGAGTCTTTGGTTCTTTTCTTTTTCCTTCAGAAGTCTCCTGAGGAAAGATTTTATCACTCAGATGGTTAGCATGCAACACAATCCCTCAAACTACCTCTAGAGAATAATTTTAATGTTATGATTGTATTGAATCTATTTATATCCTTCTTTCTAAACAGGTTTTGCAGCAGCTTACAAAAAGGAAATATGATTTTCTTAATGTGGATATGGCTATAGAACATAATATAATGTGACCAAATTCATTATCAATTTTGGTGCTAAACCTGATATTAAGACCCACAAATCCTTACTTTCTAGTTGTCTAACTTAGGAGAACACATGAAATGGAACCATGAGACAGTAGATACACTGATCCACCTATCAAATAATCAGTTCTTTATCTGTATAATTTACATGACTCAGGAGGAATGTTTCTTATGCTCAGTAAGCACAAGAGCCCCTGTAAAACTGGACTCACAATGAAATTCTATCTGCAAAATATTTTTGGTTTCATGGTTAAAGGCTGTAGAATTCTAGTATAAGCACATATGGTGCCCGAAGGTGCTTGGTTCTGCTTACTTTCATTCATTTATTCATTCATTTACCCAACAAATATTTACTGAACACAACTACTCTGTGCCAAGCACCATGATATAAGTAATAGGAAGGAAAAGACATAGCCTCTGATTTCAAAACTCAGTTGATTAAAACAGGACAACATGTTTGATACTACGATAGATCAAGTACAGAGAACCAAGGGTGCAGAAAGAAGAGTCTTGGTCAGGATGATTGAAGGAAATCTCACCTCTCAGGAGTCTTCATGGCGGTCTAATAGAAAGAAGCAAAAAGTGAGGAAGAGAATTTCCAACAAGAGGTACAGCAAGTTCAAATTACTGGTGTGGTGAGAGAACAAAGAAAGTTGAAGGAATTATATAAGTCATTAAATACAGGCTGAGCATACGGTTTGAGAAAAGACAGTGAGCCATTGCGAGAAGTGAGACTGTCTTCTTAATCATTCTTCTTAAAAGCAAATATTCATTCCATTAACAGATATACATAAAGCACCCATTATCTGTTCTTAATGTGTATTCAACTTAGAGATTCCATTAGGATAAGGTATTCTAAAAAGGAATACACTCCTATGTCCCACCCTCATCAAGGCTTCTGTAAAACTCAAGGCCCTTACTTGTAACCAGGGCCCCTGATCCCATCTTCCTGGACCCCATGTAAGCCCTTACTCATTAGTGCAAAAGTGTTCTCATTGACCTGATCACAGGAACTAAATTTGCATCAATGGCAACTCTTCTGTGAATCAATTCTCCATAGACTCCCAAAGCACCAAAGGGCTTTGTTACTTTAGGATATAACATGAATGAATGCAAAGCAATGCTATGATGTAAGGGTACTTCCCAAATTTTTCCACAGATGTGTATCATCCTCTCAATCCTCCAATGTGTATCATACGAGCCCTCAGACCCTCCCACTACTCCCACTCTATCAACTGCTCAGTTCTCTCCAAGTTCTTCTATACTTCATTCCTTTTGAAATTTCTCCCTCGATCTGAGTTCTAAAACAATTCATCACCAGAAGCTTCAGTCTCATGAAGTTCAGTGTTCTTTAATTCGACTCACAAAAGCACTTTAGTCGATCAAAAACATTTTATAACTTCAGAATCGGGGGGAGGAGCCAAGATGGCCAAATAGGAACAGCTCCGGTCTACAGCTCCCAGCGTGAGCGACGCAGAAGACGGGTGATTTCTGCATTTCTATCTGAGGTACCGGGTTCATCGCACTAGGGAGTGCCAGACAGTGGGCGCAGGTCAGTGGGTGCACGCACCGTGCGCGAGCCAAAGCAGGGCGAGGCATTGCCTCACTCAGGAAGTGCAAGGGGTCAGGGAGTTCCCTTTCCTAGTCAAAGAAACGGGTGACAGATGGTACCTGGAAAATCGGGTCACTCCCACCAGAATACTGCGCTTTTCCGACAGGCTTAAAAAACAGCTCACCAGGAGATTATATCCCGCACATGGCCCAGAGGGTCCTAAGCCCACAGAGTCTCGCTGATTGCTAGCACAGCAGTCTGAGATCAAACTGCAAGGCGGCAGCGAGGCTGGGGGAGGGGCGCCTGCCATTGCCCAGGATTGCTTAGGTAAACAAAGCAGCCAGGAAGCTGGAACTGGGTGGAGCCCACCACAGCTCAAGAAGGCCTGCCTGCCTCTGTAGGCTCCACCTCTGGGGGCAGGGCACAGACAAACAAAAAGACAGCAGTAACCTCTGCAGACTTAAATGTCCCTGTCTGACAGCTTTGAAGAGAGCAGTGGTTCTCCCAGCACACAGCTGGAGATCTGAGAATGGGCAGACTGCCTCCTCAAGTGGGTCCGTGAACCCTGACCCCCAAGCAGCCTAACTGGGAGGCACCCCCCAGTAGGGGCAGACTGACACCTCACACGGCCAGTACTCCAACAGACCTGCAGCTGAGGGTACTGTCTGTTAGAAGGAAAACTAACAAACAGAAAGGACATCCACACCAAAAACCCATCTGTACATCACCATCACCAAAGACCAAAAGTAGATAAAACCACAAAGATGGGGAAAAACAGAGGAGAAAAACTGGAAACTCTAAAAAGCATAGCGCCTCTCCTCCTCCAAAGGAATGCAGCTCCTCATCAGCAACGGAACAAAGCTGGATGGAGAATGACTTTGACGAGCTGAGAGAAGAAGGCTTCAGACGATCAAATTACTCCGAGCTACGGGAGGACATTCAAACCAAAGGCAAAGAAGTTGAAAACTTTGAAAAAAATTTAGAAGAATGTATAACTAGTATAACCAATACAGAGAAGTGCTTAAAGGAGATGATGGAGCTGAAAACCAAGGCTTGAGAACTACGTGAAGAATGCAGAAGCCTCAGGAGCCGATGCGATCAACTCAAAGAAAGGGTATCAGCGATGGAAGATGAAATGAATGAAATGAAGCAAGAAGGGAAGTTTAGAGAAAAAAGAATAAAAAGAAATGAGCAAAGCCTCCAAGAAATATGGGACTATGTGAAAAGACCAAATCTACGTCTGATTGGTGTACCTGAAAGTGACAGGGAGAATGGAACCAAGTTGGAAAACACTCTGCAGGATATTATCCAGGAGAACTTCCCCAATCTAGCAAGGCAGGCCAACATTCAGATTCAGGAAATACAGAGAACGCCACAAAGATACTCCTCGAGAAGAGCAACACCAAGACACATAATTGTCAGATTCACCAAAGTTGAAATGCAGGAAAAAATGTTAAGGGCAGCCAGAGAGAAAGGTCAGGTTACCCAAAAAGGGAAGCCCATCATACTAACAGCAGATCTCTCGGAAGAAACTCTACAAGCCAGAAGAGAGTGGGGGCCAATATTCCACATTCTTAAAGAAAAGAATTTTCAACCCAGAATTTCATATCCAGCCAAACTGAGCTTCATAAGTGAAGGAGAAATAAAATCCTTTACAGACAAGCAAATGCTGAGAGATTTTGTCACCACCAGGCCTGCCCTAAAAGAGCTCCTGAAGGAAGTGCTAAACATGGAAAGGAACAACCGGTACCAGCCACTGCAAAATCATGCCAAAATGTAAAGACCATCGAGACTAGGAAGAAACCTCATCAACTAACGAGCAAAATAACCAGCTAACATCATAATGACAGGATCAAATTCACACATAACAATATTAACGTTAAATGTAAATGGACTAAATGCTCCAATTAAAAGACACAGACTGGCAAATTGGATAAAGAGTCAAGAGCCATCAGTGTGCTGTATTCAGGAAACCCATCTCACGGGCAGAGACACACATAGGCTCAAAATGAAAGGATGGAGGAAGATCTACCAAGCAAATGGAAAACAAAAAAAGGCAGGGGTTGCAATCCTAGTCTCTGATAAAACAGACTTTAAACCAACAAAGATCAAAAGAGACAAAGAAGGCCATTACTTAATGGTAAAGGGATCAATTCAACAAGAAGAGCTAACTATCCTAAATATATATGCACCCAATACAGGAGCACCCAGATTCACAAAGCAAGTCCTGAGTGACCTACAAAGAGAGTTAGACTCCCACACATTAATAATGGGAGACGTTAACACCCCACTGTCAACATTAGACAGATCAACGAGACAGAAAGTCAACAAGGATACCCAGGAACTGAACTCAGCTCTGCACCAAGCGGACCTAATAGACATCTACAGGACTCTCCACCCCAAATCAACAGAATATACATTTTTTCAGCACCACACCACACCTATTCCAAAATTGACCACATAGTTGGAAGTAAAGCTCTCCTCAGCAAATGAAAAAGAACAGAAATTATAACAAACGGTCTCTCAGACCACAGTGCAATCAAACTAGAACTCAGGATTAAGAATCTCACTCAAAACCGCTCAACTACATGGAAACTCAACAACCTGCTCCTGAATGACTACTGAGTACATAACGAAATGAAGGCAGAAATAAAGATGTTCTTTGAAACCAACGAGAACAAAGACACAACATACCAGAATCTCTGGGACACATTCAAAGCAGTGTGTGGAGGGAAATTTATAGCACTAAATGCCCACAAGAGAAAGCAGGAAAGATCCAAAATTGACACCCTAACATCACAATTAAAAGAACTAAAAAACCAAGAGCAAACACATTCAAAAGCTAGCAGAAGGCAAGAAATAACTAAAATCAGAGCAGAACTGAAGGAAATAGAGACACAAAAAACCCTTCAAAAAATTAATGAATCCAGGAGCTGGTTTTTTGAAAGGATCAACAAAATTGATAGACCGCTAGCAAGACTAATAAAGAAAAAAAGAGAGAAGAATCAAATAGACGCAATAAAAAATGATAAAGGGGATATCATCACCAATCCCACAGAAATACAAACTACCATCAGAGAATACTACAAACACCTCTACGCAAATAAAATAGAAAATCTAGAAGAAATGGATAAATTCCTGGACACATACACTCTCCCAAGACTAAACCAGGAAGAAGTTGAATCTCTGAATAGACAAATAACAGGAGCTGAAAATGTGGCAATAATCAATAGCTTACCAACGAAAAAGAGTCCAGGACCAGATGGATTCACAGCCGAATTCTACCAGAGGTACAAGGAGCAACTGGTACCATTCCTTCTGAAACTATTCCAATCAATAGAAAAAGAGGGATTCCTCCCTAACTCATTTTATGAGGCCAGCATCATCCTGATATCAAAGCCGGGCAGATACACAACCAAAAAAGAGAATTTTAGACCAATATCCTTGATGAACATTGATGCAAAAATCCTCAATAAAATACTGGCAAACCGAATCCAGCAGCACATCAAAAAGCTTATCCACCATGATCAAGTGGGCTTCATCCCTGGGATGCAAGGCTGGTTCAATATACACAACTCAATAAATGTAATCCAGCATATAAACAGAACCAAAGACAAAAACCACATGATTATCTTAATAGATGCAGAAAAGGCCTTTGACAAAATTCAACAACACTTCATGCTAAAAACTCTCAATAAATTAAGTATTGATGGGACGTATCTCAAAATAGTAAGAGCTATCTATGACAAACCCACAGCCAATATCATACTGAATGGGCAAAAACAGGAAGCATTCCCTTTGAAAACTGGCACAAGACAGGGATGCCCTCTCTCACCACTCCTATTCAACAAAGTGTTGGAAGTTCTGGCCAGGGCAATTAGGCAGGAGAAGGAAATAAAGGGTATTCAATTAGGAAAAGAGGAAGTCAAATTGTCCCTGATTGCAGATGACATGATTGTATATCTAGAAAACCCCATTGTCTCAGCCCAAAATCTCCTTAAGCTGATAAGCAACTTCAGCAAAGTCTCAGGATACAAAATCAATGTACAAAAATCACAAGCATTCTTATACACTAATAACAAACAGAGAGCCAAATCATGAGTGAACTCCCATTCACAATTACTTCAAAGAGAATAAAATACCTAGGAATCCAACTTACAAGGGATGTGAAGGACCTCTTCAAGGAGAACTACAAAGCACTGCTCAAGGAAATAAAAGAGGATACAAACAAATGGAAGAACATTCCATGCTCATGGGTAGGAAGAATCAATATCGTGAAAATGGCCATACTGCCCAAGGTAATTTACAGATTCAATGCCATCCCCATCAAGCTACCAATGACTTTCTTCACAGAATTGGAAAAAACTACTTTGAAGTTCATATGGAACCAAAAAAGAGCCCGCATCGCCAAGTCAATCCTGAGCCAAAAGAACAAAGCTGGAGGCATCACACTACCTGACTTCAAACTATACTACAAGGCTACAGTAACCAAAACAGCATGGTACTGGTACCAAAACAGAGATATAGATCAATGGAACAGAACAGAGCCCTCAGAAATAACGCCGCATATCTACAACTATCTGATCTTTGACAAACCTGAGAAAAACAAGCAATAGGGAAAGGATTCCCTATTTAATAAATGTTGCTGGGAAAACTGGCTAGCCATATGTAGAAAGCTGAAACTGGATCCCTTCCTTGCACCTTATACAAAAATTAATTCAAGATGGATTAAAGACTTACATGTTAGACCTAAAACCATAAAAACCCTAGAAGAAAACCTAGGCAATACCATTCAGGACATAGGCATGGGCAAGGACTTCATGTCTAAAACACCAAAAGCAATGGCAACAAAACCCAAAATTGACAAATGGGATCTAATTAAACTAAAGAGCTTCTGCACAGCAAAAGAAACTCCCATCAGAGTGAACAGGCAATGTACAAAATGGGAGAAAATTTTCGCAACCTACTCATCTGACAAAGGGCTAATATCCAGAATCTACAATGAACTCAAACAAATTTACAAGAAAAAAACAAACAACCCCATCAAAAAGTGGGCAAAGGAAATGAACAGACACTTCTCAAAAGAAGACATTTATGCAGCCAAAAAACACATGAAAAAATGCTCATCATCACTGGCCATCAGAGAAATGCAAATCAAAACCACAGTGAGATACCATCTCACACCACTTAGAATGGCAACCATTAAAAAGTCAGGAAACAACAGGTGCTGGAAAGGATGTGGAGAAATAGGAACACTTTTACAGTGTTGGTGGGACTGTAAACTAGTTCAACCATTGTGGAAGTCAGTGTGGCGATTCCTCAGGGATCTAGAACTAGAAATACCATTTGATCCAGCCATCCCATTACTGGGTGTATACCCAAAGGACTATAAATCATGCTGCTATAAAGACACATGCACACGTATGTTTATAGCGGCACTATTCACAATAGCAAAGACTTGGAACCAACCCAAATGTCCAACAGTGATAGACTGGATTAAGAACATGTGGCACATATACACCATGGAATACTACGCAGCCATAAAAAATGATGAGTTCACGTCCTTTGTAGGGACATGGATGAAACTGGAAATCATCATTCTCAGTAAACTATCGCAAGCACAAAAAACCAAACACCGCATATTCTCACTCATAGGTGGGAATTGAACAATGAGAACACATGGACACAGGAAGGGGAACATCACACTCTGGGGACTGTTGTGGGGTGGGGGGAGGGGGGAGGGATAGCATTGGGAGATATATCTAATGCTAGATGACGAGTTAGTGGGTTCAGTGCACCAGCATGGCACATGTATGCATATGTAACCAACCTGCACATTGTGCACATGTACCCTAAAACTTAAAGTATAATAATAATAAAAAATAATAATAATTCACCTAAGCCAAAAAAATAATAAATAACTTCAGAATCTTCTGTACCTCAATTACCCAGTCCCCATCATGTTCACCCAAATTCTTTTATACCCACCCTCATCAGGCCCCAGATACAAGTCTGTCCTTCATGTATTACATTCAGTAATTATACAAATTAAAGAAATGATAAATTTATTTTCCCACTTTACTTATCAAAGATAACTCACCTCCCTAAGAGCTTTCTGCCACATGGGGCTTCTAGTCATCATGATTAATATAAATATTATTTCAACATTGACTTGATATCCTTCTAGCTAAAAGGAAAGTGACTTGACATTTTCTTTAGCCTGGACTAACTTGTCATAAGAAACAGTATAATTTCCATCAGGACTTTTTGAATGCAGATTATAACTCAAGCTTCCTTCCTTTTGCTAATATGGTGAAGTCCAGGCAAGTTAAAAGATATTGAGATCTTCAACCTGTATGGACATGCAGGAATTTTATGTCCTGCATGTCCATATTTGAAAAATGTAAGAGTTTTCAAGAAGCTAAGCCATCTCTTTCTCATTTCTAGAGAGGACATAAGGACTAAAATTAAAGCCAGAAAGATTTAGGATAAAGCCATTTCTATATTAAATATTGTTAAGTCCTGTGTTACTGTCCATGAGGAAAGGATACAAATTCTCTATTCCTAGAGTCCTCTCAAACCAAACTAGTGCACATATCTTGGATTGCTTACCCAGATTAAACTCTACTTTGAACTAGGAGTACATTGTTGAAACATATTATCCTTTTACAAGTTATAAAGCTACCTTTAAAATTTTAAATTATTTAACAATTGAAAAGGTATGGTTCTAACTCTACCTTTCCTTTGTTGGGCCCTGGGGTATTTTCCAGCCTTGGCTGTTCTCATCCCTCCATTCCTTCCTCTAACTTTCAGTTTCTTCATAACTTACCCTGTAAGAACCCTGACAGAGAAATATTATAAAGTTCTAGAGGTATCTTGTTCCTAAAATTTAAAACACTATTTTCATCAAAAAGCACTTACCACATTTTGGTATGCCTTGGAGATAATGTGAGAACTCTAACCAACCAGGGGACTAGGTAGACTGTCTCAAAGATGAATATTCAAGTTCTTCTTACATCAGGGAAAATACTCCCAGTGAGAAAAAAAAATATTCCTAACATACACTTTGAGCTGACATTGGTTCTCAAAATCATTTTTTAAATTCTAGTTAATTACCGAGATAAACAGTAGTTTGAACTCTGAAAGTATTCCCAGCTATCAAGGGACAGAACACTATCTTTCCTAATCATTTTTTTCATCAGGTGTCAACTCATTTTGGCACAATCTGCACAAGCATTGTTCATTTTACTTTTCAAGGCAAGACTTTCAAATCTATTCCTTGGGACTATTGACAAGTGTAAAAAAATCATTCTGGTTCAGAAAATACCGATGATGGCTCAGATGAGCTAACACTAGCTTCAGTTAGTTAAATAGAAACTTACAGAAAAGAAAATAGAAACTAAACTTTTGCCAGGCAGGAACTAAATCAGAAGAGTAGGAAATAAAAGATAGAAATGAAATACATGTGAGATACATCTGAGAAAAAAAGTAGAAGTTTTGAAAACAACAAAGAACACTTTCCTTAAACGTATTTATGAACAAATTGTAGCCCTTCAGCATTTTCCACAATGACAAGGAATAAAAGTTATCTGATAGAGGCTTGAAAGATTATTTGCAAAAATCTGGTGCTTATTTTGTGGAACTAGGAAAGCCATTTTGGGAAAAGGGCATTTGCCATTACTAGTATCATGATTTCTTCAAATAATTTGTTAGAGTAAAACCTGCATAAAAGTATGTCTATTTAAAACATATATTAGAATGCATACAGTTTGTGGTAGCTTTTTTTCTTAGCTGTACATGAACACGTTCATTATACGCCAATACCAGAAATTTCCACATTGTGTGTAATACTTTATAGTATTAAGAAAAGGTGAAGAGGGCAACAAATCTTTATATATTGCCAAGTGGTTCGGTAGGTATTTTACCTACATACAGCATTTCCTTTGGTCATCTCAACAACTCAACAAGGTAGAATTTATCATCCCCATTTTACAGTGGGAAACCTGATGCTTAGAGTAGTTAAGTAAGTAGCCAAAGAATCCTCCGTTACTCAGTGTTAGAGCTAAAATTAAATATACCTTCTAAATCTAAATTGATGACCTTTCCACTCTATCACATTACTTTCAGGTTTCTTGGAATTTTGCTAAGACTAATTACAAAGATGTCTAAAAAAGTCACAATGACCACAGAGCCTATAAAACTAAATAAAAATTCTTCATGTTTGAGTTATACTAAGATCAAACTGTACACTTGCTTCACAATTTCCATTCCAAATTCAACAGAACTAATAAGGGAATCTTTACTTCCTATTGCTAATGTATACTATTTTTTGTGGGGTTTTTTTGGATTCTTGTAATCTAGTTTAAGGTATGGTATATATAAATAAAATACTTTCTTAGTATTATGACATAAATGTTAAAGAAATATAGATTGTACTTTAATGCAGGTAACTTGTAGAAGATATCTAAATTACTTTTGAAGCTATCTTTTTGTTTTATATTATTTTTAGAAAGGCACCAGATGCTACACATAATCTTTTTATGCAAGTTATAGAGATTTTGTTGTATTGGAATGTTCGGTGTGATCTAGTGACAAGATCTTCTTCCTCATTATTCTACTGGAGCAAAGAGGAGTACTCTTATCCGACATAATTCCTTTTTTTTTTCTTTTTTGATACAGGATTTCACTCTGTCACCCAGGCTGGAGTGCAGTGGCACCATCATCATAGCTCACTGCAGCCTTGAACTCCTGGACTCAAGTGATTCTCCCGCCTCAGCCTCCTGAATAGCTGGGACTACAGGCATGAGACACCATACCTGGCTAATGTTTTTATTTTTTATAGAGACACGTTCTCACTTTGTTTCACAGGCCAGTCTGGAACTCCTGGAACCAAGAGATCTTCCTGCCTTAGCCTACCAAAGTGCTAGGATTCCAGGTGTGAGCAACTGTGCTGATCCAGTATAATTCCTTAGACTTCTGTACCCCTCTTGTTCAGATTTTGGATGACCAAGTCCAAAATCATTTTGGTTTCAAGTTTTTCTTGGCTAATCATAGTATCATAATTATTATTAAAATAAATTCATTATACTAAGGAAACACAATAAATCCTAAATCATAAGAGATAATCCCCAAATCTGGTCATTTCATACCAATATAGAAAATTCATCAGTGACATTTAAATGAGGCAAAAAGCACAAAAGGTTTAGAGGTAATTTTTTTTTTTTTTTTTTTTTTGAGATAGGGTCTCGCTCTGTCACCCAGGCTACAGGCCAGTGGCACAATGTCTGCTCACTGCAACCTCCACCTCCTAGGTTCAAGGGATTCTCCTGCTGCAGCCTCCTGAGTAGCTGGGACTACAGGCACCTGCCACCGCACCTGGCTAATTTTTTGTATTTTTAGTAGAGACAGGGTTTCACCGGGTTAGCCAGATGGTCTTGATGTCCTGACCTTGTGATCTGCCCGCCTTGGCCTCCCAAGGTGCTGGGATTACAGGTTTGAGCCACCGTGCCAAGCCTAGAGGTAATTTTCTTGGAACTTATTTAATCCCTTCTTGACCATGGATGCTCATTACAAAAAGCATTTATTCAGACGAAGTAAAATTAAAAATATGGACTACCCTGAGCCAACAATTATGTCATCTATTGGAGAACTGAATGTATTCAATATTTGTTATGAAGTCCAGAGCTGATAAAAACTTTCAATGAAAGTTATGCTTGGGAGGAAAAAATAAACACCTTCTACTGAATATTATAGAGGAAACAAATAAAATTTACCTCAGTGGTAAATGGAAACAGCAATCACATGCTTTGGTAAGAAATGCTAATTAATTCCTATGTTCTCTGCTCTTGCTCTACAGAATAAATTACAAACAACCAATGAAAATGACCTTTTAATATGTTATTTTAATTATTTTATTCAGTATGCATGGTCCTATGTTTTTTTAAAAAGTTCTCATTTGTGAAAAACCTTCCAAAGAATATTATTCATCTTCAGGTGATATAACTAGGTTGTGAAATAATGCATAATCTAAGCCATCCTGCATTTAATACAAAAAGCTCACAGAACAAAGACATTTAAATTCCAATTCAGTGACAACATTAAGAACTAAACAATTCTTTCTTTTCATTGAAGCCAAACATACAGATTCAAAGGCATTTCTAATACAAGGCTTCATTGCATTAGATTTGAAAAATGATTATTTGATGTACTAGAAATAAGAGGAGAAGAAAACCTGTCTTGTCTTTGTCCAGCTGCTGCGGAGCTTGAAGTTCATGCTTAAGGCATCTGCCAGGGAAAGCTAAACACCTGTAATAGGTCTCTGTGGCCTCTGAACTCTACAGCCAAATCTAATGCTTTTTAAAAAGTATTCAGCCCAAATGGGCATGATGTCTGACTTAGTTCTGGCTCTAAAATCACATCATCCTACACATCATCCGAAGTCCAAACCCCAGATACAATACTTACTGGCTTTTAACCTTAGGCAAATTGGCTACCCTCCCTAAAGTTGATTTTGCTATTTTAGAAAGCAGGAAGAGGGAGGAGGTCGTCAAAATAGTATACATTCCAATGAGTCATCATACAGATTTGATGCAGTGAGTTATGTAGTACCCTTAGCCCAGTGACCAGCACAGAGTAGGTATCCAATAAATAGCAGCAAATTAATTTATATTTAGTCTTTCTTTCCAATATTATTTGCGTGTGTGATGGTCATGAGGAGCACAAAAGATTTACTCCCAAAGTCTATGTTCAGAAAGAGCAAGCACTTTTTGAATCTTGATTATTCTCCTCTTCAAGTAGACTATTTCTTATTCAACAAAGGGCTATGTTTTCAACTCCTTTGTACTTGCTTTGAAAAAAATACTTTAGATGTTCTAATTAATTTTTATTGATCTTTTCTAAAATCTTTCCAATTAGTTCCCTCCTTTATTGTTGATAACAGTGATTAGCCTTTCACCTAATGCACTTAACAATATTCTGTGGAGGAGACAGGATTAATCTCTTTTTTTTTATATGCATGATCTTTACATAGATTACTTTAGGCTCTGTCTACACAGACAAAGGGTGAAGGGGGGAATAGGTGAATTTAGACAGAAAAACATTAGCTAAGAATAATACTTTTTAATTAAAAATGATTTCTACTTTACTTAATTCAATACTATCAACAACACTCTCATTCTCCATAGGCACAGACTTTACACAAGTACAATGATTCCTGGAATTAATGCACTTCTATTACATCAGAAATCTTGAAATACCTGTTTATTAGTTGGAACATTTCAGGGTTTAGGGGCAGTTAGCCATAGAAAGCCACCTATAAATAAGTATAATAAAAATGTTAGAAGACCAACAGGTTTGTATGTCTCTTGTGCAGTAACAGACCAATACACAGAGATAGGAGGGTTTGCAGCACAGAGCTTCATAATTGCAGGGCATCAAGTGAGGAGATGGGAGGAGACCTGTAAGAGTTAAAGAAAGAGGAAAGAAACATGAAAAGCAGCTCAACAGTCAAAGACAGGTTTATTTTGGGGAATAAACCTGAGAGGGACTTCTGGCCGAGTTAGGTCAGAGGCATTCTCTCTCACAGACTAAGAGTTTTTAGGGATTCAGGTGGCATACCTTATCACAGGCTTCGAATGTTTCTGTGTCTCTTTGTCTTGCTTATGTGGGAGGGAGAGTTTTTGTATACATCTTCCTGCAGCTGCAGGCATACCCCCTGAGTCTTCTTTTAGCTTTCCTATCTTAGTGCACCTAAAGGGAAAGTAATGTGCTTACCAGGGCCCACTGTTTTACTGGGGCCCATTGTGTGAGTGTGAAGTTTGGTGGTTACCCAAGAGACTTTCCCCCTCCCTCTGTGTCTGACCTGTCTTATCTGTGTTTTACTGTCTGCTCTTTCTTGCTGCTTGTTGTTAGAAGAGAAGTGATTTCCTTGAAATGCATGAGGTTAGAAAGGGAGCTAGAACTTAAAGAGGTGGTGTTTGTCCAAGATGATGGTGCCCCTGCTGTCAAGACCCTAACATCCACCTCCCCAAGGATTCTGGGCTGGGGTTTTTAAGGAGATCATGGAGGGTGAGGGGCTAGAAAACTGGAAACATTGAGTGGTCAGGGTAAGGGTAATAAAGTTATCAGGATGGGAAAACTGCATTCTTTGGTGAGTCAGCTCCTGTGGCGTCCTTTGGAAAAGTGGATGTTAGTAGTTTCAATGGAATGTAGGACCTGAAAGAGTATCTCAAGGGGAAAACTTAACATTTCATAATGTTTAAGTTGTTATCTACAAAGCAGTTAAGGGGAACTATAATCTAGGATCTACGTGAGTCTAGAACAATAGGCACCAAAACACTATGAGGAAGCAGGTCAGAAAGCAAGCTGACCTAATCATTAATGCTGAATGTGCTACATTAATCTGAATGTTCTGCATAATTAAGCTTGGTGTATTTTCATTTCTACTACCCCCTTCTTCCCTGATTCATTTTATAAAATTTATAAGGATGGTTTCAAAAACTTACATTTACACATACATTAATATACACATTTATGGTATTTGCTGTTCCTGGTACTATGTACAGTTATCAGAAGTCTTTTAAAACATATTTGAACTTCATCCAGGCAGAACATTAGACACTATAGTTTTATAAGGGTAATTGAGTAATAATAGTAGAAAATATATTACTTCCTGAGTAATATAAACAGTATACTATTGAACATGAGGGGAAGTTCACATTAGGAAACAGCCAGTCATGCAGCAGAATTCATGATCTAAGTCTTCTTCTCTCAAAATCATATGGCACTTGGTGAATAAAAACCAAAAGCAGATTCCATCTGTTTTATCAAAATATAAGGTTATTTATCCTCTATCCTTAATGATTAATCCAAACAGGACAGAATTCTATATTTAACATTATTGAGCATGTTAGATTATGCATTCTTCATTAGAAAATATAAATCATTTTATATTTCAGTCATGATAAAATGTGATGCAATCTTTTCCATTTTTTCCAGTGTCAAAGTGCTTACTCCCATTATGAAATGTCAATGAATCAATGGAAAAGAGTAAAACTATAGTTCCCATAAATCATTACTTTGAAAAAGAGAAAAAAAATGTTAAAGACTTCTTGACATACAGCAAAGAGTTTTCTTCAACAAATGTTAAAGAGTTAAAAATTAAAACCGTAGGCAATGCTTGGATTTATTGTTGTTTACTATCATCTAGATGTGTTAGGGGGGTATTAACTTTAGCTAGAGGTTCTAGATCTTAATTAGTAAAGTTTTATGATAGATGCAGAATTAAAATATTTAAAAAGGTTAGTTGATTTTAGAGTACGTGCCATGTCATTATGAGGAGAATGTATATTCTGTTGTTTTGGCATGGAGAGTTCTGTAGATGCCTATGAAACAATCCTCAGCAAATTTTTAAAAACCTAAAATTATACCAACCACACACTCGGACGGCAGCACCATAAAAATAGAATATCATACAAAGAAAATAGCTCAAAATCATACAGTCATATAAAAATTAAGCAACCTGATCCTAGAATGACTTTTGAGTAAATAATGAAAGGAAAGCAAAAAAAGCCCATTACAATGTGGGCAAAAGACATGAACAGACACTTTTCAAAAGACACACATTCAGCCAAAAGCATATGAAAAAATTTGCAACATCACTAATCATTAGAGAAATGCAAATCAAAACCACAATGAGATACCATCTCACACCAGTAGAAATGGCTATTATTAAAAAATTTAAAAATAACAGAAGCTGGTGAGGTTACAGAGAAAAGGAAACACACACTTCTTGTGGGAGAGTAAATTAGCTCAGCCATTGTGGAATGCAGTGTGGTGATTCCTCAAAGAACTGAAAACAGAATTACCATTCAACCCAGCAATCCCATTATTGGACATATACCCAAAGGAATATAAATTATTCTACAATAAAGTCACATGCACATATATGTTTATTGCAGCACTATTCACAATAGCAAAAACATAGAATCAACCTAAATGTTCATCAATGGTAGACTGGATAAAGAAAATGTGGTACATATACACCACAGAGTACTATGCAGCCTTAAAAAAAAGTGAGATCATGTCCTTTGTAGACGCATGGATGCAGCTGGAGGCCATTATCCTAAGCAAACAGAAACAGAACACATGAACGGAAAACCAAATATTGCATATTCTCATTTATAAGTGAGAGCTAAATAATGAGAACACATAGACACAAAGAGGGGAACAACAAATGCTGGGACCAAGTTGAGGGTGGAGGGTAGCAGAAGGGAGAGGATCAAAACAAATACCCATTGGGCACTGTGCTTAGTACCTGGCTGATGAAATACTCTCTACACTAAATGACCATGACACAAGTGTGCCTATATAACAAACCTGCACGTGTACCCCTGAAACTAAAAGTTAAAAAAAATTTTAAAGAAAAAATCAATGTCTAATTATTACAGAAGTAGTATCAATAAGCATAATATTCTATAGCCAAATTTATCTCAGGCCAGACTTTGCCTTTTGGAGGGCTCAGATTTTGACAGTACACAGAGAGAATATAAAACCATGCAGACTTATGCTAACTGATTCAGTTCCTAAATCTGATATGTAAATCAGAATTCCAAATTGTTAACGTATGATTAAAATATAAATGCAACTGTTAGTTTACCTTAGTAAATTTTCTACTTTTTTTTTTGCTTTTTTAGTTTTCTGTTTCTTTTACTTATATTAATACTTTTTATAAAGATTCAGTCTACTCTTGCCAACACAGAATCTGATGTCTTTGTGGCACAGATAGAGATCTTTAATTTTCTGCCTCATCAATATCTATTAAACTGTTTCCCCATAGTTGAGCAACCATATAGTTTGGGTAGGGATATAGAAGGGGAACATAGTTATTACCTAACCTCATTTTCAGGTGAGAACACAAATTTTCTAATCTAATCAAGATAATCCCATTTCCTCTGCCACATTGATTGATGCAGATGACCCAGCCAAGAGACAATGATCAAAATGCCTTGTTCCCACAAAGTTCATTTATAAAAGTTAATTCATAACAGCTGAAAAGTTAAACCAAATAAGAAATGAAGGGTGGTATGCTACTAATCTTTCCAAAGGAGAATGTCTTGCTCTTCTCAGAAAACTACCAACACATTCTCTTATCTTGGAAGGTTAGAATTGTAGAAACAATTTTGATACCACATGGAGAACCACTCCTTTGGATGATGCTCATCCTGCAAATCAGACCCCAAAGGTCAAAACTGGTCTGAGATGACACTGTAGATATGCTGAATCAAACCATTCCTGAAGACAATCTGTGGAGAATTTAAAGTATGTCTACAATTTTTTTTTTTACTTCTTTAATAGATAGAGCTTAATTTTCCTCTCTTGGACTGAACCTAATGACTCACTTCTAACAAGTACAGTGTGGCAAAAGTGACAGCATCTAACTTCTAAAACTAGACCATAAAAGGCTTTGCAAATTCCTTCTCTCTCTCATCACATATCCTAGGGGAAATCAGCTGCATTGCTATAAGGACACTCAAGCAGCCCTGAGAGGTCCACATGCCATGGAAATGAGCCTCCTGCTAAGAGCAGAGAGGAACCGAGGTCTCTGCCACCTACAATGTGAGTGAGTAATCTTGGAAGGAGACTCACCAACCCCAAGCAAGTGTTCAGATAACTACAGTGCTGGCCAACAACTTGACTGCAACCTATGGGAAATCCTGACCTAGATCCACCAAGCAAAGCCATTTTTTAATTATTGATTCACAGAAACTACAAAGTAATGAAAGTTTATTATCTTAAGCTGCTAAGTTTGGGGATAATTTTTTACATATCACTAGATAATTAAGGCACAATCCTACCTCAGAATGTCTAACCTAAGGAGCCAATAATTCCTCTTTATTGTTCTAATTACTTGAATTGGGTCTTAAGTTATTTTTATCATTAAATACAGTCCTAAATGTTACAAGGTCATATAGTGTTTACCCTGATCCATTAAAGGTTAATATTGTAGTTTAACTCCAAAAATATATTCTTTATATTCAAACTATTGAGCAGAAAGAAAGTGGAAAGGAAGTACTTTCTTGGTAGTAAAACTGCTGGGAAGAAATAGAAAGGAAATATCATTTTTTATAATAATATGAGGAAATCATCAGAGAAAAGATTGTATCTAAGGCAAAGTAGATGAAGAAAATAAAGACGTCCACCATCTAAAATTCACTGTCAAAATGGATTTCTCTCTCTATAAATATGGTTTCCTGACACTAAAGCTGTTGGTTCGAAGTACAAGGCCTTGGAGTCTCAGCCTTCTGTCACAATCAGATTCAGGCAACAATGCTACTGCCCAGATTACAATGACTAAATCTTTAGGTCTAGGCAAACCCAAGTCATGCTGTGAATGTTTGGTGGAATGTACAAGGCTCTATTATTCTGAGGTCAGGAGCACAGAAAGCTGATTTACAACTTGGAAATCATGTCAGTTGGTCAAGTATCAGAAATCTAGATCAGGAATGAAAGAAAAAAAAACAAATATGACTATCCAAATATCTGAAAATTGATATAGACCAAATAGATTGATTTTCAGTAACCTAATACCTTGAAATAGATTATGGAAACCCAGTAACTAAGACTCATAAATGTCAATGTATAAACCACTTAAAGAGTGAAGCAGAAAATTGCCATGCAGCAAAGAAATCCAATGATTCAGACACACAAAGAAATCCAATGATTCAGGCACCCAGAGATAAAATTGGCACTAAGCTAAGCCAAGTGCACTAAGCACGTCCACCTGTGAAGATGAAAGAGGAATGATGGTAAAAAATGAAGCAATTGTTTTAGTGACAACTGCCATGAAACTATACTAAATTTTGCACATTTTTATTGACTCTTTTAAAAATCTAAAGAAGTTGAACTCAGAAGCAGAAAGCAGAATTGTGCTTACCAGGGATTGGGAGATAGGGATTGGGGAAATGTTGGTCAAAGGGTACAAAATTTCAGACAGACAGGAGGAATAAGTTTAAGAGATCTATTGTACAACATAGTGACTACAGTTAATAACAATGTATTGTATTCTTGAAAACGTTCACTAAGAAAGTAGATTTTAAGTGTTCCTACCACAAAAAAATGATGCGTGTGAGGCAGTACATACATTAACTAGTTCTATTTAGCCATTCCACAATGTATACATATTTCCAAACTTCTTGTTTTACATGATAAATATATAAAATTTTTATTTATCAATTTTAAAAAATTAATATAATTTTTAAATAATACATTAATTTTTTAAAACAGAAATATTCATTGTTACTATTGTTTACATGGAAAACTATGACCTGTCTGGTGATACAGATGACGGAAAGAAGGTGAACTTTTCCATGGTTTGCAAAAAAGCAGAATTCTCACTGCATAATCTGTTTCCAGCTCAACCATTTCACTTCACCTTAATATTGCCAGACCATATAATAAGCAGTAAGGGCACCATCACAATAGTTAGAAGCAGTGAACCTATGAATACAAATGTCAGACTAACTAGAGATGTTTTCCTTGATATTCTCTTCCAGTGACCATATCTTCTTGGATAGCCTTGTCATCTTGTGACCTAGGGCATGTGCCCATTAGGTCTATAATACTTCTCAGACACATGGAGATTCTTCTGATTTTCTGGTGTCAAGGCTATCACATTTATATTATCCAGCATCAGGCTAACACCAAGACTACATAGAATCTACAGTAGAAGGTATCATTACATCATTAAATATTGGAACACTAAATGATAAAGAACGATATAAGCAAATACTGGGAAATAAAAGCAAAACACAGAAAAGATCTAGCCATCTGCAGTTTTCTTCCCCATAAATCAGGGGCCCATAGAGTTGACTTTAATTCTGACTGATAGTCCCCTTTTAGGTTTCTCCAATAAAAGACCCAGTATTTTAGGATACGTTTCTGCACCACATTTTATAAATACCAGACACATTTAACTGGTACATATCACCTTGGTTTAAACAGAAATATGCCAACTGGTCCATATTTTAATGGTGAACACCATTACATATATGTGTGCAATTTACATATGAAATTTATATATGTGTATATATGTATAATATATATGAAAAATTTAAAAATAGTTCTTGCAATAAGTCCCTTTTAAGATTAAAGATTTATAAATTACAGTTTTCTTTTGGATTACAAAATGAACACACATTAGATTAGCACAACAATGTAATAACAAGACAATGCAAGTTACAACTAATATCTCTTTTTTATAACCACATATCAATCTACTGGATTCAAATTTGAATGTAATTTCTTGGAATAAATGTATTTGGTCAAGCCCTGCATATGACTACATTAACCCAAAGCAAAAATAATAAAAAATATTTTCTGTTCTTTGATGCATATACAAAATTTATCAGTGCTAAAGGACAAATATATTTGAATAAATATATTCATTTTCAACAGCTAACAACTTTCTATTCCCCCTACTCTGTTTGATTTTTAATTTGTATTTTTATATCCATCATAGAGAAGATAGATTTCTTGTTGCTCTTATTTTATTAAAGGTCTGCAGTGGTTGAGGACACATTTCACATTCAGTGTGACCTATTAATAAAGGTAATTTACATATTCTAAAATTAACATAAATTCTGCAGCTATTTATGCATGCTATCCCTTTGTACTCAAGGCAGGTAATAGGCTTTTTGTATATGTTGTGAAGAGAAATAACTCAAGTTATTCAAATATCTCAGTTGCAAATCCATCACTGATTTTTTTTACATTCTCTTTTGCATTTGTCTTTCACCAGTATATCTCTACTAGGCACATTGCAACAGAATGTTAACTTTTTAGTTTAATGACTTTAAACTTCAAAAGAGGATCTTCAATAATTTTAGGTAAGGCATGTAATATTTACTACTATGTTCTATAGGAAAATTTTTGACTCTAACTTTATCCACACAACAATAAACAATCATTGTTTCTGCAGCAATTGTCAATGGGCCTTTAAGGCTGTCCCAAACTTCCCTGGTTTCTCTGTAACCCTCCATTTTCTTTTCTTTTCTTTCTTTCAGACGGAGTCTCTCTCTGTCACCCAGGCTGGAGTGCAATGGCAAGATCTCAGCTCACTGCAACCTCCGCCTCCCGGGTTCAAGTGCTTCTCCTGTTCTGCCTCAGCCTCCCGAGTAGCTGGGATTACAGGCACCCACCACCACGCCAGGCTAATTTTTTTGTATTTTTAGTAGAGACGGGGTTTCACCATGTTAGCCAGGATGGTCTTGATCTCCCGACCTCGTGATCGGCCCGTCTCGGCCTCCCAAAGTGCTGGGATTACGGGCATGAGCCACCGTGACCAGTCTTGCTCCCCTCCATTTTCTATACTCCACTCATGCCTTCTAAAGCTATCTGTTAAGTGCAATTCCACTTGGATTCCTTGCTAGGCACTCCTGAGGGTCAAAATAAAAGCCTAGAAAATTTCCACTTTTGGAGACACCACGTATATTTAAATTAAAAAAAAGAAGGAAGTCAAAACAGAGTTACAACAACGACTTACAAAACAGCTTTCTAAAATGCTTATATTTAGCAAATTAATGATTTGCCTTTGGCACACATGCCCAAATACAATAAATTTAAATACCTTATTCCAAGATAATTGCAGGATTTACAAAAATTAATTAAGTAATTAGAACACTGAAGGCAAGTTCAGAAAAAAAGACACAGGAGTAAAGTTCTATGATGGAGATGTGAGTCTGTTAGGATTTTTCTGGGGCTCTTTATATAACTTACTAACAGATAATACTAAAAGTCTAAATTCAAGGCCTTTTCATGGATGTGAGGTCAGAACTAAATGGTCCTCTTATCCTAGTTGTGCCAAGTTCTGAGGCCAATCTGAAATTCAACCGAGCAAAAACATGTAACTCACCCTGTGTATATTATTTTCTTTTCTATTTCTATTGTATATAAAAATGTTTCTTTGTTTTTATTACAATCCTCTTAAATCCTGTGTCAAAAGAGGTATGGATTTTTCACAGATAAATTTTGAAACAGCATTTAAAATTATAGAGAAAAATAGCAGTATCAAAAGTATTTTCTAGAAATTGATTTTTACTTTTTAATCATACACAGATTTTCTTAGTGACAATTAATTAATTACCTCAATCCTCTTCTTACTGAAGAGGAGATTATTGTTCCTATTAATATTACCACAGCTAATATTCACTGAATGTTTACTATGTACCAGACACCATATTAAGCATTTCACATGCATCATCTCACTTTATTTTCACATCATCCATATAAGTAGGTTATATTATTTGCTTATTTTACAGATATAATATCAGTTGCATACTTAGCAAGCCTGAAACCTAAAAAGAAGGTTAATAATTTTAGCCTCAGCCTCATGAGGAATAAGAATTGCATATATTAGAATAACTACTACTGTGTAGAGTGAACTTGACTCCTTCAATCTCCATTAAAACATAAACAGTAAACTACCTAAATGTTTAAAAAGCATGAATATTGAATATGAAAAGAATCTATCCATAGAAAGCAAATATAATAAACGAAAAGTTGCATAAACAAAAAAGTCACTTGAAAAATAGTTTGGTTTTGACTATTATAGCCCGTTGTTTCACCCACCCTTTTTCAAATTGTGCTCTATCAGTGTCGACAAATCTTCCTGAGTTACACAAAAAGAGAACCATAATTGTAGCTATCCAGGTTGTTTCATTTTTTCTTGCCAAGGGTTGAGGGAAGAGATTGTGATGGCTGAGTATAAGGAGAAATCTTTCAGCTATGTCAAGTCATGAATAAAAACTAACAGAGCAAGACCTCTTAAGATGTTGCACAAATGATACATTACATTTGCAAAGTATGTGATTGAACAAAAACTGCAGAGGATGCTTTCTTTAAAAAAAAATAATAAAAAAAAAGTTATTTTGTGTTGACTTCTAAAAGTCAGGTGGAGCTGGCAGGTTGTAGATGGCACAAGCATATGTTATCTCTTTAAATGAGCAAAATATCCACAGAAGAAGAAACTTTGAGTCAAGTGCTGGGATTTAGGATTAGGGGGAAAACTGATTATGATGCATCACTGGCAAGAGAACTCAAGAAAAAAGAAGTCTTTGACTATCATCTTGCAGCACTAAGGCAAAGCCGTGCCAAGTTCCCATTAGATGTTAGAACTTTGATACATAAATCTAGACTCAGAGTAATAAAAATCAATTGCTGTAATGGTGCAGAGGCAATATTTTCCATGAGTGTCCATTTTTAACACACAGATACTTTCAGAAATTGCTGCTTTTGTGAATAGGTGACAGTGGTCTAAATATTCCTAATTGGAAACATTGCTTAATCTCTCCCGAGCCTTTGCCCACCTAAATATTGGGCTCCTCATCAGCATTACAGCATTTAGTTCATATTAGTAAGTATTCTTATGTAATTTTACATAAGGCTTCTTAACTATTACTGTTAGCAGTAGTGAATCCATATGGGTCTGCAGCAGCTTGATTCTTGCCTCCTTAGAGGAAACAATTTGTCAGGGTCATAAGGCAGAGTGAGAGACCAAAGCAAATTTTAGAACAGGAGTGAAAGTTTACTAAAAAAGTTTTAGACCAAGAATGAGAGGTAGTATAGTACATTTGAAAGAGGGCCATGCGGGCAACTTGAGAAATCCAAGTGCACAGTCCAACCCTTGACTTGTGGTTTTAGACCCTGACATGGTTCCAGGGTTTGTGTTCCTTCTCTCCTGGTATTTCCTGGAGGTAGGCTATCTGCACACGCAGTAGCCTGCCAGCACTTGGGAGGAGCCGCATGTACAGTGTGTTTACCAACGTTGTGCACATGCTCACTTGAGGTGTTTTTCTCTTACCAGTTGAGCCTTCCTAGAGGAAGGTTACACACACCAGTTAAACTCTGCCATTTTGCCTCTCAGTGCATATGCTTGAGCTCACTCACCCAACTCCTGAGATGTTATCGGGAAGCTGCTAATCACCAGCTTCAGGTGTTTTCTATATATAGGGAGCTGCCTTTCCTGGCACCAGCTGCAACCAATTATTATTTTAGAGAGACAGTTTAACAACTGCCAGACCATCACCTGATGATTGCCTGACATTCCTGGTTGGGGGAAGCGGGGGCTCTCCTGCCCTACTCATATTGCCTAACTACCTACTCTGACATTACTAATACTACCATGGGGATAAAGTAAATTAATTATTTTTGGATCCTAGATGAATTGACCTCTCACTGGAATCAAAAAACCTACTCCTAAGTCTGACTCGGAGCAACTTGGTTATGTGATCATGAGCTAGCCTCTTCACCTTCCTGAGGTTCATTTCCCTCATTTGTAAATGAGGTGACAGAAGGGAGTGACAACTAAGAGAGGAAGACAGGAGAGAGAAAGAATAGATCTTTGTTTGAACTCTAAATTTACAAAATACATGAAATCAATGTAAGAAATCACCACCCACTCTTCTAGATAAATATCTCAAGGAAAGGCAAACAAAACCTAGTGCTCACTTCATTAATTTTACTAACCAGGGTATATCTGTAAAGCAATAAGACAATCTGGTGAAGTAGGACCCTCTGGCTTAATCCATTTGGGAGACAAATTGAGGATGCTGTGGAAATATGCCACCCAAAACAGCCCAGCTATAATGTGAAAGTTCAGTGTTACACAGCAAACAAGCTTGCTGCTTGTTATGGGTTCACAACCACCTAAATGAGTTCTGAGTAAACTTTGCATTAACCATCCAGCTTACAAAGTTAAAATACTGAATGTGAAATCTTCTCAACAATGACGTGGCATGATCTGAAACTAAGATGATGTGTTTTTGCTCTCAATAAAGAATACTTTTTTTAATCAGTAAGAATAGAGTCCAGCAACATCTCAAACTGATGAATTTGAAGTAAATACAAACGGCTAGTTAGCAGGCATGCATCCACAAGATAAGGAATTAACGATTCTAGAAAAAATGGCATTGTTCCTATTAAAATTTGGAGCCGTGTTGTTTATTGCTCTGCATGCCACAGACATCTAGTCTAATGCCTTACTTTTTCATTGAGGGGAAAGTTGAATTGCATTTATTAATTAAGCAGCCAGAACCAAATCGGGGCTTTCCAAAGCACAATGCAGAAATTGCTGTTTAAAGGCAAACAATTTGAAACTCAAGCTTAATCTCAGTGCTAAACAGTTGCTTTATTACCTGTAAGAACTTTTATAAACACGCCATTCTTCTATTGTGTTTGTAACTTGCAGATTTAATTTACTCTTTTCTCCAGAAAAAAAACCTCCTCTTTGTCACCCAGGTTCCATGAGAAATTACTTAGGATATCTTTCTCAATGTTAAAAAATGTTTGTTAAAACAGACAATAATCTATTTTTATAAAATGCTTTACCAAAACTTTATTTGATGTAAAATTACCAGGAGAATGTTTTATTACACAAAGACCTATTTTAACTCAAAACTGTTAAACACCACAGGATGGAAATGGCTCAATATTTGATCATCTTAGAATTTAAACACCTGTAAGATTTCCTGGAGGAGAGCCTTCAACAAAGTTTTGTTTGTTTTTGTTTCTTGAGAGAGAAACCTTTTCTGGAGGGGAATCCCCTTCAAGCAAAAGTCCATATCAAACAAGAGGGGAAATTTGGGTGATAATTATTATTCTCCAGGTGTTCTCTGGTGTGAACTTTTCTGCCAGAAGCCCCAGTTAAAAACTAGAGAAGAAAAATATGAAAATTAAAGAGTTAGGTCCAAAGTTATTAAAAGTCCACCATAGCTGGATTTTTTTTTTTTGTTGGATCTTTATACCAAAAAAGAGACACAAGTGAGGCAAGCATTAGGTTCTCATTTAGGGAGCACAAAAGCAAGACATGGTCTACAGCATCAGTCTTAGCAACCAACAGGAGGAGAAGGTGACTTGACAGGGAGCCAGGCTAATCCGCATCCAAAAAGAAAGCAAACTGCAGAGATGACCCGCAGCATGGCAGAGTCAAGAAGGTTTCTTTTCTGAGCACATGAAGGTTAGTAAGATCTGGGTGAGATAAAGTATCTTTCTCTGATCTTGAAAATTAGATTATAATCTCTATGATAGATGACCCAATTTCTCTAATAGCCATGTTTCCTGAACATTTTCCACATGACTGGAGATTTTGTGATCCAACTAAACCCTTTTCTGCAATATTTACAGAGCAGCTGTGTTATCATCTAAGTGTAGCTATCCTATTCATCCACCACATAGGTCTTTCAAACTATATGAAAATTCTAAGACGTTCACAGCTTCAGCACAGTTCTATTTCTTGCTTCAAGACCCCACAAAGATCTGGGATAGCAAATATATGGCGATACGCCATGGTCAAATTTATTTTTGGTCAATGACTGTGGCTGAGTGCCATGAAGTGAATGAACTCCAAGCTTCCCCGAAGCTTCAAAGTACTTAGAATAATATAATCCCCATACACTTTCAAATTGGATGAAAACATACAATTATGATTGTTCATTATTTCAACTTCTGGTCACTTGATATATTTACTCCTACCAAAAATGATTCTTATTCATTATTTATGAGTATAGTATAGTCTCAATTATACATACAATGTATACCCACCCAATACTTTGTTTTCTCCTATCCAATAACTAAACACATCTTTGTCCTATAATACCATCCTTATCCAACCTTGGGTACAAAAATAATTGCTTACATTTACAGAGCATCAACCATGGGTCCAGGACTATGCCAGGTAGTTATTTATATATGAGGAGACTGCTATACAGAAATCAAATAACCTACCCAAGTTCAGGTAGCTAGAAACTTCCTGAACCTGTATGCAAACTGATGTCGCTCTGGCTCAAATACTTGTATTCTTCTTGGTTTATTGCACTGCTTCTTAGTTTAATTGACACTTCCATAAACAGAGAACATAATACAGATTTCTAAAAGAGATTTAGCCCTGGTCTGGGTTAGCTACTATACTCCTCAAGCTTTCTAGAAACATTTATTCATCCCTTCCCTCTCTACATCCTATTTTTTTTCTCCTTCTCCTCTTTGTCTTGTGTCCAGCTCTCCCCATTACACCATTCTCCTTCAATAATGTCTGTTTGAAATATTATCACAAGCACTAAAATATTTGTTGGACACTTAGTTTTAGAAAGTTTTCAGACCATGCAAATTTTATCCACCCTTTATCTCCTTTTAGTGCTACTTGAAATGGAAAAATTTGTTGAAAGAGTCCAGAGGCAAACATATGCTAGGGAAGTGAACAATTTTCTTAACTTATATAGCCAAGAACAAATACAATCTTCTCAGATTTAAAACAAAGAAAGCCTTCAATATGTCTTTCACAACTTACAGGAAATCTAATTAATCAGGAAATAATGGTTATGTTTCCTGTGTATATAACTGTATAGTTTTCAAGCTCTCTTCAGACAATAATTTCATCTGATCATAACAATGATTATGAGAGGTAGGCAGAAATACAGAGTTCAGTTGAGGAAATAAGAGATTTTGTGAAGATCATCCAACAAATGAATGTCAGAAAATTAACTAGAATTAAAATTATTTCCTAGGGCCCATGTCCAGAATAATCTTTCTGAGGGTTTCTTACAGGATTCTTATAGTTTGAGATCTTACATTTAAAACTTTTTTTTTTTTTTTTCTGAGATGGAGTTTCGCTCTTGTCGCCCAGGCTGGGGTGCAGTGGTGCAAACTCGGCTCATGATTCTCCTGCCTCAGTCTCCTGAGTAGCTGGGATTACAGGTACACACAACCACGCCCAGCTAATTTTTGTATTTTTAGTAGAGACGGGGTTTCACCATGTTGGCCAGGCTGATCTCGAAATCCTGACCTCAGATAATCCACCTGCCTTCGCCTCCCAAAGTGCTGGGATTACAGGCATGAGCCACCATGCCCTGTCCCAGTTAAAACTTTAATCCAACTTGAGTTAATTTTTTGTTTATAGTGAAAGGTAGGAGTCCAGTTTCATTCTTCTGCATATGACTAGCCAATTATCCCAGCACCATTTATTGAATAGGGAATCCTTTCTATATTGTTTTAATTATTGTTGACTCTGTAGAAGATGACATGGCTGTAGTTGTGCAGCTTTATTTCTAAGTTCTCTATTCTGTTCCATTGGTCTATGTGTCTGTTTTTCTACCAGTACCATGCTGTTTCATTTGCTATAGTCGTATAGTATAGTCTGAAGTCAGATGATGTGATATCTCTGGCTTTCTTCTTTTTGCTTAGGATTGCTTTGGCTATTCAGACTTTTTTTTAGTTTCATATGAACTTTAGTTTTTTTTTTTTTAATTTCTGTTAAAACTGATGGTAGTTTGATAAGAATATCATTGAATCTGTATATTTCTGTGGGAAATATGACCATTTTAACTATATTTATTTAAAGATCATTTTTAAGTGTAAATATTCAGATGCCTATCTTGAAGAAAATTAAATATTTCTTGAGCATCTATTCTGTTTAATGCCAGGCCTTTGAAGGCACAGAAACCAATACATATTATGAACTTTACCATTGAACAAAAGGGTTTCTTAAGCCCTAAGGAGCCACTGATGAACTTTAGAACTCCATCAAGTTCAGGAAATTATTTGGTTGGTGCAAAAGTAATTGTGATTTTTGCTATTAAAAGTAATGGCATACATAAAGTGTTATAAATTCCATATTTTTCTGAGAAATGGTTCCATAGTTCTCATTAACTTTTATAATGTTCTATGACCAAAATAACATAAAGAACCATAGATATAAGACAAAAATATACTAAAAACTTGAGCTTCTAATGACTCTTATGTTAACTGACTGCCATATATAAGTCTGTTAAATTCTTGGCATAGAGATGGACAGTCCAATTGTAATATCAAATATTCTTTCTAAAGACTTCTTATATTTGAAAAGTCATATAATCTTAAAGTGGCATCCCAAATTTTATTGTTTACAGGTTTTATTGGTTATATGTTTCTTTTTACAAAATGACAGCTTATCATAGTTTCAATTTTTTTGAAGTTGATGTAAGAAATAGTTATATGTTAGACATGTATCTATTTTTTTAGCGATTCTGTTACCTAAAACATGCTCTCATCTCATGTTAAATACTATGTGGAAAAAAAAAGAGTTTCACTATTTCAGAACACAAATCAAAGAAATTCTATGCTTTTTTAAAATAAAAACTAAATATATCATAATTTTTATTTCCAGAGGGGCTGGCAAGATGGCCGAATAGAAACAGCTACAGTCTGCAGCTCCCAGGAAGACCAATGCAGAAGGTGGGTGATTTCCGCATTTCCAACTGAGGTACCCGGTTTATCTCACTGGGACAGGTTAGACAGTGGATGCAGTCCATGGAGGGCAAGCAAAAGAAGGGTGGGGAGTCGCCTCACCCAGGAAGCACAAGGGGCCAGAGAGCTACCTCCCCTAGCCAAGGGAAGCCCTTAGGGACCATGTCATGAGAGTCGGTGCTATCTGGCCCAGATACTACGCTTTTCCCACGGTCTTCCCAACCCACAGACCAGGAGCTTCCCTCATGTGCCTACACTATCAGGGCCCTGGGTTTCAAGCACAAAACTGGGCAGCCGTTTGGGCAGACACTGAGCTAGCTTCAGGGTTTTTTTTTCACACCCCAGTGGTGCCTGAAATGCCAGTGAGACAGAACAATTCACTCCCCTGAAAAGGGGGCTAAAACCAGGGAGCCAAGTGGTCTTGCTCAGCTCCCACCCCCACGGAACCCAGCAAGGTAAGATCCACTGGCTTGAAATTCTCACTGCCAGCACAGCAGTTTGAAGTGTCCACCAGGGATGCTTGAGCTTGGTGGGGGGAGGGGTGTCCACCATTACTGAGGCTTGAGTAGGTGGTTTTCCCCTGACAGTGTAAACAAAGCCACCAGGAAGTTCAAAATGTGTGGACCCCACCACAGCATGGCAAAGCCACTGTAGCCAGACTGACTCCCTAGATTCCTCCTCGCTGGGCAAGACATCTCTGAAAAAAAGGCAGCAGCCCCAGCCAGGGGCTTGTAGATAAAACTTCCATCTCCCTGGGAGAGAGCATCTAGGGGAAGGGCTGGCTGTGGGTGCAGCTTCAGAAGACTTAAACGTTCCTGCTTGCCAGCTCTGAAGAGAGCAGCAGATCTCCCAGCACAGCACTCGAGCTCTGCTGAAGGACTGACTGCCTCCTCAAGTGGGTGCCTGACCCCTGTGCCTCCTGACTGGGAGACACCTCCCAGCAGGGGTTGACAGACACCTTGTAAGTGAGTTCACCCACAGGTGAGCTCTGGCCAGCACCTGGCAGGTGCACCTCTGGGATGAAGCTTCCAGAGGAAGGAGCTGGCAGCAATATTTGCTGTTCTGCAGCCTCCACTGGTGATAACCAGGCAAACAGGGTCTGGAGTGGACCTCCAGCCAACTCCAGCAGACCTGCAGAAGAGGGGCCTGTTAGAAGGAAAACTAATAAACAGAAAGCAATAGCATCAACATCAACAAAAAGGATGCCCATGCAAAAACCCCATCCCAAGGTCACCAACATCAAAGACCAAAGGTATATAAATCCACAAAGATGAGGAAACAACAGCAAAAAAAGACTGAAAATTCCAAAAACCAGAATGCCTCTTCTCTTCCAAAAAATCACAATTCCTCGCCAACAAGAGAATGAAACTGGATGGAGAATGAGTTTGACAAATTGACCGAAGTAGGCTTCAGAAGGTGGGTAATAACAAACTCCTCCGAGCTAAAGGAGCATGTTCTAACCTAATGCAAGGAAGCTAAGAACCTTGATAAAATGTTACAGGAACTGCTAACCAGAATAACCAGTTTAGAGAAGATCATAAACGACCTGATGGAGCCAAAAAACACAGCATGAGAACTTTCTGAAGCATACACAGGTATCGATAGCCAAATCGATCAAGCAGAAAAAAGGATATCAGAGATTGAAGATCAACTTAATTAAATAAACCATGAAGAGAAGATTAGAGAAAGAAGATTAAAAAGGAACAAACGAAGCCTCCAAGAAATATGGGACTGTGTGAAAAGACCAAACCTACGTTTGATTGGTATACCTGAAAGTGACAGAGAGAATGGTACCAAGTTAGAAAACACTCTTCAGGATATTAGCCAGGAGAGCTTCCCCAACGTAGCAAGGCAGCCCAATATTCAAAATTAGGAAATACAGATAACACCACAAAGATACTCCTCAAGGAGAGCAACCACAAGACACATAATTGTAAGATTCAGCAAGGTTGAAATAAAGGAAAAAAACGTTAAGGGCAGCCAGAGAGAAAGGTCAGGTTACCCACAAAGGGAAGCCCATCAAACTAACAGCGGATCTTTCTGCAGAAACCCTAGAAGCCAGAAGGGGAAATGGGCCAATATTCAACATTCTTAAAGGAAAGAATTTTCAACCCAGAATTTCATATCCCGCCAAACTAAGCTTCATAAGCGAAGGGTAAATAAAATCTTTTACACATAAGCAAATGCTGAGGGATTTTGTCAAGACTGGACCTGCCTTAGAACAGCTCCTGAAGGAGGCACTAAATATGGAAAGGAAGAAACTGGTAACAGACACTGCAAAAACACCAAAATGTAAAGACCATCAATACTATGAAGAAACTGCATCAACCAATGTGCAAAATAACAAGCTAGCATCATGACAGGATCAAATTCACATGTAAAAATATTAGCCTTAAATGTAAATGGCTGAAATGCCCCAATTAAAAGACACAGACTGGCAAACTGGATAAAGAGTCATGACCCATTGGTGTGCTGTAATCAGGAGACCCATCTCACATGCAAAGACACATATAGGCTCAAAATAAAGGGATGGAGGAATATTTACCAAGCAAATGAAAAGCAAAAACAAGCAAGGGTTCCAATCCTACTCTCAGATAAAACAGACTTTAAACCAACAAAGGTGAAAAAAGACAAAGAAGGGCATTACATAATGGTAAAGGGATTAATGCAAGAAGAGCTAACTATCCTAAATATATATGCATCCAATACAGGAGCACACAGATTCATAAAGCAAGTTCTTAGAGACCTACAAAGAGACTTAGACTCCCATACAATAATAGTGGCAGATGTTAACACCCCTCTGTCAATATTAGATCGATGAGACAGAAAATTAACAAGAACATTCAGGACTTGAACCCAGCTCTGAACCAAGCAGACCTGATAGACATCTACAGAACTCTCCACCCCCAATCAAAAGAATGTACATTCTTCTTAGCACCACATAGCACTTATTCTAAAATCGATGACATAATTGGAAGTAAAACACTCCTCAGCAAATGCAAAAGAACACAGAAATCATAACAAACAGTCTCTCAGACCACAGTGCAATCAAATTAGAACTCAGGATTAAGAAATTCACTCAAAACTGTACAACTACATGGAAACTGAACAACCTGCTCCTGAATGACTACTGGGTAAATAATGAAATTAAGGCAGAAATAAATAAGTTATTTGAAAACCAATGAGAACAAAGACACAACATACCAGAATCTCTGAGACATGGCTAAAGCAGTGCTTAAAGGGAAATTTATCGCACTAAATGCCCACAAGAGAAAGCAGGAAAGATCTAAAATTGACACCCTAACATTACAATTAAAAGAACTAGAGAAGCAAAAGCAAACAAATTCAAAAGCCAGCAGAAGACAAAAAATAACGAAGATCAGAAAAGAACTGAAGGAGATAGAGACACAAAAAACCCTTCAAAAATTAATGAATCCAGGAGCTGGTTTTTCTAAAAGATTAACAAAATAGAACACTATCCAGACTAATAAAGAAGAAAAGAGAGAAGAACCAAATAGACACAATAAAAAATGATAAAGGGGAGATCACCACTGATCCCACAGATATACAAACTACCATCAGAGAATACTATAAACTCTATGCAAATCAACTAGAAAATCTAGAAGAAATGGATAAATTCCTGGACACATACACCCTCCCAAGACTAAACCAGGAAGAGGTTGAATCTCTGAATAGACCAATAACAAGTTCTGAAGTTGAGGCAGTAATTAATAGCCTACCAACCAAAAAAAGCCCAGGACCAGACAGATTCACAACCAAATTCTACTAGAGGTACAAAGAGGAGCTGGTACCATTCCTTCCGAAACTATTCCAATCAATAGAAAGAGAGGGAATCCTCCCTAACTCATTTTATGAAGCAAGCATCTTCCTGATACCAAAACCTGGCAGAGACACAACACAAAAAGAAAATTTCAGGCCAATATCCCTGATGAACATCAACGAGAAAATCCTCAATAAAATTCTGGCAAACCAAATCCAGCAGCATATCAAAACCTTATCCACCACGATCAAGTCATCTTCATCCCTGGGATGCAAGACTGGTTCAACATACACAAATCAATAAACATAATCCATCACATCAACAGAACCAATGACAAAAACCACATGATTATCTCAATAGATGCAGAAAAGGCCTTCGACAAAATTCCACACCCCTTCATGCTAAAAACTCTCAATAAACTAGGTATTGATGGAATGTATCTCAAAATAATAAGAGCTATTTATGACAAACCCACAGCCAATATCATACTGAATGGGCAAAAGCTGGAAGCATTCCCTTTGAAAACCAGCATAAGAGAAGGATGCCCTCTCTCACCACTCCCATTCAACGTAGTGTTGGAACTCCTGGTCAGGGCAATCAGAAAAGAGAAAGAAATAAAGGGTATTCACATAGGAAAAGAGGAAGTCAAATTGTCTCTGTTTGCAGATAACATGGTTGTATATTTAGAAAACCCCACTGTCTCAGCCCAAAATCTCCTTAAGCTGATAAGCAAATTCAACAAAGTCTCAGGATACAAAATCAATGTGGAAAAATCACAAGCATTCCTATACACCAATAATAGACAAACAGAGAGCCAAATCATGAGTGAACTCTCATTCACAATTGCTACAAAGAGAATAAAATACCTAGGAATATAACTGACATGGGATGTGAAGGAGCTCTTCAAGGAGAACTGCAAACCACTGCTCAAGGAAATAAGAGAGGACACAAACAAATGGAAAAATATTTCATGCTCATGGATAGGAAGAATCAATATAATGAAAATGGCCATACTGCCCAAAGTGATTTACAGATTCAACGCTATTCCCACTAAGCTATCATTGACTTTCTTCACAGAATTAGAAAAAAACTACTTTAAACTTCATATGGAACCAAAAAAGAGTCCATATAGCCAAGACAATCCTAAGGAAAAAGAACAAAGCAGAAGGCATCACACTACCTGAATTCAAACTATACTACAAGGCTATAATAACCAAAACATCATGGTACTGCTACCAAAACAGACATATACACCAATGGAGCAGAACAGAGGCCTCAGAAATAACACCACACCTCCATAACCATCTGATCTTTGACAAACCTGACAAAAATAAGCAATGTGGAAAGGTTTCCCTATTCAATAAATGGTGTGGCAAAAACTGGCTAGCCATATGAAGAAAACTGAAACTGGATCACTTCCTTACACCTTATACATAAATTAACTCAAGATGGATTAAAGACTTAAACATAAGAACTAAAACTATAAAAACCCCAGAAGAAAACCTAGGCAGTACCATTCAGGACATAGGCATGGGCGAAGACTTCATGACTAAAACACTAAAAGCAATGTCAACAAATGCCAACATTGACAAATGGGATCTAATTAAACTAAAGAGCTTCTGCACAGCAAAAGAAACTATCATCAGAGTGAATAGGCAACCTACAGAATGGGAGGAAATTTTCGCAATCTATCCATCTACAAAGGGCTAATATCCAGAATCTATAAGAAACTTAAACCAATTTACAAGAAAAGAAAAACAACCCCATCAAAAAGTGGGTGAAGGAAATGAATAGACAGTTCTCAAAAGAAGACATTTATGCAGACAACAAACTTATGAAAAAAAGCTCATCATCACTGGTCATTAGAGAAATGCAAATCAAGACCACAATGAGATACCATCTCACGCCAGTTAGAACGATGATGATTAAAAAGTCAGAAAACAACAGATGCTGGAGAAGATGTGGAGAAATAGGAATGCTCTTACACTGTTGGTGGGAGTGTAAAGTAGTTCAACTATTGCGGAAGACTGTGGTGATTCCTCAACGATCTAGAACTAGAAATACCATTTGACCCAGCCATCCCATTACTGGGTATATACCCAAAGGACCATAAATCATTCTACTATAAAGACACATGCACACGTATGTTTATTGCAGCACCATTCACAATAGCAAACACCTGGAACAAACCCAAATGCCCATCAACGATAGACTGGATAAAGAAAATGTGGCACATATACACCACGGAATACTACGCAGCCATAAAAAAGGATGAGTACATGTCCTTTGCTGGAAACCATCATTCTCAGCAAACTAACACAGGAACAGAAAACCAAACGCCGCATGTTCTCACTCATAAGTGGGAGTTAAACAATAAGAACATATGGACACAGGGAGGGGAACATCACACACCAGGGCCTGTTGGGGGGAGCGGGGGAAGGGGAGGGATAGCATTAGGAGAAATATCTAATGTAGATGACTAGTTGATGGGTGCAGTAAACCACCATGACACATGTATACCTATGTAACAAACCTGCACGTTCTGCACATGAATCCCACAACTTAAAGTATAATAAAAAAAAGAAAAAATAATTTATATTTCCAACTTTGTCACAGTTATAAGGAAGTACCTCTGCTCTTTATTTACAATTGTACTCTGATGCAACTACTTTTTCCTGACCCTTGCTTCTTTGATACTCAAAATCCTTAAATTTTTAAAGAGAAATATTCATAAGTGTAAGTAATTAAATCTGTAGTTATTTGTTTAAGGTCTGTCTCTGCCAATAAAGAATAAGCTTTGAAAGGGGAGGGATTGTTTAATTCTTACTCACCAATGAACCCCCAATGTCTAGGATTTTAAGCCATTTTGAATAAATGGATTAATTGATGAGTAAGTAAGTGAATGAATTGCTAGGGTCATTGGGAACCATATCACTGAACTAATGACTTGTGATCTAATTTTGAATCTTTAGGGTCTACCTAGACTAAAGTCTCTGAAAGGCAACAGAACAAGACAACTGGGTTCATATAAGTTCATCAGATAAGCTCAGCCACAGTCTGTGGTTATAAACTGTAATAGTTCCCTTCTTCTCCCTGGAATATAATGTTTTCCTCCTTACTTTTGCTTGTCTTTCACTTCCCATTCTCTATCTCTCTTTTGGTTGCTCCCCACCTTAGTCCCATTTCCTTTTCCACTTGTCTGTATTGACACCCATCCTACTAGAATCACTTCCTTCTCCATCCATTACTTCAACATATGATGTATTGAGCACTTAAAATGTATAAGATTATAAGAAATACATAGAAGAAGACACAAGTGTCTGCTCTCAATAAACTTGTAATATGCAGGAGTTACGTACATATAACCAAGTTTCAGGGCAGAGGGGATAGATGCCATGAGGGAAATGCAGATACAGAGCTATGAGTATTCAAAGGAGATGTTTAGAACATCGATTCTCCCCCCTGGTTCACATTTGATTCATCAAGGATGCTTTTTAAAACTGACTGCTGATCATTGAAGCACTTTCAAAATGATGGAATGAGGAGCTTGACATATCTTACTCCCCAATAACTATGATACAACTATACAAAACTGTCACAGTTATTTCAGGACTCTAGAAATTAACAAAAGGTATTCAACAAGTTGAAAAGTGTTTATTCAAAATACTACTTAACCTCTGTAAGAATAGTGGGGTATGTCATGTTTTTAAAAAGGTTTATTTTTTCCATTCACCTCACTCAGCCACTAGTAGAGTAGCTGTGAGGATCAGCAGCTTGGTTGTCAGCAGAAGAGGGCTGACTTAATTTGTTCTTGGGCACCTGAGAAGAATGGGTATTCTGCTGTTCTCGAGAGGAGTATAGATATCAGTTAAGCCTCTTTAGCTTTAGTGTGGTTCAAGTCCTTTGTTTTCTTGTTGATCATTTGCCTTGTGGAAAGTAAGTTACTGAAGTATCCAGTTATTATTGTTGAACTGTCTATTTCTGCCTTCAATTCCATCAGTTATTATTTCACGTACTTTGGGGGTTTTGTTGGCAAGTACATATGCGTTTATAATTATTATGTTTTCCTGATTGACGGACTCATTTACAATTATAAAATGTCCTTATGTGTCTCCAGTTAAATTTTTTATAATTAGTATCATATATAAAGTCTATTTTTCTGACATTTATATAAATTCTCTAGCTCTATTTGGCTACAGTTTGCATGGCATGTATTTTTCTATACTTTTACTTGAAATCTGTGTCTTTGAACAAATACATTGAATATTTCAATCGAAAACATGTTGCTTGTAGATAGTTGGATCTTTCCTTGTTAATCTACTCAGCAACCTCTAGCTTTTGACTGTAGTGTCTAAATAATTTGCATTTCATGAGATTACTGATAAGGTAGAATTTATACCTGCCATCTGTTATTTGTTTTCTCTATGACTTACGTTTTCTGTTCCTCTGTTTCTCTCTTACTACCTTCTTTTGTGTTAAATAGGTATATTTTCTAGTGTATTACCTTGATTCTCTTGTTTTGTTACTGAAATTTTTTAAGTTAAATTCATTGTTAATGGTTGGCCTGAGGACTGCAATTAATTTGTAACAATCTACTTCAGTTCATACAACTTAATTTCAATAGTATACAAAAACTTTGCTCTTATCTGCCTCTACTTGTTCTCCCTCCCATGTGCTATTACTGTCATACAAATTACATCCTTATGCTTTCTAAGTCCATCAACACAGTGATATAATTATTGTTTTATATGGTTGTCTTTTAAATAAGAGTTAAACGAAAAGTTACCAAAAAAAATTCATTCAGTCTTTTATATTTGCCAGTGCAGTTACCTTTATTCGTATTCTTTATTTCTCTGCATTCAAGTTATTTTCGAGTGTCCTTTATTTCTCACACATCAGTTCTCTCCCAGTGATGAGTTTTCTAAGTTTTTGTTTATCTGAAAATGCATTTTTTTTCTTCAGGTTTCAAGGGTAATTTTAATTGATATAGAATTCCTAATAATCTTTTTGTTTCAGCAGATTGAATTTATTATTTCACTACTTCCTGTCATAAGAAGGCCAGGAATCAGCTATCATATTGAGGATCACTTGTATGCTTCTCTCTTGATGCTTCTTCTTGATGTTTCCCACATTCTCTGTCTTTGTCTTTCAAAGGTATAATTAGGACGTAACTAGGTGTGGATCTCTTTGAATTTATCCTATTTCAATTTTGTTGAGGTTTTTCAATGTGTAGATTCATGTTTGTCTCAAATGTGTGAATCCTTTGGCCATTTTTTATTTAAATATTCTTTCCTCCCATTTCTCTCTCACTCCTTTCTTCTGAGACTCTCATTATGTGCAGGCTGGCTTATGTGATGGTGTCCCATATATCTCTGCATTTGGTTCATTTTACTCTATACAGTTTTTTTCCTATTCCTCAGACTGGTTGATATCACTGACCTATCTTTAAGTTTCCTGATTTTTTTTTCTACCAGCTTAAATCTGCTATTAATGCCCTCTAGTGAATTTGTTACTTCATCTATTATAATTTTCAACTCCAAAATTTCTATTTGGCTCTTTTTGAAATGATTTGTATCTCTTTATTAATATTCTCTATTTGATGAGATATCAGTATCTCTTTTGTTTTACTTCTTTAGGCATGGTTTCCTTTAGTTCTTTTTAAACATATTTAGAATTGCTAATTCAAAGTCTTCATCTAGTCAGTTTAACACCTGGACCTCCTCCCAGACAGTTTCTGTTACAGGCTTTTTTCCCCTCTGTATGGGCCTTAGTTTCCTGTGTCTTTGCATATCTCTTAATATTTTATGTTGTTTTTAAAAACTGGAAATTATAAATAATATAACGTGGCAACTCTGATAATAACCGAGTTTGCTGTTGTGCTGCCAGTTGGTGATAGTTCTTCTTTCATACCTTCTAAAATTTATTGTGTAAAGTCTGAATTCTTTACACTGTTGATCACTTTAAGTGTCTAGTTAGTTTAGTGGTCAGCTAATGTTTGAACAAAGCATTTTAAATGCCTAAACCAATAAATATTCACCAAATATTCACCTCTTCACCAAAGGACACTGTATAAGTTGACATGCATCATCAGTGATCTAGCAGTTGACAATTCTGCCTTAGCTTTCACTTCTTACTTATACAGAGCCTCAAGTTGAGCTAGACATGAGAGTTTAGAGCTGTCTCAAGCTTTTCCTCAGCATGCAACCAACCCTGAACAGGCACACACTTCTAAATCTGTATGCTGTTGTCTAGATCCCCAGGAATGTATCAGCGATTTTCAAAGTCCCCTGTGAACATTTTATTCCCAGATTTTCTATTTAAATTTCTTTCTTTTTGGCAGATAATTCACTCCAGCTGATAGCCCTCTGTCAGGCAGCTACAATTAAATCATCACCATCTTTTGTTTTCAACAAATGCTCAAGAGAAAAAGCTGTTCACATTGATTGAGTTCTGGGTTAGGGCAGATGGAGATACGCCTTATGAGTGGAAGTTTACTATAAGTTACCAAACAAATAATACAATAACAATTCTGTACAACAAACCTCCACGATACAAGTTTACCTGTGCAACAAACCTGTACTTGTACCCCTGAACTTAAAATAAAAGTAAAAAAAAAGACAATTATTTGGTAATGGGGCTTTCTGGAAAGCTACCAAACCATTCTGTTGCTGTTAATGACTATGAGGCTCCTGGTTTTCACAGATACCATGTTTGGGAGAATATTAGCTTTTAAGGGTATAATGGAGCTAGTAAAAGAGAATAGCAATAGGGGAAGTTAGAACACCACAAAGCTCACTGTTCTTGCTGAAATTCAGCAATTTTTATTGAATAACTCTTGCTCAGACTGTTTTAAACCTTTTACTTTTCAGTATTCTGAAATAGTTGATTTAGATAACTTTTATCAGTTTTCTTATTGCTTTTATGAATAATCTTTTAATAATTTCAACTTTTATTTTAGATTCAGAGGGTATGTGTGCAGGTTTTTTACATGCAGTATGTAATACTCAGTATGTAATACTGAGGTTTGGAATATAAATTTTCCCATCACCCAGATAGTGGGCATAATACCCAATAGGTAGTTTTTCTATCCTTGCCACCCTTCCTTCCTCCACTCTCTAGTAGTCCCCAGTGTCTATTGTTCCCATCCCTCGGTCCGTATGTACCCAATGTTTAGCTCCCTCTTGTAAGTGAAAACGTGCATTGTCTGGCTTTCTGTTCTTGCATTAATCAGCTTAGAATGATGACCTCTAGCTGCATTTATGTTGCTGCAAAGGACTTGACTTCATTCTTTTTTATGGCTGTGTAGTATTTCATGGTGTACGTATACCACTTTTTCTTTATCCAATCCACGGTCTGTGGGCACCTAGGTTGATTTCATGTCTTTACTATTGTGAATTCCAGTGCAATGAATGTAAAAAGTATATTTGTGTTTTGGTAGAATAATTGATTTTTCTTTTAGTATATACCCAGTAATGGAATTACAGGATTGAATGGTAGTTTTGTTTCCAGCTCTCTGAGAAATCTCCATAATGCTCTTCATAGTGGCTGAACTAATTTATATTCCCATCAAAAGTATTAAGTGTTTCCTCTTCTCCAAAGCCTCACTAGTAACTGTTATGTTTTGTCTTTTTCATAATAGCCATTCTGACTGGTGTGAGATGGCATCACATTGTGGTTTTGATTTGCATTTCCCTGATAATTCGTGATTTTTTTAAATCTTTTTATGTTTGTTGGCCACTTGTATGTCTTCTTTTGAAAAAAAATTCTGTTCATATCCTTCGCCCACTTTCTTAATGGGGTTATTTGCCCACTTTTTAAATGGGGCTGGTTGTTTTTTCCTTATTAAGTTCCTTATAGATTCTGGATATCAGACCTTTGTCATTGTACAGTTTCCAAATATATTCTCCCACTTTGTGGGTTGTCTGTTTACTCTGTTGATAGCTTCTTTTGCTGTGCAGAAGCTCTTTAGTTTAATTAGGTCCCATGTGTCAATTTTTGTTATGACTGCAATTGCTTTTGAGGACTTAGTCATAAATTCTTTGCCAAGGTTTAGGTCAAGAATGGTCTTTTTGAGATTTTCCTCTAGGATTCTTATAGTTTGAAGTTTTACTTTTAATCTTTAATCCATCTTGAGTTAATTCTTATAAATGGTAAAAGGTAGAGATCCAGTTTCATTCTTCTGCATATAGCTAGCCAGTTATCCCAGCACCATTTATGCAATAGAGAGTCCTTTCACCATTGCTCATCTTTGTCAATTTTGTGAAAGATCAGATGGTTGTAGGCATGCAGCTCTATTTTTGGGTTCTCTATTCTGTACCATTGGTCTATACGTCTGTTTTTGTACTACTACCATCCTGTTTGTTTACTGTAGCTTTTTAGTATAGTTTGAAGTTGGGAAAATGTGATGCCTCTGGCTTTGTTATTTTTACTCAGGATTTGTTTGGTTATTTGGGCTCTTTTATGATTGCATATGAATTTACAACTTTTTTTCTATTTATGTGAAAAATGATGTTGGAAGTTTAATAGGAATAGCATTGAATCTATAAAATGCTTTTAGCAGTATGGTCATTTTAACAATATTGGTTCTTCCTATCCATGAGCACAGAGCGGTTTTTCCATTTGTTTGTGTCATCTATGATTTCTTTCAGCAGTGTTTTCCAGTTGTCCTTGCAGAGAACTTTCACTTCCTTGGTTAGATGTATTCCTAGGTTTTCAGTTTCATTTTATTTGTGTGTGTGTGTCTATAGTAAGTGGTACTGCATTTTTTATTTGGCTCTCAGCTTGAACATTATTAGTTTACAGAAATGCTGCTGATTTTTGTATGTTGATTTTGTAACCTGAAACAAAATTTGATTATTAGTTCCAGGAGCCTTTTTTGGGGGTCTTTAGGGTTCTCTATGTACAGCATCATATCATCAGGAAAAGAGAGAATTTGACTTCTTCCTTTCTTATATGAATACCTTTTATTTCTTTCTCTTGACTGATTGCTCTGGCTAGGACTTCCTGAAAGACGTTTTCGTAGGTACTCATTATACTAGTCTAGCAGTGCTTCCCAAGCTGTGTATTGGACTGATCTTATTTGAACACTTGCAAAAGAAAACAAAAAACAAAAACAAAAACAAAGGCCCATGCCTAGGAGCTTTGCTGAAAATAACAGTGATCTCTAGCTCAGCAATCAAGCAAAAAAGGCCAAGATCAGAGCTGCCTGAAGCTGAAATATTGGTTGGGGCAAACCAGCCCAAAAAATTAACAAAGAGATCTAGGCAATGAGATAGACATAGTGGGCTTTGATAAACTCCCAGATATTCCTATTGAAGAGAGGGGAGAAAAAGCAATCTGTGTGGATGTTAAGGAGAGACCAGAATCGGCCCGTTATCCGTGCGTCTTTTCCTGAATTGGAGGTCCTACACAAGCAGAAAGTTAAAGCTGGTAAAAAATGTGTAAACTATTGCCATTTTGAACATATGCCTCAATCTACGCAGAGATTTCTTCAGCAACAGTTGGGAGCCCTATAGGCTCAAGCTGTCTGAGCACAACCTCTGACCAATAATTGGCTAACATTGAGGATTTGCTAGCCAAAGATGCAACACTTTAGAAGCCAGCCTTAAAAATAAACACAAGAATACAAAGAATGAGCAGGAATATTAGTGACTGCACACTCCACAGGAGATCTACTCTACATAATTTGTTCAATCAAGTCATTAAACTAGTAAACAAACAAAAAACACCAGGAGCAGCAATAAGCAATCACTACTACCACTCCTTGGAAAGGGATCAGAATTTATAGCTGCCACAACATATCATCTAAAATATCCAGTTTTCAATGAAAATTACAACATAAGCAAATAAAGAAGGAAATGTCATTTATGGATAGAAAAAAAAAAAGCAATCAACAAAAACTGACTCTGAGACGGTTGAGATGTTGGACTTAACAAAAAATACTTCAAACCAGCTATTACAAATAAGTTCAAAGAACTCAAGAAAATCATGCGTAAAAAACCAAAGGAAAGAATGACGTCAATGTCTCACCAAATATCAACAAAGAGATGATTTTTTTTAAGAACCAAATAAAAATTCTGGAGTTGAAAGTACAACAGCTGAAATTTTAAAGTAACTAATAGGGCTTAACTGCAGACTTAAGCTGGCAGAAAAAAAAATCAGAGAATTTGAAGATAAGTCAACAGACATTATCCATTCTGGGAAGCAGATCAAAAACACTGAAGAAAAATGAACATAGTCTTAGAGATATGGGTGACATCATCAAGTATACCAACATGTGTTATTAAAATTTTAGAAGGAGGCTGGGCACAGTGGCTCATGCCTGTAATCCCAGCACTTTGGGAGGCCGAGGTGGGTGGAACACTTGAGGTCAGGAGTTCGAGACCACCCTGACCAACATGAGGAAACCCAATCTCTACTAAAAATGCAAAAATTAGTCAGGCAATGATGGTGGGTGCCTGTCATTCCAGCTACTCAGGAGGCTGAGGCAGGAGAATCACTTCAACCTAGGAGGTAAAGGTTGCAGTGAGCCGAGATCGTACCACTGCACTCCAGTCTGGGCGACAGAGCAAAACTCCGTCAAAAAAAAAAAAAAACCCTAAAAGAAGACAGACTGAAAGTGACAGAAATGTTTGAAATAATACTGGCTGAAAACATTCCAAATTTTCATAAAACTACCCCTGCTTGGGACCCACCATGGGCCAGGTGAACCAGAGTATCTGAAAATAAAGACCAGGTACTACTATGAAGTTAGGCGATTTCGGGGTGCAGACAGAACTGAGGACTACAGATCTGAATAAATGGTTTGCAATTATGATTACTCATTAAAAATATAGTCTGTGGAGTTTATATAAACTCTCGCCCCCGAAAATTCTGAATTAATTATTCTGAGATATGCCCAAAGCATGTCCCCCCCGGCCCCTGCCACTCTGCAACCCAGGCTGGAGTGCAGTGATGCACCCCAACCTCCAACCTCTCGGCTCACCCCAACCTCCAACTCCCGGGTTCAAGCAGTTCTCCTGCCTCAGCTTCCCAAGTAGCTGGGATTACAGGCACCGGCCATCATGCCCAGCTAATTTTGTGTTTTTAGTAGAGATGGGGTTTCACCATTTTGGGCAGGCTGCTCTTGAACTCCTGACCTCAAGCAATCCACCAGCCTCTGCCTCCCAAAGTGCTGGGATTACAGGCATGAGCCACTATGCCTAGCCAAGCATAGGAATTTTTAAAGCTCTCTAATGTGGAGTCAGCCAGGAACCACTGATATAAAGAAAAGTGTGATTGCTTCCTTTATTTAAAAATAAAAAGATAACAATACTAACATACCTCAACTTTAAAAAGCAATTTTAATAATTATATTCACATTTTTTACACTTCCAGCAAAATGTCATCACCACCAATCATCATCTTTTCATTGGAAGATATTTTCTATATATATGTAAATATTAAAATCTAAATTTCTTAATCGTGAGGATTAAAGGTGCAACTAAATTATTCACATAACCTACCACCGAGCAATCTTGTAAGCATAATAAACATCACAATATATTATCCTATTATGAAAAAAGAAAATAACATTATGATACAAGATTTTATAGTTAATTTGTTTGAGATTACATTTCTTTTTTATTTTTAAAGGAAGCTAAAGATCATAGAGCAAGGAACTTAATAACTTTTGTGAAATAATTCTCTTAACTACATTACAGAAAAATATTATTACATTATACCAGCTATCAAGACCTTGCAGAAATAAAAATGAAGACTTGATAAACAATCCATTTTGATTGCAATTCAATACATCCCTCAATCACTGTTCCAAAGCCCACTATCTTATCTAGGCCTCCTGAGTAGGGACAATGTCTCCACATTTTGGATGATATTATCAAGTTTTGAAAATACAACCAAAGCGATGCTAATTTCTGATTTTTCTCAATGCAAAAGAATGAAACTCCTGTAAAGCATTAGTGTGAATTTTCCAGAATTTAACACATTGTGATATAATTTTAGTTGTTCTTATAATAAAGAAAATGTCAGAGTCTCAGAGACTGATTTGGGTGCTGTATACCCTGAAGTCGTCTAATCCTACCATTTGGGCACCAGTCCATAATACTTTAAATGCCAGAGAAGCGTATTCATCTGTATTTAACCCACTGGCTATTATTTCAATCACCCAGTCACTGCAGCTGACTGCACCACTTATGACCCCTGCTGTGCTCATCTCCACAGGGGATAGGCAAAAAATTGGGTATGATGGGATGCCATTGTGAGCTGGCATTAGAGTTTTGCCTTTCCCAATGCTGAACACTGTAACTGATTAGGCAGAAAGGCACGGAGGAGCATTTGGACAGGAAGGGAAATGCCTTGTTACCTCTTAGTGCACACTTGAGTGGGTCTCGCAGACCTCTCTTTGTCCTCGTGTCTGAGTTGCCTTTCCCTCTATAGTTGATAATGGACAAAAAGTACTGCCCTGTGTGCTGTGTTTTTAAAATATCAAAATTTAGTAATTGAGAAAATAATTTATGGAGAAAACAGAAAAAAAATAAACGAGGTGGACAAAACCTCAGTGACTTTAGTAGGTTCCCATTGTTCTTGCTATAATTTTGAGTACTGAGAATTTGGTTTTAAGAGACCCTACTAGCAATTTATTTTTTCTCTTTTGCATTTCCACATCTATGAAGTCAAGTTGGGCCTCTTGAGACTTTTGTTCTATACGGTCATGACTGTTTTAAGCAACTTTATTATGAAGGTAAAACAGAGTAGCAGTATGGTTATATCCTCCCACGTAGATGCCTAGGGTGAGCACATTTTCCCTTGGGTTTCCCTGGGATGTGGAAGCATATTCCTTCTATAATAGCATCTTGAGCTGTTAAAGCCCACTGGAGAACTGTTCTCCGGAGATACAAGGAATGTGAAAACTAGGGGAGTGAAGTCAGGAAAAGATGACTACATAGCATTAGAGCCTGAATGGAAGAGAGGCGAGAATTTAAATGTCTCAGGAGGAGCCACAACGCAAAGAGAAGAGAAAAACTTCAATAAAAGAGCATTTGGGGAAATGTAAACTGACTGATCATTTGGGAAATCAGTTTGGGGCAAGCTTCTCACACTGTTTAGGAGGCAGAACCGTGCCTATTGCCAGTCTTATCATACAGTCTAATAAACAGATTCCTGCCCTGCATCATAAAGAACGCAGAAGTAAGTGCAACCCTCCAAGTTAGACCAAATCCAGCTTAGTCTGAACCCTACCTGTTCCCCAGGTGCTATCTGACTTGTACTTGGAAGTACTATATAATCTTTCATTCACTGTTCTCTCTAATCCTAGAGAGCATCTGTGCATTATTTGTAAAGAGAGTTTTCAAAAAGACTTAAGGATTTAGTCCTGCATCTTGAATTTTAAAATACTAGAAGTTGCAAATCAAATGAGAAAAGGAAATGACAAAATATCAAAATGTCCCTTTCCATTTCCTATTAACTACAAAATCTAACTAACCCACGTAACACACACCCACCCTTAAATGCTCTTCCTTTATCTCTTCAAACAGTCAGCTTTTTATCATCCTTTGAGACTCAATTTAAATGTCAAGGCCACCAGTCAATAGCATCTGGCTTGGTTTTTCTCTCTAAAATTTCTTTATTTCTTTCATAACTACTATCATTTGTTAGTTGCCTATCTGCTATTTAAATGCAACTTCAGTGAAATAAGAACCATATTTATCACAGACCCTAGCACACAGACAACAGGTCATAAATATTTCTTATGTAATTAATATATTTAGACCAGAAAAATATATTTTGTAGCTCCTCTTGATAGGCCATATTTCTAAGGGGAGTAACTCTTAGCTCTAACAAACAATATCAGATACAAGTTACCCTTGTACTTTGTACATATGTATCTTTACGTTCATAAAACACATTAATTCCTTCTTTTATAAATGAGACTCATTTTTTGAGCACCTGTAATGTAACAAATGTTGTTTTAGATTTTCAGAGCAACAAAAATGAATATGGCATGGACCCTGGCAGGAGGAACCCACAATGTTGAACATCATGGTTGTGATACTAGACTTCATGCAACTTGCCCAGTCCTTTTATTACTCTGTGCCATTTTACATGCTGTTTCTATTTCCTGGAATGCCTTGGTAGCTTCTTTCTCAGCTTGAAATACCTTCCTCATTCTCCAAAATTTACTGAATGGTGATGATATATGCTGCGTTTTAAACATACACACAGAGAAAAAAACACAGGTTTTTTTTACAACTGCCATCTAGAACCATGGTCTTGTTACAATAAAGAAAAACCATGCTGAAAATATTGACAGTGCAACTTCTCTAAAATAATGTGTCTTTGAATTCCTGATGCAAACACAGGAAGCCTCAAAGATGTTAGGCAAACTGAGATTTAGATTACTATGCTTTGAAATTAGATGGTGCTTGGGGATGGCAGGTTAGAAATAGCTAGAAAACTACTTTATGCTGTGAGCCTAACTGAAAGAAATTTATCATTTCAGAAGTGTAGAATATCAGCAATTAAGAGTTTCTGCCTTAAAAAGTATGTAAACGTTTAGATTCTAGATGCTGTTTCCTTAGTAAGAACAGTGCTGAAAAGAACACTACCAAAGAAGCTTTAACCCTTAAAATACAGTCTTGTGTGTGCTTTCCCCATAGAGTTTAACGCAATCCTGCCTTTTCTAGAAAGAGATTAAAGAAAAATAGCATAACCAATTTTAAATAGAGAATCAAACAAAATTCCTGACACATGCAAAAACTCATAAATTAAAGTTTAGTAGATAATATCGTAGAAATACCATTATATTTATCAAATACCCTTAAAAGCTTTGTGTATTGCCAAAATGGCATACAATACTGAAAATCATAAACGTAATTTACCACATTTCAGAGAACTCTGTGATATACTGTCCACAATTTTTAATAGCTTTTATAGACAACTATAACATATTTTGGAAATAGAACAAGAGCAGCCCAGGATCTTTTTCTGTCAACCACTAATTTACCAGAAGACAAACTTTCTGGAACTTGTTGTCAGCTCCAGAATGAGGATGATTTTCTCTTTTCTTCTCTTTTATTTTGAGGATTACAATTACCTGTGAGTGCTTTAAAAATGTGTAGAAGGTTTGCACATTTCTATGCCACACTACACAGTCACCTTCAAATACCTAGAAAATATGACTGTTTTCTAACAATATTTCATCTGTTTTTCTTTCTCTAAAAAGTACATACTACAGATGATAAAATTGCTGAATATACCTCATGAATAAATTTTACTAAAATTTTCAAGAGTGTGAAAACATATGACATGAGTACCTAGCCAATCAATTACAGTACCTGCCACAATTTAGCCCTCACACTTCACCACATGGCCACAGATTTAAAAGAGAGCAAGCATCATCAGCTAAGCAGACCATGGTAAACTTCCCCTCAAAAGATCTTCATTACAGATAAACCCTTCTTTATTCAGCCATGGGGCAGAGTGTGTTTTCCAAGTTGGCAATTCCTAATGATTTGATCATGTACTAATTTATCATTCAGAATCCAGTCTCTAGTCAAGGTCCTTCATCAGGAGTCTGGGACTCCTCACCTGCCTTCCCCAATCCTCCAGCCACTGCATATTGAGTCATTCAAGGCCTTCCAAAGAGCCATGCTCCACTCCAAGAGTAGGGAGTTTTGTTACTGTCCTTCCTACAAACTCTTTCTTCTATCTTTTTTTTTTTTTTTTTTTTTGGTGTTGTGTTTTTTTTGTTTTGTTTTGTTTTTTTTTTTGAGACAGAGTCTCACTCTGTCACCCAGGCTGGAGTACAGTGGTGAGATCTCAGCTCACTGCAACCTTTGCCTCCCAGGTTCAAGCAATTCTCCTGCTTCAGCCTCCTGAGTAGTTGGGATTACAGGCACATGCCACCACACCCAGCTAATTTTTGTACCTTTAGTAGAGACGGGGTTTCACAATGTTGGTCAGGCTGGTCTCGAACTCCTGACCTAGCGATCCACCCGCGTTGGCCTCCCAAACTGCTGGGATTAAAGGTGTGAGCCACATCACCCAGCCCTCTTCTATCTTTTAAGCAACCACAAAACAATTCCTTTGGTTGCCCATGTGAGGGAAAATTCTCTTCATCTTTAGATTTCTCCATCTGTAATAGAATGACTTATTCAAATGGTATTTATTTTCTGCTGTCCTGTAAATTCCTTGAGGGCAGATATAGGTCACTTTTTTTTTCATTTCTATAATGTATTGCCTATTGTTTTTAACATGACAATACTGAATAAAGCTTTCTTAACAAATACACATCTGAGTTTTTATCTCTTCTCCAGAGCACTATTTAGGAGGGAGGTAGTGAACTATGTATCTTCCTGGTCTAGACATGGGCTTTTTATTCCTCTCTGACTTAATGTCTATGGTAATTGCTCCCACCCTGCACCAACGCCTCAAGTCCATTTCCATACAGAAGCCAGACTGATCTTATGAGAGCATATATTAGAGCATTTCCTTTCCCTGATTAAATTTCTCCAGTGATTTTCCACAGGCACTTAAAATTAAATTCAAATTCCCTCTTCTGGCCTTGGTGATCTTGTCTTGTACATGTCTTCATCCTCCCCTGATACTTCTCTTCTTCCTGCTCACTGCATCTCAGCCACAATGGTCTTCTTTATGGTCTTGGAACATCCAGGTAATTTCCAAATTAGTACATTGAATTTACCATCCTCTCAGCCTGCAACTCTGTGCTTCCGTATCTTCACAGGGCTAGTTTAGCTCACTGATACTTCCTCTAAAAGCCTTCTCTGAGTATGGTGTCCAAAGTAGCTGCCCAAGATGCTCTCTGTCACATCACCTACTTTATGTTCTTAACAGCTCTTACAATTTTCTGAAATTTTTCAAGGCATAGATTTATTACCTGTCTTCCCCACTGTGTTAATCCCATGAGATTAGGAATCCCATCTGTTTTATTTCCCACAATATCCTTAGTACTTAAAACAGTGTCTGGCATATAGTAGGCACTCAATACATGATTACTGAATAAATAAATGAATGAAACTGGTTTTTGCCTCCACACTTCAAACAATTACTTTTTAATTTTCTTTTACAATTTTATTCTCAAAACTAGCTCTATTTTATATTCTAAGGGTAATCCCAAAATACTACATACAGAAATCATGGCTTAGTCATCTTCGAATTTATTCAGTCTAGCATGTGTCAGGCACATAGTTGGTGCTCAGTATTTATAAAATTCCTTATGTATATAATCATTTATTCTCATATGTGCTCAGGAGTTATATGTATAGATGTACCCAAATGCAAACTCCAATTTATGAATATATTTTATTATTGAAGTTCATTTTTCACTTTGTTCATTTGGTTAGAAAAATATGTTTTCTGAGTTTTAATTTTGTAGAGGAGAAGTTCTACTCACAGATTAACTGATAATCTATTTAGCCTATCACCTTCTGAACTCCACAACCTAACAGTTTCTTATAAAATTCTTATTAACTCTGACCCCAGCTTGTTTTGGTAAAGAAAATCTACAGTACTGATTTATTTAGGTCATCTACCCTTTCCTTCTTCTTTGGGCTTATTTGTGAGTATAATTAAAATTATTTCTTAAATAGCTACCCATCTTTCTAAATCAAATCAATTTTTGGAATTACTGCACATATTCACACACAAATACACACATTTTTTCTTCATTGTTCTTGCTTTGGTTTGTTTCGTCTATAATTTACAATTTCATTTGCTAATGATATGAATAAATTCTTCGGCTATACTCACTATTTTTCCTTTACTATCATGAAATTAATTAAGATAACTTAGTCACTTTGTCCCGAGTCTCTTATCACTTTTCATATTAATAATTAGTTCTCTCTATGGTCAGGATTAATTCCAGACTCTGCATTCCTCAAATTGTTGTCTTCATTTTCTGATTGACAAAATAATCCAAGGCAATTGAAAAGTATTTTTTAAATCTCTTTTACAAATTTGAGACTGTTAACAAGTGTCCAAGTATGGGAGGTCCTCTATTCAAAAACCTTCCATTGCTTCTTCCACTCCTGGAATCTGGTTTAGGAAAGTCTTAATCACAACCCATTCTGCCTGAAGCAATTAAAACTATATGTCTGTTCTAGACAGGAATCCCTTGATTCTAAGGAATAAAAGACTTTCCAAATGAGATCAAGTGAGGGGACTCAAAAAGGATGCAGTGGACTATCACAAAGAATCAGGCCATGCAGCAGGAAGACCTGGAGCAACTAAGAAGCAAAGCACTTTGGTTCAAATTCTACCCCTACCATTTATAAAATCGGTAAATCTGAGCAGCCGCTCTTCTCAATAGAAAACATTTCTAGCATTCTATAGAAACACACTTGTTTTATTTTATAAATACCAAATTATAACAACCTTGTAGATTATGAACCTTAGTAGTCCATAAAAATCATGCCTATGAAATGTCAATATTTCGAAGCTTATAAAAAGTCAAAGAAAGGACTCAACTTTAAAAATTCTATTCTAGGCTATTAGAGAATCCTAGTAGCCCACCAAAGAATCCTGGACCCTACTTTGAGAAACACTTTCCTCCAAAAAGAAAGAAATCTCAGTGGTTAAGAGCATAGGACCTGGAGTCGGAAAAGCTTGCATTTAAGTCTGTAGTCTAGCAAAAATGTTCTGTATAAATTTAGGCAAGGTATTTTAACATCTCTTTATAGAGAGAAATATAAAGCATGAAGCAGAAATATGTTTATGTACTTCCTCATTCATAAAGTGAGAATTACAGAATTCACCTCCTAGATTTATTATGAGCAATAAATAAAATGATATCTGAGGTTAGTGAAATGATGTCCTAGAGTATTAGCTATTACTTCCATTGTATACACACACACACACACACACACAAAATTCAACAGAACTTCTCACCTCTTGAAGATTGATAATGTACCCAATAACCACATTTCTGCCTTTTTATCTGGATACTTTTTTCTCCTTCTGAATCAACATTATCTCACTGAGACTGTAAGATAACCAAGAACAGAGATTACATCTCAAAATTTGCCTGAAACATCTAAACAACTGGATTAAAACTTTTGGGTAATGTTATTACTGTGAAGTAGGAGAGATGGCTATAAAATTACCTAATCTATAATTAATCCTATTTTTCTTCTGGATCCATCTTTTTTTGAAGTCCATAAAATTCAGTAGAGTTCACCTCATAACACTGTTAGAAAGAATACGTCTTGTAATAATTGTTTCCTAGGTTGGAAAATCACATAGAATAAACTGACAACAACTTGTCCAATAATAAAACAATTTTCTTTTAAAGCAAACTCATTTTTTTCCAGTCTGATTGATGCTTTCTTATTGAGCCTAGATATGAGTTTGTTAAAAAGTTCTATAAATCTTTAGCATTCAAATTCTATTCTTTTAAATTTCAGACGCAGGATAAATGTTGAGAAAAGCACACCTATAGCTAACACCTCCTGCCCAAGACTCTTAAGACAAGTCACTTCATGCTAAATCTGAGCATACAAATTGGAAGGATACTGCTAAAGCTGCAGAAGGACATGAACAGACACCCCAAAGAATTGAAAGTTTTTAGAGTTTTAAGATTGTGAATTATGAAGATTAGCCTGGATTCAACCTTCCTATCTTAGAGATGAGAAGATTAAGCAAGATCTCTCTGGTTCAATGATAGGCCTTTTCAAATCTTCTAAGGCAGAAAACAGATTGAGTCCAATGAGTTGTTTGAGCTACTGTAGACAGAAAATAATTCAAAAGTCACTGACTAAAGTTGATAAGGGACCAGACCCCAGGCAATCAAGACTACATTTTCTACAGGAAAGATTGCTAGATTCTAATACTGAAGTAATAAAAAGATTATATTGGAACAGTTTGGATTGGGGATGATAAATATTTTATGATTTTAGAGGACGAATTTGAAAATCAACAGATACAAAGCTAGTAATTATCACATGCAGATCCAGATACCAAGTACATATTCATTCACAGTTGCATTAATGAGCAACTTGCCCTGATCCCAGGCTCTGAGGAATAAAGTAGTGAACAAGACAGTTATTCTTACAAAATCAATGAGAAGCAAGCATTACGAGTTCATCTAAACAATTTGATTAAAACTCTTTTCTGAACTTCAGAAAGATTAAAAAAGTCCACAGTAACACAGTAAATGAGAAAACAGACTTCCAACTCTAAACTGAGTGTTCTTCCCTTTGCATAATGCTTGTTCAAACAGTAGGTTGCCCTGAAATATAAATAGCCTCTATCCCTATTACTCTCGCTGGTTGAGTACAGCCTCTGAAGTCAGATGGTCTGTGTACAAATCCCACTACTACCCAGTAACCTTAGAGAACCGAGAGTGAGATCTCTTAGTATCTCACATGCCTCATCTGAAAAATGAGAGTGATAACAGTATAAATTTCATAGAGATGTCATGAGGGTTACAAGTTCTCAAAACAGTGCCTGCATACTATACACTTTTGATAAATATCAAACATTATTATTATTAATACTATGTATACATATATACACGTACATATGTGCATACATTTAATTTTATTTTGTGAACTGAAATCTACTTTGCAAGTAAAAGTCTGATAAATGTTAGTGATCTGTTTTACCATCTCTGAAAATGTACCACAATCATAATAAAATACACTAGTTTGGATCAATAATAAAGTCTTCCTATCTAAATGGTTTAAATTCATAAACATTGGCAAAGTTTTGGAAATGAAGTCCACAGACCCAGATTTTTAAAATAAGACATTTATTATAGTTGCACATAGGAAAAGTGGGAGAAGCACACACAGGACCTCCATGTTGCAACTGTGAAAATGGTGCCCTGTGAAAATGGTGCTCTATGGAGGTGTGCAGCCGACAGCCAGCCAAGCTGTTCCTAATGGCTCCAAGCACACAGAAATGACTCATCCCCAGTTGTCCTAGTAAATGTAATAAATAGCCTGAATTCATTTTTGATGTTTGGCTATTGACAGCTTTCAACATTCCCACCCTCTTCCTCTTTCTCCTTGGCACTAGCAGGGACTTCAAACTGCACTCACCCTATCCCCACTACCTAACCATTATAAAAGCCCCAAACTGCAATGCATTTCTTATTATTTCTTATTCATTCAATCTATTTTGGGATCTACTTGGGAAATTTGTCCCGCTCTTCTCAGAAACCCTCATTATGTGGGTAATAAACCTTTTAATATGCTATTGGTATGGGTGTGGTGTCCTCAGTCTTGATATCAAAACCAAATTTTGGATTGGGTAGGAAGGTACATCGAGCTTCTGAAAGGCACTACAACAGTATCTTAAAGGTCAAAACCATTCCTTTAGTTATTCTTTGCAAAACTAGCTCAGTGATTCAGGTAAGTAATTTAAGGGAATCTTTAAAAGAACTTTATTTCCTTAGAGTTAAGGGTCTCTTTATTCAATAATTATTTTTATAGCATTTTCTAAGACCCTGCTTTTCATTTTTCTGTGGTCACCTCTTCTTAGGAACATGATATATTTCGCCTTTAGGGTGGGAACTTTGGAGAGAGGAATCTTGGGGACACAATGAGAGTTGAAGACAGAGATTTCCTAGGACACAAGGGCACCTGGACAAGGGAATGCTGACACAGATGAAAATATTTTCTAGTTTTCCCATGACAATTTCAGATTACCTGTTAACCACAGCATCACTATTTATAGTAGCCCCTTTTTACTCTCAAAAGTACCCCGACTGGATGATAGTTTATATGTAATCTGATACAGCCTTTGTCAAATGCGTCTTGAGACACACTGTGGACCATGGTACATCTACAGAGGAGGGAAGAGTAGAGTCTTCATCAGAGATATCCTAAGAACTCTGAGAAGTTATAACAATTGATGAAATACCTGTATTTCTCAAGAAATTTAGAATACAGAAAGAGATGGGTATGTAATTATTGTAATGGTACTCTGACAGTTGCTATAATTGATAGTGATATGGCAATAAAAATGCATATGAGTTCAAGAAGTATCTTTTTGGATAGGTTACACATATAAACAGGAGATCTGGAGTTGAGAGACATTCCAATTTCTGCTCCATTGCTTTCTAATTCTGTGGCTTGAGTAATCATGTATCTGCAAATCTTAGCTCTGAAACAGAGATAGTTAGTCCTGGTTTTCAAAACTGTTCTAAGGTCTAAAAAATCTAACATAGGTAAAGGTCATTATAGAACACCTGGCATATAAAAGGCACTATATAAATTACAGCTATTGCATATTATTATAATGACACCATCGCCACCCCCACTATTGTTATTGTTGTTATTATTATTTATGGCAACATTATCCAGGTTACCAAGTTCTTCCAAGTATTCTTCTGTGCTTGATTTAGCTTGTTGGGACTATAAATTGAAACTATACTTCTGAAAGGTAATTTGTCAAAACATATAAAATCTTTAAAATGTGTATATATTTTGAACGAACATTTGTATTTATAGAAATTCATCCTTAGAGAAAATTATTTTCATACATAAAGAGTCAATAAGGTTTAGTAACTTGGAACATAGACTTTGGGTCACATAGTACAGAAGTTAAATATCACACTTACTGTGAAGTTACAGAAAATCTTTAGTACTTAGTCATTTCCTTTTTAAGACAGAAACAATTATCTAAATCATGGGACTATCAGGAGGATATAATAAAATTATTGAAACAAAGAGTAGTGTATGGACTTTAATAAGTGTTCATCAAGTGTCATTTTTATTAGATATAACAATATTCATTTCAAAATTATTTATAATCATGAATAATTTAAAAGTTAGTTCAACTATGTTATAATAAAGGGAATGATTAAAGTTATACATATAATTAGAGTGTTTTAATGTAACAATGGAGCATTTTAAAATAATATGAAGTGTATGATTATTCTTATTTTTAAGTAAAACTTTTTTTTTTTTTTTTTTTTGAGACGGAGTCTTGCTCTTGTCGAACAGTCCGGAGTGCAATGGCATGATCTCTGCTCACTGCAACCTCTGCCTCCCGGGTTCTAGCGATTCTCCTGACTCAGCCTCCTGAGTAGCTGGGATCACAGGTGTGTGCCACCAGACTCAGCTAATTTTTATATTTTTAGCAGAGATGGGGTTTCACCATGTTGGCCAGGCTTGTCTTGAACTCCTGACCTCAACTGATCTACCTGCCTCAGCCTCCCAAAGTGCTGGGATTACAGGCGAGAGCCACGGTGCCGGGCCAAGTAACTTTTAAGTAAAACAGTTTGAGTATAAAAATTTAAGAGTAGCTATTTATCTTCAGTTTGATTATATATGATTATTTATTCTTGCTTTCCCTATGCTTCAAAAAGTCTTAAGAAATATGACTTACCTTTATAATCACAAAAAGTTTAAAGTTATAAAATGAAGGAAATCCCCCAAAAAGTATACTTACTTCTCTACAATCTTTTGATTGCTTTTTAATTACTTCATAAAGCATTTTAGTACAGACAAAGCAAAAGTTACCATCAGTCTAGGTCAAATATTTAAAATAATGCAGAATCTCTCAGTTCAACCCAAATTCATTATACTTATGAAGATTCTCTCTCTGAATTCTATTTGGCACCCTATCAGTGATTCTACAGTTAACAAAACAGGTGCAACATTAATGAGAGCAAGGTAGAAAGCCTCCCAAGCAGAAATAAAAGTGTTTTGACATTATCAAGTGGTTTGGCTGTGTAAAATTGCAAAGCAATGTAGATTACAATTCTATTTGAGACATAAGAATACTGTCTTGTCTACTAACTACAAAAAAATTGACGGAATTTGAGAGAATAAAATAATAAATTCTTGTTATTTCTGAGATAGAGAACAGCAAAAAAAAAAGAAGATGACGAAGAAAACTCATCCAAAACCTTAGCCAGAATTGCTACAAATAACAGCTTATTTTTAACCCATGGAAAATGCAGACTAAATTTATAAAGGCAGTTTAAACACAAATATAGAACTCTGCAAAAGAGAATATGCATTTAATGGAGATAAAACATTTCTATTCAGAATAGGTTTTTATAATCTGCCATCAACAGTCACACCTTAGACTCTGGGATCACTCTCACCCACTGTCATAGAAAGGCAGAGAAGAAACAATAGCTTTACATATCCCATATCCCTCACAGTAATGGATCATAGATAAATATGGAAATAACTACTTTGCGGGATGTTTTCACAACGGCTTCAAATTCTAGATCATGTGTTTGTTGCTATCACTTATCATATAATCCTTCTAAGGGTACCATTTAAGAATTTTAAAAACAATAGTAATAAAGGAAAAAAAGTACTCCACTGACAAACTTCAGTGTGCCACAAACAACAAGAAATGTGACTTTACAAATGCGTATTCATTCGGTCAGTCTTATACTTCCTCCATCAATTTAATTTCTTTTCACTATACGTGTCAGTAGTGGACCATAAAACAACAGACTTTGCATGAAATTTTAGTTCTTTACTCAAAAAATTTCATCTTTCTATATCTTCCAGAACTTTTATAATTTCATGCAATATGGCTCAAATACCCCCTTCCCATGACAAAGTCATTTGGCTAAGGGTCACATTAGAGTTGAAGATTTGCCCTGAAGCATACTCAGCCTAAAAGAGCACAACATCAAACAAGGTGTTGTCCTCATGAATTCCATGTGAGACTATTTCATAGAGTTGGGTACCACACCAATGCCCTGAACTCAGAAGACATCCTCTGGTATAGAATTCTACGTGTCACATTACCAACTCATATGATTTTCTCTTTTAGTAAAAACAACTAGGTGCGATCAACAGTTTGGCAGGTCTATCCATAGTAATTACTGCTATTACTAAAATTGCACTTGTCTCTTTTGCTCATATGACAATCAATAGGGCCAAAGAATTGTGGTTATAGTTGGGAGAAATCTCTTAAACTACTTAGTCCAAAATTACTTAGCCCACCTCCTCCATTCTGAAGATAATAAAACTAAGAAGATAAATAACTTGTCCACATCTAAAGAGTCAGAGTTAAAAGAGCACCAAATAGAAGATTTCCTTTTATTTATTTATTTTTTTTGAGATGGAGTCTCGCTCTGTTGCCCAGGCTAGAGTGCAGTGGCGTGATCTCGGCTCACTGCAACCTCCACCTCCTGGGTTCAAGCAATTCTCCTGCCTCAGCCTCCTGAGTAGCTGAGGTTACAGGTGCCTGCCACCATGCCCAGCTAATTTTTGTATTTTTAGTAGAGACAGGGTTTCACCATGTTGGTCAGGCTGGTCTCAAACCCCTGACCTCGTGATCCACCCGCCTAGGCCTCCCAAAGTGCTGGGATTACAAGCGTGAGCCACCGCACCCGGCCAATAGAAGATTTCTTATATCGTTTAATGCTGTATCTCTTATCCCAACAACTGGATCCAAAGTTAATTTGAGTTTATGCTGTAAAAAAAATATTTATTCATACCACCTAAGCAAGAAGGAGAGTATTATTCAAAAACCAGATACTCAACAATTCTATTAAAGGTTGAATAAAAGAATGGATGCCTTCCTGTGCTATTGCAAAATAGTACCTTGTCTATGTATTCTATAACATATTCTAAATGAATAAAAACATTTATTCTAAAGTTTAACAAAGCTTCACAGAAGAATCACTAAAACTCCAAAATGTCATTTTCATCCTCAACTCAGGAAAATAGTAGAGGAAATGTTTTCTACACATTAGCAATTTTTAGTGGCAGTTTCTCTGCATAAAATATAGCAGATAAAAATACAACTCCCCAACACACACGCACGCACACACACACACACACACTCACATACACTCTCAAGTTTTACAATCATAAGAGGTAAAAGGATTCAGATACAGTTTGAGGAAACCAAGTAGTTACTGCCTACAAGGAAAATCTGGTGTCATGACTCAAAGACTACATTCTAGTCCATGGCCCCCTCTACACACACAGTATTCCACATAATGGAGCTTTCTGAGAGTAACCTGAAATATCCATTTGTGGTCAGCACATGATAAATCAGGAATCATCAATTCTATAATATTTTCACTTTTGATTAGACCGTGTTGACTTGAAGTTGGGTGGTCAATATTTGTCAATGAAAGACCAAAAATAAAAGATTTATGTAGAGTTAACTGTGCCCAGTGGGTTTAAAATAGATGAATGCCCCAGAGAGTTTATTGGAGTTGACCAGTTGGAATCATAGCCACCACAGAAAGCTAACACAGGTCTAACTCAGAATAGAAATAAAAAATCATCACTGGTATCCATGTGGAAGAATACAATTGATTGTGTAATAATCATTTCCTCTAACAGGGCTCCATACTCAAGATTTAATCAATAAAGTTCAGGTCCCTACTGATTCCAACTTTTCACAATTGAAAAAAAGCATATAAAAATATAGATGAGTGATATACAAAATTTACTAATGATTATCATCAAAATCAATTTATTAGTGTCTCATGAGAATATTTTAAAATCGGCTTTAGAAGCAAGCACTTGGCCTTAAAAAACAAAGATTTTTCCAAATATTTCTGTGTAGTAATATAAATCAATGTCTTTGTAGTTTATCCTCAGTGAAATCACTACATCTTATTCTCACAACTCTCTTCTTGCCATCAACCCAGTCATCCAAGCCAGAAATCTAGACGTTGTCCTAGAAATTACTTTCTGTTTCACGTCATCCCCTCACTATGTCCAATTACTAATGTTTATCAGTTCTAAATCTACATCAACTTTATACACTGTTTTCTGACCAGACCTCTGGTCTAGAGTACAGCCACTGCTACTATGATACCGGCCCTCAGTTTATCTTCCCATGCAGTATCTCATGTCTTCTCTCAGCCACATGCCCCATGAACTTCCCCTCTACTAAAATGCTTTACTCCTTTTGTAAAATCCTTCAGAAACCAATCCTTTACCTACAGAATAGATTCTAAAGTTCATAGGATAGCATATAAATTCCTCTAGTCTTTGATCCCTGCTAAATTACCAGTCTCATCCCTTGTCATACTTCTACCCATTCCTAAAGATTAAGAATCTCTGTATAAAGCTTTCTATATTCTCTCTCCCACCCTCCATAACTAGAGGTGATTATCCTTCTCTATAAGTATACATGGAAATCCACAGTACTGTAGACAAAACTACTCACAACTCTATCCAAATTGTCACAGTGGATTTCAAATGATGGATTACATGTGTTTCCTAAAATATGAGTGGTAAATGAGCTTTATTTCTAATGTGTACTCATTTTAATCAATGTTTAGAAATTGTCTGGAATCACTGTTGAGAAAGAACTGTTAAGAAACTCAACCTGAGCTGCACCCAAGCTGTATCTACTATTGGAATCAGCAAAGGAACCAGTTATTTGTTATCCTTGCACTAGACTATGAGTGCTTTAGGGTAAATAAATGTACTTAATTTTTTTAATTCTCAATGCCTAGCATAGTGTCTGACATAAAAGTTTATTGTAAACAGTAACATCAAGAACTACTCATCACAATCTGTAACTCCACACAAGGAATCCATACTCATTCTTTTCCAGTATAGTAAATACACAATACTTGAGTATAACTTGCATAACTTTTTTTTCAAGAGGAAATGTTAATGTGTCATTATAGTCAGAGTAACACTTAAGGCATTTCAAACACAACACTTATTCCTAGTGGCTGCGTAGAATTTTCCTTGGACAATTATTTGACCCTTCTCAAGCTCAATTTCCTCATCAGGAACATAGGGATAATGAAATCTGTCTTGCAAGGTTTCCATAGGGATTAGAAATAAAAAGCACGATTACATAGTGGGCCCTATGTAAATGATAACTATTAATATGTGCTATTTTGGTTCACAGCAAATTTCCATGGGGGAAAATGTACTTTTTAGAATGTAAGAAGATAATTTGACTCCCTCTTAAAAGTCATTTTTCTGTTCAGTTATGGAGGTTGTTTTGTTAGTAATACAGAATCAGTGAATATCAATTATATTTATTACATCTTTATTTTGCCATTGCCCTAAGCCCTGAGCTCACATTGCACAGCAGCCTCAAGGATGTTTATTATTATTACTTTTAAGAATCAATGAATAATTGATAACAATGAAACACTTTTCCTTTGGGTCACATTTTTATCTACGGATTTTGAAGGGTTAACATTTTTAGCTCTTCTTTTCTTATATTTGTCATTCTAGCTAATATTTACCAACCCCAAAGGAATTCTAAAAATCCATAAGACTTTTCTAGAATTATTCAAAGAGTTCTTTGAATGCTATGCCATCAAGAATGTTCTTCTATGACATTTCCACAGGTCTGGGCTGAACAACATGTAGATATTTATATATGTATATCAAGGCGTTTAGGAGATAAAATGCTGCCATGTTCAGGCTAGAGACAAGAATTAACAGTGAGCAGAATGACACAGTTAAATCTGATACAAGTCATCCTGTCACTTGTCACCTACAAGGTTCCAAATTTGAATTCTTATTTGATCCTATTGGGTGGGTATCATTCTGCTGCAATAAGAAAGCAGAAGGGTAAAAATATTAAGTAACAAGGTCACACAGTATGTTACACAAAAGGAGAAATTAACAATACAAACAACAATCATTACCATCAATTTGTGTCCAACATGCTATGTACTCCACAAATCCATAGGCTCTCCGGCGGCACAGCTGAGATCGAAACATAGACTTTTCTGATTTCAAAGCTGATGTTTCCCATAACACTTATTTTCCTCTAAAAGTTGATGAGTTTGAAAATCTCAAGCACCTTTGATATTCAAGGACTATCCTTCTAATAAGAATCTTCTATCTTCCTCCAATGAGTGCCTCAGCCACCGCCACCCCAGGGTCGCTAGTGCAGTGCCATCTAGATTCTTCTTTCCACAAGGATATTGAATTACCTATATGCCATATCAGAGAAAATGCAAGCAAACTTTCTGAGAATGTGCTTTAATTTATGCAAATAACTTCAGTGCCAGATAATCTGACATAGAAGCTTATAAATAATGAAACCATACACCCAAAATGTGTATTGCAATGAACAATTAACTCAAAAAAACATTGTCATTGTCTAATCACATCAGAACAAGAAGCAGATGAATCATAGCTTTACAAGTGTTGCCCTGTCCAGTTAATGAGTGTCTGCAATATTGTTATCATTTTTATTATTTTTATCATTAGGCACTTTTCTTGTTTACTTATTTAGTTTTCTCTCCCACCCCCATTTCACCACCAAAACAAATTCTATGACAGTTCTGCTTCTATTTATCCCATCTTAAATATTAGGATAATATGGGCCAGAGCAGATTTGAAATAGGACACAAAAATATATCTTCCCTCTAAAAAATGTGGTTGTTCTAAGTGACAGAGAAATGGAAAACAGGGGAAAATGTCATCAACATATTGCCACATGGATGGGCACATCATGGGGAGAGCTTTTCCCTGTTAAAGATCACCCTGTTAAAGATGATCTCGAGAGCAAGAACAGTATACCAGAGACTATGACTGAGAAATTATGCACTTATGAGGTAATCAGTAGTAAGTTAAGTAACTGTGCTTCAATAGGAGCAGCTGCTGTGTGATTCAGCAATCTAAGAATCAATGAGCCTTGTGTGGAAATGTTCCATAAACAAGACCGAAAGTCTGAGTTATAAATGTAAACAATAGAATGCAATTTCCCTAAAATATTGACCACCTTTACCAGCTTCCAGTTCCTTTCACAGTTTTCTTGAAAGAGCTGTGATGATTTCACGGGATATCTTTTTACCAAAACACAAGAAAGTTTTATTTCTTCTATTTCACTTTAAAATTATCCAGTTCAAAAGTAGACTTTCAGGGGAGGATTTTTAAAAAAACAAATAATATACTACCTGTTTCCTTAAATATGTACATGGTGTTTGGGGTTTTGACAAGTTTTTCTATTTCTTAGGCCCTCATAGTCTTAGTGAAAGGGTAAAGTTTCATTACTTTATATAAAGACTTCAGACCTACTAGTCTTAATACTATAAAATAATGAAACTTTATCCTTTCACTAAGACCATTTAATATTTGCAGAGTACAGTTGAGTGCAGGTAACTGAAACTGCAGAAAGTGAAACTGCAGATAAGGGAGACTATCATATTTTTTAAGTTATAATTAAATACTTAATCACAATTATTCATAATTCCTGTATCTAATGTCCATATAGTTGCCAGGGTACAGGTCTGACAAAGAATTGAAATACTGTACATTTCATCTAAACAGGTATAACCCAACGGAACTTACTGCAATGATGGAAATGTTCTATTTTTGTGTCATCCAGTATAACAACCACTAGCCACATGTGATTATTGACCACTTGAAATGTGACTAGTGCAACTGAGGAACTAAATTTTAATATCATTTAATTTTAATTAATTTTTATAGTCACCTGTGACTAGTGGCCATCATACCTAGATCTATGATAATATTCCTCAGCTGCCATATGCAACGTTGTCAATATTTTGCTAATTCATGAGAAACTCTAAAAGTATGCATTGGAACAAAAAAATAAGCAAGAAAATGGACATTTATCATTTCTGGGAAAGTTACTTCATTATGCAAGATCTTTCATGTTCATGCTAACAGAGGAAGACTTGACACATCAATTGATTTGTCTTCTTTATAAAGGTACTTCCATGGCTCAAATAATTCCCACTCTTTGAAGCAGGGTCTGTCTGTAACATCAGCAGCAGCCCAACCCACAAGCAATTACTACATTTAGAATCAGCCATCTTTTATTTCAAGGACATAGAGTAAAATATGTGGTGTAGCTTTACTCAGGAGCCTGAATGGTACTAAGCATGAAATTGAATACTTGGGGTTAATGCTAGGTCAAAAGTGGTAGAGGTGTCTCTGTAGCTCTCAATAAATGTGTGTGTCTGTGTGTGTGCGTGTGTGTGCATGTGTGTGTGTGTGAGACAGAAAGAAACATAAAAGTTTCCTCTAAAATGTGGAATCCTGGTGGATTAGGAACACTGTTGACTAAGTGATAGTGGAATGGTCCCAGGCAAAAAATATTAGAAATTTTCGTGTAATCCTAACGTTATATTCAATCAGCCTAAGAAGACATTTTTACTTAGAACAAAATAAAAAATGTGTCATAAAGAAAAGTGGCAATATCAGTAAAGTAAAAAGCAGCAGGTAAATACTAGTTTTCACTCCCACCCCGCAAATAATGGCATGTTCATTATGGCGGGTGTGCTCAATTTAAATCATTTCCCATGTGTGCTTATATGTGAGCATGATTTGCAAAGCACATAAAATAAAGTATAAAGAATTACCAATAAAAAGAGAAGCATATGGAAAAAAGGGAATAAATCAACAATAAAAAAATGTAGGAGGTCAAATCATAGAATTAAAACATCACATAAAGTCTAGTGTTGATCACTACTTGGGTTCACTCTGAGGGGCTGGACTGTGTTGCACATAGGTGAGCACTGACACATGCGTACTTGCAGGTAGTTTCTTTACCAGTTTCACTAGACATGAATACAACCAAATGTCCTCATTCTGTTCTTTTATTGTTCTCACATCCAGAATCTTCATGTGCAGCAAGCTGAAGAAGGTTTGATTTGTTGTTAACAGCCCCTAAAATTGCCTCAGCCCTGGTCCAGAATGTTCCAGATCAATACCTGATATACAAAGAGGAAGCACAAAGGGAAAGGAGTCCTCACTGTCCGTTGATAAGGGAAGCTGACGACGCAATCTTCAGAGAGGAAGCCATACACACAAAAGAAAGTTCCATGAGGATCATGCCGGCTTGTGTTTCCAAAGGGAATTGTCCCCAGGTTTGGCCCCTGTAGAACTCTTCATTATTCTCAAGCCAAGTGAAAACTCCCTAATAGGACTTGAAAAGCTCTTTATCCTCTGGTCCCTGCTTATCATTACAAGTTCATCTCTCCTACGGCCATATCACTTATTATTTCACCTATTCCAATATACAATTCTCTCTCCCTACCTCCCATCCTCATTTCAATACCTTTTGCCCAAGACGTTCCCTTGGCCTGGTATAGTCACCCTCCGCTTCTAACTTCCTTCTCCATTTTCTCTGACTTCTACTTATCTTCCTCCAAGCTAGGTGAGGCTTTCTCCTACGTGCCCTCATATACCCAAGATTTTACCTACTGGAGCAGTTATTACTCTCTAAAATAATTTTATGCTTATTTGCTTGTATCATCCACTAGGCTAGAATTTCTATTCTAGCAGGAGCCATATCTGCCTTATTCATCACTGTATATCCAGAGCCAGCACAATGTGAAGAACATAATAATAGGAGCCAACTTTTATTACCCACTCAGATGCCAGACAGCAAATTAGCTTGTCTTATCTTCCCTAACCCTACAAAATAGGCACTATTATAATCTCTGTTTTACAGATGTGAAAACCTGACCACAGAGAAGTTATTAGAAACTTGTCTAACAGTATGTAACTGGTAAGTGGTAGAATTGGGAGTTAAACCCAGGCATCTTGATTCAGAGGCTATGATCTTAATCACTCTGCTCTGCCATTTCCTAGCACAATGCGTGTTCAATAAATATTTTGAGGGTCAATAAATAAAGGAAGAAGTAAAATCTCAAAATGAATAAGGTTTTGGGCTATTTCTAACATGCATCATGTCCTTTTTAGCACTCCAAGGCATGAACCTTACTCCTTTTCTGATTTAATTTCAAGAACTGCAAGTGACAAAACATTTTGGTGTGGGATCATTCTGTGAGGTCATTTGAATTTTGTGCAAAAAAAACAAAAAAAAGGAGTTAACATCGTAGCCAAGATTGCTATCCTTAGAAAGGCCTGCTTGCAAACGTGGCCCTTAGCTGGCATCTGAGAACTTAACTGGTAAACAGTTGTCTACACGGATATAACACTTTCTTTAAATTATGAAAACATCTTACTGTGTCTAAATTGCACATTGTTGCTTATGCTGAATACCTGCCTTCTTTCTGGGAGTCTGAAATTTTGGTGCATGCTAGTCAGAGAGTGCCTTTGTGAACAGCTCCCTAAAACTATTGGGTCCTGAGTCTTTAATGAGCTTTCCTGGTAGACAACGTTTCACACATTGTCACAAGACACTGCGGGAGGAATTAAGTGTGTCTATTGTAAATCCACCAGGAGAAGCCCCTTGGAAGCATGCACCTAGTTTCCTTCAGACTTTGCCCAAGGGTCATTATCCTTCGCTTATCTTGTTTTGTACCCTTTTATTATAATAAATCTTAGCCATAAATACCACTATAAGCTGAGTCCTATGAGTCTTTTTAGCAAATCACTGAATATAGAAATGGTCTTGGGGATCCTCAACACAGAACCCTTTGTGGGTGCATGAAGCAAGAGAAAAAATAAACAATGGCCAAGGGCTCCAAGCATAATTGCTACAAAAGCGTAACAATTTCAGTGGGCTTAATCAAAGCGATTCTCCCATTGGAATAAACAGAATTCATAAATTTAGACATAAAATCCTGTATTTAAGGCTGATCCCTGTTAATATTAAGGTAGGTGCTTTTATGCAAATAAGTAATCATCTCAGAGCTCTGTTTTTTTATCTGTAATATGGGAAGAACAATGCCTACTTCTTGGAATTACTGTGAAGTTTAGGTGGAGCAACATATTTAAATAACCCTAGGTCAGTGGCTAGCATAAATAATCACTCAGTAAATATGCAATTATTAATTCTAAGATTCTAAAACATTCTTCAATAAAGTATACCTGTTAAAGATATAATTCATTTAATATGTTAGAATTTAAAATATTTTTGTAAGTTCAACCACACGAACCCCCCAACACCCACATATTGACATGCTTTAAAAATAAATATACAAAAAGAACAAATGAATGCAGCTATTTTCCTGACAGTTCATGTAATTATAAAGCCAAATAACAACCAACAAACTTAGTAGCTTTTGTTCAGGTGCCAGCTACGTGGCTCTCACAAAATGAGAATTTAGCATTTTATTAATCATAAGACAGCACTAAATCTACTTCCCACCTGACAGTTTTAAACATGCAGTCAAATGGTGAGTTAATTAAGTGACAGCGTCCACGTTACTCAAGAAGATGAAGCAATAAACGGCTTCTGTGGCAGATTAAACACCAGAATAAAATTGAGGTGTCTTTGATAAACCACTGGAGAGGTCGCCGGCTACTCTGCTCTCCTAAAATCTGGACTGCAGCCCCAGAGACCATGAACACCTGCAGATCCGGCAATTACTAAAACAGCTTTCAAGGTGTGGTATATTCAAGCTGAAAGTCAAAGGTGATAATTTCCAATCAAGCTAATTGCCCTACATTTTGATGACTGTCTGACTCTGAAATGAACACTCCAAAATGCATTCCTCATCTTACAAATGAGAGAATTTGGATGAATGGGTCATACTTCATATTAATATCAAGGTTTTGGGAGGCACCTCAGATTCCTCAGAAAATAAAAAGGAGGCTGAACAACTAGACTCTACTCTGTCCACAACCCCCACACCCTACCAGCAGCTCCAGTTACATCCCATTTAAGCAACTCATTTCTCAACAAGGAAGGAAGGAAAGAAGAGGGGAGGGAGTAAGGCAGAGAGAAATATTGGGCTAGAGAATCTACTATTTACATCTGCCCAATTTCAACCTTCTGTGACTTCAGAGACTGGAGACTTCTCTCCACTCTGCTGTGATAATCTTTCATACTACAGGCCCAGCATCTTCCTCAAGGAGACAGTGATCCAATCTTAACAAAAATCATAATTAATGAAGAAAGAAGAGAAGACTGATTAGGATGCAGAGAAATAGAGGAGCAAGGAAGAGGAGATGAGAACTAACATATATTGTTTCTGCGATTTTTCTGAAAGTTACATGATATATGATACTTTATTCATTTCAACAACATGTGAATCCATGTAATTTACTCTTTGCAGCAACTCTGCACAGTGTTTTTACTTTGATTTCACAACTGAGTAAATTGAGAGATTAGAAAATTTAAGAAATACGCTAAAGGTCACAAAGCTAAGTGGCAAAAGAGCAATTTGAATTTAGGATGCTCTGACTTAAACAACCTGAATTCCTTTTACTTAAAAAAAAAGATACTTTAGAGCAGTTATCTCTGGGAAGAAGAATGGGGAGGAGAAACTAAGAAGAGTAACTTTCACATTTTATTATTTAGCTTTTATGTTATTTGAATAATATTTGGTAAAGACAATGTATTACCATGTTATCCTCATAACTTAAGGAATAAAGAAGAAACAGAATTTTCTGCTTACACCTTTGTATCAGTCTGGCCAAGGACTGTCTGACAGATTTTAAAACAAATTTCCTTAACAATAGGTTATAAGTCTTCCATTTTCGTATTCAACTTTATTATTAATCTGCTTAGCTAAATCCTGCCCTAAAGTGTTAACAGTGAATGTGGATTATGGATGGAAGAAATCCACTATTTTCATTCACAAATATTAAGCATCTAAACTCTGCCTCTTCCCTGTGCTCAACCTATTTTTTTCAGGAGATGTGAGGTGTTTGGTGCTTATTAGGTGACTTTTTTCAGTAATGACATTTATGTTGATACATCTAGGAATTATGTAAAAACATAGTTTTCTGCCCATCACAGCTCCCTCTAAAAATAGGCATTCTCACAAAGAAAAATCCTCCAATTTTTACTCACGATTGATCTCAAAAATGCAAGATTTCTCAAAATGTAGACATTATGGGATTAAAAAAATACACGATTATCTTATTGTCATGATGACAATTCCTAGTACATTATATGTATATATGTGTACTGTCTAATTATATTTATCAAAAGGTGTTCATCACATTTTAGTTCAGATGTGCTTTCTCATATAATCTTTGCAGCCGTCTTGTGTTCTTTCAGTCACTGAAGTAACCACCATTTGCACCACTGAGCAAAATTAACTATTTTGCTCAAAATCATTGAGTTAGTAAGCAACAGAATTGAACCTTACTTCTAGGTCCTTGGGCTCAGAATTTCATACTGTATAGCTCAATAAAAAAGCTAAAGTGATTTCAGGTAAAAACGTGGGGGATGATAAGCCATTAACTTCTCAAAGCCCCTTGAATTTAAAATCAGGATGAATTGATAATTCATACTATCAAGAAGTTGGCTGATAAAAACATGTAACAATCAGATTGTGGTTGCCTTAGTTAATTATCATATCTAGCAATTGGAATGATAACCTGACATTGGAATAGGAATCTATTAATATTGCCTTCTAGCAAGAAAATCAACTTCACAAATATCATAATGATGGCTGATAATTTTTTTCATATCTCACCCCTTTTGCCTACTTATAGTATTTAGAAGTAGGCATATAACTGAACAAAATATATTTATTTTTTCCTTCATGCCACAAATATTTAGTTAGTGTGCTAAATAGTTCAATCACTTCCTAAAGATACAGAAATGAATTAGACATAGCCCGTGGCCTCAAAGAGCTCACAGCCTCTTGAAGGAGGCTGCCATAAACAGCTTAACTGCCAAACAGCCAGGGCTACCTACAGTAGGAATCAATAAGCATTTGTGAATGTATCAAATGTGCTGATGAAGTATGTGCTACAGGAGAACAAAGAAGGAGTGGGAGATTATCTAGGGCAGTGTTTCCTAAGTGGGTTCTGGAACCAGCCAAGTTTTACTGCATAAGTGTGGCTTATTTTCTGAGTACGTTTCTTAGCTACGTTCTGCAATTCTGCTCTTTGGCCCCCAGTCACCAGCCTCCATTCCCTAACTGCTGAGACCTACGTGGATAATTTTGAGTTTTCCAAGCTTCAGTGTGGTTTGAATTAGGAAAGCCTGAAATCCAGGGGTGGAGGTGGGAGGGAGAGGCTTTCTGTTCTTGCTCCTTAACATTCCTATTCCATTTGAATATTTAGCCTAGTAGGGGAACAGGAGTTATGTACTTATTTCTATTAAGGCAGTAAAAATCTTCCACCTGGAGTGAGCCAAGCGAGAAATACTTGCAACTCCTATATCTAAGGCCAGTTTTTAAAATCACACTTACGTTGCATTCTGGAGGCAAGCAAGGTAATCACTAAAAGCTGTGCTACAGGATTATAGACTCACTTTTTGAGTCCATACAAATATAAGAGGAAGCACACTTTTTCAAAACCACATCTGTAACTTACTGATAGCTTCTCTAGACTTCCAGTTGAACAAGGTAGCCAAAGCACATGTGTTCATAGCTCTTCTCTCCTCCATCCTAACACTCACTAAACGGAATATAGGAAGTATAATCAAAGCAGGACAAAGAGAACAACAGAAGTCAAGGGAAGCTATTTTAACAGATGACAGGTTTCAACAAAATTGGGCTGATGATAACAAGCATAAAATATCAGAGAAATGTTAAAACCTAAGCATTGGCAAGCAAATTCAATACTTAGGAAACCTGTGTATTTGTGGTCCAATATCTCTGAAAGAAAGGCAAACGATAGGGCTGAAATGGGGTGGGGAGGGCTATTAAAAAACCTGGTAAAAGAACAGTTAAATGACCAGTTCTTCCCACTCTGCGAAACTGGCCTATGCAGTACCCACATTCCTCAGTGAAAGAGACTGGAGGATCTTCTCTTAAGGAATTAAAGAGTTTAGAGAAAAGACCTATAGGTACTTACATATAGGGCTCCTACAATAACATACCTGTTAGCCTACAGTAAGACTCACATCTCAACAAGCCTCTTCCACACACAAGTGTTCTATCAACTATTTAATTGTTCACTCTTAAATATGAATGGACAGAAAAAGAGTTCCAGGTATTTGAAGAAAACGTCAAATATTGAAGACAGAGACTGCAATAGCCAAATAGTAAAAAGAATTCAGAAGAAACAGTTATAATACAGACAACAGGATGAAGAAATGATAATATATTCAAAAAGATAAGAGATTATCTGCATCTAACCAAAAAAAAAGAATTTTATATTTTCAAAAAAACATAGAAAACATAAGAAAACTTTCAGAAAGAAAAAAACGACAACATAAATGAAATTTAATAAAGACATTAGAAGATAAAACTGAGGAATCTCTCTAAAAATCATAGCAAAGAGACAAATGGGAGAGGAAATGGAAAAAATTTGTTAAGGAAATTAAATAATCAACACAGCAAGTTCAATGACCAACTTTCCAAAAAGAGAGAACTGCAAAAAATATTATCAAGGAATAATACAAGAAGATTTTTCCAAAGTAATGAATATAAGAGCCACACCAAACACACCACCTAGAATTTCAGTACATTTGGAAATTAATTTTCCAAAAAGTTTCTAAAATTATAAAGTGAGTCACACATAAGAGATAAATAATCATAATGACATAAGACTTGTAGACTAAGACTAGAAACTACAAGTCAACGCCTTCAAAGTTCAGAAAATTGTATCTAAATTAGATTTCCAATCAAATATCAATCAAAAATCAGAGTTGACTAAAGATGTTTTCAGATAATCATGTTTTTAAAATGACCCCTCAGAAAATTACTAGAGAATGAAAGGATATACCAGGAAAGAATACACGGACTTTCAGAAGGCACAGAAACAACCACAAGAGAGATGAGTAAAATTTTTAGCATGGTGGAAGAGGGGAGCCTCAGCATAATATTTATTCACTAGGCATAGGGACTCACAAGCCTTCATGAGAATTCAGAGAGAGAGTTCAGGGGGGAAAACAAATGGAACTGATACATTACTTAATGTATTTGACCGTATTTAATGGAATTTTACACATTCTTACATAATGTTTGAAGAAAAAAATTAATGATAGGTGTATATAAAACTAGCAACTGGAAAGCTTAGATAATTATATACTATGTTTTACAACAATTTCCTTATAAAACGGTTTAGCTGAGGATAATGCTTATGCTTAAAAATTCCAGAAACATCAATATAGGAAAAATGAAAGAGGAATAGATTAAACTTTTAAATAAAGAAGAAATTTATTATCTCTTAGGAAAGGGGTTTAGTTTAGAGAGGGAATGTCAGGGACTACCATGGACTACCAGGTTTTCTTTCTTTCTTTTTTTTTTTTTTTTATTTACAGTCTTGCTCTGTCACTCAGGCTGGAGTGCAGTGGCACAATCTTCACTCACTGCAACCTCCAACTCCTAGGCTCAAGCAACCCTCCCACCACAGCCACCCAAGTAGCTGAAACCACAGGTGCACACCACCATGCCCAGCTAATTTTTTGTATTTTTAGTAGAGATTAGGTTTTACCATGTTGTACAGGCTGGTCTCAAAGTCCTGACCTCAACCAATCCGCCCACCTCAGCCTCCCAAAGTTCCAGGATTACTAAATGGTCGTGAGCCACTGCACCCGGCCAGGGATCTACCAGCTTTCCTAATGTGCCTTGGGCAAGTGTTTGATTTTCTAAACTATAAAATTGTACTATTTCAATTAAAAAAAGAATTTGTAAAACGTTTCTTAGATACCTGATTTTCAGTTTCACATTCTAGTCACAAACATATTCGTACCTCCACATGCTGCATAGCTTGGCCTATCTCCTTTGGAGAAGGATGCTGATCTATAACATATCCCTTTTGTTGTGGTCACATTTTCCTGGTTCTTCATATATATAGCAATTTTGAATTATATCATGGCTTATTTTAATGCAGCTATTAACAATAATTTATTTAAAAGGTGAAAATCTAATATAAATGCCCCAAATATTAGGACAAGAGGGAAAGCCTGGGCAGACTGGAATATCAGCCTAACTACAGAGCAAATGGAAGATTCCTACCAGTTGAGGCTCTAGGAATCATAGTATAAATTCTTTAAAATCACATTGAAGATTTTAACCTGATTTGTGGCTTGTAAGATTCATTTTATTCAGTATTTTTTAGTGTTAACTTATTTTCCAGGCACCAGGTTATACTAGGGGGTACTAAAATGAATAAAATTTATTTCTCAACCATCAAAATTGCATTTAAGATAGCTTGATGAGAGACGGCCATGGTAATGGGGTTAGTGAGGGATAAAATTCCAGTCAGAAGGAATAACACTTTTAAAGTCGTTGTTGAAGAATGAAGCCTTGACTGGAAAAGCCACTTCATGTGGATACATGTTATTTCTAGTTTTTAAAATGGATTTTGTTTTTGAACGCAATTTTGAATAGAAATATTTTATAATCAATCCACCAATGTAGAAAGCCAATCCCTTTAGGGGTATATATATAAGAATATTTTAACAATTATATCATCCAAGTATTTTGGCTTCTTTTTTTGCTCTAAGAAATGTACTATTTTGGATGGTAACCTACGTGGGTTACCCCTTTTAGAGGAATAATTTTACAGAAGAGGACCTAATTTTCATTGTGAAGATGAAATTCTTCCCATTACCACCAATACCATCGTAGTGGAAAAATATTCTTGAATATGAGTTTGATGCCACCTCTGTGCTGAGATTTGCCAAAGGGTATAATTCAGTTTTAAAGACATCTTGTTGGAAATCAAGGAGATGAGGGGGCAATAAATGACCCATGGACTTCAAATCTAAATAGTGCATTTTTAGTCTTATCTGTTCACAGGCCAACACAAAGGATCCCATCACCCAGGTCCTTCCTGCCAGAGATCAAATCTTTATTTTGGAATGAACCACATTTGTCTTTGTAAAACAGGGGCAGAACCACGCTCTGCCCTGCCAGCCTCCAGAGAACTTGGACAATGTGAAAAGCTCACTTTCTATATTTGAGAAGTCTCATGGTTGCATTCAAGAAAAGGGCAGAATTGTTTTTTATAAGTAGGAATCCATAATTCAAATCATAATCATTCTCATAATGCCAGACTATGAGAGTGATGCCTAACCATTTTTACCCTAATTAAAAGTATCTGAAAGGTAAGGATAGTTCTCAAATGAGTTATGCTACCTATTAGTTAGACTTGCCCTGCAAAGAGTAGAGGCTTAAAATGATTCATCTTTGAACCTGCTTCATTTATCCCTGCTGCCAATACAAAACCCTAACACTATCCAACCAGATATACAGTCACTCAAGGCGATAAGATATGCAATTTTATTCAAGGGAATTCTGCCTCTCTGCTTGCTCCAAAAGAAGAGTCACCAAAATACACTGTGGAGAGAGAAATGAGAGCCAAACTTGACCCTTGTATGCTAGGCAACTCTGCCCACAATGAGATGAGAGATCACTGCCAGGACTGCACAGGCAACCCCGATGTTCTGGACAAGAGACCAGTGGCAGGTGCAGGAGTCAGAATTGCCCAGTAACAACACAGTTGAGTGCCAGATAGGCAGGGCTGCCCACAGCCAGCGAGATGAGCAATGCGCCAGTGAGAAATGCCAGTGGGCAGGAAACAAAGAGACAGAATTCTGTTGACCAAAGAGGAGTCTTCATTCTGGCATATTCACTCAAAAAAAGCTCACATGAAAGAAAAGATTGAAACTGTTGAAGTGGACATGCCAGGAGTAGGATACCCAGATGGCTATACCAAGTAGGTGTGAGCAATCACCACTGCCTGATTGCTCTGCCAAAGCAGAAGTGTAAAACAAAAACATTTAAAGCTAAAGTTAGGCAAATGGCAGAAAGAAGACAAGTAGATTCAAACCTGAAAGGAAAATCCCTCAAGAAGACCTAACAAATAAAACTGAAGCAAGTAAAAATTCTAATACAAAATAAACAAATACAACAAATATAAAATAGAAATCAAAACAACCTTTTTTGCCAGTTTATTGTCTATATTCAGATGGAAGCAATCATAGAAGATCTTATTGATGGATTCTATTGGAAAAGGAAAAGAAATATGTGTTGAGGTATGGAGATGAGGACATAGTTTAACCCATACAACAAACAAAAAGGAAAAATTAACAGATAAAAATTGTTTATTTTCTAAAAAAAAAAAAAAAAAAAGTATTGTTGTAACACCACAGCAGGTCCACCTGGAGAGGACATCAAAACAGTTTATTTTTTCCATATTGTATCATTTGTGTTTTCGCACTAACTGATGTTGAGAAATTGCAAGATTTTACTTTTATTGTCTTTCACAGTAATAGCAAAGGACATATACAGTACTTGGTATTATGAGAATCAGGCACATCCTACAAAACAGATGGGTGAGAGAGAATGGAATTTTATAAATTGTCACTATGTGATTATTGACAATTTACCTTTTTTATTCAGAAAGTATGTAAAAGTAAATTTAAGTGTAGATTTCTTACCAAAAAACTGACTCAATATTTCTTCTTTTTTTTTTTTTTTTTTTGGAGACGGAGTCTCGCTCTGTCGCCCAGGTGGGACTGCGGACTGCAGTGGCGCAATCTCGGCTCACTGCAAGCTCCGCTTCCCGGGTTCACGCCATTCTCCTGCCTCAGCCTCCCGAGTAGCTGGGACTACAGGCGCCCGCCACCGCGCCCGGCTAATTTTTTTTGTATTTTTAGTAGAGACGGGGTTTCACCCTGTTAGCCAGGATGGTCTCGATCTCCTGACCTCATGATCCACCCGCCTCGGCCTCCCAAAGTGCTGGGATCACAGGCGTGAGCCACCGCGCCCGGCCTCAATATTTCTTCTTAAAAATGCAAATTGAGAGCTAAGGTATCTGCCTGAAACTTGAATGACAGTCAAACTGAAAATCACCTTATGTGATTTAGATCAACCTTCAGCAGAACACAACACAGCCTATAAACAATTCAACCTAAAAAAAAAAATCACCACACGAAACCTAATTGAATTCAACATAAAAGGGCAAATAAATATAATTAAATATCCACAGCTCTTAGAGGTCCTTTTTACTCTTGATAACTAAATAAAATGGATTGATTTCTCATTCTGTGTACTGTGGTATAGTCCACACTCTAGGAGAATCTGTGGATTTAAAGTGAGGGTGGGGCTCATTGTTCTCATCATTTTTCTTTAGGTATTTCTGTACTTAATGATTTTTCAGTACATTCCCATTATTCCTGATCCTGTGCCTGTTTTCCTCTTCTTGACCCATGGCTACTTAAAACTTGGCCATTATTCCTACTCTTCAACCACCAAAGCACTACTTCTTTCTTACAAGCCCAGTACATGTAGTGAACTTACATTGAAAAGTTAAAGACACCATAGGGTGACTAGACCAGAGCATAGAATAGTAAACAACATGAAAGTCAATATCAGGTAACACTGTAAACATTTCTTGGCCAGAACTACCATAGAATTATGGTTTAAGAGTTGTACTTTTCACGAACCTCCAGTCATTAGGTAATAGATATATTCTCTGAAGTCATATCCCTTCTTCACATTTGATAAGCCATGTCCCTTCTTCAGAGAAATGAATCAAAATGATGTTACTTTATTATACATGAGAATTCAGCTTTCAAACCCTTTTCTACATTAGCCTTCCCAGAAAGCACCTTTTCATAGACCCCATGTTAAATAAGCCTTCTGGTGTTTTGTTAAAAAAAAAATGGTTGCTACAACACATCTCCACTCTTACTACAACTGAGATCAAACAGAGCCTTAAAATTAGCTTTTCTTTACCTTGGGCCAAATTAAATTCTTATCCAGAGTTTCTTCTCCCACCAATCAGGACTCATATTTTAAACAATAATGTATTTCTAGCTCCAAGAAGAACAATTTACAGGGTTAGTCTAGAAAGTCCTTGGGAGTTTGAGAATTTTTTTCTGACCATAGAGTACAGGAAAGCGAAGACAAAATGAGGTCTTAACTTTATTTTTACTTTCCATATTTCAGAGGAACTACAGGGATGAGGAAAGAGAAATATAGAAAATATGGGAGGAGAGAAGCCCTAAGAACTGGTCCAAATTTTGGGAAGCTTGGTGTTATAATTATTGCAAGATTCAGAGGAAATACATAGAATTGTATAAAGAAGAGACTGCATTCAGATGCTTCACCAATAAAAGTCCATTTGGGTGGATTATTTCTGGAGTGGTAAAGGGGAGCCGGCAGGGGTCATTTGCAAGGACTTTCGCCTCATTGACTTTTGCTTTCTCCAGGGTCCTTTTTGGCTGATCTGTCATCTATGGTTCAGTAGGAGAGGAGTTATTTTCTCTCTCTCCCTTTTCGCCTCGTGGATCTTGGCTCTTTAGGATGGTGCTTAGCTCTGACAACAGCTGGCTACTGTCAGTTTTGTGTGGGGTTATGAAATACAGCAGTTCAGTGTTTATTTCAGAGATCTTTTTGAAAACACTCGTGTTTGGCTTCCACCTCTGACTGCCTGAACCTCTGTGTTTACTCATTATGGAAAAAAAAGGAAAGAAAAAGACAAGAGGCTCTCTGTGACAATAAGAATACTCTTCAAAAAGCAGGCTGCCGTGTTTGGGGAAAAGAAATTAAGATAATGGTGAGGCTAATGCAATCTGCGCCCACCCTGTCTGGTGGTCTGGTGACTGATGAGGACGTCTGAGTGAGATCACGTGGAAGTTTGAACACCCTGGTCTGTGCCTCACTTACTCACTAGCTTTCCAGCTCAAGATTTTGAACGGTTCTACTGCTGGCCCCCTCTTTGGGTGATTATTTCTTTCAGTTGGTCTAGATACTATTTCCTCAGAAATAGTCATTCAGGCAATCTCTTCCCTTTCCTCTAGCCTTTTGTTGCTTCTGTCTCCATAAAGTAATCTCAAATGATAGGAAAAGCTTTAAGATTAAAGTCAGACACACATGGATTCAAATTATAACTCTGACAGCTCAACCAACTATATGAACAGGGGCCCTCTATCCATTTGCAGAGCCTCAATTTATTGCCTATCTGGCATTTTCATCCAGATACAGTAGAAAAGAAGTTACAAAAAAGGAGGACATTTCTTAAGGGCAAAGAAAAAATTTTAAATTAGATAAGAAGAAAATCATCAACCACCCTACATTTATATGTCTAGGTTTTCAACATACTGAGTCATGGCTTTCCATGATTCTAACTTGCAATAGCTTGAATAGTAAAGAATTTCCAGAGCCAGTCACTTAGCAGAGGTTCAATAAAGACTTGAGAAGCTGGGAGATTTGGAATGAACCCAGCCTTTAAAATCAGAGAGCCCTAAGTTTAATTCTTAGCTCTGCTACTTGCTGGTTGGGTGATTTAAGGTGGTTGTCTGACCTCTTTGGCTCTACTTTTTCCTCTAAAAAACAATATTTATAATGTTCACCTCTTAAAAGTGTCATAAAAATTAAACAGGATGAATTGTATAACGTGGTAATTCCAGCATAAAATAAGTATTCAATAACTATTAGTTCCCTTACATCAACCAACTATAATTTCACAAGGATTCCTGGCCGAGAAGGTAGTCTCAGGACTTAGGTGGAAAAATTGAACATCTTTTAAGTGACCAACCCTAAAGCTATATACATCAAATTTTATGTCACAATTTACAATCCACACCAAGCTGCTTTTCTGTCAGGGAACCAGACAGACCCAAAATGCACAGAAAACATACAAAAGGAATCCCATCATTGACACAGCCTGTCTAATCATGAACCCTTTTCTTATTTCAAAGACAAAAGTCTACCTAGAAGGACCAAAGTGAGATTGATGCAGCAATGGGCAAATATGCAATATTGTGATCAGGGATCCTAGGTCCCTCCCTCTATGCATTTTGCCTTTAATGTTCTCCATTTTTTCCATGGACGACAGGGACATTGGGGGAGAAAAAGATATTTTTTATAATTTTCATCAAAAAATGGCATTCGGAGTCAAAGGTACTGAATCAGAATTGAAAGAACGAAATTGTTTCCCAGTGTCCTTTCTACTGTTTGCAAAGGACAGTTTCACAAACCCTGGGACTTGGTGAGCATTTTTTCTGCAAATACACACTGCCCTCTGTTGGTAAAATGATGCACTTCCACGCTGCTAAAAGCGCAGCAAAGATCACCTAAAGATCAGCTGCAGCTCTTAAATAAAATTACTGGAAAATGGTAAATTTTCTGTCTTAAACTTTCAGGGGCCCATTTTATCCTAGTCAGCACAAAAGAAAAGAAATTAATAACAAGAGACCTACATAAAATCTAGTGCTACTAAGCTTATTCCAGATATAATTGGTGTGAGAGATTTTTTTTAAAAGGAAACAAAAGACATACATTTTATTAAAACAAAAGGTTTTCATTTAAAACTTTTTCGTTTGTAGTTCTAACCCTCACTATGATTGTCAAGAGTAACCTAGGCAGCTTCACTGACTTCCTTCCTATAAGACTGAAAATTGTCACTTCTTACTTGCAAAGGAACTAAAAATATCCTGCTTAGCCTTTGGCTTTGAGGACTAAAATGCTTCTGATTGGAGTGTAAAAGCAGGGGAAAATGAGATTCATATGTGCTATAATGTTGTCTAATGTTTCCACTCTAGTTCCTTAAGTATAACAATTTTTAAATCATAGTAACTTCTTAATTCCTAATAGTACTGTTAAGCAAAACCAAATACACCCAGATATTCAGTTCCAATGTGAGGCTCTTACCAACTCCAAGGAGCCGGTGGAAATACAAAAAAAGAATTGAAAAAAAAATGTAACCAAATAGTAAAGGAACAACGTTAACATATAGGTTCATAAGTGACAGTATTTGGTAAACAAAGGTAAGATAAAAATGAAATAGAATGCATACAGATATTATTCAGATACTCGAAGCTGATGTGGAATGTTCAAGGGAAACACAAAAGAATCTCTCTGGAGAATGAATTTTCGGCTATGTTAAAATCCGTAGTGAGCAATCTGACTGCAGTCATAGACTCAATTTTAAAATAAACTCACAGCAGGCTTTTTATTATACTGTATATGTAATGGTAATGTGAACGTCTCCTCAGTTTGTTCAATTGCTTTGACTCCAGGAAGAGCGAACCAGATTTCCAAATTAGAGAAGAGCCTTCAACAGTGATGCATTTGTAGCCACTGAGTTATAGTACCTTTTTGTAATTCTAAACAAATAAATCCACTGGAAAATCTTAACTAACAACTGGAATTGATAAACTATTTACATTAAAAATGTAATCTGATAATTCATCTTATAAGCAGATCCACAATAGCTCCACCTGCTCTATAGATAACCAAGGGTATTCTCTAATAAGTAGCTCCCCTGTTCCCAGGAAGGAGTCTGAACAAGTCACTAAGTCAAACCCTGTCCCTGGAAAGCCTGTTCCAGGAGGAAGAGAGGTAAATGGCTGCCAGTGGGCAGTTCACTCCCAAGAAGAAGAGCAAGGCTCAAATGGGCACATCCATTGAATTATCCTTCTTGAATTAAGTAGTCAAATAAGTAACTCTACGTCCACAGGTATAGAGGGCGGGTGTAAAGTGCAGAGAGAGACCAAGCGTGGGTTTAAAACTATCTCCACATGGAAATCAGAGAAATGGGAAATGTTTCACTCTGAAGTTCCCTAGTTCGGTCCTCTTATACCATTCTCATTTAACTACCAAATCTATAGCAAACCAGGGGTGTGTTTAGCCCCTAAAAGGAGGTGATCAGGTTTTATCACCTTCATGAAGCTGTTCTCTCAATGCCAGCGCCAGCCCTTGAAGGTATTACCTTACAGCCACTGGTGAGCAGTTCAGATTTTTTTCAAAGTAGACCCTGGACCATATCATTAATTAAATCAACTCCAAGACCATTTTTTCATATAGGGTTGAAAATTCAATTAATATTGATTTACCTATCTCCAATTTTGTCCAACTGTATTATCCTCATTGCATATCAGAAAATCTGCAATTAGTTCAAATGACAATATTAAAATAAAATTCATAACAAAATGCAAACAACATAGAGATCCCCAAATTTGAATTAACCACCCCGCCTCCATTACAAAATCTCCAGGGAGAAATCATAGTTAAAAAATTAAATCTTTTTGCAAGTTCAATTCTAAAGATGTTAAAGTTCAAGAAAATTAAAATCCCAAATTAAATTATCTTGCTATTACGAAAGAAAAATTCTTAGGCTAAATTAGCATCTTCAAATGACACTCTGCAATCTCGTATTCTGCTCACTTGAGCTAAGGTTTTTCAAAGTCTGGATAGATACGGATTCTTTGAGCTGCTTTAATTTGGACTGTTAAAGTAACGTCTGTGGGTTTCTGGAGACATTGAATTAATTCAACTCTCAGAATCTCTTCTTTTAAAAGTCCATGGAGTTGATAGAACACAAAAGATACTGTATGTAGTATTGGCCTTCTACCCACAATATTTAGAAATCGCAGCAATACCTATTCCCCAAAACACCTTCAAAATTATGTTTCCAGAATTCAGTACTATTACCAAAGATCACAGCAGAAACTCAATGGCATCAAAAGGAAAAAGGAGAAATGGAGAAAATCTTGGCTCAGCTTCACCTGGTTGTCAGTCGGTCAATGCCAATTTTTCAGATTCCTTAGCCTGTGAACTGTAATCCAAAAATCATTTCTTTTAGAGATTAATTTTGGCATTATTCCATTTATAGTATTAGAGAGAGGAGTCTATCTACGCATCCTATCACCCCTCAAAGGAAGACTTTATGTTACAAAATTTAGAAATCTACAATCATGGCAGCCCTACTCACCAGATCTTGTCTTGTTTTTCTTTCCCATGGAGTTTATTAAAACCTCTTAATTTCTACCTTCCATAGTTCCAAATTGAATATGGGTTCTTTCTAGTGATGCAGCACCCACATGAGCAGACATTTTCAGTGCCTCTTCTCACTATAACTTTCCTTACTTCAGAAATGGGCCTCCTGAGGAATATTCCTCGGTTCTAAGTAATTTGCCAATCCAGAACCACCTTAAGTCCACATACGAGAGACGAGAAAGCCACCTAAACATAAGCATAGTCCCTCCATTTTTATCCTTGGCCCTGAATACAGAACAGAATTTGGGGCCACCCATCAATGCCCAGCCTCCCAGGGCCTTGCACTAACAATTTAAATCTTGAAACATCCTAGTGCTCAGAGGTTCCTACAGAAGCCATATAGGTGCCTTCCAGTTGCAAAACAGCAAATATGGTTCTGTTCACCCATAGCTAAAATACTTGAAAGCTCTCTTGTCCCATAATAATGTTTTTTGCTTCAGCCCTAGCTATAGCTCCACTCTGAAATTTTCCCTTACTAAGGCCCTGTGACCCATGCTTTTGCTTCTTTGCCTGCACAGGGAGATCAGACCTGCTTACTCTAAATGAATCCTCACCTCCACTGTGCCTATTCATTAAGGCCTCTACAACCCATTGGCCCCCAGCAAAGATCTGTCTAGCCTTTTCCCAGTCCATTCACACAGCACTCAAATGGGCCCTCTGCACACCTCGGCCAGAGCCAAATACTTTTATAATAGCCGTTTACTTATAGTCAATCGCCAAGGTCAGAACACCATGTGACTGGTTTAAAGCCTCTGGCCCAGGCCACAGCAGTTAAAAGCAAACAACACAACTATAAAACTCTCCCTGGCCTCATATAAGCCTCTGCAAACTGCCAAGGTCACAATGGCCTGCCTCACCAAAAACCTTCCTAGAGTGTATTTGCTCCCCTAATTTCAAGTCTCTTATTTTTTGTTCTTTGTTCCAGTCAGTGCACCAAATGCTGGAGTCTTCAAGAGATGCCCCAAAAATAGCACACCTCTTCTTACCCAGGTTCTCAACAAATTGAGAAATAAAACCAAGTACCGACAAACAGAAAACTTAAATCATTATTACTTTTATTATTAATAAAGACCAAGTTGGAGAATATAGCTTAGCATGAGGGTCTTTAGTTTTCCTACTACTGAATCTCAGACTTAGGGAGCTTTTATCCATCTAGATACAGCAGTCCTGGTTTTCCCTGCCCCCAAGCATCATTAAATTTTTCTTCCCAAATATACCAATCATGTAAGTTACTCTGTCTCTCCAGAGGCACGGTGAGTAATGGATAAGAATAAGTATAGAACCTGAGTCGAAAAGAATTCATTCTTATGAAAACCAGAGAAACGAGGAGAAAGACGTACTCTGGTGACACTTCATACAATGTGGAAAAATTGCTGGTTACTGATATGGCTCTCCTGACCATGAGGTAGTTCAGTGCAGAGTCCTTATCTCTTTGATTCTTAGATCTTCAGTGCCCAGGACTATGCTTGACATTTTTATATCTATTTATGCCTCACCTCTAAAAAGATTTAAGGTAACATTAGGGTTTGAAAAATAACCCATAAAACAACTGGATTTAAAGGAAAATGAAAATAAGAAAATAAGATCAACTTATATAAATTATTGGTATATAAAAATATGACCTCCTAATGAAATTATTTTCAGCTTCTGGCATTTGGTTCAAAAAGAAAACATAGACACCTACACCCTTGCTACCCAGTGTGACCAAACAGGCATGACTGGAAGCTTGTAGGTACAAATTTATCATGTACCTAAAAAAAAGCCCGAAATATTAATATTTGGGAAACAGCACAAATAATGATCTAAGTTCGTGTATGTGAAAATACAACACAAGAATCACAGGTGCGTAACAAGAAGCGGACAAAAGCAAAAGTAAAAGAAAAATACAGGAGAGAGAGAGAGAGAGAGACAAAAAGAGAGGAAGAGAGATTGAAGCTGTAAGAAGAGCCCAGATCATGCTGGGGCTTTGGAGATCATACTACAGACTTTGGACTTGATCCAGAGGACAATGGAAAGCCATTAAAAGCTTTATTTGCTGTTCCTGTGGTTGCAAAGAATAATATGGTCAACCACTTCAGATTTTCCTGCTTTAGAACATAATAGAGTTGGATTTGGTGTTCTATGTGTACAACACAAATCTCCAAATCAGGACATTTTTGTGAGTGAAAGAAAACACTCAAAATTATTTAATGACAACAGACAACAACCTGGTCTGTCCTTAGCAAATCAGGACTTAACGGTCATTACAAATCCCCAAGTCCTATGACCCTCTGTCCCACTTTCTGTCAGCCAGCACTACCACTATACCATACTGCCCAAGAGGCCACATTCTACTTAGCACAATGAAGCAGTGAGAGCCAGTCTAAAGTGTCAAACAATTTTCTTTCATTTCATAATTCCGTGGACACATATTATAAGCCCATAAAATTCAACAGCCCATAAAAATACACAGCTTGATTTTATAAAACTCTCACTTTACCACAACTGCTCAATGTTAACCCCCTTCACCTTCATTTCACCAAAGAATGAGTGTTTTAAAACAAGCATAATACACGGATTCAATAATTTTTTGAAACATGAAAATGCCTTGATATAACAAAGCATAACAAATGGAAATGATTTCTCCCTGACTGTTATTTTCAGATTAAGGTTAGTTTGTCTTGATTCATCCTAAAATGCTTTCCTTCAGTGTATTTTTGTCCACTTAAGTCACAGGCTTAGACAAGTCCCACTTACTGCCCACCAGGATCAGACATGAGTGGGATTTTAAAAATATGATTTAATGTTGGAAATTTCAAATAAGTCATTAGAAATCAAAGGTCAAATCCTGATTAATTTTTATTACATGTGAATAATAAACATATTGTAGGACTTTCTACAAATAGTTTTCTAATCTGTCATGGAAAAATTCTCCTAATATTAAAAGATGCAGCAGTGATTAAAAGTTATGACATGAAACTGTATAAAGAGTATGATCTCAATACTATATATAAAATGTAAAGTACATATATAACATATATTTATGTAGGTATGCAAAAAATTAACAATGGCAAAAACTAACAATGGCAAGATTCTGAATAATTTTGGTTTTCCACTTTTTTACGTATTTAAAAGAATGATGTACATCAGCAGAGTTCCTTTTAAGTTTTAAACAGGGAAGCTGGTACTTCTCAAAGTTTAATGCACATACAAATCAACTTGTAAACTTGTTAAAATGCAAAATCTGATTCACTAGTCTGGGGTAGGACCTGAGATTCTGCAGTTGTAAAAAGCTCCCAGGTGATGCAAAAGTTGCCAATCCAAGGACCACATATTTAGGGTCAAGGCCATAGAACTCAAGCTGTCCAACATGGTTGCACCTTAACATCATTTGGAGAGTTTTTACAAGCACTGATGAGTAGGTCCCACTGCCAGAGATTTCAGTTTAATTGGTTTGGGCTGAGTATCAGGGATTTTAAAACTTCTCAGGTGATACTAATGTGCTACAGAAGTTTACATTCCAAAAGGTCTGATTATATATGAATATATATATATAAAATATATGGTTTTATATATATGTATATATTTATATATATAAAATATATGGTTTTATATGTATATATTTAATATATATTTATATATTAAATATACATAATTTACATATATAATTAATTATATATTATTAAATATATATAATTATATATATAAATATATATAATTATACATAAATATATATTTATTTTTTTATTTTATATATATTATATATATATATATACCATTTTATTGTGAGTGATTCCTGTGTAGCTTTATGTTCTATGTGATAGGACATTTGCCTTTGTATTACTTTAGATGTGCATATTTTTTCAACAATTGCTCTTGAGTTTTCCAAAAATAAGAAAGCAACATCATCACTCATAGCTCCATCTCTAAAATGACCTCTTTAGAGGAAAATCTCAGGAAGCCAACACTGTGTTCACTGGAAGCTAAATTCAACACTGCAAGGGAATGGGCCACAATGTCAAAGAAGACATGCAGCACATCACAGATGCAAAGAGTTCCATCTACTTTTCATTTGATATTCAGCTTTTATTCATCTTAGAATCAGCAAGTATTATGTCTTTTTCTTGAAGTGTTCTGGTCTTGAGCCAGCTACTTAATCTTTCAAAGGCCCATGGATGAAATGAAGGGATACCATCAAATGATCCCCACATTCCCTTTTGATTCTGAAGCTCTGAGTTTCTCGCTTTTTCCTCTATCCATTCTTTCTACTCCTCATTGTCACTGTCAATGTCAACATTATCATCTCAAATACTCCCCTGTAGAGCAGTGTTTGTGAAACTTTAGTGTATATGAAGACATTCAGTGATGATTACCAAACAGATTCTAAGACCCATCCACAGAGTTTCTGGTGCAGTAGGCCTGGTAGAGAGCCTGGGAATTTACGTTTCTAAAGTTTCTAGGTGATGATGATGGTCTAGTCTACAGTTTGAAAACCACTACTTAGATCATTCATACAAGCTAAATTAGGATACTTTTCAGTAAGGAGTAATTAGCAAGGTGTGGAGAAAGAAATGGGCACATAGCTCCAAAAGCAGTAGACATTTGCCTAGAAAGCACATTGCCTAAGGACTATCAATTATGACATGTGTTTTTAGAAAACTCTGCCTGATCTACCTCACAGATCAATCTAATTAGAGGAAAGTTTCTTTGCCTATTGCTAAATGCATGCAATTTGAAACTACAGGATTGCTACCCTCCTCCAAATGAAAACAGGCTGAGATGAAGCAACACTCCCCTCAATTTGATAAACTACTCATTGCAGAGCAGGCTTGAGCTGTAGAAAGCATAAGCAAACAAAGTAACTCACAAACAAAATCAATTCAACAGCACTATACGTTAACTTAAAAAACACCTGCTCTCACTATACAGTCATAAATTACCTTCAGAAAATGAGAAATTATATCCAAGATCTGACACAGTCCTTCCTGATGTGTATTATTCAGACCCTTTAGATGCGGATTACTTGACTCCAAAGCTTTCCTAGTAAGAACATTATGATTAAATTTTTACTTTCTAAATTTTACTTTTATGTAGATGAAAAACATAGGAGAAACTATATATATTATTAGATATTGGCAAATCTACTATCTTAATTTCCTTCATAGCACATATTATGGAGAGGAAATTCTAAGTACCAATAATTTCACACCATTCCTGTGTGAAATCCTTCCTGTGTGTTGACACGTAGAGTATATTTGCAAACAGGTGCACACACACACACACACACACACACATATATATATATACTCATGCATATGTAGATATGTGCATGAAATTAACACACACATATATACACGCATGTTCATGCACATATTGTCCTTCTAAGAAACTCTTTAAGGGCTGAAAATAAGATAATCAGGTGTCTTGCTTCTGTCTTCTTTAGCAGAGTGTGCCTTTGCATATTTCGAGGTTTCCCCAGGAAGATGCAGAAAGTATAAGTCACACCCTTACAGCACTGAGTCAGCATCAATCTGGCAACCGCTGCTTTATTTGTGCGGGAACCCCTTCCATGCCATGCTTGGTATTCTCCAAACCTGTTTTAAGATCAATGTTATTAATATTTCTCATTAGGTGATTGTAATCACCACTGTTTTCTTTCATAGAAAATGCTTGTAAAAATAGCATGAAATTCTCAAAATGGTTTAGATGAAAGAAAAAAAATGAAGTAGTATGGAAAATGCCTTAAGTCTTTTTATTATTTTTTAAAGGAGGATATTAAAATGTTCACCCTGAAGCTTATCAAATGTTTTGGAGATTCTTTGTACATCTATTCAGTAGTTATAAATTTGAGTACTCCATGCTGCTTCCACGATGGGCATATTTTCAGCAACTTTATATGAAGAAGAGGGATTTTTGGGTTGTGTTGTCATGGTAACCCTATATTCAAGGTTGAAAAGCTTTATTGAATGTTTTGGGTATTTCTCCATCGCAGCCTTCATTTAATAGATTTTGATGTTCAAATGTTTAAATATACTACTTCATCTCTGATAGTGTTATTTGGCCATATATATACATATATATATACATACACATATATATAATACACATATATATGTGCTATATGTATGTATATATATGCAAATATTGTTTACATGTTTATATACCTACAGGAAAGAAAATTGATAAATATGATTTTTCTTTCTCTTCCTCTATTCCTTTTGGCACCTAAGGTTTTTCATTTGTGAAAAGCAAAAGAAGATATATAGATAGATACAGTTTCAGATATAGAGAAAATAGATGGCCTCTTATTTATATCTCACAATAGTACCACAATGTATTTCTAAAAGTGCTGTTGTTTTTCCCACACTATTCTCTTTATTCAAAGGGGTGGAGATGCTACAAGGGTAAGGGTCAATAGGGCTCAGAGGGGATCAATAAGTGATATGAGAAAAGCACAGTTGCTCCTATTTGTCCTTTTTACAAAAATTCCTTGCTATAACCCAGCATTCCTGGAAACATTTTCCTAAGGAATGCATGCGTCCCATCAAGGGTGAATTAGAGTTTCAAGGTAAAAAGAACTTTGTTGTTAAATATATTAGGATGATGCTGAATTAGATAAAGGATTTAATATTCTTCTGTGTATTGTCGTGTCTTTGAAGGATCAAATAGTCATACCCAAATATTTTGACAAGGAACCTTGGAGACGGGTCACCTACAGAGCAGACTTTGGGAAATGCTGCTTTCTTGCATATTTCTAACAGGTTTCTACCATTCCAAATGTGAGCAGGATCAGAAGGAGATTCCTAAGTGGGTCAGCAAAGTGATACTTAAATCACATTTTGTCTTTCTCCATATATTTGAAGACACAGGTCTTTCAAAACAAAATCGGAGCTCATTTGAGGAAAATTAGAGACCTCTTAGCAATAGGTCCCTCATCCGCTAGAAAATCACCTCTGTGCGTGTAATCTCAGGAAACTATAGCAGCAACTGCAAAATGTCTCCAAGAGAGAACTTATCCTAAAATTCTGCCCTGAGAGTGATTCTAAGGAAACAAACTAACTACAGGGCAGGATATATATGAGAGGGAAATTTGAGGGCCTCCCTCATATGAATGCTGCTGTTTTCCCTACTCACACATTTTAAACTGTAATTTAAGCCTTTTATTATCTAGTACAGTAACTACAGTAATGGGAGCCTAGAGAATAATTTTCAATCAAATATAATTTCCTGTGAAATTTTGAAGAAAAAAATACTTCATTACTGAGGCTGATGCTTATGCCTCTTGGATTATGATTCGTGGAGACAATCTTTCCAATCTTGTGCAAAACTATCAGAAATCACTCCTTGCACTATTTCAATATACAGTTTAAAAACATGCTTTGAACTTCTTATTCTGTACTGAAACCCTTTAATAAGTACAACTTTGTTATGATGATAATGAGTATTATTTAATACTTATCATATCCAACCCTAAAATAGTTTCTGCACAGCAGGGCTATTTTAGAAGTACAATCCCAAATAAAAACCATAAACTGGGGTGTTGGTGATTCACATCAGAGAAAACAACCACTATCATATATATTTACATCAAAAATTGTTAGCCACAGGGAGTTGTTCTTCCTGACTTCACCATCCAGTTCTCAACCAGCATCTTTCTCACCGTTGCATGACATACTTCCAGGAATGAGTAGGAATGTTGCTGAAGGAAGAGGCAGAGTGGACACTGTCAGTCTTATCGTGCCATTTTTACACCACAGCACCATAGCTTTGCTCAGGGAAGAATAATCTTTCTGTCAAAGAATCCAATTCACAACTGAATTGTTAGTTGCTGGGTGCTTCAAGGTCTAAAATCTGTCCAAATCAATTGTTCTCTTCTTACCTTAAAGCGTCAGTTTCCCCAAAGCTCACTAGCTGAATCTGAAGAGTACATGTACTCACATAATACAGCTTTTTTCAGTCACTTTGCCTGATTGATTTCTCCATCACAGTGAGTTAAGGAAGGGAAGTTCAGTGGTTGTTGGTGGTACCCAAGGCAGATCCCCTTTACCAGACTGCGAGCTTATCCCCAATTGTTGTGAGTGTTTTGTGCTAATGACTCACAGCCTCCCCCTTCTCTAGAGAATTTCCCTTAGCACCAACTGAGCCACTGGGTGGAGAAATAACCAGCTGGTTTGTCCAAGCCTCTCCCAGTTTTTAGCACTGAGAGTTCTGCAACAGGGAAAACGTCTTAGTCTCCAGTAACTGCAGTGGTTGGTCGTTCCCATTGTCCTCCCTTATGACTGATACAAGAAGACCCCACAGGGGTGGCCTTGAGATGACTCTAGACATTGTTACTTGTCTCCCACCCCTTCTCTGTCCTGCTTCCTCATTCTCTTTTTCCTTAGAGCGCTCCTTCCACAAATCACTTGCTCCCAAACTCTTGTCACAGGCTGAGGAACCCTATCTTACCTAAAACAGAATATGTGTCAGTACTAGACAAGGGCTCCAGGAAGGCAGCAAAATCGGGTGGAAACTATGGGTTTTGAGGTAAAACTCACCTGTTTACATGCCACATTTTTTCCTTGCAAGATATGTGATCTTAGACAAGTTGCTAAAACTCTTTCTTCCTCAATTTCCTCTTCTGTTAAATGGTGATAGTAACATCTGTTTTATGGGGTTTTATGATTATTTTAAAATAAATAACATTTTGGACATATTGTCAGTGCTTAGTAAATGGTACTTTTTGTGAAAAACTTCAGCATTTATTTGAAAGTGGGTGCTCAGTTAAGTCGTGCACTGAGTACACATTAATTGCATTAACTTACCCACCCCATATAGACATTTTATCATTATAATCTGAAAACATTTTTAAAAATCCATTACAAATCTGATTTCAGATATATACATGTGAATTTTTTCAATCTTACCAAACTATAAGACAATTTGGATTTGATCAAGATTCTGATCTGATCAAGACTCCCTTATCTCTCAAATTTGATTTTAGAAATGGAAAAGTCTTAGATTTTAAAGCTATGTAATTTTTTAAAATAAGCACATATTTCGGAAATAATGAGCAGGCCAATTTTGGGGGTAAATCTCAAAATAATAATTATTATTATAAAAGCTATTTTTGTTGTGATGATAAGAATCCAACATGAGCTCTACCATCTAAAATTGTTAAGTGCATGACACAATATTGTTAACTATGGGTACAATGTTGTGCAGTGGATTTCTAGAAATTATTCATTTTTCATAACTGAAACTTTTTACCATTTCTCCCTCCCTGCAGCCCCTGCTAACCACCATTCTATGCTCTGTTTTTATGAATTTAACTATTTTAAATAACTCATTTGAATGGAATCATACAGTTGTCCTGTGACAAATTTCACTTAGCATAATGTCCTGATGTTTTCTCCATGCTGTTGCATATGACAGGATTGTCTCCTTTTTTAAAGGCTGAATAATATTTCATTGTATGTGTATACCACATTTTATGTATCCACTCATTCATCAGTGAATATTTAGATTATTTCCACATCTTGGCAATTGTGAAAAATGCTGTAATGAACAGTGTTAATATTTTTTCAAAATCCTGATTTCAATTCTTTTGGATATAGATACAGAAGTGGGATTGCTGAATCATGTGGTAGTTCTGTTTTTAATTTTTTAAGGAACTCTTTGAATTTTCCCATAGTTTTTTATAGATGTATACATCAAGATCCATATTTAGAATAAAAGATCTGAAATGAGAACGGTATTCTAAAAAACTTGTTAACGATAACTTTTACTTATCAAGCTCTTTCTGTGTAGTTCTGTGACATGTATATTACATACATAATTCTTAATTCTCACAAACCTGGAGCAGTGAGAGTACCAGTCTTACCAAGAAGGGAACTGAGACTCAAGCTAATTAAGGCCATAGAGTAAAGGGAGAATGAGTAGAAGAAATAACCGGGAGGAGGAAAATCAAAATGCAATCACAGGAGTTTCTAGAAATTTCTCTTTAACTAGAGATCATTAAAATTAAGTCATCTTGCAACCAATGTAACTTTTGTATGATCATTTCACATTTAGAAATAGGCCCTTCTCTTTCACTACTGACTTCTTGGAATCCAGCAATTATGATATATCATTATAACTATTTAAAAATTATTTATCTGTCACACCTGATTTCTGCTCATTCCTCGTACCTAGTAAAACTAGAGCGTTTACCTAGTAAAACAAGCCACATAAGCCTCCTCCTCACTATCAAACAGCTGTTCATCCACCAACAATCTTTATTGAGGACAGAGCAGAATACTTGGCATTTTAGTAGGTTTTACAGCTATTCAAATATGATTAATTTAAATACCAATTTTATCTAGAAACCATAGACTCTGGCACCAACTCTAAAAACAGGAGAGGAAAAGAGTGTTCAAGTCTTACGTGTAGAGGCCTACGAGTAGCTTTTTTTTTTTTTCATAAAGCCTAATTTATGAGCTTATAATTGACTAGTGAGCATCATGCTTTAATTATGATTTTGAAAAGGCCCTGGCAGTAGACTAGCTCTGACAGCCAGTGACACGGTGTGGGCTTAAGAGAATAGGTATTTATACAGGCAGTGTCAATCACCAAGTACAAGCCATTTCAACTGCCTGTCCCAATCAGGGCCAGCATCCAAAAGTATAGCAATTAGAATGAGTAGATGAAAAACACCGGGGACATTACAATAGAAGCCCATGGCCAGGGGAACCCACAAGAAAGCACAAAATGTCACCTTCGTGCAGTTATTTTAATACTGATGAGACAAACTGAAGTCCTTTCAAATGGGGCCACTTAATTTGTTGAAATAGAGAACAAAGAGTCAATTTAATAAAATCAAAGGGCATACGTTTCCCCCAAAATTTAGCAATTCAACCTGATGTCATTGTCATATATGACAATAACCTCTTACCACAGAATCTAACCACTTAATATTATATATGAGCCAATATTTGATCTTATATCATAATAACCACTGGATGCTGAAGACAGAATAATTACAATTCATTAATGTATTCAGGAAAGTTAAGTAGTTACATTGTTCTCCCTTTTTTCCAGCATTTAGTTAAAAAGAAGGAAAGCAGGGTCTTAGTTGAAAAAGCACTATATATATATATAGTGCTTTATATATATATATTTTATATATAAGATATGTATTTTATATATAATATATGTATTTTATATACAATACATAAGATATGTATTGTATATACAATACATAAGATATGTATTGTATATACAATATATAAGATGTATTTTATATATAAATGCATTTATATAAATATATATGCATTTATATATATATATATATATTTTTTTTTTTTTTTTTTTTGAGACAGAGTCTCGCTCTGTTGCCAGACTGCAGTGCGGTGGCACGATCTTGGCTCACTGCAACCTCCGCCTCCCATGTTTAAGTGGTTCTCCTGCCTCAGCCTCCTGAGTAGCTGGGACTACAGGTGTGTGCCACCATGCCCAGCTAATTTTTGTATTTTTAGTAGAGACGGGGTTTCACCATGTTGGCCAGAATGGTCTTGATCCCTTGACCTTGCGATCCACCCACCTCAGCCTCCCAAAGGGCTGGGATTACAGGCGCGAGCCACTGTACCCGGCTGAAAAAGCATTATATTTAGAGTCAGAAGGTGTAAATTCACTTTTTTTGTGTGAGTTTGTTTGTTTTGAGACAGAGTTTTGCTCTTGTTATCCAGCTGGAGGGCAATGGCGCGATCTTGGCTCACTACAACCTCCTACTCCTGGGTTCAAACAATTCTCCTGCCTCAGCCTCCCAAGTAGCTGGCATTACAGGTGCCCACCACTGTGCCCGGCGAATATTTTTTGTATTTTCAGTAGAGATGAGGTTTCACCATGTTGGCCAGGCTAGTCTCGAACTCCTGACCTCAGGTGATCCACCTGCCTCGGCCTTCCAAAGTGCTGGGATTACAGGCATGAGCCACCGCACCCAGCCTGTAAATTCACATCTTGATTCAATTTATTCTAGCTTTGAAATCTTGAACAAGACTTCAAACCTCAATTATTTTACTGTAAAGAGTGACAATCATATAAGGTCATTGTGCAAATCACTTGATGCCTAACATATGTAAACTATGAAACAACAAAACAGAATCATAATTATTAAAAACTGTATTATTTATTTATGTATAATAAATTGTACTAAAAGTGAGGAGCTGGAAGCAACAAATATTTATTATCTCCTACTTTCTGCAAGTCAGGAATCTGGGAGTGGCTTTGCTAGATGACCCTATATCAAGTTCTCTCACAGAGGCTGCAGTCAAGATGTTGGCTGCGGTTACAAGTGTCTCAAGGGTCTACTTAGAAAAAATCTGCTTCTAAGCTCACTTGTGTGGGAGTTTTCAGGCCATAGAAGATCCATTTCAAAGCTCACTCATGTGGCTACAGGAAGGCCTCAGACAGTTTGTTTCTGATTTCATGCACATGGGCCTCCATCCAGGGCTGCCTCACTACATGGCAATTGGCTTCTCCCAGAGTAAGGTATCCAAGAGAGAGCAAGATAGGGAACCCAAGAGAAAAACCACAATATTTTTTATAATCTAATATCAGAAGTGGCATACCATCATTTTGGCTGTATTCTATTTGTTACAAGTAAGTCATTAAATTCAGCCCACACTCAAGAATAGAAGATTACACAAGGGTATGAATACCAGGAGGAAGGGATCATTATTACCATAGGAGAGGATAGCTCCATGCATGTTACTGCCCCTGAAAACCTTCCAGTGGAATAAGATATGGAGATGGGATACAGTAATACTGATGATGCTGACCCTGTGCAGCCCAAGGCTAATGTGTGTTTGGGTCTTAATTTTTAATTAAAAAAAATAAAAATAAAAGTAATAGTAAACATAAATAATTTTTAAAATGGATAAGAGTTTATAGAACAAGGATATAATGAAAAAATAATTTGTACAGCTGTACAATGTGTTTGTGTTTTAAGCTAACTGTTATTAGGAGTCAAATGTTTTAAAAATTTAAAACTTACAGTTATAAAGTTATGACAGACTAAGGTTAATTTATTATTGAAGAAAGAATTTTTTATTAGTATAGCCTAAGTGTACAGTGTTTATAAAGTCTATAGTAGTGTACAGTAATGTCCTAGGCCTTCACATTCACTCACTCCTCATTCACTGACACACTGAACAACTTCTAGTCCTGCAAGCTTCATTCATGTAACTGCCCTATAAAATTGTACCATTTTTTATTTTTATACCATACTTCTACTGTACTTTTCTATATTTAGATAACTTTATATACACAAATACTTACCATTGTATTTTAATTGCTTATAGTATTCAGTATGGTAACATGCTGTATCAGTTTGTAACCTAGAAGCAATGGGCATATAGCCTGGGAGGGTAGCATAGACTATACCATCTAGGTTTGTGTAAGTATTCTATGATGTTTGCACAATGACAGAATCACCTAATGATGTGTTTCTCTGAATGTATCACTGTTGTTAAGTAATGCATGACTGTATTTATCCTCATACCTTATAGTCAATATGTAATTTATGAATCTTAACATTTTATGGTCCTCATAGAAGTCAATGTGTTCCTCATATCACCTTGATCCTCCACAAGGTTATTAATTCTCCATGTGCTTCCTCTGTTTCTTCCCACTCCCACTCATTAGTTTCCTTAATGTTGCTCTAACACTCTTCCACATTACATTTGAAAGTGTCAGAAAAAACCAGACAGAACATAAGGAGATTTATGACACCAAGCCATAAAAGGACTGATATATCTGTTGACTTAATGTCTTTGACATTATTGTCCAGCCATTCTAGAATTGTCATTAATGTCTAGCCATTCTAGAATTTATCTGAAATGCCCCAGTGAGCATTTCCTTTGCAAATGTCAGCCCTAAAAAAATTTCAGATTTTTGAGCACTTCAAATTTCAGATTTTCAGATTTGAAATTCTCCACCTGTAGGTGTATCATGGAAGTCATAGAAGGAGAATAGTGAGAGAAAGGGGACAGAAAGCTAATTTAAATAAATAATGACTGAAAATGTCTCAAACCGTGGGAGAAATATAGACATCCAGGAACATGTGACTCAAGGGCACCCCAAAAGCTTTAATCTAAAGAGAACTTCACAATGATACAATATAATCAATTTGTCAACAATCAAAGGCAGAATTTTGAAAGCAGCAAAAGAGAAGAGATTTGTCCCATACAAGGAAGCCACAATTAGACTATTAGTAGATTTCCCAGGGCAAGAGAGAGTAGGATGACATAATCAAAATTCTGAAGAGCAAAAAGCTGTCCAGTGAAGAACATTTTACCTGTCAAGGCTGTCCTTCACAAATCAAGTATAAAGACTTCCCCAGATCAAAAAAAAAAAAAAAAAAAGAATCTGAAGGGATTCACTAGTTCACTAGTACTAGACCTTCCTTAGAAGAAATTCTAAAAAAGAAAAGAAAAATTCTTTAGGCTAAAGCCAAAGATAGTAATTAGTAACCATGAAAGCATATGAAAGTATGAAACTCATCAGTAAAGTATATAGTCAAAAGCAGAATACTCTAATACTCTAGTGGTGATATAGACATCACTTTTAACTCTAGTATAAAGATTAAAAGAAAAAAGCATTTAAACAAAACCAGAGCTATAATAATTTGCTTATAAATAGAAAATACAAAATAATTAAAATGAGACATCAAAAACATCTGGGAGAATATAAGTGTACCGTTTTGCATTTAGTCAAAATTAGGCTGTTATCAGCTTACAACAGACTATTATATTTTATAGTAAGCCCCAAGACAATCACAAAGAAAAATCCCATAGTAGATACAACAAGATAAAAAGAAAGGAATTAAAGCTACCAGTATAAAAAATCATCAAATTCCAAAGGAAGAAAATCAAGAGGAAGAAAGGAACAAAGGAACCATAAAATAGTCAGAAAGCAAGTAAGACACTGTAATACTAAGTCTTTACCTATAAAAAATTAAATGTAAATGGACTAAATTTCTAACCAAAAGACACAGGATGGGTAAATGAATTTTTAAAAACTCAAGACCCAAATATATGCTGCCTACAAGGACACAAATAGGGTGAAAGTGAAGGGATGAGAAAAGATATTCCATGGAAATGAAAACCAAAAGAGCAGAGATAGCTATATTTATATCAGTTAAAATAGACTTTAAGACAAAACTGCAACAAAAGACAAAGAAAGTCATTATTTAATAACAAATGGATCAAATTATTAAGACAATATAACAACTGTCAGTATACAAGCACTGAACATCAGAGCACCTAAATACATAAAGCAAATATTAACAGATCTAAATGGAAAAGTAGACAGCAATTCAAAAGTAGTATGGGATTTCAGTAAGCCACTTTCAACAATGGATACATCATCCAGACATAAAATCAATAAGGAAACATTCACTCAGAGCAAATGGACATAACACACATAGAACATCAATTCAACAGCAGCAGAATAAATATTCTTTTCAAGCATACATAAAACATTCTCCAGGATAGATCGTATATTAGTCCACAAAACGAGTCTTAGCAAATTTAAGAAAATTAAAGTTATATCAAGTACCTTTTCTAACCATAGTGGTAAGAAACTAGAAAGTTATAACAGAGAAAAACTGGAAATTTCAAAAATACAAGGAAATTAAACCACACACTCTTAAATAACCTATGCCTCAAAAAAAGAAACCTAAAGAGAAACCAAAAAAGAACTTGAAACAAATAAAAATAGAAACACAACATGTCAAAACATATGAGATGCATCAAAAACAGCTCCAGTAGAGAAATTTACAGTAAGAAGAAAAATCTTATACACTATATACCTCATGGAACTAGTAAAAGAAGAATAAACTCAAAACTAGTAGCAAGATGAAAATATCAAAGATCAGAGTAGAAATAAATGAAACAGATACTAGAGAGTAATAGAAAAGATCAACAGAACTAATAGTTGACTTTTTGAAATGATAAAATCAACAAACTTTTAGCTAGAATAAGAAGAGTAGACTCAAATATATGTAATGATAAATGAGGAGACATTATAATGAATGTCACAGAATACATAAGAGACAGAAATATAAGAAATATACGAGACAGAATTATAACAGACTACTATAAAGAATAACACGACAACAAATTACATAACCTAGAAGAAATGGACAAATTCTTAGAAATATACAACCTACCCAGACAGAATCATAAAGAAATAGAAAATCTGAGCAGACCAATTATAAGTAAGGACATTGAAGCACAATTTTAAAAAATTGGACAACACAGAAAAGTCGTGGACCAAATAGCTTCACTGACGAATTTACCAAATATTTAAAAAGGAATACAAATTCTTCTCAAATCCTCCTCAAAAAATTAAGAAAACACTTCCAAACTCATTTTACAAGGTTAGCATTATTCTGATACCAATTCCAGACAAGGACACTCCAGGAAAAAAATTACAGACCAATATGTCTGATGAATATTGATGCACAAAACCACAACAAAATACTAGCCAACTAAATTCAACAGTACATTAAAAGGATTATATTATACATCATGATCAAGTATAATTTTTCCCTGAGATGCAACAATGGCTCAAAATATGTAAACTGATAAATGTGATAACACCAAAAAAAATGAAGAATAAAAATTTTTAAATTATCTCAATGTATAGAGAAAAGGCATTTGACAAAATTCAACATCCTTTTATGATAAAAACTCTCAACAAATTAGGTAGAGATGGAATGTGCCTCAACTTAATGTCCACAACTAATATCATACTCAATGGTAAAAGTTTAAAGCTTTTACTCTAAGACCAGGAATAAGACAAAGATGTTCACTTACCATTTCAATTCAGTATGGTACTGGAGGTCCTGGCCTGAGCAACTATACAAGAAAAAGAAATGAAGAGCATTCACATAAGATGGGCTTGAAAACCTGCCCCAGGCTACCTGCCTCCCACCTGCAGAAAAAAAAAGGGCTTGGTTCTTCCCCCACCTGTGGAGTCTGCACACTGGATTTGTGCCCTCCCCCACGTTCTGGCCAGGAGGTTTCTCAACCCATTCAAATTGTTACAGAGCTCACCTAGAGATTTTCTTCTCCCTGTGTAGTTTTACCCCTGCTCCTCTCCCATTGGATCTTTGTGGTGTCAGGCAGGAAAGGCCTGCTAGGGGACCCAGCAAGCTCCCAGGGCCTTTCTACTGCTTTCTCTACCCCTGTATTTCACTGGGCTGTCCAAATTGACTCAGCTCCAGGTAAAGTCAGAAACATCTCCCCCAAACAGACCTTCTCCAAACAGAGCTTCTCCAGTGGGGGTATGTGTTCAGAAGAGGAGGGTCTCCCTTTCCCATTTCTGCAGTTAGGGCCCTCACAGTTTTTTTGGCGGCGGGGGGGGGGGGTCTCCCAGGTCCTGCAGGGACAGTCTGCTGCCTTCAGAGGGTCTGTGGGTCCTCTTGGGATTGCTGGTTTGTTCTTGCAGTCAATCTGGAGCTAAAATTCATAATGTGAGCCCCTGCCCACTGCTCTGTCCGGAGCTGTGATCTAGTCCTGCCTGCCATCCACTGTGAGACCTGGGAATCTCACTGCCATCTCCCACAGCAGCCACAGCAAGACCTGCCCAAGGAGAGTCTGAGCTCAGACACACCCTAGCCCTGCCCTCACCTGATGGTAGTGGAAGACAAAGGACATATAATATATATGTCATATAATAGACACACCTCGCCCTTCCCTACCCACCCTGGTAGTGGAAGACAAAGGACATATAATCTTGGGTGTTCTAGGACCCCACCTTCCACCGGTCCCTCTCCACACTACCATAGCTGATGCTCTCTGGAAAGTGCCACTTCCTGGCAGGAGGCCAACCAGCACAAAAGTAGAGCATTAAACCACCAAAGCTAACGACCCGCACGGGTCCATTGCACCCTGCCTGCCACCAGAACAGACACTGGTATCCATAGCTGAGAGACTCATAGATGGCTCACATCATAGGACTCTGTGCAGACAACCCCCAGTACTAGCCCAAAGTTGGGTAGACTCGCTGGGTAGCTATACGCAGCAGAGCGACAACAATCACTGCAGTTCAGCTCACAGGAAGCCACATCCATAGGAAAAGGGGAAGAGTACTACATCCAGGGAACACCCCATGGGACAAAAGAATATGGGCAACAGCATTCAGTCCTAGACCTTCCCTCTGACAGAGACTACCCAAATGAAAAGAAACCAGAAAACCAACCCTGGTAATATGACCAAACAAGGCTCTTCGATACCCCAAAAAATTACATTAGTTCACCAGCAATGGATCCAAACCAAGAAGAAATCCCTGATTTACCTGAAAAAGAATTAAGGAAGTTAGTTATTAAGCTAATCGGGGAGGGATCAGAGAAAGGTGAAGCCCAGTTCAAGGAAATCCAAAATATGATATAAGAAGTAAAGGGAGAAATATTCAAGGAAACAGATAGCTTAAAGAAAAAACAATAAAAAAGTCAGGAACCTTTGGACACACTTTTAGAAATGCGAAATGCTCTGGAAAGTCTCAGCAATAAAATTGAACAGGTAGAAGAAAGAAATTCAGAGCTCAAAGACAAGGTCTTCAAATTAACCCAATCCAACAAAGACAAAGAAAAAAGAATAAGAAAATATGAACAAAGCCTCCAAGAAGTCTGAGATTATGTTAAACAACCAAACGTAAGAATAACCTGTGTTCTGAGGAAGAAGAATTCTAAAAGCTTGGAAAAACAAATTTGGGGGAATAATTGAGGAAAACTTCCCTGACCTTGCTAGAGACCTAGACATCCAAATACAAGAAGCTCAAAGAACACCCAGGAAATTCATCACAAAAAAGATCTTCGCCTAAGCACATTGTCATCAGGTTATCCAAAGTTAAGACAAAAGAAAGAATCTTAAGAGCTGTGAGACAGAAGCACCAGGTAACCTATAAAGGAAAACCTATCAGATTAACAGTAGATTTCTCAGCAGAAACCCTACAAGCTAGAAGGGATTTGGGCCCTATCTTCAGCCTCCTCAAACGAAACAATTATCAGCCAAGAATTTTGTATCTAGTGAAACTAAACATCATATATGAAGGAAAGATAGAGTCTTCTTCAGACAAACAAATGCTGAGAGAATTCTCCATTACCAAGCCACCCCTACAAGAACTGCTGAAAGGAGCTCTAAATCTTGAAACAAATCCTGGAAACACATCAAAACAGAACCTCTTTAAAGCATAAATCATGCAGGACCCGTAAAACAAAAATAGAAGTTAAAAAGCAAAAAACAAAAAACGAAAAAACAAAAGTACCCAGGCAACAAATACCGTGATGAATGCAAGGGTACGTCACATTTCAATACTAACATTGAATGTAAATAGCCTAAATGCTCCACTTAAAAGATACAGAACCATAGAATGGATAAGAACTCAACAACCGACTATCTGCTGCCTTCAGGAGACTCACCTAACACATAAGTGAGAGGAGATTTCAACTGGGCTTCCCAGGTCGAGGAGGGCTCAGAAAGCTGTGAAACTCACTCATTTCCTGCAACAGGACTTACTTTGGTCCTGGATGAATAATATTAAAGACATATGCTTAAAATATTCCTAATATCGGAATTTGTGCATGTGTTTTCTTCCCCAAGAAAGCTATAAACAGCGAAACTTTTGCTGTAAGCTTCCCTGTGTCCTCACTCCCTCTCTCCCTTCCCCTTCCCCTGAAACTAAAAGGAATGTTAAAAGCCCATTTTTCTGTGACCAGCAGACCTTATCTATGCTCCCAATTCCAATTCCTTGTAAACACAATTTGTAAAATCCTGTGAGATCCTGTCTCCTTTGCCATGCCACCATAAGGTTATAAAGTGGATAAAAAGTTACAATTCCGGTTTTCCTCAAGATCTAAGACATGTTAATTGTCTTTGTTTCTCATTCTGGTAACATCTTCCCACCTTCCTGCCCCATGTATTTCCCGCCTTAAAGAGTTTAAAAGGTGATCAAAAAATCTAACACTGGCTACCCACTCGGGACACCTTCCACACTGTGGAAGCTTTGTACTGTCACTCTGCTCAATAAAGCCTACAGTTTTTTTTTCTCTTGGTCCGATCCGTGTCTCTCTCTCACCACAGGCTGCCACCACACCAAATCTTTGGCGTGGCTAAGGCAAGAACCTTTGGCGTTACATAAGGACTCACATAAACTTAAAGTAAAGAAGTAGAAAAAGGCATTTCATGCAAATGGAAACCAAAAGCGAGCAGGGGTAGCGATTCTTACATCAGACAAAACAAACTTTAAAGCAACAGCAGTTAAAGAGACAAAGAGGGACATTATATAATGGTAAAAGACCTTGTCAAACAGGAAAATATCACAATCCTAAATATATATGCACCTAACACTGGAGCTACCAAATTTATAAAACAATTACTAATAGACCTAAGAAATGAAATAGAAAGCAACACAATAATAGTGGGGGACTTCAATATTCCACTGACAGAACTAGACAGGTCATCAAGACAGAAAGTCAACAAAGACACAATGGATTTAAACTATACCTTGGAACAAATGGACTTAACAAATATATTCAGAACATTTCATCCCACAACCACAGAATACACATTCTATTCAACAGTGCATGGAACTTTCTCTAAGAGAGACCAGATGATAAGCCATAAAATGAGCCTGAATAAATTAAAGAAAATTGAAATTATATCAGGCACTCTCTCAGACCACAGTGGAATAAAACTAAATCAACTGCAAAACGAACCTTCAAAATCATGCAAATACAGGGAAATTAACCTGCTCCTGAATGATCATTGGGTCAAAAAAGAAATCAAGATGGAAATCAAAAAATTCTTTCAAATGAATGACAATAATGATACAACCTATCAAAACCTCTGAGATACAGCAGAGGCAGTGCTAAGGGGAAAGTTCATAGCCCTAAACACCTACATCAAAAAGACTGAAAGAGCACTAACTGACACTCTATAGTCACACCTCAAGGAACTACAGAAACAGGAAGAATACAAACCCAAACCCAGCAGAAGAAAGGAAATAACCAAGATCAGAAGAGAACTATATGAAATTCAAACAAAAAAAAATACAAAAGATAAATGAAACAAAAAGCTGGTTCTTTGAAACGATAAATAAAATTGATAGACCACTGGCAAGATTAGCCAAGAAAAGAAGAAAGAAAATCCAAATAACCTCACTAAGAAATGAAACAGGAGATATTACAACTGACACCAATGAAATATAAAAGATCATTCAAGCCTAATAAGAACAGCTTTATGAATATAAACTAGAAAACCTAGAAGAGATGGATACATTCCTGGAAAAATACAACCCTCCTAGCTTAAATCAGGAAGAATTAGATACCATGAACAGACCAATAACAAGCAGCAAGATTGAAATGGTAATTTAAAAATTACCAACAAAAAAAGTCCAGGACCAGGCAAATTCACAGCAGCATTCTATCAGACATTCAAAGAAGAATTGGTACCAATCCTTTTGACACTACCCACAAGATAGAGAAAGAAGGAACCCTCCCTAATTCATTCTATGAAGCCAGCATCACCCTAATACCAAAACCAGGAAAGGACATAACCAAAAAAGAAAACTACAGACTGATAACCTTGATGAACACAGACGCTAAAATCCTTAACAAAACACTAGTTAACCAAATCCAACAACATATCAAAAAGACAGTTCACCCTGATCAAATGGATTTCATACCAGGAATGCAGGGATAGTTTAACATACACAAGTCAATAAATGTGATACACCACATAAACAGAATTAAAGAAAAAATCACCTGATCATCTCAATAGATGTAGAAAAAGCATTGGACAAAATCCAGCATCACTTTATGATTAAAACTCTCAGCAAAATTGGCATACAAGGGACATACTTTAATATAATAAAAGCCATCTATGAGAAACCCACAGCCAACACAAATGGGGAAAAGTTGAAAGCATTCCCTCTGAGAACTGGAACAAGACAAGGATGTCCAATCTCAACATTCCTCTTCAACATAGTACTGGAAGTCCTACCCAGAGCAATCAGACAAGAGAAATAAAGGGCATCCAAATCAGTAAAAAGGAAGTCAAAGTGTCACTGTTTGCTGAAGATATGATCGTTTACCTTGAAAATCCTAAGGACTCCTCCAGAAAGCTTCTAGAACTGATAAAATAATTCAACAAAGTTTCCGGATACAAGATTCATGTACACAAATTATTAGCTCTTCTATACACCAAAAGCAACCAAACAGAGAATCAAATAAAAAGCTCAACTCAACCCAACCCCTTTTACAATAGCTGTAAAAAAAAAGAAATACATAGGAATCTACCTAACCAAGGAGTCAAAAGACCTCTATAAGGAAAACTACAAAACACTGCTGAAAGAAATCACAGATGACACAAATAAATGGGAACACATCTCATGCTCATGGATGTGTGGAATCAATATTGTGAAAATGACCACACTGGCAAAAGCAATCTACGAATTCAAGGCAATCCCCATCAAAGTACCACCATCATTCTTCACAGAATTAGAAAAAAAAATGCTAAAATTCATATGGAACCAAAAAAGAGCCCACAGAGCCAAAGCAAAACTAAGCAAAAAGAACAAATCTGCAAGTATCACACTGCCTGATTTCAAACCGTACTACAAGGCCATAGTCATCAAAACAGCATGGTACTGGTACAAAAATAGGCACATGGACAAACGGAACAGAATAGAGAACCCAGAAATAAACCCAAATACTTAGAGCCAACTGATCTTTGACAAAGCAAACAAATACTTAAAGTGGGAAAAGGACACCCTTTCCAACAAATGGTGCTGGGATATTTGGCTAGCCACATGTAGGAGAATGAAACTGGATCCTCAACTCTCACCTTATACAAAAATCAACTCAAGATAGACTAAAGACTTAAACCTAAGACCTGAAACTATAAAAAATGTAGAAGATAACATTGGAAAAATCCTAGATATTGGCTTAGGCAAGGATTTCATGACCAAGAACCCAAAAGCAAATGCAATAAAAACAAAAATAAATAGCTGGGACCTAATTAAACTAAAGAGCTTCTGCATGGCAAAAGGAACAGTCAGCAGAGTAAACAGACAACCCACAGAGTGAGACAGAGTGAGACAAAATCTTCACAATCTATACACCTGACAAAGGACTAATATCCAGAATCTATAATGAACTCAAACAAATCGGTAAGAAAAAAAATCAAACAATCCCATCAAAAAGTGGGCTAAAAACATGAATAGACAATTCTCAAAAGAAGATATACAAACGGCCAACAAACATATGAAAAAATGCTCAACATCACTAATGATCAGGGAAATGCAAATCAAAATCACAATGTGATACCACCTCACTCCTGCAAGAATGGCCATAATCAAAAAATCAAAAACACAGTAGATTTTTTTTTGTTCACCATGTGGTGAAGAGGGAACACTTCTACACTGCTGGTGGGAATGTAAACTAGTACAGCCACTATGAAAAACAGTGTGGAGATTCCTTAAAGAACTCAAAGTAGAGCTACCATTTGATCCAGCAATCTCACTACTGGGTATCTACCCAGAGGAAAATAAGTAATTATTCAAAAAAAAAATACTTGCACATGCATGTTTATGGCAATGCAATTCACAAATGCAAAATCGTGGAACCAACCAAAATGCCCATCAATCAACGAGTGGATAAAGAAACTGTGAGAGATATATATATATATACATGATGGAATATTATGCAGCCATAAGAAGGAATGAATTAACAGCATTTGCAGTGGCCTGGATGACATTGGAGACTATTGTTCTAAGTGAAGTAACTCAGGAATGGAAAACCAAACATCGTATGTTCTTGCTGATATGTGGGAGCTAAGTTATGAGGATGCAAAGGCATAAGAATGATGCAATGGACTTTTAGGACTTGGGGGGAAGAGTAGGAGTGGAGTAAGAGAGAGAAGACTACAAATATGGTGCAGTGTTTACTGCTCAGGTGATGGGTGCACCAAAATCTCACAAATCACCACTGAAGAACTTACTCATGTAACCAAATACCACCTGTACCCCCAATAACTTATGGAAAAATTAATTTTAAAAATCAGATGGGAAGCAGTAAAATTTTCTCTAAGGATGACACGATCTTATATATTGAAAACCCTACGTGGCCTACCAAAAACTCAGAATTATTAAACAAATTCAGTAAAGTTGCAGGATGAAAAATTAACATGCAAATCAATTGTTTTCTATGCACTAACTATGAACTATCCATAAAAACAAACTAAGACAACAATGCCATTTACATTGGCATCAGAAAGAAAAAAAATTTAGAAATAAATGTAACCAAGAAGTTGAATGACCTATACACTGAAAACTATAAAACATTAGTGAAAGAAATTGAAGACAAATAAATGGAAAGATATCCTATATTCATCGATTGGTAAAATTAATGTTAAAATGTTTATACTACCCAAAGCAATCTGCAGATTCAATGCAATCACTACTAAAATTTCAAAGGTATTTTTCATAGAAATAGTAAAAAATCCTAAAATTTGTATTGAACCCCAAAAGACCATGAAAAGCTAAAATGATTTTGAGAAAGAATAATTAAGATGAAAGCATCACACTTTCTTATTTCAAATTCTATTACAAAGCTGATATATATTACAAATATTACATATATACACATAGATTACAATATATGATACTGGCCTAATAACAGACACGTAGACCAAAGGAACAAAATAGAGATCCCAGAAATAAATCCATATATATACAGTCAATTAATCTTCAGTGTAAGTACCAAGAGGACACAATAGGAAACGGATAGTCTCTTCAAAAATGGTACTGGAAAAACTGAATATGCACATGCAAAAGAATGAAATGGGACCCTTATTTTACATCATACACAAAATAAACTAAAATTGATTAAAATCTTAGACATATAACCTAAAGCCACAAAACTCCTAGAAGAAGACATAGGGGAATGTTTCTTGACAATATTCTTGGTAATAATTTTTTGGGTATGACACCAAAAGCATGGGCAATACAAGCAAAAATAAACAAGTAGAACTACACCAAATTAAAAAGTTTTTGCACAGCACAGGAGAGAAATATCAATATAGAAAGGTAAACTATGGAATAAGAAAAAATATTTGCAAACCGTATGTCTGATAAGGGGTTAAATCCAAAATATATAAGGAATTCAAACAACTCAATAGCAGAAAACAAAACAAAAAAAACCACTCAATTTTTTAAAAATGAGCAAAGGACCTGAATAGACATTTTTCCAAAGAATACATACAAATGGACTATGGGTATAAGAAAACTGCTCAACATCACAAATCATCAGGGAAATGCAAATGAAAACCATAAGATATTACCTCATATATGTTATAAAAGCTACTATCAAAGTCAAAAGATACCAAAAGTTGGCAAGGATGTGGAGAAAGGGGAGCCCTTATGCATTATTGATGGGAATGCAAATTGGTAGAGTCATGGAAAATGGTTTCCCAAAAAAATTAAAACTAGAACTACAATGTGATCCAGCAACCCCACTTCTGAGTATATATCCAAAGGAAATGAAATCCGTATCTCAAAGAGGTGTCTGCTCTCTCATGTTTATTGCAGCATTATTTGTAAAGCGAAAATATGGATACAACCTGTGTGTGTCCATCACGGAATGAATAATACAGAAAATGTGATATGTGTATGTATGATATGTGATGTATATGTAATGATATAATAATATTCTACTTTTCAGCCTTGAAAAGAAGAAAATCATAGATTTGCAACAATATGGATACCTGGAAGACATTATACTAAGCAATATAAGCCAGAATTGAAAACAAATATTGTATGACATCACTTATATGTGAACTATTAAAAAGTCAAACTCACAGAAATAGAGAGTACAATGCTGGTTATCAGGAACTGGAGGGTGGGAGAAATGGAAAGATGTTGGTCACAGGGTAAAAAATTTCAGTTATAAGATGAATTAATCCTGGAAATCTAATATACAGCATGGTAAATATAGCTAAGAATAAAGTACTGCTTACTTGAAATTTGCTAAGAAATTATATGTTCAGTATCCACATCAATTAAAAAAGGTAACCATGTTAATTGATGGATAAATTAATTAGCTTCATTTTGCTAATTATTTCACAATGTATAGTTATACCAAATCATGGTGTACTCCTTAAATGTATAAAATTTTCATTTGTCAATTATACCTCAATAAAGCTGGATAAACAAATGCACATTTAAATAAAAATAATTATTTTGAATAAAATGCCATGTATGCTTTAATGAAAGTTAACATAGTATGTGTTCCTGACATAAATTATAATTCTCCAACTCTCCAGTTAATCCCCTATGAAGGGGTTTGACATGTTTGCCATGTTAGTGGCTATGCTTGAAAGCAGAGAGTATACATCCTTACCTCATTTTCAGGCTAATCTAGGCAATTTCTTTGGGGTGGAAAGTGGGCAGGCATGATGTATGCCACATTGAAACAGAAGCTTTAAATGGAATTGTATCGTTTTTTGGTCTCTTGCCTTCCTGTTTCACTAGGCAATGAGAACAGCATAGTCTGTATAGTTCAGATAGAGATTACTCTGTCATCCTGGGTTCAAGATTGAAAAGACACAAAAAATAAAGACAAGCAGGGTCACATAGAGATGTATGCAATCTGCAGACCAGTGAACAAAAAAATAAACATTTTCCATTTAAAGCCACTGAAATTTAAGAGTTATATGTTATATGTTACTACAACAAAACAGAAAGAGAGAACATAATTTCTTATGTAAACTCCATTAATATGAACTGCAGAATATTCTGATTTTCTGTGAATTAACATGAAGTTAATTCACATTTAGACATCAGGTAGCAAGCCTTCAATACTTTTTGTAACATAACATTTATTCTTCATTTTAAATAATTTAGGAAAGTTACTGATGCTTCTAATAAAATTTGTAAAATTTCAGATTCTATTACTCAAGGTATCTCACTATTTGTGTTTTCCTCTAACTTTTCATTTTTTTTTTCTGTTCTGAGTGTCCTTTGAAGTACCACTCTGATTCCTGTTGAGAGATTTTATTAATTAAGCCTATATTAAAAATGTCTTTCTGCCAATCTCTGTGGAAGTCATTTGAGCCAAAGATGTTCTCTTTAACACTATTAAATAATGTCCCCCATCCCCACATGCAGAGACTGTGAAAATCAGGAATATATTGCTCAATTATTTCGCTCATTTGATTTTGTAGTCTATGTATACAGTTCTGGTTGATGAGTTCTTAGAATTCTATCAACGTTCTTGGCATTTTTGGCAACCATTTGCCCATGACATTGAATGTCCAAAGGTTTGAATAATTTCAACACCTGTAAAAGGGTTGTTATTGCTATTGTAGCCTTATACTTGCTTTCCAAATCAAATGGCTCCACATTTAATTATCACCAGACAGAAATGAAATGCTTTAAAGAATGCAGTTGGCTCAAAATGACTTCTTACAGTTACCATCTGTCTTATTGAAAGACTATACATCACTTTATATATCCAAAATGCAACATTCTCATTAATATATGTACATTGTCTTTTTATTCTGTTAAATGATACCAATTTGTAGCAAACCCAGAACAATAACTACACATACTCAAAGCCTAATGACAGTTCCTTTCTCCTATACAATTTCTTAAAAATTCAGCATGTGACCTTACAGTTCAAATATATCACTGAAAAGATGCCTTTTGGCATCCCTAGTGTATATTAATCAGCAACTTCAGAACACCCATAAACATGGTAATATTTAGGCAAGCTACAAAACAGCGAAACAAACTTCCTTTTAGGCTAGAAACTTTGTTAGTTGGTTGCTTTACAATTTTCCATGAAATATGTTTTAAAAATCATGTACAATATGTATTCCTTACTTCAGTACATACTAGTACAGAAAAATTGACTTTCCTGAGGACTAGTGAATAAGCATAGTGCAACAAGCATAGATTATGCTTTTGTCTTATAACATGACTCTTGAAAGCATGCCTAACAAACTCCTTGTTAATATTGTTTACTCTTAGAAATAATGTATTCTACTTCTTCCTTCTTAATAGTTCTAGACATGTATATAACTTTTTCCCTAGTCACTATGTCACTTAACGTTCCCAAGTGCCAAATTTTGAGTAAGACAGCTGCATACTTCAACTTCTAACTAGGAAACAAGGAGGGAGACATATTCAATATGTCAAGTGGAAATACCGTTGTCCTCATTTTTTAATAATTGCTATCCCTCTGATTTAGATGCCTGTGTTCTCATTCCAGGCAGTGAGATGTGTTGCTCTAGTGCTTTATAGTTCTCGATGCAGAGGCTCCTACACTTCAGAGCCATATCCAGACCAAAACCTAGTCTAGCTGAATTGATAGGAACTACACAACCAAATATCAGATCCATGTTAGTGAAAGCGTTCAAAAGCATATGAATCAGATAAATCTTCTGTATTACCTAGCTTTCATCTTGTCTTTTATTTCTTGGCACTCCTTTGAAGCAGAGAATATTTAGGAACCTTTTCAAAAAGATCAGATGCTTTAACGAATAAGAATTTTATCTATGCTGTCTCAGCAATTTTTAAGAAAAGAAAAACAATGAGGTTTTAGCAATGAAAGATGTTTATTTAGCAGAAAGGCTATTTGACAAACCATGTAGTCAATGAACCTAATTCTGAAGCACTGAGTTTGTGTACTGGAGCCTCAAGTATCTGGCAGAGTGGTTTCCTTTTTAAAATTCATGACATCATTCTCGGTGCTTCAAGTTTGGCTCAACATGAGAAATCTCCTTCTGTGGATGAATTAATTGGATTATTGGCTCTATGGGAAAAAGAATCCCTCCAAATCTCTTTAGGAAGAAATTAGTATCTTGAACTAGGTTTTCCATTCCCTAAGGGGGAACAACATCTCTTGATAAATATAACAAATTGCTTCCCCAAATTTGTTAAAACTAGTTCAATATTCTGCTTTAATTGTTTTGTCAAGTGCTAGTATGGAAAGAATTTTCATTGGCATGGATAATCTATGAACAAAGGAACACAAAAGAATGAGTGTTGAGCCAGTAAATAAGTTCATGTTTTAAATATAATTGTATTTATTTGGGAAAAAAGATTTTTGAAAGATAGAAAAAACATTATGAGAGCCTTATACTCTTATTAAAATATAAGACATAGTATACAGTGTTGTCCTGTTGGAAAACGTTCCATATTTCTTGACTATCAACAATTAAAATATTTTATCATATATTATAAAGCACTTTGTTGTTGTTCTGTGAACTTGAACTACATATATCTCTATCCACAAGGCAGAGTTTAGCAATGTCACCTCTATAAGTACAGCTTAATTTATATTTTCTGTCTTTTCACCAGCCTTGCCACAAATTTGTCCCAATGTTGGGGGGTGGGTGGAGTTTGCAATCTGTGCTCACTATATATCAAACCTATAATAAGCCATCATATTTTTTATTACAAAGAAAAATGTACTTTCCTATATATTTCAGAGAAAGTACAATTTTTAATATAAAAAGCACATACTTCACTTCAAAATGTTGAATGAGGATGTACTTAAAGAATTCCAGCTGGTTAAATTTAGAAAGCTAAACAAAGTCCAATCTAAGAATATTCTTTGGCTTTATGCCTACAGCATTTTTATTTGATTGTAAATTGGACATATTTTCATTCACTTCAGAATTTTGCCTTTCAGTGGTTTGTTCTCTTAAGAGATTCAACAGGTTCTGATTCACATGTAGGCACCAGTATTAACCCCCTACTTTCTGAGGACAGTTGTATCATTTAGAGTCAGTGATGGACCATCGCCCCTTCACTTTCTATCTACAACATTTTCTATGAGTAACTGTGACTAGAAAGGTTAACCTTTCTTTCTTATGCACCAATCTTATTGAGGTAAAATTTACACACAGAAAAAGTCAACCCTTCAGTGAATTTTTACAACTGTAACTATCATCAAAATATAGAACATTTCCATCATCCCAAAAAGGTCTATTATACCACTCATAGTCAAAACACCCAATATTTCTCATCCCAAACAATGACTGATCTGCTCTGTGTAAATCTATATGTACATAGTATGTACTCTGTTGTGTATGATTTCTGTTACTTAGTATAATGTCTGTGGACCTGGCATGATGGCTCACTTCTGTAATCCCAGCACTTTGGAAGGCCAACGTGGGTGGATCACCTGAGGTCAGGAGTTCGAGGCCAGCCTGGCCAATATGGTGAAGCTCCGTGTCTACTAAAAATACAAAAAAAAAAAAAAATTAGCCAGGCGTGGTGGCAGGTGCCTGTAATCCTGGCTACTTGGGAGGCTGAGGCAGAATTGCTTGAACCCAGGAGGCAGAGGTTGCAGTGAGCTGAGACCACACAATTGCACTCCAGCCTAGGCAACAAGAAAGAAACTCTGTCTCAAAAAAAATAAATAAATAATATCTGTGAAGTTTATCCACGTTGTTGAGTATACTAGAAGTTCATCCCTGTTCATTGCCACATATCAGTACATTGTTTGAATATATCACAATTTGTTTACCTATTCACCAGCTGACAAACATTTGGATTGTTTCTAGTTTGTGAGTATTGTGAATAAAGCAGTGATGAACGTTCATGTGCTAATGTTTCTGTGAATATACATTTTCATTTCTCTTGGATAAATACATATTTTGTTAAATTTTTCTCTGAGTATTTCATGTCTTGATGTTATCATAAATGATGTTGTTTTTCCAATTGTTCATTGCTAGTATACGGAAATGCAATTGATTTTTATGTGTCTTTGTATCTTGGGATCTTGGTAAATTTACATGTTAGTTCTAGCAGCTTTATAGTTGATTTCTTAAGACTTTCTACATAAAGAATTATATCATCTGTGAATAGGAACTGTTTATTTCTTCCTTTCCTATCTATATGCCTTTTATTTCTTTTTTATTCCATTATTTTACTGCCTAAGACTTCCACTGCAATTTTAATAAAATCGTAAGAATAAACATCCTTGACTTATTCTCATTGTTAGAGGATTAGTATTTAATGTTTCATCATTAGGTATGATGTATCTGGAGATTTTGCGTGGAGATTTGATTGATTGAGGAGGTTTTCTTTTATATCCTGGTTTGCTAAGTGTTTAATTTTTGTCAAATGCTTTTCTACACGTATTAAGATTCTATTTTTTAATGTTTATAATCTGGTCACTTAAATTTATCATTGTACATTACATCATATAAAAATATTGATGAAAAATATTACTTAGTCATGATGTTTCATTGTTTTTATAGATTACTGAATTTACCTTGGTGATACTATGTTAAGGATTTTTGCATCTTTGTGATATCTGGGACGACAACAACCTTCTTACAACATGAGGAAATGTACAAGAGATTTTTGAGAGATATGAACTCTGACTCATTAAGCTTCTAAACCAATACCAACAACTGTCTACCTCCAGACTATTTTGTAGGGTAGAAAACAAACCCTGGTTTATATAGTCCAGAACAGTTGGGATTCCCATTACTTGAAGCCAAAAGCAACTCTAACTGATGCAAATGCCACTTGGGGAATGCTGGATTTTAGAACTACTCAAGAATACACGGAAGTCCCACTTTACTGTGGTGTTTTTTTTTTAAGGACAAACAATAATCATAGTAATAATAAGAGTCTACATTAATTGTTGTATTTAATTTCATAAAGAACTGACTTTACAAAATAGGCACTACTGTGCTTATTTTACAGATAGTGAAACAGAAACTCAGTTTGGCACAAGGTCTTCCACTTTCTAAACCTATTTTATCCAACTAGAAAGTTCATGCTCTTCACTATGGCCTCCCCAGTAGTGCAATAATGTGGTAGGAGACCAACAGGACTTGTTTTCCGGTCACAATACTGCTGACCAAAACAAGATCCAGTCCAGAAGGGATGAAGTGAAAAAATGGGAAGGAACCAGTAGATGGCAAAGAAAGCTATCCCTAGCTGCCCTCATTGCTCATTAGCATAAGATACTCCTACCAATGCCATGACAATTTACAAAAGCCTTGGCGATGATCCAGAAGTTACCACCTCTTTCCATGGCAATGATCTAAAAATTACTGCCTCTTTTCTAGAAATTTCTAAATACCCTGCCCCTGTCAATTTGCATTGACTTATCCCTTAATTTGCATAAAATTGAAAGTGAGTTTGCCTGAGTATAAACAGAGTTGCCAAAAGCTCATACCTTATTGACTCTAGGCGCACTGCCTATGAGTTAGCCCTGCTTTGGAAGAAGCAGTACAGTTCAGTTAAAGATTGCTAACAACACTAGATTATCGTTGAGTACTTTCCTGTATGAAGCCCCAGTCTGGGGACTCAGCTGTCCTGTAATATCAGTAAAAGATCTTTCTTGAAATTTTTTCTAAATAACTGGGAATTCACATTCAGGGGTCTCCACAGTCTACATCTTTGGACTTGGTACTTTGGAAAGGCATGCAAATTTGACCAATGGAGGACCTGCTCCATTGAAGAGTGAGGCCATAAGAACCCAGTCTGGCAATTCAAAGAGGAGTATTTACTAATGGTTAAGGAAGTAAGGTCAAGATTTTGTTGATTTTATGCCTCATGTACAAATATATGGGAAGTAGATGCTATTGAAAACTGGATGATAAAAATTATGTAACAATATCCTGAGATGTCTGGAAGGGAATTACTAAGAAATAGTAAATAATAATTCTTTTTTTTTTTTTTTTTTTTTTTTTTTTTGAGACGGAGTCTCGCTCTGTCGCCCAGGCTGGAGTGCAGTGGCGCGACCTCGGCTCACTGCAAGCTCCGCCTCCCGGGTTCACGCCATTCTCCTGCCTCAGCCTCCCGAGTAGCCGGGACCACAGGCGCCCGCCACCACGCCCGGCTAATTTTTTGTATTTTTAGTAGAGGCGGGGTTTCACCGCGTTAGCCAGGATGGTCTCGATCTCCTGACCTCATGATCCGCCCGCCTCTGCCTCCCAAAGTGCTGGGATTACAGGCGTGAGCCACCGCGCCCGGCCGAGAAATAGTAAATAATAATTCTTAAGCTACTTTCCAGTTTCTGAGAATCTTCTTGTTCAGAAACAAGTATACATATAACATCTGTTGGCTTTTTGCTACATGATATTTTCAACAAACCTGTAAAGGACGCTAAATTGTGCTATTAAACTCTGGGAGGAAAAAACAACTCTTGAAAATAACTAGGGCTGTAGTTTTTCAAGGAAGAAGTTCAAGTTGAAATTCTCAGGCTTAGTATAATTATATAAATATCAATACCAGAAAGAAAAATGAATTCACTAAGAGTTCAAAGGACCAAACCAAGTTTGACTGAAAGATTAGAGATAAGACAGAAAATGACACATGCATATTTGGAAAGAATGTTTAACAGAAAGAAATAAACCTTCACTTGGGCATAATTTTTTTAAGTCGAAATCACTTACTGGCACTTTTGAAGATGCAGTCACGTAGCAAACCTGTTTCAACTGATAAAACAAAGCCTAATGTCTTCTACACAATCAGAAAGAGAGACAAGTGCTTCTTCCAATTAATTGGTGGAGCCTGTTTCAATACTGATTAGGTCTTCCACACACTGAGCAATGAAGGAAACCAAAGGAGTCCCGGTTACCAAATACTAGAAATTGAAAATGAAGTGAGGCAGGAAATTTAGCGTGGTTGTTTTGTAACTTATAGAACTACAATTCAGTAGCATTTTTAAACATTACTTTGTCTCTAGCCAGCATTCCACCTCTTTAAAATAAAAGCAAAATTCAAGTGTTAGTTTATTTTGTGTAATAACACTTTACATTTTACAAAGTGTTTTCAGAGACATTATCCTACTTGACCTTCCTAACCACCAATGAGGTAGAGTTATGATTACTATCTGACAGATGAAGAAACTAAAGCCAGTGAAGAAAAATAAAATTATGAAATTGCTTGCTCTTCTGCTTATGACAATGTTAAAAAAAAAAAAAACCCTTAGACACATTAAATTTAAAAAGTTTAACTGAGCAAAGAACAATTCCTGAATCAGACAGCCTCCTGAAACAGATCTAGAGAGATTCAAGCATAGCCACAAAGTGGAAGATTTATGGACAGAAAAAGGAATGTGATGTATAGAAAAGGGAAGTGAGGTACAGAAATAGCCAGATTGGTCACAGCTGGGCATTTGCCTTATTTGAACGTGGTTTGAATAACTGGCAGCTTTCGATTGGCCAAAACTCAGTGACTGGCACAAGAGTAGGTTAGTCTATTTAGCCATCCAGTTAGGTTACAGTTCATTATGTACAAAGAATCATTTACGCTGAACTTAAAATATGTAAGGAGGCAGCTTTAGGTTAAACTTGATTTAACAACAATAACCATAAAAACAAGACCACCAGTTATTGGCCATTTGGTATTAATAGATGGCAGGAATTATCTTAAGCACTTTAAATATAATACCTCATCAATCATAAAAAAATTTTGCAAGCTACATATTATTGTCTTCACACTACATGTGAGGGATATTGAGGATGAGACAAGTGAAATAACTTGTCCAAAATCACACGGATGATAAGTTATAGACTCAAAATTTAAGCCCATATCTGTTTGGTTGTAAGCCCTGTGCATTAAAAAGAAAAAAATTGGCTGTACTATACTACTCTTTGCTAAATTAATGACTTTCTTAACCCACTATATTAAAATTGCATATATATGCATTTGCAAATACTTATTTACATACATTATACACATATACTCACATAATTCAAGTAGTGTAGGCATGATTTATATATGTCTTTACTTTTAAAAGGTTCTATTTAATGCCTAGATTGGGTAAAAAGCAAATGAATAAATTTTTTTCACTTTTATCATCTGAGGCCATTTGTCATTCATTACACAAAGTTATGCAAATAAGTTCGAATTGTAAAGACATGCTTAAATTTTACAAGCTCTGAATTTCACACTAGGGAATGAGGATAAACAAATTGTATTATGTTCTGAAAAGTCTACTAAGTAATAAGTAATTTGTTAAAGTAAAAGAAGTCTAAAAAGAGTACAACTTGGTTTTGACCATTGCTACATCACAATTAGTACCAATGTAACCATTCTACCAATTTCAACATTTAAGGAACGCCTATTTCGTACTAAACATTGTGCTACAAAGATGAATAAGACATAACCTTTGTACTTGAAGACCTGAGGATCTAGTATATGAGATATGCAAAAATGGACAAATTCAAGTCAATAAGGTCAGTACAACAATAGAGATGACAAGGTATGCTATGGACTGTATGTGTCTCCCCCACAAATTCATATATTGAAAGCCTAATCCCCAGTGTGATAGTATGTGGAAATGCAGCCTTTAGGAGGTAGTTAGGGTATGAGGATGGAGGTGAGGGCATCTTAGGGCATGAGGATGGAGGTGAGCCTTTAGGAGTTAATTAGGGCATAACGGAGTGAAGTGAGGTTGATGATGGGACTTGTGGCCTTATAAGAACACTAATATGCTTGCTTCCGCTCTCGATCTCTCTCTATCCCCTACATGAGGACATAAGGGGAAGATGGCTAACTGCAAACCAGGAGGAAGGCTCCCATCAGAACCTAACCATGGACTCTGATCTCTGACTTTCCAAACTCCAGAAGGGTAAGAAATAAAATTATGTTGTTCAAACCATCTGTCGTATGGTACTTTTGTTGCAGGAGACTTAACTGACTAAGAGTTCTTCAGGAGCTTAGAGAGAAATCATAAACAAGCAAGTAAAATCAAGAAAGTCCTGTGGGAGATGACGCCTGAAGCAACCATTTAAAGGACAAGTAGAGATGAGCCGGCAAAGAAGGGAACACACAGCATTGTGAAAAGAGGCACAACCCAGAAACTTTCACACCCTTCATCTCATAACACTAAGGTCGTACATGCGTGAAGAGAGAGAACAACCACCACCCTTAGAAGGCCAATTTAGTTTAGAGAAGAAATTCTACTTCCAATGGGCTTATTCTTTAATTTATATTAAACTTAAATTGAGACTGCACTGTTTCTCTATTTACTCTCTGAAATGCTCATGCCCTTAATCAACAGATTATTATTAAAGACTATGTTAATATCCAATTGTTTTCATTAATGACATTTAGGACAGAAAGGTATATTCAGGTTAAAAAAAAGAAAAAAATGCCATACTGAATACCAGAAAATATAAATATTAGACATTCTTTTCAAGCCCCTGAGGCTTTCTTGTGGGCATTTTGATAATAGTAAAAGTTTTACTTCAGGGTGCCATCTTGAATGAGCCAAATTTAGAACCTTAATTCTAATTGAAATTTTAACCTCCCAAAATGATATGCATATGAAAGTGTTGCTTATATCTCCTTAGTAAATTTGCAGATCTAAAATGCATCATTCTCATACAGCCATAGTATCTGTGCTCTTTGCTGTCTTTTTGAAATCTCATGACAATCTCTTTTATTTGAAATAAACATGCTATTTTTTTTTAAAAAAAAATCACTCATATGGTAATATAAGAAGATCGAAGTAATTTGGACTAAACCTAAGAAGTGATTCTCTTCTTCTATCATTTATAATTTCTGTCTTCTGAGTTATTATAGAAAATTTATGGCATGGTCACCCTTAGAATTAAGACTCTGCTTTGACACAGGAAGATACCTCCTGGTAACAGTGACCCTACATTCCTAACTTGGGTCACAGTCTTGATTGCAACTATCCTTCCTTTTTGTACCTATAAGTTAATTAATGCATGCCAGTTCACAAGCCAGGCCTTGGACAGGCATTTAGAAAACAAAATTGAAAAATGGATTCTGCCCTCAAGAGTTTTATGGTCAAATGGGAGACAAACATTTGTAAACAGATAATACTGGCATTGGCTCATCCCTTTTGGATCACTAACGTTGTAATTTTATTACAATTCGATTAAACTTTGGGATATTTTGAGATTCATTCTTGTTGTATTTATCCTCAATAATTTCATCCATTTGAGAAAGCTATGGACGCCAAGGTCATAAATCAGTTACAGTCAAAAATATATATTGGCATAGTGCTTTATAATGTACAATGTGCTATCATATACATTAATTCTTTAATTCTACCTTGAGGTAGGTACTTTTACAACCTTTCCTATTTTCCTTTTGAGATAAGTGAAGTTGAGAGGTTAAGTGACTTGCTCAAGGGCAGGTACCTGTAACAACTAAACCAAGTTATTTGATTCAAGCAGATGATATATTAATCACAATATAATAGCTAAGATATGGGTATATTCTATATGTAAGATGTAAGGCTCTGCATCCATTAACAACTTTATTCTTCATTAAGAAAACTATGAGGTTTGTCCATTTTGCTCATTTTTTATATGAACAATAAAGCAAATTGGCTAAGGCTACATAGCCACTAATTGTTAGAAACAGCATAGAAGCAGACATGTGCCTTCAGAGATACAGTTCTTTACTGCCTACTAGATTTCTCCTTCATGAAATGTTCTTTACATTAAACTGCTTCTATCTGTCTCTCATTGGCATATATCATCAAAAAGCACAAACGAATATTGAAAGGTTAGAAAAACACAGACAAATCAACCAAAGACTAATTTTTTATGCTTTGCTGTCAAACACAAAATGGCTCCCCCATCTTACCAAACACACCCAGTGTATTCTATTGAAATTCAGACACTTCTTAAACACAAAAATGACTTTAGTAAGTATGTTCATGTCAGTCCATATCATCCTTCTTAATTCTTTGGTTCCTCCTTAATACTTCGTCTTCCTTAATTCTTCCCTTTAACCATACCATTTTCTTGGCTTAGTGTCTTACTCCCTTCCAAGCCATATATATCCTTAGCCATCCAGATAAACTGCAACCATCTTCAGTTATACTACCCATTCTTTCTCCAATTTTTGTTTAAACCATGTGTATGTTCAACATAATTTAATATGTACTTTTATGCTTTATCATTGTTCTCATGTTGTGTTAAGTGAGAAAATTCTTGAGTTTATATATCACCTAGGAGTGAGCATATAGTAGGTGCTCAAAACCTACTTCAGTAGTGAAACAAAAGCATATTCACAGATGTTTCCATTTCAATGAGAAACCCAAAGGAGCTTCAGTTTCAAAAGAACACTTAGAGGAAATAAGCTTCTCTTAAAAATAAATAAGCCTTTCTTTAAAATAAAAACAGTTCAAATGTCTTTACATTTAAAAGATCTTATGAAGCCAGAGTCAAGAACAAAAGCAACCTGAGTTAACTCTCTTGATATACTTTGACCTAAAACTAAGGGTAAGTGGGAAAAATGTAATAACACAATTTGATTACCTGGTATCATTTTGAATAAAAAGGCTAAAATCAAATATTGAGACCAATTCTGTTGATTAAGTTTCCCAAACGCAAATTAACTTGATCATTTAAATTTCCACATTATGATATGCCCTCTATATGACTCAAATGCCATTTCCAATTCAATTATTTTTTATTTTATGCTAACTCATCTTTGAATGTCAGTAAACAAGAGGGAAAAAATATGAAATTTGCAGAGTTGAGGGCAGTAGAGAGAATGCTGTGATCTCTATTTTCTATTTATGGATCACCCTCTGTATAGGTTTGGCATTCATTCTGAAAATTACTTTCAGCAATAAAATGCACCTAGAAATGCATACTGATTAAGTGGCATTATACCACATGAACATTTTCCCTGTAAATATATTATTAATAATTTTATAATTTCAAATTAAGATTCTGATTCCTATCTGTTTCCCTGAAGTGTTTTTCCTCCTTAATTACCTGTCTCAGAGATTTTTCTTTTTGTGTCTCTCTTTCTTCATATTCCCTTGAGGCCCCATAATTAGAGCTTGCAGTACCTCTGCACCAAACAGAAAACCAAGAAAATCTTCCTTGGTTTCAGGTTTTTATAAAAATTTGAAACGTGGAACTGGGTTCATGAAAAGTTTTCTTGAGGTAGACAAACCTTTCAGCAAGTTTTGTGCAAATCTTGGATGAATTCAAAGTTAGCCTGAGCCAATTAATTTTTTGGCAGGGAAATTGTAACATATGATGGTTGTGTCTGTGCTAGATGGCTTTATATAAAAATGGGTGACTTTGGATGGATTTGGCTTTGAACGTGTTGGCGCTTTCCACCTAAAAGCACAAAATACAATTCAGGGCTTATAGAATTCTATCCTCTCAGATTCCTAGCAGGCAAATTTGTCTCCTGTCATTGTATTTCCCAAACAGGACATTTCTTTACTCAGTACAAAATATTTTCCCCAGTTTGTGTTAAGATTGAAATTTATTTTTTAAAGGATTGAGGATCAATTAATGACATTAAACAAGATGGATCACAAAAGTGAGTAGTCCCAGACTACAACTGCCATCAGGGCAGCCATTTACACTCTGTTTCCAGCATCTAAAACGGTGCCTGGTACATAGTAGGTGCTCAGTGAATATTTATTGAATAAGTAAATAACAACTCATATCTGTAAAGAAATACCACAGCAATAGAACAGAGGAAAAAAGACATTCCCTAATATATCTTCAAACTCTTTAGGCTTCCTGCTTCTAAATGTGTTTGTACCTCTTCCCTCAAATATTCAGTATACCAGATAGTCACAAGATTAATCAATGAAATCAATAACCTAGTCACATATGCTTTTGCTTAAACATAATGATGTTGGTATTGGTGGGCACATGATAGCAGAAACAGTCCTTGGAGTAATTTCTCATTACGGAAAATAATTGCAAACCCTTACAATATCTTTTTCTGTTGTCTCACAAAACTGAAAAGGACTTAAGAAACCCATATGTTATGCAGGAGGAACTTAATTTCAGTCAGAGGACATGATTACACAAAGTCACGCAATAGGCTAGGGGAAAAAAAAATATGTGGCTGAAGTCACCTAGCTCCAGGCCAAGTGTTACTTTCATTCTACCATATGGGTGAATTTTTTTGCTTTCCTGCATACCAAATGCACCACAAAATATTTGAGTTTGTTTTAACCTATCATTAGAGTGGATCTTTGAAATCCTGAGTAGAACTAGACCACAGATAAAACCTCATCCCCTCGCTCCCAAGAAATCACTTTCCTTTACAAATTTTATATTGCTAGTTTATTTTTAAGAATGTGTATGCAGCCGGGCATGGTGGCTCACGCCTCTAATCCCAGCACTTTGGGAGGCTGAGGCGGGCAGATCACGAGGCCAGGAATTCGAGACCAGCCTGACCAACATGGTGAAACCCCATCTCTACTAAAAATCCAAAAATTAGCCGGGCATGGTGTCGCATGCCTGTAGTCCCAGCTACTTGGGAGGCTGAGGCAGGAGAATCACTGGAACCCGGGAGGCGGAGGTTGCAGTGAGCTGAGATCACGCCACTGCACTCCAGCCTTGGCGACAGAGTGAGACTCTGTCTCAAAAAAAAAAAAAAAAAAAAAAAGAATGTGTATGCTCCACTCAGAACTTTCAGTTATTCTATATTCACCTGATCCACACTGGAAATAACGTGTATTCTTTTGGTCTATGACTACTCCAGCATGGATATGCTCATAGATGGAGGCACCACAATGCAGATTCACCGTATCTTTCCAGCCCTCACATGCATGCTCTTAGAAATGTCCAGAACTCAAAAACAACTCTTGAATTCAATTCAAGTAAGGATCCCAAATCTTCAATGTGAGGACAATAAGACATCATATTTAGTCCTGTCAGTCTCTTCCCTTATACAGTAACCCTAACTCCATATTTAACTCATTTTGCCTTGTAAGTCCTTGACCGAAGAATGTCCAGACAATGCAATTTGAACGTCAATCTATTGACCAGAAAGCTAATGCTACTCAGTAATTAATGGTACACTTGAATTTTGGCACCTAGCTTAGACCTAAGAAATAGAACATGAGATGAAAATAAAGCTGGTCACTGGAAAGACAATAAAAAAAACAGAAAGCCAATTACTTGGAACCATGAATTAACCAAAATAATTCTCCATAGCACCCAGTATTCCAGTTTTTACATTCTAAAGAGTGAGACATTAGTGGACCTCATCCACTACTACAATTTACCAGCATCCCTACATGTATTATTCACTCAATTATTCACCGTGACTTCATAAAGCAAGTACTTAAACAATGTATTTTCTCAGGTCCTGAGGCTTACTGATATATTCATCCAAATGTTGATCGTGTTAAATATATGCTTGTATAATATACACTGCCCTGGGTGCTGGGGATACAACTATGAATAAGACGTACTCAGGCCCTATGCAATCGAACTTAAATTCTGTTTATTCTGCCCAATCTCTTTCTCCTCTACTTCCAAGACTCCAGTTTCATGTATGTTAAACTACTTATTACTGCTCACATGTCCCTAAGACACTGTTCATTTTTTTTTCTCTTTTTTCTCTCTGTTCTTCACATTGATGCTTTCTGTTAATATATCTAAAAGCATATTCTTTTTCTTGCCATCTTCAATATGATAAATCATTTTTCATTGTAGCTATTGGATATTTAAGCTCTAGACTATTCATTTTATTTTGTTTCTATATCTCTGAGATTTTTCATCATTTTATTCATTATACATGTATCTTCTTTAATGTCCTTAAAATATTTATAAATAGTTGCTTTAAAGTCCTTTTCTGCTAAATGGAACATCTAGGTTTTGCAAGATCAACTTATATTAGCTGATTTTTTCTTGAAAATAAGTAACATTTTTGCTTTTTCACATTTGTATATACTACAAATTATGAATAATAAGTTGTAAATATAGACACTGCTATATTACTGTGATGACTGATTTCTTTTCATGGAAAACCAGGTAACTTGTCTGGATTCCAACTCCAAACTCTGTATTTTTGCAAAGACCATAATCTGTTACCTCTGCATGGCTCTTTCAGATTCCAGATGCTGCTTTTTTGTTGTTGTTTGTTGTTTTTGGCTGAGTCCTATAGGATTTATTCCCCATATGCCAGCTAGTTTAGCCAGGTTAGCACATAGCTAAGAATGTGCATGAATTTTATATGCTGATTTAGGGGCTGAACCACTCTGAATCCCTTTCTTTCAGGATTTAATGCTAATTTTCTGGCTAGGTTCCCAAACTCTGTTCTCTGACAGCTCAAGCCAGTAAAATAGTGGCTTTCTTCCTATAGAGCCTCAGGTAGGTCTGAGCATGACCTCCAGCAAAGAGCTTAAAAATAGCAAATTTCACCTGTTATACTCATCTTTCAAGTGTATCATCATCTATAATTCTCGCTTGCTTTTGTTCATTCTCTTCTGCCTTCAAGTTGTTTGGTGAATATAGAGGATATGAATATACATATAGATACACTTTTCCAAGTTTTATAATTCTTATATGCAGAGGATTATTCCAATCAAACCACTCCACCATTTCCAATACACTATCTTTTTGAAATCAAGAAATGAATCTTACTCAACTTGGTCTTGCCAGGGCAAAATATGGGTTTTTTGCCATATAGTAGCTGATCAATAAGTGCTTGCTGGATTGAATACTTCATTTTGACATCAAGGTTATTTACAAATCATTTATAAATAATTACGTGTGCATTGTTGGACATGAATAAAATTTCTAAGAACTGACAAGAGAAACAGCACTGTGCTGAATCTCAGAAAAGTTCAAGAAAGTAGGCAGAATATGGGTCTCAGAATATAGCTTAGAAACTATTAGGAGCCATATATTTAATATGGAATTACAGAAAATTTCATAAAGTATGTCATCCTAAGCAAGAAAAAAAAACTTGTCTACTATTAAAGAGTCTATTATCTGTCAGAGGTAGGGCTGTACTAAAATCAGATGACCTTGACCTTCAAAACAGTCCCCTAAGCCTACACATTTTTCCCATAAGATGACACAATAGGCCTGGGGCTGATGAGAACTTTGAAGATAATCCCAGCCATACTCTAAGAATACTCATCAAAAGATTGTCCACTAAGACCAGATCTACCTATGCTAAGAATCTGTCAATGTTAATCCAATTCGGTTACTTGGAGTTGGAGAAAACACACACACACACACACACACAAACTCAGCTTAAATAGCCATTTACTCTCAGTGGTGTGAGGGTATTTGTTGTCTATGAATAACTCTTTGGCATAATACAAAAGAAGAATCCACTAATCTTATTAAAGGTAAATTATTTATGAGTAACTTATTCAACAGGATACACAGAAGAATAAAACATTAGATATTAGGACCTCATAGGTAAGGTTTCTATTTCGGATATGCTATTGAGAAAACAATCAGTTTATCATCAGGAAAGGTTTTCACTTTATTTCTATGGAGAAAAATAACCTCCCACCTGCTGCTAAACATACTTAATTAAAGAGATCCGGATTGTACTGCTTATACTTGTGGCATATCACTTGAACTTTTCACTAAGTGTCATTCTTATAACATTATCACAGACTCCTAGCTTATTATGAGAACAGAGGTGCTAATCAAGAGGAATTACTTAGTAATTATATTTTTATTTAGAATTTTAAAAGGATGCATTTCTATTTTTTTGGAGCACCCCAACCATATTTCTCCACACACATTTATCTAAGGAAGTTCAATTAACTATGTAGGCACACCTAGATTTGCCCCTCTTATGGCACTGTTTGATGAGTAGAAATGTTTTAGAATACAGTATTCAAAACTGTAATCATTAAATGCATTAGTTAGGATTCTCCAGGAAAACAGAGGGGAGAGAGAGAGAGAGAGAGACAGTGTGTGTGTGTGTGTGTGTGTGTGTGTGTGTGTGTGTGTATAAAGAAATTTCTTATAAGGAACTGGAATTGGCTCAGGAGATTGTGGAAGCTTAAAAGATCTGCAATCACCAAGCTGGAGACCCAGGAGAGCCAATGGTGTAGCTAGTCCAAGTCCAAAGGCTTGAGAACCAGAAGAACTGATATTTCAGTTGGAGTCTCAAGGCAGAAAAAAAAAAAAAACGCCCTACCCAGTTCAAGGCAGTCAGGCAGGAGAAACTCCTTTTTATTTGTGAGAACGTCAGCTTTTTTTTTTTTTTCCTGAATTCAGGCCTCCGCTTGGATGGTACCCATCTACCTGAAGGACTGCAACCTGCTCCACTCAGTCTACCATCCAGATGTTTATTTCACCCAGAAACATCCTTCCAGTCACACCCAGAGTAATGTTTGACCAAATACCTGGGCACCCCAGTGAAGCCGGCACATAAAATTAACCATCATACCAAGTGAACATGAAATAGCTAAATTATTTCAGCAACTTGCCTCCATTATACATTGTCCTGAACAGAACATGAGATTCAGTTCTAACTCCAATAACCAGATAGGGAAATAATTTTAATAATTCATGGTAATATGTTTTGCTCAAGTATAAAAATGAGGAATCAGTTTGTGTCTGGTGCACACAATTTATGCTTCTTTGCTTCCAAGATGACATCATTCTGTCCCTTTTTGGCATTTATCTTTTCTACTTGCCAGTGTGCCAAAATGAAAATGATTTTCAAAAAGCTATAGAGAATCATACTTTGGGAACACACAATGGTATTAATAAACGTTATCCTGAAAATGCTGAAGTAGCTCCTAAAAAAGGTGTTCCCAATAAAAATTTTATCATTTTAAATGTTATCCGCATTTTTTTATCTCAACTAAAAAGCAATAACCATGGCCAAATTGGTTAGTAAAAAACAACTATCCATAAGAATTCCTGGGTTCCGATTCCAGTTCAAACATTTAATTAGCTGTATAAGCATCAGTATAGCATGTAATTTCTCTGATCCTCAGTTTCCAGAACAATAAAATGAGGAAATCAAATGACAAAAACGGAAAGTCTGAAAATTTCCTGACAAATCTTTTAATTATATTCCTCTCTCAATTCAGTATACCAAACATGTATTTATTGAATATGAACCAAGCATTACCAAATAAACCTGCACTAGGCATCTGTAGGAATACAAAGATCAATAATACATAAAATTTTCTTACTACGAGGGGCTTACCATCCAGAGGGAACGAGAAGAAGACAGTGTGATATTGGTATAAGAATACACAACAAAAATGGATAGTAAAAATACTATTATTAAAATTTTAAAATTATAAGCTGCATTTTAAATAATACTATTAATAGAATGAGAAAGCAAACCAAAGACTGAGAGACAATATTCACACTATGTAGTTCAAGTATGGCTGTTAAAATTTAACAGACAGAAATAAACAAGATGTAACTACAGAAATAAGTACAATGCATATCTTCCCAAACAAAAAGGAAATAAAGAAAAAGTGACTGAAAGAGTTTATACGAAAGGCAAGAATTAAGAAATAAAAGAAACAACATAAAAGGGAGGTCAATAGAACATACAAAATAAATGCAAGTATATCAGCAGCAAAAGTAAATATATTAAATTCACTGATTAAAGGCAAAGACTCTCAGATTGGAAAATAACAACAAAAATCCAGCAATATGTTTTAAAAGGATTATCCTCAAAGCATATCAACACTGAAAGATTGAAAGTAAGTATATAGATGGAAAAACTACTCTGGGCAAATACAATATGGCAAAGTAGTCTCTAAAGCAAATGCCCTTTGGTAATTTAAAAATGGTTATTTCATTTATTCATACATTCAAAAAATATATATGTGGGGCTCCTATATTTACCAGGTACTGTTCTAATAACAACATAGTACTATATGAAACAAACTCTGCGGGCATGGAGGCTCACGCTTGTAATCCCAGCAACTCAGGAGGTTGAGGCAGGAGTTCAAGACCAGCCTAGGCAACATAGCAAAACTCCATCTCTACCAAAAAACAGTAGCTGGGTATGGTGGAGCATGCCAGCTACTCAGAAAGATGAGGCAGAAAGATTGTTTGAACCCAAGAGTTCAAGGCTCAAGTGAGCTATTATTGCACCACTGCACGCTAGCCTAAGCGGCAGAACAAGACCCCTTCTCTAAAAATAAGTAAATAAAAGATAAAACAGAAATAAACTCCTTGCCTCCATGATGACTGCATTCCATTGAGGAGAAAAAGGCAACAGCCAGAATCATATGTTATACAGGGTATTAGATGATACAAATACTTTGGAGAATGCTAAACAGGGAAAGAGGACATGAAGAATCAGGAATAGTGGTTTCCATTTTAAATAGAGTGGTCAAGAAACACATCACTGAAAATATGTCATTTGAACAAGGAAAGGAAGGGAATGAGTCATGTGGGTATCTGGTGAAAAAAAATCTTCCAGCAAGAAGCAAGAGCCAGGGCATAAATCCAGAGGAAACAGTATACCTGCTATTGGAGGCTTGAGTAGAGGCTTAACATCATCTTACTCATAGCTGAAACATCTGGCTGATATGTGACGTATACTCTTTAGTGGGGCAAAGTTGGAAGCAGGTAGTTTAGAGCCTACTAAAATAATCTCAGAGGGAGATGATGACTTACATGAGAATGGTAACAGAGAATGTTGTGTTACGTGGTTAAATTCTCAACATATTAAAAATAGAGCCAGCCAGGCACGGTGGCTCACACCCGTAATCCCAGCATTTTGGGAGGCTGAGGCAGGCGGATCACCTGAGGTCAGAAGTTCAAGACCAGCCTGGTCAACATGGCAAAACCCTGTCTCTACTAAAAATACAAAATTTAGCTGGCTATGGTGGTGGGTGCCTGTAACCCCAGCTACTCGGGAGGCTGAGGCAGGAGAATCACTTGAACCTGGGAGGTGGAGGTTGCAGTGAGCCAAGATTGCATCATTGCACTCCAGCCTGGGCAACCAAGAGTGAAACTCTGTCTCAAAATAATAATAATAATAATAATAATAATAATAATAATAATAATAATAGAGCCAATAGGTGGCTGCCCAGGGCTGGGCAGGGAGATAATGAGATGGTGGTCAAAGGATACAAAGTTTCAGTTAAACAGAATGAATGAGTTGTGGAGATCTACTGTACAACATAGTGACTGTAATTAACAATAATGTATTGTGTATTTGAAAATTGCTAAGAGATTAGATCTTAAATGTTCTCACCCATAAGTAAGTATGTGAGGTGATGGATACGTTAACCAGCTTGATTTCATCATTTTACAATGTATACATATACCAAAACATCATGCTCTACACTGTAAATATACACAAAAAAAATGAAATTATGTGAGGAAATCAGACAAAAATTGAAATAAGAAAACTGTTTGAATGTGGATTTACAACAAAAGTCACTGATAATGAACTTTTTTGTAAGTGTAAGTTTATACTTTGAAATATTAACTATTAAAAAAGTTATATGTTAAAAATTTATAAATAAAAATGCAAAAGAAATGATCACCAAGAACAACCTTCATGTGTCTGGACACTAAAATACACTCTTGTAAAATATACATTTTATACATGTTTTCAGGAAAAATTCATAATAAAAATTACATCATACAGAACTGAGAAAAAATGAAAACATAAATATCTACCTTGTGGAACGTAGCAACAGTCATAATAGAAGGGAATACATAGCATTAAATGCAAACATTAGGAAAGAAAGTTGAAAATCAGTAAGCTAAGCATCCTACTCAAGAAGATAGAAAAAGCACAGCAGGATCACTGTGTAGAAGATCTATTCTTTCAGAAAGACACTGGAAGTCTTATATACCAACAATAACCAATCAGAAACCACAGTATTTGATAATAATACTATACAAAAGAACAACAAGCAAGACATACATATCATTAAGATTTTAGAAGTGTATAAATTTATTGGAGGACAAAAGAAAAAAGGAATTGCCATACCATATTTCAGGTAAAACAAATATTATTTTAAAATACATTTGTTAAAATGTAACTGTCCAGTGGGCTGTTTTCCAGACAGCTTCCTAGTGAGCTGAGCAATGAAAATGTAGGCTTAAATATTTTTCCCCAGTAATGGGATGTCTGGGTCAAATGGTATTTCTAGTTCTAGATCCTTGAGGAATTGCCACACTGTCTTCCACCATGGTTGAACTAGTTTACAGTCCCATCAACAGTGTAAAAGCGTTCCAATTTATCCACATCCTCTCCAGCACCTTTTGTTTCCTGACTTTTTAATTATCACCATTCTAACTGGTGTGAGAGGGTATCTCATTGTGATTTTGATATGCCTTTCTCGATGGCCAGTGATGATGACCATTTTTTCATGGGTCTGTTGGCTGCATAAATGTCTTCTTTTGAGAGGTGCCTGTTCATATCCTTTGCCCACTTTTCGATGGGGTTATTTGATTTTTTCTTCTAAATTTGTTTAAGTTCTTTGTAGATTCTGGATATTAGCCCTTTGTCAGATGGGTAGATTGAAAAATTTTCTCCCATTCTGTAGGTTGCCTGTTCACTCTAATGGTAGTTTCTTTTGCCGTGCAGAAGCTCTTTAGTTTAATTAGATCCCATTTGTCAATTTTGGCTTTTGTTGTCATTGCTTTTGGTGTTTTAGACATGAAGCCCTTGCCCATGCCTATGTCCTGAACAGTACTGCCTAGGTTTTCTTCTAGGGTCCTTATGGTTTTAGGTGTAACATTTAAGTCTTTACTCCATCTTGAATTAACTTTTGTATAAGATGTAAGGAAGTGATCCAGTTTCAGTTTTCTACACATGGCTAGCCAGTTTTCCCAGCACCATTTATTAAATAGGGAATCCTTTCCCTATTTCTTGTTTTTGTCAGGTTTGTCGAAGATCAGATGGCTGTAGATGTGTGGTATTATTTCTGAGGGCTCTGTTCTGTTCTATTCGTCTGTATCTCTGTTTTGGTACCAGTACCATGCTGTTTTGGTTACTGTAGCCCTGTATTATAGCTTGAAGTCAGGGGGTATATACCCAAAGGATTATAAATCATGCTGCTATAAAGACACATGCACACGTACACATAAGTTTATTGCAGCACTATTCACAATAGCAAAGACTTGGAACCAACCCAAATGCCCATCAGTGATAGACTGGATTAAGAAAACGTGGCACATATACACCATGGAATACTATGCAGCCATGAAAAAGGATGGGTTCATGTCCTTTGTGGGGTCATGGATGAAGCTGGAAACCATCATTCTCAGCAAACTATCACAAGGACAGAAAACTAAACACTGCACATTCTCACTCATAGGTGGGAATTGAACAATGAGAACGCTTGGACACAGGAAGGGGAACATCACACACCGGGGCCTGTCGTGGGGTGTGGTGAGGGGGGAGGGATAGCATTAGGAGAGGTACCTAATGTAAATCATGAGTTAATGGGTGCAGCACACCATCATGGCACATGTATACATATGTAACAAGCCTGCGCATTGTGCACATGTACCCTAGAACTTAAAGTATAATAATAAAAAAATTAAAAATAAAAATAAATATTTTTTCCCAAAAAAGTCATCCCTAAACCCAAAATGAACCAAGTAGTTCTCTCTGTGCTCAAACAGTATCTTTGCCTACTTTTATCTCTGTAACTGTCCCACTCTTTAGAACATTTGCATTTATGTGTTTATCTTTTCCATTTGACCATACATTCCATAAAGGTGGAGACTATGGTCATATTCATCTTTATAAGCTCATTATCCACCTCTGTTCCTCCACTATGAAAATTACTCAATAAATCCTCATTTGTTGAGGATGCTACAAATTGTAGGTGTTATAAGTTCTGATGAAAAGATCTAGGCATTAGAGAAGCTGTGTTCTAGTCCCAAAGCTGCCATTAAATAACTGGGTGATATCTATACTTTAAGATATCTACACTTCTCTGAGCATCAGCATCTTCATGCATAATGTGAGGGTGAGATTTCCTGACTGACCATACTTTACGTGATACTTAAAATAAATATTAAATATAAAAGCAACTGAAATATTACAAATCACTACCTGGATATGCCAGAATGTGACAACTGAACAGTTTCCATTAGTTTATAAGTTACATAGCCAAATAACTATGAAGCATAGACATTATTCCCAAACCACTAGCTAGTCTAACCTTTTCTCAACTATACTCTAGAAATAGATTATATTCTCCAAAGAAGACCATACCAATATGTGTTTCATTTCGCATGCTCTTCTTAAAATGTGTTGCTGACATACCTTGATAGGGCAGTCCCCTCGAACTTGGGCAAACCTCTATAACTGCATTAACCAATAAAATGAGCACAAGTGACCCTGAGTGACTTCTGCAAGTCATAAAAATTAATATCTCTCAGAACACTTGTCCTTGAAATCTAGCCAACCTATTTTGAGGAAGCCACAGCTACAAGTTCAGCCCAGCTAGACTCCAAGCTGAAAGCCAGCATCCACTGCTAGACATGTGAGAAAATAAGTCTTCAGATGACACCAGCCCTTAGCTTTCAAACATTTCATCTGAGGCCAGACACCATGGAACAAAGATATCTCCACTGTGTCCTATATGACTTCCTGAGCCACAGTAACCGTGAGAGATAATAAATACTCATTATTTTTTAAACTACTTAGATTGGGGATAGTTTCCCAACAACAGATCACTAATACAACTTGGTTACCACAAATACTTCTAACCACTTCTTAGAATAAAGCAGCTTCTGCTTCCTCTCCTATTACAGTGTGTGGTATCTTTAGCAGAACTCATAGGCGGAACCAATAGATTTCAATAGAAAAGACACGTAAGATAAAAACCGTAATTTGTAAAGAATGCTTGCAATTGGAGTTTCTGACTTGGGTGGAAATGGGGCAAAGAAGGACAAGGTAATGAGAAACTTTAACTTGGAAAATACCAAGCTGATAATACATCTTCAAGCCAGCCTTCCCATGGCAACTTTTTGTTCAAGCACAGGTATGAAATATTTAGAACCGCTAGAACTCCAGTAGGAAGGCTTTTATCCCTGCAAAACAGTTTGTAGCCAGAAGCTGCCTGCTGGCACTGCATGCAGTAACACACCGTTTGTTCAATGCCTGAGTTTACTCTTTGACTGACTGACACACTCCAACCCGCCTCCAAAGGCTCCTTTGCCTTCATGACTGACACGTCCCAGGAAAGAGGGGTTGTAATTGCCTCTTATTTAGGAGCTAGAGGCTGGTGGAGGATATTTGCTTTGGAGTGCCAGAGACCTTCCATTGGGCATCACCCGCTCCACGGGAGGAGCATTTCAACACAGCGGAACAGACAAAGGCAACAGAAATCAAGAAACTTGCTGGGTTGATGTGTTTCTGTCCAGTCTCCCTGTGCTGTCATTTCACTTTGCCCAGTTACAAGGACTTGTTTAAAATCTGTCACAACAGATTTCATGACACATTTACTTAAAAAAAAAAAAAATCTCTGGTATGTTCTTGTCCCATACACATCCCCCTCAGAGAATATAAAAGATGGGGAATCAGCAATGTCACATTCTGCCCAAGCACTACCTTGGCTGCTGTCAAGAAAACCACGTATGCCCCACTTCAAGGGAAATGGAGGTAGGGGGCATGTGCAGTGTATGACATACTTTGAAATGGTCTCGGTTTTTAAAAGTTGTCAACTTAAATGATTTTCTCTGATAAATCAAAAATGTCCCTATAAGAGACAAAATAATTGGATACTCTGTTTAATGAGAATACAGGTTTTCACAGAGCAAAACCTCAGGTACGTAAACTAGTTTTACCTAGTCATGATGGGGAGGGATAGCATTATCTCATCAGTGATCACCAAAACTTTTACAAGAACTTTTAACATTACATTATTATAATTTATGATTAGCATGAGCTATATATTGTGAATCTATTGAGTTGTACAATTCCACTCAAAACCACACCACTTTGATATTTTTGTAGAACAGTGTTGTATTATCATGGGATAAATATATAGTGTACATTAGGCATTCTGAAATATTTAGGATCGGTTGTAAATACCTATTACTGTTTCAGTGGGATCTTAGGATCCTGGAAAAACAAGGTAAAGAACAATAAATTTAGAAGAGTCCAGAGAGATGTCCCTACCTCCACCCCCATACATAGAAAAATTGCAAATGTCCAACCAGTTAAAAAGCTAGTTTGCTGAATCCTCTCTAGTAACCTAAAAATATGAAAATACTGAAGTTTCCTGAGCAAGCCAGTTGAGACAGCAAAAGTCTTCTAGGAAACAAAAGCTAGAAATAAGGAGACAGAATACCTGTGTTTAAGAAAACTCCAACAATATAGTTGCTAACAGAGCAGATTCTGCAGCCAGGTGGCCTGTGTTTAAACCTCAGCTGTGCCATTTACTAGCTGTAGGATCTTGGGCAACTTATTTAACCTTAGTTGCTCATATGTAAAATGCGGATCCCAATAAATATCTCCATCCAGTAGCTTGGGTAAACTTAAAACGTCATACAGAATACATGTAAAGCACATGGAATAAAGGCTAACATCTATGAATATTAGTTTTGTAAGACACCATCCCGTATTTCATATGAAAACTGACTTTTACTGAACTCTTTTCTAGTAAAATTATAAAAACCATTAAAGCACTGCTCTAGGTCACACAGCAAGAAGCACAGCAGAGATTCAAACCTAAGCTGTCTGGCTCTAGAATTACGTGTGAAAAGTATTAAATTTACACATGTGATTTCATTTCATATTAATCTCCATAAAAGAAAGCTCTGAAGTATCTTTTTACAATGAGGAAACTGAGACCCAAAAGATTATGTAACTTGCTTAAAGCCACTGAGCAACATCAAGGATGAGGCAAATCTTGCAACCCAAGTTTTCTTACCACATACTCTCTTCACACTGTCTCTCTTCCTGAGCCAGGTTTATTTTGTGCTGAGAACTGTCATCCTCACTTCTTCACTCATTTTGTTCTTTTTTCTCACCGCCATACCTACCAAGAAATCTCAGCCACTATCAATTTCACCTTTTCCCAGGGCTTTCCCCTAAGAAAAGTTGTGTTATTTGTTGTTAATCTCTCACTTTTCTAATCTTTTACAACGCTCACTGTCTGTAGCCCTGCTACTCAAATTGTGGCCTATAGACCAAGCAGCATCAGCATCATTTGGGAGCTAGTTAGAAAGAACAGACTGTCAGGCTCCTCCCCAGACCTACTGACTGGAATCTATATTTTAATGAGATTCACAGGTGATTCATAGCCATTTCAATGCTTGAGGAATGTTCCTCAGCAGCAGCATAATTGGCATTTTGTGCCAGATATTTCACTGTATTACGGGGAGCTGTCCTGTGCATTGTAAGATGTGTAGCAGCATCCATGGCGTCTACCCACTAGATGCTAGTAGCATACCTTCCCACTCCAGCCCAATGCTGCACTGTGACAACAAAAAAAAATGTCTCCAAACATTGCTAAGTATCACCTGCAGAGGCTGAAAAATCAGGCCTGGTTCAGAAATCCTTGTCTATGTGAAACTATTTTGTCCTCAAGCATATATCCTCAATATTCTTCAATATAGTTTTCAAGTATTAATTTTACATCTTCAACTAATTAGATCATAAAGTACTCCATTATAAATGCTACATCTTTTTCTTCTTAATCTGTTGCATTGGATACCAAGGTGGTTGACTGCAGCAAGGGCCATCCTTGTAGGGGCGTCTCTCCTATTCCAGATCACTTCCCAAATAAAATATTAGCACAAAAGCCTTTGTTTCAGGCTCTACTATCAAGGAAACACAAACTAAGTTACGCCTATAAAATCTAGAAGAAAATAGATACTTTATGCAATAAATGTGTGTCAATTGAGTGATACAGCAAAATACCATTAATTCTAAAGAATCTATGGGTCACTGAAAGGAGAGGTAGTATATTTGAGATGTGTTTGTCTCTCCATTAACCATGAAAATAACTAGCATGTGAGTTGCTCAAGTAGTTATTAATTAATATAAAACATTTTAACCTTTATCTCCTCCTGCTTAAATAATACCTTTGTCACCATTACTACTTCAATATTACAGGCTAACAGGTAGGAAAGAATAAGGTCTGAAACACTTTCTTTGAAATCAAAATAGTTAATTACTTCCTTGTAATTGGGTGTGAGACAGCAAGCCAGAGCATGGGAAATTTCTAAGCTGGTCACATGAAGGAAATTTTGTCTGGGATTTTCCAAGGCAAGATTTTCATCACCTTTTCCTTTAAAGGGAAAAAGAGTATAGGAGAATTAATTTCTGCATTAATTTTCCTCCGAGTAACATTTCCTTATGTGACAATACAACTGCCCCCAAGCGTTTCTGCAACACATCCTGAGATTTGTCTGGCTGTGTTCGCCATGGTCACAACTGTTCTTCCATGTGAATTATTGGCACTCTTATAATGGAAGCCGGCCCCTAATATTCTGGTTGCACAGTACAGATGGTTAATAGCAAAAGAGGAACAGCCTGAGAAGGAATATAGTGCAATGCCATTTGTTGGCTTGAAAGAGATACATTATTTAAAATATATAAAAATCATATAATAGCAATATGCCTGTAATCTTAACTTTTTGAGCAATAGAATCCTAACAAAATTTTCTCACATTTTTGCTTATAACTCCCCAAGAAAAAAATCAGTTAATAAATAGAGATAAACAGAAAAAGAGTTTCAAAATGTTATTTCTGTTGTTGGTTAGTGTAGTTTATTGGGATTACTGTTCTTACGTTACTTTTAAGATATTTGTCGGAGAAGAGGGGTCCTAGAAGAGGTATTTATCATAAGCTAGCCTAGTTCTAGCCACCAATGTAATGTTAATACAAGATGGTAAGGCAGCTGGCAGGCATTGATTCTATTTAAAAGGATAGTCTCAACCTTTTTCCCCGCCGTATTTTATCCACAGAAACATCTGTCACAGCTGTCAAGGTTCCCCTACCTTAGCAAGTAACTGATCACGGTGATGTGTAAAAAAATGACTTTAAATCACAGCTGTGTCTCAGGAAAGGTTCATGGGAGATGCAAGGTTCAACTGATAGATCATTTGAACGAAAGTGTGATGGTGTTCAATATCCCAAAGACAGGGAAGGAGCCTGGAAAGTAATAAGGCAAAATGTCCCAGCAATTGAAGATTAGATCCAGACCAAAAAGAAGTGTGTGGCCTCAGAAATAACGCAAACGTGGGTAACTGGACAAAAGTGTCCAATAAAAGAGCAGGCACAAATAACCTTCAATTGAAGGAGTGGTTTACACTCACAAACCATAATGTTTGTCCATAATCTGGTTATGGGTTAATGGAGCTATTTCATCAGTCCCTGGCTAAAATTTTTTAAAAATAATAATGAGACCCACATATGGAATATTTCATAGAGATGAATTTATTCTACTCAAAAAAACCTGTTCTTTATTATGATTTATCCTTTTTTCATCTTTAGTTATATTAGTTAGGGTAAATAATGCTCTAATATTCCCTCTTCTCTGCTGTGACTAAACTAGAATTTTTGTGCCTTGAGAAAGGCCTATTCTGCATTCTCATCACAGTTCTTGTAGTCAATCTGAGAAAGATAAAAGGGTTGATGACTATGTGCCAAATTTCTTTTCAAATTTTACTGTTGCACAAAATCTCAAAATATGGGAAGCGTACTTCTTAAAAAAATTTATATATTTGAAATTTTTCAAGCTGCAATTTTAATTCTATTCTTAAGTTTAAATTGGCCCTGTACATGTATTCAATACCCTTTAGCTCTTTCATACTTTATTGTTTCCAGACTACTTCTCAAACTCTCTCTAATAACAAAAATGATACATAGATCAGGAGACAGAGAAGACTGTGAAATTGTGACTAGGAGCCAATCCATTGCTTTGGCCATTTCTACCCTAAGTCTCTGTTATTTATGCATGTTAACAAATTTGCTGGATCAGGAAATAAGCATCCTGGTGGAGAATTCAGTGAAGATGTGACTTCATTAAGTAACAGAGGTCTGAAGAACAAATAAAAAAGGCAAGAATAATGAGGAAGCAGTAGGAACAAAAAGAACATATGAGAACGGTACTGCTTAAATCAATAGGTTCTCAGCTTAAGTACTTCTTTTGGCTCGAACACACACATCCAAAATAGATGCAGGTTAAGTAGAGAAGCCTTTCCATAGCATGCCTAATTTCCTTTCATGGAACTGGCAGCCTAAATTAATGCCTATTGCAGTAAGGAGACCTCACTCAAAGTTCTAGCACCAAAGTATAAAAGTTTGTATATTAGTAATATTTCTTTTTCTGACTGATTCTATTTTTTAATTGAAAAACAGATAATATTGCTACCCTTTCCCATTTTTATTGTGTTGTCATTGGGGGCTAGATTTTTGTATGCTCTTGAAAAGACAAAAACATTATTGGAGCATCAAATATAGACCAAGCAGTGCTTGAGGGCATTTGAAAGCTATTATCTTCATTTTAAAGATAAGGAAATAAAATCTTAGAAATGTTATTTAAACTGAAACTGTGTATATAACACAGCAAGGACTTAATTAAGTGAGAGATGGAAGTGAGTGGATCACTTAGACGATCATTTGGATCACTTAGATAAAGTCGGCCTTGGTACTACCCCATACTGAATGAAGCACTGAAAGCTCATATGTTCACTTGAGGAACCAGATTTTTACTACTATTGTAATTTAAGTGGTCTCCCCCCACCAACTTTGGAGCACTATCAATCCAAATAATGATCTATAATAACACATACAAGGTCCTATTAACTCTAACATTTATCAAGATGTCAAAAAGAATGAGAATGAGTGAAACTATACTCTGGAGAGAGAATAAACATGGCTATGATTATTAGTTTTAGAACTAAATAATATGTTATAAATCACAAATTGCATATATTATAGTTTTGTCATTAACTTCTGTATTAATTAGGCACTAGTTCCACTGCTGTAACAGAGAGACCAAGAATAATAGAACACAGAGTTTATTTCTTTGTCACACAAAAAGGAGGTAAGCAGACTTCTATCTAGTTGCTCCACCATCCTCAATGCTTGGCTCTTCCTGGTGGTCCAACATGTCTGCTCCAGATCCCATTATTACATATTCATTCAAATCTGGAGAAGGGAAGTGAATCCCCCTATTTTCAAGCACAACAGGAAACTTTCACATTTTTCTTCCGTTAACACTCCATTAGCCAGACCTTAGTCACACAATCCCATATACCTCCAAAGACGGATGAGAAATCGAGTATTTAATCAGGTGTCCAGTCCATGTGCCTAGCTAAAATTCTATTATGGAAGAATGGATGTTTTGCTACAACTGTCCATTCTGACACACACACACACACACACACACACACACACACACACACGAAAATCCTTAGCAGTTGTTGTTAAGGAAATTGTTTTGGGTTTGATCTGGTTGATATTCTGTTGTACTATTGTTTTAAGAGTTGAGAATTAAAAGTTACTCCCTAATATCTCTTAATTTGCTGGTTACATAAAATACTCTTCCTTTGTCAGCAATTGCTGAAAATCTTGTCCTTAAATGGTTATCCATGTTATTATAAAGAATTACATAGGAATGTCCTCTCTTTATTTACATATCTATGCTGTGCTTTCTCTGCTTTCAGTACTCTGATAATTTCTGCTGCCCTTCAGTAAGAGAAAATATTGATAGCTTTTCAAAGAGCAACATATATATATTGGATGTGAAGACTTACCTCTTGCATAAAAGTCACAAGAGTTATAATACCCTCCTGTATTTACTATCAACTTGTCCCTCTAAATGACATTATCAAACATTCTAACTCTCTGTTGTGCAAAGAAGCACTATTTATAAATTATACAACATCCTATAGAACTGTAGGAAACTTTTTTTTTTTTTTTTGAGACGGAGTCTCGCTCTGTCACCCAGGCTGGAGTGCCGTGGCGCAATCTGGGCTCAATGCAAGCTCCGCCTCCCGGGTTCACACCATTCTCCTGCCTCAGCCTCCTGAGTAGCTGGGACTACAGGCGCCCGCCATCACGCCCAGCTAATTTTTTTGTATTTTTAGTAGAGATGGGGTTTCACCGTGTTAGCCAGGATGGTCTTGATCTCCCGGCCTCGTGATCCGCCCGCCTAGGCCTCCCAAAGTGCTGGGGTTACAGGTGTGAGCCACCGCGCCCGGCTGTGACAAACGTTTGAGTGCATGGGTCCTTTTGGTAGAACGACTTGTTTTCTGTTGAGTATATATCCAGTCATGGGATTGCTGAGTCCAATGGTAGTTGAAGTCTTAGTTTTTTGAGAAATCTCCAAACTGCTCTCCACAATGCTAATTTACATTCCCACCAACAGTGCCTAAATGTCCTTTTTCTCAGAAGCCTCATCAACATGTTATTTTTTTACTTTTTAACAAAGCCGTTTTGACTGGTGTCTCATTATGGATTTGATTTGCATTTCTCTGATGATTAGCAATGATAAAAAAAAGTCTTATATGTTTGTTGGTTGTTTACACACCTTCTTTTGAGAAGTGTCTGTTCATAACCTTTGCCCACTTTTAAATGGGGTTGTTTTTTGCTTGTAAATTAAAGTTACTTATAGATTCTGGATATTAGACCTTTGTCAAATGCATAGTTTGCAAATATTTTCCCTATTCTTTAGGTTGCCTGTTTAATCCCTTGATAGTCTCCTGCTGTGCAGAAGCTCCTTAATTAGTTTCTACTTATCAATTTTTGTTTTTGTCATAATTCCTTTTGAGGACATAGTCACAAATTATTTGCCAAGGCCAGTGTACAAAATGGTATTTCCTAGGTTTTCTTCTCGGAATTTTATAGTGTGAGGTCTTATATTTAAGTCTTTAATCCTTTTTTATTTAATTTTTCTATATGGTGAGGTAGGGGTCCAGTTTCATTCCTCTGCATACAGATAGCCAGTTGTCCCAGTACTATTTATTGAATATGGAGCCACTGCCCTATTGCTTATTTTTGTCAAGTTGGTAAAAGATCAGATGATTGTGGGTGTGCAGCTTTATTTCTGGCTTCTATATTCTGTCTCATTGGCCTATGAGTCTGTTTTTGTACCAGTTCATGCTGCTTTGCTTACTGTAGCCTTGTAGTATAGTTTGAAGTCAGGTAACATGATGCTTCCAGCTTTGTACTTTTTGCTTAGAACTGCTTTGGCTATTAGGGTTTTTAATTCATATGAATTTTAGAATAGATTTTTCTAATTTGCTGAAAAATAATTTGGTGGTTTGATAGAAATAGCATAGAATCTAGAAGTTACTTTGAGCAATATGGCCATTTTAATGCTTTTGATTCTTTCAATTTGTAAGCATGTAATATTTTTCATTTATTTGAGTTGTCTCTGATTTATTTCAGCAGTGTTTTATACTTCTCCTTGTAGAGATCTTTCACCTCCTTGATTAGATGTATTCCTAGGTATCTTATTCTCTTTGTGGCTATTTTAACTGGGATTGAATTATTATTGATTTGGCTTTCAGCTTGAACATTATTAGTGTATAGAAACGATATTGACTTTTATATATTGATTTTGTATCCTGAAACTTTACTGAACTTTGTTTATCAGGTATAGGAGCCTTTTGGCAGAGTCTTCAGGGTTTTGGGGTTATAGAATCATGTTATCAGCAAAGAAAGATAGTTTGACTTATCTTCCTATTTGGATGTGTTTTATTTCTTTTTGTTTATCAGTTCTAGGCGACTTTTGGCAGAGCCTTTAGGGTTTTTTGGGTATAGGGTCACGTCATCAACAAAGAAAGATAGCTTGACTTATTTTCCTATTTGGGTGTGTTTTATTTCTTTTTCTTGCCTGATTGCTCTGGCTAGGACTTCCAGTACTATGTTAAATAGGAGTGGTGAAAGTGAGCATCCTGGTCTTGCTCCATTTCTCAATGTGTGTGATATGGTTTGCTGTGTCCACACCCAAATCTCATCCTGAATTGTAGTTCCCATAATCCCCATGTGTGGTGGGAGGGAAATTCAATCATGGGGGAAGTTTCCCCCATGCTATTCTTGTAAGTTCTCACAAGATCTGATGGTTTTATAAGAGGCTTCCACCTTTGCTCAGTTCTCATTCTTCTCCTTCCTACCATCATGTGAAGAAGGACGTGTTTGCTTCTCCATCTGCCATCGTAAGTTTCCTGAGGCCTCCCCAGCTCTACAGAATGATGAGTCAATAAAACCTCTCTCCTTTATAAATTACCCAGTCTCAGGTAGTAGGGTGCTGCTGTAAAGATACCTGAAAATGTGGAAGCAACTTTGGAACTGGGTAACAGGCAGAGGTTGGAACAGTTTGGAGGGCTCAGAAGAAGACAGTAAGATGTGGAAAAGCTTGGAATTTCCTAGGGGCTTGTTGAATGGCTTTAATCAAAATGCTGATAGTGATACAGACAATGATGTCTAGGCTGAGGTGGTCTCAGATGGAGATGAGGAACTTCTTGGGAAGTGGAATACAGGTGACCCTTGCTATGTTTTACCAAAAAGACTGGCAGCATTTTATCTTTACCCTAGAGATCTGTAGAACTTTGAACTTGAGAGAGATGATTTAGGGTATCCGGAGGAAGAAATTTCCAAGCAGCAAAGCATTCAAGACACGATTTGGATGCTGTTAAAAGCATTCAGTTTTATGCATTCACAAAGACATGGTTTGGAACTGGAACTTAAGTTTAAAAGAAAAGCAGAGCATGAAGGTTTGGAAAATTTGCAGCCTGACAATGCAATAGAAAATAAAAACTCATTTTTCTGGGGAGAAATTTAAGCCAGCTGCAGAAATTTGCATAAGTAACAAAGAGCCAAATGTTAATCACCAAGACTATGTGGAAAATGTCCCCAGGGCATGTCAGAGACCTTCACAGCAGCCCCTCCTATCACAGGCCTGGGATGTGGAGGACAAAATGGTTTCATGAGCCGAGGCTCAGGGCCCCCCTGCTTGATGTAGCCTTGGGACATGGTGCCCTTCCTCCAAGTGCTTCAGCTCTAGCAGTGGCTAAGAGGGGCCAATGTACAGCTCAGGTCATTGCTTCAGAGGGTGCAATCCCCAAGCCTTGGTGGCTTACATATAGCGTTGGGCTTGTGGGTCTGCACAGAAGTCAAGAATTGAGGTTTGGGAACCTTCACTTAGATTTCAGAGGATGTTTGGAAACACCTAGATATCCAAGCAGAAGTTTACTGCAGAGATGGAGTCCTCATGGAAAACCTCTGCTAGGGCAGTGTGGAAGGGAAATATGGGGTTGGAGCCCCCACACAGAGTCATCAATGGAGCACTCTCTAGAGGAACTGTGAGAAGGTGGTTACCATGAAAGTAGCCTGGAGGGGGGCTGTGCCCTGCAAAGTCACAGGGGTGGAGCTGCCCAAGGCCATGGAAGCCCACCTCTTTCCTCAGCATGACCTGGATGTGAGACATGGAGTCAAAGGAGAATATTTCAGAGCTTTAAGATTTAATTACTGCCTCATTGGATTTTGGACTTGCATGTGGCCTGTAGCCCCACTGTCTTGGCCAATTTCTCCCATTAGGAATGGGTGTATTTACGCAGTGCCTGTGCCACCACTGTATTTAGAAAGTAACTAACTTGCTTTTGATTTTACAGGCTCATAAGCTGAAGGGACTTGCCTTGTCTCAGATGAGACTTTGGACTTGGACTTTTGAGTTAATGCTGGAATGAGTTAAGAGTTTGGGGGATGGTTGGAAGGGCATGATTGTGTTTTGAAATGTGAGGACTTGAGATTTGAGAGGGGCCCGGGGTGGAATAATAAGGTTTGGCTGTGTCCCCACCCAAATCTCATCTTGAATTGTAGTTCCCATAATCCCCATGTATGGTGGCAGGGACCAAGTGGAAGGTAACTGAATCACTGGGTGGTTTCCCTCATGCTCTTCCCATGATAGTAAGTTCTCACATGATCTGATGGCTTTACAAGGGTCTTCCCGTTTCTCTCAGCTCTCATTCTTCTCCTTCCTGCCATCATGTGAAAAAGGACATGTTTTCTTCCCCTTCTGCCGTAATTGTAAATTTCCTGGGCCACGTCAGTCCTGTGGAACTGTGAGTCAATTAAACCTCTTTCCTTTAGGAATTACCCAGTCTCAGGTATGTCTTTATCAGCAGCATGAAAACTGACTAACAAGAGTGTGGTTACAGCTTTTGTCTATCCAGTATGACGTTGGCTAAGGGTTTGTCATAAATGGCTCTTATTGTTTTGAGGTATGTTACTTCAGTGCCTAGTTTGTTGAGGGTTTTTATCATAAAGGAATGTTGGGTTTTATTGAAAGCTTTTAATGTATCTATTGAGATGATCATATGGTTTTTGTTTTTAATTATGTTTATATGGCAAATCACACTTATTGATTTACATATGTTAAAAACACCTTGCATTCTGAGAATAAAGCCTACCTGTTTATGATGAATTAACTTTTTGTGTGCTGCTGAATTTGGTTTACTATTATTTTGTTAAGGATTTTTGCATCTATGTTCATCAGAGATACTGGCCTGAAGTTTCTTTTTTCATTGTGTCTCTGCCAGATTTTGGTATCAAGATAATGCGGGTTTCATAGAATGAGTTAGGGATGACTCCCACATCCTTGATTTTTTGGAAAAGTTTCCATAGGATTAGTAACAGCTCTTGTCCTTCTGGTAGAATTCAGTCATAAATACATCTGGTCCAGAGTTTTTGTTGGTTGCTAGGATTTTTATTCATGATTCAATTGCAGAACTCATTATTAGTCTGTTCAGGTTTTCCCTTTCTTCCTTGAAAGCCTGTGTGTTTCCAAATGGTCAGTTGTTGAGTTCAAGTCCAGAATTTCTTTGTTAGTCTTCAGCCTTGATGATCTGTCTAATGCTGTCAGTAGGGTGTTGAAGCCTCCCCCTATTATTGTTGTTTGGCTAAGACTTTTTTGGGTTCAAGAAGAATTTGTTTTATGAATCCAGATGCTCTAGTGTTGGGTGCATATATATTTAGGATAGTTAAGTCTTCTTGTTGAAGTGAGGCCTTTATCATTACATAATGCCTTTCTTTGTCCTTGATTGTTGTTGGCTTAAAGTCTACTTTATCTGATATAAGAATAGCAGCCCCTGCTCTTTTCTGTTTTCCATTTGCATAATATATATATCTTTCTTCGTCCCTTTATTTTAAGCCTGTGGGTGGCATTACATGTGAGATGGGTCTCTTGAAGACAGCATTTGGCTTGTCTTTCTATACAGCTTGCCACTCTGTGTTTTTTAAGTGGGGTGTTTAGACCATTTACACTAAAGGTTAATATTGGTATGTAAGACTTTGATCCTGTCATCATGTTGTTAGCTGGTTTTGAAGACTTGATTGTGTAGTTGCTGTATAATGTCTGTGGGCTATGTGCTTAAGTGTGATTTTTACAATACGGTAGCAGGTATTGTTATTTCATTTCCATATTTAGCACTCCCTCAAAAGCCTTTTGTAAGGCTGTTCTAGTGGCAACAAATTCCCTTAGCATTTGCTTGCCTTAAAAGGATTTTATTTCTCCTTCGCTTATGAAGCTTAGTTTGGCTGGATATGAAATTCTTGGTTGGATTTTTTTTTTTCTTCATGTGGCCCCCAATCTCTTCTGGCTTGTAAGATTTCTGCTGTGAAGTCTGCTGCTAGTCTGATGGGGTTCCCTTTATAAGTGACCTGACACCTCTCTGGCTGCCTTTAATATTTTTTTCTTTCATGTTCACCTTGCTAAATCTGATGACTATGCATCTTTGGGATGGTTGTCTTATATAATATTCTAAAAGGGTACTCTGTTATTTCTTAAACTTGCATGTCAACCTCTAAAAAGATTGGGGAATTTTTCACAGGCTGTATCCTCAATATGTTTTCCAAGTTGCTTACTCTCCCTCTTCTCTCAAAAATGACAATAAGTTGTACTATTGGCATCTTTAAATAATCCCATATTGTTCTGAGGTTTTCTTCATTTCAAAAAATATTTTTCTTTATTTTTGTGTGAATGAGTTGATTCAAAGGACTGTTCTTCAAGCTCTGAGAGTCTTTCTTCAGCTTGGTCTATTCTGCTGTTACTGCTTCCAACTCTATTATGAAATTCTTATACTGAATTTTTTAATTCTAGAAGTTCCATTTGATTCTTAAAAGGGCTATTTTGTCTTTCAACTCTTGGATCATTTTACTGGATTCCTTGGATTGGGTGTCAACTTTCTCCTGAATCGCAATAAGTTTCTTTGCCACCCAGATTCCAAATTCTATGTCTAGCAATCATTTCAGTCATTTCAATCTGGTTTAGAACCATTGCTGGGGAGCTAGTATGCTCATCTGGAGGTAAGGGAACATGGACTTTTTGAATGGCCAGAGTTCTTATGCTGATTATTTCTCATCTGAGAGGGCTGGTGCTCTTTTAATTTTTTGAATTTGATGTTGTTTGCATGTGGTTTTTTGTTTTTATATTCTTTGTTTCCTTTGAGGGTTTAACTCTGGTGTAAGTTGAGTATAGGTGATTGGCTTCATTTCTGGAGGGCCAAGCCTTTGTATGAGATCTTTATTTGGGCTAGATCATTGTCCTGGGTTTCACGGAGGATGTATACTGGGAGAATATTTTTGGTGTTGTAATTTGGGCTACAGTCCAGTAGATAGTGCTTAAGAGTAATGACTGGCAGATGGTCTCTTAGCTGTGTGGCTCTTTTGTATTTAAGTGTGTTCACAGCAGTGCTCTATAGTAGGGGTGGGAGAGAGATGACACCCTCACCAGGTCAGTTTCCACGCCTTAAGGGACACTCTGCTGGTTACTGATGCCATGCCCACATTTCCTTTGTTCGGTGTTCTAGACTGTGGGGCTCCCTCAGGAGGAGGCTATAGCTGGCAGATAGGCCTCATACTTCCCGGACAGCCCTACAGAGGGAAACAGGATCCACTCCAGCACCAGCCAAGAAACCTACATCTCACTCTTCTCAGTGTTCTGAGATTTGGGACTCCTCCCCTGCTCAAGTGCCAGCCAAAGAACTCAGCTTGGCACTCCTGAGCTATGTGCTGCAACCCTGTGGCATTGGGACCTGCCAGGGGCTTTGTCCTCTAGCCCTTCAGGGTCAGCCACTGGCTCTGCTGGGGGAACCGAAGTGCTCCCAGGTTGCCAACAAAGCACTCAGGCTGGGGGCAGTGGAAGTTGTGCTGTGTACATGCTCTTGTGGGAGTGCTGGGCAAGGGCCTTGGGAAGGGCTGGCAGATGGGGGAGATGCAGAACAGACTGGACACACCCTAGTCCCATGGTAAAGATGGACCTGCTCCTTACTGGCCCAGCAGTCAGCTGGGGTTAGAGCTACTTGAAGGAAGATAGATAGCCTTGGGGAATGGGTGCCTATGGCTGCGTTTGCTGCAGCTGCCCCATGCACCACATAATCTGGGTTCCTTGCAAGCAGGAGCTCTGTCTCTATCTACTCTCCAAGTAGATCCCCCTGTCAATTCAAATGCCTGTCAGGGTCATGTAGCTAGGATTCCAGAGGTCCCTGGCAAGAATGGGTTGTCCTGCAGTGACTTCACTCACCCCTTCCTTAGGAGCTGTTCAGGGCTGGGTTTGTTTTCTTATTGTTAAGTTTTAAGAGTATGTGTATAGGGGTGTGTGTGTGTATATATATATATATATATACACACACATATATACGCATATATATATACGCGTATATACATATATGCACACATATATACACGTATACGTGTATATACATATATACGTGTATACGTGTATATACATATATGCACATATATACATATCTATACATATATACACACATATATACATGTCTATGCATATATACACATATATATATCTCAGAGAAGACATATAGAGAAGTCATATAGAAAGACACAAGATAGATTTTATATATGTGCGTGTATATATATATATACACACATATAAAATCTTCTCATTCTCTTGAAAATGTGTTTTGTAGACCAGAAGGTTTTAATTTTAATAAAGTTCAACTTATTATTTCTCTTGTGGATCATGCCTTTGGCGTTATAGCTAAAAAGCCATCACCAAACTCAAGGTCTGTATTTTCCCCTGCATTATCTTCTAGGAGGTTTATCATTTTGTGTTCAGTATTACAGTTTTGTATATAGGTATTTGATCCATTTTAAGTTACTTTTTGTAAAGTTTAAGGTCTGTGTTTAGATTCATTTTTTTAACTGTAACTCAGGAATAGCCAAAGGGAAGAGATATATAGGGCAAGGTATACGGCCTGGGGTGGTATGGATCTTCCATGCCCTCTCAGGGCATGCCATCTTCCTAGCACCGTGATGTGTTGACCAACTCAGAAATTTCATTCTGTATTTTTTTTAACTTCTTAAGAATTGTTCATCTTTCCTCCTCCCACCCCAATAACATATAAGCTTTAATAGGGTAGGAGATTTTTGCCTGTTTTGTTCAACATTATACCCCCAGTGCCTGACACATATTTAAAAATGAATAAATACTAGTTAATGTTTTAAACTATAAAAATTGCAATAAAATATAATGGGCCAGACTTACAGCAGCAATGCGAAGCTATTTCCTAGACTACCGTCAGGGTTAGCTATCACTGTAGAAACAAAGACAAGTTGCAGAAAAAAGCTAAAATGTTAAGACTGTAAAGTAAAAATAAGAAAGAAGAAAAAAAGAAATCTTACCATAAACCAGAAACATTATAGCCATTATGTGTTTCACATTCTCAACAACACTATGAAGTAAATATTCTCATTTTACTCATGCAGTAACTTTGGTCAAAGAAGTTAGGTAACCTGCCCAATGCCTCACAGGTAGTAGAATTTCAATTCTAGTGGTAACAATTTAGTTCCAGGCCTGATTGTTTCTAAAAGCCAAAGAACCAGAAAAGAGAGAGAAAGGAGATTGGATGAGCTCCTTTCAGAGGAAATGAAATTATCCGAAGTCCAGAAGGGAAAAATGAAGTTATGACACTGAAGTAGATGAAGGGCAAAAGAAAGGATTTTGACAAACCCAGAATAGGAGGCAATCAAGAAAAACCATGAGAAACAAACAAAAGACTAGGCATAGAAGAAATTTTTTTAATGGTTTGTAAATAAGGGAAAAAGAAAAGGGGGAAATTGAACCTCAATGTGCATGAGTTAAACATCCCTGAAGAGAAAACACATGCAACAGTAAAGTAACTTCAGGACATAGAAGAACAAATTCCTTAGGAATTCAAGATAAGCATTTTAGAAAAATGAGAAGGGAATAAAACTGACATGTTCTATGTGTTCTTGGAAACACAAATGCGATGTAAATAGGTGACAGGTAGGCTGCTACATGAAAATGCCTACAAAATGTGGTTAGACAAATAGGAGGGCTTATTCTCCACCCACATAAAGCCTTTGAGTATTAGGTTAGTGTGGCAACAACTAACACGAGCGGTGAATATCATTCTGGATCTCTGAAGTCCTCAGGGTTTTGTTTCCGACAGTGACTCGGTGTGGACAAAGCTAACTTTGGAGTAAGACAGACCTAGTTTTCATCCTGATCCATCATTTACTCATGTGTCTTCAGGCAAGACTCAGAATCTTTGTCAGAATCTGTTTTCTCATCCATAAAACAACAGCCTTTTTGCTGGGTTCTGGCAAAATTAAATGAGATAATGTATGTTGTATTTTGTCCTGTGCTCAATAAACAGTCACTATAACTACTAATGGCCTCATGTTCGAACTACAAGGACTTAATATTTCAAATGGAGGGACTGTAACCAAGAGAAGAGATAGCTGTCTTTGAGACTTGTGACCTGTGAAATTACAGGATCGTGGGAGACACAACTGTACAAATCATGTAAGCCTCATCATTCAGAGAATCCAAGTGTCTTTCCCAAGAAGCAGAATGGGTACTGAGTAGGCCTGACTCTTCCTTAAAAAGAGAACGTGAAAACTGCGTTTAAGTGGAAAACTGGACAATCCCTCTCCCACTCACACACCACAGCAACTTTATTCTTCTAATAATAGCCTGAGCAAACTAAATGCAAATCAAAACTGCTATTAGAAAATTCCAGCTTCTCCCTGAAGCTCTGCTTAACTGCATTTAGGGTCACAAATATTTTTTCTACTAACGCTATAATCTAGCAGTTCACTGACATTTACAGCCTGAACTTCCTAATTTCCTCTTGGTTTTCAGGGGAGTAATATGCAGGAACATGCTGCTTGATTTAAAATTTTAGCAATAACGTGATACGTACTGATCTTTCTCCCCTTCTTGGATTTTTCTATACTTGGTTTACACGCAGCCCTGTGGAAGCTCAGTGAATAAATGGACTAAATTCTCTCCTCCTCACCATCCGTCTTAAAAATATCCTGGTGCTAACTGGGGTACTTAGGATGGAACATTAACTCTTTCAGGCCTCCAGGGGCTTCTCTGAGGACTCAAGAGGTTAAACATAATGAGAAAAAAAAATGGTTATGCAACTTTTTGCCTACTTTGAAAGGCAAAGTTTGCTCATATGTACCTCTTTTTAAAAGAACTATATTTTTTAATACCACTGCAAACCATAACCCTATCCTGTGTTTCTAACTAGTACACAATTCACAATTTTTTGGATTTTGAACTCTGTCTCAAAGCAGCCTACACACAAGTTCCAGGTTAAACTTCTTAACATATAACTATTGTTATGGATCTGCTTACCACTCACAGAGTAATAACGTAAATCCCTCCTAGAGGCCTATAATGTCTTTCAAAATTTAATTCTCTCTTTTAGCCCTACCTTCTCTAACCAAAAACTAGCCAAGGCCTCTGACCCTCCTGAGGTTGAGCTGAGTAGGTTAGAGGTTCAAGGAAAAGAATTCAACCTTACATACTGGTGCTACACAGGCTACCTTTGAAAGCTCCCTTTGCATGGGATCTCCTGGCTTTTTGGAAGAACCTTCCACAGAGTACCTAATGGTAGCATCCCAGACGTGAACCAGGCCCGTTCTCTATGTGGATACTTAAGGTTCCACCCTCAGCTTCTGGGATTCAGGCAGTTTATCCCACCCAGACTCTCTGTCATGGCCTATTGCTGTTCCAGGCAGTCCTCTTGGACCAGATACTCATTAAAATAACCCCTGGCCCACTCACGCACCCACCTAGCCCATGGGAATTTCACACACATTACTCACTCCCAGGCAGCACCAGTCCAGCTGGCTGTTTATTTTAAGCTGAAACCTCAGGAAACACACATTAAGGGAACCACGTGTCCCTCTTAAAGCACCCCTAACCCACCTGGAGATGAGAAAGACCATTCCCCTTTCCCTTGCTGATGGAATAGGAATGGGAAATGGAAAGCTCAAAGACGATTACAATGGAAAAATTTTTCTCTTGCCCAATTATTTAATTTCTCTTCCAAACCTCAGATCCTACTCTTTGATAGATGGTCATTGGAAAAATTGCTTTCTTAAACTTTTAGCACGTTGTGTACAGGTTCATGGCAACTCCATTTAGAATGTTGGTGACTTGGCCTCTAATGTCATATTCTAGTCCTTTAGAGCTCTCAGGCAAAAAAGAGACCAAGAAGTCATAATTGAATATATGCTATATTAGGCTGAGTGTTTGTTCAACACTTTCTGCATTTTCTTTTTTCCTTACTTTGATTATTTTGTCATCTCCCTAAAACGTTTAAACCACTCCCAAAGGCACATCTTAGAACATACTCTCCCCACCCACATATTGAGGAGAGCTCTGTTTTAGAAACTTTTACGGTGTTCATACTCTCCCTCAAGGTCCAATGATTTCTAGGAGTCTGGTGATTTGTAAAGTTGTTGTACCTTTTTATGGATCTAAGCTTCTTGAAGAAAGGATTGTTTCTTCACATCTATCTCAGTGAACTCTGCAGCTCATTGAATGCACTGCAAACTATTTTTTTTATTTCTAAAAAGTACGACTTCCTGTAAGATTCAGCAATTACACTCCTAGGTATCTACCGAAGAGAAATGAAGATATGTGTTCACACAAAGAGTTGCATATGAATTTTCATAGCAACATTATTGATAATAGCCCAAAATTGGAAACAACACAAATGTACATCAACTTGTGAATAAACAAAATATAGGACATCCATACAATGGAATACTATTAAGCAATAATGAAGAAACAAAGCACTGATACATGCTACAATCCAGATGAACCTCAAAAACATTAGCAAAGTGAAAAAAGCCAGACACAAAAGATGATATATTATATGATTCCATTTATATTAAATATGCAGAAAAACCAAAACTATAGAGATAGAAAGTAAACTAATGGTTACCTGGGCTCAGCGTAGGAATGGGGATTAATTGCAAATGGGCATGAAGGATACTGCAGGAGTCATGAAAATGTTCTAAAACTGGATTATAGGGATGGATGCACAACTCAGTAAACTTACTATAAATCATTGCTTGTACAGTAAAAATGAGTGAATTTTATGATATGTAAATTATAATGAAGTTCTTTTTTAAAGCCTATAGAATTTGGAGTATTTTGGTTTTTTGATGTCAGCTTTTCATAGGTGTTAATGCTGCTGAAGCCCTGAACAGTTCAAAATAGAAGAGAACAGGGCCTCTGGGCCTACGCCTTGCTCACAGAGTCGTAAACAAACATATTGCTTCCATATCAAAAGCCAGAATTCTTAAAATTTCACAATAGGTCAGATCACAGTTAGATTGAGTGCAGCTGCAATGCACCAATGGTTTTCTGGCAGTGAAAAGAGCTGATGGTCTCCCCAAGTGTCTGGCTTAATAATAAAAAGTGACTTAGGCACTGAGCATTAAAATTTCCTCATAACCTGAAAATCTTGTCATTGTGGGATTTTAAATCCTAAATCGGATCATCGTAGCAAAGTAATTTAGAAATCAATCAGCTTCATGTGTAGAAAATGAAAACTGTGGGATCAATGTTTCCCCTAGATATTTAAAATAAAATCATACTTTTAAAATGGTATATACTTTGGCTCTGGTAAATATATATTTCATGTAAGAAAACAGATACAATTCATTTATCACTACAGGAGATTTGAAAGTTCCATGCAAGGCTTGAAATGTTGTGTGTTTTTTTTTTTAAAGTGTAACATTTCTAATTATTTTAACTAGTTATATTTTTAAATACTTTGGCTATTTCCATTGTTATGTAACTATCTATAGAAAAGCATCTAAATGCATTTGAGTGAACTGTGATTTGGTCTCCATAGAATTTTCACTAAGCATCCATTTATGAGCTCATATTATAAGGGTAGGTAGTAATTTATACTTCTAAATTCCCAGGGTTTAAATTATTTGTAAAGCAAAACCTAAACATTGTAAAATTATCACTACTCAAAAGAATATAGACAATATTTTTAATTGTATCCCACCCAAACACTCTCCATTGAGTAATAATTATATACTCAACACAATAATAAAATGTATCAAAATCCTCAAATATCCACTGCCCCATCACTTCATAGCCACATTAGGTGGGAGATTTAGTGTTTTGCACCTCCGGAAGGTATCAGGATTTAAACCTCAGGCTCAGGCAATTTCAGAAAGGAGGAATGTATAGCAGGAAGTTCTAACAGAAAGTTAATCTTCCTATTTAACTATGCTGAGCTCAAGGAAACAACAACCAGCAGCCAACCCACCCAGGCTTTAACACAGTAATCCAAGAATTATTTGTTGAGCATCTACTGTGTGCTGAACACTGCACTAAACATGGTGATACCACTGTCACTGTTCTCATGAGGTTACACTGTAGTGGAGAGAACGGATTTATAAATAAAAATAATCACAAGTTGTGAAAATTCTATAATGGAAACAAACAAACTGAGAATAACGAAGGCAAGTGGTAATAGTAACGGCAGCAGGAACTAATTCTGCATAGTGCAAATAGTGGCACCATTGGAATAGTGACAGAGTATGTCTGTCTCCAGACAGAAAAGACCTGAGGCAGGAAGTAGCTTGGCATTTTCGAAGAATTTAAACTAAGATCTTTACTAGAGAAAATAGTGAGGCAATGAGTCTGACAACTTAAGCTGAAGAGATAGAGGCAGAACTTGAAAAACTTTACAAGAAGTTTGAATTGTAATGTAGGTCAAGGACTCACAATATGATTCATGTCGTGAGAACATTTTTCTTCTGGCTTGAGAATGAATTGATGAGATCGACAATGGCAGAAGGCAGACTAGTTAGGAGACTGGAAGGAAGACATTATGGTGGACTTAACTAAAATGGAATCAAGAAAGAAGAACTAAAGTAGATAGACTAGAGAAAGAGGGAATATAAACAACTATATATTTGGACTTAAAATTCACAGTATTTACAGATAAATTGGATACTGTGGATAAAGGAGAAGAAAGAATAGCATAGCAGGCTCTACCCACATCACCTTGGATTCCTTTTAACCATTTTGTGTGCACCTCTACCTCCTCTTTGGTGAATCTCTGCTTCCATTAGCCAATACTTATGATTTCTTTGGAGGACTGCTGTTGAGCTACTGGAGCCACTTGGCTCACAACAGAGAGAGCTCAGAATGTGGGAATGCACGTTCCCTTGGAAAAGTTTTTAACAAATGATTAGTGAGTATAGGAGTATGAAAGCTCCAACTAGGGTCAAGACAACCTGGAGATTTAAACTAGAGTCTTGAGTTTCCCTGAGAGATCTGGTGGAATCTACATTCTATGGGAACTTTTCCTGAGATCTCATTATTGATGGACATCTTCTTCTCCCTGTTCTGTTTCCATAACTTCCTTACCAGTCTCCCATGATTCTTTCCTTAATAAGTCATTTGCAAGGAATCCTGTTATGGGACCTGCTTCTAGGGAACCTAACCCAAGACAGGAAGTCAATTACTCATAGATTCATAACTTTACAGATGAATACTGGGGTGGTAGGAGAAAGAGTTTGTAATCAACAGTAGTATTTTAAATGATCAATTACCTTAATGTAAATTATCTTGCTCCAACTTCCTTTTCACTGACCTCTTATACCTTAAACTTCCTTGTGTCTTTCTCCTCTATTATATTTTCCTGATAAATCTCTAACCCTAGATAAATCCCAGTGCCTGCCTATTCCACATCTGCACCTGCACGGTGATCTTAACTTAAGAAAATCACATGAGCATGCTGACTGGTCTCGTACAAGGTTTATGGCCGCTTATCTCAAGCAGTGCTTTCCCAAGGTCAAGAAATGCTAGTAATAGTATAGTTCTATATACCATTATCCCAAGATTTTAGAAAAACATTTTACATCTTTTCTTCCCTTCTCAAACTTCTAACACTTTCTCCTCCCATCCCCCACCATTCTGATGGCATCGGTTCCTATTTCACTCAGAAAGCACAAGTAGTCAGAAGAGAACTTTCTCATGGCTCTATCTGAAGGCCTTTGCACTTGTTCCTCTACCTGCAACTCTTTACCTGGGCATGTTCATACATCAGTCTCTCACTTCCTTCATGTCTCTAATGTCACCATATTCAACAGATCTTCTCTGATCACCCTTGTTGATTTATTTCAAAACAGAGCTCTTATTATCATTAGGAATATTATATATTTGTTTTTATATGTTCTAATTCTCTTTCTCCTTCCTCTGAGCTCCACAAGTGTGTGTGTGTGTGTGTGTGTGTGTGTGTGTGTGTGTGTGTGTGTGTGTGTGTTTTCCACTGCTTTGTCTTCAGGACCTAGAAAAGAATTTGACACAAAACGGATTTTCAATCATTATTTGCTGAATGAATGAATGTTAAAGAAACCTTGAGACATCCAACTCCCCAACCAAAGAATTAGGTCCACTGTGCAACTCCATTTTCTATAGTAGGTGAGCACTCTTATTATTCAACTACATTATGATTATTATTGCAATTACTTTCCAGTTTGAGTATTTTATCTTTAGCTACGTATTTCAGTTTGGTAAGTGGCATTGAACATTTAAATTTCAAGTACAGTTTTGCCTATTTAAATAATCTATAGTTACTTAAAATATATAATACAATATAAGCATTATATTGTATAATAGCTGTTATGTTGTATTTTTATTTGTATTATTTTTATTGTTATATTGTTATTTTTATTGTTTGGAGTGGGGTTTTAAAAATCTTTTTCTATTGAGTAACTGCAAACTCTGTATTTTCCATCAACAACATTTTAGCCAAATGCATATCACTTTGAGAAACTAGAGAGAAGTCCTAACAAGGAAGATAAGTATATTCTATTTAGTACCAAATATACCTTCTATAATTACAAAATAACTATTTTGTCAGGTCTATGTAACACAACTGGAGGCACTTTTCATGGTCAGTTTGCTACATTTTGGCTCTTCAGAATTCCGTATTGAAGAGCTCCTCACCCTTCTTTAAACAAGTAAACTTAAAACATACAGGCAGACGCACAGGGACTTGCAGAGACATACCGAACCAGGTATTAAATCTGTCTAGCAGGTTAGCAGAGGGAAAGAAAGGTTAAAATTATTACCACAGGCACATAAAACACTTTTAACATTTGGCTGTCCTAAAATACTCAGTTTAGGCATCCCACTATATCTGTGTGAAATATCAGCCTTTATTGAGTATTTGGAGGAATGTTCTGGAAAGCGGATAAATTATTTTCCATATCGGTTCACTTTGCCTCCATAAGTCATCAATCGAAAAACAGAAATAAGAAGAACCATTCCATTTAAAAACAGAATGACTTGCCCCAGAATTGGGACATTCATTTTAAAAGTGGGAAAGTTACAGAGGTGTTAGAGATCTGTCCAATAGATACTGAAGCCAGTCAATAGCAGAACTGGGCAAGAACACAGCTCAGGTAAACTCTTTCTACATTCCAGTATTTCTCAATCGTATCCTCCAGGTCTGCAAGATTTTTGTTATGAAATTTTGTCTTAAGAAACTGAAGCTGTGTTTCACTAACTTGTCTGTAATTTGTAAAAATATTACTACAGAATAAAAGTTTTAACTTTATAACTTTATAATTCAACATAAGAGCAATTGCCAGATGTAAAGCAAAGAATATTTCTCAAGATTCAAGAAATTTAATGTTGGATCACACTATGGGACACTATTCTCTCCCTTCACTCACAAGTTGAGTAGTAAGTGTCTTTAATCATTCCATGCCATGAGTCCTGTCCCACTGACCCCAGCTCACATCCTCCATGCATAGAGGCTTTCCTACTGCCTCTTTTTCTTCAACAGTTACACTGAGTAGGGGCTTGGCACATAGCTCACAAAAAGGTGTCTTAAAGGAAACTAAAACCCTGTAGGAGATTTGTAAAATCTTTCCCTTCCAATTCAATAAGCATTATGCACTGTCTACCACATGCAATGTAATTTCTTAGGACTGCAAAACTCATGATTATAATAATTAACACTCTGGCATGAGAGCACTTACAACCTAGAAGGGGAAACAGACAAGAAAAGTTCTAATATGACAATCACTATAACATGTGTTGTCATTGCAACTGCAGCTCAGATGTTAGAAATTGATTACATTGATTACATGGTTAACATTCAAACTGTCTGGTGTTTCTTTTATTTTCTATTTTTATCTCTTTTTAAGATCAGTGAATGATATAAAATACCAATAGTAGAGAAGTTTTCAAATGTTTACATTTTAATCTTCTATATAAAAGTAAATTTCAAGATTTTCACAAACAGTGTCTGAAACACATTAGGCAGGTGTTCAATAATTATTTGTTTAATGAATAAATAATTGAATGTGATACAAAATTTGGGATTGTCAAACTGCACACCTGGAAGCTGATTTTGACTTAAGGATAATCAATGACTGAATAGCTTTAATAAATTCCAGATTCTAGGTTTCAGGGATTAAAGAAAGGAGGAGTACTGGGGTAGAACACAAGTTGATTACTTCTCAGAAGAAGATGCACTGGGCTGTCACTCAGTCAATCTGTGTAAGTAAGCCCTGGAAAGTCCTTCCTACCACCTTCTGATTATCTGGAGATATCTATTAGTCAAGAAACCAGTGGGGCTCCCTTCTTTTGGAAGCAGTGCGGGATACAGCCCTTACTGAGCCTGCTGATCTTCTGAAAAAATCATTGCTGCCTCTGCGTGACAGTGTTCTTACACAGAGAAGGAAAAGGAGCATTGAAGCAGCAGTGCAAGAAGGATATCCACACAACAGCCCAAGTTCTCAGCTAAGCTTGCTCATTGATGTTCTCACTGAAGACTCGCTAAGAGCAAAACAGGCCTTGAATAATGACAATGTAGAAATCAATTTTTTATCCTTAATGTATTTTGTTAAGAAAATATAAATTTGAAACTTAATAGTCAAATTTATTTTAAGCAAGTGATAAGGGGAAGTGGGATTAGTAATTTTAAAAAACCAATAGTATTCGTTAAAAATTCAACCCCTTCTTTTTCATATGGCAGTTTTCAAATATGTATAAGACATTTATCACTAAACCTTTGCATTTAATGAATATCATTATATAGGTAAAATTAATTTTGTTTGTCAAAGATGCAATAATGAAGAGCTACATTTCAAACATGACTTTCAATTTACCTAAGGTAAATCTATTATTTTATCCTCCAATTACTAGATAATTGACTTTTTAGCCATGGTATAATTGATATCCTCATAAAAGACTTTCCATTAACCAATTTAGAAATAAAGCTACTGTAATACTTCTATACAGGATTTGATCTTCTCACTTAAATGCCTTTTCAGCTGCAAAATGCCTTTGCTTTCAGAGCACCTCTGTTTCATGAACTGTTACAAAGTGAAAAGTTTTTATGTGAACATTCTCTTGCTTAACCTTTCCCTGATACTGACATCAATGATTACCCCTCTGAAAAATTACATCAAATGTTTGCATTTGAGGAGTCAATTTTTCCCCACAGATTGGAGGGGAGAGGAGGAAGAATTTACAGTTGGGAAGTGAAAGGTAGAGTGGGATTTGCTGAGAATACTCTAGGATATTATCAGTAGAAATAGGAAATTGCTTTTCACCATCATTACAGACACTTCCTACAGAATCCTGAATCATCATGAACACAAAGTGAAGGGGGTCAATTGTGATGATGATTCTAGTTATCATTGCTGGTTAGAAAGAAGTACTTTCACATTTATTTTTATACAATTAAGGACTGAGTTTATTTTTAAATGTTGGAGAAGGTGGCTTACCATCAACCCACACAGTTTAGTCTTGATGAATCTTAATCAAGTTTTCCTCTCCAGACAGCGTGGGGTTTGCAATTCCTTTTGACTACTCAAATAGATGAGCAGCCTAAAGAAAAGCAGGAACAGGCGCAAACAGAAGACCTGCATGCCACAGTGGTGGCATTTGGCTTTTAAATAAGGGCAATATCTTGAAACTAACTACAGCACACAGCATAGACTGGTGAACTCTGAACTGACGGACAGCACATAGCAAGGGTAGATGTCTTCCTGCCCTGGTGTGGCTTGGGCGTCACAGGGAGAGATATGCAAGGCTGTTTTCTAAACTGCCACTGAAAAGATAGATACCTGGCCCTCCTTTTCTAAGCAAGAGCTCAAAATGAAAAGGAAAACAACTTCAGCTCTCATATTAAATTTGAGATATGGTGCTATAGAGAAGCTGATATTTCCAGGAAGAGTTATAACAGCAGCAAAAACGGCCATTTGCTTCTAACTTTGAAAGAGTGACAGCCCACCAGGGTCTCAGTATGGCCCACCTACCTGCAGCTCTCAGCTTTTTGCACAAAATAGCAGCTTCTTACCATTCTGTGTCTTTTAACAAAAAAAGTGCAGTCTTGAAGAGGTTTCTTGGTGTAACATTAGCAGTTAATCAGATAATTGCTAAACCTCTTGCCAATAGCCTGCAGCCATTCACTGTTCTGAATAATAAGTGTATTATTAATTTCTTCATTCTGGCCCTGAGCCCCTGCTTCTGCTCCCATGGCTGCTTATCGAATCCCTGCTGTGTCAGCAGCCCCACTCAGATGCTTGGGCTTTCTATCTTTCACATAAACCGGGATGCAAATTGTTGCTTGTAGACCCCACAGGTAAATCCCTTCTAGTATTTAGAATGCAGAGATTGTGAACTCTTTTTTTTTCCTCTAGGAAGTTTGCTTTCAATTGTTCCCAGGTTATCAGAATCAGACCACAGTAGAACAAGACAGCTGATACTGTCCATTTCTACAAAAATCATGGTTGTTTGGCATGAAAGAGGCAGCCCAATTCTTATAGTGTCTGGGTTGCAGTAAGGTTGATTCCTTACTTCACTGTGAATCCCTTAATTGAGCAGCTACTGATGATAAGAATTGCAATAGATGCTAGAGGAGATACAAAATAAGATAATGATCCTTTGTGCTGCAGATATTATTCTCTTGTAGAGAGAAGAGATCCCTACATAATAACTAAAATGTAAGCAGAAATTAGATCAATGCAAAAGAGAAATAAAGAAAACTATACTACAAGGAACTCTGAGAAGGGGAATTCACAGCCTGTTGAGGCACGCAGCAAAAGTGTCATGCAAAGGGTTGTGTTTGAAGCCAGGAGATAAGTAGCAAGGACTGGACAGGAAAAATGAGAAAGATACTTTAGGGAGACAGGAGAACCGACATAAACTGAAACCTGCCCTGGGTTCAAGCACTAACTGAGTTTTTTGTGTGTACTAGGCACTGGGCTAGTCTCTGGAGATACAAGGATAAATCAGTCACAGTCCCAGTCTTACTAAAGAAACAAACAAGTAAGGTAATTATTATAGTACCACGTGATACATACCAAAGAAGTAGGCTCAAAGCAGAGGAGCATTTTTGACTAATGCATGGAAAGGAAGAGAAAATGAGCATGGAAAAACAAGGTAGGGTCCTAGTGAAGGGCCACAAAAGCCAGGGTAAGGAACCACAACCCAGGAGCAGGATGTGGAATTGAGAAAAGAAAGAAAGTAAGTACATTCATGAAATAAATATTTCATGGGGAGAATCAGTGGGCGGTGGGGGTAAAGGAGAACAAGAGAAAAATTCTAAGGTGTCTTCAAAGTTTCAACATAACTTTTATACAACTAAGCCCTAAACGGTACTCTTCAAAAATATTAGGAGTTACTTTTAAGATTTCCCAAAGCAAAAGAGGGGCAGAAGGATGGAGAGTAATTCTTATATGAAAAATTATAGTTGGAAGTCAAGCAATTAACTTACTGATATGTAGAGCTAAAAATATTTAGAAATCTATTAAATCACTTCTTCATGTTTCAACTAACAATATAAACTCAAAAGCGGGTAAATGGGTTTTCCAGAGGTGTACAGTTGAGAATTGCGAAGACTAGACCATAGAACAATTTCCAATTCCAATTCAGGACCCATCCTCGTCATGGTTCTATTGTGCAACTTGATCTTACGTAAGGATAGCAACCAAGACCTCTGCACCAAAAGCAATATTCTGCCTTCTTTGACAATCATCCTGGCAATCTGGCTACCATCCATCTGTTCTCCTTGTCTCAAGCTTTAACCCACTTCACCAGGCTACTACAGTGATCTTTCTGAACAATAATCTGATCACATCACTCCCCTTCAGAAAGCCCTTTAGTAGACCTTTAATCTATATTAAATCAAGTCCAAATGGGCTGGCCAGTGCCCAGCCCTAGTGATCACACCCCCACCCCACACTTTACTGTACTAGACCTCTCATCTTCATACCTGATTTAGCCAGACAGTTTAGTAAACATCCCAGGACAGTCCTTGTCTTTATGGCTCTGCTGAGACTCTGTTTTCTGCTTGGACTCCTTTTACAAATGGAAAACAGACAAAGGAGAGAGTTAGAGGTTCTCTGATAAAGAGCCGTACTGAATACAGCAGAACAGAAGAGGGAGTAGCTTTTTTCTACTTGTCATGGTTAGGAAATGTTTCCTACGAACAGTCTGAGAGTCTTTTTTTTTTTTTTTTTTTTTTTTGAGACAGAGTCTTGCTCTGCAAGCTCTGCCTCCCGGGTTCACGCCATTCTCCTGCTTAGCCTCCCGAGCAGCTGGGACTACATGCGCCCGCCACCACGCCTGGCTAATTTTGTGTATTTTTAGTAGAGATGGGGTTTCGCCGTGTTAGCCAGCATGGTCTCAATCTCCTGACCTCGTGATCTGCCCGCCTCGGCCTCCCAAAGTGCTGGGATTACAGGCGTGAGCCACCGCGCCCAGCCGAACAGTCTGAGAGTCTTAATGATGACTAGGTGTTTGACAAATGAATAAAATGGGCTTAGAATTTATAGCTGCTTTTGCACTCTCATGGCAGACTAGTTGTGATATAGAATACACGGCCTGCAAATCCAAAAATATTGATTATCTGCCCCTTTACAGAAAAGGTTTGCCAATCACTTTCTAGACTGTAAGCTCCTTCAGGTCAGAGACTATTTTCTATACTTCTATCTTTAGTGTTTAGCATATAATAGATACTCAACAAATGTTATTTGAATAAATGAATCTTTTTAAAATGGAAATATTTTGCATATTTTACAGGTAAAAAGGCAAAGAGGCAAATGGAAAATTTTAAAGAAAGTCTCTTCAAAAATGTTTAAATTGAAAAAATATACTTACATTAGCTGGGTCAGCTCTTTCAATTAATATGGAACCTCAACTATCTACAGTAATTAATTTTCCCCTGGCTCTGTGCAGCTGAGATTTTGCTTATCAGTGTTAGCACTGAATTTTTATGGAAGGACTCAAGTGCAAAGGTTGAATGAATGTGAGGTAGAAAAGTCCCCAAAGACGGCAAACTCTCTTCACCTATTTTCATAGCCAGCAGTGCCAGAATTGAGTAAGAGTCAAAAGCTCTCCACCATCAAAGACCTCAGGAGAAGCCACTCACCTCATGGATGACATACTCTGCCTGCATACCTGATCATTTGTCTGAATGTCTCTAATGCAATGGCCAGCCCTGTACAGCCTGGAGCATGAATTTATCAAAAGGAAATTGGTTCCTAAATGTAAAACTCAATACATCAAAATCTACCAGGCAGACCAGTGAGAGACAGAAAGTGGATTTAATATTGCATTTGGCCATTATAGCCTCAATCCATCCGCCATCGTTTACCCAAAGGCCTTCAAGGCAGCAGACGTGATAAGCAAAATTTTATTCCCCTGATGAATTTTTCAGGGCCGACCTTAATATTGAAGCTTTCAAGATGAGGAATGATTACATTTGACTGGTCCTCAAAGAGCCTCATCACTAAACAGTCAGCATCTATGGGCAGGACTGCTGGAAAGGATTTTCAACCCAGCTCAAGCCATTCAGTCAACAAAATGTACTGGGCCAGAAGTCTAAGTTAGGCATTCCAGGATATAAAAGATAGTATGGTAATAGTCCTTGCTCTTAGATAATCCATATAGGAAATGGAGAAAACAGATATAGAAGAAAAATATAGGGAAAGTCATATAGCCTAAGAATGAGTACAGATGAAAACAGATGAAGGAACTGCAGGTATCAGAGCTCTGGGGAGGAGGATAGGGTTATTTAGAACATTCTCCATGACGGAGACAGAGTTTAAATGGTCATTTGAAAATAGCAAAGGTTAGTAGAGAAGAATGCAAGAAGGAAACTTCAAACTGATGAGCCTAGTCTGAAATCTGTGACAGAGGGTAATGAGCGATGAAAGTGGTAAGATGTGGGCAGTTAATTAATTGCAAGCAGTCCTTGAATCGTGAACTGAGAAGCACAGACTTTATAACAGGAGTATCTTAACAGTTAGAGCAATGTTACTTTGCAAATTATTTTCACATGCATTATTTTCTCACAGTAATCTTCTTCCTATAGATTGAAATCCTCCCTTACTGTTCCTCCCCCTGGTACACTTCATCCTCAGTACTTCATCTACCTCACCTTCAAATACATGCTCAAGTCTCACCACTTCTGGGAAATAGTTTCCTGATTCCCAGACTAGATCAAATCCCCATCTTCCCACAATTTATTCTCAGAATACCATGTAAAATTCCCAAGGAAGACAATCCAGGGATAGGATGGTGGCTTTGTTTCCCAAACTTCCCAGGGACTCAGGCCCTCTCTGGTCTTTCGCTCTACTATGGCTTATGGAGTCTCCCTCATTCTCTTGATCCAAATGCAGCTCTGGCCATTGTCCACATTCCAATCAGCAGGACAGAAGAAAGGGACTAAAACAAGAGACAAAGGATATCCATCAGGTATCTAGAAACTGCCACATGTATTTTCAAATTTATTCTGTTGATCAGAACTTAGTTACATGACCACACTTCACTGCAAAAAAAAAAAAAAAAAAAAAAAAAAGATTGGCTGATGTTTTCTGCATACAGCTTCAAATTCTCTTATGTGGATGATGAGAAAAACAAATATTAGGCAACAATTAGTAGTCTCTTCCACAAGGCCAACACTTGACAAGCAGCTTTCACTTGATGGCAAATCTATATTCTCAGATTCTTTCATTGGTCCATTTGCTTCAGTGGGTTATAGTATCTTGTCCGGAAAAGAGTTGAATTTGGTTTGCTCACCTAGGTATCCAAGGCATCTAGCACAGTGTCTGGTTTTTTTGTTTTGTTTTTGGGTTTTTTTTTTCTTTTTCAGACTAGCTGACAAAAAGTTTGTTGAATCAATGTTGGTGGGTAACAGGTCATATGCCAATTTTATAGAAAAAAATGTTGAGTATCCTTTATTCTTCAGGTTTGTGAAAGTAATGGATATAAAAGAACGAATAAAGTCATTCTGGGACGGTGAAAGAAGCACTTCCGAATTTTAGTGCTATCTTTCAGACACCACACTACTCTCTAAATTGCATGTGATTGATCATGTACAAAATGTGACTTCCCAGCAATTTCTTCATCTGAATAAGAGAAAGCACTGCACAATAAAGGAATGCTTTTCTGAGTGTGGGAAATGGTGCAGAGGATGCAGAATGGTGAGATGCGACCAACTCCGGGAATCCTCAAGTCATACTAATAAAATCACAAGGTTACATGATCCTTTAGAAGACATCTAACCCAATAACCCCCATGAGAATCACCTGAGAAAAATGTTAAATCACCCTTTACTCTCTGGGCCCTAAAGCCTAGTGAATCATCATCTTCAAACATGAGGCTAAGTAAAAATTTCCAAAGATGGCTGCTTCAGACCAGCTATTAGTGTCCCCCACCAAAATTCTTATGTTGAAATCGTAACCACCAAGGTGATGGTATTAGGAGGTGGGGCTTTCAGGAGGTAACTAGTTCATGAGGGAAAAGCCCTCACAAATAAAATTAGTGCCCTCATAAAAGGGACTTCAAAAAGCTCCTTTAACCCTCCTGTCTCATGAGGTCATGGCAAAAAAAGACAACTGTCTATGAAACAGGAAGCAGGCCTTCACCAGACACTGAGTCTGCTTGCTCCTTAATCTTGGACTTTCCACCTCCAGAACTGTGAGAAATAAATTTTTTTGTATATAAGCTACCAGTTTATGGTATTTTTTAGTAGACAGAACAGACCAAGACAATGCCTAGGTTACTTCTGTTCACAATTAAACCTGAAAACACAAAAATAATTCAACAACACCTCTCCCGCCTCAATTCTGTATTTAAACTCACTACAAAACTACTTCTAATACTTTATGGCTTGCTTTATGGCAGACATCCAAACTGGAGAGGAAACATACTATTTTCTCCTTCCACAGCATCCTAAGGAAAGTTCAGCACATCTCAGGGGTATTATGGCTAGACTGGATACAGGCTTTGGTCCCCACAGGCCTGAGTTCAGCCTGGATTTCCAGTTAAGTATGAGTCCTTGGGAAAATTTTTAAAACTTTCCAAGCTTCAGTTTTCTCACTTTCTCATCTGTAAAATGAGGGTCATTATACTACTAACTCAATAGGTTTGGGGTTTTTGTGTTTTTTTTTTGGTAGCAAAACAAAATATGTAAACCATTTAGACAAATTGTAGACATTATTTCTTCCAATTTTTTAGGGCAACTATACCTAGTGTCAATTATATTTTTATAGGCGTTAACTGAGAAATATCCTAAAAGGTTTGCAAAAATCTCATAAGTCATAAGGAAAAGGAATCTACGTAAACAGTTTGAAAGATACAAGAAATGTTTATTATCATGTAAATGGGGAAATATACACTTGACTGGTGTGGATCCATTTTTTTATCTTTATGCTAACGTCAAGTGTCTGATATCTATGTATATTTGTGGGCTTTTCATCAAGTCACAACAGACTTTTTTCTTCACTAATTTGCCTATGGAAAAGTGGTGACTTTTTAAAAGTTAGACAATGCAGTTTTTCTCGTCACAATGTTTTAAAACCACACAGAGAAGCTCTATGAAATAGGAGTTTCTTTGTATTTATAATGAATTTAGACTTTCAAGATCCAGGACCAACTAATTCTTCTTAATTTTCTCAGTTTCCTATTGTCAACCAAAGATGAAGCAGTACTAATGACCACATTTTAAAAAGTAATCCTCAAATATTCAACAGATAGTTTAACAGCAACTTAGAACATGAATGCTAGGGGACAAATTATACCCTGCAAGCTGAGCTAGTATCTATTATTCTTGGTGAATGCAGCCAAAAAAAAAATGTGTTATTGGCACCAAATGAAATAAAAGAACAGAGCTTCAAGATAATACCTGGCAGAGGGGGGGCAATGGGAGAGGGTGTCTTTCACAACTCCCGTGGCAGTGTACTGAAACAGAAAAGTACTAAGGGAAGACAGTACAGGAAGATTAAATATGATCTTGAACAGTGATATCCCCAGAGATCTTAGGCTTTTTATTCTTCCAGACCTAAAAATTGTCAGGATTTTGAGTAAATCACAAAAGCAATTGTCATCGAGAGCATTCACAGCTGCTCAAACAACTATTTTAAGGCAAGGGAAGCTGGCAGGCAAAGTGAGTATTGCAGCAGGGAGTCAGTGAAATGAATAAGTATGAAGAATATAAAACACTGTTAAAAAGTAAGAGCTGCCACATTTGAGGCAATTCGGCCTCAGTGTTTACATTTATATAGAGGGCTGTTTATGGGATTGTCGCAATGTATGCTTTTACCATTTTAATGCATAATGGTGTTGCCATTGAGGGTACTAGGAAGAAAATGATAGACCAGTTTCCAAGACAGACTCCAGGTTTAACTGCCTCATAATTTCTCAAATGCCTCAGAGTCAAAAATTTTGTAGAGGCAACTTCTGAATGACTAACAACCTCTAAGCCAAAAAGAAAATCAGAATTTAAAAATGATGACGCTGAAAGTAATAAAAAGGATGCACATAGACTGCAGACTTCTGCCTCCCATCCCTGTTCAGAAACCATATTCATAAACTAAAGAAACTGAACTCAGTCTCCCCACTGATGTGATGGACATCATCTGTAGTCGTAAACATTTGGCAAAGCTGAAGTTAGTAGTTATTTTATTATAACATTAATTCACTTACCCAAATGGGATTACACACTGTGGTATTCCTTTATAAGTTAACTTATATTAAATATTATAAGCAACATATTTAGCTGGGTATTGATGTTTACTAACTTTTTGTGGCTTTAATTTCTAATAAAAATTCCTATTAAAATTGATAGTTCACTTTGGGTTTATCGTACATTTGGAATAAAGTTGTCTTTTCAAAAAAATCTACTTCAAGGACATTTATGCTATAGTTGACTTTACAACAAGGGAAATAATATGGGTAATGAATAATATTCTGACATGATCAGCATTTTAATATGTGAACCAAAGCAAGATCAAAATATTATATAGCTCAACGGTAATTTATTTTAACCACTTCTTATTCATTTGACAAATATTTACTGAATATCCACTTTGGACCATTTACTGGGGATACATCACTGAATAAGGATGTCCTGTTCACTCTCATCACATTACTTAGAGTCTATTAAAGGAATCAGAGATCAAATAATTACAGTAGGAGCCTGTTTTTGTTTTGTTCTTGGCAGCTTTGTTGAAGCATAATTGACACGCAATAAACTTTTGACACATGTATATACCAATGAGAATATCACTATATACTCAAGATAGTGAACACATCCATCACTTCAAAGTTTTCTCATGTTCTTCTGTAATCCTTCCTTCCTGAGTCTCCCCATATGCCTTCCCTCCAGGCAATCGCTGATCTGTTCTCTATCACTACAGGTTAGTTGGCATTTTTTAAAGTTATAGAAATGAAATCATATAGTATGTATTTTTACTCATATGCCTTCTTTCACTCAGCGTAACTATTTTAAAATTCATCCATGTTGTTGTATATGTCAACAGTTTGTTCTTGGTATTGCCGGATAGTATTCTATTGTTTGAATGTACCACAATTTGCTATTCTGTTGACCTGCAGTGGATATCCGAGTTGCTTCCAGGTTTTAGCTACTACAAATAAAACTTCTACAAAGAAGCCTGGGTTTTAATTATACATGGGTTATAAGTGGACATGAGGAGAAATGGAGTTCAGACTAGAGGGAAAATCAAGTGGCTGTACTTTGGAATAAGGCTAACACTCCAGAAAAGAGGTATGGGGATTTTGCTTTCAATCATCCTCCTTGTTTTTGGCAGGTACAGGGATAGGCTAACCTAAAGACACAAAGAGGGGTTAATAGGTACTTTACGAAGCCTTCTCATAGAGTCCACATTCACAGAAACTATCTGCACACTGTAAATGCAAGCGAATCTACCTTCTGTTTCTTGAAGAGAATGAATGCCTTGATCTATGTATATTGGCTGCCCTCTTGAGTATAGGCACTTATCAGCTTTATCTAGGCTGATGTCATCAGAAACCAGGAACTATGCCTCATACATCACTAAATCAGCCTCCACTGCAGTACCTAGCACATTGGATCCACTCAGTAAATATTAGTAGAAGGAAAAAAAGAGGGAAAGGGGGAAGAGGGTGAGGAAGAGAGAGATTACATAATGGTAAAATCAACGAAGATGGAGATATACTAAATAAAAATCTTACAATTATTTATTTTGGCTAGGAGCATGGTTAAAAATCAGACATGCTATAAATACTTGCATAATGCTAAAAACATTTTATGGTAATTTCTATGATCTGGAAATAAGAGGAAAATCCCATGGGCAAGAGGGCCTTCTTGGTGGAATACTAGTTTGTTCATACCTCCATTAGCACCTTTTTCTCTTCACTTTATAGTAAATAACAAAATACTTTAACTCTTACTGGACAGTGAGCTCCAAAATATCAACTATCAATGTATCCTCAGTTCAAAAGACAGTGCCTGTTGATATTCAACAACAGTTCAGGTTAGGCTAATCACTACAAATAACCAAGGATTTAATCTTCAGTACTTCAGGAGAAGTCACTTAAAAGTTACCGATCTTCCTATATCTCCTTATTGCAAGCTATACTCCATGATAGGACTTCTCTGTACTTCTCATATTTCCTACATTTGTTCATGATGTTGCATCTAGAAAACCCTTTCAAACCTTCATATATATCCCTATTAGAAATTCCATCCATCTTTTAAAACTCAAATGAAAGACTATTTTGTCCATGAAGGACTCTTTAATCGGTTTAATTGACAAGAGATCCTTTCTCTTTAAGTCCAGGCTACTTTGTTCCCCACCTCCTTCTTCTATGGTCCTTATCCCATTAAGCCTTGTACTATTATTAGTCATGTATTTGTTATTATCTATCTTACTAAACTGTAATATCCTTAAGAGATATGTCTTATTCATCTCTGTATTTTATCTAGAGAATTTCAGAATGACTTGAAAATAGTAGGAGCTTAATAGATGTTTGTGATTAAATAAATAGATTAACAAATAAAAGAATGTAAACTTTCCAGTGTTTGCATTATGTGAAAGGCAGGAAGAAAGATGCTTTCCTCATATCTCACCCATTGTTTCTAATCTAATGTGAGAAAGCCCTACCAACATTATACACTGGGGAAAAAGCTATGGGTAAGTAAATGCTATTGAAGTAGAAATGTGATTTTGATATAGCAAGTTATAAGCCACCAACTCTTTGGTTGTAATTAATCCAGGTAATTAGCCAATTCCCTAGGAGGATCCTGACAGAAAAAAAAAACCTAGGTCAGGCAAGTTTTGATGGGAAGAAATGCAAGGCAGAAGAGTCCTAGTGCATCTGTAAAGACAATGAAGACCTCTAGCAGAAAACAGATTTTTGACTCCTGGATTTAGATTTAGAATGTTATGTGCATTTTCATAAAGTACATTTTCTCTAATATGACCCAATACTCTCAGTTGTTGACTAGTGCTGGGTAGAACAGGAGTCTTGGCCCTCCCTCTGGGTACTAGGGCAGCAGGATAATGTGTTTACGTTCTCAGAGGTTTAATCACATTATTGACTGACATTGAGTGCACTGTGGAGGACATCCCCTAAAACCTTGTACTTATATTCATGAAGTTATATTTCTTCTACTCTGTAATTATGTCATTATGCTTTTAGACTTGAAAACTGGACTCTAGATTTATCTCAATTATTTTTAATAGGGATGTACTCATTGCTCAAGAACACCCAACTCATGTTTGGAAAAATTTAAAATCTCCCACATTTCTACTCTATTATATATTATGATCATATCATTCACTTCTACATAGACAAAATAAAGTAGAAAGCTAGTAGAAATTATCTTTAGGAGAGAAATCATCTACTATACCAGAAAATGAAGAGAGAATAGAACACAGTATTCATATACTTTTTTTTCTTAATCTAGCAAACAAATATCAATTCTCTGCTTAGTTTACCTGTAGGTACACAGCTAGAATAAGAATTCTAATTTAAGGGAATAAAGCCATCAATAGAACTGTTTCTTGACCAAACAGTATGCATTAAGCTGTTGTAGAGCAATGTACCAGGCACTGTGCCACACCTTGCTTTGCTTTAGCTGAGACCATGCAATTCAAGTTTTCCATCCTCTGTGTCGAGTCTAATAATTGCTTTTGTTTTGTATTCTTTTTCTCACATCACATATTTCAACTTTACTAATAAATTGTTGAAGAAAACCATAGAATACTACAAATGAGATCTATTAGTTGCACCATTTTATTAATAGCATTTAACTTTGGCTGTTAAACTATTAACATATAATAAAAAGCTGCAATACTGCATTAGCAGGGTAAATGCATTCTAGTGAATAATAACAAACCATTCACAATTTACTAGGAGCTCAATTTAACCCAAATTATATTGTTAACAGTATGGCTGGTTTACTCACATGAAATTTAAAGAAGCGCTCTCAAGAATTAACATAAAATACCTTATGCTGTTTATGCACAATATAACTCACAGATAGAATGGGCAACATAAATTCCCAAAATTAACGCTTAAGCCAGTCTCTTCAGAATAGCTATCAATGTACAGCCTTACAAAATATATGCCCATCTCTTTCATTTTATCTATATGTCTCCATTTGTACTGGGTTTTATTTATGGTAGTAAAGTGAAATATATCATATTGTCCCTGTTTGGAGACATATGGTGTTTTATAGGCTCCATGGTCTACCCATAAAATTAACAGAGTTTGACAGTACCATTACAAGTAATTGTAGCAATAGCCTTAAAATAGAAAAACTCTGACAAAACCTTTTACTTTTCACAGAAATCCCCTCTACGCCATTTCTAGATAACAATCATGCAAAATGCTAACACTTGCTGCATTGTCACTATGTGTTACTTTACACCCATGAATATCCATGAGGATTTACAAAGCAGATGCTGAGACAAAGAGTCATAGGATAACTTCTCTGTGATCTCCTAGCTAGCAACGGGCAGAGACAGAGCCCAGAAGAGCATCCATGCCAGCGCCAGTGCTTACCCATTATACTAGACAGTCTTTCAGTATCTGTGGTTAGGCAGTCTCTGCTTAAGCAGTTATAAAGAGGGATGCTCATTTTCTCTCTAGGCCACCCATGGTATTTTTTAGCATCTCCTGTTCAGCAAGTCCTTCCTCTATCGAATCTATATAACTGATATTTATATCTCTTGGTCCTGGATCAACCCCTTAGAGCAACTCAGAATAAATCAAATGCCTCTATTTGTGACATATCTTCAAGTATATAAAAAGAGCAACCACGTTTCCTTCACACCTCCTTTTTACAAACTAAACACTTACTAGTTCTGTCAACATTTTTTATTATGACATACTTCCCATTCTTACCACATTCTGATTGCTCTCCCCTAACCACAATTGTTCGTCAACAACAATTTTAAGTTATGGCATCAAGACTAAAACACAATATTTCAGATATGAGCTGACCATTAGAAATAGTACTGGAATTCTACCCTCCCTTGTCCTTGTCTCTGGTAGACCAAAGAACCTTAGCATTTCTGATTAAATGCTACTTCTGACTTTTTGTAAGCCACGAGTAAATCCTTGAAATGCATACCATAATGAGAATATGAATGTGTTTTTTATAGTCTGCTTTTATTAAATAACGAAGATAAAATCATGGCTTAATTTTTAGCACATGCACTTCAAGATTAGTATTTACCAGTAAGCCACTTGCCTAGTGAGTGAGTCTAGATAGCTGCTTAGTCTTCCCATGCTGATGAACATCATTTTAGATCTAAGGACTTGAGGAGTTTAGACCAAATCCTGCATGTGCAGCAATAGTCAACTGTGGTACAGAATGTAATAGGCACCAGCTCATATTTCTATCTCTTTCTGACCTTTAAGTCAAGAAAATTACCTAGATTATTGAGTCAACTCTGTCCAAGCCTGTGCTTGAATATCATTTATATTAAAGTTTAAAAAATAAACTATGTATTTATCTTAGTAAATTTTATCTTTTAGTTTAGTCGTGACCTCTGAATCCTTGCTTGGTTATCCAGGCATTAGCTCTCCCTCTCAGAGCAATGGTATCCTCAGATTTGATAGCATGCTATCTTTATCAATTTCAGGATCTGATTAAGAAAGAGGAAAGCAGGACAAATCTCATAGTCCTGGCTATGCCACTAAAGCAACTGTTGAGCCCAGCAAAGTCACCAGGGCAGAGAACAGCACAGTAAGGGAAAAGGGAAAGAGCATCGGTACAGGATCTGGAGACCAGCTGGAAATCTAACACATAATCAGGCCACTACAGACACTGTCACCTTTGACTACATCTTCTCTGCCTCTGGCATCTCTAAGAAATTAGATTTCAAAAATCAGAAACCCAAGAAAAACACTCACATCTTCTCAAGATGTTCTAGTAAAAGGTTTATGATGCTCCTGAATAATAAATGGTAGTAATAATAATGGTCCTCATTATTAAGTGTTTACTCTTGGCCAGGCCCTTCATGTGAGCTACTTCTTTAAATCCTACCAACATGCCGCTGAGGCAGATATTATTGTTATGCCTCTTTTACAAAAGAGGAAACGAAGCTACTTGCCCAGGATCCCATGGATCAAAAGAGCAATCTCAGGATTTGCATCCAGCAGTCTGTCTCCAGAGCCTGCACTCTATGACATTCTTCTACACTATTATTCCATCCTTTAATACAGAAAGCAATTTTCAGTTCCTGTATTTTCTTCTGAAAATGGTCGCAACCATAGTTTTATTCCGATTTATTTTTGCAGTCTAATGTATCTAGAACATTTACTTTAACTCTACGACCAAGTAAGCCTACTACTACCATCTTGAGTATCTGAAAACTTCCTTCTTTAGGTTAATACCTGTATTTTTCTTTATTGCAATTCAAGCTTTTTCATTTGTCAATGTGCTACACATGTATCATGTTCTCATCATTATACTAAGAGCCTGGGTAATGCTTAAGCTAAATCTGAAAGGTGTTTTGATTTGTTAACAAAAAATCCTAATCATACATTCAACAGAGAAGACAAAATATCTAAACAAAATTGTTCTCAATGAATTATAAAATTATATATCTGATCTCTACTTAAAAGAGGAGAGCCTAACTAGCAAACATACACATATTTTATGTCTAAAGTTACTCTGTATGTAGAAATAAAAAGGATCAGGAAAACTGCAGGTATCCTGCCAGGAAACTATCCTGTAATTATCTGTGAAACATTCTGTTATAATTTAAAATATACTGCATAGGATCACAAAGAAAAGAGCAAAACTAACTGAATTCTGCAACAGGTTTGTAGATTTGGTGACAGCTTCAACCCAATCCCCCTGGCCATTAAAGAAAACACAAGATTATATAAGAAACTTCCCAGCCAACACTTAAAGACATAATTGTCCCAACCCTTTCAACTCCTCATGATTAGTTCCACTTACACTTCAGGGACTTTCTTGTTGAATCAAATATTCCCTGATCACCAAAACTTCTGTTCTTGAGCCTGAAACTCATGAAGTTATTGTCAGCCAGAGAATCATCCAGAGACACATATGGCTGCCTAATGCTCCCCAGGCTCTTGTGAGGTAGCTGCAACCAAAAAAGAGCTGCAAGCCAAGCTGAGAGCCTAACAGATCCAGCACTCTGCCGGCACCAAAGCAGCCCTGGCTCCCTCATGATTGCTCCTGGAGAAATTCCCCCACAAATTCTTTTTAAAATGGGCTACCCCTGTCCATCTAGGAATATATTAATGTGGAAATTTTCAGAGATGTATGCATAGAAAGAGGAGGACATCAAGAGAACTAGGAAAAGCATTGGCATTTCTCTTAATGGTGGTAGGATACCTCTTCGTGACCAACTGTGTCAATCTCAATGTGAACTTGCTCTTTCTAGGCTGCAGGGGATGTTTCCCTGCCCAGTACTGAGATTGCTCCACTCGAAGTTGGCATTGTTCAATGTCCTTTACTTCTTGCTCTATTATTGACTTAGCTGCAAGTTCAACTCAGATTCTAAAAAGACTAAAAGGGTCCTTACTGAACAGTAAACATAAAACCTATCACCAGCTCTCCAATGCATAGGACTGACTTGTGGCTGGTTTCTACCCCTAAGCAGGAAAGAGGCAAGATGAGCTCCTACCACCCCCATTTCTTCAGTTACATTTTTATTTGTCATATTTTAGCCAAGATGACTTTCTACATGGAAGAAGATTCAAATGATCACAACTGTTTACATTAGTATTTACTAACTGCCAGATATGTGAGTAAATGTTTTAAATTCATTGCCTCAGTTGACCCTGATAACCACCTTCTGAGGAAAGCACTATCACGTGCCTCATGTTTCCAGTAAAGAAATTGAGACTCAGGGATAAAATTTTTGTTTAAGGTCACACAGTTCCTAAGTGGATGGAGCAGAACGTGAACTTGACCGCACTAATGGCAGAGCTATATAACTTGAAGTAAAAATGCTCTCAATTTCCTACTTAATAGGATAAATGCTTAAGAAATTCAAATACAAATTGAATAGCCTTTCAAATGATAGCTTTTACCATTTTTTTACTTATAAGCAGCACAGAAAGGAGCTACATAGGATATAAAGGTGCTTTCAGGTCTAGATTTTAGGAAATATTTTTGCTTTGTCAGTTTCTCAAACTTAACTTATTCCAATGATATATTACACTGTTTATTATCTACAAAGAGGATAAATAGGTACAAAAATGTTTTTGACCCCTCAACAAAAGCAAATATAACCTCTTTTCCCAACCAGAAACCTTGGTCTGGACTTTGAATACTGATTTGGAAACAAGTTTTTAAAAGAATTAGCTCAAAGCAGCAGGTTTGTAGCTCATATGACACAAGATGATCAATGACCACATTAGCTACTAATCTAAGGCATAAAACATGCATGAGGCATTAGCATGGAAATCTAACACGTTCCCACCTCAGGTGGCACTGGATTTCTAATCCGTTGCCCCATGTAATAGGAATAAACTTAAATAGCTTATTTAGAGCTTCATTTACAAAGTTAATAATTAGAATGATTTACTCAAAAGGCAAAGAAGGAAGGCAGACAGCTGGGTGGGGTGTTGAAATGCAAGGAAGAAAATAACAGCCATTTTCAAAAAGCCAAACTCAACTTCTTAGTAAAAATGACTTTGCTTGTAATTTTGTCTTGAAGGACATTCCCCATTCTTATGGAAGGGAATCAGAGTTAGGAAAAAGCATGAGTTCTAGAAGCTGAGTTGGTTAGAGACCAATAAATAGATCCAGGACCCTAGACAAGTTGTTTAATCACCCGAACAAAGGTTTCTACATTTTTAACATTTGAATAATAATTCCTGCTTTGCAAGGAATAAAATTTAACAAAAGCAAAGTGGTTAATACAGTGCCTAACACTTGGGAGGTACTGAATTACTATTGATTTCACCCCTTACAGGATTCACCAGCAAGTTCCAAGATACAAGCAAGATCTCCTCTTCCCGGTTCTGCAATAGAAGGTTCTGATCTAGTCACAGATTTTGACATAGTAGTTTTCTCACCTACATTCAGTGCCGGAACAATAGTTGGATGAATTGTTTAATGTGATGTTATATAAAATATTGGACGAATAAAGTTCAGCTAATTAGAAAAAAGCAGGTATATAGTTTTTCCACCCTTCTCTCAGGTGATTCAAGTTTCTCTATGTAGCATTTTTGTGACCTGGTTTAGGCTTGTCTCTAACTTTTGAAATGTCCAGGTCAAGAGTCCCAATGAAAATCCATATTCCTAAATATTTGAAATGCATAAAACACCTGACAAAATTTAAATGAATATTATAGATTATTTCCTATAACCTAGACAGAAGTACCTTCATAATGACGTGGAAGCCTAGATTCAAATTTATAATTGTGAGAGGACTTGGAGTTCTGCGCCAAGACATAGTATCGTGGGAAAAGCCAGCTCTTCCTTCTCTTTCCACCCCAGCTCTATCCTACACAATGAGAGGACTTGCACACACATGTGTGCTCCAATTAAGTCAGCCGTCTATGCATGTGGATCACGCATATCCAAGCCCCATCCCCACTGACCACCCCAAAACTACCCATCAAGCCCACTGACACATCCACAGACATCATGGTTGGTTCTTTCCCAGAGGAAATTCCTAAGGAAGAGGCCTCTGTGAGCTCTAGAATCTAGGAATTCCAGGGTCTCAGGTACATAAAACATGTCCAGAAATGAGGGTGGTAGGCACCAGGTGGCCATGAGGACTCCAGGTGGCTCTGAAGACACACTGCCCCATGTAAAAGGGTAGGACCAGAGAACCAGATCGGAGCCTGTACTACATGGAGCCCAAAACAAGGGTCTCTCTTGCCCTGGCTCAGTAAAACCTACTTGCTCAGTCGAGTTTACCTCCACATCATCCCAAGTGCTATCCTGAAGAACAGAGGGTTCACATATTCATTGCAGGGGAACTCCGTGTTATCCATAAACTTGCTGCAAGGCAGATTGTCTTTCTGCAAGATAAAGTATGGACATCATTATTAACCCTTCTAATTTCACTTTTATACACTAAATCAGTCCTGATAATTAACATGTTCCATTTTAAACAACTAGCTGGGCTAGTTTCCTATCAAGAGACAGGAAAAAATAACTTCAATTTTCTTCACAGAAATCTATGGAGACATATATATGTCATATATATGTACTTTAGGGATTCTTTTTCATAGAAAAAATTGTTCTAAGGTATTCTCATGCTCATCCTTATCATATAAAAGTATATTCTGCCTCACATGTCTAATAATATTTGGCAGTCTTAGCACTGCTAAAAGATTTTTCTGGGCCACAGAAAGACCTTTTACAAGTGGAATTAGGCCATAACACTCACTTTTCGAGGGTTGTGAATACAAGTTATAAGCTACTATTCACAGCTTGTCATTGACTCATGCTGCTGCCCTCACAGGAAAGAGCCAGTAGTGAAAGGGCTTCAAGATACCCATGCCCACGAGACTGAAGCTCTGCCAAAAGCCAGAAATTTCACTCATGGACAAGTCGAAGGACCTTTGATTATGACGATATCCCTCCATGAGCTGGTCCTTTCCTACTTTCCCTCTCCCATCCACCATTATATCCTTGCTGTCTCTCAAGGGCTCTCTACCTCTGAGGGTCTCAAACCATATTGTAATCACCTGGAGAGCTTTAAAAATCAGCTGTTGAGATTCTGATTTAATTGGTGCAACCTGGCCATGGAGTTTTTTTCCAACTCCCCAGGTGACTCTAATGTGCATCCAGGTTTTAGAATCACCTTATCATACGCCCCCAATCTGCTTGACCTTTTCTGAACACAGCCAGCACTCTCACACTCCTATGCCCTTCTGCTTCAAATATCCCTTGCCTACCTGGCAAAAACTGCTTCTCATCCTATAAGACTCAGTCAGGTGAAGCCCCACTCAAGGAAGTCAGTCCTTCCCATTTTGAGCTGCGAGAATACCTCGTGCATCCCCTTAGTACAACTAACAGAGACTATATAATTCATCATCTAAACCAACACACTGTTGAATGTCAAATTAAACACTATTAATAATTATGCTGAATGACAGGTATCAACTAGGACTATCTCAGGCACATGGGACATAAGATAACCCTAATTATAGCTCCTATTATATTAATCAGTAATTGTGTACTGGCTTGTTTATCTCCCACCTTATTCTGTGAAAGCCACTAAAGCAGAGACTGTATATATTCGTCTAACCTCAGTGTCCAGCACAAATTAGATGCTGAATAGATGTTTCTAGAAGATGCCCTCTATTTTATAATGGCTAAGTGCATGGACTCTATAACCAAAGCACATGGGTTCAAACTCCAGCTCTACCACTTAGTAGCTGTGTGACTGGATAATTTGTGTGTCAGTGGCTTCATTTCTGAAATGAAGATAATAATGGCATGTACTTAACTGGGGTGTTTAAAGGTTCAAATGAGTTTGAACCTAGAACAGTACCTAAACATAGGAATAAGAACACTATGTAAGTGTTTATTATTTTTAAAAAGAATAAACCAATTGAATATACTCCAAGTGGCTTTTTTTCTATGAAACTCTTTCAAACAATCACGCCCATACTGAATGCTCACAGTAATAATGGCTAACCTTTACTATGACTCACCGTGTGCAAGGCACTGTTACATGCTTTACATACATTTTCTCATTGACCATTCATCACAAGTCTATCAGGGAAATATATCTATCTATTACCTTAAGTTTACAAATAAAGAAACTGAGGGCTCAAAATAAAGGTTTCCACAGTCCCTCTATTTTATCTTTCCCTAAGGAAAAAAAAAAACTTCCATTCTCTCTCCCTGAGAGTTTCTTGTGATTTCTTTGAGAAATAAAAGGGCTTCTCTGAAGTCTCTAAGACAACGTACCTAATGTATGAGGAAATGGAGAGTGAAAAAGCAATGGCAGTGAAATCTGTGCTCTAGAAGGAGCCCGTTATTGCTTTTTGAAGTGTTTTAACAATTCATGAGCCAACATTATCAAGGAGGTAATATATAGAAAATATTATTTTGGGTACTGAGAACACCCAAAATTATAAAATCTTCCTCTTACCTCCAAGGAGTTCAAAATCTAGCTGAGAAAAGAGAGAAAATAGTAAATACCATTATAAGGTTTAAATAGCAGTAATATAAGGGAGACTCCCAGAGCAACATATGATTAATTCCCAAATAAATGATAAAGTTTGTACCTGCCACGTAAAGTCAGGAAAGGACGGACTTTTGAAGAGTGGAGACTGAGAGGGCTTGAGATTTGTGTCTTTAAACATTTACTGGTTGAGGGGTTAAGATGGCGGAGAGGAGGCAGGACTTGCTTGCAGCTCCCACTTGGATAGACGGAGCAGCCTGTGAAGATTTACATCATGAACTTTTGCTCCAGCGACTACCACAGCAACGTACCAGGAAACCCGAGAGAATCCACACACCCTTTGAAGGAACTTGCTGCGGGGTCCCTAAGACGCCAAAAAACTGAGTCTGCTTGCTTTCTCAATGGGGAGGCTTGTGGTCTGAGGCAAATTCTCAGCCCGGGTCACTGGCTTCCTGGAAACTGACTCCAAGCTGCTCACGGTGGGAGTGAGACGGGCCTTTAGGACTGCAGGCTGTGTGGGAGCGGGGTGAAACCGGTGACTGCTGGCTTTCCCCCACTTCCCTGGCAACTCAGCAGACTCAGCAGAGGGAGCCATAATCTCCCTGGGAATATAACTCCAATGGACTAGGAGCCCCACCCCCATCCCCCACAGCAGCTGCAGCAAGCCCCATCCAAGGAGAGGCTGAGCTCAGACACGCCTATCCCTGCCCCAACCTGGTAGTCTTTCTTTACCGGCCCTGGTGGCGGAAGACAAAGGTCATAATCTCTTGGGAGCTTTACGGCCCTGCCTACCGCCTGAGAAACCAGGATACTTAACCAGGCCACACTAGGGCAAGTTTGTTTCCTCCCTATAGTACTATATTGTACTTTTTTTTTTTTTTTTTTTTATACGGAGTCTCTGTCGCCCAGGCTGGAGTGCAGTGGAGCCATCTCGGCTCACTGCAACCTCCGCCTCCCAGGTTCAAGCAATTCTCTGCCTCAGCCTCCCGAGTAGCTGGGATTACAGGCACCTGTCACCATGCCCAGCTAATTTTTGTATTTTTAGTAGAGATGGGTTTCACCATCTTGGCCAAGCTGGCCTTGAACTCCTGGCCTCATGATCCACCCACCTTGGCCTCCCAAAGTGCTGGGATTACAGACGTGAGCCACCGCGCCCGGCCTTTTTTTTTTTTTTTAAATACAGATTTTCGCTTTTGTTGCCCTGGCTAGAGTGCAATGACACGATCTCCGCTCACTGCAACCTCCACCTCCTGGATTCAAGTGATTCTCCTACCTCAACCTCCCAAGTAGCTGGAATTACAGGGGCCTGCCACCACGCCTGGCTAATTTTTTTTGTTTTTTTTTTTAATACAGATTTTCGCTTTTGTTGCCCAGGCTAGAGTGCAATGGCGCGATCTCCGCTCACTGCAACCTCCAACTCCTAGATTCAAGCGATTCTCCTACCTCAGCCTCCCAAGTAGCTGGGATTACAGGGGCCTGCCACCATGCCTGGCTAATTTTTTTTGTATTTTTAGTAGAGACAGGGTTTCGCCGTGTTAGCCAAGCTGGTCTTGAACTCCTAACCTCAGGTGACCCACCTGCCTCAGCCTCCCAAAGCGCTGGGATTATAGGCATGAGCCACCGCGCCCGGCTCTGATGTGCTCTTGAAAGCACCACCTCCTGGCGGGAGACGATGCAACTCAAAACCAGAGTAATAAGCAAAAACACAACCAAGGACCCACACAGAGTCCGTTTCACTCCCCTGTTACCTCCACTGGAGCAGGTGCTGGTATCCATGGCTACAAGACCTGAAGATGGATCACATCACAGGACTCTTTGCAGACACTTCCCAGTACCAGCCCAGAGCTTGGTAGCTCTGCTGGGTGGCTAGACCCAGAAGAGCAAAAACAGTCACTACAGTTCAGCTCTCAGGAAGCCCCGTTCCTCCGGGAAGCGGGAGAACACGACATCAAGAGAGCACCCCGTGGGACAAAAGAATCTGAAGAGCAGCCCTTGAATTCCAGATTTTCCTACTTACATAGTCTATCCAATGAGAAGAAACCAGAAAAAAAAAATCTGGTAATACGACAAAACAAGGTTATTTAACACCCCGAAAAATCATAGCAGCTCACCAGCAATGGATGCAACCAAGAAGAAATCTCTGAATTGCCAGAAAAAAAAAATTCAGAAGATCAATTATTAAGCTAATCACGGAGACACCAGAGAAAGGTGAAGTTCAGCTTAAAAAAATTAAAAACATGATACAAGATATGAAAGAAAATTCTTCAGTGAAATAGGTAGCATAAATAAAAACAATCACAACTTCTGGAAATCAAGGAAACAGAGAAATGCAAAATGCACTGGAAAATCTCAGCAATAGAATTGAACTAGCAGAAAAAAGAACTTCAGAGCTCAAAGACAAGGCTTTCAAATTAACCCAATCCATCAAAGACAAAGAAAAAAGGATTTTAAAAAATGAACAAAGCCTCCAAGAAGTTTTGGACTATGTTAAATAACTAAACTTAAGAATAACTGGTGTTCCCAAGGAAAAAGATAAATCTAAAAGTTTGAAAAACATATTTGAGAGAATAATTGAGGAAAACTCCCCTGGCTTCACTAGAGATCTAGACATTCAAATACAAGATGCTCAGAGAATACCTGGAAAATTTCTCACAAAAACATCATCACCTGGGCACATACTCATCAGGTTATCTAAAGTCAAGATGAAGGAAAGAATCTTAAGAGCTCTGAGGCAAAAGCATCAAGTAATCTGTAAAGGAAAACCTATCAGATTAACAGCAGATTTCTCAGCAGAAACCCTACAAGCTAGAAGGGATTGGGGTCCTATCTTCAGCCTCCTTAAACAAAATAATTATCAGCCAAAAATTTTGTATCCAGTGAAACTAAGCTTCATAAATGAAGGAATGATACAGTCTTCTCCAGACAAACAAATGCTGAGAATTTGCCACTACCAAGCCAGCACTACAAGAGCTGCTAAAAGGAGCTCTAAATCTTGAAACAAGTCCTCAAAATACACTAAAATAGAACCCCCTTAAAGCGTAAATCTTACAGGATCTACGTAACAATAACAAAATGAAAAAAAGTATTCAGGCAACAAGACAGACCATATGACAGGCCACAAAACAAGTCTCAGGAAATTTAAGAAAATCAAAATTATATCGACTACCTTCTCAGACCACAGTGGAATAAAATTGGAAGTCAACTCCAAAAGGAACCCTCAAAACCAAGAAAATACATGGAAATTAAATAACCTGCTCCTGAATAATCATTGGGTCAACAATGAAATAAAGATGGAAATTAAAAAATTATTTGAACTGAATAAGAGTGACACAACCTATCAAAACCTCTGCGATACAGCAAAGGTGGTGCTCAGAGGAAAGTTTATAGCATTAAATGCCTACATCAAAATGTCTGAAAGAGCACAAATAGACAATCTAAGGTCACACCTCATGTAACTGAAAAAACAAGAACAATCCAAACCCAAATCCAGCAGAAGAAAAGAAATAATGAAGATCAGAGCACAACTAAATAAAATTGAAACTAAAAAAATTACAAAAGATAAATGAAACAAAAAGCTGGTTCTTTGAAAAGTTGAGTGAAATTGATAGACCATTAGCAAGATTAACCAAGAAAAGAAGAGAGAGGATCCAAATAAACTCAATGAGAAATGAAACGGGAGATATTACAACTAATACCACAAAAATATGAAAGATTATTCAAGGCTATTGTAAACACCTTTATGTGCATAAACTAGAAAACCTAGAGGAGGAGATAGATAAATTCCTGGAACTATACAAACCTCATAGATTAAACCAGAAAGATACAGAATCTCTGAACAGGCCAATATCAAGCACCAAGATTGAAATGGTAATTTAAAAATTGCCAGCGAAAAAAAGGTCCAGGACCAGATGGATTCACAGCTGAATTCTATCAGACATTCAAAAACAAATTGGTACCAATCCTACTGATACTATTCCAAAAGACAGAGAAAGAAGGAATCTCCCTAAATCATTCTATGAAGCCAGTATCACCCTAATAGCAAAACCATGGAATGATATAACAAAAAAAAAAAAATTACAGACCAATATCCCTGAAGAATATAGATGCAAAAATCCTCAACAAAATACTAGCGAGCCAAATCCAACAACATATCAAAAAGATAATCCACCATGATCAAGTGAGTTTCATATCAGGGATGCAGGGATGGTTTAACATACTCAATAAATGTGATACACCACATAAACAGAATTAAAAAGAAAAAAATCACATGATCATTTCAATGGATGCAGAAAAAACATCTGACAAAAGCAAACATCCATTTATGGTTAAAACCCTCAGCAAAATCTGCACAGAAGGGACATACCTTAAGGTAATAAAAGTCATCCAGGACAAACCCACAGTCAACATTATAGTGAATGGGGAAAAGGTGAAAGCATTCGCTCTGAGAACTGAAACAAGACAAGGATGCCCACTCTCACCACTTCTATTCAACATAGTACTGGAAGTCCTCCCCGGAACAATCAGAAAAAGAAAAAAGGGCATCCAAATTGGTAACAGGATATCAAACTGTCCCTGTTTGCTGATGATATGATCATATACCTAGAAAACCCTAAAGACTCATCCAAAATCTCCTAGAACTGGTAAATGAATTCAGCAAAGTTTCAGGATACAAAATTAATGCACACCAATTAGTAACTCTGCTATGCACCAACAGCCACCAAGCTGAGAGTCAAATCAAGAACTCAACCATTTTCACAATAGTTGCAAAAAAAATTAAATACTTGGGAATACACCTAATCAAGAACATGAAAGACCTCAACAAGAATAACTACAAAACACTGCTGAAAGAAATCAGAAATGACACAAACAAATGGAAACACATCCAGTGCACACAGATGAGTAGAATCAATATTGTAAAAATGACCAAGCTGCCAACAGCAATCTACAAATTCAATGCAATTCCCATAAAAATGCCACCATCATTCTTCAAAGAACTTGATAAAACAATCCTAAAATTCATATGGAACCAAAAAAAGAGCCTGCATAGCCAAAAGAAGACTAAGCAAAAAGAACAAATCTGGAGGCATCACATCACCTGACTTCAGACTAATACTGTAAGGCCATAGTCACCAAACCAGCATGGTACTGGTATAAAAAATTGGCACATGGACCAACGAAACAGAATAGAAAAACCCAGAAATAAAGCCAAATACTTGCATCCAACTGATCTTTGACAAAGCACACAAAATCATAAAGCGGGCAAAGGACACCCTAGTCAACAAATGGTGCTGGGATAACTGGCAAGCCACATGTAGGAGAATGAAACTGGATCCTCATCTCATCTTATACAAAAATCAACTCAAGATGTATCAAATACTTAAACCTAAGACCTGAAACCATAAAGATTCTAGATGATAATATCAGAAAAGCCCTTCTAGACATTGGCTTAGGCAAAGACTTCATGACCAAGAACCCAAAAGCAAATGCAACAAAAGCAAAGATAAATAAATGGGACTTAATTAAACTAAAAAGTTTCTGCACAGCAAAAGAAATAATCAGCAGAGTTAACAGACAACCCACAGAATGGGAGAAAATCTTCACAATCTGTACATCTGACAAAGGACTAATATCCAGAATCTACAAAGAACTCAGACAAATCAGCAAGTAAATAACAGTCTTTTCAAAAAATGGGCTAAGGACATAGACAATTCTCAAAAGAGAATATACAAATGGCCAAGAAGCATATGGAAACATGCTCAACGTCACTAATTATCAGGAAAATGCAAATCAAAACCACAATGCAATACCACCTAACTCCTGCAAGAACGGCCATAAAAACTTTTTAAAAAAATAGATGTTGGCGGGGATGTGGTGAAAAGGGAACACTTTTACACTGTTGGTGAGAATCTAAACTAGTACAACCACTATGGAAAACAGTGTGGAGATTCTTTAAAGAACTGAAAGTAGATCTACCATTTGATCCAGCAATCCCACTACTAGGTATCTGCCCAGGGGAAAAGAAGTCATTATACAAAAAAGATACTAGCACATGCATGTTTATAGCAGCGCTATTTGTGATTGCAAAAATACGGAACCAGCCCAAATGCCCATTAATCAACAAGTGGATAAAGAAAATGTGATACAGATAGATATAGATATAGATATATAGATACCCCATGGTATAATACTCATCCATAAAAAGAAATGAAATAATGGCATTCACAGCCACCTGGATGGAACTGGAGACTATTCCAAGTGAAGTAACTCAGGAATGGAAAGTCAAACAGCCTACATTCTCCCTCATATATGGGAGCTAAGCTATGAGTGCACAAAGGCATAAGAATGACACATTGGACTTTGGGGATTCAGGGGGAAGGGTGGGGATGGTAAGGGATAAAAGACTACACATTGGGTACAGTGTACACTGCGCAGGTGATGGGTGCACCAAAATCTCAGAAATCATAACTAAAGAACTTATTTGTATGACAAAATACCACCTGTTTCCCAAAAACCTATTGAAATAAAATAATACATTTTTTAAAAAAATTTTAATTCAACAAGCATTTCCCAACACTCATCATGTGTCAGACACTCAGCTGCACACAGATATCACAGAGATTAGAACACACAACATAGTGCACTCAAGAAGCTCAGAGTCTAGAGGGGGATCAGACACATGGACAGACAATTCAAATGGTATAAGAATAGCTACAGCAGAGATGTGCATAGGTTACTTTGTCCAGAATACCATAAGATCCAGACAGGGGCATCTACCAACTTAGTCTGATAGTAGCAGGACAGTAGGAGGCCCTCTAGGAAAGGGGCTACCCAAGCTGAGTCTTAAGAGTTAAATAAGAGTTATCCGGGATAAAAAGAAAAAAAAAAAAACAGCTCAAAGAGCATTGTAAAAGCATGAGTAAAGGGAAATATAATAGTTAAATAACATAAAGAGTGAAAAATTCAAGCAAAAAACAACAGAAATTTTAGGAGATAAGAAAACTGGAGTCATATTAGACAAAATCTTCTAGAAACTAAGTATTTAGATAAATGCATGGGAGGTGAAATGATTGCTTTTTTAGTTTGTGTTGTTCAACAGAATTCCAGAAAATGAACAGATTTCATACTCATCAATGAGCTTCTTAAAAAAAAAAAAAGCATGTTATATACTATTTGAGTGTGTCGGGAACCAAGAAAATACGCAAAATGTTTGCTATGTGTCTTATTCTGTTTTCTGCTGTTATAAAGGAATACCTAATTCTGGGTAATTTATTCTAAAAAGAAATTTGTTTCTCACAGTTCTGGAGCTGGCAAACCCAAGAGCATGGTGCCAGCATCTGACAAGGGTCATCCTATGACAGGGCAGAAGGCAGAAGCAAGCATGTGAGACAGAAAGGAAAGGAGGGTGGGACTCCCACAGTAACTAACCTCCTCCCAAATTAATTCATTCAGGAGGGTAGAGCCCTCATAACCTAATTACCTCCTAAAGACCCCACCTCTTAACACTGTTACAAGGGCAATTAAATTTCAATCTGAGTTTCGGCAGGGACAGTCAAACCATAGAAGTATGTGAAAATATATATGCCTACACGCACAAATGCATGCACACACAAACACAAATGCATTTGCCAAAGTACAAACTACTCCTAGTTCATAAGCAATCTCAAAATTAAAAGTTGTTGGTTTTTGTCTTTAATACAGCCTTCCTTCTGGTCTCTACCAGTGATAGAAACAAGCTGACATAGCTCCTGGGGAAGTATGAAGGGTATATAAGGAAGATAAAACAACTCTTCTTTTTGGCCCTGAACTAAGCTTATAAAATACACTTGCCAGAAGGGAGATCTAGACAACATTTATTTGTCTAGTTTCATTTAAAAGTACATATAGCTTATCACCAAAAAAAAAGCATGCCTCAAAAGCAGTCACAGGCTTTGACAGAAAATGTCATGAAAAAAAATATTGCATTCTCTGTGTGTATGCATATATACCATTATGGCATGCTACCGTGTACGGTGTGTGTGTGTGTATAAAGATATATAATATGTAAATTAACTTTCCCTTTATCCATTAATAGGTCAATGAAATAACTGATCAGGGTGATGAAAGTACAAGCTCTGAAGTCAGACTGCCTGACATTAGGTCCTGGCTCCTCAATGATCATAAGCAATTTAGCCTCTCCAAGCCTCAATGACCTCATCTATAAAATAAAAATAATAATAATAATAGAACCTACCACATGTGATTATTCTGAAGATTGAATGAATATATAATGCATATAAAGTGCTTAGCATGTTGACTGGCATGTCATAAGAACTCAATAACAGTTGCAGGACCACTACACCTATACCAGATGTGATTCCAAAATAGATCTATTTTGGAAGGAGACATTTTGAAAAGCATTCAAGTGATTAGATAGGGCTGAGTAGCCTTTTTGATGCCAGCTATAAATTCACTCACATAAACTACTTTTGTAAAGGACCATCCAGTGCTTAAAACAGAGGATCATTTGTCATATTGCTCTCATAAATTCCCGTCACTTTGGCTTGCCTCATCTATATAAATGAGTCTTAAAAAAAAAAAAAAAAAACCCTGAATCTAATCACTCCTGGAGGCTGCAAAACAATAGATTGTTTATAAAATGTAGCATCACAGCTGACAGGCTTGCTGAAAATTGAGACAATGATACAGCCATAGGCTTCAGTAAAATGGCTGTGGTCAAGAAGAAGTTCAACAGCACTGATTAATCCCTAAAATGTAACAAAGTAGCAATTTATTTTTAAAAACCTCTATCTTTTCCCTTGGAATTATCCATCATCCTATTCTCTCTCCCATCCTCCTCTCTTGTTTATACCTTAATTCTGGGGAATAATTTTAAGAGGAAACATTTGCCAAGATTTTGAATTGCTTGTATTACTTAATGCATACACAAGTAAAAAAAAAAATACATATCCAAAATCCAAGTGTAAAAGCAGCCATTCCAGAGCTTGTAATATTTGGAGCCAGATTATAGATGGTAGAAATTTCAGAGAGGGGGGAAAAAACCTAGCAATCAGATTCAAGAAATATTTTTAAGAGAAATTTTGATCTGAAAACTTTGTGTTTTGCACATGTGAAAAATAGATCTTTCAATCAAGAGAAGCACAGGTTTTGGATAACATAAAGGAGCTCACATTTTCATATCTGACTTTCATTTTTTTCTGTTCTGGGAAAATAGAATTACTCTTCCATTGTGCAAGTCCACCTACTCAGAGGCATGTGATTAAGATCATAAGGAGCTCAGGTCTTCAGGCACAGAAAAAAATGTAAAAAAAAGAAAAAAATCCTGAAACCCAAGGTGAATTACCACTCTTTTAAGCTGTGATTAAGTTTAAAAATAAAACCATTAATGGTTTTTATCTGCAATTGAAACCAGAGGTCTACTTTTCCCCACTGTCTTTACTTTTGCCTTCAAATAAAATCTTATATATCTAAGAGTCTGTTTTTGGCTTAGGATTATTAAACCCTGATGTGATTCCTCCAGGGTTGAAGATCCTCATGCTAAACTGCTTACTAAAGGTTTACAAATTGAAATGGCTCTCAGGGGAATTTTTTTCTGCCCGGTGAGTTCTGTTACTGCTGTCTCTGAAGTCAGACATTATTGAGATAAAACTGATTAGAAAAGCCAAGGCTCTCTAACTTTCAACACCAAATAGGTCAGAAAAGCCTAAATCAGAGAGCTTGGAGCTCTTTCTGCTTTTATATTATTAAAAGACTTACTCTGGTAAGTGAAAGCCTTGTTTACTCAATACCAGTTTTCAGAAAACAATGCCTCAAAGCATCTTTTCTTTCCTTCCCCACACAACACTCAGAGCACAAATTTTTGAACAAATTCTGGATTAAACTAGTCTGTACTACCTGTGCTACGTCACCTGTTAACTAAACTGTGAAGTGACTTCTTACAGACCCCAGATGGCATGTCATGGCGGCTACATAGCTTAACAAGAGAATTAACAAAAAATGAAGATGCTTGTCTAACAAGGAGAAGGAAATAAAGAAACAAATAAAAATTTAATGCTCTTTCCTGAACCTCAGGTTTTAGGATGCCTATAAACTAAGAAAAACACCAGTTCAGCCTTCTATTTCATTCCTAGGTCAGTGATGTAGCATTATATATGATTTGTCCAAAATTTGTATTATTCTTCCTATTTTTTCTTAATAATAGAAAGTACAAAAGCTTATATAAGTAGCTCAACATACAAGTAAACTACGGTCTAAAAATTGTACCTTAATTTGTTAAAGCTTAGAACACTTTTTTCTTGGAAACAGTAACTGTCGACTTCTAAGACAAGTCCACATTCATATTGCAAAAACCCTATATCAAACCTCCCTAACAGTCGCTACTGTCTGCTCACCGAGTATTAAACATTTTTACTGATAAAACTCACAACTTTAAGGTAACTCATCTCTTTTGTGGGATAAGTCCTTTTGTACATTAGGCAAAATGTACTTACACTGAGCTGCAATCTGTATCCACCTACCACCTGGCAATTCCTACTATCGTAGCCAGGATCCATCCTGCTTCTTTTGCCCTCACTTCACTGTAAATGTGCCCAATTCCTTGTATCATTTCTCCTAATGTGGATTTCAGCCCTCATGCCTTACTCTGCACCATTTCCTTTTTAATGTCATTTGTGAAATGTGACGGTCACAGCCGGAGAGAATCAGACATGTGTGGCTAGCACAGTAGCTCACTGATTACCTGTGGCCTGGACAGTGTGGTTTTACTTTGTTTTGCTGAATACTAAGTCACTAGAAGACACAAGCAGCTGTGGATGGAACTTATTTGGGTTAGAAAAGAGTCTCATTGTTTATGATATGTGGCAGAGTGCCTAATGAGGGAAACCAACCAGAAGAGGCAAGAACTAAAAATACCAGCCACTTCTATATCTAGAAATGGAAAGAACAAACGACCTCTGAATAAATCTTTCTTTTCTGGAAGAATCATTTGGATGGCATTAGTTGCAAAATTGTAAGGCAAATAGATGCCCATCACCCTGGAGAAAAGTACAAAAAGAATCTGTTTTCCTGTAACTTGGCCAAATCTGTTTCTCCCAACTTCCCTTTGAGTTCCAAGCTCTGAAGGGGAATGAGAAGGAAGCAATTTGCATAAAGAACTGGAGGAGAAGGGCTCTCTGGGAGGGAAAGAACTAGCACACAAAGGAGCTAGACTACAAAGGGCCTCAAGGCAGAGCAAAGCAACCAAGCACCTGCAGTAAAGCAACCTTGGTGGTATAAAGCAATAGGACAAGAGGGCTGGTTCCTCCTTGCAGTCAAAGGAGAAAAAGAGAAATGAAAGTTTTCATTTGTTAGGACCCAGTACCCTCTCCTCCACCCCAGGAACACAACTAGGCTTTAAAGTTTGAATAAATTTATAGATTCAAAGATTTAACATACTCTTTGGAATCTGATAAAAAACATGTTAGCTTTTATACATCTTTTATACTTTTTATTGTGAAATATGACACATTTATAGAAAAGTTCACGAAATATAAATGCATTATATATATAAATAATTAGCTAAATAGCTAAATAAATAATTTTAAAGTAAATACTACCACTCATTTTTTAAATCTTTTAATTTTATAATTTTTCTTTGCTTCTTTTTAGAATTTCTGTCTTTTTTAAAAATCATTTCCAGTAATGTTGTCAACCCTTCCTTTTATGTTTTTGAATATATAAACTTAGTTATTTTAAAGTATTTGATAATTCTACATAGTCTCATTCATATCAGCTTCTCTCTCAGTGTGCCAGGTCAATTTTTAACATGCAATGGACCTTGCGTTGTTACAAATAATTTTAAACTTCCAACAAACAATGAAAATATTGTTTGTTGTTTGAGCCAGTGAAGCATCAGAAATCACTCTCAGCTTTTTATTGGGATTGAGCCTGGGCTGGGTGACTTCCCATCATCCCTAATCTTGGGATGTGGCCCTTCAAAGTCCAAACCTAAATCATAAACAGGGAGTTTTACCAGGGTTCTTACTTTGGACAGGCTTTCAACTCCAACTTTTGTCCCCTTAGTCTCACAAGGCTATCAGAAATAATTCTCAGTATTTTTATTTTCTTTTCAACAATCAGCAAACATAAGCAACATTAATGCTGGGCTAACCTCTCTATACATCTATTCTTGTTGAATCCTTGGCTCCATAATCCTTCAGTATATTTTTTACTATTTTATACCTTCAAGTATACGCTTTCCTATTGTTATTTAGCTGTTCTCTTTTTTATTCAGAATGTTGGTTAGAATTATCAGTTATCCAAAGTGAAAGTCTCTCCTCTTATTTGTATTTATTTAATCACCCGCAATAAATTAACCTAACTACTGAACAGACCTACTGCTTTATCTATACCTCCCTTATGATATTTATCCCTTCCAACCTTTTATTATAATCATTTTAAAATATTTCTCTCCTCCTTCATTCAATTTTTAAGTTTTTCTATGACAAAATTAATAACCATGCTTGATTCATTTATGAATTATCCCCATTCTTGAATGCTATCCACATTAGCCTTGCGGGAACTAAGTGACTGAATAAGCCTAAATATCTCTTGTTTGCACAACTGGGTGCATCTGAAATAGAACCTCTAAATTATCCTAAACTACATAATGGGTCATCTCAGCAGAAATAAGAAGTAGGCTGTAGTCCCAAACATCAGTTGTGAGTTGCATAAACAAGTTCCTCCAGACCTCATATAATAAGCAATTGCATACCTGCAGAAATAAATAGCAATATTAATACACAACAAATGGAAGCTTCGATACCCCAGGTTGCAGTTTCAATATTCATCTGCATATTTCATTTAGCGTCAGTACATGTGACTTAAATTGTGCAGCTATTGCTCTTATTAAAATTCATAAACTCCCTCTGGAATTCATGGCAGCCATCTGGCCAAATATTGGCTTCTTACATTTGAAACTCAATTGCATCAAAGTCACTGAATCTCTCAATCAGTTACAAAGGATCTGAGCTCTTAGGGCTTACATTGATTGGCCGCCATTTTCCTAATGGAGTCATAGCCTCTGTAATTACCTATTTGACAGGAGAGGTGCCTGCTTTCTGAAGGCTATATATCCTAGCTCTTCATTTACCTAAAATGTTAGTTGGCAGCCCTCATAAGAGCATCAGCTACAAAATGTGATTAGAGTTAATGTAAGTGTAACAGGATGATGTTCTCATCTCATCTCTACTTATTGCATATGGTTGCCACACATTATTCTCTAACATGGATTGCATTTCTAGAGTAACTTCAATGTACATTTTTATTTTATAATTCTTCAACAGCCAAAATTTATGCATTTGCACACACCTCATATCCACAGACATACTCAAGAAGTACTGCTTGATTCAAAAGCTAAAACCTCTCTTTCCAAATACATTCTGGTCCTTACAACATGAAGCATATCTCACCATGACTTTTCAATGTGCACAAGGAAAAGTAATTAAGAGCCCCTTCCTCAATTTATGCAAAGTACTGAAAAGAACACTGCTATTGGATTTAGAACCACATTCAGATTCCAGTGTTAGTTAAACCACTTATTACCTGCATTGTGTAAGTTAATTTTTAAAATCTCCAGATGTGTCTCTTCATTTATAACACTGAGATATTGATATCACTTTATTTTTTAATAATTATAATATTGTTATGAGATGATAATTTTATAATACTTTTTGTAAGTTTGAAATAACAAAAATTAAGCACCTAGCACAGTTCTTAGAAAATATTGGGCATTTGTACCAGTCAGACCTTGCTTAAGTAAAGAAGCTTCAGCTACCTCAAAATCTTGATGGTTTACAACAGCAAACATTTGTTTCTCACTCAGGAATCTTCAGTTTGTCTGTGGCTCTCCTGGAAGTGGTTGAGCTTACCTGGCCAGTTAAGCTGCATGTGGCTCCAGTATGCAGACTGGGTTCACACCTGCTCCATAAGTCTCTTTGTCCAGGATTCAGGATGAAAGGACAGTGCTTACATTGGGCATGCTCTTTTCACTGTGGATAGCAGAAGTGCAAAAAGGCTGGGAAAACTTTACTTGGACCTCACACACTATCACTTCTGCTCACTGCTATAGCAAGCCACATGGATAACCCCAAAGTCATTGTGACAGGGAAGTATATTCCACTCACAGGGAATCTATGGCCAGGAAAGGAGGAAAAGAACAGCTATGAATGAATACATACTCTCTAATACGCTATTCAATTAATGGTAGTCATTATAATTAGCCATTGTGTGACGCTGTGATGTTTCTGCCTCTATCCTGAGATCTCATAGCAAGTCATAGAAATATTTTCCCAATTATCTCCAAGAAACCAAGACTTCTAATGAACCTTTCATTAGATTATTTGAATGCCTCATTTTAAGTTACTGTGGTTATTCATTCAATAGGTACGAACAACCTATTGAATGAATTTCGTTATTCATACCTATTGAATGAATAACCAAAATAAAGCAGTTATCACTCAATATTTTTAAAGTACTCTTTTAAAAATTGAAAGTATATATTTTATTTATGCATTACACATACAATAAAATATATATTTATATAATATTTTTTAAATTATATATATATATATATATATATATTTCTTGGCTTCATTTGCTTTTTATAAGCCACAACAACCCTGTTAAACCTGGCAAAATAATATTTCCTAAAATACGATTAAGAGCTTTTTCATGAATTTGGGAGTCAGAATTCCTTGTTCATTTACCATCTGCCATCCCCACCCCCCACTCTCAAATTAGTGACTACTGCAAACTGTCTTATAGTTTCTGGCCCTATGTTCTAAATGGAACTTACATTTACCTCTTATTCTATTCAGCTTTTATTTCTACTTAAAATAGGGTTATCATTAGTTTTAATTCCCTTCTAGAATGTAACTTTCTACCAACTCTAATACTCTCTTTAAGACATTTAATCCTCACTTTTTCTCAGTCTGAATTATTTACAGTATCCAGATATCTAAGTTTCTGAGATTTTTTTATGCTCTCCAATCTTTTGAGGGACTTTACACCACCTAACTTATAAGAGGCTTATGATAGAGTGGTTTTTCTACCCTTTTACCTAAAAACATATAGTAGGGGCCAGGAATGTGGGGGATCATATTAGAATTCTGCCTACCATATTGGTTTCAAAAAATATTTATAAAATAGAAATAATAACGCATAATGTGTTCTTTAGGCAAAAAATCAGCTTCATAGTTTTGCAATTGGAAAGTACCTAAAAGATCATCCAGACCAACCATTCAACCTATGCAGAAGATTTTCTACAAACCGAAGGTCATCCAGCCTCTGCTTCAACATTTATATTGATGATGAGGCTCAATCGTTTGAAACGGGACATTTAAATTTTAAAACTCTGTAATTAATAGAAAATGTTTTCAATCTGTATTTCTCTAACCCCATTTTAACTAGTTCTTCCCTCTGGAAAATTTTTGAATCAAAATAATCTTCTCCAATAAAAGGCCTTTAAACTTAAAAATTACTATGATTTTCTTTCTAAAGCAGATAATCTAAGTTTTCTCTTCTTAGAAATTCAGGCTAAATATTCTAGTTCTAATATTATGCCATTCTCCACATCTTTCACCACCTTAATGGCCAACTTGTGAGTTTACTCTCACTTGTTAAAAATCCCCTTAAAACATTGTTTTTATACGTTGACCAAGTAGTATATCAGCTATGTTAATTCAGAGTATAAAAGAGCACAGCTCAACATTAGGAAATCCATAACTGTAATATATAATATAAACAGCCTAAGTAATAGGAATCACGTCATCATTTCAGTAGATGCAAAATATCTTTGGTAATTATTTATTATTTTAATAAATAGAAAATAGAATAGAATAATTCATTTGTATTTGTTGCAGAGTATCTTGTTCCAAAAAATCAATTTAATGATAAAATATTATTTACTTCAATTTTACAACTTACTTTTTTATTGAACAAAACATGCATATCTCACCATTCACTTTTAAAGTGAATCCGTTTAAATCAAGAATGAAATAAGGATCTTGTTATTATATAGTGTTATTTGGAAAGTTCCGGGGAATTCAGTAATTGTTTAAGTATTGGAAAGTTACATAGTAATCATTTTTGAAATCAATAAGGTATACCTAAAAATTATTTTAAAACTCCTAAAATGTTTGAATCACAAGACATTTAAATGTAGGAATATAACATAATTATGCCAAAAATTATATTTTAAACATTGATAACAGCCAGAAGTAAAACACAATGGAAAAAAGAAATGTTTCATTTGGAATCATGAAAAATGAAATAGTTAAAGAACATTACATATATATATATGTGTATATATATGTAACCTAGCTTTAAAAAAAGACAAAATAAAATAAAATCAAGACATATATATGTTTATATATAAAGAGAGAGAGACAGAAAGAGAAACATGTGGATAAGTGTACTGTATTTCAGAAAGTGGTGACAAAATGTTGCAAAGATGTCTAGTCTAGTTATCTTATAGAATTAGAGTTAGAATTCAATTAAAATTTAATCTGTACTTTTTTGTGCTGTGGAATTTAGCAAAATGATTCTGAAATTTATTTTGAAAAATAAACAAATGAAAATATCAAGCAGTAGTCATAAAATAACATCAACAGTATGTAAGGAGAAAGCGAAGAGTAACTTTAACAGAACTATTACACAGAAACAATAATTAAAACTCCATGACACCACTTCCCATATGAATATATCATTCAGTGAATTAGAAGAGAAAGATCAGAAACTGAATCAAAATATTTAAGAACTTCCTCTATTACAATTACACTCTTATAAACAATATAAAAGAATCATTTTAAGTATGGAGTGAGAATATTGGTTAACAACTTGAAAAAAGAACAAATTGAATCCACATCATTCTCTAAAAGGCAAAATATCTCCGTATGGAATAAAAATGTAAATAAAGTCAAACCATAGTAAAATTAGCAGAATATAATTTGTATGTATCAGATCTGGGAAAAAAATGATCACTCTCTCCTCCTTACAGCAGAAGAAATCACAAGATAAATAACTGGAGAACCCCTCCAAAAAAATTACATGCAAGAAGATGCCCTGGCAACATTAATGACAGAAGTGAAATATTGAAACTAAAATATATCTGTGAGAAGAGGGTTTTGTTAACTAAATTATTATATTTCAGTATATTATAACAGTATGCTGGTATTTATACATGATGATCATTAAGACTAGGTAAAATTATTAGAAATGTTTATGACAAAATCTTAGGTGAGAACATGACAAAATATATTTATAGCTTTTGAAAACCGTGTATACTCATTAGTAAGTTCTAGAGGCAATATCTTAAATCGGTTGATTGATAGCATGTACAGATTTGTCTGCGTGGAATCAGGCAAATGGTTTAATCTTCCAAGTCCTAATTTCTCATTAACGAAATAGAGGCACTTCATATCATTTTAAAGATTCCTCACGCTAGCATAATTAAAGTGTTTGGCTGATAGTCATTGCTCAACAAATCTATTATAATTAGGGGAAATATAGTATTCATCTTTCTTAAAGTTTCTTAAAACCGTGATGCTACTGCTTTTACACCACCCCAAAAAGCTGTTAAGTGATAACCAAGATAATCCAAATATCATCTGAGCAAATCAATGCTCCATGATTAGAACTCCCTCACCCCTTGCTATCTACTTACAAGGTTTCAAACTTCCTGAACCAATCCAAAGAAATAAAAGTAGTTATAACATTCACAATATTTTTATGTTTGGGCAAAGGGTTAACACAATGTTTTTTGTTTCTGTGTGGGTCTGATCTTTGGTGGTCTTCCTAGCTGTTACCTTGGAAAGAAATAAAGATGGTAGATGTCAACTATGTTATTAAGCAACATTGATTATGATGAAAAGAAGTGACCTTTGATAGACAGATTGTATCTAACCTGGGAGAACTATAAATCCTTGATGTGAGGCCAAACTTTGGGTTTCCCTAAATGTGATGACTCATAATTGGCCTGCCTCTCCGTAGAGACTCTGAAAGCTCTATCTATGGAATTGTCACAACAGATACTGACTCCTATCAGGCATGAGGCTTTCAAGCCAGGGCAGCCCCCACACCTGTCCAATGTGGATTTCACTTCTCCCTAAGTGAGTTGACCATGGGCAGTTGTGCCTTCTGCTGTGTAGACTGCTGTAAGGACTCCAGTGGAGAGGAATGTCTGAAGCTTCCCTGGGGACCAACTCTGGTTCTTGTCCTATGTCTTCTGAGTGGTCTAATGTCAAGTGTAGCATACGGGAGTGTAGTGTGTGTGAAAGTTTAGTCAAATCTAAGAAGATCCCTGATGACTGCTACAGTAAAAAAATTAAAAATAAAGAATTACTTGTATCCTTGGAATTGAGACAGGGAAAATGTTTTCTATAATTTTTTAAAAGTGTCAAGTATTACTTCATTGATTAGCACCACATTTTAAAGCAAATGAGAATCAGAGAGAAAAAGTACATATATGAACAGGGGCATCAGGGGAAGATTAAAAAATTTCTTGGGAGAAATGCTGTAGACAGTGTTCAGGAATAGGTTGTATTAGTCTGTTCTCATGCTGCTAATAAAGATATACCCAAGACTGGGTAATTTATAAAGGGAAGAGGTTTAATGAACTCACAGTTCCACGTGGGTGGGGAGGCCTTACAATCATGACAGAAGACGAAGGGTAAGCAAAGGACATTTTACATGGCAGCAAGCAAGAGAGCTTGTGTAGGGGAACTCCCCTTTATAAAACCAAATGAGAACAGCAAAGAAAAAACCTGCCCCCATGATTCAATTACCTCCCACTTGGTTCCCCCCTCCCCACCCATGACATGTGGGGTTATTCCAATTCAAGGTGAGATTCGGGTGGGGACACACAGCCAAACCATATCACAGGTTATTGACAACTTTGACTGGACAGTAAGTTCAATCTATCCCACTTCTGAATCTCTGACAAAATCACACAGGACTATGTAGCCCCATCCCATGGCTACAGTACTCCAGGGAAGCTTTATCACAGCACAAATAGCTGTTCATGGGTGGCTTTCTTGCAACAGCTTCAGACAGACTGTGCTCATGCTTTACCTAGTTTTGTACAAAAGGCCAGCATATGAGAGTCCAATTTATCTCAAGAGAAAGCAGGAATGAGACTCACTGGGTGACTGAAAGAGCTAAAAGAGCTCCTGAAGGAAGCACTAAACATGGAAAGGAACAACCGGTACCAGCCACTGCAAAATCATGCCAAATTGTAAAGACCATCGAGGCTAGGAAGTAACTACATCAACTAACGAGCAAAATAACCAGCTAACATGATAATGACAGGATCAAATTCACAAATAACAATATTAACTTTAAATGTAAATGGACAAAATGCTCCAATTAAAAGACACAGACTGGCAAATTGGATAAAGAGTCAGGACCCATCAGTGTGCTGTATTCAGGAAACCCATCTCATGTGCAGAGACACACATAGGCTCAAAATAAAAGGATGGAGGAAGATCTACCAAGCAAATGGAAAACAAACCACTAGGCAGTGGTTGCAATCCTAGTCTCTGATAAAACAGACTTTAAACCAACAAAGATCAAAAGAGACAAAGAAGGCCATTACATAATGGTAAAGGGATCAATTCAACAAGAAGAGCTAACTATCCTAAATATATAAGCACCCAATACAGGAGCACCCAGATTCACAAAGCAAGTCCTGAGTGACCTACAAAGAGACTTAGACTCCCACACAATAATAATGGGAGACTTTAACACCCCACTGTCAACATTAGACAGATCAATGAGACAGAAAGTTAACAAGGATACCCAGGAATTGAACTCAGCTCTGCACCAAGCAGACCCAATAGACATCTACAGAACTCTCCACCCCAAATCAACAGAATATACATCTTTTTCATCACCACACCTATTGCAAAATTGACCACATACTTGGAAGTAAAGCTCTCCTCAGCAAAGGTAAAAGAACAGAAATTATAATAAACTGTCTCTCAGACCACAGTGCAATCAAACTAGAACTCAGGATTAAGAAATTCACTCAAAACCACTCAACTACATGGAAACTGAACAACCTGCTCCTGAATGACTACTGGGTACGTAACGAAATGAAGGCAGAAATAAAGATGCTCTTTGAAACCAACGAGAACAAAGACACAACATACCAGAATCTCTGGGACACATTCAAAGCAGTGTGTAGAGGCAAATTTATAGCACTAAATGCCCACAAGAGAAAGCAGGAAAGATCCAAAATTGACACCCTAACATCACAATTAAAAGAGCTAGAAAAGCAAGAGCAAACACATTCAAAAGATAGCAGAAGGCAAGAAATAACTAAAATCAGAGCAGAACTGAAGGAAATAGAGACACAAAGAACCCTTCAAAAAATTAATGAATCCAGGAGCTGGTTTTTTGAAAGGATCAACAAAATTGATAGACCGCTAGCAAGACTAATAAAGAAGAAAAGAGAGAAGAATCAAATAGACGCAATAAAAAATGATAAAGGGGATATCACCACCGATCCCACAGAAATACAAACTACCATCAGAGAATACTACAAACACCTCTACGCAAATAAAATAGAAAATCTAGAAGAAATGGATAAATTCCTCGACACATACACCCTCCCAAGACTAAACCAGGAAGAAGTTGAATCTCTGAATAGCTCAATAACAGGCTCTGAAATTGTGGCAATAATCAATAGCTTACCAACCAAAAAGAGTCCAGGACCAGATGAATTCACAGCCGACTTCTACCAGAGGTACAAGGAGGAACTGGTACCATTCCTTCTGAAACTATTCCAATCAATAGAAAAAGAAGGAATCCTCCTTAACTCATTTTATGAGGCCAGCATCATCCTGATACCAAAGCCGGGCAGAGACACAAGCAAAAAAGATAATTTTAGACCAATATCCTTGATGAACATTGATGCAAAAATCCTCAGTAAAATACTGGCAAACCGAATCCAGCAGCACATCAAAAAGCTGATCCACCATGATCAAGTGGGCTTCATCCCTGGGATGCAAGGCTGGTTCAATATACACAACTCAATAAATGTAATCCAGCATATAAACAGAACCAAAGACAAAAACCACATGATTATCTTAATAGATGCAGAAAAGGCCTTTGACAAAATTCAACAACCCTTCATGCTAAAAACTCTCAATAAATTAAGTATTGATGGGACGTATCTCAAAATAATAAGAGCTATCTATGACAAACCCACAGCCAATATCATACTGCATGGGCAAAAACTGGAAGCATTCCCTTTGAAAACTGGCACAGGATAGGGTTGCCCTCTCTCACCACTCCTATTCAACATAGTGTTGGAAGTTCTGGCCAGGGCAATTAGGCAGGAGAAGGAAATAAAGGGTATTCAATTAGGAAAAGAGGAAGTCAAATTGTCCCTGTTTGCAGATAACATGATAGTATATCTAGAAAATCCCATTGTCTCAGCCCAAAATCTCCTTAAGCTGATAAGCAACTTCAGCAAAGTCTTAGGATACAAAATCAATGTACAAAAATCACAAGCGTTCTTATACACCAATAACAGACAAACAGAGAGCCAAATCATGAGTGAACTCCCATTCACAATTGCTTCAAAGAGAATAAAATACCTAGGAATCCAACTTACAAGGGACGTGAAGGACCTCTTCAAGGAGAACTACAAACCACTGCTCAATGAAATAAAAGAGGATACAAAGTAATGGAAGAACATTCCATGCTCATGGGTAGGAAGAATCAATATCGTGAAAATGGCCATACTGCCCAAGGTAATTTACAGATTCAATGCCATCCCCATCAAGCTACCAATGACTTTCTTCACAGAATTGGAAAAAACTACTTTAAAGTTCATATGGAACCGAAAAAGAGCCCGCATTGCCAAGTCAATCCTAAGCCAGAAGAACAAAGCTGGAGGCGTCACGCTACCTGACTTCAAACTATACTACAAGGCTACAGTAACCAAAACAGCATGGTACTGGTACCAAAACAGAGATATAGATCAATGGAACAGAACAGAGCCCTCAGAAATAATGTCACATATCTACAACTATCTGATCTTTGACAAACCTGAGAAAAACAAGCAATGGGGAAAGGATTCCCTATTGAATAAATGGTGCTGGGAAAACTGGCTAGCCATATGTAGAAAGCTGAAACTGGATCCTTCCTTACACCTTATACAAAAATTAATTCAAGATGGATTAAAGACTTAAACATTAGACCTAAAACCATAAAATCCCTAGAAGAAAACCTAGGCATTACCATTCAGGACATAGGCATGGGCAAGGACTTCATGTCTAAAACACCAAATCAATGGCAACAAAAGACAAAATTGACAAATGGGATCTAATTAAACTAAAGAGCTTCTGCACAGCAAAAGAAACACCATCAGAGTGAACAGGCAACCTACAAAATGGGAGAAAATTTTCACAACCTACTCATCTGACAAAGGGCTAATATCCAGAATCTACAATGAACTCAAACAAATTTACAAGAAAAAAACAAACAACCCCATCAAAAAGTGGGCGAAGGACATGAACAGACACTTCTCAAAAGAAGACATTTATGCTGCCAAAAAACACATGAAAAAATGCTCACCATCACTGGCCATCAGAGAAATGCAAATCAAAACCACAATGAGATACCATCTCACATCAGTTAGAATGGCGATCATTAAAAAGTCAGGAAACAGCAGGTGCTGGAGAGGATGCGGAGAAATAGGAACATTTTTACACTGTTGGTGGGACTGTAAACTAGTCCAAACATTGTGGAAGTCAGTGTGGCGATTCCTCAGGGATCTAGAACTAGAAACACCATTTGACCCAGCCACCCCATTACTGGGTATATACCCAAAGGACTATAAATCATGCTGCTATAAAGACACATGCACACGTATGTTTATTGCGGCACTATTCGCAATAGCAAAGACTTGGAACCAACCCAAATGTCCAACAATGATAGATTGGATTAAGAAAATGTGGCACACATACACCATGGAATACTATGCAGCCATAAAAAATGATGAGTTCATGTCCTTTGTAGGGACATGGATGAAATTGGAAATCATCATTCTCAGTAAACTATTGCAAGAACAAAAAACCAAACACCGCATGTTCTCACTCATAGGTGGGAATTGAACAATGAGAACACATGGACACAGGAAGGGGAACATCACACTCTGGGGACTGTTGTGGGGTGGGGGAGGGGGGAGCGATAGCATTGGGAGATATACCTAATGTAAATGACGAGTTAATGGGTGCAGCACACCAGCATGGCACATGTATACATATGTAACTAACCTGCACATTGTGCACATGTACCCTAAAACTTAAAGTATAATAATAATAAAATAAAAATAAAAATATATATGTAGACAATAAATCAATTTAGCATTCAAATCAATTACCAAGAAAATAAAAGCTTAAAAGGTAATCTGCACAGCAAAAGACACTATCAACAAAATGAAGAGACAACCTATAGAATGGAAGAAAATATTTATAAATCATACTTGCAATAAGGGGTTAGTATCAAAAATACATATGGAATTCAAACAACTCATTAGTAAGAAAATAAATAAGTCAATTTAAAAATGGGCAAAGGACCGCAATAGACATTTCTAAAGAGAAGACATACAATGGCCAACAGGTATGTGAAAAACTTTTCAACATCACTAATCATCAGGAAAATGCAAATTAAAACCAAAATAAGATATCATCTCATACCTGTTTGAATAGCTATTGTCAAAAAGACAAAAGATAACAAGTGTTGGTGAGAATGTGGAGAAAAGGAAACTCTTGTACACTGTTGATGGAAATGCAAATTGGTACAGACATTATGAACAATAGTATGGAGTTTCCTCCAAATATTAAAAATAGGCCTACTGTATGATCCAGTAGTCCCACTACTGAGTATATGTCCAAAGGAAATGACATCAGTATGTCAAAATGATATCTGCATTCCCATGTTTATTGCAGCATTATTCACAATAACCAAGAAATTGAATCAACCTGTGTTTTTCAGTGGATGAATGGATAAAGTAAATATAGTATATATACACAATGGAATACTATTCAGCTTTTAAAAAGAAGGAAATCCTATCATTTGCCACAACATGGATAAAACTGGAGGACGTTATGTTAAGTAATATTAGCCAGGTACAGAAAGACAAATGCTGCATGATCCCACATAAGGAATCTAAAAAAGTATAACTCACAGAAACAGAGAGTAGAATGATGGTTACCAGGGATGAGGTGGAAGGAGATTGGGGAGATGTTGGCTAAGAGATCTATTATGCATCATGGAGGCTATAGGTAACAATGATGTATCGTATACTTGAAAATTGCTAAAAGAGTAGATTTTAAGTGTTCTCACCACAAATGAATGATGTGTTTGAGGTAATAGATATGTTAATTAGCTTGATTTAGCCAATCTACAATGTATACATATTACAAAACATCATGTTACCCACCATAAATTTATATAATTTTTATTGATACATAATAATTGTACATATTTATGGGGTCCATGTGATATTTTGATAAACTTGTAAAATGTGTAATGATCAAATCAAGGTCATTAGTACATCCATCACCTCAGACATTTATCATTTTTCCATGTTGAGAACATTTCGGATCCTCTCCTTGACCTATTTTAAAATATATAATAACTTAGGTTAGCTATAATCACCCTACTGTGATATTAAACACTGGAACTTATTCCTCCTATCTAACTGTATTTTTGTATCTATTCAGCAACCTCTCTTCATTCTCCCTCACCCTTCCCAGCCTCTGGTAACCATGATACTATGCTTACCTCCATGACCAACGTTTTTACTTTCCACATGTGAGTAAGAACATGGGATATTTGTATTTCTGTGTCTGGCTTATTTCACTTAAAATAAGGACCTCCAGTTCCATCCGTTGCTAAAAAATCGCAGGATTTTATTATTTATTATGGCTGAATAGTATTCCATTGTGTATATATACCACATTTTCTTTATCCATTCATCAATTGATGGGCACTTGGCTGATTTCATATCTTGGCTATCATGAATAACGCTGCAATAAATATGAATGTACAGATATCTCTTTGACCTACTGATTTTCTTTACTTTGGATATGTACCCAGCAGTGGGATTGCTGGATCACATGGTATTTCTGTTTGTAGTTTTTTGAGTAACCGTCATACTATTTCCCATAGTGGTTATACTAATTTATATTTCCATCAGCAATATACTAGCATTCCCTTTTCTCCTTGCCAGCATCTGCTATTTTCCATCCTTTTGATAAAAGCCATTTTAACTATGATGAGATGATTGCTTATTGTGATTTTGACTTGCATTACCCTGATGATTAGTTAATGTGGAACATTTTTTCGTATGTCTATTGATCATCTGTATGTCTTCTTTTGAGAAATGCCTATTCAGATCATTTGCCCATTTTACAATCAGATTATTTGGGGATTTTTTTTTTTACTGTTAAGTCATATTCTGAGAATTAATCCCTTCTGAAGATTTGCAAACATTTTCTACCATTTCATACGTTTTCTCTTCACTCTGTTGTTTCCTTTTTCTATGCAGAAGCTTTCTTCTTGATGTAATCCAATTTGTCTATTTTTTCTTTCATTGCCTGTGTGTTTGAGGTCTTAACCAAAAATCTCATCCCAGACCAATCTCCGAAAGCATTTCCCCAATGTTTTCTTCTAGTAGTGTCATAGTTTCAAGTTGAATATTTAAGTTCTTTAATCTATTTTATTTGATTTTTGTATATACTTTCATTTTTCTGCTTATAAATATTCATATTCCAGCAACATTCATTGAAGAAACTCTCCTCTCTCCACTGAAAATTCTTGATGCATTTGTCAAAAATGAGTTTGCTCCAAATATACGGATTTATTTCTGGGTTCTCTATTCAGTTCTATTGGTCTATGTATCTATTTTTATGCCAGTACTATGCTGTTTTGGTTAGAATAGCTTTGTAGTATATCTTAAAATCAGGTAGTAGGATGCCTCCAGCTTTTTTCTTTTTGCTCTGAATTATTTTGGCTATGTGGGGTCTTCTGTTTCCTAATTCTCCACCCTTTTCCAGGTTGTGTTCTATTGCCCTGGCCTGCATTCAGCAAGAATCCTGTTAGGTCACTTTATCCAGAATCCCCCTTTGCTCCTGATATAATTTCCTCTCGCAATTTTCTATCCACTGAGCCCCACCCTGCTCCTTGGCTATAAATTCCCACTTTTCCCTGTTGAGCCTTGTTTCTCCTTCCTACTACAAAACCCCATTGTAGTAGTCCTTATTGCACAAAGTGTTTTTTTATCATCTTTGCCAAGTGTCAGGAGTAACATTTTCCTTAACAGGGCCCAGAAACAGACCAACCAAAAAGAAGGAAATGACAGGAAGATAATGAAAAGAAATCTGGGAGGACAGCAAAGAAGCAGGCCCAGTACAGATCAAAGCAAGAGGGTTAAGGAATTGAGGAATGATACTACCAAGAAAAAAAGAAATAGGAACCTATGGTGTCAGCTGTGAGCAATACTTACATAATCCTAAAAATGTAAACTAAAAATTCAGTGTTTAATTTTGCATGACAAAAACTGTAAATAATTTAAATGTCCAAAAAGTAGGGGTATTATTAAATTTGTGTGTATTTAGAAGATGAAATACCATATAAAAATTAATGAATGAACTAGATATATTTGTACTGACATGGTTAAATATCAGTAACATGAGATTCATTATGAAAAGAGCAGTTGAAGTAAATATTTATGTAAATATTTAAATTTAAAACAATGTCATTATTGTGATTACATATATATTAGTTTAAAAGTAAAATATATAAATTAGATATTCACAAAATTCATGATGATGATTGGATGGAGGGGAAGAAGGAAAAAGAAGGATCACGATTGCTAAGAGGAATATTGGAGACTCTGATCTAACTGTAGTGATTTATTTCTTTAAAAAATAATCTGAAGCCATTATTACCTATAACATACTCATCCCGAGGTTGAAGACATAGTGTTTGTTACAGTAGTATCCTTTTTAGAGTATGTTATTTTCTCACTCTAAAACAAAGATTTCAAGAAGCAATTTGCCTACAAAATTTCAGCCCCTTGATAGCCACAGAAACCAAGTTCTAGCAGAGAATTTAGGAGGAATGTGGCCTATCATTTTGTAATTAAGCAATTTATATCAGTCTTTTCTATTTCAGAACTCTCTAAACTAAAGTCTCCTAGTGATAAGTGCAGTAAACATCACTATTGACTATTGATAGATCAGTATCCTGGAGGGCACACCCTTCCATTAAGAACATTTTCCTCTGCTACCATCAGACCAAGGCACTGACCATAATGATAAACATTTCCATGCAATTTGCCAGACACTTACAGAGTTTACCTTTATTGAGTGCATAATGTACCAGGAAGTGTACTTTCATATTTATTAAGTGTCCCCCTAAGAGCCCGAGAGTATCACATAGTAGAAGAAATGTGAGCTTTAGAATAGGCAAACCTAAGCCTCGAACTGCTTCATCTCTTGCATGCCTTGTGAGCTACAAAATTTCTCTGACCCAGTTTCTTCGTACATAAACTGGAGAAAATTTGCTTACCTTATAGGTAATTATAAAAGGTGAATGAGATGATATCCGCATAGAGTCTAACACAGTACCTAAGCAGGACCTCGGTAAATGTTACCTTTCTCTTTTATAAAGTTCTGGGGGATTCAGTAATGTGACCCTGGTCACACCAAAATGAGAGAATCAAGGAGGCATGACCGTTAAGTGCATTGACTCTAGAGCCGGGCTGCCCAGGTTCAAATCCCAGCCCTGCCACTTACCAGCTGTGTAACTTTGGACAAGTTATTTAATCTCTCTGTTGCTTAGTTTTCTCATAAGTAAAATAAGAATAGTAGGGAAACTACCTCATAGGGTTGTTATTAGATAACTGAGCACTTGGAACAAAATGTAGTACATAAAAGCACTATGTAATTGAATGAATAATAAGTAATATATATGTCATGAATTCAATACATAGAAATTCATACTCCATGGAAGGAAATGTAGAGCTCCCCGTTTCACTGCACTATAGCACCACCAGCAACTAGCAGGGCTGGTGTCATATGCACATTCTGGTTTGGGGGTGGTTTGTGTCTATTATTCTTAAGTTTGGAGGGTGTAAAAGAAAGAGACATAAAGGGAAAGTTTGTCATTGACATCTTTAACTCTTACCTTCTGCGGATGGTACTCTTTTCAGTTATTTTGTATTTTTTTTCAAAAGTTTTAACTAAGCAAGTCATGGAAGCTCAATCTTAAGGTTTAGGCCAGGCACAGTCACTCAGACCTATAATCTCAGCACTTTGTGGGCCCAAGGTATGCCAATGGCTTGAGCTCAGGAGTTCGAGACCAGCCTGAGCAACATGGCAAGATGGTGTTTCTATGAAAAATACAAAAATTAACTGGGCATGGTGGCATGCACCTGTAGTACCAGCTATTCTGGGGGCTGAGGTGGGAAGATAGCTTGAGACTAGAAAGCTGAGGCTACAGTGAGCCGTGATCGCACCACTGCACTCCAGCCTGGGTAAGATCCTGTCCCCAAAAAAATAAAGTAAAACAGAATAAATAAATACATAAATCTTAGGGTTTAGCTACAATAATAGACCCCCATGTTTGCACTGAAATATGGACAAGTCTCTGTTCCTCTGTGACATGTCCTTTTCTTTTTCACCAGCAGCAGTGAGAACTAGCTGGCAACAATTTCCCATTATCCTCCTTCTGAAGGGCATGCATAACTCACTTAATTGCTTCACACTACAGTACACTGCTATCTAGAACCAGTCTGTTTATTTCCATTGTAACAGCATAGAAATAAATAAGCAATTTTCATACATTAGGAAACATAAGCATGCCAGAGTCTAATACATACATACGTATGTGATTAATAAACCAGAGCACTTAGATGAAATACACTGCACAGCACAAACACCATTCCATTAGAGCAGCCACTTGGGTGTGAGATATCACCCAGAGTTGTCTCACTGCTGGGCCCAGTAAAACAGTGCCAGGGTGGAAACTCATGGCACTTCCTCAGGATGAAAGCTCTCCTTTAGATTGAAAAATGAAGAGTGAGAAATGGAGAGCCAACTGTCCTGCTTTTGTAAGTGGTATTGGCTTTTGGTGAGCTATGAGCAGGCTTCATGACTCTGAGCAAATATATTTTCTGTGTCTTGTTTATTAATGGACAGAAAAGCTAGCCTGAAAATGAAATTGATTTTATTCACTTAGGATTTTATACTCCATTGCACAACCACAACCCAGCAAATTTTTCATTAAGAGAGATAATTACTTTAATGAAGATTAAATATAATTTAAAATTCACATTTATCTTTATCTACCTAATGCAGGTCAGAATTAGCCTAAAATGGCTGGGAAATGGGGAAGAAATGGGTTTCTTCAAAAAATTCCCCATCTGTTTAAGAGGAAATTGTCCTAATCTGACTGTCATTCCTGCCTTTTTTTTTTTCCTCTTTCTCCTCTTCCTCCCGTTCTATCCATTAATGTCTCCCACATCAGGCCCAAATCAGACCTTCTGCTTTATAATAATCCTAATTTGGGGATGTTTCACAGAGGCTGCAGGATAGCAGCAATTAATAGCCAGGATGCTTAGTGATCTGTGAAAAGCTGTATTCATGATGGGCATGTAGAAGAGAAACACTGAGATCAAAGAAGTGGCAGGTTAGTTTTAGAAATATCCTCCTTCCTTAACACAAAGTGCTTTACTCCAGTTGTCAAAGATAGGAAGCCAAGAATCATTTTAAACTCATCAGTATTACTCATATTTTATGTGGTGTTAGAACTGGTCATCATTAATGGCATTTGTGTATTGTTGTGGAAAGGGCATGTGCCTGGGAAACAGAAAAATGCAATGTTTACTCCTGGTTTTTCCTCTTTTCAGATGTAGTTAAAAATTGTTTCTTTGCTGAATCTCAGGGTCCTCATTTGTGAGATGGAGATAAGAATGCCCACCTTGAGTTCAGAGATGTAGAGTACCTGGCATTAAATAGGTACTCAACAAATGTAATATACTTTTTTACTATAACATAAATTTTCCTCTAAAAGCTTCAAATACTACACCAATGGGACAATTCTTCCTAGGTGACAGCAACACTCAATTCTGCAGAAGTAACCAGTCAGTTTTGCTCTGGGTTCTTGCTGTTACTGACCTAAGAGATGGCTGAGGCTAAAGGGGTGGCACAGGGAAGCACAGGTTTGTCAAACCCATTAGCACAGATACACACAGTCCTGAGTGTTTGGAAATTTAATTTCCAGGGAAGAAAACCAAGTCTGGTTTAGTTGGGATATACAACTGGATCTGAGATGTAATATGTGAAATAATAGTTCTCATTTACTGAATACCAATGAGATATGGTACATTACATATATCAGCATATTACATGTTATCTTATTTAATTAGTGTGACTATATAATTCATCATCTAAATCAAGACACATTCAGAGTAAAAGAGAATGCTATAAATAATTAATCAAGACAACAGGTATAAACCCAGATGGTCCTGGACAAATTGAACATATGAATGCCCATGTTTAATCCACACAATCACTGTATGAGCTATAATTTACTGAGGGAAACTATGATTCAGAGAGATTAAAAGTAATGAGTCCAAGGATGTACAAACTAGCAAAAGGCAGACCCAGGGTTGGAACCTCTGTCTATAAGATGCCAGAGGTTTTTTCCTCTAACATGCTTCCTCCTTGAAACCCTTTATTCAAGATATCAGCTATCAAATGACAGCATTAATTTCATTTTGAAAGTTTGCCTTTATTGAGTGAATAGCAAATTTCAAGCTCTGGGTCATGACTTCCAAATGCTATCAAGAAAGAGGGCAAAAAAAATTGTGAAGTGAAAGCAAAATGATGCCAGTGAAAGCAGTTATATCCTAATGTGTATCCGGCTCTCTTTGAGTGCTCGATGCAGCCTGACTATCAAAGGCATGAGCTAATGCTTACTCAAGCATGGAGAATGACAGTCAATAAGGCCAGACGTCAATAAGCCTGTTTCCCAGGTACTGGTCTATATTCTCATGCACCCAATGGATTCCTTGATCTAAGTCAACTCACTGCTGATATTAGGGACCTGAAATCACAAATGAATTTGATTTACTTCTATAACATTTTCTGGATCTTTTCTTTCCCCCAGAACATAATAAGGAGAAAAATGTTGAAAATGATCAACACTCACTCCTCTCCATGGTGTTTTAGTAGATAAAATAGATGGGTTTTCCACACTGTCAACCTTTGGCCTAACTATAATTGTTTATATTTTCCTTGTCTCTTTGCAAACCAGAAAGTGGGCCAGTCTAGCCTCTCTCGGAAGCTAGTCACATTGACAGACACAATAGAACTTGTATCCTGGCAAGGGAACAACAATTCAAATCAGTCATAAATTCCAAGCATCCTCAGTCACAATCCTTTAAGGAAAAACCATCCTCAGAAAGCAAGTAAGCCCCTAACTCTACGAGTGAGTGACCAGGTATTCCAATGATGCTGTAAAACAGACCACCTTGGGACATAATAAGAAATCCTGAGTCAAAATTCAATTATGTTTCTCTGAAGTTGTGTGATCTTAACATTTCACCCAAACCCTCTGAGCTTCAGACTTCTCAACTGTAAAGACATTGCTTCTCCAACTTTAGTAGGCATAAAAATTGCCCATAAATGTCATTAAAACACATTCCTGGGTCCCATCTTTGGAGATTCTGATTTATTACATTTGGTGTAAAGCCAGAGAATTGCATTTCTAATAAGTTTCCAAGTGATGGTAATGATGATGATGATCATGATCATAACTGTGGGCTACACTTTGAGTAATACTAAATTGTATCAATAATGCTGATCTCACAATTTCTGAAAAGCTCTGAAGAGAGAAGATGATCCTTAGCAAAGCTGCTGATTCATAATGCCTCTCAGTCAACACTGAATAAAGGATCAACAAAGTCCAGGAGTATTAGTAGGAATAAAATTTAGGGACATTTAACCATTTCTAATAGGCCAGGTACAAGATTTCATTATATTCAAATCCCTCTTGTTATAATATATTCTTTGTTAGTGTCCCAGTCTCAAGTTGTGAACTTACCCAAAGGCCTCCTAATTACCCCTTTCTTTTAGCACAAAACACAGTTTTTGGCTCACAAAGCCCATTCGTCCCCTTTAGGCTCAGCTGCATCTCCGTGGCATCCAAACCCCATTTAAAATCATTTTGATCACTTCTTTAAAACTAAAATATAAGTTTTCCTGTTAAAACAGTACTCAGGAAATAGATGGAATGATATTGACTTTGCTGATAACAGGAATCTCACGTTATACCAATTGCCAATCCTAAGGTAAGCGAGAATCCTTCAGTTTGTCCTTGTCTAATGCAACTCAGTGATCAGGCAACTCGCCTCTCACCCTCCCCTCTGCTTCTCCCTTCCCTACATTCCAGCTTTCTCTCTTCGTGACATTATTTAATCTCTCAGTTGCAGCTTCTTGGGATTAGCTACAGAATCTATTAATAGTTTTACTTCTGTTTACGGTTCCAAGGGGAGAGAAATAGCTAATTCCTTTTCTCCAATCTTGAAGATATGTCTTATTGCAAAGGGAGGAAGATGCACAGTCCCCGTGAACAACCTATTTCCACAATCATTCCACTGTAAAGATGCTAATGTGCTTCTTTGCCGAATGGATCCATTTAATAGGCAGAACAAGTTGGATATAAACTCTTTAATTGCTTTCAGCACACCGATTATCTTCCTGTGTCACCTATTGTATAATGCAAAAATGTTAACAAAAGCACTTACTGAAGACATTATTGGGAATTATAAAACAAAGAACCATCAGTTGTCACTAAATATGCTTTCATGTTCCCAAATGAAATGCATTTGTGCACTCAAGAAATAGGATAGAAATGTGCAGGCCTGCCATTGTCAGATGCAAACATCTTCATTAGATTTTGATCCAGCTGCTGCAAGATCTATAAAAAGAGCTATCAAAGCTGGCAACTCATTATTGGTTATTTCAGGAACACTTCAAAAAACTGTCCCTAAACCTGCACTGATCTTTTCTGACAAGTTCCCTGGCCAAGCTGTTTCTTTGGGAACAGGGGCATCGAAAACCTCCACCAAGTCATCCTCTTGGAATATTTCAAAGGATGCAGTCTTTCTGTGTCTGTTAGGGAGAAACCACAATTGTAGAGTCAACTTGCATTCCTGGACATTTGAGCTGTAAATCTCTGTCTGTCATCCCCCAAATCTTCTGTTCTGACCCAACAGCTTTCCTTAAAGATATATAAGTGAAAAGCAGCCAAGCCCAGGTCTTTATAGACAAAAAGGGAAAGATTAATATATGCAATGTCTTGTAATATCCTTTCTCTGTTGCAATAAATCTTCTTATGCATATTGGCAGTTAGCTTATTTCTAGCATATTATGTTCTGCAGGCACTAGCTTTTTTAAAAGAGAAAAAAACAGCAGAAAGGAAATAAGCAAGGAAGGAGAAGAAGAAAGAAAATAAAAGGAAAGGAGGAATAGAAAAGGGAAAGTGGAAAATAGTTTGAATCTGGAGATAATGTAGAGAGGAGGTTATGAGGAAACAAACTGTAAATGTCAAAATTACCTACAACTGCTCTTTGAATTCTACTGAAACCGAAGGGGGTCCAACAAAGACCTGAATAGCATTCATGTTAATCACAGCCCCTAGCATCTTGATGGGGGCCTCTCCAGTCAGGCCCAGGTCTCCAGAGGCCTCTGATGGATACCAGACAAACAGCTCGCAGAAAACAACTGTCAGAGATGTCATGGCCATCTATGAAGAACTCTTTCCCTCATAGTCTATATATGTCTCTATTTATGACAAAGAGAAACACAAATTATTATCCTCTGATTCAAACTCAGTAAACAAAGAAGAAAGAATACACAAACCACTAACAAATCCTGCTTTAAAGATTTTTAGCATGGCCTTTAATTTACCCACTATATTATCTGCATTATAGTCAAAAGAAAATTGAAATGCTCAAATTATTGATGTAATATTATATTCACTATTTAAATTAGATATAAGAGCTCATTTGGGGATCATTTGATTATATTTATATTGTCATTAAAACTATTACCCAAATCTTAATGATCTTAGGACCCACAAATATTTTTCCTTACACGTACCATCCCGATGCCCTTCAAAACATCACCTTTCCTGCAATGCCACAACTTTCATCTTCCTTTCTGTCATCTGCCTTGGCCAATGGAGTCAGGTGGATAAAAACAGTAGAAATTGAGGTCCACACCCATTCAAACCAGGGTAGGATTTTGAGTTGGGGACCAGAGCCAGAGTTAAATTTTTATGATGTAAATATGATCATGAGGCTCCTCTGGGTAACACCATTCAGTAGCTTCCTATTGCCCATCAGATAAGATCACATTCCTGCTGTGCAGCTACAGGCAGTTATTAAACCTCTCCACAGCTCAATTTCCTCATCTACAAAATGGTGATAATAATCATGAGGAAAATGAATGTAAAGCACTGAGCACAAAGCCAATAAATGCTTAATACTATTATTATTGATGTTATCTTACCAGATAAATTCGTTTTCAGTTCCCCCTTTGTTCTATCATGCAGCCATACTCAACAATGAGTTCCTCAACCCCTCCATGATCCTCCTTGCTGCTATAACTTTATATATGATTTTCTTTCAGTTTGCAATACTCTCTTCCTCCTCCTGGCCCTTGGCCAGCCTCACTCCTATTAATTGATGAACTTTCAGCTTAAATGCATAATGTGGAGAAAGCTTTCTCTGACTCCATATCTGGGTTTGCTTCCTCCAATACATTCCTCATTGCATGCATCCTCTACTATATATGCATCATCCATTATTATAATATCTTACATGATTGAAATATCCATGAAGGACCTAAGATTAGATTTTCCTTGCTTACCACTGTATTTTCTCAGGAGCAAGCACAATATAATCGAAGTGAACTGGGTTATAATGCAATTTAAAAAATCTTAGCAGATTACAATGACATAGGATTGGTCCTTGCTCATAATACATACATGTTCATTACAGTGTTTTCATGCTGAATCCCAGTCTGATGCCTCCCTTCCTACATTCTGGAACATTGCTGATCTCATGGTACAGGGAAAAGGAACACAGTAATGGTTCACTGCCTCTCTTAAGGTTTCCATTCAGAAGGGGCACACCTAATTACTCCTCATACTTTATTGGCTAAAGCAAGTCATGTGGCAAAGATTTATGTCAATCAGGTGGAAAATTCTTATGTAAAAAGGGTACCACAGAGATGGAAACTAAAATACTTAGTGACCAGTAGTATCTATTAAAAATGTTCTCAATAAATGTTAGTTTAAGAAAATCTTACTTTGCTGCAAGTTGACAGGTATAAACCCCACACCAGTTGAAATCTTCCCATAGACTTCACTGTTACTCAAAAACATTTTTACTTCTGGGAAATTTTGACTTTATAGTCACTCTCCCTCTGGTCACAGAACCATGTTTTCTGCCAGACACCAGTTGCATATCTATGTGGTAACAGTTTACAAATCATACCAGTACATCACTTTTGAGTAATGAACAAAAATTAGGTTCAACAACAACAAAAAATTATTATTTCACTGCTACTCAAAGCAAGGCATTAATATGGACAAGTGGGATTATATCCAGTCTCATAGAAATATATGCCAATAAGGCAACCTTCAACATCAGTTCACCTGACCTCAGATGAAACCCAAAAAGGTGAGTGACTTACCAAGTTCAAACAGTCAAATAGTAGCAGAACCAGGCCTGAAATATGCATCACCAATTTTAAAGCAAGTGCTCCTTCTATTACAGCATATTGCCTTCCCATAAAGATTGCCACCAAATGTGAGTAGAGAGAGAGATCACCATTTAACACACGAGGAAACCAAGGCCCAGGGAGGTGAAGTGACTGTCTCAAAGCTATCCACATTAATAGTCTTGTTTTTCTTAACCACATGAATCCCTAAGGAAAGCTATGTTGTTTCAGCACCTAGGACAGTACTTACTATTTACAAAGGACTCAAAGAACTATCTGTTGAGTTGAACTGAACTGAACTGGATTGAACTGAATTGAATCTAACTGAATTCAAATGATACACAAGGTAGAGGTATATTTTCCCTCACTCTATAGCCCCTGTTTCTATTTCCCCTGGATTTTTGGACTTGCCATACCAGCATGTTATGCACCAACAAGTAGGACTTAGCTAGTTTCTTTTCTATAATATCCTTATTTTCCGCTTCTTCCATATTTATAATTGCCTTCCTCCTTTGAGCAAAGACAAATTAATACGTAGAAATCTTGTCATTTCATGACATTTGCAGAACAACATAGGGTTTGGAAAGCAAAATCACAAATGATACAAGCCCCCAAAAGATCATTAGACAGAGAACTTTATTCCCTCTGAGCTAAGCAGGTCAGCTGAAAAGTGACATAACCCAGATGATCCTAAGACACAAGGGAAAATGTCATTAAGTTGTTGTTTTCTGACAACTCAGTGGTATGTAAAAGGAATAAGAATTAAATTTGATGACAGAATGCAGATTCTGGCTGGACTCCAGGTTTGAGGGGTATTAAATAAGAAAGAAACAATAGCACTGTCAAGTCTAATTGTTTAAAACATAAAACTCTTTCCATATGTCTTGAGATGAATAGAGTTGCACAGTATTGGGATGTATTCTGAAATCGTGCAAACAAAGAACAGCATATACCATTTGGATTAAAATATTTTCTACATAAAATCTGACTCTGCTTTCTTTTCCTTTCTCTCCTGCCTCACGAAGACACTTAGACATTTGAAATTAGCCATAGGAAAAGCGCATAAAATCTTCTTTACTATATTATGGATTTGACTCTACTATGGAAAAAGCATGGGCTTTGTGATAAGACAGAATTTGGTTCCAACTCTAACCATACCTCTTCTTGTTGTTTGATCTAAGCCTTAGTTTTACCACCGGTAGATAGAGATGATATTCTTATGACAATAAGGTGTGATGAAGATTAAATGAGATAATGACGTTACAATGTATCTTCTTTCTTTTTTCCTCTAAATACATAGAAATACAATCATCCCCATAGCAGCTCCACATAATTCTGTGACAAATGAGAGAGGATTTTTTGTTCATTGTCAATAAAGGCCTCCATTTCATCTCTTCAATAAATTGACATAAGTTTACTGAGCACTATTTACAGGAAAAACTTTGTGGTAAGTGCTTAAAGGTTAGAAAGTCTTATTACACAAAGTGTATGAAATTAGGGCATTTATTGAAATGCCTTTTCATTGGTTATCATAGCAAATAATCAAGATTACTTAGCCTTTTAAGTCTTTATTTTTCTTTACAGGATGAATGTGTTCAGTATGGAAAAATAATAAAAACAAATAAGCCGCTTAAACTCAAACTCAAACTGAAAGTAGTGGTTCTTATTTCATAGTAGATTGATTACCAATTACTTGCTTCCAACCAGTTTTGTCTTACAGCTGTATACCTATATCTGTCTGTACACTTGCCTCTATGTACTTGCACACACAGTGTTGTATGGCAAAAAGAGAACTGTGCTTGGGGTTCAAGCCTTGCCTTCCCATATTGTAATGCAAATTAGAATTGCCATTGTGTTCCTTCCTGGAATCTCAAAGACCTCATTGTTAAATGGGATTTTCTGGACAGAGGATCTCTAGATCTCTAAAGTCATTACTGTATGCGTAAGTTAAACTGTGGTATAAAACACTTGTAACTGTTCACTAATGTGTGCATGTATATGTATATTTACATACAGATTTATGTAAAAGATTGTAAAGAATATGTTCAGTTCCCAGAACACAACTCTACAGCAATTTCATGGGGATAGATAACATACGAATGCAGTTTCACATTATTATACTAAAGTGTCATGAGTAAAAGATTCCCAAAGAACTTTCAAACTAATGTCTAATCTAGTGTCTCCTAAAACAGTGCAGAGATAGATTCCAGGATAATACCAGTGGTTTTCTCCTTTAGCTATCCCCCGCACAAATTCCACATAACACAGGGATGATCATAGGCCAGTTGGATGCACGGTGTTAGAGAGGTTTAATTGACCTCATAATGTCTTACCTATGACCCTAATTAAAACCACTCAACTGCATCTCAAAAATAATCAAAACAAAAAAATAATATTTTATCAAGAGGACCTGCCAATATTACAATATGTTTGTCAGCTCCCAATGTCTTCCCCCACCCCATCACTAAAATAGCCTAAAAATTATTAGCACTGAAGGTTCCATTGTCAGTGGTCTAATTTTCTTTTTGACTTTCTACCACTGCAAAATTTTTAAATAGAGCCCAATATATTTCTAACCATTCCAAATTTCTGATGTGTCAGGATATTTTAATTTCTTATATATTATTTATAAGGACCAGTATGTATGCATCAAAAATCTTCTTTTACATACTTTTCACAACATAAATGAAAAACATACGTTTTTCCTGTTTTATAACCATTGAAATTCAAGGCAGAAATTAGCCTTGACATAAGGAAAAATACAGAATAAAGAGAAAGGTATTTTTCACCATAAAAATTTTAACTTGGAGAAGAAAAAGGGCAATTACAAGTCAGTTCATCCTTTGGGAATATGTAATGCACAAAGATTTCTGGTTAAAACACAGATGAAAGGGTAAAGGAACAGATATAAAATCTTTCTGTATAATTCATCCCAACTCTATACAAATATTAAATCTCCATATGATATTAGGTTCGTGTTATATTAACATTCATTGATCTCTTTAATAAGTGAACCACCCAAAAGCTACTGGTTGTGAATCTCTGAAAATGAGGATAGCTTCATGCTTATAAAAATAAATAAATAAAATTCCACAGGCGATTTTTATGCAGGGCCTTGTTCAAAAACACTGTGTCCATCTTATCAGTCCATTCTCGCACTGCTATGAAGAAATACCCAAAACTGGGTAATTTATAAGGGAAAGAGGTTTAATCGATTCACAGTTCCACACAGCTGGGGAGGCCTCAGGAAACTTACAATCATGGCAGAAGGCACCTCTTCACAGGGCAGCAGGAGAGAGAATGAGTGCTAAGTGAAGGGGAAAGCCCCTTATCAAGCCATCAGATCTCCTGAGAACTCACTATCACCAGAACAGAATGGAGGAAACCGCCCCCACGATTCAATTACTTCCTACCGGCTCCCTCCCACAACAAGTGGGGATTATGAGAATTACAATTCAAGATGAGATTTTGGGTGGGGACACAGCCAAACCATATCAACATCTGCGGTGTATGTAGTCCTTTCTTGGGTAAAGCACTTTACTTGGATATTGACTTTTTTTTTTTTTTTTTTTGAGATGAGTCTCACTCTGTTGCCCAGGCAGTGGTGTAATCTTGGCCCACTGCAACCTCCGCCTCCCAGGTTCAAGCAATTATCCTACCTCAGCCTCCCCAGTAGCTGGGATTACAAGGGCACACCACCATACCCAGCTAATTTTTATATTTTTAGTAGAGACAGGGTTTAACCATGTTGGCCAGGCTGGCCTCGAACTCCTGACCTCAGGTGATCTGCCCGCTGCAGCCTTCCAAAGTGCTGGGATTACAAGTGTGAGCCACCGCGCCTAGCCGGATGTTGCCATTTTTATGTTAACGTGAATCATGGGCCGGGCGCAGTGGCTCACGCCTGTAATCCCAGCACTTTGGGAGGCCGAGGCGGGAAGATCACAAGGTCACCATCCTGGCCAACATGGTGATACTCCATCTCTACTAAAAATACAAAAATTAGCTGGGCGAGGTGGCGCGTGCCTGTAGTCCCAGCTACTCGGGAGGCTGAGGCAGGAGAATCACTTGAACCTGGGAGGCAGAGGTTGCAGTGACCCAAGATTGCGCCACTGTGCTCCAGCCTGACGACAGAGCAAGACTCCGTCAAAAAAAAAAAAAAAGTGAACCATGACTTTGCAATTCTACTGGCTAATTAGCTGTGTGCCACCTTTAAGTGAATAGAAGCTGTTAAATTGAGAGCTAGAGTGGTTTTCCCGAAGTCACAGGGAATCAGTTAGGAAACTGGCTGTATATATAAAGCACCAGTGTCCAGAGAAGGATAACTTTGCCTTAAACAAATATATATTGAAAGAAGTAACTAACCTGGGACCATCAAAAGGTTGCACTTGGAACTCTAAGCATACACAATTCATGCAGAACTTTCAGGAATTATATTGAGCACTTACTTTATGCCAGACAATTCTCCAAATATTTTTACATGCATTATCACATTTTATCCTTATAAAAAAAAATCGTATCAGTTAGAGATAATTATTATGTCAAGGAGATCGTGAGATAGAGGTTCAAAATGTGAAGTAGTTAGACCAAGCCATAGGTAGGATGCAAAATCCATTGGACCAATTTCTGTGTCCACATGCGTAACCACAATGTAAAACTTCAGATGAGTGAATCAGACCCCTCAGTTCCATCTTGTAAAGATCCTACTTCGTGCAGGAGCAGCTCTTTTAGCCTACATTTCTAATGTTCCAGATGATGGACTTTCTGCCTTTACTTCCTGTTTAAGTCCACCTCATTGTCTCCCAGTTTTTCCTGAAATTTTAATTTCAGAATCCTTGAACAACAGCCCCAAGAACCTCATTAATTCACCTTTACCCTATTCTTAAGCTAATATGGCTCTATAAAGTCAGTTTATCTCAGAGAAGATGACTGCCTAGAACAGAGTCTATTATGTAGTACACATTTGTTGAACAAGTGAAAGATCTCATACTGAACTTGGAACACATACATTTGTTTTACAGCAGATAATACTGCTAACACCCTGTATTTATGAGCACTTTCCTCAACATATTTTCCTATTATGTAATTCCATTCTTACAATCAGCTCTGAAAGGAAAATACAGTAGGTATTATCATTCCCATTTTCCAGATGAAAAAACTGAGTTCCAAAAAATTGAAGTAATTTCTCAAATTTACATGGCTTCTAAGTAGCAGAGCCAGTGTTCAAACCTAGCTTTCCTAGATTCCTGGAACTACTTCATAACCTCCAGAGAATACTGTTCAATGAACTTTCTTCAAAGGTGCTTGGGAAATAAGAGTTTAGCAGAGAATGAATTTAAAGGGAGCTAAGGCTGTCTGAGAAAAGGTGGTACATATTTTTATCTGTGACAGCAGTTTCCTAAACATTCAGGAATTTTTCTAACTAGCTGTTAAACCATTGGTAACTTGAAATCAGCCATGACCTGTGCATTTATGTCACAGAAATGGACAAACACTATAAATAAGGGATTTTTTTTCGTAAAAGCTGGTTATAGGTGGAGAAGGGTAAAAGTGTTCCAAGCAAAGAGAAAGCCAACATCTGTAATGACAGATTTTGAATCTAGTCAGACATCAGTCTGACTAGAATATTAGTAATAAATTATAGTTCAGTAAGTAAGAAATAATGCAAGGAAAAGGATGCAACAAATGTGTGGTAAAATTATGGAGGGTTTCTAAAGCTGTTTGGGAGTTTCTACTCAATGGTGGAAGAAACAAGAAACTTCTGAAATAAGTACCATGCAAAAAAACTGTGACATTACAGTAACTGTATGCCTCCAGATTAAATCATGCTCTAGCCAGACTTTTTAAAATAATCTTTTAAATTAGATTTATAGAAAAACTGCAAAGATAGCACAGAGTTTCTGTGTGCACCACATCCAGGTTCTCCTATGACTAACATCTTACATTATCATGGTATGTATGCCAGTATTAATGAACCAATATTGACACATTACTAACTGAAGTCCATACTGTATTCAGATTTCCTTAGTCTTTACCTAATTCCCTCTTCTTGTTGTAGATATCCTTCGGGATACCACATTATATTTGTTGGTTATGTCTCCTTAGGCTCGTTTTTGCTGCGATAGCTTCTGAAGCTTTCTTTGTTTCTTTACGACCTTGACAGTTTGAGAAGGGATTTTGTAGAATGTCCCATTACTGGGACTTGTCTAACGTATTTCTTATTATTAAACTAGACTTAAAGGTTTTGGGGAGGGAGATGACAGAGGTAAAATGCCATTCTCATCACACCATATAAAGGATACACACCATCAACACGGACTTTTCACTGTGATGTTAACTCTGATTACCTGGCTGAGATGGTATCTTGCAGTTTCTTCCACTGTTAAATTACCTCCCCTCTAACCCTTTCCTTTGGAAGGAAGTCACTATGTGCAGCCCACATTCAGTGAGTAGGAGTTATGCTCCACCTTCTTGAAAGCAGAGCATCTATGCTGCATAGATTATTTGGAGTTATTCTGCATAGCAGAGTTTTCTATTCTTACCCCTGTGTTTATTTATTCAATCATTGTTTTATGTAAGTACTAGCTCATATATAGCTATTTAATACTTTGGTTTATAATCTAGTACCACTTTGTTTTGTTGCTCAAGTTGTTCCAGCTTTCACCACTGGGGACTTTTTCAGTTGGCTCCTGTATCCTTTTTGACATACCTCCATCCTAGTGGGGTTTTTTGAGCACTTTCTTGTTTTCTGGCACCATATATTGCTCTGGGCTCAACTTGTGTATTTTCTGCCCAGTCCTGGAATCAGCCATTTCTCCAAGGATACCTGGTGTTTTGTGTGTGTGTGTGTGTGTTTTTTTTAATTGAAGAACGGTGTTAGAAACCAAGATCTGGGCTCTATGTATACTCATGGCTACTGTAGGTATCTTGCTTATAGGTCCTCTCAGCTGACAGAATGACTTGGTGTGCTCAAACTGTTGTAACAAAATACTATACAGCTTAAACAACAAATATTTCTCATAGTTCTAGATACTAGAAGTCTGAGATTAGGGTGCCAGCATGGGTGGATTCTGGTGAGTGCCCATTTCCTGGCTTGCAGACAGCTGCCTTCTCATCCTCACATGGCAGGGAGAGGGAGAGGAAACAAGCTCTCTTGTGTCTCTTCTTAGAAGACAGTAATCCCATCATGAGAGCTCCACCTCATAACCTAGTTACTTTCTAAATAACATCATACTGCGGATTAGGCTTCCAACATATGAACTGGGTGGGAGGGGAGGACAAAAACATTCATCCTGTAGTGCACAGCAATGAAATATATGTGTGTATACTAACTCATACATGTATATATACATAACTATAAATATTTCTATGTGTAACCACCTGCACCTATATTGATGTCTACAACTCTAATCCATTAGCACACATATCATTCTAGCCTTCTACCTTGTTTAACTGTAACATCCCACTTCAGAAATGAGAAACCTGATTCCTCCTATTTGTCAATCATTTACTTAATTGTTCAATTCCAATATGCAGGTATGATTTCAGAATTTACAGTTGTACCTCTGTGGGAAATAACCTTATCAATTAGAGTCCAGTGTTTATGTCCAGATTTATGTTTGTTTTTGTTCTTATAGATTCCACTCATTTCCAGAGTTACTTAGGTCAGTACCTTCTGCCCTCACCTTGAGAGATGTTGTTTCCTACATTGTAATGCAGTTAGACTCTTTTGTCATATTCTGCATTTAACCCTGGGATTCTCTGACCTCCTAAATAATTTTCTTAACTTTGTCTATATTAAGGCTCAGTCTTTGTGCTGTAAAGTTCGATGGGTTTTTGACAAATGAATAGTGATACATAGAATCACTACAGTGTCATACAGAATGATTCTAGCTAGACTGGTGATTTTGTGCACTTGCATCATGCAATTTCTTTAGTGAATGCAATGTGCAGCCCACATTCAGGGCGCAGGATGCCTCCTTTGCTCAATCTTGTTGTCGTTAAGCCTTAGATAAATAAACAAATAACAAGTATTAATTTTGAAATAATAGCTATAATCAAATATTTGAGCGTACTTTTCTCTGGTATGTAACACTCTAACGTATTTCTTAACTTGTAGAGTAATAGGTTGCTACCCTCTAGGAAAAATATCAAATGAAGCACCAGAGGTAGATACTTGAGTAAAAATCAAAATCACGTTTACATTTATAGCAAAGAAAAACCAAAGATGTTAAAAAGATAAGATCTTCATCTGAAAGATATTTTACCTTTAGATTAATGCATATTTCCATTCTATTATTGCTTATTCAGCAAAAAAAATTATAGAGAAAACATTTTAAAATATGTTCAAGCTGAATTTAAGTTCATATACTTGAAACTAATATACTTGTTTTGATGATAAACATTACTGTCATCTCTCCATTGGTGTGATTTATCCCAACACAAACCACTAATGGTAAATAACTTGGCCTTCAGTTGAGAGTTTACAGATTCGTGACAATATTAGAAAGACAATTGTAGCACTCCCCAGAAAAGAGATCTCACATTTACTTGTAAGTACAGACACCTTACAAACTAGTCGAAAGAGTACATAACCCTGAACATGGAAGAGAATAGACAGAAATCAATACTGAATATTTAAAAGTAACAACATTTAGAAGAAAAACTTACTCTCTTAGTAAACTCCTGAATCCAAACAGAACAGAATATATGAGAAAAGTACTTTTCATCCATTACTCACTCAGGAATCACCAGTATATAAGGATTCGAAAATGATGAGTTTCTTTTCTTTGAGTTAGGGAAATACCTGTTTTGCTAAACCAAGCCCTCCCAGAAGTATATCTTTCTAAATCTACCTTTTCCTATGAAGATAATCTTCCCCCCAACCATGCACCTCACAAACCTAAGCTCAGGAGAGAGCGTTCTTTGAAGAGAAGATAAAGGCCTGAAAATATCAAGACAGATTATTCTATTGAGAGGGGGAAATCTGTAAACCTTTTCTAATGTGAATTTTGCTTTGATAAATTCTTGAAAGAGCCAGTTTTACCTCTTCATTTAGACTCTCCATTGAGTAATAGAAATGAAAAAATAATTCTCTTACTTCCTACCTGTGCTGCCTTAGAGGCTCCAAAGAGAGTCAGCAAGGGACAATAGAGTCTTCTAGTGATTTGTCCATAATAACTGAGCATCTTGGGTTGAAAAAAAAAATGGATTGTTGATCGCCTGAGCTTGTTTAGCTTTGCTTTTTTAATTGCTAAATGCCAGCCTGGGAATTCTGCCTAAAATGGTAATAAGTTGCATTTATACTACACCTTTCATCTAGGAGGCACATACTTCCCTCAGTTTTGAAACACAGCCATTCTGGAGCTGAAAAGCAGTAACTGTTTTAGTGTCGAACATTTATCCAGTGCCATAATTATACAAGGTGGAAGAAATTGTTTGAAGCAGAACCAAAATATTGCAGTAACAAAGATTGTGGGCTGCAGGTTTTGAAAATATTCTAGATATAGTCTGTTTTGTGACTTCCTTTGCCTAGAGAATATTTATATATCCCTTTGAATCTTGAGTTTCCTAAGAGGCCCACTTTTGTGTTCCTGTTTGGGTCCAACATAATTGGCCAAGAATTTAGGAAGAATGAATTAACATTAAGTATTTTCTTTCAGGAAAATCTTCTGAGACCTAGAATGTGCATCGAGAAAAAAGGCAACAAGAAAGAGATTTATAACTATTTGTATTTTACAGACAATATTTTACTCCTTATAAAGCAATTTCTATCTTTGAAAGGAGTGTGTGGGTAAAACAAGATCACAAAGGCCCACCCAGGAACTTCTGAACATATGCCTCATAGCTGATTCCTCTTCTGCTAGCCCAAGAGACAGAGATATGGTATCTATCATTGGAATACAAACCTATCAGGTCAGAACTGAAGTCTTACTCATTGCTCTAGCCTTAGAACCCAGATAATACTTAGAGATCATAGATCCTCAATAAAAGTTTGCTAAATCAATGAAAAATTGACCCTCTTCCCCTGAAAACATGAAAATGAATGCATGCAAAGTTTTCAGTTAATACTGGAGAAGTGATCAGGCCTTTTTTCGCTTGAAAAGCCAGAAGAGGGGAAAAGTACTGACAAGGAGAGTAAAAGAGCATGGAAGCCAATTTGAGAGACTGAAAAAGAAGTTCTCATGTGCCCTCAAAATATCAGACCTCTCTCAGTTTATTGCTGTCAGTAATAAAATGTCATTATTAGGTCCCAGAGAAAAATAATTGAAGACTCATCAGTCATTTATATTTGCCCCTAAACCAAAGTTATGATGTCCTTTCCTGAGAGCAAGTTTTGAAAGGCAGCAGAAAAGGGAAACTATGTTGCCAAATCATAGCCAGTAAATGGGATAAGAAGTCTGGGTTTCAAGCATTGTCAACATTTACTTGGTGTGTGAGATTTCCAAACCTCTTAATCTTTCTAGGACTCAGCTTCCTTCTCTGCAAAGTAAGAAGTATGGGCCCGATCTAGATGATCTCTAGAAGTGTGCTAAAATCAGTCCTCTTGCATGTCATGACCCCCGAATCTAAATCTGTAGTCTAGAAAAGCCTATCTACTTCTCTGTTTCGCTTAAATAACCTAGGCATCACACGAGCACCTTTGTCTCACTAAATGACCATCTATCCACTTTCTCATTGCTCTGAGAGCCATGAAAAACTCCCTCTGGTCTAGAAAGATGACAATCTAAACCAAAAATCCCGAGGCAAAGTCACCATTTTCTCTTCCTTGTTTGACACTTGAGGCAACTGATTCTCAGAGAGGTTAATTGACTAGCCTTAAGGTATCCAGACAGTAAAAGAAAACACAAAACAAATAATATGTCACTTAAATTCAGGTCTTCAGAACCCCAGCTAAGGTTTCCTACACAATTCTCCCTGCATATTTACACCTGGATAAGTTTTAAAACCATTTATGAGATTGATTAAAGCTTTTTTCCCTTTAAGTAAAATTTTCCATTTTCTGTGGAGACACTGCAAATGTGGTAGAGGATATATTTTCTGATTTTAATGAGGAAAAAAATCCCTTCTGAAGCTCATTAAACCTGTCTACACTACCCCCTCCAGAATTGTTATTGATGTAAGACGTTCAAAGTCTAGAATTGTGCTGCTATCTCATAAAACACATAATTTGAGCCAATCCTGACAAATATTCATGTCACTTTATTCAAGCATAGCTTTCACCTTCCAGAGAGTTAATAAATTGGATTCTAACAGTCTGCAGAGAATATACAGTAAGATAAAAACATCTTCCAAAAATTTACAGTATATTTTAGGATGAGTTGAAACATATCAGCAGCCATTGCAGATGCATTTACAGGATTTTTAGAGTAGCACATTTCATCATAAACAGCTCTGTGATTCAGTATGGCATTAATAATGGAAAGAACAACCTTTAAAATAAAGTAAATGCATTTGGAGCAGTTACTGAGGTGATATGTGTCTCAAAAAAAATTCAGTTAATAACTTCCAAGTTGATATGATATATTCCTTAGCCTATGCTGCCGGGAAAGATTTATCTTTTATGTTGAACTTCAGGTTGAAACGTTATAATAAAATTTAATATCTCTGTGGTAAACTGCCTTCCTCCATTTCCTTTACCTTTTAATTTCTATTATTACCAACTTTAGAATTGTTTCTTTGACCTTATGCAATATTTCAAAAAGTGGTTTAGATGCCAGATGATTACTAAAACAAAGTTGTAAATAAAATAGATCTATGCATGTACACATATACATCTCAAGATGTTAATCAAAAAGGACATAAATTATTAATGCATTTTACCTTCACACAAATGAAAGTTACAACCACATGTCCAATGTATTTTAGCCCTATTACTTTTCTTTACAGCTGCTGTCTCAAACTGTTTCAGAGATCATGAGTTAGTTTGAATTTTCTTGTGTGGTAACCAGTAAGTCAACCTTTATTCCTCTATATTCCCAAGACACCACTCCATGAATATGTGTCTAGTAAATTGAAATACTGAGAGATAGGAAAGAAAATCTCTTTTCTCATTTTCCTTTTTCTCTTCTCTTTCATTTTTTATTTCCCACTCTTTCTCTTCTCTCTTCTCCTCCCCATCTCCCCTCTCCTATCTCCCATCTTCTATCTTCCCTATCTCTCATCTTCTACCTTCTCTCTCCTAGAATATATTTTTTTCCCTCCGCCCCAGTATACTGGAGTAAGCAGTCAGGAAGAGACAAAATGAAAGAAGGCGTGGAACATTTGTGACCCTCTAATCTAAAAGTAAATTACTAGTACATGAAAGAACTCACAGGGATTCCAAGAGAGCTCCCAGAAGGGAAAGAATTTTTTTTTTGTTAACATAGTTACCAACCAATAAATTCTGAGTGTATTAAGTTAAATCCCACCTTGGCCAACAAAAACTACGCACAAAACATCATTGAATAACCTTGGCCCTGCTCGCTTCCCACATGCGGCTCATTAGCAAGGAAAGGTGAAAACTCCAAGAATCCTGTGGGCGCTGCTCTGAGGTAATTTTATAAATGCCACAGTCATGTTTTAATACAGTACCAAGATAAGGCACTTACAAGGCAACATCTCCCGGATCTCATCAAAATGAAGATAGAGTGCTTAAAATTCTAGAAGGTTACTAAAAAGACACTCAGTTCCATACAACATTTTTAAAGGCATTCTACTAAAGGTTAGTAAAGAAAACAAAACAAGAAATTGATAAATTAATAAAAATATATTCCATTTTGTCCTACTAGTGACAATGAATATTTAAATTTCATAACTAAACCTTACCTTATTTGTTCTGTCCTTTTTCTTATAGCAGGTGATATGCCTCACCTGACACACAGATGTGAAAAGCAATGCCTAACAGCAGCCCTTCCAGGTCAGCTATGTAGCTAAGAATTGAACATATCAAAACTGTCAAATCCACATTATTTTGTTTCATCGTGTTTTTTGTAAGTCATGCTCATTTTTAACCAGGGAGAAACTAAAAGTTCCCACAAAAGCATCTCATTAATCAGACCTTAAAAAATATCTGAATAGTGGGATATAAGGCAATGTTTTTATCTGTGGAATTTGCAGCAACTTGCAAACCAATATGTGGCAAATAAAATACCCAGTCATTTTTCTTCCACTCAAATGACTCCTTTTAAAAAAGAGTTTCGAATCTCATTATGTAAAATCCCATTCACATCTTCAACTACAAAAACATTGAAGCTACCCATTATGAACTCCCCATCTCATTCAAGACCAAATCTAAGTACCAACTACAGCACACCAGGTCTTCTGTGACATGACCCTGCCAGCTTCACTCACCCACCCTATATCCTACCACCAGTAATTTCCCAACCAGCCCTACCTTGGTGAATTTGCACATCACTACCTTCTGTTAAGAAGCCTGTCTTCACTTCTCCATTTGCCTAAATCTTACTCAACTATCTAGATTCAAGTCAAACCCCACTCTCTTTGAGGAACCTTCCCTGATTTCATAACCAAATTTAATATCTCTGTTCTGGACATTAAGGGAACACTTTGTTCTTAACTAAAAGCTTATTATTTCAGTCTTTAGCACAGTATTTGGAAAATGGAAGATATCACAAAAGTTCTCACTCAAGGAGCTTTAATCACATTTGGGCTACAAAACTCACCAGAGGAAACCATACAGGGTTGTACTCAGTGGCGCAACGCAAGGTGTAAGGAGAGTTCAGAGTAAAAAGCAACTGAGGAAGCTTTGGACCCAGAAGTCAGAAGCATGCTCAGTGAGAGTCAATTGATGTTCAAGGGTATCCGTAAGTTTTAACCGGTTCCCTCAGGGTCACTTACTTTTGAAAGCCTTTTCCACAAATACAATAAACAAAAGACAAAGTGAACATGTCTAAGTAAAAATTGAGCCTTTTATTAGTTTATGCCTGCATGTGGCATCTTTGGGGAAAATCTTAAACATAACTGGCCTGTGAAAAACACCTAGAAATAAGAAAAAAACAGCCTTATAATGCAGTTTACTGTTAAAAGGTTTCCTAAAACTAAGAGAATTCACTGTGGAGTTGCATAATACCACAGTGCTTTAGCAATCAATTAATTAGCTCTCAGTGCCTCATCAATCCTAGTTATTCAAGATTTAACCAAGAGTAATGGGAATAAATTAGGAAGAAAAATTTAGGCTGAATATAAGGAACATTTTCTTAATCATTAAATCAATTAGACAATGGAATTTAAAATTGGGTATTTAATGTGAAAGATGGAACCAAGAAAGAGAAAGTATAATATCATGAATAAGCAAGAAATCATAGGTTTAAAAGGTTCTCTGTCATCATTAGCCCATCCTTCTGTGTTTGGAAAAATCAATAATTTAGATTCCTATTTGGATTGTTGTCTATACTAAAAATTTCAAAACTTCAGAACTTACTAAAATAAAGAAGTTAAATTTCTCCAAGTCTAGCAGATCGTGCGGTAGAAACCATTGAATTCCAGAAAAGTTGACATCCTTTTTTAATATCTACTGACAAAACCCACAAGCAAGAGAATACTCTTTGCATACTGTTCTAAAATACAATCTTCCACAAATAGTTGAAAGATAACATGCATTCTGTCACTGTATTTCAATTCTGGGCTATATACTTTAATAAACCTCAATAGAACTTGGGTAGTGATGGTAAGGAGAAAACCCTTTTCTAGCAACATTGGGGATGAGGTTCCTTGGCCAACCCTTCCAAATGAAAATAATTAGAAATGCTGGATAAAATGTTTTTAACAATATTTTGTTTTTGTTTTTGTTTTTCAATGCATTGATGAGCTAGCAAATTATACTCACAAGTGAAAACCTAGGCAAAAGTAGAAACCCCAGCAGGGAAATAGAACACTGAGCACATTTGCTCCAGGTAAACTTGAGCTTCAGTTTCACACTACTAAAAGATACAGAGGAAAGACAAGGCCATGCCCTGTCTATGGTTGGCAGTCTAATAGGAGACTCCTCTGCATGAATTTGCAACCACAAAAGCATTCAACCTTAGTGTAAGGGTAAGCTACAAATAAACCTAGTTCAAGACAGTGCAGGAATAATTGTTGATCTAAGATTTCATAGTGACTGAAAGAAGGAAATTCTCATAAGGATTTATAAACATATGCTAATATTCATGTAGTTTTACAGCCTAAATTTATGTTACCTGGGTGATATTTAAAAATTACAAGCCAGGAATTTAGTTTATATTGGTTATGGGCTTTCTGGCACCTGACAGAACCAAATGCAAATTCTCTTTGGAAGAACACCCCAAGCTGTTCTTGAAGAATACTTATACATGAAGTTCTAAGAAAAATAAAGTCACATAAAAAAATTAAACAAACATGAATGAGATCAAGACGCTTTAAGCGACAACCAGAAGAAACAACAGGCAGCAAATTCAGACCAACAAAATCTTCAGTTATTAGACACAGAATATAAAATAAAAGTATTTGACATATTTTAAAAAGAAAAGGAGAGGTTAAAAATGTGAGCAAAGCACAATGAAGCAGAATGAGGGGAAAACAGAACTCCAAAAATAAAAATATAATAATTTCCATTAAAAACTAAATGGATAGGTTTCATTGCTTTGGTAGCCAGCCTCCAAGATGACTCCTAATTAATCTCTACCTCCTGACCACAATGTTGTATGGTCCACTCTTAGAATGTACCAGAGTTGGTCTGTGTGGCCAACAAATTATAGCACAAATGATGGTGTGTACTTCTGTGATTAGGTTTTAATAGATACTTGTGACTTCTGTTTGGGGTAGTCTCTCTCTGTGACTTCTGTTTGCAGTATTTCTGTCTCTCTCTCTCTCTCTCTTTCTCTCTCTGTCTCTGCTCCCTCTTTCTCTCACTCTCTCACCACTTCCTCTCCCTTCCCCTCCTTCTTTCTGTCTCTCTCTCACTTTCTTTCTCTTCAGGTCATCACTCACCCTGGTGGAACCCAAAATGTCACATGGTGAGACACTGAAGCCTCCTGCCAATAGTCACATGAGTGAGTCTGGAAGTGAATCTTTCAGCACCATCAGATGACTGTATCACTGGCTTACAGTTTTACTGCAACCTCATGAGAAACCAGAGCCCAAACCACACAGCTAAGCAGCTCCTGAATTCCTGACTCTCAGAAATTGCTATTTTATCCTGCTAAGTTTTGGAGAAATTGGTTATACAACATTGGATAACAGACATGGCTAAAGAAAGAATAAGCTGGAAGATAGAGCTAAGTAAAAAAAAAAAAAAAGAAAAGAAATCAGAATAGAGAAGAGAAAGACAGAAATGTAGAAACTTGAAAGAAGAGACACTGAGGATAACATGAGAAAGTTAGTATATGCCTATTTCAAGTTCCAAAGGGAAAGAAAAGCAAATGCACTAAAAAAAAAAAAAAAAAATACAAGAAGAAAGAAAAGATGATTTTCAAGAACAGATGAAATCATTAACCCACAGACTCAGGAAGCCCAACAAATCCTAAGCAGAATAAATAAAAAGAAATTCATACCTAAAGTCATCCTGATTTAACTAAGACACCAAAGACAATGAAATTATCTTACAATCAGGCAAACAATAGAGGCTGATCACTAATCAAGGAGCAAGAGCTGGAACCCAACATCAATAGCAACACCAACCAACAGTAAAATTCTGAAAGGAGTACTTTAGGCAGAAGTGAAATGATACGAACAAAGACAATAATAAATACATGGGAGAATCTAAACAGACATGGACTACATACAACAAAAATAACAATGCCTTATGTCACTAAAGAAAAAATAGCACTAATATACATAGCAGTAAAAGTGAAGTCAAAGGAGGTGATTAGGGAGGCAGGTAATGGACGTTAACATGTGGACTGGTTCTTATATTATTTGGGAGAAGTGTAAAAACATTGAGTGACTTTGGCCTTTGGGAACTGTGCATAGTAATTTTTAGAAAGAAGCCACTGAATGAAAAGAAACACAGTGAAAATCTTCTATACCAATAGAGAGCATAAAAAGGAATGGAAAAAAATCAGTCCTGAATAAACCAAGGATTAGAAATGAAACATAAACATAAGGTAACATGAACAATGAAACATAAGGTAATACAAACAGTAGTCACAAAATAAATTGCTAGAAAAAATATTCAAACACATTAGTAATTACAATAAATGTAAGTGAAATCAATGTTCTAGTTAGCAAATTTCTGAAACAGATTGTCTAAGCTGGTTCTATGCTGCTAATGAGGCACATAACTGAAGTAAATGTCCCACAAATATTTTATTATTATTATTATTATACTTTAAGTCCTAGGGTACATGTGCACAACATGCAGGTTTGTTACATAGGTATACATGTGCTATGTTGGTTTGCTGCACCCATCAACTCGTCATTTACATTAGGTATTTCTCCTAATGCTATCCCTCCCCAAGGCCCCAGTGTGTGATGTTCCCTGTCCTGTGTCCATGTGTTCTCATTGTTCAACTCCCACTTATGAGTGAAAACATGTGATATTTGGTTTTCTGTCCTTGTGACAGTTTGCTGAGAATGATGGTTTCCAGCTTTATCTGTGTCCTGCAAAGCACATGTACTCATCCTTTTTTATGGCTGCATAGTATTCCATGGTGTATATGTGCCACATTTCCTCAATCCAGTCTATCATTGATGGACTAGGAACCAACATTTGGGTTGGTTCCTAGTCTTTTCTATTGGGAATAGTGCTGCAGTAAACATACGTGTGTCCATGTGTCTTTACAGTAGCATGATTTATAATCCTTTGGGTATATACTGAGTAATAGGATCACTGGGTGGGTATTTCTAGTTCTAGATCCCTGAGGAATTGCCACACTGTCTTCCACAATGGTTGAACTAGTTTATAGTCCCACCAACAGTGTAAAAGTGTTCCTATTTCTCCACATCCTCTCCAGCATCTGTTGTTTCCTGACTTTTTAATGATCACCACTCTAACTGGCATGACATGATATCTCATTGTGGTTTTGATTTGCATTTCTCTGATGACCACTGATGATGAGCATTTTTTCAAATGTCTGTTGGCTGCATAAATGTCTTCTTTTGAGAAGTGTCTGTTCATACCCTTTGCCCACTTTTTGATGGGGTTGTTTTTTTCTTGTAAATTTGTTTGAGTTCTTTGTAGATTCTGGATATTAGCCCTTTGTCAGATGGGTAGGTTGCAAAAATTTTCTCCCATTGTGTCAGTTGCCTGTTCGCTCTGATGATAGTTTCTTTTACTATGCAGAAACTCTTTAGTTTAATTAGATCCCATTTGTCTATTTTGGCTTTTGTTGCCATTGCTTTTGGTGTTTTAGACATAAAGTGTTTGCCCACGCCTATGTCCTGAATGGTATTGCCTAGGTTTTCTTCTAGGGTTTTTATGGTTTTGGGTCTTACATTTAAGTCTTTAATCCACCTTGAGTTAATTTTTGTATAACGTGTAAGGAAGGGATCCAGTTTCAGCTTTCTACGCATGCCCAGCCAGTTTTCCCAGCACCATTTATTAAATAGGGAATCCTTTCCCCATTGCCTGTTTTTTTCAGGTTTGTCAAAGATCAGATGGTTGTAGATGTGTCATGTTATTTCTGAGGCCTCTGTTCTGTTCCATTGGTCTATAGATCTGTTTTGGTACCAGTACCATGCTGTTTTGGTTGCTGTAGCCTTGTAATATAGTTTGAAGTCAGGTAGCATGCAGGAAAGATCTAAAATTGACACCCTAACATCACAGTTAAAAGAACTAGAGAGGCAAGAGGAAACACATTCAAAAGCTAGCAGAAGGCAAGAAATAACTAAGATCAGAGCAGAACTGAAAAAGATAGAGACACAAAAAAATCCTTCAAAAAATCAATGAATCCAGGAGCTGGTTTTTTGAAAAGATCAACAAAATACATAGATCTCTAGGAAGACTAATAAAGAAGAAAAGAGAGAAGAATCAAATAGACACAATAAAAAATGATAAAGGGGATATCACCACCAATCTCACAGAAATACAAACTACCATCAGAGAATACTATAAACACCTCTACGAAAATAAACTAGAAAATCTAGAAGAAATGGATAAATTCCTCGACACATACACCCTCCCAAGACTAAACGAGGAAGAAGTTGAATCTCTGAATAGACCAATAACAGGTTCTGAAATTGAGGCAATAATTAATAGCCTACCAACCAAAAAAAGTCCAGGACTAGATGGATTCACAGCTGAATTCTACCAGAGGTACAAAGAGGAGCTGGTACCAATCCTTATGAAACTATTCCAATCAATAGAAAAAGAATCCTCCCTAAGTCATTTTATGAGGTCAGCATCATCCTGATACCAAAGCCTGGTAGAGACACAACTAAAAATGAGAATTTTAGGCCAATATCCCTGATGAACACCGATGCGAAAATCCTCAATAAAATACTGGCAAACGGAATCCAGCAGCACATCAAAAAGCTTATCCAACATGATCAAGTGGGCTTCATCCCTAGGATGCAAGGCTGGTTCAACATATGCAAATCAATAAACGTAATCCAGCATATAAACAGAACCAATGACAAAAACCACATCATTATCTCAATAGATGCAGAAAAGGCCTTCTACAAAATTCAACAGCCTTTCATGCTAAAAACTCTCAATAAACTAGGTATTGATGGAACATATCTCAAAATAATAAGAGCTATTTATGACAAACCCACAGCCAATATCATACTGAATGGGCAAAAACTGGGAGCATCCCCTTTGAAAACTGGCACAAGACAAGGATACCCTCTCTCACTACTCCTATTTCAACATAGTACTGGAAGTTCTGGCCAGGGCAACCAGGCAGAAGGAAATAAAGGGCATTCAATTAGGAAAAGAGGAAGTCAAATTGTTGCTGTCTGCAGATGACATGATTGTACATTTAGAAAACCCCATCGTCTCAGCCAAAAATCTCCTTAAGCTTATAAGCAACTTCAGCAAAGTCTCAGGATACAAAATCAATGTGCGAAAATCACAAGCATTCCTATACACCAATAACAGACAAACAGAGAGCCAAATCATGAGTGAACTCCCTTTCACAATTGCTTCAAAGAGAATAAAATACCTAGGAATCCAACCTACAAGGGATGTGAAGGACCTCTTCAAGGAGAACTACAAACCACTGCTCAATGAAATAAAAGAGGACATAAACAAATGGAAGAACATTCCATGCTCATGGATAGGAAGAATCAATATCATGAAAATGGCCACACTGCCCAAGGTCATTTATAGATTCAATGCCATCCCAATCAAGCTACCAATGACTTTCTTCACAGAATTGGAAAAAACTACTTTAAAATTTATATGGAACCAAAAAAGAGCCCGCATAGCCAAGAAAATCCCACAAAGATTTAATGTAAAAAGATGTAAAACTAGCCAGGTGCAGTGGATCACACCTGTAATCCCAACACTTTGGGAGGCCGAGGCAGGCAGATCACCTGAGGTCAGGAGTTCAAGACCAGCCTAACCAACATAGAGAAACCCCGTCTCTACTAAAAATACAAAATTAGCTGGGCGTGGTGGCACATGCCTGTAATCCCAGCTACTTGGGAGGCTGAGGCAGGAGAATTGCTTGAACCCAGAAGGTGGAGATTGTGGTGAGCCAAGATCGCACCATTGCACTCCAGCCTGGGCAACAAGAGCAAAACTCCATGTCAAAAAAATAAGAATAAAAAAAAGGATGTAAAACTATAAAAAGGAAAATTGATATACATATACTACTATCTCTCAAATTAGACACTGAATGAAAGCATTGCCATAGATTAAAACTGTGACAGCATAGTGATAAAAGTTTCAGTTGACCTGGTAGATGTAACAATTCTAATTTTGTATACATCAATAGCACCACCTTAACATATGTTAAACAAAAATTGACAGGACTACAAACAGAAATACACAAAATCTCCATCATACTGAAAAATGTTAATTACTGCAACTCTCTGGATTATTTTGTCAAGCAGACAAAAATAAGCAAAGATATAACTGTTTTGAAAAATATAATTATCAGGTTTTATCACTGGATATAGATATATATAAAAAATATATATTTTTATATATATAAAAAACACTGTACCCAAAAAGCACAAACTACACATTTTTAGGCATATACACATTTAAGCATATTTACCAAAGTAACCACATAACTGGCCAGTAATTCTTAATAAATTTCAAATATTCAATCAAATAGATCACATTCTCTGGTGACATTTTTCCCTATTTATTATTTATTATTTTTATTTTTGTGAGTACTGAGTCTGTGTCTATATTTCTGGGGTACACGAGACATTTTGATACTGTCGTGTAATGTGAAATAAGCACATCATGGAGAATAGGGTATCCATCCCCTCAAGTATTAATCCTTTGAGTTACAGACAATCCAATTACACTCTAACTTATTTTGAAAGATATAATTTACTATTGACTATAGTCACCCTATTGTGCTATCAAATGATAGGTCATATTCATTCTTTCTATTATTTTTTCATATCCATTAACCATTTCCACCTCCCCCACAACCCTCCCACTACCCTTCCCAGGCTCTGGTAACCATCCTTCTACTCTCCACATCCATGAGTTCAATTGCTTTGATTTTTAGATCCCATAAATAACAGAGAACATGCAATGTTTGTCTTTCTGTGCCTGGCTTATTTCACTTAACATAATGATCTCCAGTTCTATCCATGTTGTTGCAAATGACTACATTTCACTCTTTTTTATGACTGAATAGGATTCCATTGTGTATATGTGCCACATTTTCTTTTCTTTTCTTTTCTTTTTTTTGAGACAGAGTCTCGCTCTGTCGCCCAGGCTGGAGTGCAGAGGCTCACTGCAAGCTCGGCCTCCCGAGTTCATGCCATTCTCCTGCCTCAGCCTTCCGAGTAGCTGAGACTACAGGCGCCCGCCACCATGCGCTAATTTTTTGTATTTTAGTAGAGATGGGGTTTCACCATGTAGGCCAGGATGTTCTTGATCTCCTGACCTCGTGACCCACCCGCCTCCGCCTCCCAAAATGCTGGGATTATAGGTGTGAGCCACCGCGCCCGGCCATGCGCCACCACGCCCGGCCATGTGCCACATTTTCTTTATCCATTCATCTGCTGATGTACTTAGGTTGCTTCCAAATCTTTGCTAATGTAAAAAGTGCTTCAACAAACATAGGAGTGCAGATATTCTCTTCCAGATACTGATTTCCTTTCTTTTGAGTATATACCCACCAGTGGGATTGCTAGATCTTATGGGAACTTTAATTTTAGTTTTTTGAGAAACCTCCAAACTGTTCTCCACAGTGGTTGTGCTAATTTATATTCCCACCAACTGTACACAAGTATTCCCTTTTCTCCATATCCTTGCCAGCATTTGTTATTGCCTGTCTTTTGGATATAAGCCATTTTAACTGAGGTGAGATAATACCTTGTAGTTTTGATTCACATTTCTTGGATGATCAGTGATGTTGAGCACCTATTCATATGCCTGTTTGCCATTTGTATGTCTTCTTTTGAGGAATGTCTATTTAAATATTTTGCCCCTTTTTTGATCAGACTACTAGATTTTTTTCCTATGGAGTTGTTTGAGCTGCTTATATATTCTGGTTATTAATTCCTTGTCAGATGGGTAGTTTGCAAATTTTTTCTTCCATTCTGTGTGTTGTCTCTTCTTTTTGTTGATTGTTTCCTTCGCTGTGCAAAAGCTTTTCAACTTGATGTGATCACATTTGTCCATTTTTGCTTCGGTTGCCTGTGCTTATGGGGTATTTCTCAAAAAGTTTTTGCCTAGACCAATGTCTTAGAGGTTTTCCCCAATGTTTTCTTGTAGTAGTTTCATAGTTTGAGGTCTTAGATTTAAGTCTTCAAACCATTTGATTTGATTTTTTTATATGGCTAGAGATAGAGGTCTAGTTTCATTCTTCTACATAAGGATGTCCGGTTTTTCCAGCACTATTTATCAAAGAGGCTGTCATTTCCCCAGTGTATGTTCTTGGCACCTTTGTCAAAAATGTAGGTGTGTGGATTTGTTCTGGGTTCTCTATTCTTTTCCATTGGTCTATGTGTCTGTTTTTAAGCCAGTATCATGCTGTTTACGTTACTAAGCACTATAGTATATTTGAAGTCAGGTAGTTCGAGTTCTACAGTTTTATTATTATTATTTATTTACTTTTTTTTTTTTTTTTTGAGATGGAGTCGCGCTCTGTTGCCCCAGGCTGGAGTGCAGTGGCGCGATATCGGCAAACTGCAAGCTCCGCCTCCCGGGTTCAGGGCATTCTCCGGCCTCAGCCTCCCAAGTAGCTGGGACTACAGGTGCCCACCACCGCGCCCAGCTAATTTTTTTTTTGTATTTTTTAGTAGAGATGGGTTTCCACCGTGGTCTCGATCTCCTGACCTCGTGATCCGCCCGCCTCTGCCTCCCAAAGTGCTGGGATTAGAGGTGTCAGCCACCAGGCCAGGCCTACAGTTTTTATTCTTTTTGCTTAGAATAGCTTTGGCTATTCTGGGTCTTTTGTGGTTTCACATAAATTTTAGTGTAGTTTTTCTTTTTCTGTGAAGAATGTCACTGGTATTTTTATAGGAATTGCATTGAATCTGTAGATTGCTTTGGGCAAAATAGACATTTCAACAATATTGATCCTTCCAATCCATGAACATTGACTATTTTTCCATTTTGTTGTGTCCTCTTCAATTTATTTCATCAGCATTTTATAGTTTTCATTATAGAGATTTTTCACATGTTGGTTAATTCCTAGATATTTAGTTTTATGTGTGGCTATTGTAAATGGGATTATTATTTTTATTTCTCTTTCAAATTGTTCACTGTTAGCCTACAGAAATGCTACTGGTTTTTGCAGGTTGATTTTGTATTCTGCAATTTTACTGAATTTGTGTATCTGTTCTAATGGTTTTCTTATGGAATCTTCTGATTTTTCCAAATGTAAGATTATATCATCCCCAAACAGGGGCAATTTGACTTCTTCCTTTCCAATTTGGATGGCCTTTATGTCTTTCTCTTGTCTGATTGCCCTAGCTAGGACTTCCAGTATTATGTTGATAACAATGGTGACAGTGGGCATCCCTATTATGTTCCAGATATTAGAGGAAAGTCTTTCAGTTTTTCCCCATTCAGTATGGTACCAGCTGTGGGTCTGTCATATATGGCTTTTATTATGTTGAGATGCGTTCCTTCTATACTTAATTTTTTGAGGGTTTTTATCATGAAGGGATGTTGAATTTTATAAAATGTTTTTTTCAGCATCAATTGAAATGGTCATATGGTTTTTATCTTTCATTCTGTTGATATGATGTAACACATATTGATTTGCACATGTTGTACCATGTTTGTGTCCCAGGTATAAATCCCACTTGGTCATGATGAATGATCTTTCTAATGTATTGTTTAATTCAGTTTGCTAGTATTTAGTTGAGGAATTTTGCATTAATATTCATCAGAGATAGAGGCCTGTAGTTTTCTTTTTTCAATGTATCTTTTTCTGGTTTTGGCATTAGAGTAATACTGGCCTCCTACAATTAGTTTGGAAGTATTCCCTTCTTCTCTACTCTTCAGAATAGTTTGAGTAGAATTGACATTAGTTCTTCGAATGTTTGGTAGAATTCAGCAGTAAAGCCATCAGGTCCCAGTCTTTAATTTTCTGGGAGACTTTATATTATGGCTTTGATTTAATTACTTGTTATTGGTCTGTTCGGGTTTTATATTTCTTCCTGGCTCCCTCTTGATAGGTTGTATGTATGTAGGAGTTTGTCCATTTCGTCTAGATTTTCCAATGTATTAGCATACAGTTGTGCATAGTAGCCACTAATGATCCTTTGAATTTTTGCAGTATCAGTTGTAATGTCTCCCTTTTCATTTCTGATTTTATTTATTTGGATCTTTTTTTTTCTTAGTCTTGCTAATAGTCTGTCAATTTTGTTTAACTTCAAAAAAAACTTTTAAAAAGTGATCTTTTATATTGTCTTTTCACATCAATTTTATTTATTTCTGCTCTGATCTTCATTATTTCCTTTCTTCAACTAATTTGGGGGTTGGTTTGCTCTTGCTTTTCTAGTTCTTTAAGATGCATTGTTAGATTGCTCATCTGAAGTTTGTCCTCTTTTTTAGGGTTGGCACTTTTAACTATAAATTTCCCTCTTAGTACTACTTTCACTGTGTCACATAGGCATTGATATATTGTGTTTCCATTATCATTTGTTTCAAGGTTTTTTTCAATTTTCTTCTTAATTTCTTTATTAACCCACTGGTCATTCAGAAGCACATAACCTAATTTCCATGTATTTGTATAGCTTTCAAAAACCCTATTGCTATTTATTTCTAGTTTTATTCCATTGGGGTCAGAGAAGACGCTTGATATTATTTCAATTTTTCTTAACATTTTAAGACGTATTTTATGACCTAATGTATGGTCTATCATGGAGAATGGCCCTTGTGCTGGGGTAAATAATGTGTATTCTGCAGCTTTAGGATGAAATGTTCTGTAAATATCTATTAGATCCATTTGGTCTATAGTTCAGATTAAGTCTAATGTTTCTTTGTTGGTTATCTGTCTAGAAGATTTGTCTCATGCTGAAAGTTGGGCATTGACGTCTCCAGCTATTATTGTATTGGGCCTCTCTCTTTACCTATAATAATATTTGCTTTTTATATGTGGGTGCTCCAGTGTTGGGTGCATATATACTTAAAGTTGTTACATCCTCTTGCTGAACTGACACCTCTATCATTATATAGTGATATTCTTTGTCTCTTTTATAGTTTTGGTCTTAAAATCTATTTTTTGTGATATAAATATACAAACTCCTGCTCACTTTTGGCTTCCATTGGCATGGAATTTCTTTTTCTATCCCTTTAATTTCAACCTATATATGTCTTTATATGTGAAGTGTATTGTTTGTAGGCAAAAGATCAATGGGTCTTATTTTTTCAACCATTCAGCCACTCTATGTTTTTCAAATGGAAAGTTTAGTCCATTTGCATGCAATGTTATTGTTGATAAGTAAGAAATTATTCCTGTTACTTATTTTCTGGTTGTTTTGTGGTGTTTTCTTCCTTCTTTCTTTCCTTCCTGCCTTTGTCTGTGAAGGTGATTTTCTCTGGTCATATAATTTAATTTCTTGCTTTTTATTTTTTGTGTATCCATTGTATATGTTTTGGTTTGAGCCTACCAGGAGGCTTACAAAAACTATCTTATAACCCATTATTTTAACCTGATAACAATTTAACATTATTTGCATAAACAAGTAAAAAGAACTAATAAAACTCTATGCCCTAACTTTGTCCCCCCACTTTTTAACTTTTTGTTGCTTCTATTGATATCTTATTGTACTGAATATGACTTTTAAAGTTGTTGTAGTTATTATTTTTGATTAGTTCATTGTTTAGTCTTTCTACTTAGGACAAGAATAGTTTATACACCACAGTTAGAGTGTACTTGCTATTACCAGTGAGTTTTGTATATTCATGTGATTATTTATTGCTCATTAATGTCCGTTTCTTTCTGATTGAAGTACTCCCTTTAGCATTTCTTGTAGAACAGGTCTGGTATCGATGAAATCCCGCAGCTTTTGTTTGTCTGGAGAAGTCTTTATTTCTCTTTCATGTTTGAAGGATAATTTTGCCAGATATTTTATTCTAGAGTAAAATATTTTTTCCTCGGAACTTTTAATATGTCATGCCATTCTCTCCTGGTCTATAAGGTTCTCATTGAAAAGTCTGCTGCCAGATGTATTGGAGCTCTGTTGTATTTTATTTATTTCTTTAATCTTGCTGCTTTTAAGATTTTTTTTATCCTTGACCTTTGGCAATTTGATTATTAAATGCCTTGAGGTAGTCTTCTTTAGGTTAAATCTACCTGGTGTTCTATAACCTTCTTGTACTTAAATATTGATATATTTCTTTCTAGGTTTGGGAAATTATCTGTTATTATTCCTTTGAATAAATTTTCTACCCCTATATCTTTCTCTACCTCCTCTTTAACGCCAGTAACTCTTAGATTTGCCCTTTTGAGGCTATTTTCTACATTCTGTAGCCATGCTTTATTGATTTTTATTCTTTTGCTTTGTTTTGTTTCCTTTGTGTATTTTCAAATAGCCCATCTTCAAGCTCACTAATTCTTTTTTCTCCTTGATCTATTCTACTATTAAAAGCCTCTGAGATTCTGGTACATTGTATCTTTGCTCTCATTAGTTTCAAAAAACTTCTTGATTTCTGCATTAACTTCATTATTTACCCAAGAATCACTCAGGAGCAGGTTGATCAATTTCCACCTAGTTGTGTGGTTTTGAGTGAATTTCTTAATCTTGAGTTCTAACTTGATTGTTCTGTGGTCTGCGAGACTGTTTGTTATTATTTCAATTATTTTGCATTTGCTGAGGAGTGTTTCACTTTCAATTACGTGATCAATTTTTGTGTAAGTGCCATGTGGCAATGAGAAGAACGTATATTCTGTTGTTTTTGGGGGGAGAGTTCATAGATATCTATCAGGTCCATTTGATCCAGAGCTGAGTTCAAGTCCTGAATATCTTTGTTAATTTTCTGTTTCAATGATCTGTCTAATATTGTCAGTGGGGTGTTAAAGTCTCCCATTATTACTGTGTGGGAGTCTAAGTCTGTTCAAAGGTCTCTAAGTTGTTTTATGAATCTGGGGGCTCTTGTGTTGGTGCATATATATTTAGGATAGTTAGCTCTTCTTGTTGAATGGAACCATTTACCATTACATAATGCCCTTCTTTGTCTTTTTTTGTTTAAAGTAGGGTTGATGCAGTCTTCGGTATGCCAATTGCATTTTTCAGTTCCAGAATTTCCTCTTGATTTTTTTAAATTATTTCAATCTCTTTGTTAAATTTATCTGATAGAATTCTGAATTCCTTCTCTGAGTTATCTTGAGTTTCTTTGAATTTCCTCAATGCTGATATTTTGAATTCTCTATCTGAAAGGCCGTTATATCTCCGTCTCTCCAGGATTGGTCCATGGTGGCTTCTTTAGTTCATTTGGTGAGATCATGTTTTCCTGAATGGTGTTGATCCTAGTAGATGTTCCTTGTTGTCTAGGCTTTGAAGAGTTAGATATTTGTTGTAGTTTTCACTGTCTGGGCTTATTTGGAGCTATTCTTGAGAAGGCTTTCCAGATATTTTAAAGGACTTGAGTGTTACAATATAAGCTGTATCTGCTTTAGGGGGCAGCCCAAGCCCAGTAACACTGTGGTTCTTGCAGACTCATAGAGATTACTTGACAGAGACTCTTATTCTCTTCCCCTACTTTCTCCCAAACAAACATATTTTCTCTCTCTGTTCTGAACCACCTAAAGCTGGAGACGGAATGACACAAGCACCCCTATGGCTACCACCACTATGACTGTGCTGTGTCAGAGCTGAAGCAAGCACAGTGCTGGGTCTCATCCAAGGCCTGCTATAACCACTCCATGGCTATTGCCTGTGTTACTCAAGGCCCTGGGGCTCTACCATCAGCAGGTGGCAATGCCAACCAGGCCTGTGTCCTTCCCTTCAAGATGGAAAGGTTCCCCCAGGCCCTGGGCAAGTCCAGAAGTGCTGTCCTGGAGTCAGGGACTAGAGTCCAATATCTCAGAAGTCTACTTGGTGTTCTATCATATTGCAGCTGAGCTGGCACTCAAACCACAAGACACAGTCCTTTTCACTCTTCCGTCCACTTTCCAAAAGCCAGAGGAGCCTCATCCAGTAGCCCTGCCACTCCAGGCCACAAGGAGTACTTTCAGGATACCAGTCAATGTTCCCTTAAGGCCTAAGATCTCTTAAGTCAGCTTGTAGTGAATGCTTCTTCGCCTGGGACACAGTGGGCACCCCTCTGGCCCAAGGCAGGTCCAGAAATGCCATCCAAGAGTCAAGTCCTGGAAACAGGGACCCCAAGAGGCCGCTTGATGCTCTGCCCCACTGTGGCTATGCTGGTGCCTGAAGCCAGCAAGTTTCAGGGGCTCACCCAAGGCCCTTGATGTAGAACCTGGGTATCATTGCTGGTTATTCAGGGTCCAAGGGCACTTCAGTTAGCAGGTGATGAATGCTGTGCCAGGACTAGGTTCTTTCCTTCAAGGCAGCAGGTTCCCTCCTGGCCCAGGGTGTGTCTAGAAATGTCATCTGTTAGCTAGGCCCTGTAACGGGGGCCTCACAATGCTGTCCAGTGCCCTATCATGCTGTGGCTTAGCTAGTATCCAAGATGCATGATAAAGTCCTCCCCACTTTTCCCTCTCCTCTCCTCAAGCAGAAGGAAGGGGTCTTTTTTGGAGTCATGAGCTGTGCAGCATGGTGTTACGGAAGGGGTGATGCTAGCACTCCCTTGGCTGCCCCAGCTGGTGTCTCAGTATGTCTCATCCCCTCCCAGTCCACTGTCCCTGGGCCTATTTCAACCTATTTCTAGGTCTCACCTAAGAATTGCAGTCCTTATGGCCTAGACTGCCTTTCAAATTTACTTGGAGATACAGAGCACTGTAGCCCTCTGTTGCAAGGTTTGCTGCACTCAAGTTCTGACCACTGAGATTAGTGATTCTTCTATGGCTATGGCTGGTTTAAATGCTCCCTCCATGGGCAGGCATCAGCTGATTTTGGTCCGGTTTTCCTTTCTGCTCTGCCAGGGCAGCAGCGAGTTAAATGCCCCACAACTGCTGTGTTCTCCCTCCCCCAGCTGCAGCTCTCTGCACCACACTATGTGGTAGGACGGTGAGGGAGGGTAAATGAGACATCAGTGATTCCAGACTGTTTTTTCTAACTCTTCAGTGTCTCAGTGATATAAAGTTAAAACCGCTCTCTCCCTCTCCCTCTCCCTCTCCCTTCTTTCTTTCTTCGGTCTCCCTCTGTTGCCGAGGCTGGACTGTACTGCCGTGGTCTTGGCTTGCTGCAGCCTACCTGCCCCGGGCTCCCGTGGTTCTCCTGCCTCGGCCTGCCCAGTGCCTGGGATTGCGAGCGCGTGACGCCACACCTGACTGGTTTTTGTATTTTTGGAGGAGACAGGGTTTCACCCTGTTGACCAGGCTGGTCTCCGGCTCCTGACCTCGAGTGGTCTGCCCGCCTCGGCCTCCCGGGGTGCTGGGATTGCAGACAGAGTCTCGCTCACTCAATGCTCAGTGTTGCCCAGACTGGAGTGCAGTGGCATGATCTTGGCTCGCCACAACCTCCACCTTCCAGCCGCCTGCCTTGGCCTCCCAAAGTGCTAAGATTACAGCCTCTGCCCAGCCGCCACCCCATCTGGGAAGTGGAAAGCGTCTCTGCCTGGCTGCCCATCGTCTAGGATGTGGGGAGTCCCTCTGCCGGGCCGCCCCGTCTGGGAAGCGAGGAGCGCCTCTGCCCGGCCGCCCTATCTGGGAAGTGAGGAGCATCTCTGCCCAGCCGCCACCCTGTCCGGGAAGTGAGGAGCATCTCTGCCCGGCCACCCATCGTCTGGGATGTGAGGAGCGCCTCTGCCTGGCCGCCACCCTGTCTGGGAGGTGAGGAGCGCCTCTGCCCGGCCGCCCATCGTCTGGGATGTGAGGAGCGCCTCTGCCTGGCTGCCCCATCTGGGATGTGAGGAGCGCCTCTGCCCGGCCGCCACCCGGTCTGGGAGGCAAGGAGCGTCTCTGCCCGGCCGACCATCATCTGGGATGTGAGGAGCGCCTCTGCCCGGCTGCCCCGTCTGGGATGTGAGGAGCACCCCTGCCCGGCCACCACCCCATCTGGGAGGCGAGGAGCGCCTCTGCCTGGCCGCCACCTGGTCTGGGAGGTGAGGAGCGTCTCTGCCCGGCCACCCATCGTCTGGGATGTGAGGAGTGCCTCTGCCCGGCTGCCCCATCTGGGATGTGAGGAACACCTCTGCCCGGCCAACACCCCGTCTGGGAGGCGAGGAGCGCCTCTGCCCGGCCGCCCCGTCTGGGAAGTGGGCACCTCTGCCCGGCCGCCCCGTCTGGGAGGTGAGGGGCGTCTCTGCCCGGCCGCCCCGTCTGGGAGGTGAGGAGCGCCTCTGCCCGGCTGCCCTTCATCTGGGAGGTGGGGAGTGCCTCTGCCCGGCCGCCCTTCGTCTGGGAGGTGGGGAGCACCTCTGCCCGACCGCCCCGTCTGGGAAGAGGGCGCCTCTGCCCGGCCGCCCCATCTGGGAGGTGAGGGGCATCTCTGCCCAGCCGCCCCGTCTGGGAGGTGAGGAGCGCCTCTGCCCAGCCGCCCCGCCTGGGAGGTGAGGGGCATCTCTGCCTGGCCACCCTTCATCTGGGAGGTGGGAAACAGCTCTGCCCAGCTGCCCCGTCTGGGAAGTGGGGAGCACCTCTGCCAGGCCACCCCATCTGGGAAGTGTACCCAACAGCTCTGAAGAGACAGCGACCATCAAGAACGGGCCACGATGACGATGGCGGTTTTGTCAAAAAGAAAAGGGGGAAATGTGGGGAAAAGAAAGAGAGATCAGATTGTTACTGTGTCTGTGTAGAAAGAAGTTGACATAGGAGACACCATTTTGTTCTGTACTAAGAAAAATTCTTCTGCCTTGGGATGCTGTTAATCTATAACCTTACCCCCAACCCAGTGCTCTCTGAAACATGTGCTGTGTCAACTCAGGGTTAAATGGATTAACGGCAGTGCAAGATGTGCTTTGTTAAACAGATGCTTGAAGGCAGCATGCTCATTAAGAGTCATCACCACTCCCTAATCTCAAGTACCCAGGGACACAAACACTGCCGAAGGCCGCACGGACCTCTGTCTAGGAAAACCAGAGACCTTTGCTCACGTGTTTATCTTCTGACCTTCTCTCCACTATTATCCTATGACCCTGCCACATCCCCCTCTCTGAGAAACACCCAAGAATGATCAATAAATACTAAAAAATAAAAATAAATAATAATAATAATAATAATAATAAAACCAAGTACTATGAGTGTTCACCTGATTTTTGGTTCTTAAGAAAGTGGTTTTTTTCTGTGTAGATAGTTATTAACTTGGTGCCTTTGCAAGGGTGGGAGAGGGGACAATCAGTGGAGACTTCTATTCAGCCATCTTGCTCTGCTTCTTTTCCGTTTTTCTCTGGTCACCATTTAAGTTAGAAATTAATAGCAAAAATATATAACTAGAAAAATCTAAAGTTTTGAAAGTTAACAAATGTATTTCTTATTAACTCATGAGTCACAGAAGAAATTATTGCTTCAATCAAATAATGTTAATACCAAATGGTAATAAAAATATTATGTTTCAAAACTTTTGGGATACAGTTATAGGATACTAAGATAGAAAAATATGCATTTAAATATGTATACTATAAAAGAAGGAAACTTATTAACAAATGACCTAAGAAATCAACATAAGAAGTTAGGGAGAGAAATCAGATCAAGCCAAATACAGTAGAAAGTAGGAAATAATACAGATAAGAGTAGAAATAAACAAGATAAAAAAGAATAAACTGAAAAGCTATTAACTTAAAAGATTAGTACAATAGACCAACTTTTAATCAAGATAAAAAGAGATAATGTACAAATAAGCCATATTATGAACACATAAATAAAAAACTACAGATGCTACACAGATTTAAAAGACATTAAAAGAATAATATGAACAACTTATGTCAATAAATACAAAAATTTTGAAGAGACAGAGAAATTCCAAGAAAATATACCATACCAAAACTGATTGAAGAAGAAATGAACAAAAAACCTGAGCAACCCTATAGCCATTAAAAGTAATTGAAACAGTACCTTAAACTCTTACCACAAAGAAAACATCAGCATCAGACAAATTTGCCCATGGCTTATACAAAACAATCAAGAAATTTTAATTATTCTTTAAAAAACTCAGAGTAGGTAAAAGAAAGCATATTACCTAACTCATTTTATGAAGCTGACATAAAGTGGATAGTGAAATTTGACAAGAACCATAGAAGGCAATAAAATTCTAGATAAATGCCATTCATGCACCTAAATAAAAAAATTCTAAATAAAATATCAGCAAGCCAAATCCATCGGTGTGTAAATAAGATAATATATTCTAACCAAGTTCACTTTATCTCAGCAATATTAATGTTATTTTAACATTAGAACATCAATTAATGTAATTCACTGTAAACTTTAAAAGTTGAAAGGTGGTAAGTCATTATCTCAGTAGATAAAGAAAATGCAGTGAATACAATTCAACATTGATTCATAATTCGATTATCTGCAAAATACTGAAAGTACACATTATCCTGAATGACAAAATAGTGAAAATTTCGCTGTGATGATCAGAAAGATTGTTGTTCATTATTATACACAATGTTCTAGACAGTGCATTATAGTAAATAAAGATATAAGAGTTGAAAAAAGAAAACAAACTGTTATTTTCATATTGAAATCACAATGGTAAAAGTGTATAGCAAGTTTGCTGCAATCAGAATCAATGTACAAAATGAAATTGAATCTATTTCATCTACAAGAAGTTTTCAAATGTAGTGTTTTAAAAGATACTACTTCAATAAGATAAAAATGTATTTGAAAAAATATTAATAACTCTAATGAAGAAAGTATAAGATCTTCCTGGAGAAGATTATAAAACTTTATTAAATCACATTAAAGAAGAACTAAAATAGAGAGGTATATTATTTTTACTGATTTAAAAACTGAATATTATAATGATGTCAATTCTCCCAGAATTTATCTATAGATCCAAAGAAATTCTTATAAAAAATACCATGTTTTTGGGTAGACATTGAAAAGTTAACACTAAAATTTATATGGAAAAGCAAAGAAAAACTCCTGACAAGGAACTACCAGATATCAAAACTAACTATATAATTAAGACGGTATGAGATTGACATACGTTTAGACAAACTGATCAATGAAAAAGAATAGTCCAGAAACACAATCACACATATAGAATAACTTCTTTTTTGATAGTGAGCAATGTAGATTAGAAGACAGGTAATGAGCTTTTCAGAGGTTTTCCGACAATTGGATATACATAAAAAAACTTGTATACTGATCTCATTATGCACTCAAAAATCAACACCAAGCATACTTAAATATGAAAGGTATGTTGGCCAAACTTCTGAAAGAAAACGCAGGAGAATTTTTAAGACTGTTGTGTTAGAAAAAAAAAAAGTCTTAAGGAAGACTCTAAAAATGCAAACCATTAATAAGGGAAAAATTAATAAGCTTGACTATTTTAAATTCAGAACAATAATTTTCCCAAAACACATTTTAAGTTTTTTTTTTTAAAAAAAAGCTAATAAGCTGCCAATTGGAGAAGACATTTGCAGCAAATATAACTAAAAAAGGATTAGTATTCAGAATAAAGAAAGAATTCCCTAAAGAAGCAAAATTAAAATTTAGGTAAAATATATCACAGAAAAGAAAATGAAAATGCCCAATAAATATATACTGTAAATGCTTTCATCTTATATAATCAAGGAAACACAAATTAAAATAATGTAAATGATAAAACAAATAAAAATTTTACTCAAGCTATTCAAAAAATTGAAGAGAAGTGAATACTTCCAAACTCATTCTACAAGGCCAGAATTACCCTAATACCAATACCAGACAAGGACACAACAAAAAAAAAAGAAAGAAAGAAAACTGCAAGCCAATATCCCTGATGAACATAGATGCAAAAATTCTCAATAAAAGACTAGCAAGAAAATCCAACAGCACACCAGAAAGATAATACATCACAATCCAATGGACTTTACTCCAGGGATGGAAGGATGGTTCAACATACACAATTGAACAAACACAATATATTACATTAATGGAAGCAATAATAAAAACCATATAATCATTTCAAAAGATGCTGAGAAGTATTTAAAAAAATTAAACATCCTTTCATGATTAAAAAAACTCTCAAAAAACTCAGTAAAGAAGGAATATACTTCAAAATAATGAAAACTATATGTGACAAACACACAGCTAACATCATATTGAATGGAAAAAAAATTGGAAACCTTTTCTCTAATATCTGGAACAAGACAAGGATGCCCACTTATACTACTGTTATTCAACGTAGTGCTGGAAGTCTAGCCAAGCAATTAGGCAAGAGAAAGAAATAAAGAACTTCCAAATTAGAAAGAAAGAAAGAAGTCAAATTATTCTTGTTTGCTGACAATATTATTCTACATTTAGAAAAATCTAAGGACTCCACCAAAAAGCTGTTATAACTGATAAATGAATTCAGTAAAGTTGCAAGATACAAAATCAACATATAAAAATCAGTAGCATTTATATATATCAACATTGAACAATCTGAAAAATAAATCAATAAAGTAATTCCATTTACAGCACTATCAAAAAAAAATACCTAGGAATACTTTCTTTTTTAACCAAAAGAGTGAAAAACCTATACAATGAAAACTATAAAACACTGATGATAGAAATTGGAGAGGACACCAAAAATGGAAATATATCCCATGCTCATGGATTGGAAGAATTAACATTGTTAAAATGTCTATACAACACAAAGAGATCTACAGATTAAATGTAATTCCTATCAAAAATACCAATGACATTCTTCACATAACTAGAAAAAACAATGATAAAATTTATGGAATCACAAAAGACACCAAATTGCCAAGGCAATCCTGAGGCCAGGGGGGAAACTGGAGGCATCACACTACCTGACTTCAAAATATGCTACAAAGCTATAGTAATCAAAACAACATGGCACGGTCATAAAAACAGATGCATAGGCCAATGGAACAAAATAGAGAACCCAGAAATAAATCCATGTACATACATTCAACACATTTCCTACAATATGCCAAGAACATACACTGTGGGAAAGACAATCTTTGCAATAAATGATGCTGGGAAAACTGGATATCCATATGCAGAAGAATGAAATAAGGCCCCTACCTCACCATATACAAAAATCAAATCAAAATGGATTAAAGACTTCAATCTAAGCCCTGAAACTGTGAAACTGCTAGAGGCATACATTAGTGAAAGGTTTAAAGATATTAGTCTAGGCAAACTTTTTTTTTTTTTTTTTGGTAAGACCTCTAAAGCATAGGCAACAAAAGGAAAAATAGACAAATGGGTTATACCATTTGTATAGGAAACAGTCAACAGAGTGAAAAGAGAATCATCTGGCAAGTGATTAATAACTAAAATGTATAGAGAACTCAAACAACCCAGTAGGGAAAAGCCAAATAATTTGATTTAAAAGTGGGCAAATTATCTGAATAGACATTTCACGAAATAACTTAAACAAAGAACAACAGGTATATGAAAAAAATGCTAAACACTACTAATCATCAGGGAAATGCAAATCAAAAGCACAATGCAATATCATCTCACCCCAGTTAAAATGCCGATTATATTATGAAAAAGACCAAAAAATAACAAACGCTGGCTGCAATGCAGAGAAAGAGGAAGACCAGTATACTGTTGGTGGGGATGTAAATTAGTATAACCACTATGGAAAACAGTGCAGAGGTTCTCGAAAAAGTAAAAATAGAACCACCATAGGATTCAGCAATCTCACTGCTGGATGTATACCCAAAACTTTTATATATAGTATATCAAAGAGATTTCTGTACTTTCATATTTATTACAATAATATTCACAATAGCCAAAATATAGAATTAACGTAAGTGTCCATCAGTGGAGGAATGGATAAAGAAAATGTAGTATATATACACCATGGAATATTAGCCATAAAAAGAATGAAATTCTGTCATTTGCAGCAACATGGATACATCTGGAGGACATTATGTTAAGTGAAATAAGCCAAGCACAGAAATATCACATGTTACCACTCATAGGTAGAAGCTATTAAATTAAAAAAGTTGATGTCATGGAGGTAGAGAGTAGAATGATGGTTACCAGGTGGTTACTGTGCAGGGAGCACAGGGGATAAAGTGAGATTGGTTAGTGGTTATAAACATACAGTTAGATAGAAGGAATAATTACTAGTGTTCGATAGCAGAGTAGGGTGACAATAATTAACAACAAAGTATTGCATATTTCAAAATAGCTAACAGAGAAGATTTGGGATGCTCCCATCCCAAAGAAATGATAAATATTTGAGGTGATGAATATCCTGAATATCCTGACTTGATCATTACACATTGTATGCATGTATCAAAATATCATATGTAACTCAAAAATATACAATTTTTATGTATCAATTTTCTAAAATTTTCAAGTGGTCAAATAAAAAGAAGTAGAGTGAGGTTGGAGAAGAAGGGAAGATGTGGAAAAAAAGAAAACTTTATTCTTCCATTTCTGAATTGTTTACATTGTTCCAGTGCAAATTTACTTCTTTTACTTGGGTAGTTTTCTCTTCAAAAATAAATAAAAAATAAAAATATGTACTGCATATAAAAATATGGACAGGACTGAGACAGGAGAATCACTTGAACCTGGGAGGCAGAGGTTGCAGTGAGCTGAGATCGCGCCACTGCACTCCAGCCTGTGCAACAGAGTGAGACTCCGTCTCAAAAAAAAAATAATAATAAATACGGACAGGAATATTTATTATAAAAATATAGACTTTGGTAGGCCGAGGTGGGCGGATCACGAGGTCAGGAGATTGAGACCATCCTAGCTAACACGGTGAAACCCCATCTCTACTAAAAATACAAAAAAATTAGCCGGGCATGGTGGCGGGCGCCTGTAGTCCCAGCTACTCAGGAGGCTGAGGCAGGAGAATGGCGTGAACCTGGGAGGCGGAGCTTGCAGTGAGCCGAGATGGTGCCACTGCAGTCCAGCCTGGGCGACAGAGCGAGACTCCGTTTAAAAAAAAAAAAAAAAAAGTGTGTGTATATATATATATATATATATATATATATATATATATATATATATATATATTTAAGATGGAAGAATAACTAAAATGATATTTCACAATGTATGAGAATGTATAAGATTCTTAAGATTGGGAAAGATTGAAAAAAGTCGGACAGATCCAGGGTTGACAAAAGTCTGAACACGATGTATAAACAACATATGGAATGTCAGTTAGTAAATACCACCCTAGCAACTAATTAGGTATAATCTAGATGAAGTATGCACAAACTCTGTGCACTTCTGGGTCTGTAACCCAGAGAAATTCCAGGACATGATCTCTAGGGCTGTAAACAAGTATGTTCATTGCGACGCTGTTTAAAATAGCAAAACACTGAAAACAACCTAAACGGCCACCAATTCATATGGATAAATAAATTGTGGCATACTCTACACAGTAAAAATTAATTAATTACAGAAAAAGATTAACTTGCTGCTCTGCAAAATAATAATAAAATCAAACTACTAAAGAATAATTCCTATATTCAGTTGGATGAACCTGGAGGACGTTAGGTTAAATGAAATAAAACAGACATAGAAACACAAATACCACATGAGCTCACTTACACGTGGAGTCTAAAAAAGTTGAAATCATGGAAGTACAGAGTAGAATCGTGGTTACCAGGGTGGAGGGAGTTAGGGAGATATTGGTCAAAGGATGCAAAATTTCAGTTAGATAGGTAGAATAAGTTCAAGAGATCTATCTTACAACATGGTGACTATAGTTCATATCACTGTATTATGAAAATTGCTGACAGTAGATTTTAAGTGTTCTCACCGTAAAAAAAGGTAAGTATGTGAGGTAATATACTTGCTAACTAGCTTGAATGAGCCATTCCACAATGTATACACATTTCAAAACATCATGCTGTACAAAATAAATATATACAATTTTTATGTGTCAATTTAAAAATACAATAAAATAAAACAAGGGAAAAAGAAGGCATGGGATAAATGGAGGGAGGCATTCAGGAAGCCTCAAAAATAATGGTAACATGCCTTTCCTTAGACTATGTAATTGGTATAGAGTCGTTCATTCTGTCATTATTCTTTATACCTCATACACATTTTAAATATTCTTCTGTAACAACTTAAAACTTTAAAAATCGTTTTTAAAAGAAACACTTGCCCCACAAACCAGCACTCTCCAAATCCCCTATTTTTGTTAACAAATCTGCCATTAATCATAATAATAAAAAACATGAAATCTTTTGTGGTTGTTTTAGAGGAGTTCAGTGAAGGAATGGTGGTAACAAATATTCTTAGAAAAGCTGGAACAGCAAATATTCTAGATTGGGAACCATCTTCACATTTTATCAGAATGGAATGGGCTGGGACCAGGCGTGGTGGCTCATGCCTGTAATCCAAAAAAAAAAAAAAAAACAAGAAGAATGGTCTGGACATTAATAGCACCAATTCTCAATTATTAACAGTGTCCTGTTGCTAGAAGCACTCCTATAGAATGAAGGTCCTCATAGGTAGACATCTGAAAATAGAATGTGGAAGATAATATGCATACCCCACCCAGTGACCCATTCTCCACCACTGGGCAGTCAAGGGGAGAAAAATGTCCTTCGGTAACCATGGCATGCAGCCTGCAGCCAGGTGGAATTAAAAAAAGAAAACAACTGCATCCTGCATGCTAAGGAGCATGTTTCATAGTGATTACTTACCTCCAGGCATTAGAAATCTCCCAAGTTATCTGTTAAGGTACTTTCCAGTCTTCAATCACTCTTTTGAATTACTCAGCCAATGCCTAAAACAAATACATATATACATATATATGTGTATATATATGTATATATGTGTGTGTATATAGATGTATATATGTGTATATAGATGTATATATGTGTGTATATAGATGTATATATGCGTATATATGTATATATGTGTATATATATATGTGTATATATGTGTATATGTGTGTATATATGTATATATGTGTGTATATATGTGTGTATATATATACACACATATATACATATATTCACACACACACACAAAGCAACATATGTCAGTGCAAAGCTATTTTTTTTTTGTCTTCCTAACATGCCTAGCCATTGCAGCACTTGCTACAGATAAATTGGGGCACTTCTGCAGGGTCATTGTTTGCGATGAGACAAGTTCCCAAACATTCCAGTAAGGCCTGGGGAATTCTACACAGTCTTAATTGGTCTGAAGGCTATGATGATTTGAAGATCTGTGATCAGGGAGGAATAACCAAAATGCTTCTCATCACTGAGGTCACAAAGACCAGAAATGACAGCTCTTCTTCCTGCACATCACTTCTTCCTGCACATCACTTCTTCCTGCTGCCTTTTCAGAAGTTTCTACCTGAATAAAGAATAGAGGAACAATTCCAACTACTCTCCTCTGAAACATGGTACATGCAGCTTTGAGCTCTGCCACATCGTCCTTTCCCACAATATGATGTTCATGAATATGACAATAACTTTGTGTAAGCTTTTACTGAGCTATTTGAGGTTGTCGAAGGAAATGTTTCCTTGCAGAGAGCTGCACTCACAGTTCTGCAGATGAGAGGAAAGTAGGGCTCAAAGTAGCTCATGCTCGGCTTGCCAAATCCCTTCCTGTGGTGTGTTGCCATATCCACCCACAGAGGGGCACAACTGTTCCTTCCCTGGGAAGCTTCCAATGCTGACCAAGCCTTATACTTGGAGCACTGCAGCCACCCAGAAAAGGCACCTTTCTCTAATTCACACAGAGGTGCCTTAAAGCCAGCCATGACTCTCCCTCTGTTTGCCAGTATGACATAATGAAAAGAGCACTAGCCCAGAAGTCTTCAAACCTTCAACAAAATCCCAACTGAGCCACCTAACCTTGGAACACTTAAGTAACGTCTCTGAGCTTAAGTTCCCATATCTTTAAAATGAGTATGATAATGCAAACCTTGCAAGACTGATGCCAGGGCTAAGTTAAATAACATGTAAGCATGTAATCGATGTTCAGAAAATTTAACTTTCCCTTTCCTTTTGCAATATTTGTGTTCTTGTATATAGTAAAGAACACTTGTGTAGTGAGTTTAACATTTACTGAGATTTTTTTATAAACCTATCTCATTTAAAACCAACTCTATGACGTGCATGGGAAAATACAGACAAAAAGAGACATGTTGAAGGTTTACTGAGGAAGTAACCAAAGCCTGGGTCATCTAATTCCAAATCCCATGACCGTCCAATCACTTCAGGTTGTGATTACTGAAATTGTTACAGCTTATCACAAGAAGATTCAACAGGAACAACTTTATCATAACTATAGTTTTAACCTGGAAATAAAGCTATTCACCTTTCCCTAAAGATTTGCAACTGGGAAGTTCTTAAATGTCTTTTAAGGGAAGATGAACAAAGATATGCCATATTCTCCACCAAGACCTCTGCCTTGTAAAGTAAAAGAACAAATAATGCAACCATGAAGATTACTGTCAGTGAATAACAATAATTATTGTCAGAGTGGCAGAGAATAGGATATTTGTTTCCAGCTATTTTTCATATTCAACAAATATTTATTGAGTGTCTACTGTATATAGTTATAAACTCTCAGGATATAGTACTGAATATAGCAGACAAAATATCTGCTCTCATGGATCTTATCTTCTAGTGGGAATAACAAACAAAAAACAAAATGACAAATATGTCAGGAGATAACAAATTCTATTAATAAAGCAGAAAAAGGAGAACATAAGAGAATAAATCTTTAGTTGGGGAGAGAGGAGTGTGCTGATATAAATAGGATCTCTCAGAAATGAAAACTTGCATTATTTTTAAAAACAAAGGTTCTGTTGGTTTTCCTTTAAAGGAAAGAATAAATAAAATAAATAAAACAAACTCAGAAATCAAAACCACGCTTTTACCTTAATAATTCCCACCTCTCATTTCACTTTTCCGCTGTGAAATCTACTGGCACACAGTACTAAGGTTCCCAGAAAATGAGACTTCCTTCCCAACCTCTTCTTTACCTGAATTTTCCCACTGGGACAACAAATCCCAGCCTATGATATAACAAGGATAAGAACACAGTTCTCTCTGATGTGGAAATTTTGGGGACATTACAAAGTTTATTTTTATATTCAACATTTTAACAAGAACACATTGAACATACTTTTAAGGACACTATGAAACTTAAAAACATTAGTAATGCATAAATAATACTGCAATTATGTCAGAAATTTGTTTAGGCACTTTAATTTGTTTTTCCTACATGTAAGGTGAACTTTTATGATGTAGGACTCTAATACATTAAGTTTTTTGAGTATTAGAATGTTAGAGTTGGATCATATCCCAGAGATTACTGGCTCAACCCCTTATTGTGTAAATGAGGACTCTTAGATTCAGGAAGCTTAATAATAACAGTTTCTCATAAAATGGATGCCTGTGTGCCAGGAAGAAGTGTGCCAAGTGCTTTATATCCTGCGTAGTCAGGGTTCTTCAGAGAAATGTGTGCGTATAGAATCTCTCTCTCTCTCTCTCTATATATATATATGTGTGTGTGTGTGTGTGTGTGTGTGTATTATATATGTGTATGTATATATAAGCTATGTGTGTATATATGTTAGAGAGAGAGAGAGATACAGAGAAAAGTGTTTAAGGAATCGGCACCTAAGTTATTGGTAAATCTGAAATCTGTCGAGCGGGCTGGCAGGCTAAAAATTAAGGTAAGAGTTAATGTCGCACTCTTGAGCCTGAAATCTTCAGATTGGAAACTCAGGCAGGGTTTCTATGTTGCAGTATTAAGAAAGAATTGCTCTTTCTTCAGGAAGCCTCAGTCTTTGCTCTTAAGGCCTTCACCTGATTGGATGAGGCCCACCTACATTATGGTAATCTGCTTTGTTTAAAGTCTACACATCTGAAAAATACCTTCTCAGCAACATCTAGACTGGTTTTTTACAAAATCACTAGATGCCATAGCCTAGTCAAATTGAGACAGATTATTAACCATCATAGTCTCTTTATCTTAGTACTACCAACTTCCTTATTAAATTGGCATTATTATTGCCCACACTTTATAAAGAAGAAAACTAACAGTTCAGAGGTCTCACAGGACTTGTCTAAGGTCCTACCATTAGGAAGCATCCATGCCAGTCAGCCTTGACACAGATCCCACATTTTCAAACATCTGCTCTATTGCTCACAATCTCCCACTAGACATAGAGGTAGGTACAAAACCCACAATTCCTGATTCTTATATCCATTTATTCAGTAACTAAATATTGAGACTCTCCTGTTACAGATCATCTGATAAAGATCACCAGGGACACTCCTTGTTAACTTGCTGCTGGTAGGAGACCATACCTGAAGAAGAACCAACCAAAAGAAAAGATGGAGCTACAGGATTTGAGGAAAGGATGCAGTGTACAGAAAGATGAAGCAATCATTTATACACCGTCCTGCTTGGTTTTGAGCCTATCCAAACACCAGTATAGACGTTGCTGTGAGGGTACCTTTTAGATGTATAGACTTTGAGTAAAGCAGAATACAAGAAAACATTGTAAATGCACACACACACACATGAACACACATGCATGCACATGTACACACACCTCTTTTATGTCTACACAGGAATATCCCAGCATTGCAAGTTGTTTCCGGTTCATTTCCCTTCCAAAATCTGATTCCCCACTCACACATCTGCATTTTTTTACTCGTTATTCCAACCCGCATTCTAAATCCCTGTAAAGAAATGACAGCAAGTTGAAACAAAAAGAAAAAGATGCTTATTGCTCCTGCAGTGTTCTCTCTCAGGACCTTTCTGCTCTAGGTCATGGGTACTTTGTCTTTCTGCTGTTCTTTTTCTGCTTTAATTTAGAGTTCAGGGTTCTGATTGGATTAACGGCAAGGGCATTTTAGAAGAGCCCTTGCTCAGCATTATGCATCTGTTGCTTGCAGGAACACTATATCCCTATATACCATGTCCTCTCCTGAGATTTCTATTGCTTCACATTTTATTCTCTGCACTAACATCAGCCTTTAGTTCATGGGCCTCATTTTGTAGCACCTGTTGCATTAATTACCAGAAAGCTCCGTTCAGCCAAGGGCCAGGCATTCACCAAGCATTGCTCTAATGCAGTAAACAATCAGATAGCAGAGTTATCATCTTTGCAGATTTCACTTTTCTGATAATGTTAACTCCAAAATAGAATGTTCATGTGAAAATATATTTCATCTGTACGTGGTACTGCAGTAACATTACTTCATTGGAATAGTTATACTACACTTATTCTATAACATAAGAAGGAAAAATATATTTAATGAAACCAGCAGAACATGGCAATCTACTGACAAGGTGGCAAAAAATCCAGCCTTGCCTTTTGATTACAAGATATTTTATAAGGACAAAAGGAAAAGTCTTTTTGAATCTTGATTAATTTTCATCTAGACAACATCATTCAATAGAAAGGGAATACTTTTGAAATCAGATTTGTCTGAGTTTAAATCCTGACTCTGACATTCAGCAGTAATATGAACCTTCAGCAAATGACTTCACCTCTCGGAGCTCAGTTTTTTTTACCAGTAAAATGACAACCATACTATCTATTTTACAGGATCATGGAGGAATAATGAAGTTGAGGTATCTAAACTACCTAGCAGCATTTGTGGCACAAAGTAAGTGTTCAATAAATGGGAACCGTTTAACATAGCAGATGACATGTGGAAAGACCCCCATCTCCAAGGCACTGTTTCTGTCAGCCACTTTCCCTGCTGCCTGCTTTCCAGTCCCACTTTATCCCCTCACATCAATCTTGGTAACACAAGAGGCTGGCCTAGAAGCAGACAATTACCCCTTCCTTCTTCTAATGTCATACAATATTTCAACTCACATACTGATTTTGCCACAAATGAGAGTTTATCTTAGCTTATACTCAGTCTTAGAATTTGCTAACAATCTCTAGTCGCTGAAGCAGCCAGCAGACACTATAGCTATATTGCAACCCTCAAAACATCTTTAATATACTTTCTCCCTTCTCTGCCAGTTCAAAATCCTCTATGCAAAATGCCTTGATTTATTGAAGGTGGGTTGATGTTTCATTTCTCTACAAACTACTGTCTGCCACATAGTCCACTCTTTATATTATCTGATGCCATATTTGTATTAAGTAAAATTATGGCAGAATAAAAAGCATTAACCTATGGGTGTTCTCAGTATTCTTTCTATGCTACTAATAAGAAATTTGGCTCAGCCTCCTTCAGTAACTTCCCTGACCCATCCCTCCTATAGGAGACATCTTGCAGACCAGTTTGAAGGCTTTCGAGATGCATGGTCAGAAAGAAAAGAAATGAGAAGACACACAAGAGGAGCGTAGAGATGATTTGGGAAGCAAGAGGAGAATTTCAGAGGCTGAAGAGATGGGAGTGGGATCAGTTGTAACGTGAAAGGAGTGGAATAAAGGAAATTGTAAGGAGTACTTCTAGAGTCTCTGGGTATACTTGATAGTGTCCAAAAAATATAAGTAGAGAACTTATTTTTAAATTTCTATTGATGGCAAGGATTTTGTTCTTTGAAGCTCGGCTTTGCTCCCAAATTGAACTATATGGGTTAGAGCATTACAAGTTTTACTTTCCCCAACTTGACTATCAGAGTTAAAAGTGTGGGATTCTATCCTTACTTCTATTTTTATTATATCCTCTAAGCACCTAGCACGGCTCTGCATATGCTTCCAAACCATTAATAACACATTATTCACTTAACTTGATTCGCTTTGATATTGGTCATCAAGCCAAACAGGACCACAGCTATAGTTTGGGCTAATCAATTTTCTATTCCCTTCTCACATCAATGATAAATTTATTCTTAAATAGGTGAAGAGATTAAAAAGAGCTGCTCCAAATGAATTCTCGTCTCTTGCCTGAGGAGTGTGTCTCAATGTACTCAGAGAATTTGTACCTATGGCTGAATTGCTGTCATCAAACTGAAGGAACCCCACAGTGGAAAAGAGTTTCTGGAAAATTGGATACAAGCAAATGTCATTTGGAATTATTAAAAAAGGAAGAATTTATGTTTGTGAACTACAGAGCACTGAGCTTGACATTGATCTGGGCAAGATTCTTGAATGATTTTTTTTTTTAAACAATGGCTTGTGAGTACTTAGAAAAGAAAATGGTAAACTCAACGTGAGCTCACTAGAATAGTCCTGTCAGATTAGCTTCATTTCCTACTGACAGAGTTACTGCACTGGGAGATCAGAGAAATAGAGTAGAAATAGTGTATCTAGATTTCAGAAAACCTTTTGACAAGTTCTCTCATGACACTCTTGAGGGCAAGATGGGGAAAAGCAGCCTAAATGATGTTATAATTGCAGACTTATAGCCAATGGAATATTAGTATACAAAAGAATTAATGAGTCATTATGATTCAATGAAACATTTCAATTCAATTAACATATTTTTATCTCTTATGTTAGCCACTGTGCTGAAGTCTAGGGATTTATTTGTACAGATATAGAATGAAGGAATCCAGACTTGCCAACAGCAGCCTTCAAATGATCCATTTGTGTGATTTTGCTTTCAAAAACCTCAATGTAAGCCTGAGATAATGTCAGACAAGTACAGTGTCTAAAATTAATTCAAGCAGTGCTTCTGTTCTTCTCTATATAGCGTGTGTTCACTTTTGGACTCCATACATTGAGAGACTCATGGACTGGTACCTGTCCATGTCCTGTTAGGAACCAGGATGCACAGTAGGAGGTGAGTGGTAGGCAAGGGAGCATTACCAACTGAGCTCCACCTCCTGTCAGATCAGCAGTGGCATAGATCCTCACAGAAACGCAAACCCTATTGTGTAACTGCCCATGCAAGGAATCTAGGTTTCATGCTCCATATGAGAATCTATGCCTAATGATCTGAGATAGAACAGTTTCATCCTGAAACCATCCCCACCCCCCCACCACTGTTCATGGAAAAATTGTCCTCCATGAAACCAGTATTTAGTGCCAAAAAGGTTAGGGACCACTGCTCTAGATAGTATCCCAAAAAGACTGATCAAGAGGATGACGAGATATCAATAAAATCATATGGAGAAGACAGAATGAAGCATTGAAAAGAGAGAACCCATGACTACATTAACAACCTCCAAGAAGGAGATATGGGACAGAGCAGGAGTTCCAGATGGGCTACCTTGAAAGGTAGTGGGTTTCCTGTAAACAGAGATTCTGAAATGTGGACTGAAACACAAATATAAAGTGAGCGGAGAACCCATGACTCATAACCTTAAAACTGTACAGAGACAAATATGAAACTTAAAACTGTAAAGAGACTAATATGAAGGGTCCAGTTTACTGGAGAAAGTAGGACACCTTCGCAAAAGAGATGCTGCCTACTGTTGAATGATGAGTTATTTAGGCATTCCAGGGAGAGGAGGGAATTTCAGATAAAGGAAACTGTGCCTCAAACTCACAGAACCAAGAAAAGAGTAAGCAAATCCAAAAAATTGCAAATGATTGTATATAGCTTTAAGAAATAGGTAAACCGGGACTATGAGAAGATGAAAACAACAAATTGACAAAGATTAGACTATGAAAGCCTTTATTCCAGAAAGGGCCACTTAAACATTTTAATTATGGGAATAATATTATTTATATGCATGCTAGAGAAATAAATCCGGTGGGAGGGAAAGAAGAGGGCTGGGAGCAAGTTAGCAAATATTGAAAAAGCCCAAGAGACAATAGGAGCTTAAAATAAATCAGGATGAGAAGAACAGATTAAGAATATTATTAATATTGTTGTATGTACATGAATGTATTTTTAATGATGAGAGATGTTTGGAAGCTCTAATGTACAGAACTTAGACCCACTAGCTAAGTAATGATATTTCATGGAATGATTTGTAACATGACATATCTAAATTATTAGAATAGTAGATTAGATTATAAATAATATTTTAGTAAGATAAAAATATAGCATAATGTTTATGAAAATTTTGAAACAATCTCATATTGCTACTGTATAATGAACACTTTTGGATTTCGATTTTTAAGATACCAATTTAATTTTCAAAGAATTCTTTATAAAACAATTCACAGTAATCTTATATAGTTCATTCTTATACATAAAAATATGTATATACTCATAAAAAATGACTATCAAGTGTTAATTCTAATGGAGAACTATAATTTAAAAGATCATTTAATTAGTTCAGCTCTAATTGTTTAGCAATGTTTCCTTTTCTTCCATTTGCCTTTACTCCCAGGAAGAAAAGAGCATGGAGTAAGAAGACAGTGAATTCTACTCTAACTCCATAGGAATGAGAATGAAAATTGATTGCTCTATCATCTCCCAGAGATATCTCAAAAGAGTGCTCCAAAATATTTTGTGCTAAGACACAGATGTTCTCACATTCACAAAGCAAAGTAGTGCTCTAGGATTGATTAATTTGGTCAATTCGGCCTATTTAGTTTTCAAAAGAAACCTGTTGTTGTTGTTGTTAATGGTGTTTCTTTGCATTGCGTAACTCTAATTAGTTATTTGCTTGATTTTTACCTTTGAGCCATTTAAATTTGTTCTGGATAAACATAGTATAAGTAACATTTGTTAAAAATAGAAGCTGTTTCTTTTTTTTGCCTTTTTCTTTCTTGCTTTCGTTTTACAGTTTAGAGACAAAACAATGGGAGATCTTAACAGATGACTTAATTATCAAGAGGTATCAATTATGTAAATGAGTCTGATGGTAAATAGAGCATCATTTTCTTACAAAGTTGTTACTTCCTCTGGGACAAGGGTTCTCAAACTTGAGCATGTATCAGAATCACCCCGAGGACTTGTTATAAAACAGATGGAAGACTCATCCCTAGAGTTTTCGATTTAGTAGGTCTGGGATGGGGCCCGAGAATTTGCATTTTTTAAAGTTCCCATGTGGTGATGATGCTGAGATTCAGGAACCATATTTTTCAGAAAACTTCCCTATCCCTGAAACTGGGTTCAACGATCTTCTTATGAGCCTCCTTTCCTCTCTCTGCTTACGCCTTTCTAGGAGTATCACTCTGAAGTATGATGGCTGACTGACACGTCTAGCTCCTTTATCAGATCATGAGCTCCCTGAAACAAGCATCTGATTTACATGTCTGTAGAACATGTCTGATTTACAACCTATATCCCCCAGAGCACAGCATAGGGCTGGTAGAGGGTAGTAGATGGCTAATAATTATATGCTGAATAATACTTGATTAATAAATAAATGCAAATTTAAGTTCTGAGGAAGAAAACAGAGAGAGAGAGAGAGAGAGTGTGTGTGTGTGTGTGTGTGGGTGTACATACAGTCATACACTGCTTAACAATGGCAATACTTTCTGAAAAATGCATTATTAGGTGATTTTGTTGTCCTGCAAATATCATAGAGTATACCTACACAAGCCTAGATGGTACATACCCTACTACACACCTAGGTTATATGGTATGGCCTATTGCTCCTAAGTTACAAACCTCTTACTGTACTGAATACTGCAAGCAATTGTAACACAATGGTAAATATTTATGTATCTGAACATATCTAAACATAGAAAAGGTATAGTAAAAATATGGCATTATAATCTTATCAGATTACTGTCATATATGCAGTTCATCGTTCATGGAAAGGTTGTTAGGCAGTGCATGACTACATATATGTGTGTGTATGTGTATGCATGTGTATATGTATATTTGTGATTTAAAATATTCAAAGCAGTGATAAGAGAAATACTGTGTATTCCAGGAAAAAAAAACCATCAAAGAAACAAAGAGAAGTCTAATCAGAGAAAGACTTAAAAATTAGAACTTAAAAGTTTGCTTTAGTTACTATAGTATATGATGGAAATAAAATATTTTAGAAAGATAACAGTAATAAAAATGTACAAATGGTTTCAACTTTGTCACTTATGCTCTTTGGCCTACAAATGCCTTTTCATACTTCATCTTGTGTAGCTGGTAAAACTAAGAATCACCCCAATTTACCTACAGTGTAGCCAAAGGCACACCAAAGATCAGAAAGATCACCCACAACCTAAACAGAAAAAGAGAATTATAAGAAGAAAAAAATGGAAAAGACCTAGTAGGTCATTCAGTTCTGGTCTCTACAGTAGTGGAAGATTAATAAAATAGCACAGAAAAAAATATGGAAATATACCCAAGAAAACTTAAGACTCTCTGATTCTCTAATTTTTAGTGCCTCATGAAGTTCAAGAGTTTATTGTCAACTCATTGCTTAAACCACCATTTATTAAAAGAAAACATTCCCTATAGTCTGCATTGAAAATGAAAATAAGGCAGGCAATGTAAAAAGTTGATTTTGTGGTATAAAATGACCTCTTTTTCCTGTGTTCATGAATCTCTGCTTTGTAACTGTACTTATCCAAAATATTAAAATGACCTTCAGGCCAACCCCTCTACTTAACAGTGAAGGGGGAAGAGAAATTTACTAGAAGTTGACCATTACAGAAATTACTTGCAAGGCATTTTTCTTTAATAGCTGCAGTTTCGCTCATATTATCATCCTTTTCTGTTGACAAGTTTCCAAGATTTTAATCCTGGATTGGAAATGTTACCCTATCAGAAAGGGCTTATATTGTCAGGAGCAGTGCTGTCGTGGAATGTAGAATCATATATGAGAATGCTTGCTGTATTGAAAAATATACCATTGCAAGGAAAGGCATTTAAATGTTTAGTCTGCTGGCTCATAAATCACTTTCAATGTGCTCAAGTTCTTAGACAACATACTGAAAGCTTTCTTATTTCTTATATTATAGCAGTGTCATTTGCATTGCTGAACTAGGGGTGATGTTGGCAATTCCAGACAAATCCTTGCTTGGAGGATTTATAACTGCGATTAAATTTCATCCTGGCTTAGAATTCAAAAGTAAAATTTTTGTGAGGTTGTTTTTTTTTTTAACCTAACAGGTATCTGATATTTTAAGAAATGGTCAGATTCACAATTTTGGTTTACAGGTGGAAGCAAGTTGCCTAACATGCACAACCAGCATGGGCATTAAGAGATCTGAGCATGTTTATCTAAATTCACAGGCTCGGTTGGTTGTTTTAGAAACATATATTCAAGCATTTTTTTTTTTTTTTTTTTTTTTTTTGAGACGGAGTCTCGCTCTGTCGCCCAGGCTGGAGTGCAGTGGCGGGATCTCGGCTCACTGCAAGCTCCGCCTCCCGGGTTCACGCCATTCTCCTGCCTCAGCCTCCCAAGTAGCTGGGACTACAGGCGCCCGCCACTACGCCCGGCTAATTTTTTTGTATTTTTAGTAGAGACGGGGTTTCACCGTTTTAGCCGGGATGGTCTCGATCTCCTGACCTCGTGATCCGCCCGCCTCGGCCTCCCAAAGTGCTGGGATTACAGGCGTGAGCCACCGCGCCCGGCCTCAAGCATTTTAAAAATTTCTATTAACTTTACCGGAAATTGTTGTGCTCCTTTTTTTTTTTTTTCCTTTCCTTTTCTTCTTCTTTTTATTGTATGGATAGCTTTTCTACTCCTTCTGCTCCCTCTTGGTGGAAATATTTGAAACTGACTTTGATATCTATTTCACCTTGGGCATGCATACACAGTGATCCCATTTCTGTTGTCTTCTTATACAAAGCTAACAGCAGGTATCCATGCCATCTACCTATCACCTGAAGTTGTTCTCTAGGGATAAAACAAGACTCCAGTTAGCTAAAGTGTTTGAAAAAGAGAAAAAGAAATTAAAATATATCGACTGGAAGGCTTTGAATTGAGAACAAAATTGAGTTATCAACATGAAGCAACGAACTACTTCTCAGAAGCAGACATTGAAGGAGATTCAGAATAACAAAAAGGAAATTAATAAAAATGTTTACTGAATTTGAAAGATAATCCTCAGCTTCTACTAGACTAGCAAGTGGGAGTAGTTGGGCTAAGGGCTAGCTAAAGAAAAGTGTTCTCTTAAAGTTTTCTGAGAGTTTCCTCCAAATCACTCTACCTTTTCTGCCCTGTTTTAAGAGTCAGTGTCTCACTCTGTCGTCCAGGCTACAGTGCTGGAGTGCAGTGGCACAATCGTAGCTCACTGCAGCCTTGGATTCCTGAGCTCAAGTGAGTAGCTAGGACTACAGGCATGTGCTACCAAGCCCAGCTAAGTTTTTATTATTCTTTTGTAGACACGTGATCTTGCTATGTTGCCCAGGCTGGTCTTAAACATCTGGCCTCAAGCCATCCTCCCATTTCAGCCTCCTGAGTCGCTAGGATTACACATGTGAGCAACCATGCCTGACCATCACTCTTGTAAAGAAAACTAAGTAAAAGACAATAAGGATTTACTTGCTTTTAAGATAAACGGATTAATAGTGATAAGCCTAGATATTATTCTATAGCCGAGGAGAGAAATATGTCCTACGTAAAGGGAAGTATCTCCAAAAAGGAGAAAACATGTTGCTCCTGCAGATTCCTGCTTCTAGGTGGTTCCTACACACAAGAAGTGCAACTATAATCAGATTGGCTTCAATTTTTGCAACTTAATGCTAAGGCAAAGGTTTGAGGAATGGCAAATACAAGGCCCATTTGATAACCACAAAGCAACCCAGGAATTTCAGTGGATAATGGAGCCCACTTGAGTGGATTGAGATGTTTCCAGTAACTGTCTTCAGCAGAGTGTACAGATGCCAACAGCAGATGCCAGTTGTAGAAGGAGACACCACCCTCCAGTAATAGCTCTGCCTCAGTGATTTAAACAGAATGTGATCCAATTACATGTTGGAAAGATCACTTTGGATGCAGTAAGTACCATCTGATGTTTGGTGGAGATCTGAAGAAAGATCAGTTGGGAGCGTGTTACAGAAATCTAAGAGAGATACAATGGGTATATACATATGAAATAAATAAAAGTGAAAAGGAAATGCCATAATTTAAGAGGTATTTGAGAGACATGTAGGGGAAATAACTGACAGGGACTGGTGACTGACTGGATGTGGGATGGTAAGTCAGTGCAAATAGATCAAATAAGGCTGCACAGGTGAAGTATAGTTAATCTCGTAGCGTGAGATACCCACAGTAGTGAAAACAAGGCTAAAGGGAAATTGAAGATAAGTTATTTGGAGTTCATAGAGAAAGCATGGCACCAAAATGAACACAGAGCATAAGAATCTTAATAATACACATACCCAGATTTCTCTCTTGGATAACTGTGCCCCTCTGCATATGGTAGGAAACTGAGTATGGACCAAATGAATAGGTTGTGCCAGTGTTTATCAGCAGATGTATTAGGAAGCACTGTTACAAGGGTGAAAAGGTGAATGGGGTGGCCGGGCATGGTGGCTCACACCTGTAATCCCAGCACTTTGGGAGGCCGAGGCAGGTGGACCACTTGAGGTCAGGAGTTCAAGACCAGCCTGGCCAACGTGGTGAAACCTGATCTCTACTAAAAATACAAAAGAAAATAGCTGGGCATAGTGGCGCACACCTGTAATCCCAGCTACTTGGGAGGCTGAGGCAGGAGAATCACTTGAACCCAGGAGGCGGAGGTTGCAGTGAGCTGAGATCATGCCGCTACACTCCAGCCTGGGTGACAGAGTGAGACTCTGTCTCAGAAAAAAACAGAAATGAAAAAAAGAAAGAAAGAAAAAGAAAAGAAAAGAAAAAGTGAATGGGAAGACCTTTACAGTTCAAAAGCCCTTAGCTGGCTTCTGAGAAGCCCAACAGCTTCTGCAATGAGCTATAATCAGTAAGACTGTGCTAAACCAAACAGAAAAACAGAAACACAGCTATACTGTGCCGTTAAAATGGCAACTGACTCCCAAAACACCCCAGGGAAATGACCAGTCCATGAAAAAAGAGTCCCAAAGCTAACATAAGGTGTCTGGTTAAGTGATTGGCTAGACAGTAGAACTCCTAAGTGAAGTAGAGAATACAGAAAGAGAAGCAGAATTGGATGGAGAAAATGGTTTCATTTGAAAGATGTTGAGTTTGAGGGCTTATTACGTATAGATGTTTATTAGGTAAGTGAACATGAAGGATTAGAGCTCAAGAGAGTGTGAGGTCTGAGGGCAAAACAGTTCTCTTGCTCATATTGGGGACCTCACAAAGCATAAGCATAATTTTTATATATGATATGTTTACGGAATTTCTGTCTCTTCACTCTGTCTTATAAAAGACCAAAGACTTCTCCTACCTGGGGGAATAAAGAGGACAATAAAGAGCAAGGTAAAAATCCCATCTTGCCATATTAAGAAGCCTAGTAGAAAGTATTCTGAAAAGAAAAAAGAAGCTTTTGTTTCCAGCAGATTTTCAGACTGGATTTCTTGATGGACTCTCCTACTGAAAACAACAAAGAATGCTGGCAAAATGTAAATTACAGGCCAGGCGCGTGGCTTATACCTATAATCCCACAACTTTGGGAGGCAAAGGTGGGAAGACCACTTGGGCCCAGGAGTTCAACACCTGCCTGGGTGGCATAGTGAGACCCCATCTCTACAAAAAAATTAAAAAATTAGCCAGGTGTGGTAGTATGTGCCTATAGTCCAGCTACTCAGGAGAACCCTTCTCTTCTAAGAAGTAGAAAAATAAGGTAAATATAAATAAGACAAACAAGTCTGGAGGTGAGAGGGATAAAATTTTCAGGCATTTGTTCTTGCCTGTTGCTCTTCTTTCTTTTTAGAAGCAGTAGCAACAAGGCTTTCTGCTGAGGCAGGGAGATGTAAGGTTGGAGGCTTGAGGAAACTGCTAAATTTTGGAAGAGCTGTTGTTGGCATTGGAAAAAGTTGATTCAGTTTTAATAAATCATCTTTTGATACTAACCTACTGTCAATGGGGGAAGTTGAGGAAAAACTACTGGAGTTTCCAAAAGATGTATCTCCTTAGTTTTCTGGGAAGGGATTTAGATGAATTTCTGTTGGTTTCTATTGTTGTGAAGCACTAAAGGTAACCCAGGTTCTTGCAAATCTGACACAAGGATTGCAAATACTCATCAGGCACCCCAACAAAGGAAATGCAGCAGGAGCAAAAAGCAAGGGAACAAATGAAAAATGGTGACAAGAGGGGAGGGAGGGAACCTGGCAACCAGCAAATAACATCATCCAAACTCATCCCATGCAGTCACTGGTGGCTTAATAGGGAAGCAAAGAAAGCTAGGTTTGATGAGGCTTTTTTTGGCATAATAGAATGTCTTTGAGGATTGAGGAAACAATGTGTGCAGAGAGTTTTGTGTTCTGCCATCAACAAAAGCAAGAGATTAATGGAAGTGACTCCCTTTTCTCATGTATGACAATATATTTATCACTATTTGCTTATATCCTGAGACCTGAGGAGAATGGCTCCTTTTTGTTGCCCTGCCAACCCTTCCCAAGCAGGAGAAGAGTTCAGGCACCACTTTGTGTTTGATTGTTATACTTCCTATTGAAGCTGACCAAAATAGAAAATCTACCCACGCATGGCAGTAAATGTCAACAATGTGAACAACTCTAGAAATGAGAATAAGACTGATATTCAAGCTGTCTAAATGAAAGTGATGGGAGCCTCAAAAGTTGTGTTTAATAAATGTAATGACTAAAATTGCATTTTTAATGTGCCGTGACATGCCAAGTGTACAGCATAGAAACTCCATCACAAAAGTAGGGAAAGGGAGGAAGTGAGCATGCAAAGCTTTGACCCCCACTCTCCCTGCCTGTCATTTCTGACTAGAGCAGCTGAACTTTTACAACTTGCAAACAATCTCCAGGTAAGATTGTGTTTGAGCAAAAGTTTTTTCACAGCTGAAAATTTTGAAAACCATTGCACCAAAGGAACAAACAATTTGAAGGAATCCTTTGGCAAATCAAGATGTATTTTCACTTATTGTGCAAACATTTATTGAGCATCTTCTGTGTATTAAACTGTTCTTTGCACTGTGATGGGCATAAAGAGGTTAAAGATTAAAAAGGGAATCTGGAGGGAGAATAGCGAGAGATTAGTTAATCAATAGATTTTGGTCCTTGAGACAGTCAACTTTGGTTCTGAGTGCAGAACCACAGGAGAAAAGCCTTATTCTCCACAAATGAAAGAAAGGGCACAAGTGGTTTTTGGAAAGAGAGGGGTTGAATAGAGACAGGGGAAGCTCAAGATATTAGTAGCCTTCTTTCCTTTATGAATAGCCCCACTGCATGTATTGTACATTCACTGATTTCCTATCATGTACCAGATATCATGCTAAGGGACAACTATAGAGAGGAATAGACACAGGCCTGTCCCCTGAGAGCTTGCAATCTAGTGGAAGCAATGAGAAAACCAGACACATGACTTATAGTTAAGATAGAACGTAAGAAAACCCATAAGTGGGATAAAAATTGAAAACTCTGTAGATACAGATGAGATCACTTTTAGACTAGCTGGCCAGAGAAAGCCAAGATAGAGATGAGGTTTTTCCTAAGCTTTTGAGGATGATTAGGTTTTCAAAAGATGGAGGTGATGGTAAAGTGATCAACATAAGAGAGTTTCACTTAATAACATATTGAAGATCTTGTATGTCATATACTATCATAGTCTGTGTTTCTTAAAATAAGGTAGACTTGTCTTTCAAATATGCTATCTCATTTAATTTTCAATAATTTTGCAAGCTAAACACTATTGTCACCATTGCACGAATGAAGAAATCATCTCAAGGAAGGAAAATAACAGGCCCAATGACACACTTTTGATAAAAGGCAGATCCCGGATTTGAATCCAGGCCTGTCTGAGTCAAAAGTACAAGCTCTATCCTTAGTACCAAACTACCTCTTCATTGATCACTTTCAACCACGTTTGCCCTGCTAAATTTTCTCTGAATCTCTCAACTCACCTACACATGATTAGCAAACAAAACACCTTTTTAAGAATAATTACATACTGCTGAGAGATCTTTATTACTCCAACAAATGTGTACTGAAGGAACATATTTTCTCTTTTAAACTTCAACAGGTTTCCATTTATCATAACCAAAGACAACCAGTTCTTCAACTAAAAAGGTCACTCTAGAGCTAATTCTCATAGGGCTATGATGTGGCTCTGAGCACCTTCAGGGAGGTCCATGCCTTAGTCATCCATAGATCTTTAACACCTAACCCAGTGCCTAAAACAGAGGAAGAATCCAACTAATGCTTATTGAGATGAAATGAATACAAAGTTAAATAGTCCCTTTTCTTTTAATGAATGATCTGATAAAATTAAGGGGAGGAAGTTGTCCTATCTGGCAAACTCTCCTTATGTTAAGTCCATCAACCAATAACACGGTTCCACAATACTCATAACTGGTGGTATTGACTTGTTTCTCTACATATTGGCCTGTTTGTGTTTCAAGATCCAACTCACGACCCACCTTTTTCATTCCCATTCTATTTTTATTTATTTAAGTTTAATGACCACCTGTGAGATAAGATGTATTCACCTCATTCTGCCACTGAGGAAACAGATGTTCAGAGACAGCTTTATGATTTCCATCAACTCACTTAGCTAATTGTCAGGTTCACGACTACACCAAATGTTCTCCTTGGGGTCAGGTCTGAAGGGAATGGGTGGATAAGCGTATAGCTGAAAGAACACTCAAGGGGCCATAGCCAGATGAAATGTGGTTTAATTCATCAGCTCTCTCATCAGCAGCTCACTCGTCAGCAGCTAACTCACACTTAGTTCTCCCACGCTGTCCGCCTTGTCTCAGCTGTGGCCGTCTCTCCCTTCAGGGTCAGCAGCTAAACTCCTTCTCTCTCTGGGCAGGAGCTGTGTCCTGGCTCCCCGCTGCCCATCTGCAAAGGTGGACAGCCCTGGCTCTCTCCCTCTCTCTGGGTGTGAGCGTGCCCGTACAGTGTCAGCAGGGCAACTATACCTTTTACAGACAATAGTGGCGTAGGGCCAAGGGATGGCCTTCCCATATTATGGCTACGTGACTGTGATAACAAGTGGAGTTATATGCCTGTACTCTAAACTCACTGGAGTCACTTTGGATGTTTACCTGGGCCTATCCTTGATCAAAGCACAGCCATGTTCCTTACACTAATAAATGGTAGAGACTAGATTTCTTCCTAAGGTGTTTGATTACAAGTCTAAAAAAGGGAACTTATAATGTAAATCTTAGAAGAAACCTATTCCAAGGAGAATTAACTGATCTTTTCTTTTCAAGAGCATGTTCTGTATCCACAGGACCAGCAAAGAAAGCCACTTTGCTCTTACCTTTCCCCAGGAAATCTAAAGAGAAGATTTTTGTCACAAAGACAATCTCTGCAAATGAAATTGGAAGATCCAGGAAACTGGAGAAAATAAAATACCCAGATTTAATTTTCTACATCTATCATTAATCTTTTAAATGGATTTTATAAGAATTTTATTACACATAACTCTAGTCCTGAAATCTAACTCAGATTTACAGAAGCTAAAATTTCCATAAAATATAAACTGTGAATAATTTAGATTACATTCTACTGTACAATAAATATATATCCCAGACAGGAAGAGATCTATAACCTCATTTTCCTCTTGACATCTGCAGAACAGCTTTCCCTGGCAAAAAGTTTGCTGACCCCAGCAATTCAGCCAAAGTCATAATAAAGCAAAGCATAGTTTTCTTTGGTTAAAATTCATTTCTTATCAAAGACAGTTTAGAGAGTAGGCTCTGGAGCTGGGCTACCTGGTTTTGAACACTACATCTGCCACTAACAATCTGTGTGACCTTGGGCAATTTATGAACCCTCTCTGTGCCTTCGTCTAGGTATTGGTCTAGAACTGTTATGAGGACCAGTAATAAAACAAAAAAGTAATAAGTTTATCATATTATTTCCTGACACACAGCAAGCACTTAATAAATGTTAATTATCACCACTGTTATCACTACCACCACCATCATCATACATTAGCAAATCTTCATGTCTCTCAAAGGCTGAGCCCAATTATTTTTCCATCCTTTCATTCTACTGGATCAGTGGCAGGCGAGGCTCCATTTAAAGTACATTTGATTATCCTTAGACTCAGAGACAGGAATTCAGAGGAGCCTGGCAATACAAAGTCGCAAACAAAGACACAGCCGTTTTTATTATTTTTTTATTTTTAAATTTTGTGGGTACTTAGTAAGTAGGTATATATATATATATATATATTTATGGGGTACACAAAATATTTTGATACACGCATGCAACGTGAAATAAACACACCCTGGAGAATAGGGTATCTATCTCCTCAAAACATTTATCCTTTACGCTACAAACAATCCAGTTACATCTTTATTTTACAATGTACAATTAAGTTATTATTGACTATAGTCACCCTATTGTGCTATATAAAATAATAGGTGACACAGCTGTTTATAAAGTTACCATTTATTAGGTATACATTATGTAACAGGTGCTTTGCATATACTATTTGAAATTCTCTCAACAATTCTGCTTCAAAATTATTTAAATTTTACAACTAAGGAAACTGAGTCCCCAGGAAATCATATTGATATCAGGTGTTAGAAGCCAGAATGTCAACTTAGGTCAGTCTCACTACACAATCTATGTTCTTTCCACCATATTATCACATTGCATGTATTAAGTGCCACTCAATCCCTCTGCTGTGTCTTTGTCCTGCTCCTGATATCCCCACCTCTCCTGGAGCCCGCTCCTTCATGCAGTTTCATGTGTCCTCTGACAGGGATCTAGACTTGACCTGCCTCCCTTATGACCCATCTAACTTACCTGTCCAGCATTCTGTTCATTTTATATTTTACTTCAAGGAAAGGACCCAAGATTCTCCATTTCAAATAAGATCTTAAGTATTTTTGATGCAGAGCCTTTTGATGTAGCTAGAAGGTTAACAGAAATGAGTAACCTAATTTTAACCTTCCTAGAATAATAGGAATGATAGCTAATATGTTCTTATATTGAAAACATGCCAGGCAGATTCTCAATAGTTACCATGTGGGATCTCATTTCTCACCAAATCATTTCACAGATGATGAAACTAAGTTTACCTAACTTATGGGAAGTCATAAAGTTAGTGACTAGCAATTCAGGCATTGCCCATGACCGCCTGGCTCCAAAAACTAATGTGTGAAGAGCATTTTACTTTTAATTGTTGAGACACCAGTCAAAACTTGGTTGGGGACAAGTGTTGTTTGGGGGATAGAGATGCAAAGGATGAATTCTCAGCTGCCTACGTGAGCCATGTTTACAGCCCACATAGTCAGCACTTTGGGCAGTTTTCAAGTCAAGGTTTTGTCATGACTATCATGCAAGTTTTCATTTAGTTATTTTTTTTATTATACTTTAAGTTCTAGGGTACATGTGAACAACATGCAGCTTTGTTACATATGTATGCATGTGCTGTGTTGGTTTGTTGCACCCATTAGCTCGTCATTTACATTAGGTATTTTTCCTAATGCTATCCCTCCCCCATTCCCCCACCCCACGACAGGCCCCAGTGTGTGATGTTCCCCGCCTTGTGTCCAAGTATTCTCATTGTCCAATTCCCACCTATGAGTGAGAACATGCGGTGTTTGGTTTTCTGTCCTTGCGATAGTTTGCTCAGAGTGATGGTTTCCAGCTTCAGCCATGTCACTACAAAGGACATGAACTCATCCTTTTTTATGGCTGCGTAGTATTTACTTCTCCGTCTCAACCATTAACTCAGGATTCCAAAATATACATTTTCAAAAATTGAGATACTCTTAAAAACCAACAAAAGAGCCAGGACCACCAAAAACTGATCACTCCAAACAGCTAGGGCACAGTTGAAAGAGGGCAGTATGTTCCTGGAATGGTGGGAGGTTGTTAGACGAATGTTGAATGATGCGATCTCACAGAATCAGTCAAATTTGTTATTTTTTTTCTTACCAGATTCTTTTTCTACCAGTAGGAAATCAGCAGATAGGGCAATAATAATAATAATAATAAAAGGGATCTTTGAGGCAGTTGAAAGATTTAGTTAACGATCCCTAGGGCTTTCTTTTTATAAGATATGGCACCTAGTTGGGATAAACCTGCAAAGATATTTTAATAGGTGACAGATTTTGTATTACAAATGTACGTTTAATGTAATAGAACAAAAGCAGACTTTGATTTGGAAAACCTGGGAATCTGCTCTTCACTCTACAACCATCTGCAGCAGGAACTGAGACTTCATTTCTTCTCTGCCCCATCTCACAGGGTGGCTGAGAGCATCAAAGGGAATAAACTATCTGAGACTGCTTTGTAAACTCTAAAACACCATAAAAACGTAAGGGATTATATTGTTGTAATATGTATAATAGACTCTTCCTAGCTAAGATCTGTGAGGAGTCAGAGAAGAATACCTGGAGCAGGGTGCGGGGAGAAAAACAGGGTTTTTATTAATTCATTTAGGCTCTGTTCCAATTGAATTCTAGCTGTAGAACTATGTTCTGTAATTATGATTTAGCAGTGCCAGAAACAAATATAGCTATCAAGTTCATCCACTTGCACAGAGAACAAATTAGTTCATAAAATGTACTGGATTTTATCTCCAAATTGAAATTTTGGCCTAAGTCAGTAATAGACACTAAGTCATTTGAGTTTTTTTCAGTGGAGCAATGTTAGTTAGCTGATGTTTTCAGAGAGAAAGTAGCCACTAAGAGTAAGGTGATTTGGAGAAAAATATATGTTTATATTGTGTCCTAACCATAGTCTATTTATGATATTAAGATTTTCAGCTGTTTTTAAAGACTATAGTTCTCTCTGGTCTTTGAGACCAGTAGTTCCATCAACTTTAGTTTTCATAAGACCCATCGTGCCTTACATCCATATGCTTTTATGTTTTACTTCAGGGCAAGTACCCAAGATTCTCTATTTCAAATACAATCTTAAGTATTTTTTGATGCAGGAGGCCTTCAGAATCACTGTTGGAGATAATAGATTTACAAGTTTAAATTAGGCTTCTGTCTAGACCAGGGCAAGGCAAGTAACAGAAATGAGTGATGCAAGCCTGTGGGTTGCATGGTGAACAGGGAAAGTCGTGCCTCTCCTTCGGGTTGCAGTAAGCAGTTAGCATAATTCAGGCTTCATGCCAAAAACATTAACATCCAGTGTACCAGGTGTTTCCTTATTTTTGAGATGCCAAAAGCCTGGATTTGCATGTGCATAAAATATGCCGATTTTTAGAATGTTGCCTCAATATTTCAAATAGTGTGTGGATTAATCAACATGGCTACACTCATTCAGTGAGAGGCTGCTTTGATACCCCTATTCGAGGCTAGAATTCCTTGCAAGTTGTAGAGTATGAGTCTTAGTCATGAGTGAATGAATGAATGAATGAATGACATGCTCTCTTCAAGATTGTTGACCTTATCGTGCATCTAAAGCAAAGATCTATCTTAACACTTGAAGTAATTAGAAATTATCACCTCTTTGCTTGCAGTGGAGTGAGCTGTCCAATAAGACAACTACACGCTTGCTCATTGTGGACACGTTCTTTCCTCAACAGTAACATTTTATTTTGTTTCAGGTGTGGCTGTCTACCTGTCTTTCATGGTGCAGCTCATTGCATTTTTAAAAGATGTTTTTTTCCAGGAGCTAATTGAGCTTTATCTATGTGAGTGAGCTAGAATCTGTCACTGACAGCCTGCAGAAGGCCATTTCTTCAATTGCTTGAAAGAATTAAAGAGTCAGACATGACAAACTGCAGCTCAGAATACCTGGCTGCAAGCCCATTAGTGCTGCTGTGCCAAGATGCACTAATAAATTACTTAGAGAACACAGACTCACTTTACTTCTGTCAGGAAACTCGCCACCCTAAAACCAAGGGAAAAGATTTGATTTTTTTCTATCAAAGTTTGTCAGGGCCTTTTGGAAACAGAATGCATTATTTATTTTTTGCAAAACATAATTGCTGGCAAACCCATTCCAGTCTATGAAAACAGCTTTCCTTTGTTTCTTCTATGATTTCTAGAGAAACAAACCTTAGGCTTTCTTTATATCTCTTACTCTCTGCCAAGAAGCAACTGTTAACATAGCAGCAACTGTAGCAAATAAAAAAATCAAACTGTGCATTTCTTTCCAATCCTGTTTTATAAACTGGGTCCTACTGTCTTAGCTTTTCTTGTAACCGAAGAGACAATTAACTTTTCCCTAAGGGGTAGAGCAAGAGTATCCCATTTACCAGAATGTTCTTATCAATCATTGATCAATCAAGAATAAGTTGTAAAGCTGTCTGCCAGTATTCTCGGTATTTGCTCAATTTATCTTGGATCAAATCCTTCCATAGGCAGAGAAGGCCAGATACGATTCTGGGTCTTATATTGATGAGTCCCTCTCTAAATAATTTTCTGAATTCATTCTGCTGTCCTCATTCCAATTCCAACGCTCATTTCTGACTATATACCCCAGTGCTGCCTCACAATTTTGGGGGATTTTTGTGTGTGTGGTCCTAGTTGGTGACACAGCCCTGGCCACTATCAAATCACTGTGGTCACTGGAAGGGAAGACTCTGTTGTCCAGCCGAGGTGAAGGAGGAGCCTTTTGAGGGACAACTCTATCAGGGGAAGGGGTGGCTCCCTAAATGAAAAGTAGATTGTTATTGCCACATGATAGGGGATGGGAGGCAAGTAATCAACAGCAATCAGTTTAAATCCATTAAATTAGTTTTTGCATCCAAAATGTGGATGTGATTTTCAGATACTCTGAAGTCCAGTCTAAAATAGGACTTTATACAATGTTTTTGAGCAAGAGAAACCTTACAGGAATAAGCGCATGGATTCACAGGGGAGCTTTGGCACCAGGAAGATACTCATATGGAGTTAAGACTTCTTACAACAATTGCAAACACAGCTTCAATATTATTTGCCCACATGCTGAAAATATTAACAAGCTGACAGAGATGGGTGGGCTACCAGGGGACTTGCACAGGAAACTCAATTTAAGCATCTTCCCCAGCCCATTCATCACAAGTCATTCATTTGATGTAGTCCTCCAAGAAAATCACCTTAACAACAAAAAAGGCAGCTGTTCAGCTAACAGCCTGAATCACAGGGACAGGAAGTGAAGATGCCACAGGAGTTTTTCTGCTCACCCACTTGGTCTGCTGACCGAGCCCTGTGGAGTTATGGAATTTGTGTCCACAACACAAGACTGGGCTATACTGAAGTTATTAGCAAGTGCAGTCTCTGTGTTTTGAGCTACTAGGGATTGAGACCAGAATGAAAAAAAAAAGAAATGAGAAAACATCATTCTGGTATTCATACCTTTTAAGAGACTCAAAGTTCAGAATATGTGCCCTTTATCATATATTTTCATCCTGTACAAGCTTTTTCAGATTAGATTTGCTGAAGCTTTGAAGGAGAGATCAACCTACTTCCTAGGCAAGGTTACTCCCATACATTTCCAATAAAATAGAAATGTTCACTACTTGCCACCTGGATTATCTTTTTCTTCACTTGGATGTCCCTCCCCTGGGAAATGTCTGCTTGCTCGTGCTGTGTGCATGTATGTGCATTGGCAGCTAAAAGGAATGCAATCAGAACCTGGTATTCTACGTGTTTCCCTGGTCATCACGCTCTGTTCACAGCTTCTTCTTTCATCATCCATTATCAATTTTTCCTAAATGACTTCCTCTAGATGCTGTAAGTCTCTTAACTATATCTTTCTAGTTGATTCACTCGCTCTTTCAGCAGACATTTACTGTGTACCTTCTTTGCATAGGACCCATGCTAGTTATTGAGAATAAACGATATATTGTTGAATTCAACAAACATGTATGTGCCAAGCCCATTTTCAATATGCTAGGGATCTCACAGTCTAACAGAAAAGAGAGGCAAACCAGAAGATATTTACAATAGAGAGGGAAAAGTGATGTTACACTAAGTAGAGAGTGTTTTGAAAGCACAGAATGGATGTGAAATCTGAGCAGACCCAGGGATATCCATGGAAAAGGGTTTTATTTCTTTCACTTTGGTTGAGCCAAATTCATGTTCCGGCTGTTTTTCAAGTATCTCTTATGAGTGGCATTGATTGTTTTACACTGGGATACTCTTGAGGGAGAGCTATTTCTTGTTCTCAAGAAATCTGATCAACTGGTGTTCTCTACAACCTCACGTCCACCATCTTTCCATCCCCAGCAACATCAGCACCTGTGCTGAGGTCTGCTTCTCTGGGTCCCTCTCCCTATCACTTTCCAAGCTGACAAGGGAAGGCAGAGCACTCAAGAAAAAATAAATAAACCAAATGACTTGGATCGTTTTCAAAACTTTTGTTGAAATAAAATATGAAAAACATCAAAACCTCATTGCATCTGTCTCTTTGCTTAGGATTCATAGCTTATTCTGTGAACAACTTAACAATAAAATTTGTTCAACAGGTGAAATAGAAGATGGTGAAAATGTCAATCTGTTTTGAATCTGTTGAATTTTGTTTTGAATATGGCTTCCCTTCCTCCTAAGGACTGAGCCATCACTGGATAGAGCTCAATGTTACTTATTCTTGTTCAATATCCATGTAGGCCAGTAACCTCAAAGCCACATTAGGGAACACGCACTTACAAATTGAATGTTTACATTTGGATTGTTTGGGAGCAATTTTAAAAGGCCATGGCATGTCATACTTGTCATTGTGTTGAGGTACATTTTGGGATCTGGAGCTTCTTAAGTCTGGAAATTCATTAATTAGTGAGTGAGGCTATCCAACCATTCAGTATCCATATATAAGTTCTACTTTGTTGCAGTTTACTAGTGACTGTGTATAATATTTTTTGCTGTATATAGATTTTATTGAAGCAATTATATGTAGTAATATTTCCAAGAAAATGAGAGATATACCAGCACCCAAGAATATATCTCGTCTAAATAATATCTCTTCTAAATATCCAATAATATAATACTCTGTTGCATTATCCACATTATCCTGTTTCCCCTTGGCACTGGCACAGTGACCAGCACAAAGAAGACACATCACAATTTTTTATTAGATAATATTTAATGCAGCATCAGCTAGTAGTATTTCCATGTGAGCTACTTATAATGCTAAGGCAATCTAAAGAAATGCACAAGACTTGCATAAATTATTTTTCTAGGTTTCCCATTTTATTTTTCCGTTTTCAAAGGCTTAAGAAGAATGCTTATCCATATACTTCCATTTTGAGGGCGTCATATGATGTTGTGCTGAACTCATGCAGCTTTCACATAAGGTGATATTTGGGAGTCTAACCTCTTCCTTTCTGGGGCTTGTATAATCCTTTCGTAAGCATGTGCTGTTACAATGAACTTTAGTTCTCTGATCTTAAATATGGTGTCCTCTGCCAACCCGGAACTTTAATGATAAATTTGGCATTTAAGCAACACTGTGGTAAATTTGCTAGAAAGAATATGGGCTCTGAAGCAGAGAGATAGTTTCTAATTGTGGTACATCCTCTTTCTACTTGCGCAATATCAGGACATTTAATGAACTCCTCTGAGATTTAGTTTCCTCACCTGTAAAAATGTGAATTGAAGTGAGTTGAATGGTGGGTCCCAAAAAGGTATGTCCACATCCTAATTCCCGAAGGCTGTGAATATTACCTTATAGGGAAAATAAATGAGTATTACCTTATATGGCAAAAGATATAACTAATTTAAGGATCTTGAAAGGGGGAACTTATCCTGGATATTCTAAATGGTCCTACATGTAATTATACACATCCTTATAAGAGAGAAGCAGAGGCAGTTTTCAGACAGACGCATGGAGGAGGAGACATGCAGAGGAGAAGGAGTCAGTATCACCACAGAAGCAGAGATTGAAGTGACGTGGCCACCAGAAGCTGGAAAAGGCAAGGAACAAATTCTCCCTTTAGAACCTTCAGAGAGAGTGTGGCCCTATAGACACCTTGATTTCAGACTTTAGCCAGAACTATGAGGAATAAACTTCTGTTGTTTTAAGCCACAAAGTTTGCAGTCATTATTTTGGGCAGCCACTGGGCATGAATACAGGCATAATAGGCACCTTGCAGAGTCAGTGTAAGGATCAATGAGAATGTAAGTTAGAAACCTCAAAGTGGGCACTCAGTAAATAGTAACTATTGTGATTATCATTATTGCCTAGCCAGGTTGTATACATGCAGATGTTAAAATCAAAATTTGACAGAATAAGCCTAATTTTTGCTTCCAAGAGATAAATAATCAACAAATGACCCCAACTCACTTTCCCAACGACATCTCCTACAACATAACTTATAGTTAGGGTAACTACATATTCCAGTTTGTCAGGCTGTCTTGGTTTATGCTTGTTATCCTACTGTACTTACAGATCACTCTTTTACTTTCAAAGGGCCTGAGTTGGACAATAAATAATAAGGTAGGCCTGCCTATACACCAAGTATGCTGGAATAATAGCTGCTAGCAATCTTTGCATGTGTACCATGAGTCTGGAATCATTGTAAGCATTTAACTTGTATCAACTCATTTAATTGTCACAAGGCTTTATCCCCACTATGCCCAAGGATATACAGATAGTGAACAGTAAATTTGATGTTGCTTCTCAGACCAACCTGCATGGCTCAGAATCTAGACTTCACTGCCACTTTATTACTTGACAATGCCCACTAAAGTATCCAATCTCACACCTCTTTGTGCTTACTAATCAGTTCTCAGCTGCAGTGCTAAGCCATTGTTATATTTAAATATATTGTGAGAAGTTCCATACACTATTTAACAATGGTACGAGTGTTGCATTTCCAAATTATTTTTTAAATAAATTAGAGCCAACTCAAGATTCTACATACAATAACATAGCACTCATTTACCTGAAATTTGAGAAATAAGAGAAAGAAGGGAGAAAGAGCTGCAGTGAGAATGGGTATGCCCATAGGAATATGTGGCACATGGAAGCACTACTGAATCATGAACATTTCAGTAGCATTAAAAATGCTAAGAGCTACACACTTTTCTCATCCTGTTGCCTTTGTCTGAAACATCTCCCTTCACAATCTCCTGTTGAACATCTACTATTTATTCAAGTCATAATTCATATGGCCATGAACACATCCCCAAATATCCATGAAAAACAAATGGTTCCCTCTTTGGAAAGCTCATCATTAATAAATCAATTTTTCTTTGCATCATACCATGCTATGTTCCACACTGATCTAAACACTGGTGTGTCTCCCTGGCTTCTCTGTAGAAAGCTGTGGGCAGGAACTGTATCTTTCCCTTTTCTGCAACCCAAGCACCAGTCACAGTTCTTTTCACACAGAAGAGGCTCTCAGTCAGTTAGTTTATAGGTAGGATTGTGTCTCCTTTCACCATGCACATTTCTTTGGCTTAGGCTGCCATTCTGTAAATACTCTGCCCACTAACTGAACAGTCAGCATTCACTTGGTGAGAATATGTTGAATGCCCACTCTATTCCAGGTAGGGAGCGAGAAGCTGAGAATACAGAAATGAGCATCACTGTCACTCCTCACTAGACAGAAAGGAGTCTAGTGATTACTATAAGAGGTGGTGCTCATATTCAGTGTGTGAATTTGGAAGGATTTACCAAGGCTAAGAGGGAAAGGGCATTCTAGCTAGCTCTAGGGTACTCAAAGTGTGATCCACACATCAACAGCATCAGCTTCACCTAGGAGCCTGTTAAAAATGCAGAAAGTCAAGCCTTACGCTACATATCTACTGAATCAGACGTGCATGGAATACATTGCCTGGGACCTGGAAAGCAGTCAGAAAATATTGCCTATTATTAGTGCTACAATATGTGAGCTGGATTTTGAATAACTAGGGGGTGTTTTCCAGAAAGATAAAAGAAGGAAAAAAATCCTGGCAGTGGAAAGTACCTGTGCACAGGCAGGCAGATATAAAACATAGTGAACTGAGACAGGGGAATGAATAAGGCATTTGCAGTAGTTGTATTGGATGGAGGTGACGACAGAAAGACTCTGGCGCGCTAAGTTAGGGGAATTTGTCAAAAGATCTTGAATGACATTCTCAATGCTTCCTTTTTATCTTGAGGATAATTGATATGTGTATACAAGAGAGTAACATAATGTGAATTTACTAGAAAGTATGGAAGATGGAATAAAGAGAGAAAAACCTAAAAGCAGAGTGAACTATTAAGAGTGTGTGACTACAGTCTTGCCAAGAGATGATAGTTATGGCTGGGTTCAAGAGACTTTTCTGAATTAAAACTCCTAGGCTTCAGTGAGCAATTAGGTAACAGGATGACTGAGTTTCCTGTTTAGGATGACAAGAAGGATGATAGTGAAACATCTTACCAGGTGCCTTAGTTAGGCTTAGAGAGCAGCTGCAATAACAGAAAAGTCATCGCCACCCCAAAATAACAGGTGTTGCAACAGAGAAATTTGTTTCTCTCTCAAGAAGTCCAGAGCTAGGCAATCCAGGACTGATACAATGCCCTACGATGATGGGACAGAAGGTCCTTTTGTCTATTAATTCTCCATGTAAAGACTCTCCTCTCAAGGTCACTTCATGGTCCAGGTTGCTGCACAAGTTCCAGCTCCAACCACCATCTCTTTATCCCAGCCATCAGGAAGGAAGAAATAGGTGAAGAAGGAAGAGTGCTTTCAGTGGCTGTCATTTAAACAGGGCTCCCAAACGTTGGCACATGATACTTTCACTTATTTCTTACTAGAAAAAATAAGCAACAGGGGCTTAAAAAGTACATATTTTGGGGGTCGCCATTTTCCCAGTTAATAAAGATTCTGTTATAACGTTAGAAAGATACAGTCGAAACAAGTAGCGATTTCTGCCACCATCAAACAAGGAATGGAGAAGAGGAAGCAAGTTTTACCAAGGGAGCAATAAATGTTGACATTAAGGTAGCTATGGCGACATTCAATGAGAAATACCTAGGAGGCAGTTGGACACATGTCTCTAGAGTTTAGGATAGAGGTGTGAAAACAGAGATAGAAAGTTTACGTGTCTTTCCTCCTGCTCCCAGTTGTCCTGAAATAGGCATTTGAGGTGGTATAAGTAGCCTATTTATTCCATCCATAGAAAAATTTGCTGGCATGAAAACAAACCCACAACAGAAATTATTGTGTTATGATTGTCAAAAATATAGAGTAATTCATAGGGTTTACAGGTAAGAACCTTCTCCCAGGACTGCTCAGTAGCTCTGCTACTGATGCCCATGGGCAGGTCATATTTTTCTTGTCAGGTTTTGGAGCCATTCTTCATTTTGCTTCATGGATTTTGAGGCTATGAACATTTGAAACCCCTTATAGCAACCTCTTTAAAACATACTTCATAACTTCATATCTCGGTGCTTATGCTTTGTCATGAATGACACTTATTTTCATGACTCTAAAATTATAGAATTTATTTTGAGAGTCAGAGCCCTTTTTTGATTCTATGGTATTTGGAAATCATGGGTACTCTTACTCCTGCTCTAAAGTCTGAAACTCTTAGAACGAAGGTCATTATTCTCCTCCAGCTGACCTTATATTCCCAAGGGACTACTCATTGTATTTCTATGAATAAGGGATTTAGGACACTAGAGATAATTCCATACACACTTTCCAGGAATGAAAATGACTGACCTGCAGAGTTAACCAGCCACAAGTTAAAAGAGACATCAATAACTTGAGGAGGTCTAGAGAGTAACTCATATGGTGAGACGTCTAAAAATCAAGTCCATATGGTACAGAGGGAGGAATCCTGAGAAGAGGGAAGCATAGTAGGATCACGAATATCAGACACATGGACAAGAAACACACTTACCTGTAAAATGAAAGCAAAAGGAAGAAGTCACATAAAAACTGATTCAATCTAAAATGACACAGCCTTCCCTATCAAAATTCTAATGACATTCTTCACAGATATAGGAAAAACAATCCTAAAATTTGTATAGAACCACAAAAGACCCTGGATAGCCAATGCAATCTTAAGGAAAAAGAATAAAGCTGGGGTATAATACTACCTGAAATCAAAATATACTGCAGAGCTATAATAATCAAGACAGCATGGTACTGGCATAAAAGCAGACACTTAGACCAATGGAACAGTACAGACAGACCAGAAAATAAACCCATACATTTACAGACAACTGAGTTTTGAAAAAGATAATAAGAACACATAATGAGAAAAGGACAGTCTTCAATAAATGGTGTTGGAGAAACTGGATATCCACATAGAGGAGACTGAAACTAGACCCTTATCTCACACCACATGCAAAAATTAACTCAAAATGTATTAAAAACTGAAACATAAGACCTGAAACTATTAAACTACTAAAAATATAGGGAAATGTTTCATGACATTGATCTGGGCAATGATTATTTGGATATGACCCCAAAAGCATAGGCAACAAAAGCAAAAATAGATAAATAATATTATATCAAAATAAAAAGCATCTGCATAGCAAAGGAAACAAAAGAGTGAAAAGCCAACCTATGGAATGGGAGGAAATGTTTGCTAACCACACATCTGATAAGTGGTTAATATCAAAAAATATATAAGGAACTAAAACAACTCAATAGCAAGAAAACAATTTAACCAGATTAAAAATAGACAAAGCACCTGAATAGATATTTCTCAAAAGAAGACATACAAATGGTGAACAGGTTTATGAAAAAATGCTCAATATCACTAATCATCAGGGAAATGCAAATTAAAACCACAGTGAGATATCACCTCACACCTGTTAGGTTGGCTATTATCGAAATGACAAATGATAACAAGTGCTGGTGAGGATGTGGAGAAAACGAAACCCTTGCACACTGTTGATGGGAATATAAATTAGCAGAGCTATTACTGAAAATAGTACAGAGGTTCCTCAAAAAATTAAAAATAGAAATACCATATGATCCAGCAATCTCACTACTGGGTACATATCTACCATAATCAGTATGTCAAAGAGATAATGGCACTCCGATGTTTACTGCAGCATTATTCACAATCATCAAGACAAAGAATCAACCCAAATGTTCAACAATGGATGAACAGTTAAAGAAAATGCGATATATATGCACAGTGGAATACTATTTGAACACAAAAAAGAAGAAAATCTTGTCATTCACAACAACATGGATAAACCTTGAGGACATTATGTTAAATGAAATAAGTCAACCACGAAAAGACAAATATCATATGACCTCATTCATATTTGGAATATGAAAAATTTTATCTCAAAAACAGAGAGTAAAATGGTTGCTACCAGGAGCTGAGGTGGTGATGGAGGAGAGAGATGTCGATCAATGATACGAAATTTCAATTAGATAGGAGAAATAAGTTCAAGCGATCTATTGCACAACATGGTGACTATAGTTAATAGTGATATTTTGCTGCTATGGTTTGAATGTATCCCCCAAATTTCATTTGGAAATTAATCTCCAAATTCATATGTCAATGGCATTTGGAGGCTGGGTCTTTGGGAAGTAATTAGGTTAAATACAATCATAAGGGTGGGGCCCCTATGATGGGACCTGTGGCTTTATAAGACGAGGAAGAGAGACCTGAGCTGGTATACACTTTCCCTGTCACTGTGTGATACCCTCCACCATGTTATGATGCAAGAAGGCCCTCACCAGATGTTGCCACCTTGCACTTGGACTTCCAAGCCTCCAAAGCTCTAAGAAATAAATTTATTTTTTAAATAAATTACCCAATCTATAGTATCCTGTTACAGCAACAGAAAATGGACTACAAAAATTGCATTCTTAAAAAATTCTAAGTAGGTCATAAGTGTTCTCACTGCAAAAACAATAACTATGTAAAGTAAAACATATGTAAATTAGCTTGAGGTAGGCATTCCTCAAAGTACATATGTTTTAAAACATCATGTTGTACACGATAAACGTATACAAGTTTATTTGTGAATTTAATAAAATAAATCATTAAAAAACTAAAATTAGACAGATTTTCTAACACTTGAGAATAACCTACTGAAAAAAAATTAGTCAAGCAGGAAGGAAGGCATCTCCAATGTAGTAAAGACTAGCTATGTCAATCAGTTTCCTATTTAACAGTAAAACACCAGAGACATTTCCACTCAAAAACAAAACAATGATGCTTATTGTTGCCACTGTCATCTGCTGTTATTATGTAAATTCTAGGGATTAAAATATAACAATTAAAAGAAATAAGATGTATAATCATTGGAAAGGAGGTGACAAAAAAGTCATCATTTGCAGATGGTATGATGTATATATATATACCTAGAAATGCCAAACAAATCAACTGAAAAGCTATTTAAACTAACATGAGTTTAGGAAGATAGATAAGTACAGAAAAAAGTAGAAAACCAATAGTTTGTCTACATATCAATAGAAATGAATCAGAATATATAATCAAAAAATATCCCATTAGTAATGGAATGACAAACATCAATTTCTAGTAATATAGCTAACAAATTGCTGTGCTAAGTGCAATGGCACATAAGCAAAGTGAGCAAATCTGATCCCCCAAGTTCTCATTATCCCATTGAGAGTCATGCTTGGGCTGGGTTGTGCTCCAGGAGAGGGCCCTGGCCCCACATTACTTTACTTACTTGTATAAGGGAGGAGGGACACAGGAGAACACCAACTGAATGTGCAATGATGTGAGCTATGTGTTCTTGGAAAGAGTCTTCTTAGAAAAGGGCAGCAAGCTAAGGCATCCCCAGCTCAGCCAGGATCTTAAAAATCAGCACTATCTGTATCAGCCAGATAAATTGCCGTCCTGTTGAGCCAGCATAGGCCTGCTGATAGCTCATAACAAAGATACCAGAAATGAGAATGAGACTGCCTCCAAGGCCACACAGGAGATAAAACTTTTCTGCCTCCTCACTAGTAAATTGCAAGACCTCCATTAAGAAAAAGCAAAAAATTTCTGGGAAATGTTAAAGAATATTTCAATAAATATCTTTATTCCACTTACTCGTTAATTCACTGACTAATATTTTTTGAGAACCTAGCCGGCCACCCACTGTCACAAATGCTAAGTAGACAATGGTGAACTCTCATGGAGCTTAAAATCTAGGGGGAAAGACAATAAAAATAAGCAAATAATGAATCTATAATTAAAATCATGGCAAACATTAGAAATCAAATAAATTCAGGGCAGTGCTAAAGAATACCCCTGGGGATGGAACTAGAATAGGCTAATTAAAAAAAGACAGTAAGAGAAGGTAATGTTTACAGTGAGACTTGAAGTATCAGAAAAGACCACTTACACAAAGAGCAAAGAGAATAGTATTTCAAGAAGGAGAAACAATGTGAGCAAGAACCCTGGGTTCAAAAAGAGCTAGAAGTGTTCCAGGAACAGAAAAGAGGCCAATATCATTAGAAACAGTGGGCAAAAAGGATAATGGTGCAAAACGAAACTGGAGAGGGAAATGAGAATGGCTTGGGAAGCCATATTAAGCAGTTTGGATTTTATTTGAAGTGCAATAGGAAGACATTGATGGGTAATAGGCAAAACAGTTATATTATAAGGTTTATGGTTCTTAAAAAATTACTTTGGCTGCAGCATGCATGATGAGCCAGAGAAGGGAGAGTGGAAACAGGGAGATCATTCAGGAAAATATTGACATAGCACAGGAGAAATGAGCATGGCTCAGACTAAAGTGGCAATGGAGATGGAGGGAAGAGGACATATTTAGCTAATATATTGCAATCAAAAGGAATTCTTAGAGATTATATGTACAAGGTGAAACAGGAAAAAAAAAATCAAGGAAATCTTCCAGGTTTCTGGCTTAAACAACACAGGTCTTTGTGAAGTGGCAAAGACTAGACAAAAAGAGTTTCAAGGAAGAGAGCTCAAGAGTTTAGTTTTGAACATAGTACATTTAAAATGATTGTGGGATATCTAAGAGGAGCTGTCAAGTAGGCAGTCAACCCTAAGAGCCTAAACTCCAAGAAGAGATTTAAGCTAAAGATATAAATGGAGCTGTCAGCACATCAATGGCTTAAACCAGGAAAAGAATGAAATCAACCAGGAGAGCAGTTCGAAACTGAGTCATAATATTTGCCATATCTGTGTAGCACATCTATGTACTTTTTGTAGAAATCATTTTTCTAAAATGTCCACTTAAATACCCCCTTTAATGCCTTCCAAAGCAATCATAACTGTGAAATTGCCTGTTTAATATGAAAGTTACATTCTAATTTAACATGAAGTATAAAAAATATGTAACCATTAAAGGAAAAATGTTTGCCCATATACCATCTAAAATCAGCTTTGACTCCTCTAGGAGAATGTATAACATCATTCAGGACATACTGACTAAAGGAGAAACATTGAGAGGATGTAAGAGCCTAGGAGTACTTAAATATTTAGACTTTGGGTGGAGGGAAAAACAAAAAACAAAAACCTGCAAAGACTGAGTAGCCGGAGAGAGAGGAAGGAGATACACCAGAAAAGTTGGGGTATAGTGGGTGTCATGATGTGCCTGCCACTCAGAGTCCTATTCAGAAAGAAAGGACTTACTCCCCTACCCCACCTTCTCACTGGGGACCTGCCTTCAGCTGGAGTTATCTGACTGCAGTCACATCCCCCTCCTCAGGGACAGCCGCGTCCAGTGGTTGTTCAGGGGGTCTAAAGGTGCAGCCTCCTCACCACCACTCAGGACAACTCTGAAGGGCCTGTTCAGTCTCATGGGGTTGGCCAAAATTTTTGTGGACATGCATCACAGCCCAACTTCGCCTTCTGTTCTTTTCTATTTCCTTCCCTTCCCCCACAGTTATTGAATCCCAAGAGCACTCCGTCATCACTTCCTGTATGCTGATCTCTGTCTCAAAGTTGTCTTTCTGGGGAACTCATGCTGCATTATGTGGTATTTCAAAAGGAAAAAGGGAAGAGTGTTTCAGGAAAAAAGAAAATACTGAAAAGTCAGATAAGAAGCCATAACACTATTCTTGGTAGGAGGCCTCAGTAATTGCAAATATGCAAATTTTCATCAACTTTATTTGGGTATTGTGTGGAAGAGAAAAACATCTAACTGAAAAAATAAACAAGTGAAAAACTTTTTTAAATCTTTGAAAAGAGAAAATAATAATAGAAGATCATCATTTCTCTAGAATCTAGATAGTAAAACACACTGAAGAGTGACAACGAGTCATACAGTATAGGGTTGATGACAGAATAAAAACAGTTTAAGAATAAATGTAAAACCCAAAATAGATTTAAATCAATATATAAAAATACATATACATAAGTAAGAGTAATTCAGGTAAAAAATGAGAGCTAGAGTTTTTCAGCAAATGAATTCACATTCTCAAGGGCCCAGGTGTTTGAGAGGAAAACAATTCAACAAACAGAAATTCGTTATACCCACAGCAAATACAAAGAAAAAGAGCATGGCATGCTATAAGACAAAAAAGATAATTAGATCAAGAACCTACTAAATCATACAGAAGATTTCGATTTTGTCCTAAAGGCAATGGGAAATCATCAAAGGCTGTGCTGTCCAGTATGATAGACACTAAACCTATGTGCCTGCATGGACTTCAAATATGGGTAGTCCACACTGAGAGATGCTCAAATAGAAAGTATTTCATGGAAAATTTTATAAACTGTTTATATAAAAAAGTATGTAAAATATTGAATTAATAATTTTTATATTGATTTTGTTGAAATCATAATATTTTGACCATACTGGGTTAGACATAATATATTCTTAAAATAAATTTTATCTGTCTCTTTCCTTCTTTAATGTAGCTACTAGAAAGTTTTAAATTACATATATGGCTCCCATTTATGCATATCATATTTCTATCAAACAGGATCAACATGAGCTCATCAAACCAGAAAGTTACATGATTAATTTTGCATTTTAAAGATATCTCTCTGGCTTTAGTGTGTCTCCTCCATTTCCCATTTAAGTTCATGCTGGGTTTTTGATCTTTTAACTTTCTTCATCCCATCCTCTTACCGGCCCCATGCAACACCCTCCTCACCATCACATTATCCTCTTAGGTAAATATCTTGTTCTAATAAGTAACAGGCCATTTGCATAGGATTTCTGGGCTGGGAGAATGTTGGGTTGTTTGTTTGTTTGTTTGTTTGTTTGTTTGTAGAATGTAAGATTGTATCCCTTCAGGGAAGAAAGGCAAGTATAGGGAAGTCTGGAAGACTGGAAGATATACAAGATAACATGTGATCTCACCTCAAGTTGATGAGTGCTACCTCCCTACATAGAAGATCATCCCTGCATGACCATCTTTGCATATTAGAGAGCACCTCCTCAGCCCCCAAAGAGAACAACTCTCTACAGACTGCCCAATACTGAATCGGTTCTTTCCTCATCAGCATTCTACTTATCTTCCTCAATAGTAACTGTGGCTCTGAGATAGCCTCTAGAGAGTATATGGAAGACGGCTGACTAGAAGCAGCTAGTGCGTGCTGCTTTCATGGAGAAAAGAAAAAGAGGCAAGTAAATAATAGATCTACAACTAGAACACCCAAGTGGACACACTGGGATTCATTAATGAATCAACTCAATACACAAGGAATGGAGAGGAACTGGCTAGGATAACCACCCACCCAGGAGTGACATGGAGCCAGGGGAGGTTCCCCACTACCATGGGAAATTGTGAGTGAATGAGAGTCCCCAGGGACCCATACTTCCGCCATAGACCTTTAAAACCCTGGCCTCAGGAGATTCCCCAGTGACCCCACCCTACCAAGGCCTTCAGACTGACACAAAGAGCTGCATGGAATCTGAGCAGAGCTACTGCTCAGGCACAACTGGAATCTCTAAAGCCTTGGATAACTGGGCATCTTGGCATTAGCAGCTGCAGCTCTGGCAATGGGAGAGGACAGACTCCCTTGCGTGCCCCTAGAAAAAGTGCAGAATCCAGAGGGCTGAGCAGTGACAGACTACAGGCCTTGCTTCCACTGTACCTTGAAGGATAAGGTCCACTGGCTTGGGACACCAGCCACTCTTTGCTGGGGCTCTCAGGCCAGTAGCTTCTTTGCACTTCCCTGGGACAGAGCTTTCAGGGGAGAGGCAGGCCGCTGTTAGAGTAGGTAGTTAGGCAGACATGAGCAGGGCAGGAGAGGCACCATGACCAGGAATGCCAGACAACCATCAGATGATGGTCGAGCAGTTGTTTAACTGTCACTCTAAAATAATAATTGGTTGCAGCTAGCACCAAGGCAAGGCAGGCTTCCAATAACTAGAAAACACCTGAAGTTTGTAATAAGCAGTTTCCCAATAAGATCTCAAAAGTTGGGTGAGTGGGCTCAAGCATGCACACTAAGGCAAAATGGTGGAGTTTAACTGGTTTATGACTTTCCTCCAGGAAGGCTTGACTTGTATGAGAAAAATACTTCAACTGAGCATGCGTGCAACTTCAGTAAACACAATACGCATAATAAGTTAGGGTGGGGTGACCAGCCTTCTCTATATAAACACTTGGTCTAACCAATCTGTGTGCCCTACATGAATCAGGCACTGCTTCCTCAAGCCTGTCTATAAAATCTGGTGCACTCCTCCATGGGCCGGAATTCCTATTCAAGTGCCCCTCTCTCTCAAAAGAGAGAACTGTTCTCCTTACTTTTTCTTTTGCCTATTAAACCTCTGCTCCTAAACTCACTCCTTGTGTGTGTCCATGTCCTTAATCTTCTTGCGCAAGATAATGAACTTTGGTTATTTACACCAGAAAACAATGACGTTTCAACAGCAGCTCCACATCTCTCCAGGGGCAGCCTCAAGAGACAAGTGAAAAACCTTCTGCCTCAACCACTACTAAGGTCCCTTGTTGTGCTGCCTCCAAGCTGAGGAGGGAACATAAAGCCTGAGATCGCCCCAGAGCTGTGATGTGCAGTCCATGAGTTCCAGGTCAAGATCTGCAGCCAGCACTCTAGTGAGAAAAAAGGCCACACTTTCAGAACACTGAGAAGGGTGCACAGCTGCAATCATGAGGAAACACAGAGGAGCCACATGACTGAGTAAAAGCCTATCTACTGGCTATTAGACTTAAGCACCATCTACCGGATCACAGTCCAAAACTTTAACACCAAAAATATTTTGCTAATATGCCCCCCTGTGAAACCAAGGACAAGAATTATGCTACAGATAAAGACACTACACAAAGTCTTGGCTCTCTGAAAACTTCCAGAAAAGAAGGCTACTGACTGTACTCGATTTACAATGCAGTTAAAGGAAAACCAGCCCACACAGATTAGAAAGAACAAGCAGAAAAACTTTGGCAACTCAAAAAAACAGAGTGTCTTTTTTTCCCCAAACAGTTGCACTAGTTCCCCAGCAAGGGTTCTTAACTGGGCTGAAATGGCTGAAATGACAGAAATAGAATTCATAATATGGATAGGAATGAAGATCATTGAGATTCAGAAACATGTTAAAACCCAATCTAAGGAATCTAAGAATCATAATAAAACAATACAGGAGCTGACAGATGAAACAGCCATTATAAAAAAGAATCAAACTGAGCTGATAGGGCTGAAAAAACACAAGAATTTCATAATGCAATTGCAAATATTAACGGAAGAAGAGACCAAGCTGAGGAAAGAATTTCAGAGCTTGAAGATGGGTGCCCTGAAATAAATCAGTCAGACAAAAATAAAGCAAAAGGAAGAGACAAACCTCCAAGAAATATGGGATCATATAAAGAGATCAAATCTATGACTCACTGGTGTCCCTGAAAGAGACAGGGAGAAAGGAAGCAACATGAAAAACAAGCTTCAGGATATCGTCCATGAAAACTTCCCCAAATTCGCTAGAGAGGCCAATATTCAAATTAAGGAAATGCAGATAATTCCTGCAAGATATTACACAAGAATACATCCCCAAGACACATAATCATAAGATTCTCAAAGTTCCAAATGAGAGAAAAAATGTTAAAAACAGCTGGAGAGAAGGGGCAGGTCGCCTACAAAGAGAAACCCATCAGGCTAACACCGGCCCTTCAGCAGAAGCCCCAGAAACCAGAAGAGATTAGGGGCCTATATTCAGCAATCTTAAAGAAAAAATTTTCCAACTAAGAATTTCATACCCAGACAAACTAAGCTTCATAAGTAAAGGAGAAATAAGATCCTTTTTAGACAAGAAAATGCTGAGGGAATTCATTACTACCAGACCTACCTTATAAGAGGTTCTGAAATAAGTGCTAAATATGAAAAAGAAAGACCATTACCAACCACTACAAAAACACACTTACATGCATAGACCAGTGACACTATAAAACAACCACAAAAAAAACTGCGTAATAACAAGCTAACAACATGATGACAGGATCAAATCTGCACATATCAATACTAACATTGAATATAAATGGGCTAAATGCCACAATTAAAAGGCAAAAAGTGGCAAGCTGGATAAAGAAGCAGCACCCAAGAGTATGCTGTCTTCAAACCCCATCTCACATGCAATGACACCCATAGGCTCAAAATAAGGGGATGGAGAAAAATCTACCAAGCAACGGAAAAAAAAAAAAGGAAAAGTTGCAATCCTAATTTCAGACAAAACAGATTTTAAGCCAACAAAGATCAAAAAAGACAAAGAAGGGCATTCTAAAATGGTAAATCATTCCATTTGACAAGAAGATCTAACTATCTAAACACATATGCACCCAACACAGAAACACCCAGATTCATAAAGCAAGTTCTTAGACACCTACAAAGAGACTTAGACTACCACAGAATAATAGTGGGAGACTTTAACACTCCACTGACAGTAGACAGATCATCAAGGCAGAAAATTTAAAAAGATATTTAGAACCTGAACTCAGCACTGGATCAAATGGACCTGATAGACATCCACAGAACTCTCCACCAAAGAACAACAGAATATACATTCTCATTGCCACATGGCACATACTCTAAAATTAACCACATAATCAGACATAAAACACTTCTCAGCAAATGCAAAAGAACTGAAATCATAACAACCACTCTCAAACTAAGGCACAATAAAATTAGAAATCAAGACTAAGAAAATCACTCAAAATCATACAATTACATGGATACTGAATAACCTGCTCCTGGATGACTTTTGGATAAATAATGAAATTAGGTCATAAATCAATAAATTCTTTGAAACTAATGAGAACAAGATACAACATACTAGAATCTCTGGAACACAACTAAAGTAGGGTTAAGAGGGAAGTTTATAGCACTAAATGTCCACATCACAAATCTAGAAAGGTCCCAGATTAACAACGTAACAGCAAAAATACAAAAACTAGACAAGCAAGAAGAAATCAACCCCAAAGCTAGCAGAATACAAGAAATAACCAAAATCAGACTTGAACTGAAGGAAGTTAAAACACACCAAAAAAACACACTAAAGATCAATGAATCCAGGAGTTGTTTCTTTGAAACAATTATTAAGATAGATAAGCCACTAGCTAGACTAAGAAAGAAAGAAGAGAGGTGATCTAAAGAAACACAAGTAGAAATAACAAAGGGATGTCACCTTGACCCCACAGAAATACAAAATAAAAAAAAAACTATCAGAGACTACTGTGAACACCTCTATACACACAAACTAGAAAATATAGAAGAAATTGATAAACTCCTAGACACATACTTCCTCCCAGGAAGACTGAAACAGGAAGAAAATTGAATCCCTGAACAAACTAATAATGAATTCAGAAACTGAATCAGTAATTAAAAACCCACTAACCAAAAACAGCCCAGAATCATATGGATTCACAGCCTAATTCTACCAGATATATAAAGAGCTGGTATCATTCAGTGGTACCACTGAAACTACTCCAAAAAACTGAGGAAAAAGGACTCCTCCCTAACTCATTCTATGAGGCCAGCGTCATCCTGATAACAAAACCTGGTCGAGACACAACAAAAAAATAAAAGTAAAAGTTAAGGTCAATATGCTTCATGAATATCAATGCAAAAATTTTTAGCAAAATATTAGCAAACAAAATCCAGCAGCATATTAAAAAAAAAAAAAAGCTAATCCATCACAATCAAGCAGGCTTTATCCCTGGGATGCAAGGTTGGTTCAACATATGCAAATCAATAAATGTGATTCATCACATGAACAAAACTAAAAACAAAAACCACGTGACAATCTCAAAAGATGCACAAAAGGTTTTTGATAAAATTCAACAACTCTTCATGTTAAACACCCTCAATAAACTAGTCACTGAAGGAATATACTTCAAAATAATTGGAGCCATATATGAGAAACCCACAGCCAAAATCACACTGAATGGAGAAAAGTTGTAAGCATTCCCCATGAAAAGCAGTACAAGACAAAGATGCCCACTGTCACCATTTCTATTCAATGCAGTATTGGAAGCCCTGGCCAGGGCAATTAGGCAAGAGAGAGAAATAAAAGACCTCTAAACAGGAAGAGAGGAAGTCAAACTATCCCTATTTGCTGATAATAAGACTACATATGTAGAAAACCCTATAGTCTCAGCCCAAAAGCTCTTTGATGTGATGAACAATTTCAGCAAGGTTTCAGGATACAAAATCAATGTATAAAAATCACTAGCATTCCTATACATCAAAAAGAGCCAAACTGAGAGCCAAGTCAGGAACATAATCCCATTCACAATTGTCACATTATTAAACATTGCTCAAAGAAATCAGAGATGACACAAACAAACGGAAAAACAGTCCATGCTCATGGATTGGAAGAATCAATGTCATTAAAATGGCCATATTGCCCCAAGCAATTTATGGATTACATGCTATTCCTATCAAACTACCAATGACATTCTTCACAGAGCTAGAAAAAATATTTCAAAATTCATATGGAACCAAAAAAAGAGCCTGATTAGTGAAGGCAGTCCTAAGAAAAAATAACAAAGCTGGAGGAAACACATTACCTGACTTCACACTATACTATACAGCTACAGTAAACAAACAGCATTCTGCTGGTACAAAAAGAAACACACAGACCAATGAAACAAAATAGAAAGCCTAGAAATAAGGCTGCACACCTACAATCATCTTGATTTTCGACAAAGCCAACAAAAAAAGGCAATAAGGCAAGGACTCCGTATTCAATAAATGGTGCTAGGATAACTGGCTAGCCACATGTAGAAGATTGAAATTGGACCCTTTCCTTTCACCAAATACAAAAATCAACTCATGATGGACCAAAGACTTAAATGTAGAGCCTAAAACTATAACAATCCTGGAAAAGAACATAGGAAATACCATTCTGGATATAGGACCTTTAAAGATTTAATGATTTAATGATGAAGACACCAAAAGCAATTGCAACAAAAACAAAAGTCGACAAACGGTATCTAATTAAACTAAAGAGCTTCTGCACGGCAAAAGAAACTATCAACTAAAGTAAACAGACAACCTACAGAATAGGAGAAAATAGTTGCAAACTATGCATCTGACAAAGGTCTAATATCAAGAATCTATAAGAAACTTAAATTTATAAGCAAAAAACATACAACCCCATTAAAAAGTGAGCAAAGGACATGAACAGAAACTTTTCAAAAGAAGACACATACAGGCAGCCAACAAGCATATGAAAAAACTCTCAACATCACTGATCATTAGAGAAAGGCAAATCAAAACCACAATGAGATAACATCTCACACCAGTCAGCATGGCTATTACTAAAAAGTCAAAAAAGTAACAGTTGCTGGTGAGGTTGTGGAGAAAAGAGAATGCTTGTACACTGCTGGTGGGAGTGTAAATTAGATCAGCCATTATGGTAAGCAATGTGGTGACTCCTCAAAGAACTTAAGATAAAATTACCACTCAACCCAGCCATCCCATTTTTGGGTATATACCCAAAGGAATATAAATCATTCTACCATAAAAACACATACATGCATATGTTCATTGTAGCACTATTCACAATAGAAAAAATATGGAATCAACCTAAATGTCCATCAGTGGTAGACTGGCTGAAGAAAACCTGATACATATACACCATGGAATACTATGCAGCCCTAAAAAAGAATGAGATTGAGGCCTTTGCTGCAACATCGTTGGAGCTGGAGGCCATTATCCTAAGCAAACTAATGCAGGAACAGAACACCAATACTGCATGTTCTCACTTTTAAGTGGGAGGTAAACAACAAGAACACCAGGATATGAGGAGTGGAACAACAGCCACTGGGACCTACTTGAGGGTGTATGCTGGGAAGAGGGAGAGGATATGAAAAAATAACTATAGGGTACTCTGTTATTACCTGGGTGATGAAATAAGCTGTCCACCAAATCCCCATGACACCAGTTTACCTTTGTAACAAACCTGCATTTATACCCCTGAACCTAAAATAAAGGTTAAAAAAAGAAACAGTAACATAAGAATAAATATTTATTGAATGAAAAAAAAGAAGCTTCTACTGCTTATTCCTACTAACCGAAGTGTCCTGAGGGAGGAGGTCTGTGGTATGTCTATGGAAAAGGCCTTTTCTCCAACAGCTTTGGGCATCCCCAAGAGTTAAATACAGAGAGATCTTGGGTAACTTCACTGACCTGATCTTTACCAGCTCTGGTCATAACTTTTCATTATAAGAATAAGCTTTTCAGGGATTCTGGGGGATTTGACACATGCTGTGAGTAGCCATGAAGTTCAAATGTAACATCAAGTCTTAAGGATACCAGGTGAGATTTAGTCTCTCCTAGAGAAAGTTCAGGGACTGAGTCATACAACGCATTTGATAATTGCTGAATCTGAATCTGTACTGCCTTCAAGGGCCCATTGCTATCAAATGGCTATGCTCATTACTAAAGGGCTGGTGGCTGGAGGGAAGAACTCACAGCAAGGGATCTTCAAAGCCAGGCAAGAGACTAAGATTGCTTTTCCGAATTGGGGGTGGCAAATTTAAAGGCCTACAGGCACCAGGCAGGAAACGTAAATGAAAGACGCAGGCCAGCTCGGAAAATGTGAGAGCACATATGAAGTGTTTATAAATGAGGCTGCTGCAATTCAGTCCATGAATCTTCCCATTTTCTTTTTTTTTTTTTAATTGAGGTAGGGTTGCCAAATAAAAATTGATGTTTTGATATACATACACATTGTGAAATGATTACCACAATCAAGCTAATTAATATATCCATCATCACAAACAGCTACCACTGTGTGTATCTGTATGTTTGTGTGTGTGTATGCGTGTGTTGTGAAAATAGTTGAGATCTATTCCATTAGAAAATTTTAAGTATACATTATTAACTCAAATCACCATGCTGTGCATTAGGTTTCCAGAACTTATTCATCTTCTTTATCAAAGTTTGCACCATTTGTTCAATAACTCCCCTTTTCTTCCACGTCCCAGCCCCTAGTAACCACCATTCTACTCTCTGTTATTATGAGTTTGACTTTTTTCCTGGAGAAGCTGAATATAGAGAAAAATGGTTTCATGTGAAATTGTTCATTCTTTTAAAGTTAGCAACTAATTAACTAAATACACACACTAACATACGTACACACTACTATGAAGGACCAACAAAACTCAACTACGGGCTCATATTTGACACCAACACATTCTCCGCATACCTAGGGCAGACTAGCTTGTGTAGCTTAGCTTTGGATCAGTAATTTCAAACTTGTCTGTAATCTATGCCTGCTGCTGTGTGTTTATGTTTGCAGTGTTAAAAAGAATTAACCCGCCTGTTAGAATGGCAATAATTAAAAAGTCAGGAAACAACAGATGCTGGAGCAGATGTGAAGAAATAGGAAGGCTTTTACACTGTTGGTGGGATTGTAAATTAGCTCAACCATTGTGGAAGACAGTGTGGCGATTCCTCAAGGATCTAGAACTAGAAATACCATTTGACCCAGCAATCCCACTACTGGGTATATACCCAAAGGATTATAAATCATTCTACTATAAAGACACATGCACACGTATGTTTATTACGGCACTGTTCACAATAGCAAACACTTCGAACCAACCCAAATGCCCATGAATGATAGACTGGATAAAGAAAAGGTGGCACATATACAACATGAAATACTATGCAGCCATAAAAAAGGATGAGTTCATGTCCTTTGCAGGGACATGGATGAAGCTGGAAACAATCATTCTCAGCAAACTAACACAAGAACAGAAAACCAAACACCACATGTTCTTACTCATAAGTGGGAGTTGAACAATGAGAACACACGGACACAGTGGGGGGTGCATCACACACTGGGGCCTGTCGGGGGCTGGGGGACTGGGGGAGGGATAGCATTAGGAGAAATACCTAATGTAGATGATGGGTTGATGGGTGCAGCAAACCACCATGGCACGTGTATGCCTATGTAAATCTGCACATTTTGCATATGTACCCCAGAACTTAAAGTATAATAATAATAAAAAAAGAATTAACCATATAAAATGTTAGCATCAGTTTTACTTTTGAGATTAGAATCAAAAAGCCAAGTCAAGGTTGTTAATGAGAGCAAGAGGACCTCAAGCACGCAGGGTGGAAATCAAGGAACAACAATTAGTAGACAAAAAGGATGACAGAAAAAAGTCTGGCAATAAACAAAGAATGTCCAGGACAGATAAAGAAATTAACTTATAAACACGTTATGCGCTACGTCAGTTAGCCAGTTGGGGTTGGCATTTATATTCATGTAAATGGTTCATCTCTATTGAGATCAACACACTGGGTTTGGGTAATTTGCACATGACACAACCAAAACCAAAGGTCTTATAAAAGAGAGCAGCTTGCCGTTTATCTCCCATACAATTCTCTAAAAGTGCTCTTCTGGGAGAGAGAAGAGAGAGAGACCCCAGCCTTGCACATCAAGACCGAGTTTCCTCCCGTATAGCTTCATGGTTAGATGGCAAGGGGCAAGCGTGCAGCATTCTGAAAACTTCACAGCAATGAGAATAGAGGGCAGTGACCAAATCAGCAAGAAAGGATCCACTCACCAGGTGCCAGAGTGGAGCAAACACTGGATAGCTGGAGATCGAAAATTAATGAAGATACTTAGTTGCCTAGAAGAGCTTACATTCTAGTGGCAGGGTATTCATTTAAGGGAGAGAGAGACAGAAGAGACAGAAAGAGAGAGAGAGATTTTTATCTCCTACCTCATTCTTTCCCCCAGTTTCAACATCCCTCCTATCAGAACAATCCCTGGCACTAGGCTTAGTCCTAGTTATATGTTTGTAATTTTCAAACCCTGAAATTGGAATGATAGTTAATCTGCCTCCCTACCGTGCCTCAGGAAGTTCAGATTCCATAAGGGCACAAAAATCTATATTTAAAATAAAAATCCCCTGAAGGGTTTCTTATGATCACCCTGGCGAGAGGAGCTTGGTTTTCACCCCTCTCTTCACTGTCCATCCCCAAAGCCCTGACTACTTCTGCTAGTTATTGAAGAACCAGCCTCAGGGCCTGAAAATCATAACCACAGCCCTGACACAAAGCTCTGTTCACAAAGATTGTTCAAAGCCGTGGAATTCTCTGGCCCTTTCATAATTGTAATAGATATTGAAATGAAGCACATTCTATTCTCTCCACAGGGAGAGCTTTTTTCTTTTTTCCCCTTCAGTTCAAAGACTTCTCCTGGTACCCTGATAGCATAATAATTGGTTTTTCTTTCCTCTTTATGCATGCTTATAGACACAAACTCCGGTGTTTTTGTCCTATTTCAATAAAAATTGACACAAACTTTACAATAAATGGCTCTGATATAACTGATTGTTCTCCCGTTGAGTAATAATACTCATAAAAAGAAATGGAAGGCACAAGAAGATCAGGGAGTGGGCAGAAATTGGAATCAGAGAGGGAAACTGTTTAGCATTTATAACTTCCATAAACTCAACCTTGTATTTGTGTCAGCTACTTTATAGTTTTCCAATTTACTTTTTAATTGAGTCCTTTTTGTCAGCCATGTTTGGAAGACGTAATTCTACATCGTCTTTCAAAACCGTACCACTTTAGTTCAGTTCAATTGATCTCTCTTTGTATTTATTATTCTTGAGCCCAACATATATCACTTTCCATTTGGCCAACTGCAAATGCAATTTACCATGCATCAAGCCACTTACACAGCAGATCTGCATTAGTTAATATTCTATTTGGGGTGATCTTTTCTGTGTTTGCTGTTAGCCCTGATCACTGCCACTTACCATACTGTTTAAGTTATAAAAACAGAAACAGTAACTCAAATGAACTGATTTACTTGCCTGACTATATAGTTTAACCATGTGAAGTGAAGCTATTGCTGAAGGCACATAAAATGTGTAATAATTGAACCAACTTTGGTTGCAGACTCTCTGAAAACCTCACAGAAATGTACAAATTGCCCTTCCATGCTTCCTTTTCATTGTGGTCTCCTGAAAAGACCCTGTAGCTGAATGATCAGAGACCTGGAGTCTGGTTCTGGCTCTGTGCCCCACACATTCTGTGACCTTAGGCCTTTTTCTCTGTCTTTGCTTTCTGTCTATTTCCTGGTTTTGGAATACCCACAGAATGCTTCCTGAAGCATTTCACAGTTGTTTTCTGGAAAGATGAGTCGGGAAAAATTGATTAATCAACAAGGAAGTAGATCAAGTGAAAAACAGAAAGGGAAAGATATGGAGCCAAGCATAGGGAGTCTTAAAAATCCAAGAAAGGGTGCGGGCATGGTGGCTCACACCTGTAATCCCAGCACTTTGGGAGGCCAAGGTGGGCAGATCATCATTTCAAGAGATCGAGACCATCCTAGCCAATGTGGTGAAACTCCATCTCTACTAAAAATACAAAAACAAGCTGGGCATGGTGGTGCGCACCTGTTGTCCCAGCTGCTCGGGAGGCTGAGGCAGGAGAATCGCTTGAACCTGGGAGGTGGAGGTTGCAGTGAGCTGAGATCATGCCACTCCACTCCAGCCTGGCGACAGAACAAGACCTAAAAAAGGAAAAAGAAAAAAAAAATCCAAGAAAGGACAACTCAAGAAACTGCAGATGGGAGCTGACAAAGAGGAGGTGGCTCAGTTTAGAGTTACAGATACTTAGATCTATTTAAAGAGTAAAGACATTGTTGATCCTAGGTGTAATGTCCTTCATTTCCAGTGCACTTTCAGGACTGAATGAAAGTATAAATGGGAAGGCATTTTTCATTCAGTGTTGAGCTGGGTGCTGAGGATACACTGATGAGCAAGACAGACACAATCCCTACCCTCTTGGTGCTCATAGCCAAAGACTTCTTAATATGAAGGACTATGGAGATGTAAGCTATTACTATTGTTGTTGGTGTCCTGTTGTTGAAAATTGGATTAGTCCTGATTCTTCCTGCTGGAAAACACAAAATTCTTTAGAGGTTTTTAAATACATGTTACTAAAATAGGTTTGCCACTGGGAAGGTGCCATTTGAACAGTCTCACAGTTTTCAAGGACTTTATGCAACCATTTATTCAGCTTCTAATTCTAATTCTAACCCACTCATTCAGAATGTACAGCTACTTGACCAGCATCTAATTCTTAGTTTCTACACAAGTTAAAGAAACGTATTTAACATACACATATTTATCTGACGACATCTCTGATTTCTGTTTATACTGGCAAAGTCCCATTTAGACATGATTTCTTCCTATGTGCCATAGCACTTTCCATATGTATCTATTATAGAAATTATCTGAGCGTATTAACAATTTCTGCTAGCTCCTTGGGGACAACAATTATGTCTTAATGATTTTTGTGACACTAGCACCAAATGCAACTACCAAGTACCTACCACACTACAAGCATTGTGGAAACCACTGGAGATATAGAGATGATCGGATGTTGACCTCCTTTTCAGGAGCTCATATTCAAGTGGCATAGGTGTAATTGTAAACAAACAAATGCAATATAATGTGTTGTATGTTACATCAGTTAGCATGCTTTAGGCTGCAATTAACATAAAAACTGAGTTAAACTGACTTTAAAAATAAAGAAATTTCCCTGCTGTTTTTATCTTTATTTTTCTTCCATTCTTCCATTCCTTTCATTTCCCATTCTGGGCAGAGATGCTGGCATCTGCAAAAGCCAAGTGGTGAGAGGCTGGGGAATGGAAGGGGCAGAAGGAAGAGATGACTGGAGTACTTGGAAGATTGTGCAAACAAGTAAATAGATTGAGGATAATGAGAGCCAGGTTTCTCATTACTTGTAAAAGGATTTTACAAGCGTGGGAAAAGGGAAGAATAAAAGGAACCTTGAAATATTAGACCGGGGCTTTAGGCATCAGTATGAACTTGTAGGCTTTCTAGTATACATATTCACCTAAATATAGAATTGGTTGTTGTTATAGGTGTGTGTATGTATATACATATATTTCCCAACTTTGTTCTCTGAGCGGGTCTCAATGCAGTGGCACCCTGGAAGCAATGACCACATTGGACATCCAGATGGTGGTTTCTAAATTCCACCCTGCACTAGAGTCTGGTCATGAGGAAACATCAGACAGACCCAAATTAAAAGTCACCTTATAAAATGAAAGACCTATATTCTTTAAGAGTGTTAAGGGTGTAGGAAACCTGAAAAGACTGTGGAACTGTTCCACATTGAAGGAGACTGATTAGGCCTGACAACTAAATACAAACATGTTCTTGGATAGGATCCTGGACCAGAAAGGAACAAAAAGCATTACTGGAACAGTGGATGTGTACTAATTTTGACCTTAATAAGTGCCTCTGGTTTGCTATTTAAAGAATGTGAAACTATGAGGTGACTAACTCAACTGTTTTTAGCATTTGCCAAAGCTTGGTTACAAAGCTTTTATTTTTTCCCCAAAACATTTTTGTTGACTTCATAAAGATGAATAACCAACAAAAGATTTTTTTTTAACCAACACACTTGATTTCAGAAATATTACTCCTGAGAACACTATACCAAAAGTTTCATTTCTAATGACAATAACATGAGGTCACATTTATAGTAACACCCAAATCACAATCACTTAGCAACTCCCTTCCCCGATACGTTGGAACTCAAAATACCACACCTTGCTCCATTACTTCTGAGTCTGTTCTGTTCTTCATGTTCCAGTTCTGCATCAGCCCCATGCTATGGCCTCTGGATATGATCTGCTGCAGCTCCGGGACCACACACACCTTGGGAAATGAGGTTGAGGAAGTTGTGTTGGTCACCCTATGTCACTCAAGCCCAAGTTTGGAAAGGAACCTCCCTTGATTCTCTACAGTATGACTGAGACCCAGCTTGAATTTTTTACAAAATACTGAAAGTTTAAGCATTAAAGAAGGAAATTACATTACATTTAGTAGTTTATTTCTGCTTTTACATGTGCTACTCTGAGAGCCAACAGGCTCTAGGCTTGCCCTCTGTCGCGCCTCCTAGTCACCCTACCTAACTCCCTCCCAGCCCCCAAGAGGCCGACTCTACCTCATCTCACCACTATGTCCTCCATCATCCCTATAACCCAAAGTCCAGGCCTGTATGCCCTGAAGCCCAGAGAGAAAGCTTGTCTCTCTCTCTCCAATCTTTGGCCTGATTCCTAGATTTTCTTCTGTCTCTGGATCAGTCTCTTCCAGAACAGGAGAACTCACTATATGACCACAACAGAATAATTGCAAAATAACATACCCTGAAAACCTCAATAAATTCTAATTATTATATCCAAAATAATGTGTAGGACATTGTTATGGGCTGAATTGTGTCCCCTCAAAATTTTATATGATGTACCTCAGAATTTGATTGTATTTGGGGGTAGGGTCATTAAAGAGCAATTAAGTTAAAATGAAGTCATTAAGGTGGGCCTTAATCCAATGTGAGGGATTTATAAGAAAGGGAAACTTGAACATAGATGTGTACAGGGAGAATACAGATGTGGAGATATGGAGAGGAGACAGCCATCTACATAAGCCAAGGAGAGAAGCCTGAAACATCTTTCCCTCACAGCCCTCAGATGGAACCAACTCTGCCAACACCTTGATCTTGAACTTTCAGCCTCCAGAATTGTGAGAAAATAAATTTCTGGGTTTTGTTTTGCTTTTCTTTTTTTTTTTTTTAGATGGAGTCTCGCTCTGTCGCCCAGGATGGAGTGCAGTTGCACCATCTCGGCTCACCGCAAGCTCCGCCTCCTGGGTTCACACCATTCTGCTGCCTCAGCCACCCGAGTAGCTGGGACTACAGGTGTCCGCCACTACGCCCAGCTAATTTTTGTATTTTTAGTAGAGATGGGGTTTTGCCATGTTAGTCAGACTGGTCTCGAACTCCTGACCTCAGGTGATCCTCCCACTTCGGCCTCCCAAAGTGCTGGGATTACAGGAGTGAGCCACCGTGCCCGGCCAATTTCTGTTGTTTAAACCACCAATCTGTGGTACTTCTTTACAGCAGCCCTAGAAAACTAATACAGACATTCAGTTTTAATTGTGTTTAGATAAGGCCACTTTCTTTTTGGTCTCCCCTCCATTGGTAGGTGGAAAATAGACCTTTGAAACTCAGTAGTTTCAGATTTTTTGCTAGTGACTACAAACAGGAAAATGAAATATTTTTTAAAAAAATAGTTCATAGGCGCAGGACATTGTAAATCTAACATTTATATATATATATATAAATTATTTTCCTAACTCCCTTTCCCACCTCCACAAAGACATTAAAACCCAGCAAAGTCTCCAAGATGGATTGTTGGCTCAATAAAATAGCCATTTATATTTTCAGACAAAGCACTAGGCTACTCAGTGTAAAAAAATATATCGTACTATTTTCAACGAGTACCTTTACAAAAATGTAAAACATAACAAAGAAGTGATAAGTCCCAAAGAACAATTCAATGCTCCATCTCTTAATGAAGAGGAAAACAGTTTGAAACTTCAAAGTAACAGTTGTGCTTATTTTTCAATCCATCAAGAGTGAACTTTATCCACAACACCCTTCTCTCATTCCATGGTTTGTCATTCGTATCTAGATTATTGATGAATGAAATAAATGGAATGAAATGGAAAACCAAGGTGTTTATTTCATTTTCTACTAAGAGAGTGAAACTTCACGTAATCAGACTCCAGCTCTCCTAAGGACCAGCTTATCTCTCTCCACCTGAGTCTATCCTTTTTCCCTGTGTCTTCCCCTTTCCTCAGTTTGCATCACTTCTATTTACCCAGTCACCAACATCTTTCCCATTTCTTCCCTCTAGCTTTCATCATTCTCCTTCCCTTCCCTGCTCCTGTGTGGCTGACACACCTCTGGTCTGATTTGGAGTGTTCCAGTTCATGAATTCGAAATAACAGAAAAGTCGTCAACGCCCAGAGCAGCAGTGTCCACATGTGGTAGGTGAATCAACGGTTGGCATATGAGGTTATTTTAGGGAGTCCACAAAAGAATTTTTAAATTTTGAACAGACTTTTAAAATTCAAATGTACATTAGAAAAAATATAAACTGGCACATCAAATCTTTAAATCCTGACATGAATGAAAAACTGAAGGAAAAATTTTGAGGCATAAGAGAATCTTTAAGGTGTCCTTAAAATCAAAACACATTAGATTTTATAAATCTAAGTGCCTTTTCTGACACATCCAACCACTGAAATAGTGCAGGTCTTATAAAGTCTCAGAGTACCATGTACCTCCTCCCTTTATAGCATTTAGCACAGTTATAATTCATTATTTGTGTACCTGTTTATCAAGGGGCCATCTTCACTACCACACTGTTAACTATGAAGACAGTCTCATTGCAGTTAGTCTACCACCGTATCCTTTGCTCTCAACACACCCTCTGGTAAATATTAGCATTCCTTAAGTGTTTGTAGAATAAATGTGTGAAGAAACAAATGGATAAATAAGGCTGGTCTGGATTAGATGATATACCCATCACTTTTCTAAGATTTCTGAGTGAAGAAAAAAGCCATCATCTGATAATTTAACCAAAAATGAATCAAATACATAGTGTAGGTAAAATAACAATAGGTTCAGCATTACAAGATCACAGTTTGAACCTTAAATTTGACAATAACTAAATTGTTGAGTGGCTTCTTTTTTATTATCACGTCATTCCACCTCTTGTGACCTTGTTTTCCTATGAGAAGAATGAGTGGATGCTTTCTAAGACATGTCTCAATTCTAGGTGCCAGGCAGTCAAGTCAACATAGCTCAAAACAGTTTTCTTAAACCTCTATTTGCCTCCTCATGTGTATGCATGTGTTCAGTGATTATTATCTGGGGTTAAAGCTTCAGTAAAAATTGTTATTATCAATGAAAAAGATGTGGAACTTCTGGCTAACCAAAGCATATTTAAAGCCCTGTGGATTCTGCAGTTGGGAACACGAAATACAGTAGTCTCTATAAAAAACAGTTTGGCCCTTCCTCAAAAGAGTTAAACATAGAATTACCATATGACCTAGCAATTCCACTCTTACATGTATACTCAAAAGAATTGTTTTCAAGCAAAAACATAGACATTATTGTTCACAGTAGCACTATTCAAACTTTCTAAAAGGTAGAAACAATCCAACTGTGACTGGATGACTGGGTAAACAAAATGTGGTTATAACTGTACAATAGAATATTATTCTGTCATAAAAAGGAACAAAGTACTAATACATGCTGCAACATGATTAAACCTCAAAAATGCTTTTTTAATTGACATAAAAGTATATGTATTGATCATGAACAAGGTGATAATTTAAAATATATATAATTTGGAAATGGCTACATCAAGCTTATTAACATATGCAACACCTCACAAAGTCATCCTTTTTGTGGTGAGAACAACTAAAATCTACTCTCTAAGCATTTTTCAAGAATGTGATATATTATTATTCTCCATACTCGCCACGTTGTACAACAGATATCTAGAACTTATTCCTCCTATCTAACCAAAATTCTGTGTTCTTTCACCAACATTGCCCCAGTACCCCCTACCACTACCACTGCAGTCCCTGGTAACCATCATTCTACTCACTTCTATGAGATGAACTTTTTTAGATTCCACATATGAATGAGATAACATGGTATTTGTTTTTCTGTGCCTGGCTTATTTCACCTTAACATAATACCCTCAAGGTTCATCTATGTTGCTGCAAATGACACGATTTCCTTCTTTTTCATGGCTGAATAATATTCCATTATGTACGTATACTAAATTGTCTTTAACTATTCATCCACTGATAGACACTTATGTTGATTCCATATCTTGGCTATTGTGAATAATATTGCAATGAACATGAGAATGCAGATATCTCTTTGGCACACTGATTTCACTTTCTTTAAATACATATCCAGTGGTGGGATTGCTGGATCATACGGCAGTTCATTTTAAATTTTTTGAGGAACCATCATACTGTTTTCAATAATGACTGTACTGATTTACATTTCCATCAGTAGTGTACAAGTGTTCCAGAAAGTAGATTGATTTGTGGTTTCCAGAGTCTTGTGAAAAGGACAGAATGAGGAATAACTGTTCTAATGAATATAGGAATTCGTTTTGGGGTGATGAAAATGTTTTAAAAGTAGATAGAAGTAAAGGTTGTACAACATTGTAACTCATTAAACGCCACTGAATTGTATGATTTAAAATGGTTAGTTTTCTATCATGTAAGTTTTACTTCATTTTTTAACATCCTATGGCTTCTATTTTTAAAAACTATAAACCATAATCTTCATTAAAAATAGTCTCTTGATATCAAATATAGGCCATTATAAATCTATGAAAGTTGATGGTAAGTATTTTAGGCAGGGATGAGTAATCTTTCACCCATGCCAGCAGCCTGCTGAGCTTTAAGATATGCTCCTTGATATCATTTCATCTACAAAAATCAAAAATATTCAAGTCTACTACTAATAAATCCTGTCACGTACTTATACGCATGAATTTACAAAACCCTTCCTGAGCTGAGTAATTCCAGCCAACTCTCGTCCATGAATTACAAATGCTGTGTTAATAATAAGCCAGTCACAGAAGGACAAATACTGCATGATCCCACTTGTATAAAGCATCTAAAATAGTCAAATTCATAGATGCAGAGAGTAAGATGGTGCTGCCAGGGGCTGGGGGGAGGAGGAAATAGGGGCTTGTTCAATGGGTATGAAGTTTCAGTTATGCAAAGTGAATGAGTTCTAGAGATCTGCTGTACAACATCGTGCCTATAGTTAACAATACTGTATTGTACACTTCAAAACAATGTTAAGAGGATAAATCTCATGCTAAGTGTTCTTACCACAAAAAAGGAAGGGGGCATAAAGAAACTTTTGGAGGTGATGGATGTGTTTGTTATAAACTTGCAATAAAGATTTCACAGGTGTATGTGTACTTACAAGCTCATCAAATTACATACATTAAATATGTACACTTCTTATATCAATTATACCTCAATAAAGCTGTTTTTAAAAACTAAGTTAAGGCTGGGTGCTGTGGCTCATGCCTGTAATCCCAGCACTTTGGGAGGCAGAGGCAGGCAGATCACGAGGTCAGGAGTTCGAGACCAGCCTGACCTACATGGTGAAACCCTGTTTCTATGAAAAATACAAAAATTAGCTGGGCATAGTGGTGCATGCTGGTAATCCCAGCTACTTGGGGGGCTGAGGCAGGAGAATTGCTTGAACCTGGGAGATGGAGGTTGCAGTGAGCCAAGATCGCACCACAGCACTCTAGCCTGGGAGATAGTGCCACTGCACTCCAGCCTGGGTGACAGAGCGAGACTCCATCTCAAAAAAAAAAGAAAAAAAAAAGTAAGATCTAAAACCATAAAAATCCTAGGAACAACCTGGGCAATACCATTCAGGACATAGGCATGAGCAAAGACTTCATGTCTAAAACACCAAAAGCAATGGCAACAAAAGCCAAATTGACAAATGGGACCAAATTAAACTAAAGAGCTTCTGCACAGCAAAAGAAACTGTCATCAGAGTGAACAGGCAACTGACAGAATAGGATAAAATTTTTGCAATCTATCCATCTGACAAAGGGCTAACATACAGAATCTACAAAGAACTTAAACACATTTAAAAGAAAAAAACAACCCCATCAAAAAGTGAGCAAAGGATATGAACAGACACTTCTAAAAAGAAGACGTTTACGCAGCCAACAAACATATGAAAAGATGCTAATCATCACTGGTCATTAGAGAAATGCAAATCAAAACCACAATGAGATACCATCTCATGCCAGTTAGAATGGCAATATTTAAAAGTCAGGAAACAACAGATGCTGGAGAGGATGTGGAGAAATAGGAACACTTTTACACTGTTGGTGGGAGTGTAAATTAGTTCAACCATTGTGGAAGACAGTGTGGCAATTCCTCAAGGATCTAGAACTAGAAATACCATTTGACCCAGCAATCCCACTACTGGGTATATATCCAAAGGATTATAAATCATTCTACTATAAAGACATACGCACACGTATGTTCACTGTGGCACTATTCACAATAGCAAAGACTTGGAACCAACCCAACTGTCCATCAATGATAGACTGGATAAAGAAAATGTGGCACATACACACCATGGAATACTATGCAGCCATAAAAAAGGATGAGCTCACGTCCTTTGAAGGGACATGGATGAAGCTGGAAACCATCATTCTCAGCAAACTATCACAAGAACAGAAAACCAAACACCACTTGTTCTCACTCATAAGTGGGAGTTGAACAATGAGAAAACATGGACACAGGGAGGGGAACATCACACACCGGGGCCTGTCGGGGGGTGGGAGGTTAGGGAAGGGATAGCATTAAGAGAAATACTTAATGTAGGTGATGGGTTGATGGGTGCAGCAAACCACCATGTCACATGTATACCTATGTAACAAAACTGTAGGTTCTGCGTATGTACCCCAGAACTTAAAGTAAAATGAAAAAATAAAAAAATAAATAAACTAAGTTAAAATGATCCCCAAAAAAACCCATCAGTGTCTTCTCAAACAATAAATAAATAATTCACAAGTTCAAATTTGTCCCCTATTTCTCTAGCTGGACCCCCAAGAGGTCTGCATGCAGAGTTCTAAAAAAAGTACATGTAGTTTAAAAGCACCAATTTTAGAAAAGTCGTGTTTCTGACTATGAAAAGACTTGTGCTCAAAAATAGCAGTAAACACAGAGATGTTCCCATTTCCCATCCCTTGACATTGCTACACAATTTCCCCAGGACCAGAGCTGCCATGATTTCCGTGTGCCAAGCAACCACACAAGTGTGAAGAGATAGCATTCAAGCACAAGCTCACTACCAGCCTCTCAGACACCTGCTCACGCCCTTCAAGATCAGTTGTAAGGACAAGCTTCACACTTTACAGAAACTGAAGTCACCATCCTCTTTTGAACTTGTTTTCTAAATGCTTCATAAAATGGGCAATTTGATGCTTAAGAATGTATCTTTGGAAGCAACACTGATATTGTGCCACATGACACATAATGTCACAATGTGGTACTTAACAGATCAGTTCACTGATGCACCAATTAAAGAATAGCAGCTATATTATACTTCTTATTTTTCCTTTTGCTCCTCCCTCCCTTTCTTTTATTTTTTCTAATTATAAAAACAATGCAGATTCATGTAAAAAATTAGAGAAAACAAAAATTTAAAAAATAAGAATCATCCAGAGTCCCACAATTCAAAAAAAATTCACTAGGATATTAACATTTTAACCACTAACTTCTAATTTATATCTAATGATTTAGAAAAGTTTTGATAAACATTTTCCATTTTACTGTCTTTCTCTGCAATTGAGATCTTAGATAATAAATCAAAAAATATTTTCATTATCAAACACTAGAGTGTATGTCTCACAAACAATGCTCAATCCTCAATAAAAATTTTGAATAGTGCAGCCCCTTTTGAGAAAAACAGCCCTATCTTATAATCAGCTTTTTGCATGTCCCAATGCATATGTCACCTCCATAGGGAAACCTTTCTGACTCTTCAGATGAGGTTAGGCTTCCACTGTGTACTCTTGTAGTAGCATCCTGTGCTTTCTCTTCATAGCAACTATTACAATTAACCATGTGGATCATTATCTGCTGCAGTCCCCAGCTAGAACATAGGCTCTCAGAAGGAAGTCACCAAATCTGTCTTATTTCTTGCTATTGCCCCAATAATTGAGTTTTATTATATAAAATATTCTTAACTCATAGTTAAGGGATAAGTGAATGAACCAAAGAACAAACCTTCTCAGGAACACAACATGGGACCATGACTAAGAAGTGGAAACTAGTGTGGCAGTGTAATTGCATGAATAAGAGCTGAGTTTATACTAGGATGAGTTCTCTTTAATCCTCCTCAAATACCACAACCCTGAGGCAAGACCCCAGTCTAGCATACAGACCCCACTAAGGGAACTTACCTGTTGTCATACATGAATGACATGAAGACATATGATGTCATACATCTTCTGGGCAAGATGGAGTAAAGGAACTGGATTTACCCTTCCACTTGCAACAACTTAAAAAAAAATCACTTTCAGACATTGCAAATCAAATGGCAAAAGACAGTGATTCCTGAGATGGAGAAGTAAATAAGATGAGCCCTACAAATATTATGCCTTACTGCCTGGAGAGTTTTCAGGCTGCAAGCACAGGAAGGGGAAAATCAGGCAACAGGCAGTATGGATATTCTTCCTGAATTGAGAAGAAGGAGCTGATTGTCTGGAGAGGTCAAGACAGCCAGTGTTCATAGGGCAGAGTGTCACAAAACAGATAACTGCACAGAGTAAACCCCAGAGGTCTGTAAAGGGTCCCATTTGAGTCTTCAGCTGACTTCATGCAAGTGAAGAAACTACCTGAGACCACAGAAAGAACAACCTGGAAGGATCAGAGGGAACAATCTATGGTGCTCACACAAGACTGACAATTGTTCCTGCTCAAGTGAAAAAGCCTCATCATTCTCGAGAATTGGGTGGCACATTCAGAAGGGTAGTGCCTCCATAGCATGGAAAAATTATCCTAGTCTAAAGGCTGTTGATACTGTTTAGTTGTGTAACCACCCAAATATCATCTTGAATTGTAGCTCCCAAAATCCCCATGTGTCATGGGAGGGACCTGGTGGAAGGTAATTGAATCATGGGGGCAGGTTTCTCCCATGCTGTTCTCATGATAGTGAATAAGTCTCATGAGATCTGATGGTTTTATAAAGGGCAGTTTCCCTGCACATGCCCTCTTGCCTGCCGCCATATAAGACATGCCTTTGCTCCTCCTTCCCCTTCCACCAAGATTGTGAGGCCTCCTCAGCCATGTCAAACTGTGAGTCCATTAAACTTCCTTTTCTTTATAAATTACTCAGTCTCAGGTATGTCTTTATTAGCAGTGTGAGAATGGACTAATAACAGCTGCTTTAGTCCCACCACACACAAAACTGAACCGTTTCCAAGTAACTGCATGTGCCATAACAAAGTTCAATAATATATATAGGAATATGAAAATATCCAGTATCCAAAAAGGTAAAATTCACTGTGTCTGGCATCCCATAAAAAATGATTAGGCATGTAAAGAAGCAGAAATATATGACCCATAATAAGGAGAGACAGTAATGGGAGAGATAACATATGAGGAAGAAAACAAACAAAAAGTCCACGTGGAACATCTACCACTATAATGAAAGAGAAAGTATGGTATACATAACTAGAACAAAAACTCAGAATCGCAAACCCGTGCCACCATTGACTAGGTAAATTTGACTCAAAAACCTATTTTTAAACCACTGCTTCTCTTCTGTTTACTTATGCTCTTATAAGGACTGAGAGACTTGAAGTGTGTGAACATAAAGAACTGCTTAAATAAAGGCAGCCCTAGATTTTCTATTTTGGATGGCCAAACCTTCTGCACATCTAAAACTGCTTCCACAAACTTGAGAATGCAAGAACAGACACGTCCCACCACTCTAAGGAAAGAGATTGATATTTTGAAAGGATTGCTATAACCTAATCAGTGTTTGCCTCTGAAGCTTCCACCCATCTGTCCTGAACTTTGTCCTCTTTTTATTTGCTAGCAGTTTTCATAACATGAGTCAAAGAGGATGGATTGTTCATCAATTAAATGGCATATCACATTTCCCTAACATGTCATAAATTTCATAGATTTCTCAATATCTTGTCATGACAAACCCAAACTTAGCAATATTATCACTGTGGCTCTACATTTCAAGAGACTTAATGTTTGTGCCAATAACGGAAATTTATTGTTTCTTGAATTTAATGGGCCCAGTGCTGCTGGTTCCTTCAGACTGTTTCAGCAGGGGCTAAACTTTTTGAAGTCAATAAACCATTTGCTGTCTTTAACATAAACTCCAACTGCTCTCTCTTAGGTTGCTCTCATGGACAAAATAATGCTTCTCACTTCCAGCAATTTGCTATTTGGAAAAGAAACATTCTTAGGATTTTACTCATTGAGCCATAAGAAGGCTCTGAAATGATCTTTAGTGTGATAAATGAATTACCAAAGTCATGGGTCTAAAAGTAAAAGCACAATGACCAAAAATCTTATTTAGATAAATAAAAGATGCCACACAAAGATTATCTTAGGCCGGGGGTGGGGGGGGGGGGGCGGTGCGGGCGGGGCAGACAGACCAGAGATTTTGGAAAAAGGAAACCATGCTTTTGATGCCTTAGCTGCTATCCAGCCCAGTGAAAAAGTCATTACAATCAGAGGTGGCAGCAGCAGAATAGAAGGGAATACAATACAGTGGAGGAGGGGATGGATGAAAAAAGACTAAGATCAAAGGACAGATCAGTGAGGGAGTAAGTCAACCAAAGGCATAGAGAGTTATGGGCAAGGCACCTATACCCATTCAAAATTACAGCATCAATGAGAGAGAACAAGGGAACAATCAATGTGTTAGGCAAAGCTATCTTTTGTGAATCTTCCATGGCCCTGAAGACTGACGCTGCCAATAGAGTCAATTAAGAGGACAGGACCCATAGCTTCTGCTATGGTTCTGACAGATATCTTGAGAGAGTAGTCTTAGGCCATCATTCTGACAACCTGTGAGTTAGAAAATACCTAATTAGGAAAGCCATAAAATGGCTGAGAGCCATAAAAAAGCAATTAAAGAACAAATATGGATTATTGAAAGAGTCAAGGTGAAGACAAAAACAAATCCTAGCATCTGTTAAATAAACAAAAGGAGCAAAGAAACCAGAACTCAGGCGTGTATATGCACACACACACAAACATACACATGCCCACATGTGCACACACACACACACCCACAAGCCCCTCACTATGCTAGGTAGACGGTCCTCAAACTGTAGCCATACTGACTGCTAAAATTGGCATTTCATATAGGATTTTTAAAAATCTTACCTGGAAAGGGAAGTAGCCAAAGAGCTCTTATTTTGAAACTCATATGTGCCAATGGCTTCATTATTTCCCAGGAAATAATGAAGTTTAATAGCCCCCTACTCTGACTTGAAGACAAGAATTAAAGCATATGTAGAGGTCATAACTCAATGTAATCAAAAGAGGGAAAAAGGTAGTAAAAATAGGAGACAAAAAATTGGCCGGGCATAGCAGCTCATGCCTGTAATCCCAGCACTTTGGGAGGCCAAGGTGGGTGGATCACTTGAAGTCAGGAGTTCAAGACCAGCCTGGCCAACATGGTGAAACCCCATGTATACTAAAAATACAAAAATTATCTGGGCATGGTGGCGGGTGCCTGTAATCCCAGCTACTCAAGAGGCTGAGGCAGGAGAATCTCTTGAACCCAGGAGGCAGAGGTTGCAGTGAGCCAAGATCGCACCACTGCACTCCAGCCTGGGTGACAGAGAGAGACTCCATCTCAAACAAACAAAAAAAATCATTTCTCACACATTATTATCATTTCTTTCACTAGACTATAAGCTTCAGATGGTAGAGACTATGTTTGTTTTGCTAATCATCAAATATATAGTGCCTAGTACAATGCCTGATAAATAGCAGATAGTCAATAAATATTTATTAAACTTAAAAGGATATAATGCTACAGTGAAACAGAACAATGAAACAAAAGCCTAGATCCTCAAGGTAGATGTGAAATTGATTTGGCTCTGAGTGACTGAAAAGTCCAAAATACAAGTGTCTTAAATTAGATAGAATTTTATTATCTCATTCACATTTAAAAGTCTGAAACTAGGTAATGCTGAGGCTGGTACTGCAGTTCCACAAAGTGATCAGGGATCACTTCAACACTCTCCTCTGCTATCCCTATGTCTGGTCCTTACCCTCAAGATCTGAAATAGCTATGAGAGTTCCAGCTACCATGCCTTTACTCCAGGCAGAGGAAGAAAAGTAGAAATAAAGGCCAAGAAGGGAAGATCACCTTTATTTGATGCCTTACACAATACTTTCAATTACACTAATCAGTCAAAATTCAGTCATATGGTCACACTTAACTACAAAGTGAGGCTAGGAAATTTAGTCTATTAGCTGGAAAGCAATGTTTGCACTTTAAAGTCTATAATCTTTCATTAAGGAAAATAAGGATAAGAGATTAATTTGCATATCAATTAAAATCTTCTCTAGAATGTAGGAAGAAAAGATAGAAACTACTAGGCATTAATGCCATTTCTCTTTTGTTCAATATTTTAGAAGAATCAACAAATTCTCTTGAAATTCTTAAGAACTAGCATACCCCTCAGCTAAGAAAAAGCAGAAAGAAAGAACTAGATGTTTTTCTCCTTTGCTCCATTTGAAAAAAGAATTCTGAGCAAAGACTGCTTGATCTCAGGGAGTTGGCCATCTCCATGATTTTGTTTCCCAGCAACCTAGAGATCTTTCAATTGGATGGAGGCTGTAAATAAACCATTCTATGATTCCATCAGCCTTCGACCATCCACCACCCAACACCTGCCTCCTCCAAATGACTCAACCTTCCTTTAGCTCCTGCCCACAGTGCCAGATGTTTATTCACTAATTCAAGGAGGCGAGGTGTGGGGGAAAGTTTAGGCTGGTGCAAAAGTTATTGCAGGCTTTGCCATTGAAAGTAATAGCAAAAACCACAATTACTTTTGTACCAACCTAATACTTCCACCCCACAATACATGGGAGTCCTTGAATACCATATTTACTTTTGACTGGTAAAGAACCAAAAATTTAAAAAAATTGAACTAGGAAAAAAATCATGATAACAGATTCCAACTATTCTATGTTTGTTCATTCATTTTTCAATGCAGGATTTTAGCTAATGGCATTAAATTAACTGTTTCCTAGAAAATAAAACCACTACAAAGAAACACCATTGAGGCCATACCTTGAGTGTGAAAGTTTTCATTAATGTCTGAGGGCTATTTGAAATGTGAAGTCATGAATCAAAGAGAAGTGAAAGGACTTTATTTAAAAAGCTGATCAGAGACACTGTCTTTGAATCTTTGCCTGGTGACTGGGATAGGAGGGTAAAGATTTTAAAGTTTCTCAAACCCCTCCTCTTCCTCAGCCTAGTTCTAAGGGGAAAACAGAATTCCTAGGCAGCTTAGCATGAAACAATCACATTGCTTTTTTTTCCCTGCTGTAAAGATTGTAAAACCATAAGAGATTAACAAAACTCTCTACTCAGATTAAAGATCAAAACTTGATACCCTAAAGACCAGGGTGTGTGGAATGGGATGCGAGGAACAATGTATTTCCTAATTTGGGAATATATCAACTGAGAGGGTTAGGAGGGAACACCAGGGTCTTAAAAATTCAATCCTAGTGGGTCCCATTCAGAGATGATATTCAATATACTTAGCAAATGGTATTGCACAGGCAGCTGCCCATCAGAAACAGCACTGGCCAGGGCACTAGCTCAGGGACCTAGAAGCTCCCTGCTAAACCATGCATTAACTCTTTGGTTTCCAGATTATAAGCAGGGTGGCAGAACAGTGAAAAACCTCAAGTCATCAGATATTTACCACCAAGCAGTATTTTAACAATTTATACAGCTGTCCTGGAGCATACCAGCTGCGTGTTAGCCCCAGTCTGACCTTTCCAGGCACTAAGGATTAGGCAGGCTCATGACTATTAGGCCACCAGCCTTGGTTTCCAACATCATCCAATTTCAGACAATCACTTAGCTCTTGCCACTTTATACCAAGGGCCATCCAATCCCAGAGAAAGCATTCAGGAAGACACAAATCCTCTTCCTAGACTATTCACCATAGTCACTAGAAACATCAGATGGGGAAGAGGAGTTTTGATTTAGACTTTGGCATTCCCATATTCACTCAGGAGTAAACAGAAATATGAAGCAATAGGATTTGAAAGGAAACTCAGAAAATGGAAATGTTTAATACTACTTTAATCATGTCCTTCTCTGACTACACCTTGGTCTCCTCTGGACAGGTAAATTAGATTGGAATATGTTCTACATCTTCAAGCTGCACATTTAAATCAGTATCACTTTAATTCTTACTTGTGAATCTGTGTGAATAAGACTATAAAATTATTAAGAGGGAAAAACACTTAACAAAAAAGAAAGGCTCACTGGTGACACCAATCACAATGACCAGGATATAGGGGCTTGTTTAATTATTATCAGAAAAAGCAGATTCTCTTTAATAGTGTTTCATATTTCATGTTTTCCAATATACAGAAAATCCTTCTCCTTTTTTTCCAAATGGGTTTTCATTTTTAATAAAAGTCTTATTTGAAGATCTTAGAAAAGCAGAACAGCTGAAGAAATGTAGTTTTACTCCCTGTTCGACTATTAATCGGTCTATTATTAAGTCCCTTGTTTGCTCTTCCATTCCTCATGTTACCCCCTTTTCTTTGTCATAAATACCCCTTTTTGCTGAATGAGTTTCTGTTCACTCATCTTTTTAAATTAAGTTTATCCTCACTCATATAAAACTCACACACTTACATGAAATTCACTAAAGTGTTTAGTGAATTTAGAAAATGTTTTAAAAAGTCAAACACACAGAGAGAGAAAATAAAACTCTAGTTAATGGGGTAGGAGGAGGAAATATGAACATGCGGGTGAGAGCACACAAAGTAACAAATATGTAAGATGAACAAGTCTAAAGATCTAATGTACAACACAAGGACTATAGTTAATAAAACATATTGTATTCTGGAGTTTTGCTAAATGAGTAAATTTTATTTGTTCCTGCAACACAAAAAACAAATGGGTAATTATGTGACATGGTGGATATGTTAATTTGCTTCACTATAGTAAGCATTTTACTATCTACATGTATCCCTTACCATCATGTTGTATACTTGAAAAATGCAGAGTAAAATTTATTTTTAAAGTGTACAATTCAGTGACATTTAGTGCATTTACTATGTGATGCAAACATCACCACTATCTAATTCCGAAACATTTTTGTAACCCCACAAAAAAAACCCTGTGCCCATTAAGCAACCATTCCCTGTTTCCTCCCTCCCTCTCAGGCCCCAGAAACCACTAATCTGCTTTTTACCTCTATAGATTTGCCCACTCTGGATATTTCATGTAAATGAGCTTGATCAAGGTGTGGCTTTATATGTCTAGCTTCTTTCACTTAGCATGTTTCCAAGGTCCATCCATATAGAAGTACCTTTTATGACTGAGTCATATTCTATTGTATGGATATACCATCGTGTCTTTATTTATCAGTTGCTGGACATTTGGGTTGCTTTTGGATGTTACTAATAATGCTATTATGAACACTCATGTAGGTGTTTTTGTTTGGACACCTGTCTTCAGTTATCTTGTATATATCTAGAAGTGGAATTGCTAGATCGTATGACAATTCTATTTTTAATTTTTGAGGAACTGCCAAACTATTTTCTGCAGCTGCTACACCATTTCACATTCACACCAGCAACATACAAGGGTTTCAAAGTTCTCAACATCCTCACCAACACTTATATTCCATTTTTTATATTATAGCCATCCTAGCAGGTATGAGGGGGAACTCACTGCAGTTTGATTTACATTTCTCCAATGACAAATGATGCTGATCAACTTTTCATGTACTTAGTATACCTTCTTTGGAGAAATGTTTACTCAAATCTATTGCCCATTTTTTATTAATTTGGTCATTTGCCTTTTTATTGTTGAGTTGTACTTTCCAATCATTTTCAGTTGAAATGTTTGGCACTGGCTTTTCAAACAAATGACAAAGTTGCAAAATGGACAAAGTGAAAATAAAGCAAACCTAGACCACTTGCCACACCCACTAAACAAACACATACAGTAACTTCAGTTTTAGATTTTTGAGTTTCAATATTCCCAGCAAGACAACAGATAGGTAAGGTATTGCTAGATTAAGTGAATTTTTTTTTCAAATTGACAGAAAAGAAAATAATTTATTCATGTACACGTTTACTCAACAAATATTTATTGATCACGCTGCTAGGCATTAGGACGATTTAAAACATTGGTGGAACAGTGTTGGTCTTTATATTGTCCATCCTTCCAGTAAGATGCATTATAAATGAAGTTTTCATATGAAAAACATGTCAGGAAAAGTAATTGTGGAAAATCTTAGTTTCAATTTACTCAGAGTTTAGGAAAAAAAAAAAAGAACTTTCCAAACAGCCTAGAGATAGATAATCCGTTTTATCTACCCTCAGAAAAGATACTATGTTAAAGAGGAACAATGTCTCCCTCACCATATGCAGGCATATAGCACCCAAACTCATCAATACAATGCCTTTGAATAGGTAGGTATTAATAAAGAGGTAGCAAATGTGTATTGTTCCCTTGGATTATTAAGGATAGCTCAATGAGGAGCTTGTGGAAACCTGGAGTATCAACGAAATTTTGAACTCAGATGAAAAAAATATGATTCCAAGTTGGCATTTTTGAATGAAAGACTAAAGAAGAAATCTATAAAGCAAAGTATGAATTTTAAACAGGAAAAAACTATATATTCTAATTCTCAATGCCTGCATCTGTGGAAAACTGAGACATTGAACTACTGAAGTATACCAATGTTTGGGACTTCATAAACAAGACGTAGACTATAAACATAAAAATAGTATGGGGTGGGCACTATGGCTCACACCTGTAATCCCAGTGCTTCGGTAGGCAGTGGCAGGAGGATTACTTGAGACCAGGAGTTTCAGACCAGTGAGATCCTGTTTCTACAAAAAAAAAAAAAAAAAAAAAAAAAATTCTAATTACCTTGGTATGGTGGCATTCAGCTGTAGTCCCAGCTACTAGGGAGGATGAGGCGGGCAGATCACTTGAGTCCAGGAGTTCAAGATTGCTGGTGAGCTATAATTGCACCACTGCATTCCAGCCTGGGCAACAGAGCCAGACCTTGTCTCTAAAAAACAATAATAATAAAATTAAATTTTAATTTAAAATTAAAATTAGTATGGAGTAGTGATACAGAACACAGGCTTTGAAATCAGACAGACCTGAATTTGAGAATCGACTTTGTCTTTTACAAAGTATGTCACTCAATGAATATTATTTATAGTTCCTAACTCTTGATTTCCTCAATTGTAAAATAAGGATTAAAGTATCTGTCTCATTCATTTGTTAATGCTTAGCACAATGCCTGTAATACATTGATAATTACTATAATTGTTTTGCAATATGATATAAATGGTGAATAGAGACAGAAGAATGAGTAAATAGAAAGGAAAGGAATCTGAACAAATTTTTTTTAAAAAATGGATTTGTTACAGATACAAACTCCATTTTCCAGGAAGAAAAGATAATTTGTATAATTGCTACTCTCTGTCATTTTTATAACCATTTATTCAGAATAATAGTTGTATAATCTCAACATTGACTCAAATGCAAACTCATTTACCTTGTTCAAGAATTATTAACTCAGCCAACTTTGGCCCATGACATTCCTAATTATGCATATTTAGTTAAAATATTTCAAAAATATAAATGCAGTTTTTATTTTTTATTAATTCTGTGATATATGATTTATATCAAGGTACTAATGGGAAACTGCAACCAGAAGTTCACGGGTTAAAGAATCAGCTCTATAGAACATCGTAGTGGGCTGAATGGTGGATTTTAGGAGCTGATCATAATCCTGAAGGACACAATTACCAAACACCGTAATCTCAAATGTCAAAAGCCTGAAAGATCAAAAATTCAAAATTATAATTCTGGAAAAAATAATTTTAAAATTATTTAAAAGATATTTATTTGTGTTTTAAAGGGATTTATTCAAAAGCATGTAAAAACATGACAAAACACTTCATAGATCACTTTGCACAATAAAATAGTCAATAACAACGTACATATTTTTGCAAGCATAAACACTCAGGTATACCAATGACAGTCACATGGGTATGACAGTTATAAGCGATGAACTGTATTCATAAAGAAATGGGTCAAAAATTGAAATGTATAAATGCATATCACTATGGTTGGTAATGTGTGCACCTAGCTTTATAGCTGCCATCATCTGAAATACCCAACCCAAGACTAACAACCGAAGTCTTTTGATCAGATGGAGGAAAAACTGTGATGAATCACCGCCATATATGCAGTTGTCTGAAGAACTAAGATTTTGAGAAATTATATCTTACACAAATGCAGTCGTATGGACATATCTTCATTTATTGAGGATGTTCCAACATTTTTACATACATGCACAAAGCTTACAAAGTCACATTGTGATAAAGCACTTTCATGAAGTCAAATTTGCAAAAAAAAAAACTGCATAAAACAAATTAGAACTCTCTAAAAGTCCTTACATAATTTATATTTCCGGTATTGGAAATAATGCAAGTTAAAAGATGTAGCATAGCAAATTTTAGGAGATCGTTTTGACAGTTTAAAATAGGGAGAAAAAGAAAAGGAAAAACTAAAAAGAAAATCTGACATATGAAATAGTGTATTACAGGGAAAGATTAAGGGCAATTGCATGGAGATAGTTCATTAAGAGCTGGCCAAATTTCATGATCATTAAATATGCTTTGAGGTCTTGCATCACAACGAATAGCTGCCTTTTTTTTAGGATTTGGCCTTCCTCAGAGAATATTCGTTTTCTACATGGTACTGCTCTTTTCGAAATTCTTCTGTGATTCCACATACACCAAAACAAGCATTCCCTATTAAATCTTCCTACCTTCAGTGCCATGCTTCCATGTTGTTTTGGGTATGTAGAAATCCATTCTACATGCATTTATACATAGACCATAAATTTGGCAGAAATAATACAATGATTGAACAGTAACATCATTGCGTAAGTGTCTTCTTATCCTACCACGCATATAATTATTTTTGAACCAGTCAGTGGCTTTGCTGACTTCTTCAGCAAATATGGCTTTAATTCATTAAAAGCTCCTGAAATGTCATCTGCTGGAAGGAATGTCAGTGCAGGCAAATGATGCATTTTTTAACTGAAGTTTTTGTCGTTGCTATAGAACATGGCCAATCAACACATCTGAATTTTCTGCCAAATGCATTGGGCTGAAAGGAAAAAACAAACTTTACTGGTAATACCTTGACATTCTCTTTTAGAAGCCTTGGTCATTCCTGGCTCCAAATCTGTCATTAGGGTTAGGGGATCCAAGTGAAATCCATTTTCCTCTGTGTTAGGACGATAACAAGGTAATAGCTCTGCCTAACATGATGCAACCATCTTGTGACTGTGATTATTGGGATTTTAGACACCAGGAATTTTAGACTTTAGAGATTTTGCTCTTTGGGATTTCAATATTTGGGAACAGAGCCTGTAGGACTGTGTCTTTCAAGATTATGATCAATCTCAGGTTCTGTGGACCACCTTTCTGCTTTGCCCTCTCCTCCCCATTAAATTCTGCCAGAGGAAAAGAAAGATGTTCATTGAGGTCTGTTTCCTTTCGGTTTTCTGTTGCTATCAGCATCATCTTAACAACGACTTCAGAAGCAATTGTTCTATCAGCAGAATTTGAATTCAATTCAATCTAACTTGCAGTTTTTTTTAACACATGCAGACCAGTCCCATCACATTCACTAAGAAATATCTGGACCAATTGTCTGTCCCCACCCCCTCAAATTCATGGGTCCCAACCCCAGAGATACCCTCCTCCAAACTTCTAAATTGTGATAATTCCATTATTTACCTTTGTTTCCCAACCCAGGAGCTGGTAGTTAATTCCTACTGTTGCTCCCTTCTCTAATACTTTAGTTCTGTTTATCTTTCAATTCTTCGATACCCTTTGCAATTGTTTATATTAAATTCTTTCTGTTAAAATGATTGCAGTGGTTTCTGTTTCCTGCCTGGACCCTAATGGTACAGGTCCCCAGCTAGTTGCTTTCTGGTACTATTTCTCATCAATAAGACTGGGAGCTCTCAGAGCAGCTGCAAAGAAGCTCATTTTCATCACCAGGAAGCCAACAGCAACCACTGTGTCAGTACTACTAACAAATCTGGTCTCATGCATTCTTCCAATCAATATGAATCCAAGTGAATAAAACCTCCAGAAAAATCAACCGCTGAAAAAGGTAAATCTAAAAAGATAGAAAATAGATTAGTATTATCCTGGGGCTGGATATGAGAACAGGTACTGACTGCAAATAGGTACAAGGGATAGTTTGGGAGTGGTAGAAATGTTCTAACACCGATTTTGATGACGGTTTTACAAATATACTAAAAATAATTGAATCATTTATTTAAACTGGGCGACTTCTGTGAAATAAACTATGCCACAATGAAGGTATTTTTTTAAAACTCAACTTTTGAAATTTAACAAAGGACCCTGTGATCAGGGCCTATCATGGAGAGTGCAAGAGTGTCAATTAGGTCAGGATTCTCACTCAAATTTGGACTTCCAGTGTTTTCTCCAAATGAGATGTTACATACATACACCAAGAGGACTGAAAGAATATGTTCATCATCACTAATTGTTAAAATACAAACACAGTTTTTGTAACCCTAGGCCTCTTCACCTCTGAGATATTTGTCCTCACTATGCAGTACATACATATTAATAAAACAGGACTTCTCTCTTTAGCATCTCAGCTGTCTCCAAGGCCAAAGACAGAGGAGGAAGGTGAGGAGAATTAACACTTACTAAGCAACTGCTACGGAACAGGCATCATACATTTTGCTTAATACCTTAATTAAATCTCACTTTTATAATAGCCCTTTGTGATGGGCATTTCAACCCAACATTCCACAGAGAAGAAAACTGAAGCACTTAAAAGTAAAATAACCTGCCCAATATCATGTACTCAGTGAGTAAGATAGCTAGATCTAAAATCCAACCTTTATTACAGGAAATGGCATTTCCATTAAAGCCTTGAAGTCTCTTCAGCACAGCATTTCCAAGGGCCAAAAGAGAATTCTACAAGATTGTATTTTGAATGAACAAGGAAATCAGTTAAATCAACTTATGTAGTACACATCAGCGTTCAATATCACATGAATTATGAAGGTTGGAATCTTTAAGAACTCTCAAAGGGTAGGCATTCCACATTGTATTTTACGTAAGTAGATATTTTCCCCTGGATTTCTTTAGGTTCTTTTTGATTGAAATGCTTGGCAACATTTTGCTTTATGTTGTTTTAAAGCATTCTGTGCTGACAAGTGGTGAACTCAGAAAATACAGTCCATTTTTCCCAAACCTATGAAAGTAATATTGCGCATTATGGCTTTGATAGTCCCCGTGATTATGACTACAGATTTAAAGTTTATGTTCCGCTGGGATCACCCAAACCAAGACTATTAACTTAAAATACACAACTGAAGATCAAAATGTATCTTCTCAATTGAGAAAACCAACAAAAAGAAATAGTATGTATATTTTTTGAAAATAAAACAATTTTTTAAGTTATTAAGGGAAATCATCAGAATTGTATTGTCTTTTTTTGCATTGAAATAAACTTTGTTATTGTTTAGAACAGAAGGAAAAAAGCAGCTAAAATAATTTATGTTTCAAGTCTAACCATGACAAAATTTTAAACAGAAGTTTGAATATTTAGGTCCCTAATTCCAATATCTTACCCATAATGGGAATAGTTTGAACATTTGAACAAAACAAATGTTATTTGCCTTGTTGAGATAGGTATCTCTAATATGATCAAAAACTGATGTTAAAATTAAATCCCCATCCTGAGGCAATAGCATAGAGACCGAGTCTATCTGGTGCTTTGGTTCATATAAAGGTCATTGTGATAAAATCTCAATGATATGCAATTAAAAAAATTCACATTGTCTACATTGGGTGAGGAAAGTAAAGGCACAACTGTAGTTGTGAAGCTTAACTAAGGTTGGTGAAGGCTATTTCCGCTGAAACAAACAGCTTTTTATATAAAAATACTGTTAATTGTTACTTCAGAGAAGTTGATTAAGGAATGGGGGAGGTAGATAATTTGTTTCTTTTTATATTACATTATTCTGTGCTTAAACTTTAGTGAAAGTGCTGGAACTTTTATCATGGGTATGCATTTCTTTGTTAATGAAAGAAGAAATTACTTAAAAAATTATTTTAAAATAAGAAGCATAGATGACTTCCAAAAAGTCACGTAATTTTCAAAAATTCTTTCCATTACAGAGAGATAATCCAATGCCAGGACACATATGCTCCCTGGGGTAAAATTGAAATATCCATAAAAATGAAATAAGAAGAAGCCATTTTAATGTCTAGAGGAAGAAAATACAGAATATGTGGTCTGTGTGTGGCCTTTGAGTAAGCCAGTGATGCTCAAAGTACCCATTCACAATAAGATCTGGAACCTGTGCTGGAATGTAAATGAACACACTACTTCCTTCTATGAGCAAGTCTTGCTACCAAAATAAATAAACACATACATACATACATACATACATACATACATACATACATCAGATGAACTGAAAAGCATGCTTAATGGCTAAACTAATTTACATCCTGATGCAAACTGGTCGCAAACAGATGGCCGACCAGAGACCACAATATGAGTAGCACTGAAACCTGCATACACCAAAAATAAATGGAAGGAGGAAAGTTTAGACTGTGAGTCAGTCAGGGTTCAAAGTAGGAAACAGAAATCACTGTAGACATTTAAAGTAGAAAAAGATTTAATACTGAAAATTCAGTGTAGACAGAAATGGTAGAAGAAAGAATAATGTGCAACAAGTCCACAAGCTGCCACTTAGCCAATTTGAAGAACTTCCACCATAACTACAATGCAGAGATCAGAAAGTTATGATTGCTGTCACGACCACCACTGCCTTTTAACATTTATGGATCTGGTGACTAGACAGAGGAGCACTGAGCCCGGTCAATTCAATGGCTTTTAAATCTTCATGAACTTGCTTGCCAGCTGAAAATGGCCTCCACCTCTGCCCTCCATATCTGCCCATATTTGTCTTGGTACATCTCTTTAAAGGGTATTCACTGGGATCCACACCTTTGAGTTGAGATCAGTTCTGCTTTGTGTATGTTCATTCTGCAGTCCAGGATGAAGGAGTGGTGGCTATTCATAGAATGCTCTACTCATGGTGATGAAGCGAAACACAAGCACATATAAGGCCCCTGCTCACGTCATATCTACTAACATCTCATTGTCCAAAGCAAGTCACATGGCAAAGCCCATTTTCAATGAGATCTCTGTTCTACCCCCAAAGGAAAACCACTGTAATATTACACAGCAAATGGTATCAATATACTGTCACAGGGAACTGAAGAATTGGGACCAATATCCCAATCTTCAACAACTTTCAGTCTTTTTCAATGCTACAGTTTCATATTCTGTAATGCTATGACAGAGATTCATAACAATGTATGAACTACCTCAATACCCAGTTACCCACTTTCTCTCCTCCATCAACTCCCCAAAAGACCACAGATAACCAATCTCTACAAAACTTATCCATTATTAGCCCCTTCTATCTGAAAGAAAGTGTTGTTACTCTCTCAAACCATGGCCCATTCCCAGGCTGTGTTATAATTTTCCCCAAACTCTCAGAGACTTTAATTCTACTCTATTACCTCTTTTCTCCTAAATCTTCACACTTGCTTCTTTCCCAATCAAACATCTGTAACAAATGCTACAATCAAACATGTGAACTTTGATCTTAAAAATAAATGGTCTCTCACGATATTACATCTCCCCTAGCAAGCCTCTTCTTCCTCATATTCACCTTTCCTAAAAGGGTGTATTTATTACAGCTTCTATTTCCTCTTCTTTCACTTATTCTACAGCACTCTGAAATCTGGCCATAAAAAAACAACAAGAAGTCATATTTGCCAAGTTTACTGCTTATTGTCGAAGGGTTTGGTGAGGCGCTATGAATAGCACACTCATTCCCTGATTTCTGCATCAAAAGAGAAAGAAAAAAAATGAAGCTTTCTCCGTTAGTCTGTTTGCATGGCTATAAAAGAATATCTGAGGCTGGGAACTTTATAAAGGAAAGGGGTTTATTTGGCTCACGGTTCTGCAGGCTGTACAAGAAGCATAGTGCCGGCATCTGCTTCTGCTGAAGTCCTTGGGAATCTTACAATCATGGTGGAAGGTGAAGGGAAGCCAACATGTCACATGATGAGAAAGGAAGCAAGGGAGAGAGAAGGAGGTGCCAGACTCCTTTAAACAACCAGCTTTTATGTGAACTACCAGAGCAGGAACTCAGTCATTACCATGGGGATGGCAACCAAGACAATCATGAGGGATCCACCTCCATGATCCAAACACCTACCACTAGGCCTACCTCCAACACTAGAGCTCACATTTCAACATGAGATTTGTAGAGACAAAACATCCAAAACATATCACCAACACTGAAGAAATGTGGCTTAGATGTGAGAGCCAAATGAGCTTATTAACTCCCTACGCTCTTGGATCCAAGACTGCAAATACACTTAACCCAGGTTTCTGTCTCACTATTGTAAGTAGAAGGGGAAGGAGAAAGAGTGCAACTATCACCCTGTTCCAGTGATCATGTTTGTGACTAGTAAGCTCCAATCAAGAAAAAATAGACCAATAGCAATTACCTAAGACCCAAGAAAGAGATGAGGAAGTAGATGCAGAGCATGTGGGGGCAATAGCCCCTCACAGAAACTAGAAGACTGGAAAAAAGATGCTCCCCTCTAAGAGTTACTGTTTGCATCTCTAATTTACTTGAGCTGTCTGGGATATTTGCACTGTTGACCTTTCATTCCTCTGGAAAATCTTTTTGCCTCAAATTTCAAGAAACTCCCTTCTCTAGGTTTTCCTCCTAATACTCTGATATGCCCTATTTTATCTCCTTTATGGGGTATCCCCGGGGATACCACTTTGTTTTCCCATTCTTTGGTGTCCCTTGGAAATCCCATCCATGCCTATAACTTTCACTATTACTCATGTGTTCATACAACTGGATATTATCTGCCTAATAGGTACTTCACTTCAAGGATGCGCATATGTACCTGACATGCAAAATGTCAAGACATATTTGTCTTCTTTTTCCCAAAGCAATCTTTCTCTTCCATAATCTCTCCTTTGTGGGTGGCACTAGCATTCACCCAGTCTTCCAAGACAGAAATCTTAAGAAACATCTCTAATTCCTCTCTCTCCTTCTCCTACTCTGTCCCTACCACCTCTGTGAGGTCCAGTGAATTTCACTTCCTGAGTATCTTTCAAATTAGTCTCCTCTCTATTTCTACTATCCCTGCCTTGGTTTAAACCCTAAGCATCTGCTCGAACCTAATTTACCACAATAGTTCCTCACTACTACGCCCCCTTAAAATGGACATATTAGTTTTGGGTTTCTGCAAGATTGTTTTTGTTTTGTTTGCCTAACACCAATTATCTCTTCTTTTGCTAAAAGCACCCCAATTTTGCTGAATGAATGCAAGGCACCAATGTATATTTTCTTTTTTAGAAGTTATTTTCAATTGGTGATCTATACATGATGTATATGACAGGTCCTCATTGATTAGAATATGTGGTTAACCAAAACTATTGCTTAATAATGGTGGTAAAGAGAGAAATTACAAGGATTTATTGAGGATCAGGAATTAGAGAACAATAAAAGATTTCAATATAAAAATTAAATTCATCAAACTAGAGGATCAATTACTTTTTGGTTTCTCCTTCCTGATCACTAGCAGTGTTTTAATATCCTTAGGGATCAATTCTGTAGCTTCTATGGATTTTGTTCTAAATGAACATGATTCTTTTGATTAATATTGCTTCTGTAACAATATCTAAGTTAGTAAAGCACACTCCATACGCTTATGCTATACAAATTTGTGCTTTCATCTCTGTAACTCCCCCTGAAAGACGTTTTTATCAAAGTAATAGTTGTCTTAGATGTGTTCAAACCCAACTAAACATAAAGCATTCACTTTTGTCTGTCACACACAGCTTCCTCCACCTTATATACTGGAAGGAAGTCCTTTGGTTTGAAAGCTTTGCCAGTGTTTGAGAAAGTAAATCCCTTTCAAGTTCAGGGTGAATATTTTCAAAAGGATTTTACAAAGAGTTTTAATAACAACACAGTCTCTCTTCCCCACTCTCAGCTCAAACCTGATTTTGAACTTTTTAAATTTAACACCAAGCTTAGATTCTCAGACGGTAAGAGCTGAAAAAGACTTTAGATTCCATCTCAATCCCACCTACACATTTTACAGTCAAGGAGACAGACATCTGTAAAAAGGAAAGCATTTGTTCAAGGTCTTGATAGGTTTAACATAATTGAGATTTATTTCCCTAATGGTCTCAAGATCTTGTACAGCAGAAATTTCAGTAAGCCCCAAAGTGCTGCACCTGTCTTGCTTGATTTCTGGACCTCTGACTTCAACTCAGATGCCACTCATCATTTTCCATAAACTGTTCATTTCTGCCTCCATTTTCCTTAAATCTAAAGAGCCCTCTTCAAGCCTATCTCATCGAGAGGAGCCATAGGGAGGTGGCAGAGGTGGTGGATGGGGGGAATTCCTGCTGGGCCTGAGCAATGAGCCATTGCTTCTGGTGGCTCATTGCTCAGCCTCAGCAGAAATACCCCTTCTAAGATGGTACAGCCCTGGTATAAATAGATATTACCAAAGCCTCTGGCTCAGAGGGCAGCTGGATATCCGAAAAGAAAAATAAGAGGTGGCTATAGCTGCTCAATGTAAGTGTGGGGTGGAGGTGAGGAGGGAGAAGTGGCAGCAAAATTTTATCTTCCCACATGACAAAAATAAAATGATTGGGGTTTTCTCTTTCCTTTTTGCGATTTCCTTCCCTAGTTCCCCAGCTGCACACACACATGCATACACGCACAAAAATAACAACAACAACAACAATTACAACCCCTAATTGTCCTAGCCAGGGGTCATTTTGTAATTTTCCTATTTGTTTACACCTCCATTTTTATTTATTTAAACCGAGGGTGGGGTGGGGGATAAAAAATATAAAAATACAGTGTAGTTCCTTCCAGGTACCTTACTCCACAGTAGATCCTGTATTTCATAACTTCTCTGAAGCTCAGATTTGAATTTTCTTACTCTCCAGGGTTTCTGTTTTCAGTTTGTACCCTAAGGTGTAAAGAATATGCATGGAATAACTGGGATTCCAATAATCTTCTACTAGCAAACAGGATGTTCAAGTGTTCATTTTTCAATTTTTTGCTTGTTTTTTGTTTTTTTAGACAGAGTTTCACTCTAACGCTCATGCTGGAATGCAGGGGCTCAATCTCAGCTCACTACAAGTAATCCTCTCACTTTAGCCTCCTGAGTAGCTGGAACTACAGGCACATGCCACCATGCCTGGCTAGTTTTGTGGGGTGTTGTTGTTGTTTTTGTTATTGTTGTTTGTCAGCCAAGAAGACAAGCAAGGGATAGATTCTGACCCCAAATGAAGAAGAATGACTAAGAATTAGAACTATACTATTATAGCATAAAATGGGATATAACCGAAAGTAATAATATCTTCATTACTAGAAGTACTCATTCAAACAGGAACTGAAGAAACCATTGGTCAAGATTTTGTTAGAAGGAATTCAACATTCACTGAAGAAAGGACAGTCTCTACAATAAATGCTGCTGGGAAAACTGGATATTCATACACAGAAGAATGATACTAGACCACTATATCTCGCCATTTACAAAAATCAAATCAAAATGAATTAAATGCTTAAATTTAAGACCCCAAACTGTGAAACTGCTAGGAGAAAACACAGGAGAAACAGTTTGGGACATTAGTCTGGGCAAAAATTTTATGGATAAGACCTCAAAAGCACCGGCTGCAGAAGCAGGAATAACAAATGAGATTATATCTAAAGTAACAAACTTCTGCACAGCAAAGGAAATAATCAACACAGTGAAGAAACAATCTGCAGAATAGGAGAAAATATGTGCAAACTATACACTGATAGGGCATTAAAATTCAGAATATACAAGGAACTCTAACACCTCAACAGCAAATAAATAAATAAACACACAAATAATCCAATTTAAAAATGGGTAAATGATCTAAATAGAAATTTCTCAAAAGAAGTCATAAAAATGGCCAAGAAGTATATGAAAAAATGCCCAACAACACTAATCACCAGAGAAATTTAAATGAAAACCACAAAGCAATATCATCTCATCGTATTTAGGATGGCTATTACCGAAAAGACAAAAAACAATACTGGTGAGGATGCAGAGAAAGGGGAACTCTTATACACTGCTAGTGAGAATGTAAATTAGTATAGTTATTATGGAAAACAGCATCAAGGTTTCTCAAAAAACTAAACTAAAGCTACCATATGATTCAGCAGTCCAAGTACTGGATATATATCCAAAGGAAAAGAAATCTATGCTAAAAAAAAATGATCTGTACACCCATGTTTATTGCAGCACAATTCACAATAGCCAAGATATGGAATCAACCTAAGTTTACATCAACAGATAAATGAATAAAGGAAATGTGGTATATATACCCAATGGGATACTATTCAGTCATAAAAAAGAATAAAATTCTGTCATTCACAACAACATGGATGGAACTGAAGGACATTATGTTAAGTGAAATAAACCAGGCACAGAAAGATAAACACTGCAGGTTCTCACATGTAGAAGCTAATAAAGTATATCTCATAGACATAGATAATAGAATAGCGATTACTAGAGTCTGGGAAGGGTTGGGGAAGGGGAATATAAGTAGAGGTTGGTTAATAAATACAAAATTGCAGCTAAATAACAGGAGTAAGTTCTAGTGTTCTATAGTTATTTCATATTTTCAAATAGCTGGAAAAGAGAATTTTCAATGTTCTCAAATAAATGATCAATATTTGAGGAGATAGATGTACTAATTACCTTGATTTGATGACTACACATTGTATGCATGTATTTAATCATCACACTGTACCCCATATATTATACAACTATTACATGTCAGTTAAAAATCGTCTTTAAATGATTAAAATAGTAAAAAAAGAAAGCTTTGCTAATCAGGTAATGAATAAAAAGACTTGAGAAATGGAAGGAGCTAAGGATAAGTTAGCTGGTTTCAAGCATCTAGCAAAGAGTTGGGCGAGATGACTTTTAAGTTGTTTTCTGAGGTTGTTACTCTTCATTCTTGGTAAGTCTTAGGTATGCTTGGGTAAAATAATGTCTGGGATTGGATCTTAGGTTGTATGGGTCTCCCAGCTCAAGAACACACAGGTCAAGTCCTGCCTCACCAGTAAAGTCAAGTTCTTCCCTGATATCTGAATTGTTTCATTTCTGTTGGTGGAGGAGGTACACAAAGGTTTTACTCTCAGCCTTCCAATACCTACAGATCCCAATTATAGATATACAGTGAGTGCAGTTACATCATTAATTGGAAAGTGGATTGTGAACTGGAATAAAGAAAATTCACACCAAACCTTATGGAAGCTAGTAACATGGATTTGAAGGTGATACTAGTTCTACAAATAAAAACGTCAAGGCAATAAGTCCTTGCTTTAGTCAATATTTATCTTTCAGGTTAATCAGTCTGGAAGTTAAACAAAAATATGAATTAATTATTCTGGCTATCTTCTCTATATACATAATCACTTAAGCAAAGCAAGTTAGATTGGTGTCTGACTACATAAAAATGGACTATTGGGATGTTCTTTATGCAAAGGAGCATTCTAAAGGCAAAATGGTATAAAAAGCTTGTAAAAAGTCATTATTCTCTTTCTGAGAATTAAGTGCAATTGTAGTCAAGGCAAACAATTGTCATTGAACTCAGCAGCAATCAATGGAGAGAACCTATTTGTATATGTGAATTGGCTAGTTAACACTATTTCAAAGTGTCATTGATTCTAGACAATGTGAATGATAGCAAGGCTCACTTCTGTTTCACTTTCCATCAGAAATCAATTGTTTTGGTGTTGTCATCATCATTGTTGTTTTTGTTGTTATGGGTAGAAGTTCCATTTACTTGAAAAGTGTCCCTCATATGAACAGCTTTCTCTTTCACAGAGGGAACCAGGCAGACAAAATTTGCTCAGAATCAAGTGACAGAAAAAAAAAACCCATGATCCCAGAGGATAGGTCACTTAATGCAACAAAGACAAAAAATATCAATGTGGGGCAGGAACCAGAATATGCATTTGTGAGCAGCAGTGTACAAAGGATGGGAATGTTTTACCACTGACGTTGCTTAGAATTGCTGGTTCATGGTTGTAATACAAAGCAGACCAACTTTTAGTCACTTTTTAAAATGTTTTTTAATTTCATAAAGACAACACATTCTCTCATTCCTGCACTAGGCTACCCCACCATCTGTTTGTGAGTATTCCCTAGCCTTTCTTCCTCACAGCCTCTCATCGACACAAATTCTTTCAGAAAAATATTCTATGTATGCCAGCTGGACCTGAGAGCATCTAATTTTTCTAAACAAGTAATAAATTAATAGATTTGAGAAATGGAAGAAGCCAAGGATAAGTTAGGAATTTTTTCATTGAAAGAGAGGTATTTAGAGGAATGGGAAAGAAGAATAGATTCAAAATGTTGCAATGAATAAGGCTACCCTTGTTCCACTCCCACTATCCCCATAATTACCACAATGGACTTAGGGTGCATAGAGGATTCAAGAATCAAGAACCCCTTGAAGAAGACCTGATCTTTAGGAGGGCTAGGTATTGGAAGTGAGAAAGGTTTAGGGGTAACAGTCCAGAAGCCACTTAGCTTAAACAAGACTAGGGAGATCAGAAAAGAAAGACAGGATACATATGAGTGACCTGGCCTTTTCTTATCCATGAAATTGAATTCATTATTTCTGGCACAAAATAATAAAGGCCAAAAAACGATATGTGTCACCTTTAACCTGGGAAGTAAATTATGGTTTAAAACTCTTAAAGCACAGGAATCCTCTCAACTGCTCTGAGAGGCATTTCTACCACTACTCCAAATAGAGAAAACCAGGCAGAGGCTTCATTAACTTAACTGAGGTCACAGAGCAAGTGCAGAATGAAGCAGAAAATAATACATAGGCTTCATGAATCCCATTTCACTACCCCCTTCACCAAGCCTCCTCTCCCTTTTATTGTCTTCTTTAAATCAATTCCCAAGGACAACCAAATCTAGTCCGTGTATAGTAAAATGTCACATGTCTCCATGGTTTAACTCTTCTAGAAACAGCATGATGTTATAAATAGCCCTCAAGCTAGTACAAGAATCCATGGGTTTGCTCTCTATTGTCCATGGAATGGGGACACATGAAAGTCAAGGTACCAATGAAATACTGGACATGACTTTTCTATTCCTAATCCCTTTTTCTTTCCTTCTCTCTCTTCTTGTCAGACTTCTCCAGACAACTTATCCATGGATTTTCTTTTTTTGTTTTTAGAAAACTGATGAAAATCTATTAATACTATGGTTGGGTTTGAGTCAATGCTTACTTTGGATGTGTGGGTACTATATAAAGTTGTGTTATGAAAATACATGGCTGTGTGTGTATTGAAATATAAACATGTGTGTTTACTCATACATACATACAGATACACACCCACACTTTCCTTTTGCTATTTATTTTGGCCTTTATAACTAGAAAGTTATCTTCTCTATGTTCTGTCCTAGGTATTCCTCATCCCTGCCTAAGTCAGTTTTGAATGGTTATGCAAACAACTGAGGGAAACTTCAGGGTGTCAGGACTCTGACTGAAATTAAACATCTTTTCCAGTTTTATTGAAGCATCATGGACAAATAAAAATTATATTTATTTAAGATACAAAATGTGATTATTTGATATACATATATTATAAAATGATTACTAAAATCAAGCTAATAAACATATCCATCACCTTACACAGATACTCTTTTTTGTGGTGAGAACTCTGAAGATCAACTCTCTCAGCAAATTTCAAGTATGCATTATCACTAACTATATTCAGCAAGGTAGGCATTTGATATCCAGAACTTACTCATCTTGTAACTGAAAGTTTATGCTCTTTGACTAACATCTCCCTCTTTACCCTATCCCCCAAACCCTGGTAACCACCATTCTATGCTGTTTCTATAAGTTAGACATTTTTAGATTCCACATAGAAATAAGATTATGCAGTATTTGTCTTTTGTGTCTGGCTTATTTCACAGAATAATATCTTCCAGGTTCATTCATGTTGTCATAAATGGCAGAATTTTATGATTTTTATGGCTAAATGGCTGAATAATATACCCTTGTGTGTGTATATATGTATGTGTATATATGCGTGTGTATGTGTGGGTGCACATTTTCTGTATTCATCTATCAACAGGCAGACAGTTTTCATATCTTGGCTATTGTAATAATGTTGTGATGATCATGGGGGTGTAGATAATCTCTTTAAGAGAGTGATTTAATTTCCTTTGGATATATACTCAAAAGTGAAATTGTTGAATTATGTGGTAGTTCTATTTTTCCTTTTTTGAGGAATTTTCATGTTATGTTCCTCATAATTGCTGTACCAATTAACATTCCCACAAACAGAGTACAAGGGTTCCCTTTTCTCCACATCCTCATCAACACTTATTATCTTTTGACTTTTTGATAGTAGACTTCCTAATAAGCATGAGGGGATATCACACTGTGGTTTTGATTTACATTTCCCTGATGCTTAGTGATGTTGATCACTTTTCTGTATACCTGTTGACCATCTGTAAGTATTCTATCAGAAAAACTGTCTATTCAGGTCTTCTGATCATTTTTAATTTAGTTGTTTTGCTATTGAATTGTATGAGTTCCTTACATATTTTGCATATTAACCCCTAATCAGATATATGATTTGCAAATTTTTTTACCATTCTGTGGGTTGCATGTTTGTTGATTTCCCTTTTTTCTGCAGAAACTTTTAATTTTATGTAGTTTCACTTATTTTTGCTTTTCTAACCTGTGCTTTCAGCATCATATCCAAAATCATTGCCAAGACCAATTAATGTCAAGAAGATTTACCACTGTGTTTTATTCTAGAAGTTTTGCTGTTTCACGTCTTATATTTAAGTGTTTAGTAAATTTGAGTTGATCTTTGTATACGGTGTGAGATGAGGGTCTAATTTTATTCTTCTGCAGGTGGATATTCAGTCTATCCAGAACCATGTATTGAAAGACTATCCTTTTCTCATTGTTATTTTTGGCACCATTGTCAAAGATTAGTTGACTATGCATGTGACAGTTTATTTCTGGGTTCTCTATTATGTTGCAATAGTCTATGTGTCTGTTTTTAATGCCAGTACCATACTGTTTTGATTACTACAGATTTGTAATATAATTTGAAATCAGGAAGTGCGATGCCTCCAGTTTTGTTCTTTTTGCTCAAGATTGCTTTGACTATTCAGAGTCTTTTGTGGGTCCATACAAAGTTCAGGTTTTTTATTCTGTGAAAATACCATGGGAATTTTGATAGGGATTACACTGAATCTATACATTGCTTTGAGTCAGATGAACATTTTAACAATATTAATTCTTCTAATCTGTGAACACAGGCTATCTTTTCCTTTATATATGTCTTCTCCATCAGTATTTTATAGTTTTCAGTGTACAGATCTTTCACCTCTTTGGTTAAGTTTACTCCAAAGTATTTTGTTCTTTTTGATAGCTTTGTAAAAGGGATTGTTCTCTTAATTTAAGTTTCAGGCAATTTATTCTCAATATATGGAAACAAAACTGATTTTTGTATGTTGATTTTGTTTCCTTCAATACAATATTAACTTTAAATGTAAATGGACTAAATTCTCCAATTAAAAGACACAGACTGGCAAGTTGGATAAAGAGTCAAGACCCATCAGGGTGCTGTATTCAGGAAACCCATCTCACGTGCAGAGACACACATAGGCTCAAAATAAAAGGATGGAGGAAGATCTACCAAGCAAATGGAAAACAAAAAAAGGCAGGGGTTGCAATACTAGTCTCTGATAAAACAGACTTTAAACCAACAAAGATCAAAAGAGACAAAGAAGGCCATTACATAATGTTAAAGGGATCAATTCAACAAGAGGAGCTAACTATCCTAAATATATATGCACCCAATACAGGAGCACCCAGATTCATAAAGCAAGTCCTGAGTGACCTACAAAGAGACTTAGATTCCCACACATTAATAATGGGAGACTTTAACACCCCACTGTCAACATTAGACAGATCAACGAGACAGAAAGTCAACAAGGATACCCAGGAATTGAACTCAGCTCTGCACCAAGTGGACCTAATAGACATCTACAGAACTCTCCACCCCAAATCAACAGAATATACATTTTTTTCAGCACCACACCACACCTATTCCAAAATTGACCACATAGTTGGAAGTTAGGCTCTCCTCAGCAAATATAAAAGAACAGAAATTATAACAAACTATCTCTCAGACCACAGTGCAATCAAACTAGAACTCAGGATTAAGAATCTCACTCAAAGCCGCTCAACTACATGGAAACTGAACAACCTGCTCCTGAATGACTACTGGGTACATAATGAAATGAAGGCAGAAATAAAGATGTTCTTTGAAACCAACGAGAACAAAGACACAACATACCAGAATCTCTGGGACGCATTCAAAGCAGTGTGTAGAGGGAAATTTATAGCACTAAATGCCCACAAGAGAAAGCAGGAAAGATCCAAAATTGACACCCTAACATCACAATTAAAAGAACTAGAAAAGCAAGAGCAAACACATTCAAAAGCTACCAGAAGGCAAGAAATAACTAAAATCAGAGCAGAACTGAAGGAAATAGAGACATAAAAAACCCTTCAAAAAATCAATGAATCCAGGAGCTGGTTTTTTGAAAGGATCAACAAAATTGATAGACCGCTAGCAAGACTAATAAAGAAAAAGAGAGAGAAGAATCAAATAGACACAATAAAAAATGATAAAGGGGATATCACCACCGATCCCACAGAAATACAAACTACCATCAGAGAATAGTACAAACACCTCTACGCAAATAAACTAGAAAATCTAGAAGAAATGGATAAATTCCTCGACACATACACTCTCCCAAGACTAAACCAGGAAGAAGTTGAATCTCTGAATAGACCAATAACAGGAGCTGAAATTGTGGCAATAATCAACAGCTTACCAACCAAAAAGAGTCCAGGACCAGATGGATTCACAGCCGAATTCTACCAGAGGTACAAGGAGGAACTGGTACCATTCCTTCTGAAACGATTCCAATCAATAGAAAAAGAGGGAATCCTCCCTAACTCATTTTATGAGGCCAGCATCATTCTGATACCAAAGCCGGGCAGAGAAACAACCAAAAAAGAGAATTTTAGACCAATATCCTTGATGAACATTGATGCAAAAATCCTCAATAAAATACTGGCCAACTGAATCCAGCAGCACATCAAAAAGCTTATCCACCATGATCAAGTGGGCTTCATCCCTGGGATGCAAGGCTGGTTCAATATACGCAAATCAATAAATGTAATCCAGCATATAAACAGAACCAAAGACAAAAACCACATGATTATCTCAATAGATGCGGAAAAAGCCTTTGACAAAATTCAACAACCCTTCATGCTAAAAACTCTCAATAAATTAGGTATTGATGGGATGTATTTCAAAATAATAAGAGCTATGTATGACAAACCCACAGCCAATATCATACTGAATGGGCAAAAACTGGAAGCATTCCCTTTGAAAACTGGCACAAGACAGGGATGCCCTCTCTCACCGCTCCTATTCAACATAGTGTTGGAAGTTCTGGCCAGGGCAATCAGGCAGGAGAAGGAAATAAAGGGTATTCAATTAGGAAAAGAGGAAGTCAAATTGTCCCTGTTTGCAGACGACATGATTGTTTATCTAGAAAACCCCATCATCTCAGCCCACAATAAAATCACTTATTAGTTCTAACAGTTTTTGGAATCCTTAGGGTTTTTAACATATAAGACCATGTCATCTGCAAACAAAGACAATTTAACTTTTTTTTTTTATTTCTCCTTAAAAAAAAAAAAGGGATACATATGCAGAATGTTCAGGCTTGTTACATAGATATATGTGTACCAGGGTGGTTTGCTGCACCTATTGACCCATCCTCTAAGTTCCCTCTCCTCACCCCCGTCTCCCAACAGGCTGTGGGTTTGTGTTGTTCCCCTCTCTGTGTCCATGTGTTCTCAATGTTCAACTCTCACTCATGAGTGAGAACATGCAGTGTTTGGTTTTCTTTTCCTGTGTTAGTTTGCTGAGGATGATGGCTTCCAGCTTCATCCATGTCCCTGCAAAGGACATGATCTCATTCCTTTTTATGGCTACATACTATTCCATAGTGTATATGTACCACATTTTCTTTATCCAGTCTATCAGACAATTTAACTTTTTCCTTTCTGATTTGCATAACTTTTATTTCTCTCTCTTGCCTATTTTGTCTGCCTAGGACTTCCAGTACCATGTTGAACAGAAGTAGTAAGATTGGTCATCCTTGTCTTGCTCCTAATATTTGAGAAAAAGCTTTTAGCTTTTCACCATGGAGTATGATGTTAGCTGTGGACTTATCATATATGGCCTTTATTATGTTGAGGTATATTCCTTCTATACCTAATTTGCTGATAATTTTTGTCATGAAAGGATGTTGGACTTTGTCAAATGCTTTTTTTACATCTATTGTAATGATCATATGATATTTACCCTTCATTCTGTTAATGTGATATATCATGTTTATTGATTTGCCTATATTGAACCATCCTTGCATCTCAGAGATAAATCCCACTTCATCATGGTGTATAATCTTTTTTTTCCTGTTTGAGATGGGTTCTCACTCTGTCACCCAGGCCAGATTGCAGTGGCATAATCACTGCACACTGCAGCCTTAACCTCTTAGTCTTAAGCAGTCCTCCCACCTCAGCCTCCAAGTAGCTGGGGCCACAGACACCTGACACCACACTTAGCTAATTTTTTTTCTTTTGTAGAGATGGTGTACTAGTCCATTTTCATGCTGCTGAGAAAGACATACTCAAGAGTGGGTAATTTATAAGGAAAAAGAGGTTTAATATATTCACAGTTCCATGTAGCTGAGAGCCCTCACAATCATGGTGGAAAATGAAAGGCACATCTCACATGGTGGCAGACAAGAGAAGAGAACTTGTGCAGGGAAACTCCCCTTTATAAAACCATCAGATCTCATGAAACTTATTCACTGTCACAAGAACAGCATGGGAAAAACCCATCCCCATGATTCAATTACCCATCAGGTCCCTCCCACAACAATTGGGAATAGTGGGAGCTACAATTCAAGATGATACTTGGGTAGGGACACAGCCAAATGATATCATTCCACCCCTTGCCCCTCCCAAGTTTTATGTCCTCACATTTCAAAACGAATCATGCCTTCTCAACAGTCCCCTAAAGTCTTAACTCATTTCAGCATTAACTCAAAAGTCCACAGTCCAAAGTCTCATCTGAAACAAGGCAAGTCCCTTCCACCTATGAGCCTGTAAAGTCAAATGCAAGTTAGTTACTTCCTAGATACAATGGGAGTACAGGCATTAAATAAATACACCCATTTGAAATGGGAGGAACTGGCCAAAATGAAGGGACTAAAGGACCCATGCCAGTTCAAAATCCAGCAGGGCAGTCAAGTCTTAAAGCTCCAAAATGACCTCATTTGACTCCACTTCTCACATCCAAGGCACACTGATGTAAGGAGTGGGTTCCCATAGTCTTAGGCAGCTCTGCCCCTATGGCTTTGCAGGATACAGGCTCCCTCCCAGGCACATGGTGCAAGCTGCCAGTGTGGAGGACAGTGGCCCTCTTCTCATAGCTCTACTAGGCAAAGCTCCAGTGTTGACTCTTTGTGGAGTCAACCTGCCCCACCTGCCCCTTCAGCACTGCCCCAACAGAGGTTCTCCATGAGCACCCCACCCCTGCAGCAAACTTCTGCCTGGACATCCAGGCATTTCCATACATCCTCTGAAATCTAGACAGACGTTCTCAAATCTCAGTTCTTGACTTCTGTGATCCACCCAAGCTCAACACCATCTGGAAGCTGCCAAGGCTTGGGGCTTGCACTCTCTGAAACCATGGCCTGAGCTGTACCTTGGCCCCTTTTAGTCATGGCTGGAGCAGCTGGGATGGAGGGCACCCAGTCCTTAGACTGCACACAGCAGAGGAACCCTGGGGCCAGCCCACGAAACCATTTTTTCCTCTTAGGCCTTCAGGCCTGTGATGGGATGGGCCACCTCAAAGCTCTCTGACATGCCCTGGAGACATTTTCCCCATTGTACTGGTGACTAACATTCAGCTACTCATTACTTATGCAAATTTATGTGGCCAGCTTGAATTTCTCCTTAGAAAATGGGATTTTCATTTCTATCGCCCTGTAAGGCTGCAAATTTTTCAAAATTTTATGCTTTGCTTTCCTTATAAAACTGAATGATGCCTTTAACAGCACCCAAGTCACCTCTTGAATGTTTTGCTGCTTAGAAATTTTTTCTGCCAGATACTCTAAATCATCTCTCTCAAGCTCAAAGTTCTTCAAATCTCTAGGCCAGGGGCAAAATGTCACCAGTCTTTTTGCTAAAACATAACGAGTCACCTTTGCTCCAGTTTCCAGCAAGTTCCTCATCTCCATCTGAGATCACCTCAGCCTGGATTTCATTGTTCATATCATTATCAGCATTTTGGCCAAAGCCATTCAACAAGTCTCCAGGGAGTTCCAAACTGTCCCACATTTTCCATCTTCTTCTGAGCCCTCCTGTGTTAGTTCATTTTCATGTTGCCGATAAAGACATACCCAAGACTGGGTAATTTACAGAAGAAAGAGGTTTAATTAGACTTAAATTTCCACATGGCTGGTGAGGCCTCACAATCATGGCAGAAGGCAAGGAGGAGCAAGTCACATCATATGTGGATGGTGGCAGGCAAAGACAGAGAGCTTGTGCAGGAAAACTCCACCTTACAATAACCATCAGATACATGAGATGTATTCACTACCATGAGAACAGCACAGAAAACACCTGCCCTCGTGGAGGGACAGACCCGATTCTCCCACTGGGTCCCTCCCACAACACATGCGAATTCAAGATGAGATTTGACTGGGGAAACAGCCAAACCTTATCACCTCCAAATTGTTCCAATCTCTGCCTGTTACCCAGTTCCAAAGAGGCTTCTACATTTTTGGGTATCTTTACAGCAGCGCCCCACTCTACTGTTACCAATTGACTGTATTCATCCATTTTTGCACTGCTGATAAAGACATACTTGAGACCAGCTAATTTATAAGAAAAAAAGAGGTTTAATGGGCTCAAAGTTCCACATAGCTGGGGAGGCCTCACAATCATGGCAGAAGGTAAAATGCATGTCTCACATGGCAGCAGACAAGAAAAGAGACCTTGTGCAGGGAAACTCCCCATTACAAAACCATCAAATCTCATGAGACTTATTCACTATCATGAGAACAGCATGGAAAGACCACCCCCATGATTCAATTACCTTCCATCAGATCCCTCCCATAACACATGAGAATTGTTGGAGCTACAATTCAAGATGAGATTTGGGTTGGGACACAGCCAAACCATATCAGATGGGGTCTCACTATGTTGCCCAGGCTGGTCTCAAAAGCCTGGCTCAAATGATCCTCACACTAATTCCATAAGTGCTGGGATTACAGGCATGAGCCACCATGCCCAGCCGTATAATCCTTTTAATGTGCTGTTGAATTCAATTTGCTGGTACTGCATTGAGAATTTTTGCATCTATGCTTATTAGAGATATTGGACTCTAATTTCCTTTCTTTGTACCACGCTTGTCTGGCCCCTTAAAATTGGACCTCATAAAATGAATTTGGAACTGTTCCCTTCTTTTTGGTTTCTTGGAAAAGATTAATTCTTCCTTAAATGTTTGGTGGAATTCAGCAGTGAAGCCATCTGGTTCTGGACTTTCCTTTGTTGGGAGATTTTTGAGTAGTAATTCAATCTCCTTACTCATTATTGTTCTGTTCTGCTTTCCTATTTATTCATGATTCAATCTTAGTAGGTTCTATGCATCAAGTCTATCTGTTTATTCTAGGTCATCCAATTTGTTGGCATATCATTTTTTATAGTAGTCTCTTAGGATCATTTGTATTTCTGTGGTATCAATTATTAAGTCTTCTATTACAAATATTTTATTTCTGATTTTATTTCAGTCTTCTCTCTTTTTTTTCTTAGATAAGCTAAACACTTGTCAATTTCATTTACCTTTTCAAAAATTCAACTCTTGGGTTTTTTTATCTTTTCTATTGTTGTTGTAGTCTGTTTGATTTATTCCTTCTTTAATCCCTTTTTCTGACAACTTTGGGCTTAATTTGATATTGTTTTTCAGTTTCTTGAGGTACAAAGTCTGATTATTTAAGATCATTCATTTTTCCTAATGTAGTCATTTATTATTATAATCTTTTCTCTTAGATTTGTTATATTTATATTTATATTTGTTTCAATGTATTTGTTATTCCTCTTTTTGAACCTTCTTTAAGCCATTGGTTGTTCAGGAGTGTGTTGTTTAATTTCTATATATTTGTAATTTTTTTTTTCCAGATGGAATCTCACTCTATTGCCCAGGTTGGAGTGTAGTGGCGCAATCTTGGCTCACTGCAACCTCCACTTCCCAGGTTCAAGTGTTTCTCATGCCTCAGCCTCCTGAGTAGCTGGGATTACAGGCGCATGCCACCACACCTGGATAATTTTTGTAATTTTAGTAGATACAGGGTTTTGCCACATTGGCCAGGCTGGTCTTGAACCCTTGACCTCATGTGATCCACCTGCCTTGGCCTCCCAAAGTGTTGGGATTACAGGCATGAGCCACTGTACCCAGTCTATTTGTTAATTTTTTAGTGTTTTTCTTGTTGATTTTTAATTGCATAATGTTGTAGTCATAAGAATACTTGACATGTCAATCTTATTAAATTTGTTAAGACTTGTTTTGTGATCAAGACATGATCTCTTCTGAAGAATGTTCCACATGCACTTGAGAAGAATGTGTATTCTGCTACTCTTGGGTGGAATGTTTTATATATGTCTGTTAGTTTCATTTGGACTAAAGTGTAGTTCATATCCAATGTTTCCTTATTGATTTTCTGTTTTGATACCTGTCCATTTTTGAAAGTGGGATGTTGAGGTCCCCTACTAATATTGTATTTCAGTCTTATCTCTCTCTTCAGATCTATTAATATTTGCTTTATATATTTAGGTTCTATGATGGGTGCATATATATTTACAATTGTTATCTCTGTCAGTAAAGTATTCTTCATTGTGAATGTTTTTCTTTCAGCATTTTGAATATATTATCCCACTGTCTCATGGCTTGCAAGGTTTATTCTGAGAAATCCACTGATAGTCTGATGAAGATTCCCTTGAAGATGGCAAGTCTCTTCTCCTGTGGCTTTCAAAATTCTGCTTCTGATTTTTGGCAACTTAATTATAATGTATCTCGGTGGAGTCCTCTTTGGGTTGAACTGATTTGGAAGCCTTTAAGCCTCATGTATGTGGATGTCCATCTCTCCCACAGTTGGGGAAGTTTTAGGCCGTTATTTCTTTTCTTTTTTTTCTTTTCTTTTCTTTTCTTTTTTTTTTTTTTTTTTGAGACAGAGTTTTGTTCTTGTTGCCCAGGCTTGAGTGCAGTGGTGTGATCTCGGCTCACTGCAACCTCCACCTCCCAATTCGAATCAAGCGATTCTCCTGCCTCAGCCTCCTGAAGTAGCTGGGATTATAGGCACCTGCCGCCACACCCAGCTAAATTTTTTTTTTTTTTTGTATTTTTAGTTGAGACAGGGTTTCACCATGTTGGCCAGGCTGGTCTTGAACCCCTGACCTCAGGTGATCCTCCTGCCTCGGCCTCCCAAAATGCTGGGATTACAGGTGTGAGCCACTGCGCCTGGACCATTATTTCTTGTTTTTGTTGTTGTTGTTGTTGTTACTGTTTTGATACAGAGTCTCGCTCTGTTGCCCAGGCTGGAGTGCAGTGGCGCGATCTAGGCTCACTGCAACCTCCACCTCCCGGGTTCATGCCATTCTCCTGCCTCAGGCTCCCGAGTAGCTGGGACTACAGGTGGCCGCCACCACACCTGGCTAATTTTTTGTATTTTTAGTAGAGACGGGGTTTCACCACGTTAGCCAGGATGGTCTCAATCTCCTGACCTGCCTCAGCCTCCCCCACTATTTCTTTAAATAAGCTTTCTTCTCTATTTTCTCCTTCTGTGATCATGATTTAAATATTATTTCTCTTGACAGTGTTCCATAAGTTCCATCAGCTTTTTTAACTTCTTTTCATCCTTTTTTTTTTCTCCTCTGACTCCACAGTTTCAAATGATGTTACAGAATTTTTTATTTCGTGGATTCTTTTTTCTGCCTGATCAAGTCTGCTGTTGATGCTCTATTGCACTTTCTATTATATTCACTGTATTCATTAGCTCTACAATTTTTCATTTTTTAATGATTTTTGATTTTTGTATGATTTGTATCTCTTTGTTGAACTTCTCATTCTTTTCATGAATTGTTTTTCTGTTTTCATTGAGTGGTATATCTGTGTTCTCTTTTAGCTTGCTGAGCTTTCTTAAAACAATTATTTTGAATTTTTTGTCAGGTTATTCATATACCTCCATTACTTTGGGAGTCGCTTATTGGAAAATTACTGTGTTCCTCTGGTGTTATCATGTTTCCTTGATTGTTTTATTTATTTTTTCTTGTTCCTTTCAGCCTTGCATTGCTGTCTTCACATCTGAAGAAACAATAACCTCCCCCAGTATGTAGTGGCTGGCTTTGGGAAAGAAACATCTTCACCAGTCAGCCCAGCTAGTGATTCTGAGGCTGTCTCAGTACTTTTCTTTGGATGTGCGCACTCTACTCCTCTAGTTTCCTCTTGGAGGTTTGCGGGGAGTCTAAGATTATATGCCTTTTTTCATCTTGCAAAGGCCAGGCTGGGTTTTAACAGCCTCCACTTTCCTGAATCAAGTTGACTGACTGGAAATGATTGTAAACCATCTACAAAGACTCACATTTGCTATATGGCAGGGGCATGTGCAGTGAGTCAGCCACAGGGGAGGGAGAGAGGAGCTGTGCAGAGTATTAGGAGCACCTGCAGGACAGTAAGGGAAGATGGTGTACAGGCAAGTCATCCCAAGTGGTTAATAGAAGGCCTCCTAATAAAGTTCAAGAAGCAGTTAGTAGGCTACCCAGCGCTTTAATTTTGAGCCCTGGTTGCTGTGAGTTCCCACCTCTCTTCTCTGTTCCCAGCCTTTCCAGCCACTCAGCCATGCTGATCCACTCAGTATTCCGGGTGGAGCAAGAAAAAAGTGGGCCTCTTGGGCAGCATTCTGTACATCTGGTGAACCTAGGCATTCATTCACTACATTCTCACTTTCCTCCATGGGAGAAATAATGGACTAAGGAGGTCTCTCTCGGCACCAAGCTGTGCTGCCTTGGGGAAGAGATGATGCAGATAAAGTATTTCTTACCCTTTTCAATGCACCTATTCTCAGAAAATTTGCTCCAACAGTGTCCTAGAACTTCTCTGCTAGACTTCCAGACTGCCACAAAGGGACTCTCTGTGGGTGATTGTCAATGTCAGTGCACTATAGGGAAACGAGGGTAGAAAACTCCTCTTCTGCCATCTTGCTGATGTCACTGCAGAGTTGTTGGATTTCTTGTTATCTCCAGCCTCACATTCAAACTACCATACTACATAGTCTGGGACTTGTGAGTAGAAATGTTTCTCTCAAGTATTCACTGACTTGCCTTTCCAACGTCTTTGGTTGTGCCTCAGTTCTTTAATGTTACCATTATTGAAAGGGGCTGTTCAAGGGAACCAATGTGTTAGGCAGGCATATTCTTCTTGCTTAGCCATAAATAATGGCCTCATCATAGTCTCTATTATCTGTTTTCTGTGTTAGTTGTTTGTTTTTTTTTTTTTTTTTTTTCCTGAAACGGAGTCTCGCTCTGTCACCCAGGCTGGAGTGCAGTGGCACGATCTCGGCTCACTGCAAGCTCCACCTCCCAGGTTCACGCCATTCTCCTGCCTCAGGCTCCCGAGTAGCTGGGACTACAGGTGGCCGCCACCACACCTGGCTAATTTTTTGTATTTTTAGTAGAGACGGGGTTTCACCATGTTAGCCAGGATGGTCTCAATCTCCTGACCTCGTGATCTGCTCGCCTCGGCCTCCCAAAGTTCTGGAATTACAGACATGAGCCACCACGCCCAGCCCCTCTGTGTTTAAGGAAAAAAAAATGCTTTTCTTCTTCTCTCCCTGCCCTTCATCCCCTCTCATTATATCTCTTTGCACTAGCCATGGAGCCATTACATATCTAAAAAGTGTTTTCTGACAAAGAGAAGAAATAATTTTAAATTCCCAATGCTACATAGGAGGAATGTGTCATCTGCAAAATAAAGCCCACATTCCTAAACTTAGCACATATCCAGCTCTTGATTGCTTTTCCAACCTTATCCAATACTAAGTCCCTGAATGAATGCCATACCATATTTTTCTCAGGAAGCACCAGGGTATTTTCTCATCTTCAGGTCATTTTTCACACACACATGTTATCTGCCTTGAATGCCATTTCCCATCTCATCTGCTTGATAATGTCCTTTTCATTCCTCAAGACCCAGCTCAAGGGCCTTCTATGTGAAGTGTTTCCAAAATCACCTAAAAAGCATTCATCAGTTCTTTCAGTGTGTAGTCTATTATAACCTATTGCTCTTATATCCTATATTTAATTTTTTCCTCACTATATCATGCATTCCCAATTATATATTGTCTTATTCTTTTCAAATCCAGAACCTACCACAGCATCCACTTAAATAGCAGTCTTCTACTAATGAATGAATGAATGAATGAATGAATGAGAATCTATATTCCCTCTGGACCCAAATGAAATTTTAAAATTACTTTAGGCCTTTCTCGTGAGACCTAAAAGGCTAGCAAGCTTGCATCATCATTATTGAAAGCACGTAGGCTATCTGATTCCACGCGGAGAAAATTAAAATAACAAAAGCAAAGATATTATCCATTAGGAAACTTGTGTAGTGCTGAGGCTGTGATATTTATCTTGCTCACTCCTAATTTTTTCAGATCCCTCACATCAGAGAAGCTAAGATCTTCCTTTGCCTTATCTCTGAATAAATTAAATTTCTGATTAGAGCCAATGGAAGGTTTTGCCCAAAGGAGATTTTAAAAATGAGAAAATTCTTGCAGGAGTGATTTCAAAGCTAAGTCCTCAACTGCAACAGGACAATATGTCACTGAGCTTTAAATTTAATAAAGGATCTGTAGCCCACACTTGTCCTTCTTAGAGTAATAGGGTGAGTGCTCTGGGAATCTTGCCAAATGCCCCAACTCTAAAATCCAGGTCTCCGTGGATACATAGAAAGACTAAGTGGTTTTCTACCATTTTAACCATTCAAATTATCATTACACAGTAATAACTGCTCTTTCTAGTTCTGTATGACCCAGAAACTTAACCAATATGTCTATACTTGTTTAGTCAAATCACTTGTAACAGACCAAGGAAGAGTTAAAAAAGATTTAGAAAAGATAAAAATAATTTCACTTCTGGAGTAGCAGTTGTTTGAGAGGGATCCATAGATTTGCCATATTAAGTATAGTTCTCCTAGTTTCTTAGATAAAGGGAAATTTTCCAACTGTGGAATAAGAAAAGATGATAGAAAGAAAGGTGTCTTAAGAAAAATAGACTTCCTAGTGGCACTTTGCCAGACATGTTTCTATCTGATTCAGTTTTCAATAGCTAGACAAACAGTCCTTTCCTGGATCCTGAGAAGAGGGATTGTCAATACCCAAAGATCAAAAACAGCTTGCCCATAAATCTATATAAAGTATAGTCAGTGTGGCTACAAGGCAGTATAGTTAAATTAGAAAGCCCTGAAAAGTATTTTGGTAAACACCATTAAACACTGTAAATTATTTATAATAAGCAAATTATTAAAAACCAGAAATATTGTTCAGTGAGATCACTAACCCAGTATCCACATAGCCAGATAAGTGTTCGGTTTCCACAAACAACTGGGAGTTCTTAGCAAACAGTCTGTGAAAAAGTATAACCTTATTGAAAGAGACACAAAAAGCAGAAGAAGATTGACACATAAAGATTAGGAAGCTCTTATTAGACAATTGTAGAGCTTAAGGTATTTGGCCCTCCAAGAAGAGTTGCTTACATAGCTATGTAAGGCAATATAGAAATGTGAAATCACAAAGAGATTTATAAACCAGAAAAGAACAAATCAATAAACAGCAAGAGATAAAGGAGAGAAATCTCACATTTAAAAAATAAGTAGTAAATATATTGAGAACCTAATACGCCTGCATATACTACTAGAGACATATTCATTTATGCAAAACTGATTATTAAGGACCTAATGAAAGGAATGGTTTCTATGAACCAAGGATTTTATCAGATTCTAATAAGGGAAACCAGTAGTTTAAGAGTTATGCCTATAGATAGGCCTAAGCCAATTATTTTAAAAATTTGTGTTTAGTTCACCCTTTGTGTGAATCTAGTTATGTTCATTAATTCATTTGTGTCTACAGTACTCAAAGAATCCTATTCAGGTGTGAAAGGAGAAACATTTTTGTCCAACTAGATATATAACCATCTAATTTGGGTGACTTGGCAGTAATAGAGGAGACAAGGTCTTTCATAACAGTTGCACTAGTCAATTCCTTGTGTCTGAACCGAAACCAAGGATGGTCAATCTCAGAACTTTTGGCATTTTGGATTGGTTATTCTTTTGTGAAAAGAGGTGCCCTATGTATTGTAGGATATTTAACAGCCTCTCTGGCTAGTAGTATGCATGCACATTCATGCACATGCACACAACGCACACACACACAGTTTTGTCAACCAAAAATGTCTCTGGGAGGGCAGGTTGCAAAATTGTCCCTTGTTGAGGAACACTAAGAATAAATAAATTTTAGATCTTATTTGAACATTGCCTAGCAAATAGCGGTAATAATTGCTACTGCACATACTAACCTTGGAGCATTTCAAGTTTAAGTTTTCGAATTTCTTAATCTCTTTAAATCAGATTTCCAAAGGTGACTTCGATTTTTCCAATGTCATTATATACTTGCATGCAGGAAGTTATTAGTCAGCTTAAACTGTCAGTGTTAAAATAAAATCTCTCCAAATTTCTCCACCACAAAATAAGAGTGTGTATGGGCACAAGAGAGAGAAAGAAGTGCATGGCTTTTTGTTTGTTCATTTTTTTTAAATACACATATGCATTTGGAAAAAGCATTTCTCTTCACCCTCTGAGGAACATTACAATCAACTCTTGTCATTCCAACAAATATGTCCTTTATTGTTGAAAATAATTCAAACCGCAAAGGAAGAGATGGGCCTGTACTCTTATAAGCACTTTTAATCTATGTAAAGTTAGGTTTAATTGATTCACTTGTTGATTCATACAGGGTCTCCACATTGGTGTCTGGAGCAGCTTGAACAGGGAGGGAAAAAAATAAAAATATCGAAAGTACTGTCCTCATGGCAGAGTTGATTGCAGTGATCAACTACCAGTTATATGATTTTGATGAAAATGGCTCCTAAAGAGGAATTCTTGTAAGAATACTGAAAACCATAGTTACATTGTGGCATTCCAGAAACAATTAGAATGTTATTGCGGTTTTCTGAATGGCCAAGTCTGTGGAGGAGGTGGCCATTCATGCCTTCTCCAACATTTCTCTGACACTACCTCTTTTCTATGGGTTTGTGAAAGATTTCTGAATCCAAATCTTCTCCAAGACTGTATCAGTATCCCTATCCTGAGACTTTCATGTGAGGCTGTTTGTGTCTTGGATGAGCAAGTAACACTATTTTATGATATTAAGCCCTATACTCTACAAGGTTCCCTTTAATTTGAATGTCTGTTCACCTGGGCTCTGATACATCCACATAGCACACAACAACCAACTAAGAAAAACCTGTACTCTTTGTTCTACAACCTGAGGTTAATGATGCACCAGAGTACTTGCACATGGCATTTGTAATTGGTCTCATTGGCATTTGACTGTCTTCTTATCGAAATGCATTTTGACTTTACTTGACCCTCTTATTCTCCTTGATTGGTTAGACCATCAGGGAGAACCTTCACCATGTTCTAGTTTTAGAACCCAGTCGTTGTACTGACCACTGAGTGAACACAAATCTGTACCTTTTGATATAGTTTGGCTGTGTCCCCACCCAAATCTCATCTTGAATTAAAGTTCTCATAATCCCCACATGTGGTGGGAGGGACCCAGTGGGAGATAATTGAATCATGGGGGCATTTTCCTCCATGCTATTCTCATGATAGCAAGTAAGTTCTCATGATATCTGATCATTTTATAAGAAGCTTCCCCCTTTGCTTGGCTCTGATTCTTCTCTCTCCTGCTGCCATGTGAAGAAGGATGTGTTTGCTTCCCCCTCTGCCATGATTGTAAGTTTCCTGAGGCCTCCTAAGCCATGTGGAACTGTGAGTCAGTTAAACCTCTTTCCTTTATAAATTACCCAGTCTTGAGTATTTCTTCATAGCAGCATGAGAACAGCACACAAAGGCATGTGATTCACCTTAAAATTCAAAATTCTGAGTCCTAAATCGTCTTATTTTTACTATACTTTATGGCAAATTGCATTTTCCAAAGATGGCAGCAGCATCTCCCATCACACATGCTCTCCTGAAACATCACCACTTCCCCATCAAGAGGTCAAGTCTATTTCCCCTCCTCTTGACCATGGGCAGGTCTTTGTGACTGCTTCAACCAATGAAATACAATAAAAGAAATTCTTTGGGACTTTCCAGAGTAGATCATAAAAACGTCATACATTTCTGCCTTGTTCTCTATGGATACTCACTATTGGGAACCCAGCCACCATGCTCTGAAGAAGCTCAAGCAGTCCATGGAGAGACTTGTGTGCAAAGAACTGAAAACCCTGGTCGACAACACTAGCTGAATTCCTAGCTAACAATCAGCATCTACTTGTAATTGAGTCATCTTGAAAGTAGATCCTCTATTTCCTGGGTTAACTTACTCAACCAACACCAAAAAGCATAAAGACAAGCCTGAGAAGAGACTATTTGAACCCTACCCAAATTGCAGATTTATGGCAAAATAAAAGATTGATGTTGTCTGAAGCCAGTGAATTTTGGGGTAGCAAATAGCAATAGATACAGCAATAGATATAACTGATACATACTTTATTATTTTAAGACTTAGCAAGTATTCTCAAAATATAATGAATTATAGGAATTTCTCCAGATAAAACATTTGAACAAGCACAATGTAAGCATATAGATATATAGATATATAGATATATAGATATTTTTTTTTTGAGACAGAGTCTTGCTCTGTCACCCAGACTAGAGTGCAGTGGCACAATCTTGGCTCAATGCAAGCTCCGCCTCCCAGGTTCACGCCATTCTCCTGCCTCAGCGTCCCAAGAAGCTGGGACTACAGGCGCCCGCCACCATGCCCAGATAATTTTTTGTATTTTGTTTAGTAGAGATGGGGTTTCACCGTGTTAGCCAGGACGGTCTCAATCTCCTGACTTTGTGATCCACCCGCCTCGGCCTCCCAAAGTGCTGGGATTACAGGCATGAGCCACCGCGCCCAGCTGTAAGCATTTTCAAATGAGGTTTATTATAAGATTATTTACATTAAAGAAAAAAAAAATTTTTAAAAGATGCTCAACAATTACGCACCATGTAAATAATATATGGCACATTTACGCAATTGTGCATAGTGGGCCACTGTTTTAACAGATGACTTTTGTAGTATATTAAGATAGAAATTTTTAACTAGTAACCAAAACAGCAGATTTTAAAACAGTATGCATACAATGATTAAATTTTTATGACATGTATTAGTGTGTGAATATGTATATTTATAAAAAGGAAAAAGTCTTCAAATCTATACTCCAAAATATGTACAAAGGTTACTTCTGTGTGAGAGGTGTATGTTATTTTTATGTTCTTTCCTGCTTATCTGAATATTCTACTTTTTCTTCACTAATCATGGTTTTAAATAATTTTTAAAACTAAATCAATCGAAGGGTTCCCTTTATAATTTTAGTGCAGGGTAAAGGATTGTGCCAGACCATCTTTGTCTGTACTTGTGTTTCCAGAAAGTGAATTAGCCTGCAGCATATTCAAATGCATACCAGGTGAGTAGTGCCATAACAGGATTCCTCTCTAATTCCTGATGTTTTATTTTCCCCTATTTAATTTTCCAGAGCCTCCAGATCAGGAGGATACAAATTCCTTTCCTTTCCAGAGTAGGAACCAGGAGGCCAGCAGCATAAATGCAAGCAAAGAAACTTCTTCATGTGTGAAGGATTAGGGGCTGGCAGCAATAGTAGCAGCAATAATGCCAACATTGAGTGTGATTTTTGAAAATCTCTGTCACTATGGGGAAAGGGATTCAAGTGATTGACTATTTCATGTGGAAGAAAAGGTTAATTCTTTCTTTGCATCTGAAAGGGCAAGTTTGGATAAAGCCCTAGATGATGGGAAAAGAGAAGAAGAAATTGGCCCCTCAAATAAGTCAACCTTTCCAACCCTATTTAAAACCAGCTTGCAGAAGTAGGTTTTCCCACTTCATTGTGTACACTCTGCCTTGTTTCCTTATCTTCTGTCTTCGAAAATTAAATTCAAAAACTGTGTGCTACACCTTCCCCCAGTTGCACTAAGAGCCCACATTATTGGTGCATCAGCTCATCAGTCCTCTGGGCTTCGAACAGATGTTTGTGTAGGGTATGGGGGTGGAGGTGGAGGGATGTCCTACCACCAGTCCTATAAACTGAACTTAAAGCTTATGCTTTTCAAGAAAAACATTTCAGCCACATGATTTAAATGGTTGTCATGGGAGTGGCAATCTCATTCACTTTGAAAAGAATTGAAAAGGTGGCTGCTATACTTTCCTATCTCCTCTTCCCTTCTCCTCTTCTGAAAGGGACTTCTTATTGAAATTATCTGCTACAAAACACAGCAAAGTCTCACTTTTCTATTCCCACATGGGCTGCAGTTCAGCTGAAATCATCTGACCTGGTGTCACAGCCAAGCCTTGAAGACTCTACATTATATGTCTGTAAGCAGAATTTGTCCTGGTGGCCTGTTATGGATCAAAAAGGAATGAAATGAAAGGGCTCAGGGTTAGCTAAAATGCATTAACTGGGGTAGGTTGCCTGCCTGGGTGATTATCACAACAGAAGATTTTCCCAGCCACATGTAGATCAGTGTCAGTCTCTCTAATTTGGAGACATAAGGTAGAAAAGAAGACCAGAGAATGACATTTGCAAATTGCTTATTGACTTTAAAGTGGCCTAAGTCATTACCAAGTACCAGGCAAGGAATGTACACATTTCACAGGGAAGCTTTGGAATGCTGGGTTTTGAGATTTTATTCTTGCTCCACCACTTACTAGATGTATGAGTATATGCTAAATAACTAATTAATTCTTACCCTATGTGATGTTTAAGTTTTTGCATGTCAGCTTATCTGGGCCACCAGATGCCCAAATATTTGGTGAAACATTATTTGGAGTATGCTTATGAGGCTGTTTCTGGATGAGATTAACATTTGAATTGGTAACAAGAGTAAAGCAGATTGCCCTCGTTAGTATGGGGGAGGGGCTCATCTAATCAACTAAAGACCTGAATAAAACAAAAGGGCTGAGTAAGATGAAACTTCTTCTGCCTGACTGCTTTAGCTGAAACAATGGCCTTTTCCTGCTTTCAGTCTCAGACTTACATCATGGGTTCTCCTGGTTCTCAGACCTTCAGATTTGGACTGGAACTTACACTGTTGGTTCTTCTGCGTCTCCAGCTGGGGTTCCCCCTCAGAAACAGACAGTGCAAGGCAGGCCCACTAATGAGTCTCATGGGGCATAATTCAACCTAAAGGAAGAGAGTCAAGAGACACAATGACAATAGGACAGAAACACAGTTGAAAGGCAATTTTGAATAAAGCACAGTATCTGTCTCTAAAGTTATCCTCCAGGCCAGCCAAGCGCCACCGGCTCAGCCCTGGATCTTAGAAAAAGTATCAGTGATGTGTAAAAAAGTAAAAGAGCCCCTTCTGGCTAAGATGCCATTATAAGTTTGCAGTCTAAGCCACCTTTCCCCATCATATGTTGTTCCAAACAAATAGCACTGATAAATCACATTTTTAAAAAGAAAATCCAGCCGGGCATGGTGGCTCATGCCTGTAATCCCAGCACTTTGGGAGGCCGAGGCAGGCGGATCACGAGGTCAGGAGATCGAGAACATCCTGGCTAACATGATGAAACCCCATCTCTACTAAAAATACAAAAAATTAGCCGGGCGTGGTGGTGGGCGCCTGTAGTCCCAGCTACTCGGGAGGCTGAGGCAGGAGAATGGCATGAACCTAGGAGGCACAGCTTGCAGTGAGCCAAAATCATGCCACTGCACTCCGGCCTGGGCAACAGAGCAAGACTCTCTCTCAAAAAAAAGAAAGAAAATCCAAAATACATAGGCATCTCTTTGTTGAGAAGAAAATAAACTAGAATACAAGCAGTAAGTGGGGCTGAAACTACAGATCATCTGGGCTTGGGGTCTGCAGTCTCAGAGGCAGACAGGAATTCAAAGAAAACCCCCACTCCTTTATGCTCCACAAGGGACCTGAGATGGTCTCTCTTGAAATCAACAGCTATGGTAGGACTCCCTTGCAATGACAAGAGGCTTTAAAAAGCCATACAGCGCTGAGTTGGGCTATGTTCTATATAACACAGCTTCATAACCAAGAAGGATAAGGGAAGCTGAGGCAAATACAACCTCCTAGTCATGATCTGAGCCAACCTACTTCCTGGCTCAACAACTGTGTGAAGAGTTTACATAGCAGATTTGAGGCTGCCAACTTAGAAGGACCTACTTCCAAGGTTGGCCCTTGGCTGGCATCTGGGAATTTGGCACTCAGATCACGCCCTAATAACAAGGGCAGCTAACTGTACCTGGAGTGTTTGTCCAAAAATGTGATTTGTGGTTAATGTCTGTTTCCCTTCTGGGAGTCTGGAATTTGGGTATGTGCTAACCAGAAGGTGCCTTCATGATCAGCCTTCCTAAAAATGTTTTGAACTCTGATCCTCTAGCAGGCTCTCCTGGGCAGAAATATGATACACATATTTCTAGTTTTTGCTGCTGGAAGAAAAAAAAAAAAAACCCACTCATGTAGTGTGTTTCCTCATTGGAGGAAAAGTGTACGAGGAAGTCTGCAGGCATTTCTCCAGAATCTACCTGTGTCTTTTTCCCATGGTGATCCCGTTGTATTTTCACTATAATAAACCTTAGTCATGAGTCCCAACTATATGCTGAGTTGCATAAGTGCCACTGAAGAACCTCCGAATGTGTGTGACCTTGAGGGTCTTTAAAACTGTAGTGGCTATGGGATTTATTAGAACAACTCCAACTAGAATACGGCTACAGTGTGATTTTGGAGAAAAGGGCAGAAAATGATGGAATGTTGGTGCTTGGGTGATTATGCCATTACCCATGGGACAAAACTGCAGCTGAGCTGCTATCTTTTGTGAGAGGTAAAAGGAATTTGAAAATGATAGATTCAACCCCAGGAGAGTTGGCTCATTGGATCCACTGGCTTCTTTTGGCCACACTAACTAAAATGAAGAAAATAGAAAAGTCCCCACGGTGACTTTGTTTCTTGTGGTCTCTTCCAAGGGAAAGTAAAAACGGCCCAAGTTGTCCCTAAGATGGGCTCTGAATGGGTCAAAGACAATAAAATTAATTGATTAGTTGCTCTCTCCTCCAAGAAAAAAAAAAAAGGGAGAGAATCACTGAAGCCCTTTCTCAAGCCTAAACTGCAGCACCCCCTACATCTTGTATTCTAGCTGGAATCTCCTAGTCACTGTGATTTTTATCCTATAAATGCTGAATTCACTGCAAAAGCTTGGAGTAAAACTTGCCATTAAAAAAAAAAAAAAAAAAAAAAAAAAAAGATGTTTTAATGGCCTTGTATCTTGCAGCTATTTCATCTATGTATGATAAAAATTGGTTTAAAAAATATCTTATGCCTCTAATTTCATAAAACCTATAGAGAGATTATCCCGATCAGGGAAAGCTGCAAAGAAAAAATATTAGTGGTACCCAATTCCCTTGCTTTTTGCCATGCATGGGTAGGTAAATTGAAATTTAAACACTTTGAGTATCGGAAACACAACAAATCTCCATAACTGATTATTTTTGCTATGGTTTTGCCCATTGGAGCCTCTGAAAAAAGCAAGAAAAAATGAAAACAAAGGCAATCTCCAGATGGAAATATACTTTTGTAGTTTTGAAAAGCTGTTTTAGTTTGCTAATGAGCTGTTGTTGAAATGAAATGGCTGATGATTTTCCAGCCTAATCTGCATAGTTTAGAGTGGGTCAATTTGGACTCAAATCAGGTTTAAAAAAAGGGATCCTAGGAAAGCCTTGTTGCTTGGACTTTGTATGTAAATGTCTGGCCCTGCAGTGTCTTAGGTTTCCTACTACAGAAGAAAAGTTACTGGCATTTTGGGAATCATGAATTCAAGATTCTACTTGTCTGGTTCCGACTCTAAGGTGAAACCTGATACTATATACTATGTATGGGATGTTTCAGCTTTAGCACTCACTGTGTCAAACTGAAATCAGATGAGACCTCTCTGCTCAATGAGCAGGACTTAAATTCTGGGGTGGTTGCAGATTTACAACACCCTTCAGTGGGGCTACAAACTGTAAAATCATCGCGCATGCTGGATGGCCTATATGGGTTACATACAGATGCCCATGGAAAAGGGTTTATTCTCTTATGAAAATGTGTTACATTGAGCTGCTAGCTGGCTCTATACTACTGGTACTAATTGCACTCATAACTTTTGGTTCCTGCCAAAAGCTATAAGTTGAGGGAGGACACATCTCTTGAGGAAGCCACCAGGGTTTCTAATATAGATGTTTATGGTTAACAGGATTATGGTTAACTAGCTGAATTCAGAACCCCTGGAGGACATGACTGAAGCTAATTCTGCAGGTTGGTCCCTGCACCATGGAGTCCTAATAATAATGATTTTGCTGTAAAAATGCTTGGATAAGGGTAAAGAGAAAAAAGCCAATATGGCAGGCCTGAGGCTGTTATCTTTAGAAGGGCCTGCTGGCAAGATTGGTCTTTAGCTGGCATCTGTGACTTGGCACTCAAACTATTCCCTGACTAATAAGGGAGGCTCACTGTGCCTAGACTATTTATATAAACAGCATAATTTATAGTGAACACCCGCTTTTCCTGAGAGTTTGCATTTTTTGTACATTCTAAAGCAGAGGGTGCCTATGTGATCAGCTCCCAGTAAAACCCTTTGATGCTATAGTAGATTAAATAGTGGTCCCTAAAATTCATGTCCAAGTTCCAACCCCCAGAACGTGTAGATGTGATTTATTTGGAAAAAGGATATCTGCAAATGTAAGTATCTTGAGATGAGATCACCCTGGATTTAAGGTGGGCCCTAAATCTAATGACAGGTATTACTATAAGAGATAGGCAGATATTGGAAACAAAGAGAACATTATAAAGACCTTGTGAAGATGGAGGCAGTGAATGGAGTGATGTGTCAACAAGTCAATGGAAACTGAGGATTGCTGGCAGCCACCAGAAGCTAGGAGAGAGGCAAAGAATGGCTCCCCACTCAAATTCTCCACAAGTAATCAACCTCTCAATGCCTTAAATTCAGATATCTGGCCTCTGGAACTGTGAGAGAATACATTTCTGTTGTTTTTTGCCATCAAGTTTGTGGTTATTTGTTATGGCAGCCTGATCTAGTTTGGCTCTGTATCCCCACCCAATCTTATCTCAAATTGTAATTCTCACATGTTGAGAGAGATATCTGCTGGGAGGTGATTGGATCATGGGGGTGGTTTCCCTCATGCTATTCTCATAATAGTGAGTGAGCTCTCATGAGATCTGATTGTTTGATAAGTACCTGACATTTCCCCTGCGTTCTCATTCCCTCTCTCTCTCTCTCTCTCTCTCTCCTGCCACCTTGTGAAGAAGGTATTTGCTTCTCCTTTGCCTTCCACCATGATTGTAAGTTTCCTGAGACCTCCCCAGCCAAGCGAAACTGTGAGTCAAACCTTTTTTATTTATAAATTACCCAGTTTCGGGTAGTATCTATATAGCAGTGTGAAAACGGACTAATACACAGCCCTAGGAATCTCATACAAACACTGAGTCTCTAAAGGACTTCCCTGGGCAGAAATATTGCCACATCTTTCTGCATTTTTTTTACTGCTGGAGAAAGAAACATGCTATGTGTGTCTCCTCGTGGAATAAGAGGGTATAAAACGGTCCGTGCATGAATTGCTCCAGACTTTTCCTGTTTCTTTGGCCCTTGCTCATCGTGTCATCTATTCTCTGGCAGTAATACACCTTAGCCATGAGTACAACTATATGCTGAGTCCCATGAGGCTTTCTAAAAAATCACCAAATGTGTGGGTGGGCCTTGAGGACCCCCCAGAAAGACAGCATTTGTAACATCCTTCATAGCACAATAGAACATGAGCTCTAAGTCATCAATATGAGCCCTGATGGTGAACAGGAGACCCAAACTACTCAATGAAGGAAACCATAAAAATCTCTATTCAGGGTGGGGCTAGTACAGAGAAAAATAAAAAATACTAACTCAAGTTAAGCCTGTACATAAAGTTCCAACATACTTGAGAAAGTTAATGCTAAGACAGAGAACCTAGAAAATCAACAATAGGCTATTAACTCCTTCCCCAGCCCCCACAATGACAGTAATAGAGCAATTATAAAATAATCCTAAAATAATATTTTACATTCTTGAAGATATAAAGGAAAGAATAAATTCATTAAGAACAAGACATTATGAAACAGAAACAGGCAGAAATGAAACAAATGTATATATAAAAAAGGACCAATCAGAAATGCTAAAGGAAACAGGGTTACAGAAATTAAAAGTTCAGATAAAATAAATGTCAAAGACAAATATGGTGAATTGCAAAACAGAACACAAAGGAAATCAACTCAAATGCTGCACAGTAAAACAAAGATATCAAAAATATGAGTGAGAAGACATGTGGAATCAATTAAGAGGATCCAACATTTATCTAAATAATCAAATGAGAGCTCAAGAAGGATAAAGGAAATGGCAGCAGAATCACATTCGCAGATTAAAAGTCTGAGAGTTGAATTAATACACCTACATTAATACATCTAGTGACAATAGAAAACATGAAGGATGAATTAAGAAAATCTTTAAACACTACCGGAAAAAAAAAAGTGATCCACAAAGTAATGACAACTGGCCTGAAAGTAGAAGTCTAATCAGTAACAATCGATGACTAGGGTATACAATAGAAGACTAATATATACAATGACTGAGGTAGTTTCCACACAGTTTCTTGCATTAAAACTACTAAAGAAAGTACTTCAATGAAAAGAAAAGGGAGCCCAGAGGAAAGAAGGGGATGAAAGAAATACGGTGTGCACAGAAATTAATAAGTTGTTAAAATTAGTTTTAACTATTAAAAATAATAAATTTTGTGTTAAAGTGACACTAAAACTCTAGACAATAAGAAGGAAGAAGTGAGGATTATTCAATAGGTATATGAAGTATGCTAAAGTTCTTATATTATTAAGGAGCAGAAAAGCAACATTCAATGATTTTATATTTTGTTTAAAATCTTTATAATTAAGTAGGTGTGTTAAATATTTCAGAAAAATATACCATAAAATATATTTTACAAATAATACAAATGTATATTTAATGCATATACATGAACTAAGTGTTTAATATACTTTCAATACACATACATGTATTGTGAGTTTAATATATATTAAATACATATATAATAAAACCTGTAGCTTCTAACCCAGCAAAGGAAACCAAAAAAAAATAATGAAAATATTATTGATATAAACAAGGCATAAAAGTAAAATAAAATTATTAATAGCCAGACACAGTGGCTTGTGCCTGCAATCCCAGCTACTCGGGAGACTGAGGAGGGAGTATCACTTGAGGCTAGGAGTTAAAGACCAGCCTGGGCAACATGGTGAGACCTTGTCTCTAAAAAACAATAATGGTCAATTAAAATATTGATTTAAAAGACTGTAAGAAGACAGTAGAAACAACTCCAAATGTATCAGTAATATCAAAAATAGATGAAAACAAGTTAAAATAACCAGTTAAAAACAAATATCCTTGATTTTTATTTTTTAAGGAAAATGAGATGGGAAATGATATTAGATAAAATAGAATTTAAAGATAAGATTATTAACATATACCAAGCAAAACATTACATAATAATAAAACTTCACCATGAAGATGAAAATCATGACATAATGTACCCAAGAGTGTATTGCTAAATACAGTACAATAAATAACAAAATTGCAAGAAAAATTGGCAATGTGGGTTATAAAGTATCCACTATAGAAATTTATATAATATGTAGAACTTATATATCATATAGAACATTTCTTAAATGTAATTAACAAGTTTCTTCTAAGAATGATACATAGAATTCCACACCCAATAATTAATAATAACACATTCATTTTCAGCACACATAAAAATTCACTATGTACCCATTTACAAAGAAATTCTCAATAAATCTTAAGGAAGCAATATCTTACTACATTCCTTCACCACAATACAATTTTTTAAGTTTTTTTTTAAATAACTGATGTATTTTGAGAAATGTAAAAAGAACACATATAAACAACTTATAGGTTAAAGGGTGTGATTCTCAAACGTTTAAAATTAAATTATCATGAAAGAACCATGTATCAAGATTTATATACTTTGGCTAAAGTAGTACTTATAGGTAAATTTGTAGCCTCAAATTAACTGTCTGCAAAAGGAGTTACTAAAATTAAATTAATTAAACATTAAACTCAATAAGCTAGAAAATGAACAACAGATAAAGCTAAATAAAGTATTACTTGAAAATACTAATAAAATAGACAAACTAATAGTAAGACTGATCACCAAAATAAGCAGAAACCAAACAAAAAACTGTATAGGTAGAATAAATCAATAATATTAGGACCAAAAAGGAACATAACTAAAAATATAGATTTCTTAAAGCATTCAGTAAATACTGCAAACAATTTTATCATGAATGGCGCAGGTCAGAGATAACCAGGTCCCCACATATTTGTGTCTTTCCACGATGTCAGATTTTTATTAATGCTGTCTCAATCATAAAAGCCATGAGCTACATGGAGTTTCCAAGGAGGCCATTCTTCTTAGTAAACTTTCCATTCATTCAGCAGTTAGAGCCATGGGCACACAGGCTCAAGCCACTCAACTAATCAGTCAACATGGCAAACCATATATAATAGTTACCTATCAGTTATCTACTGCTGCAATAATGCCGCATAATGAACAACCGCAAAATCCAATATATATATTTAATCAATATATAAATGTTATAGATTAAACATTCCACAACAAAGTAACATTTAACATTAAAAGAAAGGGGATAGGAAAAAATGGTTAATGAAGCATCCCAGGGAGAGGGATGTAAACAAAACAAAATAAAAAAACTGTCCTGGTCTGGCTCAAGTTGTCTGTTTTCCTTGCAAGGAAGAGTCTTTGGTGTGGGCACAGCCTTCGTAGGCAGATGCTGGGTGTTATCACGAGCGACAGCCTGTTAAGACAGCCATTAAAAGCTGTTGTAGTCCTGCTCTTTTCATGGCCAGAGTCCTCTGGGGTGAAGACTAATAGTGGAAGAGTGTGCTTGGTTATGTTCTTAATCTGGTTGGAGGCAGTCTTCATTGATCACACAAAACATCTGGTCCCTGTTGGCAAAGTGCCTTATGAAGTGTAAGAGACAGTCTTTTTCTAAGATGGGGTTACTTATGTCAAGGGTGCTCTATACAAACTTTATGTCAATAAATTCTCTCAACAGTATATAAATTATAAAAATTTACTCTAGAAGAAGCTGAAAAGCTGAAGAAACCAATAGCCATTAAAAGAATAGAATCATGAGTCAAAAAATCACCTCCCCTTCTCAAATAATAAGCTCAAATTGCTTTGCAGACGAATGTGACAAAACTTTTACGTTACAGATTATCCCTACTTAATGCAAGCTGTTTCAGAAAATAGTAAAAAAGGTAAATTTCTCAAACTATTTTTATTAGGCTAAACAACTTGATACAAAAACCAGACAAGAATAGGACAAGTATTGACAAAGCTTACTTATAAAAATAGATGCAAAAAACTAAAATATTAGTAATCCTGTTATGGGTTGAAATGTGTTCCCCCAAAAGAGATGTGAAGTCCTAACCCCAGTTCCTCAGAATGTGAACTTATTAGGAAATAAGAGTGTTGCAGATGTAATTAGTTAAAATGAAGTCATTCTAGAGCAAGATGGGTCCTTAATCCAATACGACTAGTGTCCTTATACGATCATGAAGACAGAAGGAGAAAACACCCTATGACGATGGAGTCAGAGGCTGGAGGCAATGTCAATGATTGCCAGCAACACCAGAAACTAAGAGAAAGGAATAGAATAGACTCTCCTCTAAAACCTTCAAGAAAACACAGTGTTGCTGGGTGCAATGGCACACACCTGTAATGACAGCACTTTGGGAGGCTGAGGCAGAAGGATCACTTGAGCTCAGGAGTTAGACACCAGCCTGTACAACATGGTGAAACCCTGTCTCTACCAAAATACAGAAAAAAAAAAAAAAGCTGGGCATGGTGATTTGCACCTGTAGTCCCAGGTACTTGGTGTAGGGTCCAGCCCCACAGGGTCGGTGGGTCTCTCCCCATGTGCAAAGACGAGAGAGTGTAGAAATAAAGACACAAGATAAAGAGATAAAAGAAAAGGCAGCTGGGCCCGGGGGACCACTACCACCAAGTCACGGAGACCGGTAGTGGCCCCGAATGTCTGGCCGCACTGTTATTTATTGGATACAAAGCAAAAGGGGCAGGGTAAAGAGTGTGAGTCATCTCCAATGATAGGTAAGGTCACGTGGGTCACATGTCCACTGGACAGGGGGCCCTTCCCTGCCTGGCAGCTGAGGCAGAGAGAAAGAGGAGACAGAGAAAGAAACAACTTACACCATTATTTCTGCTTATTAGAGACTTTCAGTACTTTCACTAACTTGCTACTGCTATCTAGAAGGCAGAGCCAGGTGTACAGGATGGAACATGAAGGCAGACTAGGAACATGACCACTGAAGCACAGCATCACAGGGAGACGGTTAGGCCTCTGGATAACTGTGGGCGAGCCTGACTGATGTCAGGCTCTCCACAAGAGGTGGAGGAGCAGAGTCTTCTCTAAACTCCCCCCGGGGAAAGGGAGACTTCCTTTCCCGGTCTGCTAAGTAGCCAGTGTTTTTCCTTGACACTGAGGCTACCGCTAGACCACTGTCCGCTCGGCAATGGGCGTCTTCCCAGATGCTGGCGTTACCGCTAGACCAAGGAGCCCTCTGGTGGCCCTGTCTGGGCATAACAGAAGGCTCGCACTCTTGTCTTCTGGTCACTCCTCACTATGTCCCCTCAGCTCCTATCTCTGTATGGCCTGGTTTTTCCTAGGTTATGATTATAAAGCAAGGATTATTATAATATTGGAACAAAGAGTAATTGCTACAAACTAATGATTAATGATATTCATATATAATTATATCTAAGATCTATATCTGGTATAACTATTCTTATTTTATATTTTATTATACTGGAACAGCTCGTGTCCTCAGTCTCTTGCCTCGGCACCTGGGTGGCTTGCCGCCCACACTTGGCAGGTAGAGGTGGGAGGATTGCTTGAGCCTGGGAGCCAGAGGTTGCAGTGAGCTGAGATCATGCCACTGCACTCCAGCCTGGGTGACAGAGCCAGACCGTGCCTCATAAAAAAGTAAGAAAACATAGTTTTGCTAACACCTTGATTTCAAATGTCTAGCTTCCAAAATGTGAGATGATAACATTCTACTGTTTTAAGCCACCTAATTATTTCATGGTACTTTGAAGCAGCAGCACTAGGAAACAGGTACAAATGACAAAGTGAAAAATAATTTGGAAACTCTATGTGATAAGAATATAGAACGATGTATGTCATAGGATTCTCTATATTTTTATTTTTGAGGTAGTTCATAATGTTTTTTTAAAAACGAGATCCCTAGATGACACAGCAATGAGAGTACAAGGCAGCAGTGTTTGGGAGACTGAAGCATATGTTTCCTAGTTGGGGTGACTGTAGGAACTCAGAAACAGTAACCTGAGCTATGAGCCAGACCCACAATATGTGGAATGAGAGAAACAAATGTGGATCTGATTCAAAGGGATTCATGGCATAGGCAGGTATATCAGTTATCTATTGCCTCAATAATGCTGCATAACAAACAACGACAAAATCCAGTGGCTTAAAATGATTAGCATTTATTTCACTCAATAGTCTGTGGGTTGACTGAATAGTTCTGCTGGTCTGGGCCAGACTTGGCTGATCTTAGCTGGGCTCACTCAAGCAATATTCATTCTGTGGTCTGAGGGGACCCCAGAATGGCCTCAGCTGAGATGAATTGCCTTTGTCCCTCAAGGTCTCTAATCCTCCAGGAGACTAGTCTGGCCATATTCTCATGGCAAAGGCAGAGGAACAAGAAACAAAAGCATTCAAGTGTTTTTGCAAGCCCCATTGGTCAAAGCAAACACTGGGCTAAGTCCCTCCAGAGTCAGAGCGGGAGTTGCCTACAGTGTTACAGGGCAAAGGGCAGAGAGGCCATGAAATGGTGTCATCAATGTAATCAATCTTCCACAACAGCTTCCATGATATTAAAATTAGACAACCAGAACAGGAAAGGAGAAAAACTGCTAGGCACAATGTGATGAGTTGAAAAACAAATCTTAATCATGACCACCTGGAGATACCTGTGGGAACTTCCTGAACGAGTAGGGAGAAATATAGAGATAAGATGCCCACAGAATAGGGGGTAGAGGGGTTGCTGGGGGTGGGCAGAATTAGAGCAATACTCATCTCTATTATTGTGACCCTTTTTTTACCCTATCCAGACAACTCTAGTGAGTCACTAGTGATACCAGGGACAGTTTTACTGTTGAGTTCTACAAAACTGGTGGCATACAAATCTCCCCTCCCAGTGTTGGGTCACAGTGTTTCCCAAAGGTACCCAGGAAAATCAGCATTTGCAGCTATGACCACTGCCCATGCTTCCAGGCTAAGGCTGATACACATTCTGAGTAAAAAGGTTAAACACAACCATCTGGTGCTTTCATTTCTTCCCCTTTTGGCCACTACCATGGCTCTTCTGCCAAGTGTCCAAAAAACACAGCACACAGAGATAGTATCCTGCAAAACACTCCAGTGAAAAGCTTATCTGACAGTTCATCTAAAACAATGGTGACAAAGTAATATCAAATTCAGAGTGCCAGGAAGCCTGCTTCCCTACCTGCAAGGGGATATGGGTGACCATTGTTATTTAATTAATGACAATATTCAAAATAACTCACTCTGTCTCCAGGAAACCCCTGTGAGAAATTTCTCCATCCAAAATGTGCTTCCCTTACGGGAAAGAAAGCTAACTTCTTGCTCTCAGATCCGTAACTTGACCTACTGGAATTCTAGGTGAGAGACTTATTGTAATTAAGAAGCAGTATCAGGCCGAGCGCGGTGGCTCACGCCTGTAATCCCAACACTTTGGGAGGCCGAGACAGGTGGATCACGAGGTCTGGAAATCTAGACCATCCTGGTCAACACGGTGAAATCCCGTCTCTACTAAAAAAAAAAAAACAAAAACTAGCTGGGCATGGTGGCACGTGCCTGTGGTCCCAGCTACTTGGGAGGCTGAGGCAGAAGAATCGCTTGAAACCAGGAGGCGGAGGTTGTAGTGAGCCAAGATCATGCCACTGCAATCTCTGTTGACAGAGCAAGACTCTATCTCAAAAAAAAGAAAAAGAAGTGGTACCTGTATGAGTGGTTATAGAAGAAAAATACTCTAAAACAATCTTATTTAGTTATGGAATTTCCAGGGAATCACAGAAATGGAAATCTTATGTGAGCCTGTTGAGAACGAAAAGTGTTTATTTAGTTGCCTGTATCTGGTATTTGGTGGGGATGGTGCAGACACACAGAAACAATAGAAAGCTAATTCTGTTGATAGTGTGGACTCTCATTTAAAGATGGAGACTAGCCCAGACTCCATTCTTGCCCCTTTGTCCTCACACATTCTGTATCTTGGAAGTGGCAGATTGATTTATGTGGTTTGAAAACTTGCATGATCATATTTGTTCTGTATCACATGTGCAGACTTCCTGGGAAAAAAGATGTGATCACTCATTTTTTTCGGTACACTAGACCTTCTCTTCATATCTCTTCTCCAAAATGCATAAAATTAAATCACTGGTTTTCTTCCCTGTGTCTACGTCTTAGACCTGCATAGACAAAAACTGGCAAGAGATAAGGGCAACCAACATTTATTGAGCCACTAATGTGAGTCCCGTCTTCAATGACCAGTTGGCACTAATATAACTAAAATGACAGATAAGTCACTATTATGCACGTAGTTTCTAGCTCCTCCATGGTATCTAATCTCTGTCTCCTATAGGAATTATACTATACATTCCTGAGGACATGCATCCAATTCCATCCATCCAATGGAATAAAAGGTTTACTTACTCATATTGGCTGACTTGCTTTGCAAACAGTATCAGATAATATGAAATTTATTTTGAGGTTTAACTTACATAAAGTACATATATCTTAAATGTACAGCTCAGAGGATCTTTACATATGTGCGCACACATATAAAGCCACCAAGATAAAGATATAAAACATTTTCAGCATCTCAAAAGACATCCTCATGTTCCCCACCATTAATATTCCCCAGGACTAAATATTATTCTGACTTCTATCACTTTAGGTTAGCTGTGCCTACTTTGGGGTCTTTTATACATCTTTCATGTCTCTACTTATGTTCAGTATTCCCTCTGTCTTCTTAAGTACATGGAATATGGTTATAATCACTGTTTTTATATCTTTTTATACTAATTCTATAATCTGTGTCATTTCTGAGTTTTAATTGATTGATTTTTCTCCTCATTATGGGTTATACTTTCCAGCTTCTTTACATGCATGATAATTTTTATTAGATACCAGATATTTTAACCTTTAGGGTACTGGCTATTTTTTTCTATAAATATTCTTGAGCTTTATTCTGGGACATGGTTCAGTTACATGGAAACAGTTGAATTATTTTGGGTCTTGCTTTGAGCTTTATTAGGTGGAACCAGAGCTAGGGCTAATATTTTGCAACTACTGAGTTAGTACTCTACCCAATTCTCTGTAAATTATGAGGTTTTTATATTCGGGGTGATGGGAAAAGGAGCCAGTCTGGTCACACAGTGATCTCCAAGGATTATTCTCACTAATCTTTTTGGATGGTTCTTTCCCTTACATGCAAGCACCAATAAGTATTTGGCTGAAGTCTCAAAGGAGTCCTTCTCAAGAATCTTTGGATTTCTCTCATCTCCAGTACTTGGCCCTGAGAACTCTAACTACCTTGACTTCCTAGACTGGCAGCTTCATCTCCTGTACTAGAGAAGCTGCAGACCTTCAGCAGACCTTCATCTACATTCTTCCTCTGAGCACTGCAATCTAGAAACTCTCTCCAGGCTTCACCTACTTTCTTTCTCATCTCTCAAAGATCACTGTCTGTTGCCTGCTGTCTAGTATCTTGAAAACCACTGTTTCATATATTTTGTCTGAAATTGTTTGTTTCAGGAAGAATAAATCTGGTCCCAGGTCATCGCCCTTGGTCAGAAGTAGAAGTCGTTGTTTTGCCTGTTTTTGAACTTTATTTAAATGCAATCATATTGTATGTTCTCTTTTGCATCAGACTTCATCAACTCAACATTATGCCTGATCCATCCACGTTTTTGCATGTATTAGTAGCTTGATATTGTTTGTTTTAGCTATTTATATTTCCACCAATAATATTTTTAAATTGTTTTAGAAATTAATAATTACCCTCAAAGTCTTTTACAAGAATGACATTAGTAAAAGCTTTCAGAAATCATGGATTTGAATCTTGAGTTTGACAATTCTTATCTCTTTGCCCTTGAACACACCCGTACAGTTATTGGCTCAAAATTAGTTCAAGTGCTTTATACTATTCTGTTTTCTAAAAATATAAAGTGATTTTTACTTATGGAATCACTGATTCTTGGTTTTCCTTTGTTTTCTCTACAACATAGCAAGAATGTGGCATCTACCCTGTCCAAGTAATTTCAATTCTTACAGAAGGGTTCACTGAGTGACAAGTGGAAATAAGTACTTTCTAAATACACAGTACTAGGGAACTAAGGAAAACAATGATCACATTTAGTAGCCCAGATACTACTGCTCTGTTACCATACAATTAAGGGACTTAACTTCCCCTAGAAGTAACTATGTTTTTAAAAATTCTAGATTATCAGTACCTTTTAAACTCAAAGGCATACTGAGTAGGCTCCAGCAGGTTTGTTTTCAGTGATATGATTGGGCTTCAAAGGACACCAGAAGTTTACTTTATGCATTTTCCCTTTTGGATGTAACTTTCATCATATTAATGAAGTAAGAAATTTCATTTGTATAAAAGATGAGCATGCTCTGATAATTTGGTTATAATGACATTGAGCTCAGTAAAGATAAATACACTGCAGGAGTCTACTCTGCAAATATAAATTCAATTTCTTTCAATGCTTTGAGTTTTTATTTTTTTCTTAAGTGGCTGAACATTAATTATTCCAATATCAGATAACAAACTTTCATCATTTTGAGGACAAACTACTGTCATATCAAATGAAAATGTTTAAGAGAATTTCATTTGAAACGATGTATTCTTTTTTTAATTTATACACTTTATTTATTAAAATTAAGTAATTTATGATACGAAAGACATTCTAAAACATAAGTCATTGGAATCAATGTATTCTTTTAAAATAACCTATTAGGTCTTAACTTTTCCTCTCAATGAGGATTCCTCAAGATTTCCAAAGGTACTGGTCTTCTGAAAGAGATCTCCTGCTCATCTACCACTGTCAGCTCTTTCAATCAGCAGTCAGGTCGATGAACCAGAGTTTTGTTTTTTGTTTTTGATGTGGGCTCAAAGCAAAATAAAGAAAAAGTAAACGCACTGGAGAGTGGTGGTTAATTTGGGACAAATGGAGTTAGACAGCTTCTGCTTCCTGTTAGTTAAATGGCATTGGGAATGTTATTCACCTCTTAGGCTAAGGTCAGGAGTTCGAGACCAGCCTGACCAACATGGAGAAACTCCATCTCTACTGAAAATACAAAATTAGCCTGGTATGGTGGCACATGCCTGTAATCCCAATTACTCAAAGAATGAGGCAGGAGAATCACTTGAACCCAGGAGTCAGAGGTTGCAGTGAGCCCAGACCACACCATTGCATTCCAGCCTGGACAACAAGAGCGAAACTCCATCTCAAAAAATAATAAGATGCTCCTTGTTATCTCTTCTCTCTCAAAACATCCTGGTCCTCTAAGGCCTATTCTGGAGACAATCTCCTTCTAATAATAATACCTTCTATCAGGTTTATATAGATATATTTAGATATAAATATTGATATAGTGAGCCAAGATGTTGCCACTGCACTCCAGCCTGGACAACAGAGGGAGACTCCGACTGAAAAAAATCTTGATATGCATATCTATATGTGTATCTAAAGAGCTACATGGTGATGGAAATGAAAAAAACTGATATTAGATACATGTGAATTATCTAAAAATAGTGAATTAGATAAACAGAGCCTGTACTTGGAATCATGGCTTCCACTACAAAGAATTAATTACCTTAAGTTTAAAAGTTCAGCTGGAAAAAATCCCATCCCTGAACTTCCTTGACAGAATTATAGAGATCAGGAAGAAAAGCTTACTAGCATCCAGCTTTGAGGGAAAGCAGCTTGGTTTGATGCCCTTAACAATCAAACCAACTTAGAAAAATCTCAGTATTGGATTGTGGCCATCCTGCTGAGGTCCCATCCATAAAGGCTTCCCTGGAAATTAGGAACTGCTTTAGTAGAATTTAAGATTAGTTTTGTCATAGTTTGTTCACCCCCTTTGGTATCCTCTCTGGCTCTATTATTTAGTAGCTGTTTAATATTTTTGCTTCTCTCCTAGATCCACTATTGTCTTCCTGAATAATTAGACAGGCATCTTTGGTCTTCATCTAAAAGAGATGCAGAATGCCCTGAAGGGTCAGTGTGATGGCTGACCTCCACATACCAACCCTTTGTGGTGCAAGATTTGGAGGAGTAGGATTACAGGTGGCCCTTTTTGTGCAGATTAGCGTTCTCCTTTTCTGTTGTCCCTAGTTCTCCCTCTCCTTTTGTGTAAGTGGACATGTAGGTAAAGGATAGTAAACTTACAGCCTGGAGTGTGGTGTGCAGTTCCCCTGTCTTCATTCTGACTCTGACAGGACCCTCTGCTTCACCCCAGGGTTTTGCCTGCTGTGCCTCTTTCTCTATTCAGGACTCAGCTATTTTTTGAGTTGGCCCATCCTGACATCAAAGTTCAATTAGTAAATCGAACCAGATTTCTGTTTTCTCTCTCTAGCCAAATTACCATACACCTCATGGAATTAAGGTAGGAGGGTGGGTGTGTGCATGTGTGTTAAATAATTTTCGAACTTCGGGGAAATACAAGTTACTTAAATACTGGTTTTATTATTTGAGGCAGAAGTTGGCAAAAGGCAAGGCAATTCACTCAATACCTGAGAATACAACTTACAAGAGATGTGAAGGACCTCTTCAAGGAGAACTACAAACCACTGCTCAAGGAAATAAGAGAGGACACAAACAAATGGAAAAACATTCCACTCTCATGGATAGGAAGACACGTTATCATGAAAATGGCCATACTGCCCAAAGTAGTTTAGAGATTCAATGCTATCCCAATCAAGCTACCATTGACTTTCTTCACAGAATTAGAAAAAACGACTCTAATTTCATTTGGAACCAAAAAAGAGCTCATATAGCCAATACAATCCTAAGCAAAAAGAACAAAGCTGGAGGCATCACACTACCTGACTTCATACTACAAGGTTACAGTAACCAAAACAGCATGGTACTGGTACCAAAACACATATGTAAACCAATGGAACAGAACAGAGGCCTCAGAAATAAAGCCACACATCTACAACCACCTGATCTTTGACAAACCTGATGAAAACAAGCAATGGGGAAAGGACTCCCTATTTAATAAATGACGTTGGGAAAACTGGCTAGCCATATACAGAAAACTGAAACTGGACCCCTTCCTTATACCTCACACAAAAATTAACTCAAGATGGATTAAAGACTTAAACATAAGACATAAAACCATAAACACCCTAGAAGAAAACCTAGGCAATACCATTCAAGACATAGGCATGGGCAAAGACTTCATGACTAAAACACCAAAAGCAACTGCAACAAAAGCCAAAATATACAAATGGGGTCTAATTAAACTAAAGGGCTTCTGCACAGCAAAAGAAACTCTTATCAGAGTGAACGGACAACCTACGGAAAGGGAGGAAATTTTTGCAATCTATCCATCTGACAAAGGGCTAATATCCAAAATCTACAAGGAACTTGAACAAATTTACAAGAAAAAAAACAACCCCATCAAAAAGTGGGCAAACGATATAAACAGACACTTCTCAAAAGAAGACATTTATGCAGACAACAAACATGGAAAAAAGCTCATCATCACTGGTCATTAGAGAAATGCAAATCAAAACCACAATGAAATACCATCTCATGCCAGTTAGAATGGAATCATTAAAACATCAGGAAACAATAGATGCTGGAGAGGATGTGGAGAAATAGGAACACTTTTACACTGTTGGTGGGAGTGTAAATTAGTTCAACCGTTGTGGAAGACAGTGTGGTGATTCCTCAAGGATCTAGAACTGGAAATACCATTTGATCCAGCAATCCCATTATTGGGTATATACCCAATAAATCATTCTACTATAAAGACACATGCACACTTATGTTTATTGCAGCACTCTTCACAATAGCAAAGACTTGGAACCAACCCAAATGCCCATCAATGATAGACTGGATAATGAAAAGGTGGCACATATACACCATGGAATACTATGCAGCCATAAAAAAGGATGAGTTCATGTCCTTCGCAGGGACATGGATGAAGCTGGAAGCCATCATTCTCAGCAAACTAACACAGGAACAGAAAACCAAATACCACATGTTCTCACTTACAGTTGAACAATGAGACACATGGACACAGGGAGGGGAACATCACATACTGGGGCCTGTCGGGGGGTAGGGGCTAAGGGAGGGATAGCATTAGGAGGAATTACCTAGTGTAGATGACGGATTGATGGGTGCAGCAAACCAACATGGCCCATGTATACCTATGTAACAAACCTGCACATTCTGCACATGTATCCCAAAACTTAAAGTATAATTAAAAAAAGAAATAAATAAATGAAGAAGGCAAGGCAGGAATGCTTGCTTCTGTAAACTGAATTCTTGAGCCTATTACTTCCTGTTAAGCCTTTGGCAGAGAAGTAATAAGGGCCTTTCCAGGGATTTGCTGGATCTGTAGGTGAAAGGCATGTGTAGTCTGAAACAAAAGAGGGGACCAGAGTACATAAATAACACGTGGGGGATAAAAATCCAGAAATTAACTACTTAGCCACTTATCTTGAGTCTGTGGTTTATAAACCTGAGTTTGATTGTTTGGGAAAGAAACCATTTGTTCAATCATTTTTCTCTAGGCCACCTACATATTCTGTCCTCCACTCAAATCCCATAAATGGCTAGAGGTGCATTTAGCACCCCTGGCAATTGAAAAAAAAATGACAGATTCACCACTTTGGAAAATAATTTGGAAAAAAGAGTTTCAAAACCCATAAAAACCCTCACGTCCTCTGACTCAGTAGTCTAACTCTAGGGAATTAAGTGAAAGAAGTGCTATATACAAAAATGTTTATTTTTAATGTTTGTAATAAAAGCAATGGGGTAAAAAACAATGGAACATACAAAAATATGACGTGGTTTATGAAATCAATAAAATATATGGTCATTGAAAATATTTATTAGAAGACAATAACACAGAAGAATATTCAATGCAATATTTTAAAATAACAGAATTGTATCCCAACTCTGGCTGGAAATACATAATAATCATATCTACATATGATCAAATAACAGAAAAGTCTATGGAAAGTGAAAATGGAAACTTTTTCATAAGTTATTTTGCCTTTCTTTTCTTTTTATTATAATGTTAGAATAGAAAAAATACTGGCAGAATATGAAATCCACGCTCATTCATGAATCTAGTTACCTAAGAAGGGAGTAACTTCTGTCTTGGTAAATCATTTCCACATTCTCTGACCAAAAGGTTGACACAACACTGGAGGTGGGAAATTAACAGATTGTTCTTCCCAAAAGAAAAGAAGCTGCTCATCCCTAAGTGCAGTGGTGGATGTTTGTTTTGGCTCTGTTTAAAACTTTCTTTTGTTATACAACACATTAAAAATAGGCCTGTGAGAGAGCTCTCCTTTGGAGAAACAAAAAGAAATATTGGGAGAAGTATTGAGAACCTTACACTTAGCAATTTATCCTAGAGCTCCAGAGAGGGTCAAATGTTTTCGAGAAAGGGCAGCCAGGGGTCACTGGGACCATAGCCATCCTCCCAAAGGCCACTGCTTCCTGGTTCAGTGAGAACAGAGTCTTCTCTGTGATGATTTCTTGGTTTCATCTCAACATCAACCAAATGTCTGAGTACCAAGAACACATCAGTCAAAGAGAAAGGAGCATCCAGTCTTAAGGAATCATCCCAGGATACACTGGCTCCCTGAACATGAAGAGACATTAAAAAAAAGCATTAGGGATAATGAGGATATCAAATAAGCTCTCCAGCAGGTTAGGGCAGGGAAAGGCATGGAAACCAGAGATGACTAGGTTGAGTTTTCCCTCAGAAGAAATGGTTGAGGAGAATCCACAATTGCAAACTTCAAATAAAGTTTAAGAGAGCAAAAGAGAACTGTGGGAGACTATGCTGTTATTGACCTTCAAGAAGCGATCAAATTGAGGATGCACAGAACTCACAGATGACTCCACCCTAACCAACAAGCTCTTCTTCCTTAATGTCACCAGGAGCTGCACTTCCCTTGCCTTGTGAGTACATGGTATGAGTGACTCTTAAACCCGAAACAAGAGCCATGGCTTAATTAGGGGGCAACGAGGGAATAAAGAGTGACACAGTAAATACCCGTTAGTATCATTTCCTTGCATTTAAAGAAAAAGAAACTGAGGCACAGAAAGTGAAATTGCTATATAAGAAAGAATACCACTTCTTGCTAAAGCCGATCAGTCAGCTCTGAGGAACATGAACCAGTGGCTATTTGCCTTTAGCAGGGAACTGAGGGTAATCTGACAAAGGTCAGCAACCTCTGATAATGCTAATTAGCTTTCTTGATTGATTTTTTTGTAACTTAGAAAGGAAATAGAAAAAAAAAAAGTTAAAAAGGTTAATGTTCTTATCCAGAGTCCCAGCTAGAATGTGATTATGGAGATCTCTGACCTCTCACAGGGAAACTATTTGTTGTAGTTCCACAGTGCCTAGACGTCTCTGAGATTCACAGTGCAGGGAGAAAATGGGAGAAAAGCTGAGAATGCAGTGGATAGGAGATATGAACACCCAGCAGGCAGGGAACAAAAGAGGAATGAGAAAGGCTAGCAATGATAATGGAGACCAAGCAAGCCACTGCCACCCAGGGACCATGGTTGGACATAGAAAAATCAAGCAGGCTCCAAATTCCAGGGAAACCCCAACTCCAGTGACAAACCTAAAACCTTCCCTCGGGGAAATAGAGGAGGATATGGAGGAGCCAGTATCTAGCCAAATGATCTTGGGCAACTGGGAGACAGCATTGGAAAAGCAGGTCAGTGCCAGCCCAGGAAGGGTAACCCAAGGTCTGTCATTCAGCAACTCTGGACATGCCACCACAGCAAAATCACCAGAGGTGAGATCAGCATGGGAAATCCTAGGACAGAAAGCACTGAAACAATGTTAATTTTTTTCCATTCAGTTGTCAGTCCTAATCTGAAAGTAGAAAAAGACACTACCTCAGCCAAGAATCTCAGAGGTGACTAAAACTCAGGGCCAGGATAGAAAGGGGAACTTTGGGGCTCCAGAAAGCTTTTTCTTTACTTCTCAAAAGCCTTGTGGCTCCCTTTCTCTCTCTCTCTTTTTCTCTCTCTCAAGAATGGGGCCTACAAATGCATTTGCAAACCAAGAGGAGACAAAACTCTAGAGTGGACTTGTGGTAATTGGCATACATAGAAGAGACTGAGGTACTTACAATCCAATTTCCCAGCAGTGGTGTGTTTACCCCTCCCAAATTCCTGGACCAATAATGCAGACGAAAAGTTATTAAATAAGAGGCAACCAGAGGGACCCCCTTAATGACATAATAATGTGGCCAAGAGACCCAGAACCAACAAAACCTGCAGGCCTCTGTCCAACCTGTAGTCCAGCCCTCCTGGAACATACACACAATGTGAAACCAGGCTTCTGGTTTGGGATGGGTCACGACAAAGGGCACCATCAAGGCCAAGAACAGGATGAAGACCCATATAGCAGCTACATCCAAGAGACTGATTCCTTGAAGGACCTTCAGTAAGTGTCACTGCTACGTGCTTGAGCCAACGTAAAGCAACCTAAGCAGAGGGGACTTTGAAATAGGGTGTGGCTCTCTTCAGCATCCCAGTCCAGTCTCCGCAACACCCACACCAATGTCCACAACCACACAAATCATGCCAGGGTTGAAATGTCTCCATTCAGACCATGCACTTTTCTCAGAAAAGGTATAAAGACAAGCTCATCCTGGAAAGAAGCAACCCTCAACAAGGACATCTTTTATAGGAACCATAGTCACCCTCTCCATCCCCATTGCTGAGAGACCCACCTACTTTGTGAGCAGGTAGCAAAAGCACCAGAAGCAGGAAGAAACCACCCACCTAGGCTCATACATCCCTTCCTAGACAGAGCAAGCAAGGGAGGTACAGCAACAGAAGGCTCTAAAGAGATGTCTCCAGTATTTGACATGGAGCCAGTCTGCCTACCTTAAGATCACATCCTGGGTCTGGAATCCCAAAGACCTATAATTTCCTATATAGTCACAAAGAAGTACATAAGATCAAGAGGAAACATTCCACAAATAGATCAGAACTGCCTTTTGGGGTTTGGTTACTATCTTTGTACCATGAGAATATTTAAATGAAGTTAGCAAGCAGGGAGGAAACATATATACAGGGCTACACGGGCAAGATGCTTGCTCAGGGGTTAACTGCCTACACATACCTCTTTATGCCTGCCATCTTTTATATATACCCCAATTACTGACATAGAGAAGATTGTTGAATAAATGAAATCTACTCCAAGTGTGGATCTGATTTCTATGTCTCCTGCAAGATATAGAAACAAGATCCTAGGAAAGAGGACTTAGGGCAGTGAGGGGACAAAATCTGGAGCATTTTAAATCAGGACAGAATATAGGTTCAAAAATAACTAAAATCTACTCACAGGAGATTGCTGGGCCTGAGAAAACCATCTAGTCAATAGGAACCACCAGGCACCCAAAAGGCTTTGAAGACCCAGAGCAAATCCCTGCAATTCCTCTTCCTACAAGGCACCCCTCCATATAACTGGCATAAGTGAAATTGAGTTAAAACACCTCAGTCCTAGGCTGGGCGCGGTGGCTCACGCCTGTAATCCCAGAACTTTGTGAGGCCGAGACGGGTGGATCACAAAGTCAGGAGATCGAGACCATCCTGGCTTACACAGTGAAACCCCATCTCTACTAAAAATACAAAAAATTAGCCAGGCGTGGTGGCCGGTGCCTGTAGTCCCAGCTACTTGGGAGGCTGAGGCAGGAGAATGGCGTGAGCCTGGGAGGCAGAGGTTGCAGTAAGCCGAGATCTCGCCACTGCACTCCAGCCTGGGTGACAGAGCGAGACTCCATCTCTAAAAAAAAACAAACAAACAAAAAAAACACCTCAGTCCTCTAAAGGGGACTTTTTTATTGGGACTGAGAAAAGTCAAAAGTTTTGTAGATAGTGCCAACAGAAACGCTTCTTCGATCCCAGTCTTATGAATAACTGTCTTTTTCCTTAGTCACAGGTCTGGTCAGTGATGATGATCACACTTCCTTCTTTTAAGTGAGATAACTTAATGCACAGAGCTAAATATGTAGACCTCCTCTAGCAAATATGCAATGAGTAATGATATTCATTCTATAGAGTGGTTTCTCTTGGCTTCAGTTTACTATGAGCTTTGTTTTCCCTGTAGTACAGTTTCTTCTTTTTTTTTTTTTTTTAACTTATCCCATTCTATTACAGTATCTCATCTCTGTGCGACACGTTAAATCCTTTTGGGAATAAGGCAATAGATTTTCTTTAAGAAGTCATAAAGCCCAGTGAGCAATCTGAGGGCGCCTGGAAAAGCATGATGGCCATTCACTGTCTTTCTTCCAGTACTGCAGGGCCCATGTGTTTGCTCTGAATGAGAGCCTCCTCCTTTTTTAGCAGAGGCTGAGATAACCTCCATGTTTCCCTTACCAGATGCATCACTAACCACTCTCTAAGTCTCTTTCCAACCTCCAGCAGAATAGGCTCTAAAACAGGTGCCCAAAAAGATGGGTCAGACATGTGATGGACCAAGAGGAGTTCTGTGTAGCTGAGGGACAGTTACTGTAGAAGGACATGCGGAAGTTAGCCAAAAATGGAAAAAGATAAAGAGCATCCCCAGTAAAAGGGAACGGAAGGCACAAAAACTTGGAGACATTGTGTGCTACATGTGGATCCAAAGCTGATAGAAAGAGGAGTGGAGGGATGAAAGAAATGAGAGCTGTTCAGGGATAGCATCATTAAAGGCTTTGCTACCTGGGTTTTTATCCTGTAAGCAATGGGGAGCCAGTGAAGGGTTTTAAGCAGAGGAAGAATTGGATCATATTTGCATTTTAGAAAAATGGCTTTGACAGGGTATGAAAGATTGATCATCTGGGATAGGGCTGGAATCAAGGTCATTCAGGCAAGATTTAGTGAAGACCAAAAATAAGGCAAAAACAGTGAGATGCTGAGTAAAGTCCTGAGGTGTTTGTGACATCAAATTGACAACACCCAGTAGACGTTTTGATATGAAGGGTACTAATCTGACTCTTCGGATAGACTCATGTCGTTCAGACTTAAAGAATTTAGTTCATGGTGGTATCACTCAAAATAGGAGGTGGCTAGTACTGAGCAGAAGGTGAATGGATCCAGATATTGGATACAAATTATTTAAATGTGATGCTCAAGATATTTTCCATGGAGAATGATAGTGGCTGTTCATATGGCTATGATCACATTTTTACAAAACCATATTTATGTACATAAAAAACTGGACGAAATATCTTTAAAGAAAGAACAAGAGTTGAGAAGGATATACACACAGATGTTAACAGTGACCGACTCCTTTAGTATTTTTTGCTCATCTCCGCTTTCTCAGCCTTCCATAATAATAATGTTTTACTCTTATATTTAAAAGCAATGGCCTTAAATTTAAGAAAGTAAAAAGAAATTTCTTACCCCAATTTAAAGAAACAGATCTGAATATACCGAGCACAAAGAATAGAGTTTCATGAATCATGAAACAGAGTTTCCTGGTTGTACCTAGGGCAACCCAGAAAGAGTGCACAGGGTGAGATGAGAGCTGTAATAGGTCTGTGAGCAACTTCGAAGGGATTAAGCAGGAACAAGGACCTAAGAGAAAGTCTGGATGAAAGTAATGTCCCAGCAGCCAATGTTCCTGAAAATTTTAATGTTCTGGCTGCTAATTTCTTGATCGTAGGACAATTTCTCACTTGTATTTGAACTCCACCTCACTGGCACTCTCCATCTCCTAGCCAGAACCTACAGGGTGGTAGCTAAACAAATGCTTATAAATAAATGTGATCCTATTTCCCTTTTAGCCTCCATCATCTGGACTTCTGTGGAATATGCTGTCTGTGGCATTTTCTCTTAGAATATAATTAGAAAGGGTTTGCAGAACTCATAAAATGGCAAGTAAAACTCCTCTCTCCTTGGGAGATTCATTCTCCCTGGGAGAGACCATTTAATAAAGCACAAGAGAAATCTCCATCTCACTGATTTGAGACTGTGGCTGCTTAGACACAAGAGCAGCAACATGGAGGACCAAAAACAGAGTTTTAAGAGGGAAGTATCTACTTCTAGCCTTATTAAAAAAAATACCTTTCTCACAAGTGGCCATAAACAGATAAGTGCCATGTGTCTGATCATCAATATTGACAACCCTTTAATGTCCCCCTGAAATTGATCCCAGGTGCAGCAGATTATACAGGACTATAAAAATTTTATTCAAGTATGAAAACTGCATAAATATGTCATCCACTTATAAACAAGGCCGGAAGAGAACATGAAAAAAATGAAAGATTTCTGAACTTGGATTTATATCTTTTCACTTATAAAATATTTTTATTGTTATAATATTGGTATAATAAATATTTAAAAAACAAAAACAAAGTAATTGAAGGAATATTTGCAGAAGAGGGAAGTAACTGCATCTTGGCGAATCTGAGCATCTAGGAGACAGGAATGAATGGGAAGAGCATCAGAACTACGACATGAAGAACATGGCTCCAGAGACCTGAGGGAAGGTGGAGAGAGGAAATTAAAGACCTTTCTTTCCTAAAGCCAAAAAGTTATTCCTGTTTGTATTCAGCAATCACTCAGAACATTAAAGTGTTCTCCGTGGAAGATTTCCCATTGGTAAGAGAGAATTTCCACCATCCCCCAAGAACATAGAAAAAGAAGTTTGTTCAGCTGGAGACGCAGAATTCTCAGTCCTGCCAATAGGACAGAGAATCTTACACAAGCCCTGGTGAACTTCAGAATGGAATGAGCTTTGATAATTCCCCCTTCACTTATTCCTGTAGAGATTGCTAAAACTTGTATGGCAAGTGAAAATCATCCCAGTTGGAGGTAGGTCATTATCAACTAATTGTTCAAAATTCAAGAACACACAAGCTACAGGGACAAGTGGTGCCTCACATGAGGAGACTTCCCAGAAGCCATTCATGTCACTGCCCAAAGAAATTTGCTAAGAAAAAGAGTCTCAGAAGAAATGATGCTGTGGAATAAGCTGAGGTGAAATACGCTCAAAAAGAGGTGGTTTCAATACCTTTGGACAAGAGGGCTGCATCAGGCTTTCCAAGAAAAGGGTGAATTGAGATCTTAGCATTCATAGTGGGGCTATTACGTCCTTCAGAAAGACTCCAACAGTGCCTGAGGATTTATAGAACCTGCAAAGCAGCCAGCTCCTGTTCCTTGAGGGTTTCTCTTCCTACACTGAACAAGTCAGGGACTTGTGCCGGCTATTCATGGCTAGCGCAGTCCTTTCACCTAAGTAGAGACAAAGGTGCTGTTGCTGATTCCTTAGAGTCAGTCACTGCAGGAGCCACCTGGGAAGCAAAAAGAGAAATAAATAATAATATATGTCCAGTCCTTTATTTTTCAAAGGACAGAACCAAGATCCAGTGATAGGAAAAGTTGAGAACAAGGGAGTAGAGAGCCCAAGAAGTGGTTTTGCTTTGACTGTGAATACACATCAGGGAATTCTAGCCAGTGATGGCAGCTGCCATTGTGAATCCCACTGGCAGGCTCTGGCAGCTCCATGTTTCCTGATCAAAACAGGTTTTTGTAGGGAATAAATATAGAGGAAATTTGGATATGGGTCCCTGGTCTTAAGAGCACATGGAATAAATATTCCCTTGGAAAAAAGGACTTCACTGAAGGCTCTAGTCTGTGCATAGATGCCTGGGAGGATCACAGGGTAAATGCAAGTAAGTGAAGATGAGCAAGGGAAAGAATGAGACTATGATAGATAATAAGGAACCCAAGGATACAGGGACAGTAGCTATTAAAAATGAGGGCTGGAGCATCCCCAAGAAGCAGTGAAGATTGTCTGAGTTAAAATAAAACAAGTGGTCTACAGTTAATTCCCTTGGGGAAGGGAAGAGTAAGGGAGAGGAAGAGGAGGAGGAGTTGAGGCCTCCTCCTCCTCAGAATTATGCAAATTGAAAGATAATTGTTGCAGCCTGCTTTGGCGTTAGCGGTAGTGGGACAATAGTAATACCAGGCTTGACTAGGAGAGTGTTCCAGGATTTTGGGGCAGAGACTCCCACAATTGAAGGCTGGAGACAGGGAATGGAGGAGAATGTCCATCTCCCCAACAGTCTCTAAAATTCTAAGTCATGAGGAGGATCACCTGAAGTAAAGTCTACAAGTGAAACGCCCTCCATAGTACCTAGTACATAATAGACACTTGAGAAATATGAAGACTTTGTAAAGTACAAAGACAACCTATTCCCTTCCTCAAAAACGTAGAGAGAAGAAGGGGATAGTTAGATACTCTAGGAGGTCAGAATATACACAGAATTCAATTCCACAAGAGAAGGGACATTCATTTTTCTAACTGTTACTGCTCTCAAGTTATGGCCTCTGCAAAGCCATTCTACTTATATGCCAAGAAGAAAAAAAAAAAATCATACATCATAGGTCAGTTGATTCCAGGTGATGACAGGTAGTATGGCCTAAAGTTTATTGAGTCCCTTTATGAGGAGACTACCATAGATTTTCCTTTCCGGAAAGAAGAAGGTGCCACCACAAACTTCTTTAAAAGCAGTGAGTCCCACAAGGAAGAAGAAGATATCAAAGTAAGAGCATCACTGTGAAAACACTGCCCTGACCCTGGCTGTCCACAGAATCCAGGACCCCTGACTGGGGGAACACCTTGGACAGTCCCCTCCTACTGCTTGCTTGATTGCCCCTAGTGGTCTTCCATGCTGAAGGCACTTATGGTGCCCTTTCAGTACCTGCTCAAAGCGGGCTTTGCCTGCTCTGTAACCCACTTCATCAAATCACAGATGAGATGGACCAGAAAGAATGACTCAAGATCAAGACCAAAACATGAGCAGGAGGGCAGTGGTCACTGCCATAGAGAGATCACTGTGAGTTTTTTGTTTTGTTTTCTTTTTTGCCTTGGTATGAGCCTCCTAGTGTATTTCAGAAGCTGGAGGTGACTCTGTCATAGGATCAGGACCACCCTTGTTCTTGGTATCCAAGAATCCACTCATTGGTGAGGGCTCCTCTTTCTGGTTCTGGTTCCAAGGGATTCTTTCCTCATCTTTTTTATCCTATGAAATTCAGGCTGTCCTTTATGATTTGTGTGATATACACATTATCCTGAAGTGAAGACATTTCATAAATTGGTCCATATCACTCTTTTGCCTCCATCAAGAGAGCAAATAGGATGTTGTTACCAGCAAAAGGGAAAATGAGAAGAAGCCCTGAAGTTTGGCATTTGGAGTGATGTCCTTTGGTCTCAAACATAAGGCCTAGCAGCTCTAGGAAGTCAGTCTCAGACGTAACCTTCCTATTTTACATAAAGATATCAGGATTACCTCACACAAGGTAATAAAGAAGTAATAGACAATAAACCTGGGCATCCCAACAGGTGACAAGAATAAGTCCTTATGCATTCAGAATCAGGGAAGAATCCCACACCAAAAATGTCAACAGGACTCACAATAGCATATCTATTTGCTCCTCTCCTAATAGGCTACATGCCAAATTTTACATGTAAGGTAAAAAAGCATGCTGGTAATATTTATTAATGTCAACCTTAAAGGGAAAAGAAATTTTAAGACAATAGCTCAAGAAGATCTGAGACTTGCTGAGCGACTGCCCTGTATACTTTTCTTGTAGGATACTAAATATTTTAGGCTGTCTTTATTTATGTAAGTTCACTGCTTCATTATTATTATTATTATTATTATTTTTTTTTTTTTTTTTTTTTTTTTTTGAGACGGAGTCTCACTCTTTCACCCAAGCTGGACTGCAGTGGCGCTATCCCGGCTCAGTGCAAGCTCCGCCTCTTGGGTTCATGCCATTCTCCTGCCTCAGCCTCCCGAGTAGCTGGGATTACAGGCGCCCACCACCACGCCCGGCTAATTTTTTGTATTTTTAGTAGAGACGGGGTTTCACCGTGTTAGCCAGGATGGTCTCGATCTCCTGACCTCGTGATCCGCCCGCCTCGGCCTCCCAAAGTGCTGGGATTACAGGCGTGAGCCACCGCGCCCGGCCTGCTTCATTATTAACACCCGCTGAATGGACCTGGCTCCTTCTTCCCAATTGGCTGCCTCCTTGAGATTCCACCTAGCAATCTGCATCTTTCAATAGCAAAAAAAAAAAAAAAAAAAAAAATCTGGGACTATAGACCTGAAACAGTGGTCCAATTTACAGAGACCAAAAAGGAAATAGGAGATGTTTGTCTTAGGGACAGTGACTGCAGACAGAGTCACTGGGCACAGTGAAGATGTGTCCCTCACATTTCTAAGGGATTCGTACTGTCTATTAGCAGTAGCAGGAAACTGACAAGAAGACACATGTATTAGTCCATTTTCATGCTGCTGAAAATGATATACCCAAGACTGGTAATTTATAAAGAAAAAAAGGTTTAATGGACTCACAGTTCCACGTGGCTGGGGAGGCCTCACAATCATGGCAGAAGGCAAGTGAAGAACAAAAGCATGTCTTACATGGCAGCAAGTAAAGAAACAATGAGAGCCAAGTGAAAGTGGTTTCCCCTTATAAAACCATCAGATCTCGTGAGACTTATTCACTACCATGAGAACAGTATGGGGAAAACCACCCCCATGATTCAATTATCTCCCACCGGGTCCCTCCCACAACATTTGGGAATTAAGGAAGTTACAATTCAAGGTGAGATTTGGGTGGGGACACAGACAAACCATATCAATACATATCCACAGCCACAAGAAAAAAAGAGGATGTCCGAGCATTAAGAGCAGCAGAAAGAGGGGGAGAAAACTAAGCAAAGGAGGTAAGAGGAGCAAAGAAGAAGTCAAGGATCATATCAAGAAGAAAACAGGAGAGGAGCAGTCAAGAAGCCAATGCAGAATTTCTAGGGGGAGGTCTAAGCTGGACCACAGCAGCCTCCGAGAGGCAATGTTGAAGGTCACAGGGCTGCAAGGAGAGGAACAGGAGATTAACATTTATACAACACCATGTGGCTCATCACCTTGGTTGAAGGCAGTCTCCAGAAAGAAGGTGCCAGAGGTGATCTTCCTCAGCTCCAACCCCGACTCCCTGATGCGGCTGCAGTCCACCAGGGTAAAGGCCTGTCCAATTAGATTCAACCCAGAGATCTTGAAGGAATACCTATCTAGGAGTGGTTTCTAGAACCCCAAGTATTCAACATGCCTCAGGAGATATTCTATTGAAGCGCAAATTGTGGGAAATGTATTGCAGACAATAAGCTGAAATGTGAAATCTCCAGATTTGTCTAAATGATAAGATCCTTTCTAGATGGAGAGAGGATAGAAGCAAAGAAAAGAAAGGGGAAAACAAAAAGAAGAGAGATGCAATTCTCTAGCAGTTGCATGGGCTCCTTGTAAGAGCAAGACATGCCAGGACAGCTCAAATCCAACTGGAGCCTCCTGTCTTCTCCAGGGTTACATGACAGAGTATTTAGCCAATGCTTGCCAGTCCGGAAAGGAAAAAAAGAATCTGAAGACCTCTTCAGGATGAAGAAAGTGAGATTCAAGGCTTCTGTTTATATAATAAAAAATTTCCTCCATGATAGAAAACCAAATGGTAGGGAATGGATGAATGATAATGCTTCCTTCCCAAACTTAAGACTTGGCATGGCTGAAGAAAAGAAGTGAACTGCTCCATAAAATTTGAGCAGAGCAGAGGAGAGAGAGCACAATTCCCGAAGAAGATATAGTCCCTTGTGGAAGATCCCTTCTCAACTGACTCTCAGGGCTGAGGTCATTAACCTAGAAGGCACATATTGGAGCAGATGAAGGCCTCCTGACAAGAAGGAGCCTTGGGGAAAAGGGAATTATACTTGCACCCTTTTTTAGAGAATACTCCTGAGTGTGTGGTCTCCAGAAACCCACGTATTTAGCAGATATCATTATTTCTGTGGATACTGGGCCAAAATGTAAACTTGAATTCAACTGTAGAGACTAGTTTCCCAGGTGTGCCTGCAATGTTAGGGGTGAGATGAAGCACCAATGGGGACTTTCACTCAGCAGGGTTGGTCTAGGAAATACACAAATTTCTCACAACCTTCTTCCCCTGTGATATCTAAACCAGGAGTGCCAATGCCATCACCTATAAGACGAGAAAGTGGACAGAAATGTCTAACTTTGACCCACAGGAAAGTTTGCTCCCTGTTAACAAACAATTGAAGAGGGAAGAATTAGGAGCCGGTCTCTTGACATGACAAGCTGACATGACAAGCTCCCAAGATAGCAAGGGAGGTCCAGAGATTCCATATTGAATACAAGGTCCAAGTTAAGAGTCTTGACATATGCCTAGAATTGGCCCTATAAAACTGAGCCCTCACCCACTTTAGACATTTCTTTTTCATTCTTGGCCTTCACGACTACTAAAGTGTCTTCTCCCTGAGGGGTTGCTGCATTCTTTTTCCTCCCAGGCCAGGTGACAATCATAGACTCAATAAGAAATTCCATAGCCAAGCCCTTTTACTCTTCTGTCTCTGTCTTTAAATGATCTACTTCCTCTAAGAACCTTAGGTAGTACCACAACTGGGACAGGTGCAGTGACCAGCTAACACAGAATCCGTGTAGCACCTGTCCTGGAACCCTGTCCAGCCCTATCCCGAGATTCAGGCTTCTATAGCAGTCAAGCTCATGATTCAGCCTCCCTTGGGTGTCTGGTTATGTGGCCCCTTCCACATTCTTTTGGCCCTGAGAAGCTCTCATAATGGAAAAGGATTTGTTTTGACAATGGCAAGAAGTTACAAGCAAGTAGCTTTTAGTTCAATATTTGAGGAGGGAATTTGTTAGGACTGGAGCTCTTCAACAAAAGACTGAACAGCCACAGAAAGAGGGTCATGGAAAAGGACTTGAGCAAGATGGCAAACCACCATCATGGAAACCAAGAGGGGATTTTTGCCTTAGGTCGTTTGCTTCTAACTCCAAAATCTGAATTGCTAAGCCCCTATGGAGCATGGACTATGTCTTATCCATCAGCTCCCAGTGAAATTCCTAAAAAGTTTTCATTAATCATCTGTTTATGATTGCACATCCAGTGAGCAGACCATTGGAAGTTGCTCAAAACAGGAATGTTTTACTTGAAAGGGCCCAGCCATCTCTTGCCTAAGCCTCATCTGTGGACAGAAGCAGTTTTCAGTGAAAAGCCTGCCAGGAAGCTTCTGATTCTAAAGGGATTTCACCCACAAGTCCAAAGGCTCCACATTGCAGGAAAAAAAGGAGGGCAGGGAGTGTATTTTCAGGGCAACTCAAATCTATGCTCCCAGGAAATAATAATAAATAAAAATAATAATAGATGTTTTAAAAGGAGGGCAAATCCATTATAACAGCAAACTGACATTTGGAAAAAGTGGGAGTGGGGAGTTGAGGTGAGGGACCTATTATGCATGGAGTGACAGTCTCTGGAAAAGGGCTCTGACCCACCAACATCCTTATTTCCCTCTATTCCCAATGAATGACATTGCCCCACCTATTACAAGGCCTGTTCTTCATGAGCGATCAAGCTTCTAGAGCAAGGGGCCCTGGGCTTAACCATATTAACATTTGAATGGCTTAAATGAGTCCCTTTCCAGGGAGCGTGCATTGTAATGGGGAAGCGAGGGTCATGGCTCATCCACAAAGGAAGAGAGTAGAGAAAAGGAAGTCTGGGTGCTTAGAAGACATATTTCTCCTCCATTTTATGTAGACAAGAATCAAAATGTCACACAATTTGTTTTTTTCGTCTATTTTTAACTCATATATTGACACAAAATTACCAAATACCATAAATAATTATCATCCCAATAAAGATATATCTAATCAACCTATTTTTGCAATATGTTAGTATTACATTTTAAAAATGTTTATTCACACACTAGGGCCCTAACTCAGACACCTACAGGGTGTCCTAACACTCAATACATCAGATCTAAAGTTCTTTAACTTTGTTTCCTCTCCATTCCCCTTGCTCTCCTTGATCTCTCCTGTCTCCTTACCTGCATATTTTTATCTTGCTGCAGAAACAGAATAAATGTCCTCCTTTCCTTTTCCTTGCTAGTCAAACTCTTTACTTCATCCAGTCCAGTTGAGACCCTTTCCTCTCCCCAGACCAACTCAAACTATCCCAAGTCAAAGGTCAATCATCCCTCCTCTGATTTCCCCAAATACTTCATTGATACCACTAAATTCAGCACCCATTTTTGAGTGCTTCTATCCTTTCCTCAGTTCAGAGGAAGCTCACCCATGGCAAGGAGCTGGTTTAGGATGAAAATGGATGTACTCAGTCTTTCCTCATCCTGCTTATGTTGTGCTCTGAATCTACTCAAATGCTCTGGCAGAAAATGAACACACAGTTCCACTTTATTATGAAGTATGGAAAAGATGACCCTTCCTTGAAGGCATTGAGACAGTTGATACCCAGGTGCCCCTCCTCAGTAGCAGAGATGCCAAATATCTGCAATACAGATTCCATTTTGAACATGGCTAAATCACAGTGGCTCCCCCAGGATAATCTCACCCCAAAAATGGGCATGTGAAACCAAATAAAATCAAGATGGTGAAGTCACCAAAGTGATAAAGTCACTGGATATATTCCATCTGGTCATGGAGATAAACATACTCAAAACAAAGGTTGGCTTTTAGCCCCATGCATTCTTAGGAACCATTCTTCCTTAACACAAACTTGCGCCTGTAATGTTTCATTTAATAAGCTTTTCAGAGGGTACTTGGGGTAGGGAGGGTTTGGAGCATGCTTTATTACCCAGCATCCATTTCTTAGACCATGGGTTTCCAAAACTGTGCTAGGAGGACCTAGAATCAAGTTAGTCCACATTTAACTGTATTGTTGGTCTCCTGCCAACAACAAAAATAAAACCACTCCAATCTCATTCATAGGGAAAAGTCTGCTGAAATTTCTAACCTAGAATGTCAACCAAAGGACATTGCTGTCCAGCCTTCTGTGAGGTTATTTTTAACAGTGAAATGTCTCCAAAATGATGCCACTCTGCCTCTATCCAAACTTTAAGCCTGTCCCAAAACAGATCTACACGCTACCTTTGCTATATTGCCAATTGGCCTGTGGGCAAAAGTCTGTCTTGGACCCCACAACTGGGAAGCTCTAAGCTCTGTGATTTTACTACCCCTCTAAATGGCAGATATAGCCATTTTTCATCTGACCTGAATTCAATAATGTTTTGCTTTGAATTTTTTAAAATAAATTATTAAAATGCTCTCAAACTTACGTACCAGAAAAATGATCATATGCACATCTAGATTTTAAAAGGGTGATTTCTGCCTGAAGTAGTCTGCACAGCAGTAAAGCTGCATGGGTCCACTGGTAGGTAAGTTAGCAACAGTGGACCAATTAATTAACCTTCCTCTGCAGCGTAGCCACCATTAACGCCAACATAGCAGTAGTGATTTTGCATCTTAGAGATCACCCTGAAAGCATAAAGGAGAAGATCTACTTCTAGAGGGCCTAAAAAGCAATTCTTCCATCAACCAAGAAAAATGCACTCCACATTTGCAGTTATACCATGATGTAAATGACAGGAAATAAAGCACATACTGGAAATGTGTAGCTTCAGACACCCTAATCAGCTATTCTGTCAATACAGTAAAGGGCAGAAAATCCCAATTCCAGATTTTGAATTTAGCAAAAAGGCTAAAGAGGAGAGACACATTCATACCAACCCTCCCATACAGACGCATTGATCCTTCCTGTGGGCATATTCACGAAAATGCACATCCTCTAGCTATGTATTTTGTCAATATCAGCAGTAGTTTTAAATTACCTCCTAGATGTATTCAAAATGCACCTCTTTGCCCCAGACATAAAAGCGAGTGAATAAAATACAAATACAGCAATTAAATTCCATCCCTACCGCAACTCTGTTTAAAATGCACGTGAAGAAAATTAGAAAAAATGTTCACTAGGGAAAAGCAATCCCAAAAGGTCAGCTGCAAGGTAATATTCATATAGCTGTTATTTAACAAAAGTTTAAGGTTAGGGAGAGTATCCAAATGTTGTATTAAAGTAAATCAATCCCTCTTTTTCTTTCCACCTATAAATGAAGTACAGTAAATATGAAAAATGTTCTCCCTAAAATGGAATAGCAAGTTTAAATTGCTCTGTGCCAAATGTTTATAGACACATAGCATGTAATAACCAAATGGGATCACTCTGCTTGTCTCTTCATCAGACACTATACTGTATTATCCTTTTAAATTCCTGTTTTTCTACTGCTAAGTTTTATCCAGTCATAATGGCCATCATTTTTATTCTGACACCTCTTATAAAAACACCATATCTGCCTTGAGTTCACTAGGAGACCAAGAATGACGTCCAGAAAATTATGACATGGGAAAGGTAGACTAGCTAAACATGATATATGTTTGTTTCTCTCCAAATCACTGAAGAATAAAAGGGCTGAACCTATTCCTTTTCCCCTTGTTCTTTCTCCTTGCTCCATTTATTAACATGCTTTTCAGAAAATACTAAAAAGGGAGATGCCTTTCTCCCTCTGTCCTCTTTCTCTCTCCCTCCCTCTCTGTCTCATACAGACACACACAAAGTGCACAAAATATGAACCATGCCCCAGAATATGCAGCCTCCACAAAGAGGCACACAGCTTCATACACAAGCTTATGCTGCCTCCAAAAACTGAGATTCCCCCCCTAAACTTAGGATCAGTCACTGAAAAAATATATTTTTTTTTTTTTTTTTTGAGACGGAGTCTTGCTCTGTCACCCAGGCTGGAGTGCAGTGGCGCAATCTCGGCTCCCTGCAAGCTCCGCCTCCCGGATTCACGCCATTCTCCTGCCTCAGCCTCCCGAGTAGCTAGGACAACAGGCGCCCGCCACCACGCCCGGCTAATTTTTTATATTTTTACTAGAGACAGGTTTCACAGTGTTAGCCAGGATGGTCTCGATCTCCTGACCTCGTGATCCACCCGCCTCGGCCTCCCAAAGTGCTGGGATTACAGGCGTGAGCCACCGCGTCCGGCCATGAAAAAACATTATTTCTTTATGAACCAGAGCCGAGAATAAAATCAACTTGAAAACAGTACAGAGAGGCTTCCAAATCAGAACATGGTGGAGACACTAGAGAGGGGGAAGAGAAGAACAGCAAATATGCTGTTACTCAGAAAAAGGACTCAGTCTGCAGCAGGGTGGGCCTGATAGGGAAGGCTAGGGTGTGGGGGGCCAGACTGGGCATAGGAGGAAAACACAATACAAGAAGTCCCCCAGCTGTAGGCAATGGGCAGAAACATAGCCAAGTTAATGAATACGGGAGAGGCCCAGTGGTCAGCCGCAGGTGAGGGAGTCAGCACAGGGGCAGAGGACTGCATCATGGGAAATGGGCAGCCTGGCCAAGCATCTGGCAGCAGAGCGGCCAAGCAGCAAGGGCTAGACTGAAGCTTAGGGTCAGGGTCCCCATATCCCAGGAGTGTGAGAAGATCCTGGCAGATCTTGTGCTAACAGGAAACATGAAGTGTACACAAAGACAGCAGAACAAGACAGTGACCTGTTAGGAGGCCGCGGATACAAGGCATAGGTAATGGGAAGAACACGACGGCCACTTGATTTTAGCAGCTGACTTGAGGCTGAACTATTAACCCCCATACTCCCCCAAAAACTCAGTAGTCCTAGGCTCAGTTCTCAAGGCAGAAGGGCAGTGAAGGGGTTACTTAAATAATAACTGCATAATAGCACTGTCCACTAAAAAAAAATGCCTAGAACATAATAACTGCTAGAATAATCGCTCGCATTCATCCTTATCCACCTTTCTAATCTTTATATGAAACAAATATTACTGATACTGTGCTGGACATTCAACCCTGACCAAGACACCAATCCTATTCTGAAGATGTGGACGGCCTGATGTGGGGAGGAGGGGCATTCCTGTTTTTGTTGTGTCTCTGATGTTGCCTTTATAACTCCAGCCCCATAACTGCCCCCACTGCTTCGGAGATGAGAATGTTTAGACCTGTTGGTACTTTAGGAAGGAGGAAAGGAATCTCTTATGTCAGACCCTAACCTCAGCTCCTTCCCTTGAATATTACCTTTTAGAGGCTAAGTGAGGGACAGCTAACCCCAAAGCTAAGGCTGCCATCACCTGGTCACAGCCACCACTGTTTGGGACCTGTCCATACTGTGTCAGGAAGAAGCATGTCCTAACTGGTCTGGGTAGAAGCTGGGCACAGGCTGTCAAGTATCAATTATGCACAAAGTGGTTTTCACTCCAGAACACAGTAAACACAAAACAGACCAGAACTGGGTCAAAAATGTAGACTAAACCATGTGATCATCATATGGAGAGAACTTCACAGAGGGTAGCCCAGAGGCAAGAGTTCAAAAGGATCAGCTTCTTTAAAAAGACAAAGCCATGTGGAGTGTTTAGCCAAGATCTTTGCAGTTGGCCTCTCTCTCCAGGTGAAACCTCCTACCCCTAGAAATTCTAAACCAACTGCAGTAAAATCCCTTAGAGAAAGAGCCCTTCTCAGCAAAGACTCACCTCCACTGTCAATATCTAAGTAGGTAAACCATGATCTCTAGGCATATCAGTTACCTGGGTGTTTTAGCAGCTTATAAGCCCGTCCTCTCTAGGAAGGAGACTGAGGTTTAGGGCTGAAAAATACACTTCGCATACATTCTGCTCCCAATTTGGCTGTTGAAATTTCAGAGAAGGACAGTGCTAAACACCTAAACTGTATAGTTACTCACTGGAATCCCAGAGCAGTGATGCTGCAAAATGGAAGAGATAGGGCCCGATGCATGTGACATTCTCCCTGACCCCCACAGATGTTCAAATAAGCAGAAATACAAAATACTGTCGCAATCTACTAAAACTACTTGTCTTCTCAATGTGCACACATATCTGTAGCATAACTTACAAGCTAATCTTTCTTGGTTCTTTATCCGTAAGTTTAAAAAGACAAATTTCAAAGCAAAATGAGATTTTTAATAAATTTACTTTATTTACTGAAATGCAATTTTCTGTTCTTTGCCATTTTTTAACTTGCCTGATACTTTTTAAATGCCTCTATTTAATTTTATGACATTGATTTACAGGTGATAATTATTTGGGGGTTTATGATTCCAAATGTCTCATTTTACTGTTTGCCATCAGCCAGGCCCCTTTCAACAACATGTTTTTGGCTACGAAGTTCATTGGCCAGTAAAAAATGTTCTCTTTGCAATAATATGTTCAAACCCTTCGCCAATTCATCTTATGCTTCTTTTCTAAAGTTGGGGTGAAAATGTTTCTGAAGGTTAAAGTTATCATGAAAACTGAAGCCGTGTTCAGATACAAATCTGGTTCCTGTACTCTAGGATTTGCCATGGGAATCCTCACAAAATCCAGGCTCATTTCAAAATCCTGAGTGTGGGAATGCCACAGTCAAGTGAGCTTTCTTCTCTCTGCTCTTGCCATACAGAAAGAAGACTGTTTCTCTCCAGTCCTTAGCACCTAAATCCATGAAATTACGGGGTTTATTTCCAGGGCACTAGTGAAACCATTACTTTAAAGGAAGATTATTTCCAGAAAGACTACATGAACTATTTCCCCAGATAAGTTAATTTCTTTATCATTTACGCAAAAATTGTTTCATTTCTGTCTCAATGCTTTTGCTGTCTGCCTCCATGATATGGAATGCCCTCCACCCTGGTATCCTGCTGACCAAATCCTATTTCAACCTGCAAGCCCTGCTTAAGGTCCACCTTCAATTCCTTTGGTCTTTATCAGCTCTTCTCTGACATTCAACTGGCAAATTTTCGAATATATTTCTTGCAGCAGGTGATATACCACTTGACATAGCACTAATTGCAGAAAAGTGCTAGAGGTACAATAAGTGAATTTGATTGAGAAAGTCTCCAATTCCTGACAGTGGAGGTAGCAAGGTGCAGCTGAGTTCATGTGGTTTAGGAAAAAAAAAGACCTGCCTATGACAGAGTCTTGCTCTAATGCTTACTAGCTATGCAGGCTTTGGCAGTCACTTTCCCTCCCTGAGCCTCAATTTCCCATTCAAAAACTTCATGGAGTTGTTGCAAGGCTAAAATTGGGTTAGGTGTCAGCCACTTTCCTAAACACTGGAGCTACAAAAGTGAGTATGATAAAGCCCCAGTTTTGAAAAGGCTCATAGTCTGTGGTTATTTGCAGTAGCTTCAGGTTCTCTGAGAGAAACAGTTAAGTGGCATTTGGGAAACAGTAAGCTGGAAACAGTAGGGGAGAAATTGGAGAAGGAGAACGTGCAGTCTGAAGCTACTCCAGAATTGCTGACGTATGCTGAAGACTGGGAAAGGATGACAGCAGTAGAAGTGGAGATGAAGGAAAATTTGAGAGACATTACAAATGGAACAGAATTATAGGCCTTGATTTATTTCATATTTAAGATGATAGCGGAAATCGATAAAGAATCATCTCAAATTTCTCACCTAGGGGACAGGTGCAAGCACTGACAGATATGGAGTAACTGGGAAAAAGAGCTGGTTTGGGTGATGGGAGAGATTATCAGCCTCTACAGAGGCTCCACAAATGCCCATCTCAAAGTCCAACAGCTTCTTCCTTCACAACTCCATTGAGTCCTTTTTCTCTCTTTAATCTTGTCCATCTTGATTTTATCTATAGAAAGTTCAGGGATGAGTTGAATAATCAACTAGTTTTGCTAGACTTCAGCAAACAGGGTGTACCACCAATAAGAAATACACTCTTCTCCCTACCACACAAATCTTATTTATTGCCTCTACTTGAATTTTAAAGGTAAAATGACTTTAGCCTAAAATAGCCCATGTTCCTCTTGACCGTGCCTCCAATATTACAAATATCCAACTGTCCTCTGAAGCTGCCTGGGCAAAGCTAGGCAGCTTGGTCTCTTTCAGTTGGGGAGCGGTGCTTCCACATTCTGAGCCAGTAACTGCCACCCAGGTCCAGCCAGAGTCTGCCTTCTCTGGACCCCCCAACTCCTGCTAGTCACTGAGCATGCTCACTGCAGGTCAAGAAAGTGATTCTTTAAATAGCCCCTAATTAATAGAGATCAAAAAATTTAATGTATGCATTTCCTTTCATCCAACAATTCTAGAAATTTATACTAAGGAAATAATCAGAAGTACACATAATGATTTGGCTGCAAACATATCTATTGAGGCATCCCCTTAGATTGCAAAAAAAAAAAAAAAAATTTCAGGGACATTCTGAATGCAAAACAATAAGGGAATATTTAAATAAATTGCCACATAGCCACATATTGGAATGTTATGCAAACATTTAAAAAGTTGTACAGGCATTTTAATGGCATGCAGAAATATTTGAAATAGATTTTAATAAGTTAAAAAAGTAACAGAACCACATGTAATTTTGGTCTCAATTTTGTGTCATCCATACATATACATGTATACACAGATACATTACATATATATACACACACATATATACACATATATACATATATACACATATATACACATATATACATATATACACATATATACATATATACATATATATGTGTATATATACACATACATATATATGTGTATATATACACATACATATATATGTGTATATATACACATACATATATATGAGTATATATACACATTCATATATATGAGTATATATACACATACATATATATGAGTATATATACACATACATATATGAGTATATATACACATTCATATATATGAGTATATATATACATATATATATATATACTCATATGCATGCATACTCAGAGAAAAATAACCTGGGAAGATATAATTACTGTTATCTCTAGGTGAAGGGATTAAAGATGATTTTTATTTTCTCCTTTCTGAATTTTCCAAGTACCTATTAAAATGTTTTGTAATCAGGAAAAAAAAAAACTAAAATAAAGGGAAATTGGCCACGAAATGGGCCATGACTTGAGGAGAAGAAACCTCTGAGGATGGCAGGTATTCCATGGAATATTTATTACTTAAGGGGATTTTACTCGTTCGTTTGAATGCTGATGTGTTCAGTCTTTCCACCTCTTATGACAAGGTGCTAAGAACTCACTCATCCTGTCCTCTGCCCACACCTCACTTTATGCATACATACACCTAAACATGTACCCTAGGATACAAATGCCTTGGGGGAAATACTACGCCTTATTTATCTTGCTTACTCACCTCCATTGCCAGCAGGTGCCTAAAATTTTTGCTGCATTAAATTTGATCAGCACATTTAAAAATTCATTCTTTGAATGTCTACTAGGAAGTACAGCTGTGTAATTGTAACCGTATATTTTATGACCCACTCTTTCCCTACCTGCCTCCACCTTCATTTTTCTTACACCACAAATCCTTTCACCCATTTTCATAGTTTTCAGGAGATAGTATTGTATTTTATGGGACAGTAATGATGAGGTGTCTAAGTTGTTTCAACCTAAGACTGCAAGATTTGAATAAATCTGTGAAAAGTTTGGAAAATCACTGTTTATTTATCCTATGGTTCTCATTTAACTTTTCTAAGCACAATATTCTCTGCTGTTTAAAAAATGTATTCACTTCTAAAAGAGGGCAAAAATTTCATTTTCTTAGGTCACCTAACCCAATTCAATATTCTTTGTTGCTATGCTCAATTATAAAATGAAAAATTGAAAGAAAACCCAATTTTCTTATATAATATGGTCACATGAGCCAGGTTATAAAATATTATTCACCATGCCCTAATCATGTTTTTAAGCTTTTTAAAAAATAGCTCAATACTTAATTTTGTTAGTAGTACATATTGTCTGGATTATTTCATTCTTGAAATGTAAATGGATCTAGTAGCTAAGGGTTTCTTAAGAGGTGAATATTACATTCAAAGTCACACTGCAGGTGTAGGGAAACATAATCTCTTTTACATGGGGCCTCATATTGTAGACATCACCGTATGTATGTAGTTGGTTGAGAACTTCAAGAGAGATAGCTTACACGTGTGCCCTCCCACAATACACACACAACTCACACACTCACATACTCACATACTCTTTTAGGTAGAGTAGAAATCTTTTCTAAAATAAGGATTGAGGCACCTAATGCAAACTTGAAAATGTTTAGCCTATAATTTTCATTAATTACTGTCTCCAATACAGAGAGCTGCTGGGAAATTAAAACATAAAAGCAATGCTTTTTTTGTGCCTTGTATATATTCAGCAAGAAAAAGAAATGGAATAATACAGTATACACTAAGGAAAAGCCCCCAGTTTATAATATATTAAAGGCATTATTTTAAATGTGTTTCTTTGTTCCTTGTGGGGCAGCCCTTTCCCTGAACACAGAATAAGCACAGCCTACGCACCTGTAAATGTTCTCCAGCTTTCACCAACCATCCTCTGTGTATCTAGGCCTGCTTTTCCACAGCCTTTCTCTTTTAAGTAGCTAAATTCATTAGAGATTTCAGTAAGAAATCATGTCATATTGAGACAATTAAGTTTTGGATTTCTAAAAATAAAATGAAATAAGAATAAATGTGTTGGCAATTGAAGAAGGGTTATTTGGAGTGTGAGTTTTCAAAGGTTCTTGTCTGAAAGCTATAAACTCTAATTAGAACTGATTTCCACCTAGGATAATCCATCTTTTCCCCTGCGTTTCTCCTGCACTCTAAATAAAACAGAAGTATTGTATGGATGGAATAAATCTGAGTTATACGAGGTAAAGGCATTACATAATTAACAGTACTTGAGAAATTACAAATATATCCTAACCTTCTCGAAAACTACTCATGTCTTCCCCCAAATCCCTGTTACCATGCCCTTCTATGACCATTTCACATTTGCAACTTCACCGTTGCAGCTCGCCCGTTCTAACCATCTCTGCCTAGTTTTCTCCTAGCTAGATGACTTAAAGTCCCATGACTGATGTTATATTTTTCTCCCTGAAGAAAATAACCATATTATATACTGCTTCAAACTTTACACCACATTTGTGCTCTGATTTTTTTATCAGGACCTCCAACTCAATTTTTTGTCCAATTACAACTTCTCTCTGGTTTCAAGATCTTTCCCAGCTCTGCAGAGGAAGCTGCTTCCTTCCTGGGAAGGCACTTGCCCATTTTTGTTTTCATTTGTTGGTATTATTGTCCTTCGCTAAGTCTTCCCTGAAGGCACCTTGTGAAGAGAATACACACAAAATCCAGACAAGCTTCTTTCTTCACAGATCATGAAATAGTACAGAGTTTGAGAATCTTAAAGATCTGGATTCACATTACATCTTTACAGTGTGAGCAAACCAAATAGTCTTTCTGAAACTCAATGTCCTCATCTGTAAAAGGGGGTCCCAATAAGTACTTCAGTGTTGCTGCTGCCAGGATTCAATGAGATTATCCTTGTTAAGAGGTCATTACACTTCCTGGCATCCCAAAGTGCTCTTTTTTATCCCTTCTTAACCCTCTTTTTGCCCTCATTAAATTTTAATCGAACATCACAATTATCTTCTTTTCCAAAATACGGTCAAGTGCAAACATTTCAAACTTGAATTTAGCACTTTTTCTAAGCCAAGACAATCAGTCTATACCAATACCAATTTGGCATGCCCTCGCACAAATGTGATATTCAATATAAAAGTGGGTTGCAAGAAGCAAAGAATCAGAAATTGTAATAAAGTAGAGGAGGGGAAAAATTCTAATGGAATTCAGAACCAAAATTGAGTTGTCCAAATCTATTGTTTATATGTGGGTTTAATTTTACCAGAACTGCTTGCTCAGCTTCATATAAATCCAGGAAAAAAAAGCCACTTTCACATGAAGAAATATGAACTGGAATTCAGAATACAGCAAAGAAAAAAAAATTCAGCTCTCATCTGTCTACATGAGCAAAATTATTTCACTAATGTTCTTTCTGATTCATGGTTTCTACTTTGTGATAGCTTTAGATGGAGTCCACAGAAACTAAAAGGTCTCTGTTGCAGCAGAAGAGTATGAATAGTTTGCTCTTCCTATTAGGTGAGGGATGGCAAGTAAGTTACTGGTATCTCCAAAGACAGAAGAATGCTGGGTTTGCAAATTTGCCACCTGTAAACTAGCCTTCTTAGGTTGAGGTGAAACAAATATATTCAGGGGCCTATCCAAAGATAGCAGACAGTGTACAGTTTCTGTCTGATAAGTGCTATGCATCACTTTATTTTAGATCTTTGCATTCTTCTCAGTTTAGAGAATACAAACAAAACTCAGTGAGACAAGTCATATAAAAAAGATGCTAAACATTATCCTCACCACACCCTTCCCTCCACTCCCCCACCTACCTTCTTTTTAAATTCTAACTATAAAAAAAGGAAAAAAAGAACTTGTATACGCTTCTAATTATGTGGCAGTTGTTCCTGAGCTGGGAATACATATTCCTAGATGGTAGACAGGTTGCCTCAGACTGCAGACAAGTTTTCTCAACTGCCAATGCCCAGCAGAATTCTCAAAGGAAGGGATGAGGAGCTATCTCCTTCTGCAGCAGCTATGTCCTTAGAATGTTCAATTGAAACATCCTTTTGCTAGTATAAGCCATAGCCTGCTTACAATTTGGCTACCAGCTTGGGTTCTGCCCTACTGAGTTGTATAAAATAAGTGTGTTTCTTCTCCATCACGGCTCTTCAAAGTCTTGATGTTCCCTCTTGGTTTATTTTGTTCTTTACTACACAGGACATTATTCCTTATAACCAATCCACTCAGAAAGCATCACACTTCTGCATAACTACAAAAATATGGCATTGATATCTTAAGGAACAGCAAAAAAATGTATCTGTAGGGAATAGACAACTCTAATCCTTTCTCCCCATAAGTATTTCTTTCTAACACGGCTGAAATGCAGACTTGCTTGTAGATGTCCAACAAGAAAACAAATGCTAGAAACATTTCCAAAAGAATTAACTTTCATAGAGTTAAGCTTTATCCCTATTGGCAGATCTCCATAAAGGAAATTTTCTGTCCAAACGTGACATCCACACCTCTAGTACATAAAGCTGTTCTTTAGGTCAGATAAGTCAGTAGGTTAGTAATAATGAGTTGCATTTCTAAGTGGGGTCTATAAAGGAATTCAGAGTGGTGAGAAGCCCTAGATCTATCAAAGGTAGACTTAAAGCACCAACCTATACATTCAACGCAACTGTTGTAAATTAATGTTTCCCATCAAAAATGATACATTTTATTAACTGGCATCATACATTTCAAAGCCAGATGTGCTGTGTATATTCATGTGATAACAGAAGATGAATGTTTTCTGCATAGATCTTCTTGAATTTGGTTCTTTATGAAATGCTGAACAATTTTTCCCTTTGCTTTTGAGTTTATCAAAGCCACAACATAAAAATCATTCTTTAGGTGAAGAAGCTGATTTTGAGTTATTTTCACTGAATATTGTTTTCTTTATTACAAATGTCCAGGCTTTCTCTATTCCCTAAGTCAAGATACTTTGTAGTCTGACCTAAACTGTAAAGGAGATAAAATGGAAATTTTTAGATACTGACATACAGCTATGAGATTGGCACAAGGGTAACTGCTGTTTTTGCCATTAAAAATAATTATTTTAATGACAAAAACTGCAATTACTTACCACAGTTACTTTTGCACCAGTTTAATACTTAAAAAGCAAAGGGGGGTTTGCTTCTTGAAAACAATTTGATGCATTAATTTTCCACAAAGTTCCCATCAGATGTCATCAAATTCAACACACTGTGCAGATGGGAAAAGACTGACTATTGAAACAATTAACTATTGTGAGTCATTTCCTCAATCTGCTTTTGTTTTAGCCAAGATGTCAAGTGGTGACAGACACTGTTAAATTTCACAAACTCTACTGTCTTCTTGGAAATAGCATAATACAATTGACATAGCTCAGCTTGATAAATCTGCCAAACTAATGGTGAGGACTCTTTCCTTCTACTTTTCAATGCCAAAATCCAAAGATATTATGCAGAACCTATTCAACAAGAAGAGGACAAAGTCCATTTTGTTCTATCTGAATAGTCCCACTTCATCACCTGCTGGCTCTTAGTTTCCCAATCTCTTTGAATCGAAGCTGAAATGAACAAGGTAAAAATTTCATTTATTCAATCTCCACTATCTCACATAAAGGTCATCATGGAGCCTGAATTTTTCTGAAGTCTGCCATTTGCTTCAGCTTGGCCTGAAAGTTTCTACCTTAGATGACCCAGTTTACCACTTACCACTTTAGATGACTTTTAGATAATCAAAAGCCACTTGCCCTAATGTAACTAAAACATTATCTTGGATATATGACTTTACTATTCATGGGCAGCATGTCATTTGCATGTCTAAGGAGGAGGGGGACAAAACCCCCCCATGATGGTCTTGTTCCAATCAGGGAAAAGGACTCCTAGGCAGCTTCTCCAGCACAAGCTTCCAAATCACTACCTATTCTTTTGTCACTTTTATTTTCATGGTACATAGCTCACTACCTTCTAGAACTCATCTCTGACCGACTCTGGAGGAAAGAACAGTAAGACCTCAGGAACCCAGGTAAGCCAGGAACAAGGCCACGGCCCACTCTCCAAGGTAAGAAAGGAGTTCGGGGATTCCAGCCAGCTGCAACAGCCAGCTTCAGGCAAATAAAAGGTGACCATTCCAGATGTACAAAGGCAACAGCTGACCCAAGATTGGACAGAAGAACATAGCACCTAGTATGCAGGAAGAAACCAATATCTGGCACTCTGGAAGTCATCAGAAAGCCCATCCAATCTTGGCAGGACCCCAGCCAGCAAAAAGCAAACACCACCACCAATTGGTTCCACTTTAAATGTATGACCACCAACCTCAAATGGGCTCTGTATTAGTCCATTCTGAAGCTGCTATGAACAAATACCAATACTGGGTAATTTATAAAGAAAAGAAATTTAATTGACTCATGGTTCCACATGGCTGGGGAAGCCTCAGGAAACTTACAATCATGGCCAAAGGCACGTCTTCACAGAGCGGCAGGAGAGAGAATGAGGGCCAGCAGGAGAAATGCCAGATGCTTATATAAACATTCAGATATTGTAAGACTCACCCTCAGCATGGGGGAAACCACCCCCATGATTCAATTACCTCCACCTGGTCCTGCCCTTGAATCATGGGAATTATGGGGATTACAGTTCAAGGTGAGATTTGGGTGGGGACACAGAGCCAAACCATATCAGGCTCTTAATATTCCTGGCAATCACACCACATTTCCAAAGCACATTTACTCTCCCATTCCCAGAGTGGTTTTTCACAACTCCCTCTTCTCAGACCTCTCCAGCACTGCCTTTCCCTATATATTCTGATGACCTTTACTTTAAAAAATTGAAGCAACCAGAAGAGAACCTCCATGGACTTCTACCTCTGTCTCTACCTACTTACCTACCAACATCTGTACTCATATAGTCTGGTTTCCCACCTATGAGCATATTCTCCATACGTCTGTCCTTCCACCTGAGCACTTTTTAGGTCTTTTGCCTTTTTGAAGTGAAATGGACTGAATGTCTGTGCCCACCCAAAATTCATGTTAAAATCTTAACTCCTAATATAATGATATCAGGAGGTAGGGCCTTTGGGAAGTAGTTAGGTCATAAAGAGAAGGCTTCATGAATGGATTAGTGCCCTTTAAAAGAAACCCCAGAGAGCTTTCTCATACCTTTTCTGCCACATGCAGATACAATGAGCAGACAGACACCCAGAGCTCAGGAGAGGGCCTTTGCCAGAACCCATTTATGCTGGCACCCTAATCTCTGACTTCTGGCCTTAAGAACTGAAGGAAATATGTTGCTGTTGTTTCTAAACCCCCCAGTCTATGGTACTCTGTTATGTCAGCCTGAACTGACTAAAACACAAGGATATGTATCCATCAGTTCACCTATCCTCAACAAACTTCTTTTTCTGCTAATCTTTTTCCCTTTTCGTACAAATGTGATTTAAATTTTTCCATCTTAAAACTATAAATGTATGTATATACAAATATATGCATACATACACATTATCTCTCTGTGTGTGCATGTGTGTGTGTGTGTGTGTGTGCGTGTGTGTGTGCGCATGTGCTTACCTTTTAGAGACTAGAGGATCCTTACAGATCATCTAAGCTAGTGGTTCTCAAACCTGAGGGAACACTAGAATTTCATGGGGAATTTTAACAAGAATAGCAATGTCAGGATTCTTTCTTTCAGAGATTCTGATTTAGTTGATCTAGGGTATGACCTGGGCATCAGTATTTTCTGCATTTCATGTGATTCCAGTGTGCACCCAAAGTTGAGAAACACTAACCTAGACTAGATTTTTTTGTTACATTAAGTAATGAAAGTACAGAAAGCTGAAGCAACTCACCCAAGCCCAGACAAATTTTAATAGCAGAGCCAAGACAAAAATCCAGCACAACTGATTCCTAGTCCCATGCTCTTGTGACAACATCAGGCAATATGTCATACACACACACACAAATGTAATCATTGGCAAAGAACTGTGAATGGCACCATAAGTAATGAACTCACTAATTGTTCATTTCCACTGAGGATATTGGCGTGTTAGTCTTCAGTCACAATAGGAGAGGTTAAAACCAGGATGCTGAGAAGGCAAGAGTAATAAGGAACATGAAGAAACTCCTGCCATGGTATCTACAGCAGATGTTTCAGAAGTTTCAGGATGGTGAAGGACCCCGGGGGAGGGTGCTGAGGAGCAGCATGAAGGACGGCGTGATAAATGAAGCTGTCTTTTTCCCATTACAGGAACATAGCGAGTTTCAAGAAACAAATCAGAAATCTAGAATGATTAATTGTGTGGTCCACAATGAGTCCTGTTGTTTGTCTATGAATCCCTTTGCTCTGCAGATCAGACACACCAGGTGCAGGGAAACACCTGGCTATGATGAACTCTCTGAATTTCATAGTAGCCCAGTCCAAAAAATGGTGAACAGTGGTTTTGTTTACAAGTAAGCTATAGGAAGGGAATCAAAGATGAAGAAATGGATATGGTGGAATAGGAAAAAAAGCATCCCGTTAACATGAAACCAAGCTGCTGCCATGCCTCTGGTTTTGCTTCCTCTTGTTCTAGACATACTTGGCATTAGTGAGGAACAAAATACTTTCAGGAAATCATAACTTCAATCTTTTGTATTTCCACTCACTGATTCAGCTGACCTAGCGTTCCCCATATGGAAGTTTCAGCTAAGCATTAGTAGTGAATAACACAGCAGTTAAGCTCGTGGTTTCCTGGGTCCAAATCCCATTTTTCTACTTACTATCTATGTGACATTGGACAAATTATCTAAAGTTTTTATGCTTCTCCATTTACCCAACTGATACAAGAAGGCTAATAGTACCCACCTCAATTGTTGTGAAAACTAAATGAGACAGGGATATAAGGTATGTGAAATAATCAGATGATAGCTATTGCTGTTAAAACAGGATGGCAGGGGAGATTTCCATTATTATTCTTTAAAATATTACAAGCACTTTAACAAGTATTCTCTTTATAGACAAAAGACTATGTCAATTACACACAGGTGTTGACCCTTCCTTAAGGCTGAAGAGGTACATTAATATTTAGTTAGCTAATTTTGTTGAGTTGTAGAAGCAGCATGGCCACTAGAAAGACCTAGATTCAAATACCAGCTCTGTTGTTTACTAATTGCAAGCCTTGCAAAAGTTATTTACTCTCTCTATGCCTCATCTATTTTTTAAAAGTGGGAAAAAAATACCTCATTTTCATGGTGGTTGTGATAATTAAATGACATAATGCAATGCCTCATATATAATAGGTGTCTATAATAATGGATAATTGACATTATAGCACATATATACTCTAAAGTAATAAAACTGATCTTGATTTTTAATGTTCTCTAATTGTTTTCACTAATTCACAACAGCATCTCTCCAAATTAGTTGGAATTTGTTATGTTTTGTCATATCGTTTAATTCCAAGTAAAGCTCTATGAAAAGCAACCATCTCAGAATGGCTTTTTAAGAGAGTATCATCTAAAACAGATTAATGTAGATGCAACTGTTTTAAAAGTATCCAGGGGAACAAAATTTAAAACCTCTTTTAGTCACACCTCAAACCCTCAGAGGGAAGAAACTTTTACATTTATCTTCTTCAAGGATAAACAATTGGGTTTAGATTAATTGAAATCATGGGGAAAAAACAAGAACACAGATCTATGTAAAGCAGAGTATATATGACAAGTGTTTCCAAATACGTGGTAAGAAAGTTGGTACATTAAATATCTCTGGTTTGTCTGGTTTCTAAAAAGTCAAGGAAGTTAAATTAGGTTTATTTATTTCCGAAGTGATCATTTGGATTATGTTATCAAAAATGGGATGTCAGCGTCTCTGAAAGCAAAAGACTCAAAATACAAAAAGACAGTTTCATGGTTGGCCACGCCTATTTCTGAGATACTCTACGTCGGAAAGTATCTTAGACTGAGTTCCCTGGAAGCAGATACTGAGACAAAGATTCATGTGCAAGTGGCTTATTAAGAAAGTGCTGTGGGTGAGCAGCAGGGGGAAGAAGTGGAAAGGAAGAGAAGAAGAGCTGGCCAGAGAAGGCAAAGAGGACAAGTAAGGTTTGTCCTGTGGAAGGCAGCTTTGGCCTGGCCCTTCAGGAGAACTGTGTAGGGTTAATGTTTCCGACGTGAAGTACAGCCCCTGGAGCGTTCCTACAGCTGTACCTGTCAGTCATGGGCTGGGGTCCTCCCAGAAGATGAGACATAACATCCCAGGCACTCCTGCTCTCTAGAGCAATCCACCCACGAAGAGTCACATGTGCTCTGTGGTGGCCCTCAGAAGTAAAAACACATGGACTGGAGGAAAAGCGCATGGAAACGGGAAAAAGCAAGTGTTCATGGAGCAGAGAGAGGAAGAGAGAAAAAATTACCTTTTCTTTCTTAGCTTTCCTTTCAGCTACTCCAATTTAATTTGTTTCTCTCATTATACCCCCATTTTTCTGTTATGAACACAAAACCTATGTTCAACCTAGAAATAGTTGACATATACATTAGCCCTTATAAGTAGTGTTGCCATCAATCCAACTTAGATTAAGACGAATGAAACAAGAAATAAGCTAGTGTGTTCACACTAAAAACTTTTTATACTCACAGTTAATTCAAAGTGTGCATATAGGCAGCTTAATAGGGGAAACTGTTACTATTTCGTTATGATTATGAGACAAAAAATGTGCAAGAGTGATAGTGGTTCTTTATATTAATCGCATAACTTCATACTTTTAATAAGCAACTATACCGTTTTTGTAAATATTTTTTCCAATGTTATTTTGTTTTGACTCTTTATTAAAATGTAAATTTACTCCTGTTGAAACCAAAAGTAATGAATTGGGCTTATACTTGGTATGTCTTTTCATTTCTTTTGTTTGTTATTGATTCGTATTTTGTTTGATAATATTGTCAGCCCAAGACAGACTGGAAATTTTAACATACTTCGTCTAGCACCACAGCTAGTTTGAGGAGCACTGCTTTTACCCTAGGCTGCTTCCCAGATGCCTGGGGGGCAAGTTCAGCCTCGGAGCAGAAGCAAAGCCAGCAGGAAATAGGAAGAGGCGAGCCCACATTAATAATAATGATACCATAATACTACTAACTCTGTCTGAAACATGGTAACACACGATTCCAGGTAGGATATGAAGTCAGCTTCATAAATTATGAAACCTAAGTCAAGATTGCATTTGTTCTGCAACGATTGGAACAAGTTTTTTCCTCACGACTGAAGCTAGAAACAAAGATTGAAAAGTAGGGCTGCCATCTTGTGGCGAGATCACCCAACACCAGGTCCAACTGTGCCTTCCTCCACCCATCCCCGAAAAGCAAGCCTCTCTCCCCACCTCAGGCCCTCTGAGTGTTTCTGGGAACTCCAACACTCCTTCTTTCAAAAACAGGACTCAAGAATAAGAAAAACACCCCTGCCTGCCCTATTTTCCTTCCCAGCAGAGCTGCATGTGGTGAGGTGGGCTTTCCATCGGCCTCTTTAATCATGGGACATAAAGATTCCACCTGCTTATGGCTGGAGGGAGCCCCTCTGTGGAGCAGAGCCCTTTTGTCCCCTCCACCAGCTGTTTTCTCCATCTTTCACCTGTCGCAGAAAGCCGATGAAGCAGGAATCAGCCTGGGGCCGGCCCAGGATTAGCTTCACCGTGTGCAACAAATAGATGGTGTGTGGGGAGGGCTTTTAAGGCAAGTGCTGCCACAAACAGTGCTGTTTTGAGGAAATGATGGTTGTGAGGAATTTAGGAAGCCATTTGTCACTTGTTTTCAAGCAGTACCACACAAAGCAGGCTAGACAGAAGAATGGCAATTCCATTTTCAATGCCTTTTTTCCAACCATTTCTGGAGATCTAATTCAATATATTACAAACATCATATCCTCATATTGAACATCTGTCTCAATCTCTGCTTTCTGAATTTAATGGAAATGAATTGACAAAAATACAGAGAGAGACAATTCCTTGTTTGGTTTGAATGAAAGATTCATTTATCTTTTCCTGGATTTCTAATTTTGCTAAAATTTTGGTCATAATTTAAGGCTATTACAGAGCACCCCTGTAAGACTTTGGGCTGCAAATGACAGAAATACAACTCAAATGCCCTGAGAATAGGAGTAAAAAAGAAAAGGAAGTAGATTGACTCAAATAACTTGAATTCTACGTAGGCTTCAGGCACCACTGGATCCAGGGTCTTAAACAATGCCACTGGCTATCTGACTTTCCCTCTGTCACTTAGCTTTATTTCCTTTCATATGTGGCTTTATTTTTGCAGACAGGATCTCTCCATATAGTAAGGGTAAGGACAATCAGCAGTGGAGTATTCACATCTCCACCCCAGCACTTTGACTTCAAAAAAGCATAAAATAGTCTTTTGTTATCACTTAAGGAAAACTGTGGTGATTAGCCCCACTTGTGTTGCATATCAGCTCCTGGCACCACAAAAGATTGTCACAATGAAACCACACAGGATGGAGGAGAGCAGTTCAGGAAGGAAGGGATGCTGGCCCACAATTTAGAGAAGAAACTGAAAACTCTCTACTGTGTTCTTGGACCAGTCTGTGGATAACATAATCATCTCCCTTTTCTTCATGATTGGTCCTAATCTCTATACCCAGGGACCAGGTCTGGCTTTTGACAGTGAGGCCAATACAAGGTCACAATGGTACTCTTGGTGACCCACTATTACCCTATCTGAGCACCAGCACAGTAAAGATAAATTAAGAAGACTTTGCCTAAAACATTCTGCATCTTGAGCAAAATCAGGGATTAGATCAGCTGAAGTGTCATGTCTGGTACCTCTTGGAGCTCTTGGCACAGGGTATAAGCCAAAGGAAAGCAGATAGTCTTTTTTTCTCTAATTTGCAACTTTTATTTTAAGTGCAGGGGCACATGTGCAGGATGTGCAGGTTGGTTACATAGGTAAATATGTGCCGTGGTGGTTTGCTGCCCAGGATAGTCTATGACTACATTTGTTATCACACACTCCATGATTCACCTCCTATGTAGCAGAGATCAACAAAGGAAGTTTTCCTATTTTATGGGGAAAAAAAGTGAGTAACGTAATAACACTGATAAGTAAAATCCTGGAATAAACTCAATACCTAGGTTCTGGCCCTGGATCTGCTCCCATTTTGCCATACATCTTTAAGAAAATAGCCTTTCTAGTTAAAAAGACAAAGGAGAAAAAAACAGAAAATCTGAGACAAATTCTGCACTAGGATGCCAAAAGGGGATTTGTTTTCTGTTGTCCTTATAGTGTAAATAAGGCACAAAGCTGAATACTAAAATCAACAAGCATCTCAGGTGCTAAAAAAATGTTCAGCTGTTACAACCAACTATCCCTCCACAGCATTCTGTGAGGCCCTGGGACAGACCTGGCTCTACCACTAACGACCACCCACAACTTCCAGCCCATCCTTTGTTACAAGAGGACAGGGAAAGGCAAGGCAAACCCTGTGGGGTGTATGGGCTTGGGGTGAAAGGTTACTCCCTCAGCAGAGACACACAAGAGAAGCACCAAGAGATGCTTTCAATGCATCTCGCTGTTGATTGGAAATAGTCCCATCCCACCCCCATTCTCTGTCCCCTCAGAGAGTACAGAGGGGCAGTTCCCTCAATTTCACACGACAGCTCAGGAGTTGGGAGGGGCATGTCAGGAGCCTTGGAGCTTCCCTGGGTAGCACTGGGCCAAGTGTGTGCATAGCCAATTACACAAAGAATTGCCACTACACTAGTAATTGTTGTCTTGAAACAGTAACTAAGCAAATAATACGTGAAATAATGATTTGTCATATTCAGCCACCTACAGGTACACTTTGAATGAATTGTGTACATTGATTTTTTAAAACCTGAGAAGGGGGTTCAATGAGTGCAACTCAAAAGAACACTGGATGCCCTCGAGAGGGGCCCGTCAGTGACAGCAGAGACCAGCATGAAGCTGAAAACCCCATAATGATCACCATGACAGTAGAGGCCACGAGCATCAGACGGAACTTGATAGAACCACCCAAACCAGGGACCAGGATCCCTTCCACTGGCATCTCAGCAGTCCCATGAAGGGACCTTCCTGTCCCTCGTCTCTGTCCCAGAGCATGCGAGCCAGCATCGCAAAGCCAGGCCAGACCTCTCCTCCTCCCTTCCAAGCAGCCTGGATCAGAGCTTGTCTGTGCTGAGGGCAAGAGGAAATTAGCTTGTATTTAGATCTATGAACAGGGCTGGAAGCTGTAGTGCCATAGCAGGGGAGAGAGGTGGAAGTAGATGTGGTAGCTAAAGCAGCTTCTATTCCAAACCATGGAGCGGCAAGGCTAGACTGAAGTCCCAGTAAAGGAGCAGGACCCTGACTGCAGTCTGAGCATGGTAAAGACATTTCTGAAACAACCTTGTGATGGGACCTGCAGTTTGGCATCTGTGGTTTGGCCAGTGGTGTTCCTCTTCATATGGAAGGGCAGTATAGAAAACTGACCTAGCCCGCCAGGGTTCAATCCTGGCTAGTTACACATTCTTGGACAGGTTTCTCAACCTCTCTGAGCCTCAGGTTCCTCATGAGGAGATGGAGACTATAATAATATCAAACTCAGAGGACTGTTGCAAAAATTAATTTAGTCAAAATGCTTAGAATTGTGCCTGGCACGCAGCAACACTGTGTTACGAATGACTATTATCATTGTTACCTAGAGTGGTGGCTTTCATAACTAAAAACATATGATGGTTTCTAGAGTGGACCTAGACAAAGATGACAAACTTCTCAAATCAACAGAATACAAATAGGTCTCTGCAGGAGAAAAAAAAAAACACTCAAATCACTAAAGCAATAAATGATCAGTTTGCTACATTCTGACTATATCAAATGCATGGTTTGGTCTGATCTATTCATAGCTAAATTTGCAAAAGTTAAATTCAGATGAGAAAATTTTTTGAAGTATTTCACGATTCTACAGGACAGAAAATAATTCAGTATCCATATGATCTGGTAACTTATCTAATTTTATAAAATATGAATGTTTGTTCCTTTAACATATAAAATGAACACTGAATCAAAAGGACCCAGTCTTCTCCCATACACACCACTCTCCACACAGCAACCAGAATAATCTCTTAAAACAGGAAATTAGATCCAACCATCCCCCTGCTTAAAGCTCCCTACAGGCTGCTTCTCATCACACATGGAGTGAAATCCAAACTCCTTCCTACGACCTACAAGGTCTTACCACATGTTACCTTGGACTCCTCTCTAGACTTCCTTCTCACCTTCCCCTCTCACTTGACTTCCAACCACGTGAGCCTTATTCCTCAAGCAGGTCAAGCTGTTTCTCTCCCCGGGGTTTTATACCTGTTGTTCTCTTTATCTGTACACTTTTCTCCACATACAATTCCTACACCTCATCAAGAACACTACTTAAATGCCACCTCCTTAGAAAGGCCTCTAGAATCATTGTTTTTAAAATGGTTCTTTCTCCCCACCTCAACATCACTGCACCCCCTTATCTGACTTTACTTTTATAGCACCAATCAACAACTCAATTAATTTGTTTGTCTTCTTTAATATTGCCCCCACAACACTGTAAATCGCCAGGACTCAGAAAAATATCTGGCACACAGAAGAAAATAAAGAAATCTTTATTGAATGAAGGGAAAAAGGGAGGAATGATGATGAATTCACCTTCTCCCAAGACAATTTATTCATTCCATCTCTTAACTGAAAACAGCCTACCTAATTTATCATGCATTGTTCCTATTGCTATCTTCTGGAACAAAATACAAGATATCTATCTTCATTTGACATGATAAATATTTATTGAATAAATGGACAGATGGGTGGGTGGGTGGGTGATGGATGGATGGGTGGTGAGAGGGAGAGAGAGTGGGAGGGAGAGAGGGAGGGATGAAGGGATGGAGGAAAGGAGGGAGGGAGGGATAAACTTTGGTCTCAACCTGTGATAGATCAGAATCCCTATAAATTGTTCAGTTATTTTTAAGTAAATAAGTACTCAAACACTATAATTCTTTTCATTATTTTGCTCCTCATCTTTCATCTCTTTATGTCATTTATTCATTAAAAGACCTAGATTTCAGGTGGTCATTAAATTTCTTTTGGCTAGAGAGCTCCCGTGAATGTTAGACCTTGTGAAAACCCCTAAATACCTTTTATTATACAAAACTGTTACCATGATGCCCTCCCCTTCAAGTCTATAATATATTTTACTTATATCAAGCTAGCTTTCTAATTTCATCTCCCAAGCAGTAAAATTTCCAACAATCTAGTCACTGTCCCTGGCAGCTCCAGGAAAGTCCTTACACCAACCCCTTTTTCTTGTCAGATATGATGCTTGACACGCCCCCTAATTGCCAGCGTCCCACTCCTTATGCATAGCCCCCGTGCTCTGGTCCACCCAACTGTCATTTTTCTTCCAGGTAACATCATAAGTGCCAAGTCCCCATCTCCTCTCAAAAGTTCCATCCCATTCAGAGGTTGCATCAGCAACGTCGCAAGTGATCCAAGCTCCACAGCTCAACTCCATCCATCAAAAGCCTATCCACACACCCCAGCTCTGCACAATGACTTGCAGTCATTTCGGTTTTACAGAAAAACTAACCCTTTAGGATATTTGAAGGTGAGGTGGAAGAAGAAAGAAAAAATGGTTACAGACCTGGTCCTGAAGTCTAATCAAGAATGGTAAAAAATCTCCTCCCAGAAAGGATTTCACATTATCCAGTGACTTTCTAGATGGAGTAAACCACTCAAGGTTAACACTTATTACCCTAGAGATAGTCAACAGTGGCTCAGAACCCAGAGCTGTACTTGCACCAAGGCTCCTGCACTATTCTCCCAGTGCATCTCAATCTCCCCCTGTTATACACACACCCACATACACATCTTGCTGAGTTTCAAGCACCTCTAGCACTTAGCATAATATCTGACCCATCATAATAATAGCCAACACTTATCATCCACCATACCCTCTGCTCAGCATTTTACAAAAGCCTTCCAACCACACTAGAATTAGAACTATTATTATCCTCATTTTATAGATAAGGAAACTTTCACATGTTTATCTCTCTTATTTATCTCTTTTATTTAACCAGAATCTATAAAGAAGCTGTTCCTGTCCACATTTTTTAGACAAGGAAATTGAATACTAAAGAAATTAAATAACTTGAATAATCAAAGCCAGCCATCTGTTCCACGTGGCAGGACAGATTCAAAACCAGGACTCTAACTCTACAATCTATGTCTTTTTCATCCTGCAGGAGGAAGGACATCAAAGCAGGGTGTCTTTTTCATCCTGCCTCTCAAGAGTAGTCTGCCATGAGAAATACAAAACCATGCAATTTAATAATCAAAAATACATTTTAAAGAAAAGAGAAGTAGATGTACTAGATAGCTGGGATGTCTTGGTTGCTACAGTTGAATATTAACTTAACTGTAAGCTTCTGCCTGCCAGCTAGGGCAAAAATTCTAGGTACTGGACTGGTCCTATGAGTGAGTCAGCATACAACAGCTACGTTGGAGGGTTAACTTTCTCCAGATTCCATTTTTAGGTATGTAATAATAAATGTGCAATGTCCTGTCCTGATATATTAGAAAGGATGTATTTACTTTAAGCACATGTATCCACATAGAGTTCATAGAACTAATACACACATAGAATATAGGGATGATTTGCAAGAACTCCCCCTTATCACAGGATGCATTCCTCCTGCAGAGCATGCAAAGTGTAGAGCAGTGGAGAGAGAAGGGGTTCACCAAGGAAGGCACTAAAGGAAAAGAATGATCATTTGTTAAAGTATTATGCCATCTCATCCTATCTTCTCAACAGCTAAGTAAAATAAGCATTAATAGTCACGATTTTATACTTGATAATGGCAAAGGCTAAGTAATAACTAGAATATTATTTACCTAAAAAATAACTAGAGGAATATAATTTGAGCCTAGATCTATCACCTCCATTTCTTATAAATGGAAGATGGGCATCTGGTCCCCATTCCGTCTCTTGCTAGTTGTGTGACTGACCTGAGGCAAGTCACAAAAAAACTCCCTTGATACCTGAGTCATCAGCTGATAAAAGGGATCACTGGGTTGGTGGAAAAGTAAAAATGAAATAATAGGTAAAACTGGCTGGGCACAGTGGCTCATGCCTGTAATCCCAGCACTTTGGGAGGCCAAGGCAGGCAGATGGCTTGAGCCCAGGAGTTCGAGACCAATCTGGCCCACATCTTAAAACCTCATCTCTAATAAAAATACAAAAATTAGCTGGGCATGGTGGCACGTGCCTGTAATCCCAGTTACTCAGGAGGCTGAAGTGGGAGAATCACTTGAACCCAGGAGGCAGAGGTTGCAGTGAGGCAAGATCGCACCACTGTACTCTAGCCTGGGCAACAGAGCAAGACTCCATCTCAAAAAAAAAAGAAAAAGCTCCCTCTCCCTCTCCCGTCTCCCATCTCCCGTCTCCCGTCTCCCGCTTTCCACGGTCTCCCCCTCTCCCTCGTCTCCGTCTCCCGCTTTCCACGGTCTCCCTCTGTTGCCGAGGCTGGACTGTACTGCTGCGATCTCGGCTCACTGCAACCTCTCTGCCTGATTCTCCTGCCTCAGCCTGCCGAGTGCCTGGGATTGCAGGCGCGCCGCAACGCCTGACTGCTTTTTGTATTTTTTGGTGGAGACGGGGTTTCGCCGTGTTGGCCGGGCTGGTCTCCAGCTCCTGACCTCGAGTGATCTGCCCGCCTCGGCCTCCCTAGGTGCCAGGATTGCAGATGGAGTCTCGCTCACTCAGTGCTCAATGTTGCCCAGGCTGGAATGCAGTGGCGTGATCTCGGCTCGCTACAACCTCCACCTCCCAGCCGCCTGCCTTGGCCTCCCAAAGTGCTGAGATTGCAGCCTCTGCCCGGCCGCCACCCTATCTAGGAAGTGAGGAGCGTCTCTGCCTGGCTGCCCATCGTCTGGGATGTGAGGAGCCCCTCTGCCCGGCCGCCAAGTCTGGGAAGTGAGGAGCGTCTCTGCCTGGCCACCCATCCTCTGGGATGTGGGGAGCGCCTCTGCCCGGCCACCCCGTCTGGGAGGTGAGGAGCGCCTCTGCCCGGCCGCCACCCCGTCTGGGAACTGAGGAGCGTCTCTACCCAGACGCCACCCCGTCTGGGAGGTGAGGAGCGTCTCTGCCCCGCCGCCTCGTCTGGGATGTGAGGAGCGCCTCTGCCCGGCCGCGACCCCGTCTGGGAACCGAGGAGCGTCTCTGCCCGGCCGCCCCGTCTGAGAAGTGAGGAGCCCCTCCGCCCGGCAGCAGCCCCATCTGGGAAGTGAGGAGCGTCTCCACCCAGCCGCCCCATCTGGGAGGTGGGCAGCGCCCCCGCCCGGCAGCCGCCCCATCTGAGAGGTGGGGGGGCGCCCCCGCCAGGCAGCCGCCCCCTCTGGGAGGTGGGGGGCGCCTCTGCCCGGCCGCCCCGTCTGGGGGGTGGGAGGCCCCTCTGCTTGGCCGCCACATCTGGGAAGTGAGAAGCCCCTCTGCCCGGCAGCCACCCCATCTGGGAGGTCTACCCAACAGCTCATTGAGAACGGGCCATGATGACTATGGCGGTTTTGTCGAATAGAAAAGGGGGAAATGTGGGGAAAAGAAAGAGAGATCAGATTGTTACTGTGTCTGTGTAGAAAGTAGACATAGGAGATTCTATTTTGTTCTGTACTAAGAAAAATTCTTCTGCCTTGGGATGCTGTTAATCTACAACTTTACCCCCAACCCCATGCTCTCTGAAACATGTGCTGTGTCAACTCAGGGTTAAATGGATTAAGGGCAGTGCAAGATGTGCTTTGTTAAACAGATGCTTGAAGGCAGCATGCTCCTTAAGAGTCATCACCACTGGCTAATCTCAAGTACCCAGGAACACAAACACTGCGGAAGGTCGCAGGGTCCTCTGCCTAGGAAAACCAGAGACCTTTGTCCACATGGTTATCTGCTGACCTTCTCTCCACTATTGTCCTATGACCCTGCCAAATACCCCTCTCCGAGAAACACCCAAGAATGATCAATAAATACTAAAAAAATTTAAAAAAAAAGAAAAAAGAAAAAATACACACACAAGAAAAAACTGAAAAAGAATAGAGTATTTCATAAATTGTAGCCTCCTTACTTCTTATTCATCTTTTACAGCTTAGCTCAAAGTTATTTTCTCAGAGAAGCCTTCCCCAAGCTTCTTGATAAGATTCAATCCCTATAGTATACCTTTTTCTTTGTTCACCTTATTAGAGTCACAGTTTTCATTGATGCACTTACTGAATTGTCTGCCTCTCCAGTCTACAGCTCCATGAAGGCAGAAACCCACCTGGTTTGGCTCAGCATTATTATAACTCCAGTGCTTAGCACAGTGCCTGGCATTTAGTAGGCACACAATAAATTTTTGTGGGTTAAATGCATCAATATGTTTGTGTTAATGTTAAATTATACATTTTATATCATAAAATATACAATTACAATGTATAAAACTTGTAATTATAAAAAGAAAAATTAAAACCCAATTTATTACCTAGGAGCCACACTTTCTAGTCATCTTAACCATCTGGAACTTAAAAGTAAAAAGAAAAAAATCTATGGGGAAAATGACTGTCATAAAGCCCACACACTTGACTCTTTAGGAGACGTGGATCCACCCTCAAGCCATGATTCAGACAATCGGGCATAAAATAATGCAGGGAATGACAGCAGCTAGGACACCCGACAGCTATCAAGTGACAGCCAACAGCAGCAGAAGGAGCCAGAGTGTAGAAATGCAGCCTGGCTCTGCAGTACAGCAGTCTAAAGGCATTTCACTTGGGGGCCACTGTCCCAAGCACCTAGCATCCCCAGGAGACACTCTCTCATCACTTAGTGCAATGGCTGATGTTCCAGGGAGTCTTCAGGAGAATAAATATAATGTCTAAGACACTCGGTGTATAAGCAAAAAGACACAGTCAAAGATCCCAGAAATGTGTGCCTGCCAGAGTGAAAAATTAAAACTGTTTCAGCAGTACATAAACTTCCCTAAAACGGAAAAGATGTGTCACCCCATGACTGCTTTGCATAACTAAGGTGTCAGTGATACATGCTTTCATCAGGTACAGGTTAGAACCAATTATTTGTGTTTAAACTTCTCCTCTCAAGAAGTCTTCACACCTCCTACCAAGGTCTTATAAGTGAATCCCAAAACAAACTTCAGAGCACCACTATAAATTCTTATACAAATGACCTAAGTAAGAAATTATTTAGTCCCGATCTCTCCTTACCAAGCTGGAGAAACATGCAACCTAAAGCCAATTTACAATGCAGGACGGCAGGGGCACAGCCAGCCAGGTGCACACAGAGGATACAGCAAGGTGATAAAGACGAAACTATGATCATTTGCAGATTCAAATAAAGGGAATTTCCAAGAGCAGAAAAAATTCTAACCCATTGCTAGGTTCACAGCTAAGACCTCCATATGACAGATAAGCATACAGATTTATTTACTATAAGTTTTACATGACAGAGAGCCTTCAGACATGAACACCCAGAGAAACAGAGAAATCTATGTATTTTCATACTAAGTTTGATGAAGAAGTAGATAGTTGTGGAGAACTATAACTGGAGGACAAAAGGGCATGATCTAATGGTAATAAACTGGGAAAATTTTAGCAAGGTCTGTTTCGTTCAAATCCTTCTTAGTGTGTCTGTGTCTTCCAGGATAAAGATATTCCCTTCCTCAGGGTACAGGGAGGGTACCTCTTATGAACTACTTTACAGGAAGGTCAGAGAATTCATTTACGGCCTGCTTTAGGAGAGAAAGGCAAGAGGAAGGTCAGAGAGACTTTCCTACTACTGCTGTTTTCTCCAATACTAAAGTACCATATTTTGGGATCCCATGTCCTGAATTCCATCAACTAATTGGTACAAGAACGAGGAAGCCTCCGTGAAAGCCAAGCTAGAAAAGAGGTTTGTTCTCATGGTTAGAGTTCACACATATATTAGCTAATACGCAATATATAATAGTGTGTAATATTACACAACTCTTTGACTACGCTATGTCTCCATTTTTTTGTTTGTTTGTTTGTTTTCTAGATGGGGTCTCTGGGTCTGTTACCTTGACTGGAGTACAGTGGTGCAATCTCAGCTCACTGCAACCTCTCTCCCTCCTGGGCTCACGTGATCCTCCCACTTCAGCCTCCCTAGTAGCTGAGACTACAGTTGTGCACCATCATGCCTGGCTAATACTTGTAATTTTTGTAGAGACAGGGTTTCGTCATGTTGCCCAGGCTGGTCTCCAACTCCTGGGGTCAAGCGATCGGCCTACCTCAGCCTCCCAAAATACTAGGATTACAGCATGAGTCGCTGGGCCCGGCCTCATATCTCATTTTCTATATTTGTAATATGGGAATAGGGTTTTGAGGAGAATTAAACAGCTGATATAAGTAAAGAACAGCAGCTGGCACATAGAAGGCACTTTTCAAGTGTTAGTTATTATTATTGTTAATATAATTATTATTATTCAGCAACTAACCCGTTGTTGTGTACTGAGCTAGGCTATTAGCCAGAGCAAGAAAGAAGACAGACATGCAAAGACAGATGATTAAACAAACAAAAACAGTAACTAGTTTTACGTAAGGGGAAAGGGGAAATTAAAAGGTTGCTACGGCACAAAAAATGGTGGTGAGGGAGCTACCTTGCTTAGAATGAGCAAGGAAAGCCTCTCTGAGGAGTTAGTATTTAAGATGAGAGGAAGTCAATTGTGCTAATACCAGAAGGAAATTTGTTCCAGGCATAAGAAAGAGTAAGTGCAAAGACCTTGGAGCAGAAAGAAGCATGGCAAGTTCTACAAACTGTTAGGAGTCCTGATGTGGCTGAGCTGAGTAAGCCAAAGGGAGAGTTTTGAGTCCAAGGAGAATGGAAAAGTGAGCCAAGGAGAACGGAAGGACAATCTGAGGCTAAAGAGTTCATCCCAGTGTCAATGCACTCCAGTTAGGTCACATGCCCTTTGGAATATAACAGAATTTCTCTTTCTGTCTCTCACTCTCTGACTCCACTTTCCATTTCTATGAACTGTGACAGCAATGCCCATAATACAGGATCATACTCAGGAGTAATTCTCATACTATTAACCTTCTCTCTTGAGTTTCTTAAATAAACATACTCTCAAAGGTAAACACATGAAATAGATACTGGTAACCATTTTGTGAATATCATACTGAATCCTAATAAGAAGAGGTTAGGAAAAAGAACTAACATTTATCCATCCCCTTCTATGCACCAAGCACTGCTCTAGACACTTAACAGATATGTTAAATCACTTAATTCTCACAGCAACTTTCTGAGGGACCTATCAGTATCTTCATCTTACAGAAAAGATATTAAGCTTAACATCAGAGATGTTAAGTAACTTGCCCAAGGTGACCCAGCTAATAAGGCAGAACTTGGATTTGAACATAGAACTCTCTGGCTCCACCATTCATTCCAGCAAGAGCAATTTATTCCATATTAAGCACTTCTCATGAGTTAGACTTTATTTAGTTAGCTCATGCCCATTTCTCTTTGACATTTGGCATTTTACCTTTTTTGTGACCCGGAGCATAACGGCTAAGAGCCAAGACCTTGGCAGACCCAGCTGAGAAAGGCATTTATCTGTTGGAAATAACAGAAGACACCACAAAGAAGATCTGTAGGAGCTACTTCACTAGGGATTTAAGAGTAAATGTTTTACTAAGAAAAGAGAAGTTTAGAGCTTGTGAGCATCTTGCAAATAGGAAGCTAATTTGCTTTATCAATTTTTGTCTGCTGTGCTTGATCCTTGGGATAATTTGTGAGCCACTGTATCAGCCTCACTTACATTGTAGTCTTTTATCATATGAAAGCAAGATATATTTCTTGCTGTCAAAACTAATCAAAGCATCTAAAGAAACCAAAGCAACCTTATTTACTTCCTCAGAGATCACAGCAAATGTCCTCCTGGTATTTTTTTTATATACGTTGTTTTTTTTGGTTTTTTTGTCCACACATCAGGTCACTTAAATTAAGGACAATATATCTTCATTTCAAATGCTGGTTGATATCCCTTAAATGTTTGCTCTTTAAAAAAATTTAATTCAAGTCTAAAACTGGCAATAATGGACACTGTATTATTAACGATTTAAATCAAAGTTTAATGCTTTTGACATCACAAAGACACAGATCCCACATTATAATAACCTTTGCCAAATGAATAGTAAACTAAATACAGGCTTCTGAGACAGCTAATCCTAAAAGGTGTGATACAGATGAGAGTAGTTAAATATAGCAATTATTGATATATGCTCTCATTCCAATATAGGGGAGGGATAGAGGTTGTTTAATTTTAATATCCCCAGAGGTTGACTTTGCTCGTAACATTTATAAAATATTGAAAGACAAGAAATGGTACAGATGTGAATTCCGCAGTTGGTTTTTTCAGTTGCCCTTGAAAGCAGCTGCCATAAATCTTGGATGAAGCCAATAAGGCTGATGATTTTGATCTTCAATTCATTCTTTTCTATCCTTCAAAAGGTAAATGATCCTGATGGAATTAGAGCTAAGCAGAATGGCTTTCTTCTGTGATCTGCATAGCAAATGATGCGCGCTGCCATCATTAGCAAAGTGGAGCCAGTTCCCTTGTGTGGCTGTGCATGTGCACTCAGGCTTGAACAGCGTTTTGAGTGAGAAAGACTCTTAAACACTGAGCTCAGAAACCTTCCATTTCCCTTCCCTTCCCCCCTTGATTTTACTTCTCCCTTCTGTGTCAGCTCAGCAGAATGCCAAACTGTGAACTGAATGTATGAGAATCAAGTACAAAGCTCTCCCAATTCCTGCTTTGGCATTTGAAAAAGTCTCAGCAAAAGATTTTTTTTCAGGCTGACTCTGAAAAGAGTACTACAAAAAGTTGTAGAAAAGTTATATTTAAGGCAGTTCAAGGCTTCCCTTACAGAAAACACTGGGGCCTTTCCTACTGAAACAGCTAAGTCAGATGAATCCTTTTCTATCCCTGTGGTGAAACATAATGTGGCTTTCTTAGGTCCCACTCAGTCATATGATACAATAAGACATTGTATCCTGTCATTAGGGATGGCGATAAATGTATTTGTGTGGGTTTGCAACTCTGCATCAGACCGCAAGGCAAACCCAGTTAAAACAACCACAGAGAGAATCATCTATCTTCATAAATTCAGTTGCAAAGAGAAATTCATCATGTTTACTGTCTTTAAGAAAGGAGTGAGTCTTGTAATAAAATGTTCTCTGGTCCAGATTCTTTGTATTTATGGGGTCCTTTTCTTTCTGCCTTTCACACAGAGCATGGTATATTCTAAAGCAGTGCTGTACCTTCATTAGCATAACATAATAAATAAGTTATGTGCCTTGGAATGAAGAATGTGCTTGGAGAGGGTGAGAAAGGAATATCCCTTCCATGGTAAGTGACATTCTTTAAAAGCTGTAGGTATAAGAAACTGCAGGGCTGAGCATTCTGAACCAAAAAAAAAGCAAAAGATACAAAGGACCTTTGAAGATATACCCCATCCTTCCCTACTTTGTTACTCCCTAAATTACAGAGAATTTTTGTGGGAATATGTTCATTTATTCAACAGACATGTATTCAGTATTTCTGTGTGCCAGGTATTGCAAAAACAAGCATCCAAAAATAATAAAATAGTTCTAAAACCATTTTTTTTCATTTTACCTTGAAACACTTTGCTATCGTATGCATGAACATAGACATGAACTCCCATAATATGAAACTGGCCACTTTTCTAAGAAAAATGACCCAAAATGGGCTTTTAGGCTCATTGTGATCTTTTTCTCCGTCCCTGGGCCAAAGAAAAGTGATGACAAATGTTGTAAGCCAATCTAGGAGCCAGGGAAGTTCAAGGGCTAGAAGAATGTTTCTGAGCTACAGTGGTCTGTGAGCACTTTTATGGCCCATTTGTCAGAAGCTTTGTGGGGTGTCCCTCAGCTTTGTCCTTTAAATTGTATAATTCCATCAATTTCTGCTAGTGTCCTGGAAAATTTATATTATCTTAGCTTTCTTGCCTAGTTTTAAACGATTTTCTAGGAGGAGGGGTATTTTTCAATTTAGCTTTTATTTATTTTTTTTTTTTGATGTCACATTTCAAATAGAGAAGAGGATGAATTCTGGAAATTAGTGTGACAGAGCAAGGACTCTGGAATCCAATTGCCTATGTGTGAATATTTTCTCTACCTTTTATTAGCTCTGAGTCTTTGGCAAAGTTTTCTAACCTATTATAGCTCATTTTCTTTACTTGTAAATTGTGGGTGATAATTCCTACCTCATAGGGTTATGAGAGATTAAATGAGGTAAAACTTGTAAAACACTTGGATGAATGCCTAGCACATAGTAAGTACACAATAAACAAAAACTGTAATTACAAACTGGTAAATTTAAATGTAATTCCTAATGGTAAATAAAAAGCTTTGGATGATTTGCAAATATTTAGAAAAATTCATGAATACCAAGAACAATGAATAGATTAAGAACAAATTTGGCAAACAAATCTCGTTTCATTGTATGATAGGACTAGTAAATTGGAGGGCCCAGGAGAGCTCCATGATTATGATAGTTGTAGAGTTCCTCCCAAGTCATTTGGTGTAGTCTCTGATTATTACGGTAACCATAATACTCTCCACCAAACCAGAATACTGTTGAGAGTGAAAAGGTGTGCTATTTAATTATGCCTCAATAGCAGGTGCAAAGCAGAACTTAATGGGGTAAACTGGAACTCTCCTGAGCAAACCAGTCTATATGGTCATCCTATCTACAACATCCTTTGAATAATAAGACAATGAGTTTGAGTGGTTAAGTTGACTCGTGTCTAGTTAAACAAACATATCCCAAAGAAGATGATTTGTGAAAATTCCAAGAACTCTGTCCTCCCACCTTTTCTCTATAACATTTTCATCAGTGACCTGGATAAAGATATAGGCTGCATATTAATTAAGTTTACAGGTAGCATAGATTGTAGCAGAATGGCTAATATGAGAGATGTCAGAATACAGAAATAAAATTATCTTTAAAGTGGAACATTAAAGTGAACTCAAGTAACTGTATAGAAATAAAATGTGAAGTCCTGGCTTTAGATGGAAAACAATCAATTGCACAAATGGGATGCAAAAAAAACGTTTATATGTTTTATAATGCTTTGTATGAATAAAAAAAAAGTGCCTACGGGGTTTAGTTGATCGCAAACTTAACATGAACTTTTAAAAGGCAGTCATGTCAGAGCATGCCTTTGCTCTGCTTTGCATTGGAGAGCTGTAATAGAACCAATAATCTGGAAAAAAAAAAAGCAGATTTTTTATTTCATTGTGAAACAGGCTGACTTGTAAGGAAGTGAAAGAATGCAACCAAACCATTGTTAAAGTGGATGTTGATGGGATTCTTGCATTGAGGAGACTGGACCAGATGATCCCTAAGGTCCCTCCCAATGAATTTCTTATGAATTTCCATATCTCATTCACACTACATCCCACTGCCAGGTATGCAAAATGTGTAGATCTACTAACGTTGCCTCAATTTTAAATGCTCACAAAAACCAAACTCTAGCATTTTTTCTTCCCATTTTAAGAATGTAGCTTTCTTCTTCTGGGTGGTTCATCATGCCAGCCTCTATGTTCCCAGGGCACCTTGTGCTTGTCTCTCTCTCTCTTTCTCTCAGCCCTTATCACACTGAATGGTAAAGAGTCATTCTTAATCTGCTTTCTACCACCAAACTAGGAGCTCCCTAAAAGGCAGAGCCTAGCTTCCATGAGTGCTTCATTGTTTTAAGAACAAATAGTTGGATAAAAGAACAAATATAAAAATGGATGGACATAAATCTGTATTCCCCTGTCTTTCCTAGAAAATATTTCTACTATTACTTTTAGAAAAATCTCTTTTCAGAAAAAGAAAAACAGAAATGTTAAAAAGGACTTAGGCAGCCTTCTGCTTAAAAAATGTCCCCCAAACCTCATATAATACAATCTAAGTGTTCTTCTCTGTGGAATCAAAAGTTCAATTCTCTCACAAATTACAGACTAATGCAACTATTTCCCCTCTATATAGAATCTCTTTACCAAGTGAAACAAACTCATGGCCATAGGAAAGCTAATGTTTCTGTTGTACTGCTTTTTAGAATTTAAAGCACTGATGATCAAACACACACTTCCCTTGGAATATGAGGAAAGGGTCACACATATACTTCCCCAGTGAGTTAGTTATTGTAGTTGTAAAAACCAAACCCTCTACAGCCTACAGTAACACTGATTTAAGGCCTAATTCTCTGAGCACACAATATAAATCCTTCCAGCCAAATGTCCACTGATCTGGAACTAGAATCCACAAGATAATCATCTTCAAAGAATCTTATAGTGCAACTAATGTAATGCAATCAATTTAAAAGACCAGCTTGCTTTTCCCTTCTTCTGCCACAGTGGAAAAAAACAACTGCAGAAAAACATGAACCAAGAACATTGCAAAATGGAGCTGGATTAGTAACGTGTGTACCTTTTAAATTCTACTCATTTGGATACCTGAATTTTATTTGTCCCTTCTCCAGTTGCTTTTCAAGAATATTATAAAATTACACAAGTTGCTAAGACATCCCCATATTTGTGGTCTCATGATGTTCAGAAAAGTATTGATATTCAATAATATCAGCTATCTATTACAGTAAAATTTCTTAGGTTTGGTTAACATTAAGTATCTGTTAAGCTTTTCACACATCTCACCAACAAATGATTGATTTGACTCTAGTTGCTTAATTTCAACTGAGCCTCAGTGCAGTCCTTTTTCTACCTAGTTTTTGTTTTCTTTCCTCCTTTAAAAAAAAATTGACCAACAGGAAAGAAAAGTGCTTTAATCCCTCACTTATTTTTAAATAAAATGTTCAGTTATCTCAGGCAGACAATAAGTCATAAAGTAGACACGGTGATTCAGGCAGTAATCTATGGGCACATAGATCATCCTGCAATGGTATATTAATCATTACACTTAAAGACAAGACAGAGGGATGACATTTTTTCAATTGTGTCTGCTGCAACTCAGCAACATTCAAGAATTTTTAATCTGGCCCATTTCTGCAAATAGAAATGGTTTTCATCTAGAAACATTTTCCAACCACACCCCTGAGCAGGATGAAAGCAACACCAGGAAAGTAGAACTGTTCCTGAACACAAAAAGGTTGTTTTAAATAGTTAAGAAACCAATGAGAATAATGTACCTTTCCAAAAGAATGTAATCCTAAAAATAGAAATGTTCCATGACAAAATCCAAGGTCTGCCTCCTGTGAGCAATATGATCTTGATCAAGTCACTTAACATTCAGCCTTCAATCTACCCCTCTGTTAAATGTGAATAACCATGTCAACCCTTTAGTATGACAGTGGGGGTACTGGCCATGTGTGCAAATTCCCTAGAAATTTGTAGTAATATGTGTAATCTGAATGCCCATATTAGGCACTCAAAACTCCAATTATTATTGCTTCAAAAACTTTTATCTTAGACATCCCTCGTGCTCTTAATATACTTATATAAGATCTCTGATTCAGCATCAGTTACTGTGTGCAAGGATAGCAGAACAGCAGAAGCTTCATCATATCTGCAAGGGCAACTCTAGCTAACAGCACCTACTGTCCGCCCTCCATCCTACTACAGTACACTCATTCTCTCCACACTGGAGTCTATGACTGATTGCCAGCATCTGGTACTTGCTTCTGTCTGACTGGTATCTGTAAGTCTTCTAGTAAACAAAAAATAATTCCTCCCACAGAAAGTTTGGGAACCCCAGTATACTCAATGCCAAACAGATTGTCATTCCAAGCATCAAGATATTGGGGGTCATGTAGATCTAACATATCAACAAATGACCAACCTCTTCACATTGTATGGAGAGAGCCCATAATTCCGTGCCTATTGTAAACATGGTAATAAAGTGAGATTCCTTTTAATAGTACTTTTCACATTGCAAAATATTTAGTCATTGCTTTCTAATGCCACTTTAGATTGTAATGTTATGTTTTTAAAACTTAGTAAACTCAGACTACATGGTTTCATTACCATTCTGGCTGGAATCCCAGCTTTTGGGTTTATCCCACTTCTCGAGTGGACTCAGAAGACTTCTGGGGCTCCTAATTGTATGGGCCATATTTACATCTCCTAATCTGACCTGAAATAAGTGTGAGTCATCCAAGCCTGAAAACTGGCCAGTCATTGATTTCTTGAAGCACAACCGTATTATTTTTTAGTTTCAAAGATTAGAAGGCGTAGAAAGTACAGCCATATCCAGGCTTTGGAGGACCTCAGGGCTACAAGCACCCTGTGATTGACCAAGAGAAGACCTTGCAGATACTGAGAATAAACGCCATGGGGAGAAGCGAGAACTGCTGCATAGGACTAAAAAAAGCAAATAAATGCTTTCTGTATTGGGATAAGTGAGGCAAAAGTTGGGGTAATTCTAGAAAGAGTATCATATAGTGAAGAGAAATGAAATCATGTATGTAACACGGTTAGTACAATGTTGGACACAGAGTAAGTACTGAATACAATTGTGATGACAATGATACTATACCTTATAGACTATGAGGTCTTCAAGAACTTCCAAGTGTAAGGACTATATTTTACTCATTTTCCTGTCCCTAGTATCCAGCTCAGTGACCGGGAGACAGATCTCAATTATCGTTTTTTGAGCAAAATTGACTAAAACCGAACAGAGAATTGCCACTGTTAAGAAAAGAGAAAGGCCAAGAGAAGAAAAATCAGAGAGCTCATGATGAAAAACCAAAGTGTGTAAAAAGACAGTGGAAGAGGTAAGCATCAGGTCATTGTTGAGGAATATTCACACTTGATCTTAGCCAAAAGGCCAAGAAGCGATTGTTGAGGAATGTTCTAGATAAACAATGCCCACGACACAACAAAGCATTCCCTTCTTTGAGTTCCACAGTCACATCAAACCAACACAAAATGAATTGTTGTTAAAAAACATGGACCTCTTTGCTTTTCAAAGTTTAAAAATAAATTTTCTCCTCAAGTAAGATGAGTCTTGGTAACTAACTAGAAAAGAATGTTTAAAGGAAGGGGCTGAGCATTCAGGAATGTCCAACACCATCTGTTTCCCTGAGGCTGGCATTGATGGTTGACAAGCAAAGGAAGAAAGGATGTTCTGCCTTAATCAACTCTAAAATACCCTCCCCATTATTAATAACAATTACAATCACCAATATCTGTTAGGGCTGACTGTCCCAAGCTCTGTGCGTAGTGACAGCAACCCAACCAGGTGAACATTACTACCCTTTTTTTACAAAGAGAAAAATTGGGGCTAGAAAAGATTAATTTCTCATACACCCAATAAGTAGAAGAGTCATGTTTAGACTCAGGTTTGTGGAACTCCAAAGACTGAATCTTAGTCATTACCATAAACCAGCAGTCTACTATTATTCTGCAACAAAATGTGCTCATAGATTCTACTATATGCTTTAATTTCTCTACTGTTTCATAGGTATTGCCTTTCATCACAGGTTTTAAACATGGACTCCAGAAAGCAATTGCTAATATGGAGGATGAATTCCCTAAAACCCAAAGGAAGATGCATCAGCACATTGGCAGGTACAATTTTCTGGGGAGAGAAAGGTTTATTGTGACAACAATTCATAAAGGGGTTTGTGGCCCAAAAACATGTTAAGAGCCACTGCATTAGACTATACATTCAAGAACAAAGGGGGCTTATTCTTTATCATCCTGTTGTGACAATACCTCTCTGAAAATTAGTAAGGTTACATAATACTAATTAGGTGTCAGTGGGATCTAAATAAATTTAAGTCTATTATCATTGTTTTATAACTCTGAATTTTAAAGTAGAGGTGAGGATGAGCAAAAAAAAAGAATGGTAAAAAAAATTATTCAAAGGGATATTATTCAAGGAAAGCCAACTTTTTTAGCTATTCTTAAAATATAGTTACTATTCTGAGGAAGAGAAAAAAACAGTTCCACTTGTTTATTTCAACGCCCATTCCCATTTGTGCAAAGAACTACTTAACCACCAGGCAAAGATAAAGATAGGAAGCTCCTGGTGCTGCATCAACATCTTAAATCCCATCTCTCAGCACAGGACCAAAAAGTACCCAGCTTACAATAGCTGGTAGACAGAGCTGCAGATCCATTACATAAACCTGTGCAGAGTTTCTACTGATGACATGAAATCATAGGCACTTTTTGCTGGTGATGGCAACAATCCTCTTTAAAACCTACTTCCTTCTCTGCAGGATTCAATTACCCAAATTACCTAGCTCCCTTCCCTAAGCTTACCAGGAATAAGCCACTTCTCCAAATATTGCCAGACATATTTTTCTCGCCCTGGACTTTCTGGTCCTGTGGATGTAATACTTTCCACATCTTTCTTGCTGGTACTTTTCAACTTTCCATTTCCCTTTGGCGAAAGACCGTTCTGCGTTCATGTACACACTAGCAGTCACACACAAAGACATACATACACCCACAGCACAACTGGATACTGTGTTCGTGGCTAGGGAGGATGTTGTTATTAGGTTAAACTGCTTAGCTAATTCAGCTTCCCAGTGGTGCCCTGATTCTCACTTGCTTTAACACATTTGCCTCTGTAGAAAAATGATTTTCCTTTAAGGGAATCAGGAATTTCCTCTGGAAGCATGTAGTCAGTTGTGTTTTGTTTGGTTTTCTTTTCTTTTCTTTTTTTTCCTTTAAAAAAAAAAAAGGAAAAAAAGCAAGGCATAAGCATTTTAGTTCTTATTTTATTTGGGATCAAGAGATTTTTGTCCCCATTGAAACAATAAGATAAAGCGATTTGGCCTTTCCAATCTTACACCAACCCTGAGGTCCTGAGTTCAACCTTTCTCCAAAAAGAAAAATGTCAGGGCTGAAATGCACCAAATTCACCTAATATTCTGTGCTTCACTCTTCAAGAAGATGGATTAAGATGGCTCACCTCACAAAATGGGCATGACTCACTTGAGAAAATAAGAAATGTAGGCCTGTGGTTTAAGTAACTGCACTATTCTGAGGCAGGTTTTAGGCCCTCTGTGCAATTCTCATTTTATAACTTACCAGGGACAATTGTGTAATTATACAGTGCACTCTTTCTATCGGCAAGATCCATTGATCCTTAAGTGTACATTTTCTGGCATCCAATAAACTAGGACGATGAGCAAGCAAGGTTCTCTGCTCCTGTAACAGTGAAGGGCTAATTAGTTGCATTTGCAGATTAATGACTTTCAACTAGAAAGGGTGAATGCAAAGGGATAAGCCACAACCACAGTGACAGAATGCAAATAAAAGTATTTATAAGGGCAGGAGGAGGGGTGGGGGCCAGGAAGGGCCATCGATTGCTTTTATCCTCTGCATGGTGACACATTCCAATGAGGGAAAGCATTCTGCCAGCCTGGCTGCCTTCAACAAAGTTAAGGCATAAACAGAATCTGTTGATAGATGCAAGCAAGGCCAGGAGGAGAGGCAGAGAAAGAAATTCTCTACAGAAAGAGCAACAGGGATCAAGAAACCTCTCTCTCTTCTCACCCCAGCCAGCCTTTGCCTTCTCTTTGTCAGAGCAGCCTTCAATTTCAACTTGGCTCTCCTGCCCTGTCTCTCACCCTCATCTATAAAGGTTGACTTGATGGTTTGCTAGGAAACTTCCTAGCCAGTATACAAAATAACGTGTTTAAGTTCTCTGTTTATTCTCATTTTCTGAAATGACATTATGCATCTGAGTTTGTCTCATTATTATTTTTAATCCTCTCTCTCTCTCCCACATAAGTGCAAAGGTACCATCTCCTTTCTTTGACTTATTGGGCCAGTAAAAAGGTCTTTCCTCCACTCATAAAATAAAATGAAAGAATTAGAATGGGGGTTACACCAGGATAGAGATCACTGGTTCCCAGACTTCAGGATTTCACTGATTAAAAATATCTTAAAGGAAACTGGAGAGACTGATGTAAGATTTAAATTCTATTACAGCCCTAAGTAATTCACTGATTTTTTTAAGAGAACATTTTTATTTACCATAATAATCATTGTGTAAAAGAAAGTGTGTTTTGAAACCATGAAAAAGGAAAGACAATGCCATAAAGTAACATAGACCTTGATGAAAAACACCCCACCCTCTCATTTTATTTCTTATTTCTCCATATATTGCTAGGACAAGGTTTTGTTTTGTTTTGTTTTGTTTTGTTTGTTTTGAGACAGAGTCTTGCTCTGTTACCCAGGCTGGAGTGCAGTGGCGCAGTCTCGGCTCACTGCAACTGCCACCTACTGGGTTCAAGCAATTCTCCTGCCTCGGCCTCCCCAGTAGCTGGGACTACAGGCGCTTGCCACCACACCCGGCTAATTTTTGTATTTTTAGTACAGATGGGGTTTTGCCATGTTGGTCAGGCTGGTCTCGAACTCCTGACCTCAGGTGATCCACCCGCCTCGGCCTCCCAAAGTGCTAGGACTACAGGCGTGAGCCACCGCACCCGGCCAAAACAAGGTGTTTTAACCAGAGTATAGAGCCCAATTATGTTAAACTCTTAAACTAGGAACATGGTCTAAGTGCACAAATGTCACATCTTTGGACCAGACTTTCCTGATCCTAACTCCACTCCCAGGCAAGGTTATGGCCCCCTTATAAATTCTCATTGCAATCTATACTTTTCTTGTATGTAAACATAATTTGTTTGCTGTCTGTTCCCTGTTTTTGTCCACACTCTGTCTCCAAGATCTAACATAACATCTACCCATAATAAGCACACAGATTTTTTTAACTGGATGAACTAAAAATATTATTCTAGTTTTCAATCTGCCACTTACTAGCCAGGTGACCTTTGGCAAATTATTTAATCAAGCTGTTTCTTGCCTCATCGAGCTTGTTTGGGGGATCAGATCAAATGATGCAAGTGAAAGAGCTATGTCAACTGTAAAATTCTATGTGGCTGCAATTTACCAAAAAGAACAATGGATAAGCCAAGAAGCTTTTCTTTCTTCAAGTTGTATTTCTCTACCTACACAATTCTGTTAATTGCCTTTTGTGTCAGGCTTGCCAGCTATATTTCTCCTTCCAGTTAAAATACAACACCAAAGTTAACCTTAAATTTCTAGAAGAGGGTAAAAAGAACACAAGACTAGACATAAGCAATCTGGTTTCTAGATACCACCCTTCTACCAAACAGTCACAGCCCTCACTTTGGTTCTCTGTTTCTTGATCAATACAGTGGAGGATAAAAACCAGCCCCAAAATCCTAGTCCATGGGAATTGTTTCATCAAGATAATATGAGAAATCAGCACCACTCAGGAAAGATTTTACTCTTTGCTATTTAATAATCATTCCTGAGCACTTGTGATTTGCTAGGCATTTGTACATAGTTTAATTAAATTATTCTAAATAAGATAATTGAGCTATTTAAATTTTTATTTAAAATATTATCCAATGTTTCAAACTATATTTGATTGTCTTCCTGGTGTGGACACCTTGAGCCATCTATTAGATCACTTTGCTTTGCTTCGCTTTTTGTTGTTTTTGTTTTAGAGACAGGGTATTGCTCTGTCACCCAGGCAGGAGTACAGTGGTGCCGTCATCACTCACTGCAGCCTCAAACTCCTGGGCTCAAGCAATCCCCCTGCCTCAACCTCCCAAGTAGCTAGGACTAAAGGCATGTGCCACCACCCCCAGCTACTTTGCTTTGTTTTGTAATGTCTTCTCCAGCACTGGTACTCTTCATGAAGACTGATTTTTTTTCTAAACTGATGCTATACATGAGAATAAAAAGTTGAAGTCTGAAGTTCTTCAAATTCAATTCAACAAATGTTGACTGGGTGCTGTAAAAGAAAAATTGCACCAGATCCAGTTAAACAGGTAAGAAACACTTTATTCATGAGTATTGCAATAAAAGAGAGAGACTGAACTCAACTCTGATGAAAAGAAAGGGAAGAAGGGGGAGATTTTTAACCACTGGGGTGAGTTAAAGGAGGAGTGATTAATGTAATTACGCCATCTGTGTTTGATAACTGTCACTTACGGAAGTTAAGATTCTACACTCTCACAGAATGGGAAAATAGAAACCCTATCACTTTGGATTATTGCTTTTCAAAGGGGTGGCTCCCAGGACCTTGAGATATTCCTGGGTTGTAGATTTACATCTCAAAAGGGCAGAGAAAAAATTTACAGTTGCAAGTTTTCTAAGGTAAATGCTATTTAAAAAGAGAGGTCAGGGGCTTATAGTTAGAAAGAAGTTCATCTAAAGTTTAGCCAAGCTGAGGGCAGTGTTAAGGCAATCTTGGTAAGTGTTCACAGGGCTGGGCTAGGTACTGGAGGCACTTTGTCCTCTGCCTTCATGAAGCTTACAGTCTCTTTTTTTGGTTTTCCTTATAGTTCACATTTGAACTATTCATTGTAGATATTTGGGTACCTGTTCTATACAGATAACTAAACTATATGATCACTCATCTGTATGGCCCAATTCCAACAGTGTCTAGCCAAATGTCTTTTTGTTCAATTGGCCAGTGGTCTACCTCTGTGTCATTTATCTCTCTGGCCAGGTGTCTTTTTAGTAATTGTCTCAAACCAACAGTTTGATGGTAAGGCTGGGAACAATCTCAGGCTTGAGTTTAACCAAATGTTTCGTCAGTAATAACATTTCCTCTTATCCTCAAACGTGTTTATAAACCATGTATCTGTTTTGCCGTGATAGATCCTAACTTCAGGGTCTTTTCCATTCTACTCAAATCCCTCTGCATCTATTACTGATCTTAAGTGTTTGTCTACCAATATTCCATCAAACTTATGAGTAACATACTGTTTTGTGTCAGCTTCCTCCAGTGTTTTTATTTCTGTCGCTTGCAAATCCAGTTGCTCCTGGTCTCAGAATTCTTTGCATATCCTGGAGCCCTCATCTCCTACCACAGCACTCTCAGCTGCATTTTAAATGGCACCCCCCCTTTCATTATATTTAATCACATGGTAAATTTAAAAGATGAGTCCAGATACAGAAGGCTCGTTAACTTTAATGGGTCCCTTTTTATATGTGGGTGAAAGGCCTTAAACCCTTGTAAATTAGGCTGGGACTTATAAACCAAGACAAACGTGATGACAAATACTGATTTCCTAGTAAATTCCTTCAACACTCTATATCCCCACACATGATGAATTGGTAGTATTCCTTCTGTTATTATTTACACAAATGGCTTTGGCATTGTCTTGATACGTGAGCAATATACTTAAACCCGTGACAGATCTCACAGATTAGGGTAGAGCCATATATATTCCTCATTTGGCTTATACTTAAAAAAACAAAAGCTGACTATAATACATATGTGAATGCATGTGCAGAAAATTAAAAACATACTTTACATTCTGGTTAAAAAAAATAAAAATAGATGAAATTGAGGGAGATTCAATATTTCTCACATAACTGTTCAAATTACTGAGACTGTGTGGTCCTATTTCACAAATTATACCTCTGTGGTAAGATTCCTCTTCAAGAAGACTATAGAGATCAATCAGCCCCAGCCATAACAACCTTAATCCTGCTGTTAGACTTTTATAAGTTTCTGCCACCAGTGAGTTATTGCTTGACAAGTGTTTAAATATTATACATTGTGAAGTTTAAATAAAAAAATTATTTACACAGGAATATAAAAAAGTATATTGCCAATTATATAGTTCCCTGAACACTTAATCATGGAGCCAAGTAGAAAACCCTTCAGGAAGCCTGGCTTCTACCATTTCACCACACTGAAGGGCACCTCAGGAAATGCCCATTTAATCTCCGCAGCCGCATTTCAAGCACCTAATCTCACTTTGCAGTGCACTCTGCCACTTTTTGTCACCCAAACAAAATGCAGGTAAATGATGGAGAAGCTCAGCTTATATCCTTTAAATATTTACTGGCTAGTCTACTCACAGTAATACATGCTGTAGTGTTAGACTCAATTTCGCCCCTGAGTGGCTGGCAGACAGTTTGGATAGGCTTACTGAGAAGTGAGGATCTTTCCTTGCTTTGCCTTTGAGGAGAAGCCATTCCCTTATCTTAAGTGAATTAGTTTAAGAACTTTCCCCACTAGCCCAGTGAATCAACAAATCAGCCAGGCCTGCTGCACTGATGGCTCACTTAACCCAGCCCTGTTAGTTCATGGGGAAAATGTCCTGTGGAAGGAGGGTCCCCTGTGCCCCACCTGACCTGATGGATGTGGACCCCAGTCACACAAGGGTTTCCTTATTTCACAAAGTGAAGTTGGTGTAACTTGCTGGACAGAAAACCTACTTGATGAGTGTGTCATTTTCTTCCACAGCAGGAGCGTGAGCCAGAGTGAAAAGGAGGCATTGAGCCAGAGTGAAAAGGAGGCATTGCTCCCTAACCATGCCTGAGGCTTCCTTTAAAAACAGAACCATTTTCAATGTCAAGTGAGTAGGAGGCAAAAGGCACTGACTGCAGGTGGAGGCAGAAACCTTCCTCCCTCTGCTAGTTGTCCACGTTTTTATTGAAAGTTGGAAATCGTTTTAAAGTCCATTCAAAATGTGATTCTTATTTTTTAAAACTGAAGTAAATCTAAACATGCTGACACGAAAATATCGAAAGCATGAAATTAAAATTTTAAAATCCCATTTACACTTTACACTATATGTGTATATATGCACATCTATTTTATGTATTGATATGTACGTGTGTGTATATATATACATGTATATATTTGTCTACACAAAGAAAAGGTCTGGATGGATTCACTTTCAAATACTACCAGAAGTTTCTTTGAGATTCAGAGAGAATGAGAAATCAGAAACCAGGAATTTTACTACGAATTTTTGCATAGTTAGAATTTTTACAACAAGCGTATATTGCCACTATCATTTTTTAAGTGTTAATAAAGAAGTAATTTCGCCCATTTGCTTAATTTTTTATTACACTGGTAAATTTAGGCATTGAGGCTCAATGTTAGCCTGCAGATGGAAAAGCAGAGCCTAATCTCCCTCCCTGCTTAACAGCAGCAGATAATGTGACCGAAGTGGCTACAGAGCATATGTGGACATTAACAGGAGCTTCCACAAGGGTTTTTGACATGTCATTCTGAATCCTTCCCTGGGTGTTCTGATATCATCACAAACCCAACTCTGCATGCTTTATGGCTAATGAATGAAATGCTTCCAGAGCCGGATCTTATCCCTCTCTTCTCAAAGCATCTTTTCTCAAATATAGCCTATGCTTTACTAGGCGTTAGCCTACTTGTGGATTTGTGAAAATATTTAAATAATGTTTTGTTGGGTGTTTTTAAAGGTAGTTATGAACAAAAGTAGATTAAATCCCCTAGTCCCAATTCTGCCTCAAGGCTCCCAATATACAACCCCTCTAGGCATCAGAAGACCTAACCATTCCTTTTTTGAAACAAAGGAAGGCCCATCATTCCATAATTACTCTCTTGTGCAGATTGACACAATATCAGAGCTAACACAACAAACCACAGAAAAGACCAGGTTATAACATCTCTGCTGCTGTAAATTGAAATAATAAACTTTGGCAAACACAGAAGACAGCAAATTCAATTTGACAGTCCTCTCAAAGCAGACTAAGAACAACAGAGGGAAGCTGGCTAAAGAGGATCAGAATCCATTTTATTTGATTATTACATCATTGGATGAGGAAACTTGTAATGCAATTCTCCCAAATTGTTAATTCACCATTCACAAAATAATGGTAGAAATCAAATTATCATCATGTTCTACATTCAAAATCGCTGATTTTCAAGCTGGAAAAGAATGATCTAACCTCCTTTAGCTTCGAGAACTCTTTCTTTAGGTAAACACTCAGGTGAAAGTCCAATGTGAAAAACAGATTAATGCAATCTTGCTCACTGTGAAGGGAGAGGGAGAGCTGCAGCTGTGCTCACCTGTCCCACTTCTGCACGTCCCTCACTGCCCAACCCCTCTGCAAGAGCCTTTGGGGAATCCCTGAGTGTCTACTAGGGCACATCATTTGGAAAGCAACTGATCTAGGCCATTGCCACCTTCATTTAAAAGATGCAGACTAACTCTCTTAAGATCATTAAGTAAAGTTAGAGTGAGGGATGAGGAAAGAAGTGAAACCACATTCTGACAAAGATTCTTATTGGGAGATCAAGAGTAAATTCATCTTTTTAAAGGGTTAAGTGATAACAGTTAACTTTTATTGAGCATTTGCTACCCACTAGAAATAGTGCCAAGTGCTTTATGAGTCTTAACACAATTGATTTGTACAAAATCCCCATGAGGTACTATTCTTATAAACAGATGGAAGTTTGGGCTCAGAAAAGTTAAATGACTAGCACAAGATCACACAGCTAAGAAGCAGAAGAGCTAGTTCAAACCCAGGCACGTGGCTTAAGTGGCAAGGTGCCTACCCCTGTGCTCACCTACCTCTGCCACCCACACCCTGGCTACCATGACTTATTTTTTACCCAATTGTATTACCGATAAAATGGAAAGAAGGCAACTTCTCACTGGCTTTACCACACTCTGTAGACACAACTACGTGCATCTCCTGCTGGAACTAATATTCCACTCAATTCCTTAAGGATTGCCACAGTGACAGCTCCTATTCGAATCAAGCCAGCCAACAAACAGGCTATTTCTATCAAGAATAAGCTCCTCAAATCCAAAGCTGTGACAAAAAGAGACACGATTGCAGAAACTCTGACAGACAAGAATAAAAGCCAAAAGCAGGCTTGACAACCAGGATACACCCCCTCCAAGAGCAGAAAAAAATAAGGACAGATCAAGCTGGGGTATCTGGGGACAAAACCAGACATGGATAAATAGAGATAGGAAGAGACAACCAAGGACCAAGTCACAATAATCCTAGCAGGGGTCAGAGCAGATGAATGGAATGTGAGTCAGCAATGAAGTATAGTCATCAGGAATAAAAGGAAAATCATTGTGAAATGCCCTGGGAGGAGTGTGACTTGCAAGGACTCTAAAATACGCCTTCCAGTGTCTATTCATCAGCTTACACCTTAAATGTGTTCTGTGTCCAGTACTGGCCATTACACTTTTTAATAATGGAGAGAAAATAGATAAAGGCCAAAAAGTCACAGCAAAGTTGACTAGAAAGAGGACACAAAGTCCTTTGGAGAAAGATTAAAATCTTTAATGTTGTTTAACCCACATGAGATAATACTGAGATGAAAAGATCTCAACTGTATAAAATATGCCTGCAAGAGAATAATGACCATTTGTTCTCCATTTACACAAAATAATTTATCCATTGGCTGTTTGGATGAACAGTTATCAAGGACCTATGTGCTTGGGGATACAAATGTGGAAAACACTTCTAATTTATATCCTGAAAGAACTTCACAGTCTAGCGAAGAGCTAGACATGAAGATAAACAACATTGCAGCATGATAGTTACTATAATTCAGGCATATATGAAGAGCAGAAGGATACAATGAAGGAAGTGGTAAACCCTATGGCAGTGGAGGAGATGCGGGGAGATGATCACGTCTTGAAAGAAGAGTAGCAGGTTTTTCAGAAATTCAAGGAGGGAAAGAGTATTCCAAGCAGAGGGAATAATATGTGAAAGGTAGGAAGATGGGAAACTGTCTAGCACATTCAGGAACTTGCAGTGAGTTCAACAAAGCAGGAAATTGGAGTATAAGAGAAGAAAAGCAGGAGATAAGCCAGAGTCATAGGCTGGGGCTAGATAATGGAGATGTTTTTACGTACACCAATAAGCTAGGCTTATATCCAGGCAGTTACGATATTTTGTTACAAAATCAAAATACTTCCACGTCAATTAGAATGGGGCCTTTTGTTTCCATCCTCCTCTCCAGACACTTTCCCTCCAGTGGGACTTTCAGACCTCCTCATAATCCACCGACTCAAGGGTAATGCCTAGAACTGCAGCCTCCAGTCTCCTCTCTAGTTCTATAGCAGTGTCCATTTTGATGGCATGATGGTTGTTAAAAATGTTCAATATCTGCTAACATTTGGGGACTTTAACCATAGATGACAGGGAACCACTGAAGAGTTTCAAGCAACTGCATCACACAACCAGACTGTCATAAACTTAAAAAGAAATTATTGATCGTCAAAGTAACCAAAAAGGAATGAAGCCTCTCTCCATGGAAATATTTTAAAAGATACACAATTTTTTATCCTATAGACAGTTTCAATGCTGCCTGGCCTATGGGTGACTGGATGAGATGACTCCAAAGGGGCTTTCACTTCATTTATGAGGCTATTCCATGATCAAACACTGCGGAAACACTGCCTGGTTATATCTTCCTCCTACATATCTGAGGAGGATGAAGAAAGTGAGAGAGCTGGCTGAGAGAGAGCCTCTTTGAGTGACAATCTCTATTTCACATGCTATAGAGGCACAGGCACTGTTTAGTGTTGAAATTCTTTTCACAGCATGTGGCAGGTAACCCCTGGCAGCGATCTTCTGTCCCAGAGCTTTCTACACTGTTGCCCTCTCTTCACCAGAGACAGCTACAAGGCTGGGGCAAGGTGTGGACTTCACTTTTCCAGATGATGGCAAGCAGCCAGGAACTGTCAAGGGGAAGGAAAGAACTCCAAGATCACCCAGCAAAACAGGAAACTGAAGGGGGATGAGAAACCACATTGCATCTCAGAATCTCGCCACTTAAGCTGTATCTTTCCAGATGCACTATATTTCACCTAAATTCAAACATTTCCAAATGATATTAAAAAAATTAAACCTCATCTTTTTCGTTTAAAAAAAAAATATGTGTTTCTTGGTAAATCACACAACTCTAGTGCCGAATTTTCCCCTGCTCATTTTTTCACATCTTTCAATTACCTGCTGATCTACTACTGTGTAAGTGTTTTTCTCCTCATTTACTGAGGATACTACTTTTTCTTATTTTTTCCCCTTATGCTCACCTAATTAACAGTCAAGCAGCTTTTCATACAAAATCTCCCAGCTTTAAATTTTTCCTTCTGATTAGGAGTTTTAAAAAAGAGCTTTGGGGTTTTCAAAAATGCTTTTTCCAAGAGATTTATGTGCTCAACCATCAGACTATCCATCTTAAACCAGGCCAGTGTGAGCAGCAGCCTCTAAAACTCCAGGAGACAGGGAGGCCTGTGTCCCCTGACACAATCGTTAGATGTTTCAAGGGCAGGGTCCTTTGAGGCCATGCTATGGCCATCTGAGCTTGATCACAGGTAAGACACAAGAGCCATCTTCAAAAGATCTAATTTCTTTAATCCCTTTTTATTGTGCTGTACTTTTAAGAGTTAGAAGAAGCCATGCTTTTAAACTTCTGTTAATTCATTTAACAATCATTTATTAACCACCTACTAGGTGCCAGGCACTAAATTAGGTGCTGGAATATAATGATGAGCAGAAGATACGTATGGTCCACCACTTAATGGTGTGTATATTCTATAGCAGCAGTTCTTAACATTGGTTGCATATTGGAATCCCCCAAAGAGCTTTGACTGCTTCCAATGCACATCCACCTCCAGACCAATTAAATTAAAATCTCCAGGTATGAGACTCAAAATATTTTTCAAAGGTCCCCAAATGACTCCAAAGAACAGCCAAGGTTGAGAATTAGACACATCAATCAAATAATTACACAAATAGATATCAAATTATAACATTAATAAAGACTGTAAAGAATTAGTCACACTTTGAGGAGGCTTCAGCACCATTTGTTTATATATACAACTGAGATTTGCCGAGCACCTGCTTTTATCAGGACTTACAAGGTAATGTGACTATAGGTCATAACCCAAAGAAACATTGGCCATCCTGGTTATCCTTCATCTTCATGGGTCAGAACTGACCACTGAGCACTTGGAGATTTCTGGTCATTTCCACTTCCTCTATCAGAAGACCAGAAAGAGGTCAACCCACCTCACTCATGCCAGACAGACATGTGAACCACAGGGCACAAGCAAAAGTGACTGCCAGACCCTCCTAAATGCTGGCAGGATATCTCAGCAATGCTACTTGATTTGAAATCCCATGCTTAGATCGACGGGAGTAGTGCGTGCGGTATGATAATCTGAACTGACAATAAATGCCAAAGAAAAAGGAAAAATGAAACTTGATACTAGGTTTGGAGATTTAAAGAGGGAAATAAATTCTGTAAGACTCTAAGCAAGATTGTCTGGGATTTGCTAAGGGATATGTGCGGAATCCTTACATAATGAGCTTCTTTAAATAAACAAACAGCATTCTGGCTTTACAAAAGCTTCTGGATACTGGAGAGATTATTAAAAAATAAGAGAGGTGGTGATTTAGCTTCACCACTGCGGCTGAGAATGGCCTTCTAGATTTGAATACTTTCCACTCTCACTTGTTTGAATCATCGTCCCTCAAGATAATGAAGTTTTTTTTCTCGTTTCATTTTGTGATTTTCTTTAAGAACTCCCCTGGCATCATTCATTTGATTTACACTGAATCGAAATTAACTGTACCTAAACAACTTTTTATTAGTTCATTATATTCTTCTCTCCATTTATTTGGCCTTTAGTCTGACTTTAAATTGTAAACTTGACTTCATACAGATCACTATAGCTATCATCTAATTGTCAGAAAGCAGATAATATTCAATATTAAGGATTGATGACACATGGACAAATACATATCTCTAAAGATAAATATTTTTAAAATCCTTTGCCATTCAATTTTTAATACATAATGACTATCATATTTTCTTAAACACACACTCCAAAACACTTTAAGAAACAAATGAGCTGAGAATTTGCCATGTTTCCTAAGATCCCAAGAAGAGAGTAGCTAAGACTGGATTTTATTCCAAAGGGGAAGAAACCTTCATTTTTCATAAGTACAGAAGATTTGGATTTAACTTAAATGGAGCGCAAGATCCACACTGCGAAGTTACCAGCTCTTTCCGGATGCTATATCATTTGTCTGTACCATGAAGGATTAGACTCTAAGTATGATTTTCTGAGGTCTGATGTAAAGTGGAACCCAGAAGCTTTGCATGATCACACTGTTAGTCAAGACTCACCATTCAAAAAATCTCTTAATTTACAGTTTAATAAACAAATGTGGAAACTGAGCCAAAAGGAAAACAAGATGAATCTGTGAATATGATGAATGCCCAAAGCTCATGCTATAAGTTTCTATATGAAAGGTAGAGCCTTTGGCTCAGAGCTTTCTAGGAATTAGCCAAATCCATAACATAATGCTCGGTAGTCTCCTCAGGCCATTGAAGCCCTATCTGTTCTGCTAAAGAGTGTGAAGAATTTTCCCACGATGCCACTTAAAATATCCCTACCTATCACAAGCTCAATGTTCAGTTTTGCCAGCTTAAAACAGTCCAACACAATGTTATTTATTATAACAGGTAGTCAGCTAGATCCTGAACCAAAATTATATCTTCCAAAATAGAATATGTGTAATATGTAGTGTGGTTAACATGTATCATAAATACCAAGCCAATTTACCAATCCTTGTATTATAACAGTGTTCCATTTTAACAATTTTGGGATTGCCATAGAAAGCAATTGTTCCTTTTATAAAGCAATATCTAACCAATGTATATAAATTTTCTTCAAAATACAGGGCCTGGTTATGACTTCACAAATGATTATCTCCAAAGTAGAAAGAAATAAGATATAATAAGTGGGGTAAGGATAGCTAAGAACAATATTTGTATATTTCAAGACCACAAGAAAAGAAGATCTTAAAAGTTATCACCAAAGAGGGAAGATAAAAGTTTGAAGTGGTGGGCATGCTGATTACCCTGAGTTGATCATTATACAATGCATACATATATTGGAACATCACGCTGTACCCCAAAAGCTTTACAATTATTATGTGTCAAGTATAAACAAAATAAAAAAAAATCCTAAGACAAATTGTTTCTAAAAACCAGGAACTTATAGTCAGCCCAAGCACCCACAACTCTTGACAAACCAAGCAGGTGAAATGAGATTTGGTTAGTTTAAGATGCGGTGCCATCAGCCTTTTCCCATTTTTCAATTGTCTTAATACTTGACTTGCAGAAAACAAAACAAAAAAAAAAACATATTTAGTGGACCCGATTAAACAAACCACTACGTGGAAAATTCTGACTCAACGGTACCTTCATAAATTTAGATCAAAATTAAATCAAACGAATGTGCATAAAGACAGTTTTAAAAATTAAATTAAATACTAAAAGATAATGTTAGACTTTTATGGAAGTTGAGAGTCAACTATGCCAAGCTTATTTACCTAAACATATATTAGAAAAGTCTTGAAACTAAAAGAATCAAAAGAATTCCAGTCAGCATTTCTCAGGCAGGAGAGGTACACATCACAGAAGCCATAACCCTTCTCTCTCAGGATCACTGAGAATGCTCTCTTCCTCCAAGCAAATTCCACTTTCCCACACCCTAGGAGGGTCTTATAAAGCAACAGCAACCTTCCCTAAAGTGATTTTTCACTGAGACAGCTACTTTAGAAGGATGCTGTAACACTGACCCTCAAGAAGAGAAGTCACTGAGTATAGATGAGAAAGCATAAAACTTGCATTTTTAGAGTAGAGTCAAGGCCTAGATACTTGAATATCTTAAGATAATAATCAACATTTATTACATACTCAGAGCACTCTGGTCTTTTGAGAAACATTACCTAAAAAAATAGAAAAATAAAAGTGCTTAGAATTCTGCACATGAAAGCAAGAGTAGGCAGAGAATCCAAAAAATAATAGTTTCTGTGTGCCAGGTATTCTACCCAATATGATAGGTGTCTTCTGCCTACTTCTCCAGGTTCACCATCCACCCTTTTCCAGCCTGCTCAGTTACCTAGGAGACTAACCTAAATGGACCATATCGGTAGGCACCCTTGCCCTCTGGCTTTCAGCTAGTTTCTGCCAATGGGAGTAATAACCATGAAATGAGGGGTAGGAGGAGAGCAGGGGTTGGAAGCTGGAGGAGGGTATAAAATCATGAAGTAAGTAGGAAGCAAATCAGAAAGATGGAAAGAACTGAGAAAGACGGAGAGATCAAATCAGAAAGATGAATTAAATATAATGCTGAGAGCCTAAGGGAGGCAATAAAGCAAAGGTCGCAAAACCCAGGAGGATGGGCTTGGCTTTCCTGGGGAAGAAAGGCCTAGGCAGAAGAGCTCTCTGACAGAAGCACTGCTCAGGCTGTGCTGCACAAAGGGCAGGACTCTGCGTTGGATTCGTGTGCCTGAAAACCATTCAGAGGGTTATATTCTCAAAATGATTTTGTTGAGGTGTCTACATCTTCAGTGCAGTCTTTATCTGCCTCTGAGAGATGCTTCACACATGGCCTAAGAAGCCTTGTTACAGGCTGTAGTTGAAGAGGGGTGTTTATCTTCAGGTGTAAAAAGGTAGCAAGAATAAATGGTTCATGAATCTGCTGCAATGCCACACTTCAAGTATTTCATTTTAATACTATCCATTTAGAGAACAGATGAGGGAATCAGTAGGTCATTATGACCAGAAATATTTAAATATTTTAATATGACTGGAGACATAAATCCACACTGTACTTACTCTCTGATTTCTTCCATTCACCCAAAACCCTTTTCATTATTCAAAAGAGCTCACCAAATTCTGCCTTGTGAAGGAAAATATCCAGTGTAAAGGACTATTACATATTCCCACCATACTCCCCAAACTTCAATGATAAGCAATTGTGTTCCCCCCGGATGTGCATATGAAGTCTAGCAAATAAGAACATAAAATAATGACGGGAAGAAAACAAACCGAAAGCTAAAATTATCAGTGGAGCTGATTAGCATATGTATAAGAGACACTTGTACAGATGTGGGATGCTTTCTTTAGAATGTAAGTTCTTGCAGCAGTGATTCTTAATCATTTTTGGAGTTGTGACATCTTATCATCATTTATTTGCTTTTTATGATCATCACCAACCTCCTCCCAAAAGCATATTTTTAAATGAGAAGGAATAATTTTATTCTCAAGCGTTTGCCTTTATTTTTACTCTCTGAGAATCACCCTAGAGGATCATACGAGTCGGTACAGTTACCAGTGGTTAAGAATCCAGGGAACTTTGCCCTTTGCATTTTTTCCTATGGTAGATATTTAATCATCCATAGGTAATGGTAAAGAATGTACACAGAGGGAAGAAAACGGGAGCGAAAGTTATTTCCACAGTAAGCTTTTGAAGTTTGGATAGGACATTTTGAAATAGACCTAGAAGAGCAGGGAAGGAATGTTGGTGGGACATGTCTTCTTTCCCACATACACTTGTATTCCATTTAGGTAAATGTGAGTGTTGAGAATCCATCTCCACAGACCTCAGTGATTCACTTCATTGCAAACTCCATTCTGCTAAGCCATTTTCATAGGTTGTATTGATTATTTGTATGACTGTGTAAGAAAAGCAACCATACACAGAACTCCTGATTTTGCAGTTTACTTTAAGTCAACTTTTAATTATTTTCATAAGGCTTTATTGGAAGCTCTCTGTATAAGCCAAAGTGCAAGACATGAAGCAGAGTAATTCATTCCTTTCCTAAAAGAAAGGAGGTAATTTTGGGCTGGGCACAGTGGCTCACGCCTGTAATCCCAGCACTTTGGGAGGCCAAGGCGGGCACATCACCTGAGGTCAGGTGTTCGAGACCAGCCTGGTCCAACATGGTGAAGCCCCGTCTCTACTAAAAATACAAAAATTAGCCAGGCGTAGTGGCACATGCCTGTAATCCCAGCTACTCAGGAGGCTGAGGCAGGAGAATTGCTTGAACCTGCGAGGCAGAGGTTGCAGTGAGCCAAGGTAGTGTGACTGTACTCCAGCCTGGGCAACAGAGCAAGACTCCACCTCAAAAAAAAAAGAAAAAGAAAAAAAAAAAAAGAAAGCAGGTAATCTTAAACAGGTTTCTTAGAATCAGAGTTGGAAGAGATCTTTTCTATTGAATAAAAATAAGTCATCTATGAATGTAACTGGAAACTAACACTATACTGTGTTTCTTCCAATACACTTTAAATTCTTGTTGATTTTCATAACCCTTTTGCCACGTGTGAAGCCACCAGATGTTAATTGCAGTTTCCTAACAAAGGTGCAGGAAGAAGAAAAGTCAAGTCCTAGATCATGTAACAAGCCAAAACACCCATCTCCCTGCCAGTTTCTATCCATGCTTTCCAGTAATTCTTTTCTCTCCGTAGTGGACTAATAGGTCTCCAACGGGACAAGGCATAGTTTTGTCAGGGAAGTGAAGTCTGGAAGGGATGATAACAGCACACAATGCTGATGAAATTAACTGTGAGAGCTACCCTGCAGCTAGAAGGGGAACACAAGGCCACTCCACGTGCTAACTCGTATATTGGCATATCTCAACCCACAGACTGAGAGACACTTGTCTCCTCATCCTAGAGCAAGGACTCTTTTTGGCCCACTTAGGTAGAGAAACTTATGGGGTAGAAAATACCCTTTGATTTGCCTGGTTGTTTGCACAAACTGGCTACCAATCTGGTCCAAATTGTTAACTTTGTAATTCCAAGTAGATTAAGATGAATTCTGGCTTTTATCTACCAAATTATTTATGCAACCAATCCATCTGCTTCTCTCCTAGGGAAAAAAAATTTTCAAATTCTTTCAAAATAAACTGAGTGTTTTAGTCATAACAAAATCCAAAAATCGACAAGACATTATATTATCATTGCAGAGCAAATGCTTAAATTCCATTTAAAGGAAATGTCATCACTGCATATCATATTTCTGTTTGAGTGCTACATCAGCCCAGTCTGAATGATGCCACCAAGACATAGAACTAGGGGAAGGGTGGGGTTGAAAGACAGGGAAGGAAGCTCAAGCCAATATAATAAAAAAGAGAATAAACTTACAGCTAAACAGTTTACTTTTCAAAGGCAGCGCAAGGGCAAAATGCTTTGTGCAAAGAGAAAATTAGTTTTCAAAGTATATGCATTCTACAAAGAGCCAAGTTAATTATTCAAAGCAGAGGCCCATGAATTCCCACAATTTAGTCATTCTATTCTGACAAATTCAGGCCCAGCGAGCTGCTTCTTATCACTAAGACTTTGATAATTGGCTTAGACATATCAAATAAACTTTCTGGAGAATTCAGTCATAAGCAGGTATGACATCCTAATAGGGGTTTTATTAGGCCTTTCTCTGTGCAGTAATGTATTAGCAATCACTGTGACATTTTCTGCTCTGGGGGGTTTTGGCCTTGCTCATTTTTTACACTTGCTAGAAAATAAATTTATTCACGGTAGAGATCTAATCCAATGCACTACTCTGTTTACCCTGGTTTCTAAAGGAACAGGCCTCTCAGAATTAATGAAAAGTGACATATACATCATAGAAGAAAATGCACTGTCTTCAGCCAGGCATAACTGAATAGTAAGAATCCCTTCTGAATCTACAAACTTGGGAATTCAGTTAGTACAGCCTTCTGTAGTCACAATTTTGCCTCCCATTTCATGTAAGAAAAAAAAAACATAGCCAATAGCATGTGTGGATTAAATTTCTCCTCTTTAGAAGCAATTGTGGTTGAAAAATAATTTCCCTGAGAAAATGTCTTCTGTATATTATCTGGTATGTTGCAATTTGCTCCTTTGCATTTAATATTCCTGACAAGCTGAAATAATTTTAAAGCCTTATTACTGTATATTTACATACTGAAAGTAGAGTTATTATTTGGGTGGAGAACTGTTTGGAATAAATAAATTTTTAAAAAGCCTACCTACCAGCAAAGGAGAAACAAAATGGATTGGATGATGAAACTCAGTGTCTTTCCATACACTTTTATTCTCTTGGTTCATGTGAGAATATCATTCATGGAAACACATATAAGGCACCATCAAGGTAGTAGTAGTTTGGTCAGAGTGAAAAACATGCTGATATATTAATGTACTTTTATCACATAACAAGGAAGCATCAACAGAGGTCATCTAAATGACCTCTGAAATCTCTGTAATTTAATACTTGATATTTCACCACCAACTTCCCACTTTCCATGTTAATGGGGACAAAATTAATAGAAAAAAATACATAGAAGATCTAAGTAACTCATTTTAACTATGGGTTTTCTATCTTCTCCTTACCTAAGCTCTTTTTGGTCTCATATATGTTATAATTCTGAAACACTTCCAAGATCTAGTGTCCTCTCAAAATACCTCCTTTACCTGCTGGATGATGCTTAAAATTTCCTAGTTAAATCTTTAATGTGATGTTTTGTTCAATGTTAAAATTCAGTTATATTTGTGAAAGATCCTGCATTAAAGATACTGCCAACACCAGTAACTTCTGGCACCATGAAAAAGATGAATGTCATGACACAACCAAAAGATGACTCTAGCTCTCCAGCTACAGTCCCCAACCAAAAGAGAAACTCATAAATGACAGATAAAGAATTCAAAGCATAAGTTGCAAGGAATCTCAAAAAGATCCAAGATAGGGTTCAAAATAAACACAAAGCCTAAAGCAATCCAGAAAATAAAGGAAGTAATAAACATCTTTAAAAGAAATCAATCAGAGCTTCTGGAATTGAAAAACTGACTTAAGGAATTTCACAATACAATGAAAAGCCTTATCAATAGATTGAGCCAAGTAGAAGAAAGAATTTCAGAGCTTGTAAATTGGTCTTCATAGTAAACTCAGGCAGGCATAAAGAAAAAAGAATCTTAAAAAATAAAGTCTTGGAGAAATGTGGAATCCTATAAAACAACCAAACCTATGAAAGAGAAAAAGTAAACAGTGTGGAAAACATATTTGAGGGAATAATTCAAGAAAATTTCTCTAATCTTATGTGAGAGGTAGAATTCCAGATACAAGAAATCCAGAGAACTCCTGCAGGATACTATACAAAACAAACATCACCAAGGCATATAGTCACCAGAATGTTCAAAATCAACACTAAAGAAAAAAAAAAACACTTAAAGACAGGTAGAGAAAAGGGTCAGATCACTTACAAAGGGAATTCCATCAGGCTAAAAGCAGAAATCTTACAAGCCAGAAGAGATTGAGGTCCAATTTTCAGCATTCTTTAAAAAAGGAAATTCCAACCTAGAATGTCATATCCCACCAAACTAAGCTCCATAAGTGAAGGAGAAATAAAACCTTTTCCAGACAAGGAAGTACTAAGGGAATTTGTTACCACTAAACCAGCTCTAAACATGGAACTGAAAGAACAATACCTTCTACTACAAAATCACACTTAAGTACATAGCCCACAGACCCTATAAAGCATCTACACAACCAAAACTACAAAGCAACCAGCTAGCAACTTCCCAATAGGATCAAAACCCCATGTATCAATATTAACCTAAATGCTCCACTTAAGAGGTACAGAGCGGCAAGTTGGAGAAAAAAACAAGACCCATCTATCTGCTGTCTTCAAGAGACCATCTTACATGTAACAACACCCATAGGCTCAAAGTAAAGGGTTGTAGAATGATCTATTATGCAAAGAGAAAACAAAAAAGTCAGGAGTCACTATTCTTATATCAGATAAAACAGACTTTAAACCAAGAACAGTAAAAAATGACAAAGGTATTACAGGAATTCAACAGGAAGATGTAACTATTCCAAATATATATGAACTAAACATTGGAGCATTCAGATTCATTAAACAAGACTTCTAGACCTACAAAATGATTTAGACATCCATGCAATAATAGTGCCAAACTTCAACACCCCAACTGGCAGCATTAGATAATTGAGGTATTGAAACTAACAAAAAAATTCTGAGCTTAAATTCAGCACTTGACCAATTGGACTTAATAGACATCTAAAAATACTCCACTCATCCTCCATAGACTATACATGCTTTTCATTTACACACTGAACATACTCTAACATTCAACACCTGTTCACCCATAAGGCAAGTCTCAATAAATTCAAAAATATCAAAATCATACAAACCATTATCTTGAACCACAGTGGAATGAAAACAGAAATCAATAACAAAAAGAACCCTGAAAAATACACAATTATATGCAAATTAAACAACTTACCCCTGAATGACTTTTCACTAAAATACAAAATTAAGGTAAAAATTTTAAAAATATATATTTGAAATAAATGAAAACAGAGACACAAGATACCCAAATCTCTAGGATACAGCAAAAGCAGTATAAAGAGGAAAGTTTATACCATTAAACACTTATATCAAGAAGTTAGAAAGATTTCAAATTAGTGACCTAACATCACACCTAAACAAAACACTAGAAAAACAAGAACAAACCAACAACCAACAAAGCCCAAAGCTAAGTGAAGAAAAGAACGAAAATCAGAGCAGAGACAAATAAAAATATAACACAAAAATCCATACAAAGGATCAATAGAACCAAAAGTTAGTTCCTTTGAAAAGATAAACAAGATCAATAGAATGCTAGCTAGATTAACAAAGAAAAAAGGGAGAAGATCCAAATAAGCATAATCAAAAATGACAAAGGTGGCATTATAACCAATCCCAAGAAAAACAAAAGATCTGCAGAGACTATTATGAACAGCTCTATGCACAAAACCTAGAAAATCTAGAAGAAATCAAATTCCAGGAAAAGTACGACCTCCCAAGATTAAATCAGAATGAAATTGAAATCCTGAACAGACAAATAACTAGTTCTAAAATTGAATCAGTAGTAAAAAACCTACCAATCAAAAGAAGCCCTGGACTGGACGGATTCACAGTGAATTCTACCAAAAGAGCTGGTAACAATTCTACTGAAACATTCCAAAAAATTGAAGAGGAGGGACACCTCCCTAACTCATTCTATGGAGCCAGCATCACCCTAATTCCAAAATCTGGCAAAGATACAACAAAAAAAGACAACTACAGGCCAGTATCTCTGATGAAGATTGAGGCAAAAATTCTCCACAAAATAATAGCAAACTGAATTCAGCAGCACATCAAAAAGTTCATTTACCACAATCAGGTAGGTTTCATCCCTGGGGTTCAAAGTTAGTTCAACATGCAAAACAATAAATATAATTCACCACATAAACAGAATTAAAAATGAAAATCATATATCAGTCAAGGCAGAAAAGGCTTTCAATAAAATCCAATCTTCCTTTATGATAAATACCCTCAACAAACTAAGCATCAAAGGAAATGTACCTCAAAACAATAAGAGCTGTCTATGACAAACCCACAGTTAACATCATACTGAATGGGCAAAAGCTGGAAGCACTCCCCTTAAGAACAGGAACAAGATGAGGATGCTCTCTCTCTCTACTGCTATTCAAGATAGTACTGAAAGTTCTAGCCAAAGCAATCAGGCAAGAAAAAGAAATAAAAGGCATTCAAATATGAAAAGAAGAAGTCAAATTATCTCTTTGCTGGTAATATGGCTCTGTACCTGGAAAACCCCATAGTGCTTGCCCAAAGACTCCCAGAACTCATAAGTGACTTCAGTAAAGTTTCAGGATACAAAGTCAATATACAAAAATTAATAGTATTTCTATATACTAATAACATTCGAGCTGAGAGCCAAATCAAGAATGCAATCCCATTTACAATAACCAAACACACACAAAATAAAATACCTAGGAATGCATCTAACCAAGGAGGTGAATGATCTCTACAAGAACTGCAAAACACTGCTTGAAGAAATCAGAAATGAGACAAACAAATGGAAAAATATTCCATGCTTATGAATTAGAAGACTCACTATAGTTAAAATGGCCATACTGCCCAAAGCAATCTGCATATTCAATGACATTCCTATCAAACTACCAGTGCCATTTATCAAAGAATTAGAAAACAACATCCTAAAATTTATAGGGAACCAAAAAGAGCCCAAATAGCCAAAGCAATCCTAAGCAAAAAGAACAAAGCCAGAGGCATATCATTACCTGACTTCAAACTATAATATAACGCTACGGCATGGTACCAGTACAAAAACAGACACAGGCCAATAGAACAGAACAGAGAACCCAGAGATACAGCCACACACCTACAACCATCGAATCTTCAACAAAGTCAACAAAAATAAGCAATGAGAAAGGACTCCCTGTTAATTAATGGTGCTGGAATAACTGGCTAGCCATACACAAAGAAACTGGACCCCTACATTTCACCATATACAAAAATTAATTCAAGATGGATTAAAGACTTAAATGTAAGACCTCAAACTATAAAAACTCAAGAAAACCTAGGAAATATCTTTCCGAACATCTCCTTTGGCAAAGAATTTATGACTAAGACGTCAAAAGCAATTGCAACAAAAAATCAGACAAGTAGGATCTAATCAAACTAAAGAGCTTCAGCACATCAAAAGGAACTATCTACAGAATAAACAAACAACTTACACAATGGGAGAAAATATTCACAAAGTATGCCTCTGACAAAAGTCGAATATCCAGAATCTATAAGGAACTTAATTCAACAAGCAAAAAACAAATAACCCTTTCAGCTGTTCATACTTTCAAGAGAAATAAATAAAAAACAAATAAGAAATAAAAAACAAATAATCCCATTAAAAAGTAGTCAAACAGTATGAACAGACACTTCTCAGAAGGACATACAAATGACCAGCAAACATATAAAAAAAATTTAATCATCACTGATCATCAGAGAAATTCAAATCAAATCCATAATGAGATACCATCTCACACCAGTCAGAATGGCTTTGTTAAAAAGCCACAAAATAACAGATGCTGGAGAGGCCACAGAGAAGAGGGAATGCTTATGCACTGTTGGTGAGAATATGAATTAGTTAAGCCACTGTGGTCAGCAGCTGGAGATTTCCCAAAGAACTAAAAATATAACCACCATTCAACCCAACCATCTCATTACTGATCATATACCCCCCCCAAAATTGTAAATCATTCTACCAAAAAGAAACATGTATTTGTATGTTCATTGCAACACTACTCACAATAAGAAAGACATGGAATCAACCTAGGTGCCCATCAGTGGTGGACTGGATAAAGAAAATGTGGTACAAATACACCACAGAATACTATTCAGCCCTTAAAAAGAATTAAATCAAGTCCTTTGCAGGAACACGGATGCAGCTGGAGGCCATTATCCTACATGAATTAATGTAGGAATAGAAAACCAAATATCGAATGTTCTTACTAAGTGGGAGCTAAACATTGGGTACACACTGACATAAAGATGAGAACAATAAAACTGGGGATGACTAGAGGGGGGATGGAAGGAGAGGGGCAAGGGCTCAAAAACTACCTATCAGATACTCTGCTCACCGCTTGAGCAGTGGAATCATCCATACCCCAAGCCTCAACATCACACAATATACCCATGTAACAAACCTGCATGTGTACCCCATGGATCTAAAATAGAAGCTGACTTTTTTAAAAAAGGAAGGCTAGCACTGAAATCTTTATCTAGTAATGGAAGCAATGATTATAAAATACTCATATGCTTTCAGAAAGCAAAGAGGTGGCAGTAATCCTGTCTTATTGACTGTATATTCTGAGCTAGGCATTATATTAGGCATTTTCCACATTACAACCGCTTTTGAGATAAATATTATTATATGAGAAAACAAAATCTTAGAAAAGTCATTTAACTTATAAAGATACACATAGCTGTACTATGTAATTAGAAAGGTAATTGCAGAAGCTAAGATTCAAATCCAGAGGTTGTACTCAGTCCACAGACACTGCCGTAAGAGCCCTTAGCATCTGAGGGGTGAAAATGGTATTAGGCAGAATAATGACCTCCTAAAGAGGTCTACATATCTAATCCCCCAGAACCTGTGAAAATGTTAGGTTTGTGGCAAAGGAGAATTAAGGTTGTAGGTGGAAATAAGGTTGCCAATCAGCTGACCTTAGATGACAGACTATCTTGTATCGTCCAAGTGAGCGCAGTGTAATCACAAGGGCTCTCAGTGGGAGAGGGAAGCAGAAGAGTACCAGAGAGAAGACAGTATAAAAAAGACTCTGTCTGATGTTACTAGCTTTGAAGATGGCCACAAGCCAAGGAATGGAGCATCTGGAAACTGGAAGAGACAGGGAAATCAATTTCCTTTGAGCCTCCAGAAGGAATGCAGCCCTGCCAACACCTTGATTTTAGCCCAGTGAAACTCATCTAAGGACTTCTGACCTCTGCAGCTATATGATAATAAATATGTGTGGTTTTAAGCCACTATTTTGGGTAATTTACTACAGCAGCAATCGGAAACTAATACAGGATCCTTCCAAGTTAGAGAAAGAGCAGAGACTTACCTCAGAATTGGGCTAGGGTTAGCCCTGCCAAATTTAACCAAGTGACTGCCACATACATCACTGGAATTTGAGGTGGGGGAAGAGTGGTTTTTTGTTTGTTTTCTGTGAAACAAAAATTCATGTGACTTGTGTATGTAGAACAGAATCATGGAATCCATGTGACCTGGGGATGTAGAACAGACACATGGAAAACTCTAGCTTTGGTGGAAGTGACCACTGATGGAAAACAAACCCTGCCTCCAATTTGGCACATGTGGAAGACTGGACATCACAGATGCTACACAATTAAACACATGAAAAGATTCTCCACAAGTCATTTGCAGCAGACACCCTTGGTTTCCCATTCCTTCCTTTCTCCCTTGCTTCCCAGAGACTCAATTAAGGTTGGCTCTCAGGCAGCCAAGTACTTCAGCACTTGGCCACACCCAGTGCTCAGTGGATGACACTTGATTAATCTCAGCTAATTGTGTTAGTTCCATTCTTCTTAAGTGGTTTAGAAGAGAGCATTCAACATAATCTTGGACATGAGGCAGAAAACAAGGTCTGCAGAGACACTTCCAGAAAAGTTTTCCCTTATTCTTCAGAACCACCATAAGGAAAAGCTGCTTTCTTTTCTGGCTTTGGATACTGGTCTCTGTTGGGAGCTGCTGCAGAAAGCTGGCACACAAATAGAGGCATGCCTGACAATAAAAGCCAATATGCACTGTGAATGGCAGAGTAGGAAAATGAAAAGACTCTGGGTTTTTAATAATGTTATTGAGCCACTGAATTAGCCAACCTTGGACCTTGCCTAATTCTAAAGTTATTTTATATGAGACATAAACGGCCATTATTGTTTAAGTCATTCGAGTTGGGATTCTCAATTACTTGCAACAGAAAGCATCCTAAATGATACAATGGAAAGTAAATCAGTCATCAGTCTTCATGCAATATTTACTATGTGTGGTTTGAGTAAATCAGTCATCAGTCTTCATGCAATATTTACTATGTGTGGGTTGGTCTCCTCTTCTGTTCTGGCCAAATGTGACTTGAGCTATTCCCAGTGGAAAGGAACCATCATTACCACTGACCTCATTAAAAGATGATGCATCTGTGTGTTAGGACTACTTAATTCTTGAGTTAAAACTTCATGTCTAAGATTTTCCATCCTTAAAGGTTTGGATTCATTCAGTAAGTGTGAAAGCAGAACCTCCATTACAGTTGATATCTACTAGAAGGGAGAGATTTAGGTACCATTAGACAACAAGAAACCAAGAATATCTACTCTTGCTAGGTTCTGAAGCTTATTTGTGTGTGCTCAAGCACACATAACTTTTGCTCAATGGCAAAAGAAAGCAAGTTCATACTTTTTTATTCACTGGGCTTAGGCCCTAACTCCCAGTATAAAACTCCTTGGTAAACTGAGCATGAACCCCTTGGCTTGGGTACAGGGACCTACAGGGAGTCTCTGAAGTTGAATCCCACCTTCAGCCTTCCATTTGGCGAAAAAAAGAAAAGAAAATTAAAGAGATCAGTGCTCCCAAGTACACACTGGTGGGAGAAAAAAAAAAAAAGAATATTGGGTAGCCTGGCCATATTGCAAGAATATTGCATAAAATATGAAGACAGAAGAGAGTCACACCTAGGTAAGTGGTCTTTTTAATGTGGAGAAACCCATTGGACCCAGTAAATACGGTCTCAGTAGGGTCATAAAATGTGACCAATAAGATTAGCACTCCACCTCCAAAGGAAAGGAAAACAAATATAAAATGGGAAGCTGGCAGAGGTGTATGAAATAAGTTCCTTCTCAGTATCTAGTCTTTGAAATCTCTAAGGCTTTCCTTTTATAAAATGGTCAATATTGTACTACTCTTAAAAGGTAATGCAAACTTTATTCATAACTGATTTTTACTTTACCCTAGGCTTGGATATGCCTTAGGAACTATTATATTTGTAAGCATTTATTTCCCACGGCTCTGTGAAAAAGTGAAAAATCATAATTGCAACCAAGTCCAGACAACATGGAGAATAATGATGCAGTTAAAAATCCTTTCTAGAGTGCTGCCTCATTATACACAGATGGTGTCTATATGGTGGCTAACATACCCATGGGACAAAACAACTGGCCTTACTGATTTTTGAGCCAAACTTCACTTTGGGGGATTTGGTGGAGTTTTTTTGGCCTCCACAACTTCAAGTATCCCAGAATCCACCTGTGTGCAGTTTGAGCTCTATCCTAAACCATGAAAGAGGCCAAGAGAATTGTAGGCTTCAAAAAAAAACCTGGTCTCCTCCCTCAGAACTCATCAGCCATGCTGGACTCTTTCACCAATGCCCATGAAAGCCCATTTTCTCATTCCGACTTTTATTTTCATTGCAGTCTTTTCATAGGTTAGCAACTAAAATGAATATTCACTACCTTTGCATGAAACTCTTTCCTCAGTCTTATTCTATATTACCTTTCTAGATTAGATGATATTCTTGAAGTCTCTGCTCCAGCCAAATGATTACTTTCACATACTATACTGTCTCCTATAAATAGCTTCTGTATTACTCATTCTATTCTTTTTCTTGTTCTATATTTTTAATGCCTAGTATATTAGCAATAGAAACATCCTTGAAAATGATCCTATCCAAACTATTCACTCTCATCCTAGGAAACTTAGTCTCAGAATTACTGGAACTAGAGAACATAGTGTATGCCTTTGCAGCATAAAAAACCATCACAAAACTTAGCAACTTAAAAACAATGACTTAGTATTTTTTAAGATTTTGTGGGTTGGTCGGGATTTTTTTCTATGATCCCTTACACAGTTGTATGCAGCTGGAGGGTCAGCTGGACAAGAAGATCTAAGATGACCACACACAAGTAGAAGTTAGCATTGCTGTGAGCATTAGTGTCTTGGTCCTCTTCTGCTGACTTATCCTCCAGTAGGCTTCCTTATATGGTGGTGTCAGGGCAACAGTTCAAGAAATGAAAGGTGAAAGCTATAAGGCTCTTGTGGCCTTGACTGTAATGCATATAATTTTACCACCACTACATTCTACTGCTTAAAGCAAGTAACAAAGCCAGCCCTATTCAAAGGTGTGGAGAAACAGACTTCAACTCTGGTTGAGAGGAGCAGCGAAGTCATGTTGCAAAGTGGAATTCATACCAGATGGGAGGAACTGTGAACATTAATCAATCTATCACACAAGACAAGAAAAGGACCAATTATCAGGCTGCACGGATACAGAATCCATGGAAACCTAAACACAGGCTCCTTAGAATGCTTCAGCCTAGGGACAAGATGGGATCCAGGGTCCAATGTATAGGGAGCCAAGCAGATCATTACAATACTGCTTTACCATTGCGGAGTATGGTCTTATTGCATTTGAAAAGGCAAGACCATAAGATACACTATCACTGAGGGAAAGCCAGTAGAGATAGTTCCACCCATGTTGAGAGTAACTAGGGGAAGTCTCCATGTTCCTGAGTCTGGTCAACTGTTTTTTGTACCACCAAATGCATTTGTCAACATGCTAAGATCAGGTTGGTATCCTGGAGATTGGACCGTGCTAATCAAACACAGGAGTATGAAGAAGGCATTTGTATAAAGAACACGGCCCTAATTTGCAAAGACAGAATCCGTTAGAGGGTTTGGATTCTTGAGCACCTGCTGTAAAGCAACATGAAAATCCAATTCATATTCAAAAAGTAACTTGGTAATAATTGGATCCAAGTCAGGGAGCCATGTGGTGAAATGAAAGGAGCATGAGCTGGATTTAAATCGTGTCCCTTTCAACTACTAACTCTAAGACTTCCGCAACCTCTCTTTGCAGAAGTGTTTTCTCTCTCCAATCCTTGGTTTTGTCATCTGGACAATGAGCATAATTATATTCACCTGGAAGAGCTGCTATAAAATTAGAAAAGGCTCTAGAACGTCGTAGTGTGCAAGAAATTATAAGTATAAAAAATAGAGTGCTTAATACTATTGTAAGCCATTAATAAATACACACTTTAATATCAGAAAACACCAAGCCCTAGTTGCTGGGTCATACAGTGAGGACATCCTGCCTCCTGGACTCTGATGGGACACTGTTAACATGTTGAGAGAAATCCAACTCAACCTTTAAAATGTTGCATGCCACCCGCTCTGTCAAACCTTCTGAGCATCCATTGTTTCCATTCTTAATTATGATTCATATGTTTGTAAAGGACTTGGAAGCAAAGAGAGACATGCACAGGAAGTGCGAATCAGTCTCATAATTTTCCATGACCTGAATGGGACGTACCCACTGAGGTGTGAGGTGTGAATTGTTATTCATCTGATCTCCCAAGGATGAAGATGTCACTAATGGGGTTTTATTGTATAGAGTTTACACAGCAGTCTTAATAAAAACCACATCGGAGGTGATTTTCCCACCCCAACACCACTACATTGCAATTTAAAGTTAAGATTAATTTTCCACCATGATTCAAGGAGGATCAATGTTCTGTCAAATAAAATGGCAATAGAAAACTAGGACAGGGCCGGGCGTGGTGGCTTACGCCTGTAATCCCAACATTTTGGGAGGCTGAGGTGGGCGGATCACCTGAAGTTCGAGACCAGCCTGACCAACATGGAGAAACTCCATCTCTACTAAAAATACAAAATTAGCCTGGTGTGGTGTTGCGTGCCTGTAATCCCAGCTACGCGGGAGGCTGAGGCGGGAGAATCACTTGAACCCAGGAGGCGGAGGTTGCCGTGAGCCGAGATCGCGCCACTGCACTCCAGCCTGGGCAACAAGAGCAAAATTCCATCTCAAAAAAAAAAAAAAAAAAAAAAAAAAAAAAAAAAACTAGGACAGGTGAACAAATACATAATTTTTTAAAAAATAAAAACAATTTGCTTAAAATTATATTTCATATTTAATTAACTTCATTTTCCTTGTTTTTTCCAAAACCAATTTATTCAGTAATGTATTATTTCTTATTTTGTCCTCTTTCAACAGTTCCCCTCAGTTTTATATTCTTGCTGAAATAACAGAAGATGCCAATCATTTTGATGATCACTTCAGCAATTAATCTTCACACTAGAAGCAGAAAAAAATTAGTCTTGTGCAGTCTGGATTTATCTACTCAAACCTTCAATAAGGAATAGGCATCCACATCTTCACACGTTACTTGTGGGGAAACTTCCCATCATTATGGAAACATTGATCCTAAATGAGCCTTGTTCTAAGTCATACTAGAAATCTAGAAATTCTCTGGGGCAATGGAGGAGATTAGCCAAAGCCAGGTAACACTGGGATTGAGGGAAAGCTCACTAGTCAGCTATCCAGGTCACAGAATAAAAATCGATCACAGGTCACAGAATTAAAAAGAATCAATCACAGAATCACAGAATCACAAATTGATCACAGAATCAAAAGTGATCCAGATCACGAATCCATCACAGAATCACAGAACCCCAAATCGATCACAGATCGAAGAATCAAAAGCAATCCAGATCACAGAATCAAAAAATGAAATCTGTGCTCCCTTTAGATCAGAATTTTTAACCATGGTAGGTACTTGCCTTAGTCTTTTTGGGCTGTCATAACAAAATACCATAGACTGGGTGACTTAAACAAGAAAAATTTATTTTCCCACCTTTCTGGACGCTAGAAGTTCAAGATCAGGGAGCCAGCAGGGTGGCGTTCTGGTGAAGGCTCTCTTCCTGGCTTGCAGGCAGCAGCCTTCTTGTTGTATCCTCATGTGGTCTTTCCTCAGTGGGTGCATGTGGGAAGAGAGCAATCTCTCTCCACTTCTATTAAGGGCACCAGTTCTTTGAAATTAGAGTCCCACCCATATGACCTTATTTGATTGTAATTTCCTCCTTAAATGTCTTATCTCCAATTACAGTCACATTAGAAGTTAGAATTTCAACACATACATTTTGAGGGGCAAAGTTCAGTCCATAGCAGTGCTCGAAAAATAAGTAACTGACAAGCAAGTCAAGGCATGAAGGCAAGGAAAAATGGGCAACTAATTCTGTTTAACCCAGCATATAGGCGAATGAAAGGGGAATATTGAGAGCTATGATTGGAAGGCTAGGTTGGGACCAGATGGAGAGGAACCCTGAATTTCAGAGTAAGCAAATTTACTTTACCTTATGGGTAACTGGTTAGATAAAGAAGGTTTTTGAGCAGACAAGCACCATGGTTAATGCTGCACTTCAGAAAAAGTGTGATGGCAAAAGTATGCAGAATAACTTTGCAAGGAGATCAGAGGAAGGGAGACTAATCAAGAAGTTACTATAGTAGTTCAGTAAAGGGTTACTAAGAATGCTTAATCTTTACAGATTTGTTACTAAAAATGGGTATGGAAGATTTTTTTCTCTATTTGGCAGATGAGGAAAATCAACCTCTAAACCTCCAAGCCTCTGAGGATTAAGAGACCAAGTCATGACCACATGGTTGGAAAATTGCAGAACCCAAACTAGCATTTGGGACTTCTAACCCCAAGTTCAGTCTCTTCATTCAAATAAATACTGTCTAAGTCAAAAGAAAATGGATACTTTCCATATGGTTTCCATTCCTCTTAGAAGACAATTCTTATTCTTCTCCAATAAACTGAACAGGTTTTAAAAAGAATATATCTACTTGGTTTTCCAAGTAGAAAAAGGAAAATTGACTTAAATTCCACATTGACAGAAACCTGACCATCATGGTTAAGATGTAGGTTCCAGTAGGCAGGTGAATCCAAATCCTGCCTGGACCCATGTACCAGTGTGACTCCCTAAGCCTCATTCGTTTCATCTGTAAAATGGAGAGAACATGCCATGAGATCATACATGAAAAGTTCCTGCTGCATAACAAATTTCAACAAATACGAACCATGGTAATTAAATGTACATTTCTCTGTACCTGGTATTCTTAACTATATCAAATAGGAACACATATTTCAGTTGTTTAAGCAGCACAAGTTTGGTGAATAGACTTCATGCTGGTCTTTAGAATCAAAAATGGTTTGTATAGCTGGAAGAATAAGTCACCTGTTGCCAGGGAGAAGGCAGGAGGCTTACTTTAAACAATAAAAAAAAGGAAAATGTTTCTCTGAGTATTTTTGTTTAATTTCAAATATACAGTCTGAGAGGCTAAGAAAATCCTTGTCTCTCAAAAAAAAGAACATATATCTACTAGAAGGTCAGGCTTGTAGATTCAGTCTTTCAGTGGTATATATTTATGCTAATTTGTGAAGGTACATTCTGTTGATTACAAATAAAATTATTTAGCTTGGTAGTCAAGTGCAGGAAGACAAATATCAAATCTCAGTAGCTACACTTCCAGCTGTTTCGCAAACAGAGATAAAAGATAATCCCTGAAGAAATAGCATTCCTTTCAAGATAAAAATCAAATTTCAAGTGCATAGTGTTCAATAGGAGAAGCCAGATTCACTCCAAAAATTTCCAATAATTGGGGTTGAATAATATTTATAAGAAGAACTTGTGCACTGTGTTGAAATTGACAGGAGTGGTACTTTTTGGCTCAGCATGATGCTAATATCAGTAATTAAGGAAAAGCTTCAAGAGCATCTGCAAAGTGTTTAGTTTGATAAATCTCTTTGCAAGTAAATTTACTGAGCTTCATCATTTTTTCCAACCAAATACACATTTTTTAAAATTTTTAAGGTCATATGGTGTCCCCTTTCATGACTTCTAAGCCCTACTGACACTTTTGCAATTATCAATACCACCACTACCACTTTCTCCATCACTTCCTCACTTCCAATCCCAGCTCTGCTCCCAGCTCACCATCTTCACCTCTAAAACCTCCATTACTAGTTCCACCACCACAAACGACATCAGCTCTACCACCAATGGCACCAGTTCAATCACCAATGTTGCCAGCTCCACCACTACCACCGTCATCCTCATCATCCCCATATCCATCTCCACAGTTCCTTCACCATCCTTACCAACACTGTCCACCAACCATCGCCACTCTGTCTACTATCTCCTCATCACAGTCACCACTAGTGTTCTCCTCTGACCTCTAGTTGTATCAAATGCTACAGACTCTTGTGGTTTCCCCTTCCTTCAACCCAAATTGTTTAACAGGGACAAGTGGCAATATTGAAGCTTAGTGATTGAGCAGTTAACCAGTTTATATTCATATGGTAAACTCAAACTCAGTATCTGCTGAACTGTTCATAATTTAGGATGGAGAATAATGTGCAAATAAGTATAACTTTTTTTTATTTAGTCAATTTGCCACTGCCATTTTGATACCATGATTTTCTTTAGTGTGGCCATCATTTTTTAGGAATTTATGCATTCTTCACCTCTGCCTCACTCTCACTCTCCAATACATCCCTGAGAGAAGGTTTGAGCAAGAGAATGAGTCTTAGGTCTAGGATAAAACTAAATAGTTTGCACATTTGGTAATATTTATAATAAAAGTAGAAATTTTAATGATAAAAACGTACCTCAATCAAAGGAGCTACATAAAAATCACAAAGTCAAAAAAATTCCTGGAATCAGAAAGCTATGTTGAAACACCCACTTTGAACAATCTTTATTCATGTGTACACAATTAACAATGTGTTAAGCACCATGATACTACTAATGCATTTCCTGCAAAATATATTATCCAATTTTTCTAGTGACTCAGAACATAAACTCACATACAAATTGTTTCATGTCATTTAGAACATTTCCAAATCCACCTTATTCATGTGAAAAAAAATGGATCAGCTAATATTTCTCTGGCCAATCACTATGCTCACACATTATAGCCGAAAGTACTTTAACTTAAGAATCACTAATAACTCAAAGTGTTGCATTATAAAAAGATGTTACCTGATGAGAAGCAAATGGAAGAAAAAATATTTGGTCGATGCTAAGGAACAATTGTGCTGGATATCCTTTGTCAACTCCTCCCGTCCCCAGTCTACTCTCTAACTTTTTCTGTTCTGCATCCCAGGAGGTTGATCCTTATTGACTCATCACTTGATGAATCCCATCAGCTGGGTTTCCCAGTCAACTGGCTTCTACCTAGATATAACCAATTTCTCATCATTGCTGTGTCTGCGTGCCTCAACGTTTTTAACCCTGCTCACACATCTGAATACACTCAAACCATTAGAGTCCCTTAATTTGAGCCATCTGGTATGAATTCTACCTTCCGATAGCACCCTAATTTAAACAACAATAAAAAGGAGATATGTTTTACTTTAAATACTTTGAGAAACGGTCATTAGCAAAATCTAGTATATATAGTAAAATACCTCAGCAGCCTGCTTAAAACTAGCATTAAGGAAAATAGTCCGGCAAGATTTTTTTTCCCCTGATGTATCTATCGCTCCACTTGTAACTTCACCCTCAGCCCTGAATTAGAAAAGACAAAGGGAAACTAAACATCACATATGAAACTTGCTCATCTCAAGCTACAGAGTAGGGACTTCAGATACAGTTCTACCTAGGCAGAGAATACTGTGCATTTAGAATGTCTTTGTGCCAAACCTCTTGAGAATCTAGGCATGGCACAGAGAGTACAGAAGAGGAAATAAGCTTCACATTAAAAATCTCTTACATTTTTATGATGCCAGAGTTTCCAAAATGCTTTTGCATTTTTCATATTCTTTAACTTAAATATTGCATAATTAGGAAATCAAACTGTAACAGTCAATGGAGAAGGCAAACCTAAAAGGAAAAAGAGAACATTGAATAATAGTTTTATTATAAAAGGTAAATAACATTTAGAGAGTCAGTATACAGGGCAATCTCATCTAATGCAATTGTCCCAAATTTGTAAAAAAAAAAAAAAAATTGACTGTAAAGCAATTTTCTTTTAATCTAAACCTATTTTTCCATTGAGCCAAAGATGTGTTCCCCACAGGAAATATTTTAGCCCTAAGTCTAAATAAAAATCACATTTAACAATGCTACAAACACCTTTAAAGTCAATTAACTAAGGGAAAAGCTATAATATTCTGACAAAACAATAATCACACTCAAAATAATTCAGAAAATACAAATAAAGTCTCCAGAATAACATTCCCTTAAGGACAAATCCACACAGAAGCAAAATCACCTGGAGGGACTTCAACATAAGGCAGCCACAGTTTAAAAAAATTAAAAACCCATGCTCTTATCTAAATCTACTTGCAATTATCATGGAGTAACATTTGAAAGACCCTGGGGAGGTCCCATTCAAAATTCTTTCCTACACTGCTGTCTAGCATTTCATTCCTGGTGCCTTATTTCTTTGGGTTAAATACCTTTTTCCCCCAGAGTCTTCTTTCAAACTAAAATATCCTTCAGAAGGATAACTTGTTGCACCTTAGAAACCATGTTCTTCAAATTGTAATCTTTGGTCCATCTACATCAGAATCACTACCAGTAATGCTTATTAAAAAATTCAGATTCTTACCCCAATCCTAGACCTTCTCAATCAGCATCCCAGGGATTGGTCTGGAAGTCTGGAATCCTAACAAGCTCCCAGGGGCATGTTAACATTTGAAAATCACTACGTGGTGTGAATAAGGTTATCAAACTCTCCCTTTCCACTGTCCCACAGAGGGGAAGGAAGGCTATTACCTTTCCCTGTGTATATTCTGTACTCTGAGTGCAGAAGTGTTTATTCTCTGAGATGCTAGAGCCCTATAAGGATGCAATTTCAATATACTCCAAGGCAGGGGCTTTACAGTTTGTAAAGCATATTTTATTCACTCTCTATGTTAATCTTTGTAGCAATTCTGGAAGGATTATTTTTACATCAATTTTCTATATGAAAAAATAGATTTTCAGAGAGAATCTTTCCCAAGGTTACACAGAACTGAGATTCAAAACCACATCTTCTAATGCTAATTCTCATGTTCTGAGTTTAGCTTGTATCACTTGTAAAGTTAAATAGCCGTTAAAAGGGGGGGACAAAAAGAGTGAATGAAACTTAGACTGAAACTCAAATAATCAAAAGATGAGAGCACAGAATGTGATTTAAAAATCCTTATGTTTAACATTTACAATTCAAAGTAAATTGCACTGACTGTCTATATCTCAGTCAGATTGTAATACCACAAAAACACTTAACTCTCATCAAAGGCCAACAGAACATTGGTTGCTCTCAGCCGTTTGATTTTACACTAAGCTCTAAGGATCTTTTCCAGTCTAATGTAAAATTTTTAATGTTCTACTATGGAAAGAGCACAGTGAAACAGGGTGTATTTTGGCTCAGAAAAATAAAATCTTCTTAATCTAATTTGTATTAAGCAAAATTTTAAATATGCACAAGGTAGAAAAATAGTATAATGAATCCACATGTACACATCAGCCGGTCTCAACTATTATTGATTCTGCCATTCTTGAAAAAAAAAATAGTTTTTAAAACACCCCTTTAAATTATATAACAATATGCAAATTCAGAATTTCCCACTGCAAATCTTAAAATATTCCCTAAATAAAGAAGCAAATATGTATATTAACAAATAAATTTATACACTCATATTTTTAAGGGGAATTAATTGTTTTCCTTGTGGGAATGCATACAAAATGCCTGCTTACAGCTCAAAAATGTGTGCATTTTCACAATCTGTTTGATGGCAAGCACTAATGGTCAGAAAAAAATAAAATTTAGTCCTTACAGTCTGTCCTGTCTTTAAGCAAAATGTGTGCCATTTACTTGGGAGCTATATAACAGATGTGGATTTAAAAGGAAGAGACCAGTTATAAAGCACTAGGGGGAAGCTGTGCAGATGTCCCTGTTTTTAATGTGTTACTATGTGGGTCCAATTTATCTCACTGCAAGTGATCTAGGACTTCATGAAACAGCTCCAGATTATAGATCACCAATACTCTTTTTTAAAGGCCTTACATTATAAAAAGAAAAAGCATTCTTAAGCCTGGCCATTGAGGCACACAGGGTGGTGTCCTTGACACATTAAATCTGATAAATAAAATGGAGGGAAATGCTAGGGGGACCTTCATATCCATGCAAGGATATGGACTACAAAGACATGTGCAGACAGGGCTTATGCTTTTGCGGGAAGGCCATTTCTATGATCTCCTTATGCATTAGATAGTTCGTCATACCACAATCCTGAAATAGCTCCATTACTATTAGGATGAAAAATTACTCTTTGTTTTCCTAGAACTGTAGCTTTCTACAGACTTGGTAGCTATCACCTATTGAGGGCTTGTTTTGTGCCACACTAGGTCCTTTATGTATAAAGATTATCTCACTTAATTTATATAACCCTTTGAGATAGGTATTGTTAATGGGTTTCAGACATGAAGAAGCTGAGATTCAGTTATAAGTAACTTGCCAACTTGAAAACAGCTAGGAAGTGTCTGACCCAGGATCTGCACTTGGTTCTCTCTGATTCCAAAGTCTTAAGGTTCTAAAGCAGTATATATAGAAAGAGAGATCCTTTGCAATGTTGTTTGCAATATAAAAAATCAGCACCCACCAAAGTGTCCATTGATATTGAACAAATAAATTTTGACAAGTCCATATACTGAAATATACTCCTGTTTAAAAGATTAAAGATAAGGAATGTATTCACATATAACCTCTATTTATTTTGGAGTGAAGGAAGCAAATTTTAGAAGATTGTTATAATAGAATTGTGCATGGAGGTGGATTGAAAGATGCATAAAGTCACACAGCCAACTTACCAGAGGTATTAGTTTCATCTCATTATTTAAATTTTTTAAACTTTATTATCAGATAAAAAGGATAACATTTTTCCGTTTGAAACACTAAGTCCTTGCTCTTTTCTCCTCAAAAGTCAAACTGCTGGTCTGGTCCTGTCCAGTTTTTGAAAGCTGCATCAAGGGATGTTTTGTGGGAGATGAAGGATTTATCTTTATTCAGATGTTACCTAATTTGCAAAGCTTCTCCTGACTGCTGGAGGCAGAAATAGATGCTTCCTTTCTGGGTTCCCAGGTGAAGGGGTGGGTTGCCCCTCCACACCTGTGGGTGTTTCTCGTTAGGTGGAACGGAGAGACTTGGAAAAGAAAAAGACACAGAGACAAAGTATAGAGAAAGAAATAAGGGGGCCCAGGGGACCAGCGTTCAGCATACGGAGGATCCCGCCAGCCTCTGAGTTCCCTTAGTATTTATTGATCATTTTTGGGTGTTTCTCAGAGAGGGAGATGTGGCAGGGTCATAGGATAATAGTGGAGAGAAGGTCAGCAGATAAACACGTGAACAAAGGTCTCTGCATCATAGACAAGGTAAAGAATTAAGTGCTGTGCTTTAGGTATGCATACACATAAACATGTCAATGCCTTACAGAGCAGTATTGTTGCCTGCATGTCCCACCTCCAGCCCTAAGGCGGTTTTCCCCTATCTCAGTAGATGGAACATACAATCGGGTTTTATACCGAGACATTCCATTGCCCAGGGACGGGCAGGAGACAGATGCCTTCCTCTTGTCTCAACTGCAAAGAGGCATGCCTTCCTCTCATACTAATCCTCCTCAGCACAGACCCTTTACGGGTGTCGGGCTGGAGGACGGTCAGCTCTTTCCCTTCCCACGAGGCCATATTCCCTTTACGGGTGTCGGGCTGGGGGACGGTCAGGTCTTTCCCTTCCCACGAGGCCATATTTCAGACTATCACATGGGGAGAAACCTTTGACGATACCTGGCTTTCCTAGGCAGAGGTCCCTGCGGCCTTCCGCAGTGTTTGTGTCCCTGGGTACTTGAGATTAGGGAGTGGTGATGACTCTTAACGAGCATGCTGCCTTCAAGCATCTGTTTAACAAAGCACATCTTGCACTGCCCTTAATCCATTTAACCGTGAGTTGACACAGCACATGTTTCAGAGAGCACGGGGTTGGGGGTAAGGTTACAGATTAACAGCATCTCAGGGCAGAAGAATTTGTCTTAGTACAGAACAAAATGGAGTCTCCTATGTCTACCTCTTTCCACACAGACACAGTAACAATCTGATCTCTCTTGCTTTTCCCCACACCAGGACATCCGGAATACATTCCTTGTTATAACAGCTATGTCTTTGCTGTAAACATCAGGGTTATACCTTTGCTGAACTCTGAGATCCTCAAGGGAAGGAACCACACTTCTTTTACCTGGCACATGACATATGTTTAATAAATATTTCATGAGTGAATAAGTGAATGAGTGAAGGAAAGAAGGAAAAAATGTTAGAGATAATGTTTAATTTCAAAAAGCAGGTGATATGTTCAAAACCCCCATCGGAGAACTATAGTAGCCCATTATGACCCAATGAAAGCCTGAGCTGAAGGTACCGCTGTTGACAGAGCCCTGGATCGTGAAAGGAACCTGGACTTTGGGGTTCGACAACGGATACAAATCCTGGAACTGCCGCGTAGTAGTTTTGTGGGAAAGTCTCTTCATCTCTCTGAGTCTTAGAGCCCCCATCTGTAAAATGAATAGGATAATATTGTCATTTCAGGTTTGCGGTGAGGATGAAGTTGGATGAAATATGTATACTGCCTGGCACATAGTAGACACGCAGTAGGTATTTGCTGTCATCATTATTACACAGCCTATTAGGTGAAGAGTATTTGTGCTGCCTTCCAGGAGCCCAAGAGTACAAAATTAAGGACTGCTCTTAGGCTTTTGATCCAGCACTGACCATTCCTGTAACAGGAATGTCCCTAAATCCTCCAGGTGGTCAGATGGATGTCTTGGGTGCTCTGTCTCATGGGGCATCTACCAGACCAGTCTGACTCTTGGCCAAGGAAGAATGACATGGACTCAAAAAGTGTCTCCTAGAGAGAAAGTTGAAGTCTTTGGTGAACTTTAGAAGCCTTGGTTTCATGTAATCAAAGATAGTGCCCAACTTACAAAAAAAAAAAAAAAAAAAAAGGAAATATCAGGGACTTGAATGCATCATTAGTGGGAACAGATCCTGGACCAACCTTTCTTGTGAGGAGGGAGGAAGGGAGACAAACTGACAGAATCTATCAATGTGTAAAGTATCCATTACTATTTTTTAAATTTATGTTATTTTTTATTGTTGCATTGTTATTTTGCTTTTTTAAAAAAATTTGCTGCACATTTGGGTTTTCTTTCTTTTTCAACTTTCACTTTAGATTCAGGGGTACACATGCAAGTTTGTTACCTGGGCATATTGCATGATGCTGAGGTTTGGGGTACAAATGATCCAGTTACCCAGGTACTGACCACAGTGCCAAACAGTTTTTCAACCCTTGCCCCCCTTTCTCCCTTCCCCCTCTAGCAGTCCTCAGTGTCTATTGTTGCCATTTTTATGTCCAGGAGTACCCAATGTTTAGCTCCCATGTTAAGTGAAAAGAATTCAGCAATTGTTCATCTCAGAATGGATCCTATGGAAATACCTGCAAAAAATGTGCAATTCTACACAAATAGTGTGAAGCACTGTTTGCAGCAGTGAAAAATCAGCAACAAACCAAATCTGTAGGGAAATGATGTATCCCTCTAGTGGTATACACTGCAGCTGTTAAAATGAAATAGATCTACATATACTTCCATGATAAAAATGTGCAAGGCGTATGAATAAGTGGAAAAAGAAAATTGCAGGGCAACATGAGCTCAATTTTGTAAAAAATAATAATAATTATTATGTTTGTGTATAGAAAAAACCTGGGAATGTATATTTATTCCAAATTATCTACCACAGGGTGACATGAGGGGGCATTCACTTTCTACTCTATGTAGTACCTTAAACATTTAAATATTATAAATGAACATGCATTCCTTTGGTAACTAAAAAACAAAAAAATTATATAATTAAATCTAAATTATTAACAGAAATAAAGTAAAATATGGGATAAAGCGTGACTTTGTTAAAGTCTTAAACTATCCTTTTTGATGATTCTAGTCCCCAAGGTCCTTTGACTTTTAGCCAGAGAATTGGCCACGCCCTACAATTCTGTTAGCTCACTTGATAGGTCTGAGTGATGATAGGAGAATACCTAGAATGACTTTTTTTTTCTTTTTTCAAAATGAACAAAAGCCTAATGTACAACCTGGCTGTGAAATATGTATTGCCCCTTGGTTAAAGAAGTGACCTCCAATGGGCAATAATTCCTCTAGATTGAACATTTTGTTACAATTGTCCACAGAAACTTAAAGAGGTTATTTCCTTGATCTGCAGGGCATTCATTTTCTACTATAAGCATCCCATAGTGTAATGTATATACCCTACATATAGAAGATAAATAGCATTTCTCTATTGCTTTTCCCCTGAACTTCTTGATACAAGTGGTGGAAATGATTTGATCTGAATCACTTTTGAGCCTCAGCATTCAAGCGTTCCTAGCTGTTCTTCTCTCTCATTTCCACCACTGTTGCATATTCTTTCTTTAAATAAAAAAAAAAAAAAGTCACCCCCACTCATTTAAAATTGAAAAAATAAAAATAAAAATAAAAATATTTCCCATTTACTAAATGGATGAAATGGACAAAATCCAGTGTTGGTGTACTTTTGGGGGTGCAGATTAGTATGATTCTTCTAGGAAATAGTTTGTCAACATGTATCAGAATGGAAAATGTAAATCCTTTTGACTCAGCCATCTTACCCAAGAGTGAAAAGATGTATGCTTCATTAAAAAACCAGAAACAACCAGTACTGTCATTAGCAGGATAGGTTAAAAACCGTGGCATATTCAGACAATAAAACATTAGTTTTCAGATATAGGTGGGTAGAATAGTGTCCCCCCAACATTCATATTTACCTGAAACCTCAGAATGTGATCCTCTTTGGAAATAGGATATTTTCTGATGTAATTAAGGATCTCAAGATGAAATCATCCTGGGTTTAGGGTGGGCTGTAAATCCAACGACTGGTGTCCTTATTAAAAACAAAGGAGAGGACACAGAGAAACACACAGACACACACAGGGAAGAAGCCCATGTGGATGGAGGCAGAGATTGGAGAGATGCAGCCACAAGCCAAGAAACACTGAGGATGGTCAATATCACAGGAAGCCAGGAGAGTGGAATGGAACAGGTTTTCCTTCAAGGCCTCCAGAAGAACCAACCCATCAAAACCTTGATTTCAGATTTTTGGCCTCCTGGTTGTGAGAGAATAAACTTCTGGTTGTTCTAAGACACTCTGTTTGTGATAGTTTGTTACGACGGCCCTAGGAAACTAATACAGACACAATGTCTGGGATTTGTTTAAAAATGATCCAGTGATGAGGTGAGGAGTGAAAGAGAGATACAGATGAAACAAAATTAGATAATAGATCCATGGGGGGATTATATAATATTTTGAATGTTTTTGTATGTTTGAAATTTTCCATAATGAAAAGTTAAAAAGAAATACTATGTAAATTAAAATTCACTGGCATAGAAAGATATCTATGAATGTATTGTTCACTTGAATAAAATAAGTCACTAAGTTTGTTGGTATCTTATGATTTATCCTGAAGAGAGATTTCTGGAAGATGCGTATCACAATGTTATGCCTCCTCATTTCTGAGTGGTGTGATTTGAGTTGATTTCTTCTTCCTATTATTTGTTTGTATTGTTGGAATTGTTTACAACATGAATCATTTGTATTTTAAAAGATTAACCTAGTTTCAATAATAATAATATCCTGGCCGGGCTCAGTGGCTAATGCCTGTAATCCCAGCACTTTGGGAGGCCGAGGCAGGCAGATCACAAGGTCAGGAGATCGAGACCATCCTGGCTAACATGGTGAGACCCCGTCTCTACTAAAAAATACAAAAAATTAGCCGGGCATGGTAGCGGGCACCTGTAGTCCCAGCTACTTCGGAGGCTGAGGCAGGAGAATGGCGTGAACCCAGGAGGTGGAGTTTGCAGTAAGCCAAGATCACGCCACTGCACTCCAGCCTGGGCAACAGAGTGAGACTCCGTCTCAAAATAATAATAATAATATCCGTTCGAATTACACTATAACAAGAAATTCCTTCTGTACCTTCCCTATGCCTATGATAAGTCTGATATTTCTATTCCCATTTTAATGAAGATAGGAGCTCAAGGAAATAACCTCCCTAACATCAGTAAGGATTTTGGATCAGGATTCCAAATTAAGTCCAGGTTTTGCCAAAATGGAAGGTGATGTCATTGTCTGTTGTTACATTGGACATTTCCTTTTCACTCTCAACAGAAGACTTTAAGAAGTTTGATCCCCACTCAGACATCACCAGATACTGACCTGATAGTAGGACATTTGCCCAGCCTCTGGCCGTAAGAGATATCCTAAAGCCAGTGTTGTCTCCTTGTGAATAAAGAGGGTCATCCTTTACAACAGTGACATTCAAGTAGTGCTAGAGGAAAGAATGAGATTCAGGGATTCTCATCCTTTCAATCTCCCTCCACTCCAACCAGCCAGGCTGATGAAATGCAAGGAAAACATTCAAAGAGGGTTAAAATTCTAATGGGTAAAAGAAGTAACTCTATCAAGGAGAGTAAATACGTGACATATTTTCTCCCCACTCCCAGGTCTGTGACAGCCACCACTAACTGACTGCCATTCTTTCAAACTAAAGGTTGGATGACAATCCAATAGAGATCTGCTCCCAATAGTGTTGGTACACAAGGTGCAACCCATTTGCCATCCCTAGATCCTATTCCGAATCAAATTCTGATCAAAGGTCAAACAACCAGTTTCTTAGCAAAATAGCAAAGCAGAAGTGAGTGGCATCTTGGAAAAAGAGTACTGATGTCACTGCCAGTTTGGGATTAAAAAAAAAAAAAACACTCAGTATAGTCATTCATTTCACTGAGCATTTACTAAGAACCTACTGTGTGTCCGCTGGCTCACATCTGTAATCCCAGCACTTTGGGAGGCTGAGGCAGGTGGATCACGAGGTCAAGAGATCGAGACCACCCTGGCCAACATAGTGAAACCCCATCTCTACTGAAAATACAAAAAATTAGCTGGGTGTGGTGGCACGCGCCTGTAGTCCCAGCTACTTGGAAGGCTGAGGCAGGAGAATCACTTGAACCTGGGAGGTGGAGGTTGCAGTGGGCCAAGATCATGCCACGGCACTCCAGCCTGGCGACAGAGTGAGAATCCATCTAAAAAAAAAAAAAATTAAAAAAAAAAAGAACCTACTGTGTATCAGCTCTAGTGATGTAAAGAAAACTAAAACACAGTCTCTGCCCCTGAGAAGTTTAGAAGAAAAAGCAAATTGCTCTGGAAATTAGGAAGATAGACTTCAGAAAGACTATAAAACAAGATGCACAAGATTCTGCTTTGTGTGGGGGCTCCCTGTCCTTGACTAGAGCTACCAGTCTGAAGGTAGACTCGGAGTTTAGACTTTTCCAAAGCTACGATCCATGGACTGCTCCAGGCAAATGTACAGGCTTTATTCTTTGCTTTAACCAGAAACCCACAAGAAGTGCAAGAAATCCAAAGGTGCTGATTATCCGTGGATTATAGGAACAATCGCTACTGTCATTTGTTGAGCAAGTGTCAGGCACGTTTCATTTATAATCTCTAATCCTCACAACAACTCTGCAAGGTAGGTTTGTAATCCTCATTTTATTCATGAGGAAAATAAAGTTCCAAGAGGTGAATAACATGACCAGGAAATAGCCTTTAAAAGAGATTTAAACTTAGGTCTCTTTGAGTTTATGTGCTTTTCTACTTAGCTTTCCCACTTAGATACTACACGACTTCTGAAAAGGGAAAAAATATGTGTATTAGTGTGAACAGGCACACTAACATATGTATACGACATACACATGGGCATGTATCCAGAAAAGGCCAAAAACCATACAGTTACTGAGGAGGACAACTTTCTACAACTTACCAGAACCAAACAGTAATGGATGCCATTAACACACTGATACAGACATATAAATTGAAGAAAGTGGCTTCTGATTATAGGAAATGCTCTCCAAAGCATTTGATTTATAGACTCAAATCAGGAAATAATTTCTCACTGCATACCTTCTTTAGTGTTTACATAGCAACTAAGAACCTAATCCTACTTTTTGAAACTGCCAGACTCTAAGAAAAGAGAACAAGCAGCACATGAAATCATTTCAACAGAATAGCAGCAGTAACGTTGCCACCCTTGGTCTTGGTTGTGCCACTCCTTTCTTCTAAGTTACCAAGGGGCCAAGGGACAGAAAGGAAACAAAGATAACAGAACCAGCATATTTTGGAGAAAGGTGAGATGAGGGGCAAAAGGCTCAGTTCATCTGTCCAAAGATCTCTAACAGAAAAAAAAAAAAAAATTTCAGGAAACAAGACCAATCTAAGGTGCTGCAAAATGAAAAAAAAATCTTCACATCAAATAAGAGCTTTCTTCCTAGAATAAATAAATCCCTCAGATTAGGTAAACACCCAAAATTAAAACACACGATTATTGTATTTCTTTTGTATTGCCAACATGTTCCCGTGCTCCAGTCGAAGCAAAAGATTAAACATCCTTATATTTTTGTTGTGATTTTACTGCCAAATGCAAATATCTGACTGTAAGTAAGTCATTACTCTCCTGCTGTTGTGGTCTGATTAATTCTCACAATATTAGCCAGCAATTCATTTTATCCCTTGGCATCACAAGTCCAGTTGAAGGAGATAAGTAGCTGATAAAAGATCTCTGAGAACAGTTATAAATGATTCACTTTAAAAGAATAATAAAGCAGCCGCTGGATAAGTGCGGCTGAGTAAACCTTCCATACATTGCACAAAACTAATTTAGTTTAAAAAACTTCGGCAAATTATAGTCAATAATCTTCACTGTCACCCCGCTGCTCACAAAACTTTTGAGAAGAAACTTAATGCTGAAATGTAAATATTTAATTAGATTTTAATGGTGAGGTTTATTTTTCCTAAATCTGGTCATCTGTCTCAATTACATTCCCCATTTTTTACAGTTAACCAGGAATTGTCATTCCCATGGGCTTTAGGCATGTTTTCTTTTTTCTAATTCCTACTTAGCATTTGCTTTCTTCACAATGTAGTTCTTGCGGGAAAGGGCTTGGTTTGTTCTGTTTCGGAAAAAAAAAAAAAAAAAAGCAACATTTGGGGAAAAAAAAATACATGTTCTGAGCAATGCTTTTAAAGCTAATTGTCCTTCTGTCCTAATAATAAAGAATCTTCAGCAGCTAAACAATTAATTGTCTTTTTTCTACCTCACTGAACAGGGTAATTAATATGCGTTTGTATTTATGTAACGCCTAAGTAAAGCAGTTCTCTATGTACTTGGAGATTCTAAAGGTATATTTCTTTCCAATGTATTCTGTAGTTTTAATTTTGCACGAATTTGCAGAAATCAGTGAAACGTAACTTGTTTATGTCCCTTCCTCCAAAGCCAATATTAAAATCTGTCTTTCCTTCTGTTAAGCATAAAACTCTTCTGAACTGTTATGGGGGAGATAACGAAACTGTTTTCCTTAGCCTCTGTTCTTTGTTCCAATCATCAAGCTACATATCCCGCTTCAGACCCACCCTTCTGTGCTGGGCTTTGTGATGGGGCAGGAATTCTGAGAACCACCTTGCCAGCTGCTTTGTTAGACTCAGCCAACAGGGGGCACTAAGGGAAGCCGGAGGGTGGAAGGGACTTGCCTGTCCTGTCGGCGTCATGTTGCTATGGGCATCACCCCAGCAGCGTTTCTTCACCCTGGCAGCAGCAACTTGCTCCTGTAGCAGGATTTGATTCCAGTTTGTAGTTTTTCCTGCAATTACAAAACAGCCTCGACTCACGCTCTCGTAGACACCAGCACCAGCAAGGAGTGCATCTTCCCCAGAGTTCTGGGTTCCAGCCCCAGGGGGCCTTTCCTCCAAGCTCCTAGGTTTGACGATTTCAACCTCCTCGCAGACATTTGTTCCCCCAACCCAATGCCTTGTCACTGCTTCCCGAAGCTGCCACATCTGTGATTATCTTAATGTTCACTTTTTGCATTTTCAGTTCATTAACACCTTTAGTGCAATTTTTAATATTCAATTTAGTAAAATGAATCGGTGTGGTTTTGGTCTCCTGGTCTGATCTTGACTGCTACACCCTTGCTTACTTTTAAAGCAGGTGCACCTGAGTTGGAATTCCAGCACTGCCACTTACTAGCTGTGTGATCTTGGCCAATTACTTACAATTTCTGAGCTTTGGTTTTTTTCTTATGCAAAATGGGTATAATATCCTAGAGCTGTTATGCTTAACGAGATGACCTATGTCAAGTGGCTTAAAGACAGTAAGGCCAAAAAATGTTGGTTCCTTTCCTCTTCACCTTCTGTATGTTCAAGTTCTCCTGTTTACAGCAAGTAAGAGTCATGCTCTTTTCTTACCAAAAATAAACGTGTGCTTCCTCCTTCATTACAATACATACTGTATTGTGCCCATTGTATCTCTGCAGTCTCATTCCAGTTAGCTCCTCCATGGTGCCTTAATTCCAGGTGTGATCATCACAATAACTCCTTCAAGCCTGTCAATACATTTTTATGTTAATCATATTCTTTTCCATTGCTTTCTGGCAGCCCAGCTTCTAATTATTTTGCCAATGCTCATGACATTTTTATCTAAAACATTTCTGCATTTCATATTCTCTTCCCATATGGTTTCTGGAACTGTCATTCCCCCCCACCCCCATCTCATTTACCACACACCTTTACTCACCTTTACTCCTCACTCCCCACTTACATTCTCTTACTTTCTGGAAATTTCACATATTGGTATATTAATTCCACATCAGGTCACACATGTCTTTTAGAAACATCAAATTCCCGTCTGCCCATTCACTTTTCCTTTGTGAAGCTTTTAGGGTACGGTTCATAATAGGCCATTGGCAAATATCTGCTGAATAAAAAATTAAGGAAATCTCCATTTATTCCAATCATCAATCTTTTTTGTTCCACCTATTTCAAATTCTTTGGCTTTTACCTTTTGAAAGCTGCTATTTCCTCACTCTGAGCAAGGAAGAATAAACTTGGGTCATATTCCCCTTTCTGTTCTACTCTTTCCATTAATAGTATAATACAAAAACAAATCTTCAAAGACACAAAGAGATATAAGATATTCAAAGATATAAGGCAGTGTCCTCATGTCTAACCCTCTTTTACTCAAAAAGCACTCTACTTTCAATTTTTCTTGTATGTTCCATTGTTTGATAAGACACTTAGGCACAGTATCCACATGGACAAGTCATATTTAGTTATTGGTATTCAGTTATAGTTTTTGTAGCTGTATGCATGTGTGTGTATATATATAAATTAAATATTTGGTGAGTTGGTCTCATTTTCTCAAAAATCAATTTGTTTATATCTACCTTATTGCCACAAAGGTGGTGAGGCAGACAGTCACTGTTAAAAATGGACACTGTTTCCATATGATTATTTTTTTTTTTTTGCTCAGTGTGATTGATCTCCTTTTTTGTGGCTAGGTTATGCCAAACTTAAAGTTTCACAGTTTACTACTTCTATATTAATATTCCTGCTAAAAATAGTCTAGCATCTCTGGTTTCTAGCATTTCACTCTCATTCCCTCTTTTCAAACAAAATGGCATGTTCACATATTGGATTCGTCATTTGTTTTTTTCCACAGAACTCTATTTTTAAACCGCCAGCAAGGAATTCCCCAGAGCTTTGATGAATCAGGTGTTGATTTAATTGTTGCAAGACATGAACCAGACAATTAAAACCATCTGAGTAATAGCCCTCCTTCACAACCATTTTACAGAGAAGGAAACCAAGGCCCAGAGACCTGATGCCAGCTGGCCAAATGACCAAGTGGGAACGGCAGAACTGGGAAGATGTTTCCATCCCCTGAATTTCAAGCCAATGTTTTTTCTCTTTGTTTTTATCTTGTTACCTCTTTGGAAACCCCTAAGCCTTAAGCCTTCTTTCAAATATTGAATGTCTGAAGGGAACTATTTCATTATTTCTAACCTCTTTTCATTCTGCTTTCATGCATAATTTTTCTCTTTTTCTTTCCACCTCACATTGTATAAATAAAAATGTTGATATACCCATGACTCTTTCTCAGCACCACACTGCCCCAACACTGCTACTATGCACAACCTTCTTAATTAAGAGGAAATTCAAGTAAAATAAGAAAATTAAGAAGCTAAAAACATTTGCAAGCATAGAACTTCAAGTTTCAAGATGATGGACTGAACATATAGCATACTCCCTCTCCCTTTACAAATCAAAAGATTAAATGTTTTTTAAATAAACATAATATGCATGTATACGATGCTTGGAAACAAGAAAGGTCACTTCCAATAACCACAAAAATGTAGGAAATTTCTGAAATACATAAAGCTTCTGAGAAGCAACAGAGAAATTCTGCATACCCTTTACAATAGTTCATTAATTACTCCATGACTAAACCACAGCATATTCCTTTATATTATTTTGATAATATCATATATAATTATGTGATATAGTTTAGGAGCTAAGAAGAATGAGAAAAGGAGTAATATTTATATATTATTTTATTTAGTCCTAAAAGTAACCTTATAGATTTAGTGTTATTATCCCCACCTTGCAGATGAAGAAGTCGAGTTCCAGGGAAGTAACCTAAGACCTCCTTGCTAGTAAGTGACAGAATGAGGATGGGAACATGGGTATTTCTGGCTTTAAAGCCTGGGCAATTTCCACTACACCAAGATGTCTCCTCACACAGTGGAAGGGCAAACACTTATTGGACACTGCCATATGACAGGCATGGGACCAGATACAACATTATTAATGACAGTGAATGGTACAGGTAGTTTGGTTTGCCTGAGGATTTTCAAGGAAGAATGTTAGTAAGGCAAAGATGGCTAATCCCATTTACAGGAAGAAACCCAAGGAATGCAGAGGACAAATCAGTTGATTAGAGTAACGGAAATCACCAGCTCCATTCAAGAAGAGATAGTCATTCATCACCAGTTAATGGTCACCAGCCACAGTCTCACTCCTAGTCCCAACTTGGAGCTAGAGTAAACCTTTGTGTGATGTCCAGTCAGAGATTAGGATGGCAGTGCTGTGGGTCTGGAATTGATCAAGATCAAATCCATGATCTTGTTCTCATTAGTGCATGCCCTAATACTCTTGAGTGGTCTCATACATAAGCCCCATTTCATTTTCTTGAACATATAAAATCATCACTGAGGGAATTATGACAACTCCCAGAAAAAAAAAGAAGACAGACACAAATGCCAGTGAGTCTTCCATCCTCTTGGAAATCTTAGCAACCTCCACAAAGTCTGGCGGTATGTGGTATCAGTAACTGGCTTGGAGCTCAGAAATCTCACAGATATGTCTTCAAGAGCTCCTGGGAGATTTTAATCAGGAGTTTTTGATTCCCACTGTGACTCATCCTGTGAGCTTGGTTTTATGCAGTAGTATCAGAATCTCATTTTAGGTACTCTCCTCAGGAAGAGAGCTCAACAACATGGAAAAAAGAAGGAAGAAAGGAACTAACATTTATGACGTGTCTACAATGTGCTCGACTCAGTGTTCAGTGTTCTAACTACGTTATCTCATTTAATCTGCACAAAAGTTTGATGAGCTAAGGCAGAGTACCTCATTTTGACAGGTGGTGAAACTGAAAATGTGTGAGGTTGAGAAACTTGCTCAAGTTCACACAGTTAGTAGGGTCATGAAGGTTGGTAAGCTTCAACAATGAGTCTATTTGCCAAAGAAATGTATGCCTTTCTCATTAAATTACCTTGAATATAAAAGTGAATACCACTAAGTAATTTTTGTTATTCTTCTGCTAATCTCTGACTGGAAATAATTTGATATAAAACATCATTTTGCCTTTTTGGGCAAAATTCTGTCTAAATACAGAAAATATTGCATCATTACCTAGTAAATTGCTTTCTTACACACCATAGTTTATCATCTGCAGATATTGTCAGGGCTTGATATTCGAGTCATTATGCTTATGGGATTTAATTTTTAATGATGCAAAAATTATGCACAGTATACCATCATTTCTCTCCCAAAACCAGAATCTGATAGCTAATAATTGCTCCTTACTTCGTCTGCTAACGCTTCATGATATTAATTAGAGTGTAACTGGAATCAGAAAAGTGACTCTCTGAAAATGGCCTTTATGGATTCTGTGCTCATTTTCTTCTAGTAACTTCAAGATTAAAATTGTTAGGTACACATCAACAATTTTTTCCCTGACAAACTCTCTACAAACAAGATATAAGGTCTAGGAAATCTGGCTGGTGACCTTTTCACTTCATGCAAGTGCAAATAACTCCGTAGTTGTATTAGTTGCATAATGCTAGCTACTGTAACAGTAAGCCATCAAATTAATGGCTTATCACAATAGACAGAAGTAAACCTCTATTTATTCTCGTGTTAATCCCATGCAGGTGTTCCCAGCAATGGATAGCTTTCTTCCATATGGTAATTTACAGATCTAGGTTTCTTCAATTTATGGTACCGCAGGTCCCTATGGCCTTAGAATACTCTGCCTGCAGGAGTGTGTGTAGAATGTTCAAGAGAAACATACATATATAATTAATATATGTGCAAATAAATAAGAATATCTATCTCACATGGGTTATTGTGAGGATTAAAGTCATATACATATATTTATCTTGCATCATAAATACATAAACATAATTTTAATCTTCATAAGAACCTTCTGAGTTACAGAATTTTATCATTTACATTTTACAACTGAAGAAACTGAGTTAATGTGGAGTACTTTAACTTGCCTAAAATCACTGCTTCAGTGTCCATGGCTGCTATGGTAAATTACCACAAACTTGGTGATTGAAAACAACAGAAATTTATGCTGTCCCATTTCTGGAGGATGGAAAATCAGTATCACTGGACTGAAATCAAAGTGTCAGCAAGGCCATATTTCCTCCAGAAGCTCTCGGAGAGAATCCATTCCTTGCCTCTTACAGAATCTGGTGGCAGCCAGAGTTTTTTGGTTTGTGGCTGCATAACTCGAAATCTGCCCCATTCTTCACTTTGCCACCTTCTCTCTCTCCTTCTCTCTCTCTCTCTCTCTCTCTCTGTGTGTGTCTGTGTGTGTGTGTGTGTGTGTGTGTGTGTGTGTCTGCAAAATTTCCTTCCAACTCCCTCTTAAAAGGACATACATGATTACATTTACAGCCCGACCTAATAATCCACAATAACCTCCCCGATCTCAAGAACCCTAACTTAATCATGTTACAAAGATTGTTTTTTCATATAAGGTAACATTTACAGGTTCCAGGAATTAGGACATGAATATTCTCTGAGTATTCATTTTCCAGCCTACAGCAATCACCCAGCTGCCACATGGCAGGTCTGGGAATTGAAGCCAAGAAGCATGCTCCATAATCCAGAATCTTATCCATTTTCCTAAACAGTTTCCTTCAGCCATACACCAATTCAGCTATCATAAAGCAGAAGTCATGTAACTATTTCCACAAAAAGAAATTAATGACAAAATAGAAATGCAGGCCTTTACCTCCTCCGCATATCCTGCCATCTCTCCACCTGTCTGGGCCTTATTCTTTTATTATTACTATTATCATTATACTTGAAGTTCTGGGATACATGTGCAGAATGTACAGGTTTGTTACATAGGTATACACATGGCTTCGTGGATTTCTGCCCCCATCAACCCGTAATCTACATTAGGTATTTCTCCTAATGCTATCTCTCCCCTAGCCCCCCAACCCCTGACAGGCCTCAGTGTGTGATGTTCCCCTCACTGTGTCCACCTGTTCTCATTGTTCAACTCCCACTTATGAGTGAGAACATGCGATGTTTGGTTTTCTGTTCTTGTGCTAGTTTGCTGAAAATGATGGTTTCCAGCTTCATCCATGTCCCTGCAAAGGACATGGACTCATCCTTTTTTATGGCTGCATAGTATTCCATGGTGTATATGTGCCACACTTTCTTTATCCAGTCTATCATTGATGGGCATTTGGGTTGGTTCCAAGTCTTGCTATTGTGAACAGTTCCCCCAATAAACATACATGTGCATGTGTCTTTATAGAGAATTATTTATAATCCTTTGGGTATATACCCAGTAATGGGATTGCTGGATCAAATGGTATTGCTGGTTCTAGATCCTTGAGGAATCGCCACACTGTCTTCCACAATGGTTGAACTAATTTACACTCCCAACAACAGTGTAAAAGCATTCCTATTTCTCCACATCCTCTCCAGCATCTGTTGTTTCCTCACTTTTTAATGATGACCATTCTAACTGGCGTGAGATGCTATCTCATTGTGGTTTTGATTTGCATTTCTCTAATGACCAGTAATGATGAGCTTTTTTTCATATGCTTGTTGGCTACATAAATGTCTTCTTTTGAGAACTGTCTGTCCGTATCCTTTGCCTACTTTTTGATGGGCTTTTTTCTTGTAAATTTGTTTAAGTTCTTTGTAGAATCTGGATATTAGCCCTTTGTCAGATGGGTAAATTGCAAAAATTTCCCCCATTCTGTAGGTTGCCTGTTCACTCTGATGATAGTTAATTTTGCTGTGCAGAAGCTCTTTAGTTTAATTAGATCCCATTTGTCAATTTTGGCCTTTGTTGCCATTGCTTTTGGTGTTTTAGTCATGAAGTCTTTGCCCATGCCCATGTCCTGAATGGTATTGCCTAGGTTTTCTTCCAGGGATTTTATCATTTTAGGTCTTACGTTTAAGTCTTTAATCCATCTTGAGTTAATTTTTGTATAATATGTAAGGAAGGGGTCCAGTTTCAGTTTTCTGCATATGGATAGCCAGTTTTCCCAACACCATTTATTAAATAGGGAATCTTTTCCTCATTGCTTGTTTTTGTCAGGTTTGTCAGAGATCAGATGGTCATAGATGTGTGGTGCTATTTCTGAGGCCTCTGTTCTGTTCCATTGGTCTATATTTCTGTTTTGGTACCAGTACCATGCTGTTTTAGTTACCGTGGCCTTGTAGTATAGTTTGAAGTCAGGTAGTGCAATGCCTCCAGCTTTGTTCTTTTTGCTTAGGATTGTCTTGGCTATACAGGCTTTTTTTTTGGTTCCATATGAAATTTAAAGTAGTTTTTTTCTAATTCTGTGAAGAAAGTCAATGGTAGCTTGATGGAGATTGCATTGAATCTATAAATTACTTTGGGCAGTGTGGCCATTTTCACAATATTGATTCTTCCCATCAATGAGCATAGAATGTTTTTCCATTTGTTTTGTGTCCTCTTATTTCCTTGAGCAGTGATTTGTAGTTCTCTTTGAAGAGGACCTTCACACCCCTTGTGAGTTGTATTCCTAAGTATTTTATTGTCTTTGAAGCAATTGTGAATGGGAGTTCACTCATGATTTGGCTCTCTCTTTGTCTGTTATTGGTGCATAGGAATGCTTGTGATTTTTGCACACTGATTTTGTATCCTGAGACTTTGCTGAAGTTGCTTATCAGCTTAAGGAGATTTTGGGCTGAGACGATGGGGTTTTCTACATATACAATCATGTCATCTGCAAACAGAAACAATTTGACTTCTTCTCATCCTATTTGAATACCCTTTATATCTTTCTCTTGCCTGATTGCCCTGTCCAGAACTTCCAATACTATGTTGAATAGGAGTGGTAAGAGAGGGCATCCTTGTCTTGTGCTGGTTTTCAAAGGGAATGCTTCCAGCTTTTGCCCATTCAGTATGATATTGGCTGTGGGTTTGTCCTAAATAGCTCTTATCATTTTGAGATATGTTGCATCAATACCTAACTTATTGAGAATTTTTAGCATGAAGGAGTGTTGAATTTTATCGAAGGCCTTTTCTGCATCTATTGAGATAATCATGTGGTTTTTGTCATTGGCTGTTTATGTGATGAATTACGTTTATTGATTTGCATATGTTGAACCCGGCTTGCATTCCAGGGATGAAGCCAACTTGATCGTGGTGGATAAACTTTTTCATGTGCTGCTGGATTCAGTTTGCCAGTGTTTTATTGAGGATTTTCACATCAATGTTCATCAGGGATATTGGCCTGAAGTTTTCTTTTTTTGTTGTGTCTCTGCCAGGCTTTGGTATCAGGATGATGCTGGCCTCATAAAATGAGTTAGGGAGGAGCCCCTCCTTTTCTATCGTTTGGAATAATTTCAGAAGGAATGGTACCAGCTCCTCTTGGTACCTCTGGTAGAATTTGGCTGTGAATCTGTCTGGTCCTGGGCTTTTTTTGGTCGGTAGGCTATTAATGACTGCCTTAATTTCAGAACTTGTAATTGGTCTATTCAGGGATTCAACTTCTTCCTGGTTTAGTCTTGAGAGGGTGTACGTGTCCAGGAATTTATCCATTTCCTCCAAATTTTCTAGTATATTTGCATAGAGATGTTTATAGGATTCTCTGATGGTAGTTTGTATTTATGTGGAATCAGCGGTGACATCCCCTTTATCATTTTTTATTGTGTCTATTCTCTATTTTCTTCTTTATTAGTCTGGCTAGTGATCTATCTTTTTGTTGATCTTTTCAAAAACCCAGCTCCTGGATTCATTGATTTTTTCATAGGTCTTTTCGTGTCTCTATCTCCTTCAGTTCTGCTCTGATCTTAGTTATTTCTTGTCCTCTGCTAGCTTTTGAATTTGTTTGCTCTCATTTCTCTAGTTCTTTTCATTGTGACGTTAGGATGTTGATTTTAGATCTTTCCCGCTTTCTCCTGTGGGCATTTAGTGCTATAAATCTCCCTCTAAACGCCGCTTTAGCTGTGTCCCAGAGATTCTGGTACATTGTATCTTTGTTCTTATTGGTTTCAAAGAACTTATTTATTTCTGCCTTAATTTCATTATTTACCCAGTAGTCATTCAGGAGTAGGTTGTTCAGTTTCCACGTAGTTGTGCAGTTTTGAGTGAGTTTCTTAATCCTGAGTTCTAATTTGATTGTACTGTGATCTGAGAGATTGTTATGATTTCTGTTGTTTTGCATTTGCTGAGGAGTGTTTTACTTCCACTTATGTGGTCAATTTTAGAATAAGTGCAAAGTGGTGCTGAGAAAAATGTATATTCTGTTGATTTGAGGTGGAGAGTTCTGCAGATGTCTATTAGGTCCGCTTGGTCCAGAGCTGAGTTCAAGTCCTGAATATCCTTGTTAATTTTCTGTCTAATATTGACAGTGGGGTATTAAAGTCTTCCACTATTATTGTTTGGGAGTCTAAGTCTCCTTGTAGGTCTCTAAGAACTTGCTTTGTGAATCTGGGTGCTCCTGTATTGGGTGCTCCTGTATTGAGTGCGTATATATTTAGGATAGTGAGCTCTTCTTGTTGCATTGCTCCGTTTACCATTATGTAATGCCCTTCTTTGTCTTTTGTGGTCTTTATTGATTTAAAGTCTGTTTTATCAGAGACTAGGATTGCAACCCCTGCTTTTTTTTTTTTTTTCTTTCTGTTTGTTTGGTAAACTCCCTTTATTTTGAGCCTGAGTGTGTCTTTGCACGTGAGATGGGTCTCCTAAATACAGCACACTGATGGCTCTTGACTCTTTATCTAATTTGCCAGTCTGTGTCTTTTAATTGGGGCATTTAGCCTTATTGTTATGTGTGAATTTGATCCTGTCATTAGGATGCTAGCTGGTTATTTTGCCTGTTAGTTGAGGCAGTTTCTTCATAGTGTTGATGGTCTTTACAATTTGGTATGTTTTTGCAGTGGCTGGTACTGGTTTTCCTTTCCATATTTAGTGCTTTCTTCAGGAGCTCTTCTAAGGTAGGCCTGGTGGTGACAAAATCTCTCAGCATTTGCTTGTCTGTAAAGGATGTTATTTCTCCTTCACTTATGAAGCTAGTTTGGCCAGATATGAAATTCTCAGTTGAAAATTCTTTTCTTTAAGAGTATTGAATATTGGCCCCCACTCTTTTCTGGCTTGTAGGGTTTCTGCAGAGAGATCCACTGTTAGTCTGATGGGCTTCCCTTTATGGGTAACCTGACCTTTCTGTCTGACTGCCCTTAACACTTTTTCCTTCATTTCAACCTTGGTGAATCTGATGATTATGTGTCTTGGAGTTGCTCTTTTCAAGGAGTATTTTGTGGTGTCCTCTGTATTTCCGGAATTTGATTGTTGGTCTGTCTTGCTAGGTTGGGGAAGTTCTCCTGGATGATATCCTGAAGAGTGTTTTCCAACTTGGTTCCATTCTCCCCATCACTTTCAGGTACACCAATCAAATGTAGGTTTGGTCTTTTCACATAGTCCCATATTTCTTGGACACTTTATTTGTTCCTTTTCATTCTTCTTTCTCGAATCCTGTCTTCACACTTTATTTCATTAAGTTGACCTTCAATCTCTGATATCCTTTCTTCTGCTTGATCAATTCACCCACTGATACTTGTGTATGCTTCACTAAGTTCTCATTTCGTGTTTTTCAGCTCCATCAAGTCATTTATGTTCTTGTCTAAACTGGTTATTCTAGTTAGCAATTCCTCTAACCTTTCGTCAACGTCCTTAGCTTACTTGCATTGGGTTAGAAATGCTCCTTTAGCTCAGAGAAGTTTGTTATTACCCACCTTCTGAAGCCTACTTCTGTCAATTCATCAAACTCATTCTCCATCCAGTTTTGTTCCCTTGCTGCTAAAGAGTTGTGGTCCTTTGGAGGAGAAGAGACATTCTGGTTTTGGGAATTTTCAGCTACTTTGCACCGGTTCTTTTTCATCTTCATGGATTTATCTACCTTTGGTCTTTGATGTTGGTGACTTTCGGATGGAGTTTTTGTGTAGACGTCCTTTTTGTTGATGTTGATGCTATTCCTTTCTATTTGTTAGTTTTCCTTCTAACAGTCAGGCCCCTCTGCTACAGGTCTGCTGTAGTTTGCTGGAGGTCCACTCCAGACCCTGTTTGCCTGGTTATCACTAGCGGAGGCTGCAAAACAGCAAAGATTGCTGCTGTTCCTTCCTCTGGAAGCTTCATCCCAGAGGGGCACCCACCAGATGTCAGCCACAGCACTCCTGTATGAGGTGTCTTGTCAACCCCTGCTGGGAGGTGTCTGCCCATCAAGAGACATGGGCATCAGGGACCCATTTGAGGAGGCAGTCTGTCCCTTAGCAAAGCTCGAGCCCTGTACTGGGAGATCTGCTGCTCTCTTCAGAGCCAGTAGGCAGGGACATTTAAATCTGGTGAAGCTGTGCCCACAGCCACCCCTTCCCCCAGGTGCTCTCTCCCAGGGAGATTGGAGTTTTATCTATAAGCCCCTGACTGAGGCTGCTGCTTTTCTTTTAGAGATACCGTGCCTAGAGAAGAGGAATCTAGAGAGGCAGTCTGGCTACAGAGGCTTTGCCAAGCTGTGGTGGGTTCCGCCCAGTTCGAACTTCCCCAGGCTTTGTTTATGCTATGAGGGGAATACCACCTTCTCAAGTCTCAGTAATGGCAGATGCACCTCCCCCAACCAAGCTTGAGCATCCCAGGTTGACTGCAGACTGCTGTGCTGGCAGTGAGAATTTCAAGCCAGTGGATCTTAGCTTGCTGGGCTCAGTGGGGGGTGGTATCCGCTGAACTAGACTACTTGGCTCCCTGGCTACAGCACCCCCTTTCCAGGGGAGTGAACAGTTCTTTCTCACTGGCATTCCAGGCACCACTGGGGTATGAAAAAAAACTTCTGCAGCTAGCTCAGTGTCTGTCCAAACAGCCACCCAGTATTGTACTTGAAACCCAGGGCCCTGGTGGTATAGGCACCCAAGGGAATCTACTGGTCTGCGGGTTGCAAAGACCATGGGAAAAGTGTAGTATCTGGGCCGAAATGCACCATTCCTCACAGCACAGTCCCTCATGGCTTTCCTTGGCTAGGGGAGGGAGTTCCCTAACCCCTTATGCTTCCCGGGTGAGGTGATGCCCCAACCTGCTTTGGCTTGCCCTCCGTGGGCTGCACCTACTGTCTAACCAGTCCCAATGAGATAAGCCAGATACCTCAGTTGGAAATGCAGAAATCACCCGCCTTCTGCATTGATCTCACTGGGAGCTGCAGACCGGAGCTGTTTCTATTCAGCCATAATATTAAAATATTATTCAATCTATAACATTAAAGTATTAGGATTATAATGTAAGGTTCCATGACATAAGCCTAAAGTAAGAAGCAAACCTTTTTGTCCTCTTTTGTCCCTAAATAGAGAAGTGAAATGACTAGTAGGTGAAAAACAGATGTAGAAAAACAGCAAAAGAAGAACAAAACAGAAACTATATAATCTCAACTTGATAATAGAAAATTTATTTTAGTCATTAGATTCTCCAAGGTCAACACAAAAGAAAAAATATTGAAGGCAGCTAGAGAGGAGGGCCAGGTCACCTACAAAGGGAAGCCTGTCAGGCTAACAGTGAACCTTTCAGCAGGAACCTCATAAGCCAGAAGAAATCAGGGGCCCATATTCAACATCCTTAAAAAAAATTCAAACCAAGAATTTCATATCCAGCCAAACTAAGCTTCATAAGCAAAAGAGAAATAAAATCCTTTTCAGACAAGAAAATTCTAAAAGAATTTGTTACCACCAGACCTGCCTTACAAGAAGTCCTTAAGAGAGTGCTAAACACAGAAACAAAAGACTAACCCCTGCTGCCACAAAAACACACTTAAGTAAATAGCTCACTGACACTATAAAGCAACTATACAATCAAGACTACAGAAGAACTAGCTAACAACACAATGACAACATCAAATCTGCACATATCAATATTAACCTTGAACATAAATGGGCTAAATGCCCCTACTTAAAAGGCACAGAGTAGCAAGTTGGATAAAGAAACAAGACCCACTGTGTGCTGTCCTCAAGAGACCATGTCACATGCAATGACACCCATAGGCTCAAAGTAAAGAGACAGAAAAAGATCTATCAAGCATATGGCAAACAAAAAAGAGCAGGGGTTGCTATTCTTATTTCAGAAAAAAGAGACTTTAAACCAACAATAACCAAAAAGAAAAAAACAAAGAAGGACATTCATTACATAATGATAAAGGGTTAGATTCAACAAGAAGACTTAACTATCCTAATATTTTTGCATCCAACACTGGGGCACCCAGATTCATAAAACAAGTTTTTAGAGACCTATGAGTTTGTAGATAATTACACAATAATAGTGAGAGACTTTGATACCCCATTGACAGTGTTAGACAGATCATAAAGGCAGAAAACTAACAAAGATATTCAGAATCTAAACTTGATACCTGACCAAATGGACCTAACAGACATCTATGGAATATCCCACCCAACAACACTAGGCTACACATTCTTTTTATCTGTACATGGCACACAATCTGAGATCAACCACATGCTCAGCCATAAAGTAATTCTCAGCTAATTTAAAAAGAATGAAATCATACCAACCACACTCTCAGACCACAGCACAATAAGAATAAAAATCAATACCAAGAAGATCTCTCAAAACCATATGATTAGTAGCCATTTGTGGTGGCTCATGCCTGTAATCCCAGCACTTGGAAAGGCCAAGGAGGGAGGATCACTTGAACCCAGGAGTTTGACACCAGCCTGACAACATGGTGAAATCTCATCTCTACAAAAAAATACAAAAATTAACTGGGCTTGGTGGCACATGCCTGTGGTTCCAGCTACTCCGGAATTTGAGGCAGGAGGACCATCTGAGCCTGGGGAGGTTGAGGCTGCAGTGAGCTACGATCAAGCCGTTGCACTCCAGCCTTGGTAACAGAGTGAGACTCTGTCTCAAAAGAAAAGAAAAGAAAAGAAAATCTATATACAATTACATGGACATTAAACAGATTCCTCCTGAATGGCTTTTTGGTAAATAACAAAATTAAGGCAGAAATCAAGAAATTCTTTGAAACTAAGGAAAACAAAGATACAACATACTAGAGTTTCTGGGACATAGTTGAAGCAGGGTTAAGAGGAAAGTTTATATCACCAAATGCCTACATCAAAGGAGTAGAAATATCTTAAATTAACAACCTAACATCACACCTAGAGGAACTAGATAAACAAGAACAAACTAGCTCCAAAGCTAGCAGAATAAAGTTAATAACCAAAATCAGAGCTGAAGTGAACGAAATTGAGGCATGAAAAGCCATACAAAAATCAGTGAAGCTAAAACTTGTTTTTTTTTTTTTTTTTTTTCAAGAATACATAATATTGATAAACCACTAGCTAGGCTAAAAGAAAAAAAGAGAGAAAGCCAAATAAACACAACCAGAAATGTCAAAGGGGACATTACTACCAACCCCACAGAAATACAAAAAAGTTTCAGAGACTATTATGAACACCTCTATGCACACAAATTAGAAAACCTAGAAGAAATGGATAAATTCATCACAACAAACAACCTCCCAAGATTGAACCAGGAAGAAATTGAATATCTGAACAGGCCAATAAGTCCCCAGATCCAATCAGTAATAAAAAACTTACCAACCAGAAATAACCCTAGACCAGATGGATTCACAGTCAAATTCTACCAGACATATAAAAAAGAGCTGGTACTAATCCTATCAAAATCATCATAAAAAATCAAAGAGGAAGGACTCACCTCTAACTCATTCTATGAGGACAGTATATTTCTGATACCAAAACCTGGCAGAGGCAAAATTTAAAAAAAAAAATTTTTTTTTAATTTAAAAATTAAAAAAAATTCAGGCCAATATCAGCAATGAACATAGATGCAGAAGTCTGCAACAAAATACTAGCAAACCAAATCCAACAGCACATCAAAAAGATAATCCCCGACAATCTAGTAGGTTTTATTTCTGGGATGCAAGATGGGTTCAACATATGCAAATCAATAAATGTGATTTATAACATAAACAGAACTAAAAACAAAAACCATTTGATCATCTTAATACACACAGAAAAGGCTTTTGATGAAATTCAACATCCCTTCATGTTAAAAACCCTCAACAAACTAGCCATCAAAAAACCGTACATCAAAATAATAAGAGCCATCTATGGCAAACCCACAGCCAACATCATACTAAATGGTCAAAAGCTAGAAGTATTTTCCTTGAGAACTGGAATAAGACAAGGATGCCCACTCTCACCATTCCTATACAGCATAGTACTAGAAGTGTTAACCAAAGCAATCAGGGAAGAAAAAGAAATAAAAGGCATCCAAATAGAAGGAGAGGAAGTCAGACTATCTCTCTTAGCAAACAATATGACTCTGTAACCCCTCAGTCTCTGTCCAAAGGCTCCTATAACTGATAGACAACTTTAATAACGTTTTGGGATATAAAATCAATGTATAAAAATCAGTAGCATTTCTATAAACCAAAACATCCAAGCTGAGAACCAAATCAGTAACACAATCCCATTCATAATGGCCACTAAAAGAATAAAATACCTAAGAATACAGCTAACCAGGAAGGTGAAAGATCTCTTCAACAAGAATTATAAAACGTTGCTCAAAGAAGTCAGAAATTACACACAAACAAATGGAAAAATATTTCCTACTCGTGGATAGGAGAATTAGTATTGTTAAAATGGCCATACTGCCCAAAGCAGTTTACAAATTCAGTGCTATACCTATCAAACTACCAAGGTCATTTTTCATAGACTTAGAAAAAACTACTCTAAAATTGATACGAAGCAAAAAAAAAAACCAAATAGCCAAAGCAATCATAAGCAAAAAAAAAAAAAGAACAAAGCTGGAGGCATCACACTATCCAACCTCAAACTGTGATACAAGGCTGCAGTAATCAAAACGGTATTGTACTGATACAAAGACAGACATACAAGCCAATGGAACAGAATAGAAAGCCCAGAAGTAAGGCTGCACACCTACAACCATCTGATCTTCAACAAAGCTGACAAAAACAAGCAGTAGGGAAAGGATTCCCTATTCAATAAGTGGTGCAGGGATAAATGACCAGCCATATGCAAAAGAAAGAAACTGGACCCCTTCCCTTCACCATATACAAAAATCAACTCGAGATGGATTAAAGACTTACATGTAAAACCTAAAATTGAAAAAGGAAAGGACAGATAGGAGAGGAAAGGAGAGGAGAGGCGAGGCAAGGCAGACCGACCCTGGAAGAAAACCTAGGAAATGCCATTCTGGACATATGCCTTGGCAAATATTTCATGATGAAGACTCCAAAAGCAATTGTAACAAAAACAAAATTGACAAATAGGAACTAATTAACCTGAAGAGCTTCTGCACAACAAAAGAAACTATCAAAAGAGCAAACAGACACCCTACAGAAGGGGAGAAAATATTTTCAAACTGTGCATCCAACAAATGTCTAATATCCAGAATATATAAAGAAATTAAACAAATCAACAAGTAAAAAACAAACAACCTTATTAAAAATGCGCAAACAACATGAATAGACACTTTTCAAAAGAAGACATACATATAGCCAACAAGCATATGAAAAAATCCCCAACATCACCAATCATTAGAGAAATGCAAATCAAAACCACAATGAGATACATCTCACACCAGTGAAAATAGCTATTATTAAAAAGTCAAAAAATAACAGATGTTGGTGAAGTTGCAGAGAAAAGGGAATGCTTATACACTGCTGGTGGGAATATAAATTAGTTCAGCCCCTGTGAAAGTAGTTTGGAGATTTCTCAAAGAATTTAAAACAGAACTATTATTAAACCCAGCAATACCAATACATACTGGGTATGTACCCAAAATAATAGTCTATTCATTCTACCATAAAGACAAATGCATGATACCAGCCTGGGCAACTAGGTAAAACCCAGTCTCTGTTAAAAAAAAAAATAATAATTAATAAAATAAAAAATTACCTGGGCACAGTGGCATGTGCCTGTAGTTCCTCTGGGAGGCAGAGGTGGGAGGATCACTTGAGTCCAGAATGTCAAGGCTGTAGTGAGCTAAGATCACACCACTGCCCTCCAGCCTGGTAACAAAGTGAAACCCTGTCTCAAAAAAGACAAAACAAAAGAAAAAGACACATACATGTGTATGTTTACTGCAGCACTTTTCACAATAGCAAGGGCACGGAATCAACCTAGATGCCCATCAATGGTGGATAGAATAAAGAAAATATGGTACATATGCATCATGGAATACTATGCCGCTATAAAAAAGGAACAAAATCATGTCTTTCACAGCAACATGGATGTAGTTGGAGGCCATTGTCCTAAGTGAAATAATGCAGGAACAGAAAACCAAATACCACATATTCTCACTTATAAGTGGGAGCTAAACATTTGAGTACGCATGAATACAAACAGGGGAACAATAGACACTGGAACCTACTTGAGTGTAGAGGATGGGAAGAGGATGAAGATCAAAAAGCTCCCTGCTGGGTCCCTAGGCTCACTACCTGGGTGATGAAAACAATTATACCAAACCTCAGCCACATGCAGTTTACCCATGTAACAAACCTGCACATATACCCTCCAACCTAAAATAAAAGTTGGAAGAAAAATAAAGAATATTTATTTTACTTAAATTATACCATCTTGAAAAGGAATCATCACTATGGTGAGAGCTAGAAAAAATAAAGAACAAAGTCTCTGCTCTGTCAAGTTACCCCAGAGGAAAAATTACAGGTGATCTGCGGTTTCATCAAGCATGTGTCTATAAGTGTGTGTCTGTGCATGCTTCCAACCATGCCCCGGGTCCTGTGCTTAAAAGCCACCACTCTGTCATCTTCCTCCAGCCACAGAGCTTTGCCTGGGGTGAGAAGTTTGTGTGGCAATAGGACATGTCAACCCAGAACCCTTATTCTCCTCTACTAACCAACCTCTGTGTTCCAGGGACCCTAAAATCCTTTCCCCATATTGCCTTCAAATTGCTTCTAGGCCCCGTATGATTTTCTTTCCCAGGTCTGTCCTCCAGAGTACAAACTACACCACCAGAGTACACAGCCCTAGTCCTGAGATGGAGAGACAGAGGATAATTATTTGTGTAGCCTAAATATATAGCCCACACAACATCTGGGCCTCTATTTGTATCCTTGTCCTGTATCTCACAAATATTTGGGAAGGACTGCCAGACCAGAGAAATGGACAAGAGAAGAGGGGAAATTTTCTTCTCCCATAGCTCATAGTCACTTTTTTTCTGTTTATAAGTCTTCAAAGAATAACATAAATTCCTTAAATGTCCCCATCAAATGAGTGATTTCCCAAAGGTGAAAATGATCATTTGCTGGCACATTTCAGTATTTCCTTAGTAAACATTAAATTACCCACAGAACACAGTGACAGGTCTTGAGGAACCACACTGAAGAGCTCCCAGACCCCTTTTGTAGCCATATATTCCATTGCATTCGATTCCAGGACCATGGTGTGCTGGTCATGTCAGCAGCTGCTTAGGCAATAAACAGTCATTTTAGCCATATCATCTCTGTGTCACTGATGTCCAGGGAAATAAGGTAATGAAACCACTACTCTGAAATCATGTTTCCTGGAAGTTCATTTCAATGGGTACATTTTGGAGTAATTTTGAAAGGAAACTTGGAGATGGGAAAGTTTTCAAATCAGATATATTTAGAGTTGAAATTTAGCTCTGAGATGTGAGAACCTTCCTCATGTACACAAACCCCTGGGAACCTCAGGCTCCTCACCTGTAAGAAAACACAACCTATTTTATCAGGCTATTATATGGGTCAATAATAAAATATGTAGCCTATGTACAAGAGTCTCTGGCACTTACCAGAGGCACAATAAATGTTCATTCTCACATTTCCCTTTTTTCTCCACTGAGGCTGTCTTTGTTATCTGGATTCTCTACCTTTGACAAACTGACTTTAATTAATACTGCAACTAGTATTTGGTTCCTGAATATTTCTGTCCTCTGACCTATTTTGGATTCCATTACTTTTTTTTAATTCCCTCTCTGCGCTTCATATCCCCTTTCCCACAAACAGTCAGCAAAGCAAAGGAGGAAGAATAAAGAATGGGAGGAAGGGTCACTCCCCTTCTTCGCTGCCACTTCCAAACTGCCCTTGAGAGTTCCTGACGAACTCTCAGATCAACACCACTGTCCACCCACCCTGAATTCAGTTCATGCTTGCAAATTCACATATAACAGGAGCTCTGTAAATGTTATTATTCATGAGCCAAGAAAATTTGCATAACAATTACAGCTACCAGGAGACATGTGACTGCAACATGCACCATTTGCAAATCTTTGCAATGGAGAATCACTTTTGCAGTTGATGGAAAGAAGGTGGGGGAGTTGGTCATTTACCATAATGACTTTTTCATGATAAGCAGCCAGCATCTATGATTATTTTCAAAGGCAGTGAATAGGTTCAAAGTCCTACATTATTGGGCTTTAATTAGGAGTCTAGTTTGCATACATTTTAAATGTTAATCACTGTTCAGTGAGCCAGTGAACTCAGATAGGTCACCCACAACCTACTCTTTCCAGAAAAAAAAAATACCTTCTTTTTCTTCTTGTTGAGATGTAAAGTACTGTGGGGCAGTGGCACAAGATCCTGTTTCTCAAAAGAAAATGGCAAAGGACAGACAGTTCAGAATGATTACTCAAAATTTTGAGATTTGCAAAATTTGCTACATTTAGCTGAATTCTTATAACAACCCTCCCTACTCCAAAAATGTGGCAGAATACATATTGCCAATAAATTTCATGCATGTTGAAGACTATTTGGGAGCCTCTGTACATATTCTGAAGCACAGTGGCAAATACAGAAGCAGAGTGGAATATTTTCAGCCTAAAATTTAGTCTGAACTTGAGCAGGTCATTTCAATAGGGAACGTTAACCTGGTCCATTGTCCAATTTTGCCACCTGGCAAAATGAGAAAACCAAAGACTAATGCAACAACTGTATTTTGTTGAGTAAAATTGCCCATTATTATAAAACTGTGTCCTTCCTACTTTACTGATATTAAAGTGTCCTTTATTTTATAAAATAGGTTCTTAGTAGATGGTAGCCACAATGTATTGTTTATTTTTAAATAAGTCCTTGCTTAATAAAATTGAAAAGTTGGTGAAATTTAATCCTTGCTTAGTAAAATTGAAAAATCCCTGATAGATGGGTAAAATTCCTAAATTTGGAAAATACTGAAATTAGTACATCTCTAGTCCTGCTGTTCATCAGGCAAGAAGTCATGCTGCACAGGTCTGCTAAAAACCAGCACCCTGGCTTTGACCTTGCTGTTTTATGAGCTTTCATTTCTGTCCAAGACAGTGTTTAAAAGTCAGTATTTCTCCATTTCCTGACTCTCCTTTTGATGAGAAAGGACAAACACTTGGAAAAGAAAAAAAAAAATCATGCAAGGTGCTTGAAGACAGAAATTATTTCCTCAAAGTGTTTTAATCATGCTGTTGAAAACCACTTCCTCCATTGGCCTAATCACATAAATCATAGTAAAAGGTTAAAGACAAAGTTCAATTGTACCAAATTGCCTGTGATGGTTTCTCAGAAATGGATTACTTTCAATTAAAAGGTGAAGTCATTCTGCTACCCATTGGTATGCCTAGGTGGACTCTGGATTGTAACTTTATATTTCCTATCCAGATAATGTGCATAGATGTTTGGAGGGCAACAAGTTTAATTTCTATCAACATTTGACTCAAACCTAAATGCTGAATGCAACTTTCATGAAGTGTAATTACATATTATTAGCACCAGGGGGCAGTAGCCAGATTCTGTAAAAGGAAAATGATGCTAATACGATATTCAGTTATTTTCTCCTTGATAAACTATTAATACCACCTGAAACAGACTTCCTTTTTATTATTCAGAGTTTGTAGATACTAAGCATTGTGAATAGAGAAATTCATCAGAAATATGATTCATGTATTTTATAAATATATTACATTAGCAGATGTATTGCAGTGATTCTTAAATTCTAACTTCAGAACAGTGATGAAATAGAAAGACAAATAGAAATTCCAGCCTTGGGAGTCAGGAGACCAAAGACCTATTTTTCCTATGGTGCAGCAGCCTAGATGAGTTTCCTGATTCCCCCGAGCCTCACTCTCTTCATCTCTAAAATCATTTTTCTTTTTATTTCAAAAAATTTAGTTAAGGGATCTAATTGGCTTTTATTAGTGATTCATGAATTGGCCAGCATCTCATCTAAAGATTTATAAAAGACACTCCATTGGGCATGGCAGAACATTCAGTTTTCATAAGGTACCTTGAACAGGAACAAGGAAATAGCATAATACAAAAGAAAAAAACAGATTGGTTAACATCAGGTCACTTCAGGTTACCTTCTTTATAAGAATTAAAGCAGAGGGGACTTCCTTATCATACTGGCTAAAACTGGCCTGTTTGAGTGTTGCGGCTGTCATCTCTCTCTCTTGATTTCTCAGAAGGTTGAATGACGAATTCAATTTGGTAACATGGAACCTTAGCATGAGTGACCCCATTTTGGTTTGGTCTGTTCTATTAGGGCCTAATGTCAGAACTTACTTCAAAACAATGGCCTCTCATAAATTTTATTTAACCAAAGTATGTGTTCGGCCTGAAACACACAGTTCTGTTTATTAAGCATTTACTTTATGCCAAGTATTACGCAAAGTATATCACAAATATCATCTTATTTAATCCCTACAATAATGCTATGAAATGAATAGTGTTATTAGCCCCACAAGACTCAGGAAATTGATTCTTAGAGGGGTTAAGTGGGACAGAACTAGGAAATGGGAGGTCAGATTCGAACCCAAGTTTGGCTAACTCTAAGCCTACTACATATGACACTATACTGCTCGTCTTGCTAAAAGTTTCTTTCCTTTCCCAAGAACAAGTACTTAATTTGAACTAATCTGGTTAATACAAAATGGTAAAAGACCTACGCACACACAAACACCTCAGTATCCTCATCCCGCTTTTGGTGACATGGTCATCAACAGACAATGCTTTGCCTTGGTTGTCTAAGTCAGGAATAACCTAGTGAAAGGAATTTTGGAACAAGTAAATAGGAAGATGAAATGCCACAAAAAAGAAGGGAGTTCTCTCTGGGTGGGCAAGGCCTTACAGAAACAAATAAAATCATTATCAGCCAACACTTATCAAAGGCTGATTTCATACATGTCTCCTCAACTAAGAAGCCTGAGATGTAGTTCTTGACATATAATGTGGCTAAAAGGAATGGAAGGGAAATAGAAAAATGCTTATCACACTGTGAGGCAACTTCGTAGTCTACTACGTAGTTCTTCTCAATAACCTCACCAAAATATAGATCTTTATACTATTTTACAGAAAGAAACAGGCTTAAAGAGCTGGGATCCAAAATAAGATTTTTTGTGTGTCTGCATCCAAACTCTACTCTTCCTGTTTCCAGGCCTCCATTATCATAGGACTGGAAGGAATTTGAGAGAGTCACTCAATATCCTTTCTTTACATTTAAGTGACTTGTTCAAGGTCATACCATCCACAGAAGAAGTGGACCTAGAACCCATGTTTCCAGTCTCATCTGGGCCCCTTTACATGATATCACTCTATTCTTCTCAAAACAAAATACAGCTTAGCTGCTTCAGGTAAACAAAGCTATTCCTTCACCAAAGCACATCTACAGATTCTGTGAGTTCATGGTTTCGTCTTTCTGGTTTTACTTCTATTTTTATATTCCTCATTGGTTAATTGGTTTCCCTTCTCAGTGGCATTGCAATTTGCATCTCAACTCCTTACAATCATAAAAGGAAAATTAGCTACCATTTATTAAGCATCAACTAAATGTCATACGTTTACATGTATTTTCTCTTATCCTAACAACAACCCTGCCCTAAAGATATTAATTGCTCCATTTTACAGGTGAGGATATAGTCTCAGAGATGTTAAATAAGTTTCCCAAGATCACACACAGTTAGGCATACTCACAACTATCCTAGCTTTCTTTCCACTAAGCCCTATGGCCTATGACTCAGCTCTTTGAGTAAGCATGTTGACCATCCGCATTCTTCCGGTCTGTGAAAGGATCACCTATTTCAGGGAAAGGAAATGTAAATCAGTTTACTCAAATAAGAAGAAAACACATCAGGTTAAGAAAGGAAAGGAGTTAAGCATTTTCTCACTCTGACCCTTAGGCTGTATTCACAGTAGACCCTGGTTTCACTTTTCATGGTTTTAGTTATCTATAGACAACCACCACCTGAAAATAGGTGAGTACAGTACAATAAGATGATTTGAGAGAGAGAGAGACCACATTCACATAACTTTTTTTTTTTGAGACACAGAGTCTTGCTCTATCCCCCAGGTTGGAATGCAGTGGCACAATCTCGACTTGCTGCAACCTTTACCTCTGGGGTTCAAGTGATTCTCGTGCCTCAGCCTCCCAAGTAGCTGGGATTACAGGCATGCACCATCACACCTGGCTAATTTTTGGTTTTTTTTTAGTAGAGATGGAGTTCCGCCATGTTGGCCAGGCTGGTCTCAAACTCCTGACCTCAGGTGATCTGCCCGCCTCAGCCTCCCAAAGTGCTGGGATTACAGGCATGAGCCACCACACCCAGCCCCACATAACTTTTATTACAGTATATTATTATAACTGTTCAATTTTATTGTTGTTGTTAATCTCTTACTGTGCTACATTTATAAACCTTATCATAGGTATGTATACATTATAGGAAAAAAAATTATGTATAGGATTTGGTACTACCTGAGGTTTCAGGCATCCACTGGGGGTCTTGGAATGTATCCCCTATGGTTAAGGGAGAATGACTACAAACCAACGAACTGCTACTTAGCAAGAGGAAGGCATCAGGGCAGTAGCTCCTCTGGGAATAGTAAAGGTAAGTTATCAAAATATGTTTCTAATATCTCCTCATTGTATCTCAATTGAAAAATGAGAATTGTGTTTACAAAAACTTTCAGTTAATGACTGATGCGTCACAGTTCTGTGATTTTAGACAATGATTTCTTTCATTCTGTGTGGCTTTGAGCAATAAGCTTCCTCATCTGTGTTGCGTTTCAAATAGCGTACTATTCCACCTAATTTATTACATTTTTATTACAAATCAAGACAGGGAGTTAAAAATAAATCAATCCATCTATCTGACTTAGATTAGTTGTATAAATTCAAAATCTGAGTATGTTTCCTGTAGCTTATTTTCACACCTGACCTTGCTGCGGGAGTTTCTGATATGGTTTGGCTATGTCCCCATCAAAATCTCATCTTGAATTATGGTTCCCATAATCTCCACTGTCACGGAAGGGACCTGGTGGGAGGTAATTTAATCATGGGGGGAGTTACCCTCACGCTGTTCTCGTGATGGTGAGTAAGTTCTCACGAGATCTGATGGTTTTACAATGGGCTTTTCCCCCTTTGCTCAGCACTTCTTTCTCCTGCTGCCCTGTGAAGAAGGACGTGTTTGCATCCCCTTCCACCATGATTGTGAGTTTCCTGAGGCCTTCCCAGCCATGTGGAACTGTGAGTCAATTAAACCACTTTCCTTTATTAATTACCCAGTCCCAGTTATTTCTTCACAGCAGTGTGAGAACGGACTAGCACAGTTTCCTTCCCTGGTTTGCAAAGTCTCGGTCTCCTCCATGGTCAAGTATCTGGTAACTCACCAGACTCTGAGTTTCCTTTCCACATCAGAATCTTGACTTGTTTTCTCAAGATACATGTGCTCGTTAATTTCAGGTGTCAAAGTGACTGGATTTAGGGATGTCCAGTAGCTGGTGAAGCACTGTTTCTGTGTTTGTGTGTAAGGGTGTTTCCATGGGTCAGTGAACTGGGAGAGGAAAATCCCCTCAATGCTGGCACAACAACCAGACAGCAGGGGGCCAGGCCGGCACAAATAGGCAGAAGAAGGGGGACTCACTCTGTTTTCTCTCTCCTTTCCAGAGCAGGATATTTTTTCTCTTCCTGCCTTTGGACATCAGACTCCCAGGTCCTTTGGCTTTTGGACTCTGGGACTTGTCCCAGCAACATTCCAGGGGGTCCTTGAGCCTACATTGTTGGCTTTTCTCATTCTGAGGCTTTGGACTTGGACTGGGCCACGCTACCAGCTTCTCTGGTTCTCCGGCCTGCAGTTGTCCTAACCTGGGACTTCTCCACCTCTGTGACCATGTGAGCCAATTCTTCTTACTAAATCCTCTCCCATCCAACCTCCTCATTCTGTCTCTCTGGAAAACCCTGATGAATACAGTGTGTTTCTTTGTCCCCATTTCAGAGAAAAGTGCATAAAGCAGAGTTTCTTTAATTTCCCCCCAAGCTGTCTCACACAATAGGCAATCAATATTCATTAAATACCTACTATGGGTGAACCACCACATTAGGAATTGTAAATGATATTAAGATGCAAAAGAACTTTGCCCTCAAGGGGTTTAGAATCTACCAGTCCATCCTACTAGATAACCTGATTTCTAGCTGACTTTTAATTCTCCTACAAAGATATGAAAGTAACCACATTTTCTAAAAAAGAGATTCTTCCTTTTACAAAAAGATTCACTGCACATTTCCTAAAAGTACACTAGCATATTTAAAATATGAATTAATGTGCATACAACATTTAGGGGAACATATTTATTACTTTAACAGTACTAGAAACAGTTTGGTCATTGTTTTTCTCTGTTTTACAACAGTAGGAATTAATTTTTTATGACATAAGTATTTGAATGTTATTTGTTTTTAGGTTAAAATGGGGCCTTGAAATCAGGCTATTTATTTGTTGTGAACTTCTGTTAAATGGCATCAGATATGATCATCTACTTTTCCTTTCCTCATGGCCTCTCTTTAATATGCTTTTAGAATACTTGTTAAAATGTTTGTTTGTCTTATAGAATATCAATTTAATGTGGCCATATCTATATAAGCTGTAAAAACTACGAAACTATTATCACCATCAATATGATATGAAACAAATATGAGATCTAATTATGCTTTACTGTAGTCATACATCACTTAATAACATTCATGAGTTACCGGTTACATAATTAAATGCCAGAGGTGTTATCAAAGATAAATTTTAAGGTCTAATTAACTGATAATAATTATGGCTCAATGTTAAGTGTATATGATAATTAGCAAGACATTAGCAGAGAAAGTTTGCTAATCTCAAAATTATGACGCTATTTCTGACCTGTTGCAGCATGGATGGACTTCTGTCCGAAGAAATGGCTTCAGATTCTGAGTGGACTCAGAAAGAAAAGATGTGGTTTATGTGCAGCAGGAATAAAATAATAGTTATAGCTCCCGGAATCTTTTTTAAATTTTTTAAAATTGTGGCAAAATACATGTGACATAGAATTTACCACCTGTACATTTTTAAGAGTACAGTTCTGTGGCATTAAGTACCTTCCTATTGTTGTGCAGCCAATCTCCAGAACTTTTTCATCATGCAAAATGTAAACTCTATCTAGATTCATTAAACAGCAACTCCAAATTCCCTTCCCCCTGCCCTGGCAACCGCCATTCTATTTTCTCTTTCTATGGGTTTAACTACTTTAGCTACCTTATACAAGTGGAATCCTGTGGTATTTGTCCTTTTGTAATTGGCTTATTTCACTTAGCATAATGTCATTAAGGCGCACCCATATTGTAGCATGCGTCAGACTTTCCTTCCTTTCTAAGGCTACATGATATTCCATTATGTGTATATACCACATTTTGTTCATTCATTCATTTATCGATGGATATTTGGGTTGCTTTCACATCTTGGCTATTGTGAATAATGCTACTAACAACATGGGTATATAACTGACTCCTTTCTGATTTGATATAAATAGGCACATTTTCTGGGCCAAAAAATTGATCCTAAGTTCAACCTCCAGTAGCCCCAGTTGCCGTGGCAATGCAGGCCCCTGTGACAGATAAACTAGCCTTCTCCTTGAGACTGGTGTTCTTCCTCCTAGGAAGGAGGTTGGAAACAATCTAATATTTTTTACTGTGCTCAATGTATCAGGTTCTGTTCAGGTCGCTTTTACTTTCTATTTCTAATAACTCCTTGAAATAAGTATTAATCTTTGCATTTTACAGATGAGGAAACTGAGGCTGAGAGTTTAATAATATGCTTACAGTCTGAAAATAATAAACAGTGAAATTGTATTAAAATCTAAGCCTTTTTTTGCTCTAAATGTCATGTACTTTTTCCCACTACATAGACAAGCAATAGAAATAACTCTTCCTCCTTGCATTTATAGAGTCAAATCACACTGCTTAAGGGGCATCATTCTGCATGCCATGTTTCTACCTCTCATCTGCACTGCCCCTTCCGCTCTCTCAGTCATTCCCTATTATGTGCTTAGTCCCATCCTAGACACGATGGGAGACTGAGGTGTAAAAGGAAGCACCAACTATAAGAAGCTCACAACCCAGTTGGGAGAAAACACAGAATTTCAAGAGAATGAGTCTCTACATGCACGTAGGAGTGGAGTCAGGGAACACAAATTCTGATTCCAATGCCATCCAATATGGATACTCTGCTAATCATTTTGCCTCTTCGTCTCTATTTATAAATCTGGAAAATGAGGTCATTAGATTGTGTTTACCTTAGACTCTAAATTTCTGATATGTTATTGCATACCTACACACAGAGGTGACTTCAGACAAAATGCAGAAGTACTCAATGCCATAGTATCCTCATTTGTAAAATAGAAGGTGAATATGTCTCTTGCAAGATTTGGGAGGAAATTAGATGCAATACTTCCAAAAGTGATAATATAATCTTGAAATTCTGTTTTCCATTTGCAAGAAAAACATCCAAGGATTTTATGGACGTCCTGTGGTGACAAGGGGTAACAGATTTTATTCAGTTGTAGAGTGGAAACAAGCCTTGAAAATCATGAAGTTTTGTGGTCCCCAAACCTAGCTGATCATCAGGATCACCTGGGGATACAGATTCCTAGTCTAGCTTCCAGAAAAATCCTGATTCAGTAGGTAAACCTGTGGTACATAGTTCTCCAACTACACTTGGACTCTAACTCCTACAGCTATGGCCCCCTTTTAGTCTTGCTTTCACCTCACACCAAGTGACAACCATACTTAAAAAGTAGTTTTCTGAGCAATTCCACTTCTGGGTATATACACAAAAGAACTGACAGAAAGACTCAAACAGATATTTATGCACCCATGTTTGCAGTAGCCTTATTCACAGTAGCCAAAACCATCCAAGTGTCCATTGACAGTTCAATAGATAGACAAAATGTGGTATATACACACACAATGAAATACTATTCAGCCTCAAAATGGAAGGACGTTCTGACACATGCTATAACACAGATGAACCTTGAGGACATCATGCTCAATGAAATAAGCCAGTCACGAAAGGACAAATATCTGATTCTACTTTTATGAGGTACCTAGAATAGGAAAATTAATAGAGACAGAAAGTTAAATGGTGGTTGCTAGGGACCGGAGAGGAAAGAATGGAGGGTTATTGTTTAATGGGCATGGAGTTTCAGTTTAGGAAGATGAGAAAACTGCTATGGATGGTGACGATGAGTGCACAACAGTTTGAATATGTGTAATGCTACTGAACCGTACTCTCAAAAATGACTCAAATGGTACATATTATGTATATTTTACCACAAAAGAATAAAAAATTTAAAAATGAACTAAACTGTAAAAAAAATAGTTTTCTGGCTGGAGGAATGAAGAGATTTATTTTGAGCTTCACCACCAACCAGGTTCTCTTCTAAACAATGAGGAGATGATTTATTCCCTCCAAGAGCCCATGCACCTTTTAGGGAGCATGTATCATTCATTGAAATGCATCAATGAATTCCACCTACAAGGGGAAAACCACCTTGAGAGCAGCCTGCAAAAGGTTTCCATGGAGTCAAAAAAAGGAGCAACCAATGCTTCCAGGGAAGCCTGGGGATAGAGGTTGATATGGTTTGGCTGTGTCCCCACCCAAATCTCATCTTGAATTCCCACGTGTTGTGGGAGGGACCCAGTGGGAGGTAGCTGAACCATGGGGGCAGGTCTTTCCTGTGCTATTCTGATAGTGACATGAGATCTGATGGTTTTATAAGAGGGAGTGTCCTTGCACAAGCTCTTTCTCTGTGCCTGCTGCCCTCAATGTAAGACGTGACTTGCTCCTCCTTGCCTTTCACCATGATTGTGAGGCCTCCCCAGCCACGTGGAACTGTAAGTCCATTAAACCTCTTTTTTTAATAGATTGCCCATTCTCGGGTATGTCTTTACTAGCAGTGTGAAAACGGACCAATACAGAGGTAGTGGAGGAAACTGAAGGCCTCTCAGAGAAAATAACACAGAAACTGTTGACTCTTCTCCAAAGGTCTGGCCTGCACCACTCCCCTTCACCATTCTCTGAGAACTGACATTGCCTACTCCTCTGCTACCAGGTCTTTGCTGTCACGTTCTGAAGTTCCAGGTTGAATTTTGCCAGCACCCATTGACAGACATTTTACAGAGCGCTTAAAAATTCTTCCTCGCCCAGAGCTTAGGTCTTTCAGTAAAGTCTTATACCTAATATTTTGCAGCTATTTCTGTCTTGTTTTGCTTTTTGTTATCATTCATATACCTGTTGTGGAAAAATGTGAAAGTACATAATTAAAAAGAAATAAAAAATAAAAACACCTACAGTTCCACCACCTGCCTTAGAAATACTAACACACACACAGACACACACACAATATTTTACATTAGTAGGGTAACACCATGCATTACCATTTTGTAATCCGCTTTTTCCACTGCACTCTGTTTTGACTCCTATAGATATTTGTAGCTGGGGAGAGATTGAAGCCAGATTCTAACATTTGCCATTTGCCCGCACACACGCAATTCTCATGCCCAGGTTTTCTAAAGGCCTTGATTCCTAAAGAGGAGTCATTAGTCCATTTTGTGTTGCTATAAAGAAATACCTGAGGTTGAGAAAATTATTTTTTAAACAGCTTATTTGGCTCACAATTCTGATGGCTATAGGTTAAAGATTAAACATCTGCGTCTGATGACAGCCTCAGTCTGCTTCCACTCATGGTGGAAAGTGAAGGGGAGCCAGTGTGCGCGGAAATCACATGGTAAGCAAGGAAGCAGGAGAGAGGGAGGAGGTGCCAGGGTCTTTTTAACAACCAGCTCTTGCTGGAGCTAATAGAGAATGAATTCATACCCACCCCAAGGGAGAGCATAAATCTATTCATGAGAGATCTGCCCCCTCACAACCCTGTGGAAGTTAAAGCAACTCTATCTTGGAAGCTAATCCACCATGCTGACTTCTGATTAACCCCAGTTCCAGAAAGACCTCTAAGAGTTTCAGTTTACCTATTGTTTCTGTGTAAGAGCAGATACTTAGAGTAAATCCTGCCCTTGGGTCAAAGAACCTTGATGTTATTGTACTTCAATTGTCCTGCACATTCCTCTGAATCACCCCTTCCCTATAGTACACTAGCCCTGGGTCTAGGGGGTAATGGCGTGCCATCCTGTCTCACCACTGCCTGAGACACAGACATGGCTTTTGTCCCTGTTAAATGTTTCTAAGGAAGTAGATATGTCAATGTCTTTCTTCAGCCTCTCAGTTTCCTCAGACTTTGGGGGTAGGTTTGCATAGACCCACCCACTGTGGAAAAGACCTAAACAACTCCCACTAGGCCCCACCTCCTCACTGGTAATCAAATTTCAGCATGAGATTCGGTGAGGACAAATAAATACTAACCAAACCATAGCAAGGGGTAAAGCAGGGACCGCCGATGGAAGGGTCCAGGAGCCAGAGACTGAGGGCAAAGCAAGGAAAAGCAGCTTTCTGCCTCTCTTTTCCCTGTGCCACTGCTTTCCCTCCCCTCCCCTCACAGCTACCCTTCCAGACACAGTGCACTAAAACTCCAGCCCTTTGGAGTGTGCCTGCCCTGCCAGGAATCAGGCACGATGCCATCCCAGCAGATGGGCCAGAAAATAGGTAGTCAATGTTCATTTCCATGGACAAATAGGAGTATCAAGAGTGGATGTTGAAAACAGGACTCCTAGGTAAGAATTTATCCTTCAACGCTCATATCAAGACAGACACAGTCAGGATTCTAGCTGAGGGACAAATTCACTCTGACCCAAGAGAAACAGCTGTCAAGTCTTGGGGAAAAATGCTTCTGTGGAGAGGAAAGGGCAGCAGTGAGGCCAACGGCCTCTCTGGTGGGTTCCCCTCGCATTCTGCAGAATCCCTCTTCAAGCCAAAACCAGCTTGCTCGGCCCAGCCGGCGCTGGATAAGCAGACCATTAGAATGCAGAGCCTCACTCCGCATGCTCTCCAGATACATAAAGAGTCCATAACATTTGGGCTGCAGCCCCAACTCATTATTTGCTATGAAAGTTTATGCAGCCACAAAATTAAATGGGAAAAGCACATTAGGAAGGGTTTGCAACCTACTTAACTCATGCCTGACAACAGCAAAAGACCACAATGTAGCTGTCAGCTTAGTCATTCTCCTTCTCACTTTAAGTCACAGCTAGTTCTTTGGGAGAAAGCTCCATACAAACATGAGTTCCTCTCACATCCCAGGGGCTGTCCCCTGTGGCCTGGGATCCCACAACCACGGTAAGCGAGCCATTCTTGCCAGGATACCACCAGGCTCTCTACTCCAGCTACCACTTTGCAAAAGGGGGCTGATTTCTACAGACCTCTCTGGGTCATTTTAAATAACGTCTGAAAATTCCCATTCAGCCACAGATGAAGTCTTTTAACAAGATCGTTTCTTTTACTAAATCATAGTCAGTGAACTATGCACCAAGGCCAAATCCAGCCCCTTATCTGTTTTTTTGTTTGTTTTGTTTTGTTTTGTTTTGTTTTTAACAAAGTTTAATTGAAACACAGCCCCATCTTATGTGTTGGCTGTGGCTGCTTTCAGTCTACTAGGGCAGAGTTGAAAAGTTGCAACAGAGTGTGTATGGTCAATAAAGTTAAAAATACTTAACTAATTTTTATAGAAAAAGTTTGTCACTCCTCTACTAAATCACTGTATGTATTAATATTTGTTGTTGTTATTTAAAAAAAAAACCTTTGTTGTTGCTTATTATAGAAAAGGCCTGAAAGAACTGGTTATACAGGTTTTTTTTCTTTTTACATATGTATATTTTCATCAAATGTTATGTACTTTTTGTAATTTAGGGAAAAACATTTTTATCGAAAAGGTGAAGGAATGTATGCCTTTGTAATGGAAAGAGAATCTGCAGGACTGATTGCAGATGTACAGATGATACTTCTCTTATTTCATTTGTGTTGCTTTAACAAAATACCTGAGGCTGGGTAATTTATAAAGAACAGAAATTTATTTCTCACGGTTCTGGAGGCCGGGTCCTAGCAGCTTTGTTGTCTGGTAAGAGTCCGGCCTCTGCTTCAAAGATGGTGCCAAGGAGGCCCTGCACCCACTGGAGGGAATGAATGCTGTGTACTCACATGGAGGAAGGTGGAAGGACAAGCCAGCAGAACACTGCTTGAAATGTCTTCTTTGAGGGCCTTAATCCCATTCCTGAGAGAGGAGCAAGCCCACAAAGTCCAATTACTTCTTAAAGGCCCCACCTTTTGCTACAACCACATTGGCCTTTAAGTTTCAGCACCTGAATGTTGGAGGGGACACATTCAAACCATCACAATGCTAAAACTAGATCAAATTTTCCATTTTCCTCCGTGGGTAAAGGTGAACTTCTTATGATGACAAATACAGTTTGTGCATTAGTCCAGGCCATCTGAGAAGCAGCCACCAACACATGGGAGGACTTTATTAGCAGAAATCCCTGTGAGAGAAAGAAGGAGAGAGCCAGGGGAGGCTGGGAATGCAATCAAACCCAGAGTGAAAGAGAAAGAGAAGAAAGGAAGAATGGGTGGAAGCAATTCAGTTATTTTTGTTTTTTGAGACATGGTCTCACTCTGTTGCCCAGGCTGGAGTGCAGTGGCATGATCATGTCTCACTGAAGCCTCAACCTCCTGGGCTCAAGCAATCCTCCTACCTCAGCCTCCTGAGTATTTGGGACTACAATAATATGCCACCATGCCTGGCTAATTTATTATTATTATTATTATTATTGTAGAGACAGAATCTGATTATGTTGCCCAGGCTGGTCTCAAACTCCTGGCGTCAAGTATTCTTTCTGCCTTAACCTCCCAAAGTTCTAGAATTACAGGCATGAGCCACAATGCCCAGCCAGAGAATGTAGTTCAGTTCTAAGAAAAGTCTGGCAAGGCCAGCAGGAAGTTCATGAGCCAAAGTCACCGGTCAGTGGAGTCCTGCATCTCCCAGGAATGGACCTACTTTATATTCCTGCTACACTCAGTTACTGACTGGCAGCAGCCTTTGGGAAGCATGGCCTAGAAAATGCAGGGATGGATTTCCTAGGCCAGCAGCTGGGCCTTGGATAATTACACTCCCTGCAGTTAGAAATCTAAAAGATGCATATTCATGGTCACCTCAAAAAAAAAAACTATAAAGAACACACACACAAAAGTATGTGATTCTTTGTGGATAAATTATTTTAAAACATCAGCCCAGCCTCTAAATGAGGTTCCAGGAAGAAACAGACTTTTTGGAAGCTGAATAGATCCTAGAGCTCACTATTTCAACCTGCTTATTTTATACATAAGAAGAAGGTATTTTAAATAGCCCACTCTATAGAAAATGGTTCAATGTCCTATCTTTCAGCATAGTCTGTTTTATATTGGGAGCATCATTGACTTTAGAGCTTTAGGTGCCTTGACAATGGCTCAATCCATGGGGCACAGAGAAGGTTTTAGTGTAAAAAATGAGCCTTAAATGTTGGGAACACTCTTTAGAGCGGGGCCCAGATTCATCAGTGATAGGATTTTCAGGCATAAGTCAAATGAAAACTCCATCCTTTATTTCTACGAGACGTGTAAGATATCAGGCCCAGGCTGGATTTCAATTTACCAGATAAAGTCATGGAAGCTAAGGAAGTAATGAAGTAACATTTCTTGAGCAACTACTATGTGAAATAGTACTACTAGCAATATCATGATTCTATCAATGTTTTAATTTTTTTTTTTTAACTTACCCTGACTTGAAGCTCAATATCAATGTTTTAAAAAGTTAGTTTGAGTAGGAGAGTGAAGGCTGGTTTGGAGGCCAAGAGGCTAGTTAAGAAGTTACTAATTGTCCAGGTAATGATAGCAGGAATAGAAATAAGGGAAGAGATATGTTGCATGGTCAAACAAGGAAGCACAGAACCTAGCAATTGCAAAGAAAACAAAGATGTTTCCAGACTGAAGGAGTCAGAGGAAGAGGAGCCCGTTAACCAAGAGAGTCAGTCAGGACAAGTGAGAACAGAAGATGGAAATAGCAGAGAAGCCAGTGAGCAAAACTGGACTTGCAGAGTTTGAGATGCTGTTGGCATTCATATGGAGCCGTCCACCAAGTGGGTGAAATTCAGGTTTGAATCTCATTAGCAGAAAAAGGGCTAAAGATGTGAACTTAGGATTTATCAGTAAAGATCTGATCATAGGAGCTGGAGAAGAAAAAGAACCCAGGAAATGATAATATCTTGAGGGTGGATAGGGACACAGAAGCCAGCACAGCCCAGTGGGAAGAAGGGCAAGGGAAGAACCGGGAAAGCCTAGTGCTGAAGAAGCTAAAGGAGAGGAAAGCTCCCAGAAGCAACAACTGACCAGCAGCACTAAATCCTACAAAGAGAATAATTTGGAGAGATCACTGGAGACTGCCCCAAACCAGACCAGTGGAAGAGAAGTCATCCTGCAGAGTTGGGAGTAAGTAGACTATGAGGAAGTGGACTCTAGCAGTGAAATGAGTTTGATTTCTTGGTGGGTGTTATTACCACAACCAAAGAGGATTTAACAAGGGGATTTTATTACTTGCAACAACACGTAAGGAGAACACAGGGGGTCGTTCCCAAAGCAGTGTTTCTTGGAAGAAAGATGGAAAGGGGGCTTTTATTGTGCTAGTTGGCTGAGTTTTTGTATGTAAAGGCAGGGTAAAGGCAGCACAGGTACAGTCCCCAATCACGTTGCTTCATATGCCACATGTATGGGAAATAGTGAACAAGCTCCTCCCTGGGCGGGGTTTTTAGTATGGTAATTTGGAGAGTTCACCAAAGTTCATCTCTAACTCAGGCATCTCTGGTTCCAGCGACTTTTTGTTTTGCCATAGCTGGACTTCTTCCTGGAACATTTTGAAACACCGAAACTCAAGGTGCCACAGTTACAAGGGGTTACCCTTTCATAGAGCACCCAGGGACACTGGGTTTCAAAGAGAGTGAGGGATGAAATAGTGGAATAACCATTTAAGGGGTGAAGCATCTAATTGGCCAGCCTTGAGCTTTTCTCCATTGATTTGGCTGTTGTCAGGTACTTGGATATTTGGGCCTCATTCCCTCCTTTTTGCATCCACTCGCATTCTTGACACTTAAATTTGCCTGATCTGGTCTCCAGGTAACTGTACCCTGTAGAATTCAACTGTGTTAACGATTAAATAGGAGTTTGTGAGCAAGCCTCAGCACAGCTATTTGAAATGACCTGCTGTAACAGATGCTATTGGAAGCTAAACTATTCAGGATGTGGTCTCTCTCTGCCTCTGTTCACGAAGGCTTAATTTATGTCCTTTCTTAACCTATGTCTTGGAGAAGAAAAGGGATTGCAGTTAAGAGGCTTATATATGAGAAAAAATAATTTTTAATTTCTTAGTAAATCAAACTATAAGTATAATCATATCTTGGAACTCTCGATGCTTTTTAATAGTAAGAATTGACATTTCAAAGAAATAATAATTTTAGACTGAATTTCTGGCCTTTTAAAGGTTTTGAGAGAAAGGATTTGATAGTTTTTGTCTCTCTTTTTCTGTCTCACTGTCTCTGTCTCTCTCTTTTTTTCTCTCTCAATTTCTCACACACACACACATATAGCAGATGTTATAGAAAGTCATATGAGGTTTTTCTAGCTCTGGGATCATCATTATAAGTAGTAATAATATGGTTTTCAAAACATTTTTGTGTTGGCTCGGTAGCAAATCTTAACTATAAAGATGTTAAACAGTAACCATTATATTACAAATAAAACTTACACCTGTCTCTGTCTAAAATGTTATGGCTTATTATTATTGTTGTTGTTATAAGAAAAGGAAAAAGCAACCCTATGGGTAAAACCATTAGCACAAGAAAAATCATGCTGGCAACTCATTATTTGAGGTTATTATTATGTTAGATGATAGCTTCTAGGTGTAAGGCACATACCTATAATGATCACATTAAGGCAGAATCTCATTAATAATAGATGAGATCTGATTATATCCATTCCTGATGTTACTTTAGTAACCTCTGGCATTCTTGCAACAAAAAACAATAATTTGAACCTTTTTGCTTTTTAAAAAAAAAAAAATCATTCTTGGCACATCTTAGTACCAAGCTGGAGAAAATAGGCTGCTTTTGAATCCAGGAGCAGTCTCTGACATGAGTCTTCCTGGTGCCTTTTAATAGTAAGAACTGATATTTCAAAGAAATAATAATAATAATTTTAGACTGAATTTCTGGCCTTTTAAAGATTGTGAGAGAAAGGATTTGATAGTTTTTCATTGTCATATATAGTGATTTTGTGGGTTTTTTTTTTTTTCTACTAGGACACATCAGCTTCTGTATTCACATCAGATCCAAATGCCTTGTATTCCCTGACAGTGCAGGGAAGGGGATTCAATACAGTCACAGTCTACAAGAATTGAACAGGTAGTCTAGATGAAGCACTTGGTTTGTTATTTTATGTCATCAGGAACTTTGTTGCTGCTTTTCCTTGCCCAGCTTTTATTTCATCCTTCACCTCTTACATAACCTCTTACATGTCATAGACTGAATGAAGCCTGTCCCCCACCACCCCGCAAAATTTCCATACATTACCTTAATATGGGAAAATGGACTTTGCCGATGTTATTAAGGATCTTAAAATGGGTAGATTATCCTGGATATCTGGGTGTGTCAGATGTAATTACAAGGGCCCTTATATGGTAAGAATATGATGTGATAACAGAAGCAGAGGATGGAGCGATGTGCTTAGAAGATGGAGGAAACAGCCAGAAGCCAAGACTAAGGTCAGCCACTAGAGGCTGGAAAAGGCTTCTAAACAGTTTCCCCCCTCAAGGCCTCCAGAAGAAACAGACCTACCTACATCTTGATTTTAGCTCTATAAGATTCATTTCAAAATTCTGACTTCCAGAATCAAAAGAGAATAAATCTGTGTGGTTTTAAGCACTAAATCTGTGATAAGGAAATTGTTACAATGACAATTGAGAATTAATATACCCCATATCTTCTTTCCTTTCAAAAGAGGAAGAGAAAGGGGTAGATTGCATGGGGCAGAGGAAAAAAAAAACATTCAATAGTTATTTTAATCTACATAGCTTGAACAAAGAAATGATGTGCTTTTGTACATCATAATTTTCCTATTGAAGATAATGCTTGCATATTATAGAAAGTTGAAAAGTGCAGAACAGAAAAAGAGGAAAAATAAACATCTATTGCTGACATTCTATCATTTTTCCTTCCAGTCTCTTTTCTATGTGTATTTTTATATACCTGAGCATTAGCTACCAGTAAGTTCGAAATAATCATGGGAAAGAAGTATTTGTTGCTTATTTTGTAAATAAGGAATTTGAAGATCAGAGAAGTTAAGGAATTTTGCCCAGTCATACCACTCACGAACAGAGTCTGGATTCCAACCTGGGACTCTCTTAACAACAAATCCCATTTTACCACCCGACACTATGAAGTTAGTGGGTGGGAATAAAACTGTCAGGGACAAAGATCCAGCAATTCTGATGGAGGCTTTAAGATTCTACTCCTGCTAGAGGTAACCCCAAGAAACTAGAAGGTTTGGAATGAGGTGCTAATGAGAAAGAAACATCTTTCTTTTTCCTAAGTTGACTCCTCTACTAACAGGTCAATGAGGCCAGGAAAACATGAAATGCGTAAATTAAAATCCCTTTTCCTACCATCAGCCAAACTATTCCATTGCTACAGCTAAACAGAGGTGGGATTTTTTTATACCTTCATGGAATCTTCCAGATAAAGGCTTTCATATCAGTTTTATTCGTTGTGTTACCAATAGGACACTACTCTATTTAATTCTGTTTAAATGCATTTGCTTTGTCTTTTCAAAGAAAACTTAGGAAGGAGGGAGGGAGCAGGGGATGGAGGAGGGAGAGTGAGTGGGGGAGGGAGGGAGGGATGGAGGGAAAGAAGGAAGGAAAGAAGGAAAGAAGGAAGGAAGGAAAGAAACAAGGATAAGTTTGTCAAGCCCTATGCAATGGAAAAGGTTGATTAACACGCTCTCACGATTTTGCATATTGGTTTCATCTATAGGCTCCTTTTTTATTATTATTCATTAAACATTTCTATTTGTGTCAAGCAATTGGGAATTGCTTGCATTTAACAGTTTAATGCCTCATGCAGTCAGTGATGTAGAGAAATTAATGTAAATGAAAATAAATTGGGTATTATGCCCAGTAGGAAAGCACCCTAGCCTGTATCCCTTACCTAATTCACTGCCTAAGCCAGAGTGCAGAACTTCTAATGTAGTGTAATTTCCTCTTCACAAGGTGCAAAATACAGCCTCCATTAATGGTCACTTTGAGGGATGTTTAATACAAGGAAAGAGCATCCGCATCTGTGCATCTGTGAGGTACTTGCGAAGCTGGTGTCCTCTCTATAGGTTCTGGCTGGGACGTTCATCCTGAAGGCAATTTGGAGAGAGAGACAATAGGCAATAAAGCTAAATCATTCAAGAGACATCAAAGGGCTCTCCTCTGTGCCTGGGGGGCAGAGCTGGGCTGTAGCCAAGGCTGTTCTATCTACTCAGAGTATAGGTCTCCCTCCTTCAAGGTCATTCTCCCCAGTAAAGCAGGAAAGGGAGATGGAGTTGCAATTGAGATGAGATCCCTGACCCCGTTTACAGAGAAAGTCTATAGCCACTGTGCTGCTCACATTCTCGCTTTATGCCACATACCTATTCCTCATATTTCCAGAGCCAGGGTTCTAGCTGTTTCAGGGTAATCTGATTACCCAGTTAGAGTACATGAGAGGATTTGCTCTTGCTTATGTTAGGACCCATAACCAGTGATTACAATGATGATAATGATGACAATGTGATGAAAATGATAGAAGTTAGCCTTAACTGAACACCTGCCACGCACCAAGCACTACTTAAAAATTTCATTCTCAAACGAGCCCTAAGAAGTAGACACTATTATTATCCTTATTCTCTACATGAGGAAACTGAAACACCAAAAGGATAAATGACTTACCTGAGGCAGCAGCAGCTAATAAGTGGAGAAGCCAGAATTTCAACCTGGGCTGTTGGCCTCCAGAGTGTTGGGCCAGTAGCTCATTGACCTCACACATTTATTTTTGCTAATTCCCACAGCAACTCCTAGGAGAGATAACCTTTATATTTCACAGAGGAGGAAACCTGGCCTTGCCCGAGATCATTCAGCTTCTCACATTTGTATATAATTCTATAAGGCACTGGTTTGCAGACTTTTTTCTTCTGCTGAAGTCTTCCTGAAAGTGAAAGCTTATTGGAAGCCTGAAGCCAAACAAAACTTCTCCAACTGAAGTCAGAAGAGGGGGTATCCTGTCACTCTTCACATCCCCACTTGTGTCAGGGGAACAACATCTTCTTTGTTCCTTCCAGAGCACTTACCTTAATTTCCAATTGTTTTATACCATTGTTTGATATATATTAATTGCCTATCTACATAACTTGCCTGCTAGTTCTATGAGGGCAGTATCTAAGGCTATCTTATTCACCATGGATCTGTGTCCCCACCCAAATCTCATGTTCAATAGTAATCCCCAGTGTTTGGAGGTGGGTCCTGCTGGGAGGTGACTGGATCATGGAGGTGGATCCTTCACGAATGGTTAAGCACCATCCATTGAGTTCTTTTCTCATGATAGTGAGTCGGTGAGATATCATGAGATCTGGTTGTTTGAAAGTGATGGCACCTCCTTCCTCTCTCTTTTCCTTCTGCTCCAGCCATGTAAGACGAGCCCGCTTCCCCTTTGCCTTCCACCATGATTTTAAGTTTCCTGAGACCTCCCCAGAAGCCAAGCAGATGCCAGAATCATGCTTTCTGTACAGCCTGTGGAACTGTGAGCCAATTAAATTTCTTCTATTTATAAATTACCTAGACTCAGGTATTTCTTTGTAGCAATGCAAGAATGGACTAATACAACCATTGTGTGTCTAGTACCTAGAAACCACCAGGCATATAATAAGTGTTCAATAAATATTTACTAAAATATACAAGTGAAGTCATATTTTTTCTCATCAATCCCACATGGAGCAAATCAAGACAAAATAGAACTACCAAAAGCCAGGCAGCAGCGGGAAATATTAAATGAGGTTTTCCATTGATCAATGCTGTATCCCATTTCTATTAAATACATATCACTTTGCAAGGCACTGTGTTTAAACTGTTATTGCTGTTGCCACTGTGGGAAAACAATGGTGAATGTCAGTCCACAGGTATGATCTTAGATCCACTCAGCCCAGTGGTGCCAGTAAGATCAGATGAGAGGATATACCCAATGAGCATCTTTCAGGAAGGCAACAACTACACTCATGCATAGAGGGATTGCTTTCATGATTTGCAAAGTCTACCCAGACCAAACCTGGTAGATTTTCAAGAAAAACTGAAGTAGAATTTCCTGAAACATTTCAGTAAATTCAGTGTTTCAAAGGTTACTATCATCTAGGTCTCCTTTAAAAATTAAATAAACCCTTAAAGTAAATGGCAATTAATTTAGCTAGGTCAAATAAATATAAAAAACGGTCATGAATAAAATTAAAATAGATTTAGAAAAATATATCTTTTAAGTATGACAGGCAATATTCAAAGGTCAACCCAAATTAATAAGATAAATTTGCAGACTTAGTAGACAAGTATGCAATGGGATAAAAAGACAATTCACTAAAGAAGAAATATCAATGGTTAATAAAATGTTAAGCTGTTCAGCTTTACTGGAAAGCAAAAGAAATGTGATTTAAAACCACAATGTAATGTCATTTAAAAAAAAAACAAGTTTATCACGCCACTGCACTCCAGCCATGGTGACAGAGCAAGACTCTGTCTCAAAAAAGAAAAGAAAAAAGTTTGTTGCCACATAATTCATATACAGTAAAATTCAGTCTTCAAGTTTATAGTTCAGTGAGTTCTGACAAATATGTACAGTCATGAATCCACCATCAAAATCAAGATATAGGACATTTCCATAACCCACAAAAAGTTTCCTTGGACCTCTTTGCTGTCAATTTCTTCCCTCGTGCCTAGACCCTCATCCAGTTTTTTCCCCTACAGTTTTCCCCTTTTCAGAATGTCACAGAAGTAGAATAATACAGTATGTAGCCTTTTGAGTCTGGCTCAAGTCTTTTTCAGTGGATCAAATTAGTAGAGATGTAAAAGGTAATACTAGTGTTGGTGAGTGTGCTCAGCTACTGTGTGTGTAAACTGATTTAACCTCTCTTAGGTGCAAACTGACAACATGTATCAAGTCTAAAAATGTTGATACCCAGTGACCACTAGCCCATTTTTAGGAATTCCTATACCAATAGTTATTATCAAAGATGTGCACAAAGACTTTATATGGCCCAAAATGTTCATTACAGTGTTACTTATGTGAAAAATTATAATCTTCCTAAATATTCAACATAGAGGGAAAGAATAAGTAAATTTACCTAATGAATATATTTACATATATACCAAATTAGAACTAAAGTTGACACAAAGTTTCTGATGGTATGGGAAAATATTCCTAATATTGAAGTTGCACAAAAGCAAAATAAAAGCTGCATATATATTATGATCTCAGAGTAAAAATGCACACAGAAAAGATTGAAAGGAAAATTATTATCTCAGGGTGATAGATGACTATGAAAAGTATATATTCTGTATTATCCTAATTTTCTCTAATGGACTTCTATTATGTTTATGATTAGAAAAATACTTTATAAGATATATAAAGGTCTACTTTTTTTTTTTCTTAGAAACTAGGTCTTGCTCTGTCACCCAGGCTGCAGTATGTCATCATAGCTCACTGCAACTTCCAACTCCTGGGCTCAAGTGATCCTCCTGCATCAGCCTCCCGAGTAGCTAGGACTACAGGTGCCTTCCACCACGCCTGGAATTTTTTAAATTTTTTGTAGAGATGGAGTCTTGCTATGTTGCCAAGGCTGAACTCAAGCAATCCTCTAGGCTTGGTCTTCCAAAGTTCTGGGATTTCAGGTGTGAGCCACCTCACCCAGCCTAAAGCTCTGCTGTCTATCTAATCTGAATCACTTTTGCTCTACTCTAAACTCTTAGGAAGATTCAGACAAACTGGTCAATCAATTGCACCTTTCACCGAGATATATCAAGCAGCTATTAGACCTTAGGCACTGTGTCAGTGCTGGGACTACACAGATGAATAGGCCTCTGTTCTTACCTCAAAGAGACATTAGGTCAATATATAAACACACAATATTAATTACTTCTAATAATTTATTTTGCATTTTGCTCTATGCTGGATACTAATTATTTATTCATACTTTTACCTTATTTCCTTATCTGTAAAATGGAGACAATGCTAGGCTGGTTATAAGAGAGTTTACCCTTAAAGCACCTAACACAATTCCTGACTTATAGTAAAGCAATAGATATTTGTTTTACCGTGAAAAGTGTTATTAACAGGCAAGAAATTAATAAACTAAGTAGTAAATATTAAGGGTACAGAGGAGGGACAGTTCTACACAGGAATGAGAGGTCAAAAACACTTGACGTTTCCTAAAAGGTGATTAGGCTTTTGCAGTTGGCCAAGTAAGGGAAGGGCATTCTAGGAAGAAGGGCCACTGTGAACCTTCATCTCTTTGAAAATGACTTTCTAGCACTTCTATAAGGAGGCCATTCCCTGTGTGACATAGTCTCAGCAGTCTCTTAAAAGCAATGCTGCACCCTTGCATCAATTGCTTTGAGTGTAAACCTTTGACAAATGTCCAGGTTCATTTCATAACTTGACTCCACAGGAAAGAGAGACAATCCCATCCGATGCATTGGAGACTGCGCTTTTGCTGGCTTTTAACTTCACACAGAGTAGGACCTTCAGAAAGCACACGGGCTTCTAGGTAAATGGAATCTTCACACAAGCCTTTTGAAGCAGCAAAGCGGCAATATTGTTTTTGCCAACAAAGAGAAGTTTGCTCATTATCTTTTCTTCTTTACTGTCTTTCCTCATCCTTTGCACTGTCTACCAGAAGCTCTTCTAGTGCACAAACAACATATAAATTTTAGCCATCTCAGTCATCTTCTGGAAGAGGAAAATAAAAGATGGACTTTTTTTTATAAAATGGTTTTTTGTTTTTCTTCAGAAATGTTAGTCATTAGCCAAATGGTATGACTAGTTATATACCCAGCTTCAGCAGCAGCCACAGAACACACAAGTTCACTAAAGGCTGACAACTTATATTCAGGTTAGGAATCAACCATACCAAAGAGAGAGCTGGAAGAGAAATTCCACGTCAAAGGAAGGAGAGGTACAATGCACATCATCATCATTCAGTTACGAATTAGGTCTGCATAACTGCTTTTAGTGGGAGGTGGAACTGTTCTTTCCCCTTCGGTATACAATATTCCTTATACATAACCTTCAGGGTTTATGAACTTTCCATTAAGAACCCCGGTTAGTCAGCAGTAATTTCCAAACACCACCGCTTCTGCTAACACTTTGGCCCCAACGTAAGGAAACACTGCTCTTTAATTTAGAATCTCACTCTTACTCATCTTCACATTTTTTCGTGAATACAGCTCACAAAAGGTTTATTTATGAGTACAAAAAGTCACAATGGATTGATAAACCGACAACATCCTAAAAGTGGCCAAGCTCAGCAGAAGCTCTGACATTTCATCTACAATCATCTTCTCCTCCTAATAAGAGCAGAGGAGGTGGAAAATGCTGAGAAACACTAGCTCACAAGATGTGGAATATGTTCTTAGAGGTACTAAGCAGATAAAGGCAGCCCATCTATTTTGGACTGCTTTGATGCTTTCCTGTTTCAAGTGTGGGGTTGGCTTTGAGAGTTCTCTCACTGCTATGATTTTGCCGATAGTAAATTGAGTTACACTGAGGAAGTTTTCCTAAGTGACCAATTAGACAACATGTCACTTTAATGTGATGGGATTATTCAATACTAGAAACAGTTGTCTATGGAGAGCAAGCAGTCTATAAGGTTAAAAAAAAAGTAGCTTCCACTCATGAACCTTCTTCCTCTAATACCTAGGATCCACTGGACCTTCCAGATAAATAAGTCTCATTTCATTTCAACTCAGCCAACCTACCCTGGCCCTGAGCAGAACCCATAAATTCACCTATAATTTATTAAAGATTTTCAGGGCACTCCATTCAACTGGTTCACACAGACAGCATGCTTTGTTAATAAATGGTCCCATCACTGAACATGAGAAAATATAAGTCAGGGCCACGATAGGTTTAGAATGACTGCATTTAAATGTTTATGGGCTGGAATCCCAAGTACATCTTGATGCTGACAGGGCAAATAGTTCTGCATTTAGCCACAATTGATGGAATGCATGTCCATGAACATTTCCCAAGGGATAGCTGAACAAAATTTCATCTATGACTTTCCCTGCAATTAAGGAGCCTGAAAATTCTAGGGTGAAATTAAAAACAATAAACACTCAGGTTTTCGGTATAATTGCAATCTTTTGTTTGCTTTTGCTTTTTTAAAAAAATATTGAGTCCTTTTAGAAAGAAATGCTTCATAAGTACACCATGTGGGAACAACCCTACTGTTAATGTGTTGTTCCTATTCTGTGTATAACATATTTTTACTCAGGGCCTGCAGAGGAAAGAGGAATGATACACAGAATTTTTTTTCTTTTTTTTTTTTTTTTTTTTTTTTTGAGACAGAGTCTCGCTCCGTTGCCCAGGCTGGAGTGCAATGGCATGATCTCGGCTCACCACAACCTCCGGCTCGCGGGTTCAAATGATTCTTCTGCCTCAGCCGCCCAAGTAGCTGGGACTACAGGCGCCTGCCACCACGCTCAGCTATTTTTTTTTTTTTTTTTTTTTTTGTATTTTTACTACAGATGGGATTTCGCCATGTTGGCCAGCCTGGGCTTGAACTCCTGACCTCAGGTGATCCACCCGCCTCGGCCTCCCAAAGTCCTGGGATTACAGGCATGAGCCACCACGCCCAGCTGATGCACAGATTTTTTTAAAGGGAAGTAGGAACAGGGAAACACTGAGTACACACAACTATACCACAAGAGAGGTCTCACCAAAGGCCTCTGGATAAGTCGAAAGAATGGCTACGCAAGATCAGGAAAAGTTTGAGCCTTCACTGCACTTGGGATCTTTCAACCTTCTGCAGGTTGCCAATGACAGAACAAGAGGGGCCCCTCAGATTCAGAGTCAATGCACTATATGCTAGGCATCATGCTAGATGATATCACTTCTGCTATGACCACATACAAAGAACTCATACCCTCGAAGGAAGAACTCAGCTGCCTTTTGCTAGCCAGAAAAAGTGGCAGCACCTAAGGAGGAGGCTCCCATGATTGTGAGGCCAAGTGTCAGAGACAAGGTAGCACTGGCTACTATTTGAGAGCACTCACTGATGTACAGAAGACTTTCCAGTGATTCTAGAAACTCAAGGGGAAGAAAAGGAAATGCAAGTTTTAGGAAAGCCTTCAAGGCAGACCAGTATGCTCACCAAGGTCTTCTCCCAGAATGCCTCCACAGGATGATATTCATTGCCTTGAGAGTAGATCATGGTTCCCAAAAGGACAAACTCAGAAATTGGATTTTTGTCAGGATCTTGAGAATGAATCCATATCTCACATTATACAAGCTAAACAAACTAATATGTAAAATCAGAATACCAATATTTTTTTCACAATGAGAAATTAGTATCAAAGGGGCCAGAATATATAAAGTCCAATAGAAAACAAGGATTAAATAGATTTTCTGTATTCTGGCCCCTTTGAAAGCCATTGTTTTCTGACTCTATAGACAACTCTTCATGGAGAGTCAGTTAAAATGTACTTAAAAGCAAGTAATAGAAAACCCAGCTCAAATTTGTTTAGACAATAAAGAGAATTTAATTACTTTATAACTGAAAAGGTATGTGGTAGAAAGTGCTTCAGGCAAGACTTGATCCAGCAGCTTAAAACTATCACCAAGGGTTAAATTTCTTTCCACAGATTAGCTTTATTTCTTATCGTATTGGCATCTTCCTAAACTACTTCTTTCCATGGCTGCAAAATAGTTATCAGCAGCAATAAGATAATATGCATTTTATTTATTTAACTTCAGTAAAAGAAGGAAGGCTTCTTTCTGCCCAACCAACAAATAAAGACCTAAATCTCACTTCGATCGGACTTCTGTAGTAAAATACCTGTCCACGAACTAATCCCTATAGCCAGAGGACTGGTTTAGGCCTGGGTCAATGTCTATCTCTGAATCAATCACTGTGATAAAGAGTATGGGTTTATGAAAATTGGCTTATGGAGGATCTCCAGAGTTAAGGGATGGCAATACAAATACACTTTTGTAGGCAATGATGCACTAGCCATTTAGTCCATCCCTAAAGAACTTGGGGTCCTGAAAATTTAACCATGTCAATATAGTCTTTTTTTTTTTTTTTTTTTTTTTTTTTTTTGAGATGGAGTCTCGCTCTGTCACCCAGGCTGGAGTGCGGTGGTGTGATATCAGCTCACTGCAATCTCCACCTCCAGGGTTCAAGTGATTCTCCTGCCTAAGCCTCCTGAGTAGCTGGGACTACAGGAATATACCATCACACCCAGCTAATTTTTGTACTTTTAGTAGAGATGGGATTTTGCCATGTTGGCCAGGCTGGTCTTGGACTTGAACTCCTGACCTCAAGCAATCCACCTGCCTCAGACTCCCAAAATGCTGGGATTACAGGTGCTAGCCATCGTGCCCAGCCTAATGTATTCTTTTTTTTACATTATTAATTGAAGAAAAATGGATGCCCTTTAAAGATTTTTTTGGAGATTAGAAAACAAAAAGAAGTCAGAAGGAGCCAAGTCAGGACCATAAAGTGGATGCCTAATGATTTCCCAATGAAACTCTCCCCAGATTGCCCTTATTTGATGAGAGGAATGAGCAGGAGCATTGTTGTGGTGAAGGACTCTGGTGAAGCTTTTCCAGGCATTTTTCTGCTAAAGTCTTGGCTTTCTCAAAACACTTTCACAATAAACAGATGTTATCGTTCTTTGCTCCTCCAAAAAGTCAACAATCAAAATGCCTTGAGCATCTCCAAAAAACTGTTCCCGTGACTCTTGCTCTTGACTGGTCTGCTTTTGCTTTGACTGGACCACTTCCACCTCTTGGTAGCCATTGCTTTGATTGTGCTTTGTCTTTAGGATCATACTGGTAAAGCTATGTTTCATCTCCTGTTAAAAGTCTTCAAATAAATCCTTCAGGATCTTGATTCCATTGAACACTCTACTCTTGTCTGCAGCTTATCTGGGCACAATGGTCTTGGCACCCACCAAGTGGAAAGTTTGCTCAACTTTTATTTTCCTGTCAGTATTATAAAAACTGAACCAATTGAGATGTCTATGCTGTTGGCTATTGTTTCTGCTGTTAATCATCAGTCCTCTTCAATTAGGGCATGAACAAGGTTAATTTTTTGCTCACAAATTGGAGTGGATGGCTTGCCACTGCAGGCCTCATCTTCAACATCATCTTGTCCCTTCTTAAAATGAGTAATCCATTTGTCAACTGCTGATTTCTTTGGTGTATTGTCCCCATAAACTTTTCATAAAGCATCAGTGATTTCACCATTCTGCTACCCTAGTTTCACGATACATTAATGTTTAGCCTTGCTTCAATTTTAGCGAATTTATGTTGCTCTGATAGTGGCTCTTTTCAAGCTGATATCTTATCCTTAGGGCCTCAAACTAAACCCTTTTCAGACATACTATAACAAGTTAGTATGAGTTTATTTTGGTACAAAAAAAGAAACTGAAATCATCACACAGTTTCTTCATAATACACATTTTCCATGAATTTTTTTGAAGACCCCTTGTAGATAAAGACAGAATGGATGCTTGGGAGGAAAGTAATTCTATCTACTGTAGGAAGTCATACCATAATCAGCAGGTTGCTTTGTGAACATGAAAGCAGAATAAAGGGAGCCAGACATGCAAATGTTTAATGGCATCAACATTAATAGCAGGATTCTACCAACTCTCAACATGGGTATCCTTGCCAAGGGTACTAGGAAGTTCACCGGCTAACTTCTAATTCTATCCATGTACCTTACGAACAAATAGAACAAGAAGAAAAATGCTGTATGACTCCACTTACATGAGGTATCTCGGGAAGTGAAATTCATAGAGACAGAAAATATAATGATGATTGCCAGGGTCTGTAGACAAGGGGGCATGGGGAGTTATTGTTTAATGGGTACAGAGTTTCAGTTTAGCAAGATGAAAAACATTCTGAATGTGAAGAATGGTAATGGTTGCACAACAATGTGAATGTTCTTAAGAATTGTCCCCTTAAAAATAGCAAAGATGATATATTTTATGTTATGTGTATTTTACCACATTTTTTAAAATGAATGGATGGATGGCTTATGGGTGTCTTACAGGCCTTGGAGTTAAATTTAGGTATCACTGCTCTAAAGTGTTAAGTGCTTGTTTTTAAGTTAAATTATGAAAGAGCAAGTATTGTTTTTCTGTTGTAAAAGAGATAGGGTCAAACACCCTAATGACACACAAAGAAGACATATGTCCACATTTGGGCTCGAGGAACAGAATGGAGGTGCCCCCCTAGTCTCTCACAATGCCCTGCTTTAAGGTGAGGATCTCTTCTTTAAGCTGGCACTGCTGGAGACCATTTAAATTGTGCTGCTGGTGAGAGACCTCCAATGCCCTGACTCCTCATATACTTGTAACTAGGAGTTGACAGAGATCATCTGACCCAGTTGGTCTGAAACAAGGCACAGCCTTGCCAGTGCAAAAAATTATTCTACTCTCAGTGCCAGTCTTCTGAGAAGCTTGCATATCAGCATTAGTGCCAACCAGTAGAACTCTTGCCTCTCTCTGCAGGGCCAGCTCATTACTGGACTATTTGAGGGAAAGTTGCTGGAGGCATCCAGTAGAGAAATTGGCTTGTCTCTCCTCATGATCTTACATTTAAGGGCTTAGAGGAAACTTCACTATAGTCCCCAAGTACTGACTGAAAATATTGATCATATTTCAGAAAAAAAAACTAATAGGACAGAGAAAAATACATCATTGGCAGCTGAAGTAGCACTTCCAGGGGCCCGGAAAAAACAGCTGGTGGTGTTAGAGCAAGTAAAGGATACAGGCAGTGTACCAAGTGTGAGTGCCTGATAAGGTCTATGAGCCATGCAAAACTGCAGCTGGGCTTTAGTTATCTTAGCAGAATAACAGCGCTCTGTAGAGCTCTTTATTATGTTGACTTTGATTTCTTTATGCCATGTGATTCCTGCATATCTGACAACTGAACTCTAAAACTCCATGCAGATACTCAGCTGCCGTGCCTCAACAGCAGTCATAGATACTCCCTTCCAAGAATATTTCTAACGCTTACAACTAAAGGATAAATATTTCACTTCTTAATAATTCTTACAGAATTAAATGCCATCATCTGTCCTCAGATTAGCATTTTCTAAAGGAAAGAGCAAGTCCTCAGAGGGAAGCAAGATATCAGCCAGTAATGAATTAGTGTTTTAAGATTTGTACTGAATGCAAAGCTTAACATACCTGTTCTCAGTGTGGTTATATATAAGTATTTGTGAATGGTAGCATCAATGTTTTGAGTTTATCAAGTGTAGGACATTGTGGTAAACTATATGCAGCCTCTAACCCTTAAAACACTGTGAGATCAGGAGCAGTATTCCTAGTTTGCAGATGAAGAAATCGAAGCTCAAAGTGTTTAGTAATTTGCTCAGGTGTTACATAGTTAAGAAATAGTAGAGCTGTGGTAAAAACTCAGATGTCTGATCCAAGAAAACTTTAATTACTAATCCTTATGGTTAAACACATCTATATCTTTGGGGGGCCAATGAAGCCTTGGTGGGTTTTCCATGCTTTGAATACTTCCCTCAAGAGGCATCTAGATAAACCTAGATGTCAGAAAAATATAAATTTTACCCTGTTGGGAAAAATAGATGCCAAAATTTGCATAGAAGTTTCATAATATGCATTGTGACTGGTGGTAACCTAACCTATCAGGAGAGGAAGTGGAAATTGTATTCCTAAATAATAAATGAGTTCCCCTGTCTCCAACTTTGGCTTTTTAAGCCTCTTTCAAAAGACCATTGCTTGCACAGTATAAAGGTTAACCCCACCTAGGTTCAAATTCTAATTCTACCTTGATCAAGTTACTTAACATCGGGCTTAATTTTCTCATCTATAAAATGGGCATTATAATCATATAAAATTACTAGCTTTTTTTAAATTTTAGCCATGTGAATGAGCATGTGATTGGATTTTAATTTTCATTTGTCTGATGGCTAAGGATTTTGAGTATCTTTTCATGTTCTTATTTGCTGTGAGTTTATCTTTTTTGGTGGATCATCTGTTCAACGTTTTTACCCATTTTTAAACATTAGATTGTTGCTCTTCTTAGTACTGAATTTTCAGAGTTTTTAAAATAAATTCTGCGGCTGGGCACAGTGGCTCATACCTGTAATCCCAGCACTTTGGGAGGCTGAGGCAGGTGGATCACAAAGTCAGGAGTTCCAGACCAGCCTGGCAGCAGGGTGAAACCCCGTTTCTACTAAAAATACAAAAAATTTCCCGGGCATGGTGGCACACACCTATAGTCCCAGGTACTCAGGAGGCTGAGGCAGGAGAATTGCTTGAATCCAAGAGGCAGAGGTTGCAGTGAGCCGAGATCGCACCACTACACTCCAGCATGGGTGACAGAGTGAGAGCCCATCTCAAAAAATAATAATAAAATCAAATAAAAAATAAATTCTGCATGCATACCAAGTATGGGTGAGGATATGGAACAACTGGAGCTCTCATACATTGCTGGTGGAAATATAAAATGGTATAACCACTTTGGAAAACTGCTTTGCAGTTTCTGAACAAGTTAAACTACATCTACAACATGACCTAGTTATTCTGCCCCTAGGTTTTTATCCAAGAGAAATGAAAACGTATGTCAAAAGAAAAAAAAAGTTGTATATGAAGATTCACAGCAGCTTTATTGGTAATAGCCCCAAACTAGAAACAATCCAAATGTCCATCTGCAAGTAAATAGATAGAATAAACAAATTGTGGCATAGCCATACAATGGAATATTATTAAACCATTAAAAGGAATGAAGTACTGAGACATACTACAACATGGTTGACTCTCAAAATAATTATGCTGAGTGAAAAAAGTCAGACAAGAATGGGTACCTATTGTATGATTTCATTTATATAACATGCTAGAAAATACAAATGAATTGACAGTGATAGAAGCAAATCAGCAGATGCCTTGGGATAGGCAGAACGGCTGTAGAGGGTTGAGAGGGAGGGAATACAAAGGAACACAAGGAAGCTGTCAGGGATGATGGCATATTCATTATCTTCATCATGATGATGGTTTCCTGGGTGTGAACACATGTGTAAAATGTAACAAATTGTAGACTCTAAATATGTGTAGCTTATTGTATGTTAATTAGGCCTCAATAAAGCCTTACAATTTTATCAGCTCCCAACATGCCCTTTGTCCTGTGAATTGCCCCTGACATAGAGGAGGGGCCACCCGCTGCCACATTTGTACTACATGACCCTGCCTTCCTGGCCAGAGCAGATCCATCTAATGGCAGGTCACTAAAGATGAGAAACAAAGATATCAACGTTCCAGAGAAAAGGTCCAGCTGGGTGTGGTGGCTCATGCCTATAAATTTCAGTGCTTTGGGAGGCCGAGGCAAGAGGATTACTTGAGGCCAGGAATTCAAGACCAGCCTGAGCAACAGAGTGACACCCCATCTTTTAAAAAAAAATAGCCAGGTGTGATAGTGCACATGTGTAATCCCAACTACTCAGGAGGCTGAGGTGGGAGGATCACTTGAGCCCGGGAGTTCAAGGTTACAATGAGCTATAATCATGCCACTATACTTCAGCCTCAGCAACAGAACAAGACCTGTCTCTGGGGAAAAAAAAAGGGAAAGGTACATTACTTTCTGCTTCTAGGTCCCTGGAGCTGTCTAAGCTTGGTCATCCAAGGACTGATTGTTTTAACTTAGGTTTCAAAACTTGAGTGTCCTGTCAATAAATTCCTTTTATGTTAGCTAGCTAGAGTTGGTTTCTGTTACCTACAACCTTGAGGAAGAAATGAAGTTGCCATTTAATTCATTTATATTTAGTATTCTTTCTATCACAAATGGCCACACCTCCTGTTTTGAAAATAACATGTTCAGCCAGCTAGGTAGGTGATTCATCCATCTCTTCATTTAACAAACTTTTATCAAATGCTGCAGTATGTGCCAGGCACTGTATCAGACATTTTCACTTTCATTCAAATTATACAATAGCCTGTAAAAAAATCTCATTTTACAGTTAAAAAAAGCTAGGCTCAGGGGGCTCCGTTACTTGTTTAAAGTCAAAGAGTTCCTAGTAGGTATGAAATTCAGGATTTGGCCAGGCCCGGTGGCTCACGCCTCTAATCCCAGTTCTTTGGGAGGCCGAGGTGGGCAACCAGTCTGGCCAACATAGTGAAACTCTGTCTCTACTAAAAATACAAAAAATTAGGCGGGTGTGGTAATGTGCACCTGTTATCCCAGCTACTCGGGAGGATGAGGCAGGAGAATCGCTTGAACCTGGGAGGAGGAGGTTGCAGTGATCCAAGATCGTGCCACTGCACTCCAGCCTGGGTGACAGAGCGAGACTCCATCTCAAAAAAAAAAAAAAAGAAAGAAAGAAATTCAGGATTTAAGCCCAGCCCTAACTCCAGAGACACTACTCTCCACATCCTATTCCCTAGTAGTAGTAAGCCCTTACATCAACAGTGAGCTCACAACGTCCAGTCACTGCGGCTTGTGGCTTTTGGGAGTCAGGGGTGCCAAGATGTTTCCCTGATGCTGCCTCACGGTGAACAACAGTGTCAGAGGACTATAGTGCCAGGGCTTTGCCCAACAGGGCTCAACGTCCTGAGAACAGGATGAATTATCTCTTCTGAAAGGCAGGGACAATCAAGGGTCCTTTTTCCCTGGTGTTGATGCCTATTACCTAGTAATGAAACTGACTCCTAAGTGACAAAGGAGCAGCAAAATTCTTAAAAAAAAAAAAGTCCACCACAACTACAGGAAACACCTAAGCAATACCACCCCAGCAACAAATCAAAAGATAATGGGCCTCTAATATTCTTCCTGAGAATTCACTGGAACTTTAAACACTTATGAATAGCTCAGGGTTGAAGCTGCATTTTTACACAGTTGCTAGAAGCACTCCTAATAATTTCTGATGCACATGCACAGGTTAAAGCCACAGACCTCACAATATTTTATTTTCCTTGGGGAAGTAAACCTACCAGAACAGAGGGAGATTTTCATTTTCAGTTTTAGAGATTTCAGTAGAGTTTAAATGTGTTGCTTTTGAATTTAAAAAACGTAATAAAAAGAGGAAATTCATGAATATTCACATTATACATTCTTTCTTATGATCAACTCATAAAAGTATGAAAATTGCCCCAAGTTCATGTGCACTAAAAATCATTTTTAAGTATCATTTTTAAGAGAAGAAAAGGGAAACAAACATTCAATAATCTGGTCATGTTCAAGTATATTCATATGATAAAAATTACATACATATTATAAGTGTTTTCAAACACTAAAATAACATAGGGTAATACTGATGGTTTGTTACACGATAAAAACGATCCTAAAATGTGTGTGGCATCTACAACCATCTGCTCTTTGACAAACCTGACAAAAACAAGAAATGAGGAAAGGATTCCCTATTTAATAAATGGTGCTGGGAAAACTGGCTAGCCATATGTAGAAAGCTGAAACTGGATCCCTTCCTTACACCTTATATAAAAATTAATTCAAGATGGATTAAAGACTTAAATGTTAGACCTAAAACCATAAAAACCCTAGAAGAAAACCTAGGCAATACCATTCAGGACATAGGCATGGGCAAGGGCTTCATGTCTAAAACACCAAAAGCAATGGCAACAAAAGCCAAAATTGACAAATGGGATCTAATTAAACTAAAGAGCTTCTGCACAGCAAAAGAAACTACCATCAGAGTGAACAGGCAACCTACAAAATGGGAGACAATTTTCACAATCTACCCATCTGACAAAGGGCTAATATCCAGAATCTACAAAGAACGTAAACAAATATACAAGAAAAAATCAAACAACCCCATCAAAAAGTGGGCAAAGGATATGAACAGACACTTCTCAAAAGAAGACATTTATGCAGCCAACAGACACAAGAAAAAACGCTCATTATCGCTGGCCATCAGAGAAATGCATATCAAAACCACAATGAGATACCATCTCACACCAGTTACAATGGCGATCATTAAAAAGTCAGGAAACAACAGGTGCTGGAGAGGATGTGGAGAAATAGGAACACTTTTACACTGTTGGTGGGACTGTAAACTAGTTCAACCCTTGTGTAAGACAGTGTGGCGATTCCTCAGGGATCTAGAACTAGAAATACCATTTGACCCAGCCATCCCGTTACTGGGTATATACCCAAAGGATTATAAATCATGCTGCTATAAAGACACATGCACATGTATGTTTATTGCGGCACTATTCACAATAGCAAAGACTTGGAACCAACCCAAATGTCCATCAATGATAGACTGGATTAACAAAATGTGGCACATATACACCATGGAACACTATGCAGCCATAAAACATGATGAGTTCATGTCCTTTGTAGGGACATGGATGAAGCTGGAAACCATCATTCTCAGCAAACTATCGCAAGGACGGAAAACCAAACACTGCATGTTCTCACTCATAGGTGGGAATTGAACAATGAGAACACTTGGACACAGGAAGGGGAACATCACATATACCAGGGCCTGTCGTGGGGTGGTGGGGAGCGGGGAGGGATAGCATTAGGAGATATACCTAATGTAAATGACGAGTTAATGGGTGCAGCACACCAACATGGCACATGTATACTTATGTAACAAACCTGCACGTTGTACACATGTACCCTAGAACTTAAAGTATAATAAAAAAATGTGTATGGCATATGTTTATTTGCATGTGTCAGGAAGAGAATATAGCCATCCCCTCTTATTCATGGTTTTGCTTCCCCCCGTTTTAGCTACCCACAATCAACTGTGGTCTGAAAATATTAAATGAAAAAATTCTAAAAATAAACAATTCATAAGTTTCAAATATGCACCGTTCTGAGTAATATGATGAAATCTCATGACATCCCATTCTGTCCTGCCCTGGACATGAATCATCCTTTTGTCCAACTTGTCCACACCCTAGACACTACTTGCTTGTTAGCCACTTAGTACCTAGGAGTTATCATATTGCCGGTCATAGTGTCACAGTGCTTGTTTGTGTTCAAGTTACCCTTACTGTGCTTTATAATGACACCAAAGTGCAAGAGTGGTGATGGTGGCATATTGGTATAATTGTTTTATTTTATTATTAGTTATTGTTGTTAATCTCTCACTGTGCCTAATTTGTAAGTTAAACTTTATCATATGCACATATGCATAGGAAAAAGCATAGTAGGATTTGGCCACACACCTATGGCTATCTGATCTTTGACAAAGCTGACAAAAACAAGCAATGGGAAAAAGACTCCCTATTCAATAAATGGTGCTGGGATACAGAAGATTAAAACTGGACCCCTTCCTTAGACCATACACAAAAATAAACTCAAGATGGATTCAAGACTTAAATGTAAAATCCAAAACAATAAAAATCCTGCAAGACAACCTAGGCAATACCATCCTGGACATAGAAACAGGCAAAGATTTCATGACAAAGACACCAAAAGCAATCACAACAAAAGCAAAAATTGACAAATGGGACCTAATTAAATGAAAGAGCTTCTGCACAGCAAAAGAAACTATCAACAGAGTAAACAGACAACCTACCAAATGGGAGAAAGTATTTGCAAACTATGCATCTGACAAAGGCCTAATATGCAGCATCTATAAGGAACTTAAATTTACAGGAAAAAACAAACAACCCCATTAAAAAGTAGGCAAAGGACATAAACAGACACTTTCAAAAGAAGACATACATGCAGCCAACAAGCATATGAAAAAAAGCTCAATATCACTGGTCATTAGAGAAAGGCAAATTAAAACCACAATGAGATACCATCTCACACCAGTCACAATGGCTATTATTAAAAAGTCAAAACATAACAGATACTGGCAAGGTTGCAGAGAAAAAGGAACACTTATACACTGTTGGTAGGAGTGTAAATTAGTTCAACCATTATGGAAAAGCAGTATGATATTTCCTCAAAGAGCTAAAAGCAGAACTACCATTTGACCCAAAAATTCCATTTCTGTGTACATACCCTCAGGAATATAAATCATTCTACCATAGAGACACACGCATGCAGATGTTTATTGAGGCACTATTCACAATAGCAAAGACATGGAATCAACCTAAATGCTCATCAGTGGCAGATTGGATAAAGAAAATATGGTACATACACACCATGGAATACTATGCAGCCATAAAAAAGAATGAGATCATGTCTTTTGTGGGAAAATGGATGGAGCTGGAGGGCATTATCCTTAGCAAACTAATGCAGGAACAGAAAACTAAATATCACATTGTCACTTACAAGTGGGAGCTAAATGATGAGAACTTACGAACACACAGAAGGAAATGACAGACACTAGGTTCTACTTGATGGGAGCGTGGGAGGAGGGAGAGGAGCAGAAAAGATAACTATTGGGTACTGGGCTTAATACCTGGGAGATTAAATAATCTGTACAGCGAACTCCTATGACACAAGTTTACCTATGTAACAAACTTTCACATGTATCTCTGAACTTAAAATAAAAGTTAAAAAAAGAAAAAATATATCCACATCATGACACTGATGTATCCTGATGAGCAGTGAAGTGTGTAGCAAGTAATTTATTACTACTAATAAAACCCCCAAAATTGTAAGTATTTTATCTTTTCATTTTTAATATAAATTAGAACAGACTTACAGTTATCTGTCCAGTAGCCTTACAGACACTCACTCATTCACTTGCATCACAATATTTATTGAGTAGAGAAGAAAGAGGCGCAGGAACAGTCATACGCGACCCTGGGTGTGCTGAGGTGGAACATGTCAACAGAGCATTGGCCTGTGTGTTACCTGCAGACAAAAAGAAGTTGCAAACCACTGTTTTTTTGGTTTGTTTTTGTTTTGTTTTGTTTTGCTTTGCTTTGCTTTGCTTTGTTTTGAGACAGAGTCTCGCTCTGTCGCCCAGTCTGAAATGCAACGGCGCAATCTCAGCTCACTGCAACCTCTGACTTTTGGGTTCAAGCGATTCTCCTGCCTCAGCCTCCCAAGTAGCTGGGACTACAGGCACGTGCCACCATGCCCGGCTAATTTTTTGTATTTTTAGTAGAGACGGGGTTTCACCATGTTAGACAAGATGGTCTCCATCTTCTGACCTCATGATCCACCCACCTCGGCCTCCCAAAGTACTGGAATTACAAGTGTGAGCCACCGCGCCCGGCCGCAAACCACTATTATAAATGATCACCAACTGCTACGAGTTCATAATTCAGAACACAAGAGTCTGTTTAACTGTTTAACCACACATAAGTTGAAGGTAATGCAATCTGCCATCTGTAAGAATATATCTTGGGCTTATGGCAACATTGACTTGCAGTAGTGTTTTTAATACTTTTTTTAAAAAATAAGGGAATGTTTTTCTTTCTCAAATGCAATCTCACAATTTATTTGTTTATATAAAAAATTTTTCCTGAGTGCTTACTGTGTGCCAGAAAGCACAGTACTATAGTAACTAATCAAGCAGATGTATCCCTATGCACAAGAAATTAGTTACGGAGACAAACAATAAGTCAGGCAAGCATTGAGTAAACAATTAGAAAGAGTGCAAAGTGTCATGAAATAAACGAACAGGGCACTGAATGAGGGGGAACCTGCTTACATAGGGAGATCCAAGGAGGGTTCCCTGAGGCAGTTATATACATTTAAGGTGAGACTCAAAGGATCAGAAGGAGACAGCCATGCAGAGAACAGGGAGGTAGGTGAATGAAGCAAACCAAACCAAAGTTCCTGAGGCTGGAAAATAAAAATGTGGAGTGGTGCCAAGTTGCATAACCATGTGATTTCTCTCCAGTAAAGCTCAGCAGCCCAGGTAAAGAATAGAAAAGGAATATTTTGGATTGACATAGAACTGGGAATTGGCTGTAGGTGTCATTTAGGGTCCAAGAGATGGAAAAAATGAAAACATTACTGGAAGAGATCAGTGAGATCCAATATTTACATAGGCAAACCCTCTCTTTTTTTAAAAAAAAAACTTTTATGCTATCCTTCTAGAGAACTGACTGTTTTTCATCCATCCTGGAGACATGAAAGCACCCAGAACTGTCACTAAAATCTGAAAGTATCTGGAATGGAGTGAAAGTTCACATCATCAAGATTATATCATTTCTTAGAAGACAGCCATCATCTATACATTAACAAATGGAGACTAAGGCAGCACTTTCTTCAGTAATTTTCTCTGATTCCAAGCCCCAACTCAGGGAATATTACAAAATCTGTGATCACTTGCCATGTCTCACATATTATCCACTATTAACATAAATCAAGGCTTCGTGTTTGTAATTTATGTTTCAGCACTTAGAGAATACCTTGCTAGTTATTTTAAATAGATAAATCAAATCAAAATTTTGTTAATAAAATATTAGAAATGTCATAAGACCTCTGATTTATTGAACGATGTCTAACATTCCTGATCTCCATTTATTTCAAGTTTTTAGGAAGAAAAATGGTTAGCTGGCTCATCCTGCTCTTATTTTTATTCCTTCATTTAGGAGATTACATCTCAGCTCCAAAGCCATGTTTAATAAGAAGATGTGCAATTTTTAACTGTTGATATTTTAAAAGAGTAAACATGATTAAGATTAATACACGTAGTCCCAGATATACTCAAATAATGGATTAGTCTGTACAGCACATTTGATTCATGTCTGATAGTCAAGCTTTTTTATTTTGACTTCATCCATATACACAGAAATGTACTCCCTTGTTTGCTTAAAAGCCAAAATGGCCTATGCAACAGGAGGAAGTGAATATGGACTGAGGAAGTGGATATGCTAGGTAGCACATACCAATGACCCAGCTTGTAAACTGTACATATTCACAGGGAAAGACTAGGATGCAGCAAATTAGCATGACAAGACAAAGAAAAAATGGTGTCCATGAATTACACAAGTTTCTTTCCAAAAGTAAAGCTCCAGAAGATGAGAATTCAATAAATGGAAAACACGGAAAGGAGAAAGATAAGCACACAGAAGAGAGGAAAGTATCCTTTCCTCTTCTAGCAAAGAGCTATGTCCATACAGATCTCAAGTCAGAAACTGATCCTCAGTTTTAGGAGCCAACTTGTTTCTGTTTTCCGTTTGAAGAGTCTGAGGACAAAGGCTTTTGACTGATCTTGGAAATAATAACCAGCCTTCTTCATTTACTATTTGAATCCTCTGTGTGTTCCTTGTACTGGTAAACACACACACACGCGCACACACACACACACACACATACACTAGATACCGATGAAAATTCAGATAAAACAACACAATGGAGCTAGTCACCTTTTGCTGTGCATTTCAGAATGCATGTTTCAGAATGCACAGTGAAAGGATTCATAGCCTGGCATTGTACTGTAGGGTCTTCACACGTCGATTTTTCAGTATTTACACAATAATAGTATTAAGCACCCATGTGGAAGATCAAACTAAGATTTATTACAAAATGAGAAATAATCCATGACATAAGGTTAAAAAATGTAAAGGAAAATTGGTTTAATAGTTCCTAAGGTAAATTGTGTCACTCCTACTCAATGTTGATTACATTTAACAAATCATAGAGATCGGGGAGAAAACTTAACTAGATTCAGCAACTAAATAGCCATTTGATCTAGAAAAACTCAGGAGCTTCAGTTTAGTCATGTATGAGGTAAGAGTATCAAATAGTGTGATTTCTTTGGTGCTTTTTTAGCCTGAAATACTATGATTGACTCTAAGAGTCATGATATTACTATTATTCTCTTCTATTGGGTATGCTTAACTGACAAATTACTAAAGTTTAATAAAACACTACACTTTCTAGCCTACGTCTTGCTACCCCTAAGAAATACTGAGCAAGAACATTTAAAGGATATATATTTTTTTTTTTTTGAGATGGAGTCTCACTCTGTCGTCCAGGCTGGAGTACAGTGGTGCAATCTCGGCTCACTTCAACCTCTGCCTCCCGGATTCAAGTGATTCTCCTGCCTCAGCCTCCTGAGTAGCTGGGATTACAGGTGCTTGCCACCATGCCTGGCTAATTTTTGTATTTTTAGTAGAGATAGCGTTTTCCCCATGTTGATCAGGCTGGTCTCGAACTCCTGACCTCATGATGCGCCCATCTCAGCCTCCCAAAGTGCTGGTATTAGAGGTGTAAGCCACCACGCCCAGCCTAAAGGATTTTTAAAACTAATTATTGGTATAAACTGAAACCTAAAGCAATATTCTCCTTTCAATTTCACTCTTTTCCTTATATGACTTGTCCAAAACCAAAAGAAATATGATACTCTTCTCTCTCCTCATTTATGATAGTTTACTAATGCTCTATCAGTATACTAACACTAATATTAGTTAATACTAATACTTAACACTATATAACACATTAGTATGAAAACTAGTAACACATTACTCATTGCACTCACATTACTCCTTGCACACACATTACCTACACTCACTACATACACATTATAGAACTATCAAAAAAGGGTCAATACTCAAATGGCCAAAAACAAATGCTAAAAATAGTATAGTTTACCAGAGTGTCAATTTTAAAACCTATACGTATTTTAAAGGTTAAATAAGAAAGAAAAAGAATTGTTTACTATATCCAAAGAGACATATGTGGGGACAATCAGGAAAATACAGAAGAGTAACAAGGATTCTAAGCAAAAGTTAATAAATGGCACACCTATTTTATAAGAGAAATAAAGAAGAAAAAATGGTTAATACTTAAGCTTAAACTGGGCAAAGATCAAGTTGCCATAAATAATTTTAAACAAGGACTCATAGAATTAGATAACCTAATGTTGAGTCTTTTTTTGCATTTTCAGATTCTCAATTTCTGTGGCTGACCTTCCAGTGATGTTCCCTATACCATACAATGATGATGAATAAAACAAATGAGTAACCAGATGTTAAAAGAATGAGCAAAGTCTTTATATTCCTACAGCTTAAAGTCAAAATTCAAAGTTTCCGTTCCAGAGCCTAATAAGATAAAAGAGAAAAATTCATACTTGAATTTGTTCCAAAAGAAAGGCCACTTTGTTAAATAAAGCACTTCAGAGCCCTTCTCTCTCTGAAGCTATTGTCATGAGCCATCTCCATCCATGTTCCTATTAACACAATACTGTAACTGCCTCTGGCATACGTTTGAAAAGTGTAGTAGCACCTTGATGTAGCATTTCCAATTTCAGGGACGACAGAGAAGAAGGGGACCCATGTCTTCTTGGCCAGTAGTGCTAGGAGTTTACCAGTACTGTGTGAAGATGCAGTGGGTTGGAATGGCCAGGCAAACCAGGATATGGGAGGTGTAACTTTGCCCAGTTACTTAAAGCAGAAGCCATACATGCTTTTCACTTTCCTGAGACCAGAAAGAAAAGAGAAGAATCACTCTCCCTCTCCTTATTCCTGGACAATTCTAGGAGTCTCACATCTTGGATATTCCTTTGCTCCATTTTGTAGGACTCTTGGCATTATGTGGCCCTGAAGAGATGCCTCAAACACCACATCTAAAATACACTGAGGAATGTGTTGTGGGGAGATAGGAAAACTCGCTAGTCCCCTGCTCCAGCCATGGCTCCCATACTGTGCCCAAGGAATCGTTATGAGGAACAAGACTCATCAGAGCTTACTGCTTTATAATGGCTGTCCACATTAACACTCCCAGAGAACCCTCACTTAAACTACCGCAAGCTCAAAGAGTATAGAGACAGAAAACAGATGTGTATCTTAGCCCTTCACTGACCTGTAAGGGCAGCAACAAATTGGCCATGTCCCATCCATTTGAACTCAGCCTATGAACCAGAATATTCACTGTCTAAGGTTGAGGCATCCTTCCTCAATCTCAATTATTCCTCTTCCAAATCCAGGTTTTTTTTCTTGGGCCTCCAACAGCTTTCAAAATTATTTCTGGCAATTCCTAGTCTTCTGTTAAGGTTGATGTGGCTAGAAGAAAATTGGTTAATGTTAACAGTGGGTCCAGGATCCAAGAGCAGAAGCTTATATCAGTAGGGATCCAGTTACATGTATCTAACAAAAAAATGGGCTTTTAGTTTGAGGAAATTCCCTATAAAAGAGGCTTTCTTGCAGAACAGGAAAGAAGCTTATGATCTGGTAAAGTGTTCTGAGAAGAATACTAAATTTGATCCCAAAATGAAAAGGATCCTACTTACGAAGTATTCTTTCTTTAAAATTGAGCACAATCCTGTTAAGCCTTTTATATCTGCTATAGTTCAGATATGATTTGTTTGGCCCCACCAAATCTCATGTTGAAATTTGATACCCAGTGTTGGAGGTGGGGCTCAATGGGAGGGGTTTGGGTCATTGGGGTGGAACCCTTATGAATAAATTAATGCCCTCCCTGGGTCCAAGGAATAGTGAATTCTCACTCTATTAGTTCCTGCAAGAACTGATCGTTAAAAAGAGTCTGGCTCTGTTGCTTCCTCTCTCACCATGTGATCTCTACACAGGCCAGCTGCCCTTTCCCTTCAGCCATGAGTGGCAGCAGCCCGAGGCCCTCACCACATGCCTAATCTTGAAGACTCCAGCCAGCAGAACTGTGAGCTAAGTGAATCTATTTTCTTTATCAATTACCCAGCCTCAAGTATTCCTTTGCAGTAACACAAAATGGACCAAGACAACATCTAACTACCAATTATTAATAAAATACAGTAGCTAGAGAAACAAGTTAAACAATACCTTGAGGAAAAATCAACCTCAGAATGTGGAACATTCTGCAAGACTTATGATATGGTTTCTTCCACCAGTCATGGCATTAAAAAAAGTGTGTGTGGGTGTGTGTGTGCTCTTTAGAATGAATGAAACTTTAATGACATAACAGCTGACTGCAATGTGTGGACCATATTTAGATCCTAATTTACACAAACCAAATGTGAAAAAGGTCTAGTGATGATCAGGAAATTTGAACCTAGAGAGTACAGGGAGATCACAGAGTATGAGATGACTTTAGGAGAAAGTCCTTATCCATTACAAGTCTATTCTGAAGTATTTAAAAGTGAAATTTCAAGAAATTTGAAATTTTCTTTAATGTTTTCAAAAAAAAGTAGGGGATTCAATGAAACAAGATGGGAAAATGTTGATCATTGTTGAAACTGAGTTACAGGTACATATAGTTTCCTTCCAGTCTCTTGAGAATATTTCAATATTTCCACAATTAAAAAGTTATTTAAAAGCCAACATATTAACCATTAATCTTTTTAAAGTGCATAAATATCATTACTATAACATAATTTATCTCAGTATAAAATGGAAATAATCTAAATGTTTTACAGTAGCAAAAACTTATTTAAAAATATGATAAACTGGCTGGGTGTGGTGGCTCATGCCTGTAATCCCAGCATTTTGGGAGGCTGAGGCAGGCGAATCACCTGAGGTCAGGAGTTCAAGACCAGCTTGGCCAACATGGTGAAACCCTGTCTCTACTAAAAATACAAAAATTAGCTGGACCTGGTGGCGGGTTCCTGTAATCCCAGCTACTTGGGAGACTGAGGCAGGAGAATCGCTTGAACTCGGGAGGCGGAGGTTGCAGTGGGCCGAGATTGTGTCATTGCACTCCAGCCTGGGCAACAAGAAAGAAACTCCATCATAGAAAACAAAAACAAAAAACCCAAAAAACAAAAAAATAAAACTATGATTAAACCAATCTGATGGAAATTATGCAGCCATTAAAATGACAGAAAGGAGGAGGACAACAAAGAAAAAGCTTACAGAGTTGTTATTTTTAGAATAAAGACTAAATCTACATTAGAATCATACTCTTTAAAATATGTATGAATATAAACAAAGAGTAGAAGAGTAAATAAGAAAAACAGTAAGTTGATATGTCTTTAAAGTGTGGGTTTTCTTACTGGTACTATGATATTGTTTCTGAAACAAAATGAATGCTGACATAAAACAACAAAAAATTGATCTAGATCTACATATGCTGAAATGTAGCAAGACAGCGTTACATTTGCTTTGGAAATAGCATTGGCTTTGGAGTCAGACACTCTTGGCAAGTTATTTAAACAATCGTACAGTCAGTTTCTTCTTTCTCCATCTCAACAACTGATATAGCCACCCTTCAGGAATGGTACAAGGATTAGAGATGTAAGTCCTTAGAGATGTGATTGATGTGGTAACAGTAAGCGGGTGATAGGACAACCATCTTGGCATCACAATATTCGGCACATAGTAAACCCTCAATAAACAGTACTTATTACTATTATCATATTAAAGGTGGGAGAGTTCTGAGAAAATAGAAAACAGAGATGTGAGCTGATGGTCAAATTCCTGCAGACTTTTATGGCAATATAGCTTTCACACACACACAAAATGAAGATAGGGAAAAGTATAATGAGGAATTCAAATCTTATCAAGGCCAGTTGGAAGTACGGGTTGGCTGGAGAGGGGCTAAGACTTGTATGAGGGACATGCAGGGATCACAGGCAGGCAGTGAGGAGGTAAATAAAACCAACCTGTAGGAAAAACTGAGTTCAAACTACTCTGAAGCTTCAAGGCAAAACCTACAGGATCAGAGGAAGAGGGAGATAAGCATGAAAGGAGAAAAGGATTTAGGGTACAAGGACTGTTTGGGTACCTACATATGTGGCTGAGGGGTTGGGGCTTTTTGGCAGTGAGAGGCAATCCCTACTTGGAGCTACGATAGATGATACAGTTTCAGAGCTTAAATGAACTGAAATTCATGTAAGATGATCTCATCCTGTCTCCCCATTCTACAAGATGAGAAAATAAACTTCAGAAAGGGGAGGGCCCTGGGTACCACGGCAAGGTTGTATGGCACAGCTATGCCTAGAATTCTGGCTTACCCTGAAACCAGTGCTCTTGTGCCTCGTTATGCTGCCTCCAAGGTGGATGTCCCATTATCATCACCATGTCAATTATTTTTACCCACATTTATTAAACAAACGAAGCTCTCTGTGTCTTAAAGCATAAAGTATAAGCACTTATTCTTTTCACCAATATCTTTCATATCAGACGCCCCTTACTGACTTCAAATTATTTTGTTGCATGTAACAAAAGAGAATGCAATGAACATTTGTTCTGCAAATGTTCTATCAGCACCTACTATATGTCAGGCACATAAAAACAAATGGCATAGACACTGTTGTCAAGAAGCCTGCAATACAGTGAAGAATATTATGCACTTTGTAATATTCAATGTGACATGGAATTAAAGAGAATGGAGCTCAGGCTGGGTGCGGTGGCTCACTCCAGTAGTCCCAGCATTTTGGGAGGCTGAGATGGGCAGATCACTTGAGCCCAGGAGTTCGAGACCAGCCTGGGTAACACGGCAAGACCCGATCTCCACAGAAAATATAAAAATTAGCATGCACCTGTAGTCCCAGCTACTCAAGAGGCTGAGGTGGGAGGATTGCTTGAGCCTAGGAGGTTGAGGCTGCAATAAACCAAGATGGCACCACTGCACTCCAGCCTGGGTAACATAGTAAGACTTTGTCTTTAAAAAAAAAAAAAAAAAAAAAAAAAAAAACCCAGCTCATTGGACTTAAAGGGGAGAGAAGGAAAAAAAAAAAAAAACAACAACAACAACAACAAAAAACTTCACTGAGAGAGAATGCTGGAGCCGACCCTGAGGAAGAGTAGTTAGTTGACCAGTAGACAGCAGGACAAGAAGGTAGCCCGTTCCAATAATAAGAGCCTGGAGCAAAAGCTTCATGAAAGCTGGTGAGGACTGGAACTGTGAGAATTGCCAGAAAATACAGCAAGCATAATAGTGTGGAAGTTGGGAGTGGTTTGTGAAGAGAAAAATCCTAGTCAGGCAAGCTGGCAGAAGAGTCCAAAACAAAGGAAAAACTAAGCTCTTTTAAGTGGTAAGAAAATGTTTTTTAAAAGGGGGAGAGAAGAAATTCATTTCTTGTCTGTGAGCTCTAACTATAATCAGGTGATTAAAAATGAGTCATCACTGACTGAAGCATAAGAAGCCTCCAGGAACAGAACAAATTCTGGTCTCGTGCAGATTCCAACAGCTGCTACGAAACCTATATTTAGGGGTGTTTGTCCTGGGGTGAGCATACAGATTTTGGCTTCTTGGCAAAAATTCCTTTTGTTCCCTTTTTTCTAGAATCATGTCTTTTTCCCACTGGCTTTCCCCACTCTCTTGCCGTAGAGAACAGTTGTATTTAAATCTGAAATTTCAGTTGAAAAATACGTGGTCTTTATGGTGTGATCACTCTGGTTCTGTGTGGTCTCCAACAAATGATCCTTTAAAATCATCCAAAGATGAGGCACAGATGAATAGTCCCCAAGAAGCAGATCCTCCTTCACTAAGGAACAACCCTACAGGTATCAATAGTATGAACGTATTAGCACAAGAGAGAACTACTGATATGTCTACAACTCCAACTCTACTCTGAAGAACATTTTATGAGAGCTGCAACATACCTTGTGTGCCCCACAGGAAAGTCAAGCAAAGTCTCTTGAGAAAATGGGACTCTCAGAAGGAAAAATGAGCAGGAAACTAACACTTCTGAGGGCCTACATAGTGCTGGGCACCACTCTAATTACCTTACTAATAATAGTAATATTTTTCTTTCCTTCTTTCCTTTTTTCCTTCTTTCATTCAGTTTCTTTCCATTGTCTCATAATAGTCTACATACATTATGTCATTTCTGTGAAGGATGAATTTGGAGATTAATGGTTACAACAAGGAGACTACCAGTGCTAGAATCAGATAAAACCTGTTTCTTCAAACTCCCAGATATATGTGCTTTATAAAAAGTTCTACTATTTTTCAGATAGCAGAGCATTTAAAGATACACACTGACATGAACATTTGGGTTTTTTTGGGGTTTTTTGTTTTTTTTTTCAGACAGAGTTTCACTCTTCTTGCCCAGGCTGGAGTGGAATGGCGCAATCTTGGCTCACCGCAACCTCCGCCGCCTCCTGGGTTCAAGCGATTCTCCTGCCTCAGCCTCTCAAGTAGCTGGGATTACAGGCATGCATCACCACACTCTGCTAATTTTGTATTTTTAGGAGAGACGGGGTTTCTCCATGTTGGTCAGGCTGGTCTCGAACTGCCGACCTCAGATGATCCACCCGCCTCAGCTCCCAAAGTGCTGGGATTACAGGTATGAGCCACCGTGCCCACCCCACAATTGTATTTCTTAAAATACATAGTCAGCATAAAGAATCCTAAATATTCTGTGAGTTTTGCCTTGTACTTGCACACCCTTCTGTTCAAAATTAGTATACTTTCTGTAATTGGGTGCTGGGATGAGAATGAATCCAGGAAAGAGTTAAGAAAGTGTTAGGAAGACTCACCCACCTGGTAAACTCTCTTGATGTGATCTGGCAGTCCTGACCACTGATTTACATTCTTCTCTGCTGCATGCTTGCCTGTGCCTATTAGACTATTAAAATATTAATAGGGCCTTGGTATCTCTCATTATTAATTTTGGCAAGGAACGAGGACATGCCGAGCCATAGTATTGATAGATTTGTAGAATATGTTAATCATAGCACTCATTATTTAGCCAAGTTACTATTTTTTTCAGAGGGTTTTACTCCACTGATCATTTTTGATATTTAACAATTTTTCATCTCCAGCTAAGCACACTTGTTCCTTAGAAATCTACTTATGTATGTATTTTTATAATGTTTTTATAACAATAATTTACTGAACAATTGTCATGCCCCATCACATAATGACAAAATTTTCTGATAAATATCTAGAGAGTTTAGCTAAGAAATAAGTAGATTGTTAAAGGTGGCATTAAAATAATATATTCCTGCTTTTGTTTTTTTTAACTTAAGAAAATTTTTTCAGGTCTATGGTAGAGCCAGCAAGGCCCAAGGCCAAATTCTCAGGCCACCAATCTCTGAGGACACTTACAGCATTTTTTTTTTTCCAGTTTCCTAAGAGTTATTTATTCTTTGTCATAAATAGGTGATAATGTTTAGCAAAAAAAGAAAAAATATATTTTTCAATGGATATAGTCATAAGAATCATCTCTTTTACTCTATTAATGAAGTATGTTGACAGATTTTCTGATGTTACATTCTTGGAATGAAATCTACCTGATTACAATGCATTTTTAAAGAAAGCACACTTTTAGATTCATTAAGCTAATATTTTGTTTAAGATTTTTAAAAATCTATTTATAATTGAAATGGGCCTAATTTTTCTTTTAACTAGTCTTACTCTGATTTCAGAATGAATTGGGAATCTTCACTCTTTTTCCATTTTCTGAACAATGTGTAATATACACACACATATGCACACACATACTCACCCCACCCCCTCACCGACCACCCCCCAACACACAACCCACATTGTTCAGTTTGGTAGAAATGACCTATAAAACCCTCAGGCTTTTTTGTTTGTTTCCGTTTTTTGGATGAAGAGAGTTTTTAAGTATCATTTCAGTTTCTTTTTTTTTTTTGACAGTTTTTAATTGTGCCTTTATTCAACTTAGTTCATTAAAAATGTACTTGTTTCAAAGATCCTATAAATAAAGTGACCACTCACTCAAGTGGGATATAGATCACCCCTCAGCATGTTATTTTTTTTTTAAAAAAGCAGTATTTCTTATAAGGAATCTTACTGATCACACAGTAGTTACAATAATGTCAGATATGATGTATACAGTCTAAACGAGAAAGGCCAGTTAAGAATTTACATAATGTAAAAATACACATATTAAAAGTTAGCCAAGTGGACAGACGCATGCAACAGGGGGAGAGCAGGTGACAGGAAGTCCTTTAACAATCAGTAGAGGGCCCAGATGCAAGGAATCTGGTTTTCCCCATTACGATAAACAGCTTTCACTAACGTATACAGGTATTCCATACACATCTAAACACACAAGGGTCACACATTTCAGTTTCTTTGACATTTCCTACTCTGTTTCTTCTTGATTTCAAAATTGGTAGTTTTGTTTTTATTTTCCCCACAAAAATGGCTAATAGTAAAAAAGACTGGTACTATCAAGTGTTGGTGAGGATGTGGAGCAACAAAACTCTCACACATTGCTGGTAGGAATTTAATTATTATGACTACATAGGAACATTCTTTGATACTATCTATGAATATTAAACATACATGCACCTGATCTCACAGCAATTTTACTCCTGGGTATATTCCCAAGATAAATAAGTACTTATGTCCACCAAAAGATAGACAAAAATGGCCATACAGGTATTATTCATAATACTCCCAAAATGGAAACAATTGACAGTCTCTCAACAGTAGAAAAAAATTGTGGTATATTCATACAATAGAATACCACAAACGATGAGATAGAATGAACTACTGCTACATGCAATATGAATGAATCTCACCAACATAATGTTTTGTGAAAGAAGTAAGGCTCAACAAACAACAGCCAAGCCAAGGGCCAAATCAGGAATGCAATCTCATTTACAATTGCCACATAAAGAATAAAATATCTAGGAATATAGCTAATCAAGGAGGTAAAGATCTCCACAATGGGAATTACAAAACACTGCTCAAAGGAATCAGAGATGACACAAACAAATGGAAAAACATCTCATGCTCGTGGGTAGGAAGAGTTAATACCATGAAAATGGTCCTACTGCCCAAAGCAATTTACTGATTCAATGTTATTCCTATTAAACTACCAATGACATTCTTCACAGAACTAGAAAAAACTATTTTAAAATTCATTTGGAAGCAAAAAATAGCCCAAATAGCCAAGGCAATGCTAAGCAAAGGAGCAAAGCTGGAGACAATATGTTACCTGACTTCAAACTATACTACAGGACTGCAATAACCAAAACAGCATGGTACTGGTACAGGAACAGACACATAGACCAATGGAACAGATGAGAGAGCCCAGAAATAAGGCCACACACCCAGGACCATCTGATCTTTGACAAAGCTGACAAAAACAAGCAATGGGGAAAGGAGTTCCTACTCAATAAATGGTTCTGGGATCACTGGCTAGCCATGTGCAGAAGATTGAAACTGGACCCCTTTTTTAGACTGTATACAAAAATCATCACAAGATGGATTAAAGACTTAAATGTAAAACCCCAAACCATAAAAACCCTGGAAGACAACCTAGGCAATATCATCCTGGACATAGGAATGTGGAAATATTTTATTAAAAAGCCATTAAAAACAATCACAACCAAAGCAAAAATTTACAAATGGGATCTAATTAAACTTAAGAGTTTTGGCCGGGCATGGTGGCTCACTCCTGCAATCCCAGCACTTTGGGAGGCCAAAGTGGGTGGATCACCGGAGGTCAGGAGTTCAAGTCAACTTGCTGAAACCCCGTCTCTACTAAAAATACAAAAAAAATTAGCTGGGCATGGTGGCAGGCACCAGTAATCCCAGCTACCCGGGAGGCCGAGGCAGGAGAATCACTTGAACCCGGGAGGCTGAGGTTGCAGTGAGCCGAGATCACACCATTGTACTCCAGCCTGGGTGACAGAGTGAGAATCCATCTCAAAAAAAAAAAAAAAAAAAAAAGAGTTTCTACACAGCAAAAGAAACTATCAACACAGTAAACAGACACCCTACAGAATGGGAAAAAATATTTACAAACTATGTATCTGACAAAGGTCTAATATCCAGCATCTATAAGGAACTTAAATGAACTTACAAGAAAAACAACTCGATTAAAAAGTGGGAAAAGAACATGAACAGATACTTTTCTAAAGAAGACATACATGTGGCCAACAAGCATATGCAAAACAACTCAATCACTGATCATTAGAGTAATACAAATTAAAACCACAATGAGATACCATCTCACAGCAGTCACAGTGGCTATTACTAAAGTCAAAAAATAACAGATGCTGGCAAGGTTGTAGAGAAAAAGGAATACTTATACACTGTTGATGGGAGTGTAAATTAGTTCAACCATTGTGGAAAGCAGCTTGACAATTCCTCAAAAAACTAAAAGCAGAACTACAATTCAACCCAGCAATCCAATTACTGGGTATATACTCAGAGGAATATAAATCATTCCACCATAAAGACACATGCATGCAAAAGTTCACTACAGCACTATTCACAATAGCAAAGACATGGAATCAACCTAAATGCCCTTCAATGACAGACTGGATAAAGAAAATTTGGTACATATACACCACAGACTACTATGCAGCCATAAAAAAGAACAAGATCATGTCTTTTGCGGGAACATGGATGATGGAGCTGGAAGCCATTTTTCTTAGCAAACTCATGCAGGAACAGAAAACCAAACACATTTTTTCACTTATAAGCGGAAGCTAAATGATGAGAACTCATGAATACAAAGAAGGGTACAGCAGACACTGGGGCTTACTTGAGAGTAAAGGGTGGGAGGAGGGAGGGGAGCAGAAAAAAATAACAATTGGGTACTAGGCTTAGTACCTGGATGACAAAATAATCTGTACAACCAACCCCCTTGACATGAGATTACCTATATAACAAATCTGCCCATGTACCCACAAACCTAAAATAAAAAAGAAAAGAAGGCGCAAATGAATACATACATATGGTATGGTATCATTTATATGGAGTTCAGAACAGGCAAAATTAATCTATCATGAAAGAGGTCAGAACAGTGGGAGGGGCACCAAGGTGGAGGAGACATTAGAAAGTCTATTGGAGTGCTAAGAATGTTTTACATCTTGATCTTGGTTGTGGTATGTAGTTACATACATACATATGTTTATTCATTGGGCTGATATTTAAGAATATATGCTTGTTGTATGAACGTTATACCTTAATTTTAAAGAAAGCAAGTATTAGCCACATAGGAATTGATAAATTTGACTACATAAAGATAAATTATAACCCTAGGACTAACAACATTTAACTCTTAAGCTTTGGTATTTTTTGTTTGTTTGTTCATTCATTTTCCCCCTGTATCCTCTGTTCAATGTTAGCTGCCACAGTGAGACAAACAGAAAGTATAAGGACACTTTTTGCTTGCATCTGTAGTGGAAACCTTAGCAGCAGACAGTAACTGCTCCAGGTCTGTCAAATAGATATGTTTCTTTTTTACTACATTTGATTTATTTTCCTTTTATTTTAATTGACTGTAATAATAGTATGTATTTATAGTATACAGGGTGATATTTTGATACATGTATACAATATATAATGTTCAAATCAGGGTAATTAGCAAATCCATCACCTCAAACAGTAATCGTTTCTTTGTTGTGGGAACATTCAAAATCCTCTCTTCTAGCTTTTTGAAAATACACAATAAATTATAGTTAACCATATTCACCCTACAGTGCACTAGAGCACTAGAACTTATTCCTCCTATCTAGCTATAATTTTATATCTGTTACCCAACATCTCTCTATCCTCCCTTCCGCATCCCACCCTTCCCAGCCTCTAATAATCACAATTCTACTCTGTACATCTAGAAACCCAACGTTTTTTAGCTCCCACATATGAATGGTGACATGCGGTATTTATCTTTCTGTGCATTTCACTCAACGTATTATCCACCATGCTCAGCCATGTTGCTGCAAATGACAGGATTTTATGTTTATGGCTGCAAACTTCAGAAGGATTTCCCTCCCAGCTCCACTTGTGGGCTGCTGCTGCCAGAAGCCTCTCTCCGAGGCTTTGGGAAATTAGCAATTTTCTGGTGGCAATAACCATTAGAAACCCTGATTTGAATATTATTATCTGAGAGAACTCAACTATTTTTCAAATCGAAAATCAAGACATTTAGTCAGACATGGAATGTGCCTGCCTTTTTTTTTTTTTTTTTTTTTTTTGGAGATGGAGCCTCGCCTTGTCCCCCAGGCTGGAGTGCAGTGGCGCGATCTCAGCTCACTGCAAACTCCGCCTCCCAGGTTCACGCCATTCTCCTGCCTCCGCCTCCCTAGTAGCTAGGACTGGAGGAGCCCGCCACCACATCCAGCTAATTTTTTTTATTTTTAGTAGAGACTGGGTTTCACCGTGTTAGCCAGGATGGTCTCACCTCGTGATCCGCCCGCCTCGGCCTCCCAAAGTGCTGAGATTACAGGGGAGAGCCACAAATGTTCCGCTTTTAAAATAAGAAAACTGAAACAAAAAGTTAAATTACTTCCTAAGAACAGGCAGCAAGACCTGACACACAATAAAATCGAATGTTTTCAAATTCCAGAAGCTTGAAATGTACCAAGTTTAGATTTGGGGGTATGCATTTAACAAAGGAAAACTCAGGTATTTCCCTTGATCAGAGTATAGGATACAAATATTACTGAAAAGGTAACTAAGAAGTATCTTTTTTTTTTTTTTTTTTTTTTTTTTGGTCATCTAAAATCGTCAAATTATATAGAGAGGAAAAGCACAATACATACAGTTTTTAGGAAGTAATCACAAATTCTCTCTTAGGATGGTGATTCTTATCCTTCTTTTAGGGGTGAATGCCATCACACCCACATGTCTTCCCAGTCTCTTTATTGTCCTCAATCAATTTCCCATTATTATCTCCCGAGAGATCAGCACTTTATCTGCCCCAGATGGGATGGTGGTGGCAAAATGCATAAGCCATAGTCTTAAAGTAGCAAGGCTTATGCTTCACACCCAATTACCTGTAGCACAGTCTATACCTAAACACTCAGGATGAATTAATGCTCACACTATACTTCAGATGGCTATAAGTACAGTAAGCTATACTTACTGTAGTATCTTTGACCTCCAAGAAGAGGTCTCTGAAGAAGGGTGAAGAATGCAGGGGGAACCAGAAAATTATTTGGCTGATTATGTTATCACCATCACTATTTATGAAATACCTCTTAATGTGGCTTCAGGCAGAAGCACACGTTTTCAATTTGGAAGTTAAAATAGCTTCGATTGTGCTTTATCTAAGCTGCCTACCACAAATCTGATAATGATACATGTCTCTTTTAACATGGACAGCATTGCTCTTCGTGGCCCACACTCACAAGATGACAAGTTAAAATAGTAACAACAGGCTTCTTTTATTGTTCCTCCTAGGCTACAACTAAAATGCAAAAACAAAACAAAATGAAACAAAAAACTGGGGGAGGAGGAATTTTCAATTTTCAATATTTTGCAAACTGTGTCTAAATTGATGATCCAGATCTCATCTCATGACCTGAAGAAGTTCAGTTTTTCTATTGTAAAATGTAAATCTCAGCCCACCTCCCCAAAGCATATGATAATGAATTATGTGAAAGAAAACATTATATAAAACAAAATGCTCCAGAAACAGGGTGTTGTAATTGACTCACGTTTCTCCATGAATTCCTTCTTGCTTTCTACTCCTGTCATTGGAAACTTTCTGAAAATCAGTTGTCTTTCCAACCTTGATATTTAGAATATAACTAAAAATGTCCTTAGTGGTTGAAGCTCCCTTGTGGGTTAATTCCTCATTCTGAAATCAGTGATCAGTCCATGCTACTGCAAGGGTAGAAAACATAATAGAAAGTACAAGAAATTATTGATGCCTTAAATATCCTGAAAGCTATTATTTTTTCATTTAATTCCTAACACAAACACTTTCTTTAGTGATTGCTCTCTTCCTCTAAAGCCCAACGTAGGTGTGGCAGCGATGTTTGAGTACGGATATGGGTATGCGTGAGAAGAAGGAATGAACAATTTGGCTATCAAGACTTCCAGTCAATTGAAATTTGCTCCATTATAGACTGAACTACTATATTCCTTTTTTAAATTATTATTTTTTAACTTTTATTTTAGGTTCAAGGGTACATGTGCAGGTTTGCTATACAGGTAAACTCATGTCACAGGTGTTGTTGTACAGATTATGTCGTCACCCAGGTACTAAGCCTAGTACCCAATAGTTATTTCTGATGTCAACTTTTCTGAATAGACAGTGGCTCTTTGTCTTACTCTTACTAACTTTGCTAATAATAATACAATTGGGTGGTCCTTTGGACTCAATTTTGTCCCAACCCTAAAAAAAAATTTATTTCTTGAAGTCCTAACCCTCAGTGTGATGGTATTTGGGGGCAAGGCCTTTGGGAAGCAATGAGGTTTAGGTGAGGTCATGAGGGTTGGGCTCACATGATGGAATTAGTATCATTATAAGAAGAGACAACAGGCCAGGCATGGTGGCTCACACCTGTAATCCCAGCACTTTGGGAAGCCAAGGTGGGCGGATCACAAAGTTAAGAGATCAAGACCATCCTGGCCAACATGGTGAAACCCATTCTCTATTAAAAATACAAAAATTAGCTGGTCGTGGTGGCACACACCTGTAGTCCCAGCTACTCAGGAGGCTGAGGAAGGAGAATCACTTGAACCTGGGAGGTGGAGGTTGCAGTGAGCTGAAATCACGCCACTGCACTCCAGCCTGGCGACAGTGAGACTCTGTCTCAAAAAAAAAAAAAAAAGACACAACAAAGAGCTTGCTCACTCTTTCTGTCCCTGCACTTGTGCACACAAAGAAGAGGTCATATGAACACACAGTGAGATGACAGCTGTCTGCAAACCAGGAAGAGAGTCCTCAACAGAACCTAATCATGCTGGCACCCTAATCTCATACTTCTAGCCTCCAGAACTGAGAGAACATAAACTCCAGTTGTTTAAGCTACCCAGTCTATGGTATTTGTTATTATAGCCCAAGCTAAGTCAGGTGGAAAGGCAGAAATATTTTGAGAAGAGTCATTTCTACAAAAACAGAGTTGTTCTAAATGAAATGGCCAGATATTTCATCTTCTTCATACTAGTATTTATGAAAGTTTCATTAAACACCACTTGGCCAGCACCCAGGCCTGCCACCCTCAGAACGGCAAACAAAAGCAAATGATTTGAGGAACAAAAGAGTGGACACAGAGCCTCTCAGAAGATGGCTCCATCTTCTGAGATGATCTTCTGAGATCATCAATTTTCTGCACCTGATGTCCTACTCCAATTGTAGTAGATAAGAGCAAAGACACTTCCTGATCCTGTGGAAAATGCTGGAGCCCTGCTGATGGAGAGGCTGACACTGGGACCAACAGAAGGCCGGACATTTATTTGCTGCAGCCCTTCTGCACCTGGGCCCTCTTCAGGCCTTGTACCTTGCACTCCCCATGCCACTGTAGCACCTGGTAAGCTGAAGTTAGGTATTTGAAGAGATAATTTGCCCCCAACAAAGAATTACTTAAAAGAAAAAGGAAACCACTAAATTCCACTTGACAAACCAGTTTGTTCAGTTTTGACTTTTGCAAATTTGAAACTTTCTCTTTGGCACCATATGATTCTGTTACATTAGGGCTCATCAATGCTAAGATACACAGCTAGGTCTACCAGCTGCCAGTGGTCAAGAATGAAAGAACCTCTCAGAGAGAGATCAGTTTCTAATAACCTAACAGTTTTCCTTGGCTATTACAAAAAAAAAAAAAATTAGAATAAAATGTCAGTGCCATGCAGGCAAGTACAGATATGGAAATGAAAGCTCTGTCTACAACTGCAAGATTTGTTTGTTAATAAAATTGATTGGGATCAACTCGAGATAACTGCTAGAAGACGCAAGATTTTACTTTTAGATATGTCATTTGTTTTTGTTTCCACTCTGGGCTCAAAAGAAACGTTGCTAATGTTTTTCCAGTGGCACAATGCAGTTCTAGAAGAGTTAAAATAAGAAACCCTACCTGCTTAATCTGCCAGAAAACACATGAGAGGAGCAATCAACTCTGGGAAGAGTTGCTCTGAATGAGGTATGCCTGGCTGCTTTAGGCCAAGCTGTTTGTCAGTCTTTCAAAATTCAAGTCATTACCAGATGCTGATCTACTATAATACTGTGATATTTTATCTGATTACACTTACCTGATTGTGCCTTATCTGCTATTTGCCTTCCCATTCTTCCATGTATATTAAATGCAGGTGCTTTTATTATTCTGAAAGCTAGAAAGTGTTGACTGTTCTGAATATAAATGGGGATATTATATCATTAACTTGCTCCGAAAGCAGGGCCATTCACTGTGTAAATCACATGCAAGGTACCTAGTGGAGACACAATAAACCATAATGTCTTGAGAAAGAAAGCAATGAGGAATGGATAAGGAGATAAAAATTTAAGGCATTGTTAAAGAAGGATAATCTTCAAAATCCTATTTGGTTCTAGCATTTGTTGATAATATAACCTTTATATTAGAAACTTTTTTAAGTTCATAAAAAAATATTTTAGGGGACTCATCACAACACAGAATGCTATCTCTAATAGGATTGCATAAAAACACTATCACTAACATTCTATGGCTTGTCTAAGTTGGGAAGACATTTTGAATATACTACTCTAATCTTTTAGAGAAGTATACTTTGCTTTAGCAAATATATTCTTACCCTACCTGGGTGTATTGCTCAAATAAGGTAAATAAATGGCCAAATGCTTTAAGCATTTTCCAGACATTAAAAGGTGAATAATTTAGAATCTGGTTGCATATTTCAAAGGAAGTAATACGCAGTGAATTAAGGCGGAACCGTGACAAAGTGCAGCTGCCCAATAGTCTGGGGTTATACGCTCTGCTTAGCTTCAGCCATGTTGGCCTCACTAAAAGTTAATCCATAGTTATTTAAGTGGAAATTTTCAGAAAATCCATTTCGGAGCAAATGTTATGTGAGAGTCTAAATGAGCCACTGCCCTCTGTTTGATTGAATATCAGGTGCCCTGATCATATTTACCAGTGGGTCAGATTCCTCTAAGATGTAACAGCTGTGTAAAGGAACACAGGCTACAACCTTTGCCAGAAAGACTGTCGCCAAAGTCATCTGACCATCAGATCTGGAGGTGTGAGACAGAAGACAAATGTGAGGACAACCGGGAACAGGAGGAATAAGGTAACCCAGGAGGGTGCAGTTTTTACTCTCACTGTCCTCCCAAAGTTTCTGTGCCAGGAGACTGAAGCACAGGACTAGGTGCTACTCCTCCCTCCCTGCCACTCACCATTATGTATAAATGCACAGAGTATCCATTTTCCTTGTCTTTTTTGTTTTTTTCTCAGATGGAGTCTTGGTTTGTCATCTAGGCTGGAGTGCAGTGGCACGATCTCAGCTCACAGCAACCTCCGCCTCCCAGGTTCAAGCAATTCTCCTGCCTCATCCTCTTGAGTAGCTGGGATTACAGGCACCTGCCACCATGCCTGGCTAATAGAGTATCCATTATCTTTCACCTGAACAAATGTGTATTTATAACACCTCTTTAAGTTAAGGTTGTTCTTTAATCAGAGAATCCTTTATTATTCATAAACTATATGCATGAAAACAAAAGATGAATATGCAAGATGGTCTTACCTTTTCAATAATTTCATATTTGGACATATTTTCACAGGAAAGACATAATGAGATTCTCATAACCTGATTAAACTTCATTTATTTGTGTATATATAAAAATAATTTTAACTGGGTACTATTTTACATCATTTAGAAGATTTATTCTCAAAAATTATAAACATTAGTGAAAAGGGAAAAATATTTTAAACATAAATGCTCAAACTATAGAAATTTTACAGGAGAATATGCTCATGATTTACTAGTAGCCAACATTTCCTAGCTCACAAAAGCAGTAACCATAAAGGAAAAAAGAGATAAATTGTACTTCATCAAAATTAAAAACTTCTACTCACCAAAAGACACCATTAAGAAAAATGAAGAGGCAAGTCATAGACTTGGAAAAAGCATTTGTAAAACCTTAATCTGACAAAGGACTGGTACCTAGGATATACAAAGAACTGTGACCACTCAACAATAGAAACATAAACAACTCAATTAAACATAAGCCAAAGATTTAAAGAGTCAAATTACAAACACACTCAAATACATATATACACACAAGTGGTCAATAAGCCCACAAAAAAGTGCTCAATGTCATGCATCATCAAGAAAATGCAAATTAAAACCACAAAGAGACACCAGTACACACATCCCCAGCATGGCTATAGTTAAAGAGACTGACACCATCACATGTGGGCCAGGGACGGAGTGCATGCAACAGCACTTTGGATGGAAAGGTAAAATGATGCAACCACACTGGGAATATGTCGGGCAGTTTCTCCAAAAAGAAAACCTATACCTATCACATGACCAGCAGTTCCACATGTAGCTATTAACCCAATCTAAATGAAAAATACATTCACAGGGCCGGGCACGGAGGCTCACGCCTGTAATCCCAGCACTTTGGAAGGCCGAGGTGGGTAGATCACCTGAGGTCAGGAGTTCAAGACCAGCATGGTCAACATGGTGAAACCCCGTCTCTACTAAAAATACAAAAATTAGTTGGGCATGGTGGTATACGCCTGTAATCCCAGCTACTTGGGAGGCTGAGGCAGGCGTATCACTTGAACCTGGGAGGCGGAGGTTGCAGTGAGCCGAGATCACACTGCACTCCAGCCTGGGTGACAGGGCAAGACTCTATCTCAAAAAAAAGAAAGAAAGAAAGAAAGAAAAATACATTCACAAAAAGACTTGTGCAAGAATACTCATAGTCACTTTTATCATATGGCCAAAAACTAGAAACAATCTGTGTCCGTCAATAAGAGAACAGATAGACTGGTAAGCAATGAGATGAACAACACAAAAGAACGAATTACTGATACATGAGACAACATGGATAAATCTCACAAACATTATGCCGTGTGAAAGAAGTCTTACACAACAGTATATACCTGTATATCTTACGAGTTCATTTATATAATGCTAGAATATGCAAGACTAATCTAGAGTGCGAAAACTTCAGAACAAAGGTTGCCTCTGGGGTTGTAGGAGGGATATCCTGAAAAGGAGAATGAGAAAACTTACTGTATTCTATATCTTGATAGGTAATACACGTGTGGCTATTCCTCAAAACTCAGGATCAGGTGCAGTGGCTCACGCTGTAACCCCGTCACTTTGGAAGGCTGAGACAGGAGGATTGCTTTACCTCAGGAGTTTGAGACCAGCCTGGGCAACATAGGGAGATCCCCTCTCTACAAAAAATGAAAAAAATTAGCCAGTGTAATGGTGTGTGCCTGTAGTTCTAGCTACTCAGGGGGCTGAGGCGGGAGAGTCACTTGAGCCCAAAAGGTCAAGGCTGCAGTGAGCCATGATCATGCCACTGCACCCCAGCCTGAGCAACACAGCGAGACTCCGTATGAAAAAAAAACCAAAACAAGAAACAGTAAATATACTCAAGTTGGTGCATTTCAATCAAAAGAAAAATGTAAACAAATATTAAAGTCTAGTTAATAATAAATATCTGAAGTATTTAGGGGAAGTGTGCTAGTGTCTTCAATTCACTTTGACATATGTCACAAATCATAAGATATATTAATGAATGGATAGATATATGATAAAGCAAGTATAGTAAAATGGTAATCATAGAATCTAGTATGTGGGTGTCTACTGTAAAATGTAAAACTTTGCTATATGCTTGAAAATTTTCATAACAAAATGTTAGAAGAAAATAAAAAATAAAATAAATATTAAGTGCAATACGTATGGTAGTAAACTTCCTTGGTATTAACCTTCCAAACTCTCGCTATGTTGCCCATTTGTTAAGTTTCAAATTATAACCACAATGAAGGCCTACTTATTTGGTTCTTAGAAATACTCCAACAAGCTTAAATATACTAAACTCCCCAACAGCAAGATTTTTTGCCTGTTTAACCAGTTACAAGCACCTAGTACTGTGTTTGGCACATAGTAAGTAGGATGTAGTAGATATTAAATATTTGTGGAATGAACTTCATCACATATAGTTCTCACTTTTTTTTTTTTTTTTTTGAAAGACAGGGTCTTGCTATATTGTCCAGGCTGGACTCAAACTCCTGGGCCCAAGTGATCCTCCCAGTTAGGCCTCCCAAGTCGCTGAGAATACAGGTGCATGCCACTGTGCTCAGCCACATATATTTCTTTCTTTTTTTTTTTTTTTTTCTTTTTAGAGACAAGGTCTTGCTATGTTGCCCAGGCTGGTCTCAAACTCCTGAGCTCAAGTGATCTGTCCACCTCAGCCTCCCAAAGTGCTGAGATTACAGGCATGAGCCACCATGCCTGGCCACATATATTTCTTAATCAAGCTATCTCAGTGCTTTTAGAAATGATGTGAGATGTGATAAAAGCAATGCAAATATCTTCTACAACCTAGCCCATAACCAAAAAATATTCCTGAAGTTAAGTATAGGTGATTCTAACACTGGTAAAATGTTAACCATCTAACTAAATTGATTTTAAAATGACAATGGGAGTTAATAAAATAGAATCCAAAGGATCCATGTAGTTTAGTTATGGATTTATTAATCCATAATTTAGTATTAATAATATTTAATTTAATAATATAATTATTAATAAATCCATAAATAAACTAAGCTTAACTTAGTTGGGCATCAGAATTATCTGAGAGTTTTCTAAAAAATACAGGTTTCTAGGCTTCACTTTGGAGATTCTGAATATAAAAAGAGACCCATGTACCACTACCAATTTCCTGCCCTCTTTGCTTTACTTTCCAATTGAATGAGAACTTTCTCATGGAAAATATATGATTGTTGTATACTAGGCTATTGGAGCACAGCTGGAAAATATAGTACCACTATCAATGATTAATAATGCTCTTAACTCTCCTTGCAGCTACTGAAGTAAGAAGATACCAGTCCTCGTCCCCTGACACACACAGAAAGTCACTGATGGCATTCAGATACAAACAGAGCAAAGGGATCAATGGTCCACGGACCCTGCTCTTTCCCGGGGTGCTATTCCAGTGGCCAGAGGAACCTCCCATCACTTCAGACTTTTGTTTTATTTGTTGTTGTCGTTATTTTTGGTCTTCTATCATTGACTCATAGCTCTCTCACACATTTTAATGTATTCGCTGCATCAGACCCAGAAAAACATTTGCCTGGTGTGTGAAAGAGCCTCTGATTACAGAATGAACTTTGTCTCTCCATAATTTGAAGAAGTTAAGGAAGGTCCCCACCCAAATGTTATGTCCTATTTTGATGCTCAAAATCTTAGTAAAATCACAGTGCAAAGGAAAGAGCACTGACTTTGGCATCACACAGATGAAACTTGGCTCTGCTATTCTCTTGTATTATTGTGGGTATGGCATCTCTGACATGAGGATAATAATCATTCTTCATAAGGCTGTCTTAATGAGTAAAGATAACACATATAAAGTCCTTGGCACAGTGCCTGACACACCGTAGATAACATTATAATAATAACAATAATTATTATTACCTTTATTGCTAAGCATTGCTGTTTCCCTTGGTTCTCTCTTAAAATGCCACTGTTGGCCGGGTGCGGTGGCTCACACCTGTAATCCCAGCACTTTGGGAGGCAGAGGCTGGCGGATCACGAGGTCAGGAGATCGAGACCATCCTGGCTAACACGGTGAAACCCCGTCTCTACTAAAATTACAAAAAATTATCCGGGCGTGGTGGCGGGTGCCTGTAGTCCCAGCTACTTGGGAGGCTGAGGCGGGAGAATGGCGTGAATCCAGGAGGTGGAGCTTGCAGTGAGCTGAGATCGGCCTGGGCGACAGAGCGAGACTCTGTCTCCAAAAAAAAAAAAAAAAAAAAAAAAAAAAATGCCACTATTGATGGTGTGGGTAACATATTAAGTCCCTACTGTCTCTGTGTGAATGAAGGTTTCTTTCCTCTCTGTGGCCAGGGCGGTATTGATAGCACAAGCCCCTTTGGCAGGAAGAATACTTCAAAGGAGGCAGTGGATTGCCACAAAGACACTTGACTTAATTCACAATTTTGTCTAAGGTTATCCACCCCAAAGTAGTTAACATTCCCCATTCAGTAATTTTGCCCCTGCCAAGTGACATACTGAAACAAAAATCTTAAAAAAAAAAAAAAAAGAAAAACCTGTTTGTCCAAGTGTAAAAAACCTATAAAAGCACTGCAAATGAAGCAAACACTGTATGCAGACTATTAAAAATGTGTCATGATTTTTAACTGTTTTCAAATCTCTAACCACCCTGCCTACCTCCACCTGCCAAAATACTGGAGGTGCCTCACAGATCATTTCAAGGCATCTCCTGCCACCTCATTTCTTGTCTGCAGAAATGGATAAGGGATTGTTTGGGTTTTGTATCTCACGTGAAAGTTCAAGTCATATTTACTTGATTTAAAATTATCTGCTTGTTCATTTACAGAGGTGGGAATGTTGGCAGGCTTCAAAGACGGAAACCAGAAATATCAGGTAATATACCTGTATTAGTCTGTTTTCACACCGCTATAAAGAGCTACCTGAGACTGGGTAATTTATGAAAGAAAGGTGTTTAATTGACTCACAGTTCCACAGGCTTAACAGGAAGCATAGCTAGGAGGCCTCGGGAAACTTACAATCGTGGTGGAAGGCAAAGGGGAAGAAAGTACATCTTACCATGGCTGCAGGAAAGAGAGAGAGTGAGTAGGGAACTGCCACACACTTTTAAACCGTCAGATCTCATCAGATCTTGTGAGAACTCTATCACAAAACAGCATTAGGGAGCTGACGCTAAACCATTCAAAACCATCCCCATGATGTAATCACCTCCCACCAGGCCCCACTTTCAACAAGTGGGGATTACAATTCAACGTGGGATTTGGGTGGGGACACAGAGCCAAACCATATCAATACCTATCAAACAGCTACAAGTTTATACTCCCTGTGGCACATTTTCTACAGAAACATGGCAAGGCCTGGAAATGTCTTTGGCTATCAAAGTTATACAAGCCCCCTGCATAAAGTTAATACAAGTTAATTGACAAATATGTATAGCAAAGACATTGCATAACACAGCTTCATGAATATGCCACAAATAAAACAATTAAGCCACATAAATACTTTACTTATATTTTACAATACACCCTGACATTTACAATACACCCTGACATTATGGAGAGACAAAGACACAAATATTTTATTGACAGGGTTTCACAGATCATTGATAAACTTACACTCCTTTCTCATCCCATGACATCAGGTTTAAATTCAACTCACTAAACAGTCATGGTAAATTTCAAGTTAAAGAGTAGAGTTTCTAGAAGTGACATGGGGTAGAGGGGAAAGCTCTCCTTATTACTCACTAATAATACAAGGTATTTTGTCCATATACCAATGCTGACTTGCTGATCCATTAATCTGTAAAAATTTCTTGATTTCTAGAGACTCACTGAAACCCAAGGATCTGGATTAGAAAACACATACAGCATTCTTAAAAGTTAAAAGAAGTTGAGTAGCTATTTGTTTATAGACTAACTCATCCATCTAGAGATTGATCTCTTCCAAATTCTCTGTAATTCTGTTACTGTGTTATTCATGAAGAGCTGTGGCATTGTGTTTCAGAAATTACCAACCAGTCAGCACTGATGGGTATGTATTTTTCTTGCTCACTCAGTGGCAAGAAACATATATAATAAATTCTTAGGAACTTTATCTCTTTCAGTTAGGGTCAAAATAACTGCTGACTCAATGACTTGCCACAAAATTATTCCTGGGTAGAAGGGAGAACCACCTTCTACAGAAAAGAAGTATTTCAATACTTCAGCATTTCCAACAAGAAAGAGAGGTACCAATGAGAACAAAATAAGAAACTACGTTCTATGACTGAGAAATTGTTTCTAAATATTTTTCTACTATTTTTAATTTGTTTCCAATGGAAAGATAGCAACAGATTAACTGCTCACATGCCCATTTGATTTTTTTAAAAAATTAAATAAACTTATTTTACTTTTATGGTTGCAGATAGGAATTATTAACCATCTGTCTTTGTATTATTTAAACTTTAAACAAATAAACATTATTGTACAACCAGAAAGCAGTTATTCATAGACTTGTACATTTATTCCCCAGTAATTTTTCTTTGCTGTTTAAAAAGAGCCTAAAGCTAGCATCATTTAAATTATTTTTAAAATTCATTACCTACAATACTAAGAAAAACAGATGATAATACAGTATGTCATTGTAAATGAAAAAGGCCTTGAAGAGTTTTTTTTAACTTACTAGAAGCTTCAATTATCTCCTTTTGAGGAAATAGTTAAGAAGAAAAAATGACAACCTCAATCAACTCACACTGTTAAAAGAAATGAGGGTGGCACCAACAACTACCAGTTGACAGTTCTGCTAGTGCTCTTACATAGGCAAGGATCTTCTCATGTGAGAACAGCATATGGATAAATCAAGTATTTTTTTTACTTCTCTACTTCTTCAAACACAGAAACAAGTACACCTCTAGATTCAAACACTAGATCATAGAAAATAAATGGAAAAACAGTTTTTTGCCATGTAGGGCAGAGAATAGAGGAAAAATTGGAGTAAACAGGTGGAAAGACAAGTCTTAAGATATCCAAAGAGTATGTTTTGACCCCAATTTATTGAAATTAGAGAAATACCCTAAAGAACAGAAGTCAGAATAAACCAGCCAAAAGAAAATCTTTATTGAAAACACTCTGATATGCACTCCAGCCCAGTTACAGACATTATCATCTTGGCTATAGCCAAAGCCCAGTGTGATAGATTGTGTCTAAGATGGCTTCCAATGACCTGAACCTTTTGATATTTATGTCCTTGTACAACCCCCTCCTTTGAATATTGTCTGGACCTGGGAACTCACTTAAAAATGACAGATGTCACAAAAATACTCTGGCTCCTGTCTTGCTTATCCTTTCTTGCCCTCTTGCTTGCTTTAATGGAAGTCATGTGCCAGGTTATAAACTCCCCTATGGGGAGGCCTACGTGGCAAGAAATTGACAAAGGCCAATGGCCAGGGAGTAACTAAGGTCTTCAGTCTAGCAACCACAAGGAAGTGAATCCTGCCAAATATCAGATGAGTCACCTTGGAAGTGGATCCTCCCTCAGGCCTTGCCATCAGTTGGATCAGCAGCCCCACTGATATCTCAATTGCATCCTTGTGAGAGATCCAGAGCCAGAGGATCTAGTTAAGCTGTATCCAAATTCCTGACTCAGGGAAGTTGTGAGGTTAATAAATGTTTGTTGCTTTAAGCTACAAAGTTCTGGAATAATTAGTTACACACAAATAGATAACTAATACAGCCTGTTTTCCGAAGCCATTGAATCAAAGTATTTTCTATAATGAGGTTCAAATGTCCCCCTAAATCTTGTACAGCAATTCTACTGCTAAATTCTCCACTGGCTTTAAAAAGCATTATTCCTTTAAGAATTATAGTGTCATAATAATTCACAACCTCTTTCTGTAAAGTCTTTAAACTATCTGTGTATAAAAGATTCTGGACTGTTTAGCAACACACAAATAATATCTTAAAATAACTCCAATGTGGAAACTGAATTCAACAGAGATACATATTGTCTCTGGGACAGTTATAGAATGTACAGAATATGTCCATGGGAACTAAGTTTAACATTTAAAGATTCCAATCATAAGAAATCTGATATCTCACCCTGTCTCAAAAAAAACAAGAAAAAGAAATCTGATATCTCACTAAATGTACAGATATAGGAAAAATAAATGCGTTTTGATATGCAGAGAATGTAGCTTATTGTTGCTAAAAGAGTAAAACAAAAACACAGTAGGAGGACTTTTTTTAAAGAATAAGTTGAGTTTTTATTAAGGTTTAATACAGATAAGCCAATAAATTATAATATTCAATAGATTTTTGCCAAAGAATGTCCCAGTGTAACCATCATCTACAATGAAATAGAACATTATTAGCACCCAGAAGTCCTCCTCACTCCCCAACCATGTCTAGCTTCTTTCATTAAACATTACGTTTGTGAGATTCTTTCATATTGCATGTAACATTAGTTTGTTCATACTCACTGATATATAACATTCCATTATATGAATAGAGCACAAACTAATTATTCATTCTGCTACCAATGAACATTTGTGTTGTTTCTAAATTTTGGCATTAAAACTACTTTGACTATGAACATTTTTATATATCTCTTCTTGGGTAACATAAGCATATTTCTAACAGGTACATACTGAAGAGTGAAAAAGTTAAGCCACAGGGTGTATGTTTGTTCAGCTTTAGAAGTTACTCCTAAACAGTTTTCCAAAATAGTTGTACTCATTATACTCCTACCAGCAGTGTATGACAGCATGAGTTGCTCATGGTTTAAATTTTAGCAATTCTGATGGCAGTTCAATCATACTTTATTGTGGTTTTATAGAGCTGCTCTAATGACTAATAAGGTTAAAAACCTTACTATTTCTTCCCTCTTTCAGGAATTTGAGTCATCAGTTATCTTCTTCATGTCTATAAATATAATCAAAGTGTTCCCATTCTTGAAAAACAAACCAAACAAAGAAACAAACAAAAAACCAAAAAACTCCCATAGTTCCTGGAAGGCTGATAATATTTTATTTCTTAATTGAGATAGTAGTTATATATCTGTTCAATTTGCATTAATTCTTTAAGCTATTTATACTTTTATACACTTTTCTGCATATGTGTTAGTTTTTTAAAGTTAAAGAATATGCTGGAGGCATCACATTATAAGACTTCAAACTATACTGGAAGGCTACAGTAATCAAAATAGCATGGTACTGGTACAAAAATAGATAAATAGACCAATGGAACAGAATAGAGAACCCAGAAATAAAGCAGTATATCTACAACCAACTGATCTTTAACAAAGTCAATAAAAATAAGCAATGGGGAAAGAACACCCTATTCAATAAATGGTGTTGAGAAAACTGGCTAACCATATGCAGAAGAATGAAACTGGACCCCTACCTATAACCATACACAAAAACTGACTCAAGATGAATTAAAGACTTAAATATAAGACCTCAGACTATAAAATCTAGAAAAACTCTAGGAAATATTCCTCCAGACATCAGCTTTAACAAAGAATTTATGCCCAAGTCCTCAAAAGAAATTGCAACAAAAACAAAAATGGACAAGTGTGACCTAATTAAACTAAAGAGCTCCTGCACAGCAAAAGAAACTATCAACAGAGTAAAAAGACAACATACAAAATGAATGAAAATATTCACAAACAATGCATCTGACAAAGGTCTAATACCCAGAATCTATAAGGAACTTAAACCATCAAGAAACAACCACATTAAAAAATGGGCAAAGGACATGAACAGACACTTCTCAAAGACACGCAAGCGTCCAAACAAACACAAAAAAATGCTCAACATCACTAGTCATCAGAGAAATGCAAATAAAAACCAAAATCAGACACCATGTCACACCAGTCAGAATGGCTATTACTAAAAAGTAAAAAAATAACAATGTTGACAAGGCTGCGGAGAAAAGGGAACACTTATACACTGTTGATGGGAATGTAAATTAGTTCAGCCACTGTGAAAAGCAGTTTGGAGATGACTCAAAGAACTAAAATTAGAACTGCCATCTCAAACAACTAAAATTAGAACCCAGAAATCTCATTACTAGGTATATACCCAAAGAAAATAAATTGTTCTACCAAAAAGACACATGCCCTTGTATGTTCATTACAGCACTATTCACAATAGCAAAGACAGGGTGTCAATTTAGTTGACCATCAGTGGTGGATTGGATAAAGAAAATGTGATATATATACACCGTGGAATACTACACAGCCATAAAAAAAGAGTAAATCATGTTCTTTGCAACAACGTGGATGAAATTTGAGGCTATTTTCCTAAGCAAATTATCACAGAAACAGAAAACCAAATATCGCGTGTTCTCACTTAAGTAGAAACTAAATGTTGGGTACACACAGACATAAAGAGCTCTACCTCTGTGCCGGATGCAGTGGCTCACGCCTGTAATTCCAGCACTTTGGGAGGTTGAGGCAGGTCGATCACTTGAGGCCAAGAGTTTGATACCAGCCTGGCCAACATGGTGAAACCCCGTCTCTACTAAAAATACAAAAATTAGCCAGGCATGGTGGTGCATGCCTGTAATCCCAGCTACTTGGGAGGCTGAGGCAGAGAATCGCTTGAACCCAGGAGACGGAAGTTACAGTGAACCGAGATTGTGCCCCTGGGCAACAGAGCGAGACTCTGTCTCCAAAAAAAAAAAAATAAAAATAAAAATAAAAAGAGTTCTACCTCTGTTATAGTGGAGTAACCTTCTAAAAGACTGTTCCTCTCATGAATATAAAAAATATACAAACTCTGGCTAAAATATAAGAAACAAGTATCAAAAGGGTCTGGAGAGTAAGCAGACTTTGGAGTAAAAATTTAGACAAAGGAATTAACACAGTGTGAGTTCCTTACCATTTGTGGCTTTGGCTTGAGAATAGTCTATGAGCATAATGTGGTTAAGGGTGGCTGAGTTCCCATAGAATACATGACAACTTTCTAGCTAATGAAGATGAGGACAGAGCTGGGGGAAGCCACAGACTCCATAAACTAAGAGGAGTAATTCTAGAAAGAAGAGAAGTAGGGGAAGGGCTCACATACTCTATGTGTAAACTCTTCCCAAGTCTTTTGACTGTCCTAAACCATGCATGAAATATGTAGGGCAGAATCAAAGCAACTTGTTTTTAAGGCTAGAGGAACTAAACTAAGATTTGAGCTGCAATCAGTTACAGTTTGAAATTTGAGTCTAATTGAGCTTGCTGCCTGTTGAAGCAAAACGCCAACACTCTTCAGAGGAATATAAGAAAATAAATCATATTCTATTACATAAAGGAATATAATAGAATTCAGGGTCTCCACAACATAATAATCACACTATCTATTCAAAAGAATCCAAAAGTGCCCAAAAAATGTAAACCCAAGAAAATGTGAAATTTGATTTATTCAAAAGGGAGAAGACAATCTATGAAGGGCAAACTGAGATAACCCTGATATTGGAATTACCAGACAAAGATGTTAAAGTATTTATTATGACTACATTCAATAAAGTAAAAATAAATAATGTCCAGATGAATGAAGAGATAAATATCTTAGCACAGGCAAAGAAAATATATTTTAGGCTAGGCACAGTGGCTCATGCCTATAATCCTAACACTTCAGAAGAGCAAGGCAGGAAAACTGCTTGAGCTCAGGAGTTCAAGACCAGCCTGGGCAACATAGTGAGGCCACATATCTACAAAAAAAATTTAAAAATTAGCTGGGCACAGTAGAGTGCACTTGTAGTCCTAGCTACTGAGGAGGCTGAGGCAAGAGAATCGCTTGGACCCAGAAGTTTGGGGCTGCAGTGAGCCATGATCACACCACTGTACTACAGCTTGGGTGACAGAGCAAGATCCTGTCTCCTAATATATATTATATATAATTATATATTTATATATAATTATATGTATATAAATTATATATTATATATAATTATATATTTATATATAATTATATGTATATAAATTATATATAATATATAATATATAAATATAAATTTTATATAATATATAAATATAAATTTTATATGTAAAACACCAATGGAGATGTTATTTGAAAAAACACCAAATGGAGATGTTATTTGAAAAAACACAATAGTATCAAAAAAATTTTAAATTGCTACATGGGCTTAATAGCAGAATTGGGACAAAACAGAAATGAATTAGCATGCTTGAAGATAGAGCAATGGAAATAATCCAATCTGAACATGAGAGGAAAATGATCTTAAAAAAAAAGCTTCAGAGATCTGTGTGACAATATCAAAAGGCCTAGTATATAAGTAACTGGGGTCCTGAAGAAGAAGAATGAATATATATACTGTGTATATACATATGAAGAAAGATTAAATACAAAGAAAATCATGATAAGGCACATCAAGGTGAAACTACTTAAAACAAAAGACAAAGGAAAAGTTTTGAAGGTAGCCAAAGAAAAATGACACATTACATACAAAGGAACAACAATTCAAATAACATGGACTTGTTATCAGAAACTATGAAGCCCAGAAGACAGTGGAATGCCTTTTGAGTCCTACAAACGGCACTGAGTTAAGGACAAAGAAGGGTATTTTATCAGTAGTGGGGGATAATTCGCCCTAGATGAGCACATAGCAGTCCTGCTTAATAAATCTTAAACACAAGAATGGAAAGAATCAAACTATTTACAAGCAACTTAACTGTATCTCAGTAAAAAAGCTTAAGACTATTTATAGGAATAAAAATATTCAGCACCCAACAAACTAAAATCCACAATGTGTGACATTCAATCAAAATTGCCAGATCTGTAAAGAAATGGCAATATATGACTCATCATGGAGAAAAACTAATTAATTGAAAATAACCCAGAACTAACAGAGTTGCTAGAATTAGGAGACAAAGACTTTAAAAAAACAGTTATTGTAACTGTTTTCTATATGCTCAAAAAGTTAAAGCATGAAAGATATAAAAATGCATATCAGGCCGGGCGCGGTGGCTCATGCCTGTAATCCCAGCACTTTGGGAGGCTGAGGCGGGAAGATCACCTGAGGTCAGGAGTTCAAGACGAGCTTGGCCAACACGGTGAAACCCCGTCTCTACTAAAAATACAAAAATTAGCTGGGCATGGTGGCAGGTGCCTGTAATCCCAGCTACTCAGGAGGCTGAGGCAGGAGAATCACTCGAACCCAGGAGGTGGAGGTTGCAGTGAGCCGAGATCACACCATTGCACTCCAGCCTGGGGAACAAGAGCAAGATTTCATCTCAAATAAAAAAAAATGCGTATCAAACTTCTTAAAATGAAACCATTACAATGTATAATGAGAAATGTATTAGGTGGGATTAATGCCAAGGATGGGATTAATTGCAGAATAAAAGATTAATGAGCTTAAAAGACAGAAAGATAATTAAAAAAATAAAATAAACAGAGCATCATTGAACTATGGTAAAAACTTTAAGTACATTATATATATATATATAAAATGTACATACTGTATATACACATATGAAGAAAGATTACATACTATATATATGTATATATAGTATGTAACATATATATAATCTTCATATGTAATAACATATATATATGTTATTAGTCTTTCTTCATATATGATAACATATATATGTATATGTTACTAGAGTCCCCAAAGGAAGAACGGGGCAATAGAAAAATATTTGTAGAAATGATGGCCAAAAACTTTCCAAATGTGTTAAAAATGATAAATGCACAAATCCAAGAATTCCAATTAACTCCCAATCACAAGAAACATGAGTTCACATTGCAATAAAATTGTTCAAAACTGGTGATATAGTCCTATAAAAAGTCATGTTATATACAGAGAAACAGTGATGACAGAGATATCTTAATGGAAACACAGTGGAGCAATATCTTTAAAGTATCAAATGAAAAAGGCAGACAATAACGAGTGTTGGCAAGGAAACTTGAATCTTGATATATTGCTGGTGGGAATGTCAAACGGTGCAGCTAATTGGAAAGCAGTTTTCCAGTTTCTCAAGAAGTTAAACACACAGTTACCATATGACCCATCAGTTCCACTTTTAGGTAAATACCTAAGAGAAATAAAAATATGTGTCTACACAAAAATTTGCACATGATTGTTTGTAGCAGCATTATTCATAAGAACCAAAAAGTGAAAACACAATAATCAGCCATCTCATGAATGGATAAATAAAACATAGTATATCTGTATAAAAGGAACATTATTTGACCATTAAAAGGAATTAAGTGTGATAACATGGATGAAGGATGAAAATAAAGAAGCCAGAAAAAATGGTACTTATTGTGTGATTCAATTTATATGAAATATGAGGAATAGGCAAATCCAGACAGACAAAAAGTATATTAGTGGTTGCCATGGGCTGGGGGAAGTTGGGCCTGGAGGGTATCTGCTAATGGGTATGATGATGATGATTTTGTGGTGATTAAAATGTTCTGCAATTAGTATTGATGGGTGCATAACTCTGTAAAAACCACTGAATTGTACATTTTTAAAGGGTAAACTTTATGCTATGTGAATGACATATTAACAAAGCTGTCAAAATAAATGATAGAAATACATTGTGGAATATATCTAGAAAGAGAGTGTTACAAATGATGTACTATGTACAAATACTATTTATTTTTAATAAGTAAAGAAAAATTTAAAAATATAAATTGCCAAAATATCCTAATTAAATGGTAGAGACTAATATTAGATTAAAAAATAGAAGACCCAACCATATGCCAACTACAAGAAACTTAATTTAAATACAGATACTCCTCAATTTACCATGGGGCTACGCCCTGATAAACCCATTGTAAGTTGAGGATATTATATGTAAAAAATGCATTCAATACACCTAACCTACCAAACATCATACTTTAGCCTAGACTACCTTAAGCATGGCCAGAACAGTTACATTAGCCTATAGTTGGGAAAATCATCTAACACAAAGCTTATTTTATAATAAAGTTTTGAATATTTCATGTAATTTATTTAATACTGTATAATATGTCAAAATTGCAACAGTTTAACATCATAGCAAAGTCAAAAATTCCTAAGTTGAACCACGGTTGGGGATCATCTATATAAGACACAAATGGAGTTAAAATAAAGGTTAGAAAACATATACCATACTAACACTAATCAACAGAAAGCAAAACACTAATCAAAAGATACTAACATTAATCAAAAGAAAGCAGTAGTTGGCTGGGCACAGTGGCTCACGCCTATAATATCAGCACTTTTAAAGACTGAGGTGGGTGAACAGCTTGAGCTCAGGCATTAGGGACCAGCCTGGGTAACATGGCAAAAAACCATCTCTACAAAAATAGAAAAATTAGCCGAGCATGGTGGTGCACACCTGTAGTTCCATTTACTTGGGAGGTGGGATAATTGCTTGCACCCAGGATATGGAGGTTGTAGTGAGCCAAGATCATACCACTATACAGCCTGGGCAACAGGGTGAGATCATCTCGAAAATAAATACATAAATAAATAAGATAAAAAATAAGGCCAGACACTGCGGCTCACAACCGTAATCCCAGTACTTTGGGAGGCGGAGGTGGGTGGATCACTTGAGGCCAGGAGTTCCAGACCAGCCTGGCCAACATGACCAAACGCCGTGTCTACTAAAACACAAAAAATTAGCCAGGTGTGGTGGTGGGAGACTGTAATCTCAGCTACCTGGGAGGCTGAGGCAGGAGAATCACTTGAATCCAGGAGGCAGAGGCTGCAGTGAGCCAAGATCACGCCATTGCACTCTAGCCTTGGCAACAAGAGCGAACTCAGCTGACACCCTGATTGCCATCTTCTAGACTCTGAGCAGAGGACTCAGTTAAACCATCCCAATTCTTGATTCATAGGAGCAGAGATAATAAATGTGTGCTCTTTGAAGCCCAATTTGAGGTAATTTGTTATGCATCAACACAAAGTATGCTTTCTTTCAGTAAGTACAGAAGACATAAACAGAAAATAAGATCATATGAAGATTTGAACAACACTGTCAACCAAATTGACTTAACTGATGTTTACATAACGCTCCACCTGATAATACCAGAATATGTCTTTTTTTTTTTTTTTTTTTGAGACGGAGTCTCGCTCTGTCACCCAGGCTGGAGTGCAGTGGCACAATATCGGCTCACTGCAAGCTCTGCCTTCCGGGTTCACGCCATTCTCCTGCCTCAGCCTCCCGAGTAGCTGGGACTACAGGGGCCCACCGCCATGCCCAGCTAATTTTTTGTATTTTTAGTAGAGACAGGGTGTCACCATGTTAGCCAGGATGGTCTCGAACTCCTGACCTCGTGATCCGCCTGCCTAGCCCTCCCAAAGTGCTGGGATTACAGGCGTGAGCCGCCATGCCCGGCCCAGAATACATCTGTTTTGTTTTGTTTTTTTTAAGTGTTCATGGAACGCTTACCAACATAGACCATATTTTAGGCAATAATAACAAATCTCAATAAATTTTAAAAGATTCAAGTCAAACAAAGTATTTCCTGACTACAATGGAATGAAATAAAAAATCAGTATAACAGAAGATCCCTAGAAAAGTCTCCAAATATTAGGAAACTAAAACATACTTCTGGCCAGGCACGGTGGCTCACGCCTATAATCCCAGCACTTTGGGAGGCTGAGGTGGGCAGATCACGAGGTCAGGAGATCGAGACCATCCTGGCTAACACGGTGAAACCCCGTCTCTACTAAAAATATAAAAAATTAGCCGGGCGTGCTGGCAGGCACCTGTAGTCCCAGCTATTTGGGAGGCTGAGGCAGGAGAATGACATGAACCCAGGAGGCGGAGCTTGCAGTGAGCGGAGATCGTGCCACTGCACTCCAGCCTGGGTGACAGAGCAAGACTCCGTGTCGAAAGAAAGAAAAGAAAGAAGGAAGGAAAGAAAGAAAGAAAGAGAGAGAGAGAGAGAGAGAGAGAGAGAGAAAAAGAAAGAAAGAAAGAAAGAAAGAAAGAAAGAAAGAAAGAAAGAAAGAAAGAAAGAAAGAAAGAAAGAAAGAAAGAAAGAAAGAAAGAAACTTCTAAATAACCCATGGGTCAAAGAAAAATTAGGAAGGAAACAATTCTACCAGAAATACCGTAAAGCACCACAGACACTGAGCACTTATAACTTCACAAAGTTTTAGGTAAATGAGCAACCAAATGTAGACTGAATTATTGTATTTAAATACTTTAAAATGCAGCTCCTACAGAAGGTAACAGAGCTCCTACTGCAGGAATAGAAACAGGATTGTTACACTACCAAATATTTTTCCTGTAGGCTGAAAAGAGAAACTGTCACTTAGCCTGATGGCAATGAAAAACAAAAGATGAATGGAAACCAATTTATTTAGCCACTTTGAATCTCTGTTTACTTTTTTTTTTTCTCAGATGGAGTCTTGCTGTGTTGCCCAGGCTGGAGTGCAGTGGCGTAATCTTGGCTCACTGCGACCTCTGCCTCCTGGGTTCAAGCAGTTCTCCTGCCTCAGCCTCCCGAGTAGCTGGGATTACCAGCACGTCCCATCATGCCCAGCTAGTTTTTGTATTTTTTGTAGAGATGGAGTTTCGCCATGTTGGCCAGGCTGCTCTCGAATTCCTGACCTCAGATGATCTGCCCGCCTCGGCCTCCCAAAGCGTTGAGATTACAGACATGAGACACTGCGCCTGGCCCTGTTATTTATTACTTGTCAGCACATGCTGTTACTTCAATTTTATAAAAATCTAAAGATCACTCTTCTCTCCCACCCCATCTTTTAAAAAGAGACACAATTTTAAAACATTAAAAAAATTCTAAGTTTATTGTTTCTATTATTTTACTGAAGTATTGTTTGTTTATTGAACACTCTGCAACAAAGATTATTCACTGCTTTTACTAGTTAAGTTTAAATGTTTACAGGGATCATTGTGAAAATATAATTTTGGACCTATCAAGATAATACACAAACACAACAATTTTAAACAAGGCATTCAGAGAAAGTTTCCATTGCAATTCTGCATAGAATTGCGAGGAAGACTGAGACAGCAAACTCACAGCTAATAAAAAGTTCAATTTCTTTTTACTTTTTTTTTTTTGAGACGGAGTCTTGCTTTGTCGCCCAGGCTGGAGTGCAGTGGCGCGATCTCGGCTCACTGCAAGCTCCGCCTCCCAGGTTCACGCCATTCTCCTGCCTCAGCCTCCCGAGCAGCTGGGACTACAGACGCCCGCCACCACGCCTGGCTAATTTTTTGTATTTTTTAGTAGAGACAGGGTTTCACCGTGTTAGCCACGATGGTCTCGATCTCCTGACCTTGTGATCCGCCTGCCTCAGCCTCCCAAAGTGCTGGGATTACAGGCATGAGCCACCGCGCCTGGCCTCAATTTGTTAACTATAGTGTAATTGAACTCTTCAACATGTTACAAAACGCATACTTGTTACACCCAAAGTATATGATATTTCACTTTGATAATACCACAAGGTTTACATCATTCAATGGCAATCAACCATAAAAAAAAATCTTGTTCATATTGACTCACAGACATAGTGGCTCATATTGCCATGGGAAAAAAAAATTGTATTTGGAGAATCTGTCAAGAGAGTAATATTAAGCAATGTATGTTAATAAAATGTGACGCCTACCTCTGCCAAGCATAAAAGCCTGTTATCCCTAATTATGTTCTTCATCAAGTGTATACCTTTAAAGTGTCAAACACAGCCTACTAGTTGTGGGGCTAATTTTAGCTTTCAGTAATCAACATATCTTATGCTTCAAATGACATTAAGTGGCAATCTACCACAGAGTGCACAAGTCCATTTCCTTTATTCTATTGTTTCAGTGAACAGAAATTACACCATTTCTAGCATTTCCAGCAAATTTAGAGTTTGACTACAACCAGGACTCAAAGTAAATGTTAAGTGAATATAACACTGTGTTTTCAAATAGTTGCCTAAAGATAATGCCTCATTTAACCAATAAGTCAAGAACAGAAGCTGCCCATATAGTCTTCCTACATCAAAATATCTGTTTTTTGCAAAGCTTATTTGCACACAACTGCACATGAACCCCATTTCTTGCAGACTGACTCATGATTAGAAACATCAATTATCATATAGTACTGCGATATTTAGAGCAAGCAAAAACTCCTGAGTGTGTTATTATTTGCCCTTGCACTAAATAGGCTTCAAGAACCATGTAACTATAGCTCTGTCACTTCTTTCATTGCCAGACGTCATTTCTCCCTGTTGCATGTACTTCCTATGCACATCTCCCAGCACTCTCTCCCACACCTTCAACATCCTCTGAGCTTGAAGAATGAGCAACCATAGTTAACATACAACTCTAGAATATTGAGACTGTCATTTTTTTTTTCTTTTTAGATAGGGTCTCACTCTGTCACCCAGGCTGGGGTGCAGTGGCACCATCATGGCCCACTGCAGCCTCAACCTCCCAGGCTCAGGTGATCCTCCCACTTCAGCCTCCCATGTAGCTGGGACTGCAGGCATGCACCACACTCCTTGATGCCTTACAAATTTAGATACTCTCAGGAGGAGCTACTATTTAAGAGTTCCTAAATTCCACATCAATGCACTTAATAAAAGTTAATTTTGAGGATTCAAAAATAACCTTCAATGAAATGCCTATTCTTCACTAAAAGCTTTTGAAAATTCAACTGACATTAATTTACAGGCGGAGACATGAAAACCAGTTCTTATAGTTATATGTTGATGTAAATATGTTCTAAAACTGGGAATATTGATTTCATTTACTCAACTCGGAAAGCCATAAGTTATATAAGACTGATTTTTGCCAAATTGGTTGAAATTCACATCCTGACAAAACAGATTTTTTAATTCTGATAAAGATTTTCCAACTACTGATTAGATGGGAAAAGACGACATCGTAAGGTATATTTAAAGAGAATAGTTAATTATATAAACATGTACTTGGCCGGACATGGTGGCTCACGCCTGTAATCCCAACACTTTGGGAGGCTGAGGCAGGTGGATCACCTGAGGTCAGGAGATCAAGACCAGCCTAACCAACATGGAGAAACCCCATTTCCACTAAAAATATAAAAAATTAGCCCGGAGTGGTGGCACATGCCCATAATCCCAGCTACTTGGGAGGCTGAGGCAGGAGAATCGCTTGAACCCAGCAGGCAGAGGTTGCAGTGAGCCGAGATCGTTCCATTGCACTCTAACCTGGGCAACAAGACTGAAACTCCATCTCAAAAACAAAAAACAAAAAAACAACAAAAAAAAGTACTTAAAAAAACCCCAAAGATAATTAGTTATTGGTTGTCCTCCATATTTTCACAAGCATATGGTATTTACAGTTATAGTCTTTGGTTCTTTCTGTGATTATAGCAGCAGTTTGATTAACTAGTGCACAGCAAAAACCATTTTACAGGCTTTAGAATGTATAAGTATTATGTTACATATTTTAATGCGAATAGCAAGAACTATAAAACATGAAACCTGACCCCCCAAATGCAGAATTTTAACTTTTAAATTTGGCATAAATAAGGTAGCTTAATTAGCACTTTTTCTCGGCTCCACTGCAAGCTTCACCTCCCGGATTCACGCCATTCTCCTGCCTCAACCTCGCCAGTAGCTGGGACTACAGGCGCCCGCCACCACGCTCGGCTAATTTTTAGTATTTTTAGTAGAGACGGGGTTTCACCGTGTTAGCTAGGATGGTCTCAATCTCCTGACCTCGTAATCCGCCCGTCTCGGCTTCCCAAAGTGCTGGGATTACGGGCTTGAGCCACCGTGCCTGGCCAATTTGGTGATTTTTAAAAATCACACTAACGACAGAATCTTATTAAAAATCCTATGTCGGACCAGGCATGGTGGCTCAAGCCTGTAATCCTAGCACTTTGGGAGGCCAAGGTAAGAGGATTGCTTGAGGCCAAGACTTCAGCCTGGGCAACATAGGAAGACCCCATCTCTATAAAAAAATAAAAATCAGCTGGGTGTGGTGGTGCCTGCCTGCAGTCCTAGCTATTTGGGAGACTGAGGTGGAGGGATCCTTAAGCCAAGAAGTTCGAGGCTGCAGTTGAAATGGGATAGTTCCCTTAACCCCTTTGGGGTTGGCTAGTTTACTCAGCCCACGGCTCTCAACCCCTCATAGGAGGGGAAGCACGCAGCTGAGTGGGTGCGGGGGCCCGTACAAGTGCTTCTGGACACCGGCAGGAGTAGAACTCTGTGTGGCCCCATGGCAGTGTCTAGGGGGGTACCTGTGATGCCCCTGGACCTCCAGAGGGTATGTATTACTAAAAGAGTGTGCTCTTTTAGTTTTGCCTTCCATGGACAGCTTAAGTGTTAAACAACTCAGTGAAGGGTCAGGGTGACAGCCTTTTGCACCCACCCTCTTGTACCCAAGTTCTCGTCTGGCATCTAGGAAGAATCAGGTTACACAAATGATCTGAGGGTTGGTGAATGTGGAGGATTTTAGTGAGCAGTGGAAGTGGCTCTCAGTGAGGTGGGGAGCTGGAACAGGGATGGAGTGGGAATGTAGTCTTCCCCTAGAGTTCAGCTCTCCCTGGCCAAACTCTTTTGAAGTCCCACTGTCAAGCTGTCCTGCTGAAGTCAAGCTGCTTCTCTCTGACATCTGGCTGCTTCTTCTCTTCTCTCTTCCTCTGCCTCTCCACTCTGCCACCCTGTCCCTCTGCCAGTGGAGCCTAGGGTTTTTATGGGTACAGGATGGGGTGTGGGGCAGGCCAAAAAGCAACATTCAAGCTGGAAGACAGGAATTTATGTTCTCACTATGGGCCACAGGCTTAAGGGTGTGGCCCTCGCTGGGACCACCCTCTTCTACCCAGTATTTCCCTGCTTCCTGTCCATATCACAGAGAGCAGTGCAGCTTGGGCAACAGAGTGAGACCCTATCTCTTAAAAAACAAAAATGCTATGGTCAAATGTATTTAGAGGGGAAAACAAATCAGTTACCAAAACTTCTAGTTCTTCCCTGGAATTTGAAAAAAAAAAGTCCCAAGCAGAAAGGATAATGCTAAAATAGAAGAGTAATGAACAAATATGAATTGTTCAAAGGAAGCAAGTTATCTTTCAAAAGTAACACATTAAATTCTATTCTTCTCCTTTAAAAAATTAAAACTATTAAATTTTTGATCTTTTTAAATCTATAGTTGTACCATTTTATTTTTATATAAATGACTCAATTTTATGATAAAACAGGTTTTTCAACTGACAATAACTATCTATTATAACAATACACCTAATACAACTAAATTCCTTTGCTATTAAGAAGCAGTGCTAACTTGTTTTACCTTCAGGCTAACAGTTGCTTCTGTCAAATAACAAACAAGCTTTGATTTTAAAATTAAAAAAAAAAAGCTTGAATAACATCAAAATTAACAAAATAATTTTGACTTTGTAAATATTCAGTAATATATTTTACATAAATTAGTTCTCCGTGATATAAAATACTGGATTATAATTTGTATACAAAGAAAATTGAATGCATATTTTAAAATGAAAACATAGTTGTATCTTGGGAAGCAAAAGTAGAGTTTTTCAATCTCTTTAAATCCCCACATAAAACAGGCAAAGCAATAGAAAGAAAAACCAAAACATTTCAAGCTAAGTATAGATGTTATTATAAGGACATATTATAAGTATGTCCTATAAAACCCATCATAAGTTGAAATAGCATAAGTCAAAAATGCATTTAATACTTTTTTTTTTTTTTTTTTTTGAGACAGAGTTTCACTCTTGTTGCCCAGGCTGGAGTGCAGTGGTGTGATCTTGGCTCACTGCAACCTCTGCCTCCCGGGTTCAAGCGATTCTCCTGCCTCAGCCTCCTGAGTAGCTGGGATTACAGGTGCCCATCACCGCGACCAGCTAATTTTTGTATATGTTTTAGTAGAGACGGGGTTTCACCATGTTGGCCAGGCTGGTCAAGAAGAACTCCTAACCTCAGATGATCTGCCCGCCTTAGCCTCCCAAAGTGCTGGGATTACAGGTGTGAGCCACTGCACCCAGCCAAAAATGCATTTAATACATCTAACCTACCAAACATCATAGCTTAGCCCTGCCTACCTTAAACATGCTCAGAACACTTACGTTATCCTGCAATTGGGCATAATAATCTAACACAAAGCCTATTTTATAATAAAAGTGTTGAATATCTCATGTAATTTACTAAATTCTGTACTGAAAGTAAAAACTAGAATAGTTGTATGGGTATTCAAAGTACAGTTTCTACTGAATGTGTTGCTTTTGCACCAATATAAAATCAAAAAATTCTAAGTTGAACCATCATAAGTTAAGACTACATTCCTATGATATTCTCATGAACTCCATAATATAAATTATTATTTATTATTAGAGCAGGCCACTAACAAGTCATAAAACCTTCATAATATCAGCATTTCTGTGGAAGAAAGCAAAGGAAAGCCAATTAGGATAGGTTTTGTCTCTAATAAGAATGCAAGAAATAATAAGGTCTGAACAGAGCCGGAACAGTGTAACCCCTAAGAACTCCAGAAACTGACCAGCCAGGACTCCCTTCTAGGACAGAATTCCACACTAAGGAGAAAGAGCTAGTTGTGATATAGAAAATCGTTCCGCCTTCCTCGAGCGGCTACGGGAGGACTTAAGGAAATATACTCCCCTGTGACCCGACTCCCTCGAGGGTCAATTGATCCTAAAAGATAAGTTTATTACCCAATCAACCGCAGATATCAGGAGAAAGCTCCAAAAACAAGCCCTGGGCCCTGAACAAAATCTGGAGGCATTATTAAACCTGGCAACCTTGGTGTTCTATAATAGGGACCAAGAGGAACAGGCCCAAAAGGAAAAGCAAGATCAGAGAAAGGCCACAGCCTTAGTCATGGCCCTCAGACAAACAAACCTTGGTGGTTCAGAGAGGACAGAAAATGGAGCAGGCCAATCACCTGGTAGGGCTTGTTATCAGTGTGGTTTACAAGGACACTTTAAAAAAGATGGTCCAACAAGAAACAAGCCACCCCGTCATCCATGTCCCCTGTGCTGAGGCAATCAATGGAAGGCACACTGCCCCAGAGGGCAAAGGTTCTCTGGGCCAGAAGCCCCCAACCAGATGATCCAACAACAGGACTGAGGGTGCCCGGGGCAAGGGCCAGCTCATGTCATCACCCTCACTGAGCCCCAGGTACGTTTAACCATTGAGGGCCAGGAAATTGACTTCCTCCTGGACACTGGCATGGCCTTCTCAGTGTTAATCTCCTGTCCTGGATGACTGTCCTCAAGGTCCATTACCATCTGAGGAATCCTGGGACAGCCTGTAACCAGGTGTTTCTCCCACCTCCTCAGTTGTAATTGCGAGACTTTGCTCTTTTCACATGCCTTTGTCGTTATGCCTGAAAGTCCCACACCCTTATTAGGGAGGGATATATTAGCCAAAGCTGGAGCTATTATGTACATGAATATGGGAAACAAGTTACCCATTTGTTGTCCCCTACTTGAGGAGGGAATAAACCCTGAAGTCTGGGCATTGGAAGGACAATTTGGAAGGCCAACAATTGCCCACCCAGTCCAAATCAGGCTAAAAGATCCCACCACTTTTCTTTATCAAAGGCAATATCCCTTAAGGCCTGAAGCTCATAAAGGATTATAGGATATTATTAAACATGTAAAAGCTCAAGTCTTAGTAAGGAAATGCAGCAGTCCTTGCAACACCCCAATTCTAGGAGTACAAAAACCAAATGGTCAGTGGAGACTAGTGCAAGATCTTAGACTCCTCAATGAGGCAGTAATTCCTCTATATCCAGTTGTACCCAACCCCTATACCCTGCTCTCTCAAATACCAGAGGACGCAGAATGGTTCACTGTTCTGGACCTCAAGGAGGCCTTCTTCTGTATTCCCCTGCACTCTGACTCCCAGTTTTTCTTTGCCTTTGAGGATCCCACAGACCACACCTCCCAACTTACATGGACGGTCTTGCCCCAAGGGTATTGGGATAGCCCTCACCTGTTTGGTCAGGCACTGGCCCAATATCTAGGCCACTTCTCAAGTCCAGGCACTCTGGTCCTTCAGTATGTGGATGATTTACTTTTGGCTACCAGTTTGGAAGCCTCATGCCAGCAGGCTACTCTAGATCTCTTCAACTTTCTAGCTAATCAAGGGTACAAGGCGTCTAGGTCGAAGGCCCAGCTTTGCCTACAGCTGGTCAAATATCTAGGCCTAATCTTAGCCAGAGGGACCAGGGCCCTCAGCAAGGAACCAATACAGCCTATACTGGCTTATCCTTGCCCTAAGACATTAAAACAGTTGCGGAGGTTCCTTGGAATCACCAGCTTTTGCCTATGACTATGGATCCCCAGATACAGTGAGATAGCCAGGTCCCTCTCTACTCTAATCAAGGAGACCCAGAGGGCAAATACTCATCTAGTAGAATGGGAACCAGAGGCAGAAACAGCCTTCGAAACCTTAAAGCAGGCCCTAGTACAAGCTCCAGCTTTAAGCCTTCCCACAGGACAAAACTTCTCTTTATACGTCACAGAGAGAGCAGGGATAGCTCTTGGAGTCCTTACTCAGACTCATGGGACAACCCCACAACCAGTGGCATATCTAAGTAAGGAAACTGATACAGTAGCAAAAGGCTGGCCTCACTGTTTATGGGTAGTTGTGGCGGTGGCTGTCTTAGTGTTAAAAGCAATCAAAATAATACAAGGAAAGGATCTCACTGTCTGGACTACTCATGATGTAAATGGCATACTAAGTGCCAAAGGAAGTTTATGGCTGTCAGACAACCGCCTGCTTAGATACCAGGCACTACTCCTTGAGGGACTGGTGCTTCAAGTGCGTACGTGTGCTGCCCTCAACCCTGCTACTTTTCTCCCAGAGGATGGGGAGCCGGTCAAGCATGGCTGCCAACAGGTTGTAGTCCAGACTTATGCCGCCCGAGATGATCTCTTGGAAGTCCCCTTGGCTAATCCTGACCTTAACCTATATGCCGATGGAGGTTTGTTTGTGGAGAGTGTGATGCAAAGGGCAGGTTATTCCATAGTTAGTGATGTAACCGTACTTGAAAGTAAGCCTCTTCCCCCAGGAACCAGCGCCCAGTTAGCAGAAATAGTGGCACTTACCCAAGGCTTAGAACTGAGAAAGGGAAGAAGAATAAATGGGTATACAGATAGCAAGTATGCTTATATAATCCTACATGCCCATGCTGCAATACAGAAAGAAAGGGAGTTCCTAAACTTTGGGGGAACCCCCATTAAATACCACAAGGAAATCATGGAGTTATTGCATGCAGTGCAAAAACCCAAGGAGGTGGCAGTCTTACACTGCCGAAGCCATCAAAAAGGGGAAGGAGAGGGGAGAACAGCTGCATAAGTGGCTGGCAGAGGCAGGAAAAGGCCAGCACAAAGGAAAGAGAGAAAGAGACAGAAAGTCAGAACAAGAGAGAGAGAGGAAGAGACAAAGAAGGAGTCAGAGAGAGAGACAGAAAGTCAAAGAGAGAGAGGAAGAGACAGAGACAAAGAAGGAGTCAAAGAGAGAGACAGAGAGAGGAAGAGACAAAAAGGGAGTCAGAGAGAAAGAGAGATACAAAGAAGAAGTCAAAGTGAGAGAATGAGAGATATAGAAGTAGTAAAGAAAAAACAGTGTACCCCATTCCTTTAAAAGCCAGGGTAAATTTAAAACCTATAATTGATAATTAAAGGTCTTCTCTGTAACCCTATAACACTCCAATACCACTTTGTTGTCAGTGTAAACAAGGGCGTAGCCTGAAAGCACTGAGGCCACTGACAACCCATAGTCTTCTTATCAAAAATCCTTAACCCAGCAGGTTTCCTAACATGGGATCTAAATCTTAATTAATTACCACACAAAGGTCCAACCAGATCTAGGAGGAACTCTCTTCAGGACAGGAGGATAGATAGTTCCTCCAGGCGATTAAGGGAAAAAGACACAATGGGTATTCCGTAAGTGATAAGCAGTTAGGAAAATTGCCTAATAACCGGTCTGCTCAAACTGTTTGCACTCAGCCAAATCTTAAAGTACTTACAGAATCAGGAAGGAGCCATCTATACCAATTCTAAGTTAATAGGACTGAATGAGGTTTTATTAATAGCAAAGAAAAATTAAAATCCCCAACTTACAAGGTTTTCAACTAAAGTAAATTTTGCTAAGTTAACAGGGTAATATGCATTATCCTACTACCACACACTCTCAAAGGATTTCTCAGACAGTTTGCAAGAAATAACGAAATCTATCCAGTAAGGATAGTAATTACAATCCCAAATAGACTCTTTGGCTGCAGTGACTCTCCAAAACTGCTGAGGCCTAGACCTCCTCATTGCTGAGAAAGGAGGACTCTGCACCTTCTTAGGGGAAGAGTGTTGTTTTTACACTAACCAGTCAGGGATAGTATGAGATGCCAACCGGCATTTACAGGAAAAGGCTTCTGAAATCAGACAATGGCTTTCAGACTCTTATACCAACCTCTGGAGTTGGGCAACATGGCTTCTCCCCTTTCTACGTCCCATGGCAGCCATCTTGCTATTACTTGCCTTCAGACCCTGTATTTTTAACCTCCTTGTTAAATTTGTTTCCTCTAGAATCGAGGCCATCAAGCTACAGATGGTCTTACAAATGGAACCCTAAAGAGTTCCCCTCTGGAGGACACTACAACGGCAGGGCCCGTTCTTTGCCCCTATCCAGCAGGAATTAGCTAGAACAGTCATTGCCCAATTCCCAACAGCAGTTGGGGTGTCCTGTTTAGAGGGGGGATTGAGAGGTGAAACCAGCTGGTTTTCTGGGTCGAGCGGGGACTTGGAGAACTTTTCTGTCTAGCTAAAGGTTTGGAAACGCACCAGTCAGTGCTCTGTGTCTAGCTGAAAGGTTTGTAAACGCACCAATCCATACTCTGTAAAAACGCACCAATCAGCGCTCTGTGTCTAGCTAAAGGTTTGTAAATGCACCAATCAGCACTCTGTAAAAATGCACCAATCAGCGCTCTGTATCTAGCTAAAGGTTTGTAAACAGACCAATCGGCACTCTGTAAAATGGACCAATCAGCGCTCTGTAAAACGGACCAATCAGCAGGATGTGGAAGTGGCCAAAAAAGCTGGCCACCCAAGCCAGCAGTGGCAACCCATTCGGGTCCCCTTCCACACCGTGAAAGCTTTGTTCTTTTGCTCTTTGCAATAAATCTTGCTGCTGCTCACTCTTTGGGTCCACACTACCTTTATGAGCTATAACACTCACCACCACGGTCTGTGGCTTTACTCCTGAAGTCAGCAAGACCACCAACCCACCGGGAGGAACAAACAACTCCAGACGTGCCACCTTTAAGAGCTGTAACACTCACTGTGAAGGTCTGTGGCTTCACTCCTGAAGTCAGTGACACCACGAACCCACTGGAAGGAACAAACTCTGGACACACCATCTTTAAGAACTGTAACACTCACCGTGAGGGTCCGCAGCTTCATTCTTGAAGTCAGCGAGACCAAGAACCCACCAGAAGGAATAAATTCCAGACACAATATCTGAGCTGAGCCTTATAGTGATAATCATCAGGATGGAATGAAGCCCAGTTAAAAATGGGGGAAGGGAACAGAGCTGATTAATCTCAGAAAGCAAGCCACCATATTTTTGAACATTAGAGAACAAAAACAGACAAAGGAGCATAAAGGTAGAAAAGCTAACCTGTGCCAAGTTCCCTCTACAAGTTCAGGAAAACAAGCTTCACATAAAAATGAGAAACAAAAATATTAAGGTCAAATCCCAGGCAATGTTGTTAAAAATAAAGAGAAAATGAGCAGAGTAACATAGCTACAGACAAAGGTACACATATTAAAATTATTACTTGTATTTTAAAGTGAGATAAAACTTGTGAAAATGATAAAAGGCATAGCAACAAAAATCAGCATTAGATATGAAATGATGGAATTCAGAGAATTAGAAATGAAAGAAAAAAATTTCAGAAATGAACATTAAACTAGAAGGAACATAGGAGTGAACAAACACAATAGATAAAGCCTGAAAAGAAGCAAGGGAAAAGGGAAAAATTTTAAACTCAAAAAGAAGAAAACCAAATGATTTAAGAAAGTGACATATGTTGAAGCGAGGCAAAGAAGATAAAATGCCAACAATGGGAAATCCAAGAGAAAAATCGAACCAAGAACAAATACTACAACAATAATTCAAGGAAATGTACTTGAAATTTTTTTCAAAGAATGTGAAATTACATAATGAAAGAGCACATTGCATATCTGATTATGTCAATACTAAACAATCAATACCAAGACATATTCTAGTAAAACTTACTGAAGCCAAAGAAAGAAGAAACATGGCCACCTATAAGGAAGAGTGTCATTGCCAGCCTCATGTATCACTGATTTTATTTGCTGCCATTCTTGTCTGTTTTTCTCACATCCTTTCCGCTTGTAATCTATTAAGATTCTACATTAATTTCACTAAACTTGGATTCAGCAAAAAATAAAAATTAGGATTGACAAAAGCAAAAATAGATTTTTAAAAAGTAACAGCTGCTTAAACATGGTATACTGAACATCACATTTACCATGGCTCCCTCATGAAAGTCCACTAAAAGTTCAAGAGATTAAAAGAATTATCCTATTTAGATAGTGGAAGAAATGACAGAGGTGAGTCAAGAAAATTTTGGAAGCTGGAGACAAATAAGTGAATGGAAACGATTTAGCAGATGAAGAAGGTTTCAACCTAGGGGCCTGTGAAAAGATGAAACTGTAACCACCTGATGGGTTCTTTCTGTCCACTGCACAAACAAAAACCAATCCACAACATTACAGTACAATTGACATGAGGCTGGCCACGCCAAGCAGGAGATACCCCCGAAAATTTGGAGACAGGATTTTTAAGGATAATTGGCAGGTAGGGAGCCAGGAAGTGGGGAGAGTTGATTGGTCGGGTCAGACAAAAATCATAGGGAGTCAAAGCTGTCCTTTTGCGTTGAGTCAGTTTCTGGGCCAGATGAGCTAGTTTATCAATCTGGGTGGCACCAGCTGATCTATTGAGTGCAGGGTCTGAAAAATATCTTGAGCACCAATCTTAGGTTTTGCAATAGTGATGTTATCCCTAGGAGCAATTGGGAAGGTTTAGAATCTGATGGCCTCTAGTTGCATGCATGACTCCTAAACCATAATTTCTAATCTTGTGGATAATTTGTTAGTCCTACAAAGGCAGTCTGGTCCCCAGGCAAGCTTCGTTTCAGGAAATGGCTGTTATCATTTATCTTTGTTTCAAAGGTAAATTATAAACTAAGTTCCTCCAAAAGTTAGTTCAGCCTACAGCTCAGGAATGAACAAGGACAGCTTGGAGGTTAGAAGCAAGACGAGGTTAGTTAGGTCAGACTTATTTCACTGTCATAATTTTCTCACTTGTTAATGTTTTTGCAAAGGCAGTTTCAAACCTAAGAACTTGGTTCTAAACACAAACAAAAGTAAGGCTCAGTACTGATCCTAGGTTCTTCTAAGACAGAGTGCAAGGAGCAAAACATGAAAGTCGGTCTCCTCACAAACAGGCAACCATTCACCATCTTCACAGAAGACTCAAAAAAGTAAGAGATTCTAAACTCAGGTGTACCAAGGAGAGTTAATTGGAGGGTTAGCCAATTGAAAACAGGGGGATTAAGTAAAAGTCTACATAGTGATCTGTGGGTATCTTCAGCCAGCCCAAGAGAAAAGACAGAATTCCTCCAATTAAGAACCTTCATCCATAAACACAGAACTTCCAATCAGCTTTTTAGTGTCTTAACTCTTACATATAAAAGCAGCCATGGCCGGGTGCAGTGGCTCATGCCTATAATCCCAACACCTGGGGAAGCTGAGGTAGGTGGATTGCTTGAGGCCAGGAGTTCCAGACCAGCCTGGGCAACATGGCGAAACTCCGTCTCTATAAAACAAACAAACAAAAATTGGCCAGGCATGGATGCACATGCCTGTAGTTCCAGCTACTTGGGAGGCTGAGGTGGGCGGATCACCTGAGCAGGGGAAGTCAAGGTTCCAGTGAGCCATGAATCAACCACTGCACTCCAGCATGGATGACAGAGTGAGACCCTGTCTCAATAAAAAATAAAATAAAATAAAAAAGCAGCACATAATCAAAGATTTAAGGAAATTTGAAAAAACATCAGAGACAGCAAAACAAGAAAAAATTAACTTGAAAGAAACAGCAAGCAAGAAGCAGATGAAAACTTGAAAACAACGACTAAAATTAACATCCTCAGAGAAGTAAATATTATATCCATGAAATCATCAAGCACAAGGCCAAGCGCAAGGGGCCAAGCATGTCCTGACAGATTTAGCCAGAAAACAAAACAAAACAACAACAATAAAAACAATGAGTTCGTTTTAGATTCAGACAGCTTATTATTTACATAGACAGTGAAAAATCATAGTCAAAGGTGCCAAACCTCCAAGGTCCTGACCTTGTGCGGGGACATCAACACAAAAGGGACCAGACAACACAACAGGAGTGAGGGACTTCCTGTTGCTGTAGAGCTAATGCCATGCTGCCGCTAAGCAATTTTATAGCCTGCAGCTGTGCCCCGGGTGGGGAGGAGGTGAGGCAAGTGGGAGTAGAAAGTCCCGTGTCTCAAAGGAAACAGTGAGGGAGACGAGAAAATTGCCTGAAGGCATCCTCCTGCAACATAGGGAGCCTCCCAGATGAAAGCACGGCAAATGAGAAAAAGACCATGCAAAGGCTCCTCACAAAACTGTCTGGCTATGCTCCTGGGAGGATCACAGGGTGTGTTCTACCAAGACTTAGTTCAGTTTGAGGTTCAGGCTCCACCTGCATGGCCTATCAAGATACATGCAGGGTCACCAGGATGCCAAGCAGGAGCCACTGCCCTACAGACGCAAAATTTTAGTGCTATTTTAAAGAAGGAATATTCAGAGAATAAAAAATAACAAGATCTTTGGGATATTAAACATATGTTTGAAGTTTTAAAAAAAAATCATTGGAAGAACCAGAAGAGAAAATTGAGAAAATATAAAGGAAAGTAGAAAAGATGAAAAATAGAAACAATAAGAAAAAAGAATCAGGCCTAGATATCAATATCTGAATAAAAAGAGTTCTAGAATAAACACTAGAAAAAACAGAGGGAAGGAACTTTTCAAGCAGTATTTTAAAACTTCCAGAACTGAATGACATGAATTTCTCCACTGAAGAAGACATCCTCCTGCAAGACAGGGAGCCTCCCCGATGAAAGAACGGCAAATGAGAAAAAGATCATGCAAAGGCTCATGATTAACTCATTAACATTAAATGAGTAACTAAATGGATAAAAAAATCCATATCCTGACATATAGTCAAAAACTTTCAGAATATTGGGGATAGAGGTTAGATTCTGACAGCTTCCAAAGAGAAACAGGACACACATTAAGTATCAAGAAATCAGACCACAGTGCAATCAAACTAGAACTCAGGATTAAGAAACTCACTCAAAACCGCTCAACTACATGGAAACTGAACAACCTGCTCCTGAATGACCACTGGGTACATAATGAAATGAAGGCAGAAATAAGGAACAAAGACACAACATACCAGAATCTCTGGGACACATTTAAAGCAGTGTGTAGAGGGAAATTTATAGCACTAAATGCCCACAAAAGAAAGCAGGAAAGATCTAAAATTGACAACCTAACATCACAATTAAAAGAACTAGAGAAGCAAGAGCAAACACATTCAAAAGCTAGCAGAAGGCAAGAAATAACTAATATCAGAGCAGAACTGAAGGAGACAGAGATAAAAAAAACCCTTCAAAAAATCAATGAATCCAGGAGCTGGTTTTTTGAAAAGATCAATGAAATTGATAGACCGCTAGCAAGACTAATAAAGAAGAGAGAAGAATCAAATAGATGCAATAAAAAATGATAAAGGGGATATCACCACCAATCCCACAGAAATACAAACTACCATCAGAGAATACTATAAACACCTCTATGCAAATAAACTAGAAAATCTAGAAGAAATGGATAAATTCCTCGACACATACACCCTCCCAAGACTAAACCACGAAGAAGCTGAATCCCTGAATAGATCAAAAACAGGCTCTGAAATTGAGGCAATAATTAATAGCCTACCAACCAAAAAAATTCCAGGACCAGATGGATTCACAGCTGAATTCTACCAGAGGTACAAGGAGGAGCTGGTACCATTCCTTCTGAAACTATTCCAATCAATAGAAAAAGAGGGAATCCTCCCTAACTCATTTGATGAGGCCAGCATCATCCTGATACCAAAGCCTGGCAGAGACACAACAAAAAAAAAGAGAATTTTAGACCAATATCCCTGATGAACATCGATGCAAAAATCCTCAATAAAATACTGGCAAACCAAATCCAGCAGCACATCAAAAAGCTTATTCACCATGATCAAGTGGGCTTCATCCCTGGATGCAAGGCTGGTTCAACGTATGCAAATCAATAAATGTAATCCAGCATATAAACAGAACCAAAGACAAAAACCACATGATTATCTCAATAGATGCAGAAAAGGCCTTTGACAAAATTCAACAACCTTCATGCTAAAAACTCTCAATAAATTAGGTATTGATGGGACGTATCTCAAAACAATAAGAGCTATTTATGACAAACCCACAGCCAATATCATACTGAATGGGCAAAAATTGGAAGCATTCCCTTTGAAAACTGGCACAAGACAGGGATGCCCTCTCTCACCACTCCTATTCAACATAGTGTTGGAAGTTCTGGCCAGGGCAATCAGGCAGGAGAAAGAAATAAAGGGTATTTAGTTAGGAAAACAGGAAGTCAAATTGTCCCTGTTTGCAGATGACATGATTGTATATTTAGAAAACCCCATTGTCTCAGCCCAAAATCTCCTTAAGCTGATAAGCAACTTCAGCAAAGTCTCAGGATACAAAATCAATGTGCAAAAATCACAAGCATTCCTATGCACCAATAACAGACAAACAGAGAGCCAAATCATGAGTGAACTCCCATTCACAATTGCTTCAAAGATACCTAGGAATCCAACTTACAAGGGATGTGAAGGACCTCTTCAAAGAGAATTACAAACCACTGCTCAATGAAAAAGAGGACAGAAACAAATGGAGAACATTCCATGCTCATGGGTAGGAAGAATCAATATCGTGAAAATGGCCATACTGCCCCAGGTAATTTATAGATTTAATGCCATCCCCATCAAGCTACCAATGACTTTCTTCACAGAATTGGAAAAAACTACTTTAAAGTTCATATGGAACCAAAAAAGAGCCTGCATTGCCAAGACAATCCTAAGCCAAAAGAACAAAGCTGGAGGCATCACACTACCTGACTTCAAACTGTACTATAAGGCTACAGTAACCAAAACAGCATGGTACTGGTACCAAAACAGAGATATAGACCAACGGAACAGAACAGAGCCCTCAAAAATAATACCACACATCTACAACCACCTGATCTTTGACAAATCTGACAAAAACAAGAAATGGGGAAAGGATTCCCTACTTAATAAATGGTGCTGGGAAAACTGGCTAGCCATATGTAGAAAGCTGAAACTGGATCCCTTCCTTACACCTTATACAAAAATTAATTCAAGATGGATTAAAGACTTAAATGTTAGACCTAAAACCATAAAAACCCTAGAAGAAAACCTAGGCAATACCATTCGGGACATAGGCATGGGCAAGCACTTCATATCTAAAACACCAAAAGCAACGGCAACAAAAGCCAAAATTGACAAATGGGATCTAATTAAACTAAAGAGCTTCTGCACAGCAAAAGAAACTATCATCAGAGTGAGCAGGCAACCTACAGAATGGGAGAAAATTTTTGCAATCTACTACTCATCTGACAAAGGGCTAATATCCAGAATCTACAAAGAACTCAAACAAATTTCCAAGACAAAAACAACCCCATCAAAAAGTGGGCAGCAAAGACTTGGAACCAACCCAAATGTCCATCAATGATACACTGGATTAAGAAAATGTGGCACATTTACACCATGGAATACTATGCAGCCATAAAAAAGGATGAGTTCATGTCCTTTGTAGGGACATGGATGAAGCTGGAAACCATCATTCTCAGCAAACTATCGCAAGGACAGAAAACCAAACACTGCATGTTCTCACTCATAGGTGGGAATTGAACAATGAGAACACTTGGACACAGGAAGGGGAACATCACACACCGGGGCCTGTCGGGGAGTGGCGGGAAGAGGGGAGGGATAGCATTAGGAGATATACCTAATGTAAATGACGAGTTCATGGGTGCAGCACGCCAACATAGCACATGTATACATATGTAACAAACCTGCACGTTGTGCTCATGTACCCTAGAACTTAAGGTATAATAATAATAAAAAAAAGAATCAGAATGACCAATGAATTTTCAACAAATTTAATGGAAGTTGGAAGGCACTGGTGCAATACTGTAAAATTCAGGACATTGATTTCTGGCATGTAAACATTATTATTCACAGAAAGTTTCAATCAAGTATGTAGGCAGAACTCAGCCATGTGGGGTCACACCAATGAATCAAAATAACTTACTGTGCGTGCAGTCTTTCACAGGAAGCTGTCGGAAGAGGTATGCCACCAAAAGAGAAAGAGAATTCAGGAAATGGGGGATCCAACATAACAGAGGTGAAGAGCAACCAATCCAGATTAGAATAGTACAGAGAGCTCCAGAAGGAATATCTTTGAAGAAAAAAGTGATGGATTATATGATGTGTTTGAACCTACTGAGAAGAGATTTACACTTCTGGAGGACAGCCTGAGTGTAAATTCATGTCATTCTGTTCTGGGAAGTTTTAAAATACTACTATATAGCAGTCTTCTGCTATATAGACCACTCAACAAATAAAATAATAAGGCAGTATTATTAATTCCAAAAAACTCAAGCCAAAAATTGGACCAAAAAAGGAAATATAATTACAGATACCACACATTCCAGTTGTGAATAGTATTTACAGAGTCAAAATAGTATAAATATTGAATGCTAACTTAACCAGAAAGTGTGATGTAACTGCACTCTACTGTGAAAATCAGAGAGGAAGGTATGCGCTTAGAGGAGAGGTAGAGGAATTACAGCTTAATCTTCAAATCCCAAAATAGACCAACTGATAAAATCTAAAACTGAAATATTTAAAAAAGGGATAACAATCATGTTATTTAAAAATACAGAGATAAACATTACAGGTAACAGCTAAATAGCTACATTTATGGACCACAGCGAATAACTCTACACAATATATATTAATACTTACCAAGCAATCTTGACATTGAAGACTGCAACAGGTAAAAGAAAGAAAGAATACTAGATTGTTCACATCCAGCAACAGTGAGGGACAAGAGAGACTAAACAAATGGCTTCATTTTGAATTGGGTAGGGAAAGGAAGAGAGAGAGAGATGAGAAATACTTGAACTCAAAAGAGTTCTGTAAGTTTGGCAAAGTTTACAGCATTCTGTATTGGAATCACAGACTATTATAGCTGAAAGAAATCTTACATAGTGGCTACAATTTATTTCCCTCATTTTACAGTTACTTGCTAAGGTAACACAGCTGGTTAGGCAGAATCAGACCCTTCTGCTCTTAACTCTCACATTCTTTTTCTTGTATCACAAAGCACTTAAAAATAATTATCAAATATCAAATATGTCAGTATGTTGACTACATGAGTTCCTATTGATATACTTCATTGTTTTATTTGAAGAATATAAAGAAAATGTAAACACATCTAAAGATGAAGTTTTAAGTTAAAACATATTGGCCTTTTTAAAGAATTAAGAAGATACAATCAAAGAAAAGTATCCATAACTGACCTCTTCTTGCTTTTTATGATGGGCTAGAACTGAGAATTTTTAAAGCCCAAATATTCGGCCCAAATTACAGGTTCACCTCTGCTTTATCTACCTTGAAAATGGCATTGAAAAATGGTGATTGTATTACAGTTTGTATTACTGTCCAAATAGTTCAGAATACCTTTAATCAGATAACAAATCCTAAGATCTAACATTTTGCTGAAAGTAAGTTTTGGCCAAAAGATATAAGGAAAGAATATATTGCCTGATTAACTTGAGGAATTAATAGTGTTCAACAAAAAGATGTGTGGATTTTGAGTGATTTTTCATAACTGAAATGTTACTGGTACCCTGGTGATAGATTTTTAGGATGTATCTGTGTGGATTAGTAGGAACATCTAAATGTGAACCAAGGCTTAGTTTGAGGTATCTGCTCATTAACACAGAAGACTTATTATCAGTTGCCACCCAGCATTCAAGATTTGAGGGGCCAGACTCTGTGGCGTGTGCCTGTAGTCCCAGCTACTCAGGAGGCTAAGGTGGGAGAGACAGCCTGAGCACAGGAGCTTGAGACCAGCCTGGGCAACATAGCAAAAACCTCATCTCTAAAAAAATAAAAATAAAAAGGATTTAAGTCAAGTTCTTCATCAAATATCAGGATTGCTTGACATTGAATAAAAAATTCAGCCGCCAATTTTTTTTGTTTTAATTACTAATTAAATATTGCCTAGAAATGTTGCTCACCTTAACAAAAGGAAGGAATCGGGCATAAAAACCAGCAGCACCCACCCATGTCTTTATTAACCAGTCTACTCCATGATAAAATCTATATTGTAAGATCTCTAGGTTTAAGACTTTTTTTTTTTTTGAGATGGAGTCTCACTCTGTCGCCCAGGCTGGAGAGCAGTGGCGTGATCTCGGCTCACTGCAAGCTCCGTCTCCCAGGTTCGCGCCATTCTCCTGCCTCAGCCTCCCGCGTAGGTGGGACTACAGGTGCCCTCCAACACACCTGGCTAATTAGTTGTTTGTATTTTTAGTAGAGACGGGGTTTCACCATGTTAGCCAGGATGGTCTGTCTCCTGACCTCATGATCCACCCGCCTCGGCCTTCCAGTGCTGGGATTACAGGCGTGAGCCACCGCACCTGGCCTCTAGGTTTAAGATTTGAACAAGACTGAGAACCTTATAGGCCTTCAATAAATACCTCTGGGCTGATTATTTAAATGGCAGCATCAGATCGATACATGGTATTTTCCCATTACTTAGGCATTTCTAAAGCAAATATTCCCATTCTCTAACGCCATTCATTTTCAAAAAGCTCTCAAGTCTTTCAACATTTTAAAAGAAGATAAAAATTTGATTTTCCAAGGTAGGGAATTAAGTAGCCTCTAATTTATTCTGTTCATTCTACCTCACACATATACACTCCAGTCAAATGTCCTGTAAACCATTCTGCATAGAGTAGAACAGACACACAATGCTTCATGAAGGTGGAGACTTTAATCATCTACAAAGCCCTCAGACCTGTTTTACTTTATATGTTTAATCATACAGATGCCATCTACAGTATTTTGTAGTTAGTAAGCAGCAATAAAGTTTATTCTGTACTACTTTAGCATATTAACTATTACTTTTAAGTTGAAATAGAAAAATTATATCACTGTCTTTTCATCTTGAAGCAATAACAATGAACTCATAACTCAAATCTGTTTACCAGCTTAAGAGAAGCATTTAAAATCATATAGGCTTTTTCTATGCTTTATTAGAAAGATTTATGGAGGGGGAAAAAATGGTAGAATTATTCCAAGGCATGTTCAGGAACAACAACAACAAAAAGAATTTGTAACTGCAATTCCAGCGTTTCATAAATGTCCTCTATTTCCATTTAAAAACTCTCTAAAATTAACATAATTAAAGCAGCTAATAAAACACAATCCCTGCAACTTTTATATATAAGGAAAGTCCTCATACAGTATCAGTAGACCATGGCTTATAAATAAAATATACTGTATTTGTTATCAAATATAGAAACAACAGTTCCAGATTTATGTTTTTTGAAAAAATTAATTTATTTTAAGTTAAGGATCTCTACGTAAATTTATTTTGGTATCAAACAACTGCAATTAGTGATGGGGGGATAAAAGCATCCCTAATTGTGGAAGGATGGTAATTTATTTACAAAAACTATACAAAATTAGATTAATTATAACAACAACTTATCAAAGGTTCCTGAAATTAATTTTGCTTTTGAAAAAGTATCAAAAGTCTTCAGATCCAGAATGATAGCATTTTATTATTTCTGATTCATGGAATTATAGCACATCAGATCTTTAAGCAACTACATCAGATAAAATCCTAGATAATAAAATATTCTTCATTTCCTGACAGCTTGGAATGTAAATGAAAACTTGTTCCATTTTTATTAAAGAAAAAACCTAGAATAATGCATCCAATGGTATCAAATACCTGTTAGAATGGCGTGTCTGCTATAATTAAACATGGGCAATTAGTTCTACATAGTTAAAAATTGCCTTAAATTAATTCCTTCCTTTAATAAAAAAGTTTTTCTCAGTCATTTCAGATCTCTGTTATTCGGTTTTAACTAGGAAATTTGCATTTACATAAGGAATCTTCAAAATAGTATATATTTAAAAAGTGCATATAAGCAAAACTAAATTTCTCAAATTAAATAATTTAATATTGTATTGTAAAATACAAGTAGCCTTAAGAGAAACATGCTTCGTCAATCTTTTGCTTTTAGGTTTGGTGCCCAAACATTTAAAAATAAAGAAAAAAATACCACGACTCTTTGCTAATGGCTTTTAAGATTTGCAGACACAGCTAAATACTCATCTAACAAAGTATCCAGGCTATCCAACTATATTGCCATGAATTCATAAGACAGTAACACACATTTATAATATAAAAGTAGTCAAAAAAATAAAAAGAAACAGCCACAGGTAATTTAGGGCTAAAATGAGTCCTAATAAGGGTTACATGAGAAATAACATATAAGACCCCAAATAAATTTTAGATACAAAATTAAATGATGTGGCTTTGTTCAAACATACCTAAAATTCAAAATCAAGTTAAATACCTAGGCTGGCTTTTTTATATCACCAGCTTTCATTAGGGCTTTAATCGCTCTTGCCCTCATCTCAAGTTCTAGCAGCTCCAGTTGCTGTGCAGAAGGTTGAACATCTTCTGGTGGAGGAACAGCCAGGGTGGCTGCTTTGGGTTCGTTTGGGCTAGACTCTGCCAGTCCTAGAATCTCATTCACACTTTTCTCAATGTCTTTCTCCAGGTCATCTATCTGACCAGCTTCACTTTGGACTGTATTTTCTGGTGCCTCGGGAGCAGCTGCTTCTTCGTTGCATGGGCCTTCTATGTCGCTGTCATAAGCATCTGCATTTATACTGAGTACATCACTATCTTCCCCTTTTCCTGTAACCAAAAAAGGAGAAAGATCCATGTAACCTAAATACCATGGGTCACAATTTCCTTACTGTTTATAATTTAAAAACTGCTTTGATCCCACCTCCCACTATGGAGTCCCAAACACATTCCATAATCCCCATGCCACCCTCTTTTCCCCTGACTCCTCAACCTTCAAAGCAGATCTAATGTAATGTAAATTCAAATGTATTTTTCATTCTGATTTAGTAGAACATGGGAACATTAAGAAATTTCTTCCATCATATGCAGTACCCATGATCTATTTTCCTAATTAAAATGTCATAACATTTTTATCACAGTAAAGCTTCTGCACTACAAAATGAAAGCTGACATTGGAAATCCTCTGGATACAGTATGGCTTACTATTCAAGCAGTAAAATTTCATTCTAGAAGGTGTTTAAATACTTTGCTTTATAAACTACAAAAAAGAAAAAGTATCATCAGCAAGCAGGACAACATATGCATTGCAATTATCCCAATCTTTTCATACGCTTTTTCAAACACTTTGTTCCAAATCAATAAATTAAAGAAGAATGCCTAAGGCCATTTTCTAAGGTAAAATTTGTTTTAATGACGAGGATTTTAATTAACAAAGTTAGTTCACCATAATTTTAAAAAATGCATTTGTTATAAAACTTCTATAACTGATGCTAACAACATAAATAAACACAGATTATGGTTCTCGACCACCTTGTTCTTGGCATTGAATACTACTCAATTCCAGGCATCATTTGCAACTTTGAATACTCACTTATATTCCTAATTAATTTATCTTTTAAATATTGAATATGTTTTTTGTGTGTTTTTCTTGCATTTTCTTTTTTTTCTTTTTATTTTATTATTATACTTTAAGTTTTAGGGTACATGTGCACAATGTGCAGGTTAGTTACATATGTATACATGTGCCATGCTGGTGTGCTGCACCCATGAATATGTTTTTTTTTTTAAAAAGTCATGATCCCCAAAATGTTAGCTTTCCCTAATATAAGAAAGCTTTGATAGCGCTTTCCTTACAGTAGGGAAAGCTTCTTTACAAAACATAGATTGACAGATGGTAAATTCTGATAACAGACTGTACAGGAAGGACATAAACAATTATACTCCATTGGTTTTATAATCAATGATGATTTACTGACCTTCAGTGATCCTCCTACATGCTTATAATTGAAAAACCACCCCCATTCCAAAATTAAAGTGGAAAATAAAACAAAAAATTATTTTTGTGTCCATAAATAGAACTTGTAAAAATAAGATTATCATTTTATTTGATGGCAAAGAACATTTTATATATGTCCGCAAAGCAACAAATATTTCCAAATAGCATAAAAAACTACAGAAAATTGAATAAAACCTTTCAAGAAACAATATTTTATACAAGTATTCTAACTTGAGACTAAAATAGATTTAAGAAAATAAGGCCAGGTGCAGTGGCTCATGCCTGTAATCCCAGCACTTTGGGAGGCTGAGGTGGGCAGATCACCTGGGGTCAGGAGTTTGAGACCAGCCTGACCAACATGGAGAAATCCCATCTCTACTAAAAATACAAAATTGGCCAGGCGTAGGGGCACATGCCTGTAATCCCAGCTACTCGGGAGGCTGAGGCAAGAGAATCACTTGAACCTGGGAGGCGGAGGTTGTGGTGAGCCAAGATCGTGCCATTGCACTCCAGCCTGGGCAATAAGGGTGAAACTCCGTCTCAAAAAAAAAAGAAAATAAGTGCTAAGTTGTTCACAGCCTCAAAAAATTAACTTTAGTGTCTCCGAGGCTTTACCTAAAATTTAAAGTGTATAGTCACTGATTCTGAATAAGAAACTACAGGCTGTATAAAATATTTTAAAATACAAATTTTTGAAAAATGTGACTTGTTTTTCAGACTAGGGGTTGTTGCGAGATAATGAATGAAGAGCTGAATAATATAATGAGGGGGTGGAGAAGAGGTAAACGGTAGTTGATTCAGAGGCTTGATCAGACTCAGGTTCAATTTTCTGGTAAGAATATTTAGAAGTGACGTTGTGTACTTCCAGCACATAATATATAATTGCTTTTCTTTTTGTGATCATGTCAGTATCCATTGAGATTGGGTATTGTCTACAGTGGCTGATGAGAATACTCTTGATTCCCTGAACCTAACCATTGTAATGCTTTTGTCTGTAATCTAGTTTTTTTCTGTGGCAACTTTCAGGAACTTTTTTTATTCTTGAATTCTATTTCACAGGATGTGTCTTAGGTTTGATGTTCTACACGTGGCAAGCCCTTTCAGGGTGACGGCCTTCTTCACCTCCTAACAGTTTTATCCAGATTATTTCTTTATTTTCCCTTTTCACTATCTACTTTCTTGCTTTCTGACTTATTCTGTCACTTTATCAAGTCCCTGCTCAAATGGTACCTTATCAGATCATAGTGATCACTCTCTGTGAAAGTGTCATCCTGCTACTGTCTTCTTATCCTGTTTTATTTTTCTTCATTGCACCTGACATTTTTATGTATTTTTACTCTCTCTCTACTACTTAAATGTAGGGCAGAGATTTTTGTTGTTGTTCCCTGCTGTTTCCTTGGTGCTTAAAACAGTGTCTTGTACACAGCAGGTGCTCAGTAATATTTGTTGAATTATACTCAGTTCATGTTGGACTTCATGAGTTGTTCATCTTCATCTCTTAACTTTTATTGCACATTTAAAAATATTTTTCTTTTCTGGATTTTGAGATATTTCCTTAACATGATCTCCCAGCACTGCTGAATATTTGCTTTTTCTGTCACCCAGGCTGGAATGCAGTGGCACAATCTCTGCTCACTGCAACCTCCACCTCCAGGGTTCAAGCGATTCTCCTGCGTCAGCCTTCTGAGTAGCTGGGATTACAAGCACGTGCCACCACACCCGGCTAATTTTTGTATTTTTAATGGAGACGGGGTTTCACCATGTTGGTCAGGCTGGTCTGGAACTCCTGACCTCGTGATCCACCCACCTCAGCCTCCCAAAGTGCTAGGATTACAGGTATGAGCCACCACGCCTGGCCGATATCTGTAATTTTAAATTCTAACAATTCTTGGTCTCTGGCTTTTTATCATTGCACCCTGTTTTATGGCTGCAGTGTCCACATTAGTCTCTCTCATAAGGATATTAAATGGACTCTCTTCTTCCCTTTTCTCCAAAAGATTATCTTCTGATCCCTGAATTTTATTTCTTCTTTTGTTTATCTTGGTCCTTCATTTGTTTTAGCTATGTTTTTCTGGTAGCTGGTTTGGTTTTTTTGAGCAGTTGTTTATTTCTCTAACAGATCTTTTTCTTTGATATAAAATGGATGAGGGGTAGGCCTCTCAGAGTAGAGTGCTTGGATATATGGCCGTGAAAAGGAGGGAAAGGAGGAGGAGTTCAGTTGGCTTAATTATTCAAAATGAATTTAATTTTAATTGCCATGTTGTTTGTTCCACAGCCAATTCTTCCTTCTTTCCAAGACTCAAGAAAGAGTTACACTTACCAGCTGGGCACGGTGGCTCACGCCTGGAATCCCAGCACTTTGAGAGGCCAAGGCAGGTGGATCACAAGGTCAGGAGTTCAAGACTAGCCTGGCCAAGATGGTGAAACCCCACCTCTACTAAAAATACAAAAATTAGCCGAGCGTGGTGGCGGGTGCCTGTAATCCCAGCTACTATGGAGGCTGAGGCAGAGAACTGCTTGAACCCAGGAGGCAGAGGGTGCAGTGAGCCGAGATTGCGCCACTGCACTGCAGCCTGGGTGACAGAGCGAGACTCTGTCTCAAAAAAAAAAAAAAAAAAAAAAAAGAAGAAGAAAAAAAAGAAAAAAGAAAGACTTACACTTATCTATGGTGTCTTTGGCTATGATTTTCCTTTCTTTTGTCAATTTGATCCTGTCTACTTATATTTTGTGAAAACCATAAAATTTCTAATCTTTACATTATATCTTTTTTGTTATACTGTAAATTCATTTTTTCTTTTAACGCTTTTTACAGTTCATTCTTGTAAAAGGTTGAAGAAATACATGTTCACAGAGCAAAATGGGAAAATTAATTTTTCTTCTTTTTTTTTTGAGACAGAGTTGCACTCTTGCTGCCCAGGCTGGAGTGCAATGATGCGATTTCAGCTCACCACAACCTCCACCTCCCAGGTTCAAGCAATTCTCCTGCCTCAGCCTCCCAAGTAGCTGGGATTACAGGCATGCGCCACCATGCCTGGCTAATTTCGTATTTTTAGTAGAGACGGGGTTTCTCCATGTTGGTCAGGCTGGCCTCGAACTCCCAACCTCAGGTGATCTGCCTGCCTCAGCCTCCCAAAGTGCTGGGATTACAGACATGAGCCACTGCGCCCGGCCAATTTTTCTTCTTCTTTTACTCCCCTTCCCAGAAGTAATCACTGTTAATAACTTATTTATTTTATTTTTAACAAAAACATAATTATCACTCTTTGGCTTACTTTTTTGACTTAAAAATATATCTTGGTCATTTTTTTTCATCTTAGCAATGTACTAGCTTCTTTTATAGACAGATAAAAATCCTCGTTTTTACTAGTAAGTAAAAAGCAATATTTTTTTTTTTTTTTTTTTTTTTTTTTTTTTTTTGACACGGAGTCTTGCTCTGTCACCCAGGCTGGAGTGCAGTGGCGCGATCTCGGCTCACTGCAAGCTCCACCTCCCGGGTTCACGCCATTCTCCCGCCTCAGCCTCCCAAGTAGCTGGGACTACAGGCGCCCGCCACCACGCCCAGCTAATTTTTTGTACTTTTGGTAGAGACGGGGTTTCACCGTGTTAGCCAGGATGGTCTCGATCTCCTGACCTCGTGATCCGCCCGTCTCGGCCTCCCAAAGTGCTGGGATTACAGGAGTGAGCCACCGTGCCCGGCCAAAAGCACTATTTTTTTAATTTACATTTATCTGATTAGAAATTAGGTTGAGCATTCTTTTCCACGTGTGTATTGCCTTCTGTATTTCCAGTTTTGTGAAATATCTGACTTGTTTCTACCCTTTGCCCATGTTTTTGTTTCTTAATAATACCTACATTCTATATATTCTTATATTTGTCCTTTTTTTGTAGTTTTCCTGTCTTATAATTTTATTTATGGTGTTTTTTTTTCTCAGAAATATTAACATTTAGCTAAATCTGTTGATTTTTTTTCCCTTTGTTTATTCCCTATTTTGTGGTTTACTTTGGAAGGACTGCTGTTTATTAGTTTTGTCATCAGTTAATTTACAACTTATGTTATTATTTTAAGTATCCCTCTTCTGTCACTTCAGTGGGTTCTTGGTAGGGAGGGGAAGTAGATACGTATGTTCAATTTGCTGTCTTTAGAGGAAATTCACACCAGTATCTAAATAATCCATGTTCTAGAGTTTGTCTTGGCTTAATTTAATAATTCACTATCAAGAGGTTTCACAAGCATATCACTGAAAACACTAGATATACTTTAATCTTATGCATAAGAACTGTTTCTGATAAGCTGAATTATTATCAACTCGAATATTTATAAGTCCTATCAAGGTTTAAATACTTTAGCATAACTTAAAAGTTCCTTTTATTTTTATAACTCAGAATGTTTGTGATGTGATTAACAGTTCTTATATGTGGCCAGGCGTGGTGGTTCATGCCTGTAACCCAGCACTTTGGGAGGCCAAGATGGGCGGATCATGAGGTCAAGAGATGGAGACCATTCTGGCTAACACAGTGAAGCCCCGTCTCTACCAAAAAATACAAAAAAAATTAGCCGGGCCTGGTGGCAGGCACCTGTAGTCCCAGATACTCAGGAGGCTGAGGCAGGAGAATGGCGTGAACCCGGGAGGCGGAGCTTGCAGTGAGCCAAGATTACACCACTGCACTCCAGCCTGCGCGACAGAGCGAGACTCCATCTCAAAAAAAGAAAAAATAGTTCTTATATGTTTGTTTACTTTCATTGGATATTCTATTTAAAACTTTCAACAGAAAGCAAACCTATGCCACAAGTGTTTACTTTTATCTAATTTAGAGAATCCCACAGCTCTCACGCACTGAGGTTTGTTATAGATGATAATAAAAACAGTGGTATTACATTTTAGTTTTTTCTATTATGTGGCACACTCCTTTTTATTTATATTAGGAGTATATTACTTTTAGAGAGATTGGGTCTTATGTTGTTTATTTTTTCTCCTGGCTAATAAAATGTTTAGAGTGTTGGCTGTTCTATTTAGCTGCCAAATATTTTGCCTTTATGGTTTTATCCCATATTCACAACTATGGCTCACTGAATAACATAAACATATAAATTTTTTTTGTTTTGTTCTGAAAAATTATTCCATTTATTTATATGTCAGTGATGAATCTGAGCAGTGACTGGTTCATTCTGCTGTCTAGACACTAAGCCTAGATGGATTCGTTTATTTAAAAAATCTTCAGTACTTGGGTGCGGAGTTTGAGATATGAATCAAGTCGGTAGGACTGAAGATAGCAGGAAAACAAGAGAAATAGTGAAAGTATACAGGCTAGACGACAGTGTAATACAACAAAGGTACATTGGTGAGTAGCTAGCCAGAGGATCAACTATAAGGGATGAATGCATGATAAAGCCCTTTTTTTCCCTGAGAAATCTTTTACATCTTTGTCTTCCTATAACTATTGCCTAGTCAAGCTCTTAAACTACTTTACTCCTTTCTCATAAGCTATTTGCTCCATTTCTTCATTTGTATTGTTTTTCTCTCAAGTGCCCTAAATGGTATGTAGTATTTCAAACCCCATCTTAGTGAAGGAGCACAGTTAATGTAAGGAATATATCGTATCTTCTTGTTTCTTTGTGTATTGTTTAAAGTTAACTTTAGTTCTTTCGCTGCTCTGTAACATCAGTAACTTAGATCTAAGTTTTTACTTGCTATCTTTCCTGTGCCACTTTGATTATTATGTCTCTAGTTAACAGTCTGAATTTTTATTCTTATTATTGTTAATTGCATTTTTTATATTTTACCTCAGGCCCAACTGTCTTTTATTTTTCTTGGTGGATTTCAATAACATTAGTTTAACATCATGCATACATCAAAACTGTTTTTATTTCCTTTTTTTCTTTAGGTATTTTTTAAAAAGCTTAAATTAAGTGGGCTTAAAGTACTAGCAGTGCCTTTGTAGAACCCAAACACCTCTTTAGTTCATAAACAGATTTTTGACATTTTACCATAAACCATGTTATATGATTACTTCTAATAGTAAAACAATTTTTTTTTTTTTTTGAGATGGAGTCTCACTCTGTCGCCCAGGCTGGAGTGCAGTGGCATGATCTCGGCTCACTGCAAGCTCCGCCTCCCAGGTTCACACCATTCTCCTGCCTCAGCCTCGCGAGTAGCTGGGACTACAGACACCCGCCACCAAACCCAGCTTATTTTTTGTATTTTTAGTAGAGACAGGGTTTCACCGTGTCATCCAGGATGGTCTTGATCTGTGACCTCGTGATCCGCCCCCTTGGCCTCCCAAAGTGTTGGGATTACAGGCGTCAGCCACCACGCCCGGCTAGTAAAACAATTTTTTAACAAAACTTTATGAAGACTTATTTTAATGCTTTATCAAAATAGGTATCACATTACCTGTTATATTTCTTGCTACTGACTAGACTTTATTTGAAGGAGTAGAAATAATTTACCTCACTTCTTCCTGAAAACTCTCTCTCTCACACACACACAAACACACAAGTACGTGGGCAGAGTGGGGGTTGGAGAGACAGAACATGACTACCCCAAAAATGTCGAGATCTTTGAATGAGTTATTTGAGGATGAAGTTACTTCTTTAGAAAGAATGTACAAGTTTTACCTCTTCTGTTTGAGGATCATGATTGATAGGGAAAACCCCATAATTCCCCAATACCAAAAACAAGAGTAAATTATCTTTGGAAATACATTAATAAGTTTGCAGATGATGCTTTTAAAAATGAGTTACTGACTGATTCTACTGGAATGATGAAAATTAAGAAATACTGAAAAGACTTGAAGCATGAAGCTCTTCCAATAATTTGCCATGTTCTATTGTACAAGTCACTTAACGTATACTAAATTATTTCAGATGTATAAAAAGCTTTGGCATCTATGATGCAGTTATAATGGACAGGTGAAACCTATGAAGGCATTCAGCAATACTGTGTTATAGAGAACTTGGCTTTTTTTTTCTTATGTGTAGTGTATTAAGCTACTAATTTAGATTTAAGTGCATTAGGTTGACCATCATTTATAAAATTTAATTGTGGCATGACTGATTTCTAAAGATAAAGAAAAAATGCAAATGATTCAGTAAAGAAAACCTGTCTAGTATTCTACTGAACCATTATTGAACTTCCAAATAACATGAATATCCACCAGCCTGTAAACTTGACTTTTAAGACTCACAAATCCATTAACTATCCCCTTCAGAGATTATTCCAAGAATCAAATAAATATTCACTAAGTATCTTTTACACATGTCATGATGGTGCTGCAAAGGCCTTAGAAGTAGGTGACAAAATATTTGTGACATGATTAAGACACAGGTTTTGCCTTCACAGTATGCTTAATGTATGGCATTATACTTTAACATACCAAATTACGCAATACAAAATATAACAGAATTTCAGAATATACAAGGCAACAGGCAAAAATCAGGGAGATATTCATAGATATATGATATGAGACGGGCCTTTAAGAATGGGTACAATCTAATAGGTGATATTAACAGAAGAGGAAACTGCAAGTGTGAGGGACAGAATGGGCACAAGCAAAATGCTACATGTAAAGCTCAGTACAGAGGTATGTGAGCCTGACAGAATAAAATGCACAGGTGAGAATATATAAAAAAAGGCAGTATCCAAAATTATTGTCTCTGAAGACATCACCATTCTAGGATAAAAAGCACAATAGGGACTCCCTGCTAGTCTTTTACAATGGATCAGATAAGTGGATATTTTTGGTCTTGCATTGGGGCACAATAACAGGCTGACATAAGCAATTCCTGACTATAATCTTTTGTTGAGTAATCTGAAAGTAAATAAAAAACTGTTTAAAATAGCATTTATCATTTCTCCTACCACTGATTAAACAGGGTTCTGGTAGAATAAAAGTTTGATATCAAAAATGAAAATACCCAAAAGGGAAAAATGAAGGCAGAACAGCTGTCTCAATTTCCAAGCATCGGAGTTTGGAAGCAAGCAACTTTTCCCCCTCAAGATTTCTTGGAACTTACACTCATTCAAAAGGGCATCACACTCAAATACTTTCTGTTAGTAACATCTCAGTGCTCCATAATCTACCCATCCTAGGAAAGTGTGCTCAAACTCATTATCTACTTCATAAACTACCATGTTTCCTGTGGCACTGCTTTTGCTTGTTTAAATATAAATATAAGCTCAGAAAGAGATACTAGAGACTTGATTCTAATTTTAGATAATGTAAAATTATTTATTTATTTTTAAATTAAATTTAATTTTTCTGGAGACAGGGTCTCACTTTGTCACCCAGGCTGGAGTGCAGTGGCCCAATCATGGCTCACTGCAACCTCTGCCTCCTGGCTGAAGCAATCCTCCCACCTCAGTCTCCCAGGGCTCATGCCTGTAATCCAGCACTTTGGGAGGCCAAGGGAGGTGGATCACTTGAGGTCAGGAGTTCAAGACCAGCCTGACCAACGTGGTGAAACGCCGTCTCTATTAAAAATACAAAAAATTAGCTGGGCGTGGTGGTGTGCACCTATAATCCCAACTACTCAGGAGGCTGAGGCAGGAGAATTGCTTGAACCCGGGAGGCGGAGGCTGCAGTGAGCTGAGATCACGCCACTGCACTCCAGCCTGGGTGACAGAGAGAGGCTCTGTCTCAAAAACCAACAACAAAAAAAAAGGGTATTGAGAGAAGAGGGGAGGTGAACAGAAGTAGGTTAGGGAAGGGAAGGCTTCATAGATAATGGAGATAATCTTAAAAACAGTAGTTTGATGTAAATAAGAGTACACTACTGGTGTAAATAAGTTTAGATTTCAGATTTGACATATTGGAACACATGTATTAAAACCTGCAGTCACAACTGATAGGCTGTGAAGTAGACATGTGATAGATCAACACAGTCCTGCTTTTCAAAAGGTGACTTCTATAAGACTACAGTACAGTAAATCTGACATCAATTCCCAGTGAAATTCTAGGTTTATTAGAAGGTTTACGAGCTCTGGAAAAAAAAAAATTAGTATCAACTAGTTTAGACAGATCAGGTAACATTTGATCAGGAATCTAAATGATGCATGGAAGACCCATATGGTTATCTGAGGAGGAAGCGGGCAGGCAGAAGGAACAGCAAAAGCAAAGCCTCTGACACAGGAGTGTTTGGAGTGCTAGAAGAAAGCAAGGAGGCAGGAGCAGAGAGAGCAAGGTGGAGAGTAACAAGTCACATCATGTTAAGGCTGTATACTGGCCAAAGGAAAGATGGACTATGGATTTTGTGTAGAGATGGGAAGCTATTAGAAGGCTTTGATAAAGAACAGTGACATGACCATTCATACAGTACAAAATAATCAGACTGCTGTGTGAAAGAGACTCCCGGGAGCATGGATAGAAACAGTGGGATCAGGATGGAGATGAAGGAAAGGACTAAGGAATGATTCCAAGGTTCTTGGCCTGGACACTGAGAAGAATGTAACTGCTATTTATTAAGACGAGATGGATGGTAGAAGCAGCAAGGTATTGCTGTTTTTATGTTTCTTGTTTTTAGGGTGGGTGGGGAGTCACAGAGGGATCTAGAATTTATTCAGGCACATGCTAACTTAAAATGCTTATTGGACATTTAATAAGTAAACTGGATACACAAGTGTTAGAAGTCTGAATTGTAGAAATAAGTTAGTAGTTGCCAGTCTTAAAACTACATAAGATCATCAGTTAGACAGTGTAGAAAAAAGTCAGTCCTGGGGCACTCATCCTTTAGAAGTCATAAAAAGCCAGGAAAGCCAGTGTCAAGAAAGAGAAAATAACCAATGCTGTCAAATGCCGCTGATGGGTCAAGATGAGCACTGAGCAATGACGAGTGAAATGGCTGCTGGCAATAATTCACTAGAGAGGGGAACATTAATTAGGTGGAGAAATGAAGTATTCGCAGGTACCAAAAGGTAGCAGGATCAGTACTCAAACAGAGGGTCTGGTCTCGGCAGCACAAAGAGTTCATCCATTTTAACAGGAGATAAGGGGAGTATACAGGTTCAGATACAGATAGATATGAAAAAATTTATTTACATATCTGTTTTCCTTTATTAGACAAGTTCTTTCCAGATCCAGACATATTTATCTTTCTATCCCTAGTGCCTAGAACAAAACAGTAGGTTTGCTGGATGAAGGGGTGAACTTCAAAATTTGAAGAGCTATTATTTAGAAGATGTATTAAACTCTTTTTCTTCAAACCAAAGGGCACAGAGAAACCAATGAGTACAAGTTACGTAAAGGCATATTATGATTCAATATATAGAGACCCTTTTACCAATTAGAAACTGCCAGGTTGATACTGAGGTGATGAGACAGAAAACAACAATGATAACAGAAATAATTACAAGGGCTGATACTTTTGAGCATTTAATATCTACTAAGCACTGCTCTAAAGCATTTTGCATGTATTAATTCATTCAATCCTTACACCTACATAATGAAATAGGCATTCATATTTACTATCCTCATTTTATAAATGAGGAAGCTGAGGAACAGAGAGTTTAAGTAACTTGCCCTAGGTTCACATAGCTAAAGTAGCAGAAACAAAATTCAAACCCAAGTAAGTTTCCAAAACCTATGCACTTAAAACATTCTATACTATTTCCCAGAACTTAACAGATTCAAAATAACCACAGAAGCTTCACAAATTAGGATGCTGGGTTCAGCTGAATGTATCTTCTTCTTGTGGGTCCCTTAAATGATATATTTACAAAGTCTCACCTGAATAAACATAGTATGTACCAAACATACACCTAGAGTCTGTGTATTAAATATGAATAAATAGTAAGAGAACAAAAAGACAAGTTACAGATTCACAGAAAACATCTGCAAAACATATGTGACAAAGCACTGGTATCCAAAATATATAGAGACCTCTTAAAGCAACAATACGAAAACAACCCAGTTTTTAAAATGCACAAATGATCTGAGAAGACAACTCACCAAAAATATAGAAATGGCAAATAAGTGTATGAAAGATGTTCAACATCACATATCATTAGGGAATTGCATAAGAAACAAGAGATTACTTATATGCCTATTAGAATGACCAAAATCCAAAACACTGACACTACCAAATGCTGATAGGAATGTGGAGCAATGGGAACTCTCATTCATTGTCAGTGGGAATGCAAAATGGTACACTTTGGAATACAATTAAGCAATTTCTTACAAAACTAAACTTGGTATTTATCCAAATGGGTTGCAAAGTTATGTCCACACAAAAACCTGCACACTATTTTATCCATAATTGCCAAAACTTGGAAGCATCCAAGATGTTATGGGTGAATGGATGAACAAACTGCTGTACATCCATGCAATGGAAAATATTCAGCAATAAAACAAAATGTGTTATCAAGCCACACAAAGACATAGAGGAACTTCAAATACTGAGTGACAGAAAACAATCTGAAAAGGCTACACACTGTATGATTCAAAACTACAGAGATTCCAGGACAAGCATAACTATAGGGACTATAAAACGATCAGTGGTTGTCAGGAGTTGGGGGGGAGAGAGTGGGCAGGATAAATAGGTAGAACACAGAAGACTTTTAAGGCAGTGAAAATATTCTATATATTGTAATAGTGGATTGATGTCATTATAAAATTATCAAAACCCACAGAATGTACAACACAAAGGTTAAGCCCTAATCATAAATTATGGACTTGGTTAATAATAATGTACAAATTGGTTCACTTGGGGAAGAGTTGGTAAGCAGGTATATGGGAACTCTCTGTACTTCCTGCTCACTTTTTCTGTAAACCTAAAGCTGCTACCAAAAAAAAAGCCTTTAATAAAAAATAAAATGTAAGTTCATCGTGTATCAACTATACGATGTAGCAGCCAAAACTGCAAATTAAATCATAGACTATGATGTGCTGTGTGTAAAGAGTTCTGAAACTGGTAACCAAATCTGGATTCAAGCCTAGTATTTACTGTCTTTCCTTTGGTAGGAGCACTTTGGTAAAGAGCTGCTTTCCCTAATGAACTGGGTAAGAGCGTAATGACTAAAAAGAACTCAGTGTCCCAATAATGACTGAAGGTTTACACTATGTGACCTCCAAAGTAGATGCCTTAAGAGTGTGTCTAAGATCCTATGATACACATCACAGGATAGAATGTTTAAAATGAGTACTTAAGGACACATAAAAATAAACATTTCTCTCAAAATACTGAAATCTTTGTGGTGCAATCATGGCTCACTGCAGCTTCGACCTCCTTCCTGGGTTGAAGCGATCCTCCCTCCTCGGCCTCCTAAAACTCTGGGATTGTGGGTGTGGGCATGAGCCTGGCCAGTAATTTTTTTTAAAAGGGGGGGGGTAGAATTTGAGCCTATTTAAAGCAAAACTCTGTGTGCATATTTTGTGCTTGCATGTCTTTAGGGAAAAGATTCTCACATGCGACAGTTAATGTACAAATATTCAAAATAAGATGTAAATATCTTCATTGATTTTGGTCATTTTATATACCATTTAATTATATTATTTATTTTAATGACTGTATTCAAATGAATATATTTTAAGGAACCATTAAACAGATCAAAGACTAAATCAAACATATTTTCTTTTCTTCCAATAGAATAAAAAATGTAGAGATAGCAAAAAAGAGTGTATATTTCACATTGCTTCCATTAAACAATTTAGGAAAACAGTTATTAACCATTCTTCCTAAGTACAAACAATGCACTAGGCACTGGTCTTAAAACCTGACAGCTAGAAAGGAACTAGAAGATCAAGGCCAAACAGCCAACCATTGCTTGAATCCTCTACAACAGCACCACCAAGTGGCTATTTATGTGGCCTGTGTCCAAACACCTTCAGCATCAGAAACATGTCTTAGAAGGCAGTCCACTGTGTTAGACCAAAAAATTTTGTCTAATGATAATGCTATCTATTGGTTCTATTTTTTTTCTCCAAGGCCATACAGAAAAAAATCTAATCACGCTTCCATTTAATAGTCCTTCAAATATTTTACAGCAACTATAAACCTCAACTCCTCAATCTAACTTAACAAAGCTATTTCTCATGTATAGTTTTAAAATTTCTCTCATGAAAACTTCCAAGAAAAAATACAAAAACCATAAGAACTTAATTTTTGAATTTACAAAGGAAAATAGTTCACAAAATGACATACTTCTCCAACTGTAAACTTTAAAGCAACAATTTAAATACAGACCAATATTTTACTATTGCTGAATGTCTTGAGTAAACTTAACATTAGCAGATACTTGATATTTTAAAAATATTGTCTACAAATGAAATACCTTCAACAGTTTTTATTTTTAACTAGAGCACAACTGACCAATTCAGAAAATTTATATAAGCCACCATTATATGAAAAGCAGCAATCTCTGAAATCCTCAAGGAAATTAACATAAGATCTGAAACTTGTACATGTGAGCTTGCACAGGTATGCGCATGCACACATACACCTACACATGTGCTACAGCTGTGCTAATGAGTAAAAACTATAACTGATGTTTCTTATACAACTACATTCTGAGTGAAATGAATGATTTAAGAAATAATTTCTGGCCGGGTATGGTGGCTCACGCCTGTAATCCCAACACTTTGGAAGGCCAAGGTGGGTGGATCACCTGAGGTAGGGAGTTCGGGACTAGCCTGACCAACATGGTAAAACCCCATCTCTACTAAAAATACAAAAATTAGCCGGGTGTGGTAGTGGGCATCTGTAATGCCAGCTACTCGGCAGGCTGAGGCAGGAGAATTGCTTTAACCCAAGAGATGGAGGTTACAGTGAGCTGAAATCACACCACTGCACTCCAGCCTAGGTGACAGAGCAAAAAAACAAAAACAAAAACAAAAAAGAAAGAAAGGAAGAATTTCTAACAGAAGAGTTTCTGTTTTACTACAGTACCAATCATTGAACCAATAGATTATATTTACATTTAAATAACATTTTCACTGTAAAGGTAGTTCCTTTTATTAGCTCATTATTAAAGTGCAGTGGAAGTTAGTGTAAAATCTGATACTCATCTTCAGTACTGCCGGTTTCAAAAATATTTTCTAGCAACAAAGATGAATGAAACCAGTACTAGACAAAAAAATGCCAATTTCAACTTAATTCATAATTAATACTTGTGTATTATTCAAGCAATACTTCAGTATTTTAAATGCTCTAAATACTGATAATGTAATTTAAATAACTTATATACCATTAATAGGTCACATGATATGATTTATTTTATTCTGAAAGAGCAAAAAGAAAATTCAATGCTGCTTTATATTTTGGTCTACTGAACAAAAGGTTACTTTCGTACTAAATAAGCTTCAGTGAATTGTCTCAATTGGTCAAGCCATTAAAATGACAATGCATTCACAAGGAGCTTATATTCTGCTTTTATTGAGCTCACTGTGAACAAAAATAGCTAGTTATGCAAGAAAAGTTAGAGATATTAGATTTTGCAGGTTATGCACATTACAAATAGACAATATTAGTGCACTTAGAAAACAGGGAATAATCTTTATTGAGCCTATCAGGATTTCTATTTCTTGATATACCTCAGCTTGTTTGGTAACTTCAAGCAAGTTACTATCTAGTCAGATTTCAGCTATATTAATATTTATCTGGAAGATGTTTTCCATAAATAAATATTCTAAGTAACTTATCCATTATGCAATAAAACATTTTATATTTTAATCATTTAGTAGATATTCTTCTAAAAGACTTTAATTCCCTGCTTTTTAAAAAAAGGTTAAAACTGGCTGGGTGCGGTGGCTCACGCCTGTAATCCCAGCACTTTGGGAGGCTAAGGCAGGCAGATCACGAGGTCAGGAGATCAAGACCATCCTGGTTAACACGGTGAAACCCCGTCTCTACTAAAAAATACAAAAAATTAGCCGGGCGTGGTGGGGAGCGCCTGTAGTCCCAGCTACTTGGGAGGCTGAGGCAGGGGAATGGTGTGAACCTGGGAGGTGGAGCTTGCAGTGAGCTGATATTGCACCACTGCACTCCAGCCTGGGCGACAGAGGGAGGCTCCATCTCAAAAAAAAAAAAAAAAGAAAAAGAAATTAGCTAGGAATGGTGGCAGGTGCCTGTAGTCCCAGCTACTCAGGAGGCTGAGGCAGGAGAATGGTGTGAACCTGGGAGGCGGAGCTGGCAGTGAGCCGATATTGCGCCATGCACTCCAGCCTGGGCAATAGAGCGAGAGACTGTCTCAAAAAAAAAAAAAAAAAAAAGGTTAAAACTTAATTTAACTATTTGCTAATCATTTAGTCACAACATGAGCATGAACTGTATTGTACAATGGTACTGCTACACTTTGATCTTATGTCTTCTCAACTCTGCTTGATGCCATCAGTGTGTTCCTAATGTCTCATACCTCCTTGAGAACCTGAGTGTGGTTACAGGCTCCTAAGCATAAAAGGCCTGGACTTTTGACATCTGGCTCATTGGAGGTCTTCTTCTCTCCCTCTCTGCACCTTCATGACTGGTTTTTCACATGACTGAAGTTCTCATAAAGAAATCACAGTACAACAGCCTGTTGACACTAGGAAGGGAGTTCTAAACAATTCTGAGTGTGTGAACATGGGAACAGAAAAACATCTTCTCTTACAAGGTAACATTGGCTAATTTGTGGTCTCCATTCCTTTTTCCTAGGAACTGGAAATCAACCTGCCCATTCTAGCTTTTCTTATCCTTTATAGAACATTCTCTTCTCCTCAGATGATGTAATAGCATATCCTCCATACTGCCTGTTCATTTGATACAAAGAGCAGAAACAAAGAAGAAACAGTAGCAGTGTAGTCTAATTATACATGAGGTGTAATCTAATTATACATGAGGTGTAAGGTAATATGATTATGATTATATTATATAAAAATAATATGTGTTTAGCATGTATTTATATGTGACAAATAAATGTCAATTAAACTATGAATCTGAGTTTATGGCGGTGCTCAGAAGAAGTCAGAGTACAAAGACGTAATTTTGTCTGGCTTTATATGAGGTTATCACAACAGGACTTTTGAAAAGCAATGGGAATTTTTGAAACAATCAGAAATATTCATAAATCCTACAGTAAATAAATCAGAATTACAGAAAATCTAGATTTTGCTCTCTCTACATATAAATTGAACAAATCACTAAATTCGCTGTCTAACCTTTTTTTCCACTTTTTAAATTAAGCAGTAATAAAAGACCAGTTTTTAAACAAATTCTGCCTAAATAATGACTTGTTTCTCTCTACCAAATAAGTTCATATGACTCATATTTAAGAGAAACTATTCTAAGCCATCAAAGATTAGGTGATTACATGATAGATAACTTAATCTTCTTGGATGCAACAAATTTTTACTGTTCTGAATTAATTTTATCAGAAACAAATGTGAGCTGGCATTTGAGTAACTAATAAAAACTTATTTTACTTTCAATTCTTCCTACTAAAGATAAAAAGAAGTAAAAAAGGCATTTAAAAGATTAGCCCTACAAATGTACTTGGCTTGAATAAATTAAAATTACCACTTTATTTCTGCTAGCTGGTAATGTCAAAAACTACTGATTTAAAGAAAGCAATAAATGATGAAGAAAGTAAGTAAACAAGGACAAAATACCTCAGGGGGAAAAAAGTTATGCTATAAAACTTACTGGTTTTTTCCCACATACAACCCAAAGCTACCCAGTTAACATATCTCCAATGTCTTGCAGCTGATGATATATAAATTACTAAAATAGGCCGGGCGTGGTGGCTCACCCCTGTAATCCCAGCACTTTGGGTGGCCGAGGCGGGTGGATCACAAGGTCAGGAGATCTAGACCATCCTGGCTAACACGGTGAAACCCTGTCTCTACTAAAAATACAAAACATTAGCTGGGCGTGGAGGTTGGCACCTATAGTCTCAGCTACTTGGGAGGCTGAGGCAGGAGAATGGCGTGAACCGGGAGGCTGAGCTTGCAGTGAGCCAAGATCGCGCCACTGCACTCCAGCCTGGGCGACAGGGCAAGACTCTGTCTCAAAATAAATAAATAAATAAATTTAATTTAATAAATTACTGAAATAAAACTATTCAAGATGATAATTCTGGTGGCTTCTGTAACTAACTAAACATCATAAAATATAATCATTTCAGTAGCTAAAAGAATCATGAAGTGACTGATTTTTGACCAAATAAATTGCTCTCTTCCTCTATCTGTAAAATGGGGTGAGTTAGACACTGAAAATTTATTTTTGGTAAAATGCTTCTATTCTTCAGGTAAATTTTATACAATAATCAAGTACTTGGTTCATACCTTGTTTTAATTCCAAACCTTCAGGTTGCTTATTCTCTCTCACGGATGAAGCAGAATCTATACAGATGTCTTGCCTGGGAAATGAAAATAAGATCAACCTTTAAAACTATATTTAATCACATAATATTTACTACCCAGGTTCCCAGAATTAAGTTAGGCACTAGGGAAGACAGGCTACATTCTTCTAAGCTCCCAGGGTATCATTCAGTGTACTCTGGAAGCTCAGAAACAAGTATTCAAGTGTCAGAAGCAGCAGCTACAAACTACTAGCAATTTAAGCAGTATACTTCTTTGTAAAATCAAGGGGCAAACCTGAAAGGAACATGGAAGTAATTTTTTCTCCCTTACAATACTCTGCAGGGTAGCTGATAGGAGAAATCACAACTCACAGCAGTATCCAATAATTTTTCAAGTTCAACTGTTAAATTTAATGAGCATTTTGGCACTCAAATTACTTTATATTCATTTAATTTCATACCTCAAATGCTTTAATGTCTACAGTATGTGGAAAATACATATTTTATATGTAATATACATATGTAATCAAAGTAAAAGGATTAAATGTAAGATCATGCAAAAAACTTTCAATTCACTATGTTCTGGAATACAGCTGCAAAATAATGTGCTTTCTTAGCATTATACCATCTTAATATTAATATACTTTTCAGCAAAAAGGTCAAGAAATTATAAATGTTCAAATGAGCTATGTGACAATTTTCTTCAAAATAGGTATCTCTGTTGCCTTCTGAGAATTCTTATACATATCCTAAAGCTAACATACTAGAAATATTTAGGAAATCTTCCTACTCAGAAAGTTGTGTCTGTTCATTAACAGTAACAAATCTGTCAAATAACCGAAGGATTAAAAAAGACTTGTGATCATTTCTTTGAGAAGTTTACAATATTCTTTCCAGTCAGCACCTCTGGCACTTAAATGTGTTTTGTATTAAAACTGCACTAATACAAGCCCAAACTCAGAGAATACAAAATTATTTGGCTTTGCTGTTAATTATGACATCAGAAATTTATAATTGAGATCTCAGTGTTTTATACTTCTGTCCAAAGTCACCTACTCAGATTTTATTCGTTCACCAGAATGACTGGCAGGTCCCAAGGAGGATATCAACAATTCTCCTTGGCAATCCAGGGAAAGATTAAATGCCAGTATACTACATTAAGAGCTTTGCAAGGTTTAAAGTTAAAATGTGCTACCTCAAACCTTCCAGTCAAATTAGATTTTACCTACTGGGAGCATTAGTCTTAAGTATCTTCCTTTAGAGAAAACGTTTGCTTTCACACATCCTAGAATTGCATTTAATTATTCTTCTAAACATACACATCTAAATTTACAAAAAAAAAAAGACTTCAAAATATAATGTAACATCACCAATAAGAGGAGGATGGATATATGTAATACTCTAAGGAAGACACAACATCATTTATATAATATTCTAGCTGAGAATATATAACCTGTATTATGAAGAATCACCAGACAAACTCAAAATGGAAATGAGTAATGTTCTGTTAAGGAAAGTTGAATGTCATTGTTATAAAATACAAAGGCTGTGGATCTACTCCAGGTTAAAGGGTTGCTAAAGAGCCAAGACAATTAAATGTTATAACTGACCTGAGACTGCTGAACTGGTAGGGAAAACGTTATGAAGGACATTACTGAGTCAAAAGACAAACTGAAATACTGATGGGGAACTGGATAAAAGTATTTTATCAATGTTAAATTTACTCAAGTTGATACTCTGTTATGGTTACATAATAGAGTATCTCTATCTCTTGGAAAAACACAATGTAACATATAGTGAAAAGTGTCATGGTGTATATAACTTAGCCTCAAATGTTTCATTAAAAAAAACATGTATGTAAGAAGGAAGTATGCAAATGGGATAGAAGGTCAATAATAAGTAAATCTTGATAAAGGGTATATGGATGTTTCTTGTACTATTCTTATTCTTGCAACATTGTAATAAGTCTGAAAGTATTTCCAAATGTTTTAATAATAATGCAATGTAACTGCCTTCCCTATGAAAGCCTCTTAGAGCCCCTTTAAATAAAAATTGGACCCCTCTATAAGGACTATCTTCTCTCATAAACAATTTAGTTTAGTGCCCAAAGTGAACTTCTACAACATTCTATTTTAAGTTGGGTTCTATTAGGCTGTTGAAGTCGCCAAACAGAATTTCAGACAGTAAGTATTTTACACCACCCTGTGGCAGAAAAGTGAAGTTAGATGCTGTCAGTATTACCTGAAGTAAATGGGGAAAAAAAATCCCAGAAAGTCTTCAATAGTTTGAAAATTTAAAATCTATACTAGCTAATTTTTACAAGATGTACTTTATGACTAAAATATAAAGTTCTCTAATACAATTTAAAGATCTCCAATAAATGGCATAAAAGGCAAGATATTTACAAAAAGGAAATATCTTAAATTGTAAGAAAATTATGTGTACAGGTCTTTTTATTTCTAGTTTTATGAAAATAAAAATTTTGTCCACTCTCAGGTGGTAAGACATACTAAGTGCCAGAATCAGGATATATATTTAAATGACATTCAAATATTTCTATCAAACACTTTAAGGAAGAATTTTATAAACAACTGTAAAGAGAGGAATGGGGAGAGGGTGGGAACACACTGCCAAAGCCAGTTTGGGTTAAGAATTTTGCAATTATCTTTGTGCTCCCTTCCGTTTAAATTAAAAAAAAAAAAAAAAAAAAAAGCCTGTTTTTCTTTTTTGAGACAGGTTGTTGTCCCGTCTTCCAGGAGGCTGGAGTGCAGTGATCACAGCTCATTGTAGCCTCGACTTCCTGTGCTCAAGTAATCTTCCTACCTCAGCCTCCCAAGTAGCTAGGGCTACAGATGTACACCATCATGCCCGGCTAATTTTTTTAAGTAAAGGTGGTATTTTGCCCTGTTGCCCAAGTTGTTCTTGAACTCCTTGGCCTCCCAAAGTGCTGAGATTACAGGTATGAGCCACCTCACCCAGCTCTGTTTTTATATTTCTAACTCACTTCTCCTATCTCCAACACTCCTTTAAAGCAGCTTAATTTACAAGCTTGGCATTGAATCACAAGAGAGCCCTATACTTATGACTGAGATTTAAGTTCTGAAACCAACATCAGTCCAACTTACTTTATTTTACCTCCACAAGCTATCCACTGTCCATCCTTTCTTATAGTTCAATGATTTTTTTAAAATCAGAGTAATACACTGGGGAGATCTGTGGAACTTAATAAAGAACCACATATATGAACCCCTAAAAGTTAAAAATATATTTCTAAATATGGGGGGTGGGGGTAAATTTCTTGTCCAAATGTAAAATAATGGCAAATAAATCAACTCACATCTCTATTGTGTCCCTCATCAAGCCCCTTCCTCAGACAGCAAAATTTAATCCTACACCTGCTGAAGGAAACTTATCTCTGTTTCCTCTGCTCAAATAATATAAATCAAACGATCAGTTACCACACCCCGGTGCTTTTTCTGACCTGTGATTCTCTAAGGCTTCATTGTATATAAACTGTCCCCCACCCTGCGACTCCAAGATTTTGTGAATAGGCATTTTCCTAAATAGGGGGCTCTGTTTTATTTTAAAGTGACTAAAGGGAATCACAGAGGTGAGTATAGTATCTCTTCTTTGCTCTATCCCCATATTACTGTTTTAATGTCCTTTCCAACTTCAAAAATCAGCGTTAGATCACTTTGTATGGACATTTAAAGGTGCAAACATGCAGGTTTCAAAATGTGGAATGCTATCTACCATTTTAGGTCACAATATTGCCAGTGATTAGTAATACTTTCTGTAAAGATTTTCTGAAAAACTGTTATTTTGAATAAACTTATTATGTTATGCAGAACATTCTACATATTATATAACCTAATAGCAATTTACAAAGGATATGAGAACATTAAGTGGTGTCCAGATAACCAATTTATGATCCTTTACCAACCCAAAAGCACAGTCTGCTCTTTATATGTGTCTAAGAGAATTGAATTTATAGAAAATAATGTCAATATAACAGATTGATCTCAACTGTGAGAAAAATCCTTTTATACATTCAAATATATATGTTTTCTCCTAAATGATTTTTGTAATAAATGAAAAAAATAGACACATACCAATGAATTTTTTAAGCAAAAGTAAAGATTAAAAATCACAAGAAATTTGGCGAGGGGCAGTGGCTCATGCCTGTAATCCCAGCACTTTGGGAGGCCAAGGTAGGCAGATCACCTGAGGTCAGAGTTTGAGACCAGCCTGACCAACATGGAGAAACCCCATCTCTACTAAAAATACAAAATTAGCCAGGTGTGGTGGCACACGCCTGTAATCCCAGCTACTCGGGAGAATTGAGGCAGTAGAATCACTGGAACCCGGGAGGTGGAGGTTGTGGTGAGCCAAGATCATGCCATTGCACTCCAGCCTGGGCAACAAGAGAGAAACTATGTCTCAAAAAAAAAAAAAATTATTGGTTTCTTTAGGTTTGTGTAGCATAAAAGGAATGGAGGGGGAAATCCCCAATACTCATCAGTATAAAGTAGAATTTTAGGAACAGTCACTGTTACAGATTCCAAGTAAAAATTCCAAAACAAATTTTGTAACATTTTTTTCCAATGCTTACCATATGGCAAGTACTAATTCTAAAGACTTTAAATCATTTTCTCATTTAATCATCATAACAATCCTATGAGGTAGGATTCTATTTTCCAGATGAGAAAAACTGAGGCCTAGGAAGGTTTCGTAGTAGTAACTAAAGACAGTAAATAACTTTATTTATTTATTATTTATTTTGAGATGGAGGCTTGCTCTGTTGCCCAAGCTGGAGTGTAGTGGCACGATCTCAGCTCATTGCAACCTCCACCTCCCAGGTTCCAGGGATTCTCCTGCCTCAGCCACCCGAGTAGCTGGGATTACAGACACATACCACTATACCCGGTTAATTTTTGTATTTTCAGTAGAGACGGGGTTTCACCATGTTGGCCAGGCTAGTCTCAAACTCCTGACCTCAAGTGATCTGCCCACCTTGGCCTCCCAAAGTGCTGGGATTACAAGCGTGAGCCACCACACACATGGCCAGTAAATAACTTTAAATGGACACTAATAAAATGTTTAAATGTCTAATAAGAGACTGTTTATGTTCTGGTATACCAAAAAATGGTATAGTAAATAGGCATAAGTATATGTACTGGGTAGGACAAAGTCAAAGAAAAAGACATTATTATATGGAAGAAATAAATGGGAAAAGGTACAGAATAGTTTGCACAATATGCTACCATTTGTGTGAGAAGAAAATATGTACATATATATGTAAATGTATAGAATATCTGTGGGAGGAGACACAAGAACTGGTTTACTGTGGTTGCCTATAGGAAGAAAGAATAAGGAATGGCAAAAGGACAGACTTACTCTCACTATATCCTTTTAAAATCTTTGTATTATGTGTATGTGTTTATAATTCAAATAAGTAAGTTGTTAAAAAACAGACAATACATGAAGACAAACACTCTGGTATAACATTTCTGAATAAGAGCATACACAAGAAAAGGTTAACAGTGGTTACCTTTGAAGCTTGGGACCTTAACATGGATTCTTGGACCATCTCCACCTCTTTACTGCCAGGTATACGGATTGAATTCAGGAGATTTGTGAATTTGCCTAGTGTATTTGTTTCCTATGAATTTTGTAATAAACTACCACAGCTTGGTGACTGAAAAACAATAAAAATCTATTATCTCTCAATTCTGGAGGCCAGAAGCCCAAAATCACTACAAATTACCCAAAATCAATATACTGGCAGGGCCACAATCCCTCCAGATGCTCTACAGCAGGGGTCCCCAACGCCTGGGCCACAGATCGGTACCAATCTGTGGCCTGTTAGGAACTGAGCCGCACAGTAGGAGGTGAGCGGTGGTGGGCAAGCAAGCATTACGGCCTGAGCTCCACCCCACATTAGATTCTCATAGGAATGTGAACCCTATTGTGAACTGCACATGCAAGGGATCTCGGTTGCATGCTCCTTATGAGAATCTAATGCCTGATAATCTGAGGTGGAACAGTTTCAGCCTGGTATCATCCTCCCCACATATTCCCTGATGGAAAAATCTTCTTCCATGAAACCAGTTCCTGGTGCCAAAAAGCTTGGGGATCGCTGCTCTATAGAAGACACTGTTTCACAAGCCTTAAGGCCCTTTCTTCTATCTCCAAAGCCAACATCTCTGACTCTGCTTCCTTATGCTTCTATCATATAGTCTTCTCAAAGACCGTCAAATCTCCTCCTGTTTCCCTCATATAAGGACACTGGATATAAAGATACATGCAAGTGATTGCATTTAGAGCCCACAAAAACAATACAGGAAAATCTTCCCAACTCACCATCCCACCTATTCATATCTGTAGTCCCTTTTGCTATAAAAACTAACATTCACAGATTCTAGGGATTAAGATGTGGCTATGTGGGGGGATTTTCTTTAGCCTACCACAGATGGGGAAAAATTACATCTGTATTTTCACTAGAATCCATTTTTTTTAGGTATTAGCATTATCTGTGATTCTGTCATCATTAGAAATCAACATATTTTCACATAATATAGTTGTTGCACACATCCAAAATACTGTTTATACTTAACCTATACTTTAAAATTATTAAAGTTATTAGAACTGCTGCTAGATCTTATTAATATGTCCATAAGTATATTACCATATTGCAAAATATTTTAATATTAACTATTTTATTATTAATTTCCTTTCTAATTCTGTTTTAATCCATGAATTTAAAATAAAAAAAGAGCAAACATCATTTTGAGAAAGAATCCATAGGCTTCACTAGACTTCCAAGGGTCCTTGACACAAAAAAGTTTTAGAAGTATGGTACTGCTTTGGAGAAAGAACAAGTATGGGAGGAGGATGGGGTGAGATCAGAAGGTGAAACAGAAAGGTTTTTATCTTTATTTTAAACTTGTGTACTATTTGAATTTATCTATCTACTATTTATGTACATACAACTCTGCTTTTATTTGAAAGTCAATAAGAGTTATCTTCAGTTTCGTACTATTCCTTCCTTATTATGCTAGGCTGAATAACAGCCCCCCAAATATGCCCACATTCTAATTCCCCAGAACTAGTGAATGTTACCTCATACGGCAAAAAACTTTGTGATTGTGATTAAGGATCTTGAAATGGGGAGATTATCTTGCATTATTCTGATGAGCCCAATGTGGTCACAGTAATCATTTTATAAGGATGTAAGAGAAGTCAGAGTTAGAAGAAATGGCAATATCACCCTGGAAGCAGAGAATGATGTGATATGCTCTGAAGATGAAGGAAAGGGCCACAAGACAGAGAATATAAGCAGTAACTGGAAGCTGAAAAGGGCAAGAAAATGAATTCTCCCCTCAGAGCTTCCAGAAATAACCAGCCCTGCTGACACCTTGACCTCAGCCCAGAAAAACTGATTTTCACTTCTGACCTCCAGAACTATAAGAAAATAAATATGTGTTGCTTTAAACCACTAAGTTTGTGGTAATTTGTTATAGCAGCAATAGGAAACTAACACACTTATAATTTTAAAAAGTTAATAAATCCCAGCTTACAAGAAAACTCAGAGGATATAGGAACAAGTCAAATAACACCATGAAGATACAATCAGATAAAGCCAACAGGTGTACAGGACAACTTACCTACTTTCTTCAACACGTTCATTTATTAATAAAAAAGCAAACAAGAGACAATAGGAAGGTGGACGCAGTTTTACATTAAAAAAGACTTAAGAGAGAGAACAACTAAATGCAATGTGTACTCTTGCTTGTACTCTGCTTCAGAGAAACCACATGTAAAAGACCTTTACGGAACATCCGGGAAAATCTGAATATGAAATGAATATCACATATTAGAGAATTATTGCTAATTACGTTAAGTGTTATAAAGATATGACTGCAGAGACAAATATTAAAATTAAAAAATTAGATTTAAAATGTCTAATATACTGAAAATACTATAAGAAAATAGATGAAGCAAATGTGGAAAACTATAATAATTGTTAGATCTAGATGACAGGTATATGGGAGTTGATACACTATTGTTTCTACTTTTCTATATGCTTGATAATTTTCATAATAAAAAGTAAAAAAAAATAAATAAACCAAAATAAAACCTAATACGGTGAAATTCCTTTTATTTAACTCAGATAGAAAATGTCACTTCCGTAAAAAAGAAACTTATTACCACAGGAAACACTTTTTTAAAGTAAAATATGTAAATCTGAGCATTTTTTATTAACTTAAAATTAAAAACACATCTTTAATTCACCAATCTTTGGATATGGGGCCATGGCCTTACCTTTAATACAAATTCATGGAATAGAGTTCCATATCATTCTACTCACATAAACCATTGTTGACATTTCTAGTTTTGGCTTAGTTAAAATGAAAAAATCTGAATGTGGAAAAAAAAACCATTTATATTTATACAATGCCCCTCCAGATATTCTGTTTCCCTACAGCTAATTGAGTACAACTTTTCAGCAACCCGAGCTTTCCCAAACTCAAAACAATCTAATCAATTAATCTTTTCTTATTAATAGTTAACGTGTTTACATATTTAAATTACACAATTATAAATTGCCTTGGAAACACAGATGAGTAACTCTTGGTAAGCCAACAGTTTAAATGGTGGGAGAGGTACATGGGCATTATTAGAGAGAAGTTATTAACAACCAATTTAGGACACTGTGAACATTAGTGAATTTATTTTTCAAATGAAATGAACAATTAATAAAACAAATCAGTTAAGTGATTAAGAGAAACTTCAATTTTTTAAAAAGGTGATAGAGAAAGAGTAGAAAAAAGGAAAAATACCTGCTAATCATCTAACCCAGTGCTTGAGCAGCAGGATGAGGCAGTAAATTGACTGATGGAAAAATGACAATAGATACAGTTTAAAAGTTAGGTTTCTGTAATAGAAAGAATAACTTTTTTTTTTTTTTTTTTTTAACGCAGATGCAGCTACAAAAACAGATAACAATGCTTCCCAAGTCCCTCAAAGTTCCCCACAGGGAAACCGTTGCCAAGCATAACACCTGATTGAAATGAAGACCCCATCTGGGGCTTCTGACAAACTCATGCCCTGCCATTCTAAGGAAAAGTTCTATAGATTCTGGAAAGGTGCCTATCTGCTTCCTATTTAAAAGTAACTATACCAAGATTTGCTTCAAAGTAATCAGATTAGAAAAACTGGGAGGAGGTTGTTTAAAATAATATGGAAGGGACACAGTGAGTGATAAATATGCAAGGGTTCATCCTACTGCTGTCTTTTTTGTAGGTTAAAATTTCTCTACGTAGAGTTAAGCAAATAAGTAACTGGTACATAACAATCGATGCATTCCAGAGTGGTTATCTAAGTTGTCTGAATCACAGGTCAATTTCCTAAGTGGGTAATTCCCAAGACGCCTAGATCTCAGGGGTGTGTATATAGACACATACACACACACACACACACGTATAAATACACACATATATACGTGTGTGTGTGTGTGTGTGTGTGTATACATATATTTTTTTTTCTGAGAAGGAGTCTTGCTCTGTTGCCCAGGCTGGAGTAATGCAATGGCGCGATCTCGGCTCACTGCAACCTCTGCCTCCCCGGTTCAGGTGATCCCCCTGCCTCAGTCTCCCAAGTAGACGGGAATATAGGCATGCGCCATCACACCCAGCTAATTTTTCTATTTTTAGAAGAGATGGGGTTTCACCATGTTAGCTGGGGTGGTCTCAAACTCCTGACCTCAAGCGATCCACCCGCTTCGGCCCCCTAAAGAGCTGGGATTACAGGCGTGAGCCACCGCGCCCAGCCGCAGGTCTATATTTTTGATAAAAATATTTCCTTAGGTATGTACTGCAGATTTATGCTGCCCATCAATGCAGTTCTATAGAGCACAGTAAATTTTACTCAAATACTTTATTGCATTCAAGTTTATTAATAGTGGTTTAAGGAGGACTCTTTTATTCCCAACAAGTTCAGTTTTGCTGACACTTACTGAGAGAGGTTATCATTTGGCTGAACACCATTGACCCTCTGAAAGTTATTTATACATACATATTCAGGGAATATATGTCACCTAAATTGAAACAATTCAAATTCTTAGTATTCTAATGACATGAGCTAAACCTACTGGATGGCTCCAACTCATCAAAAAGGACATGGATGTTTTTCCCTTATTAAAAATAAAAGAGACCAGGCGCAGTGGCTCATGCCTGTAATCCTAACACTTTGGGAGGCAGAGGAGGGCAGACCACCTGAGTTCAGGAGTTAGAGACGAGCCTGGCCAGCATGGTGAAACCCTGTCTCTACTAAAATACAAAGATTAGCCAGGCACAGTGGTACTCGCCTGTAATCCCAGCTACTCAGGAGGCTGAGGCAGGATAATCACTTGAACGTGCTAGGCAGAGGCTGCAGTGAGCCAAGATCGTGCCACTGCACTCCAGCCTTGGTGACACGGCAAAACTCTGTCTTTAAAAAAAAAAAAAAAAAGATGGTGAGTAGCTGTGTTATAATAGCTCAGCAGAAAAAGTAATGCAGTCCAGGCATGGTTGCTCACGCCTATAATCCCAGCACTTTGGGAAGCCGAGGTGGGTGGGTCACCTGAGGTCAGGAGTTCGAGACCAGCCTGGCCAACATGGTGAAACCCCATCTCTACTACAAGACAAAAACTAGCTGGGCAGGGCGGCGGGTGCCAACTACTTAGGAGGCTGAGGCAGAAGAATCACTTGAACTTGGGAGGCGGAGGTTGCAGTGAGCCAAGATCATGCCACTGCACTCCAGCCTGGGCGACAGAGCCAGACTTCATCTCAAAATAAATAAATAAATAAATAAATAAATAAAATAAAAAATCTAATGCAGCTGCTAATCTCTGGCTTTCAATTGGGCTTTGTAAGTGGATGGGCTATGTAACTCTATACACTCATGAAAATTTATTAAACTAACAAACAGCAAGAGTTCTACCACATATCACTGCTAGGGTTCAGCAATATAAAGAGTGGTTATACAGGTAACTCTAGTTACTGCTCTCAATAAGACAACTGATTGAGCCAAAGGAATAGCCAGTATTTTTCAAGAATAAATATCTTACTGCAAAAGCAGTCATTAAACCTCCTACATTTATGCACTGTGTTCTTTCATTCTATCTTCTCTAAATGCCTACCCTGAGCATAAATAGCAGTCTGCAGGAAACTCCTGTTTTGAAGGGTGGAATAAGTTGCAGACTACATAAGAAACCTAACTGTTAAACAATGTACTAAAATCTAGTATAACTAGTAACCAGTACACTTTCAGTAGTAACTAATAACTACATGACACCAACTTGCTTTTTAACCAATTTATATTTTAAGAATACATATGTATTCTATTGCAAACAAAAGCACTCATATTTCAGATTTATAAAACAGGCAACTTAAATGGAGATTTTAAATAGACAGATAGATATACATATAATATATATATATATATATATTTAGACAGAGTGTCAATCTGTTGCCCAGGCTGGAGTGCAGTGGCACAATCAAAGCTCACTGTAGCCTCAATGTCCTGGGCTCAGGCAATCCTCCCCTCTCAGCCTCCCAAAGTGCTCAGATTACAGGCATAAGCCACCATCCCCTAAAATAATTCTTATCAAAGATTTACTCATATTACAAACAATTCCCTAAAGAATATACTAGATATTTAAATATTCTCATGGAAATAAAATGGTTCCATTTATACATATTGCCTAAATGTAAGGCCTATTTAGGAATATCTTTTTTAAGTTAATAATTTGAAATTAAAATTTGGTAACTAATTTAGAACACACCCATCCTCTACTAAGAAGCAGTAGTGGCTAGAAACAACAGCTCCAAAACACTCATATAGAAGCTACTTTGATTGGGTGCAGTGGCTCATGCCTATAATCCTAGCACTTTGGGTGGCTGAGGCAGAAGGATCTCTTGAGCCAAGGAGTTTGAGACAAGCCTGGGCAACACATGGTCTCTACAAAAAATTTAAAAATTAGCTGGTTGTCATGGCTCATGCCTGTGGTCCCAACTCCTCAGGAGGCTGAGGTGGGAGGATCACTTATCACTTCAGCAGTGACCCGTGATTGAGCCAATGCACTCCAGCCAGGGTGACAAGTGAGCAGCTGCCTCAAAAAGAAAAAGTACCTACTTTGTGTTTTAACTTATTTTGAGAACTTGAGATTTTTAAAATTTCTTTATCTTCTACAACCATGATACTATCTCAACACTGTTTATTATCTGTAGGAAAATGCAGCACCATTTTCACTGGTATCTCCCTCAAAATCACTCAATAAAAGCACATTCATTTAAAATTCATAAAGATATTTAGAGAAAGCAATTTTAAAACTGCTAAGATTTCCCTACAGTATACTTTTATTCCTTATATATGAAATCTCAATCCTGATTATTTTATTGTGCTATTCAAGACTTAAATTTCATTATAAGCACATTCTTTGGAACATAATCATCTAACATTACAGGCCAAACTAATACCTGTTCTCATTTTCAGTGCTATTTTAACTGGAATAAAGCTTTTTTCCCAGCCCATCTCCGATCAAAGACAACACTCTAATTCCAAGACTTCATATTACCTACTTACTTAAAATTGTTGCGTTGTTAAGCGGTTTTATCTTAATCTGTAACTTTTACAAATGTTGTCACAATTCCTAATAGTTTTAAAACACTATAAAACTATACATGCTAAAGTTTTTAGACAACCCGAAATAAAATATAAATTTGCTCATTTTCTTTTCCCTAAGGTGACAATACCATTCCTCGCCTTTTTTCACTCTTTAAAAAATTTTACAGATACCTGCACCGGGTACGGTGGCTCACGCCTGTAATCCCAGAACTTTGGGAGGCCGAGGCGGGCAGATCACGAGGTCAGGAGACTGAGACCATCCTGGCTAACATGGTGAAACCCCATCTCTACTAAAAATACAAAAAATTAGCCGGATGTGGTGGCAGGCACCTGTGGTCCCAGCTGCTCGGGAGGCTGAGGCAGGAGAATGGCGTGAACCCGGGAGGTGGAACTTGCAGTGAGCCTAGATCACACCACTGCACTCAAGCCTGGGCAACAAAGTGAGACTCTGTCTCAAAAAAAAAAAAAAAAAAAAAAAAAAATTTTTTTTACAGATACCTACTGGTTGTACTTATTTATGGAGTATATGTGATATTTCAAATACAAGCATACAATGAATAATGATGAAATCTGCATAACTGGAATATCCATCATCTCAAACTCAACATTTCTTTGTGCTAGGAACATTCTAAATCTTCTCTTCTACCTATTTTGAAATAAACAATAAATTATTGTTAACTACAGTACCCCTATTGTGCTACTGAACACTAGAACTTATTCCTTCTTATCTAACTATACTTTTGTATCTACTGAACTAACTTTCTTTACCCAAACGCTCCCTGTACCCACCCCAACCTCTGGTAACCACCTTTCTATTAATTACCTCCATGAAATCAATTTTCTCACTTAAAAAATGAAGGTATTTAGAAATGATGGATGTTGTATCTTCACAGTTCCTAATCTTCATCCCCATTAAAATTTTTGTCACTCTCATTAATTTCAAGTTTCAAACTGGCACACTAACAAAAATTTCTTATGACTACTGCTTTCTTGTTACTATTGGTAGTAAAAAGGAGCTATCTTAAGGTATGGTAAGAGTAGGGAAATAATCTTTAAAACAGCAACAGAAAGAGAAATCTGGAAAAAAACAATACATTTGTAAGCTGAGCTTAGAGGAGAAATAGAATTTGAATATATAAAGCTGGCAATATAAGAAGATAAACTGCAAAGATAAATTTATAATCTTTAAAGCTTGTTCATAAACACTTGTGCATAATTCTGTATCTTAAAATATTTAATGTAAGAAAACTAACATACACAGGGTATGTTAAATACCATACACACACACGTATATGTACACCTCATACTGAAAGATGTCACTTTACAGCTTCTTAGACAATTTTACTGATGTTATGTCTCTTTCTAATTAAAACTATAATAAAAGACATTTTGGGAGGCCAAGGCAGGTGGATCACTCGAGGTCAGGGGTTCAAGACCAGCCTAGGCAACATGGTGAAACCCCAACTCTACTAAAAAATACAAAAATTAGCCAGGCGTGGTGGCATGCACCTGTAATCCCAGATACTTGGAAGGCTAAGGTGGGAGAATTGCTTGAATCTGGGAGGTGGAGGCTGCAATGAGCTGAGATCACACCACTGCACTCCAGACTGGGCAACAGAGTGAGACCCTGTCTCAAAATTGGGCAACAGAGTGAGACCCTGTCTCAAAAAACAAAAACAAAAAGCACTATAATAAAAGAGCATAGGTCGCCTACTAAAAGAAAACATCAAATTTTTTCATGTATTTTAATAACACAGATTGCTTTAATCTAGACATATTTGAAATTATTTTTCTTCTTTAAAAAAGCTGTATGTCTCAGTTGATAAGAAGCTGACAAACTGATATAATTGTTTCTAAAGCCAGCCTTTGTCCTTTATGTATTTTCCCCTTCAATCAGAGTCTCATTTTATAAACATTTTGTATATTAAACATTCAGGCAAATGAAGTACTAGGTAGTGCACTGAAATACAATGTCATATAAAGAACGGCAGCAGTCAGCTCTAATTTTTTGCATGCCCAGGAAAGTTGCTTGATCTGATTTTTTTTCAAGCAACTAAGAAATCCAGATTGTGGTGTGATCTCCTTTGGAATGTTGGAAACAATTTCAAAAATTTTAAAACATCGCTTAGGTCATAGAAAATAACCCTATTGCTCTAGGCAACCAATCTATAACTTTGGCTTATTGTCCAGGTTTTAATCAAGCACATTTTATTAGTTTTCTATTGCCACTCTAATATATTATCACAAGTTTAGTGGCTTAAAAGAACATATATTTATCCTCATACAGTTCTGAAGGTTGTTAAGTCCAAAATAAGTCTTAAGAACTAGAATGAAGTTGTAGGTAATACTGCATTTCTTGCAGAGGATCCAGGGAAAAATCTACTTCCATCCTGTCTTTTCCAGCTTCTAAAAGGTAGCCTATATTCCCTGGCTTGTGGATCCTTCCTCCATCTTCCAAGCACATCATTTTAATCTCTGCTTCCAGCATCTCTTGACTTCGACTGTCTTATCTCCCTCTTATAAGGATCCTCATGATTATACTGGTCTCACCTTGATAATCCAGAAGTCTTCCCATCTCAAGATCCTTAACTTAATCAATCACATCAGCAAAGTCTCTTTTGTCTTTTGAAAGTACATATTCACAGATTCTGGGAATTAAAATCTGGATATGTCTTGGGTGAGGGGGAGGTCATTATTCTATCATATATGCATTCTAGAAGGTTTTTTTTTTTTTTTTTTTGAGATTCCTTAAAACTTTCTATATAAATGGTCATGCTTCTGTATTGGTAAGTGCCCTGTACAGGTGTATCATTTATTGTACCTTTTCTATGTTTAGATAATATTTGGATACATAAATACTTACCACTGTACCACAATTGTCTACAGTATTCACTACAATAACATGCTGTACAGGTTTGGAGCCTAGGAATAAGAGGCTATATCATATGGCCTAGGTATGTAGCAGGCTATAGTTTAAGCATCCCTAATCTGATCCGAAATCCAAAATGCTCCAAAATATGAAATTTTTTGAGCACCAACATAATGCCACAAGTGGGAAATTCCACACCTGACCTCTTGTGGCAGGTGCATAGAAGTTTAATACTTTAATTTTATACAATTGGCTGGGTGCAGTGGCTCATGTCTGTAATCCTAGCACTTTGGGAGTCCAAGGTGGGAAGATCACTTGAGGCTGGGAGTTCAAGACCAGCCTGGACAACATAGTGAGACCCTGTCTCTACAAAAAATTTAAAAGTAAGCCAGGGATGGTAACACAGGCCTATAGTCCCAGCTGCTTGGGAAGCTGAGGCGGATCACTTGAGCCCAGGAGTTTGAGGCTACAGTGAGCTATGTACCTGCACTCCGGCATGGGCAAAAGAGCGAGACCTGCCTCTAAAAAAATTTGTTTAATAAATAAATATTGTATAAAATTACCTTCGGACTACATGTATCAAGATGTATATGAAACATAAATGAATTTAATGTTTAGACTTGGGTCCATCCCCAAGATATCAGTATGTATATGCAAATATTCCAAAATCTGAAAAAAAAATCTGAAATCCAAAACATTTCTGGCCCCAAGCATTTCCAATAAAGGATACTGAACCTGTAACATCTAGGTTTGTATAAGTGTACTCTATGACGTTTGCACAACAAATCACCTAACTATACATCTCTCAGTGCAATTCCTCATTATTAAGTGTCACATGACTGTATTTTCCTCAGATGAGTACATGCGTATATCATCTCTACATTCCTGCCTATCTGCATCCTTCTTTCACCCAACAAATGAATGGTATCTTGACCAAGTATAGGAGCAAGGGTTCAATTTCAGTTGTATGAACATGTTACTCCATTATCTTATTACAGTTTCTGGTGTTGTGGATGAAAAATCTGATCCTTTTCCTTCTTTGATGTGTTCTGTTGACTGGAAGGCTGCTAAATTTTTCACTTAATAAAAAAAAATCTGCTTCCATGTTATTTTTTCCCTGCAATCCTGCCTAGAACTCAGTGAGCACTTTCAATTTGAAGACTTAAATTTGTTTTTCAGGTCAGAAAAATTTTCCTGTATTTATTACATATATTTCCTATATTTGTTATATTTTCCTATATTTATTACACAGGAAAAATTTCCTATATTATTAAATTATTATTTAATAATTTCTTAATGTTTTAGTATTTTACCTCTCCTTTCTATGTTTCATTTTCTCTTTCTAGGATTCCTACTTATTATACATGAGGATGATAAAGCCTTCTAACTTACTCGACTATTTTCTCTTATGATTTCCATCTTTCATATTTTTGCTTTGTGAATCCATTCTTTCAGGGATCTAATTTGGGACTTAATGGTAACAATCCCCTATTCTGATTAACTTACAGAATTTAGTTTAAAAAATCATATTTTCCAGCCCAAGAATAATTCTTCATGCTGCACTTGATTTTTTATAAGAGCTCATTTTATTCCCTGCAATTGTTCATTCCTCTAACAGCTTAATTTAGCTTGGCATGTGCTTTGTTTCTTTCAAGTAATCTTCTCTCTAGATATCAAGATCCTTTAAAGATGTTATATATGTATTCATGCATGTGTTTATGTATATGGTCATTATGGTCAATTCCTTGGCGCTCAGGTTTAGTAGCTACTCCAAAACTGGCAGAAAGCAAAGCAGTCTCTCCCTCCACAGATCCACAATGAAGAAGTAAACCACTATACTTTGAGATATCTACTCCCCAGTTTTTTCAGGTTCTCCCAGACTCAGAGACAGGAAACAGCTGGCCCATTCAATTCTATCTTCAACTTATAAAATGAAAGAAACCAGGCATATTCACACAAGATACATGTTAACTTTCCCCTTCCCATTCTCCATCTTCCTCCACTTCCACACAGTTCTCAGACCTCAGTAAACCAAGTTCCACCACTTTGGCCAGGCATGGTGGCTTAAGCCTCTAGTCCCAGCAGTTTGGGAAGCCAAGGTGGGAGGATCGCTTGAGCATGGGAGACAGAGGCTTCAGTGAGCCAAGACTGCACACCGTACTCCAGCTTGGGGGACAGAGTGAGACAGTGTCTAAAAAAAAAAAAATCCAACGCTTTCCTCTAGGATCTTCAATGCAAATCAATAAGTACCTATCCAGCCCAAAGTAAACACTTTGTAGTTATTATCTTTGCCAAGATTCCCAAGAAGCCAAAATCTTACCTGCAACCAACATCCATCTTACTTTGGAGAAACAGATACACTACATGCTTATTAGTCAAAGAAAAAAGGAGCAACATTCAAGTTTCCTTCTTCCCTGAATCTCTTCCTCTGACTTTGGAGAAATGTACACTGATTCTTTGAGATTTGTATACATGGAAGTTTTCCACAGGTATCTTTCCATGACATTACTTGAAAATCACTGCATTTAAGAATAGCTCCTCAAAGTGATTTGAAGTTAAGGATATCTCCTAATTTCATCCAAGATAATTTCTATTTCTGTTTATTTTTGTTGTTGCTTTGTAGTAAATTCTAAGAAGGGCAAAACTGCTGTTTATGATGTCATTTTTTTCCAGAACATTTTAACAGATTTATTTATAATTATAAAGTTGAACCACTGAAACTTGTTCACTGAAATATTCTGACTTGCATTAATGCTTTACGTCCCTGAATTTACGTTAAAAATTCACACATGAATAAAAATGGAAAAACTGGAAATAATTGATTTCTATCCCCTATTTTTTCACTAACAATCATATACTTAGGTACTGTGATGGTTATTAAGTGTCAACTTGATTGGATTGAAGGATGCAAAGTATTGTTCCTGGGTATGTCTGTGAGGGTGTTGCCAAAGGAGATTAACATTTGAGTCAGTGGACTGGGAGAGGCAGACCCATCCTCAATCGGTGGGCACCATCTAATCAGCTGCCAGCACAGCTAGAATAAAGCAGGCAGGAAAAGATGTAAGAGTAGACTTGCTGAGTCTTCCAGGCTTCATCTTTCTCCCATGCTGGATGCCCTTGAACATCAGACTCCAGGTTCTTCAGTTTTTAGACTCTTGGACTTATGCCAGTGTTTGCCAGGGGCTCTCGGCCTTTGGCCCCAGACTGAGGACTGCACTGTCGGCTTCCCTACTTCTGAGGTTTTGGGACTTGGACTGATCCACCATTGGCTTCCGTGCTTCTCAACCTGCAGACAGCCTATTGTGGGACTTTACCTTGTGATCGTGTGACTCAATTCTCCTTAATAAACTCCCTTTCACATATACATATATCCTATTAGTTCTGTCCCTCTAGAGAACCCCGACTAATACAGGTATCTTTTGACTCTATGGCAAAAAAATAAGCTCAAAACTACCAATAATAGGAAAAAAATCCGGGGGGGGGGGGTCTCTTTTAGAGAATGTAATGTTTCCCATCACAGTGGTTTCTTAAAAGGATGTTCTCCACACTCACGGGGTGTCTTTTGGCATAATTGTTATACATTTGGCATGGACAGCACACAGGCTGGTGTCTTCAAAAAGGACAACCAGATAGGCCTCACTTGCCTCCCGCAAAGCACCAATAGCTGCGCTCTGGACGCACTGGTCTGATTTGAAGTCCTGAGCAATTTCTCAAGCCAGACCGTGGAAGGGAAGTGTGTGATTCAGAAGTTCAGTGGACTTCCAGAAACAACTGATTTCATGGAGTGCCACAGTACCAGGCCTGTAACAATGAGGTTTCTTCACCACTCCAGGAGAGGGTGCACTCTTGTAAGCAGCCTTTGTAGTCAGTTGCTTCCTGGATGCTTTACCACCAGTTAATGTGCAAGCAGTCTGCTTTGTAGGAGCCACCATATAGCAACCTCCTTACTTAGTCCCCTTTTCCTTCACCTAGAGTTCAGTGAGCTAGAGATGGCACCAGCCTTGGAGAGTCACAGTGGGTCAGCAGTACAGCAGAAGTTGTGAAAACCTGTCATCTTTCTTTCTTTATTTATTTTTTGAGATGGAGTTTTGCTCTGTCACCCAGGAGTGCAGTTGTGGGATTTTGGCTCACTGCAACCTCCATTTCCTGGGTTCAAGTGACTCTCCTGCCTCAGCCTCCCAAGTAGCTGGGATTACAGGCACACATCACCATGCCTGGCTAATTTTTGTATTTTTAGTGGAGACCGGGTTTCATCATGTTGGCCACGCTGGTCTCAAACTCCTGACCTCAAGTGATCCAACCACCTTAGTCTTCCAAAGTGCTGTGATTACAGGCATAAGCAAGTGTGCCAAGCCCTCTCTTTCTTTCATCTTTAAACCTTAAATCCTATTCCATAACTTTAGAAAAAACATTAACTAAAAATCAAAATTGAGTCACCCATGCTTTGGGATGCTGAGGTGGGAGGACAGTTTGAGGCCACAAATTCAACATCAACCTGGGTAACACAGCAAGACCCCATCTAATTTAATTTTTTGTAGAGACAGGGTCTCACTATGTTGCCCAGGCTGGTCTCAAACTCCCAGCCTCAGGTGATCCTCTCAACCTGTACTCACAAAGTGCTGGTATTACAGGTGTGAACCACCATGCACAGTCGTTGTTGTAATCGTTATAAAAAGTTAAATAGCTACTATAATTGGCTATCCATTTGATATACTTTTGCTGTGTCCCCACCCAAGTTTCAACTTGAATTGTAGTTCCCATAATTCCCACATATTGTAGGAGCAACCTGGTGGGAGATCACTGAATCATGGGGGCAGTTTCTCCCATACTCTTCTGGTGGAAGTAAGTTTCACAAGATCTGATGGTTTTATAAGGGGAAACCCCTTTTGCTTGGTTCCCTCATTCTCTCTTGCTGCCGCCATATAAGAAGCGCCTTTTGCCTTCCACCATGACTGTGAGGCCTCCTCAGCCATATGGAACTGTGAGTCCAGTAAACCTCTTTTTCCTTATAAATTACCCAGTCTCAGTTATGTCTCTATTAGCAGTGTGAAAACAGACTAATACAGTAAATTGGTACCAGTAGAGTGGGGCACTGCTGTACAAATACACGAAAATGTGAAAGTAACTTTGGAACTGGATAACAGGCAGAGGTTAGAACAATTTGGAGGGCCCAGAAGACAGGAAAATGTGGGAAAGTCTGGAACTTCCTAGAAACTTGTTAAATGGCTTTGACCAAATGCTGATAATGATATGGACAAGGAAATCCAGGGTGTGGTGGTTCCAGACGGAGATGAGAAACTTGTTGGGAACTGGAGTAAAGGTGACTCTTGCTATATTTTAGCAGAGACTGGCAGCATTTTGCCCTTGAGCTAGAGATTTGTGGAACTTTGAACTTGAGGGAGATGATTTAGGGTATCTGGTGGAAGAAATTTCTAAGCAGCAAAGCATTCAAGAGGTATGTGGGTATTATTAAAAGCATTCAGTTTTAAAAGGGAAACAGAGCGTAAAAGTTCAGAAAATTTGCAGCCTGCCAATGCTACAGAAAAGAAAAACCCATTTTCTGAGGAGAAAAATCAAGCAGGCTGCAAAAATTTGCATAAGTAACGAGCAGCCCAATGTTAATCGCCAAGACAATGGGGAAAATGTCAGAGGTCTTCATGGCAGTCCCTCCCATCACAGGCCTGGAGGCCTAGGAGGGAAAAATGGTTTCATGGGCCAGGCTCAGGGCTCCCCTGCTATGTGTACCCTAGGGACTTGGTGCTTCAGAGGGCACAAGACCCAAGCCTTGGCAGCTTCCATGTGGGGTTGAGCCTGCAGTTGCATAGAAGTCAAGAACTGTGCACCTGCAGGAGGTTTGGGAATCTCCACCTAGATTTCAGAGGATGTATGGAAACACCTACATGTCCAGGCAGAAGTTAGCTGCAGGGGCGGGGCTCTCATAGAGAATCTCTGCTAGGGCAGTGCAGAAGGGAAATGTGGGGTTGAAGCCTCCACACACAGTCTTCATTGGCGCACTGCCCTAGTGGAGCTGTGAGAAGAGGGCCACCGTCCCCCAGACCCCAGAAGGGTATATTCACTGACAACTTGCACCGTGCACCTGGAAAAGCCTCAGACACTCAACACCAGCATGTGAAAGCAGCTAGGAGGGAGGCTGTACCCTACAAAGAAACAGGCGCGGGGCTTTCCAAGACCATGGAAACCTACCATTTGCATCAGTGTGACCTGGATGTGAGACATGGAGTCAAAAGAGATCATTTTGGAGCTTTAAAATTTGACTGCCTCGCTGGATTTCAGACTTGCATGGGGCCTGTAGCTCCTTCATTTTGGCCAATTTCTCCCATTTGGAAGGGGTGTATTTATCCAATGCCTGTATCCCCATTATATCTAGGAAGTAACTAACTTGCTTTTGATTTTACAGGCTCATAGGCGGAAGGGACTTGCCTTGTCTCAGATGAGCCTTTGGACTGTAGACTTTTGAGTTAATGCTGAAATGAGTTAAGACTTTGGGGGACTGTTGGAAAGGCATGATTCGTTTTTCAAATGTGAGGACATGAGATTTGGAAGGGGCCGGGGCAGAATGATACGGTTTGGCTGTGTCTCCACCCAAATCTCATCTGGAATTACAGCTCCCATAATTCTTACATGTTGTGGAAGGGAACCAGTGGGAGATAACTGAATCATGGGGGTGGTTTTAGATCCATCAGATCTTTCACTTGGTTCCCTCATTCTCTCTTGCTGCCGCCATGTATGAAGCACCTTTCACCTTCCACCATGATTGTGAGGCATCCCCAGTCATGTGGAATTATGAATCCATTAAATCTCTTTTTCCTTATAAATTACCCAGTCTTGGGTATGTCTTTATCAGCAACATGAAAACAGACTAATACATCATTAAATGGCTTCTAACAGTTGAAAAGGTAACACTAATGCTCAAGTATGAAGAAGCAAAGCACTTAAGCCTAATGGCACCTCAAAAACTGGAAAAAAATAATAGATTTTTAAAAAGGGATAACAAATATAATCAAGCAAAAGCTCAATTCAGGATTCTCTGTAAGTAGCATCAAGAAACAAAATGTTGATCAACGTGGGGAATGGGGCAAAGAAATTTTTTAAAAAAGAAACAAAGTGATTAATTTAGATAATTTAAGAAACTTTAAAATATTAAAAAGTTAACAGGCCTTGTAAATGCTTAAACTAGTGGAACTAAATTAGTATACTACATAAATGATCTAAAGCTAAGTATGTTGCAGGAACGCCAATAGTAAGACATTAAAAATGTGTACATTTTCTACTCTATGTTTTCATATAAATTACCCTATAACACTCCTACCCAATAGCATTTATGAAAAAATTCTGTATTTCTGGTTAACTATGTACTTCTCTATGCTACTGCCCCTGGTAACCTCTTCTTACGTGTACTACTGCCTGTGACACAAGTATTTATTTTTCTTTTATACTTTATCTTTTTCAGATCTAGCACAAATCTCTTATATTCTTCAGGAAAAATGCTAAGCTTTGCAAAGAACAAGTCATTATTTGGAAACTACCAAAATAGTTAATTGTTTTAAGCAAATAGCATCAATAGATGCTCAAATTAAAAGGTGAAACTTTGAAGTGCACTAATGAAGAAAAAACTAATAATTAGCATGTAGCTTCTTGATTAGTCAGCATCCCAAAACTTCAGGTATTTTTTTTATCATCCCGACAGTCAAATAATATACATTTATAGGTAAAATATGCAGACTTACATGAACATAACTATCTCTTCTGTGAAATGAGGCTATTATTGCCTAATATTAATAAATACATAGATTATTGTAATGAGATCAAGTGTTCTATGCTGTTTAATGTAGTACCTGGTAGAGTAAGTGCTTAATAAATAAATAGTGAGGATCGTGAATAGTGTATTCAAAATCCAAATGGGAGTGATTCTGCTTCAGGTTGGCACTGCTATTGTTCTGTATCTATGTGGAGTAGTTTTAAAAAATCATCTTAATCCTGAAAGTAGTTAACTCCATCCTCACATATACCAAAAGGACCAATCATTACAAGTAGACAAATAAATCTTTCTATACCACTGAATGATTTTATAAATAAAACACAGAAAAACAATCATATCTTTGACATAAGAAATCACCAAAGGAATAACAAAGAAATTTTGAAATAAAAATGAAAGTTTTTAAACTTACTGACTGACTAAATCAGATCCCATCTTAGAACCATCATCTGCTTCCTCTTCCATATCAGAGTCCATTCCATTGTCACCTTATAAATGAAAGAAACTATTGAAAGCACACTTATAAAAACATTAAAATGATGCAATCATGACATTAAAAAGTATAATCTTTAAAAGTGATGCAGATTAAAGAACTTTATACTGGGTCAAAACTTAAATTTTTAATTGCTTGTATTTAAAATAATTTTTTCAATGCCTTATTAGGTATTTCTCATTGCTTTTTTTTTTTTTTTTTTTTTAGACGGAGTGTCACACTGTCACCCCGGCTGGTGTGCAGTGGCATGACCTCGGCTCACTGCAACCTCCACCTCCCGGGTTCTAGCAATTCTCCTGCCTCAGCCTCCCGAGCAGCTGGGACTACAGGCGCCCGCCACCACGCCCGGCTAATTTTTGTATTTTTAGTAGAGACGGGGTTTCACTATGTTGGCCAAGCTGGTCTCGAACTCCTGACCTTGTGATCCGCCCGCCTCAGCCTCCCAAAGTGCTGGGATTACAGGCGTGAGCCATCGCGCCCGGCCTCATTGACTTCTTTTTCTCTATTATATAAATGTATACAGACAACAATGTGTGTATATACACTTACACACTATGTACATATGTATATATCTATTTCCAGAGTTACAAAATGCCATCAATTTTACATTTAAAAATGAAGCTATCACTGGAAACTGAAAGGCTCCAATTTTTGTTTCTTCTTCTGTCATGTTAAAGCTAAAATCCTTGCAAAGTCCCAAAAGAAAAAAAAAATGCCTGATAATCCAAAATTCTAGAGGTGTGAGTATCACCAAGAGTAGTCACACTACAGGCAGACAAACAAATATTGGTAAATTGCATGGAAGTATTCTAACTCTATATCTGGGTCTTATTAGAGAGTAAACAATATGCAATAGGTGACTAAACACTATAAAAAATCTAAAGCAGAAAATTAAAAAGATTTTAAGGGAAATCTTTGCCTTTCCAATAATTAATTTTTTTACAGATTTTTGGTAAACATTTTTTATTTCATTTTATTAGTTATACTCTTACCTATATACACTTGACCTGGAAAAACAATATATTGTCTATTCTTGAAACGCTTTTCTGATATGTAAACTATATTTTTTAGTGCAAATAGAAGTAAAAATACTCTTCAACAACAACCCAATAATGAAATTAAATATCCAAGTAGGAGAAAGAATACCTCAGGATTTATGCTGAATATAGTATTAACTAAGAAGTTGCCAGAATGTAAAAATATGTATTCTTACCCTCAAGAATCTTCAAAATTTTTTTTTCAGACAGGAGCTCTAACTGTTCCTGGCATAGTTTTTTAATTTCTTCTATTGAACAGTTCTAAAGGAAATGACATTTTAAAAAAATGCATTTATGTAACACAGCCCCAATGTAAACTGGAAAATTTCAATCATAAAAATTTAAGTTAGCAAAATCTTACAATAAAATAAATTAAAGCCTCAAGTAGATTCACATACATCTTTTCCTGGGATGAAATCTGAAAAACTGCCAGTTAATATGTGAACACTGCATATTTGAAGGGAATGCATAAACTTGTATTTACTATCAAAGAAAAAAACTAAAGAGTGAGTCAGTTTCCCAGCTATTCTTAAGCAGTCTATTTATGTTAAGTAATTATTCTAAAGGTTTAAATATTCAAGTCTTGTATCTTTAGATATATGATCTCAGGCTTAACTTTAGTGACCAAGGCCAATTTCTACAACTGTAAAATTAAAACAACAAATATTTCCCTAAATAATTTTCAAAAATAAATAAAAATACTTGTGAATCTAATGAAATATAAGCTATTATTAACCATTGCTGTTTGTTGTTACACAGCAGCATATTGTGACATTATTTCTTAAAGCACCATAAAGATTGTATGTCCAATTTAGTTACTATCATTCCCTGCATTTAACAGAATTATCTCCACAGAGTCAACACATTTCTTGCCTAAACATTTCTTCGTGGCAAATTTTTAAATATACAAGGCTCCAAGAACCAAATATATTATGGTTCTCTATTTTACAAAATCTTTTCAAGTAGCTTATTTTAGATGTAAACATCCAATTAAAAACTGCATTAACGCCAGGCACGGTGGCTCACACCTGTAATTCCAACACCTTGGGAGGCCAAGGTGGGCAGATCACGAGGTCAGGAGTTCGAGACCAGCCTGGCCAACACGGTGAAACCCCGTCTCTTAAAAATCCAAAAATTAGCCGGGCATGGTGGTTCATGCCTGTAGTCCCAGCTACTCAGGAGGCTGAGGCAAGAGAATTGCTTGAACCCGGGAGGCGGAGGTTGCAGTGAGCCAAGATCACGCCACCACACTCCAGCCTGGGCGACAGAGCAAGACTCCGTCTCAAAAAAACAAACAAACAAAACCGCATTAAGTAAAACAAAAAATTGCTACAAAGAAGGCTGTATTTCTACATATGTATCTAGTCTGATGTGTAATGAAGTACCTTTAACACATCAGGAAGCATCTTCTGTAACTTTTTCTCTCCTATAATACAGAAGCACTGCTGAAGCATTTCTTTTTTGTCTGATATATAGAAACTAACTGGTTTCAATGACACAGTCAGGTCCAGTCCACCTTCTTCAAGGTCACTGTGCTCTGCCAAGAATAATTCTTTTTCCAAAGTTGGCAAAATATATTTAGTTTCCTAAAGTTAAAAGAATAAAGAACCATTAAACAATACTACTTAAAATATAAAGAATACGTACATGACATCATACGTTTTCATTTAATAAATTCTTCTTCATCAAAAATTCCCAAATTCTTTGCATAATTATTTATCAAAACCATAGGAGAGAATATCTGTTTAATATTACTTGATTTTTCTCTCCACACTGCAATTAACTCAAGGAGTAGCTATAAGGGAAGAGATATTTAGGATACACAAACAAAAGTATAGTAAATATTGAATAATTTCTTAAAATTTTAGACTTTTGAAGAATTAGGATTTTCCCCTAAAAGGCCATTCACCCAAAAGCTCTATGTATGCATTATCACTGTACTTAAATTCATATAAATAAATTGAAGTAAAGATGTTACAAATCACAAATATTATACAGAAAAGTAACATACGTACCAGGAGCTATCATCATTTTTAAAACTTTATAATCATAATCAAAGTAACCAAGTAATTTCAGTAATTTAAGATATTTCTGTCCATTTTACTTTCTGTCTCCCAACTCTATCCAGTCTCTCCAAATCTACTGCCATAATTCTGTTCCAAACTACCACAATTTTTTGCCTGGGTTACACCAATAGCCATTTAATGGGACTCCCTGCATCTAATCTGAGGTCTCTTTGTTTTGTACACTGTTAGCAGAATGGATTTTATAAAATGTATACGTACTCATCCTTCTTGTTTAAAACTCTTCAATGAATTCCCATTGCTCCTAAGGTAATATGGCCTACCTGGCCTTCATGCTCATTCTTTGTGTTTAGGACACAATCTTCTTTGAATTACTCGACTGTAACCTATTCTCCTTCCTTCAGCTCATAGAAGCAGGGCTTTTGCATACCATTTTCCTATGACAGTCTTTCCTCCCTCCTTTATCTATCACACTATATTCACAAGATTAACAAATTCAGATACTTCAGACAATTCAACAGTCATTTCCTCTGGAAAATCTTCCCTGACCACAGAGGTCAGATAGTTGTTTACAAAGCAGTTTTAAAATGGGTCAGTTTTAATGAACACTATGATAATTAGACTGAAAAAGTAAAAGAATCAGCACTTGTTCTAACAGTTTACAATGTAATAATGTAGAGAAACTGGAATCCTCATACACTGTTAGCAGGAATATAAAATTGTGCAGCTACTTTGGAAGCTAATTTGGCAGTTCCTCAAAAAGTTACCATATGACCCAGCAATTCCATTGCTAGATATATACCCAAGAGAAATGTAACGATATGTCTACACAAAAACTTGTACTTGTTCTTAACAGCATTATTCATATAGCCAAAAGGCAGAAACAACACAAATGCCCATCAAGTGATAAATGGAAAAATGAAATGCTGTATAGCGTTATCTATACGTATGTGGTACATATGTACAGCTATACAAAAACAAAACAAAATGTGGTATAGTAACCATAAAAAGGCATGAATCTCTGTGATACAAAGGAATGAACCCTATGTGCTACAACATGGATGAATCTTAAAAACATTATGTTAAGTAAAAGATGCCAGACACAAAACACCACATATTATATAAACTAAACGTTACACATAAGGTTGCTTTCTGGAGTGATGAAAATATTTTAAAACTGACTAGGCCGGCGCGGTGGCTCACGCCTGTAATCCCAGCAATTTGGGAGGCTGAGGCGAACGGATCACCTGAGGTCAGCTGTTCGAGACCAGCCTGGCCAACATGGTGAAACCCCGTGTCTAATAAAAAACAGAAAAATTAGCTGGGTGTGGAGGCGGGTGCCTGTAATCCCAACTACTCGGGAGGCTGAGGCAGAAGAATTGCTTGAACCCAGGAGGCGGAGGTTGCAGTGAGCCGAGATGGCGCCATTGCACTCCAGTCTGGGCAACAAGAGGGAAACTCTATCTCAAAAAAACAAAAACAAAAACAAAAACTGACTGTAGTGACGGTTGTACAACTCTGAATATATACAAAATCACTTAACTGTACATGTGAAATGGGTGAATTGCACAGTATGTCAACTACATTTCAATAAAGTTCTTCCCAAGAAAATAGGGAACTCGGCCGGGCAGAGTGGCTCACAGCTGTAATCCCAGCACTTTGGGAGGCCGAGGTGGGAGGCTGAGGGGGGCAGATAACAAGGTCAGGAGATCTAGACTATCCTAGCTAACACGGTGAAACCCTGTCTCTACTAAAAATACAAAAGCATTAACTGGGCGTTGTGGCAGAGGCCTGTTGCCCCAGCTACTCTGGAGGCTGAGGCAGGAGAATGGCGTGAACCCAGGAGGCGGCGCTTGCAGTGAGCCGAGATCACGCCACTGCACTCCAGCCTGGGCGACAGAGCGAGACTCTGTCTCAAAAAAAAAAAAAAAAAAAAAAGGAACCTCAATACACAACAGATATAATGGCACTCTCTAAAGTTTGAAATGTTATCTACATGCCTAATATGCAATGACCTTTTCTTCACAAATACACTAATTTTTCATTAGAAGATGGGTTTAGTTCTGTACGCAAAATGTTTTCAATATTCAATTGACCAGTGTTGTTGGTCTCCCCATCATAACGGAGTGGGAAACTGGTCAGGCGCGGTGGCTCACGCCTGTAATCCCAGCACTTTGGGAGGCTGAGACGAGTGGATCACCTGAGGTCAGGAGTTGGAAACCAGCCTGACCAACATGGTGAAAACCTTACCTCTATTAAAAATACAAAAATTAGCTGGCCATGGTGGCGGGCACCTGTAATCCCAGCTACTCAGGAGACTGAGCCAGGACAATTACTTGAACCTGGCAGGCGGAGGTTGCAGTGGGCTGAGATGGTGCCACTGCACTCCAGCCTGGGCGACACAGTGAGAGCCTATCTCAAAAAAAGAAAAAAAAAAAGGAAACTATTTAAAATAAGAATGGTAATATCCAAAACTGAATCTAGAAGGGGTGGGAAAACTGAATAGATCTATATTAAATAATTTTTTTAAAGAGTGTCTTAAAAAATCACTCTAAAAAACTCCACTAGACCCAGATACTTCTGACAAATATTTGAGAAGAAAATATAAACCATTCTAGAACACACCAAAAAAACACAAAGCTTCCTAATTCAATCCATTACAAAAATAAAAACTACAGTCTGATCTAATTTAGAAACATATACATAAAAGTTGGCCGGGCACGGTGGCTCACGCCTGTAATCCCAGCACTTTGGGAGGCCGAGACGGGTGGATCACGAGGTCAGGAGATCAAGACCATCCTGGCTAACACGGTGAAACCCCGTCTCTACTGAAAATACAAAAAATTAGCTGGGCGTCGTGGCGGGCGCCTGCAGTCCCAGCTACTCGGGAGGCTGAGGCAGGGGAATGGCCTGAACCCGGGAGGCGGAGCTTGCAGTGAGCCGGGATCACGCCACTGCACTCCGGCCTGGGCAACAGAGCGAGACTCCGTCTCAAAAAAAACAAAAAAAAAGAAACACATACATGAAAGTAAAAATACTGAATTCCAGCCAAGTACAACAAACTCAACAAACCAAACAGCACTTGTCCCAAGACTCCAAAGACTGTTCAACATCAACTAACTTATCAACAAATTACATTATCTGACTAAAGGAGAAAAAGTATGTGATCATCTCAACAGAATGCCAGAAAACCACCTGATAAAATCTCTACATAAACTGTTTCTACTCTACCAAAGAGAATAATGAGCAGAGGATATGTACAGAAAATTACATAAGAAGAAATCAAATGGCAAATAAAAATATTAAAATGTTCAATCTCACTAATAAGGAAAATAAAAATTAAAACAAACTATTAATTTGACCCACTAGTCTGGCAATTTTTTTAAAAAATGCCATCAAAATGTCATCAAAAGCTAGTTAAGAATCTCAGAAATAGGTATTCTTATATATATACTGTTTGGACTATAAATCTGTAAAGTCTCATTTGGAAAGCATTTGGTGGCATTCATAAGTTTTTAATAGCATAAACTTTGACCCAGGAATTTCAGTTCTCACACTCTCTCCCAACATAACTCTTGTAGGAGATATATACATAAAGGTGTTTGTATTGTAGTCACAACAATACAAAAAAACCTGCACACCCAAATATCAGAAAAATATAATACAATACCAGGCAGTCAGTAAAAATAACAAACCACGTATATAAAGAAGCCTATCACAACAATGCAGGTATTCAACAGCGGGAATAACACAATACAGCTTAAGTGTAGGAACTTAAAAACACGTATCTCACGAGGAGTGATTAAAAGAGGCCGCGTATCAAAATACTAATGGAGGGGCAAGAAAAGGGACTTGACGCTTTCCCTTTATTTCCTCATTGAATGAATTTAAAGTACCTATTCATTCATTTGTTTTCAAACAAATTATGAACTTTTTTAAAACGGCGTTCTCTTGGCAGACTGGTGGCGTATAAAGAACATGGCTTTTGTAGTCAGATATTTGGATTCAAACCTAGGAGCTATTAACAAACTCTGTGACCGTGGGTAAAGTTTAACTTCTTTGGGCCTCAATTTTCTTATCTCTAATGCGGAGTTAACCATATCTACGAAAAGGTGAAGACGAAGGGAGAAGTGTTTGGCTCGCAAGGGAAATGAAGGCTAGCTTCCAACTCGTATTCTTCCGGCAGAGTGAAACCATAGGAGTGGAAGGAGCCAAGAGTTTAAAAAATAAATTAAAAAAAAAGTGATCAGGAAATCCAGAAACTTGAAGTTCAAGATTCAAGACACGGATGGGAGTGTGGGGCTCACCAGGACTTAGGTAGGAACATGAACCTCAAGGACGGACGACCTTGAGATTGCCGCGCTAGCAGTGAGCTCCAGCCTGCGCCCCATCCCTCTGGAAGCCCGACTTCTTCCGAAAAAGCAGCAGCTCCAGGAAGCGGCCAGAGGGGCGCGCACGCACCTGCTGCAAGGAGCCCGAGACGCTGGAAGAGTCGGTACTCCTCCGCTTCCGGCGCTCGCTGCGCTCCACGCTGCTCCCGCCCCAACAGCTGCCGCCGCTCCCACCGCCGGTGACACTTCCACTAAAATTGGCGTTCCCACAGCAGCTGACGCTCCCGCAGCCCCCGGCGCTCCCGCAGCCGCTAGTGCTTCCACTGCTGCCGCTGGCCAACGCGGGTACGATGTCCGGGGCCGCGAGCGCTGCGGCCGCCTCCTGACTGCTACGTTTGCGCCGTTTCTCCCGGGAGGACTTTTTCCCCGTCATGATCCCTCTGCTGCAACCATCGGAGGAAAGTCCGCTGTCTCTGGTGCGACCGAAGCCCGACTCCTGCGGCCGTGGGCGGCAGGCACTGGCGTCGCAGGTTATGCGTCACTTCCGGCCGTGGCACAGAACGTGGTGAAGCGTTATGGGCCGGGGTGGCAGGGGGGTTGCCATAACCAGTTGCGCTTCCCCCTCCGGTCGCGGAGGTCGATTTGAGTGTGTAGCGGGTAGCCTGTCTAGTCAGAGTTTGTTTTGTTTTGTTTTTATATCTCTACAAAGGATAGAAGGTGGAACTTACGTCCTTTTAACTTCAAAACTTTTTATTGTTAGTGTTTTGTCTGTTTACAATAAGGTTGAAGTATAGTTGCTGATTCTCCATTTCCGTTTACCTCCAAATCTTAAGATATTAACAACGCTATGACAATAAAGAGAATAGGGAAAAGTTGTTCCATCTCATTTTCCTCATCACCTGGGCAAATTAGGTATTTCTTGCGTAGAGTCTGACATGGACAAGTAGAGCTTGAGTTCGTTTTTGAAAATTGAGAATGGGTCAAAGCTTTATGAGATTTTATGGGTGGATGTAATCTAAATAGAAGGCAGATTTTAAGACAAGGGAGCTAGAACACTTAAAACGTGAACCAAGGTCTTTGTCGTTTCAGCAGGGGCCTTTAGCCACTGAGGGAAAAAGGTAGAGCCTGGGGCAAAGCTAGCTGGGTGGTAGTAATTCTGTGCCTTTCCCTGGGGTAAGAAGCAATTAAAGAAGCTTCCCTTCTCTTTGTCTCCTATTTGTCTCAGTCATTCAACAACTACTTAAATGCCTAAAACCAGCCTAGGGTTAATAAATAGGGACACTTCCAGCCCTAGGAAAACTGTCTTCCCCCAGGCCCCACTCTTAAATTGGCCTTGTAAGGTAAATCCTGGGGCTGAGCCCACTGTGTTCCCAGGAGTTCCGTTAAGTATCACACTCATTGGAGTCATACCTGAAAGGATTGAGAGTGTTGTGTTCACAGATAGGAAAAACACATAAAATTAATAACATGTTACATTTATAAACCTGTTATGAATTGTGTCCCTGAAACCATCATAATTTTAATAAAACTAAATTGCTAGATTTTTTCTTTTTTCTTTTTTTTTTTTTTGAGACGGAGTTTCACTCTCGTTGCCCAGGCTGGAGTGCAATGGCACAATCTCGGCTCACTGCAACCTCCGCCTCCCGGGTTCAAGCATTTCTCCTGCCTCAGCCTCCTGAGTAGCTGGGACTACAGGCATGCGCCACCATGCAGGGCTAATTTTGTATTTTTAGTAGACAAGGGGTTTCTCCATGTTGGTCAGGCTGGTCTCGAACTCCCGACCTCAGGTGATCCACCCGCCTCAGCCTCCCAAAGTGCTGGGATTACAGGCGTGAGCCATCGTGCCCTGCCAAATTGCTGGATTTGTGACAAAAGATAAGCTTTTAGTAGAAGCATAGCTAAACGTTAACCAACTTTTCCTATAGCCCACTTCCTTATAGCTGCTTATTGCTTTATAGATATCTTTGACTCGGTTAAGAAATCTCAAGTTTTCCATTTTGAGATATTTACCAGATTCTGTACTCCAATGGTGTTACAGAAGTTAAGAAATTATTTTAGGCAGATAGAGAGGTAAAGGGGTCTTTGGGAAGTTTTTTTTCTTTTAAAGCAGCTCCAGAAATGTTTCTTGTCTAGCAAAAAAGCTGGGCTGGCAAGCTATGATATGCAAATGCAGGCCGTTAGAAACTGGGTTTACTCAGTATGGCGATTCCCCTCTTCTTCTTGTCCCCACATGTGCCTAGCAACATGGCCATCCCCACATATCCCCACATGTGTAGAACATTGTGGCACCCTACATTCGCATATTAAAAGGCTAGGGTGGGAGGGCCACTTTTTTTGCAGGCTACGTGAATGACATACCTGGTCAAACCAATTCCCTGGGTCATATGCAAATTAGTCACCACCTCCTCCAGCCTCATAATATAACTGGCTCTTGTCTGCTGCACCCAAGGTTCCCTCTTTCATCTGGGAGCCCTCTTCCCTCTGGTTCTGTATGAGGGAGCCTCTTCTTTCTTGCCTATTAAATTCTCCGCTCCTTAAAACAATTCCACTTGTGTCTGTATCGTTTTATTTAAACCAGCACGAGACAAAAGACTGTGGTGTTCCTCCAGTCATTGGAACCATATCAGTGGGGTCACTGATGCTACTCAGTCTGAAGACCCCTTCTGAGAAACGAACTCAGCACAAGAATGCACTTTCTACCTCCTTATGATTACATCCCCCATGCCCTAACCAATCAGCAACCCCTAGCTCCTCAGCCCCCTACCCACCAAAATTCCCTTAAAAACCCCTGTCCAAAAACTTACTGGGGAGGTGATTTGAGGTTCCCTCCCATCTTCTCCCTTGGCTGGCATACCATTATTAAACTCTTTCTCTGCTGCAACTCCTGCTGTTTCCATGTATTGGTCTGGTACCATGTAGTGGTTAATAGAACCTGATGGTCCTATAACATCACCCACAGAATTCATATGTTGAATCCCTAACCCCAATGTGACTGAATTTGGAGATAGGGTCATTAAGGAGGTAATTAAGGTTAAATGAAGTCATAAGGGTGGGTCCCTAATCTAATATAACTGGTGTCCTTATTAAAAGAAGAGTCTGGGCCAGGCATGGTGGCTCACGCCTGTAATCCCAGTGCTTTAGGAGGCCGAGGCGGGTGGATCATGAGGAAGATGGAAACCATCCTGGCTAACACGGTGAAACCCCGTCTCTACTAAAAATACAAAAACAAAATTAGCTGGGCGTGGTGGCAGGCGCCTGTAGTCCCAGCTACTCAGGAGGCTGAGGCAAGAGAATGGCGTGAACCCAGGAGGTGGAGCTTGCAGTGAGCCAAGATCGCACCACTGCACTCCAGCCTGGGCGACAGAGCAAGACTCCGTCTCAAAAAAAAAAAAAAAGCCTGGTACAGTGGTGCATGCCTGCAGTGCAAGCTACTCAAGAGGCAAACTGGGGAGGATTGCTTGAGGCCAGAAATTCTGGGCTGTAGTGCGCTGTACTGATCAGTTGTCTGCACTTAGTTCAGCACTAATATGGTGACCTTTTGGGAGTGGAAGCCACCAGGTTGTCTAAGGGGGGTGAACTGGCCGAGGTCCAAAATGGAACAGGTAAAAACTCCCACGCTAGGCTGGGCGTGGTGGCTCACACCTATAATTCTAGCACTTCGGGAGGCCGAGGCAGGCGGATCACTTGAGGTCAAGAGTTCAAGACCAGCCTGGCCAACATGGTGAAGTCCCGTCTCTACTAAAAATACAAAAATTAGCCAGAAATTGCTTGAACCCTGGAGGCGGAGGTTGCAGTGAGCCGAGATGGTGCCACTGCACTCCAGCCTGAGCAACAGAGTAAGACTCCATCTCAAAAAACAAAACAAAAACTCCCATGCTGATTAGTAATGAGGTCACAGCTGTGAATAGCCACTGTACTCCACCCTGAACAACATAGTAAGACCATGCCTCTAAAGAAAAGAACAGACTGCCCTGTCTTCTCACCACATACAGAGGAGAGGCCATGTGAAGACACAGTGAGAAGGTAGCCATCCACAAGCCAGGAAGAGAAGCCTCACCAGAAACCAACCTTGATGATATGCTGATCTTGGACCTTTAGCCTCCAGAACTGAGAAAATAAATTTCTGTTTAAGCCACCCAGTTTGTGGCACTTTGTTATGGCAGCCCGAGCTAGCTAATACAGACCTAAAATGTTATGTGTGCCTGGATAGAGCTACCTGGCTGCAAATTACTCTCTTATAAAATCAATTGAGAAGCTTCTAGGTTTCCACTTTGTTCTACAGCAACCTGACAAACGGTGTTCATATTTCTTCAGGTGGACCAAGGAGGCAAAGCACTCCTCACTAGATTGCTGTACAGTATTTATGAACTTGGCAGATGAATCACAGTCTTTGTCTGCCCTCTCACACACTTGTTCTAGGACACAAAGGCATTGTTCTACCACTGGTGATAGAGAAGGGGAGAAAATAGAACAAAATGCATGTCTTCATAAGCAATTTTCTAGTGAGGGGAAACAATAAGAAAATACACAATAGGAAGTGCTTCTATCTTCACTCACTATGGCACTCTGCATTCTTCTTACCCTGTTTTTCTTCAGCACCCTTAAACACCACCACACATATATTTATCTGTGTCCTTCCACTTGAATGTAAGCTCCTTGAAAGCAAGGACTTTGTTTTATTTGCTTTTTTTTTTTTTCCTTTGAGACAGAGTCTCACCCTGTTGCTCAGGCTGGAGTGCAATGGCACGATCTCAGCTCACTGCAGCCTCTGCCTTCCGGGTTCAAGCAATTCTCCTGCTCAGCCTCCTGAGTAGCTGGGATTACAGGCACCCACCACCACGCCCAGCTAATTTTTGTAGTTTTAGTAGAGATGGGGTTTTACCATGTTGGCCAAGCTGGTCTAGAACTCCTGACTTTGTGATCCGCCTGCCTCAGCCTCCCAAAGTGCTGGGATTACAGGCGTGAGCCACCGCTCCTGGCTTTATTTGCTTTTTTATTCCCAATATCCCACTGTCCTGAATAAAAATTTGGCACAGGCCAGGCACAGTGGCCCAATCTGTAATACCAGCACTTTAGGAGGCTGAGGTGGGCAGATCCCTTGAACCCAGGAGTTCAAGAACAGCCTGAGCAACATGGCAAAACACCATCATTACAAAAAATACAAAAAAAAAAAAAAAAATTAGCCTGGCATGGTGGTCCCAGCTACTCAGGAGGCTGAGGTGGAAGGATTACCTGAGCCTGGGGAGATCGAGGCTGCTGTGAGCTGTGATTGCACCACTGCACTCCAGTATGGGGGACAGAGTGAGTAAAATTAATGGCTAGAAACTAGTCTTTAATAAATGAGGTTGGGAGGAGGTTTGCGGCGCTCTTACGTCGCATGGTGGAGAGATATAGCCATAGGGAGTTAGCTGCTACTGTGAAGTTGACAGTCAAGTGGGCTTTGGAACCACAGGTACAAACTGCTTTCTACATGGGGTTCTGCTGAATGGAAGATGGGGAAAGGACTTTGATTTATGCTAAGAACATGCCATAGAGACATCACAAGCCTGACTTACAGTCAGAGAGATGTCTTTTTAGGTTGAACCCATATGAAACTGGCTTTTTACAGGTTGAAAATGGTTGAATGTTGATTCAAGCAGCAGAGAGAAAAAAAAGGAAAAAGTAGTTGAATATTGACAATTTCATATGGTTCACCTTAATATGCTTAAGAGGCCCAGCACTAAACATTGCTATGGACTTAAAGCTCTGCAAACAAATGCAGACTGCTTTTCTGCCTAGAACAAGTATATAAGGGAGGGTGGACAGAGATTGGTTCTTATACACCAATTTCAGCAATGCATTGAGCATTGATCACAGTGATTGCCAGGGATAGGCATGCATTAATGCTGGGGTCAATCAGTTCTTCTCTGGGATTTTATAAAGAGATATTTGGTGAGAAATTTGCTCTTTCACACTAAGTCATCACTTAACTTCATTACAGTCAACTGGAAGTAAATTGTCTCCTAGCTGCTTGTTGTCATGTTCTCTGTCTTGTGACAATTCTAAGAAAATTAGGCCAACAAAAGCACTTGCTGAAACAAGTAACAAAAAATCCTGATACTATCATTTTCCATCAGTGAGCCAGTGTAATTCTTTTTTCTCCCCCAATTAAGCTGATCTGAGTTGATTTTTTTTTTTTTTTTCTTTTGAGACAGCCTCGCTGTTACCCAGGCTGGAGTGCAATGGTGCGATCTCGGCTCACTGCAACCTCCGCCCCCTGGGTTCAAGCGATTCTGTCTCAGGCTCCTGAGTAGCTGAGACTACAGGCATGCACCACCATGCCTGGCTAATTTAGAGGGTTTCACCGTATCAGTCAGGCTGGTCTTGAACTCCTGACCTCAAATGATCCCCCGCCTCGGCCTCCCAAATTGCTGGGATTACAGGCATGAGCCACAGTGCCCTGTCTGATCTGAGTTGATTTCTGTCACTTGCAACCTGAAGTCCTAATTAATACAACATAGTACAGCATAAGTACAGCATAGTACAGCATAGTACAACATAAGACCTTCCATGCTCTGAACAGCATTTTTCTCTTCAGCCTTTCCTAGAAATACACTCTTCAGGCCTATTCAACAACCCTACCTACACTTATTGTATCTAAGATTCATTTTAAGTATAACTTATTTAAAACATTTCCACATCACTTCCATTCTCAATCCTCCTAAAATTAACCACTTCTTTTTTTGCAACCCACTATTCTCCCTACAGAGTGTCCAGAACTCTTTACTGCAGGCACTTGCTCAGTATCTTCTCCAATATACTGTTAGTTCCCAGGAACTATGCATATATATTTTTGTAGTCTCAACACCTGATACATTACCTGGAAGAAGCTAGGGATGCAAATATTTGTTAAAATTCTAAACTGATAATTTCAGGACCCACACAGAGCTTCTTTCTCTATCACCCTTGTGGCAAATTGCATTAATGACCCCAGTTCTTCACCTCTCCCTATATCCACAGCTTGCCATGTAATTTGGCAGTGCCCTCCTGCTACAGGTGAGACCTAATTCCCTACCCTTCTGCTACGCCATCTAACTTACTTTGGCCAAATGGATGTTAGCAGATGTGCAGCAAGTGGAGTCTCAAAAAAAGCTTGTGCAATTAGGATGGTTGACTTGTGCTTCCACCATTATCATAAAAATTATATACCCAAAGTGGCCCACTGGTCCTAGAAGAAAGATGAGCAACAAGTAGAGCAGAGCTGCCTCAACTAAGCTACTCAGACGAGCCTAGCCTAGAGCTGAGTCCTCAGACAACCTGTAGAAACATGAATGAGCCCAGCCAGGACCATCCTACCCCAAGCTTGAAACTCCTGAGCTAAATAAAAACTATTATTTTTGTTGTTGGTTGTTGCACAGTATTACTGTGGCTATAGTTAACCAATGTGCACTCTGTCTAAAAGAGACCCTTTCCCTGTATTTCTCTGTTAGCAGTAAGAAGTCTTCAAAACTGGTTTGATATTGTCACTATTCGATACACAGAAGTCTTACAAGAAATCATGAGACCACTGCTAGGGCTGTAGTATGCATATATGTGATTTTTACAGTCCAACAGAAACACTTTCTTGCTGGGTCCTGGGGCACTATACGAAGTTTAAAAGAAGGGTAAGGATTTTGAGTTCTAAACAACTTTATAAATGTCCTTCAGGATTACCCCCTGCCCCAAGGGCATTTCTTCCACAGTAGAAATAAAACCAAATTACTTTTTTCCCCCTTTTGTTTGTTTTTGTAAAGGCAATTATTCTTATTATTAAAGAACATGGTAGCCTTGTATTGTCTTTGGAAGAAATGCTTGCTGAGCATTTATGTGGCCATCATTTTGCTAGGCTTTTACATGAATCTTAAATTATTCATCTGTCATATGAAGTCCCACTGAACAGATGACTGACTGAGGCTGAGGTTAAGCAACTTGCCTTAATTCATTACTAAGTGATGGTAAGGCTATTGGAATATATGCCTTTTGAACTCCAAAGCCAGTGCTCCTTCACTATATTATACTGCAGCTTTGGTTGCTATTACTACTGAAAATTTTGAATAATATAGAAATAAGTGAACATTTATTGAATTTATTAGTTCCTTTGAGGACACAGGAATGAAAGAAATGTCATTTAATGGCTTAAAACCACTTTCTTTTGATCCATGTCATTCTTATATGGCACTAGCAGCCACTGTAGTTGCTATTAAAGTGGCTACTACAAACTGGTATTTTTCTTCATATTGATATCCAGTTTTGGCAACATCATTGATTAAATACTGTTATCTTCTCCATTGTTTGGTTACTACTGACTTGTCATACAGATTTGACTTCTTTCAGTTTCTACACCTGTGTAATACCTACCTCATAGAGATAATGAGGATAAACTATGCATATACAACTAGAAAAGAATAAGTGCTTAATGCAGGCTGCCTAGTTGTTCTTTGCATTGTTATTTGGTTTGATTTAAATCAAGTTGCAAACTGTTGTGGTAAATGTTGCTACATAACTTGAAATGTGATGATCACAGCCATTCGGACATTTTATTTTTCTGATTTATCAAGTGTCCAGGAATTCCAAGGTCAGGTTTTAAGCCCCAACATCTCATTTTAGGCCTAGGACCAATATTAGACTATCTACTTTACAAAAGGACTTTAGGCAACTTTCTCCTCTTTACAGCTTCCATTACCCACCTTATTCTGAAGACTATTTTACCCCTTAAGGAAGCTCATATATGATATAATCAAGACAAAATAACAAGTACATATCACCTGTAAAGTATTCCTACAAATAGTTTAATCTCAGTGGAAACAAGCTTTCAGTTTATAGGAAATAGATGTTGCAGGCCGACTCCAAGATAGCCCCCAGTGATCCCTCCCCTACTGGTATTCACTGCCTTGCATAATCTACTCCCCTTGATTAACTTCCAACCAATACAATACCTTGATGTTGAGATGTCACTTCTGTGATTAGATTATAAAGATTCCAACTTTGGTCCTGCCAGCAGTCTCTCCCTTGCTGGCTTTGATGAAGCAACTTGCCACACTGGGGAGGCCCATATAGCAAAACTCAGAGAGGGCAGTCTTTGGCCAACAGCTAGCTAGGAATTGAGGTCCTCAGTCCAACCCCAAAAGATCTAAACAACAACGATGTGAGCTTGAAAATGAAACCTTCCTCAGTAGAGCCTTTAGATGAGACACCAGCCTTGGCTGATACTTTACAGCCTCAAGAGGATCCACCTAAGCTGTGTTAGGATTCCTGAACCACAGAACATTTGAGATAATATGTGCTATTTTAATCCACAAAGTTCTGGGGTCATTTATTAAGCAGCAATAGATAACCAATACTAAAGGGTTGTAGAAAAATATTTTACAAACACAAAATGTGAGGTGCTTCACATGCTGGAGTGCCCTAAACATTTCAAAAAGTCACTGATAGTTTTAAAATATGAAAGACTATTCTAGATTAAGAAGTCAAAGAAGCATATATCTAAACTATTCATAGATACAGTACACAAACCTTGATTATTTAGATCTTTTTAAAGCAAGTTATAAAAGGCATTCTTAGAGCAATGAGGAAATTTGAAATATGGACTAGATATTAGATATTATGAAATTACTAATTTCCTTAAGTGTGATATTATCAGTGGCAAGTTATGTTCTTAAAAATGCCCTCATTCTTATAAGATGCATATGGAAGTATCCAGTTGATAAGCATTTAAGTAATTTCAAAAAAAAGTACATACTATGGAGATAAAGCAAATCTGGCAAAATGTTAATAACTGTGGAATCTAGTTAACAAGTCCATGAATGTTCACTGTACTTTTCTTTCAGTTTTCTTTTTTTTTTTTTTGAGACAAAGTCTTGCTCTGTCAACACCCAGGCTGCAGTGCAGTGGCACAATCATGGCTCACTGCAATCCTGATCTCCCAGGCTCAAGTGATCCTCCCGCCTCAGCCTTCTGAGTAGCTGGAATTGCAGGCACGCAATATCATGTCTGGCTAATTTTTAAATTTTTGGTAGAGATGCGATCTCTCTATGTTGACCAGGCTGGTCTTGATCTCTGGGCTTAAACGATGCTCTCGCCTCAGCCTCCCAAAATGCTGGGATTACAGGTGTGAGCCACTGCACCCAGCCTTTTAAAATTTTTATGTATGAATATTTTTATTAAAAAGTTGAAGGAAAACTCATGAAAAAATGCTATTAAAGTCTTCAAAACTATTTATAATCACAAGTATACGGCATATAATTTCTACAGAAAATAATGCATTAGAAATTAGAATAGTTTTTTTTAAAAAGGATTGAATAACACTTTAAAGGCCTGGAATTTATCTAAGACTTCCAGGAAGGATGACATATCACAAATGGCCTTTTATGCATTTTATCATTTCCTCATAAAATAACCATACAAAAAAATAGCCGGGCGTAGTGGCGGGCGCCTGTAGTCCCAGCTACTCGGGAGGCTGAGGCAGGAGAATGGCGTGAACCCGGGAGGCGGAGCTTGCAGTGAGCAGAGATCACACCACTGCACTCCAGACTGGGCGACAGAGCCAGACTCCGTCTCAAAAAAAAAAAAAAAAAATAACCATAACATACAAAGTGATAACTGCTGAGGAACCTACCTCCTACTCTTATCCCCAGAATTATCTATGTAAAGAATCCATTTTTACCTATGCTTCTTCCATCACTTAAGATTATGAGGTAGATAATAAATTTCATTGCATTGCTATTTAGTTATAAATTCAGCTAGTCATATAAACAGTAACATACTCATCTAAAGGAACCTAATGCCAGAGAGAAGATAATAGTTATGAAATGGAGACAATAATAACTTAACTCTTTTGTAGGCAATGGGGTTTCAAATGCAATATGAAGTACATTAATTCCAAGAGTTGTACCACTAGAGGTGCGATGGCAATGTAAACAGTCTAAACAATGTACACTATCTTCATCTACCAATTCCATGTATAAAATGTTCCTAGGGAACTAGTAAGACTCTTGTGAGATTTGTCATTACCATTGCTTGATAGCTGAAAATTGGAAACAGTGCCAGTTAATAAGAAATGGGTATATCCATATGATAGAATATTGTATTTATTAATGTGGAGCTCTTTGTACCAAATATAAGTTTAAAAATCAGGTTATCAAAGAGTATGTATGATACAACGCTTTTTTAATAAAATAAAATACATTTACATACATAGTCACTATGCCACAAGATGTTAAGAATAGTTTTCTCTAGATAGTGGCCTTACAGGCAATTTTTATTTGGGGTGTGTGTGTTTTACTCAATAAATATTTATTACTTTTGTATTCAGAAAAAACATTAAGAGAATCATAGGAAAGTTTAACTAAAAAAGAAAATCTTTAAAATATCATTAAATTATTTAACATATCCTTCAAGTGAGATTGTTTCCTTTTGCTAAGCTATATTTTGTAATCTCCACAACAAACATGAAATAGTAAAGTTGACATAAAAAAACTTGCACAGTAATAGGAAGCAGTGTTTACATTTTGCCACCCCTTACATTTTGAAGAGGGAACTCATATTCTTAACCAAGACTGTTTCTTATCATTATTCAAAGGTACCTACTTTTCCTAAATATTGCAATTAAATTATTTGTACTTAAGAAAGCAGTGTATTGTAAAGGAACCAGCCAGACCTGGGTTAAATTCCTAATTTTGCCATTTAACTTTGACATAACCACCTAAACCCAATCAAAAAACGAAAAGTATAGGTACTCAACTGAGCCAGTGAACAGAATATTTAGTCCAGGTACACACCAGGTAGTTCCAATTTAATACTCAGCAAAGTACATATCCCCTCTATTTACATTTTGCTCATTTCCTTTTGATATTCCAAAAGTTCTTACTTGGGTTACTCTTGACAATTAGAACCTTTCTTGCCCATTTGGGGAACAATTATTCTTCTAAGGCTATAATTTGGCATTAAGCCAGGGGATTCATGGTTTTTACACCACGAGTATTGAGAATGTTGCTATTTCTGGCAACGTCTTTATGAAAAGATCTTTCCCACTTTTGAAAATAGTTACGCTTCTCTCAAGAAACTGGGTTACCTCAGACACAATAAATTGTGTAATTAATGTGATGGTTCCTTCTTTGTGTTAATTGCTAGGATGTTCACACACATCTGTGATCTCTCTAGAAAGTATAGCATAGCATGTACTTTAAGTAGTTAACTCCCTCTTGGCTTCACTTTTTTTTTTCTGTTATATGATTCATCCTATTATGTCTACTTCTGAAAGCAGAGATAATACTGGCCCTCATTTAAAGGGGTTTTAAGGATTAAATATCAGTGTGTCTACTATTCTGCCTGGACCACATAGAGGGCTCAAAAATAGTAATTTCACATGACAGGTTCTAGACTTTCAAATAATACAGTTTGATGTACTCTTGCTTATGTAACCACCTGATAAAATTCAACATGTTCCAAATTCCCTTTGAAATAATGGAAAATGACAAAAATAAACAGCCAAATATCAAAACTAGAATGAAAAATGAAGTTACCTCAAATAGTGAAGGGCAAAAGAAACTGGATCTAAGCCTGGAGTTAAATTGAGACCTCGTCTGTCTGAACTGATACATGACTAACACAGCTTACCAACTGGCTTTTTCTTCATCTAAAAATAGGCCATTAAACAAATATACTTTAGGATTTATAAATGACAAATCAAGAAATTATCTTATATTGTTTTAATATATGAATTTATAAATTATTTTATAAATTTAATATAATTTAAAAAATTTTAAAGTAGTTATCCTAAAACAAGACCTTGAAATGTATCAGTGCTGTTCGAAGGATCTAGCAATGAAGGTGGAGAAGTTAAATAAAAGATAATTGACAACAACAGTTTGGTGTACATTAAGTAATAAAAGCAAGTTATATGAGTAACAGCCCTTGTCTTCTTAGTGGCTAAGGTAAGGGGAAGATGTCATTGTCATTGTGTTGTTGCTGATTATAGCTTATTTTAAATTTGTGTTCACACTCTTGAAAATCTACCCAAATTACACAGGAAAATCTCACAGTTCAGCAGTGCAAAAATTTTATTTCTGTTTCCCCTCCCCACCACTTTACAAGATGTAAAATTTTACTTAATCCACCGTATTCTCTTTTTTTAATTATCTGTTATCAGTCATGTCAAATGTGAGGAAAAAAACACTAATCAATTAAAAATATCCGTCCCTCTTCCCCACTGCTACAGCAAATTTAGGATAAATCTACAGCATTCACTTACTTTAGCTGGTTCTGATACTGAGGAATACTTTTTTATTTGAGAATCAACACCTAAAGACTTGGCTAATTGTACAGCATTTGAATCATCACTGATAAGTGTTCCAAGAGCCACAAGAAGTCTAAAAGTGGCTTCTAGGTCTTGTACTACTTCCAAGATTGTGCTAATTAGTGACAAACATTGGGCTTTCCCTTCAATGTTATGGTCTTTATGAAAACAAACAGAATAGTTCAGGGCCAATGTAGCCAGAGCAATGTGAATGTTCTTATTGCTCCCTGATTTCAGTTCTATTGCATGGGACATCAGTGATTCCCTCTGGGACATCATGAGTTTTTGTCCTGCCTGGCCAACAAAACAATTGCAAAAAGTCCTGAGAGCAAGCAGCTGGTTTGCTGGCTTTCCTTTAGGGTTCAGAAGATTGATAAGATGACTGCTGAACTGAGCCCCTTCCTTTTCATTGCAGAAGTTCTCATTCACACTGGGGTGTTTAATTGACAACCGAAGAATGTCAAGTGCAGGAAAGACAATATCTATTAAAAAAAAAAAGTCATTAATGCTTATGAAAATAAAGAAAATTTCTTTTGACTATCGACTTTGAAGGATTTTATTTTCCCACTGCAAAACTAACCATTTTAGAAAATGTGAAAAATCATGTGTCTGCTTTAAAAAAAATGCATATATTTCTGAAACTTTTGTTAATTTTTCATATTTATATAAACTAGATTTATTGCTGTAAGATCATATTCGCTTTAAAAATAAGGTAACTCTCTCAAACAGCCTACACACTGTGAGTATTCAAAAATGAATGGAAAGAATGGGGTGCAGACTTTGCTTTTAAAAAATTCTGTAAGACCGAACAATTAAACAGGGAAAGTTCTTTTTTTTTTTTTTTTTTTTTTTGAGACAGTTTCACTCCTGTTGCCCAGGCTGGATTGCAATGGCATGATCTCGGCTCACTGCAACCTCCACCTCCCGGGTTCAAGCAATTCTCCTGTCTCAGCCTCCCAAGTAGCTGGAATTACAGGTGCACGTCACCACGCCCAGCTAATTTTTGTATTGTTAGTAGAGACGAGGTTTCATCATATTGGTCAGGCTGGTCTCAAACTCCTGACTTCAGGTGATCTACCCAAGTTGGTCTCCCAAAGTGCTGGGATTACAGGCATGAGCCACCGTGCCCAGCCGGAAAGTTCTTAAGAGAAGAATTCCAGTTAACAAGTGATAGGATGCTTATAGGTTGGTGGGAGCTTTATAATCAAGGGCCTGGGTAGATGCCATCTGAATGAATGCACAAAATAATCTTAGCATCACTAAAGGTGAGGAAATCCAACATTATGTGCTCCGTAATGTAAAAGTAGTATGCATCATCATTTATAAAGGATTTCACCTAAAAAAAAAACACCTACTGAACCAGAATCTAATTTTGCCACTAGCAATAAATACAGAGATGGAGGAACACATCAGCAAAATCCATAATATGGGACATTTTATTGAAAAAAAAAAAAAAAAGACTTTTTCTCCAATAAATCAGTGGCATAAAAAAAAATAACAGGCAAGGACTCTTTGAGAATTAAAAAAGACTTAACTGACATAATTGGAAAAAAAAAAACTTACAGTAAATATTTGTAGCCTAGGGTTAACAGGTCACTAAGAGTATCTTGGATGCCTGGCCAGGAATCCACAAATGCTCTGAAACAGTAAACAAACAGGTGCATGCCCGGGCGCGGTGGCTCACGCCTGTAATCCCAGGCTGAGGCGGGAGGATCACGAGGTCAGGAGATTGAGACCATCCTGGCTAACGTGGTGAAACCCCGTCTCTACTAAAAATACAAAAAATTAGCCGGGCATGGTGGCGGGTGCCTATAGTCCCAGCTACTAAGGAGGCTGAGGCAGGAGAACGGCGTGAACCCGGGAGGCGGAGCTTGCAGTGAGCTTGCAGTGAGCCGAGATCACGCCACTGCACTCCAGCCTGGGCGACAGAGCAAGACTCCATTTCAAAAACAAAAACAAAACAAAACAAAAAAACAAAGAAAACAAACAACAACAACAAAAAAACAAACTGGTGCATATATGGGGATCATATATTACCTTCAGATTCTCAAAAGGCATGTAACGGAAACAAGATCATCAATTCCAGTAGTGTAGTGAACCCTTTTCGTGAAGATTTTCCATAGTGATTTAGAACTACCGAAGTTAACTTTCATTTAATCCACAAATACCAGTAATATTGATAGAAATGAAGATAAAACTTCTTGCTTTCTGGTTACATTTTTGAAGAGTGTTTATTTACCTTCAGGACAGTTAATAGCTTTCCACAAAATCTGAAGTTGCTGGACTGTGGGTTTTTCTGAAGAACTATTACATATTAGAGACAGTATCTTCTCAAGAAGTATCAAGTCATCCTCAGTTAACTTCTTCTCTTCAGGTGCAGTTCCATTAAGTTCCTTCAGTTTACCTAGAACCCAAAACCAAACTTTCAAAATTCTCTAACTGTAATTGGCCAGATAATATATAAATGCCAAGACTTTCAATAAAAGTACTCTAGTGTACACCATGGGGAGTTAAGACTTTACTCAGCAATTATCAAACACCATAAAGTAAGGATAAGGCTTATGAGCTTTGTCTTTTTTTTTTTTTTTTTTGAGATGGAGTCCTGCTCAGTCGCCCAGGCTGGAGTGCAGTGGCGCCATCTTGGCTCACTGCAAGCTCGCCCCCCAGGTTCAAGCAATTCTCCTGCCTCAGCCTCCTGAGTAGCTGGGACTATAGGCGCCTGCCACCATGCCTGGCTAATTTTTTGTGTTTTTAGTAGAGACGGGGTTTCACCACATTAGCCAGGATGGTCTCAATCTCCTGACCTCGTGGTCCACCCTCCTTAGCCTCCCGAAGTGCTGTGATTACAGGTGTGAGCCACCACGCCTGGCCTTATTATTATTATTTTGAGATGGAGTCTCACTCTGTTGCCCAGGCTGGAGTGCAGTGGCATGATCTCGGCTCACTGCAACCTCCGCCATCAGGATTTTCAAGCGATTCTCCTGCCTCAGCCTCCCGAGTAGCTGGAACTACCAGCATGCACCACCACACCAGCTAATTTTTGTATTTTTAGTAGAGATGGGGTTTCACCATGTTGGCCAGGCTGACCAACATGGTGAAAAACTCCTGACCTCAAGTGACCCACCTGCCTTGAACTCCCAAAGTGCTGGCATTACAGGCATGAGCCACCACGTCCGGCCTCCATTTTGGATGACTTTCAAAGCAGTATCATGTGTAATATATATTCAAGTGTAAGTCAATAACCTAGTTTCTCCATGAGAAAATTTATAACAACTTTTTAGCCAATTTATGTCAAATTCTACAGCTGTCAATGAAATAGTCAAAGAGTTAAATGCCTACTGATAACATTTAATTTATGACTTAGTTCCATATGCATATTTGATGTCACATTATTTTAAAAATTTATTTAATGGACATACTGCCCTTTCTTCCCATGTTCTCATTTCATGAAACAATTTCCTTCAAATCCTTCGCATGTATCTTTAGTATCAGTATCCTTTGTATCATGACTTTGAGTTACTGTGTTTCTTTAAAAATCTTTATCTCAAGAATAAAAAAGTCCAAATTCCGATAATAAGGAAAATTATCCAAATTTACACCATTGAAATCAATTATAAATGGAAACTAGGGCCTGTTTCACTAATCTCAGGTATTAACAGCTTTAACTCTAATAAATAAAAATCAAGTTCATTAAGGAATGCAAAAGTCTAAATACCTGTTAGATTTTCACAAGTTTTTTTAAAAAAAATCTAAAAGTGTGCATATACTACATTATTCAAAATAAAGCAATTAAGAAAATATTAATGAGTGATTTTTATAAATTTTTACAATACTGACTCTGCCTTATACTCTGGTAAGTATGTTACGTTATGTTAACCCAATTAATTCTCATCATAATCTTTGTGGCAAACAAAGCTAATAAGTACTCTTAGTCCAAGACAACAACAACAACAAAACACTGTATTTTGTTTTGAGGAACACAAACAGAAAAAGCAATCAAAGTCACTAAAGCAGATTAATTTCTTTTTTTTTTTTTTTCTCCTTGAGATGGAGTCTTGCTCTGTTGCCCAGGCTGGAGTGCAGTGGCGCGATCTCGGGCTCACTGCAACTCCTCCACCTCCCAGGTTCAAGTGATTCTCGTGCCTCAGCCTCCAGAGTAGCTGGGATTACAGGCGCCCACCACCACGCCCGGCTAATTTTTGTATTTTTAGTAGAAACGGGGTTTCACCATGTTAGCCAGGCTAGTCTCGAACTCCTGACCTTAGGCAGTCCGCCCGCCTTGGCCTCCCAAAGTGCTGGGATTACAGGCATGAGTCACTGTACCAGGCCAGCAGATTCATTTCTAATGGGCAATTTAAAATGAACTTGTATTATTTCTGAGGGCCACTAATCTTTTAAAGATAAGATCTTAATTTTTCAAATGCTTTACTCATTCATATTCATTAATTTTTTTTGAAAACATTAAGAGCCTGGGTGGGTAGAATTTACATTTTCCACCTTTAATTTTTTTTATTACAGTCATCATAAATTACTTACTTTATGTTTGTGTAAGACTTCTTAGAAAGTATTATGGATCCTTTACCAGACTGTATATTTGTGGTGGACACAGTTGTTTAATACTGCAATAGAAATATCTATTCATATTAAGTACCCAATTCCTGACACATGTTGGCAAGAGAAACAACCTTGATGACATCTCAAACAGTCTGTGAATATGTGAATAAATTAATTAAAGAAACTTACCTAATATTTGTGTAGGGTTTGCTTGGTCAAATGTGACAGCCTCTTTTTTAGGGAAATAAATATTCATTGTTTTAGATGCAGCTGATCGGTAGGCACTATTCCCTATTTAAAGAATAGAAGATGATGATAATCACAAGGAGTGATCAAAAATGAGATTTTTCTAACTATATGACTTAGTTTTCACAATTATTGAGATATGCAACTATTCAGTGCGTGCAATAAACAAGGAACCTCAAGGGGAAAAATATCCAAAATATTTTGTATAATTTATATTTATTGATATAATATTTTTTGGTTTTGGGAATGGAAGCTTAAATGTAGAACAAGATCATCTCACACTTTTTACTTCTTTTTTTTCTTTCTGAGACAGGGTGCAGTGGTGCAATCACAGCTCACTACAGCCTCGACCTCCTGGGCTCAAGCAATCCTCCCACCTCAGCCTCCGAAAGTGCTGGGATTACAGGTGTGAGCCACCGAGCCTGGTCTAAGATTAAATCTAAATTATAAATTTTAAAAAAGTCAAAGAATACCATATGATTATATGAAACTTTCCATTTTCATCTTCTCTAAGGCATGCTGATCTCTCCTTTTATGTCTTTTACTGCTTATTCCAAAGGATGTAGTAGGTATTATCATTTTCTCTAATCTTTTTCTGCATCATCTTTATAAATCCCCAAGTTGTAAATCCCTGAAGGACAGGAGTCCTAGTCTTTCTTTTTTTTTTAAGTATTTTATTAAGTTCCAGGGTACATGTGCAGGATGTGCAAGTTTGTTACATAGGTAAATGGATGCCATGGTGGTTTGCTGAGGAGTCCTAGCCCTTTTGTTTTTTTGAGACAGAGTCACGCTCTGTTGCCCAGGCTGGAGTACAGTGGCGTAATCTCGGCTCACTGCAATCTCCACCTCCTGAGTTCAAGCAATTCTCCTGCCTCAGCCTCCAGAATAGTTGGGATTACAGGCATGAGCTACCACGCCCGGCTAATTTTTGTATTTTTAGTAGAGACAGGGTTTCACCACATTGGCCAGGCTGGTCTCGAACTCCTGACCTCGTCATCCACCTGCCTTGGCCTCCCAAAGTGCTGGGATTACAGGCATAAGCCACCATGCCCAGCCTAATTTTTGCATTGTTTTAGTACAGAAGGGGTTTCACCATGTTGGTTGGGCTGGTCTCGAACTCCTGACTCAGGTGATCCGCTCACCTCAGCCTCTCAAAGTGCTGAGATTACAGGCGTGAGCCACCAGGCCCGTCTGAGTCCTAGTCTTTTATACTTTTTTTTACATCTTAAGTCTCTATTATATTAACAGAAACTCAGTATCTGATCATGAACAAACTGGCAAATGATGAAAATTCAGCAATATTCAATAAATAAAGTGACCTTCAACTAAAGTATAATTTAAATCTAATTTACATCTCACATTTCAAATCTTAATCAATTTAAACCCTATTTTGTTCAAATGTACAGTTAAGATATTGTGCAAAAATATGAATAAAAGATTTATCTTAATATTCTGATTACATTAGGAATAGAAAGGGATGAAGGTAGATAAAGACGAAACACTTAGTGAGATTGGTGTACAAAATTAATTGTTTATAAACAATAAATTTTTCTTGACATAAAAATGAGCCATACACACATTGCCTGCATTCTTGGTCATTACAGTCTAGGAGCTGTGTTAAGAATGCAAATATTAATCAAATATCATCCAAATAAGTATAATGAAAAGTTCCCTGATGGAAAAGTACAGGATGCAATGAAAGATAAGAGTAGGCGATCTAGCAAGGACACATGTGGGTGTTCAGAAAAGTTTCACTGAGCTTATCTAATAAATACTGTATTACAAAATTAAATAAAAAAGAAAAGGGAGAAAAACAGCCAATAATTTGTGGTCTAAATGACAAGGCAAAGGGCAATGCATAAGTATGCCAAAAGAAAACAGTGAGTTCAAAGCTCTGGAGGTAGAAAATACTATTACATGCTCAAGAAACTGACACCAGCCAGTATGGCTGGACAGAAGAAAGGCAATGAGGAATGTGGGGCAAGGCAAAAGAAAAATATTCACTGGGAAGCCACTGAAGAGTTTTTTAATCAAGGGAGGTGCATAAACAGAGTAAACAATAAAAAGATCACTGTCTGCAATATGGATCATCGAGAGACCAATTTGGAAGTTATTTCATTATTCCAGGCGAGAGGTGACATTAGCTTGTACTAAGGTATATAAAGCTTCAATATACACACCATGCTGTTAAAAACTAACTTCTGGAAAATGGGAGGGAGCACTGTTAACCTTTGTTAACAAGTACAGCTAACAATTACTAAGCATTAATTTGGTAAAAAGTTATTTACATAAATTTTATAATTTTAAGTTCTTAATTCTAGGAAGTAGATATGACCTCAACTTTGCAAATGAGAAAAACAAAAGCACAGACACATCAAATAAATTGTTCAAGGTCAAGCAGATAAAAAGTAGTAGAGCTGAGATTTGAATTTAGATTCTCACTCCAGAATCCATAATCTTAATTACAGGTACTATGTTATACTTCAGTATTGCTAACCAATGTTACTTTTGCAATTAAAAAATAGCTTACAAAATCACATGCCAAGTGATGGACATGGTAGTGTGCGCATGTAAACCCAACTACTCAGGAGGCTGAGGTGGGAGGATCATGTGAGCCCAGGAGTTTGAGCCCAGCCCAGGCAACAAAACAAGATCCCATCTCAAAAGTAATAAAAAATAAAAACACATGCTAGGTTAGTTATTGAGTGGTAGGTTTATGGGTGTTTATTTTAATGCTGAATAACATATATGTTACTCAATTTCTCTCATATAAATTACAAAGAACATAAAAATTAACTAGAAAAAAATATATGCCAAGATATCTGTCAAACCTGAAAGAGATGAACCACAAATTTAGCTCTGTGTTTTACTGGCAGCCAATACAGAGGAAAACATGCCAGCACATATTCAATGAACAAGTGAGGTATGTCAGACTGTAGACTAGGTAACTAAGGATTAAAAAAAAATTAGTTGCTCAGAAGAACTATAGCTATTCCAGGCATAAATCACAGAAGCAAATTCTTTCCTGAGTCTTCTTAAAGAGAACAATGTATAATCCAGTGAATAACATTCTCAACACATTAAGAATGAAGAGATGAGAATAAACACAGACTTTGTAAGAGTAGTGAGGAAAGCAGATTTACGACAGTAAAACAGTAGTTTCCGATCCTAGATGCATATTAGAATCACATTGGAAGATTATAAAACTACCCTTTGCCAAGCCCCCATCTCAGAGCAGAATTAGACCAAGTAAGCATCTCTGGGGATAAGGCTGAAGTACGTTTGCAAAGCTCCCCAGATGATTCTAAAATGTAGTAATCAGACAATTCTGAGAAAACTCAAAAAGCCAGACAAGTTTGGTCTCGATTTACTATATAAAAAGTTCTCAAGCAAGAAAATGACACAAATTTTCTTACTCTTTTTATTAAAGTTCCAACGAATTTTTAAAATCTAAAAAAAAGAAAAAGAAATAAAAAGTATGTACCTGTAAATGGATCAACTCCGGCCATGGTAGTTCCCATACTTGCAGAACCTGGTACATAACGACCAGCACCTACAATACAATAATACTCCTAGTAAGCAAAGGTGACTGTAAATTATAAAGTTCAAACTGCTCCTTCGCTTATTTCCAGTATTAAGCACACTTCACAATGGCGTCATTATATACATAATAAATATGCCACAAATTTAATACAGAAAAGTGCTTAGAACAGTGCCTGAGCATATCATAAGTGTTAGCTACAAAGTAAACATTACATGCCTTATATATTATAATTGTAGAAGTTTAGTAAACTACAAAAATGTAAGTGGATTGGAGAGAAATAAAAGTTTCCAGAATAAAATGTGAACACTATTCTATTGAAGTAAAGGGGTGGGACTAACTAGCACATAAGACAATTGGAAAAGACTCAGGTAAGAGTTAGAGATACTATGACAACAGCCCAGTCACATTTTATTATAGATAATACTTGTGGCTGTCCTATTGAAAATAGAAAGAAGGAAACTTAAAGAGTAAGTATAGAGAGAGAATCAGCAGGATTTGGAGATATTCAGAATAATGGATCAGCCTTTATGGGAAGAAGAAAAATGAGCTACTGTTCTAGCCTCTCTCAATTTATACTCTAGGAGTTGTTACAACCGGCGCAAAACATACAGAAATGCCAAAGAAAATTAAAAAAGCAAAACCAAAAAAAAAAAAGTAAGATTAATTAAAATAATGAGAAACACAGAATAAATGGATTTGTTGAAATTTAACCATATGCCAGTTAATCATCTTCTATGCATATATTCATTAAAGTATTATATAGATACCATTATAATTCACAATATTTTAGAAGCAGAAGGTTGAATAACTTGCCCAAGGCATTAAGCTGTTAAAAGGTAAAGTACACTCTCACACTTTTCTAAATATGGTTTTCTGACCACCTGAATGAATCACAGATTCAATACACAGATTCCCAGAGTCCACCCATAACCCAGGGTTACTCCAAACTGGCTCCACTTTAGAAACACTTGGGGAACTTTAAAAAATAAGATCGCTGGGCATGGTGGCTCACGCCTGTAAACCCAGCACTTTGGGAGGCTGAGGCGGGTGGATCACCTGAGGTCAGGAGTTCGAGACCAGCCTGACCAACATGGATAAACCCTGTCTCTACTAAAAATACAAAATTAGCTGGGCATGGTGGCACATGCCTGTAATCCTGGCTACTCGGGAGGCTGAGGCAGGAGAATTGCTTGAGCATGGGAGGCAGAGTTTGTGGTGAGCTGAGATCGCACCATTGCACTCCAGCCTGGGCAAGAAGAACAAAACTCTGACTCGAAAAAAAAAAAAATCTAAGATCAAACTACCACCAAGATCATTTATTTAATTAGAATCCTTGGGTGAGAGATCAGAGCATGAATAATTTTAGTTTTAACCTCCTCATTAATCTAGTGAATCAGAATCTCTTGGCCATAGAACCCTGGGATAAGTAATTTAAACAAGCTTCCCAGATCATTCTAATAAACATTAGCAGTTTAAGGACTGCATAAATTAATAAGGAAAAGAAAGAAGAATTAAGACTGACTTTAAGTTGTAGCCAGATAGGGAAATCTTTTGGCCCCAGTGCCACTGACAAAGTTGGGAAAACATCATCATCAACAACAACTAATACATACCGTGGCTTAAATATACTCCAGGCATTTTGCTTAACACTTACACATATTATGCTATTTTATTTTCATACCTCAATATGGTAGATGCTGTTATATATTTATACAAAAGTGTATTCAATTATCCTGATACCCTAATTCTCTTGGACATTGTGTATGCTATCTTGCATATCTACATAATTACTGCATCTTCTGAGTTACTGACATTATGGAACAGTGAGATATGCTCTGGTTATAATGGCCCCAGGAGTTTTCTTGATTTTGCTGGTATTAGTTGAAGCTTGATATGTTCTTTCTGTTCCAGAAAAAAAGCCGCCAAAGTGATTTGGATTCTCACTTGGTATTAAGTTTCAGGGCATCACTGTTTCTGAACTGCTGATAGAGAGAAAGCCATCTTATCTACTCTTCAGATCCTTACTACCATTTGAAATCACATTATGTTATCAAAGACTTCCTTAACAGCCACTGTGCCATAACAGCATTTAGTGTGATAGTTAATTATTTTCATTTACTTGTTATCAATGCACATGGTACAACCATTTCCATCTGGGCCATCAATAAATTCACAGGAAAAAGGAAGCTCACGGACAGCAATCCACAACTTCATGATGCTGACCTAACGTTGTATGTTTGTCCAATCTCTATGACTTAGAGAGGACTGTAGGTTGTCATTTTTATAGCTCACAGTACCAGTCTGCAAGGCCAGTGGATACCTAAACGCTATGATCTCTTCCCAAACTGAGTATACTGTCGAGGAACTCTGTCTGAAGATCCAACAACAGCATTATACAAGATATCAAAAGCCATTCTGAAAATAGAGACTTCTTCAGCTGCCTTAAAGTCCAACTCTGGCACTTTTTCCAGTAGTGTTGATGCTGAGGCATGCATACCTTGGTAAATAAATTCATTTTGAAGAGATACACCAACACTTCAAGGGCTTCAAGAAGGACATTAATAACTTAGATTAGGAAGACTACTCCTGGGTAGTTGGGTGGAATGTCTCCTTCCATGTTAAGTCAAAATATGCCTGGGGAGACTTCTTGATTGTACTGCTCCATCCAATATCAGGGCTCACATGGCTCCTTCTCTGCTCGTGATTGGTAGCATCTCGCCAGTGATAGCACTCATGCTGTGTCTTGGTTGGTGGGTTCCCCTATTATCTAATTTCACAGATAAAAAAAATAGGCTCAGACAGGTTAGGTAACTTGCCAACTTCTCATAGCAAGTAAGTGGTAGAGCCCAATTTTGAACCAAGGTTTGTCTGACTCTAAAACCTATATTCTTAACTATACTGCTCTCCTGGTGGGAAGGACCCCTGGAGAAAACAATGAATTCTAATAATATGCTATTTAAAAGTCACGAGGGAATCTACACAACCACTCCAGGAAAAAGCAAAAATCAGAAGTTAAAGAAAAGGAAATCCATCAAAATTGGAAATGCAGATAAGGGAATTACCAATTACTGGATGACATCTCCAAGATGTAAAGCCATGTGATGCAAGATGCTATACATTTAGTGAAGAAAGATACATGAATCAAAACTACATCCCACCTGTAAAAGGATCTGCTGTGGGTAGTGTGTTAGAAGATCCCGAAGAGCCCGGAACATACCGACCACCACCTGTGCATGCAAAATAAAGAAAAGGCAGAAGTGCACCAAAGTTCTGAATTTTTCAAACAGCACAATGCTTGTTTTAGAAGAACCTACATTTGGAGAAAAACAGAAGAGCAAAACTTTCACATGATAGAATGACAGAAACTATAGTCAGAAGTCTTATAACTGGGAAAAAACTGAAATTTTAATGATTCTCCAAGTTTTGTTTTCTTAACTTTAATGCTTTATTATACCTTAGCCCCAGCACTTAAATATTAAAACTTAATTCAAATATCAAAAGAGAATTGCAGGTAATATCTGACCTAAATATATAAACATACAATCAATTCCTGTCCCTGTTCCTATACAAATTCACAAGAGTTCCTGCTGTTGTTATTGTTATCAAAACCACAGGCACTAAATGTTAATCATTTAGAGCTCTAGGTTCATTAATTCATGTGTCAAACAATGGACTCAGGGCTGGGGATCCAGAAGGGAACAAAATTGCTTATATCCACTGAAGCTTACAACCTACTGGAGAAGAGAATTAGAAAAGGGATGAAAACTACAAAGGAAAGAGACTTCCATTTATACATTTACGAATGTGTGGCGTATGTGCCTATGTTTTGTTAGTACCTCTAGGGAAATAATCAGGTTGTCCACAAAAAAAACAAAAAACAAAAAACAAAAAACAGTAAGGATGCTGAAAAAGTTAAGAGTCTCAGAAGGGCAAAACAAGCCAAGTGCTTCCTAGATTTCCAGACAAAGTCAGCTGCTTTAATTCCTTTCCTGTATCCCACATGCAAAATAGCTTACACAGTACTACAATCTGTGTTCACTCTTGAACTACAGTCTGAAATTCCAACAACAAAAATATCCACATACTAAACAATTATTTTCTTTTTAAGTGCAAGTATTTGGAGGATCAGATCATCTGTAATTCAGTAGTAAGTTACTTTGATAATTTTTTTTAAAATTTTTTGATTTTTTTCAGACGGAATCTTGCACTATCGCCCAGGTTGGAGTGCAATGGTGCGATCTTGGCTCGCTGCCACCTCTGCCTCCCAGGTTCACGTGATTCTCCTGCCTCAGTTTTCCAAGGAGCTGGGATTACAGGCGCACATCCATCACACCTGGCTAATTTTTTGTATTTTTTTTTTTTTTTTTTTTTAGTAGAGACAGGGTTTCGCTATGTTGGCCAGACTGGTCTTGAACTCCTGACCTTGTGATCTGCCTGCCTTGGCCTCCCAAAGTGCTGGGATTACAGGCGTCAGCCACCACACCTGGCCTGATAATTCTATTTAAATCAACATGCAGGTAACATTAGTTTTATTTTATGAATGGGCAATGAAATTTTGAAGTAGAATGAGGAGATAATTTGGGAATGTGGAGTAGCTGTCAGGGAAGAAAAGGTGGATCTACATAAGGATTTGAGACAGGAATATAATACAAAGTCCTCGTAAAACAAGGAAGAGCACTAGCACCTGAAAAATGTTGAGTCAGAAATGATGAGAGGAAAACATTAACAGTAAAGTGCCTATCTCAAAATGTTATTTAGAGGAGGCATTTTATTTCCTCCTACACCAGTCTCCAGAACTCACGTTAATATTACTAGGATTAGATTCCACTTCCTAGGGGCCAGAATTTGGACTAGTACCATTAGGATTACAATTTACAGACTGGTATGAGCACCTAACTGCATTTATAACATGAGATACGATGTATACGATGTTACAAACAATTAACTTAAAATGAACGTGTAGAATACACATCACATATAAACTAAAACTACCCATAGGGTTCACTTTTAGATTTGATGCATGACTGACCAATTTAGCCTCATGTGAAAAAAAGATTTACTAAATTTTGCCAAAATATAATTTTTTAAAAGAAACACTATATAAAAGAACTTACAAGTTTATTTTTGTTTCAAATAACTGAAATTCCATTATAGTATGATTGTATTTTTGAAAGACAACAATTTACTATTATTTCTGTAAAATACAGAATTACTTCATCATTTGAGGCTTAAACATATGAATGTGAAGTAAAACCCTGCTGTAGATATTGGTATTTATTGAAAAAGCTAATCACATGACTATTTGAAAACATCAAAAAAATCAATCAACACTAATGGAACTACATAAGACTCAATATAAACACTAACTTACCTGTAAATGGATCTGAAAAGCTGGGATTCCCAAGTCCCAACATTTGACCTTTTGTGTTATCAATAATAAATTTAGCTACTTGATCCAGAAACATAGGATTCAAATCATTCTTCTGTAAGAAGTTGTATGCAGTTAACCAAGGGTCATCACTGGTATTATATGGCAATTTATATGATGGTCCACCTTCATTGACATCAATTGAGAAAACATAATCAAATTCCTAAAGTAGGAATATAAAAAGGAGATACATGCTTATTATCTGTTCACATATATTAATGACATATACAACATAACACAGATGTGTTCTTTAATAATTACAGTACTTAAACTTTCTCCAAAGTGCAGTGCTAAAATCTTCGTTTTTGGCAGATAAAGATTAACAGCCCCCATCTGCATGTGATGCAAAATTAGTATTTCATTAGGGGATGGGGGTGAGGATGAAGGATGGATTACAACTACATATTAACTCTAGAGCCAAAGCAGAGTTTCCAACTGGTTTGATATCAAGATCAAAATTATCAGCTGTTACTGTGCCCTACTCACCAAAACGTGCTGGCATTTTAAGCACTGCCCTGCAGGGTCTCTCATGTCTTGTCAAGTTAAATATAGCCAGGCATGAGGCATTTGATGAAAGGTGGCACAGAAGCTCCCAATCCAAAATGGCTGGGAACAGCTTTTGTATAGAAACTACTACATGACAGACAATTGCTAATTTGTCTCTCAAATGCAGCTCTCACTACATGGAAAGATACTTTTAAAATATCTATTTCAAGACAGGGAAAAAAAAGATTAGTTTCCCACAGTAATGGATTTTTAAATGTCAAAACAAAGGAAATTTTATCACTATGGGGCAAAGGAAACCTTTAATTTGCCTAATATTTAAGACAATAGTAATTAGAAAGTAGAAGTCGACATACTTTCCCTTCATATAAAACTTTTCCAGATGTTTGCTGATTAGCACCAGATGAGCCAACAACATCACCAATTTTTATCCACCTCCCTTCACTAACACTCCACTGATAGGCTTCGACTTTCTCCCCATCTCTGATTAGACGAGTCTGTCCTTCTCTAGTACCTTAAAATAAAAATTTTAAGAATCAAAGGTAGAATGGCAATGTAAAATTGAAAAACATTTAAATAGAAAATTCTTAACATTAAAATTTACACATAAGAGAATATGGATTTTGTTTCAAAATAAAATTGTATCAAATAAAAGATTTAAAAATGTGGCCAAAAGAAAATAACAGTTAAAAGGAAATATTATTAATCAAAGGAAGGTTAACAAAACGTGATTCTACTAGGAAGCAACTGGCCCATCAAAAATAAAACAAGTTTTATTAGTGAATATATCTTCCTAACACATTTCATTCCGTAAATGGCTCTCCATTAATCCAGTGGCTCAAACTGAAAAGTAGAAAAGCCTGATACCTTTCTCTCAACCCCATCGCTCCTTCGGCTACTTCTCAGCACCCCCTTCAGCTACTGCTATCAGCTCATTCTTTAAAATATATCTAGAAAACTGTCTCCTTAATATCTCCATCATCATCCCTTGGTCCAAGCCACCATCATTTCTCAGTTGGGTTGATTCAACGGCCTCTTTCCTGTACTCTTGGCCCCCGACAGTGTATATTCCACCCAGCAACTTCAGGAATTTTTTCAAAAGTTTAAGTAGGTCCTGACACTCTTCTGCTTGAAACCCATCAATGCTTTTCATCTCACTTGGTAAAAGCCTAAACTCTTGAGTAGTGTACAAGACCAAATATAAATTGTCCACACTATCCTACATGACCTTACTTTCTACTATTCCCCCTGTCCCCTCATCTCCCAACTTCAGCCACAGAGCCTTTGTATTAGCTGTTTATTCTGCCTATGATGCTCTTCACACAGATATTGGCAGTATTTGCTCCTTTCCCTCTTTAACAACTTTACACAAATGTCATGTTCTCAACAAGGCCTTCAGTGGCGGAGACAGCTATCCATCCTCCGAAGAATCATGCTCTTCTTCCATTAGATACAGCTGTAGTTGTCTAGCCAGAGACTACATTATCTAGTCCCCTTGCATTGGGCAGTCACATGATGTCACATTACTGAGTAATGGTCAGTGGAATCTGGGTGGATGTGATATATGCCAGTTCTGGCCTAGTCCATCATACTTTAATCTCCCCTCTTACCCCATCTTAATCTGTTTCAATTTGTTATTTTGGTTGACTACAAAAAGAAAATCCAGCCTAACACACGTAGGTAGTTGAAAAAGAGAAGACAAGTCTTTTCAGAAAATGTGGATAGGCCAGAAATACTAGTTTTTTAAACGCTACAGTGTACAATCTGAAACCACATCAATGAATTTTTCATGCTCTATTATACTAAAATCCACTGGTCTATCTTGTACTTTGAATGGATCTTTTACCCATGTCTGAGATGGTATCAGATACTAGTCATATGGAAAATAATGGTTCAATAACTTACGCAGATCTTCTGCATATTCATACAGTTTATTATTCAATATTAAAAAATGGCATTTGTTAATGTTATTACCACTAGTATCAATACAAATGGGAAGCTACTAAGTTCCTGGTGGAGATACATTTTTCCTACATTTCAATTTTCACTCAAACACTTGAATTTTATCTTTGGCAACATATATTATCAGTTATTTTCCTTGACGGAACATGCTCAATTTGTTCATTTTCAAAAAACGTCTGCCAAATACCAAAGCCTGAATAACCGTAGTCATTCTTTCAAATAAAAATAGCACTCCATGAAAAAACTGGTAGTTTAGCCTGCAACTCAAATGACTGCGCATGTTCTTTTCTTTGAGACACCACAGTATTTTGACTTACTTTATGTCTACTTTAGGTTTTCTCACCCGGAATATTTAAAAAGATGTGTCAAAATGTAATAAAACTGATAATTCTTAATATTAATACCTCATCAAGGACATGCTTAATGGCAAACTGTTTTTTTTTGTTTTTATTGTTTTTTTTTTTTAAACTACAACTGCATGCAAGTAGAACATAGTAACTTACCAGAATGGTTTAAAGCCCCTGGCTTGATTTACATACTAGTGAACCAGTGGTTTTACCCACCATTGTTTTTGCACCATAAGTGCAAACATTAATACAATGTACAACATTCAAATAATATCTAGTATTACAAAAATTAGTTTTGACCTCATGGACATCCTGAAAGGATCTCAGAATCCCCAGAGGTCCATGAATCAAGCTTTGAGAAGCACTGGTATAATAATGCAATCAAGAGATACATCCAACCCAAGATTTCATTTGAGATGACTACGGTCTTCTGATTTCAAACTCGAATGATTCCCAACTCATTACACAGACAATGCTTGATTTTAACTCATTTTTTTTTTTTTTTGAGACAGAGTCACACTCTGTCACCCAGGCTGGAATGCAATGGTGTGGTGTCGGCTCACCGCAGCCTCAACCTTCTGGGCTCAAACCATCCTCCCACCTCAGCCTCCTGAGTAGCTGGGACTACAAGCGCATGCCATCACACCTGGCTAATTTCGTATTTAAACTCATTTTAATATTCAGTTTGTAACCCCTCTCAGAGAATCCAATCAACCAAAAAGTATTAAATGAGTGCCTTTTGAGTGTCTACTGTAAATGATCTAAGTGTTGGGAGATTTATTTTTTAATTCCTGTTTATGAGAAGCTTAATTCAAAGTCTTCTGTGAGACAGAGGCAAGAACATGGTTTCTCATAGTGATTATATGTAATAGTAAAAATCCTCAAAAATCAGCATCTAGCAATGAAAAACACAAGCAAAACAACATTTATTTTTCTTCTAATTGTTCCAAAAGCCAAATATGGTGAATTTTTTCTACTAGGTACAATAAAATACTTACCAGGTTCATTAAGATGTTCCCTCCCAGGAAGCTGCTCAGCATTGATGTCCCCTAAATCGCCAGTTTTAGAATCAATGGTTGCGTGAGACAGTTCTTTTTCAAAAGCCTTGATTTCTTCAGCACTTGCTGTTCGATCTTCTGATTCTGTAAACACTCTAATAATGCCATCACTGTAAGGAAAAATAAACTGATTTTAGAAGTCATTGCCATAATACATTAACATTATCACACCTGAATGATCCATAGTAAAAATAATCTGTGTTTGTGAATATGAGAAATATTAGCATGTTATTAATTGCTGATTACAGCACTGTGCTGACTTCAGCACATGCTACTCTATTATGTCAACTATTTAATAGAGAAGTTATTGACAAAGAACAGAGAAACATGTATTTTATACAATTTCCAAGTTAAATATTTACCATCATAAGAATCTAGAGCTATAGTATGTACTTTTAAAGTCAATATTTTTTAGTTATTACCATATAGAGAAGGGTAGTGGGCTAGTTTAGTTTATAAAGGGCTCAAAGACCCAATGTAGGGCTTAAAATTAGCAGATGTTCAGTAGACAAATATGGTCATCCTTTACTATGCCAGTAACTAGCAATGTAACTTCAATCAAGGAAAAAAAATGGCCTAATGTTTGGATTAGATGGCCGTCCTTAACCTCTTTTCTCAGAAAAATTACTTTATCTCCATGATTTCTTAATTCGAAATTCTGAGATAGGAGAAGCAAATTAGACACTTCCAACTGTATTAATCCTGGCCCATTCTACAGGAAACCTGTTTCTAACTTATTCGTCCACAAACATGTACATCACTCGTTCTATTGGTTTTTCTTCATATGCTTAGGAGGGAAAAAAACTAAGCCTATAAATCAGCCTCTGTCCCAGCCAAAAAATAAAACACCCACTTTATTAGACCCTCTATCCCTTATAGCTGTCACCTTCTTTTTCTTCTCTTTTTCTTTGAGACAGGGTCCAACTCTGTCACCTAGGCTGGAGTGCAGGGGCGGCAATCACAGCTCACTGCAACCTCAAATTCCCGGGCCCAAGCAATCCTCCCACCTCAGTCTCCTGAGCAGCTGGGACTACAAATGCATGCCACCATGCCCAGCTAATTAAATATTTTTTTTGTATGGAGACAGGGTCTCGGTAGCTCACCCAGGATAGTCTCGAACTCCTGAGCTCAAGCGATCCTCCCACCTGGACCTACCAAAGTGCTGGGATTACAAGTGTGAGCCACAGCAGCTGGCCTTCTTATTGCTTTCAATGCTAGAGTAGCATTATAGAGTAGTCTATGATCCTTCGTCCATCTCCTCCAACCCTTTATTTCCTCTTATTTGCCTTTTTTTCTATCATTTTCTATTCAAAATGTGATTGATGCCAAAAGTCACTAATAACATCTTTCAAACCAAATCCAAATGCTTTTCAAACTTTCCATTCTTTGACTCCTCAAACACTTTTGACACTGATGACAATCTCCCTCCAAAATCTCTCCTTTTCTGTCTCCCAGAAATTTCAACATTTGAATTCCTTTGTTCTGTTTAACCTACTAACTTCTTTTTCTCTACTAATGGTATATCATAAAACTTAGTTCTTAGTCTTCTGTTCCTCCCCTGTATTTCTTCCCTCAGAGAATGGTGTTCTATGCTTTGCTTTTGGAAGCTTTGCGAAATCTTTATCTTAGCCTCAGTTCTTATACTAAGCTCCAGTTCAAATGACCATGATCCACTGGCATGAGTGTGGCTCACCACCACTGCAGACCTCAGGAAGTCTAAGGCCACGGTCATCACCTTCTGTACCCAACCAATTCTCCCACTTCTCCATTTTTATTAATGAAGATTTCCAATCACTAACAGTTTGAAGCTTTATCCTTTTCTTTCATACTTTTTCTGATTGTTTTCCTTCTGGATTATCTCATTTACTTATTTCCTACCCATTAGCATTGTGGGGCCAATGTCTTATAACTTCACACTCCTTCTGTACTTGCTTTCTAATTTACTTTCCTGTCCATTGTCACCAGCAGTTAAATCCAATCTACATATTTAGTAATTCATAAGTTCTGCTTCAATCCTATTTCTTGCTCAAGAACTACAACCCTTCAACCCCAGGCAATGAATCTAAAAAATGCCTGGCATGAAAGCACTAAAGGTTCTCCACAGTTAAGCCCCATTGTACCTATTATCTCAGCATTAGTACTCCACCATTTTCCTTCACTTCCTATGCATGCTGCATTCATTCTCATGAAGGAAACTTATACTCTTAGCTTTGACAAAAATTTGCGTATCTTTTCTCACTCATAATCTTTCAAAATCCAGTTCAAATTTCTTCTTCTACAGAAAGTTTTCCCACACCAATCTCTACCTTCTCTAACTTCTTTTGTAGTCAATATCTTGACTGCACAATTGCAGTACAATACTGGTATATCATGCATCATTGACTGCACAATTGCAGTACAATACTGGTATATCATGCATCCCTTAGTATGAAAGCTATAATATCTACTACTGTTTTGTTTAGTAATTGAAGTGTCCATATAGTCTCCTCAAGTCACGTGAAATTCCTTATGGCTTATCTCTGTACACTCTAGTTCCTACTGAAGGCCTAGACATATAACATTTAATGATTGACTAGAATATAAATACCTCGCACCAACCACAATGTCACCATTGTCGAGCACACAGCAGCACCATATAGACTGAGCTGGAAGTCGGATAGTTTGAGCACATTCCCCATGTTTCCAGATTCTCAGAGATCTGTCCTCTGCTGTTGTCACAAAGTCTAAAATTAATGAATATAGGAAGTATTAGTTTGAATAAAATTAAGTACATTTATACATACCATCTTTCTAGATACACTGACTTTTTGAAACCCAGAGACTTTCAAAATTACAGTTTTAAATTTCATATGTTTGTCACTTACAACATATACAACTTCAAAATCACATTTTTTATTCATGTCACATCTTACAAAGTGTTTCTTCAGATACCCAAGAACTTTTTACAGCACAACATAAATCTGAATTAATATAAAGATGGCCATACAATTTTCTTCTTTGTAAACAGGAGAAAGATACTTAATGAAATAAATTTACTAAATTATTCAAGTCATAGATAGTAAATTAAGTAATCAGCTCTCCTCCCTCCATCTCACAAATGGGATGGAATAATGCTCAATACAAAACATTAAATAAATAGCATAAAATAATCTTACCTCTACAATTTGGAAAAACGGATATGCTATAAATATAATTTGTATGTCCATAATATACTTCAAGACACTCGCCAGTGATTTGCCACCTTCTAATACTAGCATCATTTGCACAGGAAAGAAATTCTGTTTCACTCAAAATTGCCAAACCTCTTACACAGTCTTCATGCCCTGCATTAAAAAACAATAATGCAAATCAATAAAACTGATAATTTGGCTGATGGCTCTATACATTTTACTAACATTATAAAACATATCAGTGAGTAGTAAAAATTAATTTTCAAGTTAGAGAAATCTTTTTTTTTGTTGAAAGCCTGATAACCAAAATTTGTATTTAAGGTTTAGCAATATTTTTTTATCACCAGTCTTCAGAAGTTATTTTACATTCATCCTACCTTCTCCAAAAACCTCCAGAAATAGTATTTTGACCCCAATAATTTGTTTTCACCTGAAAATTCATTTTTAATTTTTCTTCCCCAACAAGAGTAATTTATAAAATATATAATATTCAAATATAAAAGAAATATATAACAAAGAGTAGCCCATAAATTTAAGAACAAAACATTCTCTGAAGCTTGTGAAGTCAGATTTCCTATGTTCAGTATCTGTTGACTTAAGAGTAGCTATCACAGATTAATAATGACTTGATACATATATATAGACTATATACTGAAGCAGAAACAGAAGGATGTTTAGTCATCATCCACTTTCCATCAAAAGATACTTTTTTTGTTTTTCTTTTTTTTTTTGAGATGGAGTCTCACTTTGTGGCCCAAGCTGGAGTGCACTGGCACTACCTCTGCTCACTGCAACCTGTGCCTCCAGGGTTCAAGAGATTCTTGTGCCTCAGCCTCCCGAATAGCTGGGATTACAGGTGTGCATCACCACTCCTGGCGAATTTTTTTGTATTTCTAATAGAGACAGGGTTTCACCATGTTGGCCAGGCTGATCTCGAACTCATGGCCCCAAGTGATCCACCCACCTCAGCCTCCCGAAAGGCTGGGATTACAGTTGTGAGTCACTGCACCCAGCCAAAAGATACTTTTATCTGTACAAAGGGACTTCTTGCATATTATCTAGGGTAGTTACCAACTTTTAAGGAAAAAATTCAAAAAGGAAAAACAACACCAATTAAAATTAACAGTAAATACTTAAGTACCCTACAAATAAATCAATGATATTACTATTAGATAGCAGATGCATCAGTATTGGCATTATTTAATAGCTGGGGTTTAAAAAGAATACTCACCATAAACCACAACATAAACAAAGCTTGAAATTCGTTATAAACAATGTGCTTCAATATAAAGACACTAATAATGATTTCTTCCATATATGAAGATAACACTGCTGACTGACCATCAGTAAGGCTTATGTTTAGAAGTTTCAGGCTAAAAGTATTAAAATGACAACCAAAAATATAACTATATACCAAAAATTACATACATATATGCAGAAGCACATATGCATATTATATATAGCTTATCAGACAGCTATTTATCAGTCTACATTTGGCTGTTTTATGAGAGGTTTCATTATCTTTTTAAATGTATTAGATATTAACTCATCAGAAAAATTACATTAACTCAAATTAATAGCTTAAATATACTAATGTTTTTCAAATATTTTCATGCTTGTAAACTTCTGAGAAAAAAAATCTGAGCAAATAAAAAGCAATGATATTATAAAACTTGTCTACCCTGATCTTACCTGAAAAAGTCCTCTCACATCTTCCAGCCTTCCACAGTTTAACAGTCTTGTCTGCTGATCCAGTCAACATTAAGCCCTGTTCAGGTAAGATCTTTACCGCCCACACTGCAGCTGTATGACCCTGTGAGTAAAATGAGTATCAATTTAAGTTGCCACAGAATCATTCAACTTAATTATTCTTTAGAATATTTACACAGAACTACTGTACCTGCAAGGTCATCATGCACTTGTCATTCAGCCAGACTTTAGCAGTGGTGTCCCATGAACCACTAAGTAATGTCCCAAATTTTCCAGATGATAGACTACAAACTAAGGAAAAAACATCATTGGATAACACATTTTCATACAGAAAAATGCTCAACATTGAAAGTTACTAAAGCATTCCAATTTTAAAAACACTCTTTGAAGTGGCAGTATCTTAGCTAACTAAGGCTCAATTCAGCAGAGACGCATAAGAGTACAGTGGTCAAGAGCAGACTCTGGTGCCAGACTGCCTGGGCGCAAGGCCTAGCTGTGCCACTTACAAGCCACGTAACTGCAGAAATATTACTCAAAATCAGATTCCTTGTCTGTGAAACGAGGGAGCGGAACTTAAGTGAGCTACACAATCCTTCCAGCTTTAACAAATCATAATAGGGAGATAATGTAAATGATTTTGAAACACTGTTTATATAAATATTTAAGGCTGCTTTCATGACAGTGACCATAAAACCTGCAGCCAAGCTCAATGTCCAAAAGTAATGAAGTGGTTAATTAAATGTCTTACTTTCTTGATGTGAAATTATGCAGGCTAAAAATTACAAATATGAAAAATTATGCCAGGCACAGTGGCTCACACCTGTAATCCCTGCACTTTGGGAGGCCAAGGCAGGCGGATTGCTTGAGCTCAGGAGTTAGAGACCGGCCTGGGCAATGTGGAGAGACCTCATCTCTACTAAAAATACAAAAAAATAGCTGGGTGTGGCGGTATGCGCCTGTGTTCCCAGCTACTTGGAAGGCTGAGGTGGGAGGATTGCTTGAGCCCAGGGCACAGAGGTTGCAGTGAGCTGTGATCATATACCACTGCACTTCACGCCTGGGTGACACAGCAAGATTCTGTCTTTAAAAAAAAAGAAAGAAAAGAAAAATTAGCCAGGTGGAGTGGCTCATGCCTGTAATCCTAGCATTTTGAACTGAGCTCAGGAGTTTGAGACCAGCCTGGGGCAATATAGTGAGACTCCAGCTCTAAAACAAAAATTTTAAATTAGTCAGACATGGTGTCACGCGCCTGTCGTCCCAGTAAGAGAATTGCTTGAGCATGGGAGGCCAAGGCTGCAGTGAGCTGTGAGAGCAGCACTGCATTCTGGTATGACCAAGAAAGTGAGACCCTCTCTCAAAAGATAAAAGAAAAAAAAAGAAAAATTATCTTAGGAAAGAAGAGTATCATTGGCGGTCGAAGCACAGCCATAAAGAACCTTGGATTGGGAAACCTTTTTCCTAGACCAGAAGGAAGCAATCACAAAAGTCTCTCTACCCTGAGCTGAGGATCCTTGAGACAGCTACTTATTTGGATTTCAGAATGGCTCTAGATCAAAAACTGTTGTCTTGCACTGCTTCCTCTTCTGAATGAGTGTTTGCTCTGATTATCCTATTCCTTTTCCATAATTGTATATTGGGTATGGTTGACAGCTTACTTATAAGCATCACCTCTCTGATGTTTAGAATACTTAGCATCACTCAGAGGAGACTTTTGGATTGTTTGATGAAGCTGAATCGTTGATGACCAGAAAGCATGCTGTGGTAACTCTCCCTTTTTGGACACATGGGAGAATGGTACTTTCCTCCTCCATTTGAAGTTAGGCATAGCCATGATACTTGCATTAGTCACCAGACAAAACGGTAGCTGACACTTTCAGTCACACACATGTTTTTGGTGTTTTTTTAAAATTGATTTTTTTAATTCTCTACTACTGTGACATTCAAGGAAGGCACATGCTTTTAAAAGCCAGTGCCTTATTATTATTATTATTTTTTTTTTTTTTTTGAGACAGAGTCTCGCTCTGTCGCCCAGGCTGGAGTGCAGCTGTGTGATCTCGGCTCACCGCAAGCTCTGCCTCCCGGGTTCACGCCATTCTCCTGCCTCAGCCTCCCGAGTGGCTGGGACCACAGGCGCCCGCCACCACGCCCAGCTAATTTTTTTGTATTTTAGTAGAGATGGGGTTTCACCGTGTTAGCTAGGATGGTCTCGATCTCCTGACCTTATGATCCGCCCGCCTTGGCCTCCCAAGTGCTGGGATTACAGGCATGAGCCACTTCGCCCAGCCAACCAGTGCCTTATTAACCATGTTGCCCTTTGACTGCTCCAACAACTACTGAAGCATGTGTGGAGAGAAAGCCCCATTAGCCTGGGTCCCTGAGAAAATCTGATGAACAGAGTCCCTTTATTAATCCATGTTGAACATGTAGGGTTAATGAGAAATACTCATATGTTACATCACTGAGATTTTTTTTTTTTTTTTTGAGATGGGAGTTTTGCTCTTGTTGCCCAGGCTGGAGTGCAATGGTGCAATCTTGGCTCACTGCAACCTCCGCTTCCGAGGCACAAGTGATTCTCCTGCCTCAACCTCCCACGTAGCTTGGATTACATGCATGCGCCACCATGCCCGGCTAATTTTTTTGTATTTAGTAGAGACAGGGTTTCACCATGTCAGTCAGGCTGGTCGTGAACTCCTGACTTCAAGTGATCCACCCACCTCGGCCTCCCAAAGTGCTGGGATTACAGGCATGCACCACCATGCCCAGTCTGAGATCTTAATAGTTGTAACTTGGGTGCTCTTTACATTCTTCCACAAATCAGTATGATATAATTGGATAAAATACCATTTCCCAGTAAAAGAAAAAAAAAAACAGGACTTCTTGGCAAAAGTGCTGGTTTGAGGTCTAGAGCAAGAAGTGTACAAACTGAACCTAGAACATTCTGTAATAAAGCAAGGAAGACTACTGAAGGTCTTATAAAAAGGTGACAGGAGCCAATTTAAAGAGGTTTCCAATGGCCAGATATGGAACAATTTGAGAACTGAAAAAAAAAAAAAAAATTCAGGAAACAACTCCTTCTGCAAACCAGTAAATAAATTGGGAGAAGGGTCAAGGAAAGCATTTATTCTGTCTTTTCTGTATAGAAGTCCCACATGGTAACCAGTTGATGTGGAAAGATCTATACAGAAAAGTCTTGGCGATCAAATGCAGAAATAATATTAGAATTACAGTACAATCATTTTGTAAACCTTAATAAAATATTGAATCTAGGCAATGATTATCAGTAGCTGCTAAAAATTACCATTATGTGAAAGGCTGATGGGAACTTTATAATGAAAGAAAGATACAACACTTGAACCCACTGATCAATCTTAATATCACAAAAAGATATTGTGTGCTTCCTGATGTGATACAATAGAAAATACAGAATACCACCTATACTGTTGCCAAAAACTTGAATCTGAACCTGATAAAGCTACTAGATCTATTTAACAGCTTACAAGAAATATAGGTGACTGAAGAACACATTAAAGGAAACAAGGCTTTAACCAGTAAAACTGAGATTGTGGGAAATTCTACAGCTAAAATAATCTGGTTTTAAGCAACAAGAAAAAAAGAAAGAAACTGACAGATTGAAAGATGTAGGGCTGGGCACGGTGGCTCATGCCTGTAATCCCACCACTTTGGAAGGCCGAGGCAGGCAGATCACCAGAGTTTAGGAGTTATAGACCAGCCTGGACAACATGGATCACCAGAGGTCAGGAGTTTGAGACCAGCCTGGACAACATGGTGAAACCCCATCTCTACTAAAACTACAAAAAACTTAGCTGGGCGTGGTGGTGGGCACCTGTAATCCCAGCTACTTGGGAGGCAGAGGCAGGAGAATCACTTGAATCCAGGAGGCAGAGGTTACAGTGAGCTGAAGATTGCACCACTGCACTCCAGGCTGGGCAAAAGAGTGAGACTCCATCTCCAAAACAAACAAACAAAACAAACAAACAAACAAAACAGATGTGGACCTTATTTGGGTCAGAATTCAAATGAACTGTAAAAAAAGATTTATGAGACAACTGGGTAAATTTGAACATTCACTGGATGTTTTTGTTTTGTTTTGTTTTGTTTTAGGTGTGATAACAATATTGTGGTTATTCTTTTGAGGACGTGAGTGTCCTTATCTTTTAGAAGGGTCAACAAACTAATGCTGGTGAGCCACCTGTATTTGTATACCTAACAAACTAAGAATGTTTTTTACGTATTGAAGTAATTGAGAGAAAAACAATCAAAGGCAATCTTCTAACGTGAAAATTATATGAAATTCAAATTTCAGTGTTCACAAATGAAGATTTATTGAAACACAGACATGCTCATTCATTTATTTACTGTCTATAGCTGCTGTGCACTACAACTGCAGAGTTGAGCAGTTATGAGAGCAACCATATGGCCTGAAAAGCAGAAAATTTATTTACTATCTGATCCTTTACAGAAAAAGTTTGCCAACCCCTGTTTTAGAGCCACATAATGAAGGATGTATTTATAAATGAAACAGCAGAATATCAGAAATTTTAAAATGATGTAGTGGAAGGAGGGGGGAAGATGAAACAAAAATAAGATATCTCTACTTCTGTGTACATTTGATTTCTATATAAAATTTTAAAAATCTGTATCCCTCTGTATTGAAGACTTCTCACACAAACACACATACAGGCACACAAACATTTAAAAAATTCTTTCTGTTTTTGGTCGGGCACAGTGGCTCATGCCTATAAACCCAGAACTTTGGGAGACTGAGGCGGGTGGATCACCTGAGGTCAAGAGTTCGAGACCAGCCTGGCCAACATGGTGAAATCCCATCCCTACTAAAAACACAAAAATGGGCCAGGCACGGTGGCTCAGGCCTGTAATCCCAGCACTTTGGGAAGTCAAGTTGGGCAGATCACAAGGTCAAGAGATCGACACCATCCTGGCCAACATGGTAAAACCCTGTCTCTACTAAAAATACAAAAATTAGCTGGGTGTGGTGGCGCGCGCCTGTAGTCCCAGATACTCAGAAGGCTGAGGCAGGAGAACTGCTTGAACCCGGGAGGCAGACGTTGCAGTGAGCCAAGATCACGCCACTGCACTCCAGCCTGGTGAAAGAGCAAGACTCTGTCTAAAAAAAAAAAAACCATAAAAAAGCTGCGCATGGTGGTGGGCACCTGTAATCCCAGCTACTCTGGAGGCTGAGGCAGGAGAATCGCTTCAACCCGGGAGGCAGTCCTGGCAGAGGCTATAGTGAGCCGAGATCACAAGATCACACCACTGCACTCCAGCCTGGTGACAGACCGAGACTCCGTCTCAAAATAAATTAAAATTAAAATTAAAAAATAATTTAAAATAAAAAATTATTTTTGTTGGCCAGGCGCAGTGGCTCACGCCTGTAATCCCAGCAATATGGAAGGCCGAGGGGGGCAAATCACAAGGTCAGGAGATCGAGATCATCCTGGCTAACATGGTAAAACCCTGTCTCTACTAAAAATACAAAAAAATTAGCCGGGCGTGGTAGCAGGCGCCTGTAGTCCCAGCTACTCGGCAGGCTGAGGCAGGAGAATGGCGTGAGCCCGGGAGGCAGAGCTTGCAGTGAGCCGAGATCACGCCACTGCATTCCAGCCTGGGCGACAGAGCGAGACTCTGCCTCAAAAAAAAAAAAAAAAAAAAAAAAATTTTTTGTTTTTAGAGACAGGGTCTCACTCTATCACCCAGGCTGGAGTGTGGTGGTGTGATCACAGCTCACTGCAGCCTCCAACTCCTGGGCTAAAGCAATTTTCTCACCTCAACTTACTGAGTAGCTGGGACTACAAGCATGCACCACCATGTCCAGCTAATTTTTTAATTTTTTGTAGAGATGGAGTCTTCCTATGTTGCTCAGGCTGGTCTCAAACTCCTTGCCTCTAGCAATCCTCCCGTCTTAGCCTCCCAAAGTGTTGGGATTACACATATGAGCCATGGTGCCTGGCACATTATACAAATTGTTTAAAGGAATTTAAGTGTTTATGAAACATGTTCCAAACTATTTCATTTATATTTTTAAAAAAGTACACTTACTGCACCGATTAAGCATGTCATTCTACAATAAAGAACTGTTAAGCCACACAGAAATCCAGAATTATCACAGAATCAGGAATATACACAAATCACAGAAAATAATATTCAAATATATTAAATACTCCTCAATAATACCAGAGCCCTAAACACACTGCTCTGGGTCTTCAATTAAATACTTTTAGTTTTCTGAATAAATGCATTCATTGCATGAAATAGTTAAAAACCAGACTCATGAAGTATATTCAAATTATATAGCCTCTTTTATTACTGAACACTTTACTTTTTTTTTTTTTTTTTTTTTTTGAGACAGTCTCCACTCTGTCACCCAGGCTGGAGTGCAGTGGCAGGATCTCGGCTCATTGTAACCTCTGCCTGCCAGGTTCTAGCCATTCTCGTGCTTCAGCCTCCTGAGTAGCTGGGATTACTGGTGGGCATCACCACACCTGGATAATTTTTGTATTTTTAGTAGAGGCGGGGTTTTGCAATGTTTTCCAGGCTGGTCCGAACTCCTGGCCTCAAGTGATCTGCCTGTCTCACCCTCCCAAAGTGCTGGGATTACAGGTGTGAGCCACCGCTCCCGGCCAATAACTGAACAGATTACTTTTTACATATATAAGCATATCAACCTTTACTGATCACAACAAATTTGTAACAGAATTTTTACGGAACTAAGATAGCCCAAAAGCGTTTCCATTACCAAACCACAGATATAGGTAAAACAAAATATAATAAAAACTTGAGAAAATGGATATGTAAATTTTACTTTCAAAGGGATAAAACTTCAAATAGAAAAACACCAAAGCATTATTATACTCACCAGTATTTTTGTGGCCTTTTAGAATATAAAGTGGCATTGGACTGTCCAGTGAGAAAATGCATATATTGTGGTCATTTCCACCGGTGGCAATTAGGCCATGAGGGTAGATGTCACTTGAGGGTATGATGCATACACAAGATACAAAATTGGAATGGCCACTCATACAGTGCATTTCTGTAAAGCTCCTGTTTGGACTGGAAAGACAAGATAATTAATAGATACATATTCGTACCCTGACTTAGCCTAGGACATAAACTGTCAAAGCACTCATTTTCATTTAGTGTCTAGACAAACTTTAGAGTATATACTATCTTAAGAATCTATTGTTTTAAAATTGAACCTTACATAATTCATATGAACTACTATAGAGAATTACATGAGATAAAGAGAAGTTTGTTTAGTGTTTCTTTGATAAGAATACGTTAACATAGAGAACAAGGAAAAAAGAAAGGGCAATAAATAATCATGACTGGGTTTTTTCTCAATCTCCATCTTCACTTCTACACATTAGTGACTGTTACCCTAAGAAATCCCTGGTTAAACGAAACATACATGCAATTAAGATAATGAAATTTATTATTAAGAAGACCTAAATATACTGAGGACTTTTTCACATTATGAAGCATTGACTTAGAGCCCAGTAGTATAGTACAGCATGTGTTTCTACATAGCTAGAACAGGGGTGTCAAATCTTTTGCCTTCCCTGGGCCACACTGAAGAAGAAGAATTGTCTTGAGCCACGCATAAAATATACTAACACTAATGATAACTGATAAGCTAAAACAAATAAACAAAAAAACCCCACCTAATACAGAAATATATAAATGGCTAGAGTAATATTATATAATATATAATGTTATATATAATTATATATATCAATGAACACAGTACATTAATAATTGCACTGGGATTAAAATGATTACCAGTTTGTGACATGTATCAATCACTTAGCATCACTGCCTTACTTAACAAGTTCAACCAGCAGATTATGATTTACTATGTGGAAAGCAATAAATTACCTGCTGAGAGGGATAAAAAGAATTATATCCCTGACTCAGCTAAATCAAAGAGTTTGCAGTCTAGTTGAAGAAGATAAGTGTACATAAAGAGGTAAGACTCCCAGATAAAGACTAAACAAACTCATCTATTTTCACTTCCTTCCCAAATTCCACTAAAAACAATAAATACTTATGTTTTTTAATAAAGGCTTAATTAAACCCACAAGGCCAAGGAGAATGAAAAAAAAAATACATGAATACAACTTTGAATATTTAAAGCTTACAGAAAAGTAGTAAGGGCCTTAGGAGACCTGAGTCCTAGCAGGCAGCAGGACAACCGAAGAACCAATTTACCAACAAAGGGCTTAAGAACTAGAGAATATTCTGGGAAGTCGGCAGAGTCGGAAGCACCAGGCATCTGTTTTCCCACCTAGACAACGATGGCACTGGCAGAATCTGTCTGATGTAACTATTATGAAACTTTGCAGTCATTTGAAAGCTTGCAACTTCTAGGGGAAGGCTTGGATTGTAAATTGAGGTTAATTTTGATCAATGCCTGCTCTTGGCACAGTAGCAGTTACCCACACCTCACCCTTCTAGCCCCATGGCAGGCAGTCATGCATCTGTTCCCAGAGAACCTTGCTCACAGCTGTAGGAACTAGGGTTGGCAAAAAGGATCCTGTCCTCCAAATATCAGAGATCTGTTCTCTGATCACTGATTGCTGCTTTGATCACAGAGCAACAACAAAGAGGCAGGCAGCCATTGTTGTTGCACCTCCCCCGGTTGATGCAAGCCTCTACCACTTGAGCTGAAGTGACTTCCAAGAGGATTTAAAAGGCTGATGCCCGGCCGGGCACAGTGGCTCATGCGTGTAATCCTAGCACTTTGGGAGGCCGAGGTGGGTAGATCACCTGAGGTCAGGAGTTGGAGACCAGCCTTGCCAACATGGTGAAACCCCGTCTCTACTAAAAATACAAAAATTAGCTGGGCGTAGTGGCAGGTGCCTGTAATTCCAGCTACTTGGGAGGCCGAGGCAAGAGAATCGCTTGAACCCGGGAGGAGAAGGTTGCAGTGAGCCAAGATTGCGCCATCGCACTCCAGCCTGGGGGGACAACAGCAAGACTTTCTCTCAAAAAAAGAAAAAAAAAGGCTGATGTCCATTCCCCTAACACCTTCATTTTCCTCTTCTGGGAGCAAGATAATAAAGACTAAGATATTCAAAAGGAACTACATATATGGAAAAAATTAGAAAGTGAAAGTGCATGCCCAGGGAAAAGCACAGGCTCAGAAAAGACTGAGAAGACTAAGTTTACATCTTAGCCCGATATTTGAAACAAAGACACCCTTCAACAACAACAACAACAAAAAGATAATACACAAAAACATAACAAAAAACAGCAAACCCTGGAAAAGGGGAAGAATATGATTTCTAGAGTTATATTATTAGATTAAATGTTCACTTTCAACCACAACAAAAAAATCACACGCATACAAATAAACAGAAAAGTATGGCCCATTCAAAGGAAAAATTAAGTCAATAGACACTGTCCCTGAAAAAGACCTGGCAGCAGATCTACTAGACAGAGACTTTAAAACAACTGTTTTAAACATGCTCAAAGAACTAAAGGAAGATGGAGAAAGTCAAGAAAATTATGCATGAAGAAAACTGAAGTATCAGTAAAGAGGCAGAAAACCTATAAAGAAACCAAAAAGAAATTATGAAGATGAAAGGTATGATAACTGAAATGAAATTATTCACTAGACAACTTGAAGACAGATTCAAGCAAGAAGAAATAATTAGCAAACTTGAACATAGGACAGTAGAAATTATCAGGTTTGAAGAACACAAAAAAAGACTGAAAAAAAAAAAAATGAACAGAGCCTAAGGGACTTGTGGAACAACATGAGGTAGGCCAGCATACAGATTGTGGCAGTCCTAGAGAGAGGGGAAAGGGAGCAGAGAGAATATCTGAAGAAATAATGGCTGGAAACATCCCAAATTTGATGAAAGACATGAATATAAACATCCAAAGAAACTCAACAAACTCCAAGAAGATAAATTCAAAGAGACCCACACCAAGTCACATTATATTCAAACTTAAGAAAGGGAGATACAAAGAATCTTGAAAGCAGTAAGAAAGAAGTAACTTATCACATACAAGGGATCCTCAATAATATAATTAGTAGATTTCTCATCAAAAACTTTGGAGGTCAAACTGAGTGCAGTAGCACACACCTGTAGTCCCAGCACCTCAGGAGACTGAGATAGGAGAACCGCTTGAGCCCAGAAGTTGGAGGCTGCAGAGTGCTGCGACCACACTCAAGAACAGCCACTGCATTCCAGCCTGGTCAACATAGCGAAACCCCATCTTGAAAAATTTTTTTGGAGCATTAGCTAGGTGTGATAGTACACACCTGTAGTCCCAGTTACTTGGGAGGCTAAGGCGAGAGGATCCCTTGAGCCTGGGAGTTTGAGACTTAAGTGAGCTATGACTGTACCACTGTATGCCCGCCTGGGCCAAAAGAGTAAGACACCATTTCTTAAAAAAAAAAAAAAAAAAAAAAATGGTGAGGGAGTTTGCTGCCATGAGACCTCCCTGTAAGAAATGCTTAAAGGAGCCTTCTCGCACAGTGAAATGAAAACACACTAGACAGACTTGAAGCAATATGAAGAAATAAAGATCTCAATAATGGTAAATACGATAGTGGTTTATAACTCTACCTTTTGATTTCTATGTCATTTAAGAAACATTACATTAAAAAAATTAGCCTAAAAGCTAATGATATTGTAACTTTGGTTTGTAACTCCAAATTTTTCCTACATAATTTCAGAAATTAAGGCATTTAAAGTAATTATTACTTTATGTTTTTAGGACACAGAGTACATACAGATGTAATTCTGTGACACCAACAACCAAAAGGGGTGAAGATGGAGCTATAAAGAAGAATTTTTGTTTGTTATTGAAGTTAAATGTATACATTCAAATTAGAGGATTACAACTTTAGGATATTAAATATAATCCTCATGGTAAACACACACAAAAATAGAATATACACTAAGGAAATGGGGAAGGAATTTAAACATAAATAAACTAGGCCGGGCGCCGTGGCTCACGCCTGTAATCCCAGCACTTTGGGAGGCTGAGGCCGGCGGATCACAAGGTCAGGAGATCGGGACTATCCTGGCTAACACGGTGAAACCCCATCTCTACTAAAAATACAAAAAATTAGCCAGGTGTGGTGGCAGGGGCCTGTAGTCCCAGCTACTCGGGAGGCTGAGGCAGGAGAATGGCGTGAACCCAAGAGGTGGAGCTTGCAGTGAGCCGAGATTGCGCCACTGCACTCCAGCCTGGGCCACAGACTGAAACTCCGTCTCAAAAAAAGATAAAAATAAAATAAATAAATAAACAAACATATAAATAAATAAATCAACTAAACACAAAAGAAGACAGTAATGCAGGAGATGAGAGACCAAAAAAAAAAAAAAAAAAAACCAAACAAACTTTAAGGCATATAGAAAACAGACAGCAAAATGGCATCGGTGATTACTTTCAATGTAAATGAATTAAATTCTCCAATCAAAAGACAAAGATTGGCAGAAACCATTTTAAAAAACATAATCCAGCTCGGTGCTGTTTATGAGACTCACTTTAGATCCAAAGACACAAATATACTGAAAGTGATAGGATGAAACAGGATATTCCATGAAAACAGCAAACAAAAGAAAGCAGGAGCAGCTATATTAACATTAGACAAAATTGACCTTAAATCAAAAAAAGAAAACAAGAGACAAAGAAGGATATTATATATTAATAAAAAGTTCGGTACAGGAAGAAGATATAACAATTATAAACATTTATGCACATAATATATAAAACAAAAACTGACATAATTGAAGTGATATATAGATAGTTCTACAATAATAGTTGAAGACTTCAATATCTCAATCTCAATAATGGATAGAATAATCAGACAGAAAACATGTAAGGAAAAAGAGGACTTAACAAAATAAATCAACTAGAACTAACAGACATACAGAATATACTACGTGAAAGCAAAGACACCTGCTACAGAAAAAAGTATGGAAATTCCTAGAAAAATTAAAAATAAAATTACCATATGACTCAGCAATTCCATTTCTGGATATATTCCCAATGGAAATGAAAGCAGGATCTTAAAGAGATATGTGTATAACCATATTCATAGTAGCATTATTCACAATAGCTCAAATGTGGCATCAACCTAAGTGTCCATCAATGGATGAATAAACAAAATGTGGTATAAACATGAAATTTTATTCAGCCTTAAAAAGGAGGGAAATTCTGACATATGCTACAACATGGAAGAACCTTGAGGACATTGTGCTAAACGAAATAAGCCAGTTATAAAAACACAAATACTGTATGATCCCACTTATATGTGGAACTTAGAGCTGTCAAAATCATACAGACATAAAGTAGAATCGTGGTTGCCAGGGTCTGGGGGTGGAGACAATGAGTTATTGCTTAAACAGGTACAGTTTCAGTGTAAAGAGATAAAAAGAGTTAAAAGATGGATGGTGGTGATGGTTACACATTATGAATATACTTAATACCATTGAACTGTACAGTTTAAAATGGTTAAGATGGCAAATTTTATGTTTTGTGTATTGTATCACAATAAAAAAACTGGAGGAAAAGAATTAACAGCACTATATACCTCCAGAGGTGAGGACAAAGAGGCAGGAACTAAGATAAGAAAGACTAATCGAAAGTCTTCAGAATCTGAAGCATTATGAAAAAGTCTTCAAAGAAAGATACCTGGTAGTAACCAATTTCAACTTGTTCACTTCATTTTAGGGGGTGTTGTTTTTGTTTTTTAATGCTTTTGAAACCATTTTATCAATAAGCCCAGAGGAAGTCAAAAGATAGAACATGTTTTAAAATCTGTATTATGTAAACCACTAAATCTACCCACTATGTGTAACCCTTAACACTTCAAAGCATAGATGTTTGTGTGCATCTTCGGTAGTGGTCTGTGAAGTTCTTAATGGCAGAATCCAGATTAGGTTCTTTGTGTCTTCCCAAGTCCCTAGCACAATGTTTTAAATGGTTAGCATTAAGTATTTCTTAAACTGATTTTAAAAAATACTTAAGGTATTAAGACAAAAAAAAAAACAAAAACAAAACACGGGGGGTGGGGGAGGGATGTGCAGCTAGACAACCCAGCCAGACAACTGTCCTGCTAGTACTCAGCAAAAGTCTGAAGCTTTTTCTTTAAAAAGAAAATCTTTGAATGGGGGGACATAAGGATAGTTGAGTCTTGGGAGTGTGAAGAATGTGTATATTCCTACTGGAGCCCAAGACCACCAAAAGAAAACCCTGGAAACCATACCCTCATCCTCTAGGCAGCAGATCAGCCCAATATAATGGCCCTACCAGATAACTCAACAGTAAAACTCACAACCAGCAAGCCCCATCCAGGAGCACAGATCTCCCAGGAGCTTCTTAATTCTCTACCCATAACACTGAGCACACAATAAAGATTACCAGACATCTGGGGAAAGCCTCCAGCATGAAATACAGTGATCAAAACAAATAGAGATGAGAAAAAAACCAATATGGAGGAAAACAGACCATTAAGGAGGAAATACCTTAAAACATTTTTTTAAATTGTCATTATCATCCTTAGAGGTATAAGATATTGCAACCATGAAACAAGGACATAATTTCACAAAGTCAAGGCAACCTGCTAGAGATTACAGCCAAGAAAAAAAAAAAAGAGAGAAATTTAGAAAGCAAGTTCAATATCTGAATAAAAACAGTTCCAGAAAAAAGAAGACAGAAAAAATAAAGAGAAAGCAGCCAAAGAATTAATTGAAGAACATTTCCCAGAATTTATGGACATGAGTTTTCATATTAAAAGGGCCCGCCAATGGCCTGGAACAATGGATAGAAGTAGACTGCCTTCCAGAAAGAAAAAAAAAATAGTTCAAAAATCAGAATGGCTTCAGACTTCTCAACAGTAACACTAGAAGATGAAATACAATGGATTCCATCACAATTCTGAAAGAAAATTATTTTAAAATTAGAATGCTACAACCATTCAAATTATCATGCCAGTAACAAGGCAAAATAAAATAACTTTCAGACTTGCAAGGTCTTAAAACATTTATTACTGATGCACTACATTTCAGGAAGCTCTTAGAGGTTATGTTCCAATAAGGCAACAAGGAAGAAAACCAACCAAGAGAAAGCTAAAGGATACTGACAATAAAAATCCAACATATGAGGTTCAAAAAAGTTGTTTTGGAAACAACAATGAAGGGAAATCCTAGGATTAGTTGTGCATCAGAGGTAGACAGACCAGGTCAGAAAGTTTGCATTGTCAGGAGAGGAAATTGTAAAATATCCAATGTATCTAAAGGCCTTAAGAGGTGATTCGGTAACGAACAAAGACTTTGAAATTGACTCAGTGATAAATACATAGTAAGCTAAGCAAATGAAAACCAAAATAAAACAATTATTAGCCACATGCAGATCATAAAATTGTTGAGGAAGAGTTATCATAGATTATTCCACAGCTTAAATTATAAGAGTCAGAGCACGGAGGCCGGGCATGGTGGCTCACGCCTGTAATCCGAGCACTTTGGGAGGCCAAGGCGGGCGGATCACGAGGTCAGGAGATCCAGACCATCCTGGCTAACACTGTGAAACCCCGTCTCTACTAAAAATACAAAAAATTAGCCGGGCGCCGTGGCGGGCGCCTAAAGTCCCAGCTACTCGGGAGGCTAAGGCAGAATGGCGTCAACCCGGGAGGCGGGGCTTGCAGTGAGCCGAGACAGCGCCACTGCACTCCGGCCTGGGCGACAGAGCGAGACTCGTCTCAAAAAAAAAAAAAAAAAAAAAGGCACAGAAAAAGATGCATACGTGATGGGGTGAGTGGAAGGCAGAAAGAGAGCTAAATTCTCATATTCTACAGTAGGAACTAATAGATTACAACTAAAAAATCTATTAATATAGATTAATATAATCAGATCCTATATCTGAAGATGTGTCTTCAAGCATGGGTCGTTTTTCAAAAGGCAAGGCAATATAAAGGCAAAGCTGCTGAAGTCCTATCTCACTCATCTCTCCCCACCCAGAAGTCAACGACAGACTTGGGAAATGTAATTTAGCTTGAAGCTAGCTTATAGAGACCTGAAGTAGTCTGAAACAATGGCATGTTGCTGGCTCAGTTCAATGCCCAACCAACAGATATGTCTCCACTCTGAAGGTCCAAAGACTTTCTGGGTTTTCAAAGGGCTTTTGTGAAAGACTAGGTACCTGGTTTAGTCTACTCTAAAACAGAACTATTTCTGCCTCCCTAGAACTAACTTTCCCCATTATTCCCAGTCCATCCCTACATTTACTACCCTGATCTAGAACCTTAGCAACAACATACATGGAAAGCAGTGGTAAATTCATTTGCATCAGAGGTAGACAGACCAGGTCAGATTCAGTAAGAGGCAATTCAGTAATGAACAAAGAATTTGAAGTTGAATCAGTGGTACTGATTCAAATTTACAGTGGTAAATTTCATTTACCACTTGGCTACATGGGAAAGCAAATTTCATTTACGACTTCACTCCAAACATTTATAGCATTTCATTAACTCTATTAATATGCTGTTATGAGCTGGGAGTGGTGGTTCACACCTTTAATCCCAACACTTTGGAAGGCTGAGGCAGGAGGATTGCTTAAGCCCAGGAGTTTGAGACCAGCCTGGGCAATCTAGTAAGACGCTCATCTCTACAAAAATAAATAAATAAAAATTAGCTGGGCATAGTGGTTCTTGCCTGTAGTCCCAGTTACTTAAGAGGCTGAGGTGGGAGGATTGTTTGAGCCCAGAAGGTCGAGGCTGCAATAAGGCAGTGATCATGCCATTGCATTCCAGCCTGGGCAACAAAGCAAGACCCTGTGTCAAAAAAACAAAATCACACAAATATTCTATTATGGCCTGAACGTGTCCCCCAAAGTTCATGTGCTGGAAACTTAACCTTCAATGCAACCATGTTGAGAAGTAGAACCTTTAAGAGGTGATTAGATCAAGAGGGTTCTGCCGCCATGAATAGATTAATGTCATTATTGCGGGACTGGGTTAGAGAGTGGCTTTGTTACAAAAGCAAGTTTGGCCCCTCTGCGCCTCTTGCTGTGTGCTCTCCTACCCTTCCACCATAGGATGATACAGCAGCAAAGAGGCCCTCTCAAGATGCCGATACCTTGATAATGGACTTCCCAGCATCCAGAACTATGAAAAATACATTTCTTTTCTTTACAAATTACCCAGTCTGTGGTATTCTGCTACAGCAACACAAAAGAGAAGACATGTATCATGAAATAAAAATTGTCAATATGTCAGATTTGAGGACACTTTTACAACATTAAAGGTATGGTTGAGACACTTCAGTTGGCATCAATAAGAGCTTAATCACCTAATGACTATGAAACACTCTAACCCTGGGGTATCCAATCTTTTGACTTTCCTGGGCCACATTGGAAGAAAAATTGTCTTTGGCCACGCATAAAATACACTAATAATTACAATAGCTGATGAGCATTTTTAAAAAAATCACAAAAAAAGCCTCATAATGTTTTAAGAAAGTTTATGAAATTTGTGTTGGGCCACTCTTACAGCCACCCATGGGCCACAGGATGGACAAGCTTGCTAACCTAACCAGCAGGATATGAGAGACTAAATAATCTTATCTCACTACGCACTAACACACACTGTGGCAAAATGCAAGTTCTTCATCAGTGTTAGATAAATACATACAGGAATGAATTTTGAAAAACAAAAACAAAAAAATCATGAGTTCGGCCAGGCGTGGTGGCTCACGCCTGTAATCCCAACACTGGGAGGCCAAGGTGGGCAGATCACCTGAGGTCAGGAGTTCAAGACCAGCCTGACCAACATGGAGAAACCCCATCTCTACTAAAAATACAAAATTAGCCGGGCATGGTGGCACATGCCTGTAATCACAGCTTCTTGGGAGGCTGAGGCAAGAGAATCGCTTGAACCCCGGAGGCGGAGGTTGCAGTGAGCCAAGATTGTGCCATTGCACTCCAGCCTGGGCAACAAGAGCAAAACTCTGTCTCAAAAAAAAAAAATCAATAGTTCAATGAACAACAAAATCACTTTTCAAATAGAGAATCAGTTCAGCCCAAAGTTCTTCAAGTTCCTGGTAAGCACAACCACTCCAGTGATTAAACCCTTGTCAAACTAGTACAGTCCCAAAAGTTTAATGACAGGATTCCATTATTAAAACAGGCATCCTTGATTATACTCCTTACTGCAATGGTTATATTCTACTGGGCTTATGCTTCTACTGGATTCAATTTTAAAGGCAAAAACTTAATAACTGTACTCAAACAAAAAGTTCCATATTAGTATTACTAAGTAGTTTTGGATATTATAGAATTTTAGAGTTAGATCTTTAGAGATCATCTCATTCAATTCAATACAGGAATTTGCTCTATACTATCCCTAGCCTAGTGGACCATCTTGTGTTGATTATACTACTTCAAAAGCCTCCAAGCAAACCCACTTCTACACTTATCCCTTCTCAATCTATTCTCTACCATCAGCTAGCAGAAACTTCTCAACACGGAAATCAGATCATGTTGCTCCCTGCTTGAAACTATTTGAAGGCTTCCATCTGCAAACTCCATAACCTGGCTCTTGCCAGCCTCAAAACCTGCCCTCACCTCACAGCTAATTCCCTCCTGTTTGCTCCTCCAGCTGCCTGGAATGCTCTTCCAATTCAATCCTCCCTATTTGCTCTTCCACGACCAGCTCCATCCATCTCATGCTTCAAATGTCAACTTTAAACAAACAACTCCTCAGAGAGGCTTCCTTTAATATATCTCTCCACCTAATTAACTGTATGTTTTCTTCACATGCCAGTTTTTAATTATTTATTGGCTTGTTTTTTAATCTATCTTCCCCATCAGACTGTAAGAAAGCTCCAGAAACACTGGCAACTTGTCTGTCTTTATTCCTCTCCAGTATCCCAAACAAAGAGGAGGCACTCAACAGTTATCAACTGAATTTATGGATGGTGACTCAAATTCTAAAATCTCTAGCAGTGGGAGACCTACTAAATAACAAAATAACTAACCTCAATTTTTCTTTCTCTGAACTGCAATCTGTCTTCTAGGTCTTAAATATCCTGTTACAACCAGCCAAATCAGGGCTGAACCCGTGAACTCGATCAGGACTGATTCCTAACCTTTTTCTTCTTTTTTTTTTTGGTTCGTGAACCCTTCTGATAAATCCTTTGAAGGCAATGGATGCTGCTTCTCCTCAAGAAACAGCACATGCACAGAAACAAAACATCCGAGAGGTTTCACTCCCTCAGGACCAGCACAGACCACAGACTAAAATTCTAACCTGGACGAAAAGAGGATTCACCAGTGCAATTTTTGAGAACTAAAGTCTTCAAAAATTAAATTTTACAGAAGACTACAGAGCATCTTCTTCGAAAAAAAAAAAAAAAGAGGACATTTCAGATGCCTTCAAACTACCTCACTTCGGAGGGTGCAACTGCAATCAGTAAATTTTCAAGTCTAAAAGAAACTTGGGAGATCATCGTCCAAAAACTGAAGGCCCAAAAGGTAGGAGACTCGTCTGTGGTCAAGTTAGCACAACAAGGCAGGTCTTTGGTCCCCCAACCCTGTGCTCTTTCCACTTAAATCCCGATGGTTTCTTACAGAGTTCTAATAGTCTGAGAATTGGAAGGGAGCGGAGAGCAGAGGGAAGGCTGGGGGGAGAGAGAGACGGCAGGACTGACAGGGAAGGGTCACTCTCCTTCCACTCTCCGGGAAGCGTGCAACACAGCCGGGGCAACCCGACTCCCAGCGCTCACCTGTCTGGGGCCCAGAGGCGGGTGGTGCGGTCTCGGGACACGGACACAAAGGCTCCCGGCGGATAGGCGCAGCACACCAGGCCCCGTACGTCCAGCTCGTGGCCCCGGAGCGAGCAGCTCAGCCGGTACCTGGTTGCGCCGCTCGTCATGGCCAGTGTCTGTCTGGCGCCCGGTGCCCAGGCACTGTGCGAGACCAGTCCGCAGGGGCGACTCGGAGAGCGCCGGGCCGCGGCGGGAGAAGAGCCTGCAGGTAAGGGGCGGCCGGAGACCGGAAGAGCCCGAGAGCCGGTACGGAAGGGCGGCTGGGAAGGGGCGCGCCGAGCGGGCCGAGTGACACAGCAAGCCTGACAGGCACTCCGGAATTCATCATCGGCCTCAGCCCTCCATGACGCAGAGTGTGTGCGTCCCAACCGCCGACGCCGATGCGGAGCTGAGCTGGCTTTCCTCCAGGGCTCTGGACTCCCTGCTGAGCAAGAGAGAAAGAGGCCCGCCCTTCCACCAGGACGCCTGACCCTGGGGTCCTTCCCAAACCCGGGTCTCTTCCGACTCCGGGCCCAACAGTTTGTGGTAAATCGGGAAGCGGGCCGGGACTACAATTCCCATAATGCCGCGCCAGCTGGCGTGGACATCCGGCGCGCCGAATCCGGATATTTTAAACCTGAGTCTTTCGCGCTGGGCATGGCGGAATGGCTGAGTGAGGTTGTTTGGTGTCTACTGTTAGGTCATCCTCACTGCTTTTCCCTGAGAATCTCGAGGTTTTTGCAAGTTAACCTTGTTTTTCAATTAAAACGAGAAAGCTTGAGGCCAAATTGGGAACTATTAATCATTGAACTATTCCTCCGTTTCAAGTTATCTGAATCTCCTACTCTCTGTTGTCAAATTTAGCAAATACGGTGGTCCAAGTCAATTTTTTAAAGGTATAACTACTTTTCTCTGGCGGCTTGTTAAAATGTAGATTCTGATTCAGTAGGTCTGAGTTAGAGCTGAGATACGTATTTTTAACAACCCCGCCGCCCACCCACCCGTGGTGCTACTTGCTAGTCATTATCAGACCTTATTGAGTGCCAGGGTAAACATGACCTGTCTCCTTACTTTGTTTTCTTCCCATCCGCTATTCTCTCGCATCCAACTACACTTTTCCACAAACCTTTCTAAATTGCTAAGCCCAATTCACACTTTTCTGACTTCTCCCTTCCTAAAACTCCTACTCTAGGTTTGGAATCACTTTTCCCCTGGTTTGGGAGATCATTCTTGAAATGCTGACTTTTGATACTTCTTTGCTATCATATCCCCTCCCTGGGTGGATTATTTACTACTTGGCTTATTTCTAGAGCTGTATTCCCATATTGTCTTCTCCAAACTCTAGATCTGTATTTCTAGCTATCTGTTAGAAATCTGTACCAATTAGTCCTACTTAAATTATTTCAACATTTCTCTGGCCTTTCTACCCCTTCTCTCCAGCCAATCCTACACATTAAAATATAATTATCTTTCTGAAATATACACTTAATTGTTTTTTCTCTGTTTGACAACCTGTGATGGCTTTCCATTATTTTTTTTTTTTTTTTTTTTTTTTTTTTTTTTTTTTTTTTGAGACGGAGTGTCGCTCTGCTGCCAGGCTGAGTGCAGTGGCGCGATCTCGGCTCACTGCAACCCTCGCCTCCCGGGTTCAAGCGATTCCTGCCTCAGCCTCCCGAGTAGCTGGGACTACAGGAGCGCGCCACCATGCCCAGCTAAATTTTGTGTTTTTAGTAGAAACGAGTTTCACCATGTTGGCCAGGATAGTCTCAATCTCTTGACCTCATAATCTGCCCTCCTCTGCCTTCCAAAGTGCTGGATTATAAGCGTGAGCCACCACGCCTGGCCGGCTTTCCATTCTTATAGTACAGCATTACATAGGGCCTTTCACACAATCTCCCTAATCTGTTTTACTAGATTCATCTCCCTCTGTTATCTCTCTTACTCTAGACATTTCGAATTTGTCACAATTCCCTGAACACATTATGCTGTATGCTCTCCATGTCTCTATGCTCTTTGTACATGCATTTTTTTTTTAAACTTAGAATTCCACTTTCTCCATCTGTCATAGTTCAACACCAGTTTATCTTCTGTTTTTTTCTAGTTCCTCTGGGGAACCAATGCAGTTTTGTCTGTTGTCAATATAGTATTTACTGCATTCTAATATGTTCTTTTATGTCTGTCTTTTCTACCGGACTACATTTTATTATTATCAAGACCTTTATTTTACATGAATCTTAACCATCTAATTTACTGCCTCCTATATAATAGGAAATGTTTTTCAACTTGGTATAGTATTCAGTTTACCAATTTTCACAGTCTCTCATTTAGTTCTCACAATAACCCTGCAAGGTAGATAGTATTATTCCCATTTCACACATGAAGAATTTGCCTTGTTTAAAAAATGTTAATTTGGAGGCCATTAGGTTGAGATAGTTCCAGCTCTGGAGCCCAACTCAATGTAAACAGTAAAATGAAACTTAAGCTTAACTAACAGAAACAGACAAACCTCTAACTAAGGACTTTCCACTTTAACCAATCAAGTAAGTATATTTTCTTAGTCTTGCTTCCACCAACCCCTTATAAAAGTTTTCCCCTCGTGCTGTAATTGCCCCTGTGTTCTTTTACACAGGGAAATGTGTAATTTCACATTTCCCTGTGTAATTGCCTGCTGCCTTCCAAAAAACCAATGCACTGAGAACTACAAATGTTGCAGCAGGGAAAGATGAATAATCACAGGGCCAGCCAACGAGGAGGATGGGAGATATTTCTCAAATCCACCTCCAAGAATGTAGAGACTAGGTTTTTAAAGGATCGGTTGGTGGGCAGGAGGCTAGGAAATGGGAAATGCTAATTGGTTGGGTCAGGGATGAATCACAGGTGTGTCAGAACTATCTTCGTGAACCTGAGTCATTTCTGAGGAGTGGGGTTCACAGGTCCAGGTTGTGTCTGTTGGTCTGCCAAAATGCTAAATTTGAAAAATATCTCAAAGACCAGTTAATTAGGTTTCACAATAGTGATGTTATCTGTAGGAGTACTTGGCGAAGTTACAAATCTTGTGACCTCTGGTTACGTGACTCCAGGGCAGGAGGCTCTATAGAAAAGCAAGCTAATTAGGCTGGGTGAGGTGGCTCACGCCTGTAATCCCAGCACTTTGGGAGGCCAAGGCAGGTGGATCACAAGGTCAGGAGATCGAGACCATCCTGGCTAACATGGTGAAACCTTGTCTCTACTAAAAATACAAAAAGTTAGCCGGGTGTGGTGGCACGCGCCTGTAGTCCCAGCTACTCAGGAGGCTGAGGCAGGAGAATCACTTGAACCCGGGAGGGGGAGGTTGCAGTGAGCTGAGATTGCGCCACTGCACTCCAGCCTGGCAACAGAGCGAGACTCTGTCTCAAAAAAAAAAAAAGAAAGAAAGAAAAGCAAGCTAATCAAACAATGCCAAGTTATTGTTTGAGCATGTCTATTCTTTAGCAAAGTTCAAGCCTCTACCATAATTCTAATCTTGTCTTATGAATGTAGCTTCAATCTCCATACAAGGAGTTGGGGTGGGGGGTCACTTTTCCTTGCCTCAAAGTTTAACTATAAACCAAATTCCTGGCATAGTTATTTTAGCCTCCACACTAGAATAAGCAAAAAACAAACTAACAATAAAACGACAACAACAAAAAACTAGTTTAGCCTGTGAGGTTTTGAGCAAAATGGAGTCAGTCATGTTAGATTTCTCTCATTAGTTATAATTCTGCAAAGGTAGTTTAAGTGCCCCTAGATGGAGTTTCACCACTTGTGGTTTGGTGCTGCCCAATTCATGAATCACTGTCTGCTCAACTGAACTGTTTAATACTTTAATGTGTGTTGTCTTTTAACAGCTTGATAGGAGGTTAATGCTCAGTAGATGTTATTGGTTACCTTAATGAATTAATGAATAACTGAAATAACTATTTTAATGTCACATAACTAGAACATAGTGCAGCTGGGACTAAAATTCTATGAACACTAAATTGGGTTCTTGATACTTTAAAAATAATTTTAATGTTTTTATGTGTTCAGCAGTTCAAAGGTTTAAAACAAATCATTTATGTCAACTGTCTGTCTGCATACAAATAACAATTCTGGATCCCCCTCCCATATGCCTGAAGGCATGAAGGAAAAATGTCCGTAATGACAGTAGTTCTCTCAGAGAAAATGCATGGAATAGTTGGGTAGCTGGACTAAACATCACAGTTTGTGTAAATTGAGGTAAACATCACAGTTTATGTTCTCAATATGATGTTTTCATTAAAATTTAATTTTAAAAGCCCTCAATGCACTGAGAACAGCATTAATGCAGATTATACAGGAATGAAGTTGGGGTCAATATGGTTCAGGGCTGGCAACTTAGTAGGAAAACCCAGGCAAACTAAAGAAAGGAATTGTAACAGGGATGGTATTTGGCTTGTGTGTGAAAGTGATGGTGACAGAATATTGTTTAGCATTTTTTTTTTAACTAAAATTCGCCACATAGACTCTGGTGCCAAAACTTTGGGCTGGTATAGCACAATACATACATGAAATAAAATATTAAAATGCATTGGAAAATGATAGAAATTTTACATGTACAGATCTTAGAAAATTGAGGCTACAAATATGTCCCCCATAAGGGGAATGTTGAAAAAACAAAGTCCATATATATAAGAAAAAAACCCATAAAATGTGAAATATGGGCTGGGCGCAATGGCTCACGCCTGTAATACTACCACTTTGGGAGACTGAGGCAGGTAGATTGCCTGAACTCAGGAGTTCACAACCACCCTGGGCAACACAGTGAAACCCCGTCTCTACTAAAATACAAAAAATTAGCCGGGTGTGGTGGTATGCGCCTGTAGTCCCAGCTACTCGGGAGCCTGAGGCAAAGAATCACTTGAACCTGGGAGGCAGAGGTTGCAGTGAGCCGAGATAGCTCCACTCCACTCCAGCCTGGGTGAAACAGCAAGACTCTCTCAAAAAAAAACAAGTGAAATATGAACTTCATCTTTAAGGATGGTTATCAGCTTCTAAATCACATTCGTCTTGCCAGTACTGTGGAACATGACAGAAAATGTTTCAAAGCTAATACATTTCAATTTCCCAAAAGATAATTGTTTTCAAGCTTTTGGTGCCCAAAGAGGAGAAAAACATTCTTCTAGTGCCAATACATTTAGTAAGCGTTTTTCTTGGCTTTTAGTGAGTTTTTTTGTTAAACATTTAAGGACACTTTTTCCTTTGTTTTCATATGCTTTGAAATATTATCTAGATAATTGCATAATTCATTAAAAGCTGGCTAATGTGAATATTCATTATGATTTTTATCGTCCCCTCATTGAAAGTTTATTTAATTTTTTTTAACCTTTTTTTTTTTTTTGAGACGAAGTCTTACTCTTGTCCCCAAGCTGGAGTGCAATGGCGCGATCTTGGCTCACTGCAGCCTCTGCCTCTAGGGTTCAAGCAATTCTCCTGCTTCAGCCTCCCGAGTAGCTGGGATTACAGGCGTCTGTCACCATGCCCGGCTAATTTTTGTATGTTTAGTAGAGACGGGGTTTCACCATGTTGGCCAGGCTGGTCTCGAACTCTTGACCTCAGGTGATCCGCCTGCCTAGGCCTCCCAAAGTGCTGGGATTACAGGCGTGAGCCACTGTGCCTTGCCGAAAGTTTATTTTTAAAAAGTAATAATAATGCATTCCTTGGTTTAAAATTCAAAAGACGTAAAGGATGCACATTTTCAAACCCTAACCACCCAGTTTTCCTCTCTGGAGGCTTATCAGTTTCTTGTGTTCTTCCCAAAGATTGTTTATACAGATGCAAGAAAATGTTAACATTGAATACTTACTCACCTTACTTTATATATCTTGGAAAACTCTCCATATTGTATGGGAAGAAGAAAGCTTTTCCTCTACCCTGTCATGTTCACTATTCAAGGGCCTATGAGTTAAACTGAAAAAAGACAGACTAACAGGAGAAAAATATCAATTTCTTATGCATAAAACAGCCAACAAAAGCAGCAGCTGACTAGTCAAATGATTAAAGTTAAAGGCTTATATAACTAACTTAGTAGGGAAAATGGTGGGGGAGAAACAGCTTTTACAGGGAAAAAAATAGAAACATTGACTTTTAGGAGAACAAATAAGAAAGTTTGTGTTCACGTTCATCTATACAGTTAGGAGTGGTGTTCTTCCGGGCCATAAGTTAGGGTATTTATGGTAGCATCATTCCCCAGAAATTTTGCTTTCAGTGAGATAAGGAACTCTCTGAGAAGGTTTTTTTCCCCCTTCATCAAATGCCTTCAGGTTAAAATAATATTTTTATACTAGCTCTGGGGTTCCTAGTCAGCCTCTGCAATATCAGTATACAAGGAGCATTCTTTTTTATAGATGGCCAAATTTTATGTGATTTTATGACTATAGCATTATTAATTCAGTGTTGTTTGATTTTTTTCCTAATCTTTCTCTGTAACAAACACTGCTCAAATAAATAACCTTGGACATCAGCATATGTCATTTATATGTATAAATTCAGTGTGAATATATGCTCACTTCCTAGAAGTGGAGTTACTGGGTCAAAGGACATGTGCATTTGGATTTCTATAGCCATCTTCTTTCAATAGACACTCCTACCAGTGTATCCAAAAATCTTATTTCAGTTGATGTACATATTCACTAGTAAGTTCACTAACTTTTCTCTATTTTACAGTAGAATACCTTAATGATGTCACTCCTCAAAGTGTCTTTTCTTTTTTAAGATTCATTTTTGTTTTCATTTTTTGTAGGGGGGGGGTCTCACTATGTTGCCCAGGCCAGTCTTGAACTCCTGGCCTTAGTGACCCTCCTGCCTTGGCCTCCCAAAATGTTGGGATTAGAGGCATGAGCCACCACACCTGGCCAAAAAATTTATTTTCTTAAAAAACCTACAAACATCCTACAAAGACATTTTTGAGTTATTTTGTTAACATTTTTCTTCTGTGCACCCTGGGCTACATAAGCGTAACTGGCCATATTCAGTACCAAGTGGTATCCTCTTCATTGGGCCTTATTGCCCTTGACTCTACTGAGTACCCACTTGCTCCCTTCCCTACTCCCTCATTCTCCCTTTAAAACATCCAATCACTGCTGTACAAATCAAGGTTGAATTCCTTTCACATTGGACTATTTTCCCTATTGCAGTAGTAAATTATGGATAAAAATGTGTCCCTACTGTCAGGGTTTGTTATCTTTGACAACAAAAATAAACATATAACTGCAAGTTATAATGAGTGATATGTAGTGTTAAAATAATTAAATTGGAGGCCATTAGACTGAAGTCGCTCTAATGCACTGAGTTCCTACATGAGGAAACTGAAACTTAAAACGGAATCACAAGTGGCCAACTAGTCATCAGTTATATCGTCTTGAACTTCCCACAAGAACAGTCCAAATAAGGCAACTGCTCAAACTTTAACCAGTCAAATAATTTCTTTGCTGTGCTCTGCATTTACTCTCTGAAAGCTTTCAACTACCTCTGGGGGAGCCCCAAACCACTTATGATTTGGAGCTGCCTAATTCATGAATTGCTGTCTGTTCAAATAAGCTCTTTAAAATTTTAATGTGCCAAAGTTTACCTTTTAACAGATAGGAATAGTACAGGGTGCACTGAGGACATATAATGAGGTGGGGGGCCAGAAGGAGTTGGAGCACTAATCTAGTATGGACTGGCAGAGAAGACCTCTCTAATAAAAGACATTTGGGTTAAGACCTGAATGATGAACAGGACTTTGGACAGTGAAAAGCAGAGGGACAAAGATTCCAGGAAGAGAGAATTGCAGTGAAAAGGACTAGAGACAGAAAGGAACTTGAAACACAAGTAGTCTTACAATAAACTTAAAATTTGACATAACCTAATTACTAACCAAATTACAACTTGATATAACCTAATTCCAATTTGATATAACCTTAAAAGCAACAGAACCTAATACATAATGATCCAAAGTCAAATAAGATATGGTGCCTACTCTAAGGAAGCTCAGAGGCAAATAAGTGAGATGTATTCCTATTCTCTATTCCTTTTTCATCATGAAAAAGAAATGGGGACAGGGATCAATACTTACTACCTAAATGAGCTTAAGCAAATTATTTAATCTCTTTAAAACTTGGATAATAGTATCTGTCCTGCCAATTTCAACTGTTAATATCTGTCAGGGTCCTTAAGTGCAAGGAACAGAAATCATCTATAAATGATATAAAAGCTGAAAATGAATTTATTAAAGGACATTAAGCAGCTCACAGACTCTCCCAGAAGCTGAAGAAACAAGCTAGAGGTTCTCCTCCCAATAAAGCCTCTGAGTACCTAACACTGCAGCTTGCAACAACACACTGATGCTGGACACTGGTTGCTGGTGATAGAACATTGCAGTCTCGGAAACGATGTAGTTACTGCGGCTGTCACCCTTACTTCAACAGACTCTCTGAAGTCCTGCTTCTGGTTGTCATTCAAGTTTGAGTTGAGTCCACCAAATTAGATTGGAGAGTCTAGCAAGCAATAATACTCATGTCCCAGTAATAAGGAAGACTAGGAAAGCCAGTATCTGTCACTTTCAGTTCCTGTAAGGGTGTTGGGGGGCAGGGTAAGGGAGAAACTCTGCCAAAAGGATGACAAATGGCCACTGCAAATAGGGTGAGCTCAAATGAGATAATTACATGAAAATGTTTCACAAACTAAGGGAGAATTCAGCCACATAACATTATCTCATTTTGTGTTGTATTGATTTTTAACTCCTCGAAGGCAGGCAAGTTGGAAATAATGTGTAAAATAATGTTAAAATCCCAATACATATGCAATCACATTTAAGCTGTTATCAATGAAGATTGGAAGGAAACATACAGTAAAAGTTATTTTATTAGAGAAGTGGGATTTAAGGTGAAGTAGTTCTTAAATTAAAAAAAAAAAAAAAAAGGACACTTTCCATTGAATTCACAGTCTTCCCCACAAACTTGGATCCAAATTCTAATGAAAGGAAGCTTAAAGACGCAAAGCTTCTGGTGAAAGCAGGAACGGAACAGTTGGTGCCAGAATCGCATCCATACTTCATGATGCGTTGTGTACGCTATGCCGTCCTAATAGGAAGGAAAACTACCACAAATTAGGAGTTTAGAAAATTGCACAATGCTGCCTACCACTTAACTTCAAATGTAACCTGTTAACAACGTTAGCCGACGTGAGGTTACCTAGGGACATAGCAAAACTCGCTAGAGTTACTTCAAGTAAGGCACACGGAGGTTGCTCTGATTATCAAGAAAACCAAACGTTCACATAAAATGTTTGTCTTCCAGCCGCCCCGCTGTTTTCCACTTTTTCCAAAAAGCACTGAAGCGTGGTGAAGAAACAAACATATCCTCAATTCTCGCGAGAGCTCCGTGTGTAACCAAGGGCTGAGGCGGAGGATTGGTCACTCAGGATGAGGAGCCTCCGCTATCCCGCCCCCGTTGCCGGGATACGCCGCGGCGCACGGCAGTTAGTGGGTAGGCCTGAGAGCCGAGGAAAACTGAGCGTGGGCCTCAGAAAGAAGTTAAGGCACCCGCGAGCCGGGCAACTGCCCTCCTTCCGCGCCGGCGGAGGTGAGAATCCCCGGGTCCCATCTCTTCCTCCCTCCCTCCCACGTCTGTTCTCTTGCCTTGGAGATGCTGATCCGCTCCAAACAAAACAAATTCAAACTCGGTCTTAGCTAACTGTTACCGTCGGGCCTGTAGCCAGGCCAGGCATGTACCAATTCTAGTCGAGCGAAGGTTGCGAACAGACCTCCTCCAACAGCCCGACCCCTCCCCGACCCCCCGCAGGAGACCCGCCAAGCACAGAGCAGAGGGAAGGACCGCGATGGGCTGAAGGATTTTAGTCAAAGCAATACATTTCTGCCTCTTACAGTGGAAGGGACTTATTTCTGTCTGTTGATCACAGTGCGGGCAGTTAGCAACTTTCCACTTATTCACCTGTGTGAGAATGGTTGGCTTAGGGAGGATAACGATAGTAATAATAATTAGAAGCAGATGTTTTAAATGTAATACTTATCGTCTTCACAACAGCCCTGCAAGGTAGATGTCACCCTTCTGTTTTACAGAAGATGAAATCCTGAGGGGTTAATTAAGGTGGCAAGATTATGCAGCCGCTAACTTTGTCAGCACTAGTTTGTATCGCTAATCATTCTGGATCCAAAGGCCAGGCTGCCTCTCTGTGTGAATAATTGGAAATTGTGTGACTCTTTGATTGAATAACCCCGAAGTTAGTGGTATATTTGTTGCTAATGCCCGCCTCTTAATCCCACTGGTAATAATATAATGGTAAGCTTTTTTTCACCACAGTAAAACGGTGGCAAAGAAAATTGGGTGAAATTTTTTATGTTGTACATTTTCTCAAAGTTAGCAGGAAACCTAGAGTAATATCTTTTCCACTGGAAAGAGATGTTTATTGTACTCGTTTTCTTCTGGAAAAACCATTTTGATCATACACCGTCTTCCTTTTCAAAGAGTCATTTCATGAAATTCCTTTTTCCATTTGAAATTCTTTTGCTTTGTACATAGAGTTCAAAATGGCAAGGAATTAGAATCAGGGAGCTAGTGGGGTCAGGAAGATTGATGTGAACATATTCAAATGAGATATCTGAATGGAAATTTCAGATAAACAATTGAAAACTCAAAATTGGTGCCCAGTTGAAAGGGCAGAACTGTAGACATTGATTAGTGAGCCGTACACATAGTTGGAGTTATAAAGATGCATGACTGTAGAAAGGATAGAAGCAGTCCAAGGACTGATTACGAGTAATGCTAAGAAAAGTCAGAAAAGTAGTACTGGACATAGAGTGTAGAAACAGAGAAATCATTTTAGTCCAACACACGCTTTGTTTGCCTTTTTTTTTTTTGAGACGGAGTCTTGCTCAGTCGCCCAGGCTGGAGTGCAGTGGCGCGATCTCGGCTCACTGCAAGCTCCGCCTCCTGGGACTACGCCCGCCACCACGCCCGGATAATTTTTTTTTTGTATTTTTAGTAGAGATAGGGTTTCACTATGTTAGCCAGGATGGTCTCCATCTCCTGATCTCGTGATCCACCCGCCTCGGCCTCCCAAAGTTCTGGGATTACAGGCGTGAGCCACCGCTCCCGGTCGCTTTGTTTGCTTTTTAACAATTTAGTAAATTTTTGTAATTGGCAATACCTTTATGTACGAGGAAATTTAAAAGATACAAGAGAGAACAAAGTTTTTGCTTATCACTGAGACAGATTTTGGGGATATAAAGATGATTAAGATTCAGCTCTTGCCATAAAGGGTGAGAAATACTTAAGCAGATCATTTCAAGTGGTGTGATAGGTTCTGGAATAAAGTAATACACAGGATGCATGGTAGCATGTAGAACAGGCCTATACACTGAAATTGAAGAAGACGAAGATTCCAAGACCAGTTATGGACTGGTCATGGAAGGATTCCCAGAGAAAGTAATAGGCAAAATGTGTGTTAGGCAAGGGGACCACTTAAGAGGCTGGTATAATAGTCCACCTGAGTCAGTGATGCCCTGAATTGGCCAGTGCTGTAGGAATAGAGAGTAAAGTACCTGTTAAACACTTAGGAACAAAATCAGTAGAACTAAACAAAACAAACTCAGTAGAACTATGTGACCAGCCATGGGAGTAAGGGAGAGGAAGATGTCAAGGACTAAATTTCTTACTTGTGTGACTAGGAGGTGACACCAAGAGGAAGGACAAATTTTGAGCAGATGATAATGAGTTTGGATTACATATGTTTATTTTGAAATATTTAGACATCTAAGTGGAGATGTTATTATTTGGATATAAACACCGCAAGCTGAGTGCTAAAATAAGGAAGTTGTGTGGAATCAGTTTATTAATTGTTAAAACCCTGAGTGTGGATAAGGGGGCCCAAGGGGAGTTTAGAGAGAGAAAAGAAAAAGATGGTGGATGGTATCTTAGAAAATGCTCTATATAAGGACAGATCAAGGAGACAGAAAAAAGAACCAGAAGAGAGGGAAGTGTCATGGAGATGTTTCATATAAATGTGGACACCAGTAAAGTAGGATGACATTTACAGCACTGGCAATATTGGCAGGGGTCATTTGAATCAAACGGTAGCAATCCAGGAGATACTGGGAAATGAAGCAGTAGAAAATAGTGGATATAAGCTATTCTTTTTGTTGTTGTTGTTGTTGTTGTTGTTGTTGTTGTTTTGAGACGGAGTCTCGCTCTGTCGCCCAGGCTGGAGTGCAGTGGCACGATCTCAGCTCACTGCAAGCTCTGCCTTCCGGGTTCACGCCATTCTCCTGCCTCAGCCTCCCGATTGGCTGGGACTACAGACACTCGCCACCACACCCGGCTAATTTTTTGTATTTTTTAGTAGAGACAGGGTTTCACCGTGTTAGCCAGGATGGTCTCGATCTCCTGACTTCGTGATCCGCCCGCCTCGGCCTCCCAAAGTGCTGGGATTGCAGGCATGAGCCACCGCGCCCGGCTGGATATAAGCTATTCTTAGGAATTTGGCTGCATAAGGGAAGGATGTATGGGACAGTTAGATAGAGGTGGTTGCAGGATCAAGAAATAAGTTTTTGAAGGTAGGAAAGAATTGAACATGGTAACAGACTGAAGGAAAGGAGAAAGTTTAAAGATAATTGGTAGCAGTGAGGTTAATGCCACAAAAAAGATGGGATCAAGGGTAAATCAGAGTAAGATTGATCTTGAATGAGAGAAGGAATGGCTGTTGAGACTGGAGGGCAGGATGGATGTAGAGAAGTTTATGTGCCCCAAAGGTGATGGAGTTCAAGTTGTAATTTTTTTAAATGAGTCATCTGCTGAGAGTGGCAGGAACAGAGGTTAAATAGAAAAGTAGTTAAGGGTGAGAATCATCAAGTAGAGAAGTATCTTAACAAGGATAAATCATTTCTGAAATGAGGGTCCAGCTAAGATTTGTGACTATCACTTTGCAGTACCCCAGTCTGTACAGTTGTATGATTTCCATCAGCAATGTTCAGCACTTCAGATTGGATGTAGAGAAGGGTTTCTGATTTTGCCAGATGGGCTGGAGAATAGTTCAAGGATACAAATTAGTTGATAGTGCTCATGAGACACTAATTTCTTGAGAGAAGGAGGAGAGTTCTTAAACACCCTTGTCAAGGTATCACTAGTGACTTCTTGAATGGGGACTCCATTGGACATTTCAGTTTTCATCTTACTTGAATTTCCAACGTAAATGGCATGGCTCAGATTCCTGCCTTCTCTTGGCGTCTCTGACACACACTCCTGGTTTTTTTCTTTGCTTTCTGGGCCTTAATTTTCAGTCTCTCATACTAGATTTTCCTCTTGTGTGTAATCTGTATGTATTGATGTTCCTCAGGACAGAATCTTGGGCACTATTCTCTTTTTCTCCATATTCTTTGTCTAGATAAGTATCTTCATAACTATTTTATATGACCTACAATAGGACATACATTTTTATATTGTAGCCCAGTAAACACATATGTGTAAATTTATGTAAATATAGCTGAAACAAAAATTTACTGAAACAATGTTTACCCTTCATATTTTCAGTGAGCTCTTTTTGTTTAAATTTTATTTCACGTTTAAGTATCTTGGTCATAACCTACAAAATTGTTTTCAGAACTTACTAACGGATGTGACCAACAATTTGAAAACTACTACTCTAAATTATGAGACAGAATTTTAAATAATGTTATATTCTGATGAATAAAGGAGAGGGCTGATAAACTGGGAGAGAATGAGTGAATTAAGGAAATGGTTTAAAGGCAGGTGTAGCAGAATGAAGATGAGAAAAGGGTAGGAGAGGAGAAGACCAGAGAATAGAGTATTTCAATTAAGATGTTTGAGGTGAAGCAATTCCAGATGATGACAAGCTCCATGTCTCGCCATGGCTATAAATTACTGAAATGGAGTTAAGATCATTGCTAAAGTTGAGGTCAGGGAACTGTGAAGCTGGAGTGTTAGGTATTGGATCTAGTATCTAGATGGAAGTCATCCAGGGTGATGGTGAGATTGGAATAGAGAAGCTGTGAACTAGGTACAAAAGACTTTAGTAAAGATAGAGGAGAGATTAGGAAGTCACTAATTACCAGCAACCAGGAAAGATCAAGGCAATATTGTTGCATTCCCAGATCCTCAGAAGAAGTGAATCTTGTTTTTTTTTTTTTTTTTTGGGTGGGGGGATGGAGTCTCGCTGTGTCGCCCAGGCTGGAGTGCAGTAGCGCAATCTCGGCTCACTGCAAACTCTGCTTCCCAGGTTCATGCCGTTCTCCTGCCTCGGCCTCCTGAGTAGCTGGTACTACAGGCACCCGCCACCACGCCCAGCTAATTTTTTGTATTTTTAGTAGAGACGGGGTTTCCCTGTGTTAGCCAGGATGGTCTCCATCTGCTGACCTCATGATCCACCTGCCTTGGCCTCCCAAAGTGCTGGGGTTACACGCGTTTGCCACTGCGCCTGGCCTCTTGTTAATTTTTTTAAAGGTGTGGAAGAATGTTTTGAAAGTGACCCTGAGGAGCAAGAAAAGTGCCACCTCCTTTTCTTTAAAATTGTGGGACAGGAAGCTAAAACACTTGGACTACCGAAAGTGTTACTCTCAGGGGAAATCAAGATTCTGTTAAAGTTAAGAAAATAGAAAGTATTTGTAACAAGATTCAGAATATAAGAGTTAATCATGGACCAGAAAGTGCAGAGAAAGGATTAGGGGCAAAGAAAGATGTTGGCTATGATGGGAGAGAAAATTTACCAGAGTATGGGATGAGAATACTAAAGAAATAGATAATAGAGGGGCTTGCATTTTGGTAAGATAATAGAAAGATGAGGAAGGAATGTTGCAAGAAACAATCTCATAGTTGTAAATGGAGCACGATGTCATATTTGAACAAAATTAGCCTTGTAGTGGTACACAGAACGGCAGTTTGCAAGAACAATTGTTGTGAATTAAATGTAAGGGTATGATGGGTCATTATTGTCTTGCTAGAGAAGACATCAAAGGATTGAACTATTTATTGTTTCCAAACAGCGATTAAAGTGAAGAAACAATGGCCAGCAATCACAAATCTTCAGCAGCTCGCCCTGTTTCAAGAGGTGGAGTTGGGTTAACAGGAAGGCCTCCTTCTGGGATACGACCCCTATCAGGAAATATTCGAGTGGCAACTGCAGTAAGTTTGAAACAAATCTATTTACTTTGGGAGGCCAAGGTGGGAGGACCACTTGAGTCCAGGAGACTGGGGCTTCAGTGAACTCTGATCATGCCACTGCACCCCAGTTTTTGAGTTTTTGAGACTGTCTCAAAAATCTGTTGAATGCTTGTGCATATATTGTGGTAGAAGTTGGAAATCCCCTCTGTAATAAGAGATTCTACTTTGTTGTTTCTTTATTTCATAAGCATATTATTAAACATGTTTGTTTTGTTTTTTGGAAAGCATCTGGAAATGTAAATGTGGAAGAGTGTTTGAAAGACACTCTGGGAAGAAGATGCCTGCTCCTGCAGATACTCAATTTAAAGCTGCAATAATTTTAGTTGAATAGTGTATTGGGGCCAGAATAAAATGAAATGGAATAGACCTCAAATAGAATCAAGCATATAAGAATTTAGTTAATGATTAATGTGTGTTTCAAATTAGTTGGCAAAACATGGAGCATTCAATAGAACATTCCAATAATTGTTAAACCATTTGTTTAAAAGTATTTTTAATCCTCTCTTATACCTTTTATCAGAATTCTACATAGCTTAGAAACTTGGTATTTCAAAAATGAAACCATAAATGTAGTAGAGGAAAATGTTGGCAAGTATTCTGTATAAACTTGATATGGGCTAGGCTTTCTAAACATGACAGAAATAACAAGTACTGAAAAGGAAAATATTTTTATTATATATCTGAATTTACAAAAAATAAAACACCATAAAAAATTAGAAATGACAACTGGTAAAAACATTTATAATATATATACCATATATAGGATCAGAATCTTAAAATTAAAAGGTAAACTTTACTAATTTTTTTTTTTTTCTTTTTTTCTTTTTTTTATTTTTATTTTTTTGTTATACTTTAAGTTTTAGGGTACATGTGCACATTGTGCAGGTTAGTTACATATGTATACATGTGCCATGCTGGTGTGCTGCACCCACTAACTCGTCATCTAGCATTAGGTGTATCTCCCGATGCTATCCCTCCTCTCTCCCCGCACCCCACAACAGTCCCCAGAGTGTGATATTCCCCTTCCTGTGTCCATGTGATCTCATTGTTCAATTCCCACCTATGAGTGAGAATATGCGGTGTTTGGTTTTTTGTTCTTGCGGTAGTTTACTGAGAATGATGATTTCCAATTTCATCCATGTCCCTACAAAGGACATGAACTCATCATTTTTTATGATTGCATGGTATTCCATGGTGTATATGTGCCACATTTTCTTAATCCAGTCTATCATTGTTGGACATTTGGGTTGGTTCCAAGTCTTTGCTATTGTGAATAATGCCGCAATAAACATACGTGTGCATGTGTCTTTATAGCAGCATGATTTATAGTCCTTTGGGTATATACCCAGTAATGGGATGGCTGGGTCAAATGGTATTTCCAGTTCTAGATCCCTGAGGAATCGCCACACTGACTTCCACAATGGTTGAACTAGTTTACAGTCCCACCAACAGTGTAAAAGTGTTCCTATTTCTCCACATCCTCTCCAGCACCTGTTGTTTCCTGACTTTTTAATGATCGCCATTCTAACTGGTGTGAGATGGTGTCTCATTGTGGTTTTGACTTGCATTTCTCTGATGGCCAGTGATGATGAGCATTGTTTCATGTGTTTTTTGGCTGCATAAATGTCTTCTTTTGGGAAGTGTCGGTTGATGTCTTTCGCCCACTTTTTGATGGGGTTGTTTGTTTTTTTCTTGTAAATTTGTTGGAGTTCATTGTAGATAGATTCTGGATATTAGCCCTTTGTCAGATGAGTAGGTTGCGAAAATGTTCTCCCATTTTGTAGGTTGCGTGTTCACTCTGATGGTAGTTTCTTTTGCTGTGCAGAAGCTCTTTAGTTTAATGAGATCCCATTTGTCAATTTTGGCTTTTGTTGCCATTGCTTTTGGTGTTTTAGACATGAAGTCCTTGCCCATGCCTATGTCCTGAATGGTAATGCCTAGGTTTTCTTCTAGGGTTTTTATGGTTTTAGGTCTAACGTTTAAGTCTTTAATCCATCTTGAATTGATTTTTGTATAAGGTGTAAGGAAGGGATCCAGTTTCAGCTTTCTACATATGGCTAGCCAGTTTTCCCAGCACCATTTATTAAATAGGGAATCCTTTCCCCATTGCTTGTTTTTCTCAGGTTTGTCAAAGATCAGATAGTTGTAGATATACGGCGTTATTTCTGAGGGCTCTGTTCTGTTCCATTGATCTATATCTCTGTTTTGGTACCAGTACCATGCTGTTTTGGTTACTGTAGCCTTGTAGTATAGTTTGAAGTCAGGTAGTGTGATGCCTCCAGCTTTGTTCTTTTGGCTTAGTATTGACTTGGCGATGCGGGCTCTTTTTTGGTTCCATATGAACTTTAAAGTAGTTTTTTCCAATTCTGTGAAGAAAGTCATTGGTAGCTTGATGGGGATGGCATTGAATCTATAAATTACCTTGGGCAGTATGGCCATTTTCATGATATTGATTCTTCCTACCCGTGAGCATGGAATGTTCTTCCATTTGTTGTAAACTTTACTAATTTTTAAGTGCTCTTTCTGTATTAAGACCACAAGCCTTATGTCCAATCAAAATTTCATGACATTTCTTTTGATGCTAGGGGTAATATTATAAAACTATTCTAAAACTCATCTAGAACAATACCACAAAAATAAGAAAAAGTACAGTACTCTAATGTAAAATATGTTATAGACAATGAGTGAAACAATATTCTGATTGCCACGGCACCTGGAGGTAAACTCTAGTAAATGTTAAAGAGCTTAATATAAGAGAGTGTGTCATAAATAGTGAATAAGAGAAACACATCATATGAGGAAAAGTTAGATGAAGTTTATGAGTTGATATTCTAAGCAGAAGGATATCCTGTAAAGATAATTATTACATTTTCGTTATCATTATAATGTAAAAATTGGGAAACAACCTAGAAGACTTACAACAGGTGAATCTTAAATAATGATATGTATATCCCTATAAAGGCTGTTAGATAGTCATTACAAACTACTTTCAAGATATTTCAGAAAATAATATACTTTAACAAAAGTTTAAAAGTGATATCAATTTAACATAGAAAACATAAATTTATAAATACATAGAATTGAAATGGAAATAAATGAATAGACAAAAATGTCCATAAATTTATCTGATTTTCACACAGGTGATTTCAACTGAGAAGGTGCAGAGGGCCAATACTCAACCTCCTACAGTAGGCTAAGTGCAAACTACAGATAATGTTGGGTCCTATGGTTAACTCATAAGAAGAGCAGCATTTTTTGGAGGGAATAATTTTGTTAAAGTCAGATTTTCCTAAAGTTTTCAGATTTTTTTTCTAGAGTTTCAGGTAATAATATTAGGACATCGTCATCAACTTAGACTGAAATAATTTTTCTGAAGTCTTCATACATAGGATAGTAAGGGTATCTTTTTCTTTTATTCCAGTAAAAATTGATAATTAAATATTTATAAAAAGAATCTGACATTTATTGGCCACCTACTATTTGCCAGGCACGTTATCTGTTTATTTGTAAAATTTTAAAATTTGTATGTATTCATGGGGTAGGTCAGTTGTCTTACATGCATATATTATGTAATGATGAAGTGTGGGCTTTTAGTGTACCCATCACCTGAATAGTGAACACTGTACCCAATATGTAATTTAGCAACCCTCACCTTCCTCCCACTCATCTTTTGTAATCTTTAGTGTCTGTTATCTCACTCTGTATGTCCGTATGTACCCATTGTTTAGCTCCCACTTATAAGTGAGAACATGCGGTATTTGACTTTCTCTTTCTGAATTGTTTCACTTAGGATCATGGCCTCTGGTTCCAACCATATTGCTGCAAAAGACATGATTTCTTTATTATGGCAGAGTAGTGTTTCATAGTATGTGTATATATATATATGTGTATATGTGTGTGTGTATATATATGTATATACATGTATACCACATTTTCTTTACGTAGCCCTCCATCTCCATTGATGGACAGTCAGGTTTTTTTTTCATATATTCGCTATTGTGGCAAGTAGTGTGATAAACATAGGAATGCAGGTATCTTTTTGAAATAATGATTTCTTTCCTTTTGCAGTGGGATTGCTGGATCATATGATAGTTCTATTTTTAGTTTTTTGAGGAACTTCCATACTGTTCTCCATAGTAGTTATACTAACTTACATTCCCCCCAACACTGTACAAAGGTTCCCTTTTCTTTATATATTTGTCAGCATTTGCTATTGCCTTTCTTTTGGATAAAAGTCGTTTTAACTGGAGTGAGATGATATCTCACTGTAGTTTTGATTTGCATTTCTCTGATGATCAGTGATGTTGAGCACCTTTTCGTATACCTGTTTGACGTTTGTATATCTTCTTTTGAGAAGTTGTCTATTCAGACCTTTTGCCCGTTTTTTATTGTATTATTAGATTTTTTTGCTAGTGAGTTGTTGGAGCACCTTATATATTCTGTTTATTAATTTCTTGTCAGATGAATAGTTTTCATATATTTTCTCCTATTATGTTGGTTGTCCCTTCACTTTGTTGATTGTTTGCTGTGCAGGTGCTTTTTAACTTGATGTGATTCTATTTGTTCATTTTTGCTTTGGTTTCCTTTGCTTGTGGGATATTACTCAAGAAATCTTTGCTTAGACCAATGTTCTGGATAATTTCCCCTGTGTTTTCTTTTAGTAGTTTCATAGTTTGAGGTCTTAAGTCTTTAATCCATTTTGATTTGATTCTTGTATATGGTGAGAGATATGGGTCTAGTTTCATTCTTTTGTCTATGGATATCCAGTTCTCCCAGTACCATTTATTGAAGAAACTGGCATTTCCTCAGTGTATGTTCCTTGCATCTTTGTCAAAAATGTGTTCACTCTAGATATATGGATTTATTTCTGGGTTCTCTATTCTGTTTTTATGCCAGTATGCTTTTCTTTTTCTTTTCCTTTTTTTTTTAATTCAGGATGGGTTTGGCTATCCTAGATCTTTTATGGTTCTATATAAATTTTAGGATTTTTTTTTCTATTTTTGAGAAGAATGTCATTGATATTTTGACAAGGATTGCATTGAATTTGTAGATTAATTTGGATATTCTGGATATTTTGACAATGTTGATTCTTCCAATCCATGAACATGGAATATCTTTCTATTTTTTGTTGTTCTCTTCAGTTCATTGCATCAGTGTTTTATAGTTTTCATTGTAGAGATCTTTCACTTCTTGGGTTAATTCCTAGGTATTTTATTTTATTTGTAGCTATTGTAAATGGGATAACTTTCTTGATTTTTTTCATGTTGTTCCCTGTTAGCATATAGAAATGCTATTGATTTTTGTATCCTGCAATTTTTCTGAGTTTTACTGAATTTACTATTTATCAGTTCAGATAGTTTTTTTGGTGGAGTCTTTAGGTTTTTCCAAATATAAGATCATATCATCTGCAAACAGAGTTAATTTGACTTCTTCCTTTCCAGTTTGGATGCCCTTTATTTCTTTTTGTTGTCTGATTGCTCTAGCCAGGAATTCCAGTACTGTGTTGAATAACAGTGGTGAAAGTGGGCATCCTTGTTGTGTTCTAGATCTTAGAGGAAAGGCTTTCAGTTTTTCCTCATTCCATAGGATACTAGCTGTGGATCTGTCATATATAGCTTTTATTGTATTTAGATATGTTCCTTCTATACCTGGTTTTTTGAGGATTTTGATCATCAGGAGATGTTAAATGTCATCAAATGCTTTTACAATATCAACGGAAGGCTTTTGTCCTTCAGTCTGATGGTATGATTTATCACATTGATTGATTTGCACATGTTGAACTATCTTTAGTTACCTGGGGTAAATACCAGTGAGTCATGACAAATGATCTTTTTAATGTGTTGTTTAATTCAGTTTGCTGGTACTTTGTTGAGGATTTTTGCACCAATGTTCATCAGGGATATTGGCCTATAGTTTTCTGTTTTCTTCATATGTCTTGTCTTTTTTTTTTTTTTTTTAATCAGGATAATACTGGTCTTGTAGAATGAGTTTGAAAGCATTTTCTCCTCTTCTATTTCTCAGAATAGTTTTAGTAGGATCAGTATTAGTTCTTTTTTAAATGTTTGGTGGAACTCAGCAGTGAAGTCATCAGGTCCTGAGCTTTTCTTTGCTGGGAGACGTTTTTTAAATTAAAAAAAAATTTTTTTTTTTTTTGAGATGTAATCTCGCTCTGTTGCCCAGGCTGGAGTGCAGTGACGCAATCTCTGCTCACTACAACCTCTGCCTCCCGGGTTCAAGCGATTCTCCTTTCTCAGCCTCCCAAGTAGCTGGGATTATAGGCATGTGCTACCACGTCTGGCTAATTTTTATATTTTTAGTAGAGACTGGGTTTCACCATGTTGGTCAGGCTAGTCTTGAACTCCTGACCTCGTGATCCGCCCACCTCAGCCTCCCAAAGTGTTGGGATTACAGGCGTGAGCCACCTCGCCCAGCCGGGACACTTTTTATTATGGCTTGGATCTCGTTATTGTTATTGGTCTGTTCAGGTTTTGGATTTCTTTATGGTTCAGTCTCCGTTGGTTGTATGTGTTTAGTCATTTGTTCATTTCTTCCAGATTTTCCAACTTATTGGCATAGAGTTGCTCATAGTGGCCTCTAATGATCCTTTGAGTTTCTGTTATCAGTTGTAGTATCTTCTTTTTTTCATTTCTGATTATATTTATTTGAGTCTTCCCTCTTTTTTTCATTAGTTAGTCTGGCTAAAAGTTTGTTGATTTTGTTTATCTTTTCAAAACACCAACTTTGTGTTTCATTAATCTTTTATATTTTTTTTGTTTCAGTTTCATTTATTTCTACTGTGATCTTTATGAATTTCTAATATGAATTTTGTGTTTGGTTTGCTCATGCTTATCTGATTCTTTCATATGCATTATTAGGTTGTTTATTTTGTTTTTCTACTTTTTTAATGTAGGCACTTACAGGTATAAACTTTCCTCTTAGTGCTCCTTTTGCTGTATCACATAGGTTTTGGATATGTTGTGTTTCCATTGTAATTTGTTTCAAGAGTTTTAAAAAATTTCCTTTTTAATCTCTTCTTAGACCCACTGGTCATTCAGGAACATATTTCTATTTGTTGGTATAGTTTCCAAAATTCCTCTTGTTATCAATTTGTGGTTTTATTCCATTATGGTCAGAGAAGATACATATATATTTAGGATTGTTGTATCTCTTGCTTAATTGATTCCTTTATTATTATGTAATTATCTTCTTGTCTTTTTTTTTAAACTGTTTTTGATTTGAAGATGTATGTATAGCTACTCCTGCTTGCTTTTGGTAGTGTGGAATACCTTTTCCCACTCTTTTGTTTTTAGCCTATGTGTGTCTTTTAGGGCTTGATACGTTTCTCATAGTCAGGATATAGTTGGATTATGTTGTTGTTGTTTTTTTAAAATCTTCTGCTAATATGTATCTTTTAAGTGAATATTTCAATTCATTTACATTACATTCACAGTTAATAATGATATGTGAAGCTTTGTTCCTGTCATTTTGTTAGTTGTTTTTAAGTTGTATAAATTATGTTTCTTTCTTTTTCTCTGTCTTTTTATCTTTATGTTTTGATGAAATTCTTTCATGTTGGTATTTGATTATTTTGTCCTCTTCCTTTGTGATTGTTCTATAAGAACTGTGAGTTTAATATTTTTATGCGTTTTTGTGATACTGTATATCCACCTTTAATTTCTATGTTGAAGACCCCTTTGAACATTTACTTTAGGAATGGCCTAGTGGTGACACATTCCCTCAGCATTTGCTTGTCCTGGAAATACTTTATTTCTCCTTCATTTATGAATCTTATCCTGTCAGGGTATAAAATTCGTGGCTGACAATTTTTTTGTTTTGTTTTGTTTTTTGGTTTTTTCCTTAGCACTTCGAAAATGACTTCCTATTCTCTTTTTTATTTGTTGTTGTTTTTTTTAATTTCCACTGAAAGGTCTGCTTTTATTCTGATAGGATTGTCTTTGTAGGTGACTAGATACTTTTCTCTTATTAATTTTAAAATTCTTTCCTTCGCATTGACTTCAGACATTCTGATAATATGCTGTGGTGAGGGCATTGCAAAAATGACTTTTTCTTTGCAGTGACTTCACCTATTTAATATTTGCATTTTTGAAAATAGTAGTGCTTGTAGTAAAACATACAAACAATGGAGAAGTATCAGAGTTCCTTCCTATTGTAGGTATAACCACTATCAACTGTATCTTCTAGACTTTTTAATGTATTTATAAACACACACACATACATACACAGTTTGTATGACTTTGGACTGTTCCAAAATCAAGATAGTACTGTATACATTGTTATTTTTCTCATCTATTTCTTTCAGCAATATATTATGAATATGTGGCCAAGTGAATACATATACATCCACTTCATTATTTTTAATGTGTACAGTTTTAATTTATATGTTCTTCTCTATACTTTGACCTGGTGAATGGAAAACAAAAAGTAGCATAATTAGTTGAGTAGGTCTCACAGTTATGCTTGCATAAAGCCAAAGAAGAAATTATTCAGAACATTTACCAGGAAGAGATATAACATTGTCTTCTAAAGATCACTCGGGTTAACCCTTAACTCATTTTATTTGAATTTGTAGTTGACAGTCTTCCTGTGTCCAACACATTCTCTAGAATTAGTACTATTCCTGGCCCCTATGCTCAAAATAATTCCCAAGTAATTCATTAGGGGATAAACTGACATCTTTTCAAGGGGTGGTTGTGATTCTTAACAAGGCAATGGGGAGACATTTAATCCAGGGTAACCGGGTTTCTAGGACTGATTTGGTCAGTTGACTTTTTAGGGTTTGGTTCATTCTTTCTACTCTTCCTGAAGAGGGTGGATGCCAAGGGATATGGTATTCCCATTTTATGTCTAGCACCTGTGCTAACTCTCTAATGACATGTGCCATGAAATGGGTTTCATTGTCTGAATCAATGTTTTCTATTAGTCTAAACCTGGGTATGATGTTTTCAATTAATGCCTTTATAACTGCATTACTAGCAGTTGCGCTTGAGAAGGAGATAGTCTCTACACAGTGAGTAAAGTGATTCACTATTATCAATAAATACTTCAGGCAACCGATGGGGGGCATTTTAGTGTAGTTAATTTTAACACTTTGGAATGGTCTTAGCCCTGGATCTCTTCCCCTGAGGAGTGATTTTCTTAGAGCTTGCTTATTAGTTTTTTTTATATATTAAGCAACTCTCTGTGACCTGTTTGGCTAGGGTGTAAATTCTGATACACCCATAAACTCTGAAAACCACATCGCACATAGCTTGGGGTCTCCAGTGGGCTCCTTGATGTACTTGAGACAAGACCTCCCTCATGAGAGGTTTGGATAACATCTCTCTTTGATCTGGTAATATCCATTTTCCTTCTGTGTTTTCTTTAGCTCCTATTTTTATTAATTTTTCTTTTTCAGTGGAAGAGAAAATGGGGACTGTGGTAGGGGAAGGAAGGCAAGGAGTTAAGTGAAAGACAGGTGTTTCAGAAGAAATGGCGGCTTGTTTGGCTATTTGATCTGCAAGGTTATTTCCTTGACTTGGGAAGGAAAAGTCATTTTGATGCCCTGGGACATGTACAATAGCTATCTCTTCTGGCAGCTGGAGATTGTTTAAGACATGGACAATTAGTTCTTTTTGGACCAAGTCTTGGCCTTTACTATTATGACCATTCTCCGTCCAGTTTTTTTTCAATGTATGAGCCACTCCAAAGGTGTACTTAGAATCAGTATAGATAGTTCCTTCTTGGTTCTGCAAATGTTTCAAAGCTTGGCTGAGTGCAAACAGTTTACAAGTTTGGGCAGACCAATTATTGGGCAATCTTTCTGACTCTACTTCTTCAAGAGTTTTTCCATCAGTTACTGAATACCCATTATGTCTTTTCTCTTCAATTACCCAGGAGGACCCATCTATAAATAAGTGTCACCCTGTCTTGAAGGGAGTTTCTCTTAAGTCTGGCCAGACCTTTGTATGGTAATCAATTAGATCTAAACATGTGTGCTCCCTTTTTAGGTTTAGATCCCCTGTTAAGAAACTAGCTAGTTTGAGTGAATTATCAGTAGTTAATGTTAAATCATCTTTTTTTTTAACAGAATGGTCTTATACTTTAAAATTCTTGAGTCAGTGATTCACCTCTCTATTTTTTGGTTTAAGATAGTTCTAACTTGGTGGGGCGTGCTTACTGTCTATTTTCCTCCGAAGTTTAACTTTTTACTTTCTTCAACCAACACTGCTCTAGCTGCAATGGACTGGATGCATTGAGGCCATCCACAGGTGACTGGGTCTAAAACTTTTGACAGGAAGGCCACGGGCTGCCGGTTGCCTCCATGCTTTTGGGTAAGCACTCCTAAAGCTACCCTGTCATTCACATTAACAAAAACGTGAAATGGCTTTTCTAGGGAAGATAGGGCTAGAACAGGGGCAGTTATGAACATCTGTTTCAGCTCTTCAATCTGATGAATTTTATCGAAGTCCACAAGAGACGGTCAGGCTTCCACTGGGTAAGTTTTTCATACAAAAATTTACTTTTTAGTGAGTATGAGTCAATCCATACACAGCAATATCCAATTAATCCTAAAAATTTTTTTGGTTCTTGCTTAGTTTGAGGCAGGGGTAAGGACACAATTCACTCAATCCATTCGGGCCTTATTCTTTGCTTGCCTGCACTTATTAGGTGGCTTAAATATTTAACTTCGGGCTCTGTATATTGAAGCTTTCCTTTTGAGACCCATAACCCCTCAAACTGTTGGTGGTTAAGAATATGTATAGAGAAGTCACCCACTTTTTTTATATCTTCACCAGATATGAGAATATCATCCACATACTGAAGCAGGCATATTTGCTTTGGGACAAGAACTTTTTCTGATACTCGTTCTAGAATTTGACCAAAGACGTTAGGGGAGTCTGTAAACCCTTGGGGTAAGACTGTCCATCAATATTGTTGTTTTTGCCCAGAATGGGGATCTTCTCACTCAAAGACAAATATGTCTCGGCTATCCTCAGCCAAGGGGCATGCGCAGAAAGCATCCTTCAAATCTATTACTGTGAACCACTGATGATCATAAGGAATTTGGCTGAGAATGGTGTAACGGTTGGGGACAACAGGTTGAGTGGTCTGGACTATCTGGTTAATAGCTCTGAAGTCTTGTACTAATCAGTATGACCCATCTGATTTCTTGACAGGCAGGATTGGGGTATTATAGGGAGACATACAGGGTTTAAGGAGTCCATCTTTAATGAGACTCTCAATTACAGGCTTTAACCCTATCCTGCCTTCGAAGGGAATGGGGTATTGCTTTCTCCTTACTATGTCCCCAGGAGTTTTTAGTTTGATGTCTATTGGGGGAACTTGAAGTTTTTCTCGATTCCCTTCTCTTGACCAGACATCAGGATGAATGTATTTTTCGTCCACAGTGGTGAGTAGATTTAATGAGGTGAGGAATCCCTTAGGGCCAGCTTGAAGGCCTATTCCTAATTTTAGCATTAAGTCTTTTTCTAATAGATTAGTTCCCACCTCAGGGATCAACAAAAATTGAATGTGAGTTAATAGATCTTGATGTTTGACTTTTGTATTTTCCAAGATTTTTGCCTTAAATCCTTCTCCTTCTCCTTTTACCCCAGTTCTTCTGAAGAGCCAGCAAGATTAGATGGAGTGAGACAAACAGAGGAGTGAGACACTCCTGAATCAATTAAAAAGGTGATAAGTTCACATTTAGGTCCCACCTCCAAATTTATCAAGAGCTCCTGGTGGGACTCAAATTAAAAGAGACAGAGACCCTGACTCCCCTATTCTTCCTTGAAAGTCATGAGTGGAAGGACTTCTTTTTCCCTTTTTAATTTGGGACATTGTCTCTTGAAGTGGCCTGTTCCACATTTGTAACATTTATCTTGTCCTTCCTCCCTTTCAATTCTGGGATTCTTTGACTTTGCTCCCCCACACTCTTTAGAGGGCCTAGGAAATGAAGGCCCAGATCCTCTAATTGGAGGCTTGGTTCCTTTGAACGGGGGTTTTTTGGATCCTTTATAGTTCTTGGCTCCCTGGAAGTCTTGTTGAGAAGCATATGGGTTTGGAGCCACCTGTTGAAAGGTGGATAGCATAAGTTTTGCTCTTTGTTTTTGCTTTTCTGCGTCTCTCCTTACATACACTTTTTGAGCTTTCCTGAGAAGTTTACTTAGCGGTCGGTCTTCCCAATTTTCCAATTTTTGTAACTTTTTTGAAATATCTAGTCAATTCTTAGTGACAAAATGGAGCTTAAACATACCCGGCCCAAGGGGATCTTCCAAATTTAGGCCTGCATACTGTTTCATTTGCTCCTTTAGCCTGTCTAAGAATTTTATAGGCCCCTCATCTTTTTTTGTTGTTGTATATCAAATGCTTTAGAGAGGTTTTGAGTTTGGGGTATTGATTCCTTAATTCCTTTTATTATCATTTCCCTTAGATCTTCCATGTTTTCCTGGTGAGCTGCATTATTATTGTCCCACCTGAGGTCTTAAGCGGGAAATTTTTGGTCCGCGGTAGGGACATTCTGACCAGGAGAGTATTCACGTTTCCAAATTGCCATAGCAGCCCTACGGTTATGCTTTTTTTCTCCTCCGAAAAGAGGATGCCTGGGATGGATATTAACTCGACCCAGGTATATAATTGAGGTCCTAAGAATTGATCAACTTAATCAGCCACCCCATAAGGGTCATCCAACAGGAGCTGAAGCTCTTTTTTCAAACTTTGCACCTCTGAACTGGTCAAGGGAATATTTACAAAGCCAATGGCTCCCCCTCCTTGTGGAACCTCTTTTAAGGGGAAGAGAGTCGGGGCTGACTCCTTAGGTGTGGAGGGAAATGGGAAATTTTGGATATCCTTTTTACATTGTTCTATCTCACGTTGAAGTCCTTTCAGGGAGGGGTACTTAATAGGCTGGGAGGGGACAGGCTCATGGGATGATAATTCCCAAAGTCAGGGTTATAAGGAGGAGGAATAACGTGAGCAGGGAAAGGATCTGGAATGAGACCTGAGGCGGCAGCAGCTGCCTGAGGGGGAGGGTCAGGGGCACTGAGCAGAGGAAGATGATCCAGAGGATCCCATGTGTTGGTGGGTGTGGGTTGTTTAGGAACAGGGACTCTTTCTCTTTTAGAGGAGTTGGTTTCTGGCTTGTTCCCTCTGGTTTTTAAAGGGTAAAGGAGGACAGGTTCTTGCCTCCAAAAAAGAGCATAGTCTGTTTCCTTTTGGGAGACAGGGCTTTTGTCATTAACATGTTCGATTAAGAGCTGACAAATCCACTCTTCATTGGAACCAAATTTTGGCCGGAAAACTGAGGGTTTGAGGATGGGCCTTCAGTCCAAATAAAACAACAATATTGTATCATTTGCTCTTTTCTTTTATGTTTAGTTCTTTCATTATCTTTCCAATATTTTAACATAAGTCCCAAGGGACTATCAGGAGGAATTTCATCACGCGCTTGGCTGTTTATTTTTCCTGTCTTACGTGAAACATTTCCCATCTTGGAGGTTTGGGATGGTGTCTAACTGAAATAGGCCTTTCCCTGGAGCTTCTCAACCTCTCCTACTAGAGATTTCTCGCCCTCCGTCCTTTCAGAAGCTCACTGAGGCTCTGAGGCTCAATCCCTCATATTAGAGATTTCTTGCCTATCGATTTCCATAGGCATTGTTAAGGCTCAGTCCCTCGTATTAGAGATTTCTTGCCTATCCTTTAGCCCCACCTGTTGGAGGCTCCTTGCATCCTTCTTTCGCTTTTTCCACTCTGGCTGCTTCCCTTGTGGGAAATGGCAGGATCTGCCACATGAGGTGACCACGGGACCGTGCAGATAGGACCCACTCAATCCACACAGCAGTAGTGTTAACATCATCTACATACACTTTTATCCTCCAAGATACCCTGACCACCTAGGAAATACTTTGTTGTTCTTGTACCGTTTTTCACCTTGGTCTGTGCACAGAGTTACTTGGTCGCCGCGGTGTTGTAAGCCTCTCCTTTCCCCATTGCTGAGAGCTTGGATTTGTTTGTCACAATGGGTGGGTCTCAGTCTCCCATCCCTGAGGCCACTGCAATGCGACAGTGGGACACGTCTCCCCCTGGGTGGGGTGACTGAAGACCTCTTCTTGAAGGAGAATGGGAATCCCCGACAAGCCCCCAGAATTGTTAGAAAGAAAGCTTGAAGTCGTAAAGAAAGACGAGTACTCAAACAAAGGATTTCTCAGCAAAGCAAATTTACTTTTGCGCAGTAGGGTGCTTCTTACAGGGCTGCTTGTCATGAGAGCACACTGAAGAAAGTAGAGTAGAAGCTTTTATTCCTAATGTGACTCCTGCCCTCGTGCCCTTTCCCCATTGGCTGGGGTCGGACTGCACAATCTAAACTAGACCCAATTGGCTAAACATTTAAACTTTCTTAGATAAGGTGGGCGCATGATGGGAGAGAGGGGAGAGGAGGAAGGGGTCATCTACAGAGGACTAGAGAGCCAGTCTTTTCCTAAATAAGGAAAGGAATGTGAGCTGGGGCTGTGGCATGCCTGGGCATGTAGTAAAATCAGAAAGAAGAAAAAAGGAGAAGAAAGGCAGGGGGTACCTGGAATTAGAGAATAAGTAGCTGAGCAGGCTATTTGAAGAGAAACCTTGCCATATCTCACATCTTTTATATCTTCTCATGCCTGTATGTATTATATGAACTGACATAAAGGGAGTCTTTTGGCCTTTCCTGAGGTCGTATAGTGTTATGTTGGATTTTGCATACCTGAAGTAGAGAATCTTGTTGAGTAATAATATGAATGCTTGTTTAACAATGTAAGCCCTTTAGTACTTACATGGTCATCTTAGGATGGATTTATATCCATTTGTTTTTACAAGATTAAAGTTTTCTTATTTTTTCCTGATTTTTAAGGGTAATAGATACTCATTGCAATAAGGCGGAAAATACCAAATTGTATAAAGGAGAAAATAAAAATCAACTATAATATCATTATCGATCATCATTACTATTTTTTCACATAGTTTTTAAAATTTTTATTTTTGTCTATATTTTTTGTTTTTTTAAAAGACGGTCTCTCTATGTTCTCCAGGCTGGCCTCGAACTCCTGGGTTTTAAATAATCTTCTCATCTCAGACTGCCAAGTAGCTGGGCCTGTTGGTGCATGCCACCATGCCCAAACTTCCAGCCTTTTTTTGTTTTAAAAAAGTAGAGTTTTGAACCAGGCACAGTGATTCTCACCTGTAATCCCAGCTACTTGGATAGCTGAGGCAGAAGGATCTCTTCAGGCCAGTAGTTCAAGACCAGCCTGAATAACATAGTGAGCCCTTGTCTCTAAAACAAACAAAAACGGAATTATAAATACCATCTTGTAAACTGCCTTTTAATTTTTATTTTATTTACTTATTTTGAGACTGAGTCTCACTCTATCGCCCAAGCTAGAGTGCAGTGGCATGATCTCGGCTCACTGCGGCCTTGACCTCCCAGATTCAAGCGACTCTCATGGCTTAGCCTCTCAAGTAGCCGGGATTACAGACGTGTGCCACCACGCCTGGATAACTTTTGTATTTTTAGTAGTGATGGGGTTTTGCCATGTTGTCCAGGCTGGTTTTGAACTCCTGACCTCACATGATCCACCTGCCTTGGCCTCACAAAGTGCTGGGATTACAGGCGTGAGCCACCACACCCAACTTAAACTGCCCTTTTTATATACTGCAGCTTATTTAACCATTTTCTGCTGTGGACATTTAACTCCTTTCCAGTTTTGAGGTATTATAAATAATGTCTACATATAGAATTTAAAATTTTCCTGAAATGTATTTTTAAATAGTCATAGAACATTAAATGTTAAAGAAATATGTTAATAAATTGAACAACAGTATTTAATAATTCAGACATTTAAAAAATAAGGAAATTTTTACAAATCAAGTAGAATTTTGTTTTTTTAAAAAATTGTCTTTGCAGTTTTACAATAAAAGATGTACAGTGTTTTTTCTGGTTTACTAAAAATGAAATCTTGTTTGTCATTTAGATGCCACCTGGGACAGCAAGACCAGGTTCTCGTGGTTGTCCCATAGGGACTGGTGGAGTTCTGTCTTCTCAAATCAAAGTTGCCCATCGCCCTGTAACACAACAAGGTTTGACTGGAATGAAAACTGGGACGAAAGGTACCTATTTTAAGATAAGTATGACACTTGGGCCTGTGTTTTGTAAGAAATAAATAACTGTGAACAATTTAAAAAAGTAAAAGTTGAGTATATTTTGAACAATAAGTATTACAGTACCATTTTTTTAAATCAGGATTATAGCATGTAAGAATTATTACATGTAATTATGGCATGTAATCAGAATTATGGCATCTAATCGTTATTCTTTGATTCACAAAATTATTGTGATGGTTAAACAACAGAGTGAATATGAAAATACAGTTTGAATTAGAAAGCTATATACAGATATGAGCTATTTCAGTCTTCATTTTTCTGACATGGAGCTGTAGTACAACTTGAAGAACTTTGAAATAGTCTTGGAGAAAAGTTCAAGATTGAAAATTAGATTTTTGGTACTATATAGAAATACTCTGAAATAGTTTAGATAGTTCCTATATTAAAATGACACTTAAAATACTTGTGTATTTATGAGAAGTGAGTCAAGAAATGTTACTTTTTTTCTGATAATTAGCATCTGTTCTAATACTTATGTAAGGAAATGAGGCTAATTTCCTCATTTATATTAATCTAATTTCCTAGATTTATATTAAATCTCTCATTATGCTTCTGCATATGTATTTAGAGAAGCATAAGAATATACTATATATTAGAGTTTAAAATTTAGATCTGTGGTATATATAAACCAAACTATGGTAAACTCCTTTTTCTTTTCTTTTTATCATAGGCAGTGGTCAGTAGCCTGTGGTGAGCTGTTTCAGAGTTTTTCGTTTTCTGTATTTTTGACAGATGATCTATCAGGAATGAAGATATACTGCTAGTACAAAATTAATTATATCATACATGCTACTTTCTATAATACAGTATATCATCCCTTTCAAGAGACTTAAATTTTTTTTTTTTGAGACTTAAATTTTTTCATCTACATTCTAATAACATCTAAATCACTAAATATTAAAAATGAATTGATTATTTAGAAATGTTTGCTTAATGATTATCAGTACCATGAAAAAATATTTCAAAATTACATAGTCATTTAACTAGCCTTTTGAAAGTGGATGCACAGAAATATTTATATGTTTAATAGTATTTTAAAACATCGAGGGTAAAAACATATTAAAATTCTATAGTAAATTTATCAAATGTTTATTTCTGTATTAATTTATCCTTCAAAACAGAACCAATATAATTTAAGATTGTTAGTCTCTACAAGTATACTTCAAAGCCTTTTAAGAGAGAATTCGGAACATTACCACTACACAGAACTGTCTACTGTGACTTTCATTCTTACCTTCTCTAGTGCCCCATTTCCCAGTATAATAAGATACTACCTCTACTTCTCAGCATAGACCTTATAGTTAATACACCTAGTTTTACCTCTCATACTTTGCAGGGCACTTCATCTCTTACAAGGTTTGAGACATTTAACCTAGGAACACTTTCTTTTTTTTTTTTTTTTTTTTTTTTTTTGAGATGGGGTCTTTCTCTGTCGCCCAGGCTGGAGTGCAGTGATGTGATCTTGGCTCACTGCAACCTCCGCATCCCAGATTCAAGCAATTCTCCTGCCTCAGCCTCCTGAGTAGCTGGGCTTACAGGCACATGCCACAATGCCCAGCTAATTTTTTTGTATTTTTAGTAGAGATGGGGTTTCACCATATTGGCCAGGCTGGTCTTGAACTTCTGACCTCAAGGGATCCTCCCACCTCAGCCTCCCAAAGTGCTGGGATTACAGGTGTGAGCCACCGTGCCCGGCCAGGAATACTTTCTTAGTTCTACTGAAATGTAAGACCATTTCTTAAAAAGTCTCTGAGACAAATGATAAAAAATCATAGTCACTTTCTCACATTGAGTAATGTCTGCAGTGTCCAGTATGACAGCCAGTAGTCAGAAATTTAAATTAGTTCCCCAGTAGCACCAGCCAAATTTTAAGTGCTTCTGTAGTCCCTCTGTCCACTTTATTGGACAGTGTTAATTTAGAATATTTCTGTCACTGCAGAAAGTTACTCTGGACAGCTCTGTTCCAGATTCCCTTAGACTCAATTTTCATTCCATCGTCCTGTTCTGTAGAGTCTACTGTCTTTTAACAGCCCCACCTCTAGTCCCATCTTCGTAGTTTTAATTGAAGCTTCCCTTATGTTGTGATTCTAAGGTATTAGTTCTCTTTTCAGTTTCAGTGATTCTTCTTGATTCATTGGGGCATTCATGAAGACTGTCTTGAGAATTGTGGAGTGTAATTCTGATTGTGCTTTGGATTTGCTATTCTGGTGGCATTTCGAACTGAACACTAACACTTAAAACATTTTTTTTTAGGTCCCCAGAGGCAAATTTTAGACAAATCTTACTATCTTGGGCTTCTTAGGTATGTTAAACATATCTTTTCATCCGTATGTTTTACTCGAAATATTGTGTACCTTCTGTCAAAATAGAGTATATAACTTTAATATGAAGTTTTAGCTAGGCACTTATTAGGATAATTAGGTATCTATTGATTTCTAAAAATTATTTTGTATTCTAACAATTTCTGGTTAATTTGGCTATGCTGTAAAATAAATGTGATAGTATAATTAGTCTGAGATTTATAGTTTTATGAATTTGCATGTACATGAGCTATATTTTCCCTCAGTTTGTTTGTGCTGCTATAATAAAATACCTGAGATTGGGTAACTTATAGGAATTTATTTCTTACTGTTCCGGAGACGCAGAAGTCCAAGATCAAGGTGCCAGCAGCTTCAGTGTCTGGTGGGCACCTGTTTCTCACAGATAGTGCCGTCAAGGTGTCCTCATGGCAGAAGAGTGGAAGGGCAAAAGGTGCTGAGCTAGTTTCCTTCAACCCTTTTCTAAGGCACTAATCCCATCCATGAGGGCAGAGTCGTCATGTCCTGATTACTTCTTAAAGTCCCTACCTCTTAATACTATTGCATTAGAGATTAAGTTTTGATATGAATTTCAGAGGGACTCAAACATTCAAACCATAGCAAACTTATTTTATTTTATTTATATTTTAGAGACAGAGTCTCACTCTGTTGCCCAGGCTGGAGTGCAGTGGCATGATCACAGCTCACTGCAACCTTGAACTCCTGGGTTGAAGTGATCCTCCTGCCTCAGCTTCCCAAAGTGCTGGGATTATAGGCATAAGCTACCACCACACCTGGCCTCATAGCATTTTTTTTTTGAGACAGAGTCTTGTTCTGTGGCTCAGGCTGGAGTGCAGTGGCATGATCTCGGTTGACTGCAACCTCTGTCTCCCAGGTTTAAGCAATTCTCCTGCATCAGCTTCCCAAGTAGCTGGGATTACAGGCGTTTGCCACCACACCCACCTAATTTTGTGTGTGTGTTTTTAGTAGAGGTGGCATTTCACCATGTCAGCCAGGCTTGTCTCGAACTCCTGACCTCAAATGATCTGCCCATCTCGGCCTTCCAAAGTGCTGGGATTACAGGCATGAGCCACCGCGCCCAACCCCTTGTAGCATTTTAAAAGTTCACTTTTTTCATCTAATGATAAGAATAATTTTTTTTTTTTTTTTTGAGATAGAGTCTCACTCTGTCGCCCAGGCTGGAGTGCAGTGGTGTGATCTCAGCTCACTGCAACCCCTGCCTTCCGGGTTTAAGCTATTCTCCTGCCTCAGCCTCGTGAGTAGCTGGGACTGCAGGTATGCGCCACCATGCCTGGCTAATTTTTGTATTTTTTAGTAGAGGTGGGCTTTCACCATATTGGCCAGGCTGGTCTTAAACTCCTGACCTCAGGTGATGCACCTGCCTCAGCCTCCCAAAGTGCTGAAATTATAGGCTGAGCCACCGCACCTGGCCAAGAATAATCTTCTATGTTTTTTTTCAGTAATTAATCTGAAACGTGTTACTCATATCATTAAAATGTTACCAGCTACATCTAATAAGAAAGGGAAAATATGTATACTTATTTATGTTATATTAATCAGTAAGTTTTACATAAGTATGTATTTGGTCAGTTGCTACCAATGTGGCCTAATTTTAATTAATTCATAAGCTTTTTTTCTTTTTTTTTTGAGACGGAGTTTTGCTTGTCACCCAAGCTGGAGTGCAATGATGGGATCTCACGTCACTGCAACTTCCACCGCCTGGATTCAAGTGATTCTCTTGCCTCAGCCTCGTGCCTGTAATCTGCAAGTAGCTGGGATTACGGGTGCCTGCCACCACACTTGGCTAATTTTTGTATTTTTTTTTTTTTTTTTTTTTTGAGACAGAGTTTTGCTCTTGTTGCCCAGGCTGGAGTGCAATGGCCTGATCTCTGGCACCGCAACCTCCGCCTCCCGGGTTCAAGTGATTCTCCTGCCTCAGCCTCCCGAGTAGCTGGGATTACAGGTGTGCACCACCATGCCCAGCTAATTTTGTATTTTTAGTTCAGACGAGGTTTCTCAATGTTGGTCAGGCTGGTCTCGAACTCCCAACCTCAGGTGATCTGCCCACCTTGGCCTCTTAGAGTGCTGGGATTACAGGTGTGAGCCACTGCACCTGGCCTAATTTTTGTATTTTTAGTAGAGATGGGGGTTTCACCATTTTGGCCAGGCTAGTCTTGAACTCCTGACCTCAGGTAATGCACCTGCCTATGCCTTTCAAAGTGCTGGGATTACAGGCGTGAGCTGCCGCACTCGGCCTCATAAACTTTTGTTATATGTCTCTGGGGATGCATCTCTAAATCAATGACTTTTTCTTATTCTTACTATTTTCCCACTTACTTGTTCTACTGTCCTATCTCCATCTTCCCATTTTACTTCATTTTCTTTTTGGCACATTATTTGTATCTTCTTTCTCTTTTATTTCGCTTTTGTTTAATCCACCCTCCCATCATGCCCTGAAAGCCCTGTTTTCTTTTATTTCTCAGTTACCTGGATCCTATTGAGTCTCAAACTCCTAGAAGGCAATAAAGAAAAGTATGGTTTCCCCCCATCTGTTCTCAAAGCTAAGAGTAGTAAGAAAGATAGTAAGGCCATCAGTTGTTTAGTATCTCTGACATTCAGCCACTTTTTAATCAAAAGAAGGAAAGGAAATATAGTTATTCCTAATGATTGCATTGCCTTTCTCCCCCAGGATTTGTGCTTCCACATCAAAGAATAGTTCTAGCTATTTGTGTAATTGTCTGGCTCTAGAGCAGTGGTTCTCAACTGGTGGTGATTTTGCCCCCAGGGAACATTTGGCAATTTCTATACATGTTTCTGGTTGTCACAAGTGAGGTTGGAGGAAGTGCTACTGATACTCAGATCCAGGATGCTGGTAAACATCCTGCAGTGTACAAGATAGTGCTCAACACGAGGTGCTAATCACTGACCCAAAATGTCATTAGTGCTACTGTTGAGAAACTGTGCTCTAGAGGGTAGTAGCAGCTGTGATGATGACAGTTAAGCACCTACATCTGCCTGTGGCTTGTACTAGTTTGACCAGGCTTTCATTCTGGTTCTATTTCATCTTTCTTCATGAATCTATGTCAGTTTCTCCTCAGTTTCTCATCAGTTGAGTAGAATAGGATGGGATATACCTCATTCTTTTTTTTTTTTTTTTTTTTTTTCTGAGATGGTGTCTCCCTCTGTCTCCCAGGCTGGAGTGTAGTGGCACGATCTTGGCTCACTACAGTCTCCACCTCCCAGATTTAAGCTATTCTCCTGCCTCAGCCTCCCTAGTAGCTGGGACTACAGGCGTGTGCCACCATGCCCAGCTAATTTTTGTATTTTGAATAGAGATGGGGTTTCACCATGTTGGCCAGGCTTGTCTTGAGCTCCTGACCTCACGTGATGCGCCTGCCTCGGCCTCCCAAAGTGTTGGGATTACAGGCTTGACCCACCGCACCCAGCCAGAATATACCTCATTCTTAATGAAATAAGCCACCTAAACTTTCTGCATTCTTTTAGTGAATTTCACAAAACTATTTATATTATTATTACGTATTAATGGAAAGTTTAAATTTTGCTTAACTAGAGTTTTCTGGATTAAAAGTATTGCTGACATTCTTATTTCTTTTCTAATAGAAGTAAAATAAGTGAACTTACAACTGAAGTTAATAAACTTCAGAAGGGAATAGAAATGTACAATCAAGAGAATTCAGTATATTTGTCATATGAAAAGAGGTGAGTAATAAGTATTCAGTATTCATTCAGTATTTTGTGCTTATAATACTAACTTTGTAGCTATCCATATTGTTTGTAATGTTCATTTTCTTATGTATATTTTTATGTACATATTTATGAATGTATTTATTTTATGCTTTCAGGGCTGAGACTTTAGCTGTTGAGATAAAAGAGCTTCAAGGACAACTAGCAGACTACAACATGGTATTTTATCTTTTCTAAGAGAATTTACTGTTAATATTTTCATTAGTTTTTACTACTGCTTTAAAAATACATTAGTAGGCAAAGGACATGCACAGATACTTTTCAAAAGAAGACAAACATGCAGCCAACAAGCATATGAAAAGAAGCTCATCATCACTGATGATGATTAGGGAAATGCAAATCAAAAGAATAATGAGATACCATCTCACACCAGTTAGAATGGCTGTTACTAAGAAGTCAAAAATAACAGATGCTGGTGAAATTGCAGAGAAAAGGGAATGCTTATACACTGTTGGTGAGAGTGTAAATTAGTTCAACCACTGTGAAAGCAGTGTGGCGATTCCTCAAAAAGCTGAAAACAGAACTACCATTCAGCCCGTCAATCCCATTACTGGATGTATACCCAAAGGAATATAAATCATTTTACCATAAAGACACATGCACATGTGTGTTCATTGGAGCACGGTTTACAGTAGCAAAGACATGGAATCAACCTAAATGCCCATCAGTGGCAGATTGGTTAAAGAAAATGTGGTACCTATACCATGAAATACTATGCAGTCATAAAAAAGAAAAAGATCATGTCCCTTGCAGGAACATGGATGGAGCTGGAGGTCATTATCCTTAGCAAACTAACACAGGAAAAGAAAACCAAATACTGCATGTTCTCTCTTACCAGTGGGAGCTAAATGATAACACATAGATGGGAACAACAGATAATGGGATCTACTTGAGTTTGGAGGCTGGAAGGAGGGAAAGGATCAGAAAAAATAACTAATGGGTATTAGCTTAGTTACCTAGGTGATTAAATAATCTGCACAACAAACCCCCATGACAGTTTATCTGTAAAACAAACCTGCACATGTACCCCTGAACCTAAAATAAAAATTTCAAAAATTTCAAAAACAATAAAACATTTGATGAAAAAATATATTTATTAATTTATTATTTAAAATACCAAATAGTACATGAATACATACTTATTGGGAAAGATGAAACCATAAAAATTACAACAAATAAAGTATCCCTTTACTTTCTGCTTCATTTCCCTCCCCAGAAATAACTTGGCTTAACAGATTAATATATATTCTTCCATTGTTTTTTGTAAAATACGTTTACTGACACATACACAAATGCACACATGCTTTTCTCCCTAAAATATGTTAAAATAATAATTTAAATAATTTTAAAAGTGGCTAAAATGTATTGGTCCTATCAGTGATCATTGCTTTAAAAACACATTTTTTATCAAGTGTTGTCATCTTGAAAATTTTGAAATTTAATTATTAAACATACAGATTTCCACCATCTTGATGTTTTACTCGAAATATTGTGTACATTGTCAAAATAGAGTATATAACATGATATAGTTCCACTAAAGATGCTTCTACCTGTGGACTTTCAGAAGAAACAGTCCCCCTGGCAATATTGATAACTGCTCAGTCCTTGGGTGATATTGGCCCCATGAAAATTTCTAGTGTCAGAATTTTCTTTTTTCTAACTCTTTAGTTGCTTTAGGAGCAGTGATGTCTGGATTTAATGAAAAAGTCAAATTTTTATCTCACTACCCTTATTAAGAAATAGTGTTACAAGAAATAAACATTCTATCATAATGGTTAGGATAAGATAAGTTATGATATACCTACTTGATAGTGTTACCTTGTGCTTATCAAAAATTTTGCTAATTATAGTATAACTTTTTATTTTTGTTTTTGTTGTTGTTACTGGTGGTGGTGGTGGGTTTTGTTTTTTGTTTTTTTGTTGTTTTTTTTTTTCAAGACAGTCTTGCTCTGTTGCCCAAGCTGGAATGCAGTGGCTCAATCATGGCTCGCTGCAGCCTAGACTTTCTGAGCTCAATTGATCCTCCCACCTAAGCCTCCCAAGCAGCTGGGACTACAGGCACATGCCATCACACCAGGCTAATTTTTTGTATTTTTTGTTGAGATGAGATTTGGCCTTGTTGCCCATACTGGTCTCAAACTCATGGGCTCAAGTGATCTGCCCACCTTGGTCTCCCAAAGTGCTGGGATTACAGGCTTGAGTCATTGTGCCTGGACTATTTTTATTTTTTAATTTTTTTAGAGATAGGGTCTTGCTCTGTTGCTCTGGCTGAAGTGCAGTAGCATGATTGTAGTTCACTGCAGCCTCAAACTCCTGGGCACAAGTGGTCTTCCTGCATCAGCCTCCCAAGTAGCTGGGACTACAGGTGCATGCCAGCATGCCTGGCTAATTTTTAAATTTTTTGGAGAGATGGGGACTTGCTGTGTTGCCCACAATGGTCTTGAACTCCTGGGCTCAAGTGATCCTCCTGCTTCAGCTTCCCAAAGTGCTGGGATTATAAGCATGAGCCATTGCACCCAGCCCTCTTATAATTCTTAAATTTCCTGGACTACACAATTCATCACAAACATTTTGTAGAGCCCATTATTCACTGGGATTTTCTTTAGTAAATGATGTTCTGTTTTAAATGTGAGCAAAATAGTTTTTTTTTGTTTTTTTGTTCTTCTTGAGATGGAGTCTCGCTCTGTCATCCAGGCCGGAGTGCAGTGGCGTGATCTTGGCTCACTGTAACCTCCGCCTCTTGGGTTCAAGTGATTATCCTGCTTCAGCCTCCTGAGTAGCTGGGATTACAGGCGCTTGCCACCAGCTGGGATTACAGGTGCGGTCCTGAGTAGCTGGGATTACAGGTGCCTGGGTAATATTTGTATTTTTAGTAGAGAAGGGGTTTCACCATGTTGGCCAGGCTGATCTCAAACTCCTGACCTCGTGATCCACCCGCCTCAGCCTCCCAAAGTGTGGGGATTGCAGGCATGAGCCACCGCGCCCGGCCGAGAAAAGTAGTTTTTAAAGGTATGAAATGACATGAGATGAAAGGGAGTTTTAGTTATGCTGGAACAAATTAGGCATATTCATATAAAAATACTACCATATAAAATATGCTATTTATAGATTTAATGAGCTAATATCTGATACAGAGCAGTTAGCTGTGTATCTGACATATAGTTAGCACTCAATAAATGTTAGGCCTTATTAGCACTTATTATTTATATCATAAATGAAAAATGTGATATACCTTACACCCAAATAGTTTGCTTTTAGTAGACCTTCTGTTCACATTCTGGCTCTATCGCTTGCTAAATTTCTTTTTCTGTAAAATGTGTACAATCATATCTACTTCATACAGTAATTGTAAAAATTGAGTTAACACATATGTAATAGTGTTTGACACTAGGTAAATATCCTATGTTGACAACTGATATCCTTGCCTAACTTTTTGAAGTAGACTTACTACTGTTCCATCTGTGCAAGCCCTGTTGATTTTTTTTTAATTATTAGAAGATAAAGAATATCTTTTTATGTTTTTACTAGTGTAAATTTGTTTTTTGTTGTTGTTGTTGTTGTTGTTTTTTGAGACGGAATTTCACTTTTGTTGCCCAGGCTGGAGTGCAGTGGTGCCATCTCGGCTCACCGCAACCTCTGCTTCCCGGGTTCAAGCGATTCTCCTGCCTCAGTCTCTCTAGTAGCTGGGATTACAGGCATGTGCCACCACACCCGGCTAATTTTGTATTTTTAGTAGAGACAGGGTTTCTCCATGTTGGTCAGGCTGTTCTTGAACTCCTGACCTCAGGTGATCCGCCCGCGTCAGCCTCCCAAAGTGCTGGGATTACAGGCCTGAGCCACCGAGCCCGGCTTACTAGTGTAAATTTGTAAATCTACTAACATTCCTCTCTCCTTGGGGATGTTGGCAGGGGAAGAGAGGGTGATAGATCTTTCCAAAACTCTCGTCTGTTCCAAACCCTTATTTATAAGCTCAGCCATCTTTTCAGAGCAGGCAAAGCTCCACAAGATATAATATTCAGGAAGAGTTGTTTATTACTGCTCATTTATCCATGTTAAAAATGTGATTTGTTTATTGGCCAGGTGCATAATATATGCTTACTTAGGTAGCTCAATATTTGTTTTTATCTTAAAATAGAAAATATTCAAAAGTATTAATACTTAAGTTACTACTCATTATTTGTAAGACTGAATACCTATATTATTAATTATAGAGAACATGTGTAAAGACTAACAAAATGGTGTTTGTTTGTTTGTATTTTTGTTTTTAGTTGGTAGATAAACTTAATACCAACACTGAAATGGAAGAAGTAATGAATGATTACAATATGGTAAGAAAATTTATAAAAGCAAATTGATCTATGTAAGTCATATCCTACAAAACAAAGCATTTATATCTAGAAATAGTTTGATAAAACCTTAAGTGCTATAGAGGTGAATATTACTCTGATTGTAAATACCACTATTAGGTATTCCTTGAGCTCCCTTAGTTGCTCTTTTAAATTTTCTTCCTGTTGATTGGCTTTCCTAAGTGGGTGTTTAGTGACTGTCTACTGTGTTTGAACTGGTGTCACGTGCAACATTAGTTAGGGAGTGCCATCTCCATTTCCTTATATATATTAGTTTACAGTATTTCTGGCTTAGTTTAAGCACAAATGTTGATGAATACTCAATGTGACAAATGATAACTTTACATAGTTTTTGTCACCAGTGGAGAAAAATGAATAGATATGACTCCAGACATAAAATATTAATTTTTGATTGGTAAATGAGAATCTGTGTTTAACATGGACATAACACTGGGGACTCCAAAAAGGGGGATGGTAGGAGGGCAATAAGGGTGGAAAAATTACCTAGCAGGTACAGTGTTCATTATTTGGGTGATGGGTTCACTAGAAGCCCAAACCTTACCGTTATACAATATATCCATGCAACAAACCTGCACATGTACCTCTGATTCTAAAATAAAAACAAATTTGTATTCAATGTTCTTAGATTAATTGTTTGGTAGAAAACAATAAAATATGTTAATAGCTAGCTTATTTTGATTATAAGCATTTGGATGAAAATAACATACAATTTATAATTTATATAGTTTATAATTTATTTACATGAGTAAAGACTGTTCTATGAAGACATAGGATTGATAAAATGACTCTTCTAAATTTGGGGTTCTCAAACCATGATAATTTAGTTACTTTTAGCTTTAGAACACAAGAGAATTCACTAATTAAGAATCTTATTTCAATGCCAGATATAAAAAGTAAAAACCTTATGTGTTTTGTCAGTTGTTTGGGATGGGGGGTCTGTTTTCTAGGCTGGGTGTGCACAGGTAGAGTTAATTAGGTGTACTCAGATAATATCCTGAATGGTTCAGGAATAAAACTTGTGGTGGTTCTAAATTTAACATATTACTAATCAAATATTTATTGAACACTCAATATATTCTTTGAATGCTGTTTACATAAATTGAATTTACATTGAATTATTTGACAGATCACTGAAGAACAATGAATATTTTTGGTATAAGATTACAATGCTTCTTAAAAAGACTTTTTAAAAATCTGATATTGTTTGTTAAATGAGGCAATTACTTTATTTTTCTTCTTAAACTTTGTATGTGGCACTAGGATAATTATAGTAATTTCTCATTTAGTTCCTAGCCAAAATAACCTACAAAGAAAAAATTTGGTTTAATATTTATTTCTTACTAACTTATGTGTTAACTTTATTCAGCTTAAAGCTCAAAATGATCGAGAAACACAAAGTTTGGATGTCATATTTACTGAAAGACAAGCGTAAGTATAGCTAATTTAAAAATTAGATTCATAAGTAAGCTTTATTAGGTAGTTTAAGTTGTGATCCAGTTATTTCCTTGTAAATTTTCTTAACAATTTCCCCATTGCCTTTTTCATTTAAAAATATTTACAACACAAATTTTGTTGCTTATACTTGTTATCTTCATTTACCATTAAATACCTAAATTCTGTATAAAGACTATTGCTACATAGCTTATATAAATAGGATTTATGCTGCTAGCAGCTGAACACTTATGATGGATAAGAACATCTTTATATCTACTATTTTTGGTTTTAACCTGGGCTTTTAACTAATTTGAATTTTGGTGTTTCATCCCCAATCTAGTGAAAGACACATTATTCATTAGGAAGCTATTTACATTATTTCATTAGCATTGATATTTAATAGTTATATTAGCAATCTACGTCATATATAGATTGTATGTGTGTCTTTATATATAACCTATCTAAAGACTAAATACCAACTAACGCTGGAAATAACGTAATTGTGGCAGTGGGAGTAATGCCTACAAAGATAATAATAGATGTGATGTAGTTAACTTATTTGTGTTTTGTCAGTTGTTTGGGATGGGTCCATATTCTAGGCTGGGTATGCACAGGTTGAGTTAACTAGGGATACTCAGATAAAATCCTGAATGATTCAAGAATAAAACTTGTGTTGGTTCTAAGGTCAAAAAGTTGATGAAGAATAATTAATTTAGAACCAACACAAATTTTATTCCTGAATTATTTATTCTAAGGCAACACAAACACAATGAGCTATGTTGTGTAAACACACATACAAGCACATTCTCTCCCAGAAATTTGTTAATATTAGTCTCTTTGAGAGCAAAGACAATAATAAACCCAAATTACCATATTCAATTACCAAAATTCAGTAACAGCAAATACACTCTCTTGTTACCTCTGCATAAAACAGTAAATATTTGATGATGGATAGATGTTAAAATATACTGATAAAACATTTGAAAGATAAATGTAATTCTTCTATTGATTAAAAACAAGAATCTCTTTTCCCCTGCCTTTAAGTAGAGTTTTGCTCTGTTGCCCTTGCTGAATTGAAGTGACATGCTCATGGCTCACTGCAGCCTTGAACACCTGGGTTCAAGCGATGTTGCCTCAGCCCTCCAAGTAGCTGAGACTACAGGTGCATGCCACTATGCCCAGCTAATTTTTTGTTTCTTGGGGAGACAGGGTCTTATTACGTTGCTCAGGCTAGTCTCAAACTCCTGGTCTCAAGCAGTCCTCCTACCTTGGCCTCCTCAAGTGTTGGGATTACAGGAGTGAACCATTATACCCGGCCACCATCTATCATTTGCTGCTGCTGTAAAGTGGTATCTTATAAACTCAAAATACTAGCAGTCTTTTTCCTTTTACAAGGAAAATTTTGTTCATGGTAACCACGCTCTTACTTGAAAACGTTCCTTTTTTTTTTGTTATCCTGGTTTTAATCCATTTAGCAAATATTTATCATTTACTATATATAAGATACTCTCTTAGGTACTTCAAAGAATAAGAAATATATAAGCTATAGGCCAGTGTGGTGGTTCACACATGTAATCCCAGCACTTTGGGAGGCCGAGGCGGGTGGATCATGAGGTCAGGAGATCAAGACCATCCTGGCCAACACGGTAAAACCATATCTCTACTAAAAATACAAAAATTAGCTGGGCATGGTGGCACGGGCTTGTAGTCCCAGCTACTCGGGAGACTGAAGCAGGAGAATCACTTGAACCTGGGAGGCAGAGGTTGCAGTTAGCTGAGGTCGCGCCATCGTGCCACTGCACTCCAGCCTGGTGACAGAGCGAGACTCCGTCTCAAAAAAAAAAAATAGAGAAATATATAAGCTATAATCCCCTGAAGGCCTTAAAGAGTTTAGAACATTTAAGTTCTCATTTATTTCATCATTTATCTCAAAGTTATATAATACCTAGGTCAGGTTTTAAATATTATATTTACATATTTTACAGATATTTCATCTGAAAACATAATTTCAAGAATAAAAGTTAAAGAATGTCATAGATTTTTACATCTATTTGGTTTTTTTTATTTAGGAAAATCTTCAAATATGGTAATTTGTCCTGAAGATACATCCAAACCATTTAAAAACTCTGTCTGTAATTTGTAATTGAGGCTGAGTGAAATTGGTTCTCTTGTCTGTTTTAGGCAGAAATTGAAATTAAGAACAACAATTGGCCAGGTGCAGTGGCTCATGCCTGTAATCCCAGCACTTTTGGAGGCTGAAGTGGGTGGATCACCTGAGGTCAGGAGTTCAAGACCAGCCTGGGCAATGTGGCGAAACTCTGTCTCTACTAAAAATATAAAAATTAGCTGGGTGAGGTGGCAGGTGCCTGTAATCCCAGCTACTCAGGAGGCTGAGGCACGCGAATCACTTGAACCCAGGAGGCGGAGGGTTCAGTAAGCCGAGATTGCGCCACTACACTCCAGCCTGGGTGACAGGGCGAGACTTTGTCTCAAAAAAAAAAAAATAACAAAAAGTATTGTTACGAAGGTTACTTTTCTATACAGCAGTAGAATAGATTTATTTCTTGTGTTAACCAGATGGCCAACGTCTCAATAACACAAAGATCTATCTTGACTCTACACAGAGTGACCAAGAAATGCCATACCTCGAGAAGGCAGGTGTAAAAAGCTTCTGTTTTCATTCTCTTCTCTTTCAATACAACCATTTAGTGTGGTCTGACCATCTGGTTTATTATGGAAAACTCATCTATAAAAAGTTGGTTATAATAAACAGCCTCAATATATTACAACAACAATATGTAAGACACCTGGCATTAATTCAGTTTCACAGTCTTGCTTGAACTAATGATTCTCTTCTAATCCTGCACTTTCTAGTTAATATTAGTCAAGATCAGTTGTCCTGTAAAAATATATGTAATTATAATTTTATACCCATTTATTTTTCTTTGTGTAGTCAGATATTTATTGAATACCCCATATTCAACAGAGGCCCTTGAATATAAAAGCTTAAGTGTAGTCTTTGCTCATTTGCAATTATATTTCATTTTGCTACATTTCTCAAATATTAATATTTGCATCTTATAATTAGGAAATAATTTAGCAGAATGATACATTGTTTAGAAAAAGATATTTTATGTTCCTATAATCATCTCATTCTTATAATTAAGGTTTAAAACAAAGTATAATTGATATATAAAGAAACATTAGCCATAATATACTTATATCCTTTGTTGAAAACATGTGTCTGTAAACACAAGCAAATATGTATTATAAATTAGTAAGTTCTTCTATTTTACAGGTATATCATCCTAGTTTTTATTTTCTCTCAGTAGACATTTGTATTGAATTTACTAATTATGTAACTTTTAAAATGACTATTCTATAGATTATGACATAGATCTATTTTATTTTAGCCTCTTTTTTCTAAGGAATTGTCAAGTACATACAAATTTTTAAAACTTTATTATATACATAAACAATTTGAACATACACAGAAATAGCATACTATACCATACACAACATACACAGAAGTAGCATATTATACCCTTATTTAGCTCCCAGCTCCATCAGCTCATATTTGACCTTGCTCCATCCATACCTCTAGCCACTGTTCCATTCCACGTGTTATAATGAAGAAAATACCAGAAATATTATTTCACCCATCAATATATTTCATTATTTCAGAGATATACATATTTGTAAAAGATGTAAATTCTTAATTTCTCTGCATATGAAGGTAAAAATTATAGATTGTGCTACAGTTTTTAATGTACTGTTTGCATTGATAAATTATTAAATTGTGATTATAGCCAATTGATTATGAGGACTCAGCAAATAATTTTCTTTAGACCCTTCCTATTACAGCCGATAGGCCAGTGTTTTCCAAACTACGTTCTTTGGAATGTTATTGAACTACGAGCTCTTAGTAGATGTAACTGAAAGAATGGGTTTTGTTGTCAAGTAAGTTTGAGAAATTTTTAATACTTTGCTCTTGAATAATCAGAGAGCAGTTTAGCTTAGTAAAGTTTTACATAAATCCTATTGTAAAGAATCTTGGCCAGGCACGGTGCTCCATGCCTGTAATCCCAGCACTTTGGGAGGCCGAGGCGGGTAGATCATGAGGTCAGGCGTTCGAGACCAGCCTGGCCAACATGGTGAAACCCTGTCTCTACTAAAAATACAGAAATTAGCCAGGCATGGTGGTGTGCACCTGTACTCCCAGCTACTCGGGAGGCTGAGTCAGAAGAATTGCTTGAACCCAGGAGGCGGAGGTTGCAGTGATCTGAGACTGCGCTGCTGCAGTCCAGCCTGGGAGACAGTGCGAGACTTTGTCTCAAAAAAAAAAAAAAAAAAAAGAAAAAGAATCTTGTTTCACCTTGTTTAAACTACTAGTTTTTCCTGTAGTAATTTGACCATGTACCTCCTTCTTCTTCTGTAAATACTTGTGAATGTCTCTCTGGAAATTAGTATTCTAGAAAAACAATTTGGGAAACATTGCTCTATCTACTGAATAGATAGAAATAGCTGTCCATGGACCACATGAAGATTCCTTAGTGTCAGCACAGACCAATTTGAATAAAAATCTCCCAGAGAGAGGTGGAAATATGTATTTTTAAAACAAGATTTATAGATAATTGTGATGCCCACTTTGGAAGCCAGTATGACATTAAACTGTAGTGATCCTGCATTATGGTGACAGCCTTTCTTTATAACCAGAATCAATAGTGACTTATTAGGGATTATGCCTGAACATTGTGCTTGTGCTTTAAATTGCTATGAAATTTTAAGGAAATTTATTGTGCTATTTCAGGAAGCATTTCAAAAAAATATTTTCCAACTCTATGATTTTATTCTGGGAGCATAAAATCAATCTTAGTGTATTATTTAAGCTATCTCTGTTCCTCACTTTGACTTCCATATATTAATAAATCCTAAACTTTTATTTCTTTACTGATTGAAACATTAGTATAACTTAATACATATTATGTCAAATACCTGTGTTAATATGAGAATCCATTCATTTTAATTCATGAATAATTTAGACCTTTTTACTAGTTCGTATGGTCACCCAAGCACTGCTAAGAATAGTAGTGCTAGTATTGTAGACTATGTAACTGTCAACTACCGAGGAGTGTCAGTTACTGTATTTGAACCTGCTTGCTCAATATAATGCAAAGAACATAATTTTATGATATTCATGTATGTTGTCATTAATATGAATGCCTGCCAGCTGTATTTTGTTATGTCACATAGCAAAATCTCCATATCTAAACTGAGTGAGCTGATAACTTTGCTTTAAAAAGCAAACTTTGAAAGAAATTAATTTTCTTCACATAATTCATGGATATCTATATATTTGTCTTCAATAAATCCATCATCATCTACCACAAATGAATGTAATTGTTCAAATATTACTGTAGTTTCTTCAGAGTTTGTTTCTGGTATCTGTGAAAGAGAGCTTGGATTTCCAGTAAAACCATCTTCATAGGTTTCTGCTTCATGCTCTTCCAGGCGATGATGATTATAACTAAGCAGAATATTGTACCATATTGGGCATTTGATAGCAATAAAAATGAGAAGTGAAGTCGTCAGTACAGTGACAACAACACCAACAAGAAAAGCCCAACTTTTTCCAAGAGGTTCATGTTCTTTAATGGAATACCAAGAGAGGAGAGAGAAAGAAAATTTGTTAAGTTGGCAAAATAATCATAATTATATATCCTAATTCTCCTCAATATTGGTATTAAAAATAAACATACATTGTAGTTTTCTTTAGATTTTGTTTGGTGGATGAATTCTCTTTGTTCAAAATAGCTGTGTTTGCAATTTTGTTACCCTTTTACCTAAGACCATTATTGATTTATACTCGTTAAGATTTGTGACTAGACTAGTTAAAACAAAGGCTCAGAGAAGTTAAATAATTTGCACGATGGCATTTGGCTTGTAACTAGCAGAGCCTAGTTTGGAAGAGCAATATTTTGTAAATCTTTAGTTGAGATGAGGAATCTTTCTTTTACATTTTTTATACAAATTTAAAATAAAGATAACTACCTCAGTTTATTTAGTATGATACATTCAGCAGTGTTAATATATAGAACCAGTATATTACCTGAATTTCTTGTTAAGTTGTTCGAAGAGCTATTAAATATTGAATTGCTGATGGGCTGAAAATGAATATAAAGATCTTCAGTTACTGATGAAGGAAATTTTGAGTGGCATTCAGCCTTATGAGGTACTGTTTTGATATTGTAGCTCTGCAGGCTGTTGGGGTAGCTACACATGGTGATGTTCTCATTTTCTAGTAAATCAGAAAGAATAAGATTTAGTATAGAGAAAAATAATAGTTAACAACATTTTATAATTGTTTTATCTAGAATTTTTGACATATTTGTCATTCTTAAAGGCATTATAAGAAATTCCTGTTGTATTTGTCTAGCAACATAATGAAAGAATGATGCACATTTCTGTTTATTATTTTATAAATATGGCTTAAATGCAGTATCTTTGTTATTTAGTTTATCTGTATTAGTGTAGATTTTATTATTAATATTGTGGTTACATGGTTACAATCTGGATCTCAGGCACAGTATGGTTTGCAGTTAAAATACGTCACTTGTTTTCACTTAGTCTAGGAAGCACTTTTAAAAAATTAGTCTGACATATTGACTTTGCTAACAATACATGAAATGACATTATCATCTCACATGTATAGAACATTTACATTTCTGGCCGGGCGCAGAGGCTCATGCCTGTAATCCCAGCACTTTGGGAGGCCGAGGCGGGTGGATCACCTGAGGTCGGGAGTTTGAGACCAGCCTGACAAACATGGAGGAAGCCCATCTCTACTAAAAATACAAAAAATTAGCCAGGCGTGGTGGCTCATGACTGTAATCCCAGCTACTGGGGAGGCTGAGGCAGGAGAATCACTTGAACCTGGGAGGCGGAGGTTGTGGTGAGCTGAGATCACGCCAATGCATTCCAGCCTGGGTAATAATAACAAAACTCTGTCTCAAAAAAAAAAAAAATTTCTTAATTTTTCCCCCTGGTAATGGGGAAGGAGAGCATCTATGCAGCTGTTACTTTTTAGTGTTTCTTCCTGTTTTGCTTAAACAGAAATTGTTTCCTTTCCTTTTTTTTTTTTTTTTTTTTTGAGACAGAGTCTCACTCTGTTGCCCAGGCTGGAGTGCAGTGGCACGATCTCGGCTCACTGTAACATCTGCCTCCCAGGTTCAAGCAATTCTCCCACCTCAGCCTCCTGAGTACCTGGTACTACAGGCATGCGCCACCATACCCAGCTAATTTTTGTATTTTTAGCAGAGATGGGGTTTCACCATGTTGGCCAGGCTGGTCTCAAACTCCTGACCTCAGGTGATCCCCCTGCCTTGGCCTCCCATAGTGATGGGATTACAGGCATGAGCCACTGCGCCTGGCTGCTTCCTTTTCTTTAAAACGTGATATGAGAGATTTTTCTGTGGTGGAACATTGAGTTAATCACATTTTGGTTTTGCTTAATTATGATAGCTTACCTAATGTCACATTTGATGTGTTCAACCAGTTCTGCAAATTAAATAGACTGCAAGAGCAGTTCCATAGGTTTCCATATAAAGTTATTAATTCCAGATGAAATAGTGGTGGTACATCCAAATAGCTAATCAAATTGCCTTGCAGATTCAGAAGTTTTAGGCTTCTTAGAGGCACAAATACATCAGCATTCAGTTGTTCTATTTTGTTTTGGCAGAGATATAACTGTTTTAGTTTATTTAAGCCTAAAAATGCACCCTGTTGAATTACATAGATGGAGTTTCTACAGATATTTAAAATTTCTAGACTGGAGAGGTTACCAAAACCGTTATTATGTAAGATAGTAACCTTGTTCTCAATCAAATAGAGCTCTGTGAGTAAAAAGTATGTCTGTAGAACTCTTGTGTCTGTACCATTAAGAGTAATTTGGTTATAACTGAGATCAAGTATAGTAACATCTTTCTTGATATCTGCTGGAATCAAGGTATAATTTTTTTCAGTAAAATTACATTGGACTTCCTAGAAAAACAAAAAAAAGAAAGGCATTAATCAGAAAAAAAATTAATAGAATTTCACCAAATTTCATATTTAAGCACTTAGACATTAGAAGGACGTTATTTTGGGAAAAAAACCTACTATCTAATATTTTGGTGTTACAGTAGAGCAAATCTTTTTCTTTATTGGGATGAAATACTAAAAATTAAGGATATTCTGATACATACAATTGAACAAAGAGATTCCAATTTGTCATACGGGTATTTTCCAACTGTTATTACATGATCATTACAGAAAGTAATGCTACTGGAATATTCCCATTTATATATGTGGAAATGTATGGTAAATAATAATTCTGTTAACATTTAATATTCCAGTGTGCACAATTGCTTTATAGTGAGGAAATTATTTTAAACTATATGTGTTTTTAAAATCAGCAGAGCTAACAACATTATACCTAGGGCTGTTCAATAATTAATAAATGGGCTGGGCATGGTGGCTCACGCCTGTAATCCCAGCACTTTGGGAGGCTGAGGCAGGCGGGTTACCTGAGGTCAGGAGTTCAAGACCAGCCTGTCCAACACAGTGAAACCCTGTCTCTACTGAAAATACAAAAAAAAAAAAAAGTCAGCCGGGCATGGTGGCAAGCACCTGTAATCCCAGCTACTTGGGAGGCTGAGGCAGGATAATCGCTTCAACCCAGGAGGCGGAGGTTGCAGTGAGCTGAGATCATGCCATTACACTCCAGCCTGGGCGACAGAGCGAGATTCCGTCTCAAAAGCAAGCAATCAATCAATCAGTCTGAATAAACTCTCTGGTTTAACTCTCTTAAACTCTCTGGGTTTAACAGCTCAAAGTTTGGTGTTTTAAAAGGAAATATTTATCTTTTATCAGAAATGGAGCCAGGTATTGAATTTAAAGAGCCACACAATCTGAAATTCTTTATGTGGATATAGATGGAAAGAAAGAAATAGTTCTTGTTTTTACTGAACAGTAAACTAAGAATAAATAGAACTAAGAATAGTTCTGGTTTATTACTGTTTTTGCAGTTAGATTTTTTCACCAATAATAATTCAATAGCAGTTTCTCTCATAAATATGTGCTTTTTAAAAAAAAGTTTCCTACATTTTAAACAAGATTTTACTCTTAAAACTAATTTCTGATTTTATAGTGAAAATTTTCAGATCTCTCCCTTTAATCAACTTTTAAAGAACTCAGTTTTTATAAATGAAGGCTGCTTTTGTCAAATTGGAATTTGGATATACAGAGCTAAATAAACTCTTAATTTTAGTAGGTCAGATTTTCTTTGCTTTCTTATTGCCCTTTTATATTTTACTAAATATACAGAAAATGTACCTTTGAAAATATTTTTACTATTTTGATTGTAAAAACTTACTCTTTTAGAAGACTGGATTTTGTCTGATAATAATATCATGGAGAGGGGCCAAAAGAGGATTGTGATGCCTGTGACTTTCATGTTGCAGACCTGATAGAAAAGAGAGTATTTTCATTAAGGACATTTTTATTTTTCCCTCTTTTGAATCTGTTTATTCTTTTTTTTTTTTTTTTTTTTTGGCTGAGACAGGGTCTCACTCTGTCACACAGACCTGGTGGCATGGTCACAGCTCACTGCAGCCTTGATCTCCCAGGCTTAAGCAGTCCTCCCAACTCAGCTTCCTAAGTAGCTGAAACACAAGCATGCACTACCATGCCTGGCTAATTTTAAAAATTTTTGTAGAGATGGGGTCACCATGTGTTACTCAGCCTGGTATCAAACTCCTGGGTGCGAGCCATTTCCCCCCAGCCACTGGCGTGGCCTTGAAAAGTGCTGGGATTATAGATATGAGCCACTTACCCTGGCCTTTCAAATCTACTTTTTCTTGAAATACATAAAATGTGAAACAAGTGCATGGCCATTCACCATCCTTGCACTCTGATCTTAATAAACTAGAAAGCCCCTTTGAAGAATGAGACTGATTTCTATTTTTTCTTTTTAGAGAAAATTAATATTTTTAAGTGTGTCTCATTAGTTTCTAGATCTCATGAAAGGAGCTTTAAAGCAATTTAAGTGGTTGTAAATTTTAAAAATTTAATATAGAAGTGCACAAAAGAAATTCAGGAAAACGTATATTTATGCATGTTTAAGTATATGCTTATATTGATGGTCTTGATTTTTTCAATTTTAGGCATTATCTATTGGCATTATCTATCTATTATTCTTGACTTAAAACTGTGGGAGATGAGAATCTTTAGCACTCTTTTTCCCCCCATGGTAACTTTTAAAAATTTTATTGAGGCGTGGTAGATATACATAGTTTTGGGGTACATGTGATAAAGTAGTGCATTCATATAATTTTTAAAGATCAAATTAATGTACTTGGGATATCCAACACGTTAAATATTTGTCTTTTCTTTATAATGGAAACATTCAAATTCTCTTCTAGCTGTTTTTAAATGTACAGTAAATTAGACGAGAGGGAGAGCATCAGAAAATAGCTAATGGATGCTGGGCTTAATACCTAGGTGACGGGTTGATCTGTGCAGCAAACCACCGTGGCACATGTTTACCTATGTAACAAACCTGCATAACCTGCACATGTACCCCGGAACTTAAAAATAAAAGTTGAAGGAAAAAAATTACTGTAAACTATAATTACCCTACTGATCTAACACTAGGCCTTCTTTTTTTAAGCAAACTGTATGTTTGTATGCATTAATAAACTTTTCTGCATTCCTCCCTCCCTACCACCCTTTCCAGCCTCTGGTAACCACTAGTCTACTCTTAATCTATATGAGGTCCACTTTTTTAGCTCCCACATGCCGGTGAGAATGTGTGATATTTGTCTTTCTGTGCTTGGCTTATTTCACTTGACATAATGACCTCCGGTTCCGTTTTTGTTGCCGCAAATGACAGGATTTCATTTGTTTTTATGGCTGAATAATATTCCATTGTATATATATGCTACTTTTTTTTAATCCATTCATCTGTTGATGGGCACTTAGGTTGATTCCATAGTTTTGCTCTTGTGAATAGTCCTCCAATACACATGGGAGTGCAGCTATCTCTTTAATATATTCATCTCTTTTTTTTAAATGTATACCCAGTGGAATTACTGGATCAAATGTAAATGTAAGTGTTATATTTTTAGTTTTTTAAGGAACCTTCATACTGCTCTCCAGAGTGGCTATACTAATTTACATTCCCAAGAGTGTATGAGGGTTCCCCTTTCTCCACATCGTCACCAGCATCCGTTATTGCCTGTCATATTGATAGAAGCTACTTTAATGGGGGTGAGATTATATATCATTGTAGTTTTGATTTGCATTTCCCTGAGTGATTACTGATGTTGAGCATTTTTTCCACATACTTGTTTGTCTTTTGTGTGTTTTTTGAGAAATATCTATTCAGTTCTTTTGCCATGTTTACTTGGATTATTTGTTTTTTATCGGTTTGTTTTTGGCTAGTGAGCTGTTTGAGCTCTTTATATCTTCTGATTATTAACCCCTTTTTAGATGGGTAGTTTGCAAATATTTTCTCATTCCGTGGGTTGTCTCTTCACTTTTTTGATCATTTTCTTTGCTGTGCACAAGCTTTTTTGCTTGGCGAAACCCCATTTGTACATTTTTGCTTTGGTTTCCTGTGCTTTTGAGGTCTTAGAGACACAAAAAAATCTTTGTCCAGGCCAGTGTTCTAGAGCAATTCTCCAACGTTTTCTTTTTTTCTCTTTTTTTTTTTTAAATAAAGAAAAGAGGTTTAATTGACTCAGTTCCACAGGCTGTACAGGATGCACGTCTGGGGGGTCCTCAGGAAACTTACAATCATGGTGGAAGGTGAAGGGGAAGCAGGCATGTCTTACATGGCTAGAGAAGGAGGAAGAAAGAGCAGAGGGAGGAGCTACACACTTTTAAACAACCAGATCTTTTTTTCTTTTGAGACAGAGTCTGGCTCTGTTGCCCAGGCTGGAGTGCAGTGATGCCATTTTGGCTCACTGCAACCTCTGCCTCCTGGGTTCAAGTGATTCTCATGCCTCAGCCTCCTGAGTAGCTGGGACTACAGGCATGTGCCACTTTCATGCGGGTCCATGTGAAGAGACCACCAAACAGGCTTTGTGTGAGCAACATGGCTGTTTATTTCACCTGGGTGAAGGTGGGCTGAGTCCGAAAAGAGAGTCAGCCCTCCAGTGTTTTCTTGAAACAGTTTTATAGTTTGAGGTCTTATTAAAGTCTTTAATCCATTTTTATTCCTGGATATGGCAAGAGATAGGGGTCTGGTTTCATTTTTCCATATATAGTTATGCAGTTTTTCTAGCACCATTTATTGAAACAACTATTATTTCTCCATTTTATGTTCTTGGCACCTTTGTTGAAGATGAGTTGATGTAAATGTGTGTATTTATATCTGAGTTCTCTATTCCATTCCATTGGTCTATGGATCTGTCTTGATGCCAGTACCATGCTGATTTGGTTACTATAGCTTTGTAGAAAATTTTGAAGTCAGGTAGTGTGATGCCTCCAGCTTTGTTCCTTTTTGCTGAGGGTTGTTTTAGCTATTTGGGATCTTTTATGGTTCCATATGAATTTTAGGATTTTTTTTTCTACTTCTATGAAGAGCGTCACTGTATTTTGATAGGAATTGCATTGAATCAGTAAATTGCTTTGGTTAGTATTGATATTTTAGCAATGTTCTTCCACTCCATGAACATGGATTATATTTCCATTTTTTTTTGTATCCTCTTCAGTTTCTTTCATCAGTGTTTTACAGTTTTTGTTATATAGATATTTCACTTCATTGGTTAAATTGATTCCAAGGTATTTTATATTCTTTGTAGCTATCGTAAACAGGCTTGCTTTCTTGATTTCTTTTTCAGATTCTTCACTGTTGGCATATCTAAATTCTACCAATTTTTATATGATGATTTTATATCTTGCAACTTTACTGAATTCAGTTGTCAGTTTTTACAGATTTTTTGTGGAGTATTTAGGGTTTGTTTTTTTTTTAATTTTTTAAGTGTAAGATCATGTCTGCCAGGTGCAGTGGCTCACGCCTGTAATCCCAGCACTTTGGGAGGCCGAGGCGGGCAGATCACCTGAGGTCAGGAGTTTGAGACCAGCCTGGCCAACATGGCGAAACCTCATCTCTACTACAATTACAAAAATTAGCCGGGTGCAGTGGCAGGCACCTGTAATCCCAGCTACTTGGGAGGCTGAGGCAGCAGAATTGTTTGAACCTGGGAGGCAGAAGTTGCAGTGAGCCGTGATCATGCCACTGTGCTCCAGCCTGGGTGACAGAGTGAGACTCTGTCTCAGAAAAAAAAAAGAAAAACTAATCAGAGTAGGCAAGAATCCATGCAGCATACTAAAGTCTCTCGCCTCGTTAGCAATAAGGAATTTACTGCTATTTTAGTGCTAGTCTGTTCTAGTCAACTTCCTCATTGCCTTTGATTTGTTGATCCATTTATGCACATTCCCCTTCTACCTTTTCTCTTTCCATAGTTAAATGAAATTTGTTAGGAAAAGCTACTCTGCCTCCTATATTTTATAAAATTTGGATGTAGATCATAATAGAATCCCTTTTAGAGCCAGAAGTGCATTTAAACTATCACTTATTCAAGATGATTGCCCATAGAAGAGGGATGCCTAAATCATTTACAAAAGGTAGTTTACCTATGTTTAATGATTTATAGGAATAGGTGTTCAGCTCCTTCAATGGCTTGTTTCAGTATTTCTCAATGATGTGGTGAAATTCTTACTGATGTCTCTAGTAGGCTGCAGAGGTGACTGAGGAGAGGTGGGTAAGGGAAGTGCTGTTTTTTTTCCAGAAACAAATAGGATGGGGATAGTGAAAGAAAGCAAATAGGCTACAAAGAAAATGAACTAGATTTAAGTTAAAAGTTGATATGAAATAGAAGCAGGTGAAAAAAGTAATGGAGGCAAGACAGGACTGTGAGCTTATGTGGAAATGGAGACGGAGTATGGTTTTATATTTATTATCTGTATCTGCTATTTAATGCTAATAATTGTTTTCTCAAGTGCGCTAAAAGAAAAAAATCATAAGGATTAGAAAAGGATTTTTTTTCCTTTCCATTGGATAGATCTTGGAAGCAGTGTATACTCAGCTCAAGGTAGATTCTGTACAAGAAAGCATTCAACAAATCTAAAGCATCGTTAGGTCTGAAGCTGTGAAATACATTGATTGATCCATACTATCTGTGAGAGTTTTCACATATTTGTGTGCCTTTTCAGAGGAGAAAGATTGAAAGAGGGGGTGATGTCGATTATCATGACACTGAGTAAGTCCCCAGACAAAGCATTTGCTAGCATTATTGGGTGTCTTTAAAAAAAGAAAATCAGATACGCAGAATAGCTGGCCAAGTAGATTATGCAGAAATTATCCATCAGTCAGTTTAGCCTGTTTCAACAGTTGGTTTAAAAGGAAGTCAGTCATTGTTGCTTTCTTTCTCCTTTTGGAATATTTTCTAATTTGGATTTTTTTTGAAATGATAGTTGAGTTTCATATAGTGATTACTTAGGAGCTAATATAAAATAGAAAACTGGAATAGAAGATGGAATATCAGTTTCTTTTGTTATTTCACAAAATTACGTGCATTTTTACCTAGCATATGATCTACGTTACTGAAAAAAAAAGAGCTTTACTCAAAGGAAATGGTAGATACTGAAAAAGAAGCATTGTTCTTAATAAAGTTTCAAGTACATGTTTCTTAAGTTATTTACTTTATATGATTATTATATGCTATGAAATAAAGAGATGCTGTAATTATTTTGGTTTTGTTAAAATCTAAATGTAGTTTTTCCATTAAGTATTTTAGATATTTATGCCAGAATTCAATGTATTTAGAGAATGATGTTAATAATACACAATTAACTTTGTTTCCTTATTTAACTATTGTGTAGATTTTTTTCAGATTTAAAACCTTTTTGTAATGGAAAATTTCAAGGAAAAAACCTAAGTAAGAAGAATAGTTATCAGCCTGCTTCAATAATCATCAACTCATGGCCAGTCTTTTTTTTATCTTGCCAATTGGCTTTTAGATTAGTGTCACTTCAGAATGCTCTGTGATTAACATATTTTAAAATAAAAATTCTTATAAATTTGATTGGCTAGATGAAACCATTTCCCCCCCCGCCCCCCGCAAAACAATTACTTAGTATTGTATTCTAACTTTATTTAGGAAAGACCCTTTGGCCATGTCTCAGGTATATAGTATTTTTGAGGTAGACCATGTGAAAATATAATCATATTTTCTTATTTTTCATCACTTCTTAAAGGCAAAGATGGTTGTACAGACTTAACAAACTTAAATATGATTAAAAAAAATACAACAATAACCAAAGCTATAAATATACATATCTTACCTTTTTTTCTTTTGTCTCTAAGACTTGTGTGCTAAAGGAAATTAACTCTGTTTCAACGGCATTAAAAAAAGTACATCGTATGATTACATTTCACTTTGTTTTAACCTTTGTACCCAGTGAACAGGTGATTTAAAAAAAAAAACTAGACTTCCTTAGCAAAAGATTGACTAGAAGAATAATTTCTTAAAGTCATCTTTTCCTTTTTTAGTATAACAAGTAAGGCTGTTTGCCTAACCTTTGTGTTTCTTTCTTTTTTTTCTTTTTTTGAGATGAAGTCTCGCTCTGTCATTCAGGCTGGAGTGCAGTGGCATGATCTCGGCTCAATGCAACCTCCACCTCCTGGGTTCAAGCAGTTCTCCTCCCTGCCTCAGCCTCCTGAGTAGCTGGGATTACAGGCTCCCGGCACTGCACCTGGCTAATTTTTGTATTTTTAGTAGAGATGCGGTTTCACCATGTTGGCCAGGCTGGTCTCAAACTCCTGACCTCAGGTGATACCCCTGCCTCAGCCTCCCAAAGTGCTGGGATTACAAGTGTGAGCCACTGCACCCAGCCTACCTTTGTGTTTCTTAATTACTCTTTGAAAATTTTATTAAAGTATTAACAATTTTACTTACTGATTTAGAGTTTACAATATTGAAAATGCATACTTTTGAAAGATATACTGTTGCTAAATTAATTTATGTTTGTCCTGATGGTATTTTGTGCTTAGAAGCATTCAAACTGAGGTCAGGTGCAGAGTCTGACACCTGTAATCCCAGCACTTTGAGAAGCTAAGATGAGAGAATAATTTGAACTCAGGAATTTGAGACCAGCCCGGCCAACTTAGCAAGACCTTGTCTCTACTCAAAATAAAAAGTAAAAACATTAGCAGGGCATGGTGTTGTGTGCCTTTAGTCCCAGTTACCTGGGTGGCTGAGGTGGGGGGATGGCTTGAGTTTGAGCATGCAGTGAGCCATGATTGTGCTACCACAGTCTAGTCTGGGTGACAAGTGGTACCTGTCAAGAAAGAAAGACAGAAAGAGGGAGAGGGAAAGAGAGAGAGAGAGAGAAGAGAAGAGAGAGGAGGGGGAGGGGAAGGAGGAGGAGGAGGAAGGGAAGGAGGCAGGGAGGGAGGAAAAGGAAGGAAGGAAAGGAGAGAGAGAGAAAAGAAAGGAGGTAGGGAGGGATTCAAATTGTAAAGATACCACCAAGTTTTGTATTCTATTGAGTTTCAACGTTTTTGTTTACTTATTATTGTGTGTTTTTTTTTTTTTTTTTTTTTTTGAGATGGAGTCTCGCTCTGTCACCCAGGCTGGAGTGTAGTGGCGCAGTCTCGGCTCACTGCAAGCTCTGCCTCCCGGGTTGACGCCATTCTCCTGCCTCAGCCTCCCAAGTAGCTGGGACTACAGGCGCCCACCATCACGCCCAGCTAATTTTTTTGTATTTTTAGTAGAGACGGGGTTTCACCATGTTAGCAAGGATGGTCTCGATCTCCTGACCTCGTGATCTGCCCGCCTCGGCCTCCTAAAGTGCTGGGATTACAGGCATGAGCCACCATGCCCAGCCTGTTTACTTACTTTTATGACACCATCATCAGTGGTTTTACTGCCAAGTTATAACAGGAGCAAAGTACTCAAAGCATCAAAAAGACCTTACACCTGGACATCATATGGCCTTTAGAAAGTCAGTTACTTTTCTTATGCTGTAATTTCTCCTCTGTAAAATGGAATACTTTATAACATTAGTTCTCATCTTCCTACATTGAAAGAAGAAACACTGTTGGTAGTCAGTAATCAAATTTAGAATGAATTCCTTCCAAAAGATTAATTCCACTGGGCTTCAGTATCCTTAATTTATGAAAATAGATACTTTCCTTTCAATTTCTTTGAGCTCATATACCTATACAAATTGTAGCAGCAGGAAACACATTTGTTTTACTGTTGTAATTGAAGCTCCAAGTGAAGATACCACTTCTTCTCCAACAGTGAAACAAAAATAAATTGAAATTCCAGGTTGCTTTACTATGTTCATCTTTTATTTGGTTATTTTGAGATTTTTTTTGGTAGGGAAATTTCTGAGTTTAGGTTGTTTATTCTAGTAGTAGGATATGAATGTGTAGAAGGTGTGTAGGGGATATGTGGATCCACAAGCTTAGCTGGTGATTGTGAAAACTATAGAAGTTGGTATCTATGAGCGAAAGAGAGTAAATAGTGATAGGTTAATCAGATTTTGAAACTCAAAATAGAAATTAATGATCTTGGGAGTGAAAATGTGTGTTCAATCCAGCTTTTTATAAAATGTAAATCTTGAAAGTATTTAGATAAGTGGCATCTTACCTATTCTTTTTTCAGAGTTTTTCTCTACCCTATCAATAATTGACCTTGCCTAGGCAACAAGTGACATGTCATTGGTATTTCTTTTGATTACGTGATAAAAATGGTTATTGCTTCTAATTAATTTCACTATTACTACTTTTATAGGATTATGTTTGTAATGTTTATTGTGTTTTTAGAGAAATGAGCTTAATATTTTACAATGCTAAAAAATAGCAAAAATTTGTGAAATAGCAATGTTAACTAAAGCAGTAAGTAAAAGAGAACTTAAGCAAAGCATATTATTAATCTAAAGCCATAACTAAAAAATCAAATTGCACTGCAGGCCTCTCTACTCCCTAGTTCTGTCAGAGCCACACTGGATGATTTACACGGGAAACTTCTATACAGTATTTAATTTAGTCAGAAAAACTTATGGCTAAAGGATGCTTTAAAACCACAATTCTAAAACTTATTTGTCTTTTTTTTTTTTGAGATGGAGTTTTGCTCTTTTGCCCAGGCTAGAGTGAAGTGGCGCGATCTCAGCCCACTGCAACCTCTTCCCCACTGGGTTCAAGCGATTCTCCTGCCTCAGCCTCCCAAGTAGCTGGGATTACAGGTGCCCGCCACCACGTGTGGCTAATTTTTGTACTTTTAGTAGAGATGGGTGTTTTGTCGTGTTGCCCAGGCTGGTCTCGACCTCCAGACCTCAGGTGATCCACCTGCCTCAGCCTTCCAAAGTGCTGGGATTACAGACGTGAGCCACCGAGCGCAGCCTCTTATTTGTCTTTTGAAGGTATAACTTTAAAAAAGTATAAATGCATCCTCATATATATAAGTCATTAAGGATTTTTTGGTAATCTTTGTGATTTCTTAGTAAAATAAAATGGAGAGTAAGGAAATAGAGGAATTTAGGGATGGAGAAGAGAAAGATGTAAAAATAAGTTTGTGCTAATGGGGCCAAATTTTATATAGGTCAAATAGCATTTTTTAGTACAAATATAAAGACTTTTCAGTCACACACTGTGGTTGAATGTCTTTAAGTATCCTATTAAATTAGGACCATGACTTGTATAAAATAATTGGATATTTTTTCCTCAATATAGTATCAGGAATATTACGTGCTTCTGATTTTAGGAAAGAAAAACAAATCAGAAGTGTCGAAGAAGAAATTGAACAGGAAAAACAAGCAACAGATGACATTATCAAAAATATGTCTTTTGAAAACCAAGTCAAGTACCTAGAGATGAAAACCACAAATGAGAAACTGTTACAGGTAATACAAATTACTGCTGTGTGCCAAGCATGTATCATTCTTGCTACTAAAAGTATAGTTTGAATATCAGCAGCATCAGCATCCCCTGAGAACTTGACTATACTTTGAGATCAGTTTTCATTTTAACAAGGTCCCCATCTGATTCATACGTATATTCACATTTCAGAAGAATTTATTTAGAAAACTTCATTTTCATCTGCTGTTTGATGACCTAGCTTTTACTCTTATTATTTTTGGTTTACTTCTATTTATTCATTTTGCATTTCATAAAGACATGAAAATACTCGCATTTATAAAAATACTTGTCTATAAATATTTGCATTTATAAAAGTACTTTTCTATAAATGTTTGCATTGATAAAAATACTTGTCTGTAAATTAAAAAGTCTGTAAATACTTGCAGTTACAGACTTTTAATGCAAACATTAAAAGGCCTCATAGGTGGAGGTTGCAGTAGTGAGCTGAGATTGCACCACTGCATTCCAGCCTGGGCAACAGAGCGAGACTCTGTCTCAAAAAAAAAAAGGCCTCATAGACCAGATCCATATATATATTTACTTTCCTTTTCCTTCCTGCTTAATAAACAGCTAACCTTTTTACCTGTTAGCATTATGATTTGAATGGCTATTGTCCTGTAATTATATTGCCTAAATTTCCATTTTTAAAAATTAATTTTTTTATTGATACACAATTGTACATATTTATGGGGTACATGTGATATTTCCATGCACGTATGCAATGTATAATGATCAAATCGGGATAATTAGGATATTCATCACCTCAAACATTTGGCATTTTTTTTGTGCTGGAAACATTTTTTTTTTTTTAATTTAAAAAAAATTTTTTTTTTGAGACGGAGTCTCGCTCTGTCGCCCAGGCTGGAGTGCAGTGCCCATCTCGGCTCACTGCAAGCTACGCCTCCCGGGTTCATGCCATTCTCCTGCCTCAGCCTCCCAAGTAGTTGGCACTACAGGCGCCCGCCACCACGCCCGGCTGATTTTTTGTATTTTTTTAGTAGGGACGGGGTTTCACCGTGTTAGTCAGGATGGTCTTGATCGCCTGACCTCGTGATCCGCCTGCCTCGGCCTCCCAAAGTGCTGGTATTACAGGCATGAGCCACCGCGCCCGGCCTTATGCTAGAAACATTTTGAATCTCCTTTTCTGGCTATTTTGAAACATACAATTAATTACTGATAACTATAGCCACCCTAGTGTTCTATCAAACATGAGAATTTATTCCTTCTCTCCCCCACACCACCCCATGCCCCCAACTGGGCACCACCTTCTCAGCCTCTGGTAACCATCATTCTACTACCCCCTTTTTTTTGTTTTTTTTTTTTTGTTTTTTTTGAGACGGAGTTTCGCTCTGTCGCCCGGGCTGGAGTGCAGTGGCGCGATCTCGGCTCACTGGAAGCTCCGCCTCCCAGGTTCATGCCATGCTCCTGCCTCAGCCTCCTGAGTAGCTGGGACCACAGGTGCCCGCCACCACGCCTGGCCAATTTTTTATGTGTTTTTAGTAGAGACAGTGTTTCACCGTGTTAGCCAGGTGATCCGCCCCCCTCGGCTTCCCAAAGTGCTGGTATTACAGGCGTGAGCCACTGTGCCCGGCCGAGATCCACTTTTTTAGGCTCCTACAGATGAGTGAGAACATGCAATATTAAATAAGCAATTTAAGTCCCTGTTGAGGGCATATTGAGAATCCTCTCAATACTCAGTCATGGTGGTTCCCTTTCATGCCCAGATGGCCCTTAACTAAAGATTAAGCAAAGAATTAGGCCCCATAAATGCCAATAATGATTATAGTTTTAGTTTCTTAGACATTCCTTTGCTGACAATTTAGTAACCTTTTTATTTTAGAGAAGATTTCTAAGATACTGTGAAGCGTTGAAGAAAAAGTATGGCCTGGCCAAGATGGTGAAACCCTGTCTCTACTAAAAACACAAAAATTAGCCAGGCATGGTAGCAGGCCCCTGTAATCCCAGCTACTCGGGAGGCTGAGGCAGGTACTTGGTTGATCCCGGGAGGCGGAGGTTGCAGTGAGCCGAGATCATGCCACTGCACTCCAGCCTGGGCAACAGAGCGAGACTCTGTCTCAAAAAGAAAAAAGAAAGAGTATGATAGAAATGCCAAAATAGTACCAAAATATAGTTAATCTTGTATGGGATAATGAATGAGTAAACAGTTTAAGGATCTTATCTTAGGAGTGAACCATATTTATATTTACATATACGTGTATGTATGTGTACATGTGAACCATATTTATATTTACATATATGTGTATGTATGTGTGCATGTGTTATATGTGTGTGTACACAGTATAGAGAAATTAGGCAAAAGATGTGAAAACACGGTTACAAATCAAAATTTTAAATAATAATCTTAAACAATGACATAATTTGAAAGCTTCTGATATTTGATGTCTCAGAACATAGTGATGATTCAGTGTGAAAAGGTCTAAGGTCTAGCTACTTTTGAGAAACTCATGAAGTTTTTTTTTTTTTTTTTTGAAGGCACACAGCAAGTTTTTAAGAATAATGAAAGAAGTTGGGAAAAATAGAAATAATGAAGTGTTAATAAATTCTAGTCAAAATGTAAGATGCCAGTGAAGATATTTAGAAAATTTACTTAGTCACTTTGAAATGTTGAGAAACAGAGAAATAAATTTTTTTTCCCAGCTCCCTCCCCCCACTACAACAAATTATTCTTAATGTAATTTGGATTTATGTTTGCTTTTTTTTTTCCACTTAGGAATTAGATACACTTCAACAACAATTGGATTCACAGAACATGAAAAAAGAGAGCCTGGAAGCAGTAAGTATAAAATCAAATAAGGGTTCTCATACTACTCAGCTAAAAAAGTTAATTCAGCCAAGTATATTAATATAACTAATTCAACTACATATTGATCTGGCAGCTTACTAATAGGAGTTTAATACTTTTTCTTCCTATTCTGGACCCACAAAGATCCTAGTATGGTAAGAAATTAGATTCAGTTATTGAGTACCTACTATGTATAAAACAAATCATTCCGCCCTACCTAGGACATGCAAAATCCAATAGCAATTAAAAAAATTATTTTTTTAGAGACAGAGTCTTTCTTTGTCACTCAGGCTAGAGTGCGGTGACATGATCGTAGCTCACTGTAAATTCAAGCTCCTGGGCTCAAGCGATCCTCCCTCCTCAGGTTCCCAAGTAGCTAGGACTTCAGGCAGGAACCACCACACCTGGCTAATTTTTTTTTTACTTTTTGTAAAGACAGGGTCTCGTTATGGCTGATGTACAGCTCCTGGCCTCAAGCAATGCTCCTGCCTTGGCTTCCCAATGTGCTGGGATTACAGGCATGAGGCATTGTGCTCAGCCTCTAATGGCAATTTAAAGACACATACACAAGAGATTATAAAAACAAAGAAAGAGGGAGAGACATGAGTTCATCTCTTTAAGGATGTAAAAACTTACTTTTTTTATTCATTTATTTAAAACGCTTTATTTCACAAAACAAAATGTGCATATGGTTTAAAAATAGTTGAACAAGAGGAAAGTAAAAATGTCTGTTTTTTTTTTTTTTTTTTTTTTTTTTTAGACAGAGTATCGCTCTGTTGCCCAGGCTGGAGTGCAGTGGTGCGATCTCGGCTCACTGCAAGCTCCGCCTCCCAGGTTCACGCCATTCTCCTGCCTCAGCCTCCAGAGTAGCTGGGACTACAGGCACCCGCCACCACACCCAGCTAATTTTTTTGTATTTTTAGTAGAGATGGGATTTCACTGTATTAGCCAGGATGGTCTCGATCTCCTGACCTTGTGATCCGCCCACCTCGGCCTCCCAAAGTGCTGGGATTATAGGCGTGAGCCACTGCGCCCAGCCAAAATGTCTGTTTTGTGTCCTTCTTTCCAGATAGAACTACTGGAAAGACATTTATCAAGTGCTTACTGTATGCTTTTTTGAGCTGTAAACACATATCAGCATCATCTTCATGTAATCCCCACAAGAGTCCTAAATCCCATCTTGGTTTTACAGTTGTGGAAAACCTCAAGTGGGGTTCCTACGTGCTATGCTAGCTGCAGCTTTCTTTTTTCACCCTAACATTGTATCTACAGTGTCTATTTATATCAGTTCCTAGAGAACCTCCTCATTATTTTAAATTGCTACAATGTATTATGTTGTATAATTATAACACAGCCTTGTAAATGAACAGGTTGTTTATAGTTTTCCGGGATTATAAACAATACTCCTGTGAAAGCATACATTTTATGCGAAGTTATATCATAAGATTGAATTCTCACAATGGGTCAAAAGGTATACAGTTTAAAAATGTTGTCAGATTGCCAAATTGCCTTCAAAAAGGTTGTTCCAACTTTTACTTCTAGATGTAATGTATGTGAATGCTTATTTCCCCTGCATTCACTGACAGCAAATATTATCTGACTTTTCCAGTTTTAGCTATTTTGATAGGTAAAAATTACTACCTTATTTGAATTTTCATTTATTTATGAATAAAGTTGAGTATCTATTTATATCATTTTTGGCCAATGAATTTCTTTTTCTTTGAACTCCTTTTTCATATTTTTGGCGTTTCAGTATACTGTCTGTATCTCAAATCTTGCCTCCCTTTCCTGATTTCCTGTGGATTCAGGTAGACATCATGATGACAGTATTAGGAACTGTTGTAGACTGATAGATTGCTGACACCCTAGCTTGCAAAAGAAATGAGTATTTTGTAATTAATTCTTTTGAGAATTTGCTATTGAAAAAGTTATTTAATTAAAAATAGTAAGGTAGTTGGCTGGGCGTGGTGGCTCACGCCTGTAATCCCAGCACTTTGGGAGGCCAAGGCAGGCAGATCACAAGGTCAGGAGATCGAGACCATCCTTGCTAACGTGGTGAAAACCCGTCTTTACTAAAAATACAAAAAATTAGTCGGGCATGGTGGCAAGCACCTGTAGTCCCAGCTGCTCGGGAGGCTGAGGCAGAAGAATGGCATGAACCCAGGAGGCAGAGCTTGCAGTGAGCCAAGATCACGCCACTGCACTCCAGCCTGGGCGACGGAGCAAGATTCTGTCTAAAAAAAGTAAAAAAAAAGCAGGTAGTTTTCTGTGTCTGGTTGTCCATCTATAAAGACACTTAATTTTTATTTCCTTGGATCTCTGGTGATGGAAATACGCTTAAAGAAAGAAGGACCACATTTAGTATTAATACAACCAGCTTGCAGAATTCCTCATGGTTCTTTTTTGGAGTGGGTTTGAGAGAGTCAAGTCTTACTTCACTTGGTGAATTTGGTTTCCATAGGAAAAATCATAAGCTATAACCTTAGATTTACTTTTTGTACTGATGCCGTTCTTCTCTGATGTCAGTACATTTATGCCTAAAATAACAAGAGTTTTAAAAATACACAATATGTGCAAATTAAGATAACATGTCACTAATTCTATTTAACTTTTGCCAGATTTCTTTCTTTTTAAAAAAAAAAATTTTTTTGAGACAGAGTCTTGCTCTGTTGCCCAGGCTAAAGTGCAGTGGCACAGTCTTGGCTCACTGCAACCTCCGCCTTCTGAGTTCAAGCAATTCTCCTGCCTCAGCCTCCCGAGTAGTGGGATTACAAGCGTGCATCACCATGCCCGGCTAATTTTTGTATTTTTAGTAGAGACAGGGTTTCACTGTGTTGGCCAGGCTGGTCTTGAACTCCTGACCTTGTGATCCACCCGCCTTGGCCTCCCAAAGTGCTGAGATTACAGGCGTGAGCTATCACGCCCAGCCCAGATTTCTTTTATTTATTTGTTTAGGACTTGTTCTTCAAGAAAATACCTGTCAGATAGTGGTCAATCAACTAGTATTTTTTGAATACTTTATGTTCACTGCTGTACAACGTATTAGGTCATGCTTATTCAGTTCACAAGAGTGGAAAAAATCAGGTGAAGGATTAACATGAGCTTAAGTCTTCCAGAACAATTTTATCAAGATGAAATTCAAACAAATCTATAGGATTGTTAGGCAAAAAGGAGACGATACTATGAAAAAGGATAGCATAAAATATCTGCATTTCTTCTATGTCTTTTTAGCATGGCTTTTTTTAATCTTATCTGATGCCTAATCTGTTACTTGAACTGTATATATAATCCATTGCTTATGGACTTTGAAAAATTATCTCGTCTACTCGTTCCTTTTTTGGAGGTTCCTTCTTTCATACTTTTAGAAGAGAAGAGGTTGGCCAGGCACAGTGGCTCACACCTGTAATCCCAGCACTTTGGGAGGCTGAGATGGGCGGATCACGAGGTCAGGAGTTTTGAGACCAGCATGGCCAACATGGTGAAACCCCATCTCTACTAAAAATACAAAAATTAGCTGGGCGTGGTGGCAGGCGCCTATAATCCCAGCTACTTGGGAGGCTGAGGCAGGAGAATCGCTTGAACCTGGGAGGCGGAGTTTGCAGTGAGCCAAGATCGCACCACTGCACTCCAGCCTGGGTGAAAGAGCGAAATTCCATCTCAAAAAAGAAAAAAAAATGAGGTCTTCCCTTCTAAGAATTTTATTTTGTTCAAGTTGTAGGTCCGGTTTCAAATGTCACTGTTAACTCTTATGTCTTTGTTAACTTTGAAAAGTTATTTACATGTCAGATCCTTAGTTTTCTCATCTGTAAAATAGAGATGATAGTACTATCTTGTAGAGTATCACTTTGGATAGTAGAGATAGCATATAAATAACATGTAGTATAGTGCCTGGCACAGAACAGATGCTCAGTAAACAAGAGTCTCAAATGTCATTTTAATCATCACCAACACCATTCCTACCTTTTTTTTGGTGTTGTTAGCTAATAACATTTTTGTCACATCCTTATTTTTTTCTTTGTGAAAGGTGGGATAGTGGTGAGTACACAGTAACTGTTATTTCATGTGTTCATTTCCTAGTGCTGCTATAATAGAATATCACAAACTGGGTGGCTTAAAAGAAACACAAATTTTCTCACAGTTCCAGAGCCTGGAAGTCTGAAATCACGGTGTCAGCAGAGCCATGCTTCCTCTGAGACTCTAGACAGAATCTTGCTCTGCTTCTTCCTAGCTTCTAGTGGTATCCATTAGCTCTTGATATTGCTTGACTTGCAGCTGCATCACTCCAGTCTTTGCCTGAGTCATAACATGGTATTCTCCCTGTGTGTCTCTGTTGTGTCTGTACTCTTCTTATAAAGGGCACCATCATATTGGATTAGGGCCCACCCCTAATGACCATATCTTAACTTGACTAAATATGCAAAGAGCTTATTTCCAAATAAAGGTCAAATTGACAGGTTTATGATGTTAAGACTCCAGCTTACCTTTTTGAGCAGACACAATTCAACCCACAAAATTGTGGGAAAATATATGTTATGACCTATTTAGGGAAAAATATCTTCTCTCCAAAGATCACTTCTATGGACTTTGAATCAGACATTGTGTTTAAAGTTGTACATATGTTTTGACATTGTCTTTATCCTCCCATTGGTAGAGTTGTCCTATACTTATTCAGGTCTTATATGTAGAAAATAAAATAAACTAAGGCTATCAACTTCTTGTGAATCTTAGACTGAAAATAGCAGGATTTATTTTTATTCTTCCAATTTAGGAATGTGCTTTGTAGCATTATTGAGTACTAATGATATTTGCTGTCTGTATTTAAAGATGCTAGTAGTTTAAATTTACCCCCATTCTTATAAACTGAAACCTATTTTAGAATAATTATTGATAAAATACTAATTAAAACTTTCCCTTCTTATTTTCCTTTAGGAAATAGCTCACTCCCAGGTGAAACAGGAGGCGGTATTGCTGCATGAAAAACTTTATGAGTTGGAGTCCCATCGAGATCAAATGATTGCAGAAGACAAAAGCATAGGATCTCCAATGGAAGAGAGAGAGAAATTACTTAAGCAGGTGGGCAAAACAAACATACTTATTTTAAGATGTCTGGTTTTGGTACATGTATTGATTTGTTTTTTTTAAAGGGATATTAATGCAAGTAGTAAAGCTAGTAAGTGTATTGTCTAAAAATAGTTTATGTGAAGAAATGACTTTTTAATCTAGATTTTCTTCCTCTTTTATTATTATTATTATTATTATTTTTGATGTAGGATCTTGCTCTGTAACCCAGGCTGGAGCACAGTGGTGCAATCATAGCTCACTGTAGCCCTGAGCTGCTGGCCTCAAGTGATCCTCCACCTCAGCCTCCCGAGTAGCTGGGACTGCAGGCATGTGCCAACACACCAATTTTTTATTTTTATTTTTTGTAGAGATAGGGTTTTACTGTGTTGCCTGGGCTGGTCTCCAGCTCCTGGCCTCAAGCAGTCCTCCCATTTCAGCCTCTCCAAGTGTTGGGACTATAGGCACCCAGCCTAGATTTTCTTAATCAAGTATTTCATAGTAACTTAGGTGAAGCTAACTTTTCCTTATTAGGAATACTTGAAACTCTTCTTTATTGGTCATTAAATATTTAGATAATCTTTTTGAAGATATGTTTCATTATTGTTTTGGGCCTTGTATTTAGAAAATGGAGTATCCCAAGGCTAATGACTTTTTGTGGTTGTTATTATCAGTGCCTCCATGAAGAGAATGGAATTAAAATGTCCTGTGAAATTATCGTATGTCCTAAAGTCATGACACATGTAACATGTATTTAGTAGCTTTCTTACTACCCCAGGGGTGGATTTAGTTTAGCTCCAAATTATAATTAGCATGTTGTTTATCCTGACACATCCTAACTATAAGGGCCTTAGGAGAACTTCATATGTATATGGGCACAGCTCCAGTCAGGGACTCCTTTGCCCTTAGACTTAGATCAAGCCCAGTGCATTTAGAAGAAATGTAGGTATCAATTCAGGGACTATTTAATTATTAGAATCATTTCAAAAAGGTATTAAATCTAGAACCTGTGTAGTTCCTTGGAGAGAAATCATTGAAAGATGGGGAGGAGTGATCTTGAGGTACGCCTACCACATAAAATATAGAATGGCTGCTTAAATTTGAATTTCAGATAAGCAATAAATAATCTTTCAGATATATATATGTATATGGAAAAATTATTTATTGCTTGTCAATGATATGGATATTCCAAATATTACATGGTACATATATCCTCTCAAAGGTATTCACTATTTATCTGAAATTCAGATTTAACTGGGCTTGCTCAATCTAGCAACCCTACCTTGTGGGAAACTGAGGGGAATCTCAGAAATCCTAGATGTTTATATCAACTTATCCAGGCCTGAAGATGAGCTATCCTCATGGTGCCTGGAGGGTAGCTGTGAGTATATCAGTTACTACCCTTACTTTGAGGAAAAAGGATGGAATCTGTGAATGGTTCCTTGGTGCTGTTCCCTTTAACTTCAAAGGTTGAAATCTAAAAAATAGATTTCAAGAAAGAGAGTAGATTTGACACTTTAGTACAATTGTACTCTAGAAGGAAATTATCTTTAAGATAGCCTTACAATGAGTTATTTTTTTAAATACTACTTTCTTTTTATGCCTTTGTAGATTAAAGATGATAATCAGGAAATAGCCAGCATGGAAAGACAGTAAGTATCTTTATACTAGGACATTTTACATCCATTTCTCACTTTAAAAATTACATTCTAAAGGTACAGGAGTGGCTTTCATTCTTTCAATTTTACTTATAGCTTTAAATATTTCTTTGAGTGTTTAAGAGCCATTGCATAGTATAATTTTTTTATAAGTATCTTTATTAAGATATACTTTATACCATATAATAGACATATTTAATGTAAACAATTTAAAACATTTTAGTATATTCACAGAAGTGTGCAGCCATCACCTAGATCACCTTTATTTTTCAATTTTTATTTATTTTTATCTTTTTGAGACCAGGTCTCATTCTGCTGCCCAGACTGGAGTGCAAGTGGCATGATATAGCTCACTGTAACCTCAAACTCCTGGGCTCAAACCTCCCAAGTAGCCAGGACTACAGGCACACACCACCATATCTGGCTAATTTATTTTTATTTTTAGTAGAGTCGAGATCTTGCTATGTGGCCCAGGCTAGTCTCCAGCTCCTAGCCTCAAGTGATCCTCCCATCTCAGCTTCCCAAAGAGCTGGGATTAAAGATGTGAGCCAGTATGCCATGCCCCCAGTCAATTTTAGAACTATTCAGTCAGCCCAATAAAACCCTGCACCCTTTAACCATCACCTCCCTTATCCCTCTCCCAGCTCTAGCCATGCCCATTCTGGACATTTCATATATATGGAATCATTCAATATGTGCTTCTGTGTGTCAGGATGCTTTCACTTAGCACAGTGAGCCTTGCTTTCTCGAAGATCAGCTGACTATTGGTATTTGGCTTTATTTCTGGGTTCTCTGTTCTGTTCCAAGGCTCATAGGTGAGCCTTGAAAACTAAGACAAATGGAATATTATTTGGAAATAAAAATTAATAAAATACTAAGCATGTATTAGTTTTTATTAATACTAATACATGCTTAGTATTTTATTAATTTTTATTTCCAAATAGTATTCCATTGTATGGATATACCATATTTTATTTATTTATCAATTAATGGATGTATGGGCTGTTACCATTTTTTTATTATCATGAGTCATGCTCCTATAAACATCCATGTACAAGTTTTTGTGTGGGCATATGTTTTCACTTCTCTTGTATATATACCTAGGAGTGGAATTGCTGACTCATGACTATGTTTAACTTTTTGAAGAACTACCAGACTGTTTTCCAAAACAGCTTTACCATTTTACATTTCATTTATTTGTATTTGAATACATTTATTTGAAATTTGTAAAACAATCATTTTACTACCAGTCACCAGAAAGCATACCAATTGTTTTAATTTAATTTTTTTTTTTTTTTCTGATACAGAGTCCCAGTTTGTCGCCCAGGCTGGAATGCAGTGGTGCAATCTTGGCTCACTGCAACCTCCACATCCTGGGTTCAAGGGATTCTCATGCCTCAGCCTCCCGAGTAGCTGGGACTACAGGCACACAGCACCATACCCGGCTAAGATTGTTTTAATTTTAATCAACTAAGTTGTAAATTAATAAGTAGTCAACAATGACGAAATTGCCTTTTAATGTCTCTCATATTCTATTGTAATGTTTTTGTTGCTGATTACAACTTATGAAATTAAATTTTGGAATCACAGTCTCTAGTATCAGCTGAATTGCAGCCCGTGTCAAGTGTTTTGCAATACTGGCTAAGGTACTAAGAAACTAATTTTTTTTTTCTGTTTTTTGTAACTGTAAGCAAATTTCTATATTCTTATGGCTAAGAGAATATTTTTTTCTTTTAGGAACATTTAAAGCAGCTTTATTTTATCTTTTTTATTTCTTTTTTTTTTTTTTCTTTTTTTTTGAGACAGAGTCTCCCTCTGTTGCCCAGGCTGGGGTGCAGCAGCCCAATCTCGGCTCACTGCAAGCTCCTCCTCCCAGGTTCATGCCATTCTCCTGCCTCAGCCTCCCCAGTAGCTGGGACTACAGGCGCCCGCCACTGCGCCTGGCTAATTTTTTGTATTTTTAGTAGAGACGGGGTTTCACTGTGTTAGCCAGGATGGTCTCGATCTCCTGACCTCGTGATCTGCCCGCCTCGGCCTCCCAAAGTGCTGGGTTTACAGGCGTGACCTACCGCGCCTGGCCTATCTTTTTTACTTCAGTAGTTTTTGGGGAACAGGTGGTATTTGGTTACATGGATAATTTCTTGAGTGGTGATTTCTGAGATTTTGATGCATCCATCAACCAAGCAGTGTCCACTCTACCCACTGTGTAGTGTTTTATCCCTCACCCACCTCTCACTCTTCCCACCAAGTCCCCGGAGTCCATTGTATCATTCTTATGCCTTTACGTCCTCATAGCTTAGCTCCCACTTATAAATGAGAACATACAATGTTTGGTTTTCCATTCCTGAGTTTCTTCACTTAGAATAACTGTCTCCAACTCTGTCTAGGTTGCTGTGAATGCCATTATTTTGTTCCTTTTTATGGCTGAGTAGAATAAACATATATATATGTATGTATATGTATAAATATATATGTATGTATATGTATAAATATATACGCACACACACATACATACCACATTTTCTTTATTCACTTGTTGATTGTTGGCTTTTTGGCTGTTTCCATATTTTTCCAGTTGCAAATTGTACTGCTGTCAACATGCGTGTGCAAGTGTCTTTTCATATAATGACTTCTATTTCCTCTGGATAGATACCTCGTAGTGGGATCGCTAGATCAAATGGTAGACCTACTTTTAGTTCTTTAAGGAATCTCCATACTGTTTTCCATAGTGGTTGTACTACTTTATATTTCCACAAGCAGTGTAAAAGTGTTCCCTTTTCACCACATCCACACCAACATCTATTTTTAAAAATTTTTTAATTATGGCCATTCTTGCAGGAGTAAGGTGGTATTGCATTGTGGTTTTGATTTGCATTTCCCTGATAATGATGTTGAGCATCATTTCCTATGATTGTTGACCATTTGTATATCTTCTTTTGAGAGTCATCTATTCATGTCCTTAGCCCACTTTTCACTTTTTTATGGGATTTTTTTTTCTTGCTGATTTGTTTGAACTTGTTGTAGATTCTAGATATTAGCCCTTTGTCAGATGCACAGTTTAGGAAAGTTTTCTCCAACTCTGTGGGTTGTCTATTAACTCTGCTGATTCTTTTGTGGTGCAGAAGTTTTTTAGTTTAATTAAGTCCCATCTATTTATCTTTGTTTTTGTTGCATTTGCTTTTAGGTTCTTTCAGTTCATGAAGTCTTTGCTTATGCCGATGTCTAGAAGAGTTTTTCTGATGTTATCTTCTAGAATTTGTATGGGTTTAGGTCTTAGATTTAAGTCTCTGATTCACCTTGAATTGATTTTTGTATAAGATGAGAGATGAGGATCCAGTTTCATTCTCCTACTTGTGGCTTGCCAATTATCCCAGCACCATTTGTTGAATAGGGTGTCCTTTCCCCACCTTATGTTTTTTTTGCTTTTTCGAAGATCAGCTGACTGTCAGTATTTGGTTTTATTTCTGGGTTCTCTATTCTGTGCCATTGGTCCATGTACATGTTTTTATGCCAATACAATACTGTTTTGGTGACCTCATAGTCCTTATAGTGTAGTTTGAAGTTGGTTAATGTGATGTCTCCAGCTTTGTTCTTTTTGCTTAGTCTTGCTTTGGCTATGCAGGCTCGCTTTGGGTTCCATATGAATTTTGGATTTTTTTTTCTAGTTCTGTGAAGAATGATGATGGTGAAATGGGAATTGCATTGAACTTGTAGATTGCTTTTGGCAGTATGGTCATTTTCACAATATTGATTCTAGCCATCCATGAGCATGGAATATGTTTCCATTTGTTTTTGTCATCTATGATTTCTTTCGGCAGTGTTTTGTAGTTTTCCTTGTAGAGGTCTTTCACCTTTTGGGTTAGGCATATTCCCAAGTATTGTATTGTATTATATTTTGTTTTATTTTATTTTATTTTCACAGCTGTTGTGAAAGGAGTTGAGTTCTTGATTTCTTTTTTTTTTTTTTGAGACAGCGTCTTGCTCTGTCGCCCAGGCTGGTGTGTAGTGGCGCAATCTTGGCTCACTGCAACCTCCGCCTCCCGGGTTCAAGCAATTCTTCTGCCTCAGCCTCCCGAGTAGCTGGGACTAAAGGCACGTGCCACCACACCGGCTACTTTTTTGTATTTTTAGTAGAGACGGGGTTTCACTGTGTTAGCCAGGATGGTCTTGACCTGACCTTGTGATCTGCCTACCTCGGCCTCCCAAAGTGCTGGGATTACAGGCATGAGCCACCGCGCCCGACCGAGTTCTTGATTTCTTTTCAGCTTGGTTGCTGTTGGTATATAGCGGTGCTACTGATTTGTGTACATTGATTTTGTGTCCTGAAACTACTGAATTTATTTATAAGATCTAGGAGTTTTCTGGTTGAGTCTTCAGGGTTTCCTAGTTATATGATCATATCAAGAGCAGACAGTGACAGTTTGACTTCCTCTTTACTGATGTAGATGCCCTTTATTCATTTCTTTTTTCTGATTGCTCTAGCTAGGACTTCTAGTGCTGTGTTGAATAGAAGTGGTGAGAGTGGGCATCCTTGTCTTGTTCCAGTTCTTAGGGGGAATGCTTTCAACTTTCCCCTGTTCAGTATAATGTTGGCTGTGGGTTTGTCATAGATAGCTTTTATTACCTTAAGATATGTCTCTTCTGTGCTGATTTTGCTGAGGGTTTTAATCATAAAAGGATGCTGGATTTTGTCAAATGCTTTTTCTGCATCTATTGAGATGATCATATGAGTTTTGTTTTTAATTCCGTTTATGTGGTGTATCACGTTTATTGACTTGTGTATGTTCACTCATCCCTGCATCTCTGCTATAAAACCCACTTGATCATGGAGGATCTTTTTGATATGCTGCTGGATTTGGTTGGCTAATTTTTTTTTGAGGATTTTTGCCTCTAAGTTCATTAGGGATGTTGGTCCATAGTTTTCTTTTTTTTGTTATGTTCATTCCTGGTTTTGGTATTAGGGTGATACTGGCTTCATAGAATGATTTAAGGAAGATTCCCTCTTTCTCTATCTTTTGGAATAGTTTCAGTAAGATCAGCAGCAGAGGCTGCCATCTCCCCCATTGAACATAACTTCTTTGGCCTGAAACCACCCCTTCCATCACCCACATTGGCCATAGCCAGCCCCATACAAGAGGAGTCTGAGCTGAGACACGCCTAACCCTGCCCCGACCTGATGGTCTTTCTCTACCCGCCTCGTAGCCAAAGACAAAAGACATAAACTTGTGGCAGGCCTATGGCCTCACCAATCACCTGAGAAACCCAAATATTTATTCAGGTGACCTTAGGGCAAGCTTGTATCCCCCCATACTACTGCAGCTGATGCCCTCTTGAAAGTGCCACCTCCTAGCTGGAGGCCAACCAACACAAACCATTACAGCAATTCATAACAGAACAATCCTGCTCCAAGGGAAGGAGAAAACAACAGCTAATTCCACTGCCTGTAACATCCACACTAACCAGAGGCCCTGACTCTGTTCACATGACAGCTTCACTGCCAGCATAACCAGCATTCAAGAAAACCAGTGCACGAAACAAAACTACAACCAAGAACTCTCACAGAATCCACTTCACTCTTCAGCTACCTCCACCAGAGCAGGTGCTGGTATCCACAGCTGAGACCCTAAAGACAGATCACTTCGCAGGACTCTTCGCAGACCCTCCCAAGTACAAGCCCAGAGCCCGGTAGCTCTGGTGGGTGGCTAGACCCAGAACAGCAATAACAATCACTGCAGTCTGGCTCTCAGGAAGCCCCATCTCTAGGGAAAGGGAGAGAGCACCACATCAAGGGATCACCTCATGGGACAAACGAATCTGAACAGCAGTCCTTGAGTCTCAGATCTTTCTTCTGTCATAGTCTACCCAAATGAGAAGGAACCAGTAAAACAATTCTGGTAATATGAGAAGACAAGGTTCTGTAACATCCCCAGAAGATCACACTAGTACCAGCAGTGGATCCAAACCAAGAAGAAATCTCTGAATTGACAGAAAAAGAATTCAGAAGGTCAGTTATTAAGTTACTGAAGGAGCCAGCAGAGAAAGGTGAAAACCAACTTAAAGAAATTTAAAATACAGGATATGGATGAAAAAAATCTCCAGAGAAATATGTAGCATAAATAAAAAAACAGTCACAACTTCTGGAAATGAAAGACACACTTTGAGAAATGCAAAATACATTGGAAAGTTTCAACGATAGAATCAAACAAGCAGAAGAAAGAACTTCAGAGCTCTAAGACAAGGCTTTCAGAATAACCCAATCCAACAAAGACCAAAAAAGAATTAAAAAAAAAAAAAAGCACAAAGGCTCCAAACAGTTTGAGATTCTGTTAAATGGCCAAACCTAAGAATAATGGGTGTTCCTGAGGAAGAAGACAAACCTGTAAGTTTGGAAAATGTATTTGAGGGAATAATCAAGGAAAACTTCCCTGGCCTTGCTAGAGATGTAGACATCCAAATATAAGAATGTCATGGCTGAGCACGGTGGCTCACACCTGTAATCCCAGCACTTTGGGAGGCCGAGGTGGGCGGAACATGAGGTCAGGAGTTCAAGAGCAGCCTGGCCAATAAGGTAAAACCTTGTCTCTACTAAAAATACAAAAATCCGCTGGGCATGGTGGCACGCACCTGTAGTCCCAGCAACTTGGGAGGCTAAGGCAGAAAAATCACTTGAACCTGGGAGGTGGAGGTTGCAGTGAGCTAAGATCATGCCACTGCATTCCATCCTGGGTGACAGAGTGAGACTCCATCTCCAAAAAAAAAAAAAAAAAAAAGAAAAGAAAAGAAAGAATGTCAAAGATTACAACTGGGAAATGCATCACAAAAAGATCATCACTTAGGCATAGTCATAAGATTATCTAAAGTCAAGACAGAGGAAAGAATCTTAAGAGCTATGAGGCAAAAGCATCAGGTAACCTATAAAGGAAAACCTATCAGATCAATAGCAGATTTCTTAGCAGAAACCCTACAAGCTAGAAGGAATTGGAGTCCTACCTTTAGACTCCTTAAAATAATTATCAGCCAAGAATTTTGTATCCATTGAAACTAAGCTTCATAAATGAAGCAAAGATAAAGTCATTTTCAGAGAAATGCTGAGAGAATTCACCACTACCAAGGCAGCACTACAAGAGCAGTTAAAGGGAGTTCTAAATCTTGAAACAAAACCTCAAAATACACCAAAGTAGAAACTCCTTAAATCATAAATCTCACAGGGCCTATAAAACAACACAATGGAAATGAAAAACTAAGGTATTCAGGCAATAACTAGCACAATGAATAGAACAATACCACATATCTCAATACTAACATTGAATATAAACAGCCCAAATGCTCCACTTAAATATACAGAATAACGGAATGGATAAGAATTCACCAACCAAGTATCTCCCATCTTCAAGTGACTCACCTAATGCATAAGGTCTCACATAAACTTAAGGTAAAAGGGTGGAAAAAGTTATTCCATGCAAATGGTCCCAAAAGCAAGTAGGAGTAGCTATTCTTATATTAGACAAAACAGACTTTAACAACAATTGAAAAAGACAAAGAAGGACATTATGTAATGATAAAAGGACTAATCAAACAGGAAAATATCACAGTACTAAATCTATATGCACCTAACACTAGAGCTCCCAAATGTAAAAAACAATTACCACTAGACCTAACAAATGAGATAGACAGCAATACAATTAATAGTGGGGGACTTCAATACTCCATTGACAGCACTAGACGGGTCAGAAAGTCAACAAAGAAACAATGGATTTAAATTATACCCTAGAACAAATGGACTCAACAGATATTTATAGAACATTCTACCCAACAACTGCAGAATATACATTCTGTTCATCAGCACATGGGACGTCCTGCAAGACAGACCATATGATAGGCCACAAAACAAGTCTCAATAAATTTAAGAAAATCAAAATTATATCAAGTATTCTCAGACCACAGTGGAATAAAACTGGAAATCAACTCCAAAAGGAACCTTAAAAACCATGCAGATACATGGAAATTAAATAATTTGCTCCTGAATGATCTTTAGGTCAACAATGAAATCAAGATGGAAATTTAAAAATTCTTTGAACTGAACAATAATAATGACACAACCTATTAAAACCTCTGGGATACAGCAAAAGCAGTGCCTAGAGGAACATTCAGAGCATTAAGTGCCTACATCAAAAAGTCTGAAAGAACACAAATAGACAATCTAACGTTACACCTCAAGGAACTAGAGCAACAAGCACAAACAAAACCCAAACCCACCAAAAGAAAAGGAAATTACAAACATCAGAGCAGAACTAAATTAAATTGAAACAAAAAATTGAAAGATAAATGAAGCAAAAAGCTGGTTCTTTGAAAAGATAAACAAAATTGATAGACCAATAGCAAGATTAATCAAGAAAAGAAGAGAAAAGATCCAAATAAGCTCAATTAGAAACAAAATGGGAGATACTACAACCAATACCACAGAAATACAAAAGACCAAGCTTACAGTGAGCACCTTTACACGCACAAACTAGAAAACTTAGAGGAGACGGATAGATTCCTGGAAATATACAATCCTAGATTAAAGTAGGAAGAAATAGAAACTCTGAACAGACCATTAACGAGCAGTGAGATTGAAATGGTTAAAAAAAAAAAATTGCCAACAAAAAGTCCAGGACCAGATGGAGCCACAGCTGAATTCTATCAGACTTTCAAAGAATTGGTACTGTTTTACATTTCTATGTAATATAATAAGAGCAGCATATGAGCAGCATGTGAGGGTTCCAGTTTTTCACATCCTCACTTGTTATTATCTCTTTTTCTATTATAGCCATTCCTAATGGGTATGAAGCGGTGTCTCACTATGGTTTTGATTTGTATTTGTTTGATGGCTAATGATGTTGAGGTTCCTTTCATATGCTTATTGGCCATATTCTTTGGGGGAAATGTTTACTTAGTTCATTTGCTCATTTTTTAAACTAGATTGTTTTTGATTACTGAGTTGTAACATTTCCTTATATATGCTAGATAGAGGTGTCATCAGATACATGATTTGTAAAAATTTTCCCTTGTTCTATGAATTCTATGAATTATCTTTTCATTTTCTTGGTGTCTTTGGAAGCATAAAAGTTTCCAATTTTGATTTTGTCCAGTTTTTCTATTTTTCTTTTGTTGCTCTTGCTTTTAGTGTCATATCTAAGAAACCAATGCCTAATCCAAGGTCATAAAGACTATGTCTATGTTTTCTTCTAAGAGTTTGGTAATTTAGTTCTTACATTGAGATCTTTGATCCATTTCAAGTTAATTCTGTGTATGATGTGAGGTAGGAGTCCCTTAGCTTCTGCATATGCACTTTTCCCAGCACCATTTATTGAAAATACTCTTCTTTCCCCATTTAATTACCTTAGCACCCTTATCAAAAATCGGTTAGCTATAGATATATGGTCATATTTCTGGACTCACAATTTTAGTCCATTGATATATATGTCTATCCCTATGCCTATACTACATTGTTTTGTTATGGTAGCTTTAGAGTAAGTATAACTGCTTTATGTTAAAATATTAACCTATATAATCTTCTGCCAGTGGTAGGTTTTCCCTTATTTTCTCATTTTTGAGACTAATTTTCCAACTTAATTTGGCTTATAGAAACCTACAAAAAGTATTGTTAAATATTTTTCATTTTCTTAATACTGCAAATCAAACTCAAAGGAAAGTTGGGAGGGGGTGTGCTGTTTAACTCAGGCAACTAGTGTTCTCAGAATATACCTGGGCTCCAAATATGAATCAGTAAAAAAGATCTATGCTTGGCGCAGTGGCTCGCGCCTGTAATCCCAGCACTTTGGGAGGCTGAGGCAGGTGGATCTCGAGGTCAAGAGATCGAGACCATCATGGCCAACATGGTGAAACCCCGTCTCTACTAAAAATACAAAAATTAGCTGGGCATGGAGGCGCGTGCCTCTAGTCCCAGCTATTCGGGAGGCTGAGGCAGGAGAATCGCTTTTTCCCGGGAGGCAGAGATTGCAGTGAGCCGAGATCGCACCACTGAACTTCAGCCTGGTGGCAGAGCGAGACCCCGTCTCAAAGAAAAAAAAAAAAAGATCTAGACAAGATTCTTCCTCTCTAAATTTATAGTATTGTCCTCATAATAGGATATGCTATTTTTCGATATTTATGCAATTTGTAAAAGATATCCTAATGTCATCGTCAGTTATAGTATTGTCCTTAGAATAAGACATATTATTTTTAGATATTGTTTATGCAACTTGGAAAAGATATCTAACCTCCCCATCAATTGTTTTTATTGAATGTCTATATTTCCTTCATAAATTCATTAAAAATATTTTCAACAGGTTAACAGATACAAAAGAAAAGATAAATCAGTTTATTGAAGAAATTAGACAACTTGACATGGATTTAGAGGAACACCAAGGTATGCTTCTGGTATTTTTATAATGTAGATTAACAGATGTTTAGCAGTATTAATATAGTGTTAACTGGTGTCTCAGAGACTGTTCAACTACCTGGGATTTATTATTTAATTCTCTATGATATTACTAACTTTACTAAAATATATACTGTATGAGTAATATTAAAGCAATGATTTAAACTGACCACTTATGAGTTAAAATGATTGCATAAAATTTATTTAGCTTTGCCAAGCAGTTTGTTTTTTTTTTTACAAAAACAGAAGTAAAATGTTTAAAGTTGTTAGAGATTCCTAAGTTATACTTCCTCCTAAGTTACACTTCCTTCCTAGTAATAGTCAATAGTTTACTATAAACAATATAGTCGGCCGGGTGTGGTGGCTCACGCCTGTAATCCCAGCATTTTGGGAAGCTGAGGCGGGCAGATCATCGGAGGTCGGGAGTTCGAGACCAGCCTGACCAACATGGAGAAACCACATCTCTACTAAAAATACAAAAATTAGCCGGGCGTGGTGGCACAGGCCTGTAATCCCAGCTATTCGGAAAGGCTGAGGCAGGAGAATCACTTGAACTCGGAGGCAGAGGTTGCGGTGAGTCAAGATCGCACCACTGCACTCCATCCTGGGCCACAAGAGTGAAACTCGGTCTCAATAAATAAATAAATTAATTAAATAATAATAATATAGTCAACTACTAATGGCAGTAACTGGTAGCGTTAGAGGGGATGAAAATCAAATCACAAATACCACACAAATAATCCAGACAGAATTAATTCCCCACCCAGGTCTAGTAATGAAGTAGCAAAGACTGATTAACCTTATCCTCCCCAACTTTCCCCAGGAGTGGAATTTGAAGAACTAATGCAGGTACCAGAACACCTGAGGGAGCTTGGGGTTTGACTATGTAGAAATACTGTGGTGGGGGTTTGGGTGTGGGGGCTACATTGTTATTTATGGTTAAAGGAGGAGGTTGAGCATCAGTTTCCTAACAAGCTTCTCCCTAATAAGAAAGATAAAAGTAGATTCTCCATAGCATTTTAATCATAGTTTAACTGCAAACCAGTTACTATGCTCTTGGATTATCAAGAATTGATTGTATATTCTTATGAGTTAGGTATGGTATAAACAGTGTGCACATGTACATGTATTCTTGTTATGGCTAAGGAAACATTCATAGCGGTGCAGTGGCTCAATCACAGCTCACTGCAACCTCAGACTCTTGGGTTCAAGTGATCCTCCTGTCTCAGCCTCCTGAGTAGCTGGGAATATATAACGTCTGCCACTACATCCAGCTAAGTTTTAAATTTTTAGTAGTGGCGCATGCCTGTAATCTCAGCTACTTGGGAGGCTGAGGCAGGAGAATGGCTTGAACCCAGGAGGCGGAGGTTGCAGTGAGCCAAGATCACACCACTGCACTCCAGCCTGGGTGACAGAGCAAGACTCCGTCTCAAAAAAAAAAAAAAAAAAGGGTACACTGTTCTATATTTTAGCAGGGAAGGAATTTGTGTATGTGTGTGCTAACTAGAAACAATGAGAAATAGCTCTAATGAAAGTTATATGGTCAGAATTTGGCTACAAGCTCTGCATCATTAGTAAAGCGGAGTATTATTGGCAGATGTCATGCTACTTTCCAAAAAGCCTGAACCCATCCTGATTTCTCCTTTCTTAGTTGAAATGCCAACAATTGCATATTTGCTTAATTATTGCTTTTTAAAATATTGGCTCTGTATAAGCAAGGGAAAGTAATAGAAAAAGTATTGTTCTTCCAAGTAAAGCAGAACACACCAAGTGGACAATAGCAGCTTATATTTTCACTCAACATGGGATACTATTTTTAATAAGGATGTTTTTATCCTCAAGGCTTACTTCTAACATATAGCCAAGTGACTTTTTTGTTTTTAAATGGAGATGAATCTTGCTGTGTTGGCCAGGCTAGAGTGCAGTGACTATTTACAGGCATGATCATAGCTTACTGTGGCCTTGAACTCCTGGGCTCAAGCAGTCCTACTGCCTCAGCCTTCCAAGTAGCCGGGACTACAGGTCCATGTTACTGTGCCCAGCTTGTTTTTGTTAAGGAATCTGTTAAGAAATTCTTTTAGGTCGTGTGCGGTGGCTCACGCCTGTAGTCCCAGCACTTTGGGATGCCGAGGTGGGCGGATCACCAGGTCAGGAGATCGAGACCACGGTGAAACCCTGTCTCTACTAAAAAATACAAAAAATTAGCCGGGCCTGGTGGTGGGCGCCTGTAGTCCCAGCTACTCAGGAGGCTGAGGCAGGAGAATGGTGTGAACCCAGGAGGCGGAACTTGCAGTGAGCCAAGATCGCGCCTCTATGCTCCAGCCTGGGTGACAGAGCGAGACTCCGTCTTAAAAAAAAAAAAGAAATTCTTTTATTCTTACTACAGATTAATACTTGAGAGTTTATATCTTATATTGAAGTCCTTCAGAGTAAATAGTTTCTTCGACCACTTAGCTGAAATCAGGCCCTTAACTTTACTCATTTTTTTTTTTTTTTTTAATGAGATAGGGTCTTTCTGTCACCCAGGCTGGAGTACAGTGGTGTGACAACATAGCTCACTGCAGCCTCAAACTCCTGGGCTCAAGTGATCCTCTTGCCTTAGCTAAATAAAATAATAAATAAAATAAAATAAAATAAAATAAAATAAAATAAAATAAAATAAAATAAATAAAATAAAATGTAAAATAAAATAAAATAAAATGTAAAATAAACTCCTGAGTAGCTAGGACTACAGGTGCACACCACCATGCCCAGCTAATTGTTGAAAACTTTTTTTGTAGGGACAGGGTTTTGCTCTGTTGCCCAGGCTGATCTCAACGTGCTTGGCTCTAGCAGTCTTTCTGCCTTGGCCTCCTAAAGTGTGGGGATTACAGGTGTGAGCCACTGTGCCTGGTGTTTTACTCTTTACTAGTGTATTCCCTTACATTGAATAAATTCTATAAAGAACAGCATTACTATTATAAGACATGTCAAAGCCTTACACAAATCACAAAAAAAGTGATCAGTTTTCTATGCAAAAATACTGAGCCTTTTGAAATCAGGGTAGTTCTCAGCTTCACCCAATGCTGGCTTAGATTTCAACTTTCTCAAGTCTGCTAGGTCAGTTACCAGTTCTCCATCTCCTTTCAGCTTCCAAAATGTTATTGCTGTTGTCTCCTATTTCTATATGCTGGGGGTTTCTACCTTTAAAAATTCTTTTTGCTATAGTTTTAGTGGGGTTTGCGGGAGGATCAAAATTAGATGTGCATGTTCAACGTGCCATTCATACCAGGAAATGACAATTATAAGCCTTAATTACCTAGAATTTCTGAAACTTTAAGCACCTTGAAGGTAGATCATTTTACTTATTTTTAAAAAGATTTTTTTTGTGTGTTTTGCCTTAAATGACCATCCTCATGCTTTCATTAACTGGGCAATTAGCCTCAGCTTATAGGAGGTCATCCTTTTCAGCTTAAAAAAAAAGTGTCCTGGCCGGGTGCAGTGGCTCACGCCTGTAATCCCAGCACTTTGGGAGGCTGAGGCAGGCGGATCATGAGGTCAGGAGTTCGAGACCAGCCTGACCAACATGGTGAAACCCCATCTCTATTAAAAATACAAAAATTAGCTAGGCATGGTGGTGTGTACCTGTAATCCCAGCTACTCAGGAGGCTGAAGTAGGAGAATCGCTTGAACTCGGGAGGCAGAGGTTGCAGTAAGCCAAGATCGCGCCACTGCACTCCAGCCTTGGGCGACAGAGCAAGACTCCATCTCAAGAAAAAAAAGAAAAAAAAAAGTCTTTTAAACTACTTAAAATTATTTTAAAGATTCAGATTAATTTTTTAAAATTGTAATTTTAAATATGAATCTGGCATGTATTTAACATGAAAAATGCAAGCAGAAAAGTATATAAAGTAAAATGTCATCTCCTTTCTCCTCATCCAAGTCTTCAGAGGTAATCATGGTTTACAGTTTAATGTTTAGGCTTTTAGACTTTTAATACATTGATAAACATATTTTTAAATGGAGTAATACTAATATACAGTTCTTCTGAGCTTGAGTCTTTTCATTTAACTGTATAATATACATTCTTCCCTATGAGGATGTATACTTCATTCTGAGAAATGGTATAGCATAGTGGTCAATGTTAGGGCTCTAAAGTCAGACTTAAGAATGGTGCCTGGTACAGGTGTGGTGGCTCATGCCTATAATCCTAGCACTTTGGGAGGCTGAGGGGGGTGGATTGCTTGAGCTCAGAAGTTCGAGACCAGCCTGGGCAACAGGGCGAAAACCTGTCTCTACAAAAAAATACAAAAATTAGCCAGGCATGGTGATGTGTGTTTGACTTGTAGTCCCAGCTATTTGCTAAGGTAGGATGATTACTTGAACCTCGGAAGTCGAGGCTGCAGTAAGCCGAAATCACTCCAACCAAAATCATGCCACTGCACTTCAGCCTGGATAACAAAGTGAGACCCTGTCTCAAAAAAAAAAAAAAAAAAAAATGGTGCCTGGTGCACATTAAGCGCTTCTGACAACCATTAGCTACCCCTATGATTGTTGTTACATAGGATTCATTGTATCCACATTGATATTTAGGCTGTTTCTAATTTTTTACTCCCAAGAACAGTGCTGCACTAGTACATTCATGTTTATAACTTGTCTGTTTATTTCCACAGAATAAATTTCTAGAAGTGAAATTTTGAATGGAATATTATTTATATTTACAACTGGTTTGCAAATTTCTTCCCAGAAAAGGTTGTATTATGTTATACAACCAAAAGCAGTATGTGAAGGTGGTTCCTTACCAATGCTAGCCATAAGTTTTTTAGTTTTTGTCAGTCAAGATAAGGTACACATCACTGACAGTTCCGAAGTTTTGACTGTTAGGCCTGAATTTGTAGTACCACCGCGATCCACAAGATGGGGCTAATTTTCTGAGCATCTATTAATATATACACAGTAGGATTGACAAATAGAGTTAACAAATGTTGTACGGTCACTGTCATATGTCTCTCCAGGAGGGATTATTGGGCATTATTACTCACCAAAAATGATTACTTTCCAGATTCAAGTATTTTCCCAAATGTGGAGTTGATTGTAAAACCAAATATATGATTATTAAAATACCATAATACATATAAATAACTAGTTGCTACAATGTGGTAAATATGTCATAATAGAAATATATGCAAAGTGCTATAGGAATATTGAATTACTGTCTTAAATTCTGAATGAATTCATTGTAACTTTCTGCATAATATATATGTGTCATTCAAAGTAGTAAAATAACAAAATATAATACTTTGGTTTGTCTATAGTATACTTTTTCATACTCAGAGTTCTAAAGCCTTGGTTAGGACCATTGTTTCTTTAATTATGGAGGGTAAAATAAACAATGTTAAAGACAGAATACTTTTATTTATTATTTATTTGTTTATTTATTTATGTATTTTGAGACGGAGTTTTTCTCTTGTGGCCCAGGCTGGAGTAAAATGGTGTGATCTTGACTTACCGCAACCTCCACCTCTCAGGTTCAAACAATTCTCCTACCTCAGCCTCCCAAGTAGCTGGGATTACAGGCATGCGCCACCACACCTGGCTAATTTTTTGTATTTTTAGTAGAGATGGGGTTTCTCCATGTTGGTCAGGCTGGTCTCAAACTCCTGACCTCAGGTGATCTGCCTGCCTTGGCCTCCCAAAGTGTTGGGATTACAGGCGTGAGCCACCACGCCTGGCCAGAATCATTTTATTTTAAGCACATGTCCTGTTACTAGAATGCCTGGATTCAAATCCAGGCTGTGCTGTTTGATCTTGGACATGCTATTTATGCTATTTAATCTTACTTTATCTTAGTTTTTTTTCTTTAAAATGGAGGTAATTACAGTACCTACCTCTTAGGGTTATTGTGAGAATTAGATTAGATAATTAAATAAACTTAATTATTAATAGTCTAATGTTGGCTGGAAGCCTTACCAATAACATAAATGGTAAACATATATAAACACAAAACACATTCATAATAGCAGTCAATTTAAAATATGCTCATAAATATTAATTAGTGACTTATTGTTAATGCTGTTACTTTATAAAAGCAAAATTGAATAACTTTACTGCAGTTATTTTCCCAAAGCATACATTAGAAAGTATTTTCCCGTCAGTATTTCCTTCAGGATGTACAAAATAACCTATTTAGTTTCAAAGTGGTTTATCTTCTGGTATCTGAGATTTCAAATGGCATCTATCCATTACTATTCTGTGGTTTTCCAACATATATCTGCTGAAGAAGAATGAATTATTATTGTTCAATCTAGAAATTGTTTAAACTATACATTGAATCTTTCATTAAAATGGTGGTATTACATCTACACCAGGATCATCACCACCATCTGAAACTTGTTAGAAATGCAAATTCTTGGGCTCTACCCCAGACCTATTGAATTTGAAACCCTAAGGAGAGGGCTCAGCAATTTGTGTTTCAGTAAGTCCTCCTGGTGATTCTGATTCATGTTAAAGTTTTATAACCACTACTTTCGAAAATGATTAAGGACCATATGTTTAGTATATGCTGCTTACTACCAATTATACTGTATGATTTTATATACAGTACTCTGTTGGAACAAACTTCTACATAGTCCTTTTGTTTTACATAATTAGATAATAAAAATTATACAATTTATACAATATGTAAAAATTATAATTACAGTTTTTAAAGTGCCTCCTGTCTTTAGAAATAGAATTATCTGATCTTGTTTGCATACCTGTAATTTAAAATTTAAAATGTAGTTGACCCTTCAAGACAGCATTGGGATTAGGGGCACTGAGTGTGCCATGCAGTCAAAAATCCATGTATAACTTTTGACTCCATAAAAACTTAATTATCAAAGGTCTACTGTTGGCTGGAAGCCTTACCAATAACATAAACAGTTAACACTATTTTGTATGTATTATATACTGTATTCTTACAATAAAGTAAGCTAGAGAAAAGAAAATGTTATTAAGAGAACTATAAAGATTTTTATTATTTTCCACTTACTAATGAAATGGAAGTAGGTCATTATAAAGGTCTTCATCCTCATTGTCTTCACATTGAGTAGACTGAGGAAGAGGAGGAAGAGTTTGGTCTTGCTATCTCAGGGGTAGCAGAGGCAGAAGAAAATCTGCATGTAAGTAGACCCACCAAGTTCAAACCTCTGTTTTTCAAGGGTCAACTGTATTTCCCAGAGAATGTATATTTAGAAAATTGGGTGAAACCTAATGCCAAAGTTAGTTTAAAACATTAAGCTTATATGTACTCTTTTTACCACAGCAATTTTGTAATATAGTCAATTCTTTGTACCCACGGGTTCTTCATCTGCAGATCCTACCAACTATGGATGGAAAATACTTGAAAAAAATACAGGAAGTTTCAAAAAGCAAGTTTGAACCTGCCATGTGCTAAGCACTATGCTGAATCCATTTGAACTGAAGAATACCCTGCTATAGCCTCCCATTGTTTCACAGATCTTCAGTCTCTCTCTAGCACCCACTGTTTGAGCAGTGTTCATCTGGCATTTTATTCATTGGCTACTTGTGTTCACTCTTTGCTTCTGTGAAAAAAAAAAGACTCCTAAAAATCAATTATATGGTGAAAGAAATCCCTTACAGACTAAGAGAGAGCGTAAAGTGCTGTCTCTCAACAAGAAAATAAAATTCTTAGATCTTTTGAAAAGTGGCGTGTGATTTACCAAAGTGACACAATAAAACAGAAGGAAGCTGAAGCTGACATTTGTGGAAGTTTTAGTGCTGCCCCTACAATGGCAAAAAAAATTATTGCTGTGATTCATGATAAAATGCTTGCAGAGACTGGTCGGGCACAGTGGCTCACGCCTGTAATCCCAGCACTTTGGGAGGCTGAGGCGGGTGAATTACCTGAGGTCAGGATTCAGGACCAGCCTGGCCCAAATGGTGAAACCCCGTCTCTACTAAAAAATACAAAAACTTAGCCGGTAGTGGTGGTGGGCACCTGTAATCCCAGCTACTAGGGAGGCTGAGACAGGAGAATTGATTGAACCTGGGAGGCAGAGGTTGCAGTGAGCCAAGATCGTGCCATTGCACTCCAGCCTGGGCAGCAAGAGTGAAATCCCATCTCAAAAAAAAAAAAAAAAAAAGCTTGCAGAGACTAAGAAAACATCAAATGTATGAGTAGACAAAATATCACAGAAGCATGTCCCTGTTGATGGCAAAATTATGTATGAAAAAGCATTTAGCCTTTGTGAGCATTCCTATGAGGAAGTTGAAGAGAGTGAGAGGAAGGAATTTAAGGATAGTAAGGGATGACTAGCTAGCTGTGGAAAGTAGTACAGCCACACGAACTTAAAGATCACAGGAGAATCAGCATTAGCTGATGACCAGGCAGTATCAGCATTCCCAGAAGAGCTCAAGAAACTCAGAAGACAAAGGATACCTTTCATAGCAAGTCTTCAGTTGTGTTGAAAGAAACTTGTTATAGAAGAAGAGGCCTAATACCTACATCCGTAAGAGTGTCAAGCAGGCTTTGGGGTTCAAAGCCTGGAAAGATCGTTTTACTCTGGTGCTATGTGGCAACACAGCAGGTTACATGGTCAAGCCAGGTCTTGTGTACCAAGCAAACAGTCCCTGGGTCCTTAAGAACAAAATCAAAAATTGCCTACCTGTGTTCTGGCAACACAATAGGAAGGCTTGGGTGATGGCCATCTTGTTCCTGGAATTCAGTTTTATTCCTAAAATGAAGAAATACCTGGAAGAGAACAGGGTGCCATTCAAGGTCATCCTCATAATTGACATTACTCACAGCCATCCCTGATCTCTCTACTTCACTAATGACAATGTTGCAGTGATGTTCTTGCCTAAGGCAAGTACTACCTCACTGTTTTAGCCATTTGATCGAGGCATCAGCAAGTGCATTAAATGACTTACACCCACCTCACCTTTGGGAGGATTTGTGCTGTCCTTGATGCTAACCTTGACTACAGTGTCATGGATTTATGGAAGAGCTTTACAATTGCAAATGTAGTTGTGCTTTTTACAGAGGCTGTAGATGCCCCAAAGCCCAAGACAGTCAGTGCATGTTGGAAGCCATTATGGAATGAGGTAGTCAGTGATTTCAGGAGCTTCCCCATTATTGGTGCAGAAGTCAGGAATATGGTTTTGTTTTTGTTTTTGTTTTTTTTGAGTTAGAGTCTCACTCTGTCACCCAGGCTGGAGTGCAATGGCGCGATTTTAGCTCACTGCAACCTCTGCCTCCTGGGTTCAAGCAGTTCTCACGCCTCAGCCTCCTGAGTAGCTGGAATTACAGGCACATGCCACCACGCCTGGCTAATTTTTGTATTTTTAGTAGAGATGGGTTTCACCATATTGCCCAGGCTGCTCTCTTGGCCAGGCTGGTCTCAAACTCCTGACCTCGTGGTCCGCCTGTCTTGGCCTCCCAAAGTGCTGGGATTACAGGCGTGAGCCCACCGCGCCCGGCCCAGGAATATCTTGAATGTTGCAAAGGAAGTTGATGAGGAATGCTTCTCTGACATGATCAAGGGTGACTTCGAGGAACACATAGAAGAGCATAGAGAAACCCTTACCAACAAGGAACTCAAGGTTCTGCTGAAATTCTCTACAGGAGATGATGACAGTGATAACAGATTTAGCAGAAACAGAGTCCTCAATTTGGATACTTGAAAAATTTGCAGCAGTTTTTCAACAGGTGCAAGTGTTAAAGGGTATGATCCTTCAGTGGAACAAAGCCTCCGTGTCACCTGAGGGATAGCAACATGCCTACAAGCACTGCAAGAGTTGTTTGATGCTTCAAGAAAAAAGGAGAAACAGCTTCCTAGAACAATGTTCCCAACTAAAGCCGTCTGTATTATGAAGCCTCGACCTTAAACGCTTGAAGATTCTTCCAGCATAAATGATCTTTCCGATGTCCTGTTAGAAGGTTCAAGTTAGCCTTGTGTTTCACCACTTACCTACAGTGCTGCGCATCTCACCACCTCACCATATGGGCACCATGGGCACCAAATAGAAATTATAATCGTCATCATCGTCAAATGAGGGTTATCAAGAGAGAAAAGCGACAGTTTATGCTTCTTTTTTTTTAATTTTTAAATTTTTTGTAAAGACAGGATTCACTATTTTGCCCAGGCTCGTCTCGAACTCGCAGCCTCAAGCAGTCCTCTTATCTTGGCCTCCCAAAGTATTGGGATCATAGGTGTGAGCCACTGTGCTCAGCCAGAAGAGCCAGAGTTTTGATGCGTCTTAATGTACTCTTTCAGGTCATTAAATGAAAGTCATCTGCAAGTGTTGATAGAAAATGTGGCTGGGCGTGGTGGCTCATGCCTGTAATTCCAACACTGTGGGAGGCTGAGGCAGGAGGATTTCTTGAGGTCAGGAGCTTGAAATCAGCCTGGACAACATAGACCCCATTTCTATTTTTAAAATAAAAATAAAACAAAAAGTGTTACATTGTTGCTGATGTATACTGTGTAGTTTGCCCTACAGTGGTTGCATCTGTACTGAACATGTACAGTCTTATTTTCCTTGTCATTATTCCCTAGACAACACAGTGTAACAACCATTTACAATATATTAGGTATCATAAGTAATCTAGGGATGATTTAAAGTATGTAGCAGGAGGGTATATGTAGGTTATATGCAAATACTGTGCCATTTTATGTAAAAGACTTGAACATCCTCAGGTTTTGTTATCTACAGAGGGGTGGGGGTACTGAAACCAGTCCCCATCAGATACCAAGGAATGACTATTTTATATACTAACTTGCTGCTTACTGTAATAATGGTATGTGAAAAGTAGATGGGAGAGATAGACTGAATGCAAAAAGATGGAATTTTATAGGCCCCCACAACTAATTAAAATTGAAATAGGAGTCAGGGAGGAGAAAGTGTTCTGGCTCACTAAAATATGTGAAAATGTTAGAAGGGGTTTAGATAACTCAATATGAATTAATGTGATACAGCCTTGAAAACGGCTGAAATCCTAGATTGCATAACAAAAAATGGTTATGTAGACTATGGAGAGTGACATCTTCTTGGAATCTTAAGTTTCTTGGCATAATATGTTAAAAGGGTTAGAGAAAAACTAGAGCTCGTTCATAGCAGAGTGACCAGAATGGTAATAGGGATAGAAACCATGCCATATAGAAGATATTGAGGCCAGGTGCAGTGGCTCACGCCTGTAATCCCAGCACTCTGGGAGGCTGAAGTGGGGGGATCACTTGAGGTCAGAAGTTCAAGACCATCCTGGCCAACATAGTGAAACCCTGTCTCTGCTAAAAACAAAAATTAGCTGGGCATGGTGGCGTGTGCCTGTAGCCTCAGCTAGCTGGGAGGCTGAGGTAGGAGAATCGCTTGAACCTGGGAGGCGGAGGTTGCAGCTGAGATTGCACCATTGCACTCCAGCCTGGGCAACAGAACGAGACACTGTCTCAAAAAAAAAAAAAAAAAAAAAAAGAAGGAAAGGTACTGGGAGACTTTGCGTGCTTCAGAAGTATTCCAAGTGCTAAGAAACAGTCTGGCTGTGCAAAAGTCCTGTGGAGTTTTTTCTTGCCCCGTCTCCCTGATTTTGTTTTCTGTTGACCTTTCAACTCCAAAATCAGTAGGCTTTGCTGAGTTGGGGACCTTGAGTTCAGGAGAGTTACTAGTACATGCCTTGTTGTGTATTGATCAGGAGAGAAGATTGGGATAGCCACCTATTTGGAAAATGGTAATCAGACCTTCTTAGGGGCAGAACTACTTCTCAGAGTATAAAAGCCTATAAAGCCTGAGTCAGGAGAACGTCATTTGATGCCAGAGAAGTAAAAGTATGGGGTGAACTTCCCTTGCAGTGAGGACAGAGGTAGTTTTGGTGGTGCTCAGACTATTGGCAGTGCAAGAAGAGCATATCTCCCTTACTGCACTGCTGGCTATAGCAGAGACTATAAAAAAGCAATGGTGTCCTTTCTACAGTAGCCCCAGTCTTTTGTTAACAGCACATACGCATTTCTTCTTTCCTACTTGAGGGATGAAAAAGCCTGAATTTATAGTATACATTTTTGTATACTTGTCTTATTAGAGTATAAATTCTTCAGAGGAAAATATTTTACTTTTTTCTTTAATCCCCATGTTACCCGATAAAGTACCTTGCTGGTATAATTCCTGTGTAAAATCCTCCTGAAGTCTTTTCACGCATCTGGTTACCACAGCACTTCATACATTCCTGTCAGAGCACTTATGTTGCATTATAAATTTTTGGTTTTGTACACCTAATGGAGTGTAAGCCCTTTGAGAATAGGGTGGAAACTGTCTTACTCAGTTTGATATCCCAAAACCTATTACAGTATCTGGCACTTAGTATCTGATAATCAGTAAATTTATCGGAAATAAATAAATGAGTATAGAAGTATGCGCACATCAAATGCTCCGAATTAAAGGATATCTCCAAAATTACCTTCCTTTTACCGTTGTGTCCCTTTCCCTCTCCCTTGGTCTCCTCATTGTTGATTCTACTACATTAGACCCTTCTGCTTACTTGCTGGTACCTCCATTGTGATACACTGATTTGCTTCCGTCTATCTACAATCTCATCCTGTCCTGTGATATTGAATCTAAGGATATATTTGCTAAAAACCATTATGTTTTACCCTACCTTAGGACTGCCTACATTTACACTGCCTTTATGAGCAACTCAGATACTAATCCTCCACTGAGAAATCACCAAATAGAGAAGTTCACTAATGCTCTGACCACTCTCCTTCTTAGCAATAGTGATATTGGAGGAAGTTTTATGAAGCTTGGGAATCTGCTGAGATGTGTAGGAGCTCTGTCCCATCTAATCCAGCTGGCCAGCTGTACAGCTGTAAATGTTAACCAGTTACATCTTCCAGCTCAATCTGTTGGCAACTAGGAGGATGACTTTTAGGAGAGAAGGAGGGAGGAGTCTCCTCTCAGGTTTCTGACTTGAATGATGAATGGATGGTAAGGACAGCCAAATGTAATAGGGAATAAAGAGAGGGAAGACTATGAGTTTAATTATGAGTATACTGAGTTAGGATGTCCTGAAAGGGCTTCCAAATCAATATATATAGTAAGCATTTAGATTAAAGAATCTAAAACTCAGAGAATATATTAAATTTGACAGTTCTTAAACCACAAGAATGTATGAAATTGCCATGGATATAGCGTTAGAAGTTCATTAAGAACAGAACTCTAGAATATAAATGAAGAAGGAAGCAGACCCATGAAGAGAAGACAGAAAAATAATGATCTGAGAGTAAGAAACGCCAGAGAAGCCCTCCCATCCCCGCAAAAAGCAAAAATAAAACATAGAGGAAAACAAAGAAAATTGAAAAGTTGTACCAATAGTGTCAAATATTACAGAGTAAGATAACTGACTGCCGTTTGAATTTGATCATTAAGCAGTTGTATAATCTCACTGAGAACAATTTCATTGGAACAGGAGGAGGAAAAGCCTCATTGCAGTGTCTTGGGGTTTAAAAGCAAGATGAGAAACTGGAAACATCATGTGTAGGAATTCTCTTAAGATTAAAAGAAAAAAGATAAGATGATAGTTAAATCCTTGTAAAGTCTAGGATCCAGGCCTCCCTCCTAATCCCTTAATGCCTGACCAGTCTCCCAAGAGTGGAACTTAAATAGCCAGAACAAGAAACTAGGACTTTCTTGGAAACATGGGCCATGGCAGGTTCAGGAGATAGTAGCTTTTCTGCCACTTCACATGGGCAATGATATTTATATGCACATCTTCCTCCTATAAGGGTATCCCAGATCATGTGTGCTGCAAACTCCAACTCTTTCTGTTTCCCACTCAAAAACCTGTCTGTAGTATATTTTACAAATGTGTGTATATATATAAACACACACACATATACAGACAAAGTTTGTTTAATAACAGAGTACCTCTGGCCTCCTCTTCACAGTTAATCAGGGGGCGTCAGTGTATTTTGAGACCATGGTTGATCATTTGAACTGAGTAGTAGTTGAGTAAAGTTGCTAATCCATCTAGAGCCTTATCTGAGTGGATCCAGGGTTTCCTATTGGTGCTGGGTGTAGCCTGGCTAGGAATTTGTGACCATTAGGTATTTACTGTCCTTAAACATTAGCTTTCACTTGCAGCTTTTTACTACCAGTAATATTTTGGAAGCCTTAACATAAGATTTTCTCAGCATCAGGGTTGTCGTCAATGAATTTCAGAAAACTCTTCAGACCAGAAGGCAGAAAAGCTGTTTGCTAATCCACGTCTCTGACTTTGCCATCACCCTTGTGTTCTCATAATTCACTTAATGCCAAGCAAGTATATGCACAGATGGAGGTTCATGTCTCTGTCTGCTTTCTCTACAGAAGGCAGCTGCCATGTTCCTTCAAAGCTCAGTTTTTCTTACAGTGAAATCCTATTGTCATAAAATAATCATGATCCACTCCTACTAATGGGTCCCTCTGTGAGGCCTAAATGGCAGAATTCATTCATTTTTCTAGGCCTTGGATTTTTGTCTCTTTAGACATGCTTTTCATGTTTGTTAAACTCAACATATCCAAAACTGCTGTAAGCAACTCTTTCTCACCTTTTTCCCCATTTAGGTTAGTTGTACTACCATCTTCTCAGATGCCCAAGCCAGAAGCCTGGGAATCATACTTGATTCCTCCCTGTTTAACCCTCACCAAGCCAATCACTCTGGCTCTTAAATGTCACAAATAATAATTCACTACTTTCCATCCCAATTACCACCGCTCTACTCAAGGCAGCTTTCATCTTTCACCCAGATTATCCTGACAACTTTCTAACTGGTTTTATTGCCTCCAATCTTACTTCTCTTTTATTCTCCAGACTGGAAATATTTTTCAAAATTGCAAACGGATTATTTCATCTCCCTGGTTAAAATTCTTTAGTAATTGTCCTTAGGAGAAAGTCCAAACTCTTTAACATGGATCTTATAAGGTGCTTCGTAAGCTGCCTCATCTTTGTGCTACTTTTTCACTTCATTCTCTGCCTCGGCCATACCACTCCCTCAGTTCTTTATGCTACCATATTCATCCTCAGTTTGAAACTTTTTACTGGTAATGCTTTGACATTTGCAGTTTCTGTATTTTGACCAGGTAACTCCTACTATTCTTTATAATACAACTTAAATATTACTTGTTTAGGGAAACTTTCTCTGTAACCCTAACCTAGATTAGTTGCCCTTGCTGTGTGCTCCTATAGCATCTTTTATTTTTCCTATGATAGCAGTTAGTACCTTTTAATTTTAATTAATTGTTCAATCTTTAGAGTATAAACTCTGTGAGTGAAGTTACTCTGCTGTCTTGCTGGTGATCTTTCAAAGATGGAATGGACTTTCTTGGGAACTTATGTTTCTCAGCACCCATAGTGTTCATGTATAGGTTGAATAGCCCCAGGTTGGGAATGGAAAGCCTTTAAGTCCTTTCCAATCATATTGTTTGTTCCACATATTCAAGTTACATGCATATGTCTACTTGAAAAGTCTCTATAAGTCATTGTAAAAGAATTTCACCTAATCGAACACGTCGAATAGTCAATGACTAATGGCATAGAGAGAACCAAAGAGAGATTTTTAATTTAGAGCCCTGTATGTGCAATTTTTGAAATTCATGTTGTATTTTATATCTCTCATAGGTGAAATGAACCAGAAATACAAGGAGCTAAAGAAAAGGGAGGAACATATGGACAGTAAGTGATATTCTTGTAGATATAAAAATATAATATTTTCAGATTGCTGTTCATTTATACCAAATCAGAGACCTCATTTTGGGCAGATATAATGGCTAATAAATGCAGAAGTGTGGACATTCAAAGCATTTTGCCTTGAAGAATAGTTTCTAGCATAATTTAGAGATGGGTAGAAAATTCTAAAAAGATATGTGATGAGTGTCTATACGTTGGGGCTAGATTCTAAAGCTAGTACTTACATTCGTAGTCTGTACAGAGGAAACCTATAGACCAGGGGTCCCCAATCCCCAGGCTGCAGACCGGTAGGAACCAGGCCGCACACCAGGAGGTGAGCCACTGGCAAGCGAGCATTACCGTCTGAGCTCTGCCTCCTGTTAGATCAGCAGCAGCATTAGATTCTCATATGAGTGTGAACCCTATCGCGTATGAGGGATCTAGGTTGTACTCTTGTTATGAGAATCTAACCCCTGATGATCTCAGGTAGAACAGTTTCATCCCAAAACCATCACCCGCATCTGCCCCCAGCCCTGGTCCATAGAAAAATTGTCTTCCATGGTCCCTGGTGCCAAAATGGTTGGGGACTGCTGCTATAGATCATTTATTGATTGAATGTTCTCTTTTACATGCTTCACTATATTCACCTTTAGTATCTTTCACTTTTATATTTAGCTTTCCATAATACTTATCTCATTGTTTATTAGCCCTCACATCAGATATTGTCACTTTTTTCTATCACCAGCTATAATTTTAGTTGCCTTTTGTTAGTTTTGATTCACTTAAAAAAAATCTCAGCCTGATTTTATAAATTGGTTTTCACTTAAACCTATACATTTATAATTTTTTTAAAAAATTGGCATGTATTCTCAATTACTGGTTTCCTTTTAAGTTATCATTTTGCTGGAATCTGAATTCTAGCGAAGTGCTAGAATTTCATCTAGGTCTGATGTCAATAGTTACCTTCATGGAGGCATGCAATAAAAGAGTAATTGTCACCTCTTATTTTACAATGTACCAAGTTTTCTTTAAAATGTCAGTAAATACCAAAAATTATCTCAAAAATATTTTTTTAAGTCTTTTGGTAAAGGAGAAAGGTGTAAAATCAAGGAACAATGTGTCATGACACCACAGTATTGGAAATTACTAGATACTACCTAGTGTGGTATCTGGCACTTAGGTGTCAATAAGTGTTCATTTAATGAATGTTTACTGAATGAATGGAAAGAATTCCTATACTACAGAATCTTAAAATAGAAGGTCACCTAGCTCAGATTTCTTTCCACATATTAATTATGGTTTGTTTTCCTTAAAAAATAACCCCTGAAAGACAATGTTCATTTATGCCTTTGTATATGTAAAAATCTCATATGTCCACTTAATGTGTGATCAACAGATTATAGAAGCAGGATATTCACACATAAGACCTGTGTGAATGCTGAAGCAGGACATTAAAGAAAATTCAGTTTTATAAAAAATGTTGATTGTGGTCCTCTACCACCATATTCAAATAAAAAATGTTTTGTTGAAGACTGTTTTACTTTAAAAAATATGCTAAATATAAGAAAAAAGTATAATGGGAATCCATTACAGAAGGCAAGCTATTGATGTTATTCATGCTAACAGTAAAATTATTTTTGACTGAAAGTTTCTATTTTTTAGATGCTCCATAGAAATACTCGAAAATGTAAATAAGAGCTGTTTCTATATTAAACAAGTAAAAAGATAATTTCCTAGAATATTTATTTACAATCTGAATACATTATTAAATTCATTTAGTTGAAATGAATCCAGCATTGTAAATAAAATACTTATTTTCAGATAAAATGGGTATTCAGCATTGGAAATTATAGAAATAAAGTTAGTAGTCAGGGTGTTAATAATTATTGATGTATCAAAGGAGATCTTTATAAAAGCAAATTTCTTCTGATTGTCATTTTATCAGCTATTTCTTTTGAGCTTATATTTATAACTTTCTGATTTACTTATATCAAGGTCACAGGATTTAGGCAGTTTGAAAGTATATAAAGTTCTTATTGAATAATAATTACCTTTGGGTTAATAACAAATTAAACAGTGGCAGCTTAAAATTTCTAAAAATTGGGCCAGGTGCCGTGGCTCAAGCTTATAATCCCAGCACTTTGGGAGGCCGAGGCGGGTGGATCACGTGGTTAAGAGATCGAGACCATCCTGGCCAACATGGTGAAACCCTGTCTCTGGTAAAAATACAAAAATTAGCTGGGCGTGATGGTGCATGCCTGTAGTCCCAGCTACTCAGGAGGCTGAGGCAGGAGAATCCCTTGAACCCAGAGGTGGAGGTTGCAGTGAGCCGAGATCGTGCCACTGCACTCCAGCCTGGCAACAGAGTGAGACTCTGTCTCAAAAAAAGAAAATTCTAAAAAGCACTCTTAAGAACTGCAAATCAGAGTTTATATAGTGTTAACTCTATCAGCAGTAATCTCTCTTATGTTTTCCAATTGTCAGCTTTTATTGAGACTTTTGAGGAAACAAAGAATCAGGAACTGAAACGAAAGGCACAGATAGAAGCCAACATTGTTGCACTCTTGGAGCACTGCAGTCGAGTGAGTACCATGTGCCTGTCTTGGTGTCCTCTTTATTTTTGCCGTGATTAACTTTCCAAATACAACTCAAAAAATAGAACGGCTCACTATTGTATCTTCTCATTTAACTGCTTCCTTTCAATTCCCTTACTTGTTACTATTTATTTCAGCTATTAACTTTTTTATCACTCTAGCAAAATGTCAGGTAATTAGGGCAATAGAGAAAAAGGATGACATGTATAATATCAATATTCAGCAGTAAATGAAGCACTAATTCAGAGTAATTATTATGATCTTCTTCCATTGTTAATCTATCTGAACTTTTGAAAGTAACATTTGCACAGATAATTTCAAAATCTAGACATGTTAGAAAATGTTAATGTATTTTTATACTGTAAATTTATTGTAAATAAAAAGATTCTTGTATGTATATGTAATGAGTATCTCAAATTATCAAAAAATGTTTATTGGGCATCTATTATGAAATGCATGCCCCCCTTTCAATATTCTAGTGTTTTAAGACTCCAACCAGTTTCTAAAATAGTGTAGTTGAATTTTTTCTGCAGTGAAATAAAGGAAATGAAAAAAAACCCACAATTTTGAATTTATAGTCTGTCTTTATTGAGAAAACCCAATTTGGAATCTCATTTTCTATACAATATATAACTTGAATGGTGTATTTCAAAAAAAATACCTGATCCAAACATCTCATCCTTTGACAGTGTTTTCCAAGAGTTTTATTGAGAACTAACTAAATCAGTGGATTTTTTTCTATTTTTATTTCTCTGCAAATGCAGAATATAAATCGTATAGAACAGATATCCTCTATCACCAATCAAGAGCTAAAGATGATGCAGGATGACCTCAATTTTAAATCTACTGAAGTGCAGAAATCACAAAGTACAGCTCAGAATTTGACTTCAGGTGAGAAAACAACCTAGATTTTAATATTCTTTTTTTTTAAAATATATCAATGTTATTCTCTGATTATTTTAAAGCCTCATTGACAGAGGCTATAATTTATGATTGCCTATTGCCCCAGAATTATGTGTGGCTTTTTTCATCAGCTGGCTAGTATTATGTTGTATATTGTCACTGATTTAACAACATTTATTGAATACTTATTTCAAGCCTGTGCTATATAATTCTGGATATTGTTAAAGATAAACAAAGCTGGATGCATGTTAAAGTGCTAAGGATAGATTTTAGTCAGTAATACAGCGTGGCAGTAAGGCAGGAGGGTCCAGCATGAATTGAAATCAACTTTGATTTGTACAGAGGTGATTGAGTGTTTTAAAGGGAGAATGAGGGAGTAGTAAGGGAAATGAAAAATTACAGGGTTCATCAATGTACATGCTGGTTAGGCCAGCTGTGTCTGTTAGCTGGCAATTATCAAGTTAGGAGTCTATGTTTATACACAGACTAGCAGACAGAGGCCCTAACTTTCCTGATAATCACGTTTTAATGGAATGGCTTTTAGGTCCTTGAGGAAAATACTCCTGAGTTGTGGGAGGTACATACAGATATGGTTTGGATTTTTTGTCCCCTCCAAATTTTATGTTGAAATGTGACCTCTAGTGTGGGAGGTGGGCCTAGTGGGAAATGTTTGGGTCATGGGGGCGGATCTCTCGTGAATGGCTCAGTGTCATCCTTGCAGTAATTAGTATGTTCTCTGTGAGTTCACGCAAGATCTGGTTGTTTAAAAGAGCCTGGTACCTCCTCCTTCTCTCTCTTGCCTTGTAACATGCAGGCTCCCCTTTGCCTTCTGTCATGATTGTAAGCTTCCTGAGGCCCTCACCAGAAGCAGTTGCTGGCACCATGTTTCATGTACAGCCTGTAGAACCATTAGCCAAATAAACTTATTTTTTAAAAATAAATTACCCAGTCTCAGGTATGCCTTTATAGCAATGCAAATAGACTAGTACACATATACATCTTAAAGGTACAGAGGAAAGATTCACAACTGGATACCCTAAGAAAGGGTAGTCAGGGGCCTGTTGACCAGTACGGGCTAGAATAAATAGTACATTCTTTCGGCGGCCTTGAGCTTTGTCTGGCAGGCACTTTAAGTGGGGATAGGGTCATCCCAGGGATGCAGACTTGAGCTGTTAGAAACTGTTTGTTTAAATCTTCTAATGTGGGTAGAAGGTGGTGCATGAAATCATTTGTGCTGAGAGTGGAATTTTTATAGGCAGAGGTTGAGGCCTAGTTGAGAAGAGAGCTCAGAGGAGCCTAGCTAGTTTGGTCAAGGATTGAATCTTTGTCAGTATAAGAGGCTTAAAAAAATCTAATCTGTTTCCTCAAGAAACTTTCAACTTGGTGGAGTGACAGTTATGATACAATGAAATAATGCTATGATAGAAGTAAGCATAAGGAGCAACGGAAGTACATAGGGCACATATCCAGCCTAGTCTTGGATAGTTAAGAAGAGATGATGTTTCACTTTAATTAGTTTCAGTCATGCTTGCTATCATGAGACTAGAGCAGCACTGTCCAAGAGAAATTTAATGACAGTATATATTATATTTATATAAAGTTTTCGAGTAGCCATGTTGACAAAGTAAAAAGAGACAGATTAATTTTAATAATATATTGTATTTAAACTGATATAGCCAAGTTATTATTTCAACATGTAAGCTATATAAAAATGATCAAAGAGATATTTTATCTTCACGACATTTCAATTAGGACTAGCCTTATTTATTTATTTATTTATTTATTTATGAGACAGGGTCTCACTCTCATTGCCCAGGCTGGAGTGCAGTGGCGTGATCACAGCTCACTGCAGCATTTACTTCCTGGGCTCAGGTGATTCTCTCACCTCAGCCTCCCAACTAGCTGGGACTACAGGCACACACCAGCACGCCTAGCTAATATTTCGTATTTTTAATAGAGATGGGGTTTCACCATGTTTTCCAGGCTTGTCTCAAACTCCTGGGCTAAAGCCATCTGCCCACCTCGGCCTCCCAAAGTGTTGGGAATACAGGCGTAAGCCACTGCACCTGGCCTGGACTAGACATACTTAAAAGGGCTCAAAAATCACATGTGGCTAATGGCTGCCATTGGGATGGTGCAGGTGGAGATTAGATACAAATAAACAAAGTTGAGGTTAAAGAGACTAGGATAAGGTCATGTAAAAATTTGTATGGGATCTTTGGTTTATGAACTAATGGCTTCTGTGGGTGTTCTTTATGCTGGTGTGTTGCAGCTTTGAATTAGCTATGTTTTTGTCTACCTGGAATTACTACAGTTAGTGAGATAGTGAGAAATGAAGACCTAATTAATATTTGCTAACTTAAGAATGTTGAAAGATTTTTGGGTGGGAATTGAACAATGAGAACACTTGGACACAGGAAGGGGGACATCACACACCGGGGCCTGTTTTGGGGTGGGGGGAGGGAGGAGGGATAGCATTAGGAGGTATACCTAATGTAAATGACGAGTTAATGGGTGCAGCACACCAGCATGGCACATGTATACATATGTAACAAACCTGCACGTTGTGCACATGTACCCTAGAACTTAAAGTATAATAATATATATATATAAAAGATTTTTGAAATGAAATAATGATCCATAATACCTTTATCTGGATTCCCAAAATCTAAAAAGATATTGGCAGCAAAACCTGACCTGACCTGAACTGACGTGAGGCTATTTATAGTTTTTAATTATCCTACCTAGTGTGACTATTTATGCTTTTTGCTATAGAAATATTCGTGTACTTGATGACAAGGTATTCCCTCAGACTTTGCCATGGGAGTTATGTAATCATAAGTATATGTGCTGTATTACTTTTCTAAAATCCAAAGAATTCTGCATTCTGAAATAGAACTGCCCAAGGGTTTTAGATAAGGGATTATGGACCTATAAATGCATACTGAATGCTATTAATTGCATTAGTAGTGGTGATATAGGTATATAATTGCTATATTTAAGCCTATTTTATATCCAGATTTGTTGAGAGTTTGTTTGCCGTAGTTTTTTTTTGTATGTCTATATGCCAAGTAACTGGAGGAGTTACATTCTTGATATATAACTACTGTTGGTTTGACTGTGAGTATATTTTTATTGTGGTAAAAAAACACATAACAAAATTTATCATCTTAACCATTTTGAAGTATACAGTACAGTAGTGTTAACTATATGCACATTGTTGTGCCACGAATCTCTAGAACTTTTTCATCTTGCAGAACAAAAACACTTTACCTCCTGAATAACAACTCCATATTTCCCTATCCCCTGACCCCTGGAGACCACCGTTCTACTTCTGTTTCTATGAGTCTGACTACTTTAAATTACCTCATATAAATGAAGTCATACAGTATTTGTCCTTTTGGGACTGACTTAGTTCACTTAGCGTAATGTCCTTAAGGTTCATCCATGTTGTAGCAAAGAAGGATTTTCTTTTTTAAGGTTGAAACATTCTATTGCATGTATATATCATATTTTAAAGTCTATCTGTAGACAGACAGATTGCTTCCACCTTTTAGCTATTGTGAATAATGCTGCAGTGAACATGGGTGTGTAAGTATTTCTTCAGGATCCTATTTTCATTTCTTTTGGACATATATGAATATTTAAGAATATTTTCTCTTTTCTATAAACTAAATAATTTTATAGTTTTATTTCATTTAGAAAACCTCTGTTTCGTATTTTAGACCTTCATGCCTAAGTTTTTCATTTATCTAAAGTCAATGTAAATTCAACAAGTTTTTCCCCCTTTAAGCTATCTTTCTGTAACAGCTGTCAAGAAATGTACATTTTTTAAAAGGCAAAAATCAATACCAGGAAACAAATTCAATAATCAAGACTTTGTATTCATTCCGTACTTTATACTTTGTGTTTATAATTCCTTTTAACAACTAGTCATTATGGGCCAGGGGAGGTGGCTCACGCCTGTAATCCCACCACTTTGGGAGGCCAAGGCGGGCGGATCATCTGAGGTCACGAGTTCAAGAGCTGCCTGACCAACATGGTAAAACCCCATCTCTACTAAAAATACAAAATTAGCCTGTGTGGTGGTGCAAGCCTGTAATCCTAGCTACTCAGGAGGCTGAGGCCGAAGAATCACTTGGACCCGGGAGGTGGAGGTTGCAGTGAGCCGAGATCGCGCCATTGCACTCCAGCCTGGGCAACAGAGTGAAAATCTATCTCAAAAAAAAAAAAAAAAAAAAAAAGTAGTCATTATGTGTTCTCCTGAGATGTACAGTTTGAAAAAAAATTGAAAACTGGCTTCAATGGAGATAAAAATCCAGTTTAATAGTATGATAAGGATTTTGCTGGAAATTTTTCTTTGTAAGGGTTAAATTCTTTGATGCTTATAATTAATTTCATTTACTACATTGTTTTCATTTTAACTTCAACCAACCATATAATTTATTCTTTCTTTCCTTCCCTAACACCATCCCCCACCTCAAGAAATTTTTTTGTATCTTCAAAACACCATGAGAGGTTTATAATATTCTTGTTCGCCTTTCAGATAGAATGGATTTAGTGTACTCCATGTTGTTGTTGTTGTTGTTGTTGTTTGAGACGGAGTCTCACTGTCGCCCAGGCTGGAGTGCAGTGGCGCGATTTTGGCTCACTGCAGGCTCCGCCCCCAGGGGTTCACGCCATTCTCCTGCCTCAGCCTCCCGAGTAGCTGGGACTACAGGCACCCACCACCTCGCCCGGCTAATTTTTTGTATTTTTAGTAGAGACGGGGTTTCACCGTGTTAGCCAGGATGGCCTCGATCTCCTGACCTCGTGATCCGCCCGCCTCGGCCTCCCAAAATGCTGGGATTACAGGCGTGAGCACCGCGCCTGGCCTTTTTTTTTTTTTTTTTTTTTTTTTTAATGGAGCAATCACTTCTTGGGGGAAGGGTGAAGAAAACTTAGATATTATAATGGCCCTCCAGAGGTCACCATACCTAAATGGCTACACACCACATGGGTGATGTAAAAATTTCAGGGGAGGGAGGTGATTGGGGAAAAAGAGTCTGTAATCGACTTCTTAGGGAATCAATAATGTAAGAAAAAGGTTGAGAAACACTGGTGTACTGCATGGGCAAAGAGGCAAGGGATTTATGAGCAATATTTTTTATTTATATTTTTGGAAAGGAAACTCCAGAGAGTAAACAAATGTGCTGATGACAGACTATCTTAGAAACACTTCCCCGGGTCAAAGTGGTTCCTTCTGAGATTTTGCTCCTATGTACACACTGCTTGGTAAACTTTGCAACTTCACGGCATATCAGAAGGAACTAGACTGCATCCTCTTCCTGTCTCTTCCCTTGGAGTAGCATTTAGCTTTTCATTGCGGACCTGTTGTTAAAGGAAGATAAACTTTACCCTATACCAGCCATTTTCTCCTTTTATCAAGAAAAATCAATTTGTATGGTTCTTAAATGTATTTCCCTAGTATATATTCAAATTAAACTTGCAGTTAGATTTATATCAGTGTTTACTCCAAATAGTCAAAATATCTACAGGCTAAAAACAGTTCCTATTTCGAGCATTAAAATAGCATAAGCCTTAGTCACTTGTTCAGCTCTTTGATTCTCATAACTATTTCTAACCGTGGTAGAGATAAGAATCCAACAAAACAAAACTCTTTGCAACAACATTTAAGTTTTGCTATATACATATTTGTATTTACGTGTACATACACATATATATTTTTAAATAGTGTATGTCGCTGTGGTTGACTTTTAAAACTCTTAAAGGGATAAAAGGAAACATTCAAGAAATACTGGCTTAATTATACTAACTTTAAAAATTTTGGTTGGATAACAGCCTGTTTTCTCAAATCAGTGACTTTCGAAGCATTGTTTTTTACTCTTCAAATTCATTCATATTCATTTACTATTCAGTATGCTGAACTTGTTACTGGCTCAAAGGTACTAGACTTTCTTACCTCTAGACTTTGCACATGCTGATTGTTTTTGCTGGAACACTTTTACCTTCCTCTTTGTGTGATATTCATAAACCTTAAGCCTTTAATTGAAAGGCATATCTTTAGAGAGCTCTCTTCATCCCTGCTACATGCTTTTATGGCACCCTGTGCTACTCTTTTCATATTTATCCAGTTTATTGTAAATACTTATTTAATTGCCTGCTTCTACCTCTAAAATACAGCTCCCTGAGTGAAAACCATGTCTCTGTTGATTGCTATTATATCCTCAGCACCTGGCACATAGTAGATGCTTGATATTTTTGAATGGAAGAATGAGACACACACAGGTATCCTCATTATTCATATATTTCATATTGTGAATTTGCCCTCTCACTAAAGTTACTTTGTACCCCCCAAATCAATCCTTGCAGCATTTTCATGATCATTTGTGGGCATGTGCAGACTCGTGAAAAATTTCAACAGCCTGACATGCACATTGCCAACAGAAGTTGAAAAAGGCAACACTCTGCCTTCTTATGTCAGTTCTCATACTATAAAGAGGTTTCCTTTTTGCAGTATATTTAGTGGCATGTTTTTTGCATTTTTGTGCTTTCTGTTGGTGATCATGCCATTTAAAATGGCCCCAAGCAAAGTGCTGATGTGCTAAGTGTTCCTAAGGCACATCATAGCCTTATGGAGAAAATGTGTGATAGGTAAACTTAATTCAGGCATAAGTTACAGTGCTGTTGGCTGTGAGTTCAATGTTAGTGAATCTACAACCTATAGTAAATAAAATGTCTTTAAACAAACATAAAGCAAGATTATGTATTGGCTAATTGACTAAAATGTGACTAAAGGCTCACAGGAACTTAACTCTGTATTTCCTTTGGGAGCAATAGTTCAATATTTGCTAACTCATTGTTCACAATAACTTCATAGGACATAACTACCACAGATAGTAAGAGTTGATTATGTGTGCAATTATAAAATTGTGCTCAAATATATATATAATGTTTTATAACTTGGTTTTTTCCCTACATAACTGTGTCATGCTTCTGTTAAAAATAATGTGTCTTTATCTCATAATATAGATTATATTACTAAGCAAGAAAAAAACTTAAATGTTTGTTAGCATGGAGACAGCTGTGGCTAATAGACATCAGGTTACCTTGATTCCCTAATATATTGGTTACCTGAAATTGGTTATTGAGGGGATGAGTATTTTTTTTTCTTAGTTTATATTATCTCACTGGTTACAGTGAACATATATTTCTTTTACAGATATTCTTAAAAAACATGATTTTTAATAGTTGCATTACATTTCCTTATGTGAAAGGAATAAAATTTTGATTAATTATCACCTTAAATTCTTATGTTTCAGACATTCAACGTCTGCAGTTGGATCTGCAGAAAATGGAGCTTCTAGAAAGTAAGATGACTGAAGAACAGCATTCTCTAAAAAGCAAAATTAAGCAAATGACAACTGATCTGGAGATATATAATGATTTGCCAGCTTTAAAATCATCAGGTGAAGAAAAGATAAAGGTAAATGTTAACCAAGTCTTACAGAATTACAATTCAGATTGTTTTTTTCTTGATCAAATGTAATATATTTGTGGTTTATAGGATTTATTATTTTAAGTTGATTATTTTATATATATAAGTGAGAAAAAATAAAAATGTTTACATATGTAGTTGGAATTTAGAGTGACTTAAAGTTTTAAAGAAAAGCAAAAATTGAAAAGCAAGGTATAAGCTGCTACTTAATACAGAGCATTTCAGCAGATGTGAGCTTTGTTAAATGCAGTTTAGATTATGACTCTATCCTACCTGAAACTTGTCAGTGGCTTTCCATTGCCATTTACATTAATTTAGACTTAATTTGGTAGGGTCGGGAGAGATATGGCAGCATTAATAGAGTTATTAATACAGATAATGTTAACATAGCTTATAGTTCAAAGGATATTTTTACAAACGGGTTTTAGAGTAGTTATAGCCTTGATATAATTTTACCAGAATATAGTTATTGAAATTAAGTTAAATATGATTTATATTGGCTTACTACATATTTTCTATAACCTGTCACTTCTATTTGGATCTTTCTAGAAATTACATCAGGAGAGAATGATATTATCAACCCACAGAAATGCCTTTAAGAAAATAATGGAGAAGCAAAACATAGAGTATGAGGCACTAAAAACACAATTGCAAGAAAATGAGACACATTCTCAGGTAAAAAATGTTTTAAATGACTTTGAAATTGTCTTAGTCTATATTTTCACCCCAAAACAATCAATTTTTTATTTTAAAATTTGCTTTATATACCTTCTAGATTTTCTGACTTTTAAGACAGCCAGATTCTGTACAGTCTTCATTCAGAATGAATGGACTCCTGCTTTCTTACCTTCCATAAACCTATATTGAAAGCCAACTCTGTTAGATACTGTCTTGGGCACAACTGTTAAGATATATGGGGTAGTATATTTTAAAAATTTTGGAAGTGAAACATTACTAATACAGAAACTAAAAATCCATAAAATCACAAATAAAATAAATTCTAATGATTAGTACCCCACCACCCAGAAGAGAGAATGCTTATTGTTGCTTTAGTGTGGGTTCTTTTAGTCAATGGATAGATAGATAGATAGATAGATAGATAGATAGATAGATAGATAGATATGTGTATACACATATTTATGCATATACTTAGGTACACATTTATTTCTATGCATTTATAGAAATTGTGCCATATTGTACATATCATTTAGGAGCTTGTTTTTCATGATTAACTATACATCATAAGTACTTTCCCTTGTCAATATATATATTGACTTTTAAAAAATATTAATAGCTTAATGATATTCTAGTGCATGGATGTCGCATAATATATTGAACCAATTCCCTTTCGTTGGATATTTAGGTAATTTCTAGTTTTAAAACCATTGAAATAATGCTATAAAGAGCAATCCAGGTATCCTTGAACTTCTTAATTCATATCTCCAATTATTTACATAGGATGCGTAGATATATATACCTGCAGCCCCCTTTTCATATCACTCATCTTGCTGATAATTACTTGAACAGTGTGTGAGGTCTAGATTGAGAGCTCTGACGGGACAGAGACAATGTCTGTCTCGTTTACTTTATTCCTTGCCCTGTGGTATTGGTTGGCACATAGTAGGTACTCAGCAATTATTTGTTGAATGATTGAATGAAGCATTATGTGTCATGTACAAAGTCAATAACTACGGTCTGAAAAAAATTGATCATTCTTATATCTAATTAGTCTATATTAGAAATTTGCACACATGGTTTAAAACCCTAAATGCATTAAAAATTCCCTCTTTTGGCCAGGCACGGTGGTTCACGCCTGTAATCCCAGCACTTTGGGAGGCTGAGGTGGGCGGATCACGAGGTCAGGAGATCAAGACCATCCTGGCTAACAACGGTGAAACCCCGTCTCTACTAAAAATACAAAAAATTAGCCAGGAGTGGTGGCGGGTGCCTGTAGTCCCAGCTACTCGGGAGGCTGAGGCAGGAGAATGGCTTGAACCTGAGAGGCGGAGCTTGCAGTAAGCTGAGATCGCGCCACTGCACTCCAGCCTGGGTGACAGAGCGAGACTCTGTCTCAAAAAAAAAACAAAACTCTCTTTTTCTTCATATGGTTATGTGATCATGATAGAGCAAAATAAAAATGATGTCATTTGATTTTCCACTACATAGGTACAACCGTTGTTAACATTTTGGTGCCATATCCTTGTAGTATTTTCATCCTTTGCAATCATACATCCATATTGTTTTTACAAAAAATAAAACCATGCTATTCATACAGTCTTTCAACATTTTCTTAACTTTTTTCAGCCTTCTTTTTTTTTTTTTCAAACAGAGTCTCACTGTGTTGCCCAGGGTAGAGTGTAGTGACATAATTGTAGCTCACTGCAACCTGGAGCTCCTGGACTCAACCGATCCTCCTGCCTCAGCCACTGAGTAGCTAGGACTACAGGCACAGACCACCATGCTCAGCCAATTTTTATTATTTTTTATAGAGACAGGGTCTTGCTGTATTGCCCTGGCTAGTCTTGAACTCCTGGCCTCAAACTGTCCTCCTGCCTCAGCCTCCCAAAGTGCTGGGATCACAGGCATGAGCCACTGTGCTTAGCCTTTTTTTTCTTTTTGAGACGAAGTTTTGCTCTTGTCACCCAGGCTGGAGTGCAGTGGTGTGATCTTGGCTTACTGCAACCTCCACCTCCTGGGTTCAAGCAATTCTCCTGCCTCAGCCTCCCAAGTAGCTGGGATTGTAGGCGCCAGCCACCACGCCTGTCTAATTTTTTTGTGTTTTTAGTAGAGACAGGGTTTCACCTTGTTGGCCAGGCTGGTCTCGAACTCCTGACCTTAGGTCATCCACCTGCCTCGGCCTCCCAAAGTGCTGGGATTGCAGGTGTGAGCCACCACACTCGGCCTTTGGTGACATTTCTATAGCATTAGCTATTTCATTGTATGGATGTACCATTTGAAAACAACATACACCTTACATTCTTTTTGAAAAGGGTAGAATCTCATGAAAGCTTGCTACAACTACTAAAAGCTTAGAAATCACTAATTTACATAATTCAAATTTACCAGTTATTCTGTTCTACTTCATATGGAAACCTAGATATAGACTTATAATTGACACAATTTTCTTAGGTTGTTTAGAGTGAGGATGAGTGCTGGGGAAGAAACAAGACAAAGTTTGGGAGGTCATTGTCTTCAGCAATTCTTGGAAAAAAATACTGATACTTCTTATGGAATATTAGCCCTCCTCATTCACTGAATAGATGATTTAAGGTGGAAAGCACTTGAAAAACACCATTTCTTAGAGCCAGTGAGTGGTTAACTTGTTTATCCCCACATTAATTGCTAATTTTAACTCCATGTATTGATAACTGGAAATCATAACATAAGCCACAATTTCGAATCCTTCTCTGTGTTATTTGTCATCTTTTGTGAATCCCAACTGATTAAGTCAAATCCTGGTCTTCCTATCTTTCACAATTATCTTCTTGAAAACTGGCTTTTGGCATCTCTAAAGAATTTTATGTAACAGATTATTTAAACTAGTTAGGGAAAAACAGATTTTCAAAATGAATTTTTGCTTCATGATGTCCTTGGAGGTTTAAAGGAGTCAATAATATAGAGGTATAATGTAAAAGGAATTTGACCATCTGACACAGCATTGCTTTTATACCATTCCTGTAGCACTTAACAGGTCTGATGCATTATAAGAAGGCCACCTGTTTGTATGAAACAATGACAAAAAAGTCTGGTACTTGACTTTGCTGAAGGTTATTAGAAATTTACTGCCAGAAACTGCTGACTGCTTCCTTAAGTCCATCTTAACTTCAAGGTCCTGTCTGGGGGAGATTGATGTGATTAGTAATACCAGCTCACAGCACATACAGTTCACATAATTAATTAGCTATGATTCATTCTAATATCTAGATTTATCTCTTTGGAGGAAACAATGAGATGGATCTACATCAAGCCTGAATTTACGCCCTGAAAATTATTTTAACATGAGGATAGAAACATTTCCACTGTTGCTTCAATTATTGTATTTTTAAAAATAATCATTACTTCTTTGAAATGTCCAGGTGGAACATAATTTTAGCATTTCAATTTTCAAATGGTCCTTTGCTTTGGAAAAAACTATGTGCATCTTAAAAAAGAAAGACCATAACCAGAGTTACAAGGTTAATTAAATCAGAAAAACAATATAATTCTATAACAGTAAAATTGTCTTCTGAGGAAGCAACCATCAATATAATATCCACATTAGCTTCCTGTTGATGCAGAAATTATTGTAACAGTGCCAGCTTTTTACCAGCTCTCTTATAATCTTCACACTGCAGCTCTGCTCTTATCACAGCTTGTGGAATTACACAGGAAATTTAGCCCTGGAAATAAGGAAGTTTCTCCTATATGGCTGAACCTTTGACAGTGTTTGAATATGTATTATATTTGTGGCATTAGACTTCCAGATTTTAAGAAGAGATTCCCATCATGTCCCATTTTTCTTTTAAAAGTTTTTTTAGGGAAAGGAAAATCATAAATTGTCTTTCAGTTGGCATGTTCATTGGTATAATAAACATTTAAAATATAATTAAAATAAATATATAGAGTAAAACATGTTATAGGATTCATCACTGTATTAATATATTTACTATTATTTAATCTTTTTTTTTCTACCGTGGCTTTATCTCAATAAAATGTAAGTTGATAAGATTTAAAGTTGGAGAGATTTTTTTTGTCTTATCCTCTTAGAAAGGCATTTAATTGTTTTAAATATGGGTCCTAATTAATATTTTTCTTTTATGTTTTTAGCTTACAAATTTGGAGAGAAAGTGGCAACACCTTGAGCAAAATAATTTTGCGATGAAAGAATGTATCCTTTAAAAAGCTGAAAATGGGGCCGGGTGCGGTGGCTCATGCCTATAGTCCCAACACTTTGGGAGGCCGAGGCAGGTGGGCCACAAGGTCAGGAGATTGAGACCACCCTGGCTAACACGGTGAAACCCCATCTCTACTAAAAAATACAAAAAAAACATAGCCGGGCGTGGTGGCGGGTGCCTGCAATCCCACCTACTTGGGAGGCTGAGGCAGGAGAATGGCGTGAAACCGGGAGGTGGAGCTCTCAGTGAGCCGAGATGGCACCACTGCACTCCAGCCTGGGCGACAGAGCAAGACTCCATCTCAAAAAAAAAAAAAAAAAAAAAAAAAAAAAAGCTGAAAATGAAATTGACTGAGTTATTTTTTTCTAGGAATTTTTTTAAAGACTCAAATTTAGTTCAACACCTACTTATTAAATACCAGATATGTACAAAACCCTGGGCCAAATTAAATGAATATGACTGTTTCAATTCTACAGTAGTTAAGAGGTGTGTGTGTGTGTGTGTGTGTGTGCGCACGCACGTGCCCTCAAGTAACTAATAGAAAGCAGATTTTGGGAGTTGCCAAAAAAGGAGTACAAAGACTTAATGTGGCATAGTGATTAAGTGCCCAGATTTTGGAGTTGGGCGATCCAATTTTAAATGTCAACTCTACTGCTTGTAAGTTACAAACTGGACAATTTAATCTGTTCAAGCTAGAACTGTATCATCTCTTAAGATTCAGTTTTCCGGGATCACAGGGCTTGGGTAAAGTTAAACATTATCAGTAAATCTTCTGATAAACATGGCAAGAATTTCTCTTTTGTTTAGAGACAGGGGTCTCGCCAACTTAGCCAGGCTGGTCTCAAACTCCTAGGCTCAATCCCACCTCGGCCTGCTCAAGTGCTGGGATTAGAGACATGAGCCACTGCTCTCGGCCCCAGAATTGTATCATCTCTAAAATCTCTAAAATATAGTTAATATTACCTTCTCATAGTGTTGGGAGAATTATATATAACCATATAGTTATATATATCCACAAGTATATATATATATATATATGTACATAATATATAATATATAGTTGTTTGTTGTTTATATGGTTCTACCTTGAATATCTGGGCAGCAAAGGGAGGTAAACTAAGTAAGATCCTGAGAAGTTTGACTTCCAAGCTCATCCATGTTTTAGCCATTTCAACTCCATTATATGTCTACAAAGATGATACTTATGTCTCATCTTATTGTTTACTTTTAGTTTGATTACAGGAGGCAGCAAGCAGCTGTTGAGAACATGTGTTGTGAAGTTGTAACAGATATTTCCTTAAAAGTTGTTTCCTATTCCCTTCTTTGACCCATTCAAGGATGTCTCTGCCTGGAGAACTAGATCCTGACTCAGTGGCAGCATAGGTTCTCCCCCAGGGTGGTGCTGAACTTCAGCTCAGAAGCAGCCTGGACCCCATCTTACCTCCAGATAAGGTGTTTTAGGTACTCTGTTGCCAGTGTTAGTGCAACTTAGTTTAAAAATAGAGGACTTGTTCACAGTATGCTCTAAGTCTCACACTGGAGTTTTGTGCAACATAAAGTAGGTGATTTTGGAGCAGAGCGAAGTCTAGAAATTTGCCTTAAATTATTTGTGGTACTCTAGAGAACGTGGTATGTGTATGTGTGTATGTGTGTTTGAATATAGGAACTAGTTCATTGAACGTTAGATTGTTCTAAGACCAGAATTAGATTAAAAATGCATAACATATTAAGTATTAAAAAGTGTTTATATTGTATATGAATTTTTTGCGGTAAGTTTAGCTTGGCATTTTAGGTTTTAATTGATGCTTAATCTGTTAAAATGATGTACTGTATTTTAAAGTATTCTAATTGTGCTTTTTTGTACCATCTTCAGTATGAAAAATGTCAGTATTTAGTTCCTTTCTCAGGCACAATTAGATTTTTATTGACATTGTTTTCCCCCTTAACTCATGTAATTAGTCATAGCAACCAAGAGTCAAGAGAGTGATTACCAGCCAATTAAGAAAAATGTGACCAAGCAGATTGCAGAGTACAATAAAACCATCGTGGATGCTTTACATAGCACCAGCGGAAACTGAGTTTAAGTCCACTGAAAGTCTCTAAGGAAGTATCCTCTTGCTGCTAAACTTGGTACAAGTTGACTACCAAAAAAAAAAAAAGCTTACTTTTGGAGTTTACCTAAAATTTCTGAATGTTATAATTTTTGTGGCCTCTTTTAAGAATGATATTTTAAAATAGTAAATAGTTCAATAAATGGTTTGCATATTAAAAAGTACCATCTTCTTTTCTTTTTATGCTACTTGTATTTGAACCAAGAGATAAAGAAACTAAAAGTGACCGTTGAAATTTATTTAGCTGGTATAATCCATCTATGGCAACAAATGAGATAAGCTTTTCTTGTATCAACTCTAGGACGGATGCATGGAGTATGATTCTGATTTAGCACTTAGATCAACCTTGTCAATTTTTACTTCTAGAAAAAATTAGTAAGATTAGAAGGGAGATTTTTAGCTTTGAATGTTACTTCTCAAATAGGTTATATTTGATGTGTATTAGACCATATAATGTCACAGGTAAATATATAACATATATTCTTTATATAGCAGTTATACCTAAAGATTTGGAATTAGAAACTTTTAATCTTTGCAATTCTTAAAATATTTTTTCACATATATATACCTGGAAGAACATTAGGTAAAAGACTACATTTATAGTGGGCTGTTTTGGACTATGGCTACTGCTGTTCATTGCCACCCTGCAGTATGCATTTACTCTCTTGTACTATTAGGAGAACTTAAGTAGATTAATTTATAAACATTAGCCAGAATATTTGGGGAAAAAAGCTAGAAGAGGTAGGATTGGGAGAGAGGCATAGAGTCTGGAAGACATTATATTAACTGTAGATGTATCTTCTCTTATCGTGCAGGAATGAGTCACCTTGGCCAGCATAAAATATTACTTAAAACTATCCTGTTTTTGCTCTGATATCATGTTCACTAAGTAACTCTACTTTTCAGTATTTCTGAAACAACACATTGATTTCTTAAACCAAAATAGCTTTATTGAGATATTATTTACATACTTTAAAATTTACTCATATATGTTGATTTTTAAAAATAAATATTTATAATGGTAAATTATTCAAATTCAGTCTATATACATTTAAATAAAGGAGTGAGCATTGTTGAGTTTGCTGAACTCTGGATTACTAATATGGCTGAAGATCCTGGACATTCATTAAGGTAGCATTCATAAAATGTGTTCCATAAATCCTGAGCATCTTGAGTTATTAATAGTGTTATGCCTCCAAAGGATTCATGGTCAAAGAAGTTTGGGAAACGTTGTCTGAAACAAAGGTGAATTATTTTATTTTTTCTTGACTGCTCATAACCCTTAATATGCTAATGTATAATAAGCTCAAGAAGAATATATACTGTAAAGCATTTCCCAGAGATAGTTGTCCACAAAACCCTAACTTTCACAGAGCCTAGGTCACATGAGATGTGTCATTCCAAGAAATAGACTTTGTACACCAAATAGACTTCATACACTAAAATAATTTCATCTACTCAAGTCCTCTGGGTGGCTCTATGGCCTTTTTCAGATGACTCCTGAGTATGTCTCTTTTTAGCCACCCTCAGCTGTTTTATGCTGTGATTGTATGGGGTTTTCTATTGGAAATTGGTAGCAGAAAGTGCTTATAAAATTTCACAAGGGAAAAAAACTCTTTTAGCAGTTAAAGAGAATGAAATCTGAAATTCAGTAGATAAAACAGGTAATAGATTTTGATGACAGTTTGCAGCCCTTCGTTCATTCATAAAGTATTACTGTAATTTGGTGATTAGGAGCCTTTATGGATATACCCGACTGCTGAAAAACATTCATCTTTTATACAGTAACAAACAGAGGTATGATTGAGCATAGAGTTTAGGCAAGAGAACTGACTACTATGGTCTCTTAATCACATTGATTCTATTTCGTGGATACTTCCAAGGAGGAAGGGAATCTGGAAAACATGTTTGTGGATAGGTAATCTTTGTTTTCCTCATTTGAAAGCAAATTTAAATGCCTTTACTTTTTCCTTAGGTTTTTTTTTATGATTTCTACTTAAGTGTTCTTGACATTTTACTGCACCCTTTTAAATAACCAACTTAGTAATTTTTACTATTAGTAATAAGGGTTTTTTTCTGAGTGGTGGGATTATGGGTGATTGTAATCTTCCTTGGGCTTTTTGGTATTTTCAAAATTGTCTGTGATGTACATTTAATACTTAGAAATGCAATAAAATTCAAATAAAGTACTATATGCAGTTACTACTTTAACTGACAGAAAGGATGTAGTAAAAACTCTTAAGTCCTTGACTCTAGAACTGAACCAATCTTTACGCAGAAAGAAAGTAGGAGGAAGATTGGCCTGTCCATTAAATATATGTGTTTGCATTATAACAATGGGAAATTTGGCAGGAAAAAAATTTCTTGACAAAAAGCAAGGCTTTCAATTTCCATCCTAATTTATTCATATGTAATATTGGTGGGGGGCAAATAATTGAGCAGGATTTCTTTAAATTAAAACATGTTTTATCTGAGGGAAATTCTCACTAATGTCTCTCTTCCTTCCTCTGAGAGCCTTTCCACAAATCCAACAAGAATATTCTCTTTACTGGGATAGAACTGGAGGCTAATAGCTGCATGAACTGGCTCTTCCTGAGTCAGTCACATTACTCAGGGGGTTCCATTCATGCTAAAATAACACCTTGTAAGTCACATGGAAAGAAGCTGCAGACTGAACAAACATGCTGAGCAGTTTTACTAGTGAAGATCAACATGGGAAAGTTAGCAAGTCTTTGTTTTTCCCATCCTTATCTTTTATCAGTAAATAAACATGAGTTCTTGATATTCTTTTTCCTGTGGAGCCCCTCGTTTGGACAATACTATAGTCTCATTTTAAGGTACAAAATTCAGTGCCTGCTTAGAGGATTACAGCATGGAGTAATCATATTCACACCAGAGATGAAAGGCCAGTTAGTAGTAGTTCCAGGGGTTTTTGCTGTTCCCTTGCTCAGTTTCTCTAGACTTCTTTCCTTTTGCTATACAATTGCAGTGTAAACAACCTTAGGGAAATTATAATGTTTAGACTCAAAGTAAGAAGAAATAAAGATGGACCACTAGAGAATTGTAGTAATCTATTTTTAAATTGATATTGTGTCTCATTTTTGTATAACTTTTGAAATAAAAGTAGATTATGTCTTAAAATTGTAAGTTTACAGTTTGATAACTGAAAAACATTTTTAAAAAGGCAATTTTTAATACAAAGGTAGATAATTTAGGAAGACAGATAAATAAAATGAAGAAAGTAAGTTACTTGTGATCTCACCAGTCTTTTTAGATACGCATCTATATTTATGTCACACATATCTGTTTTATTTATGTATTTATGCACCTTTAATTAAATTAAAATTATATTGTTTTTAATTTTACATTTGCTATTTGTAATTTAGCACACATTTTTGTATGTCATTATATACTGTTGTACAACATGTTAAATTGTTGCATATTATTTCATTGTGCAAAACTTTCAAAAACAAATCCTACATTATCGAATGAGATTTATGATATAGAGGTTACATGTAAGCTTTAGATCAGATAGCTGGAAATGTGAATCCCAGCTTCACCACTGATTTGTTATATGACCTTGGAAAGCTGGTCTCACAATTTCAGTTTCTTCGTCTACAAATGGAATAATAATGCTTAACTCATAAGATTGGTTCAAAGAGTATGCAGAACCCAAGACGTGTGACACAAATCGTCCTGGGAAAGGTGTCATTATTAGCAGTATGCAAAACTGATTGTTTCCCTGCACTCTCACCAACACTGGTGTTAACCAGGCTGACAGTGCACTACCTCATTTGTTTTACTTAAAAAAAACTGCCGCATTACTGCAATTAGAAGCTATATTTTAATTTGCAAGATGTTTTCATATCAAAAATTACAAAGTCTGATTCTTAAAAATCTCTTTAAAAATATTCATTATAGCTTTGTCATATACATCGAAAGCAAATTTTTAGAATATATTAGATCATACTTTACTGCCTCAATATTTTTCCTCATAATGTATCGTAATGAATTGCTGCTCTGAAAACCTGACTGCATAACTTTAAGAGAAATAGGAATAACCTGTGTAAGAATAATCTACTCAGTAACCAAGGCTGTATTGTTTGTTCATTGTCTCTAGCCTCCTGCAAGTCAAGTGGTTGCACATAAAGAACAAGTATGTCGGCCGGGTGCAGTGGCTCACGCCTGTAATCCCAGCACTTTGGGAGGCCGAGGCGGGCAGATCACAAGGTCAGGAGATCGAGACCATCCTGACTAACACGGTGAAACCCCGTCTCTACTAAAAATACAAAAAATTAGCCGGGCGTGGTGGTGGGCGCTTGTAGTCCCAGCTACTCGGGAGGCTGAGGCAGGAGAATGGCGAGAACCCAGGAGGCGGAGCTTGCAGTGAGCTGCGATCATGCCACTGCACTCCAGCCTGGGTGACAGAGCGAGACTCCGTCTAAAAAAAAAAGTATGTCACAGGATGGAAAAGAAATACCCATTTATTTATTGGGGAGTCCAGTATACAAGAGGGTTTGGAGAAAGCATGAGTCAGAAGTTGAGTTGTCTACTACCTAAAAAAAGGCTCAGGCACACTACAGAAAGCTTTCTACAAGAGAAAAAAAAAAAAAACATAAAATGAGGTTTTCAAAATTCTGTTTTCTTTCAAAATATTTTGTAAAACAATATTCTTAACATGATAACAATATGGTAATACCATGTAAGAAAGGCAGACTTAATCAATTAAAATTACTTTTGGCAGAGGGTGGAGAAAGAACTATTATTAAATTGGCCATTTAAGATTAGAAGACAATAGCTGAGCCAACTAACCAAACTGAAATATTATCTCATTCTCTGTGTTATCATTTTCAGTAGATAAACTCCCTCTAATAGAGGAAGTCCAGATTGACATGAAGGTGAAAATATTTGTTAAAATCCATAAGCTCAATCTGATTTTTTTTTTAAACCAAAGGAAAATATACTTCATTGTTAAAAGCATTTCTAGGTCTTTAATTAGCTTCTTGTTAAAATGAACTCACTTTAGTTTACTGGGTGGGGAGAGGGCTGCCTTAGAGTTTGGCCAGCCCCAACCCTGTCCCTCCCCGCCAAGGACAAAGCAGGGACCTTGTGTCTGAGGATCAGGGGAAATGGTTAAGAAGGAGAGGAAAAGAAAATTGCTTTTCCAGCTTTTTCAACTTCCTATGTAGCCTATAGAGAAAAGCAAGAATCCCTTTGGGAGGAAATAACAAAAGTGCCAACAATAGATAGATGTATGAAGCCTGCATCCCTGCAGTGTACTGGAGCTCTTACCCTTATAATGGCCTTTATCGGAAGGCCAAATGCACATTTACTATAAACTGGTCCTATCTTCCTGGGAGCCTCTCCCCTTAAAGTCATTCCTTGGCTCACTTCCTTCTTCTGCCAGAAATATCAAAGTCAGAGAAGGGGATAAAAGCTGTAAAAGTCCAGCTGCCTTGTTTCCTTTTCCTATGGCACAGTTGAGGTAGCCAGTTAGGTAACAGGTGTTCATAAAAAGACCTCAAGAAACAGTTAATTGAAGAGTGTCAGGTAATAAGGTAAGCAAGCCTCTTACAAAATCACTTGCCACTGTATTATGTCTAAAGGGCTCCACTTGAGCAGAAACCAAACCAAAAAAGGCTCTAAGAAATTTACCTTAAAATTCTGTCCGGAACCTTTTCATTGAACATAGGTTGAATGTCTAATATGGGTTTGCCTAACCACACACTTTGATTTGTCAAATATTTAATTCCAACAATACTTCATGACCTCACTGTGCACTGCCATCCACATCTCCAATAATCACAAGCATAGCAGGCATTGATGCCATAGCTCTTAATTGTCTTAGGAATTAAGACAGGCGGCATCAGTACCTGCTAAGCTTGTTGATGAAAAGAATTGTTAAAAAGAGTTTATCAGGGCTGGGCGCAGTGGCTCACGCCTGTAATCCCAGCACTTTGGGAGGCCAAGGTGGGCGGATCACGAGGTCAGGAGATGCAGACCAGCCTGGCCAACACGGTGAAACCCTGTCTCTACTAAAAGTACGAAAAAATTAACCAGGTGTGGTGGCGGGCGCCTGTAATCCCAGCTACTTGGGAGGCTGAAGCAGGAGAATTGCTTGAAACTGGGAGGAGGAGGTTGCAGTGAGCCAAGATCACGCCACTGCCCTCCAGCCCAAGCAACAGAGCAAGACTCTGTCTCAAAAATAAAAATAAATAATAAAAATAAATGTAAAATTAAGTTATTATTGACTATAGTCACCCTGTTGTGCTATCAAATAGTAGGTCTTATTCATTCTTTCTAACCATATTTTGTATCCATCAACCCTCCCCATTTCCCACCCGTGCTCCCCTCACTACCCTTCCCAACTTATGGTAACCATCATTCTACTCTATTTTCATGAGTTCAGTTGTTTTAATTTTTAGCTACCACAAATGAGTGAGAATATGCAAAGTTTATCTTTCTGTGCCTTGCTTATTTCACTTAATATAATGACCTCTGGTTCCATCCATGTTGTTTCAAATGACAGGATTTCATTCTGTTTTATGGCTGAATAGTACTCCATTGCATATAGGTACCACATTTTCTTTATCCATTCATCTGTTAATGGACACTTAGGTTTCTTTCAAATCTTGGCTATTGTTAATAGTGCTGCAATAAACATGGGTATGCAGATACCTCTTTGAAACACTGATTTCATTTTTGGGGGGTATTACCTAGCAATGGGATTGCTGTATCATATGGTACTTCTATTTTTAGTTTTTTTGTGGGACCTCCATACTGTTCTCCATAGTGGCTGTACTAATTTACATTCGCACCAACAGTGCATGAGGGTTCACTTTTCTCCACATCCTCTCCAGCATTTGTTATTGCCTGTATTTTGGATAAATTTTAACTAGGGTGAGATGGTATCTCATTGTAGCTTTGATTTGCATTTCTCTGATGTTGAGCATTTTTTCATATACTCGCCGGCTATTTGTATGTCTTCTTTTGAGAAAATGTCTATTCAGATCTTTTGCCCATTTTAAAATCAGATTATTAGATATTTTCGGCCTCTTTCATCGTAACTAAGCACTTACTACACACTGGCCATAACTTTTGCAGTATGAGGCGTGACAGCAAAACTATCATGAATTTCTTTTCTTTTTCACAATTTCATGCATAGAAGATTCATTCTTACAGTAGATGTGAGCATACAATTTTTTTTTTGAGAACTTTCACCTTTTCACTTAAAGGAAACACTTTGTGGCTTTTCTTTGACATATCTGAATTGCCAGCATCACTACTCTTGTGTTTGGGGGCCATTATTAAGTAAAACAAAGGCAGTTTGAACACAGGCACTGTCATAAGACAGTGAATTGGATAATTGAGGAGGCTACTGAAGTGTCTAACAAGAGGGTCAGGTCTACAGCATGGGTACACTGGACAAAGGGATGATTCATGTCCTGGGTGGGAAGGAGTAGGATGGTGCGAGATTTCATTATACTACTCAGAACGGTGCACAAAGTAAAACCTGTGAATTATTTATTTCTGAGATTTTCCATGTAATGTTTTTGGACTGCAGTTGACCTTGGGTAACTGAAACCATGGAAAGCAAAACCGAAGCTAAGGGGAGACTACTGTTGTCAAGGAAATGTAGCATATGAAAGGGCACAGGAGTTTGAATCTGAAGCACCTCTTTTGCCTGCTAGCTGGAGGACTTTGAGCAAGTCATTCAGTTTCCCTGAGTCTATTTCCAGGGTTATGATGGGACCCCATGGCTATTGGAATCATCTCAAAGATCCCTATTTCTCAGGCTAATCTCAAATTGTGATAGTGACTTTGTGATTGGGATAACTATGTAATGAAAATTTGATCAGACTACTTATTTTCCATAGGCTTCTATTTTGTCACTAGCTGTAGAGAATTAGGGTTTTCTATATATAAATCATGTCATCAGTAAACAGAGACACTTCTTGAATTTCTTCTTTTTCTATATGGATGCCTTTTTATTTTTATTTTTATTTTGCCTAATTACTCTGGCTAGGACTTCCAGTACTGTGTTGAACAGAAGTGATGAGAGTGAGCATCCTTGTTTTGTTCCTGATCTCTTAGAGGAAAAGCTTTTCACCATTGAGTTTAACGTTAGCTGTGGGAAAAGGGAGCTTTTTGAAGCTTATTAAAAAACAGTCCAGGTTTCGGTTCTCTGGCGATGGATGGTTGGATGGATATATATAAAATATAGACACATATATATGAATATATGGATGGCTATATATGATATATATATCATATATATCATATATATATATATATGGAGAGAGAGAGAAAAAGAGGGAGATGACCACATTTATTGGTGAAAACCAACCAACTTGCCCTTCTGTAAACATAATTCAGCAAGAGTTATTTGTGGAGTACCGGAATTGGTGAGAATTTCGATAGCTTTTCTGTTATAACGCTTTTGCCAACTGCAGCAATTGATTCAGGTTTTTCTCGTCTTTTACTGTCATCGAGGGAAAATCTGTTGAGATTCATCATTTAAGCTCCCATATGTTAAGCCTCTTTCCCAGGATCAATGATTTGCTTTTTTCTAGACAAACGTTTTGTTTTGTTTTGTTTTTTAGATAAAATGACCATTGCTTCTCTAAAGGAAGTATGCAAAGAAAAGTAAAATGAGGCTGGGTGCGGTGGCTCGCGCCTGTAATCCCAACACTTTGGGAGGCCAAGGCAGGTGGATCACGAGGTCAAGAGATCAAAACCATCCTGGCCAACATGGTGAAACGCCATCTCTACTAAAAATTAAAAAAATTAGCTGGGCGTCGTGGTGCACACCTGTAGTCTCAGCTACTCTGGAGCCTGAGGCAGGACAATCGCTTGAACCCGGGAGGCGGAGGTTGCATTGAGCCGAGATCATGCCACCGCACTCCAGCCTGGCAACAGAGCGAGACTGCATCTCAAAAAAGAAAAAAAAAGTAAAATTGAAGGCATTGTAATTTAATCTAGCTATAGACTTAGAGCACCTGTACAACTTCTATAGTTGTCAGTCATTTAAATCTCTGTGTGCTGCCTTTGGAACATGGGGGACATAATGATCTACTCTTATAGAATAAGATGCTGATTAAATAGATAATGCTTTTAAAATATTTTGAATTAAAGATATTTTAATGTGTAAGTATACTGCAACTCATTTAAACAAATCTACTTGGTAGTGAAGCTATCTGATTGTACGGGAAAAAATATTGCCCTTATGATTTAGAACAGTGCGTGCAATATGAGCTACAAATGTGAGCCAAATATGTAATTTTTATTTTTCGAGATGGAGTCTCACTCTGTCACCCAGGCTGGAGTGCAATGGCACGATCTTGGCTCACTGCAACCTCCACCTCCCAGGTTCAAGTGATTCTCCTGCCTCAGCCTCTCATGTAGCTGGGATTACAGGTGAGTGCCACCACGCCCAGGTAATTTTTTGTATTTTTAGTAGAGATGGAGTTTTGCCATGTTGGCCAGACTTGAGCTCCTGACCTCAAGTGATCTGCCCACCTTGCCTTCCCAAAGTGCTGGGATTACAGGAGTGAGCCACCATGTCCAGCCCAAATCTGTAAATTTTAAACTTTAAACTTTGGACTGTGGACTTTTCAGTTAATGCTGAAATGAGTTAAGACTCTGGGGGACTGTTGCGAAGGCATGATTAGTTTTGAAATATAAGGACATGAGATTTGGGAGGGGCCGGGGCAGAATGATATGGTTTGGCTCTGTGTCCCCACCGAAATCTTGTCTTGAATTATACTCCCATAATTCCCATGAGTTATGGGAGGGACCCAGTGGGAGGTAAAATTGAATCGTGGGGGTAGTTTCCCGCATACTGTTCTCATGGTAGTAAGTAAGTCTCACCAGATCTGATGGTTTTCTAAGGGGTTTTTGCTTTCACTTCTTCCTCTCTCTTGACTGCCACCATGTGAGATGCCTTTCACCTTCCACCATGATTGTGAGGCCTCCCCAGACATGTGGAACTGTGAGTCCATTACACCTCTTTTTTTTTTTTTTTTTTTTTTTTTTTTGAGACGGAGTCTCGCTGTTTCGCCCAGGCTGGACTGGAGTGGCTCTATCTCGGCTCACTGCAAGCTCCGCCTCCTGGGTTCGCGCCATTCTCCTGCCTCAGTCTCCCGAGTAGCTGGGACTACAGGCGCCTGCCACTGCGCCTGGCTAATTTTTTGTATTTTTAGTAGAAACGGGGTTTCACCATGTTAGCCAGGATGGTCTTGATCTCCTGACCTCGTGATCCGCCCACCTTGGCCTCCCAAAGTGCTGGGATTACAGGCGTGAGCCACCACGCCTGGCCTAAACCTCTTTTTTTGTAAATTGCTCAGTCTCGGGTATGTCTTTATTAGCAGCATGAAAATGGACTAGTACAGCTGGATATGAAATTCTTGGTTGAAATTTTTTTTCTTTAAGAATGTTGAAAATAGTCTCCCTGTCTCTTCTGGCTTGTAGGGTTTCAGCTGAGAGGTCTGCTGTTAGCCTGATGGGAATCAGTTTGTAGGTGACCGGCCCTTTCTCTCCAGTTGCCTTTAATATTTTTTCTTTCATTTCGACCATGGAAAATCTGACAATTATGTCAGATTTTCCTGGGGGATGATTTTCTTGTGTAGAATCTTGCAGGAGTTCTCTGTATTTCCTGAATTTGACTGTTGGCCTCTGTAGCAACGTTGAGGAAGTTTTCATGGATGATATCCTGAAATATATTTTCCAAGTTGTTTGCTTTCTCCCCCTGCCTTTCAGGGATGCCAGTGATTCATAGATTTGGCCTATTTACATAATCCCATACCTCTCAGGGGTTTTGTTCTTTCTTTTTTTTCCTTGTTTTTGTCCGACTGTCTTATTTCAGAGAACCGATCTTCAAGTTTGGAGATTCTTTCCTTAGCTTGGTGTATTCTGCTGTTTGTAGTTGTGATTGCATTGCAAAATTCTTGTGTTATTAAGCTCTGTCAGACCCATTATGTTCTTTTTTGTACCAACTATTTTGTCCTTCAGCTCCTGTATCACTTTATTGTGATGCTTATTTTCCTTGGATTGGGTTTTGCCATCCTCCTGAATCTCAGTGATCTTTGTTCCTGTCCATATTCTGAATTCTATTTCTGTCATTTCAGCCAGTTCGGCCTGGTTAAGAACTCTTGGAGAACTGGTTTGGTCATTAGTAGAATATGTGACACCCTGGCCATTTGAGTCACTGGAGTTCTTGTATTGGTTCTTTCTCACCTCTGTGCGTGGGTGTTACTTTAACTGCAGTGTAGATAGAGTATAACCAATAGACTTCTTTTCTGGATGTTTTCACAGGGCTGAGGCTTTGTGTAGCTATGCTTTTTATTTGAAGCTGACTTCTTATCTTTGGTTTCAGAGGGAAATATGTTAATAAGGTATTTTTGGTATTGAAACTTTGGGGTGTGATCCAGTAGGTGACACTTAGGCTTATTGGTCAGTTGGTTGACGCTTGCCCAATTGTGTGGATTCCCTGTGTTTCCTCACAGTTGCAGCTGTGTTCCCTTTCAATGCTCTGAAAGTGTGAGTTCCACTCCCCCTTGAATGCTGGCTGTAGTTCACAACTTGGCACTCCTGGGCTGCCCACTGCCAGTCTGGGGTGATCTCAGTGTTTATGTTCCTTCCCCAGCTTAGAGGCAGAAGAGGAAGAGATTTTAGTAGTGGTTGTGCCAGGGGTCATTTGCTTGACTCATGGGGGCTCCACCCCAGAGGGATATAGGTCAGCAATCATTCAGTGCAATCAGCCCAACATGGAGGGTTTGTACAGGGCCCAAGCCAGGTGTTCCCTGTCTGGTGATGAGCTGTGGGGCATGTGTGGGACCCATGGGAGCAGACTAGTCTCTGCTCCTTGGGTCAACTGCAGCTTGTTGGAGGTGTGGATAAGGCACTTAGGGTCTTTGTTCCTTCATTAGTCCAACGGTGGCAAGGGCAGTTCCACTGCAGAGGCAGTGGCAGAGAGGCTTTCAGTTGCCCTGGAGGCTCTGTCCATGGAGTTGCTGAGTTGGTACTGGTTTGATAGCTGTGGCAGGGGATGGCTGGAGGCCCAGGCCTGGTGGACCTGCCTGATGAGGACGTATGGGAATGGGCACCTACATAACAGTCCGGCCACTTTCTGTAGGGCTTCTGCAGTATGCTTGGGGCCTACTCCAGTCCCTAGTCACCTCAGATTTTCCAGAACCTGTGGGTCTCACCAGCGAAGCCTGCAAAACAGCAAAGATGGCAGCCTGTCCTCTCTGGGAGCTTTGTCCCAGATAGATACAGACCTCCTGTCAGCCCAAAGGCACCTGTAGGAAGTGGCTGGAGACCCTGATTGGGAGGTCTTGTCCAGGGAGGAGGAACAGGATCAGGACCTGCTTAAAAAAGCAGTCTGGCCACATTTTGGTAGAGCAGTCATGCTGTCCTGGGGGTTCATTGCAGCCCCCAGTCACCTCAGACACTTCAAAGCCCAAAGGCTGGAATGGCTAAGTTGCCCAAACAGCAAAGATGGTGGCTTGCTGATGTGGTTTGGTTGTGTCCCCACCCACATCTCATCTTGAATTCCCATGTGTTGTGGGAAGGACCTGGTGGGAGGTAATTGAATCACAGGAGCAAATCTTTCCTGTGCTTTTCTTGTCATAGTGAATAAGTCTCACAAGATCTGATGGTTTTAAAAAGAGGCTTTCTCCTGCACAAGCTCTCTCATTTTTTGCCTTCTGCTATCCACGTAAGATGTGACTTGCTCTTCCTTGCCTTCCACCATGACTGTGAGGCTTCCCCAGCCACATGGAACTGTAAGTCCAATTTAACCTCTTTCTTTTGTAAATTGCTCAGTCTTGGGTATGTCTTTATCAGCAGTGTGAAAATGGACTAATACACTTGCCCCACCCTCTGGGAGTGCTGTGCCAGGGGGATTCAGATCTCTGTCAGCTAGAAAGCTTGGGTCGGGGGTAGCTAGAGGCCCCTGCTGGGAGGTCCTGCCCAGCGGGGAGGAACGGGATTGGCCACCCAGTTAAAGCAGCAGTCTGTCCGTATTTTGGTAGAGCAGCTGTGCTGTGCTGGGGGATCCCCTTCTGCCCCGGGTTGGCTCAGACACTCCAAAGCCTGAAGGCTAGAACAGCTAAAGTGCCTGAACAGCAAAGATGGTGGCCCACCCCTCCCCCTGGAAACTCCTTCTTAGGGGGGTGCAATGCTGCTAGTGGCAGCTGGCTGCAATTCCAAGCCAACAGGTCTTATCTTGTGAGGTGCCATGAAAATGAGGCCTGCGGCCTGCCGCTGCTCAGCCCCCTGGATTCAGCCTCTTTCCTAGGGGTATGTACAATAGTCTAACCTCCCTCTTTGCCAGAGCTGCAGCTACTTTTGCCAGAAAGCTCAAGTATCTAAGCCTCCAGGGTCTCCACACGTGCCTTAGTGGCTGCTCTGCCAAGGTTCCATGTAGCTCTGTCTGTCAGACTGAAGACAGAAGGCCCTGGTGGAGTGGGTTCACAAGGAGATCTGACTGACCCAAGGGTTGCAAAGATCTGTGGGAGAAGCATGGTCTCCCAGGGTTGCTCATTCACTTACCACTTCCCTGGACAGAGGATACCCTGTCTTCATGTTGCTCCCAGGTGGCCATTATCCTGTCTTGCTTTTCTTCATTCTCTGTGGGTTGAGTTGTTCCCCTGATTAATGCCAATACGAGTACCTGGATGTTTCAGTTGAAGGTGTTGTATTTACTAGCCCTTTCTGTTCCTCTCCGTGAGAGCCATGTATACTAGCTGCTTCTAGCCAGCCATCTTGCCAACTGCCCCTACATTCTTCTTTCATTCTAAGTCTTTGAGATCTGATGTGTATTTTACACCTGCAGCACATTTCAGTTCACACTACGCACACTTAAGTGCTTGATGTTCACATACAGAGATTGGCTGCATGTGGGACAGTGTGGATTTAGAATTTAGAGCTTTCTATTCTTATTATAGCAAAGGGATGAGCCATCAAAGGAAGCCGAAGAGCAACTTTTGTTTGTTTGTTTGTTTTTGACATGGTTTGGCTTTGCGTCCCTGCCCAAATCTCTTGTTGAATTGTAATCCCAAATGTTGGAGGCGGAGCTTGGTGGGAGATAGTTTGGTGATGGAGTTAGATTCCTTGCAAATGTCTTGGGCCATCCCCTTGGTGATAAGTGAGCTCTCCCTGTGAGATCTCACAAGACCTGGTCATTTAAAAGTATCTGGCACCTCCCTTCCCTACCCCCTTGCTTGCTCCAGCTTTTGCCTTATGAAGCACCTGCCCCACCTTTGCCTTCCACCATGATTGTAAGTTTCCTGAGGCTTTCCCGGATGCTGAGCAGCACCCTGCTTCCAGTAAAGCCAGCAGAACTGTGAGCCAATTATACCTTTTTTCTTTATAAATTACCCCATCTCAGATTTTTTTTCTTTTTTTTTGAGACAGAGTATTGCTTTGTCACCCCGGCTGCAGTGCAGTGGCGTGATCTTGGCTCACTGCAACTGCCTCCTGGGTTCAAGCAATTCTCTTGCCTCAGCCTCCCGAGTAGCGGGGATTACAGGCACATGCCAGCATGACCTACTAATTTTTGTATTCTTAGCAGGGACGGGGTTTCACCATGTTGGCCAGGCTGTTCTCGAACTCTTGACCTTGTGATCTGCCCACCTTGGCCTCCCAAGGTGCTGAGAATACAGGCGCGAGCCACCGCCCCTGGCCAGGTATTTCTTTATAGCAATGCAAGAATGGCCTAATACAGTTTCTTTATTTTTCTACAAGCTCTTGTTACATGGTTCACTTATTTCAAGTTTTCTGATGGCTTTCAGACCAAAATAGATTATTCTGAAAGACACAGTGAGAGCAGCAACTAACTAGGCTGTAGGCAGTTTTGTTAAATAGAGGATATCTGTCTTGTAAGGAAAAAGAAAAAAACAATTTTCTTATGTGAAATTAGAGCCTAAAATAGGACTTATCATTGCACTTCGTTTGATTACTCTTCAGTTATGGACATATTTTATTTATTTATTTATTTATGTGTTTTGAGACAGAGTCTCGCTCTGTCGCCCAGGCTGGAATGCAGTGGCACGATCTCGGCTCAGTGCAAGCTCCACCTCTCGGGTTCACGCCATTCTCCTGCCTCAGCCTCCCAAGTGGCTGAGACTACAGGCGCCCGCCACCACGCCTGGCTAATTTTTTGTATTTTTAGTAGAGACGGGTTTCACTGTGTTAGCCAGGATGGTCTCAATCTCCTGACCTCATGATCCGCCCGCCTCGGCCTCCAAAAGTGCTGGGATTACAGGTGTGAGCCACTGCGCCTGGCTGGACATATTTTATTAAATAGTAATCTCAATTGGTTTATGAGGAAAATATTATATGTCTGTATATATATAACAAATATATTTTATCGACTAGTAATATTAATTGGTTTATGAGGAAAATATTATATGTCTGTGTATATATATATATATATATATATATATATATCAAATATTTTAGAAACTTTCTTCTGAATGGGGCCTCTGAAAGAATCTGTCCAAATATTTTGTAAATTCAAAAACTGAAAATATCAGAAGGTTTGTAAATTGTGTTTACATTTAATAACTCCAGTATTCAAAAATATTTGTAGCCTGTATTATATGGTATAAATATTTCATATGATGTCATTATTAAAATGTTTTAAATTTATCCGTGTACCTACGTAACTAGTAAACTTTCATTACTGAAGTTGAAAAGCTTCAAATCATAGAGCTGTTCTAAGAAAATCTCTAAACTGAAACATACTTTGAGAAGAGTCAGTACAGAAAATTTCCAACATTTTTCCAGTCTCTCCTTTACTGATCCCACCTCTCCTGTTAAAAAGCAATACATCAAAAAGTCTGTTTGAGTATACCTTTTTATTTAAGATAATATTTACATTGGGAACTAATAAAAGTTTAGATTAAATTACATACAGTTCTCAATACATATTTATTTTAATGACATGACTGATGCTCAAGCAACTTATTAATAGTATGTAAAATGAACTGGATCACACAAATGTACATTAGAGTTTGTTACTTTGTAGGCCCTTTGTGAGGCTCTTCCTGCTCCCTTCCCAGCTACACTCTGGGCTCCCCAGGCCTTCCTCTCAACCTCACAGATCTCTGGCACTAATATCAGCAGAGGAAGGAGTGGAGATGAGGCTAACTAGACTAAAACAATGGGGAAGGGAAGAAGACAGAGCAAGCAAAGTACCTTGTGACCTTAAAATAATGAGCCATGTTTTCCTGCGTGTCTAGTGAACTGTCTCTAAAGACAATTCAAAAAAAGAAACTATAAAAATGTTGAGAATAAAAGCAACATCCTTGTGATTAAAAGCCTGCCCTACCAAGTTTGCTGCTTTGAAGCACAACACACATTTGAATGTAACTGAAAAGAAAATTTCAGCATGTTTAGAAGGTAAGAAATGCCAGGTGAGGTGCAAACCTGCCTTACAACTTGACAATTATTGTTTATAACTTATATTTCAATCTTTTAAAATAGTTGATAAAAGACATAATGTTCTCCCTTCCTCCCATTTATTATCAAGATAATGAGGAACTTCTCAGCTGAGATAGGAATAAATTTTTTTGATTCAGGGTGAAACTCTGCTGAGTGCCTGTAAATTTTCAGAATTTTTCAGTATTTTTGCCGTTGAAGCAACAGTAGTGGATGAGCAAAGAGTGAAAATTTCAATGCAAGTGAAATTTCTAAATGGTGGTGGTAAACCAGAATAGCCATGGAAGACAACATCTTTGCAGGTTCTAGGGATTTGGATGTGAACAGTTCCCCCTTCAAAAAATGTTCACATCCAAATCCCTAGAACCTGCAAATATGTTACCTTCCATGGCAAGACGGACTACAAATGTGATCAACTTAAGGGTCTTGAGATGGAGAGATTATTCTGGATTATCCAGATTGGCAAAATATAATTACAAATATCCTTATAAGAGGGAGACAAGGGGGCCAGAGTCAGAGAGAAGCTATACCAACAGAAGCAGAGGTTGGAGTGATGCTCTTTGAAGATGGAGAAAGGGGGTGTGAGTCAAGAATTGCAGCAGTCTCTAAAAGCTGAAAAAGGCCAGGAAACAGATTTTCCCCTAGAGCCTCTAGATGGATTTTACCCTAAGACACATTTCAGCCTTCTGACTTCCAGAACTGTAAAATAATAAATTTGTGCTGCTTTAAGTCATGGAATGTGTGGTATTTTATCACAGCAGCAATACAAAACTAATACAGCAAGCATTGCAGAGCATGAACACAACATATGCCTCAACCCTCTGCAGTTATTTTTTTTTCACCAGCTATAGTTTTCATCCTTATACTTATCATAATCCCATTGCCAATAACAGGAAGCACTAACGATGTAAAGTTCATCATATGGGTAAAACAAAATATGTTTGTACTATAAAGACAACCTATCAGCAAGTAAAACTTTCCATTTATCAAATTCATTTAACTAAAACTTATTGAATAAAGAAGTGACCACGGCCGGGTGCTGTGGCTCACGCCTGAAATCCCAGCACTTTGGGAGGCCGAGGTGGTGGATCAACTGAGGTCAGGAGTTCAAGACCAGCCTGGCCAACATGGTGAAACCCCGTTTCTACTAAAAATACAAAAATGTGTAAAGCATGATGGCGGATGCCTGTAATTCCAGCTACTTGGAAGGCGGAGGCAGGAGAATCACTTGAATCTGGGAGGTGGAGATTTCAGTGAGCCAAGATCGTGCCATTGCACTCTAGCCTGGGCGACTTAGCAAAACTCCGTCTCAAAAAAAAAAAAAAAAAAAAAAAGACGTGACCAACACCAATAAAAATTCCCACCCAGTTGGAATTTACATTCTAATGGGAGACATGGGCAATAAATATATTACGCAATTTTATGTAAAGATACACTTTCTGTGGAAAGCGCAAATACTAGCTGATTCTGGAAAAGTAAATCAAGTGTCCCTTCATAAACCCAACTTCCAGGTTCATGAACCCTTTACTAACTGTAAAATGTTTTTTCCTCAGGTATTCAAGTGAAACCTCCAGGGATTCCTCAAGGCCTGCCATTTCATTTCACATCAATTTTCTCAAATTTTATGGGATAATCACTGTGAAAAAAACATTTTAAATGGTCCATTTTCAAGGCATGATAAATCTAACTACTGGCAGCCAGCCTAAGGATGTAAAAAACCACACAGCTTGTGCACCTGGAAAGTCACGATAAGCGAACAGACTGTAAAGGAGAGGTCAGCCCATAAAAGGGAAGAAAGTTTCATTATTGGGAAATCAAACTTAAGCTGGGAAGGCGATGGGAGGGTATAACCTTATAAGGGGGGTAATAAAACTTAGGCTTTGTCTGGAAAGATTGTAACCCGATAGTACTCGACCAGTGAGGAACTGGGGCAGGGACTTGCATGCTAGGAGATAAATTACATGCTGATTTATCATTAGGAGATAAATTAGGAGATTGGGTGTGCCTGCCTACCAGACACCCAATCTTGCAAGACCACCATGCAAAGTCTTGCTTCCACTGTTCTTTGTGTCTCCAAGTCCATTCTTTGAGTTTGGATGGGTGAATGTGTTTCTCACAATCACTTTCTAAAGAAGGCATAAATGAATATTACTGCCATTCTCCAGCCTCTGTCCCTATTATCCACCTCTAGCCTACATGTCATGTTCTGGCCAAACAGAAAAGAAGGTTGAACTCCAGGGAATAAAAAAGCATGGTTAACTAGAAATACGACCAGTAATACCCAAGCCCTGTTAGTATGTTCCCTTTGCATTATTTGTGGATAAAGCACTTTTCAACAAGATGTGGAAGTATAATATTCTTACATTTATGCCTGAAGTTATTAACCAGTAATTGTTCCAAGTGACTTTTTTTGAATGACATTTAATGGGACTATACAGATAATTTCATACTATCCATGTTTTTACCCAACTGAGGAACTATTTACAAGATCAGACTGCAAACAGAAAATAAATCTGTGTACAAAAAAATGATTTAGAATTCAGAGATATCCTTCATTCCTTTCTCTCCTTACCCCTTACATTCCGTTCATCAGTATCTTCTAAAATTTTACCTACAGAAAATCACTTGATCAGTCAATTTTTTTCCATTTCATTATTATAATGCTAATCCAAGCCACCATCATGTTATACTTGGACCTGAATTGATCTCTCGCCTCTCTGCAATCCATTCTTCAAGAGCAGTCACAGTAATACTTTTGATTTTATTAAAGAATATTGAAAGTTCAGTAAATATAAATAATTTTACAACAAACATCAGTGTTTTCACTACCTAGAGTTTACAAATTGTTAATAATTTGTGTTTACATATGAGTGGTATTACAAATATGGTAACAGAAATGGACATTACAAATACGGTGATGTCCTTTTTGTTCTCTTCCTCATTCCCATAGTCTAGAATTAGTCACCACCTTAAATTTGGTGTTTATCCTTCCAGGCTGTTTTTATACTTTTATTCTATATATGTGTTTACAAGCAAAATATGGAATGGTTTTATATCCTTAAAAATTACATAAATGGTATCATTCTCTACTTTCTTTATTCCATTGAACATTACTTAATTGAAGGCTATCCCTGTTGATTCTTATAGATCCTGTTTTTCCATTTTAATTGCTGTGTATTGTATTCCACTGTGTGAATACATCATTATTATTTCAATTGTCTTACAGATTGATGTTTAGTTGCTTTACGTTTTTCTCTACTACAATGCCCCAGTGAGCTCACTGGTGACTTTTTGTGCACATGTATACAGCTTTCATTACCTAGATATAGAATTGCAAGATAAGGAATGCACATTTTCAATTAGATCTTCCCAAAGAGGTTGTGCTGACTTACACTCTCACCAGTTATGAATCCTGGATTCAGTATTTTCAAACTTTAAATTTTTTTCTAATTGTTGCTTTAATGGGATTTCTGTGATGACTAATGAGATCATATGACAATTGGACATTCTTTTATGAATTATCTTCTTCATATCTATTGCCCATTTTCTATTGTATTGTTTGTCTTTTAGAAGTTTTATGTTGCAAATATCTTCTCTTAGTCTAAGCCTTATCTTTTCACTTTATAGAAATTTAAAGGGATTTTTGCAATTACTTTTAATGGCAAAAACAACAATTACTTTTGCACCAACCGAAAATAAGATATTATTTGTTATTTGAAATTTTTAATCAAAGGGACATTTAAAAACAAATTAGATAATAGTACTAAGTTTTTGTTAAAATTAAACAGTAACCAGCCGGGCGCGGTGGCTCACGCCTGTAATCCCGGCACTTTGGGAGGCTGAGGTGGGTGGACCACAAGGTCAGGAGATCGAGACCATCCTGGCTAATACGGTGAAACGCCGTCTCTACTAAAAATCCAAAAAATTAGCCAGGCGAGGTGGCGAGCGCCTGTAGTCCCAGCTACTCGGGAGGCTGAAGCAGGAGAATGGCGTGAACCCGGGAGGCAGAGCTTGCAGTGAGCCTAGATCGTGCCACTGCACTCCAGTCTGGGTGACAGAGTGAGACTCCTCCATCTCAAAAAAAAAAAAAAAAATTAAACAATAACCTTACTATAAATCGTGTATAGTTTGTAGTATATCGTGGAATATAATGGAGGATGAACCTATCATTCCCAACAGTCCCTAGAATAATGCTTTGCATGTAGCGGGTATTCAACAAATATTTGTTGGATAAATGAATGATTATTTTTGTTACTGTGATAAAATTCTAACTTAAGAAACTTATACCCTGTATTGGATAGTCAAGATTCTGATTCTGAGAGTGATCAAAGCAGAGAAGTAGCACATATCATAGAGTTTTTCTTAATGGGGTTTCCTTCTTTCTAAATATACTGCACATCCTATGAGTCCCACAGTCAGGCTTACCTCAGCTAAGAGGATTGAGATATCACACAACAACCTTTGCAGGAGAAGAAAAGGTTACAAAACAGAGCAAATCTGGGTTTCAGAACAAAGGGAGTGCATGTAGAATAGTGGCTAATAGCATGGATTGTGGAGTCAGCCCAACTGGGCTTTAACCCTGGGTCTTCTACTTGTTAGCCGGATAAACTTAGATCACCTACCTTGTCTAATTCTCAATTTCAACAAATACAAAATAAGAAAAATTATGTCTCTCTCATAGCAAACCATTGGGATTAAATGACCTAATGTATTAAAGCCTCTTCACAGTACCCAACACCAAAGTGTTCAAAAATGGTAGCAGTTAGTATTATTAAATGGAAGTTATTATACATTCTCAGATATTATATAATGGCAATGCAGCAATTTAAAATTTTAATGGCATTTACACATTGCATTATGGCTATAATGTATTAAGGAGTGCCTTTTCGCTATAAGAACAAATAGTCTCAGATGATGTACTTTCTATTTTGATTTCCAGTTTCCATTGATAATTATTATAGACTTGGACAAATTTCAGGTATTGTTGCCTAAGCCTTTTGTTTTTAAAAATGTTCCTATCTTTAAGGCTTTCTATATAATTGTAGATAATACATAAATGTGATTATATACCTGCTTTCATAATGAATTTTTAAAAATCTCATCTCCTTTCTCCCCACTTCAACCTCCTTACATCCCATTTCCATTGTAATTCATGTTAATAGCCTAGTATGTATCCTTACATTTTTACTCTTGATTTATGTAATTCCATGCAGAACTATTCATACATATACTTACATATATTGCAAATGCAGGGTTTTAAAAATCATTAATTTTAAAAATGGGGCCATATTATAAAGCAGGTTACTTTTCTCACCCAACATTACCTGGGAGAAATACATCCAAATCATTTGGGTATAAAGTTGAATTCATGTATATATATATATGTTTGTTTGTTTGTTTGTTTGTTTGTTTTTTGAGATGGAGTCTCGGTGTGTTGCCCAGGCTGGAGTGCAGTGGCACGATCTCAGCTCACTGCAAGCTCCATCTCCTGGGTTCATGCCATTCTCCTGCCTCAGCCTCCTGAGTAGCTGGGACTACAGGCGCCCACCACCATGCCTGGCTAATTTTTTTGTATTTTTAGTAGAGACGGGGTTTCACCGTGTTAGCCAGGATGGTCTCGATCTCCTGACCTCGTGATCCACCCATCTCGGCCTCCCAAAGTGCTGGGATTACAGGCGTGAGCCACCGTGCCCGGCCTTGAATTCATATTTTTGATGGCAGCACAATATTGCATGATTAGAGGTAGCATTATCTATTGAGCAATCCTTCATCTGTTGATTTTGTTTCCATTTTTTGGCAATGCAGACGCTGCTACAATAAATATCCTTGTATGTCTTTACTGATCTGTTTATTTCTTTGGGATAGATTCACAGGAGTAGGATTGCTAGACTGGAGGACATGTGCATTTTACATTTTAATAGATATTGATGAATCTTTTCCATTAACAGCAGGGAATATAACAGCAAGTGACATTTTAGGTCACTTTTATAGAAAATGTCACTTGTGTACAACAGTTATGTAGCAATAAATGTAACATCTTTTAAAAAAGAGAAAACAATTTCTGGTAAGGAAGTTCTAAACAAAGAAGCATTCCATCGGGATATGCCCTCCTTTAAAATTACTGTTATTAGAAAGTGGAATTCGGTAGGGGATTGGAGCAGGGGCAGGAAGCTCGAAGAAGAAAGAATACGGAAATACAAATCTTTCCAAGTTCACTTTCATCAATAGTGACTTTCTATAATAGTGCTGTCCTAAAACAGGATGTCTGATCATCTTAGGAATACACAGTTGTTTTGCTGCGACACACTTTTCCTTCCAAGCTCATTAGCTGCTTTTTCTTTTTGGCAAAATGTTTTGTGGTGTGCAGCATGCTGATAAATACTACTCAAACATTTTTCACTACTTTTCTGTGGTAGGGAGTGGAGGAAGGGGAGAGAGTTCCAAGAACAAGGGCTTTTTGTGATATACCGATGATGCTATCAAGTCCTTAAACAAGTGCGTAAGAAGTCTTAGCAGAGTTAATTGCTCAATTCACTGCTATTGAACAGTACATCTTTATAGGGAGCAGGATAAAATACCATGATTTACAAGTTGGAATGAAAAAAACACTTCATGAAACATATTTATCGGGCCGTTCCTGTTAATAAGAACACTAATAGAGGCTAGTTAGCTTTTTTAAATTTCTTCATTAGTAATTTCCATTAAGAAATGTTAGTCCTGTACATAGTAGATATAAAATAAGTAAAAATATTAACATACTTAATCTGCACATTTACTTTAAAAATGTGATACAGAAGTAAAAATTGGGCCGGGCGCAGTGGCTCACGCCTGTCATCCCAACACTTTGGGAGGCCAAGGCAGGCAGATCACGGGGTCAGGAGTTCGAGACAAGCCTGACCAACATGGTGAAACCCCGTCTCTACTAAAAATGCAAAAATTAGCCAGGCATGGTGGCGGGCACCTGTAATCCCAGCTACTCAGGAGGCTGAGGCAGGAGAATCGCTTGAACCCAGGAGGCAGAGGTTGCAGTGAGCCGAGATCATGCCATTGCACTCCAGCTTGGGTGACAGCGGGAGACTCCGTCTCAAACAAACAAACAAAACAACAACAACAACAACCAAAAAAAAGGCAAAAAAAAAAATTGGCTAAAAGGAAACTGTTCAAAATGCAAAAGACTTAAAACTGTGAAACCTCTAGCCTGCAGATCAACAGGAAAAAATCTGATTAGTCCATGGCCAAATGAACCAATTTAAAAGACACCATGAAAATGAAATTTGAAACAAAGTACCTATGAAATTTCAAATTATTTAAAGAACAAAACTATCCCATATGTTTCATTAAACATGAAAATACATTTTTAAACATAAATCTAAGTGTTATTAGCTTTCTTTCTCAACACATCGAGAAACTTAGGCAATGAGAATATTATCTGAGTTTCTTATCAGTTGTATTTTCTTATTTCTTGAATCACAACTATCCTTAAGATGAGAGCATCCTGGAAAATATTTATTTTTCTAAGACATTTGTCATCTTTTTAAAGGACTGCAGAAACTCAATTTTATTTTTTTAAAAAAACACTAACTCAAATTAAGTGGGCAATGTGTTCATGAAAAGGAAGAGAGATTCTGCCCCAATTCCTGGGGAAAGTCAGGGGCAGGACACAGAATATTCTTTTACAGTAACATTGGGATTGTCTTTTCTCATCAGCTCTAGGTTTAGACAAGCAGTGGGCCTGGTCTTTATGAGGTTTCCACTGAAATGAAGACAAGTGGGTGAAGGTAGAGACCAGGCATATCTTCCAGCGTGGGAGTGACTAAGAAGTGCCATATGTCTTCTTTTCAGCCTAAACCTTCAAAGAAGCAAATGATTACAGGGTAATTTAAACTATCAAGCTAAGAAAATGCACACACACATAATACCTAACTGTCAAAGGGCCGATTCACAACTTGGTCACTTAACTGAAGGAGAAAAGGAATGTTTGGAATTAGAATAAACAGACGCATATACAAACAGTTTATTATTTCTGCCAGAACTCTAAGTGGTTTCCCCATAATTTGGAGAATCTTCTGAGAAGGGTGCTCTGGAAATCCAAAGCTTATCTAGCAGAAACTCAAATTCAACACAAACCAAATAGATTCATCTTCCTCCGTAACCTACTCCTCTGCTTTTGACTTCTGTTTCTGCGTGACAGAGCCTGGTATCTGCGTTCTATTTATATTATATATTGTTATTCTGTGTTCCCAGAGAAACTGGAATGCAAAAACCTGACTGCATTTGCTCTTTAATAAAAACTATGGGCCGGGTGCAGTGACTCATGTCTGTAATCCCAGCACTTTGGGAGGCAGAGGAGGGCGGATCGCTTGAGCCCAGGAGTTTGAGACCAGTCTGGGTAATGTGGTGAAACCTTGTCTCTACAAAAATTACAAAAATCAGCCAGAGCGTGGTGGCGTGCACCTCTAGTCCCAGCTCCTCAGGAGGCTGAGGTAGGAAGATTGCTTGAGCCCAGGAGGTGGAGTTTGCAGCGAGCCGAGATCGTGCCACTGCACTCCAGCCTGGGCAACAGAGCTAGACCCTGTCTCAAAACCAAAACAACAACCACAACAACAACAACAAACCTATGTAATATAAGTTCTCCAGACTTCATTCCTCATTTGTAAATGAGGAATCAAACCTTGTAGGTAGAAAGAATAAAGAACATGGAAACCAGAAATATCTGTTCACACCCAAGTCTGCCATTTACCATGTGTATTGCCCTGGGAAATGTTAAGGGTCTCCTAGTTCTTACATTCTTTGACTTAATTATTTATCTGATGATGTTTCCATATTTGTTATTATATTGAAGAAAGTTAAATATTAACAAGACCCATAACATTAGTAGACATTGATTGCAGAGCCTCTACATATTGTGGGGAAACAAAGTTAGAGTTGAAAGGCTCCTAGGAAAGTGTTTTAATCCACTTCACTCTACACAGCCATGTTCTTGCCCACTCATGACTTTGCCTGTAGCTGCCTCCACCTCAACTTTCTCCCTCCCATCCATTTATTTATAGTCTATCCATACTTCAAAGCCCAACTCAAATATTTTCCCCTCACTGAAACCTCTTATGAAAATTTCAGTGAACATTGAACAATAACTGAACTTTCTAAATAAGTAATATTTAAATTCATTATGTATTTCCATGCTCAGCGATGTATAAAATATTTTTTTTTTTGAGATGGAGTCTCGCTCTGTCGCCCAGGCTGGAGTGCGGTGGTGCAATCTCAGCTCGCTGCAAGCTCTGCCTCCTGGGTTCATGCCATTCTCCTGCCTCAGCCTCCCGAGTAGCTGGGACTACAGGTGCCCACCATTACACCCAGCTAATTTTTTGTATTTTTAGTAGAGATGGGGGTTTCACCATGTTAGCCAGGATAGTCTCGATCTCCTGACCTCGTGATCTGTCCACCTTGGCCTCCCAAAGTGCTGGGATTACAGGCGTGAGCCACTGTGCCCGGCCTTATGATATACTTTTTGTTTCATATGCATGACTTGTGTTTAAATTACTCATTGTTTTATTCATTTCCAGTAAACACTCACTGAAAATCTACCACATATTCTGTGATCTTGGACATTATTTATGTAATTTTTTTTGGTAAAATGGGAATAGAAATTGCTATCTTTCAAAGGTGAAGAAGATTGAATGAGATAACATATGTGCAAGTGCCTGGCCTGTGTTGTGGCATAAATGTCTTTCTTTCTCTTTTATAAACAGGTGATTTCTGAAAATCATAAAAAAGAAATGGACTGCTTAACTTGTTCTCAAGATTAGGGATACTCTATCTAGAAAGCAAGTTTTTCTTGTGCTGTTTTGTAACTAGCACTGTCATTTTTTGAGTATTACAGTATCTACTTGGAGATGTTACATGAAAAAGTTTGCTAACTTCACTAATATTAATAGAATTTCGTGGTTAAATGTTTGGAATGCTGGGATTTAAAACAAGTAAGGCATTTCCTTTTTTCTCCCCACCCCGTTCAGTGAGGTTGTTTCACGCACTTGTAATGCAGTTAGATTGTTTTGTCACATTCTGTATTCCATCCTGAGATCCTCTAGCTTTTAAATAATTTTTAAATTTTGCATTAAGATTTACTTTTTTTTAAATTGACAAATGCATAGTGTCTTAATGTCGTGTATCTATCATTACAGTATCATATAGAATAGTATCACTGCCCTAAAAATCTGCTGTGGTCTGCTTATTTAGCACTCTCCTCAGACCCCTGGCAACCGCTGGTCTTTTTTACTGTTGCTATCGTTTTGCCTTTTCCAGAATGTCATATAATTGGAGGATACAGGATGTGACCTTTTCAGTCTGACTTTTTGCATTTAGCAATATGCAGTTAAAATTAATCCCTATCTATGCATAGCTTGATAGCTCATCCTTTTTGTCACCGAATAGTATCCTATTGTGTGAATGTATTTGAGTATTTTAAGAATAGCATCCTGTTCTTATTTCATGCATGCAACATGTCATATATTTCTGATATTAATATTAGTCCCTTAAACATTTTGTCATTTCCTTCTCCTTAGTAGTGTCTTCTTCCTCCAGGTTGCTTTTCTTCTGGCTATTTTTGTGAGCCTCTGCTTTAGACGCTTCCCTAAAAAAATCTGGTTGTCTTGGCTGTCCATTTAAGAGTGGGGCACCAAAACGCTGACTGAGCATGAGTTCAGTTTGTTGACTGCGAGCACCACAGTAGCAAAACTAGAGGAATGACTTTGTTGGACACATGTTAACATCTTCAGCTTTATTCACTTGGGCTAGTCAGGTTCCCCAGAGATCCACTGATCTCTCTAGAGGATAAACTTTTGACAGCTTTCGGAGAGCCAACAGAGGGACAAAGGCCCAAGATTTAAATCAGCCCAATCTTATTGCCCATGCAGTGTGGACCAGTGAACCTCTCTTTTACTCCCTCCAAAGAAAAGACCCCCACTCTTCTTGAACAACTTGATTGAAATATCCTTCACATAGCACACAATTTACCCATTTAAAGTATAAAATTCAGCTGGGCATGGTGGTGCACACCTGAAATCCCAGCTACTTGGGAGTCTGAGGCAAGAGGATCACCTGAACCCAGGAGTTCAACCACAGCCTGGTCAGCAATACAAGACCCCATCTAAAAAAAGTGTATATAATTTAATGGTTTTTGTATATTTAGTCAGAGTTGTGCAACCATCATGTCAATTTTGGAACATTTTCATCATCCCAAGAAGAAACCACATGCCCTTTAGAAGTCATCCTTCCCAACCAGTGCCCCCATCCTTCACTGACTCCCCACCTCCACCCCACCCCAGACCTAGGCAACCACTAATCTCCTCTCTGTTTCTATGGATTTTCCTAGTCTGGACAGTTCATAGAAATGGAATCATACACTATGCAGTCTTTTCTGACTGGATTCTTTCTCTTAGCCTCTGTTTCCATGTGTGTAGTAGTATGAATCTGTCCTTCATTTTTTTATTGCCAAAAAATATTCCATTGTATGGATATACCATATTTTATATATTCATTCATCATTTGATGGCTTGAAGTTATATCTACTTTTTGTCTGCTATGAATAATGCTGCTATGAATAATGCTGCTATGAACAATCATAGACTGAATAAATTTTTGTGCGGACATATTTTCATTTCTCTTGGGTATATACCTAGGAGTAGAATTGCTCAATCATATGCTAACACTGTGCTTAATCATTTGAGGAACTATTGGTCTCCAAAGTGGCTGCACCATTTCCATTCCCACCAGCAGCATATGAGGTCTCCATTGCTCCACATCCTATATAAGATTTGTTACTATCTTTTTCATTATAGCCACCCACTCTGGTATAAATGAATTGGTATCACATTTTGCCTGTTTTTTTAAAAACACACTTTATTTTGGCCAGGCACGGTGCCTCACGCCTGTAATCCCAGCACTTTGGGAAGCCGAGGTGGGCAGATCACGAGGTAAGGAGATCGAGACCATCCTGGCTAACATGGTGAAACCCCATCTCTACTAAATATACAAAAAATTAGCCGGGCGTGGTGGCGGGCGCCTGTAGTCCCAGCTACTCACGAGGCTGAGGCAGGAGAATGGCATGAATCCGGGAGGCGGAGCTTGCAGTGAGCCGAGATTGCGCCACTGCACTCCAGCCTGGGTGACAGAGCGAGACTCCGTTTCAAAAAAAAAAAAAAAAAGAAAAAAAATACTTTATTTATTTTTATTTATTTATTCATTTTTTGAGACCAAGTCTCGTTCTGTTGCCAGGCTGGAGTGTGTTGGCACGATCTCGGCCCACTGCAACCTCCACCTCCAGGGTTCAAGCAATTCTCCTGCCTCAGCCTCCCAAATAGCTGAGACTACAGGTGCGTGCCACCACGCCCAGCTAATGTTTGTATTTTTAGTAGAGACGGAGTTTCACCATATTAGCCAGGATGGTCTTGATCTCTTAACCTCGTGATCCGCCTGCCTCGGCCTTCCAAAGTGCTGGGATTACAGGCGTGAGCCACAACACCTGGCCTTAAACATACTTTCAACTACTCCTCTTAATTTTAATTTTACCTGATCCCCAATTCCAAACGTACAAGTAGACACTAATTCATGCTCTTTTAGAGGTTCTGCAGTGCAGATTGCTTTCCCCCCACCAATTAGTTAGTACCATTTCTGTGTCTAGTTAACTCTGGTCGAACGATTTCTAGCTTCCAAAATATTGTGGTTTCTGTCTTCTGTTTTGTTTTCGTCTTGTTGGTCTTATGTCCTTAAAAATTTCATGGACTTCATTTTAATGAATTTTGAGAGAGAGACGTAGCTAGTGCATATGAGTAATTCATTCTCTCTAAACTAGAAGTTTATTTTCATTTCTATCTGCACTGTGAAGTTAAGTTTTTTTATTCGAATTTTTTTTTAAGGAGAATAAGGTTTAACAAATGTTTCCTGTTTCTGAAAGGGGTAATCAAGCCATAAGTCACACTTGAGTGAAATGTTACTTTTGGAGAGAAATGAACACAGAAGCATACTTGCATTATTTATAATGGCTTGTCTCTCTTGTGATCACTTAAAGTTATATGAACATATCTTGTATTGTTTTCATCTTTTAAATTAATCACTGGGACATTATTACAAGCTTTATACAAGTGATGGCTATTAACTTCATTTTTAAAGCTTTAACAATAATAATACATAGTAATATTTATTTTTTACATACTCTATCCCGGGCACTGTACTAAACATTGTACATATACTATCTCATATTGAGAGGTGACAGCGTGCTGGCAGTCCTCGCAGCCCTCGCTCACTCTCAGCGCCTCCTCTGCCTGGGCTCCCACTTTGGCGGCACTTGAGGAGCCCTTCAGCCCGCCACTGCACTGTGGGAGCCCCCTCCTGGGCTGGCCAAGGCCGCAGCCGGCTCCCTCAGCTTGCGAGGAGGTGTGGAGGGAGAGGCGCGGGCGGGAACGGGGGCTGCGCACGGTGCTTGCGGGCCAGCACGAGTTCCGGGTGGGCGTGGGCTCTGCGGACCCTGCACACAGAGAGGCCGGCAGGCCCCACCGGCCCGGGCAGTGAGGGGCTTAGCACCTGGGCCAGCAGCTGCTGTGCTCAATTTCTCGCCTGGCCTTAGCTGCCTTCACGCAGGGCATGGCTCGGGATCTGTAGCCGGCCATGCCTGCGCCTCCCCAACCGTCCGTGGGCTCCTGTGCAGCCCCAGCCTCCCCGAGGAGCGCAGCCCCCTGCTCCACGGCGCCCAGTCCCATCGACCACCCAAGGGCTGAGGAGTGTGGGCGCACGGCGCTGGACTGGCAGGCAGCTCCACCTGCAGCCCCGATGGGGGACCCACTGGGCGAAGCCAGCTGGGCACCTGAGTCTGGTGGGGACTGGAGAACCTTTATGTCTAGCTAAGGGATTGTAATTACACCAATCGGCACTCTGTATCTAGCTCAAGGTTTGCAAACACACCAATCTGCACCCTGTGTCTAGCTCAGGGTTTGTGAATGCACCAATGGACACTCTATCTAGCTACTCTGGTGGGGCCTTGGGGAACCTTTATGTCTAGCTCAGGGATTGTAAATACACCAATCGGCACTCTGTATCTAGCTCAAGGTTTGTAAACACACCAATCAGCACCCTGTGTCTAGCTCAGGGTTTGTGAATGCACCAATCGACACTCTGTATCTAGCTACTCCAGTGGGGACTTGGAGAACCTTTGTGTCCACAGTCTGTATCTAGCTAATCTGGTGGGGAGGTGGAGAACCTTTGTGTCTAGCTCAGGGATTGTAAACGCACCAATCAGCGCCCTGTCAAAACAGACCAATCAGCAGGATGTGGGTGGGGCCAGATAAGAGAATAAAAGCAGGCTGCCCGAGCCAGCAGTGGCAACCCGCTTCGGTCCCCTTCCACACTGTGGAAGCTTCCTTCTTTCTCTCTTTGCAATAAGTCTTGCTGCTGCTCACTCTTTGGGTCCACACTTCCTTTATGAGCTGTAACACTCACCGCGAAGGTCTGCAGCTTCACTCCTGAGCCAGCGAGACCACAAACCCACCAGAAGGAAGAAACTCCGAACACATCTGAACATCAGAAGGAACAAACTCCGGACGCGCGGCCTTTAAGAACTGTAACACTCACGGCGAGGGTCTGCAGCTTCATTCTTGAAGTCAGTGAGACCAAGAACCCACCAATTCCGGACACGATATGTGAGGTAAGTACTTTAAAAATACTATTAGAGGTGAGGAAGCTAAGGCTTAAATCTCTGGTGTAACATGCTAGGAATGAAATGGTGAACTTAGGCATTTGTATTTGCTTTTCTGATTCCAAGGCCTGGTGTCCTAACAATATTCTGTACTATACTTGGAGAGACCCTAGTTTGATTGATTTATAGACAGGCCAGGTTGGCTAAACCTGCCATAGCATGAATTGTTTGTCTATGTGTTTATATATTGTGCATGGGTGTGTAGGTGGTATTAATATGTATCTATATTTTAAACACTTATAAGTAATTAAATAAGTTTTTCCTGCTTGCAGATTGTCTGTCCTTATTGAAGCTAGAGTAAGCCAGGTTGAAGGACAGAAGATTATCAATAATTAACACCATTAACTTTATGAGAACTGGGATGCCAGTTTTAGAGGCCAACTCCAATATGGACTTTCCAGTGTAAAAAAAAGTAAAGCACAGATTCCATGCCTCTAACTTAGAGTATTTTGCCAAATGCAAGAGAAAAAAAATAGCTCCTTACTTTAAAAGAAAGTTTCTATTTTAAGTGGTCTTTGTGAAATTCCTCATTACAATTGTTTTTTGTTTGTTTGTTTCTGTATCTGAGAAGGGCTGATTGCAATCTCAGAGAGCGGGTGTGGGTGAAAAGATGGTACACACAATCTAACATTCTTTCCAGGTTAATTTTGTTCTCCGTCTCTTACCCACTTCACTGAAGTGATTAACTGAAAGAGCTTTCAAGTCAAAGGAGAACCTATTACAAAGTCCCTTGGAGGTTTAGGGGGATGAGTTCATGGGCTGTGGGCTTGGAATGTTCCAGGAACAGTGAGAAGGCTATGATGTGTAGAGTGCAGAGGGCACAGGGAGGGCAACTGCAGACAAAGCTGGAGAGTCTGGCAGGATGGCTTCTGTATGGGACTGCAGCCATGCCAGGAGTCACAATACAGAGCTGATGAGGAGGCCTTGAGTCACAAAGGGTGGGGGACTTCCATGTGGTCTGGAATTCAGCGTCTATTAGTTTATCCCCAGGGAATCAAAAGGGAATGATTTGGACCTGAGTTTCTAGCAGTTTTGTGAGTGGTGTTTAGAAGGTCAGAGGAGTGTTGTTTTGTTATTTTACAGGGACATGCCTGTATTCCTGACTGGTCTGGCAGGATATCTTGAATGTCATTTATGAACACGTGCACAGGGATACTGTAAATCTTATATGCAAAACACAGCCTCTATTCAGAGAGCTTTTCCTGGACGTATAAACCATCAGTGCTAACAGCACTGAATTGAACAAGTCCTGCTTAAGTAGGAACTAGTTGAGCTGCCTTTATTTGGTTTTCCAAGGTATCAAAATAAAGTTCTTCAAACAGGAATGGCTACTAAATAGCATTTAAAGGCTCCGTATTTTATGTTTCAAATCGACAAACATTTATAAAAGTAGCTGCTGGAGATGCAGAGATAAATATGACAGGATTCCTGCCCTTGGAGAGTCCACAGTTTAACAATGAGAGAGAGAGGTGGGCAAACAGTTATTCTACAATAAAGCATGGTAGCTTCTCCAGTAGGAGTATGATTCCACTCTTTCTATGGGGGCCACAGGTTGTTGATGCTTTTTAACCTGTGAAATGTGTGAGTTGTAGTCGATGATGATAATACTAATAGCTGTCATTATCAGGAATTATGCTAGATGTTTTCTCAAATTATACAAAACAGCAACCTTGAACTTGTCTTAGTCTCCTCCCTCTGTGCCACGTCTAACAGTCATTAAAGTTAATATTTTCATTGCTTTAACATTTGTAACTCTCTCCATCTCTGATGCTGCTATAGCCTTATTTCAGACTTTCATGATCTTTAAATGCCACATTGCAATACTCATCTATCGTGTGTTTTCCTGGCTGTAATCTCTACCAATTTAACATGTTATTGCTCTCAGAGTAATCTTCCCAGAGTAGAAATTTGATCGTGACACTCCTTGATTTAAAACCTTTTATTTCTCATTGTTATAGACCTTGGTAGGGAATACCAAGTCTGGACCCAGTTTGTATAAAGCACCTTGTCTCTGGCCACACCCTTTCTCACTCTTATATAATTCATCCTTGCTCAGTCGCTTACATTTCCCCTTACATGGTGATATAGTTTGTCTGTCACCTCCAAAGCTCGTGTAGAAATGTATCCCCAGTGTTGGAGGGTGAGCCTAGTGGGAGGTGTTTGGATCATGGGGGCAATCCCTCATGAATGGCTTGGTGCCCTCCCTGTGGTAATGAGTACAAGATCTTATTGTTTAAAAGAGACTAGCATCTCCACCTCTCTCTCTTCCTCCCTCTCTCACCATGTGACACAACTGACTCCCCCTTTGCCTTCTGCCATGATTGTAAGTTTCCTGAGGCCCTCACCAGAAGTGGGTGCTGGCACCATACTTCCTGCACAGCCCAAAGAACCATGAGCCAAAATTTAAACCTTTTTTCTTTACATATTATGCAGTCTCAGACACTGCCTTATAGCAACGCAAATGGACTAACACAGGAAATTGATACTAAGGAGTGAGGTGTGGTTATAAAGATAACTGAAAATGTGGAAGCAGCTTTGGAACTGGGTAATAGGCACATATTAGAAGAGTTCAGAGAACTCAGAAGAAGACAGGAAAATGAAGGAAAGTTTGGACCTTCCTAGAGGCTTAAGTTGTTGTGACTAAAATGCCAATAGAAATATGGACAATGAAGACCAGGTTAATGAAGTCTCAAATAGAAATGAGGAAGTTATTGGGAATTAGAGTAAAGATCACCCATGTTATGCCCTAGAAAAGAACTTGGCTGCACTGTGTCCATGCCGTAGGGATCTGCGGAAGGTTGAACTTAAGAGTGATGACCTAGGATATCTGGCAGAAAGTATTTCTAAGCAACTAAGTGTTCAAGAAGTGGTATGGCTACTTCTAACAGCCTGTGATCAGATACGGGAGCAAAGAAATGACTTAATGTTAGAACTTACATTTAAACAGGAAGCAGAGCATAAACGTTTGGAAAATTTGCAGCCTGGCCATGTAGTAGAGAAGGAAAGAGCATTTTCAGGTGAGGAATTCAAGAGGACTTTGGAGCAACCACTTGCCAGAGATATTTGCGTGACTAAAAGGGAGCCAAGTGCTAATAGTTAAGACAGTGGGAAAAAGACCTCAAAGGCATTTCAGAAGTCTTCAGGGAAGCCCCTCCCATCACAGACCCCGAGGCCTAGAATGGAAGAATGGTTTCAAAGGTCAATCCCAGGCAGCTACTGCCCTGTATGGCCTTGGGACACTGTTCCCTGTATCCTGGATGCTCTGACTCCAGCCAGAACTCAAAGGGTCACAGGTACAGCTCAGACTGTGGCTTCAGAGGGTGCAAGCTGTAAGCCTTGGTGGCATCCATGTGGTGGTAAACCTGCAGATGTGTGAAATGCAAGAGTGAAGGAAACCTGGCAGCTCCCATCTAGATTTCAAAGAATGTGTAGGAATGCCTGGATGCCCAGGAAGAAGCCTGCTGCATGGGCAGAGCCCCAACAGAAAGCCTTTACTAGGGAAGCACCAAGGGGAAATGTAGGGTTAAATCCGCCACACAGACTCCCCACTGGGATACTGCCCAGTGGAGCTGTGGGAATAGAACCACCACCCTCCAGACCCCAGAATAGTAGAGCCATCAGTAGCTTGCACCCTGAGCCTGGAAATGGTGCAGGCCTTCAACTCCAACCTGTGAGAGCAGCCACAGAGGCCACACCCTACAAAGCCACAGGGGTAGAGATGCCCAAGGCCTTGGGAGCCCATTCCTTGCACCAGTGTGCCCTGGATGCAGGACTTGGAGTCACAGGAAATTATGTTGGAGCTTTAAGGTTTAATGTTTGCCCTGCCGGGTTTCGGACATGTGTGGGGCCTGTTGCTCTTTCTTTTGGCCTATTTTTGCCTTTTGGAATGGAAACGTTTGCCCAATGCCTATACCACCATTGTTTCTTGGAAGTAAATAACTTGGTTTTGATTTTATAGGCTCATAGGTGGAAGGAAAGTGCCTTGAGTCTCAGATGAGATTTGGACTTTTGAGTTAATGCCGAAATGAGTTAAGACTTTTGAGGAATATTGGGAAAGGATGATTGTATTTTGCAATGTGAGAAGGACATGAGATTTGAGAGACCAGCAGTAGAATGATATAGTTTAGATATTTGTCCTTTCCAGATCTCATGTTGAAATGTAATCCCCTGGTGTGAGGTGTTCTGGTCATGGGGCAGATCCCTCATGAATGGCTTGGTGCCCTCCCTGCAATAATGAGTTCATGCAAGATCTGGTTGTTTAAAAGAGACTGGCACATCCACCTCTGTCTCTTTACTCTGTTGCTCACCATGTGACACATTGGCTCCCCCTTGCCTTCTGCCATGATTGTAAGCTTCCTGAGGCCCTAACCAGAAGCAAATGCCAGCATGCTTCCTGTACAGCGGACAAAACCATGAGCCCAAATTTAAACCTCTTTTCTTCATAGATTGCCCAGTCTCAGATATTCCTTTTAGCAACACAGACTAACACATGGTATATTATTTCACTTTCTTTTTTTTTTTCTTTTGAGACGGAGTCTCTCTCTGTCACCAGGCTGGAGTGCCATGGCACGATCTTGGCTCACTGCAACCTCCGACTCCCTGGTTCAAGCTATTCTCCTGCCTCAGCCTCCCGAGTAGCTAGGATTACAGGCATGTGCCACCATGCCCAGCTAATTTTTGTATTTTTAGTAGAGATTGGGTTTTACCCTGTTGGCCAGGATGGTCTTGATCTCCTGACCTTGTGATCCACCCGCCTCAGCCTCCCAAAGTGCGGGGATTACAGGCGTGAGCCACCATGTCCAGCCGGTTGCTATAACTTATTATATCATACTTTCATGTTTGGATCAGATTACTGGTGCATTTATCAGAAATGCCCATCCCACCTCCTTGCCCGCTGCCATGATTCACCTGGGAAGCACCTCAGCTTTCAATATCTAGCTCAAGAGTCCCTTCTTGTATGTGGCCTTTCGAAGGTGAATAAAAATGTAACTGTGAATAAATAATGTCTGCTAATATCAAAGTAGACTTCAGAATAAGGAATATTACCAGAGATAAATATGGATGTTAAATAAAGATAAATAGTTCAATTGACCAAGATACATAACAAATGTGAAATCCTAGATATGAATAAACCTAACAAATGACCTTCAAAATACGTGAAGATTGACAGAATTGAAAGGATAACTATAAATTCATAATCATAGGCAGAACGTTTAATACTCTGCTTTCAGAACTGATGGAAAAAGAGTAGAAAGGAAGTCAGTAGAGATATGTAGAAGACTTGGCATGTATACCTATGTAACAAATCTGCATGTTCTGCACATGTATCCCAGAACTTAAAGTAAAATTTAAAAAGAGAAACAAATAAACAAAAAACAAAACCACTATGAACCAACTGTACCTAATTGAAACTTTTTACTTTTTTAGAGATAGGATCTCATCCTGTTGCCCGGGCTGGAATGCAGTGGTGTGATCATAGCTCACTATAACTTCAAACTCCTGGGCTCAAGGAATCCTTCTGCCTCGGCCTCCCAAGTAGCTGGGACTACAGGTGTGTGCCACCAAGATGGGCTAATTTTTAAAAACTGTAGAGATAAGGCCTAGCTTTGTTGCCAAGGTTGGTCTTGAACTCTTGGCTTTAAGCAATCCTCCTGCCTTGACCTCTCAAACTGCTGGGATTACAGGTACAAGCTGCCTCATCAGCCCTGATTGAAAATTTTAAAATAGTCCATCAACAAGAGCAGAATACACATTTTCAAGTGCACAAGGAACACATACCAAGATAGACCACATTCTGGGCTGTAAAACAAACTTTAACAAATTTAAAAGAACTGAAGTCATACAAAGTATGTTCTCTGATCACAAAAAAATTAGACTAGAAATTATTGGCCAGGTGCGGTGGCTCACGCCTGTAATCCCAGCCCTTTGGGAGGCCAAGGCGGGTGGATCGTGAGGTCAGGAGTTTAAGACCAGCCTGGCTAAGATGGTGAAACCCTGTCTCTACTAAAAATACAAAAAACTAGCTGGGTGTGGTGGTGGTCGCCTGTAATCCCGGCTACTTGGGAAGCTGAGGCAGAGAATTGGTTGAACCTGGGAGGTGGAGGTTGCAGTGAGCCAAGATTGCACCACTGCACTCCAGCCTTGGTGACAGAGCCAGACTCTGTCTCAAAAAAAAAAGAAAAAAAAAGAAAAAGAAATTATTTACCGAAAGGTACCTGAAACATCCACCCAGATTTTGGAAACTAAGTAACACATTTCTAAATAATTCATGGGTTAAAGGGAAATTAGATTAAATTTTGAACTAAAGAAAAATGGAAGTTCAACATATGAAAATTTGTAGGGTGAAACTACAGCAGTGCTTAGAGGAAAATTTATATCATTACATAAATATATTTTACAAAAAATAAAGGTCTCAAATTAGTGATACAAGTTTCTATCTTAAAAAATTAGAAAATAAAGAGCAAATAAGTCCAAAGCAAGCAAAAGAATGCAAGAGAACGAGAACAACCAAAAATAATTTTGAAATTGAACAAAGTTAAAGGACTTCTTATTACCTGATTTCAATATCTACCATACATGTTGTAACTGGCTGGGCACGGTGGCTCACGCCTGTAATCCCAGCACTTTGGGAGGCCAAGGCGAGCGGATCACTTGCAGTCAGGAGTTCAGAACCAGCCTGGCCAACTTGGTGAAACCCCGTGTCTACTAAAAATAGAAAAATTAGCCAGGCATGGTGGTGATGCCTGTAATCCCAGCTACTTGGCAGGCTGAGGCAGGAGAATCACTTAAGCCTGGGAGGTGGAGGTTGCAGTGAGCCGAGATCACACCACTGCACTCCAGCCTGGGTGACAGAGCGAGACTCCATCTCAAAAAACAAAAACAAAAACGTTATAGTAACCAAGACAGTATAGTATTCACAAAAGAATAGACACATAGGCCTGGTGCAGTGGTTCATGCCTTTAATCCAGGCACTTTGGGAGGCCGAGGCAGCAGAATCACCTTGAGGCCAGGAGTTTGAGACCAGTGTGGACAATATAAAGAGATCCTGTCTTTACAAAAATTAGCTGGGCATAGTGGTGCATGCCTGCAGCCCAGTTACTTGGGAGGCTGAGGTGGGAGGATCACTTGAGCCCAGGAATTTGAAGCTGCAGTGAGCCACGATCACACCACTATACTCCAGCCTGGGTGACAGAGTAAGACCTTGTCTCTCAGAAAAAGAAAAAAAAGACACGTAAATAAATGGAACACAACAGAGAGTCTAGAAATGTACTCACTTTTGTGGCCAAGTAATTTTTGACAAAGGTGCAAAGAAAATTCAATGGAGAAAGGATAGTCTTTTCAAAAAATGGTGCTGGAATGATTGGGCATCCACATGCAGGAAAATAAACCTCAACTTATACCTGATGCCTTACATGAAAAATTAACTCAAAAAGAATGTTACCTAAGTATTAAAATTATGAAACCTTTAGAACAAAGCATAAGAAATAATCTTTATGACCTTGTGTTAGGCAAAGATTCCTTGCATATAACACAGAAGCACTATTTATTCAAGAAAAAAATGGATAAATTGCACTTCTTTCAAATTAAAAATGTTTGCTCTGCAAAAGACAGTGTAAAAAAAATGGACAAGCCACAGATTGAGAGAAAATGGTTGCAAATCACGTATTTTGACAAAAGTACATAAAAGACTCTTAAGACTCAACAAGAAGAAACAAACAACTGAATTGAACAATGGGCAATTTGAACACTTTACCAAAGAAGATAAATGCATGGCAAAAAGAACATGAAAAAATACTCAGCATTGTTAGTCATTAGGGAAATGTAGATTTAAAAATCACACTGATTTATTTCTCTGCACACCTATTAGGATGGCTAAAAAACAAACACACAAAAAGTGACAATAACAAGAGCTAGCAAGGATGCATGATAACTAAGACTGTTTTTGTTTTTTCAGATTTTTTTTCTGCAAACACCATGGTGACTTACAGAACTTTACATGCTGATGATGGAAATAAAAAAAAAAAATGGCACAACCACAACAGAAAAGTTTAGGAGTTCCCTAATTTCAGTCCCAGGTGTTTACCCAAGAGAAATGAAAAACATGCTCACACAAAAATATGTATGTGGATTTCTGAACATTAAATTATAAAGATGAATAAATTTATAGGGACTTTATTCATAATCACTCAAAACTGAAAATATTCCAAATAGCGAATAGATAAATAAACTGGTGAATAGATAAGCAAATTGTGGTATGTCCATACAATGGCATACTTTTGAGGAACAAAAAAGGAACAAGCTACTCATACATGCAAATACATGAATTTATCAAATGAATTATGCCAAATGAAAGAAACCAGATTTAAAAAGCTATATTCTGTATGATTCCTTTATATGACATTCTGAAAAATTCAGAACTATAGGGATAGAAAACAGATCAGTGATTCCCTGTGGCTGTTCGTTGGGGGAGGAGATTTTTACTACAATGGGATTTAAGAAAACTTTTGGGGTGACGGATATTGGGGTGATTGGAGCACTTATTATACCAAGGTATGCATTTGCCAAAAGTTACGGAATTGTGTACTTAAATGGAGTGAATTTCCACCTCATACCTGTTAGGATTCCCACTATCCAACAACAACATCATCATCATCAACAACAACAACCACAACAAACCCCGAAAACAGCAAGTGGATATGGAGAAATTGGATCCCTGGTGCACTGTTGGTGGGAACACAGAATGGAGCAGCTGCTATGGAAAACAGTATGGAGATTCCTAAAAAATTAAAAATATAATTACCGTATAATCTCATAACCCCACTTCTGGGTAGATATCCAAAAGAATTAAAAGCAGGATCTCGAAGACATCTTTGCATACTCATGTTCTTTGCAGCATTACTTATAACAACCAAGAGGTGGAAGCAACCTGAATGTCCACGGACTGATGAATGGATGCAGAAAATGTGGTATATACATATGATGGACTATTATTCAGCCTTAGAAAGAAAGAAGTCTTGTCACATGCTACAACTTAGATGAACCTTGAGGACATTATACAAAGTGAAATAAGCTAGTCATAAAAAAGACAAATATTGCAGGATTCTACTTGTATGAGGTAAGTAGAATGGTGGTCGAAGGGGTTAGGGGAGGGGAAATGGGGAGTTGTTCAATGGATATAGTGTTTCTGTTTTTCGAGACAAAAAAGTTCTAGAGATCTGTTGTACAAGAATGTAAGTATAGTTAACATTACTGGCCTGTACAGTTAAAACCAGTTAAGATAGTAAGTTTTATGGTATGTATGTTTTCACCACAATTTTCTGAAAAGGTGGTGAATTTTACTGTATATAAATTATATTCCAACAAACCTTTTTGAAAAAAATGACCAAAATTCTTGATTTTATTTTAGTTTCACACTTTATAATTCTTCAAATCAAAAGGTGGAGTTTATGTTTCCGCTCCTAGATGCAGTCTGAGTGATATGAATTGATTTGGCCAACAGAATGTACAGTAGTAATGATATGCTAATCCTAAGCCTAGGCCTCAAGAGAACTTGTCTATTTCCACTCTATTGGATTTCTGAGCCTGCCACGTTAAGAAGCCAGACTAGCTTGCTGGAAGGTGAGAGAGTTAAAGCTCTGCCATCCTGGTTGCCACACAGGCAGTCAGCCCATACCTGAAGCTGAACTACCTTAATGGCTGACAATTGACTGTGAACACATGAGGGAGGCCCTCTGAGATCAGGGGAACTGTGCAGGGCAGCCCGAACTTCTGACCCACAGAGTCACGAGCTACATAAATGATTGTTGTATTACGCTGCTACATTATGTGGTGGTTTGTTAGGTATTGGTAGCTACCAAGAGGAAGGTTTCATAGATGAGATGACATTTGAATTTTTTTTTTTTTTAATTTGAGACAGAGTCTCACTCTGTCCTCAATCTGGAGTGCAGGGGCGCGATCTCGGCTCACTGCAACCTCCACCTCCTGGGTTCAAGTGATTCTCCGGTCTCAGCCTCCTGAGCAGCTGGGATTACAGGCATGCACCACCACACCTGGCTAACTTTTGTATTTTTGTAGAGACGGGGGTTTCACCATGTCGGCCAGGCTGGTTTCGAACTCCTGACCTCAAGTGATCTGCCCACCTCGGCCTCCCAAAGTGCTGGGATTACAGGCATGAACCACGGTGCCCGGCCTGGATTGTATTTTGAAGGAGGAATAGGAGTTTACTTTTTCTTTTCATGTTATTTTATCATTTTTAAAGCTTTTTTTTTTTTTCAAGGCAGGGGAATACCTGTATCTGTGTCCTATCTATTCTATCTATACCTAGTCTATGTTATCTGCGGCCACATGACCTCACAATGGTTGCAAAGACATCCAGGTTACTCCTTCTCTTAAGCCATTGAGAGAAGGCATAGGATGATTCGAAATAAAGTACAGAGCTCCTGCCCTAAGAGCTTACAGTCTATCTGGAAAGATGCCACCTGTGTCTAGGAAATACCAGGAAAAGAAAAAAAAAAGTATGAGAATTGGTGTTCTCTAGTCTAAAGGGTACAAAAGCAAACAACTGCTAGAACTTTATTCCTTGTACCACCCTTTGGTATTCAACAGCACAATGCCTGATTTTGTGATTTAACTTTTCCTGTTTTGATGCAGTGCCACCACGCTGGGATTTTGTAATTATGAGCTTCAAAAGCAGAGACAACATCTTCTATTTCTGTGTCTCTTCCTACGGTGAATAATATAGTCCTTGCCGTTTCAATGTTAACAAAAGAAAAAGAAAAATGCTGCAATAGCTGAGAGGGTTTAGAGTAAATGGGGTTTGGAGAGGGTCAGGTATTTTCCACAGCCAAACCAGAGTGGATGTTGTCCCTTTAACTGTGGTGTCCTGGCTGAAGGCCAAAACTTAATTGTTGATGACCCTTCCTTTTCTTTTTTTTTTTTTTTTTTTGAGATGGAGTCTCACTCCATCCCACAGGCTGGAGTGCAATGGTGTGATCTCGGCTCACTGAAACCTCCGCCTCCCAAGTTCAAGCAATTCTCCTGAGCCTCCTGAGTAGCTGGGACTACAGGCACATACCACCATGCCTGGCTAATTTTTGTATTTTTAGTAGAGACACGGTTTCACCATGTTGATCAGGCTGGTCTCGAACTCCTGACCTCGTGATCCGCCCTCCTTGGCCTCCCAAAGTGTTGAGATTATAAGCGTGAGCCACCATGCCTAGCCTGACCCTTCCTTTTCTGCTAGCCACTGTTATGTACAGTGGGTTCACAAAAAAGTTCATTAATGTCCTTAAGAAGTCAGATGGGATGGCTCTGGTGGCTCAGTGCCCACAGACCAGTGAAAGACAGAATGTCCGGGCTGTACTGTAGGTGGCTGACACCCCATCTTCTTGGTCACCTCCTGGAGGCCACACTTTATGTATCTGGATTCTGTTTCTTTTTAAAATTATCCTATTTTATTAATTTATTAATTTTAAATTTTTGTAGGTACATAGCAGGTGTGTATATATTTATGGGGTACATGAGATGTTTTGATACAGGTATGCAATGTGAAATAACCACATCATGGAGAATGTGGTGGTATCCATCCCTTCGAGCATTTATCCTTTGTGTCATGAGCAATGCAATTACATTATTTTAAAATATACAATGAAGTCATTATTGCCTATAGTCACCCCGTTGTGCTATCAAATAGTAGGTGTTATTCATTATTTCTAAGTAGCTTTTTTTGTCCCCATTAACCATCCTCACCACCTCCCCCACCCTCCCACAACACTTCTCAGTCTCTGGTAACCATCTTCTACTCTCCATCTCCCTGAGTTCAATTGTTTTGATTTTTAGATCCCACAAATAAATGAGAACATGTGATGTTTGTCTTTCTGTGTCTGGCTTATTTCACTTAACATAATGACCTCCAGTTCCATCCATGTTGTTGCAAATGACAGGATGTTATTCTTTTTTATGGCCGAATAGTACTCTGCTGTGTAGATGTTCCACATTTTCTTTATCCATTCATCTATTGATGGACACTTACGTTGCTTCCATATCTTAGGTATTGTAAACAGTGGTGCAGCAAATATGGGAGTGTAAATGTATTTTTGATGTACTTATTTCCTTTCTTTGGTGTGTATACCCAGCAGTGGGATTGCTGGGTCATATGGTAGCCTGGATTCTGTTTCTTATTTGCCAGTGGATGTTTTAAAGTATACATCCTATTGCCCTGGGTCAACTTTCTCAAGGACGTCCCCTCAGTCTTCTTCATTTTTACATATATGTTCGTTATTTCTAAAAGTGTTAAAATTATAGAAAAGTATAAAAAAGAAAATAAAAATTATGTTTTCCAACAACTCAGAAATAGTCACTTTCAACGCTTTGATATTTATTTGTTGTATATCTGTGGTGTGTATTTCAGTGTGTATAAATTTCATTCTGTTTAAATTGTGTTTTTTTCCCAATCAACAGTATACCATAAACATTTTCACATCTTTTTATGTCAATCTGATTTCACCATAGTATTTGAACACTTGTCTGGAACTTCATTGTATACCATGATTTTTAATAAATAATCCATTTTTGTTGACCATTTTGATTATTTCTAGGCTTTGATTATTATCAACTATGCTTCTATAATGTCCTTATACACAAATTTGGGGGCACATATTTGATTTTGGCTTGGTGTATATCATAAAAATGGATTTTCTGGTGGGGCGCAGTGGCTTACACCTGTAATCCCAGCACTTTGGGAGGCCAAGGGGGGGGGGGGGTGGATCATGAGGTTAGGAGTTCAAGACCATCCTGGCCAATATGGTGAAACCCCATCTCTACTAAAAAGTATAAAAATTAGCCGGGTGTGGTGGTGCACGCCTGTAATTCCAGCTACTCAGGAGGCTGAGGCAGGAGAATCGCTTGAACCCAGGAGGCGGACGTTGCAGTGAGCCGAGATAGTGCCACTGCACTCCAGCCTGGGCGACAGAGTGAGACTCTATTTCAAAAAAAAAAAAAACTGGATTTTCTGGGCCAAAGGGTATGCATACAAGGCTTTTGCTTTGTGTTTGTGATGTTGACCTCTTGACATGTGATACCAGTGTATAGTAGTATTATGTAAGTTATTTTCCACCTCTTTCAGAAAAACCGTTTTGTTATCTATTGATACCTTTGTTAATTAGTCTCAAAGACTTTTAATGTTGTCTATAGTGTTTTTCATGTATTGAGTGCAAAAAGCAGGAAATAGAAAATGAAGAATCAGCCAAGAGCCTTGTTTGTTTGTTTAGTTTGGTTTGGTTTTCTTTATGCTTTTACTGTAGGTATGTCTGGAAAAATCAAATTAAATGGAATGAGCTTGACTCATGAGGAGGCCCCTTTCATTTTCCTGAAGTGAATTAATACAGCACCCACCGATCCTGACATTAGTTATTTCAGAAGCACACTAAGAACTGACCGCACTTCTCAGTGTCACCAAACTATTCTTATCTGTCAAAGTTTCATTTCAAATACTTCTGTAAGGTCTAGGTGTACCCTGCTGGTGTTTGTGATGTCCTACATTACTCTTGATCTACTTTTCAACTATGAAACAAGGGAAAAATTGGAGGTCCAGAGCTCAGGATTCAGATATTATTACCTCTGCTACTCACAGCAGAGCAAGTAACTTAGCCTGTGTGGAACTTCATTTTTCTTTCTTTTTTTTCTTTTTTTTTTTTTTTTTTTTAGACAGAGTCTTGCTCTGTCACCCAGGCTGGAGTGCAGTGGCACGATCTCGGCTCACTGCAACCTCTGCCTCCCAGGTTCAAACAATTCTCCTGCCTCAGCCTCCAGAGTAGCTGGGGTTACAGGTGCACGCCAGCAAGCACAGCTAAATTTTGTATTTTTAGTAGAGATGGGGTTTTGCCATGTTGGCCAGGCTGGTCTCAAACTCCTGACCTCAGGTGATCCACTCCCAAAGTGCTGGGATTATAGGCGTGAGCCACTGTGCCAGGCCCACTGTTTTTGTTTTTTTTTTTCGTGATGACAAATTTAAAGTCATCTCATAGGAATAGAAAATAGCTTTTTAGTAGAAGCTCTTGGAATTTAAATTGAGACTGAATGGAAAGATGAAAGAAAATAAACTTATTAACATTTAATGAGAACCTTCAAAGAACTAGGCATAGTACCAAATGGTTTTATATTTTTAAACCTCATTTATTCCTCTCAAAACACCTGGGAAGGAGATATTTTTGCCATTTCACAGCTGTTGAAACTGAGGCTCAAAAAGACTAAGTAACTTTTCTCAGCTACACATGTGGCTGAGCCAGTATTTGAACCCAGTTCTGTTTGCAGACAGAACCTGGGCTTTTTCACACCTGCAAACTGGAAACATTAATTGGTTCTTAAGATCATCATCGATGTGATAAAACCTGGGACAGAAATTAGTCAAGACTAGCTGCATCTGCCTTTTCCTCTGGTGGGTAGGAAAAGGAGGAGTATAATGATTTCCTCAGGCATGAAGGTCGATGATGAGCAAAGTGTATACTCTCTAATCTAATGTCATAATTCATATTGTGGAGTAATTATCTGGATAAGTGTAGGGTCTCTGACCTCATTCTAGATATTGTACATTCCATGGCTATTTTCATTTTGGTCCATGAACTCTCTTTGCTCTCATGAGCACCATTTTTATCCCAATCTAATCCTGTATGTTTGTGTTTTTACACAGATTAGTTTTTAAATGTTATATATAATTTGCTTCTGAAACACCATTGCTCAATGACTACCAAATCTTTCTCATTACCAAAATCCTTCTATGCCAACTTCTTCAAGAAATTTGATCACCTTTAGATGAATTGTTAATGAAAATTAAAGCTATAGCCGGCAACATGGGTATCTTTGGGCTAATGGCCAACCAACAGGCCATCTGTGTGAAAGAAAACAGGCTAACAATTTTGGACTCTGGTCTCTTGGGGCTACATTGAGCATTGACCTCACCGGTGCTCACTGAAATTAATTGCTTTTCAGGTTGTATTTTCTCATCACGGAAACCTTCTTCTCCCAATTCAAACCATGTGGGTTAAAATGAGAAAACAAAAGCCAAAACGGCTTCCCACACCCAAAAGCTCCTTCTGTCAGAGATCCCAGTAGCCCCGGGAGAGCTGTTAGAAGTCTGAGAAGGATTGGTCATCATCGCATACCATACATAGGTGGAGGGCTTGTTATTCTCAGTTTCCCGCCTATGAGAGGATACCCCTATTGTTTCTGAAAATGCTGACCGGGACCCACACTTCCAACAAAAATTCCTCTGCCCCTACAGCAGCAGCAAAAGCAGCAGCAGAAGCAACAGCAACAGATAAGTGTTTTGATGAATTGCGAGATGGATAGGGCTTGAGTGCCCCCAGCCCTGCTGATACCAAATGCCTTTAAGATACAGCCTTTCCCATCCTAATCTACAAAGGAAACAGGAAAAAGGAACTTAAAACTCCCTGTGCTCAGACAGAAATGAGACTGTTACAGCCTGCTTCTGTGCTGTTCCTTCTTGCCTCTAACTTGTAAACAAGACGTAGTAGGACGATGCTAATGGAAAGTCACAAACCGCTGGGTTTTTGAAAGGATCCTTGGGACCTCATGCACATTTGTGGAAACTGGATGGAGAGATTTGGGGAAGCATGGACTCTTTAGCCAGCTTAGTTCTCTGTGGAGTCAGCTTGCTCCTTTCTGGTAAGGTTTGGCTTTATTTTTTTTAATTTAGTATTTTAAAAAACAGAGTTAGTGATTTCTGGGTGCTCTCCCCAAATCTCATCAGTGCTGATGAACAAGGGGTGGCTGTAGCAAAGGCACCATTTCTCTGTGAGTCTCCAGTCAATATGTGTGGAAGGATTGAAATGCAAAGGCTCTGTGGCATGAACTGATTTTGCTAGTTTGTCTTCTGGGTGATTGGCCCCTGTGTTAGAAACTCTTTGAGGACCGATTAAATCATCTTATTTGAAGAGATCCCCTTACTATCATGCATTATTTTCCTGCTCCTCATTCTGGAGTGTTTTTCTTATTGATTTTTTTTTTAAAGAACAAACCGGTTTTACCTGCTTTAAAGAAAATCTTCAGTAAAAAATGAAATTCATGCTGAGAAATACAGGGGCCCAATTAAGGCAGTGTATAGATTGTCACTGTTAAAAGGGAACAAAGATGCTTTTCTGTAAAAAGATTTTATATCTACATCCTATTTTAAGCAAAGCAATGAAATTGTAGGCTTTTTTTTTTTTCTTGTAGTTAGGGTCAGGGAGATTGGGGCTATTAGAATTTTTGTTTTATTTTAAAAAATGTTTGCCATGTAGTAATTCATAAAGGGTTTACTGGCCCAATGAAACAAAAATTTAGGCAGTTACCAAAATCTTTAACACAGGAGAGTATATGAAGCCTGTTGTAGAGTGAAGGAGTGGTTGGCCAGTGTGTTGGGTTCAGCGTGTTTATTGCTTAGATACTCCAGATAGTGGTGTGCCTCTGTAGCTCACTCAGCCTATGTGACATAGGTAGAAGGCAGTATCCAAACCTGAACTACATATCACAAATACATTTATCATTGCCATCAGTCTCTCCCCTTCGGTTTGAAAACATTCTAATTTTAATAACGAAAATCGAATTGATATTGGAGATGAATTTGGGAAAATTCACTAAACTTCATGGATATAGGGCATATTAATATAATTTGATTCGAGTATACATAAGTATCTGCTATATTTTCTAGGTGTTTGAACTATTTTATTAAATATTCAAAAAACAAATCCAATGAAATAACTGAGTTGAATACAGTTTGTTTTATAGCTCTCAACAACCAATATTTTGAGAATTTAATAATATTCTTTAAGAATGTGTAACACAAGTTGCTAAAAATTAAAAGATTTTAGGTGGCTTCAGTATTTATGTGGAAATTGTTTAAATAATGTTGACTTCTCCAATAATATGTACTTCAAATAATTATCATGATTCCATTTTTGATTTTTTTTTTTCTGAGTGCCATTATTTACCAGTGACATGAAATCTGGAACTTACTCTATACCAGGGATTATAGTGATGTGAAGCCCAGGTGTCTATAGTTTCTCTGAGGTACTTTGTAGGTTAATACACACACAACTGTTTTCATTCACTTTTTTTACTCCTAAAGCAACTGTGTTATAGCACTTTGCAATACAGGCTTAGAAGAATTGTCATAAAATCAAACAAAAAGGTATGTAGCCAAAATACTTGTTCCATGTCTAGACCTCAGATCCCTGGAAAAAACAGCACTGCCTTTAAAAGGCAGAGGACCAAGGAGAGGAAGTAGGTTCATGTTCTTGTTAGGAAGGGTGACACTAGCAAGGTTAGTTTCTGAGGTAGGTCTGTTGTCTTGATCGTAGCTTGCATTCCTAGTCTAAGCCTCCATGAGCATGACTGCTCAAGGCTTGATAATTGCAACAAGAATCCAGCTAGATAATGTCCACAGCCATAGGAGCCCGTTCCTCTAGTCAAACTCCTGGTAGACTAAAGCAGTGGAGCAAGGGGCTTATGGCTTAAAGGTTTATCTCTCTAGTCCAGTGGGTTGTTTCTTGTTTCTTTTTTCTGAACCCACAGACTGAAAAAAAAAAAAAGCCACTTTTTTTTAGTGAAGGTGGCTCTGGATGACAGAGTTGTTTACCCATAAGAGGGCTGGAGGGGATGTGTAGCTCTCAGAAGCTCCTTACAAATACTCCTAGATTCTGTTGCTTTCCTTTTCTGAATTGAGAATCATTGCTAACTTCAGCTTTCAAACAGGTTCTATTATATTAGCTTTTCCCTACTCTTCCTCATAAAACCAGGCTGTTCTCTTTAAAAAGTTGTATATGTAGAAAACTAACAAAAAAATCACTGTGATTTATCATAGTATCTTCTACGTGATCAACAATGATCTAATAGGAAGTCTCTAGTCTCATGCTTTCATACCTCTTTACTGTGTCACTTGACTTTTTTTTTTTTTTTTTTGAGATGGAGTCTCGCTCTGTCACCCAGACTAGAATGTAGTAGAGTGATCTCAGATCACTGCAACCTCCGCCTCCCAGGTTCACGTGATTCTGTGCCTCAGCCTCTCGAGTAGCTGGGACTACAGGCGTGCGCCACCATGCCTGGCTAATTTGTTGTATTTTTAGTAGAGACGGGGTTTCACCATGTTGGCCAGGCTGGTCTCGAACTCCTGACCCCAAGTGATCCGCCCGCCTCGGCCTCCCAAAGTGCTGGGATTACAGGCATGAGCCACCACGCCCGCCCTTGTCACTTGACATTTTAAATAACAACTGGATTCAGAGATAGCAGACATCTTGTCTGGGGTGGCAGAGGAAACAGTTGTAAGGTCAGGGAAGTGCTCCCAGATGAAACCCCCTTGTTAGGGCTGGTCTCAGAAGGCTAGTGTCAAGTCTGAGTAATCAAGGGTGGAGGTCTGAAAGCTGGGATCGGAGACACCCTTTGGAATTATTCTCAGAGGGAGGAGCTTGCTTTTTTCACAGATGCTCCCTTCCAAGCATTGTCTTTATTGTTTGTTAGGTCTCAGCATTTCCCTTTCAGCCCTGCCCTGGGAGAGCTTCCTGGAAGAGTCTAGTTCTTCCAAGGCGTCTCTCCAGGAGGGAAGGAGTCTTCTAAGTTCATCTCAAAAGACTATGTGATGTTCTCTGGGGAATTTAGGTGGGTGGGCTCTAAATTCTTCTGAAATTATCAGTTTGCCTCCTGAGCCTCTATCTCCCCAAAGGATATCTGTGTGATTGTATCACCTGCTTATTCTCTGTAGATGGCTTACTGGTGAGCTCACAGAATCAGGATTTAAATAGATTGTTCTAGGCTGGAAGGGTGGAAAACCAAAACAAAAAGATACCATTTCAAAATAGGTAAATGTCTGGTTCTGTGTTTGGGTTCAAGAAATAAGTTATGTATATTTAATGTGGGAGAGACCTGGTTTGTTGAAAGTTCTTGTGAATGACACCTAGGTTTTGGGGATACACAAAAGTCATGGAAGACAACATAGGCTCTGCTTGCTAAAAAGGTACTGCATAAGCTGTCATATGTTGTATTAGCAGAAATATGAAGTCCAAATCAGAAATGGTAATCACTTCACTGAAATCTACTGCTAAGAGCACATCCATGAAGCACTGAAGACCTGAGAAATTTAACAGCGAACATAGCAGGCAAACTGAAGGAGGAAACATGGATTACAAAGTCAAAGCCCAACTTGGATAACCATAAGCAAGTTATTTAATTTCTCTAAGCCACATTTTTCTCATCTTTTATGGATGAAATACCCATTTTCCAGGGTTGTGATGAGAATCAAATGTGATAATGCCTGTGAAATGCTTAGCCAGTGAGAACTCTCTTAATAAATGAAGCTTGGGGCCTGGTGCTGTGGCTCACACCTGTAATACAGCACTTTGGGAGGCCCAGGCAGGTGGATCATGAGGTCAAGAGATCAAGACCATCCTAGCCAACATGGTGAAACCCCATCTCTACTAAAATACAAAAATTAGCAAGGTGTGGTGGTGTGTGCCCGTAGTCCTAGCTACTCGGGAGGCTTAGACAGGAGGATCGCTTAAACCCAGGAGGCAGAGGTTGCAGTGAGCTGAGATCACGCCATTGTACTCCAGCCTGGTGACAGAGTGAGACTCCGTCTCAATAAAATAAAATAAAATAAAATAAATAATGAAGCTAGTATAATCAAAAGAGAAGTGTTGCTATGAGAACCACTGTGCTAGTCAAGACTGATCTAATCTGCCCCAGGATGTAGGAGAACCACTTAATATTCATAGATGCTGTCTCTTTCTACAAAACCTCAGTATAATCCTGTCTCTCAAACTTTGTGCTGGCCAATTCCAACTGAATAAACCCAAACACTTTGCCAACTACCCATCTACCCTCCCCTCACTTATCCATTTATCCCTGTTTGTATCTTGTCTGCTTCAACCAGGCCCATCTCCACAATCTACACATTCTTTCCTCTTGGCTCTTGTTCATGCTGTTCCATCCATTTAGAAATGGCATCTTTCATCTCTACTCTGCAAACACAATTCAACTCAATTTGCCCAGGCCAACTCTTCCTCCTGATGTTCTTCCCCTAAGTTTAGGCTCCTTTACCATGCAGATTGTGTCTTTGAGCTTTGGGCAGCCAGATTTAGCCCAATTAGCCTCTAAATCTCTCACAACAGATATTATTTCTTTTCTATTCTCATTAGTACATGTATTTAATGTTTAGTAATTTCTGTTGAATGGAGTTTTATGGTCACAGTAAGAAAATGTTGGTACTTCACAGCGGAGCTGAAAGGAAAAGAGAACATTGTAGAAAGGATCTCAGTAACATCGAAATAATAATATTACATTGGGCCAGGCACGTTGGCTGATGCCTGTAATCCCAGCACTTTGGGAGGCCAAGGTGGGCAGATCACGAGATCAGGAGTCCGAGACCAGCCTGACCAACATGGTGAAACCTTGCCTCTACTAAAAATACAAAAGTTAGCTGGGCATGGTGGCATGTGCCTGTAATCCCAGCTACTCGGAAGGTTGAGGCAGGAAAATCTCTTAAACCAGGGAGGCAGAGGTTGCAGTGAGCCGAGATTATGCCACTGCACTCGAGCCTGCATGACAGAGTGAGACTCCGTCTCAAAAAAAAATAAAAAAAAATTTAATATTAGGTTGGTGAAAAGTAGTGGTAAAAACTGCAGTTACTTTTGCACCAATCTGATAATCAATTTTATATATCTTGTAAATGATATTCACTCTCATCTTAAAAGTTTAGCTTATATTAAATGTTTGATGTAAATAAAGTTGAAAGAAAGTTTCTTCTGTTAGGTGTGAAACATAAAAGATATACTCATAAAAGTGGTTCTAACCAGGGCCTTACTTAAGATGAGGTATTGTATGATTGTTGAATATTACCTATAACATAGTCGTATTTTCTATTCAATAGATATTTATTGAGTTACTGTGTGCCAATCATTCATTCATTCATTCACTCATCTATCCTTTCAATAAACAAAGACTTATTGAGGGTTTCCTTTGAGCCATGTACTGTCCTGGAAACTAGGAATATAAATAAGGATAAATAATTTTTTCCCTTTGCTAAGCTCACATTTTAGTGGGAAAAATGAATATAGGCGGATGAATTGTAAAATGTTGTGATAAATGATTTAATAGAGATATTACAGCAAATAAAGGTATTTACAAAATCTGAGCTTTTCAAGGGCTGTAAAAGTTTTTATTGGGTCCAATGATACAAAATGAAATAGCAATATCTGAATTGAGCATAAAGGTCTGGTGCAGTGGCTCACACCTGTAATCCTAGCATTTTGGGAGACTGAGGCAGACAAATCGCTTGAGCCCAGGAGTTTCAGATCAGCCTGGGCAACGTGGCAAAACCCCATCTCTACAAAAAATACAAAAATTAGCCTGGCATGGTGGCACGTGCATGTAGTCCCAGCTACTCGGGTGGCTGAAGTGGGAGGATTGCTGGAGCCTGGGAGGTCAAGGCTGCAGTGAGCCATGATCATACCACTGCCCTCCAGCCTAGGCAACAGAGCGAGACATTGTCTCAAAAAAAACAACAAACAAACAAACGAAACTAAATTGAACATAAATATTTAATTAAATGTCTAAAAACGTGGAATGTCAACTAAAGAAAATGAGTAGTATTTTGAAAACAACTTGTAGGTTGATTTTTCTGTCTTTGCAAGAACTCCTAAATAGTTGTGAATATTGCCAAAAGTCAGGTCCAGTTATAGTTATAACTTGCTCATAGCCAAATGATTTTGAAACCAAGATGAAAAGGAAAAGGGAAGAAAGGACATAGAGGGAGCAACCTATACAAAGGGGGTGTGTATAAAATAGCAGGGCAGGCTTAAGGAAGCTGAGTGAAGCTGTAATGTAGGATGAAGGTAGAGAATTAAAGTTGGGGTCAGATCAAGAAGGGCCTCACAGGCCATTTTAAGTAGGTTGTCCCTCATTCTGTACATGTTGAAATTTAGCAGAGTGTTTGTTCTATCATGTCATATATCAGATTTATGTCTTGAAAAATTCACTCTAATAATAGTTTTCAGGATGGATTAACATGGTAGAGACCATAGGCTGGGACCAAGTTGGCTTCCTAACATTCCAGGCAAGAGGACTGTGAGGATAACAGGGGGCTTGAGAGAGATTTAGGAGGTGAAACTGCAGGAGTTAGTGATTGGTTGTATATGGAAGGTTGAGAGGGAGGGAGGAGAATAAGTCATTGCTCCAGCATTCTGATTTGGATAATGGTGGTGCCATTCAGTGTGCTGAATGGAGGTGGGCTGGGATAAGGCAAATAATTATTTTGTTCATGTTGATTTTGAGGCTACATGTAAAGGAAGTTTTTTTTTTTGAGACTGAGTCTTGCTGTGTCGCCCAGGCTGGAGTGCAGTGGCACGATCTTGGCTCGCTGCAAGCTCCACCTCCCCGGTTCAAGTGATTCTCCCACCTCAGCCTCCTGAATAACTGGGATTATAGGCACCTGCCACCACACCCGGCTAATTTTTGTACTTTTAGTAGAGACGGGGCTTCACCACGTTGGCCATGTCTTGAACTCCTGACCTCATGATCCACCTGCCTTGGCCTCCCAAAGTGCTGGGATTACAGGCGTGAGCCACCGCACCTGGCCATAAAGGAAGATATTTATCAAAATTTGGCTGCCCACATCTGAAGCTCAGAGGAAGGGGATTGGGCAAGAGATTGAGATGTAGAAATCTTTGGTATATGGTAAGTGAAGCCACGGGCATGGCTATATTTCAAGATTGAAATGAAGGAACGAGAAAGAGCAGATACCCAAAAATTTGATGAAGAAGAAACAGGTAAGGAGCTGACAGGAGAAGCAAAACCAATGACATTCCTATCCTGGGACTTTAGAGAATTGCTGCTGTAGCAGCCATGGAAAGAAATTTTTTTTTTTTTTTTTTTTGAGTCGGAGTCTCGCTCAGTCCCCCAGGCTGGAGTGCAGTGGTGCGATCTCGGCTCACTGCAAGCTCCGCTTCCCAGGTTCACACCATTCTCCTGCCTCAGCCTCCCGAGTAGCTGGGACTACAGGCGCCTGCCACCACGCCCAGCTAATTTTTTTTTTTAATTTTTAGTAGAGACGTGGTTTCACTGTGTTAGCCAGGATGGTCTCGATCTCCTGACCTAGTGATCCGCCTGCCTCGGCCTCCCAAAATGCTGGGATTACAGGCGTGAGCCACTGCGCCCGGCCGGAAAGAGAATTTTAAGAAGACAGTAAGATGGGGCAGCAGAGTAACAGCCTCCGGGCCTGACACTGGAGCACCAGCCTGCAGGTGTGTTATTTTACAGAGAGCCAGCTGCACCGGCAGCATCACCAAACCAGAGCTGGAAGAGAGCAGCTGGCTTCACTCCTGGCTTTCAGGAAAGGGAATGTCTAAAGTTGCCTCCCTTATTTTTGGAATTTTGAACTGATAACCCTATTCTTACCCATCTGGCCAGACGATTCCTTAACTCGTGTTACACCTGCAGAATGAGTTTTAGATCTAGCTGTGACCTCTTCCCCCAGCCCCACCCCCATTGTCCCCTTGTGTGCCTTCAGGAATCTGATCATTCTTCTCTCCTGCTCCTTCCCAAAGGCTGCAGGAGCAGGTGTGAAGACGTGGATGTGCCAGATGCAGAGTCCTGACACTTTTCAACACATCTGCATATTAGAGGAAGTACATACCCATTGCTTGGTGGTTTCATGTCTAATGTGGTATGAGTGTGACAAAGAGAGGGAGAAAATTTGGACTAGCCAAAGAAGCCAGTCAGGCGTGGGGTTTGAAGGGCATCGTGGGCGGCTGTCATTTGCTCTCTGCTTGTCACAGCCCCTTGCCCAGGGCTTGACCAGTGAGGTGTATGTGCTGGTCACACCCATCTCAGCAGATCTGTCAGCTTTCCCGCTTTTGTTAAAGGGTGATATCATGCTTCCTGGGGGGAGCACTGGAAGACAATGCTCGGCCACTTTCCTCCAGATACAATAGGCGGAGTCAGGAAGGCAGTATTGACATTGCTGGGGCTGGGGAGGCACTCACTGCTCTGCGGCCGTCAGATGGTGAACCAGCTTAACCTTGGCACACAGGGCCTGGGTTGTGCAAGGCGTCTGGCTGCAGAGCCAAAGGGGACTCCACCCTGGGGACAGGAGTGCTTTAGACATCTGGGAATCTGGGATGGGCTTCAAATTCTGATCCCTGTGTCAGAAACAACCACAAAACAATAAGAGTACCAGTAATAACAAAAATGACTACCCTAGGTTGAATGCCTTTATGTGCCAAGTGTTAAATATGATTTTTAATATTTCACAACTTTACACTATAGGTATTATTATTTTTTTAATAGACAGGGAAACCAAGGCTCACAAAGGTTAAGTGACATGTCCAAGGTTAAAATGTAAGTGACCAGCCAGGTGTGGTGGCTCGTGCTTGTAATCCCAGCACTTTGGGAGGCCAAAGCAAGCAGATTGCTTGAGCCAAGGAGTTCGAGACCATCCTGGGCAATATAGGGAGACCCATCTCTACAAATAATACAAATATTGGCTGGGTATGGTGGCACACACCTGTGGTCCCAGCAACCCGGGAGGCTGAGATAGATGGATCGCTTTAGCCTGGGGGTTTTAGGCTGCATGAATGTCGTGATCATGCCGCTGCATTCCAGCCTGAGTGACATAGTGAGACCTCATCTTAACAACAACAAACCGGAAAATGGCGGCCATCCATTATTTTGGATGCCTAACATTTCAAACTTTCAAGAACTGCCGTGCTTTCCCTCTAGGTGATTCTGATGGGTCTGCCAATCACTGGTCACAGAATGTCCCAGCCAACTAACAACAGCAGTTGGTTCAAACAGAAGATGCACAACCCAACAGGGCCAGTTAGACTCTTTCCCTGGGAATTTATGAGCACTTTGAAAGCAAAAGCCTCTCTTTCTTCATAGAGGACACTGTATCCCTGGAGCTACCAACTTCGCTGACCACTTGAAGGAAGCTAGTCTTTAGTACGAGAGAATGAGGCCAATAACAAAAGATGGACCAAGACAGGCACTCTGATAGCATTTGAGACGTGGGTCCAAGGATTTTCAAACACGCAGCCCTGCCTCTTTCAGTTCTGTGAGCTAGTTTCTTTTATTTGTTTAAGCTATTTTGAGTTAGCTTCTATCCCTTGGAAGTGAATCATCCTGACTGACCACATGTCTCAGTAGGAAATGATGGAGACAAGAGTTACACTGAAAAATGACCTGAACCCGAATCCTGGGCTCTTTAAAACACCTCACTGTGCTGCCTTCGAACTAGTGTTTCATGGTCACCTCAGGTTAGTTCCTAGAAAATGAAGGTAACAGCATTTCTTCATGTGGTTTTGGGGAAGACCTTTTAAAAAAAATAACTTAAAAATACTTAGAACAGTGCCGGCTCATAGTTAGCACTCGATAAAAATCAGATGTTATTAAGATTTGGTTATAAATGAAACTGGTGTCTCATATGTTACCTTATGTTACTCCTTTCAAAGCACATTTTTATCCACGAGGGCAGGCAACCCACATTCCATGCAGATGAGGCTCCCTGGCTTCCCTTGGTGTCCTAAGTCTGGCCTTATAGTGGGGACAAGGTGAGAGAGGCTTACACCTGTGGGTTCTTGGGCTTCTGCTAAAAATGTGGAGAGTCGGGTGGAGAGTCGGGTGGGGAGATTCCTCTCTGTTGCTCAACGAGCTGGCAACATTGGGCTCCCAACCTTTTTCCTGCCAGCCCCCAGTTTCCTCTCATTTCTGGGTCGTGACTGATCACGGGCTCTAGGATGATCTGTCATTTGAAGGTTCCCACCTCATTTATCCCAAACCTATTGATTCCTATTTCTTGACAATTTTTTTACTTCTAGTGGAATCTGCCTCACTTGTGACTAAGCTTGTTGCATTTTTGGACCCATCCTGGTGTCTGTGTGCACATGCGTGTGTGTGTGTGCATGTGGGTGTGGATGCACACGTGTGAGAGAAAGAAATAGCTCTCCCCCCATTTCAGCACATATTTGCTCTAATTCCACCTTCCTTTAGTCTCCATTCTACTTTGTGTCCAATACCCCTTGCATCTGGAAAGGATGTTCTAATCTTCTGGGGTTGATTTAAACATCCATCTATTTTATTAATCATTGCTACCACTTCAGAATCGAAGAAGACGGTGGTGGCAGTGGTGATTGCTTGTGGTCAGCAGCTTTTCAGGAGACAGTCTTTGCCTGCCTCACCAGCCTCTCGTGGTTCTCAGTCCCACATACTATGATGGAAGTGTACTCAAGTCATACCAGACTCTTTGCAGTTTCCAAACATTCATGTTCAAGCATTTATGCCTTTGTGTATGCTGGTTTCTCTTTCTAGCATGCCCTTGTCACCTCTTCTTCACCTGCTTTACTTATTTATGATTAGAGGTTTAGCTCAGGTGTTATATCTTCTAAGAAGTCTTCTTTAACCTCCTCGCATGGATTAGGGCCCTGCCTTAGCCTGAGGCGAAAACATGGCCTGAAGGCCAAGGCATATGTGCAGGTGGATTATGTGGGATAATGATCCCAGGAAGCAAGAGTGAGGGACTAGTGGAATGAAACTCTACAAGGATGCATTGTCAAGCTGGCTGCAGCGACAGAAGCCTGGTGCTCCAGACTTTCTGAGGAGCCTTATGAAATGAGACTTAGAACTTCATCCGCAAATGAAAAGGGGAGGCATTCATCTATTGCTATTCCCTTTGTTCAAGGGTTATGTAGACCTAAGAACCTAGCAGGTTACCATAGGTGAGGAAGTAAGATATACTCGACTGGGCTCTAGGTGAGCTACTTTGAGACTGCACCTGCTCAAGGATCAGAAGTGGCCCTTGCAGGAGCAGCCAGGGCAAAAGCTGGGATGAGGAGGGTTTGCACTGGTGCCTAAGAGGTTTCAGATACAGGCACCTTGGTACTTGCCTTTGTCATAATACTTAGAAAATTTAATTACAATGTACAGTTTACTGGTTGGTTTTGCCCGCTGGACTATGAGCTGTGTTTGGCATTTCAGTATTTCCAGTACCTGACTTGATGTACTAGCTGACGAAGAAATGCTTTAATAAATAGCTTTGCTGGCTGGGTGCTGTGGCTCACGCCTGTAATCCCAGCACTTTGGGAGGCTGAGGCCAGCGAATCACCTGAGGTCAGGAGTTCAAGACCAGCCTGACCAACATGGCGAAACCCCGCCTCTACTAAAAATACAAAAAAAAAATTAGCCAGGCGTGGTGGTGCACACTTGTAGTCCCAGCTACTTGGGAGGCTGAGGCAGAAGAATCACTTAACCCGGGAGGCAGAGGTTGCAGTGAGCTGAGATCGTGCCATTGCACTTCAGCCTGGGCGACAAGAGTGAAACTCTGTCTCAAAATAAATAAATAAAAAAAATAGCTTTGCTTTGTATTAAATGTTCTGAGTTAGGGTTACCTTAAGTGTGTTGTATATATTACTGCTGGCCTGCAAGATGATTTGTATATATATTTCATAAATAAATTTTTTTTTTATTTTATAAATATATTTTATAAATTTATATACATATTTTATTTGTATACATATGTATTTTTATATGTATAAATATATTTTCCATATTATATGCAATATGCAAAATTATTTACATATATAAACATTTATTTGCATCTGTTTATAGATATATGTATATATGTGTGCATATGTATCATATCAGTCATGTGATTTCATGATTAGTCCTCGTTAATATGAGGATAAGAAAAAAAGTTAATTTAAATATAATGATTGATAGAAAAATTGCACAGGTGATATGTAGACTCAGTAAGAATCACAAAAGTGATCCATGAATGAATGCAATTTGAGAGACACTGCTATAACCAGATGAGTTAGCCACTCGAATCCTGTCCTTTTTAGAACTGTGTATGTGCATGTGTATCCAAAGAAATAACAAAAGCATTTTGGGCGTGTAATTAATGCTATCCTAGTGACATAAACAAAGTGAAACAGAGTTTCACAGTGATCGACCTGTCTCAAAGCACCGTCACGGATTCTAATTTTGTTTCTCCCAGGAAACCTGGAAAGTGGGTATTTGTTAATAAAATTATAGACAAGACCTTGGGCACAGTGGGCTTCCTCACAAAAGGCCCAGCTAACGAGCAGGCAATGCCCGTCAGTAGAGAAATGGTTGGTCAGTTCTACTCATCCATTCCAGCTAGCATCTACTGAACCCTTTTTATGTACTAGGAATCTGCTAGGCATTGGAGTTCCAAAGATAGTTAAGAGAGGGACTTGAACTCAAGCAGTTGCAGTCTGGTGGGTGAGAAACCCTGCCCTAATAAAGGCAGATGGAAACATGGAAACTGGAGTGAGCAATTCTGAGAGAAAACAGGGATCTCACCAGGAGGGTGACATTTGAGAAGGGAGAACAGGATTATGGAAGATCAGGAGTGGAAGTGAGGAGGAGGGGCATTCTAGGCAGAGGGGAAAGCATGAAAATTTGGGATAAAATGTTTAAGAGACTTTTATGCAGTGGTTTTTGCGGCTACACAATGGGTTCATTGAAGAAGGTGGCAGGGATTAAAAGTGGGAAGATGGGTTGGAGAAAAGGTAATTTGGTTTGAGATTGGCCAAGTGGGCAGGGACAGAGACACTTATAAGAGCCTTTAGGGTATAGGATGAAGCGGTGTGAGGTAGTGAGACGTGTCTGGAGATAAGAGGAGGACAGCAGGTAGGTCTGGGAACCTACATCGAGAGGTAATACGGGTAGAGAAAGAGGAGACTGATGATCCTGAAAGGATGTGCCAAGGAAGGAGGAGCTTCAACTATATCAAAAATTGGAGGAAAGAGGCCGGGCACAGTGGCTCACGCCTGTAATCTCAGCACTTTGGGAGGCCACGGCAGCTAGATCACGAGGTCAGGAGATCGAGACCATCCTGGCTAATACAGTGAAACCCTGTCTCTACTAAAAATACAAAAAATTAGCCAGGCGTGGTGGCATATGCCTGTAGTCCCAGCTACCTGGGAGGCTGAGGCAGGAGAATCGCTTCAACCTGGGAGGCAGAGGTTGCAGTGAGCCGAGATGGCGCCACTGCACTCCAGCCTGGGTGACAGAGCGAGACTCTGTCTCAAAAAAAAAAAAAAAAAAAAAAAAAACTGGAGGAAAGAGCAGGCTAGGAAGAGAGACTAGAGAATTAGCAGCTGGGTGCTGTTGCGAAGCATTTTTAGTGAATGGGCAGGGCTTGGGCTTAGGAGAAAGTGGGAAGGGAGGGAGATGGGGCGGGTAAGCATAGATTCCTTTCTGGGAGATGTCTCACATCCTGGTAGGTTCCTATTTCCATGTGCTTTCTGTAAGCTTAATTATAGGGTGAGCTGCTGAAAGGGGTTAGGTCCTTCTCTCTGCCGTCATAGGCTCAAGGTACTAAAAGGATATGCGGGGGTGTAAAGGGAGTAAGGAAAGAGCTCTGCCATCACAGGTACTCTCCTTCCCCTGCATGTGGTCCCTTAAATCACCTGAATTAGGCGATATTTTAGTTTTATAAATACACTGTAATGAGGGTAGGTATTTTCATGGAGAGGCCACGCACAGTTACCTGGAGTAACAGAATACTGGAACTGTCAGAGACATAAAAGATTATCTAGCCCAGTGTTTCTGAAATCTCTTAACAGAATACCAATTCTAGGAGACTTGCATAATCTTTTTTATTGTTTTTGAGTATCACGTGGAGCTAATGTTCTATATTTTGAAAAATTCTGGTTCAGTTTAACCTGCTCATTTTACAGATGACAACACTGAGGCCCAGAGAAGTCAGCATTTTGTTCAGATTCAGTCAACTCAATAGAGGTTAAATTTCTTCATTTTATTTATTCTTTTGAGATAGTCTCACTGTGTCACCCAGGCAAAAGTGCAATGGCATGATTTCGGCTCACTGCAACCTCCGCCTCTCAGGTTCAAGCTATTCTCCTGCCTCACCCTCCTGAGTAATTGGGATTACAGGTGCACACCACCACACCCGGCTAATTTTTGTATTTTTAGTAGAGATGGGGTTTCGCCAAGTTGGTCAGGCTGGTCTTGAACTCCTGACCTCAGGTGACCCACCCTCCTTGGCCTCCCAAAGTGCCGGGTGGGTGGCGTGAGCCACCGCAGCTGGCGAATTTCTTCACTTTAAAAGAGCATGGAAGGCAATGTAAATTACAGCTTAATGCACGTACAGTGTAGTCAGACAGGCTGAGCTTGCATCCCAGCCTTACTACTGTATCAGTTAGTTGTTGCCATGTAACAAACTACTCCCAAAACTCAGTGGCTAAACCAACATTTATAATTACTCCCATGTTTTTGGCTCATTCAAGGTTCAGCTGATCTATGCTTGACACAGCTGAGTAGCTCTGCTTCAGGTTGCAGCAGCTGGGGCAGCTCTGCTCCTTGCTGTAGGTATGTGGGTTTCCTGGATGACTCTGCGCACATATCATCTTTCTTGGATCAGCGGATCACTCAGGGCATGTTTTACTCGTGATGTTAGAAACACAAGAGAGCTAAGTAGAAACAAGTAAACAAGTGGGGCTTCTTAAGGCCTTGGCTCAGAACTAGCATGTTGTCACACCCAAAGTGATGTGCCCAAAGTCAAGGGACGGGAAATACACTCTGCCCACAACGAGGCCAAAGCAGAAATGTGGAAGCAAGGAAGGATGGAGAGTTGGGGCCAATAATTCAACCTATTATAACAACTACTAGCTTTGCACTGTGGTGCAACTCACTCGGCTTCATCTGTAAAATATGCAGCATGATAGTACCTACCTCATGGGTTTTTTTTGGAGGGAGGAGCAAGTAATTCAGGTAGTTCTTATAAACCATTTAGAACAATGCTTAAATTTAGAAAACACAAAGAAAATTAGTGACAGTACTAATATTTAATCCATCTAACCATCAACACCTGTGCATATGAGGTCTATCCCACCAGAGTGGCTATAGGAGGGTTAGGGTTGACTTCGCAGATTGGCCTAGTGTCAGCTGATTCTCTTCCAGCAGAAGGGCTTGAAGGAGTGACCTTCGGAACAGTCCCCAGTCGCTCATTTATAAGTCCCCTTTTTCCTCTCTCATAACTGCATCATAGCCACAAACTCAAGACCCAACCAGCATGGGCTTGCATTGTGTTGCCTGGTCTCCCCACCCGCCTCGGCCCTGTGTATCTCACACCCAGAGTCAGCAGTGCTTTTCACACAAACCATCTGCCAAGAGATGTGGAGCTGGAGCCAGAAACACACAACAGCTGCAGAAGCTCAGCCACATTCAGAAGCCTGTAGTAATCGCCTAACAGGCTTGGATACAGCTCTGACTGCTGAGTAACTCTAGAGTATGGAAGCCCATCAGTAAATTATGATTGCAGCATGAGTAATACATGAGTTCTGCCAGCTGCTTCTGGAATCAAACAAAAGACAGTGCTGTTGCCAGCCAGGAAAAAGTCACCTTTAAGTGCATCACTGTCTTCTTTTTCAGGCTAGGAGAGCCGGTGACTAAGACTAGCTTCTATTAGAGGCCCCCTTTTTCTCTCCTAGAGATCTTTCTAATGAAACTCATGGCTTATAACCCCTACCAAGCCCATCTTTTCACCTTATGCCCAGGCAGTTGAGAACACAGACTCCGGTGCCAGATAAATCTGGGTTGGAGCCCCATTCAAAAATGTGACAGCTGTGTGACCTTGGGTAAGTTGTTTCACCTTTCTGTAGCATGAGGATAACAATATTACCCTTTAATGAGGGTTACATGATTTGAAGCATGTCAAATGCTTAGCAAAATATAGGTGTATAACAAATGTTCAATATAATATTAACTATCATTATTTTTTTGTATCTCCCTGTGCTACTAGGGTAATTGCTCCTAAGAGTACCCTGCCTCCAAGAATCTGTATAAATGTTGTTCCATTCCATCCCACCTCTCTCAACACATCTCATTTCTTTCCAACTCTTTCTATTCTATACATATTTTTTGAGCTTCTACTCTGTGCCCAACACTGAGTCAGGTACTCAGAAGATATAAACAGAAAAAAACACAGAAACTTGCAGCTAAGGAGGTTTTTGTTGGGGTCACAGCTAGACATGCAGTAGATTGTTGTTATTCATGGTGCTTATGTTCTGTAAACCACGAACACGAGGTTAGGGTCACTGCAAGCTTCTGGTCACGACATTTTCGTCAACACATTAATACATAACCCTGCTTTATTTGTGTCTTGGTGTAAAGACAAACCATTTGGTCTCCGTGGCTGATTCATTAACATTGAACTCATAGCCAGAGGCACTCCTGCCTGAACAAAGCTTACCTAACACATAAGTTTTCTCCTAAGGCATATCACAGCTTTGTGATGTTTAAGAAGTAGATGGCACTTCAGCACTAGACTTGGGACCATTGTAAATGGTGAAAATGGCAATAAAGAGCACAAAAATATTAAAAACTAATGCACTAAATATATCACAAAAAGGACACTTGTTTATAGTATGAGGGCTGAGCAGAAGTTCTGCTTCACCTGGGAATGTGTTTATCCAGGGACTCTGTGCATGTATTCAAATGACTGGGAAAGTGCTTTTGAGGTTACAAATAAATTCTAGCCAGTAGACAAATTTACACATACAGAATCTATAAATGATGAGGATACACTGTATATAAAAATGACTATGCAAGTCAGACTGCAATAAAGTTTCCATAGAAATACAGGGCAATATAGCACAGACCAGAGAGAAACTGCTCCAGTCTAGGGTAATCAATCAGGCTCCACTAACTGAAATGAGACTTTTAAGGACATTTCTGACACAGAGGAGACAGTAGTGATGGAAGCAGGAGGAATTAAAATATGTGGCTAAATGCAGCCAGATTACCCAGATTGGGGCCAGAGGATGGAAGGATTTTGGCTTCCATCACTGTACAGTGTAACCCAGATTTGACTGGATTCCCCGAAGCAGGCCTCTCCTCACTCACACCCATTACAAGCAAGAGCCAACACTTAGAGATGCCAAAACAACATAAAACAGATGCAACTCCGTGATGTTAGCTAGTAACACAACTTTTTTTGTTTTATTATACTTTAAGATCTGGGGTACATTTTGAGCAGAAAGTGCAGTTTTGTTACATAGGTATACATGTACCATGGTGGTTTGCTGCAGCTATCAACCCATCATCTACATTAGGTAGTTCTCCTAATGCTATCCCTCCCTCAACCCCCAATCCCCTGACAGGTCCCGGTGTGTGATGGCCCCCGCACCCGTGTCCATGTGTTCTCATTGTTCAGCTCCCGTTTATGAGTGAGAACATGCAGTGTTTGGTTTTCTGTTCTTGTGTTAGTTTGCTGAGAATGGTTTCCAGCTTCATCCATGTCCCTGCAAAGGACATAAACTCATCCTTTTTTATGAATGCATAGTATTCCATGGTATATATGTGCCACATATTCTTTATCCAGTCTATCATTGATGGGCTTTTGGGTTGGTTCCAAGTCTTTGCTATCGTGAATAGTGCCACAATAAACGTGTGTGCATGAGTCTTTATAGTAGAATGACTTATAATCCTTTGGGTGTATACCCAGTAATGGGATGGCTGGGTCAAATGGTATTTGGTATTTCTAGTTCTAGATCCTTGAGGAATTGCCATATTGTCTTCCACAATGGTTGAACTAATTTAAACTCCCACCAACAGTGTAAAAACGTTCCTATTTCTCCATATCCTCCAGCATCTGTTGTTTCCTGACTTTTTAATGATTGCCATTCTAACTGATGAGAGATGGTATCTCATTGTGGTTTTGATTTGCATTTCTCTAATGACCAGTGATGATGAGCATTTTTTCATGTTTGTTGGCTGCATAAATGTCTTCTTTTGAGAAGTGTCTGTTTATATCCTTTACCCAATTTTGATGGGGTTGTTTGATTTTTTCTTGTAAATTTGTTGAAGTTCTTTGTAGATTCTGGATATTAACCCCTTGTCAGAAGGATAGATTGCAAAATTTTACTCCCATTCTGTAGGTTGCCTGTCCACTCTGATGGTAGTTTCTTTTGCTGTGCAGAAGCTCTTTAGTTTAATTAGATCCCATTTGTCAATTTTGGCTTCTGTTGCGATTGCTTTTGGTGTTTTAGACATGAAGTCCTTGCCCATGCCTATGTCCTGAATGGTATTGCCTAGGTTTTCTTCTAGGGTTTTTATGGTTTTAGGTCTAACTTGTAAGTCTTTAATCCATCTTGAATTAATTTTTGTATAAGGTGTAAGGAAGGGATCCAGTTTCAGCTTTCTGCATATGGCTAGCCAGTTTTCCCAACACCATTTATTAAATAGGGAATCCTTTCCCCATTTCTTGTTTTTGTCAGGTTTGTTAAAGATAAGATGGTTGTAGATGTGTGGTGTTATTTCTGAGGCCTCTTTTCTGTTCCATTGGTCTAGGTATCTCTTTTGGTAGCAGTACCATGCTGTTTTGGTTACTGTGGACTTGTAGTATAGTTTGAAGTCAGGTAGCTTGATGCTTCCAGTTTTGTTCTTTTTGCTTAGGATTGTCTTGGCTATGCGGGCTCTTTTTTGGTTCCATATGAAATTTAAAGCAGTTTTATCTAATTCTGTGAAGAAAGTCAATGATAGCTTGATGGGGATAGCATTGAATCTATAAATTACTTGGGGCAGTATGGCCATTTTCACGATACCGATTCTTCCTATCCATGAGCATGGAATGTTTTTCCATTTGTTTGTGTCCTTTTTTATTTCATTGAGCAGTGGTTTGTAGTTCTCCTTGAAGAGGTCCTTCACATCCCTTGGAAGTTGTATTCCTAGGTATTTTATTCTCTTTGTGGCAATTGTGAATGGGAGCTCGCTCATGATTTGGCTGTCTGTTTGTCTGCTATTGGTGTATAGGAATGCTTGTGATTTTTGCACATTGATTTTCTATCCTGAGACTTTGCTGAATTTGCTTATCAGCTTGAGGAGATTTTGGGCTGAGATGATGGGGTTTTCTAAATATACAGTCATTTCATCTGCAAACAGACAATTTGACTTCCTCTTTTCCTACGTGAATACCCTTTGTTTCTTTCTCTTGCCTGATTGCCCTGGCCAGAACTTCCAATCCTATGTTGAATAGGAGTGGTGACAGAGGGCATCCTTGTCTTGTGCTGATTTTCAAAGGGAATACTTCCAGTTTTTGCCCCTTCATTATGACATTGGCTGTGGGTTTGTCATAAATAGCTCTTAATATTTTGAGATATGTCCTATCAATACCTAGTTTATTGAGAGTTTTTAGCATGAAAGGGTGTTGAATTTTGTCGGAGGACTTTTCTGCATGTATTGAGATAATCGTGGTTTTTGTCATTCTGTTTATGTGATGGATTATGTTTGTAACATAAAATTTTTAGCAGGTCAAAGGAAAAGATGATTTGTGCTGTACAGTGTGTAAAATAAAACTTAATACATGCACAAGTAGATATCTCTCTGTTCTTATGACTAATTTCCTTTCCAGTTCCCAGCCTACTCTTTCTCTTCTCTTCCACAGCCCCTACTATTCCTGGAAATTCCAGTTTTGCACATACATCCCCATGCCACTTCCCCCTTGCATATATACCACTTGGCAGAACAAAAACCAGGTAGTTATCTAAGCCCATCTCCTCTGGAAATCTTAGCAGGAGCTCTGTATTGTTACTCAAGCATGGCTTTCAGTTTTTACTCCATCCTTCATTGAGCCCCTTCCAAGGGGCTTATGCAAATATTCACCCAATAAAATATTTCCTTCATATTTTGGCACAAGCAATAAAGAAGTACAAGGTCCCAGATCAGTTGCCCCTCCCTATCATTGCCTCTGCCTGTTATTCCTGACAGAATAAGCATTTTTCTCATCTTAAACGCATGATCCATGGTTTCTGCAATTTCTAAAGACCCTAGACCAGGCTCTGGCCACACTGGATATTCAATAAATGAATAGATTTCCACTAAACTGATGGCTTTGGGGAAAGAGATATTGTATAATATTTTCTTCCATAAAACTCATAGGTAGGTTTAAGTATTGTTTTCTTATATATTTCACAGCAAAGTTTCATAATTCGTATCACATAAGTTCTAAGCATTGCCTTCTAATAACTCTTATCCAATCACCTAAAGATATTGGTTTTGAAATTTAACAAAATAATTATACACTTTGTCTTGAAGAATAAGCAGGAAGAATAGCTGAAAAAATTCTGAAAAAGAAAAGTAATGTCTTGAGAATAGTTTTACTGGATCTTAGGTGGAATATGCTACTGTAATAACAGTGTTACAGTTCCAGGAATTTGGATGCACAGATCAACAGATGAAAGGCCAGAACCAGACTTGAGTTTATATAAAATTTAAATAATCTTATAAAGCATACAAATCAATGGAGAAAGAAATAACAGGAAAACTAATTTTCTGTTTGGAAAAAAGGGTTGTTTAAAAAAACCATCTCTTACCACACACCAAAATAAATTCAAAATGGATTAAAATGTTAAATGTAAAAAAACTCAAGCCATCAAAGGGAGAAGATGGAAATGAATATATATTGAATTTTCATATGGGAAGGACTTTTTAAGTTTAAAACACAATAGAAGAAACCACAAAACTAAAAATCAGCACACTTGGCTATGTAAATATTTAAAGTGTCAATTCAAGAATAATAAAAGGCAAAGAACAAAAAGAGAAAAATACTTGGAACAAATATGGTAAATAAAAGATTAAAGTACTTTTTTTTTTTTTTTTTTTTGCTCACTGCAACCTCCGCTTCCTGGGTTCAAGCGATTCTCCTGCCTCAGCCTCCTGAGTAGCTGGGATTACAGGTGTGCACCACCACGCCTGGCTAATTTTTGTATTTTTAGTAGAGATGGGATTTCAACATGTTGATCAGGCTGGTCTGACCTCGTGATTCACATGCCTTGGCCTCCCAGAGTGTTGGGATTACAGGCGTGAGCCACCGCGCCCGGCCAAAGTACTTTAAAAAACAAAACAAAACAAAACCTCATTGAAAGTGATAGAAAAAAATAAAAACATCAATAGAAAAAGAGAGGAACAAGTAATTCACAAAAGGAGGAAATACAAATGGCTTATAAGCATGCGAAAAGTTTACCCTCTAAAACAAATTTAAATCAAATCAAAACAAGATACCAATTTTCCACGTCAAACTAGCGAAGATTAAAAACAAGTGAAAAGGCTCAGTAATACATGGCTGAGGTTGGTGAAATGTTCACTCTCTTACATACTACACCTTTTTAGAAATAAACTTGGCAGTGTAGACCAAGAGCTTTTAAAAAGTTATGATAGGCCAGGCATGGTGGCTCATGCCTGTAATGCCAACACTTTGGGAGGCCGAGGCTGGCAGATCACTTAAGGTCAGGAGTTCGAGACCAGCCTGGCCTGGCCAACATGGTAAAACCCCGTCTCTATTAAAAATACAAAAATCAGGTGGGTGTGGTGCTGTAGTTCCAGCTACTTGGGAGGCTGAGGAGGTTGGATCAGCTGAGCCCAGGAAGCGGAGGTTACAGTGAGCTGAGATCATGCCACTGCACTCCAGCCTGGGTAACAGGACAAGACCCTGTCTCAAAAAAAAAAAAAAAAAAGTTATGATAAAATTAAGTAAAAATTCGAATATGAAACAGTATTTGGCCAGGCGTGGTAGCTCATGCCTGTAATCCCCGCATGTTGGGAGGATCGTTTGAGCCTAGGAGTTTGAGACCAGCCTGGGTAACATAAGGAGACCCCGTCTCTTAAAAAAAAAAAAAAAATTAGCCAGGTGTGGTGGTATATGCCTGTAGTCCCAGCTACTCAGGAGGCTGAGGCAGGTCTCTTGAGCCCTGGATGTAGAGGCTTCAGTGAGCCATGATTGCACCACTGCACTCCCGACTGGGTGACAGAGTGAGATTTTGTTTAAAAAAAAAAAGAAAGAAATTTGATAAAGCTATATATGTTTGTTTCTGTAGTTTCCCCTCTAAATAGTCTAGGAAAGAAATGAAAGTTATGCATCAAAATGTCAGCAAGGGTTAAAATGTTCCTTTCTAACCATTTCGTACTGTGTTTAGATAGAATGGATCTAGTGTTTAAAGAAGGATTTCACAATGATGGTATATATTTCTAAATAATTTATATTTGGAATGTTCTAAGACCTCTGTATTATTTTTGTGGTTTTGGAGACATCTTTTATTTTTATTCTTTTTTTTTTTTTTTTTCTTGAGACGGAGTCTTGCTCTGTCGCCCAGGCTGCAGTGCAGTGGCATGATCTTGGCTCACTGCAACCTCCATCTCCCAGGTTCAAGTGATTCTCCTGCCTCAGCCTCCTGAGTAGCTAGGATCACAGGCGTGCACCACCACACCTGACTAATGTTTGTATTTTTAGTAGAGACGGGGTTTCACCATGTTGGTCAGGCTGGTCTTGAACTCCTGACCTTGTGATTTGCCTGCCTCGGCCTCCGAAAGTGTGATTTTTTTATTCTTAAATCAGTACCAATTAACAGGATAAAAATAATTATAGAAGAACCCATATTTATCAGGACTGCTATTTTGAGTACATAAAATATCTAAGACTATCATACATGAATTAATGCAGTATTATTATGGAAAAAGATTCCAGAGACAGTGTCTTTCCTGGATATTTTTATTGGGACACCGGGGCATTCAGATGGCCTATTGAAATGAGACAAGGAGAGACAGTGAGAAATGTTTCTTTCATAGTATTCAGTTGATTTTTAAAGTTTGGGAACAAAAACTATAAAATGAGAACTCTGAGTTATTTCAAACTATGGCATTTGTGTGCTTTAGCTTCCTTAAAATATACATTTTTCTGATTATAAAAATAGTTTATGTTCAGGTGGGAAAATGTAGACATACAGAAAAATGTTTTTAAATGTATGGTCACCAGAGTTAACAAATGTGCTTCTTTAATGATACAAGAAATCTATATCTATAGCAATCAAGAGGGAGGTAGAAAGAGAGAGAGACAGAGAAATAGAGAGATGACAGAGAGAGAGACAGGTTTGGCTGTTTGGTTTAAACATTTGGTAATTATTACCTTTAAACATAAACACAATTGTACATGTTCTGTTGTATGATGGTAGGGGTAGCTAAAAAAGAGGAAAACAGTTTCAACCATAGGATCATTGACTATAAACCAGAGAGATCTCATGGAAAGTAAAGTCACAGAACTAATCCAGGTCTTCCGAAGCTGCCATATTGTTACTGAGTAATGCCTGAAATAAATACTTCCTTCTTTTCTCCGGACCTCCTCTCATCACTTAGACTTAACCCTGAAGGATGGAGTGAGGAATGGCAGAAGTGTGAGGGTAAATAACAGAAATGGGATTAGAATGTCATATATACAATATTTGTTAATGAAAAAAATCTGGACAAGTCATGGCTTATTTTTAGGATCATTAAATAGTTGGAAAGGTCTAAGAATTTCTGGCATCAAAAGGGCATCTTTCAAAATGTCGTGTACTTCTGAGTCTGTCTTTTGCCCTTCACTTTACCATTTTCCTTATGAGCCTTAAGAGCCACAGTCGGCTGAGTTTGAGTCAGGTGAAGCCTACAGCCTTTTGATGCCCTCTACAATCTTCCAACATAGCCTCCTTTGTTATGTCAGTGACCATATGATGCATCCAACCTGAAAGCCAGTGTCCTCCACTTATTGCTATTTTTTAGTATCTGTATCCAAATCAATTGCTAGTGCATGCCTCATCTTTCCGTAAATCTCCTATTAGATTGCAGGCTAGTGGCTTTCATACTTGCTTTATGGAGCTCGAGGGGTTCCAAAGGAGATGCCTGTGGGACTGTCATGGATGGTGAGGGTGAGACCCATGCCTGGACGTCTCTGGGATCTTTACCCCTATTTTACCCCAATTTCAACCAGAGTAATTATACTTTTCTTTAGGTGTAACATATTGTCTTTTACATAATATTTAATTTGGTAAAACGATGCCTCTGCTTAAATAAAAACACATTGGGGAACCCCTAACATAAGTTGCAGGATTTGCTCAGACAAAGACAGCCCAGAGCTGGAAGTGATGGATAGGTGTCCTGTGTGAGGAGTTACTGGCCAAGCCAATAGTCGTTAGAGGTACAGGTTTGAAACTGAACTGTGAGGCATGGGAAGTTGACTTGTATTTTCCACTGGCTGTAGACTGGAAACCAGATAATCATGCTCGTATGTAGAGGCTGGTAATGCTTAGATCGAAGGTTTGAGTGACAGGCTGTTCTAGTAGAGGGGATGGATTTTAAGTCATAAGCTTTATGACATTGATTTTTGTCAGTGGTATGGTTAAGCATGTTTGCTAGAAAGCAAAGTTTTAGGTAGATGAACTGTTACTGTATTCATATTAACATTGTATGTACTTGGATTAGAGAGTTAACATCAGCTCATTTACTCTGTGAGATATACTGCCCACAAACTCAAGGATTTGTAGGAGTTTAGGGACTCTATTGAGTGTACACAGTTATTTCCTTCTAAATTGACATTAAAAATTTAAAATTCGCCACTCAAATCTCAGCAACCAAGTTTTCGTTTCAATCACACAACAGAGCAAAATTTTGCTTTTCTTTGAACACATTCTACGTTACACAGTCTAAGAACTAAAATCAATTTAACCTAGTTTCTATCTCTTTTATGAGCCAAAATTAGGAGTATCAAAAATATGATTTGAAGCCTAGGGCTCTTGCTGACTAGTCATATTTTAAAATTCTGAATCTAGAGATCTTAGACTTCAGTTCCTAGAGTACATGGCAAACTTCATTTTCCAGTGTAACCCTAGATGATACATGTATGCCATCCTTAGAAGGAGTCAGATATCATCATTAAATAATCCATAAACTAAAACTTGTTTTCATGATCCCCTACTAGAAGTCAAGTCCATTTAAAGATCTAATAAAAAGAAGAGAAACCTTAGCAATGTGCTCAGAATACCAGAACATAGGAGGAATATAGGTCTGAGTTTTCAGAAATACGTATGCTGCTGTGGCTCATTTCTTGCCCATGTTTGTATTGCTTCTCTGGGCTGTTACTAGATTTAAAAGAAACAAAAAGGGTGTGTAATAAATTGTTATAATCCCAGCACTTTCGGAGGCTGAGGCAGGTGGATCACCTGACGTCAAGCGTTGAAGACCAGCCTGCCCAACATGGAGAAGTCCTGTCTCTACTAAAAATACAAAAATTAGCTGGGCATGGTGGTGCATGCCTGTAATCCCGCTACTTGGGAGGCTGAGGCAGGAGAATCGCTTGAACCCAGGAGGTGGAGGTTGCAGTGAGCCGAGATCGTGCCACTGCACTCCAGCCTTGGTGACAGAGTGAGACTTTTTTTTTTTTTTTTGAGACAAAGGATTCTTGTCTTAGTGTACTATTTTTGAGCTGGTTGGCATTCATTAGCCCACCCTTAGACCTCATTTTCTCTCCATATAAGATAAAAAATGCCACCACAAACATTAGCTTTTCCTTGTGATGGGCTCTGTAGGGTAGGTTGCCACCTTAGGAGGGTCTAGTTGTGACTGTTTTGCAGGGGAAAAAAATCCTGTTTCTCTTCATTAGTCTCAAAATTTTAGGGAATCACAAATCATCATCACCTTTATCATCATGTCTTTGTAATCATTTATTGAATATTCCACTATTTGCCACATACTGTTAATACAGCCTCCATAAAATTTACGAAAATTTTTTTTCGTATGTATGTATACATTGATACATCCTCAGGGAAATGCTTAGAAATAAGTACCACCAGCTTCATTTTACAGATGACCAATCTGAGGCACAGAGGCTAAATAACTTAACTTGTAAGTGGCAGATCTAGAATTCAAACCCAGGATGGCTTGAATCCCTGGACTCTGACCATGAAGCTTCCTGGTCTATCTCAGAGCAGACCTTAATCTGATCTGAGATAGGCATAGCACTGCACAGGCACTTAGAAGCAGAGAGGACGCCTTTAAAACATCACCATGATGAAGGTGCTAATATAAATTCCAAGACTAAATGTGCAGAGCCCAAGTCACTTGCATTCCTGCCAAAAGATTCAATTTTAAAAATGTTTATCTTTTTGTTCTGTGTGTACCGTACCGTCATTCTGAGATAGCCACTGTTAATATTTTCTAGATAAGATTGAATTTTATATCCTTTTCTGCGGAATTCAAATGCCCTCTACGAGGTTTCCTCTGTGAATTCCCAGGGCAGTTATTTTTTTTTTTTTTGAGATGGAGTCTCGCTCTGTCACTCAGGTTGGAGTGCAGTGGCACGATCTTGGCTCACTGCAACCTCCCCATCCCAGGTTCAGGCAATTCTTCTGCCTCAGCCTCCCGAGTAGCTGGGACTATAGGTGCATGCCACCACGCCCAGCTGATGTTTGTATTTATAATAGAGACGAGGTTTCACCATGTTGCCCAGGCTGGTCTCAAACACCTGAACTCGTGATCCACCCACCTCGGTCTCCCAAAGTGCTGGGATTACAGGCGTGAGCCACTGCGCCGGTCCCTACTTACATTCTTGTAGTTACCTCTGACACTGAGCTGCGGCTTCAATTGACTTTACTTTAATTCACTCACTCTTATGCCTCTCTGTTCAAATTTTGTCAACCCAGATGTGCAGCTCAGCCTTCTACCTCAACTAAAACTAAGAACGGGAGCAATTTCTCCACCCCCAGACAGACACACAGGTACAGATGGACATACAGCCACAATCATAAATACAGAGACACGGGGACTGACATACATTTGTGAGTATTGTGAGTACAACACACTGAACTGACGACTGGAGACAAAGAAGCAGTTTCTACAGAGGCAATGCAAAGAACTTCACAAGTATCAGTCTCCCCTATCTGTTCAAGTCCTTCAGCTGCATACTGTATTGCTTGGCCATTCTTTTTTTTTCTCTTTCCTTTTGTGCCATCCATTGGAATTTCAATTTGGATTATATTAAATTTATGAATTAATTTAGGAAGAATTATCATCTTTCCAATGTTCTACCTTTCTGCTAAAGAGAAAAAAAATCTCTCCATGTTTTTAAATCTTTGTTTATTTATTTATTTTTGAAATGGAGTCTCGCTCTGTCACCAGGCTGGAGTGCAGTGGCGCAGTCTCGGCTCACTGCAACCTCTGCCTCCCGGGTTCAAGCGATTCTCCTGCCTCAGCCTCCCGAGTAGCTGGGACTATAGGCGCCTGCTGCCACGCCTGGCTAATTTTTTTGTATTTTCAGTAGAGACGGGGTTTCACCATGTTCCCCAAGATGGTGTCGATCTCTTAACCTCAGTTGATCCACCCGCCTCGGCCTCCCAAAGTGCTGGGATTACAGGTGTGAGCCACTGTGCCTGGCCTAAATCTATCTTTTGATAAAACTTCACGGATATTTTCATATGTACCCTATGCATTTCACATTGTGCTATTACAATTGTGATTTACTAATCAGATACCCTAGTATCTATGGAAGATAAATCATTTAATAAGTCGCTGAAATAATTTGCTAATATTTTATTTGGGATTTTTGATTTTTCACATGTAAGGAGTAGTTTTCTTTTTTCAGCTATTTTAGGTTAGCTAACAGAATTCTACTAGCTTAAAAGAATAGATACCTAATTTAAAACAAAGTTCTTATATTACATAAACTCATTAGCAAAACCAGCTGGCCCTATGGATTTTTGGTGAGATAAGTTAGGCTTTTTACTTTTTGAGTTCAACTTTAGGAATTTATATTTCCTAATAAAAATCATTTTATATATATTTTTAAACTTACCTGAAAATTGTACATAGTTCCCGTATGATTAAAGCATCTTCTTAACAAGATTTACTTCGTTTTACTCTCAATTTTAGTTACAAAGAGATCCCAGAGGCTCACTATTGTGAATTCTACCCACACCTAAGAACATCTTTTAGACTTCTCATTTTTCTCTTTAGTTAGGTTTATTTTTTCTCTCTGCCTTTCCTGGTTGTATTAGTTCTTTTGTGTCCGGAATTTATTCATTCCGGTGGGTTCTTGGTCTCACTGTGGACCCTTGCGGTGAGTGTTACAGTTCTTAAAGATGGTGTGTCCAGAGTTTGTTCCTTCAGATGTGTCTGGAGTTTCTTCCTTCCAGTGGGTTTGTGGTCTCGCTGACTTCAGGAGTGAAGCCGCAAACCTTCCCAGTGAGTGTTACAGCTCTTAAAGGTGGCGCATCCAGAGTTGTTTGTTCCTTCCGGTGGGTTCGTGGTCTCACTGACCTCAGGAGTGAAGCCGCAGACCCTCTCAGTGAGTGTTTCAGCTCATAAAGGTAGTGCAGACCCAAAGAGTGAGCAGCAGCAAGATTTATTGTGAAGAGCAAAAGAACAAAGATTCCACAGTGTGGAAGGGGATCTGAGCGGGTTGCCGCTGCTGGCTCAGGTGGCCAGCTTTTATTCCCTTATTTGGCCCTGCCCACATCCTGCTGATTGGTCCATTTTGCAGAGAGCTGATTGGTCCATTTTACAGAGTGCTGATTGGTCCTTTTTACAGAGAGCTGATTGGTCCATTTTACAGAGTGCTGATTGGTCCATTTTACAGAGTGCTGATTGGTGCATTTACAATCCTTTAGCTAGACACAGAGCACTGATTGGTATGTTTTTACAGAGTGCTGATTGGTGCATTTACAATCCTCTAGCTAGACAGAAAAGTTCTCCAAGTCCCCACTTGACCCAGGAAGTCCAGCTGGCTTCACCTCTCACTTTTAAAACTGTTGAGCAGAGTTCTTGATTTATTTATATTCAGTAGTAAGCAAAGTATTTGAAACTATACCTGACACTTGAATAACACAAGTTTGAGCTTCATGGGCCCACTTACACCCAGCTGTTTTTCAATCACAGATGGAAAATACAGTATTCACAGGATCTGAAACTCACATAAACAGATGGGTCCAACTTTTCGTATATGCGTGTTACTAGAGTGGAGTACAGGAATTGAGTATGTGTGAATTTGGTTGTACACAAGTGGTCCTGGAACCAATCCCCTGTGTGTACCAAGGAACAGCTATGTAATGTTTTAGATTCACTGTAGCAGTTTTGAAAGTAGGATTCTTAGATGGGCACGGTGGCTCAAGCCTGTAATCCCAGCACTTTGGGAGGCCGAGGTGGGTGGATCACGAGGTCAGGAGATCAAGACCATCCTGGCTAACCTGGTGAAATCCATGTCTACTAAAAACACAAAAAAATTAGTTGGGCATGGTGGTGGGCGTCTGTAGTCCCAGCTACTCCGGAGGGAGGCTGAGGCAGGAGAATGGCGTGAACCTGGGAGGCGGAGCTTGCAGTGAGCCGAGATCACGCCACTGCACTCCAGCCTGGGCGACAGAGCGAGACTCTGTCTCAAAAAAAAAAAAACAGTAGGATTCTTATTTTTTATTGTCTAAAAATCCTGTCTTTTTACTTTTGATTTTTTTCTGAGAATTAATAATTATTTGGAAGACAGCTTTAACAATTTTTTTTTTTTTTTTTTTTTTTGAGACTGAGTCTCACTCTGTCGCCCAGGCTGGAGTGCAGTGGTGCAATCTCGGCTCAATGCATGCTCCGCCTCCTGGGTTCAAGCGATCCTGCCTCAGCCTCCCGAGTAGCTGGGATTACAGGTGTGCATCACCATGCCCAGCTAATTTTTGTATTTTTAGTTGAGACGGGGTTTCACCATGTTGCCAGGCTAGTCTTGAACTCCTGACCTTAGGTGATCCGCCCACCTCGGCCTCCCAAAGTGCTGGGATTACAGGCGTGAGACACCATGCCTGGCTGACAGCTTTATGATTTTTGAGAAGTTGGTTTTCTTTTTTTTTGTTCAACAATATATTGTTAAACTTGATTTACTGTGTTGTGGTGTGGGATTGTTTTGTTGTGGTTTGAGAGTATTGTATGGAAAATTTCTTTTGTTGGGCTTCAGTGAGTTGAGAGGGAGAGGAAGAGAGAGTGTGTGTATGTATAGTACAGCAGGAGTAACAACAGGGTTGATATTCCACAGTTGTATACTAGTTTGTCTGTATTAGTTGTTAAAAGAGTGAAATAATTGTGTATGATTTGGTAAATAACTGCTGCATGGGCCGCCTATGTTCCCCCTGTCCTGCCACCTTGGCTTCCCCAGTCCCGCTACCTTAGACTCTCTAGACTTCCCAGTAATTTAGCAATGAAAGGGTTAATGCTAGCCCATTAGGGTTTTTCAGATCCATTTCCTGGTGCTCAGATCAGTGTCCATTTTAATCGGTTGGTCCAGGTTGAATTTCACCTTTGAGCAACACCAAACTTATTTAAGTTAGGCAAATTCAACTATATAATTCTTGATCGAAAACATGTAGAAAATAAGTATAATATAAACAATGCAGGTGATTTCACTTGCCCTTTCACTTCATATGCCCCACACTGAGCTTAGTCCCAATTCTTGTGGTCTCTCATACGCTCACCATGTTTGAAGGCATACATACTTTTTATGCTGTCTGGTTCCTGAACACCACTTTATCTGGTTCTCACCCAAAGAAACAGGGATCTGTTTGTGAAACTTACATTAGCAAAAAAGAAAAAAAAAAAAAAAAAAGAAACATTAATCTCTTCCAATGCTGGAGGAAAACCTACCTGTTTCATTGGTGAATAAATGATATATGTCCACATTTCCCTTTATGGGTTATTTTAAGGATTGCCAAGAGTCCTTTTGTCTATATACGATTGCACTGATCTTTGTAACCTCGACTCCTATAGAATGTGTTGCTCCACTGGCTATATATGTAATTATAAAGACATATATCTTATATATGTCTTACATAAAGATATACATATCTTTATAATTATTTAAATGTTATATTTGATTTTTAGTCTACTTTATCTGTCAAAATGGGAGTGGTGTGGTGCTATCTTCTAAAACTATTATGTTTTCCTTACATTTTTTTGCTTTTAACAGTTTATCCTTTATATATTTGATCCTATATGATTTGGAGAACAAAGATACATAGCTGTTATGCCTCTACTGTGGATTTTACTTTCTAGCAACATAATATGAGAGACTATGTTCTACTTTATGCCTTCAATCTTGAGTTTTACCTTGTCTGAAACTAGTATTATTTTTGCTTTCTTTTCTTTCTTCATTCTTTTATTGGTCCTTTTTTCTTTTAATTTATTCGTTAAGTTCTCTGCCTATCTCTGTTTTTAAGATTTTATGATTTTTGTTCTAAGTGAATGTTCCACAAGCATCATCTTGGAAGATTTAATTTTCTTCTGCTGTCTGAAAGTATTTGTCTTTCTATAGGTCACTTAAAACATTTACCTTTAAATCATAAATGCTAGTCAATCTTAACTTCTAACATATTGTTTTATACTTTATTTTTTACACTTTCCTGTTTTTCCTTTTTGGTTTTTGTTTTCTTTCTTTTGCTTATTTGGCTTATATTTTGTTTATATTTATCTTCCCTGGTTATTTTGATGTATACACCCTGTTTTTTATTTTATTAATGGCCACCTTCAAGTTTTTCAAAAGTGTTATTTAACCTGTACTTCTCTATTTCTAGTATTAAATAGTGAAAGTATATTTTGAACACTCATGTGTCAATGAGGAACTCTGCATACTGTAACTTTCTCTCATCCTTCCTTTTCCCTTCCAAGTCTTTGCTAATTTACCATGAAATCTGAGATATATGTTACTTTTTGCAGTAGTTATTTTCAAGAGGAACTTTGACTTAAAATATACTTTCATGATGAAAATACATTTTTCAGTCTAATTCCATTGGCCTTTATGGTTACTAGATGTGACAATAAGTCTATTGACTACTTGGTTAGCACTGTAGTTACAATTTTTAAAAAATATTTTCTCATCTTTAGTGGGAAGTTGGAAGAGACTGACAAGGATGCTAGTCAAATGACATTTTAAATCTGAGGTCCGGACTTCAGAATTAAGTGGATATACTTCCATTACATGATGCTGTTAATTAAATGTGACCTAACATTGGTGTGTTTTAAAATCCTTTGTTTTCTTTAATTAAAAAAGAAACAGGTATAATGGGTTTGGATTTTTAGTTATAACAGTCTGCACATTTAAACTTTATTTTTTTGAATTGTGCAAAGTAACAGAACATAAATCTCTATTACCATTGAGATTTCAGCTGCATCTTGGAAGAGATTGGACTTCAGCAGATAAACATATGTAGAGAAGGGCATCCTTGGCAGGAGAAATAATGTCACAATGTCCAGGAAAGGAAAGCTTGCAGGGAGTTTGGGGCTAAAAAGACCAAAGGTAAAAATTTGCAGTAGTTGAAGTGAGAGAATGAGGATATGAAAAGGAATGTGAGGGACAATACAGAGCTAGAATGGACAGACAATGGACTGGATATTAGCAGTGAAAGAGTTGTTGACAATAACTTGGAGTTTTTAAGCATCTGTACTTGTGAAGGTGAATCTTTACGATACAATGAGAGAAAGAGTGAAGGTTGAGAGGAGAGAAGATACTAAGTTCTTACTGGACATGTTGCATTTGAGATGCCTATGTAGGTGTCCAGCAGGCACTTTCATAACATGCATTTATTATTGGGAAGACAGAATTAGAGACCTAGATTTGGAACAGGTGCTAAGCAAAGTCCTGAAAGTTGGTGAGATCACTGTGAAAACGGAAATGGGGACTTCCGTAGCACTGGTCAGGCCATAATTTCTGGGCTAAGGCCATAGCCACTTGCTGAGTTTTGGCAAGGAGGGTGAATGGGAAATGAGATCCAAGAGAAATCTGCTATTTTAGATTCATAGTCTTACATGTGGTCCAGAGAGTACTCGTGTTTCTACTGGGATGATCAAAGTACTAAGGCAAAGGGGTTCCCAGTCAAACAATGGATATGGAGAAGCTACTGTGCCCAACTTTGTTAGGAAAAAGGAAGAGTTATGAATTCTATCACTGTTCCGGATGTTTTACATTTGAGATCTCCTTTAGTCATCGCTGTTGCTTATTTTGTCTAAGCCAGTTTCCTCATCCGTGGTATGGAGGTATAATGTCTAATTCATATGGTGGTTGTGAGAACTCATTAAAAACAATGCACGTTAAAGTAACTAGACTGTGGAAGTTACTTAATAAGTTAAAGCTATTGTTAATGATTTTTGTAACTATTCGTGTGTCATTGAAACACTGCTATTGTGAAACACAACTAGCAAACACTTGATAGTAGTGATTTGCACACTGCTCTTTAAAGAGCCGCTCTAGGGAGGTACCCAAAGGGAGTGCTTCAAGATTGAGGGAGCATGTACAAAGCTGGGCTTCTGTTTCTTTATCAACCCACAGGAAGCATGGTGTTATCTGTGTGCGTTGCTTGAAATGAGCGTAGGTAGACCTAAAAGCACCAGGGGAGGGAGCGGTGATTGAAACTAGAGAGAGCATTGGCAAGAGAGGGTTGTCCCCAAGAACTGTGGCTTCTGTAGATGGCTCAACAGAGACGGAGCTGGGAAAATAAATAGCCTGACCACACTGTCCTTCCACCCTTGTATGTCCTGCTGGCACTTTCTGCTACCTGAACCCAGTGGGACATAGGTAGCCATCATGGATCCAGGGTTGAGTGGAGAAGGGAGGAGAGCAGCCAGGGAGGGGGCACACCTTGTCAGAATGAAGAGAAGAACCGAGAAACAGCCTGGTTTTAGCAAGTGAGACTCATACACTGTGATGTTGAAATTTGTGTACTAAATGTGACTTAAGAATAGAGCCAGCCCATGACCAGAATATCTGATTTGAACATTTAATGAAATTGCCTCTCTGGCTTTCATGTTTTAGATGGCTTTTCCTCAAGTGACTGCAGAGATAGGCTGTGTCTCCTTACTTCCAGAACAACATATATATATATGTACACACGCACATTGTCTACATAGGAAGATAAAGGAGAAGTTGTTTTCCTAAGCCATTAGTGTCATGAAATGCATGGCAGCTGCTGTATATAGGATCATGGCCTGTCATACTGCCATACCTACTGGCTACCAGGTTTATATAGTCAGTAAGACATAACCCCTTCCATGTGGCATCTGGCAGGTTTCCCAGGGTAGAGGAAAGCATGAGCCAAGTCTTGAAGGCTGAGCAGGAGTTAGCCAGTTGAATGTGGAGAGAAGAGAAGTGTTGGAGGAAGGCAATGCAGACAGGGAGTATAGCTCATGAAAAACTGGAAAAGAGGTTGGGCGCGGTGGCTTACGCCTGTAATCCCAGCACTTTGGGAGGCTGAGGTGGGCAGAACACGAGGTCAAGAGATCGATACCATCCTGGCCAACATGGTGAAACCCTGTCTCTACTAAAAATACAAAAATTAGCTGGGCGTGGTGGTGCATGCCTGTAGTCCCAGCTACTTGGGAGGCTGAGGCATGAGAATCGCTTGAACCCAGGAGGCAGAGCTTGCAGTGAGCCGAGATCACGCCACTGCATTCCAGCCTGGAGACAGAGCAAGACTCCGTCTCAAAAAAAAAAGGAAAAGGAGAATATGTAAAGAGCGTAGCTCATGCGAAGATGCTATGGATGATTCATAAAGAAGAGCTCCCAGTGTGTTTGGAATGATGTTACTGCCATCGGAATGAATATGGGGACTGGTAGGGGCCCATGGGGATTACACTTAATACATTTATACCTAAAGTTTCTCAAGAACTCTCTCTTAACGAATGCGCATAGGCCTCCGACTCTTGAGATATTTAGGCCTGCAGTTTGATAGAGGAAAAACAGACATAAAATCCAGTTGGAATTTCACCTGGCAAATGTTTATCTGTCGTTTGGAAGCACACAGGATTTTTTTTTTAATTGAGGCGAGGGAATGTGATCAGACAAGCTACTTCCCAAATAGGTGGCACACAATCACAGAAATAATTCACATATGGCCTGGAAGACAATAGATTCCAAAATTGTAGTAAAGCAATTCCTAAACTAAATGGTACAAGGCTGGAGGGCCTCTGAGCCCTCTTCCAGTACTGAGCTAAGAATATGTCCCCTCTAGTGAGCTGGAGAACTGTGCTTCAGAACCTAGAGCTCCTGTCCTGTTCGAGAGGGAAGAAAAGCAACATATAGGGAGGGAAAAGAGAATTCTTGGAGCAAAATATTGGGAGAGTATATTTCATTGTCAGGTTGAACAAACAGAATTCCACAAGACAGTGTTGCCAGGAATAGAATATCGACTGTGCACACACTTCTAAAGATGAAGAAAATGTAAGTGGGGGTTCTTGGGCTTAGAGACACATATGTGGGCTCTTTGGGTTAGGTTAGGTGAGTGGTCTCCCTGAGGTTCAGCTGGCAAAGACCCAAGAAGCAACTTCTTAAGCTCATCTCCAAATAGCCCCCTGATCTCCCCAAGGCTGCCACCACATTGCCAGGCTGGTTGTGAAACTGCTTTTCCAGAATTGCTTGCACGTGCAGAGAACTGGTCTCCTGTTAAGGTCAGCCCTGTAAAAAAGGGGGCAAGAATCAAAGGACTCTTGAAGGAAACACAGGAACTCTTCCTTAGCTCTTGATCGGCCTGTTTCCTGCCCATGTGGGTTTGAAGTGTGAGGGAGGGTAAGCACACAGCAGGACACAAAGCCATGAGCCGTCCTTCCTTCTAAGGGTGTCTTAGCTCCAAGATGACTTTAAAAACAGTCTTCCTCTGGGGATGACACAGGCCATAATTTCACACAGATTTACTTGATCAAACTGGCTTTGTGCCATGATAATACCAATAGTCCTTTACACAGAAATCAATGATTTAGAAGCTATCACCCTGTTTTACACATGAGGAAACTAAGACAGAACTTCAAGACCAAAGTTCTTAATGACTCCACTGTCCTGTTAATCATGTCAGGCAATTAGTAATTCACAAAATAGTCACCTGGGTTTAAGATGTATTACTTTCAGTTACTGCTAGAATTGTTCCAGTTCAACTCATACATATTTAAAATGAGTAGTCTGTCAAACACAGTGCTTGGTGCTGGGGCGTTGAAGACAGAAAGCTCATTGTCTAAGGAAGAAGACAGACATGTCAATATTTAATTAGAACAATGTCATTAGATTGATTAGTTGTGTGTGCCTTCCTATAAATAAAAATCTTTATTTTAAAATTATAGAGGAAATGAAATACAAAACTAAGCATGCAAAGCAATAAGTGAATATCTTCTATGGTGCTGCTTCTCTCAGCCCCCATGTGCCTGCCAGTTTTATCAGCAACAGGTAACACTGTTATCAGGTTGGTGTATGACTTCTAAGCTTAGATGTCATCGTACTGTTCTACATCTTGTTTTCTTCACTTTATATTTCAAGGCTCATGCAAACTTATAATACCCTATTACATGTATGTACCGTTATTTATTTAGAGATGCTTCTGTTGATGAACTTTATATTGTTTACAGTTTGTGGCTATATGCTGCAATGAATATCCTTGCCATATCTTTGCATATTTTTACTGGTAAATATGAAAGATACATTTTTATTATAATTGTTAAAGTTAATATACAGTATAATTGGCTTTTGTGTGTATACAACTCTATGAGTTTTAACACATACACTCATGTATCTGCCACTAAGAACAGCGATCAGGATACAGAATAGTACCATCACCCCAAAAATCTTTTTTGTGCTGCCCCTTTGTAGTCAGATTTCTCCCAGCCCTAATCCTTGGCAGCCACTCATCTGGTCTCATCCCTACAGGCCTGCCTTTCTTAGAATGTCATATAAATGCAGTCGGACAGTAGGTAGAAGATGATTTTAGCTTCTTCACTCAGCATAATGCCATGTTGCTGCAAGTAGCAATAGGTTTTTTCTTTTCATTGTTGAGTAGCATGGATATACTATAGCTTGTTTATGTATTTATCCACTGAAGGATATTTGGGTGCTTCCAGTTTGGGGTGATTATGAATAAATAGAGCTGCTATAAACATTCTATTTTTTTTTTTTTTTTTTTTGGCGGGGGGGACGGAGTCTTGCTCTGTCTCCCAGGCTGGAGTGCAGTGGCGTGACCTCGGCTCACTGCAAGCTCCGCCTCCCGGGTTCACGCCATTCTCCTGCCTCAGCCTCTCGAGTAGCTGGGACTACAGGTGCCCACCACCACGCCCGGCTAATTTTTTGTATTTTTAGTAGAGACGGGGTTTCACCGTGTTAGCCAGGATGGTCTTGATCTCCTGACCTTGTGATCTGCCCGCCTCGGCCTCCCAAAGTGCTGGGATTACAGGCGTGAGACACTGCGCCCGGCCAACATTCATTGTATGAATGTACATTTTCATTTCTGAAGGGTAAATGCCTACAAGTGGGATTGTTGGGTGATACGTAAGTGTATGTTTAACTTTATAAGAAATTGTTAAACCAATTTCCACAGTGGCTATACCACCCATTTTAAATTACTTCCATCAATGGATGAGAATTGCAGTTCCTACACATTCTCTTTAGCACTGGGTATTATCAGGTTTTCTTTTTTCTTTCTTCTTTTTTTGTTTTTTGATCTGTTCTAATAGGTTTGTAGCAGTATCTCATTGTGGTTTCACTTAGCATTTCCATAATGTTTAATGATATTAAACATCTTTTGTGCTTATTTGCCATCTATACATTTTCTCTGGTGAAGTGTCTCAAATCTTTTGCTCATTTAAAAAAATTGAGTTGTTTTCTTACTGTTGAGTTTTGAGAGCTTTTTATGCATTCTAGATGCAAGTCATTTGCCAGATATGTGATTAGCAAATATTTTCTCCCAGTTCATGGTTTGTCCTTTTATTTTCTTAACAATGTCTTCCATAGACTAAAGTTTTAAATCTTAATAAAATTTAGCGTAACAATTTCTTTTTTATTCATGGTGTCTATGACAGCTAATTTTTGGTGTCATAGCTAACAATCACTTTCTAACTCCAGTGTCATGAAGATTTTCTTCTATATACCTAAAGTTTTGTATTTTAATGTTTTACACGATGTATTTTTAGTGAATTTTTGTATACATGGGTGGTTTTAGGTTAGGGCTCTTTTTTTGCATATTGATGTCCAAGTGTTCCAGTATTATTTGTTGAAAACAACTTCATTGAATTGTTAGACATTTTTGACGTGAGATGGTGTAATATAGTTTAATTGTTGAAAGAATGGAGTGAAACCAGTCCACCTAAATTTCAGTCTCAGCTCTGCTACAAATTAGCTGTGTAACAATCACCAAGTATTTAATCTTTCTTTGTCATAGTCTCCTTTTCTGTTAAATGGAAACAGTCATAGTACCTACTGCCTAGATTGCTATGAGGATTGAGTTATTATGTGTTGACACACTTAGAGTAGTACCTGACATAATAAGTGATGAATTAGGGTTAGCTTTTATATAACTTTTCAGTTATTGTAGATATTGCGAGCACGTCCTGTAAACATGTTTTACTAATTACACTGCCCATCAACAATATAGATGTTTCTATTCAACAGCCAGCACCAGATATTATGACCCTCTCCATTCTTTGACAATTTGATAGGCAAATAATGAGATGTCTTTTTAGTTTGTATTTTGAGATCTGTGGTCAGGTTAAACATCTTTTCAACTTTTCACATGTTGTGAGTATATCAGCTTTTGATGAGTAACAAGGCATCCAAAACATAATGGTAAAACAGCAAACATTTATTATGACTTATGCTTCTGTATGTCATCTGGGAAACTCTTTGGCTTAAGCTGGATTGGTCTCTCATCCTCTAGCGGGTTAGTCTTGGCGTCTCCTCATGATGGCCTCAGGGTTCCATAGAGCAGCAGCAAGAGTGCAAGCCCAGTGGGAGAGCCCAGTGGGCAAGCACTTTTCAAGCCTCTGCTTATGCCACATTGGCTAATCCTCCATTGATCAAAAGAAGTCCCATGGCCAAGCCTAGATTCAAGAGATGGAGAAAGAAACTCCACTTCTTGATGGAATGAAATGCAAAATATTGTGACCACTTTTTCATGAATCTACTGCGACTGGCTGTTTGTGTTTCCTTCTCTGTGAATTGCTATTGGTTCAACGACTTATGAAATTTCTTTATATGTTATACATATTAACTCCTTAAGTTTTACATGTAACATACGTTTTACATGTAACAGTATTTTTCTACTTGGTCATTTAACTTCATTTATATAATCTTTTGCTGTATAGAAGGTTTTGGCTTTTTCTGTGATAAAATCTATCAGTGTTTTTTCTTCATGACATTGGATGGCCAGAATGTAAGCTTTTTGAAGGCAGAAACCATATTTTATTTTTTATTATTTTCTTGACCCACAGAAAGCAGCACAGAGCCCAGCCCATAGTAATAAAGGTTTATTGAATGAATGCATTCACTGAAGGCCAATCTCACTCACTCATTTATTTATTTATTCATTCATCAATGTTTATGGAATACCTATTATAAACCAGGCATTGTGCTCATTGTTAGAGATACAGCGATGGGCAAAATTGACTTTTAGATGGTGTTTAGACTAAAGCATGGTAGGTAGTAATGGAACTTATTATCAATGAGACATAGGTTCAAATTGTATCTTTCTACTTATGTGACCTTGGGCATATCCCTAAACATTCCTGAATTTCAGGGTTTTTTAACCTATAAAATTGAGTGTAAATGCTTTCCTTCAATAGTGTGAGAATTCAAGTGGACAATGTTTGTAAAGCACTTAGCATTGTGTTTATTATGTATTATATAATAAAAATTGTCAGCTTCCTTTTCTACATGGTATAATCTCAGGCCTACTAGGAAGGCTAGGTGACTTCTTTTGTCAATCTCCTCTTAGCAAATATAATCCTGAATTTCTTCCATTATAGACTCGTTTCTTTGATTTGCTCCTCCAATCGTTCTCCGTGAATTGTCACTTTGAGCAATTCTTGCTTATTCTCCTCTTTGTGCAGGCAAGTCAGTCAAATTGCCTTCTCTGTTGGGAGCAGAAGAACAGGGCACTGAGGAGACACTGAATTTTGTTCAGTGCTGTCTTGGAAGATAGATATGCTTGGTTGTGGGTGTGGGTATGTACGTCTTTGAGCAGCATAAGGGTAGTTGGGAACTTGGCAGGTAATTGAATCAGGAGAAGAGCCCAGAAAAAGGTGGTCTGGTTCCAAAGATGCATTTTTCCCATACCGGGTATCCTGGTGCTGATAAACACAGTGCATTTAGAGAGCATCCCACTCCTGAGACAAAGTGAGTAGGGAAGATGATGAGGCAGCACTGCCAGGCTTAAGGGAATCTGTAAGGTGGCCAAAACTCCTCTCTAGATATTCTCAATTTCTCTGTCCTGTACCCTTTCTAGCTTTTTAGCCACCTCTCCTCAAAATCTTTTTTCTCTTCCCCCAATTTCTACCAAACTCCAGGATTCTCCAGGCGCCCTCCTGCCAGATGTATATACATTCCATATTCCCTCACACTAAGGACTTGGCTGTTAACACTGCTACTCTGGGGTGACAGAAAGGGCCCTGGAGAGAAATCAGCACTTGAGGGCTGGCTCTACCACTACCCTTTGTGCAATCACCAACTGGTCTCTTTTCTATATGCCTCAGATTGCCTGTTATAAAGTGTAAGGCTTGGCCAGGCATGTTGGCTTATGCCTGTAATCCCAGCATTTTGGGAGGCCAAGGCAGGAGCTTCACTTGAGCCCAGAGGTTCGAGACCAGCCTAGGCAACACAGTGATACCCCCATCTCTACAAAAAATTTAAAGATTAGCTGGGGGGAGGGGTGTTGCATGCCTGTAGTTCTGGCTATTCAGGAGGCTGAGGTGGGAGGATAACTTGAGCCCTTGAGTTCGAGGCTGCAGTGAGCAGTGACTGTGCCACTGCACTGCAGCCTGGGTGACAAGAGTGAGACACTGTCTCAAAAAAATAAGGTGTGAGGCTTGCACCAAGCAGTCTGTAAAACCTCTTCCGGTGTAAACAATCCTTGATTTGATGGAACCATGCTTCCTGCACCCCCACTGCCTCACAGAATGGAGTTTGCATATAAATGAATGTTCAGTAAAGTCTCGTTGTGTGGATGCTCTGTCTGTTCCCTGGAAATAAAAAGTTTCCTGCCAGCTGACTGATCCTCATTCTAACTAACACATGTGTTATTTGGCCTAGATGGAAAATTTCCGGCGTTTGAAGGTGGCGAGAGGATGTCATTCCCTCCAGCAGACAGACAAGGGTGCCATTTGGCTGGAAAGCAGGGATGGGAAACGGGCATGGCCTTTGGGGAAACTGGCTTGGTACAACTCCTGGGTGAGCACAGGAGTTTGTTGTTAGAGAGTCACAGCCCAGTCACATCCAGGATGCCCCTGGATAACTCTGAACTCCCAGCTATACAATAAAAATGTTAGCAACTTCCTTTAGTTATTTCCAGTCTTGTATATTTTGGTATCTTCTTGTTAGCTGCCCAATATCTTCTTGGAAGGAATCTTGAGGAAGAAGTTATTGCTCAGAGACTTACTACATACACAAAAGGAAGACAGAGAATAAAAAAGGATTAAAGTGTTGGAAACATGCCTGGGAACTGGATTTCTTCATGGGAGACAAGAAGGCAGAAAAGATACTGAAAATACTTTAACATAAGGGTTGACACAGAGGAATAGTGCTGGTAGTTCTTAGGGCCCAACAGAAAGAAATTAATAGCAACTTTAAGATAGAGAAAGAACATTCTAGAATTGAGTCCTACTAAAAACTCATTTTTGAAAAATGAGTAACTACTGCTCAGTAGTTACCATTTTGGGGAAGATTTTTCTGATTATCTTCTCATCTCTCTCTTGCTTTGCCTGGCTAACCCCAACTTTCCTTTAGACTAAAAGTCCACAAACCCTCCTTCAAAACAGTCAAGTCTGATAAAGTTTACCATTATGGTGTCTCATAAGCATCTTGTAATTCTCTCTCTTAGTACCTGTCTGTATTTATGTGTTTATGTGATTAGTTTTCCATGTCTGTCTCCTACATTTGCCTATAAGCTACGAGACGGTTGTATATTCACTGCTGTGTCTCCAGGGCCAAGTGCAGTACTGGGCACAGGGGAAGCATGCAATAAGTCTGCGTGGTAAGTGAATGAATGGACACATAAACAACTTAATGAGTGCTTTTTGAACTGAAGATAATTTTTCTTTTTCAGGACAGCAAAAACAAAAAACCTAAACTAAAATCCAAACAATTTCGCAAAATATCCTGGATAGTTTGGGAGTTGTCTTTGCTTCTTTGGCTCATTGCCACGGCCTTAATTCCAGAAATGCTTTTGACTCAGACCTTTTCAGTTCATTGCCAGTTCCCTGATTTCTGAAATGCCTTTGGCCAAGGAAGTGCTAATTGGTATTTCAAATATTTAGAACTTTAAGATACCTACTTCTGTTACAAAGATGAAATTACCATGAACACCTTTTGAAAAATTTAACCATAGCTAATACCAAATTTCCAAAAAACCATACAGTGACCATACAGTTAGTTGTTCTGAAGACATGACGCATTATTCCAAACACACCTTAGCAGAATTCCACCCAATACTACAATTCTGAGGTAGTAAGAAGCACAAGGGAATAAGCCTGCGATGCAATAATTTAATCTGCCTAAAATTGTCTCCTAGCTTGCCAACACTTCGAAGATCAGGGAACTGGGTAAATCAGGACTTGATTTCATCTGCAGCTGTATGTGAACTGGAATGTGGAAAAAAAAAAAAAAGCTAATTGGAGCAAGCATGTTGTGCTGCAGTGGAGTGTATTTTCATTGATATGTTTAACCTTTCATCCCCTTCATCTGTGAAAAAATGAAAATTGCTGACCTTTGAGGTTTTATGTTTTTAATTAAGCAAAATTTTTTTCTTTCAAATAAAATCTTATATGAAGCCCCCCCGCCGCAAAAAAATAAAATAAAATAAAGTTGAGTAGCTCACTGGGAGTGGGTGAGGGTGTGGGTCTAGAGTCCATTCTGTTGATTTCACCTCTTCCACTCTCAGAAACTTCTGGAGCACCTTTTTAGAACATGAGAAATTACAGTTTCTTTAAACACAGTTTAACATGGCTCTGTCTCTAATTTCTAATGTAATTAAATTCTATAATATGGGTGTTGATTCAGGCCCACAATAATTTCCATAACTATTTTTAAATAAAAATATTCCCATGTCTTAGTTAATGGCTCATTATTCATAGCAATATTGAATACAAGAAAATGTAAATATAAAAACTAGAGTTAAACAACATTTTGAGTTCACCATAATAAGATTTAGTGAGAAGACGCTACTAAGAAAGATTAGATACTGTTCAATATAGAACACAGAAAATACAGTGAGCAAAACATTTTAGAGGATTGTTATGCTTCACTTGTGATGCTTGGTTGTTAACTTGGTAGACGTCATGCCACAATGCCAAGTAGTTCCTTATAAACAAGGACACACTTTTATGCAAACATTGAAAAAGTGTTTGAGGCTGGGCGCATGGCTCACACATGTAATCCCAGCACTTTGGGAGGCCGAGGCGGGTGGATCACGACGTCAGGAGTTCAAGACCAGCCTGGCCAACATGGTGAAACCCCGCCTCTACTAAAAATAGAAAAAAAATTAGCTGGGCGTGGTCGCGGGCACTTGTAATCCCAGCTACTCGAGAGGCTGAGGCAGGAGATTCTTTTGAACCCGGGAGGCGGAAGTTGCAGTGAGCCCAGATCGCACCATTGTACTCCAGCCTGGGCGACAGGGCGAGACTCCGTCTCAAAAAAAGAAAAAGTATTTGAGAGATCTTTGTTAAGGAAAAATAGCATTAATCTCTAAAACTTATAAGATGTATGATATTAAATATGCATCTTGTTTCAGCAAATTATTAGCCTTCATGATAGAAGTATGAATTAAACTATTAATGAATTTGATCAGAGCCTTTTAGATATGGTTGTGATGAAACAACTCACTATCCGTCCCCAACATGATTTGGAGAGGATAGCGCTATAATGTAAGAAAGGGTATTAAGCAGAGAGATTGATATTGGTATGAGCCCAGATAGGATCTGTCTTCTGGCAATGATTCTCAGGAAATGTCTCTATTAGAAAATGTCTTGAGTGGCACCAGATATGCAGTGGCAGCCATGCCTTTCATGGTGTCAGCAGCAGAACTCTTTCAAGAAGCCACGGACCACAGTTGTACTCGTTGTCGTGGAGCCTCTGCTCTATTCTTTCTGAAAGGCTGTTTGGCTACTTTTTTTTTCAGCATTAAGTTTTAACTCCTTTATTTTTCAGCATTGTGAGATAACATCACATTTCCTATTATTAGTTCAAAGAAGAGAGAAAGAGAAAAATGCATTATTTGGATGTAATTTGAAATTTGGAGTAGATATAGGGCTGAAGGATGAGACATAAAGGGACATATATGTCCATGGCTCTTGATTCTTTTCCAGCTGCCATTTTTTTCTCTCTCTCTTTCTGTCTCTCTTTTATTTATTTATTTATTTTTATTACACTTTAAGTTCTTGGATACATGTGCAGAACGTGCAGGTCTGTTACATAGGTATACACATGCCATGGTGGCTTGCTGCACCCATCAACCTGTCATCTACATTAGGTATTTCTCCTAAGGCTATCCCTCCCTGACCTCAGGTGATCCGCCTGCCTCAATCTCCCAAAGTGCTGGAATTACAGGCATGAGCCACCGCGCCCAGCCTCCAGCTGCCCCTTTTTAAGAAATGGGCCATAACACTTTTTTTTACGTTTAATTTTTATGTGTGAATAATAGTCAAATTGTTCAAAAGCCAGTACACACAAGCATATAGGGAAAAGTCTTCCTTTTACCATTGTGCCCCAACTACCCAGTTCCCCCGAATAGGTCATCGTTGTTCTTCTTTTTATGTGTCACCTTCTAGAAATTCTTTAGGCAGATACTAGCAAATACAACTATAGATTCTCATTTTAAGAAAACTAAGCAGGTGATTTTCAAGACTCATCCTAGGAAGCTGGTAGGTATGTCTTCTTATACCCAAAGCTCACATAGAAGATCCTTCTGGTACTGTAAATGGGGTTACAAAGGACAGAGTACTGGCTGGTGGAAGAGGTCTTCCTTAACCGGCATGCTGAACAAGGGTAGCGAAGTATAGTCAAGTCCAGACTCCCAGAGGCCACAATTTCCTTTTCCGTCACTGAAAGTAAAGGGAGATCTCTGAAAGGAGCAAGAGGAAAAAGAAACTAGATACATACCTAGAAATAATTTATACATAGCTTGGTTGTCTTTTCAAATCAACTGCATTTTGTATTATTTCCTAAAGCTATTAAATAAACCACGGCCACTGCCACCGCTGGGAGCTCAGAGCAGATCCTGTGGTTTTGGCAAGACTCTTGACTGGCCCTAGAAATGGGGCTGGATTGAACTGGAGTTGAAAGAATTACAGTGTTTCCTTCCTCTTGATGACTCTTTCTGGAACATGCCTGGAATGTGTGAGTGTGAGAGATGAAGTGGTGTTCACTCAGAGTCAGGCCTGGGTATGTACGTGGAAGGGGAGGTGTGTGCTGGTGTTATTTTTGGAGGCTGTAATTCCACTGTTAGGCTTTGTAGCTCGTCGTCTCTTTCAATGTTTTTACTATCCTAACTTGTATTCTCTGTCCTGAGATCTTAAAAGTTACCAATGAGGCTAGAAGTAAAATGGATGCTTCAAGGCCAGGCTTGGGAACTCATTCTAGTGGAGATTTTCTCCCTCAATCTCATGTAATGAGTTAATATTACAATAAAATGCAGGTGTAACTCCTGCTTACACGAAGACTTGACTTTGAAATTTTTCTTTCTAATCATTCAGATAAAGGTTTAATTTGTACCAAGATTATCCTCAAAACATCACTGAATACAGTAAACACTGGCAATTGCCATTAAAAACAAATTATATGAGGACTTTATATCAGGTACAATGCTTGACATAAGTAGGTGCTCAAAAATTCTGGTAAATGAATATTAGCCTTAAACGCTCAGCAGTCATTGGTCACTTTTCTTTGGCATTTTGTAAAAATTGTAATGTTTTTTTCCCCAAAACATTGGGAATAATGTTTTTTTGCCCCAAAACAGTTAAATATGGGCAAGGAGGTCAGTTCAGACTCGGGGGAGCACTTTTGTTTTTTTTTTTTTTTGAGACAGAATTTTGCTCTTTGTCGCCCAGTCTGGTGCGCAGCACTGGAACCTCTGCCTCCCGGGCTCAAATGATTCTCCTGTCTCAGCCTCCCGAGTAGCTGGGATTACAGGCACCCACCACCACACCCAGCTAATTTTTGTATTTTTAATAGAGACAACGTTTCACCATGTTGACCAGGCTGGTCTCAAACTCCTGACCTCAGGTGATCCCCCTGCCTCGGCCTCCCAAAGTGCTGGGATTGCAGGCATGAGCCACTGTGCCTGGCCCGCACTTTCATTTTTAACCTTATTATTCTAGAATTGGAAGCCGAGCAAATGGATGGACTTCAGTCAGGCAGATCTGAAATAAAATTTGCCCATCCATCCATCCCATTCATCCATACACTCATCCAACAAATACTTAAGTCCTCTATATGTTGAGATTACGGAGAATATTCCATTGTAAACCAATTCCTAAATTCCTCTTCCTATACAGAACATTTGGAGTTTATCATTTAGAGGGAGAGTAAATAAAATAATCACAAATTATGGTAATCTGTATGAATAAAACAGGAGGCCAAATTAGAGGTCAATGGGATGAGAGTGTATAGGTATTATAGATAAGGCAGGTAGAGAAGCCTTCTATGAGAAAGTGGCACTTAAGCTGAGACCCAAAGGACAAGCAGAAGGTGGCCATGCCAAGAGTGGAGAAAAACATTCCAGGCAGAAGGAACAGCAAAGGCTTTGAGGTAGGAAAGAGTATCTTGTATCCAAGGAATCAAAGACCAGTGAGCATTTGAATCCCAGCTCTGCCTTCAATAGCTGTGGAAAATGAAACTAGCTGCTCAATCTTTTGAGCCTTCATTTCTTCATATTTAAAATTGAGATAATGGTGCATACCTCACAGAGTTGCTGAATTTAATGGGTATTCAATAAGATAACATGTAGCTTATTTGAATCACTTCTACACAAAGGTCTCTGAGACTCTAGTTGGGCCCTCATCACTCAATTGATTTTTCTAGTCTCCTGATTGTTTTATGCACATTTGAGAGCCAACCATCACTGGAGCTAGAGAACATTTTCCATCCCTGATATTTCCACATTTAAAGAGGAGAGAATAGACACAGACTCTATCTGCTCATGTTAGAACCTTTAGAAATCAAAAAAGGGAGGGGTGGGGAGGGGAGAGAGAGAAAGAAAGAGAAATAGTGAGAAAATAACATGAGAGGATTTTCTTTTTAAAAGTGTACTTCCTCATTTACAGAACAAATTCATAAAATTTAAAGTTTGGGTAAGGTTTTGTTTTTGTTTTTACATTTGGGGAGAGGGTAAGGTTTGGGGCTAAGTGTTCAGGAAACAGAATAAAGAGAAATGAAATAATAATCACTGAGTATGCAATATATAACAGACAGAGTGGTTGGCAAGTTATGTATTTTATCTTATTTAATCTTTACAAGAATCCTGATGGAGTAAATGAGGCCCTGAGGGAAATGAAGACTTCACTTAGTCACTGTCTGTCACTTATCTTGAGGTATTTAATGTGGAATTGTGCAATTCTTTAAAAATGAGAATCTATAAGGCATAAGTTTATGTAGTTGATATATTTCTTTAGAATACTTTATTATTGTGACAGTATCACATTAGCATCAATTGATAACTAATAGTTAAATGAATAATGATAATGTCATTATTATTAATTCATCTTAATACTACATACATTTCCTGAATACCCAGCTATGTCTAGTGCATGGCTTGTTGGGGGAATAATGGGTAGTCCATTGCAACTAGGGTATGCAGTGGGGCAGGAGAGGTTAGCAGGGTCTAGCTGATGAAGGGTCTTGATGCCTTGGTAAAGAGTTTTGGATTTTGTCCAGTGGAAGATAGGCACATGGTCAGAATAGCATTTTAGAAAGAATCCTCACACAACTTTAAGACAAGGCTTTGTGAGCACCAGTTTACCCAATGGGGTCATGTTAATAACCTTAGTCATACATTATTGTCTCTCTTTCCTTTTAGGAACTGTGGAAGGTGCCATGGACTTGATCTTGATCAATTCCCTACCTCTTGTATCTGATGCTGAAACATCTCTCACCTGCATTGCCTCTGGGTGGCGCCCCCATGAGCCCATCACCATAGGAAGGGACTTTGAAGCCTTAATGAACCAGCACCAGGATCCGCTGGAAGTTACTCAAGATGTGACCAGAGAATGGGCTAAAAAAGTTGTTTGGAAGAGAGAAAAGGCTAGTAAGATCAATGGTGCTTATTTCTGTGAAGGGCGAGTTCGAGGAGAGGCAATCAGGATACGAACCATGAAGATGCGTCAACAAGGTAACATGCCCCTAAGTTTTGGGCAGGTGAGGCCCACTGAGGAACACACACACCTTTTGTCTTGGCAGCTGCTCCCTCAGGGGCAGGGCATGCACTACCTGAATGTAGAGCTTGACGATCTTGCCTGTCTCTTTCCATGCATCACCGTGTCTGGTACATGGAATGTTAGAGATAAAGGAGACTACCCAGTCCAACCCCTTAACTAGATACTGTGCCTACTTTGTGAGATGAAATATTTCATATGTTCTAAGGGCATCATGGTACTTATGGATAGTTGACTGTTACATGTATGTAATATGAAAATCATAGCAATGAAAACAAGTGTTCATTGCCAAACTACTATTTTGAGCTTTCTTATTTGATTTTTCATGTGATACATTGCTTTGCTTGTCCCTAAATACCCTTAATGGAAGTTAATATTTTCAGGAGAAAATTAAATATAAATAAGAATTTTAGAAGGGGAATATCCATCAGTAACTTAATTTAATTAGTTATTTGGTATATCAACTTTCTTTTCCTTTTTTTTTTTTTTTGGGGGGGTGGAGTCTCACTCTGTCACCGGACTAGAGTGCAGTGGCATGATTTTGGCTCACTGCAACCTCCGCCTCCCGGGTTCAAGCGATTCTTCTGCCTCAGCCTCCCAAGTAGCTGGGATTACAGGCAAGCACCACCACACCCAGCTAATTTTTTATATTTTTAGTAGAGACAGGGTGTCACCATATTGGCCAGGACGATCTTGATCTGTAGACCTCGTGATCTGCCCGCCATGGCCTCCCAAAGTGTTGGGATTACAGGCGTGAGCCACCATGCCCGGCCAGTGTATCAATTTTCTATTGCCACAATAATGCTGTGTAACATAACCACAAACCACAGTGGCATACAATAATGAGCATTTATAGCTTGTGAGTCTAAGTCAGCTGTGTTGATTAGATGGATGTATTGACCTTGGTTGGGATTCCTTACATATATGGTGTTGCCTGGCTATAGGCTTAGTAGGCTGGCCTTGGCTGGGGCAACTTTGCTCAGTTCCTTATACTATAGCAGGCTAAGGTAGTATAAGGTCATAGTGTACAATTCTCAGCTTAGGTTGCCAGGAGCCTCATGTGTTTCTATTTTTTTGTACCACTGCCATCTACATTTCATGTACATGAGATGTAGACATGAGGCTCTTTGCAACCTAGGCTCAGAATTGTACACTATCACTTCTGCTTCATTTTATCAACCTAAGCCAGTTAAGTAGCTGAGCCTAGTATCAGAGTGAGAGGGCACTACAAACTGAAATGACAAAGAGTCAGGGATACAGGGAGGGATGAAGAATTAGGGCCCTCTTTGCAGGCTACCATTTTTGGAAAAGGACCATGATTTAATTTTAGCAGTCGAGTACCCAGGTCCAGCTCAGAAAACACCAGAATTTTGCCGGAGGATTTTGAAAGCCTCCTCTAAGGGAGGATTATTAAGACTTGCTACCACCCCACAAGGTGATGATGTGATGAAGTCTTCCTCCCAAAATAAAAGTGGGCCTTAAGCTAAATCTTTAGACCAGTCCACCTGTGTGATGGCAGTTGAAGGAGATGGTGTTGCAAATATTATTTAATAATTGTATTATAAGGTTCCAGTCCTGGACAGGCAGGCAGACTTCTGGTGCTCTTGATGCTGTCTGCTGGGAGGAAGGTACAGAATTCCAGCTAAGGTGACCTCTCTTTGTTCTGCCTGGAATGATCTGGCCTCTCCCCTATCAGCCACTTTGTCTGGGCTGCTGATTCCTAAAATGAAGGAGTCTTTTCCAAATTAGTATCATCACAACCACAGGAGCTGTGGACTGAGGACTTGTCATTACATAAAATAATGACATTGTCAGCTGTTTAGGGTTTTTTTTTTTTTTTTTTTTTTTTTTTTTTAAAGACAAGGGTCTTGCTGTTGCCCAGGCTGGAGTGCAGTGGCACAATTACAGTTCACTGCAGCCTTGACCTCCCGGGCTCATGCTGTTCTCCCACCTCAGCCTCCCAAGTAGCTGGGACTACAGGCATGCACCACCATGCCTGGCTAATTAAACGAATTTTTCATAGATATGGGGGTCCTGCTTTGCTGCCTAGGCTGGTCTTGAACTACTAGCTTCAAGCCATCCTCCCACTATGGCCTCTCAAAGTGCTGGGATTATAGGTGTGAGCCCACCAGGCCTGACTTTTAGAAAGCTGATCCAGTTAAGTAACACACCTCTGCACATTGCTGATTGGCTGTTTCTTTTATAATCTAACCATCTGTAGTCTGCATTTTTTTTAGATCAATGCTTTTTAAAGTTGAACATGCTTACAGATCACCTGTAGTTCTTGTAAACATGCAGACTCTGATTTAATAGGTTGTTTGGGACAGTCCTGGGATTATGCAGTTCTACCCAGGTCCCAGGTGATGAGAATCTGCTCGACCATGGACCACGCTTTGAGTAGCAGTTTAGAGTTAGCCTCTAACTTGGGTCCAGCTGAAAATATTTCTTTGAATTTACTAATGGTAGTAATGAAAAGATTTGAAGGCAGCAAACTCATTTTAAGGTCAAAAGTAATAAAATTGCTGTTCATTCCAAATGAAGGAAAGGGTTTTCTTAGCAAAACTAGAATGTTCACCTTTAAATGACAGCAGGGCAAGTGGGAAAAGTGCACAACAGAAATTCCCAGGAATGCAGCTCTCCGTTGAGGGAAGAGAGGTTGAACAAAGGGATGTGAGGTGTGCCAAAGCTATCATGGCTGAAAGTCAGCTCTATTATTTTTCACATGTGTCATTTTGGATTTGACTTGTATAAAGACTAATATTCTTCTGCTGATGTTTCCACATTCTAAAGGAAGATGATCTGAGATTATGCCCCAGTCATTTCGTGGGAACAAAATGTGAAGTGCCACTGTGTCCTTGCTGTACTGTCCTGAGGTCATCCTTGACAATGTATAAATAAGAACATGTAAAGCAAACTGGACCAGAACATTGGGAGTTAAAAACCCGCTGTAATGATCCCCCCAAACTGAGAGGCTAGGTGATCACAGGTAAAGGATGGCTTAACTTCAGTTAAATAAGGCAAAGGCAGACCTGGATAGTGAGAAACACTAACGAGAAGATGGCTTTTAGAATTATGCTCACTTGAGTTTTAATTCGTTCTCCATCACTCACCAGCTGTGTGGCCTTTGGCAAGTTATTTAACTTCTATTGGTCTCATTTATCATCATCTGTGAAATGGGTATAATAATACCTACAAAATTGTTTTGTTTTAAATAAGTTGGTATATACAAGAAGCATCGATTTACACAGTGAACGTTGTCCCTAAAAGCTTAGGTAAAGCAATATATTGCAGAATAAGGTACATAGTAATAAGAATAATAGCAGCTTGTAAATGGTGGGAATGGCATTTGATGCCGAGTGATCTGACTTCAGAGCCAGTATTTATTACCACTACGCTACCCTTTGGATATCATTCTCACTTAATGTTAGCAACTCTCCCTGATTCTGAGCTCTTGTTTTATAAAGTACAATGATCCTACCTGAAGTCCTAAAAAGCAACCCAGGGCACAGAGTAGAGGTATGAGAGTGGAAGTCAGACAGATATGGGTTCGAGTCTACCTCTGCAACTGAGTGGTGTGGCTCAGGACAAGTTACTTAATTGAAGTCATATTTTTTCCTCATGTGAAAAAAAATAAGGATAGAGATTTTATCACACATATTTGGAAATTAAATGAGGCACTTAACTATTACCAATTACATTATCTGCTTCACAGTAAATGTTTAACAACTGATTATTGTAATTTCTTTGAGTAATAGGTGAGATAATTTTCCGACTCAATTGTAGAAATTTTTACTATGCATTCACATATTATGGAGTTTTACACAAAATGGAAAAATAGGTATGTTCTCTCCTGTATTTTAACAATAACAGCATCTCAGGCTGATGAACAGGTTCTGTTTTTCTTGCTGACCATCCAGTGGGGGAAATCTGGTTTGAGGAAAGTGAAATCCTTTATGATGAATCAGGAAAAACCTCCAAAACTATGTTTTCATGTCACTATTAATTCGTTATTAAAACATCATGGAAACTCAGAAATGCCTGCCTAGGGACACAGCAGGATAAAATAAACATCAATATATTCCTGCTTGCTGCTGACTCGTACATCTGTGGAGGAAGTGGAAAATCCATTTGAGATGTGCCAAAACACAGCTTAAATTGGCTCACACACTCCAAACAGACAAACTGGATTTTATCAATGGCATCATCCAAAATAGTCAACAGCAGTTTGACTCAAACCTCCTTGGTGATTTCATTTGGGGGTAGGAAATTATATATAAAGTTTGAAACGTTTTCAGATCCAAAGACCTGTTTCAAACTGATCCATTAGAAGAAACAGAGGGTTATTTTATTCCTACTTTCATTTGAGAAATAGCTTTATATTAAGAATATCAAACTTCCCAAACATAATTTACGAAGTTGTTAGAGAAGAGCCATTTGCACCTAAATAACCAAAGGAATATGTTAAAAGCATCAAGAAAATGGGAAAATCTGAAACAGTTTAGTTCATTTATACTTTCATTCCACAATTTTTCTTTTCTTTTTTTTTTTTAGACGGAGTCTTGCTCTGTCACCCAGGCTGGAGTGCAGTGGCGCGATCTCGGCTCACTGCAACCTCTGCCTCCTGGGTTCAAGTGATTCTCCTGCCTCAGCCTCCCGAGCAGCTGGGACTACAGGTGCGCACCACCATGCCCAGCTTGTTTTCGTATTTTTAGTAGAGACAGGGCTTTACCATGTTGGCCGGGGTGGTCTCCATCTCCCGACCTTGTGATCCACCCACCTCAGCCTCCTAAAGTGCTGGGATTACAGGCGTGAGCCAGTGCGCCCAGCCACCACAATTATTCTTGAGCCTCTATTTTTGCCACATGTTTTCCTGAATACTTGTATGCCTGACATTCCCCTAGCAACTTCATATGTATTACTAACTTAGTCTTTATCAAATATATATCAGATGAGGACTTTTAAGACCCCACTAATAATAGATGAGGCTTGGCTATTGTAACTTAACGTGCATTTACTAGCTAGTGAGTGTTGGATCTGGGAAGGTGAAGTCAGGCCCGATTCTAGAAGCCTGGCTTTAACCATCACCCTGTGCTACCTTTCAAAACAGATGTGATCTTGCCCTCCTGGAACACCCAATCTAGTAGGGGATATATACCATGAGTGGGGCTATAATGAAAAAATGCAGGGTATTTAGGGAGTAGCTATGAGGGCATCTAACCTGTGTTCCAGGTGTTGTGTGAGGTCTCTGAAAATTCCTAAATGGAAACTGATGAATGAGCAGGAGCTGGTGAGGCTGAGGAGAAAAGGAGGAGAAAAGAAGAAAGAAAACTCATGACTTGGACATGAGTGATGAGATCTGGCTGAGGAACTGAATACAGTTCAAAGTGGCTGGAATTGAGAGCTAAGGATGTGGACCTGGAGAATGATAAGTCTGGAGAACTAGGGGTGGAGGTCTTGAGTTTGTGTCTCAACTTCCACATTTATTCACTGTTGATAGGCCTTGGGTAAGGGACTTAGTCTTCCTTAACTCCATCTCCCATATGGATAAACTGTAGCTATACTGTCTTCACAGGACTGTGGTGAAATTGCACAAAATAATCACAGATATGAAACTACATTATTTCCTGTAGTACTTACACAACAATTAAATTGAAAGGAGATGACTGAAATTGAGCTCACTTGTTTTTCATCTGTGTTTTCACTTGTGTATAACTTTTACTACCACCTACTTTCTTCTCCAGACCTTATGGAATAAGGAATTATATTTTTAGTTAAGTTCTGCCCATGAATTAGCCCATCCAAATGATCTTAAGCAAGTTATCTTCCAACCTAGGCCTCAGCAGTATCAAATTTAAAATGAGGTGGTTGGACCTTAAAGCCTTCTGAGTGCTAACATTACATAATCTATGAAAGCATCCAGAGCGAGATTCCTTGGTTCAAATCCTGGCTCTCCCATGTATATGCTGTGTGATCTTGGACAGGTTACCTAGCTTCTCTGTACCTTAATTTCCTCATCTGTAAAATTAGGATAATTGTAGTACCTATCTCATAGGGATATTATAAAAAGTAATTTTTATTTAGTTGGAGTCTCGCTCTGTTGCCCAGGCTGGAGTGCAGTAGCTCATTACAGTCTTGATTTTTTTTTTTTTTTTGAGATGGAGTCTCACTCTGTCACTGAGGCTGGAGTGCAGTGGCGCAATCTCAGCTCACTGCAAGCTCCGCCTCCTGGGTTCACGCCATTCTCCTGCCTAAGCCTCCTGAGTAGCTGGGACTACAGGCGCCCGCTACCACGCCCGGCTAATTTTTTGTATTTTTAGTAGAGATGGAGTTTCAATGTGTTAGCCAGGATGATGTCGATCTCCTGACCTTGTGATCTGCCCACCTTGGCCTCACAAAGTGCTGGGATTACAGGCGTGAGCAACTACGCCTGGCCTACAGTCTTGATTTCTTAAGCTCAAGTGATCCTCCTGAACAGCTGGGACTACAAGCATGTGCTACCATACCTAGCTAATTTTTAAATATTTTTTTTGTATGGAGCGGGGGTCTCACTGTGTTGCCTAGGCTGGTCTCAAACTCCTGGCCTTAAGAGATCCTCCCACCTTGGCCTCCCAAAATTTTGGGATTAGAAGCATGAGCCACCGCCCCCAGGTTGACAATTAAATTTGTGTAAAGTGCTTATAACAGCACTTGGTCCATAGTAGGTGCTATTAAAAGGTATTTATCGTTTTTATGGCCTAGTCAAGTCACATAACATCAATATATGTGTACTGAATACAAGCCAGGCTCCTGTGTCATCAGAAAGCCCAAAGTAGAACATGAATGTTGGATTTCCTTCGTTAGTACTCAACAGAGAGCAATCAGCCTAGAGACATTCATGCAGAGGTAAACTCTGGACAGCAGTGAAACTCTGGTGTGATAATGCCCCTAAGAAAACAGGAGGTTAAAAAGCACAGTCCTAAATAATAAAGAGCCACAGAGTGGTGGGGGGAAAGCTACTTGGAATTGAGCCTACTGGGGAACCTTGGTTCCTTTCAGAACACAATACTGAGTGAGAAGTCCCACGGTCAGCTAAACAATTCTCACACAAAGGAGCAGAAAATATAAACAAACCATATAGACAGGAACAACAGCATGAAATGGTCAGAAAAAAATTCTCGTAGGAGTCCAGGAGCATGCCACAGAGAGCAAGAGCTGCATGCATTTGGAGGTCTAAATGAAGCACTTGGCAACGTGAGCAGAAGCCCCACAAAGACAGCCCCCCTCACCATCCAGTCCCCTGTCTGCTCTTCCTTTATGGCTGGCTCATTTTAGTGCTCTGGAGAAAAGTGTCCCTCATGCTCATATCACAAATGTCAGCACAGCAGTGTTGCTGTTTATATTAGAAGGATACCGACCTCTTCTAGGCACCTCAGGGCTTAGCCTACATCACTTAATATTACTAACAACCTTTGAAGGTAGGTATCATTACTTTTCAATTACACATGAGAAAACTGAGATTTGCAGAGGTGAAGCAGCTTTCAAAAAGGGTGGCAGAGGGTGGATCCAAGCCCAGGAATGTGTCTGATTCCAGCGCTCGCACTGCTGGAATGATCTACCCCGTGCTCTCTCTGGGTTTGCCCCCAGGTCATCATCTGCACCAAAGGCATTCACATACCTGACCACCAGGGGAGTCTGTGCAAGGCACCCATGCTAGGATCCGCAGGCACAGCCCACAGCCGATGAAAGCAAGCAGGCAAACCTAAAGCCCAGGTCCTTCTGAGCATGGTTCGGAGGCATCTTTTGCCCTCACAGGGTAGTTGTCTCAGCCAGTGGCGCGCACAGCGCTTGATTAGTCTTTCTCAAACCACCATCTGAAAGCCACGGATGAGATGAGAATGAGGGCACAGCGACCAGCTGGTTCATCACAAGGTCCTCAGCAGGATCCCTATGATCCCAAGGCTTGGTCCTGGTCTGAATCTTTATAGGAATTCTTACTTTGGGGGACAGGATGTTTTGCTATTAATTTCTAATTTAGGTGCATTCTGGTCAGAGAATTTTGTTATTAACAGAGATGTGCTTTGTGGATAAACAGGCAATGTTCTGGTAAATAATGTGTATTTCAATAACTGAGCAAGGGGTTAATGAATATTCAACAGATCTCTAATAGTGTTATTAAAATCTTCTAAATATTTCCTTAGTAATTTTCAGTCTTTTTGATTAATTTCTGAAAGTTTCCACCGTGTTCACGGATTTGTCAGTTTCTTTAATTCTGACACTTTTTGTTTCATGAGCTTTGAAATTCTGTTGTTAGATGCATATATAATTTCAGGATTACAATATCTTCCTGAACATGACACGTGAATAAAATCTAACAAGGTTTTATCAGTTAGTAGATGGTTCTGTTTTATCATTACATAATGACCATCTATATCCCTAATTTTTAGCTTTATAATAATTTTTTCTGTATAAATGTTGCAATACTAGCTTTATTTAGTATTAGTTTGCTATATATTTTTATATCCCTTTATTCACAATCTTATGTGCCATTATGTCGAATGTATACTTCATGAAAGAGCACACAGTTTTATGTGTGTGTGTGTTTTAGAATTGAGATTCTAGAATCTAAGATTTTCTGATCTGAATTTGATGTGAGCTCCTGTCTTTTAACATACATTTGGCATAATGTCTGCCACCTTATCCTATCTTTTCCACACCATGATTTTCTCTGGTCCTTTTTTTCTCATTTTATGTCTTTTGTTTCCTTATCTTCTCTCTTGCCCTCTTGTTGAGGAAAGTTAGATAGACTGTTTCTCTTCCTTTAGTGGTGATCCTTATATTGTTAACATTGGCTTAACTTAAAGCCTAAAGCTAATGCCTCCTTATGTCACAGAGTTTGGCTTTCTGCAGATTATGATATAAGTTAAGGGAATTCAGAAACTCTTGTTGCTGGAAGAAAGTTAGAAGATTTTATTCCCATATCTTGTCCAATAAGCCAAGGGAATCAGTCAATGTTGCATGGCAAGCTTGACACAGTAACAGAAATTTTCAATCAATTGGCTTATTTTATTTTATTTTATTTTTGAGACTGAGTCTTGCTCTGTTGCCCATGCTGGAGTGCAGTGGCATGATCTTGGCTCACTGCAATCTCCGCCTCCCGGATTCAAGCAATTCTCCTACCTCAGCCTCCCGAGTAGCTGGAATTAAAGGCATGTCCCACCGTGCCCGGCTAATTTTTGTATTTTTAGTAGAGATGGGGTTTTGCCATGTTGGCCAGGCTCGTCTCGAACTCCTGACCTCAAGTGATCTGTCTACGGTGGCATCCCAAAGGGCTGGGATTACAGGCATGAGCCACTGTGCCTGGCCTTGGCTTATGATTTTGTAAGTCAAATATAAAATAATTTTCCCAGTTACATGTCAGTACTGTCCAGTTCCATAACTGTGTCAGTTCATACATATATAATTAAAAGGTAGAAGGCAAGATATTAGATTCCATCCTTGTCTTTATTCTTCAATCTTCCAATATTTACACCATAAGTAGTAAGTCCAGCATTTTGCTCATTTTATTTGAGCAACGCATGGGGCATTCTAAAGCAATTAGAATTATTTGGAACAACAGCAACACAAAAGGACCAGGGGAAAAGCCATTTGGTAAATTTTTTTTCTCTTTCACTTTGGGGAAACTCAGATTTCATTCATGTTTTTTTTTTCCCACTTTAAGAATACTTGGGATTGGAGAAGGATGGCAGATTCATAGTTAATATAGTTTATTGTTAGTATCAGGACTTAGTTTGATAATAGGTACAGTTTGAGTGTTCCAAATCCAAAAATCTGAAATCTGAGATGCTCCAAGATCCAAAAATATTTGAGAGCCAATTTGATGCTCAAAGGAAATGTTCATTGGAGCATTTTGGATTTCAGATTTTCTGATTTGGGATCCTTAGCTGGCATAATGCAAATATTTCAAAATGGAAAAATAAAATCTGAAACACTTCTGGTCCTAAGTATCTGAGATAAGGGATATTCATTCTGAACTAATCAACACAAAGTCCTCATCTCCCCAACCACTGAATAGAAAAATTGTGTATAGGCATATTGTTTGTATATATTTACACTCTTATAAAGGAAGTGACCATCCCTTTCATCAGATTCTTAGAAAGGTACATAATGTTAAGAAAGGTTAAAACGCATTAGCCACCACTGTTTTTCACCTTCCAAAAACCATCTGACACCTAGCAAGTGCCAGCCCTCATTTTCTGAGTCTCAAAGCTCAATTGCTCCTGGAGAAAATGTGTGATCCCATTTTTGGTATTTGTTTTCTCTCTTTTAAAAGCTTCCTTCCTACCAGCTACTTTAACTATGACTGTGGACAAGGGAGATAACGTGAACATATCTTTCAAAAAGGTATTGATTAAAGAAGAAGATGCAGTGATTTACAAAAATGGTGAGTATGTGTTTCATTGCTTTCCCCAGTATGATGTGAGATATCAGATAACATACAACATATTGAATCATTTTCCTATTGTGGTCTTGTGGGCAGATGTTTGAATTAAAGCTGCTATGATGCAAGCTTTCAAATTCTGTGTATGATAGAAGCCCTCTTAGGTGACATATTTGGTTACTTAAGGATATTAAAGTGGAATTCATATATATGAATGTACATGGTGTATGTACATACAATAAAACCCCATCATAATGTGAGATCCCAACTTCAGCCATATAAAGTGTGAGTTTCTTTGATTGTGACATTGTTGATTGCAAGGTTTAGGAAATTACCACAGTAAACATGGGAAGCCAATTGTTAGCAGTTCTGGCAGTCCAACTGTGTAATCCAAATGTGTCTAGGTCCTAGCTATGGTTTCGTACCACCCAGTGTCAGTTGCCTGATCCAGCTGGAATATTGATGGGGATCATTCTGAAGTCTGTGAGTGGATAGGACTTCCAGATTGGAGTAGCGATTATAGATATCTCCTGGTTAATTGGTTAGTTGACAGGGTTACCTATCATTTTTCACCTAACTTTGCCTGCCAACTATGTTCGCCTCTCCCTGTAGAATGTAAGAACTTAGACCACCCCCATCTTCATGTGTTTGGTGGTAGATCCCACAGACTAACCTATCTGTTCTATCACTATGACTTTCTTGACTATTGAGAGAGTACTGAATAGTTCAGCATTTTCATTCTTCTCCCACATCCAATATGTGAGAGCACATTTTCTTGACCATGTCAGGGAAAGCTAATTAAGTGGAGAAACCAGACAAGGAAGCAGGTATGTTTCAGTGTGACCTACGGTTCTTCACTCTTCCCTCTTACTAGGTTCCTTCATCCATTCAGTGCCCCGGCATGAAGTACCTGATATTCTAGAAGTACACCTGCCTCATGCTCAGCCCCAGGATGCTGGAGTGTACTCGGCCAGGTATATAGGAGGAAACCTCTTCACCTCGGCCTTCACCAGGCTGATAGTCCGGAGTAAGTGATGGAGAGGCCACCATTTGTGATGGTGTAGTTGTTAGGTTGTTAGGATTTTTAGTTGCAAATAACAGAAACTAACCATGGCTTCTTAAGCAAAAACCAGGCATTGGTTGGAGGTTGTATTAGTCTGTTCTTATGCTGCAAAGCAAATGAATAAGAGATAGCAATCATTAGAGGAATGACAGAGAAACCCAGGTATTTAGACCTGAAGACTTAAATATTTAATATTACAAATACTTGATACAGCTGGGGAAAACTCAGGGCAAATCATTTTCTTTTCTCAGGGCAAATCATTTCTAATTTCACATGCTCTTTATTGAGACATACCTGAGACTGGGTAATTTATTAAGGGAAGAGGTTTAATTGACTCACAGTTCAATATGGCTGGGGAGACATCAGGAAATTTACAATCATGGCAAAAGAGGAAGCAAACACATCCTTCTTCACATGGCGGCAGGAGAGAGAAGAATGAGAGTGAAGGAGAGGGGGAAGCACCATATTAAACCATCAAATCTCATGAGAACTCACTCACTATCATGTGAACAGCATGAGGGCAACTGCCTCCATGATTAAATGACCTCTTACCTCCTACTGGGTTCCTCCCACAACACGTGGGGATTATGGGAACTACAATTCAAGATGAGATTTGGGTAGGGACACAGCCAAACCATACCAGACGGGGACACTAAGGACTCTTAATAAACTGATGGGAAAGCTGAAAAGTGGCTGGGTACGGTGGCTCATGCCTGTAATCTCAGCACTTTGAGAGGCCCTTTGAGCTCAAGAGTTTGAGACCAGCCTGGGCAACATGGCAAAACCCCGTCTCTACAAAAAATACAAAAATTAGCCAGGCATGGTGATGCATGCCTGTAGTTCTAGCTATTTGACAGGTTGAGGTGGGAGGATAGTTCAAGCTCGGGAGGTCGAGGCTGCAGTGGGCCAGGCTGGTTGAAAGAGCAAGACCTTGTCTCAAAAACAAAAACAAAAACTATAAAGCAAGTTCCAGAAAAGATAAGCTTCAAGGAAGAGCTGAGGCTCAGTTGTGGTGGGTGTGGGGAGGTAAGGGAGTGGGCTTTCTCTCTAAGATGCTGCTTTTACCATGTCTCAGCTTCAGCAATGTTTCTTTCACTTCCAAATTTTGAATTTCCAGGATAAATAATCAGATTGGCCTAACATATATTAGATGTCTATCAGCCTAGACCAGTGAGCTATAGACAAGGGTGGAGTCACGTACTACACGTTACAGGCACTAGAAGCTCACATTTGTACAGCATAATCATCCATATAAAAAGGGGGATCACAACGAGTAAAGCAGTCTCACTGAAACGTGTCTGCTCTAGGGGGATGAGTTGGACCTCTTGGGTTAGACTAACATCTGCTTAAACATTGCCTCCTGTAAATCCCACACTTCCCAGGTCATTTAACTCTTATGTGTGATTTTTATTTTCAGTTTTGAAAAATGTAAGAGTTAGAACTAGTAAAAACTTTTTTTCTCCATTATAACTATTGAAGTGGGGGCATAAATATCACCATTACATTTTCCTGTAATTTTTACAGGAACTTCACAAATAGAAAGAAAATGATTTGCCCTGAATTTTCCCCAGCTAGATCAGGTTTTCATAATATTAAATATTGAAGTCTTCAGGTCTAAATGCCTGGGCTTCTCTGTCATTCCTCTAACGATTGCCATCTCCAATTCATTTGCTTTGCGTTATGTTCCCCCATTCATTTACCAAAATGTGTTGGTCATAACTCTGTGCCAAGAATTGTGTTGGTGTTGAGAATACAGGATCATAAGATAAATCCGTGTCCTTTGGGTCATTCCCAATCAGAGTAGGCACGTGTATAATTAGCTAAATAAATATTGAAAAATGACAATAGAAGTATGAGAAGTGTGGTTCCTCTAGTTTATGCTCCATGCTTAGCCACCTCTATGGACATAAAATATAGCAAGGTGTTTTATAGGCAGGACTATTTGGGCTTGAGTCGAGGGGAATCTTTCCACGTACCCAAGACCTATTTCCTTCTGGATGACTACTGTGCTTGACTTCTATTAAATGTCAGAGCAGCCTTTTTGTAATATGAATCTTAAAAAATATAATTTATGATGATAGCAAAACTGCAATATTCAGCTTCTAGTAGCTTGCCTCACAGCTACCTTTACATGAAGTTTCTGTGGACTTGGGAGAAGCAAGTGACATCCCCTTTTATTCCACTACTCAGGAGAGTCTGAATGTCAAGGAAGCAATTTGCCTTTATTTCATTTAGCTAGTTTCTCTGGAGTCTGATATAACACCATGTACTAGGTGTACTCAGAGGGTAAATGGGGTACATCTTCTAGGAAGGTCAGACATACCTATACATGTTGATATATAGTTGTTTGAGATAGGAAAACCAAAGTGTTTTTCCTAATCTCTGCTCTCACTGAACACAACACTTCTGACACCAATGTGCACAGATTACTACGCCACTTCTAGAATTTCTCATTCAGTAGGTCGTGGTTGGGTGGGATCTGGGGTTTGCATTTCTAACAGATTCCCAGATGATGGGGATGCTACTGGTCAGAGACCACACTTTGAAAACCACAGCTCCAGCCTGTAACCATACCTGCAGCTCCCTGGACATGCCATGCTGTCTTCCCATGCCTTGTCTTTGCCTGGAAGACACTCTCCAGCCTTATCTTCTTTGCTACTTAGTTGGTCCTGCAGATTCAGCTTGCATACCATATCCTCTGGGAAGCCTTCCTTTATGCCCTCTTCTATCCACCAGACAGAGTTAGGTACTCCTTGTCTTTGTTTCTGTCGCGATTTCCTGTTTACATGTCTGTCTCCCATATTAGATGATGAGCTTTTAGAGAGCAGAGCCTGTATTTTATCTTTATTCACCATTGTCCACTGAATGACTGACACACAGTAGGTGCTCAATAAAGATGTGTTGAGCGAATGCGCTCTACTCACCACAGCCTTGTTTTCCTTAACAAAAGGATGTGAAGCCCAGAAGTGGGGACCTGAATGCAACCATCTCTGTACTGCTTGTATGAACAATGGTGTCTGCCATGAAGATACTGGAGAATGCATTTGCCCTCCTGGGTTTATGGGAAGGACGTGTGAGAAGGGTAAGTAAAGAGACTTGATAAGTAAGCTGTGGATTTAAAAAGCCATCGTTGCTGGATCTAGAATTTTAGATCTCGACACAGATGGGAATGGACGCTAAATGGCCTCTGTTAGGTCAGATGGTACCTGTGTGTGAATTAGAAAAAGGTGCCTTTTCCTAAAGGTTCTTTAATGCCAACCACTGGAAAGTTATAATAAATATACAGATCCGTGATGTTTACAGTGTGAATGCTGCCCCCTAGGTTTGTGCACTGCACAAACCTGCATGATTGTGAGTGATGTCCCTGATGTCTGCTCTGTGGGGCAGTTTCATTATCAGTAAAATGGGCCATAAGGGTATGTTCATCCTACCATGCCACAGCTGAGATTTGACTGTTTCCCATATTCACTAGACTAGGAGAAATGAATCTAAAGAATTATGTATTTCAAGGGGTTGCATATTTGACTCTGAATCATCTTTTCTTTTCCTCCCAAAGCTTGTGAACTGCACACGTTTGGCAGAACTTGTAAAGAAAGGTGCAGTGGACAAGAGGGATGCAAGTCTTATGTGTTCTGTCTCCCTGACCCCTATGGGTGTTCCTGTGCCACAGGCTGGAAGGGTCTGCAGTGCAATGAAGGTATGCACCAATCACACCCTTGGACAGAGGATGTTCTAGCAGGTATATAAAGGAGATCCAGTTTGCTGTCAATCACAACATCGGATATACCTGGACTGCTTAGCTACCCACTACTGGACAACAGGATTTTGAATCATGGATGTTTACATCCAATGTTAATTATACTTTCACAGTAAAAATCTAGACCGCATAGAAAGTACTTCTCATAACTATCATCTGGGGATCTTTACTAAAGCACGGATTCTGATTTGGTAGGCATGGACTGGGGCCCGAGGTTCTGCATTTCTAACAGGCTCCCAAGTAGTTCCGATGTTACTGGTTTTCAGACCATGCTTTGAGTAGGAAGACCATAGAAGACTTGTTTTTTTTTTTTGGTTTTTTTTTTTTTTTTTTTTCAGTGAATCATAAAATCACAGCTTTAGCCAGGCATGGTAGCACATGCCTGTTGTCCCAGTTATTCAGGAGGCTGAGGCAGGAGGATCCCTTGAGCCCAGGAGTTTGAAGCTGCAGTGAGCTATGATTGCACCACTACACTCCAGCCTGGGCAACAGAGTGAGACCTCGTTTAAAAAAAAAAAAATCAAAATCAGAGCTTTTATGTCAGATCCAGACAGGATTTGGGGCTCAAAAATTGAAGAAGTTAAAATCTTACCTGCCGTGGACCTTATGCAAGTAGTACTAACATCATCTACTCAGAGTCCCTCTGCCCTTTGTAAAATAAGCTTTCCCATTTGACCAGGCTCTGTGGAGTGCATCTGACATCCACTTTTCAGTATGCATTTCACATCTACTGTTGCATAGTAGCTCAACATGAACCTGCAGACAAATGTGACAGAACCTCCCTAATGTATATTAATACTGTGAATTAGCCAGAGCTCAAAGGCTTTTCAGTGTTTATCTCACAAAGTCAGCTTTTCCCATATCCGGCACTAAAGGTAGCTACGATGGGGTCCCAGCAACTTGATAACAATGCTCCAGGGCAGAGCAGTTCAGTAGAAATATAAGCCATCCACATATAGAATTTAAAATTTTCTAGTGTCCACATTAAAAAAGTGAGGAGAAATAGGTGAAATAATTTTGATCTATTAACCCAATATGTTAAAAACATTATCAGTTCAACATGTAATCAATAGAAAAAAGTATTAATGAGATATTTTACATTCCCTTTTTCATAGTAAGTCTTTGAAATTTCAGTTTGGACTAGCTATATTTTAAGAGTTCCATAGCCACACGTGGCTAACTGTACTGGACAGCATAGCTCCAGGGGCTTGGAGGAGGAGGACAAAGAGGAGAGTTACACAAAAGTAAGCTTCAGCCACCTGCAATACCTCATTCAGTTCCCTCTAAATGCTATGTCTGCCCCCCGGAACATGCAGTGAGCCACAGCAGTGGAGAAATCCCATCTGGCCTCTGAAGTGTGTATGTTAAGGTAAAAGGTGACTCCAGGCAGGGGGCAGATCCCTTGTATTTTAAAAAAAATTAAAATGTTACGCAAACTATGAACACTTTGCTAGGACCCAGGAAGCGGTGCATGCCAGCAGTCTCTAGAACATAAACTTCATCAGCTTTGTAGTGAATGTGTCTCTGGGCCCAGGTTTTTTTGTTTTTTTTTTAATTCTTTTTATTATTATTATTATTATTATACTGTAAGTTTTAGGGTACATGTGCACAATGTGCAGGTTAGTTACATATGTATACATGTGCCATGCTGGTGTGCTGCACCCATCAACTCGTCATTTAGCATTAGGTATATCTCCTAATGCTATCCCTCCCCCCTCCCCCCACCCCACAACAGTCCCCAGAGTGTGATGTTCCCCTTCCTGTGTTCATGTGTTCTCACTGTTCAATTCCCATCTATGAGTGAGAACATACGGTGTTTGGTTTTTTGTCCTTGTGATAGTTTACTGAGAATGATGATTTCCAATTTCATCCATGTCCCTACAAAGGACATGAACTCATCATTTTTTATGGCTGCATAGTATTCCATGGTGTATATGTGCCACATTTTCTTAATCCAGTCTATCATTGTTGGACATTTGGGTTGGTTCCAAGTCTTTGCTATTGTGAATAGTGCCACAATAAACATACGTGTGCATGTGTCTTTATAGCATCATGATTTATAATCCTTTGGGTATATACCCAGTAATGGGGTGGCTGGGTAAAATGGTATTTCTAGTTCTAGATCTCTGAGGAATCGCCACACTGACTTCCACAATGGTTGAACTAGTTTTCAGTCCCACCAACAGTGTAAAAGTGTTCCTATTTCTCCACATCCTCTCCAGCACCTGTTGTTTCCTGACTTTTTAATGATCGCCATTCTAACTGGTGTGAGATGGTATCTCATTGTGGTTTTGATTTGTATTTCTCTGATGGCCAGTGATGATGAGCATTTTTTCATGTGTCTTTTGGCTGCATAAATGTCTTCTTTAGAGAAGTGTCTCTTCATATCCTTTGCCCACTTTTTGATGGGGTTGTTTGTTTTTTTCTTGTAAATTTGTTTGTGTTCATTGTAGATTCTGGATATTAGCCCTTTGTCAGATGAGTAGGTTGTGAAAATTTTCTCCCATTTTGTAGGTTGCCTGTTCACTCTGATGGTAGTTTCTTGCCCAGGTTTATAAGAGTACATTTCATGAACTCATCTCAGCCCATTCCTGGCTCAAGAAATCACCAAGATTTTATGAATAGAACTGTTCTAATATTCTTCCAGACTCCTTTCAACAATTACTATCCTGTTCATTCCATCCAAAAAGCAGTAGGAAAGCAAGGAGACATTTCTAACAGTAACTACTTAAGGACATGGTCTCCTTTAATAGTCCAGGATTTAGAATAGTCAACAATAGATTGTACACTGGCAAGTTTTATGTATCAGGGCTGGTTTCTATCTGAGGAAATAAGCAATAATAGAAATTTTTGAAGCAAATAGTGGGGACAATAAAGAGAACAGGGGAATTCCACTGTGCAAATATGTGATAATTCAAAGTCATTCAGAACACTTTGCCAGGAAGAAAGTTCTAGTGTATTCTAGAAACTAAAAAAATCAAGGCTTCATGATATTTTAAGGTCTTCTGCCATCCCAACAGAAACTTGATTTCAGTAGTCAGATTTCCTTTATGCTTATTAATAGTTCTTAACCTTTCTACCATCTGCTTTGAGTAAGAAGTTGTGATTAAGTTTTTTTCCAGCTTTATCAAGGTCTAATTGCTAAATAAAAATTGTATGTAGTTAAGGTGCAAAATGTGATATTTTGATATATCTATACATTGTGAAATGATTACTGCTGTTAAGCTAATTAACATATCCATCACCTCACACAGTTATCTGTGTGTGTGGGTGTGGTGAGAGCATTTAAAATTGCTCAGCACATTTCAAGTGTACAATACAGTAATATTAAGTTTAGCTACCACACTGTCTATTAGAACTCCAGAACTTACTTATCCTACTGTGTAATTAAAAGTTTTTGCCCTTTGACCAACATCTCCCCATTTCCTCCACCCTGTAGTCCCTGGGAACCACTATGCTACTCTGCTTCTATAAGTTTGACTTTTTCAGATTCCACTTATAGAAGAGATCTTACAGTATTGGTCTTTATATGCCTGGCTTATTTCACTTAGCATGGTGCCCTCCAGGTTCATCCGTGTTGTTGCAAATGACAGGATTTCCTTCTTTTCAAAGGCTGAATAATATGCCATTATATATGTGTACACACCACATTTTCTTTATCCATTCATCCATGGATGGACGAATGGTCAAGTCCATATTTTGGCTACTGTAAGCAATGCTGCAATGGACATGAGAAAACAGATGTCTCTTTGAGATAGTGATTTCATTTCTCTTGGATATATACCAGAAATGGGATTGCTGGATCATATGGCAGTTCTATTTTGAGTGTTTTGAAGAACTTCCTTATTGTTTTCCATAATGACTGTACCAATTTACATTCCCACCAACAGCATACAAGGGTTCCCTATTATCTACATCCTTGCCATTCTAGCAGGCGTGATGTGATATCTCATTGTGGTTTTGATTTTCATTTCCCTGATGATCAGTGAGGTTGAGTATTTTTCATAGACCTGTTGGCCATTTGTATGTCGTCTTTTAAGAGATGTCGGCTGGGCACGATGGCTCATGCCTGTAATCCCAGCACTTTGGGAGGCCAAGGCGGGCGGATCACCTGAGGTTGGGAGTTCGAGACCAGCCTGACCAACAACGAGAAACCCCGTCTCTACTAAAAATACAGAATTAGTCAGGCACGGTGGTGCATGCCTTTAATCCCAGCTACTTGGGGGGCTGAGGCAGGAGAATCGCTTGAACCAGGGAGGTGGAGGTTGTGGTGAGCTGAGGTCATGCCATTGCATTCCAGCCTGGGCAACAAGAGTGAAACTCCATCTCAAAAAATGAAAAAGAAAAAAAAAGATGTCTATTCAGGTCCTTTGTCCATTTTTTTATCAGGTTGTTTTCTTGCTATTAAGTGGTTTGCGTTCCTTATATATTCTGGATATTAACCTCTTATCAGGTGTATACTTTGGAAATACATTCTCTTGTTCCATACATTGTTTCTTCACTCTGTTGATTGTTTTCTTTGCTGTGCAGAAGCTTGTTAGTTTGATGCAATCACATTTGTCTATTTGTGCTTTTGTTGTCTGTGCTTTTGAGGTCATATCCAAAAAAATCATTGCCCGGATCAGTATCAAGAAGCTTTTCCCGTCTGTTTTCTTCTAGTAGTTTTACAATTTCAGGTCTTATGTTGTGTCTTTAGTCAATTTTGTTTTGAGTTTTGAATATAATGAGATGAGGTTCTAATTTTATTCTTCTGCTTGTGGTTATCCAGTTTTCCCAGGACTATTTATTGAAGAGATTATCCTTTCCCTGTTGTGTGTTCTTCATACTTTTGTTGAATCTGTTAACTGTAAATGTGTAAATTTATTTCTGGGCTGTCAATTCTGTTCCGTTGGTCTATATGTGTGTTTTTATGCCAGTACCATACTGTTTTTATTACTATAGCTTTGTAATATATTTTGAAATCAGGTAATGTGATGTCTCTAGCTTTGTTCTTCTTGCTCAATATTGCTTTGGCTATTCTAGGCCTTCTGTGGTTCAATATAAATTTTAGTATCGTTTTTTCTATTTCTGTGAAAAATACCATTGCAATTTTGATAGTGATTGTATTGAATTTGTAGATAACTTAGTTGTGATTGATACTAAAAATAAAGACTGCATTTTAGCTGGGTGAATAAAATACAAAATCAAAACAAATCATCATAGCCCCAAAAGACAAGCTTTTGCATTAATTTTTGGTTAGAAGCCTTCTAGTAATGTTACAGTTGACCAAAATAAGGACACCCAGTTAACAGAATCCATTTGCCATGTACCAAATTCTAAGAATTGTCCTGGCAGGTTTAGTGAGCTCCAAGGGAAAATAATGCTTCTACCCTGTCTTCCCAGGAGCTTATTACAAGTATCAAAACATAATTTGAATGGCTTAAATATTCTACTATAAAGAAACAGTCTTAAAAAGCTAACATTTTAAATTATCTTGATTTTTAGTTTTTAGCAGTTTAACCATGATGTGCCTATGCATAGTTTACTTTATATTTATTCTGCTAAGGGCTTAACAAATTTTTGAATGTGTAAATTTCAACAAATTGGGATAATTTAAACCATTATTTCTTCAAATATTTTGTCTAACCCTTTCTCTCTGGTCCTTCTTGGACCTCCAGTTACATGTGTGTTAGATGTTTTGTCTCTTGGGTCCCTAAGGATTAAAAATCATTTTTTTCCAACCTTTTTCCTACTTTTCTTCTTTAGATGGGCTATCTATTGATGTTGCTTCAAGTTTATTGACTCTTTCTTTTGTTATCTCCATTCTGTTGCTAAGTCCATACAGTGATTATTTGATTTCAAATATTGTGTTTTTCAGTTTTAGAATTCCTTTTGCTTTTTAAAAATAGTTTCTATTTCCCTGCTGAAGTTTCTCATTGTTGCATTTGTTATGAACATATCTTCTTTTACCTTACTGAGCATAGTTATTATAGTTGTTTTAAAATTCTTGTCTATTCCAACATCTGAGTCATCACAGTTGGTCTCTATTTATTTTCTTTTCCTTTAAAAAACGGGCCTTAATTCTCCATTTCTTCTTTGGATTGTATCTTGAACATTGAAAATGTTACATTATGGAGACTCTGGAATATGATACATTCCTTTTGGGAATGTTGATTTTGTTTTGTTTTAGCAGGCAATTAACTTGGTAGGATTCAAACCTCAAACTCTCACTGTTAGGAATCAGGTCAAACTCAGTTTAGTTCTTTTATCTTTAGCTGGGCTGCTTTGAGTCTATACTGAGCATGCATGGATCAAGGATCAGCCAAAGATCTGGGACTTTTCTCTGACTCTTTCTGGGTTTTCCCTCTCTCTCCAGTGGCTGTGGTTTTCCTGACTCTGTCTCTGATGCATCAGGCCAGTAGACTGCAGGTTTTCTTTGGAGTTGTAGCTTCCATACGTGGTGTCAACTGTACCTAACAGTTAGGCTAAAAGCTGAAAATTGGGAAACACATCATTCCCATCTTCCAAATTTCAATTCCCCTCCAGAATCTTCCAGGTCTTTTTTCTTCCTATCCCACTCTTAAGTGCTTTCAGGAAGTTATTTTCTAAATGTAGTTGTACCTACAAGAAAGTTGGCATGATAGGAGCTCATTCAACTTTTTTTGGAAGCATAACTCCCCAGCTTTTTAAGTTCCTGGTAATTCAGATAAATTACCCCCTACCTTACACAAATCAGCAAAGTTGATGGCTTAGAGAGAAAAATAAAACTAAACACCTGCAGTCTTAGTTTCCTCTCTTCCCCTGGATTAATACTGGTTTTTTGATGTCTCTGTTTACAGCATGCCACCCTGGTTTTTACGGGCCAGATTGTAAGCTTAGGTGCAGCTGCAACAATGGGGAGATGTGTGATCGCTTCCAAGGATGTCTCTGCTCTCCAGGATGGCAGGGGCTCCAGTGTGAGAGAGAAGGTAAAGCAAGGTAACACTGTAGTCAGGGCCATGTTCAGCATGTCTGAACTGAGCTTTGGTAGTGTAATTCTTGTGCCGGCATTCTAAGATCCTCAAGCCTCTTTTGTTTCCATCCAGAAGTTGGGAATAGTTTATCCTAAATCCTAAAGCACAGCATTTTAATTCTGCTCTACTGACCCTAATAGTAGGCTTTATTTGTCTTTGCACTAGGCATAAACCACGTGCTCTTTGTAGCAGCTTAAGTGATGACTGGCCAGCTGAGAGCTCTCCTACCTTTTCTGCTCCCTTCTCTAGGACCAACCTTTTCCCTGGACATGCGTAACAGAGAAAGAGCAATTTGGGATGGATTTAGACAGGGGATATTTTTAAAGCAATAGAAAGAATAAAACAAATAGAAAAGATTATGCTCAAAATGAAATTTTATGTCATTCTAGTTCAGAAGTTACTCTTCAGCAGGAGTCAGCAAACTTTAACCCACAGACTAAATCCAGCCCACTATCTTTTTTTAAACAGCTTTATAGAGATACATTTTTTATATTATAATGTTCAACTTTTTAAAATGTAAATTCAGTGGTTTTTAGTATATTTACAGAGCTATGCCATCATTGCCATAATCTAATTTTACAACATATTCATCATACCAAAACAAACCTTGTACCCATTAATAGAAACTTCCATTTTCCAATCATCCTAATTTCTGACAACCATTTATTTGCAGTTGACCTTAAACAACATGGGGGCTAGGGGTACTGACCCTTCTCGCAGTAGAAAATCTACATATAATTTTTGACTCTCCAAAGACTTAACTACTAATAGCCTTCTGTTGACGAGAAGCCTTACCAATAACATAGTCAATTAACACAGAGACTAGTATCTGTATATATTTTATGCCTTCATGACATACCTTTTTCTTAATTTTTTTGGTATTTCTAGGCTACACAGTTTGTCTGTGAGTTTTTTCAAATTATCCTAAATCTCCAAAAAATTTTCCAATATATTTATTGAAAAAAATCCACATGTCAGTGGACCCATGCAGTTGAAGCCTGTATTGTTCAAGGGTCAACCATATCTTCTGTCTCTGTAGATTGCCTGTTCTTGACATTTTATATGCTGTAAACAAGATTGTATAATACGTCGTCATTTGTGACTAGCTTCATTTGCCACACCTTTTTTGAGGTTTATCTATGTTGTGGCATGTATCAGTACTTCATTCCTTTTTTATTTCTCACCATCTGTTATTATAAAGAAAAAAATTTTGGATCACAGCCACCTCCATTCATTTATAGTATGTCGTCTGTGGCTGCTTTTGTACTACAAGGGCAGAAAACATGGCTTGCAAAGCTGACTGTATTTGCTCTCTTTACAGAAAATGTTTGCTATCCACTGTCGTAGAATATACTTTTTAAAATTAAAAGAAGCAGACATATGTATTTTCAAACTTAATAAATATGTATTGCTTTTTCAATCATATAAATATAAATGCCATTGAAATAAATACATATCCAGTGAAATCTACACTCACAATAATACAGCTATGGCCTTTTTTTCTGTTACTTTTGGAAATCAGAACAAATATTGGGAGTGGGGGTGGGATGCCAGTAAGTGTTTTCTCAAAGTCCTTAAACTTTATATTTTTTCTTCTTTTGCCAAGCCTGGACTTTACTACAGGGCAGGAATCAGGGAGTGGTTAGAAAGGGAAGGAAATGCCATGGGGCTACTAGGGGATTGTATTGAACGTGGGCAGCTAACAAGTTTAAGGATTTGAATTTTGTGCTTTGTTCCTTCCCGTCTGTTCCCTTCTGCTGATGCTGCAAAAGGAGTGCATTCTGATGGGAGAATCTAAGACAGGTTAACCAGGGTGTCACTAGGGCTTTCAGAGAGTAGCTCCCTTCCCAGATTCCACTTTAGCCCAGCACATCCACCTTCACCCCCACCCAGCTTCAGAAAATACAAGGGGACGATGAAGGAAAGAAATGCTTTAAAAGTGTCAAAACATGTTTTTCAATTCCTATTCAAATAGCTACTTAGGCTGAAAAACTTGGCACGTTTTCCATAATCTTTCCAAGTTTACAGATATATCAAGGAATAACCTTGTAAGTATTAGACCTCTTTCCCTTCTCCTCCACACCTTTACCCATTTCATTCTAGGCCTGAGAAGTAGGATATCAGTATAAAATATCATTATTGACCCCGCCTCTTCCCACCACCGATAAGAAACAGTCTGTAGTTACTGCTGCTCTGAGGGCACCTCTATCGCCTACATTGTTTACTGAGTGTTGGACAATTTTCAAACATGTCTCACATTCAATTACAAATAGTCCACAGTTCCCTGAGTCCCTATGGTTCAGAATAAAATTGGTATATTTCAGGGTTATTCATTCTCTACTGTGTAGATGTTAGGCAAGAAATCCTGACACCATTACCTTTATTGACACTACAGACATTTTTCCTTCTTTCAATATTGGCAGCAACATTTTTGATTTGGCTGTTGAGTGGATACTGATTTGGGGAAGTTATATTTCACTTCTTTGATGTACTTCTTTTGTGAGCAACTTTATTCACCTTTTCCTCTTAGTTATCTGCTATTTGCAGACTTCCCAATGAATGAGACATCTCTCGTATATCTAAACTGAGGTCAATGCTGTTGAACAGCAATACCATGGGGTTATTTGATGAGTGGAGGAAGAACTAGTTTTTTGTTTGTTGTATTTTTGTAATCATTCATGTAAAAAGAAAGAGGGGGATTGAACAGCAAAGTCTAGGGGAGATATGGCCATGATAATCATTTTAATATTGAGACTGTTCCTCCCTGGTCCATGAAAGGAGCACAGCCTCATGGCAAAGAGCGTGGACTCTGGATTTATAAAGATCTGAGTCTGAATCTGGGCTGTGAGCCTCTGTCTCCTCATCCATAAAATGGGAGACCACAATATCATCCACATCACAGGTGTCTTATGTGATGACAAAACAGTAAAATATTTGCAAAGTTCTTGCCCGGTGCATGACTTACTAAAGTAGCTATTTTTATTATTACTACTGCTGCTGGCTCTGTTAAATATTAGATTTCACAGTGCTGTTTTCTTCCTTCAGGCATACAGAGGATGACCCCAAAGATAGTGGATTTGCCAGATCATATAGAAGTAAACAGTGGTAAATTTAATCCCATTTGCAAAGCTTCTGGCTGGCCGCTACCTACTAATGAAGAAATGACCCTGGTGAAGCCGGATGGGACAGTGCTCCATGTAAGAGCCATTCTTAATTTGCCCTTCTTAAAGCATGAGATGCTTCAGTGTAGTAATCACCCCACTAAATGATAGATACCATTCAGTGCTTTTATCCTCCTAGGCTAGTGTGTTGTTGGCTTTGATAAAATGCCCTATTCCTGGAGAGGCAGAACTGACTCACTGCAGCCTCACTGATTTCTTCTGTTGGCCAGTACTGCTCTGCATGGTTGGGAATATGCCTCCTGGGGAACTGACAGAGCTGGGTGCCAAGGATGGCACACATCCTGCAGGACTGTCCAGCTGGTATGGGGAGAAGTACGTGTCAATCTGTGCAAAGCTTTGCTCTCGCAGTGTCCCCATATCTCTAACTACTCATATCAGGAGAGTAAGGTGGTGTTGCAACCCATGAATCAGCAGATTTACGTGCTACCAAGTGCAACCAGGACATGGAGTTTTGATGACCGGTCCACTCCTATTACGCTCTTTGGAGCAGCAGTTTAGGGGAGCATAGAAGAGGAGAGTTCCCCAGTTCTGAAACTACAATCCACGGGATCCCTTAGGTCTGAATGCATTCATTGGGTTTCTACCCACCTCTTCCCTTTGCCTTCATTGCTGATGCTCACCCATGGTCAGGTAATATCACAGCAGTTATTTTTTGTTTAAAAGGATCAAGCTACTTTTCGAACATGCTTTCCTTCTCTCTCCCAACTATACCAAATGCAGCAGAGACAGGAGCCACCCCAAATTTCTCTTGTGTTGAAAGTGATCCTTAGGATATTGATGTATTTTTTAATCTAAAAATTTAGAAATACTTATTATCCTATTTTTCTATCAAAGATGACCAAAATCAGCTTGACCAGAGGCAGGTATGAGTGACCTTCTGAGGGAGGAATATGTAGAATGTACCATTACTAGGGTCCACGTTTCAATGTCCCTGATTCCACTCAAACAACCCATCAGGTAGAAGAAGCCAATTGATGGCTTCCAAAATCTTATTGGCTTTTTCATGAGTTAATGAAAGTAATGGCTACTATTTAGTAAGGTTGGCCATAACTATATGTAACTTCTTACTTAACATTGCCTAGTGTCTCTTTTTTTTGGCGGAAGTGGGAACTGGCTGGGTGAAGTTAAGTAACTAAGGAATTGGTCAAAAATGGCAAAGAGGCCAGATACGGTGACTCATGCCTGCAATCCCAGTGCTTTGGAAGCCTGAGGTGGGAGGATCACTTTAGGCCAGAAATTTGAGACCGGCCTGGGCAACATAGCAAGACCCCATCTCTTAAAAAATAAAAAAAGAATTAGCTGGACATGGTGGCATATACCTGTAGTCCCAGCTACTTGGGTGAGGTGGGGGGATCACTTAAGGCCAGGAGTTTGAGGCTGCAGTGAACTATGATCACTCAACTGCACTCCAGCCTGAGCCAAGGAACAAGACTTTGTTGTCTCTCAAAAAAAAAAAAATGGCAGAGGTCCATCTCTCTTCAGAACCCTGGATTTTTCCAGTACTCCCCACTTGACAGCCTCTCAAACACTTAGGAAGTCACTTTGTCCTCCCACGCAGCCATCTCTGTGTTAGATAGGAAAGGAACAAATCTTATGAGGAGGAGTTTAAAAGAAATCATGCTTCAGGTGTCTTGCTTGTAAGTGTTTACCCCGTACTCCTAAACACACAAATACAACAGCAGGATCTGACAGGGCATCAATCCAAAATAAACTTTCAGGGCTACTACAATAGCTTTGGAAATAAGCCAATAATTATATTAGCATTACATTTAGCTTCTTGATCTCTCCTAGGAAACTTCTTATTAAACAATGAGATGGGGTCAATGTTATGGACCTTTGCGTTTATGCCTCCCTAGAAGTTTTTATTTTTTTGTATTTGACCTTTTCAGCCAAAAGACTTTAACCATACGGATCATTTCTCAGTAGCCATATTCACCATCCACCGGATCCTCCCCCCTGACTCAGGAGTTTGGGTCTGCAGTGTGAACACAGTGGCTGGGATGGTGGAAAAGCCCTTCAACATTTCTGTTAAAGGTAAGTTCATTTCCCAGAAAAAGGGATTGTGTCCTTGATGCATTATGTTTTTGTATTGCTGCTTCTAGACAGAAATGTATGCGACCACTAAAATACCTTTGGGGTAATTTCCAGGATAGTAAGCCTTTAAAAAATTATATGCATGAAACTAGAGTGAAGAAATTAAGAGTATGAACTGTGGAGTCACACAGCCCCAGGTTTGATTTTGTCCCTAACAGCTCATAATCTTGTGGGTGGCCTTGACCAAATGAAGTTACCTTTTTGAGTGTCTCTGTATTTGCAAATGAAGCATAATTTAGGTACCTCTTAGGGTTATTGTGAAGCCTTGTTAAACACATACAATACTTGGAGTTGTGTCAGGCACAACATATCTGGTAGTGATTATATTTCACAAGAAGGTTAGCATTGCCGTTGTGACTTCCTGTTCATTATTGTAGAGAATTATTTGGAGAATCCCTATTTTGAGGATTACTCACTTAATAAGAAGCCCAGGCTATGCTATATAATTAACATGAATGTCTTTTCACATTCAGGGCTGTGGGCATTTTTCCTGCTATAAATTAGTATTTCAAAATTCAAATTAATCTGAGTGTTTGTGTGTAGATTTGTGGCTTGAGTGGAAGAACTAAAATGGAGGTAAGTCCACGTTAACTTGGCTGGTGTACGTAGCTACAGCAAGGAATTTTAAATCCGCAAGTTACTTAATCACCTGTTTAGACAAGAATACCTAACAGCTCTCTGGCATATATTCTAGGAAAGATACTAGGCTAAGATTACTTGTAATTTCTGATACATTGTAAATGCTCTGTAAATAGTTGCTATCCTGTATTGTTTAGAGAATAATGAGAAGAAAAAAAGTCTGTACATGTTCAGACACAATTTGTTTTCTGAATATTTTTGATCCACAGTTGGCTGATCCACAGATGTGAACCCACAGATACAAAGGGTCAACTTTATACAGTAGCACACATTGTAAGCACAAATCTTAGTATTAAACCTGGATCTTCTGACTCCAAACCCAGCACTATCTCTTCTGGACCATTTTGCTTTCTGAGTCTCTTGTGTTACAGAGGAGGAGACTGTGAGGTGACCAAAGTTGATTTGTATTTGGCCCCCTTTCGTTACTTCATTAGTAATCTCTTGGGAGATCTCAGAGGTAACTTCTATAAATGAAATGCTGTAAATACTCAGAACATAATCTGTTTTTTAAAGGCCAATAACAACAGTAGCGTAAATGCAACCCCATAGATTTGGATTCTGTGCCCTGAGAATCCATATGAACCACCTCAGAATCCTCCTTCTTATTATTACTTTTGGTTATAGGAAAGAGCCCAAATCTGTTTTATTTGGTAGAACATTCACGTGATTAAAATAATTTCTTGCATCTTGAATGTTCTTGGAAGAAAGGAAATGATATGCAGACAAGAAAAATTACCCTACTTTTAAGCTTCTGGGAATGTTTGCTACCCATGGACATACGTCCAAAACAAACCATGTGGTGAATACACAGAAGAGTCACTGGGTCTAGTTTTTAGTTTGTAGTGAAAGACACGGCACACAACATCAATGTGTAGAAGCTTCTCCAGTCCTAAGTCACTGCTGTCTCTTTGCTGTCACATTGACTGGCAGCCATAAAATGTAAATAGCCATTAGGGAATTTAATCAATTTAATCAGCATCTTTTATTATAGTATTTACAAAAACAGATACTAGGCTTTAACACCAGTGTACAGATTGATACAGTCACTTTGGAAAACTGGCAACTTGTACTAAACCTAAACATTTACTTAGCCTGGGAACCAGCAGTTCCACCCCTAGGTATATGCTCAAAAGAATGGCTGTATTATGTTCAAAAAAGACATCTTCAAGAATGTTCAGAGCAGTTGTATTCATAGTAGCCCCAAACTGAAATTAACTCAAATGTCCATCAACATTAGAAAGGATACACTAATCACAAATTGTAGTATATTCATATGTATTAGTTTGCTAGGGTGCCATAACAAAATACTACAGGCTGAGTGGCTTAAGCAACAGGAATTTATTTTCTCATAATTCTGGAGGCTACAAGTCCAAGATGAAGGCATCAGCAGAGTTTATTTCTTCTGCGGCTTCTCTCCTTGGCTTGTAGATGGCCACTGTCTCCCTGTATCTTCACAGGGAGATTAAATTAGGACACAGGTACAGGGTCTTCCCTTTGTACTTGTGTCCTAATTTAATCCTCTTACAAGGACACCAGTCATATTGGATTATGGCAAACCCTAATAAACTTATTCTAAATTAATTACTTCTTTAAAGGCCTTATGTCCAGATACGGTTACATCCTGAGGTACTAGGGGTTAAGACTTTAATGTGTGATTTGGGGGGAATACAATTTAGCCCATAAAATCATGCAGAGGAATGTTAAACAGTAATAAAAAAGAATTAATTTCCGCAACAGTATGGATGAATCTTGCAAACATGATAACCAGTGAAAGAAAGTACATGCTTTATGATTCCATTTATATAAAGCTAAAGAACAGGCAATACTAATCTTCAGTCACAGAAGTCAGAATAGAGGCTACCTCTGGGTAGAGGATATTGACTGGAAAAGGGCACACAGGTGCCTTCTGGAGGGCTGGGAATATTTTCTATCTTAATCTGAGTGGTGGTTACATGGGTGTACACATAGGTAAAGTCCCTTGAGCTAAATACACTTAAGATATTCACGCTTTACAATATGTATGTTCCATCTCAGTAAAAATGATTAAAAGGCAAAAAATAAAATAGTAGATTACTAAGAGGAAGCCTTTGTAGCAATTTTTAAACCCTTGTAGAAGTATCACAGACTGACATTAATGGCTGTAATAAAATGTGCATCTGCTGGTTTAAAGAAAGGGGTGGCCTTATTTTATCATACAAGGAAAGCATTACTTGAACAAATTTACTTACAGCACTGCCCTCCTTTCTAGCCTAAGTGAAATGTGTACTCAGACTTATCTAACTTAATATTGGCATGATCTGCCTCCAGTTAGGGGATACTGCTTCTTACTGGCTTTATTATCCTGACCTTGGACAACTTCCTAAGTCGTCACTTAGTCAATAGAATTTACTTTAGGCCTATTATGTTTCAGCCCCTGTTCTAGGCACTGGGAATAGAGCAGTGAATAATACAGGGGGAAAAAGACTCACCATGGAGCTTACATTCCCACAGGGAGATAAACAGTGAGCAAATAAATAAGTAGAATGTACAGTTCACGAAAATGCTGAGTGTCTTGGAGAAAATTAAAGCAGAAATGGGGGTAGAGAATGCTGGGGCAGGGCTGGAGTGGTGACTGTAATTTTAAATAGGGTAATCAAGCCTTCCTGAGAAGATATTTGAGCAAAGACTTGAAGGTTATGTCTAAGGAAGGTGAGCCAAAGCATTGAGACAGAAAGAAAAGGAAAAATTACTGAACATTGCAATGTCCTCTGAAATCTGAAAGGTTCTGCATTGTATAATACACACTCTTGGGGAGGAAAAACAAAACGAGTTATGCATTTCTAAGAAGGCTGGGCCAAGGGAACTATAGAGCTCATTGGAAATTCACTTCACAAACAATAACTCAGCACCTAGTCGGTGCTGGTGAACAAACTACACAGTCTTTGCCCTAATGGAATTTAGAGTGTAGTGTGGTGTTTCACAACCTTTTTATTATCATCCCACTAAGGAGCTCTTTTAGAAATTGTATTCCAGAACTCTCCCTCATCACCATAAGATTTTATTATCACAGATGTACTTTATATCTCTTTATGTACTATGGCTCTTTGGCGGGCTGCAACCCATTGTAATATCTAAAATTTTTGCATCCTCCAAGAACCAATTTTCATTGTTTCTGGGGCGCTGTCATCCCCATTGAGAAGATGTGGTCTTTGAGATGGGGAGATTGTTCTAGATTATCTGAGTGGACCCATTCCAATCCCTTGAGTCATTCAAAGTAGAGAAACTTTCCTGACAATAGTCAGAGATGTGGTGGTCAGAGAAGGATCAGAGAGGCCTGATGTTGTAGACTTTGAAGGGATAGGAAGGAGCCTTGAGCCAAGGAATGCAGGCAGTCTCTAGAAGCTAGAAAGAACAAGGAAACAGATGGTCTCCTAAGCCTCCAGAAAGGAACACAGCCTTGCTAATGCCTTAATTTTAGCACAGTGAGATGCATGTCTGACTTCTGACTTCTAGAACTATAATAAATTTGAGTTGTTTGGCTGAAAGAGAGAGATATATATATATAGAGAGAGAATGAATTATGATCTAGAAGAAAGACCAATATCAAATAATCAAATAATCATACTACAAAGAGTAATAACCCCTAAAAATCACCATGAAGGAAAAGTAGAGGTTCTGTGAAAGTATACAATACCTTAATTCAGTTTCTATGATAGCCACCTGTGAAATATTCACATCAGAGCTAAGAATTAACTGGGAGAATAATGGGAGGTGGAGCATTCCTTGCAGAAGAGAGACATCCACAATCAATCTAAAGAAAGGAGGTTCGTGCTTTGTTAGTTGGATGAAGTGAAAGGTCAGTGGGACTGGAGGGTACTAGGTGAGGGGAAGAGGAGGCTGGAGAGTGGGCAGGGGCTTAATCACTCAAGGCCTGGCTGGTCACGATATGAATTTTTGGTTTTATCCTACATGTGATGAGAATCCATTGAAGGGTCTTGAGCAAAGGGGCACATTTATTTTAAGGAAGCACTTTGAGGATAATGGGTTGGGGAAGCAAAAGCAAAGCAGAGAGCTTAGAGAGCAGGTGATCTCACTGAGTCTGAGCAGAAAACTTTAAGAGGACTTTGTTGGACATGTAAAACATATCTTCTACCTCTACCTAAGAACAATCACAAAACCTCAAAGCCGAAGGACTAATCTGCCTTCTGAAATTGTATTTAGTTCTTCCAAAGCCCCTGAATGCCCCAAACGTGATTGACACTGGACATAACTTTGCTGTCATCAACATCAGCTCTGAGCCTTACTTTGGGGATGGACCAATCAAATCCAAGAAGCTTCTATACAAACCCGTTAATCACTATGAGGCTTGGCAACATATTCAAGGTAAGCTTTGGACAGGATAGATGCCAGCTGGGGATGTGGCACCAGGAGAATTATTTTTCTCCAAATCTAGAAATTCCCTTCTCCCTGCCTCAATCCTCTACCTCAAGGTGGTGGCTGTTGCAGAGGATTCTGTTTCAGAGTATTCAAGAGAGAGTGCAGGGGGCCCCTGAGCTCTGGGGCTAACTTTCTGAAGTCACTGTGCGCTCTAGAACACAGAACCAGCTCACACCATGAGTTACTATCTATATCAATATTTCTTTTTGGATCTCCAGTCCTGTTTTTAGTTATTCTATCTTGGCTGGTCATGGGGAAAGGCACTTGTTTATGCCATGAATATGGTAGCAGGAAAGTCCAGAGCCTGCTGGAAGGGCAGAGAGGCTTAATCTGCCTAAATCCTGGGGGTGATTGTTGCTGCTGTATTGAGTTGTTTATTCCTTTTCTCATTTCATGTCTTGCCCTGTCCTGCAGACTCTTAACACAGAGAGATTTTTGAAGGAATTTGAACCTGCAAAGTTTGGGCTGTGGCAGACTGGAATGGGCTCGGGGGAGGACAAGGACAGGCAAAGGGAGCTACAGACCCCTCCCCTAACTTCCTGAAAGAAAAAAATAATTGAACAAAATGTGACAAAATGCCAAAAGTTCATGAAAACAGTTGAATTTATTTTGAAACACAAATTACAATTATATTTGTTGTATGATAATGTAAAATCACAATTTTAAAAAGCAAAGAGCATTATCAGTGACCATGCTGCTTCAATTGGACTATTCTGTAAAAAGACCTGCCACTAACATGCTTGTAGGCAGCATGTCCTCCTCCGCCCATACCTTTGTCTTACTATGCCTATGATTTCCTTAAAATGACCCTCTATTCACTATATGGAGATAATTAAGAAAACTATGGAAAAAAAAAAAGAGAAGAGGAGGAGGGTTTTGGGCTGAATAACACTAGCTGACCTGGGTAGACCGAATAAAATGGTATTATTACTGAGTCCTTCACATACTATTGTAGATTCTATCAAAATTCAGAATTCCAGGGATGTCAGGCTGATTTGCTGAATTGCTGTTTCCAACATCAATGGCTAGGTCTTTTGCTGTCATATGGTGGTAATAATCCATCACCTTTGTCTACAAGTGGACATCCACAAAGTGGTCTTCTAAGAACTGTTAAACACATCCCAGTTTTTTTTCTTACCAAGTAGGAATTTATCATATGATAAGGCAGAAATTTATCTTTGCAGTATCCATGGAGAAACAGAGGCTGACTAAAGCAAATAGGTAAGGAGAAAAGAGACAGATACCATTTGTTTATGGGTGCTATTTTCAAGGACTTCAGAATGCTTCATTGTAATAGTATGACCATTGCAAATCAGTTTTCTGGTCATTTTGAGCAAACCTCCTAAGCATCTTTTTCTCTCGATAGCTTGATTGCAATCAGTGTACATACTTGAAAACAGTAGCAATTAAATTATTCTAATTGAGTATTCCCCCAATCTGGTATTCCATATAGATTTGTGAGGTTTTATTCTACAAATGAAAAGACAAAAGCACCAGAGCAGAAATGTGTAAGTGGCACAGAAATACACACTTTAATGTGTACATTGTAACCTGGAAACATTTCAAAAGCCTAATTTTCCTCATATTGGGAAGGATGAGGCCTTGAAGATGGAATTGCCTCTCTGTTTCACTAAGACGTAGTTTTGAAAACCTAAAATTAGTTCACATCGCAATAACAACAACCCCGGCTTAAGGAATGTAAGAGAATGCCAACTTAAGTTTCCTGGACGTTTTCTCTTCTCAGTGACAAATGAGATTGTTACACTCAACTATTTGGAACCTCGGACAGAATATGAACTCTGTGTGCAACTGGTCCGTCGTGGAGAGGGTGGGGAAGGGCATCCTGGACCTGTGAGACGCTTCACAACAGCTTCTATCGGTCAGTGGAAGCCAACAGGCATTTATTCATGAGCTGGGTGGGAGGGGGAGGAAGGGGAAAGAGGAAGGAAGACCAGGAAGGGTGGTGGTGGGTGAGTGGGTGGGTGGGGATGGAGGTGGCAGGAGTTCGCTTTTGAATGGGTGGGAAAGTGACAGGAAGGCTAGCAACTTCAAGCCAAACTGTTCCTTTATTTGGGTTGGACTCCTGGTCTGTCTCCCTGGGGGAGGAGGTCTGCAGCACTCTGTAGGGACAGAGAAGGAAGCAGATGAGCCTTCAGGAAGGCAGGGCCTCCCCTAGGAGCTGGGATTTACACAGCAGCAACTGTGCTGAGCTTCAGCTCCTGCATTTTATCACTGGCTTCCTGTTTCCATCTTAAGGGCCCAGACCAGGCTCTTGCCACAGGCATATTTTAGAAGTCCCAGTTTATTTATTTTCAAAAATAATTTCCAATTTTTCAAAGTAATTCATGGTCAGAGTCATGACATCAAATAGAATAAGAAGCTTTTATCTAAAGAACAGCATTCTCCTGCTCCACCCTCCACCTCCCAGTCCTGCTTCCTATAGGTAGCCACTTTCATCTCCTTAAGCTATTTCTTATATTTACCTCCCTTTTCTAAATCAGTGGTTCTCAAACCTAAGTGTCCATCAGAATCACTCAGAGAGTTTGTTAAAAGATGTTTCTGGGCCTCGTCCCCAGAGTTTCGGATTCAATGGTTTTGAGGTGAGGATGGGGCCGGGGTTCAAAAATTTGCATTTCTAGTAGGTTCCCAAGTGATGCTGCTGGTCCTGGGTCCACACGTTCTAGATAACATGTGTAAAATTACTTCTGGACTTCTCAGTGGTGTTTGGTATTGACTGGCCTTCTATTGCGTTAATTAACTCTGTGAAGCCTCCTTGATGCTAACCTGACCTCCAGCTTTCTGTTACCCAGGTACCCTCCATTGAAATACTGGAGTGATCTTTTGTAAGGTTCCATTCCTGGTTCTTTGAATTGTTCACTGTGTATAACCATTCTGTTACTCTCTCTTGGTCAGTACTTTATACTTTCAACTTCATATATATTTGATTTATATCACCTAGGAAAGTAAGAATTATCATCTTCCCTATTTTACAGATTGAAAAGTAGAGACTCAGAGTACTTAATAACAGTAAGATGCATCACCATACTAAATCTTCGGGCTTCATATCTTTGTCTTTTAGAGCCAGGATCTTGCTCTGTCACTCAAGCTGGAGAGTGCAGTGGTTTGATCAACACTCATTACAGCCTCTATCTCCTGGGCTCAAGTCATCCTCCCACCTCAGCTTCCTGAGTAGCTGGGACTACAGGCACACCACCACATCTGGCTACTTCAAAAAATTTTTTTTGTAGAGACGGGGTCTTGCTTTGTTGCCCAGGCTGGTCTTAAACTCCTGCCTCAAGCAGTCCCCCAGCCTTGGCCTCTCAAAGTGTTAGGATTACAGGGATGAGTCACCACTCCCAGTCCAGGCTCCATATCCTTTTGTTTCTCCAATTATTATTTCTACCTAGAATCCCAAAGGCACCAGCTTATTATCCCAGTTCACATATTTGCCTGTGTTTTACTCCATTTACTAAAAGTAGAAGGATATGTTATGATTGAGTGAAAAAACCAGGAAGAACATCCACTTTTCTTCTGCAGAGATTGTGCACCCTTAACAGAAACATCCTTCCTTCACACCACCCACCTAGTTTTTATGTTACTAGCAGCATCCTTAAAGAACCAAATGAGACTCAAAAGCTACTCTGAGACTTATAGAAGCATTACACACAAGTAAGAAATGGCTGCTTGGGGACCCACCTGGTTGTGAATATAAAAAATAAACCCAGAAACTATATAGAGAGGAAAAAGGGACCTCTACAACCATGACCCAAGGGATCCCTGATATGTCATCATGTTACTGCTAAAAGGCAAATGGTAGTTAATTCTCTCTCAAGTCACTGTTGGTGAGTCAAGAGGGGAAGAGCATAAACTGACTCAGATGGAAAGTATTTATGGAACAGAACATAAAACACTTCACAGCCCCACACTGTACTGTCTTCAGCCCTCAGAATGTGTTGCAGCCAGGAGGTCTCTCAGAATATTTCAAAGTAGTTCTCAGGGGTAGGCGGGAAGGGGATTATTGAAGGTTCTTCTTTTCCCATCATTTGAATTTTGCTGCTGTTTGCTTTTCATTTCGTCTGGCAGTTGCACTGTTTATGTGTGTTGATTGAGATGGTGAAGGCCAGGGAGTCCGGGAGGGGAAGGAAGAGAACACTTTCTGAACATAGTGCAGAAAGGGGCAGACAGGGAGGCGTATGGGGTAATCATGTTCCCAAAGGGCGGGAAAAGGGGAAATGACTATTTATTGAGTTACTCTTCTGTACCAGGCACAGGATTAGGAGGTGTAAATGTATTCTCCAAAATATCAACTCCCCATTCTCCTTTGTCATTGCAAACCTGCCTAAACCACTCTGGGTGGCTATTTTGGAGGTTAAACTTCAGAGGTTAACAAGAGGAGATGGCATCACCTCTCTCCATTTGCAAAGGTTACAGAGAAAGGGCCATCAGACCTTTTGCATAATGCCAAGAAAATGCATGCCTAGCTGCTGGTTCTCACTAGTCTGAGGGTAGTCAGAACCAGGCTGGTGGGACTTAATTCCCAGTAGATGGAAACAGACCCTTCCTCTCACCTCGAACCAAGAGTAAGAGCAGTGTTTCTCAACCTTTAAAAAAAAATGTATTGCTCATCCCCAGTGAGCTGTTTCAGATACGTTTATCCTAGTAGATCCTGCCTCCCGTGAAATTTTAATACCACAGATATGCTCTATATCTGTTTCTGTATTATGGTCCTCTGTAAACAATTGTAGTAATCTGAAATTTTCTCATACACTAAGAACAAATTTTTTTGCCCCATAGGAGTGATTGTGTCCCTACTGAGAATGCATGAATTAGAGGATCTCTATCCTACGTTTTGGAAGGACTTCATATCTGGAATTTAAAAATCAATTTACTATTATTAACTGAAAACACACTATTTCCTCCTTTGTCCAGTGACATAAGACATCTCGAAAGAAGGAAGGGAGGGAGGAAACCAGTGTTAATAGAGCCCCTAACACCTTCCAAGCATTTTCACATCCATTTTCTCACTTATTACTCCTGAGTCTGGAAGATGGATATTTTAATTTTATTTTACAGGTGAACTTGGAGAGATTATGAATTTGCCCAAGGTTGCAAAAGTAAAGTGGCATGTTCCTGTCTCTCTGATTTTAAAACCCATATTGTTTCTATTCAGTGATGTCTTGGTAGCCCAGGCTCCTGTGGGTGATTATGGCCAGGCATCACGTAGTCATAGCGGATACCTTGATGTGATCAGAGCAGGAATAGGCCTGGCCCTGCCACCACAGCTGTATGATTTCTGAAAATCTTGCTAAGGGGAAGGAACCCCTAAATTGCTTTACAATGTATTGCTCAAAATGGTAACAGAAACGGTAAATACTCTCCCATAATCCCATAACCTTGGCAAATCTACTGTTTTGATTTTTATCAGTTTCCTTCCTATCCTTCACCATTGTAGACATAACTTTTAGCATGCCTACATGTACTTGAAGTCTCTTTATTGGGCTTTCATACTTATCCTAGTTATCTATTTTTCCACTGAATGGCTATATCATAATTTATTAAAGCAGTTTCCTATTTTGAGTGTTTAGGTTTCTTCCAATTGTTTGCTGTTATAAATAATGTAATGAATCATTTTGGTAGGGAAAAAAGTATCATATGGGCCACTTGCTTGTGTTTCTTTGATAGCTTATGAGGTGGTATCTTATTCTAGAAGCCAAGGTTACTCTTAAAAGGTGCCCTTTAGCGCTGTCATTGACTCCACCCTTGTATTAGTCTGTACTTGCATTGCTATAAAGAAATACCTGACACTGGGTAATTTGGAAGAAAAGAGGTTTGGCTTTTTACCAAGCCAAACAGTAAAAACAGTAACCATTGGCTCATGGTTCTGCATGCCGTATAGGAAGCATCTGCTTTTGGGGAGGCCTGAGGGAGCTTTTACTCATGGCAGAAGGCAAAGTGGGAGCAGGCACTTTGCATGGTGAAAGCAGGAGCAGAAGAGTGAGGGGGGGCGGTGCTATACACTTTTTTTTTTTTTTTTTTTTTTTACTGTTTCATAATTTATTTATTTTTCCATGGAAATTATTTAACATTTTATTTTCTGACAAAGCTCCTGTTTATTTTATTTTTTATTTTTTATTATACTTTAAGTTTTAGGGTACATGTGCACAACGTGCAGGTTAGTTACATATGTATACACGTGCCATGTTGGTGTGCTGCACCCATTAACTCGTCATTTAACTTTAGGTATATCTCCTAATGCTATCCCTCCCCCCTCCCCCGGCAATTGAACAATGAGAACATATGGAAACAGGAAGGGGAACATCACACACTGGGGCCTGTTATATACTTTCAAATGACCAGATTTCATCAGAACTCACTCGGTATCAGGAGGACAGCACCAAGGGGGATGGTACTAAACCATTCATGGGAAGTCACACTCATCAACCAATCACCTCCCACCAGGCCCCACCTCCAACACTGGGGATTACATTTCAGTATGAGATTTGGGTGGGGACACTAATCCAAACTATATCAGCCATATATAAAAATAATGATTTTTCTGGATTCTCCTAGGACTCCCTCCTCCAAGAGGTCTAAATCTCCTGCCTAAAAGTCAGACCACTCTAAATTTGACCTGGCAACCAATATTTCCAAGCTCGGAAGATGACTTTTATGTTGAAGTGGAGAGAAGGTCTGTGCAAAAAAGTGATCAGCAGAATATTAAAGTTCCAGGCAACTTGACTTCGGTGCTACTTAACAACTTACATCCCAGGGAGCAGTACGTGGTCCGAGCTAGAGTCAACACCAAGGCCCAGGGGGAATGGAGTGAAGATCTCACTGCTTGGACCCTTAGTGACAGTAAGTAATTCATGCTGCTCCAGCCTCATCTGAGCAATAAGGGGCTACCGCCATGCAGACTTAGCTAACATCACTGCAGGACTATTGGAAATTATGAAAGAAAGTTAGTTGTGAGAGAAGGCTAATTAGTGCCCCCCACCTAATCATTTTAATAACTTGCAATATATAACATATATTTGGATTTGCAATAATTCAGGCAGGTCTGTGCTAAAATTTACCTTCCCTTGGTGTGCAGTTGTTTATTTAGTAAATTAGTAACAAGAAGTTTTTCTAGGGCTTGTTGAACCATTTATGGGGTAGTTTTGAAGAATTATCATATATCTACATGTACACAGATGTCAGTTAATTCCAGATGGGTCTTACCTAACCATAAAAACCAAATAACTTTGCTTGAAACCCCTTGAAAACAGGTAATTTTAAAAGTTAAAAGATTTATCTAGGAGTAATAAAATCACTTTTTTTTTCCAAAGTATTTTGCATTTCAGGCTTCTCAATTTCAGATTGGTCATTTAAAATTAATGGGAATTTCTTGGGTTTCTTTGTAGTATTGAAAGTCTATTCATTACTAAACTAAGCAGAGAGTTTTATTTTGATTCACTGAAATTAGAACTGTGTGCATTTGGAACCCTTGGAAAGGTAAACTATTTCTTGGCCACACACAACTACCACTGAAGTCAGGATCATGTGGTCTATGGCCTTACCACCCTGAACACACTGGATCTCATTGATCCTGGAAGCTAAGCAGGGTCAGGCCTGGATGGGAGATTATGTGGTCCCTTGCCACCTCCCAGAGTCTGAGGCTGTCTTTGCAGCTGGTTCTCCACTTCCTCAGGAACAGGTGTGGAAGCTGGCTCAGTGTTTCTTTGGCCACTCTTTTATTGCATCAGTGACTTATGAAAGTCTGAATTGTTTTGTCAGTGTTTAGGAATTCTTCATATATAATGTTTAATTCTGTGAAATTTCCAAGGTGCAGAATCATGCTAACAGTAACACAACGAACAATCACATTCCTCCCATCCAGAATTAACAACTGTTAACATTTTGTCATATTTGCTTTCAGCATTTGTTGTTGACTTATGTAATAACCCACTACAGGTGTATCAGTATCTCCTGCAACTGTTATCCCTATCTATTTCTATTCCCCTCTCCCAAGAGACAACCAAAATTATGAGTTTGTTAAGTATATTTTAATTTAATGTTGTATGTATATATTTTTTGAGACAAGGTCTTGCTCTGTTGCCCAGGCTGGTGAGCAGTGGTGCCATTATGGCTTCTGCAGCCTTGGCTTCCTGGGCCCAAGCAATCCTCCCACCTCAGCCTCCTGAGTAGCTGGGACCACAGGCACACGCCACCACACCTGACTTTTTTTAAAAATTTTTTTGTAGAGATGGGATCTCCCTATGTTGCCCAGGCTGGTCTGGAACTCCTGGGCTCAAGCAATCCTCCCGCCTTCGCCTCCCAAAGTGCTGGAATTACAGGCATGAGCCACTGTGCCAAGCCCAATGTTCTATAATTTTAATATCTCTGAAAGTATACACATGCATACATATCATTCTTCATTTTTTGAATGGACATTATGAATTTTATCGATCCATGTTTATTTAGCTTTGATGCATGTAATTTTAACTTCTGTATAATATTCTATCTTATGAATGTATCTTGTCATTCATCCTCTCCCTTTTAGAGGGAGATGTAGGTTTTTTCATTTTTTACTATCATGAACAAAATGCAATGCCCATTCTTATGCATGTCTCCATGTGCATAGACAGGTGTGAGAGTTTTTCTAGGAACAAGTCCGGTGGTGGAACTCATGGGCTATTTCCCTCTAAAGTGGTTAGTCAGTGTGTACTATGTTCAGGAGTGTATGACAGTGCCATTTTCCTTATACCCATCTCTATGTCTATATCCTTTCCCTATATCACTCGATAGTGTCACACCTTTTTACTTTGCGTATCTCAAAAGCAAAATATGGTGCCTCATTGTTAATTTCAATTTTGATTTCCTTGATAGCTAGCAAAGGTGAGCATCTTTTTATGTTAATTGTCCTCTTTTTTGATATACTTATTGATATACTGGATGTCCTCTTTTTTGATATACTTATTGATATCCTTTGCTCATTTGGAATAGGTTGTCTTTCTTACTGATTTGTAAAAATTATTTGTGTAATCTAAATACTTTGTTATGTGTATTGCAAATATGTTCTCCTAATCCCTTTATTGTAACCTTGTTTGTGGTGGCTTTTAACCCACAGACACTTGACATTTTGATGCAGCTGGACCTGTCAGTATTTGCCTGTGTGATTTATACTTTTTGCATTTTGGAATTATTCCCTATCCCAAGGTCATAAACATATTCTCTGTGTTTTTCCTAGTAGTTCTAGTGTTGTTTTGTGTATTTAGGTCTTTAAGATATAAAAATGTTATTTTGGGGTGCAGTATATTTTAATATTTTTATTTTAATCTTATTTATTCACATATGGCATGTCAGTGGTCCCAATGCCACGTATTGAGTAGTCCCCATGGTGAGTTGTGATGATTTCTGTATCATATGCCAGGTTCTCATATTCATTTTGCATCTATTTCTGGATGTTCTGTTCCCTTCCATTGATCTGTTTGTTCCTGTACCATTTCCAGCATATTAACTATAAACTTGTGAAATGTCAGTAACTATGGGATGAATCACTATTTCCTATTTCAAAATTATCTGAGGTGCTCACTCACCTAAACTACATAAGTTTCATCCTCATTAGAATGATACACTCTCAAAATCACACTATCATTATCATATTTATAGGATTAAACAAAAACTAGTTAATAGTCACTGGGAGTCGACTTGCCTTGGATGATTGTATGAAGTTTGATGGAGGGTCAATGCTGGTGGTGGTAGTAGGGATGTGAGATTGGCAGGGTAGGAGTTGATCCCTATAGGGTCAGGAAATCCGAGGAAGGAGGATGTGAATGAGAACATCTCATTTTTACCTGAAAATATTTGTTAATATGCTGTGTTGTCATTGATCATGTATGTTCATAAGTAAAATTAATACTTCCAGTTATAAAGTTTGTGTTGGTTTCCAGCCTAGCAATTACATCTGGTCCAGGGGTAAGAAGTGGAGTGAATTAGATTTGGCGTATCACCCCAATCATATGTTAAAAATAATATATGTGTGTTATGTTTTCCTGTTGGAAAACATTTACATGGGGAGTATTTGACCCTTACAATGACTTTTTGAGGAAAGTAGAGTAAGAATGATTATCACAGTTAACAGATGAGGAACCTGAGGCACAGAGGAGGGTAAGTGACTTGCCCAAAATTATGGAACTAGTACGGCATGGGGATTAGGATTCTAATCCACATTTTAGTTCTATTTTTCCCCCCACCATGCTACAAATGTCTTGCACTTGTCTCTTTGGATGGGCGACCCACTGCTTCAAAGCAACTATGCTTCTAGAGGTTCTTTAAGTAGTGATATCCCGTTTCTAAATTGTTTAAGGTCTGATTAGTGTTTCCTAAAGCATTTTAGAATCTATTGTAGAGTCACCCAGAGAACCTGCTAAAATGTAGATTGCTGGGTCCAGACCCGCTGAATTTAAATCAAAGGTTTATTGAGCTATCCCTAAGAATGACTCCTTTCAGGCATAAAATGGTAAGTTGGTAGATGCAAATTTATGATTTTTAGTTGGCACAAAAATTATATTCATTATTTTTCTAACAAGCTTCTAAAAGACACTGCTGCTTTTTGTGACAGGCTTAGAAGACCACTGGTTTATGAAGTTGAATTTTTTGAGCCACAACTATACAAATATTAACTATGTGATCATAGTAATCTGAAAATGTTGGTATTTCTATTACTCCTTCAATCTCATGTGGGAAGAAAGGCTATTGTATATTTTTATAAAAATATACAAAAGACTTGGTACTGGATGTAAAGAAAGTTAAGACATACTGTTGATTAATTGTGATTTTTGGATACTGTACCATCTGCTAGACATAGAACATAACAATCAGATTTGGAAGGTTCTAAATCCAATACCTAATTCTCATAAATTGCCACAGTCCCCTAAAGAGTAACAAGGGGGAGTCAACATAATGAAAAGAAGAAATTTAAAATAGAAAGGATGTACCTTGAGATACTTCTCAAAGGTTCTAAATTGTTTATAAGCAGTAACTTTCATGTGGAAAAACAATGGTGTATGGAATGAAACAGCCTATGTCTACTATTCGCCTACTGGGACAAGTACAAACCCCTTAAACTTTTGAAGTCTCAGTTTTCTCATCTCTAAAATGTGGATCATAAAAAATCTCAGTACTGTGTGGTTATACAAGTCAAGAGAGTGTCTGCATGTGGAAGCACATTGTAAATAGCCTCATAAATGTAAGGTACAGTTACTATTAAGGACAAGAGCTCGAATCCATTCTTTTCCTGGATCAAATAGGCTTAGCCTTTATTGGATCACGAACTTCCCTTCTAGCCTGTGCCCTTTAGAGTTTGAGTGAGAATGTAGTGATGCTGCGGTGCCTGTCATCTTCACATGTGGAAAACCTCAAGGCATCTCTTTCTCATCCTGCCCGTGTCCCTGAATGGAATGTGATTCCACTTTTCCCCAAATCCCTATAATACTTTGTCTACTAAAAGTTATTAGCACATTTTCTCATGTATACACTGACCTGCCTGCTGCTCCATAAATTGAGGGCAAGGACTGACCACATGACACTAAGACTATGGACTACAGAGCCAGACTGCCAGGAGTTGAATCTTGTTTCTTCTACTTAACAGTAGTGTCACCATGGCTAAGTCACTTAATCTCTCCAGACCTCAGCACTTACAGAAAGATTGCTATGAAGAGGAAGTGAGTTAATATATACAAGAGACTAGATCAATGCCTGCCATATTGTAAGCACTATATAAATGCCAGCCCTCAGAAGCTTTCCATTCTTCCCAGCATCAAGAATAGTAAGTACAGGTTTGTGGAATAACAGAATTTCTAAGGCCTTCATTTAGTGTCAAGATGACAGATAGATGATATGTGTTGCCATTTCTCTGTCTGTGCCACTCTTTCAAGTCTGCGTGGAGTCCAGTAGCCACTACCAATTGATTGGGGTACCATATGAGAAAACATTTGTTTGCCTTATATGAGCTGACATGAACTCTATCTCAAAAGCATAATGATCTAGGCCATGGTAGTATATCTTAAGTGAATCTTTTTTCTTTTTAATTTCTAGTTCTTCCTCCTCAACCAGAAAACATCAAGATTTCCAACATTACACACTCCTCAGCTGTGATTTCTTGGACAATATTGGATGGCTATTCTATTTCTTCTATTACTATCCGTTACAAGGTTCAAGGCAAGAATGAAGACCAGCACGTTGATGTGAAGATAAAGAATGCCACCATCACTCAGTATCAGCTCAAGGGCCTAGAGCCTGAAACAGCATACCAGGTGGACATTTTTGCAGAGAACAACATAGGGTCAAGCAACCCAGCCTTTTCTCATGAACTGGTGACCCTCCCAGAATCTCAAGGTTGGTTGAATGGACAAGTATTTACATAGGATTACCGTGCAGCCCTATAGGCAGCTGGTTTATCAGGACAGGCCTGTGAGATGAAAGCCTATGAAAAGTCGGTGGTTGAATGGACAGGCATTTACAGAGAGGTCCTTAATATCAAAATGCCTCTGAGAAGGATCCCTGTTGGTCCGTTTTCTATTATTGAACCTTAGAATAGATCAGTCTATCAGCATACCCCATCCAGCAATCTAAGAAGAAAGCTCTGAGGAATATGAATTTTAATTCCTAGGAGAAAGAAGAATGTGGGAGCTGCTTATAGAAGGCAAGCTATGCAAGAGCTCCAGTAGGAGGCTCCAAGAACCATGCTCCATTCTTCCTCAAACACTCCTTTTTTTAGCTTGGATGACATTGTGCAATTCTGAGTCTTCTTCTACTTTACTGATGCAGGTTATTCCATGTCCACCACTAACCCCAACCCCAGGAAAAGTATGTGATTTGAGCTAGATAGAGATCCTCTCTGGATGCCATACTGTGCCCACCATTTGTGATTGATAAAGTCTGTTGAGTGTAATTAAGTGAACAAGGGTCCCATGTGGGTGGAGCTGCAGCAGGAGGATTGACTTCAAGTCTGTGCAGAGGCACCTCCCGGCTCTCTGTGTTGTGTACAATGTGTGCCAGAGAATGTAGATGGAGGCACGTTAGAGGCAAGTTTTGAAAATTTATGATTTGGATTACAGTCTGTTTTTAAAGAAAATACTATAACTAAATCTGAAAACTTCTTGGTTCTCTTGGAGGATTACCTAGACCTTAAGAAACAAAATCAAACAAGTCGCTTTAACAGTGCTGATTCTTTGGAACATTTTTGAAATGCTCAAGGAATGAAGAGTCTGCCAAATATAGAAAATCATGGTTTTCAGGTCACACTCTTAGTGAATGCCCCATTTTTGTAATTACTTGTGTTTTGGCGAAATGTAACTTCCTAAATTCAAGCTATACATAAAATACCAAGAGAAAACTTTTAAAACAAGACAAAACCAAAAGTTTCTCACCATTCTAGACATCTCTGTATCTGTACATATATAGAGATAGAAGAAAAGATAAATGAGAAGAGAGGGATACTTTTAAGAGGACGAGATCATGTTCTATGTGCTATTGCTAATAAAAATATATCGAGTTTAATTTTATTTAAATAAGGAAAAGAAATAGATTTGACCATAGTCTTTAATAGTTTATTTTGACCTGAGCCCTAAATTTAATTTTTCCTCTGTCTTTTCCTGTCTTCCTCCCTCCCTCTCTCTCTTCTTCTATTGGGTATCATTAGGTTTTCTTCATTAACTCATTAAAACAAGACAAACAAAACAAAATACCTGATAGACTGTAAGCTCTTAGCATCATTGAACTTTAAAGCATTTCTAGGTGGGGAAATTGAGGTTTAGGGAGGTTTAGTCACTCTCTCAAAGTTATACCTGTAGTAATTCTCCCTATTATTCAACATTGTTCATTTGCTTGGGATTCTACTTGGAAATAAAAGTTGAACAAATGACAACTAATGATTAGCATATTGCTAATTGTAACAGCACTTTTGCATGTTTTTTTTTTTTTTAATCTTATTACAACCCTGTGAGTCAGACTCATCTCCACTGAGTTTGGAATATAAATGAGTAGCCCGAGGTCATATAGTGGTTAGGTGGCAGGGTTAAGGCTGCTGTTAAGTTCCCATTACACTGTGTCTTCTCCCACATACGGTGTGGGTCTGTTTCTCTATGTAAACTAAACTACCTGCTTCACCTCTGTCTTCCTGCACAGCACCAGCGGACCTCGGAGGGGGGAAGATGCTGCTTATAGCCATCCTTGGCTCTGCTGGAATGACCTGCCTGACTGTGCTGTTGGCCTTTCTGATCATATTGCAATTGAAGAGGGCAAATGTGCAAAGGAGAATGGCCCAAGCCTTCCAAAACGTGGTAGTGTCTCATCTTCCTACTAGCTAATAAGGGCAAGTCCAAGTACAGGCAGAACCTTCACTTTAAAGATATGGACCAGGAAATTTACTTATAAAGTAAATATTTCCCTTAGGCAAGCCTCATCTTCTCTTTGGCTTTCATTATGAAATGGGAGATAAAAAGTATGACTTTTTAATTTCTTATCCAAACCAGAACAATTTTGAGAGTGAAAAGGGTGCTCTTAGTAAATTATGCAGGAAACTAGGTCTGCCCCTGCCTGCTGAAATGAGACATATGGTCATCCTAGTAGTAAGTCCCCAGAGATGATATCTTGCAACAGAATAAATTGAACATTTTTGGTAAGGAAGGACAGAGGGTAACCAGACCTCAGTGAGATAGGTAATGACGTAATATATTAGACAAGTTTTCCTCACATTTGCCTATTTCCAGTTCCCATTTCTTTCTAGTAAGTCCCTCAATCTTATCACCCCTCGTATGTGTAAGAATTGTATATACCTGTGTGTGTCTTCCATTCCTGTGTACCCTCAGTCTGAAGTCAGAGTTCCTGGCACTTGGTACTGCCTCATTTTTTTTTTCATCTAGGAATTCTAACCAGTAGCAAAGGCCTATAAAAATCACACTTTACCAAGAGGCATCTTATTTGAGTTCTTTTGGTATACTAAAGCCTGAAAATGTATCTAGTTTGTGGGTTCAGGCCCTGTAAAATTAATTTGAACCAGACTTTATCAATTCTGTATATAATGCATTGAGTGCAATGATTCAAATGAGGTGTACCCCATGTGCATGAGTCCCCGAGTTTCCCTTCCACGGAGGACAAGAGGAACTTCACTATCTGACTCCATGCCAGAGCTGGCTCAATTCAGGCTGTCGCTGGAGAAGAAGGGCCAGCAAGGGGGTTGGGAGTGCTGAGCCTGTCAAAATACCGGTGCTTTTTCATGGTAGCACCAGCAGCTATTTGAATTCAGGAGAAAGAGATACTGTGTTGGGTTTGGCTCTAAGCTTCAATCATCTTGTGGCCAGAGTGGACTTAGAGATTCTAAGCCTTACTACGAGAGAGAAAGAGTGTGCACTAAAAATAGAGTAGGATCAAGATAATGCTAAGAAAGCTCTCACTGAGGCGCATCCTGTGGCTGCCCCACATAGGCTCTCCAAGTTAGTTTCCAAACCAGAACTGAACGCTTGCTCATTTCACAACACTGTAGGGAACTCACGTACAACTAACGCAAGGATGGCAAACACATGGAATATGTACTGTTACTCCTTCCTCCGTCACCCTTTACAGACATTGCTAATCAACAGGCTTTTCTGGGGAGGCCCAGAATTGTGCCCGTGCAGCCCTGTGGGCAGCTGGTTTATCAGGGCAGTCCTGTGTGATGAAAACCTATTTCCCTTTCCAGTCTAGAATTAAATACAGTATTTCTTTTTTCATCTGGTGTGGATGCCAACCAGAAGACATTATGCCCCTTAGAATTATGAAAAATCCTGACACAAAATGATGAAATAATTATTTTTCCAGAGGGAAGAACCAGCTGTGCAGTTCAACTCAGGGACTCTGGCCCTAAACAGGAAGGTCAAAAACAACCCAGATCCTACAATTTATCCAGTGCTTGACTGGAATGACATCAAATTTCAAGATGTGATTGGGGAGGGCAATTTTGGCCAAGTTCTTAAGGCGCGCATCAAGAAGGATGGGTTACGGATGGATGCTGCCATCAAAAGAATGAAAGGTCAGTGGTTGACCAGATAGAGTCAGCATTGCGTGAGGGTGTGGAGAAAACTTGATTTCCTGCTCATTCTTTCCTCTATGGTCTTACAAAAAATTGGCATGGTATCAGACATAGCTGTTATTTGCAACTGAAGGTTATGCTTCCTTTGAAGTTGAGCCTGTGATAGTCAGGATATCAATACAAAGGCAGGAGCCATTTAAACATCACTGTCTTGATTCATTGGGATGAGATACTATAGATTCTTGGTCATATATGGCTAACTTTTGCGGAGCATCATTGTTTCTCTTAAAGCAGTGCTTCTCCAAATTGAGTGTGCATCAGAATCACCTGGAAGGCTTGTTTAAAAACAGGCTGTTGGGCCCTACCCCACAATTTCTGACTCAGTCTAGGGCAGGGCCAGAGAATCTGCATTTTTCATTAGTTTTCCAGTGATGCTATCTTGTGGGTTTGGGGACCACATTTTGCAAACCACAGTCTTCATAGGTTAACTGTATATAAGTTCCTGGGGACACTGTTAGAAATGCATTCACTTGGGTTTCTTCTACTCCTTGACTACATCTGAGTTTCTTGGGTAGCATATGAAAATCTGTGTTCTTAAGTGGCTTTCTCAATGGTTCCTCTGTACACTCAGGTTTGCAGAGAAAACCACTGACTTAAGGTCATAAGAACTAAATCTTTTCCAGCTTTGTTCATCTCAAGACTGTTTGGTACCTACCCATCTAATAATATTTGATAATATCTTCAGAGAAAGCAGCATGACTAGTTCACTGGCAAATTAGCTAGCTGTCTTCTCTTCTGCATGAAAGAGCAGTTTGTATAAGACTTGACTGTGAGGCTGCACTATTGATTTTACAAAATACAGGCTTGGAATGTGGTGCATTAAAGCAGAGAATATGATGAACTATTATCATTGTGCAGCTCCATCTTAAGAGCTCTCTAAGGATGCTGGCAGATTTTTCTTTTTTTTTGGACCACACTATTGAATCTATGAATTACCTCTAAATCTTATTAAATCATCTCTGCTTTCTGCATTGTTAGGAAGACTAACAAAACAAAATATTATCTATGATTAGAAACAGCAATATGTTTCTTTAAAAACAATACAAACTACTTGCAAAACAGCCACAAATCCCTTTTCTGTTTTGCTACTTTAGTCACAGGGAGTTTTGGGGAGCAGTGAGGATAGTGAGAGGAGAGGGGTGTAGAATCTTATGAAGGCAGTTTTTATTGGGATCTATTGTGAGCCTGATTTTCTACCTTGTGCCCATGTGAAGAGGGAAAATAGCTTAATAAGGCACCAGGGCAGATAAATCCTGCAGGCAAAGCAGTGCATCCAAAGAAGGGCAGTTACTGAAGTGGACAACCTCACTATAAAGAACTTTAAAAAAATATTCCCAAGATATTGACCCTCCATGAGGCTTCTGTAGTATGAACAGAGCACTTGACTTATGAGTACCATTATTCCCTCATGAGATGATTGTCACAGTTTCTAAGCATGAGCAGCCATGTTTATGGCCACCAGCACCTCACTCCTTTCCTTGCCACCCAATGTGTGTTTTTTTTTTTAAAGCAGCCATAGCTCATTGTCCCTGACTCAAGACTGATCAGTTTATGCACCAACCAATAGCCTTCTCTTCATTCTGGTGCCTGCTGTGTTCTCCCTCTGGTTAAAGTGCTAGTGGAGAGACAAGGCAAAAAGAATAGAAGCAGATGCAACTCAGTTTCCTGATTCCCATGCAACTTCCATAAGATACCATTTGGATTTGATTTGTTTAGCTCAATCAACCAGATTGAGACTGGTTTGTAAAAAATAAGTTACAGTTAGTGAACAAAGAGGCATGCATTATTGGTGATGTTTCATGGAAACTTTGGTTCTATTCCTCAGTTGTCTCTGGATGGTAGATTTAGCTGGAAGAGCTAAAATCTAAAAGATGATACAGCTCCACCTCTACCAAGTCATTTACCTGAGGATCTGGGAGCTTCAACAAGAAAACTTTAGAGTAGTGGTTCTCATCCAGGGGTGATTTTGCCCATGGGGGCATTTGGCAATATCTGGATACATTTTTGATTGGCTATTGGCATCTAGTTAGTAGAGGCCAGGATGGCTGCAAAACATCTTACCATGCACAGGACAGGCCCCTGCAAAGGAATTATCAGCCCAGTGTCAATAGTGCCAAGGCCGAGAAACTCTACTTTAGAGTAATCTCTTTGGTTGTATACAGTTGATGGTGACTGAGGGTAGCTGAAGGTTCTTAGGGGGCAGGACGGGACAGCTGATTCTGAAAAGGTGTAACAAAGAAGAATCACAACCCTTGACTTTCTTCCCAGAATATGCCTCCAAAGATGATCACAGGGACTTTGCAGGAGAACTGGAAGTTCTTTGTAAACTTGGACACCATCCAAACATCATCAATCTCTTAGGAGCATGTGAACATCGAGGTAAGATGCTCTTTTCCTGTCTTTCCTGCCAGAGTTTTTATAAAACAGACAAATTCCATATGGATATAAGGAAAGATAATGATCTTAAGAATGTTGCCTATTTTTTTTAAAGTTGCATCTTCTATCTGAATGTCTGTCTAGTCCCATTTATAGACTGTGCTGTGGTTTGCCTTGTTTTTGGAGGGAGGTGCCGAGGCTGGACTATTTAGCCTCTGATGTGGTTCAGCCATTACTGCCCAAAGGTATTCATGGCTCCTACCTGCCCCATCCTTGGCCATGCAGAGGTTTTCTCCACTACCACTACTATTATAGTAGGGGAGCCCCCACCATCAGCTTCTTAATTGCCTACCTTTACATTTTTCCTGGAAACCCAGGGAATTGGTATTCTGAATGTTAAAAGCCATGAATGCCAGCAATCTAGTGTAATATGAAAACTAAGGATGGTTGGATTTTAAAAATAATTATAAGAAGCTTTCATGCGATAGTGCTTTGTTTTTATCCAGAATGCTTTCATGTACAATTACAATGGAGCTTTACAACTATCCTGTGTTGCACATGCATTTAAAGTTAAATTTATGTTATTAATTCAAATGTTTATTGAGTACTTTCTACTGTAATGCATGTAATTACTGGTGAGTGAGTAGGTAACAACAAAAATCCTCTATGGGTTTACCTCTGCATGCAGCATGGCCTTGTAGTTCTGAATCTCTGCTTAAACTTCACTTCTCGTGGAAAAGTTTGCTCCCACAAAAAGCTCCATGCAGTAATTATTTACAAACTTGACAGCCTCTTGTTGACTTTGCAGCACAAACACCAACAATAGAAAAGAGACTACTTCCATTTCCTCAATTTATTAAACTAAAAATACTGGTGCTTCAAACAATTTATCATTCTATGATCCAATAAGGGTGTAATTCTGAAAGCCAGATCATGTCCCTTAGGTTAAATAATGAAGTAATGACATTTATTTTTTGAGCTACTTCCTGAAAACAGTAATGAGCATGGCACAGGAGTGTAAATGAAAGTTACACACACACACACATACCACACACACACACACACCCTGCTGTCCTTGCTGATAGCACTCCCACAAACATGGTGAGTGTTCTTAAAACCCGCCTGACTTTCTGTACAAACCCTACAAATGACACAGTACAAAAGGGCAAGGATTCTCTGGATGCCCAGGGAAAGTGGTGTTATGACAGGAAGCCAAGTGGCCGTGGTGGACAGACTAAACCAGTTTTCTGGAAAAAGGCTAAAACTACAAAGAAGACTGTGCTGAGGCTTTAGTGTTGACCCCACTGCAGATCTAAGAGAATGCTGGCTCTTAAGGGATCCAGGCACTTTGCACTAGGAGGAGATAAGAAGAGAAATGGCCAGTTGATCCAGTTCTAAGTTTCAGCTTTTGTTTTATTCTGAGGACAATAAAATCTTGAGGTTACGTTTACTTCATCTGGTTGCAGTTGGTCTTTAGGGAGAGAATAAACCATGATATTAATGCAGCTTCCTTCTTGGGAAAAAAAACCACAACAACAAAAATATATCCCTTAAAATTTTGCTTCGTCATCACATTAGCACATAGCTGGCTCTTAAAATTTTAAGATAGGCCGGGCGTGGTGGCTCACGCCTATAATCCCAGCACTTTGGGAGGCCGAGGCAGGCAGATCACAAGGTCAAGATGTCGAGACCATCCTGGCCAACCAACATGGTGAAACCCTGTCTCTACTAAAAATACAAAAAATTAACTGGGCCTAGTGGCGCATGCCTGTAGTCCCAGCTACTCGGGATGCTGAGGCAGGAGAATCGCTTGAACCTGGGAGGCGGAGGTTGCAGTGAGCCGAGATCGCACCACTGCACTTCAGCCCAGGCGACAGAGAGAGACTCAGTTTAAAAAAAAATATATATATATATGAATATATATGTATGAATATATGTATGTGTATATATATATATGAATATATGTATATATATGAATATATGTGTATATATATGAATATATGTGCATATATATGTATTTAAGGTAAATTACCTTTATCTTTATTAATAAATACATATTTAAATTATTTTAAAATAATTCAGTAAAGATGTGAGAAAGCACATGTATACCATAATTTAGGTCTAACTTTCATTATAGTGCAACAGGTTTCAATATTACTTTTCTTTTTTGCTAGAATTTCAATTTCTTAGAAGATCTTTCAAGCTTTTTTTTTTTTTTTTTTTTTTGAGATAGATAGATAGATAGATAGGGTCTCACTCTGTTGCCCAGTCTGGAGTGCAGTAGCACGATGTCAGCCCACTGCAACCTCCCCATCCCTGGGCTCAAGCAGTCTTCCCACTTCAGCCTAAGTACTCCCAAGTAGCTGGGACTACAGGGATGCACCACCATGCTTGGCTAATTTTTATTTTATTTTTATTTTTTGTAGAGATTAGGTCTCAGTATACTGCCCAAGCTGGTCTCAAACTCCTGGGCTCAAGCAATCCATCTGCCTTGGCCTCCCAGAGTGCCGGGATTACAAGTGTGAGCCACTGCACTGGGCTTCAAGTTCTAATTCATACATCATTTTAAAAACATGGTTTGCCCAAAAAATTCTTCTTTAAAAAAAACCAGTAAAATAACTTTAACTTTACATTTTTAGTAGGTATAAATGTCGATGTTTTTAGCAAGTAAATTCCCTTTAAAAAAATTTTCGCAAGGGGATAATTTATTTTTTAAAAATTCCAAGAAAACAAAAGTAACAAAACTGGGCAAATAACGTTTTATTAAAAAAAAAAAGAGAGAGAGAAATGATGTGGAACAAAAAAGTGACAATGAACCATAAGTTTTTCTAGGAACTATTGTTTTATTTTTTCCTAAAAGCTTGAGTTTTCTGGTATCTTGAAGCAAAATGCAATCTTTGAAACTAACCTCTGGTGGCCAGAGACCCAATCAGCAATATGGTGACTTAGGATGGGTTTTGAGGAGGAGTAGAAGGCAGGAGAGACAATTACCTGTTGTGGCTCCTTCCACATGGATATTTAATTGTTGAAAAATAATAACAACCTCAGGAATAGCTAGAGGCAGACTAGAATAACATGCCTGGCTCATGTTACTAAGCTCCTTGATCAAAATGGAATGCAAATGAAAAGGTGACGTGAAGAACGTGTCTGAGATCTGGAAGAGCATGCTTTGACTCACTCTACTGTTATTACTGAGTGGGTAAAAGCATTTCAGGAAGCCCTCTGTGTGAGTGCAGGTTTGGTAGGAATGGAGAGGGGGTGGGAAGGAGCAAAACCAAGCGTTGCAGCCTGGCCCCTTTTGAGTATTGCAGGAGGGTGTCACCCGTCTTCCTCCTGTCCCCCAGTGCTCCCTGGGTGGTGTTGCTAGATGTGTTTTTTAGACAAAATGGAGTTTATAGGCAATTTCCACAGCACATCTCTTAAATGTCATAGCTGTTCAGGGCCACTGATGAGTCGATGCTCTCTTCCTTCCCTCCAGGCTACTTGTACCTGGCCATTGAGTACGCGCCCCATGGAAACCTTCTGGACTTCCTTCGCAAGAGCCGTGTGCTGGAGACGGACCCAGCATTTGCCATTGCCAATAGCACCGCGTCCACACTGTCCTCCCAGCAGCTCCTTCACTTCGCTGCCGACGTGGCCCGGGGCATGGACTACTTGAGCCAAAAACAGGTTTGTCCGGAGGACTTCGCTTTGGATATCTTTCCTGTGGAGTTCCCTCTAAAGTCAGTTTCAATATGTTTGTAGGGTCTGTCAACCTCTCTTCTTTAACTCCTTCTTAAAATCTCCCTCATTTTAATCTCTCTGTGAATAGTCCATCTATTTAAAGAAAAATTAGTACTGACAATATGTTTATCTAGCAATTTTCATAATTATGAAAATTGTATAATTTTCTTCTATCTAATTTCATATATGCAAATTTTATAATTTTCCTAATACGTAGCGAGGTACCTTAAGCTCTCTTAGCCTGGTTTGCCTCTAAATAATGTGTAATAACAGAGACACACTACATTACAGCTGGAGGATTTAACAACCTGTGTTTTTTATTTGTTCGTTTTCTGAAATTCTTCTGCCAAGATGTGGTGTGTCATTTGGCAGAATCCATTACCAGGGAATTTTGGAGGGGAACTTTAAGGGAACTGGATTGTGACTGTTTAAAATCCTTTTTTATACTATTGTTTTCTTTCCTGTTCCCCAAAGTTTTCAGCCCTGGGGCTTTCATTAGGCTGAAAATACATAATGTTTTCAAAAATTTCAGTTTATCCACAGGGATCTGGCTGCCAGAAACATTTTAGTTGGTGAAAACTATGTGGCAAAAATAGCAGATTTTGGATTGTCCCGAGGTCAAGAGGTGTATGTGAAAAAGACAATGGTAAGTGCCAGACACAGACACTGATCGCATCCTTTCCGAGGTACTCCCCTGTCTCCTGATGTTGCTTCTGAGACTGTCAGTGCTCTGTGGTGACTGAAGCATCTGACTGTATGTCCCAGTAGATACTGTGTGCCCTGGGAAACATTCTTTCTAAATGTTGGTTCCTAACATGATTGCAGCATCTGCATTAATTAATAATGAAGAAGGCACTGTCATGTGTGACCAAGTGATTGAATGTTCAAACCTAGTGGTTTGGGGTCTTGGTTCTATCCAGTCCAGACCCCAAGGCATCTCACTCAGGAACCTCTGAGGAGCTTGCACAATCCCCTTTCATGCACAGCTGACACAGCAAGGAAAAAAATTAACATATTTTCCAAAAGTCAAGAAGACAAACTAAATGGTTTCTAAATCACCAGGAGGCTCTACAGAGAAATTCATAACTTCTACAGGCTCATCTAAGATTTCTCTCTTCACTGAAACCTCAATGGTCACTATTCAAACCCAAATAAAATCCACTCTCCCAAACAGTAATATTTTATCTTTAAGTACAAGATTGCAGGAGAACCTAACCATACAGTCTTAGAGGAAGAGAGATACTCATTCTGCTTTTGGTGCCCAGTCTAGAATCACATAGTCCTAGAAGTACCGCATCCCTGCATGTTACAGCTGTGTGGATGAAATGTCACCATCCTCTCTTTTCCTTGGGTGGGCAGAATGCAGGGGCCTTAGGGATGACAAGCCCTGCAGCCTTTCCATGTGTCTGGCAGATCTACTCTGGTGGATGGCTCTCCCTTTTTTAGGTCTGATGAACATTACTTGGTCCCAGCTTTCCTGGGATGGCTCCAGTTGTCATAAGATATAGACAATCTTTTTGCTTTTGTGGGCACACCAAATTGTCTCTTAGCAAGGCTCAGGTTCCGGCATTTATTCTCAATTCCAGGCTTCTTTTTTTCCCATCATACTTATTTTAGTTACTGAGAAGATAAAGTAAAACAATACTCAAGAACATTTTGAAAGGAAATCACCCATAATTCACCACCTTGGCATATATATTTTTTTCATTTTGGCTTATTGCCTTTCACAGCATACATCCTTTTACATAGCTACAACCACAGTGAACGTAATCATTTTGGATCTTTCCACTCTCCTTTCTGATGAGGGTGTGAAGCTGGGTCCCTTTGGCTCTTCGAGGGCCCTGCATGCTTATCAACATCAACACTTTCAGAAGCCATGTGTGCCTCCCTGAGGGCTGGCTTCCAGGTGATGCTTTTCTCCCTAACCTTTTCAGGCATACTCAAAGCAGATGCTTCTCTGGAGCAGGGGTGGGCTTGTTTTCTTAAAGAAGCAGAATCCATCACTCACCTACCTACTCCAGCTTTCCCAACTCCTCCCTCACCACCTGGTGTCCTCAAATCTCCTTCCTGAAATCCTTTTCCCTGCTTTACTCCAGCACTTGGGGGATGTGGGTACCCTGGGTGAGAAGGTGGAGGGATAACACAGGATAACTCCACAATCTACCCATTCTATTTGGATGCTCTCCTCAGCCTCCCAAGACTAGCACTGGTTTGCTTGGCATTTCATAAAGGGCAGTGATTTCTGCAATATTGGGGTTATTTACAGGGGGAGAGCACCTATCAGGTCTCAACTCTATCTTACAATAGACTAAACAGGGTAAAGGTGTTCTTTAGCACCTTGGGGCTGGGGAGGAAAGGGCCAGGTTTGAGGGAAGGGGGAAGAAAGAAGGATTGGAGAGGAGCAAGTTCCCTGCAAGAAAGGTGCAGTGTGGCAAGACACTCCTAGAGAACACAGTGGCTACCTTCTCTGGCAGCCAATTTTAAAATCAGATTTTCAATTCTCATTGTACTTCAAAGCATCTGCATTTTTTAAAGATCCCCAGATGATTGAGTCCTATCCTGTGGATATTCTGATTCAATTGGTCTAGGGTGAGAACCCTGCATTAGGGTTTTTTTTTTTTTTTTTAAGTTACCCAGGGTGATTTTAATACTGGAAGTATTACTGCAAACTACTATACTAAGCAATTTGGGGTTTCACTATCATAGATTAATATATCCATCCCGTCATCATGGATTTGTTAGTACAATGTTTCATGCTTGTGCTAGATTTTGGGGTAACATAAGTCAGACACAGTCTCCACCTTCAAAGAGCTCGTAGACATATGACTCAGGATTGTAACAGCTGATAAATGCAAAGAGCAAGGAAAGCATAGATGCTACGGGAACACAAAGAAGGTGCACTGAACCAAGCTGAAAGGAAGTTAAGGAGGGCTTCCTGGAGGAGGTCAAATCCTGAGTTTCATAGTAAATGTTAGATAGGCAGTGAGGATGTGAGAATAAGTTGGATGAGCTGGAGGACACAGTACATACAGAACCCCTAGAGGAAAAGGAAAGCATGAAACCTTTAGGAGATGTTTAAGTAATTCACTATGGCTGGGGGTGTATTGCAGAGAGGAAGGGAGAGTTAAACTTCAGGGTTGGAAGAGGAAGCAAGGATAAAGTCCTGAAGGGCCTTGAATTCCAGCTAAGGATTTGGGATCTTGGAACCATAGGGACATTAAAGAATTTTAAGGAATAGAACTACATGGTCAAATTTGCCATTTAGCATGATCATCCTGACTACAGGGTAGAGAACAGACAATTAGGGAGGGAGATCAGTTAGGCAGAGAGACCAGGAGAGATTGTTGTCATCAGGTGTGGTATGATGGTGGACTGAACTGAGGTGATACAGTAGACAGAAGTGACGAGATCCAAAAGAAGTCAAATAAAAAAATAAATGAAAAAGTGCACAAGGAACTTAACAATTAGGAGGTGTGAGGTTGGAAGCCAGCAGGCTGGGAGTGAATGAGGGCAAAAAGAAAACAGATAACACTGTAGAGAGAGTTAGAATAACAGCTGGGAGATGGGGTGGTGTGGACAGAGAGTGAAGGGAGGAGGTGTGGATGTGGAGGAGAACAATAAATAGGTAGATGTGAGAAAAAATACTTCCATACTTGAACCTAAAAGTACAAAATTACCATTTAGAATTTATGTTTAGAAATGTATGCATCAGAATATTGCCACTCCACAAAGAACTGGGAGACAATTGCACATTCAGGAATCGTCCTTGGGATCTAGGGCAGGGCTGGTCTCATAAATGCATGACCTAGGAGAACACCTGCTCTGGAGAGCTGAGAAAGGTCCCTCAAGTGCTCCTGGTTTTGTTCCACCCACTGGCTAATCTAGGTGGAGATGCCACTGTGAAAGTCTGGACAAATCTCCGGGAGGGAGGGATCAACCTCTCAATGACCAACCCTATGATTCTTGAATGAGTAGATAGGAAGGGAGCCCCAAATCATAGAGACTTTGAGGAAACTAGGAATAAAACTTTAAAGTCAAGCTTTACAATGTCCAGGCACATCTGATTTTGCCTAGCCTGGGATCAGTAAAACAAGATATGGGGAGAGCCTGGAGGCAGTCAGGACCAGGCATCGAAAGGATCAGTATGTCTCCAAACCCAACATAAACTACACTAGCTACAAATCAGCTCAATCTCTACTGTTACACATGCACACTGTTCCCCTTGTCCAGAGATGCTCTTTCCTCTCCCATCTACCTAATGACACCTAAACATCTTATAGAACCATGCTGGGATATCCCGTCCTCTGGAGAATCTCCCTCCATCATCTCCAGGCGTAGTTGTTCTCTTCACCCTACCCCAGTTTCCCTTTTCCACCCTGCTTCCCTTTTCCATATTATTAATACAGTTAAATTCTCACTCAGTGTCTATGCCTGTCTCCCCTTTCAAGCCTCGGAGTGCCTCTGAGGGCTATAAGGTGAATAAGGAATGACCGACTACCATGCGTGCACACTCACACTTCCATTCATATAACGCTGCTGGACCCCGAAAGATAAATAGGACTTATACTGTTTGTTTGCATGTTTTGAAATTTGAAAACACATGTAGCTGGGACATACACAAAGCAATGATTTCTGAGTCTACCCAGCAATCATTTGTGGAGCCACAGCTCAGGCAGGCTGAGAGCCTCTTAAAGACCCTGTCCCAGTTAAGTGAAATCTCACTTTGTTCTCTCCAGGGAAGGCTCCCAGTGCGCTGGATGGCCATCGAGTCACTGAATTACAGTGTGTACACAACCAACAGTGATGTGTGAGTAAACTTCTTATTGCCAAGGGATTTTTTTTCCCTCCCAGAAACATATACATTTGACAGAGGTTTTAAAAAGATACAGGAATGTCCTGTAGCTCTCGGGAACAAAGGTAACTAAAAAGCTCAGGAAATAAATTAGCAGAATAAAGCCACAGAGTAGACAGTTTCCAGAGGAGTGCAGAATCACTTGTGGCAGGTTTTGGGTTTCCCTCTGCATACTGAAGTTGTGTATTCCTCATGTGCTTCAAGTTGCGAATTCTCGGACTCAACAGGAAGAAGGGACATACCGGCCTTCCTGTGGCTCCTCTCCCAGACCTAGATCAGAGGAAGCAACCCAGAATAGCTGCTGGGGACAAAATAAGGCCAGACAGTGGCGGGGGTCGTCTCTGCTTGCAGCCTGCAGTGATGCATCAGAGGCTGGCGGTGAAAGGAAGGATTGGCTTGAGATTTAGGTCATCTTGCCTTGTACCCCATTTCCAGGAGGAAAAACCAAGGCCCCGAGGGTGGTGACTTGTCCAAGGGGTTTTGCTGATGTCTGGGCATGAGGAGGGGGTGGGCAATTGCTGTGTCCTCACTGTATGCAAGGTGCTTTTTATGTTTCTCTGCATAATTTTGAGGCAGGGATTATTGTCCCCACTTTTGGAAGAATACACTAAGAGGTCCCAAGAGGTTCAGCAACTGTTTCCAGGTCACATAAGTATTGGGTGGCAGAGATTGGATTTAACTCAGATCTGTCAAGCTCCACAACAAATTTCATCTGTTTTGGACAGTACCACCTTGTAGTCTCTAGTTAAAGTGATTTGGGGGCTCTGGCAAAGTGAACACTGTTTCTTTGTTGTAACCCTTCCATTGAGCTAAGAGGAGAGAAACCTACACTGTGTGCAAGGGCCTATCCTAGGATGTAGACATTTAACATCTCCTTTTCTCAGAAAGGGTGGGTCTCCCTGGCTTTTGGGGCCGGAAAATGAGCGGTGACTCTGTTTGCTGATTGTTGGTTTCACACTTGTCCCTCCTGCAGATGGTCCTATGGTGTGTTACTATGGGAGATTGTTAGCTTAGGTGAGTATCTATGTTTATCTACCAGGTGAGACTCTAGGCAAAGTGAGTGGAAGCCTCTAGCACTCCCTTGCTGCATAATTCCACAGGATGCCGTTTGTATGTGGTTCTACCAGATGTGACTTGGAAATAGAAACATAGTGTATTAATTCCCATATTTTTCTTTTTAAAAGCCTTATACCTAACGTCATATTTAACACTAATGACCTGGAGGCCATGAACTTTATTATATATTAATTGGCTCCGCTTGTACAAGTTGCCAGGTTAACTTCTAAAACTCTTAGATTATGCAGCTATTAAAAGTCACATTTTTGAAAGCCATTTAATAGCATGTGAAAATATGTAATAATTTCATGTATACCCTGATCCTAGTTTTATCAATATTGCATATTTTAAAAAACTGGAAGGCACTACACAGAAAGGTAATAACATTTATTCTTCATGCTTTTTAATGTGGTACATATACACCGTGGAATACTATGCAGCCACAAAAAAGAGAGGAATGAGTTCGTGTCCTTTGCAGGACCATGGATGAAGCTAGAAACCATCATCCTCAGTAAACTAACACAGGAATAGAAAACCAAACACCACATGTTGTCACTCATAAGTGGGGGTTGAACAATGGGAACACATGGACACAGGGAGGATAACATCACACACTAGGGCCTGTCAGAGGGTAGGGAACAAGGGGAGGGAGAGCATTAGGACAAATACCTAATGTATGTGGGGCTTAAAACCTAGATGATGGGTCGATAGGTGCAGCAAACCACCCACCATGGCACATGTATCTCAGAACTTAAAATTTAAAAAACTGTTCTACAATAAACCAACATGCATGGCTTTTGTAATTAAAAAACTGGCCATAACTATCATTGATAAAATATGAGTTATAAAACTATGGACTTCCAATCAGAAAAAAAGGTTAATCTTATTGGTATAATAAAGGTTAATCTTATTGGTATAATAGATGTGCTTTGTGTGGGGAGACTTAGAACAGGCACTAAGGAAGCCTGTGGTGGTTCCTTCCCCTGAAGCAATGATCATGCTTTGGCATAGTCTATAGTGTAAGCCCAGCTTTGATGTGCAGTGAGTTTGCCAAGGGAGGCATGCAGGATGCTCACCCTCTCTTGCCATACCATGTCTTCCTCCTGGCCCCTTATATTTAGAAACCCTGGACAGGAAGCATTGCTTTTCATGCCAGAGAGGACTTAGAGTGGCACTGTTTGTCTTCCAGGAGGCACACCCTACTGCGGGATGACTTGTGCAGAACTCTACGAGAAGCTGCCCCAGGGCTACAGACTGGAGAAGCCCCTGAACTGTGATGATGAGGTGTAAGTCAGGCCTCATCCTGGGGCTATTTTGTCTTACCTTCCCCCTGTGTGTTTCTGGGGCCAGCTGACTCTAGCAAAGTCAGCCGGTATACACTATACACAAACACCTACACACAGAGATCCCAAATAGGAACCCCTCCCCTTTTATTCACCTAATACTGTTATATAATACACAAGAAGTATTAGCTTTACAGGCATAGAAATTCAGGAGGAATTTAATGACTCTTGGGAAGGTTGAAATGAGGAAGGGCAACAAATGCAGAAAAGCTCTGAAACAAATTCTTTAAACATACAACACTATCCTTGGGGATAAAGATTTCAAAGCTGTTCATTAAGATTAATTAAGAAGGATACATTTTCGGGCTGGCAAGATGGCTGAATAGGAACAGCTCCAGTGTGCAACTCCCAGTGAGATCAACGCAGAAGGCAAGTGATTTCTGCATTTCCAACTGAGGTACCCGGCTCATCTCATAGGGACTGGTTAGACAGTGGGTACAGCCCATGGAGGGTGAGCTGAAGCCTCACCTGGGAAGCGCAAGGGGTTGGGGAACTCCCTTCCTAGCGAAGGAGGGACGGTGCCATGACGAATGGTGCATTCCAGCCCAGATACTAAGCTTTTCCCACAGTCTTTGCAACCTGCAGACCAGGAGATTCCCTCTGGTGCCTATGCCAACAGGGCCATGGGTTGCAAGCACCAAACTGGGTGGCCATTTCGGCAGACACCAAGCTAGCTGCAGGAGTTTCTTTTCATACCCCAGTGGCACCTGGAACACCAGCAAGTAAGAACTATTCACTCCCCTGGAAAGGGGGCTGAAGCCAGGGAGCCAAGTGGTCTAGCTCAGTGGAGCCCATCAAGCTAAGATCCACTGGCTTGAAATTCTCGCTGCAAGCACAGCAGTATGAAGTTGACCTGGGGGAGGACGCTCCAGCTTGGTGAGGGGAGAGGCATCTGCCATTACTGAGGCTTGAGTAGGCGGTTTTCCCCTCACAATGTAAAAAAAGTCACAGGGAAGTTCGAACTGGGTGGAGCCCACCGCCGCTCCTCAAAGCCACTATAGCCAGACTGCCTCTCTAGATTCTTTCTATCTGGGCAGGGCATCTCTGAAAGAAAGGCAACAGCCACAGCCAGGGGCTTATAGATAAAACTCCCATCTCCATGGGACAAAGCACCTAGTGGTAAGGGTGGCTGTTGGTGTAGCTTCAGCAGACTTAAACGTTCCTGCCTGCCAGCTCTGAAGAGAGCAGTGGATCTCCCAGCACAGCACTTGAGCTCTGCTAAGGGACAGACTGCCTCCTCATGTGGGTCCCTGACCCGACCCCTGTGCTCCCTGACTGGGAGACATCTCCCAGTAGGGGTCGACAGGACATCTTATACAGGACAGCTCTGGCTGGCATCTGGCAGGTGCCCCTCTGGGATGAACCCAGGCAGCAATCTTTGCTGTTCTGCAGCCTCTGCTAGTGATATCCAGGCAGACAGGGTCTGGAGTGGACCTCCAGCCAACTCCAGCAGACCTTCAGCACAGGGGCCTGACTATTAGAAGGAAAAGTAACAAACAGAAAGGAATAGTATCAACATCAACAAAAAGGACCTCCACACCAAAACCTCATCTGAAGGTAGATAAATCCACGAAGATGGAGAGAAACCAGTGCAAAACCGCTGAAAATTCCAAAAACCAGAATGCCTCTCCTCCTCCAAAGGATCACAACTCCTTGCCAGCAAGGGAACAAAATTGGACGAATGAGTTTGACAAACTGACAGAAGTAGGCTTCAGAAGGTGGGTAATAACAAACTCCTTCAAGCTAAACGAGCATGTTCTAACCCAATGCAAGGAAGCTAAGAACGTTGAAAAAAGGTTAGATGAATTGCAACTAGAATAACCAGTTTAGAGAAGAACGTAAATGACCTGATGGAGCTAAAAATCACAGCACGAATACTTCTAGAAGCATACACAAGTATCAATAGCTGAATGGATCAAGTGGAAGAAAGGATATCAGATACTGAAGATACACTTAAAGCATGAAGACAAGATTAGAGAAAAAATAATGAAAAGGAATGAACAAAGCCTCCAAGAAATACGAGACTACGTGAAAAGACCAAACCTGAAAGTGATGGGGAGAATGGAACCAAGTTGGAAAACCCTCTTCAGGATATCACCCAGGAGAACTTCCCCAACCTAGCAAGACAGGCCAACATTCAAATTCACAAAATACAGAGACCACCCCAAAGATACTCCTTGAGAAGAGCAACCCCAAGACACATAAATCGTTAGATTCACCAAGGTTGAAATGAAAGAAAAAATGTTAAGGGCAGCCAGAGAGAAAGGTCAGGTTACCCACAAAGGGAAGCCAAACAGACTAACAGTAGACCTCTCTGTAGAAACCCTACGAGCCAGAAGAGAGTGGGGGCCAGTATTCAACATTCTTAAGAGAAGAATTTTCAACCCAGAATTTCGTATCCAACCAAACTAAGCTACATAACTGAAGGAGAAATAAATCCTTTACAGACAAGCAAGTGCTGACATATTTTGTCACCACCAGGCATACCTTACAAGAGCTCCTGAAGGAAGCACTCAACATGGAAAGGAAAACCCGGTACCAGCCACTGCAAGAACATACCAAAATCTAAAGACCATCGACACTACAAAGAAACTGCATCAACTAATGGGAAAAATAACCAGCTAGTGCAGCATAATGACAGGATCAAATTCACACATTATAATATTGAGACCCATCTAACGTGCAAAGATACACATAGGCTCAAAATAAAGGGACAGAGGCATATTTACCAAGCAAATAGAAAGCAATAAAAAAAAGCAGGGGTTGCAATCCTAGTCTCTGATAAAACAGACTAAACCAACAAAGATCAAAGGAGACAAAGAAGGACATTACATAATGGTAAAGGGATCAATGCACCAAGAACAGCTAACTAACTATCTTAAATATATATGCACCCAATGCAGGAGCACCCAGATTCTTAAAGCAAGTTCTTAGAGAACTGCAAAGAGACTTAAAGTCTCCCACTATTATTGTGAGGAGTCTTAACACCCCACTATCAATATTAGACGGATCAACGAGACAGAAGATTAACAAGGATATTCAGGACTTGAATTCAGCTCTGGACCAAGTAGACCTAATAGACATCTACAGAACTCTCCACCCCAAATCAACAGAATATACATTCTTCTCAGCACCTCATCACACTTAAAGCTGACCACATAACTGGAAGTAAAACATTCCTAAGCAAATGCGAAAAAACGGAAATCATAACAGTTTCTTAGACCACAGTGCAATCAAAGTAGAACTCAGGATTAAGAAACTCACTGAAAACCACACAACTACATGGAAACTGAACAACCTGCTCCTGAATGACTACTGGGTAAATAACGAAATGAAGGCAGAAATAAAGATGTTCTCTGAAACCAGTGAGAACAAAGACACAACATACCAGAATCTCTGGGACACATTTAAAGCAGTGTGTAGAGGGAAATTTATAGCTCTAAATGCCCACAGGAGAAAGCAGGAAAGATCTAAAATTGACACCCTAACATCACAATTAAAAGAACTAGAGAAGCAACAGCAAACAAATGCAAAAACTAGCAGAAGGCAAGAAATAACTAAGATCAGAGCAGCATTGAAGGAGACAGGGACATGAAAAACCCTTCAAAAAAAATCAGTGAATCCAGGAGCTAGTTTTTTGAAAAGATAACAAAATAGACTGCTAGCCAGACTAATGAAGAAGAGAGAGAACAATCAAATAGATGCAACAAAAATGATAAAGGGGATATCACCACTGATCCCACAGAAATACAAACTACCATCAGAGAATACTATAAACACCTCTACGCAAATAAACTAGAACATCTAGAAGAAATGGATAAATTCATGGACACATACATCCTCCTATGTTTAAACCAGGAAGAAGTCGAATCCCAGTCGAAGACCAGTAACAAGTTCTGAAATTGAGGCAGAATTAATAGCTTACCTACCAAAAAAAGTCCAGGACCAGACGGATCCACAGCTGAATTCTACCACAGGTACAAAGAGGAGCTGGTACCATTCCTTCTGCAACTATTCCAAACAATAGAAAAAGAGGGATCTTTCCTAACTCATTTTATGAGGTCAGCATCATCCTGTTACCCAAACCTGGCAGAGACACAACAAAAAAGAAAACTTCAGGCCAATATCCCTGATGAACATTGATGCGAAAATTCTCAATAAAATACTGGGAAACAGAATCCAGCAGCACATCAAAAAGCTTATCCACCATGATCAAGTCTGCTTCATCCTTGGGATGCAAGGCTGGTTCAACATATGCAAATCAATAAACATAATCCATCATCTAAACAGAACCAATGAAAAAAACCACATGTATCTCAATAGATGGAGAAAAGCCTTCAAGGAAATTCAACACCCCCTCAGGCTAAACACGCTCAGTAAACTAGGTATTGATGGAACGTATCTCAAAATATTAAGAGCTGTTTATGACAAACCCACAGCCAGTATCACACTGAATGGACAAAAGCTGGAAGCATTCCCTTTGAAAACCGGCATAAGACAAGGATGCCCTCTCTCGCCCCTCCTGTTCAACGTAGGATTGAAAGTTCTGGCCAGGGCAGTCAGGCAAGAGAAAGAAAGAAAGGGCATTCAAATAGGAAGAGAGGAAGTCAAACTGTCTCTGTCTGCAGATGACATGATTGTATTTCTAGAAAACCCCATTGTCTCAGCCCAAAATCTCTTTAAGCTGATAAGCAACTTCAGCAAAGTCTCAGGATACAAAATCAGTGTGCAAAAATCACAAGCATTCCTATACACCAATAGCAGACAAACAGAGAGCCAAACCATGAGTGAACTCTCATTCACAACTGCTACAAAGAGAATAAAATATCTAGGAATCCAACTTACAAGGGATGTGAAGGACCTCTTCAAGGAGAACTACAAACCACTGCTCAAGGAAATAAGAGAGGACACAAACAAATGGAAAAACATTCCATGCTCATGGACAGGAAGAATCAATATTGTGAAAATGGCCACACTGCCCAGTGTTATCCCCATCAAGCTACCATTGACTTTCTTCACAGAATTAGATAAAACTGCTTTAAATTTCATATGGAACCAAAAAAGAGCCTGCATAGCCAAGACAATCCTAAGCAAAAAGAACAAAACTGGAGGCATCAAGCTACCTGACTTCAAACTATACTACAAGGCTACAATAACCAAAACAGGATGGTACTGGTACTAAAACAGATATATAGACCAAAGGAACAAGACAGAGGCCTCAGGAATAACACCACACATCTACAACCATCTCATCTTTGACAAACCTGACAAAAACAAGCAATGGGGAAAGGATTCCCTATTTAATAAATGGCGTTGGGAAAACTGGCTAGCCATATGCAGAAAACTGAAATTGGACCCCTTCCTTACACCTTATAAAAAATTAACTCGAGATGGATTAAAGACAAACGTAAAATCTAAAACCATAAAAACCCTAGAAGAAAACCTGGGCAATACCATTCAGGACATAGGCATGGGCAAAGACTTCATGACTAAAACACCAAAAGCGATGGCAACAAAAGCCAAAATTGACAAATGGGATCTAATTAAACTAAAGACCTTCTGCACAGCAAAAGAAACCACCATCAGAGTGAACAGGCAACCTACAGAATGGGAGAAAATTTTTGCAATCTATCCTTCTGACAAAGGGCTAATATCCAGAATCTACAAAGCACTTCAACAAATTTACAAGAAAAAAACAACCCCATCAAAAAGTGGGCAAAGGATATGGACAGACACTTCTCAAAAGAAGATATTTATGCAGACAACAAACATGAAAAAAGCTCATCATCACTGGTCATTAGAGAAATGCATATCAAAACCACAATGAGATGCCATTTCACACCAGTTAGAATAGCAATCATTAAAAAGTCAGGAAATGACAGATGCTGGAGAGGATGTGGAGAAATAGGAATGCTTTTACACTGTTGGTGGGAGTGTAAATTAGCTCAACCATTGTGGAAGTCAGTGTGGCGATTCCTCAGGGATCTAGAATTAGAAATACCATTTGACCCAGCCATCCCATTACTGGGAATATACCCACAGGATTATAAATCATTCTACTATAAAGACACATGCACACGTATGTTTATTGCAGCACTGTTCACAATAGCAAAGACTTGGAACCAACCCAAATGCCCATCAATGATAAACTGGATAAAGAAAACGTGGCACATATACACCATGGAATACTATGCAGCCATAAGAAAGGATGAGTTCTTGTCCTTTGGACGGACATGGATGAAGCTGGAAACCAACATTCTCAGGAAACTAGCACAAGAACAGAAGACCAAACATTGCATGTTCTCACTCATAAGTTGGAGTTTAAGGATGAGAACACATGGACACAGGGAGGGGAATATCACACGCCTATCGGGGGGTGGGGGCTAGGGGAGGGATAGCATTAGGAGAAATACCTAATGTAGATGACAGGTTGATGGGTGCAGCAAACCACCATGGCACTTGTATACATATGTAACAAACCTGCATGTTCTCCACATGTATCCCAGAACTGAAAGTATAATAATAAAAAAATAAAGATACATTTTCTTGCCTAGAACCTTGCTTCTGCTAAGATTACTTTCAAAAGTAAGATTTATTCCAAGGGTAAGAATAATGAACTGTAGTGATACCAGCATTCCCAGAACTATCCGTGGTAGAAGCTAACTGGCATGTTTGAAGACTGCAAGGCTCTAGGTTGAGCAGATAATTTATTGTCTAAATGGAGCTACTTCTAAGAGTGAAGGAGGGTGTTAATCTCACTGGAGCAAGAAGCATACATACCATCCTGGAAAAACCTGGACATAGTTGACCATCACTAGACAGTCCCTAAAATTCCACCTTTTGAGATTCACTTCATAAGGGGTGAGAAGATTTTTTAGTCTTTAAGAAACTTATGTTAAAGTGTAAGCTGTTCTGGGATCTGTGACACCCTAAGCCAATGGTTGATAGCCTTCCATGCACATAAGGTTCCCCAGAGTCATTTGTTCAGCATGTGGGCTCTTGGTCCCCACTGTCAGTCATTGATTCTGTAAGTTTAGGGCAGGTTCCAGAATTCTGCATTTTAATAACAGAGTAGTTCTGAGCACAACTGAGTAAGCACTGTCTTAGGTCAGTGTTTCCCAAACTATGTTTTCACGTGTTGTGCAAGATATAAATACATGATGCAAGGGGAAAGGAGTTCTGCGGTCAATTACTTTGGAAACTTTGTGTTAAACCTGTTGTCTTAGTCATTTCCGGCTGCTGTAACAACATACCATAAACATGGTGGCTTATAAACAACAGAGATGTATTTCTCACAGTTCTGAAGGCTGGGAAATCCAAGATCAAAGCGCTAGCAGATTTGGTGGCCATGAGCCATTTCCTAGCTCATAGATGGCCATCTTTCTGCTGTGTCCTCACGTGGCACTAGGGGCAAAAGAGCTCTTTGAGGCCTTTTGTGTAAGAGCACGAATCCCATTCATGAGGGTTCTACCCTCATGACCTGATCACCTCCCAAAGGACCTACCTTCAAACACCATCACATGGTTTCAACACATGATTTTTGGGTGGCATGAACATTCAGTCCATAGCACCTGGTTAAACAGGCATTTTTTTGTTTTTAATGACAGTGCTTCTAAAAGTCCTGCCTCTTAAAGGGACTTTATGTGGGTGGCATTTTACAAGTTTGAGCATGGGCCCTTTAAGAGACACTAACATTTTGAAATATGCAGCATTCCAAGGCAAATGCTGCTCTAGACACATACCCAGTTCTTTCTAGATGATTGCAATAGCTGAGACCAAGGTCCTGCAGAAACAGTACCGAGGGTAGGAACTAAATCTATGAGGAGTTGAAATGAGACTGGCTTAGGGAGGTGGGAGTCCTCATAGAAACTTCCTAGGGGCTGTACTTTGGTTAAGCTTCATAACCATGCATTGGGTGGCTTCATTCTCTCCTCTCTTTTCCTGCCGTGCCTAGGACTGAAGCACAGTTATAGAATTAACCCTTTAATTCTTTGCTTTCGAAGGTATGATCTAATGAGACAATGCTGGCGGGAGAAGCCTTATGAGAGGCCATCATTTGCCCAGATATTGGTGTCCTTAAACAGAATGTTAGAGGAGCGAAAGGTAAGTATTAAAGTCAGGCAGGAGATCTTTAATTGGAATACCTGATGTGCCCAGGGTGGTTCATAAAAAACATTGAAATAATTGAAGAAGTTCTTCTTGGCATGGCCCTAAGTATTATAGAAACAAAGGATGTCCCTCCACCCCCGCGACTTTGAAGAAGTTACAATTTTGGGGGGAAATAAGATTTCTATACAAGATACAGTCACGTACACACTAGAATAACATACAGAATTAGCCTATTAGAGTTGGAAGGAATTTTCGTCATATAGCCTGACCCTTTAATTTTATAGATGAAGAAACAGACTCAGAAGTGGGTGACTTGACCAAGGACACACAGCAAGTAGACAACAGAGCCTGACCTGCAGGTTACTATAATGAGGGTCAGGAACTCCATAAAAATTTCTAGAAGTAAGTTGGCTGTACCGATCTGGGAGTCAAAATAAAAGTAAACACAGTTTAAAGAAATAGTCATCAAAACCCAAGTGGTAATTCAACTAGAGATGCAGGTGAGATCACACAGATGTGAAAATGAGATTCAGACAGAGGAAGGAACCCAGAAGAAGGAACCCTAGGGAAGCTGAACACATTAGGAGGTACCAATAAGACACTGTGAGAAAGGCAAGCTCAGAAACTGAGGATACAGTATGAAATCTTACTTGCAGAACGCAAGGGGATGCATTTTAGGAAGAAAGTCATCAAATACAACAGAGGGACTGAGGACAGAAAAGTATCCCCCAAGTGCTTAGTATATGAGTTGCAACAAACTAAGAAAACCAAGGTATTGCTGTAACTGCCGCTGGCAGAGGTGGAATCAAAGCAGCCTATGTCTCTGAACCATTTTCATTCTTCCAGACCTACGTGAATACCACGCTTTATGAGAAGTTTACTTATGCAGGAATTGACTGTTCTGCTGAAGAAGCGGCCTAGGACAGAACATCTGTATACCCTCTGTTTCCCTTTCACTGGCATGGGAGACCCTTGACACCTGCTGAGAAAACATGCCTCTGCCAAAGGATGTGATATATAAGTGTACATATGTGCTGTACACCTGGGACCTTCACCACTGTAGATCCCATGCATGGATCTATGTAGTATGCTCTGACTCTAATAGGACTGTATATACTGTTTTAAGAATGGGCTGAAATCAGAATGCCTGTTTGTGGTTTCATATGCAATAATATATTTTTTTAAAAATGTGGACTTCATAGGAAGGCGTGAGTACAATTAGTATAATGCATAACTCATTGTTGTCCTAGATATTTTGATATTTACCTTTATGTTGAATGCTATTAAATGTTTTCCTGTGTCAAAGTAAAATATTGTTAATAAACCTAACAATGACCCTGATAGTACAGGTTAAGTGAGAGAACTATATGAATTCTAACAAGTCATAGGTTAATATTTAAGACACTGAAAAATCTAAGTGATATAAATCAGATTCTTCTCTCTCAATTTTATCCCTCACCTGTAGCAGCCAGTCCCGTTTCATTTAGTCATGTGACCACTCTGTCTTGTGTTTCCACAGCCTGCAAGTCAGTCCAGGATGCTAACATCTAAAAATAGACTTAAATCTCATTGCTTACAAGCCTAAGAATCTTTAGAGAAGTATACATAAGTTTAGGATAAAATAATGGGATTTTCTTTTCTTTTCTCTGGTAATATTGACTTGTATATTTTAAGAAATAACAGAAAGCCTGGGTGACATTTGGGAGACATGTGACATTTATATATTGAATTAATATCCCTACATGTATTGCACATTGTAAAAAGTTTTAGTTTTGATGAGTTGTGAGTTTACCTTGTATACTGTAGGCACACTTTGCACTGATATATCATGAGTGAATAAATGTCTTGCCTACTCACGTCTCATCCAGGAGTGTGTCTCATAGCTATTGCCACATGTCCTTATTATACTTTAAAGAAAAATCGTTTAAATTATCCATCCCTAGCACCTAGAGTAGTGCGAGTATACTCCACCAGTTACGGAATCTGAAGCTCATCAGATTGAAAAGGTCTCCTAGAAGTGTTCTACTGCTTATTTCTTTTTCTTGCAACAGGCAGTACACCTTTGGGAGTGTTCCAGTGTGAACCAAGGGCTTAGAATTGGAATTCCTTTTAATTGTGTTACAATGTTAAATAAAGTCCTCACACAATGTCATTGATAGGTTTGTGGAAACTGCAGTACTATGTAGTGAAACCAATTTTACCATAGAGTAACTCATAGAAACGAGATGCTATCCCCATCAAGCTACCATTGACTTTCTTCATAGAACTGGAAAAAACTACTTTAAATTTCATATGGAACCAAAAAAGAGCCCACATAGCCAAGACAATCCTAAGCAAAAAGAACAAAATTGGAGGTATCAGGCTACCTGACTTCAAACTATACTACAAGGCTACAGTAACCAAAACAGCATGGTACTGGTACCAAAACAGATATATAGACCAATGGAACAGAACAGAGGCCTCAGGAATGACACCACACATCTACAACCATCTGATCTTTGACAAACCTGACAAAAGCAATGGGGAAATGATTCCCTATTTAATAAATGGTGTTAGGAAAACTGGCTAGCCATATGCAGAAAACTGGATCCCTTCCTTATACCTTATACAAAAATTAACTCAAGATGGATTAAAGACTTAAACGTAAGATCTAAAACCATAAAAGCCCTAGAAGAAAACCTGGGCAATACCATTCAGGACATAGGCATGGGCAAAGACTTCATGACTAAAACACCAAATGCAATGGCAACAAAAGCCAAAATTGACAAATGGGATCTAATCAAACGAAAGAGCTTCTGCACAGCAAAAGAAACTACCATCAGAGTGAACAGGCAACCTACAGAATGGGAGAAAATTTTTGCAATCTAGCCATCTGACAAAGGGCTAATATCCAGAATCTACAAAGAACTTAAACAAATTTACAAGAAAAAACAACCCCATCAAAAAGTGGGCAAAGGATATGAACAGACACTTCTCAAAAGAAGACATTTATGCAGCCAACAAACACGAAAAAAAAAGCACATCGTCACTGGTCATGAGAGAAATGCAAATCAAAACCACAATGAGATACCATCTCATGCCAGTTAGAATGGTGATCATTAAAAAGTCCGGAAACAGCAGATGCTGGAAAGGATATGGATAAATAGGAATGCTTTTACACTGCTGCTGAAAGTGTAAATTAGTTCAACCATTGTGGAAGACAGTGTGGCGATTCCTCAAGGATCTAGAACCAGAAATACCATTTGACCCAGCAATCCCATTACTGGGTATATACCCAAAGGATTATAAATCATTCTACTATAAAGACACATGCACACGTATGTTTATTGCAGCACTGTTCACAATAGCAAAGACTTGGAACCAACCCAAATGCTCATCAATAATTGACTGGATAAAAAAAAATGTGGCACATACACACCATGGAACCCTATGCAGTCATAAAAAAGGATGAGTTCATGTCCTTCTTAGGGACATGGATGCAGCTGGAAACCATCATTCTCAGCAAACCAACACAAGAACAGAAAACCAAACACCACATGTTCTCACTCATAAGTGGGAGTTGAACAGTGAGAACACATGGACATGGGGGGATGTGGGGGAGGTGGGCATCACGCAGCGGGGCCTCTTGAGGAGGGCTAGCATTAGGAGAAGTACCTAATGTAGATGGCAGATTGATGGGTGCAGCAAACCACCATGGCACGTGTATACCTATGTAACAAACCGGCACGTTCTGCACATGTACCCCAGAGCTTAAAGTATAATAAAGAAAGAGACAAGAGTTAAGTGTCTGTAGCATACAGTACATTATTTCACTTAAGTCAGTTTCCAAGAACCTATTGAGAACATTGAGGACATATTGTAGTTCTACATGCTGCACAAACTTTACATATTCTTATGTATTCAGGAATTACAACTAGGCAACTGAATTCATCCTGAACACTCTTTATTCCCAACAGCATATTCAAGCAAAGACACAGAGCAAAATAAAGGCTGCTCACATAACACTTAACTAAATGGAAACATGAATGAAAAGCCACTGAAATATCGGTCTAGCATGTCTTCACCAAGAGGGCATACTAGGAGATACCAGTCTTTATCTTCCCACAAAAAAAAAGAATAGATAAATAAACACAGACAACTATTCACATACCAAAACAACCCAGAGGGAGTGCAAGGGCCCATTATAGGATATGCAGCAATACAGTGGAGCACAATAATGGAGAATAATCACACAGAAAGGATTGTGATCAGCATATTTAATACACCAGGAGATGTCTACGAACAAAGGTGGAGGCCTTGGTATGAGCCACACAGCAGAACTACTGTGGTCACAGTGACCTGCTTTACAGAGGATACCAGCATCTCCTGCCACTGAGGTATCAGATAGTCATTCCCACTGGAGAACCTTAGAAAAGGAAATGCACATCCCTAAAAACCCCTACCCCCAGAAGTGGTTGCTGTTGAGACACTTTAAGAAAGGAGCCACCATTTCTTCTAACCCTGTACATACCTCAATCTTGGGGCTGCAGCCACTTCATAAGAGCCCACAAGCTCCAGTCTCAGGCTCTGTGGCTGCATTGGGCCCACCCTCGTCTCAGACACTGTAGCGACTGCCATAGTGAGCTAGTTTGTACCCTGGGCCCTAGAGTCCATACTCTACACACCAGTTCAGCCGCATGGATAACTAGGCTCCATCCTAACCCTAGAGCCATGCTAACTCTGTGTATACCTGTGCTTCCATTCTTGGTTCCCTGGCTACTTCACAAGCATTTGTAGCCCAAAGCTGCTACCAACATGACAGACAGGGTGCTTGTGCCTCAAGCCAACAGCTCAGTCACCATAGAGAACGAGGCCCTGCCCTGACTCTGGAGCTTCTCTAACACTGTGCGTGTCTGTGCTCCCATTCTTGTCTCTACCAGCCGCTCCAGAGCATCTGTGGCTTGCATACTGTTACTGTAGGAGGGTTGCTTGTGCCCCAGGCACCAGTGCCATTAATTCCCAGATCTCATAGCAACAGACTCTCCACATGTTCTCATGTTTCAGGCCTCAGCTCCATGACTGTTCCACAGGTACCACTCAAATACTGGTACTGTCACTACTGCAAGACAGCCCATAAACCAGACCCAGTGCCAAGACATACCCTTTCAGCTATAACTTCCCTAGTGGGAGAAAAGAGATCAGGAGGATCTCCTCAGCCATTGTCTCTGAAGACCTCAACAACCCTTGCTGGCACTGTGGACATCCACAGTGTTGACCACTGAGGAGGCCTGCCACCTTTGTCAACACCAACCTCTGCTGACAGAACTGGTGCCAGAACTACTGCACCACAGTCAGCAAATGGTCTGATATTCCATGGAGAGGAAGGTCTTTCCACAGTGAAACTAGCCCATGAGTTTTGCAAATGTGACTGTTCCACCAAATGCACAGGTATCAACATAAGCAACAAGAAACATAAAAAGAAAAAAAAAAAAACAGACACAACACCACCAAAAGAGCACAATAATCTAGTAGCTAACCCCAAAGAAATATACAAACTGCCTGATAAAGAATTCAAAAGAATTGTTTTAAGAAAGCTCAGCAAACTTCAAAAGTGTTCAGAGAAATGATTCAATAAAGTCATGGAAACAGTAAACAATCAAAATGAGAAATTTAACAGATGGAAATTATATTTTAAAACCCCAACATTCTGGAGCTGAAAAATAAATGAAATGAAAAATGCGATAGACAACAACAACAGAATTGATGCAGCAAAAGAATTTGAATTCAAATATGTGATTTGAAAATATGTAGTCATGGGGTTGGGGGGAAGGATGAAAAGTAATGAAGAATGCATATGGAATTTGTGAGACAGCATCAAAAGAGCACATGTTTGAGTTATAAGAGTTCAAGAAGGAGAAGAGACAGAAAGGGGTAGAAAGCTTATTTAAGAAATAAACAGCATAACACTTTCCAAATTTGGGGAAGATAAATATTTAGGTACAGGAACGTCAAAAGTCTACAAGCAGATTCAATCCAAATAATATTTACAGCAAGATATATTATAATCAAATTGTCAAAAAACAAAGAGGATCCTGAAAGCAGCAAGGAAAAAGAAGATTAACATATGTAACGGAGTTCCAATAAGACTAGCAGCCAATTTCTTAGCAGAAATGTTACAGGCCAGGAGAGAGTGGAATGATATAGTCAAAGTTCTGAAGAGAAAATAATGTCAGCCAAGAATCCTGTATCCGGTAAGGCTGTCCTTCAGAAATGAAGAAATAAAGACTTTCCCAGACAAAAGCTGAGGAATTTCATTACCACTACATCTGACTTATAAGAAATGCTAAAGAGAGTTCAAGCTGAATGAAAAGGCTGCTAAATTAATAGCATGAAAATATGAAAGTCATTGGCAAAAGTTAAAACACAAATTCAGAATAATACTGTAATTGTGGTGTGTAAATCACTATCTTTAGGACGAATGTTAAAATGGAAAACTATCACAAATAACAGCTACAATGATTTGTTAAGGGATATGCAATATAAAAAATATAAATTATGACATCAAAAAATGTTGGGGGTGGAAGAATAGTTACTTTATTCAATCAAAATTAAGTTGTTATCAGCTTAAAGTAGTCTATTATAACTGTAAGATTTTTATATAAGCCTCCAGGTAACCACCAGCAAAAATCTACACAGGATACACAAAAGATAAAAAAGTAAGAAATCAAAGCACATACCACTAGAGAAAATCATCTTAAGGAAAAAAGGAAAAAGATCTACACAACAAAGAGAAAACAATTAACAAAATGGCAATAGTAAGTCCTTACATGTCAATAATTACCTTGAATGTAAATGTTAAATTCTCCAATTAAAAAACATAGATTGGCTGAATAAAAAAATAAGACCCAATTATGTGCTGCCTACAGAGACTCACTTCACTTTTAAAGATACACACAGAATAAGAGTATAAGGATAGAAAAAGGTATTCTGTCCAAATAGAAACGAGAAGAGAACAGGAGTGTCTCTATTATATAAAATAGATTTTATGCCAAAAACTGTGAAACGAGACAAACAAGGTCATTATATAATAAAAAGAGCAATTTATCAAGTAGATATAGTAACTGTAAATATGTATGCATCTAATGTCAGAGCATCTTAAATACATAAAGCAAATATTAATAGATCTGAATAGATAGAAATATTACAGAAATAAGAAAAATCATAAGTGACTAATATGAACAACTATATGACAACAAATAATCTAGAAGAAATTGACACATTTCTAGATACATACCACCTACCACGACTGAATCATTAATAGATAGAAAACCTGAGCAGACCAATAACCAGTAAGAAGATTATGAGTCAGTAATAAATCTTCCATGAAAGAAAAGCCTAGCACCTGATGCCTTCACTGGTGAATTCTATCAAACATTTAGGGAAGAAATAATACCAATTCTTCTCAAACTCTTTCAAAAAAAACTGAAAAGGAAGGAAAACTTCCAAGTTCATTTCATGATGCCAAAGCCAGACAAGGACACTACAAGAAAAGAAAATTATAGGCTAATATCCCTGGTGAACACAGATGCAAAAATCTTCAACAAAAAACTAGCAAACCAAATTCAACAGCTCATTAAAAGCATGATTCACCATAATTAAGTGCAATTTATCCCTAGGTTGCAAGGATGGGTCAATATATGCAAATCAATAAATGTGACACATGGCATTAACAGAAAGAAGTGCAAAAACCATATGATCATCTCAATACATGTAGAAAAGCCATGTAACAAAATCTCTTCATGATAAAAATTCTCAACAAAATTGGTATAAAAAGGAATGTACCTTAACCCAGTAAACACCATATAGGACAGTCCCCTAGCTAACATTATACTCAATGGTGAAAAGTTGAAAATTTTTCCTCTAAGATCAGGAACAAGAAAAGGATGCCCACTCTTGCTACTTCTATTGAACCTAATACTAGGAGTCCTAGCCAAAGCAATTAAGCAAGAGAAAGAAAGAAAAGGTATCCAGTTCTGAAAGGAAGAAGTTAAATTGTCTCTGTTTGCAGACAACATGATCTTATATAATGAAAACTCTAAAGACTCTACCAAAAAACCCTGTTAGTGTAAATAAACTCAGTAAAGCTGCAAGATACAAAAATCAACCTACAAAAACCAGTAGTGTATCTATTAACAACAAGCTATCTGAAAAAGAAATAAAACTCCATTTACAATAGTTACTAAAAACTAAATAGGAATAAGTTTAACCCAAAAGGTAAAAGATCTGTACAATGAAAACCATAAAACATTGATGAAAGAAATCAAAGAAGACACAAATAAATGAAATAATTTTCCACATTCGCAGACTGTAAGAATTAATATTGTTAACATGTTCATACTACCCAGTGTGATCCATAGATTCAATACTTATCAAAATTCTAATGGCATTTTTCACAGAAATAGAAAAGACAACCATAACGTTTGTATGGAACCACAAAAGATCCCAAATACCCAATGAAATCTTGAGCAAGAGGACAAATCTGGAGGCATCTAGTTGATTTCAACATCTACTACAAAGCTATAGTCATCAAAGCAGTATGGTACTGACATAAAAACAGACGTATGAACCAATGGAACAACATAGAGAGTCCAGAAATAAATCTACACATTTGTGGTCAATTTTTAACAAAATGCCAAGAACACACAATGGGGAAACAATAGTTTCTTCAATAAACTGTGCTAGGAAAACTGGATATTCATATGCAGAAGAATGAAATTACCCCCCCATTTCACACCACGTACAAAATCAACTCAAAATGGATGGAAGACTTAAATGTAAGACTAGAAACTGTAAAACTACTAGAAGTAGTTCTAGGGGTACTAAGGTAATCACCGGGGTAAACTCCATGACATTGGTCTGAGCAGATTTTTGGGATATGACCCTAAAAACACAGGCAATGAAAAACCAGACAAATGGGATTCCATCAAACTAAAAAGCTTCTTCACAGCAAAGGAAACAATCAACAAAGTGAAGAGACAGCCTACAAAATGGGAGAATATATTTGCAAACCATCCATCTGATAAGAGTTGATACTCAAAATACATAAGGAATGCAAACAACTCAATAGTAAGAAAACAAATAATTGAAAAAATAGAGAAAGGGCCTGAATAAATCATTTCACAAAATAAGATATACGTATGACCAACAGGCATATGAAGAAAATGCTCAACATCACTAATAATCGGAATAATGCAAATTAAAACCACAATGAGTTCTCACCTCACATTTGTTAGACGGGCTATTAACAAAAAGAACGATAACAAGTGTTAATGAGGATGTGTAAAAAAGGGAATCCTTGCACACCGTTGGTGGGAATGTAAATTAGTATAGCCATTATGGAAAACAGTATGGCAGTTTCTCAATAAGTTAAAAATAGAACTACTATATGATCCAGCAATTCCACTACTTGATATATATTCAAAGGATATTACATCAGTATATCAAAGAAATGTCTATACGCTCATGTTCGCTGCATTATTCACAATAGCCAAGATATGGAATCAACCTAGGTGTCCATCAGTGAATGAATGGATAAAGAAAATGTTGTATATATACACAATGGAATACTATTCAGCCTTTAAAAAAAAGGAAATCCTGTCATTTGTGACATGAATGAAGTTGGAGGACATTATATTAAGTAAGGTAAGCCAGGAGAAAAAAGATGCATACTGCAGTATCTCATGCACTTGAGAAGTGTAAAACAGTCAAACCACAGAAACAGAGAGTAAAGTGGTGGTTACCAGAGACTGGGGGTGAGGGCCACTGGAGATGTTGGTCAAAGGACACAAAATTTCAGTTAGACTGAAGGAATAAGATTAGGAGAGCTATTGTATATCATGGTGACTACAGTTAATAATAATATATTGTATACATGAAAATTGCTAGGAGAGTAGATTTTAAGTGTTCTCACCACAAAAAAATATGTGAGGTAATGCAAATGTTAAATAAATTTAGTTATTCTACAATGTACATATGTATATCAAAATATCACATTGTTCACCATAAATATACAATTTTTTTACTTTTCAGTTAAAAAATATAGGTCCAAGCTGGGCTCAGTGGCTCATTCTTATAATCCCAGCACTTTGGGAGGCCAAGGCAGGAGAATCACCTGAGTCCTGGAGTTTGAGAACAGCCTGCGCAACATAGCAAGACTTTCTCTACAAAAAATAAAACTAGCTGGGCATGGTGAGTATACCTGTGGTCCCAGCTACTTGGGAAGCTGAGGTGGGAGAATTACTTGAGCCCAGGAGCTTGAGGCTGCAGTGAGCTATAATCATGCCACTGCACTCCAGCCTGAGAGACAGATCCAGATCCCACTGCCATACACACACACACACACACACACACACACACACACACACACACACACATATGTATGTATCTCTATATATTTCTATATATATATCTATATATTTCTATATGTATCTCTATATTTCTCTATCTCTATCTCTATCAGGAAAGAACTAACCCCCTAAAGAGATTAGACAATTCAGGTACTAGGGATATAGTCTAGAACTTCCTGTGTTTAGAAGATCCATATTAGACGGCCTTAAATAATCAGTGAGTTGTTATGAATTAAAAATCAAGTAACTGCACAAGTTAGAATAAAAACACATTACACAATAGCCAAATGACCAAAACCTTTATGTCAACAGAGTGCACTGAGAAGTTTACATTTACTTCCATATATTTTGTGAGGGGGAGAAAAATCTCAACTTCTATTTATGGATACGAGAGCTAAAGAAATCTGTTATAATTTTGTTAGGTAAAGATGTTTTTAACTTCAAGAAGTATGATGGTTTCAGGTATCTCAGAGGAAAAAGAAATGGAGGTAACCTGAGAAATGATCCTCATGAAAGTCACAGACTCATTGCTTCAAATCTAAACCATCTTCCACTACTTTGAAGATGAGCTGAAAATTCAAACCAACTTTATTTCTCTTTGTCCTGTTCACCTGGCTCAGTCCCAATTTTAGAAATTACTGTGGAAATGTAACCTTTAAAAATATAGTAAGTCAGGGGGTGGAGCCAAGATGGCTGAATAGGAACAGCTCCAGTCTACAGCTCCCAGCATGAGCGACGCAGAAGACGGGTGATTTCTGCATTTCCAACTGAGGTACCAGGTTCATCTCACTGGGGAGTGTCGGAAAGTGGGTGCAGGACAGTGGGTGCAGCACACCAAGCGTGAGCCGAAGCAGGGCGAGGCATCACCTCACCAAGGAAGTGCCAGGGGTCAGGGAATTCCCTTTCCTAGTCAAAGAAAGGGGTGACAGACGGCACCTGGAAAATCAGGTCACTCCCACCCTAATACTGCGCTTTTCCAACACTCTTAGCAAACGGCACACCAGAAGATTATATCCCGAGCCTGGCTCAGAGGGTCCTACACCCACGGAGCCTCGCTCATTGCTAGCACAGCAGTCTGAGATCAAACTGCACGGTGGCAGCGAGGTTGGGGGAGGGGCGCCTGCCATTGCCGAGGCTTGAGTAGATAAACAAAGCATCCAGGAAGCTCAAACTGGGCGGAGCCCATAGCAGCTCAAGAAGGCCTGCCTGCCTCTGTAGACTCCACCTCTGGGGGCAGGGCACAGCCAAACAAAAGGCAGCAGAAACCTCTGCAGACTTAAGTGTCCCTGTCTGACAGCTTTGAAGAGAGTAGTGGTTCTCCCAGCACGCAGCTGGAGATCTGAGAACGGACAGACTGCCTCCTCAAGTGGGTCCCTGACCCCCGAGTAGCCTAACTGGGAGGCAACAACCAGTAGGGGCAGACTGACACCTCACATGGCTGGGTACTCCTCTGAGACAAAACTTCCAGAGGAACGACCAGGCAGCAACATTTGCTGTTCACCAATATCTGCTGTTCTGCAGCCTCCACTGCTGATATTCAGGCAAACAGGGTCTGGAGTGGACCTCCAGCAAACTCCAACAAACCTGCAGCTGAGGGTCCTGACTGTTAGAAGGAAAACTGACAAACGGAAAGGACATCCACACCAAAAACCCATCTGTTCATCACCATCATCAAAGACCAAAGGTAGATAAAACCATAAAGATGGGGAAAAAACAGAGCAGAAAAACTGGAAACTCTAAAAATCGGAGCACCTCTCCTCCTCCAAAGGAACGCAGCTCCTCACCAGCAACGGAACAAAGCTAGACGGAGAATGACTTTGATGACTTGAGATAAGAAGGCTTCAGACGATCAAACTACTCCAAGCTAAAGGAGGAAGTTCAAACCCATGGCAAAGAAGTTAAAAACCTTGAAAAAAAATTAGACAAATGGCTAACTAGAATAACAAATGCAGAGAAGTCCTTAAAGGACCTGATGGAGCTGAAAACCAAGGCACGAGAACTATGTGATGAATGCGCAAGCCTCACTAGCCAATTCGATCAACTGGATAAAAGGGTATCAGTGATGGAAGATCAAATGAATGAAATGAAGCAAGAAGAGAAGTTTAGAGAAAAAAGAATAAAAAGAAATGAACAAAGCCTCCAAGAAATATGGGACTATGTGAAAAGACCAAATCTATGTCTGATTGGTGCACCTGAAAGTGATGGGGAGAATGGAACCAAGTTGGAAAACACTCTGCAGGATATTATCCAGGAGAACTTCCCCAATATAACAAGGCAGGCCAACATTCAAATTCAGGAAATACAGAGAACACCACAAAGATACTCCTCGAGAAGAGCAACTCCAAGACACATAATAGTCAGATTCACCAAAGTTGAAATGAAGGAAAAAAATGTTAAGGGCAGCCAGAGAGAAAGGTTAGGGTACCCACAAAGGGAAGCCCATCAGACTAACAGCTGATCTCTCGGCAGAAACTCTACAAGCCAGAAGAGAGTGGGGACCAATATTCAACATTCTTAAAGAAAAGAATTTTCAACCCAGAATTTCATATCCAGCCAAACTAAGCTTCATAAGTAAAGGAAAAATAAAATCCTTTACAGACAAGCAAATGCTGAGAGATTTTATCACCACTAGGCCTGCCCTAAAACAGCTCCTGAAGGAAGCACTAAACATGGAAAGGAACAACCAGTACCAGCCACTGCAAAAACATGCCAAATCGTAAAGACCATCAAGGCTAGGAAGAAACTGCATCAACTAATGAGCAAAATAACCAGCTAACATCATAATGACAGGATCAAATTCACACATAACAATATTAACCTTAAATGTAAATGGGCTAAATGCTCCAAATAAAAGACACAGACTGGCAAATTGGATAAAGAGTCAAGACCCATCAGGGTGCTTTATTCAGGAAACCCATCTCACGTGCAGAGACACACATAGGCTCAAAATAAAGGGATGGAGGAAGATCTACCAAGCAAATGGAAAACAAAACAAGGCAGGGGTTGCAATCCTAGTCTCTGACAAAACAGACTTTAAACCAACAAAGATCAAAAGAGACAAAGAAGGCCATTACATAATGGTAAAGGGATCAATTCAACAAGAAGAGCTAACTATCCTAAATCTATATGCACCCAATACAGGAGCACCCAGTTTCATAAAGCAAATCCTTAGAGACCTACAAAGAGACTTAGACACCCACACAATAATAATGGGAGACTTTAACACCCCACTGTCAACACTAGACAGATCAACGAGACAGAAAGTTAACAAGGGTGTCCAGGAATTGAACTCAGCTCTGCACCAAGCAGACCTAATAGACATCTACAGGACTCTCCACCCCAAACCAACAGAATATACATTCTTTTCAGCACCACACCACACCTATTCCAAAATTGACCACATACTTGGAAGTAAAGCACTCCTCAGCAAATGTAAAAGAACAGAGATTATAACAAACTGTCTCTCAGACCACAGTGCAATCAAACTAGAACTCAGGATTAAGAAACTCACTCAAAACAGCTCAACTACATGGAAACTGAACAACCTGCTCCTGAATGACTACTGGGTACATAACGAAATGAAGGCAGAAATAAAGATGTTCTTTGAAACCAATGAGAACAAAGACACAACATACCAGAATCTCTGGGACACATTCAAAGCAGTGTGTAGAGGGAAATTTATAGCACTAAATGCCCACAAGAGAAAGCAGGAAAGATCTAAAATTGACACCCTAACACCACAATTAAAAGAACTAGAGAAGCAAGAGCAAACACATTCAAAAGCTAGCAGAAGGCAAGACATAACTAAAATCAGAGCAGAACTGAAGGAAATAGAGACACAAAAAAGCCTTCAAAAAAATCAATGAATCCAGGAGCTGGTTTTTTGAAAAGATCAACAAAATTGATAGACCGCTAGCAAGACTAATAAGGAAGAAAACAGAGAAGAATCAAATAGATGCAATAAAAAATGATAAAGGGGATATCACCACCAATCCCACAGAAATACAAACTACCATCAGAGACTACTATAAACACCTCTATGCAAATAAACTAGAAAATCTAGAAGAAATGGATAAATTCCTCGACACATACACCCTCCCAAGATTAAACCAGGAAGAAGTTGAATCTCTGAATAGACCAGTAACAGGCTCTGAAATTGAGGCAATAATTAATAGCTTACCAACCAAAAAAAGTCCAGGACCAGATGGATTCACAGCCGAATTCTACCAGAGGTACAAGGAGGAGCTGGTATCATTCCTTCTGAAACTATTCCAATCAACAGAAAAAGAGGGAATCCTCCCTGACTCATTTTATGAGGCCAGCATCATCCTGATACCAAAGCCTGGCAGAGACACAACAAAAAAAGAGAATTTTAGATCAATATCCCTGATGAACATTGATGCAAAAATCCTCAATATAATACTGGCAAACCGAATCCAGCAGCACATCAAAAAGCTTATCCAACATGATCAAGTGGGCTTCATCCCTGGGATGCAAGGCTGGTTCAACATAAGCAAATCAATAAACGTAATCCAGCATATAAACAGAACCAACGACAAAAACCATATGATTATCTCAATAGATGCAGAAAAGGCCTTTAACAAAATTCAACAACCCTTCATGCTGAAAACTCTCAATAAATTAGGTATTGAAGGGATGTATCTCAAAATAATAAGAGCTGTCTATGACAACCCCACAGCCTATATCTTACTGAATGGGCAAAAACTGGAAGCATTCCCTTTGAATACTGGCACAAGACAAGGATGCCCTCTCTCACCACTCCTATTCAACATAGTGTTGGAAGTTCTGGCCAGGGCAATCAGGCAGGAGAAAGAAATAAAGGGTATTCAGTTAGGAGAAGAGGAAGTCAAATTGTCCCTGTTTGCAGATGACATGATTGTATATCTAGAAAACCCCATTGTCTCAGCCCAAAATCTCCCTAAACTGATAGGCAACTTCAGCAAAGTCTCAGTATACAAAATCAATGTGCAGAAATCACAAGCATTCTTATACACCAATAACACACAAACAGAGAGCCAAATCATGAGTGAACTCCCATTCACAATTCCTTCAAAGACAATAAAATACCTAGGAATCCAACTCAAAAGGGATGTGAAGGACCTCTTCAAGGAGAACTACAAACCACTGCTCAATGAAATAAAAGAGGATACAAATACATGGAAGAACAATTCCATGCTCATGGGTAGGAAGAATCAACAATGTGAAAATGGCCATAGTGCCCAAGGTAATTTATAGATTCAATGCCATCCCCATCAAGCTACCAATGACTTTCTTCACAGAATTGGAAAAAACTACTTTAAAGTTCATATGGAACCAAAAAAGAGCCCTCATTGCCAAGTCAATCCTAAGCCAAAAGAACAAAGCTGGAGGCATCACACTACCTGACTTCAAACTATACTACAAGGCTACAGTAACCAAAACAGCATGGTACTGTTACCAAAACAGAGATATAGACCAACGGAACAGAACAGAGCCCTCAGAAATAACGCCGCATATCTACAACCATCTGATCTTTGACAAACCTGACAAAAACAAGCAATGGGGAAACAATTCCCTATTTAATAAATGGTACTGGGAAAACTGGCTAGCCATATGTAGAAAGCTGAAACTGGATCCCTTCCTTACACCTTATACAAAAATTAATTCAAGATGGATTAAAGACTTAAATGTCAGACCTAAACCCATAAAAACCCTAGAAGGAAACCTAGGCAATACCATGCAGGACATAGGCATGGGCAAGGACTTCATGTCTAAAACACCAAAAGCAATGGCAACAAAAGCCAAAATTGACAAATGGGATCTAATTAAACTAAAGAGCTTCTGCACAGGAAAAGAAACTACCATTGGAGCGAACAGGCAACCTACAGAATGGGAGAAAATTTTTGCAATCTACTCATCTGACAAAGGGCTAATATCCAGAATCTACAATGAACTCAAACAAATTTACAAGAAAAAAAACAAACAACCCCATCCAAAAGTGGCCAAAGGATATGAACAGACACTTCTCAAAAGAAGACGTTATGCAGCCAAAAGACACATGAAAAAATGCTCATCATCACTGGCCATCAGAGAAATGCAAATCAAAACCACAATGAGATACCATCTCACACCAGTTAGAATGGCGATCATTAAAAAGTCAGGAAACAACAGGTGCTGGAGAGGATGTGGAGAAAAAGGAACACTTTTACACTGTTGGTGGGACTGTAAACTAGTTCAACCATTGTGGAAGTCAGTGTGGTGATTCCTCAGGGATCTAGAACTAGAAATACCATTTGACTCAGCCATCCCATTACTGGGTATATACCCAAAGAATTATAAATCATGCTGCTATAAAGACACATGCACATGTAAGTTTATTGAGGCACTATTCACAATAGCAAAGACTTGGAACCAACCCAAATGTCCAACAATGATAGACTGGATTAAGAAAATGTGGCACATATACACCATGGAATACTATGCAGCCATAAAACATGATGAGTTCATGTCCTTTGTAGGGACATGGATGAAGCTGGAAACCATCATTCTCAGCAAACTATAACAAGGACAAAAAACCAAACACCGCCTGTTCTCACTCATAGGTGGGAATTGAACAATGAGAACACATGGACACAGGAAGGAGAACATCACACACCGGGGCCTGTTGTGGGGTGGGGGCAGGGGGAGGGATAGCATTAGGAGATATATCTAATGTTAAATGACGAGTTAATGGGTGCACCACACCAACATGGCACATGTATACATACGTAACTAACCTGCACGTTGTGCACATGTACCCTAAAACTTAAAGTGTAATAAAAAAATGTAGTAACTCAACCTCAACAGCGCTTTTCCTCTTCTTCTCTTTGAAAGTGTCCAGAAACCCCATACCATCATCGACCAAACTCTACTGCCAGTAGTAGGGGCCAGAGAAGTCACCGAAACAGCAATTCAGAAATTAAAGATGTTCTTGGGCAAGGTGACTACTTCTTTCCTTTCACGTCTTCTTTTACCTTCCAAATGACCAGATCCATGCAGGCTTTTGCATTTTCACTAGCATTGTGACCTCCAAATAGTACAGAATATTTTTTAAAGTGTTAGACATAAGACAACCATAATCTCTGATGTTACTTACATATTTCTCAAAATTAAGCCTTCAATTTATGTTTCTAACAAAGTTAACACTGCTCACCTATCGAAATATCATTAATACCTAATACAACCTCCAATGATTGCTTTATAAATGTTTTACATGAATGTACTAGATTAACAAACATTGTTCTTTTTCTAGGTAGTCTTTCCTCTGTCACATTATCACTACCTTGCAATGATTGGCTAGCACATCGGTACCCTCAGCTGTGTATCTCCTTCCCAGGGAGGTATGAGAAGAAAGTGGAGGGATCACCAAAGCAAGACATCTGCCTAGAAGCCAGAAATGTCGAATGGTTAAAAAAAGAAAAAAAAAAGTAATCTCTCTAAATAAAAGAACAACTTTAGGCACAAGTTTATATGGTTTTAAAAAGTAGATAAAATTTACCCAAAACATAAAGCTGTATAGTTCTGGTGAGAATAATAAATGATATCTGAGATTGGGTGAGAAAGTCGTATGGTCAATGCTTCTAAAATGGTGTAATAGTTTTCATTTCTTTACTTGTGTCTTACCCCAAGAAAGCTCTGATATTTTTTTAACTTTTAGAAGATTTTGTTTTAAACAGATTTGTTAACTGAAAGATTATGACCATGGTTCAAGATTATTTTCAACAGAAGGCCCTACAAATTCTATAATAGAATGTTATGGGAATTCTTTCTGAAATGAGTATTCTTAACAAAGCAGAGGATGTAAAAGATTCTCTGGAGAGGAGTGTAAGTTCATCATAAAATGAAATCATTTTGTATAATGAATGATATGATCAGAGGAACATCCATATCTCGAGAATCTTTAGAAACAAAGCAGCGTAATATAATTTTAACATATTTAAAGTTAACTTGCTCTACTGTTTGTACACAGGAAGGGCCTATATAGGCATACATGAATATACAGGTATCCTCCATTCCACGCCAGACACTGGTGAAACTGTGCATATAGCAATGCCACGAACAGGTAATTGGTGGCTAGATTTGTTGTACTTGATTAACTTGTTTAACATTGGGTATATTTCATCAGAAAAAGCAGAAATAGAAAAATTGGCAGCAAGATATACAAATCTGGTATAAATCAAGTTCACACATAATGACTGAATTTGAGCCATACCCCCCCCCCCACCCCACACACACACAAATTTTCTCTTGGTGAGATAACCTGGACCCAATCAAATGTAGAAAGAACCTCTTTTGTTCTAATGAGAAGCACATATGAAAAGAGGTATACAGCAAGATTTAGAATGGAACAACAAAAGTTCTGTGCATGAATTCAAAGGCCAGACCCAATGATCTGACCACTGTTCTCAGTGAGATTGCTGTTCTGATTCATGAGGAACACCCAGGACTATACCAGGCAATGGCATATAATGGTTTTTTACACAAGCACAGGCAGATGCTTTAGGATTCTCCACCAGAGGAGAGAACCCCCAGAAAAGAACCTGGTCTCCTACCTTAAGCATCTTAGACAGTAGACCTTTATGATGAACCTCACTGTTGTTCAGTCAAGTCAGACTGAGGGTCTTGACATCAGTCATGAGCAAATGGGCTCTTACCATCATCCTGAACGATTCTCTGCAGGCAATCAGCCATTAGACTCCTAAGGGGTCTTTTGGGAGGCAAGCCAAGCTGATGAGGAAACATAACCGATATGTCCACAACTGAAGTGTGAATTAACTATCAAATAAAAGTAAAAAAAAAAAAACACCTTTAACTTTCAAATAAAAGTAAAAACTCCAAAATAAGGATGCTGATAGCAGCAATAACTACTTAGGAACAAGGACTATGATACAAGAACAGGCAACAGTCGTGATGTGTCAGTTACTGGACTAAGTATATTGCATAGTTTATCCTGCTGTACTTTGCAGAGTAACCTAATGAGATAGGTATTTTTATTGTCCCTCTTCATAGACAAGGAAATTGAAATTTTGAGAGGTTAAAAAACTTGCCTAAACTTACTTAGTAGAGCTGAAGGAAATAAAATCTAAACAGTCTAACTTCAGAGTCCACACTTTTCTACCATGAGGAACCACCAGAGGGCAACATCAGGGCAGAGAGGTTCTCACAAGCACTCGGGGAGGCAGAGAACCAGGCTCTGCCCACATTGTGACTTGGCTGAGAGGGGCACACCCCAGTTCAGTACATGCCATATCGCATTTCAGTGGTTTGCTTATCTGCCTCTGGGGAGAAGGCACACACAACAGCTCAGGCCTATCTAGTTCCAAATCCCCCATGATTACACATGGAAGAAGCTGAATATGTTTTTACTGAAGTTTGGTGATGTGGAAAATATTATTGATAGAATAGATATGGAGGGAGAGGGGTCAGATAATCTAAGGGCTCAGGAAGTCAGGTACCAGTTTGGATTCCTTATTAGGAGAACTGTACTTTGAAAGAAGCATTTAAAGATTAGCCTGAGAACAAGAGTAATTTGAAGACTAAGAAATGAGGAGTCATAAATTTAAAATTTAGTATCAACTATGCCTTGCCTGACATAACACTTTAAATGATTATTCAGTGTGCCAGCCACCATGCTCGGCACTGGTTCCTACCTGCAGGGTAGTCTGTAGGGAGCACAGAGCACAAGAAGAGGAGAAATGATCAAGAAGCTGCACGGGAGAAGGAGGGAGTGGGGAACTCCCGCAGCAGGTACCACTTTGGGGCATCCTAGCACAGTGTCCCTACTCTCAGGGATTTTCAGAGTAGTGGGGAAAGGTGAAACAGGGGTTGGAACAGACAAAACTCAGCTTGGGGGACAAGGGAAGTTTCCATAAGATGACTCTAAAAGAAGTTGATGGTGGAAATAGAGAAAAGTATGAAAATCCATGAGTCTTCTGGGTGGAAGAAACAGAACGATTCCAAGGAATGAGGAAATGCAATGTTTTGAAATTTTCTGGTCTGGAGGACATGCAGGATAGAATGGTTCCTGAGAAATCAGGGGCAGGAAAGTCATAGTGAGAGGTGCAGTTTGGGAGATGATGTTTTTGAGGGGACAAGAGGATACCCCTTTTTTCTTATGAAAAACTCATGTCCCCAACTCTCTTTTCTTACAGTTTGGCAAGGTCCAGAGGCAAGTACATTCCAGTCTCATTTGTCACATGCAGAGACAACATTACTCTTTGAAACAAATATCCTATACTTTGGATACCAGCTTCATCAAGAAAAAGGCTGATATTCATCTATGAAAATTAAATGGCCTTACTCATATTTTTGCACTGAAGAAGAGCTAGCCCTTCTCTGCATGAAGGCTAGTCCTAGGGGTGGCTGAGACAAACACTCAGCTAAAGGTCCCGAAAGTTCTAGAGCTGTGTTGTGCAATGTGGTAGCCACAAGCTTTATGGGACTGTTGAAATTCAAATTAAAATTAAACAAAATTAGAAATGCATTTCCTCAGTCACATTAGACATCTTTCAAGTGCTCAACAGCCAAGTGTGCCTAGTGTCTACCATATTGGGTAGTGCAGATGTAGAATAGAAAGTTCTTTTGGATAACACCGTTCTACGATGGGATGGGTAAACTTTTTTCTAAAAGTGCCAGATTTAATATTTTCAGCTTGCAAGTCACATGATCTGTCACAACTACTCAACAATATCATTAAAGTGTGAAAGCAGCCATACACAATCTGTAAATGAGTGGGTATGATGGCTTCATTCCAAGAAAAATATTTAGAAAAACAGGTGGCCAGCCCATGGGCCGTAGTTCACTGGCCCAGGTCTAGAACGTAGAGCAAAACACACACATTTTAACCTGGAGTATATTAAGGAAAGGTTTTCATGTCTATTATGCCAAGAAAATGAACCTAACATTTAATTTTGAGCCTACCTGACTTAATGTGGAAAAAGACCCCTAAGTATGTGAATAAAATAATCAGTTAATAAATTTAGTCTTGTCTATTTGATTATTAAGGAAAGTCTGTGAAAACAATGGTTTGGGTTTTATCATAATTGATGAGGGACTATTCTTTATGATCTTGATTAGCCAGATGATGTGAACTGTCTGACACGGCTTCTAGTTTGTGGTAGTTAGACTGTATCATCAGCAAAGACAGCGATTATTGTCTTCTTGGTTAACAGGGCAAATCAAGTATCAATTATAACATAATGATAATGACTGCTATCTTAACACATGTGGTTTTATACATTTTTTTTGTAAAAAAATATGTTGGCTTCTAATTCTTTACCTAAGGGTATAGACTATGTTCAAAGTGATGTCCGATTAATACATCACTTTAGTGACACATTAGTACAGTGTCAGCACTAAACAGGTTCAACAAGATAGCTTGGACATCACGGGTTGATGTTTTAATGTTCTTCAAGTCATCTTCTGCCACACCAGAAAACCTACCCCAAGATGACATATAATAGCATATAAAAATTTAACTCCATGAATTTTATCAGTTATAGTTAGAACACATTATTGACCCAATGTGACAAACAGCTGAATGAAACAAAGATCTTATCTGCATGACTGTCAACTACCTCTCTGCTAGTTTACATTGGTAAACTAGGAAAATTTATCATTTGGTTCCATAATGCAAGGCTGAGGGGAGAATACATTATTACAAGTTCAGAGTTCCTGTTGAATTCTGATCTTTGCATAATCTGAATTTTATTCAATACCATTTGTTAAGTATCCTGTCTCCCAGTAACATAAGCCTAAAGACAAAATATGGGTAGCATGGTCGAACAGATGGAGCCCTGGGCAGATTCTAGAAAACCTGGGTTTGAACTATGCTTTGATCTGCCATTTACTTACTATATGTTATTTTCAGGTAGTTATTTAATCTTCTGGTCTCAGTCTGCTCTTCTGTAAAGTAGGGATAATTACCAACCTACTAGTTTATGAGGACCCAATGAAAATGCATGCAGGAAAGTGACTACTCTAGTGGCTTTCATAAAGCACACACTAAAATAAATATTTAGAACTCAGCTACTGCTAAGGGAGAAAAATACTGCACAAGTATTTTTAACTGAAACTATATGGTGATATTGTCTTTTGTAAGGAGCAAAAGATACCTGGCTCCATTACTTGGCTTAGTTAGGGAATATGACACATAGTTAATAAGACATTTAGATCAAGAAGAAGTTAGCATAGATGGAGTGCATGGGTTTGTTTAAAAATATTTTCTAAAGAATGTAATGCATCAAATGCATTTGAATGTTTTCAAGATTCAAAGGTTTTTGTTTTGTTTTGTTTTGTTTTTTAACTAATGTCAGCCCTTCAGTTCTCATTTTGTCATTATGAATATCAATAGTTACCTATTTCCTGATTCGTTCCAAAAAAAGGAATTAGGGAAGATTCTATTAAACTCATGGAAGAATAAGAACAAATAAGGGTATAATAGATGGGAGGGCTGGCAAGATGGCTGAACAGGAACAGCTCCAGTCTGCAGCTCCCAGTGAGATCGACGCAGAAGGCGGGTGATTTCTGCATTTCCAACTGAGGTATCCGGTTCACCTCACTGGGACTGGTTGGAGAGTGGGTGTAGCCCACGGAGGATGAGCTGAAGCAGGGTGGGGCATCGCCTCACCTGGGAAGTGAAAGGGGTTGGGGGATTTCCCTCCCCTAGCCAAGGGAAGCCATGAGAGACTGCACCTGGAGGAACGGTGCACTCCAGCCGAGATACTGTGCTTTTCCCATAGTCTTTGCAACCGGCAGACCCGGAGATTCCCTCTGGTGCCTACCCTACCAGGGCCCTGGGTTTCAAGCACAAAACTGGGTGGCTGGGCGGACACCAAGCTAGATGCAGGAGTTTTTTTTTTTTTTTTTTTTTTTCCATACCCCAGTGGCACCTGGAATGCCAGCGAGACAGAACCATTCACTCCCCTGGAAAGGGGGCTGAAGCCAGGGAGCCAAGTGGTCTGGCTTGGCGGGTCCCACCCCCATGGAGTCCAGCAAGCTAAGATCCACTGGCTTGAAATTCTCACTGACAACACAGCAGTCTAAGGTCGACCTGGGATGCTCAAGCTTGGTGCGGGGAGGGGCGTCCACCATTACTGAGGCTTGAGTATGGGGTTTCCCCCTCACGGGGTAAACAAACCCACTGGGAAGTTCAAACTGGGCGGAGCCAACCGCAGTTCAACAAGGCCGCTGCGGCCAGACTGCCTCTCTAGATTCCTCCTCTCTCAGCAGATCATCTCTGAAAAAAAGGCAGCAGCCCCAGTTAGGACTTATAGATAAAACCCCCATCTCCCTGGGACAGAGCACCTAGTGTAAGGAGTGGCTGTGGGCGCAGCTTCAGCCGATTTAAATGTCCCTGCCTGACAGCCCTGAAGAGAGCAGCGGATCTCTCAGCACAGCATTTGAGGGACAGACTGCCTCCTCAAGTGGGTCCCTGGCCCCCATGTATCCTGACTGGGAGACACCTCACAGCAGGGTTCGACAGACACTTCATAAAAAAGAGCTCCAGCTGGCATCTGGCAGGTGCCCCTCTGGGGTGAAGCTTCCAGAGGAAGGAACAGGCAGAAATCTTTGCTGTTCTGCAGCCTCCGCTAGTGATACCCAGGCAAAAAGGGTCTGGAGCGGACCTCCAGCAAACTCCAGCAGACCTGCAGCAGAGGGTCCGGACTTTTAGATGGAAAACTAACAAACAGAAAGGAATAGTATCAACATCAACAAAAAGGACATCCAAAGACACCATTTGAAGGTCACCAACATCAAAGGCCAAACAAAGGTAGATAAATCCACAAAGATGGGGAGAAACCAGCGCAAAAAGGCTGAAAATTCCAAAAACCAGAATGCCTCTTCTCCTCCAAAGGATCACAACTCCTCACCAGCAAGGGAACAAAACTGTGGTTAATAAAAAACTCCTCTGAGCTAAAGGAGCATGTTCTAACCCAACGCAAGAAAGCTAAGAACCTTGAAAAAAGGTTAGACGAATTGCTAACTAGAATAACCAGTTTAGAGAAGAACATAAATGACCTGATGGAGCTGAGAAATGCACAGTACGAGAACTTTGTGATGCATACACAAGTATCAATAGCTGAATCGACCAAGCGGAAGAAAGGATATCAAAGATCGAAGATCAACTCAATGAAAGTGAGAAGATTAGAGAAAAAAGAGTGAAAAGAAACAAACAAAGCCTCCAAGAAATATGGGACTATGTGAAAAGACCAAATGTATGTTTGATTGGTGTACCTGAAAGAGATGAGAGGAATAGAAACAAGTTGGAAAACTCTTCAGGATATTATCCAGGAGAACTTCCTCAACCTAGCAAGGCAACTCAACATTTAAATTGAGGAAATACAGAGAACACCACAAAGATACTCCTCGATAAGAGCAACCCCAATACACGTAACTGTTAGATTCACCAAGGTTGAAATGAAAGAAAAAATGTTAAGGGCAGCCAGAGGGAAAGGTTGGGTTACCCACAAAGGGAAGCCGATCAGACTAACAGCGGATCTCTCTGTAGAAACCCTACAAGCCAGAAGAGAGTGGGGGACAAAATTCAACATTCTTAAAGGGAAGAATTTTCAACTTGAGAAGATTAGAGAAAAAAGAGTGAAAAGAAACAAGTGGCAGAATTTCCTGTTCAGCCAAACTAAGCTTCATAAGCAAAGGAGAAATAAATTCCTTTACAGACAAGCAAATGCTGAGAGATTTTGCCACCACCAGGCCTGCCTTACAAGAGCTTCCAAAGGAAGCGCTAAACATGGAAAGGAACAACTGGTACCGGCCACTGAAAAAACATACCAAATTCTAAAGACCACTGATGCTATTAAAAAACCGCATCAACTACTGGGAAAAATAACCAGCTAGCATCACAATGACAGGATCAAATTAACACATAACAATATTAACCTTAAATGTAAATGGGCCAAATGCCCCAATTAAAAGACACAGACTGGCAAATCAGATAAGGAGTCAAGACCCATCAGTGTGCTGTATTCAGGAGACCCATCTCGCATGCAAAGACACACATAGGCTCAAAATAAAGGGATGGAGGAATATTTACCAAACAAATGGAAGGCAAAAAAAAAAAAAAAAAAAAAAAAAAAAAAAAAAAAGCAGGGATTGCAATCCTAGTCTCTGATAAAACAGACTTTAAACCAACAAAGATCAAAAGAAACAAAGAAGGGCACTGCATGATGGTAAAGGGATCAATGCACCAAGAACTGCTATCTATCCTAAATATATACGCACCCAATACAGGAGCACCCAGATTCATAAAGCAAGTTTCTAGAGATCTATAGAGAGACTTAGACTCCCACATAATAATAGTGGGAGACTTTAACACTCCGTTGTCAATATTAGACAGATCAACGAGACAAAATTAACAAGGATATTCAGGACTTCATCTCGGCTCTGGACCAAGTGCACCTAATAGACATCTATAGAACTCTCCACACCATATCAACAGAATATACATTATTCTCAGCACCTCATCGCACTTATTCTAAAATCTACCACATAATTGAAAGTAAAAGAATGCAAATCATAACAGTCTCTCAGACCACAGTGCAATCAAGTTAGAATTCAGGATTAAGAAACTCACTCAAAACCCTACAACTACATGGAAACTGAACAACCTGCTCCTGAATGACTACTGGGTAAATAACAAAATGAAAACAGAAATAAAGATTTTCTTTGAAACCAATGAGAACAAAGATACAATGTACCAGAATCTCTAGGACACATTTGACATATTTAAAGCAGTGTGTAGAGGGAAATTTATAGCAGTAAATGCCCACAAGAGAAAGCAGGAAAGATCTAAAAATCAACAACCTAACATCACAATTAAAAGAACTAGAGAAGCAACAGCAAACAAATTCAGAAGCTAGCAGCAGACAAGAAATAACTAAGATCAGAGCAGAACTGAAGGAGCTAGAGACACGAAAAACCCTTCAAAAAATTCAATGAATCCAGTAGGTGTTTTGAAAAGATAAAAAAAATAGACCACTAGCCAGACTAATAAAGAAGAGAGAAGAATGAAATAGACAAAAAAAGTTGATAAAGGGGTTATCACCACCGATCCCAGAGAAATACAGACTACCATCAGAGAATACTATAAACACCTCTACGCAAATAAACTGAAAAAACTAGAAGAAATGGATATATTCCTGGACACATACCCCCTCCCAAGTCTAAACCAGGAAGAAGTCAAATCCCTGAATAGACCAATAACAAGTTTTGAAATTGAGGCAGTAATTTACAGCCTACCAACCAAAAAAAGTCCAGGACCAGATGGATTCACAACCAGATTCTACCAGAGGTACAAAGAGGAGCTGGTACCATTCCTTCTGAAACTATTCCAAACAATAGAAAAAGAGGGAATCCTCCCTAACTCATTTTACAAGGCCAACATCCTCTGATACCCAAACCTGGCAGAGACACAACAAAAAAAGAAAATTTCAGGCCAATATCCCTGATGAACATCAATGCAAAAATCCTCCATAAAATACTGGCAAACCAAATCCAACAGCACACCAAAAAGCTTATCCACCATCATCAAGTGGGCTTCATCCCTGGGATGGAAGGCTGGTTCAATATATGCAAATCAATAATCGTAATCCATCACATGAACAGAACCAATGAAAAAAACCACATGATTATCTCAATAGATGCAGAAAAGGCCTTCGACAAAATTCAAGACCCCTTCATGCAAAAAGCTCTCAATAAACTAGGTATCGATGGAACTTATCTCAAAATAATAAGAGCTATTTATGACAAACCCACAGCCAACATACTGAATGCGCAAAAACTGGAAGCATTCCCTTTAAAAACCGGCACAAGACAAGGACACCCTCTCTCACCCCTCCTATTCAACATAGTATTGGAAGTTCTGGACAGGGCAATCAGGCAAGAGAAAGATATAAAGTGTATTCAAATAGGAGGAGAGGAAGTCAAATTGTCTCTGTTTGCAGATGATATGGTCATGTATTTAGAAAACCCCATTGTCTCAGCCCAAAATCTCCTTAAGCTGATAAGCAACTTCAGCAAAGTCTCAGGATACAAAATCAACGTGCAAAAATCACAAGCATTCTTTTTTTTTTTTTTTTTTTTTTGAGACGGAGTCTCGCTCTGTCGCCCAGGCTGGAGTGCAGTGGCGCGATCTCGGCTCACTGCCATTCTTATACACCAATAACAGACAAACAGAGAGCCAAATCATGAGTGACATCCCATTCACAATAGCTACAAAGAGAATAAAATACCTGGGAATCCAACTTACAAGGGATGTGAAGGACCTCTTCAAGGAAAACTACAAACCACTGCTTAAGGAAATAAGAGAGGACACAAACAAATGGAAAAACATTCCATGCTCATGAATAGGAAGAATCAATGTCGTGAAAATGGCCATATTGTCCAAAGTAATTTATAGATTCAATGCTATCCCCATCAAGCTACCACTGACTTTCTTCACAGAATTGGAAAAAACTACTTTAACGTTCATATGGAACCAAAAAAAGAGCCTGCATAGCCAAGACAATCCTGGGCAAGGAAAACAAAGGTGGAGGCATCACGCTACCTGACTTCAAACTATACTACAAGGCTACAGTAACAAAACAGCATGGTACTGGTACCAAAACAGATATATAGACCAATGGAACAGGACAGAGGTCTCAGGAATAACACCACACATCTACAACCATCTGTTCTTTGACAAACCTGACACAAACAATGGGGAAAAGATTCCCTATTTAATAAATGGTGTTGGGAAAACTGGCTAGCCATATGCAGAAAACTGAAATTGGACCCCTTTCCTTACACCTTATACAAAAATCAACTCGAGATGGATCAAAGACTTAAACGTAAGACCTAGGACTATAAAAATCCTGGAAGAAAACCTGGGCAATACCATTGAGGACATAGGCATGGGCAAAGACTTCATGTCTAAAACACCAGAAGCAATGGCAACAAAAGCGAAAATAGACAACTGGGATCTAATTAAACTAAAGAGCTTCTGCACAGCAAAATAAACTATCATCAGTATGAAGAGGCAACCTGCAGAATGGGAGAAAATTTTTGCAATCTATCCATCTGACAAAGGGCTAATATCCAGAATCTACAAGGACTTCAACAAATTTACAAGAAAAAAAAAACCACCAAAAAATGGGCAAAGGATATGAACAGACACTTCTCAAAAGAGGACATTTATGCAGCCAACAGACATATGAAAAAATGCTCATCATCACTGGTCATTAGAGAAATGCAAATCAAAACCACAATGAGATACCATCTCACGCCACTTAGAATGGTGATCATTAAAAAGTCAGGAAACAATAGATGCTGGAGAAGATGTGGAGAAATAGGAATGCTTTTACACTGTTGGTGGGAGTGTAAACTAGTTCAACCATTGTGGAAGACAGTATTGCAATTCCTCAAGGATCTAGAACCAGAAATACCATTTGACCCACCAATCCCATTACTGGGTATATACCCAAAGGATTATAAATCATTCTACTATAAAAACACTTGCACACTTATGTTTGTTGTGGCACTGTTCACAATAGCGAAGACTTGGAACCAACCCAAATATCCACCAATGATCGACTGGATAAAGAAAATGTGGCACATATACACCATGGAATAAAAAATGATGAGTTCATGTCCTTTGCAGGGACATGGATAAAGCTGGAAACCATCATTCTCAGGAAACTATCACAAGAACAGAAAACCAAACGCCGCATGTTCTCACTCATAAGTGGGATATGAACAATGAGAACACATGGACACAGGGAGGGGAAAAACACACATCAGGGCCTGTTGGTGGGTGGGGAGCTAGGGGAGGGATAACATTAGGAGAAATACCTCATGTAAGTGACAGGTTGACGGGTGCAGCAAACCACCATGGCACGTGTATACCTTTGTAACAAAACTGCACGTTCTGCACATGTACCCCAGAATTTAAAGTATAATAACAATAATAAAAAGATCTTAAGCTGGAAAATGGAATACTGTCTTCTATCTTTAGTATAAGGAAATGCCACAAATCTTCTTTCCAAATATACAATGGGGAATAAAAACTTATCTTATGTTTTATTAAAGATGACTATTCATATGTTTGACATGTACAAAGCACTTTCCTATATTTTAGCATATCTGATTTTCATAGTCACTATGGGGTTGTTACTGACTCCATAATTTACAGCTTAGAGCATCTAAGAGACTTGCTCAGAAGGTCACAGCTAGTAGAACTTTCCAGGTCTTGTAATTCCAAATTCTGTTTTCCCCACTTTTTAGCACTGATTCTTATGTAAAGGAACATAAGTCCCTATAAAGATTTTATTGTCTCTAGAAATGATTTTGCCAAAAGCATTAAAGCTTTTATGCTGATTATTTTTCACTCACATAATTTCAGCAATTTGATGAGTAGAATTACCACTATTTGTATATTTTAGAAATTTGACCGATAAAAAGACACTCAGGACAGTTCCTGGCTCCATCGCTCTAGGTGCGTGAACTTAACCAATTCACTAACTCTTCTCAGCTTTAATGGCTTCATCTGAAAATTTGTGAACAACCAATGCAGCACTGTGTCGTCAAGGAATAAGGCCCTGGAAACCCTTCTACCAGGTAGACTGCTACACAATCATTCAGTCATAATAACCACAGTAAAGTAAAATATAAAACCAACATACCATCTCACAACTTACTGCAAACACACGGTGATTACCATCAGCAGGTGGGAACTTGACAAAAGTCTTCACAAAGCCCTTTAGGTTTTCTTTGTGGTCATGAACATGAAGCTGAAACAAACATTGTCAAATAAATTACTGTTTTTTCTAAGTACAATTAGGCTCATAAAATGTCATCAACTGAAAATTAGTTAATTTTTTCAAAAGCTTATCCATCACCAAGGCCTGTGTTGGAGGCTACAACTTGGTTTCTGAAACAGGCAGCACTTTGGGTGACAAGTCCTACCTTGGCGACCTGACACCGGGGCGATCCAAGGAAACCTCCACAACAGCCGTATTGAGATTCAAAGCCACTGAGGACTGTAAACCAACCGAAAAAATAAAAATCAAAACAAGCTTTACAAGGCAGAGTGACTAACTCTCATGAACATGCATTTTCTTTGACCCTTAAAGAGCTTTAAGGACTCTACTGTGCAAATATTTTTAAGTCACCTCTCTTCAGTTACTTTTTTAGATATTGCATAATAGACAAAAATCTATTCCGATAAGCAGAGTTCTCACGGGCCATGCTTGAAGGTGAATTATAATTGCTAATGTTGTGAACACCTTTCTTCCCCTCTTTTTATCATTTGCCCTGGCCCATCAGCTCTCCTCTGGCTTCCTTACTTTATCCTGCATTGACTGGTTTGACAGTCAAACCACTTCAATCATCCTCTCAACATCTACTCTTACTCCCTGACCTTTTCTTTCTGCTAGAACCTTCTGTATGACTAGTTCCAACTACCACCTTCTCCATTCCTGTATCCAGATTTTTATCCAACCCAAGAAAAATCACCCAGTTATGCAGACTGAGACCACAATACAGATGTTGGCTCCAACCTTGGCTGGACCTTCAAAGTCCTGATGCCTTCGGCTTTTGCATCCTTCGCCAGACACCTTGCACGTTCTTCGCAGCAATAATCTCAATACTTCATATCTCTTTTCTTACCCTACTCCTATCATCCACCTCATCCATACCCTTACCTACCCTGAGCCCTTCTGTCTGGCCCTAGGAAATATTCTCCCAATTGCTCCCTAACAAGTCCCTCTGCCTCCAGGGAGTTTTTGCACTAGTTTTTGCACTAGTTTTTCTAGTAAAAACTGCCATACAAAGCCCTTTCTACAAAATGGTAAGAAAAGCTCAGGGTGTAAAAGTAACGTGCCCGGGAAAGCAAGCAGCAGAACAGCCCCAACTCTCAGCTCTGCTGGCTCCGAAGTCCCTGTTCTGCCCATTATCCTGTATGGTCCCATCAGCCCAACTGGTTTGTTTGCTACACTTATTCTTCCTCAGCATCTTCCCTCCTTGTTCGTCTTCTTGGAATTCACAGTCTCCCACTTTCCCAAACTAAGCCCTCCATGCTTTAAAGATGGATTGAGCTTGTCTGATTTACTTGATGACATTATTTATTCATATATTTTTCCTCCCATGGTTCCCCTCTATTTCCTTTTTATAGGATTTATTACAATATTATCCATAGTTATGTCCACATCTACATAAATAATTTACCTGTTCACCCATCCAAATGTTTACTGATGGCTTGCGTGTGTCAGAAACTGTGCTAAGTGCTGGGGGAACATGGGGAGAAAAAAATGTTGGACAGTCCCTCCAGAAGCTTATTTTTTGAAGATGGTGGACAGATTACTAACTCATTACAAAATATAATTAACTGCTATAGAAGAAAGAGACAGGGTGCTGCAGAAGAGGGAGGCCCTATTTAGAAAGTACGGTCAGGAAAAGACCTTGAGGATGTGACAATTAAGCAGAGACCTCCAGGTTAAGAAGGAATTAGCCATGTGAAAAGTCGAGGATGCAGCAGGCAAGAAGGCTCCAGAAAGGTGGGAGAAAGTGTGGTGTAAAGACAGCAAGGGAAAGGGTGGAAGAGGGGGCAGGGGCCAGATCAGAGAAGCAGGAGGTTTGGGATATGCTTTTGACACAGAACAGTGGGACTCGCACACTGTCCAGATGAAAGGGTGTACAAAAAGGAGGCAGTGAGGATGACACCAGGTTTCTTGGTTAAGCAGGGGAACAAATACACCTAAGTGGACTATAGGGAATTGAGGGTGCTGGAGATGATCCCAGGGTGGGGAGAGGATCACAAGCTCATCTTCATGCAGGTGATGCTGTGGTACCCGAGGGAAACCCACATAGGCAGGCAGATGGATATTCAGCAAAGCTGGGAGTCCAGGGGAAATGTTTCTTTAGAGATACACATTTAGGGGCTAACAGCAGTTAGAGGCTGTTGAAAGCCATGGGAAAGAATCAGTTCATCTAGGGAGAAGGGGGATATGGAGAGACAAGGCTCCCAAAGCTCTGAGAATTTCTGCCACTAGAGGCTGGTAAGGAAGAATATTCAGCAGAGGAGGTTGAAAGGAAGTAGCTGGAAAGGGAGGAAGAAAGGCAGAAGTGGGTGTTGTTACAAAAGCAGAGAGGAGAATACTATAAGGTAAGACAGTACTGAAAAGATAAGTCAAGTGACTCAGAAACAAGTCTATTAGATCCAGCAGCCTCGAGGTCACTGATGTGAGCTTCAGTGGTGAGTGGAGAGTAAAGCCAGCTAGCATAGACAACTCTTTGTTGTGCATGAAGCATATGCAACAGGCGGAGAAATGAGAGTAGTTATGCAGCAAGAGACCTGGGACCATGGAGGTTTAGTTTGCTACAACAAATGAGAGATACCAGAATGGTATGTCGAGAACATGCTGATCTTATAGAGGAGAGTCTGGTGAGTCCCTGAGTAGGTGCTGGAGGACAGGCAGAGAAATGAGAGTAGCTATGCAGCAAGAGACCGGGACCATGGAGGTTTAGTTTGCTAAAACAAATGGGAGATACCAGAATGGTATGTCGAGAACATGCTGATCTTATAGAGAAGGGGAGTCTGGTGAGTCCCTGAGTAGGTGCACGAGGACAGGATACAGAGCACATGGAGAGGAACTGTGACGGGAACAGGGATGCTTCCTCCATCATGACTCCAGAAAGGAGCAGATGTTGGTGAATCTACTGGGAGGGAAGAGCAGGGCATTATTTCGCAAAGGCTTTGTTTTTTCAGTAAAGTATTAGGCAAGGTCACCTGCAAGGAATTGAAGCAATTAGCAAACAAACAAAAACTACTGCAATGTTGGCATGTGGAAAGGGCAAGGTCAGGAGGCAGCTGACTGACTTAAGGTCTTAAAAAAAGAAGAATTGTCATAGCCTGAGGGTTCTTGAGCCAATGAGCTGCAAGGGTAAGTCAAGTGGTGGTCAGATGCAGGTATCTACAATAAAGGTTTTAGAGTTGATGTAGTTTTTTCTTTATTGGACTGTACTGAACATTGAACTTAATACTTCATTCCACTTCTCTGAACAGCTGGCTTGTCAAACCAAACAGAACTACCAAATACTTACCTTTATGACTCAACACTCCGCCAAATTGGTAGTTACATTCTTCTACCCTGCTGTGTCAACCTGAGGGAGTCACACCATATATTTTTCCACATCGACAACAGAGCTTCTTAGGTGCCGAAACAAAACATGAAGTAGGATTATTCCAGATGAGATGGGAGAGAAAAGGTAAATGAGCCAATGTGGAGACTTGCCTTTGCATGCTTGATCCTGTGGGAAGCACATACCCAGTGTGATTACAGAGTAACAGGAGAAGCTACAGGATCACTCAAGGGAGAATTTGCAAGTGGCTTGCTTATTGCACCAGGGCTGCTGCTGCTTAAACAGGCGCCCCCTCCCCCCTACCTAGCTCCAAAGTCAGCCCAGTGCCAGCCAATTGTAGTTTTAGTGTTACAACTTGACTGTAACCAACTTGACCAGTCAACTACTCTAGTACATAATAGCTCCCTGAAATAGGAGCCATGTCTTCCTTATGATTTTATCCCTTCAAGAGTCTCCCACAATAAACTGTACATTTATTATTAAGTTATTAAGAGTATATCTGCGTTTTTCACTAGACCCATTCATGAATATTTGTTTTATTAATAAACCTCAGACTGGTTCTGATAGTGATAATAATGGTGATAACAGCAACTCTTATTTGAATATCCATGATGAGATTAGATTATGAGGCAGGCTCTGTGTCAAGCACTCTATATACATTATTTTAATGGATTCTCACAACAACCTGATGGGGTAGTTATCATTATCCTCATATTCAGAATGAGAAAACAGAGGGTAGGAGGGGTTAAATGACTTATCTAGCATCCAGACCTTGAATAACACTTCACTGAGAAAACAGCCTTTAGGAAGCCTGACTTCCCCCTTCAGAGTCCATATTCTTACCTGCTAAGTGTATTGCCTTCCATTGAGGGGATGTGAAAAAATAAAACAAAACGAGAAAAGCTAATAGTGAAGATAATCCCAAGGGAGAAGTCCTAAAGATGCAGAAGATGACAAATATTTTCTAGTCACTGTAGAATATTTGTATAACTGCATTTCATACTCTGATCATCAACCTAAAGTTTGACAGCTGTGATGTTTAGCATTCTCTCTCAGTGGGGATGAACATATTAACTAATTATGCCTAGTATTTGGAGAACATGCAAAATAAGACTAATTATAAATCTTTGTATAATAATTCACAGTGAGAATTTATAGTTTTCAAAACATGGCATTGTATATGTAAATGAATAGTGATGAAGAGTAGGAGCTCAGGAGTTGGACACCTTGGCTTCAAATCCTGGCTGTCCCACTTATTTTCTGTGACCTTTGACAAGTTATTTGAATTCTCTGAACATCAGTTTCCTCATTTGTGTAATCAGGGGAATAACAATGCTTACCTGAAATGGTTGTTTTGAGGACTTAATAAAGTAGATCACTTAGATAAAATTAAGCACCTAGATAATTGAAATGAAAAGGGAAATGAAACACAGTGCAAAAATGTTTTTATCAGTGGTATAACTATGCTGACCAAAAAATCTCATTTCCACTAAAATAATTATACATAAACATATATATAAACATATATAAAAACATAAACATATATATATATTTATCAGAACACTGGGCCCCCTAGGTTTCAGTCTTAGCATGTAGAAAGGGTAATTGTGGGCCCCATCTACTTACCATCATTTCCAAGTTTTTTTCATGCCTAGGTTTAAAAGAATACTTCCTGGTTTGTTGGGGTATGGTCTAGGGTAGTTATTTTTGTGTAGCTGTTCCTCAGTTAGCAAGTAGTTTTTAAGATGTCTATAGAGAATAACTCCTATGAGCACTAAGAAAAAAAGAAAAGCTATTCCATAAAATTTATGTAGCATTATCTTTCTTTACATTGTGGTAAGGTTAGAGTTTACCAACCCTTTCAGATCTGAAATGCTAGGGTTCTGATTAAGTAAGGTAGTGGCCTAAAAATTCTAGGTCTTCATATCCATCATCCAGCAACACCAACAAAACCGACATTGTTCCGTATACCATGTGACATCATACGCTTTGGGTGAGAGAAGGGAAGAATCATATCAGTAATAGCATATAGTAAGCATAGCACTTTGGTTTAAACTTTACATTAACTTAGAAAGGCAACTGCATTGATTTCATTTTTACAGATGAGGAAAATGAGGCTCAGAAAAATAAAGACACATGCCCAAGGTTACACAGCACAACTGACACACAAACCCAGGCCTTCTGGTTCCAAACTATGCGGTTATCCTTAATATTCAGACAAGGATACAACAAATGCTTATAATCAAGGACCACAGAGGGAAACACGACAAGTCTCTCATGGCAAAAGAGTTCAAGTTCAGGTTCCATTTCCAACATCACTAACCCAGACCAAGAGCCCCTCATTTTTACGGATTCTTTTAGAATTGTATCTATTTTCTTATTTAAAACTCTAACAGAATTTGCTAGATACTCTTTGGTAAACGCTTTGGCAAAAGGAAAAATTATTTTGTGAGAAGTATTAGGAGATTCAAAAGGATCTATTTTGTTTTCATTCTCATATGTAAGGCTTTATTAGAGGAGAAGCACTACCATTTGCTTTTATTCAAAATGTAGCCAAAGTCTAATAACTCCTTTTCTGTAGCTTCTTGCTCCTTGGAGTTTGTTATAAATTCAGGGTTTGAGATCCTTCCCAGACCTACTGAACCAGATTCTGCATTTTAACAAGAGTCCCGGGTAATTCAAACCCATGGAAAGTTTGACATTTGAGAAGCATTGGTCTTGCTGACTGGACATACGTTAACCAAAAAAGAAAAATTAACACATGCTAATCAAAAAAGCAAAATAGTTGAGAATTCAATCCAAATATAGCTTAAATGTAAGTTCTTTCCCCTTATTTATACTTTTTTTTTATTTTACTTGAAATTCTGGGATACATGTGCTGAACGTGCAGGTTTGTCACATAAGTATACATATCTCAGGGTGATTTGCTGCACCTATCAACCCATCATCTAGGTTTTAAGCCCCACATGCGTTAGGTATTTGTCCTAATGCTCTCCCTCCCCTTGCCTCCCACCCCGACAGGCCCCAGTGTGTGATGTTCTGCTCGTGTCCATGTGTTCTCATTGTTCAACTCCCACTTATGAGTGAGAACACGCAGTGCTTGCTTTTCTGTTCCTGTGTTAGTTTGCTGACAATGATGGTTTCCAGCTTCATCCATGTCCCTGTAAAGGACATGAACTCACTCTTTTCTATGGCTGCACAGTATTCCATGGTGTATTTGTACTGATTTTTTAAAAGGATATCAAAAATGCATAGTATGCAGTTGACCCTTCATAAACATAATAATTTAATATTTGTACTATACCAGGGTTACTTTCCCCTTAAGGTATCAATTACAGGGCTTATTACTATTATTACAGTAAGCTTACCATTTTTGTGTTCCTTCCCCCACTCCCCCCCCCCCCTTTTTTTTTTTGAGACAGAATCTTGCTCTGTCACCAGGCTGGAGTGCAGTGGCGCGATCTCAGCTCACTGCAACCTGTGTCCCAGGTTCAAGCAATTCTCCTGCCTCAGCCTCCCGAGTGGCTGGGACTACAGGTATACAACACCACGCCCAGCTAATTTTTGTATTTTTAGTAGAGACGGAGTTTCACCATGTCGGCCAGGATGGTCTCGATCTCTTGACTTCGTGATCCACCTGCCTCGGCCTCCCAAAGTGCTGGGATTACAGGCGTGAGCCACCGCGTGTGGCCTATTTTTCTGTTCCTACTCTCTAAATTGTTTTCTTGTCATTACTGCTTCTAGGCACGACTAAAAGATACAAGAAATTCTCTGAAATTAATGATTATTCTTGTCTGTTCCATAAAAACACATAGCACATTAAAAAAGATATAAGCATGGTAAAATATTTATTTTTATCTTAAAACAAGTATCCAACATGTGAGTCCAAATGTCTTCATAACAAATTCCAAGCTGGGAAAAAAGTTAAATCTACTGAACTATTAAAAATGTCAAGACTTGATATTTGCTCAAATTAATACATTTTGTATAATGGATTATGTCTAAATTTGAGTCAATATGTTTTATATTATAATTTACCACAACTGTAACAACTTGCAAACCATTTCTATTTTCATGGGAAATATTTAAAACAGATACTAAGACCTCTACGTTCCATTTCTATGTGCTATATTTAATATGAATAGAAGGGGGAAGAGTTAGCTTAACCTGAAAAGACTAACCTAACAGACCCTGCATATATTAACACATGTATTTAAATCTATTTAAAGAGGTCGGGCGTGGTGGCTTATGCCTATAATCCCAGCCCTTTGGGAGGCCGAGGCAGGCGGATCACCTGAGGTCAGGAGTTCGAGATCAGCCTGGCCAACATGGTGAAACCCCGTCTCCACTAAAGATACAAAAATTAGTCAGGCGTAGTGGTGGGCACCTGTAATCCCAGCTACTTGACAGCCTGAGGCAGGAACTTAGGAGGCGGAGGCTGCAGTGAGCCGAGATCACACCTCTGCACTCCAGTCTGGGTGACAGAGTGAGGCTCTGTCTCAAAACAAACAAGCAAGCAAGCAAACAAACAAAACCCAAAAACCCCTAAAGTGTCATACATAAGAAATGCCACAAAAATCATAGATTGATAGTTTATGTTCTTGAGATTGGAATAGTCTGAGACAAAACCCAGAAATCAAAGAGACTGATTACACTTTGCAATCACATCTATCTAATAATACTTCATAAATAAGGCTGAAGAACAAACGATAAACTGAGGAATGGATTTGCAGCACATTAAAACGGTGATAGGCAAAGGTTGTTCCAGATGAACAGACCAATAAGAAACGGGGGAGTGGGAGGAGGGATGCAGAAGAGAGAGAAAGAAAAAAAAAGAACCGCTTTAACTCTGCCAGTAATAAATTTTTTTAAAAAAGACTAACTTCAGGCCAGTAGTGGTGGCTTATGCCCGTAATCCCAACACTTTGGGAGGTCTACGTGGGAGGACTGCTTGAGCTCAGGCACACGAGACCAAGCCTGGGCAATGTGGTATAACCCCATCTCTACAAAAAATACAAAAATTAGCTGAGTGTGATGGAGTATGCTTGTAGTCCCAGCTACTCAACAGGCTGAAGTGGGAGGATCCCTTGACCATGGGAGGCGAAGGATTGAACCCCTGCACTCCAGCCTGGGCAACAGAGCCTCACCGTGTCTCGAAAAGAAAAGAAAAAAAACTAACTTCATTTTTGCTCTACACCATTGCAGTCTGACAGAGGCTAAATGATAAGCTTTGGCAAGGTGTGAGAAAAACACATATACTTCTACTTTATCGAAGGGGAATATAAATGGGCAAACTCTTTGGATGCAGTTAGCAATATTTACCAGTTTCAAACACGCAGACCCTTGCTTCTGCGCACAGGAATTTGTGCTAGGATACATATCATCATGTAGGAGAAAATGTTAGAGGTTACACTTAAATTTATCACAGAATATATAGAAAAATATTTTTTTCTATGTGAAATAATCATCTACAAAAGTCAGAGAAAAAAATCATATATGAAAAAGTCATATAGGAAAAAATGTAAGCACTCCAAATATCCAAATGTGTTTGGGCCACCACTACGCCCGGCTAACTTTTGTATCTTTAGTATAAGTTCTATAGAAAAGAATATCTATCGTATAGATTCTACATAATAGAATATCGTAGCCATTATAAAAAGCATGATATAGATCCAGATGTTAACAGATTCTAGATTAACTGACAAGGCCTCTGATACCTTATTCAGTGAAAATAGCTAGACATACTGTATATATAAAATTATCATATTCACTAAAAATTTTAAAACTATATACATCTCTGTAGTAATACATAGAAAGGTCTAAATAAGAAATATGAAAGAGTTGTCTTGGCTGCTTTTTACTCTTTATGTTTTTCTATATTATTTGAATTCATGCCATACATTCTTGATGGAACTGATACTGCCCACAAGGGAGCAAAATTGACTCTTGAGGGATGAAGAAAATCTTAAATACTATGATGGTATATGGTTCTTCAAAATTCAACCTTACCTAATAAAATCTTATCCCTTGGCACTTATTTTTTTTTATTATTAGTATACTTTAAGTTTTAGGGTACATGTGCACAATGTGCAGGTTAGTTACATATGTATACACGTGCCATGCTGGTGTGCTGCACCCATTAACTCGTCATTTAGCATTAGGTGTATCTCCTAAAGCGGCACTTAATTTTATGAAGGGGGAAGAGGGAGGTGATAGAAAAAATAATGTCTGCAAAGATTTCTTAGGGGGACGATAACGAAAACAAGGTTGAGAAATGCTATTCCGCATAGAAGTGAGTTACTTTCATAACCAGAAAACAAGTTTAAATATTTCAGTGATAACCTCTGACAATAAGGTTATAGTTATACATCCAATTTCAAATGCAGCTGATTTTCAACCACAAGTACCACCTACACATTCCACTAAAGAGACTATTTAAAAAATAAATTCCTTGGTATAAGCTAAAGATGGCCCTACTAATGAGAAAAAGTATTCAGGGTCAGGTACTAATTACAGGTTTTATCACTTGATTAATTGAAAAAAATAAATTACCTTGATCTCTTAGCTTCTTAAGATAATTTACTGCTATGTTCACATACATATTTCTCCTGCTACACCTTTCATATATTGCCTTTTTTTCTATTTTAGCCTAGGTCAAAAATTGAATAATTAAATATTAAGCCAAAAGCCTATGAACAGGAAATGTCATTTGCAATATAATGAATATGGCAAAATATTTATGTAACTTAATGAATGGGGGAAAACTGTGCCACCAATGAAAAGCAACTTATTTTCCATTTTGTGTTTGTTTTTTAAGAAGAAAAAAAAAAAATAGTCCGGGCATGGTGGCTCACGTCTGTAATCCTAGCACTTTGGGAGGCCGAGGTGGGTGGACCACTTGAGGCCAGGAGTTTGAGACTAGCCTGGCCAACATGGTGAAAACACATCTCTACTAAAAATACAAAAATTAGCCCGGCGTGGTGGCAGGTGCCTGTAATCCCAGCTACTCCGCAGGCTGAGGCAGGAGAATCGCCTGAACCTGGGACGTGGAGGTTGCATTGAGTCGAGATCACACCACTGCACTCCAGCCTGGAGGATAGAGAGAGATTCTGTCTCAAAAAAAGAAGAAAAAAAACAGTTCTATGACTCCAACCCAAGAACCAGATACTCTTGCTTCATAGACAAAAGGCTACTGTATATTGGTATACGGTATATAGTGCAATACCTATACAAAGCTGAGAATATACATCAATTCATTTGATTCTCACAGCCAGCCCCAAATATACCAGAGGCATATATTACTATTTCCATTTAAAAGAAACTAAGGCTCAAAGTGGTTAATTTGCTTAGGATTACACAGCAAATGGAGGACATGATCTTCATTTTTTCTTCTATAAAATTTACCTTCCTGAAACCATTACATAATTATTTTTATACCAAGGGTCATTAAGTCAGTAAAAGGAAAAGGAATGAAATATGAAAGAAACAAGCAAATGGAGTGTTATGATAATAAATATTAAATATATTATTAATTTATATACCTAGTATATGCAGGTTTGTTTTAAGCATATTAAATGTTTTCTCATTTAATCTTCATTATGACTGTATGAGAATGGGTGTCATCACTGATTTATATGATGAAACTAGGCTTGAACAAAGGAAACATCTTGCTTATTGTTACAGAGCTGGTAATTGAACCTAGGTGTACCCAAATGCCACCAAGACTCTTCTCATTACACTAAATCATCAGAGATAAAGCCATGGGAGGTTAGAGGGAGTAAGGAAGAAAAGACACATGATGAAAAAAGACAAAGCTGGAAGAAAATGAACAACACATAAGAGGCTCATATTGTCCCTTTTTATTTTTGCCATTATTCTTTAACCTACATAGAATCCTAGAGGACACAGACTTCTGGAATAGTAGAGCGAGAACCTTCATGAACTTACTGTCCCACAAAAGCAATAAAAATATTGGCAAAACAACTAAAAATCAACCATTTCAAAATTCTAATAACTAAAGCCACAGAACAAACTGAAAATTGTCTAAGAGAAACTACTGAACCTTGGTAACACAGTGGGTTCTGTGAAATTCCTACCTCCCTTCCCTTCCCAGCTTAGTGGCGCCACGGTTGTGAAAGGTTGGCCCTGAGAGCCAACAGAGTAGACATATCTTTTTTAGAACCATACTAAAAGCATTATTGCTAGAGCACTATCAATATTCAAACAAAAAACCAGTTCCCTGAAAAATCTCTATTCCTAGGGTGTTGTGGGTATTTGATTTGACTCAGAGTTCAGAGTATGGAGGGAAAAAACCCTATCTCCAGGGTGCAACTGAAACAATAGCAATATCCTGGCAATATCACAGCTAGCTAGGGCTATGGTTTTAGTCTGGCAAACAATAGTTTGGCTAGGAATTTAAAAGAAACTCTTGGAGAACTAGATGACCCTAGAGATTTGTAAAGGCTCTGACATAATCCTGGGTTTAACAAGTGTTCCATTTAAGACCTGGGAAAAGAGAAAATCCTATTCATTCACCAGTGGCCAACCTTGAGGCCCTGCACAAGCAGGAAGTGAAAGCTAAGGCTGTCTTATAAACCAAAAAATAAAAGAGGAGGGAACACTTTCCAATTTATTCTATGAGGTCAATATAACCCTGAGACCAAAAAAGAGACAGAATCATTACTGCAAAGAAAACTACAATCTCCATCCATTATTGAGTGAACAAAATGGATAACAAAAGTATGGTTATACATACCGTAAAGTGTTATTCAGTTGTAAAAATAAATAAAATTTGAATACATGCTACAACATGAATAAACCTTTAAAACATTATGCTAAATGAAAGAAGTCAGACATACAAGGACAAACAGTATATCATTTCAATTACATGAGATAAATAGAATAAGAAAATTCATAGAAACATGGCTGGGCATGGTGGCATGCACCTGTAATCCCAGCTACTTGGGAGGCTGAGGCAGGAGAATCGCTTGAAGCTGGAAGGCAGAGGTTGCAGTGAGTGGAGATTGCGCCACTGCACTCCAGCCTGGTGACAAAGTGAGACTCTGTCAAAAAAAGAAAAAAAAAAAAGAAAAGAAAAGAAAATTCATGGAAACATAAAGTAGAATAGAGATTACCAGAGACTGAAAGGAGAGAGGAATGGGGAGTTATTTAATGAGTACAGAATTTCTGTTTGAAATGATAAAAAAGCTCTGGAAATGGATAGTAGTGATAGTTTCATAACATTGTGAATACACATCATACCACTGAATTGTACACTTAAATGGTTAGAATGGTAATTTTATGTTACGTGTATTTTATAGCAATTTTAAAAAGTCATTGACACTAACAAAAAACGCTACAGAACAATATCTGTGATAAATATAGACACAAAAATCCTCAATGGAATACTAGGAAATGTAACCTAGCAACGTATAAAAAAAGATTATATGCCATGACCAAGAACACCTATCAAATAAATGTAAGGTTTAACACAGAAAGTCAATGCAATGTATCATATTAATAGAATAAAGGATAAAACCTGTGTGACAGCTCAATAGATGAAGAAAAAAGCATTTAACAAAATCTAACACAATGAGGCACTCAACAAACTAGGAATGGAAAGGAATTGTCTCAACTTAATAAAGGTTATATGTAAAAACCCCATAGTTATCATTGTACTTAATGAAGAAAGACTTAAAGCTTTCCCCCTAGGATCAGGAATAAGACAAGCATGCCCCTTATTACCACTGCTGTACCCATGTTTCCTTTGTTAGGTTTTCTGAGCCATGGGGCTCCCCTGTGCAGAGGATGGAGCTAGCAGACAGTCCTCACCCTGCCCAGACCCCCTAGAAGTAACCAGGGGACTTTTGGTAACTGAAAAAGACCATAAAAGTCATCCAAGAGGGAAGAAGGAACTGAACCAGTCCCATGGCCTGGTTTTGAAAATGTAATGAAGAGAAAATGAATAAAGTTATTTGCTAGTTGTGCTCCATGAGTTTTTTATTCAATGTAATAATTTTGTGTGTGTCTTCAGATAAATTACATTATATAATACCAACCTTGTAAACAGCCTCATCCTCTGTTTTACAAACTTTCAAATACTTCTCAACAAAGAGGTTGATGTAGCGTTGTCTTACTTCATCAGGTACTTTGGATAAGAATTCTGATGTTACTGAATGTCTTTTCCGATGAGCCATCTTGTTAAATGTATCTTTTGGCCTCTTGTTAAAAATAAAAGTGTTATTAGAGAAAAGAAGACATGTTTCTGTTTAATATTCCTACTGAGTATATGGAAGAAGTAAAACTACCTTAGGTCAGTTATATCAAAATTAAATTGAAAAGTAATTTCAAGTGTCAAGTTGAAGAGGTAGAATAAACACAAAGTATAAAATTACTTAAACTCACAAAATGGAGAAGTGAGACTGCCACATCTGTGCTGCTACCTGCACGTACGCAATGATAGCTGATCACTCATCTAATTGTACTACTGTTCCACAACCAGATTCCTAAAGCTGGGATTTGCTCCTCTGATTCAAATATAGCAAAGTTTGTAGGTTGCCATCCTTCAACTATGTATCCCAATGTCTTTCTGATAGCACATCATTAAGAAAAATGCTTGGACTTAAAATTTCTGAGTGACTTGAGTATACTTAATATTAAAGTGATCCCAGCTATAAACTCTTAGCATTTCTTCTGAAGGACTTATAAAAAGACCCAGAGAACTTTAAAATCAGTTAATCTGCTTCACCTTTGAGGAAAAATAAAACCAAGCCAACATCATACTTCTCAGTAATTGTTTGCATGTAATACAAAGACATTTTAGGGATGGAGAAAACCTTAAAACTGCCAGGTGGTTTTCTGCTACAAAATAATTGGAAAACAGGGGAGGAAAATCACTGCCACAAGTAGAATAAGAATTACTTAAAGAAGGCTACAACATCATATCACTGATGGCATTATTTAGTAAAGAGCTGTCTCTGTCTCATATACATAAACAAATATACACCCTCACTGGACACAGCTTGAAACTTTCCTTTTAAAAAATGTTGAGTAGGTTTCAATTAACCATAGCCATAGATGTTTTAAGTCTAAAACAATGCCTACTATTTCCAAGGATAGAATCAACAAAACATCTAAGAGTGACACAAATTACATCATAATGAAAATAACTATATTCATCGGTAAGCTAAAAAATGTTGACATTTTTCTCTATTGGGTCTGGCATTTATCTGAATTTGAAAGCTTCAGAAAAAAATATAGCCACTCTTCCAGGGACTCTATATGTAAGCAGGATATGATGAAATATAATTCTGGTGTTCAGACTTAGTTTATAATACCTAAACAGAAAGAGAAGCAATACTTTTGACAGGAATGAACGATTTGGTTGGTTTTGCAGTTGGGTTTTCTCTTGAAAGAACTACATTCAGATGAAGGTCCATTGTGAGTGAATATTCTAAGAAGTTTTCATGAACAAGGAAAAGAAAAGATAAATTTTAATGACATTAACCTCAGATGATTAGAGTTTAATCATTAATTCAAAATTTCACAACACTTCCTTTATAGGTTTGAAACATGCAACCTGGAAGAAAACAACATTCAAATGCAAAAAAATCCCAATAACCCACTCCAGTATAATTCAGAAGAATGAATTGAGATAATTGATAAAACAATTGTAAAATACTTGCAAAATAGTACTACTATTGTGTATCATTTAGAGATAAACAAAGTATTGACTGGGAGTGGTGGCTCATGCCTGTAATCTCAGCACTTGGGGGGCCGAGGTGGGTGGATCGCTTTAAGGTCAGGAGTTGAGACCAGCCTGGCTAACACGGCAAAACCCCGTCTCTACTAATAATACAAAAAAAGAAAAAAAAAATTAGCCAGGTGTGATGGATGGCACATGCCTGCCCAGCTACTCAGGAGGCTGAGGCATGAGAATCACCTGAACCTGGGAGGCAGAGGTTGCAGTGAACCTAGATTGTGCCACTGCACTCCAGCCTGGGCCACAGAGTAAAACTGTGTCTCAAAAAAAAAAAAAAAAAAAAAAAAAAAAGATGTAGACAAAATATTTAAATATCAATCATATTATTTCATGTAAAACTGTGCCATTGATTCAACTATACTTGGTAGCATGTGGATTTTTAAGAAATATTTTTTAAAATGAAGTAAAATTCCATTTCTTAAATAAGTGACTTTTTTTTAAAAAAAGCTTTTTTCCAAACCTTTCCTTTGGCTCTGAGAGGCTGGACATGTAGATGCATTTTTCTTCTGTTCTGAAGTGGCATCAATAAAAGCCTTCCCATTCTTTATGGCAGCCTTTATCTGTACTGCTTTGCTGGGCCCGAATGATTCCAGTGGGGCTTGTTAGCAGTGGGACTGGTACCCTGAATGGTCTAATGACCTCTTTATTGGTTGAGGCCTATAGGGCAGCAACATAAAACAAATGAAAATGATGAAAAATTGATAAAATTGATAATTTTGCCTTTCTTCTATCATAGAAGCTCGTTGGGGGCCTTACAGCCAGCCACACAGTAAATTGACCACATTTGTAACGCTGATTGTGATCCAATGCATGCATAGTTGGAGTATCCCCAGAAATAAGGAAATAATAAAACTGAACAACTACTGAAACATAATTTAAGAAAGTTTTAACTAAAAAATTAAATTTCATACAAAAGTGATACTTTGTATGTAGACAGAAAAAATAGAATAGCTAATAAGACATATCTACTAAAGTTATTGGACTTCAGAATTAAAGGAAGAATCCTTTGGATAGGCAGACAAAAGTATCACACGACTCAAAGGGTGAAATAGCAGGCAAGCAGACTTCTCCACAGCAACATTTGTTATAAGAGAATGGAACATGGGAAAGAATGTTTAGCTTCACTAATAATTAAAGAAATGTAATATAAGATAAGGCAATAAAATTTTAACCAGATTTGCAGGCTTTAAAAAATTATAATGTGCATCGTAGGTAAGGGTTTGTGGGAAGAGAACTCTGAAACATTGAGAAGGACTATAAATTGTGAAAACCCTTCTGGAAGGCAATACAGTGACAATAAGATTTTTAAAGAATGCTTTAAAAATCTTAAAATTCTTTATCTTTAGTCCAATTATTTCAACTTGTGAGAATTTTAAGGACAGTTATTTACAAAGCCAAAAACTATTTATATACAAGAATTGGGGAGGGGGTAACAGGGAGTAGGTGGGACTACAGGCACGCGCCATCACACCTGGCTTTTTTTTTTTTTTTTTTACATAGCACAATAAAATTAAAACTATAAACACCACAACATTTGCAGTTAAAGGGAAATAATGTTAGCCACCAAAAAAACTTTGTAAGAAATAAGAGGAAGGTAACTAGCATTTATTAAGTACTTATATATTTGACCCTGGGGTAGGCACTCAATTTTCCTTTCATAGATAAGGAAACTGAAGCTCAGAAAAATTAAATAACTTGCCCAAGGACACCCAACTATTCTATGAAGAACTGAAATTCAGGTTTTCATTTGTGATTTGGAAGTATAGACTCTGCCATGCAGAAAGTTTATTAAATATCTTTTTTTTTTTTTTTTTTTTTTTTTTTTGAGACGGAGTCTCACTCTGTTGCCAGGCTGGAGTACAGTGGTGCGATGTCGGCTCACTGCAACCTCCGACTCCCTGGTTCAAGCGATTCTCCTGCCTCAGCCTCCAGAGTAGCTGGGATTACAGGCATGCGCCACCACACCCAGCTAATTTTTGTATTTTTAGTAGAGACAGGGTTTCACCATGTTGGCCGGGAGGGTCTCCATCTCCTGACCTCGTGATCCACCTGCCTCGGCCTCCCAAAGTGCTGGGATTACAGGCATGATATATGACGCCTGGCCTAAATATCACTTTTTTAAACACAAAAATGTTAAAGGAATACTACTCACTGAACTGCTTCTTCAATTTCTTTTTTATGTCATAAAAGAACTTCAGCACTTATAAATTACAAAAGTTTATAATTATTTTGAAAACTAAAGTCGATTCTTGTTATTTCAGGTAGTTATACTCTGTAAGTCACCACAAACTCAGATTTAGTGAACACTGAATCCACTGCTCCTAAAACAAACAAACATGGGGTTAGGTTCAGGTAAGTCTCTGGTCACATTTTTTTTTTTGGTCAATCAAAGTATCACCTTGCTTTACATATGTGTCATGTTTACAGACATCTCATTTAATACCCTCGTGGCCAACAGCACTAAAACTCATGCCTGAACAAAGTTTATCTAGCACATATTTTCTCTGTAAGGCACATCACATTCTTTTTATGCTTAGGAGCACTAGACAGCACTACAATGAGCGGCAATTTTCAGCACAAAATCACCAACAAAAAGCACACAGATACAAAAAAACCTGGCACTAAACGGACTGCAAAAGGACATTTTACATTATGTGAGCTTAAACAAGAAGGCTATCACCTTCTTCAGCCTTAACTGGGAATGTGCATGTCAGGCAATTCAAATTTTTTGCCACTCTGCGTTGTCTGTGAATGATCTCATAAGCACAGCAAGTCTTGATTTTAAGGTTACACGTCAATTTTACTGAGTAGGTGAATTCGCAAATTTGGAATCTGTGAATAATGAGGATCGACTTTTAAAATTTATGGTTAAGAGGCTACCCAATGATAATATACCTGCTTTCAATGAAAATGTTAGATCTGTGGGTGGGGTGGGGAAACGGACAGGAAAATGCTAACAAGCAGGAATCAATGTACCGACTGCCAGTAAATTGTGCCCCCTAGTGGACAAAAGGATAAATAGTCCTAGAATAATAAAACTGGAAATAACAAGGTATGCACTTTATATAAAGCTTTGAGCAGCGGGGAGATGAGGAACTAAATAATTCACATCAAATTTGCCAGAGTGTGCAATTCTCTTTTTTGGTCCAGATGTGTTTTTGTAATATAACATATCATCCTTTTCTGAAGCCTAGTGGAAAAAAGAATTATCCAATTTCAGCACAGTAAAGGCAAATTTAGCATGTTTCTCAAAAAGCCATAGGAATCTAAGCAACAAAGTGTGGACAAATTTTTTAATAAAAATTCACAAAAAACTGAATTTGAATAGTTTTACCTGTGTAGATTCCTATAAAAGAATCCTCTAGGCCGGGCGCGGTGGCTCACGCCTGTAATTCCAGCACCTTGGGAAGCCAAGGCAGGTGCATCACTTCAGGTCAGGAGTTCGAGACCAGCCTGGCCAACAGGGTGAAACCTCGTCCTACTAAAAATACAAAAATTAGCTGGGTGTGGTGGCACGCGCCTATAGTCCCAGCTACTTGGGAGGCCGAGGGAGGAGAATTGCTTGAACCTGGGAGGCAGAGGTTGCAGTGAGCCGAGATCGCCTCACTGCGATCCAGCATGAGCGACAGAGACTCCATCTCAAAACAAACAACAACAAAAAATCCTCTAATTTGAGAAGTCAACTATAAGTTACTGTATATAGTACTATGGCCTCTGGAAACTGTCAACTCTGCCAGACACTATGGCTGGCCACTTATCAAGGCTTTTGCCTTGTCACTCCAATATGTTATTGATCAAAACTATTAGAATATGTGTATTATGTAGGTGTATATTGTATAGAATTTAGAACAAATATAAAATATGTATTTAAGCAAAACTCCATTAGATTTAAGAAAACAATAAAAGAAAAAAAATGCTAACCTGTTTAGCAGTCTTTTCCTTATGAGATTCACTTTCAACGAGCTCATTAGAAACTTAAAGACATTCTTTCATAGTGTCATCAGAATGAGAGGAGGTGTCATCTTCAGTACAACCATTATCAGATTTGATTGGATCAGAACCAAATTTGGCTAATTTGCTTCTTCAAAAGTAATGAGGTCTTGATTATTACCTTGCATTCTTGGCACATTGTCTTTTGCAAGGTCATCTGAATAAGAAATGTGGAACTGGCTTGGTGAATACCAACATTTAATTTCTTCTTTTTGTGTATCATAATTTTGTTTTTACCTGTTTTTTGTTCTTTAGGTAACTTTCTTATTACAACTTTCTTTCATTATTTCATTGCCATTGAGAGGTGCAGAAGATGAACCTCCTTCTAAAATACAGTCATGGCTTTTTTCATCCCCAAATTTTTCCTTCTTAGGTACTGTTTTAAAATGATATAAATTTACATTAGTTTTAATACCTGGGGATGTTTTCATGAGCAATGTAGGTAGTTGTAATTTGTTACTGTCATCATCTATTTGTGTGGTTAGTTGGGTTTTATCTGTTTTTTTCTTCTTCTGTGCCACTAATTTTAAGATTTTTCTCCTCCGGGGGCGTGATATGTGTCCATTTATCCTTATAATGATGTTTGAAGCCTCTACATAGTTTAGATTTCTTAGAAGTAGGCATGACTGGAGGTACATCTATTATAAGATCATCTTCAGATTCTTAAAGATCTGTTTTACTTCTTATTGGTGAAACAGAAGGCCTTTGGCTCTCCAGGGATGTGTGGCGACCTTCACTCACAGGTGTTTTCAAGTGGCAGAAGTGCTGTTGATCAGCCTCATCCTGCTTTGCTTTAGATGCCCCAAGTACCTCCGCAGAATAATTGAGGAAAGGATCATATTCAAGATCAGTCTCTGGACATCTGAGGTCCATCACATACTTTCCAGTCTGTCTTTGTTCTTTGATGGTGCAATTCACTTTTCCTCTGGGAGCAGGCTATTTTCAGGAAAATCTTGCCTCACATTTGTGTCATTCAAGGAGGCCACAGGGCTTTGAGTCAGTTCTTCAAGTGCTAAAGTTCATTTGGAGATCCTCTTCTGCTCTTCTTCAACCTCAGCCTTGACTAACTCATTTTTTCTGTTCTAATTTTTCCATAGTTATGTCTAGGACTGTCAGTAGAAAATAAGTTTTGTTTTATCATTACAATCATGATGAAATGCAGATTCTAGAATACCCTGGAGAAGTAGCTTCCTATCAGAAGGACATTAACCCTTCCAAACCCAGTTTTAAATACAGGAGGTAGTTTGCTAAGTGATCAGTTCTAGATGGAGAGTGAGAAGCCAATGGCTATCACTGTTTAAGTTTTCCAAATGTCTAGCTCATTCCCATGACTGATTAAAATACATTTACACCTTATTACTAAGGTGACTATACATCAGTAGGACAGGCCTTGTTTGTGCTTAATTGTTTGTGTCAAACATGACATACTTTGGATAGAAAATATTCACCTTATTACCAAGCAATGACAATTTGGAAACTTAAAATAACTGAATACCACTTACACAGAACTGTATATAGTCTTCTCCACTGGCACATCTCCTCTGTCCACAAGAAAAATGTATTTAAAGCATTAGTCTTTCCTTCCTTTAGTGAGTCTCAACATTCTAAGGTCCCTGATATCTATAGAATGCTTCAAGCACAAAATAACCCCCAGCCCTTAACAACCATGACAATCTAAGAATTGACAGACAAAACTCTAGCTAGATCTACACTACTGAGGAAACCCAGGAGAGTGACAAGACATAGGCTTGAAGTAACAGCTGTCCACAACACCCTGGCAGCTCCTTCCCTAATTTTTACCAGGATAAATACGACCTCTTCTCTCTTTCCAAGATACACTTTCCTGTATCAATTACAGGATAACTTATACCTTCTCCCAAACAAGAGATTTCAGATCTGAGACGTGGTCCCAATTATATTGTTTTTTATAACTCTGAATTTATTTTAGATAACCTACATGTGTTGTTAACACACACATGCTTCCTTTTCACATAATAAGCTTTTTCCTGGCTCAACAGTCTTTCAACTTACCATTCATTTCCTATTAAGAAATTAACATGATTGAAATCCAAAACAATGTAGTGGAAATGTGACATTTTGATAGATGGGGAAGGAGAGGCGCACGCACAAGAATGAGAATTATCTTAGGATCCAAAGATAAAGGCCTGGATCTAATTTCTCTTTAAATTTAAGGGCAGTAAACTCCAGATAAGCAGGTGGAAGTGCCTTTTGCTTAAGCTGGGTTTTATTTGGTTGCAATGATTTAGTAAGGGCTGTTACATAGTGCTTTGGGGGCACTACTGAAAAGACATGATTATACTTTCCTTCCATGTCACGAACAGTGTTAAGTTTTTCTGTTTCTGTTTTTTAACTTCACCAGAAGCTAGATTTGGAGCGTTAATTTTGAAGTTTGAAGGCATGCTTAGAATCTTTTCTCAGGCTAGAGCTGATTGGCAACAGCTCCTTTGATTGGTAATTATTCCTTGCCTTCACCAGAATTAACAGAGGCCTAACAGCCAGTTTTCTTCCTGTCTTTTCCACCTTTCACAAGAGCACAGGAAGCTCCTTATAGTAATTCCACCTTGGGGATGAGTGACGGAGAGAGGATACCTTGCACCTGTTTCTTAACAAGCAGCAAATCTTATGCACGGCATCCTAGGTACCTTCCTAGGATCCTGCGTTCCCAAGAAATGCCATTTACTGGTCCTCGCAAAGAGCTCACGCGCCCACGCAAGCCCCTCGCCCACGACTTCCTGACCTGGTGACTTTGGCCCTGCCCCCATCTGAGCAGCGCGCTGGTCCACCCACCTGGGGCACCGTGGAGCCCCGCAGGCCCAGCAGTTCTTTCGGTTACTGGGGAGCTGGTGCCCGCTCCTCCTGAGGGATGGAAGAGATGCTCTTGACGCCTGCCCAAGCCAACCACCTTTCCAAACATCTCTGGGACAGCTTCCCTCTACAACCCAGTGTTTCAGGAACTGAGGGACCACCCAAAAGGCCTGCAAAAAACACCGTCAATCAGGACCCCTGTAGCACCCTCACTGTTCGGCATGTTTAGGACGCTCTTGTGGCAGGAGGGAGGAAGAAAGAGGGAATAGGGGCTAGAACTTAAGGCTGCTGCTCCTGGGTGTGTGATGCTGGGAAGACTTACTCCTGGTCACTTTAGATGGACTTGGCTGCTAGTTCTAAGGCGAGTGCTGGTGCTTCTTTCCCGTCACAGCCAGTCCGTAGGAACTGATCCTAGGTTCCTTTGGCAGTAGGGAGGTAGATCAGGAGGACTTGCTTTTCCAGCACCAGTAAGGCTCCTGCTGATCAAAAACAGGATGTAGCAGAGAAAGCTGCCAGAAACCAGAAGACGGCAAGGAAAGCAACCTCTGCTCTCAATGATCATTATTAAAGACACTCCCACCAGAGCCGTGGCAGTTTACAAATGCCATGGCAATGCTTGGAAGTTCCCTTTTATGGTTCCAGGAACTCCCTGCCCCTTTTCTAGAAAATTTAAAATAACCCGCCCCTTGATTAGCATGCAATTAAGAGTGAGTATAAATATAGCAGCAACCCATGCTGTAGCTCCTGCTCTGGGCTCTCCATTTGCATAAAATAATGACACTCCCACCCGTGCCAAGACAGTTTACAAACGCCATGGCAATGGCAGAAAGTTACTTTATCTGGTTCCACAAACTCCCTGCCCCTTTTCCAGAAAGTTTGTGAACAAACTACCCCTTACTTAGCCTGTAATTGTAAGTAGGTATAAATATAGCTAAGCCGGCAGTCCACAAGTGCTGCTCTGCCTGAGGGAGCCCTGCTCTATGGAGCCACCACTTTCGCTGTACAATGTTACTCTTTAAAAACTTGCTTGCTTTCACTGTTGGCTGGCTCTTGAATTCTTTCCTGAGCAAAGCCAAGAACCCTCCCGAGCTGAGCCCCGGTTTTGGGGTTCACCTGCATCACTGTGAGTAGTTAAGGTAGAGGAAAACAAAGCAGCAAAATACACCTACGGGGATGGGGGAACAGAATTGAAAGTCCCCTTTGAGGTTTTGGGGAAGAGGATGATTAGGGAGCATCAGCAACAGGAAATAAGAGGGAGTTTCAGAATGGGGGAGAGACTGATAGGCTAAAAAGGAACCGGTTTTATGATGCCTTCCAGGGCAAGCAGGTCAGAGGTCCAGAAAACCTGTTCAGAAAATGAAGGTTTAGTTATGGATGGCATAGAGGGTCAGCAGTGAGAAACAAGAAGACCTCTCCCAACCAGCACTGGCTGTGAGACCCTCTTCTCACTTTTAGAGCAGGAGAGGGAGGAAAAGAGACCACACATACCAGTACCTCCTGACATTCTTCCTGTGCCCACTCCCCTTCCATCCCCCTCAAAATACCTTCACTGCACTTTACAAGGCAAACTATGCCAACGGTCTAAGGATGAGTAGCCCATTTAAAAATATATAGCTAACATATCTCTTTTGGCCATTTTAGATATTGTAGCCAGAGTAATGCTGTACTCAACTTTGTACAATGCTTTACTTTAGTACCAAAGACAAGTACTACTACTACTAGTACTACTACTACTTTTTACATGATTGAAAAGTGGCTCTTCCACCCCTTTCCAATCAGGAAAATTCTTGGTACCTCCTAAGGAGGGGTGGAGAGAAAACGTGGGAATAGTTGGTTATCAACCTCGCTCCAAGCCCACCTGATATTCTCATGTCCCTTTCTCACCTGTGGACTCAACACAACTCCTTTGCACCTGGAGCATCTCCAAGCAACTGCAATCACCTCCCTCACTTTTCCACCAGATCTGCAGGTGCCTGAACTGGCAGTACAAATGCTGGCACCGATCCCTGGAGCTGTCAAAAGGGCACAGAGAAATGGCAAAATAACCGGCAGAGAGTAGCATGGGCTGCTGCTCCAGGCCACCTCCACTGGCTCAGAAACTGTGAGCACTGTTGCCAGAGAGCAGGCAAAGGTGAGCGCCTGACCTACTGCCTTTTCCCTCAAAGGTGCCGTCTTTTATAGCCCATCACTATTCAAAGGCGGAGCTTCGTAGCTTTCCCAACCAATGGTGAGTGAGACTGGGCGGGAGTCTGCGGCGAAATTTGGGAGTGAAGGACTCTAACAATGGATAGTAGGGGAAGTGGCAGGTGAGAGTAAAATGTGTGTTTATTCTCGTGAGGAAGAAGAATTATAGATACCCAAGCTAAAGGAAAGGAAAACAGTTTCCCAAGAGCTGAAAGAACACCTGAGTTAAGGAACCTTATGTGTCTTGGGTGCTGGGCCTGTGTTGATCCTAAAGACTTTTGCTGCAAGTCTGACTATTCACCTTCATGGATCATGGAGAGAACCTCAGATTGGAAGCACATCACAGCAGGTGCTCTTAGGCAATTTATCTGATTTACCTGAACTTCTGTTTTCTGATCTGTAAAATAAACTCACCTTTCATAAGATAGTAGAATTTAATGTGATACAATGTTCTAAAGTGCCTATTATAAAGTAGGTACTCAGTAAATGAAAGCTATTGGTATGGTAAGAATTGAAGAGGGCAATGAAACATGCCCTAAGTTCTTCTCCCATATCCATACATATCCAGAAAAGACATGATGCATGTCGCTAAATCCCTCCACTTGAAACTAATTTCTTCTTTTTTTTTCTTTCTGAGATGGAGTTTTGCTCTCTCGCCCAGGCTGTAGTACAGTGGTGTGATCTCAGCTCTCTGCAACCTCTGCCTCCCGAGTTCAAGCAATTCTCCTGCCTCAGCCTGAGTAGCTAGGATTACAGGCGTGTGCCACTACACGTGGCTAATTTTTTTTATTTTTTTAGTAGAGACAGGGTTTCACCATGTTGGCCAGGCTGGTCTCAAACTCCTGACCTCGTGATCTGCTCACCTGGGCCTCCCAAAGTGCTGGGATTACAGGCATGAGCCACCGCGCCCAGCCGAAACTAATTTCTAAAAAGGAAACTTTATCCCTATTTTCTGTCTTTGTAAATTGAAATACTTTTGGTATGGATAGCCACAAAAGTCACTAATAAACTTGAATAAGTCTTTGAAAAGCATTGCTTTTCTTTCAGTGAAACATAATAATCCTGGATGCCTGGGGGAAGAGAGAAAGAAGGGCACTTCAGCTCTAAAAGACTCAAGGTCCATGAGTCCCCAGCTAGGAAATTACCTTCTGGAATTCCCCTCTTCCTCTCTCTTCTTCTGGAACACTGTGTTGTCTCAAACGATTATGGATACTTTAGAAATGGAAAAATATGGCCGGGTGCGGTGGCTCACACCTGTAATCCCAGCACTTCAGGAGGCCAAGGCAGGCGGATCATGAGGTCAAGAGATCAAGACCATCCTGGCCAACATGGTGAAACCCCATCTCTACTAAAAATACGAAAAGTAGCCGGGCGTGGTAACGTGTGCCTGTAATCCCAGCTACTCAGGAGGCTGAGGCAGGAGAATCGCTTGAGCCCGGGAGGCAGAGGTTGCAGTGAGCCGAGATCGCGCCACTGCACTCCAGCCTGGCGACAGAACGAGACTCCCTCTCAAAAAAAAAAAAAAAAAAAAGAAAAGAAAAGAAATGGAAAAGTATCTTTTCTTTCTTACCTTTTGTCATGTGAGAGCAACCCCTGACGACTTTTAAACAGTTCAAGAATGCTAAGAGTTCCTACCATTAATTTAGTTTCATCTCTTGATGGCACAACTGTTTTGTCAATAAAACATGAACAGGTGTGTTCTTTTTGCTTCAGCGGTGGTGAGGGGGCGCATAGGCAGTGGTGAGTTCCCTGATGTTCTCAAAATGCCCCTGGGGAAGGTAAATATCTAAATGTCCTTGTTTTAAAGTGAACCAGCCTAGAGAAAATATCTTTCAAAGTCACTCTCCAGGAATGTTTTTACTTGATGAGTTTCTCACACCTTAAATTATCTTCTTGTGTATTTTCCATTAAATTTTATAACCGAGAGATAATTTGTATTGAGTCTGTCCTCCTTTTAAGACACCAGAATGTTTGTCTCGGCAGTTTCAAACTCATGACATTAACAGAAGACATAAAGAAAGGTCTTTTGATGACAAAATAATTAAAGTTATTTATTCATCAATAAGATTTCTTCACCGGGTTCCTTGATTTCTTCACCGGGTAACCGACTCATCGTTTTCATGCATCTCATTATCTGAGCCTATGGAAATGATATCCGTCATTATCTTAGATTCTGATGTTCTTGTGCCTGATCTTCTCATATCTGAAGAAGTGGTACCCAAAAATGTGCTGCTCTCTGCACTCTTGGAAAAGGATGTATCTGAAACACCTTCTGATGGATGAAAGTAAGACATCGTGGCCAGCTCTGGGTTGACAGAGTACTGACTCTCACAACTTTTATAACTGAAGAAGAAAAGAACATATATCAAGAATTGTTTTTAATTGTGTACATTTGTAACTCAGCTTAGAAAAGCATTCAAAAATTAAAATATACGAATTTTGCCCAAAGTGTTAGTTACTTAGTAACATTATGTGAATGATATATAGTTTTTCTTTTCTTTTCCTTTTTTTTTTTTTTTTTTTTTTTTTTTTTGAGACAGAATCTCACTCTATCTCCAGGCTGGAGTGCAGTGGCGCAATCTCGGCTCACTGCAACCTCCGCCTCCCAGGGGCACGCGATTCTCCTGCCTCAGCCTCCCGAGTAGCTGGGACTACAGGCATGCGCCACTATGCCCAGCTAATTTTTGTATTTTTAGTAGAGACGGGGTTTCACCATGTTGGCCATGATGGTCTTGATTTCTTGACCTCGTGATCCACCTGCCTTGGCCTCCCAAAGTTCTGGGATTACAGGTGTGAGCCACCACGCCCGGCCTAGTTTTTCTTTCATTGTAATTTGATTCTATGTAACACTTTGAAGCATGTTTCAAATCTCTACTAGAATTTATAAACCAATTTACTAAAACAGTAGAAGTTGCCTTAATAAAATTTAATAAGAAACATGTACAATGAAATTGAATGATGGGGAATAAATACCTAGGATCACAGTTTTAATGGACCACAGAAATACACCATTCGTCAAAAACAGCACAATGAAAAGAATGGAATTAATGATCATTATGAACATTAAGCAATTCTGTTAGGATTTTTGAAGGTAATCTGTTACACTGCCTGAAAAATGTTAAATAATTCCTTCAATCAGGCTTGAGTTGAATTTAATATTTTTATAAGAAAGAGCCTCTGGACAGGTCTCACAATGTAAAGGTGATAGAGATTGGCTGTTTTTTCAAAGTCTCAAGGCTTGCTTGAATAAAAAACATTAGATGCTAAGCAGATATGCTATTCAGAACAAAATATATTTGCTCCAGGGCTATATAAAAAAGAGCATATCTAGATTCGCTTTATCCTTTCCAATTGACTAAGGTTATTTCTATCTCTGGATGACTACTGGGAAAAAGTTCAAGTAGGATATTCCCTTAAAGACAGTCCCGTGCTCCATCCGAATAGGGTAAATGGAATCAATTTGAATGTCGTATGGATGAATTCAGAGGTCACATATTCCTAAGAATCTACTAAAGAGAGGAGGGAGAGAATGCGATGTCATGCATTTGTTGTAAAGACTGCAGAGGTCTGCAGACTTACCTCAGATGCCTCAGTTTGTACAGTGTAGCACTACAGAATGCCAAGAGGACCACAAAGAGGAGGAGGGTCATCAACGAGATTCCCAGCATTATTTTGATCTTCAGATCCTCTAGATCTGGCTGATTTTCTCCCTGTGTAGCATTCACATCAGACTCTGAAAAGAAAGAGAATGCAGTGGAAAATAGGGTGTTCAGTGTGTTCTCCTGAAGGAGTAAAGATTGCAAAGCAAATACAGAGAAGCAAGCCCTCCACCATCCAGAGTATTAACTGGCCGGTCTCCCATCCCGCAGGCAATGCAAAGGAGAAAGCTACTCTCTAAAGCCAAGCACTATTAACTTGCCTCTTTAACCTTCACAGCAACCCCGAAGGAGCTGTCCTTAGCTCCATTTTACAGTATCACAGAAGTTTCTGTGTTTGCGCATAGCACATAGTAAGTGGCAAAAGCTGGTTGCAAATCCGGGTTACCAGATGTCAAAATGCATATATAGCAGACTTTCTCTGATTTAATCTACCATGTCTGAAGAGATTATTATTCAAAACGATTGACTTACACACAAGGGACCAGTCTTTCAGGAGGTAAAGGTGCATGCTCTAGTGCTGCGTCATACACTGATTTTTCTTTTAAGCTAAAAGGGTGGTATAGTGAATGCTTCCTCCATGAAGCTTAAGGGCTAGTTTTGCCATTTTATTACTGAAAAGACTAAACCTAGTGTACTTCACATTACAAAAATAAATAGAATCAATTTATTTAACTTTCTAAAATAAGTTAAATATAAGATTATGTCTGGATCCAGAGATATCAAGAGTCTTTTTTTAACTAAATCTATTAATGAAATGATAGGTTTACTGCCAAATTTTACATTTTCCTGAATATATATCTGACTTAATAAACATTTAATGATGGCAACATGTTATTTCTCCCCTTTACCCCAGCCAACCCCCAGCATCTGCCAACTCAAAAGTTCCAAGGGTTTTCACTATTTTCTAGGTAATGATATTTAGGTGATAAGCAATGACAAGCTTCCATGTCTATATTCTCTGATTTTAAAAAATTATAATTGTCAGTGTGTGACCTTAGACTATGAAAATGTATACAGTTGTCAATGACTCTTTTAATGCTTCGAGGCCTGTTATTTTGGGAATAATTAAACAAATTACGTTAAAATGGGCTGTGCTCCTGAATTGCTTTTCTGTCTCCTGAAAGGGTTTTTAATAAAGATGTGTGCTCATAGTACATCTTCTTTATCTAGGTGATGGTCAGAACTAGAGAAGGGTTTGGAATTCGTAATCACTGGAAGTGACAGAAAAGCTAGTTACAAGCGTGGGCAGCTTTTCTCTCTAAGCCTCAGTTTTCTCAACTGTAAAATGAAGATAATACCAACTTCATGGAGTTGCTGTGAAGACTAACATAATAATGTATCTACAACACCTAACACGTAGTATGTGCTCAATAAACAATAAAATCAGTCAAGCTGAATTTAATCACTTAAATATTAAATAGGAGAAATGACACAGTATTTATAAAATGAGCCAGCATTTGTCATTCCTGTTTATAACTTTTCTAAACAAAGAAGGATCACTCAATTTTCTTTTCTTTTCTTTTTTTGAGATGGAGTCTTGCTCTGTCACCCAGGCTAGAGTGCAGTGTGCAGTGGCACAATCTTAGCTCACTGCAACCTCTGCCTCCCGGGTTCAAGTGATTCTCTTGCCTCAGCCTCCTGAGTAGCTGGGATTACAGGTACCCAACACCACGCCTGGCTAATTTTTTGGTATTTTTAACAGAGACGGGGTTTCACCATGTTGGCCAGGCTTGTCTCGAACTCCTGACCTCAGGTGATCTGCCTGCCTCAGCCTCCCAAAGTGCTGGGATTACAGTACCCAGACAAATGACTCAATTTTCTTGAAGCGCCACAAGGCAAATGGCCACACTTATCAATCCAGTGCACAAATGAGGGGACAGGTCTTAGATATATCATCATGCTATTTTTCAACCATTTATTTGTAGGACAGAGGTTTTTTTTGGGGAAATTAATGTGGTTCTTTCATGAAATTTTCCATTCAAATTAGGAGTTTTACCTCTATTAGTATAATTAAGCCATTAAGGAAAACTCTATCCAGCAACAGGAGCTCACATTGATTGCTGGTGAGAATTCCAAAAATACTTTGGAAGATAGTTTGGTAGTTTCTTACAAAGATAACCACTCTCATCTTCCCACCTTGCCCTCCCAAAGTGCTAGGATTACAGGCAAGCCACCCACTGCACATGAACATACTCTTACCATATGATCCAGAAATCATATTCATAGGTATTTACCAAAATGAGTCGAAAACTTATGTACACACAAAACCCTGCACACAAGTGTTTACAATAGCTTTTTTCATAATTGCCAAAAATTGGAGGCAACCAAGATGTCATTCAGTAGAAGAATGAACTAGGGTGCATTCATACAATGGAATATCAGTAATAAAAATAAATGAGCTCTCAAGCCACAAGAAAACATGGAGGAATCTTAAATGCATATTGCTGAGTGAAAGAAGCTAGTCTGAAAAGGTTACATACTGTATGACTCCAACTATATGACATTCTAGAAAAGGCAAAACTATAGCGATAGTAAAAAGATCAGTGGTTTTCAGGGGTTCAGGAGGAGAGAGGAACAAAGGGATGAATTGATGGGGCAGAGGAGATTTTAGGGCAGTGAAACTTTCGTATGATACTGGGATGGTAGACACGTGATATTATGCATTTGTCAAAACCCAAAGACCTGTATAATACAGAGTGAATCCTGATGTAAATTATGGACTTCAATTAATAATGAATCACTATTATTGGTTCATAAATTGTAACAAAGGTACCACATCATGCAAGACATAGGGGAAACTGAGGAGGGTGAAATATGGAAATTCTGTACGTTCTGCCAAATTTTTCTTTAAACCCAAAACTGCTCTAAAAATAAAGTCTATTTTGAAAAAAGACTGCATTCTACATATTATTCACTCACCTCCTCCATTTGGTTTCAGGAATAAATGTTACAAAACAGGAAGGTGGTAATGGTCATGTGGGAGGTATAACTAAAAAAGAATGCTTGGGAACTATAACTCTCCTGAACAGTGAATGTCCTCTCTGAGATGTTAGTCACCTTTCATACGCCAGACTTCACTAGGAAAAATATTATCATCATAAAGACACTAAGATGTGTAAGAGTATTTATGTGTCTATTAGTTGAAGTACTTTGGTTCATTTGTTGAGACAGGGTCTCACTCTGTCGCTCAGGCTGGAGTACAATGACATGCCACCGTGCCCACCTAATTTTTGTATTTTTTGTAGAGAAAAGGTTTTTGTCATGTTGCCCAGGCTGGTCTCGAACTCCTGGACTCAAGCGATCCACCTGCCTCAGCCTCCCAAAGTGCTGGGATTATAGGCATTAGCCACTGCACCCAGTCAATTGAAATATTTTGTTCTTACCTGGAATTGGGTGAAATAATTGATCTTTATCATCCATGACCACTGCTGTTCCATTTATAGCTGTTAAAACAAATTGGGGTTATGGTAAACAACGTTCACTTACTAAAATTATTGCCTGTGTATGTATGTGTATGTATAATTATAGTACCCAGTGTGTGTACAGTCTGTTCTCATTATTCGTGGCAGTTATATTCTATAAAGTCTTATAAACACTGTATTAACGAATACTGAACTGTTGCTCCCAGGGTAAATACAGGGTTAGATTCCTGCAAGTCTGGTCACAGCATTTTCATCAACTGATAAATAAATAACCTTGTTTTATGTGTGTTTCTGTTAAAAGATACTTCACTTAATACATATTGTTGATTCATTAACACTGAACTCATAGAAAACAGCACTATAACACTTGCCTGAATGAAGCTTCTCTAACACATATTATCTCCATAAGGAACATCACAGCCTTCTTGCACTTAGGAACAATAACCAGCAATTTAACACTACATTTGGGGGCCATTTTAAACAGCAAAATCATCAACAAAAAAGCACAAAAAATGCAAAAAACGTGGCATTAAGTGGGCTGCAAAAATGACACTTATTTACAGAACGAGAGCTGAATAAAGAAGGCAGAATATTGCCTTGTTCTACTTCAGCTGGGAATGTGTGTGTCAGACAATCAAAAATTTTCAAAGCTCTGCCAATGTCCATAAATGACTGTGAAGGTGTTGCAACTACTGATTTTGGGGTGACAAAGAAATATTAATGAGTAGGTGATACAGAATGCAAACACAGAATATGCAAATAATGATCAACTGAATATGGTATATATTTCACATATACAATGCATATATTTCTGTGTGATACATGCATTACCTTTATACATGTGTACATCCATATATGCACATGCATTTATACACACACGCATAGAAATACTATGTACATCATGCTATACATGCATGCTTACATATTTATGAGACACACTTTTATGCATGCATATATTTTGGTATACACTTTGCATTTATATATGCATCTGTGTGCTTTTGCATGCACTGCTCCAAATACAAAGATGAATGATATTGAGCAAGAATCTTATTGAAAAATTTTAACCATAAATAAATTGAATAACATTTAACATTTGTAAGAGAATAAAACTTTTGTAAAGAGTGAGTAATCAGAAAATGTGTGACACTTTATCACCTTTCTAGGTTTGTTTTGAAGTTTGCTATTACATGTGGCAACAAAATGTTGACTTATTGTCTCAGTATTAGAGGTATTTAGACTGATCTTAGCTCTAAGTAAGATTTTAGAAAACCAAAATGTTTCCCAAGCTACCTAGCTGTATGACTTTACCTTTAGCTAACATTGTCCAAAATGCAGGCACGTTTGGGGTTGATCCTGTTAAAACAAAACAAAACACAACAAGAACAACAAGAAAACAACAGGATAACAAAATAATTTAGTTTGAGGAACATTCGTTTGTTAGTCATTTAGCAGTTAAACTTTGAGCTCCTATAATGTGTCAGACCTGTGGTTGGCACTAACTTATAGAAGTAAACAAGGCTCAGACATTACAGTCAAGGAACCCACCTTAATTTTGGCTGCAGACAAGAATCATTGCTGCTTATGTAGCAGATTAATGAAGGCGTTAATGGAAATGCACAGGTGGTATGCACAGGGTTTAATTTAACTTCTTAAGGCCAGAAACCCTTCAAAAGGGAGATGATGTTCCAATATAAGCTTAGAGAACTAGCAATAGTTCACCAGGCAAACAAGGTGAGAGCGAGCTCATTCCAGCCGTGAGCAAACGCACAATCGTAAGCAGGCTCAGTAAGCTCTGGGAGCTTCAGGTAAGTCTTGAGTGAAGGGTGTGGATGCAGAACGTAACCAGAGTTGAGAGTGGAAAATTTTCACAGTGGCCAGATTGTTTCGGAATTGAATGCTTGGTTAAGGAGTTAAAACTTGACCTCAAACTTAGTAGTAAGTTACTAAAGACGTTTAAGAAGGGGAATACCAGGATGATCAGGTTTTCATTTTAAAACACATCAAAAAAGATTTTTTTCAGTAGTGTTAAAAATGCAAACTAATTCAGAATAATTACATTAGAAACATACTTGGATTGCATAAACTGGAGAAAATAGGGTTTCATGTAACGACACGTAAGTATCCATTCTCTTCAATTAGGCCGCTTATTCAAGACCTTAGAGGAGAGCCATCCTGGGTTGTTATGGCTCCACACATATTTTATAAGGAACAATATTCTTGACAGGGAAGTAAAATGGTAATTTTGATTTTGCAGCCTCCCACTCCCAACCTCAAATAATCATAGGAAACACTAATAATTGACCCTAACCAGAGATAAGTTTATTCCTCAAGCAGGCAGAATATTTTCCATTATTAGCAAAATAAATTATATTTCAAATACATTCGACATATATTTATAAATATATACTAATTTGTAAGTACGTATTTAATATAGACACAAATGTAACACATTTTTATTAAAATAAAGTTCTATTTCTACAAAAGCTCATTTCTCATCCTTTGTCAGGTATACCTGAAGACTGACTGTTAGACATTCACCATTTAAAAGATTTTAGTGACTTTAAAAGGTAGCAGTATAAATTCTTTAAGCATGCTATGGCTTTATGTAATGCTCAGAGTAGTGAAACTTAAATTTTTAAGTCACATAATGATATTCTCCAGGTATGAATACAGTGTAGTAATTTAAATACTTTGAATATTTTTATGAGAGGGTTCGCTAGTAGTTGTTTCTTCTTCAATGGTGGATTTTTCATATGTAGTTGCATTGACAGTTTTATCTAGGAAAAGGGAAAAAGAATTATCAGCATGTAAAAATACTGACGAAACATCTGAGAATAGATATTTTTTAATATCTATTAAATGGATATTATGGAACAAAGAAAAGGAGAGAGAAGAAACGGAAGAGAAAGACATTAACATTTTCCAGAAATAAAGGAGAAAGAAGAAGGTATTGAAGAATAAAGTTTTTGTGATCATGGGGTGTCTGAGGTGGGATTAACATGACTATAATTTGTGAAAGAGAGGCAAAGGAACATGCGGCCCCGGGCTTTCTTCAGAGGTAAAGAAGATCTCTTGGAGAAGATAATTGGCTCCAGATGGTTCCCTGCACAGGCGGTGAAATGATCCTCTTTGTCCAGAGCAGCTTGGCTGCTGTTCAGTGTAACGACGCAAGAAAGGGAGGCTGAGTATTAAGTGTGTTTGTAAATTGGAAACAGACATTTGGATATAAAGATTTTGGACTACAAATCAAGGGTTTTCAGGTCTAATTTAGTATATATCTCAGTCTGTAATGGGTCCCTCTAGAGGAATGTCACTAAGGGAGTGTTTGGTAACAACTGTGACTGGAAGACCCTTTCTTCAAGTTGATGGCCATTTCAATTAACTGCTTAATACAGGAGTCAATAAAGTTCCATACGGAGTACAGGGCACCCTCTATAGGAGGACTTCTACAGAGGGGCAGAAAAAATTCACACCAAGCCCACAAACCCATGACAAGTGTCTTGCTGCCAAGGAAAGTTGGGAAAGGGAATCAGTTACTGGAGTTGATAGTGATTCAAGCAGAACTCGAAAAGTGAGTAAGTCATCCTTAAATTCTGCTTTGCAACCCTTATCCTCTGGAGAAAAGCATCTAGATTGCCTCAGTTTTTCCCCCTTGCCTTCAGAGTTTTAGGGACTATACTTAAGCAAGCAACCCTTAGTCAAAGTTATCCGCAGATCTCCATCTTCCTGGGGGCTTGCTCCTCTAGAACGTCCCTACCATGCCAGCAGGTCTCCTTCTGTCAGAGCCCCGTTTAAAATGGCAGGAATGTCTTATTCCAATCCCACTTTCCCTGACAATCCTCTGGGGGCCTGAATTGTGGAAATAAAAGTGAGGGTTTCGCAGTCTCTTCCTTGGGTCCTGCAGTCTGTACTCAATAACTCATATCCTAAGGGAATTTGAGGTAGCTGGTACACTTAAGAGCTGCCTCTTCATGTCTTGTCCCAGACAACTCAAGATGTTGTTTGTTGTGGATAAGCAAGATTCCCGTAAGTGATTTACTGAATTAATATAAGCCCTTGGAATGTTACTGTCTCATTTAAATCCCAAGGTTTGAAATTGCTCAAAATATTCCATTATTATCAAGTAGCTTTGTTAATAATTAGGCATTCCTGAGTCTCACATTTCTCAATATTGACATTGCCATAGCTAGAAACATTCTCTCTTCCCCATTTAAAGCTGAAGACAAAAATCAGAAAGGCAAAAAAACGTGGGTTTAAGAAAGATGTAAATTTTCCTAGAATCCTAAATGTAGTTATCATTTAATTTTTCTTTCCACATAAACCATATGTATGAGGTTTAGAAATGCAAGAACCTCCCCAGCTTCTGAAATTATCAGTGTAATGGATGTGGAGTCTCAGGTGTATTTGTGTGGGAGGAAGTGTGAGAAAAGCAGAGAGGATGGCCAAGAACTAAGCTGGATCCCAGTCACAGAATCTACTTTAGAGGGAAAATGTTAGTCTTATTTAGGAACGAAGACTTCTTTTCTCCCCAACAGTCTCTTATTGCTGTTTTGAAATCCTGCTTTAATGGCTTTTACATGTGCAATGGTGCCTTTCACTTCTTACCGTTTTTTAGAGCAAAATTCAGGTCAGTTGTGGCTCTCACAGATATTTCAGACTCAGTGCCATTTGGATTTTGTGTTGTGAACACATCTAAAAACAAAAGCGAAAGTCTTCAGCAACTAGCTAAGTCACTTTTTTTCCTTTACCTTTTTCTTCCTCTGAGTTTTTTTCTTAAAACATGCACTAATTAAAAAAAAATTAAAAAAGTTATAGTCATTTTTTTTTCATCTACAAAATAAGAAAGTGGGGCAAGGGTCAAATCTAAAACTCATTGAAAAAAGCCAAACTAGTATCTTTATGCCAAATGACCCTTTCCAAGAAGCAATTTTTGGAGAAATTTGTGGAAAAAAATATGTAAGCACATAACAGGTGCTGAAGTAGATTTGTAGATGTGCAACATTATCACTGTTTGTATTGACATTATCAAAAAACCGGGTAAGAAGCATTTACCTGCCCTTGAACCTTCTGTTAGACTATGGAATGAACACTTCAGCTTAAAAAGCATATCATTTGATAACAATTAAGGTCCCTCACATATACTCAAATTTACACATGCACATAAAGAATGCTGCTCTTAAGACTCATTAGTGGAGTTGGCTGCAATTCAAAACTAATGTATATATTCCCCCCGCCAAAGGATCAAAGTGAATTGGATCAAGACGGCAGACTGGACATGCACATGTGTCTCCTCTCTCCAAAATTTCATAAGATGATACAAAATTCTATACACACACGAATGTATGTGTATTTAATATTTACATATGTATTCATTTCTCTCTTTGTGAGAACAAAGAAATTCACCCCAGTGTGTATATGAGAAGAATGTACATGGGAAAAACTGCACATAGACTAAATGTTCTCCCACAAGATAACAGATAAATTATGGACGACACACATAAAAACGGTACCATTAATATTTCATCGTTTTTGAGCAATTCCTGAGACAGAGCTATGGAAAAATAAAACAAAGTCACAACCCAACACTCATGCCATGAGTTATGAAAGTATAAAAGTTGAAACACTGGTATCTTTCTAGGGACAGACAGTTTAAAAAAACAAGTATAACAATTGGCCTAATTTCATCTTAGAGTTTGGTTAATTAAATATAAGTTTCACATCAGTAGGGACTTGGTGTTAGACACTTGGCTATCATCCTTGAAAAACATAATGTTTTATCCCTACTTTATGCCATACACAAAAATAATTGGATTTAAAGCTCAAGTTAAAAACAAAAACATAGGCCGGGTGCAGTGGCTCACGCCTGTAATCCCAGCACTTTGGGAGGCCGAGGCGGGCGGATCACGAGGTCAGGAGATCGAGACCATCCTGGCTAACACTGTGAAACCCGTCTCTACTAAAAATACAAAAAATTAGCCGGGCGTGGTGGCGGGCGCCTGTAGTCCCAGCTACTCAGGAGGCTGAGGCAGGAGAATGGTGTGAACCCGGGAGGCGGAACTTGGAGCGAGCAGAGATTGCGCCACTGCACTCCAGCCTGGGCGACAGCGCGAGACTCCGTCTCAAAAAAAAAAAAAAAAAAAAAAACAACGATAAAATTACTTTTAAAATTCAAGAAAACAATATTTTGGACTGGATAAAGCCTGCTTAGGCAAGACACAAAATGCAGAGATTATAAAGAAATAAATAAACAGAACTGATATTATAAAACTTGAAATCTTCTCAGTTATTAAAGATACTTAAACAGGCTTGGCCAGGTGTGGTGGCTCGCACCTGTAATCCTAGCACTTTGGGAGGGTGAGATGGGTGAATCGCTTGAGCCCAGGAGTTGGAGACCAGCCTGGGCAACATGATGAAACACCGTTTCTACAAAAAAAATACAAAAATTAGCTTGGTGTGATGGCATGTGCCTATAGTTCCAGCTACTCGGAAGGCTGAGGTGGTAGGACTGCTTGAACCCTGGGAGGTCAAGGCTGGCTGCAGTGAGCCATGGTCGTGCCACTGCACTCCAGCCTGGGTGACAGAGCAAGACTCTGTCTCAAAAACTGAATACGATACAATAAAATAAAATAAGCCTTAAAGATAAGCAGCATCTTGGCAGAAAACATTTATTACTTTTACCGTAAAAAGGATTAATATATTCTACATAAAAAGAGCCCTTAAAAAGAAATGAAAATACAACCTAATGGAAAAATGGGCAAGGGTATGAACAGGCAGGTCACAGAAGTAGAAATAAAATACCCAACAAATACAGGGGGAAATGATGGAAATTTAAAAAGGACACTTAAGTGAAACCAGGATAATCAACTTTTGCATATACATTTCTATTCACTTTAAAGACTTACATTGTTTTATATCTTTATAATAATTGCCATTTTTCTCATTAGCAGGAGCATAATTGGGAGTATGATCTTCATTCTTTTCTTCCTGCTTATTAACATCTTCATTTAAAGGTAGCACATTAGGCAATGCTAAAAAAAAGTATCACACACCATAGATCAGAAATATGTTGATTTCTTTTACTGCTTTCTTTTTCTAACTGCATTTTTTTCACAAAGGATTAGAGGCAGAGATTTAAAATCTAAAACATACCATAGCTCCAACAATAAAGTTTATATCCTCCTGTAGAAAACTGCCACATACCAATTTTTCATGATTATGGGTCATCCTTCTTACCTACTATTTTTATAAAAGTTTTAAATGCTCTCTCACCTTCAATAGTAGGCTTCAAAGTGCTACTTTTTAAGGAAAAAACTCCAGGTATAAAAATAAACAATATAAAATTCATTGGGAAATTGAAGTGATTTATCCAGTAATCTAGTGCGTCTACCCAGAGCCTCCTTTCTGTGGCCCAGCAGGTCCTGTGTCTAACTAGGACATTATGACATCACTGTCAGATGGGCATCAGAATGTTGGTGGGGGTGGGGGTTCCCAACAGCTTTGTGACTCAGTCTGAAGACTGCTTTATCTCAGGTACTATAATGGTTTTTAGTTATTTTTTAAATAAACCATTACAAGATTTTCTTTGAAAGTTAATAAGTGTGTTTTCATAAAAGAATGTTAATTACTCGGCTCTGGATTTTAAAGAACCATTTGTAGAGCACTCGATTCTGTGGCTAGTCAGGGTGCCACTTGTAACCCGCACGGACCTAGGGGACTGAACAAAGGGGGACGAATGCGGGAATAAAAGACAAAGACAAAAGAGTATATTTGGAAGAAGGGGTCGGGGGCACCTTGCCTCTAGTGGGCAAGGGCCCTGAGCTTTACACAGCCCTCTGTATTTATTAGGCAAGAGAGATAGTGAGAAGGAGGATGGAAGAAGGGGTCAGCTGCCCGGTCCAGAGTAGGCATGCAACACTGCATTCTCTAGATGTCGCAGTAGATAACCTCGGTGCCAGGGAGTGATTGCCTCCAGCAAACCTTCTGTGGGCAGGAGCAGTCGTGAGTTTGCCCACATCCTGCATTCATAATAAACAGTTTGCTGTTTGATCATATAGCCTCCAGTGGAATGCTGAGTGGCTCACGTCCCACGAGCCTTCGGCTCCCTGCAACCATTAATATTGTTAAGAGTAAAATGAGAACAGATCTTTTTGTTTCTCAAAGCATTGCAATATGATGTGTTTTCTTGGATAAATGCAATAAAAATATCTTTTAAAAACTAGTCAGAGGCTGGACGCAGTGGCTCACACCTGTAATCCCAGCACTTTGGGAGGCTGAGGTGGGCAGATCACTTGAGGTCAGGAGTTCAAGACCACCCTGGGCAACATGGTGAAACCTCATCTCTACTAAAAATACAAAAGTTAGCCAGGCGTGGTGGCCCACGTGCTTGAACATGGGAGGCAGAGTTTGCAGCGAGCCGAGATCACACCACTGCACTCCAGCCTGGGTGAAGAAGTGAGTCTCTGTCTCCAAAAAAAAAAACAAAAAACAAAAAACAAAACAAAAAAAACAACTAGGCAGAAAAACCAAGTTCTGATGCCAAATGCCCTACAAGTCTACAAGTTCTGGTTAATGGATTATCTTAACTATAATTCTTTAGAAAAGTTCTCTAAAACTGGTCATTTTTAGATTTTAAGGCCTATATTATATAAATAATTAATAATAACATATTATATATTAGTTATATAAATATATTATATATTTTATAAAATATATAATTATATAATATATAAAATATAGGTCTTATATGTATTTATATTTCATATGGCTTTTGGGGTCCAAGTGGTTCTTGGTTGCATTGATGAATTGTATAGTGGTGAAAGCTGAGATTTTAGTCTGCCCATCACCCGGTAGTGTATATTGAACCCAACATATAGTTTTTTATCCCTCACCCAGCTCCCTTCTTCCCCCCTTCTGAGTCTCCAATGTCCATTATACCACTCTGTATGCTTTTGTGTACCCATAGCTTAGCTCGCACTTATAAGTGAGAGCATGTGGTATTTGTTTTTCCATCCCTGAGTTATTTCACTTAAAAGAATGGCCTCCAACTCCATCCAATTTGCTGCAAAAGACATTATTTTTTTCTTTTTTATGGCTGAATAGTATTCCATGGTGTATATATACCATATTTTCTTTCTCCACCCATCAGTTAATGGGCACTTAAGTTGGTTCCATATCTTTGCAATTGTGAATTGTGCTGGGATAAACATATGTGTGTAGGTGTCTTTTTGATATAATTACTTTTTTTCCTTTGGGTAGATACCCAGTAGTGGGATTGCAAAGGGTAGATCTACTTTTAATTCTTTAAGAAATCTCCATACTGCTTTCTATAGGTGTTGTACTAATTTTTATTCCCACCAACAGTGTATAAGCATTCCCTTTTCACCAATATCCATGGCAACATCTATTTTTTTTTTAAATTTTTAGTAATGGCCATTCTGGCTGGGATAAGGTGGTATCTCATGTGGCTTTAATTTGCAGTTCCCTGATGATTAGTGATGTTGAGCATTTTTTCATGGTTTTTGGCCATAAAACCTATTTTTTTCATAAAATATAAAACTTTTTTTGTTTAAAATATTTTTATCATGAAACTCATCTTTTACTTTACATACAAGTGGAGAAAATAATCTAATATTTAATTAGTTAGAAGAGGACTTAAGTATAGGCAATATTATCCATTATTAGTTATACAATAACTCAAGTAATAAGAAATAAAGACAAATCAAATAGGCAGCATTTCTCTTCCTGATAGGATCACCTAACTTCCCCACTCTCAAATGTAATTATTGTTGATGACAGCTTCTCAACATTAGAGAATATCCATAGTCAAGATGACATATTACTTCAAGAAAAAAAAGCATGACTTTAAAAAGACTTGATAATCTTTTTAGGGTAATGAATGCTCACAAATTAAGTCCAACTTGTGACTCCCTACTGAACACACCTGGTGAACTGGAGATAGATTCACCAGGAGTCTAATTGCATAGGAGGAGGAAGGAAATTGGGAAGATTTATCCTCAGGGAAAAGATGGTCAGGCAAGCAAAGCTTAGCATCAAAGCTTTAGTCAGCCAAAGGGAAGTGGTCCTGTGTAGAGCTGTTTTTCTTCCTTAGCTTATTCTCAAGTGAAAGCTGAGAAGCGAAAAAAAGAGATATGAGTAAAGAGCTGGCAGGCCTTGGGAGCCCTTTACTTTGTTATCTCTCTAACAGGGTGACACATAGAAAAGGAGAGAGACTTGAAGCAAGCATGCTCCATGTTGCTGCAAACCACCTTAGAGCTTTGAATGACATAGCTCAGCCCTGGTGAAACTCGGAAGAAGTTGTTCCAGGAGGAAGATGGCATCAATGGAATTTCCCCTGTCCCTGGCAATAAAGGGGAAGTCAGTGCTAGCTGGAGAAACATGTTTACTACTGTGTGCCCCAAAGCTGGCACACTGTGTGGCCCATAACAGGTGCTTGATGAATGAGGGAATAAAACACTTTATTTAGTTCAGGAAGCACTTAAGTGCCAAAAAGTCAACTTAGCATTTTCTAATGACATGAATGGAATTTTCTTTATCATATAGCTTCTCCACTGAGTCCTCCTATATTCAAAAGATTGTTAGTTTTTAATGTGACTAATGCTCTTCCTAGGTAATTGAATTGGTAGAGTACAGATATTGTAGGCTTTATAAAAAAAGCATTAGATTTAATGAAACTAAGTTTGTTTAAAAATTGACTTTAGGCCAGGTGTGGTGGTTTGTGCCTATAATCTCAGCACTTTGGGAGGTCAAGGTAGGGGGATCACTTGAGCCCAGGAGTTTGAGACTAGCCTGGGTAACATAGCGAGACCTATTGCTCCAAAAAAGAAAAAAAAAAAAATGATGTTAACCTTTCTTTGTCCTATGATCAGTATTCTTTTTAGAACATATTTTCAGAGGTGTTATGGGTTGAACTGTATGCCCCCAAATTTCACATGTTGAAGTGTTAATCCCCAGAACCTCAAAATGTGACCACGTTTGGAGATAGAGTTGTTGCAGATATAATTAGTTAAGAAGAGGTCATACTGGAGTAGGATGAAACCCCAACACAACATGACTGGTGTTTTTATGAAAAGGAGGAGAATTGGACACAGAGACACACAGAAAAAATACTATGTGGAGATGAAGGGAGAGATCAGGGAGGTACAGCAGAAGCCATGGAACATCAAAGATTGCCAGCAAACCACCAGAAGCTAGGAAAAAGGCATGGAACAGATTCTCCCTCATGCCCCTCAGGAGGAGCCAATCCTGCCAATATATTAATCTAGGACTTGTAACCTCGAGAACTGTGACACTATAAATTTGTTGTTTAAGCTACTCAGTTTGTGGTACTCGTTTCTGGTTACAGCAGCCCTAGCAAATGTATAGAATAGACAAATAGAAGAGATTATGCAAACTAAAATTGAACGTGTCCTCTCTGGAGGTTATAATTTTGGGCTGTAATGTAGCCCTTCCATAAATGTAGATGTTCTATAACACAATCTAGTATAAATTTTTCTTTAAAATAATCAAGTGTATATTATTTTCTCTACATAATGTCATATTTTAAGTCTTTAAAGAAGACCCTGAAAGGCATCTCTTGCTAATACCAAGAATGTCATTAAATATACTTTGTACTCTGTGACTTTATTTCCTGAATGATTTCATGTTTATTGACCACATCTGGATTACAAGCCCTTTCCCATTTCTGTGTCTTTTCTCTCAACAGCACTAAGCCTAGAGTAGGAGGCCATATATTTGGATATTAGCTCCATCACTTCTTAGCTGTATGATCATGGGCAAATCATCTCTTCTCTGACCCTGAACTTTCACTCATCTGAAAAATGGGAAAATTAAGTTTCACAGCCAGTACTATTTAAGACCCATTTATTGGGCTGAACTTGTTTACTTTACAGATTTATATACATAATTTTTCCTCAGGTCTAAAAGAATTAGATGTGGTGAGGTTTTCATATACCCATATTTTTTCAAGAGGCAGAGTACACCAGTATCCTATTGGGTAGGTCATATAAGTAGTATAGAGAATGAAGTTGAAGACATACACATACTAAGAAACAAGACAATTTTTTTTTTTTTTTTTTTTTTACACAAAGTCTCACTCTGTCGCCCAGGCAGGTGTACAGTGGTGCAATCTCGGCTCACTGCAACCTCTGCCTCCAGGGTTCAAGCAATTCTTGTGCCTCAGCCTCCCGAGTAGCTAGGATTATAGGCGCCCACCACCATGCCCAGCTAATTTTTGTATTTTTAGTAGAGACGGGGTTTCACCATTTTGGCCAGGCTGGTCTCAAATTCCTGACCTCAGGTGATCTGCCTGCCTCGGCCTCCCAAAGCACTAGGATCACAGGCATGAGCCACCGCATCCATAAATAACACAATTTTATATAATGGCCTAAAACATATTTTTAAAGAATATTAAGAATGTTAATTGAGTCATCCCAGTCTTCGAGAGAATTCATTAAATGGAGATAAATTCCACAAGGTATAAATTAGTTGTCACAGTCCATTAATATAAGCCCAAAAACTGTGCTTAAAAAATTAATTTGAATATTATTTTCCTTAAATCTGAGTAGTAAGTTTACATAGTGCATAAAAGAAAATAAATGATTAGCTACATCATTCAGAAGAATTGCCCTGCTGAGCCCTGCCTGAATTCATGACCCACAAAAGCATGAGATATGTTAAAGTGGGTATTGCTTTAAGTCGCCAAGTTTCAGCATACTTTGCAATGCAGCAATAAATAGCTGGAACACTTTGGAAACTTACATTCAGACAAATCACCTTCTGCCACATCCTTCCATCCTGGCAGCTCTCTACTCTGGATACACCTGACATCCTTGTTCTTCAATCCCTTAGATGTCTCACATTTCCTGACCTCTTCACTCACTCATCATCCAGCAGCCCCCATCTCTCTTTACTTTTTTAATATCCAACTCAGATTCGATGAGTATTATTCTAATTAAGAACTCACTACGGCCGGGCGCGGTGGCTCAAGCCTGTAATCCCAGCACTTAGAGAGGCCGAAGCGGGCGGATCGCAGGTCAGGAGATAGAGACCATCCTGGCTAACACAGTGAAATCCTGTCTCTACTAAAAATACAAAGAAAAAAAAAATTAGCCAGGCATGGTGGCGGGCGCCTGTAGTCCCAACTACTTGGGAGGCTGAGGCAGGAGAATGGCGTGAACTCGGGAGGCGGAGCTTGCAGTGAGCCGAGATCGCACCACTGCACTCCAGCCTGGGAGACAGAGCGAGACTCCGTCTCAAAACAAAACAAAACAAAACAAAACAAAACAAAACAAAACAAACGCATTGTGTAGTTCTAGGTACGGAGCAGCTAATTGTTCCTCTAGAGATATTTAGACAGAAACACAGACTGTGGCTTGCACACAAACAATCTCTATTGCTGCCTGACTTCCTCGTGAGACCACCCATTGGAGAGAAAAGGAAGGATCCTGAGCCAAAGAAGAGACTTTAATGGTTCCAGTTTCTCCGTATTCTAAGCAGGTTGGGCAAGAAGAGAGAGAAGTGGGTGTGGAGAAGTCTCACGGCCTGAAGAAAAGAGAGTCATTTCTCCTCTATTGGGGGAGTTGCAGGAGTTATCATCAAGTCACCTCGGGGGCAGCGGCAACAGCACAGGCTGGGTGTGTGTCTCTCTCTGCCCTCCCTCTTCTGGGGCTGGCTGACTCATTGCCGGGTCAGGCGACAGGGGCTGGGATGCAGGATCACACTGAGAATGACCAGGCATTTAAGGGCTGGACTGCACAAGCAAATCAAGTGCTTCCAGGCACTCAGAATGCCCCAGGGAGAAGACAACAGCAACAAACAACAAAAATAGTTCCCTGTTCCTTAAACAGCAAATACCTATTTCAAACAACTGTATTACAACCAAATAGCGTCAGCCAGTGTTCCCTCTAAGACACAGAAGCTTTAGGGGAACCTAAAGGACTTTTATTTTAGTTTTACCTTTTCTACTCTTTAGGTGTTAAAATGTTTTCTTCTATGGGATAAGGGTGGTAATAGACAGTTGCATCTATAAATCACTTTTCTTTAATTTTAAACTTTCTAGCCCACAGAATTAAAAAATCTAGAAGCCCATGAAAGAAAGGACTGTTGGTCATTTTCTTTTTTCTATTTGTTTTTTGAAACAGAGTCTCACTCTGTCACCCAGGCTAAAGTGCAGCCGCGTGATCTTGGCTTACTGCAACCTCTGCCTCCCCAGTCCAAGCAATTTTCCTGCCTTAGCCTCCCCAGTAGCTGGGATTACAGGCGCCCACCACCATGCACGGCTAATTTTTGTATTTTTACAACAGGGTTTCACCACGTTAGCCAGGCTGGCCTCGAACTCCTAACCTCAGGTAATCCGCCTGCCTCGGCCTCCCAGAGTGCTGGGATAACAGGCGTGAATCACCATGCCTGGCCCTGTTGGTCATTTTTCATAACCTATGAAAAGCCTGACTTGGGTCTCTCTGGAGGGAGGAGTTTAGGTTATTCAGGTAGGGATGGGCTGCCATTGAAGGATTCCGAGGAAGAATGGGGAAGGAAAAGTGTCATCACCAGGTCTTGGATTTAGAAAGAGCAGTCTGGTTTCAGTTTGTGAAAACTAGAAGGTGAGAGAAGGAGCCTAGAGATTTGTAGAGTAATGGGCAGGAGGTAAAGGAGAGGCCATGAAAATAAATGCAGAGATCATGAAAATGCAGAAAGGGAGACTGTTTGGCTTTGGTGCTAATTTTCTAAAAATAATTTCGACAAATCTTTCTTCTCAAATGCTGGGGCTAATCAGCTATTTTGTCTTTCCAGAATCTCATTAAAAGAGGGAGTCTGCGTTTCAGGACAATCTTTCTATGAAAGGTAGAGACAAAAAAAGGGGGGGGTGCAATTTATTTTATACTTTTTATAAATAAAAGCCTTTTTCTTCTTCTCTCAGCCAGACTAGTCTGTTTTGGCAAGCTTTCCATTGGCAATTGTTGCTTTCTCCAGTCTGTATTCACTGATTGGCTGCATTTGAACTCTTGTAATTATCAGGTGTCTTCTTTGTGTGAATAGATCCCTGCATCTGGCCCTAATGCAAATCACATCTCTGTAATTACCAGACATGATTGGTATAAGAATGGATGCTGGAAATTTGCACATAAATGGGCAAAATTATTCTTTTCCAAAAGCTTCTAAACCTAGAGATGAGATCAAATACAGACATATTATGCCTCTACTCTACCTGGCTCTGTGCCCTTTTCTGGCTCTTCCCTCATGTGCATATACATAAGCTTCTTCTCTCAACTTTCCAGTCTCCCAGGCTGGAAGATAAAGTATCATAGGTGACTTTTCTTAATCCCTTGCTTCTTACTCCACAGCTAATCAGATGGCTTCCCTTCTTTGAGACATGCTTATATCCACCGCTTCCTTTTCATTACTATTTCTACTAGAGTTAGGTCATTATCTTCTCAGGACATGAAGAGTATACTGTTCTCCTTTCTAGGCCATGTGGTGAAGTTGAGAAGCATGCATTCTAAAGAAAAATAAAATGTAGCTTGACTACAAACACCATTACTTTCTAGTTATACGTGACCATGGCATGATAGTTTAACTTCTCTGATCTTCAGTTTCCTCATCTGTAAAATATGAAATAACAACTAGCTCTTTAAAAGTCTGTTTACCCCTGGAAAAATACCTGTGATGCTTCCTTGAGTGATGAAGCTTAATTTAAGAGGACATTTTTATGGGTTGATAATTGAAGTGATGCTGTTAAGTATATATTGGCAAGTGTCTTAGATTGGGCTCCTCTAGAAGCTGATTCCAAAACTAGGATGTGAGAACCAGTGATTGATTAAGGAAGTGCTCCTATAGGAAGCAAGTAAGGCAGTTGAAGAAGCAGGACAGGGAAAGAGGACACCAAGCAGGAGAGCAGTCTTAGGCAAGGTCTCACAGAGGGGAAATTTAACCTGATCCTTCAAGAAAATTTTGGAGGGAAAGTCATGCCTCGGAATCGCCCCAGCCCAAAGTAAGGGAGCTGAGTCTGTCATCCCATGTTGATGTCAGACAGTGGTTAAGGGCTACCCAGGGGAGTTAAATTTCCAGGTTCCTCTGGGTCTTTCTGTGTGCTATGGGAATCTGAGGGCAGTTCTCCAAGAAAGAGTTCTATGTGCTAGCTTTGGAAGTTAAACAGACTGATGACAGGTGTACCTAAAAATGATAAAGACAGGTTTGGGGAGATGTGGGAAGATGCTGACATCCGCTACAGCCCACCCCTTGTGTTGCTCAGATTCATCAGATCCGCTTGTATCCTGTCACGGATTCTTCAAGATGAATGATGGTTGTAACAACTTCTGGGGAAAAACTTCTAAGAGGAGGGTTATGGGAGAACTACAATTCTCATTGCTGTGGCAGTCCAGAGGCCATAATGAGCATTTATCATCTGTGTCCCCTACAATTGGTTCTAGAAGGTAGCTTCTGATGGTTTAGTCTGCTCAGCTGGGGTCTTGGTTTCTATGACTTAGGCTGCAGTTGTTGTAATTGCTCATTTATAGTTAACATGGAGTTCTGACCAGACTCCTCTCTGCCCCTCTTATGTAGCAGCAACCCTAGCTCCTCAGGATGGTCAGGGTCAATTACCTCTGCCGGTATGGTAACTCTTTTTACCTGCTGGTCTATTAGCATGAAGAGCCCTAAATGACCAGGCAGCATTAACAGCTTTAGGGTTAGTGGGATTCTTCCCATGTTCTGATGGAAATGTCTCCTCCCTGAGAACCAGGGCTTCCACACTCACGAAACATAAAGTTGTGGAACAGAGTTTTTCTGAGCATCTAGTAACCATCCCAGCAGTATATTAAGGCATTAAATCTTATGCCCTGAGAATATGCCCCCACAAATCTACTCTCTTAGCCAGCCAGCCTCATATTCTATCTCCCTTGGTCAAGCACCAGTTTAAGATATATTCCCATGCATGTCCTCCTATTTTTATTGCTCTTTCTTAGCCGAATGGATCATTCCTTCCATATCAGGACCAGTACTTTCCTAATCAGGCCATGCTGAGACTTGACCTGAGTTATTAATCTAGTAGCCAAGGGAGGAGATGACAGCATATCTAAAGAAATCAAGTATCATCTTGCAGGGCATAAAGCCACCTCAGCTGAGACCTCTGCATAGTCTTCAGGGAAGGGGGAAGGTGCTATCTTTTGGTAAAGGGGCAGTGGATACTTCTACAAGGGGGCAGTTGAACAAATCCACCTAGTTATACTTATTCCACATTTCATGATCCACTTCTTCCTTATCAGGGCCTTGATTTTGGTATAAGAGACTTGCCAAGGCTGTAGATTCAGTCTTCTCTGAAGTTTTGCTGACAATCTAGTCCTGGATCTATTCACTAACTACAGGAGATGCAGGTCCCTCTATATGCTGCCATGAAGATTTTGACCTTCAGGTTGGGACTTAAATTGATAACTGGCTGAGCGGAACCTGTCATTTTCCTCTTAATGCATAAAGAACACTCAGCAACTACCAACCGATCCCTGGGTCTTCATACTCACCTTCTCCCCTAAGTCTCTCACAAGCACCAGTGCATCCCTTCTGCCTGCAACTTTTCCAGTTCACCAAGTGAAGTCCTAGCAATGGTCACAGTGTCCTGGGGGTTATCTCCATAACTCTGAGGCTTGTGTGCATCATCTCCCAGAGGTCCCTCATAGGACTGTGCTCCTGTTGTCCACAGCAGGGGATGCTCCTTCCACTGTCACTTCCCCCTTTGCCTCTTGGTGCTTTGGGGGATCATCTCCCAGGAGTAACATCAGTGGATAAAGTCAGTGCCCTGTCTAGATCCCTTTCTACCACTTTGGGGCATCTCCCTATCTCTTCCAGTCTGACCCATTGTGAAGGCTGAAGCAACTCCATCTTGGAAGCTAATCTGCCACTTTGGCTTCTGATTGACCAACATTCTGGAAAGGCCTCTAAAATTTCCAGTTTATCTATTGTTCCTCGTGTAAGAGCAAGTACTTACCATAAATCCTTCCCTTAGGTCAAATAACTTTGATGTTATCATACTTCAATTGTCCTACAAATCTGTGCTGAACCAATTTTCTCCCTGTGGTGTATAAGCCTTTGGTCTTGGGGGTAATGGTGCGGGGATCCACCATCTTGTCTTGCGGTGGCCTGAGACGCAAACATGGCTTCTGTTTGTAAGGCCTTTTAAATGTTTCTTTCTAAGAAACTGTATTTATCAGACTCTTTCTTCAGCCTCTCAGCTTCCTCAGACTTTGGGGTAGGCTTTCATAGGCCTGCCCACTGTGGAACACCTATGTACGAGCTGGGCATCTCCTTGTGTCCAGGCAAGCCCTCAGGTTCATAGTTGCAGATGTTTCTAGTAAAGAGCCTTTTGTACTCACAAGAATGGAGTGTCAAGGGGATAAAAGTGGGGTATGACAGCGTCTGCTACACTCAAGCCCTTAGCTGCTCAGTTACACACACACCCCACATTAAGTTCCCTCTATCCCATCGCTGATTCCTTTTAAAAATTTTACTCAAAATTAAATGTGCATACAATTTAAGGAGACAAGCATCTTAACAAATTTTGCTACCAACAACAGTTGTGTCCCAGGTACCCCTCATTTATATCTTCCAGAAAAATCTTCAGTGCTTCAGCTTATTCTTTGGTTATTTGCATCCAAATCTCTCCTAACACGCCAATATAATAGCTTTGGGCTTTCAGAATTAAGTGATGCCTACTGAATCCCACTATGAAAGAGGAAGACCTAGCTCTCTTTCACAAGACCCACAGTAAGGCCTTCAGGGACCATCCTCATTCATTATCCTGGACCCCATCCTAAAACACAATTACATCATTATTGCAGCTTGATCAGTGTTCAGAGTTTACTTCAGTGCTGTCAAAGACTCTTAAAGGTATTAGCCAATCACAGTTTCTGAAAAGAGACCCACCACATAAGGGCCAGTAGATAAAGTGTAGTCCCTAATGCTGAAGTTGGATCTGGGTCCATATTTGACATATGTCAGCTCTTTATCACACATTCTAGATCCCCTTACTGTTTGCCATCACATCTCCTCATCTAAGGAGAAGGGCTAGGTATAAAAAAGTACTGAGTCAAGTGGAGAAAAGTTCCTTAGTTAAGGGCCCCTGATGAGGAGGCCTACAAATGGTGACACCTGCACTAGGACTGTAAGTATTCATATGCATATAGCCCGCAGGGGATGAATGAGTCCTTGACTGCAACTCCCTCCAGGAAACTGAAAAGCTCTGGCTGTGTGCTAAGTTTGGTGTGAGGGGTGAAGCTTGCCAGGCAAAGCCTTGTAATTACCTATGGTGGGACCTGAAAGATCACACAAAGGACGTGGGCCTGAAACTAAACTCAATTAATTCACTTTGCATTCCATGCAAAGTTGATAGCCAGGAGCACTTCTTGAAAATCTGCGCATTGGGATGCCACTCCCTCCCGCATCACTGTCTTCCAGGGTCACACTGAGTGGAGCAATAGGGAAGCAGTGGAGCTACAAGGAATGTTTGGCTTGCATATTATTGATCTGACCCATCTATGAATGAGGCTTGAATTTTTTTCTCCTTAGTTGTTTGTAGGGAGTCCTGGATAAGATCATAACTGTAAGCTGAGAGAGAGGCATTGGGGCAACATAACTAGGTGACATGGGTCTGGGCCACTGCTTGGTTTAACTTACTTGTGCCACCCAGATCTGCTTGGTTCCAATCCATAATGCATATTTCTTTTGTATTATGGATTGTTCCTGGGCCCATTCATTTTCAAGGGTAAACAGCCCATGGATGAATTGTAATTTCCTCCTGAGGGATATGGACAGGACACCAACAGCATCTATTATTAACTGGGACTTAGAGATGGCAGGTGCTGGTCACTAAAAAAAGTGTATCCTTGAATATCTGTTCATCCCATGTGAATTACTACAGCTCTTTGGTCTGCAGAAGCAGAATATTAGGATTAACAAAGAAGAAAACCACATCTCCATCCTTTCCTTTAGAGTAAACCTAAGATACTAGCACCTAGGAATCTATAAGATTGAAAGGAGTTAATTATGGAAAGTAGTTATCTCAGGGCTCAGCATTCAGTAAATGTCATTTTCCATTAAAAGTGTTGGTGCAGAAAGACAAATACTGCCGATCTCACTTATATGTGGAATCTTAAAAAGTCAAACTCACAGAAGCAGAGAAGAGAATGTTGGTTATCAGGGGCTGGTGGTGGGGGATGGTACTGGGGAGATGCTGGTCAAAGGACACAAAATTTCAGCTAGGGAGAAGAATAAGTTCAAGAGACCTATTTTACGCCACGTTGTGTAGTTAATAATGACATACACTTGAAAATTACTGAGAGAGATTTTTAAGTGTTCTCACTATGAAAAAGTGCTATGTGAGGCAATATACATGTTAATTAGCTTGATTTAGCCATTCTACAATATATACATATTATCATCAAAACATCACATTGTACCCCATAAGTACTACAATTTTATTTGTCAATTAAAAACATTTTTTAAGTTTAAAAAGAAACCAGCTTTACATAAAAAAGAGTGTTAGTGAGTGTTTAACTGGCTGTCTAATTAAAAAAAAAAAACAGAAAGAAAAAGAAAAGTTTTGATCTGTAGCATTTGCCAATTTTCATGTTGTAAGTATCTCCACCATACCTGATTCTGGGCTACCAACATAATGTCACTGAATCCGGAGTTGGGGAAAGATGAGCCAGTAACACAGCATTATATAACATTTCTATCATACACACATAATGGATGTAAATAAGCTTGAGCATAGATAATTGTAAAATAATTAGGAAATGTCAACTTTTGAGTATTTATTACCTGTATTTTAAAATATGCTTTATTTAATTGTATAGTTATATAATTTATTTTTAATAATGGCTGTGTTTAATATCTGGCTTGCAGAATTCTTGCAAATTCATTAATCAGCTCTCAGGATTACAAGCTAGTTCCAGCCTACCATTGTTTCCCAACCTCCTCTAACCTCCCCTGGGGAGATTTTGAGGACTCCTTCAAAGACCTTGTCTTCTGTTACACTCACCAATGCCTGAGGGCAGCTTTTTTAATCTCACTTTTGAGACTGGCGCCCATTTTCTTGTTGCCCTTGGTACACTGTTTAAAACTAGGACAAGGCCCTATTCTGGGCTCACTCCTCTTATCGTTGGACTGTCATTCTGGAGACTTCCCTTTTGTGTACTCTAGAAGCTGTTGCCAACTTTTGTTTTCTGTGCTAAGGTAGAATATTATAATCACATCCCCAGCTTGTGATTATAATAATGGAAAGCAGTGCAAATATTTCTCCTGTCTTAGGACCCCTTATCTGGAGATGCTTTTTTAATAGCGTAAAGCCCTGAAATCATTCACTGACTCTAAGACAAACAGACTCTGAGAGGCCTCCAATACTCCTCTCCTCTGTGTCTGAAAATCACAGAGAGGTAGCCAGCCTTCTCAATACATCCTGAGAAAAACTCCTGTAATTACAATGGTTAGTATTTGGAACTGAACAGTTTGTAAACAGATATCCCTAAAAGCCAAGAATCACTTTTGGGGCTCTTCTATTCATGAGGGTAATATCCATCATTCATGTTGTTACTGAGACCTAATAAAGACCTCATGCCCAAATATGTTGCATCAAACTGCAATGCCACAAAATGATCTATAAAAAGCTCCTGTCATCAACTGCATTTGCACAAAATGTTACATTCCTCTTTTGGACAGTCATGGTGCACGTTACCCTGAAGGCTTCAAGAGTACTCTAGCAAAAAGCCCTTTTTTAATGTTTTACCTGGTATTTTGCAAACTTATTTGGCCACGGAAACTGTGAAGTCTATGCAATGATAGCATTTGCAGATAAATTACTATATTGACTGAGAGCCTATATTTACTAAGAACCTACTATATTGATTAAGAGCCTGATATTACTATGTTGACGAAGAGTGCCCAGCTATAGTAGTGATGCAAATATTTACTGAATTAGATTGAATTTCCCTACATGCTTCCCAGTCTTGCATATTTCCATTGCCAAAAATGAGGAGACAGCATTTATTTCCTCCCCTCGGGATATACTAGTCTTCCCTGGAAGACAATGGTCTGGTCAGAAATGAAACTGTCTGTGGGAAGTGGGATGATGTGATCCCCTCTGACTGGGATCAAGGGATGAAGGGCCCCGGGACTCCTCACTGCTCTTATCAAGCTGGTGAAGGTTGAGCTTCCCTTGTCAGTCTTTCTTCCCTTTTCTCCTGCAGGCAAGGCCAGGTCAGAAACATTTGTAGCAGGGGCAATAAGCCCACATATTCCTCTCCCTTGACAACCTGAACTTCCCGTGACATTTTTTCATGAGACCCGCCCTTTCTGTACCATGAAGGAGGCATTTGTCTTGTCCTGTGTAACTTCTTCATCATTACTTCCCAAGGTCCTTTAGTCTTTTGGGCAGGGGACGGGGGTGGGTAACTAATTTTATGATCCTCATGATGAAAGAAGCCTTGTTAACCAATTTAGCAAGTGAACAATCTAAAAGAAAGAATAATTAAAAAAAATAATAAAGTGTGTTTGTGTGCATGTGTTGGGGGGCAATATAACATGGTGATTAAGAGCAGGGGCTCTGGAGATGGATTGCCTGGGTTCCAATCCCAGCTCCACCACTAACCAGCTGCATGGTCTGACCTGTAAAACGGGAATAATAGCAATGATACCTGCCTCATAGCCTTATGGTGAGGATTAATTCAGATGACCCAAGTAAAATGCTTGGCACAATGCCTACCTCTATATGAAAGCAGGGATTGTCCCTGGTTAAGCTCACCACTGCTCCCAGCATGCAATCAGTGCTCAGTCTCTATCTGCACAGACTACAGAATGTTTGCTGTCACCAATGCTTCCCTCAATGGACGACTACAAAAATCGGACGAGGGACTACACGTCAAGTACCAAGCACGGTGCTTGGCACAAACTGGACCTTCAGTAAATAAATTCCAGGTATCTCTTTCCCCTAAAATATCTTCCCTAATTCCTTTAAAAAGCACTTGGCATACCCACCTGCTCTGCTCCTAGTCCTTTCTAACACAGTAACTCAGGAATCTATGAGCAGCCAAGGATGTTCATTTAAAAATCACTTCATTTATCATCTCTTTTTTTTGCAGTAGTGGAGGGACTTAAGTACCTTCCCATTATGTTTCTCTATCCAAGTCACACAATAGTCTTTTTCCAATCACTTAGAAGAAACAATTCAAATTCCAATTAAATATCCTGAGGCCAAAGGTAGCACATTCCTTCTTCTGAATGCAGATGATAGATATTAACTGGTTTATGGCTGTTAGTGACTTTCTGGACTTGAAATTTTTTATTTCCTTTATTTCAAACCTATAAATTCACAAGGTTTTGCTGAATTCATTGTCCATATAATGCCCTGCTGGTGCTTAATACGAAAGCTACACCTGATGCTATCTGCACAACCTCAGGAAGCTCATGCTAAGGTTTGAGCTACATATTGTTTATGGAAGTGTGAAATGAGCTTGCTTTTTGCATAAATTTTCTTTAACATCCGTGGTTAAGTCATGGCTGACTTTAATGACTTAACAGTAAAAAAATTCACTCTCCACCTGCCCATCTCTTAATGAGCTGCCTCCTTCTGTATTCTGTAGTTGAATTGTTTGTCGACAAAGCCCTAGGAATGGGAAAGTAAGAGACATTCATTTCATCACAGCATATTTCACCAAGTTTTAAAACATACGCCTGAATTACATCCTAACATATTAAAGATCTCCTGATGGAACCAGGAACCAGAGAACATTTATGGTCTGCATAACTTCCAGTGACCTTAAAGGAAGCTACACAAGTCAGGTCAATCGAATAGATGCTGCTTTTAACATGTAATGCAATCCCTACTGATTTCTAAATATAGTTAATGGAATATAGGCATTAATAAATCTTACAACCACACATTGCTCTAGCCTTTGAGTGCATATTTCTAATTATTCATGTGCTCAGATATTTTACATTACGGCTGAATAATGAATGCCAGTTAATTTCTTTGGTAGAGAAGGAAAATTAGCAAAAATTAACTGTGATAGTTTTGCAACTATTAATTCATATTGACTAGAAGATAATATCTTCTGCTTTGAGTATTTCTGTTTATTAATTCTTAAAAGTCCGCTTATATTCCTGTGAGTGAAATGCATGCTTCATTTCTATTTCACAGCAGGGAGCTAGACCTAGAACTTTCCTAGGTCCCTTTTCGAGTGATCATAGGAACACCCTGCTCCTACCCTGAATAGCGGACTTTAGATTGTCTTTCTGTCTCTTGCCAATTTAGGGACTCCACTTTCACCTCTGGCCTTAACTTTGTGTCAGTCAACACTCTGTGGACTGGTCAATCTGACCTTTTTGGTGTCCCCCGTTAGATCCTTTGTCTCACCTAATCTCTGACTCAGGGTACCCTCTGTTATCTTGAATGTGCAGCTTTTGAAAAGAAATACAGTATGATCTCAGATGGACTGATCATTAGAAGCACTAATGAAACTACAGTAACAAATGGCCAGAAAAGAAACCGAAGACTGAATCGCTAAACCACATGGGGCTTGTGTCCAACGAGAGGGAGACAATCCGAAAGAGTGCCCAGTGCCAAAAGGGTGAAGGTATCTACGCCCTACAGTTAAGAGTGTGGTCTCTGGAACACACTTATGTGGCATTAAATCTTGCTCCATAACTTTCTTGCTTCTGACTTTGGACAAATCACTTAGTAACCTGGACTATAAGATGGGGGTAAAAATAGATGATCAACCTCATGGGGTTGCCATGAATATTACATGAGATTATTCATGTAAAACACTTAGTGTGTACTTAGTGTATAGTGAGCGCTCAATAGCATTTAGTTGATATGTAAGCTTTGGGTGTTAATATCATTAAATTAATATTATTCTTATATATTACTTCAAATTAATCTTTCCCTGGTAATAGATTTTAATTAGGCACCCATCTGCCATGTGTACTCATTCATCCACCAACTATTTATTGATCATCTACTATGAGCCAGACCCTATGTTCTACGTGCCTGGGATACATCAATAAACAAAATAGACAGATTTCTGATCTCATGGGATTTATTTTCTAGTTGGGGGAGACAGACAGTAAACAAGAAACCTAATAAAGAAATAAATTCTGTAAGTGCTATGGGAAAAAGAAAAGTAGAGCAAAGAAAGAGGGACCGTGAGTTCTGGTGGGCAAGTGTGATCATAGAGGTCTTACTGAGAAGGTGACATGAGAAGACTTGAAAGAGAGACAGAGCTGGAAGTGTGGCTATCTGGGAGGACAGCATCCAAGGCAGGGAACAGCCACTGCACATACCCAGCATGTTCAAGGCCAGCCAGGAGGCCAGAGGGGCTGGAGGGAAAGGGGAAGAGCAGTGGGAGCCCAGGCTTTTAGTTTGAGGAAAAGAGTAGCATAGTATTGCAGGGTTGTGAGTGGAAAAGAGACTCAACCAGACATCGGTGGGTAGCCCAGTTCCTCATTTTCCAGCCAATATGAACTTTTCCTGCTAAATTTCCTCTTGACTAAAATAAAACTACTAAGCATCTTTACCAAGGTTTTGCCTTCCCAAGACTCATGTGGGCCAAACATCCCTGTTATACGTTTATGTGATTATACTTCTGATTAAGACAGCCTTAAGTGAGATAGATAATTGAGATAATTAGCCTCTAGATAGACAAGTCACAGTTTAGGAATTTCCTAAATGCTGTTGCCTCTACAGATATCAGCTAACAAGCAGTTTTCAGCCATACCAAATACATACATTGCAGAGACATACATATACACAGTCATGGAAAATACCTATCCATAATGTTGTTTGTGAGTTAATAAACAGGATTGTTGATATTCATCTTCCTCCATGTTCTATATATTTCTCAAAACTGCTTAGACTTTTATTCTTTGCTGATTTGATAATACGAAGTCAAATCTCAATCATATGACTTCCTCTGGAGTAGACACTCAACTTAATTTGGTATGCAGTAATATAGTTGCAAACAAAATCAATGTTTAATTAGATTGAAGTTGACTTCCTCATTTAGTTTTTAATCTATCAAATCAGGGATTTTTGCTTGGTTTTCATGTTCATGAAAACTCAATTAGATGATGAGTGTTGCATTAAAACAATGAGAAGTTTTAGTTAAAATAACATGTTTTGCTAAAATCTATTACACAATGAAAGAGAAGTAAAACCAGATAAAATATATAATTATTACAATGATGCTACCATTGCTTTTCAGCGACATTTATTTATAATTTTGTCACAGATAAGTTTCTGTGGAAGCAGAGTTGAAGCTTATGTATTTGGGATAATTAAAAGATTGGATGGATTTGGCCGGGCACGGTGGCTCACACCTGTAATGCCAGCACTTTGGGAGGCCGAGGCGGGCAGATCACGAGGTCAGGAGATCAAGACCATCCTGGCTAACACAGTGAAACCCATCTCTACTAAAAATACAAAAAAATTAGCCGGGCATGGCAGCGTGCACCTATAGTCCCAGCTACTGGAGACGCTGAGGCAGGAGAATGGTGTGAACCCAGGTGGCGGAGCTTGCAGCGAGCCGAGACCATGCCACTGCACTCCAGCCTGGGCGACAGAGCGAGATTCCGTCTCAAAAAAAAAAAAAAAAAAAAAAAAGATTGGATGGATTTAATTATCTTAATTTCTATAGAGGAAGTAAGCTTCTTACGAGAACATAAATTTTTGTTGTTGGGTAGGGAGTTGAAGACATCTGGTTGAAATTTATTGTCTCCTAATACTGTTTTTCATTTCTCATCATTAACACAATTTTGGTTACTAGAAAAAAAAATAAGAATATAGCAGATATTCAATGTGTGTGTGGGTAAATTTGAAAATTGATAGTGGCTTCCTCGGTGGCCTATCTAGAAATGGTGTAACAGGGGCTACAACCTGAAAAGCCTCCAGGGAAGGGGCAAGAAATGTGTATGAGTGAAGCATCTCAGTGCAAGAAGATAAATGGTAGCTAACGGTCAGCTGCGTGTCTGGAAGGCAATGGGGAGCCGTGAGGAGAGCAAAGCTATGTCCCATTTCAGCGGGTCAGCCACTTCTCAGCCAGGTCCAGCCGCAGGGTAACAAAAGCTTGGTTTTGCCAAATCTGATTTTGTAAGAAAAGTCAAGATTCCTGATTTTTATCTGTCATATTTCCCAAGTATAAATGGTAGCTAGCTTTTTAAAAAAAGCCTAATTGGGGCAAAACTGCATAGGTCCAATAAAACATGCCTGTGGGCCAAATTCAGTCCATAGTCCACTTCTGTGGCACATTTTGGTGTACATTTCACACAGTGAAACTGAGAAGCAGAGGAACTCCTTATATGCGTGATTTATAGAAGCCTCATTCCCCATTGCTCTTTGTCTATAAATCACTTTGTTGCGTCATTTTATCTGATAAAAAGCTTTTATCAGATACTGTATCCTATTATTGCTATTAGCTATAGTGGCTGTTATTGGAATCATCTGTATTACAGAGTAGCTATAAATATATTATTAATATAGCAGAATTAAATACAGAATTTATATATACATCTATTGTTCCAAATATGTTATCTTATTCTCCCAAAATGACTATAAGTTATATAGAAATAAATTCATAAGGCCAGTTTGCAGTTCTAAAATCTGAGGTATGGCACAGTTTAATAAACTACCCAATGTGACAGGTATATGGTAGTGGCAAACCAGAGATTAAAACCCAGGTTTATCTGCTGTGATCAGTGAAGTTTTTCTATGATCCAGTTTTATTATCTTTATAAGCCAGGTTATCATCAAACTTAATATTGAATTCTACCGCAGGAAAGGATAACATTAATCTGTTGAGAAGCTAAACTATATGCCTGATGTCTCCCTGGAAAATTCTGTAATAGGATAAAGGAACTTCTGCTAAAATGCAAATGTGTTCATGTGCGTTATCTTGTTTTTTTTCTTTGCCCATTTTTATTTATTTCTTATTTTTTATTATACATTAAGTTCTGGGATACATGTGCAGAACGTGCAGGTTTGTTATAGATATACACATGCCATGGTGGTTTGCTGCACCCATCAACCTCTCATCTACATTAGGTATTTCTCCTAACGTTATCCCTCCCCTAGCCCCCCACCTTCTGACAGGCCCCAGTGTGTGATGTTCCCCTCCCTGTGTCCATGTGTTCTCATTGTTCAACTCCCACTTATGAGTGAGAACATGTGGTGTTTGGTTTTCTGTTCCTGTGTTAGTTTTCTGAGAATGACGGTTTCCAGCTTCATCCATGTCCCTGCAAAGGACATGAACTCATCCTTTTTTGTGGCTGCATAGTATTCCATGGTGTGTATGTGTCACATTTTCTTTATCCAGTCTATCATTAATGGGCATTTGGGTTGGTTCCAAGTCTTTGCTATTGTGAACAGTGCTGCAATAAACACACATGTGCTTGAGTCTTTATAGTAGAATGATATATAATCCTTTGGGTATATACCTAGTAATGGGATTGCTGGGTCAAATGGTATTTCTGCTTCTAGATCCTTGAGGAATCGCCACACTGTTTTCCACAATGGTTGAACTAATTTATACTCTCACCAACAGTGTTAAAGCATTCCTACTTCTCCACATCCTCTCCAGCATCTGTTGTTTCCCAACTTTTTAATGATCACTATTCTAACTGGTGTGAGATTGTACCTCATTGTGGTTTGAGTTGCATTTCTCTAATGACCAGTGATGATCAGCTTTTTTCACGTTTGTTGGCAGCATAAATGTCTTCTTTTGAGAAGTGTCTGTTCATATCCTTCACCCACTTTTTGATGGCGTTGTTTGGTTTTTTCTTGTAAAATTGTTTAAGTTCCTTATAGATTCTGGATGTCAGCCCTTTGTCAGATGGATACATTGCAAAATTTTTCTCCCATTCTGTAGGTTGCCTGTTCACTCTGATAATAGTTTCTTTTGCTGTGCGGAAGCTCTTTAATTTGATTAGATCCCATTTGTCAATTTTGGCTTTTGTTGCCATTGCTTTTAGTGTTTTAGTCATGAAGTCCTTGCCCATGCCTATGTCCTGAATGGTATTGCCTAGGTTTTCTTCTAGGGCTTTTTTTGTTTTGTTTTTGAGACGGAGTCTCACTCTGTCGCCCAGGCTGGAGTGCAGTGGCGCGATCTTGGCTCACTGCAAGCTGCACCTCCTGGGTTCACGCCATTCTCCTGCCTCAGCCTCCCGAGTAGGTGGGACTACAGGTGCCCGCCACCACACCTGGATAATTTTTTTGTATTTTTAGTAGAGACAGGCTTTTACCGTATTAGCCAGGATGGTCTCAATCTCCTGACCTTGTGATCTGCCTGCCTCGGCCTCCCAAGGTGCTGGGATTACAGGTGTGAGCCACAATGCTTGGCCCTCTTCTAGGGCTTTTATGGTTTTAGGTCTTACCTTCAAGTCTTTAATCCATCTTGAGTTAATTTTTGTATAAGTTGTAAGGAAGGGATCCAGTTTCAGTTTTCTGCATGTGGTTAGCCAGTTTTCTCAACACCATTTATAAAATAGGGAATCCTTTCCCCATTGCTCGTTTGTGCCAGTTTTGTTAAAGATCAGATGGTTGCAGATGTGTGATGTTATTTCTGAGAACTCTGTTCTGTTCCATTGGTCTATATATCTGTTTTGGCACCAGTACCATGCTGTTTTGGTTACTGTGGCCTTGTAGTATAGTTTGAAGTCAGGTAGCGTGATGCCTCCATCTTTGTTCTTTTTGCTTAGGATTGTCTTGGCTATGCAGGCTCTTTTTTGGTTCCTTCTGAAATTTAAAGTAGTTTTTTCCAATTCTGTGAAGAAAGTCAATGGTAGCTTGATGGGGATAGCATTAAATCTATAAATTACTTGGGGCAGTATGGCCATTTTCACAATATTGATTCTTCCTATTCATGAGCATGGAATGTTTTCCATTTGTTTGTGTCCTCTCTTATTTCCTTGAGCAGTGGTTTGTAGTTCTCCTTGAAGAGGTCCTTCACATCCTTTATGAGTTGTATTCCTAGGTATTTTATTCTCTTTGTAGCAATTGTGAATGGGAGTTCACTCATGATTTGGCTCTCTGTTTGTCTATTTTTAGTGTATAGGAATGCGTGTGATTTTTGCACATTGATTTTGTATCCTGAGACTTTTCTGAAGTTGCTTATCAGCTTAAGGAGATTTTGGGCTGAGACGATGGGGTTTTCTTTTCTTTTTTTCTTTGTTTTTTTTTTTTTTTTTTGAGACGGAGTCTCGCTCTGTTGCCCAGGCTGGAGTGCAGTGGCACGATCTCTGCTCACTGCAAGCTCCGCCCCCCAGGTTCATGCCATTCTCCTGCCTCAGCCTCCTGAGTAGCTGGGACTACAGGCGCCCATCACCAAGCCTGGCTAATTTTTTTTGTATTTTTAGTAGAGACGGGGTTTCACAGTGTTCGCCAGGATGGTCGCAATCTCCTGACCTCGTGATCTGCCCGCCTTGGCCTCCCAAGTGCTGGCATTACAGGCATGAGCTACCGCAGTTTTCTAAATATACAATCACGTCATCTGCAAACAGAGACACTTTGACTTCCTCTCTTCCTATATGAATAACCTTTATTTCTTTCCTTGTCTGATTGCCCTGGTTAGAACTTCCAATACTATGTTGAATAGGAGTGGTGAGAGAAGGCATCCTCGTCTTGTGCTGGTTTTCAAAGGGAATGCTTCCAGTTTTTGCCCATTGAGTATGATACTGGCTGTGGGTTTGTCATAAACAGCTCTTAATATTTTGAGATACGTTCCATCAATACCTAGTTTATTGAGAGTTTTTAGCATGGAGGGGTGTTGAATTTTATTGAAGAGCTTTTCTGCATCTATTGAAATAATCATGTGGTTTTTGTCATTGGTTCTGTTTATGTGATGGATTGCATTTATTGATTTGCATATGTTGAAACAGCCTTGCATCCCAGGGGTGAAGCTGACCTGATTGTGGTGGATACGCTTTTTGATGTGCTGCTGAATTCAGTTTGCCAGTATTTTATTGAGGACTTTTTCATCAATTTTCATCAGGGATATTGGCCTGAAATTTCTTTTTTTGTTGTGTCTCTGCCAGGTTTTGGTATCATGATGATGCTGGCCTCGTAAAATGAGTTAGGGAGGATTCCTTCTCTTTCTGTTGTTTGGAATACTTTCAGAAGGAATGGTACCAGCTCCTTTTTGTACCTCTGGTAGAATTCGACTGTGAATCTGTCTGGTCCTGGGCTTTTTTTGGTTGCTTGGCTATTAATTACTGCCTCAATTTCAGGCCTTTTATTGCTCTTTTCAGAGATTTGATTTCTTCCTGGTTTAGTCTTGGGAGGGTGTATGTGTCCAGGAATTTATCCATTTCTTCTAGATTTTCTAGTTTATTTGTGTAGAGGTGCTTATGGTATTCTCTGATGGTAGTTTGTATTTCTGTGGGATCGGTGGTGATCTCTCCTTTATAATTTTTTGTTGTGTCTATTTGATTCTTCTCTCCTTTCTTCTATATTAGTCTGGCTAGTGATCTATCTATTTTGTTAATCTTTTTAAAAAAACAGCTCCTGGATTCATTGACTTTTTGAAGGGTTTTTCTTGTCTCTATCTCCTTCAGTTCTGCTCTGATCTTAGTTATTCTTGTCTTCTGCTAGCTTTTGAATTTGTTTGCTGTTGCTTCTCTAGTTCTTTTAATTGTGATGTTAGGGTGTTGATTTCAGATCTGTCCACTTTCTCTTCTAGGCATTTCATGCTATAAATTTCCCTCTAAACACTGCTTTAGCTGTGTCCCAGAGATTCTGGTACGTTTTCTTTGTTCTCATTGGTTTCAAAGAACTTCTGTATTTCTGCCTTAATTTCGTTATTTACCCAGTAGTCATTCAGGAGCAGGTTGTTCAATTTCCATGTAGTTGTGCAGTTTTGAGTGAGTTTCTTAATCTTGAATTCTAATTTGATTGCACCATGGTCTGAGAGACTGTTTGTTATGATTGCCATTCTTTTGCATTTGCTGAGGAGTGTTTTACTTCCAGTTATGTGGTTAATTTTATAATAAGTGTGATGAGGTGCTGAGAAGAATGTATATTCTGTTGATTTGGGGTGGAGAGTTCTGTAGATGTCTATTAGGTCTACTTGGTCCAGAGTTGAGTTCAAGTCCTGAATATCCTTAATTTTCTGTCTCGTCGATCTGTCTAATATTGACAGTGGGGTGTTAAAGTCTCCCACTATTATTGTGTGGGAGTCTAAGTCTCTTTGTAGGTCTCTAAGAACTTGCTTTATGAATCTGGGTGCTCCTGTATTGGGGCGTATATATTTAGGATAGTTAGCTGTTCTTGTTGTATTGATCCCTTTACCATTATGTAATGCTCTTCTTTGTCTCTTTTGATCTTTGTTGGTTTAAAGTCTGTTTTATCAGAGACTAGGATTGCAACCCCTACTTTTTTTTTTTTTTTTTTTTTTTTTTTGAGACGGAGTCTTGCTCTGTTGCCCAGACTGGAGTGCAGTGGCGTCATCTTGGCTCACTACAAGCTCCGCCTCCCAGGTACATGCTATTCTCCCGCCTCAGCCTCTGGAGTAGCTGGGACTACAGGGGCCTGCTACCACACTCGGCTAATTTTGTTTTCGTATTTTTAGTAGAGACAGGGTTTTGCCATGTTAGCCAGGATGACCTTGATCTCCTGATCTCGTGATCCTCCTGCCTCAGTCTCCCAAAGTTTTGGGATTACCGGCGTGAACCACCATGCCTGGCCACAACCCCTGCTTTTTTTTTGCTTTCCATTTGCTTGATAAATATTCCTCCATCCTTTTTTTTTGAGCCTATGTGTGTCTTTGCATGTCAGATGGGTCTTCCGAATACAGCACACTGATGGGTCTTGACTCTATCCAATTTGCCAGTCAGTGTCTTTTAATTGGGGCATTTAGCCTATTTACATTTAAGATTAATATTGTTATGTGTGAATTTGATCCTGTCATTGTGATGCTGGCTGGTTATTTTGCCCAGTAGTTGAATCATTTGCTTCATAGTGTCGATGGTCTCTAGCATTTGGTATGTTTTTGCAGCAGCTGGTACTGATTGTTCCTTTCCATGTTTAGTGCTTCCTTCAGGAGCTTTTGTAAGGCAGGCCCAGTGGTGACAAAATCTCTCAGCATTTGCTTGTCTGTAAAGGATTTTATTTCTCCTTCGCTTTTGAAGCTTAGTTTGGCTGAATAGGAAATTCTGGTTTGAAAATTCTTTCCTTTAAGAATGTTGAATATTGGCCCCTACTCTCTTCTGGCTTGTAGGGTTTCTGCTGTGAGATCCACTGTTAAGTCTGATGGGCTTCCCTTTGTAGGTAACATGACGTTTCTCTCTGGCTGCCCTTAATATTTTTTCCTTCATTTCAACCTTGTTGAATCTAACGCTTATATGTCTTAGGGTTGCTCCTCTTGAGGAGTATCTTTGTGGTGTTCTCTGTATTTCCGGAATTTGAATGTTGCCCTCTCTTGTTAGGTTGGGGAAGTTCTTCTGGATACTATCCTGAAGAGTGTTTTCCAACCTGGTTCCATTCTCCCCTTCACTATCAGGTACACCAATCAAACGTAGGTTTAGTCTTTTCACATAGTCCCATATTTCTTGGAGGCTTTGTTCATTTCTTTTCATTCTTTTTTCTCTAATCTTGTCTTCACACTTTATTTCATTAAGTTGATCTTCAGTCTCTCATATCCCTTCTTCCATTTGATTGATTTGGCTATCGATACTTGTGTATGCTTCATGAAGTTCTCGTGCTGTGTTTTTCAGCTCCATCAGGTCATTTATATTCTTTTCTAAACTGGTTATTCTAGTGAGCAATTCCTCTAATATTTTTTCAAGGTTCTTAGCTTCCTTGCATTTGACATGCTCCTTTAGCTTGAAGAAGTTTGAAGCCTACTTCTGTAAATTTGTCAAACTCATTCTCCATCCATTTTTGCTCCCTTGCTGATGAGGAGTTGTGATCCTTTGGAGGAGAAGAGGTGTTCTGGTTTTTGGAATTTTCAGTCTTTTTGCGTTGGTTTTTCCTCATCTTTGTGGATTTATCTACCTTTGGTCTTTGCTGTTGTTGACCTTCAGATGGGGTTTTTGTGTGGATGTTCTTTTTGTTGATGTTGATGCTATTCCTTTCCATTTGTTAGTTTTCCTTCTAACGGTCAGGCCCCTCTGTTGCAGGTCTGCCGGAGTTTGCTGGAGGGTCCACTCCATACCCTGTTTGCCTGGGTATCACCAGCGGAGGATGCAGAACAGTAAAGATTGCTGCCTGTTCCTTCCTCTGGTAGCTTCATCCCAGAGTGGCACCCTCCAGATGCCAGCTGGAGCTCTCCTGCATGAGGTGTCTGTTGATCCCTTCTGGGAGGTATCTCCCAGTCAGGAGGCATGGGGGTCAGGGACCCACTTGAGGAAGCAGTCTGTCCTTTAGCAGAGCTCAAGTGCTGTGCTGGGAGATCTGCTGCTCTCTTCAGAATGGCAGGCGGGGACGTTTAAGTCTGCTGAAGCTGCGCCCACAGCTGCCCCTTCCCCCAAGTGCTCCTGTCCCAAGGAGATGGGAGTTTTATCTATAAGCCCCTGACTGGGGCTGCTGCCTTTCTTTCAGAGATGCCCTGCCCAGAGAGGAGGAATCTGGAGAGGCAGTCTGGCTATGGCGGCTTTGCGAAGCTACATTGGACTCCACCCAGTTCAAACTTCTCAGCTGCTTTGTTTATACTGTGAGGGGAAAACTGCCTACTCAAGCCTCAGTAATGGCGGACAACCCTCCCCCCACCAAGCTCCAGTGCCCCAGGTCAACCTCAGACTGCTGTGCTGGCAGTGAGAATTTCAAGCCAGGGGATCTTAGCTTGCTGGACTCCATGGGGGTGGGATCCACTGAGCTAGACCACTTGGCTCCCTGGCTTCAGCCCCCTTTCCAGGGGAGTGAATGGTTTGGTCTCACTGGTATTCCAGGTGCCACTGGGGTATGAAAAAAAACTACTGGAGCTAGCTCGGTGTCTGCCCAAACGGCTGCCCAGTTTTGTGCTTGAAACCCAGGGCCCTCATGGTGAAGGCACCCAAGGGAATCTCCTGGTCTGCCAGTTGTGAAGGCCATGGGAAAAGCGTAGTATCTGGGCTGGAGTGCACCATTCTTCACGACACAGTCCTTCATGGCTTCCCTTGGCTAGGGGAGTTCCCTGACCCCTTGCACTTCCTAGGTGAGACGACACCCCACCCTGCTTTGGCTTGCCCTCCATGTGCTGCACCCACTGTCTAACCAGTCCCAGTGAAATGAGCTGGGGACCTCAGTTGGAAATGCAGAAATAACTCGCCTTCTGCATTGATCTCGCTGGGAGTTGCAGACCGGAGCTGTTCCTATTTGGCCATCTTGCCAGCCACCCATGTGTTTTCAAATGAACTTTGAATTGGTTTTTGTAGAATTAACAGCTTTCCTTTTATTTACCTGTTCTAGGACCATTGCAAGACAACCTATTTATTAAAGAAATGAACCAAGCATTAAAAAAAGACAGACTAGATAATGGTTATATGCTTTTTATTTGTGACATTTGAATACCCAAGCTCACATATAACTGATTTCCTAAATATCATTTAATTTTATGTTGCTTTTCTAATTGATTTAATTGTTAGTTTTCCTTATAGTCAAATGCTTAATACAATCATAAATGGAACCAAAAATATAGTAAACATTTCTTTTTCTGATGTATGTAAAAAAGATACAGGAAAATTCTGAAATCAGATCACTATAAGCTAGTAAAACAGGCGAATTATTTGATTAGAAATGGACTCTTCCTTCATAAGTTACACAAATCCTTATGTAGTCACTGAAAATTCTTACTCAGAATTAATACCTGTCCAGAGGGAAACAGCCTGTTATAAAAGCTTTCTGTTAATATATTTTTTAAGGCAGGAAAACAATCATTATTTCCAAACACACTTTGTTTGTCTAATTCTAGGAGAGAATCACCAATTTCTTCAAGGTCCAAAATGATCAGAACAAGAATGACAACAGTGTCAACCAAATGATGCCTCCAACTCCTTTTAATGATTGTGCCTTGGTACACATTTCCTCAAAGATAATGGCTATACTTTTCCCACAATCTTTTTGCTTTTGTTTTCTCCCAGTGTGGTACTCATGGAGTATGGAAGGGACATAAGGTTTAGAGAACATAGGAAGCAATTTGCTTCCATCAATAACCAGAATGATGGATTGACATAAATCAGCACAAAAAGATAAGTGTAATTCTATTCAAGTCCCTTAATGTTTTGCCAATTAAGGTTTTTTTTTTTTTTTTTTTGAAACAACAACAGTGTAATCTTTAACAGGGATGTTAAAGGTAAGAAGTCAGGAAGATAAACCAAAATGATTGAGTATGATAAAGAATTTTGCATGGCGATTAAAATAGAAAACCTATAAATGTAGAAAAAGCAGGTCTGGACTTAGCAAAGAAACAATATAGTTTGGAGAAGGCATGAAATAAGTTCTTTTCATGTTCACTGCTGGTCACAGCCATAACAGAGAGTGATGTGGAGAGCTTTGGGAAGGTTTCACGTTGAGTTACATCAGTGGTCAACAATGGAGCAACAAGACTCCGTAGAGGATGCCACCCTGGGAGAATTGCAAGGGAAAGGAGGCTGAAGCACAACTGGTAATAGCCTTCAGATATTTAATGGATATGCAAATAAAGCTCTGATTAATTGTATTTTCACTTATTATATATCATCTTTGGACCTTTCTAAAAGTGGGACACTAGAAAAGATATACTGAAACTCAAAAAGAATACTTCAGCTCGAGTTGAATGGAATTCAAGATGTTGTGGAGGGTTCAGTGGGTTGGTTATACCAAAGAATGCTATAGAATTTCCATGCCCGAAGAACTGTGAGAGGAGTATAGATTTTTTCACCAAGGAAGTTACTGGCATGGTTTGAGAGATAGAAGGAATTGATTAAGAAACCTCTCAAAGTTTCTTCCACTTAACCTGGCTCTGAGACTCTGGGTCTTTGGAAATGAGAAAATACCCAGGGAAGAGAAAACGAACAATTTAAGAAGCAGGAAATGACTCTAGATCAGTATTTCTCAATTACAGCCGTGTAAGACATTTTCTTCCTAATCATCTCTCCCTTGCACCATCACCATGAAATTTTAATACCACATAAATACTTTGTATCTGTTTATGTACTTGTGATCCTTTGGAGGGTCACAACTCACTGTACTATCTAAGAGTTTTCCCAAAAAAACCATCTGACAATTAGGGAGTGTGTGCTCTCTATAAATAAACTATGGGTCCAAATGGGAGGTCATTGAAGACGGGAGAAAAAATAAAAGCGTTGAATATTTCACCTCTGGCTACAGGGAGCATACAAATCCTCACTTGCCCATGCTCTCACGTATTGCCTGCACATGGAAACTTCCTTCTTCCCCTCCCTCCTGTTATATGGAAAGGGATGAATGCTTTGCTAGTGCTATATCATCTGACTGCAATGCTTATAATATTTTGGGGATCCTGGGCCTCCTTGAGAACATTAAGGGATGAATGTACGTATGCACAGCCTCACACTCTATAAATGTATGTGTCCTGAATTTCAGAGCTTAATAATGAATTATGGAACTTGATAATGATTGGATCAGGCAGACAACACCTGATCAGTCCTAATATCAGAAAAGAGACAAGTAGACATTATGTGCTTCCTGAGGTGAGGCAGTAGTAAGGAAACAACATCACACATGTAGCAGTCTTGGGAAAAAAAATGTAACCTGTATCTCGTAATGAGGAAACAATCAGTAAAAAAGTCTAGATTGTGGGACATTCCACAAACTTGCCTGAACTCTTTAATAATGTCAGTGTCATGAAAGACACACCACACACACACACACTGCACATCATACACAAACACCACCCCACCACCCACCACTCAGACACACACAAAAGGGCAACTCTAATCAATTAAAGGAAACAAAAGAGAATGACAACTACATATAACGTATAATTCTTGATTGGATCCTGGATTTAAAAATAAACAGCTATAAAGGATATTTTGGGGACAACTGGAGAATTTTGAATATGGATCATATATTAGATTTATGCAGTATCAGTGTTCAGTTTCATGGGCGTGAAAATATTGCAGATTTATAGGACAATGCTCTTATTAAAAGAAAGAATATGATGAAGTATTTTACATTTTCATGATGTCTGCAACTTATTTTCAGAAGGTTCAAGAATAAGAATGTGTATTTACAGTGAGAAAGAAAATGTGAGGCAGGTGCGGTGGTACATGCCATAGTCCTGGCTACTCAGGAGGCTAAGGTTGAAGCTCACTTGAGGCAAGGGGTTCAAGGCCAGCTTGGGTAAAATAGGGAGAGACCCCTTCTCTTAAAAAAAAAAAAGGAAGAAAAGAAAACAAGGCAAAACATTAACAACTGATGCACTAAAGGACATAAGGGTACTCACTATAATCTTTCAACTTTGAAACTTTTACTTTAAAATTTCCCAAAATTAAAATGAAAGCAGAAAAAGAAGGAGAGTAGGACAGGTTAGGAAGAAGAAGGAGGGTTGTCAGTCTCTGACCCAGAGGGCTGAAGCTCCATTTATAACAGAGATGAACAGTTAGATGCAGTCAAGCAGAGGAGATAAAAATTGACTGCAGAGATTTTCTTCAGAATGTGCCAAAGTTCTGTGGGAACAGGAATATTCTGTGATTAAAAAAAAAAAAAGGGTAGTTTGCCAGAATTTACCCTAGAAGAGTTCATTAGTGCAATTAACAATATAAGCAGGAGGAAATTCTTCCAAGAAGCTTAAAAAGATTTGGATTTTTAAATTGAGTGGAAATTTCATATGCACAGTTAATAAAAAATAACCTTAAAAAGAATGAATAACAAAGGTCTCCAGATTCCAGCCTCCTGCTCGATTATGCACTGCTGAAATGCAGGAACATATTCAACTTTTTAATGTAAAAATCCTGTGGCGTTCCATGATGCACAGCTACAGAGTTCCTCCAGGGCATGGGCTCCGTAGTTACCTCTCTGTGCCACTGTGCTGCATTCCCATCTGGTAACTGTGTATTGCAGAGGCTGGGACTTAGGGGCTCTTGTTTCTGTTCTCTGGATCTCTGTGATGGTCAGATATTCTTTTGGCCAAAAGAGATGTAGGGAAAAAACTTTGCCTATCTTGTCCTCTCAAAGTTACTTAGGAAGGGGGACAAAAGTATGTTTATTGTTGACCAGGGCACAGCAACATGGTGAGGTAGCAGCAATTGGATTCCGTGAGATGACCTTTACGAGACACAAAGCAAGGTTCAGGCTGCTTGGTTAGGTCAACAGAGAATGCCACTGTACCCACAGAGACAGCCCTTTCTTAGCTTGGACAAAGATTTCATGATTCTAGTCTTTTGTGGCAGCCACAGAGGGCTTTAACACATTATGATTGATAAAACAAAATCAGAGTCATTTAGTTATTCTTTAATCATTATTACTTTAAAATACACTAATACATTCTTATCTACTTCCCTCCACCGACAAATATTTTGCTAAATTAAAAGGATCACTGGAAGTATTATGACCCCCCTCGTCACAGGTGGTCAGAACCACCACAGTTTTGTGAATGAATCAGAGAAGGCAACATTTCATCAACGAAAACTCATTTAGGTTTCAAAAGGCAGGATGTAGTACAGAATGCATTATTCTGACTGTCTTCTGGAATAGAAAAATTGGAAAGGATGAAAGAAGGAAGTTAGCTCCAGCTCCACTGTTACCTTGGCAACCGTGGCCCAATCACAGGGGCAGAAATTAATTTTGTGCCGTAACATAACGTGGCAGAGGAGTGGGGAGCGTGGAGTGGGGAGAGAATGACGGCTGGGTTTAAATGCTCAGAAGGCTAGTGGGGAGGGTTACAAGTCAGCCGTCTGGGTGTTAAATCTACACGTACCAAATAACCAATTGTACTTTTTTCACTGAAATGTTAGTATTATGTAGAGACAGCCACGACTCCCTGTCTTTAATAAAGAACAAACACTGCAGTAATCATGCCCAACGCTCCCGCTGATCATTCTTAGTTATTTAGGACTTTTATTTCTCTCTTCTGGGAAACAGGAAAGAATATCTTCCACTGAAGAGACAAGGAATGATGGTGGTTATAAAAAATACATTCTGATCAGGTGAACTGGTAACTTGTCAGCTTTACGCTAGTAACCAGTCTCTTCCCTGCAGTTAGAACGTGAAGACCCTGTTTGGGGCAGAGACAAGCCACCCCATGGAGTGTCCCTGATAAAACTATTTATTAGGGAAATGCTATGGACGCCTCGGCAGGGAGAGTAGGGAGGTGCAGGGGATGGGTAGGGGTTCAGGTGTCTCAGAGCTCCACAGCCCTGCACAGTGTTAAACCACAGATCAGAGCAGGAGCTTTTAGAGACCTGAAAGGAAGGCTTATTGCATAAAAACTTGCTGCACATCCAGAGGTCCAAAATTCACCCGGCACTTAAAAAACCAATCACAGAGAAGTCGGCCAGCTGACAAGACAGATAAGTGGAAAAATACGAACACGCATCTCAGTCTCAAAACCTGAATTCCAGTAAAGCTTAGGCGGCAGGTCACAGGCAGAACTGTGCCATGTGTGGAAGTGCAGAGGCTTCCTCGTGGACAATTCCCCAGCCAGAACGGTCAAGGGGCTGGTCCTTCTTTCACGTTGTGGTCTGCCTCGTCCACAGGTCTGGGCTAGCAGCACTCAGAAGGTTAAGAGCACACAAAGTGAGTGGGGAATGTCTCTCAGGAGTCACTGCTTGCCTCCACCTCTGCTGTTCCTGGGAGTAGGTGTGTCATTTCAGCCAGGGTGGTCCACCTCCTGCCCGCTCAGGGCACCAGGAGGAAACAGCTTTCCTTTCTTCCAAAGGGTGAGGTGGAGCATTAGTGACACATCCTGCTCGTCATTTCTTTCTGGAAAGCAAGGGGAAAAGGATGGTTAGGAGAAACTATAAGCAGAGCAACGATTTGGTGAAGGATCCTGAAAATGCTCTTGGAATCTCGAGAGCCTGTAAATGAAAGCTTGCAAGCATGGTCCATGAATAAGGCTTAGCATGAGGGTATGTTCCATCTGTTTGTTCTGCAGAATTTTTTTTTTCCATTAAGGCACTGTTTAAAAATTTGACTCATGTATCAAAATTCAGGTTGCTTGCTTGCTTTTTCTGAGAAATTGCAAGATTTGGAGCTTCTGAACAACTGGAGTTGAAGAATGGCTGTCCTCTTCAGCAGAAGAATTTGCTCTCCAGTTTGCCCCAGTCCTTGCCACTCCCACCTGACTTCCCAGCAGGAGCCATGTAGCACTTATGAACTGATACAGTAATTGGATTTGGACTGCTAGTTTTCTTCGAGTAGGGAAAGATTTAAGTTTCAATCAAAGATGGAAAAATAAAGGATAAGTGGGTATAAGTCAAGAAAAGCAGGAAGGAGGACATTTTTAAAAATAGAAATGAATAATACACCAAAGTGTCTGACATGCGTCACCTGCCTGGCTCTTGTGGGTATTTATAGATCCCGAATAGCCATCCTTTCTCTACCCCTGGGGCTCCGCACAGGTTGAGTCCCATGCCTATGGTCCGCTGCTACCACATCCTGCGCCTGCCCCTCTTCATTTGTCAAATTGCCACTCATTTTTCCACCTCAGGTAAGGTGACTTTTACCTGCTGGGAGACCTTCCCGCACTCCTGCCCCACTCGCTGTGGAGGTAGCCACTCTCTCCTCCTGTGCACACATTGATTCTTACATGCAGTGTATGAATTTGTACATCTCTGTGTGTGTGTGTGTGTACTGGGGCTCTGGACATGTCTGTTGGCCCTGCTAGACTGGGCGCTACTAAGTGCCAGGAAAAAGAAGCACTCATTGAATCGCCCCATGTGCTTTCATCTTTGTAGCCCCTGCCCCTGGCACTGTGCCAGGGTAGTGGCTCCTCTTTCATCTCCAAGGATGGTCTGAGGAGCAGGCTAGTAATGAGCCCTGTGCCATTTAGCATCTTGAGAAGACAAGTTTCATGTCACTTTAGTTAGATGAACGATCTTCCAAGTTCTACCTGCTGCAGAGCTGACTGCAGCTACTACATCTCTTGCATACTGACCTGGACTGCCACACCTTATATAATAGGAAACATCGAGAAAAAGGAGACTGAGTGTGGGAGTGCCAAGGTGTTCAGAGAAGCGTTCTATTCGAAAACCATACAGATGTGCTGGTTAAAGAAATAACAATAGACAAGGCAGAATCTAGGCACTTTTGCATCTCTATAATTATTAATACAGGAAGTTACAAATCTATGTGTATATCTAATTTTTTCAATTTTTAATTTTTTCGACAGGATCTTGCTGTTGCCCAGGCTGGAGTGCAGTGGCAACAGCTCACTGCAGCCTCAACCACTCGGGCTCAAGCTATCCACCCACCTCAGACTCCTGAGTAGCTGGGACTATAGGCACACAACACCACACCTGGCTAGTTTTTAAGTTTGTTGTATAGACAGGATTTCACCATGTTGCCCTGGTTGGTCTCAGACTCCTGAGCTCAAGCATTACCCATCTTGGCCTCCCAAAGTGCTGGGATTACAGGTGTGAACCACTGCACCCAGCTTTTGGCTTAACTCTTGATGACACAGACAAGGAAAACAAGATGGGAATACAACAAGAGCATGTGTGTGTGTGTTTGAGAGAGACAGAAAGAGAAGTAGGGAGAGAGAAAGTGTGTTCATGGGATAAACAGAATTTTAGCTTTATAACTTAATTATTTGCAATAGGTCTGTACTTTTGAAAAGAAAGAAGCTAGCTATAGTTAAATATCTATAAGATGCCAGGTGCTTTGGGGTGGTTATACCATTGCATCTGTATAACTCTAAGACAGGGAACTATGACCTCCAATGGACAGAGGAAGAATCCCAGTTTCAGAGCAGAAGCTATTTGCTCAAGGTAAATGGGTAAGGTACAGAATGCTCAACAGTAACCGCTGCTTTTATTAAACAGAGGCCTGCTGTTTGCCAGTCCCAGTGTCTACTGCTATACAGATATTATACTTTGTGAAGTAAGATTTGCCATCTCTACTGTATTGATGAGGAAAAACCCTCAGGGAAGGAGAGTACCTTACCAGGTCACATAGAAAGCTGCAGGTCTACGGTTTAAACTCAGGTCTATCTGACCGCAAAGGCTTGCTCTTTCTACTACACCATGTGATTGTAGGTTAAAGCCTCTAAGATAGTCTTATGAATATGCAATCGGATAATACTGGCATATATTAATTGACATATATAATTATAGGTGGTTGCAGTCATTCATGAATTTTCAAAATGCCAGATTTTTTTCTTTATCCAGACTGATGCCAGTTTGAATTATAGGTACAATGGGCAAATACTAGAACAATTATGCCACTGAGAGAGTATGGACACTAGAAATATGGCAGAGTTTTTTTTTAAGTAGCAGAGTAACAGTTTCAGAGAGGACAGGGTACTTATTCAAGGTCACTGAGATGCAGGATAAAAACTGTTTCCTGGGATGCCTCTTAAATTCATAAAGGGAATGTATGGTTGAAATAGCAGATCAGAAACATCAGGAAAGACATTTGAGTTGGATCCATCCTTCAAAGCTCTGCAAGACTCTGCAAGCTGTATTCTAGCACTTGCCCACTGGGTGGAGCCAATGAGCTGTTAAAAAAAAAAACTCGTTTAAATAAACAAATGGCAATGCTAGGTTCCATCGCTTTCTTCATCAGAGCCCTCCCGCAGGCTAGCAGGGCCAAACACATTCCTTCCTCTCTGAGAGTGTGGCCAAAATAGCTTCTACCCAGGGTGCTCTTTACAATGAATTTGCCATTGCTGGAGTTACTGAATGCCCTGTGTATTAAGGCAGGCCACTAAAGAACTCCAAAACGTGTATTAAAAGGCTTCCGCTGAGGTGATGAGAAGCTTCTGAGAAAGTTCCTGGTGACTGTGCTTGGCTTGTATATGAAGATTTTCAAAAACACCTGAATTTTTCAAAATGTGTTTTTAACAGAAGATCAAAGTAGAATCTTGGTTGTGGTCACTCGGTTTCATTTGTTTTAAAATAAAGCAGTAATTGATTCTATGAAGTCCCTGGTTCTCCACTGTCAACAAAACAAATTCCATCCTCTGAAGCCTGTCAAAGAAAGAGGACCCATCGCCCCCTGCTCACCTCCTGCTGAATTCCCTCCCACTCACCACACCAGCCAGGCAAACTAGACTTCTCCAGGTCTCCAACTGGCCAGTTTCTAGTGGTTTCTTTCTTATATCTGGTAAATATTTTCTGCCCTTCTCTGCCTGGCAAATTTTGACATCCTTTAAGATGCAATTGTCAGCTCCTTTCTTGGGTATCTCCATCACTTTGCACACATTTGCATTCTATCACATTGGAATTCATCATTTCATTTTTGCCTGAATCTGAGAAGAACATTAATATTTTTTAGTATATTAATGTATGATGCATATTTTATTCAAATTGTATAACAGGATGTATGGTTTGATCCAGTTATTTTGAGAAAAAATATAAAGAAAAATATGGGTCCAACATGATAAATTTATCTTTGGGTGAATACAATTGTGTATGTTTTCTGTTTCTAATTTTTTTGTCCTTTGCGGAGTCTGAAGTTTTAGATATTTTTGATATGCATGAATTTTTTTCTAAGAAAACAAGACCGGTTATTTAAAAAACAAAAAGGAAAGTAGACAGAGACTCCAATCTGAAATCATATTTCACTTTAGAAATGAAGTTAAAATGACATTTGCCTAGTTTTTGTGGGGACGGTGGGGGTGGATGAAATCAGCCTGTCTTTTACATAAGATACTCAATTTTTTCTGTTCTGATCTAAACACTTTTTAAATTTAAATCTTCTTTATGTACTTGTTAGCAGTTGGAAGAAGTTCTTGATAGCCATTGAACAAACTTCCGTGAACTCTAAGTGTCAAATCTTAGTCTAACCTCAGTGTACCCATTTTTATAACTGGTAGTCAGTGGAGGATAGGGAATAATGATCCAGAGAAGTAAAATGACTTATTCCAAGTCACACAAATACTCTCTGACTTAGGCAAGACTACAAAGAAATCAACGCTCTCAGTTTACTGCACTACATCATCACACATTTTAGTAATCTAATATTCTTTTTTTTCTTTTTCTTTTTGAGATGGAGTCTCGCTTTGTTCCCCCAGGCTGGAGCGCAGTGGCGCGATCTCGGCTCACTGCAAGCTCCACCTCCTGGGGTCACGCCATTCTCCAGCCTCAGCCTCCTGAGTAGCTGGGACTACAGATGCCCGCCACCACGCCCGGCTAATTTTTTGTATTTTTAGTAGTTAGCCAGGATGGTCTCGATCTCCTGACCTCGTGATCCGCCTGCCTTGGCCTCCCAAATTGCTGGGATTATAGGCATGAGCCACTGCGCCTGGCCCAAGAAGCTAATTTTCATATGGAACATATGAAGAAGAACACTTGATGTTTACTAGGGGACAGTCATCATGCTTGCACAGCAATTTTAATAAGTTAACTCTAGGAATTATGAAACAAGCGCCAAAAAGCAGTGACATCATCACAGAGTCATAGGCTGCTGTTATAGCTGGGAGGAAACATGGGTGTCACCTACTCCAACACTTTAATTTCGGAGATGTGGCAACTCAGACCATCGGAAAGTAAGTGACTTCCCTAATGCGGCAAAACTAATTAGTGGCAGAACTGGACTGCTGGCCTGTGGGCTCTCTGACTTCACATTGATTCGAAAGAGGCAATTTGTGTACACAGGATTTCTTAGAGCTGGCTTGATGTGCTGCAGGTAAAATCTTTATCATCTCATGATGCTCCTAAACTCCATTAATGGCTTTCAGTAGTTTTCAAACCAAGTCTCCACTGTAACATACGATGCTGTTCCTGATCTAGACTCTTCTCAGGCACTCAACCTCATCCCCCATCGGTGGCCGACGCTCCTTCTCTCCCATGGAACACACAACGATTTCCATACACATGCTCCTCTCTTCCCAGAACACCCTTCTCCCATCGCCAACACCCTTTAACGCTCTTGACCAGTTGTCATCTCCTTAGGGACACATTCTTCTACCCTCCCACCCTGTCCCCAAGGAATCCTAGGTGCTCCTCTTCCAGATTCCCTCAGTGCCCATGACACCTTTCACACTGTTGTGCGACCGTTTATCACATTCCTGGTTTCAGCACCAGGCTGCTCTTGAAGAGAGAAAACCTATCTGGTATTTGTGTAGACCCTGGTGCTCAAGACCTGGCACATACTAGGTGCTTAAAACATATTAAATTAAACTGAAATCCAATGAAAAGGAACACTTATTAGGTCTACAGACCCAAGTAAAATGAGAGGTGGAAGGAAACACGCATTTCATACCTACGATGGGGAAGGCACTTAGACTTACCTTGTGCACTTTCTCACAACTCTATGAACTAGGCATTACTTTTTCTAATTTACAGATGAGGAAAAGGAGGCCCAGAAATTTGAACTAACTTGCCCAAGTTCACCCAGCTAGTCAGTGTAACAATAATGATTTAGTGGACTCAAAAACAAAAACAAGCAAACAACATTCTGCTTTCATTACTCTGCTGGAGGGAGGAGCAAAAGAAAAGGAGTGAGTCTTTTTGTTTCTGTTGTAAAATGGATAAGGGGGGGGAAGAGCTACCACAGCAGCATTTCAAAACCCATGTCTTCTTTTAATTACCAGCTTCCTGCTAACTCTGAGACACCAGGAGAAAGGGGGAGGAAGAAATACTTGAAACAAAAAATAATCAAGGAAGAAAAGCAGTATGAAGAGATGTAGAAGGCTCCGCAGTGTGGTAAGGAGCAGGAGGACCCTTGGTGCTGGAAACTTTGGAAAAATGACTGTTATATACGTGAACTCCTGCCCCTAGTAACCACCATTAAACAGCCAACGGGTTAAAGCAGGGCAGTGAGCAGTACGCCTCTCTCAGGGCCACATCTGACATTATGTTGTGTACTTCTCACTAACCATTTTAAAGCCGTTGGATGTTTAATGGTGGCTACTAGGGGGAGGAGTTCACGTATATAAAGGAAATTGGGCTCTCTAATACAGCACGCCCGCACACGTGTATACTCATGCGTACACACCCCTGAAGTAATGGAAACAGAACGGAAAGTAGGAGAGATTCATCTCCCCCAGCACCTTTTCCAATCATGCAGCTTCATCAATACATTTTAAAGGTAAAATCAAATGTGATATTGCTGAAAAGACACGAGGAAAGCTGCGAGTCCCCCGGAAAAGGCCGTCAAAGGGTATTGCACGTTTCACAAAGTGCCTCCCTGCCCATTAATCAGCAGTGCAGCCTCAGTCCCAGCTACCGGCCCCGTGCCCGAGCTTGGCCCTGTGGCCTGCCGTCAGCCCCATCTCCACTCAGATGGGACATACCTGGAAAAGTGGCTTGAACTGCAGCAGAAGTACAGAAGCCACATTTCTGGCTGGGCTGGGGGTGGACAGCACCAAAACCCTACAACCGGGAAGAGTTTCATTCCCCACAGCAAGGCTAAGGCCCTCTAGGGGTAGAGGCCAGGTCAGAAAGAGGGCTTTCTGGAAGCCTTTCGTCTCACAAATTCCACTTCTTAGAGACTTAAAAATCTCCAGATTGTACCCATATTTCATTAGTTTCTTCTGTGATGGCTGTGGATTGAGAACACTGACCATCTTGAAAATTCCCTCTCTCATGGCTTTCCCCTGCCCTTCCTGCCTCCATTCCAAACAGCTGTGCTGGCGAGGTCTATGCCAAGGTTTCACGGCCCCCTCCCAACAGGGTCCTCAGCTCCTGCCAGCACTCACTTCCCTCAGGCCACATTTCCACACTCAATGTTACACCAACATTTTGCTATTTCCTTATCTCAAGATCTAACCCACTTATAGCAAAAGCAAGTCCCTCTGGACTGGGTAGTTTTCTTGGAGGAGTGATGAGGATGAGACCAAAGAAAATGAGCTGGCATCAGCAAGGGATTCGGGTTCTCAGCTATACCGTGTGGGCCCATTTGAAATCCTCTTGGACTGTAGACAGGGACAGCAATCAGTGAGGTTTCTTCTAGTGTCGTGGCGCTATGAGAGGCATGGTGATACTGTTGTCAAAAGAATCCCAAGGCAAGGGCAGGTGTGCTTTCAGGGGCTGTGGAATCAAAAGAGGCAGTGGTATTGTGGTAAGGCATTCAATGATCAAAATGAAAACCAACTGTTCTCTCTGAATCGTCCAGTTTGAAGGGCTCAGAATTCCCTGTGGCACCATGCTGCCTGTGGTCCTAGAGGTAACAGCCACATGATTCCAGTATGCACCAAGGCCCAGAAGCACCACTCTCTAATGCCTGCTGGTGTCCTCAACAGCACTGGCTGGAAAGGTACTGCTGAAGATCCAGGGAGAAATAAAACTGTTTTCCTGCATCTCCATTTCCTACTAGATCAAGTCCTCAACTTCCCATGACTTGCAAGGACTTCTGGATCTGCTTCCCGCCCCTGTCTGTGGCCTTGCATACACCTTGCTTCTGTTTATCTTGCATCTTTGCACACTTGTTCCTTCTGCATGGAGAGCCCTATTTCCTTGTTTCCTCCAGAGCACTCCAGTTCCTCTTTCCCAGCCCTGCTTGGGTGTGGGTGAAGCTTACAAGCCACGTAGGTGGGAGACAGAGCAATTCCCAGAAAGGGAGCAGAACTCTGGGTGTGATGAAAGAGAGATAGAGGATCCCAGCAGCGCCCCAGAGCTGGTTGCTAAGAATTTGCCCTGGCAGCTGGCTCTCCTTCAGACGGGGGTGCAGTTCTGCTTTGAAGGTGAGTGTCTGACTTCAAGGAAGACCCATGAAAAACATCAGGCTGCTTGCTGCAGGGAAATCCCCGGAAAAAGAGAGGAGAGAAAAAAAGAAAAGAAAAACAAACAAGCAAATACAAAACATCCCAAACAACTCTACAGCCAAGTCCATGTGGCAAAGCGGGAACCGTAGAAGGTGGGAACAACAGCAGGGCAGCTCTTGCCTGGCCTCGGGCACAGGGAGGCCACTGTGTCGCTGTCGGGACCACAGCTGTCCAAACGAGGCTGGCTCCCCACTTCCTGTGGTGTTTCTCTTTTAGCTTTCTAGAATCCAAATAGCTGTATGTATCAGAGGAAATAACACTGGCCTTTTCCCAAATGCCTTGGCAACTCCAGGGGAAGGACCCCTCCCACCCCGACTCCGGTGGACAGGCAGGTAACTCCACAAGTGGGGCCTCCTGGGGCATGACTTTCTAAGGAGCCCTCAGTTGCATCCTTGGTGCAGAGTGAGGGTGAGTCCAGGGCTGCTTAATCTGCTTTCCCGGACCATTCCCAGCTGTTTGTGTGAGGCTGTGGAGGGAGTGCTGCAAGTTAGGGATCCCTGGGAACCCTCGGGGAGAGTCTCCCTGCCATGCACTCCCCCTAGGCTCAGGGGACTTCGTTCTTGCCCTCAAGGCCTTTTCTGCAGTGGTCAAGCTGGTGGAGCTTCCTGCCTGGAAGCTTGTTTTCAGAGGAGGGTAAAGGGACCAGGAGTCAATGGTGGAATCCTTAGGCGAGGTTCAGGCATGAGGCCTAAACATTTTTTTAGGAACTATTTTTTTGTAACGTTGTTGTGTCTGTTTCAGAGCATCTGGGAGAGAGAATTCCAGTAGGGGCTGACATCAGCCACCCCAAATTTATTTTGGAACTAGGCTTTATTGGTATAAATAACTTGAGAAGTGAACGAATGAATGAATGAAGCCGTGCCAGGTCACAAGAGTCAGAGTGAACAAGATGGGGCAGTGATAAGAGAGCCATCATTAACCAAAGTGTCTTGTGTTCCGAATGGAGTAGTTTCTATCATTTCCTGCACCTTTTCTGTGTGCCAGGCACTGTGCTCAATGCTGGACATCATTTCATTCAATCCTTACATCAGTCTTATGGGGTATGTGGTATCATTCTTATTTTACAGAGGGGTAATGGAGGTTAAGTACCTCGGCCATGGCCACATCACTAATAATTACCCTGGCCAAGGTTGAAACTTGAAAACCCATCCTCCTAACCAGTCTACTATATCCTGAGCCATCGTGCTGAATATATCTTCATTCATATCTACATGTGCTGTTTCAGTTGAGTCTCTGAATCAGCGGCTGTACCACACCAGCATGGGCCACGGGAGTAGGGACTCGGCTGGCAGGACCGTTCCCAGGAGGCCCACAGCCAGGGCTGCTGTTCTTCCTTTGCTAGCATCCCAAAGTCTGAATTCTTATAAAGCAGGCAGGGCAGCCAGTCTACAAAAATATTTTTAAAATTTCCCCAACTCTAAGTATATACAGGATCCAACCAGCACACAGGAATTAGAAATGTTCTTTCTGCTCTCTTTTAGGAATGTGGGTGGCAAATAAGCCAAACGAAATAAAAATAGAAACAAGGCAGGCCAGACTTCCCTAAACCACACAGAACAATATTTATTTGATTAATTCTGTTCCTAAACAACAGCCCACATTACTGACACGGAGGGCGTTTCCACGATGGAGGGGTGCGTGTGTGTGAATGTGTGCACATATGTGCAGGCTCCCAAGTGCACATATACATATGTATGGCTAGATAAACACACACACTCGCCACCCACGGAGAATATTTATTCATACCGATACAAAAATCAAACTGCTCTTCTTTTTCCAAACCCTGCAAACATTAAAAATAAGTCACTTTATGTAAACATATTCAGCCTCCTGATTTACATTGTTTCTTATAAAGACAGAGCTGCACATTTTTGAAGTTCTCTCATTTAACCACAGGAGATGGGTTACGGACACATGGTGGGTTGCCTCATAGTGCATCGTGAAAGCAAGAGCATTAATCAAAACTGTTTGTGGTCACTGTATCTCTGCAGATCCCCTCCCTAGAGCCCCGCAGCCCACCCCTCATTCTGCAACTCTGTGCTTTTTTTTTAGCACCCTGTCTTGCTCTGTGGATCCACCTACCATGTCCTTCCCACCTGTATCAACCTGGCTGATGCACTGATGGGACAGGGGATCCAACCTGATTTCTGCTCAGACTGATGCTACCTGTGATCAAAGGAGCCTGTGATTTCTGCTCAAAGCGACACTGAGATCTCTGACATTTGGCTGCTGCTCCCCGCTCCTTTCCTCCTCTGTTACCCAACTTCTCCAGAGCCCCCATGGAGGTCTGCACAGTTGGCAGGAGTCTGCCTCCCTCCTTCTCATACCCAGCATTTGTCAGCGCAGCTGGATTGGTTTCTGGCAGATGCTGCTGCTGCCCCTTGTTCTGGGATGAGCAAAGGGTGACTGAGTGCACCCACCCGCTTTGAGGAATGAAACAGATTTCAGCATGGCCCAATGCCCCCTGTAGGGTTGTGCAGTTCCTTAAAGGCTGGATGCGGGAGGGCAGGGGAAGGAATTCTCACATTTGCTTCTGTCATGTGGCCTTTCTATCAGGAGTGGGAGGGAAGGCACTGGCCGGTGAAGCAGAGAGTACCGGAAACTCCAGGTTAGGTTGCAGGCACCAGAGTTTTATTTATTCTGACAGAAGCTTAATGGGGGCAACTCTTAATGACATGCAAGAAACGCTGAACAAACGGTTTGTCCTTTTGGAGGGAGTATTCTGAACTTTCAGAGCATGGGTCCCTAAAGGAAGAATTTACCTCCCCTGGGAAAACAAAGGATTCCATAGAAGCCGTTCAGCCTAGCTGAATTCACCACAGGACAGAGCTTGCCATTGCTTAATAAGACCTCTATTGTGTGTCTGATGAAAACATATGGGGAATGTGCTTCCTCAGTGAGCCTGTAATTTAGGAAGTCTGTAGTTTCTAAGCAGTCTCACTCCTTTGGTAGGAACAAAGTGTTATTTTGATGGAGTAAATAGACATGAAACAAAACTAAAATTTTCCTTTTAATACAATGAGATCTCTTGCTAGAAGTTTGACTACCACCTATTGAAACATGTTCTCAAGCTCTCACAGAGAGAAATTTGGTCTCGTGAGAGCCTCAGGAGCTGGTCACCACTTTGTGCCCGACTCTGTCACTGACTCTCAGGTCTATGGGGTGGCCATTATGCTTCCCCTAGAGAGGAACTGAAACTTGGAAAGGTTAGTGACTTGCCCAAGGTTACATGGTTGATACTTGGCAGAGCGAGAATTCAAACCAGGATATCATTTGGATCTTATCAACAGGCCTCGGAATCCTATCTTTTTTTCTATATCAGGGACCAGAAAATGACAGTTCATGGGTCAAATCCAGTCCACACCTGTTTTTGTATGGCCCATAAGCTAAGAGTGGTTTTTACATTTTTTGATAGTTGAAAAAAGAAAGAATATTTTATGACATATGATTATTTTATGAAATTCAAATTTCCATGTCCATAAACAAGTTTTATTGGAGTAAGCCACACCCATTTATGGATGAATGCCTGTGGCTGCTTCTGCACTTCCATGGCAGAGCTGAGCGACTGGGACAGAGCCCGGCATTTAGCATGGGGGTCTTTTCAGAAAAGCTGGCTGACCTCGCGTCGCACCATGCCAATACCATGACCAGTGAGACTCTCTAGTTTTGACCCACATGGTTATAAATGGATCCCCAAGCTGCCTTTCCAAAACTGACCTGGCAATAAATAGTCCAATATTTATTTAATCTATAAATAGTCCAGTCTTCTGTCTTGGGAGAACAATGATGTTACATCAGTAGAAAAACGCTTCTAAAACAAGAGTGGAGTGAACTCTACATGCCTATAGTCCCTTAGAACTAAACCCCTCTCCCTCCCCCTCCCCCTCCGTCTCCCTTTCCCTCGTCTCCCTCTCCCTCTCCCCGGTCTCCCTCTGATGCCACCAAAGTTGTGAAAGCCAAGGCTGGACTGTACTGCCGCCATCTTGGCTCACCGCAACCTCCCTGCCTGATTCTCCTGCCTCAGCCTGCAGAGTGCCTGGGATTGCAGGCGCGCGCCGCCACACCTGACTGGTTTTTGCATTTTTTGGTGGAGACGGGGTTTCGCCTTGTTGGCCGGGCTGGTCTCCAGCTCCTGACCACGAGTGATCTGCCTGCCTCGGCCTCCCGAGGTGCCGGGATTGCAGATGGAGTCTCGCTCACTCAGTGCTCAATGTTGCCCAGGCTGGAGTGCAGTGGCCTGATCTCCGCTCGCTACAACCTCCACCTCCCAGCCGCCTGCCTTGGCCTCCCAAAGTGCCGAGATTGCAGCCTCTGCCCGGCCGCCACCCCGTCTGGGAAGTGAGGAGCGTCTCTGCCTGGCCACCCATCGTCTGGGAAGTGAGGAGCCCCTCTGCCCGGCCGCCACCCCGTCTGGGAGGTATACCCAACAGCTCATTGAGAACGGGCCATGATGACGATGGTGGTTTTGTAGAATAGAAAAGGGGGAAATGTGGGGAAAAGAGATCAGATTGTTACTGTGTCGGTGTAGAAAGAAGTAGACATGGGAGACTCCATTTTGTTCTGTACTAAGAAAAAGTCTTCTGCCTTGGGATGCTGTTAATCTATAACTTTACCCCCAACCCCGTGCTCTCTGAAACATGTGCTGTGTCCACTCAGGGTTAAATGGATTAAGGGTGGTGCAAGATGTGCTTTGTTAAACAGATGCTTGAAAGCAGCATGCTCCTTAAGAGTCATCACCACTCCCTAATCTCAAGTACCCAGGGACACAAACACTGCGGAAGGCCGCGGGGTCCTCTGTCTAGGAAAACCAGAGACCCTTGTTCACATGTTTATCTGCTGACCTTCCCTCCACTATTGTCCTATGACCCTGCCAAATCCCCCTCTCCGAGAAACACCCAAGAATGCTCAATAAATACTAAAAAAAAAAAAAAAAAAAAAAGAACTAAACCTCTTTGGCTTTCAGAGTATGAGAGGAGACAAGTCCTTTTCTTTCCTTATTCTCAGACTCCCAGTGAATGATCCATGAAAACAATATGAATTTTACATACAGGAAATGTACTTAATAAGGCAAAAGCATTTTTACTGTTAGGGCTCCTTCCTCACCTGTTCGTCTTTTATTATGAGGCTGGAATTTTAGCCTTTTTTTTTTTTTTTTTTTAGCAGTACAGGGCATTTTATGCTACTGTTGTTACACTGCGGTTTGCTCTCAATATAAGAGGGAAATTGTGGAATGCATTGAAAATTGGTAGCAGCACTGGTTCAGTTCAAGAGAAATAAAGCAAGATATCCTTTTACTTCACGTAATTTTTGTTCCCCATCCTGGCCTCACTTGCAAATCCTAAAGACCCAATTCATATGTGAAGAAACAACAACAAAAACAAAAGCCATAGGTACCAAGATACAGAGTTTGAAGCTAGATAGATGATGGTAATGGTTGCATGACAATGTGAGTGCATTTAATGCCACTGAACTGTACACTTAAAAATAGTTAAGACACTAAATTTCCTTATGTGTATTTTACCACAATTAAAAAAATTTAGAAAGGAAAAAAAAAACATAGCTATCCATTTTAGAAAAAAAATTCAAAAGCTTCAAGGAAGAAGATTTTTACACATAAGGCCATTAGTGAAACGAAACAAAAATCCTCATAGGAGTTTTGAAAGATTTGAGGCTTTATGGGGACAAATGAGCATTAGTGCATGTTCATGTGGGTGCTTGTGTGTGTAATGTGTCTCCAAGAAAACATCCATGCCCAACTAATTCAGTTCCCTCTGTTATTGCTGTCAGTATTAGAAAAATGAGAATTATTCCATTTAGAATAATCTCCTTCTTTTAATGCAAAATGCCAAGTACCGTTGCACTAGCAACAAAAAACAAAATAGAGTAACTATGTCTGAGAACCTATTATAACTCCGACATCTTACACCAGTGACACCAAAGGGAAAAAACACACCCACTGAGCACCTATGAAGATTCCTCTGCAGTATACGTACAAAGGCTGTCGTAGCCGTCAGGGAAAGAGTGAGTTCCAGAGAAAGAGGAAACCACAATAGAAACCTTGAATTAAAAATGGAATTTAGATATGGGCAAGAGTGCCAACCTTAATGAAAAGTCTTCTTCTTCAATCATTAGGCTGTAAAATTAAAGCTGGATGTGGATGTGGTCTAATGTCTACTTTGATTCTTGTGTATTTGCCAATGCTCTCCAAAGGTGAATAAGATGAAATCCCTTCTGGATGTGCTGTGAGCACTCTGGTCCTTTCCACCAGTTTCCCAGAGCATAGGTGCCCCACAGTGCGGTTTCTGAAGGCTCTACTGTTTGGAATAGGCACATACAATAACAAAGCTGCTTACAGTCTCGGCCTGGCCGCGACAGGGTCAACAACCTAAATGCCAACTGGCGATGACACTGGTCGTGTCAAGTGAAGCCAATGACAAAGGAACAGCCATGCTCTGTCTCTTGGTGCCCACAGCAATACAGTCACTGTAGGCCAGCAATGGTGATCCAGTATGCAGCAGCATGGGGTGAAGCTGACATCAACCCAATAAATGACCACTGTCTTGTCGTCTTCACTGAAATGGTGCATATGCCTCCCCCAAGCCCACACACAAACACTTTGCTTCATATGCTTGAAAGTTGTGGGCTTTCAGGACAAGGGAAAACTAAAAATTGCTCTCTAAATGTGGGCACTGTGGATGTGTTGCCAGGTTGTAATGGGTCAGAACTGCTCCTGCCCACCATAGGCCCTGTATGAACCATGACTGCAAACAGATGATCCCTAAGCAAACTGTACTCCCAGAAGGGGTTTTTAAAAAATCTACAGATTTTTAAATCTGTAGATTTAAAAATAAAATAAAATACAAGTACTGCTCTAAGTAGTTGCCATCATTTAAAACTCTGGAGAATTCACCTAAAATGCTAGAGTTCCAAATTCTTCTGATTTGGAAGCACTGGGCCTCTATGCCCGCCCTGAAACTATTAGTTGAGTTGCATGGTGGTTGCCCCCACAGCTTCCTATTTCATGCTACTCGCCTGTTAACTGATATTTGTTACCTGCCTGACTCTGTTGACTTTGGCTTTGGATCTTCTGATCCATAGTCATCAAACTCCTTGAGGGCAGTAGTCATATCTCTTGAGCTACAGCAGCACCTAGGATTGGCTCCTTACTCCTGTTTCACCTGAGTCGCTCAACTATGTGCACTATGTGTATTTCATGGGCTCAGGTATCTAAAGTGACTTGACTGTGGTCCCACAGCACACACTGCTGAGACAGGGAGAGAACTGGGCTCGTGGAGCTGGAGGCCCTTGGAAATTATCTAGCTGCTGCAGATCATCAGAATCTAGTTGAGTAAGTAAGCCTTTGGGCAAAAATCCACCTCAAATTAGTTTCCTCAGCAAATACCATGCTATAATTTGAATGTTGGTGTCTTCCAAAATTCATGCTGGAACCTAATGCCCAGTGTAATAGTATTAAGAGGTGGGGCCTTTTGGGAAGTGACTAAGTGATGAGGATCCACCCTCATGAATGGGATTAGTGTCCTTATAAAAGAGACCTGATGGGGGGCTTCCTTGCCCTTCTGCCATGTGAGAATGCAGTGAGAAGGCACCATCTTTCAGGCAGAGAGCAAACCCTTATTGGATACCAAACCCTTATTGGATACTAGCACCTTGATGTAGGACTTCCCAGCCTCCAGAACTGTGAGCAGTGCATTTCTGTTGTTTATAAATTACCCAGCCAGAGGCATTGTGTTATAGCAGCCCGAATGGTCTAGGAAAGGCTGTATCTGGGTTTTGGAATCAGACCGTATGTGCTCAATCTTGGCTCCACAGAGCTGTGTGACATTGGACAAGTTATTTCACCTCTGCATCTGATTTTCTTCCTTTTTATAATGAAGATAAACAGTATTTATCTCATAGACTTGTGTGCAGATTGAATGACGTAACACATAAACACATTTCCTACAGCACTTGGCTCATAGTTTTACTTAAAAGTCTTCCCTATTATTATATCCTCTGAAGCTGAACAAATCAAATGAAAAAATATATATAGTTATTACAGGCCATTTAAAGTTCTTCTATATGAAAATATTTTAATAAGACGTGGACATAAATCTCTACCATTAATCTCTATTTTAAAATTATACCATTAGAGGCCGGGTGCGGTGGCTCATGCCTATAATCCCAGCACTTTGGGAGGTCGAGGTGGATGGATCACTTGAGGTCAGAAGTTCAAGACCAGCCTGGCCAACATGGTGAAACCCTGTCTCTACTAAAAATACAAAAAATTAGCCAGTTGTGGTGGCACGCACCTGTAGTCCCAGCTACTCGGGAGTCTGAGGTGGGAGAATTGCTTGAACCCAGGAGGTGGAGGTTGCAGTGAGCCAAGATCATGCCACTGCACTCCAGCCTGGGTAACAGAGCAAGACTCTATCTCAAAATAAAATAAAATAAACAGAATTATACTATTAGAAATAAACAAAGTAAAAGGAAAGGCAGTGACAATCTATGTTATTCTGGATCCACAACATGCCAGAACTGGAGGGAATCTAAACCTATCCTAATGGATTTAAAACTTATTTTAGCAGCAGAAACCATTTCTTTTAATGTGGTCTTACATACATGCCATTCACGAGAGAGATGTTGCAGCTCAGGTTAGGTGAAGTCCCTGAACTAGGTTCCAGCTTCACCCAGCAAATTATAGAACCTGTGTGCTAAGGGCCACAGTTTGGTAACTGCTGATCTTGGCTATGCCTTTTTATTTTTACCAGTGGGAAAAGTAAGACCTTTCATATGCCTGCACATAGAAGCAGGCTCACACTGAGGACCAAGCCTGGCCTATCACTGTATCCTCAGCACCCAGCCATGTTCCTGGAACGTAGCGCCCTGGTGATACTGGGGTTTGCATAATGGGTGCCATAGCACAGGTGAGGTGCCAGGCTTCTGAAGTGCAGTCTTGGGGGATGGACTTCTAGGGTAGGGTGGTGATCGCTGCCAGCAGGGGGTAACAAAAACACCATTAGGTCTAGCCAAGGTGTTGCGTGTAGGATGGATTCTGGGAGAAGGTATAGGGTGGAGGTAAGCAAGTATAAGCTTACTGACTTACCCAGAGCAACTGCCAGTCCTACAAGCTCCATTCATGGCAAATGCCCTAGGCAGGTGTACCATTTTTTATCTTTCACACTGTATTTTTACTGTACTGTTTCTACATTTAGATACACAAATACTTACCATTATGTTACAGTTGCCTACAGTATTCATTATAGTAACATGCTGTACAGGTTTATAGCCTAGGAGCAATAGGCTATACCACATAGCCTAGGTGTGTAGTAGCTACACCATCTATTTTTATGTAAGTATACTCTATGATCTTCACATTATGGCAAAGTTGCCTAAAGACACATTTCTCAGAATGTATTCCCATCATTATGTGACACATGACTGTACTTCTGTAGAAAGACCAGGTTTCTGGAGTGGTGGAGTGGTGGAGGGCAAGTTACTGTGAATTGAAAGGGAAGTGAGAAAGTGTAGATAGTTGGCTAGACTGGCTTCTTTCAAGGAAGGGGAGGAAGAAGAAACCACACTGAGGTAATAGGAGTTTTCACGGAGTCAGATTTCTTAAGCAATGAGCACTTTGGAGAGGTAGCAGACTTGTGCTGTAGGATGTAGAAAATGGGAAAAGAAAGAGAAATGCAGAGGTCAAAGAAAAACATCACCAGTTTAAAAATGTTGGTCTCTGTGGTGGTTTAAAAATATTTTAAAATTATTTAACATATGAAGAATTATTTAACATTTCTCTCTTCAAGAAATATGGCCAGGCCTGGTGGCTCACACCTGTAATCCCAGCACTTTGGGAGGCTGAGGCAGGAGGATCACTTGAGTTCAGGAGTTCCAGACCAGCCTGGCCAACATGGTGAAACCCCATCTCTACTAAAAATAAAAAAATTATCCGGGCATAGTAGCATGCACCTCTCATTCCAGCTGCTCTGGAGGCTGAGGCAGGAGAATCGCTTGAACCAGGGAGGTGGAGGTTGCAGTGAGCCGAGATCATGCCACTGCACTCCAGTGTGGGTGACAGAGCAAGACTCCATCTCAAAATAAAAAAAAAAAAAGAAAGAAAGAAATAGACCTTAATTTTCCTTTAGTGTGGGCTGGACTTAGTAACCTACTTCTAATGAATGGAAAGTGGGAAGAAGGTTGGGTTATCACTTCTGACTCTAGTCTGTAGAAGATACATGGTGATTTCCATCTTGGTTGCCCTCTCTGATATCAGGGCATTCTGGGAGTAGCCAGCAGAAACCTAACGTTTCAAATGAAAGGTGTTTGTCTCTGAGAAGCGGACAATTAGGCCTAGACTTGCAGGATGAGCAGGACTTAAGCTGAGGACATGGAAGCCAAAGGAGTTGTACATACAATGGCCTGGGGGTGAGAGGACATGGCCCATTCAAAGAACTCTGGGAAGTTCCCTATGGAGCTATCTGCATATCTCTTTCTTCTTCCAGATCTGCCTCCAGGCATTATTCTTGTCTATTGGTCCATTTACACTTAGATGCACAATGTAATAGGACTCTATTAGCACCAACATCTTGGAATTAATACTAATTAGTATTATGTTCCAGTACCACATTATAGCTTAACTGGCTTTGCTGGTGGTTTGTATATCTGACCTTTATGTATAAAATTGTTTCATAGGAGGAAGTGCTCCTGAGACCACACAAGTGACCACACAAGTCCCTAGGCTAGGTACTGCCTGTAACCTGCCTTATCTTCATGCCTTTATTGTGGTGGGACAGGTGGGTGGTGGGAGAAAATATAATGTTATGTTTCAATAAATAAAACCTTCCTTCATTCAAACCCCAAGTTAATACTCGCTTGACATTTTTGGAGCCAAAGAATCTAATCTTATCTGGCCGGGAAATTTAAACTAGTCTAGACCACACATAGCAGCCAAAATTTGGCAGGCTTATATATGGGCATCAAGCCATACTGACTATTTACATTTTCATGTAAATGCTCATGAAGACGAATTAATCCCTGCTGTGACTGACATCCTGCAGCAATTTCCAACACTGCAGAGAACATTAAAAAAATAAAAAAGTACAATTACTATTTGGTGTCTCTGACCAACAGCTCCCCTAAGATACTGAGCAGCTTCCTGAGGTGGAGGTTCTGATGGGAAATCTAGGGAGAAATGTTGAGCAGAAGGTACTGAGTTTTATTTATTCCTATCAATAAAGTAGGAGAGAAGTGGCTTAGCAAAGAGAAGCAACCATACTAGGGGGCTTAAACAATGAACGGAAATGCCTCATGTGGCAGCATGGAGACAATGTGAACACATCTGGCAGCTCTTTGTGGAGGGAGTGGTTGTTAAGAGTGGGTTATAAAAAGTAGCTCTTGAAGGTAGAGCCTCTGGCTCAGTGGTGTCTGAGAGAATGTCCCACAATGATGAAAATGTTCAGTATCTGTGATATCCAATACAATAGCCACTAGACATGTGGCTTTTGAGCACTTAACATGTGGCTAGTAAGGCTAAGAAACTAATTTTTAATTTAATGTTAATCTCAGTAGTCACAAGTGGTTGGAAAAGCCTTTTCAAGTATAAAGTTTGATTTTTCTGATTAGAAAAGTGACACATGTTTGTGACAGAAAACTTAGAAAGCCCCAAAAAGTATATACCAAAAAAAAAAAAAAAAAAGCATTATCTATAGTAATACCAAGAGAGAACCACTGTTGGCACTTTTTGCTCTATTTCCTTTATCATCTGTGGACATATGATTAGTGATTTTCCAGTACAGTTTTGTATCCTGCTTTTATTACTTAATATTATATGCTAGCAATTTTCCCATGAGAGACATCTTCAACTATAATTGATCATATTTTAGGCCCTGAAACAAATCAGACCACATCTCATCTCTGACCAAATTAGAAACAAAGAGAAACCCTAAAACAAAAATGAACCACCCAACACCCTATAAACTAGAAGCAAAAGTTCTCTGGACATCAACAAGGGATGAATAAATAGGACTGGCAGAGACATGTGGCTATTTTTGCCACATCCCCAGTTACCCAGCATAAGGCAATTCATTGGAAATAATCATGTTTCTTTGCTATTTTTCCAATTGACACTTTAGAATACATCTGCCAAGTCTCCTAAAATGATATCTGGCAGGCCCTCCCACTAATCTCTGAGCCTTTGCATTATCCTGAACAACCACCAACAGCCGATGCCACCCTGGACACACATATACTTGTCATCTGAACTGGCAAAGCCCCATGAATGCACACTCCAGCTACTCTTGGCAACATGTACACCCCCTCTGCCCCTCTGCTGCCATGGTGGGCTTTTTTTTTTTTTTTTTTTAAGACGAAGTCTCGCTGTTGTGCCCCAGGCTGGAGTGTGATGGCACGATCTCGGCTCACTGCAACCTCCGCCTCCTGGGTTCAAGCAATTCTCCTGCCTCAGCCTCCTGAGTAGCTGGGATTATGGGCACCTGACACCACGCCTGGCTAATTTTTGTATTTTTAGTAGAGATGGGGTTTCACCATTTTGGCCAGGCTGGTCTGGAACTCCTGACCTCAGGTGATCCACCCGCCTAGGCCTCCCAAAGTGTTGGGATTACAGGCGTGAGCCACCACGCCTGGCCCACAGTGGGCTTTAATCCATGAAGGGCTCTCTAAGCAAAGAGAAACGGTTGTCTTGGATGAAAGATGACAGGGCTGCTGACACATCATATCAGTAGTAATCCCAGTAGGTCAGTAATCTTAGTAGTGACCCATCAGTAATCTCTGTAGGTCAGGCTGGGAGGATTCTAGGGATGATGTCTTTTACAGGTGGGGAAACTGAGGCTCAGAGCCATTACATGCCTTGCCCCATGTGGTAACTAATGTGGTAGCATAATAGTGGAAATGCCATTGTAAAGGCCAAACTGTCAGCTTCACAGGCTGCAGCTCTTTCTTCTATAATGGCTGAGTCCACATCAAGCCTTCTGGCTGAAGGCCAAGGAAGCCGCCTGACAAGAAGCAACCCAGAGGCCTCTGTACAGATGATGTTTCAAAAGAAAAGGTCCTTTCAAAAGCCCCACAATGGCTCTTCATTGCTGGCTACTTTAGGGAGTAGCTCTGGCTCATGCGAGAGGTTCTGCTTCTTTTCACAGTCCTGACTTGATCTTACCATTGCAGGCCAACCTTGGCTGCTGCACTCACCCAAGCAACTCTGAGAGAAGTGTATGTGTGGCCTGGCTACCTCTTAGGGCAACATGAGGTCAGTGTATTCTGGGGCCTGGATAGGCTTGTGGCTGGGCCTTTATGAGACAAGGCTTTCCAAATCTTTGGTCTTCAAATTGTTCTAAAAAGCACCCGTTTTTAGAGGATAGTTTTGGTGGTAGAGCCTACCATAAATCTCAATCATTAGCCAAGAGGCACCTACACACTGGGGGTGGGACATGCACTTTGGTGTGACAAAATGGCAGTGATAAGGGATGGAGAGGAATGTGGTTCAGATGTTGAGAAACTGCCCATCACATCTGCTGGAAATAATAGTAACAAGTCTGGCCAGGTACCATCTGTAATCCCAGCACTTTGGGAGGTCAAGGCAGAAGGATCACTTGAGCTCAGGAGTTCCAGACCAGCCTGGGAAACGTAGTGAGACCCTGTCTCTACAAAAAATTTAAAAATTAGCCAGGTGTGGTGACATGTGTTTGTAGCCCCAGCTACTTAGGAGGCTGAGGTGGGAGGATCACTTGAGCCCAGGAGGCTAGAGGATGCAGTGAGCCATGATCACACCAGCCTGGGTGACAGAGTGAGACCCTGTCTCAAAAAAAAAAAAAAAAAAAAGTAACAAGTGTGAGGAGATGAAATAATATATGTCAAGAGGAACTAACAGATTATCTGGAACTGAAGAAATGAAGTTATTAATTATTTCTTGAAAATGCTTGTGCGTCATGCACATGGTAAGAATTCCACGAAGGGGTGTCTGTCATATGATGATGTGGGAGGATGAGGAGCAACAATGAAAAGGACTGCACTTCCTGTGTGTGTGTGAAGCCCTCCCATATGGAGTTTCACTTCCTTCCCACCTCCCTCTCCATGCGGCAGTGGTGGCTGTGTGGTTTGAGGCCAGGGTGGAGGCATGAGGAAAATAGAAAAATCTAGAGACACATCACATCACAAAGATGAGCAGTGCTGCCCAGAGTGTGTTCCATGGATCATGATATCTCTAAGATGTCAATGAGTGATAGCAAAAGAAAAAAGTCCAGTAGCCAAATGCAGTTAAATTGGGCGGGCTACACAAAATTGAACAAGTTTCTTTACTGGATACCTTCTCAAAGGCTTTGATATGCTATTGTACACTGTAAATCTTCAAGGGTGGAGACGATGTAGTATTTTGTAAACTCATTTGACCACAGAAGGAAGTCTGTTTTCACTGACCATCACTCAGGACTGGCATTTTGAGGAGCTCTCTTGGCAAACACTGATCTTCAGATTTTTCTCCTTTTTGCTTTACTTCCCCACCCCACTGAGCTAACTCCCAATCCTAGAGGAGAAGAGATGAAGTGCTAAAAATGGTAATTCTCACATTTGAGGGTAATTGTCATCTAGGGTCTTTTCCCTCAACGTGTGGTCTGGGAACCAGCAGCATCGATATCATCTGGGAGCAAAATGAACATTCTCGAGTCTCCTCCTCTCAGATGTACTGAATCAGAACTTGCATTTCAGCAAGATCCCTGGTGATTCACATGCACATTAAAGTTTGAGATGCAGACTGAGGGTGCTTGGTACTAGGCACTAATCTTAATAATTCTGATTTAGTGTATCTGGGGTGAGGCCCAAGAATGTACTTATGAAGTACTTCCTCCAGGAGATTCTGATGCACGTGTGTGTGTGTGGACTCCTGAGAAACCCCTATGGTCCAAGCACCCTGCTATAAGGTAACAGAACAGCTCTGTGGTAACATTGGTTTTCACAGCAGCAGCTCTACAAGGTAGGTGGTGGTATAATCACTTTCATTGTTAGAAACAAGAAAATGGAGCCTTGGAGAGAGAATGAGAAGGTCCTGGACCAAGGTCACCCAGGGGTTAGCAGGTGCATTAGGGTAAACAAGTCCCCTCCTGTCTGTCCTCCCCACCTCACGAATCTCTGTCCTCCCCCTGCCCTAATCAGCTCTTCATTCACAACTACTGCATTGCTAACAGCCCTCTCTGAGTCTGCTTTTGTTTTCAGTGAAAGGCCAACAAAACACTGCGGGCTATTCGTGCTTGCTAATGATAATTCTGATTAGCTTAATTGTGTCAGCTGACTCCCTGGCAGCCAAGGGCCAACAGCAGCCTGCTTATTCAATCAGGGCCTGGCCCATTTTCTAATTATCAGCATCATTTGGGCTGTTTCCTCCAACAAGGAACTTGCTTCAGTTCAAGTTATCTTCAGCTGTTGCATTTACATGAGCAATGGATGATCTGTCACGTCTGTGTCTGTGTCAGTGTGCCAGGCTCCCCCTCCCTGCTGGAGACCAAGTGAAATGGCATGTGTTTGCCTGGGTTCCCAGGCTGCCAGCCATAGCGGCTGAACAGCAGGTCCCAATGGGAGCCATGAGGCAAGCTCTGGGGGTGGATGGATGTGCTGGTCTTCACCAGGCTAGCCAGGGTGACCTCTTCCCAGCTTCTGAATTCCAAACTGTATTCCCACTCAGAGGCCTGATAGGGTGACCAACCGTCCTAGTTTGACAGACACCAAGAGTTTTCCTAGGACATGAGAATTTCACTGCTAAAACAGAGAGGGTTGGTTATCCTTTGCCTGACACACCAGGGCACAAAAGCAGTGTGAGAGGATTCAAGATTTCCTGGGTGATCTATCTGGAATTTGGAACAGAGAATGACTAAGAGTTGAGGCCTCGTCTTTCTCTGTGAGACCTAAAGCTTATGATGCATCCCTGCTCTCTGTCTTATTTTGCTTTTAATGTCTATTGCTAATCTGACAGGATGAAGCATTAGTCCCAACATGGAAATGGGTAAGTGGAGGTCTGCATGCATGTTCTGAGATAAGGGGCGTATTGAAGAGAGTGACCAGTGTGTAATCCCTTTGAATGGAGGTGCATCATCCTTAAAGTACTCTCCCCAATTCAAAAACATATTAAGCATTTATTAGGTACCAGGAACCCTAAGCAATGCAGGAATATGTCCTTTATATTCCCAGCCCTCAAAGAGTTGACAATCCCATGGGAGTGACTGATACAAATACAATTAACTACATTTGCTAGGAGTCTACCTAGGGAATCAATCGTTAAGACAGAAAAGAGGTCATGGGAGCTAGGGAAGACAGAATTCAGGAACATCCACTAACTACAGCCCAGCTACTGTTACAGTCATTGTCTCACTTAGCTAACATTTCTTAAGCACTTCCACGTGACTAACCCATTTAATTTTTATAACTCTTATTATTATACCCATGCTATGGATGAGGAAAATGAAGCTTTGAAAAGCCATATATCTTGCTCAAGTTTGCACGTTAGTAAATGCAGGGTCCAGGGTTGGAACCCACAGAGTCTAAGACTTTTCTTAGGCACTGTATGATACTGACTCTCCTACCCCAGTAGGGTGCTGCATGGATCCTCAGCACAACCTGTGTGGTAGATACTCAGTCCACGTGAGACAAAAGCAACAAAGAGATGTGTGGCTGTGCATGGTGGAGGCAAGGCAGAGGGAAAGATGAGGTGGTGGGGGGGTCTCAGAGTTCCATACTGTGGAATCCCAAGGCATGACACCAAGAATGTCCCACCGGTGGCGTGGGAACTCTGGGAATGCCAATGTTCTAAGGGAAACTGGCTGGACAAATGCTGCCCTTCTGGCCCCAGCTGCATTCAATTCTAAAAAATGTACAACTAGAATGTGAAGCCAAATGCCTGACTCCTTCATCATCCTTTGAGGGTCAAAAATGGGTGACATTTATTATTTTATATTTTTCAGACTGTATTGTAAATTTCTTGAGAGCATAGTTTTTTTCTTTTTCTTCTTTTTTTTTTTTTTTGAGACGGAGTCTCGCTCTTTTGCCCAGGCCGGACTGCAGTGGCGTGATCTCGGCTCACTGCAAGCTCTGCCTCCCGGGTTCACGCCATTCTCCTGCCTCAGCCTCCCGAGTGGCTGGGACTACAGGCACCCGCCACCGTGCCTGGCTAATTTTTTTTTGTATTTTTCGTAGAGACGGGGTTTCACCGTGTTAGCCAGGATGGTCTCGATCTCCTGACCTCGTGATCTGCCTGCCTCGAGAGCATAGATTTTTTATGCACATAGAATATCTGAGCAACTTGAGTTGTATATATAGAGTATCAATATATGCAAATCAAATAAAAATGTGTTGACTTGACATGTTATGCCTGATTTGAATAGGTGCATTGCAACAGTATTAGCAGTTAGGCATCCTAGCACTGTCAACTGTTGAAATGGTCATTTCGGCAATAGCAATCCACAAGCCATAAACAATCTACTCTTAATGGACACTGCATGTGCTAAGTATCCAGAGCCTGATATTATATGATTCGCCTCAGAAACATTCTTAATATCTATTTCTGTTCCTTTATAGGGTTTGGTTAGTGTAAAACAAATATATATGTTCAGACAATTAAGCATTTAAAAAGTATGAATATTTACAAGCATTAAAATGAATTTCCCTATAATTATAATTAACACATAAATGTAGGAAGTATACTATTGCAAGCAAGATTTAAAGAAATATAAACTTCTGGGGAAAAAAACCTGGTACCTTTCTTGCTCAATTAAACTGTTAAAAATGTCTGGTTAACCTAATTTTCTCCCAGGCCCCCAAAGAGGCCCTTGTCTAGGATATTGACATGTTTGAGGCCATTCTGTGACTCTGAGACTTCAAGTTAGTTCCTGGCACTGCCTTGGAGCCCTTTCTTCAATTATAGAAAATAACTGAGTTTTCTGATAGCAAAGAAAGCCTTTCTCTACTTGATAACTTACACTCAGCTTTTTCCTACAATGTTGTCTTTATGCTTTCAGGCATAAAGGAGAAATTGACTTTCAGCTCTGTCGTGGTGTTTCTGATCCCTTAGCTCTGTGAAACCAAAAGTGTGAGTGCTTCCACAGCCTCTTCCTTCTTGTGGGCCTTTGGAGAAGTTATTTTCCATTGACCTGAACATGACTATAGAAGAGAACTGAACTGAAACCATCCAGGAGATTGCAGTGGTTTCTTCTGGGTCTTCATTTACGTGGCCCTTGTCCATCTTTCCTCTCTGTCCTTGACATTTTCTGAAATTAACTTTATCAATTGTTTCTAGTCTTAACTCCCTTGAGCTGTTTGCACAACCTTATCTTCCCATAGTGGCTGTTTACCCAAAACAGCCTTTATAAAACTCAGCCATCGATGAATTCTTTCCATACTATTTGTCCAACTGCATTCAGAGACAACTCGGTTCCTGCCCCTGAGAGCCTTCTAGAAATCTCTTGTGAAAGAAAATGAAGAAAATAGGCTCTTTTTAAAGTAAAGATGTGAGCCATCTCAAGTGTAACCCAAAAAGTCTTGCTTTGTTCCAGGACTACTGAGTAATGCAAATATATATATATATATATATATATGTGTTTTTTTTTTTGCCATATATTCTCACAGCAGAATAATAAATTTCAAGGTGAAAAACACTAAAGGTGATATGTGAAATTCACCATCTTCTTTGCCAGGTACAGGTACTGTACTGTATTAAACATATCTTTTATTTTTTGTGTTTCGATTCTCTAACATCAAAGGGGCCTTGTTGATCCTGGAGGGACTGCCCCTCCCAGAGCTAGCCAATTCCTAGTGATGGTAAACAATTTGCGCTCAAGCTGTTTACACAACAACCAATACAAACCAATCCTGCAGAGCCTGCACCCCAAATACCTCCTCCATCAGGGTCTCACACTAACCACCCCAGGCCAAGGTATCAGATAACTAGGAATAACCCCTAGGCTCCAGAGATTATTCAAATTAGCCAACCCTAAACCTGCTTACCCTGTCTGGCCCTTTCCTTCCCATGAAAACCATGGTGAAGGTTCTTGCTCAAGCTTTCTCTGCTCCCTCAGTCTCCGGACTAACCTGGGGCTTTCCCATGTGCTCTCTTGTGGCGTGGCATGGCTCTTTCTCTTGGGATGAGTATAACAAATTCTCTTTTCAATGACAATCATCTGATCTGTTAGCTTTACCATACCTAAATAATAATAAAACCTGGCCAGGCATGGTGGCTCACACCTGTAATCCCAGCACTTTGGGAGAACAAGGGTGGAGAATTGCTTGAAGCCAGCAGTTTGAGACAAGCCTAGTCAACATAATGAGATCCCATCGCTACAAAAAAAAAAAAAAAAAAAAAAAAAAAAAAAAATAGCCATGCCAGGCTATAGTCCCAGCTACTTGGGAGGCTGAGGTGGGAGGAGTGCTTGAACCTAGGAGTTGAAGGTGAGCTATGGTTAGCTATGATCTTGCCATTGCACTCCAGACTGGGAGACAGAGTGAGACCCTGTCTCAAAGAAAAAATAAAAATAATAAAACCTGTGTTTTAAAATAGGTACATAAAGAGAAAGGGATAAAGGGTGGCAAAAGAGGACAGCCTGGCCCTAGTACTCTGGTCATTCAAATGAACTTGGATGAAATGTAGTTGCTCTGTCAGTTATATTTAGCAAAACAGTCACCTTGTATTATATGGGGTATAATATAGTACTCAACAGAGCCACTATAAAAAGCTTTGATCAAAGTGTCCACATTGAGATGTTGCATGTTACAAAAGGTGATGAGGTTTTTAGGGGTCCTTGACTTCTGAAGCACAGATTGAGTGCCACTGGAAAGAGAGCTTTTGAAGAAAATAAAAGTAGTCCCCATTCACCTAAACAATAACACTAAGGATTTAATCATATCAAATGTTCTCTATTCTAATATATCCCATTGAAGCTGCATCATGGAAAACTCAATGTGAAAAGCAAAGTCCCTATGAGACTGTATCCTTATTTAGGGCTTAACTTCTGTCACTACCTCTGGAGTAAAAGCTGCCCAAAGGCAGTTTTACCTGACTGTATCCCTAGCAGCTGGCACACAGTAGGTGCTAAATATTTATTTACTGACTGAAGAAATGTTTCTGATAATCTTTGATTAACAGAGTGAGAGATAATATAAAATATCAAAGATGCCCATTTAAGGAATTCAATAAGTGGAAGAATGACTTTGGAATTGAAAGTTAAAGCTACTCCCTCTGATCCAAACTATTATATTCCCACAACATTCTGCCACCTCTTGGAGGGTAATCTCGGACACTTATTTGGTGACAGTGGACATCTTGGCATCTCCTGGCTGTTAGTTGACCACTAAACCCCATTCAATTCTGCAGCCCTCAGGCTAACAGCTAGCCATCAATGAGCATTTTCCAGGGATTGACAATGCGCTCTGACAAATGGCCGAGCTCCTGGGGTGACTTGGATACCATTATTTCATGGTGTCACTTACCAAAGGCTCTAGCTCCTTGCGGTCTATGAGGTTCATCTCTGTGACAAAGTAATAGAAGTGTTTGTAGCAGGTGTTGACATGGGCCTCTGCACCCATCACAATGACCCGGTCGAAGTGGTGGATATAGACGTGGACAAAGACCCGGAAAAGGCGGCACAGGATCTTCTTGCAGATCTGAAGGAAGTTCTTTGGGAAGGGAACACCTAGAGAAGAAAAAAAGAAGAAAGAATGAAACCATGATGGGATAGATCCTTTTCCTCTTTCCTCTAATATGAAAACTGTCTGAGGGCAATGCTACAGGGAGACTGGCACCCGTCACAGGAGTCATAGGGAGTGTGTGTGTGTGGGGGGGGGGGGTTGGTAGCAAACTAGAAAGCACCTTCCACCTCCCCATCAAAGGGAGCAGTTGCTGCGACTACAGCCAACAGTGGCCATATAGGGATGGAGGCCCAGTGTTGTTAGAGCTTCTAATTTTTCAAGATAATTCAGAAATTTAGAGTTATACTTGGACCTGCTGCATTTTTTAAACATTAGCAATTAACTTGAAGTTTTAAAAAGTACCATGAGTCAAAATAAAACATCTCTATAAGTTACACTGGGCCTGCAAGCTACCAGTCTGCAAAGCTTTTCCTGAGGTATACTGTTTCTGAGGTGGGCAAATTCAATAACTTTCACAGATACTTTGCATCACAGATTCCCCCTTCGTCTCTTTGAGGAAGGTAAGAGTTGGGAGGAGGTCTTGTTTTTCATAACACAGAAAGGGTGAGTGGTCATCGAAGTCACTCAGATTTCCCGTCTGATGACCACTACTCCCAGCTCAGTAAAGCAACAAATTGCAGGATCGCAAGCCCACGTCCTTTCTCCATCTCAAACACTGCTTAAGCTGTTTTGTTATTTGCACTGTCCTTAAGTGGTGACATGTTGTAATGGGTTCCTAAGCTAAACAGACATTGTTTGAATTCTTACTCTGCTCCCCTTCCAGCTGTATGACTGTGGGCAAGTTGTTTGACTTTTGGTTTCTCATCTGTAAAAGAGCGGTCATAATAAGGTCTTCCTTAAATGGCTGGGAAGGTATTAATGTAAGATCCTCCTACAGCGCCTAGAACATAGTGAAAGCTTATTAAATTGATAATGTCCTCCCTTTTCTCTACAAGGTAAGGTCTGTTGTTATAAGGAAAAGAATTACCCGGCCAGATGCGGTGGCTCACACCTGTAATTCCAGCACTTTGGGAGGCTGAGGCAGGCAGATTGCCTGAGGTCAGGAGTTTGAGACCAGTCTGGCCAACATGGTGAAACACTATCTCTACTAAAAATACAAAAAAATTAGCCGGGCATGTGGCGTGCGCCTGTAATCCCAGCTACTCAGGAGGCTGAGCCAGGGGAATTGCTTGAACCTGGGAGGTGGAGGTTGCAGTGAGCCAAGATTGCGCCACTGCACTCCAGCCTTGGCGACAGAGTGAGACTCCGTCTCAAACAAACAAACAAACAAAACCAACAACAACAAAAGAATTACCCTTGTCAAAGAAAGGTAGAAATGACCACTAGCCTTTCAGCAAAATTGTAGAACTATGCACGGCACATGCCCCAAGTCCCCAGGAAGCCTGGAGTTTTGCTGTCCTTCCCTCCACAGAAACCTAGCAGCAGCTGTCTGGTGAGACACTGTAATGGGATCACCTGGGACCCCAGGGCAGGATGAGAAGGAACATGTCTGGCAGGCGGCAGTGACAAGATCTGCTTCCCTTGGGTCCCAACACTGATAATGGCTTTTCTTTGAAACAAAGTGGCAACATATCAAATGAACCCAGGGAGAAGTTCTGGCACTGCTTGGGAGCTGACTGCCTGGGCAACAGATGCTGGGATTTGGGGTTGAGGGTGCGGTAGAGCCAAGGAGAAGGTGGAGGGCAGCCACATGCAGAGTTTATGGGCTGCTTTCTCAGTGGAGAGGGGCCTGCAGAACTGCTGTTGCCACACTGGGGGCGGGTCTGGAGTCTTTGAAGCCTGAGTCCCAGAAGTGATGAAATTCCCTCTAAGATAGGTATGTTTCCTTCACATGGGGAGTCCTGTAACCCACCTGGTGACAATGCCAGGAGGTCGACATATGTTGTCTTCACAATGTATCTGTGGAATAGGTTTTATTATTCCTATTAATGTTTCATAGATAAATAGCACTGAAGCTCTTCAGCATGAATTCTGTTGCTAAAAAGTGGTAGGGCTGGGATTTGAACCAAGTCCGCCTGACTCTAAAATCCAAAAAATGAGTATTACAGAGTACAACGCTCTCTCTTCCCAGGTTAGAGGAACCACTCGATTGTCAAGCACAGTGAGGCATCTAAAAGTTACTCTTCAGTGGCACAGAGACATAAATAAGCAAAAGAAAGGGGATGGGGACAGAAGAAGGAGAAGGACAGAAAAATGTCCACAGCATCAGAAGCCACAACCAGAGGCAAGAAGAGGTCAGCTAACATACTCTGCTGCCTTCAACGAGAGTATGTTAGCTTTCTCTGCCCAGGCCTTAAGACCACAGACCTGGGATTAACAGTAAAAAGTAGTATTTACTGAGCTCTTACTATGTTCTAGGAACTGTGCCAAGCCCTATCTATAGATTAGCTAACTGAGCCCTCAGAACAGGCCTTAAATTACTTCCATCTCACAGATAAAGAAATAGATTTGGGACAATTAAGTAGCTGCCCAAGGTCACCCAGCGGGGAAATAGTAGAGGAGAGATTTAGCCAGTTAGTCTGACTCCAAAGTCCACGAGCACTGCTCACGGGCTCTGCACACACTTTTAGCTCTGAAGCCCTTCCTTTCTGGGCAGCTCAAACTCCCTCAAGTGTGCTCCCACTTCTCCTCCCCTGGTTCCAGTCTCATGGAAGCTCACCAGATGCTGGGGGACACAGGGACTTTCAGCTGTGCCAGTTTATCTGTGTGGCCCTTATAGCCAGCCCCCCTACCCTCCACACTGGCTACAGATAAGGCAAAGTTTTGGACACACTGCGGATGCTCATGGCAATTGCTGGCCCCTTTTAGACTGTCTCCAAGCGGCTCTGTTCCCCCCATCTCTGCCACTGCTCAGCTCAGAAATCTCAGCTGTGCCTTCCATTCCATACCTGGTCTCTGACTTGTCTCTGGCCTTGAAGGGGGTTTGCCTCTTGCCTATCCATTTTGGGCTATGGCTTTAGAGTAGTTGGTTTTGCAATCTGGAAGACCTAGTTTAAAATACTAACCTGACTTCTTACTAGCTACAGCTTATGTAGCCTATGTAGCTAGTAAGCAGTAGGGCTAGGATTTTAAACTAGGTCTTTAGTTTAAAATCCAGTCGAGTCTTCATCACTCAACTTTATTATAAAACTAATACACAAATTTACTTTGTAGTGTTTTTATTAGTATCTGTACTGTGCTTGGCACTCAATGGAACTTTGGGAGTAAGTTCAACTTTCATTATTTCCCACCTGAACTCCTCGGGTAGGTAGGACTCCAGGCTCAGAATCTCTTGGCTCTGGCTGCTAAGTCAGGCCCCACTCTTCCACCATTCCCTCCCTCCCATGTAATTCATTCTTCAAAAGCAAAAGCTGCAAACGGTTCAAGTTGAGACATGTTCAGCATGCACTGCAGTCACCCCAGGCCAACTCCAGACACTGCAAAGAGGTTGGGAGCCCTCAGGAGCCTAGGAAACCCCACTGGGTTCTCTGCTGAGTCAAAGACAAAATCCAGCTCACAGAGAGTGGGAAAAGAACAGGAAAGCTACATGCATTTGAAAAATTCTTATATTTATTGATGGTTCAGAGGCCAATTCTACAGTTTGCATACTATTTTCACCCTTTTCCCTTCTGCCTTACAGACGTCCAGATTTGTGTGTGTGTTTTAAATAAACCTCAGAAGGTGGGACTTGGAAGAGGTTATCCCTTCAGATGGCGAGACCTCGGATGTCCACCCCTTCTGCAGACTCTGGAACTTTCTCATTCTATGTAACTAACCTCATGGCAGCAAGATAGAACAAGATACAGCTTGCTGACCCACTCCCTTTCCTGGCAGGCTCCAGAGAGCCAGTTCATGAAAACTGATTGATTTGAGGTGGTTTTCTTTCTTCATGGTGCTGCAAAGAAGTATCCAATCTCCATTACATAACTAAAAGAAAAGGGAATTCCAAATGAGGGCTGATCTGTGTATGTGCAATGTCATTTAATTCCAGTGACACCCTGAGTAGTGGAATTATTATTTCAGGTTTTTCGTTTTTTTGTTTGTTTGTTTTTGTGTTTTTTTGAGATGGAGTCTCGCACTTTCGCCCAGTACAGTGGCAGGATCGTGGCTCACTGCAAGCTCCGCCTCCCAGGTTCATGCCATTCTCCTGCCTCAGCCTCCCAAGTAGCTGGGACTACAGGCGCCCGCCGCCACGCCCGGCTAATTTTTTGTATTTTTAGTAGAGACGGGGTTTCACTGTGTTAGCCAGGATGGTCTCGATCTCCTGACCTCGTGATCTGCCCACCTCAGCCTCCCAAAGTGCTGGGATTATAGGCGTGATCCACCACGCCCGGCTCAGTTTTTTTTTTTTTTAAATGGAAACTGAGGCTTAGCTCAGTTAAATCATTTGCCCCAGGCCACAAGGGTAAAAGGAGATAGAGATTTGGCTTCAAAACTCAGGCTCTTTCTTCAGCATCCTATAGGTTCTATGGTGTCAGGGAAGGTGAGGGACAAGAATACCATTTTATTTTAATTTATTCATTGTTTAAGGACAGGGTTTTACTCTGTCACCCAGGCTGGAGTGCAGTGTCACAATCACAGCTCACTGCAGCCTCAGCCTCCTGGGCCCAAGCAATCCTCCTGCCTCAGCCTTCCAAGTAGCTGAGAATACAGGCATGCGCCACCATGCCTGGCTAACTTTTGTAAATGTTTTTGTGGAGACAAGGTCCCACTATGTTGCCCAGCCTGGTCTCAAGCTCCTGGGCTCAAGCGATCCTCCCACCTCAGCCTCTCAACATGCTGGGATTACACGTGTGAGCTATCTTGTCCAGCCAAAAACACCATTTTATGACCTGCACTTAGCTTGCTTGTGGAAGGAGCTCAAAAAATGTTTGTTTTAAAAGAATCCAGCTCAGCAATTGGAAGAAGAAAGGCAACTGGATCACCTCGAACGGACACTTGGCTAGCTACAATGGCATCCTGGACCTGGGGAGCTGTGCATGGCTGGGTCTGAGCAAAGGGCAACCCGTGTTCTACATGGCACAAGTGACCCAACATCAGGACCATAACCAATGCCCTCCTTCTGCCTCATGAGTACATAAGACACGATAGACCCTCCACTTCAGTATTCCCCATTATGTGTTTTAAAAATCACTATTCTTGAGAGATCCTTGGCTAAAAAGAGAGGATTCTGAGACCAAATATATTGGCAAAAATGCTGTTTTCATAGAGGTTTACAACGTACCCAAGCATAGTAAAGGATCTGAGAATATCTGTAGCAAAAAATCCTATTTAAATCTGGATTCCCCTTTGCTTATAATAGCTATTGATTTAAAACACAGAGTCTGTAACCAGAACTCCTAGGCTTTATTTCTACCTTTACCACTTATTCACAATGTAGCCATATGCAGATGATGTAGTGTCTCCAAGCCTCACTTTCCCCTTAAAGAATATATCCCTTAAAGAAAAATGGGGATATATTAATGTTATTTGTAGCTTAGGGTGTTGTGCAGATTAATTACATAAACATCTAAAAGGTTTAGCTTACTGCCTTGCAGTATTCTATTGTGAATTGTTAGTTTTAGTATCCCATTGACCAAATGGTCTTTGTGACAAACTTTGGGATTAAATTCCTGGCTATTTATTTTCATGATAGCAGTCTTGGCATTAATACATCAATTCTGGACTTGCAAAAAACTTACAGTGGCAGGTACTAAATAAGCCCTGGAGTATAATCTACCTTGCATTATTTTCTACTAGTTTCTCAAACTTATGTCTTATATTGCTGTAAGTTCTCTGAACAAAGGGACTGTGTTATACTTTGATTCCACCTTTGAAAGCACCTGGCACAGGCAAGGCAGGGAATACTTCATCGATCAAAATTGAATCAGAAAAGAGCAGTGGTCTTATTTAGTCAAGATGTGAATCCATCATCTCCTGTTTGGGGGAGGCAAAAAAAAAAAAAGAAAACCCACAGCAGAAAGGATAGCTTTTTGCCAGACTCCTGATATATATAGTCCTGGCATGGAAGGCTGCATGTTGCTTTTGGGGAGAAGAGAAAACTTTGCAATGAGGAACACTGTGATCCAGCCTAGGGTGTGGAAAGGAAAAACTCTGAAACTTTCTTTTTATCATTGAAATCTTCCTTCTTCTCTTTTTTTTTTTTTTTTTTTCAGGTAGTGAGAGTTAATTTTCAGTCACTGTACTCAGAAAGTTAATGCCAGACAACATTAACCAGCAGTCCTAACTGAAATAGATTGTATATCTTAAGGGTTTGGAGTTAGATTTTGACTAGTCTTATAATAATCCAGACAAACCATCAGCAATAATACCAGACTGTTAGATATGTGCCTGTATTGATGATATAGAAAACAATCTTTGATTACAAGATCTCTAAGTGATTTGCAATCAATAATTGAGACTCAGAACATGCCCTTCTCTCTATCCTACCCTGAGCTACCACCAGTGGCTCTTAGCTTAAAAGCTGGAAAATTTCAGACTCCAAGAAGTTGGCCCACATTGAGAAAGTGTTCAGACTAGTGCTCCACAGAGAGGGGATGGATATCCAGGTGTCCAAGGATAACCCTGGACCTGGATGGCCTTGGGTCATGTGATGTAGCTTAGTTTCTGCAAACGGACCAGTACTGAAATGGAGTTAATGAGCCTGAAACAGGGCCAGCTGAGCTCAAGTTTTGGAGTGCGCCGAGGCAACATGCCTAAGCAGAGGCCAGAATCCAAACCAATCACTGATACAAGTTTCTAGCAGGAGTCTGCTCACCAGTTAGACTCAAAGCAAGACTAGAGTTTTCTGAGCAATTAGGCTAAGGAGGAGGCAGGCCAGGGTGCTGGGGTGAGGGTGGAGAGTAAGGAGAGTGCAGGCCTGGAGTCTCTCTTGAAGGCCTGATGAGACAGCCTTGTAGCCCTGTCTCTGTTGCTCATGAAGCCTTGGTACTCAGTCAGGAACCCGCATCTGACAGAGCCCTGCTGAGTTTATGAATGTGTCTAACCACAACTTTCTGATCTCCAAGCCACATTCAGTGTGAGAGCTAAATCGAGTATGAAACGTAATAATTTCTCTGAGGCCCCATGCAGATTTGCCTTTCATCTCTGCCTTAGGAAATCTCCTTTCTCCCCAAGAAAATTTAATAAAAATTCCAGTAATTTCTGCACTTCAACCCATTTTTCTTTCTTCCTCTTTCCCTCCTGCCCCTCCCTTCCACTAAGCCCTCAAACATCTCATTCAATCCTTCCTTTTCAGGCACCTCTGAAAGAAAATAAGTTGCCTAAATGGCTTGTGTTACTTATTTTATCTTGTTATGGAGGCCAAAAAAGGAAAAACTCCTTTAGAATATGCAGAAATGCTTCGGTTGACGAAGGTCCAGGAGACTGGGGGGTGGGGATGTGTGTTCTGAGCTGGCTGTTAATCATTCCTGTTTTCATCATTTTCCCTTTTCTTTGGAAGAGAAAGGCCAACACCTGGGAATGAGACTCTGATCTGTGATCGGTGCTGGGCTGAACCTGGGCTTTTGTGGTCTGAAGAGTAAGAACCAAAAGGTTGTCTCTGGGGATACTGGAGAACTGCCCCCAAACACCTCAAGTTCTGCAAACAACTGGCAGATAGGCCCCTTTATTGAGCACCTGGTTACTGCCTCTTCTTTCTTTAGAGCTTGGCTCAGTGTCTCCCATCATCCGCAGACCCAGCTTCCCTGGCATCTGTTATTCTGCTCCTGAAATTTTCCTGCATAGATCACACATGGTAATTCCACATGTATCTGTGGGAGTCTCTGCTTCAGGTCTGTTACCTGCTCCAGACTGGCCACTCTGTGAGAGCAGGGACGGTGTCCAGCCTCCTCACAAGTGTCTCCTTAGTGACGTCTCCTTAGTGGCCTGGCACCTGGAGCAGGGTGGGTATGGAATAAATACTTGCTGACCGTTGGAATGAGAGCTGAGCTCCTGTGCCGCCTGCATACCCTGAAATCAAAGCTCAAAGAGGTGAAGGGACAGACTTGGGCTTTATAGAGCTAGTTTGTGATGAAGAGGGATCTGAATTCAAGTCTGTCTCAGAGCCTATGCTCCTTCTATTCTGCCAGGAAGCTTTGTAGGGTTTCTACAGCTCCTTTCATCTCATGCAAATACGATTGACACAGCTGGGGAAACGAAACTTGTTAGAAGACAAGGTGGAAAAGGGTAGTTTGGCTTTTACTTTCCCAAATGTATGTGTCACTGGGGGTTTAGGACACTGGTGAAACGCCTGGCTCTGGCCTCAATCCCATTTATGATTCCAGCTGTGGGACTTCTGTGCTGCTTGCCCTTAAGCAACTTTGCTAACTGCCAAAAGCCTCTGTTTTCTTGTCTGAGGAATGGTGATAATAATACCTAGCTCTTCATGAGACCACAAGGACTAAATGAGAAGCACAGCACCAGCAGGCACACAGAAGGCATCTGGCAAATGGCAGCCGATGTTACCAACGCTAGGAAGACGGCTCTTCTGAATCAATGCCAAGACAGGGGTGGCAGGAGGGCAAATGAAACAGGACAGGTGAAGCTGCCTCTTCTCCAAAGGATAAACTCTTCTTGGAAAGTATACTTGGAAGACATGTCATATATTGGAAGAGCATGTGAACTGTCCAAGGAGCTTCCAAAGGACATATGATGAAACCTGATTTCCTGGCCAATCCTTTGGGACCCCTGATGGCATGTCAACAACAACCAGAAGTGCCCATGTTTCTCCTTGAAACTGTTATTCATGTCTGAGGGCATTTGTGCTGTCCCTTCTGTCTTCAGAGTCCAGTAATAAGAGGGATGTGAAAATCCCTCTACAAGTCATAAAAACCACTCATTCTCAATAGTTCATGAATAAAAACAACATCCCACACACGTGGAAAAAGAAAACATACCTCCTCTGGCAGCGTGGCTGAGAACACACCATTTCCAAAATACTTGCAAAACAAGATGCAATCGGATCACAAGGCAAAAACAAAACAAAACAAAACAAAACACATGAACAACACAGATGTTTCTTAATAATATATATCCTCCTCCTCTTAGCTTATTCTCTTGCCCCTTCATCCATCCATTCTCCTGCCTCCTGCTCTCTGTCTATATATATACATACATATACATATATATACACACACATACATACACACACACACACACACACACACACACACACATACAGAGAGGGAGAGAGAGAGAAGCTTCGTGTTCTTGCTGATGCTGATGAAAATTCAGCTGCGAGGATTGATTCCTCTTAGCAGATGTTTTGTGTTATCTCAGTACGTTCCTCAAGAAAGTGTCTGTTCGTCATGCCAAGGAAAACAATCCTGTGTAGCAGGACTTTGTTCCTCTGCCTAAAAAAAGAGAAAACAAAGTCCCCAAACAAGCTGACAGCTGCAAATGCTTAGAAATAAACTGGCTACTACTCTGTTTTCCAACTCCCTCCCTCTGCCCCTCCCCAGCCCCTTTGTGCTGTCCTCCAGTCTGTTATCATGGTGGTTGGGCCAAAAGAAAGACAAACAGTGGTATGTGATTATATGTTCTCAAGAGAGTCTTAATTCTTTCAGACATGCCATGTGCTGGGCATAGGAAGTGCTGTTTCAGCCACCCCAAGGAGCAACCATGAGTCCAGCGTGCCTGCTCGTCACACCTCCTCCTACCCCTGAGCGCCACTTCTGAGTTGCTCATCAGCATCCCCAGCTCCCAGATGGCTGCCTTTGTCCCCTGCTTTCACAGCATGGATGTGAAAGGAGCAGTAGATTAAGAAAGACCCAAGATAACCCGTGAAAGATATTCACTGTGGATTGACAATAAAAGCCATTAGAAACAAACCCTAGACCGTGTAAACCTGACCAGTTTGCTGAAAATCAAATGGGACAAATGAGCCAGAGCTGAGAACAGGATGTTAATGAACTTCATTGGTTCTGGAAAGTCAGGCTGAGGTACCAGGAGTTTGATCAGGAATATAGGTCTAGGACTACCACACCTTCTGGTTTTTTTCATGAGCCCCAACCAGAATTTGAAAGCCAGGTTCTTTGTCATGGATGTAATATTGTGAGTATCCTCACAAATAAAACTATTCTTTATTCCCCAGTAGAATCTTTCTTCCATTATGTGGGGACAATTAACACCAAGTCTTGTCTTGAACAGTTGCTGATCTCTAAATTTCTCTTCAGCCCCACTGCCTCCTTCCTAGCTCACCTCCTGCCTAGTTTATGCAGGTCCCTTGTAACTAAGCTTCCTTTCTTTACTCCTGCATTTCTTCAATCTCCACTTGGCAGGTGAAGGACCTTCCCAATACGCAAATCTAACCAGGAAGCCTGTTTTTCTGCATAAAACTCTAAAGCAGCCTCCTACTGCTTCCAAGGTGAAATCAAAGCTATTTAACATGCAGGCAAGACCCTTTATGATTTCACACATGCAGTGGTCCACCATCATTTCTGGATTCTCCCAACTTGCATGTAATACTCCAGCCATCTGAAGCTACGATCCTCTTTCTCACTTGCTTCTGGGCGTTGCTACATACTGGAGGGTTGGTAGCTGGAAACCTCTTCCTCAGCTTCTCCATTTCGCCTGACTAACTCCCATTTGTTATTCAAACCTTAACTAATTTGTCACTTCCTCTAGAACGTCCTCCCTGGCCACCTCACCCTCAGTCTAGGTAGGCATATCATAACACCCGCTGCTTCTTCCATGACAATACTACCACATCAACTTTTAATTGTCCTTTTTTTTTTTTTTTTTTTGTCTCCCAGGAGACTGAAAATTGTGTAATGTCAGGGATCTTTCTTGTTCATAGTCATAGCCCTGGCATCGAATGCATAGCAGAACACGGTGGTTCTCCATATGTAATTATTGAATGCAACGGATTGAATGCTTATGCCCCCCTCAAATGCACGTGTTGAAATCCTAATTCCCAGGCTGATGGTACTAGGAGGTGGGGCCTTTGGGAGGTGATTAGGTCATGAAGGCAGACACCCCATGAATGGGATTAGTGCCTTTAAAAAGGAGGGTCCTGGCTGGGCGCGGTCGCTCAGGCCTGTAATCCCAGCACTTTGGGAGGCTAAGGTGGGCAGATCACCTGAGGTCGGGAATTCAAGACCGGCCTGACCAACATGGAGAAACCCCGTCTGTACTAAAAATACAAAATTAGCCGGGCATGGTGGTGCATGCTTGTAATCCCAGCTACTAGGGAGGCTGAGGCAGGAGAATCACTTGAACTTGGAAGGCAGAGGTTGCGGTGAGCCAATATTGTACCATTGCACTCCAGACTGGGCAACAAGAGTGAAACTCCATCTCAGAAAAAAAAAAAAGAAAAAAAGAGGGTCCTTTTTCTTTCTCCATGTGAAGTTATAGCAAAAACTGCCATCTGTGAAACAGGAAGCAAGGCCTCACCAGACACTGAACCCACCAGACACTGAATCTGTCAGTGCCTTGATCTTGGACTTCCCAGCCTCCTGAACTGTGAGAAATAAACATTTGTTGTTTATAAGCCACTCTGTTTGTGGTATTTTTGTTGTAGCAGCTTGAATGGACTAGGCCAGTGAATAAACAAATAACCATAGAAACCTGAGTTGTGCGGGAGTGGTGAAGAGCTTCCCCTGCTTGGGTTCCCCTTACTTTTCCCAACTCCAAGCACTGGCCCTTGAGTCACAATCTGAAAACCACTGCTTGGTAGAAAGATCTCCATGGAATTGCTATAGGCCCACGTTTAACCAAGTCACGTCTAAGGAGTAACGCTACCGTGAACATTAATACACAGTTATCTCTTCACACCTTGCAGATCTCGGAGAGAAACGCATCTATCAGATTTTTACTGATACCGAGGAAGAAGTATCTCCCTCTTCGAATTGTATTGTACATTTGCATTGATGTGGTTATTTTCATCTAAATAAAGTCAAACAGGTAGTTTTCCAGAGTTATTAAAGTTTGCAATAAGCCAGATTTGGTTGGCAAATCATGCTGAGACACATAATGGGAGGAGGTGGGGGCAAGGGAGAAGATAGCAATGTCATTGATCCTCTTTGTACAGTTGGGGGAACCCAGAAAGAACAATTGGAACCCAACTTGAGCGGGGCTTTGCAGAGCCAAAGGGAACAGTGACCCTTCTGAAATGAACCTGAGATAGGAATAAAACTGTTGGGGGATCTTCTCCAGACAAACAGAATCTGAGGGAAAGACGGTGAGTGGATGCTGAGGACTTTTTCCACCTGACATAGAGGGGTTAAGGCAGCACTGAGCAAGAAATGGTGAGTCATTGCATTTGCATGTAAGATCCCGCGAAGGTAAGTTGAAGGGATAGGGAAGAAACCAGAAATGTGGCTCTAAAATCTTATCTCTGGGTCAAAGTCAAGCTAAATTCATGAACTAATTCAAGTAAATTATTTACTTGAATATGTCTTAAACAAGATATCACATATTCACATGCCTTCAGGGATTACAAAGGAACATGAATGAGTAAAGTAGGCTGGGTGTAATATGATCGGGAGTGGCGTGGACTGTGCCAGCCTGGAGAGTGTATTATGCAGGAAAGGAAAAAAGCCTCTCAGCCTTAGCTGATTGTTGGCCAGCAGGAATATAGATCTAGGACTGCCAGACCTTCTGTTTTTTTTCAAGATAATCCAGAAATCTAGATTCTTACATGAAACCTCCCCGTGGTTAAATTTTAGTTAATTCAAGGACACTAAAAAATTTTCAAACGTTTTATTTATTAACATTATTTAGTCTTATATAGCTCACTCAGCCTGGAAGTTGACTCTATAAGCTGACAGCTTAATTTTAAAAATTCAAATTTAAAAATTAAAAAAGAAGGAAAGAAAAACACTCTCGTAGCACTGAGCACATGAAACACATGGATCTTGGTTTCCAACATCATTTTTTAAATAAAGGAATCAGGGCCCCTTGGAGAAAATGGCTGATTCTAGGACTGAGGCAGGAAATATAAAAGATGGCCTGGGACACCTTAGTGTCAGAAAGAAAGGAAGTGCTAATAAAAACACAATGACAGGGGCGTAGGAGCCAACCTGAAAGAGCTCCGGAATGGCCCAAACTGGAACAATCTGAGCAAAAAAATAGATGGAGTAGTTTTGCATTATAACCTAAAGTAGAAAATAAATATCTGTGAGTTCACACTGATATAAATAAATGGTTGGATAGTAAATAGGGAAAAGAAAAATCTCCTGTGTAGTGAGATTCCAAATATGTAAATACTCCCTGTTCAAGGAGATGAATGAAGCTCTTGAGCGTGGGCTATGCTTGGTGAGTTGCTTCCAAAGAGTACAGTATAGGTGGCTTTATAGTCAAGAAACCTGGCAAACATGACCTTGACCAAGTGATCAAGGTTAACATCAACAGTGATCAATCGTGTTCATAGAATATGGCTTTGATACGATAAGTCGCTTCACTTCTGTGGTCTCCCTCCCCATAACCCATAAGCCCTATCTAACCATAAAAAAAATCAGACAAACCAACACTGAAGAATGTTCTACAAAACATCTGACTGGTAGTCCTCAAAACTGTCAAGTTCATCAAAACAAGGAAAGTCTGAAGAGCCTAAGGAGATGTGCTGACTAAATGTAATGTGGTATCCTGGATGGAATCCAGGAACAGAAAAAGGGCATTAGGGAAAAACTGAATACTGTGTAGAGTTTAATAACAGTAGTGTTCATGTGTTAGTTCCTCAGCTGTGACAAATGTTTTGTGAGATGTTAGCGATACTGGAAACTGGGTGAGGGATATATGGGAACTCTGTACTATCTTTACAACTTTTTAATAAACCAACTATTCTAAAGAAAATGTTTATATTAAGAGTTTATTTATATTTAAAAAACACTCTGTGGGTCAAAAATATTTGATTGGCTCCAGAGGCCATGAGTTTGTACGTTTTGATTTACGCACTAACATTTCTGTCTTTACTGTTATGCTCTGATCAGGACTGGCTACATAATTTGCAGAGCCCCTTGTTTAGAAATTATTAAGCACTTCAAGATGGCAACAGCAGAGTCTTAAACCAAGCATGGGGCCATTCTGAGTGCAGGTTTCATGACTGTGAAGCTGGCCCTGTCTCTGACATGTGATATGATCTGAACAGAGCTGTGGAGTCAGGAGTCATCCTTGCCAGATACAACTCCCACTATACACCCTTTGTTTGTTCATTAACTAATTTAATAGCTAACAATAGCAAATATTTATTTGTTTGCAGATGTGCTAGATACTAGGGATTCAGCAATAAGCGAAAGAGTTAAATTGAATAAGGTCATGTTATACCTAAGTTTCCAGCACTGGAAGTTGACCTAAGGACCTCCCCCAGGTACAGACACCCACAAGGCTCATCCCCTCACCCTCTCTATTTTCCCACTTTCTTCCATCTCAACTGCAATACTACCTACCTACAATGAAAATTCTATAGAAAAAGGATTTCTTAAGTTCCAAAATAAAATACATAAAAGTTTTTTGTGACTATTATATAATATTTGCAATTTAAAGTCTCAATTACATTGGCTCCGAAGAGAAACTTTTATTTCCTGGGCATCCAATGGCACCAGCCATGTAAATATCCTTATCCCAAAAAAAACCAACAAACTCTGCAGTTGTTTTCCCTATTTTGTGGATGAAAAAATACTGTTAAATTGAATTTGGCCAAAAGCCGCCTCCTCTACTTTAAGTCTGGTCTAAAGGTTTGTCAGTACCTAATGAACCCAACTTGATGAGTAAACAGGCTATATCCTACTCTTGCAGCAAGTAGCCTAGTCTTAGCCAATCACAGTAGCTGAACCACAGACAGACATCTGTTTAAACCTGGTTCAAATAAGGCAAATGCCCAGCTGTAACCGATCCAGCTGTTTCTATACGTCACTTCCGTTTTCTGTACTTTGCTTTTTCTGTTGATAAATGTTATCCAACCAAACAGCAGCCCTGGAGTCCCTTTGAACCTGTTCTGGTTCTCAGGGCTGCCCAATTCATGAATAATTCTTTGCTTGAATAAACTCCATTAATCTGTCTGAAGTATTTTTTTTTTTTTTTTAAATAATGAGAAACTAAGAGAGGCTGCATCACTTGCTTAAGTGATACAGGTGGTGAAGCTGGATTTAAACCTAGATCCCACTCACTTTGAAACAGCCACTTCCCAAATAATATACCCTCTACCCCTCAAAAACCAAGGCAATTCCTTTAAAATTATTAACTTAATCATCCAGAAAGTACCCTCAATGGTTAGTCATGGAGTTTAAAAAGTCCTCAACTGAAATAAATTACTGTTAGACTAGTAGCCAATTTTAAGGTCCTTATGAAACACAACTTTTGAGGAGAACTGGTCTTTTGGAATTTGGTCTTGGTGAGGCAGGAGTGGGAAGAGGAGGGAGAGGACAGAGGTGACTAAAGCAATGGTCTCTCTAGAACTTGACATTCACAAGCAGAGATGAGAAACTGGTGCCTGCAGGCCAAAGTCAGCCCACAGGACTGTCTTCTTTGGACTACATATTTTTAAAATGCTACCAATATTTAGAAACTGGAAACTATAACACAAAGACGAATTCTTGCTTCTCTTGGAATAACTCAGAAGACCTGGCACAACTGGACTGAGATTCCCACATGGCAGCAGCTCAGTAATGTCTGCTCCCCATACATGGAAGATGCTGTACTCATCTGAGGAGCCCCATTCATTCCATTTATTTATATTGCCAGCTGGACCCTTGAGAGGAAAAGTTACCTGTGATTGCAAATTTGATTACAGCAGATGGTGGGCACTTCTGGCTAGGTGGCCTTCCTTGGGACAGGTGTTGGCCATTTTAGGGAGCAGGGGCTCTGTCCACCATGGGGCCACCCCAGAGTGGGGTCCACTGGCCTGCCACCTGCTCCTTTACATTGGGCCATCCATCCCAGCTGTTATTCAAGCTCTGGCCAAACCACTTTTGTTTTGTAAGGCCAGGTGAGGCTTGGTTGCATAGAAGATGTCTTTTGGCCATACTGGAAAATCATTACCCTAGTAACACTGTCTTTGAGTACCTCATACTTGCAGCTTCTTTGTTCTCCCAGCCCCAGCAAGCACTGGAGTGGGGTAGTCACTCTTTTTGGTTCTCCGTTTAACATAAATGTGCAGAAGGCACCATTTACTTGTTTTCTGAACGGAATCCCAGGGAGCATGAACAGACAGACTTCTGGGGATGATGAAGGCACATGGGCTTCATGTTTTGCAATACAAGAGTTTTCTCCATATGTTCTTTCTTTATTAACATTCATAGGTGGTCCTTGAGTTACATATGCTTAACTTTCTTACCTCCTGCATATTTGCACACTACATGGACATTGCTAAATTCCCTTTACTAGGGTGCATTTGATCTATGATACATTAATTATAGTGGATGCTTTGGTGATGTCACACAGAAGCACTGTGGAGGAGTGTGTACTCGCTAGAGGAGAGGACAAAAGCCCCACACTCACCCCATGCATCCTGAGGAGCCTCTAGCAACCCCTGCTGCCTAACCCCATTAGAAGAACCACCTTGCAGAGCAAAAGCCCTTTTGCCCAGCACAATCTCCCTAGGTTCCTATGATGATTCTCACATTTCCAGGTCCCAAAGGCATTAGCACCCATTGGGACCTTAATTAACAATTGTAAGATGCTTTCTAATTCTCTGAAAAAACTTCTAATCTACAAATGCATGCTTTGTATTTCAGGCAGACATTGTAGAATGTATTTACAAGAATAGGTGACTGCCTACACAAATTCTTTTGGTCTAATCATAAAAGTAATATTGTTTAAAAATTAGAAAATGTTATCATTATCACCCATAATCCCATCAAGAAATAATCACTGGTAATATTTTGTTGTGTTATCTTCCAGTCTTTTTTCTGTGTGTGTATGTATATAGTTTTGTTAAAAGTACAATTAGAGTCATACTAAATATTCAGTTTGTATCCTCCTTTTTGTACTTGACATAAGTATTAGATATTCTTTGAACAATGAATCACCATATAACCATCACACAGACTCAGCAATTATCAAGACAAAGTAATACTTAGATGCCTCTTCTTGTACATATCTTTGACAGTTGGTCCTGACAATTTTCCTTGGCTAAATTCTTAGGAGTGGACTAAATCCCATTTACATTACATTTTACATTAAGAGTTCATGAACACTTTGCATTATACTCCACAATAGATGTTTGTTTCATAGAAAATATTGAAATGAAATGAATGAGCACTATTTGTCTTGCAGTGTTGGTACCCGTTGCACACACTGAGTTTCCCAGAAGTATGCATGCTGCCGTTAGAAAAAAATGGACACAGGACTCAAGAACCAAAGCTATAAAAAGGAATTAGTAGTCTTCCTTTGAGTATAGCAGTGGTTCTCAACCCTGGCTGTGCATTAGAATTATCCAGGGAACATAAAAAAATAGAATGGCAGTGTCTCACACTAGAACAATTGAATCTGAAGTTCCTCAGATGATTCTAATGTACAGCCCTGGTTGAGAAATACTGGCCTACAGAAGTGATTCTTTAAGTGTGGTCTCCGGACCAGCAGCACCAGCAATATCTGGGAGCTTGCTAGAAATGCAAATTCCCAGGCCTCAACCTAGCAGCACTGAATCTAACACTTGGGGACAAGGGTCCAGCAATCTGTGCTTTAAGATGTCCTCCAGAAATCTTGATCCATGACAAATTTTAAGAACCACAGGCCTAGAATATTCCTGGCTCAAGGATCTAGCTTGCTTAACCAAGTGGGAAGTCTGGCTGAAGATTTACAGAATCTGGTGTCTGACTTGAACTCAAGTCTCTCGTCTCCCATTTATTAGCTACACGATCTTGGGCAAATGACTTAGCCTCTCTGAGGCTGTTTCACTGTGAAGGACATAAGGATCTTAATAGCATCTACCTTGTTGGGCTGTTGTGAGGATTAAAGGGAAAATAATGAATGGTATTTTCCAAAAGGTAGAACTTGATAAAATTTGCTATTTTCATTAGCCATCAGAGAACTATTACTGTGGTCAGGAGATCAGGAAGGAAGCCTCCGAGGTGGAGGGAGACAACTGATCTGTCAGTCTGAACACCCAAAACAGATGTTTGTTTCCTAACTCTTTTCCAGGCCTAGGCTTGGATTTAGATTACACCTGCTGTGACACAAATACATGAATCTCCCAGGATGAGACGATGAGTCATTCTCTCAGGAGCTGTCTTCACACTACGGAAGTGCTGAAAATACACGGCTAGAGAGCCGGGCTTGGTCATCTGGACCTCAAAACTGCCAGGGGTGGGAGGAAGGGGAGAAGGGAGGGGACCACCCTTCTAACACCTAGACCAGTGTTCTCAAACGGGAGCCCTGAGAAGCACCTGGAGTGCTCACTGAACACAGACTGCTGAGCTGCACCCCCAGAGTTTCAGTGAGTCTGGGGAGGGGTCTGAGAACTTGTGCTTCAAACAAGTTCCCAGGTGAGGTTTATACAAATCTGACCACACTTTTTATGCTAAATTGAAAACACTGGCAAAGTTCATGAAACTGCAAGGCAACTGAACTGTGACCTATAAAAAGTTTTAAAAACTAGCGAAATGTTCTCTAAGACTTTCACATTTCCTCTGTAAAATTCAAATTCCGTTTGACATTCTATTTAGGTTTGCCCCAGAGTAACACTGGCCAACTTTACAGAAGTGTGGATAGTGACGTTCATTTGAACCCTAGGTCCCCCACAGGGGGTTGAAGGGCAGGGTGATGGGCAAGCCCAGCCTGTCTTGCTCTGCTCTCACAGGTAGTGGGGTAAGAAATCATTCACTGTCACCTCTCCTTCCCCCAAGAAGCCAACACACATCAATCACTTAGACTAAGAGTTTGTATACACCACATCATTTAATTCTTCCTGCAATCTATGAGGTATGGGCTACTTATGTCTCAATTTTTACAGATGAAGGAACTGAAACTAAGAGAGGTTAAACTTTCTGAAGACACATAGCTAGTAATAAGGATCTTCAGGTCAGAAATCAGATCTCAAAACCTTTGCATTTCTCTTTCTGACCTACACAATGAGTAGAAGAGTCTTTGCTTCTAGACTGAAAAGACTGTGTGTGACTGAGAATGAATCTCAGCTGGGGAGGGAATGAGGTCATAAGGATGGATGCTGCATCTGGACATGGGTAAAAAGGGACACATATTGCTGCTCACCTACTCTCCAGCAGGCTCTGATGTCAGCTCTGGACAAAGTGAACAGGAGGCAAAGCTGGCCCTGATCCCATCTAGTTCCCTCAATGATGTGGCCAGAATGATTACATTCACCACTACTCCTGGCGCAAGGGCAAAAGCCAGGGTTTAGTCCCAGAACTATTGGAACCAGGGGGCAGCTTGGCCAAAGGACCGTGAAGGTGAGGGCCGGGGATCTGGTGTGCCAGTCTGTGTTCTTCTTCCCCCTGTATCTCACTCTATGGCTTTCTGGTCCATTCTCCCAGCCCTTGCCAGCCCTGATGACTCCCTGACCCAGAACCACACCTGGGGAATCCTGTGCATCTTTGAGTATTGCATGTGCATGGGCAGAGCTGGGCATGTGACCAAAGTGATAAAGGAAATGAAGGTCTTATCACACAGGGAGGCTAGGAGAAGACTGGAAGGATAGGGCTCAAATATTTGAAAGAAGGTCATTTGGAAGAGGAAAGGGAAAAGAAAATTGCAAACCACTTATCCAGGGCCACAAAGCTAACAAGTGCTAGAGTGGAATTCTAGCCCACGTCTTCTGAGCTCAAAGCTCAAAGCTTGCTCTCTTTCCACTGCTCTGTTCTGCCTCCTCAGGGTCAGAAGGAACCCCTTCCTTTAGGTCAGCATGAAGACAAATTTACATTGCCTAAGGTGTCCAAAATGGGATGCATTGTCTCAGGTGATAGTGAGCTCCCCAGGCTGGAGGTGTTCAAGAAGAAGCCCGGAGACCACTTGCAAGGGTTGTTGGAGCGGGGATTCAGGCAAGGGAAGATGGTTTTCATCTCTGGTTGCATGTTACCATCTCCTGCATTGCTTCTCAGCAGAGTGGATTCCCAGACCCCCTTGTGATTTACTGGCTCTTGGGTGCATCTCAGGAATAGGTGACTTTTAAAGCACCCTTGGGGATTCTAACGCACCTTTAGGAATTACTGGGGTTTCCTTCAACTCTGAAATTCTATGACTTGAGTTTTTGGCATAAGAGACAGCTAGCTGTGGGGTGACAGTGCTGGTGACAACAATATTCGATAATTACTGAGGGTTTACTCTGAACCAGGACCAGTCATTACCTCACTGAGTCCTCACCACAACCACAGGAGGCAGGTACTACCATCATCCCCTGTTCACAGATGAGGAAACGACAGAGGAAGATGAAGTTTCCTGCCCAAGGTCACACCCCAAAGTGTTGGAGGAGCCGGGCTGTGAGGGCTGCAGATCTTTTCTCCTTACCATAGGAGCAGAAGGCACCAAGTGAGACCTGGTCCAAAGCCATTCAGTCCAAGGCAGGTTCTGAACAAAAGCCCCCAGTGGTTAATCTCCCAAATAAAAACTACACAGTCCAGGAAGCACCAGGAGAGTGAAACAGACCCTCAGATCTTGAAAAGATTATAAGCACTGAAAGAGTTGCAAAGCTCTCAAGGCATAAAGTCTAACTATTTCTTTGGTCTAAATATATCATATTTGGTTTTTCAAAATGTAAACTTTTCAATATAGTACAAAGTGTACCTAGGTAAATCTTACTGCTATTCGCTCACCTAAAAATAAAACAAAACTTGTTCGTTAAAAGTGCTTCCATTCAGTTATAGAATATTCAAACAAAGTGTCATTAAGTATATTGACACAACGGTTAAAACATTAACCCCAGTGAAACTCCTGATGTGCCAGTTCAGCAGAACCCACCCACGCCTTTCTGGGAAAAGCTGGATCAACCCCTGTATCTTGCAAGTTGTGTCTAAATCCTCACCCACCACGAGGTCTATGGGCCCCCACTAGCAGTGCAACTTTAGTGCATACCCATTCTCCACCAAATATGTTTTATTTTCCCTCTTGGGACCAATCACAAAGTTCTGGGGAGGGGCCAAGTGCAGAAAAAGAGATAGGATTTTTTTTTTTTTTTTTTTTTTAGACAGAATCTCACTCTGTCGCCAGGCTGGAGTGCAGTGGCATGATCTTGGCTCACTGCAACCTCCGCCTCAGCCTCCCGAGTAGCTGGGACTACAGACGCCCGCCATGACACCCAGCTAATTTTTGTATTTTTAGTAGAGACAGGTTTTCACCATGTTGGCCAGGATGGTCTCGATCTCTTGACCTCGTGATCCACCCGCCTCGGCCTCCCAAAGTGCTGGGATCACAGGTGTGAGCCACCACGCCCCGCCAAGAGATAGGAATTCCATACTATAAGGGCTGAAGCCACTGGGCATTTTCCAGGTTGAATAAATGCCTTATTCAACTAACTCTCATTAACGATGACTCTGGGCCAAATGGTGGGAGGAGTGGAGGTGGTCCAGCTTCTGGCCCCTCCCCACCCCCACCCTTGTAAATCACCCTTGTTCTTGCTGTAGTCCAGGGCTCTTAAGCTATTCAAGCTATTTCAGGATCCATCCCCCACCTGCCCACCACCCCCTCATAGTTCCTAACCCCTCATAAGAGATTAGTTAAAACTTATAAAAGGGAATTGAGACAGCCTAAATGGCATCAACCATTCAAAGAAGATGTCTGGGGCTTTCCACACTGCCTAAGGAAGTTCAATTTAACCTGGGGGTGGGATGAGGCAGAGCCAACTCCACCTTTTCAGATCTAGAAATCATCTGGGGAACATCAGTTCACTACCTCTCACTGGGCTCATGATCTGGGTGAGCTTTGGAGGAACTTGTTTAACCTCTCTAGGTTTCAGGCTCCTGAGCTGACAAGACATGCAGCTGAGATCAGTATGCCTCAAACTCTACTGCAGGCATGGAGGTGCTGCTGAATGGTGGAAGGAGCAAGGAATCCTGTTTTCCTCTTATCTATCCATAGTGGGTGTTTAAGTTCTCGGTAGAATTACACTTGACAAAATTAAAGTTTGAAAAATCCTGGCCTAGGTAATTTCTAAGGTGCCTTCTGGACCTAACATTCTATGGCTCTGACACTCTATTTCCCACAAAAATAAATGGCTGTTGCCTCTCGGTGTTGCCTCCCCAGTCCCTGCTGATCTGAGGACTGCTAAAGACTTAACACATCTTCCCTGAGGCTGGAGTCCTGGGGCTACAAGTCTGTCTCTGCCAAAAGACTGAGAAGCTGCCTACATTTTCTGTGCTTCTTGGGACCCTGAGAACCCTGAGTGGCCCTGGAATTCTGCTAAGTGCCTATGGAAACCAAGCCAGATGTGGATAGCAGAGAACTGGGTGTAACGGCAACACCAGTCATCGCACTCTAGGCTGGGCCCTTTGTGGCACTGCCTGATTTTGTGATGGAATTAAAGATGTTTTCCTTACAGGTAGCCCTAGAACTTTTTTTTCGTTTAAGAGACAGGGTCTCACTCTGTTGTCCAGGCTGGTGTGCAGAGGCGCCATCGTAGCTCATTGTATCCTCAACCTCCTGGGCTTAAGCAATCCTCCTGCCTCAGCCTCTTGAGTAGCTAGAACTATAAGAACGCACCACCACATCCAGCTAAATTTTTATTTTATGTAGAGATGACGTCTCGCTATGTTGCCTAGGCTGGTATCAAACTACGGGGTTCAAGCAATCCTCCAGCCTTGGCATCTCAAAGCGTTAGGATTACAAGTGTGAGCTAAGTCTGGAAAAAGTAACATTAAATTGATGAGGGGTGGACATTAACCTGATACGAGTGGGCATTCTCTAGCTTCGGGCCTTGGAGTCAGAAAGCCTTGGGTTCATAATTCTGACATCCCCTCAGTCTGCTCTGTGTCTTTGAGCACATTATTTCGTCTAAGTGTCAGCTTTTCCATAGTTCAAATGAGCGATGAAATGACATTTGTATGTGTTGACAGCTTGGCATAGTGTCGGGCACTGTAAATGTTATTGTTATTATTGCCACCACTTTGTACTAGGTCAATTCCTCGACAGCTTTAATATGTGATGAGTACTGAAAAAAGCAAAAAAGTTAAGGGGCTCAAAGACACCCAGCTGTGTGGAACAACCACTGCTTCAGATATCAGATCGATTCTCTTTCTACACAGCCTTCTCTGCCTAAAGCCCCAGGTTCCCCTTAACACACTGAGTAGGATCAACTGTTCCTAGTTATTCCTGGTGCCCTGACTCACTCTTTCATCCAGAAGCTAGAAAGATGTGTGCTGTTTAGAAGATCAGGGCCAATCCTTCTCCAACCCCCTTCACCCCCATGGCTGAGGGTGGAAAAATGCACCTAATCAATCCGGGCATGTTGTGAGTTCCTTCACCATGATTCAGACAAACAGGTCCGTGGCTCCTACCTAGGCTGAGAAAAGACCAGACCAAGAATTCAGTGGACCTTGCCCTCCCAAGGCATAATAAAAACCCGATAAATGTGAACTTGCAGTAAGATATGCCTCTCTGGTGTGAAATGAGAGGTGAAGGTGATATATATATATATATATATCCATCCAGGGGCCACTTGCTATGTTATTCACTGCAGAACTGGTGCTTTTTGCAGTTCCCTGAGGGGTATGAAACTGCCAGTGCTTCCCTCTCCCCTACCCAATCCAATTAAATCCCCACTTCAAAGCCCCACAATAATCTCATGAACTTCCAGGACTTAGTGCTATGCGGTCTTTATGTGTTAAAGATATGAATGATGAAACAAATAAAACTAACAAGCAAGAAGGTATTTGGGGGAGAGGAGAATAAATTGATTAGTAAGATCATAAGAGAGAGTTTAGCAGGGAAAAGAATGTGGGGGGAGAAGAAAATGTCCATCAATAGACACTTATTGTGTGGCAGCCACTGTTTAGACCTGAAGGTGAGGGGGTTAAGAGCGTGGATCTAGGACTCCCAGCCTACCCATGTTCACACCCTGCTTGCACATGATCACTTGGACAAATTATGCAACCTCTCTGTGCCTTGGAGGTAATAACAGAACCTCACCCACAGGGCTGTCATGGCGATGTCAAAAATTCATATATATGGGAGCCCTTACAACAGAGCCTGGTGCATAAAAAGTGGTACAGAAGAATTTGCTATTATTAATAAAGTTTCTCATTTAATCTCTCCCTCTCATTTCTGCCTTTATGAAGTGGCAGGGTTCAGGTTTTATAGTTGGAGAAACTGAAGCACAAATAACTTATGTGGGTAGGAAGTTGAAGTTTGGGAGTTCAAACTCAGGCTCAAATGATTCTAGACAAATAACAGAGATTCATGAAGGTTACATGAGAGAGGGCCAGATAACCTGTTGAAGGAATTGACAGAATGGACTTGGGGTGGCTCCTGGGTCAAGTCAAGAAGGACAAGCTGCTTTTTTATATGTGGATATGGGTGTAGAGGGATAACTAGTCCTAGAAGCAGATTGTTTTCCCTTTAAATCAGGACAGAGCTGCTCTGTGAACCCAGTAGGCTGGTGCCTTTAAAGAGTGTCTGGGAGAGATCTATGTAAATACATTTCCTGTTCAGGTGCTAGCACACTGCATTGTTCATTTATTATTTATACTGCGCTCTACCCAAAACATAGTGGGTACTTATTAAATGGTTGCAATTACCTTACCTATGTTGGCATGAGATTAAATTTATTGTATTGTCTAGCATTTCCCCAAAGTTTGCTCTGGATATAGCAAGATGTTCCTTAAAAAAATAAAGTGAATCATAGTTAAATAAAATGCCATTTACTCAAGCCCCTTCCAGGAAATTTCCTGGTATAGATAAGCATTATAAAGGCTCTGAGAAATTCTACAGTAAAGAAACCTGCTTATTTTCAATGTGGTGTTTCCCAAACCTACTTAGCCACAGAATCCTTTTCTATATAATAGAAACTTTGGGGAATATTGAAGTTACCCAACTAAACTTTGACAGCCCTGCAAGGGAGGAATTATTATTCCCACTTTCCAGGGAAGCTCATCTAGTAGGTCATGGAGCCACGGTTAGACACCCACATCTCTGCCTCTGGAACAAGGACTGGGCCTAAGTTCATACACTTTTTTTTTAAACTATAAACTTAAGGAAACAAACTACTATCATTTTTCATGAATGGTTTAAGTGCACACCTGTCTAAAGCTGAGAAACAGACCAGAAGCTGACCTCTGATGGCATTTGGTATTGGTTCCAGAGATGGGACTGAGGAGATCCTGTTATTTCAGAGCTCAGTAATTCAAACAATCTCAATCCATTCATCTTGGCAACTAGCTGGCACACCCCTCACTGGACTAATGAAAAAAATCTGGCCATTTGACAGCAAAATCATTCTTATTAAAACAATTGTTCCAGAATTCATTCTTCCACAGAACTCATTCTTCCAGAACAATTCTTCCAGAACAATTCCAGCAGAACTCATTCTTCCACAGAAAACAGTGGAGGTGAACGTGCTTTAGGACTGGAAGGCAGCAATGCTCTTTCCCCAATGGCTCCCTCCAGTATTTCCCTGGCATGGCTGGGTGTCAGACGGAAGCATCTCTGTCCCCCACACCTGCCAAATGCCTCTCTGCACAGTAGCCCAGCTGTTCTGCCAGTGAGTAGCATCAGGAACTGAGACGGGTCCTTCTGGCCCATGGCACCACCTGTGCCTTGGGGGAGAACCTTGGGTGAGGGTGAGACGCTGAGCCTGGTCCTTGCCCAGCAGCCCCAGCCTCCAGTCCCTCTGCCAGGAACTTGGGTCATGTCTCTCACAATACGTAGGTTGGCCAGGCAGTCCCTGTCAAGAGGAAGCAGGATGAACATTTGGGGACAACTAAGGGATGGAGATAGGCACCTTATCCTAGAAAGTAGCATCAAGTCAAAGCTGTTTAATTATCGTTGCATGGCCCTGCTACAGGGCAGGAAGCAGGAAGGCAAGGGGATGAGGAGGGGGGCAAAAGGAGGGTCTTTAGAAGTCATTTGCCTGAACATGTTTTCTTGCGGAATTTCCTCTGTAGGGTTTAACATACTCCTCTGAATTCTTATATTCACGTAACTTTTTTTTATAGCAAAGTAGGACACACAAAACAACAGTGATTCTTTTTTGCCAAGGCATATCAACCTGATCAACAATTTATTGAGCACTTCCAAGTGTCAGGCCCTGTACGAGGTAACCATGAGACAGAGTGACAAATAAGATAAACGGAGGAGGTAGGTCAGGACTGACTGGTGGTTTTGAAACTGTATTCTGGAGGTTTTACAAAGGTGCCTAAGGGGCCTTGGTGAGGTGTCAGGGTGGTGAGGGGTTGAGAGGGTGGGGTCCTCTCCTGCATACCTGCCCTCTCTCTCACTCTGTCTCTCCCCACCAACTTAAACAGCTCTGTTCTCTGTGTTTTCTTGCAGGGAGAGCTGTTGGGAGACTTAATTTATTAATGTCTATAAAGCCTTCAGGAATTTTTGAAGGTACTTTCTGCAGGGCAGGTCCAGGAACGGGACTCTTATTAATCATGCAAAGAGAGATGCCAATATTGATTGCCCTAATGGATTCTGGCAGAGAAAACACACTTGAAGTTAATTGTTTACTGAGAGCTTTCAAGCAGTGCAAGCACTGGCCAGACCTGGCACTTGCTCAAGCACCTACTTGCTCCTTTTGACAGTTTGCTGTGGCAGCTGCTAGGACAAGCCCTGGAGCACCTTGAGGTTTGGATGCTTCTCATGCAAACTCAATGAAGGGTGCCTCCAGGCCTTGTGAAGAGAGGGAATGAAGAAGATTCGCTGACACTTTGCCCTCAGACATGTCTAGGGAGATCTGCAACCTGCTGAGCACTGGACACCTGGGTTGCTGTGCAGACATGTGCAAGAAGCACATGGACAAGCCATCCTGCTGCTGCTTTTCCTTGGGCTTATGATAGTCATAGGCAGGAGGCAGCTCATAGAAGACACTGGGTGCCCAAGAATGAGTCCAAGTTTCGAGTCTGCCTCCCTTGCTGCCTCATTTGTGACTTTGGGCAGCCGACTTCTCTTTTTAAGCCTGTATTTTCTCATGTGTAAATCAGGGGACAGTGACTGTTCCTATATCATGGGATTGAGGGGTTTAATTATTCATGGAAAATGATAAGCACATGGTAAGTGTCCATTTCAGTATTATCATTATTATTGACACATGGGAGAGGAACGATTCAACAAAGCCAAAGGAAATGTTCAGTAACAGCAACAACCCATTTGACAGTCTTGGTCTGGGAGTAATGCTTGTCAAAATGAAAACTAAAGCAGATTAAAGGACCTGCTTTGTTGATGCAAATTTTCGATCTTCTCAGGAACAGCACGAATAATTTTTTTCTTCACATGCTAGAATGCATAAATCTAAAACTTCTCTCCTTAGAGAGATTCACCAGATGGAAGCGCTTTTCAAAGGAATTTCAAAATCTATATATGTAGCACAAACAGGGTCATGTGGAACACTGTACCAGTTGTCATCACATTCTTGATGGCCCTTAAGGCTCAGTCTGCCTGAGTTCCACTGATATTTTATGAGCTACAGGAATTGCATTCAGAGCACATCTTGAAGGAAAATGTCATGAACTTATCTTTCCAGGGGCCAAGGCAGCAATCAAAGTATCAGCTCACAACTCTTGTGTTATATCCCTCATTCAAGCACATTCCTCTCTGCAATCTACTTGCTCCTGGAGGAGTTTCTGGAAGAAGTGTGAGCTCTCATCCCTCCTAAGGCATGTGAACGCAGCACACCTGTAATTTCACAGCTGCCTGCAGTTGCCACAGTAATGCAAATGTTTGTGTTGGCTTCTCCGTGAACTCTGGAAATAGCAGCAAAATGTGGCAGAGTTGCTTCTGCGTACCAAAATAAAAGTTACAAGCTTGTGAAAATGAATCACTGTGACTTAATGAAATCTGTGGCCTAAATGTGTGCTTGCTGAGAAAACTGAAGTTGGATGCCTCCTTTAAACAGAATGAAAGGGGAGACATGAATGAATAAATGAATAATCATTCATTTAAAATATTTATCATGGGTAGGAATCATGATTTCTAAAATTCTGTGGGGATTTTCTACTGAAGGGACTTGGTAAATTTACAAGTGTAATTAAGGATTAAAGGTGATGAGTCTTAACAGGCAGACCATTTTATACACACCTGCCCCATATTCTCTCATCAGATGCCTATCCCTCTTTTGGAAATAGTAAAGAGCCTGGATCTGAACCCAGCTTTGCTGTTTCCCTGTGTAAGCTTGGGTAGGTCACTGCACTTCAGTTTCCTCATCTGTAAAATGAGAATCATAATAATAGTGCCAAAGTCACTGTGCTGCTATAAGGAATTCAATAAGCTAATATGTTAAAAATATTTAGACTATGTATGGCAAATTCCTATATAAATGTTAGCTGCTGCAACTACTATTATTATCATTATCATAATTACCATCAGATTCTCCTGGTACATTCTTCCTCCTCCAGGATACCCTAAAGTTCCCTGCATCACCAACACTGATGGGAATATTTTAAGGCCAGAGATATCCTCTTTAGAAAATGGTTAGAGTTATAGCATCTCCTTGACCACTGACCTGGATTAACGTTTCGGATGGATTGAAAGTCACCTTGAAAGACAGAAAGTACAGGCTCTGAGAGGCTAGGATGGAAAACAAGGACAGTACATTAAATGGAGAAGAGAGTTTGTCTCGCAGCAAGGGGTACCACAAGGGGTTAACATGTCAGAGTCCTCTTACAGCCATGTTTCTCAACTAGAAATGATTTTGCCCCCCACAGGCAACATTTGGCAATGGCTGAAGGCATTTTTGCTTGTCATAATTGGGAGTCAGCTACCACTGGCACCTGGCAAGCAGAAGCCAGGGATACTGCTAAACATTTAACAATGCACAGGACAGCCTCCCATAGCAAAGAATTATCCAGCTCAAACATCAATAGTACCAAAGTTTAAAAACCCAGTGTTAGGATAAACCTTGGAAAAACCTTGTTTCCAAAGGAGCTTCCACTTTAGGTTGCACATACCGTTAACTTCCAGGTACCCAAGAGCTAATCTAGTTTCCAAAGGTGACTGATTTGCGTCTAAAATGATTTATGTAGGAGGCTACTCTGGTGATGCAGCAATGATTTATTACTAAGCACTCTCAGCTCCCAGAGACAGAGGCTGAGGAGCTGGCTTGGTCCCCAAGCACCCATACAGCTTTCATATTAGCACTGACCAGGGGGTTATTACCTTTATTTTTAGTTCACTCATTGAAATGTCTATATATACTAGGCTCAGAGTATCTTTTTTTTTCTCTTTTATTTCAATAGGCTTTGGGGGAACAGGTGGTGTTTGGTTACATGAATAAATTCTTCAGCAGTGATTTCTGAGATTTTGGTGCACCTATCACTCAAGCAGTGTACACTGTACCCAAGGTGTGGTCTTTTATACCTCGCCACCCCCAACCATTCCCCCAAGTCCCCAAAGTCCAATGTATCATTCTTATTAGGCTCTGAGTCTTCGGAGATGATTCTTCAAATTTAACCTGTCTAACACATGTTGAATATATTCTTTTCCTTTCCCTTCTAAGCATGTTCCTGCCTTCAATCTCCCCCATCTCAGTACGTGCCTTGGCCATCTCCCTTTCTCAAGCCAGAAACCCAGTCAACATCCTCCGTGTCTTCTTCCCTACCCATTCCATAATCCACAGGCAGATCCTATCGATGCCACTCCTAAATTCATCTTGAAAGTTTCCTCTTCCCTCTACTGCCACTGCCCTCGCCTGACCACTGTAAACAACTTTCTGAATAGCCTCCCCATTTTTAGTCTTGACAATTTCTAATGAATTCTCCACACAATGGTCTGAGTAATCATTTTAAAAATAATAATTAAAGCTATCACTCTTGACCTCCTTTGATGGTATCCCACTAATGCTTCCAATAAAATCCAAGCCCTTTGCCGTGGACTGAAAAAGGCTTATATCAGGAGTACTCATAGAGTGGTCCCCAGACCTGCAGCATCACTTGGAACTTGTTAGAAATGCAAATTTTCAGGCTCCACCCCAAACTTACTGGATCAGAAACTCTGGGAGTGGGGCAGCAATCTGTGTTTTCACAAGCTCTCTGGGGAGTTGGGATACATGCTTGAGGCTGAGAACCACTGCTTTATGTGCTCTGCCTCCTGCCTATCTCCCTGCGACCCCACCGTTTCATTCCACTCCTCTTTCTGATTACGCTGCAGCCAAATGGGCTTCTTTCCAATTACTTGAACATGCCGAGAGCTTCTCTACTTCAGGTCCTGGCATGCGCTGTTCTCACTGCTCGGACACTTTTCCCATCTCTCTTGAGATGCCTCCTCTGACCACCTTTTCTAATGTAGCTTTCTGACCCACCCTCGATTCTTTGTGGCTATAATCATGGTTTTCTTCACAGCACTCCCCATCACTAGTTGTATTCTGTCTTTATTTTCTAGCTTCCTTATGATTATCCGGTTCTTTCACTAGTCCATTAGCTCCCTGAGGCCAGGGCTCTGTCTGTTTTATTCATTAATGTATATGCTATGGAAACCACAGTGCTTGGTACATAGTAGTAAATAAATTAAAGGCCTGAATGAATTAGCACTTTTAAGTCACTTTTAGTCTAGTGCAGAAAGAGAAAATATGTGGCATACAGCTCCCATTTCCAGCCTGGACCGAGACCGAGGAGACATCACCACTTGATCTCCAGTCTTTCCCTCTTAATCCTGGATATGGCCTCTGAATTTTTCACAACCCTCCACTCTAAGCATCTGCTAAAAAAATAATTAAAAATAAAAATAAAATAAAAGTTGTTACTTGGAATGAAAGTAGAAGTACACCAATTTCCTAAATCACCAATTTCCTAAATCATATTTCAATAGTTGCATATATATATATAAAATATATATGTGTGTATATATATATTTGAGACGGAGTCTCGCTATGTTACCCAGGCTGGAGTGCAGTGGTGTGATCTTGGCTCACAGCAACCTCCGCCTACCTCCGCCTCCCAAGTTCAAGCGTTTCTCTTGCCTCAGCCTCCTGAGTAGCTGAGATCACAGGTGTATGCCACCACGCCTGGCTAATTATATATATTTTTGAGACTGAGTCTCACTCTGTGGCCCAGGCTGGAGTGCAGTGGGCGATCTCCGCTCACTGCCTCCTCTGGGGTTACAGGCACCCGCCACAACTGTGGCTAATTTTTGTATTTTTAGTAGAGACGGGGTTTTGCCATGTTGACCAGGTTGGTCATGAACTCCAGGCCTCAAGTGATCCTCCCCACTCAGCCTCCCAAAGTGCTGGGATTATAGGCGTGAGCCACCGTGCCCGGCCAAGTTGCTAATATTATTTATGTACCAGACACTGCTAACATTTCATAAGCTTTAGTTCCCACAGGGTAACTGGCAGACAGGTAATCTGAAGCCAGGCTGTCTGATCACAGAGCCTGCAATCAGGGCGAAATCCTTTCACCATAGTGAGAATATATGTATTGGAGTTCAGCAGTGAGAGACTAAGGGCGGAGAACTTAACCCAGTTGAAGGAATCAGAGGGTGCAATGGACTGAATGTTTGAGTCCCCCCAAAATTTGTATGTTGAAATCCTAACCCCCAAGGTGATATTAGGAGGTAGAGCCTTTGAGTGGTGATCAGGTCATGAGAGCAGAGCCCTCACGAATGGGATTATTACCCTTATAAAAGCCTTAAGCTCCAGAAAGCTTCCTCCCCGCTTCCACCACCTGAGGACACACTGAGAAACTGGCAGTCTACACCAGAACCTGACCATGCTGGCATCCTGATCTTGGCTTTTCCAGCCTCCAGAGCTGTGAGAAACTGTGTTTACAAGTTACTCAGTCTACAGCATTTTCTTATAGCAGCCTGAACAGAATAAATCAGAAAAAATCCTGGAGGAGTTCTGAAGTTTGAGTTAGTCAGGCAGAGAAGTAGAGAAGCAAAGGCATGAACCCTTTACTCACACCTACTCTTTTCTGAAACGAGGTCTTGGGAAGAAGAGAGCTTTGGTTAAATGTACCACGTTCACAGGATGGTGTTTGGCTGAGCACATCCTATTCAGAGGCGACTGCCTACCTCTCACCTCAGCAGATTCTTCAGTAATAATCTTCTTTTTAAAATATTGGCAGTATATCTGATCTTGGTGAAGTTTATTTATATAAATGAATGGTTGGGTGTGGTGGGTAAAGCTTAAAAGGTCCCTAGGGGAAGGGGGCAGAGCTTTTTAAGTTATTTTTGTGTCCTGGATAAACTGATTCACCTCTCTTGGGTCAATAATCCCGTCATGTAATGAGTTATGTTATTGTTGGAAGTGTGCTATTCATGTGCAAAATGTGATGCTGAAAACGTTTGGAAACCATAGACATCAATTATTAAACTATTTTAATGAAAGTAAGTGTTTACACTAAATAGCATCTCTGAGTGTGATCCAAAAAATTACAAATCATTCTCAATTGACTTGCAATCAAGAGAAATCTGCGTGGAGCTGGAATTTATAGCACAGCCTACACTTCCATAGCAACCAACTGATGTCACATACGGAACTCAGACTTCCCTGACGGGCCCAGGATTCAGCTTGGAGGTATCATATGTTCAGTTAAGCATAAAAGTGACTTCAAATTTAGAGAATGCTTTTCTTCGAAGAGATTAATTTTACTTAATTTGATTTTGAGAGGAAGTGCTTAAAGCAAATAAGATGATTCTGCTCCAGTATTTTAACCAAAAATAGATGTAGAAATCTCATATAATTCACAAAATTGAGCTTGACATGATGCCATGCCTCTATAAGTCTCTATGGCAAAAATACAGAATTCTCAATGCAGAGGAGAGATAATTTCATATCAGATTCAATGCCTTTCTATAAGAGTTCCTGGAAGTACTATCCCCATATAAGCAGCATCAGAATCCCCTCAGAGGCTTGCAAAAAATCCAAATTTGGGTCTCACCCAGAACTACTGAATCAATCTTTGAGGGCAGGGCTCCAGAATCTAATATTTTAATACATTTTCTAGAGGATTCTTATTTAGAACCATTTTTTGGTGGAATTCAAATAAAGAAACAAGTTTTCTTTATCATATGTGGGAACAGGTAATTCTTGAACATCATTGAAGCTTAATGAGAAATAACTGCATAGCAGGCCCCTAGGTTGTAAGAGTATTCTATAATGCAAAGAGAACGTTTAAAACATCTGCAAATATTTGGAGGAAAGCAAAATGGTATACCGTAGTAGGACTAGACTTCTGGGTTTCAAAATCCAGGAAATTTTAAAAATTGGGCAAGGGGATCAACATAAAGTCGCCTACGTTTATGTTGCCAAAAGGGCACTTAAAAAAGTCTCACTAACTCTCACTCATTTCATAAAAGGGCATTTTTGCACCACAAAAGAAAAAAAACAAGAAAGCTATAATCCCAGAATAAAAGACAATCCTTTACATGAACAACTGTAGGAATAAAGACGAGCCATTTGATGTCCTGTCCTATTCATTTTCATGAATGGAGCTCTGATACTTGGGAAGCTCTCAGGCAGTGGAGAGACCAGTGTTTTGGAAAGATAAAAAAGTCAATTCTAAGCTCTTCCTCTTGCTAGCTGTGTGATTTGGGCATCACTTACATAACCAATTGGTCTTGGTTTCCTTATCTATAAAATAAAGATAATCATCGTCATGACTATTAATGACCTTACATGGATTAATCAACTGACATACAGAAGGGACTCAAAAAATGTCCACATTCCCTGGTTTTGTCTTCTATGGATTTACAATCTACTAAGACCCTTGTTGGACTTGAGACAGACTTGAGACAAAGTGTTGCTTGAGATAAAAAGGAGGAAAAGTGGCTGATTAACTGATTGTCCCTAGCATTTTATTTTTAGCTTTTTTTCTCTTGCTTTAGATTCTGACGGAGTTTCACATTAGACAGATTCTTAATACCTGGCTATTACTGACTATCTGAAATAGCAGTTCTACACCTTGTTTGTCACAAAATGCACAGGGTACAAGTAAATCCTTGCTATAGGTGTTTAAAAGGCTGTCTAGGTCAGTTCTGCTTTTTCTGTTACGCCTATTTATGAAGAAGTTATTTCCCCAAAGTAAATATAGGCCAGGTGATTATTTGTAGAGGGCACAAAAATAACTTAAAAAGCTTGTTTGTATAGGGTGCAGAGAAGTGCATGATTATTTATATAGGGTGCAGAGAAGTGTGTGTGTGTGTGTGTGTGTGTGTAACAGAGAGAGGTAGAGAGAGGAGGAAGTGGAGGATGAGGAGGTAGTTGCTCTGTTGTGGAACTCGAAGGACACCATCGATACTGTATTCTATGTGAATGATGTCCCATTGCTAATTGTGTTCCCAAGGAGTTGTGCAAAATGGTAGACCTGGGTGGAGGAAGGCATATAGATAAATATTATTCTACAAACAGAGTTCACACATGGCTCTGCAAGGAATTTAAGAAAATAACTTCATAGCTAACATTCTTTGAGTGCTTACATGTCAAGCACTGTGCTAAGCAGTGTACAGACTTGGCCACATTTTATTCCTCACAACAAACCTTCGATTATTATCCCCACTTTCCAGATGAAGAAACCAAGTCTTAAGCGAACACTTGCTTAAGATCACCCAGCTGATCAATGGCAGATGCAGGATTTGAATCCAGATCTGTGGAAATCCAGAATCCAAACTCCATGTCATTTTGCTAAACCACTCCTCCAAGTAAAAAAATAAAAATAAAGATAAGATAGAAAAGAGAGATCTTATTGAACACTCATGAGTGTTCAGGGAGGGTTGTTTTCACTTCTTTTCCTCCTCTTAAAAGGTAGATGACCAGCTTTGGCTCATATTCTAACTCTGTGAAGGTAGGAGGCAAAAGTTTTGTGGAATAACTCATTAATCAATCCCTACAGCAATCACATCTCTGTTTTACTGGTGCAGGGGGCTCTCAGTGTTTGTGGTTCTTTCATCATAAGTTGGTCACTGTATTTCCTAAAGGAATGACCTCCCTTCTTCAAGAGGTAATCACACATGCCCTGCTGAACTGGACAGAAAGCGGTAGCCAAATATCCTGTCGTCAAGCCTCCTTCAAGATAACTCTGGTGAGTGGTTATTTTGGAAGTGGCTCTAATCTGTCATGTTACACGGCTTTGCTAAGACTCACTTTATTAGCTACCACCAAGAGCTAATAAAACATGTCAGGAAGTCTCTGTAAGCTGTAAAAACATTTTCAAAGGTCACTGCCAACACTCTGGACTTCAATGACTATTTGAAGGAAAAGAAAACAAAAGCAGAGGCCTAGAGTTCCAAAACACAGAACTACCAAAAGAAGCAATCCCAAATGAGCTATAAAGACTGACAAACCCACATGATACCAGCCATTGGATAAACTGTGTCCAGAAGGAGGCTTGAAGAAAAGGTACAAAAGCCACAAAATGCCAGTGAGTAGGCAGCAAATTTAGATTTAGTGTATAGGAACCTGACGGTCACACCTACTTATGCTTCCAGCACCTACAATAGAGTCCTTTATAAACAAAGGAGTAGGTGGCAGAGAAGTAATTAACTTTAGATTAACCACAGCATAGCAGGCATTCTTCTTAACTGACTTTTTTTTTTCTATTGTAAAAGTAAACATACTTTTTAATAAAAATTAGTAAAACATAGAAAAGGAGAAAATCATGTTATCTTAAAAGCTGGGAATATAGTTTGATGCCCACTGTATATTTCATGTATTGAGAGTCATGCTTTGACAGTGAGATGTCTCAAGACAAGTGGCTGTGAGCCAGCAGCTCTATTAGATTGAAAATATTGTATTAATCATTGAGATTTCCATTCACTGCTGATGAGAGGTCCAGGCACAGAAGAGACAATAACATTCTTATCTTGGCTTAGGATAAAAAATTTAGACATGAAATCTGTACTTTGTTTGGGGGGTGGAGAAAAGGTCATCTGTGGAGTCATTAAGTCGGGATGTCTTGTTGTAGAAGCATCAAAAGACCGCTGAAGCGGGGAGATATTGATCAAAGGGTACAAAGTTTCAGTTAGGAGGAAAAAGTTCTGAAGATGTGTTATATACTGTGTTGCATATAGTTAATGCATATACTGTATTATGTACTTGAAAAGTGTTAAGAGACTAGATTGTAAATGTTCTCACCACAAAAAATGATATGAGTTGATTCGTGTTCATTAGCTTGTTTTAATCATTCCACGATGTAAACATATATCAAAGCAACATGTTATACACCATAAATACATATAATTTTTATTTGCCAATTAAATAATAAATAGATTTTTTAAAAAAAAAAAGACTGTTGATAGGTTGGTATGCCCCAGACAGAGAGAGGCAGGTTCTATCCTGCTTTGGAACAGTTGCTAGCCTGCTCACTGATTGTGCATGGCTGTTTTTAATAACTTATTGCAGGCATCAACAGGGAGCGAATGTGATTCAATCCTTAAATACTGCAACGCTCAGTGATCTAGTCAATAACAGGAGATACCATATGGGTGTGTTGTCCCTTCCTTTGTGTTTCTGTTTTCTTTTTCCTCCTCTACTTGCTAAGAAAGGCAACACAGAACGGTAGCAAGAGCCCAGGTCCTGGAGCCAAGCTGACCAGGGCTGAGTCAGGCTCAGCCTGATTTGCTTTCTAACTTTAGGCTCATTCTGTTGCTCCTCAGTGGCATCTACACAATGGAGATAACAATAGGACTCGTTCAAGGAGCACTTGCAGGATTAAATGAGACATGCTTTTAAAGCACTCAGCAAGCAGCTTGGCATGTACAGAACAATCAAAAAGTGAGGAAATCACAATTATTGTGTTACTGGCTGGGAGCTTTGAGGACGGGGGTTATGTTACCTTTTTTGGATACTGAGCACAAGGTGCCTGGCCACTTAAGGTAGGGGTGTGGGGGAGGGCTCTAAAAATGCTCAAGAATAAATGAATTTGGTTAAATTTATTTCAGGTTCCTTTCCTGATACACTTTCCCTACATGTATTTTTTTCCTTCTCCAAAATAGTAAACCACATTTTCTTTTGCTTCAAACAGATGTATCACTGACAGTAGGTTGAGGCAATTCTCTTATTTTCTTGTTCAAGAAATATTTATATTTCTTGTATTATTTTTTATATTCAGCAGTCCTTTTCCCCCTTCTCTATTCATAGCTTTCGTCCCTGGGGGAACTGCTCCCTCAGTCACTGGGGCTCTGGCAAGTTTGCCAATCGGTTATCCCCAAGCCCACTCCTATCCACCCCAATTCACACACACCAGAATCATTATTTGACTCTGAGGTCACCTTCTTTCTAATAAATCCTGTTTCCTACTCAGGTTAGTCAGAGTCAGTTTCTGTTGCTTGCAACCAAGGAGCCCTAAATGATATGTACCTTGTTTTTTCTTCCTTTCTAATCATATTTCCTTACTACTTTATGTTTCCCATATTTCTCCTTGACTATCTACCACTATTTCACCTTGACTATCTAAATTTAGTCTCCTTCCCCACTGAATATGGCAGAATTTATTCCAGTCTGTGAATAAGGATGACATCATGTCTCTTCTAATAAGTTCAGCCCTCTTCTTAACTATCACAGTGTCTCCATAAAATTCATTTACCCTCAAGGCAGCCTGATTTTTGGCTGAGCAAAATGTTAATTTTAGCATCCTAGGTGCCCTAAGACTTAGCTATTACAATCTCAAAATGGTAACGCATTTAACCATCCACGTTAACCCTCTTCATTTTACAGTAAGGAAAAAGGAGGACAGACATTTAATGACTTGTGCAAGGCCAAACACCAAATCAAGGACAAACTAGAATACAATCTCCTGATATTTGGTAAGATGCCTTCATCATCTTTTTGAGCAGCTTTTAAGGAAATAATATTTTGGGCCCATTCCAAGCAAATTTTCTTTGTGTAGTGGAAAAGACCTTTGTCATAGGACAGTAACATCTACAAGACAGTCCTTCTTCTTTGTTCAACAGAAGTTGGGGAAGAGGGAAAATGCAGGAAGAAGGATAGCGCTGTTCAAGAGAAATGCCTCATACTATTTCTTCTATACGGAGGTGCAGAGATTCTCCATAACTCAATCGTTCCAAGTCATGTGGCAGGCCTAAGATGAGACACTACGATTATGAGTTTTACAGAAGTGGCAAAGAGAAAAAAAAAAAAAGATCATCAAGATTGCTATATTAACAGCCCCTTTTAATATAAGGCTTTTCATCTATTGAACCACAGCATAGAGTTAATACATAGAAAACAACTCTCAAATAAATGCAAATCAATAGGCTCTCCACTGATTATTATATAAAGCAACACATTACAGGGGAATAAACCAATAATGCCTCTATATTTTGAAGTGTTCACTAATTCTGAGTAATTACCTCCTCCAATGGCTCTAATGAGTGCAAATCTGTGAAATTTGACTACATCTTTTTCCTTATTTAAATACTATTTTTTTAGTTCATAGAACCCTCACAAGATTCTAGTAATAACAGAAGTTCCCTCCCAAGAATTGCTTTCATGACTAAATATTTTATAATTCATAATATACTAATCTTCTATGTACAAATAAATCCTTCCAAAGTACTTGATAGTTTGTGGAATTAACTTGCTCTTTTAGATCGGCTAAACCAATTTCTCTGCAAGTACTCTTTAGATCAGGGTTTCTTAATCTCACACAATCCACATTTGGGGCCAAATAATTGTTTGTTGTGAGAGATTGTCCCATACATTGCAGGGTGTTTAGTAGTATCTACCCGTTAGATGCCAGGGGCCAAAAAGTGTCTCTAGACATGGCCAGATGTCTCCAAATCTCTCCCAGTTAAGAACCTGTGTTAGGCCACTGATAAATTTTTTACCCAAGTCTCCCGTCTTTTGATAGAGGATCCAAAGATAAATTTATGGCATGCCTTCTTCAGGAATCCCAGATCAGCATTCTGGGTTACCTCAGTAGAAATTAAAGCAAATTTACCTTTAATCACACAGCATCCCGGGGAGGAGCTCATGTGTTGTTATCTTCATTTCATTGTGGAGAAACAGAATCCAATGTCACACAGTGGGACAGAGATGTCTCCTGAAATGTACCCCTCCTCCCAATCTGGGCAGAAGGATCGTCATCTCACTTACTGCCTTCTTCCCTTCAGGATATAACATTTGCTCTGGAGGATTTTGTAGCTCAGAGCAAGAACTAACCAATGGCAACTATCTCCTTGATAATTTAGGGCAAGTTATCTAATCTAGAGTCTTCATGGTTTTCTTTTTTTAGTTATAAAAATGAAGATAATAATTCCTACCTGTAAGGTTGTTACTCAGAATTGAAGATCACAGTAGACATAAAGCATTTGACACAGAGTCTAATACAGAGCAGGTGTGCACAATAAACATTAGGTCTTTCATTCCCTCTTCATGGAGAATCTCAAACCAGGATCACTACATGAGCTAATTTGGAAGTCATGATTGAGACTTAAAGAGCTGAGTAGAAAAGCAAGCAGTGCATGTACCACCTACCAGAGACTGGGTGAGTGTGGAACCCATGTCAGGGATGCAGAAACCACTGTGACGCAGAAATACTGACCATGTAATACCACCAAGTATTTCTATAAATAGTTACATATAATCAAATACTGTGATACCTTTTAAAAGTCACGTATAATCTGAATTTACTAAGAGAGATACCAGGGACTGTTGTGGCAAATTACTCAAAAGGTATATACAATTTGTCACCTTCACCTAGGCATCCCCATCTCTAGTTGCTAGTAGGCTGAAACTATATGCAATTGCTGATGGGTGGCTACTTTTTTTTTAATCTGCAAAATGGCAATTTTTTAGCAGTCAACCTGAGTTCTGGGGGCAGGGGGGTGGGAAACAGACTCTTTCAAATATTTAAAATATTGAGTCCCCAAGTGGAGGTCAAATAAATTATTCTTAGTTAAGTGAGGAAAACTCTGAGGAAACCAAGCCCACATGAGATCTACTATTATCATGCATGAATGACATTCCATTCTTCCCTATCTCTCTCTTTCATAAACTCAAGATGCAAATTTATAGAGCTCTCAAAATACCCTCCAGCAAAAGAGGCAGGTGCCTTATCCCACTTCCCAGTGGGGCCCTGAATTAATCACAGGAGGAAGGCTATGCCTCATCTGAAACTGCAAATAGGCTATTAAATAAAAGAGATGGCATACCTGTGCCACACTGGGCAGTACAAGAGAGGAGACGACGAAGCACACAAGGGCAGGTGGAAATGCAAAAGCCAAATTTCAGACCATTATGGCTTTGGGGCCAGTGAGCATCCTGTACTCAGCTCATTCCCACCTGGTTGCCCTGTTAGGGAACAGAAAGCACTGGGGAGAAGGTTAGAGCTCCAGGAACTTGGCTGAGAGGCAAGTTGCTGAACAACTGTTTTAGAGTATTTCAGACACCCAGGTGGACCTTCACTGATGGGGTCTGGAGACCCTTCCATTAATACAAATCTTGAAAACTGTCTTGTGCACGTCTCTGAACCCATCCGCTAATCTGAAGGACAGAGTGATATAAACTCCCAAATTTGTATATTCAATCTTAACCTCTTTTCCAAGCCTCAGACTCCTTTCCCTGACTGCCAAGAGATCTTCTCTATCTTGAAAATGTATTAGCATCTCAAATTTAATATGTCCCCAAATGAGATCGTATCTTCCTACACGTGCCTAATCCTGTGCCACATAGCTCAGTGAGTGCTATCACTACTGACTCCATTCCTGGAGGAAGACCTTCAAACCCGGCTCGAAGTTCTTTTTCATTCTCTCCACATATCTAAATATGAATCCCTCAGAAGTGTAATCTCAAGCCCAACTGCTCCTTTCGATCCCACAGCCCCTGCCTTAAATCAGGTACTTACTTCTCCCCTGGAAATTACAGCTGCCTCCTGCCTGTCCTCTCTGCTCTTCACTGCCCCTTACATCAGTCTCTCCTGCAAACTGCTCTCAGAATCCTCATTCCCAAAAAGTGTTTTTAAAGCCTTTATATTGTTTGGACATTGTCCACAACACAGTTCCTTGACAAATGAGAATGATAGATATAAATAACTTACTTTGTCTGTGACAGAGAATAATAATACTTACAGTAATTATTGATTGTATTGTTAATTGTAGATACAGCTCTCCAAAACCTGGCCTCAACCTACCCTTATTCCTGCCATTCACCCAATGCACCCACTTTTCCCCATTGCGGTGACCTCCTCTCAGTTCCATGAGCTCAACAGGCTGTTTTATGCCCGCCTAGCTGTGCACATCCTGTTCCCTTTGCCTGGAGGGCCTGCCTCCCTCCTTCCTTCCCAAACTGCCAGGCACACAGTTACCTTTCAAGACTCAGCTCAAAAATCACCTAGGTAAAGCCTTCCCTAATGTCCTCAGGTGAAATTGAAATGAATCATTCCCTTCTCAGAGGAACATTTGTATATTTCTACTCTAGTAGTTCCTACATTATGTGGTGATTTATTTGTCTAGACTGTGAACACTTCAAGAACAGGTGTGACATCACTCACTTTTATCTACCTATATCTAGCACAAAGTCCTACTTAGAGAAGGTCCATTAACGTACATGAAAGGGATGGCCACTGGCCTTTTATGATGGTTCTTCTAGTGTTACATTAAATGTTTAAGACAATCACTCAAAGGGGGCAGTTTTTCTTAGATGCTTTCTAGTCCTTCTTTTAGCATTTCTTCAAGGAGAGAATATTAAATATCTAGCTTAGGCTTCTGTGGAGAAGGCAAAAGTATCTGAGACCCATAAGTAGGACATCACAAGGTTCCTCATTTCCATTTAGTTGTGATACAAATTATTTTATCTGCTTGAGAACTTGTGTTTTGATCTGTCCATGACAAGGACCAGAAACCAGTTCAAGCTACGGAAGGCAACAGGGGCTTTACAGTGATAGAATATGGCACCCAAGAGCAGAAGGTGAAGCCCAGCAATGGAACCGGGCCAGGGAACTGAAGAGCAGGGGCCGGGTGCTCCTTTCCAGCATGGGCCACGCGGTCTGCCTTCTCTGCCTCACTCTACTCCCTGGAGCCATTCCCTTCTGTTTCACATTCTGTGAGACTTCACTCCCTCCTCATTTGACACATAGATGAGCCCCAGCTGGCACCCTCAGCCTGGACCCTGTGACTTTTCGATTCAATGGCTCACGACTAACAACTTCCCTCTGGATCTTAGTGCAAAAGTCCTGAAAGAGGGGCTGTAGGTGGCCCAGGGCTCCTTTTGGGTGACATACAAGTCACGTGACTGTCTCAAGTCAGTGTCCACCCTGGTCCACGGAGGTGGGACCTGTGTCAACGACAGGTGGGATCACACAGACAAAGGCACCCTCATCTGGGTCTGTGAGCAAAGATAGATGATCTGAAACAGGTCAAAGGCAGTACTGACAACTCCACAGGTATATTACCCCTTAAAAAACTTGCCCTACAAGTACATTTCTGCCTCACCCTTCATCCCTGGTGGCTGTGGCAGTCTTCTGATCTGCTAACATCCAAGGTACCTAATGGAGCACATCTAGAAATCAAAAGTTAAATCTTCTTAATAAAGTAATGAGGAAATAAAATCATTAAAGAACTTCAAAGCAAGGAAAGCAAAAGAAAAACATACAGGTAAGCAAAGGTTAGAAACTTATGGCAAACATACTGATCTGTCTCCTATCTGAAATCAGATTTTGAAACATGAGTAACCACAACAATTTTGGGAGCTAAACTTCATTTCATCCATTACTCCACATACTAGGTGGGTATTATGCTCTACTAGTTTTTTTCTGGTCTCTTCCAACAGCCTAGCGCATAATGTGCAGATATTTCTGTCCTGTAGAGAATACAGCACAGAACCTTAGAGTCAAATAAACTGAGTTCTGCCATTTAGCACTTGTGACCAAGGGAAATACACCTAACTTCTCTGTGTCAGTTTCTTCATCTATAAAATGGAAATAATAAAGTCAACTTTGCAGAGTTCTTGGGAATGTTAACTGTAACACTTATAAAGCACATATTCCTGTGTCTGGCATATGAGGAATAGTCAATAAACGGTAAACATTTGGTTGAACCACATGAAGTTAAAAATTAGGCAGGTCATAATGTTATATGCTCCCCCGATCAGAGGACCTTTATTATAGTTGTGTATTTATATGTTTCTATCATTAAAATGCAAGCTCCATGAGAGCCTGGACTCGGTCTATCTTGATTCCCACACAATGCCCGGCACAGCACTTCACAGATAGAAGGTGTTCTATCTGTATTTTTTGAATGAATTAATGTGGATAATGATGATGACAAAGATACCTCTTCTGTACTGCCTACATCTGGGGACAATTATAGACAATACAGTCCTTTATCTCATTGCCTGGTGTACAATAGGAACACGATAAATGTCTATTAAAGGAAAGAATGAGTGAGCAAGTAAATGAATGAATAAATTTCAAGTCCATATACAGAAAGTCTAATGAGACCACTAAGTTAACAAAAATTGCTATGAAACTTGTTTTTGGTAATTGCTATCACAAAACACCAAATGGGGACTGCCTTCATTTTCATGTTTCCAGCAGGCCCTTTGGTGTTGTGTGGACACTATCAGGGTTCACTTGGCCCCGTGGGCCTCCCAGGAAAGTGAGAGAGGCAAAGTGCTGAACTGCAGCCTGCCAAGCCAGGAAAATTTAGGGTTGTAATGTGTAGCTTCCAGAAGTCTGCTGGCTTTTGTCTGCTCAGAGACAGCCAACAGCTTGCAATTGTGCGATGAGCCTTTAGCTGTTGGAGACCCTCCCATGGTACTGTATATGGCTCATGCTCCTTAACACAATTTTTGTCCTAAGAGCCTGCTAAGTTGACTCCCTGCATCTCTCACCAAACATTCAACCTTCCCAACAGGGAAGCAGGTTAAAAGGGAGACTAGTCATGGACCGAAAAAAAAAAGTTTGGTATCTGGCTCTGATGACCACTGGCTCTGATGACCACTAGGAAAGCAGGAAAGATCCTGGGCTGGATTGATCAAGAAGACAGAAAAAAGAACTAAAGTGAAGAAAGGAAGACTTAACCTAGCCATACATATGTCTTTAACATTTCAAGTAATGGCCAGTTTATATCTCTGGATTTTAGATTGAAGTCACATTTAGGGGAGGAGAATGTTCTCTCTGCTTTTGACAACAAATAAGGAGAAACAAAGTATGAAAGGTAGAACATAGTTACACTTAGGAGAAAGTCAGTTACTTTAAATTATTTAAGCTTCAGGAACCACAAATATGCACATATAGGGAGAAGGGAAAAGGAAAAAGTTGTTAAGATCCCAAAGAGAAACACACTAAAGTTATCTCTATCTCCTAAACTGCTTAATGCTTGGTCTGGCTCTTTACTAATTTTTTTTTTTTTTTTTTTTTTTTTTTTTTTTAAGAGACAGGGTCTTACCCTGCTGCCCAGGCTAGAGCGCAATGGTGCAATCTCAGCTCACTGCAACCTCCACCTCCCAGGTTGAAGCGAACCCAGTTAATTTTTGTATGTTTAGAAGAGACAGGGTTTCACCATGCTGGCCAGGCTGGTCCTGAACTCCTGACCTTGTGATCCACCCGCCTCGGCCTCCCAAAGTGCTGGGATTACAGGTGTGAGCCATTATGCCTGGCCTCTTTATTAAATTTTTAATTGTTATGGATACATAATAGTTGTACACATTTATGGGGCACATGTGATATTCTGATACAAGCATACAATGTGTAATGATCACATAAGAGTAATAGGGGTATCCATCAACTCAAGAATATATCATTTCTGTTGTGTTAAGAATATTCAAATTCCACTCTTTTAGTTATTTTGAAATACATGCTAAATTATTGTTAACTATAGTCGCTCTATTGTGCTAACACTAGAACTCACTCCTCATATCTAACTGTATTTTTGTACCCATTAACCCTCCTCGCTTTATCTCCCCCTCCCTATTATACTTTCCTCCATCTGGGTAACCATCATTCTATTCTCTATCTCCATGACTACCCTTTTTTTTTCTTTTTGGTTCCCACATATTAACGAGAACATGTGCTATTTATCTTTCTGTGCTTGGCTTATTTCACTTAACATAATTTCCTCCATCTATGCTGTTGTAAATGACAGGATTTCATTCTTTTATATGGCTGAATAATATTCCATTGTGCATATAAACCACATTTTCTTTCTTTCTTTCTTTCCTTCTTTCTTTCTTTTTTTTTTTTTTTTTTTTTTTTTTTGAGACAGAGTCTCGTTCTGTCACCAGGCTGGAGTGCAATGGTGCGATCTCAGCTCACTACAACCTCTTGAACTGCAAAGTTCAAGCGATTCTCCTGCCTTGGCTTCCCGAGTAGCTGGCATTACAGGCATGCACCACCACGCCTGGCTAATTTTTGCGCTTTTAGTAGAGATGGGGTTTTGCCATGTTGGCCAGGTTGGTCTTGAACTCCTGACCTCAGGTGATCCACCCGCCTTGGCCTCCCAAAGTGCTGGATTTACAGGCGTGATCCACTATGCCTGGCTAATTAAACCACATTTTCTTTATAACTCATCTTAGGTTGACTCCATATCTTGGCTATTGTGAACAGTGGTTCAATAAAGATGGGGGTGCAAATACTGATTTCCCTTCTTTTGGATATATACTCAGCAATGGGATTGCTGAATCATGTGGTAGTTTTATTTTTAGTTCTTTGAGGAACTTCTGTACTGTTCTCCATAGTGGCTATATTAATTTACATTCCCACCAACAGTGTATGGGGTTCCCTTTTCTCCACATCCTCACCAGCCTTAATTATTGCCTTTCTTTTGGATAAAAGCCATTTTAATTGGGGTGACAGGATATCTCATTGCAGTTTTAGTTTGCATTTCTCTGCTTATTAATGATGTTGAACATATTTTCATGTACCTGTTAGCCATTTGTATGTCTTCTTTTGAGAAATATCTATTCAGAACCTTTGTCTTTTTTTTTTTTTTTTTTTTTTTTTTTTTTTTGAGACAGAGTCTTGCTCTGTCGCCCAGGCTGGAGTGCAGTGGTGCGATCTCGGCTCACTGCAACCTCTGCCTCCGGAGTTCAAGCAATTCTCCTGCCTCAGCCTCCTGAGTAGCTGGGATTACAGGCATATGCCACCATGCCCGGTTAGTTTTTGTATTTTTAGTAGAGACAGGGCTTCACCATATTGGCTAGTCTGGTCTTGAAATCCTGACCTCATGATCAGCCTGCCTTGGCCTCCCAAAGTGCTGAGATTACAGGTGTGAGCCACCACGCCCAACCTGTCCATTTTTTAAATGGGATTATTTAGGTTTTTAAAATTGAGTTGTTTGAGCTCCTTATATATTTTGGTTATTAATCCCTTCTCAGATAGGTAGTGTGCAAATACTTTCTTCCATTCTGTGGGCTGTCTCTTCATTTTCTTGGTTCCTTCCTTTGTTGTGCAGAAGCTTTTTAGCTTGATCTGATACCATTTTTCCATTTTTGCTTTAGTTGCCTGTATTTTTGAGGTCTTACCCTAATACCAAAACCAGACAAAGACACAACAAAAAAAGAAAACTATAGGCCAACATCTTTGATGAACACAGATGCAAAAATCCTCAACAAAATACTAGCAAACTGAGTTCAACAAGGCAAGGATAATTCAACATATGCAAATCAATACATGTGATACATCATACCAATAGAATGAAGGACAAAAACCAAATGATCATTTCAACTGATGCCAGAAAAGCGTTCAATGAAATTCAACATTGATTCATGATAAAAACTCTCAAAACCTGAGTATAGAAGGAACATACCTCAACATGATAAAAGCCATATATAACATACCCATAGCTAGAATCATATCGAACTAGGAAAAACTAAAGTTTTTATCTAAGATTTGGAACAAGACAAGAATGCCTACTTTCATCACTTTTACTCAACAGAGTACTGGAAGTCCTAGCCAGAACAATTAGACAAGGGAAAGAAATAAAGGGCATCTAAATCAGAAAACAATGAAGTCAAACTAGCCTTGTGTGCAGATGCTATGATCTTATATTTAGAAAACCTAATGACTCCACCAAAAAACTATTAGAATTGATGAAGAAATTCAGTAAAGTTGCAGAATACAAAATCAACATAGAAAAATCAGTATCATTTTTGTATGCCAACAGTGAACAACCTGAAAAAGAAACCAAGAAAGTAATCCCATTTACAATAGCTACAATGCAATCCCTGTCATAACACCAGTAATGTTCTTCATAGAAAAAGAAAAAAATAATCCTTAAATGTATACAGAACCACAAAACCTGGAATAGCCGAAGCAATCCTGGGCAAAAAGAACAAAGCCAGAGGCATCACATTACACTGACTTCAAATTATGCTACAAAGCTACAGTAATTAAAACAGCATGATATTGGCATAAAAACAGACACATAGACCAATGCAACAGAATAGATAATCCAAAAGTAAATTTATGCATTTACAGTCATCCCATTTTCAACAAAGGTGCCAAGAACATACATTGGGAAGGACAGTCTTCTTAGTAAATAGTGCTGGGAAGACTAGATATCCATATGCAAAAGAATGAAACTAGATCTCTCTCTCTTTTCATCACATACAAAAATCAAATCAAAATGGATTAAAGACTTAATCGAAGACCTGAAGCTATAAAACTACTTGAAGAAAACACTGGGGAAATGCTCAAGGACATTGGTCTGGCCAAGATTTCTTTTTTTCTTTTTTTTTTTTAGATGGATTTTGCTCTTGTTGTGCTGGCTGGAGTGCAATGGCATGATCTCGGCTCACTGCAACCTCCACCTTTTGGATTCAAGCAATTCTCCTGCCTCAGCCTCCTGAGTAGCTGGAATTACAGGCAGCTGCCACCATGCCTGGCTAATTTTTGTATTATTATTAGCGACGGGGTTTCACCATGTTGGCCAGGTTGGTCTTGAACTCCTGACCTCGTGATTCACCTGCCTCAGCCTCCCAAAGTGCTGGGATTACAGGCATGAACTACCACGCCCGGCCCAAAGATTTCTTGAGTAAGATTTCAGCCCCACTCTGTGTAACCTAAGAGGTCTAGGAAAGACTGAAGCATCCTGCATTTACCATCTGAGTTTAGAAAAAATGTTTAGAGCACAACATCAGGGAACCATTCCCAGACGTGGCTGTGGATGCTGCCATTTCTTGTGATTCTGGAGCTGTTCTTTTCATCTCAAGCTACTGTTTACAGAAGTGTTACCACAGAATTATAATTATGGGTTTTATTTAGTTATAAAGAGGGTTTGAGTCTTCCATCAAAGGGAGAGGAAGCAACTCACTCAGAAGTGTGGAGAAAATCTTTCACACTCACTGCTTGATGGAATTCCAGTAGTCTGCATGGATTCAGGCCAGAGCATGAACCCCTGGGGCATGGAGAGCTTGATTTTATGGTGGGCAGGAGGGCCCAGAGTACTGGCCTTCCTTCCTCTCTTCTTGGAGAAGCAGTGGTGATAAGGTAGGAAAGGAAGTCCTGGGCTTCCACCAGGCCAGCTTCCCCACCCATGCAGACTTCCTTCTGCTCCAAGGAAACTGGTCATTCTTATCTCTTCTGCAGAAAATGAAACCAGAAACTCCCAGGCTTATGAAGGAGAGGCTATCTGGGCACTGGGAAGGTGGAGAGAGGCTTCCCAGTGTTGTCTCTGGCAAGACAGTAGAATCCTTGGGAGGTCTATTTGCTCCTAATATTGCTTCCTCTCGATTTCTTTCCTTCAGTTTTTTCCCCCATTTTTGGCTCTGATCCTAAAACTTGGGCTCTGCATTCTTTGATAATCCATCACACCTCAGATACTGGGGACCTGAGACCTGGTCCTACCTGCCCTAGCTGGTATCTCCACTGAATCCTCACAGGCCTTTCTATCTCCAGAGACTGTTTCTGGCCACTGAGCCCGATGCTTGGGACATCAATGGCTCACTGATGCCCCAGGGCCTCCTCCTAATCTCTGGCCGAGGCTGACACAGAAGGCTCACAACAAACCATGTGCCTCCGAAATAATGTGATGAGCAGAGTAAAATCTGTTGACTTTTTACCCCATGAAAGCTGCATGGTTTAAATACAATAGAGGTGACTCAGCTACTGGAAGGATGCATGTACCACGTCTGAAACACTCAGCAAGCTCTGTGGAGTTGATGAAGCAGGGAAATTGGGAGTGAAAGTAAAAATTTCCGCTTCCTCAGAAAAATCTGCTTGACACTATCTAGCATCCATTCATTAGACTTAATCTTCAGCCTGTCTGAGTTCCCATGAATCTATATTTCTGCACTGAGATGGGGCACGTATTTTCTACCAACATGTGAGCAAAGGGGGAAATCCATAACTTTGACTTCCTTCAGTTGGCTTCCTCTTGGACCTGGGACATTAGCATTCCACTAACATTTGGTTACATGAAGCTACATTTTCCCAGTGCATTATTTTGCATCTTGAAAGAATGCAGTAGCTGTAGCTACAGGACCTACCATCAATCACTGGGCATTAATCCTCACTGAGTGGCCCTCATGCTGTAACCTCACTGTGCCTATTCTGCTTAAGGTCCTGGTGGTTGGGCTGATGGAGAACATAACTCCTGGTTCTCCTCTCCCGCCTCTGGCCCCCCAGCGTTATTGCCAGGGAATACACTTGCTCTGGGGAGCTCTGAGCTTAATGGATTTTGCAGTATTTCCCCTTCCTTCCTGCTACAAAGCTCTGGCTTAGCATGAAAGCTGCCCCAGATCCCTGAACCCATGGCACCCTTCCTGCCTTGAGGAACTCACCCCTCTCCTGCAGATCAAGGCTCAGTATTAGCCTATATAAAAAGCCTCCTGCTTAGTCATAACAGGTATACCAACTACCATTTACAGAGTGCTCACTATGTGCCAACCAGTGTACAAGTACCCTGTGGGTGGTATTGCATATAATCCTCACACAACCTTGGCAGCTGGCACTGTCTTTATTCCCGTATCATAGTTAAGAAAACTGGAACTTAAGTTAGGTCACATAGCTAGAAAGTGATGGACTGGAATCCGTCCATTCAACAGATATTATTCATGTCTTACTACGTGCCAGTTATTGTTCTATGGATCAGGGATATGTTGGTGCACAAAACAGCCTAAAGCTCCTTCCCTTGTGGAGCTGACTTCCTTCTGGTGTTTAAACCCAAAGCTGCTTGGCCCCAGAGCTAGACACTATTTAATTCAGAGACGATCACAGCCACACAGAAAGATTTTCTTTAAAATGTTTGATCATAACCATGATGAGATACCATTTCATACCATTAGAATGGTTACTATCAAGAAGATAAAAAAATAACAAGTATTGGCAAAGATGTGGGAAGTCACAACCCTCATATACTGCTGGTAGAAATGTATAATGGTGCAGCCACTGTGGAAAACAGTATGGCAGTTCCTCAAAAAGTTAAACATAGAATTATCATATGCTCCGGCAATTCCACATCTAGGTATATACCCAAAGGAATTGAAAAGCAAGGACTCAAATAGACACTTGTACCTCAATGGTCATCTAGTAGCATTACTTACAATAGCCAAAAGGCAGAAACAACCCAAATGTCCATCAATAGATAAATGGATAAACAAAATGTGGTATATATATAAAATGAAATATTAATTAGCCTTAAAAAGGAAATTATATACTTATGACAGCATGGTCGAAACATTATGCTAGGTGATATAAGCCAGACAGAGAAGGACAAATATTGTATGATTTATCTTTATGTGAGTTGCCTAGAACAGAAAAATTCAGAGAGACAGAAAGTGGAATAGAGGTTATCAGGGGCTGAGAGGGAGGGGTGGGGATGAAGAGTCATTATTTAATGTATGCAGAGTTTCAGTTTGCAGTGATGAAAAAGTTCTGGAAATGGATAATATTGATGATTGAACAACACTGTGAATGTGTTTAATGCCACTGAATTGTACACTTAAAAATGGTGAAAATGGTAAGTTTTATGTTATATTTATTTTACAACTAAAGAAACAAATTTTTAAAAAATGTTTGAACTTAGAAGAAATCGATCCAAGAACAAGAAGTCAGCAGCCAATTATTGAGGGCTCTTGGGAACCAGAGCACACCCCCATTCATTCTATCAGTGGATTTCAAAGTGAGTATGACATTTAGGGAAATAAAGATGCCAGCTTTAATAAGACCTCAGCTCATTCTTTACCCAATGGGGTCATTTATTCCTAAATGCACAGTCAGGATAGTACAAGTGTAATGAATTCAGTCTGATGAAGATGATGGCATGGGAATATTGGAAACTGACAAATTTGAGTCACCCGGTTCAAAAGTTTTTAGATAGACCTATAAGAAAATTGCACCTAGCTAGGAAATTGCCTAGAAAAGATTTTTTTTTTTTCCTTGAGTTTCTGGAAAATCTTTCCTTGTAAGAGCTCAGTTGTTCCTGTGATGAATGTATATTTTGCATCTTTCTGGAGTTAAGCACAGGCAAGCTGACCACTCCAGGGTTAATGCTTTGACCTGTGCTTTGCCTCTCCATTATTTCCAACAACACTTGCTAATGAAAAGGGGCCTGCTTGGTGGTCTTCAGGCTGGACACATATCCCCAGAATGGTCACCACACAGATCAGTGTTACTTTCTTTAAAATGAAAGTTATTCTTTTTTTTTCTGATTATAAAATTAATAATGCTCACTGTAGAAAATCTGGAAAATGAGAAGGAATCTACTTGGTGATTGAATTATCTTTCTCTCTATATAGCTATATGAATCACACTACATATAATCTTGTATCCCTTTATTTTTTAACTTTACACTGCAAACATTGCCCCACGTCTTAACTATTCTTTGAAAACATGATTTTTAATGGCTGTCCAAAATTGTATCTGTGGATATGTGATTCAATATGATGAATGCGAATATGGAAGTCTAGCAGAAACTTGGTTCTGCTGTGAGTCTGTGAGGCAATGATCTTGTTCATATATGCATAGAATTCTTATAATGTGGATAATATGTTTATAACAGGGTTTGATACAATGATGTATCCCTAGATATGGCAGATGGGGTCTTCCCTAATAAGTGGCTTCTTTCCTGGTAGCTGTACCTCTTCTAGGGAAAAGGCACATCGTTTTCTCAGTCTGAAATCTGTACCTGAGAAAGTCCTGGGGTTGGAGGGAAGGGTACTATTGCAGAGGAGGACTCCAGCTCTCTCTTCATCCCACGCAAGGTTCAAATTTCCAAGAAGGAACATCTAGCAGGTGAATCAATGCCATCTAATTGTTTCAGCTAGGGCTTGCAGATTTGTACCAATTTCTTGGGATTACAGTGTGAAGATCAGAGGCCAGAGTGAGGCCATAGACGGGTAAGAGAGGCTGGATCAGGACAGCCATCATCAGAGCACACACTGTGCCTATTTCTAGACCTTTAAATTGTCTATATTTCCTAACTAGTCTCATCAGAATTAGGCAAAGTGTCCTGAAAATTTGAGGCACTACCACGTCTTCTAAATGAACTGACAGAAGAAGTCTTGCTCACATGTGAGGAATGCCAAGGAAAGAAACAAAGAAAGAAATAAATAAACATAAAAATGGGAGAGATGAACAGGTGGAGCAGAGGGGATTTTTAGGGCAGTGAAATAATTCTGAATGATACCGTTTTGGGGGATATATGACAATATACATTTGCCAAAACCCATAGAACTATACACAACACAGAGTCAACCCTAATGTAAACTATGGACTTTAGCTAATAATAACAAATCAATTTTGGTTCACCAATTATAACAAATGTGCTGCACTAATGCAAGGTTCTAATAATAGGGGAAATTGTGGGAGGAAGGGGCATGTGAGAACCCTGTACTATCTGCTCCATTTTCTGTAAACCTAAAACTGCTCAAAAAGATAGTCTATTAATTAAGATAAAAAAAGAAGATGCTTGTTAATTAACCCTGAACCATTTATTTAGGGTCGTTTCATTAACAAGGAGAAACGAAATAATTCACATAATGTGTGGAAGGAGAATATGGGGCAAAGGTGATCAAAACAAAACAAAAACAAACTGAGGCTTTTCTAGAAATCTACCCTTATGACGAAAAAAAAAAAAAAGTAAAAATAAGATAAAATCAAGGAGAGGCAGCCATACCTACCCCCATTCAGGGATAACTAGAAATTATGCGAGCAGGAAGAGCTGCTTAACCAGGTGCCTTTCCTTTCCTGGAGATTCTTCCCCAGAGCAATATCTTAAAGATTCCTAGTAGACTTCTAATAAAGGGTGGGGGTGGGGTTGTTTGTGGCAAAGCCCCCACCTTTCCGGATTCAAAAGGATTGTTGTCACTCAACCCATTCATGCAATATACTCTTTATCTATACTTCAGTGCTATGAGGAAATGCTCAGTACCAGGAGTCAATTCTCTTTTTGTTTCTATAGTTATTAGTCTCTTGTTTGGTTTTCCTTCCTCCCTCCTTCCCTCCCTCTCCCTTTTCTTGTTTCTAAATTAAAGCACTGGGTTCCATTTTTCCCAAAGCAAGTCTTCTGAATTTACAGCCATACATAAAAAATAAAGCAAACATTCTTATTTCTAGTTAGGAAGAGAAAGAAGACAGTGATGGGGGTTTAAGCAGCATCATCTCAAGATGAAAATGAAGGCGACTCCAGCCTGCTTTGAACAGAAACAGTGACCGTGGTGGGTTAGCTTATTATAGCTGGTCACTAAGTCAATAGCCTATTGCTGTCTACTTCTGAGTTACACTCTGATGGTTTACTCACATCTCCACTGGTGTATATATCCCATGGCAGCTCTACCTGTGAGACGTCACAGTTGATAGGAACATGGACCACGCTGAGGGACCAGGCTGGACCATTCATTTAGATGGATTCTCCAATGAAAGGCACCCTTTAAAGAATTTGCTTTAGCCATCTACAGGACCAGAGAGGGCAAATCTGCCCAGCCAAGTAATAACATTAACATTCCTATCTTCTGTCTCCTGCTCCCACCCTATGCTTTGACCCAGGCAGGGCCCAAAATAGCAGTCAGTAGTGGGAGAAGAAGGAAGTTGAGGAACTGAGGAGGAATTCTGCCATATCTCCATGGCTCCATTCCCCTGAGGCAAATAGCCCAATTGTAGATCTTAGCACAGCAGAGAGGTCGGGGGCAAAGGGACAGGGAGGAGTCTTATTTTTGGAAGGTTATTATTTTGGAGTGAATTCTCCATTTCATTCTCGTTACTGAAATGGGACTTTTTTTTTTTGTGGAGCTTAAAGTGACATAGACTATTAACTGAGAGTGACTAGAAAAGCCACACTGGCAAGAATTTTATCAAAGAACAAAGGGAGGACCACTGCACTGAATAAGTTCTTTAAAGGGATAGCAGGAGACAAAGAATAAAGTTGCATTTTGGTTGCTGCACGAGTTATGCCCACTGATAAAGCAGTTACATGTACGTGGCTAGATTTGTTTTTAAAACTTACTCTCGGCTATTTTGAAGGGACTGGATTGGAGAGGGGAAAGAGCGAAGTTAGGAATCTAAAAATTGGAGGGTGTTCCAGTATTCCAGTTGAGACATGATTACAGAAATGACAGTGAAGAGAAATGAAATCCAACATGCAATAGAAAGTGAAAGCAATAGGATTTGAAGGATTGGTTGAAAGTAGGGGTGGGACAGAGGAAAGTATTAAGGATTTTTCTAAGTTTCTGAGCAACTGGGTAAATCTCAGCACAACTGTGAGCCAGAGACCTCTGCAAGAGAAGCAGATTTGGTGTAGGGAAGAAAGGGGACCTCTAATAAAACCAAGCCATAGCTGGTTCCTGAGGCTATTTAAAAATAGTCTTCCAAAGAGCTTTCTTTGAGGTATCTCAATGAACAGAAGGCGAGTGCTGGAATCTGAGAAGTATTTTAAAAACTGACATATGTGTTGGCTGGACTTAAGCTTTCATTTAGCTTAGGAGCAACAAATATCTTGGAACATCTCCATATCATGCCTAGTTCAATAAATCTGGATGGGTTCTGATGGAGGAATACATGTGATCTCTCTGACGGCTGCTTCCCCAGGGAAAACCTTGCTTTTCAAAGCAGATGATGTTTGCCCACTCTTGCCAATAAATGCCAACTTCTACATATACGATTAAATGGCTTCAGAGAACTTTGGACCATGATTGTGAATAGCCATGATTCCTGGCAGCAAGCAGGGAAGCTGCACATTCATCTTTCAGTGTTCAGAGCAGAACCATCTGTCTAAAGCCACAAGGCCTTGGTGGACACAAGCAGCTGTGAACCCGGGGGGCTCGTTCATCTGAACCAGACTGTTGCAGATGTTTGCAGCTGCTGAGAGCCCATTCTGAAACTCATGGCCTCCATTCAATTAGGGCTGGTCAGTGGGATGACCCTGAGGATTCCCCACATGAAGTAAGACCCACTTCTTGCCTGTGCACAGCTAATATGAGGATTAGGTTTAAAATGTCAGACTCTTGAACAAAAGTCAGTTTATCTTGGCTCCTGCTACTGAGGTTATACTCCCTATGGCCTTGGATTTAGTGATAAAGAACCAGTTACACGTGGTGCAGTTTTCAAAGTGCTGCCTCACTACTTAAATCAGCAACATAAACACAAGGTGACACGGTCATGAGGTTTTTTCCTCCCCAATAAGTCAAATGCATGCAGGCCTTCCAAGCAGCTGCTTGTAGGAATTGCTGCTCAGATCTTCAGAATTCTTATATAAAATGAGAAAGAAATCCCGTGAGACAGTTTAGCTGAATGATACTCTAACCGCAGTTTTATTTATTTTTTAATTTTTTTTTTTGAGACGCTCTGTCACCCAGGCTGGAGTGCAGTGGTGCGATCTTGGCTCACCACAACCTCCGCCTCCGGGGTTCAAACAATTCTCCTGCCTCAGCCTCCCGAGTAGCTGGGATTACAGGTGTGCACCACCATGCCTGGCTAATTTTTGTATTTTTAGTAGGGACGGGGTTTCACCATGTTGGCCAGGCTGGTTTCAAACTCCTGACCTCAGGTGATCTCCTGCCTCAGCCTCCCAAAGTGCTAGGATTACAGGTGTGAGCCACCACGCCCAGCCCTCTAACCAGATTTTAAAATCCTATGGAATAAAGGAATTTTTAGAAGATGGCTTTATGGGTGTGCATAATATGTAAAGACAAATATGACAGTTTCTCTCAAACATAGGTTAAAAGTGAAATGGTACTGTTTGCTTTTAGAAAAATTATAAAATATGATTTAATTAATGTCAATTTCCTGCCTCTGAAGATGGCTCTAAAGTTATATAATACACTAACATTAGCAGAAGCTGGGTGAATGATATATGGGAACTATGTACTTTTTTTTTTTAGAACTTATCTGTAAGTCTAAAGTTATTTTCAATTATAAAACATAAGAAAAAATAGGAATTGGAGTCTCTGAGTCTTCCCATTCATTATTCTTCTCTGTGAAAGTGTTCTTTCCCGTAAAAAAATTAATCTGGTCAATTTTAGATGGGATTATTAAAAAATAAATGAGAGGCACTTACATTTTATATCAGTGTAAATTTTGCGTTAATTGTCTCAACAGGCTAGCAGAGCCCCATCAGCTAACTGTGTGAGAAAAATCCTCATTTCTCACTTCCAAATGGAAAAGGTCCTAGCTAATTTCAATGGATTTGGCTTTAGATCTAAAAACAACTGCATCCTCTGGGGATGACCAAGCAGATGTGTAAGTGTCCCCTTAACTGAAGAGCTGTTGCTGAGGAAAATAAAATTTCATCACATCTGGTTCTAAACTGCAATACGAGTGGATTTTATCACTCATATAGATTTCAATATGGGGTTTCGTGCGTGTATTTATTTAGTTAGTTCACACAGACATATGATTAGATTTGCTTTTCACATGCTTTCACCCCTGGATTATCTGTAGGTAATCCTAAAAGGAAAAACATTCAAACTTTGTTGGTATCTGGGCTTGCAATATGTTTTTGTCCTCTCATTGCATGATAAAAAATGTATTTGGGGTTAATACAATTTCCTGATTGATAAAATGATTTTGCAGCATATACAAGTATTATTGAATTCTGAATAACTACAGTTTAATAAACTCATGGAAAAGGTTTGGCTATTGCAGTTAAGCATAAAGATTTCCCTTCATGATCTCGTAGGACCTCATACCTTAAGTATAGGTATGCTTAAGGATCAGTTAACAAGAGAAATCTAGTAAGTGGCATATCAGGGAAAAAAGAGCTTTTCTTTGAAATGGCAATAGTAGAGGGACTTCAGAGAATCTGGTCTAATCTCCACGTTTGGGATTTTTAGGAAGTTTAAAATGGCTGGTGCTTAATTTGATGGAGGGGTGGGCTGCTAGATTCCTTTGACAACCTGAAAAAGCTATAGATATTCTACCTATAAAACACATTCTTAAAGACTTTAGATATCATTTGGAGGTTCTGTGGAACCCCTGGAGTAATTTCTTTTTAATTTTTTTTTTTTTTTTTTTTTTTTTTGAGATAGGGTCTTGCTCTGTCATCTAGTCTGGAGTGGAATGCCTTGACCTCCTGGGCTCAAGTGATCCTCCTGCCTCACCCTCCCAAGTAGCTAGGACTACAGGCATGATGTACCACCATGCCCAGCCAATTTTTAAGTTTTTTTTGTAGAGGCAGGATCTTGCTATGTTGCCCAGGCTGGTCTTAAACGTCTGGCTTTAAGTAATCCTCCTGCCTCAGCCTCCTGAAAAGCTGGGATTACCGGCATGAGCCACCACGGCTAGCTCATCTTTCCTTTGCTTTTCTTCGTAAAACAGAACAAAAGATAGCCACCACTCCACGTCTGTAAATGTGCTTATGACTACTAGAATAAGCAGGGGACACCTGTTACCGTTAGTTACATCTGGAGTTTAGAACTGGTGTGCGATTGAAGGGGAGAAAGAAACAATGTTATTGGGATTTTAGACACCTGGGATTGCTTAAATTATTACCATGAAGATACAGGATGTATTACTTTTAAAACTCAAATGCCGGCAGGGTGCAGTGGCTCACGCCTGTAATCCCAGCACTTTGGGAGGCCGAGGCAGGTGGATCACGAGGTGAGGAGATCGAGACCATCCTGGATAACACCGTGAAACCCCGTCTCTACTAAAAAATACAAAAAATTAGCCAGGCGTGGTGGCGGGCACCTGTAGTCCCAGCAACTCGGGAGGCTGAGGCAGGAGAATGGTGTGAACCTGGGAGGCGGAGCTTGCAGTGAGCCGAGATTGCGTCACTGTACTCCAGCTTGGGCGACAGAGCGAGACTCCGTCTCAAAAACAAAAGGAAACAAAACAAACAAACAAACAAACAAACAAAACGTCAAATGCCTGAAATGCATACATGAGAGGGAAAGAAAAAGAGAGACACCCTGTGCTTTAAATGGAACAATAAAGTTTCCTTTGAGTGATCTTATTACAGCTCCTCTGCTCACAGCCTCCCTGTGCCCAGCTCCAGGAATCAACAATTCTCTTCCTTGGGATTTAAAAAAACACTTTCTAAGCCTCTCAGCTTCTGCTGAGAATCCCCAAGGGAAAAGAAAAACAAAAATGCTAGTACTTTGGACTCTAGCAGCAAAGGGATGGTGAAAAAAACCACCGTTTATTGAGGACTCACAAGTACTTTACATACATGAGCTCATGTGATCTTTACACCAACCCTCTGGGGTTAGAAAATAGAAACACAACCCTTTGGCCGGGTGCGGTGGCTCACGCCTGTAATCCCAGCACTTTGGGAGGTCGGGGCCGGTGGATCACAAGGCCAAGAGATCGAGACCATCCTGGCCAACTTGGTGAAACCCTTAGTACAACTTGGTGTACACTTAGTACAACTTGGTGTACTAAAAATTCAAAAATTAGCTGGGTGTGGTGGCACACGCCTGTGGTCCCAGCTACTTGGGAGGCTGAGGCAGGAGAATAGCTTGAACCTGGGAGGCGGAGGTTGCAGTGAGCTGAGATCACACCATTGCACTCCAGCCTGGGAGACAGGGTGAGACTCCACCTCAAAAAAAAAAAAAAAAAAAAAGTAATACAACCCTCTTAGCTTAAATCAGGAAGAATTAGAAACCCTCAATAGACCAAAAACAAGCAGCGAGATTGAAATGGTAACTTAAAAATTATCAAAACAAATGTCCAGGACCAGACAGATTCACAGCAGAATTCTACCAGACATTCAAAGAAGAATTGGTACAAATCCTTTTGACACTATTTTGCAAGATAAAGAAGGTACCCTCCCTAATTCACTCTATGAAGCCAGCATCACCCTAATACCAAAACCAGGAAAAAATATAACCAAAAAAGAAAACTACAGACCAATATCCCTGATGAACATAGATGCTAAAATCCTTAAAAAAAATACTAGCTAACCAAATCCAACAACATATCAAGAAGATAATCCACCACGATCAAGTGGGTTTCATACCAGAGATACAGGGATGGTTTAACATATGCAAGCCAATAAATGTGATACACATAAACAGAATTAAAAACAAAAATCATATGATCATCTCAATAGATGCAGAAAAAGCATTTGACAAAATCCAGCATCTCTTTATGATTAAAACTCTCAGAAAAATCAGCATACAAGGGATATATCTTAATGTAATAAAAGCCATCTATGACAAATCCACAGCCAACATAATACTGAATGGGGAAAAGTTGAAAACATTCCCTCTGAGAACTGGAACAAGACAAGAATGCCCACTCTCACCACTCCTCTTCAGACAAGAGAAAGAAATAAAGGCCATCCAAATCGGTAAAGAAGAAGTCAAACTGTCACTGTTTGCTGACAATGTGATCGTTTACCTTGAAAACCCTAAGGACTCCTCCAGAAAGCTCCTAGAACTGATAAAAAAAAATTCAGCAACATTTCTGGATACAAGATTAATGTACACAAATCAGTAGCTCTTCTATACACCAACTGCGACCAAGCGGGGAATCAAATCAAGAACTCAACCCCTTTTACGATAGCTGCAAAAAAAAAAAAAAAAGACTTAGTAACATACCTAACCAAGGAGTCGAAAGACCTCTACAAGGAAAACTACAAAACCCTGCTGAAAGAAATCATAGATGACACAAACATATGGAAACTCATCCCATGCTCATGGATGGGTAGAATCAACATTGTGAAAATGAACACACTGACAAAGGAAATCTACAAATTCAATGCAATTCCCATCAAGATACCACCATCATTCTTCACATAATTAGAAAAAACAATTCTAAAATTCATATGAACCAAAATAAGAGCTCACATAGCCAGGGCAAGACTAAGCAAAAGAACAAATCTGGAGGCATCACACTACCTGATTTTAAACTATACCATAAGGGCATAGTCACCAAAACAGTGTGGTACTGGTATAAAAATAGGCACATACACCAATGGAACAGAATAGAGAACCAGAAATGAACCCAAATACTTACAGCCAACCGATCTTCAACAAAGCAAACAGAAACATAAAGTGGGGAAAGGACACCCTTTTCAACAAATGGTGCTGGGATAATTGGCTAGCCACAAGTAGGAGAATGAAACTGGATCCTCATCTCTCGCCTTATACAAAAATCAACTTAAGACGGATTAAAGACTTAAACCTAAGACCTGAAACTATAAAAATTCTAGAAGATAACATTGGAAAAAGCCTTCTAGCCATTGGCTTAGGCAAGATTTCATGACCAAGAACCCAAAAGCAAATGCAATAAAAACAAAGACAAATAGCTGAGACCTAATTAAACTAAAGAGCTTTTGCACGAAAAAAGGAACAGTCAGCAGAGTAAATAGAAAACCCACAGAGTGGGAGAAAATCTTCACAATCTATACATCTGACAAAAGACCAATATCCAGAATCTACAACAAACTCAAACAAATTAGTAAGAAAAAAACAAACAATCCCTTGAAAAAGTGGGCTAAGCACATGAATAGACAATTCTCAAAAGAAGATACACAAATGGCCAACAAACATGAAAAAAAATGTTCAACATCACTAATGATCAGGGAAATGCAAATCAAAACCACAATGCAATACCACCTTACTCCTGCAAGAATGGCCATAATAAAAAAATCAAAAAAGAGTAGATTTTGGCATGGATGCAGTGATCAGGGAACCCTTCTACACTGCTGGTGGGAATGTAAACTAGTACAGGCACTATGGAAAACAGTGTGGAGATTCCTTAAAGAACTAAAAGTAGAACTACCATTTGATCCAGCAATCTCACTACTGGGTATCTACCCAGGGGAAAAGAAGTCATTATTCGAAAAAGATATTTGCACACACATGTTTATAGCAGCACAATTCACAATTGCAAAATTGTGGAACTAACCCAATTGTCCATCGATCAACGAGTGGATAAAGAAACTATGATTATATATATATATTCCATCTACATATTCCATCTATATATTTCATATATATTCCATCTATATATTCCATCTATATTCCATCTATATATTCCATCTGTATATTCCATATATATATATATATATATATATATATATATATATATATATATATATGGAATACTACACAGCCATAAAAAGGAATGAATTAACAGCATTTGCAGTGACCCGGATGAGATTGGAGACTATTATTCTAAGTGAAGTAACTCAGGAATGGAAAACCAAAGGTCATATGGTCTCACTGATATGTGGGAGCTAAGCTATGAGGATGCAAAGGCATAAGAATGATACAACGGACTTCAGGGACCTGGGGGGAAGAGTGGGAGGGGGACAAGGGATAAAAGACTTCAAATATGGTGCAGTGTATACTGCCCAGGTAATGGGTGCAGCAAAATCTCACAAATCACCACTAAAGAACTTACTCATGTAACCAAATACCACCTATACCTCAATAACTTATGGAAAAAAAGAAAATAGAAAGGTCAGTAACATCTTCCACTGACCCAGAGCTTGACAACAGCAATGATCACATCTGTATTGGGAGGCCTTTACCATCCATGAGGGGTAACCTTGCACCCACCTTCTCCCTACATGGAAGAGCGGTATTCTCACCTCCATTTTTTTTTTTCAGACGGAGTTTCGCTCTTGTTGCCCAGGCTGGAGTGCAATGGTGCAAACTCAGCTCACTGAAACCTCCGCCTCCCGGGTTCAAGCGACTCTCCTGTCTCAGCCGCCCAAGTAGCTGGGATTACAGGCACATGCCACCACGCCCGGCTAATTTTTGTATTTTTAGTGGAGATGGGGGTTTCATCATATTGGTCAGGCTGGTCTCAAACTCCTGACCTCAGGTGATCTGCCTGCCTCGGCCTCCCAAATTGCTGGGATTACAGGCGTGAGCCAACATGCCCGGCCACTCTCACCTCCATTTTATAGGCAAAGAATTGAGGCACACAGCCCTAGAGTGAGTTAAGTGAGAGTAGCATAAAGTGCAGGTCTTTTTGCTCACCTTGGGTGCTCCTTTCAAACCACGCAGTTCTCTACAAAGCAGCCAGAGTAGTTCTTTTAAAACACCAGGCCGGGGGGCGGGGGTTACTTCACATTTCTGCTGAAAATCCTCAACTGGTTTCTCGTCATCCTCAGAATAAAGTCCCAAAACCTTACTGTGGCCTCACATAATTTGTCTACCTCCAACTTCCTCCATTTCCACACTCCAGCTGCACTGGCCTCCTTGCTAGTCCTCACACATTCCAAATGTGGTTCCACCCCAGAACCTTGGTATTCACTCTTCCCTCAGCTTGGAATGTGCTTTCTCCAGATGTCGGAGGGTTTGCTTCTTATGTCATTCAGGTGTGGCTCCAGTAGCTTTCTTTTCTGCCCCTACTGTATAAAATAGCACCCATCACTCTCTAGCTGCTTTTCTTCATAGCACTTATCACCACCTGACATCTATATCTGATTATGGCCTGCCTCTCCTCCCCACTCTCAATGCAGATATAAGTTCAATGAGAGTGAGGATTTAGTCTTTATTGTTCTCTGCTGTGTCCTCAGTAAGTGTCAAAACAGTGCCTGGAACCCAGTAGGGGCTCCATTAATATTTGCTGAGTGAATGAATGAATAAATACATGAATACGTGAATGAATGCTACCTCTTTTCAGGGCAATAAGTTACAAATGGAAAATAGTGAGGATCAAATATTCAATTCATTCAACTTGCAAATCTGGGGCTGATCTTGCCTTTCAAATAGGTGGCTGGCTGAGCAATTTACATTTCAGCTTTCATTTCCCACTATTTCCTCAGTTCATTCATTTAATCTTCCCTGCAATAAAATAAATCAACAACCCACCATTAAATGCATAGTTCAGTCCAACTTCAACGCTTTATTTTTAGAGGAGACTTTTACAATAGAGGCATTTGGTAAATGTGAAATATGACCAACACCTATCTTGGTTCCACCTCTCTAATTCTGTTGATATAGTCTGACCTAGGTTTCTAGACACCCTATGGAAGTTAAAGTTATTAATGGAATGCAACCAAGATGCCATATTTAATCAAGATAGCTGAAGACAGATTTTATCTTTGTTTTCATGCATTGGCAATATGTAGTTTTATGTGTTGCCAACAATTTGAGGGGAGTGATGCACTTCTTAAGCTTTTTGTATGACACTTTTCATGAGATCAGTCTCTGATGAATATTAATGACTTTCAAAAAAATTGTATCTGGAAGAGACAATCATAGGTCTTGTTGAAGCATGTATACCACAAATTGTACTTTGCTTGTAAATTCCAGTTACAGAAAAAATTTATCAGGAGACACTGTACTGTGATCTTTAAAATTATTAAATGTACACATAAACATTTAAAAGATGAATCTTGAAAATTAGTTTTCTATGTCCTGAATCTAGACAGAAAAAAGCTGGGAATATGTATCTGGTATATCTTGATAGGGTCTGGAAAAAAGTGTTGTTCAATAGTCAATCTGGAAAGAAGGTGAATATTAGACGAATTATCCCAATAATAATGAGCATGAAATCTGAAAATACTACAGAGCTGAGGCTTTACTTATGGGTCCACATGGAGAGCCAGAAAGAACGCTACATGGCAAGTCAGGATACTCATGCTGTTCAATAAAGCAAACATTTTTAGTGCCTATTATGTGTTAGGCACTGGCCTTGCCTGTGACTCGGGTTCAGTCATTTTACTACATTGGGCTTCAGTTTTCTCATCTGCAAATTGAGATAAATCTTGCCCTGCTGACTTTACATGACAGTTATGACAATCAAGGGTGATGAATGAACTGCTAAACATTAAAAGTCTTTTGGTAAATATTAATATTATTATTGCACATAAATATAACAGTTTTACCTGTTCTGTGAATATCTTTGGCCCCCATACATGACTTTTTTTGTAATGGCAATACTCTTTTTTTTTTTTTTTTAACTTACCTAAGATTTAAGTCACTTCTTGTTGCAAGCAAGCAACTGTTGGTATGATGGCTAAACTAAGCTACTCTCACCTTACTTATACCCTGATCCTTAAAGAAGGTATGGAGCATTTAGTGTGGAGCATTTAAAGAGGGAAAAAAAATCAATAAAGTTGGATTTATGGTTATCTGATTTCTGCTAATCTCTTTAGAAAGCCTAACACTTGGGTCATAACATTCTTCACATGTGTAATAACTGGTTTAGTATCTGTCTTCACTACAAGAGTAGAAGTTACAAGAATTGTCCACTCTTTCAAATACAATGCCTTCATATGGCAGGCAAAACACACAGAACATACATATTTGTTTAATAAATGAATAAACTGATTGAGACTTTATGTTCATCAGAGAAAGTATCAATTATTTAGCTAGATCTTATTATAAGACAGGTGCTAAGTGCTTTAACATATATTAACTCATTTAATCCTCTCAACAACTATACGAAGGAGGTGCTAATCTGCCCACTTTACAGGTGAAGAAATAAGGACACAGAAAAATTAAGTTACTTTCTCCAGGTTACATAGCTAGTAAGTGGTGGAATTAGGACATGAACCTAGACAGGCTGGCTTCAGAGTCTGTGCCCTTAGTCTCAAGGCAATACAGTGTAAATGTCTGTGCATGCTGACTACATACGCATCTTAAAGCTCTGGCTTCCTGACAGTTAATCATCACTCACATAGAGTTAGCCTCTTGACATCCCCTATGCTTAGGTATGAAGCTGTTAAGTAAGAGAAGAAAAATGGAAAAAGGACATTTACTGTTTCTGTGGCTTCTTAAAGACACTAAGACTACAGACAATGAACTTAGAAGAAAAATGATTAGGCTGATTTAGAGGTTCATCCCAAACATCCCAATAACCATGACCAAATGAAGCCATGTCCCAAGACGTGCTAGCCACGGACACAGAATAATGTGTATGAGGCTCAAACTGAAGGCCCAAAGAGATACACAGGAACAGGGCAGGTCCCCAGTGAGTCATTTCAGAGCAATTGCTTTTTGCTTTCCTTCTCCCATTTACTTCATTTCTCATCTGTTCTTATATGAATCAAACCCCAGAACTGCGAGGAAGATAAACTCTGAGTGATTCTTGCTATTGCCAAACCCAGTGAAAGAACCACCGGGGGCCAATCATAAACTGCATGGGGACCCATGACTACTCAGTCAACATGACTTCTGCCCAATCCAGTGGGTGCGCAGACTCTACAAAGGGCAAATGCTGATGGTGAGCTTAATGGGATAATGCAATTTGTACTGGCCACCGAGCAAAGAATATACCAGACTGGAAAGCCAATCTGCCAATCAACTCATACATAGTAAGTTCCTACCATTTGCCACAGATTAGAACACAAGAGTTATGTTGGTGCATCAGTAGTAGCCATCCATGTTCCATACTTGTGTCGTAAGAACCAAAACTCTAGAGAGAAACCTTCCAGAAACTGTCCTCAACCTTCCAGGTCTCTTCCAGCCTCTTCCCAAGACAGCTGCATTCTGCTCTAGGGTTCTGTGAAATATGCCTGTAATCTTAGAAGTAAATTTTTCTCCACCACCCATAATTTATTGCTTGCTTGCTTAAACTAAACTACCTCCAGTTAGTTTTTGTTACAGGAAAATCCTCATTCAAAGTAACTGGGGGCATCCAGGCGCGGTGGCTTGTGCTTGTAATCCCAGCACTTTGGGAGGCCGAGGCAGGTGGATCACCTGAGGTCAGGAGTTCAAGACCAGCCTGACCAACATGGAGAAACCCTGTGTCTACTAAAAATACAAAATTAGCCAGGCATGATGGAGCACGCCTGCAATCCCAGCTACTCGGGAGGCTGAGGCAGGAGAATCGCTTGAACCCAGGAGGCGGAGGTTGCGGTGAGCCGAGAGCGCGCCATTGCACTCCAGCCTGGGCAACAAGAGCAAAACTGTCTCAAAAAAAAAAAAAAAACAAAACAACAACAACAAAAAAACAAAGTCACTGGGGGCAGATCTGTTTCTAAAATTCAGGATTTCTCAGAATTCAGAATGGTGCTGTGATACATATAGTACCCATTACATAACACCCCCAGCAGAGCCTGGGGCAGCACCTTGGAATCAAGCACATTAATACCTTTTCAGGGAAACATGAATGTTCATATTAAGTTAGATAAATAAAGAATACAAATAGTTTCATGCAGATGAAAACACTCATGGTTTTCAGGCTTTTTCTAGACTTCAGAATAATGGATTGTAGTCCTATATTTATAACCCAAAGTCCAATGCAGTGGGCTTATGTCTAAAAGGGGTCAAGGGTTCAGTGTGTTCATTAGAAGGCATGAGGCTCTTTTGTCAGCCTTCTCTTCCTTTCCCTTTTCCTAGCATCCCCCTCCCCAAGGTATTTCCAAACAATGTATTTCAAGCTTACATTCTACCATCTTTTCATCAATCAAACCACAAAGGGCCTGAAATGAGGGACTGGAAAAGTCATAGGTAAGGAAGGAAGAGTGACGGCAAACTGACTTATCCATTAGACGTTAGACGAAATAGCCCTGATTCACCCAGCAGAAGGAGGAGGGTGCTCTGTTTCTTTATGGAAAAGCAGGAGGAGTTGAATATTTACACAGTGCTTACCACAGCTAAGCCTTTAAATATATGGTTTCATTTCATCCTCTCAGTAAATCTTAGGAGGTAAGTGCTACTGTTATCCCCCATTTTACCTATGAGGACACAGAGACTTAGTAAGCCAGGAAGTGGCAAAACTGGGATTCCAACCTATCCTGTGTTGATACCAGAGCCCACACTCTTAATTTGTTTAACTTGGTATAAATAAAGTCATGTACATTGAGTGTTACTCAAACCTAATTTTCTCAGTTACAAGCACCAAATAGGAAGGAAAGGGGTTATACGTTTTGTTTTGTTTTCATTTTTGCTTGGCATGAGCAGAACAGGAAGGTATAGTGTTGGGGTGCAGGGAGAGGTCTAGGGGACATACACTGTTTTTCAAGCCTGCATCAGTTGAGATATCATGTGTATTGGCAAAGCTTATGCACACAGAGGTCCAGGCAGGTGACCAAGCTACTGTGAAGTGAATCTTTTGTTTGGGCACACAATGCTACCCCTGCAGGGATTTCTGAAGCTCGCTCCAGAGCGTCATGGCCATTGCCTGTCAGAGCTCTACCTCATGCCTAGAAGCAGCTGCTGCTTCTTCAAAGGAGTCCAGGCTCAGCTGATATCTAATCTCAGAATAATACATGACACTGTCCCCCCCTGCCCGACTCAGAATCCAAGGGGAAAATAATGAGATCCTCTAGGTTCCCCCAAGACTCACTTCCCAGGCTTGCACTATTTCCTTTTCTGCAGCCTCCTACTGCCTAGACTTGGAGGACTGGTTTCAGTCAGAATAATCCCCGCCTCCCACCTCCACCCCCATGTGCTTAAAAGCAAGCTCTCAGAGTTCATGACAAGTACAGAGAGATGGAGGGTAATGGAATAGGCGGGATGCTTGATTTTTCTTGCAGAATCCCATGCTTGTGTGGGCAAGATGAATCTGCAAGCACACACTGGATTATTCTAGGTGCCAATTTAGGAAGAGAACATCCAAGTTTGCCATGAGCAAAGGCAGAGCAAGGGCTACATGCTCTCCTGAAAGCAGATCCCAGAATTCCAGGGCAGGGAGTGAAAAATGCCTCCAAGGCTTGACTTCCTGCCTACCTGCATCAGAGTTCAGGGCACCTTGATGCAGACCTAAAGCAGTGCTAGTTCCATTTTTTTTCCCACCCACCAGAAGGCCAGGGCTAAGCCTCCTTAGTACAACCCATAGACTTTATGTTCAACAAAAGGAGAAACTTCAGGAACTGATATAGCCCAAATGTGCAAGCATTCCCAAAGAGCATCTGGTTACCTCCAAGGGAAAAAGAAATGCAAGCAGGCATGAACCACGTCACCTGCCAGACAATTCCCATGTGGCTAACGTCAAACATTCTTTCAGAGTGACTGGTTTGAAGAGAGATGTCTGCAAGGACAAGGAAAAGCTTTTCATATGCAGCCACCTCTCTGCTCCAGTTACTCTAGTAGTGCCTTAATGTCAGCCCAGGTAGTCATGCCTCTGGGATAAGTAGGTACATAGAAGGCACTAATAAATCTCAGATTTTCTAACAAACTCGAGAGATGGATTTACTCCATTGTTTTTTTGTGGCTCATCTTCCCCTAGTTCAAATAAAAAAAAGGAATGTGCAGAACAATAAAGATTCTATTCATATTTTTTGCCTTGTCTTTGATCTAGTTGGAATCTGTGTTTCAATACTGAATGGGAAATGAATGCCTTTGGAATTTCAGTCTTCCTGTTCAAATTTATTTCCCATCATGCCCTTCAGGAGCCCTCACAGAGGTTTCCTTATCCTCTCTTCTGCCTCTTTGGTGAGGCCTTTGCTTCCCTCCCTCCTAGGTCAGGCTCTCCAGCAGTCCCTCCAACCAAGCCCACCTGGCCCTATCTTGCCTATTAAGTTGGTTTTTACACCTGTGGGCCTGGCTACCTAGCCTGAACCCAACCCAATACTTCTGGTTTCACTGAGCGGTGACCAACCTACTTCCATCCCCAGTTTGTTCCAGTTTAGTACCTCCTGGGTCACACTTTAGGCATAATCCCTTCTCTAACAGCAGCCACTGCAAGCTGAATGTTTGGTCTACATGTTTATTACAGGCTATCCATGCATTCAGCAGCTATTTACTGAGGGGCTGCTATGGACTAGGCATATCAAAACAACATGGTGATGAAAAAATAATGTCCTTGTGATCAAGGAGCTCATGATCTAGTATATCTGTGCTTCTCACACTGGAATGTGCACAGAGACCACCTAGGGAAATTGTTAAAATGCAGAATTTGTTTCAGCAATATGATCTCAGGCAGAGGCCAAAGTTCTGCATTTTTAACAATTTCCCAGGTAATGCTGATGCAAATCATGCCTGAAGTACAACGTAGTAAGAAAGCGGTTGGGGAGATAGGGTGTTCACAGGGGTACCTCTAACTTAGTCCCTGATATTACAGCTGAGACCCAAAGGATGAATAGGAGTTGTCTAGAAAGAGATGAGTTTGTTCTGTGTGGAGAAATAAGACGTGGTAGAGGCCAAAGGTAAAACAAAGTAAAAATGTTGAGTTTCCATTCATTGCGGTCCAAAGCCTAAACAGAAGGAAGTTATTTTAGGATAATTTATTGACATGACTTATTGCCAGGGAAGATGGCCACTCAACAAAGGTGATAGCTGCAGGGCATATCTAAAATGGCTGGATGGCAGGTGCCATGGCTCCCAGCTCTGCCAAAGATGCCTGTGCTCTAAGATTAGCACAAATGCTGCATGCTCAAGGGGACCATGTGGGCTGGAACAATGGTAACCCATGTAGATAAGGGACTGGGTGGGTTGCTTTGTATTTTGGCACTGAGTTAAGTCCTGGAAGCTTTACCAAAGTCTGAGGAAGGGTACAAAGCCTGAATAATGTCTAAGCTGGCTTTCCCACCACCTGGTGGAACAGGGACTATACTCAGATATGTTAAACTAAGGAAAATAAACATGACATTCTGATCACCCTCAAATTTTGGTTCTTGACTCATACATACTTTAGAAATTCAAAATGGTTCAATCTATATGTAACCCCCATAAGTCTTTAGGAGACACCCTGATTTTAGGTCAGTGCTACAAATGACATGACATAAAGGGAAAGGCCCAGAGTTAAACTTCTAGAGCTTCTCATAAATCGTAGGAACACCCTATTACACCCACTTCAACTAAGAGGTCTTGGTTGGCTTTACAACTCTCAATAATGCTCTAAGATGAACCACTTGGAAAGCCCAATGAAATATGGCCATCAAAACAAACCAGCCAGCTGCATAGCCCCACATGGAAAAGTGTGATATTTGGAAATATCTCCATCAGGGAGGTAGTATATGCAGAATGAGCAATAATAGTGTCTCACACAGACAACAGCTGAAATCTGATCTCAGAAGTCATAGAAAGGAAAAGAAAGGGGACAAAACCATCCTAAAAATATTCTAATCACACTCAGAGCAATTCAAAATGATAAATAGCTAAGAGAAAAATAGATTCTAAAACAATTAAACAGAGGAAACAAACAGAGAAACTAGAACTAAGACAATGGCTCATTGTCTTACTGTGTCTTAGTTCACTGTGTCAGTTAGTGGCAGGAGGAGGAAGCTGGGCTGGGCACTGGAGACTGAGAATCTGGGAAAAGGAGTACTCAGATGGATGCTGTGGCTGTTGCATAGACGGAGAGCTTGGGCCAGCCCACCAGTGGTGCTGGTGGAAGATTGCCTAGTTTCAAAGTTACCATTCAAGGTCACGAACTTGGAAGTTCCATAATACTGAGTTTCAAGGTTGCCCCTCAAAGGATAAGCACTATCACCAGGTAAAAGCACAGATGGTGTCTCTAATGGTTACTCTGAAACTAGGTATCAGAGAGGAGGAGCAAGGATGTGCTGAGGGTTAGAAGATCTAAGTTAGTGTCTGAGGCAGACAGATCAGTGCCTGCAGCTCAGGAGCGAATGCAACGAAGTTCTATGGAGGCCCTTTGCTCCAACAGAGTTCCCTGATGGTCTGCTGAGGGTGCCACTTGCCTTCTAAGGGCTTCCCAGAGCTGTTGCTTAAACATTTCACCCTGTCTGATCAATCTCTCTGGATTTAAGGTGACATCACTACTCCTTGACCTGGTACTTTCATTCTCCACATCCTCTGCCAGGCACACCTTTTTAGTACAATTAGGGAAGCTTAGAGGAACTGCTGAGGCCACAAGGGATTGGCAACCGAGCCCCAGGCTTTTCTTTCCTGTGCTGCAGGGATGGTGCTCTCCGGCAGCCTCTCATGGTCTTTGATTCATTTCTGACTCCCACAAAGAGGAAAGCAGGCCCCAAAGGCAATCATAAGTGGCAAGTGCTATGGAGCCATGGTTTTCAAATTGTGCTCCTCAAAGCTTTAGGGTTCTGCTTCCTGAGCAAAGGAAGCTACCTCATCTTGGAGGACCAGGCGGGGAGGGTAGGAGTGCGGACTCTGAGCCTTTCACCCACTACTGCAGCCAACGCAGAACCAATTTTACTTATTTCATTTAAGGTTCTAAGTCTTTTTTTTGTTTGAAAAATATAAAAAGGTTTGAAACCACTAAAATAGTGTGTCTGCATCAATAACATCACACCATATTTTTTATAGTTAACTGAAAAGTTAAAGCCAAGGTAAAAGAAGAATTCGTCCAGGCGGAATTCAAAGGAGATGAAAAATTCCTAAAACAGGTCATCGTGAAACACAAAAGCTCATTTGGCCACTCATCTGGATTCTTAGTGAGGATTTTATTGGTGGTTATTTTAAAGTATTTTCTGTGAAAGTAGGCGCAACAACTCCTGGTTCTTACCACCGTGACATTAACCTTCTAAACCCTCCCGTTCAGATCATTAACCCCATGGGATTCTGTTCCACAGTTTGTTAAGCTGCCATCCTGCCTGCTTGGGAAAAAAAAAAAAAAATCCCAGTCAAAGATCAGATTTCACCTGAGACTTTAAAGCCCCAAGAATTTGGCCAATGCTAATTTAGACATTTTTTAAAACAGGTTCCTCCACTTGTAAATGACTGCGATTTTGTGCAGAGTTAGAAAAAATGCCTTCTGTATTGGGAAAAATTCAATTATTTTAAAGATAAATTCTCATTTTAAAAATGATTTTCTACCCTTAAAACAGTATTCTTTATATTCTCAAAGGAGGAGAAGCTAGATCACCCTACAATTTAAAAATAAATAAACCTCATGAATTGTATCCAAAGAAACAAAAGTTAAACAAACATATTCCTCACTTAACTAGAGATGTAACATGTGGTTTTATTTTAGTTGTTAAAGCTAACTCCTGATCTCCTTCCAAACAGGCCTAGTGACTTAATTACCATATTTGAAAGGAGAGCCACGAAAAAAATGGAGACAGGGAAGGAGACAGATGAATCTTCTTGGATATTTCTTCACAAGATTCAGAGGGAGTCCAATCCCACAAAAAGGACAGCCTTAGGCATCTTCTAGAAAGACAAAGCCTTTCTTGGGAGGGAGAGCTTGACCTTAAGTGGCAGCAAGAATCAACTACTATGGAGATAACATGAGGACCAGTGATGTAAATATTCCTTGAGACCAAGGTACAACACTGATGACTGACAGCCACAGAACTCTGTGTCTCCACTCTATCTTCTTTCAGGTCCCCTTCCAGTCTGCTTTTAAAGTTGTGGAGTCAGGTGACTGGGGATGTGTGAAGCTGGGAACTTCTGGGATTCTGAAATGCAAAACACTGGAGGCAGTCCCAGAGAAGAAGAGAAAGAACATTCTTTTCCAAATGACACAAGCAGACTTAAGTAAATTTATTTGTTCAGAAAAGGTCAGTAAAGTCATGCTTTTCCCATTAAAAATTGTATACAACTGATCAACATGACGGATAAACACAACTCTGTGTAGCAAGAGACCCAAGGCATGTTACAAACTCCCCCAACACCTCTAGCATATGCTGGAATAAATGAATATTGGCCTGGGAAGAAAAGTAACTTTAGAAACAGTCCAACATCCATTAGGCAGTGTGCTTCACAGAAGCAAAAGACATCAGACGATCAACTACCATGTTCAGAAAAATAAACCAGAAACTTGCACTGCTAAATAAAAGTTTAATTAAAGGGAAGAAGGCTATCTATTATTAAAATGGTCACAGAAAAGAGTAGTAGATCCAAGGTTTCACTTCCAGTCATTTCCATAAAACCTATTTTGATCATTCAACCAGATAGAAGCTCCCTCTTCTTTTACAATTCTGTAAGATTTCTTTTTTTTTTCTCTATGTGCTGAATTTCTTTCCCTGTGTTGTAGAGGCAGTAATAATTCAATCACAGGGTTATTGCCATTTGAGATACTGGAATAATCTGCAAATGTAAAAGTTCTATTCAGTATTGTCATAGTAGTAAAGCTTTTATTTTTAGTAGTCTCTTTTCACTTTGAGATAGTAACCTCAAGGACAGGAAGTACTTTTTGCTTTTCTTTCTATGCCCTGCAATGCCTTATCTCATGCCCAGCACATGGTAGGTTTTCCGCAAGTCTCTTTTGAATGGAACTGCATCTCTGCCAGGTTTGCACACCGCTGATCCTTATCTTCCCTCAGAACAGGTACTGTCATTGACAATCCTTTTCCATAATAGAACGTTAGTATTTGAGAGGATCCTGGAAGTTGTCTAGTCTCATCCTTTCCTGCCCAAAAATAGTACTGGAAAAATGCAGAGATCCTGACTTTGAAATAATGGTGGGATTCCATTCTGGGCTATGCATTTTAATCAGTGTTAATGCATAACCAGGAAGTTCTTACTCCACCTGCTTAATTTCATACCCTCTTGAACAGAAAAATGGGGCATTAAAGGAATGCTCCAAGGATGACATGAAAAGAAGAGGAGAAAGGAAGCTGTTTTCCATCTTTGCTAAAAGCACAAAAATATTCCCCAATTACATGGAATTCTCTATTCATCTGAGAGACAGACTGATGTTAGAAAATAGATTCAGGAATACCCTTTTCTCTTGAGAATATTATCTTTTCTTTAAGAAAATCAACATCTTTATTTCAGGAACTATTTTTTTTTTTCTAAATGAGATTTGCTGATTTTCTTTTTGCAGCATGACTTTTTTTATTCAAATATGAAGATACATATTTGATATAAATTTAGTACCGGCTCAAAAAGAGATATTAAATTCAGGGCTTTGTAAACATTATCTCATTTATGTATGATAGTAATGATTTTTTATATATGTATGTTTTTATTATACTTTAATATAATAATTTTAAATCAGAAATTACTCCAGTCCCTATCTCCCCTTTTCTAGCTCTGAACACATTTTCCACCTATGTCTGCACCATGCTACAGCCATTAGCTTCACCCATCTTAAGCAGTAAGATGATTTTAAACTGAGAAGCAGCCATGAATTAAGCCACATAGAGGTGAAACTGCTGTCAGATGTTTAGTAGATTTGAGGGTGCAAACTTAATCATTTACTGTCACAGAAATCAGAAATGCAAAAAAATCTTTGAGATAAACCAACCTCATGCCTTCTACCTTAAAAAGAGAATTCTCTGCCTTCTTCATGGGGCCAAGGATATCAAATGAGCCTACAAAGCTCCATCTCCACCCTCCAGTTAATCAAATCTGAAAAAATTCCTGGAAGAGAAGCAGCGAAGGGAGGTTGCACTGTGAATTGTCAAGGCCTTTAGAATTCCTGTGATTTATAGATGAGAATGAAGCCTTTCCATGCATATTGAAGGTGCATGGGATTCTTAATTTATGGCTTAGGAGTTGCAGGCTACAGTAATAAACCTGCTAAACTACTGAATCACTGCCAAGAGTGACCTTTACAGAGCCTGCAGAGGTCAAGCAGCCTTCTCCTTGCGAGTCAAAGAATTCTTGGCTAAATCAAAGCTCTTTTGGTTTAAGAAAAGAGAAAACCACTTGAGCCAACAGAAGCAAACATAAGCAATTTGATAAAAGGAAACAAGAGCAGGAGGTGGAGCCCAGCATCATGAGGGAATGGAAATAGAACTAAAAAATCCAGACTCAGGGTATTTGCTCACCTCTGTGAAGATGCATGGTAGCCTCATGTCTTCTTACTACTTCTGCAGACTGACATTCCTGGCTTTGTAATTTGGAATCAGAGATGTTGATTAGATACTGATGTAGATTAGAATACCCCTCGGAGGACAAATGCTGCCTTACAAGTGTTTTTGCTCATCTGGGCTGTCTGCTGACCCTCTTGTGTTGACCTACAATATACTTGTCTTTCCTGCCCTTGTCTTACTTAATCTTTCAACCCCCTCCTCTTGGCAGCATCTCTTTCCTCTGCTCATGAATACCAGTCTCCACTGTGTTTTCTCTTAACTCTCTGACTTCTCCTCAAACTCCTTTACCAACAATTCCCCTTTCTCCACCCACCATTAAATGTGGTGTGCCTCAAAGCTCTGTCCTAGGCCTTTTCTTTCTATGCTTTAACCCACAAGTGCTCTTAGCCACACCCATGACTTCAGCTGCCATTTATACGGCCCAGCCAAGACCTTTTTTTCTGAATCCCAGGCCTATATATCCACCTGCTTGGTCCATATACCTACTTGAATATCTCAGAGGCACCTCAAACCCAACTCATCCAAACTTCCCACCCTCAAGAACTCCTCCTCCAAGATTCTCAATCTCAGTAAATGGCTCTACTCCCCTGCTCAAGCCGGAAATTTAGGGCTTACCTTTACTCCTCCTGCTCCCTGCTCTACCCCTCACACATTTCCTCAGCTTGTCCTCCTAAACCTCTCCAATCAACCCAACTCTTTCCACACTTGAGTTGAGGCTCTCATCATCTCTTATCTGGGCCACTGCAAAGGGCTCTCAGTTGGTGCTGGGGCTCAGGAAAAACCACCCCAAAACATGACTGTAGGAGAACATAATACACCACTCTAAAATATGTCTCTTGGCATGTTGACTATTTCAAACTGATTATTTTGAAAAACTGTAGACACAGGCAGAGCTCTGAAAAGTCACTCTTGTAAGAGAAATGTACATCTAAAGGAAAATACCATTTGTAAGGTGTTTCTCTCTCTCTCTCTCTCTCTCTCTCTCTCTCTCTCTTTCTCTCCCCACCAGGGAGAAAGGGATGGTTAAATGAGGAGGGAGGGAAGGCCTAGACTAAAATCTGCATAATCTTACCCTTGTTTTCTCTTTTCCTGGCCATTTTCCCATAACCAGAGTTTCCCCACACTCCTTTTTTAATTTGTTTCAGCAAACTATGGCACAAACCTGAGGTTTAAACTATTTTTCTTTGAGCTCTGCTGGAGAAATGTATTCATTTCTCTGGGGTTTTCCCCATGTGTACATAAAGTATACATGTTTATAAACTTCTTTTGTTTTCTTTTGTGTGTGTATGTGTGTGTTTTCTCAGGAAGTTCCATTTAAGAGCTATGAAAGGTAGAGTAGAGAGAAAAATTATTTTTTCTCCATGACACTGGGCATCCATCCTTGCCCCTCCCCAGTCTGTGGCCAGAGCAATTCTTTTAACATTCAAGTCTTAACATGTCACTCATCTGCCTTCAGAGGCTTCCTATAACCCTAGAATAAAGAACAGAGTTCTTTTATTTATTTGTTTGTTTATTTATTTATTTTTGAGAAGGAGTTTCACTCTTATCTCCCAGGCTGGAGTGCAGTGGCGCTATCTCTACTCACTGCCACCTCCACCTCCTGAGTTCAAGTGATTCTTCTGCCTCAGCCTCCCCAGTAGCTGAAATTACAGGCACCCACTACCGTGCCCAGCTAATTTTTGTATTTTTTAGTAGAGACAGGGTTTCACCATGTTGGCCAGGCTGGTCTTGAACTCCTGACCTCAAGTGATCCACCTGACTTGGCCTCCCAAAGTGCTGGGATTAAAGGTGTGAGCCACCATACCCAGCCAAGACCAGAGTTCTTTCTAAGACTTCCAAGGCCCTGCTCCCTCTGTGACTTCCTCACATGTCACTCCAGCCTCACTCATTGCACAGTACTCACACTTTCCTTCTTTTAGTCCTTCAGGGATGCCTCAGTTTTCTCACGTCAGGACCTTTGTAGCTGTTGTTCTACCCCGCTACCCAGACCCCGTACCACCATCCTATCCTTTCTACCTTGCTGAGTCCCATTTACCCTTCTGGTCTCACCTAAAGTATCATTTCTAAGGGGCTCCTATTAGAGACTTTGTGTATGTTTGGTAATATTTGTATGTGAGCTTGTACTTTGTATATTGGCACACTGCATTTTCCTCTGTTAAACTTTTCACACTTGTAATTATTTCTTTCACTTGTTCATTCATCAACTTATACAAAGCACTTTCATGTGCCTGGCACTATCTAGGCACTGGGTTGCAACACTGAGTGGAAGAGATTCCTACACTCATGGAGCTTCCATCCTCTGTAGGTCTTACTCTACTATTTGCTTTTAAGTTCATGAGGACAAGGTCATGCACGTTTTGTTTCCCACTGTGTTCCAGTGTTTCGCACATTAGCTCACTGTCTGGCATGTGTGAAACAGTCAACAAATATTTGCTGACTGTCTGATTGGCCTCCCGAAGTTACTACTGTACTGTTGGGTACATAGTAAGTAAATACAAGTTGAATTAGACAACTGCTTGCAGGCAATTGTGTCCACAGAAAATGGCAATGCTTCAGACTTGTTATGATGATTTGCATTTTATTTGACTTTTTAGTAAGGAATTATTGATCTTCTTATCTCTGTTATGATTAATATAAATGAATAAATATACATGACAAACAACTTCAGAGTGAAAATAATATTAAGGAAATTAGGCGGGTTATCTAATAGAAACAGAAGGGATCTAGGTCACATTATATTGGATGGTTAGAGGAGTCCTCCCAAAGGAAGGAGAAATTTGAGCGGGGATCTGAATATGAAGAAAGAGCAGCCAGCTATGCAAAAATCCAGGGCCAAGCTTTCCAGACACAAGGAACAGAACGCGCAAAGGCTCGGGGAAAGGGAGTAGGGGGAAGAGCTGGGAGTGGGGGGAAGACCTGGGGGTGGGGGGAGTGTGTTTTGAGAAGCATAAAAAAGCCTAGGGTGGCTGAAGTCCAGCAGGCAAGGGGAAATCCTGAAAGAGGAGATGGCAAAAGTAGCCAGGGGCCTCCTCACAAAGGGTCCAGTAGGCCAAGGTAAGGATTTAAGATTTTATTCTGGTTGTAGTGGGAAGATACTGCACTTTAGAAAGTAGATAGTTAATATGATCTATGTTTTTTAAGAAAATAAATTATTTGCTCTGTGGGAAATGGGCTACAGTTGTGCCCTTCTTGGCATTAAGACCTCTTAGAATCTCAGAGACCACTAGAGGAAAAAGTAAAATAGTTCTAATGTTCTAAACTCTGACCTATTTGGGACTATTATATAATTATAAAGGTATTCATTGAATTTCGTCCTTTTTGGTAATTTTCAAGTCCTACTAATGACAACTTTCCTATCTTTATTGGACATTGTGCTAATCAAGGGGCCATAGCTCTGTTAGCACATTTATTTATTTATAAGCAATCCATTTATTACTGGTCATTGATGAATATGACGAATATAATCTAGCTGATGGACATTAAAAAAATCCAAAAAGGGAACAGCTGATAAATGTCTCCCTTCAACTGCTACAAAGTGTGCAACACTGTCACCAGAGCCCTCCTTTTGAAACTCACTGATGCATTTTACATTTGTCAAATTCATTATTTATGAGCAGTGAGCTATACAATAGAAGCGAGAGTCATCCACAGGGACACATCTGCCTGCCTTATATTTGACAGGGCTTATCTCCAAGGGAAGAGGGCTTCAGTTTTTTATCATGTCAGTTAAAAAATGTACTGATGTGTTTTTAGGCTGGAAACTTCTTCTTAAAGCATGAGATAATGACTTTGCTAAATCCTATTCAAAACAAAGACACACCCAAAAGCTATGAAAGCATAGAAACCACATTGCTATTTCTCAAATGAAGGAGAAAGACTGCTGGACTAGATGAAAAGGGGCCTCTTGTTAAGGCTTCCCATGCAAATATGCCAGGATGCATTTTTCCTTCTCATATTTACTAACACCACGAAGACATTGTGGTACGAACCAGTTTACCTTTTAGAAGCTGGATTCACAGATGGCAGTAACAGTAACTATAAATAGCCAAGAGCACTGAGAAATCTTTTAAGGAAGGTCATCGTCACCCTACCGTATACTACTGCTTCAGCATGGGCAAAGGAGCAGAGAGTTAACCTTAGAGAAAGCTCTAACAGTAAATTCAGGGCACTAGCAGCTGGAAGGTAACTGGATTCAAAGCCCTGTTCCTACCCAGGTCTGGGAGCTCTTACTTGCTCCTTGTTGAAATTACCGTGCCCAGTCTGAGATTGTGACAGGCTTCAGAACTGCTACTGCTGAATTGGTGGTAGGAGGTCCCCTTCAGCTGAAGGAGGCTCAGGACCCCTGATACAGCCAAGAGGATGAGGCAGGTGCCTGAAGGAGACCTAGCAGATGGGCAAAGTGCTGGGGCAAGAGGACCTTGTAGGTCTATTTATTGGGTAATTTTAACAGTTCACTTTGATAATGTCTCCTTGCCAGTTTGTTATAAAGGCTACAATACTTCATGTGAAAAACCTGAGCTCCAGTTTTGGTCATATTTGTTAAAGGACATTCCTCAAAGGGCAGCTGCTGGATAGCACCGTTGGGAGGACAAGGAGCTGCAAGAGATGAAACGTACACTTGCGGCGCCTGAAATAACATGAAGTCCAATCAGCCCCGTGAGTCGCTGTAGACTGATAAGGGCAGCCAGATTCCACAGCCATTTAAAGAGTCAACATGTTTTAGGGCTAAAAAACTTCATGGGCCCCAAAGTGTCAACTCCTTGAGGGGTGACTGAGAAACCATGGCCGAAAAGTCCACCTCAGCAGCAAGTCCAGGAACCTACCACTGACCTTACCTGTTGAAAGAGACTTAGGGCCTCTGGGGTCTTTACTTCTGGGAGCCTCAACGGTTTATTGATATGTGTAGCTTCTACTATGGGAGAAAAACACAACAGCTCCTTTGCAGAAATATGGTACTTACAATATTATTAGCAATAATATTAGTGAATATTTATTGAACATTTTCTACACGCAAAGTCCCATGCATTATCCTATTAAGACCTTACAGCAACCTGAAGACCTAGGTTTCCTGAGGTTACAGGGGAGGAAACAAGGTTAACAGACTGAGGAGTAAAGAGGAAAGGCAAACAGAATCTACCTTTATATACTGGACTGGAAATTAAATGTTACAGACATTGAATTATATTGGTCTGCTCATTTCTTAATTGTGAAACTACAAGGCTAGTTGTCATACTCTAATAATCATTTATTTTTTTCCTCCTTCTCTTCCTAGCCGGTGAGACTTTTATCTTTAAAAGACATACCATACATACATACACACATACATATACACACTCAACATTCACCATAAACACAAATTATTGAACCATCTCATCTGTCTTACCTTATTATGGGAGGTTTTTACCATTGGCACAAATCTTTTTAGTTTCAGCAGACCATGAGTCAAATTCCAAGTATTCAAGACACAATGAGAAAGTAGCAAAGCCATGACTTGAAATCTCTTTATTTCATCCATGCAGGATTTCTTCTGCAGGGACCTCATGCTTTGGTGTCACAGAGAAGCAAAACCTTTTGCTTCTTCAAATTATCCTTTTACTTTTTCCCCCTCTCATGCTGTCTTTGAATATATTCATGTTTGTGTTTTATGCAAAGGTATGCATATATGTGCCCAGAATACTCCTATCACAGATGTCTCTGGCATAGCAAAAAAAATGGAATGGAGCCAGAAAGACCTACTATGGACCTTTATAAGCTGTGACCTGTGCAACATTTGTAACCTCTCCGAGGCTCAGTTCCCTCATTGGGAAAACAGGCAAAAGGCTGTTTTGCCTGTCATGCTTTGGGGGTGGGCCCGGTGGTGGGGGGTAAGGCTGTTGTGAGAGGTAAGGTAGCAATGTAAAGCACCTAGTTAACCTACAGTGGAGAGAAAATGGTAGACATCATTATTACAGTAACTGTCTAAAACAAAATCTAGATATGACAAAACCTGGTTAGCAAGGCAGGTGTAAGATTGGTCTCACCCTAGCAGTAAAACACATTTCATGTAGCATAAGATGTTCTATAAATCCCATTCAGAAATGAGTCTGTCCACAGTGGGCAATACATATCTGCCCATCTGCAGGTTGAAGCAATGTGGCCATGTCTCTTTAATGCTGACTGATGTTCAACTACATCACAGTGCCCTTGTCATGGGGCTCAGTTAATGCTGAATTCAATTATCTATGTAGATGGAAAGAGCAGAGTCATAGATAATAATTCTGAGAACAAATACTTTCTAAATGATTCCTTCTTTTTTTTTTTTTTCCATAATAGCTACCTTACTGTATTACTTGGGTCTTGGCTGATGTTTGGTACTCTATAAGAATACGTATCAATGGATGATGGGAAGAAATTCATGACTACTCTGACCTGGATATTATAGAAAGCTCTCCTGAGCCTGAATATTTGTTGCATAAAATTTGCAAGGTGAATAACTGGTGGTGGTCCACCACTCTCTAATGTATGGCACAATAATTATAAAATATTCATTCAATTTTAAGATATTTTCTGTGTGTGTATCAAGTCCCACCAGTTACGCATCTAGTCTGAATTAGCTCATTAGGTTAGGGTGAACATAGTGCTAAGGAAATCAGAAGATTCATTTTTTTTTTAAAGATCAATTAGCATCTTTCCTTTGGTGCTCCCAAAAACTCTGTGATAAGGAGACCACATAACTGTGAATACTGATGTGAAATGCCATCAGTACTGGTGGGTAAATACCATAAAGCAGCGGTCCTCAACCTTTTTGGCACCAAGGATCAGTTTTGTGGAAGACAATTTTTCCACAGCAGGGTTAGGGTTGGTTTCAGGATGAAACTGTTCCACCTCAGATCGTCAGGCATTAGTTAGAGTCTCATAAGGAGTGAGCAATCTAGATCCCTCACATGTGCAGTTCACAATAGGGTCCGTGCTCCCATGAGAATCTAACACCGCCACTGACCTGACAGGAGGCTGAGATCAAGCAGTAATTCTCCATTACTGGCCACTCACCTCCTGCTGTGCGGCCTGATTCATGACTTCCACCAACAAATGTAATGTCTTTTCTACCGTAACTAAGCACTTACCATGCACTGTGGCCATAACTTTTGCAGTTTGAGAGGCAACAAGAAAATTAGCATAAATTTCTTTTTACTTCACAATTTCACAGGCAGAAGATTCATACCATAGATCTGAGCAACCTTAGCCTACAATTTTTTTCTTTCCTTAAGTCCTTATGTTCACCTTTTCACTTAAAGGAAGCACTTTATGGCTTCTCTTTGGCATATCTGAATTGCTGGCATCACTACTCTTGCACTTTGGAGCCATCATTAAGGAAAATAAGGGTTCCTTGAACACAAGCTCTGTGATACTGCAAAGGTTAACTGATAACCCAGATATCTACTAAATGAGCAATGGGCAGGTAGAGTCTACAGTGTGGGTATGCTGGACAAAGGGAAGGTTCTTGTCCCAGGTAGGACAGAGCAAGATTTCATCATGCTACTCAGAACAGTGTGCAATTTAAAACTTATGAATCATTTATTTCTGGAATTTTCCATTTAATATTTTCAGACCACAGTTGACCACAGGTGACTGAAACAGAGGAAATCAGAACCATAGATAAAGGGGGACTACTATATTGTGAAATTCGTAATGCAATTGTCGCTTGTCTTGTTTCAACCAACATAGTCTAGTGCCTACTAGGTACAAAGGACTCCCTCCCCACCCCAGCAGTGTTCTCAGTGTTGTATGGATCCCTAAGGACCCTTTCAAAGGTACACAAAATCCTCCCCTTTCCAACCACATACTCATGTCAGCCCTGACATGAATCAAAACAATAAACCACAATAGACTGAAAATGCAGAAGCGGATATGAGTCCAGTTGCCTTCTGTTAAACCAGACGTTAAAGAGATTTGTGAAGAGTAAAACAATATTACTCTCTTTACTCAAAAATTTTTTTGTTTTGGGAAATGTAGTTATTTTTCATAAAAAAAGTTATTTTGTTAGCATGTAATGGGCTTATTACTTTCTCAATTAATAAATATTTTTAAATTTTCCTAGTTTTAATTTCTAATATTGTTAGCTGTTGCTAGATATGACCCACATACACAAAAGATCAGGATTTTCAGTAATTTTTAAGAATATGAAGGGGTTCTGAAACCACAGAAAATTTGAGGAGCACTGACTGTTGTTCATCTGTCTTATTTAAATCTTACAGCATCCTAATTCCGTTTTCCTACTTTAATTGTCTTCATAGAACTTATCCTTATCTGACATTATGTCATATATTTATTTGCGTTTTATCTGTTTTCTCCATAAGCCAGTTATTTGCCTACTTGCTCTCAGATCCGTTCTCTATCTTTCCTCAGCAAAACGTGTTTCCCAGGCTCCTTTGCCAAAGACAGTGGGAAGCATTGGCAGGAGACTGGAGGAGGGAAGCAGACAGCCAGGTATTTCTACCTCCCACCCTGCCCTTTCGGGTCAGGCAGTACTGCTATTCACCTTGGCTCCAAGGGACCTCCCCTCTTTGCCCCTGGCTCCTGAGCCCTGGTAACACCCTCTCTGACTTCCCTCATGCAAGCCTAAGGTGGCAGTGGCTTCCGGCTCTTGTTATAATATTATATTGTTGCTTTGCCAGCCCAGTTTGACTTTGAGCTCTCTCAGCACTTTTGTGCTAGTTCTCCACGTTAGCTCCTTTCATTGCACCATCTGGCATGGGGCCTGTTTTCCTGACTGAAATGTAAGTTCCATGAGGTCTGGGCCTGTCTCATCTGCTACCATAACCACAATGTCTCAAGTAAATAATTTTTTCAAAGTAACAGCCCTGTGGGATAAGTGTTAGTATCATTATTTTATATATCTGAAAAATAAGGCTCAGGCAGAATTTGCTCGCCCCAGACAAGTGGGTCTCAAACTCTAGCTTGAATCAGAATTACCTACAGAGCTTTAAAACACAGATTTCTGGGCCACTTCCAGAATTTTTGATTCACTAAATATAGGGTGAAGCCTATAACTGCATTTCTAATAAGTTCCCAAGGGATCCTGATGCTGCTGGTCTAGGACCCACTTTGAGAACTACTGCCCTGCGTGACACAACTGAAAAGCAGCAGGGCCAGTCCTTATGTCTAGTCTTCCCACTGCATCTTGAAGCTTAAGGGTATTTGACACCAAGCTCAACAGTCAGGAACGTGCCACCAAATATACATCAACTCTCCCAATAGCTCACTCTGGGACTGTAGTCCAGATCTCTATTACATTATTCATCCTGTACTCTATTATTTGTAGTCTATACCACACTGAAAGTAACAAGTTTTTAAGTTTCCAAACATACATAAACGATTTCTTCCTTTCTTTTACTGGTCTATCACTGAACCTTCTCAAACTGCGAAAGGTATTCTTAAATATCAGGATTTAGTTGGGGAAAATACCCAACCATATTTGCCATCTTCCCTTTATGATTTTACAGCTTTTCACTTTTTCCCTCTTCCTGAAGAATTCAAGTTAGTCCAATCAGGAACCCCTACTTTTCAATTTCTTAATCATCTTAGAGACCATACCCTGGACCGTCTTCTATTCTCATACACCCACCTTGAGTTGCCCCAAGGGCTGGGCACTCTGATTTCAAGACTCACCATCAGGGTTTTGATAAGAAGGTAACATTTTGGTTTGGTTTTAGCATACTTCCTGATCATGCCCCAATAGCTTTATTAGCCCTGGTAGTTGTTAGACTTCAGAAAACCAATGTACACATGACTGGCCTTCTCCTTGGGCTGTCAATAATTATCCTTTCAGAACAGTGAAGAGCATGAATGGCATATGTATGATACACATTCTTTAGTCTTGCACCTATGCAGATATCATAATCAACCACAGCATGTTCTCTCTGAGCCCCATCTAAGAACATTATATGGCATAATATTTCAAGAGCACAAGGCCATGGCAGATGTTCTGCACCTCCTGTGACATTCCAGTAAATGGAAACCTCTGCCTTTGCAACCCCTGTCCTCTGGGAAAAGAAAGAAAGAGAGAGAGAGAAAGAAGAAGGAAAGAAGGAAGGAAGGAAGGAAAGAAGGAAGGAAAGAAAGAAAGAAAGAAAAAGAAAGAAAGAAAGAAAAAGAAAGGAGGGAGGGAGGGAAGGAAGGAAGGAAGGAAGGAAGGAAGGAGGGAGGGAGGGAGGGAGGGAAGGAAGGAAGGAAGAAAGGAAGGAAGAAAGGAAGGAAGGAAGGAAAAGATAAAATACCCCACATCAACCTGCTTTCTTCCACCTCTTCAGATGTCATTTGTAAATGGAGCTCGGGTATTAGAAGGGAAGGCAGTAAATTTTTTCAAGTTAATCATAAAGATATCTTCACAAGTACATCTGTACTTTAAATAGGTACATATATGAAAAAGTGGGCCTAAATTTTTCTACTTGAAAAGAAATACTTTATCCCAATTTAATCTTTATCATTTCCAGAAAACAGGGAATTATAGACACTACTTTCATCTTGTTTTTAAGTTATTATGTTTTTAGAGAGAGGAAAGGTTATAATTTCATCAAATGCAGCTTAAAAAACTCTGTAGCTTTGTAGTTAGGCAAGTCTGGATTCTAAACCTGGATCAACCACTTACTAGGAGGGTGACTTTGAAAGAAGAAATTTATCTCAGTTTCCTCATTTGAAAATAGGGATAATAATAATGATGGTTAACCAGGACTGCTGTGAGGATTAGAAAAAATATAATAAAAGACCTAGCATATTGCTTGGCCCAGAATAAGTAATAAATGCTAGTTAATATAATTATTACTGTATTTTAAGCTTTGGAATTACCACCTTATTTTAAAAGTGGAATGTATCACTCTTAGTTGGTATTCAAATTTTGATCAACTGATATTCTAATGGATGTAAAAAATTATTTCTTTTCTGAGATCACTGGAACTGTGACATGATCAATAGCGTCTCTCCATTTTTTCTTCAGCTGGTAAATAAATGTGCAAAGGTACTGAAGGCAAAATTCTCCTATGTAATCAAGCAGTAAAAGCTGTAATAAATCAGAGGTTTTTCCTTTTTATATCACTTTGAAAAGGGAAATTATGCTAAAATTTTTTCAGCATTTAATTCTCTACCAGGAACATCCTAAGCACTTTATGTGCATTACGTCACTTAATTCTGATAACCTTACAAAGCAGGTATTATTATTTTTCCCACGTCACCTTCTAGATGGGGAGGTAGTCTCAGAGAAGTTCAGGGTTTGCCAAGCTTACATAGGGAGAGCTTACGTAAGGAGAGGAGCAGATTTAAATCAGAACTGAAGATGAGCTCTGGGACTTTACACTATTTCTGGAAAACAGAAAAAAGCCAGCAGCCATCCCATGTGCCTTGACAGCTACTGCCCACAGGTAGTTTCTAGCGACTCTGGTACCTCGTTGACACATTTGCTCACATTTCTCTTCAAAAACATGGGAAGACAAATGCCCCTGGCTGCAGGCTTTTTCTTTTCCACTTTGAGATGCCAAATATGGATGGCTTATCTGAGGGCCATAATAGGTAAGTCCGCAATATTTAGCAACTTCTTTTCTTCCTGTTAACTGTAGTAGAATTCCCAGGCTGGGTCAAGCAATCAAGGAGGTATTGAAGAGAGTGATCCACAAGTAATTCTCAGTGGTCCCCAGACACTGAGGCCCCACTGTGCTGTCACATCAGGCATTAGGGTAATCTTCAGCTGCACCAGAGACTAAGCAGGAGCCTCCCATTGCCGGCGGATTGTCAAGGGATATGATCCAGGGGGTGGGCAACACAATGAACACCTGACTCTTGGCTGCAGCTTCTCCCTTAATTCTTCGCTGCTCTCCAGTCCTGACGACCTGGGCTGGATGATGTAGAAACATCAAAAGCCTATTGCTGCTTTTGAATAATGGTTATTTCTTTTCCTGAGAAAGAACTAACAACTCTGGCTCCAGTCTCTGTGACGACGAATGTTTTAATCACAAAAGGCCTGAACTAAGGTTCAGTTAGACACATCACTAAGGAGATATTCACATAATAAAAGGCCTCTTCGCCAAGTTTTGTTTAAATATTGAACTCTCAGAGAAATGAAGATGTTAGCCAAGTGACAAAAAATTCAACTGCCTCCCAATTTTTGGGAATACATCTTTTTTTTTAATATGAACTATGTGGCATCCTTCAATTCATTTACACTTGCACTACAGTAGTAGTTCACCACGTGTCTACTTTATACCGAATGTTATGCTGGGTGCTGCATCCTGCAGCAGAAAGAAGATGGAACTGGCTTTGTGCAGGCCACTTGTGCTATGCCTGTGAAATGCCTTCTAAAGTTCTATTAGAGACTCCTTCCTGATTCTAGCTGTCAAGGCCAAGCAACGCCAATCTCATCCCATGAATGTCTACCTTTCCTTTCATTTGTTCCCCAAGCTATAGCAAAAGATGAAGGGAACATGGATGATCAACTCCACAGCCAAATGCTTGAGATAATTATGGACTTTTGATCCTTAGTTCTTTCTAACCTTGATTTACCTGATGAGTCTATTGTATCACACTGAGGCTGTGATACTGAGGGAACTAACGTTTAAAGCTTACTGCTCTATGTCCTAGCATTGTGTCAGGGGCTTCACACGTAGCATGTTATTTTATATTCTTAACAATTCCATGAAGCAGGTACCTGTATATGCATTTTACAGATGAGAAGACAGGCTCAGAGAGACTAAAATTATGCTAGTAAAATCATCATCAGAATTCAAACTCAGGTCTAACAGAAACTAACACTTCTGTTCCTTTTAACTACTCCATCCCCTTCCCAAACTAGCTAGTCTTCCTAGAGCATCCCATTTATTAAGGGGAAAATATGATTATGTGAAAGAAAATATGGACAGAATTATTCACTAGAATAGGAAATTAGCATGAATTTTTTTTTTAAGATATAACACCCAAAGGTCCTGTCTGCAGAGACCTTTGCAGATAACACACGTCCTTATGCCTACAAAGGTTCGTTGAAGGAAAAGCTTGTGAATCACTTTCCACACATGGGGGTGTAAGGCAGGCTAATAATTTGGCCTTCTGGCAAAATGACATCATATAAGTATCTGCATACTCTCTATCTAGAGGCAAGGCAGGGCACTGGTGGGGAGGGCAGAAAGAAGCCCTCTGGTGTCAGGGCCCTGCTGATACACCCCTTAAAGCTTGACACTTAGACAGCCTGCCTCTCCAAGCTCTACTGACCTCCACAGTACAGGCTTCGTTGACTAAGGAAGGATGCCATGGCTACAAATGACAAATGACGAATGGAATAAAAGCAGCAGATGCCCCCATCCCCACCCTATTATGGCCTTTGTTTGTAATCTCTGGCTTCCACTGAATATCACATATCCCATTTCCCTTCCCAGCTGGTGCTGAGATGTAACAACTTGTCACCTGAGATACAGCCCATTAAAATTACATAGCACAGGTAATGGAGAATCCAGTGCAGGTCCGGACAGCAGGTAATTAGCTGTAACTTACAGAGCAGTCTTCAGGCCCTCTAAGGGCCTCCTGCCTTTACTCCCCTTCCTTTCTGCTTCTTTGCACACTGGAGGCCCTAAACAGAGGTATCTCTTGGGATTTGTTGAGCAGGGGTGGTTATTTAACACTGTTCTCATTAATTCAGCCACCAAGTCATTGCAGTATTGGGTTCACAAGGTTGTGGTGGGGAACTGTGACCATCATAATAGACCATCAATTCTCCAGCAGCCAGTGGGGTGCAGGGAGTGGATTCAGCTGTCTCTGCATGTTTTCCAAGAATAGACAACTGAATAAACTTGGGTAGCATCAGAATCTACAGGAGGCAAGTTCTTTAAAGGAACAGAATCTTAGAGTTCCTACCAGTAAGGGCCCAGTAGAGTTTGCATCAGGTGCAGGGCCCTGGGTTTTTTCAAGTCCCTCTCTGTGGTGGTTTTGTCTCAAGGCATCCCTTCGAGAGGATTTAACATGTACTGCAACAGGCAGGGCAAGCCAAGAGTGATGTTGACTCTGGGGTAAGAACACCACAGACATGAGATGTTGGAGTCATTGACAGCATGGGCTTTGGAGTTGAGACACCTTGGGTCTGAAACTCAGTTCTGCCTGTGTGACCCTGGCAAGTTACTTAATCCTTTTGAGTCTTAGTTTTCTCATCTGTGAAATGGAAATTATACTACCTGCCTTACAGGGTTATTTTACAGATTAAATGACATAATGCAGGTGTATTAGTCTGTTTTCATTCTGCTGATAAAGACATCCCCGAGTGGGTAACTTATAAAGAAAAAGAGGTTTAATGGACTTACAGTTCCACATGGCTGGGAAGGCCTCACAATCATGGTGGAAAGCAAAAGGCACGTCTTACTTGGCAGCAGACAAGAGAGAATGAGAACCAAGTGAAAGGGGTTTCCCCTTGTAAAACCATCAGATCTTGTGAGACTTATTCACTACCCATGAGAACAGTATGGGGGAAAGTGGCCCCATGATTCAATTATCTCCCACTGGGTCCCTCCCACCATGCGTGGGAATTATGGGAGCTACAATTCAAGATGAGATTTGGGGTGGGACACAGCCAAAACATGTCAGCAGATGAAGTGTTTAAGGTAGCAAGCATTCAGAAAATGGCAGCTTTATTCATATGCCTTCCCAACTGGTAAATTCTTAGGAAGCCAAACAGTTTACTAGATCCCACAGGTGGATTGAATTTCCAGAGTCTTGGAAAAACTTGCCAGTGCATGAGGCTATTATGGGGGCTCTGTTATTGCAGTGAGTACTCTGCAAACACTTTTCCCATCCTCTTGAAGGATCAAATGTAGGTAACCTTGCCCAACGTTATTTTAATGAGTAGCTTATCCCAGATGTGACTAATAGGCTATCTCCCCAATTCTCCTGCTAACCCATTCCTACCCTCTGCTGAGGTTAGCTGGTTTGACACTGGACATGAACAGGTTTAGTATTCAGTCTTCTGGAAATCAAGTGAGAAGACACTTCCTAGTAGATGTCTCTCTAGAGTTAGATGCTCATCTGTGAAGCCAGGAGCCTAAAGAAATACTGGAATTTTCCAAAGGCTCTGAGAGATGTCAACCTGAAGTATTTATAACCCTCATCACAGAGTGATTCAGCAATGAAGACTGATGATTTTTAAAAATCTTGTCAAGTCTTTTAAAGCACATTTTATTTTACTGAGGATACGGTTCAAAAATTGTCTAATAGTCTCCAAGAGTTTTGGTTGGCAGTTAAAAAGAAATGTATACTGAGAGAGAGATAACTAACATGTATTTTTCAGCAACTCTTATGTCTCAGGCTCTGGGATGGGTGTTTTTATTCATACTGCTTCATTTAATCCTTACAACAGTCCTGTGGAGGTCACAGTTATAACCCTTAGTTTACAAACGAATGGAAACTTAGAGATAAAGTCACACAGCAGCTTCTAAGTGACAGAGCTAATTGATTAAGCCCAAGTCTATCTACAAGTCCAGTACTAATTCCAACATACTGTAAATATATTTTGTTGATGCCCATTCTGTCTTGCTAGCGTTACAAAGATTTCTATCAAAATAAAAACCATGTGAGAGACATACAATAGAAAATAAAAACTTGGCTGGGAGATGTCGCTCATTATCTGTAATCCCAGCACTTTGGGAGGCCAAGGCAGGCAGATCACCTGAGATCAGGAGTTCGAGACCAGCCTGGCCAAGATGGCAAAACCCCAACTCTACTAAAAAAATATAAAAATCAACCAGGTGTGGTGGCAGGTGCCTGTGACCCCAGCTACTCAGGGGACTGAGACAGGAGAATCACTTGAACCTGGGAAGCGGAGGCTGCAGTGAGCCGAGATCATGCCATTGCACTCCAGCCTGGGCAACAGAGCGAGACTCTGTCTCAAAAATTAAAAAAAAAAAAAAAAAAACTTAAAATGTAAAGGCCAATCATAAACTCAACTCCCCAACATCCCATGTCTGAGAAGATTATCCCTATGGTTGACTTGTTTTTATATTTTCAGATCCCTTGCCACAGCATGTGAGGGAGGATGAGACTCAGCTGTAGTCTCATCGGAAAGGTTACCAAAGGGATGCAACTATTTCCACAATGCACTTGACCACTGAACAGACTACTTACTTTAGAAATATGTACAGAATCAATTTAGAGCAACTAGACATTCTGGACATTATGTAAACTGCTCAAGAACAGGGGTTCTGCCTGCTTTGTTCTCTCTTGGAACCTAAAATAGGTGCTCAGCAAACACTCATTGAAAGAATAAATTAATAATAAATGGCATTACCAGGGAGTTATGGGCCAGCAGAGGGTTTTCATGAGGCTAAGTAATCTGCTGCCCAGTCTTAGAATGGAATGAAGGAATATTTACAGTACCTGGACACAGTCCTCAGGCATTTCAGAGATGATTAAGAAATAATAATAATCAAAAAAAAGAATCCTTTATCTAAAAGTTCTAGCCAAAAAAACAAAAACAAAAACAAAACAGGTCTTATAAAATTTTCTCCATCCTAAACAACCTCCTAAAACCATTCATTGAAAAGCCTTTACCATGTGAAGGGGAATCTGTGAAATAATAATACATGCTATGAATGGCAGCATAGGACAAAGGCACAGATTTCTGGCCAGACACTCATGAGCTCAGACCCTGACTCCTAAATATGTATTAGCTGTACAACCTAAGGAAAGCCCTTCTTCAGCTTGTTTAAATGTCAGCATCTTCACTGGTAAAATGAGATATTAACTTCATTTTTACTTTATTGGGTTGTAAGAATTAAGAAACATTAACAGTAGCAGGCACAGGGCTTGGTATTTAGCAGGCTCAATAGATGTGAATTCCCTCCCTCAGTTCCCTCCCTTGCTTTCTTTGTTCTTTCCTGCCCTGACACCCACTTATTCTAAAACCCCAGAGGTAAGTGAGATCATGTAATTGTTTTATACATGTTCTTATTCCTTCTTTTCAAAGACTTAAAAAACCCATGAGTTGGAGGACCTCTAAGTTTGCTACTGGCTTTTTTCTATCAGGTCTAAAATATTAAATCCTATTATATAACAGAAAAACAGGGAAGCTGGGGGATGGACCATAAAAATTACTGTAATTAGTCAGGCAATAGAATTTTTTTTTAAGTCATGGCTTTCTATTTTACTGTCTTGGCTGTGATGTCTAAAAATGGTTAAAGAAATATAATTGAAAAGGAGGTGGCCCTTGCTTCAGAATTTACTGCTCTTTCAAGGGCTTTCACAGGGACATCTGTTGGGTTTGTAATAAAAGAAGCCAGAAAAGGTTTCAAGAGAGAGTAAGGGAAACTATGGTTTACAAGGTATCCACATCTGTTTGGTATTCTGCCATCTGAGAAAGTTCGACTTCTGAAATAGCACGGGTCACCTAGTTAAGACTGAATCTAGGAACAGATGAAAGCTTTCTTTCCTCAATGTTTCAATGGTAGAGATCAACAGCTGTTTATATCCTTTAATAGCTAACTAAGGATGAAGCTTTCACATCTGTCAGTATTTTCCGGTTCTATTTCCTTGGATCACAGTGGGGAGGAGATGAAGTTTGAACCCCTCCCAATTCCCAAGCAGAAATATGCCCAGTATTCAAAGCTGTAATTCTAAGCAGAACTCTCCATTTCTCATCCACCCAGGGTCCTGTTTGCTTAGAATTCTTCTTTTGCTTTACCCTGACAGACATCTTGATTATCTCCATGATAATGACTCATGATAGCACAAAGATCAAAAAGAAGAAAAGTAGGCTGGAGTCAGGAGAAGGAAAAAGAGGAGGAAATGGAGTGTAACAGAGAAAGTAGCTCCTAATAATACGTTCTTCCAAAAGACCACAACAGTAGCAACTGAGGGCAAATCACAGAGGTGAGCAGGAGGTTGAAGACTCTCATAGTGAAGGTGGACGGTGATGGTTTTTACTGACCGTAACATCTCACCTTGGAAAAGTTAAACAGAGAAAATGGAACCCTATGGAAGCAAGGTGCAGGAAATATCCAGGAATGAAAACAAAAGGATTCAGAAACATTTGTTTAACTTTGCTCTGATCACCAGAATCATCCATGTGCTGGGCCTTTATAAAGATTATTTTTCCATCCAAACATCCATCCACCCACCCGTCCATCCATCCATCCATCCATCCATCCAATAACTTGAAAGTTACCAGGACTAGAGTTAGTGGGTGATAGTCAGATGAATTAGACATATTGCATAATTTAAAGAGCTGGTATTCTAATGGATGAAAGCCTTCACAGAGGACATGGTATCTGAGCTGAACCTCAAAGGATACATGAGAATTCACTAGACAGAGAAGTGAGTGATTACAGAAGGAGAGAAAAACATGAATAAAACCAGAGTGGTAAGAAACAAACCACTTCTGGGGGAATGAAAAATTCTGAGTGGTTACAATAAACAGAAGATGCTTATTAAAAGTACAGGTTCATAAAGAACTCAAATAACTCAATTGAAAGAAAATACATAATTTAAAAATGGGCAAAGGATCTGACATATTTCTCAAAAGAAGTCATACAAATGGCTAACAGGTATATGAATGAATAAAGAAAATGTGGTATATATACACAATGGAATACTATTCAGCCTTAAAAAATAAGGAAATCCTGTCATTTGTGACATGAATGAACCTGGAGAACATAGGTTAAGTGAAATATGCCTGGCACAGAATAACAAATACTGCATAGTTTCTCTGATATTTGGAATCTTAAAATGTTGATTGTTGAACTCATAGAAGTAGAGAGTTAGAATGGTGATTACCAGAAGCTGGAGGTATAGAGAGGGCGTTAGGGAGATGTTGGTCAAAAAATACAAAACTTCAGTTAGATAGAAAGCGTAAATTCAAGAGATAAATTATACAATGTGGTGACTACAGTTTTCCTTTCTAAAAAGTGCAGGCTTTTAGGTCTCACCTAAGAGATTCTGATTTAGTTGTTAATGGGGAAGAGAGGTTCAAGGAATTTGCGTTTTGAACAGAAGGCCCAAATAATTCTGATATAAACAAAAGTTTGACAACTGTAATATATACAGCTTAACGTTTTCCAAAAGATGCTAATGGTCTTTCATTAATTTAAAAAAAAAGGTACCAGTGTCAAATAAGGAACCACCACATACTATTCTTTTCTTGGAAATTCATAATGCACATTGGCATATTAAAAGTCCTGTGGTAAAGAAATCAATTTCACTCAGCATTTCCCAAACTTATTTTTCCTTGGGGGAAGAAATCTTTACGATCTCTCAAAATACAAGTATGCAATGGAGGCTAGATGGGGTAGAGCTGAAACAGAGGATTCTGACCAGGTAAGCACGTTCCCTAAGCATACTGAATGACTAAGAAAATGTCTAGAAAAATAAAGCAAAGTCGGTTACCCTGGGGGATATAGAGGCATCCATAGAGGCATCCATTAATTTCTTCCAAGCAAAGCCCAAAACCACCTATGATGTCCTGTTTTCCAGCCAGACAGCCAGAAACTTCCTCTCTCTCAAGTAACACACCATGGCTTTGTACTATGACTTCTGGTCAGTACTCTCTGTGGTAGCCACAGTTGCAGAGAGAACAGGAGTATGCAGAATTCAAAGCATACAGGTGAAGACACAGGGGGAAGGACAAAGAGGAGGTATCCTTGCCTACATTTATTTATCTTTATTGCTATTACATGTTCAGCATAGAGCACTGGCAGTTGCTAGTAAGGCTTCTGGAAAAGAAAAAATCCTTCCAGCTCCAAAAGTAGCCTATGACAGTCAATGAAAAGTGCAAAAGACATGAACCTAAGAAATTTCCACCACTCTGAGGTGCTTAATATTATGCCCAGGGGAGTTTTTGAAACCTGCCTTCTTCCTCCTATGCTGTGAACTGGGGGATTTGCCCTGACATACAACCTACCTCCTTCCTGTTAAGAAGGGGTAGGAGAGAGAGAAGTATGAGGGAACTGGACAAGCCAAAGCAACACCAAGATCCTGACAAACTGGTTTGTGTGCCGAATATTTCAAGATGTACATACTGCGTCAATCAATGTATACATTTTTTTTCTGGTATAAACTTAATTACTTCCATACACGCCCTTCTCAACTTTCCAGGTGCTATGTGGGGACACATCCTACCCCAATCTAGAGGTGATTTCAACAGTGTGTTTCAAATACGTTTTTTGTACTCCAACCATCTCAGGGCTTTTAAATCATACTTTCTAATAGCACAAGTATTTATTCCATCATTCCACAAATATTTCCTGAGTGTCTACAAGGTGGCAGGGCATTATGTTAGGCACTGGAGCTACAACAGTGGACATAGGAGATTGCGGATTCCTATTCAGCCTACGGCATAAAACACTAAATTCTAAATTCAGTCTGAAAGTGCATGGAAAAATCTAATGACCAGCATCATGAAGAAATGTAAGAGGCAGAGAAGACTGACTGGTCCTTCCTTTTGAAGTGTTTTAGCCTGTAGCACAAAGCAAACAAACTAATTTGCATTTCAAGTGTCCCAGTGTATCCAGAAGATACGCAAGGGTTAAAGTAAACAGCACAGCCTGGAATTAACAACCTATGATTAGAAGAGGGAGGAGAATTTCAGGATCTCTTTCTCCTCAGAATTTGAACCCCCAGTTTGTTTGATCCCCAAACAAATCTATGAATTCTCACACTGGAATTTCTTAATCCTCAGATATAAATACCAGTAACTGCATCAGAGTCCATGTAACTTTAGTCAGTTAACCAAAAAATAATAATCTTATCAAGATAAGTGAGTGAGTCTGACATCTAGTCCTAAGAAAGCCAACACAATCACACCTAATATTTCACCAAGTCAGTGTTCCCCAGCATGTGGTATGTGTACCACTGGAGTCCACAAAATAAATGTAAGTGGTCCATAAAGTTTTTTTTTTCATTTCAATGAGGCTCTTATATATCACTCACTACAGGTATGTGAGTGATGGGATTAATGCATGGGTGCTACCTAGCATTCAAAGGCAGTCTGCAAATTTTCATAGTGAAGATTGTGCAGGTGACAAAAAAACTGAGAGCTGGTAATGAACTTACCCACGCATGTTGGAAATATTTCCTCGTTGTTGATCTGAACCTCAATCCAATCCATAAGAAGGTTCATGTACTGGGGAGCTGGCAGCGCTGTTGGCTTCTTATACTTGAGATCATCCTGCCACCGATACTCATATTTGGGGCCCCCTGACATCACAGGACAGGTCCGCTCGGTGCAGAACTCACAGATGGTGCCATAGATGAGGTTGATCCGATTGAAGAAGTCCACCACATGTACTGCCACCCAGTCATTCTGGTCCTCCCCACTGGGCAACTGCACAGCCGCCTTCAGGTCCACACCCGAGTTGAGGGATGCCTGAGCCCGTTTGTGCAGCTCAAACCTCTGTGTGCCAGGTTCAAATTTCCTCTTGGGTCGGAAGGTCTTGTCCTTGTTGAATACCTGCTTCAGGGCTATGGACATGGTCTTCTCTTTCGCTTCCTTTCTTTTGCAGGAAGCGAAAAGGCACCTGGAACTTTTCAGGGAGAGATCACAGCCCAACAGTGTTTTCCACTGCCAGCACTCAGGCCCCAGTCTTACAGCCTGTAGCTTTTAAGCTCTTCTAAACAGCCCCTTCCATCTTCCTCTTGAATGATTTCCAAGGGAACCTCATGTTCTTTCCTAAAGGTAGAAGAGAAAAGGGAACACATGAGTGCCCAGTTCGCCTTTAAAAAATGACAGTCTTCAACCTGATTTCCACCTTGTGTTCTTGGCTGTGCCCACTCTCCATCCAGGTATATGGGCATGGGGGTTAAGCCACTGCCCTGTGACTCTGTACTGTTGATGCAAACCATGCAAATAACTAAAGAAGAAAAGGCATCACACTTGTTTTGTTCATGGCCTTTGTCAAATCTCTACTGGCTCTTCTTTGTGTGATCATAGGCTTAGTGGACCTTTCCAAGGTGTTAAGGATGAACATGTTGATCAATGGCCTGATCCTATCCCACGTGTGCTAGCTTTTAGAGCCCCACCCCCCAACAACTCCTATTAAGTAGGCATGGGGACACTTCCCCCATCCTTCTAGATACAGATGATGGAAAAGGGGTGGCTATCACACCAAGCTGGCTAATAAGAATGTCTCTCCTGGGAATTTGGAATCAGGACTCAGCCTTGGTTGGGCATTAGTGATGTGGCATTGGGTGAGAAGTGATGAAAACTGGGTCTGGTTGAATCTTGCTTGGACCGTGTGTAGTGCAGTTGAGAAAGCTGGTCTGCAGAGCCACGGAGGAAGAGGAGGAAAAGGAGAAGGTGGAGAAGGTGGCTGCCAATACACAGAGAAACAGAGACAAGAGCCTAAGTGGCCACAGAGAGAGGAAGACAAGAGAAAAAGAGAGACAGTGAGAAGAACTAATCCTGATAATCTTCTAGAAACTGGTTCCAATTCCTTTTGAAGCCTAGCTATGCTTCATGCCTTTTGGGATCCATTCACATTTCCTGAATTAGTCAAAGCCTTACTGTATTTCAGCTAACTTGAGTTGGTTCTGTTTCTTGCCAAACATTCCTAACTATGACAGTATTTGTCACCTTCCAATGTGCCGTCCTTTATACCCTTCATCTCACACTTTAGACAGCACTTTGAGGCAGAACTGTCCAATAGAACTTTCTGTTTCCGTGATAATGCAAATGTGTTATATCTATGGTGTTGAATATGGTACACACTAGCCACATGTGGCTATTGAGCATTTGAAATGTGGCTAATGTGACTGAGGAACAGAATTCTACATTTTATTTAATTTTAATGAATTTAAACTTAAATAGGTGCTCACAGCTACCACACTGGATGGCACAGCTCTGAAGTCTTCGATGCCCTCTTCTCCACTAACTTGTTGATCCTCACGAAAATCTGCTGAGGTTTATAGATTTATAATAGGTCTAATAGATTTATAGTGGGTATCATTCTTCCTGGGTCTCCAAGAGATACAATTACTTGCCTAACAAGATCCCATAGCTAGCTGGAGCATGCTGTTAGATTGAAATCCAGTTTGTTGACTCCTAGCAAATGCTTTCTCTACATGGCCATATATTCCCAAAAGTAATGGACTTCGACTTGTCTTTCCTACTGGTTTACAAAGCTTGTTTTCCCCAAAGCTTCTATCCACATATTCCCCAAAGACTGCTGTATAGATTGGTCGGAGGTGAAGGCTATGTTCCGTGGCCTTGAAATAGAGAGGAGATAACTGATCCACTCATAGGTCAAGCCCCAACAAAATGAGCCAACAGCTGTGGCCAGATTCAGAAGAGCCCAACACGGAATCTGTTAAAATGGGCTTGGAGCATGATCCCACTAACTGTTTTTTCCCTGCCTGTAAGGGGTTCTGCCATTCCACACTCAAACAGGGCTTGATGGTACTTTCAACCTTAAGTTATTGAGGCCAATATACCTAAGACATCCTGATTCCCCCTTATCAACTCTGCTCTTCGCTCAGAATTGCTAACCAGGCGGTGGAATCCCCGCCCCACCCCCAGTCCCAAGGCCTCTGGCTCTCTGCCTGCTCACTTCCTCCCTCTTAACCCCACCCTCTTCCTAACAGGTTTTCACTGAAATGCCATATCCGCAAGGTGGGTTTTTTTTTTCCTATTCACAGGACATTGACCTTTGACCCACTCCCCACCAAAGAGATCCATGTGGAAAAGCAGGTCACATGAAACTTTCTGCCTGAGACAGTCTGTGAAATCACACTTCTGGGTACCCTGGAATAGCACCTGTAAGGATATCAACACAGAAACTCTGCAAAGTCTAGGGAAAGAATGGAGTGATCTCTTTTCCTAAAGAATACCTTCCTAAAAGAGACTTAGCTTGCCTGAAAACAGGCTTAAGAAACCTGAGGGTTTTAGAAGGAAATTTCCAAAATAAAAGAATGAGCTGAAGGTTGGAAATACAGAGAAAGGGTGGTGAGGACTTGTTTTTTAAAAAAACAGACAATAGTCCTTCTATGTCTCAAATGCTTAATTGCTGACAGTAAAACAGTAACCACCAAACAGCTGCCCCCTCATGTCTTGAACAAATGAGACTTGCTCTTCTATTAATCTGATAATGAGGGTACCATCAATGCCCACAGTCCTCAGAGCAACTTTCTTTCATGGCCATACATACCCTTGGTGCCACTAATCCTTCTGTTTTCCCTCAGCCAGGAGTGTCTGCTTGCATGGACACCATTGTGGAAACCTTCCTCCGCACCTGTGCCAGGCTCTTGTGGATGCCATCAACAAACCCCTCTGACACCTCTGACGGGAGCATGTGAATAACACCGAATAATCACAACAAATCCTCCTCATCATAAAGCCTTGCGTGGACTGGCACTCGCAAATATTTAAATAAATATTAAAACACTGTTGGAAATTTGGGAATTTTTCTTCTAGAGATACTCATATAACAAATTTGAAGATATGTTTTTTTTTTTTTTTTGAGACAGGAAGATCACCTGAACCTGGGAGGTCGAGGCTGCAGTGAGCCATGATCATGCCACTGCTGGAGTGGTGTGGTGTGATCATGGCTCACTGCAGCCTCGACCTCCCAGGTTCAAACGATCCTCCTGTCTCAGCCTTCTAAGTACCAGGGACCGTAGGTGCATGCCACAATGCCTGGCTAAGTATTTTATCTTGTATTTTGTAGAGACATGGTCTCACTTTGTTGCCTAGGCTGGTCTTGAACTCCTGACCTCAAGCAATCCTCCCGCTCTGGCCTGATACCAGTCTCTTGAACTGGAAGGACAGGTGGTATTATCTCCATTTTACAGACAAGGAAACAGAGACTCAGATCTCCTAGTGCTTGATTCAAATTTGTAAATGATTCTGACATGGTCAGACATGAGGCTGTCTCTTTAGGTCAAACTTTTGAATCTAAAATGAAGCTTTCTTAAGAAGAAATAGGTTGATCAGGTAGGCCCCCCCCCATGTTTAAAGACAATGGCAATCCAGGATGGATAATAACAGATGTATCATGCCACTGAACGACAGAACAAAGAGGCACCCATCTGTGTCTTTTCCTGAGTGTGAGATGCCATATTGGCGCAGGTACCTGAGAGTTTTGAAATTAAAAAGGGAACTGTAAATGCACCTGGACTTACTTTCCCAGCCCAGAGCCCCCTTGGGACCCCTGCCCATAATTTATGCTGTGGGCTAATCAAATAGTTAGAACAGTGCTTAGCCAATGTGAACTCAGGGATCTTGTTAAAATGCAGGTTCTGATTAGGCTGGTCTAACAGTCTCCCAGGTGGTACTGAATCTACTGGTCCATGGATGACACTCAAAGCATCAAGGCCTGATCTAACTAAGTGATCTTGTTAGAAATGTAGACTCTCAGGCTTCACCCCAAACCTGGTAGATCTAAGTGTGCATTTTAACAAAATCTCAAAAGTATATGATCTGAGAAGTGCTGGGTTGGAGGGCTGCCTGCCTGGCTGAGTAAAGGAATGAATAAACAAACTTCCATTTATTGTTTTGTCAACAGATTGTTTCATAAACAGTCTTCAGTTGAGTGTGGGTATGTTCGAGAAAAAAAAATGAGAGATACTGTTTTGAATACAATCGCCTTGACAGATGGTGACAATGACCAGGTCTTTTGATCTGGACTGACTTGTATAGCCCAGCACCCAGCACCTAGGAGGTCTCCAGTGAATACCTTTTCATAAATGCCAGGTAGAGGGCAGCTGCTGCTATTGCGGCCTCAAGCAGAAAGGTTTCTTTGGCTGAATAAACTGTAGCACTAGCAACAACACAGTGGTTATTTTCTGTCCTGTTTCAGTCTCCAAAAAAAAAAAAAAAAAAAAAAGTCATAAAGTTTTCCTTCTAAGTAGAAATGGAAAGTAAATTCTATGTCATGAACTGCACCCATGACAATTCTGGTTGTTAATAAATATTTGAAACCAATGGTTCATTTGATCAATAAACATTTACTAAAAGCTTTTTATGTGTCAGACACAGGGCTAGGCACTAAGGACATAGAGTTCATAAAAATGTGGTCCCTGTCTATGAAGAATTCACAATTTGGTATGTAGTTTTGAGGTTAGTTATTGACTTTTGCTTTTAATACTATAAAGTTCAATGCACCAACATGCATACTGATGTGACTCCTTCAGAGTATTACTTAGGTCAGGGATGAAACAGGACAATAAAGGGTGAGGTCTTTGGAAAGAGAAAAACAGAAATCTAAATAAATAGCACAAAACTGACAGAAGTTCCATGTGCTCTCCATATTTTCTGCCTAATAGATCAATTATAACAATAAAACATGTGCACTATAAAAACATGCAGAGAGAATTCGGCTGGGCTGCAAGGGAATGTTGACAAGGTAGCTAAGCAACGCACTGGCAAGGAAAGTTCTAATTTTTCTTTTCCTATTGATGTCTTTTGCCTCATTAGTTGAGAAATCAAAGAGTCCTTGCCAGGGATAAGGAAGAAATAAAACAACTCTCCCAGTCACTCCTGAGAGATCCATCTTCTCTAGCCAGGCCCACCTCTAAGAGACCTTGGTGGTACTGAAGGGTGAGGGGGTTAGGAAAGGAGAGGGACTGAAGCTGATACCAGTTGCAGGAAAGGCAGTTCAATATCTTATCTGTGAGGTGGAGGACTCCTCCTGGCAGGATCAGCTGCCAGGATGATTCATTTCCTATAGGAAGGCCATAAGAGAAATGCCCCAGAAACACCCCGCATGAAGGAGGTTTAGTGTCATCTTCATTGCCAGGCACAGAGCTGACTTAACTGAATGTTTGCTGAATGAATGAGTAAATGACAGTGAATTACGAACATTTTACATCACAGTGAAACCACAAAAGAGGAACCAAAGTGGATCTCCTGTCTTCAGTTATTTGGGGACTCTATGTCAATCTGTAAGCTCACTGCCAACTCACTGAGGCCGCTGGGATACCCTGAAGTAACAAGTCTGCCTCCTGAAAGGACAAGACTTCAGCTCAACTTTTCTTTCAAATGAGCTGCTCCATTCCTCTGTGTTATCTGAAATTCCACCTCTTCAGAATCAAAGAATGACCAGTCTGATTTCTCATTTTCCCACTATATTGTTCTCTTTATAGCTGGAATAGTCCTTGGAATCGTCCTCCCACTTCCCAAATATTGAATTAAAGTAGATTGGGTTTTTATTTTAGAGGGGTGTATGTATGTGTGTATCATAAAATGAACATCGTCTGACCTTTCCAGGATCCAATAAAGGATGTGCCTAAGATGCAATTCCATCAGCCCTTATGCACTGTTTACCTTATGCCTACTTAGTAGGTGCCATCTTTGCCCACAGGACAACCCCAGAATGGAAGAGATTCCTGCCTGAGAAGCAGCTTTGCTATTTTTTTCCCCAACGAATTCAACTCCTCAACTTTGAGCTGTCATATCACTGCATTTTGTTACATTAGTTGGGAGAAACCTTGCTGCCTCATTTTAATCTTCAAAGATATGCATGGTTTCAGAGCTTAGAATGCTCACATTATTTCTGAACACAGATGAAGTTAGTACAAATAGGTGTAACCGTACAGAAGTCTGTCACAGGACTATTCTGCTCATCTTCTAGCTCTTCAATGGTCGTTTGAATTGCATTCTTGCTGTTTCACAGGCTTATTGTTTTGGTCATCAGTGCAGACATTCTAGCATCAAATGTGTAAGTAAATAGTGCCAAAATGAAAGCATTACCTGTAACCTTATACACTGTAGCAGCAGCAACAGCTACAATAGATGAATGCACAGGTGTTTTCAGCAAAAACCTATAATGATTCATCATCATTCAGAAGAGGACACTTAGTGGTGAGAAAGAATGGAAAGAGTAAAAGAAAAGAGTGGGATTTGTTTGGTATGGTTTGAAACATTACCTACTGACAGTCCATGGAACAAAAGACAGAGTTTTAAAAAATGTTTTCTGAAATAAAGAGAATAATGTTCCTTCTGGACACCAGTACCAACTAGCTTAGATTCCCAACAATGACAAAGATGAAGACCTTTTGGTCAAACCTTGGGCAGGGTTGATCCAATCTTACTGCAGTTGTAAAAATAAATAGTAAAGTAAAATTATTACAGGATAAAAGCTCAGATGACCTATTTAATCTTATAAAGATTATAAATCTTATAATGACATCCTACTGATTATACTGATTTTTTTTAAAAGAAAGAGAAACTTCTCTAAGTCAGTGAGAGATTTGGTATATTATTTCCAGATATTTAGACTAGCTGGAAAATATTCATTTTTGTGGCTTAAAGAAAGACACGTGAATTGAAAAAAACAATATCTAAGTCAGGTGAGGGTAGAAGAATGGGGGATGGGATGAGAACTACAGATAAAGCTTAAGTTATAGCTGAAATAAAAAATTAAGGCAGGTAAAAAATGTAAGTATTTTTACTTTTTAAAGCATGAGTGTATATCAGCTGATATGATGTCACTCTGAACCTTGAACGGATATTGAGATAAGTATTTTTACTTTATAAAGCATGGGTGTATATCAGCTGATATGATATCACTCTGAACCTTCAGTGGATACTGGGATAAAGGTCATTGTCAGTTACCCTTTCTTTTTCTTTGAAACAGCGTATGTCAATCCTTTCTTGGAAAAGTCTTAAAGGAAAAAGGTTCAAATTCAAGGAAGTTGGATCCTGTAACTGACAACAGACTTGTTTACTCTTAGCCACTAAGTGAACTTGAGTCTCAAAGTCTGAAAAATTTCTAGCCCTAGCACCATGAGAACTTATGTATGACATCTGGAACCATTGCAAAAGATCTTTGCAGGAAGGTGGAGAACACAAAATGGGCAAGAAGACTGGAAATTCGAAAATACAGTTTGAATTTTCAAAAGATCATAAGTTTAAGTTTGACAGGGGATAGGTAAAATTAACACCAAGAGCAGGCAAGATTAAGAGGCACTAAAGCCCAGTGGCTAACAGCACACAGCTTTTGCAGGGTTGCTGCAAGAATTCAAACAGTTTACGTAAAACACTTAGCATTAGCAAGTACTGAATATAGTATAGTGGTTGTTGCTATCATCATGTTCATCATTTGAATCATATTATGATACAAGTTTTACTAGAGAGTCAGATTCTTGAGAGACCAGTCACCTAGAATCTATCTTAGGATGCCTAAAATTCTAATTATATAATATTAACAATGGTATTTATTAAGGACTTCCTATTTATTTTAGTTTTCACAACCTTATGAATAGGTATTATTATTATTATACCTAATTTACGCTTAAGGAAACTGAGACACAGTGAGATTGAAGCTATATCCTGATCACAGAACCAGTAAGTAGCCAAGCTGACTCCAAACCTCTTACCACCTACTTAAAAGTGCCTCTTTAGACAGTTGGGTAGTTAAAGAAAAAAAACAAAACAGAGGAAGTTCTGGGGTACACCTAAGGGGGTCAGGGAGGAAATGGGAGAAACAGAGACCTAGCCCTATGTACATTGTCATGTGCCACTCCAGAAGAGATCTATTTCTGGAAACTTCGCGGTCTAGATTCAAAAGACCTGGATTCAAATTCTGGCAATGACTTTAGCTGGCTATGTCTTTGAACAGACACTTTTTATGAATCTCAGTTTTGTCTTCTTTAAAGATGATGGTGGCTGGGCACAGTGACTCACGTCTGTAATCCTAACACTTTGGGAAGCTGAGCCAGGCTGATTGCTTGAGCCCAGGAGTTCGAGACCAGCCTAGGCAACATGGCAAAACCTCATCTCTACAAAAAATACAAAAATTAGCCCAGTGGGACACGCCTGTAGTCCCAGCTACTTGGGAGGCTGAGGTGGGAGGATCACCTGAGCCTGGGGATGTCCAGACTGCAGTGAGCCATGATTGCACCACCGTGCTCCAGCCTGGGCAGCAGCATGAGACCCTGTCTCAAAAAAAAGAAAAAAGAAAAAAATAATAAGGATAACGGTTAATGGTGCTTACCTTTATTGTAAGGTTACTGTGAAAATTAGAAGAGATATTGCCAGTGAAAGTGCTTCACAAATGGAAAACAATTATATGGTTATTGACATAGTGACTGATAAAAGAAACTATGACTTTTGACTTAATATCAAGAAATGATGTGAGAAACAGAAAATGATTCAGTTCAATGCAAATGTGTGTTTACGAATAAGAAATAGGCAGGAGGTGGTAGGGGTGGGGGGCACGGTGGCAATGGAAGCCCTGCATAGGAGGAAAGAAAGAAAGAAAATGCTTCATTCTTGCTTAATTTGGGTGGACTTCTAATTCTCAGGCAAAAAGAAATAATATTAACCTCAGTGATTTGATAATGAGTTAACAATATTCCCCAACATTTATAACACACTTACCCTAATATTTTGAGGGAGTTCCAGTATTTTTTTGCATATAATAAATCTAATGCAATATGGCTTATTTCATGAATTTGGGCAAATTATATCCACCATGCCCTCCCACTAATCCCTCAAACACTTTTCAGAATAGCATATAAATACTCTACATTTAACACATTACATTCCTGGTTATAATCCAGTTACAACCTCTGTATTCTGATAACAGAAATGACTTTCTAAACTGTTTAAAAAGTTATTTTTTATATTAGCTCATTTTCATGCTGCTGATAAAGACATACCTGAAAATGGGAACAAAAAGAGGTTTAATTGGACTTACAGTTCCACATGGCTGGGGAGGCCTCAGAATCATGGCGGGAGGTGGAAGACACTTCTTACATGGCAGCAGCAAGAGAAAAATGAGGAAGAAGCAAAAAAAGAGACCCCTGATAAACCCATCAGATCTCGTGAGACTTATTCACTATCACGAGAATAGCATGGGAAAGACTGGCCCCCATGATTCAATTATCTCCCCCTGGGTCCCTGCCATAGCATGTGAGAACTCTGGGAGATATAATTCAAGTTGAGATTTGGGTGGGGACACAGCCAAACCATATCATTCTGCCCCTGGCCCCTCCAAATCTCACGACCTCACATTTCAAAACCAATCATGCCTTCCCAACAGTCACCCAAAGTCTTAACTCATTTCAGCATTAACCCAAAAGTCCATAGTCCAAAGTCTCATCTGAGACAAGGCAAGTCCCTTCCACCTATAAGCCTGCAAAGTCAACAGCAAGCTAGTTAATTCCTAGACACAATGTGCGTACAGGTATTGGGTAAATACAGCTGTTCCAAATGGGAGAAATTGGCCAAAACAAAGGGGTTACAGGGCCCATGCAAGTCCGAAATCCAGCAGGGCAGTCAAATTTTAAAGCTCCAAAATGATCTCCTTTGACTCCAGGTCTGACATCCAGGTCATGCTGCTGCAAGAAGTGGGTTCCCATTATTTTGGGAAGCTCCACCCCTGTGGCTTTGCAGGGTACAGCCTCCCTGCTGGCTGCTTTCATGGGCTGGCATTAAGTGTGTGTGGCTTTTCCAGGTGCACAGTGCAAGCTGTCAGTGGATCTACCATTCTGGGGTCTGGAAGACGATGGCCCTCTTCTTACAGCTCCACCAAGCAGTGCCCCAGTAGGGACTCTGTGTGGGGGCTCCAACCCCACATTTCCCTTCTGCACTGCCCTAGCGGAGGTTCTCCATGAGGGTCCCGCCCCTGCAGCAAACTTTTGCCTGGGTATCCAGGCATGTCCACACATCTTCTGAAATCTAGGGGGAGGTTTCCAAACCTCAATTCTTGACTTCTGTGCACCCACAGGCTCAACACCACGTGGAAACTGCCAAGGCCTGGGGCTTCCACCCTCTGAAGCCACACCCTGAGCTCTACGTTGGCCCTTTCGGCCACAGCTGGAATGGCTGGGACACAGGGCACCAAGTTCCTAGGCTGCATACAGCACGGGGATCCTGGGACCGGCCCACAAAACCACTTTTTCCTGCTGGGCCTCTGGGCCTGTGATGGGTGGGGCAGCCATGAAGATCTCTGACATGGCCTGGAGACATTTTCCCCATGGTCTTAGGGATTAACATTAGGCTCCTTGCTCCTTATGCAGCCGACTTGAATTTCTCCTCAAAAAATGGGTTTTTCTTTTCTACTGCATCGTCAGGCTGCAAATTTTCTGAACTTTTACGCTCTGTTTCTCTTTTAAAACAGAATGCATTTAACAGCACCCAAGTTACCTTCTGAAAGCTTTGCTGCTTAGAAATTTCTTCCGCCAGTTACCCTAAATCATCTCTCTCAAGTTCAAAGTTCCACAAATCTCTAGGGCCACCAGTCTCTTTGCTAAAATATAACAAGAGTCACCTTTGCTCCAGTTCCCAACAAGTTCCTCATCTCCATCTGAGACCACTTCAGCCTGGACCTTATTGTTCACATCACTATCAGCATTTTTGTCAAAGCCATTCAACAAGTCTTTAGGAGGTTCCAAACTTTCCCACATTTTCCTGTCTTCTGAACCCTTCACATTGTTCCAACCTCTGCCTGTTACCCAGTTCCAAAGTCACTTCCACATTTTCGGGTATCTTTTCAGCAACGCCTCACTCTACTGGTACCAATTTACTATATTTGTCCATTTTCATGCTGCTGATAAAAACATACCCAAAACTGGGAAGAAAAAAGGGGTTTAATTGGACTTAGAGTTCCACATGGTTGGGGAGGCCTCAGAATCATAGTGGGAGGCAGAAGGCACTTCTTATACGGCAGCAGCAAGAGAAAATGAGGAAGAAGCAAAAGCAGAAACCCCTGATAAACCCATCAGATCTCGTGAGACTTATTCACTATCACAAGAATAGCACGGGAAAGACCGGCCCTTATGATTCAATTATCTCCCCTTGGGTCCGTCCTACAATATGTGGGAATTTTGGGAGATAAAATTCAAGTTGAGATTTGGGTGGGGACACAGCCAAACCATATCATTCCTGTTATCATTCCTGTTATCAGAATCCAGAGATCCTGCCAGAAGGATTAAGTCTGCATTTCTAGAAACTCTCAAGAGAGAACAGACAACCATCTAGCTAGATGATTTCTCATTTTTCTACATGAAAAACAGGTACACAAAGCAGGTAACCCTGAGATAAAATTGAGACAAATAATTAATGATTCTACCCACTCTATTCTCTCAAACATGCCAATAACAAGTTAAAAAAAAAGTTTGAAATGAAATTGAGTCAGACATGTAATTGCAAACCATGTATCCTCCTCAAAGACTGAAAAGAGGTCTACCTTTAGAGCCAGAAAGATGCAGGTCTGAGTCCAGACTCTGCCCCTTGACCAGTTACCCTTGTGGGCTAAATGCTTTCTCTTTGTGCTTTAATTTCTTTCTTTGTTGTTAGGGTGCTAATACCAATATCACAGTGGGTTTTGGGGATAAGTGAGATAATATAAGTAAAGATAGGTAAATGTCAAGTGTTAAATTTATTAATCTGGATTTCTCCTATGATCAGATTTCAGGTGGTGTGATGATCAATAGGAGTCCCAACCATAATGTGCTCTTTCTTTGACTTCTTCCCCACAAGACCTAAGCACATGACCCTCAAAAAGTGTAAAATCTTGAGGCACCTCAGAGGGAAGCACCATTTCCCCACTCGTGGTTTGGATGAGGAAGAATTTTCCCTATGCATCCTACTATCCTCTCTATGTCCTTTTACTAACATCGCCCCAGGGCAAGTGGAGGGATGGATTCACTTAGTTGGCAAACCGCACATGCTCAGCTGGCTCAGCCTGACCTTTTTTCCTCCTGCGAAGTGCCTGCTTTCAAGTGTGCTACCTGCTGCTTCCCCAGCTTTCTGCCTTTATGAATGGAATTGGTCTGCTCTCACCAGTGCTACATGGGAAAGGGTGGGCAAATCCAGAGTTTAGAGTTAACAGGCCCATTGGTTAACAGTCTGGCTTCCATAAGAAACAAAGTTGATTTTTGTTTTTGTTGTTGTATTGTTACTATCAACTTCTTTGAAGCCACATAGGGAAGAGTGGTGTGACTTGTTTATTAGGGCTCTATTGGAGAACTAACATTGTTAAGTTGTGCAGAGTGGCTTGGCTATGCAAAGTTAGCTGTTTTTGTTAGCAGAGACTCTTCGTGACATTAGTTCAACAAGAACTCTGTTTAAGACATAACTTACTCATCTGCAGAAAGTCTGTCTACACACCAGAAATGCATAGCCTTCTCAAGAGATTTCTCAGCTAAGAAAGAAAACCTAGTCATAGGGTGCATTTGTACCAGTTACTGCTCAGTGGCAGACACACAGAGACAGACTGCTCAGAACAGAGTCCCCCATCATCTATGAAGTGCTTCTGAATCCTCCACAATTGACAGTGAGCTTTAGGCCTGACAGTCCCATGCCCCTGTATGTGGCTACTGTCTGGGAACATGATTATCAGAAGCTTTCTCCAGGGAACTGAAAAACTTTCTATCCACTCAGATAAGGCCTCTCCCTTGCCCAGCCTCGATTTCCTCAAACTTCTCTCTGGCTTAACTTCAACTCCTGGTAAAGCAGAGGGAACAAGGTACCAAAAGAAGGAGCAAGAAGGACGGGATGGCTGGTCATCGTGTGCACCTTGCATGCACATCTCTGATGCGAATGCCCCAGGACCACATACTGTGCTGTATTTCTTTGCTCACATGTCTGGCCCCTCCATCAGTTTATGAGGGTTGGGAGCACACCCTAGACTTCACTGCATCCCTGGTACCTAACACAGGACCCAGCAGAAACAGGAACTCAGTAACTTTTTGTGGTTAAACTGTGTATCTAAATGATTGTTAATCAAATACCGCACAGATAAACAGTTCTTTCTCCAGTTGAGAGGACTAGGCCCCCATAATCATAATGAGACAATGGACAAAAGGAATCTTTTCAGAAAACAGAACTACTTCATGCAAAGATCAACAGTGGCTACTGGACATGATGTTTCCCAGGCCAATCTAAACAGCTCCCATGTTTTCATTTTCTAGCATTCAGTGAAAAGTCAGCTCCTTTGGAAGCATGCCCACTGGCTTAAAACAATGTTTAAAAAGTCATGGTAGAACTTTGTAAAGATCTTTGCAATACCACGCAAAGACCTTTACCTTTGTGCTTTGTTTAAAAAATAAGTTTTAAAAATATACCTCAGAGGAAAAAATAATGGGGAAGAGAGCAAGCTAATCAACTTGGGAATTTTTCTTTTTTTGTAGAGATGGGGGTCTTGCCATGTTGCCCAGGCTGGTCTTGAAATCCTGGGCTCAAGCAGTCCTCCTGCCTCAGCCTCCCTAGATGCTGGGATTACAGGGATGAGTCACAGTGCCTGGCTGGGAATTTTTTTTCTAATACGAGAAAAAAAATGTATCATCTCACCTCCTTTAGTGAAAACTCAACTTCTGTGACTTTGGTGTCCATGCCCAAGCTTCTGTCTCTGTTGCATCCACTCTTGTTGCCTTTGTACCCTTCAGTGACAGCATCCTGGCCCCTAACCTGTCTCCCTCAATCATCCCACACAACACCACGACATTAATTTTCCTCGAACTTTGATCCTGCTACCCATTCCGTGTGCATCTGCTAGGGAGGCCTGATAGCAAGGTCATGGCTGACAGGATTGTACAGCAGGAAGAACTTCTGAACATCAGTTAATTCAATAGAGCCTCTTAATTTATTAAAAACAAAAACAAACAGCTAGTGCCCAGAAAACTGAAGTGAATATTTAAAGGTTCACAGTTAGGACAGACCTGGGGCTGAAAACAAAGCCTCAACCTCAGTGCCTGTGTTCTTTCCACTAGGCAATGGATCTGTTTAATACTTCAGCAAGTCTGACACTTAATGGCCCTTCAAAACTTCCCCCCTCCCTTTTCGTGCCAGGCGTGGTAGCTGACACCTAGAATTTCAGCACTTTGGGAAGCCAAGGCAGGAGGATCGCTTGAAGCCAGGAATTAGAGACCAGCCTGGGCAACAAAGCAACACCTTCCCCCTCCCCCAGCCATCTCTGCAAAACAAAACAAAACAAAATTAGCCTGGCACGGTGGCACACACCTATGGTCCCAGCTATCTGGGAGGCTGAGGCAGGAGGAGGATCACATGAGCCTAGGAGTTCGAGGCCACAATGAACTATAATCATGTCACTGCATTCCAGCATGGGCACAGAGTGAGACCCTGTCTCTTAAAAGAAAAAAAAAAAAAAGAAAAGAAAACTACCCCAACTTAACTGTCTTTTTAGATCTATGGAGAGATGTAGATATAGATATTATTCATATTCCTGGTGATTTTTAAGCCTTTTAAAGCAACATAGCTCCTTTGTTCCTCCAAATGAAGTTTTATGCAGGCCCTCAATTTTATAAAAATAAATAAAAATTATTTATCTCTTCTGCAGCTGAAGCAGGGTGTCTACTCCTCTCAACAGCCACTGAAACACCTCTGAGAACTTTCAGGTTTCGCTTGATCAATCGGACAACTCCCCAGACCCCTAATGCTGACTGCACTTGTCAGTGGCTAAATCCCTGCCCCTGCCCTTTCTTTTGCCTTCCGCCTGCCATAATCCTCCAGCCTCCAGGCGACTTCTCCCTACAGTGCTGTTAGGAAGTGACTCTTGTCTCTCCTTTGCTCCAAAGCTCTGAATCTGTAGCCCTTCCTTTGTATCTAAACAGTCCGATTTGTTGGTTATTCTCACAGCTCACCCCCAACTTCTGGCCCATCTATAATCAGGGCCCACCCACCCATCTGTTAGCCCTGTGGGCCCATCAAAGCAGGCTTCAAACACAAGCTGCCACCTCTGGTGGAGGTTCAGCCTACCCCTTCCCCTTCTCTCCTGACCCTTCCCTAATCTGGCTTTGTTTCTGCCATCCCTGCCGCACTCATTTGGAACCCTTGCTTTTCTCAGCAAATATTTATGGGTTTGACTTGTTCTTATTGAGTTCTATACTCTTCCCCCAGCACTGCCTCCCCCTGGCCTTTTATCTTTTGTTTGTTTGTTTTTTTCTCTTTCACTTTTCCCCTTTTGAGCTCTGGCGGCTCTGGTAGAAGGTGGTGGCTGCTGAAGGAAAAAATACAACCCCTTCTCACCCTGAACCATCTGTCCACGGACTAACTAGTAAGTTCCCTCTGGGTTTCCTGGGGACACTCGGAAATGGCAGAAAGACCAAGATCACTTGCACCTGGGGTGCAAGTTTAAAATGCAGACTCTAGCATCCCACCCCTCACCAGTGGATGTGTGGACTCTGCTGCTCTCCAGGATTTAAGAGCTCCCTGAGCCAGGGAGTCTGACATGCCTGGCCTGGCATATCCAGTGGTCCATGGGCCAAAAGTCATTTCCTGAGGCGAATAGGCAGGAGACAAAAGTGGTCATCTGAAGAGTTGTATTTCCAGCAGTAAGAATGGCAGAAAAAGTCCTTGGGGGAAAGGAGAATTAACCTGAATCATTATTGGGAATATACAACATGGCCCTGCCCCTACTGGTCTACACCACCTGTGGAGAGGCTAGTTCAATGAACCACCCCTGCGCTTTGTGGCTCTTGGTCACTGTGTTGTATAGACTGGTCGTTAAGTAAATGGATCTGAGATCAGACTGCCCGATTTTGACTCCCAAATCTACCATTTCTAGAGTGTGGGCTCTGGAGCTTACTATATCACATTGCTCAACGTTAGCTTCCTCTTCTTCCATTTCTGTAAAATGGAGATAAAATATCCATCTCAAAGGGCTGCCATGAGAGTTAAATTACATTATCCAAATAAAGCATTTGATATAGCAGCAAGCGCAAGGTAAGTTTGTAATATGCATTAGCTTTAATTCTTATCACTAACATCATGCTTTCTTGAACTTACTCATATACATATGTCTCCCTCCTTCTGGATAGGGAACTCCTGAAAAGCAGATCCCACAGGCTGCTACGTTCCCTCTCTCCTAAAACACTCTTAGTGGGTTATACCTTGCAGGATTGTGGTGATCAACTAAGACAGTAGGTGAAGAGAGGTTAGCAGCGGGTCTGGCACACTGTAGGCCAGAAAGAATCATCCCGAGTCCAAGGGTGCTTTTTAAATACCAAATATCTTAATCCTGATGTTTTTATGTAACCACAATGTGTAGACTTGTCAAAAATGTTAAAAATAGAAGAAACCAAAAATCAAAGAGAAAAATCTTCTCATAGTTTCTAATCCAACTTGCATGGAAATAGTTATCTTGCAAAAGAGTGAAGGGTGTAAATTTTTTCATTCATTTAGGGGAGTTGTTTTGGTTTTTCTTGTTTTATTCTTTGGGTAGTTTATTTGTTTTTCCCACACTATTTTTTTTTTAATGACAAGTAAGGGTGACACCACTTTTCTTAAAAACAATAAAAGCTACAGAAAAAAAAAAGGCTTTAAAAGTCTCCAAAGGCCTCAGGAACTTTTGCCCAGAGAAGTGTACTCCTCAAGCAAAGCCATGGAAAACAACATCTGCCACAGGCGCAGGGCTGAGCCAAACCCCTGCGGCGAGGGCTCGCTTTATTTTTGGTCCAAGCTGACAGTACAGGAAGCCACATCCACTGACTTCTTTTTCATTTAAGATTCTACATTCATCAATACGTCTTGTTAGGTAAGCCTCCAGTGGATTTCCTCTATTTGGTCTAAGAAATCTGAAGAGGAAAAACAGAAACACACAGTCACCATTCCTAGGAAAATAGTATCAGCCCAGCAAGAGACCAAAACAGGTATCTGGTAAAAGCTCCCACTCTATTCTCTTTAAACTGCACTTTATTCTAAAAAAAAAAAAAAAAAAAAAAAAAAAGAGCTCCCTGAGTTTAAACAGTGTTTGATTTTATATAAGCACCAGATGATTCTAATTCCTTTTGGAAAAAGGTGGTGGAGGATTCCATAAAAACTCTGATAATCATTTCTTCTACCAACTTTAGTCAACAAAAAAATTGAAAGGCTTAACGTAGGTGAAAACTGAAAAATACAGAGTTCCGCAAACACAAGTTAAGACTGTCATTTTTAAAAAGAAGCATCTAAAAGTCACTTTGGTGCATCTCAAATGCACGTCTTTACATAACTGATCAAGATACAAACCATTTGCAAACATTTATGTTTTAAATCACAGATAGCTATTCCAACTCAGAGATTTTAAGTGATTACACAATGAACTGGTCCTCATTTGCTCTCCCTTAATTTTCCCTAACCTTGCATGGCTTCTAGAAAAAGACAAAAACTGACAGACAAGGGTAGTATGGCCAAGGAGCCCTGATTTATTTCAGCTTTGAAAGGCCACTACACTTGGATTCTCATTTCTGCAAGGAATGCAATCCAGAGAGCTGAGCTCGCTGTCCTGAATAAAGTACACGTTTTTCTCATCTAGCGGAGTAATCTTGTGAAATGTGAGTACAATCTGCCCAGTGTCTGAGGGAGGCAAAGGGGGAGGGTGGGGTCGTGCTGGGACACAGAGGAGTCACTCCCTGTTTGGAGAGCCACGCTCCTAGAGCACCAGGCTCACAGGAGGGCACAGGCAGGAGGCAGGATCCTGGCCTTCACGGTGCCCAGGAAAGAGAAGCTGTCCAAGCTGGACAAGCAGAGAGGGACCTGTTGCCCTGAGAGCTAGTCGCTAAACTAATCCACATCAAGGAGGGCCATGGGCCTCTGGGGCAACACAGGGACCTGACAATAGAAAGCAAGGGGCAGTGTGGGAAGGAATCTAGCACCTTCTCCAACCAAGAGGTCAGCCCCAAACAGGGGATGTTGGTGATGGACCCCATCAAGACATTCCCTCAGCTTCATCAGAGGTCATGCACTCTCCCCAGTTCCACACACACCCCACCTTGCTCACAAGCAGAAGGGGAAAGAAGGCACCTTGGCATTCATTTGGGAAGCTGCCAAGACAGTCTAATCTTTCAAATGGGGCATCTAACCTGATAGCAGCCACAGTGCAATAGACTACATGTGTTCAAATTCTAACCTCCAATGTGATGGCATTAAAAGGTGGGACCTTTGGAAGATAGTTTGGTTATGAGGGCTCTACCCTAATGAATGAGATTAGCCATTATAAAAGGGACCCCAGAAAGCTTTCTACCCTCAAGAGGGCCCACACCAGAACCCAATCATGCTGGTACCCTGATATTGGATTTCCAGCTTCCAGAACTATGAGAAATAGATTTTCTGTTGTTTATAAGCCACCCAGTCTAAGGTATCTTGTTACAGGTAGCCTGTAAGACACACAGATATTTACACGATCTCATTTTTATTATAGTCTAGGTTTACAATGCATTTAATTTTATAAAGCCTTGTATGGGAAGGAGATAAAGTAATAGTGATAATAATTTATATTTCCTCCAACCATATCTAGTAAACACAAATGGGTCCTTTTAAGTAAAGTTTCTTTCTGACTAATAAGGAAATAAATGTATACCTCATTACTGTATGACCTCCCAGAAGCTCATGAGTTCTGAGGATTTAGAAGAAATTATTCAAGTGGAACTTCCCTAGACATCATGGGCCCAAACTGACTCCTTATACCAGAGATTACTTTTTAATTCCTCTCATCAAGGCTGGCTGAATAAACCTTACCCATGTCAGCACACAAGTGAAGGCAATGACATTTTTTAATGGCATAATCCAGGTCATCATACCCTAGAATAGTCACCATGATGCATGTGCCTGCTGATTAGAACCTTCGTATCATTCCTGTTGCAAGACACATAGCTACTTCCTGTTCTGGAAGTTTTGGAGGGGTGAGAAAAAGAAGGGCAAGAAGGGAAGAGACATTCATGACAAAATCTGGAAAGGCTCTTTGAGGAGCTATAGCCTCTCCTTCTCAGGCAGTAGCAAATAGTCTCATCAAAACAAACTTTGAAATCTAGAATGAAGATTTTGAAAAGAAATCCACTGTTATATATGAAATGTTAAAACATGCGTACTTTTTCCCTCAGCAAACCCACCTTTAACAATCTATCAAAACACAAATGTATTGGGTTATGGTGCCAGGCAGATTTCTAAGGTGGCTCCTAGTGATCTCTGTCTCCTGGCATCCATGCTTTTGTATAATGCTCTGATTGAGTGAAGGCTGGACCCAGAGACTGACTTCTAGTGAACAGAATACAGCAAAAGGGATGGGGCACTCTTCTGAGATTAGCTTATAAAACACTGTGACCTCTCTTGCTCACACACTCTTGCTCTCGCTTTGATGATGCCAGCTGCCATGTTGTGAGCTCTCCTCCTGAGAGGCCCACATAGCAAGGAACTGAAGGTGCCTTCCAGCTAAAAGCCAGCCAGTGAGGAGCAAAGGCCCTCAGGCCAACAGTTCACCAGGATCTGAATCCTGCCAATGACCACTGAGTAAGCTCCGAGGCGGCTCCTTCCCAGTCAAACCTTGATACAGCTGCAGCCTCAGCCTTGGGAGAGATCCTGAACCGGAGAACCCAGCTACGCTGTACTCTGCCTGCTGACCCAAAAAAACTGCGAGATAATAAACGTTGTTGTTTTTAAACCACTGCATTGGAGGGGATTCTGTTATGAAGCAATAGATAAATCATACAGCTGTTTAAGCCTCATTGTTTATAATCACATACAAAAGGAAACAACCAAAAGTCCATTCATTGATAACTAGTATAATCAAGAATGGCATATCCACATAAGAAATATTGGGCAGCCCTCAAAACACAGGGAGGTCAATATATCTGTATTGATATGAAAAGAAGTTCATGAAAATCAAAAAGCAAATTGCAAAACAACATGTGACTTTTAAAAAATGGCAGATATCGACATCCATTCCTGTAAACTCCAGATAAGCTCCTCACCCAGTGTTCTCATTTCAGAAAACAATTCTAGTAGTCTAGTTGCTCTGTCTAATCAATTTGAAAGTATATCATTTACTTCAAATTGCCAACACATCCCAAACTCCTCACACCCTCCACCACAACTACTCTTGTCCACACCACCAGATTCTCTCTCTTTACAGCTGCCATTGACTGGGCTGGTTGCACTGCCTCCACTTCTGCTCCTCGGCAAACTATTATTTCCAGACAGGAGCCAGAGTGGTACTTTAAAGATATAAGTGAAATCAGGCCACTGCCCTCTTCAAGCCCTACAATGGCTTCCCATCACACTCAGAATAAAAACAAATGTTGCTATATTGGTTTACAAAGTCATGATCTACAGATCTGGCCCCTGGATACCTCTCCTTCCCCTACGATTCTCTCCCTTACTTATCTGCTCTATCCACAGTGGCCTCCCTGATGTTTCTACAACATGCCAAGTCTTCTATCACTTCAAGGCTGTATTAGTTTGCTAGGCCTGCCATAACAAAGTACTCAAAACTAGGTGGCTTAAAGAATAGAAATGTACTGTCTCAGTTTTGGAGACAAGAAATCTGAAATCAAGGTGTTGGCTGGGCAATGCTTTCTCTGAAGGCACTAGGGAGAAATCTGTTTCATGTTTCCGTCTTTGTTTCTGGTGGGGTTTTTTGGTATCTTCAGTGTTCCTTGGCTTGTAGACTCAGCACCTCAATCTCTACCTTCATCTTCACAAGTTATCCTTCCTGTGTGTATGTCTATCTCCAAATTTTCCCTTTTTATGAGGATAGCAGTCATTTTAGATTAGAGGCCCACCCGACTCCAGTATGACCTCATGTTAACTGATTATTTTCTGCAATAACCCTGTTTTCAAATAAGGTCATGTTAAAAGGTATTGCAGGTTAGGAATTCTACATATGAATTTGGGATGGGGAACATAATTCAACCCCAAAACAACTGCCTTTGCAATCACTGTCCCCTCTTCCTGAAAAGCTCTTTACCCAGTGTGGCTGCCATGAGACTATGCCTTGTAGACATCCAACTTACAAGGAGTATTACTGGCTAGGAGTTACAGCTGCTGTGCTCTGAAATCCATCTCTGCATTTGTGCTGAAGCCACATTTCTCACAGGCTACTCCTAGATAGTGACTGAGCATGGCAGGCATAGTGATGCAAACCTATTCCTGGGAGATGAAAACTTACCTAAGAGGTGGCTTGGACTCAAAGACTCCTCCAAGAGATCCAGGCTCTCTTGAAACAGCACAGCCCTGTAGGATGCTTCCGCTCACCCTCCTCCCTCCCGTCTTCTTCACCTGGGGTCAGACCTGCATCACAATCAGAGGAGTCTCCCGAGCTCCCAGCAGCTCACTCCTACTTTCCCTCATAGTCAGACAGGGCATTCAAAAGGGCTCTGTGCTTGGTTGAATACTCCTCTGCAGCCATCTTGGAATTCTTAATGTTATTTTGAACAAGGAGCCCCACATTTTCATTGTTTCCTTGACCTCACTCTTGCTCACAGGAGTTGCCTTAATAAATCTCTTGCATAGCCAATCCTGCCTTGGCGTAATGCTTCTTGGAGAAAACGGACTCACACCCCAGATACCAGCATGATTCTTCATTACTGCATGTAAGCCTGTGCTCAAAGGTCACTCCTCAGAGAGGTTTCCTTTGCCACCCTAATAAAGCACATGACCCAAACCAGTCCCTCTCTCTCCCATTCTCCTGCTTTAATTTTCTTCATCGCTCCAGCTGATTTTACTATATGTTTTACTTATTGTTTGTTTTGTCTTTCCCATGAGAATGTAAACTATACAGGAGCAAAGACACAGTGTTATTTATTGTTGTGCCCCAGCACCTATGACAAAGTCAGGAACATGATAGGTGGCCAATAAATGGTTTGTGAGTGAATTAATTTACATTAAAAATGTCAGTCTGAATTTACCCAGATCCTCTTTCAGTTCCAAAATATAAGCCATGGCAGCCATCACAAGAATGTACCTCATATACCTGTAAGACATAACTGTTCTTCTTAATGCAGGCCAGAAATGAAGCCAGAATCCAAAGCTAAACCAATAAGAATGAGAGCAAATACTGCTATCACCCAGAGGGGTGTTGAATCTGGATACAGCTGCTTAGGGGTTTAGGGCTGGGATGCCCATTTGAGAACAGGTGACATGGCCCAAGGCTCATGCAAGGTAAGATGCTGGAACTGACATAACTGCATCAAGTCAGAATTCTTCAAAATATCCATTTACATAAAAACAGGACTAGAAGAACTACCACTGCTCCAAGTAGCTCAGGGAAGGGGGAAGTAAGTCTGAATTGTGCTCCAGTATCAGGGTGAAAAAAAATGCATCCGATTAAAAAAACTAAATAGAACACCAAGCCTATGTCATGCACAAGTGTGTTGCACAAATTTACATTGTTTAGGCTGTGTAAGTATCTTGAACTAATAGATCACTATAAAAATGTTCCCAGAACCAGGGAAGAAGCAAACTCAAATTGTTCTGTAGAAATATTTTCATAACTCAGGACCTACAAGACTCCCTCAGAATAAACAATTCCTGCTGAATAAACCCACAAAGAATGAAGCCAGTCAGAAGGAGAAGCCACGTACACAATGAGCAGAAGAATTAGCACCTCTAAGAACTTACAGTAAGAGAATAATCTGACAGGATCTATAAGCTAATTACGTTTAAAAGTTTTTTTTAACATAAAAGAAGGAATAAAAACCATAATAAAAGAACCATCCTTTATGAACAAAGGGCAACTTTGAAAAAAAGAACTAATTTGAATTCTTAAAGATGAGAAAAACATGTTAAATTGCATATTAGATACAGCTGAAAAGAGAATTACCATCATGAAAGATGGGTCTAAAGAAGTGTTCTGAATGGAGCAGAGAAAGAAAAAAGGGATCAAAAAATGTGAAAGAGAGGTTATAAACACAGAGAGTAAATTGGGGAAATAAAACACATTTAATTGAAGTTCTGGAGAAGGAGTAGGTTATGTGAGAGTGGCAATACTGAAATGATAAAAGCTGAGAATTTAATAGCATTAAAGCAATACATATGTTCTTGATTTAGAAAATTACAAGTCCCAAGCAGGATTAAAAAGACACACACACACACACACACACACACACACACACACACACACAGCGGTAAATGGCAGAACACTAGCACCAAAGAGAAAGTCATACAAGCAACCAGAGAGAAAAAGATAAATTACAAACTTAATAATGGCAATTAGATTGGTGGTGGACTTTTCATCAATAATACAGAGGCCAGATGATAATGAAATGACATTCAAAGTGGTAATAAAAAAACCTGTCAAACTAATATTCTATACCTAATTAAGTTGCTGCTCAAAAATGGGGGTATTTTAACCTGTTTTACGCTGCTATAACAGAATAACACAGACTAATTTACACAGAACAGAAATTTATTTCCTCACAGGTCTGGAGGCTGGGAAGTCCAAGAGCAAGGCACCAGCAACTACTGTCACATCATGGCAGAAGGCATCATATGGGCAAGAGAGAGAGAGGGAAGGAGGCTAAACTCATCCTTTATAAGAAACCCCTTCCTTTAATAACAAACCCACTCCTACTACAATGAACTTACTCCCATGATAATGGCATTAATCCATTCATGAGGGCAGAACCTTCAGGACCTAATCACCTCTTAAACTTCCCACCTCTCAACACTGATGCATTGAGGATTAAGTTTCTAGCACATGAATTTTAGGAGACATATTCAAACAGAGGGTGAAATAAAAACATATTCATACCAAAAAAGAGAGACTATCCAATTCATAGACCCTTGCTGAAAGAAATATTAAAGAATAATAACTTCGATATGAAGGAAACTAAGAAAAAGATAAATAAGCAATGATAAGCAAAGAAGACAAACATGTTAGTATATTTATAAACACCCCTACTCAAAAAAAATTTTTAAGATTAATAGGGAAAGGCATTATAAACAACTTGAAACTAAAACATCAGATAGCAATAATATGAAAGAGTGATTAACTTAAAGTACTCTATGGCCCTTGCATTACGTGATAGGGGAATAGAAATTTTGAATAACTTAAAACTTTTTAAAAGCTAAGCTCGTGCTTTGGGAGGCCAAGGCAGGAGGTTTGCTTCAGGCCAGGAGTTTAAGGCCAGCCTGGGCAACATAGTGAGACCTAGTCTCTACAAAAAGTTTTAAAAATTAGCTGGATGTGGTGGTACGTATCTATAGTCCTAGCTACTTGAGAAGCTGAGGCAGGAGAATTGCTTTAGCCCAGGAATTCAAGGTAACAGTGAGCTATGACTGCACTACTGCACTTCAGCCTGGGCAACAGAGCAAGATACTGTCTCTTTAAAAAAAAAAAAAAAAGGCTAAGCATTCATATTATTCATATAATATTTTCAGGGGAAATGAGGAAGGAAATGGGAGAGAAGAAATAGAATGCATAACTTTTTTTTTTCTTTGAGACAGAGTCTCACTCTGTTGCCCAGGCTGGAGTGTGGCGCAATCTCGGCTCACTGCAACTGCAACCTCTGCCTCCTGCCTCAGTCTCTCAAGTAACTGGGACTACAGGCACATGCCACCATGCCCAGCTATTTTTTTTTTTTTTTGAGACGGAGTCTCGCTCTGTCACCCAGGCTGGAGTGCAGTGACGCGATCTCGGCTCACTGCAAGCTCCGCCTCCTGGGTTCACGCCATTCTCCTGCCTCAGCCTCCGGAGTAGCTGGGACTACAGGCACCCGCCACCATGCTCGGCTAATTTTTTGCATTTTTTAGTAGAGACGGGGTTTCACAATGTTAGCCAGGATGGTCTTGATCTCCTGACCTTGTGATCCGACTGCCTCAGCCTCCCAAAGTGCTAGGATTACAGATGTGAGCCACCGTGCCTGGCCCCAGCTAATTTTTGTATTTTTAGTAGAGACAGGGTTTCACCATGTTGGCCAGGATGGTCTTGATCTCTTGATCTGCCTGCCTGGGCCTTCCAAAGTGCTGGGATTACAGGCGTGAGCCACCGTGCCTAGGCAGAATTGTATAACTTCTAAAGTAGTAGAAGAAAGGAAAGGGGGAAAAAGAATACTCAAATGAGACATATACAGACAAAATATGAAAAAAAGAAGGAATTTTAAGGATGTAAGAATATAAGAAAGAATTAAGAGAACAGAAAATGATAAATATATAAGTAAATCAATACAAGCACTGACTCTATAAAAGAATAAAAGAAACGATGCCTTGTGGAGTTTGAAAAATTATATAGACTTAAAATACTCAAAAGACTAGTGTAAGAATTGCGGGGAGGGATAAATAAGAAGGGTGTTATTCAAAGGAAGGTAAAACTATTGATCACTTTAGAATTTAGTAAGTTAAAGACGCATGCTATAATTACTAGGCTAATCTCTGAAAGAATAAAACAGTATGCCTTTCAGAGTGGTGCAGAAGAAAAAACAGAGTGAGACAATGAACTCGCTCATCCATAAAAAGACAAAAAAGGCGAGAAGAAACATAGAAACTGTGCAACAAACAGCACAAAAGACTCCAGCAGATATGGACTAAAATATATCGGTACAGTTAATTATAACAAATGTAAATCAACTAAATGCTCCAGCTAAAAGATGATGGCAAACTGAAATGCTTACTGGGGCAGAGTAGGTCACATAACTGAGTAAACAGCCAGGTGTAGGAAAGCAACAACCCAAATAACCACAACTGATGTCTCCTCAGGGTCAGGGAGACAATAGAGTGTGGTGGCGCCTGGGGTAAACTGGTAAGCGTGTACCTGTCTAAGGAAGGTAGTTTTTTTTTTTTTGTTTTTTTTGTTTTTTTTTTTTTTTGAGACGGAGTCTAGCTCTGTCGCCCAGGCTGGAGTGCAGGAGTACAGTGGCGTGATCTCGGCTCACTGCAAGCTCCGCCTCCCAGGTTTATGCCACTCTCCTGCCTCAGCCTCCCAAGTAGCTGGGACTACAGGCGCCCGCCACCATGCCCAGCTAATTTTTTGTATTTTTAGTAGAGATGGGGTTTCACTGTGTTAGCCAGGATGGTCTCGATCTCCTGACCTCATGATCTGCCCGCCTCGGCCTCCCAAAGTGCAAGGATTACAGGCGTGAGCCACCGCGCCCAGCCTAAGGAAGGTAGTTCTTACAGATCGTTGCCATGTGGGAATACAGTCCAATGTCACATATGTTAACTTTCAAAAACCTGGGAACTCGGAGTTTTATGGGAAATCAGAATTTTAAACATCAGCCATGAATTTTTTTTTAAAAAGCAAACACTGAAAAAAGGAAATAAAATGCTATTGATCCAGTGGAGGGAAGAAAAGAGATAAGATGAAACAAATGAACGAAAAGCACGGTAAATAAAATGCAAAAACAAAAAAACATAAAGCAAAAGGGTGGAATAAAAAAACAACTCTTTCAAACCACTGAAACATGAATGGAAGCGAAGGCTTATGCTAAAACGCCACTGTGATCCCCACCCTGTAATTTCCGCCCTGTTCAACCTTATCATTTGGCTGAAGAGACCTAACATTAAAGGACGGGAAAAACATTAAATAATCCAAACATAAAGCACATGGAGCCCCACTGGCCACTCAAAACTCATAATAATGTCTGGATGGTCTGGATGTTTGTTCCACCAGGTCTGCTTACACCAAGTCTCCTTTGGGGGCTTACTGGATACCTGGGCTTATCTAGCTATTAAGAAAAACGGCAATGTTAAAAGGAATGCTCTGTGCCTAAAAGAATGGAGAGGAGGAAGAAGAGAAAGGAAAAGAAAAATCCACAACATTCACCTTAAGTTACTCTTTGAGCCAGTTCCTGGAATGTCAGTTCTTCCCCATAGACCTTACTATGAGGTAAGGTCTCAAATGTTCAGTGTGGCTTCCAAGGCTTTTCAGACCTGGCTCAGTTGCATCTCAACCTCTGCCTCTACACCATTGCCCGTGCTGGTGGCCTGCCCAGATGTCTTTATCTCCCCATCTGTACTTCCCACCAAACCCTTTCCAAGTGAAGCATTCTCTAAAAGTTGCTTGAGGTTCCTGACAAAATCCCTGTATAAGGAATGCACCACATGGCCGTTTTTAAGTTTGGTTGTACTCTGCAAAAATTTGTGTAATGAGACAAAGAAAATTGTATTCATCAGAAGGCACATGGGGAAAATGGGTTGGCCTGATAAGGCTGCTTCTGGAGAGAAATGAAGCCAGGATAAGGACTGGACTCTTTTCCTAGAGTATCTTGCCTTGAACAGGCCTCCTGCTAACCTGTCTTATCCACTGGAAAACATAGCTACAGCGCTTGCAGTTTAATATCTTTAAGAGGTGCACATACATATTTGAGGGCTTAAAAGAGATAATTGTTTCCAAAATACAAAGAGATAAACATGACAATTACCAAATGTTTAAGTAAATGTCTACAAATATACGGTACTTTTTTTTTTTTTTTTTTTTTTTTTGAGACGGAGTCTTGCTCTGTCGCCCAGGCTGGAGTGTAGTGGCGCCATCTTGGCTCACTGCAAGCTCCGCCTCCCGGGTTCACGCCATTCTCCCGCCTCAGCCTCCCGAGTAGCTGGGACTACAGGCGCCCGCTGCCACACCTGGCTAATTTTTTGTATTTTTAATAGAAACGGGGTTTCACCGTGTTAGCCAGAATGATCTTGATCTCCTGACTTTGTGATCCGCCCGCCTCGGCCTCCCAAAGTGCTGGGATTACAGGCGTGAGCCACCGCGCCCGGCCAATATATGGTACTTCTTTCATTGTTAAATCTAACAAATTTCAATAACATTTTGTTTCAAAATATTTTAAAAATATTTTCTTGTGCATGAAAACAATTAGTAAGTTAAGCTGACTTTCTTTTTAAGAATTCTTGACTGCATAGCTCCTGAGAAAACAGAGCTAATCATAAATTGAATGACATACTTACAGTCAAATGATTTCAAAGGCCCAATTATAAAGGTGCTTTTCATCGCTTGCTGCACAGATTATATTTAATGTGAGGTGTGGGTGCACGTTGTTATGTTTGGTATGCTCGTGGGCAGAAGAGGAACTAAGGCCTCAGAAAATCTTAAAAGACCTGGTCCCATGTACAGCAGGAGGGTGCAAAGAGAGCTGGTATTAATAGGATGTGAAGCGACGTAGGGGGAAATGGCAGAGGGTGTGTCACAGCTGAGTGGTCCATTTGCTGCTGCTCGCCCTTCATGAATGAAATCTTCAAAAAAGCTACAGACTCTGGAAAATGCTGCTTTCCACTGGATTTCTTGTAGGGGATAAGGGTTTGAGTCCAGGTGACAGAGCCACTAAGGAGTGCCAGGGCAGGGTGAGGGCCCATAACGAGCTTATGATGCCAAGCATTGGGGTTCAGGCCAAGTTCTTCCTGCATCTTTGAGGGGCAGGGATGCCCCAAGTGAGAATTGTTACCTGCATTTCATAATATATGCTCTTCTCAAAATGCAGGTCCTATCACAGTTGTCTGGAGCTGAGGGTGAGTTGAACATAGAAGTGATCAGGAGTCTTTCTAAGGGCTCCCATTCAGAGGATCCCATTAACTCAGAGAAAAACGGGAAGAGATAATAAACAGCCATCACAGAAGACACTGATCTAACAAGGTCTCCCAGCATTTCCACAGCAGCCCCCTGTCTGCCATGTAGGGGGTTGAGAAGGTGGGCTGTTTGCTTTCAGTTATAATGGGTCTATGCTAAAAACAAAACAAAAAACTCAGGCGGGAGTAAGAAGCCATGGCAAGTGGACATTTCTCCCTGTGCAAAACTGATGAGTGGGAGGCAGTAAGAAGAGAGCAAACTGAAGTGCATTATTTTTCATTTATTTTTACTTTAAATAAAAAGCATAAAGAATTTGAAAATATTTTGTTAGCCTTCAACCTTCGAGTCACTTTAACCTATCCACATTAAAGGGCCACCATAAAGGCTTCATGAATAGCAGTCCCAGGATAATTCCCTTCTGTTTGCTTGTTCCTGTGCATTTCATGTCTGCCCACCTCCTGAGCCTTGCACCTGCCCTGTGGGTTTGGTGCTTGCACAAATCAACCCCCCGACCCCCGGCCTCCTCTACCCTGCCCTGAGAACTCAGCGTTCCATGCATCCTCAGGCTTTTTCTGCAGGCTGTCAAACCCAGGCATGAGCTCACCAGGGTACCAGCTAGTAAACTACATCCACACAGTCAGGTTGAGGTATCCACTTTAGAAGGGGACTCTGGGACATGGAGTACAGTGACCATTATACCTCAGTTAATGGAAACTTGACTCCCAGCCTTTAACCCTGACAACACATGAACCACCCCGGAAAATTGGCCTTGCCAGTATTTTTAAACAGACCACGGATCCAAGTTCGAGACAAGTGTTTTGCGTGGCCAGATGGACAGTTTCAGCTGGATGTCTCAAGGGCATCCAGTCCATATATTGATAATATATCAATAACAACAAGGATCATAGCAAATACTTCTATATATCACTTATTCTACAATATTAACTCATTTAATCCTCGAAACAACCCATGAGGTAAGTACTGTTATTATTCCTATCTTAACAGATAAAGAAGCTGAGAAAGGTTAAGTAACTTACCCAACAACAACCTGGCAAGGTAGGGACTGTGGAGCTCATTTTACACAGGAAGGAAATGGGTTCACTGAGGTTAGGTGACTTGCTTGCAGAACCAGAACTGAAACCCACCTCTGCTGGCTCTAAAGCCTATTTCCTTTCTAGGACTCAAGGCCTCTCCAACACCACTATTTCTGTTAAGAGCTACATCTGTCTCCCAATCACAAAGCCCCAAATGTCAGCATTGCCTTGGGCAAATCTCACTGATTCTGTCTCTGGAATGTCTCCAATATTAGCCCCTTTCTTTGCACTCCAATGGCTCCTGCTTTACATTTCACTTTCATATCGACTTTTGTGTGGACCATCTCAAACTGATTTTACATCCTACATTCTCTTCCCTCTCTACCCTCATGGAAAATTACTCTTCTTTAAAACACAGCTCTACAAAATGTCAACAGCAGAATTACCATGATATCAATTTTTCCCCCTTGTTCTCTTCTGTGTTTATTGAGTTAAAGGCATTGAGATTATATTCCTTTTGTAATAGGAAAAAAATGGCAGAAACAAAACACTATCTAATGATGTTAAGTCCTGTATGTATAAAACTCACCAACACTATTGCTAACCACATAAGTGCAAACTCACTGAGCTGAACTATTCAAGACTTTTTACAAAGAGAGTCAAAAATCTATAATTTGTTCAATCAATATTTCTTGAGCACTTGGTACACTAGGCTGGGTTTTCTGTAATGAATGAAAGATATAACTCTTCTCTTAGTGGAGCTTACAGTCTGTTGGGGGAGAAGCCATTAAACACACATACATGATGTACAATTACAAATTGTGCTGTGTGCCAAGAATGAAAAGAGCAAGTGCCACAAGACAGGACAACGGGCAAGAGCTAGTTTCGATGGTGGACCAGGAATGCCTCTTTGATGAAGATACTTGTGCACAGAGACTAGAAGGATTCAGGGTGGCAGTATTAGAAGCAAGTCAAAGAGTATGAAGAACTTCCAACGCAGGAGGACCGGTAAGTGAGAAGACCTGTGTGTAAACCTGTAAGCCAATACCTATCTAAAGTTTCATTTGATGAAATCTATTAAGACTTTTAAGAAGAAGATCTGGAACAAGAAATCCAAACAATTAATAGGATAGAAAATTGATCACTTCTGCCTCTGGCTCAAATTTGAAGCACCCTTCAAAGCATTATGGAGGCAATGAATAGAATAACTTCCTGTGTCTTGAGTAATCACATCCCAAATGAACAGACGCATAAGTGGATCAAGCCTAACTAAAGCTAGTCCTGTGGCATCCAAGTGTCAGGGTTTCATATTCGATTAAAACTTTCACCTGGCATTCAAGGGCCCGCATTCTGATTACAATCTAATTTTCCAGCTTTATGTTAGTTAGCTCTGGCCTTCTAGAGATGAGAAGCAGAAATCCACCCAGGCTAGTGTGACTGTGGGGAGAAGTGGTGCTTTAAGAATTTAATGGGAATAAAGAAAATATGAGGTTCATATGAATCTAAACAGGAGTTAAAACAGGACTTGGCCATGTATAAAGTGGAAAGACTCAAGGCAGCTTAAGAATGCTTAGTGTTGGGGCTGGGCGTGGTGGCTCACGCTTGTAATGCCAGCACTTTGGGAGGCTGAGGCAGATGGATCACTTGAGGCCAGGGGTTCAAGACCAGCCTGGCCAACATGGTGAAACCTCACCTCTACTAAAAATACAAAAATTAGCTGGGTGTGGTGTCACATGTCTGTAATTCCAGCTACTCAGGAGGCTGAGGAACGAGAATCACTTGAACCTGGGAGGTGAAGGTTGCAGTGAGCCAAGGTCTCACCATTGCACTCCAGCCTGGGCAACACAGTAAGATTCTGTCTCAAAAATAAATAAATAAATAAATAAAATAAATAAATAATTCTTAGCGTTGGGAGGCAATTCTCCATAACGTTTCTATAAGTCATGCCAGACTATATTTTCTGGGATATTTGCATAGCAAACAGCCTAGGAAACTAAAGATAGTGTTCCCCTGCAGATCAGAAGGCACATGTGTTTCCTGACTAGCATAGTAAAGACAGAGAACATCCCCTGCCCAGAGATCGGTTTACATTCCAGGGTAATAAGCTTTATTACCCTGGAATCAGCCGTCTCTGGAGGGGAGGATAGGCATGTCTCCTTATAAAATTGGGGTTTTCTAAAGCTCAGTGTTGCTCAGCTGTGAAACAGACCCCTATGTGCACAGTATCCACCTAGGCCCACATCCCCATCACCTCCATGAGACCTGGGGGGCCAGGGAGAACTGATGATGCAGACATAATGCTCATGCTGCCTGATGTACCACGAGTAATAAACTAGATAGGTACATTTGGGTTCATTATTTCCTTTCCAGCTGATCTAGTAGCTTTCTATTCTAAGCTGCTCCTTAGGGGCTGCTTGGCCACCTGACCCTTAGAAGCAAGAGTTCGAAGATTTTTCACTTTTGCGTATGCCATTAAAATGACTCAACTATTTCCATAGATTCTTCATGTACATCTTTCTCACCCTGATGCTATGGTCTCTTCTCTGCTTATTGATTCTGCTATGCTATCATCATGGCTTCTGCCTTCTCTTAACTTGGTCTTGCTCATGGTCTTTTGTGTGCATCCTTGTAGATTTCACTTCTGACTGTCTGATAATCTTTACTTCCAAAACCAAACTTCTGAGAGAAATAACCTATTGGGACAATGTGTCCCTGAATGGACAGGGATTTTCAAGGCAGGCCAGTCCCTAGGTCTGCCAGTATGCAGACTGGCTCCCCTTGAGTCAGGTGACCATCATGATGATTATTTATCTGCTGTTTCAGCCTCAAACCTGCCCTACTACATTTCTCTGTGTTTCCCCTGCAGCTGGAAGTCTGCAAACAACTAGCTGTTTCCTATTATGTTGTATCCATGGGAGGCAGAGGAGGGACAGCATCAGGCAGAATACAGAGAGACTTTTCTTGCATTTAGCTCTAACTTGTGAAAACTGCTGTAGTAGCAGCAAGGGTAACGGTAACTCAGAACTCCAACCATATCACCCAACTCAGCACAACATTCACCCCAGTGGATATCAAGGTACACTGCAAACATAATGTTTTACACAGAGATCCAAGATTGGTATCACATCTCTCTTTTTATATTTATTTATTTATTTTTGAGATGGTGTCTCGCTCTGTTGCCCAGGCTGGAGTGCAGTGGTGCAATCTTGGCTTACTGCAGCCTCTGCCTCCCAGGTTCAAACAATTCTCCTGCCTCAGCCTCCTGAGTAGCTGGGATTACAGGCAAGCGCCACCACACTCGGCTAACTTTTGTATTTTTAGTAGAGACAGGGTTTCACCACATTGGCCAGGCTGGTCTCGAACTCCTGACCTTACGTGGTCTACCCATCTCCGCCTGCCAAAGTGCTGGGATTACAGGTGTGAGCCACTGCGCCCTGCCTGGTGTCACATCTCTAAAGGGGTCATGGCATACCCATCGAGTAGCACTGACAACCAAACAGGATGCCCCTTTGCTTATCTAGAACACTATGGAATGTGGTCAGCACAGAAAGGAGAAAGTGCAGCTTACATAACGTACACATTTCAAGGCTGCCTGTATTCACTTATGTTGTGCCAGGGCTGACAAATTGACTGGCATAGGGCTATACCATTACATGCCAGGGGCTCAGAATTGTTCCTACTTATTCTGGAAGGACTGGTAACTTACACAGACTAAAAGAGTGAGACATGATGTTTCAAGTGATAATATCTAGCGGGGATTTTAGATAATCATGGCTCCCACGGTAGTTTTAGAAAATGTGGATACTGCCGCCTGGTCTTCTTCCTAGCCATTTTGAGTTTGCTTTCCAGCTTTTCGCTGGTGCTTCATACTCACTTTTTGCACTGGCATAGCCTTTTGTCAACCGTATTTCCATTTACTTCTCCTAGTCCGTCTTTCCCTTTCACTTGTGGTTTTCTTCCCTTGTCATTTAAGCATTCTCAACTACACATAGAAATCCAACAGAAGCCTTTTGTGTGGGGGATTCCCTCAGTCCCAGGCAGTCCTGAAAGCAGCAGGTGTCTCTGCAAAGGCTTCTGTCAGACCTTAGACTTATACCCAGCAGCTGCTAATCCTGAGCTCTCACTCTTAAAAAGCAGTAAAATAGACTTCAGTCAAAAACAAGTATGGTGGGAGTTAACTCCCTCATCTTGAGCTCAAGCCACACTTGCCTTGAAATTTTCCAAAAATTCACTAAGCTAATTTCTCTCACTATGGAAAGAGAGAAAGGCTATGTTGCTGGTATACAATGCTGCCTGTGATGGAGGTGGTGAGGCATAAATTTCCCTAATCGGAAGATAAAGGCTAACCACGTATGTGGGTGATGGGGGTTGGAGGTAGCTTCCAGGGCACTGGAGCTACAAGTAGAAGCACAAATTTTCCTGGCTGGAAACAGGCCCCTAGAGGGAAACATCACACCAGATAAGGAAATAATCTTTTTTTTTTTTTGGTCCAACAGGGCACTAAGGCTCATTATCATATGCCAAGTAATGTCCACCTATACAAGAATACACAAACTAACTTCTTATGTTATTAACACAAATGTATCTCTAAAACAGTCACATAAGCTAAAAAACAAAACAACTATTAAACTTGACTTTATATTGTTTATGGATTCATTCACATATATAGTAAATATTCTTTAAGGTGGTGAAACAAGATATTAGGACAGCTACTTAAAGTTCAAAAGAGCCAATGTGCCTCTTTTGCCCACTGTTTTGAAATGGTGATGCAGCCAAATTTCAATCCATCAACACACTTCCCCTCTGCATTGCACACACAAAGCATCACCTGGCTGGGCCTCTTGTTCGAGCTCTCTGTAAAAACATAGAATTCCATAGCATTACTTTAACAGCATATGGTCCAATCCCCCTACTACAGATGGGTGAACTAAGGCTCATGCCTTCAGTGAGCCAACAGGTATAGAGGACCTACCACGTATCAGGCGAAGTTCTAGACCCTGGGGAGAAAAAGATGAATGAGACACAGTTCTTGTCCTAAAGGTGCTCATGGTTTAGTGAGAGAGATTAGACACAGACACACACACTCACACCCCTGCAATAAAATATTAAAAGTATTATTATGTGTGTTTGTGGAATTATGAGATTCCTTGCAGATTAAGAAGCAACTAATAGTGTTTGAGAGAGGGACTCAAGAAGAGTTTCCCACAGGAGATGAGATTTGAATGTGGGCCATTTAAAGATGAATAGGAATTTGTCTGGTAGGAGACAAGAAAGGGCATTTGAAGCAGTGGAAACAGCATGTGCAAAGACATGTAGTGTGAAAGCACCTGTTCTCTTGGGGAGGAACCTAGGGTGGCTCAGGAGCTGGGAGTAAGGAGTGGGAGAGGAGGTCCAGATGGGTTCCTTGACTTGCCGTAAGGTCCTACAGCAAAACAACTCCAAAGCCCACCTAATTAGGTTTCTTGACTCTCACTCCAGTGCTCTTTACACTGGACCTTGATGCTTTTAGCACCAATAAAATGTAGCCACGTGAAACTAGAATCATTTTTAACATAATAAATACCATCGATGCTGTAGGCACAATGGGTAGCTTAAAAGAGGGTCTGAGGAAAGCCCAGAAAAGCAAATTCGAAGGAGAAATGTAACAACAATGACACCTACCAGAATAAAAAGAGTATTTATCAAAGCCCTAGATAGCACATCATACAGCCTTTTTTTTTTTTAATTCAGAAAATAAAGGATACCAGGACAGAGGAAGATGATAATAATAGTGATAATAATTGCAACAAACGGTCCTAGTGTCTCATACTTTAAAAAAATCCTCCTTTGTATATATTATTTCTTCGGAACGATGAGATAATTATGTAGTTTGGTTAAAATTAATATGCAATCCATAACTAAAAAGAAGAAGACATATTATTTACAACTGTTCATTTGAAGCTATCACTGTTGTCAAAATATAAATCAGATGCCTTCATGATGAGGAATTTGGCACAAGTTCCACATAAGCCAGAAGGTTAGAAAAAGAGAAAAAGGAAGTGTATTCATGCTATTCACTAAGAAAAAAAAGTTTTCTCCACAGATGATGGGAGGCTTTGAAGTTGTGCAAGAGAGCACAGCCACCGACAAGGAGAAATGAGTGTGCAGTGTACTGTTACAGCATTTTGGGGCCCATGTTGAATTTGCCATAATAAGTCTATTTTCTGTCCAAAAAATGGTCAAACTTTTTATTTTCAGAGATTAAAAAAAGACATATATCTGTATCAACCATTCTTTTTCCATATTCTAAATTAGAAAGATAATTCCTTAAAAATCAATATAGGTGGTTGGGCACGGTGGCTCATGCCTGTAATCCCAGCACTTTGGGAGGCCGAGCAGGCAGATCACAAGGTCAGGAGATTGAGACCATCCTGGCTAACATGGTGAAACCCCATCTCTACTAAAAATACAAAAAATTAGCTGGGCGTGGTGGCAGGCGCCTGTAGTCCCAGCTACTTGGGAGGCTGAGGCAGGAGAATGGCGTGAACCAGGAAGGCGGAGCTTGCAGTGAGCCGAGATCGCACCACTGCACTCCAGCCTGGGCGACAGAGCAAGACTCTGTCTCAACAACAACAACAACAAAAATCAATATAGGAATTTGCCTATGTTCTAAGCACCTTTATTTGATATCACTACTTTTATAGGCATATCTCTTTTAAAGTCTTGTCTGAGATACCTAAATGGAAAGTAGTTTACTCACTTCGCTGCTCAAATTGAGAATCCTTGTAGTGAAGAAGAAAGAATTTTGCAAATGAGATTTGAGAGTAGAGAGGGATGTCCATGACATCTTAAGAGCAAATTGCAGGGTATTTGCACATTGCTGTTTGTGCCTGTTTGTATGAGGAAGGAGAAAGTTGTGGAAAAATATGAGCCAATTTGTGGATGCTGGTTCCCACTGTGGGGTAAAAATGAAGGGGGATTACGGAAGAGATTAACTTTTTTCTTCATATATCTGCATAAGGTTCACACTCATTATAATGATCATAAAATGTCACAATTTTCCTTTAATTGAATAGAAAAGATTAAATAGAAAAAACTTGACAAGAAAAATAAACCCTAAGAATAAAGATTTTTTAAAACACTAAAGAATGGATTTACCAAGCATTCCCTGAGCAAAATGTATTCCACAGCAAAGAAATAGGCCCAGGTATCAAACAGGTAGTCTGCCAGCGAAATGCTGCCCAAGTGACTCTCAAGATGAGGTCTACCTAAAGGTTTTCAGAAATGAAATTCATCTAGCATCTAGCACCATAAATTAGCAGACCAATAGGATTTAACCATTTACCAAAACTGCATCTGGGAACTGATAACTGCCAGGCATCATGCTAGCAGGTTTACAGCAATTACTAATTGCATCTGGAGCAGAAGGTAATTAACTCCAGTTTTAGAGCTATTTGGGTTTAATGTACTAACTTTCTGTCATGAAGCTGACAGATAAAAAGAAACTAAGTATGAAGCATGCTTTCAGGGATATGTCTCCAATGTTTGGGAGTCTGTGTGGGTACTGCAGGGGAAAGGGCAACGCTTTGGAACAAAGCAATCCTGCATTTAAATTCTGGTTCAGCTATTATTTGCTGTGTGGCCTGGACATATCCCTTAACTTCTATGAACGTCTGATTTCTAGGGTGCAAAATGGGGATAAGTATTCCTATCTTACAGGCTGTAGAAGGAAATGAGTAAGATCATATACTAAGCTACTTAGCAGCCACACTTGGCAAGCAATAGACACATAATAAAGGAAGCTATTATTACTAAATCATTCCAGTACACCTTGATCAAGAGTGGGCTCACTCTGCTCAATGTATGTAAGAACATACATTTGGGATTTTTTGTTTTGTTTGGTTTTTTGAGACAGAATCTTGCTCTGTCACCCAGGCTGGAGTGTTGTGGGAAGTCAGGGACCCCAAACGGAGGGACCGGCTGAAGCCATGACAGAAGAACGTGGATTGTGAAGATTTCATGGACATTTATTAGTTCCCCAAATTAATACTTTTATAATTTCTTATGCCTGTCTTTACTGCAATCTCTAAACATAAATTGTAAAGATTTCAGGCTGGTCGTGGTGGCTCACACCTGTAATCCCAGCACTTTGGGAGGCCGAGACGGGAGGATCACGAGGTCAGAAGATCGAGACCATCCTGGCTAACATGGTGAAACCCTGTCTCTACTAAAAATACAAGAAAATTAGCCAGGCATCGTAGTGGGTGCCTGTAGTCCCAGCTACTCGGGAGGCTGAGGCAGGAGAATGGCGTGAACCTGGGAGGTGAAGGTTGCAGTGAGCTGAGATCCCGCCACTGCATTCCAGCCTGGGCGACTGAGCGAGACTCCATCTCAAAAAAAAAAAATTTCATGGACACTTGTCACTTCCCCAATCAATACCCTTGTGATTTCCTATGCCTGTCTTTACTTTAATCTCTTAATCCTGTCAGCCGAGGAGGATGTATATCGCCTCAGGACCCTGTAATAATTGCATTAATTGCACAAATTGTACAGCATGTGTGTTTGAGCAATACGAAATCTGGGCACCTTGAAAAAAGAACAGGATAACAGCAATGTTTAGGAAAAAAGAGAGATAACCTTAAACTCTGACCACCGGTGAGCCGGGCAGAACAGAGCCATTTTTCTCTTCTTTCAAAAGCAAATGGGAGAAATATCGCTGAATTATTTTTCTCAGCATGGAACATCCCTGGGAAAAAGAATACGCACCTGGAGGTATAGGCTTATAAACAGCCCCCACCCAGGTGCACCTGTCTCTTATGGTTGAGACTGCAGGGGTGAAATAGACCCCAGTCTCCCATAGTGCTCCCAGGCTTATTAGGAAGAGGAAATTCCTGCCTAATAAATTTTGGTCAGACCGGTTGATCTCAAAACCCTGTCTCCTGATAAGATGTTATCAATGACAATGGTGCCCGAAACTTCATTAGCAATTTTAATTTCACCCTGGTCCTGTGGTCCTATGATCTCGCCCTGCCTCCACTTGCCTTGTGATATTCTATTGCCTTGTAAAGTACTTGATGTCTGTGACCCACACCTATTTGCACACTCCCTCCCCTTTTGAAAATCCCTAATAAAAACTTGCTGGTTTTTGCGGCTTGTGGGGCATCATGGACCCTACCGACATGTGATGTCTCCCTTGGATGCCCAGCTTTAAAATTTCTCTCTTTTGTACTCTGTCCCTTTATTTCTCAAGCTGGCCGATGCTTAAGGAAAATAGAAAAGAACCTACGTGAATATCAGGGCAGATTCCCCAATACTGGAGTGCAGTGGCGCGATCTTGGCTCACTGCAACCTCCGCCCTCTGGGTTTAAGTGATTCTTCTGCCTCAGCCTCCTGAGTAGCTGGGACTACAGGCACGCACCACCAAACCTGGCTAATTTTTGCATTTTTAATAGAGACGGGGTTTCACCATTTTGGCCAGGCTGGTCTCGAACTCCTGATCTTGTGATCTACCCACCTTGGCCTCCCTAAGTGCTGGGATTACAGGCGTGAGCCACCATGCCCTGCCAAGAACATACATTTGTAACAGTGCCACCCCTCCCCCTATTCCACATAAGAGTTGTGGTCATGTGACAAATTTTGGATCCTGAAGATCTTGTTAAAATGCAAATTATGATTCAACAGGTCTGGTTCAGGTGATGCATGTGTAGTGAACTGCTGGTGATGCTGATGCTGCTAGTCTGTGGGCCACAATCAGAGTGGCAAGGTTCTTGGGAAAAACTGCTATATATTAAAATAAAATGGGCCAGGCAAGGTGGCTCACAGTGTAATTCCAGCACTTTAGGAGGCTGAGGTGGGAGGATCACTTGAGCCCAGGAGTTCAAGACCAGCCTGGGCAACCTGGTGAGACCTTGTCTCTACAAGTGATTTTTAAAAATCAGCTGGGCACAGTGGCATACACCTACAGTCTCAGCTATTCAGCAGGCTGAGGCAGAAGGATCACTTGAGCCCTGGAAGTCAAGGCTGCAGTAAGCCATGATTGTACCACCACACTCCAGCCTGGTGACAGAGTGAGACCCTGTCTCCAAAATAAATAAATAAATAGATAAATAAATAAATAAATTAATTAATTAAATGAATGGAGCTGAGGGAGTCAGGAGGGACCGTGAGGCAGGGTTAGCTACTCCATCCCTGTTCCTGCATGCCTGAGGGACATTTCCACCATAGCTCGTGCCACACTGTATTAGTTTTCCCATGCCTGTTCCACTAGGCTGGGAGCTCCTTGAAGACAAGGAACCCATCCTGATGGCCCCAAGGGACTGCTGAATTCAATTCAGACACTCAATTCAGGCTATGTGTAAACAAATGAAGAAAGTAATGAATCCATGAATGTATGAAATTCATGTAATGAATGAAATTAAGGGAAATGACTGTTGGTTAGTGTATTAAAGTCTAAATGGGTTCAAACTTCCTGTTTCCGAATTACTGGACTAACTTCATATATTACCAGTATTGAGAGTATTAAGTGCTTTATTGTTTGATATCCAGGCAAGAGAACTATCAGGAAAGATTAATCCTGGACATTCACTTTAGAAAGATAAAGTTTCAAGAGTTCCCTTTACTGTAACACACAAAAGAAAGACCCAGAACTCCCTTTTCTCAAGGGACATCTCCTATCCTGGAGGAACAGTAAGTACAGTTCCCAGCATATCACTAGGACAACATCATTTACAAAACAATCATGCTGGCAGCATACTGTTATAATTAGCATAGATTCTCTTCTAAGGCACATAGAAGCGTTATCTCTCTATGCTAATCACTTTAAAGGTTCTGTAAGCAATATCACTAAAAACGAGCAAAAAAACTCTCATTACTTGTATGACAAAATACAGCAAGTATTCCAACTGAGTTGTCACATCAGTGTCCATTTTTACAATTAACTCATGCTGTGTTTACATGCTTAATCCTACTGCAGGAACAAGTGGAGATTAAGTTTGCCAAGTAAACCACTATAGCAAAGTCTGGTTTTATTGCCAGGAGATAGAAACCTGTTAAACTCAGAAGGACCACTGAAAGTGTTAAGTTTCAATGGACAGCAATAGGAAGCACTTGCCCAAACGTGATCTATTTACATAGCATGCATTCTTCTGATCAGACTCTCAGGTTATTCGATTGGTCAGTTCAGGGCCTGCCTTCCTATGGCTCTTTTGTTGCAAAGTGGGACGTCACATGTAAGGACAGTATAATGTCAACTTCTAAACTTCTCCAGGTACATGTAAAAGTTTAGTTCTACAGCCTAAATATTAAAAAATATGGATGTGGTTAACCGTGGTTCATCTCAATAGAATAATAGGACTCCAATAAATATGAGGCATTCCATTTAAAATAGGGAAACTGTAATTAGGTGTGTTTTAAAATTTAGCTCTGGTTTAATCAAGTCAGCCTAAGCAGTCCAACATATTAGTCTTTGTCAGTAAAGGAATCCATCCACTCTAAACTCTCCCTGGGCTTCTGAAGAACTTTAAAATTGTTCATTAATTAATGCTTTCAGCACTCCTACAGCCTCATTATGCTGTTGTTATTAAGCATTTTATTTTCTTGGTCCCAAGGGTTCCCAAAGCAAATACATGTTCCCCAGCAGACATTTATGTTTTCCTCCAGAAGAGTTGGTTTTCCATTCTTGATCTAAAACAAATGTTAATTAAAACGATGGTTAATATGGCCCACACTTTTCCCAAACATTTTCAAAGTTGGCAGCATTCCATTCTCCTCTTCCTATATTCCAAGAAACTCCAGCAAGTGATTAGTCTTCTTCATAGAGTAAAAATATCTAGACAAAAGCAGTCAAAGAATATTCTGAGTAGCTTCCCAGAAAGATATTCTTAGAAAAGCTCCCTGTTTGGGGCTCTTATACATCAGAGAGCTTCAATTCCTACAAACTTTGTGGAGGTTACTTTAAAGGCCAACTACCTTTTGACTCACAAATCACTTCTGGGAAATTTTCCTAAGGAAAAAGCATAGATTTCCACAAAGCTTGGATGTGAAAGCTTGTGAATGTCTTTATCACAACATTGTTTAATATTTAAATTCAGAAAAACCTAACTTCCCAAAAATCATGGAGTATCCATACTATAGAATTCTATATAGACATATGAAAAGCTTTAATAAAATATTTAAGGATATTAAAATATTTATGATTTAGTATTATACAAATATAAGAAGACAATGAGAATAATTTCTAGAATTATCACAATTTCCTAAAAAATATATATACATATTTGACTGTAAAGAAATAAACTCAGAACTTACTAATAATTATGTCTAGTTTCAGGTGATTTTAATTTCTTTTCTGTACTTTCCTAAATTTTTGTAGTTTTATATGTTCTAAATTAAATATATATTACTTTGTAATTAAAATATAAAATGTTTTACTTATTCCTTTCTCTTAGCAATGTGAATATAGTCTTCCTACATGGGGAATTAATCACTAGATTAGTAGGAAATTAATGAAATTAACAATGGATGAACAAAAAGTTAACTTACCACATACATTTGGCTTTAACTTCTTGTATGTAAATAAATTCCTCCCAGTAGATTCTCTACCAACTACCTCCAGTTTCTATTAGCTGATCCTTGTTTAGAAGCAGTCCACTGATTTTTAGTAAATCAAAATGAAACTCCAAGAAAGACAAGAAGATGAAATGTGAAAAGGAAGCTGGCCTTGGTGCTATGCACAGTGATGGAAACCATGAATATGAATAGATGGAGCATTCGGATAGCAGGATAATAGAAGAGGGAAATGCATTCATTTGACAGCTGCCAACTCCCCCTCCCTGCACTGTCACTTCCCGGCTGCCCACCCCCTTCTCCAGGCCTTGATTCCCAGCCCACAGAAACGCCGTGGTGCGTGTAGCCTCTATGGTGTTCTCACACTCCAAAAGCGCAGAAAATAAAAGGCCACTATGTTGAAAGCTTGTGCCTCATAGAGTAACAACAGTGCTAAAAGTGCTTAAAAATACGTTACTACTTTTCATATCAATCACAGCGTTTTCCAAGCTACTCCCCAACCTACTGTGAGGTACAAGGGTGAGCATTGTTTAATTGGCTTTGGGAGTCGTATGAGCTGTGCGAGACCTTTAATTAGAGGAGCTGGTGGAATAAGCGTGTGATGTGTGTGTTAGGGAGGGGTGGGCTGGTTCTGCCATGGTCTTTGTAATCCCTTTGCAAATGCACCTTTGGACAAACTTAAAAGAAAGTAGAGGAAAGTTAGAAGAACTTGCTTCTTACTAAAAGAAGTTCAAGGTAGCAGTACCCTAGGTTTTGTTCATGTGCCTAATCTCTGAATTCAAATACCACTTAATAATGATGCTTAAACTGTTTATTCTCAATGTCAGAATGTTCTCATCTAGGTCAACAGAGAAAACCCTGATTTGTAGTACTGGGGTCTCATCCCAGAGACTGTTGGTGCTGAGGCACATGCACCATTGAAAGGGGAAAGTTATTCAGTACTAGCAGCAGTTGCTATGTAGAGATAAAGACCTGACATTGCTGGATCTTATGATTCTTTAAGCGTAATTGGAAATCTATTTTTTAGGTGAAATCTGTATTTTTATAGGTTGATAACTTAAAAGAAAAATCAACACTTTCTATGAGCAAACAAAACATCTCTGTGGGCCAAAATAGGCCTGTGGACCTCTGATTCAGGAAGAAGAGGATCTTAACACAAGATTTTTTAAGCACATTTTAAAGTGCACCAAATTTATCTGTATATGCATAAATTATTATCCAATAAATTCAGTAGAAAAGAACCATGAATTTAAATTCTAAACCACCTGACCAATTTATCTGAATCAGCTCCTAAAATCATTTTGGGTCTATTTTCCTCCTTTAATTAAAATAAGAATAATCTACTAAAGTTTTACAATTTAAATATTGACAATTATATTTATTTTTGCATCTCAGAGCCACTGCTGATGTATTTCTTTTATGTATGAAGAGACTGAGGAACAAGGAAAAATCACAGAAAAGCCAGAGGATGAAGCTGGAATGCAAGAGTCCTGTCTCTTTATGATTCAACAATCAAATAAAAACCTTCTCTAAAAAATGACCAAGAAAGCAAGCTTATTAGGTTCATGAACAGAGTCATCACGTAAACAAATTACTTCTATAATAGTCCCAGTAAAATGATCTCAGGTTCTTATTTAAAACTCATGGAAAGGAAATATGTCAGGTTAAGACATCTTTATCTGTTTTTAACAACTGGAATATTAATCATATCTAATTCAATGTATATTTCAAAATGAGTAACTCACATATTCACAGCACTGTCCAAATTAATGAACAGGTCCCATTACCTAGGACTCATACTTTAACATTTACTAATTCGCTTTCCACACTGCCATTTCTCGTTAGAATGGCAACTTCTAGTTTGTGAAGGAAATGAGTCATTCCATGCAACTATCCCACCTTCTGAAGGACAAGTCACAGCAGGAAATGAATGGCTTTTGGTTTTTTTTTCTGCACTAGTACAGAAAAACAATGTATCTAATACTGAAGGATCTGAACTTTGGGACAATCACTTTTTCTAGATATTGTTTGCAACTTTCAGAACATTCTTATAAATTAATGTAAATTAGAATTATAATTTTGCCATTGTGTTATGTTGAAATGAAATCTACAGCTATCACTAAATGTTTATGAATTTTCCATCTACAATCAACCTTTCAATTAGTCTTATACAAAGTCGGTCTCAAGTTAGATTTCTGGTTTTTACATCTAACTTAAATGCATCTTGTGGTTAAATGCTGTGGAAGGTTTGACTAGACCTCAGAACTATCAATAACTTATAAATAATGGTTAAAAATCACCATTAAAGTGTGTATAGCAGAAACCTAGAACTGAAATTCACTTGAATTGAGTCTGGTTCACCTTATTTAGTTTCTTCCTTATTTAGTTTCAAATTCCCTGTGCTGGGTTGGGGGGTGGGGAGAACCCTGTGACTTATAGATATATAAAGTGTCTTGTGAGAAATGCAAAATTCCTTCGTAAAACTACCTTATCATGCTGTCCAAATTATAGAAAGCACAAACAAGTGTCCTCACTTAGACAAAAGGCTACAGTAACCAAAACAGCATAGTACTGATACCAAAACAGAGATATAGACCAATGGAACAGAACAGACGCCTCAGAAATAACACCACAAATCTACAACCATCTGATCTTTGACAAACCTGACAAAAACAAGAAATGGGGAAAGGATTACCTATTTAATAAATGGTACTGGGAAAACTCGCTAGCCGTATGTAGAAAGCTGAAACTGGATCCCTTCCTTACACCTTATACAAAAATTAATTCAAGATGGATTAAAGACTTAAACATTAGACCTAAAACCATAAAAACCCTAGAAGAAAACCTAGGCAATACCATTCGGGACATAGGCATGGGCAAGGACTTCATGACTAAAACACCAAAAGCAATGGCAACAAAAACCAAAACTGTCAAATGGGATCTAATTAAACTAAAGAGCTTCTGCACAGCAAAAGAAACTACCATCAGAGTGAACAGGCAACCTACAGAATGGGAGAAAATTTTTGCAATCTACCCATCTGACAAAGGGTTAATATTCAGAATCTACAAAGAACTTAAACAAATTTACAAGAAAAAAACAAACAACCCCATCAAAAAGTGGGCAAAGGATATGAACAGACACTTCTCAAAAGAAGACATTTATGCGACCAACAAACATATGAAAAAAAAACCTCATCATCACTGGTCATTAGAGAACTGCAAATCAAAACCACAATGAGATACCATCTCACACTAGTTAGAATGACGAACATTAAAAAGTCAGGAAACAACAGATGCTGGAGAGGATGTGGAGAAATAGGAATGCTATTACACTGTTGGTGGGAGTTTAAACTAGTTCAACAATTGTGGAAGACAGTGTGGTGATTCCTCAAGGATCTAGAGCTAGAAATACCATTTTACCCAGCGATCCCATTACTGGGTGTATACCCAAAGGATAATAAATCATGCTACTATAAAGACACATGCACACGTATGTTTATTGCGGCACTATTCACAATAACAAAGACTTGGAACCAACTCAAATGCCCATCAATGATAGACTGGATTAAGAAAATGTGGCACATACATACCATGGAATACTATGCAGCCAAAAAAAGGATGAGTTCATGTCCTTTGCAGGGACATGGAGGAAGCTGGCAACCATCATTCTGAGCAAACTACCACAAGGACAGAAAGCCAAACACTGCATGTTCTCACTCATAGATGGGAACTGAACAATGAAAACACTTGGACACAGGGAGAGGAACATCACACACCAGGGCCTGTCATGGGGTGGGGGGTGGGGGGAAGGATAGCATTGGGATAAATAACTAATGTAAATGATGGGTTGATGGGTGAGGCAAGTGAATCACTTGAACCCAGGAGGTGTAGGTTGCAGTGAGCCAAGATCGCCCCACTGCACCGTAGTCTGGGCGACAGAGTGAGACTCTGTCTCAAAAAAAAAAAAAAAAGTGCTATTTGTGAGATAGGGATCTACATGAGCAATTTAATGTACTTCCAGCAAGGGAAAGTAGGGAATCGAAACTGTTAGGGTAGACTTTTGTTTACTTGACAAAAAAAAGAGAAGTTATTAGGCAAAAGGAATTTTAAATATTACAGTTCAAGTTTTACCTGTGTAGTCCTTGATGCTCTTTCAGGAAAAAAACACTCACTCTCAACAAAAAGGGCAAAGACTAGAATCTGACCCTGTTTGTCCTTCCCTTTTTTTGCCATCAATTTGCCTCTCTTATTTCTTCCATATATACACGATCCTTCTCCCTACAAATGTGACAGATCTCCAGTTTCTAGTCATGATTTGCTAAGCATAGTGCTGCATGCTCTACTTACATACTTCACTGCCTGTTTTCAGATCAAAAGAGACAATGAGCGAATTCTCCATTTCAAAACCACAGCAATCTTTATATCCTCAGGTCCAGCACTTTAGGACCTGGAGTCATTGATCTAGGTCTCCCACACAATATCAAACCAAATAATACTTAATACTAATTCCAAATACCTCTTCCCTATTCATATACTTATTTTAGGATTTAATTTATCTTTCACTCTTTCTGTGAAGTCTAGGGACTGGACAGCTACCTCTTCAACTTGTCATCCTGTACTTAGCATTTTACCTCTGAATAACTCACAAACTACAGTATACCCCAAACCAGATTAAAGGTATGCATTGGATATAGTGTTTAAGCACAAAAACACCCATCAGCCAACTGAGGACTGTTGTGTGAAGACTAATGTCCTGAGATGGCCAAGTACACATCAGGTGTCCCTTTCCTCCCCAGGAACACGGCCAGGGCAGCCATCAGCTAAGGAGACAGAAGCTTTTCTGGCTTCAGAATCTTTCTTAACACAGCCTCTCCAGGCAGCCACTACTGAAGGGTCAGACTTGGTCCTCCAGATGAAAAGCTTTTGTCATGTGGCCTCCAAGCCCTCAATCCACCAGGATGCCCAAACTAAATTCTTACAGATGGGAGTATCTTCAGTCTTTCTAAAGAGAATGTCACAGGAAAGTAGGCAGGAATCTCTTTTTATCCAGGTTTTAGCCTAAGTGTTAAGATCAGCAATTCTAAAACATGGTGTCAGCCCTTTGTGACAAAGTCCTCTATTATCCTGTTCATCTCCCTGCTGAATTCTTAGCAACCTCTCTCAGAGATCTGCAGACCCTTTTTCTTGGGGGAAAGAGGTAGTTTCCCAAAGCTGTAAGTGTTAGTTCAGAGAATGAGAGATGCTGACTTCATTGTTTCCCAATTCAGTGAAGCAGGAGCCGGACTTCAGGCATCTAATTCTCCTCAAATAAAGAGCTAGGGGTGACTAGACTGGAGGAAGAACATGACACACGTGTGAGGTCTAAGAACCAGAAGAAAAAAGGAGGGAAAGGGAAGGACTGGGAGTTGAAAAAATTTCAATTTGCCTTTACATGGTACCTATATTTCACTAGAGGAAAAATTGACCACGAATGTCAAATGTAGTAACTTTTCATTTCAAGTTCTTGTCCTCTCCATCTGCTCCAATTCAGAGCCCAAATGCCCGAAAAGGGCAAGATAAGATAAAGTAACGAGACCATCAACTTCTCGCAAATTAATAAGTTACCATAAATGAAAATCAAAGTGGAGGCGGATCCAGCCCCAACTGGCTGCTGTTCTTTGGGAAGGAGAGGTGGCCACTGTCCTAGAAGGCGGCCCTGCCTTCTCCGTCAGCAGCAGCCTCAGTCAGCTCTCCTGCGCTCCTGTCTCTTCTTCCTGCATACTCTGCCCCAGATTCTGACTTGAACCTTGCTAAAATACTGATTAGCCCTCTGTAAAGTTTGGCTGTCCAGTGGCACCAGAATCATAGAATAATCAGGGTAGTGGACCCTGTAATGTGCCATCAGATTCCTTTAGGACTAGGGCATTTATTCTCCCAGTTGGGAGTGTTAGAGGCTGGCAGCTTTCAGCTGAGGGCCTCTCAAAGAAGCATGCTTAGTTAGAGAGAGCCACCGCCCTGGAGGGAGTTTGCCCTCTTGGGATTGGGCAACCCACAGCCAATGACTGGCTGATGGAGAAACATAAAGGCCTTGCCCCCTTGCCTTAACTCGGGACCACTCTTCAGGCTGTCCCGGCTCCAGAGCCCCCTGTGCATCACAGCCATCTTCTCCCTCTGTTCCGTTCTCCTGCTTTCATTCCCCTGCCAGTCCTTGTGGCCATAAGCAGTCCCTAATGAACCTCCTACTTGCAAATCACAGGGTCTCAGAGTGAGATTCCTGGATAACTGAACTGTGACCATCAGACACAAAGTACAAATAGTGCTTCATCATCTTTTGCTCAACTTTAAATTCATACATTATTTACTGACATCCCTAATGCTTGCATCAGCCACATTTATACGTTGGTATTCAGCAAACACAAGAGGACATGGCTAGGCTGCCTGTCCCCCAGTCCAGTGATAACAATGCTACTGCAGGATTTGCACCATGATTTTAAAAGATGCAGTCCTCATTTTGTGTGGTTCTGATATGCACCCATTTCAGTGAGCACAATTTAAATGACACCCATCCTACAACAACCCTGTTCAAATTTCAGTTACCACAAGATATTATAGTAGTAACTGAATGAAGTATGCTCTTCAGCCCACACTACAAAAATGACAGATGCATAGCACAACCAGTGGCCAATCACATCACTTCTTTCAAAGACTGTCAGTGACTGGCCTGGTCACTGCACATCTGAGCAGTAGAGTGATACTTGGCCCTGGGGCTTGGGGAGATAAAGGAAGGACAGCAAGAAAGCAGGGCACACTAGCCAGAGGGTGGTTATGGATGACCTCCTTGACTATCAGAGTCCTGAACAGGAGCAGGGCCTTAGAAGGGGTCTGGAAGCATGTCAATCCATCCACATTCAAGCACAGGAAAAGTGGGACCAATATCAAACCTCATTATTCATTTCCCACCCCTACTGTAACACATTACCACAAACTTAGTGGCTTCAAACATCATAAGGTGATTTTACAGTTTGGAGGTCAGGAGTCTAAAATGGGTGGCAAGGCTGTGTTACTGCTGGAGGTTCTCAGGGAGAATCCACTTCCTTGCCTTTTCTAGCTTCTGGAGGCTGCCTGCATTCCTTGACTTGTGGCCCCACATCACTCTGACCTCTGCTTCTGTCATTGCATCTCCTCAGACTCTCGCTTGCCTGCCTCCTTCTCATAAGGACCCTGTGGCTACACTTGGCCCACCCTGATAATCCAGAACAATCACCCATCTCAATATCTTTAGTGTAATCGCATACACAAAATTTCTTTTGGCATGTAAGATAACATATTCACAGGCTTTATGGATGAGAATGTGGACATCTTTGGGGAGCTATTATTTTACCTACCATACCGCATCATGTTTTTGCAAATGACTGGTGTTCTCCTGGACAATGTCCTGCATTCAGCTGCTAGAATGACAGGGCTGCCTGCAAACATCTGTGTCCGTACCTAGACCTCCCCGGGAAAGGGCAAGAGTGAAGGAATGACGGCCTGGTGTTCCTGCCCCAAATCAGCTTTTCCCAAAGGGCTGCTTAAGACTCTAGTCCCTAGATACATTCTACATTAAAACCTACCACTTTCCCGTGAATGTGGGAAGTACTGCATTCACACTCTCCTTCTTGGACACTCACAATTCATATTAGCATAACAAAGATCCTGAGATGTTCTGCAGTAAAGAAATCTCTTTGACTTGCTTAACTCTGAGTTTTCTAAATGTATTTTCACATAAAATAAATTTAGGAAGAAGTTGGGAATGCTGTACTAGCTTATATTCCAACTCTGGCCAATGCTGTGCAAACAGTTCTGCATGAAGTCCACAGACCTCTCAGGCCCTCTTGAAAGCTTAATGCATGAAGCTGTCTTACCAGAATTATATTAATTCTCCTGGAGTGGTTTCTTCTCTTGCACCAGCCCTTGGATGCACTTTGGCAAACCCTGAAACTGCCTATTGACTCACACGTGCAAAGTATATGAAGTGACACATTCTTCAGGTGTCTCAGCTCTGCCTGGAAACTCATTTCCCGTAGAGCCATTTTTTCCCCCTCTCTCTTCCTTCTCTTTGACTCTGGCTCTCAAAACTAAGGGGAAAAAAATGACCAGGAAATAACGTGTCACCAATTACACGCATGGGCTTTTACCTTTCTCTCTCTTAGCTGTCAAATCAAATGCCTGGGCAGATTGCCACATGGAAACTAAAACTCTTTTTCATTTAGCAAATGAGGTGCTGTTATCAAAACAGAGAAGCATTGCCTTATTGCTGGTGTGTTCCAGGCTGCAGCTCTGGATCGCTACTGCAGTGGGATGGTTGACTCACAAGTTTTTCTTGGGAACCACTGGAAGTCTTGGAGGAACCACAGAATCTCAAACAGAAGGAAACTTAGAGATCACTCATTTAAATTTTCTTCTGGAATCCTAGACTCTTTATTTAATATCCCCAATTAAGAGGCTTTTAATTCATGTTTAACATATTTTACAACCATCATCTATCTTTCAACTACTACTCACTTGAACAAAACTTCCATCCTAGAGAACCAGGTAATTTGCCAAGCCCATACCAGGCTATGTACCTCTTGCCTGTGTCTGAAATGTCTCCTCTCATCTACCCCCATTTTTCATCATCACAATAGCCAATATTTATTGTATATGTTCATATTCTGTATGGTAGGCACTGTGCCAGACCCTTTAATTATGTCAACTTATTTAATCTTTTTTTTTTTTTTGAGACGGAGTCTCACTCTGTCACCCAGGCTGGAGTGCAGTGGCTTGATCTCAGCTCACTGCAACTTCCGCCTCCTGGATTTAAGCAATTCTCTGCCTCAGCCTCCCAAGTAGCTGGGATTACAGGCACCCGCCACCACGCCCGGCTAATTTTTTGTAATTTTAGTAGAGACGGGGTTTCACCGTGTTAGCCAGGATGGTCTCGATCTCCTGACCTCGTGATCCGCCAGCCTCGGCCTCCCAAAGTGCTGGGATTACAGGCGTGAGCCACCACACCCCGGCTAATTTTTTTTTTTTTTTTTTTTTGTATTTTTAGTAGAGACGGGGTTTCACCATCTTGGCCAGGATGGTCTTGAACTCCTGATCTCATGATCCACCTGCCTTGGCCTCGCAAAGTGCTGGGATTACAGGGATGAGCCACTGCGCCCAGCCCAACTTATTTAATCTTGACCATAGTCTTATGATGTAGTATTGCTGCTTTATAGACAAACAAGCAAAATTATTTACTGAGTTTTACTGTGACTGATACCATTTGCTGTGTGCCACATTTAAGACACTGTGCTAAGCATTTTACATTTTTATCATTGTGTCTATGAGTCAATGTTATGATTCCTCTTTTGCTGATATAGAAACAGAAGCTTCCATATGATGAGAAATTCATCCGTGGTCATACAGCTAGTAAGTGGCAGGGCTGGGATCCAAGTGCACAAGTATCTTCTATTCATACTTCACTCCTACCTTCTTGTTTTCTTTCCAGCCAGTGGGATCCTCCGTGTATCTCAGAATTCATAGAGCACTTACTTGTCAGCCCAGTCTTGTTATTGTCATATTGTGCACAGTAGCTACTTTCTCCTCACTGGACATCTCTTACGGTACTTTGCATCCCTTACCATGGTGCTTACAATGCGCACTCCCCAAATGTCAACTGGTCTAGAACAAGTCTTCTTACAGCAACCAGGACTGGCATGGACATTTTTCTGATGAGGGATTTCCAGGTCTCAGTTGATTTCTTGGTTATTTCAGGATGCAACTATACAATGGCATTCAGTACATGGAATTTAATGCAATACTTTGTCCCTTGATGCTTGTTTTAACAGCTACAGAAGGAGAGAGTGACTGTTAGGCTGAGTCCCCTCAGACCTACTGGGGTGGCTAAGTCGAAAGAATCTCTAGGAGTCAGTTATATCTCAACATGCAGCAAAATGCCCAGCACAAAGCAGGTGCTCAAAAAATATCTTTTGAAGAATGACCATTTACAAATAAAGTCATGTTCTACAGACTGTTTAAAAACGATGATCTCCTTTCATCTCTGAAGTGATTCTTAGAAATCATTCATCCAGAAGGTTTAAGTTCTTCAAGCGATTAAAGCTGGTAATTACAATAATTCTATTATTTTTCTGTTGAAATGGATTTAGCACACAGATGAGTTTTTGTTTATCTGTTTTGTTTTTAAAGATTTCAAGGTAACTGGTTAGGAGGTATAGAAGAGGGTACCAATAGTGAATTGCTAAATTGCTGCAACCAGGAGTTCTGCAGCATTCTGGGGGACCAAAGGAATTCACTTGGGAAATACGACTTTCTCTGTGATACGTACTCAGGATATCAAAATCCTATGGACAAGTTCCTGAAGAAAGTATTCCACTGATATGAGAATAATGCCTTTGGGCTAAAACATACTGTCTTTTGACTGAGTTTCTTGAAATCTCTGTACTAAATACTGATACTCCACAAATAATAAACCATAACAAGATCTAAACTGAAAAGGTTTTATAAAGTATCACATTAAAAAAACGCAAGGGTTGTTCAGAGTCTTTTTCATCCATTAAGACAGAAGCTTCTCCAGAAGCTGAGGAATCCACGTGTAGGGACCATTCAAGAAGTCCTGGCAGGATTTGGAGAAGAGTGAAGAGGCAGTTTCCCTGGGAACATGGCTGAAGCACTTCCAGAAAAAATAAACTCAGGGGGCCTACATCACCAAAGGCAAGAAATTAAAACTAATTTTTTTCATTTTGAAGGCTATTTTTCTAAAACTAAATAAAATAAATTGAAGTATATTAAAATATTAACTCACACACAAAAAAACGAGTGAGATAAGGTGTCAGATACCCCTAATAAATGCAAGTGGGAAATCAAAGGGAGTCTCAGACAGGCAGGCAAAAGACTATGCTGACTTTAAATTAAGTTTGTCCCCAGACAGCGATTTGTAGACAGAGAAACAACATTAATGTTATGCTTAAAACAATACAGTAAATCACCCAGTCTAAATATTGAAGAAAATAGGGCCCATTGAGGCTGTTTTCCAAGGTCAAACACTTCATTAGAATAGAACCAAGGTCTCCTAAAATGCTAATCCTTCCACTACTCCTGGGAAAGCAAACAGCTCCAGTTCCAGTTGATCTGTCTGGAACAACTGGAGAAAGCAAGGTATGGGCAGAGCAAGACTGAGTGCTGTCGTCAGTTGGCGATGTCTGCCGTGGCATTATGGAAAGAATGATCATCCACATGCCACAGATCTGCCACTCTCCAGTGTACCATGCCACCGTCTAAGTCTACAGAAAAGCCAGCAAAATTGTTGAGTGACTAATACAGATGCTTTTAGTTTTCTTAATGCTCATTATTCACATGTCATCCCATAAAAATACATAAATATACACATACATTAAGAGATACTGTAACTTTCATAGTTCCAATGCCAAGCCTTAGTATCAACACATATTTGCTATAGGAAGGAAGGGAGGAAGGAAGACAGGGAGAGAGAGGGAGGGAGAGAAGAGAAGGAGGGAAGGAAATTCCCCAAATACTTCAAGTTCCCCAAATTTAAAGAAGCATGAAATGAAATTATCAGCCCAACAAATTAATTAATTAGTTTATTTATTTATTTTTACTTGAGACGGAGTCTTACTCTGTTGCCCAGGCTTGAGGGCAGAGGTGCGATCTCGGCTCACTTCAACCTCCGCCTCCTGGGTTCAAGCGATCCTCCCACCTCAGCCTCCCGAGTAGCTGGAATTACAGGCATGCACCACCATGCCTGGCTAATTTTTGTATTTTCAGTAGAGATGAGTTTTCACCATGTTGTCCAGGTTGGTCTCGAACTCCTGACCTCAAGTGCTCCACCTGCCTCAGCCTCCCAAAGTGCTGAGATTACAGGAGTGAGCCACCATGCCTGGCCTGTTTTTTGTTTTTTTGGAGGTTTTTTGAGAGGAGTCTCACTCTGTCACCCAGGCTGGAGTGCAGTGGCACAATCCCGGCTCACTGCAACCTCCACCTCCTGGGTTCAAGCGATCCTCCTGCCTCAGGCCCCTGAGTAGCTGGGATTACAGGCGCGCAGCACCGCGTCCGGCTAATTTTTGTATTTTTAGTAGAGATGGGGTTTCACCATATTGCCCAGGCTGGTCTCGAAGTCCTGACCTCAGATGATCCACCCACCTCGCTCTCCTAAAGTGCTGGGATTATAGGCATGAGCCACTGCACCCAGCCTCCAACAAATTTATGTAACAGATTTGAGTAACACTATGTACTTAACTAATAACTTTCTGTTCAATGGATTTGAACACATCTTTCTCCAGTTGTTCCAACTTTCAGTGACTCATTTGATGAAAATCAAGAAGCTTATGTGGTAATAGAAAAAGAGAAAGGGGGAAGACAACAAAAATAAAGAGGACAAAAGGCATTTTACAATATAAAACATTTGAGTTTTTCGTATTTCTGTTTTGTTTAAAATCAGAGAAAACACTGAAATTATGATGTGATCATTGTTGCTGCTTATATTACCTAACCAAGAGTAACTGTGCAATCTTCCAGTCTGTAGTCCTCCCTGTATTCCATCTTAATTTGGATATTGGATTTCTTTTCTAACATTGTCTTCTTTGTATGCTCTATTTAGATCAGTGATACACAAAGTATGTTCCCCAAAACATTAATTCCTCAGGATATTAGTAAGTGTGATCTTTTTAAAAGTATGTAGTCAAATAAGTTTATTATATTATAGGTTAGACCAGTTTAACAGGTGCCTTGCTGCAAGATATTGTAGGCTTTTCATATACTAACATATGCTGCAAGTCTAAATATATATGGTGTTCTAAATTTCTTTAGCTACAAAATCTTTCTTTTGTGGAGCTTTTAGCCAAATTAGTGTTTCATGGAGCCAATGTTGAGCAAATGGATTTGAATACTGCTTCATCTCAAGATGCTGTACTGAAAATCAGTCCATCCTCTCTTTTAATCACATGATGCTCTGGTGCTACCCACAGCCTGTCTCTCCACCAGGATCCACCAAGTTCCACACAGTGGGGGTCAGGAGATACTCCCTGAAGTCTACTGCAGAGACCTTGGCAGGTCCCTGGCTCTTGCCTCTTCTCACAGGGGCATTAGTGCCTTTTCCTCCTTTTGCCACAGAAGTCAGAAATGAATTCCAGCCACACCCTGGGATCATATTTGCCAGGTCCCATAAGTCAGGTCAAGCGGCAGGGACTCATAAACAGTTTCCAGCAGCTAAACTGACCGCATGGAGAGGGAAAGAATCTCACTCTCCACAGGCAGAAGAAGGGACCCAAGTGTGTTTAACTCATTTTTGTCAGAAGCCAGGAATCTTTAAAAGTCTTTCTCAAAAAAGCTATTTTTGAGAGGTTAAGGTAGTGATGCTATTAGGTAAAACATTTTCATCTTTGACAAAAAAAAAAAGAAAGAAAGAAAAACATGAGACACTCAGAACCCTTTATTTTATACTTAAATAACAGTTTAATAGAAAATCAGGCAGCCTTTAGTTCGGTGTGAACTTTGCCAGGTTATGTACTTTTTGCAGCCTTGGTTCTTCAGCCATAAAATGGGGATAAAATTGTCCATCCTGCAGCATTCCGTCAGTGATAAAGTGAAATAATGTATTCACCGGTAACACTGTGCTCAATGCATGCTTCATGCCCAGTTCAGCATCAGCTGCGGATGTTGGCTCCTGTGAGAAAGAAGCTCCATGGGCTCTGCTTTTTAAAGAAAGCAAATGACGGTACCATCCTACCAAATAGATTTCTTCCAAGGAAAGTATGTTTTTTTTAAAAAAAATAGCAAATTAATCATTTAGCTTCTTATTTATGTAGCCTTGAAAAGAATTTAAATCCTTCATTTCAACAGTACTTCTACTCTTTCAGAAAAGAAATCACTAGAAAGCTGCCTATGGCTGACAACTCCAATCCTCTCCAGAAGGATTTTTTTTCTTTTAATCTCTATTGGGCATCTATAATGTGCCCCATTATGCCAGCCCAACCCCCTGATCTAACTTATACCAGTCTCAATGCATTTTGATTGCTAGATTGTTTTTCTAAATAGATCAGAGATGGGCTAACTGTTCACCAAACTATTCCCTCTCCTTCCTGGGCACCTGACTACATTTCCTGGCATCCCTCGCACTTAGCTGTGGCCATGTGACTAAGTTCCAGCCAATGGAATGGGACTGACAGTGTTGTGTGTCCCTCTAAGCCTAACCATATAACCTTCCCATGCACACTCCTCCATGCTCCTGCCCCTTTGCTCCAGCCTGACAAAGATAAATCCTGCAAGCCTGATAAAGGAAACCACATGGAAGATGGCGGGGCCACAAGAGGGAAAGGGTCTATGTCCCTGACCACTGCTTATAAGAGACCCAACTGCAGCTCAAGTACCCTGGTTTTGAGCTGGGTACACATGAGGAATGCTTCTATCATGTTTAGGCCATCCTATAATTTTGGATGTTTTTTACAGTAGCTGGTGTCTGAAGCATCTGGAAGTCCTGAGATTTTTGCAGAACATTATGAGATTATTTATAAAAATAATAAATCGAATTACTGTGTGCCAAGTCCGAGACTCAGGCACTAACTCATAAAATAACTAAATAATCTAAAACTAAGGTATCATTATAAACTAGGTTCTACTCTAAGTAAACCATCAGAGATGCCAAAAGTTTAATAAAAATATTGCTGAAGGTTGAATTTTCTATGTTTCAACCTTAAAGTATAGAAAATTCATTTCATTTATTTAGTTTTTCTGTGACACAAGAAAGGCTAGCATTGCTTGACTCCAGTAGCAGGGACATCTTGATTCACCCTGTTAAACACTACTGTTTCATGGGTGTATAGTTTGTGTCGGAGAATTGGTGCAGATAGACATTTCTGAGTTTTTGTTTTTAAATCAAATTAGAATTGGCATTGTCAGCTCTAGGCTCTCATCTACATTTAGTAAATAATAGATTAGGATCACTTTTTTTCACTTCACAATTATATGATTATATTCCATTATGATTTGACTGTAGTTATCCATGGTTTAAATCAATCATGAAAAACATTATTTTATCTAAATATCATAATGTATAGGAATATGCATTTGTTCTATGTACACACAGGAAAGTACATCAGGGTATACTCTAAGAAATTTAAGCCTCAGGCCAAACCTGGGAAATTCAAGCCTCAACCTCAACCTAAGACCAATTAAGTAAATTATTTATATCATTGGCTAAAGTATAAGGGAGCTAACCTAGTTTAAGGCCATCCAGTGAAAGATCAAATGCTAAATGAGATTATTTACTGATTACCAAAAAACTATCATGTTAATTCAGTAAAGATCTCATAATCAAATACATTATCAATGGTACTTCTGGAAAACTGCCTTTGGTGATCACAGATATTAACCTGAACCCAAATATACCCTAAGTAACGTACTAACAACCTACTTCATACCAGTCTTATTTTTTCCATCTCTACTGCTCCCACCTTAATCTAGGTCACCATGACTCTCCCCAGGCCTACTGAAATATCTGCCCTCAACCTGGCCTCCTTGCTTCTACTCTAGCCCCTTCTCCAAACTGTACCCCTACAAGGCCCCCAAAGGGATCTCCTTCAAGCACACATCATATCATACCACTCTCTTGTTTGAAACTCTTTCATACGTTTTAACTGGTCTTAGAATAAAACTGGAACTCTATCATGGCTTGCTGTGCCCTGCCAGTCCCAACCTATCCTAGTACCAACCTCTCCATTCCCTTCACTCCAGCCCAACTAATCTCCTTTGTATCCCTTAAATATCCCGAGCTCTTCCCATCAGGGCCTGTGAACTTGCTGTTCCCTCTGTCCAAAATGCTCCCTTCCAGCTTTGTACACAGTTGACTGCTCTTCACCCTTCAGGTCTTAGCTCATCCATCACCTCCCCGAGTTACCTTCTTGCCCTGTTTATTTCCTTCATAGCACTTATAAAGCCTGGTAATTTTGTTATTGTTTGAAGACTGGGACACACTATGAGGACATGAAGTTTCCCTATTCTTTTTTACTACCTGTGTCAGGCATCATCTCCTTGGAGATGAAAGGATGGATAAACAGATGGATGGATGGATGGATGGATGGATGGATGGATGGATGGATGGTGGGTGGGTGGATGGATGGAATAAACATGCAGTAGATACTTTCTGAATTATTTGACCCAACAACTGGAACCATCCATGAGAAACCGTATTATCACATTTAGCAATGAGTGATTCTGGCAGGGATGTATATAGGGCAATCCCAGTTTCTCCTGAAGTACATCTCTCCTGGGAATATAAAGAAGCTTTAACTCTGGGACCATTCATATGGCTCTTTCCACATGGTGAGTTCTACTCTTAAAGGAAAAATACTCAATTATGCAAAATTGATAATTCCAAGAGGATAGCCCAGTATTTAATTAGCTATAATATTTGGAGGCATAAGGCTATCCTGGTTTTTAATTTTAAGACATCCAATTTATGAAGAAGCTCTTTCAGAGAAAATAAAGTCAACTCAACGCAGAATAAGACCACAAGCTCAAAAAAAAAAAAAAAAAAAAAAAGACCACAAGTTGCTTCCTTAGATTCCTATATCTGGAACTATTCCTCTAGAGGAGATAGAGCAAATCAAACCTCTGACAATGTGGAAATCCAGCATGCACTTCATTTTTGTTTATGACACTGGGTCAATCTGACAGAATAGTTTTGTTTTCCCAGTTCTGACTGAATTAAAGAGAGTTGTGTCTACAGATTATTTTCCCAGAAGTTCCTCTGTATATATAATAGGAAATGCAGGATCAGATCTAGGCAAGGGCTCTTTAAATGTCAGGGCAGTCTTTCCACATTGAACACCCCTGAGAATGCCAACATGTGTGACCATGCTTTTCCCCATTTTGGGCCATGATGAAGAAATGCTATCCCAAGCCAGCAGAGCAGCTGAACTCTTTTCTGTAGCTCAACATGAGAAAAACCAACAACCTCTGCAGCATGTCTGCCAAGGAACTGCATGCCTGTTGGCAAGGAGACAGCAGCCTACACAGAGGGAAGTTGTAAGAATTAGCCCTTCCATGCATGTGCTAGTGGTAACTCCTGTAAAGAAGTTACTAGGGTCTTCGCTCAGGACATCTCACGGTGCTCCCTCCTTGAAGGCCCACAGGAGAAATTCCTCCCAGAACTCAGTACCAAGAGAAGCTTTCCTTCTCCTGAAGACTTAGTTTTGTTGTTGCTTCATTTGGCCTTTTGGATGCTATAAATACTTTAACAGATTATATTATCTCTTTGCTTGTAGGAAGCCCTGAGATTTGCAACCCTCTACACTATCGACATTGGACATTATGGCATGCATTCTTAACATTTGAACTGTGCCCCGACTTCATCTTGCTTTTTTACTGTTGTTTTCCCTCAATTCTGATTTCGTTAACTAATCTTTGTTCTCTTGTATCATATATATTTCTATAAATGGTTTCAAATTATTTTGAGAATGAAAATGGCTATTAATGCATAAATACACACAGTGGATTTTAACCCAAACCCTTTACGACACTAGTCCTGTAAAAAGACAATGTGGCCTCAGACAGACCTGGGCTGGAATCCTGATTCTGTGGATTTCTAGCTCTGTGACGTTGGTTAAGTCGCTCAATAGTTCCCAGTTTCCATTTCCTCCTCTTTAAACTGAGGCTAGTATCATGTACATTGCATAGTAACTGTGAGAATTAAAGAGAATGTATCTAGAGCATTGGCACTTAATAATTGTTAAATTAAACTTATTCTTTATTATTATTAATAGCTATACAGATTGTTACCAAAGAATACTTAAAGACAATGTCTGGCTTATCATGTTGACAGGCTTATGAGCACTAACACTATCTACTCATATACCACATTTCTCTCTAACAAAGACCTACAGTTAAACACTTCCATACTAGCTCAATGTCTCCAAGCCATTCTTTCCAACATGCTAGATTTGTTGCAAGATCCTCTCCCCATTAAGGCTCCCTGTACCATATCCCCTGTCGTGGATTGAACTGTGTCTCCCCCAAAAATATACTGAAGTTCTAATCCCCAATACCTATAATGTGGCCTTATTTGGAAACAAAAGACTTTGCAAATGTAATCAAATTAAGAAGATGTCATACTGGATTAGGGTAGGTACTAAGTGTAACAAGTAGTGTGCTGATAAGAAGGCCATTGAAGGGCCACGTGAAGGGACACACAGATGCATGAAAAATGTCATGTAACTATGGAGGCAGAGATGATGCATCTAGAAACCAAAGAACACTAAGTACTACCAGCAAGTACCAGAAGCTAAAAGAGGCAAGGAAGGATTCTTGTTTAGAGGCTTTGGCAGAAGCATTATCATGATGGCACTCTGATTTTGGACTTCCAGACTCTAGGACTATGAGAGAATAAATTTCCATTGTTCTAAGCCACCTAAGTTATGGTGATTTGTTATGGCAACCCTAGGAAATGAATACATCCCAAAACTCCTACAGCCCCAAGTGGCAGAAGTAAAGAAACCAGGCAAACTTGCAGTCCAAGTGATGACTGCCAAGAACTCCACACATACATGCCTGGCAGTAAGATGTATTTCATGGGAGGCATATACTAAAATAGCCCAAAGAGTTTGACCATACTCTTCAATGAATTAATTCTTCTTTCTGAGCTTAAAAGAATCACATCAACAGGAGGGCATTAGGCCTAGATCAACAATGGCAAATAGAGCTTAACTGAGAATAGCTGGATTACAGTGTTATGTTCAAAATTCTGTGGAGTCATCTGGGCAAAGATGCAGAGACAAAACAAACAAACAAACAAAACGAAAAAAACAGAAAAAACTAATTATCCTTATGCCTGTGACCATCCTCTCCAGTTTCCTCTTCTGCTGCCCACTGTAACATAGCATATTCTTAGGGTTCTGACACAGACCCACTTCATTCCATTCCCCATATATTCTCTTTGGACAGACCCACTGATTCTTATAGTCTTACCACTTACAGCTTCTGTGGATACCTTCCAATCTATCTCTCCTGGCAGCATCAGTCTTCTGCTCTTGTCTAGGCCCATATATCCAACTGCTGGATAGACATCTCCACTTAGCTATCTCAGACAATTCAAAGCAACTTGTCTATAACAGAACTCACCAGTTGCTCCCCTAAGCCTGCTCCTCCTCCCACAGGCTATCTCTCAGCTGGTGGCACGATCATATACCTAGCTAGAAAACTGAGTTTCTCCCTAGTCTATTTCCTCCTTCTCACCCCCGCCTCCCATTCCAAATCAATTTCCAAAAGTTGCCAACCTTAACTTCTAAGTAATTGTCTTCTTCTTGATACCTGCTATCACTCTCCTAATTCAAACTCTCATCAACTCTTGCCTTTTAAGATTAAGACTGGGTATCACTGCCTCCAGGAACCTCTGCAAGGGACTGTATTTGTCTTGTTTTCCCTTGTATTCTTGGAATTTGGCATTGTGTCTAACACTGTAGGCAACAGATGATGATGATAACTATCATTTATTGTCCACATTCTATATTTACACAGTTATACAATTCTATCAAGAGGTAGAATTGGCTGGGTGTGGTGGCTCACACCTGTAATTCCAGCACTTTGGGAGGCCGAGGTAGATTACCTGAGATCAGGAGTTTGAGACCAGCCTGGCCAACATGGTGAAACCCAGTCTCTACTAAAAATACAAAAATTAGCCGGGCGTAGTGGCACATGCCTGTAATCCCAGCTACTCAGGAGGCTGAGGCAGGAGAATTGCTTGAGCCCGGGAGACGGAGGTTGCAGTGAGCAGAGATCATGCCACTGCACTCCAGCCTGGCCGACAGAGCGAGACTCTGTCTCAAAAAAAAAAAAAAAAAAAAAAAAAGAGGTAGAATTACTGAACTGATCTGATATTCAATTTAGATTAAAATATACTCATAAGATAAAATACTGAAATGCATATCTGTTCATTCAATAAATATTTATTGAGTGTACGCTGTGTGCTAAACACCGGGGATAAAATGGAAAACAAAGAAAACAAACAAGTAAGTGAGTATATAAATAACTTAATTTCAGACATGGGAAAAAGTCTAGCATCTCTCAGGAAACCCATTCCAAGCTTCTTCTCAGGCTACCTGCGGGGAGGGATGTTGGCAGGAAGAAAAGAGACCCCTCCCCACTTAGTCCACCCCCTTGCTCTAGAAGATTATTCCTAGATACCACCCCCAACCTCAGGCATTGTTCAGACACTTAAGAAATCCTTAAATTTGCAGCATGTGAATCCTCTGCCAGGCTAAGTAAGGCCAACTTAAATTTTTCTATCATAATACCTTTCTTTGTTCTTCAGAAATGTCAAGAAACCTTATGACCACATGCAAGCTGATGGTAATTAAAAGAAGACACTGTCTTCATCTCCACAACGCCAACTCCTTTTAAAATGTTTACCCAAGACAAGAGGACATTTCTGTCCATCACCCACTGCACGCTCATCATTTCTTCCCAATTACAGCCACTCTTGGATGTGATCTAGGAAAAAAATCCACATCTATTCACTGAGTAAAGAGAAGGATTATTCTGGTAGGTGACATCCATTTTTCATGCCTGCCATCTGAAATTCTTACTAACATCCTCAGAAGTAAAAGCCCCATTCGGGCTCAAAAGGACCCAGGGAAATCAACACTGAAATGAGGATATGGATGGAGGCTGTTCTGGTCATCCTAAAACAGAGAGTAGGTTTTACTGATGGTACACGTTTATTTACTGAGATACTTATTCCATCATGCTACATTTCTTTTTATCAGGGATTCTTTTCCAACAGCTCAAATTATTTCTGGGTGGGAAGTTACTACGTGCATAATCTTCAGTTGGGCTGGAAAAGACAACTGGATATTAGTTTGTCCAAAGAGCCCCTCTAAGGTTGATAAAATTAAATGACAGCTACAGGGAGCATCATGTACAAAAAAGCAGCAAAAGGGGGTGGTGGAGAGGAATGGTCTTAGAACTTCTCAGCAGTTTTGCCTATACAGGTTATTACTGAATCAGATTTGAGAACTATAAGAAGTCACACGGCAGTTTTTGATTAAACTAACATTTACTGTGTAAGAAGTGCCACAGATACAAAACTAAGAAAGACACATTTTTCTTCTGGAGGGGAAGACATATGAATCAACCAAGAAATACAAAACTGTGTGACATCACTAGAGTAGAGGTACGAAAGTGCTCATGATCTGACCAGCCTCGGGGAATCCCAAGGAGAATGCACCAGAAGTAGTATAGGACATTAAATGGACACCTAAGTTGCCATCTACCACTCTGTTAATTCCCTTAATTTTCCCCGACATCTGACTTTGTCCTCTCCATATCCCTACACAAAAAGAACCAAACCACCAAATAACTTTACTGTCATTAAGACATGGCTTCATTATCATCATTCAGTCACCCAACAAATAATTATTGAGCACCTACTATGGGCCAGGTGCTGTGATAGCCTGGCTCTCTCACAGGCGAGGTCTGGTGAGCCATTTATCCTGGACCTCATATCCATAAAGGGCTGATAATATAGATTTTTAATATCATCTCCAAATGATATCCTATATACAGTCACACAGATAAACTTCTAGGATTCAACCTCAAAGCATATCACAATTTTTATAATCCTGTATTGCCAATTTTAAAAATATACACCCAAGTCCTCCTACTGCCACCCATGGATATGATCCAGGTCTCTCCTATTCCCTATGAGCATTTAAGAGAAAGCAAACAAGCCAGTTGTTATACCTTCCCTCACAGAACTTATTGCTTAGTAGAGAGAAAGGTATCAAACAGGACACATACCAAACTGATAACTGTAGTTGCCGCAGGGGAGGAGAGGAGCATGACATGAGGCTGAGCTGTTAAGCAAAGCTTTCGCTTGCCCTGAAGTGTTTGAATTTTTACCATATGCACATATCCACAGTATTCCCTGAATAGTCATTATCAGTTTCTCTATCAGGGTCATCATTAAGAGAAGAGCCAAGAAAGGGACCAGAAGACAAGCTGGCCCCAAATGAGGCTGACCCCAATGCTGAGGCAGTGAGAATGAGTGAAACATCTAGTTGCCAGAGGTGACTGCGTTTGTCTGAGGATAAAATAGCTGCACACAACCTTGTGATGACCATCCTCTGCATGCCCCATGGGAAGTACCGCTAGGCCTGGACACAAGGCTTCCTTTTCCTGGGCTCTCTACTGGGCTCAATCGCCTAATGACCCTACAAATGGAACAATGTACTTTCAAGAATTGAGTAATATGGATGATCAATGTGTTACTCTCGTCCTGATTCGAAACTTGTCTTTTCATGGAGAGCAATAAATCTTATCAGTAGATGCCAAATGCCCCTCAGCTGAATCACAGCTATATCGTCTAGACTGAAATGTCTCATCTCCATTTTGCCAAATTCTGCCTTGTCCATTACAGTTAATCTCATAATCCACATAGACACCACACAATTCCATAAACAACAGAGCAGCCCCTGCTAACCAGCCCTCCCTCTGAGGAAAGCCTGAACATGTATAAACGATCTCAAGCCATGCCAGGGAAATAAGAACAGATATCATGGAAACCATGTTAGCATGTCAGTGCATAGCCTACTGATGACAAACTCAGCAGTTATGCCAGACGAATTTAGGAGTCAAAATGTTTCCTTACACTGTCATTGTTTTCAATTTTCTGATTATATTTTTGAGATACATTCAATACCTCTGGCTTTACAGAACAGAGGTATGACCAGTGACTGATCATTCAATAATGCTTCTAATCAGAGTGATTATATGTGAGTGTACAAGTGTGTGTATGTTTGTGTGTGTCAGTATTATTTTGTTTTAGTATGACAGGTGACCTCTTTGCCATGTACACTTGTTACGGGTATGTGCACATGTAAAGCCAGCATAGAGAAATGCAATCAAATGTAACTCTGCAGGAGGAGGAAGAGTAGCAGAGGAATGGCTCTCTGCAGGGGATGTCACGTCTGAGCTCTGCTGTGAGAGGTCAGTGGGAGCTTGCATGGTGGATAGGGTTGTCAGATAAAATAAAGACACCCAGTTAAATCTGAATTTCAGAAAAACAATGAATGACTTTTTAGTAGGTATGTCCCAAATATTGCATGAGTGTTCTATATTTTTATCTGCTAAGACAGGCAATCCTAATGGTGGGAGAAGGACAGATGTGTATGCCAACCATCTTTCCTTCTTTGTCATGAATATTGTCAATATCAGCATCTATTAACGTTTACAGAACATGGGGAATGGAGTCCTTGCTCTTGGGGAACCCTAAGAATTACTCCTCCTGCCTAAAACACTCAGAACATGCCTGCTTCTTCAACCACAGCCTCCTCGAGATCATGCACTACAACTTATTCCTCCTTCTTCAGGACCTAGGCCAGTGACGGAAATGTCATAAACACAAAAGTACATTTTTAGATAAATGAGAATATAATATGGAATTATAGTAAAGGGAGGAAATTTGGGGTGAGAGGGCTAAAGATGACAAAACTGTGCATGGCTGAAAATACAGGCAACTTCAAGACGAATGACAATAGCCAAATGTGCAGCCATCTCCAACACCTATGAGCAGAACTGAACAATCTTTTAGCTTGGTTAGTATCATTGAACTGTCTCAAACTAGTGAAAAGTATACTAAGCACCACGGGCAATTTCAGGGAAGAGGGGAATGCACTAAATTGGGAGACCAACACTTATACAATTATCTGTTTTTTAAAACCCATGGTTAAGGAGGCCAAGGCATCGTAAAAGCAAAATGGGGAACAAGCAGTTCTAATTGGAACAGTTCAAGAAGTTTTAGGTAGAGAAGTTATATGAGGTATGTAAAAAGCCATGGCCCTCAGAGAGGCTTTGCACTTTATAGAATGTGTGTGTGTGTGTGTGTGTAATTATAAGTATATATACATGTATAAACATGGCTGCAAGAATAGTATATTCCCACATACTGTGTGTTATTCATATCAACTGATTGGAACTGAGCCTTAGGGAGAATCCACATTTTCTTTCAAAATACTCTAGAGTAGAAATGTTTAAACAAATAAAATAGTATTGATCCCATTTCAGATGTATAATAATTTTTCCTTTTTTAATGTATCTTCTTTTAAAAACAGCCTTCTCTTATTAAATAAGAAATACTTGGCCAGGTACAGTGGCTCACGCCTGTAATCCCAGCACTTTGGGAGGCCGAGGCGGTCGGATCATGAGGTCAGGAGATCGAGACCGTCGTCGCCAACATGGTGAAACCCTGTCTCTACTAAAATACAAAAAAATTAACGAGACATGGTGACGCGTGCCTGTAATCCCAGCTACTTGTGAGGCTGAGGCAGGAGAATCGCTTGAACCCGGGAGGCGGAGGTTGCAGTGAGCCGAGATCGCGCCACTGCACTCCAGCCTGGAGACAGAGCAAGACCCCGTCTCACAAAAAAAAAAAAAAAAAAAAAAAAGAAAAGAAAGAAAGAAAGAAAAAGAAATACTTGCTCACCACAGAAAACTTAAAAAATCCAGGTAAATAAAAATATAAAAATAAAAACCACCCATTATTCTTCCAGTTAGAGATAGTGACTCAAAATTTTTGCATATATATCAAGACATTTTTTCATATATATATATATATATATATATATGCATATGTCTATATTTAACAAAAGTGGTATCAGCCTCTATATGCAAATATAAGCTTGTTTTTTAAACTACAAAGTGTATCTATCCAAGTGACCAAATATATTCCCACACATAATTTTTAGTGCTTACATATATGTTTTCTACTGATGGCTTACTTAACTAAGTATTTATTGCTGAACATTAAAATTGTTTTCCATTTTTTGCTGTGACAAACTTCCTTACAGCTAAGTCTTTAAGGGCATCATCATTATTTCTGGGGAATCAGTTCCTAGAGGATCAATCGCTGAGTCAAATATTATGTACATTTTTAAGGCTTTTGATCCATATCACCACTTTCCTCTCTAGGAAGGTTGTGTCAATTTATAACGCTATATAAAAGGGCTTGTTTTCTTAATGTTTTCCAAATTTGGTCAGCCCAAGAAATCTGCCCATGAAATAAGAATTTATGTAGATGGAACAAATAGAATAATATATATATATATATTTTTTTCCGTAAGAAACCTTTCCTAAAAGCCAGGATTTTAAGAAATCCCACTTACCCACAATTAGCCTTTGGTGCAGTCAACTGATTTAGACAAGAACTTTTTAAGCCAACTTTTCAATCAAAGTCTGCCATGTTTGTGGAACTGTGGCTATTTACCATTTTACAATGACTTAATTGCAAATTAATGTATATCTTTTTTTTCTTGAGAAGATATAATAAGCTACCTTTTTAAAATGACAATCCATTTTATTTTCCTGGAGAAAAGAATCCATTTGCTTTAACCATAATCAGAGGAAGGTTATTTGGTCAAACAAAGTAAAAACCATAAACAATAGATAGCCATCATTACCACAGTAACATTGGTCCAGCTAGGAATTCACTTAGCTAAATGGGTGACTTCCTACTCACATACCTCCTCAGTGCACAACAAACACAGGAGCAAACAAAAGCCTTTACAGAATCCAGAACCACCAGGCAAGAAGATATAATAATCAAGCAATCAAGCAAAAGTTTAAAAATACTGCCTAAACTGCACCAAAAAAAAAAAAGAAAAGAAAAGAAAAGAAAATGATACTACAAGAGAGAAGTTAATGAGGCAGAAAGATATTCTCAAATATAAAACCCCCTCCAGGACTTTTAAGAAAGGTATCAGAGGCATATGGAAGGCTAAGTCCAGGATGGATTTAACTGAAGAAAAGGATATTTAGAGATTATCAACATTTTCTAATGCAACAGAAAACCAAGCCAACTTAGTCTCCTACTTAGTAAGTGCCAGCTCTATTCTTCATCTTTTTGGAGATCCAGAAAAATCAAAAAGAGAAAATATCCAAATATAGAAGCTTAATTTAACAAAATTGGAAAAACCTAAACTATACTGTGCTCTGGTGACCTAGCAATCAAATAATCACAGTCATTTGGTCAATGTCTATGATTAACTCAATGAGACAGGATGTTTGGCTATAGCACCAGGTACAAAAAATATATTTTCATGAAGGATCACTCCCTCTTATGTAATAGATTTGGGTGAGTGAGTGAGTGAGTGAGTGCATGGACTCACAGCTTTTGGCTTTCTGAAATACCCTGCATCAGTCTTGTTATGATGATTCCTTAGTGCTGGGATGGATCATCCAGGCATTTAAGGTAACACGATGGTAATTCTTTGCTCATTTTTCAGGGAAAAAAAAAAGTTATCACTTCCAAAGTCGGCATAGTCACCCGAAGTAAAAAAAAAAAAAAAAAAAAAGCCTCAGAGGCAAAGGAAAGGGGCCGCAACCTTGGTTAACTGTGAAATGACGAATGAGAAAACTCCTCCTGCTGAAGATATTCAGGTATATAAAGGCACATGAAGGAAAACTCAAAACATCATTGTCATATACACATCTTCTGGATTTTTTAGCTTGCAAAAAAAATGAGCACCAAACCTGATATGATTCAAAAGTGTTTGTGGCTTGAGATCCTTATGGGTATATTCATTGCTGGCACCCTATCCCTGGACTGTAACTTACTGAACGTTCACCTGAGAAGAGTCACCTGGCAAAATCTGAGACATCTGAGTAGTATGAGCAATTCATTTCCTGTAGAATGTCTACGAGAAAACATAGCTTTTGAGTTGCCCCAAGAGTTTCTGCAATACACCCAACCTATGAAGAGGGACATCAAGAAGGCCTTCTATGAAATGTCCCTACAGGCCTTCAACATCTTCAGCCAACACACCTTCAAATATTGGAAAGAGAGACACCTCAAACAAATCCAAATAGGACTTGATCAGCAAGCAGAGTACCTGAACCAATGCTTGGAGGAAGACAAGAATGAAAATGAAGACATGAAAGAAATGAAAGAGAATGAGATGAAACCCTCAGAAGCCAGGGTCCCCCAGCTGAGCAGCCTGGAACTGAGGAGATATTTCCACAGGATAGACAATTTCCTGAAAGAAAAGAAATACAGTGACTGTGCCTGGGAGATTGTCCGAGTGGAAATCAGAAGATGTTTGTATTACTTTTACAAATTTACAGCTCTATTCAGGAGGAAATAAGGTATATTTTTGGAATTAAAATTCCTTTTCCCTCCGAAATCTCTTTCTCCTTCTCCTCCTCCAACTTCTTTTTAAGGATTGTTGTGCTGTCCTGTAAGCCTGTCCTCAGTTGGACTGGTAGCCTCGGAACATCAGGGACACTCACCTCTCTAAGGAGAGGTAATGCCAACCATCCTCAGGGTGACCAAGAGTCTCCTTAGAAAGTCTTTAAGACATTTTTAAAGGAATAAGATTCCCTCTCCGTCTTCTTCTATTCTCTCTTGCTCTTTTCTGTGGCCATTTTGAAAGAGCTTTGCTATATATACCACCTGTGGACTTCACCAAGACAATGGCTAGAGGATAGGGAGCAGAGAATGTTGCAAAATGGTAACATTTCAATGACTTAACTGTTTTGCTGCCAAGGTTGCTTATCCTATGAAAATTCAGCACATTAAAAGAGCTTATACATGCTCCCTAGAGTCAATACTCTTGCATTTTCCCCCTCCTGCTCGGGGGGAAAAAGGTTGACATTTCTGGCCCATTTCCTTCTCAGCTTGGTTTGTTTGAATTGATGCTTGTGGAATAGTATTTCATTACTTTAAGAGTGAAGATCCATAGTGAAATTGGATGGATGGTTGAATTAGACGACCATTAAGCTTTCATTTAACCTTTGAGAGTCTGTGATTCTAATGTAGCACACTCTTCATTCCTGATGTATATTGTTTGATTCCTACATCTAAAGGCATGGAAAATGCTGTGGAAAAGTATGGTACAGAATCTGTCTTTTACTGTTTTTCATGTGCCTGAAATAAAATGTCCAGAGTCATAATATGGAACAATTTTACATTAGATTTTCCTAGTTAGAAGACTACATTCTGTGAGTTAATTTAACTAGCTATTCCAATAATACATAATACTTTAATATCTTTTATCTTTTTAAAAGTTACTTTGCAGCCAGACTACCTAGATTATTTACTTTTCTAGCACGGCCCTTCATCTATATTAATTCACCACCTAGCTGACATGGATTTTCTCTTCCTCTCGCACCTCTATCTACCCCATTTCAGAATCATCTACCTTCAAGCAAGAATTAACAGAGATTGTGGCTACGCAAATGCACCAAAAAAGGGTGAAATATATCTGAAATGTACCTGGTTCTGCCCTTGGAAGCCATTTCCTGCTCATGCCACTAACAGCATGCTGCCAAACTGTTCAGATTCAAGATTATTCCAAGCGCAGGGCCCAAATGTTATAGCCAAAGAAAGTCTTATGATAAAAGTGAGGCAAATTTCAGCCAAGAAGTTAGAAGAGATGTTTAAAAGAACAAGAACAAATTGTGGATCATGGTATATGCAGGCTATCAGCAGAAGGATCAGACAATAAAATGAGTTAGTGCAAACCATTTAGTAAAAATAACTATCAGCAGAGTTGTTCCAGATTAAAAATAGTACTACAAGCTTGTAAAGGAGTTAGGACATGCAAGCTACTGAGCATAAAATATATACTTGCTATTTTTCATGACTTTCTCTAATAAAGTCTTTGCCTGTTCTCTCTAATAACTTTACTGGAATGAGGTCAATTACTTTAGTCATTTATGGTTGCAGTCCTGCCAAGTGTTTGCTATCCTGGAGGAAAGAGAATGGCTGAGAAAGCCGAGCTGAGCTTTCAGTTAATATACATTTTCTGAATGTGTGGCAGGGGTAGAAGTCAGAACAGTATGCTTTTTTAAAGATCACATCTAATCAAAAGAAAAAGGATAACATCTCCACTGGAAAAAAGGCAAGGGCACAAACTGACATCATCACAAAGGAAGAAATACTACAGACAATGTGAAAAATGTTTAATCTAACTTGATTTTTAAATGCAAAATAAGATGACAAGATACTCCCATCAGTATGACAGAAAAGAAAAAGAATGACAATATAAAATGTGAGTGGAGTGTAAGGTATAGGAGCCTTTGTGCATTACTGGGAGGAAAGTAAACTGGGACATGTTTTCTACAGGGAAATATGGCAATCTTCAATATCCTAAAGAACGCATCAGCCCCTGTGACCTAGGTATCACGTCTTCCGAAATTTATTCCAAGGAAATAGGTTTATGATATCTCCCCCTTTTACATTCATTTTCACCATTCGATATTTTCTATTTTTTCCTATAGTGATTTTTTTGGGAAGATTTTTAATTCTAAAAGAAACTGTACAAGCTTAACTTCCACTATAATTACCCTGTTTTCCTTAGCGGGGTAGGCCAAGACAAGAAATGCTCTTTTATTTTGTTAATGATGCCTTTGGGTACTTCTTGAGTAACTTTGGTCTTTTTTGTTGCTTCTGGGTTGCTGCTGCTAAATTTCAAAGGAATCCTTCCTTGGGGATCATTTTCATAATGAAATGTTTGTAAAGTGCCTTGCAGTACTTCAAAGATGTTGCTTTTTTTTCTTTTCCTGGTTCCACCGTTGGGAAGGTAAAGAGATATAATACCCAGAAATCACTAGAGAAAGTGCTCTATGTGTCGCATTCCTGGCTTAGCAGTCTCACTTCTTTTATGTTAAATGGAAACTCAAAAGTTCTGTTGAGTTCGCAAAGGGAAAACTCTCAGAGCTGTGCAGAGCCAAGCTTCTGGTATCCACTGACAATGTCTGAGTGGGTACATAGATCATAATGTTCCTACAGAAGCCTCTTTCTTCCCCTGGGTTGAGGAGGAATCAAAAGTGTAATTGAGCTTCCTTGGAAGAGGGACTCATTGGGGATCCCACAGGAAAAGCTGGCAACAGCAAGTCAACTGCAAGGCTATGGGGTAGCATAGGTTCTAACAGGTGCACAGTCTCAGTCAGCCTCCCCTCAGAGGCAAGACAACTCGCTGGGCACCATCTGGGGACCCTGACTTCTCAGAGTAGCTACTTTGCTTTTGCCCCAGTTCTTTAATCAATAATCCACACTAAGAATGAACACAATGTGTAAGCATCTGACTTGTGCAGGGAAACAGGGCCGCCTGCAACCCAACAAGCGCACCCACAGGGGAACTCGGGACCATCCTAAGCCACTTGTTCTCTGGGACGTGGAAGCAGGAACTGTGCTCTAGCCGTATCTGTGTTGCGTCGTCTGAGTCCTCTTTTTCTACAATGAAGAAAGGGGACTTGGGATTTAAACTTGGAGCGGTACTCAAAGCCAGAACTCCACGTTCATTCCGGAGTGAACCACCACACTACTATTTCCAGGCAACGTCATAAGGCTTCCTCGTTATTTGCATCTTCGTTCTCTTTTTGGCGACTAGCCTGCCCTCCCGCCCTTGGAAACTTGTGGACCCCAGAATCTCAGCTTTCCGCCTACCAAAGGTGCCCCGATCCCCTCCCACTGCCCTAGCAGCGGCCCAGCCCCAACGCCTTTGGCTAGAGATTGAAATCCTCTGGAACCAACCACTGGACGCTCTGGATTGGGGCGGAACGCGCTTCCACTGTCTCGAAAGCAGCACCTTCTCGGATTTGAGCCTTTGCGGCGCGCCTGGGCTGAGATCTGAGAAATGCGCCCTGGGCCACAGGCAGCAGCGGAGGCGGGGAAGGAACAACTTTCCCTCCGCCCTCTAACCACAAGGGCGGGGTGGGGCGGCCTCGCTGGGGTCGGGCTCCTCCACTTTCCCAGCTGGGATCCCCTGCCGGAGCTGGCGTGGGGGCCGGGGAGGGGGACCAGAGGGGCTTCCTTCTCTCCCCAAGCCCCGCCAGATGTTGGAAAGGCAAACAATAGGGGAAACGCGGAGAAACAAAAGGCCATTCGCCACGATCTCAGTCGGCTGCGTAGAGAGATCTCTGTGGGGAGGGTTAGGGGAGAGGGTCAGGAAAGAGCGCGAGGGGGGGGATCCCGAGAGATTTAGAGTCTCTGGTACTTGCCAGGCACCAGGGGTCGGCGCTTTACCCTCCCAGCAGGGGTCTGAAGGTGGGAAGGGGCAATCAAAGAAAACTTGAAGGGTTTTCACCTTCTTCCCCAGTTCAGGGAAAGGGAGGGGCTGGGATTCCAGATGTTTGACAGTTGTTGGCCCCAAAGTTAAGCGCGATTTGTACGGCCTTTACACGCTCCCCACCTCCGTGAGGCATCGTCAGCCCCGGGGGCGACCTGGCTGACGGTGCGGACTTCCCCTACGCTGCCCCAAGCCGAGACTCCTCCCTCAGGATCAGGACGCCCAAGCGTTGTCCCCCAGCCCAGGCGCACTTTTGTAAAAGTTTGTCTTCCCGCCACCCACAGCCCAACACGCACCCTGCAGGCGTCCGCGGCTGGGGATGGGCTCGGAGTCTTGCACCCCGAAAGAAGGACGATCTTATTGATTTATATCTTTTCAAATCAAGGACAAATCAAGATCCCGGGGTGGAAAGTGGGCGACCCTTGTTCCTGCCGGGAAGTGCACACGAGGAGCCGGCCAGAAACCCAGGCGCCGGCAGGGGTCTGAAGAGGACTCCAGCCCCGGAAGCCCGTGGCCGGCGGGCAGAAGACCGGTCCGCCGCCTCCCGCACCTTCTTGCACCCGCGCCCAGGTGCGCCCCAAACCTCGCCGCCCGCCCGGGCGAGATCGGGAGCGAGCAGCCACCGGGCTGCGCCGCCTCCCCTAGCTTGGAGCGGGTTCTTACTCACCGTGGGGTTTTACCTCCAGCCCAGGGCCCGGTCGGCTCCCTTCGCCGGGTCAGCTGCAGCCAGCGCGAAAGAAAATGGTGAGCTCGGGGCAGGTGGGGCGTCGCTTGCCAATCCACGCAAGGGACTCTGCCGCCGGTGCGCGAGGTCCCGGCGAGCCAACCGGCGGACGGGCGAGCGCCTGGCTCCAGCTGCAGCCGCCGTCGCTCCGGAGCAGCCCCCTCATGCACCCAGCGCGCCGCGCAGCCGGCCGGGGCTCGACTGTCTCGCGGGGACGCCGAGCGGGGACCCCTGGCGGCCGCCTGCGGTATGGCAGCACCGTGGAGAGAAAAGTCGTCTTTGGGATCATCTTCCCTCCGGAAAGAGATGGGACATGACCAGTCTAAGGGGGCTTCCAGCCTTGCAGAAAAGACACTGGGCCAGGGCAGTGAAGAAGGTGTCAGATCAGAAAGGATGATCTCTGGGTCCACAACGGCCACTTCCAAGGCACCTAGAGAGGGGGAAACAGTTTGCCTTCCCCAGGATTTTCTGATTGTTGAAAAATACCATGAACTGCCTGACACAGAGCGGAGCATAAATCATTGGAAAATACTCAGATTCTAGTGGATTTACTAGAACACACTGGGAGTCATGGATGAACCTGGATTTTAAAGCTCAACCCACAGCCCGCCACTCTCTACTTGTGTGGTCTTGGTCTATCTACAACCTTAAAGCCTCAGTATTCTCCTCCGTAAATTGGCGGGGAGCAATATCACCCTTGCAGGGTGATGGTTACGGGTAAACTACATTTGAAACGTTTTTATAGTTTATAGTAACAGAAATCAAATATGAGCTTCCTGCCTTCTGGAGAAAAAGAATTGGATCTTTCACATTTTTCTATTACCCATATGATCACATCTTAATGCATATTGATTGAACTGTACCAAATGACGAAGTACTGCATTTTACCATTCTTACTACACACTTCAAAGAGGTGTGGAAATATATTAAGTAGAAATTAGGATATATAGAGAAAACATCCCTCCTCCAAAAGAGGTTTCTGCAACTAACTACGAAGTGAGAACTTCTAAAATCACTTACATCTTTTGCAATATCATCTCAGATATTGTAAGAAACATTTAATAAATAGTCATGACTTAATGATATCAACCCTGGATTAAATGACTCTAATTCTGTGTCACTTTTGTGTAATGTAAAGATACCGATTGTGAATATAAGACTCAAATATGGGAAAACTGCCAGATACAAAAATACAGCCGCTAAGCAATATTTCTGTTCATCACCGAGGAATCTCATTTCCAAAGTGCCCCAGTTTTTAAGAGGAAGAACACCAGAGTCAGACAGACCCATAGCAGCTGAGTCTAACCTTTCTGAAGCTCTGTTACCTCATCTTATAAAATGAGGATAATATAGGTAGCTGTCATTCAATGAAGGAATGCATACAACATGCTTAGCATAACACCTGTCACATGGTAAGTGCTCCAGGGTCACCACCTATCATTGTTTCCAGCATACAGTTATCACCCCACCGACATGTAGCCCCTCCCTCATGAGCTCAAGAGCCCCCAGCACGTGTTCTACTCACACACGCACAAGCTTCAGTGTCCCTTAAGATGTTATCTCCTGGAAAGTAGGAACAGAAAGAGAATATTTTCAGGTAGTTTGGAACAGAATGAATAACATTCACATTCCTTGCCCAAGTCAGTACAGATTAATTTCCATCATTTCCAACTCATACTTTATACATTTCCCATAAGAGGAAAATCATGCTGGTTTTCAGTAGCATATGAAAAAAAAAAAATTCCAAGAGGATTCTTTTGCCAAGCCACTTCATTACAGCTTCCCCTTAGAGGATACCAAAGAAGCACAGGGATATTGGAAAGGTGTCACCATAGCAACATTGTAATAGACAGATGACAATAGAGTAAAAGCGAAGAAAGCACATTTGCATAGTCATTGACAAACTTGGACCTACAGTCATATTGCTCTGGGCAGCAGTGCTCAGAGTCCAAGGGCTACTCAAAGTAAATTTGGTAAGAGGCTATTTCTATTCATTTTGGCTGAGTCTGACTACCCAGTTCATTGTGCTCATGTGTGTGCTAATTGTAATTGTTACAGGCAGTTCACTAACAAACAGCAGACATCCTCAAGAGTCCCTTTCATCCTAAGCAATGTGAGTTCACAAATCTAAATGTGTACCTAATAAATCTTCAATAGTAAAGCGTACTTCCTCCTTACCTGCTTCTGTTTTGTTTTCAAAACCTTAAATAGTCACAGGTATAGAGAAATTGTCTCAATGCTTATGGGAGCTTCTGTGATAACTTATGTTAATTAACTCTGGGTACTGAAAAGAAACAAACGTGCATGGCTTCCCCTAAGCACTGAGGTAATGGCAATTCAAATAACAGCAAATTTATATATGTGATATACACAGATTTATATATATATAAATATATCACATATAGATATATAAGAAGACATCATATATATATACACACACATTTTAGAGATCATATATATCTTTTAAGCAATTTCAAACCATACAAGAATCCATATATGATCTTAAGGCATAATTTCTGCCAGCATACTTCTCAACATTTATAATGACACTAAATGTCTATAGTCGTTTCCTCTGAAATGCACATTACATCAATCCCTTTTTGTGAAAGTGGAACTAAGGCATAAAAAGGTCAGAGTTCAGGAGCTGGGAAGAACATATGACAGTGTTCAAAGTTGTTTCAGTGACAGCTGAACAAGATAGTGTCATGTGGAATCATAATGGACAATTATCTGCTTTCTGGTCTATAGGAATAGAGTGAGTGTTCTTTCCCAAGTTTAAAAAAAAATTATTGAAAAGAGACTGTACTCTTTCTTCCTGCTCTTAGAATCTGTTTTGTTTATAGTGACCCAATGCTCCTTCATATCTATCAGATGGTATTTTTTTCTTATTTAAAAATACCCATGTGGTTGAGGCTGCAGTGAGCTATGATTGCACCACTGCACTCTAACCTGGGCAATGAGACCCTGTCTCAAAAAAAAAAAAAAAAAATAGTTTGTATCCTTAATAAGCGACCCTTCTTCTCAAGAGATGAGCCTGATGTTTCTGTCTGGCTTAACATTAGCCAGGTGTGGTACACTTGTGATCTGCCTCAGTATTCTGAGTAATGGAGAGGAGTTCTCTCACTGTGAAACAGGTCAACTTAGATACGATCCAAAAAGGGTTAGTTGCCAGGAGAACCAAAGTCTAAGGTAGTCATATCTACAAGCCCATAGCCTGGACCCCCAAATTAATCCTACAGTGAGACTTTAGCACCTTTCACAAGTGGAGAAATCAGACCACTGTGTGCTCAATGGGTTTGGAATGTTGTGCTTTCAAAGTAATTAATACAGAAAGGCATAGAAAGATAGAGAAGAGACTAGTGACTCATGGATGCTTCCAACGTGATATAACGCCCCTTTCTCTTCTAAATAGTAAAATAATGAAGATCTCAAAGAGACTTTCTCTCTTTGAGAAACACAGCTTTACTGCTTTTGTGATCAATGCCCACTGCCCTCACCAACAAATCAGTCATTAATTCCCAACTGCCTTGCATTGCAAATATAGAAAAAAAGGTTTTTGGATCTCCTTAGCTCTCTTTGAATGTCTATAGGAAAGAAATGAAGGAAGTAAACTTTTCTACTGCCAGACTGAAGGTAGATTTTGATAAACTTGGAACCTCTCCAAATCACCCTCTACCCTCCTGGCATAGAAAATAAACAAGATTTTTCCCTTTACATCATAATTAAGGAAAGAGACAAAAATGAAGGTATCATCCAACCTGATCTTCTTTAGCCTCTAGCTGTTCTAACGACACAGAACTATTTTCTCAAGATTCCAATTAGGTTTGCTATACTGCTCAATATTAATTTCCTCTTAAGAAGCTACTTCACCATTTGGAAAGCCCCTTGGGTTGAATAATTATTGAATTTCTAAATGGCCTCTGGCTAGCCTCAATTGCATGAGTGTTTCATGTACAGTAAGTAATATGAAAGAGGCTTGCCTTGGGTATTGAACAGCCTCTAATGATGCTTTTCAGAGGGAAAAAATCCCTCTGAAAAGATTTTTGGAAAAGTTTCAGTTAAATTTTTCCCAAGTCTTCTTGTCTACTGCTCAGCAGAGTCTCTGTAGAAATGAATAGATAACTTCCTTCCTTCATTTTTCCCTTCCTTTTTTCTTTCTTTTATCCTGCCCTCTTCCGTCTTTGTTTCTTTCTCTTCTCTTCTCTGTTAGAGGATTTATGATAGCTAGGTAACTCATTAAGGTTTCTATCCAGTGTCCCAGAAGAATAATTCTTCTTTTTAATAAAATGAATTACATTTTCATTCCCTTTCCTTGTCTTTTTGTTTTCCTGTGTTCTTTTTGGTTTCTTTCAGCAGATGATAAACGATGTTTTCCTTTGAAATTGCTTCTCACTCCTGCTCAGACGGTCAGCATGAGAAGTCAAAAGGAAAGCATACACACTAGTAAGAGAATCAGGGCGTGGAAAAGGGTCTCTAAGACCCCAACCCCCAAGAAGGAGATGGAGACCCAAACATGCCAGTCATCAGTTTGAGGCTCATAGCTTGTTAGTTTAGAGCCAGATTTTGTACTTGTAGTTTGAGGAGCACAGCTTGTTAGAATCCAGATCTCATGGCTTTTAATCCAGAAATATTTCTTTGTTTGGGAGTTGTTTTTCATTGTTGCTGTTGGCCAGTAATTACGGTACTCTTGTGAAAAGGCTGTTTTATAGGTCAGTTATTTGGAAAGGCCGTTTTCCGTTTGTTTGGTACTGAATAAATGTGCTTGCCTTGTTCATTTGGCAATGTCCTGAGCTCCTCAATCTCTCAGTCCCTTCTTTTAGAAACAATGGTTTGCCTACAGGATGCCAGGTGCTTTTCTCAGGGCCCTGCTCCTGTTATATTTGATTTCTCTGTCAACCTTTTTACACTACTACATACGCCCAGAGTGACAGAAAAAAGGGAGAAGAGAAAGAAAGCAAAAGGAAACGAGAAAAGGAAGTTGAAAGCAAAAGAGGAAAGAAGGAAGGAAGGGAGGGTGGGAGGAAGGAAGGGAGGAAGGGAGGGAGAGATGTTGAAGATCACCAGTGACTTATACAGGAAAATTAATGATCAGATATCCTTTGTTAAATTTTAATACTGGCAGTCATGTCTGTTATTAGGGAATCCAAAAGTGATGAAAAGCAATCTCCCTTCCTTCTCCTCTGCTCTCCCCACTCCTACCCTACTACGCCCCAGGTTATACTTCACTGCATCTACTTGGATGATGACATAGGAGTCTGGCATTATGTTTCCTTAAAATTTGTCTGCCTTTTGTGGGGTTTGGTTGCCAACCACCCCTCTTATCCTACCTGCAATTTCCTCATTCCTTGTTTTATTTTTAGAAGAACACACCTACCCAGACACTCATTCTTTTTTACAAGTAGTCTAGTTGAAATGTGTTGACCTTGACCCCTATCGGCAGAACTGCTCAGCTGACCCATTGACTCTTGAGAAATAATAAGTAGTTGTAGTTTTAAGGTGCTACATTTTGGAGTGATTTGTTATGCAGTTTTATTGTGGCAATAAATAACTGATACAGATAATGTGGTGATCTTGATGAATACAAGAGTGCCTGGCCCGTAAGTAGACACTCAATAAATGTTGGACTGGAATGAACTGGCAAATAGAGTAAATTAATATTCATCAATAGGGGCTTAATTAAATATGTTGTGACATAGCCTAACAATGGAACACAATGCAGGTATTAAAAACAATGAATAAAAATTCAATGAGTTGATGGCTTAGGATTTGTATATTTGTCTGTGTATTATATTACATATCAGTAAAGAAAGCCTGTATACAAAGCAGCATGATAGCCTTTTAATATTAAAAAATCTACAATGTATATATTCATAGGAAAGTATCTGGAAGTACATATACCAAGATGTTGACAATGGTTCTCTAGGTAGAATCATAACAGGTTAATTTAAAATTTTTTCTATACTTCTTTATTTTATTTGAAGACGTTCAACTTTATTTTTTATAATAACAAAAGAGTAAGGTGATAAGATACTCTTTTCCTGAGTCCAGGACACATGGGGTGAGCTACCCTGATATGACATTTTCTCTTTCTCTCCCCAAAGCACAATGAAGATCTTGAAGGGCACACAGAGAGAGGGAAGGCAACAGAGGCAGGCTTTGTTGGACACCAAATGAATGTACTGAGCCATTGTTCCAAGACAGCTCTGTATTTTAAAGCTCAGCATGGGCCAAATTCAACCTCTGGATGAAATATGTGATTCTTGTGGCATTGTCAGAAGTGGCAAATGGATTCTCTCCTCCTAAATGTGGTGTGACTCTCCCATCAACCACAGGTAGCAAGTAACGGCACACTTGCCACGACCTCTACTGTCTGCTTTCTGTATCACTGCCTCAATCATGCCCCTCCTCTTGCCTTGTCTTGGTGAAGAGTGCCTGGCCAGCAGCCCTGCCTACCTCTCTCTTCTGGCCCTAGCGCCTTGCTCCAGCCCATGTGGTTCCAGCAAGCTCCACTTCAAGGGGCCCACCCTCCAGGGCATGTTCCAAGCATCACCAACCAGAGGGCTTCTTCTCTGAGAATTTATACATGGACCTTGAGGTCAGCAAGCAAGGATGATATAAGCCAGAGTTCTCTGCAGCCATCCCCTTTTCACCTCTCTCAGTTACGGATGAACTTATCTGTAAAATGGGAAAAAGAAACGACAAGAGAAGCACAGCTGAGAGAAACACCAAAAGAAAGAGTTGAAGACATTGTTTGAATTCCTGCATCCAGTAGTGCCCAAAGCCAGTGCCAACCCTGGAATTCCTAGCTACAAGAGCCAATGAAGTCCCTTTTGCTTTAGTTTGAGGTGGGCTCCTGTCACTTGCCACAGAAACTAGGAGAAAGCACAGTGTCTGTGCTGCAGTGAGAGAGGGCTAAAGTCCTCAGGGACAACCAATAAAGCACGAGAGCCAATGAATAAATACTTGAGGTGAGCAATTACAGGAGGCATTCTTTACATTTCTTAGAGAGCCAAGCAAAATTTAGCCCCAGTTGCCTGAAGTGGCCATATATATTATTATTAATAATGAATATAGTCAATAACCTGTAGGCAGCTCAGAAAAAATCTCAGTCATTAAGTGTTAAAGTACATTTGAGACCATTTGCCTCAGCATCTAGTGCAGCTCCGGATACACACAACGTGGAGGGCAGGGAACTAACATTTGGTGAGCACCTACTATGGGTTAGGACCTGTGCTGGACATTTTCACATACATTAGTTCATCTATTCCTCCCGAAGATCTTGGATGGTGGGTATTATTACCTTCATTTTGGAGATTAGGAAACTTGCCTAAGGTTCATACAGAGCTTCTTCGGTGCTCTCAATCATGACTGTTCCCTTGCATCCATCCCCTCTGTAAGAACTGAGATTAGCGTTTAGGGAGTTATAGCTGGTGCAGTAGACACCTCAGATGCCCTGTGTCACATCTCTTGACACATCTCTGATTTCAGTGCACTTATGATGTGGCCTCTTTCCCAGATCTCAAGCACGCAGCAGTCATTATTTCACTATCTGCCCCGGGACGGTTTCCACAGATGCAGGAGCTTGCTCAGCCTAGGAGAAAGCACAGTGTCTGTGCTGCAGCGAGGGAGGGCTAAAGTTCTCATGGACAACCAATGGAGCATGAGAGCCAATGAATAAATACTTGAGGTGAGCAATTACGGGAGGCATTCTTTACATTTCTTAGAGAGCCAAGCAAAATTTAGCCCCAGTTGCATGAAACGGCCAATTGCCAAATTCATCCTTATATTGACTTTTCCTCCTTCGTGTTGCAGGCTGACTGATCTCTCATTCCCACTTCCTGGAATCACCTCCCAAACAAACTAACTGCATACTAGTCCTTGTCTCAGGCTCTGATAGTGTGGGATTCCAAACTGGAAATGAAGACCATCTTGTGTACTGACTAGTGAAGGAAAACGTTATTGTTGTGAAGTCTGTAATAAAATAAGCTCAGCTTAAACCAGCAAGAGCAATTCCAAGCTAGGAACTATATTAAGAAATAGTCTCTTACATAGAACCCCCTTTGAGAAAATATACTCAAAGTCTATAACTTAAACATGCCTGGAAGGAAATACATCAAAATATTATTTATTATAATTCAATATATCATATTATTATATTAATTATTCTTCTCTTCTGAGTAAATTTTCAATGGACATTCCCCAGATGTTCCTCACTTCTCTTATCTATCAGTCTTGATCTGCCCCCTGGGGAATCACAATTCTTGTCACTGCAGTTAATAACCTTTTTTTTTTTTTTCTGTGACTCAAATTAGGTAGAAGATACTTAGCCATCATTCTCCACTTGGAAGGCAGCACAGCATGTTAGTTCAGAGTATGGTGTGGGCAACAAAAGAAGGTCAAATTCTAGTCATCTGGGTCACTTGGTCTGTCACCCAGGTTTTGCTGTGGAAACAAACAACTGCTTGTGATCATTAATTTTTAAATATGGACTAGGCTAAGGGATACCGAGATAGCTGGTAAAACATTATTTCTGGATGTGTCTGTGAAGATGTTTCTGGAAGAAATTAGCAGACTGAGTATAGAAGATCCACCCTTACCAATGTGGGAGGGCATCATCCAATCCATTGAGGGCCCAGAGAGGACAAAAAGGCAGAAGAAAAGCGAATTTGCTCTCTCTTCTGGTGCTGAAACATCCACCTTCTGGCTGGCCTTTGAACTTCAGGACTTATCCTACCCTAGCACACCCACCCTCCCAATTCCCCCATCCCATTTCTCAGGCCTTCAGGCTTGGGCTGAATTATACCACTGGCTCCTCTAGTTCTCCAGCTCAAAAACAGCAGACTGGGGGACTACTCAGCTTCCATAATCATGTAAGCCAATTCCCATAATGAATACCACTCCCCCACTCTGTTTCTCTTGAGAACCATGATTAATGATTAATATAACTCCAAAACTTAGTGGCTTAAAACTGCAAAGATTAATGCATGGCTTATGCAGCATGCACATCTTGATGGGGGTGGGAAAGGGGGCTCTGCCCATAGCTCCCACTATAGGACCTAGCCTGCAGAGCGCCACTATCTGGAATGTTAGTGGCCACTGTGGCAGAGTGAAAAGGAGGCAAAGCTCATGCAAAGCCTTCCATCTGAAAGTGATAAACGCTGCTTGTTCATGTTTCATTGGCCAAAGAGAGTCATGTGGTCATGCACAAGTTTCACTGAAAGGGAAAGGGCAATCTGCCTTGCAGATAAGAAAGGAGAAAAAAAGGGGGAGATTTTGAAAATGATTGTCCGATTTGGACAATCATTTAACCTAAGCTTCAGTGTTCTCATCATGTACTGAGGGGATATCCACTTTACAAGGTTATTATGAGGGTTAAATGTGAAACTGTAAAGTACCTGGCACACAGCCATTACTCAATAAATGCTGCTATTTTGACAGTGATCCTTTGTTTACCTGAAATATAATATTAAGATTTACTCCAATCTTTCCTACATCTCTGGGAGTAAAAAACTCTTGAATCTTTTTCTGGAGGTTGCATTTTCTAGTCTTTAAAAATGAGTCCAGTGCCTTTTCCCTGAATTTCTCCAAATTCTGACCATTCTAAGATATGGGTTCTAGCTCAGTGCTCCTCACACAGAAAGGTTCTAGTAAGGAATGAGAAAATACTTTCTGCTTTAAAGAAGAGCTACGCAAATATTAAATGAGAATAATTATATCTATTATTTATGGCGAATATTATTCTAGTACTCAGAAAAACTCAGCATAAGTTCATTAGAACAGTATGGGCCACATTAGAAAGAACATATTATCATTATGTTTGAAAAGCTAGGACTGGGTACAAAGTTACTACGATCGTATGGGCTTAGTTGGCCAAGTATGTTATTACAGTTTCAATGGAACCATCATCTTGTCAACAGAACACACAGTGAAACCTGCAGGGCCTTCCTCTGGCTTCATGACAGTGAGTAGACTCTCGCTTTCCCTAGGGAAGGCAGGGGCCTGGTAGGGTCTGAGCAAGAGCCTGAGGCATAGACTGTGCCCACCCTCCCCTTCTCCCTCCACTCATGCCAGTTTTTGGTTTAGAAAGCCAGCATTTTGAATATCAAGTCTCAAGACTTTCTCATTGTCCTCAGGGTGGGTTGCTGCCCCCCACACCCTCCTTGTTCCCATATGAAGGTCATTGACCCCTAGTTTTGTAAGGTGTTTATTCTTGCAGAATTTGGACCAGGGACTTTCTGTTCAGCAAATGATTCAGTGCATGTAGACCCTGAGGTTGTTTACATTTTCAGGAACTGCTATTGCGAAACTAAAAAGGTTTATTTTACGTAGTGGGGTTGCTTTTGCCAGATGAATTCATTTGCTCAAGTTATTTTTAAAATGTGCTTTCCCTTAGCTCCTTAGAGAAGCTCTGGTCTCTTGCCTGTGTGGGTCTAGGCCAGAAAAAAAAAAAATGTTGAGGCTATTAATGGAAGCCAGAGAAAATGTCTGGCCAAGGTGGATCAAAGAAGGTTCTCAGTTTTGACCCCAAATTTTAACTTTCTGAATGCCGGGCTAGCATACTAGCTGGTCCTGGCTCCAGCAGCTTAAATGACTCATGTGCCTAGAACCAGGAAGACCATGCATATGAGTTTCAAACTGCTCCTACAGGTATGTGTGGAAGGGGGACCCCTATGACAGAATATTCATCCAGAAGAAACTTGCCCTGCTGCCAATTGGAAGTGCCACAGTCCAGCAGCAGTGAGACTGCTGGAAGCAGTCAGATTGCAGAGCACAAACTCTCTAACTCATCGGGGTCAAGTGGCCTGAAATGATTCATCAGGCTGCTTTGCAAACATTTTATTTAACAATTGATATTTAGAAATAATTTTTTATGACAGTTTCTTATCTTTTGGGGGAATCAGAGACCCCTTTGAGAATCTGAGGAAGGCTATGGAGAAATATCTGATGAAGCCTGTGGGAAAAAAAACTGCCATCCAGAAAAATGTATATATGCAAGCTGTCCCTTAAAATGTTAGTGGTATCATTGGGATGACATCCAAAAATTGTCAGGGAAGTCCGTAAATCCCCTTGCTTCAGAATTTGGGGAAACTTTAAACCTCAGATTAATGGTATGTAGATACTATTCATTCATTCAGAGCTTACTGACTTCCTGTGTCATGGCAAGCACTATGTTGGAAGCTGGAAATACAATGATGTATAAGACAAGGACACAGCCTTGTGGAGCTCACAGTCTAATGGGAGACAAAACAAACCCATAATAATGATGCATGATAATGAGTTAAGTGCTATGCTAGAACTGTAAGTGTAGAAGCAAACAAGAGCCCCAAGTAGGGTAATCAATTCAATATATATTTAATAAATGCATTACGTGCCAGGCAGTTGGGAATAAGCTGGTGCATAGACAAGATCCCTATCCCATGGAGCCTTAAGTCTGGAATACTCTCAACTAAAAGTTAGAGGAGGGGCCTGGAAGAACATGATGCCCACCTAAGGTGAATCCTAAGTAAAGTTCACCCAGGTGAAGTGGGTAAGCGTATTGCAGGTAGTGGGAGCAACACGCACACAGGCCCAGTAACAGCAAGGTGAGTCAGGGGAAACTACAAATAGTTCATCAGGGCTCTCCATGAAGGCAGGAGCAGTGAGAGACAAGGGTGGAGAGGTGTGCTGGGGGCAGATCCCCAAGGCTCCTGTGCTTCACCATGGATTGTGGGTTGAAGGTTGTCAATGAGGGCTTTTTTTTTTTGAGACGGAGTCTCACTCTGTCGCCCAGGCTGGAGTGCAGTGGCGCAATCTCGGCTCACTGCAAGCTCTGCCTCCCGGGTTCACGCCATTCTCCTGCCTCAGCCTCCCAAGTAGCTGCGACTACAGGCACCCGCCACCACGCCTGGCTAATTTCTTGTATTTTTAGTACAGATGGGGTTTCACTGTGTTAGTCACGATGGTCTCAATCTCTTGACCTCGTGATCCACCTGCCTCGGCCTCCCAAAGTGCTGGGATTACAGGCATGAGCCACCACGTCCGGCCTCAATGAGGGCTTTTTAAGGCAAGTCAGGAGTTTCCTATTAGAAAGATCACTCTACCATAAATGGAGAAAATTGGGCAAAGGGGAGGGGATGGCTAGTGGGTGAAATCATGGAGACTAGAAGGAAGGAAGCTGTTGAATTAATCTAGACAAGAAATGATAAGGTCCTAATAGTGGCAGTGGAGATGGAGTAAAGTGGACGATGGGAAAATGGGATGAGGCCTCTGGAGAGCAGCTCACAGGCAATTTTTTTTTCATTCCCTACAATGACATTTGCCTACGGCAACACACTCTGCCACATGCAATGAGGTAGTGACTGGCTCAAGCTAAGGAAATAATCTTGTTACTGACGTGGTATCACCGGGAATCATGGCTGTATAACTGTAGTTTCATAATCAAATTTTGGAACTCTACATTTAATTGCTTAATGGTGATGATGATTATGACAGGAATAATACTGATAATAGCTGCAACCCAATTTTATTGGACACTTATTCTGTGCTAGTTACTGTTCCAAGCATTCTGAATTTACTAACCCACTTAATCTTCAAGTGACTCTATCGGGTAGGTTCTATTCTTACTCTTAAAGAATAGATGAGGACACTGAGGCAGCACAGACAGGTTTAATACCTTGTCTAAGGTCACACAGCTAGGAAGTGAGAAAATAAGGATCTGAGCCTTGGAAATCTGGTTCTAGGACGCAAACTTCCAAAAATTCTCCTATCAATTTACAATGACAAACATAAATTATGGTCTTTCTCCATAAAACTCAATTTGAGCACTAAAACTGACTTTTTACCATTTGTTATGAACATTCTGAACAATCACAATAAAAAGTAGTGCGGAGACACTATTCAAGTCTCTAAAAACATCTTAGGAGTGGTACATGAAGCAAAATGCTGGGTGTGAGTGTTTTTGCAGATTCAGGCTCCAAAGAACAAAAAAGCAGAAAAAACAAACAATGGTGTTTTTAAACAATGAATGTTGTTTTCCTTTAGCCATAAGGGAATTTTAAAACTTGACAAACTCATTCAGCTTTCAAAGCATTCCACATTCCCCACCCACAAGCAAATGCCAGAAGGTGCCAGTTTGAGCCAACTCAGCTCAGGAATGACTTTCTAAATACTGGATCAGATTTCTTGAATGTCCGCGCTCCACAGATGGATACTTACTATTGTCCTAATTGGTCTGATGAAAAGTACTTAGCAATTTATCAAGCAATTAATTTAACAAAAACATTTCAGCAAGAGATGAGATGGTGTGGCACAAATGCAGAAACAGAAATTTGAAAAGATTCAAATGTATTACTTCAAAAAGATTGAAAAATTGCTGCCTAAAATCTTTGAAACTTTAGAGCTAGGTTGTGCATAGGCTTAATTTTTAATGAAGAATCTTCTGGGAAAATAAGTTTTTGATTATATAAAGAAAGCAATTTCCTTGATTTGCAGGAAATAATTCTTTTTGGGGAAAAACAAATAAATTAATATTTAATATACTCATTACATCCATCCAGCTAACATTTACTGGAAGCATGCTGTGTGCCTGGCACCATGCTAGGCACTGAGACACAAAAATGAAAAAGACAAGAATCTTGTTCTTTAGCCTAGGTGGGGAGATAGATAAGCAAAGGAATAGTGTAATAAATGCAATAAAAGAAATACGTACTAGCTAGACCTGTGGGAAGAAAGGTTAGAAAGATGAACAGAAACTGTGCTAGAATTTTGGACCTAATTCTGTAAGTGTTGGAGAGCCATTAAGCAGAAGTGATCGTTAGATTTAATTTTAGAAGGATCATGCTGTTATCAATGTGAAGAATGGGCTGTAGTGGGGAAACGCCAAAGGCAGATTCTGTTCCACTCTTCATAAAAATCGTACCACAGCACTCTGATACCCTTTTTGCTCTCTAATCCATTTCTCTTTTCCCCCCAACACAGATAATTTAGAAATTATTTAGTCTTTTAAAAGCGCTGGTGTCCAAGTTTTTGAGGTTTTCCCAGATATTTGTTATTGGTTAATAATTTAATTCCATTGTGGTCAGAGAACATATTTTCTATGACTTGAATCCTTTTAAATTTATCAAGATTTGTTTCATGGCTCAAAATACGGTCTATCTTGGTACATGTTTCATGTACTCTTGGAAAGAATGTGTGATTTATTGTTGTTGGGGACTGCTGTGCTCTACAAATGTCATTTAAGTCAAATTGTTTGATAGTCTTGTTCTAATCTTCTATATCCTTACTGATTTTGTGTATTCTTGTTCTACTAAACATTGAAAGGATATTAAAATCTCCAGGCTGCGTGCAGTGGCTCATGCCTGTAATCCCAGCACTTTGGGAGGCCGAGGCAGGCAGATCACGAGGTCAGGAGATCGAGACCATCCTGGCTAACACGGTGAAACCCCGTCTCTACTAAAAATACAAAAAAATTAGCCAGGCGTGGTGGTGGCCGCCTGTAGTCCCAGCTACTGGGGAGGCTGAAGCAGGAGAATGGCGTGAACCTGGGAGGCGGAGCTTGCAGTGAGCTGAGATCCTGCCACTGCACTCCAGCCTGGGCGACAAAAAAAAAAAAAAAAAAAATCTCCAAACATAATTGTGGACTTGTCTACTTCTTACAGTTCTATCAGTTTTTGCTTCATCTATTTTGACACAGCTATGAGGTGAAAAAACATTTAGGACTGTTATATCCTTTTGCTGAACTGACTCTTTTATCATTATAAAATGATCATTTTTACCCCTGGTAATATTCTTTGCTCTGAAATCTATTTTGTTTCATATTGTCACTCCAGTTTTCTTCTAATTACCAATATGATGTATCTTTTCTCCATCCTTTTACTTTTAATCTGTTTGTTCGTCCTTTATTTTTAAGGTGTGTTTCCTGTTGGCAGCATATAGTTGGGTCTTGCTTTTTTATCTGATCTGAAAATCTGATTTTTTAAGGACATTTCTAAAATTGAAAAATAAAAGTTGTATATATTTATAGCATACAATATGATGTTTTGAAATAAGTATACATTGTGAAATGACTACAGTTAATTAATATATACATTACCTCACATATTTATTTGTAGAGAGAACACTTAAAAGATACTGTTAGCAATTTTCAAGTGTACAATATATGTTGTTGGTTATAGTCACATTGTACAATAGATCTCTTGATCTTTAGCTTATTCCTCCTATCTAACTGAATAAGTTGTACAATAGATCTCTTGAACTTATTCCTCCTGTCTAACTTTGACCAACATCTCCCCAGCCCACCGCCTCTCCCCAGCACCTGGTAACCATGTTTTTACTCTCTGCTTCTATGAGTTCCAAGTTTTTCAATTCTGTGTGTAAGTGAGATCATGTGGTATTAACAATCTCTGACTTTTAATTGGGGTGTTTTGAATGTTTATATTTAAATATCTTTAAAAGATAATTGACTGTATAAGTAAAATTAAAAAACAATAAAGTGTGGAGTTTATAATGTTTGTAGAAATAAAAACGTTAAGACCATAACAGCAAAAAGACAACAACAGTAAGTTTCTTAAGCTATATGTCAAGTAGTATATAAACTGGTTATAAACTGGTAAATTAGAAAGAGGTATAACCCTAAAACAACCACTAAAATAAATCAAAGAGTATAGTTAATAAGACAATAGAAAAGACATAGTAGAATAAAAAAATCCAAAAGTAAGGAGAAAACAAAAAGAACAAATAGAAAACAGCAAGATGACAGCTTTAACCTACCATGCCAATAATCATATTAAATGTTCTAAATGCCCCAATTACAAGCTGGAGATTGTCAGATTGGATGAAAAAGCATTTATGAAGCACTAGTCAGGTACTGAACTAAGGATCGTATAAGGTCTCATTAAATCCTCTGGTGAAGTACGTATTATCACTCCATTTCCAATATTTACAAAATGAACCTTGCATAGGTTAAGTAACTTCTCCAAGCAGCACAGCAGGGATTCACACTCGGGCTCTGAATAGTGCAAGTAGACCTGTAAAACCTGCTTCCTTACTCTCCTTTCAATTCAGCTACACTGAGTACCAGTTACATGGAGTTACTAAGTTAGGAGCTGTGCCCATGGCAATGACTGTAACTGTCTGGGATGAAATCCACCTTTACCAGCTGTGTGACCTTGGGCGGTGTATTACACATCTTTAAGCTTTAGTTTCCTCATTTGTAAAATGGAAGTAATAAAACTAGTCCCATAGTGTTACTGTGTGTTAAATGGAGGTGGTTGACTGTTTTTGTTACTTTAAGCTATACCCTGCAGATCATAGGAGAAATATCAATTTGTGCAATTCTACATCAAAATCAAAATAGTATTATATAAGAGTGATCTGTTTAAACTGTAGCATTATAGAAATATACTATAGAAGGAACTATTTTATATTTACTTTATAGTATTATATGAAGTTTTGGTTTCTTCTTTGAGAATCATAGTAATGTGATCAGTTAGTCTTCTTTTAAAGAAACCTCTCATCCCAACTATTCTATTTTCAAAAAAAAACTTTTTCTTGGAGTGAAAATGTCAAACCTATTCCTAGCTTTGCAGATGAAAGTGTTCAGATTCCTTGGATTTTTACTTTGGATACATGTATTAGATACCTGGGATGAATAACTTCAGTTTAGGTTATATTAATATTATAATAATAAGAATGTTTAAAAACAATTTATCTAAATAGTATTTTACATTTGAAATATTAATATATAATTTGAAAAATCAAAATGAAATCCAGAGAGTTAAGCAGAAAGTTTTTTTAACATAAGATTATATTATAAAGCTTCTTTAAATATTTTTTCTTTGAAAAGACAAAATTAATTTTAAAAAAAGTTTAGATCCAGCATGACTGTCAGCTGAACAGAAGCTGATCAGTCTTCAAATATCATAGTATTTTTTTCTGAATGAACAACTGAAAGAGGCAAAATTTCAAATATATTTTATTCAAAATTCTCCATTTAGGAGAAAAGATATATAACAATGTTTACACATGCTTTAATAACTTATTTCACTGTACAACTTACATTCTGTATAACAGTACAATAAACCAGCCAAAGAAAATAACCAGTTAGCACTTAAATAAGAATCTACCATGTAAAAAACACAGTATGGGACACTACAAGGTAGTATTTATATATTTTTTAAATGACTGAGCTACAGTACAACAGTCATCTAGTTCAGTGGTTGTCTAAAACATCAAGCTGTCCACATCTTTCTGATTCATGATGGGAAAGCTATTATGACCTTTCACATTCGAACATGTCATTTTGTTGTGTAAATTTGGTGGGTGGGGGGCAGAAGGGCTCTATTACCTTTATCCCTTTCTTATAAATATATTTTCCCTTTTATATTACTTCCAGAATTTTAAATAAAATATTTATTTGTGTTTGTGTAACTACAATGTCAACATTGTGTTAGAATTATATTAATCAGTTATTTTATAGCCAGCAAAATGGTCCAAACGCATTAAGAAAACAAAAGATAACTTAGCTCTGCCAAAGTAGCACCTAGGAAAACAGCACTTCAGTAAAATTTCTCCTGCTATTCCTTATAGCCTATTGCAGGCAAACAGCAACAACTTCAAAAACATAGGCAGAAATGCAAGAAGGAAGTACTCAAGGAACTATTTTCTGTTTCTGAAAAAAAGATCTTATTAGTTAGTATATTCTCTAAGGCATTTTATAATCTCAGAGTTGCAATGATTGCCAAAGCAGGTACATGGTAAGACTTAGCAAGAAGAAAACAAGATGAAAATGACTGACCAGTGAAATCTGAACTTGTTCCAAGTAATTAGATTTTCTAAGGAGAAAAAAGGCACAGGAGGTGCACATTTCAATTTGGCTCAAAAATAATGAAAATTAATTTAAAAAGTTGGCAACAATTACTAAAACATAAAATACAATTTCCTTTTACAGAGCTCAACTACATAGAATATCAACAATAGCAAGAACAATAAAATAAACAAAACACCCTAACTGTGGTTCACCAGGAACAAGGACTATAGAGAACTATTAGACATTTCTACAGACTGAATCCCAGGGACTAAATCCACAAAGTAGGATCTAATAATCAATTCCAATTAAACATCTGCTTGATCAATTTTCTTTCTAAAGCTCATCCTATGTTCAAGCTCACTTTCTTTCTGTGGAATTGAAATCATTTAAAGGCTCTAGTTTTCAGTTGATTGCAGAAGTATTACAGTAATTCTACACACCAAAGAATGCCAAAAGATAGAAAGTCAACTATCTGTAAAAGCCAACTCAGATTTCACCTTGACACATGTAAACCATGAATCATGTATTTCAAAAAAACAGTAGTTGTGGTCAAGTTTACATCCTATTATTATATCTTTAAAAGATAGCAATAATATTTATTATATTGTAAACATAGGTCTGTATCCCAAAAGCATAAATCTAGGAAAAGAGACACCCAATGTAATGATGCACCTGACATCCCCTCACAGGCTCTTGTGAGAACTGTAGTGTAACTTACTTAACTGCAATTGCTGAGAGCAGAATTCTGGAGTATGATCCAGGGGAACGTTTCCCCACACCACTGAGCTACTTTACCAGCGATCATGATTGTGATGGAATAGGCTTATTAAGTTACACATTTAAAAAGTCATTAGAACATCTCGTTCTTGCACACTAGTGTAGAAAGGTCTTCCAAAGATAAAAGAGTGTAGGCCTGGTTTAATTTTCTCAGCCAGAGCCATTATTATGTTAAGATCGCCCTCTGCTGTTAAATCAAGGTCTATCTTCAGGTTCCGAAGAGATTTAAAGGGCTTTTTTCCCTTCTGCCTAAAAATAATGGAAAAAAAAAAAAAAAAAAAAAAAAAAGAAGCGCAAAAATTATGATATAGAAAATGTACAAAGGAAACAAAACAAAAAAACAATGTACAAAGGTTTTTCTTCCGTGTAGGAGTTTTACTCACGTATCGTCTTCTATATATTTTATTAGTGTCAAGGCTTTTCTGTGAAGGACAAGTAGAAACTGTGCAAGGAAAGTACTTCTGAGAGATAAGCCAGGTTTCAGCTGAAAGACCTGCAGGGAGAGGAACCATTTCAACACATAATTTGCTCACATTCTACTCGTACAGAAGTTTCTATGACAGTGTTGACAGTGCTTGGCAGACAATACACACTAAACATCTCCTTAACCATTTCCACTGATGCCCCCTAACAGGAGTGTGGTATAGAAGCACTAGGTGTAGGAACAATCTGATATTTTTTTTTTTTTTTGAGACGGAGTCTAGCTCTGTCACCAGGCTAAAGTGCAGTGGCGCGATCTTGACTCACTGCAACCTACACCTCCTGGGTTCAAGCGATTCTCCTGCCTCAGCCTCCCAGGTAGCTGGGATTACAGGCACACGCTGCCACGCCCAGCTAATTTTTGTATACTTAGTAGAGACGGGGTTTCACCATGTTGGCAGGATGGTCTCGATCTCCTGACCTTGTGATCCACCCACCTCGGACTCCCAAAGTGCTGGGATTACAGGCATAAGCCACCAGGCCCAGACAATCTGACAGTTTTTAGAAGTTTTCTAATTTATCTTTAAAAATGCATTCAAATTTTGCATTCTACTTCAGAATACATCCATGTTTACTTCACTTTTAAAACTCATACATAAGTTATTTCGTATTACTTAATTTTTTCTGCCCAAATCTTCAAATAACATTGAAGCTCCTAGAAGATGAGCCTATGGTTTTGAGACATTCATATACCTGTACTTTTGCAGGGGGTGGAGTGGGTGGGTAGGAGTAGAATGTGTGCATATGATGAGGTGGAGAGTGGGAGGGATTTTATGTCAGCTTGAGAAGCATGAAATTCCAGGCCTACGAATTTTCCTTGAACTTCGCAATATGTCACAGACCTCATAGATCTCAATCCAAAATTTCTAGTAAACATAAGGATCTCATTATTTCAAAGCTTTATCTATGACACAGTTTCCTGGCCTGATCCCCAGAATGTTATTATAACAAACTGTAATATATTAAGAAATAAGTTCCATATAATCTACGATTTCCTTCAACTGTGTAATTAAGTAGATATTTTTTAAAAGAATGAAACAATAAAGATGTTATTTAAATAAGTACACTATGTTTCAAAAATATTTTTGAGTCATTTCAGGCAAATAAACAACCTCCCTTTCTCAAAAAAAAAAAAAAAACTTACTTGTTATAGGTTAATGCTTGAATTAAAATGTTTGTTGTTTGACGTATGGAATGCTGCACTCTTAATTGTTAATATACAGGCTCTTCCCCATTAATAAGTCAAAAGGAAAAATCATTTAGACACTTTAGAAAGACCAGACACTACAAAAAGCACCTAATAAAACAGATTAGGACTCAATTCTTAATTCTATCATTTTATAAATGTTAAAATATATATAAAAAATATATTACACTCTATCATAGAGTATATGTTATATATTTTACATATCATATATAACATATACTCTACATAACATAATAGGGTTTTAAGTTTATAACTTTTTTTTAATATATAAACATATATATATCCTACAATGCTGGTAATATGTATATATGCTCGTACTATATATATATACACACACAAACATATATATATACTTGTACTACATATATAGTACAAGCATTGCAGGATATATATATGTATATATTATATCTGTAAAAGCTAAGTCAGATTTCACTTTGATACATGTAAACCAGGAATTCTATGTTTCAAAAAACAGTAGTTGTGGTCAACTTTATATCTTATTATTATATCTTTAAAAGATAGCAATAATATTTATTATATTGTAAACAAAGGTCTGAATTCCCGAAGCATAAATCTAGGACAAGAGGCAACCAATGTAATGATGCACTTGACATGCCCTCACAGACTCTTCTGAGAACTGTAGTGTAACTAACTTAACTGCAATTGCTGAGCAGAACTCTGGGGCATGATCCAGGGGAATATAAATATATAGAACAGGCATTGTAGGATATATTAAAAAAGAAAACATGTCATATCATTCACTCTGACAATCTCAAGTTCAACATTTACCTGATCCAGGAAGGCTTTCACTAGAGTGTCTCTGTGTAAGACATCTTGAAAAATATTCCTGAAGAAAAGAAGAAAATGAAGAAAAGAAAAAAGTTCAAATGTTGAAATGGCCATATAATGCTACCTTCCACAATCCCTCACTTGAGCCAACATTTTAAGTTCTTATAAATTGATATTACATATAAACACATTTGTAAGAATATAGATATATATATTTGGAGACACAAAATATACATTCATTTATTTACTCAAGGATATATTTACATTTTACTGGTGTTTGTCAGGCTAATATGTAATTTTTTCTCTAAAGAATATAAGCAGTCCCCAGTAAGGGTATGTATGTATCTATCAATCTATTTTACTACTCTCATCTTTTAAAAAAAGTAGAGACCCTTAGGCAATTAATAAATAAAACTACCAATTCTTGCCATCTCAAAAAAAAACAAAAAACAAACCAGCAACAAAAATAAGCCACTACCATCAAAAACCAAAACAAACCAAAAAATGTGAAGAAAAATTTGAGTGAGATTAGAGAACACACTCCGATGATTATCCACTGGGTTTGCCTCAACAAGCCCACCATCTGTAAGTAACATGAACCAACTATCCAAGAAAGTACTACCTACCTTGGCAACGACCAGAGTGAGTAGTAGTAATATAATGGCCACTTAAAATAATGTGTGCCTAACACAGCACCTAGGATATAGCAGGTGCTAAAGCAAACACACAAACAAACAGGACTACTTATTCCCTTCCCAGGCCCCACCTCCCTTTCATCTTTTTCTCTTCCATTTTCCCTAGGTTCTACTCAGGCCAGAGGGTAAGAGAACATTTAGTAAGAGGAGGAGTTTTTAACTGAAAGTGGTAGGGATCATCCTATACCTGACCAGAGTGGCAAAAAAAGAGAATGGGTATGTGTAGAAGCAAACAGGAAGGTAGTTCAAGTTTCCTTATCTTAAGAAACGAGTGTACCACACTACAGAAGAAAGAAACCGTAAAGGGGAAAAATATTAGCATTTCGTCATTATTGACTGGGCACTGATAGTGCCCCTTCTTGGGCTCTGGAAAGAGAATAAGGCTTATATTTAATCGAGTGGACTTATTATACCTGTTCCACTGAATGAGTATCTTCATCATAAGTGAATTAGATAAAGCAAGGTGTTAAAAAAGAACATTTCCATTTGTTTGTGTCATCTCTGATTTCTTTCAGCAGTGTTTTGTAATTCTCATAGAGATCTTTCACCTCCCTGGTTAGCTGGATTCCTAGGTATTTTATTCGTTTTGCGGCTATTGTGAATGGGACTGTGTTCTTGATTTTGCTCTCACTTTGGAAGGTGTTGGAGTATAGAGAATGCCAAAACTTTGCTGAAATTTTTAACAGATTTAGGAGTTTCTGGGCAGAGACTATGAGATTTTCTAGGTACAGAATTATACTGCCTGCAAACAGAAATAGTTTGACTTCTTCTCTTCCTATCTGAATGTCTTTCTTTCTTTCTCTTTCCTGATTGCTCTGGCTAGGACTTCCAGAACTATGCTGAAAAGGAGTGGTGAGAGTGGACATCCTTGTCTTGTTACGGTTCTCAAGGAGAATACTTCCAGCTTTTGCCCATTTGGTAAGATATTGGCTATGGGTCTGTCATAGATGGTTCTTATTTTTTTGAGGCATGTTCCTTCAATGCCTAGTTTGTTTAGGATTGTTTGTGATTTTTCTTTTTTGAGACAGGGTCTCACTCCGTTGCCCAGGCTGGAGTGCGGTGGCATGATCTCAGCTCGCTGCCAACCTCTGCCTCCCGGGCTCAAACAATCCTCCCACCTCAACCTCCTGAATAGCTGGGACTATAGGTGCATGTCACCATACCAAGCTAATTTTTTTTTTTTTTTTTTTTTGTAGAGATGGGGTTTCACCATGCTGCCTAGGCTCGTCTTGAACTCCTGGGCTTAAGAGATATGCCCGCCTTGGCCTCCCAAAGTGCTGGGATTACAGGTGTGAGTCACTACACCTGACCTACTGAAGGTTTTTAACATGGAGGATGTTAAATTTTATTGACAACCTTTTCTCTACCTATTGAGATAATCTTGTGGTTTTTGTTTTTAGCTCTGTTTATGTGATGAATCACACTTATTGATTTGTGTATGTTGAACCAACCTTGCATCCCAGGGATAAAGCCTACTTGATCAAAGTAGATCAGCTTTTTGATGTGCTGCTGGATTTGGTTTGCTAGTATTTTGTTGAGGATTTTTGCATCTATATTCATCAAGGATATTGGCCTGAAGTTTTCTTTTTTCTGTTGTGTCTCTGCCAGGTTTTGGTATCAGAATGATGCTGGCCTCATTAGGGAAGAGTTCCTCCTCCTCAATTTTTTGGAACAGATTGAGTAGGAATAATACCAGCTTTTCTTTATACATCAGGTATAAAGAGATGACACAAACACATGGAAAAACATTCCATATTCATAGATAGGAAGAATTAATATTGTTAAAATGGCCATACTGCCCAAAGCAATCTACAGATTCAATGCTATTCCTATAAACTACCAATGATATCCTTCACAAAACCAGAAAAAACTGTTTTAAAATTAATATGGACCCAAAAAGGAGCCCAAATAGCCAAAGCAATCCTAAGCAAAAAGAACAAAGCTGGAGGCATCACATTAGCCGATTTTATACTAAAAGGCTATAGGAACCTGAACAGCAGGGTACTGTTATAAAAACAGACACATAGACCAATGGAGAATAGAGAGCCAAGAAATAAAGCCACACACTTACAACCATCTGATCTTCAACAAAGTTGACAAAAAACAAGCAATGGGGAAAGGACTCCGTATTCAATAAATGGTGCTGGGATAATTGCTAGCCATAGGAATTGGAGTGAAACTGGACCCCTTCCTTGTGCCATATACAAAAATCAACTCAAGATGGATTAAAGACATAAACGTAAAATCTAAAATTGTAAAAACCCTGGAAGACAACCTAGGAAATACCATTCTGGACATAGGCCCTGGCACAGATTTTATGATGAAGACGCCAAAAGCAACTGCAACAAAAACAAACACAAATGGGACCTAACGAGCTCCTGCATGGCAAAAGAAACTATCAACAGAGTAAAAGACAACCTACACAATGGGAGAAAAATATCTGCAAACCATGTATCCAACAAAGGGATATGCAGAATCTGGAAGGAACTTAAAACTAATTAACAAGCAAAAAACAACCCACCCCACTACAAACTGGGCAAAGGACATGAAAATTTTTCAGAAGAATATATACAGACAGCTAAAAAGCATATGAAAAAATGCTTAATATCACTAATAGAGAATTGCAAATCAATTCTCTAGGAATGGCTATTATTAAAAAGTCAAAAAATCACAGATGTTGGCAAGGTTGTGGAGAAAAGGGAACACTTATACACTGCTGGCGGGACTGTAAATTAGTTTAGCTATTATGAAAAGCAGTTTGAAGATTTCTCAAATAACTGAAAATAGAACTACCATTCACCCTAGCAACCCCATTATTCTATATGTACCTAAAGGAATACAAATTTTTCTACCATAAAGACACATGCATGTGTATGTTCATCACAGCACTATTCATGATAACAAAGACAGGGAATCAACCTAAATGCCTATCAATGGTAGACTGGATAAAGAAAATGTGATACATATACACCATGGAATACTATGCAGCCATAAAAACCAGATGGAGCTAGAGGTCATTATCCTAAGTGAACTAATCCAGGAACAGAAAACCAACTACCGCATGTTCTCACTTCTAAGTGGGAGCTAAACACTGAGTATACATGGACACAAAGAAGGAAACAGCAACACCAGGGCCTACTTGAGGGTGGGAGAAGGGTGAGGATCAAAAAACTACCTATTGGGTACTATGCTTATTACCTGGGTAATGAAATCACCTGTACACCAAACCCTCATGACACGCAATTTACCTGTATAACACACCTGCACATGTACACATGAACCTAAAATAAAAGTCAAAAAAAAAATTCCAGTGACCAATTTTTCATGTATTGGCAGTGACTGGAATTATTTTAAAAAGTTAAAATTAAAAATAACAAACATAATTAACATGTAAAAACATATACTTAAAAGTAAAATGACTCTGTGACAATAGACTTAACACACAATCTAGTGGCTGAAAATACTATTTTTTGGACAATTTTATGTTTAGAAAATTTAGAGCTGGATGCAAAATTTAAAAATTCAGGATATTATTTTGTCATGATCAGCAAAATGAGAATAGCTGTCTAACTGTAGTTTGTCAAATCAGCAAAACAAACATAGCTGGCTAAAAATGATTAAGAAATGTTAAAATACACATACATCCTCTAAAAAACAAAACAAAAATACCAAATGGTTGCAAACCCATTCTGCAGTTCACTAAATTTCCTCAAAAAAGCTCCCAAGTAACCAATCAAAAAACGGAAAAAATACTAAGCACTTTAGGAAAAAAGAAAATGTTTCAAGGCACAGATTAATTAGAAAACTTCTACATGTCTACTAAAATTTACCAATATATAAAAACTTACTGACATGTAATTTCAGTTGGACCAATTCATTTTCTAAAACATTCCCCTACTACTTTCTCAAGAACCAATAAAAACTCTGGAGAACTAGGAAAAAATGGGTCCTATATTAAGTCATCTTTCTGCACCTTGAGATGTATAAGGCTGGGGGTCCCTTGAACAAGATATTCCTATTCTATGCTTTTGGTTAACACTTACTGTGTAATTACTGGTGCTCCACAGGTCTGTTACCTAAGCTCAAACTGATTCTGTAGATACATAGGTCAGGCTTATTTGCCCCAATTTTTCTATTGCCTTACACACTTAGACCTGGGTTATTACAGTTAACACTTACTGTTACCTTCTATGTGCCAGGCATTATTGCAAGCATTTTTTTTTTTTTTTTTTTAAATAAGACAGAGTCTCGGTGTTCCCCAGGCTGGAGTACACTGGCACATCATAACTCCCTGTAACCTCAAACTCCTGGGCTCAAAAGATCCTCCTGCCTCAGCTTTCGGAATAGCTAGGATTACAGGCACACAGAAACACATTCCAATAATTCTTTTTTATTTTTTGTAGAGATGGGGTTTCACTATGTTGCCCAGGCTGGTCTGGAACTCCTGGCCTCAAGTGATCCGCCTGCCTTGCACTCCCAAAGCTCTGTTCTTACAGGCATGAGCTACTGTGCCTTTTTTCAACTGATAAAAGAGAAACACAAAAGTATACTATAATTCTTTTCCTGATTTCAGAACATCTTTTAAGTGTTTACTTAGGGTTTTAGGATTATAGATTTATCATCATCATTTTTTTTTTCAAGTTGGGTCCATGCTCAACAATTAATTATCATTACTTTTCCTTTTGAATTTACTGTTCAGGCTTTTTTTTTTAAAAAAAAATAAGAAGTGAATAACAATATAAAATGCAAAGTAAAAAAATGTTCCATTAATATATTTTAACAGTTTTGCTGTATTTTATATTCATATGTCAAGAAAAAAAAGACTTAGAATTACTTCTTTGGTTTTGTTAATAAGTCCATTCAATAACTGTTACATAATAGACTATACACAATGTAGGGGCTGGGGCTGGGGCTGTCTGGTTGGCCACTATTAAGCCCGGTACCTAGAACAGTGCCTAGGAGCTCAATATATATTTATTAAACAAATAGTTAAATATTTACTTTAAGGGTTAATCTTACCTATTTTAGGGTAAACACAATTGTATGGAAAAAGAAGAACATTTAAGAAAAAAATGCTTGATTAAATGTTTCTTCAAGCATAATTCTGCTGGTAATATTTCTTTCTTTTTAAATGCAACTTCTGTTTTGTTTTTATTCGTAAAAGACACAATTTCATATTGCTTGACTACAGTACCAGCAGGCAGAGCATTACGTACAAATCAGGAGTAAAGCTTTCGTCAGTGTAGATGATCGTATCCTGAGCCATGTCTTCTTCTGAAGTGGCTCTCCAGAAGGCTGTCAGCTCGGATCTCATGTATCTACGCTGATTATAAATATGTTCATGACAGGGTGGCATCTGCTTCACAGTATTGACATCCACATCTATGTGTGTGGTGGGATATGGAGCATACATGACTTGCCGGAAAGGCAGCACAAAGCTTCCAGTTGAATCCTGTCAAAATAAAAGGAAAATTTACTGTCTTACATGCCAAACGATATGAATAATTGTTTTTTAATTTTAAAAAATGGTCTCTGATTTAGCAAATCCATCTCTAAAAATTTATCCTAAGAAGCTATTCATGAGTGTGTGCAAAGTTTTAGTGACAGAAGTGTTCAGTATAGCATTGGTTTCAATAGCAAAACATCAGAATGACCTAAGCATCCAAAGGAAGTGGTTAAGTAAATAAAAATGAATTTATTATTTGGCATCTATAGATGAAGTTGTTGAAGTTTGTGTTGATATTCAAAGAGGCTTAGAATCTGCTGTGAAAAAAGCAGATTAGAACATGCAGAGATGATCCAGTGGGGGTGGGAGTCTTAAAGAAAATACATGCAAAAGGGAAAAAAAGACTAGAAAGAGATATACCAAATATTAACAGTGGGTATTCACTGGATTCAAAATTACAAGTGTCTTTTAATTTCTTAATTATTCTATGCACCTCAATGAGTATGTATTTTTATAAAACAAATTTACTTCTTTCCTAATCAGTTGGGGTAGCCAGTTACCATGTAATAATAACCTACTGCGTATGAGGCACTGTGCTATGAACAGAACAGAAGAAAGAGGCTATTTCCATTTTTTTACTATTATAATGCTGTGATAATCATCTTTGTATAATGTCAAAGGTATTTTCTGGAAAACTATATGATTTGTATTTGCATGGAGAACTATTAAATATTTTTTCATTAGATCATAGTTTTGAAATTTCCTCTAGGCATCTGGTATAGGTCCCTTTCAGAACTAAAATTATATAATTAAATGAGAGGGTGCTGAGGAAACAAAAGTATTAAGCACTTTATTATGCCTTTAACAGGAGAAGTTCTAATTTACAGATATGTATAACTCAAATAGAAACTACGTTTCCTTTAACTAGTTTCTATATTTAAATACTATCATTCTGAGTTCATAGCAGCACATTATTGAAAATGCACAAAAGCCTAATATAACTTGTATTTGCAACAATTTTTAAATTTTTTTATTTCATTTTGCCGTGGCTACATCCTCAAGAAAGTAGTCACTATGAGACAATCACATAACCATTAGGAAAGCTATTTCTTCACGTCTTGGGACTATAATTGAAATAACAATAATAGATTCAACAAGGTGAACAACTTTCTTCCCTTTAAGTATTATAAATAATTGCTAATTTACATTTCTCTGTTTTGCTCCTTGACAGTAGACTCAAATAAAAGAAAAATACAATTTTTTTCTAATATATATTATATATAGAAATATATATATTTTAGTACACATACATAGGAATTGCTTAAATCCTATAAGCTTCTTAAAGATGTTTAAAATTTTTTTTCAATAAAATTCAAATCTATTTAGTTAAAAAGAAATGATCTTATTTTTGATGTGCAACCTGATTTAAGCATGTGTTAAAAAAAAAAAAGTCCTGAGGCTAGACATGTAGGAACAGGGACCCACCTGGAACACAAAGGGTATTCTATGGTGTTTCACTGATGATACTAACTATAAATCCATAAGACATATAGTCTATGTGCAGAACTGTGTAAAGGAAGTCAGTCTCTGGGCATGTCAATATGAGATACATTAAATGCTAATATTTAAGATTTGTCTATAAAGAGTCTCAAAAATGATTTTAGAAAAGTGGTTTCACTTGTGATAACTAGAAACTATACCTTTAGCAGGCCTTGTACAAAGAGCCCTGACTCATATTTAAATGATGATTCTGCTTCACATAACCTGGAGCATTTTCTCTCTGCTGGAGTCAGAAAAAGGCATAATGTTCTGACTATCTATAAAAGAAAATATTTTAGCATTAAAACATGAAGTAAAAAGACCACTGATTTGCTTATGAAAGATATCTGAAATTTTAATTGTTATTATCAATAAAACATATCCTAAGAAATAAGTATTCTTTAGTCACCTGGAATCCATGGGATGTAACAGTTGTTGCTTAAAATAGGGATTCTGTGGTCAAATAAATTTAGAAAATGCTTGGTAAATTTACTGTATGGCATCTCAAAACCTTTAACATTTGGCTACATACTGTGACTCTTCAGGTGAATTATATCATCTGCAGACTTTCTCAGACTTATTTGACCATGCAACTTTTATAGCTTCTGTTTAGTGGGTCTACACATGAAATTCGTTGTAAGAAATATCAAAGAATGTCCAGATCCTCCAAAAAGAAGAGAATTAATTATTGAATTTGATTTAAAATAAGCAGGTCATTGGGTGGGATTTAGAAATCTGATTCTAATAATATTTGACCTACAGCTCTATTAGGAAAAATAAAAAGGCATGTAACTATCTTGAAATTCAAACCATATCCACAGTTATTATGTTAAAGGAGTGGTTTTCAACCTAGAGTGGTGGCAACTTCTTTCTCAAATTAAAACAAGATAAAAGGTAAGCTATTCTCCCTCAAGAGGATGGAGGATGGGAAAAATGTTTAAAAAAAAAAAAAAAAACACTCCAACTATGGAGCCTTTCTCCCTTCATAAAGCAGCTCGGCAGTCACTCTGTGCAACCTAAGGCTTTGGAGATCACAGATGGAAAGCCACCTGTTTGAGGTAACAGAAGGAATAAGGTCACTAGTTCGTAGATGCAATATAATGACACAGGTATACTAAGCTCTCATAAATGGTTATATGAGAAATATAAATTAAGGCTCATGTAAATATACAAAGTAGCTGATTACAAAAAAAAATTATGAATATCTTTGTAAAGTATCATTTCCAACATATTTCCTATGTAAAACTTTTTTTAAAAAATTAGGTTTGCTGAAATTGAAAGATACACATACTTATCTCTGAACTCTTTCTAACTAATGGTCAGTGAAGAAAAGTGCAAAATCCTTTAGTTTATTAGCTAATGCTTGGAAATGTAACTGTTCATTAATCCTTAATTAACTCAAGTAGCACTGAAGGAAAGGGTCAGAAACATTACTGAATAAAGTATAATAATCAATGACCACTTAATCCCAATAGCTCCCTAGAAGGGACAGATTTAGAAGGAAAGCGAAGACAATGAAATCAAGATGAATAAACAAATAACATTTCTTTGGAACTACTACCAAAAGTACATGACTATCTTCAGATTTGTTAAAGATAACATTGGGAAATAGAAGAGTAATTTTTTTTATATATCTGATTTTAATATATTCTCAAAACCATTTATACACTACTGACACTGGTATTTCCGAGCTATCAAAATAAACTGATAAATGATTCTTACTCAGTTTATTTCAAACTCACTGTTGCCACAAGGTGTCTTAGCAATTTGATGAGATTACATTGCCTCCTTATACTACTAGATCATTTTAATTGCAACCTACCATTTAAATGACAATCCATGATATATCATCAGTCTTAAAGAGTCAAATCATTTGCTAGATTATAAAATAAACTACCTTATTTACTTTCTCTGCACTGCTACCTACTACAACGGAACAGCCACAGGTTTGCAAGTGTGAGCTGATGGCACTGTAAGTTAAAGAAAACAGATTAAAAACATTGCCTATAAAACAATTTAACAAACTAAAAACAAAAAAAAGTAGGTGAGCTCTTCAAATAACTCAGAATAGCTTTATATGATAAACACCGAAGCTATAAGCACAATGTTATCTTTTATTTGTATAGGAACCTACATTTTCTAGAGACCTTTCACAGAAATTTTCTTATTGAGCCTTAAAACAGCCCAATTAGTCAGTATAATATCATTTAATTAATGTATTTATTTATTGAAATACCATCATTTTATAGCTGAAGAAATTGACATGTAGAGAGATTAAGTGACTTACTTAAAGTCAAATGGGATTTAAAATGATGTATGAAAGGCTGACACTGAACAGATACAGGACTAAAGTGCTTCTGATTCAAGCCATTAAGGCTCTTAGGTTAAACACACTCATGCCTCTGATACTCCATCATGAGCCTAAAGGAAAAGACTGTGAACATAAAAGTGAATACTTTATACTTTTACTTCTCTTTTATTAAAAGTAAAATTTCATGAAAATCTGTAACTGTGAAGAAACTTTAAAACAGAATATAAGATAATACATGTAAAGCAACTAGTAAAGGAACTAACATGTAGGCACTCAACAAATACTGGCTATTTCTAGAAGAAATGTAAATAGGAAATGTTAGCTATGAGCTATTATTAAGTGTTTTTATGTTCCAGGCACTGTTCTAAGTGCTTTATATTATTTATCTTACTCAATGCTTATAACAACCCTACACATTAGGTACTATTACTATTATTGCCATTTTACAGATGAGGAAATAGGTGTATAGAGAATTCAGGCACCTTGCCCACGGGTACACAGCATTAATCCAGGGAGTCTGGTTTAAGGGCACAAACTCTTAAGTACTAAACTCCACTGCTGGATGGAAAAAGATCAGTATAAATATGAATAATTTTGTTCTACGCCTAAATAACTTAAGTTCATCTACAGTACAACTTAATATGAAAGGATTCTGTTAGCTTTAATGAGAAGTAAAACAAGAAACCAGAATCAAGCAAGGGGCCATGATTTCTTGTCTGGGATGGAAACTCGGTTTCTTTAAATAGCAAATGGAATAACACCAAATATATATAGAAATATAATGAGTGAAAAATAACACAAATTTAAGCAACAGTTCAAATACGTAATGTCCCTAGAACAATCTAAGTAGACAGTCTGTTATTTTCTTTCTTCCAAATCTTGTCATAGGTGAGCATAAGATGGTATCTGCTTCATCCAGCTTTTATGAAAAGAAAAATTCTTACTTGAGAAGAAAGCCTTCATGACAGCTGTCACCAATATCATCATCATTGAGTACTGTATCAGCTATCTAAAATGCATCAAAAAATAAAAAAATTAGTCTGGCTGTAACATAGTGTTGAAATAACACTTTTAATATACAAGTTTTCGGAAGTCTGGATTCAATATAACACACTGCCTTCATTTCCGAGAATCAAGACTCCCCAAAAAACAATCTCTGTGCACTACCATAAACTTCAGAAGAACAAATGTGAAAGCTGGTCAAGCAGGTTAAACAATTTTTACAAGAACAACTTCCTCTTCTGAGCTGTCAGAATCAGGAGACTAACCTAAATGACAAAATCAGAAAACAACAAGAATAGTTTCCTAAAGGTATCTCTTAACACTCATAGTGTGTGATTCAAAACGTCCTCAACAAATGATTAAGGAAACTAAATTTGTGACTACAAGTAAACTTCCATTAATGGTTACTACTTTGGCACACAGTTTTGTTTCAAAAGACACTACATTAAATATTAATTGCTCCTATAAGAGCTGGGATCCTCCCACTTTTAGGAATTATAAAAGTAATGAAATAAACAAAATGAATTTAATTTTGTCATCACTGATCAAAAATGCCTCTGTTTTGCCATAAAATCCAGGATTTTGTGTGTGCTTATTTGCTAAAGTGGCTAATACTGTATGTGAATAGTATGTATGACAAAGTCCTTACTATTAAAATTAGAATATTAATAATATACATAATAATACTATAACCCCAAAAAACTCATAAAGTGTATAATTGCTCTCATTTAAACTTACATCTATTTCTTCAGGAACACTGTGTGATTTCATAGATGAAAGCAGTTCCATTACAGGAATCACTTCTCCAGTAAGCATTGGAATAATACTCTGACCCTGCACAATAAAGTGACATGAAGTGAAGAAAATCACGTAATATGAGAGAAGCTGGGCAATAAAAAATAAAAATAACATCAAACAATAACATTCTTTGATGAAAATACTTCGTAATTTGTTCAAACACAGTATCAAACAAGTCTACTACATGTCTAAAGGATTTATATGCAATCCAAAGCTCACTTTTATTCTTTCTTTTCTTTTTTTTTTTTTGAGATGGAGTTTTGCTTTCATTGCTCAGGCTGGAGTGCAATGGCGTGATCTCAGCTCACTGCAACCTCTCCTCCCAGGTTCAAGTGACTCTCCTGTCTCATCCTCCCAAGTAGCTGGGACTATAGGTGCCGCCACCATGCCCGGCTGATTTTTGTATTTTTAGTAGAGACGGGGTTTCGCCATGTTGGCCAGGTTGGTGTCAAATTTCTGACCATGCCCGGCCCTAAAGCTCACTTTTATTCTTTAGAGAGTATGGAATCATTGGTTTATCGTTTACTGTTACATGCAATGATTAAGTCATCATGCCTCTTTTAGAAAAGATCTCCTTTAAAATTTGAGATAAAAAAAATTTGTTAAAGGTCATCAATATATTTCATATTTAAAAATGAGGAAAACCAAGCACAAAAAGACTTTGAAATCCTTACCAAATAGGTAAGGAAAACTTGAATCAATACCTAACCTCCATACTCATAAAAGTATAATCTACCCAAATGCAAATCAAAATCAGCACATATATTTTAAGAATCAATAAAACAGAAAAATTCCCTTTAGAGCTATTTCAAGATATTACTACTTATTACATCTTGAAATTGTAATTTTGAAATTTGTAGTCTATAGAATCAAACTGAAAATTCAGTATAACACATCACAAATGTAAAGTGTCTCAAATATGGATGGTCCCTCATTTATTCACTACCACCACCAGTCTCATCAGTTTTGTGACCAACTTGGTTAAGTAAATTTTTTGAGATATAAATGAAATTGTCAAATGACTATGCATTTTTAGCTAAACATATTTTTTAAATCATACATTATTTAAGATGAATTTAATACTAGTTGTTTTTCCTCACTTATTTTATGAAATGATTTTACTCAAAGTCTTCATAAGCATCTTTAAGTTAGAATCTTTGTCAGACCCAGGGCCATTTTTGGAGTAACCTTAACCAGTTTTTCAGAGCCCCATATTATTAAGTTGCTTGAGAATTTAAATGTGATGCTACTTCTGGAAGTTTTATCCTAAGCCATATGCCCATTTGCATAATGCTGAAAGTTTTATTTAAAAAAAAACCATCCTTTAGTAACCTCCACAACTAACTATTCACTGTTTTTAGTTTTTAAAGTAATAATTATCATGCCTGTTTACAATTACAATTCACACATTCAATCTAACAAGAATAATGACTAGATCCGTGTTAAATTTCCTTCCCTGTGAAGCAATTTTATCAGATGACAGCTACAACTGAAGTTGTTTCAAACTAATGCATCATCCCCAAACAGTATTGTTCAAAATAAAGTCGTTGTGAGATTTGCAAGAACTCAATCAAAAGGCAACTCCTCCTTTTCGGGAAGAATAATTTTGGGAAAATATTTCCTCTTAGGTTTAAGCATACATAGTATTTCATTCACAGTATCTCAGACATTATCAGTATAAGTGAATGAATAGCCTCACTGAAGCTCAACAACACCAAAAAAAAAAAAAAAAAAAAAAATCCTACAGGGCTAAATACAGAAGAGGCTCTAAAAGAAAATCTCTTAAGTTTCTATTCCTCCTTGTACTTCCCAAACTTGAACTTCTCAGCAGTAAGATAACATTTTTAAGAAGAGCACTTAAAAGAGAGACCAAAATTCATTAATAGTAGTCAACTTAAGTAAAGGTTTCTGGTTTGAAAAAACAAAATCCCAGTAAAAGCAGAATTTTAGTTGGTTCTAAGTTTCCTCAACTTGCGATAAGTTTACTTAATTAGTCTACTAATAACTAGTGGGTTAGAGGGTGCTGAAAGTTACCCCATTCCTGGGGACCCTGCTTATTGACCAGCAAATAAGGACTGGGATTCTTTGGGTAAAGGGAAATCTTTTCTTGTTAAGTCAGACCTTTACACAGAATAACTGTCTCTGAATTGGAAAGCTATCTACAAAAGTACAAACATAACAATTTGGTAAAGGAGATCATTGTATTGGGTTCTGTATTATGGCCATGTATTTTCACAAGTTTTTTTTTTTAATTACTTTTTTAAAGTATCATCTGTCTCATTCATGCTAAAAAGAAGCAAAGAAAGGCAAAACAGCCATGTTTAAAATATTGGAGTTTTACAAGGAGCATTGAGGGTCACCCACAAGAGGAAATGGAAGTAAAAGTGAAGAACTCTTTCTTCACTGGAGATTCTCCTTCAAAAGAACTTCTCTGCTTTACAGTGAAATAGTCTGTACTTAGTTTCCGCAGGGGAAGCCACACCCTTGTAACCATGCTTCTCAAACTCTTAGTGTCTGTTCCTGAGGGGCATTCAAAGCCAAGGGATAAACATGGCACATTTTCCTAGAGGAGAGGGTAAGAAATATCACTGACAAATTTTAATACTAAAATAGTTATGGAATAAAATGTAAATTGCATGAGTCTTAACGATACAACATAAGACTTAGAAGAAATATTGTGTGGACCTGGGCCTACACCCCAGACAGATACCTCAGGGGTACATATGCTCTCCTTCTGTTACAGCTACTTCTAGGGAAAGGTTCGAGAAGTAGTACCTTAAAGAACATATCAGAGACAATTTTTTTTATTTTTACTATGAACAAGTTATCCAAAATTTATTCTGGGCAAACAGAAAAAAAAAGGGAGCAAATATTAATTTGTAGATGCAATTACTATTTTCCTTTGTTTACTGATTTAACTCTTTGGGTTTAAGATATGGAAATCTTCCTCCAGTTTATTCTGTACACCTCCATAAAAGCTCCATTAAAGGCTTATTCGTATGTCTCCAAGGCCTTGACAAATGTAGCCATCAACCTTATACAGATACATGCTGTGAGAAAAACATTTGACAGTATGCAATTTGCATATACCTGATCTTCCATTCTCTCTGTGCCTTCTAAGATAATCTTCTGGACATTTTCTTGTCTTTCCTGAGCAAGAGAAAATTTATTTAAAAAAACAACCCACAACATTTTGATACTTGCTTATTTTTCAATAGACATGTTCTTGTGTAGTAATTTAGTTCACAAGAAAAATACTTTCTACTTTAGGGAAAAAATGGGGGCAGGGGTAGGAAATTAACCCAACAAATGCATGTTCTCATAAACAATACAAAATAAAATCAAAACAACCTTTATTCTGCAGTGAAAAAAAGATAACTTCACAGAAAACAGTCAATGTAACATCTGCATAGTTTCAAAAAGGAAAAGAATGACTTGCACTTTTCAAATTAAACATTATGATGTTGTTTAAAAGATTCTCCTGATTTTAAGAGTTTCATAATGTGAGAAAAAAGGAAGTAAGCCTGCAAACATAGTAAAAAATTATTCTTTTAAAAGATATTATTTTTCCTTACTATTGGGCAAAAGCCTTTTAAAACTGGTAATGCTTAATGGACTTTCAGGTTAGTATCAAACTGGAACACAGGAAGGAGAATTCAATGTGTTCTTTAGATACATCAAAACTATACTGAAATGTAAATAGCATTATATATTCAACTACAGGATTTAGGAAAACAATAATTTCTGTAAGATTAAAAGGAATTCTCTTGGGAACCATTCCATTCAACCTCCTCATTTTATGAACCTGGGAACTTGGCAAAGAGGTTAAAGAGACCAAAGGCTACATGACCAACAGCTTATGAAACTATTACTTTGAACTGTTATACTTACACATAGTAGTAAGCAAAAGACAGAATTGTGCAATGAAAGGGAAACAAAAGGTATTAGAGTCAAAGGCTCCCAAGAAGAATCCAGGGTCTAAAAGTTTCTTTATTTGTCTAAGCTTTAGCTTTTCATCTATAATGTGGAGCTACCATTTCGTACCTTCCACAGTTAATATGAAGATGACAGGTATCAGACCAGATGTATTTGTATCTAATAGGGTAAATGCAAAATAAATAACATTTATTGTTTGATGTTCACTGCATATAATTAAAAAAATAAGATTTATATGTACCAGAAAATAAGCTTTCAACAGATAGGTTAACATGATTAATAAGCTGAAAAATCACTTACCTTATGCATCCATATTCTTCCTTTCCGGATTATATGTGTTAATCTATCAACACACACTCTATGAAGTGGGAGGTAGAAACTAAGTTCTGTCTGTGGAAGTATAATTGATAGTCCATATGTGCTGCGATCCCCATTCCAGTTTCCATCAAAGATTAATGAAACAATAATCACTCCCTTTTCAGACAAGACAAAAAACTTTACATCTATAGCACCACTCTCTGCATTTCGAAGGATTTCTCCATTTAGAGTGTGGTTGGCAAGAAAAGTTATTTCTCCATCACTGAGAAGTACCTGTTCTGTCTTTGGAGCCCAAATGTGCCTTACTCTAGGACCAAGAATATTGTCCCAGTAAGCAAAAGTAGCTGCTAATAAAGGTGATTTGCCACTTAAAGCAATCTCTGTCTTGGCAACAGCTGGAGATGGCGGTGGGCAAAGAGTCGACATCACTGCATTCCAACTGTCACATTATCCAAATGCTCCGGAGATATCTAAACAATGACATATGAAACCAATGATTAGGTTCAGCAATTTAAAGATATCCATCAAAACCCCAAATGATTTAGACATATTTGGTTTGTCCTCTTAAGTCAAAGATGTGGAATCCTGTTATCTCCTATCAGGATAAAGACATTCAACTAGCACAGTAGGTGCACATTAAATGTTTGTTGATATGATCATTTTACAAGACATGGTAACTTGTTACTTATATTCAGGGCATACATTTAGAAATTCAAAGAAATAACTTAAAAAAGGGCTTCTTTACACTGATATTAAATGTTACATACTAAAGCTCATAGAATAGACCCGCAGTATTCCCAAATATCCAGTCCATGTGCAATTCTAGTATGACTGGAGATTTGGCCCCTAACCCATAGCAACTAAAAAGGAGAAAAACAGGAAGGGAAAGGCTCAGCTAGAGACTGACACTTGTGGGTTGAATTGTGTCCCCCAAAAAGATATGTTCAATTCCTAACCCTTGGTGTACGTGAATGTGACCTTATCTAGAAATAAGTGTAATCATGTTAAAATGGGGTCATACTGGATTAGAGTGGGGCCTAATCCAATAACTGCTGTGTTTATAAGGAGAGAGATTTGGAGACACAGAGACAAATGGTAGACAGCCATGTGAAGACAAAAGGCAGATACTGGATTGTTGAAACTACAAGGCAAGAAAGGAACACTCAGGATTGCTGGTAACCACCAGAAGCCAGGAAGAGGCAAGGAAAGAGTCTTCTCTCTTGAAGATCATGCCCCTGTCAACACTTTGATTTCGGACTTCTAGCTTCTAGAATTGTGAGAGAATAAATTGCTGTTGTTTAAAGCCACTCAGTTTGTGGTGCTTTGTTAAGTAATCTTAGAAAAGTAATACAACACCTAACAACAGAAATACTTTAAAGCCGCTAAAAGGTCAAAAAAAAAAAAAAAAAAAAAGACATGGAAATACCACAAGTCTGGAGCCATAACAAAAAATGGGCAAACAGTCCTGTATCCTCAGTGAACTCTCTGGTTATGAGAATACTGAAGCCCGATCCTGATGTTTAAAACGACATTGAAGTATCAAGACAAAGATAAAAATATTTAATATGCTAGCCAAGAAACCAATACAGCATTTCATCACTGCAAAGAGAGTTCTACACTAAATGGCTAGAATTTAAAAGCTTTAGTTATTTAGAACACGTAGAAAACAGAAGGGCTAAATAGGGCCCGTTCAAGCCTTTGAATTTAATGAGAAAACAGACATGAGGAGAAGAACATAAACGCTCACATCCAAGACAGAACCCAGGGCTCTTGGTCCCCTTGCTCAACTTGTACATCTTAATCCACATAAACATACCACTCTAAAAAGGTACATCCTATGTGATATTAATGTAAAACAAATCATTCTTGCAAATACAGTTATGTGCCATGTAACGTTTCAGTCAATGGTAGACTGCATATATGATGGTAGTCCCATTAGATTACAATGGACCTGAAAATATGCTATTGCCTTAGTGACACTGTAACCATCATAAGGTCTTAGTACTATTTTGCAAGTTATTTAAAGTATAGCACATACAATTATTACAGTGTACAACACTTGATAATAAACTACTACATTGCTGGTTTATGTATTCACTATACTATGCCTTTTATTGTTATTTTAGAGTGCACTCCTTCTACTTTTTTTTTTTTTAAGTTAAATGTAAAACAGCCTCAGGCAAGTCCTTCAGGAGGTATTCAACAGAAAGCACTGTTATCATAGGTGACAGCTACATGTGTGTTATTGCCCCTAAAAACCTTCCAGTGGGACAAGATGTGGAGGTGGAAGGCAGTGAGGTGGAAGGGAGTGATACTGATGATCCTAATCCTGTCTATGCCTAGGTGAAAGTGTGTGTGTTTTAGTTTTTAACAAAAACGACTAACAAGTAAAAAAAAAAATTTAAAATAGAAAATAGAAAAAAGCTTCTAGAATAAGGATACAAAGAAAAAATATTTTTGTATAGCTATACAATGTATTTGTGTTTCAAGCTAAGTATTTTAAAAGTTAAAAAATTAAAAAGTTTACAAAGTTAAAAAGTTATAATTTTTTATTGAAGAAAAACTGTTAAGATAAATTTGGTGTAGCTTCAGCGTACTGTGTTTATAGTCTACAGTGGTGTACAGTGTTCTAGGCCTTCACATTAATTCACCACTCACTCACTGACTCACCCAGAGCAACTTCTAGTCCTGCAAGCTCCATTCGTGGTAAGTGGCCTACACAGGTATACCATTATCTTTTATACCATACTTTTACTGTACCTTTTCTCTGTTTGCATATATTTAGATAAATATTTACCACTGTGTTACAACTGTCTATAGTATTCAGTACAGTAACAGTTGTACAGGTTTGTGGCCTAGGAGCAACAGACTATACCATACGGCCTAGGTACATAAAGGCTATACTATCTAGGTTTGTGTAAGTACACTCTATGATGTTTGCATAATGACAAAATCGCCTAATGATGCATTCCTAAGCAATGTGTGATTGTACTATAATTGAAGACTTGTTATCTAAGACTGAAAGTAAAAAGAATTGCAATTTCACCTAAGCAAGTCTAAAACTGTGAAGTCTATTTATAATAATAGCAATACAAAGCAGCTAATAGGCAAACTATGATATACCTATCTTTGCCATATGATTGCTTTGGGAGCTAACATTTGATCTGTAAATGTATGACAAAGTAAACAATTTTACTTAAAGAATTTCATCCACATCTTGTCAAGAGAGTTCAGTCTGATGGAAAGCACTGACTTCTATTTACAGAGCATTAGATGAGTGCTTTTATCATATTATGAGTAGGCATACAGAGCCTGGCAAAACAGTTAACTCTAAGTATGTACAGAAATGGTTGAACACAACGACAGTTTTAACACGTGTATTTGTAATTTCAAAAATTCATTTAGGTAATATTTACTTTTAAATATGTTGTATCAATTTAATAGTCTTAAGAGACAGCACTAGATATAAGCCGTACAGCTTCTTTAAAATATCCACTGTTTTTAATACAATGTAAGCAGTCAGTTTACAATGATCAAATATAGGAATGTAATCTGAATTGAAATGGTAATGACACTACTGCTGTCATAACTAACAACAGCAAACTGGAGGCCAACATAATGAATTAAGTTAACATACAACCATAAAATTATATTGCAAACATATTTTTCTTTCATTCTTTTAGGTTAAAAAGGTGGATAATCATAAAGGCAATATTACAACTCTAATATTTCATCATTAAACTGAAAATAAAAGTATTTCCTAAAACAGAACTGAACCCTGGAGCAAAATCTGATTGAATTATAGGGAAACTTTTACCACGTTGTGAAAATTGAACTATTATACTGCTAGTTACACTCTCACTCCTAACAGAATAAGAAAAAAAAAATGGGCCGGGCATGGTGGGTCACACCTGTTATCCCAGCTCTTTGGTAGGCCGAGGCAGGTGGATCACCTGAGGTCAGGAGCTCAAGACCAGCCTGGCCAACATGGTGAAACCCCACCTCTACTAAAAATACAAAAAATTAGCCGGGTGTGGTGGTGGACACCTGTAATCCCAGCTACTCGGGAGGCTGAGGCAGGAGAATCTCTTGAACCCGGAGGTGGCAGAGGTTGCAATGAGCTGAGATGGCGCCACTGCACTCCAGCCTGGGCGACAGAGAGAGACTCTGCCTCAAGAAAAAAACAAACAAACAAACAAACAAAAAGAATAAGAAAGAAAATGAAGGACAAAGATCATACTGAATTGCTTAGTTTTAAATCCTACCAAAAGAAATAGCCTGGGAAATGAAATGTCACAGAGAAGTATAATCAGGAGAGCTGTACAATTATTTTACTAATACTTGAAGTCATCGTCTTTGGTGAGAAAAATCCATACATGCAAATGCAGCTGAAAAAAATCAGCTCAAAACCAATAGTTGTTTATGTACCTATCTTACGTACATGTAGTGCTGTCTACTCCAGAGAGTTACCAAACATTAGCCAGTCTTTTGAGGGAAGCCAAGATTCAAATTGAGTGAGACGGTGGCTTGCTCACAGGGTTCATGAGAGGTTTCCCAATACACTTTCTGGAAATAATCCCATACATGCAGACATGATTACATTAATTAACATCTGCTAAAACTGTTAGTAGAGTGCTAAGTTTGAGGTTTTGCTTTTTCTTTAAACGTCTGTTAAAAAATCAACCATCTCTTCCCTGATTGGTATTTAGAAAGGTGGTTGGTCCACTGCTATTGTAGTGAAAATTCTACAATCATAAAGCCCTCACTTCTTGTTTTTTAGAGACAGGGTCTCGTTTTGTCATCCAGGCTGGAATGCACTGGCAGGATCATAGCTCTCGGTAACTTCAAACTCTTGGGCTCAAATGACCCTCCTGCCTCAGCCTCCCAAGTAGCTAGGACTACAGGTGCACATCACCACGCCCGGCTAAGTTTTTAATTTTTTGTAGAGACAGGGTCTACGTTGCCCAGGTTGAGCTTGAACTCCTGGCTTCAAGTGATCCTCTTGCCTCCGCCTCCCAAAGCTCTGGCATTACAGGTGTAAGCCACCTTCTCCAACCTGGCTCTCAATACTTGTAACCATGCTGTTTATTTTCTCCCAGCCCAAAGAGAAGCAGGATCCTAAACCGTCCACTTTCCACAACAGGAGCTGCCCAGGACCACTTCAAGGACAGTGAACTGTTTACAGTACCAGAAAGTTCACAACACTTTCTCAATCTTCAACATCAGGGAAGACTGGAAGGTGAAGTTCATATCACTATCTGGCCATTTCTCACAGTTCCAAGTTTCTCAGACAATAGGTAGGCTAACCTAGTCCTCCTGGGAACTATCTAATTAACGTAGAATAGAACCCGAGGGCAGACTTGAAAAACAGAAGTCCTCCTTGGTTTACTTTGTTTCTCTGAAAGCAAATTGTGGAGTGCCAACATAGCCAAACAAAATATTTTATCAACTTCATAAGGTGCTTGTAATTTTTTCCTGGAGCAGGTAAATGCTGGCTTAGTGAACAATCTGGAATGTGGTAATTACTCTCGTTCTTGTTTCAGATGTACTATCAGCATGTAGCAGTTTCCAACTGATTCAGGGTTTTCCTAAAGTGGCAGGCCTTGGCAGAGGTGGTGACAACAATGCCCGTGTCAAATGACACCGTATTTCAAGTATTCTGACTCCAGGTTATTAATATCCCCTATATGATAGTCTTGTTTCTGTGATATTCACAGATTATGTTAAAAGTTTCCCAAAGTCTGAGAAAAATCATATCTTAACAGTATCTTTTTTTTTTTTGATCCTTTGTACAAAAGTAGAAGTAATGCCAGACAGATTACGTACCCTTGTTGTGAACAACTGGTGCATGGCAACTGTTTGAATAGAAATTTACCAACTGCCACAACCAGGCAACTACTCTCCCAGAGCCTAACAATCTCGATTGCATCTGAAAGGGCCACCCCTCCTGGGAAAGTGCAGGACCTCCCTCCTGTTTCTGAATACAAAGCCTGGTGGTGTTCAACGCGGCCAGATAGACCCAATGAGCACACGGACATGTAATCTGTGCACTTCTTTAGACAACTGATTACCATCAGTCAAGTGATGCCCAAGTCACAATAGTCACTTCCTTTAAGCAAGTCTGTGTCATCTCGGAGCTGTGAAGCAACCAGGTCATGTCCCACAGAATGGGGAGCACACCGACTTGCATTGCTGCCCTCATATGCAAGTCATCACCACTCTCTAGAAGCTTGGGCTGAAATTGTGCAGGCGTCTCCACACCCCCATCTCATCCCGCATGATCTCCTCGCCGGCAGGGACCGTCTCGGGTTCCTAGCGAACCCCGACTTGGTCCGCAGAAGCCGCGCGCCGCCCACCCTCCGGCCTTCCCCCAGGCGAGGCCTCTCAGTACCCGAGGCTCCCTTTTCTCGAGCCCGCAGCGGCAGCGCTCCCAGCGGGTCCCCGGGAAGGAGACAGCTCGGGTACTGAGGGCGGGAAAGCAAGGAAGAGGCCAGATCCCCATCCCTTGTCCCTGCGCCGCCGCCGCCGCCGCCGCCGCCGGGAAGCCCGGGGCCCGGATGCAGGCAATTCCACCAGTCGCTAGAGGCGAAAGCCCGACACCCAGCTTCGGTCAGAGAAATGAGAGGGAAAGTAAAAATGCGTCGAGCTCTGAGGAGAGCCCCCGCTTCTACCCGCGCCTCTTCCCGGCAGCCGAACCCCAAACAGCCACCCGCCAGGATGCCGCCTCCTCACTCACCCACTCGCCACCGCCTGCGCCTCCGCCGCCGCGGGCGCAGGCACCGCAACCGCAGCCCCGCCCCGGGCCCGCCCCCGGGCCCGCCCCGACCACGCCCCGGCCCCGGCCCCGGCCCCTAGCGCGCGACTCCTGAGTTCCAGAGCTTGCTACAGGCTGCGGTTGTTTCCCTCCTTGTTTTCTTCTGGTTAATCTTTATCAGGTCTTTTCTTGTTCACCCTCAGCGAGTACTGTGAGAGCAAGTAGTGGGGAGAGAGGGTGGGAAAAACAAAAACACACACCTCCTAAACCCACACCTGCTCTTGCTAGACCCCGCCCCCAAAAGAGAAGCAACCGGGCAGCAGGGACGGCTGACACACCAAGCGTCATCTTTTACGTGGGCGGAACTTGTCGCTGTTTGACGCACCTCTCTTTCCTAGCGGGACACCGTAGGTTACGTCTGTCTGTTTTCTATGTGCGATGACGTTTTCTCACGAGGCTAGCGAAATGGGGCGGGGCAACTTGTCCTGTTCTTTTATCTTAAGACCCGCTCTGGAGGAGCGTTGGCGCAATAGCGTGTGCGAACCTTAATAGGGGAGGCTGCTGGATCTGGAGAAAGTGAAGACGATTTCGTGGTTTTGAATGGTTTTGTTTGTGCTTGGTAGGCAGTGGGCGCTCAACACATAATTGGTGGATGAAATTTTGTTTTTACCGTAAGACACTGTTAAGTGCATTCAAAACTCCACTGCAAACCCTGGTAGGGGACAGCTCCGGCACTGCGGGCGGGAATCCCACGGTCCCCTGCAAAGTCATCGCAATTTTGCCTTTACATGTAAGAATTCTCTCAAGCATGATTTTCACACTGGGGAATGTCATTTTTGCTAGTTGCAATATGTGGATGAGTTGTTTTTTTTTAACTTTTGAAAAACGTACCATTCTGTTTGATGTGTAAAAAACACAAAGATTTTTGAAACCTTGCGTCTTTTGGTCTGCAGGTGTATAGATTCCACTTACTACAGATGAGTAGCATTTACACCACTCAGATGTGTAAAAAAACAAAGGTTTTTTAAACTGTGTGCCTTTTGATCTGCAAGTGTGAGATGGCACTTACTACAGTGAGTAGCATTTAATCTTTTTCATCACTAAAAATCACACAGAACGTTTTAATCATTCACCGAGGAAGAAAGGGAGGAATAAATACACAAAATGGCTCTCAACGTCTACACCTTCTGCAGAAACAGACCCTTTTCCTACTGTTCTATGCTTTGTGAAAGTTGATCATACAAATTGGGTCATTCTTTTTATACCCAACTAAAATAGTGGGGGTAGGGGGTAGAAAAGCACTTAGGACAAATGACACTGCTCCCACAGTGTAATTCTCTCCAAGTCCAGCTGCTGCAACTGCCCGTTGTGACCTGAGACCAGTTTTATCTAATAGTTGCTAAAATGACCTGCTGCAGCTCTAATTTTATCTACCACCATCACTCACCAGTTGAAACTCACCAGCTCCTCAGATCCTTAATAGTGCCAATGAATTTTCTCAAAGAGCACTATGTAACATTTCTCTTTTTTAACAAAACCTCCCCCTTTTCTTTGTTGTGTGGATATACCGAAGACCATCTGATCTACATGTATGCCCTAATTGCAATTCTTTCTTCCCAAATAAATCACTTAATTTAGAGATTCATCTCTGTATTTTTATTTTGACTGACAGCTTATAACAAGTAGCTAGCATTTACCAAGTTTCTACACTGAGTTGTACTTCACTTATACGTGGAATTAAAAAACAACTGAATTTATAGAAACAGAGTAGACCCTTGGTTGGGGGGCTTGGGGGGAAAGAAAATTGTAGGGTAGGGTACAAAGTTGCAGTTACGTCTAATACATCTAGAGATTTAATGTACAACATGAGGACTAGCGTTAATAATTGTGTTAGTCCATTCTTACACTGCTATAAAGAAATAACTGAAACTGGGTAATTTATAAAGAAAAGTTTAATGGCTCACAGTTCTGCAGGCTGTACAAGAAGCATGGCTGGATCAGCTTCTGGGCAGGCCATAGGGAACTTAAAATCATGATGGAAGGCATAGGGAGACCCCAGACTTCACATGGCAGGAACTGGGGGAAGAGAGAAATGGGAGGTGCTACATACGTTTAAACAACTAGATCTTGTCAGAACTCACTATATAGTACCAAGAGGGGACTGTACAAAACCATTAGAAGCCACCCCATAATCCACTCACCTCCCACCAGGCCCAACCTCCAACACTGGGGATTACAGTTGAACATGAGATTTGGGTGGGGACAGAGATCCAAACCATGTTATTCCAACTCTGGCCCCTCCCAAATCTAATGTCCTTCTCATATTGCAAAATACTGTCGTGCCTTACCAACAGTTCCCCAAAGTCTTAACTCGATCCAGCATTCATTCAAAAGTCCAAAGTCCCAAGTCTCACCTGAGACGAAGCTAGTCCCTTCTACCTATGAACCTGTAAAATCAAAAACAAGGTAATTGCTTCAAAGATACAATGGGGGTATAGGCATTGGGCAGATACTGCCATTCCGAAAGGGAGAAATCTGCCAAAAGAAAGAGGCTATAGGGCCCCATTGCAAGTCTGAAAGCCAGCCGGGCAGTCATTAAATGTTAAAGCTCTGAAATAATCTCCTTTGACTCACACCCAGGGAACACTGATGCAATGAGTGGGCTCCCAAAACCTTGGGCAGAACCACCCCTGTGGTTTTCCAGGGTTCATCTCCCACAGCTGCTCTCATGGGCTAGCATTGAGTGCTTGCAGCTTTTCCAGGCTGCAGGGTGCAAGTTGTTGGTGGATCTACCATTCTGGGGTCTGGAGGACGGTGGCTGTCTTGTCATAGCTCTGCTAGGCAGTGCCCCAGGGGACTCTCTGTGGGGGCTGCAACCCCACATTTCTTCTCCTTGCTTCCCTAGTAGATGTTCTCCATGAGGATTCCACCCCAGTAACAGGCTTCTGTCTGGACATCCAGGCTTTTTCATACATCCTCTAAAATCTAGGCAGAGCTTCTTAAGCCTCAACTCTTGCATTATGTGCGCCCGCCGGCTTCACAGCTTATGGAAGCCACCAAGGCTTATGCCTGGCACCCTGTGAAGCAGCAGCCTGAACTGTATTCTTACTGGTGAAAGTTATCTGAGTTACCAGCTGCAAATCCATGTGGGTCTGCAGCAACCTCAATTCTTGCCTCCTCAGAAGAAAGAATTTGACCAAGAGGCATAAGGCAGAAAAAGAGACTGCGACAAGTTTCAGAGCAGGAGTAAAAGTTTATTAAAAAGCTTTAGAACAGGAATGAAAGGAAAGTACATTTGGAAGAGGCCCAAGTGGGCACCTTGGAGGTCAAGTGCCCTGTTTGACCTTGAACCTAGGATCTTATACACTGGCCTACTTCTGACATCTTGTGCCCCTTTCCCTTGGTCCTTCCCTAAGGGTGAGCTTGCCGCATGCATGGTGCCCTGCTTGCACTTGGAAGGTGAGCGTGTGCAGTGTGTTTACTGGAGTTGTATACATGCTTACCTGAGGCTTTCTTCCCTTTTCCGGTGGAATGCCCCCAAAGGTCATACTTCACCATTTTGCCTCTTAATGTGCATGTTAAGCCCACTCTCTCAGTTCCTGAGATCTTATTGGAAGCGCCCAGTTACCAATTTCAGGTGTTTCTATCTATTGAGAAGTTGCCTCTCCCTGGTGCTGGCTGCAACCAATTACTATTTTAGAGAGGCAGTATGACAACTGCCTGACCATCATCTGATGGTTGCCTGACATTCCTGGTGGGTGGTGGGGACTTCTCTCTTACCCCACTCATGCCTGATTAGCTACCTACTGTAACAGTACCTGGGCCCCTTTGAGCAGCTGGGATTCAGGGAGCAGAGTCCCAAGGCTGTAAGAGGGAGCAGGGGCCCTAGGCCTGGCCCAGGAAATGATTCAGTCCTCCTAGGCCTCGGGGCCTGTGATGAGAGGGACCACCATGAAAGCCTAAAATGCCTATTAGGAACACTTTTACACTGTTGGTGGGACTGTAAACTAGTTCAACCATTGTGGAAGTCAGTGTGGCGATTCCTCAGGGATCTAGAACTAGAAATACCATTTGACCCAGCCATCCCATCACTGGGTATATACCCAAAGGACTATAAATCCTGCTGCTATAAAGACACATGCACACTATGTTTATTGTGGCACTATTCACAATAGCAAAGACTTGGAACCAACCCAAATGTCCAACAGTGATAGACTGGATTAAGAAAATGTGGCACATATACACCATGGAATACTATGCAGCCATAAAAAATGATGAGTTCATGTCCTTTGTAGGGACATGGATGAAATTGGAAATCGTCATTCTCAGTAAACTATTGCAAGGTCAAAAAACCAAACACCACATGTTCTCACTCATAGGTGGGAATTGAACAATGAGAACACATGGACACAGGAAGGGGAACATCACACTCTGGGGACTGTTGTGGGGTGGGGGAGGGGGGAGGGATAGCATTAGGAGATATACCTAATGCTAAATGACGAGTTAATGGGTGCAGCACACCAGCATGGCACATGTATACATATGCAACTAACCTGCACATTGTGCACATGTACCCTAAAACTTAAAGTATAATAATAATAAAATAAAAATAAAATAAAATAAAATGCCTGTTAGTCCTATGAGTCTTTCTCCCCATTGTTTTGGTTATCAGCCCTTGCCTTCCTTTTAGTTATGCAAATTTATGCAGCCTGCTTGACTTCCTCTCCTGAGAACGAGCTTTTCTTTACTACCACATGGCCAGGCTGCAAAATTTACAAACTTTTATGCTCTGCTTCCCTTTTAAGTGTAAGTTCCAATTTCAGGTCATTTCTGTGCTCATGCCTATGAGCATAGGCTATTAGAAGCAGCTAGGTTACTTCTTGAACACTCTGCTGCTTAGAAATTTCTTCTGCCAGATACCCTAAATCATCATTCTTAAGTCTAAGATTTCACAGATCCCTAGAACAGAGGAACAATGCAGCTAAGCTCTTTGCTAAAGCATAGCAAACCTGACCTTTACTCATTCCCAATAAATTTCTCATTTCCATCTGAGACCTCCTCAGCCTGGACTTCACTGTCTATATCACTATCAGTATTTTGGTTACAACCACTCAACAAGTTCCTAGCGAGTTCCAAACTTTCTCTCATCTTTCTGTCTTCTTCTGAGCCCTCTAAAATGTTTCAACTTCTGCCTGTTAGCCGGTTCCAAAGTCACTTCTACATTTTCAGGTATCTTTATAGCAATGCCCTTCTTCTCAGTAACAATTTTCTGTATTAGTCCATTCTTGCATTGCTATAAAGAAATACTTGAGACTGGGTAATTTACAAAGAAAAGAGGTTTAATTGACTCATGGTTCTGCAGGCTGTATAGGAAGCATGGCAGCATCAGCTTCTGGGGATGCCTCAGAGAACTTACAATCATGGCGGAAGGCAAAGAGGGAGCTGGCACTTCACATAGCGGGAGCAGGAGGAACAGAGAGAGGGAAAGTGGGGGAGGTGTTACACACTTTTAAACAACCAGATCTCGTGAGAACTTACTCACTATACAGTACCAAGAAAGGATGGTGCTGAACCATTAGAAGCCACCCCTGTGATCCAATCACCTCCAACCAGGCTCCATCTCCAACGTTGGGGATTGCAACTGAACATGAGATTTGGATGGGGATATGGATCAAACCATATCAATATTGTATACTGGAAATTTGGTAAGAGAATAGATTTTAGATAATCTTATCACATACATAAAAGGTAGCTATGAAATGATGGATATGTTAATTTGCTTGACTGTAGTAATCACTATACACGTGTATATCAAAACATTATGTTGCCCATTTTAAATACATACAATTAAAAAAAATTACACTTAATCCTCCTGACATCTCTAGGATGTAGATATTGTCATCCCTAGGATGTAGATATGTTTTACAGAGGAGATAACTGGACCTCTGAGAGCTTGAATTATTTACCCAAGGCTACATACTTTGATAAATTAGGCCAGTTTCATGCAATTCTAGAGCTCACTGAGTCCAGAGGACAACAACCTGGTACCAAGTTGATGATAACTCATCTCAGATAACTCCTATGGTGGTTAATACTAGCATCCCCAGTTTAGAATAAGACTGGAACTTGGATTAAGTGCCTGGGAGGGGAATACAACTCCAAAAGCAGGTTTTCCTACTTCAAAATTTGGCCTACAGACAAATAATTTTCCTTTTCTCGAATAGGTTTTTCTGTTTTTTTGTGATATCAACCCTGAAACAACTATGTTTCCTAAGAGAGAAATAATCAACACCAAAGCCTAAATTCTACATGATCATGAGAAATAAAATATATGGTGAAAATGGCTCTGTATGCATGATGCTTTCTAGCCAGTGACTGTGTATCTTCCCCCCACCTAATCCAACAGGTATTTAGTCATTGTGTAGCAGTATAGTAGCTTGTATGTCTTTCATTAGATTGGAGCAAAAAAATCAGGAGAGAAACAATAATTATAACATAGTACAGTGGTCCAAAATACTTTATTGCCTGAAAGGGTAAAAGAGGAGGACAAATATTCTAGCATATATGCAGTCTTCTGGGAACCAAAGAGAAAATGATATTTAAGTATCTAGTAATGTGATTCATATTAGCAGCATGAAAGATGGCTTGGGAGGGCTTTAACCCTTATCCTTTTCATACTCTGTTAACTGGTTTATTAACCACATCAAGTAACTGTAGCATCTAAATGAAAATAGGTTTTTCTACAGAAATATGTCTTCAAGTGAGAAGCCTAGTCCTCCATTTTCAACCAGAATGACACCCTTAAAAGACCTTATATAGAAATTTTTGAACTCTTCACATATAATTAATGCAGTCATACAAAAAGACTCTACAACTAGGGAAGCAGAAAAGCATATGGTTAAGAGAGTGGGCTCTGGAATCAGAGCTGGTGTGAGTATTGTCTTTGCCTTTGATTAGTTATGACATTTTGGGCAGTACTGTATTTCTCTGTGCCTCAGTTTCCCCAGCTACAAAATGGCATGCAGAATAATTTCTCCTAGGATCATTGTGAGGGTCATGTGTGATCAAGCAAGCTAAGGATTTAGAACAGTACATTCGAGAAGTGGTTCTAATCTCAATTTTACTAACTATGCAGAGATAATAAAAGCAATAACAAATGACTTATTAGCCTTTTAAACTATGTACCTATGTATGATTCCAATAACTATTATATCAGAATCCAGATAAACTTCCTGCTGTGTCAAAAATGCCAGTTGTTGTCAGGAAGGCATTCTTGCTATTAGTGTATTTCAAAAATGCAATATCTGCTGCTGATTCAGAGCTAGAGCTGAGAGCTTGTTGATTAGCTCCCATTTATCCAGATTACAGCAAATTAGATTTAACTGTGACTGGCATGTGAAAGATCTTATGTAGGACATGGAGGAGGAATACCGCTCCATAAACCATAGTGCATTTAATTTCTTTTTCTTTTTTTCTTTTTTGAGACAGAGTTTCACTCTTGTTGTCCAGGCTGGAGTGCAATGGCACGATCTCAACCTCCACCTCCTGGGTTCAAGTGATTCTCCTGCCTCAGCCTCCTGAGTAGCTGGGATTATAGGCATGCACCACCATGCCCCGCTAATTTTGTATTTTTAGTAGAGATGGGATTTCTCCATGTTGATCAGGCTGGTCTCAAACTCCCAACCTCAGGTGATCTGCCCTCCTTGGCCTCCCGAAGTGCTGAGATTACAGGTGTGAGCCACCGTGCCTGGACTTAATTTCTTTTAAATAATGAGATTTTATGTGGTTGCCTTAATCATTACGGACTAGGCGGTATGCACTTTATGGTACATTATCTTTTGGTTGGAATGTGAATGAACCAACACCTACCTGAGGTACTTCTAGGTGAAATCTTGATTCTTGAGTATATAAAGTTACTTCTGGTTGCCAGTGTGATATAAATGGTTTACAAAACTCTAGGGGTTCTGTGCCTGGAGCCAACACTCTACAGTTCTGATGATAGACAATGTAAACAATGCCCTTGCAAGAGAATATCAGGCCGGGTGTGGTGGCTCACGCCTGCAATCCCAGCACACTGGGAGGCCGAGGCTGGTGGATCATTTGAGGTCAGGAGTTCAACACCAGCCTGACTAACATGGTGAAACCCCATCTCTACTAAAAATACAAAAAAAAATTAGCCAGATGTGGTGGCACATGCCTGTAATCCCATCTACTTGGAAGGCTGAGGCAGGAGAGTCCCTTGAACCCGGGAGGTGGAGGTTGCAGTGAGCTGAGATTATGCCACTGCACTCCAGCCTGGGCAATGGAGTGGGGGAAAAGAAAAAAGAAAAAAAGAGAATATCATTAGGATCCAATATATATTTCCTTTTGGTTTTTCCTGGGACTTATGATTCTATAAATAATAAGCTAATGAACTTTTCAACAAGAGAATCACATCTTTGACCAGACATTAACCTCTATTCCTTCTCTGTTGATTCTCTGCACTTTATAAGCAACAGTTTTGAGTGATCTAAGGCCTGGAATACAGAGTTCTGGGGAGAGGAAGTTCCTAGTTCATTGCAGCCTCAGAAAACACAGAAGAAAGAGAACAAGAAGTAGGAAGATGAGCACGATCTTCTTAAATTTTAGAGAAGACCACTAGCTTATAGAGGAAGAGAGAATTTGAACTAGTACCTTGATAGGTTGGTCATAATTTGATGGAATTTAGATGGAAAGAACAGTGCACAATGATGGTTTTGTTACTGACCTACCATATGCCTGAGTAGTGGGGGACTAGTAGCAGATGAGCCTCAGCACTCTCACAGCAATGGCTCCCCTTCTAGACATACTTCCCAAATCCACTTCAGAATGGTTCCCTGAGCAACTGGCCTAGCTTTACCCCTCTACTTGCAGCTTTCAGCATTATTTTGCATGTATAGTTGTATTTTATTGTAGTTACTGGTATAGTGCTTTGTAAGTAGTTTCTTTAGTTATTTCATGTATGATATGGAAAACTGCTTCTCAACTATGTCACATGCTATTTGAGACCCTGGACTGTAGGCTGACAGTTTATTTGTTAACTCCTTTATTGTTAGCTCATATCAGATGATTAGCAAATGCCACGTAGCTGATTGAAACTTCACTCCAACTACCCAGAATTATTATCCTTGAGTCAGGCTAGTTTTATATATTCATGATGTATTTGGAAACCTTACTAAATATTCTTATTGGTTGTAAATTTAAAAACCACAAACAAAACAAAACAAGAAAGCAACCAAAACACAAAAGAAACAAGTCCTAAACCAAAAAGTTACTAATCATTTCACTCTCATGTTCTTCACCTTTCAGGGGCTTCCCATTTTCTATATGTCAAGGTCCTTGGCATGACTCTCTAGTTTTTCCACAATCTGGCTCCACTTGACTTTCAAGCTTCTCTCTTACCGCCCTTTCCCTTTGATCTTGCAGACGCATGACTGTTTACTGCTCTGTAACCTCTCATATAATTCTCTCTGCCTGAAATGTCCTCACCTCTCCATTTTGTGTGAGCAAACCTTATTAACTGCAGCCATATGCTGCCTCCTCCATGAAGTCTTCCTGGATTTTCCCAGTTTGAATAATTCCATTGTGCACCTTTAACCTCCACTAGTAATACAAAAACCAAACTCTTTGTATTTACATTTTACATTTTGGGGGCAAATAATGGTAATATAATATTAATAGAACTAATAATTTGAAACTATTAGAGTTGTTTGCAGTGACACAATAGGGTTTAATGGCATGAGTTTTGGAGTCAAACCAACCTAGTCTTGAATTCTGGCTCAATCACTTTGCATCCTTGGGGGAGTTACTTAACATTTTTGAGCCTCAATTTCCTCCTCTTGAAAATGGAATTGCTTTGAGGATTAAATGAGGTTACCATCATAAAGGGTTTATCTTGATACCTGCCCCATGGTAATTGCTCAGTAAGTTTAGCTACTATTATCACATGGTAGACGCTCAATTTGTGTTTGTTAATAAATGTATTCCCAACCCCTAGTTTATAGATGAAGAGATTGAAAGGGAAAGGGAAAGAGATTTACTCGAGGTGACACCTTTAGTTTGGGGCAGATCTGTAACTAACACTTTCATATGCCAGCAACCAGGTAAGAGCTTTTTTTTTTTTTAAATCAACATAAGGTGTGTATACGTCTTTCTCATCACTAGACTGAAAGCTTCCGGAGGGCAGGGAACTTGTCTGATTCACTTTCGTCTGCGCTTTTCCTCTAAGCACAGTAATTGCCTATGTTTTAGGTCTTTAATAAATGTTGGATGTAATTTAATTTAAGAAAGTTCCCATTAGAAACAAAGAAAGTTCCCATTAGAAACAAGAATAAATAAAATGTATTTAATCAATGTGTAGATTAAAATTTCACTAAGCTCTAAATATGGCACACAATCAAGTGATGTTAATAAAGAAAAGCTTAATTTGAACATTATTGCATTTTTAGGTGACAAAACAACAGGCCACTTCATCATCAAGATTTCTAGAAAGAGCAGTTATTTCATACATTGCCAAGCAAAAAGAATAAGAGATTCAAACACATATTTTTAACCTGCAGTTGCACCCACGGCATTTAACATCAGTTTAAAATTTGAATACAAACAAATATAAAGTATTGCCTTTACAGAAGTAATGGAATTTGACAAGTTATTATCGTGAAGGATTAATTAGTACCCTGTGAGAACAAAACTGAGTCACAGGTAGTAAGTCTGCTTACAAAAACCTAAGAAGGGATGGATTGTCATGTTATTGTTTTTCATCTCAAATATGTAGAGAGATAGTCACCTTAAATAGCTTGCCTGGGAAATTACAGAATGTCTATTTTGTCCTATTTAAGATTGTGCAAAGTTTCACATAAATTATAGACACAGAGACATGCACAAATAATTTAGTACAGAACAACAAACTAGATGGATAAATAGGAGGTTATTACTTTCAAATTATAGTATTAACTCCCTCAAAATTTATTTTCTTACTTGGAAATGATTTGTTTGCCTGTCCATATTCCATGTGCAGGATATAAAAAGGAAATAGTGCTCAAACATTGCTGATCACCTCTGACGACTATCAGTTGTTTTTACCAAATAGTGCTTTAGAAAAGAATGAAGATGCTGCATGGGAAATGACATTAGGATCTAATTCTCAAGCACTTTCTCCATTAATGAACTATACATTATAAATCAGGAGACACGCACATTTGTTTTCTGAACACAGGGCAAAAAAGAAAAGAAAAGTAAGTGGTCCATTTGATAAAGAGCAGATACCCAACACCCTTCTAGTTTTGCTACACAAAGATCCAATTATCTCTCACAGTTCTCGAGTTTTTACAAACTGCCTCTTTATTCAGGAATAATTTTTTTTAAAAAGTCAAATTAAAAAAAAAAGAACAAAAAATTGCAGTTCAGATAACTTTAAATGCCTAAATAATGTCATTGTGGAAAAAACACCATAAAAAGTGCAGTTCAAATTCATGCTTAGTCTAGGGTAGCTTATACATAGTCCAGCTCAGTTTGCCAAGTGTTTGTTAAAATTAATTATCACACACACAGCAGCTTTCACTCTCTAAGTAGAACTCCCAGAAAATATGCTTGGAGTGGAGAAATGCAGATTGGGTTATGAAGTAATTTTGTACTCTAAGGACAGATTTTTTTTTTTTAATTCACATTACTTCATGTTGGAGAAGATTCATTATTATTTATAAAGCAGAACAAGCCCCAAAGCCAATCCCTTTCCAGTCTCACTGTCACTTTCTGCATTACAAACACCACTAAATTTCCAAATGAGTAGGCTAATTCTTTCCTTACAGAGCCAAAAACCTTGCTTGGAGTTTTGCTAACTTAGGTGACAGCACTTTGTTCAAAATAATTCTTTTTTTTTTTTTCCGAGAAAGAGTCTCACTCTCACTCTGTTGCCCAGGCTAGAGTGCAGTGGTGTGATCTCGATATTGCAGCCTTGGCCTCCCGGGTTCAAGTGATTCTCCCACCTCAGTCTCCCGAGTAGCTGGGACTATAGGCGTGTACCACCACACCGGGCTAATTTTTGTATTTTTAGTAGAGATGGGGTTTCACCACGTTGGCCACGCTGGTCTTGAACTCCTGGCCTCAAGTGATCTGCTCACCTTGGCATCCCAAAGTGCTGAGATTACAGGCATGAGCCACTGTGTGGGCCAAAATAATTCTTATTAAGCATTCAAACACCTTATTTCAATGTGGCCAGAACTCTGGGGGAAAAGAAGTAGGTTTGTCTCTTGTTTATGATTACTAAATTTTGTTTCTTTGGGCACCTTGGTCCTTTAATAATGAGGCCACTGAAATACTTTATAGTGCAGGCTTAGAAGACAATTATTATGCTATTTACCATTTTACATGTTTAAGTTGCATTTGGTCAACAAGATGATTAAATAGTATATTTAATATAATAGGATATAATATCCTATTTTGAATTAATCCAAACATTGTTAAAAACATAATTATTTTAAATGCAAAATGTATAGAAGTTTCTTTAGAATCAAATAACAATAAAAAAATCATCATCCACTCCCCTCCTCTACCACCATCCCCACATCCTTATTCCAAACTAATGTAAGGCAGGGTGACTGCTTTAACCCAATTTGAGATGAATGAATCTTGTTTACAGGGTTCTGAGACTGGTAGTAGTCAGTGTGTTGAAGAGATGAGATTTTCCATCACCAGATAAAAACTTCTCACAGAGTTGCATCGATGTAACAGTGGTAGTGAGTTCCTAGCTTGGAACACCTTTCAAGGGTGGCCTATCTGTGCCAAAGAGGCCATTCAGGTATTCCATGTTCCAGTCCTGAGAGTCATGATGGAATGACTCCTTTAAAGGTGTAACTCCTCTTTTCATGGCTGCTTGGTTCCTGCCATCCAAAGAGCATTTACAAAGTGAAACCGCTTTGTAACTGTAGGACAAGAACAGAAAGTTACAATTACTCTTCTGATTCTGGCCAACCCATGCAGAAGAAATGTCTATGAAAGCGGTCAAAGGGAAAAACCTTCCTCAGATGATGTAACATTTTAAATTGGAAAGGAATAAAATAAAGACTTGAGGACTTTTTTTTTTTTATCGTGAGTACTACTTTTCTCTTTTTTAAGGAAGTACCAAAGATGACCAGGAAAATCCACTTTTGCAGAGCTACTCATTTTTTGATAATTGGGTGTGTTAAATTAAGTTTAACTTAAAGCTTCCTCTTTGCATATTTTAAGTTCTGCTTAAAGGTTTCTTCTTCGTGTATAGTGAACTGTAAACTAACTGGATGTGTAAATAGACTGTAATCTGCTCTTGTACCAAACACCAAGTTTTGGTCAAGCAAAGACAGCCAACTGTTCAGATTATGTTCAAATAACGCAAATGGCAAGCTGTAACCAATCCAGCTGTTTGTGTACCTCACTTCCATTTTCTGTATCTCTCTTTCCCTTTTCTGCCCATAAATCCTCTCCAACCATGTGACAGCACTGAGTTGCTTTGAACCTCTTCTGTTTCTGGGGGTTGCCTGATCCTCAAATCATTCTTTGCCCAATTAAACTCTGTTAAATTTGATTTGTTTAAAGTTCTTAAAAAATTTAATGGGTACATAATAGGTGTATATACTTATAAGATACATGAGCTATTTTGATGCAGGCATACAATATGTAATAATCACATCAAGGTAAATTAGATATCCATCCCCTCACATCACCTCAAGCATTTATTGCTTCTTTGTGTTACAGACATTCCAATTATACTCTTAGTTATTTTGAAATGCACAATAAATTTTTGTTGGCTGTAATTACCCTGTTGTGCTATCAGATACTAGATCTTATTACTCCTATCTATATTTTTGTACTCATTAACCATTTTTATTCTCCCCCACCACCATTACCCCTCTGAGCCTCTGGTAATCCTCAGAATGGGAGAAAATATTTGCAAATTATTCATCTGACAAGGGATTAATAACCAGAATATATAAAGAACTCAAACAACTCAATAGGAAAAAATGTATTACGCCATTTAAAAATGGGCAAAGATCTGAATAGACATTTTTCAAGAGAAGACATACAAATGGCAAACAGGTATATAAAAAGGTGCTCAACATCACCGATCATGAGAGAAATGCAAATCAAAACTACAATGAAATATCATTTCACTCTAGTGATAATGGCATTTGTTCAAAAGACAGGCAATAAGGAATATTGGCAAGAATGTCTAAAGTTTTTCTTAACAGGTGGAAGTGATGAGGCATATCCTTCCTACCTCTTCCTGAATTTTTCCTTCAGTATTTATTTAGCTACTATTATGTCTCTTGCTAGTTATCTCTTTATCATATGTGTTCTGCCTCCCCTAAGGTCATATTTATGCTAGGTCTGAAGGAGAGAGGTGCAAAGTGAAAGACAAGACTTCCACTCCTATGTAAGCCATGGTTTCCTTTCCTCCTCTACCCCCACCAACCAAAGCAGAACACAATGTCTGGCACATAGATGCTCATAAATACTAATTGTAGCTGGTTTGAAAGTATTACTGTGGTACTGAACATAATGCTTTCTACATATCTAGTAATCAAAAATGTATCAAGTTTAATTTTATGAAGGAATAATATATTTATGTTAAGAAAATCAAAATATAAAATAAATACATATATAAAAATTAGTACATATATAAAATGAATACATATATTAAAATGAATACACTGAGAAATCTATCCCTAACCCTAGTCTTCATCCACTCAATTACTCTTACCCTTTATAGGAAACCACTTTATTCTAGCCAATTTGTGTACCTTTATTATCTCTTAATATAAATGGAAGAAAATATAAATATGCAATTATATCACCCTTCTTTTTTAGACAAAAAGTCTTACACTTTATGGCTAATTATGTACTTTTTTCATTCAACCATCTGTCTTCCTTCCATGTCAGCGCATAGAGAACTTCCTCTTTTTTTTTTTTTTTGACGGAGTCTCGCTCTGTCGCCCAGGCTGGATGGAGTGCAGTGGCGTTATCTCGGCTCACTGCAAGCTCTGCCTCCCGGGTTCATGCCATTCTCCGGCCTCAGCCTCCCGAATAGCTGGGACTATAGGCGCCTGCCTGGCTAATTTTTTTGTATTGTTTTTAGTAGAGACGGGGTTTCACCGTGTTAGCCAGGATGGTCTTGATCTCCTGACCTCGTGATCCACCCGCCTCGGCCTCCCAAAGTGCTGGGATTACAGGCATGAGCCACCGTGCCCGGCCACTTCCTCATTCTTTCTAAGGGCTGCAGAGTATTCATGAACCGTAGTCATGAAACCAGTCCCTGTGTGATGGATGGATATATGAGTTGCTTTTCAGGTTGTTGCTATTACAAACAATTCTGTAATGAATGACTGCATACATTATTTCCTAAGTGTGCAGGTGTACCCTAAGATAAATCCCCATTCATAGAATTGCTAGGATAAATGCATTTATAGTTTTAAATATATTGTTCCCCTCCCCCCCAAAAATCCCCAAATTTTCTTCCATAAGTGTTGCATCATTTTCATTTTCTCCAGTAATTCACAAGGAATTCATGTTTTCCCACAGATCTACCAAACAAATGTTTAGTTAATCATTTGGATGTTTTTGAATTCTATAGGTGAGAAGTTGTAACTTAGAGTGCTATTGTTTTTGTATTTCTTTAACTGTGATTGCAGTTGAAACTTTTTCAGATGGGAAGAATTCAAGATGCTAGATGAGTAGCAGCTAGTGTGTGCTACTCTCACAGAGAGAAAACAAGTGGCGAGTAAACACTGCCTCTGCAAGTAGATCACCTAAGGAACGATATCAGGACAATTAAGGGAGTGAGGGGACACAGAGAACAGGGAAGAGTGAAGCTGGGCAGCTGGCCACCCAAGATGGGCATGGAGCCAGGGGAAGCTCCCCAACATAGAGAAAGGGTGAGTGAGTGAGAGCCCCTGGGGGATCCTCACTTTCCACAGGGACCTGTGAAATCCTGGGAACTGGAGAACCCCTTCATCCCAATACCTGATCCGTGTCCCTGGGCCTCTAGACTGACATAGAGAGTTGCTGGAGTGTTTGCAGAGGCAAAACTCAAGTCCACAGGAAGTCCCACAGGCCTTGGACCTGGAGCAGTCTCATGCCAGCTGCCATAGCCCTGAGAGAAGCCACAGTTAGGGAGCCGTTACATTGCTTCACTCCCCATCATCAGACAAGGCTTAGCATCAGCTTCCAGCACAATGGCCTGGCCTCTGCCTGAACTCTGTGGGCAGGCACAGCTCTCTGTTACCCTGGAAATCAGTTGGACAGTGGGTTGAGAGACTATACCTACCCCCACTGCCTGTAGCCAGGAGGGGCTCATGGTGCTCAAGCAGTGGGGGATCCCCTACTCTCAGAACACTGAGAGGGGTGAGACAGCTGGGTTCATGGACTGGCTCAGGAACAGGGTGTGCCTCCTTGTGCAGGGCCAGCCAGGGAAGGGTATGGTCTATTTTCCAGCCGCAGCCTCTGCCTGAGGGCACCCTGCAGCCCAGGACACCTAATAAATGAAATGCAGGTGCAGTGCCAGTAATAAGAGAGGGCTCCCCCAAGGCCCAGGAATGTATCTGGTGAGGGGGTCATCTCTCCCTACCACCACAGAGCACTACTGAGGACTGCACCAAAATACAAAAGAGCTGTGGACTGAGTAAGAGCCTATCTGCCAGCTACCACTCTTAAGCATCACCTACTGGATTGCACCCCAAATGACAACACCAAAAACATTTTTCCAATATACAGCACCTGTGAAACCTAAAGCAAAAATCTAGCCACAAATAAAGATGCTGTACAGAGCTTTGGCCCTTTGAAAGCACTCAGAATGAAGCCAACTGACTATACTCAATGTACACTATTGTTAATGGAACACCAGCCCTCATATGTTAAAGAGTCATCTCAAGAACTCTAGCAATTCAAAAAAGCTGGTGTCTCCTTACCTCCAGACAAACACACAAGTCCTCCAGCAAAGGATTTTAACCAGATTAAAATGACTCAAATGACATACATAGAATTCAGAATCTGGATGGCAAGGAAGTACATCAAGATCCAGGAGATCATTGAAACCCAATACAAGGAACTCAAGGAATCCAGAAAAATGATCAAAGAGCTTAAAGATGAAATAGCTATTTTAAGAAAGAACAAAACTGAACTTCAGAAATTGAGGGATCAACTTCAAAAATTTCATAATATAGTCAGAGGCATTAACAGCAGAACAGACCAAGCTGAGGAAAGAATCTCAGAGTTTGAAGACCAGTTATTTGAATCAACTTGGTTGGACAAAAATAAAGAAAAAAGAATTTAAAACATGAACAAAACCTTCAAGATTTATGAGGTTATGTAAAGAGACCAAGTCTATGACTCACAGTCATTCCTGAGAAAGAGAGTAAGCAACTTAGAACATACATCTGAGGATGCAGTCCATGAAAATTTCCCCTATCTCACCAGAGAGGTGGGCATACAAATTCAAGAAATACAGAGAACTCCTGTGAGACACTATACAAGACAACCATTGCCAAGTCACATAGTCATCAGATTCACCAAGGTCAATGCAAAAGAAAAAATTGTTAAGGCAGCTAGTGAGAAAGGTCAGGTCACCTACAAAAAGAACCTCATCAGGCCAGCAACAGTTCTGTCAGCAGAAACCTTACAAGCCAGAAGATATGGGGGGGCCTATATTTTCAGCATTATTAAAGAAAATAAATTTCAACCAAGAACTCATATCCCACCAAACTGAGTTTCATAAGTGAAGGAGAAATACAATCCTTCTCAGACAAGCAAGCACCAAGGAGATTCATTACCACCAGATGATTCTTACAGGAAATCCGTAAGTGATTGCTAAACATGGAAATGAAAGACGAAACCTGCTACCAATAAAAATACACTTATTACACAATGAAGTCTACAAAACAACCAGCTAAACAACACAATGACAGGAGCAAAATCTCACATGTCAATGCTAACCCTAAATGTAAACAGTCTACACTCTCCCTTTAAAATGCATAAAGTGGTAAGCTGGATAAAAAGACAAGACACAACTGTCTGCTGTTTTCAGAAGATGCATCCTACATGAATGACACTCACAGGCTCAAAGTGAAAGAATGAAGAAAGATCTACCATGCAAATGAAAAACAAAAAAGAGCAGGAGTTGCTACCCTTAAATCAGATTAAAACATACTTTAAACCAACAACAATCAGGAAGGACAAAGAAGGGCATTATAAAATGATAAAAGGTTCAATTGAACAAAAAGACTTAACTATTCTAAACATATATGCACCCAACACTGGAGCACTCAGATTCATAAAACAAATTATTGGCCTACAATAAAACGTAGATGGCAGCACAATATTAGTGGGGGCTTTATCACTCCACTGATAGCATTAGACAGATCACTGAGGCAGAAAACTGACGAAGGAATTCTGGAATTAAACTTGACACTTGACCAGTTGGACCTAATAGACCTCTCTAGGATACTCAAGCCAACAATGACAGAACACACATTCTTCTCATATGCACATGGAACGTATTCTAAGATTGCCCCACATGCTCAGTCATAAAGCAAGTCTCAATAAATTAAAAAAAATTAAAATCATACAAAGGCCACTCTCAAATCATAGTGAAATAACAATAGAAATCAATACCAAGAAGATCTCTCAAAACTACACAAAAGCATGGAAATTAAGCCACATGCTCCCGAATAACTGTTGGGTGAACAATGAAATTAAGGCAGAAATCAAAAAATTATTTGAAATTAATGAAAATAGAGACACAACTTTCCAAAATCTTTGGGATGTAGCAAAAGCAGTGTTAAGAGGAAAGTTTATAGTGCTAAAATGCCTTCATCAAGAGGTTAGAAAGATCTCAACTAAACAATCTAACATAACACTAGAGGAACTAGAAAAAAAGAGCACAATTCAATCTCACAGCTAGCAGAGGAAAAGACATAACTAAAATCAGATAATGACTAAATAAAATTGAGATGCAAAAGTCCATAAAATGTTAGTGAAACAAAGAGTTGGTTTTTCATAAGAATAAACAAGACTAATAGACTGCTAGCTAGAAAAACGAGGAAAAACAGACAGAAGTTCCAAAAAGCACAAGAAATGACAAAAATGACATTACGACCAATCCCACAGAAATGCCAAAGATTTTCAGAGACCGTTATGAACACCTCTATGCACACAAAGTAGGAAATCTAGAGGAAATGGATAAATTCCTGGAAACATACAACCTCCCAAGATTGAACCAGGACGGAAGTGAAAACTTGAACAGACCTATAACAAGTTCCAAAATTGAATCAGTAATAAAAAACCTACCAACCAAATTTAGCCCTGGACCAGATGGATTCACAACTGAATTCTACCAAGCATACAAAGAAGAACTGATAGTAATCTTACTGAAACTATTCCATAATATTAAGGAGAGGGGCTCCTCCCTAACTCATTCTACAATGCCAGCATCATCCTGATATCAAAATCTGCCAGAGACACAATGAAAAAAGAAAACTTCAGGACAATATCTCTGATTAACATAAACACGAAAATCCTCAACAAAATATGAGCAAACTAAATCAAGAAGCACATCAAAAAGTTAATTCACAACAATCAAGTAGGCTTTATTCCTGGGATGCAAGGCTGGTTCAACATAACAAATCAATAAGTGTGATTCACCACATAAACAGAATGAAAAAACAAAAACCATATGATCATCTCAATAGTTTCAGAAAAAACCTTCAATAAAATTCAATATCCATTCATGATTAAAAACCCTCGACAGGCTAGGCATCAAAGGAATATACCTTAGAATAATAAGATCCACCTATGACAAACCACAGCCAACATCATACTAAACAGGTAAATGCTGGAAGCATTTCTCTTGAGTACTGGAACAAGACAAGGATGCCCACTCTCACCACTCCTATTCAGCATTGCCCTGGAAGTCCTAGTCAGAGCAACTAGGCAAGAGAAAGAAATAAATGGCATCCAAAAAGAAGAAGAAGTCAAACTGTCTCTCTTTGCTGATGATATGATTTCATACATAGAAAACCCTAAAGACTTCTCCAAAAGTCTCCTAGAACTGATAAATAACTTCAGTAAAGTTTAAGGATACAAAATCAATGTACAAAAATCAGTAGCAATTCTATACACCAATAACATTCTAGTTTAGGGCCAAATAAAAAAAAATACAATGCCATTTACAATAGCCACAAAATAGGAATACATCTAACCATGGAAGTGAAATGTTCTACAGGGTGAACTACAAAACACTGCTGAAAGAAATCAAGATGACTGAATAAATATAAAAATACTCCATGCTCATGGATTGGAATAATCAATATCATTAAAATGGCCACACTGTCCAAAGCAAGTTACCACTCCAATGCTATCCCTAGCAAAATATCAAGTCATTTTTCACAGAATCAGAAAAATATTCTAAAATTCATATGGAACCAAAAAGGAGCCTGAATAGCCAAAGCAATCCTAAGCAAAAAGAACGAAGCCAGAGACATCACATTACCCAACTTCAAACTATACTAAAAGGCTACAGTAACCAAGCAGCATGGTTCTGGTACAAAAACAGACACAGAGACAAATAGAACAGAATAGAAAACCCAGAAATGGACCCATACACCTACGACGATCTGATATTCAACAAAATTGACAGAAATAAGCAATAAGGAAAGGACTCTCTATTCAATAAATGGTGCCAAGATAATGGCTAGCCCTATGCAGAAGAATGAAATTAGACTCCTGCTTCTCAACATATACAAAAATTAACTCAAGATGGATTAAAGATTTAAATGTAAAACTTAAACTATAAAATCCTAGAAGAAAACCTAGAAAATATCCTTCTCCACGTTGGCTTTGGCAAACAATTTATGGCTAAGTTCCAGAGAATAATTGCAACAAAACTAAAAATAGGCAAGTGGGACCTAATTAAAGAGTTTCTGTACAGCAAAAGAAATTACCAACAGAGTAAACAGGCTACAGAATGGGAGAAAATATTTGCAAACTATGCATCTGACAAAGATCTAATTTCCAGAATATACAAAGAACTTAAATCAGCAAGCAAAAAACAAATATTTTAATTGAAAATGTGTAAAGGACATGAACAGACGCTTATCAAAAGAAGACATACAAACGGCCAATAAACATATGAAAAAAATGCTCAACATTCACTAATCATTAGAGAAATGGAAATCCAAACCACAGTGAGATACCATTTCACAGTCATCAAAAGGCTATTAAAAAGCCAAAACATAACAGATGCTGGTGAAAAGATTGTGGAGAAAAGAGAACGCTTATACACTGCTAGTGGAAATGTAAATTAGTTCAGCTACTGTGGAAAGCAGTTTGGAGATTTCTCAGAGAACTTAAACCAAAACTATTATTCAACCCAGCAATTCTACTGGGTAATCCAAATATAAAATTTTTGTTACCAAAAAGATACATGCACTTGTATGTTCATTGCAGCCCTATTCACAACAGCAATAGAATCAACCTAGGTGCCCATCAACAGTGGGATTGTATAAAGAAACCGTGGTACATATACACCATGAAATACTACATGTCCATAAAAATAATGAAATCATGTTCTTTGTAGGCCATTATCCTAAACAAATTAACACGAGAACAAAAAACGAAATACTGCATATTCTCAATTATAAGTGGGAGCTAAATATTGAATACACATTGACATAAACGTAGCAACGATAAACACTCAGGACGACTAGATGGGAGAGGGAAGCACGGGCTAAAAATTCACCTATTACGTACTATGTTTACCACCTGGGTGATGGGACCATCATCAGCATTATGCAATATACCCATGTAACAACCCCGCACATTTACCCTCTGAATCCAAAACAAAAAGAACAACAACAAAAATGCCTCTTCTACTATAATGTAAAATCTATGAAGGGAAGAATTTAAAAAACTTAAAATATTTAACATTATACAAGTCATATGTGTTATATATATTTAAATAGTCATATTCAACTTAGTATGTTTATTCATTATTGCCTGCTTCATCCCTATTGAATGTAGTCTTGACAGGAATTTCTATCCTTTTTGTCTGTGTAGTTCATCAACGTATCCTCAGTGCCCATATGCGGAGTGAACAATTCAGAGTAATCAAGGACAACTCCAGCATTCCTAGTCTGAAAACTGGAAGGTTGAATTCGCTGTTCATAGGCGACAGGAGGAGTGAAGAGAGAAAGAGGGAGGAGTGAAGAGAGAAAGGGAGAGGAGCGAAGAGAGAGAGAGGAGAGAAGAGCTGCAGCCCTTTGGCAGCCCAGACCTGGGAGCTCCCGAAGCTAGGGCTGTGATTTGCCTTTTGGAGCCCTGAGGTTCCTGGAGTCTCCAAGTTTCCAGGCACCAATGCGTTCCGTTGCTGCGCTGCTTGGTGCAGCCACAGCCTTGCAGTGAGCCAGCACCCGTGCCAGCACCTGAAGCTGCCCATCCCGCTGTAGCAGCCATTGAGCCTGACTGTGTGCCAGACCCCACGCTCACTTCCTCACACATCCCTCACCGCTTCGCTCCAGTCTCTTTGGAGGCATGGGATCCACGCCAGTAGTGTCAGCTGAGCGCAGCCTGCCAGGATGAGTGGGCCCAGTGGACCCGAGCAAAACTCATGCAAAGGTGCCACCGCCACAGAGGTTTCTGGACAGAAAAGCAACACCCCCAAGGATCCCATAACAGTATCAGTATTTTTCAGTCAGGAGGAAATTGCCTACTTCTTGTTGAGCAGTGTTGCTAAGGGTGTATTTAGGAGTTGTATCAGTTTCTAGGGCTGCTGTAATAAATTTACTACGAACTGTGGCTTCAAATAACAGCAATGTATCCTTTCACAGTTTTGCGGGCCAGAGCCCAAAAGCAAGGTGTTAGTAGGGCTGTGCTCCTTTAAAGGCTTTAGGGAAGAGTCCTTCCTTGCCTCTTCCAGCTTCTGGTGGCTGCTGGAAGTCCTTGGTTTCCTTGATTGGTGGCCACATCACTCCAATCTCTGCTGCTCCAAATCTCACATCACCTTCTCCTCTTCTGTTATGAGGATACTTGTCATTAAATGTAGGGCCCACCTATGTAATCCAGGATGATCTAATTTCAATATCTTTGACTTAATTACATGTGCAAAAACCCCTTTTCACAGCTTCCAGGGATTTGGACATGAACATTTTTAAGTGGGGGGCCATTATTTGACCCACTACAAGAGTTCAAAGCCTTCTCGGGAAATACCATCCCTTACCCACTGACATGAGTCTGTTCATGCTGGGAGTGGTAGAAGATACCAGGACCTGAATGCCTTTGTTCCCATCTTTAACAGACACCACCCAAATTCAGTAATGGAGCAAGTGAATTTAGCACGAGTACATTTAATCTTCACACATATGTTGCTGGGTGCTAGAATTTAAAACATTGTTTTCAGCGCCCCCATTCTGACTGGTTCCCAGGGATGTAAGTCTCCTCAACACCCTGGCCAAAGCCTTACCTATTCTCTGAACCCCGCTCTGTTTTGTGCTATGGGTGGGAGGAGGGCATTACTTATTGACCTCCCTGTCCTCAATAACCTGGGTAACCGGAGACAGAGGAATCGAGCACCTCTATCCCTAAACCATCATGTTGGAAATTCCTTACTGAAGCAAGTCATTCACAGTTGTGTCTTCCAAACAGTGCAATTTCATTTGTGTGTTAGGACAGCAACTCTACTAGAAACTACTTCACATCAATAGAAACATCATTACAAAACAAGATCAATATTTCTGATTTTCATGCTTAGTGTTATTTTTTGAGAATGACCAGAAATTTTCATTTATATAGAGATATACTCTATTCTGATAATCAGAAAGAACAGATAATGACTTTGGAGAACATCAAGATTAAGGTTCCTAAGGTAAACATTTACTCCCTGGTCAATATAATATTAAAACCACTAGTACGTTTTACCTGAAAGAAAAATGAATCCATTTTTTTGGTCAACGAGTAATATAGGAAGTCCTATATCTGTTGCATTTATTTTTAAACTTCTTTTTAAGTATAAGAATACAGTACATATATGGAAAAGTATGCAGTTCATAGGTGCACAGCCTAGTCAATTATCACAAAGTAAACACATCTGTTTAATCACCATCCAGGTCAAGGAAAATACCATTGCCCACCTCACTGTCTTCAGGAAAGACCCCTGAGCCCCTTCTCTATCACTACCTTGTCCTTCTCACCAAAAGTAGCCGCTATCTTGATTGCTAAAAGGATTAATTTTGCCTGCTTTAGAATTTTATACTACATATATTCTTTAAGCTTTTAAAAGTCAAAATATCTGGAAACCACTCCTTTCATGATATTTCATCTCAGAGGTAGAATAATTATTTCTTTGTAGGTAACTCTCTGTCGGAAAGATGAATAGCTTACTCCATAAATCATTAGCATAAAAACTTATTTATAATTTACATGAGAAGTCAGTATGAAGAGTAACATTATGACCTTGTGGTCAACACAATCACACAAATGGAATTATTAAAAATAAAGATAAATGAACCATGGAATTTTCAATTCGTAATTTACCTGGTTCTCTCTGTTCCTGTCCTTCTCTCTTGATAGTAAGGTGACTTTAGCCTTTGGGACACAGTAACATTCTCTTGATTATTAAAAGTTTTTTTCTCTCTACCTGCTTGGTCTCTTGTTCATATGCAATTTTTCTCAACAAAAAGTGTTATTGTTTAGTAGTTAAAAAAAGAAATGACTTCAAAGTCAACAATATGTAGAAAGGCTTATATTTGGTGGCATATTTCAAAAATTATGAGTGACCTCAATTCTTATTAACACATGTAAGCATTATATTTACTCAATTCCAAGGAGAAATCAGGCGTAAGATGCAATGACAAAAGAAAAGGAAAGGCTGCATTGTATATAAAATCAGGTGTAGGTACAATCGAGTTTCACAAATGTTGAAATGTGAAGGGAAAAGTGCATCTTAGGATTTAGGAATAGTGCCATTTGCTGATGATATCAGCAGCGATATGGTCCAGAGGTGGCTTGATGTTATTATAATTTCCTCTAAAAATACAAAAAATAAAAATAAAAAGTTCAGGAAGTCATTTAGAAATTTACATTGATGTCCCTCAGCTGTCCCTAGAAGTAGGAACGAGTTACCCTTTAGACATAATGGGGACATTTGTGCGTGCTGTCATTTTAGGAGTTCTACAAAGCCCCACTTTCCCTCAAATGTTTATTGTCTACCATTCCTTTCTACTATCTTAAAAATCCCATCAAAACAAAACAAATAAAAGATAACTATGTGAGATGATGAATATGTTAATTTGCTTCACTACAGTTACCTTTTCACTATCTATATCCATCTTATAACATCACGTTGTATACCTTAAAAATACGCAGTAAAATTTATTTTTTAAAAAAGAATCCCATCTTTTTTTTTTTTTTTTTTTTTTTTTTTTGGATGGGGTCTCACTTTGTCACCCAGGCTGGAGTGCAGTGGAGCGATCTCCGCTCACTGCAAACTCCACCTCCTGGGTTCAAGCGAAGAATCCCATCTTTTGAATTAGTCCTTTGAACACTATTTGTACAAGATGTCTGGAAAAGGCAACTGGCTCCTGAATTTCTCCTCTAGCTTTCTCTTACTTCATTTGCATGGCTTAATTGTATATGTTAGCTAATTGTCATTATTAAAAGCACAGATCCTGACCTTAAGGGAATGAAGTGCTGGACAGATACCTCTTAATTTCCGCAACTGCAATCTCAGTTTACTGAGAATGGAAAACTCCCTCCAAGGCCTGAGAATTCTTGGTTAACACGGAGGGCATTTCCCAAGAGTGTAGAAGAGGAAGCCCAACAGGCTGAGTAAGCTATTTCTTCACCTTGTATATTTAAGTTAGAGTACTACCTCTTTTGTGTGAACTTTAGGGAGTGGTCAGTAAATGCCACTTATTTCAAATTGTTTCACTTTGGCTTGCTGGAAAGTAGATGTATTTTAGAGCAAGGTCATTTGGTATATTTGTAAAAATATACCAGACTTTCTTGATTATTTTCTTTAAATTAAGCTTACTTTTTGAAATATTATTTATTTTAAAGTAAGATTTTATATAAGTTCTCTAAATAGAATACCACTATCACTTCCCATAAATAGAAGATAAACCCATTTCCCGTTTTGGGAAATCGCTTAGAAGAATGAATTTGGAATTTGGAATCAGAAGACCGGAGTAGTCATCTCAGCTCTGCTACTTCTGTGTTTTCTGGTTCTGGGAAAATCACTTGACTTCTCTGAGTCCCAGTCTCTTCATAAAAAAAAAAAAAAAAAAAAAAAAGGGACGGGATAACAATGTCTTCTTTCTTTCTCAAAATGACATTAACTAAATCAAGCTGCAAAGGGAAATATGTGGTTCTTTTTATTTGTAAGCTTAAAGTCCAAGCAGTTATGACAAATGGGTTTCACCTGAAGTGCAAATGCCCATTTATTCCTAGTGGTTCCTGGACCCCTTTATTGAGAAGGGTTGTGATGACCTGCCCCAAGCAAGGGGGGAAGAAGGCTGCTACTGCATAGTTCACGCTACTTAACTCCTGCCTCCTCTTTACCGAGCCCTCTTAGCTCACCAGAATCTGCATCTCAGAAGCCACCTCCCATTCAGCATGAACTTCCTTTTTATAAGAGCCCCCAAAAGTCACCTCAGGTAAATCACACTCATGAAATCTCTTTTCAGCCTAAAACTGTCTCCTAAAATGAAGCCCTCCCAGGCCCTTCTAATTCTGTCACCACTTTCTCACTCCTCCAAAATAAACTGCTTTTCAGTCCAAGGAATTCTTTAGAGAGAGAAGAAGAAACAAGGATCTGCCCGTGTAATTCTGTTGTTCTATCACTTTCTTTGCTTCATTATGTGTCACAGAGGTTTAGCAAGTACTCTCCAGAGGAGGCTGGGGTGGAGGAAAAATGTGTGAGGCCTGTGGCCTAGTTACTGTTGAAGTCTTCCTAGCAGCTTGCTTAATGCTAATTTCCTAGGCTTTGCAAATAGATCCTGCAGTGGAAACTGCTACCAATAGTGACGTAGTTGAAAAACCATGGGCCATAAAAAACTATTTATGACACTTCCCCCTTTTTCCAGCTCACACTCTGGAATGAACCAGTAAACAAATAATTAACACACAAGCAAAATTATTCTTCTAGGGCTTAAGGCTCTGTCCTAGTAGGAAAAGAATACTGTAGAAGGAAACTTGACAGAGAATACTTCGGAGAACTTAAGTGATGTTTTGATGCCCACAGATTCTGAAAGCTGACATCAACATTTCTAATATTTGTCCATTACTGTTTAATATGATAGGTTAAGTGTTGCTTCAGGGAGCTTGGAATTGTTCACTTCCAAGAAGTGAGGAGGATGCTTATTATTGCTCTTATGACTTCTCTTTAGAATTTGCATTGCTTTTACCATCCACAAACTGCTCCTTGGTAATTTTTATTACTAACAAACCCATAACCTGATTGGTTTCTCTTGAAATAGAGGGTATTGTGAAGTCACTCAGGATACAGATATAGTGCTGATGGGATCAATTAAAATGAATTGTAGTCCAGGAAAAGGTGCTTTGTGAAGCACTACGAGTGACAAAGATGAGTTTAGAAATAATCACTTACTTTATGACCACATTTCATAGTCTTGCTCACCCAGATATTTGTGACAATCATATTCTGGACCTACATAAAGGGTGAGCTACAGGAAGACAAACTTGCAAACATTACGATTTGAAAATAATTGATGTTTACTAACAAGCACATCATCATTTCAAAGCACTTTCAAGAAAAAGCATCCTCTTTCCTAGACAACTAAAGAGGGCTGTTAATTCAGATGGAATCATCTGAAAGCTTTTTCTTATCACCAACTTACTTATTTTCTTTTAATCCCCTCCCCAATATAAATCATAGCACCTCTGGGTGATAGTATTTGAAAATGACAAAAAGAACCCAGATGTTGACTAAAGGCCAAGGTTAATTGGATATGTGTGAGACTGTGCTGTAACTTCTTATTGAATTGGGTGGCTGAGCTGTATAGTTCTTGTGGCATTATTTCAGGATCTGAATTTAGTGATTACATAAGAAACTTCTAATGCGCTAAAGCGTTTAATAACCCATGTCTAAACTTCCCTTCCATAACTTCAGTTTTCGTCCAGAATCTCCGTTACTCAGATCTTTTCAACGGCTTCTTTTCTGGCTGCTGAGGAACCCAGAAACTTCTGACTGGCTTTGAAGGGTTACTTCCCTTGCATTTTTTCTCTCCTTTCTTATCCTTCTTTCTCAGGCTGCTCGCTGTAATATCCCTCAAACTGGATCTTCTCCTCCCTCTGTTCCTTCTCCCCTCACCTTCATTTTATCAACCAATTCCCTATGTTTGACTTTTCTTTTTCTCTCTCTGCCTCTCCAAGTCATCAAGACCCATTCAAGGTCCATTTCTTCCAGGGATCCGGATTAGTCCATTCTCTACCAAGCTTTCCTTCCTCTAAAATACCATTTTTAAAGCCATGTTATCCAGTAGAAATAAAATGCAAACCACACAAGTAAGTTTGTTATACTGTAGAAACAGATCAAATGAATTTTGACAATATAGTTTATTTAATCTATCATTTCTACCTGTAATAAACTTAAGATTATTAATGAGATATTTCCATTTTTTTTGAAGTCTTAGAAATCTGGATTATATTTTATACTTAAAGCACATGTCAGTTTGGACAAGCCACATTGCAAGTGTCCAGTGTGGCTAGAGCTTACTACATTGAACGGTCCGGGTTCAGAGCCTGTGCCACATTCTCTAGCTCTCAATCATGTACTTCCTTATTTCATAGCTTTCTACCAGACCAAATTGCAAACAACTCCGTAGAGTTGGCGGCTCCATTTTACACTTCCTCTGTCTTCACATTTTATTCCTGTGTGTGTAGTAAGCTATTAGTAATTGCCTATTGATGGATTGGTAATATTAATTTTATCTGTGACCTCTTAAACACAGCATACTTACTCCTACTACAGTTTCCTCAGGCTTGAAATTTCCCTCCTCTTCCCCATATTTATATTATGATTCAATAACCAAATCACCTCTGTTTTGTTAGATCTGAATCTCTGTGGGTATGTTGGATGAGATTATAAGAAATAGATGTGCATTATTTGCAGTTCTATTGCACTAGAGAGCAGCATTTTCACAGAATACTCATCGTTCAGACAATTCAGGCAAAATAGGATTTATAGCTGAAATCAATGGGATAATTGCCTCCATTGTTCTTTTTTGCTTTCCTAACAGAGACCTGGCCAACTCCTCGTAAGAGTCTCCTGGTCACAGAATCCAACCATGAAGCAGAGGCCCTTCAATTTGATTACAATGGCAAAGACACAGTTTTATAAGCTGAAACTAAATCACTGGGATAGGAATAGCTTATAAAATTGCAGGGAAGGAAGGTCGTGAAGAAGAAAAGGAAACCCTGGAGAGTACAAGGACAGATAGGGGACCTGAAGTAGAGGACAAGATGAGGAGATTACTAAATTCTGTCAGGGGTGCTAAAATGGGGGGAGCGTGCGAAACATACTATAACTGGGAACCTCAGTTTTAAAAATATAGTTTAACCACCCACTTTCCTTTCATCTCTTCATTCCTTTCCTTTCCAGACACTCCCCTCTGGCAATGCCTGCTTATTTAATTATGTTCTTGCTTGAGAAATTCCAGAGGCCAATCTTGAAACAAACCATGCATGGAGCCCTGAGTGCAGAATCCTCCTGCTTAGCGAGGAGTCACTGACAGTCCACCACCACTGGGCTGAATTCAAAATAATACCAACTAGACCTCCAGATGGGTGACTATCTGAGATAGCCATTGGAACAAGACACACAGACCCCGCCCCCTGCACCCCTCCTGCATGCCTCCCATACCAAGTTTTCCTTTGAACACTCTATGGTAAATTTTAAAATTTAAGATGGTTCTGTGACTATTGTTCACCATCTTCTTGGTTTGCTGCTTCTCCGATTAAAATCGCTTTTCCTCCCACCAACCTTCCTCTCTTATGTCTAGCTTTAGAGCAGCAAGCAGCTGAACCTGGGTTCAGTTACAATACAAACCTTACCTATTCCACAGTTTTATAAACAAAATGCTGAGGTGTACTATTTCAAGCCCTGTTATCATTTACTTCAAGGGAAACTTCCCCAAAACAGAATGATGGAATTGTAATTCTAGAACTCTGCCAATAAACAATAACATTCCTTGATTTTTCTCATCATATAAATTGTCAAAGTTACAAATGTTATCTCCATACACCTAATGTTTTAAGACATCTTACAGTCTTTATCGAGAATCTGTCAATTGGTTCTTATTAAATAAATAATTCATTTATTTAATTTTAAAGTCTTGTTTCTGTTTCTTATCAGTAACATCAATCTTAGCTCCCTGTTAACTTTCTTCTCATATAATAACAAATATATCTGCTATTGCTTAATAATGGAATAGCTTAACTTGGGTTAATTTTACATTTTAAACTTTTGGTGCCTTCACATGCTAGTGGAATTTTGACAGAAGAATCTTAAGATCACATCCAATTTAATAAAAACAAAGGCATAAATGAGGCCCCACAGTGGCTTCTGATGAAGGGCTTGAGAATTTACTGTGGCCTAGCTGTGAAAATTCTTTTAAATTTCTGCTGCTGCTATTTTTTTCATTCAGGACCTATGCATGTTGCCCATGCACTGGCCAATTTTTTAGTCAAAAACAGAGGCCTCAACATGTTCTTGCTGACTACTGAGAGGCTGGGGAGATCTCAGTCTCAATACGTATTTGTCACTTGTTAGCTGACGCCTGGCATTCTAAAACAGAAGCATCCCTCCTTTCCCTCACACATATTGTCAATGGAAATGGAAATGTTTACAGATGGAAGATTTTGCTTCTTAGTAATTTATGCCCATGTTTGGCAAAGTGTATACAGTTTGCAGACTGGGCCAATCCATAATGCTTATTTTTTTCTATCTTATGTTTGCTTTAATTTTATTTATTGAGATTTAATTTTAAATTTCTTACAGTTAATAATAAAAAAATTGGAATTTGTATTTTGAATGTCTGTGATTTTAAAATTTCATTCTCTAGAAGTTAATTTTTATTGCATTTTACAAAAGTACTGGCCTACAATGGGTCTGCTGTCACAGATAGTTCGAGAAATACTAATTTTATTCCTTGCTGTATGGAGTAGGCAAGAGATACCCCCAACCTCCAACCTTAGAATGGATTTTGATAGGAGAAAGGAAACACAGAGCCCCAGAAGAAATAAAATAGGGGGAATAATGGTTTCAGTGAAAAACATTGCTGCCCTTATTAATTTGCTCGAGGCTAGTCCCTGTGCCTGTTCACAAACCTATCTTTCTACAAGCTTTAATTGAATACATTCTATGTTTAAGGCATTGTCTTTGTTGTCGAAAGATATAGCCTTTATTTTCTTCTTGTCCAGTGGTTCTCAGATTTGCCTGCTGTATATCAGAATAACTTGGGAAGCCTTGTTAAAGACTGTAGATTCCAGGGTTCCATTTGAAAACCCACTGAATAAATATCTATGTGAATGGCATCTTCAAAGTTGTATTTTCAAAAGGTTTTGTGTGATTTTGATGTCTGGCTTGGTTTGGATAGCACTGCTTTAGCCCTTGGTCACCTTTACCTTGAAATGAGGTAACGTACAATTAGCAATGATTGGAATATAAAAAAGGTAATAAACTCAATAATCATTTATTAAATACTCTACTTTTCCACATGATGGATACAAAGAAGTTGTAGTAGTGAGGATAATTAATGCTGGATACTATAAGCACAATACTCTCACCTTAATGGCACCATGTAATAGATCTTTATATCTTGCTCACACAGGGTCCTGTGCATATTTTCCTGTGCGTATTTCCAGGCTGTTTCCCTGGTGAACTCTTCTCAAAACAGTAAATCAGAAATCCAGGCTCTTTCAGTTTGGAACCCCACCATCCTTATTACATGGCCTGTAGTTTGTCCATGAAAGAGACGAGAGAAGAAGATCATATCTGAGGGATTTTTGAAGACCAGGCCTATACGTGGCGTGCATACCTTCTGCTCACATTGCCTGTCTAGAAGTAGTCACGGCACCTCAATTAGATGAAAGGGGACAAAGAAATGACCTCTTCCCGAGTGACTGGGAAGGAAAAGAAGTGGTTTGGTGAATACATAGTGTTTTCTCTGCCACAGATATGTAAAATGTAATGTCTGTTAATCTTTTAAGCAGCCTCATTTTCCCCAAAGTAGTGGTAATAAGACCACTGAAGAGACACACTTTAAGCAAGTACAAGTTTATTACGGTAGATTCTATGAAGAGATTTGCAAAGGGTGTTTGTTCTGCTCCCTCTTTGCCATTTTAAACATTATATGGTGATGGAGACCACTTGATTTTGTCTTATACATTATATCATCAGTACCTCTAAGAATGGGTGTATATTGGCCATCCCCTACGAAGTCCCCAAATACTACTGTTGCCATTTTACATTCCAGACATTTTGAAGGCAAGTTATCTTCTGGTCTACCTCGTACTATCTTTGATAGACAAAAATTCCTTAATACACAAAAGGAGAAGCAGTATTGTTAGAGAATTGTTACAGGTTTCTAACTCTCTAAAATCTGACTAAATCTTGTCTAAAATAGTATTCTCAAATCTTAACTCATGAATTTTGCAGTCTCTTCGGGAGATGAATCATCCACTTTTGAAATATTGAGTGTAATATTGTGTATGATAAAATACTAGTAGCAAATGTAGGGAAATTATACGTAGTAACTGTTAAGAGTTTAGGATCACAGGATAGTATAGAGAAGATAGAAGTCTGCTGGCTTGAAGAATCTTTAAAGGTTTTATTTACTTTCATGATACCTGATGACAGTGCAGGGGCAAGCTAGAATTTTTCTTAAGCCTGAACAAAAGTAACTTATGCAGAGCTTCTCCAGATGTTATCATACATTGTCTTCCCAGACTTCTCAAAATTCTATCCTTTCTCCTTACCATTACAAAGTATGGTGGAAGAGGCTAGGGATTCTTGTCTTTATGTTATACTCCATGATCTACAATACTGCCAGTACATTCATTAGAATTTGAATATCTTCCACTTTTTTAGTTTCCAGGATGCTCTGTATTTTAAGAATAACATTGACCCTTAAGGATCCCAAGAACCAAAAAACATGAGGAAAGGAGAGGGGCAGGACCAGAGTGCTTTGTCTTAGAGCATGGTGCCCTGGAATTCGGTGTAAATATTAGACTTTTGAAAGCTTCCTTAACATTAATTTTCCTCAGACTTAGATAACATAAATTCTCAGTAATGCTCCATGATTTTTATTCTTAATGGTTCCTGGGAGTTGTCATTTACTTTTGGACCCCAAATTGGGATCCTCACTGAACCATACTGAAGGGTTCTGGCTTAGCCCTTAATAGCTTCTAGCCATTAAAAAGTCGAGTAGGGCAGCCCCTCCCAAGGCCATCGTCTCTTTTATAAATCTTGACTGCTAACTGACCTATCTCACCGATTCCTCATTTGAGCAGACACCAGGTAATTGGATGCTTCAATATGTTCTTTCATTAATCTTTTTGTCCATTAATATTCTTTTTTTTTTTTTTTTGAAACGGAGTCTCACTCTGTCGCCCAGGCTGAAGTGCAATGGCGCCATCTGGGCTCACTACAAGCTCTGCCTCCCGGGTTCACGCCATTCTCCTGCCTCAGCCTCTCGTGTAGCTGGGACTACAGGCGCCCGCCACCATGCCCGGCTAATTTTTTGTATTTTCAGTAGAGACGGGGTTTCACCGTGTTAGCCAGGATGGTCTCGATCTCCTGACCTCATGTTCCGCCCGCCTCGGCCTCCCAAAGTGCTAGGATTACAGGCGTGAGCCACCGCGCCCAGCCTGTCCATTAATATTCTTATCCAGCACCAGATGATCTGGATCTTTCATGGCTCTTCCAGAATGTGCTGTACTTTTTCCATAATTTATCAAGGTTGGTCTCTGGTCACTGCATGCATGAGGACACTGAAAGGGAGATTGTTCTTCTGGACAGGCCTCATGTGAATTCACTTCTCTAGGATGGTGGTTGGTAACTAAGTTTGAGGAGCTGGAACATACAATCCAGTCTTGTTGAATAAAAAGGAACTTAAAACTCAGTGAGTTTAGGTGATTTAAACAGTCACTCTACATGTTAAAAGTAGAATCCATAAAAGTTAGGTGAAGGTATGACCACTGAAAGGCATCTAAATCCAAACATAAATACAACATTTTTATTGGGATAAGAGGTTAGCCACTTCAAATTGTTTTTTTCTTATTAGGTTTATGTGCTGAGTTTCTGAGCTGGATCCTTAGGAAATAACTCATCAGATAAAAAGTTATGTGTCCAAAATTGTTCACTGAACCATGATTCAAAAATAACAACACTTTTTAAACAACCCAATGTTCAGTAAGAGAGAATGGTTAAACAACTGATGATGCACCTAAATGATAGATTAACCATTTTCTTTTTTTAAAAAAAAATCAACTAAAATTTATTTAATGAAGCATAAAATTACTTTCACATTTGTCTACAACCACAGTTAATACAGTTCTTGGCATAAAGACACAACCTTTATAATTTAAAGCCTCCCTACCTGCAAGATTACATATATAAAACTCCCATTATTGTTTATATAATCGTGGATTAGTTTATCAAATTAAAATAGTTATACTATCCAGAATAACATAAAATGGAAATAATTTACTCATAAGATTCATATTTAAATCATCTTTATTTAGAAAACACTATCCTGAGAATTATAATTCCATTAAGCTTCAGTGGGAGCAAAAGTGTAATCACTTAAGTAACAGCAGTTACTTAAACTGAAAATGAGATCAGTCAAAATTACTTTTGAAGAGAGCAAAAATATTGTCAGGTTTCTTGCTGTGGTTCTGGATGTTCAGTAGCAGGCTCATTTGAAGGCAGAATCAGCCCTGCAGGGAACTCACTTCTACCTTCAGAATGTGGGGTTTATGGGGAAAAATCCAGGTTTTGGGGGAAGGTAAGGAGGAAACGCCTCGCTGGATAGACATTTCTCATTGCAAATGGAGCATGTGGTGGATCTGGGAAATCCCTTGGTGGAAAATAATCTTGAGAAGCTCCAAACATGGTTCCTGGAGGAGGTGGGGGGAAAGGAGGTCCTCTTCTCATGAACAGGCTCCTTGTATCCCCCGGAAACAATGGACCTCTGATTGGAGCAAGAGGTGGAGGAGAAAAGTAAGGGCCAGTTGCTTCATTTTCAGCAGGGAGAGATGAATCAGGCACATTTAAATTACCAAGGTCATCTTTGGTATCATTTCTGCTGGATTCCATTTCTGAAAGCATTGACCCATCCACTTTATCCAAAGAAGTCATATTAAACCTTCTGAGTTCTGCTGGTCCAGACAGTGTGCCAGAATTAGAATAAAATCTGTCTTGCCTTTGTGGAGGAAGAGCTGAATCAGGATATGATTGTCCTGGTGGAAGAAACATCATCCTACGGTCCTGTTCCCATGGAGGTGACAGGGACCCAGTGTCAGAGAAGCCCTGTGAGGATTGGTTAACCTGTCACATCTTGATTCTCCTCTTTCATTGGTAATCTGATGGTCCAGAGGATTCCCTGGACCTCTTGAGCCTCTTCCTCCTCCTCCTGTTAGCAAAGATGAGAGTCTCAGTGGGCCCTCAGAGAAAAGCTCTTGTTTAGGATGAAGGCCGACCCAGTGGTGAGGGACCATATGGGGAATGCTCTCTGCCAAATGCTGTATTTGGAACATGAAGTGCATAAGGATCTTTTTCTAAAAGTTCAAATTTAAACTCTGCTTCAGTTAATTTTTGTCTGTTGTGAGCACTTTCTTTCCTTAAACCATTGAGGTTTCTTTCAGCAGTCCAAGCTGCCAACCAATTATTATGTGCTTTTTTCTCGTGGGAAATAATCCATCCTTGATAAGAATGAATAGTTCTCGCCAACTCTTCTTCAAGATCTTTGGCTCACTTTCTATAGGTCTCCAACTCTTCAGTGGCACGGCTGATCTTTTCGTGTACTTTAGAAAGTTTTTCTTCCTTTTCTAACCGGTAATTTCATCTACTGTTAATTTCCTCTGGAGTTTCATTTCATTTTCTTGATAAAATTCAATCATTACTTTAAGTTTTTGTTGAAGCTTCTGATTCTCACTTTCAAAATGTGTGTTTTCTGACTGCAAAGATGCTTGTTCAGTCTGAAGATTTTTAATATGCTCTGTAAGCTCTTCCTTTATCAACTTCAGATAACTGACTATAAATTTGGTTTCTTTCTCCTTGTAAGGTTTTTAAAGAAGCATTTAACTTAGCAGCATAAATCAGTTTCTTCAGAGCTCCTTTCGGAGGATTATCTAAGTAAGCACCATTTTCCGATTCACTGTTCATTTCTAATTCCAAGTTACCATCATCCGTTATGTCTTCTCCAAGCATAGCAGCCTGATCTTTCATTTTTAGCAAGCGTTCAGAGTCTTGATGTGATTTTCTTTATCATTTAGAACTTGTTCTGCATGTACTTTGGAGTCTTCAAATGTTATTTTCTGTTTATTAAGTTCACTCACTTGTTCTTTCCATACCTCAGCTTCTTGCAAAAGCTGTCTCTCGTTTTCCTGGAGTTGAGAATTTTCATTCAAAGCATCTTTTATTGCTATCTTCAGTCGTTCTTCATTCATTTGAAATATCGTCAAGTTCATTTTGGCTTCAGCTACTTGTCATTTGAGGGATTTTGACTCATCTTCTAGAGACTGTATCCTTTTGCAAATATCCACCATCAATTCACCTTGTTCAGAATGTTTAGATTTCTCTTATTTTAACTCTTTTTCTAGACAGAGTATTTCATCCTCAAGTTCAGAATTGGACCTGTTTAGCTTTTCACAGGTTGCCTCCTTCTCAAAGCTGGCATTCTTTAAAGATGACTCTACTTCATAGCCTTCATACTCTTTTTGAACATGGCTAAATTTTTCAAGTAGTTTATGCTTTTCTTCAATTAGTCCAGAAAGCATTACAGCAAGCTTTTTTTCTCTTCCCACATAAAGCCGACTCCCAACCGATCTAAAACTTCTCCACACAAAAAAAGAGAACAGCAAAAAATCCATGTACAGCTGCACATATCACCAACTCCCATGGAAAACCATAAGGATTAGAGTCTGGTCTCACACTTTCAGGCAGTGCTGCCACAACCCTGCTTAGCTCCCCCAGGACCAGCCCCAAATACCGCTGAGGGGTAGCCCCAGGCTCCTCCACAGCGGGGAAGGCTGCTCCGGCGGTTGCCACAATAAACTTGGGCTGTGGGCGGCAGAGAACACGCAGCCTTCAGTCTGGAACCCGAATCCGCACGTGGCAAACGGAGCGGACCATTGTGGAGCCGGCTGCGGGGCGAGCTGCGGACACGGGCAACCAAAGGTCTCAGAGGCCCACGCTGCCCACCCCAGCCCCCTTGTTACACTTTACATCCTGAGGCAGCGCCTTTTATTATTATACTTTAAGTTCTGGAGTGCATGTGCAGAACGTGCAGGTTTGTTAGGTAGGTATACACATCGCATTGTGGTTTGCTGCACCCATCAACCTGTTACCTACATTAGGTATTTCTCCTAATGCTATCACTCCCTCAACCCCAAATCCCTCGACAGGCCGCAGTATGTGATGTTCCCCTCCTTGGGTCCACGTGTTCTCATTGTTCAACTCCCTCTTATGAGTGAGAACATGCGGTGTTTGGTTTTCTGTTCTTGTGATAATTTGCTGAGAATGATGGTTTATTGATTTGCGTATGTTGAACCAGCCTTGCATCCCAGAGATGAAGCCGACTTGATCCTGGCGGATAAGCTTTTTGATGCGCTGCTGGATTCCGCTTGCCAGTATTTTATTGAGGATTTTCGCATCAATGTTCATCAGGGATATTGGCCTGAAAATTTCTTTTTTTTGTTGTGTCTCTGCCAGGTTTTGGTATCACGATGATGCTGGCTTCATACAATCAGTTAGGGAGGATTCCCTCTTTTTCTATTGGAATAGTTTCAGAAGGAATGGTACCAGCTCCTGTTTGTACCTCTGATAGAATTCGGCTGTGAATCTGTCTGGTCCTGGACTTTTTTTGGTTGGTAGGCTATTAATTACTACCTGAATTTCAGAACTTGTTATTGGTCTATTCAGGGATTCAACTTCTTCCTGGTTTAGACTTGGGAGGGTGTATGTGTCCAGGAATTTATCCATTTCTTCTAGATTTTCTAGTTTATTTGTGTAGTTGTTTATAGTATTCTCTCTGATGGTAGTTTGTATTTCTGTGGGATCAGTGGTGATACCCCCTTTATCATTTTTTATTGCATCTATTTGATTCTTCTCTCCTTCTTTATTGTCTGGCTAGTGGTCTATCTGTTTTGTCAATCTCTTCAAAAAACCAGCTCCTGGATTCATTGATTTTTTTGAAGGGTTTTTCATGTCTCTCTCCTCTTCAGTTCTGCTCTGATCTTATTTATTGTCTTCTGCTAGCTTTTGAATTTGTTTGCTCTTGCTTCTCTAGTTCTTTTAATTGTGATGCTAGGGTGTCGATTTTAGATCTTTTCTGCTTTCTTTTTTGGGCATCTAGTGCTATAAATTTCCCTCTTAACACTGCTTTAAATGTGTCCCAGAGATTCTGGTACATTGTGTGTTTGTTGTCATTGGTTTCAAAGAACTTCTTTATTTTGCCCTTCATTTCATTATTTACCCAGTAGTCATTCAGGAACAGGTTCAGTTTCCATGTAGTTGTGCGGTTTTGAGTGAGTTTCTTAATCCTGAGTTCTAATTTGACTGCACTGTGGTCTAAGAGACTGTTATGATTTCCGTTCTTTTGCATTTGCTGAGGAGTGTTTTACTTCCAACTATGTGGTGAATTTTAGAATAAGTGCGATGTGGTGCTGAGAAGAATGTAAATTCTGTTGATTTGGGGTGGAGAGTTCTGTAGGTATCTATTAGGACCACTTGATCCAGAACTGAGTTCAAGTCCTGAGTATCCTTGTTAATTTCCTATCTCATTGATCTGTCTAATATTGACAGTGGAGTGTTAAAGTCTCCCATTATTATTGTGTGGGAGTCTAAGTCTCTTTGTAGGTCTCTAAGAACTTGCTTTATGAATCTGGGTGCTCCTGTATTGGGTGCATATATATTTAGGATAGTTAGCTGTTCTTGTTGCATTGATCCCTTTACCATTATGTAATGCCCTTGTTTGTCTATTTTGATCTTTGTTGGTTTAAAGTCTGTTTTATCAGAGACTAGGATTGCAACCCCTGCTTTTTGTTTTCTTTGCTTCCCATTTGCTTAGTAAATATTCCTCCATCCCTTTATTTTGAGCCTATGTGTGTCTTTTCATGTGAGATGGGTCTCCTGAATATAGCACACTGATGGGTCTTTACTCTTTATACAGGTGGCCAGTCTGTGTCTTTTAACTGGGGCATTTAGCCCGTTTACATTTAAGGCTAACTTAATTAAGGTTAATTTGATCCTGTCATTATGATGCTAGCTGGTTATTTTGCCTGTTAGTTGATGCAGTTTTTTCATAGTGTCAATGGACTTTAAAATTTGGTGTGCTTTTGCAGTGGCTGGTACCGATTGTTCCTTTCCACGTTTAGTGCTTCCTTCAGGAGCTCTTGTAAGGCACGCTTGCTGTTGACAAAATCTCTCAGCATTTGGTTGTCTGTAAAGGATTTTATTTCTCCTTCACTTATGAAGCTTAGTTTGGCTGGACATGAAATTCTGGGTTGAAAATTCTTTTCTTTAAAAATGTTGAATATTGGCCCCCACTCTCTTCTGGCTTGTAGGGTTTCTGCAGAGAGATCTGCTGTTAGTCTGATGGGCTTCCTTTGTGGGTAACCTGACCTTTCTCTCTGGCTGCCCTTAACATTTTTTTCTTCATTTCAACCTTGGTGAATCTGACGATTATGTGTCTTGGGGTTGGTCTTCTCGAGGAGTATCTTTGTGGTGTTGTCTGTATTTCTTGAATTTAAATGTTGGCCTGTTTTGCTAGGTTGGGGACGTTCTCCTGGATAATATCCTGAAGAGTGTTTTCCAGCTTGGTTCCATGCTCCCCGTCACTTTCTGGTACACCAGTCAAACATAGATTTGGTCTTTTCACATAGTCCTATATTGCTTGGAGGCTTTGTTCATTCCTTTTCATTCTTTTTTCTCTAATCTTGTCTTCTCAATTTATTTCATTAAGTTGATCTTTAATCTCTGATATCCTTTCTTCCACGTGATCGATTTGGCTATTGATACTTGTGTATGCTTCACAAAGTTCTCGTGCTGTGTTTTTCAGCTCCATCAGGTCATTTATGTTCTTCTCTAAACTGGTTATTCTAGTTAGCAATTGCTCTAACTTTTTTCAAGGTTCTTAGCTTCCTTGCATGCTCCGTTAGCTTGGAGGAGTTTGTTATTGCCCACCTTCTGAACACTAATTCTGTGAATTTGTCAAACTCATTCTCTGTCCAGTTTTGTTACCTTGCTAGTGAGGAGTGGTGATTCTTTGGAGGAGAAGAGGCGTTCTGGTTTTTGGAATTTTCAGACTTTTTTGCACTGGTTTCTCCCCATCTTTGTGGATTTATCTACCTTTGGTCTTTGATGTTGGTGACTTTTGGATGGGGTCTCTGAGTGGACGTCCTTTTTGTTGATGTTGATACTATTCCTTTCTATTTGTTAATTTTCCTTCTAACGGTCAGGCCCCTCTGCTGCAGGTCTGCTGGAGTTTGCTGGAGGTCCACTCCAGGACCTGTTTGACTGGGTATCATCAGCTGAGACTGCAGAACAGCAAAGATTGCTGCCTGTTCCTTCCTCTGGAAGCTTCGTCCCAGAGGGGCACCTGCCAGATGCCAGCTGGAGCTCTCCTTTATGAGGTGTTTGTCAGCCCCTACTGGGAGGTGTCTCTCAATCAGGAGACATGGGAGTCAGGGACCCACTTGAGGAGGCAGTCTGATCTTTAACAGAGCTTGAACGCTGTGCTGGGAGATCTGTTGCTCTCTCAGAGCTGTCAGGCAGGAACGTTTAAATCTGCTGAAACTGCACCCACAGCCACTCCTTCCCTGAGGTGCTCTGTCCCAGGGTGATGGGGGTTTTATCTATAAGTCTCTGACTGGCGCTGCTGCCTTTTTTTCAGAGATGCCTTGCCCAGAGAGGAGGAATCCAGAGGGGCACTCTGGCCACAGCGGCCTTGGTGAGCTGTGGTGGGCTGTGCCCAGCTGGACCTTCCAGGCAGCTTTGTTTACACCGTGAGGGTAAAACCGCCTACTCAAGCCTCAGCAATGGTGGATGCCCCTCCCCACACCAAGCCCGGGCGTCTCAGGTGGACCTCAGACTGCTGTGCTGGAAGCGAGAGTTTCAAGCCAGTGGATCTTAGCTTGCTGGGCGCCGTGGGTGTGGGACCCGCCAAGCCAGACCACTTGGCTCCCTGGATTCTGCCCCTTATCCAGGGGAGTGAACGGTTCTGTCTCACTGGCGTTCCAGGCACCACTGGGGTATGAAAATAAAAACTCCTGCAGCTAGCTTGATGTCTGCCCAAATGGCCACCCAGTTTTGTGCTTGAAACCCCGGGCCCTGGTGGCATAGGCACCGCTTGTTATCTCCTGGTCTGTGGGTTGCAAAGACTGTGGGAAAAGCCTGGACCAGAGTGCACTGTTCTTATGGCACAGTCCCTGACGGCTTCACTTGGCTAGAAGAGGGACCCCTTGCACTTCCTGAGTGAGGCAACGCCCCACCCTACTTCTGCTCACCCTCCATGGGCTGCACCCACCGTCCAACCAGTCCCAGTGAGATGAACCAGGTACCTCTGTTGGAAATGCAGAAATCACCTGCCTTCTGCATTGATCTCACTGGGAGCTGCAGAACGGAGCTATTCCTATTCAGCCATCTTGCCAGCAAAATCCTCTTCTTTTCCTTTTTTTCGAGATAGGGTCTCCCTCTGTCACCCAGACTGGAGTGCAGTGGTGCGATCACTGCTCACTGCAGCCTCAACCTCTCCAGCTCAAGTGATCCTCCCACCTCAGCTTCCTGAATAGCTGGACCCCAGGCATGCACCGCCAAACCTGGCTAATGTATTTTTATATTTTGTAGAGACAGTCTCCTTGCATTGCCCAGGCTGGTCTCGAGCTCCTGGGCTCACGTGATCCTCCCGCTTCAGCTTCCCAAAGTGCTGGAATTACCTGGTCAACAATTTTCTAATTGTTAAAAATAATATTAGTTAAAAATAAAAGTTGATAACTTTATAGCAACTTGAAATAAAATCTATGAGATAATGTGAAAGTAAAATGCCAAGATACAAAGATGTAGATTTTTCCACCAGTAAAACAAAGATTCACTAGGAAAAGGAGGAGCAGAGGGAAGCAATCAGAGGACAATGTGGCAAAGCCCAAAATCTATCACTTCAGTGAAGCTTGAAATATAGACAAATGAAAGGCAAAAGAGGCAGGAAAAGTTGCACTGCAATTCATTCATCAACTTTAATGCACTTACATTGTAGATCTCATGAGGAAATAAAAAAAGAGATGGTTTAAAAATGTCCCTCCACAGGCCCTTGTCTATACAAGGTCACAGTTTCATTGAGGGCTTTTTGTAAACTTGGCAGCATTTCAGTTATTAATATATTCATATGACATTAATTTCTCAACAAGATTCAATTTATATTTTAAAATAATAGGACTTTCTAGAACACACATGCTGCACATACAGTGACCAAGTATTTGAATTTTAACAGGTTTTAGGACTGTTCCCTGCCCTTGAATTAATTTGTTTAAAACAGTCTGAATATATCTTCTCTAATAGCAAAGCAGAGGATAAGCATACACCAAGGACTCATTATTTTGCCACTAAACAAGTTGCAAAAACAATATTTATTAAGCTCCTGGGAATATGTGTTAAGAACAGAAGGAGTTACTCAAAAGATGTCATGGTTTTGCAAGATGCATCCCTTGACTTTGAAAGTGAACTGGCAAGGTTGTAGAACAGAATTAAAAGGCCAAAGCGGGTTGAGAAATTGTATTTTCTATTACCAGTTTTCAAGCAGAACTTCAGCCAACTTGTCCTAGAAAAATGAGACATCTATTTTTAATGACATTCAAAGAGGCATGTTGTAATGATATTGAGGAATGGCTTTGTGAGTGGACAATCAATATGTCTGCATATCAGTGTTATTGCATTTGAAAAAACATTGCTTAGTTATAGAAAAACTTTAAGGATTAAAAGTCTCTGTGTTAGGCACCTGCTCTGGGGTGGCAGTTTGTTTCTCAGGATTTCCGTGGTCTGTGTGCAGGGACACAAAACACTCATACCACAAATTGTGTATACTGATAATGCACATACATGCTTATATTAATTAAAAAACAAACTATAACCATTTTCACACAGGACACCATAATTAACCATAGTTTTCTTGTTAAATAATGAGCTAAATATCTTCAATCTAGTTGTAACATCTTAGAAAACTTAGTCATTTCATTTATTTCTTTATTTAATGAATATTTATCGAAACTTTATTATATATGCAAAGTAGTATTTAGGTACTACGAAGCTCTACAGATATACAAAAAAGGGTCCTGCCCTCAAACAAACTTGAGGGCCAGGAGGAGATACAAATAACACATCTATCAGGGACATATGTAACAGAGGACTGAAAGGAGAGGTATCCTTCACAGCTGAGCTGTTAGGCACCTTGAACTTGGCCTAATAGGTCAATAGTACTTCTGGTTAAGCACATTCATTCTCTCAACAAACGTTTATTCAGTGACCATGGGCCAGGCACTGTGCTGGTAATGAATCAACAGTGGTGAAGACAGACCAGATCCAGGTCTCTTTAAGCTTACAGTCTGATGGGGACATAGGTGTGAAACAACCACTGAGTAAAGAAAAAATCAAATTATCACAAGTGCTGAGAAAGAAAATGTACTTGATTCCTTGTGCTTCTGTGACAAAATACCGCAAGCTGGGTAGCTTGAAACAACAGAACCTTATTCTCTCACTGTTTCAGGCCAGAAGTCCGAGATCAGAGTATTAGCAGTCTTGGCTCCTTTTGGGGGCTCAGAGGGAGTGATGTGCCATGCCTTTATCCTAGCTTCTGGTGGCTGCTGACAATCTTTGGTGTTCCTTGGCTTGTGGCAGCATAAATGCATCCTCTTCCTCCATTGTCACACGGGGTTCTCCCTGTGTGTCTGCCTCTGTGTCCAAATTTCTCCACATTGAATTTAGAGCACACTCTAAATTCAATCTTTTTGAGGGACATGATTCAATCCACAACAGAAAAGAATAGGATCACATAGATAAAAGTAGTATGAGAAGAAGGGACATTTAAGCTGATTCCCCCAAAAAAGGATCTGGTTGCTCCATTCTAAAAAAGCCTTTGTTCCATCGCAAATGTTATGAAATGAAGGAAAGCAGAAGTTTCCTATTCCTCCAAAAGGGATTTTTGAATCCCCTTTGCCCATTTCCTTCACTGGAGACATGAGGATCATGGTTCAGGAGACCCCATTGAATTGTCACTGGGATTGGTTAATATTTGGAGATGCAACCACAGTACTTGCAACCTACAGTCACGTAGAACTCTTGAGACAGTCCCAGTTCTCCCAGTTTCAGTTATCAAAGACAAATGTGATTATTTGGATCTTTGCCTTCAACCCGGACAAAGTTAGGGCTTGAAAGGACATTGAATATAGGAAATAGGGACTCAATATTCTAATAATGAAGTTGGTATCACTCTGATAAAACATCTCAGGAATGCTCATGTGATTCTGAGGGTGAGAAGTTCACTCATCGTTGCCGTTGGACACAGCCTGAATCAACACTCACCCTGAAGGCTGGCAAGGATGTGAGTCTTTTGTGAAATAAATTTTAATTGAAAAATGATATCTTAAGAAAACCTCATAAGCACTAGCATTCTACTGAAAGATACTTTTTAGGCTGTTCTACTATGGGAAAAGGTCGGGGGTAAACTATTTAAACTTATAAAGAGAAGGTTCACCTCAAGATTCACCTTTGTTAGTACTGTATATCATTTTGCTATCAGAACCTGTTTTTTGTTTGCTGTTATGGCCAATTATACAAGTGAGTCTGGAAAACATTCAATAATTCTCATTGCTGTAGTATATTATATCATCCATTATTGACCTCTTCCCATCAACAATAAGACTTGAATCTGTGTCATTACCTATAGTGTCTTATTTAGTCGCATTATCTGTAGCATCTTATTCTTACTATAGAACCACTTCATACTTCTGGACATGGATTTATAGATGCACTGCAATGAAATTGCGATTAAAAACAATGATCAAAGCCTAACCTAACATGAATGCCTAATCACTCAGATTACCTGTGGCTCTTCCCTTTTGAGATGCTTCATTAGTGTGTATTTATTATTTCCAATTACAAAGCTGTCAGTATTTATGGATCAGTATGTGGTCCAAGTAGTTGGCAGCATGTTTTGCTCATAAAAAAGGAAAATACTCTCTTTATAAATTTAAATAGTTAACTCTGTATTATGTATATTTATGAGTGATAGTCCAGTGTGAATAAGTCAAATCCAGAGATAATACACAGAAATTTAACTCGGAATTAGTAATCCTCAAAGTCTGCTTTAGCCCTGGAAACCTTTCTTTAAGCCCAATGTTGTGTGGTAGTCTGACTTAGAAACAGATAAAACTGGAGCTTCTTTTACTAAAATAAGGGTTGGAGGCTAGAACCTCCAAGGAAGGCTTCTTAGATCTAGTGATCCTCAAAGCATGGAATGCATGAGTTCCTGTGGGCAATGGGTTCCCCCTGAAAGGCTGTGAAATGATCCTTTTTGACAGAAAATAATGCAAATTTCTGTAGATTTTAATGTTTCCTATATGTCACTAAAACCTACTTAGTAGTGATCTACTCATGTGTTATTATGGGATACAAAAATTTGGTACCATGTACAACCTTCATTATCTTTGTCTTTCCTTTTTATTATTTTATGTATTTTTTTAAAGTACTATGTTCTTTCTCCAATAAAAAGCGGGAACCCATGTTTTAGGTGGGTCTTATGCCTTTTAGTTTACCTAAATGAGCCACAGAGGGGAAAAAGTTTTGAAAACCTTTTCTGTAAAAATACATTCAATTTCCTGCCTGTCTAGTCTTGGCAAAAAGTAGACAAATGAACAAGTTTTCATTCTGGCACATTTTATTTCATCTGGCTACTGTCTGATGGAGGTGTGGAAAGCCATATTGTTGATAGCTGAAGAGAAAAGTAGAAATAGCAGCAAAGGGCCCCATTAATGGAAGTAACAATATGTGAAAGGGCTTCAAGATGCTGAGAATAGATATTGTGTAACAGTTTACTGCTGTTATTATTCTACAGAATGTGCAAATTCAAAAGCAGCAGGATGTCACTCTTCTGTCTCTGCCTGTCTCCCAGCCTCTGAGGTCCTGTCTCTCCCGTGGCCCAAGCCTCCGGGACCCCCACGCACAAGATCAGCCTGTCGCATCTTAGGAAGCCATCTGGAGCGCAACCTCAGGGACAAAGCAACTGCCTCATGCTCTGACGTGTGCATCACATTATTCTTCACATTAGTTTTCCTGTTTTGGTGCAGATTTGATAAGTGAGGCTTCTCTGTGCTTAGTGACACAAGCCTTCCAGAAGCCTGCTACTCAAAGAGAGCTCCAGGGACCAGCAGTGTCAGCATCAACTAGGCTCTTGTTAAGCATGTAGTATCTTAAGCTCTGCTTCAGACTCACTGAATCAGAATCTACATTTTTACAAGATTTCCAGGTGATTAGGATGCACATTAGTTTTGAGAAGCACTGGTATAGAACTCAGTTCCTGCTCTTCTCACCCTAGTAGCCTTGAACTAACTACCTATAGCCTTGAGCTTGTCCCTGGAGTACACGCTGTCCCTGTGGTGGCTGGCTGCCTGCAGCCAGTTCACCTACTTGTTTGGTCTTGTCAGTTCTGCCCGCTTTCAGATTGGCTATCACTGTGTTGGGCTCAACTCTTTCCTTACTTTATCATCTCATCTTAGATGGCCCAAAGCAGGTGTTTCCCACGGTTTCCCTTTGGTTGTCTGCCTTGATGATCTTTGGAAACTACATATCCAACTGGGCTCTCTTCCAATACCTGCAGCTCTCCATTCACCCAGTGCCTGCCCACCCAGGCCACTGATCCTGAGTATGTGAACCGACCAATGCTCTGACCCGATAAATGTCTTTATGTTTTCATCTGAAGAATTCCGTTTAAATGATTATTTCAAACTCCTTAATAATTGATCAACACCTAAAAAAGATGAAACAAAGTGATTTGAAAAAATGTGTTCCCTCAGAGACCTATTGGGAAAGCAAATTAAATATATGTGTAGAACTTGGCTTTAAGGGTATTACAATAACTTAGGTATAATTAACATGTATACAATTCAAGAATAAATCAACATAAAAAATAAAAATAAAAATGTCCATAGTATGAAAGATGCCATAAACAGAGATAAAAAGACAAGCATTGGCCAGGCGTGGTGGCTCATGCCTGTAATCCGACCACTTTGGAAGGCCGAGGCGGGCGGATCACGAGGTCAGGAGATAGAGAGCATCCTGGCTAACACGGTGAAACCCTGTCTCTACTAAAAATACAAAAAATTAGCCGGGTGTGGCAGCGGGCGCCTGTAGTCCCACCTACTCAGGAGGCTGAGGCAGGAGAATGGCGTGAACCCGGGAGGCGGAGCTTGCAGTGAGCCGAGATCGCGCCACTGCACTCCAGCCTGGGCGACAGAGCGAGACTCGGTCTCAAATAAATAAATAAATAAATAAATAAATAAAAGACAAGCATTGGTTTGGAAGAAAATCATTGCCATATACATAAAATACAAATGATTAACATCTTGAATATATAAAGAGCTCATATAAATCAATAAGAAAAAGATAACAGCTCAAGAGCTGAAAAGCAGAGGATGTGAACAGGTAGTTCACAGAAGGAGAAAAGCCAGTGATCCATAAAATAAAAGAATTAATGTTCAATCTCACTAGTAATTGGAAAAATGCATTAAAACAACATTGCGATAGTATTCTTCATCCATAAGATTGTTAATTAAAAGTATTATAACCAGTGGGGGTAAGGATGCAGTAAAACAGACATGTTCTTACACTGTTGATGTGAATCTAAACTGTTAGAGTCTTTTGGTGGGTTATTAAATTACAACTGTATTTTTCAAAATAAAAATATTTATATTCTATGCCTCCTTTGTGATTCCTCTTCCAAAACCCATACTAAAGAAATATGCATACATACAGCAAAAAGATACACAAGAATGTTTGTTAATTGCAGCATATTTTTAAATTATAAAAATTAGAAAAGTCCTAAGTGTCTATCAATGGGAGAATAAGTAATTAAGCTACAGTCCATCCATATTTTGGACTACTCTGCAATGAGTTGTGGCTGGGCGCGGTGGCTCACGCCTGTAAATCCCAGCACTTTGGGAGGATGAGGTGGGCGGATCACGAGGTCAGGAGATGGAGACCATCCTGGCTAACACGGTGAAACCCCATCTGTACTAAAAATACAAAAAAAAATTAGCTGGGCCTGATGGCAGGTGCCTGTATTCCCAGCTACTTGGGAGGCTGAGGCAGGAGAATGGCGTGAACCCAGGAGGTGGAGCTTGCAGTGAGCCGAGATTGTGCCACTGCACTCCAGCCTGGGCGACAGAGCAAGATTCTGTCTAAAAAAATAAAAAAATTAAAAAAAGAATGGGTTGTATGTATGTACAGTAGATATAGAGGAAGATGTACTAGAGGTTGCACACAATTTCTTCCTAGGCCTTATTATATCTATGTAATATATATTATGCACATATAGTATGTTACATATACATAACATATTTTTTAAATATATGTATGTATTTCCAAGACATATAATTTGGTTGAAAGCAAGTCATAGGACAATATCCACAATGCAATTCCATTTAAGTTAAAAAACCATACCTCTATATATGTATATATCAATATGTATGTATATATGTATGTATATACATTATACATACATGCATATAGGTAGAAACATTGAAAAAGAGCTAGAAAAACATTTACAACTAAAATGGTGTATTCTTCTGAGGAGATGAGGGTTGGATAGGGTAAGAATGAAGGAAGGGTTACTTTCGTGATTTGTTCAATAATCTTTGTGTTGTTTACATCTTTACAGTGAGAATATATACACATATATCATAATTGTATGACAAAAAACAACAAAGAGGGAAAAAAGAGGGAGGCAATAAAGAGCAAAAAAAAGTTACCACTAGACAGCTAACATTATGAAGATGATAAATATATGATGAAGATATTATATTATTTGATAACATATACATACATTACGTTATATTATCAAGATGGTAATTACCACGGGAAAGCTGAGAAAGCATATAGACAAGTTCCTCCTTGAACCACAATTTCCTCATTTAACAGTTCCCCAGGGTGAAGAGAATGGGGGAGGTGGTAAAGTATTCTTTTTCTAAGATTCTTCCAGCTCAAAATTCCATGTCAGTACAGCTGCTTCCAAATTGGTTTCTAAAGTTGTTTTGCCATTTTGCATTTCAATCAGCACTGTATGAGATTCCAGTTGCTCTTCATCCTATCTAATATATGTATATAGTAGTATTTCCTTATGGTTTTAATATGCATTTCTCTAATGACTAACGATGAGTATCCTTTTTTTATGTGCTTATTCATCATCTGAAATGGATCTGAGATCGTACTATAAAACTTCTAGAAGAAAATATAGAAACTAATCTTTTTGTGTTGAGCCAAGATTTCTTAGGACAACACAACCCCCAACCCCCACCAACCCATAAAAGAAAAAATTATAAATGGACTTCATAAAAATTATAAAATTCCCGTTCTTTGAAAGATATTATTAAATAAATGAAAAGATAAAAAAACTTGGAAAAAATACTTGCAAAATGCCTATGTGATAAAGCTTTGTATCCAAAATATATAAAGAGCATTTGCAACTCAGTAAAAAGAAAACAATCCAACAGAAAATGATCAAAAGATCTGAAGAGGTACTTCAGCTTTTATTAATGATGACTGAAATTAAAGATGAACTATTTTTTTTCTGGGCATTTATTTAGTAAATACTGGTGATTGAAGTTCCATCCAGATGTGGTTATTTTTGCTATAATAAATGTCCTTTTATGGTTATTCTCTGGAATGTGTAATAAAAAGTGATTTGCTTGAGAATGGCTCATTTTTCACTACAAGTAAATAATTAACAAAATTTATAGATTTTGTTAAATACTTATACTTTAAAGTATAACTAATTGGAAACACCCTATACAGAGCGTGGACTAGCTTTGTTATTCCTTCCTTGACAAGGAATTTTAGCAAACATTCTATGGAAAGGATAATTAGCAAGAGTCTCAGCTTTCGTTTTTGCTTGGCTATTTCCCTTGAGTTTAGTAAAGTAGAAAATTTAAGATATAAACCCACCATTTTTCCCTTTATTTTGGAATAGGGGATGGTACAGACTAAACCAAAATGGGATTACCATTCACTGGTTGAGCACTTACATGGAATCAGGGAAAATGTTTCTGGAGAACTCCTGGCGGGTGATATTTCTTAAACAACACAGAATCGAAAAGAGTAGCAGTGATTGTAACTGGTTTCTCTGGCTTCCTAAGCTTGTTGTTGCCTCTTGGGACCACATGACTGTGGCCACCCTTCCAAGAGCAGAGTTATCCCTGGGACCCTCTCTCTTGCAGCCTCTCTTTTTCTTTTTCCCACATCTCCTTCATCCTATTCAACGATTTACTCTCTCCTCTAACTTTCCTCTTCTTTGGAGACTAGTTCTGAGGCTGGGAAGGATGAGGGCCTAAGACCTGTGGGTGGAGAAGGGAGGGAAAACTGGCTGTCGATGGTCTGGCTTCAGGGTGAAGCCGACCTACTCCCAACGTTTTCAGATCCCTGGCAAAGTGCAAACGGAGGACCTCATATATTCTCATTGCTCGAACTGGTAATTAGTCCTCATTTAGTTCAGAATGTGAAGTTGTTGGAATTTTGTCTGAACTTTTCGTGTTGCAGATTTGATGAGAATAGTTCTCTTGCTTTTTAATTGTTTTGATCAGTAATTCAATCTTCATTATATTAATATAAAAAATGTAATGCCCTAGTCACAAATTTTAAGTCCATCATGCTTACCAGATATTTGTCCACTCTCATTTTTTTCCAGTTTTTATAGATTTAAACAGACTGCCTTTTTAAAGATTTTCAGTTTCTTTTTCCTGTTCACCTTTTTTGTTGTTGTTGTTCTTTTGGAGCTTCACGTTTGTATATTCTATTGCTATTATAATCTTAACTTGTACTTATTCTCAGTGATTATGGTAGGCATATTAATAGCCCCCTTAAGATCTCCCGTCTAAACCTCAGACTCTTTTATGAGGCAAAAGCGACTTTGCAGATGTGATGGAAGTTAAGGATCTGAGATCTTGTATTATCTAGTGGGCATAGTCTAATCATGATAGCCCTTAAAAGTGGAGAATTTTTCCCAGCAGCAGTCAGCGAGATGAGATGACAGAAAGGTAAGAAAGATGTGACATGAGGACTCAACCTGTTGTTGCTGGGTTTAGAGACGAAGGAGGGACGCCACTAGTCGAGGAATGTGGGCAGCCTTTAGAAGCCGAAAAGAGTAAGACATAGATCTCTCCTGGAGCCTGCAGGAAGAAATGCAGTCCTTCATTTTAGCCTAGTGACACCTATTTTGGAATTTTGACTCACAGAATGGTAAGATAATAAATTTGTGTTTTGTAAGCCACTGAACTATGGTAATTTGTTAGGGCAGCAATAGAGAACGAATAGTAAATGATTAAATTATCAAACATAATTACATTTAAAGCGTACAAAACTTAGATATATTTTCATTAAAAATTTAAATTAAATATAAAAATTTTGAATGAAATTATTTTTATATATCTTTTCAAAAAAGTTTTCTTCTAATATTACATTTATCTAATATTTGATAATATTATCAAGCTTATCCAACATTAAAAGCAAATTTACAAAGTACAACATATAAATATGAAAATTTAAAGTTATTTAATTAAAGCTAAACTTAATTTTTTGGAAAAGTAATTCAATCTTAGTAAATATTTTCATGGTAATAAAAGTTTTAGCAATTCCTGTGTTTTGTTTTCATCTAATTGCCAATACATAAATCATTACAACTAAGCCTATAGATATACATATATACAAATTTAAGACTAACATGGAATGCTTGATGTTGTAAAATGTCCTTAAACAACCATGTTTGATTTTACAAAACTGATTTAATTCAGAAGTACCTCTGGAACTATGAATTGGAACATGAAGAGAAGCAAAAAAATAGATGCATGGTACTCCTGGGAAACTATACTTATTATGCAAGAATCTATTGCATTCATGTTATCTGAGAGGAAGGATCTGACAAGTTAATTAATTTGTCTTTTCTCTTACCTAAGTGCCTCTGTCACTCAAACACTCCCCACCATCTAAGGCAGTGCCTTTCTCTGATTTCAGTGGTGGTGCAACACACAAACCCTCACAGAATTCAGATGCACTTGCCTTTTGTTTTAGAATCACAGGGCAGGAGATGTGGGGATCATTTCTCCGGGGCCTGACTGGTGTGAGTTATGGAAGCAGATATTTATGGTCGTGGGTCAAGTGGTGCCAGTGCTGAGTACTGCATCCCAAAAAAACAGAGACACCTGTGTGTTCCTAATACATTGATTTGTGTGAGTCTCTCATATGCCAGACACTCTAAAGAACAGGAAAGTGGCACCTCTTGCCTGGGTTTCAGGGCAGTACTGAACTTTGTAACACACCATCAGATCTTCCAGGTTGTGAAGATTAATGACTAGCTTATGCTGCTAAAAGAATGTTTGTTTTCTTCAGAGTAGAGTTATATTACAAAGGGTCCACTGAATTACCTTAGTACTAGAAATGCCAGCTCCAAAAAGGGTGCAAGGAAGCATTTAAGAAAACCCATGTCCTCATATCAGTAAGTATGACTCATTTTACTGATATGTTTGTTTTTACTGTATTCCTTGGGTACTGTATTACCTGGGCTTATTACACATCATTACTTGTCCTGTTGGCTCTAAACTCTTATGATTAAACTTTCTCCCCTCCCACCCCGGCCTTTCATAATTCACTCATTCTGTCTCGGACTTTTCTCTCGTGCCTACATTCTCTCTCCTGCAGTTGCACATTGGACATTTGCTACTGTTCTGCTACTGCCGCAGCTGCGTCTCTGCTGCCCAAGCTGTCCCCAACACTTCTCTCTGTGCTCTGGACTGACCTCACTCCTTGTCAGCTGGCTCACACCTCACAGGATTTACTTACTTTTTGTGTTGCACTGATTTTCATTGAGTTGAGAAGCAGGAGAGTCTCAAGAAGATCCTCAAGATCTAAGTTTTCATCATAAAGTTCTTACCCAGTGGTAGAACTAAAGTGGGTGTTCAAGGTTTCTACAGCAGAAGCGAAAGCAAAGCGTTGTCCATAGGCAAGAAGCATCAAGTCCATCTGAGAGTCTTAGTGTAAATGATCAAGTGAGGAGTAATCACTAGCCCTGCTCCTCAAAGTACAGAGAGCACGTTAACAATTACTCATTATAAAGTCATACTTTATCATCTAGCATTTATTTAAACCAGGCTTAGTGACATTATACATATAAAATATGAGGACTTTTGAAATATGGTAGGGATAGATTGTGACTGCAGTGCAGCCATCAGCAAGCGTCACTAATTTTAAAGACCCTCTTGGTGCCACCTGTCTCTAAATCTGCACACTCTGGCCACAAGTCCCCTCTGTACTGTGAAAGGAATGTTTTATGCCTTGCCAAACGTTCCTAGGAAGACTGTTAACAGTAAGCAACAAAAACCCGTTCTCTGGAATACCTCTAGGCTGTCTCTCTTAGAAGAGCTCCGCAGAAGTAAAAGCTTGCCTGCATTAGAATCCCAGAGCTGAGCAGCAGGCTGTCCTTTAACTCTTTACTACTCACTCTGTGTAAGATTTAGGAAAGGCATGCAAGGTAACGTGCCTTCAAATATTTGATCACCACAAAGGTGCACCCATGATTGCTGATGTTCCCAAATTGGCAATCTCATGAGATAAACTTAGTGGAAGGTTTTTTTAAAAATAAAAAAAAAAGAAACCAGTAAGTAAAAACTTCCTTTAAAAAAAAAAAAAAAAAAAGCCAGTTTGCAATTTCTTAATTCTTTTTTTATTTTTACTGCCCCTTTTTCTGTCTTGCAACCTTACTAATACAACTACAGCCTAAAATATGAATGTTGTTTTTTTAAAAATGCCATTAAAAACAAGTTAAACTGGGGAAAGTGAATGTGCTCTTCTAGGCCCAGGCTTTACCAAGACTTGCCCCCCGTTGTCTGTTTCTTTTTCAATAGCTGAGGCTATTTAATTCACATTTATGGACTCATCTCTAAGTTTCCAAGAATGATACTTTTGCAAACAGGATTTTTTTTTTTCTTTTTTAGATCTAGCTCAATAGTTTTAAACTCTACTTGCATATGAAAAACAACAAAGTGAGCTCTCTCCCAGAACAATTAAGTCAGAATCTTTGGGGTGGTGTCAGAAAATCATTATTTTTAAAAGACCCTCCAGGTTCTTCTAACATTCCATCAGGATTAAACATCACTCTTCTATTCCAGACCAGTGGCTACCCCTAACTAGGAGCAGTTTTTGTCCTCCAGGGGACATTGGTTAATGTCTGGAGACAATTTTGGTTGTGAGAACTGGGAGTTTGCTACGGGCGTTTAGTAAATAGAGGCCAGGGCTGCGCTAAGCATCACACAATGCATAGCACAGTCCCCCACAACAGAATTATCTGGCCCAAAATGTCAACAATGCCAAGGTTTAAAAATTCTGATATAGCCTAACATCAAGACTCTGTGTCAGAAAAACAGACTTTGCATGTTCTTGTCATTTGTGGGAGCTAAAAAGTAAAATATTTGTACCCTTCAACCATCCCCACTTCCCCTCTTTCACCACTTCCACCCACTCCTGGGTGGAGGGGATGGAGTGGGGTTGGTTGATGGGGGAAGTGGCATTTGTTGATGTGGGAAGTGGGGTTGATTGATGAGTATAAAAATATATTTAGATGGAGTGACCCATAAGATCTAGTATTTGATAGCACAACAGAGTGACTACAGTACCATTATTTATAGATTTTAAAGTAACTAGAAAAGTATAATAGGATTGTTCATAACACAAAGGATAAATGCTTGAGGTGATGGATACCCCATTTAACCCTGATATGATTATTATGCATTGTATGCCTGTATCAAAATATCTCATGTACCTTATAAGTATATACACCTCATATGTACCTACAAAAATTAAAAATAAAATAATTTTTGAAAGACTGTTTATGTAGTTACTCCTAAACTAATGCTATTGAGATTCTAATAGCATATTCCAGCTGTGATATTTGGATTCTGTATGAGCTTCAATTCCTACCACTACTTATCCCTAAACCTTAACATTTATTAGAAGAATGAAATATCTCCAAAAGGCTGACTGTCTTCTTGCTGTGTGGGTAGCTGAAGAATTATTGCTCTAAGTTGCCCATTACTGAACTCTGCCTATCTGTTGGGACACAAATGTCACTACTTCTCAGACTTGCTGTTGCCAAATGTTTTTCTTCTCACAGGATTCTCAGTCCTGGATATTGATTCTGGTGTTTTGTTTTTCTTTCTGTGGTTACATTATTAAATAATGACAAAAACCCTTTCAGTGGCTTTATTTATAAATAGGAGATCACCTAAAATTCATGGAAAAATTGGCCTGCATTTGCAAGAAAAATTCTTCTGCAACGCAACTGTCAATAATGAAAATGCACAGTAGCAGGAAATTTATAAATGAGTAACTCAAGCATGCCATTGCCCCAGGAGACCTTCTTTGAGCAGACTGTATTAGAAACAGAATAAGTCAGAATAAGTTAGAATAAAAGAATACCTGGGAAAGGGAAGAATGAATGAATAGCAGCTCCTTGCAGGGTTAGAGATAGATGGGCAAAGACAAATATAAGAAGACACATAAACTTTAGTGTAGCATCACTTCCTGGAAGGATCCAGCCCTTTGTATGGTAAATACAGCAGAGAGAGCCATCCAAGCTCTCTGAATCCCTACCAAGGGCACCAGAAAGACCAGAAAGACCAAAGTCCATCCTTTCTTAGTTTTTAGTCCTTGATGTGGAGTAGCATTGCCAGATTTAGCAAAGACAAATATAGCGCACCTAGTCACATTTACATTTCAGATAATCCATAAATACTTCCTTAAAAGTATATCCCTAACATTGCACGGGACATACTTTTATTAAAAATTATTGTTTATTGAAAAATAACAAAAAAATTGTTTATTGAAAACTCAAATTTTATGGGGCATCTTATCTTTTATCTGGCAATCCTAATCTGGGATTTCCTTCCAGGCAGAAATGAGGAGTAGACACAATAGGATAACATGGAACTGCAACTATCTTATTTATTACCTACTACTGACTTAACAGTTGACAGAAGAAGTAACAAGTGAGCGGTACCCAGAGGCTCTCAAATGCTCATCCGCAGTCTCTTTCAAATCTCATGCTTAAGGTGATCATTATATGACCTTCATATCCTTTCTCTTCATGATACAATTCTGCACAGCTCAAACCTCTTGAAAATGTCTATCCAGGTAGCCCCATCCCACGACCATGTAAAGCTAACCAGACCTAAAATGGTCTTACCTCTATTTACTCTATTTGCATGAGTTTTTTCTCCTTCATCGCAATGCCATTTCCATAATGTGGGAAACATTGCAAGGCTAACCAGGAATGGATACGTAAAGAAGAGGTTTGACAGAGATTTTTAATTCTACTTCTTAAGATTCCTCTTGTGTTCTTGGCCCTTCTTACTCTAGTAGTCAAAAGAATGTAAAGCATTCTCTAGTCCTATTTCCTTTCCTTGTTTGTTTTCTCTCTGTCTCCATCAGCTATGAATTTTCCTCAAGTTCTGTGTCCCCTTAATTTATTGACTTAATTTCATGTCTTTTTGTCTTCCTCCTGTTTCAGAGATTTTCTTTTTGTTCAGGGCTCTGTACTCAACAAACACAGTTGATGGGCACACGAAGCCAATGAGACAGCACTGTTATCAGTGTTAAGCAGAAGGCATTCTCTAGGATAGACAAAGGTTAATTTTAATGGACTCTTATAATTAGAAGGTTATGGTTTTACCTATTTTATATGACCCTAGCATTTCTGCACAGCAGTAATTTATTTTTCTGAGGCAGGAACTTTGGTCATGAGTACTGCCAGGCTTGTAGACAAGTATATATAGTTAGTGAGTAAGCTGACTCCTCAGAAACTGAATGTCAGTACTGTCGTGCTCACTCATTCAACATGCAGCATTCTAGTCCTGGAGATTCGGAGGTGAACATGCCTTGCCCTCATAGAGGAGACAGATAATAAAACAAGAAAATAAGAGGAAATTTTTACTCTCAGTTGGTAATAAGTACCATGAAGAAAAATAAGGTGGAGTGAGGGATACATGTATATTATGATGAGAGGGAGGGGGCATTTTAAACATTTAAAAATATTGGTTAAAAAAGAGTTTTCTAAGGAGGTTGCACTTGACAGAGACTGCACTGAAGAGAAGGAGGAAGCCATATTGCTGTCTGGGGGAACACAAAATGCAAATGCTGGAGCTCAAGAAACAGCAAGAAGGCTGTAGAGTCTGAAGGGGATGATGAAGGAGGGTGGTACATGAGTCAGAGAACAGGGCTAGATGATATAGGGGCTGGTAGCCCATGAAAGGTGTGTTGTGGCGGCTGCTGGAGATTTTGAGCAGGAGAATCACAGGTTCTAAATTAAAAATTTCAAACATCACTCTGGCTACTGTGTAGAGCATTGACACTTGTAGGGCAAGCGTGAAGCAGGGAGAGCAGCCAGGAGTCTATTGAAACAAGAGGGCCAAAGAAGATGTTGGCTTGAACAAAGGAGGTAATGGTGGAGGTGGTGATAGATACTTGGATCACTCTATAATTGAGTGAACAGTATCAGGTTATAGAGGAATCAAGGATGAGGTCTAGGATTTTTACCTGAGCAACTGGATGAATAAGGTGCCATTTACTGAGATGGAGAAGACAAGGGTGGAAACAGCTTTTTAATGTGTTTTTTGAATATTTTTTTGAAGCAATCTCTCAAATTTACAAAATAATTGTGAGTCTAATACAAATAACTTTTTTCAGAACCATTTGAAAGTTGCCAACCTGATGCCCCATCACCTTTGTACACTTTAGTGTTTATGTCCTAGTAACAAGGATAGTCTCCTACATAATTGCAAAGCAGCCATCAAAATCAGGAAAATAACACTAATTTGTTTCTACCTTCTAATTCTCAGACCACGTTCAAGTTTTTCTTATTATCCCAATAACATCCACAAAGATCCCATTCAGAATCATATATTGCATTGGTTTATAACATTTCTTTCTTTTTTTTTTTGGTTGAGATGGAGTCTTGGTCTGTCGCCCAGGATGGAGTGCGGTGGCGCGATCTCAGCTCACTGCAAGTCCGAGGTTCAAGCGATTCTCCTGCCTCAGCCTCCCGAGTAGCTGGAATTACAGGCACCCACCACCATGCCGGGCTAATTTTTGTACTTTTTTTTAGTACAGACGAGGTTTCACCACGTTGGCCAGGCTAGTCTCGAACTCCTGACCTCAGGTGATCTGCCCGCCTTGGCCTCCCAAAGTGCTGGGATTACAGGCGTGAGCCACCCAGTCTGGCGTGTAACGTTTCTTTGGCCTCCTCTACTGTGGAGTAATTTCTCAACCTTTCATGGACTTTCATGACTACGTTAGCTTTCTATGCTGCATAACAAATTACCACAAACTTACCAACTTGAAACACACACACACACACACACACACACACGGACACACACACACATATTTATTATCTGTTTCCGGGGATCAGGAGTCTAGGCATGTCTTAGCTTGCTTCTCTGCTTCAGAGTTTCATCAGGAGGCAATCCACAGGTCAGCCAGTGCTGCGGTTTCACCAGAGGCTTGACGGGAAAGATCTGCTTCTAAGCTCCCTTAGGTTGTTGGCAAAATGTATTTCTTTGATGCTGTAAGACTGAGGCTTCAGTTTCTTGCTGGAGATCACTCTCAGCTACTAGAGGCTGCCTGCAGTTCATTGTCATGTGAACCTCTCCAACATGACCACTTAACTTTATGGCAATTCACATCTTCAAGGACAGTGAGGTGGAGTCTTTCTAGCATCTCTGCTAGCAAGAGGGAATCTTAAATATGCCATAATGTAATGATGGGACTGATATCCCATCAACTTTCCCATATCTTACTGGTTAAAAGTAAGTAATTAAAAGTTTGTTAAAAGTGGGTAGGTTCTGCCCAACTCAAGGGAAGGGATTATTGGTGTTCCTAGCGGTCTGTCTTCCACTATTTGTCACTTTTGAAGATTATTCCTTTGTGGAATGTTCCTCAGTTTGTGTTTTTGTGGAATGTTTTAAAATTTGGGTTTGTCTGTTGTTTCCTCATGATTATAATCGAGAATCTTTTCCGAGAATATCACAGAAATAATGTATTATTATCATCACATCATATCTAGTGGCTCATGATTTCAATTTGCCCTATTAGTTGTGTTCATTTTGATCATTTGAATTAAGTATCTGCCAGGACTTCTGTAAAGTTATAATTTTCCTTTTTGTAATTAATAAATGTTTTTGTGAAGAGGTACTTTAAAACCATGTAAATTTCCCGTTCCTCATCACAGCTTTTATTTATCTGTTTATATATTCAGCATGGACTCATGGTTTCTTTTTAAATTCAAGATTATATGTATTACCGTAATTATTTTAATGTTCAAATTATCCCTAATTTATCCAGTGGAAGTCCCTTTAGGATGGATTATGTGTACTTTTGACACAGTTCTATAATTCTTTGAGCACTTCCTTACTTCCTGGAGCAATAAGATTCACCAGGCTCACGTACTTTCTCCTTGCCCAATCCTGAAATCACTCATTATGCCGAGAGTCCTGACCAGCAGAGAAAGGTATTTAGAAGCCAAGTTTTGGAGACCAGTTGTTCTCATTGCAGTCTTACTACTCTGAAGCCCTTTTGGTGGACAGAGGTAGGGAATATTTGTCTGTCTGTCTGCCTATCTATCCTCACATTAACATCTATATTTCCATAACTATCTATATTGAAAACAATGAGTTTGCACCTATACCTCAAATTTCAATCCAATGCCACAAAGTTTATTCTAGTTTTTTCTTTTCCATATTTGTAACTGCCTTCTCCAACAGTGAGAAACCTGACTCTCATTAGCCTTATATAACACTTAATCAATAGTCCTGGATGTGATGAATCTCCCTTTGCCACTGCAATCTCCCATAGGATACCCTCCTTACCCTACGCTGGCTCAGACATCCCTAGTTGGGCTGCTTTTACCCCTCCCACACAGTACCCTCTCTCCTAACAGTGAGTTCCTTCTTCAACTTCCCCATGCTTCCACAATCCGATCTGAGCCATATCACTGCACTACCATGCTTGTGTTATGACACCTCAAAGCAGGTGTGTGTTTGTTTTTTAATCAAGCCTTTATTCTCTGTTACTGTTTGCAACTCTCAAAACGTGGCACAGCATTTTTTTTCTTTGTGTAAATAGCTGCCCGTTTTCTTATAACATCCTCTGAGTATTAAGATCTGCTATATTTGTTGATTAATGGTGTAAATAAAATCAAGGCCATAAGAGAAACCATGAGAGGCAACTATCCAATGACACCATTAAGATGTGCATTCTGTGGCTCAGATTTGTTTATTGATATTATGAAATATTCTTGAAAATATAGGGAGAAGAGAACAAAAGTTACAAAGGATAAACAGTCGTCTTAATAGTATTCAGCTCCAAGAAAGAAAAGATGCAAGGAATACGCTGAGATGAAGTTTGGATTGAATTCTACGTTTGTAAAATGATAATATGCTTTTTGCTAGAAAACAACAAAGCTCTTTAAGAAAATTAGTAATTGGGGGTCTTTAAGTATTCAGAAGTGTGAGAACTGTGATGCTTGATGGTGATGCATACTGCAGAATTCTCTGTGGGTTATAAAGCCAATTTCTTCAAGAGGCACTGCAGCTGAAGGCTGCCAAGGGAAAAATATATTTGAGATTTAAGGTGGATCTTTTGTTCAAAAGTGTACAAAAAAGTAAAAAATTTAAGAAACAGGCAAATTTTGTTGTCAGCCATTTTATGCTTGTGCTTATCTTCTGTAGCCAAGTTTCAAGAGGAGAAATATAAACAAAGCAAGATCCCTACTTCATTTGATTATAAAACATGGTGCAAATTTAAGATTTCATGTTGGAAAAGTATTTTCAGTTGTTGTAAGGACACTTTTCTTTTCTTCTCCAAATTTTCTAACTTGACCAAAATATACCTTTAAATAAGAATTATTTCTCCTTATCAAAAACAATTGCAGAACTAGAAATACTTTAGGCTGTTAGTTCCAGGATGCATCTGGTATTATCTGCATGTATACCTCTTGCAACATGGAGACAAGGCTACAGGATCAGCCACAACTGAGGAAATGAAACTAGTTAGACCGGTGGTTCCCAGATTGTGGTCCCCAGACAGTAACATCAGCTTTACCTGGGAACTTAGTAGTGCAAATTCTCTAGCCCCACTTCAGAGCTACAGAACCAGGAACTCCAAAAGTGGGGGAGGGGGGACATAATCATGTTTTAATAAGTTCCTCTGATGATTCTGATGATGCACCCTCAGGTTTGAGAACCGCTGAGTTAGGCTAGCTACTGTTGGCAAATATTGGATTCAATAAACTGTCCTGCACCCTCACTTGCTCTTCTGAACACTAGTGCTTTCTGTAGCTTCTTGTCACCATGAGATCTACTAAATTCTGAAAACATAACTTTTTCTAGTGTGTTAAAAAACACTTTTTCACACTTTCTTCTCTTCTCAGACATAGCCTATATGTTGCTTAATACAAGAACTGATATATAGTAACTACTCAATAATTACTAGTTCCCCTTCTCTTGTTCCTCAGATATTTGCTTGTTATTTATTAACTGAAAGAGATGGAGACAAAATACTGGTATCCCTAAAACATTTAAAGGTAAATTCAGTAAGTGCATTGATAATTATTCTTTTTTTTTTTTTTTTTTTTTTTTTTGAGACGGAGTCTTGCTCTGTCGCCGAGGCTGGAGTGTAGTGGCACCATCTCGGCTCACTGCGAGCTCTGCCTCCTGGGTTCACACCATTCTCTTGCCTCAGCCTCCCGAGTAGCTGGGACTACAGGCACCCGTCACCACTCCAGGGTAATTTTTTGTATTTTTAGTAGAGACGGGGTTTCACCGTGTTAGCCAGGATGGTCTTGATCTGCTGACCTTGTGATCCGCCCGCCTCGGCCTCTCAAGGTGCTGGCATTACAGGCGTGAGCCACCGTGCCTGGCCAATAATTATTCTTGACACAAACTATACTCTTATGTTTAACACATGAAATATGACAATATTTTCTAAAAGCTGTGGAAGTTAGAAGAATCAAAATGAAGTCAACTGTGCTAAAAAAAAAAATCCTAACAAATAGAGCTGGGGAAGGCCTCAAAGAGAGAGGTTCTCATGCATAAATGTCTCATAACAAAAACTATCACAAAAGACTCTACAAGAACCACAACCTTGCACAAAGGCCATCACAACCTTACACAAAAAGTACTTCTGCAGAGTCTGCCCTGCAACTGCCTATCCAACCTTGGACTAGCATCACCCTTCTTATTGAACCAGGTAGTCAGGGATAATTATCTCAAAACATTATATAATCCTCTTCATTTTTCCTTTAAAAACCTTTGTCTTCCTTTACCTTCCTGAATATGTACATAGTTTACTATGGCATGCATAGATTATCACTTTCTTCTACAGAGCCTCATTCTGTTTGCCATTTAGGTTGACAGAGCAAAGCAAATTAAACATATTCCTTATCTTTCTAAACAAATAACCTATCTTTTATTTTATATCAATAGTGAATTAAAAACTAGGATTACAAATAAATCTTATTGTTTCCTGATATTTCTATATTTTCTCCTTAAAAGCAAAAATTAAATATCAGTGTCCTCATTATCATTTAAAAACATTTCCAGCACTTTCCATTTTTTCGTTAGGAAATATCCATGTGAAAGTTGTGGATGTCTACAAGGCGTTCCTCCTGGGCTTCATTTTTTTAGGGCCTGCATCCTTTGAATGACCCCCATTTTAGTCAAATGTCAATAATACGATTTAGTGGCTACTTGCTGAGGAAGGGTCTCAGAGATGAATGAGAATACCCATGTTTTGCTTATCTCAAAAAAATTTGAATTGTACCAGTGTTTTTCCTCAGATTATCCAGCAATGATTTTCAGACTTAGGTCTCTGCAAAAATCATCTCATGATCTTGTTTAAAGATTTAGAATTCACCTCTCCAGATGATTGATATAGTGGTCTAGGGTGGAATCAGAGGAAAAATATGTATTTTCAACTAGCACTCAAGTATTTTGTGCAGGTTGTCAGAGATCACACACTGAGAAAAAATAGATTGGGTCCCTCCCTTGATTCTGTACCCATTTGCTTAAGTGTTGGTATAATAGAGCATGTTGCCAGTTGTGATGGTTAATGCTGAGTGTCAACTTGATTAGACTGAAGGATACAAAGTACTGATCCTGTGTCTGTCTCTGAGGGTGTTGCCAAAGGAGATTAATATTTGAGTCAGTGGGCTGGGAAACATAGACCCACCCTTAATCTGGATGGGCACAATCTAATCAGCTTCCAGTGCAGCTGGAATATCAGCAGGCAGAAAAATGTGAAAAGAGAGACTGGCTTAGCCTCCCAGCCTACATCTTTCTCGCATGTTGGATACTTCCTGCCCTCAGACATCGGACTTCAAGTTCTTCAGTTCTGGAACTTGGACTGGCTCTCCTTGTTCCTTAGCCTGCAGAGGGCCTATTGTGGGACCTTGTGATCATGTGAGTTAGTACTTAATAAACTCCCATATATATATATATATAATCTAACTAATCTCCTATTAGTTCTGTCTCTCTAGGGAGCCCTGACTAATACAGATATTGGTGCCAGGAGTGGTTCTAGAGAAACAGAATATTAAGGATGGAGTTCTTTTGTTGGTTTTGGGGTTTCTGGAGTTAGCTGCTTAATATGATTGACCCAAAAATGCTAAAGACACTATTTCTAATAGTATGGAGAACACTGATAGTCCTTGGTGTGAACTGCTTAGAGAGTTATGCAAAATAAATGCATTTGACACCATTCATGAGAGGCAAGGAGTTTAGTGACTCTATACATAATACCTTTGACTATATGTGGAGAACCAAAGAACATAATGAAGCTGGTTGGTTGCTCCTAAGTTCAGTGGACAAAGTGATGAAAGAAAATGATGAACTCAGGGATTCTGTCTCCTGGCTTCAGAAGCAGATACTGAGCCTCAGATCTGCTGAGATAGTCCTGAGTGAGAGTCTTACCCCCTGTAGAGAAAGAGCTGAAATTGTAGAAAAACAGACACAAGCTCTTATCATGTCAGTGGCTGAACTGCAACAAAATGTGCACGCACAGCCTCACCAGGTGTCTACCCTTAAAGTGAGGGCATTGACTAGAAAAATAATGGGATCCTGAAACTTGGTTGGGGATGTGTGGGAGGACCCTGATGAAGCTGGGGACACTGAGTTTGAACATTTTTGCCAGAGGAAACAGCTTCCCCATCCCCAGTAGTGGCAACGTCCCCTCACCAACCCATGCTGCCATCAGCCTTTCCACCTTTGTCTGAGTAGATAAACCCTATGTTGCCTGAGGCAACAGTGATGGCCTCCCCAGGGATAGTTGCCAGGCAAGATAATGTTGATTCTCCTCAGGAGTCACCCCCAACACCCCTGTTTGCTCCTATACCTATAACTAGACTAAAGTCCCAGCAGACCCCTGGAGATGAGGTTGAGAGTGTGACCCATGAGGAGGTCCACTACACTCAAAAAGAATTGCTTGAGTTTTCTAATTTATGTGAAAAGAAATCTGGAGAACAGGCATGGGAATGGATATTAAGGGTGTGGGATAATGGTGGAAGGAACATAGAGTTGGATCAGGCAGAATTTCTTGCTTTGGGCCACTAATTAGGGACTCTGCATTTAATGTTGCAGCTCAGGGAGTTAAAAAAAGGTCCTAATAGTTTATTTGCTTGGTTAGCTGAAATATAGATTAAAAGATGGCCCATCGTCAGTGAGTGGGAAATCCCTTATCTCCCTTGATTTAAAGTAGAGGAAGGGATCCAAAAACTTAGGGAGATTGGGATGGTGAAGTGGATTAGTCACTTTAGACCTACTCATCCCAGCTGGGAGGGTTCAGAAGATAAGCCCTTGGCCAATGACTTGTGAAATAGAATTGTGAGGGCACGTCCTGCATATTTGAAGAGCCCTGTAATTGCTCTTCTCCGTATGTCATATCTAACAGTGGGAACTGCAGTCTCTCAACTACAAAATTTAAATACAATGGGAATCATTGGATCCCGAGGTTGCAGGAGCCAAGTGGTGGCACTCAGCTGTCGAAGGCAAGGTGGGTGTAGCTACTGTAATGCAGAGCAGAGGTAAAGCGGCAATCAGAATAGTCTGACTCATGTAGAGCTCTGGCATTGGCTAACTAATCATGGTGTTCCTAGAAGTGAAATTGATAGGAAGCCTACCACCTTCCTACTTAATTTATACAAGCAGAAAAGGTCAAATGGACAAAAGACTAATTTGAATTATAAAAACAGAGAATCACAGCCTCTCAATCAATTTCCAGACTTGAGCCAGCTTACAGACCCAGAACCCCATGAATGAAGGGGAGGCCAGATCCCCTTGAGGAAGGACCCCACTACATTACCATTAACTTATGCAGTGAATCTTTCTCCCATCCTTCTCCAAGGAGACCTCCGGCCTTTTACCAGGGTAACTATGCATTGGGAAAGGGAAATGATCAGACATTGTGGGGACTACTGGACACTGGCTCTGAGCTGATCTTGATTCCAGGGGACCCAAAACACCATTGTGGTCCTCCAGTTAAAGTAGGGGCTTATGGAGGTCGTGTAATTAATGGAGTTATAGCTCAGGTCTGACTTACAGTGGGTCCAGTGGGTCCCTGGACTTATCCTGTGATTATTTCTCCAGTGCCAGCATGCATAATTGGCATAGACATACTTAGCAGCTGGCAGAACACTCACATTGGCTTCCTGACTGGTAGGGTGAGGGCTATGATGGTGGGAAAGGCCAAATGGAAGTCATTAGAGCTGCCTGTACATAGAAAAATAGTAAATCAAAAATAATGTCGCATCCCTGGAGGGACTGCAGAGATTAGTGCCACCACCACGGACCTGAAAGATGCAGGTGTGGTGATTCCCACCACATCCCCATTCAACTCTCCCATTTGGCCTGTGCAGAAGACAGATGGGTCTGGGAGAATGACAGTGGATTATCATAAGCTTAACCAAGTGGTGACTCCAATTGCAGCTGCTGTACCAGATGTGGTTTCATTGCTTGAGCAAATGAACACTTCTCCTGGTAACTGGTATGTAGCCATTGGCTTGGCAAATCCCTTTTTCTCCATTCCTGTCCATATGGCCTACCAGAAACAATTTGCCTTCAGCTGGCAAGGCCAGCAATATACCTTTGTTGTCCTACCTCAGGGGTGTATCAACTCTCTGGCTTTGTGTCATAATCTTATTTAGAGAGAACTTGATCACTTTTTGCTTCTGCAAGATATCACACTGGTCCATTACATTAATGACATTATGCTGATTGGATCCAGTGAGCAAGAAGGAGCAAACACACTGGACTTATTGGTGAAACATTTGCATGCCAGAGGATGAGAAATAAATCTGACTAAAATTCAGGGAACTTCTACCTCAGTAAAATTTCTAGGGGTCCAGTGGTGTGGGGCCTGTTGAGATATTTCTTCTAAGGTGAAGGATAAGTTGCTGCATTTGGCCTCTCCTACAACCAAGAAAGAGGCACAATGCCTAGTGGGCCTATTTGGATTTTGGAGGCAACACATTCCTCATTTGGGTGTGTTACTCCAGCCCATTTATCGAGTGATCGGAAAGGCTGCCAGTTTTGAGTGGGATCCAGAACAGGGCAAGGGTCTGCAACAGGTCCAGGCTGCTGCGCAAGCTGCTCTGCTGCTCGGACCATATGACCCAGCACATCCAATGGTGTTCCAGGTGTCAGTGGCAGATAGGGATGCTGTTTTGAGCCTTTGGTAGGCCCCCATAGGTGAATCACGGTGCGGGCCTCTAGGACTTTGGAGCAAGGCTCTGCCATCTTCTGCAGGTAACTACTCTCCTTTTGAGAGACAGCCCTTGGCCTGTTACTAGGCTTTGGTGGAAACTGAATGTTTGACTATGGGCCAACAAGACACCATGCAACCTGAACTGCCTATCATGAAGTGGGTGCATTCTGACCCATCTAGCCATAAAGTGGATCATGCACTGCAGCATTCCATCATCAAATGGAAGTGGTATATATGTGATTGGGCTCAAGCAGGTCCTGAAGGCACAAGTAAGTTACATGAGGAAGTGGCTCAAATGCCCATGGCCTCCACTCCTGCCATCCTGCCTTCTCTTCCCTAGCCTGCACTGATGGCCTCATGGGGAGTTTCCTATGATCAATAGACGGAGGAAGAGAAGACTAGGGTCTGGCTCACAGACGGTTCTGCATGATATGCAGGCACCACCTGAAAGTGGACAGCTGCAGCACTACAGTCCCTTTCTAGGACATCCCTGAAGGACAGCAGTGAAGGGAAATCTTCCCAGTGGGCAGAACTTTGAGCAGTGCAGCTGGCTGTGCACTATACATGAAGGAGAAATTGCCAGATGTGCAATTATATACTGATTCATGGGCTGTAGCCAATGGTTTGGCTGGATGGCCAGAGACTTGGAAGAAGCATGACTGGAAAATTGGTGACAAGAAAATGTGAGGAAGAGGTATGTGGATGGACCTCTCTGAGTGGTCAAAAACTGTGAAGATATTTGTATCCCATATGAGTGCTCACCAATGGGTGACCTCAGCAGAGGAGGATTTTAATAATCAAGTGGATAGGATGACCTGTTCTGTGGACACCACTCAGCCTCTTTCCCCAGCCACCCCTGTCATCACCCAATGGGTCCATGAACAAAGTGGTCATCATGGCAGGGATGGAGGTTATGCATGAGCTCAGCAACATGGACTTCCATTCACCAAGGCTGAGCTGGCTATGGCCACTGCTGAGTGCCCAATTTTCCAGCAGCTGAGGCCAACACTGAGCCCTCGATATGGCACCATTCCTCAGGGTGATCAGCCAGCTACCTGGTGGCAGGTTGATTATAGTGGACCTCTTCCATCATGGAAAGGGCAGAGGTTTGTCCTCACTGGAATAGACACTTACTCCAGATATGGGTTTGCCTACTCTGCATGCAATGCTTCTGCCAAGACTATCATCCATGGACTCATGGAATGTCTTATCCACTGGCATGGTACTCCACACAGCATTGCCTCTGACTAAGACACTCACTTAACAGCTAAAGAAGTGTGGCAGTGGGCTCATGCTCATGGAGTTCACTGGTCTTATCATGTTCCCCATCACCCTGAAGCAGCTGATTGATAGAACGGTGGAATGGCCTTTTGAAGTCACAATTACAATGCCAACTAGGTGACAACACTTTGCAGGGATGGGGCAAAGTTCTTAAGAAGGCCATGTATGCTCTGAATCAGTGTCCAATATATGGTACTGTTTCTCCCATAGCCAGGATTTACAGGTCCAGGAACCAAGGGGTGGAAGTAGAAGTGACACCACTCACCATCACCCCTAATGACCCATGAGCAAAATTTTTCCTTCCTGTTTCCACGACATTATGTTCTGCCAGCATAGAGGTCTTAGTTCCAGAGAGAGGAATGCTGCCACCAGGAGACACAACAATAATTCCATTAAACTGGGAGTTAAGATTGCCACCTGGACACTTGGGCTCCTCCTACCTTTAAGTTAACAGGCTAAGAAGGGAGTTACAGTGTTGACTGGGGTGATTGACCCAGACTATCAAGATGAAATTAGTCTACTACTCCACAATGGAGGTAAGGAAGAGTATGCATGGAATACAGGAGATCGATTAGGGCATCTCTTAGTATTACCATGCCCTGTGATTCAGGTCAATGGGAAACTACAACAGATCAGTCCAGCCAGGACTACAAATGGCCCAGACCCTTTAGGAATAAAGGTTTGGGCCACTCCACCAGGAAAAAAACCACAACCTGCTAAGATGCTTGCTGAAGGCAAAGGGAATACAGAATGGGTAGTAGAAGACGGTAGTCATCAATATCAGCTATGATCACATGACCAGCTGCAGAAATGAGGACTGTAATTGTCATGATTATTTCCTCCTTCTGTAAAAACCTGTTTGTGCATGTATATATTTGTACTAAGAAAATATCTTCATTTTATTTCCTGTTTACTTTATCATGTGACATGAGATTTATTGACTTCACATCAGCATTCAAGTATTGTTAACTTTATGTAATAGTATTTGAGTTGGAGACTGGTACATTTATGGTTGTATGAAGGAAGGATAGTTGTATTATGTTAGGCATAATTATGACCTTATTATTGTCTTTATTTGAAGATTATGATCTCACGAGATGTGTATGGGTTCAAGTTGGCGAGGGGTGGACTTCTGATGGTTAATATTGAGTGTTAACTTGATTGGATTGAAGGATACAAACTTTTGATCCCATGTGTGTCTGTGAGGGTGTTGCCAAAGGAGATTAATATTTGAGTCAGTGGGCTGGGAAAGGCAGACCCACCCTTAATCTGGGTGGGCACAATCTAATCAGCTTCCAGTGTGGCTACAATATAAGCAGGAAAAAACATGTGAAAAGAGAGACTGGCCTAGCCTCCCAGCCTACATCTTTCTCCCGTGCTGGATGCTTCCTGCCCTGGAATATTGGACTCCCAATTCTTCAGTTTTGGAACTCGGACTGGCTCTTCTTGCTCCTCAGCCTGCAGAGGGCCTATTGTGGGACCTTGTGATCATATGAGTTAATACTTTAATAAACTCCCCTATATATATATTTAAATACTTAATAAACTCCCATATACATATGTGTATATATGTGTGTGTATACATATAAACTAAGATATATATACTAATATACTTAATAAACTCCCCTTTATATACATATGTAAATACTTAATAAACTCCCATATGCGTATGTATATGTGTGTGTATATACATAAACTAATAAGATATATATACTAATATACTTAATAAACTCTCCTTTATATATATATACACTTAATAAACTCATATATATGTATGTATAAACTAATAGGATATATATCCTATTAGTTCTGTCCCTCTAGAGAACCCCGACTAATACACCAGTGTATATATGTCCCTCATTCCTACCATTCAGACATCACCTCAGGTAGCAGTTGGGGGAAAGGGGATAAGAGTATGATGTGGATGTATGGCAGCTTTCCAGGACAAGTTTCCTTGAACTAGCTTTGAAACATTACAGAAAGAAGAAGCTAGAGTTAGAAGCTCAGTTTGTGAGACTCCCAGATCAGTAAGTCCTTGGGAGCCCAGTGACAAAGTGTGTCACAGATGTGGAAGAAAGCTTCCTCTTCTGTATTCTGGCTACTTTAGATTAGACACTATGGGAGTGTACAGAGACATCATTCTTTGTGGGAACAGTGCTATTCTCAGGATGGCTGATGAGGGTGGTAAGGTTTTCTCAGCTGACCCTGGAAAGGTGACGTGAGCAATGGGGACTGGATTATGAACAAAAGGAGGGTCTGGTCTCTGCATAGGACTTTCCTTATATAGCATATATGTGAGGGATCTCTTTAATACTTTAATAATGGGACAGCTTGAGGGGAACGCCAAGTTCTTCTGACTATACCAACCAGGCCTAAGAAGACAGAAGACATTTGTGCCTCATGTTTTATGTACACAAATCACGTGTTTTCATTTATTTTAGGAGAAGTTATTGTGCTGGAGAAGCATCACTCACTGAATTGGACATTGTTAGACATTCACTTAGGACAGGTAAAAACTGTGAGGGACTGTAACGAATGTGGGCAACATTATTTCACTGCAAGAGCTTTTATCACCCTGGACTCTTGTGGATGTACATCAATGACTGAGATTCCAACCCCCTGTCTCACAGGTGAATCCAGCCTATCAGAAGCCAGCAATATCCTGGCTGCAGGTGGCACGTGGGTGTTCTTTATATCAGCTGTCAAAATTCAATTATTATGCTGTGCTCTTGAAGCATTTTATAAAGATCATAGATCAAGTGAGACAGTGGATTACCTGGGGGTAACAACTAATAATATACTCAAAGCACTAAAAAAGGGCCAGGGCCAAGATGGCCGACTAGAAGCAGTGACAATCAGAGGCTCCCATCAAAAAGAACCATAATAAGCATGTGACTTCTGCACTGGCAACCAAGGTATTCAGGTTCTCTCATCAGAACTGACTAGGCAGCTGGCATGATACATGGTGAGGAAGAAAGAGCAGTGGGGTACAGCAGCCCACCTGAGAGGCACATGGGGCAGGGGAGTCCCCAACCCCCTATCCATAGGAGGCAGTGAGTAAGCGTGCTACCCAGCTGGGGAACACATGCTTTTTCCACAGAACTGTGCAACCCACGGATTGAAAGATCCCACTTGTGAACCCTCACCACCCGGGCCTAGGGACCAAACCCTGGAGCTGCACAGATTCTCAACAGCCTCTCAGCTAGAATCTACTTAAATCTGCTGTAATCCTGGGGTGGGGGGAGGGGCAACCAGCACCACAGCTGTGGCTTCCTGCTGTCTAAGCCATTTGAGCTCCTTGAAGGAGGAGCAGCAGCCAGCACTGGGTCTCATAACTGCCTAACACACTAAGCTCCCTGGGCAGGAGAAGGGCGGCATCCATCTCTATAGCTCCAGCCTGTGCTTTTCCCCTGCTGGAGCCAGGAAGGCTAGATGGCTTGGTTCAAAGAGTTGTCCCCCACAGCCCAACACACTGGCTGTGGCAGATTGTGGCCAGAGCTCCTCTTCAGGCCTGACTCTGACCCATCCTTCCCCACTGGGCAGGGCCTCCCTGTAGCAACTCCAACAACTCCAGCCAGAGGCTCAGGGCCAGAGCCCTGATCTCCCTGGCTCTGACTCCCTAGGGGGAGGGGTGGCCACAGTCTCTGTGGATCAGCAGACTTAGCCTTTCCTCCTGGTGGTTCTGAGGAATCTGGGCAGCCTAGACAAGTGTGTTTCCCCTCAGGGAAGCACACTCCCTCTACCAAGGGACAGTCAAAGTGCTTTGTTAAGTGGGTCCTGTTCCCCACGCCACCCAACTGGGTGAGACCCTCCAACAGAGGTTGGCAGACACCCTGTATAGGAGCAAACCTACTGGCATTAGATTGGTGCTCCTCAAGGTCAGAGATTCCCAGAAAAAGGAGCAGGCACCCATCTTTGCTGTTCTCCAGCCTCCCTGAGTGACACCTCCAGGTATGGGCATGAACCAGATGAATAGGGCCGGAAGTGAACCCTGGCAAAATGCAGCAGCCCTACAGAAGAGGGACCTTACCACTGCAATAAAAGCAAACAAACAGAAAGCAAAAACAAGAGCATCAACAACAAAAAATAGTTTCCATAAAATCCCCATCCAAGGGTCAGCAGCCTCAAAGATCGGAGCTAGACAAACTCATGAAGATGAGAAAGAATCAATGAAAAAAATGTTGAAAACCCAAAAGGCCAGAGTGCCTCTTTTTCTCCAAATGATTGCAACACCTCTCCAGCAAGAGTGCAGAACTGGACAGAGGATGAGTTGGACGAATTGACAGAAGTAGGCTTCAGAAAATGGGTAATAAAAAACTCTGTTGAGCTAAAGGAGCATGTTCTAACAGAATGCAAAGAAGCTAAGAACCTCGATGAAAGGTTAGAGGTGCTAACCTGAATAAAAAGTTTAGAGAGGAACATAAATGACCTGAAGGAGCTGAAAAACACAGCACAAGAACTTCATGAAGCATATACAAGTATCAACAGCTGAATTGGACAAGCAAAATAAAGGATATCAGAGTTTGAAGACCACCTTGCTGAAATAAGGCATGCAGACAAGATTAGAGAAAAAAGAATGAAAAGGAATGAACAGAGCCTCCAAGAAATATGGGACTATGTAAAAAGACCAAAACTATGAATGATTGAAGTACCTGAAGGAGATGGGGAGAAAGGAAACAAGCTGGAAAACAAACTTCAGGATCTTTATTATCCGGGAGAACTTCCCCAACCTAGCAAGACAGGCCAACATGCAAATTCAGGAAATACAGAGAATGCCACTAAGATACTCCACGAGGAGATCAACCCCAAGACACATAATCATCAGATTCTCCAAGGTCAAAATTAAGAAAAAAATGTTAAGGGCAGCCAGAGAGAAAGGCCAGGTCATGTACAAAGGGAAGTCCATCAGACTAACAGCACACCTGTCGGCAGAAACCATACAAGCCAGAAGAGATTGGGGAACAATATTCGACACTCTTAAAGAAAAGAATTTTCAACCCAGATTTTCATATCGAGCCAAACTAAGCTTCATAAATGAAGGAGAAGTAAAATCCTTTCCAGACAAGCAAAGGCTGAGGGATTTCATCACCACCAGGCCTGCCTTGCAAGAGCTCCTGAAGGAAGCCCTAAATATGGAAAGGAAAAACCAGCCACTACAAAAACACAGCTAAATATAAAGACCAATGACACTGCATCAACTAGCGTGCAAAATAACCAGATAGCATCATGAGGACAGGATCAAATTCACACATAACAATACTAGTTTTAAATGTAAATGGGCTAAATGCCCCCAATTAAAAGACACCAACTGACAAATTAGATAAAGAGTCAAGACCCATCAGTGTGCTGTATTCAGAAGACCCATTTCACATGCAAAGACACGCATAGGCTAAAAATAAAGAAATGGAGGAATATTTACCAAGCAAATGGAAAGAAAAAAAAAAGTAGGGGTTTCAATCCTAGCCTCTGACAAAACAGACTTTAAACCAACAAAGATCAAAAAAGACAGAGAAGGGCATTACATAATGGTAAAGGGAACAATTCAACAAGAAGAGCTACCTATCCTAAATATATATATGCACCCAATACAGGAGCACCCAGATTCATAAAACAAGTTCTTAGAGATCTACAAAGAGACTTAGACTCCCATACAAAAATAGTGGGAGATTTTAACATCCCACTGTCAATATTAGACAGATCAACAAGACAGAAAATTAACAAAAATATTCAGGACTTGAACTCAGTTCTGGATCAAGTGGACCTAATAGACATCTGCAGAACTCTCCACCCCAAATCAACAGAATATACATTTTTGTTGTTGTTGTTGTTGCTCGGTTGCCCAGGCTGGAGTACAGTGGCATGATCTCAGCTTACTGCAAGCTCTGCTTCCGGGGTTCATGCCATTCTCCTGCCGCAGCCTCCCGAGTAGCTGGGACTACAGGCACCCGTCACCAAGCCCAGCTAATTTTTGTATTTTTATTAGAGATGGGGTTTCACTGTGTTAGCCAGGATGGTCTCGATCCCCTGACCTCATGATCCGCCCACCTCGGCCTCCCAAAGTGCTGGGATTACAGGCGTGAGCCACTGTGCCCAGCCCAGAATATATGTTCTTTTCAGCACCACATGGCACTTATTATAAAATCGACCACATAATTGGAAGTAAAACACTCCTCAGCAAATGCAAAAGAACTAAAATCATAACGAACAAACTCTCAGACCACAGTGCAATCAAATTAGAACTCAGAATTAAGAAACTCCCTCAAAACCACAATTACATGGAAATTGAACAACCTGCTCCTGAATGATTCCTGGGTAAATAATAAAATTAAGGCAGAAATCAAGAAGTTCTTTGAAACCAATGTGAACAAAGACACAATGTACCAGAATCTCTGGGATAAGCTAAAGCAGTGTTAGGAGGGAAATTTATAGCACTAAATGACCAAATCAGAAAGCTATAAAGATCTCAAATCGACACCCTAGCATCACAATTAAAAGAGCTAGAGAGGCAAGAGCAAACTGATCCAAAAACTAGTAGAAGACAAGAAATAACTAACATCAGAGCAGAATTGAAGGAGATAGAGACATGAAAAACCGTTCAAAAAAATCAATGAATCCAGGAGCTGGTTTTTTGAAAAAATTAACAAAATAGACAGACCACTAGCTAGACCAATAAAGAAGAAAAGAGAAAAGAATCAAATATACACAATAAAAAATGATAAAGGGGATATCACCACTGATCCCAAAGAAATATAAACTACCATCAGAGAATACTATAAATACTTCTATGCAAATAAACTAGAAAATCTAGAAGAAATGGATAAATTTCTGGACACATACACCCTCCTAAGGCTAAACCAGGAAGAAGTCAAATCCCTGAATAGATCAATAACAAGTTCTGAAATTGAGGCAGTAATTAATAGCCTACAAACCAAAAAAAAAAAAAAAAAAAAAAAGCTCAGGACCACAGATTCACAGCCAAATTCTACCAGAGGTACAAAGAGGAGCGTTTCTTCTGAAACTATTACAAAGAATTGAAAAGGAGGGACTCCTCCCTAACTCATTTAATGAAGCCAGCATCTTCCTGATAACAAAACCTGGCAGAGACACAACAGAAAACGAAAACTTCAGGCCAATATCCCTGATGAATATTGATGTGAAAATCCTCAATAAAATACTGGCAAACTGAATCAAAAAACTTACCCACCATGATCAAGTCGGCTTCATCTCTGGGATGCAAGCCTGGTTCAACATATGCAAATCAATAAACATAATCCATCGCATAAACAGAACCAAAGACAAAACCCACATGATTATCTCAGTAAATGCAGAAAAGGCCTATGATAAAATTCAACATCCCTTCATGCTAAAAACTCCCAATAAACTAGATATTGATGGAACATGTCTCAAAACAATAAGAGCTCTTTATGACAAACCCACAGCCAATAACATATTAAATGGGCAAGAGCTTGAAGCATTCCCTTTGAAAACCAGTACAAGACAAGCATGCCCTCTCTCACCACTCCCATTCAAGATAGTATTGGAAGTTTTGGCCAGAGTAATCAGGCAAGAGAAATAAATAAAGGTATTCAAATAGGAAGAGAGGATGTCAAATTGTCTGTTTGCACATGACATGATTCTATATTTAGGAAACCCCACTGTCTCAGCCCAAAAACTCCTTAAGCTGATAAACAACTTCAGCAAAGTCTCAGGATACAAAATCAATGTGCAAAAATTACAAGCATTCCTTTACACCCACAATAAACAAGCAGAGAGCCAAATCATGAATTAACTCCCATTCACAATTGCTACAAAGAGAATAAAATACCTAGGAATACAGCAAACAATGGATTTGAAGGAGCTCTTCAAGTAGAACTACAAACCACTGCTTAAGGAAATAAGAAAGGACATAAAGAAATGGAAAAACATTCCATCCTCATGGATAGGAAGAATCAATATCGTGAAAATGGCTATATGGTCCAAAGTACTTTACAGATTCAATGCTATTCTCATCAAACTACCATTGACATTCTTCACAGAATTAGAAAAAACTACTTTAAATTTCATGTGGAATCAAAGAAGACCCTGTAGAGCCAAGACAATCCTAAGCAAAAAGAACAAAGCTAGAGACATCACGCTAACTGACTTCAGAGTATACTACAAGGCTGCAGTAACCAAAACAGGATGGTACTGGTACCAAAACAGATATATAGACCAATGGAGCAGAACAGAGACCTCAGAAATAACACCACACATCTAAAACCATCTGATTTTCAACAAACCTGACAAAAACAAGCAATGCAGAAAGGATTCCCTATTTAATAAATGGTGCTGGGAAAACCGACTAGCTGTACGCAGAAAACTGAAACAGGACCCCTTCTTTACATCTTATATAAAAATTGACTCAAGATGGGGAAACGATCTCCTATTCAATAAATGGTGCTGGGAAAATTGACTAGCCAGCTGCAGAAAACTGAAACTGGACCCCTTCTTTACACCTTATACAAAAATTGACTCAAGATGGATTAAAGACTTAAATGTAAAAACCAAAACCATAAAAACCCTACAAGAAAACCTAGGCAATGCCATTCAGGACATAGGCATAGGCAAAGAATTCATGACAAAAATGCCAAAAGAAATTGCAACAAAAGCCAAAATTGACAAATGGGATCCTATTAAACTAAAGAGCTTCTGCACAGCAAAAGAAACTAGCATCAGAGTGAACAGGCAACCTACAGAATGGGAGAACATTTTTGCAATTTACCTATCTGACAAAGGTCTAATATCAAGAATTTACAAGGAACTTAAACAAATTTACAAGAAAAAACAAACAACCCCATCAAAAAGTGGACAAAGGATATAAACAGACACTTCTCAAAAGAAGACATTTATGGGGCCCACAAACACATGAAAAAAAGCTCAACATCACTGATCATTAAAGAAATGCAAATCAAAACCACAATGAGATACCATCTCATGCCACTCAGAATGGTGATTATTAACAAGTCAAGAAACAACAGGTGCTGGCAAGGCTGTGGAGAAATAGGAGTGCTTTTATACTGTTGGTGGGAATGTAAATTAGTTCAACCATTGTGGAAGACAGTGTGGTGATTCCTCAAGGATCCAGAACCAGAAATACCATTTGACCCAGCAATTTCATTACCGAGTGCATACCCAAAGGAATGTAAATCATTCAACTATAAAGACACATGCACACATATATTTATTGCAGCACTATTTACAATAGCAAAGTAATGGAACCAACCCAAATGCCCATCAATGATAGACTGCATAAAGAAAATATGGTACATATACACCATGGATTACTATGCAGCCATAAAAATGAACAAGATCATGTCTTTTGCAGCGACATGCATGAAGCTGGAAGCCATCATCCTCACCAAACTAACACAGGAACAGAAGACCAAGCACCACATGTTCTCACTTATAAGTGGGAGTCTTACAATGAGAACATGTGGACACAAGGAGGGGAACAACACACACCAGGGCCAGTTGGGTGTTGTGGGGTGAGGGGAAGGAAATTAGAGGATGAGTCAATAGGCGCAGCAAACTACCATGACACATGTATACCTGTGTAACAAACCTGCATATTCTGCACATGTGTCCTGAAACTTAAAGTAAAATTTAAAAAAAAAAAGAAAAAAACTTAAAAAAATGTTCTGCCATATGAGATTATAAGAAGGGTAGAAAATGTCCGTCAGAATAGACAACAAGTCCCAAAGCTTTTGACCTGGAAGAATGCAGCTTATTTGCTATAAATCTTTTTTTTGTTGTTGTTCCTAGAGCTTCTTTCACTGGAGCCACTTTGGGGCATTTTTGTCTTAGTGGATTCATCGATGTTCTAGGTGGCATGAGTGGGTGGGTGGGGTTGGGGATCCAAAGTTAACACCTGTCTCCTTCATGTGATAATCAGACTAATTTATCATAGCCACAGGGCAATGACAGTTTCTTGGAGGTTTCCTGGAAGTCAGGAAATAGTCTCCTGATGGAAGATGGAATTGCTTCCACCAGTAGGTACATCAGTGATTTTGTCAGGTAGAGGGGATGGCCTGATATAGCTTACAGGGACAGAAGTTCTTTACTTTTTGAAAATGACTTGGTGTTTTCAAATAGGGATAACTAGACTTAGCACCTGGAGAAGTTAATCATAAACAAAATGTACTCTAAAGTACATGTACACATACAAAAATGCTTATTTTAGAGAAGAAAAATGACTAGTGAGTTATATCTTATTTTCTCTTTAAAGTCAACCAAACTTTTATCCTTCTTGCCTGAGTACTATGTAAGAATGATGGACTTTTTGTTCTATAAAGATGAGGATACGGCCAGGTGCAGTGGCTCATGCCTTTAATCCCAATGCTTTGGGAGGTTGAAACCGGGGGATTGCTTGAGGCCAGGTGTTCAAGACCAGCCTGGGCAACATAGTGAGACTCCCAACTCTTAAAAAAAAAAACAAAGATGCGGATGGTTAGTACATGTTTTCCTAAGACAGTCATGAGCTCTGTAATAATGTTTTGGTCAATGACAGACTGCACATGTGATGTTGGTCTCGTAGATTATAATACTCGTAGATTATAATAATGGAGCAGAAGAATTCCTGCTGACATCATAGCTGTCTTAACCTCATAGTGCAATACATTACCCATGTGTTTGTGGTGATGCTGGTGTAAACAAGCCTATTGTGCTGTCAGTCATATAACAGTATAGTACATAAAATTATGCACAGTACATAATACTTGATAATGATAATAAATGACTATGTTACTGGTTTATGTATTTACTACACTGTACTTTTTATTGTCACCTTAGAGTGTACTCATTCTACTTATAAAAATAAAGTTAACAATAAAACAGCCACAGGCAGGTCCTTCAAAAAGTATTCCAGAAGAAGGCATTGTTATAATAGGAGGTGACAGCCCCATGTATGTTACTGCACTTCAGACTTTCCAGTGGGACAAGATGTGGATGTGGAAGACAGTAATATTGATGATCTTGAACCTGTGTAGGCCCAGGGTAATGTGTTTGTATCTTATTTTTTAAACAAAAATGCTTAACAAGTAAAAAAAAATAAAAACAGAAGAAAGCTTATAGAATAAGGCTATAAAGAAAGAAAACATTTTTGTATAGTTGTGCAATGTGTTTGTGTTTCAAGCTAAGTGTTATCACAAATGAGTCAAAAAGTTAAAAAACTAACAAACTTATAAATTTAAAAAGTTACAGCAAGCTAAGACTAATTAATTATTGAAGGAAGAAAGTAGCTTTTTATAAATTTAATGTAGCCTAAGTGTACAGTGTTTATAAAGTCCACAGTAGTGTGTAGTAAAGTTCTAGGCTTTCACATTCACTCACCACTCACTCACTGACTCACCCAGAGTAACTTACAGTCCTGCAAGCTTAATTTATGGTAAGTGCCCTGAACAGGCGTACCATTTTAAATCTTTTATACCAGTACTTTTATTGTACCTTTTCTATGTTAAATAGGTTTAGATACACAAATACTTTTCATCATTTTAACTGCCTGCAGTATTCAGTACAGTAACATGCTGTACCAGTTTGTAGTCTAGGAGCAATAGGCTATGCTATAGCCTAGGTATGTAGCAGGCTATACCCTCTAGGTTTATGTAAGTTCACTCTACGATGTTTACACAAATATGAAATCACCTATAACACATTTTTCAGAATGTATCCCCATCATTAAGTAACACATGACTGTACCACTCTGACATATGAATATCATGAATTATTAAATTCCATTAAATTATGACTAAGAAAATTAATGTATCTGCATGAAGAATCTATGTTAAATAAAAATATTTTTAACATTTATGTAAATAACAATGTCACTTAAAGTCAATTATGTCTTTACAGTAATAAGAATTGGGAAAGGCCCAGCTTTAGGATGTTTTGCTTTTAAGTCGACTTTAATGTATAATTAACGTGCAGTAAAATGTACCTATTTAAAAGGTTCATTTTGATGACATTCTGCAAATGTATATGACTATGGGAACACTATCTCAATCAAGACCTTTCCATGACCCCAAGAAATTGCCTCATGCCTCTTTGTAGTCATCTCCCCCATCACCCCCATCCCTGGCCTCAGTCAACTGCTGGTCTGCTTTCTGTTACCATAGATTAGTTTTGCTTTTCTCTAGAATTTCATATAAATGGAATCATATAGTACGCACTCTTTTGTGTTTGGTTTCTTTATTTCAGCATAACATTATGGATATTCATATATTCTATTGCATATATCAGTACTTCATTCCTTTTTATTGTTGAACATATTCACTATGTGGATATACTGCAATCTGTTTATGTATTCTGTTACTAATGCACTTTTAGACTGTCTCCAGTATGGTGCTATTATGAACAAAGCTTTTATAAATATTCTTGCACAAATAGTTGTATGGACATGCATTTTACTTCTCTTGACTAAACAAAGGTAGAATTGCTGAGTAAAGGTTTTTATTTAAAATTTCTCTTATGTTTGCTTTATTTTATTTATTTTAGAATTAGGTCTATTTTAGCCTCAAATAAATACCTCCTTATTTGTAATACAAACATTTGATCAAAGTTCTTCTGCAGAAAGGAGCCATAGTCTTTCTTTTTATCTTAGTTGGTGTTTAACTTCTTATACTCTGGCAGTAGTGATATGGAAGGGGAGCAAGGAAGTGCTGGGAGGAGAAGGGCAGGGCCCCGGCGAGGGCTGCACCCCTGGGCCTGTGCCCACGGACCTAGGTGAGGACAGGCACTTCTACCTTCACGCCCAAATGCTGCATTTCCCAGCACCGCCCTGGCCCGCCACGCCCCCATCCTATAAAAACCGCGACTAGCAGGCAGACACACAAGCAGCTGGACGTTGAGAGGAACACCTTGGTGGAAGAAGACACAAATGGCTGGACGTTGAGAGGATGTAGAGGGGAGCATGCTGGTGGAAGAGCACATGACAGACACTGGCACGCCAACAGGCCATCAGGCCATCGACCAGCGGAATGAGGCAGAGTTTGGCAGGGGCAGTTGGAGGAGAGCCCAGGCTACTGTGCAGCCTGACTCCAGGGGAAAACCATCTCCCTTCTGGCTCTCTCATCTGCTAAGTGCTACTTCCATTCAATAAAAGCTTGCATTTATTCTCAAAGCCCATGTGTGATCCGATTCTTCCGGTACACCAAGGCAAGAACCCCAGGATACAGAAAGCCCTCCGTCCTTACGACAACGCGTGGGTCTAATTGAGCTTACTAACACAAGCAGCGGGATGGCTAAACTAAAAGAGCACCTTGTAACATATGCCCACTGGAGCTTCAGCTGTAAACATTCACTCCCAGACACTGCTGTGGGGTCAGAGCCCCACAGCCTGCCTGCCTGTGTGCTCCCCTAAAAGTTTGAGCAGTGGGGTACTGAAGAAGCTAGCCACACCCCCATCGCACACCCTGTGAAGGGGGCAAGGGAACTTTTCCTGTTTCAGTACTCCAGATATGCTGCAATGTCTTTTGTAGTGTTGCCTATATTTCAGGAAACTGGGAGCTTAGTTTATATATGGAAAAAGGGAAGTATTCTCTGTGGTAAAGGTCATAAAGAAGAGAGCTGGAGACAGAGAGACAGTGTCAGGATCATCAGCCTGTGAATTGGGTAGAAAGGAGTGGTTAGGTATATGGAGCAAGATGAATACAGAAGAAGTAGGCTGAAACGCCTTTTAAATAAATACCAGAGTGAAATGCTGAGAACAGAACCAATTTCAAAACCATCTGTCTTTAAGTCCTTTTCATCTTTTAGAATACGAACATGTCACTTTTCCTTGGGTTCTTTAGAAACTCTAAAGGGTGAAAACTGTTAGGGATGTATTACTTTTTCACAAGAAGAAAGCAGACATAGGGTTTTTCTTTGTTTTTTAAGAGCACATTATGTTGGGTGTTAGGTTAAAGAATCTTTCCGGCCGGGCATGGTGGCTCACGCCTGTAATCCCAGCACTTTGGGAGGCCGAGGCAGGCGGATCGTGAGGTCAGGAGATCGAGACCATCCTGGCTAACATGGTGAAACCCCATCTCTACTAAAAAAATAAAAAAATTAGCCAGGCATGGTGCCGGGCACCTGTACTCCCAGCTACTCGGGAAGGCAGGAGAATGGCGTGAACCCGGGAGGCGGAGCTTGCAGTGAGCCGAGATGGCGCCACTGCACTCCAGCCTGGGCGACTGAGCAAGACTCCGTCTCAAAAAAAAAAAAAAGAATCTTTCCATGTCAAGATGTCCAGAAATTGTTCCTCTTCTAGAAAACACATTGTTTTTGTTCTTTTATTCTGTTAAAAACAGATACAAAGCAGTTGATCTATTGCTTTATTTTGAAGGCATCCTTGAACATCGTGTTTTAATCAGTCTGCTTAAAAGGAACAGCTATTCACATCAGTTGAAGTGAAAAAGAGGTATGTGGAGAATAGGTAAGGTTATGTCATCAAAATGAGGGTAGCAAATAAGGCCAAGCTTCATGAGAAGTGGCGCAGGAGATGGAATGCCATTGGGAACTCACAAGTTCTCTGTCTCTGATGTCATCATTCTCTGAATCTCTCTGTGGGTCTTTCTGTCTCCTTCTGTCCTTATTTCTCCTTCACTGTGTTTCCTTTGTCCAATATGTTCTTTCAACTCTGTCATTTCCTGAAAGACGTATTCTTTATCTTCTTTGCTGGATGGTTTAATCTGCTGATCCATAACCTTGCTTCTTATCAGTGTGGCTTGCCTCAGTTCTACAAGGCCTTTCAGCTTTTCCTGACACAATCTATGTGGATAGAAGTTCAAATTCTCAAGACAGGGAATCCAATTGGTAACAGATAGTTGAACAGATGGACAGGTGTATGAAGAGCTGTTCATCTTTTGTTAATGCCTGTGGCCAGGTTGGGGGCAGGGTCACGTACTCCTAATCCAGCCTCTTAGCCCTTCACCTTTGGGTAGGGGTCATGTGTAGGAAAGTTTAAGGAAAAGTTGGGCATGGCAGACAAACTGAATGACATAACCACTGTGAATGGTCTTCTACTTACTGGAAGTGTTTAAAAAGCCTTTCCTACTAGGCACCAATTTTCTAATGCTTCCCTGAAGTTTAGTAGATGGACAGGCAGACAGGCAGACAGAATAGAGCTACCAAACTAAGCAGCCAGTTAAACTTGAAGTGTCCCAGTCATTTTGAAAGAAAATTCTTTCCTGAAGTCTAATTAAAATTGGCTAGACTGCAAATGGCCTGCTAACTGATTTGATTTTAAACAACTATTTTCTAATGAGTATTGGATGAAACATAAAGAATAAGCAAACAAGTGAGTCAATCTAAAGGATAGTGTCTCAAGATCTGCAGTAACATTGAGTATATCTGAATTTGGCTATGTCTGCTGAGCTACAATCACCCTATTTGACATTTTAGGATCTAAGCCATGAACCTGAAGCCTGTATTTTGACTAGTTGAATATGTAATAATACTTGGATTTAATGAAAGCCAGCTATCAGCTTTGAGTTACTTTGTCTTTAACTCATCAGGGTGTAAATGGGCTTCAAGGAAATTTTTAATCTAAATGTAAATTAGCTATTTCCATAACAGCCCTAGTATGAATTTGAGTATGTGCAGAAAAGGATCGGATGCAAGCAATATTTTGAAAATAATGTCAAGAAAGAGGCTGTACAAGTGATACATGACTTTCGATGAATTTGAATATAGGTTATATTAAGATGCTGTCAATGAAAATATTGTCATTAAAAATTTTCTGGGACCAACAATACATGAAATAATATGTAGAACAGAGAATGAAAATAAGATTTCATTGTAGATGTTAAACTATGTTAAAGGTCACAGTTTTCTATTAGAGAGCTTCCATTTGGCAGATCTCATATAAAAGCTGATAGTATCTTTACTGAATTCATTTTCTACTTAGTAAAGTGACTTAAATTTAAAGTGATTAAAACTTTTATTTTTGATATAAAAATATGCTTTATCTAATATTTAAATCTGGATTTATGAGTAAATACGCAGTCTTATATTTATAACTGGAGTGTGACATGCTAAAAAATCATAAAACCCCAATTTTTTCCTAATTTTAATCAGAATGAAATCTATGTTAATATAGTATCTAAATCTTCTAATCAATTATTTTATTTTTAAGAAAAAGGTAACACAGGGAAATGTTCCAGCGGATATTAATACAAATTACAGGTATTCGGAATCATTCTAAAGTTCAGTGAGTATTAGTCTCCAACAACAGTTGCCAATCACAAGGAACAGAATGGAAAGCATAGAAAGATACAGAATGAGTTATTTTTGCTACTCTTTTCCATTTGCTAATACTTTAGCTTAAAGGAAGGTAGAAAATTACCTTAGGAATGATGGCTATTCCAAAATTTAGTGGTAACTTCTAAATAAAACATAGGACATACTACCTGAGCTCTTTTAGTGACAACTGGTTTTTTGTTTGTTTGTTTGTTTGTTTGTTTTTGAGACAGAGTTTTGCTCTTGTTGCCCAGGCTGGAGTGCAATGGTGGGATCTCGGCTCACCAAAACATCTGCCTCCCAGGCTCAAGCAATTCTCCTGCCTCAGCCTCCTGAGTAGCTGGGATTACAGGCATGGGCCACCACGCCTGGCTAATTTTGTATTTTTAGTACAGACGTGGTTTCTCCATGTTGGTCAGGCTAGTCTCGAATTCCCGACCTCAGGTGATCCGCCCATCTCGGCCTCCCAAAGTGCTGGGATTACAGGTGTGAGCCACCGTGCCCGGCCAGACAACTGGCTTTAACTCAGTATGCTGCGAATTTATTTCCAGAGGGAAATAAATACATTTTTAAATTATTTGAATTATTGTCATTAGGATTCATTAAAATACAAATCACTATCATTAAGATCAATGTTAAATACCCTTAGAAATAAAGAATTTCTACACTTATCAATATATTAAACACCTTGGTCCTTTAAATATTAACTCACAGAATTAAAAAACGTCTGGGTTTTTTTGTATAAGCCCCTGGAGTTTAATGACTGTGCTGGATGGTTCTCACTATGAACTGACTCTCACGCAATTGTAAACTTGCTGGGAAATGATTTTATTGCATAAGAAAATGACTGAGCAGAGACCAGTGAGCTGTGTCTGCTGATAGACTATAATTTGCAGACCATGATGTCAAAGCAGATTTGAGATTTGTGACAGTGGTTGGTGATTGCACTAGTCAACAATTCTGTCGCAGCAGTGAACCATGTCATGCACAATCTTATTCTACCACATCGTGCATATGTGTAAGTTCAGTTTATGTAGTCATATATATATATATATATATATATATATATATATGGTCACAACAGCCTATATTCCAGACTATGTAATATCTGGTACAAATAAGAAATGGATAGCTATTATTATTACTAAACCTATCCTCAATATTTTCTGATGACATTAAAAAAAGTAATAAGACAGATCTCTTTTCTGTTGACTTGTACATTATTTTAAAGTACTCTGTGTCTGTCAGAGATCAAAAAAGTTTTGTATGAACCCAGTTGATTTTGTTCCTTTCTAAACAGAAAGGCACTTCTGCAGGGGATTATCCTCACACTCACAACATTTGGAAGGTAGCCTGGTGGTTTTAGCTGCCACATTCTTTAATAAAGCATTTGTGGGCCAGGTCCCCAGGGAAACAACGGTGCTGGTGGTAGGCAGGATTTACGGCCCCATGAACTTTGTCCTCTGGTGGCACATTGCTGTTATGTTATTTGGCGAAAGGGACTTTGCAGATGTTATTAAGGTGAAGACTTTAAGATAGAGAGGTTATCCTGGATTATCTGGGTTGGTCCAATCAAATCACATGAGCCCTGAAAAGTGGAGAACTTTCTGGAGAACTTGTTGGAGTCAGAGAGATGTGGGAGAAGTCAGAAAAGTTTAAAGCAGGAAAGGGAATCCACTGCCATTGCTGAAGGGGGCCACATGGAAAGCATAAGAAAGGATACAGGTCCAGAGTTCCCCACTGTGTAATATATCCATGTATCAAAACTGCACTGGACACCTGGAATTTATTAAAAAATAAAAATAAAAAAGAACAAGGGCAGCTGTAGGAGCCAGAACTGCCTCCTGGTTTACAGTAGCAAGGACGGGGACCTTAGTTCCACAACCGCAAGGAACTGTTTGCCCAACAACCTGAATGAGCTTGGAGGCAGACTCTCCCCAGCACCTGGAGTAAGGAATACACCCCTACCAAAACCTTCAGTTTGGCATTGTGAGATGACCCTAAGCAGAGTATCTAGCCCAGCCACCCAGACTTTTGACCTTTAGAAACTGTTAGATCAAGCTTGTCCAATCGGTGGTGCTGGCCGCATGTGGCTCAGAAGGGCTTTGAATGCAGCTGAACACAAATTAGTAAACTTTGTTAAAACATTGTGAGTTTTTTTTTGTATTTTTTTTTAAAGCTCATCAGCTTTCACTAGTTTTAGTGTATTTTATGACAATTCTTCCCATGTGGCCCAGGGAAGCCAAAAGTTTGGACACCCTTGTGTTAGATAATACATTTGCATTGTTTTAAGGCACTAAGCTTGTGGAAATTTGTTGTAGCACAATAGGAAATTAATACCATGTCCACTACTGAGAGATCCCCAAATGTTGTCCTGGTATTTCCACTGGTGAGAATACATCTACCTCCCTGGGTTTTATATTCCATCCATTTACATTCAATTCTCCTAACTCTTCACCCATTCTATGACTTTCTATACCGTCCTGTAACCTGTTATAACATCCATAAACATCCTGTAACTTCCATAATACAGACAAGATTCCTAGAACATCCCATAGCCTGTAACATTGATGATATATACAAAGTAAGTCTACAGAGGTAGCAAGCAGCCTGGGGAAATTACTCATCTGGTTTAAGTCACCCATATCTCTGGAAAATAATTGATTATATTAAAATCTATTTTTAAAATATGCCAACCATCTCCTTCCCACCGTCATTCTTTCTGTCGACAGCCTCTTTCTCCTTAAGCAATTGATTTTTAGTAGTCTGCAATTTAGATTTAGAAAACTGAAATTTATCATATGAGACCATAATGTTAGGCTACTTCAAGATTGTCATTAACAGACTCCAACACTGCTTACTCAATAGAGAATTGCCTCTCTTTGGTCCACTTTAGCACAGAGAGCAAATTAACTCATTTTTTCACCCAGAGATTTGCTTCTGGAGTTAGATGGGAAGAATGTGAGTTTACAGCTGAGTTAACTAGGGCTATGAGAGCCCTTTCCATTAACTGCAGGCTATTGCAAGAAGTGTGTTATGTCCATTGTTTCTGTTTCCTTTGCCAATTTGCAAAAACACCCAGAAGTTTAATAATTGTAACTTTGCATTCTGAAATAAATAAGCAAGATAGCCAATTAAGGATACATGCATATAAATCAAAATTATTTTCCACATTTATGAAAAGAAAATGTGAATTCGAAAAAATATCTAGAGGACACTTGTAAGTTTTCCCCAAAATGGTTAGTGTTAGGAGGTTCACTAGAATTAGGAATTGCTACCTACACTTTTCCTCAGCTTTAGAGTCACAGATGTGGGCTTGAATCCCAATTCCATCACTTAGTGGCCTGTGTGATGTTGAGTGAGTTACTAAGCTTCTCTAATTTTCCATTTTCTCATCTTTACCATGGAGATAATAACATATATCTTGAATCTTTAGAGAAGCTGGCACAGTTCTTCCAGATGGCCATCAGTGGGGATGCTTTCAACAAGACAATTCAAAGTCCTAATTCATTTTCTTTGACAGTTTTCTGCACATAACACATTCTATGTAAACCATTAAGATAATCAAAATCTCAGACCATTTCTCCCCCTAAGCATGGTTAAGAGTTTTCTCCACCTCTCAAAAAGAATAAGATGGTAAAATAAAATGGGCAATAAAGGGGAAACATGGAGATGGTAGAATGTATATGGAAGCTGTCCTACATACGCCCTTGGAATAGTTAGTGTACAGATGTCATGGACATTTGTCTTCTATAGCCAAGCTATTTTCAAAGATCTTTAAATATAATTTTAAAATGTTTTGCTTTATTAGACACCATGTATGAAATGTTAATATCATATCTTTCAAGTCAGTTCTTAGACTTGAATTTGACGTTATTTCTTGAGCAACTGAGAATAGAAATTGAACTTATGTGTGCTGTGTTTATGATGGTAGCAGGGCATGTCAAGACAGGTCTGAACATAAAAGGAATTATTATTTCACATTTTCCAAGGATCCCAGAGACAGAACTATTTTCTTAAATAGAGTGCTAATATTTTTACTTTGATAGAAACTTAAATTGTAGGAAAATTCAGTTTGTTAAAATCTACCTTCTTTTTCTGTTTAGATATCGGTCTTGCCAGTGGCAATGTAGAAATTTGTTCTTCATCTCAGTAGAGGATATTATGCTGATCATTTTAGGAAAAAAAAAGTTTCATTGTCTTCTAAATAATAGTTTGTCAGAGGGAAATGTATTATACTCTCTTTAAAATGCGAATAAACTCAGGTGAGTTTTTCTTAGCTGGCAATTAAGAAATGTTAAACTGTTTGCAACAAACAAAAGATGCTGTTTTATATAAGGTAGAAAAACTTTTCATATTAGAAGTATTGAACTGAGAGTCAAAAGAAACCCAGAAATCACCCTGAATTCCCTGTCTCCCTCACCCGAAACACCCAGTGTTCTAAGTTCTGCACCTTCTTTCCAATCTACCCTTATCTCTCCAACTCACACCCGGAGTTTTACTTCAGGCCTCTATTTCCTCTTGCTTGCATGGACCTTGGAAGTCATCTAACTGCTCTCCCTGCTTCCACCACTATCACTTGGCACCACCACAATTCAACTCTATAGTTCTGTTGATGCGACCTATCTGAAACGAATCCAGTCATGTTGCTCCCTGCTTCCTGGCTTCCACTGCTTGGAAAATGAAGTCCAAGCTTCTTACTTTGCCATATCAGGGGCTCACGATCTGGCCTTTGGTCATTTCTATTTTTCCACTTTCCATCTCTGCACCCTCACCCCATGCTTGAAACAGCTCAGTATTCCCAGAAGCCACCCAGGCTGTTTTATTGTCTGTATCTTTGCTCAATCTGCTTTGATTATCCTCCCCCATCCTCCTTTCCCTTGCCATTCATCTTCTAGATTGAGCTCAGTGCTAAATCTCTGACCCTACTGGTCTTACCCACACAGAACTGACTTCTCCCTTCTCCAGGTCTTCTCTATATTCTGTATAAATTTTTGGATATAGCATTTGTCATTTTTTTTTAAAAGACAGGGTCTCATTCTGTTGTCTAGGCTGGCATGCTGTGGCATGATCATAGTCCACTGCAGCCTCTATCTGCCTCCTGGGGTCAAGCAATCCTTCTGCCTCCACCTTCTAAGTAGCTGGGACCACAGGCATGTGCCACCATGCCTGACTAATTTTTTAATTTTTTGTAGAGATGGGGTCTCACTATGTTGCCCAGGCTGGTCTTGATCGAACTCCTAGTCTCAAGCAATCCTCCAGCTTAGGTCTCCAAAAGCACTGGGATTACAGGTGTGAGCCACCATGCCCAGCCCTATGTTTATCACTTTTTGTTGCATTTGTTCACACAATCATTCTTCACCTCTAGACTTAACCTAGTTGAGATTAAAGTTGTATCTTATCTAGCAAGTCGTAATGTGTTTGGCTTTTTTTTTTTTTTTTTTTTTTTTTTTTTTTGAGGCAGAGTCTCACTCTGTTGCCAGGCCAGAGTGCAGTGATGCGATCTCGGCTCACTGCAGCCTCCATCTCCCAAGTTCAAGTGATTCCCCTGCTTCAGCCTCCCTAGTAGCTGGGACTACAAGCACACGCCACCATGCCCAGTTAATTTTTTTTTGTATTTTTAGTAGAGGCAGGGTTTTACCATGTTGGCCAGGCTAGTCTTGATCTCCTGTGCTTCATACATATTTGTAGAAAGAAGGAGGGAATGGAAAGACTTGGGACAGAGATGTAACTTGCCAGATGTAAGAACTCTGAGAAATCTGAGAAATCATATAACATCTCTGATTTTAAATTTATTCACCTGTAAGACGACAGTACCTCTTCCCAATGCACTAGAGTAAAACCCTTCATCCACAGGCTGCTAGCAACTTCTGCTTTCCTCTGTGCCCTTATTTCAGGCCCCCATCCCCCTCCTCCTCAATTCTCCAGAAGAACATGCCTTCTGATAGTTTCCAGAATGTACCAAGCTGTTTTCACTCTCCCCTGACATCACCCACTCCCGCACACACCGCCCTCGCACTTGCTGATTGCTCTGATGGGAGGTGCTACCCCAAGCTTTGCAAGGCTGCCTGCTTCTCATCAAACACCACCCCCTCAGACAGGCTTCCATTCACATCTCTCTAAAGTAGGTCTCCTCACATTATGCTTGATTTTTAAAAATTTCCTGGTCTGGTATGCTTGTTTCCTTTTCTTTATAACTCTATACCTTGTACTTATTTTATGTGTTTACTTTTTCTGGTTATCTTCCCCCCGTAATATCAACTCCAGGCGGGCAAAGATCACATTGGTCTTGTTCACTGTTTCACTCTGAGGTCCTGACATGTGTCAGGCTCTCAGTTAGTATTTGTTGACTGATTCATAAACTAATCTCAAAGGGTGGTTTTGGGGGTTAGCTCAGGTACAGTATATGAATGAAACTTATAAACTGAAGACACTATAGAAATGTGAAGCACGATTATTATAATAACCAGAACAGGCATAATGGAACCTGGAAAAATAGGTGCCAACTTTCTTTCTCTGCGAAAATGAATGTGCAGCTTGATAAGAAGTTACTCATTTTCTGAGTGTAGAATCTCAGCCTGGGTGACCAGTCCGGCAAGAAATAGACCCTCCATGCCAAGGGGAGGTGTCATTTCTTAACATGTTTTCTAGCAAGGCTGACTCAAATAATTGTGATAAAGATGGTAACACTAGGACTTTTGATATAGAAGCTATTTAGGCAGATAGTGAGGGTAAGAGAGTTCTCGGTGGAATTTCCTTTTAATAAAAAGCAGCCCCTAAATCATCTTTTTTAACAAAAAGCAGCCTGAAAAATCAAGCTGCAAACATAGATAAGCAAGCTGAAAGCTTGCATAGGTATATGCGGGCAGCTGCACTAATAGAAAAGGGACACTTGGAAGTGAGGTATGTTCAATAGGGAGAATCCATTTTCCCTTTTCTTTGTTGCCACGTGTGCAATAAAGAAGCATGCAACATGGTGCTAGCCAGGTAGAGAAGCCATCTACATAATAAAAGAGTAGGGTGGGGCAGCCAGATTCTTCGCACGCTGTGCAAACAGCACACCTGATCCAAACTATCTCTCTATGTAAATATGCCCTATGTAAATCAGATACCTTCTCCTCAAGCTCATCTATAAAAACTCCTGCACTTCGCCATGGACCGGAAGCCCCTCTCTCTCTACAGGAGAATTTCTCTCTTTCTTTTGCCTCTTAAACCTCCAAGCTTAACCTCACATTTTGTGTGTCTGCGTCCTTGATTTCCTTGGTGTGAGGCAATGAACCTCAGGTATTACCCCAGACAAGCGAAGCTGCTTCACTTTCATTGACGGATGCAGGTAGTTTGGGCTCTGGGACACAGGGGCTAGCCACAGATCTTGCCTGAAACAATTTGTGGTGTTTTAAGAGGTGATTTCATATTTCTAACATTTTCCTATGTTTCTTAATTGGAATTTATCTAAAGGAAGAACTATGTCTTCTCCCCTCTATTTATTTGCTCAATCATTTATTTATGAAAGTATAGATTCAGGAATATTTATTTACCTTATTCTATGGGTTATGACACAATGCTATCATTATTGATTTTGTTGCTCAAATTGCTTCACTTTTGGCCATTGTGAGCTCTTTCAGGTAGGCTCCTGTGCCCTTTCTGCATGTCCCCATCTTTTGTTGAGCACTTCTTTATTTTCCAGAATTATAAGATATTCCAGACTCATCTTGTATTTTCCTTGCCCCAGCCTTGGAATCAACCACCAAGGTTTGAGCAATAGGTGTGCTTGTTGCTATTAGGGTACTATTTCTCTTTCCTGTTTCCTTACTTGTAATTTCTTTCCCAAGCTCAAGAAACTTTGTCCTCACTGCCTACAATATATTTACTTATTTTGTTCAACCTTAGTATAAACATAAACTGGTTTTAGAATTTCTAACCCATACCTCCAAGAGAAGCAACTAATACTATAACTAGAGTATAGTATTAGTTCACAATTTTCTAAGTTCATGATACCTTTGTATTAAATCACACTATCTGGATGGTTATTATTATAATGATGATTTTTGGCTTTTGAGGCAAGGAAAACCTTTGCAAAAGGTATTCCCATACACAAACTGGAAGGTGCTTCATCTTCTTTATTCCATTTTCTAAGAACTACATATGTTTGGAAGGCAGGATCAGAAACACTGTACTCAATGCATAGTTTATTGTACAGGCATACCTTGGAGATACTGAGGTTATATTCCAGACCACTGCAATAAAGTGAATATTGCAATAAAGTGAGTCTCACACACGTTTTTTGATTTCCCAGTGCATATAAAAGTTATGTTTATACTGTACTATACTCTATTAAGTGTGAAATAGCATTATGCCAAAAAAGTACATACCTTAATTAAAAATACTTTATTGCTAAAAAGTGCAAACAATCATTTGAGCCTTCAATGAGTTGTAATCCTTCTGCTGGTGGAGGGTCTCGCCTTGCTGCTGATGACTGTTGACTGATCAGGGTGATGATTTCTGAAAATTGGGATGGCTGTGACAATTTCTTAAAATAATGAAGTTTGCTGATCTATTGACCTTTCCTTTCATAACATATTTCTTTGTACCATGTGATGCTATTTGATAGCAATTTATCCACAGTAGATCTTCTTCCAAAGTTGGAGTGAATCCTTTCAAATCCTGCCACTGCTTTAGCAACTAAGTTTGTGCAATAGTCCAAATACATTGTTGTCATTTCAATAATGTTCATAGCATCTTCACAAGGAGTAGATTCCATCTCAAGAAACCACTTTCTTTGCTCATTCATAAGAAGCAGCTCCTCATCAATTAAGGTTTTTATCATGAAATTACAGCAGCAATTCAGTCACATCTTCAGGCTCCAGTAAATCATGAATGTTCCTAATGGCATCTAGAATGGTGAATCTTTTTCAGAAGGTTTTCAATTTACTTTGCCCAGATCCATCAGAGAAATCACTCTCTATGGCAGCTATAGCCTTACAAAATGTGTTTCTCAAATAATATGAATTGAAAGTGAAAATTATTCCTGAACTCATGGGCTGCAGTATGAATATTGTGCTACTAGGCATGGAAACAACATTAATGTTCTTGTACATCTCCATCAGAGCTCTTGGCTGACCACGTGCATTGTCAATGAGCAGTAATATTCTGAAAAGAATCTTTCCTTTAATCAACAGATCTAATCAATGGACTTAAAATAGTCAGTAAACTGTGCTCTAAACAGATGTGCTGTCATCTAAGCTTTGTTCTTCCACTTACAGAACACAGGCAGGGTAGGTTAGCATAATATGTTTGTTTGTTTTTTGAGATGGAGGTCTTGCTGTAATGGCCAGGCTGGACTCAAACTCTCGGGCTCAAGCAATCCTTTCACCTCAGACTCCCAATTATAGGTGTGCCACACCACCTGGCTCAAGATTTAGCATAATTCTTAAGGGCCCTAGCATTTTCAGAATAATCAATGAACACTGGCTTTAACCTAAAGTTACCAGCTGCATTAGGCCCTAACAAGAGAGTCAACCTGTCCCTTAAAGCTTTGAAGCCAAGCATCGACTTCCCCTCTTTAGCTATGAAAGTCCTAGATGGTATCTTCTTCCAATGTAAGGCTATTTCATCTATACTGAAATTTCATCTATCCTGAAAATCTGTTGTTTAGTGTAGCTTCCTTCATCAGCTATCTTAGCTAGATCTTCTAGATAACTTCCTGCAGCTTCTACATCAGCACCTGCTCCTTCACCTTCATTTTTTTTTGTTATAGAGATGTCTTCTTTCCCTAAATCATATGAGCCAACCTTTGCTAGCTTCAAACTCTTCTTTTGCAGCTTCCTCACCTCTCTCAGACTTCATAGCATTGAAGAGAGTTAGGGCGTTGCTCTGGATTAAGCTTTGGCTTAAGGGAATGTTGTGGCTGGATTGACCTTCTATCCAGACCACTCAAACTTTCTCCATATCAGAAATAAGACTGTTTTGCATTTTTTAAAAAATCATTTGTGTGTTCACTGGAGTAGCATTTTTAACTTCCTTCAAGAACTTTTCCCTTGTATTCACAACTTGGCTAACTGGCACAAGAGGTCTAGCTTTCAGCCTATCTTGGCTTTTGACATGTCTTCCCAAATCAACTTACTCATTTCTAACCTTTGATTTCAAGTGAGAGACATGCAACTCTTACTTTCACTTGAAGACAAAGTCATTGTAGGGTTACTAATTGACCTAGTTTCAACATTGTTGTTTCTCAGGAAATAAGAAGGCCTGAGGAGTGGGAGAGAGTCAGGGAATGTTTGGTTGGTGGAACAGTCAGAACAAACACAATATTTATTGATTAAATGTATCCTTTTATATGGGTGGGGTTTGTGGTGTCCCAAAACAGTTACAATAATAACATCAAAGATCACTGATCACAGATCACAGTAATAGGTATAATAATAATTAAATAGTTTGAAATATTGCTAGAATTGACAAAATGTGACACAGAGACATGAAGTGAGCACATGATGTCGAAAAAATGTCCCTGAATAGAATTTCTGGATGCAGAGTTGCCACAAACATCAACTTATTAAAAATGCAGTATTCACAAAGTGCAGTAAATAAAGCACAATAAAACAAGGTATCCTTGTATATGTAATCATGCTTTACTCTTTTGGAGAGTACATAGTTGTAATTAAAAGCAGAGCTTGTGACATCACTCCTTTTTTTTTTTTTTTTTTTCAGGTCAAGAAAATTACATCCCTCCCAGAATGCGAAGATATAAACATGCTCTAAGGAGGTATGACAGCTATGCTCAAGATTCAGGTGCTCAGATAATTAGACGAGGTAAGTAGCAGAACTTTCAAAATGATGGTCGAACGAGGGCAGTTCCCATTTGTGTGTGGCATGCACACACATATGCAAACACACACATGGCCCAGGCCAATGGCTTACCTTTCCAATCAGTTTTCTTACCTACTTAACAGAAGAAATGTATTCTTATATTTTCCTCTCTGTTTTAGCTATCTAACTATTGTGAAGAAGTAACTTTGTGAATTGGTGTGTGCAGTTACCTAAAATATCTTGAGTACAGATACCCAAAATATTCTGGAATTTTCTTTTGCGATTGTCTTCAATGCTAGCTTACAAGTTATTCAAGATAATGAGTTACTTTACTTTATAGTCACCTCTTATATTTATAGAAAGTCATATTCCATTTGATCCCTCACTTTATCACCCTTGGCTCTGAATAACTTCTGGATGTTTCAAATGTGCTTCCAAAGGATAAAAATTTTCCATCCCTTAAAGAATGAACATTTGAGGATGTTAAGAATGCATTCTCGGGATGATGGCAATTCCAAAGAGGACTCCCTGTGCCCTGGACTGCTCCTCTCCCCAACACAAGATTTTGAGCAATTGCAACGTTGTTAAAATAACTAGTTGTTAAAACTCATCTCAGCTGGGTGCCATGGCTCATGCCCTTAATCCCAGCAAGGCGGACAGTGGGGGATTGCTTGAAGCCAGGAGTTTGAGACAAGCTTAGGCAACACAGAGGGACCCCATCTAAAAATAAAAAGCTTATCTGTTGTTCAAGGATACACCATTTATTTGATGGTTTATTTAGGTTACATGGTTTATTCAAACCTTGAACATCGAGGAAACCTCAGAGGGGTGAATGTACTTAAGACGCTTGATAATGTTTTTGTGAGTTGATCAAGAATTCTGTATTCTTGCTTCAGTTTTATGTTAAGAGAAATTGGAGTCTCCAAAGAATAAAGGCGTACACTTCTAGTAAAAAGCCAGTGGTGTACCAGACATGGATCTGGCTTTGCTGATTTCCTCCCCTCCAATTCTCTGTCTAAAATCCTTGCAAGACTTGATGGCAAGGCAATGATAGAAGGTTGTGGTGTCGTAGGATGCTTACTAGATTGGAATCAGAATATTCCTGGCCAGGAATCTGGGTGTCGATCAAATGTGGCAGTACCTTTAAAAGCACTTGCATAGTGCCTGGCACCCAACTGGCACTTCAATGCTGATTTTGAATTTGAAATTTAGAAGTTAAAGCTATAAAAGTGAAGGCCTACTGAATTTTATATACACAGCTTAATAATGGGATAAGAATGCATGCTATAAGAGGTCAGGCTTTTAATAACCCAATACAGTGAATCTCTTAATTCTCAATAAAAAGAGTGTAAAAAAGATGAAAGAATCTAGCCTATAATTATTCTGCCAGGTCATGAGGTATAAGCAGGTAATTTTAGAATGTTCTATAACTGTACTTTATAGATTGCATTAAGTCGGGGTAGTAATTTTTTAGGTTTCGTGTGGCAGGGTTTATTTCTGAATATAGAAATGTTCAATTCATCATGCAAAAATTTTTACATAGGTAGACCTCTTCACTATCCCAAGTTTATTTTATTTCCATCTACGCACACTCATTCAAAACATGCATGCAATGTATGTAGGCATGCATGCACACATGCACACACTCACACACACACTCCTCAGTACATGAAAATTAAAGCTAAGTAGTCATAATTGGTCACCTTTTGCCTTATAATTTGGATTTTAGGAAAAATAACCCTCTCCTATTTTCCTCCTTTTGAGAAAACTGTAGAGAAATATATTAGCATTCTCAAATGTATTGGCCTCATGTATTTTCTTTCTTCCCTTGCATGTAAACCTTGTAGTCTTGCCAAGGTTTTCTAATATTTGCATGTCAAACACAGATTACAAGCCCCCTGGGCTGGATTCACACTGGCCTCTTGGCTTTTTACAAAACGTTGCATAGCCTTGTCACTAGCTTGATGTTAAAGCAAATAATGCTAGCATCCTTAGTAAGGCCTTTGCCCTGAAAACTGAGAAAATCCGACCACAATAAACATGCTGAGAATAAAATCAGTCTCTGCTATAATTATTAGGCCAGAGACAGGTAAGCACAATTATTTCTGTACTGAAAAAAAACAGGTGGGTAGTAGCTGGCTCTGCACTGAGGGGGCAAAATGCTTGAAGTCCAGGGATGTTCAATCTATAAGCTCATATGTGTCCAACACCCACTTATTCCCTCCAATACATTTTCCCCTTGATGCTATGCCTTCTTTTTGTTTTTAAAAGCAGTCTTAAATTGGTTACCATTTTTTTCCCTTCTCATACTTCTTCCTGTGCTTATAGGCAAGGGACAGTAAATTAAGCATATCTAAGGATTTAATGCTCAAAATCACCTTGGATAATTGGCTTATGGGGTTGAGGCATGCTTTTCCCTCAGTCTCCTAGTATTAATGCTATTTCTCCTCAGAGGGTACATCTGTCAATAATTGATGAAGCCTTCTTGGGTAAATGAGCTGTTTCTTGGGACATTATAAATCATATTTGGAATCAAGTTTATTTTCAAGCTGCTTTTGAAGTCTCGATGCTGTGCTAACTGAACAGAAAATGTTAAATGTTTGAGGGAGTAGTGCAAGCTCTCAAATGCTAACGGCATGAGCTGGACTTAAAAAAACAAATGGGATTTATACCCTCTGAGGCAACAAGAACACATCTGGTTTGTCAGCAAAGCATATGTAAGTTTGGCAAGGGTCTTCCAGAAGGAAATTGCCTGAGTATCTACTGCGTGCTGAGCACTGCGATTCACGATTCACTTGGGGCATCTGAGTTAATCTTCAGAACAAACTCATCTGGCAGGTGTTACTACAATTTCTACAGATGAGGGAACTGAGGCTCAGAAATGTTGATAACCTCTTCAATGCACTCAGAGAGCAAGTGGTAGATTTGAAATTGGAATCAGTTGGATTGTGAAGTCTTCAGTATTCTCGCTTCACCAGAAGTCAGACATGCTCTATGACGAGGTCTTCATTCTGTGTTCAGTGGTGTCCTGGTGATCTCTGTGTATTTGGTGTTAAGATTGAGGCCAACAGTCTCTTATGTTCAGTGGTGTTCTGGTGATCTCTATGTATTTGGTATTGAGATTGAGGCCAACAGTCCCTTATCAGCAAACCTCTTCTGGGTCTCTCAGCTTTGTTCCAATTCCAGTACAGATACACTTTTATCTGTTTTATATAGAGAGGTTTGGCATGATCTTTTTTTTTTTTTTTTTTATGTTTTAGACAGCATTTCACTCTGTTACCCAGGCTGGAGTACAGTGGTGCAATCTCGGCTCGCTGCAACCTCTGTCTCCTGAGTTCAAGCAATTCTCCTGCCTCAGCCACCTAAGTGGCTGGGATTACAGAGGTGTGCCACCATGCCTGGCTAATTTCTGTATTTTTAGTAGAGACAGGGTTTGACCTTGTAGGCCAGGCTGGTCTTGAATTCCTGGCCTCAAGTGATCCACCTGCCTCAGACTTCCAAAGGGCTGGGATTACAGGCGTGAGTCACCGCGCCTGGCCTGGCATGAGATTTTGATAATAAAATTTTGCTGCTAAAAGAAACATGTAAACCACAGCTGGGTGAGAATAATAATAATAAACTATCTTATAAAATAAGGCTATTAGCATATGTAAGAACATGACTGATATGTAAAAAATTGGGAAATATTTTCTCCTTTTGATTCAAAAGACATACTCAAAGAACATTCTAGAATTACTCTACTCTAAGCATTGCTGCAGGGTGAGTGCTGAGCTCAGAGTCAGAGCTCTAGGTTTTCACTTTTGCTCAGACATTATCTTACTGTGTGCTGTTACTTCCCTTTCCTCACTTTGCACATTAATAGGCTGGAGATGAGAGTACTCGCTCTAACAACCTCAGATCCTTATTGTGATCACTAAAGGAGACGAAAGATTTAAAAACTAGTTTGAAAAAGAAAGAACATGCCTAACATAGAAGATATCACTACGATTAATACTGCATTTTCTATTTTTTAGGAGGTTGAAAAATCACTGTAATTTTTCTGAACATTATAGTTCAGATTTCAAAGACAAAATGTTAAGAGTGGAGGGTATTTTGGCATGGGACAGATGGGGACATAAAAGGCATAAAACCATTTTTAAAAGCTCATTCAGAATAATTATTTTAGAGATAATGGCTTATTAAGTTCATAATATCAGCCCTTGAGTTCTAGTTATTCACAATATTGGCTGCTGCTCATTTTTGAACTTTCTAATGAAAAGATAGACTATGAATCACTTTGCCTCATTTTTTTTCAATCTCTCCTAATTGTCAGGGCAAATATACACTAGATTTGAAAGAATGAAATTGCTGACATGAGACCAAAATTACTGTTTGACTCATGCCGATTGAGATAAGGAGGAATTGTTTCCTGAATGCTTCTCTGCCCATTATTCCTTCTTCCTTCCCCTCCTTTACACCTACTTTTCTTTCCTCTCTTCCAGCAGACATTTGTTAAACACTAATATAGGCACACATGAATTGAATACAGTGTCTGCTTCAAAGCTTCTCAGTCCAGCATCTAAATAAATACACACTTCACTGTGATGTAAACTATGCCAGAAGCCTATCTTCACCTTACTAACACCATCACAAACAGCATGGGAGCCCAGAGAATGGAATGCCCAATTATTCCTGGGGAAGTCCAGAAAAGTGAATATTTAGCAACTAACAGCTTGGGCGATTTCCTCTCTACATTCCAGCTTCTTTATTTCTAATCAGTTCCAGTTCAACGCACTTGAAATCTACTCATGCTCTTGAGCCTTGTGAGTACAAGGATGTTCCTCTGATGAAATCCTGAGAACTTTGTCTATCTCTTGCTCTCTTGATCCCTCTTTCTAGCTACATCTGTTTTTTTTTTAACCTCTCGAAGACCCCAAATCTGTAGATATCTACCTCCCTGATACTCTTTCTTTCCTTTTTTCCTCTATATTCTTCCTCCTCTATACCTCTTCTTCTTTCATCTCTCTCATGCACTCTCTCTCCCTGCCCTCCTTTGGCAAAGTTAGGGACAAGAAGGTTGGATTTGTTATGGGACACCTGAGGAGAATGTATGGGGAAAGTTTAAAAGAAAACAAAATTGAGAACCAATGGTTTAACTTCCCCCCTCCTTTACTGAATCCTCTCTGGATTTTCCATAATGTTCTCAAATTCGATTTTCAGTTACTTCTGGCACTGACAGGAGGAGCAAATAGTTTCTAAGTAGTATCTAAGGGGGCAAGCCCTTCTTCCAGGTAAGTTTGCAGTTGATAGTGCTAGTATGGATTGTGTAATTAATGTCACTTGGCACAACCAGACCTACTTAAGAATTTTGTTTTTTGGAGGCATTCTGTCTCTCGGTCATTACAGGGCAATAGCTCCAACAAGCACTTTGCCCTGAAGCAGAGGCAAGATCTGCAGCACCCTTAAGTGTAAGGGCTGTTCACGATGAATTCAAATAAGAATTAAATTACAGAGAAAGATTGAAAGGAAAATTGCAGGTGATTCTGTCAGCCTACTTTCTATCCAGCCAGCTACCTAATCATGTCTCCTTTTCCCTGTTGGGCTATTTTTTTTTTTTTTTTTTTTTGTCCTTCTTGAATTCAGGTGGTGGGCTCACACTGTCATAGCAGGTTCAGATCAGCAGGAACATGTCTGAAGGTTTCAGAGTTATCTCCTGGCAGTCTACAGAGGCACACAAAGCACGCAGTCTTTGGAGACAGGCTGCTTTGGCTCAAATTCTAGTTCTACTCCCTATTTTCTGTGTGAGCTTGCATAAGTGACTAAGCTCTGTAAATGTGTAAGACAGGACAAATAAAATTATCTTTGTTCCAGGGTTGTGTGAGGATTAAGTGGAGTAACAATTAGCTCTGTCTATTCATGATGACAGTGCCTTGTATTTATTGAACACTGAAATTTTACTATGTATAAGATACCTACAGAAACCAGTAAGAACATTTAGGACACTGAATGAGGATAAAACTTCCCCTGATTCTTCTACAGTTATATTACCGGAAGGAGGGCCTTGAGTGTAAATGTCCAGGTCCTTGGCGTTTTGAACAAAGAACCGGACAAAACGCACAAAGTAACAAAGGAACAAAACACAGGAAGGGAGCAGCAAAAGCAGGACTTTATTAAAGCAAGAAAGCACTCCACGGGGTGGAAGTGGGCCGGAGCAAGAGGCTAAAGGGCCCGGTTACAAGGTTTTCTGGGTTTTAAGTACTTTTTTTGAGGACTCTATTGGTTACCTGTTATCTGAAATGAAGGATTTGGTCTTTGGCTAATTATAAGGCTGAGGTGAATTGGCGCTCTATGCACACGAAGGGATGGTCCTTGCTAGGCCTACGGTCAATCCGAGGCAATCTCCCTTTCCATCTGAGATGTGGTGGAATGGGGAGGGCTATAGGGAGAGTAGCCTTTGATCCTTTGTTACTTGGCCTGGGGCGATGGGGTTTTTCCTCTGGGTTTAGCTTTAGGAAGTTTGCGTTAATTGGCCTTAGGTTCCCTGCCCCTAGACCCAGGTGTTTTCCTTTTGATCCAGCTTTGGGAAGTCAGCAGGAATTGGCCTCAGATTCCCCAATCCCAGACCTTGGTGTTTTCTATTTTAGGAAGTCAGCACAAATTGGCCTCAGATTCCCTGCGCCTAGGAAATCAAGGTGTTTTTCTTTGATTCAGCATGAATTGGTCTTAAGTGCCCTACCTCCAGACCTTATTCTCCTGCCTCAGTTAGGCAACCCCACTTTGGTGTTTGTCCAGGTAAATTTAAATAACTTTTTTTAGTATTTGTTTTTCTTAGAATATCACTAGGCAATCACGCTAGCTGACACTGAGTCAGACCCTGAGATGACTGTTTTACCTTCAACAGCTCATTTAATTCTCCCCAAAATTTTGCAAGGTAGGTGAAAATAATTTCATAACAAAGATGGGACTGAGAGGTGAAGCCGGCTGGGCTTCTGGGTTGAGTGGGGACTTGGAGAACTTTTCTGTCTAGCTAGAGGATTGTAAACACACCAGTCAGCGCTCTGGGTCTAGCTAAAGGTTTGTAAATGCACCAGTTCGCACTCTGTAAAAACGCACCAATCGGCACTCTGTGTCTAGCTAAAAGTTTGTAAATGCACCAATCAGCACTCTGTAAAATGGAGCAATCGGCTCTCTGTAAAATGGACCAATCAGCAGGATATGGGTGTGGCCCAATAAGGGAATAAAAACTGGCCACCCGAGCTAGCAGCGGAACCCACGAGGGTCCCCTTCCACGCTGTGGAAACTTTGTTCTTTCACTCTCCACGATAAATCTTGCTGCTGCTCACTCTTTGGGTCTGCACTACCTTTATGAGCTCTGTAACACTCACTGTGAAGGTCTGCGGCTTCACTGCTTAAGTCAGCGAGACCACGAACCCACTGGGAGAAACAAACAACTCCAGAGGCGCCACCTTTGAGAGCTGTAACACTCACTGCAAAGGTCTGTGGCTTCACTCCTGAGGTCAAGCGAGACCACGAACCCACTGGAAGGAAGAAACTCTGGACACATCTGAACATCTGAAGGAACAAACTCCGGACACACCATCTTTAAGAACTGTAACACTCACCAGGAGGGTCCGCGGCTTCATTCTTGAAGTCAGCGAGACCAAGAACCCACTGCAAGGAACCAATTCCAGACACGGGACTAGTGAGGCTTAGAAATGTTAGGTAGTTTGTCTGTGATTTATACTTAGGCCTGTCTGCTGCTAAAACCTTTGCTTACCTACCACACTATGGTTTTGATCAGCCAGTTATTATCACTAGATAGCTCATCTTTTCTGAAATTGCCTGGCACTTCCATAGTGGATTTTGAAATGTTCCTTTTCTAGCCTTTGGGTACTTATTCAAAATTCTGACTGTTCACTTATTTTTCTGCATACTCAGGGATTTTATCCTCCTGGCTCTTTTGCCCATGGGGAGAGCCCTTTGCAGATCTAAACCTATTTATTCTCTAAGATCTAGGTCAGAACCTATCTTGTTTAAGAAACATCTCCCTAGTTAATATGTGTATACTCTCGTTAGTGCCACAGTAATCTCGCACTCTGTAAATTCTTATTTTTGCATTTTGAAGCAATATAACATGATACAGCAGTTAGTCATTTTTATATTGAACTAATCACAGTAAGAGCACTTACTGAACATTTGCTTGGTGCTAAACTCTTTACAAAAATTCTTTCACTTAATCTCATGAGAACTCTGCTAGTTTAGTATACCTGTTATGCTCCTAATTTTATAGAAGAGAAAATTGGGATTTGGAGAAAGTCAGTGACATGCCTAAAGCTACAAATATGATGAAGCCAGGATTCAAATGGTCTCACCATGGAGCCCAATCTCCTACTCATTATTTTTTTGCCATCCACTTTAGTCCTGTGTTCTCAAATGCAATGCAAGGTAGCCCCTAGAGTTAATCATGTCCTAATTACCAAGGCACTCAGTGAGGAAAGGTTCATGGATCAGTGGATGTTTTTCGAGTCCCTATAAGGTGTGTGGGATAGAGGATGGTATAAACAGAGGTCAATTCTAATTCTCACCTAATGCTCTGGACACAGGCACACCAAACTACCTCAGTCCACTTACAGCACTTCTAGGAATCCTCACCTGTCGAATGTGTGATGAGGAGCTATTGACTTCTAATAGAGACAGGGAGAAAATCAATGGATGGGTGTCCAATATCTTGAATTGATGATATTAAGGGCTCCACTACTCCATTTCTGGCAGTCAGTTGGATCCATTGATCTCATTTACCTTAACTACTTTTGAGAAAAGAGGTTTTTTAGCTTCTTCCATGTCTGAAGAGACATGCATGAAGAAAATGTAATTTTCTTGAAAATATGAAGTTGTGTATGAAAGAGAAGATCATTAGCTATGAGGATGAGAAGATAAGGGAGATTACAATGTAACGTGGTTCTCTGCATGCAAAGTCAACATAATCAAGCCATAACTTGAGTGTTTACTCTATGTCAGGCATTACTCTAAGAAGCTTTCATATATTTAGCTCATATAATCCTCACAACAACCCTATGAGGTTGCAATAGTTGTCTTCAGATTATCATAGATGTATCAACAGTCATGAGAGACTGAAGAATGTGTCTGTGTTCATGTAGGGCCAAGAGTCACCATTTAGTTTTTCTGACACAAGAGGCCAAATTCTAACTCGTTTGCTGTACTGTCTCTAGTGGGCTGGAGAAGATGGCAGATAACTTCTCCTTACAAATTTTGAAGGCAAAATTTGGAAAGGAAGGAAGGAACAGAGAAATAAATGACCTACCTAACGTGCGCTGGGCTCTATACATTGTGAAGGCATTATATATATCTACAACTTTTAGGGTGAGAATTATTTATTCATTTTACAGATGAGCTTCAGAGGTTAAGTGACTTCCTCAATGCCACTTTGTTGGCAAATGGAGGACTCAGCTTTGAATCATCCTTTGCTTTGTATGCTATGCTGAGAAGTTTAAATAGGAGACCCTTCCTGCTTCATAAGATACCTGTAATTCATGGCAACATTTAAATTCTTTGCTTTTTTCCAGTTGACGAACAGCTTATATCCTAGCACCCTGTTTTTGTAGGCTTAATTAACAAAGTGTATATGCTACAAAAAAGATTTAATGAAAATCTGCGTGATGTGGCAGGATAAGAGGTCACTCACTGGATCAAGGTTGAAGGGTGATGCTTTTCAGAGTTTTAACTTCTTTATTACCTTGCTCTATGGAGAAGGGAGAAAGCTACTTTTTCTTCCTGGGGTTTAGTCTCTGTAATGGAAGACTTGGATGAGATGGTGTCAGTGTCCCTTACAATTCTACAACTCTGTGATTGTGTCAGGGCTGAACTGCATAGAGTCCAAGCTTTGGAAAGATCCCGGAGAGTATCAGTGCCATCTCCCAATCCTTCTACAGCTTTGCAGACCTAATCCAGGCCTTTATGTCTCTTGCCTGGATTCTTACCTCTGTCTCTTATTTTGCTTTTAGATGTCAACTTGGCTCAATACCCAAAACAAGCAGCGCATTTGAAACATTCTTGTATAACACAAGTCTAAGTAACCCATTGAAAAAATGTTGAACTCTCATGAAGTGCCTTACTTAACTAGTTTAACGACCTCTCATGGGAACATGTAGAAATATCACAAATATAAGATCTGTGTCCAGATATTTAGTAATGATACATCCATACCTAAACACAGTTTTGACCAGGTCACTCCCCTGCCTAAAATCCTGTAATGGCTTTATTGAGCTCATAGGATCACATCTAAGCTCTCTCCTTGTTTTTTTTTTTTTTTTTTTTTTTTTTTGCCTTTTCCTTTGTGCCCAGAATTTCTTGAATACATCATGCTGTTTCTTGCCTTTGTGCCTTTTGTCTTCTGCCTAGCATGACTAGCGTAGTTCCTAGATTGTTTCTTTTAATCTATTATAGCTCAACTCTTTTCTTAGTAGATATCTGCCTTGTTTTCCAGGCAATACCATTGCCTCTGTTTGCATTGTCATTACTTATTTTACCTGTGTCTCCCACCAAACTTGGAGTCTATTAAAGGAGCAAGATCTGTGCCTCACTCATCTTTGTATCCCCAGTAACGTGCATGGTCTCTGGTGCACAGTGGATGCTTAATTAATGTTTGTTGAATGAATGAATATGTTGATCCCTCAGTGATGAAGAAATGCTGGCATCTAATTTCTAAGACAGCCTTCCTTACATGTAGCTGAAGTTTCCTACGCTTTTGGCCCAAATTCTGGCCACTGAAATAATTCAGAATAATTTTTCTTCTTCTGGCACAATAGCATTTGAAGTAGTTGAATTTAGTTAAATCCTCCTTTTGCTAGGTCAAAGATCCCCAATTCTTCCACTTGTCTTCTTGTAAATACCCTATGTATCTCATTACTATCTTGGCTGGCCTCCTTTACTTGTGTTCTAGGTGACACCTGTGTTTCTTAAAACAAGATGCCAAGATCAGAGCTAAAAGCTCCAGATATTGTTTTAAGTGGCAGGCAGCCCAGGGGAGCAACCCTTTCTTTTGTCCTGTAAGCCAAACCTAAAAGTTATTTAAAAGTTAACATAAGGTAGCAACTGACTTTGGTAATATAATACATATGATGAAATATACATATAATAAAAATATATTAATATTTTAAAATATAATAAAATGATAATTATGACAAAAATAAAAGCTATTGGTGCTTTATCTTATTAATCTTTTATAATAACACCAGAGGGCAAGTATTATTATCTTATTATCTCCCCTTTACAGATGAGGAAACTCAGAGTGGATAGAGGTTATCTTACTTTTTAAAAACCATAATAAGAAATTCTGAGTGGCAGAGACATGACGGGGTCCTTGACTGACTGTAGATTTGTTTAGCACAGGTCTCATATTTTAAACCATCACACTATAAATGGATGCCTCATGAGACTTCCATGAGCTTTCTGAAACTAAGTGCAAAATGCTGTATAAAAATATGTGTTTCTAAGGTGAATGTACTCAATTTTTATCATGTTCCCAAAGGAATGTTTTCCCAAAGAGGTTAAGAATCACTGTATTAAAGGTAGACTGACATTGAGCTTGTAGCCAGTTCAAACAAGGAGTTCATTTTCCTATACATTGCTCTTAAATTTCTTCCCTCAAGTTGCATAACTGGTTTTCTGAACCTACATTTGGCATAGTAATACACTTAGCTCTATTGAATTTAATCTTACCAGTTTCTTCTCTTTCAAGGCCATTTCTTTTTATCGCACCTCTGTTATTTAACATATTTGCTATTTCCTCAAATAATTTGATCGGCATTCTCTCTTGATTTGTATCTAAATCATTGCTCAATGTGAGGGCTGACCCAGGGGAGGGTAATGGCTGTTGAAAATGGTTTGCAGAGCCTGTGTCTCCTTTGCATTTGTTTTTCTCCTCAGGTTGCTTGGGGTTTCTCTGGGAGTAGACAGAGGCAATCCTCCACATATTAACAACTAAATAATCTGCTGTTTTTAACCAGTGGCAGCCTTTCTGAGTCTCTGGGTCCAGATTTCTGAGAGTCTACTCGTTGTGCCCTTTATATGATGCTCTGTCTCACAGGATGGAATTTGATGTCAGCATTCTTTTTTTTTTTGAGACAGGATCTCGTTCTGTCATCCAGGCTAGAGTGCAGTGCTGCAATCATATCTCACAGCTGCCTCAAACTCCTGGGCTCAAATAATCCTCCCACCTCAGCCTCCCAAGTAGCTGGGACTATAGGCATGTACCGCCATACCACATCCTAGATGTGGTTAAAAAAAAATTTTTTTTTTTTTTTGTAGAGATGAGATCTTGCTATGTTTTGGCATTCTTTATTAAACACGTTAGAGTTCCATAGGTCCTTTCTTCCATCAAGGTCTTTTAGTTAATTTTTTTCTCCTTGTAACTCTTTTGAAGCACATCTCATCTCCTGAATTACCCTTTGTGCTACCCCCAGTGAGTGCTTTATTTTTATTATTTTGAGACAAGGTCGCGCTCTGTCACACAGGTGCTGGAGTGCAGTGGTGCAATCACAGCTCACTGGAAGCTCCATCTCTTGGGCTCAAATGATTTTCCCACCTAAGCTCCAGAATAGCTGGAACTACAGGCATGCACTACCGTGTCTGGCTAATTTTTTGTACTTTTTGTAGAGATGGGGTTTCACCATGTTGCCCAGGCTGATCATGAACTCCTGTGCTCAAGCAATCCTTCCACCTCGGCCTCCCAAAATGCTGGGATTACAAGTGTGAGCCACCGCACCTAGTGAGTGCTTTCTGAGAAACCAGGCCCATGTCTAGTATCAGATCACAGAAATGAGACCTACCCCAATTTATTTATTCCTAGTCTTCAAGTTATTTCAAAGGCAAATAACTCTGATATTAAGTGTAGCACAGGTACAAGTCTTTCTTCCTGTTTATTTTCCAACAGATTTGCAGTATGGGCTACATCTAGTGACATTAAGGACCTCTTCAATAATACACATTTCCAATTTCTGAGGAAAAACTAATTATCAAACAGCTTTAGAGTTTTCTGCAACTTTATACTAATCTCTTATTGCCTCTGTGATCAGTAATAATCTATGTATTTGCATTTTTAAAAATCTTTTAGGTCTCCTACCTACATTTCATCATTTCTGACTTTTCTCTTTGGTAACAACAAATGGTATTTTATTCTATATTCATGATTTATAGTTTTTATTTTACATAATTGTTTCAAAATGATTATTTCTCATCAAAGGCTCTATCTACTGATTTATTCTGATTCCTCCATTAAATCTCTCCCTTTATCTAGTAGCATTTTGAACTACTTTTTCCAGTTCCATGAGAATCATGTCATATTTTTGTCATTACTTAGAAACATACATAAGTATTGGCTCATGTTTCCCTTTAACTTTAATAGCCTTCAGTGTCAACCCCAACTTCAAAAACACTGAAGTGCTAAGGTGACTCCATAGCAACCACCAATTTGCTTATCCCTTTCTAAGTTCAATGACACCTGGCACCTTGGCCTTTATGCCGGAGAATTATAGGGAAGATGTTTTAAGTGTTACTGTTTCCATTTTTTTTAAGTTTTTTATTACACAGTGGAAAAAAAAAACTAGGCTTGGGTTTGAGTCTCAGTTGGATCACTTACTAGTTTTGTTGCTGTGGGCACCTCACTGTACTTCTAAAGCTCTCAATATTCCCACATTTAAAATGGGGTAGTGATGCCTACCATACCACAACACAGGGACTGTCATCAGGAATGAGGGAGACGAATATGTAAACACTTTCTCAGTCTCACAGTACTCTGTAAAATAGAAGGTACTGTGTGTTTGGGGGAAGTAGAGATAATAATTCTATACTCTGGTCGTTCGCAATCATTCTTAATATTTCTTTTAATTTCTGTAATTAAAGGTTCTTGAATTCCTATTCTGGCTCATTTCAGTGCCATGTTCCATTTAATCTTCTCAGTCTCCCTCACTGAGCAGTCAGGAGCTTGTCCCTATTTGAAGCTTCAGCTAGCATTTTGCTAGTGCCTAAGCCAGTCTGTACTCCAGCCCTGCCCAGGCCCTCTTGGTGGACAGAATCCTAGATGTGGTAAATAGCATGTCTTAGCCTTGATTCTCGCCTCTCCTTGCATCCACTCTTTGCCTTGACTCTGGCTTTAAGCTCCGTAACTTGCTTTGGCCTCTAGGATATTAACGGATGTGATAGAAGCAGAGCCTTGAAAACTGTTTGTGACAGGGCCTGCTCTATCACTCTCATGCCTTTGTTAATGCCAGTGTGAACATGCCCAGGCTAGACTGCTGGTCCCAGGAGGAATAGTGACACATGGACCAAAGCAGAGTATCCTGTCACCCTAGTCGAGATCAATGTAGATTAGCCACACCCAGCAGACCCCAGATATGTAAGCAATCGCTGTCAACATCAGCAGAGCCACCTTGCTGACGCCCAGCTGGTCCCCAATATGTAAGCGTAATAATTTATCGTTGTATGGCTCTGAAACTGTAGGGTTGTTTGTTACATATTTTAATTGTAGCAATAGATAAACTAGATGTCATAACTCTCTGAGTTCCTGGCTTTAAGAACAGTAGTCTCAGAGATTAAGATCCTGAAAAGTACTATAATGGGCAAAACAGAAGTGTCGTAATTCACAGAGGTCCAGAGAAATAAAAACTAAAATGCTATTAAATATATTTTAAAATCAGATTCTTCAGCATGAAACGTCTCTCTGGTGGGCAACCCATCTCTTGAATCACCTTCAATGATTAAGGAGAAATGACCGTGGCATTGTGATTTGCTGAGACAGGTGCTCATATAAGTGCTATGCTATTCAGAAGGCACCACTTTTTAAAGTTTTATACTGAGCTTCTTAGCCTAAAATTGAATATCTTTTTTACTTCCATTTCCCTTCCTTTTATTTTCAGCAAATGCCAGAAAAATGGTAGCATCATCGCTGGCCTCTTCACCAATTACCACAACACTTAAGTACACATTTTCCAGATATGTTTTCCGGTCTGTCTATTGATAAATTACACATGTTTGATTTCTCTATCCAGTCCCAGTTGACCCACTTGTGGTATACAAAAGAGAAATACATTATTGATGGTGGAAAAAAATGTGAAGTATTGATACTCACCTACTTCTACTGACTTTTCATCGCATAACCCTGGCCCATTATGTAAGAAGACATGTGAGGATGATATTCCACATCAGGAGATTTGGGATGGAGTACATAGCACAATGGAGCTTGACAAGAGGACAGAGAAATGAATGTCAAATTCCTGACCTTTAAAATTAAAAGTTTCTATTAATCTTTCCATAATCTGTCTTCTCTGTTCTTCCCTCACTAGATAAAGATGCTCCCAGCTGAAGAGAGGGAAAAAATTTGGAAACATAAAGAGAAATAGACACTGGTTTTAGGGATAAGCCCCTTTTTGGGTCAATAAGTAATGAGCCAAGTGATAGGCAAAGAGACTATTAGACCCTCAGATAAGTGTAAGTATAGAGGAAACAGTGCTATAGAAGATATTGATATAGCACACTAACATTCAAGCCTTGCTCTTCCTCTGGGCATATGAGACATTGTACTTCTCCTTGAAGATAGGTATGAACTTGTGAATTGCTTTGGCCACTAAATTGTAAATGAAAGTGACTTGGCTCATTTCTATGTCCAAGCATCTAATTACTGGAGCTAGACTTTCCAGCCTGCTGCTTCTTCTTACATCAAGACAGAGGTCATGGAGAGTTCTCTGGAATTGTAGTGGATTTTATATGAGTGAGGAATAAAATTTTGTTGATCTTTTGGGTATTGTTTATTACTGTAGCATAACTTCCCCTATCTGTGTTCTGTTTCCCATCTGGGTGGCTGGAAGGGAGAGACACACAAAGATCTCAGGCCACTCAGCATGGGGTAGTAGAGCTGAAATTACTGCACTGGTGTCAAAGAGAGGGCTTGTTCACAGATCCTAATTGTTCTATTGCCCCAAGAAGAAGGGTAGCAACTACCACATGTCCCTAATAAAAGTAAACTTTTCAGCAGATGCAGAAATCTGGATTTCCAAAGTGTTCTCAAGGTCATGACAAGGGGATGCAACCACGAGTGGTGGTGTGAACCATTCAATCTGAGACCCAGATGAGTTCTGGGATTTGGCCACTTTCAGTGGAAGCCCATTTGGGGGTTAACACTAAGTATAAGATGTTATGATTGCATATATCAGGAGTTGTCAACTCTGGACAACCACAGAGACACTTTCTCATATATACTACATCACTGTGTAAGCACTTGAGTTAGAATTAACTGCAGAGAGAAGGGAGAAAGGGGAAAGTTCACAATCTGATTCAGTGTAATGCTGAAACAAGAAATTACTGAAGTGGTTGGGTTTACTTGGAAGTGACCAGATCAATTGTCTATCAGGAAATATGAAGGGCTTGAGATAGAAATCAACTTCAGTTATTAAGAAAAAGCTCTAGTTTTGAACATCTGAAGTTGTGGTATGAAAATCAGGCATACTTCATATTTTTGTAAGAGGATTGAACAGAACAGAATTTTAAAAGAGTGGGATCTAATGATTTTACATAGAAACACAAAGCCATGCTATTTCACAACTTGGTGTGGTTGGCATTGGTGAGGAATTGTTGTATTACTTCACCTGGTTAGAAGCCTGCTGGGCCTCTTGAGAACATAGACCTGTCTGTTACCATTGGCATGGGATTATGCCTACCCAGCTGCTCTCATATGGTCAGCCTCTGTGGCTCAAACCCTTAACCCCTGGCTTATTGTGGCAGGTGGGTCTCTAGCCAGGTGCTGGCTTCTTCAGAGATAGGACACTTTGTCAAGTGATCAACCTGCCCAATGAATATTAGTGTTCAGTGACCCATAACACTGGGCACTAGTGTTGGGTGTGACAGATTATTTTTTCTTGGTTAGCACTTCTTTGTTGACTTACCTTGAAAATAAAAGTATTTTAAAATATGCACATGAGATTAAGATATCCACAAAGTTACAATGTACTCATTTATATCGTGCTACATATTTGATAAGCACTCATTAGAAAAATAAAATTAAGTTGCAAATGCTCTTAGATTAACTAGTTAAAATAATCCTTCAAATGCTGAGAATGTGGCAAAAGAGAAATATAGTATGCCTTGAGTGATGTAGGAATTTCAAAAGAAGTTGAAATGTGAGCAAACTATTTCCTAAGTATATTAATACAGGACCTTCATTAAATCTATTTAACAACTTCATGAGGAAGACTTATGCATACTTGGCAGATGAGGAAACTGAGATGCAAGAATAACTTCTCCAATGTCGTGTAACCACTAAAATAATAGAGCTGTTTTTTTTGTTTCTAAAAATCATCAAATCTAGCTCTCTACTTTAGCACATTTCTGTACAGACTTCATACCAACTTTTTTGATGGTTTGGATTCTTTCCTCATTCTTATTGGTGTTCCTGATAGGTCAGATTTCTTTAGATAGACTTACATGAGATGATCAAAGTTTTCATTCACTTTTTCTTGGGTCGACTGGTGTGATAGCGGCAGCTGAATTCAGAAAAATGAAATACCCATTTAGGTTTGTTTCAGTCAGTGGTTCTCAAACTTGGCTGTACATGAGAATCAACTGCAGAGCTTTCAAACCATACTGATACCTGGGATCCACCTTGGTCCAATTACATTAGAATCCCTGGGGGTGGAGCCTGGGCATTGCTCTTTTACAAAGGATCCCAGGCGATATTAATGTGTAGCCAGGGCTGAGAACCACTGGCTTAAGCTAACTTTTCAACACACTGAAAATCAGATTCTAACAGGATAAAGCAATTAACACAGGTACTAAGTCAATGCACTCAGCATCTTATCAAAACAAGTAATCATCAGTAGGAGGTAAAGACAAGAACTCTAATCAGTCATTAAGAAGGACCACCAAGATCTGTAACTCAGGATGTTATTCCAGAACTTGAGAAATGAATGAGCTCTCTGTTGTAGTATTGGCATTGAAATCTTACATTATTTCAGATTTTTAAAATGAGAAGAGGGAAAATAGAGGATGAAACTATTGGGACTGATGCTTTGGGATTTTCCCATGCTTTCGTATTTATGAAGCCAAGTGTTTGATCAGGAATGGGTTGTCTGTGTATAATAAAACTGCAATCAAAGAGGAAGTCTTGTGCTCAGTGCCAGGGACATAAGGAACCCAATTCCTGCCTGAGAAAAATTTACACTATTTGGAAAGACAGGACATATATCAGGAGCTACCTTAAAGTAATGTGACTGAATCTACAATACATTTAAAACTCAAGTCGTCATTTTAAAAAAGTAATATCTTGTGGTAAAAAGGGTGTCAAAATTAATCACAGTAGGACATCCTAAATGCTAGATAAGTGTTACATCCCTCAAATCATATCCTATAATTTTGCCAAAAAAAAAAGCTTAGTTTCCTCATAGACTATCATCTCCTGCCAAGTCTCCTTTATCTGTGTCTCCATTGAACACCAAGTCATGTTAACTTTACCTTTTCAGTATTACTCAATTCATTGTCTTCTCTTTAGTTTAGGAAACGGCTTTTTCTCTACTGGATCATAGAAATAGTCTTCTGTCTGCGTCTAGCTCTTTTCGAATTCTAGATCCTCTCAGGCTAGAAAAGCCACAGGATGGCTCCCCATTGCTGGCTGGAAAGGTTCAAGGTCCAAAATGTGGCATACAGCCTTCCTACTGTAAACTAAAAATAAAATCCTAAGCCCCTACTGACTAAATGAACACCTCTTGGCCAAGAGGACCCAATAAACCCTTAAAAACTAAATTACCAACCATGATGGGAAAGGAGGTCAGACATGCCTGTTTATACCCCTTCCCTTTCTGAGTTTAGCCACAACTGATCAGCATTAAAGTGATTATAAGATTAACAAAACAGACTCTGTCAATAAAATGCCAAATTATAAATGGAACCTATGGCTATGCCAGGCAAGCGTTAGGTCACACTCCCCCTACACTTAAAGAAGAAACTATGTTCTAATTGCCACAATATTTTTCTTTTTCTCTAGCAGCTAAACAATCACTGGCCTCCAGATAAACAATATTAAAACAATTTGTCGCTTCACCAGACACTGAACTGACTCCCAGCTCCTGTTCTACCAGCTATAACTATAGCTTTGATTGGACAAGAGACTGATTTCAGAAACTTCCTCCTCATAATGAGACCACTGACCATGGACTGGTTCTGGCCAGTTTACAGAGGCTGCACACTCAAATGCCTTTGTGTCCCTGTTTTACCTTTTGAAGGATAGGGCCTAATTGTGTACATTTAAATGTTAACTCTCCACCCCAAGATGAACATGGGTCATCTGTTACATGTATGTTTGCTCACTATGCATGTTCCAGGACCACAGTCATTAATACTCATAGCTCCTCTTTTAACCTGCTGAACATGTGTACTTGACCAAACTGTTCCGCTTAAATTCCTGTCATACCCGTTTCTCCCTCCAAGTCCCTGTCTCCCATCTTTGCTGAAGACATGCTTACTAGCCTGTGGGGTGGCCACCTTGCAGGCCCTAACCCTTTATAAGAAATAAAGTCTCCTTTTCCAAATTTGAAGGTCTTGTGATTTTTAAGTTAATACTACTCCAAGTCGATTTTCAGACCAGAAGCATTTGCATCACCTGTTAAATGCAACTTATTAGATGTGCAGAATCTCGGAGGCTGTACCTGCAATGTATTTAGAACCTGCATTTTAATGAGATCCCTGGATTATTTGTGGGTACAGTAAAGTTTCAGCAGCCTTTGTGCATCTTAGGTCTCTTATGTTCTGGTTTCAGCCCACTTCTCTTTCTCTGTTGTGTGTTCCAGAAATATCAAACACACCCCAAAGGGGCTGCCCTTCTCAACACTGTCCCCTTGGCAAACGCGGGCTTGTTCTTCAAGACCTCTCTCTCGGAAGCAATTTCCTTTGTGTAGTTTTCTGGTCACTTTCTAGACAGTTAATCCTGTGAGGATTTTCATCGTGTATGGGAAACTCTAGTGTTGAAATTGCTTGTTTACCTTTTACTTTGGCCTGCCAGAATCCAAGTGCCTGAAAAGCAGGAGCAGTGTGATCTTCATCGCAGTTTCCCTGGTTTTTTGTTCAGGGCGAGGCACAGGCCATACAATCAGCATTTCAAATCTTTTGCTCAGAATTTGGTCTCATAATCCCCTCTACCTGCTTCATCTTTTGGGATAGTCATGTCTGAAGAAGAGGGTTCATAAGCTATTTCAGTCCTCATAAGTTGGAATTTAGCATTACTTTTCCTCATTAAAGTCCAGTAGATATTCAAATTTTCCCTATTTAATAGCTTTTCTAGCTTTTCTCTTTGTCCACAATGCTTTCATTTTGGCCCAGCCTTTGAAATTGGGCTTCTCAGTTATATCTTAGTTTTACAGTTATCCTTGCTACATTGAAACAATGGAAGTTCTTACCAGGATGCTTTTGATTCAACTGCCTAGAACTTTCCCTCCTGGTTTTTCTAAGATATTCTGCTGTGCTAATCTCCTTCTTTCCTTTTAGTTCTTCCATAAACTAAGTTTTCCCAAGAAAAGAGTTGTCAGGCTTAGCAAGTAAAAATAAAAGATGCCTAGTTAAATTTGAATTTCAGATAAATGACAAATATTTTTTATTAGAAATATGGTCCAAATATTGCATGGGACATACTTACATTTAAAAAACGATTTGTCATTTGAAATTCAAATTTAACTGGGGATTTGGGATTATATCTGGCAACGCCCCCAAGGGTTTAGTCTTTGAAAAACTTACACTGCTTATCATCTCTGAAGTAATGAATTAAAGAAGTTAGCAATTTGAAAGATAAAGGGAAAAATTCAGGGAGAGCATTCAAAAGTTAGGATTTCATCATATAATCTAGCCAAAATAATGATGTTGAGTATATACGAAATACTCATTTCCAAGCTAAAAAAAATCTTTAGTGCTATATAGAACCTTGGTAATATTTCATAGGTAATTCGTATGTTCAGCGGTTTGTTTCAGTAAAGTTGGGAGGCAGAAGAGAGTAGCAGGTAAGAATGAAAGTGATGGAGTCAGCCCCTTGCATTGCAGACTTGATGCCACCACTAACTCGTTGTGTAACATCGGGCTGGTTACTTCTTTTTCTGAGTCCCAGTTTTACTATTCTGTAAACTGGGATATAATTGTGGTTTCTGTACAGAGATTTTTATGAGGATTAATGAGCTAATGCATGCATTTATCTGATTTTATCACTAAACTTGGTCTTGTAAACATAATCATCTGTATTATGCAGGTGAGTTTGATCATCGTGTTTGAAAAGATATGCCTAACATTTTAGCAAGTAACCGAACCAATGAAGTTTTCCCAGATGGTATGTCAAATGGCCACAGTTTTGTAATCTAAAATAATAAAAGGAGTTACCGGGGAGGAGCCAAGATGGCCAAATAGGAACAGCTCCGGTCTACAGCTCCCAGCGTGAGCGACGCAGAAGACGGTGATTTCTGCATTTCCATCTGAGGTACCGGGTTCATCTCACTAGGGAGTGCCAGACAGTGGGCGCAGGTCAGTGGGTGCGTGCACCGTGCGTGAGCTGAAGCAGGGCGAGGCACTGCCTCACTTGGGAAGCGCAAGGGGTCAGGGAGTTCCCTTTCCTAGTCAAAGAAAGGGGTGATGGACGGCACCTGGAAAATTGGGTCACTCCCACCCGACTACTGCGCTTTTCCGACGGGCTTAAAAAACGGCGCACCATGAGATTATATCCGGCACCTGGCTTGGAGAGTCCTACGCCCACGAGTCTCGCTGATTGCTAGCACAGCAGTCTGAGATCAAACTGCAAGGCGGCAGTGAGGCTGGGGGAGGGGCGCCCGCCATTGCCCAGGCTTGCTTAGGTAAACAAAGCAGCCGGGAAGCTCGAACTGGGCGGAGCCCGCCACAGCTCAAGGAGGCCTGCCTGCCTCTGTAGGCTCCACCTCTGGGGGCAGGGCACAGACAAACAAAAAGACAGCAGTAACCTCTGCAGACTTAAATGTCCCTGTCTGACAGCTTTGAAGAGAGCAGTGGTTCTCCCAGCACGCAGCTGGAGATCTGAGAACCGGCAGACTGCCTCCTCAAGTGGGTCCCTGACCCCTGACCCCCGAGCAGCCTAACTGGGAGTCACCCCCCAGCAGGGGCACACTGACACCTCACACGGCAGGGTATTCCAACAGACCTGCAGCTGAGGGTCCTGTCTGTTAGAAGGAAAACTAACAAACAGAAAGGACATCCACACCAAAAACCCATCTATACATCACCATCATCAAAGACCAAAAGTAGATAAAACCACAAAGATGGGGAAAAAACAGAACAGAAAAACTGGAAACTCTAGAAAGCAGAGCGCCTCTCCTCCTCCAAAGAAACGCAGTTCCTCACCAGCAACGGAACAAAGCTGGATGGAGAATGACTTTGACGAGCTGAGAGTAGAAGGCTTCAGACGATCAAATTACTCTGAGCTACGGGAGGACATTCAAACCAAAGGCAAAGAAGTTGAAAACTTTGAAAAAAATTTAGAAGAATGTATAACTAGAATAACCAATACAGAGAAGTGCTTAAAGGACCTGATGGAGCTGAAAACCAAGGCTCGAGAACTACGTGAAGAATGCAGAAGCCTCAGGAGCCGATGCGATCAACTGGAAGAAAGGGTATCAGCAATGGAAGATGAAATGAATGAAATGAAGCGAGAAGGGAAGTTTAGAGAAAAAAGAATAAAAAGAAATGAGCAAAGCCTCCAAGAAATATGGGACTATGTGAAAAGACCAAATCTACGTCTGATTGGTGTACCTGAAAGTGATGGGGAGAATGGAACCAAGTTGGAAAACACTCTGCAGGATATTATCCAGGAGAACTTCCCCAATCTAGCAGGGCAGGCCAACGTTCAGATTCAGGAAATACAGAGAACGCCACAAAGATACTCCTCGAGAAGAGCAACTCCAAGACACATAATTGTCAGATTCACCAAAGTTGAAATGAAGGAAATAATGTTAAGGGCAGCCAGAGAGAAAGGTCGGGTTACCCTCAAAGGGAAGCCCATCAGACTAACAGCGGATCTCTCGGCAGAAACCCTACAAGCCAGAAGAGAGTGGGGGCCAATATTCAACATTCTTAAAGACAAGAATTTTCAACCCAGAATTTCATATCCAGCCTAACTAAGCTTCATAAGTGAAGGAGAAATAAAATACTTTACAGAGAAGCAAATGCTGAGAGATTTTGTCACCACCAGGCCTGCCCTACAAGAGCTCCTGAAGGAAGCGCTAAACATGGAAAGGAACAACCGGTACCAGCCACTGCAAAATCATGCCAAAATGTAAAGACCATCAAGACTAGGAAGAAACTGCATCAACTAACGAGCAAAATAACCAGCTAACATCATAATGACAGGATCAAATTCACACATAACAATATTAACTTTAAATGTAAATGGACTAAATGCTCCAATTAAAAGACACAGAATGGCAAATTGGATAAAGAATCAACACCCATCAGTGTGCTGTATTCAGGAAACCCATCTCACATGCAGAGACACACATAGGCTCAAAATAAAAGGATGGAGGAAGATCTACCAAGCAAATGGAAAACAAAAAAAGGCAGGGTTTGCAATACTAGTCTCTGATAAAACAGACTTTAAACCAACAAAGATCAAAAGAGACAAAGAAGGCCATTACATAATGGTAAAGGGATCAATTCAACAAGAAGAGCTAACTATCCTAAATATATATGCACCGAATACAGGAGCACCAAGATTCATAAAGCAAGTCCTGAGTGACCTACAAAGAGACTTAGACTCCCACACATTAATAATGGGAGACTTTAACACCCCACTGTCAACATTAGACAGATCAACAAGACAGAAAGTCAACAAGGATACCCAGGAATTGAACTCAGCTCTGCACCAAGCGGACCTAATAGACATCTACAGAACTCTCCACCCCAAATCAACAGAATATACATTTTTTTCAGCACCACACCACACCTATTCCAAAATTGACCACATACTTGGAAGTAAAGCTCTCCTCAGCAAATGTAAAAGAACAGAAATTATAACAAACTATCTCTTAGACCACAGTGCAATCAAACTAGAACTCAGGATTAAGAATCTCACTCAAAACCACTCAGCTACATGGAAACTGAACAACCTGCTCCTGAGTGACTACTGGGTACATAACGAAATGAAGGCAGAAATAAAGATGTTCTTTGAAACCAACGAGAACAAAGACACAACATACCAGAATCTCTGGGACGCATTCAAAGCAGTGTGTAGAGGGCAATTTATAGCACTAAATGCCTACAAGAGAAAGCAGGAAAGATCTAATATTGACACCCTAACATCACAATTAAAAGAACTAGAGAAGTAAGAGCAAACACATTCAAAAGCTAGCAGAAGGCAAGAAATAACTAAGATCAGAGCAGAACTGAAGGAGATAGAGACACAAAAAGCCCTTCAAAAAATTAATGAATCCAGGAGCTGGTTTTTTGAAAGGATCAACAAAATTGATAGACCGCTAGCAAGACTAATAAAGAAAAAAAGAGAGAAGAATCAAATAGATGCAATAAAAAATGATAAAGGGGATATCACCACCAATCCCACAGAAATACAAACTACCATCAGAGAATACTACAAACACCTCTACACAAATAAACTAGAAAATCTAGAAGAAATGGATAAATTCCTCGACACATACACTCTCCCAAGACTAAACCAGGAAGAAGTTGAATCTCTGAATAGACCAGTAACAGGATCTGAAATTGTGGCAATAATCAATAGCTTACCGACCAAAAAGAGTCCAGGACCAGATGGATTCACAGCTGAATTCTACCAGAGGTACAAGGAGGAACTGGTACCATTCCTTCTGAAACTATTCCAATCATTAGAAAAAGAGGGAATCCTCCCTAACTCATTTTATGAGGCCAGCATCATTCTGATACCAAAGCCAGGCAGAGACACAACAAAAAAAGAGAATTTTAGACCAATATCCTTGATGAACATTGATGCAAAAATCCTCAATAAAATACTGGCAAAACGAATCCAGCAGCACATCAAAAAGCTTATCCACCATGATCAAGTGGGCTTCATCCCTGGGATGCAAGGCTGGTTCAATATACGCAAATCAATAAATGTAATCCAGCATATAAACAGAGCCAAAGACAAAAACCACATGATTATCTCAATAGATGCAGAAAAAGCCTTTGACAAAATTCAACAACCCTTCATGCTAAAAACTCTCAATAAATTAGGTATTGATGGGACATATTTCAAAATAATAAGAGCTATCTATGACAAACCCACAGCCAATATCATACTGAATAGGCAAAAACTGGAAGCATTCCCTTTGAAAACTGGCACAAGACAGGGATGCCCTCTCTCACCACTCCTATTCAACATAGTGTTGGAAGTTCTGGCCAGGGCTATTAGGCAGGAGAAGGAAATAAAGGGTATTCAGTTAGGAAAAGAGGAAGTCAAATTGTCCCTGTTTGCAGACGACATGATTGTATATTTAGAAAACCCCATTGTCTCAGCCCAAAATCTCCTTAAGCTGATAAGCAACTTCAGCAAAGTCTCAGGATACAAAATCAATGTGCAAAAATCACAAGCATTCTTATACACCAGCAACAGACAAACAGAGAGCCAAATAATGAGTGAACTCCCATTCACAATTGCTTCAAAGAGAATAAAATACCTAGGAATCCAACTTACAAGGGATGTGAAGGACCTCTTCAAGGAGAACTACAAACCACTGCTCAAGGAAATAAAAGAGGATACAAACAAATGGAAGAACATTCCATGCTCATGGGTAGGAAGAATCAATATCGTAAAAATGGCCATACTGCCCAAGGTAATTTACAGATTCAATGCCATCCCCATCAAGCTACCAATGCCTTTCTTCACAGAATTGGAAAAAACTACTTTAAAGTTCATATGGAACCAAAAAAGAGCCCGCATCTCCAAGTCAATCCTAAGCCAAAAGAACAAAGCTGGAGGCATCACACTACCTGACTTCAAACTATACTACAAGGCTACAGTCACCAAAACAGCATGGTACTGGTACCAAAACAGAAATATAGATCAATGGAACAGAGCAGAGCCCTCAGAAATAACGCCGCATATCTACAACTATCTGATCTTTGACAAACCTGAGAAAAACAAGCAATGGGGAAAGGATTCCCTATTTAATAAATGGTGCTGGGAAAACTGGCTAGCCATATGTAGAAAGCTGAAACTGGATCCCTTCCTTACACCTTATACAAAAATCAATTCAAGATGGATTAAAGACTTAAACGTTAGACCTAAAACCATAAAAACCCTAGAAGAAAACCTAGGCATTACCATTCAGGACATAGGCATGGGCAAGGACTTCATGTCTAAAACACCAAAAGCAATGGCAACAAAAGCCAAAATTGACAAATGGGATCTAATTAAACTAAAGAGCTTCTGCACAGCAAAAGAAACTACCATCAGAGTGAACAGGCAACCTACAAAATGGGAGACAGTTTTTGCAACCTACTCATCTGACAAAGGGCTAATATCCAGAATCTACAATGAACTCCAACAAATTTACAAGAAAAAAACAAACAACCCCATCAAAAAGTGGGCGAAGGACATGAACAGACACTTCTCAAAAGAAGACATTTATGCAGCCAAAAAACACATGAAAAAATGCTCATCATCACTGGCCATCAGAGAAATGCAAATCAAAACCACAATGAGATACCATCTCAAACCAGTTAGAATGGCGATCATTAAAAAGTCAAGAAACAACAGGTGCTGGAGAGGATGTGGAGAAATAGGAACACTTTTACACTGTTGGTGGGACTGTAAACTAGTTCAACCATTGTGGAAGTCAGTGTGGCGATTCCTCAGGGATCTAGAACTGGAAATACCATTTGACCCAGCCATCCCATTACTGGGTATATACCCAAAGGACTATAAATCCTGCTGCTATAAAGACACATGCACACGTATGTTTATTGCAGCATTATTCACAATAGCAAAGACTTGGAACCAACCCAAATGTCCAACAATGATAGACTGGATTAAGAAAATGTGGCACATATACACCATGGAATACTATGCAGCCATAAAAAATGATGAGTTCATGTCCTTTGTAGGGACATGGATGAAATTGGAAAACATCATTCTCAGTAAACTACCGCAAGAACAAAAAACCAAACACCGCATATTCTCACTCATAGGTGGGAATTGAACAATGAGATCACATGGACACAGGAAGGGGAATATCACACTCTGGGGACTGTTGTGGGGTGGGGGTGGGGGGAGGGATAGCATTGGGAGATATACCTAATGCTAGATGACGAGTTAGTGGGTGCAGTGCACCAGCATGGCACATGTATACATATGTAACTAACCTGCACAATGTGCACATGTACCCTAAAACTTAAAGTATAATTAAAATAAATAAATAAATTTTAAAAAATAAATAAATAAATAAAAGGAGTTACCATTACTTAATGCTTGTGTAAAATGTTAAAACCCTAACTCATTCATTCATTCTTTATCCAGTTATCTGATCATTGAGGATATTATAGGCACTAGGTCTATAATTTTAACCAAACACCCATGGTACATGCCCTTACAGAGCTCAAAATCTAATGAGAACGGTAGATATTATAATAAACACATATATAAGCAAATTAATATCTAACTGCAAATTGTGATAAGGAAAATAATAGTATGCTTTAATTACGAATAATAATCTAGTCTAGAGATCAGTGGTCAGGGCAGGCTTAGACATAATAGGCGAGAAGTGTTGTGTTTGTTGCTCAATATTTAAATTTTCAACAGAAACCAGTTTTATTATCTCTGATTTACAGATGTAAACTATGAGACAGAAAAATTAGATAAACACACTTTTGGTATGTTGCCATACAAAATTTTATGTTATTGTAAAATCCAGTTATGGTGTGGGAAAGCATTTTGAAGTTTATGTGTTTGTGTGTTTACTGCTCACCTGTCCAGGGCCATTCCTGTCAGTTGGGGTTGTGTCATTCTGTAGTAGCCTGGAGTTATCCCTGGAGGTTTAAGTCACCCAATGCCCATAATTAGTTGTGGCAGTCTCAATTTTCCCTTCCCAATTTTTATTTACTTATATTGGACACAACTCTGATGTGCATTTTAGTATGAGAACTACTGACTTTAGGGCAAATTTTAGAATACTTGGAGCAATGCATTCATGAATGTGCTTTAGGATCTCTCACAAACATGATTTTGGGCAACTCTGCTTTTGGGAAGAGTTGAAGAGCAGAGAGTTTAAAGTCATCAGTGCAGCCAAGCACCTTGACAGGGTGACAGGGTGATTACCATGCAGGTCAGATATCCATGTGCTTTTGCTTTTTTTTTTTTTTTTTTTTTTTTTTGAGACAGAGTCTTGCTCTGCTGCCCAGCCTGGAGTTCAGTGGGAGTGATCATAGCTTGCAGCATAGAACTCCTGAGCTCAAGCTATATTCTTGTTTCATCTTCCTACAGCACTGAAATTACAGGTATGTGCCACTGTGCCTGGCCAAGATCCATGTACTTTGACAATCAAGACAACATCAAGATCCTGGGGAAGGGGGCAGCTGAAACTCTAAGAAATGCACCTGATTGTGTGCTCACATCCTAGAGGGTTAGAAGTGAGCCTCAGAGCAGGCAGATCATGAAGTCAGGAGTTTGAGACCAGCTTGACTAACATGGTGAAACCCCGTCTCTACTAAAAATACAAAAATTAGCTGGGTGTGTTGGTGCATGTCTGTAATCCCGGCTACTCAGGAGGCTGAGGCTGAAGAATTGCTTGAACCCGGGGGGTGGAGGTTGCAGTGAGCCGAGATCCTAACACTGCACTCTAGCCTGGGCAACAGAGTGAGACTCTGTCTCAAAAAAAAAAAAAAAAAAAAAAAAAAAACAATAAAAGTGAGCCTCAAGTACCTACATCAGTACCAGAATCTTTCTTAGAAAATGGCCCTGTGTCTGCTTTAACACAGAAGGTTGAGTAGGTGATAAACTCCCAATATTTTACTTTATATTTCAGCATGATCATATTGTATTTATCTTAGATAAATTTCAAAACAGGTATTTTTATTTTTCCACCATGTTTATAAACAAAAAGAAAACTCAGTCATTTGTATGTCTAATTGAATAGTATATCTTGTTGAATCCTGAGGAAACAGAAGGATTAGCTGTAAACAACTGATGTTTGTAAACCATCTGAATATGGGAGGAGATTTTTCCACCTAGAGAAATCTTAGAAATGATGGCTATGGATGACCCCAGAGAACATTGCCCTTATCCCCGGCTATATTTAAGGAGACTGAGAAGGAGCCATTGATACTCACTTTGGCCAAAACCCATACACCTATAGAGAAGTCACTTACATGGTGGCCTTGTGGTGAGTCTTACTGTTATCCTGAGGAACATCATGTCTGGTTATTGGACATCAGGTCCACTGCACTGGCTTATATATAATCGAGATACCTTTATCTAAACTCTGAAATGACTAACTAAATCCATAGGGCCTGGGGGTGGGGGCTATGTCTTAGAAACCCTCTAAGCCTTCTTGTTAGTCAAGGGCAGGGGCCAACGTGATTTTGACTAGAGCGAGCCTTGAGAATTGAAAGACCGTTTACTGGATATAGGCTGCCAGGCAATTTAAGATAAGCTGGTAGAATTCAGTGTTATAGTGATTATATGGATCTAGACAAGTGGGATGTTAAAAGTGGCAAACTCCATCCCAGGTCACCTTTAAGTAGACATTATAAATCTTTATGTACAGGTTACTTTTCTTCTCAGTAGGAAGCTGGTGAAGATTGCTAAGGTGACTCCCATTTATAAGGAACTGGTGTAAAAGATCCTGGCAGCTATTGCTGCTGGTAATCGGTTCCTTCTCCACTCGCCTGAAATTACTTTCAAGGTAGTTCATAAGCAGGTTTACAGTTATTTTATGGCTTGCTGTTTAATAGTGCTTTCCCAGTCTATATTTTGCTCAAGATATTTTACCTCACCAACAGGGCTTAATTTATTGGCTCTATTAGGCATGGACACAGAGTTAGAGAAAGGATTAAAATAGGTGTTTTCTCATTGTAGTAGGTAGATAGGTCCGACCAAATCTGCCAGGTTTTAAAGCTTGACTCTGTTAGTTTGCATTTGACAGGAATCAATTCTATATTTTTCTGAGGAAAAAAATGTGAATTAATTCTAGTACTTAACCAAGTGCCTGGTACACAGTTAGCAACCAGTGAACATTTGCTTATTGGCAATGCATTTTCAAGTTTATTGGTTGCCAACCCTGTACCAGGCTCCATGTCCTCCATTTATGTGATGGCCCATATTTTTATGATGAATGAATGACTCCACTCAAGGTTATTATTATCTATGGGGAAACATCTATAAACAAAACAATTAATGGTAAAACCAAGTAGAATAAAGTTTGACAGCTAAAACAAAAGTTTAGTTAAAACACTCAGGGGAGAAAGATTAATTCTCTCTTAAAGTAATAATGATAAGCCTCATGGAGAGGATTATTTCTGGGTCCCCATAAAGTATGCTACCAACTGTAGAGTGCTGCACTTGAGTGAAAATGTCATCTATCAGCTCCCTGTGACACCAGGACTAAAGCAAACATTTCATATTAGAGTTATCTATGTTTATTTTCCCAACGTCATGAAAGGTTGAACAGTTTTTCTGTTTCAGTCACAAGTCTCCACAGTTTTGAGTCTAAGTTTCAGCTGAGCTGTCCCAGATGCTCACAATGGTGGTCACTTTCTCCATAGAATAATGTGAATTGTTAAAAGAAAGAAAAAGAAGAAGGGATGTGGGTGAGTTGGGGGAAGAGAGCTGATACTGCCAAAGAACACTAAAATAACACTTAACAGTAGAACACTAGACACATATAGTAGAAAACAAATCAATTCAGAAAGATATTCTCATAAATCCTCTTTCTAGTGACAACTGGGGTTCTTTAAATGGAGAAAAATGAGGGACTGTTATGCAGCATTTGAAAAGAAGCTACAAATTAAGATTATGGATCAATTACTACTGATCTAATATCAAGTGAAATAAAGCCAGATTATAAAAATATACATGAAAAACAATAACAACTATGTTAAAACACATGCAACTTCATGTAGTAACATAGTGGAGCGAAGTACATAAACTTCATGATGACAATTGCTTTAGGATGGAAAGGCAATTGTTTCTTAAAAAACCGTTTGGACGGTGATCGTATTTTAACTATGAAAATGTAAACTTTATTTATTAAGTTGACGTTTAACAGAAAAGCCTTGCAGGGGATCAGATCCCCTTCAAGATTGCACCTGGGAGGCAGGAAAGGATTGTTTATTTAGCCTTAAGGATTTTGTCATAGATTGCAGAGGAATGCTTTAGCCCCTAACCATGCTGCTCTGCTCTGTTCCCATTTCATCTGCACTTGCAATACAAAAGTGTTTTCTGAGGGTGTTCTGAAACAGTTCTAGTCCGCTTAAGGTCACACAGATCAACCCTGGATCCATGTCTCAGTGGAGCAAAGTTGAGGGGGAAGGCAGACAAAGCTGACTGCTCATGGGGGCCCCACGTGGTTGAGACCCAGAGAGAGCTTAATCAGTGATGTGAACTGGCTGACGTGAGTTGCAGAGACACAAACTCACAACCAGAGTATCAATCAGCATTAGTGATCATTAGGGACATGGTCTGCTTAAAGTCAGCAATCTGAAAAGGCCAGACTGAGTTCTTATGATAGAAATGACGTATGTATAAAACATTCCCTTTTTGCTTTCAAATCAATTGGCCCTTTTATATTACATGGCACAACTCTCTAGAATCATAACTTACTTCTTGCCAAGACAGATTTCAAGTTCCTTCTTTGGGCAAAACTTTGACCCTTACTTTAGATCCCTTGGAGACACATTTCTATATGGAAGTCTTAGTCATATTGGTTCCAACAAGACTGAATATAGTGCTCGACACTTAATAAGTTCCCAGGAAATGTTTGTTAAATGGGATACAAAAGATTCCCAATTTCTTTCCTCTTGTCTTCACAGCAGCAGCATACTGTGTTCCTCTATCTGGAATGTGTCTGAAGTGGCTTGATGGCTTTGTCATGGGTGGGGGCACTTCCTCTCAGGGAAGTGCAGGCTTCACTCTTTTTGTCCTCTTCACTCTGTTCTGAACTTTTCTCTTCACACTGGATTTCTGTTTACTGCATGGCCTTTAGATATGATGCCACGGGGTGTCTCTGCGTTTTAGGCACCTAGCCTCCTTCTTCTCTTGGAGGGGACATTGGCACAATTTCATTTTTGAAGCAACTGGCATCTCAGATTATGCTTCAAGTCCCCTAACCCAATTTAAAGCTTTCTTTTTCTCATAGCTTTTCTAGATCAGTAGTGTGTGTGTTGCCTAGTCATCAAATCTAATAAGAGCAGACAGTTTTGTCTCTCCGATGGTTCCTGTGTAATAATTCCACATCCATGTGTCATCTAACACACACCGTTTTGTCAGGTTAGGAAAGTGAAATTCATGAGCTTAAAAAGAGAGGACATTGTCCGTGGAGTTGCAGCCATGACAGAGTTATGTGTCCTTAAAAAAGGGGCTATACAAAAGCTGCTTCACTGCACTAAAACTAACACATCCCATGTTATTGACTCCCTCGGAAGCAATGTCTAAAGACCACTGCTCCAGCTGGTAGAGACATCGGAGTCTTAACCACCGATTAGCACATTTCCTGGGTTGTGCGTTGTCCTTTGGCTGAACTCTCCAAATGCTGCACTTGCTGAGGTTGCTTTAGACTCAAGAGTGTCATAGCAGCACTTTTTGTTATTATTGCATTGGCTTCCTTGGGTTCAGATGTCACAGTGCAGTACCGATAAGTGAAAAATTAAGGAAGAACTAGCAAAAAAATAAAGCATATGTTGGAAGTCACAGCATAGCATAATTACCGTCAAGATATTAACTCTCTAAAAAGAGGACAATTCAAGCATTAAAAAGATGCTATGTTGGGATGTTGTATCACTTCTTGCCAGTATATAGTCGACTCTGATTTAAGATAAAGTACGTAAGTTCTATTTTCTAATGTACCTTCTAGAAGAATAGACCAGCAGTTAAAACTTCTCATTAATAAGTGCAACTTGTAACATAATAATAGATTTATAATACATGCTTAGTTGAATAGTAGGGATAGGGATGGTGATAAAGGTATTTACAATGTTACAAATTAAGCATTTTACATGTGTGTTCTCTTTCAACACATCCCTCAGTATATCTAACCTTCAAAGACCTCTATAAGATGGGAATGATTATTCCCATTTTGTAGATGATGAAACTGAAGCTTAGAGAAGTGACTTTTCTGAGGTTACATGGCTAGAAAGTACAGGAAACAGGTGGTCCTAATTGCAGATCTTTCCTATATCAGTTGTTGTTTCTCAGGGAAGCAGAATAACTGTAAGTTATACAGAATAAACATTTATTATAAGGATTAGATATTTCACAATTATGGGAGCTGTTTAAAAAACATCTAAGATTTTTTAATAAAAAAATCTAATATTTTTTTAAAGTAAGAGGCTGTTGCCTCTGCATTTCTAGTGGTGGGCTTGAAGTTTCTGTTTGTTAGCCAAGGGAATATATTATAAGGATATAGAGGTATCTTATTGGACATGGGGTCTCAACAAGTTCCTGCAATCGGCAGTCATCAGGAACCAAGGTGTTGGTTTGTTCGCTCTCTCTTTGTCACCCTCTCTCTCTCTCGGTATCTGTTGCCTATTCTCTTTCTGGAGATTGACTTAGTTTTTGTATTTATTTATTTATTTGTTTGTTTGTTTTTGCTTCTTTGTGCATATAGCAGAAGATGGACACTTGTGTAGCTATCCAACCTGTAGATTTTATATCAAACAACCAACAGAGAATGCCTTGGAACTATTAATACTAATTCCAGATTCCAGGAAAACAGAATCTCATTAACCCAACTTGGATCAACTGTGACGAGGGAAGAGTAAAATGAAGACAAGGAGGGTCATGAGTGGGCAGCCACCTCCAAAAGTATGCTACAACCAGGATTGTTCTGGCACGGTATAAAGGGTGGATTTCAGGAGGTGATAATAAAAACTGGACATTTCTGAAAGTTAATTTGACAGGCTTTGCTGCTTGCTCTTGTAGCAGAGAGTTTCCTGTAACAAATTGGGCAAGGGGGCTGAGATTTTGCCTTGGAAACCAATGTATTCATTTACAATTGGATGTGAAAACTGTCCTAGAAGGATTATGTTCTATCTGGCTTCTCACGGTTTTTAGATAACTGTAGACTTGTTATAGAGATATAACCCAACTTCCACTTCCTCAATTCATTAAAAAGGAAACTGAAGATCAGAGAGATTAAAGGATTACTAAACCTCTCTTTTTAATTAAATTATATTTTAAACCATAATCCCTCATCCAAATTGTACAGATCCTTTTTGGAATGGTTTTAGAAAAGAACCTCAGTGATTAGAACTCTACTTGACAGATTGGGTTAATCCTCAGATCTTCAAGTGAATTGAGATTAAGCTAAATCATATATTCTCACTATATCTTAAAATAACTAATTTTCTACCCCAAAAGAACATGCATTTAAGTTGACAGTCTCTTGGTTCTGATTCTGCAGATGTCTCCAGTTTGAACATATGGTGATTGTACTTACCACCTGTGCTGAAATTCTTGCAAACACTGGGGATTTGAGACCAAATGTCAGCCCCAAGTTTGATATATATTGGCTTCGGTAACTCTTTCTCATAACCTTCTCTCAATCTTAAAATAGTTTGAGATTATTATATTTGTCTGAATGTTAGTAAAAATGTCATTACCTTGTGGTGGAGAACAGTATTTGAGCACTTGTGGTGACTTGTTTCAACTCTAGAATGTTATACTTTTCTTTGTCATTTTGGGTCTTTCTAAGCCACTAACTCCTTTTTGAAATATATTGTAATAATTTTTTTGCATTTTGTTATTTTCATTTTTATCATTTCATCATCTTATGTGAGTTTAAAGTCATTTGCAAATACCAAAAGAGTAAAGGATTCTCCTTAGGCTCCAACACATTTAACTTTTAGTGCTGAAATACTTTTATGCTGTTCTTATTTTATTGCACCTATCAATATTTATGTATAGTTAAATTCCCTTATAATATTTTCCAAGAGACCAAGCTTTAATAATATAGGCAGAACAATGTGAAATGTATAATACGGTGAATATTGAGGCAACTTACAATAGTTTGCCTGCAAGTAAGACACTTCTTAGCATAATATATCAGAACAAAATATATCTCATCTTATTCCACAGACTTGAAATGGCCACTATACCAAAGCAGGTTTGAAAAAAAATGTTTATAAGCTTTAAAAAGGAGAGTTGAATAGAATTAATAGAATCAAGGGCTGAAATAGTATACATGGACTTGATGTTTGTAGGCTGATTTTGGTTAGATGTTAAAAATATTTATATCTGATCAAAGTGGTATGTGTAGATACATTCCAATTAGTTGATTTTTGGTTCTTCTTTCAAAAATGCTGAACATGAGTTATAGACACATTAAACAGCTTGAGCAAGGTCATTTAGCAGTGAACTGCCGAAAGAACTAATGGATAGAACAAAGCATTACATCCTACTTCTTAGCTCTGTCTTAAGTATTTGTACCACTATAGGCAAGTGACTTGCATTAGCTTGGCCCTTTCTAGAAACTCAGTAAGCACTTGATCGACTGAAATATTCAGCCTCAGTTTTGTCATCTCTAAAACTAGAATAATGAAATCTACCCATATAATGGGGACAGTTTAGGACTTACATGAAGATACTTGAAAAAGTTTAATGAGAGAGCAAATAACCATTATTTAGAAATTTAGAATTCTGGTTCCAGAGCTCAGCTGCCATATTGTTTAACAAACAGAACATAAAGCAAGAGAAGCTGTGCCCACTTGTGGTTAGTCAATATGTGATTGTAAATGAAGAATACTGAAAACATTAGAAAAATTATGGAAGAGGAAGAGAGACCATGTAGAAAAAGCCAACCTTGGGAAGAGCAGATGGCGATGTGAGCTAAGACTGACGAAATGCAAGGGTGATGCCCTCTCTACAGTGAGAGTCAGGAGATAACACTGCCCCTTTGCTTTTGGCACTCTGTGGCACTCTACTTTGGTTTCTGCCTTCAACTTGAACTAATTTCTGAAGCAAGCCATACATCATCCCAGTGAAGCTGTGGGTTCACTGGTCGTTAGAGTTCTGTCTTCATATCTCATTGCCAGTATATGGTCTATGGTGAGTAACCCTTCTATTATCTGCACAGCTGTTGAGTAATATTACGTTAAAACATTACATGGACAATTATGTTCAATTATATAAAATGAATCTATTTTAGCTAATGCTTATTCTCTAGGGTTTGTGCATCTTTAGTTACAGGAAGTTTAGTACAGAGTGGCAGATGGCACAACACAATGTTTGTCAGCTAATAAATTTAAATGTCATGGCATTCTACATTTTTTAGCATGTAGATATCGACGTACAGTATTTCAGTCAAATGCCTAAGCTCACTTTTGAGGTAGAGGAACAATTGTGTTAAACTTCATTCATCTATAACCTTCTTTTGTGTGATGATGTGACTTTTCAGCTGGAGGGCAAGTGGCATTCAGCCGTAACACTTTCTCCTTCCACTTTGGCCTGCTGCTGTTCCCCAAGGACAACACCTGTCAGAAGCACTTCTGTGACATTGCCCTCTGGCCTTTCTCTAATATTGCTTTTCCAGTCTCTGTTCTTGCCAGGCGATAGTGGCACTGCTGTCACATTTTCTCCCTCAGCCCAGTGATTCTAGCAAACTCTTCAGTAGTACACTAGTAGCATTGTATATTTAATTTGCATCTTGTCCCTTTTCAAATCTTCTTCTCATTCTGTTGGTTCAAGCTTTTGTTGGGGGTGGGGGGCAGGTATTTATATTTGACTTGCAGACTAGGAGTCTGGTACAGCTGTTCCCTCTCTCACTGAGAATGTAGGTTGCCTCTTTTCCAGTCTTTCCCTCTTGTCTTCTTCCCGGAAGGGAAATATCTCTCTGTACAGGCTACCTTGCTGGGAACTTGTTCTTCTTTGCTTTCAATCTCTTTTAAAACTGGCTGGCCAATGGGACTCATACTTTGTTTCTTTGAGACTAAGGGTTCACCTTTTACCTGGATCTGAAGACTTCTATGGGATCATCATGCTATAGAAATAATCCTGCTTCCTTCTTTCAGATTTGGCAAATTCCTTTCCATCTCTGACCACATGGCTGCGAGCTTTAGAAACTCGCGTTGCCTTTGAAGTGCACCAGAGGATCCCAGTAAAACTCAGGTTTTGCACTTTTATCAATAGTAACATGCGACACCTCAGCTGTTCCCCGAAGTCTATACTGTCCTGAAAGTCTATCTCTGTTCTCTCTCTCCCTTTAAGATCCTCCACTGAGCAACTTCATTGTGAAATTGCTTTATATGAAGAAGTTCACCCCATCCCTTTCTCTCTTTTAAGCAACATTACCTCTTCTGTTTGATGGATTATAAACAGAGTTCCATTGACACGAGGCAGGACGATGGAATGATTAAGAGCTCAGACCTTGGGGGCAGAGTCTAGGTTTGAAGCCTAGTTCTGTCACATGTTAGTCTAAATTTGGTCAAATTTTTCCCCTTTCAGAGCCTCAGTTTTCTCATTTGTAGAACGGGGATAGTAAATTATACCTTAGAGAAACGTTGCGGAAATTAAATAAGATAAATCATTTACAGCATATACCATGGTGCATGACACAGGGTAAACAATCAATGAAGTGTAGCTATTATGATGATTGGGATGGAATTAATTTTGACATCAGAATTTATTCATTTAGTAAATCAGTATTAAGCTAATAATAATAACTAACATTTATTGAACAAGGATGTGACCCCATTCTTTTTTCTGTTGTTGAGATGGAGTCTCGCTCAGTCGCCCAGGCTGGAGTGCAGTGGCGCGATCTCCGCTCACTGTAAGCTCCGCCTCCCGGGTTCACGCCGTTCTCCTGCCTCAGCCTCCGAGTAGCTGGGACTACGGGCGCCTGCCACCACGCCTGGCTAATTTTTTGTATTTTTAGTAGAGACGGGGTTTCACCGTGTTAGCCAGGATGGTCTCGATCTCTTGACCTCGTGATCCACCCGCCTCGGCCTCCAAAAGTGCTGGGATTACAGGGGTGAGCCACCGCGCCCGTCCATGACTCCACTCGTATATATTTATGTTCGTCTCTGGAGTTTATGTTCTAGAATTTCTGCAGTTACTTTGGAGTTCATGGATTTCTTGTACATGCACCCAGCTCTGTGGGAAAGGGAGGACCACTGGCCCGGAGTGAAAATGTGGCTCCGTCACTAACTCTTGCGTGCCTTTAGACAACTCATTTATCTCTCTATGCTTTGGTTTCCTTATTTGCTAATGGTGACAATATCTCCCATTTAGTGAGCTAATAAAGGTGAAATTGAAATCGTACTCCCAAGAGATAAAGCAACCAATGTGTAGTAGAAATTCCTGCGCTTGCAGGATGGTAGATTACAAAAAAACAGAAACAACTTGGTGAAACCCTGAAACTCCCTCTGCTTGTAAAATAACAAAACTGGCTAAAATAAGTTGGAACCAATAAGGCCAAATGAAGTCTGTGCAGATCAAGCGTGCCAACTTCACAGCCCAAATTTCTGCTGCATATTTCATACTAACTCTTCCCAAGTTTGTACATGGAACTCATAAGGAGGCATGAAGAAATAATGGCAGATGTTTAGGGACTTTCTAGACCTCCCCTTTCTTTCAACCAATCACCTACTAATCCCAGAATCCACCCCCTAAACCTTTCTAATAAAATTACTGCCTTAAAGCCAGCACAGGGAGACAGATTTGAGCTGGACACCTGTTTCCTCATTAGCCAGCTTGCAATAAAAAGCTTTTCATTTTTCAAAAACTTAGTGTCATTTCCTTACTTCTGATATATATCTGGGAGTGGAATTGTTGGATTGTAAGATAGCTCTGTTTTTAGTTTTTTGTTGTTGTTGTTGAGGAACCTGCAAACTGTTCTCCGTAGTGGCTGTATTAATTTACATTCCACCAATAGTGCATGAGGGTTTCCTTTTTTCCACATCCTTTTCAGCATTTGTTATTGTCTGACTTTTGCATAAAAGCCATTTTAACAGGAGTGAGATGATATTTCCTTGTAGTTTTGATTTGCATTTCTCTGATGATCAATGATGTTGAACACCTTTTTGTATGCTTGTTTGCCATTCGTATGTCTTCTTTTGAGAAATATCTATTCAGATATTTTGCCAGTTTTTAAATCAAATTATTATATTTTTTCTTATAGAGTTGTTTGAATTCCTTATATACTCTGGTCATTAATCTCTTGTCAGATGGGTAGTTTGCAAATATTTTCTCCCATTGCGGAGGTTGTCTCTTCATTTTATTGATTATTTCCTTTGCTGTGCAGAATCCTTTAAACTTGATGTGATCTCATTTGTCCATTTTTGCTTGGTTATCTGGGCTTGTGGGGTATTACTCAAGAAATCTTTGCCTAGTCCAATGTTCTAGAGAGTTTTACCAATGTTTTATTTTTGTAGTTTCATAGATTTAGGTCTTAGATGTAAGTCTTTAATCCATTTTTATTTGATTTTTGTATATGGTGAGAGATAGTGGACTAGTTTCATTCTTTTGCTTATGGCTATCCAGTATTCCCAGCACCACTAATTGAAGAGAATGTCCTTTACACAATGTATGTTCTTGGCACCTTTGACAAAAATGAGTTCACTGTGGATGTATGGATTTATCTCTGGGTTCTCATTCTGTTCCACTGATTATGTGTCTGTTTTTATGCTGCTACCGTGCTGTTTTGATTACTATAGTTCTGTAGTATGATTTAAAGTCACGCAATGTGGTTCCTCCAGTTTTATTCTTTTTGCTCAGGATAGCTTTGGCTATTCTGGGTCTTTTGTGGTTCCATATAAATTTTAGGATTTTTTTTTTCTATTTCTGTGAAGAACGTCATTGGTATTTTGATTAAAATTGCATTAAATCTGTAGATTGCTTTGGGTAGTATGGACGTTTTAACACTATTGATTCTTCTAATCCGTGAACATGGACTATCTTTTTATTGTCTTCTGTCTTCTTCAATTTCTTGCATCAAAGTTTTATCGTTTTTATTGTAGAGATCTTTCCTTCTTTAGTTAATTTCTAGGTATTTTATTTTATTTGTAGCTACTGTAAATGGAATTACTTTTTTGGTTTATTTTTAAGATTGTTTGCTGTTGACATACAGAAGTGCTCTGATTTTTGCATGTTGATTTTGTGTCCTCCAACTTTACTGAATTTGTTTATCAGTTCTAATAGCTTTTTGGTGGAGTCCTTGGGTTTTTCCAAATATAAGATTGTGTCATCTGCAAACAAGGGTAATTTGACTTCTTCCTTTCCAATATGGATGCCCTCTATATCTTTCTCTTGTCTGATTGCTCTACCTAGGACTTTCAGTACTATGTCAAATAACAGTGGTGAAAGTGGACATCCTTGTCACGTTCTCCATCTTAGGGGAAAGGCTTTCAGCTTTTCCCCATACAGTAGGATACTAGCTATGGGTCTGTCATATATGGCTTTTATTATGTTGAGGTACATTTCTCCTGTACTCAGTTTTTGAGGGTTTTTATCATGAAGGGATGTTAAATTTTGTGAAATGCTTTTTCAGCATAAATTGAAATGATCATATGATTTTTGTCCTTCATTCTGTTGATATGATGTAATACATTAATTTATTTGCTTATATGTTAAACCATCCTTGCATCCCAGGGATAAATCCCACTTGGGCATGATTAATTATCTCTTTAATGTGTTGTTGAATTCAATTTGCTAGTGTTTTGTTGAGGATTTTAATATCAATATTCACCAGGCCTATTGGCCTATACTTTTCTTTTTTTTTCTTTTTTTTTTTTTTTTTTGAGATGGAGTCTCGCTCTGTCGCCCAGGCCGGACTGCGGACTGCAGTGGCGCAATCTCGGCTCACTGCAAGCTCCGCTTCCTGGGTTCACGCCATTCTCCTGCCTCAGCCTCCCGAGTAGCTGGGACTACAGGCGCCCGCCACCGCACCCGGCTAATTTTTTGTGTTTTTAGTAGAGACGGGGTTTCACCTTGTTAGCCAGGATGGTCTCGATCTCCTGACCTCATGATCCACCCGCCTCGGCCTCCCAAAGTGCTGGGATTACAGGCGTGAGCCACCGCGCCCGGCCCCTATACTTTTCTTTTTTAGATGTATCTTTGGTTTCAGTATCAGAGTAATACTGGCCTCACAGAATGAGTTTGGAAATATTCCTTCTTCCTCTATCTTATGGAAGTGTTTGAGTAGGATTGGTATTAGTTCTTTAGATGTCTGGTATAATTCAGCATTGAAGCCATTGGCTCTCTGGCTTTGCATTGCTGGAAAATTTTTATTAAAGCTTCACTCTTATTACTTGTTATTAGTCTGTTCAGGTTTTAGATTTTTTCACGGTTCAATCTTGGTAGGTTATATGTCTAGGAATTTACCCATTTCTTCTTGATTTTCCAATTTACTGGCATATAGTAGCCATTAATTATCATTTGAATTTTCACAGTATCAATTGTAATATCTCCTTTTTCATCTCTGGTTTTGTTTAGTTGAGTCTTCTTTTTTACTAGTCTGGCTAAAGATTTGTCAATTTTGTTTATCTTTTCAAAAAACAATTTTTCATTTCATTGACCTTTTGTATTGTTTTCTTCATTTTATACCAAGGCTACATCCAACTGTATTGCATTTATTTTCTTGTATAGGATAGGCAAGGATTAGAAAAATGAAAATATAAACTTTTTGAGAGTGATGGAAATGTAGGTGGTTTTGTGTTTTATCTTTTTAATGTTTTTGGGTATAATGTCTTTGCAACCAGACCCTTGTTTTGGGCAATGCTAAGGAGGAATGGTGATTGATTGTGTGAATAAAGGCTTTTAGTGTTTCTTATTTTCAGACTGGGGCAACCTAAATGAGACTTTGTTTATTCTGTTCAGTAACTTTTTGCTCTTTTCTTTTGCAGGAGGCTGGAGTCAGTTATTGGGGTGAATTACAGGGATTTAGATACAAAAATCTCTTAGAAAGCCAAGAAAATATTTCTGTTCTAATGCAGTTGCAGCAAAAAGACACCAAATGTAGGTCAACGGGCAAGGAAAATTGTTGTTTTCCTTGGAGATGACACTGAGAATAACAGGTATGCTGAGTGGCAGCTTTATCTGGGGATAGTGTCATGACTGATGACATGATAGTGTATGTGACCTTGAATATCCTCAGAATGCACTGAAACTGAAGGTGTCACTGATTTGACGTAAGTGGAAATTCTGGAGATTTTGCAAATTCTAGTTATCCCAGTTAGTCAAGGGCCATGGTCAGATATGTCTCTGAACTAAAAGAATGTATCATCTTAGGGACAAGAGGACTGGGTTTTAATGAACCTTTCTAAGAATGGCAGGTTCCCAGTCCAACCAGGAAGAGTTGTCAAAAGTGGAAACAACTGGCAGGAGAGGAGGTAAGAGAAGCTGCCCTGGCGGCTGGAGGTCAGCACTGCTCACCTTTGCTTAAGCAAGTATGTGAATAGACTTTGTTGACCTATGATTTGGGTGTCATGGGTCTCAGGTCCCTCAGTGTGGGGTGAGGGAAAGCATGGAGGGGAGAAATGGTGGTGTTGCAATGATTGTATTTTCTAATATGCTTGAGGCAGCACAGAACCTAGAGAGCCCAGGGCCTAATGTCTTTGAGCTGCTCTTCCGTGGTCCCCTGTGTCAGACATTCTTACCTGTCCACAGCCTGCACTTACAGTGCTAGAAACAGAAATAGAGGGATACATTTATTTTAGTGGATTCCTTCCCCTTTATATGCTTCACTGTGGCCATCAAGGAACAAAGAGGAAGGGAAATTTGAGACTATCTAGTTATAACACCTTCACTTTTTAAGAGAATTTCTTTCTCCACACCCTCTTTGTTTTTCATTTCTTCTTGTCTTTTTTATTTAAATCAGAAAATAAAGTCATTCTGATGAAAAAAGAAATAGAAGCTCTTACAGTGTTGCTTTGTGAACAGAGAACGGTTCTTAGACAAGCCAGTCCCTACCTCCTGGCCCAGCAGTTGCTTGCCTCTGGCCAGAACTTGCTGCCAGCCTGACAGCCACCAGCAGGAACTGGCATCTCTAGTTATGTTTTCTGACTTAGGGAAGATAGGCAGAGGTTTAATGTAGTGGAATATGATTCGGCCAGGGTTTTGGACAGAATGAGACTGTGGAGATCTGTATTATCTGAGGATGAAGGACAATAGAGGCATAAGAGACAGGAAATGGCCCAGGGAAAAGAACGAGTGAGAGAGAATTGGGAATGTGGTGAATGGGGGTGAGTGTGCCAAGGCATTGGCCTCTACTGGGAGCATAAAAGACTGAAATATTGACAGCTCAGGTACTGGGCAAATGGAACTGGAAGTGATAAACAAATGTCCCTATCTCATGGTGCAGAAAGACGGTGGCCCAGGCAGTCTGGCTCATGATCCTGTAGACTCTCTCTCTTGATTTGAGGTCCTGAGAACTGAGGTTCCTTTAGGATGCTAGCTGATGTACACTGGTTTTCAAAGTAGGAGACATTTCAGAAATAGGACCAGGTCTTCTTTAAGGAAAATCAATCTCTCCTCTTTTTCCTTTCTTCTTTTCGATTCTTAACCTCTCTCCATTTGTTCTCCTGATAGAAAAAAATCACAGATGGGATGAAGATCAACTGTAGGCAGGAAGCCAGAGTGAATGCAGGCGAGAGGAGTGGACCTTCTGTGGGAAATGTGGAGCCAGGAAACATGGACCATATGTGTCTGGATTTCCATATCTCGAGTGAGGCCATTGAATCCTGAAAAGGATGAGAGCCCTGGAAAACCTGCGGGAATGAAAGGAAGCCAAAGGGGAGGTTTTTTAAGCAAAGGCAGGACTGAGATGGCTATTAGCACAGTGTAGTGGCGGGCTCTGGGAAGCCAGTTTTGATAGTCGGTGAGAGAAAGCAGTGTGCATTCAGGAAATGAGAGCAGTTCATGGCGCTTTGCACAAAAGCCCTTGTATGCCCTGAGAAAGCACTTAGACTTTATCTGAGAGTCAGAGTGGACCACTCTGGTATCAGTTAGCTCAATGAGGCAGGCAATGGATTGAGATGCCTTAGGACAGAGGTATAGGAAAGCCAGAGTCAGAGAAAGCTGTTAGGAGGATTAGCAGGAAACCAGGCAAGAAATACAAAGGCCATAACCTGAGGCAGAAACAGAATGGAGAGGCAGGTGGTGAAGGGGAAAGGAGGCTCAGGGTTTCTCCCAAGATGACGAAAGGGAAACTTGGGTTTCGTGCTCCCTCTGGGATAAACAATTTCTCCAAAATAATTGATTCATAAGAAACCAAAAGGTATTAAATAAATAAATGTTATCTCTCTTTCCAAACTAAAGTTCTAGACAAGCTGGAGAACAGACAAGGAAGAAGAGAAGAATCCAGAAGGAAGGGCTGTCACTTCTAAACAAAACCTGAGGGCGATAAAACCCTCCTCGGGCTATGGCCACCGCCAGGAGAGGTTTGGGTCAGTGCTGTTGTACAAATGCCCCTTCCCTTAATCTCCTGGGTGACATCTAAGACTGGAGCACTGAGATGAGTTTTCATGAAGGCTGGAGGGAAACAAAGGGGAAATAAACATTTGGTAGCATGTAATTAGAGAATCTGGCTTATAAGAGATGACTGCCTGCTAAGGACACAGAATCAGTCACCTCAACTCCACAATTTGAGAGAGAAAGATCCAGAGGAAAGAAGTAGTCGGTCCTGAAGACAACAATGACCTGTCCTCTAGCAACCACCTCATCTTAGTTCTTGACATTCAGAATAGCAACTTCCTGCTGGGGTGACTAGATGGATAGATAGATGCATGGGATCTACAGGATTTCCTTATGGTTTTTTTTGGCCCTTTTGTAACTTGCCTCAAATTCAGGGGAGCCTCAAGTCCCAGGGAATGTGTCACCTCAGGAGAAGGGAAACAATTGGATGTGAAATTTTCCAATGTTTCAGTGACTGGCATCAATTCTAGAGAGTAATTTCTAGAATCACTTTGATAATTTAGTGTTTAGCAGAGGCTGGTGGACTAGAGATAAATGGCTAAAGGTGAGTAGAGGGAATTCCACTGGTACTGGTGGGGTAGGCTGTGATGTGATCCCATTTATAAATAGGACAGATGGCACAATGGGGATATGGATTTGGAACAGCAAAAGGTGAAACATTGGTCCTGCTACTCCCTGATTTATGTCTGAACCCCTATCTCCTCAGAGCTCAGCTGGGATAGACAGAGAAAGTCTCTGACTTGCAGAGAAACAAATTCATTCCTGGCAGGGACTGGGTTCTCTCCAGGTTATAGACCTAGCACACCAAGGGAATGATGTTTATTTTCCCTTCTCACCAGCAGGGGCACAGAGGGAACAGCTTTAAATCCAGATGGCCAGGACTGTGCTGGAAAGAAGGGACCGATAGCAAGCCATAAAAAGTAATACAGAGCTTTTTTTTTTTTTTCTTAGTCCAATCTGTCCTTTGGACACTTGTGTAGCACTAACAACAACAATAGCTTCTAATAATTATTCTCTTAATTTGTGCAATGCTTTTTACAGGTAATATCTCATAAAATTTTAAAATAATCGATAAGAAAGACGTTACCTTCCCAATTTCGTGCATGATGAGTCAAGATTGGAGAGGTTCAGTAAGTTGTTCAAGGTCACTCAGCTAGTAACTGCCAAAGTTGTTAGAATCTCCAGTCAGTCTGACAGTGGCATCCTTGTTATTTGATCCAGTGCATTGCTGTCCCTCTTTTAGCCATTTTTGTCCCTGCCTCTCTTGGTCATTTATGACTCTGAAGGACCTGAATGTCAGAAGGAGAGGAGTACAGAAACAGCTCACGGACAGCAAAAACCCCTCTGTGCACTGGGATGATCCTGCATCCACTTCTGTGAGATTATCTGCAGATCTGCTCACGTGTTTCTCAGGGGACTCTGAGACCCCAGAGAATGTCTCCAGCCTTGCAACTGGAATGGGAAGGGCACGGAAGTATAGCTCTTAGTAAGGAATGAGTGAATGAACCAACAGATGTTGCTGCTGACTATAAGGACAGTCAAGAAGCCATCACGCACATATTTGACAAACTTTTGTGGGGCATAGGGGTTTCTCTGTAGTCTAGACATTAGAAATACACTGACAGGGCAGATTTTGGCTTACTGTAGAAAAGTAATTTCTAAGACCTGGTGTTGTCCATGGAAAAAATGGGCTGCCTCTATTTCAATGCCTGTCAGGCATTTTAGAAAGGTGATTGCTGTTGTAAGAATTTGGGCAGATGGCTTCCAAGATCCCTCCCAATATTAAAATTCTGGTATCTAAAGCTCTTGAAAACTTTATTTCAGACCCCATCTGGCTAAATTTGTTGATGAATAAATGAATAGGAATTTATATTTGAAGGTAGTTACTGTATTTTAGACACCCTATCAGATTTGTTGATTGAATAAATGAACGACAAGCTAGACCCTGAGGTTCTCCACCTGTGGGTACACCACATTCTCCTCATCCCCCATGTTCTGTGATCTCACTTCCAACAGGCAGGGCTGAGACTCCCTTGCTCAGCACTGCCCTGCAGGCCCTCAGGGCACAGATATCCTCAGGCATTCACAATGACTGTGAGGAGATCAAAGTGAAAGGGGCCAGGGAAGTCTGGCAGCTCTGGTGGGCTGCAGTTTTCATCTCCCTGGGGCAGAAGAGAGAGCAGCCTCTGGGTGACACAGCCTGACTGGTGCCTGGGAGGAACAGGCGTGGGCAGAGCCATGTGCATGACAGGGAGAGGTGGAGACTGGGGATGAAGTCAGGATCTTATTGTCCTTGGAGGTAATGTCTGTGGTTCTGGAAAGCTCTTTACAGAAATCTTTCTCTCCTCAGCTTCCCAGGGGCTCAAATTCTTTTCATGGAGAAAAAGCCTTTCATCATAAGATGAAATTCAAGAGTGTCAAAAGCAAATGACTCTTGATCAACATCTAAGCTAGAGTGAAGTGGAACCTCTCTGAGGTAGCTTATTACGGGGAGAAATGGGGGAAAAGGTGGGAAGATTCCACACTAATGAAAGGAAGCACTGTGGGGGAGGGAAAAGGCTGCCAGAGGACCAGAGCCACCAAGACATCTGAGGACTAATTTTCCTCTCACAGTTTTTCCTCAGCTAGAGGGAGAGGGTGTTTGAGAAAGGTCTCATTGGTCTAATGACAGAAGGTTGAATTTAAATAATGCTTCAAACCTCAGGATGTACTCTAAACTTTTGACCCAGTAAATCGTGCCTGGGATATTTTGGGCAGCCCTGAAGCATCTCCTGAGGGATCTTTGAGAGCACAGTACCCAGAGGGCACCTTCAAAGGTGTGGCAGATGACTGTCTCTGCTCCTGCCTCTCCTCATCCGAGCTGCTTTTAGCACTTAGCCAGAGGGACCTTCCTCACGGGCACCTCTGGCGGACACAGAGCACCCACCATGTACCGACAGTGGCTTTGTGCCACCAACCAAAGCAAGTTTAAAAGCTTCGTCTTGCCAGAAATTTTAATTTCCTTGGAAAATACAAATGTCTGGTAACAAGTGTTTTTCATAACAACTTTGTGTTTTTTACAGAGAATGGAGTCACAATTTTGGTTTGCATAGATATGAAAACTCTAGGTATGATAGAAAGCTTGATTATGCATTTAACCAAACGCTTTCACTAGTTGTAATTTTGGTTCCCAAATGCATTCACCCCAGTTTAAGCCTATTACTTCTGGCCAAGGAACCTCTAAGGCTCCCTATTGCTTTCAGTTTGAGGCCATTAGCTTCTCTGATAAGTGGAAACACTACATACTCCACTGATTCTCACCCCTATGAGTCGGAAATGTGCACTCTCTCCTTCACACTGCACTTCTCCATTCTGGTTGGCTTTTTCCTTTTTCAGGAATATCGTCCTTTCCTTTATTTGCTATCCAAATTATTCTCATTCCTCTCCTTCTGCCAGAGGTGTCTCCCTGTCTCAGAAGCCTGCCCCGTTCGTATCATCCCTTCCCGTTGCTCCCTTCTCTTCCTAGAGCACTTGCAGTTTTCACCACTCAACTGAGCTTCACTTTTTTCTGAAAATCCTGATTCGTGTGTCCTTGTCTTAGCGGAACAAGAGTACTTCTTGCCTGGAGCTGGACTTAATAGGCATATATGTTGTTTTCTTCAAGTGGGGGAAAATCCATTAGTCTAACCCCTACCTACCCTTCAACCTCCTCATTCATAAAGATGTGAGTGAAGATCAGAGTGATTTATCCGATTGGCAAATTCAAGAAGAGCAAACTGTGTGCAAGTAGCCCTGCTCTTTTTTTCCCTCTTCTCTTTGGAAGGCTGCAGAAAATATTAATTCTCCACTCTTCCGCCAAGAGGAAGTCTTCTCCAGTTCTCTTGGGAGAAGTGTGCAAATCTGCCTGATGTGATGTCTGACTTTCAGGCATACGTATTCTTGCTCACTAAGCTACATCTTTCAATCTAACCATAATCTGTCATTCCTTTGTTTTATTTTTCAGTTTATTCAGTGCTTGCATGAGGAAAAGAGGTGGCATTTATTGGGGATGCTAAAACAAGGAAGTGACAGTCTTGGCAAAGGTCAGTTGATGCAGGAGGCAGCCATCACCCATAGTGCATGGCAAAGGCCCTGTATGGCTGCTGCATCTCATTTTATTTTGAACAGGCTAAATCTCAGCATAAGACCACTCCAAAACAGACTCTTGACTCCCAGAGGGGGTCATCTGGTAGGCAGAGTTTTTGGTTTGCATCCATCTGGATGCTCAGTATTCCGGCCAAATAATGTATCTTGGTTTTGGCACTGTAAACGTTTAGATTTCCTCCTGATAAAAAGTGTCCAAGAGATTTAGATGCTTGGAGATGCTGCTCCTGGAACCCAACATGGGCCTGGATCAGTGGGAGATGCTGGTTTTGTAGTTTACCACAGCTGGAGGCCCCATTGTCCAGCCCACTTGAACCCTGTGGTCAACTCTGAGTGAGAAACAGAGACCAGGATCAGGTTTCACATACTTCAGAATATAAATTTTAGATTAAGTGTTCCCTCAGTCAACAGCCTTCCCTATTTGTATTGTCAGCAGCATGTAGACTTGTAAAGTTACAAGAGAAGATCAAGAACCATGTACCAGAGTTGAGATATTGCCATTAGGCTGATAAGAGATTTACTGGGTTTGGAATTAGAGGCCAATAACAAAGCAACAACAACTCAAGACTTCATAAAGTCTTAATTTGTTCTCAAGAGATTTAGGTATTAGGTGGATCAAAGAGCAAAGTTAGTTAAAGGATGCATCGTTAAGCTTCAATTCCTCCTCTATCTCAGGCAGGGTATTAGATTGGATGATGCAGACCTGCAGATGACTGGGAAAACCTGCTACCCAGGTTCTGGCAGATTCCCAGCTGACAGGTGGGAGTGTAATATAGAGTATCAGGCATGGTTATTTTAAGAGTTTGCATGGACAGACCACATTTGGGTTTAGGCACACTTAGGATAGAGGGCATGGGATTGTGCTCAAGAAGTGAAATAAAGTGACTTTCAGAGAAAGTTTTGCATTTAGGATCTCACTTTATAGCTCCATATGTCTCCTGCACTCCAGGTTTGCACACCCAGACCTCTTCACAGGTTGGTTAGGATAACCAATTCATCCCATTTTGCCTGGGATTTTCCTAGTTTTAGCACTGCAAGTCTGGCATCGTGGTAAACCTCTCAGTGCTGGGCAAGCTAGGATAGCTGGTCACTCTATAATGTGACATAAGAATGGTTGGTCATGAGATGTTTGTTGAGTGGATAGGGCACGTGGGTAAGTACTGCGACACCAGTGCAAGTGTCATGCAGAGGAAAAAACACATGCTTCAGCCTGAGGTAGACTTGGGTAAAAATTCTCATCCTGAATTCCTAACTGTGTAATCTTCAATAAGTTATTGATCTTCTCTGAGACATAATGTGTATAAAGTATCTGAGATAGAACATTAATATCAGCTGCTCAATTAATGGTAGGTGTTATTATATGACTTGAGACATAACAGTGATAATAAGGAGAAGATTGTAATCAGTTGCTCCTGATTCATACAGAGGTACACAGAGACATAGAAAAGTCTTGTATGAGACCAAGGACCCTTTTGAGGTCTTGATGTCTAGTGTAGTTTTATGACCTGAGTCTTGCTAGGGTATGTGGATTCAGAAGTATCTCTGTATTGCTTTTCATGCCACTGTGGAGACACTTGGGAGAAAAGAAAGCAGGATTCTCTCTACTCTTCCAATGTCATCCTTTGTGACATTTTGTTTTCTAGGGGTTCATGCCACCTAATGGTGAGCTACCATTTGGTGCTGTGTGGAAGGAAGGTGATTGGCTTATGCTACAGGGGACATAGTTTCACAGGCTTGGAGAATATCGGAGACTGGAGGGGTCTCGGAGTGTATCTAGGTCAATCCCTTCATTTTATGTGTGAGCAAACTGGGTAGGACTCAGGGAAATAAAGTGACTTGTCCAATATTATTCAATGAATTAGTGGCGAGCTAGGACCAGAATTGAGGTCTCTTGATAACTAGTGAGAATGTTCTCCATCATATGGGCAGCCTCTCCTCAGCCACATCTTCCTTTACCTTTGCTCTTGTTCATAGCAACTTATAGACTTGAACTGAAAGTCTAAGTTGAACTTCCTTTATCTTTGCTCTTGTTCATAACAACTTACAGACCAAACTGAATGTCTGAGTTGAACTTCCTTTATCTTTGCTCTTGTTGATAGCAACTTTTAGACTCAAAGTGAAGGTTAGCTTTCTATTTTTGCGTAACAACTTTCCACAAACTTAGTGGCTTAAAACATCACACATTTATTATCTTGGTTTTTGTGGGTCAAGAATTTTTGCACAGATTAGCTTGATCCTCTGCTCAGGGTCTCCCAAGGCTGCAATCAAGATGTTGAATGGAATGATCAAATCAGGCACATTATCATACCTATCACTTCAAATATTTACCATTTCTTTTTGGTGAGAACATCTAAAACCCTCCTTTTTAGGTATTTGAAATATATAATACATTTTTATTAACTATTCAAAACATCACGTTGTACCCCATAAACATATACAATTATTTGTTAATTAAAAATGAAATAAAATGTAAGAAATGATATAGGATGATGTCTGTTCCTTTCTGAAACTCAGGGCCCTCTTTCAAGTTCATGTGCTCGTTAGCTGAGTTCCTTGTGATTAGAGAACTAGGTCTTTTTCCTTCTTGTTGTCAGGTGGAAGCTTTTCTTAGGACGTAGAGGCCATTCACAGTTACTTACCATGTGGTCCTTTCACAACATGGCCACTTCTTCAAAGCCAGTGGGAGAATCTCTCCCTTCAGGAAGGGATCTGTCTCTCTTTTTAAAGGCTTTTACCTGATTAAGTCAGGCCTTCCTAAGATGATCTCCATTTTGATTAATTCATTATGGTCAAATGATTTGAGAACTTATTTACATCTGCAAAATCTCTTCACCTTTGCCAAAGAATATAACCTAATCATGATAATGATATTCTATCAAATTCACAGATTCTGCCCACACTCAAGATGAGAATTACACACAGAAGTTATATATACCAGTAGGCAGAAATCTTCAAGGCCATTTTAGAATTCTCCCTACCACAGATTTCTTAAGATATCATGGCTTAATACTCAAAGAATTAAGTGTTGCTGTTTTAATCATTTTCAGAATCCTTGAAGGAGAACTAGGATTACAGTTACTGTTCTTTAAGCTTAAAATGAGCTTCAATCAAGAGGAAGAAGGAAAATTGCTTAAGTCAGACCCGACAGCTAAAGGTAAAAGATGCCTAGATTCTTTAAAACTTAGTTTAAAAGCACTCTAGTGTTCAGCTCAGCTAAGGGAAAGGATGCTTTGTTACAGAATACAATGACAGTTCTGGAAAATAGCAGCCTCTATAGCTTCTGACACCAGGAACACAGATGTAGGAGGGGAAACAATTTTGTGAAAAGCTACCTTATTTGGAAGAAGTCTTGGTTTAAGTAAAAGAAAAAAAAGGTAGGGGGGGGTTGGGGTAGGGGGCTGATCTTTGTATGTTTGGAAATGAATAGAAGCAGATATTCTTCGGCAGACCCACCTAGTGTATGTAGGACCAGGGTAAGAGGATTTCATTGCACTGTGTTTTGTTTTGTTTTTTCTAGATAGGGCTGAAAATATATAATTCTGATGGATTTTTAACTTAACTGTTTACCTTCCTTTTCTTCCATTTCCTTTACTCCAAATTGTCTGGTTTTTGCTTTTTTCCAGTAGCTGGTACAAAAATAAAATGATAATGTTGTACTTTATTGAAAACAGCAATGAACACACAACCACTACTACCATCATTTAAGAATCTTTCCAAATATAGTGTCTTTGTTCTGTCTCTGTGTGTGTGTGTGTGTTTATATGTGCATTTAATGGTTATAATATCAGCTATTTCTGCAATTTCTTTGGCAAGATTTATCCTACAACAGGGTCACCCTGTCAGACTGAGGGATTACAGGATTTTTCTAGAGCTAAAATTATAACTATTCAGCCTAAAAAACATAACCTCTGCTCTTATGGGCTCAGTACAGTAGCTAATGTTCATTATGCCAGTTTGAGAGACTAGGAAAAACTGAATTTCCCTTTAAATACCTGGGACTCAGAGTTTCTGGAAGACCAAACTTTTTTTTTTTTTTTCACACAATGTTTTTGAACCTTGAATATGCAAAAGGATCTCCTGAGTTTTTGTTGAAAATGTAGAATGAGTAGATCTCTGTAGTGCACAATAATCTACTTTTTAAATAAGCCTTCTGGGAATACTTATTCAGGAAGTCCACACTTAGAGAAATATGATGGGTAACATAGTTCAAGGGTGCAGGGTAATTTTTTTTTTAAGGACAAAAAGTTCAAGTAGGGCACTCGTAAACTTATTTTAAATGCCATATTTCATTATGAGGACACTGATACACATTATTATTGAATCAATGGTGGAATCAGCCACCATTGCCCATGCTGTTGTTTTTAGATATGTGCTCCTTTTTGCCCCCATAAACTCCACACAAATGCTGAATTTATATTCTCAGATTCCTTTGTGACACTCAGCTCTAAAGCCTTCCTCCAATAATGTTTGGCCTTCTGCATTTTCATCTTTCCCATGCTTTCGCTTACCTTCTTTTTTTGTTGGTCAAAGAGAGCCGACTCTGGTGTTCTGGAAAGTCCATTTGTTTAAAGAACAAGGGACTTCCTTCTAGCATTCTAAACATTTTCTTTCTTTAGGTTAGGGTCAGAAGCAAGGGCACCGACTCATGTCTTTAGCTTCTGCTAAAGGAATTTTTTTTTCCTTTCTGTAGAAGTTCTAAAGCATGCCCAGGGCCCTACTTTAAAAGATCTCTTTCTTTGTCCTTCTACTATTTTGATCAGATTGTCTGCATCCTGGAATCAAGTGCTCTAGGAATCCATGAACTAAAGTTAGACTGCATGCCCATAAAGTGAAAGGAAACCCCCCCAAAACTTATGCACGCCTTCTGCTGACAATCCTTTTTGAAAAGCATTAATTCTTCAAGTAAGGTAAATGGTGTGTTATGAAGTATGTTGACTTTTCAGTCTCTTCTTTGGAGGTCTCACCCACTCTGCCGACTTCAGTTGATTCATGTGGAAGCTTCCTAAACCTACAGCAGTAGCCCTGATTTATCTTCTCAACTTCATCCCACACTTCTATTTGACTATTGGCCATTTCCACTGGTCCAACATGCCTTAGTTGAGACCAACTAAGGTCTCAACTTATTTCTTAAGAAATAAGAGGAAAATAAACTTATCTGCCTTTATGCAAGCCAGTGGCAAACCAGCCTCCTTCTCTACTTCTGTTCCTCATTCTCAACTCCCAAGCTGGGAAAGGTGAAATCATATTTTGTTCCTCATTCTTCCATAATTCTAAAAATGGTCACTCTCAAGGTTCTATTTTCATTTCCAACAACTTTTATATACACCTCTTCTTTTCTATTTCACCTTCCTAACTCAAGCTCTTAGCATTTTGAAATATTTTAAAAAGACCCTTAACATCAATTTATATATATTAATAACTTGTCTGACACAGGTGTGCAAACTCACACACAATAGCTAGAGAAAACTGGATATTATTTAGCACTTGGGAAAATAAATTTCCTTGAGATTTTGATAGATTAAAAAAATTCTGGATTTCAAGTTTTACACATAGGAATTACCTATTTTACTGCTCAAAACATAGTAAATATTTCCACAGTTTGGAAAGTCTCTCCTGTTGGTAACCTAGGCTGAAGGTAGTTTAGCTCTCGGAGGACTCTAGTGAACAACAGTTTTCTGTTTCATACTTTACTGCTCTGTGCAAGCCAACCACAGTCTCTCCCAATGCCCCAGAGGTCCCTACCCTCGATCAGAGTCTTCAGCTCTCCACTCAGGAGGGAAGACCAAAGTGAGACTGTTTTTAGAATTTCCTGGGAAGGCTTGCAGAGGCAGGTATCAAATGGCAGTCAACCACTGGCCACTGGGGGACAAGAGCACAGAAAACCTGCAGAAACTGCATCATCTTAAACATGTGAAATCAGATATTAGTTGGGGTCCTGTAACTTTTCAGATTTGAATTAAATTGCCTTCAGTCTACCAACACCATAGATGGTGGAAGTCCGAAGCCCTCCTTTGAATTTCTGTGATACCACAAGGGGTATCTGTTTTCCTGACCTCGTGGCTATTTTCCCTTATGGCTCTGGCTTCTTTGTACACTACTTCTGTCCTGTCCTACCTGGGAACCCTGCTCCCCCTTCCAGTTTTACCGCGTACACTCATACAAGTGACAACAAGTTGACTAGAATTGCTGGAAAGTTTTGGTTGGTCTTGATGCATTGTATAGCTTTCTGCCCTTATACTGAGTTCCCGTTTTCTTCTCCCTGCCCACCTTTGCCCACCATAGCCTAACTCCTAAATTGCTTTAGGAGCTACAAATTCCTTCTTTTGTTTTACAGTTTTCTCCTTTCCTCTAAGCCTCAGTGCCAGCAAACCTTCAGTTCTTAGATTGTGTAGGGAGAGGTGGGAGGGTAGAGAGGGGGGCCAGGGTTTATTTCCTACCCCAAGCACTTAACAAAGTAGCTTTTCAAGGCTTCTTTTTTCCTTGACATTAATTATAGAGTTAGCTATTAAGATTAAAACATTTTCTGATTTGCTAAATGCAAATATCGCATATACTTATGAATAGATCTATACCTATATGTACAAAATGCATATGCATATGAAAAGGATATTCTAAATAGAAAATTAAAAAATTATAAATTTCTCTCTTACATACACACACACACACACACACACACACACACACACACACACACACACACCATACAGGAAATACACCAAAATGTTAACAATGGTCATCTGAGTAATGGGATTGTGGCTAATATTTATATTCATACTGATCCTTTACTGTAATTTTAACATCTAGATATGTATTATTTAATAATATAAAAAGCCATACAATATGACGTTAAGGATGCAGTGAGGTATCCCATAGTCCACCTAGAGTCACAGAGAGTTCACTGCCCCAGTAGGCAGCAGAGGGGAGGCCTCATCCTTGCGTAGTCCCTTGTAAGTGTGGGACATCATTTCTACTCTCTGAGCTGTTGGGGACAGAGAACAGATCATTGGATTTGTATGGATGGAGGTCACTGGTGACCTTGAAAAAGCTATTACAATGCAGTGGTGAGGACAATTCTGATTTTCAAATGGGTTTATTTATATTGTCTTCTTCAAGAAATACTTGACATAATCTTCTAAAGAGATAAGTAACTTCGAAACCTTGAAAATGCAGAACATCTCTTTATTTTTCTGGATATGGGAATTATAATGCAATCCACTGAGAGGTATGTGGGGCTTCTGGCAGATTTTGGAATTAATTGTAATTTTTTCTCTAGTGAAGGCATATTATAAGTTCCTTTGTTGTACCTGATATTTAGTGTATTTCTGTACCCTGCCCCCGTTATTGATAAAGATGTCTTACCTAGGAACAGGCTCAGGGAGTTGTTTGGCTTTTGAAACATCCTTCACTATTATTTCTTATGTGTCTCTTCTTGTGACGAGGGGACCTATTTTCAAGAGCGCCAACTAGGCATAAGAGTATATTTGTGGTATTGAGAACACAAGGTTTGAATTCAGATAGATATGCAACTGAATTCCAAGATTATCATTTATTGGCATGCCATTTTGGGAAATGTCAGAGCTTTCCATAACACAACATGCAACTGCTATTCTGAGACATTTTTGTCATAATGTTATGTTTATCAGGCAGCTTTCCTACAACTTAAGGGAAAGCAGACTCTTCTATATCAGGTAAAAATCACATATGGCTGGGTGTGGTGGCTCACGCCTGTAATCCCAGCACTTTGGGAGGCTGAGGTGGGCAGATCACCTGAGGTCAGAAGTTTGAGACCAGCCTGGCCAACATGGTGAAACCCCATCTCTACTAAAAATACAAAAATTAGCCAGGCATGGTGGCAGGCACCAGTAATCCGAGATACTTGGGAGGCTGAGGCAGGAGAACTGCTTGAACTCGAGAGGCAGAGGTTGCAGTGAGCCGAGGCTGTGCCACTGCACTCCAGCCCTCCAGCCTCGGTGACAGAGCGAGACTCCGTCTCAAAAACAAAAACAAACACAAACAAACAAACAAAAAACTACAAAAAAAAACAAACAACAACAACAAACAAAAATTACATATTGGGCCATTGTCTTCCCCCTCTGCTAGAGGCAGAAGCTGACATATGCCATGGTGTTCACTAAGCAAATGGGAGTCAACATGATGCATATCAACTTGAACAGGAATACCCGTGGGGGCATGCAGAATATGCCATCAGGAGTCAACAAAAAACATTGTGTATATTTCCAGTTTTGCCTTTCCCATTTCACACTGTCTCAAAATTTAGGCCCTAAAGATAAAGCATCTCATTAGGCAGAGTACTATAAAGAAAGTATATTAAAGATGGTCCAGTTGTTGATCCTCATGTAGGGAACAGAATCCCAAAGCAAACAACTTCATTCTCTAATGCAAAAGCAGAGACCCAAAGACAACACTGCTGCAAACATTACTTGGCTATTAAGGGAAAACCAGTAGGTGGTGCTGCTGCTCCGTGTGTTCCTTCTGAGGTCTTCAACTGTGCGTGCAGAAGAAACTTGCTTTTCAAATGGCGAAGTGATTTAATGATACTGATGCAAGAGGTCTGCTAAAAAGAGTAGCCCCTGATGGTGTCAGTCAGAAGTAAGCTTTTCTTGGAAGGGGCTTAGCTCATTTGACCTCGGAAACTGAAGGCTTTGCTCCACCAAAGAGAACAAAAATCAGAGGAAGATTTGCAAAGAGCAGAGCTTTCAATTCCCCCATAGAGAAAATGAGGTTAGTGGTCTGGAGACAGCAAGCAAAAACAGCACAACTAAAGATATTAGCCCCATAGAGCCCTGAGGTTAATGTGGATGATAAGAGCCCAACTGTGTACTAATTTGGTTTGTTAACTTACTACATCCTTGAGAGAATTTCTTCCCCCCTGGACAGGATGAAGAATTCCCTTGAGCAACAGAGGTTTTTGTACTAGGAGATTAAGTAGCATAGAAAATTACAGCCCTGCATTTGTGCTATTTGAGTTAAGGTGGTGTCAGCATTCCTATTTTAAGCCATTATTTTCAAGGATTTGAGTTTTCCTGGTACATACAGATTCAGCCCCAGAATCACACATACAGAACATGTGTTGTCTGAGTGGGCTGTCACAGACAATCACAACCACTGCAGGAGAAATGGGTCATTGGAGATGATTCACTCTCATTCTTAAACAAAAAAAGACAATAGAAGTAAGCTTACAATTCACTGCCAAAATATGTAATGAGTTAAAAAAAACGTTGCAAGAAGATTTGTAGTGCAAAGACTTAGTGCTCATGTGTGACAACCAAATTGAAAAAACACGCTCTTATTAGCTTTTAATGATTACTTGGGCCAATGGTCTGTGAACTGAGATAGATCTCCATGAAGCTATAAGAGGCCCTAAAGAGTGTCTGGGTAATAAATATATATTATTTTCCAAATTGGTTAGCACATGGAGGTGAGCATTACTCTGAAAGGGCAGCTGGCTGGGTTGTATAATAACTTAGCCAAAATGTCTGACTGTATACATAGCTTCCCATTTTCTCTATGAGTGCCCATTGCAATCACAAGGGAAGGAAGGTAATAAGCACTTACAGAGGTATTTTATGGTTCAGACTCTATCTATATATTTGCTTACTTACTCCTACAATTATCCCTGTGTAGTAGGAATTACTGTTCCCATTTTAGAGGTGAGAAAACTGAGGCTTCATGAAATGAAGCAACTTTCCTTGGGGACTCAGATTGGTGAATGCCTGGGATTCGAGCTAAGGGTTATCCAGTCTGAAAACCGTGACATTTCCATTGCAATAGATTACATATTTGTTCCTTAGGAAATATTTCACTTCTTTTCAATTCATATTTGCTTTTGACAAGGCTAATCTCAGTTTTCTTACCTGTAGAATAAGGATAACATTATCAGCCTCACAGGGTTGTGACCATGACTTAGTACAGGGCCTAACACACAGAAAACACTCTACTAATGCTGCCCAACATTACTGAGGTGGCATTCAGCAAAAAATGAAAAACAAGGGCGTAGTAAACAATGAGCTTTGATTGTAACTGCACCTTGTAGCATTTAAGGGAATTGTGCCACAGAAGTGTTAGTTTCCTCAATTTTCTCAGATTCATGATGCAAAGAGTAGAGTACATACATTGATTTTCCAGCCAATATGTAGACAAAGACCAAGAAAGAAAACAGGCATGGAAAATTGCATGTCAATACTTAGAGAAACAAGGTGATTGCAGTAATTGAGCAGAACCAGAAGAAGTCACATGTGTGATTGTCAGCTGCCCTTAGGATACTGGTACTGGTCTTGTCTTCACAGTCTTTGAACAGACTAGGTGGGACTGTGTAGATAGGACACCTTCGTCTCAAATCAACAGGGTTCATTTTAAATGGACATACACATACAATAAAGTGGTTTTAGAGAAACAAAAATCATACCAGGAGTTTTGACAGTAAGTGTATACGAAACAGTGTTTCAGCTCTCCACAAGGCCCAATATGGGTACCATGATGCCAGGGGGCCCCTCAGGCTTTTGTGCTTTGGAGGTCACAAAGATGTTTTGAAGACAAAGAGTTCCCTACTGGGGGAATTGGATTGGCTGACCTGAAGGAGGTAGCATTTTGTGAGGCAAATATGTAGAAGAGCAGAGAAGGTGGTGGGTGTGGGTTAGGGGTAGGGCCAGTGAGGGCAAGGGAAGAATACTGAAAAGAAGAAGAGGCGCGTGTGTTGTTAAGTGGAGGCAGAGAATGAAAAATAGCCCGAAGAAGCGTCTGATGAGGGTCTTATGTTTTTAGATGAATCACGCATGAGAATTTTTTACCCAATGGTTTCAAACTCACACGTAGTACAAACACACACACGCACAGCACGAGCTTGAGGGAGAGAGATCATTCAGAAAGGAACTGCCTTTTGGTGCCCGATAATGTGCCAAATGCTTCTTCACTCATTAGCTAAACTAATCCTGCTACATGGACGTTGCATTTTTCCATATTAGGCATGAGGAAACTGACTCTCAGCCTTAGGTTGCATAGCTTATAAGAGGCAGAACAAAGGTTTAAACTTGCCTTAAAGTTTTGTTTTTCTAACTAGGTCAATGCTGAGTTTTTGTTGTGGTGCAAGATCTTGGTAGGAGCACCTTTTTCTGAAGTTGGTTGTGAGAATAAAAATGGACAAGATCGTATAAAGCCCCTTGAACAGGGACTTGTACATAATAAATGCTTAGGAAGTGCGATTTTACCTTCACCATCTCATTAAACAGTCAGAATGTATGTAGCCTAATGCCTCCCAGTCAATTACTAAGCTGGGTTTGATTCACACCCTTGTAGTATACTTTGGAAGAAAAAGTTTTTGTAGGAGAAAAACTTTAATTTTATGAAATAGCCTCTAAGAGACCCTGAGAGGTTGCTGAGAATTGAGTTCCCAGTTTCATTACAAATAAAAACAATAGAAGCTGCTTGACAAGGCAGGGTAATCAATTCCAGGTGACTGTCAGGCATTGTATCTACTGGGAAGCAATCTAGAAGCACAGCAATATTGAAACACCATGTGAATTGCATTGTTCCTTAATGGTCTTGGCCCTTTGGATATAGGCAGATGTGTGGGATGTGGGCTTCTTTAAATTACATTATTTTACCTCCTGGGGGATTTCAATTTATCTCCATGAGCTGATCTACAATACCACACAGGTTGTTGCTGGTAGAATGTGTGTCTTCTGGGGGGGGGTCGGTGGTAAGGTTTGGAATAAGGAACCATCTCCTGCTTAATGCAAAGAAAACACTGATACTAAGTAGAGAACTGTGCAAATTAACACCATCTAGGTTAGTAAGGCTGTTGTTGACAGAGTTTAGAATTGCTTCTGCAAATATAGAGCCCAAGGAAATCTACACTTTGGGGTCTCAATGAGGATACACAAATAGTGATGAAGATTCTTTGCTTTTCTATAAAAAAGGAGGGCTTTATTTTATACATTTTTAAGGTAAAGGAGTGGACTGATATAACCTGAACCAAGTGGATACTTCATCTAGCCTCACCTGCAGAAGTCCATTTGTAGAATAGCCAGGTAACACCATTATTTTCCCAGTAGATTCAACGAAATGTTGGCACATTCCTTGCCATGGAAGGAAGGCAACTCATGTATTCCAAGGTTCTGTGCCTTGCATTCAATATTTGTTGTTCAATGGTCACTATAGCTGCATTTTACGAGTGGAAAATCGAGGTGGAGAAAAATCAACATAATGAGAGTCATGGCCCATGAGTGGAAGGGTTTGTATCAGGATGTACTTGGCTGCTCCCCTCCAGGGGAGGTGTGCATAAGCTCTAGATTGTAAAATCAGGCATAGTGGCACTTTTTGTTATCTATTGATTAGTGACTCTTGCAGGTGGCCACATAACATCTCAGTGCTGCACCAGTGTCTCCGGCCCCTGCTATAGGCAATTCATAATACAGCCACAGCTGGGGCTGGCCTAGTTTCTTTTTTCCTCACTCCTAGTGGTATATCTTAATAAAGAATTTATTTGAAATGACTTAACTTTTGGAAATAAACATCAAATCAATCATTTCATAAGGAAACTGCATACTCCATGCCACTAAATTCCATGAAGCATTTTACTTGTGAGATTGAAAATTTTGGGCCTCTTTGGAGTCATCTTCCCCAGGTGATGTTACCTGAGAGCATCATCCACAGTATCTTCACCTTTTGTGACATGTTCTCAGAGGTGCTTAGATTCCTGGAGGCTTTTTGAAACCAGCTATTCGTACCCTTCTTAATGAAGGAAAGAGAAAAAAAATGTAGTTCCTTTTCTATGGGTGATGCATCTTTACAGTACCTTGTCTGCTCTGTCTTGTTCCTCTGGGCCATGGCAAGAGCTCTTAAGCTGGTGTCCATCATGGGCTTCAAGGGTCCACAAATCCTCAGGAATGGCATGTAAATTTGTATGTGTGCACTTCCATATACTATGCACATCGATGTGGTTCGGCTCTGTGTCCCCACCCAAATCTCATCTCAAATTTTAATCCCCACATGTCAAGGGAGGGACCTGGTGGGAGGTGATTGGATTATGGGGACATTTCTCCCATGCTCTTCTTGTGATAGTGAGTGAGTTCTCATGAGATCTGATGGTTTAAAAGTGTTTGTCAGTTCCTCCCTTCTCTTTCTCTCTCTCTCTCCTGCTGCCATGTAAGATGTGCCTTGTTTCCCCTTTGCCTTCCTCCATGATTGTAAGTTTCCTAAAGCCTCTCTAGCCATGCAGAACTGTGAGTCAATTAAACCTCCTTTCTTTATAAATTATCCAGTCTCAAGTAGTATTTTTATAGCAGTTCGAGAATGGACTAATAAACACATGTTTCTGAAAAAAGGGTCTACGGTTTTAATCAGATTTTCAAAGAGTTCATATATTCCACTGCAAAGTTACGTTGCATGGCTCTATGAATTTCTTTTGGGTAAGCACATAATTTCTTTTATGCTTTGGGTCTTTTCTTTTCCTAATATTTTATCTTTATTGTATTTTCCATATCACTTTGATTTTTAGATTTCTGTAACACAGTGGTATAATAAGGATGCCTGTCTGTCACTGTTTACTTATAAATTTTGGACTCTAAAAATGTGGGAAAGTTTTTGTGTGGAGTAACTATATGTTTATTGCTTTCCTAAAGTAGAGATTACATATTGATACCCATAGGTCAACTCATGAACGATGTTTATAAAATGATTGTTTTTAGTTGGGCAATACAGTCAGAAATTAATAGCTCTCACATTAAGATTGTTGGCTTTTCTTCAACATTTGGAAGACCTACCAATGCTGGATTCATATTCCTGCATGAAAACACAGGCCAGAGCTGAGTTTGCTCCCCAGTGAGCCAGTCTCTGTCTGATACCAAGGTCACATTTGGGTATTATTATTGCATTTGTTTGTTTCCCCTTAAAGTAGAGAAATAATTTTCTATACATACATCTATCTTATTCATTTGCATTCCTCTTCCTGTAGAAATTTAAGTATAGAATCATTGTTCTAAACCCTAAGATCAGAATATTAGAAGAAGAAAGGGGAAAAGGGGAAAAGGGGAAGTTATTGTGGTCAAAGCCCTGCCGTCCAGGCCAGATCCCCCTTTCCAGGCTGGTTCTCATCCCCCAGGTGCCTTGAGTGTTGGCTACTAATAGCCCACAGCTCCCCTTCTCGTTTCTTCCACCTTGCTAGGACAGTTACTGCCCTTCAATACCCCTGCCACACTCCACAGCCCACAGCCAATGACTGATGAACCCTGGATGCAAAAGTGAGAGGAACTTTGTTGTGTGATTTTTCTTCCAGTTTCCCAGTGGGGTCAGATTAAACAAAGGCTCCAGCTGATATGGCATCTTTGCCCAGTTGCTCTCCCCTACCCTCCCCTGCTTCCCTGCTCCCTGTATCCTGAGGGCACTCTCCCTAATCAATCACTTGCATGAGAATTCCCACCTTAGGCCCTTTTAGGAAATCCATCCTGATAAGATGCTTTCTGTTTAGAGGACACCTTAGGAATGATTGCAATCTTTTAGTTATCAGTTTCCATTTCATGATGGAACACGTGGGAACCAGAATTGGAAACAGAGTATCCTAAAATCCTTGGATCATTTCTGTAACCGAATAATTCCTATTTCAGAGATGGCAAGTAAATTTCAACTCTCATCTTAATACTATTTGATTAGTATCTCCTGCTTAGAATACAATGTTGAGAATGACTCTCAGGTGTGTTTTGTGTCTGGGTCTTAATTTATAAGGGTGACTGAGTGACAGCAAGGAAAGGTTGATGCCATTGAAAAAAAAATTAATGTTACTCACAGTTCCTAGAAATGAAAGGTGCAGCTCACCACAGGAGAAACACCAAGTTTCGGTCAGGAAGCAGAAACAGGAGTGCTTAGACCATGGCCTTTACTGGGTTTTTCTCAGGAAAGGGAGGCAAGGCAGGGTAAACAATTTAGAATTAGTTAGTATGAATAATTCTAGGGCCTTTGAGCTACTGGAGTAGTCTCTCTCATTGTCTGGTGCTTGAATGATTTAGGTAAGGGAAATATTGGCTTAGTGTATGAGAGTTAGATAAGGAGGTAGTTGGGGGTAGCAACGCAGGATAACTGGGTTTGTATATAAAAGGCATGCTCTTAGGCAAGTAGTCTTAGGCTCTTTAGGATATAGCCATCTGTAGGAGTGGCAGTCTCTCCCAGGGGTTTGTAAGGCTCCCAAATGTCAGAGCATCAAGAATACAGAAAATAAGAAAATATAGCTAATACAATTGGCCCTGTGATGAATGAATGCCAAGTAAACAAATATGAAATCTAAGAAAACACAGAACAAGGTGACCTGTAGGTTCAAGGGGAGAGAATGCTATCAGTAATGAAGAGGTCTGTTGGTACTTAGGATGGGAGAGAGTGACATGTACATCTTTCCTATCCTGCCTTTTTCATCAAGTCTCACCTTGGGTGCCACTTCTTTTGGGAACTCTCCCCTGACTCATGAGTCAAGAGTAGATGCTCTTCCTCTGAGCTTCTACAGCAACCTGTAATTATCTATATTGTCACATTTCTCAAATTGAATTTTAACAGTTATTGAGGTGTAACTGACATACATATTTCAATTGGACAATCTGATATGTTGACTTGTGAATACACCTGTAAAACCATTAACAATCATGATAATGAACATATCTATCTCCCCTAAAGTTTCCTTATGCTCTTTGTAATCCCTCTTGACAGTCCTTCCCTGATCCCATCCAACCTTGGCTTCCTCAAACCACTCATCTGCTTTCTGTCACTATAGACATGTTTGAATTTTCAAGAGTTTCATATAACCGAAACTTATTCACTATTTTTTTTTATTTGGCTTCTTTCACGCAGCATAATTATTTTGATATTTGTCTATATTGTTACATGTATCAGTTGCTCATTCCTTTTTATTGCTGAGTAGCATCCCATTGTATGGATGTGCATAATTTGTTTATGTATATATAGAAGTGACTGAGTGACATCATGGAAAGATTAATGTCATTGGGAAAAAAAGTTTAATGTTACTCATAGTTCCTAGAAATGAAAGGTATGGCTTGCCACAGGGTCACAGGAGGAACACCAAGTTTTGGACAGGAAGCAGAAGAAGGAGTGAGTGGAGTAGATATTTGTATTGTTAATGGACATTTGTATTGATCATTCTTATTGTTTCCAGTTTTCAGCTTTATAAATAAAGCTGCTGTGAACATTCATGTACAAGTTATGAGAATGAAAAGACAAGTCATAGATGAGAAAATAATTGCCAAGTCTGTATCTGAAAAAGAACTTGTATCCAGAATATATTAAGAGATGCTCATAGCTTAATAAGAGGAAAGCAAACAACCCAGTAAAAAATGGGAAAAAGATTTGAACAGACACTTCACAAAAGAAGATATAAGGATAACAAATAAGCACATGAAAAGTTGCCCAATAGGGAACTATCCATGGTCAATAGGGAAAACTAAAATCAAAATGAGATATCACTACACATTTACTATAAAACAGTTGGAAAGTTTCTTAAAAAGTTAAACACACACCTGCCATATGATTCAGTTCTACTCCAACATACTTAACTCAAACTGAATTTTTATTTCGGATTATTTGGCTGTTTCTTTTATTAGAGTGTTAGCGTAAGCACCTTGAGTTTAGAAACATTGTTTTTTAAATCTTTTTATTTCATGTGCATATTTCTACTTTTAAAGCAAAATAGGCTGGGTACAGCGGCTCCCACCTGTAATCCCAGCACTTTGGGAGGTCCAGGTGGGCAGATCACCTGAGGTCAGGAGTTTGAGACCAGCCTGGCTAACATGGCAAAACCCGGTCTCTACTAAAAATATACGAAAATTAACCAGGCATGGTGGTGCACGCCTATAATCCCAGCTACTTGGGAGTCTGAGACAGGAGAATCACTTGAATACAGGAGGCAGAGTTTGCAGTGAGTCAAGATCATGTCACTGCACTCCAGCCTGGGCGACAGAGCAAGGCTCCATCTCAAAAAAAAAAAAAAAAAAAAAAAGCAAAATAAGCAGAAGGCCATTAGCCTGGAGTTGTTTCTGTATGTGGCATCTTTATGCAAGCAAACTAAAACTTTATGTATTCTTTGTAATTGACTAATTTTGAATTGAGTTTCAGTCAATCACAGAAAGTCAATTAGCTGATTGGTTACATAACTAGGGATCTACCATTGAACCATGCCCAAGTAAGGCAAACATCTGGCTGTAGCCAGTCAAGTTGTTTATTTACTTTGCTTCCGTGCTCACCCAATGAAAGCCTGCTGCCTATGCTGCTGGCAAGGAGCTCTCTGAACCTCTTCTAGTTTTCAGTGCTGCCTGATTCATAAATCATTCTTTGTTCAAATAAACTGTGTTAAATTTACTTTGTCTAAAGTTTTCCCTGTGATGCTAACATCAGGTATCATATCTGGAACTTGATAGTTACACAGTAAATGTAATCCCATAAATGAAAGGTGATCAATAGAAAATATTCCCGAACTTAAGTGTCACCAGAGGAGGATTATCATTTTCAAAAATGAAGACAAAAACCTAAAACTACCACCCTTCAGGCTCTGCCATGATTTTCTTTGCATTTCTAGTAAGAGATTTCCTAGGGTCCTATCAAAATGGCTACTGCCCGCTATCTATGTGTACTCTTCTCAAATTATAGTGAACATCCTGTAGGTTCATTCCCTCCTTGGTGGCACGTCTTTCTCTTTATCTAGTTTCATGGTTATTCATGTATATGGGACTGTGAGTTATTTAAGGGTAGAATCCAGTTCTGATTTATTTTTGTGTCCCTCTCCAGTGTTTTATTTAGCAATTCGTGCATATATTTGCTTAACTAAATATAGTGATTGAATGGATTAAACACAGCTTTATACTTTAGATATGATCTTTTACTCTTGGGAAATATGGTAGTTATAAAAGAGGTAGACAAATTTATTATCTTTATTTGTTTTATCAAAGTATTGGTACTACCTCTAGAACTGGACTTTGAAAGAGTTCTTCCTGCTCTTCTCCCTCCTCCCACCCTCTCCCATCTAGTAGACCCCAATGTCTGTTGTTTTTTCCTTTGTTCTGGTAAGTTCTTACCATTTAGCTCCCACTTACAAGTGAGAACATGTAGTATTTGGTTTTCTGTTCTTGCATTAGTTTGCTAAGGATGATAACTTCCAGCTCCATCCATGTTCCTGCAAAAGACATGATCTCATTCTTTTTTTATGGCTGCATGATATTCCATGGTATATATATATACCACATTTTCTTTATCCAGTCTGTCATTGATAGGCATTGAGGTTGACTCCATGTCTTTGCTGTTGTGAACAGTGCTGCAATGAACATTCACATGCATGTGTCTTTATGGTAGAATGCTTTATAGTCCTCTGGGTATATAACCAGTAACGGGATTGCTGGGTAGAATGGTAGTTCTGCTTTTTGCTCTTTGAGGAATCACCATACTGGTTTCCACAATGGTTGAACTAAATTACACTTCCACCAACAATGTATAAGGGGTTCCCTTTTCTCTATAACTTCACCAGCATCTGTTAGTTTTTGACTTTTTAATAGCCATTCTCTGACTGGTGTGAGAAGGTATCTCGTTACAGTTTTGATTTGCATTTCTCTAGTAATCAGTGATGTTGAGCTTTTTTCCATATGCTAGTGTGGCTCTCTGTATGCCTTCTTTTGAGAAGTGTCTGTTTATGTCCTTTGCCCGTTTTTGATGGGGTTAAATGTTCATTTTTCTCTTGTAAATTTGTTTAAGTTCCTTATAAATGCTGGATATTAGACTTTTGTCAGATGCATAGCTTGCAATAATGTTCTCCCAGTCTGTAGGTTATCTGTTTATTCTGATGATAGTTTCTTTTGCTGTGCAGAAGCTCTAAAGTTTCATTAGATCCCATTTGTCAATTTTTGCTTTTGTTATGATTGCTGTTGATATCTTCATCATGAAATCTTTGTTCATTCCTTAGGTCCAGGATGGTATTGCCTAGGTTGTCTTCTAGGGTTTTTATAGTTTTGGGTTTCATATTTCAGCCTTTAATTCATCTTGAGTTGATTTTTGTATATGATGTAAGGAAGGGGTCCAGCTTCAATTTTCTGCATATGGCCAGGCAGTTATCCCAGCACCATTTATTGAATAGGGAGTCTTTTCCCCATTGCTTGTTTTTGTCAGCTTTGTCAAAGATCAGATGTTCATAGATGTGCAGCCTTATTTCTGGGCTCTCTATTCTGTTCCATTGGTCTATGTGCCTGTTTTTGTACAAGTACCATGCTGTTTTAGTCACTGCAGCCTCATAGTGTAGATTGAAGTCAGGCAACATGATTCCTCCAGCCTTTTACTTTTTTCTTAGAATTGCCTTGGTTATTCTGGCTCTTTTTTGGTGCCATATAAATTTTAAAATAAATTTTTCTAGTTCTATGAGAATGTCATTGGTAGTTTGATAGAAATAGCATTGAATCTGTAAATTGTTTTGGGCAGTATAGCCATTTTAATGATATTGATTCTTCCTTTCCATGAGCATGGGATATTTTTCTATTTGTGTCTTCTCTGATTTCTTTGAGTAGTGTTTTGTAATTCTCATTGTAGAGCTCTTTCAACTCTCTGGTTAGCTATATTCCTAGGTATTTTATTTTTGTGTGTGTGGCAATTGTGAATGGATTGCCTTTCTGATTTGGCTCTCTGGTTGGTTGTTGTTGGTGTATAGGAATGCTAGTAACTTTTGTACATTGATTTTGTATCCTGCAACTTTACTGTAGTTGTTTATCAGCTGAAGAAGCTTTTGAGCTAAGACTATCGGGCTTTTCAGATATTGAATCATGTCTGCAAACAGAGATAGTTTGACTTCCTGTCTTCCTACTTGGAGATTCTTTATTTCATTCTCTTGCCTGATTGCTCTTGTTAGGACTTCCAATATTATGTTGAATAGAAGTGGTGAGAGAGGGTATCCTTGTCTTGCTGGTTTTCAAGGGAATGCTTCCAGGTTTTGCCCACTCAGTATAATGTTGGCTTTGGGTTTGTCATAGATGACTCTTATTATTTTGAGGTATGTTCATTCAATACCTAGTTTACTGAGAGTTTTTAACATAAAGGAAAGCCTTTTCTGTATCTATTGAGAAAATCCTGTGGTTTTTGTCTTTAGTTCTGTTTATGTGATGAATCACATTTACTGATTTTCGTATGTTGAGACAACCTTGCATCCTGGGGATGAAGGCTACTTGATCATGGTGGATTAGCTTTTTGATGTGTTGCTGGATTTGGTTTGCAAGTCTTTAGTTGAGGATTTTTGCATCAATGTTTCTCAAGGATATTGGTCTAACGTTTTCTTGTGTGTTGTCTCTGCCAGGTTTTGGTGTTAATATCATGATGGCCTCATAGAATGAATTGGGGAGAAGTCCCTCCTCCTCATTTATTTATTTATTTATTTATTTATTTTTGGAATAGTTTCTGTAGGAATGGTACCAGACTTTCTTTGTATATCTGGTAGAGTTTGGCTGTGAATCCATCAGGTCCTGGCCTTTTTTTAGTTGATAGGCTATTTATTACTCATTCAATTTCAGAGTCATTATTGGTCTGTTCAGGGAATCAATTTTTTTCTGGCTCAGTCTTTGGAAGGTGTATGTGTCCAAAAATTTATCCATCACTTCTAAGTTTTCTAGTTTGTTTGTGTAGAGGTGTTCATAGTAATTTCTAATGGTTGTTTTTATTTCTGTGGGGCCAGTAGTAACATTCCCTTTTTCATTTCTATTTGTTTTTATTTGAATCTTCTCTCTTCTTAATTTGTCTAGCTTGTGGACTATCTATTTTATTAATTTTTTCTAAAAAACAATTCCTGGACTTACTGATCTTTTGAATTGTTTTTTGTGTCTCAATTTCCTTAAATTCAGCTCTGATTTTTGTTATTTCTTTTCTTCTGCTAGCTTTAGGGTTGGTTTGTTTTGCATTTCTAATTCTTCCAGTTGTGAAGTTAGGTTGTTAATCTGAGGTCTTTCTAACTTTTTTTTTTTTTTTTTTTGAGACGGAGTCTTGCTCTGTCGCCCAGGCTGGAGTGCAGTGGCGGGATCTCGGCTCACTGCAAGCTCCGCCTCCCGGGTTCACGCCATTCTCCTGCCTCAGCCTCCCAAGTAGCTGGGACTACAGGCACCCGCCACTATGCCCGGCTAATTTTTTGTATTTTTAGTAGAGACGGGGTTTCACCGTTTTAGCCGGGATGGTCTCGATCTCCTGACCTCGTGATCCGACCGCCTCGGCCTCCCAAAGTGCTGGGATTACAGGTGTGAGCCACCGCGCCCGGCCCTTTCTAACTTTTTGATGTGGGCATTTAGTGCTATGAATTTCCCTCTGAACACTGTCTTAGCTGTGTCCCAGAGATTCTGGCATGTTTTATCTTTGCTTCCATTATTTTCTAAGAACTTCTTGATTTCTGCCTCAATTTCATTCTTTACTCAAAAGTCATTTAGAAGCATGTTGTTTAATTTCCATGTAATTGTATGATTTTGAATGATTTTCATTGTGTTGACTACTATGTTTATTGTAGTCCAAGAGTGTATTTGATATGATTTTGGTTCTTTTACATTTGTTGAGGATTGTTTTATATCCAATTATGTGGTCAATTTTAGAGTATGTGCCATGTGGCAATGAGAATGTATATTCTGTTGTTTTGTTTTGGGTGGAGAGTTCTGTAAAGGTCTGTCAGAATATCATTGGACCATTTGGTCCAGTGCTGAGTTTAGGTCCTCAATATCTGTTAGTTTTCTGCCTTGATGATCTGTCTAATACTGCCACTGAAGTGTTGAAGTCTCCCACTATTATTGCATGGGAGTCTATGTCTCTATGTCTCTTGGTAGGTCTCTAAGAACTGGCTTTATGAATCTGGGTGCTCCTGTGTTGGGTGAATGTATATTTAGGATAGTTAGGTCTTGTTGAATTAAACCCTTTACCATTATGGAATGCCCTTCCTTGTCTTTGATTCTTGTTAGTTTTAAATCTGTTTTTTTTTTTTTTTTTCTGAAATTAGGATTGCAACCTTTGCTTTTTTCTGTTTTCCATTTGCTTGGTAGATTTTTCTCCATCCCTTTATTTTGATCCTGAGTGTCATTACATATGAGATGGGCCTCTTGAAGACAGCATACCATTGGGTCTTGCTTTTTTATCCAACTTGCCACTCTGTGCCTTTTAAGTGGGGACATTTAGCCCATTTGTCAAGGCATTTAGCTCATTTACCAGTTAGCTGTTAGTAACCAGCTAATAGCACAATGACAGGATCAAATCCATGCATATCAATACTAACCTTGATATCAATACAAACCTTGATACGTGTGGATTTGATCCTGTCATTGTGCTGTTAGCTGGTTACTACATTGGCTTGTTCATGTGGTTGCTTTGCAGTGACACTAGTCTGTGTGTTTAAGTGTGTTTTCATATTAGCTGGTAGCAGTCTTTCCTTTGTATGTTTAGTGCTCCTTTCAAGATCTCTTGTAAGACAGGTCTGGTGGTAATGAAGTCCCTCAACATTTGCTTATCTGAAAAGGATCTTATCTCTTCACTTAGGAAGCTTGGTTTGGTTGGATATGAAATTCTTGGTTGAAGATTTTTTTCTTTGAGAATGTTGAATATGGGCTCCCAATCTCTTCTGTCCTGTAGGATTTCAGCTGAGAGGTTCACTGTTAGCCTGATGGAGATTCCTTTGTGGGTGACTCCCCCTTTCTCTCCAGCTGCCTTTTACACTCCTTTCATTTTGACTTTGGAAAATCTGATGATGATATGTCTTGGGGAATGATCTTCTTGTGTAGAATCTTGCAGGAGTTCTCTGTATTTCCTGAATTTGACTATTGGCTTCTCTAGCAAGGATGGGGAAATGTTCATGGATGATATTCTGAAATATTCTTGTTGGAGAACTGGTGCAGTAATTTGATGGACATATGACACTCTGGCCATTTCAGTTACTAGAGTTCTTGCACTGGTTCTTTCTCATCACTGCATGTGGTTGTTCCTTTAACTGCAGTGTAGATTGAGTACAGTCAATAGACTTCTTTTTTGGATGTTTTCACTGGGCTGAGGCTTTGTATAGGGTCTTTATTTGAAGCTGACTTCTCGTCTCTGGTTTCAGAGGGGCGTATGTTAGTGAGGTATTTTTGGTGTTGAAGCTTTGGGTATGATCCAGCAGGTGACACTTAGGCTTATTGGTCAGTTGGTTGACTCTTCTTTGGTTATGTGGCTCCCCTATGTTTCCTCATAGATGGAGCTGTGTTCCCTCTCAGTGCTCTGAAAGTGTGGATTCCTTTTCCACTTTAATGCTGGCTATAGTTCACAACTTGGCATTCCTGGACTGTCTGCTGCAGCTCTGGAATGATCTCAGGGTTTATGTTTCTTCCCCAGCTTAGAGGCAACACAGAAAGGGATCTTAATAGTGGTTGTAGCCAAGGGTTCATTTGCTTGATTCCCGGGAGTTTCACCCCAGAGAAATGCAGGTCAGCAATTGCTCAGTACAGTGAGACCAAGAAGGAAGGTTTGTGCTGTGGGCCCAAGCCAGGGGTTCCCTGTCTGGTGACGAGCTGACGGAGGGGTGTGGGACCCGTGGAAGGTGGACTGGACTCCTTTTCTTGGGTCTACTGCAGCTTGTTGGAGGTGTGGATAAGGCATTTAGGGTCTTTGGTCCTTCATTTGTCCAAGGGTGGCAAGAGAAGCTCCACTGCAGAGGCAGTGGCCAAGAGGCTTTCAGTTGCCTCTGGAGGCTCTGTCCAGGGAGTTGCCAAGTTGGTACTGGCTTGATAGCTCTGGTAGGGGGTGGCTGGAGGCCCAAGCCCGGAGGCCCTGCTTGGTGAGGAAATACGGGAATGGGCACCCATGTAACAGTCTGGCCACTTTTCTGTAGGACTGCTGTGGTATGCTTGGGGCCCGCTCCAATTCCCAGTCACCTCAGATTTTCCAGAACCTGGAGGTGTCACCAGTGACGGCTGCAAAACAGCAAAGATGGCAGCCTATCCCTCCCTCTGGGACAAAGCTCCTTCCTTCTCAGCTTTGTTCCAGGGAGGCACAGACCTGTTGCTGGCTCTAAGGCACATTTAGGGAGTGACTGGAGACCCCACCTGGGAGGTCCCACCCAGTGAGGAGGAATGGGATTGGGACCCACTTAAAAAAGCAGTCTGGCCACGTTTTGGTAGAGCAGCTGTGCTGTGCTGGGGGTCCACTTCAACTCCCTGTCACCTCAGACACTCCGAAGCCCAAAGGCTGGAATGGCTAAGTCACCCAAACAGCAAAGATGGCAGCCCACCCCTCCCTCTGGGAGCACCGTCCCAGGGGTTCAGATCTCTGTCAGCTAGAGAGCTTGTGTGGGGATGGCTGGAGGCTCCAGTTGGGAGGTCCAGCCAAGTGAGGAGGAACAGGATCAGGCACCCACTTAAAGCAGCAGTCTGACCATGTTCTGGTAGAGCAGTTGTGCTGTTCTGGGGGATCCCTTCCATCCCAGGTGGGCTCAGACTCTCCAAAGCCTGAAGGTTGGAATGGCTAAGGTGCCCAAACAGCAAAGATGTCCCTCCCCCTGGGAGCTCCTTAGGGGTGCAATGCCACTGCTGGTAGCTGGTTGTGGGTCTTCCCTTGTTAGGTGCCATGGAAATGGGGTCCGCAGGCTGTTGCTACTCAGCACCCTGGATTCAGCTTCTTTCCTAGAGGTATGTATAAGAGTCTAACCTCCCACTTTGCCAGAGCTGTAGCTACTTTTGCTGGAAAGGCCAGGTATCTAAGCCTCCAGGGTCTCCATGCATGCCTGAGTGGCTGCTCTGCCAAGATTACACATAGATCTGTCTGTCAAACTGAAAACTGAAGGCCCTGGTGGAGTGGATCCACAAGGAGATCTCCTAAGTGGAGGGTTGCAAAGATCTGTGGGAGAAGCGTGGTTTCCTGGGGTCACACATTCACTCACCATTCCCTGGGCAGGGGAGGATCCCCTGGCTCCATGTTGCTCCCAGGTGGGCCATTGTCCTGTCTTGCTTTTCTCCATTCTCTGTGGGTCCAGTTGTTTCCTTGATTAAACCCAATGCAAGTACCTGGATGTTTCAGTTTAAGGTGCTGTATTTACTTGCCCCTTCTATTCCTCTCTGTGACAGCCACATACTAGCTTCTTCTACTTGGCCATCTTGGCCACTCCCTCCTTGAAAGTTTTAAAGCAAAATATACTAGCTATTTTTCTCTGGTATAAACATTATCTATGTACATTATGGAATATGCAAAAATATGGAAAATGCATGGGTAGTAGGAAAGTATATGTATATGTGGTATAACACCTTTTAGGAGGACAATTTGGTAATCTACCAAAATTTGCTTCCCTTTTTTGTCTTGTATCTGTATTTCTACAAAATCATCCTATGGAAAAGAAAAAAAAAAAAAGCCTTCCAGGTTTTCTCCCTTGCACTTTTTAATCGTGATTATACAAGAGACATTATTTTCATCAGCTTTTTTTCACTTAACAGAAGATGTTTATAAGATAGTCATTTCCTTTTGTTGTTTTAAAGTCTATTACATTTCATTTTTACTGGCTGTATGCATGTCTTATGGGATGATTCCACAGTACTCTTATTGCTTATTATTTAGTTTTTTTTCATGGGATGGGAATGTGTTATCAATATTGCCTGGCAGATATCTTTAGAATAAAGCTTTTCTTTTATATCAGACTATTTCCTTATTTATGGATATTGTTAATTGCTCTTTAGAAACATTTCTAAAAAGGTTGTGTCATTTATGGTACCTGTCAGAAATGCATGGCTGTTTTAAAGCAAATGTAATTGCTTTCAGAAATCCGCTGCATTCTGAGTCAATTGCATGATTTTGTGAAGAGATAGGCTAGAATGGATGCTTATTTTTTCAATCCCTGACACCAGCTAAAGATCATCTTCCTGCTATGTGCATTTTATTTTCACCATTTGCTTATTAAATAAAGCAGAAGTTTAAATATAGCATAAAACTAATGATTCTTTGCTACAGTTGATGTTCTGCAGAAGTTATAAGCACTGATTAAGGATCAAAAGAATCTTGCCATTCTGTGCTCTAATTTTTGCATCAAAGCTTTCATTTGGCACTCAAAACATTCTTAATGATATGAAAGTATGACAAGCAATATCCTGATTAATTTATTTCCTCTAGTTTATGCTTTTTCACTGCTTGTAACATTGCTACCAGAATATCCTGAAAAGCAAAATTGAAAGGATTTAATATCTATCTTACAGTTGAGCAAAAGCTCCAAATATCTAATTCAAGATTTGCCTTCATCCCAGTTACATGGCTTCTCAGGACCATGATGAGAGAAGTCCAACTCTAATAGGGATAGATAAAATGGCTATCATCAATATGGTTTGGGCTTCAAGCTCTGAATAGAAAAAAGAAAATTAAAAAATGCAGTTAATTACAATGTATTATATATTTCAAAATTACTAAACCAGTGGATTTTAAATGTTTTTACCACAAAGAAATGATAAATATGTGAGGTGATATATTAATTAGCCTGATTTACTCGTTTCCCAATATCCAAACATCACATCATATCCCATAAATATAATTGGTTCTTTAAAATGAAAATAATGTTAAAGAAGACATAAAAAAATATAGGAGAAAGTGACTATCAAGTTTTTATCTTTTCATTTGAATATGCTATTTGTTTTTACTTTGTGAAGGGATTAATATTTGCTTTGTTTTACTGGGGATATCTATCTATCTGGTATCTATCTATCCAGCTATGTATCTGTCTATGTATCTATCTACCTATCTATCATCTATCTATCAATCATTGATAACAGTGCTAGATATCAATTGATTATCTCTCACCTCTAAATCTACTGCTGTTTACCCTGTTTTGTGATTTTGGGGCTGGGCCCTATGACATTTCACATTTGAGAGTTGGTTCAGTCTTAGGTTTTGTTGCGAGAGAGCCTAGAGAGACACTGCAGACATAGCAACAACAACAAAAACAACAACAACAAAAATAAAGAGGCTTTTATTGTGTGCTTTTCTCTTTCTCCTTCAGCTGCACATCTGGCAGTGGTGAGTGGCCCTCAGTCTCCACTGAGGGACACTGAGTGTCTCCAGCATCTCAATAGGAAGCTTCCTGCAGACCAACTATAATCTATTGGCACCCAAGTGGGGAGTTTCTATGGGCCAGCTTCAACCCATGACACCCTAGTAAAAGTCACCAACATCCGAACATGTGACCTCCTGCAGACCAGCTCTGGCCCACAGGACCCAGTGAAGTTCTCTGCTCTTCAGCAGGTAGCAGTTGTGCCCTCTCCAGTGGGGTCAAAAATCTCAGCCATTGGTATGAGCTGGTGCTTTTCAAACTTTTAGCTCCTTCTCTGGGTATTCTTTTTTACCTTAGGAGTATAACTGCCCCCAACATTTGCTGTGAGTACTTTTTAGTCTACTTAGTAGTCAATCACATTTTACCAGTTAAGAACTTTTTCTATAAAGTTTTCCCCATTCAAATTCCTGGTGTGGTTTCTTTTTCTTGACTGGATCATGACTGATTAAATAACATAGTTACTGGGCTCCTGTTAGATACAATACACTATGTTAGGTACTGGAGACACAGCAGTAAAGAAGACAGACAAGGTTCCTGTCCTCAACACCCCTACAGTTTCCATGTAATAAACAAGTAAAGTGTTAGATATGGCAGAGAAACATTTTTGGGATGAGAGTCATGGGTAGGAACAGAAATGTTCTGTGTAAGAAAGTGACACTTCAACCAAAACTAAAGATCAGTAGAAACTGTTCAGATGAAGAAATACAGAGAAGCATCTCATCAAAGAGAACAGTTTGCCCAAGGACTGGGGTTGGGTCAGACTTGAGAGTGGCAGGTGGGAAGACCTGTAGCATGCAAAGCACACTGCTGAGGGCTGGAAAAAGGGGAGAGACAGGAGCAGGAGGTGGACCTCTGAAGGCACTGACAACTGTGCTCGGGATTCTGGATTTTCCCCAGCATTTGTAAGGACTGTTGCATCGTTGAAGGGTTGTTAGCAAAGGAGGAATATGATCACATGCTTATGTTCTCATAGTTTAGAATGGTGGTTCTTAATCCTGGGTGCACATTTGAAACACCTAGGATATGTAAACAAAACCTTGTTGGTATGGTCTGAATATTGGCGTTCCCCCACCCCCAAATTCATATGTTGGAGCCCAATACCCATTGTGGTAGTATTAAGAGGCGAGGGCTTTGAGAAGCAATTAAGTTATGAGAGCTCTACCCTTATAAATGGGATTAGTGCTCTTACAGAAAGGATTCCAGGGGGAGCTCCCTTGTTCCTTCCACCATGTGAGGACACAGCTAGGAGATACCATCTTGGAAGCGTAGAGCATCTGCTGGTACCTAGATCTTGGACTTTACAGCCTCCAGGACTGTGAGCAACAAATCTCTATCATTTATAAATTACCCAGTAGTATAAGTTACCAAAGGTATTTTGTTATAGTAGCTAAGCAGACTATGGCCCCAAACCAGTTAAATCAGTCTCTATGGGAGTGAATACTAGGCATCAGTATCTATTAAAGTTCTTTCTGTGATTCCAATATACTGGCAAGGTTGAGAACCACTGATCTTGAGAAGTAAAGAAATAAAAATATGGCATCATGAGGATTAAATGATCAATTTAAAGACAAGTGCATTTGTTAGCTGATGACAGTTTTCTAGTGTATTACTTAAATTAACCCATAATGCTGCTTCATTATGCCAAAGCCATTCAGAATTTTAAAGGCAGAGATTTGGCATTTTTGCTAATTAGAAAGTGGTTAAGGGGGACAAATAATTTTGATCTACATTTCCTCAAATGTTCACTCAAGGCAAGGGTAATGTCGTTGGGAAGTTAGACAAATGTCTAAAATTAGGAAAATAAATGCAGCACAGAACTTTCTATTGAGTTTTGCTTTAGTTAAAAAACCCAGCTTCACGTAGTTAAAAAAATATTTGCTGAGCAAATGAATGAATGAATGACCTCTTTGTAATTAGATTCCAATTAAACAAAAATAAAGGAGGCATATCTGCTACCCCTTGACTTGACTAAAATTAATTAAACATTAATTTCTCATCCGAGATTAACCTCAAGATAAACCATCTTTTAGAGCTGTGTTTGACTAGTTTATGAAAATCTATATTTAGCATAAGGGTGAGGAATACTGGTACCTTTGATTTCACTTTTTTTTCTGGCACTAAAAACTAAACTCAGTTTGAAAAGAATGTAAGCACTTTCTTTGGCTGTATAGCTGTTTCTATTGCTTTCTAGCCTGCTGTGCTGACCCCCAAACCACACTGCTTACGTTACTTTAGAGACCGAATCAGATGCACTATCTCTGGAGACCATGCAGGTTAGAGAAAAATCATTAGGTTTTGCATTATAGAAGCATTACAGGAAACAAGGATTAAAATCATAACGTAGCCACAGTAGACTGGCTAATCTCACTCGAATGGGACATGGTTCCTTTGTGCCGATTATGTGGCATAACAACGGATGCACAAATGGATTGCTGTCAAGAGAGAATAAATTAATTGATTATCGGGGGTATTTTAGTCAACCTGTAATGTGGCTGAAACATGAAAATTAATGTTGTTAAAATTCCTGTTCAATATTGAATCCCCTTCTGTGGCACTTATTGTCTGTTCTACTTCTTTTGGTTCTTTATTTCTCTAGCAGTTGGTTGCATACTTGTAAATCTTCATGAGAATAAAACCCCCTGAGATTACAGTAACATCATTATGGAATAGTTTTCATTTACTCACGTGCCTGGTGAGAAACTAGGCTCAGAGTTGAGATGTTCAGTAAATGTTTTTTGAATTATGTTGGAAAGAGGACTGGGTTGATAGGTCACTCCATAAAGTAAACATGTGACTGAATTCATGGTATCATAAATTATTGCAATAGCTATAAAACAAAAGGCCACATAATTCCCTGGGGTTTTACTCTATCTTGTTTCATACATACTCAGCTTCCTCACACATATTCTTTAGCTAAATTACTGTACCTTAGGAAGCTCTATGCTTGATGGTATCTGAATGCTTTTAAAAAGTAGCAATCAAATAAGACCAAACCATAATGTATGCCATTTGGGTAGTACCTGAAATAAGGCCCAAGAACAATTCTAATAAGAACAAAAAAAGTAACTGGAGAACGTTATCTTAATGACTGTGAGAATGAGGAAATTTCCCAACTGCTTAATGTAGGCTAAGTCCTTTACAAAGTTTCACTGGGAATTACAGCTATTTACACATCATTGTCTATACTGAACATTATTCTACTGGAATACAATGCTGGATTCCTCATTAATCATCCTGTCACTTACATCTGATATTAATAGTCATAATAGAAGAGGGAAGTAGAGGAAAGAGAACTGGGACATGTAGGTTCTAGCTCTGGCTGAGTTACTGTAACTGTGTGGCCTTGGGAAATTCATTGGCTCTATTTGAAGGAGACACATTCATTCCGATTTTTCAGCCAACACAAAGCATTCTCTTCTGTAAAACCCCTTGTGAATTCAGCTTTAATGTAGACACTTCCTTTAAGAAAGGGAGAGCTCATTATTTTTCTGATATAGCTTATTCTTTTGCTGGACAGCTCAAAAGATTAGCAAGATTTTAATTACATTGCTCTGAAATCTTCTAAGGTACATTCATCTATTGGTGCTAGTCCTTTGGAAGACATAGAAAACATACTCTATGAATGTTAACCATCATTATCATAACTGTCATTATAAACCCATATGATATCCTCATCCCTGAAAAAAATCATCCTTGAAAAGTTAATATAGCCATAGGGGAAAAAATAATGTTTAGAGTTAGAAGTCTTCAGTATGCATCCTACCTTCAGTGATTAATTAATCCGTATTGATTCTGAACCTCAATTTTTTAATTTCCCATGCAAGAATTTCTACCTCAAAATGATATTCTCTGTAAAATGCTACCATTGCCTTTTTTTCCTTCAAATTTTTATTAATATTTTTGCTGTGATAATCTTCTCATTCATTACAACCTCTTCCCCCAATTTAAAGACCTGTAAGGTAAATTCTGAAATGACAGCCCATCACAGCCTATGTCATCCTCTGACTTGCACCTGTGTCCCATTCACCCCTCTATGAACATTTGTCACACCATGTTGATGTTTATGTCTATTACTGTCTCTTTGATTAGAGTGTGAGCTTGTTGAGTGAAGACTTTGTGTCACTGCTTCTTTGCATCAAATGTAATTAGTTTACCTATATTGGAGGATTTAATGTGAAGATCAAACGTGATACTGCATGTGAAAAGTAATTTGGAAAAGATGCTGTGTCATGCAAAGTTAAGGTTGAATTATTGCTGTTATAGTTTCCTCACCGAAGAAAAAGAACTCTCTAAGCAGCTAAGAAACCATAATGAGGTGGTGAAGAGCAAAAGCATGTTATTTTCAACTGATGGAAGATGAATTTATAAATTTTGTGGTTCTGAAGATAATTTATAGTCAACATAGGACATCACACAAGATTTTACTAGTTCTTTTCAGTCTTACAGAATGTAGAAGGATTGCAAGGATCCAGGGTTTCTCTAGAACCATGGAGTTCTGGAATGTTTCTCTTTCAATTCATTTACAGATTTAATCTCCTCTAAATGTTTATAGAAATCATTATTTTTTGTTGTCAAAGCCAGAATTTTCCTCTTATTTACTGAAATTCATAATACAAGTTCCTTCAGCTCAACATAACACAATTTCTTCTTTTTTTCTTAGCTTCAAAAAAGGAGAAATATTCTGATCTCTATCCTAAAGGGAAGGTCAGACACTAAATGTATTTTAGGCTTTGTGAGCTATAAAGTCTCTGTTGCAACTACTCAACTGAGTGCAAAAGTAGCCAGAGACAATATGTGAACAATCTGGCATGGCTGTGTTCCAATCTTATGCATATTTACCAAAGAAGCAACTGGCAAAATTTGACCCACAGGCCATAGTGTGCCCACCCGTGACCTAGTACATTGCTACTTAAAGAGCAGTCTGCAGACTCTGAGTATTAACATCACCTGGGAGCCTGTTAGAAATGCAGAATCTCAGGCTCCACGCTAGACCTACTGAATCAGTATCTGCATTTTAACAAGATTTCCAGGTGACTCACATGCTTATGCAAGATTGAGAACTGTGGTGGCAGATGAATAACACAAGGGAGACATCTGGGAGCCTATTGTGTCATGCTCACTGGGGTGGGCTGCCTTCTGGGAATGTAACTTGTGGGCCTTTTTCAGTCTCTCCTTCCTTTGCCAGTTTCCTTCTCCTGGTACATTCTCACCCACTAACCGCATGCTCTGTTCCTGCTGTCAGCTTGCCTTGCCACCTCCTTAGCCAAGCAGCTGCTCATTCCTCAGGTTCTGTGTCCTCCAGGGAGAGCTTTGGGAACTTGTCAGATGGAAAGGGTTTGGCTCGATGAAAGCATTGCTGGATACATGACTGCACCTTATATATTTACACGATGCCCCTGCCTACCCACCTCTTTTCTGTACCTATCTCTCCTTTCTAGTTTCAATATAAATAGGAAAAGAAGCTCAAGGTGCACCTCTGCAACCTGCACGTTGTGATCCTAAAGAGCCTACAATAATGTTGAACACTTTTCAATAACATAATAATGCCAATGACAAAAAAAATTCTAAGAGTGCTGGGGGCAAAGCAATTGAGCTGTTCTAGCATTTTCATAAATGGAAGCCAGAGGCCTTAATTATGATGTATTTTTCTTCAGGTAAGACTTACAAGCAATTTGGAAAAGGCAATTATGTAATTTTCCTGCCGTTCTCCCTCCCCCTTCTCTTTTATCCTTCTTTATTAATAGGCATCTATCAGAATGAAGTGGCCCACACACAACTTTGGGTTGACTCAAGTGGGTACAAATTGATTATTCAGCCTTGTAATCCGATTAAAACAATCCTAGAATAGCCCACTAGGCTGTATGAGGTTTTCTGTGGTGAAAGATGCCCTGTGCTGGCTCCTGCTCTCACCAAGTGGCTGCCTGGCCCGTACTTAAACACATCCAGTGGCAGACAACTTATCTACCTGAAGCCTACTGCTTCATATATATTAGGTCCTCAATAAATACTTATTGAAGGCATGCCCTTTCTTCCAGGGCAGTACTTGACACTTGGTAAGAGACAACTTACTAAAATCTCTCTTTTTCTAATTTCAACTGATTTATCTTTCTCTGATCTTGTGAAACCCTACCTTGGGCCCTATATAAAAAGGCAATTAAGAGAAATTGCTACAATTTGCCATGCCTGGCGCACTATACATTCATTTTCTTAATTAATCTTCACTATAAGTAGTTGCTATTATTATTATTTCTATTTTAAAGATGAGGAAACAGAGCCTTTGAAAGAGAGCAATTCATCTGAAGCCTCACAATTAGAAAGTGGAGGAATGGAGATGTGAATCCAAGCAGTATAACTGGAGGTAAATGCTCTAAACCATTAAATACTATAGGGCTTATAATAAAAATTTAGGGTGTAGAGGATTCTCCAATGACTAGCATTTCCACAAACTTATAAGCTGCACAGTAAGTCACGGACTCTTGAAGCCCACGCACAGGAAGCTATTATGCATGGGTCATCAGGAAAGGCATTGAAAGCTGATGCTGACATTCTATTAGTCCCACTCAGGTGCAGCAATGCAAAAATCCTCAATTTGTCAGGGGTCCCATTACAATCAGAAGCATATCTCTGGTAAACACATAAATGGTGGTAGGTTCCCTGAAGAGTTAACTGGTAGAGTCCCACTGATCACCTTTCACTTCCTCCTTGATAGTGAGGTCTCCAGGCTTTTCACCAAAGCCTCTAATGCAATCCCACAGCAACCGGCTGTGCTCCCTGGTGAAGGCAATGCATTAGTAGTGTGAAAAAATTGCAGCTCACAAGCCATTCCTTGAGCAACTGTGCTGACAGCAACAGGCCCCTTCTACTGCCACAGGGACAGGTCTCCTAGAAGAATATCCAATTCCTGAAAATTAGAATAACCCAGTTCACCTCAAATGAATGAAAATTGTCATTCTGTTTGGATTTCTGTGGTCATAAGCCCGAATATTGTCTGCAGTCTTGCTGTTTCAGGCAGTTACTGAGGCTAATAGAGCTAGGAGAGAGGACTGAATAGCATCTCAGCTACTCTGCAAAATGGAACCTGAAAGAGAGGTGAAAAACTGCACATGATTTTTTCTCTTCCTCTGGTTGATAATGACAACAAATCACTATTTATGGTGGACATCACAAAGTTGCCTTCCTGGATGGTGGGATAAAAGACATTAAATCATTTTATGAAGTTCAAGTGTCATACAAATGCGAGGTTGATGCTATTGTTATCCACCTTGGATTAGGATGGTTACCGCTGGATTGGCTTGTGACAGACAGTGTCTAAGCAAACAGAAATGTCAAAGAAAACACTATTGGAGAGACCAGAATGCTTATGTAAGCTGATAGCATGTTGTGCCTCTCATGTCATGTACGAGCATGATGTTAGAGTATGATTTAAACCCAATTCAATCCAGGCTACTATAACTTGCAGCATCCTTCTTGGGAGATGTACATGTCACTGAAACAGGGTGTTTTAGTCAATTGGCCTCCTATCGATAGTATCTAACTTACCAAATTTTCCCGTATTTCCAGTGCTATCCAACTACCCTTCTCTTCATACTTACAATTTCAGATGCATTTACTTTCTCAATAGATATTGACAAATACCATGTCCCAGGCACTGATCTATACATTGGTATAAAGCCAAATAAGATAGGAGTCTCCCCTCAGCATCTAGTAGGATGAAATGGATAAACACATACAGGTAAAAAGGTGTTACAGGTACTTTGAAGTTCCCTGTACAATTTATAGTTAGAGAAAGAAGGAAGAAGAGACTAGCTCTATCAGAGAAGGAGTGAGACAGACATAGATTAGGAAAACATTCAAGCAAGACCTGCTTTGGCCTGGAGGTGGTTATGGCACTATAAGGAAACTTTGAGTATTTCTGATCTAGTTCATTATATCCAACCCAGAGACAACCTTGTTTTCCTCATTTCTAAACATGTGCTGAGCACCTACTTTGTGCTAGAACTATGGATTTTGGAATTTACAGTCTAACCTGGAGGTAGACATATTATTAATTGTATCTACAGAAGAGAGGTCCACTCCAGGAAGAAATTATGTGGCCTTCACACATGTTTTTGCCTTGGTCTGGAATTCTTTTCCTGAGGCCCCTGGCCACCTCTCCAACTTATGGGGCTCACTGTTACCCTGCCTTCATGATGCAGTGGAGTCAGTACTTGTACAGGTCATAACCTAGTACCTGGAAGGATTGTATTTCCTAGCTGGGTGAGGCCACAAAAGTAATCCTGACCAGTGAGATGTGAGCAGAGCAGGGTGTACCACTTTTGGGTGGAGTATTTGCATGTTAGTGCCAAATCCTCAGAGCCCTTTTAATCCCTCTCGGTTAGTAATTGGTGTCATTGGAGTTGATGACTGTTCCATCAGCCTGTGTCCCTAAGTAACCATTAGTAGCAGAAGCTCCTGTCAAACTGCAGTAGACATCTAGGTGAATAAAAAATAAGGCATAAGTCCCTGAGATTTTGGGTTCTTAGTTAACAGAAAAATTCACGGTGTCCTGAGGATATGCTCTTTTGGGGGTAAGGCCTCCACAGTGCCCTAAATAGTTTAGGCCTCTCATCTGTATGTATGTATTGCTCCCAGTGCACACTCTTAAATTTTTTTAAAAAACCACATTTTAAACATGTTTAACAGGTTAAGCTATAAAAGGAGATGAACGATACTTGCCTTATTTATTAACTTATCCATGGGGCCTACCACAATGAGTGGGAGACAGAAAATAAAGTCTTGTTGAAAGAATAAATCAAGGAATCAATGGACAAATGAACCAGGAATTATTGCATGAAATCAAGTGTTTTTGAAGGGACTCAACTCTTTATGTAAATACTATACTGCTCAAAGCCTGGGGAATACGTCAATGACTTCACAGCATTCCTCCTGCCCTTCCCTGACTGCTGTCCCTCAGTTTTAAATAAACTCAATATCAAATAATCCTAATTTCAATAGGACAAGTTGTAGTTTCCAAAAGAATCAGTTTTACCAAAACAGCATGGTACTGGTTAAAAAACATAAAGCCGAAAAACAGACACATTGACCAACAGAACAAAATAAAGATCTCAGAAATAACACCACACATCTACAACCATCTGATCTTTGACAAACCTGACAAAAACAAGCAATGGAGAAAATTTTTTTATTTAATAAATGGTGCTGGGAAAACTGGCTAGCCACATGCAGAAAACTGAAACTGGACCCCCTCCTTACACCTTATACAAAAATTAACTCAAGATGGATTAAAGACTTAAATGTAAAACCCCAAACTATAAAAACCCTAGAAGAAAATCTAGGCAATAAAATTCAGGACATAGGCATGGGCAAAGATTTCATGATGAAAATGTCAAAAGCGGCCAGACGTGGTGGCTCACGCCTGTAATCCTAACACTTTGGGAGGCTGAGGCAGGCACATCACCTGAGGTTGGGAGTTTGAGACCAGCCTGACCAACATGGAGAAACCTCGTCTCTGTTAAAAATACAAAAAATTAGCTGGGCATGGTGTTGCATACCTGTAATCCTAGCTACTCGGGAGGCTGTGGCTGGAGAATCACTTGAACCTGGCAGGCAGAAGTTGCAGTGAGCCAAGATCGTGCCATTGCACTCCAGCCTGGGCACAAGAGCAAAACTCCATCACAAAAAAAGAAAAGAAAAGAAAAGAAAAGAAAATGTCAAAAGCAATGGCAACAAAAGCAAAAATTGACAAATGGGATCTAATTAAACTAAAGAGCTTCTGCACAGCAAAAGAAACTATCATCAGAGTGAACAGACAACTTACAGAATGGGAGAAAATGTTTGCAATCCACCCATCTTACAAAGCTCTAATACCCAGAATCTACAAGGAAGTTAAACAAATTTAAAAGAAAAAAACAAATGACCCCATTAAAAAGTGGGCAAAGTATATGAACAGACCCTTCTCAAAAGACGACATTCATGCAGCCAACAAACATGAAAAAAAAAGTTCAACATCACTGATCACTAGAGAAATGCAAATCAAAACCACAATGAGATACCATCTTATGCCAGTCAGAATGGCAATTAATACAAAGTCAAGAAACAACAGATGCTGAAAAGGCTGTGGAGAAATAGGAATGCTTTTCCATTGTTGGTAGGAATGTAAATTTGTTCAACCATTGTGGAAGACAGTGTGGTGATTCCTCAAAGTCCTAGAAACAGAAATACAATTTGACCCAGCAATCCCATTACTGGGTATATATCCAAAGCTATATAAATCATTCTATTGTAAAGATACATGCTTGCATATGTTCATTGCAGCACTATTCACAATCGCAAAGACATGGAATCAACCCAAATGCCCATCAGTGGTAGACTGGATAAAGAAAATGTGGTATCTATACACCATGGAATACTATGCAGCCATACAAAGGAATGAGATCATGACCTTTGCAGGAACATGGATGGAGCTGGAAGCCATTGTCTTCAGCAAACTAACACAGGAACAGAAAACCAAATACTGCATGTTTTCACTTGTAAGTGGGAGGTGAACAATGAGAACACATGGACACAGGGAGGGGAACAACACACACTGGGCCTGTCGGCAGGGTTGGGGGAAGGGAGAGCATCAGGATAAATAGCTAACGCATGCTGGGCTTAATACCTAGGTGATAGGTTGATAGTTGCAGCAAACCACCAGGGCACAGGTTTACCTGGGTAACAAACCTGCACGTCCTGCACACATGTATCCCAGAACTTAAAATAAAATTTAAAAAAACCATCAGTTTTACAAGATCCATTTAGCAGGAACAAAGGTTTTCCCTGAATTGACCTGGAATTTGCTTCATCTCTTTTATCGCGTTGGAGGAAATACTGCTCCTGGATGTTTGCTTGGACCCATGGTTAGACTGCACGCCTCTGATGTGGACAACAGCCCATAGACTATTGACTACCACATGTCTCTTGAAAACATGTCTTTGATGAAGCAACTCCCCTCCCTGCAAAAACGTAGCAATTAACTAAAGCAAGTAAGATTATGTCTTGGAAAGATAATGAGGTTTACTTCCCTGCCTATATAATTTTTGCCTGTGTGTGTCTGGATCCCAGCTTGGATCTCATCCAGCTCACTCCTGGGAAAACATAGCTGGTATACTCCGTAGTACTTTAATGAAGTGCCTGCCTGTGTTAAGAAAACATCAAAGTTGCTCCAGCTTCAAAACCAGCTAAATTTTGGAAGCTGCAATTTGAGGGCAGTATGGGGAACTCCCTTCACCTCTCTGGCAAGTGAACTAATGACAAGAGAACAAGGATGACCACCATTGTGTGTCCTGTGTGTTACTAAGCTCTGAGTCTTCACACATCTATTTTACACATGGTCCCTTCATTAGTCTAGGACATGGGAGGTGTAGGAGACAGACAAGCCAGAAAGACCTTTCACACTGGCTCATGGCCAGATCTGTGTTCCTTGAGGAGGCTAGACAGGTTGGGATATTACGTAAGAAGTGCCATGTAGCCCTTGTCAATCACTTCCACCCTCCTTTCCCCTGTTCCTCTAATGCGCCTCAAGTTGACTTGACCGTCTATTTTGCCTCGGGTATAAACTTATTTCCAGCTCCTGCACTGAAACCTGCTGAGCATTTATGCACAGAGCCACTGGCTGTGCAGCTGGAGCAATGGCCCGTGCTCACCGTCACCTCTCTTTGTTATGCTTGCTTCCAGTACATTCATCTTGTTGCTAGTTTTTGTTTCCCTGATCATTTGTGATTGCCTGTGTTCTGCCACTGTATGGCTACTCAGCCTTATTTTCCAGTGACAAGGATAGTCTCCTTTGGACAGTTAGGGACAAACAAATAAATAGCATGATTTATAGACCAAAGTGCCAAAGAGTGAAAAAACAAACCCTGAGTAATCTCCATAATACTAATCTAGACATACACTCACAAAGTCAGGAAATACAGAAGTTAAGTTGTCCATCTCAATGCTACACCTTGGAAGGAAAATTCTAAGTTGTTTTGGAGAAGATACAATAAAGCTGTGTCAACATGATAGCGAATCCATTTTGGCACATCTGCAATATGTGGGGCCAGCTGGTAAAAGGATGATGCCAATGAAGGACATCAGTCCAAATCTCGTGTAGACCTGTGTGTTTCTCTGATCAGGGATAACAGGCTTCCTCCTGAACTTTACTGCTCAGAAAGGAGCCGGTGTTGGGGATAGGTATGGGAAGGGATAAATCAGCATCAGTATTATGACAGTGAACACAAGCATAGTTAAGAATTTCAAGCTATATTCCTGATCAATATCATTTGGATATATCTCAAACCAGTTTTTTTTTCCTACTCAGTTGATTGGAGAATTCTGTCGAGAGTCAGTTTGTAGTTCCAAGCCTATCCTGTTGAACCACTCAGTCAGCAATTCAATTCAAAGAACATTTACTGAGTGTTCTCTGTTTGTAAGCCATCGGAGAGCAAAGGACCAGAATGTCTTATATTTCTATTTATTCTCAACCCTTAGAATAATGCTAGGCACACAGGTACTCCATAAATGTGTGATGAACATAACTGAACTACTACATGGAGAAGGAGGACTAATATATAATAAACACCCACTGGGTACCAGGCATGCTAGGCACTGAGGGATCAGTGACGAATGGAACTGCCTCTGCCCTGGGGAGCCTATACTCAATCAAGTCTTTCCTTGTGGATCTTACATGCAGATGATCTGGAAAATTAACCACTGAACTCAGACACTCTCAGGGCAGATTCAGAATTGCTCAAGTTCATGATTAATTAATGGCTTTAAAAAAGCTTACGGCACCTTTTTTGGCTATCCCTTTTTTGGGGGTGGTGGGGGAGGCGTATCCTTAATCTTCTGAAAGAAAGGAGAGTATACGTCTTCAGGATGGACCTAGATATGGCGTGGAACCTGAAACCTGCATCTCATGTTTTCTCTTTCCTTGATTAATAGTTGGTTTAGGTTGGTTCACAGTAAAAAACTCATCAGTCAAGCTGGGTACCTCTTAGGAAGTACTGGCTCCCTGCATTGAGGTTGACTGCTGGGAGCATCTCACCAAACACCATAGGTCATGCATGTAGACAATAGCTCTCAGGTCTAATTTCCTATCATCTTACTGAAAACAGAGCTCTTGTAGAAGACATCTGCGAAACTCTGACTAGTACCTTCTTGGAGCTACCACTAGCATCTGTACATCCCTCTCCTATAGAAGCTATCGTTGAACAGCAATAATTTATTGCTGTGTCTCCTTCACTTGGCTGTGAGCTCCTTGAGGATCCAGACTGCTGATAGCATAGGTGGCCCAGAATCACCTGTAGGCGGAGCTCAGAGCCATAATGCTAGAAGCTGAAGTTTTCCTTGGGAGAAAGCAAGCATGGAACTTTGATTTCCACTTTCTCTTTTTGGGTTGCTACAAGCTTAAAGGAAATTTCTATTTTAATCACATCTTTTGTGCTGCTAATTTGCTGAGATATGCCCAGGAGTTCTCCCTACTCTATCCTTTAAAAAAGTCGAACAGGAACCAGAGTAGGTCCTAGGAAAATCGTGTATGAAGAGAGGTTCATAGAAGGCCACCAGTTTTAGTGTCGGGGGCACCATTCATACAGAATATAATGTGAATTGTGTACCCTAGAGATGCTTCTGTGAACCCTTTCCTCATCCGTGGTCACTTCTGTGCAAAGGAGCAGCCAATTCTGCAGGCTAAGAGAAGGCATGGGAATTTAGAACCACAGCCTGTGCTGTGTTTGTTCCTCCCTGCAGGGTCTTTGAGTGGTGACTGTGCCTCAGGGCTCTGCAGTGGGGACAGTTAGCTGAAAGGATACAATCCAGCCACAATTTACCATCATTTCACTTACAATCATGTCTTAATCTCCTATTCATTTCAGCGTCTGCAGCATCCAGCACCCTGAACTTGGTAGGTATTCAACAGATGGTGGTTGAAGGAAGCTGCTGAATGACTGTAGTTTCTCCTATTTACCTCCTACATAGTGATGCATAAGGTGAATCTTAAGAGAGATCAGAAGGCTTAAGGACTAAGGATATGTGAAGATATTTGATGATCACTATTTGGCTTGATTTGATGATTTTGCTCTTAGGAATCCCATTTTGAGCACGCTAGAAAGAAGATAAACTTTAGAGTCAGTTTCAGATTCTGGCTTTCCTACTTATTAAATGTATGACCTTGGACAAGTTCTGAGCCACACTCTCCTCAAATGAAAAATGGCAATAATATTACCTACCATAGCTACTCAGTAGTTATTATTATGCTTATTATTATCTCCCTTCCTCCCTTCAAAACCTGGATCTTTGTCTTCCTTTGTGACCAACACCTAGTTACCTTTTCCTATTGTGTTTGACTGCTTTTCCACACATTGTTGGCAGGACCATGGCATGTCACTGAATTCCTAGCTCTTGTCCTGACATCCTGGTTTTGCACTGTCCAGTACAGTAGCCACTAACTAGATATAGCTGTTTAAATTTAAATTAATTACATAAAATTAAAATTTCAGTTCTTCGACCACCCTAGACCCACTTCAAGTGGTTAGTGGCTACCATATTGAACAGAACGGCTATAAAATGTATCCATTTTGCAGAAAGTTCTATAGGCCTATGGTGCTCTAGATATTGTTTATTTCTGACATCTGGACTGTCACAGATTAATTCCACCAGGAAATGAGATCTCAATCTGGGTACTGTGTTTTTCGATGGGTTTAAAACTTGGGGAGGGAAGCGAGGTCTTCGTATTGGGCTTTCTCAAACCCCAGCACATCTCTCTTATTTCCACATTTACTTCACATATTTTAGAAATGAACTTTTTAGGTTGGGAAATAATTATCAGAAAGTGAGTGGTTATGACCACCCAAAGCAGTCTTCTATACAACCATGACGGAGGATATGTATTTGGGGTGAAATGATTGTTTTCATTAAATGGACCAAAAGATGGCTTTTAAGCCTGTAATTCTCATGGTAATTGTCATGTTCTGTTGCTATGAATCTATACTCTCTTTAAACGGAATCTTCAGTTTAGAGCTGTTTATATGTCTCTTTAGGTGGAGCCCTGAGGATAATTTGGTTAAACAAGCTCCTGAATACATTTTCCCCAAAGGCCATGTGCTATTAGAAGTTTTGTTGGGCAATTATGCAAGAAGGAAAAGGAAAAGAGGGAAAAACAAGATATTACATGGGACATAGTTCAAGCCAACAACTGGTAGCCCTCAAGGCTATTTCAGACCATCAAATTATCTCTTACTCTGATTTTGATGCTCCATAATAAAATATATGATCCAACCTAAGCATCTTTTATGCCTTTACTGCAGTCTAACTCATATTCTCTAGATACTTAGAGCCAATTCAAAGCAGGTTTCCTTAATAATTAAGGTCATGCAACCTACGTCACATAAAAGGCAGGATATCAATGATGAGCCACCCTGCTGAGAAATTAATCTTCAATCAACAAGTGTATATGTGTACTCTGGAAATCATTACCAATATTTCATGGTTTCTTTTACTGTAGAACTGTGGGTTATGTTACATGTCAAGATGAAATCAATGGGCTGAGAGGAATTTGGTCTTAAGGGCTTTGGAATGGTGTAACAATCAAGTTTTTCTTTCCCCTGCCTTACTGAACTATTATATTTGCAGAGCAAATTCTCCACATAAAATTCTATGTATTCTTCCAACCTAGCTCCTTTTTTTCCAAGTCCTCTTAGCTTAATCATTATATTTATTTTTTTATTACAACATGAATATATGCTCACTTTAGAATGCTGGAAAATAGAAAATAAGAAAGATGAAAAATTGTTTCTAATCTCACCACTGTAACATTTTAGACTGTTTCCTACCAGCTTATTTAGGCTTAAAAAATAAAACTGAGTTTATTTTGTATTTGTAATTCTTTCTGCTTTTCCTGCTATTGTAGCAGACATTCATCATGTTGTTATAGCTATCCTTTACCATAATTTTCAATAATTGCTTAACCATTCTCCTCTTGCTAGGTATTTTATTTGGTGTCAATTGTTCATGTTTATAAAAGATTCCATAATTTATAGAACTGTATTCATGACACTAAAATTTCTATATTGCCTGTTAAAATTATATGTATGTATATATGCTTTTTTTTCTGATTAATTCCCTGAAGTAGAATTACTGGGTCAATGTTTCTTTTTAAATTTTCACTTTTTTTGATTTAGGTCCAAAATGATTTGCTGGAAGCTTGAGAAAAATACACTCCCTTGGTCTGAGATTGGTCTGACAAGTAGAAGTGTGTTCTCCTCATTTCAGGGAACATGATCAAGTTCCTTTTTGCTTTAGAATGTTTTGAGATGCTCTTCTTTCCCTGCCCTCCACTCCCCAACACATACAAAAACGCACACTCTTCAATCATGGAAAATGGAAAGTTTCTGCTTTTCTTGTCCTGGCCAGGAAAGAAATCTCTTGGCAATTTTGAACAATACAGTTGAAAGTAAAGGAGTTCTAATTGATTTTAAGGTGTTTCTTTTTCCTTTTTTCTTTCCTCAGGCATGCTATACACATTCTCTACTGAAATCAGTGTCCTCAAATGCCTGCGGCGTTCTAAACACACGGTGGGTCCTCATGGGATGGAAGAAAGTGCATTAGATTTGAAATGGGAATATCTGGCTCAGGCCCTGGTGGTCTGATGCCTCTATGTGTATTTCACACCATGTGAGGTAATTTATTTGAAACTCATCACCTTGTTCAGTCCTTGTAGTGATTCTCTGAGCTAGCAATTACCAATCCGATTAGATAGCTGGGGAAGCCAAGGTTTAGCAGGGTAAAACAATGATGCATGACTGGCACATGGTAGACTTTAGGAAGCTCAGTTCTCCTGATCTCAGTCATTTACTTTTCTCATTGTCCCAGACTGTTCTTATTATTCATGTTTCACTGGACAAGTACTTAACCTCCCTGAGTCTTAATTATATCTACCTCAGAGGGCTTTTGTGAGGATCAGATGAAATCATTTAAATTGTATATGTTATTTAAAGTGGAATATAAGTGTTAGGAATTATGAATAAGCTAATTGAAAAAGATGACTAATATAACGTTTACTTAAATGGCTTATATTGACTTCTGAAAAGTTTGATACTTAATTGCTTAGTTCCTATTTTACAAATTTTCATTTTATCTGTTTTCCTTTTTTGCTTTCCTTTGATAAGCCCCGTGGACATTAGATGCAAAAATCTTTCAATAATTAAATGTTAAGGTATTGGATTCAAGCACCTAAGAACTTTAAGTTCCTTTAAGACAAGTTTCTCAACTTTGTCACCACTGACATTTTTGGGTAGAATAATTTTTTGTTGTAGAAGCCTGGCTTGTATATTGCAGGGCACTTATCAGCTTCCTGGCCTCTACCCACTCATTGCCAGTAGCACCCTTCCCCTAATTGTGACAATGAAAAAATATCTTCAGTTATTGCCAACTACCTTTTGGGGATGGGCCAGGGGATGCAAAGTTGCTTGCATTTGAGAACCACTGTTGTAACAGAATGTCTGTCTCTTGAGAGGCAAATTTTATTCACTAGCATCTTGGTTTGATGTTTTTTTTTTTTCTTAATATGTCAAAAGTATACTGTAGAATAGTTTTGCAAAGGAAAATATCTTTAGCATGTGTTGCCTCAGTCTATTCAAATTTTACAACCTTGTTACTAGTTGGACATTATTTTTTTCCTGATTGCCCAAACAAATTTCACTGAAAGCCAATACCAAGATCTGAACATAAGATTATAAAAAAAGCAAGAAATAAGAAAAATACAAATTCACACAATTACAATGAGAAACCTATTCTGAGAATAACAGCTTTTGTAAAATTTCCCATTTTTATTAAAATGTTGGTTCCAAGAATGGATTTGTGTTGTGCCATTTTCAGTTCTTGTTACTCTCATTGTCATAATAGGGAATGAGCCAAAATTGCAATGCTTTGGATAGTCTTGTCACTTGGAATAGTGTGGAGACCTGCTCTGACCTTCTGTTATTCCAGAGCAACAAGGAGGCATAGCCACTGACCAGAGAAGATGAAGCACTCTGGAGAGATCAAAGACCATCGGGCCTGAGTGGCTGTACAATTTCGCACTGGGGGTTCTATTCAGCAGTCTAAATTGCAGCTGGTCTGTCTGTCCAAAGCACAACATGGCACACAATTATGTAGCATCACTCAGCTTAGCAAAAAGCAGTTTGCATCAAAGGAACAACAGAATAGGAAGAGACCTAATATTTCTTGAAGCCTACTGTGTGCTAACTACTTGATGTGTGGTTTTCATATACTCTTTGCACCAAACCTATGAGGTAAGTATTATTCAATCCAGGTTTTACTAAAGAAAGTAAAGTAACTTGCCTAAGATTAGGTAGAGCTGGAAGACTCAGATCATGGCTTTAAAGCCTCTTAGCACTTCCCGCTAATATATTGACATATGACTTAATAATCTCATGAAAATCATTACTGTGTTATGAACTCAATTCCAAGATTTAAAACTGAAAGCATTATTTTAAAAAATGGTTTGTTACTTTTAGGGAGCAGAGAGTGAGCGCCACTACCAACTTCAAGAGTAGTCAGTAGGCAAAAGAAGAGCTCGGGCCGGGGCGGGGGTGCTGGTCATGATAGTGATTAAAAGTTCTCATCTTCCTCTTATAGGCAATTTGCTCTTCAAAAAACTCCGAGTCTGTGTGGTGTTGCCTACGTAAGTCACTGTTACCCTTCATTCTTCCTAAAGCAAGGTTTATTTATTTCGAATTATTCAACAAACAATTATGAAGCTTTGTTATGCAAAAGGAACTGAGCTAGGTGCTAGGAATAGGTATAAAACACAGGTCCTTCCTTCAAGGTCGCTTACAGTCCTGTAGAGGATATAAAAATGCTTATTAATTTTTATAAAACTTAAGAGAAAATTGAAAGGGACTAAGAAATGTTGAGATGAAAGAAATGGTATAGTTTAGCGAAGGGCCACACACTCTGACTTGGAGATCGCAGCGTAGACTTTGAAAACAATTACAAGAGCAGGTGCTGAGCTGAGCAGAGCAGACTTAGAAAATAAATTTTGCGTAAAGGCAAAGGTCACTGATGAATATCGGTTGATGACTCATCTCGCTTTTCTAACCTCACACCTCTGAGAAACCTGAGCGTTCTCTCTTCAGCCACTGTAGGTTACAAACAAGCAGGAGCAATTGCCCATCTTAACACATGCTGGTATTTCCTTCCTGCAATGCTCTGGCCACACTTCTCTCTTTGTTTGTCTACATCACATCCTCACCTCTTTCATAAATCATTTTAAACTTCTTCACTATCCACATACTTTTTTTCTTTGGACTTGCCCCCTCATCCCATTTCTACTGAAAAGACTGGCCTTAGACAACCTTATGTTCCATGGGATCTTCTCCTCGTCAGTTCACTGGACCAGAAGTTTATGTCTGTCCAAAGGGAAACCATTTGAGCCAAGCAGATTCTGTCTCTCAATAACGGAACTAAGTGACACAGAACATTTTAAATGTCGGGAGAGATGGATCTGCTATGTGAGATTGACAGTAATGTTGTTCCAAGCCAAGGAGTTGAAAAGTAGAGAAAATAAGAAAGCTGAGAGACACAAACTCAAGAGTGCATGCAACCTCTTAGAAAACAACTGAAATTGTTGGCTTTCAAAGTTACTTCTGGGTTACCGGGGGCTCAGTTGCTCTTAGGTCTCTGCTTTAGATTTTAAAAGTTTTATAACCTAACGTCAAGTTTCTCTTCTTAATTAACCAAGGCTAATTAGAAAGGGTTTCTCATCCTTCCCACCCAATGGGCTTGGATCAAAATACCTGGCTATACTGATATTCCAATTTTCTGAATTTCCTTTCACGTAGTCTGCGCTATTCATTTTCTAAATCTATCAGGTACCACTGTATTGTATAGCCTGGCGTATACTCCATTGTTAGACGGAACTTGCAGATGCTTAGTATAGCAAAGGTGAGGTTTTTGCTCATGCTAAATGTCCCACACAGACTGGCAGGAGGCCTATGATCATCAAGTTATGCAGAAACTGAGGTTGATGGAGTCTCCTTCCCCATACATACCTCAGTGATCACCAAACCAGGGCAAAGAGAACATGGTGAACAAAATGCTGGCTCTTCCAGATTCTACCTAGAGGTGATTCAGTGGCTTACATACATATTTCCTTGGTTAACACAAATCACAAGACTAGGCTTAATTTCAAATGGGGTGGAAGTATAATTCTGTCCTCAGAAGAGACCTGACATATTTATTTTACAACTTTTAAGATTTTCATAATCTCCTATAGTGGTACAATGTGAGGCACATGACTTAGCCTCTTTCTGCCTCAGTTTTCCTTTCTTTAACATGAAGATAACAATAGTATTTACCTGTTATGGGGATTAAATTTGATGATATATGTAAAGTGCTTTGGCATAGTGCCTAACTCATTGTGAATGCTGTGTAAGTATTAGCTGGTGCTACTTGTAAATACATAGAGTTATTTGTTTGGAGTCATCTTTTCATTCACATTCCTACTATGAATCAAAACCCCCAAAGATACCACAGCTGGCATGCTTCAGGGATGACATCTTAGTAGAATTTCTTACTAATCTTTCATCTCTTATTCACATAGGGACAGAGATTTCAGCTCCTGGTTGTTTGTGCTGTCCTCTGCCCTTATAGCTTGGCTAACTTCTGAAAAATCAATTGTACTGCAAATGCTAGGCCATCACTTTTTCACTGCAGTACCTACCCTGTCTTCTGCATAAAATGGCATTCTAAATAACTGCTGATGACTCAGAGGAATACACGTCTATTAGCTATTCATTGTGTCCATAATCCCCCCAAGAAAATGAATACAATGACAAGTGTTATATTGAATAACTGCAGAGGTTTGGATTAGGGATTTTTGTTCTTGTTTTCTGGGTGGACTCCCCTGAATAACTTATCACATTCATAACACTACAGGGAAGGAGTTTTCTCTTAGCTCAAATTGCTCTGCTCAGTATAGCTTCAGGGGGAAAGCAGAGGGTTACCAGCTGTAGAAGGCCTGACATTAATTTCAGAGTTTATATTAGAAACCTTTCTACTCAGACTGAGCACTGGTGAGGAGAAAGAAAAAAAAACTCTTTTAGAAAAGCAGCTGAGAATAAAAAATGGCTTCTATTCTAATAGAGAATAAATGTGGTCTGGCATCAACAAGGGAATGGATAAAATGCAGTGTAATCAGAAAAATGCAGTTTCCAGCCTCATCCTGTGATCAAAGCAAAAGTCTGTTCTTTTGAATAGTTAGTTGCTCAGATATTTGCTTTAGCACGCCCACCAGGGGCCTCAGTGATTTTTTTTTTTTTCTTTCCAGGAAGGATGGTAACTAGCACTTTGTGCTGCTGGGAGAGTGTATATTTACATGGTGTCCCCAGCTTTGTCTCTCTAAATGCACACAGCCTCCTTCTATTCTACCTGGAGCTGTGCCAACTGTAAGAGGCCCAAGCCAATTATTGACCTAGAGGGGTTAGTGCCCACTGTGCTCTGCCCTCAACTAGATTCCCACCAGGTTCAGCTGGTGGCTTTTTAAAAAAAAGTATTTATCTCTAATTCCTTGGGGATGCCATATTTCCTCTTTATTTTTCTTTCAGTGATCTTTTGTAACCTTTCTCCTCCCACCATTTCTCTTGATCTCAACTGGTCTTGCTTGGATTTCATATTTTGCTTGAGCGTCATCAGTCAGCAGGCTGGGTGTTATTTTGTACTCTTTCTTGATGGAGGAAAATAAGGTCAGACTAAACCAGGAGAAGGTGTGGGTGTCTGAGAGTCGCATTTGCTGGTAATGCTTCCCAAGTCCTCTAAAGATGTAGGGGATCTAAGCTGTAAGCTAACTAGTGGGCAGGTCATCCATTGACTAGGTGTGATTGTGAACCAGCTTGGGTGCTACCTGGTTTATGTGCAACATTTTAATTGGCCCAACAACCCTGTGAAGTGCTTACCATAGTTATCCCTACTTTACTGATATTGCAATGAAAACTCGGAAATGTTAAGGCACTTGTCCAAGTTCTAAACCATTATACTACATATTAGCCTCTCTGGATCTCAGTATCCTCCTATGTAAAATAAAAGGATTCATTTAAATTAGCTTCTCAACTTCAGCACTATTAATATTAGGGGCTAGATAAGTCTTTGGTGTCGGGAGCTGCCCTGTGCATTAGAGGATAGTTAGCAGCATTCTTGGTTTGTGATACTAACAGCACCTCCCTTCACCCACCTGGGACAAATAAAAATGTCACTAATCTTTGCCAAATGTCCCTTGGGAGACAAAATTACTTCTGGTTTGAGAACCCTTGGCCTAAAAAAATTTCCATGATACTTTCTAGATTGAACTGTCTACTGTTCAATGTGTGCCTGCTTGGTTTCCTTCTCTCAGCTCTTCTTTCCTCTTACATTTTTATTCCTTTTCTTTAGCTTACCCATCCATAGTTTAGGGATAACAAAAGTGCCCGCCTTCTGGGAGTGTTAATTAGTTCAACCATTGTGGAAGATGGCGTGGCAATTCCTCAAGGATCCAGAACCAGAAATACCATTGACCCAGCAATCCCATTACTGGGTAAATACCCAAAGGATTATAAATCATTCTGCTATAAAGACACATGTACATGTATGTTTACTGCAGCACTATTTACAATAGCAAAGACTTGGAACCAACCCAAATGCTCATCAAGGATACACTGGATAAGGAAAGTGTGGCACATATACACCATGGAATACTATGCAGCCATTACAAAAGAATGAGTTCATGTCCTTTGCAGGGACATGGATGAAGCTGGGGACCATCATTCTCAGCAAACTAACACAGGTACAGAAAACCAAACACTGCATGTTCTCATTCATAAGTGGGAGTTGAACAATAAGAACACATGGGCACAGGGAGGGGAACATTACACACCAGGGCCTGTCGGGGTTGGGGGAAAGGGGAGGGAGAGCATTAGGACAAACACCTAATGCATGCAAGGCTTAAAACCTAGATGATGGGTTGATAGGTGCAGCAAACCACCATGGCACATGTATACCTATGTAACAAACCTTCACGTTCTGCATACATATCCCAGAACTTAAAGAAAAAAAATAAGTGCCCACCTTCATATACAGTTGTTTTGAGGATGAAATGGGGCAATGGATACCAAATCCCAAGGACGATTTTTGGTGCTCAAAGATTACTTTAAGCTTAAGTTCTCAGCGAAAGCCACCTGTATTGTTTAAATTCCTGTCCCCACAAGCAGATTAACAACTACAATCGCACCTCATCTGAGACAAGCTCTCTCTCAAATCACTGTGGAAGGAGAAAAGAATGGAGCACAGTTACTCTGAAGACCCTGAAGGAAGCCTTCCTCTTTTCTCTTACCTGCAGCCCATTTATAGAGCAGGCTGGAGGTTCTTGTCATGTGGGGAAAACAGACTTTAAACATAGTCAATTAATTGATGCAAATCACCTTCCTTTCAGTCAGATTTAGGTAATAGCATATCTCACATGACAAACCCTGCTATTTATCATTTTCACTAAGAAAAATCTTTAGCCACTTTCCATCTGTAAATTCTGAAAAGAGGCTGATAAGTTCGCTCATTTAAATATAGCATAGATGCATTTTTAAAAACCCATTGCTTCCGAAGGGAGTGGGATTGACAGACCTGGACCTTGAATGCTCATTTGATATACTGATGCTCTATGGAGCTTGGCAAGGCAGTTTTTCAACCCACCTGGGAGCATTTCTGTTTCCTTCCTTGGTTCTATTTTAGACCGTTACTTTTCATACTACCTGCAACCAAGGCCACTGATTATCTTCCCAGAGAAAAAACTAACAATTTTTTTTCTGTAAAGTTTTAAGATCTCCCTCTCCTATCCCATAGCCAGACCTAAACAATGTCCCCATCTTGTCTGAATGAATCTTTGCCTTCTACTCATCTTCCATGCTCTAACCATTGGGCCTTTTAGCCAAAATCTTTTTGGTAAATAAGCTTTGTGAGCAGCTGAGCTGGGTCACAAGTCTCTCCTTTGAAGTGACGGTTTCACTTGCATGTTTGCCTTTTGAGGCGCCATTTTTGGCCTCCAGGAAACAGCACTATACTGGTTTTCTAGCTACTTTGTACTCTCTCTCCCCACATTCATCCTGTCCAATTTCTGTTATAGCCTTTTCATTTAGCCTCTTTCTTTTCTTTCTCACTTTTCTATAACTGCAGTCACGGTCTACAAGGTGAGGAAGAAAGAAAAAGCAGTGTTTCCCATCTCTGTGCTCAGAGAGAATTCATAGATTCAGAAACTTCTACCAAAGATTTATTCCACAGATGCTAACTGGATTTTGTCATGGAATTAGGATTGGGTATTGGAAGGTATATCAAATATGCTAGTTTAAACATTAGCAACTTTTAAAAATTGAAGGATTTCTCAAACTTTTAAACATGCTAATGTGAATTGTGAATATCTAAGAATAAAGATAACACATATGCATTTCTCAAATGCTTCACGGCAATCCCTCCTTTTTGCAATGGATCATCTTATAGTGTTTAGTGCAGCGTATTTTGGGAAGCAATGTTTTAGGATATTTCACTTGTCATATTCCAGATTCTCCTGAAAGTTCCATATTCTTGATATTTTCAAATCAAATCTTCTTGCTTTGGGCTCAAACCATAGGCCTTCTGATGGCTAAAAAGAACATCAACTTACAAAAGGGCAGAAAGCATAGCCTACACAGTAGGCTTGTTTGAAAATTATTAAAATACACAATGCTATATGTTGCTGATTTGATAAATGAGGTGTTCAAAGTTACTTTTTTGAGTCTTCGTCTTATTCGCATCCCTATCTGCATATCAAAACTAGAAAATACCGCAATTGGCAATGCTTCAGGACGACATCTTGATAGGATTACTTGTTAATCTTCTTTTATCTTTTATTCACATAGGAATCAAATTTTCAAGTAGTGGTTCCTTGTGTTGTTCTGTTGCCTTACAGCTCAGCTTTATCCTAAAATGTCAATTTTATAGCCTCCCTATGTAAAGAGGGACATCATTCTGTGGGTATGTTTTTGAACCTCTCTCAATCAAATTGTGAGAGGAAGCACTACCTCTTGTAGAAGCAAAGAAAGGCAGGTTAACTGGAGAAAAGGCACACAAATTTATTTAACATGTATCCACGAGAGTCTTCAGAATGAAGACCCAACTCCCAGTAGGGTGAAGAAGCTTATATACCGTCTTGAGGTTACAGAAAAAATGGGGGCTTGGATTCTGGCAAAACATGTTATGGGAGAGGAGAGAAGAGGAAATCTGTTGAGGGGCAATAAATGATTACTAGGGAGCATTCAATGGGCTTGAAGAACATAAAATGGTCTTGGACAAAGTCTGCTGGGCCTGCAGAGCAGACAATAGATTGTGACAAAAGTCTGTCCAGGTTTGTTGACAGAATTTAATTTTCTTTCCTGTGGTATGGGTTCAGTTAATGAAAACTCATGGGAGGTAATGTCTTCTTTGGCAGGTCTGAACTTTAGGAAGATAAGGGAACTTCAGGGAACAACTTCAGCCTGTGCTTTAGGAGAGATGGTAGTGAAAGGTGGGGAGAGTCAAGTAGACCTTGAAGCTCCTTTTTTGGTTCAGCATGTACAAAGTGTCATATTTTGGGGTATTGGTTTCTGAGCCCCAACAGTCTTCTCCTCAGGGAGAGGATGGGAAAAAAGCCATTATATTTTCTACCTCAGAAAACTCTCCTACCAATTCTCTTCTATCACCTTTTGGAATTTCTAGTTTTCCCTGACTGAAGCTGTTTCGTAAGTGATGGTGTCAGACGTGTGTGAACCAGAGCAACTCCGTCTTGAATAGGGGCTGCGTAAAATAAGGCTGAGATCTACTGGGCTGCATTCCCAGGAGGTTAAGGCATTCTTAGTCGCAGGATGAGATAGGAGGTCAGCACAAAATACAGGTCATAAAGATCTTGCTGATAAAACAGGCAGTGGTAAGGAAGCCTGCTAAAATCCACCAAAACCAAGATGGAGATGAGAGTGACCTCTGGTTGTCTTCACTGCTACACTCCCACCAGCGCCATGACAGTTTACAAATGCCATGGCAACATCAGGAAGTTACCCTATATGCTCTGAAAAGGGGAGGCATGAATAATCCACTCCTTGTTCAGCAGATAATCAAGAATAACCATAAAAACCATGGGCAACCCACAGCCCTCGGGGCTGCTCTGCCTATGGAGTAGCCATTCTTTTATTCCTTTACTTTCCTAATAAACTTGCTTTCACTTTATGGACTTGTCCTGAATTCTTTCTTGTACAAGATCCAAGAACCCTCTCTTGGGGTGTGGATCGGGACCTCTTTCCGGTAACAGTGAAATTAATAATCACTGGGACAGTTCTATTATTCTTAATATGGATGAAACTAACATTCTTCTTTAGTGTTATTTCCCATCTATTGATGTTCTGAAGACAGCAGGGAATGATTCACTTAACATTGTGTAACACATAGAAATTAATTCTTAAATGCAAATAATCTTCATAGTTTCTTTATGTGTGTTGGTATTATATCATTTATAAAACAATTTCCATTAGGTTGAAAATATTTTGTCCTTAGAATTAATAGATAGGAATACCTACCTTCATTCATATGCTATTTTCTTGTGCTCTATTCTCAGGAGTGGCATGTGTAGGTTAAAGGGCATTACAAATTGTCCAGCTCTTGCAATTTTACAGCTAAAGTCCATAGTAAATGGCTTCTAAGTTTCTAGAAGTGAGTTCATTAAACTTGTGAATAACACCACAGCACACATGCACAGAAATTAGAATAGTATGCATTTAGTGGATTTTTGTATTCACTTTCAGTGAATGGAATTGTCTGATTAGACAATTCTCAGATAATTATTTTTAATTTTATCTACCTAGAGAGCTGTATCCCCTTACCAGTTCTGTGACGTGGCTGGGCTGGTTTCATATACATTCTTTCTCATTCACATTCTCTCTCTCTCTTTGTTTTCCTATTTAGTTGTTTGCTTAGTCACAAGTCTCCAATAGTGTAATTTCCTGTTGGGTTCTCCAGCTGTGAGACACTCCCTGGATCTCCCCTTCCCCCCATCCTCCAGCTGTCTCTATGGGCAACATCCAACTACTGATTTTAACACATTTGGCTAGCATTTAGCAGGGGCCAGGGACTCCTGTTAACTTCTAAGATGTGTTTCTGATGCAAAGACACATTTTGCTCCTAATTAAGCCTTTCACTAAAGAGAAGAATAAAAAGGTATAGGAGGTTTGAGATTTTAAGCAGCCGTCATTCCAGAAAAGGGCAGGAAAAAAAATCAAATAAGTAATCCAAGAGTTCAAAGGAACCTGAACCCCACAGTGCTGTGTCTCATGAGTTGAAGGCTCACATTTTCTTAGCTTCACTCAGGCTGGGCTCTCTACTGGGAAACTGCAGAAATACCTGTCAGGCAAGAACTCCTGAAGTGGGCAACACAAGCAATTCCTTTCATGAGGCACCGATTTTCATGTGTTCTAGTGTCCTGGAGGTATGTTATCAGTTTTGAAACATTCGCAACATGCAATAGCAAGAAAGAGACCCTTTGTTAGGTCCATTCAAGGAGGAAAATTGAGATGCAGCTGGGAGAAGCAGGAAACATCCAGTCAGCAAGATGGCAAGAAGAATTTATATCAGGTGGCAGACTGTGAACATGTTTACTTTAAGACAGACCCAGTGGTGCTATAAGCACCTTGCTATAAGGCAAGATGTAAATGATGTAAATTATTTTTAAAAAGTAAGTGTCAGCCCTGATTTTGTCTCAAGATCGTGTCCTATAAACGTTGATGCTCAGTAAAAGTACTCTGAATGAATGAGAGTCACCAGACAAATGAGTGATACAGAGTAAGCCCTCAAAACATTTTTTCCTGACTTTCTTGATGGCTACTTTATAGCATTTCTAACTTGGCATACAAGGAGGATAATAATATGCATAGTAATAGAACAGTTATGCCTTATCCTGGTTGTGATGCCATCTATAGCAGGATTACAGAAAATCCATTATTCCTGGTAAACTAGTTCATCCCTGATCATAACATGTCTATGAGAGCCAAAAGAAGCCCTTGGAGTTATGTGATTCCTGGTAAAATCTACCACACTTTACTTCCAGCTCCACAGCCTCTCCTCCAGTCCACAAGTGTGTTAGTTCGTGTTCTTTTGGAAGCAGATGCCAAGACAGAGTTAGAAGTGTAAGATGTTTATTATGGAAAGTGCCTATGGAAAGTAATAGGGAAAGGGGGCAGCTGTAGATAAGAAAAACCTCTGACCCAGAAATACTTTTGACATCTGTGAAAAGAGGGGGAGATGGAAAGAGGATTTGGTAGGAAGAGCCTCAGATCATAGGGCAGCCCTAAAAAAGTCTTGACTGGGCCAATAGGGCGGACCATAGCAAAGAGGAGTCTTACTTTGGGCAGGAATGGCCTGTTTTTAGTACTCTCCCATGCTCAGTCTGGCTGGGAGTAGCCCAGGAAGAATGTGGCCTTGGGGTGAGCACAGTGGTGGATTTTGCTAAGGTGAGGCAGTGGGAGGCTGTCAGCTAAACACAATGTTCTGTTTTGCAAGGATGTCAATGCAGAGCACTCCTATGCTACCACACCATGAGCATCCATCACTTCAATACCAACTATGGCACACTATTCCTAAGAAGGACACTGCTGTATTGACAGAACCAACTTTCCACTTTCCCCTGGGAGACCATCAGACCTAATCTTAACCATGCCTTACATTCCTGTTTACCTCATTCAACATCAAAAGGTCAAGACTCCCTGGTCATCTCTTATTTTCCAAAACATAAAACCCACATGGTATTCCAAATTTCCCAATGGCACTCTACCTTATACCACTCCAAACTCACTGCAGCCCTTCTGCTTGCTCTCTTGAACTCTTAGATTGTCACGAGCAAAACTGTCCACATCCTCAACTCTTCTCTGAATGTTCTCTTCATCTAGTTCTAACTATAAACCTGGCTCACACTAAGGACTCTACTTCCTTCTTAAGGGATGGTTATTTTTTGTCCCATATGTATGTAGTATGTATATAAATAATATGAAGGAGAATAAAGTGTCCTGTTTAGTCCTATTCCTACTTCCAATACATTTCCCTATCTTCCTTTCTCAAAAAGCATCTCCTTTAAATAACCCATTAGAATATACACTCTGCAAACTTCCTCATTGTAATCATCTTTCAACCTCTTTATCACTCCTCATTCATTGGAGATGTAGCACTAACTTCCTTTTTACAGCTAGTTCTGTTATTAATTTGGCAACTTTATCATTTATGTAGCTTGTCTATCAAATACTCTGGCTTCTCCAATGGATGAATTGTTCCTGTTGCTAACGAAAGACAACATCTTTAGTTGCCACTGGATCATTTTCCCTCTCATCTACTCGGGAAATGACTCTTAAAATTGTTGCATGTCTTCAGTATTCCACATGTGCCCAATTACCACTGGATTATTCCAATCAGCTGTTATATTTCTCACCTTAATTACATAAGCAGTAATATTAAAATAAATATTTCCCATCCTAAGATAAAATCCCTGCCTTGACTCACATTTTTCCTTTCATCCTATTTCTCTGCTCCCCTCTAAAGCAAAATATCTCATTTATGTCTTTATGTCCTCACTTCCTTTCATCTCCACAGCCCATCCAATTAGACTTTCATCTCCTGTGCTTCCCTACTCCCTAATACTGACTTTTCAAGGTCACCAAGAATCTCCATGTTGCCAGATTCATTGATGACTTCCTTCTCATCTTGCCGAGCTCTTTAGAAAATTTTGCCCAGTTTACTATCCTCTTATCTTTGCAATATTTTCTTCTCTCAGGTTCATAAGCGCTGTACTTATTGGCTCTTCCTGCCTACTCACCTTTGCTGGCTCCTTACCCCGCTTTTTGGTCTTTAAGCGTTACTATGCCTTGGGGTTCAGCTCTTGGCTCTCATATTTCTCAAATCACTCTGACTTCATGGCTGTTCTCATCTAGTTCCAAGACTTTTTTTTTTTTTGAGACAGAGGGAGTCTCACTCTGTCATCCAGGCTGGAGTGCAATGGCACAATCTCAGCTCACTGCAAGCTCCGCCTCCTCGGTTCAAGCAATTCTCCTGCCTCAGCCTCCTGAGTATCTGGGACTACAGACACTCACCACCACGCCCGGCTAATTTTTGTATTTTTAGTAGAGATGGGGTTTTACCATATTGGCCAGACTGGTGTCGAACTCTTGACCTCAAGTGATCCACCCGCCTCAGCCTTCCAAAGTGCTGGGATTACAGGCATGAGCCACCATGCCCGGCCTTAGTTCCAAGACTTTAATACCCTCTATATATCTTAAGCTTGGACTCTCCACTGATTATCACACTCTACATACAGCTGCCTAAGGACAACTTCACTAAATGCAGCTGAAACTTACCATAGCCAAACAGCATCTTTGCTTTTTCTTCACCCTAACTTTTGTGCATACATGTGCCCATGCACACACAAACATGCATGCACAAACCCCACCCCCGCCCAACCCCACACACATGCTTCCTGCATTTTTTCTCCACTTAGGAAATGGCTACATCTCTCCAGTTGCCTAGGTCCCAGACCTAGGAGTCACGCTTAATTCCCCTCTTTTCTTCACAAACCACATTCTCATACTCTGTTGGTAAATCCTGTTGGTTCAACTTTCAAATTATATCCTAAATCTGACCCTTTCTAGCTGTCGCCACTGCTAGCATCTAGCACTGCTAAGGGACAGCATCATTTGTCTCCTGGACGACTGCAGAGATCCTATGTCCTCACATAGAATCTTTAATATTCTTCCCCTTCTCACACTTTTACCCTCATTACTACTTATTCTCCACATAACAGACAGTAATTTTGTAGAAATCATATCACTTTATGGCCCAACAGGGATCACTGTAATCATGCCAAATAAATTATTTCAATCTAGTTGAAGGAGAATAATATTACATTTAACAAAAGTTTACACTGATCTTTTCATAATTCCTTTCTTCTCGTATATTAGCACAATGCATATTCTGTCCCTGAAGCCCCAGAAGACCTTTTCCACTGCCAAACCCGTTCGACCTTCACCTGTCTGATTCTTCTTTCACCTCCCAGACTCCTGTCAAGAAATACCAACACTGCCATTTGTGTAAGAAAAGAAAAAGAGCTCTATGTATGTACACCCGTGTATGTTTGTATGCTTGTTTATGTGTAGCTTTTTCGCTATACTCCTACCAGGCTTTGATGAGGGGAACTGGGAAGTCATCAGAGAAGGGTTGAAGGAATCTTAATTTTCACTGTATGCCTTTTTAAAAAACCTTAAAAATATTTTCCTTGTCCATATAACTCTTATTCATATAAGTAGGTAATTAAATCAATGATAGGTAAATACAAGACATTAAAACTAAAAAGGAAATACCTCCTTCTCTAAATCTAGTAAGAGTCTCCCAAGCAATGTTAGTTTTGGGATCATTTGTACCTCACTGTACATAGTGTACATAGCTTTCACTTCTTTGTGGCATCTGCCAGTCTGTTTCCTAAATTATTTTTATGAGTAAGTTTTCTTCTATTGGACTTTTAGCTCTTATATCCCCATAGTGTAGCATGGTAACTGACACATAATAGGAGACAATATACATGTGACGAATAATTAAATATACAATTTGGCAAACAAATATCTTCTATTGTAGAAAGAACATAATCAGTTAGCATGATATTGAATAGGTTCCAAAAAAACAAAAACAGTACATTTAAGATCAGTCACCAAGGGCAGCAAAGGTTGCCATCTTGTCAATAGTCAATTAAAAGAATTGATAAAGGAAAAGTACTCATGATGCCTAATCAAAGGTATTGTAGCCAGGTCTACCTAATGAGAAAGTCCCAAGGTTTGTCATATAGACTTTGGCTAGAAAGAAATTAACTTTTTTGGCCTTTGAAATTAAAATATCTGAATCTGCTGACTTATAACAGTTATTTTCTTAAATTCTGTGGCTTCGTTGATAACTTCTATCTTTTAACTTTTTGGCCTTTGAAATTAAAATATATGAATCTGCTGACTTATAATAGTTATTTTCTTAAATTCTGTGGCTTCATTGGTAATTTCTATCTTGGTTTTGGGTAACAACAAACCAGAAAACAAAAACCATATGTTTGAAACAACCTTTCATTTCAAAATTATTGTTAAACTATAGACTCATTTTCCATTCATCTTTTAAAAACAATGTCTGCCATATGTAGTAAATAGTATTTTAATCTTTTCTGTAGAAGTGTGAGTGGTGTGCACACTAAGGGGTAATTCTGTAAGAATAGACTTTTAAATTCAATTCAGCACTTTCATCGAGAATGGAGAAGCTTAAAAATTAAGCCAGCAGGCATCCAAAGCCTGAGAGAACACTACTGGATGCATTCTTAATTAGAACCAATAAAGTTTGTTTTTAGGGAGAGCTTTCCCACAGAAAGCTCAATGGCAAAACTCAGAAGAAGTAAACAAATTAAATTCTTTATATTAACTGCTTGACACCCTGCTTCTTACAGAGTTATTTAGTCCAACATGACAGTTGACAAAATTTCACTTTGAAAACTCCAAATAACCCTAAGATAAAGTACTCACTACTTACATATTTTCCCCAAATATAAAACAATCCATACTAATTTCAAGTCTTTCTAAGATACTAGCAGAAAAGAAAATGTTGGAGCAAGAATGATGAGTGGAATGATGTATGAAGGCTTAAGAATCTTGGATTTTGAGTTCATCACTAAGGTTTTTTTTAAACTCATTAGGCATATTTATGTTATGACTTGGTATATTTAAATGTCATACTGTGTTTATGTAAGCATTAAAATAAGATCAGGAAGAATTAAAGAATAGAACCAGATTGTCAACAGTGAATGTATCTGGATGGTGGGATTGCAAATAGGGAGAGGAAACATTTTTTTTTAAATAAAAGGAATAGCTAACTTTAATTAGCTAATTATAGCTAATTGTTATCCATATTATTTTTTAAGCTTGTATAGAATACTTGATATTTTGATGGATATATTAGCTTGCGGTAATCATTTTGCAATATATACAGATATCAAAACATCACATTGTACACCCTAAATGTATAGTTTTTATTTGTTAATTATACATCAATAAAGCTGAAAAAAAAGATATGCATCTTTTTCAGGTCTCTAAATCTGCATTTAAATAAAAAAAATCCCTTGGTTCCAGTAGAAAGCAGCTTGACTTATGTCGCCACAGTGGAATCACAATCTCTCACTTGATTCTCAGGCCTGAGACTGTTCACTGACCAATATTCTCAAATGATAAGGGCAGATACTCTCGAGAGTGGACTGCAAAGCTGCCACATATTTATGGTCTATATTTTCCTCCTAAGCTTACTGATATGATTTGGTTGTGTCCCCACCCAAATCTCATCTTGCATTGTAGCTCCCACAATTCCCAAGTATCATGGGAGGTAATTGAATAATGGGGCCAGTCTTTCCCATGCTGTTCTCGTGACAGTAAATACGTCTCATGAGATCTGAAGATTTTATAAAGGGGAGTTCCCCTGCACAAGCTCTCTCTTGCCTGTTGCAATGTGAGATGTCCCTTGCTCTTACACCATGATTGTGAGGCCTCCTCAACCATGTGGAACTGTGAGTCAATTAAACCCCTTTCCTTTATAAATTACTCAGTCTCTGCTATGTCTTTATTAGCAGAGAGAGAACAGACTAACACACTTACCCAAAGGAAGTGATATGATGAATTTCGTTCATATGTCTCTTGAGGGCCAAGTTTGCATATGCTTGCCCTGTTTCCTCTTCAGTGATGTTGCAATGGCAGCCTGATATTGGCCATGGAAAGTGTTTATATGAAAGAAATTGGTGAATGCTACAAATAAACACTTTTTTATCTCTTTTTGTCCTATTATCTTTCTTTTTTTAAAATTCTACTTTACACTCTGGGATACATGTGCAGAATGTGCAGGTTTGTTAAATAGGTATACGTGTGCCACGGTGGTGTTTGCTGCACCCATCAACATGTCATCTACATTAGGTATTTCTCCTAATGCTCTCCCTCCCCTAGCCCCCACCCCCTGACAGGCCCTGGTGTATGATGTCCCCCTCCATTTGTCCATGTATTCTCATTGTTCAACTCCCACTTATGAGAGGAAACATGCGGTGCTTGGTTTTCTGTTCCTGTGTTAGTTTGCTGAGAATGATAGTTTCCAGCTTCGTCCATGTCCCTGCAAAGGACATGAACTCATCCTTTTTTATGGCTGCATAGTATTCCATGGTGTATATGCGCCACATTTTCTTTATCCAGTCTATCATTGATGGGCATTTGAATTGGTTCCAAGTCTTTGCTGTTGTGAACAGTGCTGCAATAAACATATGTGTGCATGTGTCTTTATAGTAGAATGATTTATAATTCTTTGGGTATATAAACGGTTATGGGATTGTTGGGTCAAATGGTATTTCTGGTTCTGGATCCTTGAGGAATCGCCACACTGTCTTCCACAATGGTTGAACTAATTTACACTCTCACCAACAGTGCAAAAGTGTTCCTATTTCTCCACATCCTCTTCAGCATCTATTGTTTCCTGACTTTTTAATGATCACCATTCTAACTGGCATGAGATGGTATCTCATTGTGGTTTTGATTTGCATTTCTCTAATGAATAGTGATGAGCTTCTTTTCATACGTTTGTTGGCCACATAAATGTCTTCTTTTGAGAAGTGTTTCTTCATATCCTTTGCCCATTTTTGATGGGGTTGTTGTTGTCTTGTAAATTTGTTTAAGTTCTTTGTAGATTCTGGATATTAGCCTTTTGTCAGATGGATAGATTGCAAAACATTTCTCCCATTCTGTAGGTTGCCTGTTCACTCTGATAATAGTTCCTTTTGCTGTGCAGAAGCTCTTTAGTTTAATTAGATCCTGTTTGTCAATTTGGGCTTTTGTTGCCCTTGCTTTTGGTGTTTTAGTCATGACGTCTTTGCCTATGCCTATGTTCTGAATGGTACTGCCTATGTTTTCTTCTAGGGTTTTTTTTATGGTTTTAGGTCTTATGTTTAAGTGTTTAATCCATCTTGAGTTAATTTTTATATAAGGTGTAAGGAAGGGGTCCAGTTTTAGTTTTCTGCATATGGCTAGCCAGTTTTCCCAGCACCATTTATTAAATAGGGAATTCTTTCCCCATTGTTTGTTTTTGTCAGGTTTGTAGACAATTAGATGGTTGTAGATGTGTGGCATTATTTCTGAGGCCTCTGTTCTGTTCCATTGGTCTATATACTTGTTTTTGTATCAGTACCATGCCGTTTTGGTTACTGTAGCCTTGTAGTATAGTTTGAAGTCAGGTAGTTTGATGACTCCAGCTTTCATCTTTTTGCTTAGGATTTTCTTGGCTATATGTGCTCTTTTTTGGTTCCATATAAAATTTAAAGTAGTTTTTTCTAATTCTGTGAAGAAAGTCAATGGTAGCTTGATGGGGATAGCAATGAATCTATAAATTACTTTGGGCAGTATAGCCATTTCCACAATATTGACTCTTCCTATTCATGAGCATGGAATTTTTTTTTAGAAGGTTTTTTAAATTATTATACTTTAAGTTCTGGGGTACATGTGCAGAATGTGCAGTTTTGTTACATAGGTATACACATGCCATCGTGGTTTGCTGCACCCATCAACTCATCATCTACATTAGGTAATTCTCCTAATGTTATCCCTCCCCTAGCCCCCCACCCCCTGACAGTCCCCAGTGTGATGTTCCCTTCCCTTTGTCCATGCGTTCTCATTGTTCAACTCCCACTTATGAGTGAGAACATGTGGTATTTGGTTTTCTTGTGTTAGTTTGCCGAGAATGATGGTTTCCACCTTCATCCATGTCCCTGCAAAGGTCATGAACTCATCCTTTTTTATGGTGAGTATGGAATGTTTTTCCATGTGTTTGTGTCCTTTCTTATTTCCTTGAGCAGTGGTTTGTAGTTCTACTTGAAGAAGTCCTTCACATCCCCTGTAAGTTGAATTCCTAGGTATTTTATTCTCTTTGTAGCAATTGTGAATAGGAGTCCACTCATGATTTGGCTCTCTGTTTGTCTGTTATTGGTGTATAGGAATGCTTGTAATTTCTGCACATTGATTTTGTATCCTGAGACTTTGCTGAAGTTGCTTATGAGCTTGAGGAAATTTTGGGCTGAGACGATGGGGTTTTCTAAATATACAATCATGTCATCTGCAAACAGAGACAATTTGACTTCCTCTCTTCCTATTTGAATACACTTTATTTCTTTCTCTTGCCTGATTGCCCTGGCCAGAAATTCCAATACTATGTTGAATAGGAGTGGTGAGAGAGGGCATCCTTGTCTTGTGCCCATTTTCAAAGGGAATGCTTCCAGCTTTTGCCCATTCAGTATGATATTGGCTGTGGGTGTGTCATAAATAGCTCTTATTATTTTGAGATACGTTCCATCAATAGCTAGTTTAATGAGAGTTTTATCAAGAAGGGAGTTGAATTTTATTGAAGGCCTTTTCTGCATCTATTGAGATAATCATGTGGTTTTTGGCATTGGTTCTGTTTATGTGATGGATTACGTTATTGATCTGTGTATGTTGAACAAGCTTTCACATCCCTGGGATGAAGCCAATTTGATCGTGGTGGATAAGGTTTTTGATGTGCTGCTCGATTCGGTTTGCCAGTATTTTATTGAGGATTTTCGCATCGATGTTCATCAGGGATATTTGCCTGAAATTTTCTTTTTTATGTTGTGTCTCTGCCCGGTTTTGGTATCAGGATGATGCTGGCCTCATAGAATGAGTTAGGGAGGATTCCCTCTTTTTCTATTAATTGGAATAGTTTTAGAAGGAATGGTACCAGCTCCTCTTTGTACCTCTGGTAGAATTCGGATGTGAATCCATCTGGTCCTGCGCTTTTTTTTTGGTTGGTAGGCTATATATTACTGCCTCAATTTCAGAACTTTTTATTGGTCTATTCAGGGATTCAACTTCTTCCTAGTTTAGTCTTGGGAGGGTGTATGCGTCTAGGAATTTATCATTTTTTTTCTAGATTTTCTAGTTTATTTGTGTAGAGGTGTTTATAGTATTCTCTGATGGTAGTTTGTATTGCTGTGGACTCAGTGGTGATCTCCCCTTTATCATTTTTTATGGTGTCTATTTGATTCTTCTCTCTTTTCCTCTTTATTAATCTGGCTAGTGGTCTGTTTGGTTAATCTTTTCAAAAATCCAGCTCCTGGATTCATTGATTTTTTTTGAAGGGTTTTTCGTGTCTCTATCTCCTTCAGTTCTGCTGAAGCAGAACTGAAGTTTCTTGCCTTCTGCTAGCTTTTGAATTTATTTGCTCTTGCTTCTCTAGTTCTTTTAATTTTGATGTTACGGTGTTGATTTTAGATCTTTCCTGCTTTCTCCTGTGGGCATTTAGTGCTATGTTTCCCTCTTAACATTGCTTTAGCTGTGTCCCAGAGATTATGGTATGTTGTGTCTTTGTTTTGATTGGTTTTAAAGAACTTCTTGATTTCTGCTTTAATTTTGTTATTTACCCAGTAGTCATTCAGAATCAGGTTGTTCAGTTTCCCTGTAGTTTTGCGGTTTTGAGTGAGTTTCTTAATACTGAGTTCTAATTTGATTGCACTGTGGTCTGAGAGACTGTTATGATTTCTGTTCTTTTGCATTAGCTGAGGAGTGTTTTACTTCCAATTATGTGGCCAATTTTAGAATAAGTGCGATGTGGTGCTGAGAAGAGTGTATATCCCATTGATTTTGGGTGGAGAGTTCTGTAGATGTCTGTTAGGTCTGCTTGGTCCAGAGCTGAGTTGAAGTCCTGAATATCCTTGTTAATTTTCTGTCTCATTGATGTAATATTGACAGTGGGGTGTTAAAGTCTCCCACTATTACTGTGTGGGAATCTACATCTCTTTGTAGGTCTCTAAGAATTTGCTTTATAAATCTGGGTGCTCTTGTATTGGGTTATTATATATTTAGGATAGCTAGCTCTTTTTGTTGCATTGATCCCTTTACCATTATGGAATTCTCTTTATCTTTTTTGATCTTTGTTGGTTTAAAGTCTGTTTTATCAGAGACAAGGAAGGCACCACTTCCATTTTTTTTTCTTTGCTTTCCATTTGCTTGTTAAATATTCCTCTATCATTTTGAGTCTATGTGTGTCTTTGCACATGAGATGGGTCTCCTGAATACAGTATGGCGATGGGTCTTGACTCTATCCAATTTGCCAGTCTGTGTCTTTTAATTTGGGAATTTAGCCCATTTACAGTTAAGGTTAGTATTGTTATATGTGAATTTAGCCTGTCATTATGATGCTAGCTGGTTATTTTGCCCATTAGTTGATGCAGTTTCTTCATAGTGTCGATGGTCTTTACAATTTAGTGTGTTTTTGCAGTAGCTGGTACTGGTTTTTCCTTTCCATGTTTAGTGCTTCCTTCAGGATCTCTTGTAAGGCAGCCCTGGTAGTGACAAAATCCCTCAGTATTTGCTTGTCTGTAAAGGATTTTATTTCTCTTTCACTTATGATGCTTAGCTTGGCTGGACATGAAATTCTGGCTTGAAAATTCTTTTCTTTAAGACTGTTGAATATTGGCCCCCACTGTCTTCTGGCTTGTAGGGTTTCTGCAAGGATATCTGCTGTTAGTCTGATGGGCTTCCCTTTGTGGGTAACCCGACCTTTCTCTCTGGCTGCCCTTAATATTTTTCCCTTCATTTCAACCTTGATGATTCTGACGATTATGTGTCTTGGGGTTGCTCTTGAGGAGTATCTTTGCGGTATTCTCGGTATTACCTGAACTTGAATGTTGGCCTGTCTTGCTAGGTTGGGGAAGTTCTCCTGTATAATATCCTGAAGAGTGTTTTCTGACTTGGTTCCATTCCCCCTGTCACTTTCAGGTACACCAATCAAATGTAGGTTTGGTCTTTTCACATAGTCCCATATTTCTTGGAGGTTTTATTCATTCCTTTTCATTCTTTTTTCTCTAATCTTCACTATACACTTTATTTCATTAACTGGATCTTCAATCTCTGATATCCTTTCTTCCACTTCATCAGTTTGGCTATTGATACTTGTGTATGCTTCACGAAGTTCTCGTGCTGTGTTTTTCAGCTCCATCAGGTCATTTATGTTCTTCTCTAAACTGGTTATTCTAGTTAGCAATTCCTCTAATCTTTTTTCAACGTTCTTATCTTCCTTGCATTGGGTTAGAACATGTTCCTTTAGCTCAGAGGAGCTTGTTATTACCCACCATCTGAAGCCTACTTCTGTCAATTCATCAAACTCATTCTCCATCCAGTTTTGTTTCCTTGCTGGCAAGGAGTTGTGATCCTTTGAAGGAGAAGAGGTGTTCTGGTTTTTGGAATTTTCAGCCTTTTTGCCCTGGCTTTTCCTCATCTTTGTGGATTTATCTACCTTTGGTTTTTTATGTTGGTGACCTTTGGGTGGGGTTTCTGTGTGGATGTCCTTTTTGTTGATGTTGATGATATTTCTTTCTGTTTGTTAATTTTCGTTCTAACAAGCCCCTCTGCTGCAGGTCTGCTGGAGTTTGCTGGAGGTTCACTCCAGACCCTGTTTGTCTGGGTATCACTAGCAGAGGCTGCAGAACAGCAAAGATTGCTGCCTGTTCCTTCCTCTGGAAGCTTCATCCCAGATGGGCACCTGCCAGATGCCAGCTGGAGTTCTCCTGTATGAGGTGTCTGTCGACTCCTGCTGGGAGGTGTCTCCCAGTCAGGAGGCATTGGGATCAGGGACCCAACTGAGGGGGTCGTCTATCCCTTAGCAGAGCTTAGGCACTATGCTGGGAGATCCGCCGCTCTCTTCAAAGTCGGCAGGCAGGAATGTTTAAGTCTGCTGAACCTGTGCCCACAGGCGCCCCTCTCGCCAGGTGCTCTGTCCCAGGGAGATGGGAGTTTATCTATAAGCCCCTGACTGGGGCTGCGGCCTTTCTTTCAGAGATGCCCTGCCCAGAAAGGAGGAATCTAGAGAGGCAGTCTGGCTACAGCAGCTTTGCTGAACTGTGGTGGGCTCCACCCAGTTTGAACTTCCTAGAGGCTTTGTTTATACTGTGAAGGGAAAACCACCTACTCAAGCCTCAGTAATGGTGGATGCCACTCCACCCACCAAGTTTGAGCATGACTTCAGACTGCTGTGCTGGTAGTGAGTGGATCTTAGCTTGATGGGCTCCGTGGGGGTGGAATTTGCTGAGCTAGACCACTTGGCTCCCTGGCTTCAGCTCTGTTTCCAGGGGAGTGAGCGGTTCTGTCTTACTGGCATTCCAGGGGCCAGTCAGGTATGAAAAGAAACTCCTGCAGCTAGCTCGCTGTCTGCTCATACAGCTGCCAAGTTTTGTACTTGAAACCCAGGCCCCTGGTGGTGTAGGCACCTGAGGGAATCTCCTGGTTTGCGGGTTGTGAAGACCATGGGAAAAGAGTAGTATCTGGGCCACAGTGCACCGTTCCTCAAGGCACAGTCCCTCACGGCTTCTCTTGGCCAGGGGAGGGAGTTCCCCAACCCCTTGGGCTTCCCAGGTGAGGCAACACCCCACCCTGCTTTGGCTCACCCTCTGTGGGCTGCACCCACTGTCTAACCATTCCAAGTGAGATGAGTCAGGTACCTCAGTTGGAAATGCAGAAATCACCCACTTTCTGTGTTGATCTTGCTGAGAGCTGCAGACCACAGCTGTTCCTATTCAGCCATCTTGCCAGCTACCCCATGTCTTTTTATCTTTCATTCATTCTTTCTTTCCTTTCTCTATTATTCCTTCATTTATTTCTTGCTTTATTGTACCTTTTTAACATATTTTAAAGCAATAGCTGGTTAAACATTTTTCAGAATATTAGTGCTCAAAGGGAACTGTGGCCTGTTCCCTTGAAAAGTGTGAATTAAGTAAAAGCAAGTATCTAGATCAATTTTTTTGAAAACTGGAAGCTGGCTATGAGCAAACACTAATACAAAAATCCCCTGTGGTTTACAAATCAAAGTGGTGGCTTTGGAGTCAAGTGATGAATGAATCATTTCCTTTACTCTATCTCACAAAGAATACAGAGGAATCTTAAGTCTACTGTTATAGTATTTCCTAATATCTGAAATGCATATATAAAGAAGACATAGTTGGAAATTAGCACAACACACACATTTGTTTAATGGTCTGTGAATGAGGGCCATTACAGAGGGAAATGCCAAGGAATATGTCCTGACAGTGGTCCTGTATATCAAGATATTAAAACAAAAGCAGTAATATAAATCTGGCATAATCAGAGAGATTAGTGACAACAAAGCCTTTAAATAATCAAGTGCTGTCATTTCTATTACATATTTACATAACATATGTTTTCTACTCTAAAGAAGAAAATTAGATCTTGAAATCTGAATGAAGGCTGGGAAAGGTAGTTGGAAGGAATAGATAAAAAAGGGTTCATTAATGGGTACAAAAATACAACTGGATAAAAGGAATAAGATCCAGTATTTGGTAGCAAAATAAGGAGACTCTAGCTAATAATAACATATTGTATATTTCAAAATACTTAGACAATCTGGAATGCTCTCAACACAAAGAAATGACAAATGTCCAATGTGAGGGTATCCCAGTCACTACAAACTGATCATTTCATGTAGTATGCTCATATCAAAATATCACATGTATGCTATAATAGGCACAACTATTATATATCCAAAACATTTTTAATAACATAAATTTTTTAAAAGCTACAAAAAGTTACAGAATATTCACAACCACACGTGACCAAAAAATACTGTCTTAAAAATCGTTCAGAGTTATTACTAAGCAAACAAACAATTACAACCCATAGCAAAAACAAAGAACCCTCCCCTCCAAAAAAAAGAAAAATCCTGGGAAAAATAAAGGATCTTGTTGACTGAGTTATCACATCGCAATATGGAAAATGTCTGGTTTTCAATGATTTTTTTTCATTTTTGTAATAATTCCATTGATATGTAATTCATATACTACACAGTTCACTCATTTAAACTGCACAATTCAATGTATTTTAGTATGTTTGTGGATGTGTGCAACCAACACCACAGTTCATTTTAAAGCATTTTCATCACCTCACCAAACATCTCCAGACCCTTTAGCTATCACACCCTATCTTCTATACCACCAACCCTAAGACATCATTAATTTATACTTCCTTTCTCTGTAGATTTGCCTATTCTGGACATTTCATATAAATGGAGTGATATAATATGTGATAGGCAGTCTTTTGTGACAGGCTTCATTCACTTAGCATTATGTTTTCAAAGTTCATGCATGCTATAGCTATCAGTGCTTCATTATTTTTTATGGCCAAATAATATTCCATTGTATGACTATACCACAGTTTTTAAATCATTCATCTGTTGATAGGCATTTGGTTTGTTTTCAACTTTTGTCTGTCTATTATGAATAATGCTGCTATAGACATTCATGTATATGTTTTTATGTGGACATATATTTTAATATCTCTTGAGTATATATCTAAAACTAGAATTGCTGGGTCATGCGATTTCTATATATAACTATTTGAAGAGCTCCCCGACTGCTTTTCAAAGTGACTTCTCCTCTTGTTACTTTTTCTCAGCTTTAGTGAAATATAATTGAGAAAATTAAGAAGTTATAACTTAAAACAAAATGTTTTCTCATTGATTTGTTGGAAGATCTTTTTTCTGAAACTCACTGATGCCAAATATAGAAAGCAAACATACAGGTTCTGTTCACAGGGGATGGAACTTCTGGGAAGTGCTGAGTACTGCATTCCAAATATGGTGCCAATAAATAGCATTTAATATTTTCTGAGGCTACATTAGTGATTTGCATAATTCAGTAAACTGGTTACCAGAAGATTAAATTAATCTGAACATTTCTTTTTCTGACTCATACTGTGGAAATATTCCTAAGTCATAAAACATAAGTATGCTTACTAATTTCAATGTAAAATTTTGTAAACCCTTGAGTGATAATTCAGAATATTTTAGAATATTTTTAAGTTGATATGGGTTGGCTCTGTGTCTCCACCCAAATCTCACGTTGAATTGTTATCCCCAGTGTTGCAGGTGGGGATTGGTGGGAGGTGATTGGATCATGGGGGAAGTTTCTAATGGCTTAGCACCATCCTCCTACTGCTGTCTTGTGATAGAGTTCTCACAAGATCTGGTTGTTTCAAAGTATGTAGCACCTCTCCCTTTGCTCTCTTCCTCCTCCTGCTGGCCATGTAAAACAAGCTTGCTTCCCCTTCACCCTTCCACCAGGATCGTAAGTTTCCTGAGGCCTCCCCAGAAGCAGAAACCTGTACAGCCCATAGAACTATGAGCCAATCAAACCTCTTTTCTTTATAAATTAGCCAGTCTCAGGTATGTCTTTGTAGCAGTGTGAGAATAAACTAATACAGAAAATTGGTACCAGAGAAGGGAGCATTGTCAGAGATACCTAAAAATGTGGAAGTAACTTTGGCAATGGGTAAAGAGCAGAAGCTGGAACAGTTTGGAGGTCTCAGAAGAAGACAGGAAGATGAGGGAAAGTGTGGAACTTTCTAGAGACTTGTTGAATGGTTCTAACCAAAATGCTGACAGTTATATGGACCATGAAATCCAGGTTGAGGTGGTCTCAGATGGAGATAAGAGACTTTTGAGAACTGGGGTAAAGGTCACTCTTGCTATGCCTTAGCAAAGAGACTGGAGGCATTCTGCCTCTACCCTAGATATGTGTGGAGCTTTGAGCCAGAGATAAATGATTTAGGGTATCTGGTGGGAGACATTTCTAAGCAGAAAAGCATTCAAGGTGTTACCTGGCTGCCTTTAGCTGTGTCCTCTCATATGTGTATGCAAAGAGATTACCTGAAATTGGAACTTATATTTAAAACGGAAGCAGAGTATAGAAGTTTGGAAAATTCGAGCCTGACCATGTCATAGAAAAGAAAAACTTATTTTCTGGGGAGGAATTCAAGCCCATTGCAGAAACTTGCATAAGTAAACAGTAGCTGAAGAGTGATAGCCAAGACAATGGGAAAATTACTCCAAGGCATTTCAGAGACCTTTGTGGCAACCATTCCCATCACAAGCGTGGAGGCCTAGGAAGGAAAAATGGTTTGTGGGTCAGGCCCAGGGCTCTGCTGCTCTGTGCAGCCTCAGGACATGGCCCTGCATCCCAGCTGCTCTAGCTCCAGCTGTGGCTAGAAGGGATTCAGATACATCTCAGGCTGCTGCTCCACAGGGTGTAAGCTGCAAGCCTTGGCAGCTTCCATGTGATGTTAAGCCTACAGGCGTGCAGAGGGCAAGAGCTGAGGCTTGGGAGCCTCCACCTAGAATTTAGAGGATGTATGGCAACACCTGGATGTCCAGGCAGAAGTCTGCTGCAGGGGCAGAGCCCTCATGGAGAACCTTTATGAGGGCAATGTGGAAAGGAAACACAGGGTTGGAGCCCCTACACAGAGTCCCCACTGGGGCAGTGCCTAGTGGAGTTGTGAGAAGAGGGCCACCATCCTCTAGATCCCAGAATGGTAGATCCATTAACAGCTTGCACAATGTGCCTGGAAAAGCTGCAGGCACTCAACGCCAGTTCATGAAAGCAGCTGCAAGGGCTGTACCCCTCAAAGCCATAGGGGTAGAGCTGCCCAAGGACTTGGGAGCCCACCCCTTGCATCCGTGTGTCCTGAATGTGAGTCATAGAGTCAAAGGAGATTATTTGGGAGCTTTAAGATTTAATGACAGGGTTTTGGACTTTCATGGGGCCTGTAGCCCCTTTGTTTCAGTCAATGGAGCTCCTTTTGGGACAGGAGCACTTATCCAATGCCTGTACTTCCATTGTATCTTGGAAGTAACTAACTTGTTTTTGATTTTACAGGCTCATAGGCAGAAGAGACTTGCCTTGTTTCAGATGAGACTTTAGACTGTGGACTTTAAAGTTAATCCTAGAATGAGTTAAGACTTTGAGGTACTGTTAGGAAGGCATGATTGTGTTTTGAAATGTGAGGAGGACTTGAGATTTTGGAGGGACCAGGGGTGGAATGATATGATTTGGCTCTGTGTCCCCACCCAAATCTCATATTGAATTGTTATCCCCAGTGTTGGAGGTGGGGACTGGTGGGAGGTGGCTGGATCATGGGGGCAGTTTCTAATTGTTAATCACCATTTCCCTATTGCTATCTTGTGAGAGAGTTCTCACAAAATCTGATTGTTTGAAAGTGTATAGCAACTCGACATTCACTCTCTTCCTCCCTGCTGGCCATGTAAAAGAAGCTTGCTTCCCCTTTGCCCTTCTACCATGATTGTAAGTTTCCTGAGGCCTCCCCAGAAGCAGAAACCTGTACAACCCGTGGAACTGTGAAATTTCTTTGTAAATTACCCAGTCTCAGATATATCTTTATAGCAGTGTGAACTAATACATAAGTGTAAAAGGTATTAAGAAATTTTTGAACTAACATTTCCTAGACTGTGAGTTTTTTGAGGGCATGTGCTATGTCTTATCAATCCAATTTTTCTTTCACTTATCCAGCCAACAAATACTTTTTTCATCTTATTTCTGAATTCTCAGCACCTTGCACAGAGCCTTGCACATAATAGATACTCTCCTGTGTTGTTGAACATATGAATGAATGAACAATTACTAGTCACTCAATGTGATAGGTAATATTAAACGTCAACTTGATTGGATTGAAGGATGCAAAGTATTGTTCCTGGGTGTGTCTGTGAGGGTGTTGCCAAAGGAGATTAACATTTGAGTCACTGGCTGGGAGAGGCAGACCCACCCCTCAATCTGGGTGGGCAACATCTAATCAACTGTCAGCATGGCTAGAATAAAGTAGGCAGAAGAAGACGGGAGAAGCCAACTTGCTGAGTCTTCTTGCCTTGATCTTTCTCTTGTGCTGGATGCTTCCTGCCCTCAGACATCAGACTCAAAGTTTTTCAGCTTTTTGACTCTTGGACTTACACTAGTGGTTTGCCAGGGGCTCTTGGGCCTTTGGCCACAAACCGAAGGCTACACTTTCAGCTTCCCCACTTTTGAGATTTTGGGACTCAAAGTGGTTTCCTTGCTCCTCAGCTTGCAGATGGCCTCTTGTGGGACTTCACCTTGTGATCGTGTGAGTCAATACTCCTTAATAAACTTCCCTTCATATATACATATATCCTATTAGTTCTGTCCCTCCAGAGTACCCTGATTAATAGTCTCATCAAGGCTTATTTTCCTCTATAGAGGCTTCCTTAAAGTTCTTTTTGTAGAAGTATGTTGAGAAATTATTTGACTATCCCTCGGCTCCAAACATAGTACTTTCCAATCCAGTGACACTTAAATATTTATTTGAAGAAAAACTTAAAACTGTCAAATGGGTAATAGTTGGGGAGGAGAAAGCTTAGGTCTGATAGCATGGAGGTCTTCAATTAACTAAAAGACTGCGTATGGGAGAGTCTCATTTTATATTGTTGGAAGGGTTTTAGTGAGGGCCAGTAAAAAGCTTCCAGGAGATTTCAGTTTATGGTCTAAGGAAGTCCTAAACTGCTTTGGGAGACAAACATTTCTACTCACTGGAAGTGACAGCTGGGTAACATGTTGAACAAGCTGAGGAGAGCATTTCAGCCTCAGATGGGTGATTAGAGTAGATGACTCATAAGGTCTCTTGTAACCTGAGAATTCTTTAGTTGAATGAAGGATAATACTGTCCCCCAACTAATATTCCATTTGAGTATAAGCACCAGCCATTTTAAAAATGTAAGTCTTTCCACAGCCTTTCTGAAAAAAAAAATTCTGTCCATATTCCCAAAGACTCAGGTAAATGAAAAACTAGGGAGAAATATTACTTGGAAAATACACCAATTTTCTCTGATTTCTTTCAATAGTTTAAGAAAACACTTAAGTTTGTCATGGTTTTAGCCAGTCTAGTATAAATTGTTAGTTGGTACTGCTCCTCCCAAAAGTGTATGTGGATGTGTGTTTGTTAGGGGAGATAGGGATGGTCTTAGGGGTTGGAAAGTTCTTCAGAGGGGAAAAGTCCATTTATATTGGTATTTATGGTTCTGTAAATAAGAAGTTACATGAGGCTAAGAGCTGTTGCTTTCTTTCCTTGACGAAAGACTTTTTCTACCCATCTATTTAAGCTCATGCATGTTAAATAAAGAAAAATAATTAGCTTCTGTGTGAATATGTTCAGCATATTAATCTAATTATGTTCGGAAGAACGTCATGTGAGTTTTGAGTTAATTATTAGCCAACAATATATGTCAATTCTTAATATTTAAACTATTATTCATTTGCAAATGATTATAAGCAAAAAAGTTAGTTATTATTGCTCAAAAGGCAATATTAAAAAGAAAGTAACATTATTATTTATAAAGTTCTATTCAAGCTCAATTTCTACATTAAATTGTCAGTGAAGAATTTAAATGGACTGCACTTATGTTTATTGCACAGCATAAACCATATAAGCAGAATAATCCCATGTGCTTCAAAATAAGTACCTACTAATGTAAAAGCACCTAAAGAAATACCTAATTATTTTTTATGAACTCATAATGGTACATGTAGTGTTTCATTATTTTATTGCTTCAATAATCAATTATTCTTTTACTTGTAAACTGAAAAAGGACATTGATGCAATTTCAGTGAAAACCATTCAAATTCAAACTAAATTTACTCACGTAATGAAATCAATGAATAAAGTATTACAAAATTAGAGAGATCTAAGGGAGCCAAGAAAAAGCAAATATAAATAGTCTCCTGGAATTATTCCAAAAGGTAGAAAATTAAGAAAATCCACACTTTTCAGTTGCAAAGACTAGTGCAATAGGAAGGAAAAACAACTACATGTGGCTTTGTGTTTCTGAGTAACAACTGTAATTGCTGACAGTTTTGATAAATGTAACAAACAACTTGATATAACTTAATAATCAAAAATACATATAAACAATATAAAAAATAATTATTTGATAGAAGTCTTCTACATCTTATTTTTCATTATACATCATTTATTATTTGTTTAAAAATGTCTTAAACATATATTTTTGTCTTTGTAATGAATTAAAGATACAGTGGGAAAAATTCAAGAAAGATTTCTGTTGGTAGTTTTGGTGGAGTAGCTTATTGCAGATCATTGCTATCAGTGAAGATAATTAAAAATGCTAATTTAAAAATCTGTTTAAAGAAATTAGAGAGCTGTTAAAGTAACCAGGTCTACAAGGGCCAAGATTGTGGAGAAAGGGGAACTGCAGACAGGTGATCTAACCTTCTGCAGCCACATTTGTTTCCTGGGGACATTTGCTTATTGGGGGTACAGGGCAAGAGGCTGAGAACCCATGATTTTCCTAGGCAGAGGGACTGTGTTGAGGATTGAGGATTGAAGTAACCAATAGAGTTTTGGCAAATCTTGTGGGGCTGGAGAGGCAAAATTGGAGACTTTGGAGTCCAAGATCCCAAAGAGAAGGGAGGAGTGGAGAACTGAGCCTGATAAAGGCTCGTTTCTGTTTTAATATGAATTTTGAAACTACAAGAAGCAGGAGGCCATGAAACCAAGCAGAAAGCCTCTGAAAAACAAAGCGAGTTATGTTAGCAGCTTCAAGGCACTGATGTGGAAAGATCAGAGTTTAGGAACTACCAAGTGAAATGGCCCTGGTGAATGCACTGATCTCAAGTCTGAAACCTAGGAAGCTCACACCCTAAGAGCAGAGGTGAACTAAAGGAAAAGGAAAATGAAGCCTTATCAGAATTACCAACCAGTTCTGATTCAACTCAGTAGTAGAGGAAAGAAAAGTAATTCATGTAGGCTCTCTCTCTCTTTTTAAAGATAATACCTAACATTTAATAAAATATTCCTAGCATGCCAAGATACAGGACTATAGCCTAAAAGCTAAGATTAAAAAACAACAATAAAAATCAACACACAACAACAAAAAGAGATGAACAGGTGATTTAGCTATTGGAATTAGTAGAAGGAGGACTTTATAATATGCCCCCAAGATAGAGGGAAAGATTAACAAAATAGATGAAGAGATGGAAGGACCGGGTGCGGTGGCTAATGCCATAATCCCAGCACTTTGGGATACCAAGGTGGGTGGATCATGAGGTCAAGGGATTGAGACCATCCTGGCCAACATGGTGAAACCCCATCTCTACTAAAAATACAAAAAAATTAGCTGGGTGTGGTGGCACACACCTATAGTCCCAGCTACTCGGGAGGCTGGGGCAGGAGAATCACTTGAACCCGGGAGGCAGAGGTTGCAGTAAGCCAAGGTCATGCCATTGCACTCTAGGATAGAGTCAGACTTTGTCTCTAAAAAAAGATGGAAGACTTCATCAAAGAATTGATATATATATAAAAGAATCAAATAGATATTTTATGTTAAAAACTCAGTAAACTAGGTATTGAACATATCTCTAAATAATAAGAGCTATTTATGACAAACCCATAGCTAATATCATACTGAATGGGCAAAAGCTGGATCTTCTCTCTCACCCCTCCTATTCAACATATTGTTGGAAGTTCTGGCCAGGGCAATCAGTCAAGAGAAAGAAATAAAGCATATTCAAACAGAAAGAGAGGAAGTCAAATTGTTTCTGTTGGCAGATGATGTGATTCTGTATTTAGAAACCCCGTCATCTGAGCCCCAAAACTTCTTAAGCTAATAAGCAACTTCAGCAAAATCTCAGGATACAAAATCAACGTGCAAAAATCACAAGCATTCCTTTACACCAACAATGGACAAATAGAGAGCCAAATCATGAATGAACTTCCCTTCACAATTGCTACAAACAGAATAAAATACCTAGGAATACAACTTACAAGGGACATGAAACTACCGCTCAAGGAAATAAGAGAGGACACAAACAAATGGAAAAACATTTCACGCTCATGGATAGGAAGAACCAATATTGTGAAAATGGCCATACTGCCCAAAGTAATTTGTAGATTCAATGCTATTTCCATCAAGCTACCACTGACTTTCTTCACAGAATTAGAAAAAACTACTGATCCATGGTGGTTTGCTGCACCTATCAACCCGTCATCTAGGTTTTAAGCCCCACATGCATTAGATATTTGTCCTAATGCTCTCCCTCCCCTTGACCTCCATCTCCCCACAGGCCCCAGTGTGTGTTGTTCCCCTCCCTGTGTCTGTGTGTTATTATTACTAAATTCTCACTTATAAGTGAGAACATGTACTGTTTGGTTTTCTGTTCCTGTGTTAGTTTGCTGAGAATGATGGTTTCCAGCTTTATCCACGTCCTTACAAAGGATATTATCTCATTCTTGTTTATGGCTGCATAGTATTCCATGGTGTATATGTGACACATTTTCTTTATCCAGTCTATCATTGATGCGCATTTGGGTTGGTTCCAAGTCTTTGCTATTGTAAATAGTGCTGCAATAAACATATGTGTGCATGTGTCTTTACAGTAGAATGATTTATAATTCTTTGGGTATATACCCAGTTATGGGATTGCTGGGTCAAATGGTATTTCTGGTTCTGGATCCTTGAGGAACTTCCATACTGTCTTCCACAATGGTTGAACTAATTTACACTCTCACTAACAGTACAAAAGTGTTCCTATTTCTCCACAGCCTTGTCAGCATTGATTATTTCCTGACTTTTTAATAATTGCCATTCTGACTGGCATGAGATGGTATCTCATTGTGGTTTTGATTTGCATTTCTCTAATGATCAGTGATGATGAGCTTTTATTTTCTATGTTTGTTGGCTGCATAAATGTCTTCTTTTGAGAAGTGTCTGTTCATATCCTTCGCCCACTTTTTGATAGGGTTTTTTTCTTGTAAATTTGTTTAAGTTCCTTGTAGATTCTGGATATTAAACCTTTGTCAGATGGGTAGATTGCAAAATTTTTCTCCCATTCTGTAGGTTGCCTGTTCACTCTGATGATAAGTTTCTTTTGCTGTACAGAAGCTCTTCAGTTTAATATGATCCCATTTGTTAATTTTGGCTTTTGTTGCCATTGCTTTTTGTGTTTTAGTCATGAAGACTTTGCCCATGCCTATGTTCTGAATGGTATTGCCTAAGTTTCCTTCTAGGGTTTTTTATGATTTTGGCTTTTACATTTAAGTCTTTAATCCATCTTGAGTTAATTTTTGTATAAGGTGTAAACAAGGGGTCCAGTTTTAGTTTTCTGCATATGGCTAGCCAGTTTTCCCAGCACCATTTATTAAATAGGGAATTTTTTCCCCATTGTTTGTTTTTGTCAGGTTTGTAGAAGATCAGATGGTTATACATATGTGGTGTTGTTTCTGAGGTCTCTTTTCTCTTCCATTGGTCTATATATCTGTTTTCGTACCAGTACCATGATGTTTTGGTTACTGTTGCCTTGTAGTATAGTTTTGAAGTCACGTAGCGTAGATGCCTTCAGCTTTGTTCTTTTTCTTAGGATTGTCTTGGCTATATGGGCTTTGTTTTGGTTCCATATTAAATTTAAAGTACTTTTTTCTAATCCTTTGAAGAAAGTCAATGATAACTTGATGGGGATAGCATTGAATCTATAAATTACTCTGGGCGGTATGGCCATAAAATATTTTTTAATCCAAATAGCTCAAAAAATGGTGATGTAATATTATGTATTCATTAATAAAAACGAAGATGATTACATTCATTTTTGTTGAAAATACTTTTCAAAAAATATATCTTCTTGGGAAAACTATTGCTATTACCTCAAGGGATGTGAACAATATCTTCATCTTATTGGATGTTTTTACTTCATAATACATGTAATTTGGAGGCACTTTTCCTTGGCGGCAATAGCACATTTAGTTTTTCATCCATTGAAGCACATTTATTGATTTCCTCCTATATACCAGACACTGCTAGATTAAAAAAATAAGTGTAAACAAAACAAACATATTCAATGTCCTTATAGAATTTAGTGTAAAATGGGAATATAGACATTTACATGTAATTGTAACAAATATGTGTTTTACAAAAGGACAACTTCAGGGTGCTCCAGTAATAAACAGCAGAATGGAGTATAAGGAAGGGTGATGACGATGTCCCCTAAAGAAGACAGAGTATGAGGGAAAATTTCTACGTGAATAGAGATGGGGGAAGGATATGTATATTTTGAAAGAGATGACTGGATTCAACAAAGCCTATTTCACATAATCTTAAAGCCTCATGCAATAAAATTTCAAAAAAAAAACCAATTTTTTTCTAGAAATTTAAGGTGTTAATATACATATGTTATCCTTCCATAGGAAGTTTGACTGTGTAAGCTAGTGAATGGTTCACATGTCATATAGATATAAATTCCATCCTGATAAACATACTCATTTTTTGAAAGGATTTTAGAAAATTTATTGATCAGAAGTCATAAGAATGTTACATCCTAAATAAAAAAAAATCTTTAAAATTTGATTTAAGAAAGGCTGTGTTGAAAATACAATTTGCAAATATCTCTTTGTTTTAAAAAGCAGCATATCGTAGGCTATGAAATGAAAGTGAGAAATGTGCAGGTACAAATGAAGGGAAATATTCCACATACTACATTCTAGGGCACAGTGTGGGTGGATGTCACACCTGACCAAGCCCTCTGGGCTGCACAGTGTGAGGGTACTATTTACTGTCACTGAGACCAAACAGTGCTGTCAGCTCGCTCATAGTTCTGGCAACAAGCTTCGGTAGATCTCAAAGATCTCAATGCAGCCAGAATTCACAGGACTAAGACCTAGTATAACAGCATGACAACAAAACTCACATAACTTCAAAATATCAAACATTTTTTTTTTTTTTTTTTACTTTTTAGAGTCTTCAGGTAGTTGTTTTTTATATTTCGTCAAGTAGTTTTACTTATAATCAGAGAATAATATAGGCCACAGTGGAGTTTTCCTTCAATGCTGGGGGAGAATCTCTACTTCCTTTTGAAAAATATCCAGGGGCAAGCTGAAAAATACCTTTTTGTTGTCTGATTACCAAGAAAATGAAGAAGGCTTTCTGATTTGGAGAGGATGGAGGAGGAAAATAATTGTCATATGGGCTCTGGGAAGCCTTAGGGAAGGGGGAATATAAAAGATTCAGGCACAGCTTTGCCTTTGACTGCTTTTCCTATTTCTTCTTCCCGTCTCCAAAGAAATTTACTGATTTTTGCCTGTGAAACTATTTAAAGAAACTCTGAGCCCTGCATTTTCACAAAGGATATAAATTTGTTCTTCCAAAAAGTCTATTGCCCAAATTTGAAATTGTTCATTCAGTTGGTATATTGCCCCTGCAGGACTACTCTTTCATTCTTAGGGTGGGAATTGATTTTTCTTCTCTTATTTGTCATGTGAGAGTACTAACTATATTACAACATCAGAATTTTCACACATTATTTAAAAACCTGTTCTCGACGTGAGAAGGTCTCGCATAGGCTTGTCTATACCAATGTGTAAAAACCTCAGGTTGCCTTTAAAATTGCGAAGGCAAGCTATGTTCCTCATTAAGTACACAGACTAATATCTGGAAAGTGACAGCTTTCTACAGACATTTTCCAGAATTTGAACTTTTCTGTATTTAAAGTGATTTTACCCTAACCCCTAAGTTTCTGCACACAAATTAATGGATCCTTTAAATCTATAAGTATAATATTGGCTTATAAAAATACATCTAGACATTTAAAATTATTGAGGATGTTGTTGAAATTTATTTGTATAAGTAAATGCTTTTTAAATAAGCATGTCTAAATATTTATACTCACTTGTTTGCGCAAATTCCACATACATTAAAGTTAGAATGACAATTTAAAAACTGGTTTTGGAATTGAAATACTAACTGATCTATACTTTTAGATTTATCTTTACATATTCAAATCTATGTTCTATTCAGTTCCTTGTCCACCCCCTTCCTCCCCACTTCCTTTGATTTTCAACTTTCAAAAGGTAGACTATTCAAACTTTTATCTGTTCGTAAAAAAACATGGAGATATCCAAAATGGAAAATTAAAAAATAAAGTATGAAGGCATTTCCATAGTATTATTTTTTGAAACGGCTTGTATGAATATAGCACAGACTGGAATTCACAAAAAGAAGGGTCAGAAGATGCACAGGTCTCCTGGCCTCTCAAACTAGTGTTCCTGATCACAGCTGGACACATCCTGGGGACAGGATTGTATCTAGAAGGGTGTTTCCACCCCTTTGCTGTACATTTTTATAGTGCAACTGTTAGAGTAGCCTTGCCACTGGAGACAAATATTTTGAGATAGACTGCCAAATAGTCTGGGCTTGAGTGCCAGCTGCTTATAGGAATTACTAGAGTCTTTGGGAGACATTGAAGTCAGGTATAAACCTTCCTTCTGTGGGGAGGGCAGCCCCTAGTCTCAGCTAACTGATTGCCAGTCAACCTAGAGAGAACTGTCAGGGGCTTTAGACAACCCCGCTTATCCTTCAATACCTATTTTTAACAAACTATTAATTTTAAAAATAATTTTAGACTTACAAAATCCGGTCAGGAGTATGCTGTATTAACATGTCTTTAAAGGTTGGCTTACTCCCAGTGCTGGTTCTTGATCAGAATTATTTGAGGTCAGGGATTTACCTTTATACCATCCATTGGACTTAGCACAGTGACTTGCATGATGGAGACATTCAGTACATATCATGAAGTTAATGAGCAAATGAGTATCACTGCCTGAAGCTTACTCATCATGACCTAGCCTAATGTTTCAGCATGTCAATACCATTTTTAGAATTCAGGTGGTGTCCTGATGAGTCTTTAGTTTCACAACAATATAAATTCATAGGCAAAAATGGAAAATAGTCCATGCTTTTTTTTTAAAGTGAAATCCAGTAAGTAAACTATAACTTGAGCCATTCTTCATACATAATACAGATTCTGCTAGATATTGCCACCAGCACTACCTCCTCCTCCTTTTTCTTCTTTTTTAAGGAAAAAGCTAACTTAGTGAGATTATCAAGAAGTTAGATACTCAACAAATTTCACTTGGCCCCTCCACTTAAATGGATGAGATGTGATTTAGATTTTTTCAATGATTCAAGTTACAAATGTGAAGAGATGATGGGTGAGCTAAGTTAGGATGATCAAAAACACTGCTGAGATTTCTCTTTCTGATAATTGGGTATATACATTTGTAAATGGTGTTGCTGTCTCTGCCCAAGACATGCTCTCTCTCTCTCTCTCTCTCTCTCAATCTCTCAAAATCAACAGCTCTGTCAAAAACATTTGGAAAGAAGCTCCTTTGAAAGGAGTAAACAAGGCAGTGAACCCATTAGAAAATCTGTTTCCAATATAGAACTCACTATCTACATATAACTATTAAAATAAAATAAAAATTCAATTTCTCAGTCATACTAACCACGTTTCAAATGTTCAATAGTCACATGTGGTTAGTAGCTACTATATTGGACAGCAAGAACATTTTCATTATCTTAGAACATTCTATTGGACAGGGCTGCATTTAAAGCTACTTGTGGGACATTTGATGTCATTTGAGGACTAAACAAATGATTGTGAAATCAAGCATTCTGAGATCAAGCAGATCTGTCATTTGGTTAAGTTTCAAAATTGTAGTTTAATTCTGCTTAGGTTCAATCTGAGTAAATAGTCATAATGGGTGTGAACTACTCTAAAGAGTCCTTTCTACTTGAATAATACCAACTTTTCCATTTGCAAGGCCACTTGCAAATGGACAAATTTCCAATGTAGGTCTAATATTCCATAAATAAATTTGTGACTTTAGTCTATTCCAATACTGTTGCATTCTTCATGGTTCATTGTAGTTACATACTGTGCTTCAGTCTCACTTATAGCTCTACATTGCTGTATCTTTACAATGTTGTTTCTGGTCCATAAAGATTATTTTTCAAGCCCAGCTATCTTTTTTACTTTACCTTTTCATATTTTTATCTATTATTGCCATGTGTTTGGAAAAGGATGGTGGTAGTGGGCAGGAATATACATGAAAGCATTAACTTACTACACCATCTGTTCAGAGAAGAGTTGATATAGCACTCTTGCGATAGCTATCTTTAGAGTCCTGCTTTCAAGGTGATTTTTGGCTGGCATCTGGGAACTTGGCTGTCAGAGCAGTGCACATCAACAGTTAACTGATAAGGTTGGTTGACTGTGCCTAGACTATACTAGCAATACGATTATGCTAAATACCTGTGTTCCTTTTGGGAGACTGGAATTTTGGTATGTATCAGGCAGAGTGCCCATGTGACAGCCCCCAATAAAAATCTTGGGCACTGAGTCTCTATAGGCTTGCTTGAGCAGACACACAATATGCATATTGCATTTTCATTGCAGGGGAAAGTGTACTCTGTATGACCCCTCATGGGAGGGAAGAGCCTAAGCAAACCTGCTTATGGATTGCTCTGAATGCATATGTCCCCTTCTGATCTGGCTGTTTATCCTTAGTACTTTGCTGTAATAAATCTTAGCCATGAGTAAAACTATTTCTGAGTCCCATGAATCCTTTTAGTGAATGTCTAAACATGGGGACTCTTGACACATCCTCTTGAACAGAATTTCCATTTTTATTTTTAAAGGAATAGTAAAACAGCTTTTATTATGGGCAGCTAATAGGTCCCAATGCTCAAACTGAAACAGACTTCAATTCCTCAAACCTCGAATGTTATGGGAGGTTATATGAGGAGGTTACAGATAATGAAGTAACACTTAAAATATATGTCGAGGTACCTGGCACATAGTAGGCATTCAAATAACATTACTTGTATTTTTTTCCTTATTCCCTCCAGTCCCAGCCCCATTAGAATGCAATGTTTTTTTAAGCTGGTGGGCATCATGACATATTTATGTTGCCTGTTTTCCTACTTCCGTTTTCTTCGCTAGAAAGCATACAATATATTTAAAAATTAGATCATTAACCAGTTTTGTTCTTTTGGCATCTGGTGTTTGAAGCCGTTTCAGTTTTCATTCCAATTTTTTTTTTTTTTTCATAATGTTCTTTCCAGTCGAATCTCACTTGCTCTTTCTAAAAGGAAAACTATGAAACATAGAGAGAGAGAGATCATTTCATGGTTTCAAAGCCAGCAGGGTCAAGCGAGAGAACTCATAATTGAAGTCTAAAATGTGTTTCTTTTTTCTTCTTTATAAGCAAAAGGGAAGAGAAGAGGCCATGTCCTGAGCCACTAGCACTTCTGTTGATGGAGAATGGAAGATAATGAGGCAATTACTAAAGCTTAGATTTCAGGTCAGGGATGTGTGGGAAAGCACATAGGCACTTATAAGGGAAATAAGTCCTCAAAGAAATGTCCTTTTCCTAACACTGGGCCCAGTGACTTAAGTTTTTAGCTGCCTATTTTATCGTAAAATGTATACAATAAACATGGTCCATAGTCAGGTCACTGGCCAACTGGTAACTGAAATGTAAGTGAGAAGGCTAAAGGCTTGCAGGGTGATTCTCAGCCCTTGGGAAAAGACATATGACCTCTAAGTGTACAGTTACCATTGGCTATCTTCCACTTCCACCCCTTCCCACTTGTATAAGCCTGCTTCTCAGTTTTGAACTTGAGCCGTATCTTCAATACGATCCCACTGAATACTGATATCTCCATGTAACAGTCTCCTAGGCATCTCAACTTTGCAGAGAAGAAAACTGAAATGAATTCAGAGATGAAAGTTACCAATTTGTTGTGAATACCTCTTATGCATCACTTGCAATGCTGAGGATGTCTATGAATACAATCTTATTTGATTTCATTCCATGTCTGAGATATCCTGTTACGCCCCTGTAGAGGCACTGGTCCTGGCAGTAAATATTCATGGGGTAAGAAAACGCCTCAGTTAAGAATCTTGGGATGTCCCTTCAGTGGTGCACTGCCTTTGTAGTGATTGCGTGGATCAAAATGGTGACTACTGGCCATCTTCCAGCTTTGTGAAGCAGTCCCATGGAGGAAATGGGAGGCCTTCATCTCTGTCCCTATGCCATTGCTGGACAAATTGTAAGTAACTTTCAGTCAGCAGACAAATCACTCAATCTAGCTCTCCATTTCCAGTGTGGCTTCTTTGATGAAGAACACAATTATAAAAGGGTCAGAAATAGTAAAACTCAGTACTCCAGAGTTCCAGCCCAACAAACACCTGGAGACCATTTCCCAAGTCTGAGGCTGTCTGATAGTTTTTGCTCCTTATCTGTTTCCCCAGAAGAAGCTGCTGTTTCTTCTGGCTTCCTCCTTACCTATTCACATATTGACCGTTCTGATGCTAGACACTTCTAAGCCCTGTAGCTTACTTCAGATGTTATTATCCCTCCTCCAAATGCAAAATTGCCAGACATTCTACTTCAAAGAACACTGGCCAGGAGCATGTTTCGTTATCTACCATTCTTCACACATGCAGCCTGCAGCACATCCATTCTTCCTCAGTGAAGATCTTTATTTTCACACATTATGACTCATTGGCTCAAAGAAAAGAAGAGGGCAGATTCAGGTACAGGAAAAATTTTTTTAAAAAAATGGTTATGTGACTCGATGTAGCTCTAAGCATATTTAACATAAAATTAAAATTGTACATCTACAGCAGCTGTAGAATTTTCACAAACCATAAGTGTCTTTGGATCCTAATATACCACCCTGAGGACATCTTTGATATAGTTAAGTTTAGATAGCTCTAGAAGGAATGGCACAGAGTAAGATTTGTTGACTATCTACTATGGTTTCATTACCTCTCAGATTGTAGCTAAGTACACATAAATGATGAGATTTGGTTATTCCATCTGAGACTATTACCTCAACTGTCTATGAAAATAATTGTGTATGAGTAGAAAAAGATGATGCTCTAGATTAAGGTGTTGTTTCTTTAGGAAGTGCTGTACTAACATTTTTAAATCAGTGGGATCTTTTTTCCTCAGATCAAATACTAGTAAGAATTATAAAACAAATACCACTGGACCCGTTCTGGATTACCTCTAAATAAAGACAGAGCTGGACCTTAACTCTTATTCTGTTTCCTTGGAGGGCCCTGAAATAAGACTCCAGAACTCTGAGGCTTCGCGGAACATAGGAGACTCTATGATCTGGTAGAAAAAGGACAAATTCTCAAGTTATGCAGTCTAGGAGTTGGAATCCCAGCTCTCCTGATAATACCTCTTGATTTCAGCAATTTATTTAATATCCGTGAAGATCAGTTTTTTCAACTTCAAAAAAAAAAGGCGAAATAGGATATATGTCAAGAAAAAGCTGTAATGAGTACTATATATAAATGTGATGAGCAGCAGGTATTTAACAAATCTAAGTTTTCTTTCCCTCTTTCTTCAAGTAAGGTCCTTCCTTCAGGTTAGAATAAAAAGGAAGAGCTTTTGTGAACATGTAAGAATAATATTTCGTAAGGAGATTCTGAGTGCTGCCTTGGACCTCCTTCTGGGTCTAAAGATTGGTTTAGATAGAAGTAGAGAGTTGGCCCAGAAAGCACAAGAATGAGAGCTGTTCAGGCTAGGCAAGGAATGGGAAGAGGAAAGCTGGAGATGGGAGGGAGAGCTAACATGGACCAACTGAAGTCAAGTCTAGTGAGGGTTTCCTTATATTGCTAAGCACAGAGAACAGGGAAAAGAATCTGGACCAAAAAAATGTACATCACAGATTGATGTCTAATGGAAGGGATCCTAAGTAGTTTGTAGGGGCATTTCCAAAATAAATTTCACTAGTTGAGATTGAGTATTGAAAAGATAGACAAATTGTGTCATGGAATCACAGAACTTCCAGGCTGGAAGGGAATTTTTCTTTCTTTTCGTTCACTTCCCTTGGTTTGTAGATGAGGAAACTGAGGTTCAGAGAGGTTAGGTGACCAGTACAAAGTCTCTTAGCAAGTTAGTAATGGGACTGATTCTGGTATGTTTCCTATGTATATTGCCTACTCCTCTAGACTCTCCCCTTATTTCCAGGTCAGACTGCCTTTCATTCCACAGTTATAATCACAGTGACTGATTATAACTTTCATGGCCTAGAATGTACATTCTCAAGAAATTCTGTTTCACACATACCGAACTCTCATCCACTAAACATATCTTCTGATCTTTTCTAAAAATCAGCACATACAATAAACCTAACTACTTCAAATAAATTAGTGGCATGTTAAAAGCAATAACCTCTTACACATGAGTAGCAAATTTACATTAAAAAAAGGAGTTTTGATAAAGGATAGAATCACATTACAAACTCCTTGTGAAAGAGGGACTATGGCAGCCTGATCAGGAGTAGGAACATTAAAATACCTCCCCAAGTTTAGATCAAATTCAATTACAATCAAAAATAGATTCTGGCTAAATCAGAAAAAGCACAGAGGTTTGTTAGTTGTTAGGTTTTGAAGGGAAGGTGAGGATTAAAGACACACACACAGAAAGAGGGCAGCTCAACAGCAAATGCAGGCTTTATGTCCAGCATAAAACCTACAGAAAAGGGGGACCAGCCTAATGCCAGAGCCCACTACTGCCTACAGGCTGTGGCAATTCATAGGTATGGGTGGGAGGGGTCTGGGCAGTATGGCTTGCTGCCTGGCAGGATATTGATAAGATGTGCCCATGATGAGGCAGTTCTGGCCCTTGTTCCAGCGGGATGTCATCGTGATCTTCCATGGACCTTTGTCCAGCAAGATATGATAGGGATGTTTTTTTAGTTGGGCCTTTGTCTGCCTTGTGGTCATGTGGTTAGGAAGGATGTTTCTCACGGCCCAAACCCCTGTAAAATGTTTCACTTTGACCAAGGTCTGCAAAATAGCAGGGAGCATACAACGTAGTGCAGTTTGGACTAACATTCTTGCCTTTTACTTTAATATAAAAGGAAGAGGGGCATTGTGGATCATCTGGCTGCTTCCTGCTTAGTAGGGGCACTGTACTCAGAGTTTGGGTTTTGAAGTAGTGGGTGTTTGACTTCAGAGTTGTTTTCCTTGACGCGTTGATACCGAACTTGGTGGAGGAGGAGGATGGTATTAATGTGTTTCTGGGTGTTGTCTGGATAAGGGAGTTTAGCCTTTGGGAGGTAAAGCGGGATATGAAGGTGAATACACATGGGCCAGTTGTTAGTATTTTGAGGAAGAAAATTAGGGGCCCTAAGAAAGGGGCAACCTCCTATACTGGTGCTAAGTGCAGCAGAGCAGAGATGTTTAGTTCTGCTAACGGGAATGAAGTGTACAGCCTGCTTGGTGTGTGTGGAAGAGGAAGAAGTAGGGATTACTAAAGGAACCTGAGTAGTTTGGTTGTTAGGCAAAATGTTAATGTTTGGAGATTGAAACACCAGGGTGCATGTTCCTGACCAATTGGCTGGTAGGCAGAGTTAAGAGTTTGCACTGCAAAGGAAGAAGACACTGCGGGTGGACAGACAAAAGTTGTAGGTTATGGTGGAAAGCCATGACAAGGTGGGGGTTGAATCCTGAATAAACTTTTTGTCCCATCCTTTTTTGTTTTTCCAAGTTGAATAGCTGCCAGCAAGGGTAGCCTGTAAGGGCCTGATAGGGAATGTTGGTGGGAGAGGAGATGAAGGCTGTTTGGTTTTGGAGAGAGAGAGATAAATGGGTTTTTGTAACTAAGCCATTGAGATCCTGATGGGGCAGAAGGATATAGGTTGCAGTTGAGGGAATTGTTTGTGCAGTTTCTCCAGGGAGCGCCCTTGGGTTGACTACATGGAGAGGGGTACCAGCAGAGAGGGGAGGGGTTAGTAAGGGGTGTTTTATAGAATCCAGCTTAGAGGCCATGAGGCGAAAGAGGGTGACAGCCCTGTGTGATGATGTGGATGGATTTGATAGATTGCGGGAAAGGCGTTTAGCCAAGCAAGATTATAAACAGGTTTTGGGAATGATTTGGCCGAGTACGTGAGATGCAGGTTTATTTTGGACTGGGCTTATGCAGTTAAGTTAACAGGAAGGGCTGTAAACTGCTGGATTTGTGTGGACAACAAATTTAACAGTTGGAAGAAAGACGGGAGTGTGACTGATTTAAGAGGTGATGTTTGAGGTTGACAAAGGGGGCTCAACTGCCAGAGGTTAGGGGTGGGGACTTAGAGTATCCCACAGACAAAGAAGACAAAATGAGAACAAGGAGATTTGAGTAGGAGTGAAATTTTGGAAAGTTCTTCAGCCATAGCTCTTGGATTAATGTGAGAAATTGGAGTGGATTATCCAGGGACTTGGGGAGGGAATACCAGGAGAGATCTGAAACAAGGTATGAGATAAAAGATTTGAAATTGGAAGCAGACAGTGTTATGGACCATGGCCTCCTGGATTGGCAACTTCTGGAATTTTTGTTAAGTGAAGTGAGGTTGGTCCTGTGAGGGAGGGAGAAAAATTTGGGAGGAGGACATTTCTGGATGTGGATCTGGGGCTCTTTTTAGTTTGGAATGGTGTATCGAGTGGGGATAGGATATAATCTTTGCCTTTGTGGGAGTGGCTAGGATAACCTGGTGCGGACTCATCCACTTAGGTTGGAGAGGGGAGGAGGAGGAGTCTGTGATCCAGACCCAGTCCCCTGGTTGTAGGGACAGGGAGAAGTGTCTGGAGGATGGACTTTCCGGATGGGGCAAGTAAGTGTTTGCGTACTGTCTTACTAGATGTTGAGTAAGGTGTAATGCCAGCCAAGTATCTTGCATAAAAGGGGAAGAAGATACAGGCAGATGCTGGAGGATAAAGAAGTGTTTGTACAAGAGTTTAAATGGGCTCAGGCTGAGGGGATTTTGGGGGAATGGCTGGCAAACGCATGAGGGCAAATGGGAGAAGTGAAGTCCAGGCCATTTTAACCTCTAGAAAGAGTCTGGTTAGTTAGTGTTTTAAAAGGACGTTGGTCCATTTAACTTTACCTGAAGATTGGGGGCAGGGGAGCGATAAGGAATATGGAAGGGTATTTAATGTTTAGAGCCTTTGCCAGCTGTTGGTTAACCTGTGAAACAAATGTTGGCCTGTTGTTTGACTGGATGGAAGAGGGGAGTTTGAACCAGGGATAATATGGGTGAGGATAATAGAAGCGACAGTGTGCGCCTTTTCAGTGGTGGCAGGAAAAGCTTCTATCCACCCAGAGAATGCATCTACTATTTGTCAGAAGGTATCAGACTAGTTTTACGGGGGGCATGTGTGTGAAGTTGATTTGCCAGTCCTGCCCTGGCAGGTGTCCTTGGGCCTGGTGTGTGGGGAAAGGAGGTGATTTGATAGCTTCTTGAGGGGAAGTTTGAGTGTAAAGGGAATATGCCTTAGTAATATCTTTGAGATTGGAAGCCATGGTGGGAGATTGTACGTAAGTTTTTAAGAGCTGGAGTAGGGGTGGAATGGAAATGACTGTGAACATATAAAAGTACAGAAAGTTTTTAAAACTTGGGCAAGGCAATTTTATCGTTGAGGTAGAACCACTTTTTCCTGAGTAGCATCAGCCTGGGCAAGTGAGGTTTGTTCCTCCTGGGTATATATACGGTGTATGTTGGGAAAAGTGGGCAATAATGATGGGGTTTTAAGGGCTGCCTACTGGGCTGCCAAATTTGCCAGAGAGTTCCCCTTGGTTATGGCATTTTGGTGTTCCTTGCAACGAATAATGATGGACTGTAATGGTAGTTTAGCCACCTCCAGCAGTTTGTGTATGAGTTTGCCATTTCCTATGGGGGTTCCTTTTGTATTTAGAGAACCCCTTTCCTGACAGATTAAGGCATAAGAGTATAGGATGTGGTATGCATATTTGGAATTGGTGTAAATGTCACTTTTCCTTTGCTAGGGTGAGGACCCTGGTTAGGATAGCTAGCTCCACTTGTTGAGAGGGAGTTCTGCCTGTTGAGAGGTAGTATGGGGTGGGAGAGCATTGGATTTTAGGAGTTTATATCAGCAATGATGGCTGAACATGGCTCCCTAAAAAAGGTTCCATTAATGAACCATGTAGGTCTTCCCCAAAAAGGGGTTTTTGAAATGTGTTGGAAGGTGGTAGGGGAGAGGGAGTCTAAAAGGTCCAGGCAGGAGTGAGAGAGCTTAGAGTTGGAAGTGCTTACAGGAAGGAGGGTGGCTGGGTTGAGAGCTTTACCTCTCTGGAAGGTGATTAGATGGTTTCCCATGAATAAGGTGGGTACCTGCTGTAAGTTGGATGGTGGGACAATTAGAAGAGATTGATGGCTTGTGAGGTTCTGTAGGCTATGGGAAGATGAATACAGTAATGCATTGGTAGAGAGTGAGTTTCTGTGCCTCTGAGGTCAGCAATGTGGCCACACCCACGGTTTTTAAGCAGGATGGCCAGCCTTGAATGACAGAGTCCAGTTGTTTTGAGAGGTATGCAATGGCCTGTGGGGCGTTGCTGTACGTTTGGCAGAGTAGTCCAAGAGCAAGGCCTTAGTCAAAATATACATACAGAGTAAAGGGCTTGGTGGGGTTGGGAAGTTCCAGTGCCAGGGCCGTTATAAGGGCATTTTTTAGTTTTTTAAAGTGTGAGTTGATGGGGCAAGCTGGGTTTAGGGTTTCTAGAATGGGCCCATGTGAAGCCATGTAGAGTGGCTTGGCCAGCAAGCTGAATTTGGGAATCTACAGCTGGAAGTATCCCACAAGGCCCGAGAAGGAGAGGAGGTCCTTTTTTTTGGTGTAGGGAAGGGACATGTCCCAAATTAACTTCTTTCTTTGGGTTGGGATGGCCCAAGAATTAGGGGTTAGAACAAGTCCAAGGTAAGTGACCTGGGTTTGGGCTACCTGAGCATTTGAGGGTGAGACCTGATATCCTCGACTATGGAGGAAGTTTAAAAGCTGAGTGGTGTGTTGGAGGGACAGGTTAAGGGAGGGGCTACAGAGAAGGAGATTATTGATGTGTTGGAGCACAGAGGTTTGTTAGTGACTTCCTGAAGAGTTTCAGAAGGTATTTGAAAACTTAAAAAGTCAAATGAAATAGAACTTTGGTATAAAAACCACAACGATTTAAAAGTCATGCCTGTTGTAGTTTGAGGAAGCCAACAATCAGAGAGTCTCCAGAGGGAATGGTGTTTGGTAACACATGAGTGTGATTGCCCCCTTGCAGAAGAGGTTATCATAGAGATCTTGGGAATGTACTCATAATAAAATTCATGAGTGATGGATGCACAAGTCAGATGTCATTTTATTAATTTTCAGTAAAAATATAATTGTTTTAAAGACAAGGGAATTTAAGCTTTAATGACACATGCATATTCTCAATCTGGGAAGTCTATAGTTTATACCTAAAAGCTAAATAACTAAAAAGTGACTTAGAGAGTATAGTCAGCAACATGAATGTTATTTAGATAATCTTAATGGCCAGTGTCATAAAGCTATGACAATCTCGTGAATTCATCTTTCTGATATAGGAGTGGTCCTCCATTCTGACCTGATATTTATATTCATAGGTAGGAGGCCATTTTTTCCTGCATGGTACTGGAAACAGAGTACTCATATTATTGCTGTAAACTTTCAAACAGCAGAACATCCCATTTCTGATTGATTCTTTTTTATTCATTGGTTCAATAAATATTTAATGAATATGTATTGTCAGGCACTACGCTAATGCTGTGCATAAAAGAGGGAGCAAGAGAGACACAGCCCCTGTCCTCACATAGATTAAGATCTAGTGATGACAGATATACAATTAAACAAGCTGTGATCACAGTTGGTATGGTAGAGGAAGTACAGGGTGGCATGAAAGTGAATAAGAGGGCCACCTAACCCAGAAAAAGGGATCAGGGAAATCTTCCAGCAGGAAGTGATGTTTTACTGGGGACTTGAAAGTTGAGTACAAATTAGCGAGGTAAAGGGGAGACTGTCTTAGGCAGGGGACCAAGATGAGCAAACAAAAAAAATTGAAAAAATAGAAAAACCTCAGATACGCTTTTTTGAGAAAGTGTCTCTTTGCAGAGACATATTTTTTAAAAAAGATAATATACATTGTTGATGAGTGTATGGGTAACCCCCTTTTTAATTTTAATTTTTATTTTACTCTAAATTCAGGGATACATGTGCAAAATGTGCAGGTTTGTTACATAGGTATACATGTGCCATGGTGGTTTGCTGCACCTATCATCTAGGTTTTAAGCCCTGCAAATACATAGACTTCTAGCTAGACTAATGAAGAAGAAAAGAGAGAAGACGCAAACAGCCACAATAAAAAATGATAAAGGGGATATCACCACTGACCCCACAGAAACACAAACTACCACCAGAGAATACTATACACACCTCTACACAATTAAACTAGAAAATCTGAAAGAAATGAATAAATTCTTGAACACATACAGCCTCCGAAGACTAAACTAGGAAGAAGTTGAATCCCTGAATAGGTCGATAACAAGTTCTCAAATTGAGGCAGTAATTAATAGCCTATCAAGCAAAAAAAAACCCAGGACCAGATGGATTCACAGCTGAATTCTACTGGAGGTACAAAGAGGAGCTGGTACCCTTCCTTCTGAAACTACTCTAAACAGTTGAAAACAAAGGACTCCACCCTTACTCATTTTATGAGGCCAGCGTCATCCTGATACCAAAACCTGGCAGACACACAACAAGAAAAGAAAACTTCAGGCCAATATCCCTGATGAACATCGATGCAAAAAATAAAATACTGGCAAACCGAATCCAGCAGCACACCAAAAAGCTTATCCACCATGATCAAGTCGGCTTTATCCCTGGGATGCAAGGTTGGTTCAACATATGCAAATCAATAAATGTAATCCATCACATAAACAAAACCAATGACAAAAAAACACATGATTATCTCAATAGATGCAGAAAAGGCCTTCAATAGAATTCAACATCTCTTCATGTTAAAAACTCTCAATAAGCTAGGTATTGATGGATCATATCTCAAAGTAATAAGGGCTATTCATGACAAACACGTAGCCAATATCATATTGAATGCGGAAAAGCTGGAAGCATTCCCCTTGAAAACTGGCACAAGACAAGGATGCCCTCTCTTACCACTCCTAGTCAACATATTATTGGAAGTTCTGGCCAGGGCAATCAGGCAAGAGAAAGAAATAAAGTGTATTGAAATAGCAAAAGAGGAAGTCAAATTGTCTCTGTTTGCAGATGACATTGTTGTATATTTAGAAAACCCCATTGCCTCAGCCCCAAAACTCCTTAAGCTGATAAGCAACTTCAGCAAAGTCTCAGGATACAAAATCAATGTGCAAAAACCACAAGCATTCCTTTATACCAACAATTCATTCATGAATGAATGCCCATCCACAATTGCTATAAGCTGATAAGCAACTTCAGCAAAGTCTCAGGATACAAAAATCAATGTGCAAAAATCACAAGCACTCCTTTATACCAACAATTCATTCATGAATGAATGCCCATCCACAATTGCTATAAAGAGAATAAAATACCTGGGAATATAGCTAACAAGGGACTTGAAAAACCTCTTCAAAGAGAGCTACCACTACTGCTCAAGGAAATCAGAGAGGACACAAATAAATGCAAAAACATTCCACCCTCACGGATAGGAAGAAACAATATTGTGAAAATGGCCATACTGCCCAAAGTAATTTCTAGATTCAATGCTATTCCCATCAAACTACCATTGACATTCTTCACAGAATTAGAAAAAACTACTTTAAATTTCATATGGAACCAAAAAGAAGCCTGTATAGCCAAGACAATCCTAAGCAAAAAGAACAAAGCTGGAGGCATCACACTACCTGGCCTTAAACTATACTACAAGGCTACAGTAACCAAAATAGCATGGTATTGGTACCAAAACAGATATATAGACCAACGGAACAGACAGAGACCTTAGAAATAACACCACACATCTACAACCATCTGATCTTTGACAAACCTGACAAAAACAAGCAATGGGAAAGGATTCTCTATTTAATAAATGGTGCTGGGAAAACTGACTAGCCATATGCAGAAAACTGAAACTAGGTAACCCCCTTTTGTCCACTGCTGATAGGAATGTAAATTGTTATACATATTTTAAAGGTTATTTCAGAAGTTTAAAGGTATAAACTTTGTAAACTTGACACTGTAATTTTAGATACTTGTTCTGAAGAAATAATTGTGGATGTATAAAATGATATAAAATATATAAGGTCTTGACTTTATAAAGAGAAAAATTGGAAACTGGAAAATGGGTTCAATAAATTCTTATATGTAATGAAAAACATTATGCAGCTAATAAAAGTATTATTATCAAAACACTTAATGACCTAGATCTTGGGGTTAGCAAACTATAGCCAAACTATGGCAAAATGGCCTGCAATCTGCTTTGTTTTTTAATTTTTTCTTTTGAAACAACTATATATTCACGGGAAGTTGCAAAGAGTACAGAAAGGTACTCTGTACCCCTCAACTAGTTTCCTCTACTGGTTAAATCTTACTACAGTGCAATATCAAACCATAAAATTGACATTAGTACAATATGTGTATAGATTCTTGTAATTACAAGTACAATCAAGATACTAACTCTTCCATCACCACACAAATCTCCCTTGTGCTACCCTTTTATAGTCATACCCACCTCTTCTTTTTTCCTTGGTTAGTCTAGCTAGTGGTTTATCAATTTTTTAAATCTATTCAAAGAACCAACTTTTCACCTTGTTGATCCCTTGTATAATTTTTTAGTCTCTATTTTGTTTAGTTCTGTTCTCATCTTTATTATTTCTTCTACTAATTTTGGGTTTGATTTGTTCTGGCTCTTCTAATTCCTTGAGGTGCAACTTTGGATGGTTTATTTGTAATCTTGCTACTTTTTTGATGTGGCATTTGGTACTATAAACTATATTTTTCTTTTCTTTTTTTTTTTTTTGAGATGGTGTCCTCACCCATGCTGGAGTGCAGTGGCATGATCTCAGCTCACTGCAGCCTCTGCCTTTTGGGTTTAAGCAATTCTCCTGCCTCAGCCTCCTGAGTAGCTGGGACTACAGGCATGGGCCACCATGCCCAGCTAATTTTTGTATTTATAGTAGAGAGGGGGTTTCACCATATTGGTCAGGCTGGTCTTGAACTCCTGACCTGAGGTGATCCACCCACCTCAGCCTCCTAAAGTGCTTGGATTACAGACGTGAGCCACCATGCCCAACCTAATACTATGAACTTTCTAAGAAATAATACCAATTATCCCCAAACTATTCTAAAAACTTGAAGAGGAAGGAATTCTCCCTAATTCATTGTACACTGATAGTGGGGTAATGCTGGCATTACCCTGGTATCAAAACAGACAAGGATTATTCTGCATTATCCTGCTATCAAAACAGATAAGGATGCCACATCAAAAAGACAACTATAGGCCAATATCTCTGATGAACATAGATGTATAAATCTTCAACAAAATATTATCAAACAGAATCCAACAGCACATCAAAAACAAAACAAAAACAACAACAAAAAAACCCACAACATGTTCAAGTGGGATTTATCCCAGGAATGTAACAACGGTTTAACATCTGTAAGTCAATAAACGTGATCCATCACATTAACAGAATGAAGGACCAAAACTATATGATCATCTCCATAAATTCAGAGAAGCATTTGATGAAATTCAATATCCCTTTGTAATAAAAATTCTCAACAAATTAGGAATAGAAGGAACATACCACACAATGTAATAAAAGCTATATATGATAAACCCACAGCGAACATCATACTAAATGAGGAAAAGCTGAAAGCCTTTTCTCTAAGAATTGGAACCAAACACAGATGCCCACTTTGACCACTCCAATTCAACGTAGTACTGGAAGTCTTAGCCAGAGCAATCAGGCAAGAGTAAGAAATAAAAGGCATCCAAGTTAGAAAAGAGAGAATAAAATTGTCCCTATTTGCAGATGATATAATCTTATATCTAGAAAAATCTAAAGACTCTACCAAACACTGTTAGAACTGATAAATGAATTTGGTAAAGTTTCAGTATACAAAATTAACACACAAAAATTAGTAGCATTTCTGTATGCCAACAGAAAAAAATCTGAAAAAGAAACCAAGAAAGCAATCCCATTTACAATGCTAATGAAATAAAATAAAATGACACAGCTAGGAATAAATTTTCCTAAAGAAGGGAAAAATCTGTACAATGAAAACTGTAAAACACTGATTAAAAAAAATTGAAGAGGATATGCCAAAAGAGGAAAGATATGCCATGTTCATGGATAGGAAGAAGTAATATTGTTAACATTTTCATACTAACCAAAGCAATCTACAGAATCAGTGTAATCCCTATCAAAATATCAATGACATACTTCGATGAAATAGAAAAAACAACCCTAAAACTTTTATGAACAACAGAAGACCCCCAAGAGCCAAAGCAATCCTGAGCAAAGCAAAACTGGTGGCATAACGTTACCTGACTTCAAATTATAATATAAAAACTATAGAAACTAAAACAGCATGGTACTGGCATAAAAATGAACACATAGACCAATGGAACAGAAGAGAAAGCCCAAAAATAAAGCCATGCATGTGTGGCCAACTCATTTTTTACAAAGGTGCCAAGAGCATACATTTGGGGAAGGACATCATCTTCAATAAACGATGCTGGGAAAATTGGATATTTATAGAAGACTATAACTGGACCCCTATCTCTCGTCAGTGACAAAAATAAACTCAAGATGGATTAAAAACTTAAATGTAAGACTTTATAACATATAAAACTACTAGATAAAAGCATAGAGAAAACACTTTGGGACATTGGTCTAGGCAGATATGTTATGGCTAAGAGCTCAAAAGCACAGGCAACAAAAACAAATATAGACAATTGGGAGTTATTCAACTAAGAAGCTTCTTCACAGCAAAGGAAACAATCAACAGAGTGAAGAGACAAACTGTTGAATGGGAGAAAATATTTGCCAACTATTCATTTGACAAGGACTATTATCCAGACTATAGAAGGAATTGAAATAATAGTAAAAAAAAAAAAAAAAAAAAAAAGAAACAAATAATCCCATTAAAAAGTAGTAAGGGACATGAATAAACATTTCTCAAAAGAACACATTCAAATGGTCAATGCTACGTGAAATAATGCTCAAAATAATTAATCATCAGGAAAACGCAAATCAAAACTACAATGAGATCTCATCTTACCCCAGTTAGAGCGGCTACTATTAAAAAGACAAAAAATAACAGATGCTTGAGAGGATGCAGAGAAAAGGGAACACATATACACTCTTGCTGGTGATGTACTAGGACAGCCACTCTGGAAAAGAGTAGGACGATTTCTCAAAAAACTCAAAATAGAACTACCATACAATCCAGCAATCCCACTACTGGGTGTTTATCCAAAGAAAAAGAAATCCATGTATTGAACGGATACCTGCACTCCCATGTTTGTTGCAGCACTATTTACAAAGCAAAGGTATGGAATCAACCTAAATGCACAACAATGGATGAATAGATAAAGAAAATGTGGCACATATACACAACAGAACACTATTTGGCTATAAAAAAGAATGAAATGATGTCATTTGTAGCAACATGGATGGAAGTGGAGGCTATTATTGTAAGTGAAATAGGCCAGGCAGAAAGACAACTATCTCATGTTCTCACTCATGTGTAGAAGGTTTAAAAAGTTGATCTCATGGAGATAGAGGGTAGAATGATGGCTACCAGAGGCAGGGAAGAGTGTGTTGGGTAATGAGGGTAGGGAGATAAAGAGAAGTTGGTTAATGGGTAGAAACACACAGTTAGATAGAAGGAATAAAATTTAATGTTCAATAGCAGAGTAGGATGACTGTAGTTAACGACAACGTACTGAATATTTCAAAATCACTAGAAGAAAGAACTTCAAATGTTTTCAACACATGAAATTGACACACACTTGAAGTGATAGACACCTCAAATACCCTGACTTGATCATTATGCAGGCCATACATGTAAAAAACTCACACATACCTCATAATTATGTACAAATATTTGTATCGTAAAAAAGACCACACAAACTTAATTATTATAGCTTTAAATATGTCTTAAATTAGATACATTGATTCTTTCCTCTTCAGTTTTTCCCTGTAAAAATTGTTTTAGCTCTTCTAGTTCCTTTGCTTTTCCATATCAATTTTAGGATAATCTTATCTGTATCTGCAAAAAATATTTTGCTGGGAATTAATATGAGTTATGTTAATCCTATACATAAATTTGAGGAGAATTAGTATCTTTATTATGTTGAGACTTTCAATCCATGAACACAATATGTCTGCTACCTGTTTTTTTAATAAATAAAGTGCTATTGGAACACAGCCATGTCCAATTATTTATATATTGTTTATATTGTATATATTTATGGTTGCTTTCCCATTATAATATCAGAGTTAAGTCGTTGTGACAAAGACTGTGTGGCTTACAAAGCCTAAAATATTTACTACCTGGCCCTTCACAGAAATTTTGCCCACATCTGGATCAGATAAATATCTGTGCTATATTGTTAAGTGGGAGAAAGCATATTATGAAACACTATAAATGGTATGTATTATTTCAATTTTAAACATAAGTTTTAATGACACTCATATGTATATGTATAATAAAATGACTGAAGTAATATAAAACCAAAATTTTAACTACTTTTTTCAAGATAGTAGTATTAAGGGTGATTTAAAAAATTTTCTTTTTGGTTTTCTGCATTTTTCTTTTATTCTATCCTAAGTGGCTAAAAGGAATTTAACAGGTTAAGAGAAGATTTTCCTTTCAAATTTCTCTCTCAACAGTCTTATGAGACTTGTTCCTTTCAGGTAGAAAAAGACTTTCAAATGTAGAAGATATAATAATCAATTATTTCTGTTCAAGATAGTGAATTATGGCTTTACAATACGTATTTTCAAAACATGGGTGAATTATTGCAGGTTCATAATTTAAGCCTACTTAGTCAATAAGTACAGATAAGAAAATGCCATAGATATAAATAATCTGAATCCTTGGTTTATTCTTGATGATTTACTGATTCACACCTGACGTTTACTTACTGGTAACTGTAGGCAAATGTAACATGCTTAAGCCTGAATACTAAGATGAGCAAATTGGTTACTGCTTGATGACCATTTCAAATGATAAGTACTGGCAAAATAAACAGTTACATTTTTTGCTACCCTCACCCTCTATTAACTATTACTTCAGAGTGACAGGTTTTTTTCAGTTCTGATGGTGGATCAACATAGATATAGACAGCTCAAATAGCGAGTCACACCAGGAGTGTCACCTGCTATTTGAGAAACTGAGTGGATGGCATAAAACACAGTGATTATAGCTATGCTTTCATCTGGAAAGAGCTCTCATAGGGTCATCAAAAACCAAAGGAGTGCTTGGAAGGGACATAGGTACCTGACAGGTTAATAACTCACTTCACAAAGTCACAATGCGTCTCCAGCAACTCCATTCTTTTCGTGAGGTGATTATTTCTTAAACCCTAATCTTGATTTTTAACCCTACTCTAAATCCACTCTGCAAGTACTCCTTCACATGGTGCGAATTAATTATTTTAATAACTCTAGAAATTATACAGTAATAGTTCCCTCATCATAACCACTGAAGAAAGTTTGTATGGGGACAAGGTTTGAAATTCTAAAAGGCTCTGATCTTTCTCAGAAACAGGCACCAATTTTCTCAAATGAAAACATGTTTATTACATAAAGACCGCAGATGCTCGGAACAGCTTGTCATCCCTTTGCTTTTAGGTGATGCCCACACAGCACTAAGAACGGCAGAGATCTGGCAATTTTCTAATTAAATGTGATCAATATTGACAACTAAACAGCATCATTCCGGCCCCGGAGTAGAGTTCTGGGCCACAATTATCCTATTTGTCTGTCTACATTGCTCACATTAACTGGGTAAATTGGCTGATCAAATCTCCACTTCCGTAATACCAGCCTGGAGGAGTGAGGCTTAGGAATTCATGCAATAGTAGAGAATGAATAAAAGGTGTTCATTTGTTCATCCATTTTTTTTTAAACAAATAAAGGTTGACAACTACCCACTTCTACTCTGCTCGGTGTGTAGAATTTACAATAATGAATAAGGCCTTGATTCTTCCCCACAAGAAGCTTAGAACTATGGTAAAACAAAACAAAACAAAACAAAAAAACAAAAAAAAACAAACGTGTAATGATAAAGGTGTGATCTAAGGCTGAAGTATCATAAGAAATATACAGATAAAGTACTGTAGGAATTCGTAAGATGAAGACGTTACTTCCTAGAATGAAAAAGAGCTTTCTGGAGAAAGTTACTTTGAGCACAAACTTGAAGGCAGGGTGTGGGGACGTGGCAAAGGCACAGAAAGCGATGCAGATTAATTAAGACTTGTCGGTAACCCAAAAAGTGTGCTTAAGAGAAGGGGAAATTACTGTTAGCATTTAGGGTGTTCGAGGGAAACTTACAGGCAGACATACAGCCAGACCTTAGGAACTAATTGGAATCAAGACTGGTATACAATCAGGAACCTGGGTATTGTCCTGCTTCAACTTCATTCTTTCTCTCTGCAGACTTGCTTTCTCTGCTTTTCCATTCACATGGTTGACTACGATTGCCCCAACTAATTGAAAGGCAGCAAGGAGAATCTTCTTGCCCCACATTATGTCAATTTTAGGAACTATTGCCAGGAGAGTGAAGTCATAAATAAACACTGCTTCCAGGGGAAGAAGATCCAGAGGTTCCTAGATGTGGGGAGATGACTTGCATGCTGGTCAGACGTACCCTGAAGAGCGGCTACTGTGCTGTGCAAGGAAAATGGTAGCACAGTGCAACTAGAATACAGGTTTGGAAGGGCAGCTAAGAAAAGATAATGAAAGACTTTGCGGAGAGTCATTGAGAAGGATAGTAACGTAATCTGAACTATGCTTTGGACAAGTTAATTTGACATTAAGTATAATGAAATGAAATAATAGATTTCCTTTTGTCTCATTTTTTGTATTCATTAATCTCACTGCATTATAAACGCTATTATAAGCCACTTTAACTTCTTTTGGAGACAAGATACAAGATGACACAATAATTGTTATTTTTTTAAAAAGAGAGTAAAGATGAGCGGTAATACAAATTCAACTTAGAATTGTGTTACTTATTACTTTTCTTTGTAACCATAGCATGAACCCAAATAATCACATTTTGAACCCTAATTTTAAAATATGAGGATTCAACTAGAACAAACACGGCTCTTGTGTGCCCCTCGTCTCATTTACCCCATCCAGATATTGCTAAACGTTTTCGGATCTTTCCTGCTGAGCCTGGACTAAGCCACAGAATCTTTCTCCACCCCCCAGGCAGCTCATAAATACCAATTCACTGAAGGTGTTATTCGAGGTTCAAATATTTGCCATCCCTAGACTACAATTCTAAATTGCTAAGGATAAAGATGAAGCCTTTAGTTCAACCTCCTTATTTTATAGAAGAGTAAACTGAGGCCCAGAAAGAGTAAGTGATTGGCATGTCACACAAACTAGTAAGCTATATCCTGAGATTATATTCTTTTAGTAATTTTAATGGAAAGAATGTCCTTGCTATTATAATCCTTCTTGTGTGATCATTGAGCGTTGGTTTGAAATTGTTTTTCTTAATACATGCAATTGAACTTTCTGAATTTTAATTTTTTTTAATTTTGTACTTCTAACAAACTGATCGGATACTACTGCTTGAATTTACCTTTTCTAGTTAATAAAATTTGACTTTTAGTGGACCACTACTGACATACTGGAATTTAGCAATTAGATGAAAGCTCATAGATGTTTCCTTACTATTGTAAAATTGGAACATTGACCTATTTCTGAATAAATTTTTTTGATGGCATGTTAAAAAATTAACATTAACCTTTAGTGAATATTACCTGGTCTACTCGGCAAAGCTGGGTACTGTACTCAATCTTCTGTCACTCATGTATTATTTTCCTCTTCTTGCCTGTGGAGAAAGATGTCCTGATTTCTCAGTTGCTAGGGGAGTGCAAAAACAGAATCCTAGAGCTTCAAAGTTCTTCAAGAGGTCACCTGATCTGCTCCTTGGAGTACACGGAGATGAACATTTTAATTAACCAAGGCAGAAAACTACTAAAATTATTCTGAGTGAACTCAATAGATGTAGACAGATTAGGATTTTACATCCTCCCTTGGTATAAACATTTGTTTTAGTTTATAAGCCCCCTTTAGGTAGTATTCATTGCATTGTGTTGAAATTATTTGCTCAACTGTGGATCTTCCCTTGGAGGCCCTTGAGGACAAGAATGTGTATCTATCATCTTTTAGAGCATCCAGTACATAGAGGGGGGTTGATAAATGCCCACTGTTTAATGCATAGTGCAGGTGTTCCATTGAATTCCATTTTGTTATAAAGTATGGTGGAATCCTGTGTCCCCCTTTGTTTTGCCCCTTTGGAGGCACCTACAACTCCAGTGACCCAGCACAGAAACTATACAAAGTGGCCAATCAGGAAATGTTTGTTGAATGAATTAAAAAAAATCTTCACAGCTTTTGAAAGTCTACTCCTACACTCATTCTTGCATTATCTCTCATTTTCCCAACTTGTACTGTGGTATTTAAGATATTTTTCCCCCTATAAATGTGTTCATGCCCTGTGAAACTTTAAAATATTAGCCAAACTGGAAAATATAATAAGCAAAGATCCCCAGTTACATAATTGCTTCTCATGTTGGGGCCTTTTCTTACATTGCCAGTTAAATTTAATAAGCAGTCTTGAACATCTCTGTGTGCAAAGTGCAGAGGATGGGGCAGATACTTAAAACTTTTCAGCAGAGGAATAACTTGGCCAATCACCTATGCCCCGTCGCCCCTTCAATACATCTGATCCTTGCTGACTCCTTTCCTCCCATGTCTGGGCTTCCTCTCACTCTGTTCCTCTACCTAGGCAGTGTAGCATTACGCTGGCTGTTTGGTCAAACATTTGGAGCTTCAATCCTGACTGCTACTATCCAGTTACCTGAACTCGGAAAAATTACTTAATCTCTCTGAGTCTCAGTTTTCTCATTTGTAAAATGGGTAGAATTACACTTCCAAGAGTTGTTGGGAGGATTATATGAAATAATGCATGTAAAAGTGCTTTCCGCAGTGCCCAGCACTGAATGAATGCTAGTTGTTCTCATTATTAGTAGAAAAATGCATCCACTCTTTATGTCTTCATCTCCCACCCTGTCTTCAAGGCCCAGCTGAAATGTTGCTACCTCTATGAAGATTTCTCTGATGCCAGCCAAACTGATCTTTACCTTTTCATATCTTTTGTACTTACTAGCTCTTTCTCACAATCACTGTCTAGCTACATGGCACTCTGTTATTCTTCAATGTACACCTGTGTAAAGATGTTCAATGGCATACCACTTTGTTCATAAAATAATTATTCCCTGCATTTATCTTCTCACATGAGACTTAAACAGCATGTGGGCAAGGACTATGCAAGGCAAAACATAGGATCTCAAAAAATACCTTCTGACTTAATGATTGAAGGGGCTAGACCACAAATGATTTAGCTTCCCTTGTTAACTTCTGCCTTCAGTCAGCCTTTTGATTTAAACGAGCCCCATTTTTCTTTGAAAAGACTGCTGCAGTCAATTACTGGGCATAAAACACCAGGACAATCATCGGTTTGTGAAGGTTTTCTGTGCCAGATTCTCCTGTTTCCTAGTCAAAACCTTAAGCTTTTTGCACAGCAGTGTGGAATTGGCATTTCTGTACTAGCCACATCAAATTAGCTTGGAAGATAGCCAAGTCTGGGGTCTTTATTAATTCCAATGGTTCAATTAATGGAACCATTAATTCCAATGGTTCATATTTTCCAAAGGAAAATAGTCTCAAGGTCTTGCCAGCCAATTGTAGGCCATGCGTGACAGAGAGCTGCCTTTTCAGTTAGTGGGGTCTTCATCCCCCACTTCATCCAGTTTCCTGGCCTTGATTAAAGGTATCCTGTTAAATTGTGACAGGAAGGATGCATACAAATTCCAGATAGTGGTTACCTTTTGGGGTGGAGGTTGAGAGATAGAAGGGGATATGAAGAGAAAGAGAAATAGACACAGTTTCAAATGCAATGCTAACATTTGATTTAGTCAATTTGTTAAAGTTTACTTGGATGTTAGTTGTATTTTTATACTCTACGGTATAAAAATATATGCACTTTTATATACATATATTTACAGTATAAATACTGAGAATTGCAAGGCTATTGAATATTAGTCTTTTCCTTGTCATATTATTCCTGCATTCAAAATGCAGTCACCTAGGAATCTAAAACTTAGTATTGGAAAGGTCACCTAGTGATCTTTACTTAGTCGGCAGGGTTTTCAAACACCAATGCCTTGGATGCTGTGGGAGGTGCCTCAGGCACCACCACAAGGGTCAAGGTGAAGACAGCAGGTGGAGACTTGGCCCATCATTCCTTTCAATCACATTTGATTTTGTTTTACATTATTATGATTCTGGGTAAGAAATGGTTAAAGAACCAGGAGGGATGCCAGAATAGCTATATTCTGATTTAAAAGAATATCAAATGAAATTAGACTGATGGTTATGGCTCCAAAAGGAAGAATGAGGATAAGTGGGTGAAAGTTCCTGTGGGGAGGCTTTAGTTTGCTCCAAATAGAGTGCAGCTTGCTTGAGGCAATTCCAGTTTATTTATGCCTGTTGTTCCAGGGTAATTTAGTAATTACCCTACAGCACCTCCATTCACACTCTAATTGTACCAGTTTGGATGATAAATTGTTAAGGTCACCCTAGCTATAAGAAACACTCTTACAACAAATATATCTAAGATTACAAAAGACTGCTTCCTGAAGCAGCAGCAAGAAGTAAGGTAAATGCAGAGGACCAGTTAGGGAGCTCTGCTTGACCAGTTGTTTTCAAACTTGAGATTTTTATTATGTGTCTCTAGGATGGAGCCTGGGAAGCTGAATTTCCACAATCTCCCCAGTGATTATATTGCTTGGCCATTTTAGGACACATTAGGGGGCCTACTGGTTCTCAAATTGTGAATTCTGATTCCCAAGGGTGGGTGGGATACACAATTATTTTAGTTATTCTAAATGCTGCCTTTTTTCCTTCTTTATTTTTAAAATTATTTTTATTTTATATTTTTAATTTTTTTCCATAAGTTATTGGGGTACAGGTGGTATTTGGTTGCCTAGGTAAGTTCATTGGTGGTGATTTGTGAAATTTTGGTGCACCCGTCATCCAAGCAGTATACACTGCAACATATTTGTAGTCTTCTATCCCTCGTCCCCGCTCCGCCTCTTCCCCTCAAGTCCCCTGTCTCAAGAGCCAGTGAGAGAAATATGGGGATCTTTTAATGCTGCCTTCTTCCACTGCCTTAGTTATCCATAGCTTCCTTGAAAACGTGCCTCCTGGCATGAAAGCCCCTATAGTCTTCCTGTGATCCAGCCAGGCCATTTGATGATTGCCAATCATTTCACCTACAGCCCACTCACTGCTAGCCTTCTTATTCTAATTCTCAAGGCTTCTCTAGTCAAATCTTATTTCTTTCTGTGTTTATCTCCTCTTGCAATATAGTATGGTTACTGTACACTCACCTTTGGGGCTTCCTAGGAATTTATTCTGTCACTCAAGTTTGACTCTTCAACAGAGGCTACTTAATTTGGAGAGTAAATTTTAAAACCTCCTTAATCTTTTGGTTCCCTTGTGACTTAGCTGTTCCTAGGAACTCCCAGTGGAACTGAGTGGGGAAGACCATGGTTGGAGTTTTAAAATGAGTCTATTATAAACTGTTGCATCTGGTACACCTCAGGCACTAGCTGAGATAAATGCACAGGTGCTTTGCATAGGTTTAAATCATTTCCATGTTTTCCCTGTCTGCCTTCTTATCCTAGGTCTGATATTACAACTGGCCATTTTATCCACAATGCTTCTGCAGGCACAATGGTGGCTCAGTCACAAAGGGCCTATACTTGTTAATTTCTTAAGACTCCTTTTAATTTATACTGTGCCCACTGCTCCTTGTTCATCTCCCTGATACTTTGATGTCTGCTGCTGTGATCTAGTGTTCACTATTTGTTTTGGGCTCCATGGTTTTTGACCCAGTTGGAATCTTCTCTGGCTTGTGAACTACTTAAGCTCTTTGCTTGGCATATGGTCTGACTTACATATTCCTTTAGATGAATGATGTTAATATCAGTCCTGACCCATGTAGAGTCCCGCAAGCTGGGGTGGGCCTCCCAGGAGGGGGTTTTGAAATTTTATTTGCAACCGAAGGTCCTGGGTCCTTGACTCATCACCAGCCCAGGGACAGCAGTTGAGGCCATCAAGATACCATAGTACTGAAGGCCATGTCATAGCCAGAGGCACTCGTGGCTCAGCTAGTGGAGAAAAGTTTGGAGTTACTGAGAATTCATTTGTAAACACTCCTCTGCCTGATAGTTTGTTAGAACTGTACTTCTTTGGCAGCTCTACATGTAAACTCAGGGCTTCCGGGGCCTGGAAACACTATAAGTAGTTTTGCTTTGTGTCTGTTGAGGTTAGGAGGTGCTGAGAAATCCATGATTCCTACCAACAACCTGAGAGCATCCCTGTATGGTGTTGTACCAAGTTCTAGCATGTCTTATGATTGACATGGGTGCTGAACTCTAATGAAATTGAAGTGAGAATGTACTCACCTAGCTGAAGGGATAGGAGTTTGGCTTTTTTGTGACCCTTCATGTTCTTTTGTTGAGTTGCTCTTCTGCTTAATATCTTAAATCTTCATTTTAGGATAGGGCCATCTGCTGTCATTCTGCATTCCTTTTGGCTTAAAGAACTTTTTAGATCCCTTTGTGACTGAATTATAGATAATCGCAATACCCCAGTGGTGTATATGTAAATCTGGAGCTCATCTTTTAGTGTATGGATACTGGGCAATGGGGAGGACATGTTTGCCTTTAAGTGACAGCCTTGGTACTGAGACAGCTGAAGCACCTGGGTCCATCTGGAAGTATTTAAATTGCTAATTGGCAGATGCTGTACATCACAGCATAAAGAACTCAGGAGAAAATAAGAAGGAACCCTCATTTACAATCATCAAATACTCCTCCTGACTTCCTTAATAGGTTCTTTAAATTACAGGGTAATGAGAGAAGTGAAATAAGCTGAATTGAGAGTGGATGGCAAAGGACGTTTTTTTAATTGAAGTTTTTATTTATTGAGATAATTCTAGGTTCACATGAAATTATAAGAAATAATACAGAAAGATCCCATGTATATTTTGCCAAGTTTCCCCCAATAGTAACATTTTACACAACTATAGTATAATATCACAACTAAGATACGGACATTGATATAATCTACTAAAAGGAATTTAGATTCCTTTTAGTTTCAATGATATATCGTGTCTCTCTCTCTCTCTCTCTCTCTCTATCTCTCTCTCTCTCTCTTTCTGTGTAGGTGTGTGTTAAGTTCTATACAATTTTACCCACCTGCATAGGTTCCTGTCTCCGTTGCCACAGTCCAGGTACTGAACAAGTCCAACACTATAAGGATTTTTTGTGTTGCCCTTTCATGGCCACACTGACTTCCTCCTGTTTCCATTCCCCAACTCCCCAAGTCCAAAACCTTTGGCAACTACTAATATGGCTTTCATTTCTGAAATTTTGTTATTTCAAAAAAGTCATATAAATGGAATCTTATAGTATGTAATATTTGGAATTGTCTGTTTCATGTAACTTAATTCCCTGGAGATTCATCCAAGTTTTTATATGTATTCTTTTTTTTTTTTTTTTTTTAAATTGCTGACTAGTATCCATGTTGTGTATATACCACAGTTTATTTAACCATTCATCCCTTGAAGGATATCTGGGCTGATCCCTGTTTTGGGCTATTACAAATAAAGTTTCCATAAACATTCATGGGTAGATTTTTTGCATGAATATAAATTTTCACTTCTCTGAGGTAAATGTTCAAGAGTACACTTACTAGGTCATACAGTAGTTGAATGTTTGGTTTACAAGAAATTGCCAAACCTTTTTCCAGTGACCACACCATTTTACATTCCTACTGCATTCTTGCTGGTGTTATTACAATTTTTTATTGTAGCCATTCTGATAGGTATGCAATGATACCTCCTCATTGTGGTTTTAATTTGGTTTTAAATAACAGCTAAGAATATTGAACATCTTTTCATATGCTTATTTGCCATCTGCATATCTTCTTCAGTGAATGTCTATGTCTTTTGCCTATTTTCTAATTGGATCTTTTTTTTTTTGGCTGTTTAGTTTTGAGAGTTCTTTATATATTTTAGATAGTCGTCCTTTGCCAGTTATGTGACTTGCAAATATTTTCTACTAGTCTATAACTTTTCATTTCGTCATTTCATCCTCTTCATAAAGACTTTCACAGAACAAAAGCTTTTAATTTTGATGAAGGTCAACTTCCTGATATTTCCTTTTTTTTTCTTCCTTCCTTCCTTCTGACTTCCCTCCCTCCTTCCCTCCCTTCCTTCCTTCCTTGGCAGGGAGTGCAGTGGCACGATCATGGCTCACTGCAGCCTTGACCTTCTGGGCTCAAGCAAGCCTCCCACCTCAGCCTACAGGTTCACACCACCACGCCTGGTTAATTTTTTAATTTTTTAATTTTTAGTAGAGACAAGGTCTTGCTTTGCTGCCCAGGCTGGTCTCAAACTCCTGAGCTCAAGCAATTCTCCTACCTTGGCCTCCCTAAGTATTGGGATTACAGGAATGAGCCACCAAACTTGGCCAATCTTTTCTTTTATATATAATACTTTTAAAATACATTTTTATTTCTTTCGTCGCCCAGGCTGGAGAGCAATGGCGTAATCTCGGCTCACGGCAACGGCAACCTCCGCTTCCTGGGCTCAAGTGATTCTCCTGCCTCAGCCTCACAAGTAGCTGGAATTACAGGCACACGCCACCATGCCCAGCTAATTTTTGTATTTTTAGTAGAGATGGGGTTTCACTATGTTGTTCAGGCGGGTCTTGAACTCCTGACCTCAGGTGATCCACCTGTCTCGGCCTCCCAGAGTGTTGGGATTACAGGCGTGAGCCACCGCATCCAGCCTCTTTTATAGGTAATACTTTTATTGTCAAGTCTAAGAACTCTTTGTGTAGCCCAATCCCAAAGATTTTCTACTAATTTTTAAAGTTTTATAGTTTTCTGTTGTATACTTAATTCTATGATCTACTTTGAGGTAAGTTTTTGTATAAGGTATAAGGTTTAGGTAGAGATTTTTTTTTATTTTTTTGCCTATGAATATCCAATTGCTCCAGCACTACTTGTTGAAAAACAATTTGGTGTTAAAAAGACCTAAATTATATTAGTGTTAGGAAAATATTATCCTTCATTCTGGACTTGAGAAGCTGCTATGCTGCTCCACAGAGCTAGTGTTCCTCATGAGATTCATAAAGCTCTGAAAGGTCCTGTAAAGAAAGATACTAATTTATGCTAGCACTATATGGAGGTTATTACTTCTAAGGGTTTCCAAGTGGCTTGAAGCTCAGGCCAGGAGTGTCCTAGTAACTATCCACTATAGAATAAGATTGAGTGGAAGGAGATGAATCCATGGGTCTAATTCCAGAAGGACAGAAAGGCCTCGAAGTCGACTGCATGATCAATAGCACAGGCGAGCAAACCTCCAGCTTTAAGGCCTATGGATCAGTAATCAGCCAGGTCACCCTCCTAGCAGTGTTTGTGCAGCCTCCATGTCACAGAGGCAACAAAACAGTTGAACAACACAGCCTAGTCAACTGGCCAATAGAATGAAAAATTATTTCTAGCATTTGCCTATGCTCTAGGTTTCCTTAAATATTAGCAAATAAATTTACCCTCGTTTCGGTGATCGTGGCTTCTCTATTACCTCCCATTCAAAGGTCTTTCACTCAGTTGTCACAATAAAGGGTAGTAGGAATGTATTTTTTTCAACTCTAATGCTAAAAGTTTTCAGTAGCTGTCAAATAAAATACATGCCATTACTGATCAAAAATCAAGAAATACCATTTCTTGGAAAGGTCTCAATTTAATTGCCTTTTAGACAACTGCAACCCAGCTAAAGTACCAGAGGAATAGTGAGCTGCATTGGAAACAGTACTAGATTACAGCTGACAGGTCAGGAAATCTAGTGTAGTCCTCATTAGCTGTGGGACTGCAGGGAAAACCCTTGACCTCTTTGTATTTCCACTTTCCTTTCCTCAAAATGGCAATAAGATTTGTCTTACTGACTTCACCATGCCATTGTGAAGCTCAAATAAGATCATATATGTGAAAGTGCTTTGAAACTCCCACAGTTATCCAGACTGAGAAGGCGCTCATTACAACAGGCTTCCCTGGCTATTCAAGAACCCTGACTGCTGCCAACATCCTCCCCACCCTCCTACCCAGCATTGTTTAATTTTTAAAAATCTAATTTTGAGAGACTGTAGGTAAAGTGCTGAGTGCAGTGCCTGGAATCTAAGTGTTCAATAAATCACAGCTGTCATAATTCTTCTGCCACATGTCTTTACACTTCACTCTAACCGACTACATGACAAAGTTCGGTTAATGGGCTGTGGCAGAGTGGGCTCTCTACCAGATATCTGTGCTATCTACCTTTCTCTAGCATACAGTTATCACTGAGAAGTGGCTGCTCATTCATCGACTACATTTCCAAAACCCTCCTGCAGTTAGCTGTGGCCATGTAACTGAGTTTTAGCAAAAGATTGTGAGCAAAAGTAATGTGTGCCACTTTAAAGCTTGGCCTTGAGAACTCTCAGGAAACGCTAAGCTCTTTGACCCTTCTCACTGCTTGGAATGGTGGATTCCCAAGGAGAATCTGGAAGGTATGTGTTGAGGACTGCAGATCCTCTGATTCCCTGACACTTCTAAATATATACACAGAGAAGGACTGATCAGCCAACCTATTTAACTGCCCAGGAAAACTGTTGCTTGAGCAAGAAATACGCTTCTATTGTTTTTGATTTATTGTGTAATTGTATTTATACAGTTTTTTTTTTTACAGCAGTTAGCCTGTCCTAAGGAAGTAATGGCTCACTTTCTCATTTTCTTGTGAACATGTTGTATATATGCATGACTATATATCACCTTACTCTGCCTGACCACACCAGCTTAGGAATCCTCTGTGTCTGAGGGGACAAGCACAGAGGCGTCTGCCACCAGTCTCTATTCCATCTGTTCTGAGGACTCCAGATGCCACCCAAGTTACTCATCCTTGGGTGGCTTACTTGGATATTTCCCTTATTTAGAGATTATTACAGTCAGGAAGGGAAAATAGTGTAGAAATTGCACAGACTTCCAGGGTCTATGATGATGGCTAAGGTTGACTGCACAGAGGGGTCCCCAGTGTGCCCTTCTCCCTGTGGGGCACCTCTGTCTCTGTCTCTGTGTGTTGGCTGTGTGCTCTTACCTACTGCTCTGCCAAACCTTTCTACCTTTACAGTCTCAAATGGAAAGGTATCTTTTTCTTGTGAAGGGAACTTTTTCTACAAATCTTAAAAAGATCTTATCCCTAAGTGATTCTCCTTTTGGGACCCATAAAGTAGTTTGGCATCTTCAGAATCCCAGCAACATCTGTTGAGAAAATTATATTTCCAAAGTCTAAGCCTAAGGACTATTTTAGTGACACCATTCTATATCATGTGGCAGGCCTGATATGGTTTGGCTCTGTGTCCCTATCCAAATCTCATCTTGAATTGTAGTCCCCACATGTTGAGGGAGGAAGGTGATTGGATCATGGGGGCAGTTTCCTCAATGCTATTCTTGTGACAGTGAGTGAGTTCTCATGAGATCTGATGTTTTTTTTTTTTTGTTGTTGTTGTTTTTCTTTCTTTCTTTTTTTTTTTTTTAATGGAGTCTTGCTCTGTCTCCGAGGCTGGACTGCAGTGGCACAATCTCGGCTCACTGCAAGCTCCGCCTCCCGGGTTCATGCCATTCTCCTGCCTCAGCTTCCCAATTAGTTGGGACTACAGGCGCCCACCACCATGCCCAGCTAATTTTTTTGTAATTTTGGTAGAGACGGGGTTTCACCATGTTAGCCAGGATGGTCTCAATCTCCTGACCTCATGATCTGCCCGCCTCGGCCTCCAAAAGTGCTGGGATTACAGGCGTGAGTCACCGCATCTGGCGAGATCTGATGGTGTTATAAGCATTTGACAGTTCTTGCTTCCCATGCTCTGTCTTGCCTGCCACAGTGTAAGATGTACTTGCTTCCCCTTCCACCATGATTACAAGTTTCTTGACACCACCCCAGCCATGCAGAACTGTGAGTCAATTAAAACTTTTTCCTTTATAAATTACCCAGTCTCAGGCATTTCTTTATAGCAGTGTGAAAATGGACTAATACAAGGCCTTTGAATTCAGTGAATATGTGTCTTTCCTGTCACCTTCCCTGATTTCAGAGTAGACTCCTTATATTAGTAGAGACACTTCCACCTCCTCTTCTTTTTATTTTATCCTATTTTAGGTTCCAGGATACATGTGCAGGATGTGCAGGTTTGTTACTTAAAGATGTGCCATGGTGGTTTGCTGAACCTATCAACCCTTCACTTAGGTATTAAGCCCAGCATGCATTGGCTATTTTTCCTGATGCTCTCCCTCCCCCTGCCACTCCCACAGGCCCCAATGTGTGTTGTTCCCCTCTCTGTGTCCATGTGTTCTCAATGTTCAGCTCCCACTTACAAGTGAGAACATGTGGTGTTTAGTTTTCTGTTCTTGCATTACTTTGCTGAGGATAATGGCCTCCAGTTCCATCTCTGCCCCTGCAAAGGGGTGAGATGGCCACAGCTAACTGCAGGAGGGTTTTGGAAATGTAGTCGATGAATGAGCAGCCACTTCTCTGTGATAACTGTATGCTAGAGAAAGGTAGGTAGCACAGATATCTGGTAGACAGCCCTCTCTGCCACAGCCCATTAACCAAACTTTGTCATGTAGTCAGAGTGAAGTGTAAAGACATGTGGCAGAAGAATTATGACAGCTGTGATTTATTGAACACTTAGATTCCAGGCACTGTACTCAGCACTTTACCTACAGTCTCTCAAAATTAGATTTTTAAAAATTAATCAATGCTGGGTAGGACGGGGGGAGGATGTTGGCAGCAGTCAGGGTTCTTGAATAGCCAGGGAAGCCTGTTGTAATGAGCACCTTCTCAGTCTGGATAACTGTGGGAGTTTCAAAGCACTTTCACGTTCATTTTTTTCAAAGCACTTTCACCCTCATTCATTTTTATGGCTGCATAGTATTCCATGGTATATATGTACCACATTTTCTTTATCCAGTCTATCACGGATGAACATTTAGGTTGATTCCATGCATTCACTATTGGGAATAGTGCTGCAATGAACATAAGTGTGCATGTATCCTTATAATAGAATGATTTATATTCCTTTGGGTATATACCCAGTAATGGGATTGCTGGGTCAAATGGTATTTCTGATTCTAGGTCTTTAAGGAATCACACACTGTCTTCCGCAATGGTTGAACTAATTTATATTCCCACCAACAGTAAGAAAACTTTCCTATTTCTCCACAGCCTTGCCATCATCTGTTGTTTCTTGACTTTTTAATATTAATAATTTCCATTCTGACTGGTGTGAGATGGTATCTCATTGTGGTTTTGATTTGCATTTCTCTAATGATCACGTGATGTTGAGCCTTTTTTCACATGTTTCTTTGCAACATGTATTCGTTTAAGAAGTGTCTGTTAATGTCCTTTGCCTACTTTTAATGGGGTTGTTTGTTATTTTCTTGTAAATTTGTTGAAGTTCCTTGTAGATTCTGGATATTAGACCTTTGTCAAATGGGTAGATTGCAAATAATTTTTCCAGTACTGTAGGTTGTCTTTTCACTGTGATGATAGTTTCTTTGTCTGTGCAGGAGCTCTTTAGTTTAATTAGACCCCATTTGTCAGTTTTCGTTTTTGTTGCAATTGCTTTTGACATTTTTATCATGAAATCTTTGCCTGTACTTATGTGCTGAATGATATTGCTTAGATTTTCTTCTAGAGATTTTATAGTTTTGGGTTTTACATTTAAGTTTTTAATCCACCTTGAGTTAATTTTTGTATAAGGCATAAGGAAGGGGTCCAGTTTCAATTTTCTGCATGTGGCTAGCCAGTTTCCCCAGCGCCAGGTATTAAATAGGGAATTTTTTCCCCATTGCTTGTTTTTGTCAGGTTTGCCGAATATCAGTTGGTTGTAGATGTGTGGTCTTATTCCTGAGATCTCTACTCTGTTCCATTGGTTGATGTGTCTGTTTTTGTACCAGTACCATGCTGTTTTGGTTACTGTAGCCTTATAGTATAGATTGAAATCAGGTAGCGTGATGCCTCCAGCCTTGTTCTTTTTGCTTAGGATTGTCTTGGCTATACGGGCTCTTTTTTGATTCCATATGAAATTTAAAGTAGTTTTTTTCTAATTACGTGAAGAATGTTAATGGTAGTTTAATGGGAATAGCATTGAATCTATAAATTACTTTGGGCAGTATAGCCATTTTCACGATATTGATTCTTCCTATCCATGAGCAAGGAATGTTTTTCCATCTGCTCGTGTCCTCCCTGATTTCCTTGAGCAGTGGTTTGTAGTTCTCCTGTGGTTCTGGAATAGCCAAGGAAGCCTGTTGTAATGAGCGCTGAAGTTGCTTATCAGCTTAAGAATCTTTTAGGCTGAAGTGATGGTGTTCTATAGGTGTAGGATCATGTCATCTACAAACAGAAACAGTTTGACTTCCTTTCTTCCTATTTGAATACCTTTATGTCTTTCTCTTGCCTGATTGCCCTGGCCAGAACTTCCAATACTATGTTGAATAGGAGTGATCAGAGAGGGCATACTTGCCTTGTGCAGGTTTTCAAGAGGAATGCTTTCAGCTTTTGCCCATTTAGTATGATACTGGCTGTGGGTTTGTCATAAATGGTTCTGATTATTTTGAGGTATGTTCCATCAATACCTAGTTTATTGAGTGTTTTTAACATGAAGGGATGTTGAATTTTATCAAAGGCCTTTTCTGTGTCTATTGAGAGAATCATGTGTTTTTTGTCTTTAGTTCTGTTTATGTGATGAATTGCTTATTGATTTGCATATGTTGAACCAGCCTTGCATCCCAGGAATGAAGCCGACTTGATTGTGGTGGATAAGCTTTATGATGTGCTGGCTGGATTCAGCTTGCCAGTATTTTACTGAGGATTTTGCATTTTTGTTCATCAGGGATTTTGACCTGAAGGTTTCTTTTTTTTTTTTGTATCTTTGCTAGGTTTTGGTATCAGGATGATGCTGGCTTCATAAAATGAGTTAGGGAGGAGTTCCCCTTTTTCAATTGTTTGGACTAGTTTCTGAAGAAATGGTACCAGCTTTTCTTTGTACTTCTGGTAGAATTTAGCTGCAAATTCGTCTGGTCCTGGGCTTTTTTTGGTTGATAGGATTTGTTTTTGCCTCAGTTTTAGAACTTGTTATTGGTCTATTCAGGGATTCAACTTCTTCCTGGTTTAGTCTTGGGAGGCTGTATGTATCCAGGAATTTATCCATTTCTTCTAGATCTTCTAGTTTATTTGCATAGAGGTGTTTATAGTATTTTCTGATGGTTGTTTGTATTTCTGTGGGGTCAGTGGTAATATCCCCTTTATCAATTTTTATTGTGTCTATTTGATTCTTTTCTCTTTATTATTCTAGCCAGTGGTCTATGTATTTTATTAATTTTTTTTTCAAAAAACCAGCTCCTGGATTCACTGATTTTTTTGAAGGGTTTTTTGTGTCTCTATCTTCTTCAGTTTTGCGCTGAGCTTGATTATTTCTTGTCTTCTGCTAGCTTTGGCGTTTGTTTGTGCTTGGTTCACTAGTAGTTTTAGTTGTGATGTTAGGATCTTGATTTGAGATCTTTTTAATTTTTTGATGTGGGCATTTAGTTCTATAAATTCCCCTCTTAACACTGCTTTAGCTGTGTCCCAGAGATTCTGGTACATTGTCTCTTGTTCTCATTGGTTTCAAAAAACTTCTTGATTTCTGCCTTAATTTCATTATTTACCCAGGAGTCATTCAGGAGCAGGTTGTTCAATTTCCATGTAGTTGTGTGGTTTTGAGTGAGTTTCTTAATCTTGAGTTCTAATTTGATTATTTGATTATTTTTTTGCATTGGGTTAGAACATGCCCCTTTAGCTCAGCGAAGTTTGTTATTACTCAGCTACCGAAGCCTACTTCTGTCAGTTCATCCATCTCAGCCTCAGCCCAGTTCTGTACCCTTGCTGGAGAGGTGTTGCGATCATTTGGAGGAGAAGAAGCACTCTGAGTTTTTGAGTTTTCAGTATTGTTTTCATTGATTTTTTGTTTTAATCCTCAGTGAGTTTATCTACTTTTGATCTTTGAGGCTGCTGACCTTTGGATGAATTTTTTTGTGGGGGCTTTTTGTTGATGCTGTGGTAGTTGTTGCTTTTTGTTTTTCTTTTAACAGTCAGGCCCCTCTTCCATAGGGCTGCTGTGGATTGCTGGGGGTTCACTCCAGACCCTAGACCCTATTTACCTGGGTCGCTCCTGCACTTGGAGGTGTCACCAGTGCAGGCTGCAGGATAGCAAAGATGGCTGCCTACTCCTCCCCCTGGGAGCTCCATCCCAGAGGGGCACCGACCTGATGCCAGCAGGAATGCTGCTGTATAAGGTGTCTGGCAACCTCTGTTGGGGGGGTCTCACCCAGTCAGGAGGCATGAGATCAGGGACCCACTTCACAAGGCACTCTGGCTGCCCCTTGGTGGAGGGGCTGCGCTGTGCTGGGGGGGCATCCTGCTCGTTCGGATTGCCCAGATTCCTCAGAGCCAGCAGGGGTAAAGATTAAGTCTGCTCATCTGCCTAGACCACAGCAGCCCCTCCCCTCATGGACTCCATCCCAAGGAGATCAGAGTTCTGACTGTAAACCCTTTGCTGGAGTTGCTAAAATTCCTGTAGAGAAGCCCTGCCCAGTGAGGAAGGATGGGTCCAGGTTCAGCCTAAAAAGGCAGTCTTCCCATGATCTGTCAAAGACACTGTGAGAAATTCCTCCTGGGTCCAAACTGCCCAGTCTCCCTGGCACCGGCAGAAGAAAATGGCAGACTGGTACCTCCTCTTCTTTCGCCAAGTCTTAATGCCCCATCGACCATGTCTAAAGTTCCCTTTTCCTTTCTTCACAGAATCTTTGAGCCCTTCTAGCCAAGAGGACTCTGGCCCATCTCACTGAGCCCCCAAGAACCCCAGGGTGCATGTGCAGATAGAAACCTTGCAAGGCCCTTGTTGCTGAGCTATGGCAGATGGGCGTTAATCTGTTTTCATGGCTTAGAGGCAGACACGAAATCCATCGGCTAGAGGGACTGATGAGCTGCTTGGGAATAAGATCATTCTCAGAGGAAGAGAGTGAGATGCCCAGGCTTGATTCAGCACAATACTCTCACTGTTGGGCCAAGACTGTTCTGATTCAGAATACAGCATGCGTAGTGTTAAATAGAGGCCAAGTTCAAGGGTAAAGTGGATAAAGATAAAAATGTAAAGCTGTTTACACACAGGGAGTTCCTGAGGTTCGGAGCATAGGCCAGTACAGTTTGAGGTTAATTTTAAAAGAGAATAGCATGAAGTTGGGTTGAGGGATTATTTTACTTTCATCCTTGGCCGCCCAGGTGCTCAGATGTGGGGGCACCTGGGGCCACTTAGTGGTGTTTGTTTTCAGAGACACTGGGTAAGGAGGGACTGAAATAGCTGAAGGCCAGGTACAATAAGTGGATGGGAGAAAGAAAAGATCAAGTCAAGAGGCCAAGGGGCAGGATGAGAATGAGAATATCAACAACAAAAGTAATTAGAATGAGGTGGCTGGAGAAAAGCGTAAGGAAAAATTGGAGAGTAAATTCAGGAAGAAATCCTGCCAGTGAGCTGAATAGCAGTGTTTCTCCCTTGGTCTGTGATAGGGATCAGATGAAAGTCTTCTAAAACTAATAAAAGAATGTTAGTAAAGTTATTTATCTCTGTGCAGATGATGGAGAAGTGGAATTAAGTTGAGAAAAATATTCTAAGAGCATAATGGACAATCATGGGACTCTGAACATGTGACATACTATATTTTTTTTTCTAATTTTTCCCTTATGACGTGTAAAAATCAAATTACGCAAAGCAGCAAAGTCTGAGAATCTGTGGTTCAAATAAATCAATCAGAAATAAGCTTTTAAAGTGCAGTCTGTTTTTCAAGAGTTGGCTTTATTAAGTAAAATGAGAATGACCTACAGATATTTGCCATATCAATTTTTGTGACATGTTTGATAGAAGGCATTTTCTGTCCGTGAGGAGTTTTATCTAATCAAATTTTCTTAATACGGCCCACATTTGATGCAGTCACAGAGACTCTAAACTCCATCTTTACTGCTTTTCCTCCTCTGAGTTTGTTAAATACAGCGCAGCCATCGGCCCTGTAGAAATCTTTATTTGAACAAATGAAAAAAAAAAACAAACCCAAGACTGGGGAACCCTAACATATCACATGGGCATTTTCGAGGGGGAGGTAGTTATCACCACAGCCTCTGGAGCCAAGGAGATCTAGGCTTAGCCCAGCTTAGCCCTCAGATCAGTCATGGACCTAATGAAAACTGACTTAAGACTCAAGTTTCCTCAGTGAAAAGCAGAGATAATAATAGTAACAAATGGAGTAATGCATGTACATTGCTTAGAACCTTAAAATAAATTTAACAGAAGTTAGCTCTTATTTAATAACTGCATCTAAAGCAATTTAAAACATTTCTGCCTCTTTGTCCAAATGAAACTGGTGCAGTTATACCACCAGCCATAAATTCAACAAAAAATTCTACTGGAGAGACTCCTACCTGGGTGGTGACCAGTGGTATATATAATTCTCTGTATGTACATGTGTGTGCGTGTGTGTGTGTGTGTGTGTGTGTGAGAGAGAGAGAGAGAGAATGCAAGTGAAAGACAATGACATCTTTAAAGAACTGAAAGAAAAACAAAACCTATCAACCCATGATCCTCTGCCCAAATGAATTTTTACTTAAAAAATTCAATTATAACTTTCTCAATTTCTTTGTGTAGATCCTGGCATCATAGTCCTGATACCTGAAGAATTTATCATTTATTGTAGCGCAGGTCTTCTGGCAATGAATTCTCTAAATATTTTAATGTTTCATTGAGCTGAAAAAGTCCCTATTTTGGCTTATGATTACCCATGGTAGCCACCTAGCATGCTCCCTTGTATAACGGGAGGAAACCCCATCACTACAGGACAGGTGACAATTGACTCAAGACAGAGCACTATGCATTTTACTCTGTTTCTTGTCTCTTAGAATTCTAGCTCCTTGAAAGCAGGAGCAGTCTTAGCACATAGCTCAAGTCACACTTTCCTCAGCAGCCACCACTTCGGCCACTTCTGAATTGGCAGCAGCCACATTCCCTATCACTGTCCCCTTAGCTGCCCCACCATTGCCTCCGTATATTCCTGCGCCATGTGTCACGATTGACCCATCCTATCACAGCCGTGTCGGTGAAAGCTTGAGGTGACAAGGGCTGTACTATCACATCTTCCCTAGAGATAGCTAAGCAGCTAGGTGGGATTGGGAAGCCAACAGAATGTGGGGGTGAAGATGAGGAGATGATGGGGGGGGGATATGACAGAGGTGACCCAGGGCAGGAATGGTTGCATCAGGGATGGACAGGATGGGGGAGATGAGTGAGCTGAGGACACCTGTGACTCCATGGAGACAGAAAATGCCCTTCAGAAGGAAGAAATATGGGTGCAGAAGTTGGTGGGTAGGGATGGGTATAGGGACAGAGATGGGGAAGGCTGTGTGTGTGTTTGTGTGTTTAAGTTTAATATCATTTGTTTTGAACTGATAGGCTGGAAAAAATCTTTTAAAATAATAACAAGCTATTTACCAGGCAAAGGACAATTGCATCTAGACTAGTAAGAAACATATTAGAAAAAACTTAGTTGGAGCCCTGGACCTGCCACTGTGAAGCTTTCTAAGCTCTAGTTAAATCTTCTATGACTATTAAATAAAATAATGTATATAATGTCCTAGAACATTGGAGCTACACAGCAAATACTATTAGTATTAACCACATAAACTTGGAAATCATGCAGACTTTTGTCAAAATATTATTCACCTGCCTTTCTATTTAAAAAAAGAGGTTTTCATATTCCCAACCTCCATGGTTCTTTTGGGGTTTATCTACTCTATGATAATTCTGTGATATAATTCACCATGATTTTAAGCATGAGCCCCAATTTGCATGCCAGCCAGACATAGATAAATGCACATATAGAAAAGGCTTGAATAGTCTTCAAAATATTCTAATTATTCATCTTGGTAATTTTTTTTTCACACACACACAAAATTCCTCCAAGGATTAAGCAACATTATCATTTGTCTAAATCAAGTAGACTCAGAATGTTTGGTAGGCTGTTTGCCACTGTAAATACAACTACTGTTGCAGAAATGTCAGAGAGAATAACTTAGTCTGTATTAAGTCACCTCCCTGCCTCAGATTTCTCCGCTCTCAACATGCGACTTTTACGCCTTACCAAACTTGCATTTCCAGAGCACAGATCTGTGCATGTCTTGTCTCTCACCCTGATCCTCCAGGGGGTCCTCATTGTCAAACAGCTCATCTGACATGCCTGGGACACATTTCTAGCCTCAACTCTCATGAAGCCTCCTCAGAGACCTTATGTTCTAGAAAAACTGAGACATATTTTATTTCTTGTCCCATGCTTTCCCAGTGGGAATGTTTAAATTCTACCCATGCATTGAGGCTCAGATAAAATAGCATGTCCTTTTGAAGCTTTTCCTAATTCCCATGTTTAAATCCAAGGTGATAATTTTTGTCTCTACACTATCATGGAACTTTATTTTACCCATTTTTTACTGTACTTGCCTACCTGTCTAATTGCTCGCCTCTCTCCCTCCTCTCCTTACACTCCTTTCTTCCTCAAACACCATGGACACCTATATGTTTTACAGGCTGAGCATAAAGTGATGAACAATGCAGAAAAGATCCATACTCTAGTGGATGTGACAGTATTCTTGGGGCAAAGATAGCCATGAATCTAATAACCAAAAAGCAAATTTGTAATTACAAAATGAGTTGAGTACTGCCAAGGAAAGTACAGAGCACCATGAGTGATATGCTTTGGCTGTGTCCTCACCCAAATCTCACCTTGAATTGTAATAATCCCCACATGTCAAGGGCAGGGCCAGGTGGAGATCATTGAATCATGGGGGCAGTTTCCCCCATACTGTTCTCACAGTAGTGAATCAGTCTCATGAGACCTGATGGCTTCACAAATGGGAGATCCCCTGCAAAAGCTCTCTTGCCTGCTATCATGTAAAGTGTGACTTTTCTCCTCATTTGCCTTCTGCCATGATTCTAAGGCCTCCCCAGCCATGTGGAGCTGTGAGTCAATCAAACCTCTTTCCTTTATAAATTACCCAGTCTCGGGTATGTCTTTATTAGCAGCCAGAGAACAGACTAATACAATAAGCTAGCATAACAGAAGATAGAATTTAGATTTTGAGGTACAGAAGAAGAAATTTTGGACAGAGAAATGGTGCAGACCTGTCATAGCCTATATAAAGATGCTAACAAAGGACAAAAACAGGCATCACACATTCAGGTATCCTAGCCCCTAATCCACAGTGAAATGGTCAAGCTCTTCTGGAGAATTCAGAAGAAACTGACAAGGTTTTCCTTGATGCTTACCCAGCTGTCTAAGAGCAGAACACCTTGATTAGCCTCTCTTCTAGTTAATTACCAGTTTACCCGTTTAACCAAATGATCAGTTTGAAAATTAACAGTTTTCAAACTGTCTTTGGTTTTTCCTTCTCCTATCCTCTTTTTATTTTATATTCCGGGTTTGGCTTTTTAAAATAAATTAACAATAAATAATTATTATCGGTTTTCACTGCATATCATTAAATAATATGTTAACAAATAACAATATGCCTGTCAGGTATTTTTGGCAGAAGTTAGCATTTACTGAGATTTTGTCATGTTCCAAACATGGTGCTAAGAGCTTTAAATTGTTTCATTTAATGCTCATAACATACTTCTAAGATCAATTATTATTGTTTTATCATCAAAATGGAAACTAAAGCACAAAAAGATTAGTCAAGAAAAGACCAAATTTGATTCTAGTTCTTTTATTTCAAAACCTGTGCTTCTACCCACAAATCACCACTCCCAAACCATACCACTTTTTCAAGCTTCTTGAAGGGAAAGATAATGTTTCATCCATAGTGAGTCTTGACTGGTGAGATGAAAAATCAGGTAGAATAAACACGCCTGATGCCATTGTATTACAGAAATATAGGGGCTTACGCTGATCTTCTGAAAACATGACTCTCAATTTTGAGGACCCAAATCAGTCCAAATTTTAAATGTCAATTTTCCATGATAACGTAATAATAACTCCGGCTCACAAGCAATGATTCTATGTGATTCTCTAAGATAGCTGTTAGATGACATTGTGAATATATTATGTTTTCTTTTTTTTTTCTCAGCTCACTTTTACCAAATACATTTTATTTTGTTGTATTTATTTTATAAGGATGTTTACTGCACAAATAGATTTTAATCTAGGTTTTCCCTTTGCTTCCTTCTTCCTTCTCCCTTTTTATCTTTCTTTCCTTCTTGTTTCTTTTCCTCCTTTTGTATTTTCTTTCTTTCCCATCCTTTCTTCGTCCTTTCTTCCTCCTATTTATCCATGCATCCATCCATCCATCCCACTTTGTCATTCTATAGTAGCAGAATAGTTGAAATTTCCAGAAATTGTAAACATCCTTCTAACAAGAATTGGTCTCCAGGTGTTAGCATTCTCATAGCTGAGTTCAGAAATTGGCATGAGTTAGCTTACTAGTGCAAGCATCTCTTGTTGAGGGCAATTTGTAACTTTATTTGAAAAGGATTTTCATTTTCTAAGCAAAATTCAAAAGCACTGCTTGCTCCCCACCACAGAGAATTTCTAAAGCTTTCAGAAAGCATTTCACCTGAATAAAATATGAGGCTATATGATAAATAGGTGGACCTTGAAAACTTGAACACTGAGATGCTTATCTAATCCTGAACTATGCTTCAGTGGAATAACTTGATTAACTTCCAAGGTTTGACACTGTTTCCGGTTAAGCCAGAATGTCTCCTAGGAACAACTACTTAGCTGTTATATTGGTGCTCTCCTTCAAAAAATCAAAACAGTGCAGATGATAGAAAGTAATTTTTAAAATTTTGTAATGTACACTTGTGGGTGTACATTTAGATATACGCATGCAGGATTAACCTGAGATATGAGGACATGATGAGCAGGCTAATAATTTGGTATCTCCTTAAGCAATATTCTTTAAATGGTTGTTCCACATTGATTTAGTGGTAAAGAGGAGGACCTAGTTTTCTATTCGTAAGAATTGTATTTTTCTACTGTGCAGCCATAAAAAGGAAGGAGATAATTCCTTTGCAGGGACATAGATGGAGCTGGAGGCCATTATCTTTAGCAAAGGAATGCAGGAACAGAAAACCAAATATTGCACATTGTGAGTGATAAATGATGAGAACACATGGTCACATAGAGGGGAACAACACACAATTTGGCCTTTAAGAGCGTGAAGGGTGGGAGGAGGGGAGGATTTGGAAAAACAACTAATGGGTACTCGGCTTAACACCTGGGTGATGAAATAATCTGTACAACAACCCCCATGACACAAGTTTACCTATGCAACAAACCTGCATTTCTACCCCTGCAGTTAAAAGTTATGTTTTTTTTTTCTTTCTAGATTCACATTGGCTAACATTTCTAAATTTATTGTGGCTCTAGTTCTTTCTCTATTTTTCTATTGTTGTTTATCTGAAAAAATTTGTTGGAATGTACTTAAAGGTTTTAAATTTAGATTAAACAGTAACATTTTACTGCAGCATGCACTACATCATGTTTCTTTTCTTGTTTTGTTTCAGATTTTTCTTGGATTTTATTTCCCTTTCAATGGCCTACTCTCAGTGTTGGTGTCTGAGCTTCCTCTGTGTGGAACAGAAGATTTTTAAACCTGTATATTTATAGCAAACAATGAATCTCTAAATAGTTCTTCAGATCTTGAAGTGTTCCCACTTATTAATTAATTTGAGAAGGTTTTGCCAGATCTGAGGGAGATTTTCATATTTTTTCTTCTCATATGGCAAAGAAGTTCTCAGGCCTATGAATTTATAGAAAGAAAGTGAAATCTGGCAAGATCATCAGAGACTGTTTAATTGGGATTTTTGTGCTTCAGAAAACAAGAAAATCAAGCTCAGAGATGAAATCAGGTCTTCCAAACCTCCTGAAAGGAGTCTCCCTGTTCTATATTCAGGAAGGCATTGGTCACATTGAGGTCCTTTTGGGATTCTCTAGTTTTCATGTTTCAGTGGTAGACAAGGGAGTGTTTGAAGCATCAAGAGCATTTTCAGTGTCACTATTCTCTGTCTTAACTCTCCTGAAGCACCAACCATGATCAAGCTTGCAGTCTGAGTGTAAGATGTAGAAGGAGACAGAAATGAAATGCAGTTACCCAAGAAATATTTAAATACAATTGTATTAAATACTGTGATGGAGAGATACAGACTACTGCGAGTGTGTATATAAAAACGGGGGGTCCTGATCTGGTCAGGTGGAATGGGGAAAGCTTCCAGGAGGAAGACAAATTTAAGCTGAGACCTGAAGGGCGATTAGAAATTGTGCAACTGAGGGAGACAATTCTATTAATAGCGCTATATCCCCTAGTGACTGGAATGTAGGGTTTGAGACCTTGGGCTCAAAGACTGACTGCCTGAACAAAATTCTCTCCTTTACCACACTTTTAGCTCTGTTTTCTGTGGGCAAGACACTGAAGTTTTCTGTTTCTCCAGCCCTTTGTATGAAATTAGGGAATAATACTATTAAGGTATTGTGCTCTTAAACCATTATCACACAATTTTGATAATCCCATGTGAAACTTAAATGCAATAATGCATGTAAAGCATTTTAACAGTGCCAAACACTCAGTAAACAATCAACAAATATTGGCTATTATTATTGCAGGATTCTGCAGCTTACAAAACATTTTCATAGGCATCATACATTATCTCATCACCAATGCTTTCCTATAGTACTAGTTCTCGGGACACTTCCTCTGCTGATGGTACTATGATTCTATTTGGAGAAAATAAGCAAATGCTGTGAACCCCTTTTTAGCTTTATTAGGGGCTAGGAGTATTCTGTGGGAGAATCGAGACAGAGCTTGGGTCTCGGAGTCCCCAAGTATATTCAAGAATCCTCCTATGTAGACTGGAAGTTTACCAATACTTAAAATTCTAGCAGTGTCTTAGATGAATAGAGGCACACATTTAAAGGACTAGGTTACATTAAGGATTTTGAAAACATGACATTTATGGTTTAACTGCTCCTCAGGAATCATGTCCTCAAACTGTTCAATAATGATGTAAGATGGGTGAACAAACAATTTAAGCTTCACTCTAAAATAATCTCGGCGGGAGCACAATATTGTAAACAGTCATTGCTGCATCTCCATTCTGTGAAGTTCCCTTTCATTGTTGTCCATTTATTCCTTTAAACTAAAAGTCTTTGACCAAGTTACTTAGCATCTTCTAACAATTCTTAAAAGTTCTTCTAAAGAAATTCAGCGTAAGGCGGTGTGAGCTATTACACTGACTATAAAGAATGTCATTTCTATTGAAAAGAGCAAACTTTCCACTAAACACATTTGACCTTCTTCTATCTGGTATTGTGGCTCATCTGAGAATAGGGATGGTGGCTGTATTAGTTCATTCTCATGCTGCTAATAAAGACGTACCCGAGATTGGGTAATTTATAAAGGAAAAGGGTTTAATTGACTCACACAGTTCAGCATGGCTGGGGAGGCCTCAGGTAACTTACAATCATGGTGGAAGGGGAAGCAAACATGTCCTTCTTCACATGGCAGCAGCACGGAGAAGTGCAGAGGGAAGTGGGGTCGGGGGAAGTCCCTTATAAAACCATCAGCTCTTGTGAGAACTCACTCATTATCACAAGAACAGCAGCATGAGGGAAACTGCCTCCATGATTCAATTACCTCCCATGACATGTGGGGATTATGGAAACTACAATTCAAGATGAGATTTGGGGGTGGGGACACAACCAGACCATATCAGTGGCATTTATTATTGCAATTTGACAGCATTTAACATTGGTAAGTTATTTTACAGCTTGCAAAATATTTTATCACGTTTGGTTCTCTCAGCAGCCTTTCTCAATTTTCAGTTAGTGAAATTGAGACCCAAAGTTAAATAGATTGCCCAAGTTCAGAGAGCTGGTCAGTGACACAGCCAGGAGTTGAACCAAATGTTTCACTTCCAAATAGAAAGCTCTTGCCACCAAATTTTGATTTTTTGCTTCATTTTCAAAGCTTGCACAGGAACACAAGAGCAGGCATTTTACAGTTCTAAGATTAGTAGAACACAGAAGATGATCTTTTGCTAGTATGTCACTGAGGACCCCACTGAACTGCATTCAGTTCCCAGGAAGTATTAGGACTTCAAAGACCAGGCAAGAGGATATTACTGTGTCACTGCCAAGCAACGTAGACAAGGTTGCAGTAGTGCCCTTGGGGAGAACTGTTGGGGGTACAGAGTTACAGCAGGACATTAGCCTCTGTGACACTTTCTATACCTGAGAATTTCCCAGAGGCCATGAGGAGCTAATCCTCCCAAGGCTTTTGGGAATTTTCAACCCTGTGTGGAAAAGACAACCTCCAACAATTTAAGACACCCAAGAAAAGTTGTTAATGATTCCCTTAGGGTTCCTCACTTCAGGTGGTTTAAGAATTCTTTCATTTGAACCTGAATCAGGACGTCTCTTTAAGAAAATCCAGCTTGCTATTTTACTGCCCTCCTTTGGGATTAAGTTAAGGAAACTAAAGCCATTATCTGCTTGTGGCTTTGCTGAATCAATGAATTTTACTCACTATAAACCCACATGAAGTGATTCTTTTTCATGAAAAGATGGCATAGGCATTTTTTGAACCTTGAGTTTTGAAGGATACACAGAAGGCTCTCTCAGTCTGATAATTAGAGCAGACATGGCAGTGCACATGCACAGTGTCAGGGGCTTTTCCATACTGGACACGCTGAAAGACAGGTACAGATTCTGTTTAAAGTAAAATAATAAAAAGAGGGGCTAGGTTAAAAGGGAATTAAAAACATTTGGAAATCATTAAAAAATGGTTTGTCTTTCTCTGGATGTTGCTCTCTAAATTGCACCTTCCCTTTAGCCTTTTGAGACATCTTTTGTTAAAAGCAAATACAGATACAACAATTTTGCTTCTTTGGGACAAATCTCATGGACTGGCACACGTGGCTTAGGGTGAGCAGTCAAAGCTTGGCAAAGCTACCACGTTTTCTTAAATCTAGGACTGCATTGATTCAAAAATGCATCACCTTATTTTTATGCACCACCAAGAAAAAAAAATACCAACAGCTGGTCACACCAGCCTCTTATGGCTTTGCATCTTGTCTTTTCAATGGTATTGGTGATTTTTCTTTCCTTCATTTCATTGCCTGGCAAGTGAGAGACACTGTCTTTTGCATGTGCCCCAATAACAAAATGTAACCCATTTTCATCCACATCTATAAATAACTTGATTGTTGCTTTGCAAGAAATTAGGGAGTTTCAATCATCACTTGGACAGTAAGTATTTATTTCTCTAGTAATACCAAGTTTACATGCAGTGGCTCATTTCAACAAAATGACTTTGTTTCCGAAGTGAATCATAGCGTAGTCTTTTTAAAGACTGACAAGTTATAATATTTCGTATGTCACCACTGCCACCCAGCCAACAGCAATGGTAATAAGACACATTTAAATTTTGGAAAAGTTAAATTGTGAAAAAAAAGTATGATTTAGAATTGATGAACTATGATAATTCATCACTCTAAACAGCCAAGAGATAAGGAAACGATCCAGATATGGGAATTTCCTGTCCAGCGATGAGGAATTGAAGAAGTAACCTAGTGACAAAGGACTTAATGTTCTCCTCAACATGACTAAGCTTTAGATAGGTTTCTTCCTGAACCCCCTTTCCTTAAAGCATTTACTTTAGGAAACTTACATTCTTTCTCTGCCCCTTTGAGGTGTAAATCTTCTATAAATCAGAAGTATCTTTCTCAAGGACCTGGGAACCACCCCCTTTAAATGTAATAATCTAAAGAGATGCGGCCCCTGTCTCCCAGTCTCTGTGGGAGGGTAGGAGTCTAACTTTGATGGGCACTCATTAACAAACACAGACGGCCTCACACATTAATCAGCCTTCACTCCTAATGTCCTCTAGTGCTTTCCCATTAACTCACTCCAGAATTTACAAATCCTCCCCTCGAGCCTTTTGTTTCAGGGGAGTTGAATTTAATCTCTCTCTCCATCGCAACAGTCTGGAATAAAGTCCTCCTTGCTTGTTTACCTGGTCCAGCGCAACTTTTCTTTTACACTAGTAACCCAGTTCTAGAGAAATGGTCAGCGTTAAAATGATACTGCTTACACACTTAGCATGTGCTATTTTGAATTGTGATTTTCTCTTTTTACACATAAGTTTTGGTCTCCCAATTAGCTTATATAGTTTATATATTTTCTGAGAGTAAAATCCCAGCAATATATATTCCCCTGTAGTATTTTCGTGTTGTAAATGCTGAGTGAAAGTGAAGGTGTGTTGAAAATTATAGTTTATGATTAGAACTGGTCATTTTTATTGTTTAGAATCATAGGAGTTTAGAGGTGAAAGGAAATTCTTTCTAATCCAAATATCAAATTTTTTAGTATAATATTCTGTGGCCTAGAGGGATTAACATTATATTTTTTTCAAGATACACAATTAGTTAATGGTTAGCCAAAAACAACCCAGTGCTGTCTTCACTAGACCAATGATGCCCCACACTGAACTACCCACTGAAGAGACCTATGGAGCTTTAAAAAATGCTGATGCAATTTTTTCATCAAGATCAATTGATTAAAAGTCTCTGGTTGTGGGCCCTCACATTTGTGGTTTGTAAAAGCTCTCCAGGTGATTATAAAATGCAGTCAAGTAAGGGAACTACTAGAATATGCTTTCTTCCTTTGTGTAACATACTAAAACCTAACAAGAAACTAGTTCTTAGTTTGCGGTCCTGTGCAGAGTGGCAGAGGGATAAATTTTTAATGCTTTTAGCACTTCTGAGTGGATTCCCATTTTTAACAGCACTCATCATTTATTATTTTTATTCCTTCTGTTGCTTTCATGACTAGAAGCTTATAAAGTTGCATGTATTACGACTGCCTTGCTGGTTATGGTAGCTCACAGAACCTGGGAAGGTGGCCTTTGTACTAAAGCAAACAGTACTTGATGTGCCTCTGGAGCTGGTCTATTTGCAGATTGGGCTGCTTGGCAGAGGGAAAAAATTTTCAATGAACATTTCTCTAATGTTACCAAATCTATTAGACTGCTGGCCTACAAATCTGTACCAGTGATAGAATTTTTGCAGGTCAGTAAGATATATACTTCATAAGACTGTGAACTTCAAGGAAGAAAGAAATTGTATAAATGCAAATGATTATTTTGGTTATACAAATAAGTGAGCCTAATATAGTAATAATTGCAATTAAAACGAAAGCCAGGTGCCATTGCGCTAGAGAGCAACACCTTCATAAAGAAATTTAGCAAAGAAATTATTACATGCCTTAACTGTAAGCTTTGAATAAGAACCAAATTTTTAAGGGGTTGTTTTTTTTTTTAGTTCATTAGACATAAATTAAACCAAATCAGGAGAATGAAGCGTCTCCTCCCTCTTACTCCCACATCACTGTGGGCCTAACCTTAATTTGCTGATGTTCGCAATATTTGTATAGTACTGCTCTTCTGGAACAAAACAATGCTACTGTGATGATTCAGGGAAAGAATTAGAAACTATATATTTTTAAAATTTCCCTTTTATGAGCAATTTAAATTGGCAGGGAAAATACAATTAAGCAATTTCAAAGGTATAATTTCATGGAGATTTAAACATCACATCTCTAAACAGTGTTTTTAAAAAAAGAAATTTGTAACTAAATTTTTGTATTATTTATAGTTCTAATCTTTGGGAGATAATGGTGAAGAAAATTGCCAAGAATGTGATTTTTACAAAGAACTATTTGAAAAGTCCCAGCCTAAAATGTTGAAACAGAAAAAGGTGAGCAACCAGTGATTTTGGAGGCAGAAAACAGTGGAGCCGTCCCCTTGGCATTGCTCTAAGGTCATTAACTAGGGGAGATCTGCAGGCTCCATTCCTCAGCTTAGAAGCTAGTGGCTCATGGAAAAAAGTCCTCCCTGCAAATAAGAGACTGTGCCATAGATACTACAGAAGGAACAGGGAATTACCAGGTATCTTTAACCCTTCCATTTTTACATCCTATGTTTGTAATGTTCCAATGCAAGGTTTCATTTTACACTTTTTTTCTGACAGCATCAAAGTTTGCTCCTATTTACCTGGAGTCTTGGGAGCCCCTACTCTTTGAGCAAGTCAGTTCCGTTGCACAGCTTTACTTGTTTGAAAATTATCCAGTGCATCAATAAAAATCTGATTCCAAATGTTTTTACCTGCTAGGCTGAAGTTGCCTCTCTTTCTAGGTCCACGTTTGGTAATATCAGGTTTGGGCTTGAAATCACCCACAGTATGAGTATTTATACGGAAGAAATCTGCAAGTGATATGAATCAGGAAATCTTTGGAAAGAGTTGGTTGTTAAACTTTACCAGCACACAAATACCTCTGGAGCTGAGCAAAACAAGTCTACCCCCTCATCTTCACAACGGTCTTTCAAACATATTTAAGGTTCCTTTCCCACTCTCTCCGAAGTCCGTGCCATACAAGGTAGGAAGGTCCCTGGGTGGGGTTCTTGCTGGGCGGTTCTAATTTTGAGCAAGTGGTATGTATATTTGTCGGTACGTGTGTCCTCATCTAAGATACACTGCTTGCTTCATTAAACTGTTTCAGAAATTAAAATAATATCTGCAAAGTGATTAGCATCGGACCTGCACATCATAAGACCTTGGACATTTTTAGCTATTATTATCTTTAGTGCAATGGTTTATTGAGTCAGTGAACAGCCTTTGCTTACTCTTATCTCCTAGCCAAAGAGTTTAGGGAAAAGTGCATCCTAACAATAGTTTTTACTTTTTTCCAAATTGCTTTATTTGACCCAAATTTGTACAATTTTGATTAGGTACCAAGGCTTCCATATACATTTACTTTCAACTTCAGATTTAATGTTGCATCCTATTCGGACACTTGAATTGTCAGGGTGACGATCCCAAAGACTTCCTTTTGTCTTACAAAGAGAGATCCAAACCATTTGAAAATGTTTGCTTGAACAGGACTATACCTTCGGGTTTGAGGAGAGGTTGTGGAGTGTGTGGTCATTTCCTATACTACCAACCCTTCTCTGGTCATTATTCTGTCTCTCAGAGCCTAACACACTTGTGCCTTTGTCCATGATTACTTACTCTTCCTCTCCTAATGTCCTTAAGGCTTATGGTACTCTCCACACCAAAAGGGGAACCCAGCTGTCGTTGTGGCGTGTCAGTGTAGTCACCAAGTTTCCCTCCTCCTCATGTACATGTCCTGTATAATCCTATCCTCTTGAGTGTGGGCATGAACTGTGAATATGATGGGATAGCACTCCCTTGATTAGGTTATTGTATAAGGTACAGGTGATTTCAGAAGAGGAGATTATCCTTCGTGGGGCTGGCTTAACCTTTAAAGGGATTGGATTTTTGCTGAAGTCAGAGATTTGAAGCATGAAACACATTCCGTGTGAAGGAGATTATCTGTTTCTAGCTTTGAATTATGGAGGGGGCCAATTTGTAAGGACTTAAGAGCAGCTTCTAAGAGCTCTCAGCCCACCAGAAATCAGAATTTCAAACACACAGCCTCTAAGAACTGAATTCTGCCAACAACCTGAGTGAGCTTAGAAGGGGAGTCTTCCCCTATCCTATAAAAGAAAGTCAACCCACCTGACACCTTCATTGTGAGATCCTGGGTAAAAGACCAAGCTTAACTACATTTGACTTCTGAACTACACAACTGTGTGAAAATAAATGGCTATTGGTATTGGCTGCTGTTTTTGGTTATTTTTTTAACGCAGCAACAGGAAACGCATGTACCAGAAATCATGTGCCCTCAGAATTTTCTTCTTCAGTCTAAACAGCTTTAATCCCATTACCATATTGCCAGCCTCTCTCAGCAGCCATGGGTGCCTCCTTCTCGATTCTTTCTGGTTTCACCAAAGTTTCTTCTAAATATGGGCTGTCTTTTCTCTACCTCTGGCTCAATATTCACTTGAATCACAGGTAGAATGTCTTAAAATGATCCAAGAGATGTTCCAAAATGAGGTAAATGAACTAAGTAAGACATAAAATTTTGAGGAGGCATGCATATGTTTTATCATCAACACAGAAAAATGTGAATCTGTTCTGAAACAAGGCAGATAGAAATCATTGAATAAAAAAGCCTCTGACCCATTCCTCTACTGAGGCAGTTTTCACACTGCCATGTGACTATTTCCAGCTGGGTCTAGTCTGTTAACTCATTGGGGGTGTGAGACTGTACTATTTTCATCTCTAAACTCCAAGGATAGGTGCTCAGTAAATGTCTTCTACATTTACCTGAAATAGAAGCACTTGCAAATGATAGGAAGTACAGCTTGCTACGGTCGATTGAAGATACTCTGCGAAGTTGAGAAGCAGCAGAGACAACTGTTTGGAAAGATGTGAGCGACTGAGGAATGCACCATGAAGTAAATACTTTTTCAGGATCAGAAAGCAATTTTAATGAAGCAGGAGGTGTTGGTGAACTCTTCCAGGGTGGGAGATGAAGAACTGAACAAAAATAAAAATGAGACGCCTTAGAATTTGCCGTAGAACAAACAAGACAGGATGTGATAACACTGATAGTTTAGAGCCACTCTCAAAGGATATTTTCTCTAGTTCAGAAGGGCACTGTCTTTCTTTGAGAGAAACTGGGTTATACACACAGACATAACCCGGGGGATTTGTCCAGGGTAAAATAGCCAAACTAATATTAAGAGAAGAAAATCTTCTCACAGTTGAAAGATAAATAGAACAAAGAGAAAGAAGTCGAAGAGCCTAGCCTTCTGTAGGGAAGTCTAGGCCTCCCTGCAGGGAACCCAATTAGTTCTCTCTCACTTGGGTTGCTAGTTCCTCAGAGCACAGTCTGGGGAACAATCATCTGAAGGAAGCAAGAAATTGAGAAATAACAGCAACCAAAACCTTAATTTATGTTGTTACTTGGAGTGTAGAGGCTGCACTAATACGTGTAAGATCAATAACAGTTTCACCATTCCTTAGTTGGGGAAACAGGATCAGAAGGTACATGACCTGCTAAAGGTTGCACTGCTGATAACTGATAGGGTCAGGTAAGGACTAGAACCTGGTCTAAGAAATTCTTTGGCATCAAATTATGCCAAATCCTGTGCTCTTTCAGAACATCAAATTCTCTCTCCAAGGAAGAACAAAGACTAAAAAAAATTTATATATTTTGAAATCAACACCCAAGCTCCTCAGATCTTTTGGGAGATGTGGATGAGTTATGTTTCTGGGAAAGTCATTTAATTTCTCTGGAAAAAAATCCAATAAACCATTCAACTCTGACAATCTTTGCTTGTCTGATTCTAAGAATTTATTGAGCACCTAAAATGAATAAAGTTCCAGGACTGAGACTATAGGAAATACAGAAAAACTATGACTCTGTTGTTGTATGTTCATTTATTTAACAGACATTTATTTAAAAATCCTTCTGTCAGGCAGGTACTAGGAAACACTTGTAGATACTAGTATATTTTCCTCCATCAGCCAATTATACAAAGGTTTGCACTGAAATTTGGCTCATAAATTCCCACCTACTTTGATGTCAATCCTGCATCAGTGATGTTCCTACAAATGAATCAGATGATGTTATCTATTTTACAGATTTCTTTCTGAAAGCAGTTACTTTCTAACTCAATGTTAAAGTGTTCCATTTACCTTGAAGGTACAGATAATGTTTGTATTTGTTTTCAATAGTTGCTAGGTAACAGAACACTGCCCACCACTTTTCATCAGAGAAAATATCAGACAATTTAAGATATTTGTTTTTTATTTTATATTATATTTTGGAAAGTGAGAAATATATATAATTGAGGTCCACACCATTAAAATTAAAAAGCTTTGCTAGGTAATTAATAGTGAATATCTGTGTGGTACAAAAAAACTGTCATGGTTACTCACTATCTCATTACAAAGTATTGTATCATTTCTATCATTTGAAATAACAGAATTTGCAAATCCATTTAATCAGGCAGACATGAAGTATTAAACAACCCAACATGCTGAAAGTGAACAAGTGAACAAGGATGACACTCACCATCGCCCCTCTCTCTGGTGGAACTCTCAAGATAGTTAGCTGACTATAAGTGATCCATATTTCTCTAACGTAAGGACGAGAAATTATAAATCGAAGTTCTAATATTTTCTCTCTTGTCACATTGTTCCATCTTACACTATACCACAGTCACCACTGCCCGTCTGCCATTGTCCTCCCTCCTCCCAGGTGACTGCAGCTCATTTTGGAGGCACCATTTAAAAACACATGCTAATTACAAAAATACTTAATAACTCACATAAGTGTAAAGAAATTAAACATAACCCATAATCTACCACCTCCGACGAATGCATATTACATAATTGGAAGTTTCCCATTTGTGGCAGTTAGTTGGTTTTGTGTGTGTGTGTGTCTGTGTGCAGCCTTTACATTTTTAAATCTCAACACTAATGTTAATAACTGGAATATTATTTTATTTCTGTTGGCTTCTTGTTACTATAAAGAAAAGCTATATTAAACATTTTATTTTATGTTGACATTTTATTAAATTTACTAAATTCTCTTGTTATTTATAGCAGGTTTTTCTTTTTTTGAGAAAGGATCTCTTTCTGTTGCCCTGGAATGCAGTGGCATGATAACCGCTCACTTTAGTCTCAACCTCCTGGCTTAAGTGATCCTCATGCCTCACCTCAGCCTCCCAAGTACCTGGCACTACAGGCACGTGCCTCCAGGCCTGGCTAAGTTTTGTATTTTTTGTAGAGATGGGGTTTCGCCATGTTGCCAAGGCTGATCTCAAACTCCTGGACTCAAGCGATCCTCCTGCCTCAGCCTGCCAAAGTGCTGGGATGACACGTGTGAGCCATCACGCCTGGCAGTAGTTTTTTTTGTTGTTTTTTTTTTTTCCACTAGAGTTTCTTGAATTAATTTTCTTGGTGTACAGTAGAATAATCAGCAAAATTTTTCTTTTCAATATTTAAACCAATGGGACAATTCTTTTGTTATACATTATTTAGTAGAAACTTTAAGATAAAAACAAATAATATAAATATATTTTGCAATTATAGTGTGATTGTATTACCAAACAGTCTATTAGTATCTATTGAGTTTCAGTCTTTGTCCTGGTAGTTTCACTACTTACTGCTGTTCTGTCAGTTTTTCATCTTCCTCTGTATTGAGATTCCTGTTCTGATACTTTTTTTAATTGGTCTTTTTTTCCCACATATTTTTCTTACAATGAGTAAACGGCAGGTGTAATCGCTGAATCCGTAATGGTGATAGGTGAATCATACTTGTCTAGGAATAGACCTTGAGTTCCACTCCTTTTCTCTCAGTAGTCCATAAATGTTATTCCAATTCCAAGTGTTGCCGATGAAAAGTCTGATTTCAGCCTGATTCTTTTGCCTATGTAAGTAGATTGTTCTGTCTGAAAGCTTTTAAGATTTTTCACTTTATTTTTAGAAATCATGAATTTTAATGTTAAGTGTGTATCTTCAGTTATCAAATTTTCTGGAACTTGGTTAGCCATTTTAATCTGAGACTCAAATATTTCTTCTGGAAATTTTATTATATTATGTGTTCAATATAGCCTCTCATTCATCTTTATTTTTTTCTTTTTGGAACTTTTTTTCTTTTTGGATCTCAGATGTTGGGTTTCCTAGATCTATGTGCCAAGTATCTTGTTATTTTCCTCCTGATATAAATCATGTATTTTTGCTGTGTACTCCAGGAATTTTCTTCTTCTTGGTCTCTCAGGCCTCTAAATAAGGCCTTAACAATGACTATATTCACCTTCGACGTATATGATAATTTAAACTTTTTTTTCTTCTTATTTTATTTATTTATTTTTGAAATGGGGTTTTACTATGTTACCCAGTCTGGTGTCTAACTTCCTTGCTCAAGTGATCCTCCTGCCTCAGCCTTCTGAGTAACTGGGATTACAGACGTGTGCTACTACTGTGCCCGGCTTTTTTCTTTTTTTTAGTTCCAAAATATATTCTTGACTCTTAACTTGAACCCTTGAATCTTCCTAAATATCTTGCTCTTCCTCCTTCCTCTTCTCTTTCATCTTCTCCGTCTCTTCCTCCTCTTCTATTGTGTTCCTCAAGTAACCCATTTTGGCTAGAGTTGCCCGGGTCAGAGTGTTTTACTTCTTCTTCATCTTTTGCATGGCATGCTCATTAAATGCAGTGTTTTCTTCCTTTACTGTAATCTCTTGTCCACCTACCAGGGTCCCTTAGTAGCAGTAACCTCTCGTGCGGTCTGGCAGCATAGTAGCAGTCAGGTTTTCAGTGCCACATCAAGGCCCTGAGAGAAAGCCCCTGACTTTATCTTCTCCAGAATTAGGGATAAGGAGTTCAGTGTTCCTGTTCAGCTTGGTCCTAGATCCCTGGAGAACAAGGTGATCAGGTATATTCATACTGGCTGAAGTCACCCTTTCCCTTGTGGTTCCATACCTGGCCCAACAAGGAGAAAGTTCACCAGCTTTGTGGGGACTCTGGCAGAGCCCTAACTCTCCTGTACACTTTAGTAGCCTGTCTGGCTTAAGAAACCTTAGAAAATGAAATGGAATTAGGATTGGAGGGAAACAAAATACTCCTTAAGCCTTCCTCTTCCAATAGTTCTCTCCTAACTTTTTTGTTAGATAGAGACTCCCTTATGAAACAAGAAAGAAAGAGTAGCAGAAGGACAAAGTTTAGTTGAGGAGGGACAGGTCACTCAGAAGTCCAGCCCTTGTCTCCTGTGGTTTCCAGTGTGCCTGATGTTCTCTGATGTCAGCAGCTCACCCATACCCCTCACACTCTTACTTGGATGCTAAAGAGTCTCTGTTTAAAAATACAGATTTGATTATTACTTAGGTATGGCAAGGCCAATAGATCAGATGACTGCCATTGGAAAGAGAATTTGTTCTTCTCACAGATCCCAAGAGAAGAGGGAACACTACACCACAAGGGTTACTAGGGGAAGCCTCTGGGTCAGTCAGGAGACCATGGGAGGCCAGGTTGCGGGGGATGTGGACAAGAACCTTTATTGTATGACGAGGAACAGCAAGGTAAGGTAGGTGTATTTAGGATTAGCTACTTTGAATAATCTCAGGGGAGCTCTGGGGCATAGGACTGTCCTTAGTTATCTGGTACCTGTCCCTTGGGTGATTAGGGCAGGGGATAGTGGCCTGGAATGTGTGAGCTGATAAAGGACATTGGGAGTATGGGCACTGGGTGGGCTGCTTTGCATTTGAAAGACATGCTCTGCTCTCTAGCTAAGTTGTTTTTACCTTTAGGTATTGGCTAACCCTGGGAGGGCCAGTCCCTTCCACAGTCAGCAAGACCCAAGATATTGAAGGCTCAGGATACAGAAAATAAAAAACGTAGTTAATTCAGTCTCCCTCCTAGCACTCCTGACCAGCTGTAGACAAAACCTCCTTATCTTGATTTTTCTCAGCATGCAGTTTAGAACATCTAAACAACAGCACGACAAAATGCTTTTCTATGTACTAGAGGACAGAAACAAAAACAGTACTATAGACCATAGAGAATACTGAGTAAAAGCAAGAATTTTGATCAGACATGGATTTGAACCAAAACTCAACTCTTAGTAACGCTGTGCTCTTGAGCCAGTTACTAAGCTCTCCAAGCTCAGTGTGATCATCTTAAAAATGGGAGAATATTGTCCACTTTATAGAGTTGTCATGAGGAAAAAATTATCCTGCATGTAAATGATTGTGGTTGTTATTAGAAAAATGAACAAATAGCATCAAACTAGGCTATTATCCGAAATAGTTATTTTGGGTCTTATTATACCTAACTTTTGTCCTCACACAGTTGGTATAAATTCCTAGATGCCTGGCCTGGTGTCCTTCCTTCACAGTTACTGCCTTTGTCAGAGGCATTTGAACCAGAGTGACTCCATTTTGAGTGAGGACTAGGAAAATGAGACTGAGACTTGTTGGGCTGCATTCTCAGAAAGTTAGGCATTCCTAGCCTCTAGATGTTTACAGTTAAGGGAACAAATTAAGAATGCTTACTAAACAGACCTAGACTTGGGAGTGTCCAGATATCCCAACATCTGGAGAACAAAGGCATTCCTATATTTGCTTTAAAGATAATAATATTGATTTCTGCAAAATATCATAATTAAGAAAGTTAATTATTTATCACAAACCCTTGTAGCAGAACACATCTCCCCATATGTACAAGCATTGTACCTAGGGTGGATGTGTTCCTCCTACTTTTGGAAATGTTCTGCTCTATGGAGTAGCCATTCTTTTATTCCTTTACTTTCTTAATAAACTGGCTTTCACTTTACACTGCAGACTCGCTCTGAATTATTTCCTGTGCAAGATCCAAGAACCCTCTCTTGGGACCTGGATCAGGACCCCTTGCCTGTAACACCTTCATTCCTGATCTTATCTCCAAGGTAGAGAAGGTACCTAGGGCTCCTGTCCTCTTCACTCATAATCTCAAAGGGGCAGATTCCAGAGCCTCGGACCCTTTGGATCTTTCTACCCAGTTCACTGAGAGCATTGTCTCTATCCTTGGTGAATGTCAGGACACAATGACATGAACCCCATTTTCAGGAGAGATCTGATCTCTAGTTAGTTTTGTCTCTTAAAAACCCAAAAACACAACTACCTTAACCCCTTAGTAAACACCACATACTATTTAGTGAAGATATAAAGAGTACTTTCATGTTTCTATAGTTTCTATATGTTACGTATTTATGGATTTATTATGCATTGATTCTTCCACTAGTTCATGTATTTATTCATCCAACCAGTGTTTATTAACTTTCTACTATGTTAAAACACTGTTTCAAGCCCCGAGGGTATAGCAATTAAAAAATGCTCTCTGTCCTCAGGGACATTCAGTTGGAACTTATAGCTAAATGACATTGAGTAAGTTATCACAAAAATTAAAAGTGGAATTGCAACTGTAATAATATGTGCTATAAAGAAGAGGTAGTGTAATTGCATCTTCCCTAAAAAGGCTAAGAATTTACTGGAGATTTAAAAGTGGAAAGAAGCCATGTAGGCAAAGGAGACTGGAGAGGAGAGAAGAGTAGGAGAGGAACAATGGCAGTGTTAATGCTTTGAGTAGTTGTGTGGCTGTTAACATAGAAGTTTCTGGAAGGTGGTTGTGGGATTGTTTACTTAGTTGAGGAAGAAAATTTAACACAAATCTAGAGCTCATGTTTTTCCAGAGTGATACCAATTAAATGAGATTATTTAATGTTTAAGAACAGAAAAAAATGCAATTCATGATTTACAGATGGGCTTTGACAGAGTGGCTCTTCTGGGGTAGTAAAAAAAAAAAACCATTGAGTGGTACTATGTATATTGCTTTCTTTCTTTCTTTTTTTTTTTTTTTTCTTTTTTTTGAGATGGAGTCTCACTCTGTTGCCCAGGCTGGAGTGTAGTGGTGCGATCTTGGCTCACCGCAACCTCCGCCTCCGGGTTCAAGTGATTCTCCTGCCTCAGCCTCCTGAGTAGCTGGGGCTACAGATGCTCGCCAACATGCCCAGACAATTTTTGTATTTTCAGTAAAGACAGGGTTTCACCATATTGGCCAGGCTGGTCTCAAACTCCTGACCTCATGATCCTCCCGCCTCAGCGTCCCAAAGTGTTGGGATTACAGGCGTGAGCCACCGTGCCCGGCCGTATATTGCTTTCTTTAGGTGTACTTTCATCCAGCTTAGCTGACAACTGTCCTGCACCACTTCTTGAACTTAGCCTGAGTTACCGTAATACTCTGTCTTAAAACTTGGAAACACATAGTGAGAAGTTCTCTTTCAGGGCCTCCATGTGAGGCTCTGTGGGCTTCCTTGGGTGCTGCCACACACTGATAAGTTTGGTTCTGGAGTTATATCGTCTGTATTAAGAGCAAGAAGACAATGACTGAGATGCAATCATGAACATATGTCATATAGAATGAATAGATGCAAGGATGCACACATTTAAAATACTTATTAGTTTTAAAAGAACCTATAGAATTAAGAAATACAAATATGTTACAGAAAAATGAAAACATTTCGGAGGTTCTCAATAGAACTTTTAGGGGATTTTCAGAGGTTACTAGCACTGTTTGTTGTGTATATAAAGTATATTGTGAATTTTCTATCATTAAAGCAATAAATATTCATCATAAAAGTTTTTGGAAAAAAACTGGAAAAAAGAGAAAGAAAAGCATTTCCACCACCCAAATATAACCGCTATTAGCATTCTGCTGTATCTTTCAAAATTATTTTTAATTATAGTCGTGTATGTGTAGTTGCAATCATATTCTCTACATAATTTTGCATCCTGTTTTTCATGATCGTTTATTATATGTTCCTGTATAATATGAAACTATTTATAAACTCATTTTAGTTGCTGTATAATGTTCCCAAGTAGTGATAGAATGGTTTAAATTTTCCAAGTGGTAGATTTCTTACCATTTTAAGTAATAATGCATTAAGTATCTTTGAACATTAGATTTTTTTGTTTCACTTTTCAGATTATGTACATAGCATAGGTTTACAAAGAGTTAAAATAGTGAAAAAAACAATATAAACATTAATAATGAAAAATGTATACACATTTTAAGACCTTGAATTATACTGGGAAATTAATTTTACAGAAATTTTATATCAAAAGATTCATGTAAAGCTTAAAATATTGGAAGAGCATGAACTCTCTATTCTCAAAGTGATCCAGGATAAATAGTGGAAAGTCAATGTAAATATCAATAGGAGAGAAAAATTTAAAATCTGTGTTCCCAATTCTGCTTTTGTGTTCTATTCTGCTTTTGCCTTTGTCCAGTGAGACAATATTGAAATCTCACACACAAGTAAACTTCAGCTCTGCCATAACTAAATGTGCCTGACTTATTTCCCGATAATTATTCATGGAACTTCTAGTGTGTTCTGTCCATCTAAGTCCATTCATCAATGCCAAGAGAAATGTAAAACTCAGGAATGTAAGTGAATACTTTGAGTTTCTCCATTCAGCAGATAATTCTTAAATTGTGTGAACTGAATCTGGTTCCTGGCCCAATCTGGTTTTGTCCTGATTCTTATTTCTGCGTACTCACTCTACTCCCTTTGCTAGTAGAAACTATTGTTTTGCTCTCATCAATTGGTCTTTGTAATTAAGTGGTACAAACATGGGGAATCTGATATCTGCTAAGTGGCAATAGTCAGGAAACCCGAATGTCTCTTAATGCTTGGACTCCGGCATGTTTGTCTTGGTGATTCTGGTTCTCATGACATCTGAGACACCCATTCTCTTTGCACTAAACTTACTACATTTATTCAGGCCATTGGCTGGTAGTCTCAGTCACAGGGTCTGGAAGTCACTTGTGTCACTTCCTATACCACTGACCATTTGTTTTTCCATTGCTGTTATAGTTTTCTGTGCTGTCTGTCTGGTCTGTATGAATCCTGGGAGCCTAGATATGATGTCCCAGCTGTGCTATCACTGTTTATATATGAAAGTCTATGAAATTTTCAAAAGGTGAAATAAAATGATGGGCTCACAGGTGTCTGTATTTTTTGATACGAATGTGAAACTAAAGCTCTCAATTTCCTCTGTCTCTATCTATAAATGAAAAAAGCTTTTTTCCCCTCAAAGAAGCCATGTTCAATTGTCTGTTCATATTTATAGCCCTTTTTGTTTCTGTGGCCAGATTCTCTCTCTCTCACTCTACCTTTCGGAAGTTAGTTAGCCATAATAATATGTCATCATTTATTTACACTGCAGAAATATCTTATTCAGACCAGATCAACTATTCAAAGAGAAGAAATGTACTGCATACAAAGATCAAAGGAATCAATGAATCGAATTAGTTTATATGGTTTGGAAAGCAAAGAGATCTGAATTCTGAGCTTGTTTTTTAAATCCTTATATAAAATAGCATGAATGTGTGTTAAAAAATGCAGATTGGGAATATTACTTCTGGCTTTTTTAGAGTTTTGTGTCCCCTCATTAAGTCTGGGGAAATCTGAAGTATTCTTAGAGCATGGCCTTTGCTCAACTCCCTGGAAAATAATAGAACAGTTTTATAGAAATTCACCAAATGAGCTAAATCAAAATGTGAGAAAAACCTTTGAGTGGCTAGAACTAAGTATAAATAAACCTTGGAGATACGCTTCTATATCCAGTTGAACAAGTGTTAGAGAAAACAGCTCCTCTGAAAGAGAAAGGAACAACCTCTAGCTATAAACTTCATATAGTGGAGTTAGAAAACTATTTCTGCACTAAGCTACCTACCGGAGAATCAACACCAGGGAAAGTGGCTTCTATGCTATAGAGGATAACTGCTCCCCAATTTTCCTTCCTTGATCAAGAGATTGATGTTTCCTTTGCTGTGTAGTGTACATGGTTTTCTAGCAAATACACTGAAATACATTTACCTATTTTGAAGGATATTAATAAATCACATTATGAAGGCTCTTAAATTCAAAGGAGCTCCTATTTGGACTGGCTTACAGAGTGTAATAAATATTTCTATAAGCCAAGGATATGAAAACTTAAGAATTTTTGAATAAGAAAAGAAGTTTAACTCTTTATGTTTTAAATGCGCTGGCTCTTTCAGAAAGCTTTATGTCCTTGTAGAAGATGTAACTCAAGGGGAGAAAAACTTGGCTGTGAGTTAAATTAATGGATGGTGTTAGGTTATGGCAAGTGATATACAGTTTGTTTAAAAAAACCCAAAACACTAAGAAAATATTAGTATTAAGACTTACTTGAAGAATCATCTTCACCCTGCTTTGTTTCAGAGCAAAAAAAAATGTATATTTTGGTCCACATAAAACTTGAGGCCATTTATCATACTTTTCTGCCCTATTTTCTCCGATTTCTTTCATTTAAATTCTTCAGACTCTCTAAATGCACCATTTTCAAACAATTGCAGTGGTTGACAGCAGTCTCACAACTGTTGGGTTTGATATTTGACCCTAGACTCCTCTAGTAAGAATCACACAGCTATAAGTACTGCCACATTCCTTTTTATAGTCAATAAGGAAACGTGGTTAACCACAACAATTAGCTGCTATTATTAGTATCTTACACAGCCTTAAAGAAATTCAGAGGACAGAGATAAAAATGGATATGAAATTAATGATGCAAGCTATGATCCGATTATTTTTGATGATACTACACAGAAATCATGACAAGATCTTTTAAATTTCACGCATTTGTTTTTCTTTCACTATAGTCAAACCCATTAAGGCCAGAGAGTGATGGACAGAGCAACTGATTATCATAAACAACACATTAGTGTCCCTTCAAAATGTACTCTCAGGCATGCATATGTGTGTATGACTGTGTGTTCAGATGGTTCTCCTGTGCTTACAAAATCAAAACCTAGCCTACACTTTTGATAAGGCCATCTTCCCTTATGTGTTCAAAAGCAACTCCCCTCCCTGATTAATACTGCCTGACAATAATCTACCTGGATGCATCTGCGACACTGGATAGCACCCATTGTATGAGCATTTCTCCCCTTTTTAAGAAGTTCAAACGCTGGAATATGTATCCACAATTTAAGGCTGACTAAGGCCCAGGGAGCAAATAAAGCAGCTCAAGCTTTAGAGGCCAAAATGACCAGTAAAAATAGCCCCGGGTCATAGATTTTCTCTTGACTATTTACTGGCCAATCATGATTAAAGTGTGCACAATGACTAAAACACCTTGATATGCCTGGGTATATACACTTCAGGAAAAAAATGAAACCATGACTAGCTTGGAGTCAAGGCTAATTGATTATCTAAAGATGACTGCCATTATTCATGGATATTGTTCTCTTGGTTACATCTAGGCTGAAGAGTAAACTACATAAAAGTTGGGTTCTAAGTGTTTCTAATGAATTTTTGATTGCCAATAGATTTTTTGGCTTCCTCTTCTGGCTGATATTGTTACTTATATTTTACTATCATTAACTGGATATCCCAAGCCAATATCCAGTTAATAATACAGAGTAAAGTCGCTGTGGTCACTCAAGCACCTCATTTGGCATCTGAGGTGGACTTAAGTGGGGACCGAAAAACCATGAAAAAATGGTGCGGACCTAGCTTAACTAAACTGCCACGGGTAGGTTATCAGCAGCCAGAACTGAGACAGAAGCATCACACTCCTGAAATAGCAGTATTTTTTAGAAACCCATCAAATAATGGAAATTGCCTTCCTCCCTTACTCCATCTACTGCTTAAGGGCAAGCTGTCCTCCTTGGTAGATTTTAGCCAATTAGCTTTGCAAAAAAACTCTGTTCAAAAGACTTTCTGCAATGTTTGCTTTTAAAGCTTTGCCTTTGCTCAGTGAGACAATGTATACATGCTTGGTCCCCCTTATATAGGAGTTAATTTTAGCTGTATTCTAAATCAGGGGTGGGCAGACTTTATTCTGTAAAAAGCCAAATAGTAAATATTTTAAGCTTTCCAGGTCATATGATTTCTATTGTAACTCCTCAACTCTACTGTTGTTGGCAAAAACGGGCACAGGATATGAAAATAAATAAGCATGGATGTTTTCTGATAAAAATCTATTTATGGATATTTACATTTGATTTTTATCTAATATTCTTCTCTCATAGAATATTTATAAAGTCAAAAGGAGAAGAATATTTTATATCTTTATTTTTGACCATTTAAAAATTGATAAAATTCTTAGCTCACGGACCATACAAAACAGGTAAAAGCTGGATTTGGCTCATGGGCTGTGGTTTGCCAAGCCGTGTTCCAATGGAATATTTCTTTCTGTGTTGTCCCTTGTCAGCCTGTGACATGTAGACAAAGATAGGGAAACAAGAAGAACTTAAGGGGAAAATCTTTAAAATAACCTGATTGTGTGAAAAGAGAGTTTGCCTGCTGGGAAATGTTAACCCTGAAGACATTCTTGGTAAAAAACAAAAACAAAAACAAAAACAAGAAATTGCAAGGAAATGAAGTGAAAGATGGCTTAGATATTTTTCTCATTTCTTCTTTTCTTTTTTTAAGTTGGTGGATTTCAAGCTTCATAATGGAAACCACTATTGCCTGCTTATTTCATAAATAGACTGCAAAGGAAGGAGTTAGAAATATTATTTTGAAGTCATTCAACTTCTTTGGTATACAAGCGCTATAACGTATTTATATCTTCCTAATAGGCTTTTTACCTCCCATGCTAATAGTGAATTGGCTTTTTGTCTCAAAGAAGCATAGCTGCATAAGCTTTTCTGAAAAATTGGAGAAAACAGTGCCAATGTCTAGTGAGTGATTTGTTCAGAGAGCTTGAAGGAAGAGGAAGAAATAAATGAACATTGTTGAGTAACTACCATAAACTAAGTATTGTGCTAATATGTTTAGAATGCCTAGTATAGTGTTTAGCAGAGAAGGCACTCTATAGAGTAGGCCCTAAATACATTTTAAAACTGCTCTAAATACACTGTAGTAGTTGCAATCGAATAGTGTATTTTTTTATCTGAACAAGACACTCATGTGCATTAAGTACTCACGTCTGTTTTACACTTAAGAGAAAATAAACTTTATGAGATCAAGCATTTTTCTTATGTTACATAATTAGTAAGTGCTGGCAAGGGGTACCTAGTAGGCCCTCAATAAATATTTGCTAAATTTTTATATGAATGAGCCTACTGGATTTGATGCTAATTTGCAGCTTGCTTTCTTCTACCTGGCACAGAATATAGTCTATCCAGCTGACCATTTTAATGCTAAAGTAACTCCTTGATGTGCTGCTGAGATCATATCTGATGAATCCAAAAAAAGAAATTCATTAGCAGCTAAGGGAGCGTGAACTGCTGACCCAGAATAGATGATGCTGTTAAGGGATTAGCAGTGCCATGCATAGAGTTATGATTAGCTAAATAATTGGTGACACTTAACACACGGCTTTCTCCAAGGGGGAAAAATAACACTATTTGTTGTTCGTATAATTAGATTTTTCACCTCAAGTGAAAAAGTAAATTGAGCACAAAATGCAAGCAGGTCTGAAGTGGCTGCTCAAAGTTCATGTGGGTCTTTAATTATAGGACTCATCAGATGTAGGACTTCAGACTTACAAGGCTGTGCTGATTTGAACTCAGAAATGTTAAAACCTCTGAGACAACAGATTACTGGTCAGCTCTGCCACTGCTGTGGCTGCCAGGAAATGTGAATCATTTATCCTGGCACTTCATGACGATGTGCAATCAAATCCCACTTGAGATGCCTTTAAATAATTCTACTGCTTTCCTCTGGAAACTCCTGTCAATCAGTAATCGGGGCTGCCATTTCTCCCCCCATTGCTCTCTCCGGCTTGGCAGCAGATGAACCTTTGTGGCCAGAGATTTGCTAATGTATCGGCTGAAAGGCACACATTTCATGTTTCCTGTGCCCTCTCATTTCCTGCCTCTCAAGGCACTACCTCTCCAAGGATCCATTTCAGTGTTCCTAATAATTACCCTACTCTTGAGACAGTGACTGTAAGACAGATTTCAGAGTGACTGGTCTCTTATTTTCCAAAATATGATCTTCTATTGCTTTATCTGAGTGTCCTGGAAAATCACCTCTCTCCTGTGCTGTACAATACCATGACCCAAATTAAGAGGAGTGAAAGATTAGGAGAGAGCACAATTTTTGTACTTGGGGGAATGAAGTAAATTAAAGGAGTGTTTCATGTTTCTTTCAAATGTGACTTTAATAACAATTAATCACAGACAGAGTTTCCTATTGCTTCTCAGTAACTAGAAACTAAAGAGTAAATTCTTTTTGTTGACATTATGATATTCTTTTTTGCATTATTCCTGAATTTCTACTTCTTAAATTTTATTTTATTATTTTATTGTTTGTTTTTAAAAATTCAGGTGGAATTCTTTTACTCCCTGTACTTCGTGATATTTCTGAAGTTTAAGTTATCTTGTGAATATATGTTCATATTTTAGTGTGAGCTGCGTCAAACATTTTTCAGAAGTGGGAACATGTAAACTGTACTTTGAAAAAGAGTAAATGCCTCAGGCTAACAAAATAGGATATAAACATTCAAAATATATATAAGAAGCCGTTCTCTAGTTCGGACTTAATGTTATTTTTTACAGCAAGCTCTGACTAGTTCTTGAATAGTGGGTTTATATTTAACAGCAAATGGGTAAACCACAATTTGGTTTACATAGTCCTAAGTTTTAGTCTAAGCAAGGCTACTTGCAGAAGTGAATGTAAAGGGAAGCCTGGCACAGCAGGACCTGTTATCAGAGAAGTGCCTGGGCCATGGGCTGAGAAGACACCTTAAGGAGGCTGTTAGAGATAACTAAATGGAAGGGAGACCAGCATGGTCCCTTTCCCCAGAGCTCTGTTAGAGAACGATGGGAGAAGTTGTCTGGGGAAGGGACTCCTCTAGGAACTATCCCTAATGGAAGAAGAACTTATTGTTATGAATAATGTTGCTGTAGCTATTTTAATGCTAATATTGCCATATATATGGGGACCCAAAAGGAAATGGTTTCTTAGGTGAGATTAGTTATACTACGATATCACAGATCTTAGGAGGAAAAGAAAATGAGGATTTCTTTCACTTTAATATCTTGTTTTTCTCTTGATTGCATGTCCCTTCAATCCGTCAGCCTTTGCTTAAATTCTGTTTTAATCTTACAAATTCTTCTGGGTTTGCCTAGCAGAGGTGTAGTTTATTCCTATTATCCTGGTATGATTAAGAACAGCATCCCCTTTCACTCTCAAATTTGGATGATAAATTATATATGCACCTCAGTCACGAGGTAAAAGGAGTGGTTTGTAACTCTCTCCCCACACAGAAAGAGATCTAAGATAGAGTGCATGTATATGAAAGCACTGCGTAGGAACCAGTCTGCTGTTCAGTGGATCAAGGGATGAAGAAAGGAAAAGACAAGATGGAGGTGCTTTGGTCCACAGAGCTGGATAAAAGCAGGAGGGCAGGAGCCCACCCCCAGGGGGAGCAAAAGCAGGCTGACTGAGGGATAGGTCCTGGCTAAACAGAGCAGCAGGAGGGCCTGGATGATGAGGTGAGGCCTCCTGAGCGCTCTTTTGTCCGCAGAGTTTTGTTTTTCCTTTTGGTGACTGACTTCCTTGCCATTGCAGTAAGACATAAACTCACAAAAATTACACATATCAGCAAGTTGTAGAGGTTTAAGAAATCTTACAGAATTGCCATGACCCTTAGACTTGCAGTTTTTTGTAGACCTGGATCCCTTGAAGTCCTCTTGAATTTTTGTTCTTATCTCTTATTTCTTAAGGTGGACCTCACCTGATTTCTCTCTTTCAGATCCCACCCTTTCTATGACACATTGATTCGTTCCTCCTGATAGCATACTTCCCTGCTACAATGACCTTAGAAGATAATTAGTCCTGAGTCATTGACATGAGCATGAATTAGTCCCATTAAGTGCCCACTTTTATCTTAGGGAACACCAGATGTAGTGCACCCAATCCCAGTGAATCCTGGTATAGCTCTTCCTGATTTCCCACTTTAGTTGCAAAGCATAATGAATCACTCTAACTGGGGCACTTTAAGCTGGAACGTTGAGAAATGCCAAAGACCTTAAGGAAACTTGCAGGTATCGAATCACGTGCTTAACGGTGAAGATTAGGGAAAAGCAGACTTCAAGAATTGCCTAGACAGATATTTACTTTGATACTCATCACATTCATTTATTCTTTTATCATGAATTCAACAGATTCATTGAGTACTTATTATGTCTAGCACTAATGTTGAGTGTTGGGGACACAAAGTCAGATATAGTTTTTAACCTTAAGTAGGTCACAGTCAAGAGAGGGTAGCAGAACAAAAAGATTTGTTATAGTATCATATGATAAGTGTTTCAAATAAAGGTATACATAAAATGCTATCAAAAGGGAAAGGGGGTATTTAGATAAGTTTTCAATGCTTCAGAGAATGACTGTATGTGGAGATTTTTATCCCTGTTATATTCATGAAAGACTCTGATTGAAGCCTTACCACATTTAATTGCTGTGTAATTTGTGTTTTGTAATACTGACAACTGACACTGCTCAAAATCAAGGTTCTGGCAGGCTGTTATGACTCCCCAGATCTGATTCTGTAACTCTGAAAAAGAAGTAGTATAATTCTATTCTGATCTGATATGCTATTATTAAATACAATATGGGTGTCCCATGAACACTTCCCTGTTTTTAAGACAAATTTATATAAGGAACAACAAGTCTACCTGGTTTATAGATAAATTCATGCAGAAACTTAAGGCAGAGGTTTTCTGACATTCAGTATGAGCTCACATTTCTGGTATTAAAGAGAGAAAGGAGACGTTGAGGGATGGAATTAATGGAACCAGTACAGCAAGTTGAGTTATCTCTAAGAATTTACAACTCCACCTCAAGCAAATTTTAGAGTGTGCTCTCTGAATTTGCCCAATTGTGATACTTTGATTGAAACAAAATTGAGTTGTTAGTCAGTTAAAATGGAGACCTAGTACTTCAGAGCAGTTGGCTGCATTTCAGAAGGAAGGAGAGGAAGAACATATTCAGAGACATTTACCTGGGGAAAGTTGTGTTTATCTAATAGTTTAGTTATTAATTGTTGGAAGCCCAAAATCTTTGGATCTAAGGGCATTTTTTCCCTCATGAAATCACCAGAATTTTTAATAAAGATATTTAAGTATGTAGCATTTTGCCTGCGAGGATTGGTTGTTATCTGTGCCTAATTGAGAAAATTTCTAAACTGAAATGACTTACTAATTTAATAATCACAAATAAGGGAGTTTGTTTCAGATTTTACCTTCAAGACATCCTTGGGGATAGATGACTCAGGCATCCATAAAGAAGTAATAGTAAGTTGGTTAACACATTCACTAAACAAAGGGAGCCTCCTGTTATAGGCAGCACTCTTATTGTGAAGTTCTTCTATATGGGAAAAGAAAAGGAGGACATTCATTCACATAACTAATGTTATTGAAACAAACCATATGTGCCACGATCTGCATTCAAAACGCTGTAATAAAACTGATTAGGTCATGCTGTTTATCTAGAAAGATATTACAGCCTGGTGGGAAGTCAGAACTAGAACCAAAATATACTGCAATATCTTAAGTGCCCTCAGAAGGGCCAAAAAGAATACAATGAGGCTCAGAGGATTGAACTACTAATTTGAGGTTATGAAGTAGGTTCCCCAAGGAGTTGGCCTTTAAAGGAGATAGTAGAGGAAGGGAAGACTCTAAGCAGAGGAAGCATCAGAGAGAGCGATAGCCTGGCCTGCTGAGTTGCCTTATAATGGTGACAACTGTGGCTTCAGCAGAGATGATGGTGGAGGGTAAGACAGTGGCAGCTCTTGTGTACCAAGCTAAGGAGTTGGGCCTTCATCCTGTATATATAACAAATGCCACTGTTTCCTTCTTTAAATATAGTGATTGAAAAGGAGGTGCTCTTTAGGGTACAATCAGGAGTGGTTTCATTCCAAATATGTCCTCTAAATTGCTCCATAAGCTGAGAAAATTTCATAGCTTTTTGTCACTTTCAGTATAAATAAAACTCTTTAGAAAGACCAACGTGCTATGGGTCAAAATTCCAAATTCTCATTCAACTAAGGACATCTTCCCTTCACCACAGCCAAAACCTGACCTGGCTACAGAAGGAGGAGTGGGGAGTGGCATGGTCTCTGAGCCGGTACTAGGATGAGTCCCCCGCCCCCTTAAATTTTGCTCCCCAGATGCCTCACTCGCTTCACCCTAATCTCTGCTCTACAAGTTGTTTTAATTTTTCTCCCGTCTCCCGCACTCCCTTCTCCTTTTCACTATGCCTGTTACTTCAGATTTTGAAGGAAATATGGGTAAAGGAGCAACAGAGAGGAGAAGTGCCTTTTCAGTTGGCTGGTGGTGTTTGTTTTCTTGATGGTTAACACCTTTTGTTGTAGCAGACATTCAAATGCTCTTCATGGCCTTTGGAGGCCTCTGACCTGGGAAATTGGCAATTTCCTTAGGTATGTTATGCATTCTCCAGCTGACACCTTTGGGCTCCTCCTCAGTCCGTGCCAATTATATAACGCACACACAGAAGTGGATTTACCCTGAAGCTAATGACGCTTCAGCTTCAGGGCCCCTCACCTGCACAGGCTCCTACCAAGGTCCTAGGAAGGCCCCTACCAGTGTGTCTGTGCAGTCATATGCTTTTGTAAAATTTATAAGGATAAGCTATTTTAACACAGTTAAGTCTGAAGTCTCTTTCCTTTCCAATTTTTCCTTTGAAATAATTCTCCTTATGTTTGGTGAACTTAGAGTGTGATGGGGAATTTTGGGAAGGTGATTTGAGGATCCATTAAATTAGGATTTGGTGGGATACATTTGTGTGGTTCCAAAGTCACAAGATTTTGCTATGGATTCCAGAAATATTCCTATCACTCACTGTCATAAAAAGGTATAGGGGATAAAGGTTTTTATTTGTATTTTTTGCTTTTGCTTCTGTATTTTTTTTGAGATGTAATCTGACTCTGTCACCCAGGCTAGAGTGCAGTGGTGCAATCATGACTCATGCGTCCTCGACCTCCCTGGGTTCAGGTGATCCTCCCGCCTCAGTCTCTGATTAGCTGGGACTACAGGCATGTGTCACCCTGCCTGGCTAATTTTTTTTGTATTTTTGTAGAGATGGGGTGTCAGCATGTTGCCCAGGCTGGTCTTGAACTCCTGGGCTCACGTGATCTGCAATTACAGGCATGAGCCACTGTGCCTGGCCTAGGACAAAGGTTTTATTGACATAAAGTGTCCTACGGCATCTGGCCTCAGAAGTATGTGGGTAATGAAGAAGAAATAAGGTCTAAAACCTATGAGGCTCAGAGCTAGTCTGTGAAAAATTCTTTCAAATATTACAAATCAGACCTGATAAAAACTGGTCAGAGTTTCCTAAATTTGATAACAATCCAGAAAGTTTATATGGCATCACCAAAATAAGATTTAAAGAAAAAAGAAACTTTCTAAACTATGAGAAACCAAAAAAAATTGATTCAACCATACCCAATCAAAGACTAAATGATCTTAAAATTTTCTCTACTATCATTGTCACATGAAGCAGGTATCAAAAATATGAAGCCAAAAATTAGGGGTAAAACTATTACGAAGAAGTGTCAGACAATTAATTATTAAAAATGTTACATTATTGTGGGGATTTGGGTGTTTCTGGCATTTGTCAGCTTTTAAAAATTTGTATTTTGTTATCTTTTTTCATTCTAAAGCAGTATTTGCTTTTGTGATGTAAAAGTATCAGAAAATTTTTTATGTGTTGAAGAATCATATGTACTTCAGGCCCACAAAACCTAGATTCACTCTTTAAAAAAAAAAAAAAATTCAGCATTTATTTCAAGTTTAGGGAGTACACATGCAAGTTTGTTACTTGGGTTTATTGTGTGATGCTGAGGTTTTGGAGTATGACTGAACCCATCACTCAGGTACTGAGCATAGTACCCAATCATTGGTTTTTCAACCCTCGCCCCCTCCCTTCCTTCCCCCTCTAGTAGTCCCTAGCTTCTATTGCTGACATCTTTATGATGATGAGTACCCAGTGTTTAGCTCCCACTTGGGAGCTAAGCGAGAACATGTGGTATTTGGTTTTCTGTTCATGCATTAAATCACTGAGGATAATGGTCTCCAGCTGCATCCAGGTTGCTGCAAAGGATATATTTCATTCTTTGTTACGATTGCATAGTATTCCACGAGGTATATGTACCACATTTTCTTTATCCAGTCCACCACTGATAGGCATCTAGGTTGACTCCATGTCTTGGCTATTAGAGTCATCCTTTTCAATGGGTGCATCTTTTCAGGTAGGCATCTTCTTGAACAGTAAGCTTTCAAGATGATTTGAGCTTGCTGACTTTCCATGATGTCAGCTGGGTCACAGATATGTTAGCATCCCTGCCTTGCCAAACTCTGGAAAGGTGAGTTGCTTCAAAGACCACATTCTCACTTTCTTCAGAGAGCCAGGCCAATGAGTGTATGTGCTCTCTCAGCAAACCTCCAGCCAGCATGGGAAGACAGCAGCATACTCTCTGGCAAGGTCTCCTCTACCCTATTCCACCCTGATAAACACAGTGTTGCTTTTGAGGCTTCTTTCACTTACCTTGAGGCAGAGAAGGGCAAAGGGTGGGAGATGCCTTAGACTCATCTTTGCAGGTGAATACTTAAATCCCTTCAATTAAATTTGTGCTGATTATTCTTCTCAATGATTCTCTAGCTTTCAATTATGTGTACAGTGGATATGCATGCTGAACAAAGGTCTCATAACTGGTTTCACTTTCTCTGGGTAAGTCCTCTAGGGCAGCAGTCCCCAACCTTTTTGGCACCAGGGACTGTGGAAGACAATTTTTCCATGGACCAGGGTGTGGGGGAGGTATGGTTTGGGGATGAAACTGTTCCACCTCAGATCATCAGGCATTAGATTTTCCTAAGGAGCTCGCACCTAGCTCGCATACACAGTTCACAATAGTGTTTGTGCTCCTATGAGAAGCAAATGCCACTGCTGATCTGGCAGAACTCAGGTGGCGGTAATGCTGGCTCTCCTGCCACTCACCTCCTGCTGTGTGGCCTGGTTCCTAACAGGCCACAAACTGGCACTGGTCTGCAGCCTAGGGGTTGGGGACCCATGCTCTAGTGTATCTAGCACCTCTTGTTAGAGAAAGAGGACAATTGTTATCCATTGGCCTCAGCTGCAATTTCAAAAGAAGCACATTTTGGCATAACCACTTTTGTCCAAACATGTAGTCCTACTTTTTTAATTTTTAGCTTTGGTGGGTACATAGTAGATGTATATATTTATGGGTTACATGAGGTATTTTGATATAGGTATGCAATGCATAATAATCACATCAAGGTAAATGGGGTACCCATCACCTCAAACATTTATCCTTTGTGTTAGAGAAAATCCAATTATAATAGCTCTTTTAGTTATTTTTAAATGTGCAATTAAATTATTTTTGACCATAGTCACCCTATCCTGTTAGCAAATACTAGGTTTTACTCATTCTTTAACTTTGTATCCATTGTAGTTATTTCTTTGACTTCAATATTTTACCAGCAATCAGGTCAGTGATCAAACAAAAGAAAGGAATTCCAGGCAAATGAATTGACCCATGCAAAGGCATTAAGGATAGAAAAAAAGTGGCTCCGGGATCCATGGGATGTTAGGGCACCTGAAGCAGAGGACAATGTGAGATGAAGTACGAAGAGCTGATGTTAGAAAAGGGTTACGTTGTGACTACCTTTTGTAGGGTATTCGATTGTTTCCTCAAAGGTCCATGTTTAAATCTGAGGCATCTTTTAAGCCTTCAGGACATTTTAGCAACCATCTCTTTCTTTTATAATTTCCTTAAGTTTTTATTTATTAATCCCCGGCATCTAATTTTCTACCTTCACAAAAATTTCAGGAATCTGCTGTTATCTTTGGGTAATTGCGAGAACATGTTTCTTTGCCTTCCACATCACTTCCTCTCCGATTTTTTCACAGATTCTGACTGCTTCAAACTCCAAACCTCTTTTTCTGTATGGAAGAATTCAATGGTAGAGAAATTAAGAGGCTTTTCATGGTTTTCTAGGAAAATACTAAGAAGTGGATGAGGAAATTGGAATTGTAATGATTGAATTGTTTTCTGTATTGTGGCAGGAATGTCACCCTCTATGCTGCAATTTGTATACACTTTTGGTTAAAGTTCAGAGCAACATATATCAATATAGATGTTTTAAGGCTAAAAGATACTGGGGAAAAAGTGAGAGTACTTGCACCTGGCACACGATTGTTTTCAAAATGCTATACTGAACCTCATCTTGTTGGATTCTCACAAGGATCCCAGGAAATAGGATTCTAACTACTACATATGAGGAAAGCCAGACACAGACAGGTAGAGTAAATTGGCTGTATAGTGACAATGTCAGGACTATAATTCTAACCTCTCAATTCTCTTTCATATGTGGTGTTCTTTCCCTGAACACACTGAGGCTGGACAAGGAAACAGAAGAGATCAGGGGGAACAGACAAAAGGGAGAAAGTGGAGTGAGTCAAGGACAGAGCCAGGTTGATGCCTGTCTTGCCTCACGCTACATGAATATCCTGGATAGCTTAAGGCTGCAGGTGTCAGTTTTGGCCCAAAGGAAACTGCCTGGGGAAATGACACAGTGCATCAATCCACAGAAAGTCCTCCTTAACTGAGACGACAGAGACGTTTTCCTAAACAGATCAGACATGTTTACGGATAATTCTGCAAGAATTTGTGGGAGCGTTTCAGGGGGCTTGGTGTCCTGGTGTGTGTGTGTATGTGTTCTACAAATGGTATTTTGTGTCTTTAAATGAATTCTTTTTGTTTTGTAAATATTCCCAATATCATGGTTGTATAAGATGAATTTTTCTCAGTATCATTAGATAGGATAAAATGCCTTCTATTATATGTTGTTGAAGAAAATGACATCTGGCATGCGATTTTTGCCTTTACTTTTCCTTTCCTACCTGTATGTTGGGCTAAGTGAGCCATAGCGGAGAAGGTACAAAATGATATAATTTGACTGTCTTTTTGAGACCAAAATTTTTGAGTATAGCACAACATAAATGGAGTTTATATTTTGATGACTTAATATTTGAATTACTCTTCAGATATTTATTTCTCACTGCATTTAACAGTCTCAGGGACCACGCAGACTTAGCATCTCACTCCGAGACTATGCGAGTGCATATTCTTTTATATTTATTTTATTTTGTAATTACTAGAATGCATATGGCCTGAGCAAATTTAACAAATTATTTTTGTTGCTTCACTTATAAATGTCTGAAATCAAAAGTTTCATGAAGCTACTGTTTTATTAGCTCTTCTTAGCTATTATGCAAAGAAAGAATATTTTATATGCTGAACGAGAATAAAAAGTATTATAATGCACTTTCAATATTTATGCCAAGCTTTTTTTCCATGAAAAATGATTATATCATCAATTTGCATCATTTTAATAATTTTTATTGGCATATAATGTAGTATCTTGGCTGAAATATAACAACAGATGGCTACAAATTTTTGAGTTATTGATTTATGCATATAGATATTTAAGAACAGGAAGGGAAAAGGGTTCTAGGACACTCATTCAAATGAAGGCTAACAAGAATGGAGTTTTAAAAGGAAGGGGCCTTAATCTCTTGACTGTCAAATATTAAGACAAAACTAATTCACTCCTGACAGATTTGAGTAAATTGAGCAAATATCTTTGAACACCTACAATCAGACAATGTTTTACTGGACTAGTCATTAGTCCAGAATCCATGCAGTAGGTGGGAAAATTAGTGGATAAACCTCTGGATAGGAAAGAGCCTAATGATAAGGGCCTCAAACATCTTGATGTTATTCAAAGGCAGTGAAGAGCCACTGGAGCCATGCAAACAGGGAATTAGAGAGGAGAGAGGCTGGAGGTAGAACCATCTTAGTATATCCATACACTATTAGTGTAATAGTACTATAACCTAGAACTCTAGGGAAGAGAATCAAAGAATTAGAAGAAAGGCAGAAATGTTGCACAGTTAAAGGAGTGGGTGGGAGACACCAGAGTTGATAGGTACAGAATGTAGCAACTAATTAGTGGTAAATAGAAATATCAAAGTTAAATCTAAGTTTTCAAGTACCTGTAACCGGGAATACACTGATCATGTTATAAAAAGACAGAAGTCACAGGAGGAAGCATTTGGGGAATATGATGAGGTATGAGATATTCATGTAAGGTTATCTAATAGGTGGGTAAAGTGTTATTTGTCTGGGACTTGATTAAGAAGATGAGGTATTAGGCATTATACACACAATATATAGGATTAGGATATGTATTTAGGAATCATTTGGAGGCATTTGTGGTATTGTAAAAAAAAAAAAAACAAAAAACAAAAAACAAAACAAAAAAACCACTAGATTTAAATAGTAGGGTTAAATTTACAGACTTTGCCACTTTCCAGCTTTGAGGCCCTGGGCAGGTCACTGCCCCTGTCTGAGTCTCAGTTTCCTCTTCTCTGAAATCACAATAGGTTGTTGCGAGTATTAAAGGAAAGGCTATGTACATTTTATAAGTGTCTAGACAAATACAAGGTACAATTACACAGGAAAGGTGATGGTGAATATGTGAGAGGAGAGCAAATGAGATTGCCAAGGGAGTGAGCGCAAGGAGATAGGAAAGACTCTTTGGGAATGCTTACACAGAAAGGGCCTGGGAAGAGGCTACTAGCAGAAGAGACAGACAAGAGTTTCAAGACTAAGCATGAGGTCAATAATGACAAAAAGTATCCAAGAAGGATGGGGAGAGGTTTCCTGTTGAAAGGAACCCATCAAATTGGATAAGTTGCTGCTCACCAAATGCTGAACCCTCAGAAAAACAGTTTCAATGACAGTGTGACAGCAGAAATCAGAGATAAATGAATGGGAGGGAATATGTCTCTCTGGTAGAACACCTTTGCCACTCAGCATCAGCATAGATCCTCAATGCATACAACAAGATCAAGATGTTCCTCTTTCTTGCTCTCTGGACTTTTATGTCTTGATACCTTCAGCAGTCAGGTAAGAGGTTTCAGGAGAGATGCTGGGAGGAGCAACAGAACAAAACCTTCATAGCTACTTTAAGGATGTGGTACCATATATTTTACCAAATGAGTTTGTGGTACCATTTATTTTGTCTTTACTGTTGTATCTGTAATTACATGAATGTTTCCTTTACTTCTCCATGTAAATAACCATACTAGTAAATTTATAGGAGGCCAAAATCCAAGGGTAGAGTGCACTGCAATTGCCATTTGTCTCGTTCTAATTCTTCACCAAACTCCTGTTTCTGTTTTCTACATGGCAGTAGTTCTTCATATTCTGGATTATAGTTTCTATAAACTGCCCAAGTACTAATAGCCTTCATTTTTATTCTTTATGCTCCTTAGTAAATCTTTGAATACCTTGCAGTCTGTGTGTATGTGTGGTAGTAGTTGTGGGGCTGGGACTGCATGTAATTCTATCGGATTATCCACTCTACCTTCCTTACAATGTTTCTGATTCTTCTGATAGAATGGTTTTCTTCTATTAAATCACAGTTTTAGTGAATCTGAAAGCAAAAGTTACCTTCCTTTTTCCCAGCAAAATTGTATTCTAATGGAGGAAAATAAATTCTAGTTTTCAAAATTTTCCATAAATGAAGATTTAAAAAATTTTCCTCCTTATTTAAAGTATGATTTTAGGGGCACTTGTCATAAATACGGTTTAAACAGTCTGTGTTCTTGTATTCTGTTCATAATGTTTTAGGAAATATTTGGGGGTCTGGGTGTTACCCACACAATGGCTGGGTTTGATTGCTTGGTGGGTGACAGTCCAAAGAGCACAAGTAAGGAGGATTTAACAAGGGGATTTTCATAACTTGCAACAAGTAAGGAGGACACTGGGAATAATTCCCCAAAGCAGTGCCTTTGTGAACCAAGGTGAAGACAGGGCTTTTATGAGGCCAGTTTTCTGAGTCATCCTATGCAGAGGTGGAATAAAGGCAGAGCAGGCACAATTGTCAGTGATGCTTCCACATGGTCGCATGTATAGAAAATGGAGAACAAGCTCCTCCCTGGGCAGGGTTTTTAGTATCATAAAGAGGAGAGTTTGCCAAAGTTCATCTCCAACTCAGGCATTCTGGATTCAACTGTTTTTTTTTTTTTCTTCCTGCCAGGGATGGGCTTCTTCGTGGACCTTTTTGAAATAACAAGAACTTCAAGATGCAACAGTTACAGATAGGTACATTTTCATAGTGTGTACTCCAAACCTCATGGACCCTGGGTTAGGAATCCCTCCTGAGACATTCCACTCCTCATTCCTGAGGGTTTAGAGACAGAGTTCATGCTTCTGTAACTATTTCATGCTGACCGAGTGTGTTGAGCTCCCTAAAGTTAAAGGAGTGAGACTCTTGGGCTGCTGAGTTCAAATAAGTTTTTCGGTCACCTGGAGTTGCTCAAAGGGGCTGATATTGTTGTAATAAAGCTGGAGATGAAACCGTTTGAGTCTTGAGGACACAAAGTTTGCTACTGCATTGGCCTCCGAGCGTCCTCTGGCAATCTAGATCTTCTAGTGTTGGAGTATGCAACCTAATGGGTTTTTCTCTAGGATTGAGGTCTGGTTTCCCCCACCCTCAGACACAACCCTCAGGATCTGATCCCAGCTTCCAAAAGATTTAAATATCAGATTGTTATGCATATGTGTGATAATTGAGGTTTTCCTCTCAAAAAGCGTCTCTCAAAAAACTCTCTAAGGTGTAGATCCACAGTAAGCCAATATGTGAGGGTGACCCAGTGGTTCCCTAGTGTAACCCCATGAACATCCCCAAAACTCTGATTGCACCACTTGGTGACCCTCCTGGGTGTCACGTGAAGCAGCTGCCCCTTTTTTTAAAAGCTGATACTTGAGAAGAACTCACTCAGGTGGTCCAGGGATGCATTGGTAAGAGCCTCTTCTCTTATGTTACAATTTTCGCAGCCTAGTTGTCAAGACTGAGGGCTTCCAGATGTACCTGGGTCGTTTCCCACTTTGGAAAATGCCCCCCGAATCTAAGGATCTTAAACCTGTCTTCCTGGAAAAGTTGATCCTCATGGGTAATCTGGCTAGGTACAGATTGCTGTTTATTGTGACAGGGATGCCTCCCAACCCTCCAGAGCACAGAGTGGCCAGGGATCAGGATTGCCAGTTGCCATGATGGGAGTGTATCTCAATCCTCCAGGGCACCAACTGGCAAAAGGTGGAAACTAAAACAAGAGGTGCATTGTGGTTAGTCTGGAGATCCTGTTGCTAGATCCTAGGAGTTTTCCCTTTTAGTCAGCCAACAGGGTGAAGTCCACTTACCGCCCTGAAGGAGCACCAAACAAAAGGTCCGGACCACTGCTTCCACTCTTTTGGGCTAGATCCAAGTGATGGCCTAGTGGACTCTACCCCAAGATGAAGATCCTTAGGAATTGCACCCAACCCTCTCAGGCAACATGAGCACGTTAGCCCAGCCAAGCTGCCGCTGTCCACTGCTTTGCCCATAGCAAGCCTTTGTGAAGTTAGCGTTAGAACTGGAGTCTTTGTCTCATCTCGGTTGCCAGGGTTGTTACCCACACAATGAGTGTGTTTGATTGCTTGGTGGGTGATAGTCCAATGACCACAACAAAGAAAGATCTAACAAGGGGATTTTATTACTTGCAATAAATAAGGAGGGTACCGGGGATAATTCCCCAAAGTAGGCCTTCCCAATTAAAGGTTCAAACAAGGCTTTTATTAGGCTAGTTAGCCTCTACCTCATATGCAGAGGTGGAATAAAGGCAGAGCAGGCATAATCTCCAATCATGCCTCTAGATGGTTGCATTTATGAAAAATATAGAATAAGCTCCTCCATGGGCAGGGTTTTTAGTATGGTAATTGGGAGAATTTGCCAAAGTTTACCTCCAACTCAGGCATCTCTGAATCCAATCAGTTTTTGTTTTGACAGGGATGGGCTTCTTTCTGGAACTTGTCTGCAAGGATAAGAACTCAAGGTTTAATAGTTCCAAGTGGATTCTTTTTCACAGTGTGTACCCCAAAACCTGGAGAAACTGGGTTACATGTGCTTTGAGAACCATGAGAAGTCAAAATTTACCTTCACGTGAGGAGAGATTTGAATTTCTGTTGAATTTGTCTTTGGAATTTACGGATGAATTCCAAAGAGAAATTTATCCTGGTAATGTTAAAATATCTTATGCTAGGAATTGGCTGGTGATCATGTCAACATCCTAATAATGTTTATTAAGATTCTACATACGTTGGTAATCTTTACTATGGTTAAGTCCCTTATGATGATGACTTTAAAAATGTTCATTTTGCAGCATAAGTCATATGCAAGTGAACTGGTTAATATGCATGTTACAGATATAGTCTGTCCAATCACATGCATTATCACTAATTGGTTTCTATTAGTTAAGACAGATGATGTAATGCTAAAGAGATCAGATGGACTGACACATCTGTCATCTCTGATAGTGTATTTTCTCTCCTTATCAAGTTTTACCTTTACAGTTAGATGGATTTGTGGTACGAATTAAAATGAAAGTGTTTTGCAAATAATATTAGACTAGAGGAGGTGACCTAAGCGTTTTCATTTCAGATCCATCATGAACCAACCATGTATGTAACTTGGGCAAATCACTCCATCTCCTCTGGCCTCACTTAGTTTTCTCAACTACAGAAAGAAGGTTTGATTAGATTATCTCTAAGGGCCTTCTAAGTCTGTGATTCCAAGTTTTCTTTTCTTTAGAACACATGATTTTATGCGTGCCTGTCTCTCTGAAAGAGTTCACAGTATGAGATTCAGGCCCTGTCACCTTGACACGTTTGTGTTTGAGCTGGCTCCCTGGTGCTTGTGTCAGCTCTGGGCTTTTCTTCACAAAGAGTGCCTACAGGCTGAAGTACTCTCATCTCTCAAGTGTTTGAACACCCCCTGAATTTGTAATCCGTTTTTCTTTTTTTTTTTTTAGCACTAGTTCTCATTAAATGAATTAAGTCACTTCCAGTGGCTATGGACCCTTATGTTTCCTTATATACCCAGTGATCTTACAGGAGTCCAATCCAGATTGCTTCAATTCATGCAAACCTGCTCACTGTTCTACTGTGTCCATTTTTTAGTATTATTTTCTTTGTCCAAAGAATATTGATATAGGAAGGTTGTGTTAATTAGGGTTCTCCAGAGAAACAGAGTCAATAGCATTCATATAGATAAATAAGAGAGATTTTATTGTGGGAATTGGCTCACATGATTATGGAGACTGAGAAGTCCCACGATAATGCTGTCTGCATGCGGGAGAACCGGAAAAGCTGGTAATGTGATTCTGAAGAAGGCCTAAGTAAGTAAATTCTTAAGACTGGAAAGCCTGAGGACCAAGAGCTCTGATGTCAGAGGGCAGGAGAAGATGGATGTCCCAGCTTCAAGAGAGAAAAAGAACTTGCCCTTAATTTGCATTTGGTTCTATTTGGGCACTCAGTGGATTGGGTGACACCTACCCATGTTGGTGAGGGTGGAACTTCTTTACTTAGTCTACTGATTCAAATGCTAATCTCTTCTTAAAACAGCCTCAGAGGCACACCCAGAAATAAAGTTTTACCAGCTATCTGGGCATCCCTTAACCCAGTCAAGCTGACACATAAACCACCACAAGGATGTTAATTCTTATGCAAAATGGCTTTATTCTTTGCCATCTAATCTTAATATTCTTTTGTTTAAAGGTTCATAGGCTCCTTCTACCCTCAGTCTTCCAAGGTCCTTCATCCTCTATTCATGGCATTCAGGAGACTAATAAACTCATTTCTTTTCAAGGGATAGCTGTATTCCTTTCCTTTTGTAGCTGGCTTTGTCACAGAGGCACACCAGAGCCCAGGGCCTTTAGCATACTCGCTTCTGCTGTAAGTGACCCACTCTCTTAGAGCACCTTGGGCTCTGTTATAATTAAGAGTCAATGCCAAAAGATCAGGTCAAGCAAGGGATTTCTAAATCCTTTTTCCAATACCCTGCCTTCACCTTTTGGCATTTTCATTGTCAATACCCATTAATTTTTGTACGCGTTCAGACTACAGCTCTTTTCCTGCCTCCCAAAGAAGCTACTTCCTTTTCTTATGCTCTCTTCTGCCTTTCAAGCCTTATTTATTAGGACGAAACCAAGAAAAGATAATACCCATTGGATGCAAAGGAGATAGCTGTCCTTAGTCCCATCATGGATTCCTCAGACGCTCCCAGAAAAAATTCCTGTAAGTGTTATAAATCTCATAGTGGATTTTGCCCTCTAAGTAAGCCCATGGTGAAGGCAATCCCATGTTTTAGTTACACTCTTTGTAATTTATGATGGTTAATTTTATGCGGCAACTTGACTGAGACAAAGGGTCCCCAGATTAAATATTATTTCTGGATGTGCTGTGAGGGTATTTACAGATGATATTAACATTTGAATCAGTGGACTGGGTAAAGCAGATTGCCCTCTCCAAGGTGGATGGGCATCATCCAATCTGTTGCAAGCTTAAACATGACAAAAGGAGGAGGAAGGGGGAATTTGCTGTCTGCCATCTGCTTGATCTGGGACATCGGTCTTCTGCCCTCAACTGTGACTCGCACCATCAGCCCTCTGGTATTGAGAACTACATCATTGCCTTTCCTGAGTCTCCAGCTTGCAGACAGCAGATCATGGGACTGCTCAGCCTCCCTAATCACTTTGCCAATTCCTTACGCTGTAATAAATTTTTTTTCTCTATCCATCCATCCTCTTGGTTCTGTTTCTTTGGAGAACCTTAACTAATAGAGTATTCTTATTTTTATCTGATAGTTTGTGTTTGCCTCTTCTCCAGTTTTATGGCCCAAACTTTGAACTGTTCTGGGCTTTAAGATTTATACTGGTATTTTACCTTACGGAACTTTCCCCTACATCATAAACCATAAGGCATCTGCTTCTAGTTTTGGTAAAAATGTTGATGATTTATGCCTACCATCCTTTGATACCTTGGTTTGCTCTAATGGGAATCGACATCTATATTTGTTAATTGTAGGCAGGCCATTACCTGGGTCCCTGGGCTCATCTCTGTCTTCCTAGGCTGCCCTGCTGGCCAGATCTGTTTTGAGGCAATGACAGTAAGCTAAGAAAGGCAGCTCTTTGTAAGCTGGCGATAGATTCCTTAGGAACTTCCAAAGGGTACCACAAATAAGGTAAAAAGTTCTGTGGAGGTTTTACCTTCAAGAGTAGCTCATTGTAAAGTCTTTTGTATGTCTAAGTTACATGCTTAGACAAAAAGAAAAGTTGGTAACTCTCCCTGCTTTGCTTGTAACATATTAGCTGAAATAACACTGACTTCTTTGTCAGACAGAATCTATCTTTTCTGTCTGTGTTTCTTTTTCAGAACATGCATCTCTGGTAGGCAAGAGAAATACATGCTATGCTAGTGTTCGGACACAAAAAACGATGAAGAGCAAATATTTCTAAATGCGTGTTTAGACAATATGGTCTCTAACGTCCCTTAAAATTTGTAATGTTCTCTTAGGCTTTAGGGAGAGAAAAAAAACATGTGCAAGTGCTATGTTTTGGATTTGTGTCCCCACCCAAATCTCATGTCAAATTGTAATCCCCAGTGTTGGAGCAGGGGCCTGGCAGAAGGTGATTGGATCATGGAGGCAGATTTTCCCCTTGCTGTTCTTGTGATAGTGAGTGAGTTCTCATGAGATCTGCTTGTTTAAAAGTGTGCAGCACCTCCGCCTGCTCTTTCTTCCTCCTGCTCTGTCCATCTAAAATGTGCCTCCTTCATCTTTGTTTTCTGCCATGATTTTAAGCTTCCTGAGGCCTCCCCAGTCATGCTTAATGCATAGCCTGTGGAATTGTGAGTCAGTTAAACTTCTTTTCTTTAAAATTACCCAGTCTCAGGTAGTTCTTTATAGCAACGCAAGAATGAACTAATACAGCAAGTAACAAAAGTAGTCCATAGGGAATATCAAACCATTCATCTCCTTCATATTAGATGAGTCTAGGCTCCCAGGAAGCCCAAAGGCAAACTCTAGGAAAAGAAATCTTCCTTAACTGTGTGAATTCAACCTCTACAGAGGATTTAGGAGTCTAAAAACAAACAGAATCCCTCCTACGCTCCACAAAACCTTTTCCTTGGGACCCACAGAGAGTTAGAACTTTATAAGCCTGATCAGTGAGATTTCCTAAATGGGAACCTCTGGCTTGGCCAGACAGAACATGGAGCTATCTTAAGTCTTATTACAAGTAGCCTGGAATTAGTATGCTTCTGTGACACATACTACACACAGACAGCTTAAATGGAGTGGTACTCTGATCTGTTCCTCTTTTGATCACCTCCAAACTTGAGCCATGTTTGGACAGATCTCAAATTGCAAAGAAAGCAGGCTTATTACATTCAGTACAAAGAACAACTACCAGGGAAAGAATCACTGCAAAGTAGATGTGTACTGAATAATTCCCAAAACTTAGAAAGGATTGGGAGACATTTGAATCTGATCAGCCAGAGTAGAGAGACTTGGATGAACCTGGAACTCTTAGTGAACACAACAGAAGGATTACCTTTTTATTTTTTATTTTTAAATTTTTTTGGTAGCAGGGCTAAACTATTCCTACAGTGGTATCCTAGGTGCACCTTTAAAAATCTTAAAATAAGTCTCAAAAATGTCAAGCTGAAATCTGTCTGCCAAAAAAAGAAAATCAAACACACACACACACACACACACACACACACACAAATGCAAAGCAATAAGCCAACACTTAATCCTCTTTAAAAGCAGATAACAAACTCCTGACACTCCATAACATAAAATGTACGATTTCTAGTTCAGAATACAAAGTCATTAGATATGCAAGAAGCAGGAAAATATGACCTATCGTGAAGAGAAAGCACATTAATAGAAACAGACCCAGGAATAACAGAGATTATGGAATTATCAAACACAGACTTTAAAACAATATTATAAAAATGATTAAAGATTTAAAGGAAATTACATATAGGAAAAAGAGAAGATACAACAAAATAACCAGTGGAACTTCTGAAGTTGAAAAACACAGTACTTGAAATAGAAAATTCACTGGCTTTGTGTAACAGTAGATGAGATACTGGAGAAAAATAGATGAATGAGCTTAAAGAGCAATCAAAATAATTTAAATCAAAAGACACATACAAAGACACAAGATGAAAAACAATGTGTAGAGTCTTAGTGACCTGTGTGACAATGTCAAACAATCTTACATACACGAAATTTGTATTCCAGAAAGAGAGAGTGGCAGAAAAATGTTTAAAGAAATAATGAGCAAAATTATCCTTATTGATTAAAAGTATGTTCTAGAACTCTGTGAAGTTAAAAGGTAAATACATACCCCAAACCCATACCAGGACACATCAAAATCAAATGGCTGAAATTCAGTGATAAAGAGAAAATATCAAAAGCAGTCAGAGTGGGGAGAAAGACTTTTTATAAAGAGAAGCAAAGATAGGAATTATCACTGACTTCTCATCAGAAGCAATGCAAGCCAGGAAACGGTGGAATAGTATTCAAACTAGAATTCCATATTGTGCACAAATATCCTTTATAAAAGAAGGCAAAAGAAAGGAGGCATTTTAGAAAAGCAAATTATGAGAGAATTCATTGGTAGCAGACCTGTACTACAAGAAACATTTAAAAAAGTTCTTTTCACAAAAGAAAAATAATATCAGATGAAAACTTGGATCTACCAAAGAGTTGAAGAGTAACATCATAAATATGTGAATATAAACAGACTTTTCTTCACAAGCTTTTGTTTTTTAAATATAATGAATTGCTTAATTCAACAAAATGTATTGTGCAGTTTATACCATATGTGGAAATAAAATCTGTAACAACTGCACAAATGTTAGTGGAATGGTGTGATGGGGTTATGGAGTATGCTGTTTAAAGATTCTTATATTCGGCATATATGAAGAGATATGATATAACGAAAGAAGACTGTAGTGAGTTCAAAATGAATCTTATAAATCCTAGAGAAACAAATACTGATGTAACAAACTAGTAATTTTTCAAGAGGAAATTCTTTAGATGTAAAGTTGATGTAGCCACTTAAAAATAAGTTGTATTAGCTAATATTAAATGTACTAAATTAACATGCTACTCCCCTCACAAACAAACACTAGCAAAGAAGAGTAGAAGGAACAAGAAAGACACAATAGCCTTTCTTTGCTCTATGAATTTGGAATTCTGCTGAGACAGAATTTATCTTCTGTGGACTTTTTGAGAAAGTTGTTAAAAAGAATGGGAAGGGAGAAGGAATATTTCTTCATATTGTAAGGGTGCATCTGAAGATGGAGAGCATGTTTGTGGTGACATTAGTCCACAGAGTTGGGCATTTTTCTCCAGCAGTGATTAGCCATTTGAAGGGCAGGGAAGTCAGGTGATTAAATTGATATAAGACTGGCATGTCAGATAGACAGTAATAAAATTGTGGGAATATATGAGTTCAAATGATGGGTGAGATCTAATCCAAATGTGTGAGGAAGTTATTTCACTATGGGGTTTATTTGTTTGGAAGAATATAGTTAAATGGACTAGAGGTCTTAGTAATGCCAAAGAATAGGTATAATTAGAGTGATAAAATGAGAGCAGTGAAGGCAACAGAGATTTAGAGCAGAAAACTAGAATTAAAGATTTCACAGGTGGGACAGTTTTCTGTTTGTTTGTTTGGTTTTGTTGTTTGTTTTTTGTTTTATTTTATTTTGAGACGGAGTCTCGCTGTGTCGCCCAGGCTGGACTGCAGTGGTGCGATCTCGGCTCACTGCAAGCTCCGCCTCCCGGGTTCACGCTGTTCTCCTACCTCAGCCTCCTAAGTAGCTGGGACTACAGGCGCCTGCCACCACGCCCGGCTAATTTTTTGTATTTTTAGTAGAGGCGGGGTTTCACTGTGTTAGCCAGGATGGTCTCTATCTCCTGACCTCGTGATCCGCCCGCCTCTGCCTCCCAAAGTGCTGGGATTACAGGCATGAGCCACCGCGCCCGGCCAGGTGGGACAGTTTTAGGTGACATCAATAAGTGAAATGCAAGTGTTGATTGGTGGGGTCCGGGAGGCTGTTATTGACTTTGTGAAGTTGGCATGCTTGGTGGGCTGTCCATAAAGATTTGTATCTTACTCAAGACAATAGTGGGATTTGAGATTCATAGACCCTGAGCCAGGTGACAATAGCCTGTGATCAATAGTATTTTCAGGGGATAAGAGCCGTTTTTTATATGCCTAATGAGGTCCATGATTTTTGACTTCCCCATGCTTTAATTTAGTCAGCTGAACTAACCCGTTGCAGTACTCAGTAAATGTTGAATATTTATGATGAGAAAACTAGGGGAATATTACCGGAAGTCTCCTTATGGATAAAATACAGTAGCTACTAATATTTACTTATACTCTCTTTCCAATCATATGTTAAGAAATATAAAAAACAAGTGAATCACTTCTACTATGCATTATTTAGAAACTTTAAGGAAGGTAGGATTATAAATATCAATATCTATATTCAGATATTATATTGCATAGGTCGGTATGTAATGCAGAGGAAAAGCTGGGAGAAGCACCAACATAAGCCAATTTCTATCTGATGTACTTTCTGTATGTTTAGTGAGGTGTGAACTCTTATAATTACTTTATAGATGAGGAAACTGAGGCTCAAAGAGATATCAGCTCTCTGAGTTGTATTAGACTGATACAGAGAATTTTAATCTGGAAGGATTACCTGGAAGAATAATTTTAATTTTGAAATAAAACTGATACAATTGCCTCTGCAATTACCTGGGGCTTTTATTCACTCTTCTGGTCATTGTAATTAGAGGTCTGCAGAGTGAAAGAAATTATTGATAGATTTGGTTAAGTTATCTATAGCTTTAAACCCTAGCATTAAATTCGTAATTCTTCTTAATTTTTATTTTGAAATGCTCCATTAAACTACACAGAGTAACAAATAGATCATTTGGCTTTTGATTTGTCATCTACTTTCTCTCCATTTCTTTCTTTCTTTATTTGGTCTATATCTTTATTTTTTGCACATCATGTATATACATTTGTGATTGCTTGCCTCCATGACAGATACTGATGGTCTGCCATCAGTTATTTTAATAATTAGTAATTGGCAAAAATAAGTTATTAATCTTGATTTTGTTATTTTGTTTTCTCATCTAGACAACAAACCATGGCAATTTCTAGAATATTTTGTATAGACTAATTACTCAATTTGGGCTCAAGTTTTATATACAGTGACCTTTGAGTTAAAATATCACATCATCTGATGTTTATGCCTTAATGTAGTTTTTAAGTATTAACATCTACAGCTCCCCTAAATCTTTTTTTTTTTTTAACTAGAGCTCAGTATTTTGTAACAGGAGGAATCTGCCACTCCTTTTTTTTTCTTTTCTGTCCTTTCCATTCAGACCTACGTCTCCACCCAGATGTTCTTCCCTCCTCTGCCTGTGATATTCTACTATATATATATATATATATATATATATATATATATCTCCTTGTTTTTCAAAATGGAACTTTTGGAGATAAGCACTAGGGAAGGATGTAGATTACATACTTTTGGTTACTGTAAAGAATAAAAAAAGGAATAAAATTAACATGTATTGAGTCTACATTTATCCCATCACTCTTCTCAATCATTTACATATATCATCTCATTAATCTTCCTGTCCACTATATTATGTATTATCTTCATATTATTAATGAGGAAATTGAGGCTGGGGAGGTTTGATTCCAAAACCTATTTCTTCTATTATACTCAATTGCCTCTAAAATAGTTTATAATTGAATAATATTTGGAAATGAGAAGAAATAAAACTCTCAGAGCCCTAAGAAAAAAATACTTTTAACGGCAGACAAAAGTTAGTGATGTTAGCAACTAGGAAGAACAATAATAGTAATATAACGCAAAAGATAAAATATTAAATAACTAACCTGTATGAAATTCATTTATAGATTAACTAGGGTTCTGTAATGTAAACAAGAGTCAACGGTGGTGTTTGATCAAATGCAGATTCCTTGACCTGACTCCAGACCTCCTGAATCAGAAACTATTGGGATGGGCCACTGATAATGATGGTCCACATGGTATCTTTAAAAGACACAAGAATCAAGGAAAAAAAAAATGAAATGAAAGCATACCAGGTTAAAAAGGTGAAATTAATTTTCAATTTCTTCATCAAATGTTGAATCAACCAATGGAACCACTGATGCCCTTCTGCTCAGGCTATGCTTGGTGCACTGACAATTTTAGTGTGGTCTTGTGGTGAGAGATCAAGAAGTTCCGACTCATCTTTCCACCATCAAAGCTGCATTAGACCACATGGCCACCTGGCTCCAGGCCTCTGCTGCCTCTCCTGGCCAAGTGCAGTACTGCGCACACCTTGACCAGGTGACTGGAAGCTGTTGGTCCAGCTCAGCTGCAGGAACTTTGAAGAAGAGAACTAAGGTGATAAAGCCAAGATAAACTTTCATTTTGTTTTGGAAAGAGAAGAAGAAGGGAGTAAGCAAGAGGCTTACTGTTTGGAGCTGGCAGTGTAATATAAAAATATGGTGAAATGGAGGCCATGTCCCTCAAATCCTAAACCTCTTTTATTCCCCCATTAAAAATGCACTACAGATTATAGGCTGCATAACCAATATTATTATAGAAGTAGAGTAGAACAGGGCCACCCCAAAGGTTTTAACTTTCCTGATCAATATTTAATAACTTAAGAGCACTGATGGAACTTTTAGGAGAGATTCCTGAACAATACTGTCAATCCAGAGAATATAGGTGAAAAACAGGAGAGGCATCAGAAGTAGAGATGGGATCATGTCTTCCTGGTTTTCCAAAAAAGAAACATAGTCGATATTGCAATATGACCCAGTAACATTGATTGGTTCCCTAGAAAAAAATTTTAATGCGGTTTCTTCATTTAAATTGTTTCAAATCTACTTAAAAAGAAATAATCACAAACACCATTTTGTCAGGAATAAATGAGGTCAGATATAAGTTTACTTCTTTCTTTTGTAGGCCTACTAAATTAGTAGTTCCAAAGGAACGTAGATCTAGGTATCTCATATGCACCACTGCATTTGAATTAAAGTCTCTAAAGCCACAGGCCACAAAAGTTTTCTTCTCGGTTTACTTAATTCCCTAATCCTTCATCCATCTTCAGTTAGCTCAGGAGTTGCAATGATGACAAAAGTAGACTGTTCACAGGACAAGTGATCATTGCGTCCTTTTTAGGATGCTTGTCTATCAAGACAGACAGAGAAGGGTCGGTCAGTGGTGACATAATTATAAAATCAATAGTTCTGACATCTTGGTAAGAGAGGTGCATGAGGCCATCCTTACATTAGACTAACCTGACAGGTTGTTGTTTTACAATATTTTTTCCACTTCTATATGCTTAACTTATTAACCATTGTTTCTATTCTTAAAAATAAAACTAATAAATATACATACTTTAAAACATTCACAAAGTTCATAGAGCTATAAAAAGAGACAAAAATGTCACTGGGTCCAGTCTCTACCTCTTTTCTTTAAGAAATACCGCTGTTAACCGTTTTTTTTTCCAGAAAAAAAGCCTGTATGTCCCCATATACTTATACACATTGGATCATACTATATGTACTGTTTTACGTCTTCCTTTTTAGTATTGAATGATATGCCTGGGGGATCTACACATATCTACGCATGTAAAAAATTCATTTTATTCTGTTACATTTATGAAGTATTCCATACTCGTGGTCTTCAATACCTTAGCAACTAGTCACTAGCCACTAGCTACTAGTTCGATACCTTAGTCACATTAAATATTTGAAATGTGGCTACTGCCAATTAAGATATGCTATATGTGTATTTCACTTTGCAGATACATTGTGTTTGTTTTCTATTTAGTGGACATTTGGGTTGTTTATAGCTTTTTTGTTGTTATTCCTAGTAGTGCTACTATGAACATTCTTGAACATATTTCTTCATGTGTTTAAAAGTTTTTCTCGGATGGATATTTTCAATTTTTATTTTTTATCACAACTCAGTGCAAAACACATCTTACAATATATAGAACGCGTGCACACACACAGATATGTCATGAACTCTCCTCTCCTCTCTCCTGTCCTCTATTTTATCGTGAGGCAAATTGCATACCATCTTCTTCAAGAGTCCGATAGTAATTCTTGATCCTTTACTGTTGCATATAAATTTCATAATAGGCTTGTCAACTTCCACGAAGGGCCCTGTCAGCATTTTGATTAGATTCTAGTTAAGTCTATAGTTTGATTAGTAGGACATTGATAAAAAACAAGACAAGGGTTTCTGGTCAAGAATATGATATATCTTCCCATATGTTTTTATATTCGAGTTTGAGTGACAGAGTTATGATCTTTTGTAAAGTCTACTCTTAAATTATCCCTTATTTTTTAAAAATTGTTTTCTCTGTTTTTGGCACAAATTGATATTTATATGTGCTTGATATTTAAATGTATCTTGTTTACAGGAACCACAAGAAAATTTTAATCATTTTCTTTCTTAAAATGTCAAATCCTGGCTGCATTGGTATCACTCTGATGCTCTGAAATTTATTCAACTTTTCTAGTTTTTCAGGCTACAAGAGGTAGTCTGATGCAAAATGAAATGACTCAGTCAAAATAGAATATATTTTTACATATATATTCATAATGTTTTTGTCTGGTATTGGTATAAAGGTTATAGTAGACTCTTAAAATTATTGAGAACACTTCCTCTTTTCTCTTCGTTAACAAATTTTGCCTTAGATTCGCTAGATGTTTCTGAATGTTTGGTAGAACTTCTTTGTAAAACTATGGTGGCCTTGTTTATTTTCATGAAACATTTTTTTATTTTAAAATAGTGTAGCAGTTATAGTATCAAATATTATATTTCTTTTGAGTCAGCTTTGGAATTTATACTTTTCTAGGAATTCCTTATGTTTCGTTTTTCACATGTGTTGGCATCAAATTACTCATAGTATTTTATTTTCTTTTAAATCTCTATGTAATCTCCAGTTCCCTCCCTTTTAATCCATACTAACATAATTTCCATCTTCTCTTTTTCAATTTCCTTCAGAAATTTGTCTATTATTTTTTTCCTCAAATAATCAGTTGATGACTTTGTTGATCATCTTAATTCTTTGGACTTTCATTAGTTTTCATTGTTGGCATTAATTTTTACTTTTCTTATTTTCTAGCATGAGCGTTTAAAGCTTTGCTGCATTTCGAGGCTGTCGATGGCTTGCCACAGCCCAACTACGTGATCTTCTTACCTGAATCTTACCTTCCTCTTCCAACAGACTGCCAGGCAGGCTGTTCAGCAAAAGCATGATTGAGTGTGTTCCTTAAAGATAGATGCTGACACAATCTTCTCCTTTTTCACCTTTCATCTTCCTCTCATCTCCTAGTTTTCATTTTAAGCTAAGAAATATTTCTCTATTACTTATAAGCTAGGTATATTAAATATACATGTTAGCATTGTAATACAATGCCAAAGTTCTTCTAAAAATAATTGATGTATCTTTCAACATCAAATGCACATTTATATTAAAAAGAATAACATAGCAACTGAAGTTTCCGGTTTACCTTGGCCTCAGAAGAAGTGTATGTACATATAAAAGAGTCTCAAAAGTCTGGAGCTATGATGTGCTTTTGAAAATTTGCCATGTCCCAAGCACTGTAGTTTGAATTGGCTGATGGTGAGATAGCTATTTTTAAGGCTAGAGTTGTTCAAATCTGAATGTCGACACCAAGGGGAAAACAAGAGAGCCTGGCTCTGTGTATTATTTATGAGGAATTACCTTGAAACTTATCTTCAGGTCCTTTGTGGTAATAACTTCTCTTAATAATCAGATATAGTTTCAGAGCAGGCTGTTTCTCATTCATTTAAAATGGTTTAAAATTCTGTATCAGTTTGATTAAAGAAAATAATTTACTGCCCAGGTCGAACACTGAGTAAATTGAGATTGAATTTCTGTTTCTTAAAAATGTATTTTTTCACTTTGTGTGCAAAAGATAAGTTTTCAGACTAAATGCTGAAAAAGTCTGCGCTGACCAGTCTGTGTGCCAAGTTTAGATGGCCTCAATTAAGTTTCTGGCCCTATAGCACCCGCTGCTCCTCTGCTTCCCAGGATCCTCCATGCCCTTGCTGAGGGGTCATTTGTCTGCTGCTCTCACTTTGTTTAGGGGCCTGGCCAGGATCTTCCTCAGAACGATTTCCTCCTCCCCACCCTTTCCTCAGTCAGCTCAGGGAGTTGGGAGTTGGTTAGGCCTTGGGGACTCAGGGCCTGAACTAAATGCCTTATCCAGAATGGCTAAAGTTTCTCTAGGTACCAAGACAACTTAAATGTATTTATCTATAGATAAAGCTATACTTAATTTGGAAATGTTAGCACCTTATTTGTTAGAGGATTGATGATGTGGTCATCTTCTCATTTAGATAATTTCTATTATTAAATTATATTACTATAATAAAAAACATGTTTGTGGATATCCTGACAGGAAAATCAACAGATGCTACTTAACTCTTGGTTCATCTCAGCAGTCAGAAAGAGTGGGGATATTTACTCCGTGTATCCACTTTTCCTTTTTGATTTATAATCCAGGGGCAGGCACTGGAAAGGCCCTGAAGAAATAAAGAGTAATTCTGCTTTACCAGATATGCGGCTATAGTGTGGGAAGAGGTTAAATTTTGGTCAGATGTCTGGAAATAATGGGGCTGAAGATCCTCTGTGGCCTGACTGAGTTGATTCTGGATTTGTTGAATGTGCTTATATCCCCAGGAAGCCAGCAAATCCTGTAAAGTCCTTGATGGGCATCTAGCTAAAACAGCACTGTAAGTTAACTCTGACATTTGCTGCTCAGTTCAATAAGAGTAGGGAATTCTCATGCAGTTTTTGACAGGTATAGATAGATTATTACAACCACTTATTCAAGGCTTGAGAACACAATAGCATTAGGAAAAGTGAGACCCAAGCTTTAAGAGTTTTCAGGATCTAATGGATTTATGACCTGGAAGCAGAATAATAAACATAACATCTACCTTAATATTGGAATCCTTTTCTGGGAAAGAAATGGTGATGGCCTGGGTGTAGCTGTCCCTGTGAAGGAGGCCATAGGGATAACCTGGAATGCACAATCAATCTCATGGTGGAGGTTGGAAGAGGAGGAGGAGGTAGAGGAAATAGTGCTATCATTTTCTTCCTAGGTTATCTACATGTACCTGTATGAAAGACCAGCAGATGTCCTGGTCTCTGCCTTTTGAGCTGCTCTATTCCAAAGATACCTAAAGCCATTCAAAACTTGGGCCTGAGAAACTTATTAAAGCCATTTATTTATCTTTGGCCATTTCCTATATTTGATTTACTACATGTCATCATCAAAGGAGTAAATAATATAATTAAAGACTATATTGTAATCAAGTATTTTCCCAGTCCTCCTTTTTTTTTTTTTAAAAAAAAGGTAGAATTGAGGCTCAGAGAGCTGAAACTCTAAGGACCAACAAGCAATACATTATTGAAAAGCTTTCTTTTTTTTTCTAATATGACTGTTTCAATGAGGAGATGGTGTAAAGCAAACCAAGCTATGCATCTCAGCAAAGCATCTCTTGGAGTTCAGTCAGTAAGTAGTTATAATTAGGTTCAAAATCTCCAGACGTTATAAAAAACTAAAATGTACTTCCTATTATAAGTGATATAAAAAGGAGTGGAAGGGTAGTAATTGGAGACTAGTATCACTCACCATTCTCAATATATTGGAGACATGAGAAACTTGTGGGAAGTTCCTGTGGACTGTGTCCAGGGACAGCATTAACCCAGATATTGACCTTTCTTGTGTGAGTATGAAGGCAATGAAAAAAATTCTTCAAGAAATTTGCATAATTTGGGAGGAGAATATTAAATGTGTGGTATTTAGAAATCTACTTAGTTAAGTAAGTCTTTGCATGGAATTGGCCAGATTTCTTAGGAGCCATGCATAGCTTTGTGAGGAGGTGATCTATTTTCTTGCAACATTGTTTCTGCCCTACATCACTGATTCTTGAGAATACATATGAGACTCTCTTATTTAAACCAAAACAGAGGAGAGAAACATTTGCTGTTTAATTTTGATCTTTTTCAAAAGATCTTTTTTTTTTTTTTTTTTTTTTTTGAGAGCTAGGCAGGAAGACAAATTCCTCATCCTCGCAACTGCAATAAGTGAATAGAACCAAACCATGACTTTCCTTGCACAGGTGCTAAAGTGAGACATGGCTGGTTTGCCACAATATTAAACTATCCCTGAGCCTTTCAGTGATGTGATTGAGAATTTCTGTGGATGGGATTTGGGATTGAGAATTTCTGTGGATAGGATTTGGGAATTTTGTCACCAGTGAGGGATTCCATCTTTTTATGGTTCTTTCACAGCTTTTGAGGTTTGAGGACAGTAGAGTGTTTTTGAGAAATCTACAGGAATGTGGGGCCGCTCTTAGAGAGATGAGTCTGGAAACTCAGCTTGGATTCTTACCAGTGTTCAGCACTCATGGGCTGACATTGGATCCCACAGTTAGAATCTCAAAAAGGAGATATATATGTACAGCTACTTTCCTTAATAAAATCTTCAGTTGGCAGCAAAGAGAATTTCTACAAGTGAGAGGCTTAGCCAGACTCTAAAACCAGACTATGTTTCCTTTTTTCTAGAGTTTTTCTTGCAAATTTTCATTACCACCATCTTGGAGATGATGGCATGAGTATACGGCATTGCTCCTTTTGAAGTTTTTCTTTGTCTGAGAGGCAGTCCATTTTTCTATTAACAGTTAGGCCAAAATTGAGATATTTACATTATTTGCATAAGACTTATCTGAAAGTTGGAGAATAACGAAAGAGAAGTAACTGGAGAATGACGTGCAACTATGGTTTACAATGGATGACTGGCTTCTATGAGAATATGTCAGATCACCTAAATTTCAGAAGAGATGAAGACATAGAAGAAAAAGGCCCTTGTCTCCTCCCCAGATGATCAATGACAATTTCTAGGAGTGACCATATCTATGCACAATACTAGAAAACCACACAGTGTCCATCATTTCATATGCATCAACATGGAAGCCATTAAATCTCAGAGGCTGTGACGTCTTCCTGTATTTCTTGTATCTACTCTTGATTGTTAGAGAGAATAAGTTTTAGTGCTTTGGCTGTGCTATTTACAAAAGTTTCTGAGACTGTTTCAATGTCCAAAAGAGAATTTCTACAACATCTTTGGCAGAAAATATTTGAGACTCTAGAATATTCCAAAATGAAGAAATAGGAGAAGCCAAAGCTTAAGCTGTAAAGGGTCTAAGAGTAGCTCCATGCAGGAAAATTTGCTTAAGACCAGGATAAGGAGACTATGGAGGTCGGCATCTGGAAGATAAATAACATAATTATTATGGATTTGATCTTTATCTCTTGAATCTTATCCAGGCACAAACTTTGGTGAGAGGGTTACAGGGCTCCTGGGTGAAGTCTAAGAAATATTCTGGTTCTTAAAGTTACATTCTAGCAATGAATGGGTTGCCCCAATACTAAAAGTATATTTCCTCACAATAATATGGCTTGTTTTTCTTCCTTGCAACAGAAAAACAGAGGGGAAATAAAGAAACAATACTTGGCAAACCATGACAGAGATCTTGCCTAGGTATGTTGTGTTGACATTTTTGTTTCTTCCCAATGGGGTACCGTGTACTAGAAATCAAATAATGTGAAAATGAATCTTTAAATGAAGCTATAGCTTCTGTTCTATTGTCTTCTGTATTTGTAACAATACATTTGAGTATTGGGCCCCAATTTCTCTGTGGACATTGAAGAAATTGGTGCATATCTAGAAAAAAAGGCAACAAGTGTAGTAAAGGGCAATATCAGATGAAAAATGTTTGCAAGTATTAGGAGTATTTAAGTCAAACAAATGAAGACTGGAACTCATGATGCAAACAGTGTAAGAGTTTCCCAGTGAAAGAAAAGTTTGTTTTATGTGAAGCCAGAGGGTGTGTTCTATACTCATGCCTTCATGGTCAGATTGAAACAATTATAGCTATCTCTGCACAAAAGAAACCCAAGTACTTTGCGGCTTATCTGAACTCATCCGACATACATACCAAGATCTAAGAATACAGACTTCCTTTTTTGTACACCCAATGTATCAAATTATTGACAAAAAATAATTATTCAATAAATGGTTTGTTGACAACCAATGGTTATTTTGTGCCAAGGATGTGTCAGCTCTGTAGTGAACGTAACAGCCATGGTCTCTTTCCTCACCCCTTTGTCTGATAAAATCCAGAATGCCTTATAAATATTTCCTCTAATATCTCCTCCTTCATGATCCTACTAATCTTTTAGTCACTCCTTTTGCCACTATATATGCCTTTATTAAAGATTTTTTTCACCTCACATTATTTTTTATACTTAAGTATGTAAAAATTAATTTTTTCTTTAACTTTATAGTTTTAGCTACTGGCAAATATCAGGTGCTTAACTAGTGCTGTTCACAAAAGGATGGAATTGTAAAGATAGTTTTCATGTCCCTGGCAGCTAGGGTTACTTAAGGGGCATCTCTAATGCTTTATTCAAAAGGGAAATTTAAATACTTCCTTTTCCCCACGACTTTTGTAATCAATATAGATTATTGCACTGTCAATGCTGCCAATACCAGAGATAGAAGGAATATAGTGAAAGAGAGCCAACCAAGATTGTTCTTGCTTGGCTATTAAAATTAAGTCTTGATCTATACTTGTTTACTTATACTTTCATTCTCCAATAAGTTAAATACAAGGTGCTTTCCAAGCCATGCCTTATGTAATTTAATTCTCATAGCAACCTATGACGTTGCCCATTATTAAAGTGTTAAACCAAATTCTCAGAAACTAAATTGATTGTTCCAATTTTTACTTTTGATATGGCTGCTAGAGTAGAAAATTATGTTGTACCACTGAACTGGTGTATCTGAGTAGACAGCTTTAACTTGGACAATAAAGCTTTTAAATGGGACCACCAAATAATTATTTACCATTCCATACTTATTGCATTTTAGTTGGAGTGTGATAATGATTATTTTTGACCTATTTAGATTTTCCTTATAATCAGATTTATCTCAAAGCCTACCAGTTGTTCATATTTGACCAAATGCTTTTCTTATTGGTTAAGATGGCTGTTCTCTGTGGAGTTACCTGAAAGATGTATCCATGTCGATTTCTAAGTCTGGCATTTGAGTCATCCAAAAGGATTCTGTCAGTAAATAAGAGCTATTTCTAGCTCTTTGACCTCTTAATCTGCATCTTTACCAAGGTCATTATTTGTTTGAGAATGCATGGGATGGATAGAACCTTTATTGTTTCCTGTTATATATTCATGGTATTATTAAATGAAATAAAGATCAACATCAATTTTATTCCAATTTTTCAACTTTATAGATGTCTGAGAAATATTATTTACTGAAAAGTAGATGGGAATGAAGGAGTTTTGTTATAGCAATGTCACTCACTTTGAAATTCTTCTGAGATACATGGCAAACACCCCATAATGATTAATCATCAAAAATATTTTTTATGAACAGCCGTCCACTGATAAGTTCTTCAATCAATCTCTTTGAAAGCAAATAATTGGATACCCCTTGACTGAGAAGAGGATTTTTAAAGATCCAGTCACTAAACTTCTTCATTTTCTCAACACTAACACCGATATTTAAATCATCCATTTGTTTGACATCCCAGAGACTGTTAAAAAAGAAGCAAGGAAACATGGTAAAATAGAGATGGATGAGAAGCAAGACTTTACCAACTTTTTTGAGCTTCAGTTTCTGTGTAAAATTGGGATAACAGTGTACCTATCTCTTATGTTTATTGTGAGATATTATAAATGAGTTATGTATCTATCATAGCAATACTAAGAACCACCCAAGACGTAGCTATTAAATGATGCACTCGGGCCTGATTTAGGCAGTTAACCTTACCTTACCTTACTAAAGGTGAGTAGGGCACACAATGGCCAAATATAAAACAGGCAGCACAATCAAGATTTTCTTATACATCACATTTTGAGGTAGAATTTTATCTAGTGGTAACATCTAATCTCTTTGGGGAGGAGATTGGCTAAGGTTAGGTTGGGTGTCAGGACTCTAGAAGCATGGGCTTAGGTAAACAGAAAACTCTAATTTCCAGCAGGAAGGCAGTGAAGGAGAATCTGTTCCAGACTTCCCTCCTATATTCCCAGGTAACTCTTGGGTTGTAGATGAGACCTCCCTGTGTAGAAGTTCTCTCCTCTTCATATTCCTTCTGTATGTATCTCTCTGTATGTCCAAATTTCTCCTTTTAATAAACACATTAGATACAGGCGTACCTTAATGACCACACCTTAACTTGAACACCCTTGTCATCTATGGAGCCCCTATTTCTAAATAAGGTCATAGTTACAGGTCCTTGGGGTTAAGAGGTCAACATTTTTGCAGAGTACACAATTCAACCCATAACAGTGATATATCATTAAGTAAGAGATAGGCAGATATTAGGGACATAAAAATACCCATGGCTTTTCCTAGAGAGTAGCCGTAAGTGACTTTCCTTCAAAAGTCTTAATCTTAGTTTTCTTATCTCTGCAGTGGGAGTAAAGCTTCACAGTTTTGTCTGAAGTATTATAATAAAGGAGGACATATAGGTAATAGTGATTTGTAAACTGTGTTACAAAGATACTGTATATAATTATAGTTGTTATTAATGCATTTATTTTATGCCCTATGTTTCCTAGATTTTTCCAGAAATTGAATAAATAAAGTTGAAAGATCTGAAGTAGCTGAAAGGCAAGTAGAGGCAGGGGCCATTATCCGTATGATCAGTTTTTGAATTAGCAATGAGTGATTTCACTGTAAACATTAACATGGTTTAATAACTGGCTATCATAAGCATAATTTAAAATATGTTGCATGTTTCACAGTTTCCTATATGGAATGATTTCTTTATTAGCCTATAGAATATTGAGAGGCAAAACAACTTTAAAAATATTTGCTATTGTTTGTAAGAAAAGCACTGTGCTGAACGCCCATGAGGGGAGAAATATACCAAATTAAAGAGTATGTATATATATTTTATTCCTCTGTCAAAACAATGCTGGTATAAGACTGTGCACGGTCAAATTGGGTTCTAACTGCTATGAGTTAAACTTCCATCTTTGGCTAAACGAATTTCCTCAGCCTTTTATTCTGCATTCTTGGTAAAAGTTTTGGGGGCTGACAGATTGCTGTTATGACCACTTCAGACATTGAAAAATGACTTAGGAGAAACAGCCACAGCTTGGGAGAGACAAATAGCTTCCCAGAAGAGAGCGATTCATGCAGGGGTCATTACCACATATTCAACTACCTGAACCTCAAATATGCGTAGACAGTTCAGTATTTGCCAGAATCAGTACAGAAGTTACCTTCTAATCCCTTCTATCAGGCACAAACAGAAACCCAGAGAGAAAGAGCACAGCCCTTTAGTCCATGTAGCATGTAACTTCATGAACACATTCTGTTCTTTACATGGCTCAGATAATTATATGTAAGATTACAGAATGTAAGTGCAGATTACATAGGCTAGTCAACATGCAGTAAATAATAAATAAACATGATGCCTGGCACCATTCTAAGCCCAGAGAGGCCAGAGCCAGAAACCAGATAAGTAGCCTTTAAAAGATTTATGATTTAGTGAAGTAGTACAATAAGCAAATAATTATGACACAGTGTTAAAACTGCAATGATTAGGAATATACAGATGCTGCTGTGGGAGTATTCAGGAGAGCAACCTTACCTGGACTGGGAGATGGGTGTAATAATGGTAAAAAAGATTTCCTAAGGAAGAATTTTTCACTTTTACAGTGTGTTGAAGGTGTAAGCATGGCAAGATTTATTATCTGCCTCATTATAAGAAAGGAGGTGAGGAACATTCCATTTTAAACTGCTACTGAGAAGAAATATTAGGGCTTAATTTAGTTATAAATTGAACATGTTCTTAAGGGAATGGAAACTCCTGGCTTTTTCAATTCATTTGCCTTAGAAGCCAAGTAGACGTATAACCTATGTGCGAAATACTAGTATTCTGAGCGGCTAGGACCTGTTGGTAGAATTGTCATACTTCTGGAACAGACTTCCACCTAAGAAAAATCTCTCAACAGAGTGTCGGATAAACCCACAGTAGCTCCATACGTCCAAAGCACACAGGACAAAATATAAGACAGTTGGTTTATTTACATGTAAAACAAAATAATAAATGTAGTAAATAATATTGACGCTTAGTAACTCAGGGTCCGTTGGAGTATCTGTACCTACATGGATTAAGGTCTAACGTGACTTGCCATCCCTGGATGAAAGATTGTATTCACAGCAGAGGTTTCTGCCAACAGGAATACCACAGTGAAGCCAAGTGGACTCCTCTTTTCCTAGAAGGGTCCTTCCTCTGGAATTGTTGACACTGGGCCTGCCTCTCTTCAGCCACAGCATCTGTATCATATATGCCAGAGCAATGTGTGGGTCCCAAATGATACTTTTCCTTCCTATAGAACTCCTGTTCATATTTATGCTATGCTGTTTGAGTGAGGTCAGCCTAAAGTGGTTTTCACTGCTATGAAGATTATTGGCAACTTCTCTTTTCCAGAACCACGTGGAGATACAGCAGAAAGTGACCTTGTTAAAAACAAGTCACAGTAGCCAGGGTAAATTCACTCATCTTTTTCTCACTTATTCAGAATTCCACTTTTATTTTATTATACATTTTCCTAAAAACAGACATATATATCTTGCCTTGATTCTTTATTAGCCTAAAAATCTCAATTAATTTTTATTAATTTGTCCATTCTTTAAACTAGTAACATGTTGTTTCAAATATTGTTTTAATATATACTTTAAGTTCTAGGGCACATGTGCACAACGTGCAGGTTTGCTACATATGTATACATGTGCCATGTTGGTGTGCTGCACCCATTAACTCATCATTTACATTAGTTATATCTCCTAATGCTTTCCCTCCCCCCTTCCCCCACCCCACAACAGGCCCCGGTGTGTGATGTTCCCCTTCCTGTGTCCAAGTGTTCTCATTGTTCAATTTCCACCTATGAGTGAGAACATGTGGTGTTTGGTTTTTTGTCCTTGTGATAGTTTGCTGAGAATGATGGTTTCCAGCTTCATCCATGTCCCTGCAAAGGACATGAACTCATCCTTTTTTATGGCTGCATACCATGGTGAATATGTGCCACATTTTCTTAATCCAGTCTATGATTGATGCACATTTGGGTTGGTTCCAAGTCTTTGCTATTGTGAATAGTGCCACAATAAACATATGTGTGCATGTGTCTTTACAGCAGCATGATTTATAATCATTTGGGTGTCTACCCAGTAATGGGATCACTGGATCAAATGGTATTTCTAGTTCTAGATCCTTGAGGAATCGCCACACTGTCTTCCACAATGGTTGAACCAGTTTACAGTCCCACCAACAGTGTACAAGTGTTCCTATTTCTCCACATCCTCTCCAGCACCTGTTGTTTCCTGACATTTTAATGATTGCCATTCTAACTGGTGTGAGATGGTATCTCATTGTGGTTTTGATTTGCATTTCTCTGATGGCCAGTGATGATGAGCATTTTTTTCATGTGTCTTTTGGCTGCATAAATGTCTTCTTTTGAGAAGTGTCTGTTCACATCCTTCGCCCACTTGTTGATGGGGTTGCTTTTTTCTTGTAAATTTGTTTGAGTTCTTTGTAGATTCTGGATATTAGCCCTTTGTCAGATAAGTAGATTGCAAAAATTTTCTCCCATTCTGTAGGTTGCCTGTTCACTTTGATGGTAGTTTCTTTTGCTGTGCAGAAGTTCCTTAGTTTAATTAGATCCCATTTGTCAATTTCGGCTTTTGTTGCCATTGCTTTTGGTGTTTTAGACATGAAGTCCTTGCCCATGCCTATGTCCTGAATGGTATTGCCTAGGTTTTCTTCTAGGGTTTTTATGGTTTTAGGTCTAACATTTAAGTCTTTTAAAATACTTTTTAGTAACTAGTAATAAAAGTCCCTCTTTATTACTCTTCTCTTTTGTATTCTAAAGAATGTCAAACTATTAAAAAGTAGTGGGAACAATGTAATACCCATGATCTCACTGCCCTAATAAACGTCTTAACATTTCTTTATATTTACATTCATTTTAAAATATAGGAAATAAAATATTATAAAACATTCTTTTTGACTACTATTCCCAGTTACATGACTTCCCTACCTTTTCCCCAAGGCAAACACCATCATGAAATTCAAATGCAGTTTTCTAGGTCATTTAATTTTTTTTTTCATTTTTAGGCTTTTTTTTTTTTTTTTTTTTTTTTTTTTTTTTTTAGAATAGTTGCTAAATCACTTTATTTATTTATTTTCACATAAGTTACTGGGGTACAAGTGGTATTTGGTTACATGAGTAAGTTCCTTAGAGGTGATTTGTGACATTTTGGTGCACCCATCACCCGAGCAGTATACACTGCACCATATTTGTATTCTTCTATCCCTTGCCTCCTGCTTCTCTCCTTCCCCGCAAGTCCCCAAAGTTCACTGTATCATTTTCATGCCTTTGTGTCCTCATAGCTTAGCTGCCACATATCAGTGAGAACATACGATGTTTGGTTTTTCATTCCTGAGTTACTTCACTTAGAGTAATAGTCTCCAATCTCATCCAGGTTGCTGCAAATGCTGTTAATTCATTCTTTTTTATGGCTGAGTAGTATTCCATCGTACATATATACCATAGTTTCTTTATCCACTCATTGATTGATGGGCATTTGGGTTGGTTCCACGATTTTGCAATTGTGAATTGTGCTGCTTTAAACATGCATGTGCAAGTATCTTTTTCGTATAATGACTTCTTTTCCTCTGGGTAGATACCCAGTAGTGGGATTACTGGATCAAATGGTAGTTCTACTTTTAGTTCTTTAAGGAATCTCCACATGTTTTCCATAGTGGCTGTATTAGTTTACATTCTCACCAGCAGTGTAGAAGTGTTTCCTGTTCATTGCATCCATGCCAACATCTACTTTTTTCTATTTTTTGATTATGGCCATTCTTGCAGGAGTAAGGTGTTATTGCATTGTGGTTTTGATTTGCATTTCCCTGATCATTAGTGATGTTGAGCATTTTTTAAATACATTTGTTGGCCATTTGTATATCTTCTTTTGAAAATTGTCTATTCATGTCCTTAGCCTACTTTTTGATGGGATTGTTTGTTTTTTTACTGATTTCTTTGAGTTCGTTGTGGATTCTGGATATTAGTCCTTTGTCAGATGTATAGATTGTGAAGATTTTCTCCTACTCTGTGGATTGTCTTTTTACTCTGCTGACTGTTCTTTTTACCATGCAAAAGCTCTTTAGTTTAATTAAGTACCAACTATTTATCTTTGTTTTTATTGCATTTTCTTTTGGGTTCTTGGTCATGAAACCCTTGCCTAATCCATTGTCTAGAAGGGTTTTTCCAGTGTTATCTTCTAGAATTTTTATAGCCTTTTGTTTAGTAAGAAGGACAGAAAGCTGGACAAGATTGCATGGTTCTATTCTAGCTGCTTTCTATAAAGAGGTGTGCTTAGAAAAGAGAGGTTTTTGGTCTTTTCTTCTGTTAACCAAAGCTTGATTTCTGATTGGATAGGTCATGTCTATAATCAATAAATTGGGGACTCCTTTTCCTTTTTGCAGAGCTTAAAATTCATAAGGAAACAGGTCATTTATTTGTAGTAAAGGTAACCTTCAGCTGTAGGTTGTTTGTTCATAAGGACAAGTCTGTTGTTTATTACTGGCACAGTGATGACAAAGGCAAGGAAGATTAGGCCAAGCCTACACTTTCAGGAGAGTCTATCATTGGGTTGACTTTGGTGTTCAGAAGCAGCCTTTCTCAAAAAGCAGGCAGGGAAGGGGCCAGTGATACTTCTCGGCTTGTTGAGGCATATATCTTCCTCTCTCAGGACGGTATTTGTCCATTTTGATAAGTCTCACATGGTACTATTTATAACTTGTAAGATCATTTCAAGTTAGTATAGGTCAGTAAGTTCGATATTTAAGTTTATTTGTGCCACCCAAATCATGATTTCTATGACCTAGGAACACCCATTGTCCACATTTTTAATGGCATGAAATCTGTCTTGCAATTTGATCTTACAGCATATACTTGGAATAGATTTTTAAAAACTGTAAGCTTGACAGTAGTGGCTATGCTTCTAAACTTGTACAGGTGATCAAATGATTTCTTTCCTTGTGGGATTCTTTGGTTTATCTGGACCTTTATTTTGATTTAAGTTTTATTTATCTATAAGCACAAGCAAATTGGACTATATCAAGGGGTATTTTCTGCTCCATTTGCTATGGCTTCTTCCAATAGTTCTTCCAGAGTGTCTTCAGCAGAACCAAGGTTTTCTTGCTGCTGGAAGTGCTTAACAGAGTCAAACTTCATAGAACGAAGTACACTGACTGTGTTGTCAGTCAAAAGTTGGTCTGTTAAGCATTTGGGCCATTTATATCGATTTTAAGATGAACTGGGAGCACGAAGAAAGAGACGATGAGTTTCTCCTCTCACCAACACATAACTTTTCCAAATGGAAAGGAGGGAAAATACGGGGTAAAGGTTTATAGAACAGAGGTTAGGAAAGAAAGTAGGTTGCTCCAGACATATTTTCCCCAACTCAGAGTGGAAAAAGTGAAAATAAGATCAAGGAAGGAAGGAAGGAAGGAAGGAAGGAAGGAAGGAAGGAAGGAAGGAAGGAGCATTAGGAATGCAGTAAAGCATATGATTGTGTACAGAGAGTCAGATACAGGATTGAAGTTCCAGCCTTGCCACTTTCTAGCTGTGTAACCTTGGGCAAGTTACTTAACGGTACTAAGCACCAGTTTCTTTACCTACAAAATGAAAATAACAATAGCACCCTTCTTTTTTTTTTTTTTTTTTTTTTTTTTTTTTTTGAGACGGAGTCTCGCTCTGTCGTCCAGGCTGGAGTGCAGTGGCACGGTCTAGGCTCACTGCAAGCTCCGCTCCCAACTTCACGCCATTCTCCGGCCTCAAGCCTCCCGAGTAGCTGGGATTACAGGCGCCAGCCACCGCGCCCGGCTAATTTTTTTTTGTATTTTTAGTAGAGACGGGGTTTCACTGTGGTCTCGATCTCCTGACCTTGCAATAGCACCCTTCTTACAGTGTTGTTATGAGAATCAAACAAGATAATACATAAAGTGGGCTTAGTTCATGGTAAATACCAAATAAATAGTGGTCAGGATTTCAGTTATTATCAATGTTTTCTTTTTTCCACAACTATTTTGAGAAGCAGTGAAATCTTACATATTTGGCCTTCACTGTTACATAATTACTCAGACAGAAATCAAGCTGAAGTTACCTTGCTGAACAACCTTTCCTGTGAAGTTAGCATTACTCAATTAGTATGATTAATTAACACAGTTAATAGACTAGACAAAACTGAAATAGATTTATTTGTTGAGAAATACTGACTCAACAAATGTCTCTTTTGCTTACTTAGCTTAGGCTAAGATTCAATTATTAGGTGCATCTGAAAATTAAAATACTTCTCCCAAACTGAATTTCTTTTAAGAAATCTACATTTTATACTATTCAATGAGTTAGACTTTCCTCTCCAATTAATTGAAAAGAATAAAGTTTTAGAGTCTAATGCAATTTCCTTGTCTAAAATTTAAAAATATAATAAAATCCCCGGGCAGCTCTCTTTTCAGGACAGGGTCACACTACACCATGGATAATCGAATTCCGTTGAATTTGAACAATGATCTCTTAGCCTCATTCATGATCTTAAGCAGTCTGTGAGTGATTACCTAAAGACTGCTTGAAGACTCTTAAACCCTAATGAGGAATGAGAATTTTACTGAAAATGTAACAACTTCCTTAATACATCCTTCATAAAGTCCTTTGCACTCTCAGTAGTCTATGTAAAAATACTAACTAGAACTCAACTGGACTTCAATTATGGCGGTATGTCATCGAAATACATCCTCCTTCATAAAGTATGTAAAAATACTAACTAGAACTTAACTGAACTTCATGCTGCCATATTATTTGTCATCAAAAGAACAGTAGTTGAGTGGCCTTTATTCTAGTTTTGGCTTTGGCCAAAATCAACAACAAGACCTTGGGAAAGTTATCAAATCAATCCAGGTCTCAGTTACATCATTGTAAAATGGGACATACCTCTAATTTCCTTTAGCTTTAACATTAATCAAAATGCATCCAGTCACTCACAAACTTCTTGTTTGTAAAAGATGCTGTCCTGTCCGGAGCAGTAATATACTCCCTCTTTGTGTCTGCAAAATTAACACAAGGTTATTGTTCTTGGGATTATTACATCATTTTATATTTATCATTTCTCTCTGTAGACTTCACTGGACAGACAATTGTATTTTTTAATCATTTTTAAATACTAGTCTTGTGAAGTTGGCCAGATAACAGCAACCTCACTCCATGAACCAGGGACAACCTATTAGCAGTCCTAAAATTGGAGCCATGCAGATAATCACACAAAGAACCAAATATTGTTATAAATGAAGTATTTGTGAAAGGAGAAAATGACAAATAGGGAAATTTTCTTGTGCTCCCAGAATAAAGGAAATGAGGCAAGGTCTTAAGAGCTACATAAATTAAAATTCCCATACTGATCAAAACCATTTCCATCATGAATAATGAGAATGGTGCATACACTATTAGGCCAGAGATTGGGGACTGGGAGTCTGAGGAGGCAGCTAGCTGGAACAGTCTTACAGTGCAATCCTTTAAGTCAGGGATAAGATCCTAGATTTCAGTCCAAGAAGTTCCCATAATGCGTTTCTACAATGTTTGAAAACATATTGGACATTAAATTAGTTAATTTTATGATTTGTACACCAAGAAGGGAAGGAATGGCATGCTTCATGTATGCCTGAGTAAGGGGTGCTCGTTCACATAGAAGCAACGTGATATTCAATGTTGTCAGGTAGGAGGTGTTATTAACCTTCTCTCCTCTCCTGATGCAAAAGAATATTACTTAGCTCAGGAATTCAGATGCATTTCCTTAATATTGCCCAAAGGGATATATATATATTTTTTTACTTAGGACTTTGTAAAGATAGCAAAACAATGTGGAAGGAATAGGACCCACAAAATAAACTCTGCATATTGAACCATTAATAAATATCTTATAATGTGCAGTTATTCCTTCTCATTAGAGTTCGGGTGACCCTCTATTTTTATGCGAACTACAGTACAGTCACTTTTCTGGTCTGGTCCTAGTCTTTATCACTTATATTCCATTGTAATCATGTTCTGTGGTAGTCATCAATGCTTCTCACAGAATACATCCAGCTTTCCACTTTCCAGACAATGACAGACATTTACTATTTGAATACCTTGTGGTTGAGTGGGACAATGTGGCCAATTCTAATGAAGGAGTTTTGAGCAGAAGGGACATGTGTTACTTCCAGGTGAATCAAATTACCTGTGAGAAACTGAACAAAGTATTCTTTTTTCTTAGGGATAACTACTGGATCAGCAGTACTCCAGACAGTGCTTCACCAGACTGGGTCCCTGGATGATGAAAGAGTCCCCCCTGCAGTACCACAATAAAAATGTAGTGTGAATGAGGGATACATCTTTGTCTCTTGAGCCACTAAGATTTGAGATATAGTTACTGCAGCATAATCTAGTCTTTTTTGACTAATGTCTATGCAGTGTTACATTTCACTCGTGTGGACACCATTTCTTATCAGACAGGTCAAATATATTTACTAGTTATGAAGTGTTCCCAGTCTTTGCTGCTCTTATTTCAAGTTCCATCTTTAAAGCACAGCACCTTTCAGTTCAGACTATACAGCAACCTACCAATTGAATTTTATTGCCCAAGGATTTTGGTTACTACTTGTCATTCCACAAAAGTATACAAATACACAAAATGCTAGCAATATGTGTGAGACCACATATTGCCCTCTAAAATCATGCCCTCTGAATCCTAAGCAAAGAGGACAAAGCTGAAGGCACCACACTGACTGACTTCAAACTATACTATAGCGATCCATAACCAAAACAGCATGGTACCGGTACAAAAACAGACACATAGACAAATAGAACAAAATAGAGAGCTGAGAAATAAGGCCACACATCAGCAAGTATCTGACCTTTGACAAAGATGACAAAAGCAATCAGGAAAGGACTCCCTGTTCAATAAATTTTACTGGGATTACTGGCTAGGCATATGCAGAAAATTGAAACTGGATCCCTTCCTTACACCGCATACAAAAATCAACTAATATAGATTCAAGACTTAAATGTAAAACCACAAAGTATTAAAACCCTGGAAGACAACCTAGTCATGATCATTCTAGATATAGGAATGAGCAAAGATTTCATGAAGATGCCAAAAGCAATTGCAACAAAAGCAGAAATCGACCAATGGGATCTAATTAAACTAAAGAGCTCCTTCTGCACAGCACAGGAAATTCTCAGAATAAACAGATGACCTACAGAATAGGAGAAAATTTTTGCAAACTATGCATCTGACGGGGGTCTAATATCCAGCACCTATAAGGAATTTAAACAAATTTGCAAGGAAAAACCAAGCAACCCCATTATAGAGTGGGCAAAAGACATGAAGACACTTTTCAAAACACATGCATGTGGCCAACAATTATATGAAAAAAAGCTCAACTTCACTGATCATTAGAGAAATGCAAATCAAAACCACAATGAGATACTACCTCACAACAGTCAGAATGGTTATTATAAAAAGTCAAAAAAAAAGAAGAGATGCTGCTGAGGTTGTGGAGAAAAAGGAACATTTATACACCATTGGTGGCAGTGTAAATTAGTTCAACCATTGGAGGAAACAGTGTGTCAATTCCTCAAAGGGCTAACAGAAATATCATTCAACCCAGCAATTCTATTATTGGGTATATAGACAAAGGAATATAAATTGTTCTATTATAAAGACACCTGCACACATATATTCACTGCAGCACTATTCACAGTAGCAAAGACATGAAATGAACCTAAATGCCCATCAATGATAGACTGGATAAGGAAAATGTGGTACATATATACAATGAAACAGTATGCAACCATAAAAAAGAATGAGATCATGTCCTTTGCGGGAACTTGGATGGAGCTGGAGGCCATTTTCCTTAGCAAACTAATGCAGAAATACAAAACCAAATACCGGAAGTTCTCACTTGTTAGTGGGAGCTAACTGATGAGACACATGGACATAAAGAAGGAAACAGACACTGGGGTCTACTTGAGGGTGGGAGGAGGGAGAGGATCAGGAAAAATAATGGGTACTGGGTCTAATATCTGGGGACAAAATAATCTGTACAACAAACTCCCATGACACAAGTTTACCTGTATAACAAACCTGCATGTGTACCACTGAACTTAAAATAACAATTAAAAAAATTAAAAATAAAACCAAATAATGCCCTATGCAAAATCCCATAGCTTTGATTGCATAGGTGTTTCATAGGCCATGATGATGCGTAGAGGAGAAGTGAAAAATGTTTGGACTGAGTGCATTCTGGAAGACTGTCCCATTTCATGTAAAATCGTTCACCTACTGTTGTTCTGTCTCACACTAATAAATGAACCTTGGCTTTAACTACTGTTTGTGGCCATCCTGTAATAACAAAAAAAGTAGATTAAATATATACATAGCATAATGTAAACAAGATTGAAAAAAATTTTAAAGATCATCAGATCTTCTTTGCTTATATACAATTTAGTAATTATCTTTTACTGTACTTTTTTTCTATTTTTGTAGGCACCCTCAAAACACTGGAAAATTACCATATGCATCAGTAGCATATGTAATGATGAAATTATTAAGATACTGAAGTGACTGCCTCTCTTGAAAATATATCTACCACTTGCTGTTTCATGAGGCTGGTAGGCCTATATTTGGTAGAAAATGTCTTGCATTCAATAGTCAGAGCTGATGCTTCCAACAGATACAATCTTGATAGAGAAAAACCAAGGGTATAGTGAATATTTTCAAGGAATTAGGAATCATCATAGTAAACAGAAAAAAAAAAAGACACTAAGACTAATATGAGGAGGGAAAAAAGGCTAATGCTGACTACCTATAGTTTTTCATAGAATGGTTTTTTTAATAATAAAATGGAAGACTTTGGAGCAGTCATTGATGTAAGTACTAATTGAAATTGAAACCTGAATGCCATTCTTAATATCCTAATCATGAAAGCCATTCCTATGGAGGTGCCATTTTTTCTTCTCTTTGTATCATTAGTATCTTTTCCATTACCTCCTACAACCAAGGATCGTATCTTTAGCTGCTTGCAGCCTCATTTAACTCCCTTCATGCTTCCCATACAAGAATCTGGTTCTTACACTTCCCAGACAGAGTCCAGTGGGTTTCTTCACAATATTGAGAAGTATGTCTATCATTTCTGGAGTATTTCTGTTTTACCTAATCCATTTGAGAATGAATGATTTTTATGTAGTAGTGTCTTCCATTTTATTTTTGGTTGTTTATCACGAATCAAATGAAACACCCACTGGGCATACAACTGACTTTTATTGGTGACCTCATGTTTTTATAGGAGGAGCCCTATGGATAAAAATTTGAGAAATTCAACCAAATTATTGTTGTTGTCTTATTATCATACAATCCACAACTGCACCATTTTGGTAACAATATTGCGTTTATCTAATTATTTTATTTAGAATAATATATGTAACTTATCACATTAGGAAGTTAAAACTGGTTTGGGTGAATAATGAAGTTGAACTTCTATTATTTTAAAAATATATTTTTTTAAGAGAAATTTTAGGTGCATCACAAAATTGAGTGGAAGATACTAATATTTCCAATATAGCCTCTGCCTCTGCACATACATAGCCTCCCCATTATCACTAACCTCCCATCAGAGAGGGTGGTCATTTTTTATAACTGATGAAGCCACATTGACACATCATTATCCTTCAGAGTCCATAGTTAACATTAAGATTCATTTTTGTCATGGATTTTATGGGTTAGGACAAATATATAATGACATATACCCAGAATTGTAGTGTTATAGAGAGTGGTTACACTTCCCTAAAAATCCTGTGTGCTCTGCTTATTCATCCCTCTCTCCCCCAGAACCTTTGGCAACCAGTGATCTTTTTTTTTTTTGAGACTGAGTCTTGCCCTGTCGCCCAGGCTGGAGTGCAGTGGCACGATCTCGACTCACTGCAACCTCCGCCTCCCGGGTTCATATAATTGGAATCATATATCATGTAGCCTTTTCAGATTGGCTTTTACTTAGTAATACATATCCAAGTTTTCTCCATGTCTTTTCATGGCTCGATAGCTCATTTCTTTTCAGTGCTGGGTAATATTCATTGTCTGAATGTGTCACTTTTTTATTTATTCATTCATCTACTGAAAGACATCTTGGTTGCTTCCAAGTTTGGGTAATTATGAATAAAGATGCTATAAATATCTGTATGTAGGTTTCATTGTGGACACTCATTTTCAACTTATTTGAGAAAACACCAAGGACTGTAATTGCTAGACCATACGGTAAAAGTTGGTTTTGTAAGAAACTGCCAAACTCCCTTCCTAAATGGCTGTACCATTTTGCATTTCCACCAGCAATGAATGAGAGTTTCTGCTGCCTCTTATCCTTGACAGCATTTGGTGTTGTCAGTGCTCTGGATTTGGGCCATTCTAATAGGTGTGTAGTGGTATCTCCTTGTTGCTTTAATTTGCATTTCTGTGGTGGCATATGATGTGGAGCATACTTTCAAATGCTTTTCAGCCATCTGTATATTTTCTGTGACGAGGTGCCTGTTCAGGTCTTTGGCTCATTTTTTAAATTGGGTTCTTTGGTTCTTGTTCTTGACTTCTAAGAGTTCTTTATATATTTCGTATAATAGTCCTATCTGATATATGTGTCCTGCAAACATTTTCTCCCAATCTGTGCTTACCTTTTCATTATCTTGGTGGTGTCCTTTCAGAGAAGATAGTTTTAATTTTAATGAAGTCCAGCTCATCAGTTCTTTCATAATTTATGCCTTTGGTATTGCACCTAAAATGTCATCATTAAACCCAAGGTTGTCTAGATTTTCCCCTATGTTATCTTCTAAAAGCTTTTATAGTTTTGCATTTTACATCTAGGCCTCCGACTCATTTTGAGTTAATTTTTGTGAAGATTCACAAAATCTTCATAAAAGATTCATCTTTTTTTTGCATGAAGATGTTCGGTAATTCCAGCCCCATTTTTGGAAAAGACTTTATTTTCTCCATTGTATTTCCTTTATTGCTTCGTCAAAGATCAGTTGACTGCATTTATATGAGTGTATCTCTATGCTCTTTATTCTGTTCCATTGAACTATTTGTCTATTCTTTTTCTAATATCACACTATCTTCATTACTGTACCTTTATAGTAAATCTTGAAATCAGGTAGTGTCAGTTCTTCCTTCAGCTTTATTGTTCTCCTTCAATATTGTGTTAGCTGTTCTGGGTCTTTTGCCTCTCCATAGAAACATTAGAATCACTTTGTCAATATCCACAAAATGACTTGCTGGGATTTTGTCTGGGATTGCATTGAATCTGTAGGTAAAGTTGGCATATTGACAATTGCTTTGATCTGAATGTTTGTGTTTCCCCAACATATACATTGAAATCTTTCCCTCATGGTGATGATATTAAGAGATAGGGCCTTTGGGACATGATTAAAAAATAGAGTCCTCATGAGTGGAATTAGTGCCCTTACAAAAGGGAGCTTGTTTGCCCATTCCCCATGTGAGTACATAGAGAGAAGCTACCGTTTATGAACCAGGAATTGGGCTATCACAAATCACTGAATCTTGTGGTGCTTTGATGTTGGCCTTCCTAACCTCCAGAACTATGGAAAGTAATTTCTGTTGTTTAGAAGCCTCCTAGTTAATAGTATTTTTGTTGCAGTAGCCTGAAAGGACTATGATAACAGTATTGAAACTTCTTATTCGTGAACATACGCAATCATGGCATCTGTGAACAAAGACAGTTTTGTTTCTTCCTTCCCTATCTGTATACACTTTTTTCCTTTCTTATCTTTTTATATTATCTAGGACTTCTAGCATGATGTTGAAAAGTAGTGGTGAGATAGATTTTCCTTTCCTTGTCCCTGATCTTAGTGGGAAAGCTTGGAGTTTCTCACCATTATGTAATGTAAGCTATAAAGTTCTTTTTTAAAAATAGATTCCCTTCCTCCCTTCCTCCCGACAGCCTCGTTGGAGTGCAGTGGTGCAATCGCAGCTCACTGCAACCTCTGCCTCTGGGGTTCAAATGATTCTTGTGCCTCAGCCTCCCAAGTAGCTGGGATTACAGGTACGTACCACCACACCTGGCGAATTTTTGTATTTGTAGTAGAAACTGGGTTTTGCCATGTTGACCAGGCTGGTCTGAAACTTCTGGCTTCAAGTGATCTGCCTGCCTTGGCCTCCCAAAGTGTTGGGATTACAGGCTATCATTTTCTTTTCTTGTAATACGTTTGTCTGATTTTAGTACAAGGGTAATGATAGTCTCATAGAATGAGTTAGGAAGTATTTCCTCTGTTTCTAGCTCCTAAAAGAGAATTGACAAATTTTCACTTAAATGTTTGGTAAAATTCACTGGTGAATCCATCTGGGCCTGATGTTCTGTTTCAGAGAGTTATTAAATATTGATTCAATTTCTTTAATAGATTTAGGCCTATTCAGATTGCCTATTTCTCCTTGTGTATTGGCAGACTGTCTTTCAAGAAGCTTGTCCATTTTATCTATGTTATCTAATTTGTAGGCATAGAGTTATTCACAGCATTCCTTCATTATCCTTTTAATGTCCATGGGATCTGTAGTAATGGCCCCCTTTTGTCTCCCCTTAAGGAGGGCTTCCCTGTGAATAAAGCCAATAAAGGAATACAGAGTAAAGAGAGATAGTTTACTAATGTACCACTTAAGCATCTATATCCAGCCTTTACTGAGGTTTACTATCTGGAGTATGTGAGTAATAAATTCAATTTTTTGTCATCTAAAATATTTTGAATTAGGCTTTTATACCTGCAGACAAAATAGCCCTAAGTGATATACTTTATTTTTTTATACAAAGAATCTAAGACCCAGAAAAAGTAAGGCTTACAACCCTGGGTCAGAATCTAAATCTCAATCCATTTAGTCTACAACTCTTTCCATTTTACACCCTCCCTCTTTAGAAGGGGTCTCTTAAACTTGCAATTTGAATAGCTGATGTTTTCCATCTTGCTACATGTTCATTTTGCGTTCACTGACTTTATCAACTTCGTTGTGTCACATACAGAATGAAGTTCCCAATCATTCATGCTCCTGACACGGAGAAAATAGAATTGACAGATTCAGAAGGAATAAAAAGATGTCCTTTATTTCTGGGTGTTTGTCTTGTCAGAAATAAATAAGGTTGAGCTTTGATAGAATGCCCTGTAAATAATTCTTAGGTGGAATATTCAGAACACTCCATTTGCCAAGTCTATGACAGCTATTATAAATGGAGTGTGTGCTTTCCCCTACCTAAATGAACTTTAAAAATTGAACTTTTTAATCTTTTTTTCTAATATGAAGACTTAAAAATAATTCCGTTATAAATTCTAAAGCAAGGGAATTCTATACAAGCTATTTTGATAAAAATCTGACCACTATGTTTAATTATACAGTTGTGAATTTTAGAAAACACAAGCTACTGTTCCCTAAGTAAAAGGCATATAAAGGCATATAAAGGCATATGAAGCTTAAAATAGTCTTTGATTTCCCAGTATGTTCCTATTTTTGTATGAATACTGATTTAGTAGTTTCAATCTCCCATCAGGCCAACTCAAGAAGAAAACCATTTGGCTGGTGGAACTCTGAAAAAGTTCATCTTGACATAGAGGTAAGTATTGCTGAGGATTCTTGTTGCTACATTTTTGATCCAACATAACAACCTGGGGAGGCACTCTGAATATTAAAGTGAATGTGTCTTTTATAGTGCTTGTAAATGAAGCTTGTTCAGCCAACAGCAAAGGCAAATGCAGTTGCGGAATTTCCTGCTGGTTTTCTGCTTTTATAGCATCATAATCTTCAAGGTGGCTTCAAGATGGCACAAGTGTGAAAGGAGTGAATTGTCTGTGAATACAGCAAGAGTGCCCCAAGCAAAAAAATCAAACAATAACAAATCCAAGCAACATGAAACACAAAAGCAAAAAATAAAACATTTTTATTTTGATTAAGAACTTCTATTTCCCATCCCATATATGGTTGATGGAAGACAAGAAATGACTTTTGATCCAACATTTTTCCTTATACATCCATGAATATAGCTTATGTTGTTTACTTCAAATGCCATTTAAATTCTTTTCGAGATTGATATTTGGTTTCCTCGCCACTGTTTTTTTTTTAAATAGGGCTGAAGCTGTTCTACTTTCAAATTGCGTTTGTTTTTTTATACGAATGGTTTCTTTCTTTTTCAACTAATATATAAATCTTGCTTTCTGAATTGGATGTGACACTTGGGGGCTGGTATTTGGCTGGTAACAGTTAACTGGGGGAGGAGGAGTTCATCTGGCATTCGGATTACCCAAAGTTGCAGTCAATGCTTTGGCAGAGGCAGACCTAGCCATACTGCAGATGTGGTAGTTTGTTGAGCAGAGGGGTGCTGGAGATCAAAGTGTGCTTTCAATTTACAGATGAAACTCAGTCCTCAAATGAAGTTTCCTGACACTTCTCCTGTTTTTGTATTGCCATCATCCTCCGAGAAACATTTGGAATGAGAGTATGGTTAGCTTTAAGATTGATCTGGGTCCCATTTGAGCTTCAGAATGAGGGAGTAAAGGCAGCCACATCTTAATGGTTCTATCAGTTTTACGGTTTGGGGAGTCATAGAAGCAGGTGCTCCTGGATTGCAATTGCCACCTTCTGTGAGCTCATTCAGTAGGAGGGGTGAAATTAGAAGAAATATTCCATGTTACTGAACCCAGTTACTTGGGGAGCGATCAAGAATTGCTAAAATATGTGTGTGTGTGTGCACACGCGTGTCGCGTGTGTTTGTACATGTGTGTATGTGTTTTATGATCAATAGTTAAGAAATTTTGATGGAATGGAGAGAGAGGACCCCAGCAAGCCTCTTAATATATATATATATCTCTAAAGATACCTTTTATTGAACATTACCCAGCTGGCTTGAATTATTACTTATAATGTATTCCTTTTTTCTCCAGAAGTTCATATTGGTTCTCTAAGACCTTAAAACATCCTAAAGGAGTATTGATATGCCTAATTAGAGAGGTAGAAGAACTAATAGACAGAGAGGATGGAGACCTTCTTTGTCATTGATTGCTTTAATGCCTGGTAGCCAAATCAGAGGCTGCACTCATTTCTGAGATGACACAATGCAAATCATATGGAAGGAAGAACTGTCTTTTATATTTTGACCCTCTTGGGAAGTGCAGACCCTAAAGCACAAAACACTGACCTTAAACAGGACATACGAAAGGAAATATTTTATATGTGTCTGAGCGAGGAATAGTACAGACCGATTTTGCAAGATCTGAAGAGTAGGTTTGCTCACTTTGACGCATCACTTTTCCCAGAAAAACGTTGATTCAAGAGATGCTTTGGAGAGTGCAGGAGGCAAAGTCTATGGCTTACAATGAAATCAGATGAACATTCAGGCTCGGAAGGTTTAATGAGATCTTTAGAATGCCTTTCTTTGCTTTGGGCACGATGTTGCTGAAAATTATCTTCAGCTGTTTGCTGATATATGCAGGTCTTTGTTAATTCTGGGTAGCTGGCATCATGGCAAACTGGGAAACTGAATTGCTCTAGTAATTTAACATTTTGGCCAACAGTTAGACACCTGTTTTCTCCCAACATTAGGATCACCTCACTCTCTCTGTGTCTCTGTTTCTCTCTCCTCTCTCTCTCTCTCGCTCGCTCTCTCCTCCTTCTCTTTCTGTCTTCTCTTTATCTTGCAAGTTTTCTTTTGGGATGTCCATAGGGAAAAAGAACTTTGGAAGAACAAGGTTGCTTGACTGAAAAGAAGGACACCTTAGCAAAAATGTATACTATATATTTTATATATGTTTCACAGTCCAATTATAGACCAAAAGAAGAAAATAGATCAAGCAGAGCTTCTCAGCAATCAGCAATGAAATAGGCTATCCTAGAAGACTGGGAGTTCTCCCATCACTGGAAGTTCAAGTCATCTACAAGACTTTTTGTGGACATGTTATTTCATGTCCCTTTGGTATATATATATATACACATAAGTGTGTTTACTATATATATGTGATTTATATGAGTTCTATTAATAGTTGCTGCACACTCTCTTCAACAATTGGAATTGTTAGTCTTTTTAATTTTAGCCATTCTGGTGGGTGTGGAGTGGTATCTCATTGTGGTTTTAATGTGTATTTCTATAAAAAAAGATTATGTTGAGCACTGTTTTATGTGCTTATGGGCCATTTTAATTTTCTTCTCCAAAATGTCCATTTAAAATGTTTCTCCATTTTCTGAACTTTTTATTATTAAAGTATAGGAGTTTCTCATTTATCTTTGATACCAATTCTTTGTCAGATATACGTTATGTGAATATTTTTTCCCAGTCTGTCACTTGTCTATTTACTTAATGATGTATTTTAAAGAGAAGTTTCTCATTTTGATGAAGTCTAATAGATGATTATTTTCTCTCATGATTATTATTTTCTGTGTCCTGTGGAAGAAACATTTCTGACACCTAAGTGGTCGTCCTATCTCCTTTTAGAATATTTCTAATTTAATCATTGACATTTAGATATATAATCCAGCTCAAATAAATTTATGAGTATGGTGTAAGGTAGGGGTCAAAGTTCATTTATTTCCTATGAATACTAGTTGTGCTAGTACTGTTTTTTGTCAAGACTGATTTTCTTATGGATTGCTTTGGTGCTTTTGTCAAAAATCAAATGATCATATAAATGTGAGTCTATTTCTAAATTCATTATTTTGTTCTGTTTGCCACTGCGTTGATCATTTCACAATACCACACTTACTTTATAGTAAGGCTTGGCATTGGGCAATATTTATCTTCCGACTTTACCCTTTTTGGAGATTGCTTTAGCTGTTCTAAGTCATTTTCATATCTATTTCCATATAAATTTTAGTATTGGCTTGCCAATTTCTACAAAAAGCCGAGTGGAATTATGATTGGGATTGCATTGATTCTATAGATCATTTGGGGGAGAGCTGACATCTAAGCAATATTGAATCTTAAAATTCATAAACGTGATTTATCTCCTTTTTTATTAAAGTTTTAATTAGTCACTCTCAGCAGTTTTGTAATCTTCAATGCAGAAGTCTGACAGGTATTTTGTTAAATGTATTCCTTAGTAAGCATGTTGTGTTTTTTGTAATAGAAATTGTAAATGAAATTATTCTTTTAATTGAATTTTCCAATTGAAGATACTGATATGCAACAATGTAATTTATTTTGAATATTGACCTTAAATCCTGCAACCCTGCTAAACTTAGGTATTAATTCTAGTAGTTGTTTTATATATTCCTTAGGATTTTCTGCATAAGCAATTATGCCATTCGTGAGAGAAGTTTTACCTCTTTTTAATGGTCTTTTTAATTTCATTTCTTTTAGCCTTATTGTGCCACTAGGATCGCTGGTAAGATGTTGAATAAGTATATTGAGAGTGGACATCCTAGCCTTATGCTAAATTTCAAGAAGAAAGCCTTAAGTATTTCCCCATTAAGTATGATATTAGCTCCAGATTTGTTACAGATGGCTTATGTAGTTTGAAGAAATTCTCTTATTTTTGTAATAGTTTAGATGTTCTATTATGAATGGGTATTAAAACTTGTCAAATATTTTTCTAGCTTTTTTTTGAGATGATTATATAAATTTTCTCCCTTATTCTATTAATATGATGAATTATATTGAGTTTTGAATGTTAAGCCTACCTAGCATTCCTGGGACAATCTTCCTTGGTGATGATGGAATACCATTTTTATATATTGCTAGATTTGATTTGAAAATATTTTCAGGTAGTTTTTGTACCCATAAATATAAATTCATTTTTCATTTTAAAAACTCCTTTACAAAAGTGAACAGTTAAAAACAATTATCTGTCATGGGATTTATGACATATATAAAAGTAAAATGTTTAACAACAATAGTTCAAATTATCTAACATATAGATTTTAAAGTAAAATTGACATATAGTAAAGATGTATATTACAAAGCGCAGCATAACAATTGAAACACAAAACAAAGAGGTAAAATCAATTAGCCAATAGTGGAGAAAAAAACAGAATCCTATTAAATACTTAACCCAAAAGAAGGCAGGAAAATAGGGAAAAGTAAAAAACACATAAGTAGAAAATAACAAGATAGTATATGTAAGCCCAATGATATTGATATTTATATTAAATGTATATCATCAAAACATTCTAATTAAAAGAGATTATCAGATTAGATAGAAAATGCCAACCATATGTATTCAATAGGAAAACCACTTAATCCTTATGGTAGTATGTTGTAATTTTTACTTTAAAGTCATATATCTTTTAAAGAAAAAGAAAAAAATTCTCTATCTATCTATGTATCTATCTAGATATCTATATAGATAGATAGATAGATAAGCTAAAGTTTCTAATTTTAATGAAGTCCAATATGTCACCTTTTCACCTTTTTCTTTTATGGTTAGTGTGTCCTGTGTTCTGTTGAAGAAACATTTGTCTATCTCCGAGTGGCACCCATCTTTTAGGGGGAAGCCATAGTTTCTGATTTTAACTCCGGCCTTGTCACTATACCATGACGAAATTCTGCATATGGTAGTGCTATGCTCACTGTCAAGTGCCATCACATTACTTGACTTCAAATTGTACTACAAAGCTATAGCAACAAAAACAGCATGGTACTTATCTAAAAATAGATACATTGATCAATGGAACAGAACAGAGAACCCAGAAATAAAGCCACATACCTACTGATCTTTGACAAAGTTGACAAAAATATACAACGGGGAAAGGACACCCTATTTAACAAATGATGTTGAGACAGTTGGAGAATCATATACAGAAGAATGAAACTGGACCCCTATGTTTCACCATAGACAAAAATTAACTCAAGATGGATTAAAGACTTAAATGTAAGACCTAAAACTATGTAAATCCCAGAGGAAAACTTAGGAAAAAATTTTCTGGACATTGGTCTAGGCAACAAATTTATGATTAAATCCTCAAAAGGACATGCAGCAAAAACAAAATAGAAAAATGGGACTTAAACTAAAAAAAATTTCTGCACAGCAAAAAAAAAAAAAAAATAGCAACAGAGTTAACAGACAACTTACAGAATGGGAGAAAATATTTGCAAACCATGCATCTGACAAAGGGCTTGTAATTCTTTGAGAATATACAAACAACTCAACAAGAGAAAAACATAACTCCATTAAAAACTGAGCAAAGGACATGAACAGACATTTTTCAAAAGAAGGCATACAAGTGGCCAAAAAACATGTAAAAAACTGCTCAACATCACTAATCATCAGAGAAATGCAAATTAAAACCGCAATGAGATACCATCTTACACCAGTCAGGATGGCTATTATTTAAAAAAAAAACAAATAAGAGATGCTGTTGAGGATGCAGAGGAGAAAAGGGAATGCTTATACTCTATTGGTGGGAATGTAAATTAGTACAAACTCTGTGGAAAACAGTATGCAGATTTCTCAAAGAACTAAAAATAGAACTACCCTTTGGTCCAGCAATTCCACTACTGGGTATCTACCCAAAGGAAAAAAAAATATTTTATTAAAAAAAACCTGCACTCGTATGTTGTTTGTAGCACTGTTCACAATAGCAAAGTCGTGAAATCAACCTAATTGTTCATCAATGGATGATTGGATAAAAAAATGTGGTACACATATGCCACGGAATTCTACTCAACCATTAAAAAAAAAAGGAGTGATATCAAGTCTTTTGTAGCAATATGGATGGAACTGGAGAACATTATCCTTAGTTAAATGACTCAGAAACTGAAAATCTGTATGTTCTCATTTGTAAGTGGGAGCTAAACAATGGGTGGGTACACATGGACATACAAAGTAGAATAATAGACACTGAAAACTTCAACTAGTAGGAGGGTGACAGGCAGTGAAGAATGAAATATCACCTGTTTGGGTCTAATTATTTGTGTATGGGTACACTGAAAGCTCAAATTTCACCACTATGCAATATATTCATGTAACACAACTGCACTTGTACACATAATTTCATAAAAATAAAAAAATTAATTCCAAAAAAATTTAAAAAAGGAAATGTGAGGCCGGGCGCAGTGGCTCACGCCTGTAATCCTTGCACTTTGGGAGGCTGAGGCGGGTGGGTCACAATGTCAGGAGATGGAGACAACCCTGGCTAACATGGTGAAACATGTCTCTACTAAAAATACAAAAAACTAGCCGGGCATGGTGGCACGCACCTATAGTCCCAGCTACTCGGGAGGCTGAGGCAGGAAAATCGCTTGAAACCAGGAGGTGGAGGTTGCAGTGAGCCGAGATCGCACCACTGCACTCCAGCCTGGGAGACACAGAGAGACTCTGTCAAAAAAAAAAAAAAAACCCACCAAAAAAAAAAAAAAAAAAAAAAGGAAATGTGTAGTTTTTAAGGAATCTTACAACTTCCAGTCAGTGGTCACTAGGAGATTATGAGATTAGGAATCATATTGTCAGCAGCTGGGCATCCTTGCCATGAGAGATTTCCAGTCCAGGTGTCTGACTGCTATGAATAATGCCTGCAGCCATTTTTCCTGTCAGGACAGAGTCTTCAATGGCAGATGCTAAGATTATTTGAATATCTCTCTATTCTAGGCCTGTTCCCTATAGACACTACCATTTCACCAACCACTTGATAAAAACGTAGTATGTATATAAATGTCTACACCACAAGTTTGAGTTGGTGTGCTCTTCTCCATCAGGGGAGTGAATATTAGCTGGACCATGACGTAGGAGACTGGGAGTAGGACAAGGTGATGGTAAATGGGGAAAAAAACCTTCCGTGAACAGCTCTTGTAAGTCAATTTGGCTTTAGAGTGAACTGGGGATGGCATTGTCTGGTTTTCTAAATCACAAGTTAATGGAAGTGAGTTTAATTTTTTTCCCTAATTTAGTATTTTTTTTTCCCAAATGAATCTGACACAGAACACTATTATTAGAAGAGATCAAGTCTGACCTGCTCTGTAAAAGAAGGTAGATGGCTTAGAAGCCACTTCTTTTCCTCGGTGACAGCCTTGAACAGAGTCTAAAAATATAGCAAAGATTCTTCATTGACAAGGTTTGGAAAGAAATCCAGTTAAATCTACATTGAGCTATGTTTATTTAGCTGATGAGCCAACATAAAAACAAGCATTCTATCACTAAAGCAAAACAGAAAAGACTGATAAAGTCACCTACATAGAAGTTTCAAATTGTGTGATGGTAACAAAAAAAGCTAAAAGACTACAACACTCTAGTAGAACAGATTTTCAACATATAAGACAATGGACTAACTGCCTTAATTCACTAAGTGGTCATACAAATCAGTAATGAAAAGATGAGCAACCTTAAAAAACAAACAGGAAAAAGCAGAGAAAAGGTAATTAACAGAAAAAAGGAATTCAAATACTTAAACAAACATGAAATGAAGCTCAACTTCACTCATAATTAAGGATATGCACAAAGTAACAATGAGATAATCGTTCTTCCTCTTCCCCATCAGATGGGAAAATATTAAACGGTCTAATGACATCCAGAGCTGGTGGTAAAAGAGTTAATAATGGAAACCCTCAAACTTTGTTGCTGGTAGAAAATTGATGCAGTCTTTCAGGGGGGATATTTAGCAACATCTATGAAGATAAAGATGACCCAGCATTCCGTGTGCTAGGTATTTATTCTATAGCTATGCTTGCAAAAAAAAATTGCAAATACATGTCTTTCCAAAGAGCATGTGGATCCTTTCTTCTATACTCCTCATGCTTTCTCCCATGTGAAAGGACCTCTGCCAACATAAGACTCGGGCCTTTCCCTGTTCCCTCCCCCTCAGGGAAGATGGAGCCATCTATCTAATTTGTGAGCTTGGAAGGAGAAACAGACATGTGAATCTCTGCCCCTGCCTTTCTCCCTTTCTAAGGAAGCTATCTACCTGAGGAGAACAGGCGTGCCACTCTGCCTCCTCTATGTTGTAATATATGTTTGTATATGTGTGTGTGCATGTGCTTGTGGGAGAGCAACTCTTACTCGGTGGGTAAATCTTCTGATTTGGGGTTGAATTATTAGGAAGCCCTTTGCAGATAGATTTAAACCGCATTCTCTAATATCAGCTTCACAGTATTGAAACAGCATTTTGGCATTTGTATGCCTTAGTCTTTCTTATCTCTCTCTTATTTGATAGAGAACAGAGAACAAGGGTGGGACAAAAAGGCCAGTCCTTGAGAAATATAAAGGAATGAAATTTTAGGTGCAAAAGGAATCATAAAGATATTTGTCTTGGCAGATTAATGTGACCTTATGTTGGGTAATGAGCTGTTTTTCTAGAGTTCTGCCCTATTTTTAATTGCTATAACTGGAATTGATAGGTTTTAAGACTAATTTCATGTGGTATTTTAACTTCACCAAGATGATCCAACTGGTGGCATCTTTGTCCACAGGCTAATAGTTATTTTTATATGGGCCAAACCACCCTAATGCACGCACTTACGGGCTTTAGGGAAGATGCAGGCATCAGCAAACATGCCAGTCTCAGCAAGCACTCACCTCCCTATATCCACAGTCTTCTAGAGAGCTAGTTTTGCACAAGAGGGATCATCTTTGTAATTAACCTTGACCCTTTTATAGCCAGTATTAATTGAGCATCTACTTGGACACTGGTGATTTGAAAAGCTTAGGACAAGAATACAATAGCCTTGGTCAGGAAAGAGAATTAACACATACCAGAAACCCTAGTTTACTCAGTTATTTATATGTCTGAGGTGGACTAGAAATGGAGCCTAGTCTCCAACACGCCTCATCTATGATTAGGATACTCCTTTTTCTCCCATTATCTATGCCTATGCCTTGTCAGAGCAAATAAAATAAGACAATGCTATCATAATTCTGTGTCAGTGTCTTGCTCTGCATGTGTATCACTCTGCCTGAGCTGTCCTCTTCCACCTCTGCCTATCCAGATCTCTGGGATTCTTTAAGACCTAAGTCATATCCTATCTCCTCCTTGATGCCATTCTTGATTGTTTACACTTGTCATCTTCTGTGAGCTCAGAACTTCATAACAAAGGGGACTCATATTATTGCTTTTATTGCAGACCAAAAATGCCATGGGGGCAGGATTTTATTTTGTATTTCTTACCCTCCTCTCCCTTCACCAACAAATCACTGTGCTTTGTAGCTCTAAGAGTTCTCTATGATTATTGGGTAGTTTATAACTTCATAATTGAACAGATTATGAATCAATGATATTTCATATTTCAAAAATAAAAATAAAATTTTAATTTTACTAGCCCTGACCAAGAACTATTTTTATTTTCCTATACTCTATGACTTATCATTCTTTGGTCCCCGGTCTCATTGCAGATGTACATTGTAGGTAGCATTCTAAATTTTGCATTTTTCTCCTTAATGTATTATCATTAATGAGTTCATGCATCTATATCATCTCCAAAAGTATCATTACTATTAGTTGCATAATTTTCTAGCTTGCCAGTAGGTGATAGTCACTATTCCGTTCCCTTATTATTGAGTATAAAGGTTATTTTTAGTTTTTTACCACAGTGCTACAATTAACATCTTCAAATGTGTAGCTTTTTGGTTCTGTTACATTCTGAGGATAAATTCTTAGGGTCTTGTTGGATTCATAATAGATGTTCAATAAATAAATGCCATTGATTTTATTCCCAAACATTTTTGAGTAACTTCATAGATTGAGTCACTATACAAGTTCCTAATTTTCCTTTGGTTGACAATGCCATCTACAAAGAACACTTATACTTACAAAGGAATTTTCTCCTCAGCTCTAATTTCCAACTTCTTTGGGAAATAAGGAGGCACCAGAATCAAAGTCTGCCAAAATGTGGGCTTTTCCCTTTGGAACATTGGGGCACCAGATGCAACAGCAACAAAACCACCCACATTTGCCTTTGGCTTGAAAGGATAAAACTTTCATGCAGAAAATCCCATTACCCAAATGCAATTGTCTCTAGACACATGGACAACACAGCTGTGTGTCCAGGGAAATATGTATTGATCCCTCTCGTGTCTCTACCAGCAGTTCAGATTCTGCTGTATATTAAAAATGCAGAAGATCTTTCTGAAATTTATTATGGGCTTACCTGGCTACGTTCCTTTACAGAAATAATCACAAACTATAAAACATGCAAAGATTGAAACAGAGTACATGACATTCACATAAAGACAGTTGTGATTTAAGAGGCAGGAAATGTAATTATGTGCTGCTGACAGTCTTGTCCTTGCTTATGAAAGGGCTTAGCAAACAAAAAATTCCCGTATCCTGGGCGCTACCAAGTGTTGCTATGGCTTGTTGGAGAGATCCCAAGAATCAACACTGAAAATCACCTCTCCTGACATAGTGCTTTGTGAATTGCGATAAGTAGATTTATATTTAATTTAGGTGTGTGTTGCTGAATTGATGAATAAATGAACTAGATGCTAGAAGTGTCTATCTCTAGAACTCATCCAGAGGTAATATGGTATCTCTGTTCTTTATATCCAGGATCTTTGGGTAATGTCTCTTTCCCGTTTTGTTCTGTCCTAAATTTACCTCAGTAGTCTACACCATACAGACTAAAAGTGGAAAGTTCACCAGCATCAACATATCTAATATAAATAGAGAGGGAAAATAATAGGTAAGAGAAGTAGTAAGGACACACAGGCATATGCACTAGCATGTTCCTACAGTAAGTCAGGAGGCCACAACTAGCATTTACTATTTTCATGCCCTGTTATTAGCCTCTCCACCTCCTCCTTTTCTCTATCCAGCATCTCAGATGGTCAAGATTCTTTGCCTAGTATGGTAACATAAATATTTATTTCTGAGAAGGCAAAGTTCATAGTAGTCCTACCTACGTGTAGTTTGAGAGAGTCTGCTCTTAAGGTAAGAAGAGTGAAGCAGGAGGTAGTTTAGGGTATCTTCTGGGTTCAAATTCCTCGTGCCCAACAGCAACATTTTCTGCTATTGTCGGTGTCAATCATACAAAGCCAATCCCATGCCCCCCTTTTTTATGTAAGGCATAAGGTTCTGAAATACCCATAGTGCACGTCAACTATCATTTAGTGGAAATGTTGTCTGTGCTGCAGTAGAAATGTCTCTCCCATGAGAGCTAAACCTGTGGACCAGCAGAGTGCTAAGTATGAAATCAAGAGGCAAACACTTTGAAAATAGACTATTAAATGTAAAGTCAAGAGGTACCTTCCACACCTCCACTGTTGGGTTCCCAGGTGTGGTATTTGGGTTGTCAGTGAAAAGAAATGTTTATACATTACATTATAAAACTATTAATTCAACTTTGTATTTTCTCCAAGCTGGGACTATATCCATTTCTAGTTACTCCTTATAATATTTGTCAATATAGCTGCTTTTGGATGATGAGGTACATAATAAGACCAGTGATTATCTCTGGCTTCAGAATTTAGAATGGTGAGCCTGGTTGTTACAGCAGGCTTGCCTAAAGAATTTACAACTGAGCTGAGAGTTAAGGCATGAGAAGGCATTTAATAGATGAAGGAGGAAGGGGCAAGTGTCTTCCAAGCAGATGGAAGAAAGTACGTGCAGAGCTTGTGGTGGGAGAAATAATATGGAGAAACCCAACACAAATAATAATATAGTGAAGCATAGAGATTGAGGGGAAGAAGAGTATGAAATGAAGGTAGAGATATAGGCAGGGGCCAGAGCATATAGGGCCTTATTGACCATGCCAGGTATTTTTGGTCTTTATCCTAAAAATGAGAGAGCCAGGAAAATGTTTTAAATATTATGTGTGTGTGTGTGTGTGTTGTGGGGGTGGGCAAAGGGGAAATGTTTTGACCTTGCCATATTTGTTATACAAAATTTTCTCTCTACCTGTGGCATGAAGAACACATTGTTAAGGGTGCCAAATAAGATACAGAAGACTACTTTAGAGGCTGCAGCAAAAGTGTGAGAAGAAAAAGGTGGTAGCTTGGTGGCAATGAAGACGGGGAGGAGCGTATAGAATTCAAGAGATTTTCAGAAGGTAACTGAAGAGATAGAAATAGATATATTTACCCAAGAAGGAGTACAGACTAAGAATCAAAGAAGGGCTAAGTTTGAGCCTTGAGGGAACTTAAACATTTAATACTGGAATGGAAAAGGATAAACCTGTAAAGAGGGCTGATAAGAAGATCATAGAAAGTTAGAAGGAAACCAGAAGAGTCTTGTCATGGAAGCTAAGGGAAGAAAGTATTTCTGGCAATGGGTGTTGTCAATAGCATAAAATGCTAGTGAGAGGTAAAATAAGAGCAGCACTGAAAAATCTCCCTTTGATTTTGTATTCAGGAGACATTGGTGATCCTTAGCAAGAGCTGCTTTGGTGGATGACTGTGAGTGAAAGAAAGACTGGGAAGTGAGCAACAGAGACAGAGACATGGTGACAAATTATTTGAAAAATTCTTCTGTTACAAAAAGGAGGGAGATTATTTGCTGGGGAGGAATGTGGGGTAGTGGGTGGTGGTGGTGGTGTTTTAATGAGACTTTGTGAGAAGGGATACTGTATAGTGAAAATTTAATTAAATAAGAAAGGATAGGATTCAAACAGGTAGGTGGCTGCACAGCTCCTTTACTGTGATAACAGGGAAGTGAATGTAGATGTGGGAATATGGAGGTGGCAGGAAACTGAGGAGTTCCCATTTGATGGCACCTAATTTCTCCGTAAAGTACAAGTTATCTGCTGAGAGGGAAGAGAAATAGGGAGAAAGACTGGGCATTGGAGAGGAGAAGTTTTGAAATCAGTGTTAGGGAGAATGGAAGAATGAGATGATCATGAAAAGAAAGAAAAGAAACACTAGGACTGCTGGAGGGTGAGGGTGACTATGCATTTACAGTATCAGAATAGGTAGGCTGAGGCGCAGGTTATGGAGAATAGAGGGCAAGTTCAAATGTATTTATCTTGGCCACTAACTCTTAGACTATGTCTAACAGGTTTTCAGTTAAATACCTAAGATATGAATAGACACTTAGCTAAAAAAGAATAGCATGGGGGAAAAGTCCTGTCTACCGTCTCCCTCACTTGGAGATTCATGTACTTTATCGTGCTGCATGGTCTGGAAGAAGTGTTCAAACCAATTGCCTCAAGACAAGTCTTCATGATCTGGCCTCTGCTTGCTGATCCTGCCACTTGCTAATCTCCCAACCTACAGTTTCCCTTCCCACTCTCCTGAACTATTCACATTTCTTGAAAATGCCCAACCCTTCTTTCCTCAAGTCCTTTGCACAGGTTATTCCTTTAGCCTGGAACATCTTTTTCCCATCCACTTTTCCTATGATTGTCTCTGGATAGAAATCATTTATGCCAGAAATGCTTCCTCGCATGGCTCAAGCTTTGAGTCAGGTTTCTATATTTATCTGTTCTCCTATTCTGTGCTCAAAACACCTGAACTCCCTGTTTGCTTACCCTCTACCCCACTACAACTTGAAGCATGGAAATATGTCTTCTTCAGACCTGTCTAAAGTAGATACAAGTATCCAAAGAGGAGCATAGTGTAAGGACCAAAGAAGGGCTAAGTTAGAGCCTTGAGGAACTTAAACACATTTAATAGAGGAATGGAAGAGGATAAACCTGCAGAGGAGGCTGATAAGGATATCACAGAAAGGTGGAAGGAAACGAGGAGACATGTCATAGAAGTCAGTTACCTAGCACGGGGTTGACACATAGTACACACTTTGTATGTGGCTAGAGAATGTGGCTGAGGAATGAATGGTGAATGCCTCTTCCTTTTACCTGGGTGGGGGTGGAGGGAAGGAGGTGATTGCTAGAGATGCTGAATTAGATGAAGATGACCCTGGACAAACTTACTTAAGCAGCAAATATCTATGTTAATGCTGGTGTCTTACGTTTCTATATATGTGATCGTTACTCTGCACAGAATTTGATATGTGCATCTGTTCACATATACATCCATGCATGCACACAGATGTCTACACACACAGGTATGTACAGTTTGCACTTCCTATTTTCTCAGCTTTTACTTCCACCTGTTCCATCTGCCCCAGATTCCTATGGACTCGTGGTTGTTTTCACATTCTTCATGCTTATCTTGATCTCTCTCCCTCCCCTTATAATATTTCCTGTATTCGTTCCTCTGGGCCTTTTGGCCTTTCATTTTGTTTTTTATTTCTGCTGCTTCTTTCCAGTCTGCTTAAAGCACCTCCCAACAGATTTTCAATAGGAATACAAAGGCTCACTTTGGCAGTGCAGATGTTATACAATGGCAATGTTCAGTGCTTTTTTTTTTCTTTTTTTTTTCGGTTCCTACAGGGACTGGATGCATACAGTGTTTCACTGCTGATTCTTTGTAATAGTACTGCACAGGCAAAATGTTAATAAATTATAGCAGCAGAACTAATTAAAAGGCATGCATTATACATCTTGTGGACACATTCTTCATTAGCATAAATTCTCAGCATTACACATCCATGTCAGAGGGAATTAAAAGGAAAAACTTAAAAATAAAAAGGCATACATACAGAGACCCAAATGCTTTGGTTTCCCCAAGGCTTTTGCTGAGCATATGCCCTTGCGGATTCAGTAGTTCTTTTAATTTTTGTGTGTTATTTTAAAGGAAATATACTATGTCCCATTTTTATGTACTTTAAAAATCAAACCAGCTTTAAGATGATAAAGTTAATCCCGTTTATCCCCCTTGCAACAAAGTTTAAATAATATTCAGTGAACAGGTTTCTAGAACTAGAAACAAACTCCTAGTTTTTCCATAATATTTTCTAATAGGCATTTGATTATAAGTAGCTCAATAACCAGTCTCTCATGTTAGCAATATTGTTGTTTTCACCTGAGTTCTTATTTTAGAGCCCAGGTTGGTAAGACAGACCCAAGGGTCACAGGGAAAGGGGGCAGCTCATAGTTCCCTTATATTACCATTCAGTTATTCAACTTCTTCCTTAGGAAAATGCATTGATTCTGGCTTTTTGTAAAGATCATGCTTAACAATACCGGGCCATGCATTTTCTGGGCCGACACAGTTCCCTTGTGCATTAGCAATCCTCATAACTTTCTCTACACATGGAAACCAATTTGATAGATAGTGGCAATGATGATAGGGAGATGACCAGGCATCCTTTAGTCCCTGAGCCAGGGGATTCTCCTTTTAATGATGAGTATTCATATCACTTTTAATTTCTTGCCTCCTTCCAAAACGGGATTGAAGGGCTTGAAACAACTAGATGCCTACACTTTTACAAGAGTTTTCCAACTCATCTTCCTACTTCCACTCTTGGCCTAGAGGCTTTTCTCCTCGTAACAGTCCAAAGGAGCTTTGGAAAATGTAAATCAGGCCACACTGCATTCCTGTTGAAAGCCCTTCAATGTCCCCCATCACTTGGAATAAAATTCAAAGTCTGCTAAATAGCCTGCCAGACCCTACTTGATTTGGCTCATTCTTCAATTTTGTTGCTTGCTGTCTTTCCACTTTCCTCCAGTAATACTACTGGCATTCTTGCTGTTCTGTGAACATGCCATGCTCACTTCTTTCCTAGGACCTCTGCACATTGCTTTTCCTTCTTTCAGATGAAAGCATGGCTTGATCACTCAGTATCTGTTCAGGTGTCTCCTCAGAGCGGGGGTCTCTGAGTACCCTATCTAGAACACCAAGTAGCACTAACGGCTACCTGATATTGTATATGTATTAGTCTGTTTTCATACCACTATAAAGAGCTGCCCAAGACTGGGTAATTTATAAAGGAAAGAGATTTAGTTGACTCACAGTTCAGCATAGCTGGGAAGGCCTCAGGAAACTTACAATCATGGCAAAAGGTGAAGGGGAAGCAAGGCACCTTCTTTACAAGACGGCAGGAAGAAGTGCAGCGTGAGTGGGGAAGAGCCCCTTATGAAACCCTCAGATATCATGAGAACTCACTCACTATTAGAAGAATAGCATGGGGGAAACCACGCCTATGATCTAATTACCTCCGCCTGGTCTCTCTTTTGACATGTGAGGACTATGGGGATTAAAATTCAAAATGAGATTTGGGTGGGGACAGAAAGCCTAACATATCGGTATACCTATTTGCAAATTTTCTTTCTTTTCTATCAAAATACAAGCTCTTCGTGGTTAGAGGTTTTATCTATCTGGTTCAATGTTTTCATACTAGAGTCCAGAAGAGTGCCTGGTGTATTGAAAGTACTCAATATATGTTTATTGAGTAAATGAATAACTGAAGCTTCTTGCCTACAGTTGAGTGAGTACTGGTATTTTTATTTTACCAGTTAATAAATTAGAAAAGACCTGTTAGGCACATGCCTCTTTAATGCAAGAACTTGAGAGTAAATTACATGATTAAAAAAACCCTTTGCAAACAAATGGTCCAGTATCATTGCAGGGCAATAAATTGGGGTCAGGTGGGATCAAAGTGTGCTTCATGTAAAAGGAAAGAATGACAACCTTTATTATAGATGCTGCTTTCATCAAAATCTAGAATAGCTCATGACGGGTTAGGGAAAAGAGTCCTTTTATACCCTTTTGGTCAATTTGTAAATTGGTACCTCTCTGGAGGTTAATCTATCACTAAAAAGCCTCAAAAATTGCATTACTTTCTGACTCAGTAATTCCATTTCTAATAATTTAACTTAAGGACATAATTATGAGCATGAATGAAGATTTATTTCCAAAGGTATTAAGTACATAGTAAGTTATTATCAGATAAAACATCTGAAACAACCAAAGTATCTAATCATAGTATTTTGGTTAAATTACAGTATAATTAAAGAATGGAATTCTCTAAGATTCACAATAAAATGCTAAGCAAAAATCAAGTAGGAACCCACTAAAGATACATATATATACATATAAATAATAATTTATCCTCATGTTAATGTAACCATCTAAGTGTTAGCAGTGTTATCTCTTCATGTTGGAATGATTACAAATGTTAGTTTTTTTGTTTTTTAATCTGTTTTTTTCTAGTGGTTCTAAAGTAAACATATATTGTGTAATTAAAAATTAAAAATATATACCAATAAACTCCACAAAAAGTGAACAATTAAAGAGATTCGTGTAGATAAACTCTTACTCCTTCTCTGTGAATATGATTGCTCACCACGTGCCCTGTCTTTCTAGGTCATGTACCCATTAATCCAGCATACATTTATTGAGCACCTATTATATGCAGCATTCTGTATTAGGCTACCCTTCCACCAAGGGGTTATTGACATCCCAGAGCTGTTTACCACCATTGTAAGTAGTTTTATAAGACAGAGGAAGGAATCTATTACATACCTCTTTTTCTTTTTCTGGAAGGTATTTCTGAAATGGAAAGTGTCTGTGCCAGCCCAATCCTAAAAGTTTTCATTTTGAACAGTCTCTAAAGAGACTTTTTGCCCAGCAGAGCTGCTCCTTGGTAGCAAAGCTGAACTTGTGACCAAGTGTTTGTGCCCTAAGGTCTTTTCCTTGCTATTTCACTGGGCTATGTGCCTGGCGCAGCTTCCCGTGGCAGAACTGATATACCAACCTTGTTTTTCACCTTACAAAGGTGGCAGTGGCTTGAATAAAAGGCAGTCTGCTGAATGACTTCCAGATAGAGCAGGGGCTGAAGAACAGGCAGTGACTTGTTGCCTTTTCCAGGTGTCTTGTTTAGTGCAGAAGCCTCAGTGCCTAGTGTGTTAGCTGACACAGAGTAGGCACTGAGTAAATAGTTGAGCAAATGATTTACAAGGAGGCCAGATGTCAGCCCTCTTTCTAATCTCACTGAAAGCACCCAAGAATGGGCCCATTTCTTTAGATTTCTCCATATACCAACTCAGGGACATGTGAAAATATAAGGAATTTGGAAAAGGTACTTTGTGTGTAATAAGGCTGACAAATGAAAGCATGTGATGGTAAAATGACAGAGATGAGAAGGAACATCAATAATCCATGCTGCACTGCAGAGATTGCAAAAGCACACAAGGACAAAGTGGCCTTGTCTCTCTGCTTAACAAGCAGGCGTTTAATTGGAAACCTAAATAACGTATTAAGTTTTCTGTGTTGGAATTACTCTATGCCGTTCTGCCTATCTGTCTCTGAATGAGATGAATTACCAGTGGCATGCTTGGGTTGCTTTAGTCAACACCAGCAGGCAGCTGTTGTTAATGATCTTTACTCTCCTGGTAGTTGGAGTGGAGTTTCCATCCTCCTGGGGAAGGCAGCTGTGGTGCTTGGGCCAGAGTTACCACACCGTGTGCATCTGCACCATTAACCTCTGGAGAGAGAGTGGTCTCTATCTCTCTCCTACCCCAATTTACAGAAATTCCCAGCCTTATTCAATACCCAGTGTTCTCTAACTGGGCAAACATGCTCCTTTGTTTCAGTTACTCCAAGATTTACCTCCCTTCTGTAGGAAACTGAAGTTCTGCAGAATGGACAAAGATGATTTCCTATTAAAAAAAAAAAAAAAAGCAGATGTGGTTTTCTCTCCCTATGGATGACAATCTAGTTTTATCTTTTACTTCAATTCTAGGAAAATTCATTCCCATCATGAAAAATATGTCAGAAGAAAAGCAGACCACTCTGTTGTATTTGGGTCACATACCAATTTTCTAAGCTAGCTAATGAAAAGGGACTATATTAACATGAAGGTAGAAGATTTTTGAAGGTGATGAGGAATGACAATCTTTTTCCCTGTGTTGGCTGTGCAATCACAAGATGATAATTTCAGGGGAAGAAAAATGACCCTTTGCCCTTTAAGACAGTCAATAGGCTTTTAGAAGCAGGCAACCAAAGATTGCACTGTATTAGCATTTAATTTTTAATTAACACTAGATTACAATTGCATTTTCAGAACATCCCTCCTTAGGCCCACATTTGCAGTAAGAGAGTTCACCTGGATGGATATTATTGCAGAGAACACCAGGGGAATGAATAAGAGATCCACAACTGCTGTCAGCGGAAAGCACAAAAAGGAAATGAATCAACTAACAGCAAAGGGAGCTCTGGAAGCTGCATGGCACGTGTACGGCACGATAATCAGAGGCCCCTCTGTGAAATGATTCCAAGGTTTTGTTCTACCTAGAAAAGTTTTGGAGTTGAGAGGCAGCATGGCAGAGTGGAAAGAGGATGGATTTTGGAATTAGACAGCTCGAGGTGAAAATCCTGTAACACAGAAAAGATAGTGTGAATGTCTGGGGCTACGGGGAAGATGAACAAGCCAGCTTTTGTAAAGTGCCAGATACATAGGTGTCCAGTAACTGGTAGATATTATTGCCTCTTGTTTGGATTCACAAATTTCAAAGAGAACTCTAAAGACTGGCCTGAGTAAATTGTGTTAAAGAAAATGAACTTTTAAGGATACAACTCACATCACCATCACTGTAGAGGATTTTCTCAGAACCCTCATCTGAGGCTCTGGATGAGAAAGTAGGCAGGTTACTTCTGTTTTGGGAGCAGAAGTTACTTTCTTGACATTTTACAAGAGGCCTTGGAATGCTTAGTGGAAAGAAGGGGTAAGGAAAGGGGAAAGGGAAGGAGGAATAGAAGAAGCAGGGGGGAGGAGAAAAAGAAAGAGCAGAGGTAGGAAGGAGTTGTGGTGTGGTAGTGAAACATTTTAAATCTTGATTTTAAAACCCATTTTATTACTTTGAAAAGACCAAAAGGTATTCTATTATAACAACGGCTGTGATTGCCTTTGAAAGATAGGAGTATAAAATATTTTTTCTGACTTGTTATTTTTTCCAAATTTTCTCATTGAGTAAGCACATATTACTTTTATAATTAGGAAAATAAAAATGGCACCCTTGTTAATTATTTCAGGATCACATGTCTTTTTGTGGTCCTTTGAAAGAGTAATGTTTGAGAAGCTTCATTAACTAACGATGTATACAAATAGGACCTGAGAGATTTAGGAATTCAAATTCCAGCCGTAGGAATCATCATAACCAAGGTAGGCCAGGACCCCTAGGCTCCTTTCACCTTCACGAAAGGCAAAAGGCAGAGTGTTTCATATGGGGGAGTCTAGTTTAGTAAACACAAATCAATCTCCGACAAACTACGGTTGTTTTACATGAGGACCCTAACCCTTTCTCCCTGACCTTTCCCTAATTTCTGGAATTTAGTATTCCAGTGTGTGGGATAAGTCTCTGTGAACTTGCTTCCAACCCAGCATTTTTGTTCTCTGGAAACTTCAGGGAGCATGAGTGAATTCGACAGATGCTGGCTTATCACACTGCGCCTGACACCTGGCTCTGCACTATCTGCAAAACCAATAGAAATAGCTACAGGGGAACTTGTATGCATCTTGAACAACTTTTAATTTAGGCAGTTATCTTCTTCAAACACTTTGGGTCTCTACATTTCAATCATCAGGACTCTTCAGGACAAGCAAAAAGCCTCAGTAAACCAGTAAACACCACAGTGCTTATTTAGACATGAACACTTTGATTAACGTTTACATACTGAAATAACCGTGGAGAACAAGCAAACAGCCCCATCCCTTGACTCACATAGATGAGCCCATTTACATACTGAAAATGGTACAAACTGTCCAGGATAGTGAGTACATTTGGACCATGAAGGGAATATCACCATGCTTTTTCCCTTGTGTAGTGATTGTTTTAGCATGTGTTGGAACATAATCAAAGGAGAACTTGATGTGTTTGGGAGGAGCATCAGATGAGTGATAGGTATTCCAGAAAGACGTTAGTTGACTAATGATACTGAGTAAAAGAAAAAGAAACGTAAGTGGTGAAGACTTTTAAGAAGTGGGAACATAGCTCTGGGGATGTGTTATGAGAAATCAGGACTTTAGTGTTATAGGATGAAAAGTTATATGCCATTGCAGAAAATTAGCGACAACTTGGTCAGAGTCTTGAAGTGTCAAGGAATAATAAAATAAGTACAATAAAGAGGAATATTTACTAGTTGTTGAAACCCTTTTCTGTTCCATATTTGCTTGTTTATATTGACTTTCTTAACTTGCCTTCCTAATATATAACATCCTTCCTACTCATGGTAAAGAAAGATGATGTAGCATTTTGATCAATGTGCAGAAACCAATGGCTATGCACTGAATTGTGCCCCCGCTCCGATCCATACATTGAAGCACTAACCTTCAATGTGATCATGTTTTGAAATAGGGTTTTTAGGAGGTAATTATGATTAAATGAGGTCATAAAGGTAGGGTGCTAAATTAATAGAATTGGTGGCCTTATAAAAAAGGAATCTCTCTCTCTCTGCATGCACTGAAGAAAGACCCTGTGAGGACAAAGAGAGAAGGTGTCCACCTACAGCCCAAGCAGAGAGCCCTTACTAGATACTAGATACTCCGCTGGCACCTTGACCTTAGACTTTCCAGCCTCCAGAAGGCGGAAAAACAAACTTCTGTTGTTTAAGCCACCGAGCCTGTGGTATTTTACTATGGCAGCCAGAACTAAGACACCAACAATATTTTGTTTTAAGTTTCTCTAAATTAATATGGCAAAATCTTGAACCAGAGCACTTAAAAAAATGAAGCTCAGTTACTTTCATCTCATTTCTTAGTTTCTTGACTGACAGAAGTAATATCTTCTGGCCATTTCCCGTCACTTATGGTGATATTTTCCATTGGAAAAGTAGGCCTTGAAAGTCCTATTTTTCACAGCCATCTATCTGTCTGAGTGTCATTCCATGGTCAGCCTTAAATGCAGACACCTCAGAATGGGCTCTTCATGATTTGCTTCAATTCTACATGTTGAATAACTTTACTTTACTGTTTCCCAAGTTTATGTCGTAAAGGACTGAGCTATAATAATAGATGTAGGAGAAGGATAGGCTTCTATTATATGATTAATAAGGCAACACTATTAATGAAATATTAAAAAGATGAAGAGAAGCATAAATGCTGTTTTAGAACATTCAAGAACAAAATGCAATTTTTTAAGAAAGTATTTTATTTTTGTGTCTCAACAGATGAAATTCATAACCTTGTTTTCTGATAAGACAATTCAAACATACAAATCAATTACAACAATGTGCTTATCAGCTCCCCTCCCACCCCTATATTTTAATGCAACTGACAGTTTTGAAGGACACCAAGACAATAGGGCTTAGCTAAACAATACGGCAATTAAAAATGGCCCTCTAAGAAAATAATTACAATAGTTGTTGAAAAGAATTTGTCCTTTGAGCAAAACAGACTGAAAAGGATTATCATGAAATGAGGAGAATTATAGCTTCTCTTCCAATAAAGGAGAAAAGGGGATGTATGTTAAAACAATGATACAGAAAGCTGGGGAGTCAGACTGAAAACAGAAAGCCCCAGGCAATAAATGTCTCCAATAAAATGCATCCCCTTGAAGATATCCATTCAAACTCTTGTTTCATATTGAAATAAATAACTGTTCCGCCACACCCAGCACCTGGAAGTGAATCATTTTTGTTCTCCTTTGTTAAAATTAATTTAATAATTTTTCCAATCCAGCATCTCTCTGAGAAAGAGGTGTCGTTACGAATTTTGTAAAAGTCAATGACATTAAAGATAACCTAAGCCAATCGATGGCCAACACCATTTTAGATTCTAGCCGTAAAGAGATTAGACATATTCTGGCAAACCTGGGGCTCCCAGGGAAAGCAGGGTTCATACTCAATGATATCTAGTTACTCTAATCCTGTAGCACCTTTCTACTAGGTCCCCAATTCTATATACCATTTCCTCATGCTTTTCATGGTAAGCCTCACAGCACCCTTGTGAGGTAGGTAGTGTTATGGTTATTTTGAGAGATGGGGATGCAGAGATGTTAAGTAGCTTGCCCATAAAGAAACATGAATCCAGTGACATAGCCCTAGGGACTCTCACTCCAGATCCTTGTCTTTTTAGTACTTAACTGTTCTGACTCCCTGAGAGTGGATCATTAAAGCAGGTAGGTCCTTAACGCCAGACTTGTGCCTGGCCAGGTGGACACTAAGGCCTATCTCTAAACCACATGATTTAGATGACAGAATGAGACACAAGTTGCAATCAATATGGAAGCCAAAGGAGTTAATGTGGAGAAACACAGAGCTAAGGTTTAAACCACAGTTTGATAATGACTTCAGTGACGGGCAGCTCGATTACTATGATAATGGATACTCAGTAGATGTTGCATAATTAAATGAGTAAATGAATGAAAGGAGATTGTGCTTGGATAATTGGAAAATTAAATTTTCTGTATCTTTTAAAACAAAGCTAGAGAAATCTGATTTTTAACTTCTAATCAAGGATGAGAAGGAAAGGACCGAGTAGATTCCTGAATATTTTGAGGGCATGTATTTAAGCTAATTATTGGCAATATTTAAAAGATATAAATAGACATTTAAAATGATTTTCAATATAGAATGTATTTACTTATCAATTTGGAAACCAACTCAAGATCAATATTAGAGGCAGTGTGATATGCATAATCATCCATTTTCCTCTGCAATTAAATTCTCTTACACATGCTCATATGATCATTGCCATTTATTTGAAATGCTTGTGTTCTCCAATTCTTATTAAATGTTCTTTTGAAATATATTCAACCATTAGAACAATGAACTACTCTTCCTACACTCACCAGCCAGGATACATTTTTCAGTTACTTTCAGTTTCCGTGAACCCATTCTTTTTCCTCCAGAAGACTCACAGCAGAAAACAGCTGCCCTATATTGAAACCAGCCCTGCGTTAAAGCCAGCAACTTTCTTACAGAACTGCCATGAAGAGCTCTTGAGACCACTGAAGCACAGACCACTGGATTCTCCAGGTGTTGCTAAAACAGAAGAGCTTATATAAATCAAGGTGGTGGAGGTGACTTGGTAATCTCTTTGCATTACACATTTGTTCTGTGCTCAGTGAATTAATTCCCTGTAGGATGTTTGTACTGATACAGTGTGAGGCTTAAAGAAACTCTGGATGCCACAGTATGGATTTGTGTGTGCAGGTTTGAAGAAGTGTTTAACTTTTATGAAATCCCTGCATGTATAGAATGGATGTAACCTGTTAGTCTTTTGTACATCCAGCTAATAGCCCATGGCTAAAGGAATAGGCTAGATGTGGTGAATTGCCTCTGTGCTATGGTACTAGCATACTTGATCTCTTGTGCTTGGAAATAATATGAATAGTGATGCTGCAGTTAGAAAAGGGTTCACATAAATGTTATTTCTGCCTTAGATGGGGATCTGGTAAACAAATTTATCTCCCAATGTGACAATACAAAATTATTCACTATAGATATAACTTTCACAATCACATAAAAGATTTAGGTATTTTAATCAAAGAGGTATCCTCTCTAGCAGTCTGTTCTTTTTGTAGAGACTCTCCTTGGGTTTTCATTTCTGAGACCCTGACTCTGGTGATTCAGGTGAGGTCTTAGTTTTTTTAGCAGACAAATAGAATAGGGAGAATCCACATATTTTCCACCTGCCTTATCTTTTTTTATTTTTTAAATTTTCTTATTTTTTTCCCCAGATGGTTCTTAGTAATAGATATGTATATACGTGTCATTCTGCCATTAATATACATATACTACTTTGAGAGATTTATTGACATGTCCTGATTTGCCAATGACAGCGTTATAGAATAAAACAATACCTGCATAGCTGTAATAAGCGATCTCCTTCCCAATCCTTTATTTTTTGATAGAGGGTCATAATTTTTGCATTTAGTTATTTATAAGAGTTGATGAAAGGCACCAGTGTGACAAGCCCTAGAAGCCAGTGTTTTCAGATTTTCCACCAGTCAGTGGCAGAAATAGTAGGTAAATTTCCCCTCAGGTTTCTCACTTTTCTCCTTAACTTGGCTTTATTCCACATTAATCTTCATGTCCTGTGTTTTAGGTCTGATAATGAAGTAATTAAGAAAAGAATATAGGGTTGTACAATAAGCTTATCTGCCTTGAAGGGAGTCGGTAGAAACTCCTAATTTTTATTTCGACTGTATCAAACAACACAAAAACATTAACAGCCATCTAGCAAGGGCAGTATGCTCATGACTGAGAAAAATGAAAGGAAGAAGAAACCAAACAGAAACAGAAACACAGAACTATGAAGAACTTCTAAATTTATGAAGTAATACATGACCAGAAAGTCTTTAAGGTGCAGAGCTAGAAGCCAGGCCACTGAGTTAAAAGTATGTTTAGCTTCGAGTTCATTATATTATCTTCTTCCCATTGTTTAAGTACAAGTTCTGAAGTATTGGGATCATCTTATCCCTGATTGGTGAGTTTACTGGACAAGCTAACTCCTAATATTAATTGGCGAGATGTCTACCCAACACATTCAAAACTATGCTTATGGGAAATGGCCCTTTGTTTTAGTCTTACTGATTTACTAGCATAAAATAAAAGCCCACTGTTAGAGATGTGACTCTGACCAGAGCAGCTCTGGCATTAACAGAACATTTTCAAGAAATTCTCTCTCTAGGGGCAAGCTTTTCATTTTGCAATTAAATAGCAGCAGGCCGGGTGCAGTGACTCATGTCTGTAATCCCTGCACTTTGGGAAGCCGAGGTGGGCGGATCACGAGGTCAGGAGATCGAGACCATCCTGGCCAACATGGTGAAACCCTGTCTCTACTAAAAAAATACAAAAATTAGCCGGGTGTGGTGGTGGGTGCCTGTAATCCCAGCTACTGGGGAGGCTGAGGCAGGAGAATCTCTTGAACCCGGGACGGGGAGGTTGCAGTGAGCCGAGATTGTGCCACTGTACTCCAGCCTGTTGACAGAGTGAGACTCAAAAAAGAAAAGAAAAGAAAAGAAGAATAGCAAAGGGACCTTTTCTGGTTTCTTGCTAACAGTCTCAGTATTTGTGTGTTTATTGCTTCCTGGAGATGAATCCCGGACTTTCTTGTTCTCTAACAATGTGACTTTCAGGTACCATGACTGTCAGCTTTCTGCTTCCTTCTCTACCTCCTCCTCCTTCACTGGAAGCCATCTAATGAGCCACAGGGAGTAAAGATGATACCCTAGATGATGACACCTGCCTGAACACATCTCTCTAAAGCCCATTCCCTCAAGTACGAAAGGTAAAGAGAGGGCACCTTCACTCTCAGCCCAAGAGGAGTTTAAAAATTTTCAATTCATTTCCTCTTTAACACTAGACAATTTTCTCTTTCCCTTTTTTCAATTTGCTTGAAGACTAAAGTTGTTTCTCTTTTTATTTTTTTTGTGGCTTCCTACTTGACACAATGTTTTGAATCATTTGGCTGAGTGAAGGCTAACTCAGAAAGAAAAACTAGAGGGTGGTGTTGTATGTATGGCTTGCTGAACCCTTCAGTTCTTGCTCAAATAGATCTTACGCCTTAAGTTATGCCCATTACTTGCTTATGTTATTAAGTCACATGAATTTGGGATACTTTTGCAAGTGATACAGGATTTAACTCCACAAAAGTAGAATATCTTTAGAGTGTGGTTGATATTACATAAATTTGGATGCCCATCAGGTTGAACTATGACCCCTTTGTAACTTTATGTAACTGGATAGCCTGTCTTTTGATTCCTCTGTGAGTTATCTCCACTCACCTTAGCATTTGAATGAGATTCCACTGGACCTGCTTCATCTCTGACAGTATTGGGGATTACTAATTAATACAGTGATACCTCACGTTCCCTGTGAGACTCATATAACCTACTTCTCTCAATAAGAAAATATTTTTATACGACTCCGATTGTCTCATATTGCATTTCTTATTAATACTTCAGTGAATTTAACTGAGATGTCAGATGCTTAAGCCCTTTCATCCGAAAAGAAAACATGTTTTCTTAACTTATTTTACATGTTAATAAGTTAATTTGTTTTTACATGTTAAAAAAAACATGCCCACAACAATTAACCAATAGCTAAAGAGATGCAAACCTAAATCAAGATACTTTTGTCATTAGCATTAATTTTTTGAAAACAAAAACTTTCAGGCATTTTTTACGAAAAGTTTTGTTAGGTTCTTGGTTATTAACTTTCAATCATGGGATATTCTCAAAATAGGATTTTGATAAAAGACATTAAAGGAAAACACAGATACACATTCTGTCTCTTTTTCTCCTGCTCAGGCTTATCAACTTTTAAAACGGTTATAATTTAAACACAAAAAAATCTAACCACCCTTCCCCACATATTTATATATGTATATATAAACAATAGAAATTAATTATGATTTGGGGTATTCTATACCACATGGAAAAAACCTGAAAACAACTGTCTTGTTATGAAGCAACTCAGGTTTTTATGATATACCTGATTTTGTAACTGGGGAGAAAAACAGCATGTTTTCTTCCAAACAGCCTCTATGCAAAGTTTGTTCATGCCAATTCCAATCTCTTGTTATCACACAGATATGTATATACATCATTTTGCTGCTGGACATACATTGTAAAGAATGAAAAATTTTTTTTGCAAGTCTGAATTAATCTCCTGTTTATTATTTATCTTATATTGTTGATTTTACTCAATATATTGCAGTGTAAAGATATTAAAGCAATTTAGAATAGGAGGTGTGCAACAACATAAAGTTAACATGGCAACCAAATTTCTGCTTTTTTTTGGTCCTTTTAGAACAGGCATAAAGTCTTTGGCTGACCCATCTTCAGTATGGACAGTTATCTTTTGAACTTTATTGGAATATAGTTAAGCAATTTAGTAAAACATAAATTTGCATTTTTGTTGTCTTCTAATGACTATTTTGCATATTAAAGGTAAAGTCTTCTTTAAAATGTGAAGTACTCTCTTGATTATGCCAGCTCTTTTCTCATTCTGCTAAGGCTATAAATAAAGCTTTCTATTTAAGGCTGGCATTATATCAACCCACCTGCTTCTGGAAGGGAGAGGAAAAAAAATCAGAATCACTCAACCTGCAGATTGCTGTCAGCTTGTGATTATGTGAATGGTAAGTCTTAACTTTTAAAGTGTTATGTGAGATAGCTGGAGGGTTTTTTTTTTTTAAAGCAATTTCCAGTTTAACAATTACCCAAGAATCTCAGTTACCAATGAAAGAAGACTTATCCCTGGAGAGAGCGTTCATTGATGAGGATGGCAGCAGCTGAGAAGTGACAGTGGTAAGTAGGCAGAGAGTGAAGGATCATTTCAATTGCTGCATCAGGAAAGGAGGCAAGAATGTGGGGGAATACCAAAGCTTTTCTCCTTCTGTGGGCTGTCTCAGGGGACTTTAGTTCCTGCTCTTTTTCTCCTTCCTATTCAGGATGTTCTCCAGGGAGAAGGGGATCAGGGAGGGAGAAGAGGTATTAAAGACCTTGGTAAACTTGAGAAAGGGCAGTCTGGGGCACATGCAAGCTTGTCCTGATCAAACTCCCAAATTTGGAAAGAGTAACATCAGCCCCAATCCTATTTTAGAAAAATAAACCTTTTACAAACATCTTAATTATGTATTTTGTTGTTGTTGGACACATTTTATCCTAGACCATTTGTTAAAAATCTCACATAAGATAAGGAAGTTCTAGTCCCTACCTTTTTGAGAAGACATGCAGTTACACATACTGTTCTCCAAACAGGCAAACCAACTTCAGAGTCGAAAACCTGTCATTAATTGTTGATTTAAAACCTTGTTTACTTGGCTAAACCTTGCAAGCCTAGACATATGGCCCCTGGACCCAGTGTTTATTAGGTTAATTGAGCTAAAGAGCACAGCAATCAGCTATCATTTTATCCTGTACACCTATGTTGTAAAGCTGTCCTTTCCCAGCTGGAATGTAAATGAGAAGGCTCTTTTGGGAATGGCTTTTGAAGGTGAAAAGGGGAGCATCACTGAGAGATTCATGTCAAGTGTTTGCCAAAGTACCAGAAAACACCCTCTGTTGCCTAACGAAAATAGAAAATTCAAAAATCAAACAAATAATATTTCATTCCTCAAAACTTTCTATACCCAAAGGCAGAATAATTCCCAAACTCCTCAATCAGAAAAACATCAAGGGTTCTAGCTGAAAGGAATTAAAAGGTGCTCCCAAAGCCAACGGTGGAAAATCAATGGAAATAACCAGGCACATGATGTATGAGTCTAACAAACAGGGAATGTTAATTATAGTAATAGAGATAATAAGTCTTTACCTAAGTGCTGAGTAGAATGAATGCCTTTGGTCCCAAAGGTTTTGTTACTAGATTCAGATGCCACAGAATCCATTTGGGATAGCTCATGTGAGATATAGGTGACTGGGTCATAGAAAAAAGGTATAAAAAGGACTTCAGTGAAAGTCAAGGAAGAACATAATCTCTGATTCTTCTTCAGGTAGGAGATAACTACAAAAATTGGCAAGAAAGAAAACAGGATTAACATGGGTCAAGTGTCTGCCTCCAACCTTCTTTAAAGTCTTGATATATCTTTATGTTTGGTCTTAGACTTCTAAGCTGAAAATTATGTAATTTTTTTCTTTCCTAGAAACCCTCAAGACATATGCAGTGTTGAATGGCTTCTGAGTACATCCCCTGAAGTTAAAACAAATGTCTTGACACAGAGATGAAGAGAGACCCTGGAAATACAAGTTAATTTACATGGGACTTTACTCAATTTTATTTCTCCAAGATCACATTCTCTCTTTTGTTCCTCTGATATAAAAATACATGTGTTTGTACCAGAGTAAAGTGACAAAAGTCAGGCCTCAATGCAAATGACATTTAAATAATCATTTTTTAAAGAGTCACAGAAGACTGCAACTTCTGGACTCCTGTAAGAACTGAGGAACACAGAATATTTGACAGAATAATGAAAAAAGAATCCATCCTAAATACTGTAGGGCAACTTCTGAATGTGTTTTTCCTACTAGGGAGTTGTCAGTAACAAGCAAAATTTCTGAGAAAGTTGAGCAAAACCAGAGTGGAATGAAAACCAACTGGAGTGAAATGCTGAGTCAAACAACAGTATTTCTTTCTGGGATACTTTGAAACAAAGCCTCTGGGAAGAAAATGACTCAGAGATGTCATATTTAAGTGAGTAGTTGGCCCCTGTGCTGGTATGAGCTGTTATGCTCTACCATGGTCTAGTTGATATAACAAAGAGGTAATCAGAAGCCATGAGGGAAAATTCATTAACCCTTTTGTGAAACTGAGTACTAAAGCACCAGCGTTTCACTCAATGGATACCAGAGCTTTGCACGCACAAAAAGAACCCAAGATCTGCTCAGATAGTGAGAGTGTAGAAAATTAAATGTCTATTCAATTACCTCTTAATCCATTGCTATGATGGATGCTTCAGGCAAAAAGTAGCCAATTCCCCTGAAAATATCTGGTCAATATACTTTTATGATCTAAGCACTGACACAGTCAATATTTTTTTGGTAGTCTATCGGAGGCCAATTCAAACAGTAATTTTACTCTTATTGGAAACATTAGGTTTAGGAATACGTCACAAGAGTATTACTCTAGTCTGAAGTAGACCAACCGGGGTTCTATGGAGCTCTAGTTTTTGAAAATGTTAACAGTTATAGCACGAAAAGAAGTGCTTTCTGCTCATATAAATTAGTGAAGCCTGAAGATAAACAATATTAAACAGGATTCCTGTTTACAGGACTTTTCAGAGGATTTATTAGGCTCATATAGATTTTGAATCTCTAAAGGTGGTTACAGAATGCATTTCCCTGATAGACTGGTCAACAGGACTTTTTTGGAAGAATGCTTAGAAATATCTTAAATAACTATTATTCCATAGATCAGAGTATGGGACCGCTGAGAAAATCCATTCTCTTTTCTTCCAATAAAATGAATAGTAACAAAATCTTTTAACTAAATCTTTTTCATGGATGGGTACATTTTAATCCAATTTCATTTCACTCAGCTGTTTTTGGCCAACTTTTATTTTGACAAAAGAGCAGTGAAAATCACAAAGCCCTCTTATTAATTGCTCAATGTTTCTCTTTTATGACAATTAGTTGAATACTACACTTCACACAATGCTGCAAAATAGTTTCTATTAACTTTTGGAAGTTTTTTTGAAATCTCTAACAGTTCATTTTTAAATTTGAAAGACCCCATTCCATTTGCACACAAGTTGGATTTGTGATAGAGTTTGCAGCAGAGCTTGATTTGCATTGTTTGATATAAGGTATTTGGCACAAATGGAAAATAAAATTCTAAAAGATCTATGATAGTCATCAGAAAAGTCAAATGAAAAATGGCTTGAACAGGCAATTCTTCAATCTTTCATCATATTTTCCACCCTTTATTAGGGGAGAAATGGGTTTAACTCTGTTGCTATCTGATTGGCAAAATAATTTCTGGGCTTATCCTACTTTTATTGGGGTCAATTTAATTTTATTAAAGTTCTTCAAAATTTCAAATTTTCAAATTTCAAACTAAAAAGCCAGCCTTTTGAATGTCAACCCGCCAATCCAATATGTCAAGAAGCAAACCCCAGAGACTTTCTACTCCAGCTTACATGTTATTAAAAACATGACCTATTTTCAGATCCCTCTTGAAATAGGAAAAGTATAGATATTTCCTATCAGTTCTATGCTGATTAAATATTTGACATTGCATGAACACAGTCCACATTCAATTCTTTCTCAGATCACATAACCATATGCTTTGAAAGTCATTCACTGAACATTTAGCCAAATGAAACTATGCCTGCTCTGAACCAGATGACTGGTGGTCACGGCATGACATCAGTTTTTAAAAACTGGGATGTTTAACTTTGAGTAACAGTCATTAATACAAACTGAATTGGATAAGTATCCTTGGGTCAGAGAGAGGAAAAAAAATCAGCACAACTTGACATATTTATGGGGCTATAACCTTGCTTTTTCCTCAGTGGAGAAAAAAAACACTAAATGGTTTTTAATCCACCTTGTTTTTTCTCAGTTCTTAGAAAACAAGACAAATTCCTCTTTATTATACAAGATAATTTTCAAAGAAAAAACCAAAATCTAATTGGTAAGGAAGCAGGAAGAAACCCTGAAGTTGTCTATTCAAGGTAATATTGTGTGTACAGTATTCAAGTAGAGAACATCAGAGTGGCAGTAGCTAGATGTTCCCTTGACTAGCAGCAATCTAGCATGCAGGCAGCTATCATGTTTTAAACAAATCGTTGTTTGCATTAACATCATGTTATGTATGTATCACCCTGGTTTGTGTTGGCATCTGAGAAGAACTCTTTCTTATTCAGAGAGCTTTTGAACATCTGAATTCTTGATCTTAGCCACTGGTGAATATTATCCTATGGTTATTTGTAACCATTACCTCTTCTTCCATTTTCTATTAACCCGCTAATAGTGACTGTGGAAAGTAAAATCAAGGAGTGATTAAATGAATCATTTTCATTATTAACACCTACCTTGCATTTTACAGGTACATCTAGTGGTGTACCACCTTCTGGAGAAACCAAGGGCTTTGTTTACAGTAAACTGGTCCAGTGTGATATTATTACAAGTATAAAAAATATTCCATTCTGTATCAAAACTAGGCACATGCCTTTATTTATAGTAACAGAAGTTAACAGAGTTGAGCAGTTTTGCCTTGGGTCCTGTTTCTTGGCATCCTACATCAGACAAACACATCTCTCAAAATATCTCCGCCCATAACTCCAGGGATCTAGTCTCAGGGTCATCTGTAGGTAACGGAAGGTGAAATCACACTTGGATCTATAGTGGTGAGTAACTAAAAGCACAACCTCTCATTCATATTGCTTTAAAACATGTACAGCATATATGTTTCAAAAAAGGAAGAAAAGAATATATTGATCTCTTTGTGGTACTGAACCAACAATATGGTATGATGCAAGGCTTTAACAAATGATAATCATAGATACAAATTTTTCTGTAGAGTATGTTTTAGACAAATGTGTCTTTTTAATATGTAAATCCTACACTGTAGGTTGTTCTTTTTTATTTTTTCTTTTGTTTTTTGCAGTGGTAGAAAATGCTGAATAATTGTCCGTGAGTGTGAGCCAAATATTCAGGTTCATTACTGAGATCCCCAGAACGCCAATATTTGCAACGCAAACACTTAGTATCCCACTGTGTGAAGGGCTCTGACACATGCCTGCCTGCCTGCCTTTCGATGGAGAGTCTCCATTGGAAGTCCTCCTGCTTCCATAGACCCTGCTTTTGATACAGGGGCAGCTGCACATGGCTGCCTCTTAATCTAGTAATTTACTGTGCCATACTGTCTTACTGATTACCCACATTGACAAAGAGACAGTAATGTGAGGGGTGGGCCTTCAAATCATTTTCATGTTGAACCTCCTGGGTCCAGCTACCTCCCCTTCCACAACAGCACCATTGTTTTTTCTGGGCACATACTCAAGGTCAATGCTGTTTTTGTGCTTGCCTTTCCCTCGGCTCCACACAAAAAGGAGAAGAAAACAAAATAAAACCACTCCCAGGAATGTGAAGCAGCCCATAGCTGTAGACACCAGTATTGTTTTAAGGTCCAGGGAAAAAGTATTGGCATTGGTGCCATTGGAAATGGTGTCATTGGAGTCGGTCATGTACATAGGGGTCCTGTTCGCATAAAGAAAACGATCTGAAGCGAATCCTTTCACAGTTAAGGAGGCTGTGAAGGTATCATTCCCAGCAGCATTGCTAGCGATGCAAACATACATCCCGCTGTCTTGATCCTGGGCAAAGCGGATTTCCAAGGTGCCATCACCCAACACGGTGGCTCTTCCATTGGACTTGGTGGTGATGAAACGCCTTCGGGGTGTCACCCAGGAAATCACAGGCTGCGGGTCTCCATCTGCACTGCATTCTAGCTGGACTGTCTGCCCTTCATCTACTAGCAGATGCTGCAACTTCTTTTCACGGATTTTGGGTTTTTTGCAGGTAAAGTAAAAAGAAAGGGCAGTGCTATGGAAATCCTTGAAAGACCTCTCACGGATGGTGTCTGGGCCAGCACACATAGGTTGCTGGCCACCAAACTGCAGGGTGGGCTGTCGCTGCAAGATCCAGAGAAGGCGGCAGTCACAGGCCAGAGGGTTGTTGTTAATGCTCAAGACCTCCAGAGCCCTAGGGGAGGAGAAGACATTCTCTTCCAAAGTTTCCAGCAGGTTCTGAGACACATTGAGCACGCGTAGGAAGCGGAGCCCTTGGAAGGAGTGAGGCTCAATGGTGCGAAGCTGGGCCCCCACTATATGAAGCTCCTGAAGGCGGATCAGGTCAGAGAACATGCCTGCTTCAATAGTGCTGATGGGATTGTAGGAGAGGTTAAGGTGAGTCAGGTATACCAGGTGTTTAAAGGCAAGGAAGGGTACAGTAGACAGATTGGTGTTGGTGACTGAAAGGGATGTGAGGTTGAGACCGTAGAGGCTATTGGCAGGCATCATATCCAGTAAAGGCCAATAGTCAATCTCTAGGTGTTTCAGGTGGAACAATCTTTTAAAGGCATACACAGGCATATTGTTGATATTGAGATGCTTCAGATGCAGGCTGATGAGGCTGCGGAGGTGGGAGAGGGCTTCTGTTGGTACTGCTGTTAAGTTGCATTTCTCCAGGGTGAGCTGCTCCAAGCTAAGAAGCCCACTGAATGCCCTGTGTGATATATAAACCAAATCATTGTCCCCCACTTCTAGAGACTTCAGGTTATGTAGATCTTGGAACATGTAGTCTAGTAAAATGACAATCTTATTCTCACTAATGTCAAGCTTAGTGAGATTGGACAGCCCCGTGAATACTCCCAAAGGGACCAGCTTTAGACGATTGCCTTTTAGGCGGAGGGAACGCAGGTTAAAGAGATTGTTGAATGCTCCTGGTTCCACATTGGCAATGATGTTGTCACTCAAGTCTATCTCTTCCAGCAGAGGATATGATATGAATTCTTCAGGGTTGACGCTTTTTAGCCTGTTTTTACTGAGGTCCAAGATTTTGGTTTCGATGGGAATGCCCTCTGGGATGGCGATCAATCGCCTTCTGTGACAGCTAACAGATTTGTTCTGGGCAGAGCACTCACAGCGAGCGGGGCAGCCAATGGTGGATCCCATGAAGATTAACACCACAGCCAGACCCAGGAATGGCTGCCAGCATGATATGGCCGTGTGAAGCATGACTCCACTTCTTAGTCTACACCTTGGTCACGGGTCTGCATGGAAGGGACACAAGAAGGGAGGAAGAGAAGGTGAGTTAGGATATAAATAGGTGAAGGGGCATAAATAGGGCAGCAAGTGTAATGGAAAGGATACTGGATTTGGAATCAATCAGATTTGGGCATAAACCTGATGGACGACCCTCTTAGTAACAGGTTCTTGGTCAAGTTATTTAATCTCTCTGCATTTTAGTTTTCCTGGCTGTGAAATGGGGATAATAGTGATAATAGTAATAGCTTCCCAGAGTTGTCATGACAATTTCAATGTTTGACAAGTATAAAGATAATGTGTGACACAGACTGTGAGACAACACAGTATAAATTTCACACTCAAAGGCTCAGTTTTAATTTAAATGAAAGAAACAGGTCAACAGCTAAGAAGAAAGCAGTTGAGTTTGAATCAGTGTCGGCATCACTAATGTTTAGGATATCATCCTCTATTCAAAACAAAGCTAACAGAAGTTTCATTCTATATCAGGCCTTTAGGTGCAACATACAAAACAAACTTATATTCAGTGCAAGGTGTTGGAATGTTTTTCTTCATGTATACATTTTCTACTTTTAACCTTTGAATTTTAATGTACGCATCTTTCATCACTTAGCAAACTTTAATTTATGAAGGGATTTTCTTATTTGAGGCAGACAAAAGATCCTCAAAGTATCCCTGTATTGTTTTTGTTTCTCATAGGAATGAGGCAGAATCAAGGTACAAGATGGCTATAATAAAAATGCTCTTTTAAATGATTTTGAGATAAATATTGAGGAATGGGAAGATAAATAATTTTCAGAAAAAGTATCATTTAATGATAAATGAACTATCCCTCTTTCACATTCAGACAAACTCAGTGGACCCGTTAAAGTGAAATTAAATAGGTAGCAAATGAGAAGGGAAATGAGTATGTTTTAAATGTGGATAGTTTAGCAGATACTGAATCCAACTGAATAAATAAAAGGTGTATTACTGAGCTCTGCTTTTCAACTTGGGGTTCTCAGGGGTACACTTTATCCACGAACACCATATTTTAATTAAGGTTCAGTAGTTTGAAACAATACTTTTAGATAAAGAAGTATTTCATAAACTTCAACATTCATTCCTGAGCTGCAAAGGAAAAATTAGTAAAAAAATAATTATCCGATTACAGTATTTACATATATATCTATGTCTACAACCACAGTATGTCTATATGTAAACAAATTTATGAATAAAAAATAACAAGTAGGATCAAACTTAATGGTGAATCACTAAATCACTAGAAAATTTTCCTCCAAATGTAGAAACTAGGCAAAAACCCAGAAAGTGCTAGCAAATCAATTAGATAGGAAGAGGTATAATTTTTGGAAAATATGTGGCAAAACTATCATTATTCACAGATCAAATTAATGTCTATCATGGAAACCAATGGAAATCAACTAAAATGATTAGAACAGTAGAATAAGTGACTTAGAATACTACAAAATAAATGTAATTTAAAAAAAATTTTCTTGTCTACACAAACCATTTAGAAAATACTATTGTAAAAATTATCTCAGTCATGGCATCTCAAAAACATCAAATCCTTAGTATAAACTTAACAAGAAATACATAGAACTAATATGACAACTATTAAACCCTATCAAGAATCAAAATAACTAAAAGAGAGATGTACTATGTAGAGAGATTAAATATTATAAAAATATTGATTTCTTTTTCCATAGAACACACATTACAAAGAATAATGTTTTAAGCTTGAAAAATTAATTCTAAAGTTCATTTGGAAGAAAACATATATGAAAATAATCAGAAACAGTAAAAAAATTATGAAAACACCTGCCATACAATGCATTCACACATAAGATACAAAACTATAATAATAAATCAGCATGCTATTTACACAAAAATAAAGTCAAGAAAACAGAAAGTAAGGAATTATATCTAAATATATTTGAAAAGCCAGTTTATGTTAAAGGCGGCATTTTAAATCAGTGAGAAAAATACAAATGATTGGCTTGATATTTTGTGGGAAAATTTGCATACTAACTTTACTTCTTCCAATAAATTCCAGATGAATTAAGGATTCAAATGTAAGAAGAAAACATGTACTAGAAGAAAATTCAATAATTTTATAATATTAGAGTTAAGTAGCATTTTCTGTGAATAAAGTTAGAAACCCAGGAAGGAAGAGAATGATTGACTCTGTTGTACACATTTTAAAAACTTGGTATAACAAACAAATAACACACACATGTGATTGCTAAACTGGAGAATATATTTAAAACATATGTAATAGATGAAAAGGTGAATGCCAATAGAAAATTAGGAAATGAGTATAATAAAATTAAAAATAGCCAATAAGTATATGAAAGGGTGATTAGCTATTAGTAAGCAAAAGAAATGCAAATTTAAAAATAGGGGGTATGTAGTTTTTGCCTGTCATATTGATAAAGTTTGATAATCATTTTTAGCCAGAATTAACAAGGGTAGAAGAAAATGAACATCCACATACTGATAAGGAATAAAAACTGGACATTAATTGATATAGTAGATTTAAATATATCTAAGTTCAATATGTTAATTCTTTTGACTTTTTTTCCTATTTCTAGAAATGTATCATTAGAAAATAAGCGAACTACTATACATGTTTGTTACAGATTTGTCTATAATAGAGCAAAATGGAAATATGTAACAGTAGGAATTTAGTTATATAAGTTATAAAGCAGCCATACAGTAAAATACCATCTAGCCAATACACTGTAACCCTTGACGGCTAATATGGTTTGGCTGTGTCCCCACCCAAATCTCATCTGGAATTATAATTCCCATAATCCCCACATGTTGTGGGAGGTAACTGAATAGTGGGGGTGGTTATCCCCATGCTGCTGTTCTTGTGATAATGAGAGTTCTCACAAGATCTGGTGGTTTTATAAGGGGCTTTTCCCTCTTTGTTCATTCTTTTCCTTCCTGCTGCCATATGAGGAAGGATGTGTTTGCTTCCCCCTTCAGTCATAAGTTTCCTGAGGCCTCCCCAGCCATGCTGATGTGTGAGTCAATTAAACCTCTTTTCTTTATAAATCACCCAGTCTTGGGTATTTCTTCACAGCAGCATGAGAACAAACTAATACAACTGTAGCTTAACATGGAAAATGAAATGATATATGCTGTACTCACATTTGTATGAACATATTTTATAAATATGAATATACATACATGTATGAAAGGAGAAAACTGGAAGGATATAATAAAGATGTTGACAATACTAACTTTTTGAGGTGGTGGGATTAATGGTGATTTTCACTTTCTTTTTATAACATTATGAATTCTGAATTTTTTCAAAAACATACCTGTATTACTTTTATAATTAGAAAAATAATTTCTGAAATATTTTTCATTGATACATAATATTTGTACGTATTTATGTAACAATGTGATATTTTGTTACATGCATAGAATGTAATGATCAAGTTAGAGTATATAGAGTATCCATCACCTTGAGTATATATCACTTCTATGTGTTGGGAACATTTCAAGTCTTCCAGCCGTTTTGAAATACACAATATATTATTAACTACAGTCACTCTACTGTGGAACATTAGAACTGATTCCTTCTGTCTAACTGTACGTTGGTATCCATTAACAAACCTCTCTTCATCTCCTCCCTTGATCTTGGCCACAGTTCCCAGTGTCTGGTATCTATCATTCTACTTTCAACCTCCATGCTCTCAATGTTTTTAGCTCCTACATTTGAGTGAGAACATGTGATACTGTCTTTCTGTGCTCGGCTTAATTCACTTACTATAATGGCCTTCAGTTCTATCCATGTTGCTGCAAACAACACTTTATACTTTCTTTTTGGTAGAATAGTATTTCATTGTATACATGTACCACATTTTCTTTATCCATTCATTTGTTGATGGACACTTAGATTGATTCTGTATCTTTGCTACTGTGAATAGTGCTGCAATAAACATGGGCATACAGATATACCTTTGATATACTGTGTATTACTCCATTTTCATGCTGATGATAAAGACATACCCAAGACTGGGAAGAAAAAGAGGTTTAATGGACTTACAGTCCCAGCAGTGGGATTGCTGGATCATACGAGAGTTCTATTTTTAGTTTTTCTGAGAAATTTTCATACTGTTTACCATAGTGGCTGTAGTAGTTCACATTTACACCAACAATGTTTAAGAGTTCCTTTTTCTGCACATCCTTACCAGCATAAATTATTTTTTGTCATTTTAATAATAGCCATTCTAACTGGGGTAAGATGATCTCTCAATGTGGTTTTGATTTGCATTTCCCTGATGATTACTGACGTTGAGCATGCATTTTGTTTTCATATTCCTGTTGACTACTTGTATGTCTTTTGAGAAATGTCTACTGATGTCCTTGACATTATTTTGACATTCAAAAAGTCATGGATATGTTTTATAATGAAAGATAGAATTGCATGGCTTTTAAAAAAAGGCTCAACTAAGTCATTTATTTAGATGTCTAATGCACAGAATAATTCATAGAAAATTATAATTTATTTAGTTACCTTGACATTATTCCTCCCTCATCAATTTCTCCACCTCATAGAAGGTGGACTTTTAGGTAGTAAAGATTGTGATCATTATTTGCCACCTAAATTAAGAAGAAAACTTAAAACGTGTCAATCGTTTGATTTTAAGCATACAGCTCAATGAATTTAGAAAGATGTTTACACCTTTGTAAGCACCATCACAATCTGATACAGAACATTACCATCATCCTCTTTACCTCTTTTCCGTCTATCCCAACCTCTGTTACCGGCTTAAAGTAAGCACTGATCTGCATTGTCACTATAGATTAGTATTCATTTTATATAATTTTATATCAATGAAATCATATAATATATACTCTTATGTCCAGCATCTTTCACTCAGCATGTTTTTGAGATTCATGTTGTTGCATGTAACAGTAGTTTGTTCTTTTTTTATGTCTGGTAGTATTGTTTTGTCACAACTTGCTATTCAACTATTTTTGGAAGCTTGGGCTGTGTCCAAGAGCTGCTATGAATATTAATATAAACATCTTTGTGCATACTTATGTTTTTTCTTAAATATATACCTAGAAATATATACCTATATATAGGGTAGGAATATGTATAGTATTTATAAGAAACAGGCACATCATTTCCCAAAGAGATTATGCCATTCAGCATTTCCACTAGCAATGCAAGGGAGTTTCATGTGTTCCATATCCCCTTCGACATGGATACTGACTTTTTTTTTTTTTTTTTTTTTGAGACGGAGTTTCGCTCTTGTTGCCCAGGCTGGAGTGCAATGGCATGATCTTGGCTCACTGCAACCTCCGCCTCCTGCGTTCAAGCGATTCTCCTGCCTCAGCCTCCTGAGTAGCTGGGATCACAAGGCGTGCGCCACCATGCCTGGCTAATTTTGTATTTTTAGCAGAGACGGGGTTTTCTCCGTGTTGGTCAGGCTGGTCTCGAACTCCGGAGACCTCAGGTGATCTGCCCGCCTCGGCTCCCAAAATGTTGGGATTACAGGCGTGAGTCACTGCGCCTGGCCGACTGTCTTTTATATGTTATCCATTCTTGTGGGACTATATTATCTCTTTGCATTTTCCTCATAACTAGTGATGCTGAGCATCTGTTTGTCTGCTTATTGCCCATTTAGGTAGATTCTTTGGTATATTTTATGTTCAACATTTTTCTCACTTTTAATTGCATTTTTAAATTATTGAGATATAAATGTTATGTATATATTCTAAATACAAGTTCTTTATTAGATATATGTATTGTGAATATTTTATGCTCATCTATGGTTTACCTTTTTGTTTTCTTCATATTTCTTAAAGAGCAGAAGTTTTAAAATTTAAATCCATTTTAACATTTTTTTAATGATTTGTCCTTTTGGTTTCTATTTAAGAGCCCCTAGAGCCTATATGCCAATGTCTTGAAGATTTTCTCCTATGTATTCTTCTGGAAATTTTTATAGTTTTATTATTTACATTCAAGTCCGTGACCCATTTTGAATTGATTTTTGTGTGTGGTATGAAGTAGGGAAGATGATTTATTTTCCTCCTACAGCTATCTAGTTTTTTTGTAGTGTTATTTCTTAAAAAGACTTTCCTTTCTGGCCAGATATGGTGGCTCACACGTGTAATCCCAGCATTTTTGAAGGTTGAGGTGGGAGGATTGCTTGAAGCCATGAGTTTGAGATCAGCCTGGGCAACAGAGCAAGATCTCATATCTACAAAAATAAAAAATAAAATAGCCAGGCATGGTGGCATGCATCTGTATTCCTAGCTACTCAGGAAGCTGAGGTGGGAGAATTGCTTGAGCTGAGGAGTTCGAAGCTGCAGTAAGCTGTGATTGACACTGCACTCCAGTCTGGGTGACAGTGAGACCCTGTCTCTACAAAAATATAAATAAGTAAACAAAAATAAAAATAAATACTTTCTTTTCCCTATAACATTACCTGGGGACCTTTATCAAAAATCAGTTGACCGTATATGCACATCTCCATTTCTCTTTTCTATTCTGCTCCACCAGAATAGATACAGTATGTACAGCTGTACTATATTATACCAGTACGGCTGTCTTGGTTACTGTAGCTTTTATTTTTTGTTTGTTTGTTGGGACAGAGTCTTGCTTTGTCGCCCGGCTGGAGTGAGGTGGCGCAATCTTGGCTCACTGCAACCTCCGACTCCCTGGTTCAAGAGATTCTCCTGCCTCAGCCTCCCGAGTAGCTGGGATTACAGGCATGTGTCACCAGGCCCAGCTATTTTTTGTACTTTTAGTAGAGACAGGGTTTCAACATGTTGGCCAGGATGATCTCGATCTCCTGACCTTGTGATCTGCCCACCTTGGCCTCCCCAAAGTGCTGGGATTACAGGCGTGAGCCACCGCACCCGGCCACTGTAGCTTTTTATCATCAGTTTAATTCTTGAAATCAGATGGTGTTGTTCATCCAATTTTTGTCTTCTTTTCCAAAAATCCTTTGGGCTTTTCTAGATCATTTGAATTTCCATATAAATTTTAGCATCAACTTGATGATTTCTAAAGAAATTTTCTGTGATATTGACAAAAAATGTGTTGATTAAATTAATAAATCTATGGAGAATCGATATTATAACAGTATTGAACAACTTTCCAATTCACGAATGTTGTACGAGCTTCTTATCTTTAGGTATTCTTTAATTTCCTTCAACAAATATTTTGTCATCTAGAAATAAAGACAGTTTCATTCTTTCCTTTCTGATTTGTATACCTTCATTTTTTGTCTTTCGCATTTGTTAGTACCTCTTGTACAATGTCAAATAGAAGTGCTGAGAGCTATCTTCCTTCCTTTCCTAATCTTAGAGGACAATTATTTGGTTTTTCACCATTAAGTTTGATGTTAGCTGTGGGTTTTTCATAGATGACCTTCATTAAGATTGGGAAGTGTTTTTTCTTAGTTAACTAAGATTTTTTAAAATTACAAGTGAGTACGGAATGAAAAAATGCTTTTCTGTATCTATGGAGATGATCTTATTGTTTTTCTCCATTATTCTTTTAATATGACAAGTAATACTGATTAATTTTTGAAGATTAAACCAACCTCACACTTCTGGGATAAACCTTACTTTGTCATTTATTGAATATTGTGTTTGTAATATTTTTTGGAATTGTTCTGTTAATATTTGGTCAGTAGTTTTTCTACTTCGTGAGAATTTTTGTCTAATTTTTAGTTTCTTTGTGATGTATCTATATACTTTTAGTATCAGAGTACAGTAGCCCCTCCGTATTCATGATTTTGCTTTCTGTGGTTTATTACTAATGGTCAACTGTGGTCCAAAATCAGGTGAGTACAATAGTTATTTTAAGGGAGAGTGAGAGAGAGAGACTACATTCATATAACTTTTATTATAGTATATTTTTATAATTGTCCTATTTTATTAGCAATTTTTAAAATCTTGTATTGTGGATAATTTACAAATTAAACTTTATCATAGGTGTGTATACATAGGGAAAAACATAGTATTTGTAGGGTTTGGTAGTATCTGCAGTTTCAGGCATCCACCAGGGAACTTGGAACGTATACCCTGTGGTTAAGGGGGGACTACTGCAATACAGTTCTCACAAAGCCAGTTAGAAAGTGTTCCTTGATTTTTGTTCTCTTTTTCCTAAGAAGTTTGTATAGAATTTTTATTATTTATTTTAAAAATATTTGGCAGAACTTACCTGCGAATCCAAACAGACCCTAGAATTTCTGTGTTTGAATGCTGTAAAATACAAATTGATTTCTTTGGCAGATATTGGAATATTTACATGTCCTATTTCCTTGTGTGTCAATTTTGGTAATTTGTTTCAAGAAATTTTGTTATTTCATCTAAGCTATCAAATTTATTGCCTGAAGTTGTCATAAACTTCCCTTATTATTCTTCTAATGTCTGAAAATCTAGAGGTTATCTGTTTTATTCCTGATATCAGTGAGTTGTGCCTTTCTTTTCTCTTGAGAAATCTAGAATTTTTTCAGTTTTATTAAAATTTTCAAAGGACCAACTTTTGCTTGTATTGATTTTCTCTATTGTGTCTTTTTATTTCATTAATTTCTGTTCTTATCCTTATTATTTGACTATTTATTTTGTCTTCAGTCCAGTCTTTTAATTCATTTTCGCTTCCTAAGATTAGATCATTAATTTTGGACCTTTCTTCTTCACTGACTTAAGGTATAAAAACTATAAATATCCCTTTCTACATGCTTTAGCTACATATCACAAATTGATTTTTTATAAAGTATCATTCGGTCAAAAACGTTTTCTAATTTACTTTGTGCTTCCTTCTTTGTCCCATCTAAATCATCTTCTAAATCCCCAACAAAATTCCCTTCTTTAGGATTTAGTTGGTTTATTCTTAAATGTTTAGGTCTTCTTCTAAATATATCATTTCTAATTTAATTCTGTGAGGTCAGAGAATACACTATGAAAAATTTCCATCTTTTGAAACCTACTATGATTGTTTTATTGGACCAGCGTATGATCAATCTTGCTGCCAGGCCATGTGCACTTGAAATGGATGTGAATTTGTACTTTTTGGGTGAAGCAGTCTTTAAAAGTCATTAAGGCTAATGTGGTTGAATGTGTTGTTCAGCTCTTCTAAATCCTTATGAATTTTTTCTAAGTTATGTTATCAATTCCTGAGAAATGGGTATTAAAATCTCTAACTATGAATGTGAACTTGTCTGCATATTCCTAAGTTCTATAGGTTTGGGTTTCATGTATGTTAAAGCTCTGATATTAAGCACATGCTCGATTTCTGATGTATAAATCATTTATCATTAGGAAGAATCCATATTTGTATCTAGTAATGTTCCTTGTTTTTAAGTCATCTTTGTTGGGGTAATATATTGGGGGTTATTTCATTTTGGTTCATTCCTTAATTTTCAGAAAATAAGATATTCAAATATATGAATACAAGGAGAATATTCAAGAGAACGACAGGAACAACCAGCTTCCTTCCATTTTGAAATTAAGATTTTTAAAAAAACAAGCTGTTAAAATCTGGTTGTTCTGCTAGTCTAAATTGTTGAGAAATAGAGTCCTGGTTAATCAATCTAGAGCTGAAACTATTTTCAAATAATTATGCTTCAGTATTCACAGTCCACTGGAAACACACTTGAAGCCAAATATTTCCTGGCAACAGAGGTGAACTGATAGCATTCGATAAAACATGACCTGAGAAGCATCTAAACAGACAATATTTGCTTTGCCATTGAGGATTCCCTATCTTGCAGCTATAATTTCCCCACAGCAAGTACCCTTTGCCTGGTTCACAGTATAGCTTTCTGCTGTTTTCCTTAAGCTGTGATTCAGCCATCTGTAACACACAAAATGTGGCGTGACATTTTAAATGATTAAAACAGCCACTCTAGCTTTCTTAAAGTTTTTGTGGTATATCTTTTTTTTTTTTTTTTTTTTACTTGTACATACATGTGGTTTTGCATTTAGAAAGCTTCTCTTTTTGACAGCATGTAGTTATTTCTTGCTTTTGAATCTAGTCTCATAATCTCTGCCTTTTGTTATACTGCTTAGTCCATTTAAATTTAATATAGTTATTGATATGGTTGCATTTAGGGATGTCATTTTGCTATTTGCTGTCTATTTGTCCCTTGCATTTTTTGTTCCTGTCTTTTTCATTTCTTGCCTTATTCTGATTTTTGTTTTGTATTTCAATTCCTCCTGTGACTTTTAAACTATGTTTTATTACTTATTTTTATTTATTCCTCTAGGGATTAAAGTATATAGATGGTCTCCAATTTATAATGGTCGATTTATAATTTTTCAACTTTACAATGGTGTGAAAGCAATATGCATTCAGCAGAAACTGTATTCTGAGTGCCCATACAACCATTCTGTTTTCCCATTTCAGTACAGTATTCAATAAGTTACATGAGATATTCAATACTTTATTACAAAATAGGCTTTCTGTTAGATGATATTGTCCACCTTTAGGGTAATGTAAGTGTTGTGAGCACATATAAGTTAGGCTAGACTAAGCTATGGTGTATTTTCAATGTAATGATATCTTCAACTTGTAATAGGTTCATTGGGATGTGACCCCATCATAAGTCATGGAGTGTCTGTATATCTTCATCGCAGTCAACTTTAATATCGAATTGCTTCAAGTAAAATATAGGAGCTCTGCAACAGCATATTTCCATTTATACTCCTCCCCTCATCCTTGGTGGAGAGAGGTACAGACATAGCGAATAGTGTTTGCAAAGGCATGGAGACAGTAAGAAACACTCTGCAATTGGGGACACAGTAGTTCAGAATGGTTGGAACAAAAACTGAGGAGAGAAAAGAGACTGAAGAGGTAATTAGAGGAATGATTTACAAGGGGCTTATACACTGTGATAAGCTGTTTACACGTTATCCGGAGAGCAATGGCAAGCCATTAAAGTGTTTTATGCAAAAGAGTGATATGATCAGATTTACATTTTGGAAAAATTAATCTGATTCCAACACGAAAAATAGACTTGCAGAAGAGAAAGACTTGAAGCTGATCACTCAGGAGGCTGTTAATTCAAGTCAGAAAAAAATAGTGGTTACTCTCAGGGTCATGGGTGTAGGCTTGGGTAAATGGGCAAATTCAAGAGGTATTCTGAGGCACAACAGAAATGCTTCACAGCCAATCGGCTGTGGAGGGTGTATGAGAGGAGAAGCCAAGATTATTTACACTCTTTTGACAACTGGGTGAGACCTGGTGTCCTTCACTGAGATGGAGAATTTAAAGCAGCATGAGGAATTCCTGGTTTCCTCAAATGTGTCTATCACTAGACCAAAATGTGTGGGGTGCCTGGGCAGATTAATGACTTTTCCACTCCTTAAAAAGAATATTATTTTGTAATAGCTTTTAGAATTTCTTTGGTAGGGCAGGGAAATAGATTTTCAATTATAATCAGATGACTATGTCCAACATAAAAGTTTTATGATGTACTTCATACTTTCCAGTTCGTTTTTGAATTGACGGTAAAGTGCGAGTCGTTTTTTATAGATTCCACTGGAGAGTACTGTCTTATTTGGCAGAATTTGCCCAATCTGCCTATCACCAATTAAATATAGAAGTAATTGGCATCTTATTTCTGATTTATTTCAATAGTGGTTAAGAGAAAGTTCATTTATTGTTTAGATTCCTTAATTTGGCTGTAAGTATGTCTGCCACGGAAGACAGTATCTAACTAAATCATGGCCAAAACTGAACTAGAAAGGAGCTCAACTAAGGTGGATCAATTTCAGCTCCAAAGTGAAGGACTGCCAAAAAGAAGGGTGGATAAGCACCCCGGCAAGCCTGCTGTAGGCAAGGTCCCTTTACATCTGGAACTGCTCCCCCCCTTCTACGACTGTCCTTCAGCTAGGCAAAAGTGGATAATTTGGGGTCATATCTCATCAACTTTTTGAGTAGCTTAGAAACTGTGGAGGAATGTTGTGCTTTGTTATTCTCCTCACAAATATTTCTCAGTTTTAGCCCAGAAGGCAAACTGCTGGCTCCACTTAGCTTTCACTGTCAGCAGAAGTCTTACAATCCAAAGCTTGCTCATAATGTCCGACTGTGACCAAGGTTTGACAAGATGAATTTTGTTTCATTAGGAATAAAGCAGGAAGCTAAAATCTATAGGGAGTTGACTAGGGCCTTTCCATTAATTCTGATCAAAGGGATTCTCAAGCACAATGATTAGTACGTACCTTTTAAAACCTAGCATGTAAAGTTGGATATTTTTATACTTACATTTTTCGTATGCTGGGTATTTATTCCCCACTTATTCTATTCATGTAAGGAACACAAATCAAAATATCAGGAAATAGACTTAAAGAAGCAACATGAAAGACTAAAAATAGCATAAATGTGTGCTCACTTATACCTGGCCCAAATTCTGATTTTGACATTTGTTAGCTGTGGGACTTTTTCATCTATGTCTATGATTCTCACTATTTCCTCTGTTAATTTTTGATAACACAGAATAACTGAGCATTAAAGGTGGTATACATGGTGCCTAGCACATAAATAATAGCTGTCATTGTGATTATTTTTTATAGGATAATGGTTTCGTTTGTTGAATCAGTATTTGTCAGGACAGAAAGCAAACCAAATAAAGGCATATATTTCCTCTGCAATAGGACTACACTTCAGAAAGATGTCCTCAAACAGATACAGTGATAAGGAGAGTGAAGAGATTGGTAAAATGGAGAAAGAGAAATGAATTTTAAGCAACCATTATTTTTAAAAAACACAAGTAAGAAAGGAAAGAGATCATGGTTGTTGTATGTTGTTTAAAAAGAAAGTTTAGGAGGAAACAGCTGCTTTGATGGATAAGGTAATGATAAATTGCTTAGCCTGGAAATTCTATGATTAATTTAGTTCTCTGACTGGCAAATGAACAAGGGCACAAAACAATAAATGGATAGCACAGAAATCTCTGTAAACCTTCTGACAATCTATAAGACTTTTTTGTTTTTTTGAAGTCAGTAAAGCTATTTCTCAAATGGAGAAGAATGGGTGAAGAGTGGGTTGAGGTAAGGGTAAAAAAAAAAAAAAAGCAAGCAAAGGTTTTAATGAATAATGGTGTCCAAAATACATCTGAGGCTATAATTTCCAGATATCTAAAAACTGTAACTTCAGAAATCCTGGACTCCATGAAATCAGATACTGAAGAGTTGTGAAAGTTGTATAAAACATTTTAAAACTAAAAGAAATCAATTTTAGTATGAGCAAGTCTGGAAAATCACCAGGGTTACCTAAGTTCTTTGAAGGACCCCAAGCCAACTTGAGATGAAGCCCAAAGTCCCAGACCTGGCAGGAAACATTGGATTTCAACTCTCTTTTTACAGAAATAAAATATATCTTTATACATGATTTCTAATTATCCTCCAAACCATTGCATTTTTACCTATTTCTCTCTACTTATTTATGGTAAGGAAGGAATGGAAACTTTCAATATTGAGGTTCAACTTGGAGAACATTCAAGGGGAAATGGAAACAGCCAAAATGAAAGCCAGACTTGGAGAGCATCAAATGTGTTATATATTATAACATATTTTTTTCTAAAAGTTTACAGGTGTAATGCTAAAATTATTCAGTGGCTCACGCAAGTAGGTAGACAGTTACTCACTATTGTAAATACCTTTCAATTAGCTATATGCTGATTACCAATTCTGGGGGTAACTGAAGATAGTATTTTGGTCTATAATTACTTGGCTAGGGACTGATATATGCTGGCAATTATTATATGGTTTGAAGCCTATAAAGACAATGTGAGATTCTATCTGTATAAAAATTAGCTGAATTAGCTGTTAATATGATTTAATGCAATGAAATCGATATAAAATGGGCATACAACTACTAAATTGAGCAGACAATATAGTCAGACAGCATCTTTATTCTTTTCTTCTATTGTCTCTTTATAATTTATTCAGGGGAGGTAAGAGGATCAAGAAAATTGTTATTTAATTGGAACTGTGCTATAGATAACTTAATGTCCTCTGGGACTGGGGAATTTCAAAGCTCAGTCCTTTTGTGTAGCAATTTCTGGGGGTTCTTCAGGATCCACAATCAAGAGCTATCCTGCATGTAGTTTCCTTTCATCTGGATGAGTAAATCTCCATTCTGGCTTGTTGAGTAGTTATTCCATAGTCTCTAGGAATATCTTATTTGCAGAGGTCCTGTAACCTCTTCCAGGTGGCCTTGTTATAAAGTATGTATATGTATGTTGCCTTCAACGGCATGGAAAAAACTCATTTGCCCAAAAAACCTCTGGAAATGCAGAGCAATCCCAATACAGCAGCAACTTTCTTTACTCTCCCACAAGAAACAAAAGAGGATATCTAGCCTAATATTTGTTTTCTAGATTTGCCAGGAAGGAGTTAGACAGAAGTCATGATGTGTCTTTAACTACAGGCAAAGACTATTAAGGATTCCATATAATCCTGTTGAAGCAATTTTCTCCTGATTTCAGGAGAAGGGGAAAGAAACTTTTCTTGCTTGATGAGTCATTTGCCTAATGTTACAGTCTCAGTAAGGGAACAAGTATTTCTATCCAGGATTTTTTGACTCTCAGTATTTTTTTTTCAGTCCAGGTTTTTTTGAGCTCTTAACTTTTACCTTATACTTCTCTCATGCTTTATCACTGAAATACCTCTCATTGCAAATAGATAGCAACTCTATTTTAAAAAGCAGATTTTTTCCAGTAACGCTTCCTTTTAAAAATAGAAAAAAAAAAAACCCACACAATTTTCTCATTTTCTCTCTGGGTTATGCTTTGTTATCTTTTTCCCTGATTCTCAGTCATCTTTCCAATGGACTGTATCTATCTGAAAACATGAATTCATCTTGTATTCCAGCGACTAGTGAACAATTAGCAAAGCTTGTCCTAAGTCATTAATTGATAGTTTCTGTTTAATCTTTCCCGAAACTGGAGAGCCCTCTGTTCTCGTGTTTATTTTGATCTCTTTGGAATGCAAATTATTTGCTCTTCTACAGTTCTGAATCTCCTTTTGGCCTACATAGAAATACTTGGACATATATAGTATGCCTATTCTACTTAAAATTTTAAAAGATGAAAGTGATTTTTGTCTAGCTTTGAGGTCTCTTTGAAATTAATATTACTAATTAAAGGGTAGTTGGCTTAAGATGCCTGCTGGCCTCACAAATGCGACACAAAATGACCCTAATCTATAAGGCAGTATAAGGTAATGGCTAAAAGCACATATGCGCAACCGTCAAACTGTGTTTAAATCTTAACCCTCTATTATTCTCAGTTTTCTTACCTTTAAAATGAGAACAATATTAACTATCCTACAGGGTTACTGTGTGAATGAAATGTGATCGTGTACATAAAGTCAGAGCTCCATACTTTTATTATTATTATCACTATTTAGGCAAAGGGAAATGTTGCTCATTGTATGACACAAAATCTCTCAACTGAAGGAAGTACTGAAAACCCTTTTTGATGCAAATAGCCACAGAGAGGATATGCAATCTGGAGGCAATGGATTAATCTATTAAGGTAGATGTTAAAGTCTGTTAAGTATTTTATATTACAGCTGAAAACAAAGGAGGTAATCATACTCAGGGCAAAAATTCCTGCTAAGAAGTTACTTAAGTTCCTCTAAAGATACAGTTAGGACAAGCTATGAAATACATGCCTCAATATACACCACGGAATACTATGCAGCCATAAAAAAGAATCAGTTAACGTCCTTTGCAGGGACATGGATGAAATTTGAAACCATCATCCTCAACAAACTAACACAGGAACAGAAAACCAAACACCGCTTGTTCTCACTCATAAGTGGGAATTGAACAGTGGGAACACATGGACACAGGGAGGGGAACATCCCACACTGGGGCCTGTCAGGGGTTGTGAGGAAGCGGGAAGGAGAGCATTAGGACAAATACCTAATGCATGTGGGGCTTAAAACCTAGATGACAGGTTGATAGCTGCAGCAAACCACCATGGCACATATATACCTATGTAACAAACCTGCATGTTCAGCACACGTATCCCAGAATTTACAGTAAAATTAAAAAAAGAAAAAAAATAAATATGCGCCTCAACTTTGGGTCAAAGAAAGTTTGGCTGCCTTCTGTGATAATTGTTCAGGTTTCAAAACCCACCCAGGCCCATCTAGATAGAACGTGTGCCTACGGAGAACAACTACCCCTCCTTCATAAGGTTATTAAATTTTACTTGGGAAATATCAACTGGAGAAGAATTCTGTTAAGTAGTTTTCCCTTGCAGATTCTTCAATTTTATCGATTGTTCCATGAAAAACTGGACTCTTTGAAGTGTGGATATTCTTGAACAAAAGATAATCTCTCTGGAGATTACCTGGTTTTAATTAGTTGGTGCTGAATGCACCTAGACATTTTAGCCTCTTTCTCACTTAAAGCTGTTCAGACAAGATAGCTGTCTTAAATCCCTTCTGGAACACTCTGGAAATGAACAAATAAATTTCTACCAGCTTCTGTAACAGATAAACCCTTAAATCTCAGTGGCTTAAAACAATAGAAGTTTATTAGTTCTGCTCTGTGAAGACATCGAGGGACTTGGGCTTTATTTTGTGGCTCCTCCCTCTTCTAGGTCTTTGAAGTCCTTTCCATTTGACATGAAAAAAGATGAAGAGGATCATAATTATAAGGTTTTCATAAACCAGACCCAACAATAAACTCATAATGTCTGTTCACATTTCATTAGTCAGAACTCAGTCATGTGGGCACACCCAACTAAATGCAAAGGAGGCAGGAACATGTAGTTTAGCTACGTGGCTATGAAGTAGAGAAAATGCTGGTGTGTAGCTTGCCAGTATCTGCCAAAATAAATATAAATTGATATTAATATGAATCTAGTATATATGCCTAGATTTATGCTTCTATTTTTTGTTTATTTATAAATTGTTTCAGAGAAGACACAGGCATCTGGAAAATGACCTATTGTCTATCTATCTATTTATATCAACTATCTAAATGATCACTGATGCCATTTTGTATTTAACTCTGTGTGCATGTTTTTACACATTAGAGAAACACATCTTGCCATAGTAAGGTTTAACTCTGACCTTTGTTAATGTAATCCTTTTCCAGATACAGCTGCATCTAAAATTCCCATTTGCATGCCTACTCTTAATTCATACTAAATTGTTATTAGATTCCTAGGTGGTATAAATGCAACCTTTAAAACAATTATATATCAGTCAAGCTAAGCAAGAACATGCAATTCTTTATATTCCAAAAACTGTAATAACATATTTTTTGCCTGTAACTTTAGCAGATATTTGGGAACTTTTATCTACTGATGGTTGCCAACTTACTGCTTGAGTTCTGTCCAAAAAAGAGTAGAAAACTATCAAAGTAGGAAGTATATTTAATTGAACTCAATAAACACCTTCTGGCTACCTTTTATATGCAAAGTGGAGCTGGGGACAGAGATGAGCAAATGCAATACTATTCTAAAACAGCTTATAGTCTAGTAAGGAAACTCTGTCCAGTAAACAAATTAATTATATTGACTTTCCCAAATTGGAATCACATAATTTTAAGCAGCAAAGATGCACTTTATTACATTATTTTATATATTGAAATACTGAAAAAACAATATCCAGCTATGGAAAGACAATTGTATTATTCATGACTCATGGTTCCAAATGGACTATTATGCAGGAATTAAAATGATGGCTATAAGAGATATTTAATAATTTGGAAAATGTTTATATAAAAAAGATATTAAGTGAAAAAATAAATTTATATCTACATCCTGAACATAGTTAAGGAAAAATACCTTCATGCATAAAGCAAAAGAATGAAAGGAAATATGCCAAACTTTAAAGTGTTAGATTGTGCTATAGGTATTAGTTACTTATTCTAGGAGTTCTGCTTTCTCTTCATTTTTTATTTAAAAAATGTTTTCAATGCGCATTGTATTGCACTGATTTTGAGGAAACAATAAAAACAAAAATACAATAAAAGTCCTTCAAAATTCAATCATAGGTAAACTCTGTTCTGAATGAATAATGTATATAGATAACTTGCTATATCTTTAGTCAATTAATTAGCCACATTATAAAGTTAGGGCAAAGATAAGGCTCCTTTTCTTTACTACTTCTATTTTCCCTGTTATGGTAATTTACCTCTACCTTTAAAACATTTATAATATATAATTGTATATAAAATTATAATTTCTCACCTCTCTCTCTCTCTACTAAGGAAATTACATATAGGAGAGGTAGAGAGAAGATCAAATATGTATATATTCTAGTTTATTTATATTTTGATAAACATTTTTGAAATCATAGGGAATCACATTAATATTTACATTAATATAATATACATGCTAATTATCCTCTTCTGAATAATTTGTATTGAAAGAAAACCAATAAATGGCTCAGCAAACAGATTTTCATGATTCAAAATGAAGTGAAAAACAGATAAAGTATGAAAGAGCAGATAGAGTATAAAACAGCTTACATAAAGAAATGAATCCTGGAAATTTAACTTTGTTTTATGGAAAACAAAGTCATTTCAGGCTTTAACTTAGCCACTTCAGGAGTATAATTCATAGGTTATGTTTATATGAAAGCTTCATTGAGTATGTACAACTAGGTGAACACTTAGTTCAGTTTTCCAACAAGAAAACTGGTTTTAAAATAAGCCTGTTAGTGTCTAACGATGTGTGGCCAGAAAAAAAGAAATATTAACTAACAATTTCTGGAACAAATCATTTACAGGGCTACTAAATATCTTTCTATATAATATTTGGAAATAATGATAATAATAAAAATACTTATGACATGATTATCTGATATCCATTATTTTATTCAGTCCTCAAAACAATCTCCCCTGAGATAGGAACTGTTCTCATTACCATTTTGTAGATAAGAAAAGTGAGTCTCTGGGTTAAGTTTACTTGTACAAGGACTTGCAGCAAAGAAGTGATAGAAAGGGGATTCAAACTCACGTCTTTCTGGCTCTAAAGTCCTAGTTACTCTAGTAAAACAAACAAACAAACAAACAAACACAACCAAAAAAACCCTGAGTGGTAGGTGGCATTATTCCTATCCCTTTAACAGAATAGGCAATTGAGTCTCAGGAGATCTGAGCTACTAGATCAAGGTCAGTTAGGTAGTGTGGCAGAACTAGGATTCCAATGCAAATCTGTCATTGACCTGGCTGAGGTCCCTCTACCCATCTTTGAAAAGCTGTAGACCTGCCGTAGCAGAAAAACTAAGCCCTATCCCTCAATACATTTTGTAAATGAAACAAGCAGCATTTATTATACAATTTACTAGTTTCAGCTTTATCAAGGCCTCATAATGTTGTATTAATATGTTGTATTAATATTGCATGTTCTCAGCATGAAAAATCCAAGGTGAAAGTGGGTACATTTGTATCTGCTCTGTAATCTAGGTTTTCTACAAGTAGAGTGACCATAGACTATACCACACACACTGGGATGCTTCTGTAGGAGTGGGGACACTGTGTGTAGTAATGCTGGGCAGCGGTGAAAAACAGAGACTGTCTTAGTCAAAGGAGGACATATGGCCACCACTGTTCCTGGGACATGTAGACCCTCCCTCTTGACAGTCATTGGCTGGTTTTTCCCTTAGGCTCGGGGGATCTGTTATAAATACTCTTGTCTCAGATATTGCTCTGAAACCAACTGAGAACTTTTAATGTAAATCTGAAGAAACGTATCTTTCTTTGTTCCTAATTGATTAATCTAGTTTTAGGAAAAACATGTCTAAAATCAAGTAAGAGGTTTTGAGCTGGAATTGAGCAGATTTTCCTGCCTTTTGGGGGGCATTGTCATGTTTACAGCTAGAAGACTGTTACAGTAAGGGGTTTGCATTTTAACCCTGAGTAAACATTGATTTTTGTGTTCCATTTTTGCTGTAGAAAGAGTGATGCTTATGAAGTCTATTAACACCCAAGGAAGTAATGTTGCCTTCAACTTTCAATCCTTGCTCTGATCTCCATTGTGAGAACTTGGACTAATAAGAGTGAACTATGTTATTTTCTTATCAACATTGTTCTAATTGGCAGCTGACTTCATGATTAAAAACTTGGAACTAGCAATTCATCATCAAGACATCAAAGATATAATGGTATGCTATGGAAACAGAGATATAACCATGAAAATAAATAACATGGAAAGAGAATAGGGCATTTTGAATAGCCATATCTGAGAGCAATTTCTGATTTTGTAAATGGTGATAACTGTGTTAATCTAGTATGTAAACTCATAAGGCATGAGTTTCCCAATGTCAAGGATAATATCTACATCTTTCTATTTGTTTTGATACTTAAATGAGTTGAAAGTACATAAAATAGCAAGCATAGAGAAAGCCCCTAGCAAATGGTGGTTCTCCTCTTTTTATTTTTTATTTAAAATAGCAAAGTCAAACCCCAAGTTCTATAGCTACATGCTGTACCTGTATTTTTCACAATAAACATACTAAACGTCACAATCTATCTTTTTTCCCTCCTATTCCCTCTATTTTCACTTCTTTTTCTTGTCCTTACTGTTTCCATCTTTCCTTCTATTTCTTCTGTTTTTTTCTTATTATGCCCTCTTCCCTTCCCCATCTTTCCCTCTCACCCAAAGTCTTAAGGTGGCCAACATATTATAAAATGAACATACTGCACATCCGCATGTGAAAAATGATTTGAAATTTAAATTTTATTATTTTTTAGATTGAGTTCTGCTCCATCGCCCAGGCTGGAGTGCGGTGGCCATGATCTGGACTTGCTGCAACCTCCGCCTGGCTGGTTCAAGCAATTCTTCTGCTTCAGCCACCCAAGTAGCTGGGATTACAGCTGTGCATCACCACGCCTGGCTAATTTTTTTTCTTGTATGTTTAGTAGAGAAGGGGTTTCACCATGTTGACCAGGCTGGTCTCAAACTCTTGACCTCAAGTGATCTGCCCACCTCAGCCTCCCAAAGTGCTGGGATTACAGACATGAGCCACGGCGCCCGGCCTGAAATTTAGTCTTTTTAGAAGTGATCGTTATTATCAAAATCATTAGCCCTTTAATCAAGGATAAGTCAGGTTTGTTTATAAGGCCTTTGGGGACAGATTTCAATGGCATCTCTTAGAAAAGAAACACGGGATGTGTAAAGTGCTGACAAAATTTTTCCTCTGGAGGATAAATTTCTCTGTAGCAGACAGACACATGAATATTATATTTAGATAGAGTGCTCTTCAATATTAGTTTCATTCCTTAAAACAAAATGGAAAATATTGGTATATGTAAAGCCTTTACTATCCTTATAAGATTGAAACTTCTGTTAGTGCTCATGTTTGTTTATATTTTTCTTCTTTGATCCTTTCCCTAAGGCCTTCAATAATGGGTACTGCAATGGAACCAAAGTCACAAAAGGACTTATAAAAAGGAATTAAAAAACGAAAGAGAAAGGAATGAAAGGTACTTAGGTAAAAGAAAGAGGAGGAAGTTGAGGAATCAAACTTCTCTGTCTTGGTTTAGGAAACGGTGAGGGCATCTAAGGATTTATTGTATGAATCTGATTTTTCAGTACTTTTCTGCATCAGCAGCTGGGTTCCGGTAACTGAAAGCTGATTACTGCGTAAAGGAGTGAAAAATAGATGTTAATTAGATAAAATTGTCTGAGGAGAATAGCAACATTTTGGAAACCTGGGATATAAGAAAGCTAGACTTTCTGCAAGTTTATTTAACAAGGGAGAGTTTCCCCTTCTTATCCTAATCTTCGTTTCTCTGTCCTCCTAAAAGCCCTCCTAAAAATCCTCCAACAACCTCAGTCCGTCATGAACAAGTCACAGATCCACAGTGCAGAGTCTGGACTAGTGCTGACCTTGACAGTGATGGACACCCTGTGATCTGGACTTGGCTCTCCATCACAACAATCCCAGGTCTATTTACTGTAAGACCAATTTACAGACTAAAGGGCTTAACTTTTCTGTCCACGCAGGTAGAAATTTCTGAGTATTCCAGGCAGGCTGGTATTGAGGCTTACCACAGGAGTCAGAAGTTATTTTTCCACCTGGAATGCACTTCAATTTTTCCACATGGACTACTCCCTGATTTCCTCACCACTGCCACAAAGGACATTGATAGTTACATTCAAACTGACATACAAAATTAAACATCTAAGAGATGCCAGGATAGTTACCAAAACTTTAACACTTGAATCAGTAGGCCAAGTAAAGATCTGCTGTTACCAGTGTGGGTGAACATTGTTCAATCTGTGAGGGCTCAGAGACAACAAGGCTGAAAAAAAGCAAATTTTCTCTCCCTCTCTTCTTGAGCTGAGACATCCATCTTCTCCTATTCTCTGATATGGGAGCTCCTTGTTCTCAGGCCTTTGGGCTCAGTCTATGTTGTATCACTGGCTTTCCTGGTTTTCCGGCTTGCAGAGAGCAGATGGTAGGACTTCTTGGCCTTCATAATTGCATGATCCAATGACCATAAATCTGTGTGTAAGTTTGTGTGCATCCACATCTTATTGATTCTGTTTCTCTGGGGAATTCTGACTAAAACAGACACTTTAAATAAATGTCATTGTTGGCTTAAAGCAGTGGATTCTCCAGTTTTAGTATACTAAGAAGTCATCCTGGAAGAGTATAACAGGGAAGAATATTTGTTCTGATTCATCAGGTCCAGGGAGGTACCTATGAATCTTCACTGTTCATGAACAATTTCAGGTGATTCTCATTCAGCTGATGAAAGGACCACTCTTCCAATAGAAGAGTGTAGAACAGAAACTCTATTCTAAGGAATTCACGCCTCAAAGGAAGGAATGGGTCAAATTCTCTTTCTGACTTAACAGCAATAGCTGTGAAACTGAAGCTCTAAAACATTTAAGGAAGGATATGTTTCAACAGGAAAGGAAAAGAAGCCAACGTGGTCAGTATGTTTCCTAGGAAAGAGAGTCACTGGATGAGATGGGGATGGTCACTGCCAGCTTAGCCCAGCCTTTGGGTTTTCAGATATAGCTTCTGAGTATCTTTCCTGTGGAAAGAGTACCTGGGCGTCCTTGAAGACCACTTGAAGATTCTAGTATTGCCATTGCGAGAAAAAAATGTTACTTTAAGAATAATCAAAGGACATGATGGTTCATTCACCAATCTTTTGGGTTTTTATTGTATTAGTGTTTTATCAAAAGCCAGATAAAGTGGCAGCTCTGTGTGTGACCAATGACATTTACATATAAGGCACATTCCTGTGACATTCCCAGATTATGAGTCTGTGGGATAGATAAAATATATTGATTAACTCCACCCTTTTCTCTTCTACTCAAGAGTACAAATGGACTCAAGAGTAAGTAAAAATGGTGGTGTTATATGGAGAGTCAGTGGTTCATTCTGCTTGTTAATAGGCTTCATTCCTCAAACTTCCACAATCAAGCTGTTATTGATCAAAAATGACTTGTCATAGCCATCACAACTGCTGCGTGAACACGCAGTTGGGAACTGTGACAAGAGAGGTGGCTTTGTACTTTATGGCCCTGAGAGGATGAGGATTACATGCTGTCATGTTAGGGGTTCAGGAGAGATGTTACCTCAAGCTGCAATCCTCCATGATGGGTCCTCTCTACTCTTCCTGGGATTGCAGAAAAGATCTGTAATTGAACACCATCTATTTTTCTGCACTGTCTTATCAGCGGTCATAACAGGTCTTCAGAGAAAGCTTTTTAGGGGGCTTTTGAGTGCTACACAGTGTTGGTGTAGTTTTGAAGGACGGTAGCAATGTCTGAAAAACACAGCGCAGAGTCACCTTCCTATTGAGTCACCAAAGGCCTGCAGGTACTCCTTGGATAATGGGGATTCCCTCGAAGAACCTGCAACACAGTCCATGCAATGCTAGTCACCATGACTGTGTTCATTACCACCCGGTATTGCATGCTTTTATTCAGGGCTTGTTATAACTTCAAGTGTTACCAGGACAAAAGCAGTCAGTAATCCTTCTGATTACTGAATGGACGTTTTGACCATAAACAGTTGGGCTTAACAAACAGGGAGCAGGTAATTAAAATACCTTAAAGTCATTTAATTTATTCAATATTTCAGCCATCACTAAGATGAGAAAAGAAAAAAAAGTTTCTTGCTTATCACCTTAGAGAAAGAAAGGGTCGACAGGGCAAGTGTAAGAATAATCTCAACCTGTTCGAGGAATTCCAAGCCTATTTAATTCTAGAAAATTTTGAAACGCTACTTGGTTTCAGGAAATGCTTGCTGTAAGGGTCAAAGACAGGCAGGTTAGAAGCACAATCCTAACTTATCAAACCTGCCCCAGACATACTCCACATTGTTCATTCTGTTGCCAGAGGAGTTATTAGAAATCTAGACTTCTGATTTGCATCCTAGGAATATCAGAGTGAGGACCTAGAGGCATTTTTTTCCTCATGATGTATTTAGCTTTAAGGACTGTGTAGAAATAAATATTTAGATCTTTAATAGCAAAGGGATGAGAGATAAATTCTGTGTGTCGAATCCACATTTTTTGGTTACTGGCAAGAATTTAGTGATTGAAGTTAAGAACTCAATACTGTGATTAACGTGCTATTTAATGTGCCAGTCTTAGTAATGCACTATTTAAAGTATCTTTCTTTTTAAAAGTCCCTACTATGTAGAATTTGGTTTAGGATTGAAAACCTACTTGGAATAGTGGTAAATGCTTAACAACTGGCTTTCCAAAGGGTGGGGTAAATGGGGGGGCTGGGGTTGAGGAAGTCCTGTTTTCTACCTTTTGCAGATTTCCATGATGTAAATATTTTCTATCATGATCAATTTCTACCTCACAATATGATAACATGCTTATAAAATTTGTGGAAAATCAACAGTTGATTCTTGCAAAGCTGATATAAGTTGGATCCAGCACACACAAGTACCTGGACCCTACTTCTTTGAATGCAATAGCTCCATATATATTAAGACCCTGTTTTATGTAATGTATATAATTTTGACGTAAATTTTGTGTAACCAAATGTAATACATTGTACTTTTAAAAAACCTTGTTATTGGTTCAAAACACTGTTATGTCTTATTTCATAAAACTGTTTCTGAAAGTTCTGAAAGGCTGCAAGTGCATTGAAAATTTCCTAAATTCATTATAGGTGAAATCTGACACAAATTTTATTGTCTTCAAAAGATTTCCATTTTAAAAAGTATATATTTAATTTGTCTTTTGTGTTACATTTTCACATTTGATAGTTGCATAGTAAAGAAAGGCAGTTCTTAATCAAACTTGGTGATTATATGGAAACAAGTGTCTATTAGGCCTCATTTTGAGGGCAGGAAGGTGGCACAGACTAATGGTTAAGCCCATGGGTTTGGAATCAGGCTGGTCCTAGCACTTACCACCTGAATGAATTAAAATGGGGCAGTTACTTAACCTGTTTGCCTCAATTTTACCTTTGTAAAATGGGATACTAACAGTACCTACTTCATAAAATTGTTGCAGGCTTAAACAAGTTAACATATGTAAAGTGCTTAGAGCAGTGTCTGCCACTTACTAAGTACCACATGATTCTGCTTTTATGGCCACTAATATATTTTAGGACAGCAATTAACAAGCTATTAGTGTAGAACTCGATAAATGTTGCCTTAGATTAGGGTTCTCAAAGTATGGGGCCCCCAAAATCTGTGTTTTAATAAGCATGCAGGTATATCTGATGAACTCCTGTGTTCTAAAAGTGTGAATGTTCTTTCTGGGAGAAAGTGTCCCTCCATATTATAGTTTTTTGAGACCAAATGGTCTGGATTAAGCAAACTGCTTAACAATTAAAAAATAGCTATAATTTTATATGCCAGGCATAATGCTAGGTTTTTTTCTGTGTATCATAGCATTTACTCCTCACAACAACTCTAGAAAGGAGGTACTGCTATTGTCATTGTTTTATAGATAGGCAATTGATTTTCAGAGTCCTTAAGACATGTGCCCAATGTCGCAGTCTAGTAATAAGTCTGGTTCCATCATCTCTACTTTTGCCCACTATACCATACGGCCTAATATTTCTAAATAGGGACTATTCAGAAATCTCACTTTCATTTAAGAAATTAAGTTTTAGGAAGGTGATTAAGCTTTAAGAAAGCACAAAATAAATGTTACATCCTTCATATTTTCCAGTTGAGTAGATGCCAGGCTGGGAGTCAGCCTCACTGGAAAAGAATAATTTGTGTGATAATACACAATGAACTGGACCACTCTCGTGGTATTTTGCAGAACTTTCTGTGTATTTTTTTTTAAATCTAAGTTTGTTTCTAAATACATAAATCTCTGAGAAAGCCCGTGAGAAGATTCCACTAAGGCAGCAACAAAGACTTCTGTTCCACTGGACTTTTTTTAGGTAAATGGAAAAAAAAAAGAAGTGGAAGCAAACAACTGAACATTCGTAAGATGCTATCTCTCAATAATTACGTAATATTATGGAAATAGACTCTAGGCAACATTCTAAAATTTGGGCTTTACCTACTTTTTTTTTTTCCATTTTCAAAGAGTGGAAGACCACAAAAGAGAAAAGATATTCACAATCACAGACCACAGAGATAAAGACAAGAGGAGACATTTCAGGGTTACTCCTAATGCTAAGTATCTGAGAATTAAACCTCCCAGACAACCAGGAAGGCTTCAACTGCTGGGAATATTCACACCTTTTTGGATGACTAATTAATTACTTCAGGTGATAGAGAGCTCGAAGGGCACTAAAGAGTGTGTGTCGGGGGCGGGTTGGGGGGAGCAGTCTTACCCTTATTGCCTCAAAAGAAAATTACCTTTTGCACTTCTCCAGATTACGACGACTCCCTGACTACAAGTATAAATAAAAATAATCTATTCAGAAGCATCTATTACAAATAACATTCTAGGGAGAGCTCTTGACTGCATATCCTCAGAAGACAAGTTTTATTAGAAATAAAAAAGGAGTGTGAGCATACTAAACAGCAGCACCATCACTATACACATGTTAAATATTTTACTACTGTGTTAGTGAAATATTTAAAGTGATCTCTAAACTTTTCTCCCCCCATCACATGGGAGCCTGAATATGTCACTACCCAATGCTGTCTGACAACCTCACGTTGGCAAAATGCTTCCCAGGGGAAAGAAAAAAAAAAAGGAAGAGAAAACAAGAAACAATTCATGTGAAAGAGTGACTGCAACTATTTTGATTTTTAATAGGAAAGAAATAGATCTCATATTAAACAAAGTGGTGAGGCTAGGCATTAAGAGATGTTGCAAGCCGTTTGTCCCAGATTCTGGCTCTGCAAACAAGCCCCAGCAGGCTTCAATGAAAACATCATTTTTGGTGTAGCTGAGTGTGTGGCTCGACTGCTCTTAGCTGCCTCTTGCTGAATGATGTCACTGGAAAGGACATCCAATAAAAAAGCCTCTCGGACCTGCTTATACTGTGTGGGTTCTTTGTCCTTTACAGCCTTTGCTCCTGGGATGAAATGTAAGAACACTTCAGCTCCAGAGTCAGCTTTGGCGCTGATCCTATCCTGAATTCTAAGAACTTTTAAGCCTTCTTTAGATTCTAAATGAGCCATCTTTAGCCAAACTGCAATTCAATGCAACAGATGTCTGGAGGGACACTGAACATGTGGCTGAAAATGGATCAAACAGATAACAACTAGATTTATGTCTAAATGGGGTCTTGCTATAGAGAGAATGTTTGCATTACTGCAAAATTTATATGTTAAATCCTAACCCCCAAGGTGATGGCATTTGGAGATAGAACCTTCGAGAAGTGTTTAGGTCATGAGGGTGAAGTCCTAATGAATGGGTTTATTAGTGCCCTTATAAAAGGGACCCCAGAAACCTCCCTCACCCCTTTCCACCATGTGAGGACACAGGGAGAAGATGCTGTCTGTGAACCAGGAAGTGGGCCTTTAGCAGATACCACATATATTGGTGCCTTCATGAAGGTCTTCCTACTATGCAAAACTGTGAGAAATAAATTTCTGTGGTTTACAAGCCACCTAGTCTATGGTATTCTGTCATAGCAACCTGAACAGACTAAGACAGGTCTCTTCTAGACCAATCTATACTTGCCTTTAATATAGAATCCAGCACCAAGGCCTAAGACACCACTGGATACCTCTGTAAAACTCTCCCCACACACATTTTACTACAGCTAATGTTGCAATGTTGAAAAATGGAAAATACAGAAAAGCTATTGATTCTTTTGGACCATCGGATTGATATCATTGAGAACTTACTATGTGCTAAGCACTTTACATATATTGTCTAACAATACTGGGAGAAAAATAGTTATCTCTGTTTTATAAAAGAGTTCAAGGCTCAGAGAAGTTAAGCCACTTATTTAAGGTCATACTGTTAAGTCAATGTTAGAATTGGAATTTGAACATTGGTCAGTCCCTTTCTAAACCCCATATACTTAATTGCTAAACCAGAAATAGAAAGTATGCTTTACATTGTGAGCTGTGAACAGTCATCAGTGGGAATGGCCACCTGAAGCCACTGAATTGAGATGACATCTAAGGCTGAGTGTGTGGGCTCACAAGGAAGGAGGATCAGGTCAATCAGCAATGCAGGGGTAGTGGCAGCTCTTGTACCAGGATTTGCCATCCTTACTTCCATCTTACTGGTCCTCAGTTACTAATCTCTATCTTTTATTTTGTTTGGTTTTCTATAAGCTTAACATGTATGGGAAGAAAATTCAGTTAAAAGGAAAGGCCTAGGGTTGGTATACTCCTGGGTCACTGCTTCACTTGGTGATCCAGGGGCAGTCAGTTCTTATTTTTCATATATGACCTAAAGGAACCAAACTGGGTAGCCTCTGGAATTAAATAATTGTGTGCATAAATATATATACACATTTTAATAAAATAGTTTTTACATTATCTTGCAAATTATATTTTATACTGTTTAATATTCTCCTCCTGCTAGTAATCTACGTGAATGAAAAAGGAAAATAGAGGTATGGAAAAGTATGTAATCTTTACATAAAGTAGAATCCTATATTTACTTCCCCTATAGTTCACCCCTGCAATGTCACTGTAATTTGGAAGAGCATTCCACTGGGATCCTTTGATATCAATGCCAATGATAAAAGGAAAGACTTCTTATTACTAGAAATGGAAAACCACTATTATTGCATATTAAAGGAAAAAGGCTTTCACAGGAAATAATTAGTTCTTGCTCTGAATTAAGCAAACTAAACCCTTAATGTAAATGATAACTGAGAAAAATCAGTTTCATTTTCTGTCCATAAAACTGAGGAGGAGGAAGAATCATATCTCATGTGGGTAGTCACCATCTCTCACCTATTATGGAGGTTGGATTCCGGTCCCATCCTGTATTGACATGTGAAGGGGACAGGACTTAAGGTGCATAGTAACTATTTCCAACACCAGCTGTTCAGAGTACTTTAGTTAATACCTCACTTCGAGGCAAGAATTTTGCCTTGATACTGAGAAAGAAAGGTGCAAAGGAAGGATCCTGCTTAGCCAGAAGAAGCAAAATAATGTATAGTAATGAAGCCAGTCTTAAACACAGTTCAAGAAAGACACAGCTTTAGCTATAAGGCACTCAAACGTGCAGGATGCTAAGTGCCTTTCTATGCCATTTATTCATTCAATTCCCTGGCAATAAACTACTAAGAAAATTTTAAACTAATAATGCATTTTACAGGTTGAATCTGAGGCCCTGATTTTCCAGAAAAACTTTCCAGAAAAACATGGTAAGGCACAGCAATTGGAGGAAAACTGTCCAAGCTTCTGGCCATCAAGTATTACACATTTATTTATTTACTTAGTGCTTCCAAGTTCAGGAGGCAGAATATATTGCTATTGCCTTTAAAGGGAATATCTTCAATGTTTTGACCGCTGCTAACAAGATGATTAGCATGTCTTTAAACCATCTTTATTAAGCAGATGTTTGCCCTGGCATTTTTCCAGCCCTTCTTGGGTCATCAAGCCTAATATTCTCTTTTCATTTGTTGGTATGCTGTTCATTTCTGGTCCTCAGTGAGGGGACTGCTTCTTGACCTTGTCATGCACATGGTTTGATTTCATAAGTGAGAGGTTGGCCTATCTGGGATGGGTGAGGATATTCCCTTAGCCCTTGCACAGGTCATCAGTGAAGCTCAGGCAGCTTGAGGGGATAAGGCAATAGGGGAAGTGCTTCTTAAGTGATACTTTTTCCTTGGTGAGGACTCTGTTTATGTTTAGTTTCTTATGTGACATAATGAATTAGGAACTAAAGGCAATTTGAAGATTTGTGCCCTATGTGCAGAACAGAAATTTAATGTATGAAAGCAAACCACAGGTCAGTTAGGAGAGTTGATCAATATTGATATTGCTCTTTAATGAAAGGAAATAACCCTGATGGATTTTCCTTGGGATTGCTGATGAGTATGTATTTGTACTCAACACATGGGGCTTTTCATTGATCTCAGTCAAATTAAAATTTTATTAACAAGTCAGACATCCATCTGTATTTTTCCAGAAGTTCCACTGTTTCCAAAAGCCAGTTAATACTCCTGCCTCTGTTTCTCTCTCTCTGAATTAACATTTACACATCCATTATGTGCCAAACACTTTCCCATGTTTTATCTCACCTAGTCCTCTTAACAACCTTGTAAGATAATATTATCTCCATTTACAGATAAGAAAATCGAGGCAGAAAACAGCTAGGTAACTTTCCCCTTATCACACAGATAATAAAAAGCGAAACATGAGCTCAAATAGATCTAGTTTTCTTTGACACTAAAGTTCGTATTATTTCTACAAACCTCACACTGTTCCCAGTGGCAGAATGAGGGTTATTTTGAAGTATGGTTTTGTTTGAATGGAGATGATATGAAAGGATAAATGACGAGGATGGCAAAAAAAAAAAAAAAAGAAAAAAAAGAAAAAAAAAGAAAAAAAAAAGAAAAAAAATTTCCTATACCAGCAGTTCAGGAACTCTTATAACCCACCCAGGAGGACCTAAGGACTGCTGTTGTTCCCCTCTTATTGAGAGAGCAGATCTTCATTGTCCATCTAGATTAGTGAAGGTCCAGAAAGAAAAACATGGCACCTCCAAGTAAAGTGACAGAGTTTAGCACATGTGACCCTAAAGCCTTCTGAGATTGGTCCCTTGGTTTTTAGAAGCTATAATGCAAATACAATAGTAGTTTGAAGTTTTCTACTCCCTGACTATTTGGATACAGTGTTCTCACTTTGTTCAAAGGCTGATTTTAGACATCCAAGCAACATGTACCAGGTTAGTTTGAGGTTTAATCAATAAAATTGACCAGGAAAGAATTCAAAAGCCACACCGTCTGATTCTATACTTCATATATGGGGCAGACACCACGCTCTTGTCTTGTGTTTAATCTACAGAGTCTCTGTGAAAACTGACTTTTCCTTCCCTCATGAAATTTTAAATTACAGCCTGCCTTATATTTAGTGGGCTGCAGGGTTACTATGGCAATCAGCTCCTGAAGTATAGGGATTTTATCTGAGCATTTTAGTGAAGAGTACATTAGAGGTCAGAGGTTTGTCTCTGTTCCTCTTCTACACATTGGGACCCTTTCCCCAAATGGATGGTCAGATGCATGCTCTCAATTGCCTCATAAATACACCACACATAATTTATAAATCAGCCGGACACTAGGAATGGGCTCTTTTGTATAAAGGAAATGAAGTATACTTCAGAAGTAAATCTGTGAGATTTCCAAAAATGGGAGAAACAGTTCAGTGTCAACACATATAGACATACATATAAACACATACACATGCATGCATGTGCATACAGATAAACACACAGCAACTAATATTTATTAAGTGTTTCCTACATATCAGGTTCTAAGAACTTCACATGCATTAACTCAATTCCCTTAATAACCATATATGGTAGGTTACATCCTCATCCCTTTTTGTGAATGGGAAACTGAGGCATATAAAGGTTAAGTAACTTACCTTATTTAGCTCACACAGCTAATAAGTGGCAAAACTGTGATGTTAAAACTGAGTAATCTGATTAAAGAGGTTCTTCTCTGAACTACCCTATGCTGGTTTAAGATTTGTGCTGAGAGCAGAGAACCTGGATATGAATCTTAGCTATAGCTTTGTGATCTTGGATGACAAGTCACTTCAATGATGCTTACTTAGCCTCAGCTTCCTATTAGTAAACTGTGGTTAATAATATCAACCCTACACAATGGTTGAGGGGAGTTAATGAGAAAAATGTATGTAAAGTGCTTTACATACACTTACGAACTGTAAAGTGCTACATACATGTTATCAATCCATTGTACATGCAGCACACAATACGTACTCTGTCTTTCCTACTTATACTTCTCGGTCACCTTGCCTCTCCCCACAATGAACTGAACACATAAAAACATATAATATGGAAAAATAATTTCCTAATACCCTTGAAACATTTTCATACGTCCTAATCTAACTATTAATAATTGTATACATACATTTTATGTCTCAGAGAAAATGAAATAATTTCAGAGCAATGGTTACAAATTTTACCACATCAAGTTATGTGAAATGCATGCATCTTAGAAGCTCTATGAATTTATATGCTTACATAAAAAGCATTAGTTAATAGTAGAGATGTTACTGCCATCAAGACAATGAGACTGGTGTACACTGGTGTTCCGTATCATAAATACACAGACTGGAAGTTCTCAATCATTTGAAGTAGGTGGGACCTTAACGGAAAAGAGGCACAGTGAGGAAGTGAGACACCAAGTAGGACACAGGGCATTGACCCTGGATTCAGAAAACCCAGATACAAGTCATCATCCATCCAAAAGTCATTGAATTCCTACCATGTACCAGGACCCTGTTGGTAGGTACCAGAGATGCAAAAGCATATAAAGACATGATGCTTTCCTAGAGTCATCCTGCATCCCACTAACTGTGTGACCTTACATCAGTCATTGTATCTTACTATGAAAAGCCTTGATTTCCATATTAATAAAAGAAAGCAAATAAAGAATCAGAGAGGTAAAATCACCATTCAAAGTTCATGCATCTAACTGGTGGCACAGAAAAAGGTGAGAATAAAACTTCAAACTTCCAATTTGGTACTTTCCCTGACCAGATTTCATCATTCCTTTTGCAATTCCCACCGTGGTTTGTTTCACATACTTAAGTTTGACTGTCACATGCCAAGATATTAGTTATTAATTTTTGAGTTATCCCAGAGTTTTTTCTCTGCTTTCCTACCAGAAATTTCTGGCAAGGTCTACATCAGAGTCTTCCTTTTCTTGTCCTCCAAGATGGGCGTGGTCTTGCACAGTTCCAGGGCTGTGCAGTGGAAGAATGACAGAAAAGGGGCAGAGTAGAGGACGAAAAGAAGAAAGAGAAAACAAGGGCTGTGGAGTTTTCATGGGTTGAGAAAGGCAGCTTATACTGTGTGGGGCAGTGGACTGGGAAGAACAAACAGAAAAACAAGATTTTAAGATTACCAGAGATTTGTGGTCCCTTTCATAATATTGAGGAATGCTAGCTTGAGTAGTTTTGAAGTTATTCTTGGTTGCCTGGGTTGTAGTCATTTAAGCACAATTGCTCTGAAATTGATCTATGAGGGTAACAGGTTTATGAGCCTTACAACAACCATTGGCTTCATCTTCTTAGCAGTGGAAGACTGCATGTGGACCTTCCCAATGCATCTCATATGTGAGACTCAACCAGGTTTTAATAGGTGAGCAGTGAGCTGTGTAGCTCAACTGGTTGAAATCTAGTGATGAAATGGTATCAGCAAATGGAATTGGGTCTTCTGAACACTGTCTTGTTAAGTAAATACCTATGTCAAAACTTCCTTCAAAGCTCTGAGTTAGAAGGGAAAACACACCTCCTGTCATTCATAAGCCTGAGCTCTGGGCTCTGGATTGTGGTCTGAGGGAATATAGAAAGAGCATTGCTCTTTTATGGGCTAAGGAGATGGAATTCTTTCTACTATAGATCACTGAGAAAATCAGCATAATATTTAATTCATTTTGTGTTCCTAGCTCTGGAGTAGGGGTCATAGCTGGCTCTTGATCTTTAGAATTTTATATTCTAGAAGCAGAGTAAGGTAAGGAGATTGGCTTTTACTGAGATCATGTGATAATGAGTTTATATTCATCATCTGTTTCTAAAAAAATCTTTATAACACCCTATGTGGTGGCATTAGTATTATCTCCATTTTATAAATGAGGAAAATTTTGAGTTTAAATGACTTGCCCAAGGTCACAACATTGTAATTATCACAGTATATTTTAGGCAGGAAAAGGAAATAGCGTATTTAATTATAAAGTAAATGCTGTAAACAATAGAGTTTTAGGGGAAGAGGTTGAACTGAAGTAAGCACTTCTGTTTTGACAAAAATAATTAGACACGTTTCTCTTTGGACTCTGAATTATTTTAGTTTAACAGTTTAGGTGTGATATAAATACATGGAAATGAGACAACAGAATTGTTATGACATTCTTCTTTTCTGAATGAGGAAAGAAGGTGTGTCTACCAGTAGTTTCTCACTCTTCACAACATGAGTGTCATAACACATCAACCATGAGCATCATATATATACAACATGTATTTTTCTTCCACTTATTTTTGGTTCTGAATCTGCTGTGATGTGAAAGTGTAATAATTTTAGTCAATCAAAATAGTATTTCAAATTAAACAGCTCCACAACAAGGCATCAAACATAAAATTTACAGTATACATCCAACATAAAAGGTTAGGATATCCCCGATTTTCTCCTCTTGTTTTCATATTCAGTTAAGACATTGCATTTGGACTCAGGAGCCCTTGGCTTGAAGGCTAGCTTGAACAGTTTAACTGTGCATCTTTGAGTAAATTAATAATACCAAGTTTCTGAATCTTTGTTTTCTCATCTGTGTGATTTGAGGATAATTTTTGGGGGATTTTTTGACATTAATTAGCAAAACACAAGAAAAAGTGTAGTACAAGATAAGGCATACAGTAGGTGGTAAATGTTTATGGTTTTCAATTAGGGTTTATTATTATTACTTCTATGATGATGATGATTACTATGATTCTACTGGCTGAGAGAAAAAGGTAGCCTAAACAAGCAAAATCCCCTTGAAATTCCCCCCAACACTTCCCAGGCCATCCTGAATATCCCAGCAAACAGAGCAGAAGAAAGGTGAATGAAGATATCAAGTGCAGACAGACTCCAGTGAGGTGAAAATTGCAATGGTGAGAGGTTGATGGTAAAATCAAACGGAACTTGTTATTTTGTCATTCTGATGGACTGGAACTGAGGATTTTCAATTTCCTCTCCAACCCAAGACACTTCTCACTGGAAAACTCTCACAATCACATTTATAACAAAGGAGAGGCAATGTTATTCTCAGAAATTCCTTTTAGAAAGTAAACTGCCTTGTTGGGGAAAGTATTTCTTCTGGGTGGTAGATGACTAGGCCCTGAGGAAATTGGTTTAGGCTGAATTCTTACTTACAAACCTTGGGGTGGAGCTGGCTTCTGGAGGGGGAACAGGAGAAAAAAAAAACAGCCAGAGAAGACAGAAAAGAGACAGAAGATGGTCCATTATCCCATGTTACATTTTCCAGTGACCACATTCCCCAACTCAACACACACACACACACAGAGCAGTTAATCTTCAGGACATCTTTAAACAAAAACAAAAAAGAAAAGGAAAAACAAAACTAAGAAATAACAGGGGCAAAGGGACTGAGTACTTTTGAAATTAGCACCTGTGACCCGTGGAAGCAGGAAGTGGGGCAACGGGAGGTAAGCTGTCCACAGCCATTACAGTAGTGAATTTAGTACTCTCCGGTTATATACGCAGAGTTTGGGCACCATTTAGGAGTAGGGCCTTTAGGAGTGGGACTTCCTAGTACTATTTATTCATTCAACAATATTTCCTAAGGGTCTATGTTAGGAAAAACTGACAGCCTCTCACTGCTCTTGCACGAGAATGCACAGGAAAGAAAGGGACTGCAGGTCTGACTTTGAGGGAAGGTAGGTGCAAACAGATCATGGCTGGAGTATCAGGGAAAGTGCTCGTCCCTCCTTGAGCACTTTCTCCTTAAAGGCTGTAAAACTAGTTTCCTAAAGATGTAGAGGTATACATTCCAAAATCAACATGGTAACGGTCATTTGTGACATAATGCTTAAGACTGGCCAAACGAGCTGGAGAAGGGTGGGTTATACAGAAAGGAGAAAGTACATGGTATCTTTTTGGGGATGTTCTACTATCCAAGAAGAGGAAGAGCATAAAAGAGGGCTGGCTCCCTGCACATCAGTTCCTCAACTCAGTCAGCAAGACCTGCTCCTTGGGCTATTTCCTATGGAGATAAGGTGGGGAATAGTAATTCCCACTTTTTCACTCCATCTCACTTATGGTCGACTTTTTTTTGTGTGTGTGTGAGTTTCAGCAAAATTGTTAACTTTTCTACATGTCAGTCAACTACTCAATAAATGAAGCTAAAAAACCAACCTTCAAGGGGTACTTATGAGGATGAAAGTAGATGTCTTCTAAAATGAATAAAATTTCTCCCATAGCAAATATTCTTAATAAGTAGCTATTAGTTTTGAGTCTTCCTTGTCAACATTTGCAATGTGGCTAAATATGTCTGTAGTCAGGATATTTCCCTCCCTCCCGTCTTTCCTTCCTCTCTTCCTTGCTTCTTTCCTCCCTTCCCTCCTTTCCTGAGACAGGTTCTCACTATGTTACCTAGGCTGGGCTCAAACGATCCCTCCAGGCTCAGCCTTTTGAGTAGCTGAGAATATAGGTATGTGTCACTGTGCCTGGCTGACTTTAAAAGCTAGTTGCTTTAAGTATAGATTAGACTTTCAATTCTAGCTTTGTAAGTACTGTACCCCCCAAACAGCTAAGACAATAGCTCTAGATCACTGTTAGATTAAATAAACAAGATATTTGGTTTGAAGACGTTAGCTTCGTATGCCAAAGTAAAGCATTCACTCCATCTCACTATGGTCAACTATTTTTGACTGTGGGAGAAGTGGGGTTGTCTATGTAGGTAACTCCTTGGCCTTGTAAGTGAATGCTATTGTGTTTCTCAGACTGTGGCCTTGGAAGGATCCAATTAACTCATGTGGAGCCCTAAAATTCCACTTAAATAAATCAAGTACCCAGATTCATTTATGACTCTTTAAATATATATATACACACACACAAAATCCCAAACCAAATTGACCTTCCCACAAACCTGTTCTCCCTTTTATACGTTAAGTTCTAGGGTACATGTGCACAATGTGCAGGTTTGTTACATATGCATAATGTGCCATGTTGGCGTGCTGCATCCATTAACTCGTCATTTATATTAGGTGTATCTCCTAATGCTATCCCTCCTCCATCCCTCCACCCCACAACAGGCCCTGGTGTGTGATGTTCCCCTTCCTGTGTCCAAGTGTTCTCATAGTTTAATTCCCACCTATGATCGAGAACATGTGGTGTTTGTTTTTTTGTCCTTGTGATAGTTTGCTGAGAATGATGGTTTCCTGCTTCATCCATGTCCCTACAAAGGACATGAACTCATTTTTTATGGCTGCATAGTATTCCATGGTGTATATGTGCCACATTTTCTCAATCCAGTCTATCGTTGATGGACATTTGGGTTGGTTCCAAGTCTTTGCTATTGTGAATAGTGCCACAATAAACATATGTGTGCATGTGTCTTTATAGCAGCATGATTTATAATCCTTTGGGTATACACCCAGTAATGGGATGGCTGGGTCCAATGGTATTTCTAGTTCTAGATCCCTGAGGAATCACCACACTGTCTTCCACAATGGTTGAACTAGCTTACAGTCCCACCAACAGTGTAAAAGTGTTCCTATTTCTCCACATCCTCTCCAGCACCTGTTGTTTCCTGACTTTTTAATGATCGTCATTCTAACTGGTGTGAGATGGTATCTCACTGTGGTTTTGATTTGTATTTGTCTGATGGCCAGTGATGAGCATTTTTTCATGTCTGTCGGCTGCATAAATGTCTTCTTTTGAGTAGTGTCTGTTCATATCCTTTGCCCACTTTTTGATGGGGTTGTTTGTTTCTGTTCTCCCTATCTTTATAACTGGCATCACTGTTCATCTGACCTCGCCCACAGACTGTTCTTTCTCTACTCTTCCTATCTCTGTAACTGGCACCACTGTTCATCCAGTTGCTCAGAGCAGGTCAGCAGCTATCATTGATTCCTGTCTTTCTCATACCACCCTCATCCAATTAATCAGCAACTTGATTGATCACTTCATCTTAAAAAAGAAAAAAAGATGAAACTATTCTTATCACTTCCACTGCTACCACCCTAGTTCACATCATAATTATCTCTTGCTTGAATGACTGCAATAGCCTCTCAGTCTTCTTCCTCTACCACTGCTCACCAACCTGAGCCTTCTATTTCCCATAAAGCCATCAGAGCAGTCAGTTCGCCCAGCTTTGTTGATAGTTTTGAAACTTGTCCAAATCTTCTCCACCTTGGGAAATTTGCAATCCTTCTTTCTCCCTGGAAAGCTCTAACCCAGGTCTTTGCATGGCTTGTTCTTTCACTAAGTTCAGCATTCCCATCAAGGGTCTGCTCATCATCCTCTGCTAGTCTTCTGATTTATTATTATTCAAAGCCTCTGTCACTACCTGGAATTTTACTGTATGCTGATTTGTTCATTTTTGATTGCCTAGTTTCCCAACAAAATATAAGATACATTCAGATGGGGATTTTATCCTACCTATTGCTTCATCTTCAAAGCATATAGTTTGTGATCAAGAAGTACTTATTTAATGAATAACAGAGTGAATGCTCTCTGTGTGTGTGTGTGTGTGTGTGTGTGTGTGTGTATGTGTGCAGGAATACAGAAAATATCGAACTATAGAAAGAACTATATCATGAGTGGAAAGTTCTGGCAGGCACTAGGGGATGAAATGCTCAGGCAGACATTAGGCCAATCCAGAAAGCCAGCATCATCACCATATATATAGAAACTGCATTATGATTATGCACAGCTGGAACCAAAGACCTATGTCCAGAACAAAAGAACACAGATAACTATGAGTTAAACACCGTGCTACACACTTTAACGCATTGACCCATTTAGTTCTCACCCCAACAAGACTGGTTATTTTTCTCATTTTGACCAAATGAAGAAACAGAAATCTGGAAAGCTTAATGATGAAGTTCATGCAAGAAAGTTGTAGAACTGGGATTTAAACTCAGGTTTTATGATTTCAAGCCTTTTGCTCTTCCCCTAAAACTGTTGTTCTATGTTCTTAACAATAGTTGGACTAAGCTCAAAAGAAGGAAAAAGAGAAGAGAAGAGAGGAGGAATGAGAAGTGGTTCCAGCTCTAGGAACCTCAATCAAGCCACAAGTCTGCACAGATCATTCCCTATTGCTATAGTGCATACTAAGCAATCATTCCTTTGAATGAATTGTTAGTATTAAAATCACTCTCCTTCAGCAAATAGCACTGCTTACTTCATTTTAACTGATCTTTTTACACATACATTGTCCAACTGTTAGGCTGAGTCTTATGAAATTGCCAATATTCTACCATTTTTGACCTACAAAAACAGCATTTCAACAAGATTCAACATAATAGAATGAGCATTCCCTGAAGGCAGGTATCACATCTAATGTAGCTTTGCCACTAGTTTCTGACTGATTAAATATCTGTTCATGATTTCTGTATATATTATCATCACTCTTATTTAAACAGATAGAGGATAGACACAATGGCTTATGTTCCTCAGCACATTGGATATATTTTAGAAATGTTGCTGAGCTTCAGTATCTGCAAAAAGCATCACTTCAGTGGTCTCAATACCCCCCCCCCTTTTATTTTTAACTTCAGTAGTGAACTTTACCCATCGAAGCTTCCAGCCAATGGAATATAATATATGAAGTAGTCAATTTTAAAAATTTGGAACAAAGGCATTAAAAAAAGAAAAACTATGTATTATATCAAAATGAGTCTTTTTAACACTCCTGTGGGGAGAAAAAATACCCTTATTTCACAGTAGAGGAGGTTATCGCATTCAGTGGTTGAGTGCATTGACCAATGTAAGTGGAAGAGTCAGAATGAAAACCCAGGTCTGCCTGACACAAAGTCTATGTGGTTAACCACTCTGATATACTACATCATCTCTGCCTAGCAGGCATCAAGGGCTTTGCTCCCTGTAAAAAGAAGTCATTAAAGGTGTCATGAAAACAGGGATCCCACACTAATTTGCTACCTGGCATCCATTTTCTCCAGCGTGCCTAAAAGCAAAGAGCTGAACTTGCTCTCCTGAAGAAACCAGGGAGTTCAGAATCTCTGGTGTAAACAGCCACTTTCCACGGGGAAGGCAGCCTCTCTCAGCCTAAGTCTTACCAAATACAGCTGGGCAGGACAGGGCCAGCACAGACCTTATACTATACCGAAAAGCCAACAAAAAAAGGGAAGGGTACTCTGAAAATGCCAGCATTGAAAATCAAGGAAAAATTACACAAACCTTAATGATTATTCTAAGCTCTGTTTTTCTTTCTCAAAGCACTTAGATTCAGGTACTCACACTACTACATAAGGACTCTGGTTGAATACAATGAACGGCAACAACAACAACAACAAAGGATTTTTTTCCATACTGAGGTGAGTTATTGAGGGTGTCTACAGCCTTCTCTGAAGAGCTTAGAGAGTAATTTTTCTCTCCCGGATGATTTGCTTGTGGCTTTGGTCTTTTTACCTCAGTGCAAGCAAGTGGATAGGTGACCTTTCAAGGTTATTCCATAAGCCCTGGCAATCTGTGTTCAGATGATAAATCAAAACAAAGACAGTTCAGAGGTTCGCCAGGGCTCTTTAGGGGCAGCCACAATTAGCATAGCTCTCTCAAGACCCGGCAGATGCTAGGCGTCAAGGCATCCTTATTTTTAGAACACTGGAGGTGGTTGCCCCCAAAAAGGATATAGACAGAAAGAGGAGCTGACCATGTCAAGGGCAACTTCAAACACATAGGAACACAAGTAAAACATTGATCATGCAAACATAGGGACCGTATAACTTTACATTTGGCAGCCATTGCCACTAGCTGTTTCTCCCATCTCATAAGACTCCTATGGATAGAACATTTTAGAAGACAAAAGTGAGAAATATGCATTATTTTATGTCAGAGGAAGTCCTGGTAGGTGTTTGCATTGTTTTGTGAGAAATAGGCAGTCATATTAAAATATTATATGTTTCAGTACCTGTCACTTTTCAGCTGAGCTGCCTTCCATTTTTTAAAAAATGTGCATTTGATCCCAATTTGCTTTCACCTGTCTCTCAATTTCCACAAGACTCTAGTTGTCACCAATATCGTACACTCATTTTCACTTCTATCTGTACCTAAACCCAAACCCTGACTATGGGAAATTACTACTCTGGGTATTCGGACGCATTTCTCCAACTTTTCTGCTTCTGTCAGGTGTTAATGACAAAGGTGTTAATGACAACACTGCAGGCTGTGGCCCCCAAATAACTCACCATCAGGTTGATGAATTTTCACTGAAAATACCCCTCCAGTCCTTTGCCCTAACCTGTCACTGACATATATAAACATTTTGACTTTATATATGTGTGCTTAAATCCTTTTGTTTTCTAATATTTGGATACTAATCCCAAGAAGGGCAGTGGATACATGCAAAATAATTGAAAACCATGTAAAACGTAGCCATAGATACAATGACTACATAAATCATGATGTGTTGGTTCAATGTAATGTATGCACTTACATAAAATTATTCAACAATTATTTATTGAGTCTATGTGCCATATTTTATGCAAGTTGTTAGAGCAGAGGCAAAGAAAACTATCTCTATATGGAAATATTATCATAGGTAAGGAAAAGCCAAAAAAAATTAAAATAGTTATGTAATGCAGTAAATGTTATAATGAAGGCGAGACTAGGATGCTGCGGGAGAACAGAGGAGGGAGTGATCAATGCAAAACTAATTTAATAATATAAAGTGAAAAAATAAAATTATATCAATACTATAAACACATTATACATGCATATAGACAAACATTAGGAAGCAATGAGGGAAAGTGAAGTTATGTTAAGGTGGTGGATTTCTGGTTGGTTTTCTCTTTTTTCCTTCTCTTTATTTTTGTAATAAATGAAAGTTTGGTGAGGGAACATTAACTAAAAGTAAATGGTGCCTTGTGTGAAGCGTCACTTATAAAATGGATCTTACCAAACTAATAGGAGACACAAAAGGATACTGACAGACTTTCTATACATAGACACATGAAACTGATGTGCAGACCAATCCCAATACCACTGAAAAGGCAACTTGTGAGAACTATGGGAGCTATTTTTTCCTTATATTAACTAGAATATATTGTCATTAGATGGGAAATCAACTGTAGAAATCAATCATTGTCTGGATAAAAATCATTAATCACTTGACGATGGTTAATGCAAAATATTGACTAATATGCTAATTTCACAGATGATGCTAACATTTATCTAATTTTCTGGAGTTTGGTAAGGCTAGCATTCAAATTGCAGTTGAATTTAGAGTTCTTTTATGTCATATTAAATTGGTAATTTTCCCCCCTCTTTTTCTTTGCCTTTTCACATGCATCCAAAGTTAAGAAATAGCTTTTCTTTCTTTGTTGAGGTAATATTTTGAACTTGGATTGTGGATAATTTCAGTATTATTGTTGGTTTCTCATGAACAATATCCATATGAATTCTCCTACGTGTTGAAATCCTATCTATCAATAAAAGCCCAGGCTGGGCATGGTGTCTCATGCCTGTAATCCCAACATATTGGGAGGCTGAGGTGGAGGATTGCTTGAGCCCAGGAGGTTGAGGCTACAGTGATTCATGATCATACCACTGCACTCCAGCCTTCCAGCCTGGGTAACATAGTGAGACCCTGTCACATACACAAAAAAGTTCATATCTAGCCACAACTTTCTTATGAAATCTTTCCTGTCGAAAACAAATCTTAAATGGATATATTTTCCTCTTTTTAGAATGCCTGCCTCTTTAAATATAGGTTAATAATTGGTAATTTATTAGTGTCTAAATATTTGTGTGCTAGTCTTCACTACTTTAATTATAATTGCTGAAAGAAAGGTAATCTTACATTTTAACATTTACCCCTAGTACCTAGTAAATGGCTGCAAACATAAAAGCAATTGAATCAAACCGACACAGAACATTTTATCCAACTGCTGCTGAATATGCATTCTTTTTGTGAGCACCTGGAACATTTTGCAATATAGACCATATGTTAGGCTGAAAACCAAGTTTCAACAAATTAAAAAAAAAAATCAAAATCTTATTACGTGTCTTCTCTGACCACCGTGGAATAAAACTAAAAATAACGAGGAACTTTGGAAACTGTACAAAAAATATGGAAATTAATCAACATACTCCTGAATGACCAATGAGTCAATAAAGAAATTAAGAAGGAAACTTAAAAATTTCTTGAGACACATTAAAATGGAAACAACATACTAAAACCTATAGGATACAGCAAAAGTAGTACTAAACGGAAATTTATAGCAATAAATGACCACATCAAAAAAGTAAAAAGACTTCAGATAAACATCCCAAAAATGGACCTCAAAGAACTAGAAAAGTGAGAACAAACCAAACCCGAAATTAGTAGAATGAAAGAAATAAAGATCAAAGCAGAAATAAATCAAATTGAAACTAAAAAAAAGGAAAATTTCGTTTTTAAAAAAAGTTAAACAAATTGACAAACATTTGACTAGACTAAGAAAAATGAGAAAAGAACCAAATAAGTAAAATTGTTAGAGTAGGCAGATAGGTAGACATGAGCAGGAGAGGGGAGCCCCTGAGAAAAGGGAGGTCTGGGAAATCCCACGCCCCAGGGACCACTGGAACCAGCATGCTGGATATGAGGAGGGGAAGTTCCTAGGCAGAAAGGAACACCCATTAAGAAGCCCTGTAATCATTCACTCTGCATTTAACCTGTCAGAACGTAGTTCGATGCATGCCTAAGGAGGGGCAAAGGGCAATGAAGAAATTCCTAAGAGATAACACAGGAACCATTCATATTCAACATTGGCCCACGCATGTGCACCAATTAATAGTAACTGATGGTCCTACAAAAGCCTGAGACAGGGACTAGGCAGGGAGGTGGTGGGGAAAGAAGTAGGGGACTTAAGGCAGGGCTGACATCACAAAATCCCAATGCAGAACTCTCAGGGTGCTGCTGGCCCATTCCCTTAAGCAGCTTGCAGCTTGCTTTGTCTTATCTTTTCAGAGTGTACTGTCTCTCTCTCAATAAACTCTCTGCTCTTAATTTGCCTTCAATGAATTCTTTTTGGCTAAATTAGTCACTTGGCAGAATACTTTCTCTAAGTAACACTAATAACCAGGATTCCTGAACCTCCTGGTAATGAAACAAAGACAAAAAAGGAGACCTTATAACTGATACCACAGAAATACAAAGAATCATTAGAGAATCGTGTGCAGCAATACACCAATAAATTGAAAAACCTCGAAGAAATGGATAAATTCTTAAACACATGCACCCTACCAAGATTGAACCATAAAGAAATAGTAAATCTGAACAGACTAATAATGAATAATGAGATAGAGGTGGTAATAAAAAGCCTCCCATCATAAAAAATCCCAGGCCCTGATGGCATCACTGCTGAATTCCACCAAATATTTAAAGACCTAATACTAATTCTACTCAAACTGTTACAAAAATTTAAAAAGAAATACTTCTAAACTCATTCCATGAGGCCAGCTTTACCCTGCTACCCAAACCAGACAAAGACGAACAATAAAAAACGCTACATGCCAATATCCTTAATGAACACAGATGCAGACATCCTAAACAAAATATTAGCAAACCAAATTGAACAACACATTAAAAAGAGCAGTCTCTATCATCAGGTGGGATTTATTCCAGAGATGTAAAGATGGTTAATCACATTAGTAGAATCAAGGACAAAAGCCATATGATTATTTGATGATCTCAATAAATGCCAAAAAGCACTTGACTAAATTTTACATCACTGCATGGTAAAAACTTTCAACAAATTGAGTATAAATTTAGAAGTAATATACCTCTAAACAATAAAGACCATGTATGGACAAACACACAGCTAACATCATACTGAATGGGGCAAAATTGAAAGCCTTTAAAGGTTTGGAACAAGACAAGGATGCCCAATTTCACCACTTATATTCAACATAGTACTAAAAGTTTTAGCAAAAGCAATTATACAGCAGAAAGAGATACAAGGCATCCAAATGGGAAAGAAGTCAACTGTATTTGTCTGCAAATGATATGACCTTACATTTAGAAAAACTTAAAAACTTAAAAACTTCAATAAAAATGTTAGAACTGATAAATTAATTCAGTAAGGTTGCAGTAAATGAAAAAAAATGCTCACCATCATTACTCATCTGGGAAATACAAATCATAACCACAGTGAGATATCATTTCATCCCCATTAAAATGGCTATTATCAAAAAGACAGAAAATAACAGATACTGGTAAGGATGTTGAGAAAGGGGAGCACTTGTATTTTGTTGGTGGAAATGCAAATTAGTGTAGCTACCATGGAAAACAGTATAAAGGTTCTTCAAAAAAACTAAAATACAACTATCTTATGATCCAAAAATCTCACTGCTGTGTATATATAAGAAAGAAAATCAATGTTTTAGAGATATCTGCACTCCTATGTTTATTGCAGCACTATTCATATAATAGCCAAAATATAGACTCAATCTAAATGTCCATCAATGGACAAATAGGTAAAAAATGTGGTACATATACATACTGGAATACTATTCAGCCATGAAGAATGGAATCCTGTCATTTGCAGTAACATAGATGGAACTGGAGGATATCATATGAAGTGAAATAAGCCAGGCACAGAAAAACAAATCTCTCATGTGCAAATTATCTCATGGAGGTAGTAAATGGAATGGTGGTTACTAGTGACAGGGAAAGGTAGTGGGAAGAGGAGATTTAAAAAAAGGGGGGTTAGTTAATGGGTAATACAGTTAGATAGAATTAATAAATTCTAGTGTCCAATAGCACAATAGGGCAACTATAGCTAACAGTAATGTATTGTATATTTCAAAATAGCTAGAAGATTTGCAACATTCCACACACAAAGAAGTGATAAATGTTTGAGGTAGTGGATATCCCAATTACCCTGATTTGATCATTACACATTGTATGCTTGTAGCAAAATATCACATCTCCATAAATATGTAGAATTAGTATGTATCAATAAAGAATAAAAATTAAAACACTTAAAGAGCCCAATAAATGCTTTTAAAAATTTGTATTTTCACATACACACATGACATACCTATTATTTTCAGCTTTAGCTGACACAGGTTTCAAAAATTCTCTTATGTCAAATTGAATTTTTAAACTCCAAAAGAGGAATTTAATATTCATATACACATATTCAGCAAGATTCCTTACAATACCATCAGTTACTTCTGACATATAATGACTCTTGCTGGCTTTATACTGAATTTAATCAAAGCCCAGTACAACTTTCTGCAACATTGGTAACTGGGTCAAATGCATAGGCCACTCAAGGTCTGGGCTAATTACCTACATTTGTACCACCTGGCAGATGTGAAAGACTTAAGATGTGCACGTGCTCATTAATTGAGGGTCAAGCTGTTCTTTGTAGAATTCAGCAAAACTTCAGCTGAAATATAATGCCATTCATTTTGCGGTAAAATTCCCAGGTTATTAAGCACTTTGAGATGTGCTCCCCCCTCCCCCCGTCATAAGTGAGAAATCTGAGTCCAGATGAACTTCAAACCTGGCCCTGCTCCTACAAGCTGTGTGACCCTGGACAGATCCCTGCCCCTTGTTGGGCCTCAGACTCCTGCCTATAACATATTTTTTCTAATGAATTACTAAGTACTTTTATGCTCAGACTGTAATTCTTTACTCTTTAATTGAATACTTGCAGCTAATTTTTACTGTGTACTTACTATGTGGCAGGCAATTTGCTTTTATGAGTTTGCACTCTGTATCAGGCTGAAATTAAGCCATCTTGGGTTTACCCACAATGGAGATCTTTGCAAAAATGTATCTTTTTGCCTTGTCTGTGAACTACTGATAATCCAGTGATTTGTTCTCTTTAAGACTAAATGGGTCGAAAGCAAGTTCAATGCTAATTTAATGCACTTATTTTCCAGCCACCAAGCAAATTATTCCTTCCCAAGTCATGTTCAGTGGAGCAGGTGTTATCCGTTTCAAAATGTAGGCCTAACTGGTGCATCTTTTAAATGGGTTTCAGGAAGGGGATTCACATGAGCCTTTTTTTGGGGTGGGAGGGGGGGAGGTGGACACCAGTCTGAATTAGTTGCTATTTTGAAAATTATAATATTTTAGTTTAATATAATGAGCTTGATACCCACTGAGGTAGCTTGTCTCCAAGATAACGGCCATCAATTCCTTTCTTCTCTGTATGCACAGGCCCTTGAAAGGTAAGGTCTGTTTCTCTTGCTACTTGAATCTGAGCTAGCCTATGTCTACATTGACCAACAGAATGTAGAGAAATGGAGAATATGGAGAAAGTGGTGCTGTGTGACTCTGAGGCTAGGTCATATGAAACCTTTCAGCCTCCACCTGACTCTTTTGGAATGCTCACTTTCGGTGAAGCCAGCTGCCATGTAAAAATGCCAACTGCTCAAAGACCATTATGCTGTGGAGAAGTCTAAACTAGCCATGGGAAGAAGCTTCATAGGGGGATATGCCTGACCAGCCCTCAGCTGTTCCAGTTATGCCAGCCCAGGAACCAGCAAGGATGCCCTCAGATGATTCCAGTCTCAGCCACCATCTGACGTCAGATATATAAGAATTTGAGGCCTGGCACGGTGGCTCATGCCTGTAATCCCACCACTTTGGGATGCCAAGGCAGGCAGATCACCTGAGGCCAGGAATTCGAGACCAGCCTGGCCAACATTGTGAAACCCCGTTTCTACTAAAAATGAAAAAGAAGTAGCTGTGCGTGGTGGCAGGCACCTATAATCCCAGCTACTTGGGAGGTTTAGGCAGGAGAATTGCTGAAACCAGGGAAGTGGAGGTTGCAGTGAGCTGAGATCATGCCATTACTGGGTCATGCATTCCATCCTGGGTGATAGAGGGAGACTGTCTCAAAAAAACAGAACAAAACAAAACAGAATTCGAGTAAGAACTGCCCAGCTGAGATCCATAACTGCCACAGCATGAGAGAGAAGAGTAAACTATTATTATGAGGTGGGTTGTTGTTACACCATACAAATTTTAAAAATACTCTAAGTTCAGCCTTAAGTACCTAGGGTTCTACAGAAGGTGCAGATTAGGGTCAGACCCAGAGTTGTCTCTTACTTTTGGTATCTGGTTAAAATCTTGGCACAGTAGAGAATTTATGTGCACCTAGGAGTGAAGAATCAAGAGGCAAAAGATTTATAGACCCTAAACTAAAATAATACCTGGAAGAAGAAAGGCACATTGGGTCCTGGACCTCATACTCCAGGTTAGTGCACATAACTAAAAATGAAAAAGCAAAAAAAAACCCAACACTGCCAACAACAACAACATACTCTCTGAAAAGCCAAGACAGAGAAGCCAAGAGGGTTTAGGAAGGCCATAATCAGAAAGCATCAACCACAAAAATTATAATGGAGGAATGCCTGGGTAAGAGACTCAGGTGGAAAAGAGAAAGATATGATGTTTTGTGTGCAGGTGTAACTTGCCAGCTGGCCGACGAACTGCAGATTTGACTTCATAAACCTCTACGACTTAATCACAGTGCCTAATCTTCAGAGAGAGAGAGAGAGAGAGAGAGAGAGAGAGAGAGTCTGTGTGATGCACGTGCATTTGCATGTATGCTTATGTAGGGAGTGTGATAGACCTTATATATAAAGGATACTCATTGGGCTTTTCATCCTTGACACAGTATGTTTATAGTGGGTCACTTCTTTCCTCTGCTGCCTCCCTGGAAGAGACTGCCACCAGGTTTCTGGAGTGCCCTTCCAGAAGTCTTCTTTTGAAATATTAGTGATATCCATTATCATGTACACTGACTTCTCTAAGTCCAATGAAAGACTGACTGTGCAAAGGACTTCTATAGATTAGGAGAGAGGTAGATGCTGACTTCTAGGACTTGGGAACTCCTAAATATATATTATTTAACATAGAGGTAATAAAAATCGTACATGTATTAATGGCACATGTATGCCATTAAAAGTAATGGCAAAAACCACAATCACTTTTGCACCAACCTAATAAAAGGCAATAAAATGGATTTTAAATAACAAATTCTCCTGTGACTCAATATTAGCTCCACTATACATGATGTCAAATAATTGTTGTTACGGTACTTGAAATAAGCTTTTGAGGGGATTGGATTGTTTTCTAAAACCTCTTTCTCAGATATGCAACAATGATGTGACATTGATTTTAGATACTTAACAGGATAAACTCAGTGAAAAGACTAGACACGAGTGAAGCAACCTGAATACCTCACATTCACCGAAGAAGCTCTATGGAGGGTATTGTATTAAATTATGAGAGGTGGCAGCAGTGCTCAAATTGCCATATGGCACAGCTCCAAAATCAACTTGTAAGCTTTTTGGTAACTTGAAATAAGTTTTCCCACTGAAAGAACATTATAAAGGATGCTAGCTTTACTGGGAAGACTTCAGAAACAGATTCCACACATCACAGAGCCACAGAGTGGTATTAACAAGCCGAAAAGAAGGAGGAGAAAAAAAGGAGGGAGAAAAAGAAAAGGAAGGTTGGGGATTATTTTCCTTCTGGCTCCTTCACTATAAATTTCAAAAGCCTGAGTCAATGGAGTTGGATTAAATTCTTTAATAAAGATACTGTGGAAAATTATTTCTTTAGGCACCAGACTTTTACATGGTTCCATGCTTGTCAAATGACCAACTTAATTTACTAGAATACAATCTCTGCATTCCTGACACCATATTCAATCAGACAAACATTTATTGAGCAGTATCTGAATGTCTGACACAGTGATAAGCTCTATAGAGCAATAGTTCTGACGTTTTTGGATTTCATAGTTTTTAAAAGTGGGGGCACTACCCGAAAGTTGACAATAGTTTTTTATTTGCCAAGAAAGTACACATAAAAAAACTGCCATATATTCTCATAATTATTCTTCACTCTAGCCTGATAGAAACTTTATCCAGACTCTCAAGTTGGGAGCCACTGTACTGTGAAGTACCTAAAATTAATACAAAACATATTCCCACCTGCCTAGTCTCCTTATCCTGACATGCCAGCTCAATTCTTATTCAAACAATGTCTAAAACTGTTATTTCTGTCAAGACAATTCCAAATTACTTTTACAAAATATTTTCGACTAATTGATTACTACTTAACAAATCAATCCTTCTTATTTCTAGACATCATCTGTTTGGGATCTATAATCACCATCAATGTGTTTTCACACATTTTTAAAGGAATTTTCTTAATCTAGTACAGAAGTTTCCAAACAAATTTTTTTTTAACTATAGAATCCTTTCTTCAAATGAAATCTTATTCAGAAAGACCAATATGTAAAATAGATCAAAGTGAGCTGTTCTGATTGAAGCAGCCAGCTTGGCTTCCCTTGCCCCTCTTCCACATGCCACAGAAGCCCTCAGGGCACTTTCACACAACCTCCAGGGATCCACAGAGCATTCCTGAATAGCAACTGATGTAACAGAATCATCGACTTGTAGAATTTCTAAGTCAGGAGATGTTAGGGACTATCACAAGTTATACAATAAGCCCATGATCAAGAAGAACCTTGGAGCTCAACTGGTTTATGCCTTTCAACTCCCAGATAAGAAAACTAAGGCCCAGAAAGTGTGCAAAATATGCTCCCAATCTTCTGCGCCTGTGTTACATTCAGTGCTACTTAATGGCAGACATAACTACAAATCAAGATTTATTTGCCCAAGTCCAGTGCTTTTCCTATATTGTTGCAAGTCTTTCAGAGGCATTGTTCCGGGGAAAAGATAGGACCATTCGGAAAAGAAATTTATTTAAAGCAGAGAAGAGAAAGCAGGGGGCAGAAAGGAAAAAAAAAGCACAAGTACAGCTGAATTATTGTTAGTTTCAAGTCTGAAGGAAACTAGGAATGAAATCATTGTTTACAAGAGGCTTACAATCTAGTCAGGAAAAAAAGGATGATGCACAAAAGGATGTTTACAACTTCTGTGATGCTCTAAGAAGATCTACTCCAAGCAATGACAAGTATTTATCAAAATTTTGATAATTGATACATTGAAAGTTACTCTGAGATATGAGAAAAACTTGCCACACCACACAGTTGAAAATTAAAATTTATAGCAAAATTTGACAATCAAGTTCATAAAAGCTGCCCTATGGCAAAACTTTCATACATTTTGGGAAGGAGCACTTACTATTTCACAAGTCACAGCACTCAGATAGGCTAAACCTAGACCGATCAATCAGATTGAATATTACAGTGTGAGCACCAGCAACATGACCAATGAACATAGATAAATGGGTCCTGGGAGCAGACAGTGTAGGCAGATTTATACACTAATATTTTATTGTCCACCATGAACTTACCGTCAGTGCCCAACAAATTAAATTCTCTCTTCCCTTCCCTCCATTTTTTTTTTGTTCCCTCTCGTATTTCAATTTGTTTCATATGACAAACCCAAGCCTGTAAAATTCATCTATCAGCAAGTGGTTCTAAATTAGAAAGTACCACAACTGAGAAAGAAGCAGACTTTCTAATAGTGCCAATTTATTTATTTTTCTATTGTTGAAAACCACTATAGTCATATTAAAGGAACTTATTCAAAAAAATTCTCATTTCTATAACTGTTTTCCATTTGTCCAGATTCCCAATCTGTTTATATTCTTATATATTTTTAAAATAGTTCAAATCATGCTGTGCCACATAATTTTGCATTCTTGTTGATTGTTGCCCTCTGTAAGAATTTGTGTGATGTTGCTACTTAGTCTGTTTGACAGAGACCCTTAAACAAAGCCAATGTATATGGAGATATTTAAGTACAAGTCCTTGAATAACGCCATTTCAGTCAACATCATTTCATCATAACATTGATGAGAAAAAAAATCGATTCCTAGCTAGGGCCACTGTCTGTGTGGAGATGGCACATTCTCCCCGTCAGTGGGTTTTCTCAGGCTACTCTGGTTTCCTTCGAAACACCATAGATGTGCATGTTAGCTGCGTTGGTGTGTTTCAATCGTGTGGTGTGTTCTAATCCCAGTGTGAGTGCGTGTCAGTGTATGTGTGAGTGTGCCCTACAATGGGATGGCATCCTGTCCATGGATAGTTGCTCTCTTGAGTGTGAAGCTGCTGGAATGGGCTCTGGCCACCTGTGACCCCCAAATGGAAAAAGTGGATTGAAAAATGAATAAGTTAATGAATATGAATTATTATAAAATTAAAATTTGTAAAGTATATATGATAATCACACAAATGCATGACAATAAATGATGTGGTAAGAAAGCATTAGTGATCCTGCCATATTTGTGATTATTTGCTTTTGGACTGCATGGTGGTAGGGAGAGCTCCTTAAAATTTCTGCTTTGCAAACATTTATTCCTTGATTTAATTCACTACAACAACTGCTGTCACTCACTGATTCACAAAAAATTGGGTAATTATCTCACTCATTTTTATTAGTTTTTGTTAACCATATAGATATATAGATATATAGATAGATAGATAGATAGATAGATAGATAGATAGATAGATATAGAGAGAGAGAGAGTTAGAGAGTTCACATTTATTTCAGTGTTTACTATTAGAGGTGTTTTGGGTCTTTATTTAGAAGTTCAATGATTTTTGAGATGGAGTCTCGCTGTGTTGCCCAGGCTGGAGTACAGTGGCACAATCTCGGCTCACTGCAAGCTCCGCCTCCCGAGTTCATGCCATTCTTCTCCTGCCTCAGCCTCCTGAGTAGCTGGGACTACAGGCGCCTGCCACCACACCCGGCTAATTTTTCGTATTTTTAGTAGAAACGGGGTTTCACCATGTTAGCCAGGATGGTCTCGATCTCCTGACCTTGTGATCCGCCCGCCTTGGCCTCCCAGTTGATGATGTTTTTGTAACTAGAAATATGCCAGAGGAACTTAATCCTTGATTATACCAATTGGTCTGTGGTAAAATTGGTTTTGTTATATGTCCTAAGTTGCAGTTTCCAGGAACCTAACAACATTAAGTGAGGATTTATTGCATATGAAAACTAGTCATCTTGGTTGGGACCGAGTTTGTCTTATTTGAACACCACTATGTACCAACACTAAGGAAATGCAAACATTGCTGGTTGAATATTTTTTTAACTAGCCATTTGAAAAAAGAGTGAATTTGAACCCACTTAATACATAATTTAACCCAAAGGTGACATGCTTTCTTTTTAAGAACAATGAAATAATCAAACTAGCCTTCAGTATGAGAATTATAATTTGTACGATATCTGTCTTGGAACATCTTGAATTGGCCCCTTATTAATCTAGCTTTTCTTGATACAGTGGTTTGTATTAAAAATGAAGTATCGACCTAATCCTATATAATAACAATTAATCATTTCCCATGATAAGTTTTTGATCTTTGTTTTTCTTATATACTTTAAAATACCAGGCAAGATAAATTATATTATTTAAATTTAATGTATATTTAAATAGACAGTAGCCTGTTAGTTCATTAAAAGGTAGAGATTTTTATCCGATTCATTTTTTTCTCTCACAGCTTAAAGCACAGTATTGTACAAATAGTATATGCTCAATAAAAGTTAATTGAATTGCATTGATCTTAGTTTCAAAATAATCAATTACTAGAAGACGTACCTTCTTGATAAATGTAAGCCAGTTTGTCACATAGGTTCTGACACTTATGAGTCATTTAGTGTATTTATCAATTAACTGCGTTGATGGTAAGGAGTGTGATATATTAGTTGATGACATATCAACTAATAGTTGATAAATAGTGTGATAAGTAGTTTTTTTTCCCCAGAGTTTGAAACATTCTCTGGCTTATAGTGGATACTCAACAAAGGCACCTGAACAAATTAATGGAGTTCAAGAGAAAGCAAAATTGGGCTGGGTTTTGAAGACAGGTAAGAGAGCTGATGTAGCAGAATGAGAAAGAGACACCAAAATAGGGTGATGGTTTGAAATGGAGGTATGGGTAGAGATAGAAATGTTGGAGAATGCGGCAGGGATCTCTGTTTTGGTAGCAGGTATGTATATAAGAGGAGTTCCTTCCAGAAATGGGTTTGTGTTTTTATCGATATGATTTTTAAAACCATCAACCAGCCCAGTAATAATGAACAGTAATGAACATGGGAGGCTTTTTCTTAGACATATGCAGCGAGGCTGCCTTTGTTACGCAAGAAGAGGGGAAATGTCCCTGATACCCATAATTAGGCAGTACATCTGAAAGTGGCAGGATACAGTTGTTTCCTTCCCTTGGAAAAAGGGAAATAATTAACTAGCTTTCCCAGTAACACATGACTCTCAACTGGATAAACTTTCTACTTCCTGCACGATGTGACTGGCTGAGGTCATACCAATCCAGTGGTCCTCAGCCAAATAATCATGTCAGGCATTTTCCATAGTGTTATGTGCCCACCATGGACACTTTAGAAGTTAAGACCATGTGTAGCTGTTTTAACCTTAGCCAATTTGGTTATCATGTTTCTTAACTGCTCTGGTGAGGATATCATATGTGATTCCCAACTTCTCTGAGATGATTTCAGAACAAATGAGACAGGATTAAAAAACTTTTCTCAGGGCCTCATTTTATTCTTTCCCTTTCCCCTTCTCTTGCCAGTCTTTTTCCCTCTACTTTTCTTCCCCACAGTTTCTATCTAATTCTCCACATATCCTAAGACACTTGGTATTCGGTGTTCCAAATTGATATACTTATTTTTTAAGTGAGAAGTTCAATCTTTTCTTTTTAAGTTTAAAGAATATGGCTGGTCCCAAAGTCTTGTGGGGCTGTAGGCTTGCTTGAGTGTGTTGTGTTGGTGGTGATTTCAGTCTGAGATTCATTTCAGCCGATGAGGGAAGTAAAAATGGCAATGAATTTATTTTTAATATATAATCTTTTATTTTGATTGCAGCTTTGACAGAACTGCATTTTTCAAATCTTTCCTTTATAGGGCCACCAAGACAGAGCAGAGGAGAAACAGCTTCATAAGAAAGCATCCAAAAATGCATAGATGGCCTTATCATTTTGAGATAGTCAACCTGGCCCAGTATTCCTTCTTTGTCTGGTTTCTATTAAAGCCATTAATGGATTCAGAGCACTGCACTTTCTGTCTATCTTCCTAAAGATGTAAACCCCAGTAGCATCAGAATCATATGAATAGGCCTGTATGTACTGATAAGCAATTATCACTGGGGTAAAAGGAAGAATGATAAGGTCTAGGCCTATCACAGGGCAAAGACATTAAGATTTATTTCCAGTGTCACCAGGAGAGCTTTGCTACCCATGCAAAGCTCCTTCCGGAAGAAAAAAAGAAAAAAGATGGAAAAAAGCATAAGGGGAGATAACATTTCTTGCAAACATTTATCAGTCAAAACAAGAAACTCTGAATGTGAAATTGAAACACAATCACAAAGTCAATTTTAAATGGGGAAAAGAGCCACAGAAAACATGGGCCTTCTGAGGATTAAAAAGAAGAAATCCTTACCTAAGATTAAAAAAATCCTTACCAGAGATCAAAATAGTGGGGCTATCAGAGGGAGGAATAGTGGAGATTGCCTTTACAAGTGATTTGGGATTGAAATAATTTATACAGCTTGTATTCAGCCACTGAGAGCAAGATGGAAAATTTATATAACTGTATAAAATGCCTTGCATTAGACAAGAACTATAAAAAATAGAACAGAAGCTCAACTCCAGGGACACAGAATTTTTTTATTAGGAAATCTAGGTTGGCCATGGAATGTAATTTTAATCATGAACTCAATGATGATGCATATTAATTCCAAACCAACCCTTTTAACCATGGTATATTTTGCCCCAGTAGGACTACAATAATCTCTCAAGGATAGATGAAAACTCTTTTAGGGAACACTTCTCACTACATGTTCTTTCTTAAGGCCTCCTCTCAGAGGAGTTATCTAGCAGATCATGGCATGCTAAAATGATGTATCATACATCAACCTCAGTGTTGCCATGTCTCAGAAATGCTTTCCCCTAAAACTAAACAGCAATACCTAACAAATGTTTATGGTTGAACAAGTGTAGAGAGCAGCTAATCCACATATACTGAGCTAGTCTAATTCATTTTATCTATTCATGTAACAATTATTTATTGAATACCTAGTATGTGTTAGGCACCAGACTAAGTACTAGGGATGCTTCCAATCTGGACCCTTGTGACTAGCAATGGGGCAATCTTGTGTTTCACTAGTCTGTTAGTTTGCTTTTAAGCTGTTTCATAAAGCTAGTAACTCCTCTTTAAAACAAAATCACTTACGTAGCATAGAATAGCAGACTTGTACAGATAGAAACAAACTCAGAGACAGTCATCTAGCCCAACTCCTTAATATAAGAAACAAAGTAAGTTCTATAGTCTCTTGTTGACAGCCTCATCGTCCACGTTAGGAAGTGGCGCCAAACCCAGGAAATAGTGTTATGTAAAATAACAGACACCCTGGAGAGTCATTTATAGAAGAATAGAAAACAATTGCATGGTAGAAGAGGAGGGCAGGAAAGACAAAAAGCGCTACGCATGATGAAAACTGAGTAACAGTCCAGTACCAAGTAAAGGCTTACTAGCAGAAAAGTTACTAGATTACTACTCCAAAAATGAACAGTAAATCTGACTGTGAAAATGTCCTTTTAATTATATTTTATCCACTAAAATAACCTCACTTATCTTTATTTCTGAAATATTAAAATGGCTCTATTGATAATTAAGATAAAATGGCTATGGGGAACCCTCTGTTAGTCACCAGATGCCCTGACAAATAAAACAAAACATTGGAGAAAATATAATGGGATTCTATCAGTTTTACAGATAATTCCATCAAACTGACTCTCATACCTTGGAGCTGCAGAAACATCAGTGGTTTCCTAAATGTTATCATTTTTTATTTTCATAACAATCATCTGACGGTTGGATGGCAAACACACCAATTTTTATGCTACAGTGAGAACATGTAAGTGACCTGGTGTGAAAGTCACAAAAGAAATCAAGATTATGGACTACATTTTTCTGGCTCCTGGCTTGGTTTTCTTTCCATTTTACCACGGTGTCACTCAAACAAGCCTAATGTTCAAAAAGTTCAGCAGGTGAGTTCTTCCTCTGCTCATGACAACATTCATGTGGCATCTTCCGCCGAGCTTAGATGGTGAAGATGACCAGCGCATGTTTACTGAATGACCACTTTTTGTTGAAATCAGGGGCTTTTGTTATATGTCCTAATGGAGGCTCCCGTCTTACATCGTTTGTCATCAGAATCTCCTTCACTCTCAGGAGAGGTCTGCAAAGGTGAGTGGGCTTTCTATGAAAAGTGATGAAGTAGGGAGAAACTCAAAGATTATGTTGCTGAGTTGCAAACTACTGGAAAATATTAAAGTCTAATATGATTCTCTTATGATGTTTCTCAGCCTTCTGGTATTTATTCCTCTATATCATCATAACTTGTGTGTTAAAAATATACATCTATTTACCTATGTTATACATATAATATAGATGATATCTATAAAATATGTAAATACAACCAGAAAGGTACAGCTGTATCCTTCTTAAATCAGTGAACATATCCATTTAATATAACTCCACTCTTGCAACTTCTATTCACCATTGCACTGAAGATTCTACTCAAGACAGTTATGGAAGGAAAAAAAGGAAAAGACTCAGATTGTAAAGGAAGAATTAAAAATCTCTCTTTGTTGATGACATCTAAAATAATCCACTAAAAACTATTAGAATAGATGAGTTTTAGCAAGATTTCAGAATACAAGATCAATATAAATACATAAATACTGAATGTATTTGACAATCTGAAAATGAAATTTAAAAAATTGAATTTCCAATAGCATCAAGAAGAATAAGATACTTAGAACTAAGTTTAAGAAAACAAATGCAAAACTAAAACATTGTTGAAAGACATTAAAGGCCTAAGCATATGGAAATATACCACATATGTTCACCGATTGAAAGGTTTAATACTGTTAAGATGACAGTGCCCACCAAAGTGATTTGCAGATTTAATGTAATACATATCAAAATCATGACTGCTTTTTGTTTGCAGAAATAGAAAAGCTGATTTAAATTTCATAAAGAAATTATAAGGAACCCAAGGTGCCAAAACAATCTCAAGAAAGAATATATTTGGATTATTCACACTTACCGATTTCAAAATTTACTATAAAGCAACAGTAATCAAAACAGTGTGGTGCTGACATTAGGACAGACATATAGACTAATGGAATAGAATTGAGAGTCTAGAAATAAATTTGTTGTTTTTTTGACAGATAATTCAAAGGGAAAAGTTTTTTTTTTTTCCAACATATGGTGCTGAGACAAATGGATATCCATATGCAAAAGAATAAAGTTGAACCCCTAACTTCATATGATACACACAAAAAAGTTAACTCAAAATGAGTCATAGACAAACTATGAGGCTCTTAGAAGAACACACAGGAATACATCTTCATGATCCTGGGTTAGCTAAGATCTTCTTACAGTATCAAAAGCACAAGTGATAAAAAAAAAAAGATAAAATGGGCTCTATCAAAATGAAAACTAGTGCTGCAAATAATACCATTAAGAAAATGAATAGACAACCCACAGAATGCAATAAAACATTTGTAAATTATAAATATATAATAAAAACTTGTAAGAAGACTATATATAGAACTTTTATGACTCAATAAAATAACCCAATTAAAAATAGACAAAAGATCTGAATAGATATGTCTCCCAAGAAGATTTTAAAATGACCACTAAACACATGAAAAAAATATTCAACATCATTAGCCATCAGGGAAAGACAAATCGAAGCCACAATGAAATACTACTTCACATCTGCTAGATGGTTACAATAAAAAAGGCAGATAGCAACAAGTGTTGACAATGATGTGGAGATATGGGAACTCTCATATATTCCTGGTGGAAATGTAAAATGGTGCAGCCTGTTTGAACAACAGTTTGGCAGTTTCTCAAAAAGTTACTATGGTAACATAGGTGTACCACATAACCCAGCACTTCTACTCCTGGGTACATACTCAAGAGAAGTAACAATAAATATCTATACAAAAACTTGCATGTGAACATTCATAGCACCATTTTTCATAATAGCCAAAAAGTAGAAACTTCCAAATGTCCATAAACTGATGAACGGATAAATAAAATGTGTTATCCGTATCTATGCAAAGAAGTATCCTTTGACAATAAAAGGGAATGAAGTACTGATTAACATGCTACAATCGGGATGAATCTTGATATCATTACGCAAAGTGAAAAAGGTCATTCACAAAAGATCACGTATTACATGATTCCAGTTACATAAAATGTCCATAGAGGAAGCAGAAAGTGTACATCATTGTGAATATTCTAAAAACCACTGAATTGTATACCTAACATGTGTATCTTAAAATTTTAGCATTAAATTTTCTTTTTAATTACAAAATTTAAGTATAACTGATTTGTATGGAGATAGTTTGAGTTGTAACAGCATTGAGTCAGCATGACTCTGCCCTAACATAGTTTGTAACCTAGACACCTGGACACTGAGACCTCACTCCTCTGGGCCCCTTTCCTCACCCATATGATACCACTTGATTGTTTTTCAAGCATTATAATCCCTCCTTTTTGCTCTGAATAAAATCTTACATGGAAACTCAATGTATAAAGCAGAGAAAAGCCCTATTTTTCTGATTCAAACAGGGATGGAGTTTCTAGATCCCACCCAGTCAGGTTTATTTCTTGAGTTGCTCCCTGCAATATCCTCAAATAGCCACAGAGCACCATGGGCTCAACAGCATTCCCTAGAAATACTGTTTTAAAATCAATCAAGGCTGGACACAGTGGCTGGCTTACGCCTATAATCTCAGCACTTTGGGAGGCAGAGATGGGAGGATTGCTTGAGGCCAGGAGTTCAAGAACAGCCTGGAGAATATTGTGAGACCCTGCCACTCCAAAAAGAAATTAAAAAATTAGCAGGCCTGGTGGCATGTGCCTGTCGTCCCAGCTACTGGGGAGGCCGAGGTGGAAGGATGATCTCTTGAACCCAAGAGTTCGAGGCTGCAGTGAGCCATGCTCAGGCCACTGCACTCCAGCCTGGGTGACAGACTCTGTCTCTAAAATAAAATAAATCCAAATGGGTCCAAAGGTACCTTCCAATCTTAACATTATCCACAGCTTATCCCCTTGTGGTTTAGTAGTCAATTAGGTACAATAACATATGGAACAAAAAAGAGGTGGGTGAAATTGAGTGACATTACGTCAGTCAACTGGTCTAGGGAAAGGGGATGTGAGTAGAGAAGGGTTCAAGAGAATGAGAAAGTCAAATGTAAGAGGCCAGGTCAAATTGATTTTTAAATCAGCAGTAAGGAACGAAGGCTGAATTTCTGTGACACGACACAAAAAATTGCTGGCACCAGAATTTTTCGTAGGGAGGGAAATAACATTTGTTTGGAAAAATTCCTTCACAGGTTGTTTTAGGAGGTGAGACAGGCCTGGATATTTGGAGAAAAGGAATCAAATACTGTGTACATCATTCTGCATTAGGAAATAGCAAGAATAGAGAGTACAGGGGTGCAGGGGAAAGAGTCAGAATGCCTGACTTAGGAACATGGAAGAGTAGCTGAGTAACTTTTAAGGACAGTAAGCAATTTGAATTTATGTGATATAAACCCCTCTTCATTGTCCCCAAATCTGGACTTCAGTTTGCTGCACACTCAAATACATGGTACTTTAGCAGTAGAAGGTCAGGCAGATGGGTGAAGTTATTTGGGCCACTTTTCTATTCCATTTAATTAAAAGTGATGGAATTGTATTTGATATATATATTAGTTAGAAGCTTCATGACCATAGGGATTGCTGAGCTCTGTGCATTTTCATCTTACTGCAGAGTTTAAATACCCTAAAGTGTGGTCACAAACTGTGAGAAAGCCTCAGGCTAAGCATTTCTAATGTTATTCCTGGCAAGAGAAGTGGCCTGATGAGGGAGATGCCTCCTGTGGTGGACAGTCAAGAAGACACAGGCAGGGCATGAACTCAGATCCACATGTATGCCAACAACTGCCCTGCATGTCAAAGGGAATGTTGGTCTCAGCTGTTAACCCCAAGCCTCTGAAGGACAGTCACATTGTGTGGGTCACTCTTATAACCACAGCATTAATGAATTTATTTCTTCATCTAGGGTGCAGTGGAACTTGGTGATTATGTTCTTCTGCCAGCTTTGTGTCAGTACAATCCCACCTTTATTTTCCCCAGAAGAGTTGGTTTAGGACTTCATAAAAGGAAACAAGTCTCCTCTTACCACTGAGCAAAATTGCCTTCTCTGCTTTCTTTTTGCCCACCACAGGGTAGTGGCTGGGAAAAGAGTGGAGGGAAAGGGAAACTGAGAAGCATGTATAAGGTCACATACATATGAGCTACACATGGGGAGGATGTGAAGGTGGAGAGGAGCTGGTCTCATGAGGACTTTATGCCTTCCCCACTTGCGAGAGAATGGAGAGTTTAAAAAGTTTCTGGCTTACCTTGCTTTTTTGCATGTGGCCAAAAGGGTTATAGGTTCCTCATGATTTATCCTCAAGGATAAAAAAAAAAAAAAGTTAATCAAAGTTAGAGTCTTCTAGGTTCTAACCTTCTCTACTGCCTTTCTCTACTGTCTCTGCTGCCAAGGTCCATTCAACGGCAGTGAGAGGAGTGCAATGCTAATCATAGTTTTACAAGACGTAGCCTGACTTTTTGTTCCTCCAACAATCCATTCAAGCCACCAGCTCCTCCTTTTCTCACCCTACTTCTGATTGGCAACCCCTCCATACCGCCTGGCCAAGACACTTTACTCCACAAGCCAGTCATCCATCATCAGTTATTTCAGTTGGGGTTTGTAGCTTTCTCAAGATGATCATTTTTGCTCATAGCTGCCACCTCCCTGGGCAACTCCCACTTATAGCCCCAAGGAGCCTACTTTCTTTTCTTCACTTTTATGATATCTCCATTCAAAAACTGTCTATCTGAAATTGACTATTAAAAGAAACACCACCTTCTCTAAATTCCTGTTTGTTCTCAGTCTTTGGACAGCAGCAGAATCACTTGCAGCGCTTGTTAAGACAGATTCCTGAGCTCCATCCTGATTCTGATTGCGGAATTACATAAAGAATGCTGCGTGAGATTTTGTTTTTCTAACAACTTCTCCAGTAATATTGATGTTGTTGGTCTAGGGTTAGCATGTTGAGAACGAATGCTTTACACATTTTAAACCTGTAAAATGTTGGAATGATGTTTTAGCATAGGGTACCCGAGTGTATTTTCTGAGCACTGGGTCTCTAGTAACAATCAGGATTTTAGGGATGATAAAAGACATTTTGGCACATAGAATTCCCTATTTCTGCCTTCCACTTTTGGTCTTTGTATTTCTTTTTCTTCTCCTTTATATATGTATTTTAAATTCTTCACTCTTATTCACCTTTTCCTCCTGCTCCAAGCCTGACTTAGAAGGGTCTTATGATCCAGACGATTGTAACATGTAATAGGAATAGTGTGAGAAAGAAGCCCCAAGGTAAAAGGAATCTGCTTATCTGCTGTACTCAGGGAAAAATCTCGTTGATGTTAAACTAGTGTGGTCTCTCCTTCCTCTAGCATAGTTATTCAGGAATCAATCAATCAAAATTATCCAAATATCCTGCAAACATTTGGCTTAAAACTTTTATCAGTATTTTCAACAACTGTCAAATACTCTTGTACAGAGGAATGTGGCAAAGACGGGGAGTGAATGAGAAGAAGCTGATAGTAAGTAGCTCTACTTTTAGTTTCTTATTGTCTACAATGGCTCTTCATTTTGAAGCTGGAGCTTTGCTTTATGGTTGGTTCCTGGCTTGCTAATAAGAAGCAGATGTTTCCCACAAAGATATTTCTGATTCTTTTTTTCTATACCCCTACTTTCAACTTGGAGTTGGAAATCAGTAAGTTCAAGGGAATTTATTACCTTTATCCTCTTAGCACATGAAATTGGAAGATGATAGGGTTTTAACTAGTTGTCAGATTGTTAGGTGAAAGGATATTTCTGGCTAAAGAATGGGGCTTTCATTGCCGTTATTTTCTTTTCAATTCTTTCTGCAGTTCCTAGAAAGAAATCAAACTAGTTACATTGCTAAGGTGAAGAAGTACATGCTCTGGTATTTTTGCAGTGAAGTTCTTCAGGCCCTGATACCTCTCAAGCCCAGATGTCAATCATTTCCAGCAAGTGCAGCCTTTTTTTGCCACCACTGTGTAGGACGTGGTTACCACTCAGAAATTATGGCAAGTTAATCTGCAGGCCTTATTCAATAATTCTTAGAAACACATGAACACAGTTGGTGCGCTCGAGCATTTGGAAAATTAAATTATTCTTTAGAATTAGCCTACTGAGCTGGAAGAAAATAAAGAACACTTACCAAAGGGGAAAAAATGACAAAAAATTCTAATGACTAATGGTTTTTCATTATAATTGCATAATAGTCTCTTGATACAAGTGCTACTCATTGTTCTGATAATTCACTGATCCATTAGGCCCCTCCATACATATGCAAGCACCTAGATTAGAAAACAGAAGAATAAGAATATGTAATTGCACTCAAGTGCCTTAAATTAGATCAATTCAATGGCACTCTTAACCATCCTACTATTAGCAGATGCTGAGAATATGAGAAATGATAAGCAACTTCCAACTGATACACTAGATAAATTTTACTTTTTTATCCAGGATAAGACAATTAACAAAGGTAACATTTAGTTCATAGTAACATTTTAAAAATTTCTGACGATTATGCATAGTGTGCTATAAACATTCATCTACTAGTTTTTATGTAGACAAGTTTTTATTTCCCTTGGACATATTCCTAGAAGTTGAGTTGTTGAGCCACAAATTATATTTTGTGACTGTCTGACCTTGAAGGGCCCACAGAAGATAATTCTGTGTTGGTGGTTATAAGAATCTAGGTATATGTTAGTCCTCATAGAACTGTACACCAAAAAAGTGACTACTACCTCATGCAAATTCAATATTTTTAATAATTTAGAAAACTCTCCAAATAATCTGCATAGATTTATAAATTCCATCAAATTATTACATGAATCATTAACATACCTCTAGTGCTTCAAAAACTAAAGTTTGTACAAAAAATGTGGTGATAAAAAACAAAATAGTTCCTGAAGTGAATAATTTTTAGTGGGTAGAGTTATATATCACATATAGCAAAGTTGTGTCTCAAATTGAATGTCAAGAGAACTGGAAATTCTTTGATCCAAAAGGCAACCAAATCGTCCACGCTACTCAGTCCTTATTCAAGATCCTTTAACAAAATGGAAATATATTAGTGGGAAGTAATTCTTGGATAGGAGCTGGGATAACAAGTTCCTCTTATTAAACCTACTGATTTCATTCTCCTATTCTCCCAAGGTTTAGCAAAAGCAGGCCTTACATTACAAATTTCTTGTAGTATTGAGAAAAGGTTCCACTTCTGTACATGGAGCTTACAAATTTTTTATCCCATGGAGAATTGTTAAAGATTATAAAAATGCATAGAACACACACAGGGCAATAATGTATTGAGGAGTTTTAAATTGTAATTTTTACTGTCAAGCCCGTAAGTAAATCATCAATGCAAGAATTCTGAGGTTCAACGTTTAAATAAGAAAATTAGTACTCTTCCTTCTATGTTTAAATTCCGTGTTTGACATTGTCTGGAAAAATGTCAATAAATATTACTTGTGATATTTTCAATTTTCAAAGCAATTATTACATTAGGAACACAGGTTTTGGAAAGAATCACAACTAATGTCCCTGAAAGGGTAATGATGCCAAGGATAGTTGTTTTTAATAAAAAGTTAGAATGTACATCGTGACAAACTAACAATCACAATTAGAGCTATCTTTGTCCCTTTTCTACCCTCAAAACAACCTGAGACTCAGGTGATAATCCCAGTTTACCTTAATGTTAATAATTTTTAGTTATTAATTTGTTCATTTTACAAATATATATTGGATATAACTATGCACCCTGAACTGTGCTGAATGTTTCAGATGCAATGGAGAGCAAAGCACTTGAACTCTGATTTACAAGAGGAGACCAAATAATCACACAAATATTTAATGAGAAACTGTGCTAACTAACCGTTATGAAGGAAAAGTAAAAGGGACAAAAAAAAAAAAAAAAGATACCTCAGGGATATATTAAGGAAATGTACCTATTCTGAAGTTTAATGGAGGCTTCCTTGGAGAAGTGGCATTTGATCCTGATTTTGTGACCAATGACCTGCATTTCCTGATTCCAATTTCTTTTCCCTCCTCATTCCAGCTAATATCCAAGAATAATCTCAGGGTAATTGCTTTAGGTTCCAAATGGGACCTAAAATTACATTAAAAGCTGGCAGTAGATACAATGGCAGTGGCCTATGTGGGACTCTGAGCATAGGCTTGGCATTATGTCCAGGGTTTCCGTTGCAGATCCCACCACTTCCAAATACTTAGGTCAGGCTATCTGAGGTACAACATGAGCTACAAACCCTTTTATCTTCTAGGATATTTTTATCCCCTGAAAGTCTGACTTCTGAAATGAATTTAATATTATCAAGAAATAGGAAGGAGAACTGTATCTGACAAATATGACATTTCAAATCAGAGTCGGAAGTTCTTATAGTAAAAGACAAATTTCCCACAGAAATAATAAAAACCCCTAAGAGACTACTATGAACACCTCTATGCACACAAGCTAGAAAATCTAGAAGAAATGGATAAATCTCTGGAAATATACAACCTCCCAAGACTGAACCAGGAAGACACTGAATCTCCAAACATATCAATGAGTTCCCAAATTAAACCAGTAAAAAAAAAAAAAAAAAAGCCTACCAACCCACAAAAAGCCCAGGACCAGGCAGACTCACAGCTGAATTCTACCACATGTATAAAGAAGAGCTGGTATCAATCCTACGGAAAATAGTCCAAAAAATTGAGGAGGAAGGACTTCTCCTCGACTCATTCTATCAAATCAGGAACCTAATACCAAAACTTAGCAGAGACAACAACAACAAAACAACAACTTCAGGCCAATATCCTTGATGAACATAGATGGAAAAATCCTCAACAAAATACTAGCAAACCAAAACCTGCAGCATATAAAACAGCTAATTCACCACGATCAAGTAGGCTTCATCCCTAGGATGCAAGGTTGGTTCAACATACATACATCAATAAATGTGATTCACCACATAAACAGAGCTAAAAACAAAAACCACCTGATCATTTCAATAGATGCAGAAAAGGCTTTTGATAAAAGCCAACATCCCTTCATGTTAAAAACTCTCAATAAACTAGGCATTGAAGGAACACACTTCAAAATAATAAGAGCCATCTATGACAAACCCACAGCCAACATCATACTGAACAGGCAAAAGCTGGAAACATTCTCCTTGAGAACTAGAATACCACAAGGATGCCCTTTCACTACTCCTATGCAACATAGTACTGGAAGCCCTAGCCAGAGCAATTAGGCAAGAGAAAGCGATAACAGGCATGCAAATAGGAAGAGAGGAAATCAAAGTATCTCTGTTTGCAGACATTATGACCGTATTCCTAGAAAATCCCATAGTGTCTGCCCAAAAGCCCCTTGGTCAGATAAACAAATTCAGCAAAATTTCAGGATACAAAAATAAATGTACATAAATCAGATCATAAATCAATATCTATAAATCAGTAGTACTTCTATATATCGGCAACATCCAAGCTGAGAGCCAAATCAAGAACACAGTCCCTTAAGCCACAAACAGAGTAAAATACCTAGGAATACAGCTAATCAGGGAGGTTGAAAGATCTCTACAAATGAGAATTTCAAAACACTGCTTAAAGAAATCAGAGATGACACAAATTGGAAAACATTCCATGCTCATGGATAGGAAGAATCAATACTGTAATAATGGCCATGCTGCCCAAAGCAGTATGATTCAATGCTATTCCTATCAAACTACCAATGACATTCTTCTCAGAATTGGAAAAAACTATTTTAAAATTCATATGGAAACAAAAAACAGCTCAAATAGCCAAGGCAATCCTAAGCATAAAGAAGAAAGCTGGAGGCATCACACGACCTGACTTCAAGCTATATTACAAATCCATAGAGTAACCAAAACAGCATGGTATTGGAACAGAAACAGACCCATAGACCAATGAAACAGAATAGAGCGCCTGAAAATAATGCCATATGCCTACAATCATCTGACCTTTGACAAAGTCAACAAAAGCAAGCAATGGGGAAAGGGATACCTAGTCAATAAATGGTGCTGGGCTGACTGGCTAGCCATATGCAGAAAATTGAAACTGGACCCCTTCCTTACACCATATCCCAAAACTAACTCAAGATCAATTAAAGACTTAACTGTAGAACCTAAAACTATAAAAGTCCCAGAGGAAAACCTAGAAAATACCATTCTGGACATAGACCCTGGCAAAGATTTCATGATGAAGATGCCAAAAGCAATTCCAACAACAACAAAAATTGACAAATGGGACCTAATTAAACTGAAGCACTTCTGCACAGCCGATACAGAATGAAATATATTCTCCCATTATAGAATCAGAGAAAATATTTGCAAACTATGCATCCAACAAAGGTCTAATATCTAGACTCTAAGAAACTTAAAATAACAAGCAAAAAACCAAACTATTAAAAAGTAGACAAAGGACATGAACAGATACTTTTCAGAAGACATACATGCAGCTAATAAGCATATGAAAAAAATCCTCAGCATCGCTAATCACTGGGGAAATGCAAATACAAACCACAATGAGTTACCATCTCACATCAGTCAGAATGGCTATTACCAAAAAGTCAAAAAAAATCACAGATGAAGGCAAGGTTGAAGAGAAAAGGGGGCACTTATACATTGCTGGGGGGAATGTAAATTAGTTCAGCTATTAGAACAGTGTGGTGATTTCTCAAGGAGCTTAAAACAGAATTACCATTTGACCCAGCAACCCATTATTGGGTATATACGCAAAGAAATACAAATTACTATATACAGATACATGCACACATATTCATTGCAGCACTATTCACAAGATGAGGAATCATACACTATGGGATACTATGTAGCCATAAAATAGAATAAGATCATGTCCTTTGCAGCAACATGAGTGGAGCTGGGGGCCATCATCCTAAATGAACACAGGAACAGAAAACCAAATACTGCATGTTCTCACTTATACATGGGAGCCAAACATTGAGTACACATGGGCACTAAGAAGGGAAAAACAGACACTGAGGCCTACTTGACAGATGAAGATGGGAGGAGGGGCACTGAAAATCTACCTATTGGGTACTATGCTTTTACCTGAATGATGAAATAAACTGCTCTCCAAACCCGTGACATGCAGTTTGCTAATATAACAAAGCTACACATATACTGCTGAACCTAAAACTTAAAAAAAAAAATCAGTTTCCAACTATGGCACCTAGGGGAATATATGTTTTTTTTTTTCCATTCCTTAGTAATGGATTAGCAAACACATAATAAAAGCTCACCACAACTAGTGAGTGCTGGGTAGGGAACCATGGAAAGAAACAAAGGAAGATTAGAACCCTAATCTGGTCTTTTATGTGACTCTGGGGGAATACTAAACTCACCAATGAAACAAACTGAAGGCAGTGACAAAGAATATTGTAATAATATAATCAGGTATATTTAATCTATGAGTATTTGCTCATATTTGCTATGAGTAAAATAGCAAATAAAGTGGTCAGATGCATCAGAATTGAGCAGGGCTTATCTTTAAGTGGTAGGGTCATGGCCTATTCCTAATTTATTCTTTTTGCTTATCTATACTTTCTGAATACTGACTCTACCATTCTATTTTTTCATTAGGGATGCAAAAGCAATATTTTTTCTAAAAATAATGTATATATATGTGTGTATATATTATATTGCTTATCAAATTCAGGATTTAAGCCTCAGTTTTTTCACCAATTTAACCAACTTGCTGAGTAACCTTTGGCAAATTCCCCTTGCCTCCTGGACTCAAGTTCTTCCTACTTGTCAAATGAGGAGATGGGCCAGGTCTGTTTCCCAAACTTAGCCAATCTTCAGAATCCTTTCAGCCAACTGTTAAAAATAAAATCCCAAGAGCACCTGAAATCAGCCAAATGAGACATTCCAGAGAGAAGCCCGGGAAGATGTGTTGTACAAGTGCCCCCAAGTGATTCATAGAAATAGCCAAGCCTCAGAAACACTACACTAGATGATGCTTATGGTCACTTCCAGTCTGAATGAGCCATCTCTGCGTTAACATTTAGCACACAGCATGCAATCCCTCTCTAAGTGGGAAAATGACTCTTGTTGGAACTGGGCAGGAGCACTGAGAGCACAGCCTTTCCTTTTATCTGGTTTCAGTGTTAGGGTCATGCTGGGCTTATACAATAAACTAGAAAGTGTTATTTGGGAAGCTGAGGAGGGCAGACCACTTGAGGTCAGGAGTTTGTGACCAGCCTAACCAATACGGTGAAACCTCGACTCTACTAACAATACAAAAACTAGCCAGGTGTGGTGGCAGGCACCTGTCATCCCAGCTACTCAGGAGGCTGAGACATGCGAATCACTTTAACCTGGGTGGTGGAGGTTGCTGTGAGCCGAGATCGCACTACTGCACTCCAGCCTGGCCAACAGAGTGAGACTCTGTCTTATAAAAACAAAACAAAACAAAACAAAACAAAACAAAACAAAACAAACAAAACAAGAAAGTGTTACCTCTGCTTCTATTTTTGAGGAGACTGTGGAAAATTAGCATCAATCTTTGGTAGTATTCACCAGTGGAACCATCTGGGCCTGGTGCATTATTTTTTTGAAAGGTAATTATTGATTCAACATCTTAAACAGAGGTAAGCCTATTCAGATTGTATCAATTTCTCCCTGTTTTGGTAGTTTGTGTCTTTTGAGGATTTAGTCCACTTTATCTAAGGTAACAAAATTGCAGGAATAGTTGCTTGTAGCATTTCTTTATCATTTAAACCTCCTTGGAATCTATAGTAATGACCCCTCTCTCTCATTTCTGATATTGGTAATTTGTGGCTTTTCCTTATTATTATTTTTGGCTAGCCTGGCTAAAGATTTATCAGTTGTATTGATCATTTCAAAGAACCAGCTTTTGGTTTCATTTCTTTTCTTTGTTTTCTTTCTTTCCATTGCATTGATTTTTGCTCAATTTTTTTTTATTATTTCTTTTCTTCTGTTGCTTTAGGCTTAACTTGCTCTTTTTTAATTTCCTATGGTGGAAGCTTAAATTATTTAGATGTTTTTTTCTAATATATGCACTTGATGCTACAAAATATTTCTAAGGACTGATTTTTCTGTATCATACATTTTAATAAGTAGTATTTTCGTTTTCATTTAAAGGTATTCTTCAGAGTTCTTTGACCCATGTGTTATGTACAAGTGTCTTTTAATTTCTAAATATTTGACATTTTCTAGCTGTCTTTCTGTTATTGATTTCTACTTTAATCCCATTGTAGTCTAAGTACATTGTATAATTCTTATTAAAGTTTTTGAGGTGTCTTATGGCCCACAGTGTGGTCTATTTTGGTGAATGCTCCACGTGAGTATCAGAAGAATGTATATTTTCCTGTTGCTGGATGCCATATTCTATAAATGTCAATTAGATTAAGTTGATTGGTAGAGCTGTTTGGGTCAACTGTATCATTATTGATTGTCTGCCTGCTTGATTTACCAATTATTGAAAGAGAGCTGTTAAAGTTTCCAACAATAATAGTGAATTGGTCCATTTCTCCTTGGAATTTTATCAGTTTTGCCTCTTATTTTGATGCTTTGTGGTTAGGTACACATACATCTTGGATTGTTATGTACTCTTGGAGAACTGACCTATTTATATAATGCTCTTTATCCCAGATAATTTTCCTTGTTCTGAAGTCAGTTTCGTTTAATACACTACTTCTGTTTCTTTTGATTAGTAGGAGCACAGTAAAATTTTTTCCATCTTTGTTTTTAAGCCGAATCTTGATCTTTAAAGTGGGTTTTCTTGCAGATGACATGGAGTTGTGTTTTGTTTTTGTATTTTTAATTCACTTTAAAATGTTCCATAATTACTGCATTTAACCATAAATATTTAAAGTAATATTGATAAAACTGGATTAATATCTACCATATTTGAATTGTTTTATATTTGTTACATTTGTTCTTGGTTCTTTTCTGCCCTCTCTAGATTTAGTTGAATATTTATATGATTCAATTTTAGCTCCTCTTTTGGAATATCAGTTATACCTTATTAAATTTTATTAAAAATTAAATTTTGCAATATACATAATTCACTAATAAAGTCCAATTTCAAATACCACTATATTGCTTGATATGTGGTGCAGGTATTTTAACAGAATATCCTTGAAATTTCTCCCTCCTATTCTTCGTGACATTGCTATCATTCATTTCACTCGTCCTATCTTCTATAATCACTCAATACATCATTGCTACTATTAAACAGTTCTTTTATATCAATTAAGATTAGAAGTAAGAAAAATAAAATTTTATCCTTCCTTATTCCTTCTGTTACACTCTTCTTAATATAGGTATGAGTTTCTGACCTATATAATTTCCTTTTCCCTGAAGGATTTATTTTAACATCTGCAGAGTGGTCTTCTGGTCATGAAATCCCTCAGCTTTTGCTGGTCTGAAAAACTAATTCTCTTTTGAGGTTGAGTTTCACTGGATATTCTATATTTGTGGACTTTTTCCCTTTCAACAGTTTAAATATTTTTTATTTCATTCTGTTCTTGCTTGCATAACTCTCTTCTTTTTCTCTCTCCTTCCTTCCTTTCCTTCATTTTGATATTTATCCTGCTGGTGTTTGCTGAACTTCTTGGATTCTGTGGTTTAGTATCTGTCATTAATTTTGGGAAATTTTCGTCATTATTACTTACATTTCTTCTGTTTTCTCTTCTCCTTTCTCTTTTAATTATGTTTATGATATACCTTTTGAAATTGTCCTACAACTCTGGATGTTCTCTGCTGATTTTTTGTTTTGTTTTGTTTTTCAGTTTGGGAGGCTTCTATTGTGACTTATCTTAAAAGCTCATTGTTTCTTTTCTCAGCTGTGTCTGTTCTACTAATGAACTCCTCAAAGACATTTTTCATTCTATTTTTTATTTCTAGCATTTTGATTCTTTCTCAGAGTTTTCCATATCTCTGATTATATTAATCATGTGTTATTGTGTATTTTCTACATTTTCAATTAGAGCCTTTAACATATTAATCAGCTATTTTAAATTCCTTATCTGATAATTTGAAAATCTGTGTCACAGAATCAGTCTGATTCTGATGTTTGCATTTTGTCTTCAGACTTTTTTCTTGTTTTACTATACCTTGTAATTTTTTGTTCAAAGTTGGACATGATGTTTCAGGTAATAGGAGCTGAGGTAAATGTACCTTAACCCATAAAAGTTTAATGTTTATCTGGCTAGAAGTTGAACTGTGTTTAATGGTTGCTGTATTTGGGTACCCTAATAGAGGAATTAGAGGCTTCAAATTCCTGTAATATCCTTGTTTTTGTCACTTCATTAAGTAGAATCTATGCCTGGCAGTTCTTTCATCTGTAACCCACTGTTACTATATTGGAAACTTGTTGGTATGGTGGTAAGGTGTAGAGAGGGAAAATGTTCTATACTCTTATGAACCAATCTCAGTCTTTCAGTGGGCTTGCGTTTTGTGGTTATGACCTTACAAGTTTTCTTAGCTTCTCCGCAGCCCAGTTGAAACAGGAAAGCTAGAGGATGCTGAAGTCAGAGAAATATATCTTTCTCCTGGCAGGACAAAGCCTTTTCCTCTGGATTTGTCATTTGTTAAGAAGTCTCTTGGCATATTTCACAATGGTAACTCTTCTTCTTCTCCCCTGCCAAAGCCAAGAAGAGATCTTTCCTGGGTTTCTAACATGAGAACCTGGTGACTTTCCTAGAGATAAAACTTACCAAAGTATGGGGCCCCCTAAGATTATGCCACACAGGAATTTTTTCCTTTAGCTAGTCCATACTCAGCCTCCAACAATCCATCAAATCTACCACTGAAGTTTTTCTACCCATTTATGGTTCCAGTAGCATCTGTCCAGGGAAGCGAATTTCATTTTTGCGTCTCTGGATTCACCTTTCTGTTTAGATTCTGGGATAGCAGTTTGCTTTGTATTCTCAATTCTATGAGGAGTCCAAGAAATGTCACCAATTTTTCAGTTTGCTCAGATTTTTCTAGTTTTAAGAACAGGAGTGACCACTTCCAAGCTCTTTACCTGTGGGAACTGCAACTGGAAATGGCCCTTTCTGAGAAATAACCATGCATTTCTGGTGATACCTTTAAGCAAATCAGCATGATTTTTAAATAAGTACTTTCAGGGCTGCTTCCTACAGTTGTGAAGGTTGTGCTCTACAAGGACAACCAGGCTAAGAGGCAAAAAGAGGGTGGCATCTAGTTTGTGCAAAGGTGCCCGGAGGATGGGTGGAGGGTGGGTAACAGCTGACCCTGCTTTGCAAGGTTGCACAAGGGAGGTTGAAGCCTGAGCTCATCAATTCCAACCATCTTATGAAACAATCCAGTGGCTCTTCTTAGCTCAGTTTGTGGGGAACATTCAGAACTGCTCCAAGGATTCCTTCATCTTGTTCAGGCTTTGATGGAACAGGGCCAGTAGCAGAGAGCTCTTTCAGATCTTCAGATTTTGCATTTATCTCCAGCCTCACTCTTTGAGAAGGCCAAAGCCTCCTTTTGTAATACCTTTCCTTTATCATGCCTCCAACTGCCTTATGCTTGCCTAGCTGCCTGGTTAGACAGCTTACATTTGTAACCAACAAGTGAGTTCCAATGTTCCAAAGTCATTGCATCTTCATGGATATCCTCATTCATTGTTCTGGGGAGCCACATGGTGAATGTGAACTTGAGTTCTGAAGAGTAGGCTTGTGCCAGGCAGCCAGCTTCCCCGACGTGGAGCCAAATGTTGCATCTGAGCAGCATTTGAGCAGTATCTCCCCAGCCGCGACAATGAAATCAGGTCCTTACTAGAGAGTAGGGGATTGGTGACTGTAGACTCTGGTAATGATTCTGGCACTGCACCAGTAGCAGGCAGCCCTCATTTGTTTTGCTGCCTAGCACCCGGGCGAGATCATTGTTTATTATGGCTCAAAGGCAGTAATCATTTCACATAATGTGAGGATTTCTTTCACTCAATTACTTTCATGCTTTGGGCTGATGAGAATAATAATCATGTGTTGATTACCGGTATCTTGACAGATGATGCTGAGAAACGCAGGTCACTGCTTGCTCCTACCCTTTTTTCCCCTTAAACACTCAAGGTTGTGATTTGGAATTTCATTCAGTCACCACTATTACATCCCAAAGTTTCTGATGCTGAGAAGACCAAGACAAAATATTTCTTACAGGGGCCCTCAATTCCTGCAGTCTGCCCTATGGGATAATTTATGTTGATTTGTTTTAAAGAGACAGGCATACATAATTCATGTCCTGTGCATTTCGGCTTTTGGCCATTGAAAATACTATCTCTTTTGGCAGCGCTTGCAGGAACTAGCTACAATAAACATTTCATACCTCAGTGGACACTCTTTTCTCAGCTAAAAGAAGCCTGACTTATATGTAGACTCCATCATGAGAGGCCTGTATTTAATGAATTCAGCTGAGCATTTTTTCCTTCCAAAGCATAAAACAAGCTTATTATCTGTATCAATAGTTGGTTTTTCTCAAAAGGAGTCAAGGTGTGAATGGGCATGAAAGGGAAATTAAATTGAAACTCTTGGTGGTTTCATGGTTGGAGGCCAGTTTAAAACTCATACTCTAATAACTGCTTTTGAACTAGCTAGGAGAATTGTTAGATCAGAAAAGCATACAGATTTGAAGAGAGACATCAGGGTAGGCTTCCCATCCAGAAGGCAGAGAGCCAGACAAACGACACTTTTGAAGATATCGGTGCCACTGCTGAGGATGGCTGGATTCATACCTGTGTAGATTACAGGGGGTTAAATATGGTCTACACATGTAGTGCCAAAGTAGTAATTTAAAAATGCAAATCTCATCAAGCTGCTCTTCTCCTCAAATTCCTTCAGTGGCTTTCCATTTCACAGAGGATGAAGACCAAGGAGGCTGCATGATCATTTGGGTCTCCAATGCTTCATCCTCATCCAGTCTCCTGTTGCCTTTACTTACTGTGTTCTAGCTACTGAGGCCTTCCTTTGCTTCTCTACAACTGTTTGCTTTTACCTAAAACTCCTGTTTATGTTTCAGGATTCATCCTAAATAATACTTCTCCCAGGAACTTCTGTTTATTCTGGTAAGTTTAAATCCCTTTGTTAAGTGTACTCATGCCCTTTTTGTTGCTAAGATTTTATTACTCGGGTAATTTTTGATGTTTACATACCTACTAGACTGTAAACTCCTTAAAGGCACCTGGAGGATTCCACTTTGCAAATGTATCCACCTAAGGCATAATAGATATTAAATGAGTGAGTAAGTTAGTGCAGTGGTTCTCAAACAGTTTGAACATCAGAATCACCTGGATGGCTTGATAAGGCACAGGTTGCTGGGCCCCTAGAGTTTCTTCTGCATAAAGCTGGGACCAAATAATCTGCATTTCTAAGGCGTTCTGGGATGGTGCTGTAGTCACACTTTGAGAACCACATAATAATGTAAAGTCTTTTCATTACTGCACTACTGCATTCTTACCATGGGGACCCCAAGTTATAAAGCTTGCATTTTGGATCCATCTCTGCAACTAAATGCCTGGAAAACCTTAAGCAAGTTCTTATATTTTCAAGTCAGTCAATACATCTTACTGTTTCTTATTTTTTTGAGGTATCCCCTCCGTTCCTTCCCTCTGCCCTGTTTCTAGATGGAAGCATTGTAACCTCACATTTGAACTACTGTAACCACATCCTTATTCTCTTGGCTACCATTCTCTGCTCCTTGAACTATTTATTTTTTATTGCCAGTTATAAGTGCCTCAGATGTCATTATGACTAAACTTTGCCCTTGTCTAAAAATGTTGAAGATCTCAGTATTCAAGGCTTTTTCACGACCTAGATCTCCTGTGTGTGTTGCTCACCTCTCCTAAATTTGCATGCAACTCTTCATAGCTTATTGTAGTTATCTAATGGTCCATCTTTCCTGACAGGCTGCCAGCTGTATAGGGGCAAGCACCATGACATTCTCATTCACTTAACAAACTTGACCTGTTGTTGTTGCATCATAATACATTACTAAACAGATGAAAGTCACTGAACACTATATTTTGCCTCTTGTATAACAGTAACACTGATAACCCTAGAAGCACTTAAATGGATTTACTCTATGCCAGAATTCATTCTTCAAACAACTTTACACATATCGATGTATTTATTCTTACACTAAAGCATCCCCATTTTACGGGTGAGGAAATTGAGGTATAGAGAAGTAACTTGTCCAAGATCTCGCAAGTGGTGGTTCAAGCATGCATACTCTGGAATTTGGCTGTAGTTCATTATCTTACCTACCATGACTGAGGCATAGTCCAAATAATGCCTAAAATTACCTGAAGCAATAACAATCTCTTGTGTGCCAGTTTATTGAACTACACATAATCACAAAAAAATTATTCAGCACCTTTTATTTGTAGGGAGCTACGGCAAATACTGGGGAAGCAAGCATGGGTGGAATACAGCATGTAAGGTGCAAGTCTGTCTAATCCTACAGGTGGAGGCAGACAACCCATGTTTCACCACTTTCTTAGTAATGTGACCTTGGGCAAGTTACTCAACCTTTCTGTGTTCCGTTTCTTTAAAATGGGGAAAATAAAACATATTTTACAAACTTTCTGGCAGGATTAAATGCGAGGTGGTATATAAAGTATTTAGCACAATGAAACACGTCATGTCTGCTTAGTAGATAAGAGCTATCATTCTAGCCCTGGCCTTAAGGAGCTTCCCATATATTCATCAGTAGACAGCAATTGGTAGTGATGCTCTTGGATTAAGAATTTAGCTGCCATAAATTTTTGCCTCAATATGTCTAAGACGAAATCTCATGTGTCCAGGATTGGCCCCAAAAGTATATAGGAGTGGTGGGCCATATCCAATTAAAGAGGAAATCAAACTTAAAGAACATAAAATGATTCATAAATGGAGGTTTTTTCTTGACCACTCACTTATTTGTTATTTATTGAGCAGGTGTCAAACTGCTAGGCACCAAGAATTCAGAGAAGAAAATAGTGTTTGTCTTTTTTCTCTCAAAACTGTTTTCATCACTCATGCTATATTTGAACTTCTGTTATTGACTCTCTTGACCGGTGTTTTAAGATAATGAAGCTAAGTTTAGGCTTATATAGAAAACATACCAAAGAGCTTATATTGAACAGAATTAGAAGGCTTCAGGTTGGTAGACTTTTAACATAGCTTTTCCACAACTAGGCAGGTGCAATGCCATCATATAAAATCTTTATTTCATCGATTCTCATCTTTCACTTTAGCAGCTTTTCAAGCTGCTCTACCTGTCATAGCAACAGTGTTACATCATGATGAGCTGGTAGGATATTACGGACATCTACAGTATAAAAGGTGGAAGTAGGATTTAGGTTTCTATAGATGCTATACTTGCTCATATACAAATGTATATACACGTAACACCCAGAGAAGATTATAACAATATACATAATATAATCATTGAAATTAATGAATGGTAGATTGATGTATCCAGGGGGTTGTTTCCAGGACCCCCATAGATACCAAAACCAGAAGATGCTCAAGTACTGTATAAAAAATGGCATAGTATTTGCATGTAACCTATGCATATCCTTCCATGTCACTAGATTACTTGTAACATTAAAACAATATAAATGCCATGCAAATTGTTATATTGTATTTGTGTTTTTTGTATTTTTTTTCTTTTTGAATATTTTTGATGAGCAGTTGGTTGAATCCATGGATGAGAATCCACAGATATGGAGGGCTGCCTACACTCATATAGGGAAAGCATATATATAAGTATACAGACACACACAAGCACACATTTGTAATCATCCAAATTTTACCTCTTCTGAGCCTATGGAACCAATTTAATCTTGGTACAGCAGGCCCCAAGGCAACCATCAAACACTGCACAGACAACTGCTTATTGGGTGCTTCTTAGGGAGGCTCACAGGAACTTTCAAAAATAGGATAGGCGGGGCTAGATGAGAGTGAGTATATAAAAGACCATCTATGCAGAGAAATTTCAGCATTGCATTTTTCTCCCTATGAAGAAATCTGCTCAATTCATTTGTTTTATGGTATTTAAATATCAAAAAATAAGGTCCCTTTAAGAAGCCAAGTGATAAGACAATTTTTCATCTAGAACAGTGATTTTCAAACTTTAGTGCATATTACTATCACTAGAGGCTAGTATAAAATGCGAGGTCAGATCCACAGGATCGTTTCTTGGGAGTGGGATCCAGGAATCTGAATTTTAACAAGCATCCCACTGTTCTGCTGCGTTTGATCTGTGGCCAATATATTGACAAACACTAAAGTGTAAATTAAAAACAGGCAGGGTACTTCTCAGAGCTACTCGGTTAACAGAAAGGAGAACGAAGATGCAAGGCTTGTTGATCTGTTTGGCAAGAGAGATAGTTAAGCCACTTTGATATTGAGAGGCAGGTGGGGAAATTTACCACTCTGAGTACCAGCAGCAGGAGCAGCTATGAAAGGAACCACATTTATATCCTTCTAACCGTCAAAAATAAAATGAAGGAGTTGATGTCGGATATAAAAAGTGACCTGAAATCAGCAATAACTGATACGTTTAAGAATTTATTGAGATAGTCAAAACTAATAATTAGTCAAAACTAATATGTGAAAATTGTTAGCTCTTTTAGAAATTAAGGATAAATATCATAGGGTGCTGATATTATATAAAATAACATGTGGGAAGTTCTTAGAATAGTTCCTGGCATGTACAAATTCTTCAACTGTTGTATGTATTATTAACTTGCAATTATATAACTTTGAAAGCATTTGTTGGTTGGATCAAGGTTATAGGTCAGAAAGGCACAATAATTCCATAGTCCCTAGAGAAATAGGAAGATTCCTACTGAAGGAGAGGACAATTCAAGTGAAGAGCGTAAGAAAATGAATCTAGAATCCCAGAAATCAGAGAAGGTGATGTAAGGCCACCAGATATCAGAATACACAAGTAAAGCTGATCCCCAAGGAGAAGGTATTCTGACTTGTAAGAGCTTCCATATACTGCAGACAGTAATTGGCTATCACTGATCATTCAGGTAAAGCCAAAAATTATAGGGAAGAATCAAACACTGCACAGACAAGTGCTTATTAATAGAATGTGAGAACTCAGGCACCAATGACTCATGTTCAACACTAACTTGGAACATGAGAAAACACTTCTTAAGTGAGGCCATTTCTGAGATTCTGAGATAGCAAAGTATAAAACCAACTGTATATTTACTTTCATGTCAATATATTTTATCACAATGTAGTTTTTATTAATAAGTTGTGTTGACTAACAAGTCAACACCCTAAACTAAGACTCATTGGTATTTATGCAATTAACTCAGAAGAAGTCTTACAAAATTCCTAAGGTTACTGTTGTATCACAAAGATGAAATTTTAAAAGGTCCAGAGACACTTCACTCCCTTATAAGCTAAATATCTGGCAATCCCAAATGTATAAAATGGCCTGGAAGTGGGAAATAATAAGTGTTGGCTACTCAATGCTTTAAGTATCTAACAGCAGATATTAAGTGTCTGCTCCAGGACCTGGTATCACAGCACTTGCAGTAATGCACCATCCCTTTCAGTTTGAGTGACTGAGTTACTCATATTCTCAGAAGCTAATTAATCTTATTTGAAATAAAATTCTAACATGTTGTAACCCTACTATCAACAGCACACTACATTGTAGCTTAAGGTGGTACAATTAAGGGCAAAAAGTGGCAGGGAGTAATCCAATGATGAAGGAAATGGAAAAACAAAAAAAGCAGACAAAGATTCAAAATGAGACTCTGAAGTCATTTAAGTAAATCCTGTATTCGCTTGCATACCATTGACAAATTGCTGAACTCCCCAAGGCCACATTGCACTTTGAGACAAAGGGGTAGCAAGAGATAGATGAGAGAGAGAGATTTCCTGAGAACAAGGATTTAAATGATATGATCAATCTTATACTTTCCCAATTCTAATATTGATTCTATAATAATTAATGGAGTCGATTAATGAGGCTTTATAGTGTTAGATCAAGCTTTCCTCATATCCAAGCTTCTCCTTGGCTGTAAATGAGCCTTCAAAATGGGAGAAACACTCATCTTCCTGGAGGCCGAGACTATATAAAGGATGTGATTTCTCTGATATATTAAAAATTTAAGTGGTGGGCTTGTGTTAGCTTTGGAGATACTCACTAAATAAAATGGGACCATCCACCATGTTTAACCTTGTTTTGCATATATTAAGCAGTCTCTTTATACCCACTTCAGTAGAAAAACAGGATGGTTTTTTTTTTTTTTTACAATTTTTAAAAAATTTAACATTGACATAATTATATTTATGGGTTACAATATGTTTTGACTTATGTTTACATTGTGGAATGATTAAATCAATCTAATTGAATCCATCACCTTACAAATTTCTAAAAAGCTGATGGATTTTGATGGCATCAGATTGCTTTAGTAGGAATCTAGGATCTGCCACTTACTTGCTGTGTGACCTTAGCTACTTCTCACTCACTTTCCTCATCTTTAAAGTGGGGACAGTCTGGTGTCTGCCACACAACATTGGTTTTGGGATGAGATTAGTTGAGATAATTATGATCTGCTCTGTCTGTGTCGGCTAAGCCGATTATTGTTTGTCCAGGGCTGATTGGGAATACCTGGGAGACCTCTGCCAGCTCCCTTTCAGTGCTGTATGGCAGCAAGCTGTCCAGAACACACACTTGTCTATCAAAGGAAAACAGATCATTACAGAGAGATATTAGTGATTCTATTCTTAAACTGTTGGGTAAAACCACGCTTCACCATGATGCTCCAAATCCTCCTTAAAATACCTTCAATCTGGTGTATTATTGTGACAGCCAACTGTGTGCCAGGCAGGCAGTACCTATTAAAAGTTGTTTGGAGATTAGGGCTCAGAGAACAGCTGGGTACCTTTGTTACTAGCAGTCTGCTGACTCAAAATGAGGGGTGGGGGGGGAAAGCCTCACTGGGATGAAGACAGCAAAGAAAAACCGCAGAGCTGGGGGGAAAATAAAAACAGCTTTGGCCTTTGAAAACCGATTGCTCTGCTGTCCTGTCATGAAGTAGGTAATATGGGCATTCACAATTCCACACAGGATCTAATTCAAGTCTTAAAAAAAAAATACAACATGATAAAAACCCAGGTCCAGGTGCAGGCTGTTTTCTCTTGGTACTTGGTTTGAGGAAGCATTTGTTGCTCTATTATGAAAGCGCACACACTGCCTGCCCTCGCTGCCCAGCACCCCACCTCAGTCTCCAGGGCTATAGGAATGCTGATCACAGATGGGCTCCCACTGCCTTAGCAGAGGGAGATTCCTGTCTTTGTCAACATTACATATGATTCACATAACTAACTGCTCATGCCTTATGATTCCAGGCAATCAATGGTGAATCTAGTTACAGCTTAAGAGAACCAGGTGCCAGAAATATCTTCCATCTCTCAGTGCCTTTGGGCATTCTCATTCAGTACTGAAAGCAGCTTGACAAAGGAGGCAACATAAATGTTTTTAGTCCCTTTTACAGATGAAAACACTGAGACCCAAAATGTTCAAACATCCTGCCCATCGTCCCAGAACTAGTTGGCGACAGACCAGGAATCTTGGAATGAAAACCTATAACCCATGAGTGAGCATACAGTGACATAGATCCTGCCAGAAACACTCCACATTTTCACCCCATGACAATGGACACTGTGTCCCTGAAAAGTTCTACTTTGGTTTGGGTCTAGTAGATGGTGCCACATCAGGGAAACACTGTACAACAGAAGGGATACAATTTTAAAATAAAGTTTTCCATCAGGCGGCTGCCTTCTTTTGTCTGAGAAAGATTTGTGCCTGAAAGTTTTAGGAGACAGCATCCCAGTCAGCTTCATTCTTTCTCTGATAATTTATCCATATGAAATCCTTGCGGCTCTCAAATCAGATGAGAAATGTTCTAGAATACTAGAAAACATGGTGTAGACAGAAGCCAGTACTGTTGCAGCTAATACAAAGCCTGAAACCCTCTGCATTTGCTGCTATGATCCCTTTACTTACGTTGTTAGTTGCGTATGTGAATTGTGCCTTCCATTCCCTTTGCAAATGTTCAGTGGGCTTGCACAGTGTGTTACACTAAATAGGTGTGCATGAATTTTACCAAATCTCATTGAATTCCTATGGCTTGTCTTCAGAACTATACATGTTACATTCCAGAGTCAAAAGAAGCTCAGTGATGGGGGTGGGGCAAGAGTCAGTACCCTCCGAAATGGGAGCATGTTGGAGACACTGTGGCAATGCTAGGGAGGGGGATCTCTTATTAGCAGTCATCAAAGGTTCTTGCCCACTTGCACTGGCCTGCTGTTCTGCCCTACTGAAACCTGTGCAGGAGAGAACCATCAACAGCTTTAGTTGGTGGGAAGGGGAGGCAGAGCACTAGGAGAATAAACTGCCACGGTATAGTTGTAAAAGGCTACTGGAAAGTAAACACACCAAAATGTCAATTAGGTAATTTCATCATGGACTGATGCTTTCTCTCCTAGTTTTTTTATATTTTGAGGATGGATTACTTTTATAATGGCAAAAAAAAAATTACTTCAAAATTTTTTGCAGTGTTTCTATTCTGCCCCAATTTAATACCATCCTTACAAAGCTCACATCATGTGTGAAACTTATTGAAAAGTATAACCAGGATAATCTGCTAAATTCGTTAGGAAGACAGAAGATGTAGCTGACTTCAGTGAGAGTTTGAAGTGAATGCAACCCAAGTCATGTATAGTTCACTTGAAGGACATTTGTTCAGTCAACAAGGATTTCCCATCCCCCACACCCAAGTCCAGCCCTTTCCAGTGGGCCCTTGTGCGTTTTATTCTTGTAAACACACTTCAATATCACCTTCTCTAAGAAGGGGCTGTTCATTTGTATGAGCTTCTGTAGGTCTCCCTTCTAAGAGATGCCTTAGCGAAGCTTCATGTGCTCTGGAGGTCTCGGGCCCTCCTCCCTGTCTAGGAGGCTCCTCCAAAGTGAATTAGCTTCATTTCCCATTTTCATTCTACCTTAAACCTGTGAGGTGTTTGTTTCCTGGGGCCAGGGCTTGCTGGGGCGTTCAGCAGCCTGCACACCAGCTGCTGCTCTGCTCCCCAGTGTACATCTTGTAACAACGCAGCTCCTTTGCTGGTTGTTGAATAGGTAGAGGGGCAGCTGTGAAGGGCAGAAGAAAGCCGATTATTTCACTTTCTTTCTTTTCGGAATTCTGCTTTGTGATCTTGTTCCCTCTTAGAATGTTTCCCGAGAAGCCCGTTCTATTTAGCTCTTCTCTTGCTAGGGAGCATTTTCTGACAGTTTTCCAAAATGTGTATATTCCAGGCAGTTAGTTGGAGGTTTCGCACATATTCTAGTTAGGAAAGCTCAGCCTGGCTTTTGTGGCCCAGAAGCCCAGAATTTCAGCAACTCACAAAGAACTCAAATATCCTTATGTGTGATATTTGAAGGATAGGGCTTTGCAAGTCAGCCTAGAAAACGAGGATAATATCTCTTGGCTGTAGAACAAACTGAAAACTCATTCCATTCTGGCTTGGAGAACAAGGATTTCTCTCTCAGAACAAGTTTTCAGGGATGATAGTTAATGACCTGTCATGTTTTTCTTATGATTTCAAAAAACTAAATTAAAATTGCTACTTATTTTTATAAATTATATGTGAAATGTATTTAATAATTTAAACTTACTTCTTAAATTGCTTTTCTTCAGAGACCTTTTGTCTCCTCTCACTTGTTTGACCTCAGTCTTCAGAAGCAAACCAAAATACCATTTCAGGTAGATCAGTTAGCAATTGCTAATAAAGTGTGAGTTGCAGATTTTGAGTGTATAGAGTAAGTGTAGCTAGCTATGAGCACTGTGTACATGAGAAGTATCTATCACTGTGTCTTTCTCCATTCCACAGCTCTTGCAAACCACAGAACTCAACATCCATGCAACTCCTTAACTGATGTGCCTGTTTGGATATTCAAATACTTTCTAAAAAACCAAAAATTATGCATTAGCTTGCAGCACCTACACTCTAGAAAAATCAACCCTCAGGGTCTTTTGGTACCATGGTCTGGAGTTGCTTTTATTTTCCTAGCTTTTGTCAGCATACTGCTAACTCGGTTGATAAGTGTTCTTTCTGTTTAATGATTTATGCTTCAGAGGGATTTGTATAGGCAAAATAGATAAAGCCATATATTTCCTTATAGGACATATTTTAGATGACATTACTTTGAATTCAGAACCTGTGCTCTCACTGTGGGTATCAATGACTTCCTCAAAACAATTCAATAATTTCAAGGGCACTGTCTCATTTGTGAAGGTCTTTTACAGTTAATATGACTACCTCAGATAATTACAATACTGCTTCTGGTATGCTACAGTATATAATAGAATCCAGTGTTATTAACTGAAATGAAATAGTCGAATTTTTGGTAAATGTAACAATTTGATAATTAGCCACACATGCTATTATCCATTCCATATTCACATAATTGGTAAATGTTATGCAGTTTTATCTTCAGTGAAAACATTTAAGTATCTTGTTGACTTTTGTTTCAGAGAAAACATTTTTAAAATTCTATGAATGTCTTAGGGCACTAGAATTGAAGTGAAATACATCTTTTGAGCATACAGAGCTGACATCATTGTAGGGGTATGTTGAATATATGTTATGTATTTTATGTATTTTAGTAGAAAGGTGCTGTATGAATGTGAAAGCTCCTAATTAGCTTTTGTAAATCCTCTAGCTATGAATTGCTTTTTAAACAAGGATGAAATGATAGCAGAACACACACACACAAACACACACACACACACACACACATGCGCTAATATAATACTGACTCATCAGGCAGTTGACATGATGTGGTCATTCAATATCTAGCCTCTACTTTTAAAAAATTATTGTTGGAATAGTAGATAGGAATATAGATTTAGCAAAGTGCTTTGAGATTTAGGAAGCATCTCTACAGAATGCCAAGAAAGTGTTAAAGAATTTAAATGAGACCTAAAGGAGTTTTCTACTGGTGAGGCAGTAATTATATTAGAAGCCAAACCATCACATATTAAGGACTGTTTTGTGCTCACCATTTGTAGGTGAAAAGGCAATCTTTTGGAAGACAAAAAGAACAAACAGCCCATCATCATGTAGAAATGTAGAAACATTGTGCTGTTCACAATCTTGTTACCAATAATTAGCTAATTATTCTTTTTTACTAAAAGCGAAAGGATACATGAGCACTGCACATCATGGGAAAGGAGAGGTGTCATCAGAACAGGCTGCAGACACACATCCAGGGTAAAGTTAGCTGGATTATTGTGGGTCCTGGTTGGTCAAACCATGGTTGCCAGGAAAACCAGGAAGATTTAAGTTATCAATCTAGTTCTAGTAGACCTATGACTGAGGGTATTTATCTGTCTAGAAGGAAGAATTTTTAGTCAATGGAGGCAATAATTTTAGGCAAATATGGTTTCCATCAGAAAAGTCCAAAGGAAAAGTGTTGCTTTGGGAAATATGCGAAGAATGACAAAGGGACAAGACTTTAGCCCAAAGATTGGTGCAACCTAACCTGAGTTGACTCATAAGTCCATGATTCAATGGAGGACAGTAGTTCATTTTTAGTAGGCTAGTCAAATATCTAAAATGGAAAAATGCAAATAGATACACGTGTAAGATAAGAGACAATTAGGAAAAAAGGCTCCTTACAAAGTTAGCTCAAGAAAATTCAAAAGAAGCAGGAGAAGCCAGACTATTTCTAGACACAGAAAATATAATGACTAGCTCAGCCTCAACAAAAGGTCTGAAAGTAAAATTGGACTGGAAAAATAGAAGGTTCTCAGACCATACAAATGAGAAGTTGGGTGTTTAAGTGAGACAAGTGTAACATTTACTGCACTTAGTTACACATTAAGGGCTCTGCACACATCTTGATGTATCTGTGTATTATTCATCCATGCTGCTGCTTGGCTTATTGTGGATGAATTCCTATTTCTAAGGATCCGAGTTCAAGCAGTCAATTCAAGTGATGTTAAAGTAGGAAAACGGAAGTATGGGTGGAATAAAATAACCACATAATCACAACCTGTGTCTACTCCAGGTACGGAGACAACTCTGAATTGAACGCCTAGTTATACAAACAGTAGTTATGCAACAAACAGCAGCTGTCTGACTTGGATCTATCATCTTACCAGGGCGCACTAAGTTGCTCTAGCACCATCTCTTGCCATTTCTAGACTTAAACTTTATACTCCAGTAAGACTAAATTGCTTACTATTTCAGAACTTTTCACACTATTTACCTTGCCTTGATCTTTTCCTGCTCGTTTTCCTGTTGGGCTGCTATTCATTCTTCAACTCTTCAGCTAATCTTCTGTCTCCTTTAAAAAAAAAGTCTTCTGAGAGCTCCTCAACAGTCTTAATTACTCGTTCCTTTGCACTGCCTTGTCTCTTATAGGCTTTTTTATTCTTGCTGTTTCACACTGCATTTTAATTTGTTTGTTATGTAGTTATTTTATCCGCAGCGCTTGAGCTCTTTGGAAGAAACAGTGTCTTGTTCATCTTTGTGGCTTCATAGCTGGCATACAGCCAGAATTGCCATGGAAGGGACTCAATGAACTACCAATAAATTAGCGAATGAATGAATTAGAACCCAGGAACTCAAATATGGATCACAAATGTGGTTGCCTTTAGTTCTAGCAAATTTTCATGCAGTATCTGTAAGACACAACCTCTTAAAACACCTATTTGGAGGCAGATACTATGTTAGGCGTCAGCTACTCTACTAGTCCTTTACCTGAAGTAACTCATATACAGTGTCACCAAAACCCTGTGAGAAGGGATGTTCTCCCTTTAGATAAGGAAGCTGAGGCATAAAGAGGTTAAGTAATTTTCCCAGGATTACACAGTGAATAGTAACTGAACTAAGATGAAACAGTGGTAGTGAGTTTCAGAGCTGAGCTCTCAACCACCATACCACTTTTTAATAAGATTTTATGAAAGTTGGCTCTTCTTAGATAATTCTGAAAAATGAGTCCGGAATTTCATTTTCTGGAATGATAAGAGGCATTTTAGCTGAAGCAACCCAACATTTGTAATGGATTTAATTTGAGACCATGCCAGGACAGTTATCATGGTTCATTTAAGTATCCATTAAGTGGATGGGGAAAAGAAAACCACTATGAGACCAGAAGGGGCCTCTAATGAGAAAAAAGAAGAGGATGTGGGAAACTAAGTATCTGAAGTATTGGGAACATATATTATACAACATTATAGAGACGTGCACCTGCTCATATTCATAAATTTTAAAAAAGCCTTGCTTATGGCTGGGCGCGGTGGCTCACGCCTGTAATCCCAGCACTTTGGGAGGCCGAGGCGGGCGGATCACGAGGTCAGGAGATCGAGACCATCCCGGCTAAAACGGTGAAACCCAGTCTCTACTAAAAATACAAAAAATTAGCCGGGCGTAGTGGTGGGCGCCTGTAGTCCCAGCTACTTGGGAGGCTGAGGCAGGAGAATGGCGTGAACCCGGGAGGCGGAGCTTGCAGTGAGCCGAGATTGCACCACTGCAGTCCAGCCTGGGCGACAGAGCGAGACTCCGTCTCAAAAAAAAAAAAAAAAGCCTTGCTTATAAAATTATAACATATGTAGTAGACCCAAGCAGTGTTGAAATCAAACACTCCAACAAACAAAATGTACATTCAAAGAAAAGCAGCCTCTTTGCATGTATTTTTCAGATACTGAAGAATATTCGCAAACCACAGCAATATTTTTAAAATTCTATTTGTTTCTGTATTCACTTCCCTCAGACACCATAGTTGTTCGCTCTCTAGAAGTTGTCACTAAATCTCTTCCAAATAAACCTTCTGAATTTCCTTCTCTAGGTCTACAATTCTTTTTGATTGTGTAGCACGAAATCTTAAAGGAGTTTGGCAAGGAAAGATCTTCCTTTGTCGGGGAGTAAGGGGGAGGGAGGAAGTTTAGGGCAAAGCCAAGGACCCTTTTAGTAAGCAAGGGGAAGAGGACGGACCTCTATATGAACAATTGTTCCTCTGGCTCACCAAATTGAAAAACAAGTATAAGTAGGCCGTGGGCATCTACAAACTGAACATACATAAAGTTGTTTTCTATAAATGTTTCCCAGAGGAATAAGGCTGCACCCTTAATTTTAAGAAATTGGGCTAATAAAAGGAAAAGGCCAATACACTTGACTACGCAATTTTAAAAAGCTTAAGAAGTTCTATATATAAACTAAGTGCAAAGGTGATCTGGGATTTTTATTTGGGCAAAATTTAAGAGAACACGTTATTGCATATACTTCTAAAAGAGGCGCAACTAACAGTGGGAAGACAAGAGGGAAAAAATAAAGCTTAACAAAGGAGATGCCATCTAGGTTGCCTTGAAGGATGAGTGTAACAGGTGTGTGTGTGTGTATGTAAAAAGATGAGCAGGACACAGTAACAGTGCTATCTCTTATAATTCCATTGAGTACATGTAAGTCTTTTGGACTCTGTATATAAACAGTATTACATCTGGGTGGATATGCTGTTGACCACTGAGAAGGGAAGAAAATCTTTATATCTTTATGGAGTATACTTCTGAGTGAAGGCTAACTCAATCATGGCAAGTCTCCTGATGTCATTTCATCAGGCACAAAAGATTAGTCTTTAAATAGTCTCCCAATTAAAATTCTGTTCCTTAATAGACACAAATGCCAGTGCCTCCCTTACGTGGTGTTAGGCTTATGAGAATTTCCATTTCTGTTGTCTTTCCTCTTTGGAGTGTCCCTCTCTGACCCACCCCCTTGTGAGATATACTGGAGGATCAGCTCCATGGGGTCTTAGATGGGCTGAACATTCCATCCTCTATACATTTGCCACTCTTTGAAAACAAACTATTAAAACATGTGCCAAGCTTGAGTCCATGTGCTAATCAGCATGAGATAAGGTGAACTATTTTCATCCTGGGAGACTTTTTCAAAACCATTTTCCTTCTTTCACTGCATTTTGACTATAAATCAAATGTTGAATGATTATCACTCCCTTCCTTATAAACTAAATTTTGCCTTCTTTATTTTTTTTGCTGCTATTAGCAAAACAGATTGATTCATTAGAAGCTAGCTGCAGTCTCTTCAATTTCTCCATAGAATGCAGTTGCAGCAAAGGCAAATTACTAATAGTTTATCTTGAACAATGAGGCTCAGTGTTTGACCGGGAAGCCTTCACTACTAAAAATAAGTCTGAATTTCAAAAACTGCTGAATTGGAAGGTTCCTAGCAATGGTCCAATGTAACTTCCTTCTCAACTTTAAGTGGTTGTTCAAAAAGACAGCTTGAAGTTTTTTTTTTTTTTTTTTTTGGACAGGGATTCACTACCTCACAAGACAGATGGCTCTTCATTATTAAAATCTTTTTTCTTTCCCCTCGAAAGGTTCATGGCAGTTTCTTTATCTGAATTATGAACCATGTCATAATAGAGATTTATAATAAATCCATTGTTCCAATACTAACTGAGCGCTATCAACTTCAAATACTGCTGCTGTTGGCTATAATACATTGAGTGTCTACTACCTAATAGCTGCTTTGCCTTGACTGTTTCTAAAATCTCAGACAACATTCAAAGGAAGCTTTATTATTCCTGTTTTACTGATAAGGAAACAGACTCAGATAATTTAACTGACTTTTCCCAAAACAGACTAACAGAGCCAGTATTTTGAACCCAGGGGTGTCTGGCTCCAAAATTCACTTATTTTCCCACTAAAAAATATACTCTGCTACTTTGATCTACTGCCTATTATATCAGGCACTGAGCTAGATGCTATAGAGGTAGAGGAATTGACCTATAGTATATATTCTACCCAGGAAGTTATCAATTTGGCAGGAAAGACAGTCACATATTGACAGTATCTATAGCAGAGAGGACTTCATCCAACTGTGTCTTGTCCTCTAGGTAGAATACCACAGCACTACTGTTAGCATTTCCTTTGTAAAACTGAAGGTCTAAAACTTTCCAAAAAAGCTACCACTATTGTTGACTGAAAAATGTTCCCTCAAAAGAGATCCAAGACCATCTTTGTGTCTGAATCTAGCATCTATTCTGTCTATTGCACCTCATAAACTGTTTTCTCAGAGTTATGAGGTGGAAGAGGTCAGCACAGGTTCATACAATGTGGCAAGAATTCTGGACCAGGGTCCAGATCAACGTAACTTAGTTCACAAAAATTGTCAGAGAACAGTGCAGTAGATAGACTGGCTGTTGTCTTAATGTTCATACTGTACGGAGTGAGTGAGCTGCTTGGAACTCTTTACCTGTGTGCTTCTGTGTATAAAACCTGCTCTGAATTGTCCTTCCTTGAATAAAAATAATGCTAGGTATGTAGAATATAGAGGGGTGCTGGGTATGTGTGCGTGTGTAGTTAAGAGCTACTTAGAGGAAAATTGGCTGACATGGAAGGCTGATATAATTTAAGTCCAGCCCAACTGAGCATTCAGATGTTTTAAAGTCTCAGTTCTGACTTGAGATGTAAAATCCATCAACAAGAAAAAGTAAATCATGGAAGAAAAATATGATTTATATATTTGATCTAATCAAATCACTTTATATTTGGCAGAGATGTGAGCCCAGAGAATTATCAGTTCAGGACCACACATATTGTTAGCGACATATTATAATTTACATATATTTTCCTTTTCCATGACACCTTACCCTACAACATACAAATTTATAGTTATAATTATTGTAACTCAAAAAGTTTATAAACTCCGTAGTACCTGGAATAATATTTTCAAAACCCATGAACTACTTTAGCATGATCTTTGCAGTGAGTCAATGAGGTGCAGTAGAAATAAAACAGGTGTTAGATTCAGACAGAGCTGGTTTTAAAGCTTAGCTCTGTGACTTCCTAAGCTGTATGGTTTTGGGCAAGTAACTGAACTTCTAGATTTTCAGTTTCATCATCTGTAAAATGGGGAGAATAAAATTTACCTACATACATACTTCTAAGGATTTAATCAAATACAGTGTATAAAGCACGAAGCTTAGTACAATTACAAATGTTAGTTCCGATGAGTCAGGATCTACATATTATTTACTTCCTTTTCTTCCATTTGCTTTCAATTTAAAACTCTGGTTCATTTAAGAACAGACATGATTAGGACATGCTTCAGAGTAGAAAATTCACCCCATTAATGTTAATCTCCATGACTATCACCCCTACAACTTGCTCCCTTTTGCTCTACCCTGAGGAAATCAATCAGCTCCATATTAATTGTCAACTTGTATAAAACAGCAAAATCTGACAAATTTTGGAAAAAGATGAAAAAGTCACTGGTATATGCTGGGAGTTTGAGGATGAGCTATGTCTTTGACTGTCATATGAATATTTTTAATGGCATACTGTTTTGAGTTTTGTAGAGAAGCTATAGAAGAGGAAGTGTTATAACCAAAGTCCACCATCTTTCATCTTGAACCTCTTATTAGCATGTCTAGGATATGAAAGAAAGGTACAAATTCAAGAGGATATTTTTCCCTACTCTAATTCTCATCATGTGTCTTATGGAAAAATTCATATATTCAATCTATTTTTCAGTCTCCATTTCAGACTCCCACTATAATCAAGATAATGTACTTGCTTCATTCATGTTCTGCAATCAATATCATCTTATATTCTTTATTCTTCCCCTCTCCCCCATATATGTTATCTTTGCCTATTTTCTTCCTTCTTCCCTTTAACAAATGTTATTATACAAATAAGAGTTCTGATTAATATCGAGAGTGAAAGTTATTAATGAAACATTGCCACTTTGTCTCACTGCAGCTGAATTTGCCAGATACCTAGTTCAGTAGCACCGTGATGAGAAAAATCCCGTAAACATTTCTAAAGAAAACAGGTACACTTTAAGGGTCTAATGCAATGTGACTTGAGGATATTTCATGGTTTGAATAAAGACTGCCTAGATAGGATGCACAGGCAAATTGGGGCACCCTGCCTGGGCTAAGCCCCTGGTGTTAATGAGACACTCTGCAGGGCATCCTGGCTGCACCAACGAGACAGGTAGAAGATGTCAGTGTGTGCCTCCTCGGCATTTGAAGCTAGCACTAATTTTCAAATTTCCGTCCTGCCTGGCAGGGGAAACACTTCCTCAGACACATGATAAAACTGCGGTAAGAAGTGGAATAACAAGGCTCTGGCAAGGCCTGTTTCAGACAGCCATTGTGTTCACTAGCTGTGTTGACTGCATGCCCTCAACACTCACACATGAATAACTCAAGTGAACTGACTACCTCTCTTTACTGTACACATTGAGGAAGATTTTTCATCTGACAAGTGTAGTATGTAGAAGGAGAGTATGGCAGTCTCTGCAGTGGTTGAAGGTGAGGGGTTGAGAGACTGGAAACAAATTACGTAAATGCATGTTTGCTTAATATTAGAAAAACAACACTCCCTTGATCAGAACTCAAAGCATAAGGAATGCTGTTCTAGTTATTACCCCATTTTTGAGAACTTTTCTTTATGGAAAGTTTCAAACATATACAAAACTATGAAAGAATTAACCCTCATGTACCCATCACCCAGTTTCAACAATGATCAAATTTTGCTCAATGATCAATTTTGTTTCATCTACCACCTTTCTTGTCCCCACCCAATCCTCCACCTCACATTACATGGAAACAATCCTGGCATGACTAATTTCATCTACAATGATTTTGCATATATATCTCCAGGAGCTATTTAAAAGCCTGATAGCTACAAAACAAACAATAATTCCCTATAATCAAGTATCCGTTTAGTCAATGTTCAATTTCCCTGACATTTTTACATTGTGTTTGAATCAAGATCAAAATAAGATTGTTCTATTGCAGTTGGTTGATGTATATGTTAGTACTATTTTTAATCTATGTGTTTTCCCCATTTGGTTTGGAGTATTCTTCGAATGTGAAGCTCCATGCCTTTGTACTAGCAGTTTTAGATCTGTCTTTAAAACTTCAGGCAAGTTAAATGTCTACGTATGGAGGAATGCTTGAATCAACTACACTATGTGTGTTTGCTTAAATCTTGGGCATGATGCAGTTGAAAGAATGGCCTTTGTGAAATAAGTTATTTTTGAACCTGAATGTATCATTTGTAAAATGGGAGTAATGATACCACCTCAAGGATTAAGTACATTCATCTCCCATTATGGTGCTAAGTATATAACACCAGAGCATAAATGGGTATTTTAAATGGTATACATGTTAAAATTATATCAAATTTTTTAATGAACGTATTTCCCCATTAAATCATGTTAGATTTCAACTAAGTCTTTTTCTTCAGGGAAGGAGACAGTGGGGGCTGCCCCATGCATCATGGATCAGCTGTAAGTCTCAAAACAGACTTTCCTAAGAACATAGACAACCTGAAAGCCAGGTTTCTGGAGCAACAGCATGGGTTGCTAATTTTAAAGTCCCTCCTTTCTCATATGAAGAGATAGGCCTTATAACAATATTTTTTGTTTGGTTTGATTTTTTTTTAGGTTGACAGAAAAAACACAGGATAAAGTATGGTATGGTAGTTCTAAGTCAAGCAAGAAGAGGAAACCATGCTATCAATGCTGGTGCAGGGGAGAATCCAAACGAGCAGAGAGATGTGAACAAAAAGTCCAAACTGGAAGGGAAGAGAGTTAGGGCAAGCAGGTGGGAAGCATGTGTCTTGGCTTCTCTCTCAGGCATATGTTATAAGGAATCAGAGACTTTTCCGTAGGTTGAAGAGAAAGCTGAAAGTGCAGGGGTGGTTTCCCTTTCTGTACTTAGAAAATTTCACCTTTAACTCAGGGCCAAATCCAAAGTAATATAGGAGCGATGGTGTAAAACTGATAAAGATGGTTAGACAGACGAGCAGAAAACAGTTTTCCTGACTCCCATGTGCATTTCGTAATCCCAGTGTGCCAGTGGGCCCAGGGGAGCGAGTGTGGGGGCTCTGAGAAAGCCAGTGAACCAGTAGAAGTCAGGCAATATAATAGAAGAGGAAAAAATTGAGACTTTTTCCCCCCCATCCTTATGATCCCACATAAGCCATTTTCCGGTCCATTCCCACCACTACCCCTCCAAAAAAAACCCACACACACACAAACTACAGATTGTCTTGTAAAGAAACAGATGGAAAACAAATCTAAAACACTGAGCCTGTAAAATACGCTCAGTCACCCAAGGGACTATTTTTAACCTCACCCTGACAGAGGGAGAGTTAAACTTTGAGTATTTTATAGACAGACTGCTTAAACTGGAAGAAATTAAGCTATTATGAATTGTCAAGTTTTCCGAATTACCTAATAAGAATCAAGTTAGCTCTAGCAACTTATAAAGCTATATTCTCTTTGCATATCTGAATGTTGTGTAATTTGACTCTAATGCACAATGATACAGGGGAAAAGTAGAACTCAGAATTTTAAAAGTGATTATAAACATGTAAAATGAAGTATGAGAGAAAAGATTGAGAATTATTGTTCTAAAATGTAAATAGTTTGTGTTTGATTATGGGAGCCTAGAGGATTTTCTTCTTACTCTTGTCATTTAATACTTACAGATATTTTTAAACTTGGAATATTGACCAAATTAAACACATTACAATTAATAAGCAATGATTGAACACTAATTTTCACAGGTACTATGCTAAGCACTATGGAAGATAAAGGTGGATGAGACATGGCCCCAAAGCCAAATGAACTTACAGCGTGGAGAGACATATGGGTAAGCGGCAAGGGAATTCAACACTGATTATCTCCTAGCTATGAGAAACTACAATGTTCTTCCCATCTACTACAACCCACCTCCTGAGGATTTCAATTCAGTTTGATGATGATGAAAAGCAAAGAGTTAAACTATGATAACTCAGGTTTCTCTTCATTTCCTCATGTGTCCCTTTGGCAAAAAGTTTAGACCTATAATGAGGATGATCCATGCCTCCACTAGTGGACATAGCTTGGTATGATGTGAGGCATCCATCCGTTTTTGGGATACCTGAAGTTCAGCTAAATGTTATTTCATAGTTCACATTATGAAGCCATTTATTGGCTAAAACCACTTTTTAAATGAGATCCTTTTGCTATTTCAATAGCTAACTTCCCTTAGATGCAGTATACGATTGATATTGCATTGAATGCTATAAAAGCATACTGTGTGACAAGAAGAAGAGTTTAACAGTTTAACTCTGTACAGGACCATTAAGAATTTATCTAGGTTAGAAGTTCTCCAGTCTTAGCCTGTATCAGAAGCATTTGCATGACTTGTTAAGATTCAGACTGGTGGACCCCACCCTCACTTTCCGATTCAGTAGTCCGGAATGGGGTCCACCAATTTGCATTTCTAACTGTGGTTTTTGGTGGACGCTACTGGTCCTGGACTTGCACTTTAAGAACCTATAATTTAAGCCAACTTCCTTTGCAGTTTAGGAATACTTTTGTAACTTTTTCCTCTGCTTAAACACTTCAGAAGGTGAAACACTAAATTGCAAAGTCAGTTTTACTGTTGGACTGGCTAATTCTTAAAGATTTTACTGTCTCCTTGAAATTTCTGTTCATTATATTTTCCCTCCTGCTCATAGTAGCTCTTAAAATGTCTTATTTTAACCACACCTAAAGTTCCCACCTCTCAACCATTTATTCCACATATCTCCTCTTTATCTACCACGATATTGTCCCCTGATGCAACTCTGTTATATAAGCTACTCAAAGTATGTGGCCAAGAACACAACATTGTTGATGTTGATCCACTGGGACTATCACCTTCCATAAACTGACGTGTATCTATTAACACAGGATTTTGCTGGATTTCACTACTTTAAAGAAATTGTTGTGGAAACGCGTTCTGGGTATGTGATTTGAGAAGTTGTAGCACAGTGAGATGGGAGAAAGCATCCTGGCTGCAAGATAAATGCTGCTGCTGGGAATAGGCCTCCCCTAGCAGCCCCTAAGTAATGCTTAGCAGATTGTAGGGAACCCAAACAATCCCCATAAGCAGACAGTAAATAGATTAAGAGAGCAATCAGTGGCTTAACATGTGGTCAGTGACTCCACTATGAAGGCTAGACAGGTAGGTATTGCAAGGGTGGAGATGTACTTCGTCTTTCGGCCACTTTGTATGTAAGTTTCCCCTACATAACAAATCTTTGGCTACCCACCAACCTGTAGTGATCTGACTCTTTGGTCGGAGCTTGCCCTCCTTTTATGGAGGATGATTGTAGGTTCTGGCAGGGAGTTCTCCCAGCAGCAATCATGTCACTTCATTGGGTCATACTGTATGAAAGATCTACTAAACAACTGAGTTTTTTCATATTCAAACAGATAGTGGCCTTCCACTTCTTTTCCAGTTGAAATATTAACTATAGCACAGTAACTTTTTATTCAACATTTTCATAGTTCTTAATTCCAGTTTAATAAATACAGGACGGCAGTTAAGAGCATGGCCTTCAAAGACAGTTCTGGGTGCAAATCATAGCTCTACTATTTAACAACCATGTGGCCCTAGACAGCTTACATGATCAATCTACACCTCAGCTTCCTCGGGAGAGTTATGGTGATAGTAACGGTAGCTACCTTGTGGGAGGTCTTCTATGAATAACCTGAGATAACATAATTAGCACAATGTCGGGTGCATATTACATGCTTAGTAAATGTTAGCTGTCATTTTATTAAAAGCAATAGAACACTTAAAATTATACTGAACAAGAAAAGAGCAAAGTATTTTTTTTACAGAAACCTATAAATCTTCAGAAGAATAAAGGTAGGTATAATTTTTGCCAGAATGGGACTAAAAATTACTTATCTGTTCACCCCAGGGAAATTTACAGATTTAGTGCAACTTCAAAGTAGCAATGTGATTTTTTAGAATCAACGTAATTTCCACAAAAAATATGAAAAGTGTGACTGTAATAGAAAATAAAAAGAAAAAATCTAATCACATTAGACATTAAACTTACAAAGAAGTTTTAGAACTTAAAACTGCATGTACTGGCAGAAACACAAAGCCACCTCAGTGAGAAGGGGTAGGAAAATTAGAAATAAATCCAAAACAAATCAGCTTTCCAAAAAAGGGGTAAGACATTTAATAAGGATTAAAATATAACAATTTAGGAAACAAGTGTTAGAGGCATGCCTTACACAATGTAATAATCCACAGAAGAAACTCGGGAAACACATTGCCCCAACTAAATCTATAAATACAGAAAGCCTCTACTAAGTGAAAACATTGTAATTAAATTTTTTGTATAACAATAACTAAAATTCAGAAGGAAATCTCAAAGTGAAAAAGCTGGGTAAGCCAATGACATGAACATCAAAATTACATAAATATTAATAAACAAATACCGAGGAAACACTATCCCAAATGGAACCTGAAGATACCTTTAGTCACCTATTAAAAAAGCAAATGGATTAAGAAATATTGTATTCATTGCCAGTGAAAGTAAGGAATCCATTTATTTATTTATAGTGATCTTATAAATTGGCATACCTCTTTTGGACAGTAATTAAGCATAATAATTTATAGACTGATTCGGTAATTTTATTCTCTAGAATTTCTAATTATTCAACAAACAATATATGCACAGAACACTTATCTACGATGCCAAAAGGCTGAAAATAGCATAAATGTCCAAGATTAAAGGAAAAGATTTAATAAATTCAACCTAGAAAAATATGTAATCATTAAAATGATAATTATGAAGGATATATAGAAATGTTAAAAGTACCACAATCGATGAAAATAGCAACATATATATGTAACTATATATATATGTAGTTTGTGTTTGTGTTTATGCCAACATATATAGTTATGTTTATGCACATAGAACAAATTCTATCCCGAGTGTAACAAAGCAAATGCATGTATGTGAAATATAAAAGGCAAAAAGTACTAATAGCAGTATTAGAATTATGATTAATTTTTAAATCATTTAAGCATTCTTTGAAGTTTTCTTTCCAGTATAAATTAAAATTAACTTTGAATTCCTCTTCTGTAACAGAGTAATGTGTTTGCACATCACTAAGTGTATGCAATGCCTTCATGTCTTCATGCCTTTATCCTAGTCAGCAATGCATCATGGGACAACATCAAGAGCTCTGTGGCCCATAGTCATCCCTTGTACTCACCCAGCATGTGTTTACTGAGCCGATATTCTGGCTGTCTTTTGTATATACAAGAATAACCCAATATATCTCAGCCCTGTTGGTCTAGTGGAGGTAGACATGTCAATGATCATTAAGTTACAACATAGTACGTACAGTACTAGGGTTAGGCTATTTTAGAACCCCCAAGGTGGTATCAAATTCAACATAGCAGGTAATAAAACATATTAGATCTTATTTCTACGGGATGGGTAGAGTTAGCGAGGCAAAAAGGATAAGTGGCTGGAGGAAAGACATTGCATATAGGGACTAGGCATGAAGGTAGGAAATAGCATGGTGAGTAAGAAATATGTTTGCAGTATGGAAGGGCAAGGGCTTCAGGTTCATGTTTAAGTCTAGATTTTACCGCTTATTAGCTTATTATTCAAATCTTATCTAAAAATGCAAATAATTCCATTTATGTCACAAATTGATATAAGGATGAAATGAGACCAAATGTGTAAAGGAGGCATTATAATGCCTGATGCGGCAGGTCTAACAGGTCTATTTCAAGGGCTTTGACATTACTGGAACCAAGTACAAGGTGGGATGAGGTAGGAGGTAGGAGACAATCAGATCATGGAGAACTTCTTCATCAAGGCTAAAGCGGTTGGACTCCATTCCATAAGTCACTGAAGCCTCTGAAGATTTTTAAATCAAGAGAGCAACATGATCAGGGTTGTTTTTCAGATGGATCACTAAAAACTGTCTTGAAGCTGGATTTGATGGGGCCAAGCCTGGCAGCAAGGTCAGTTTGTGGGCTGTTTTAATAGTTCTGGAGACAGTGAAGGCTGAAGCAGGAATGGAAATGAGGAAATGGTTGGAGAAATATTCATCAGGTAAAAAGGTAGGGCTTTGTGATTAGATTGAGATGGAAGGAGAGAAGAGTGAGGGGTCAAGTATAACTAGCTCTCTAGTGTGGGTGGCTGAGTGAAGCAACTAAAATTCTGAATAAAAAGGAGGAACAAATTGAGGGAAGGCAATGAGTTATTGGTACCATGTGCCTGGCAGTATACTCAGTTCTGAGGTTACAAAAATGAGTAAGACATACTTCCTGTCTGTAAGGAACTCACATGCTGGTAGGGAAGACAACCAAAGAAATAAAATACACTTTGGTTAAAGCCCCATATCTGGAGTCTTGACAGCAAAATATTTAATATCTAATCATAAGGAAATCAGATAAATCCTAAGTAAGGGATATTCTGCAAGACAATCTAAAAACTCTTCAAAAGCTATTAATGTCATTCAAGAAAAACCACTGGGAAACAGTTCAATGTTAAAATACTACAAGAGTAACGGCAATCAAATGTAATGTGTGATCACTGATAGGGTTCTAATCCCCTCCATACTCCAGAATAACAGTTAAAAGAACACTACTATGCTAATTAGAAACAATTGCATATGAACCGAAATACCACCCTTCATAACACTGTTAAATGTCTTAGGTGTACCATTGCTTCGTGGTTATGTAGAAGAGCCCAGGCATTCCACTGTAAGTGCTAAACACCTAAAGAGTTGGGGTAGCATGCCATGATGTCTACAACTTAAAATATTCATGTAATTCATACATGTTGATATAATGCATTCACATAGAGGAATAACATGTGTAAGTGGGGCAAATGTTCAATTTGGTGATTTTATATAAGTTGAAAGAGTAATAAATACCATTAATCTACAGATGAGTTTTTTCAAAATATTGAAAACACACTGTAGTACATGTTATGACAGTGGTGGGCTCAACATACTCATCAGTAAGAAGTATAGATGAAATACAAGGATGGTTGAAACAAAGTTCTGTTTTTAGCTAACCTCTTTCTCAGTTCCAGCTTTTAGCTAACTCCTTTCTCCAAGGTCGTCTTCTCCTGCTTTCCTTTTCCTACACAGGATGCTATGTGAAAACCATTTCAGAAGAGTTCTGGCTGTGGTGGTTAGTTGAGGCACATTCCAATCACAGATGCAGTTGAGGTCATGACTACAACACCATCAGCTAGTATAGTTTTCTCCAAAGTGAAGACTGAAAACTATCAGAAAGAATATAGCTAGATACAGTATTGGGTCAAGTTCATAAAACATATGACAAATCCCTCCGTCTCTGCAGAAAAGTTTCTTTCCAAAAATTTAACAGCATTTTACATTCTTAACTTTTGTCTACTAAATAGACTTCTCATTTGTCCACTGATTCTGGAAACAATTCTAACAACTTTCATTTATTGACTACTTCTATGCACCAAGTGTATGCACATCAAATGCTGGTATTTTGCATATATTTATCCAAAAAATTTATGAAGTGAATACCTTGCACTGGAGACACAGCAGGGAACAGATAAATTCCTACCTCTTAGAGGTGATTTCATCCTAATGATCTCAAATTTCACTTACGATCTCATTCAATCTTCACAATAACCTAAAAGGGAGATTTCATGAGATTTCAAACCCTGCCTAGGATTAAGCTAGATTCCAACCACAGTCATTCAAGTTCCACAGCACATAGTTTTGTTCTATTTTACTGCTTCTTTCCAATAACTCAGCATCACTGGAATTTCAGGAATTTGTAAGTTGATATAAACAGATTTCATCAAGAATAGAAGGAACACCTCTCAAAATCCAAATTAAAAAAACAGGATACAGTCTGTCCAAGAATATGCAAGACAGCCAGGGACACAGCACAGTAGTGTTAGAGTTTCTTATACCTAACAATAAAAAACACAGAATATTCAAAATCATAATTGCCCTGGGCACTGTAAGCATTGCCTCAAATTCCAACTGTCCTAGATCTCTCATTATACAGTTGGGGCTGTCTCTTGCACTATGCTCTCTGCGTTCTTATCACTTTGATATGCTAAGGAGCTTTGAATTTAGCAGAGGGTAAACTGGGCCCAGTAAGTGGTTTCAGATTTAAATTTTAATTCGTTAAAGAAGCACATAGTTCCTCTGTAGTGAATTCAACAAAATTATGGATTCTCAAAAGAAAACCAAAATATTCCTATGGCAACTTGATCTTTGACAAAGTAGGGAAGTGTTGTAAGTTTGAGAGTCACTTCATGAAAACTAGCCGTGAGAATGGCAATTTAAAGTGCTAACACAGCAATTACAAGTAATGACTAGTTTATTAGGCTATTATTTGAACATTATTTCTGCTTTAACACGAAGCACATTGCTCACACCTTGTGGTTAGTAGCCACTGTGGGGAATTTGGGGGGTTCCAAGAAGCTAGAGAGCACATTTCTGGGACTTCTGGTTTTCACTATTGGGAACATCATTTCCCAGAGGTATACCAGGCCATTTGCTCAAGCACCATCTGCCAGAGATGACACTGCACAGCCCAAGCCAGTCCTTTACCTGGAAGCAGCAGAAACACCTGGTTTCATGGTACGCATCTCTCATATAAACTTATGTCATGGGTCCTCAAAGATGAAACCAGCAAATCCTAAGAACCTGTGCTGTTCATTCCTAAGCTTTCTGGCAGTTAGGGTCTCCAAACTACAAATTGGAGCCCAAGAAAGTAAAAGAATTTTCTTAAGGAATCAGATCTAGTAAGTGGGAGAGAAGAGACATCTTAGTTCTCAAGTACATGACATTTGGCATCAAAGGGTTTTCTTACAAGGGAAGTAATCATTTGGATATTTTATGTGACAGTAATTTGGACTTGCAATATCTAGATAATTGCTACTGTACTCCACATCTATGTGTACAAGTAAAAATCTGTATTCAAATACATTTAAGACATTGAGCATCCAGTACATGTAAGACATTATGCTAGAAAGTGGGGATAACAAGGTGACCAATATAGGTATGTTTTCTGTCCTCATCAAGTTTATAATCCAGAGAGTAATACAAAGCAGTAAACAGGCAAGAACATGTGATAACCCCTGTGACAGGGGAACCATAAGGTATAATGAGAGTCATAGGAAGGCTCCAGAATTTGACTTGGATTCAAGGAAATATTTAGTAGACTAGGTGATATCTATACAGGCCATGTAGCATTTATACTGAGTCCTGGAGAATGGAGAGGAATTACATGACAAGGAGAGAGAGGGGCTCAGGCAGCAGCAGCAACACAGGCTAACTGGGAAACTGCCAGCAGTTTAGTATGACCGGGTCTTAGGCTGCAAGGGAGAGAGTCGTAAGAGACAAAACTAGAATGCTAAGCAGAAGCAAGATCATAAAAAAACTGCAGAGCAAACACAAACACATTTTCTAAAGAACTCTTAATTGTATACGAATAAATGGTAGTTGTTTATTCACATCTTGACAAAAATAGAATAGAAACTGAATCTGAAGCCTTAATTGATGATGCTACATTTGGAGTTCTTTCCCGGGATATCAGCTTGCTACAGATCAGATAAGGTTTACAATCAAAACACTGTGGCCAGTCTCAGGGTTTGCAAATTAGATGAGTGGTTCTTAGCGCTGGTTGCAAATCAAGATCACCTGGGGAATTGTAAAATAAACTGATGTCGAGGCCTCATCATGAAATCTTGATATAATAGGTCTATATTGGAACTGGATATGGGTATGTTGGTAATTTTTAAAAGAACGTAAATAGAGGCAGGAAAGAACCCAATGTATTTTCTATTCTCAGAAATGATTACGTGTTTTCAGCTAAACCATGAGGTACTTGCACTCTAATTGGGAACACAGCTCCTGCTTTGTTTGTCTTATCAATAGCTAGCCAAAGAATAGATACTCAAATGAAGACAACTGAGTAACAGATATGGGGTAAAAAGGAAGGCCAAGTATTATATAGTCTGTGGTTAGTATCAGTTACCAGTTGTCGAGGGCCTGTATATATGCAATTCTGCATCTACAGAGTACGTGGGTTGCAGCCCAGCTAGCAGACAAAAAAAAAGAGAAAGTGGGATTCTGTGATGGGAGGTGGGGAGAAGCCTGTTATAAAAGTCAAAATGTTGAGACTGAAGTTATTGGGACCTTAGCCTGTTGTACATTTATTATAAGGCATTAGGAGAAATCTTAATGACAAGAAATAGTGCCAGACAGAAAAATCCAAAGACCTGGGAGCCCTTCTCTCACCTTTTCACTTTTCTTACTCAGTTCAACCAGCAGGAGCTACAGCTGCATCTTAGATTTTTCTTTTGACTCTTGGATGGTTTGGCTATTTTTAACACTTTTACTTAGATGCTACAAGATGCCGAAAGATCAGTAGTAGCTGATGAGATGGAACATTTTATAAGACTTGTCTGGATCTCCACGTTACTGCTATACTGACATATATACACACAATTTTATCTAGACCTTAGCTAACGTAGTATATATTAGGTATATTAAGAAATTAGTGTTATGTTTACTGCATGAAGTTTGAAGTTCCATTAACTGTTTAAAAAATTTTAGAAGAAAAACTTACAACACTTGATCACTCCCCTTTTATCTTCCTCAAAAGTGAACAAAAACAGAGCAGGCATTAATTTGACTTTGTCTTTTGGTCAACAGTTGCCTCCCCTAATTCACAAAAAATTATAGTAAATAAGTTTAAGTTAAAAACCCAATAGCTTATATTGATATCCACAAATACCATATTATAAGTGATCATATTCCAGGCTATAACTTAATTTTTAATTTTCAATATTTCCTTAAGTTTACTATACTAAATCTAAGCCTTAGGTTGTTATGCCTTATTTTAGAAATGGAGCCTTTTCAAATATCCAAGCACTACTTTCACATATTCCTGTTTTTTGTATGCCTCATACTACAAAGCTACAGTCTTCTTTCCTCTTAAATGTGAATACTCCTTACATAAGCTTTACTGAAATTTAATTTGCTTTCTGATTAAAACAAAACGCACAAACTTGCAAAAAAAATATATATAGCCTCCCAGAGGGAAGCTAGATGGTAATCAAAAATTTCCAAAAACCGGAGAATGCTTTACTTACAGAAAGCATTTCAAAGCAAAATGCTGAAGTCTTTTGTTTTCCTTGTGGTTTATCCTTATGTAAATTGGCTTAATTTTTTAAGTTTCTGCAGACAATTTCTTATGAACGTGAAAATAACTTACGAATAAGGTAGAAGCCTCAAACTGATTTCCTTTTCCCTGTAGTTGCTTATAACATGTGTTTTAAATGGCTTAGTAATTTCTTGATAGAACAGGTACAGGTGGATGGAAAAGGGCTGCTCAAATAAACTCTAAACAAGCTTCAGCCAAGGAGTCTGAATGGCCAGGCTATTTTAGCTATTGCCACATTTCTGTTGGGTATAAGGGCATTTGCAGCAAGTCTGTTTGCATAAAATAAGAACTTGTAAAAAGAGAGTAAGGTTCACTTTTAGGAAAATGTAAGGTACTTCTGTGGATTGGCTGTGACTTCCACTTTGAATTGGAATTCTTCGTTCGAAGTGTAAGGCTTCAGTCTAATTTCTCAAAATGTTTTCTCTCTATCATAGGCTTACATAAAAACGGCGTCTTGCTATTAAGTTTGTTAGGTTTGCTAGATTGTCAAAAAACAAAATGCTTCTTTGTTAACTACCTGTTACTTAAAATTCTTTAAAAGATATGTACTCAAAGACAAGTCTCTCTTGGAAGTTTAAGTAGTTCAAATTGCTATCTTTAGTTCTATTTGAAGCCTATGGATATAGTTTTATCTAAAAAAGTCTTCTTGCTTAGTCTGTTCACAACTTACTTTGGTTTCGAAGGAGGCATTTGGCAAAAGTTAAATGTGGCTGATTACCACGATTACTTCTCGAGACCCTCACTAAGACAGTTACTACTTGAATCTATCATTACAACAGTTACTATTGTTACTACTTGAGACCTTCATTATGAGACGAAAAGAAAGAACATAGAAATGAAAACTTAAGACAAAAGAAACTATTTTAAAGGAAAGATCCAGAGAAAAAAGAAAGGAGCTCCCCGCTTTCAGTGAGCAAAGGCAACCTCTGAGCGTCTACCGCCCTTCCTATTTATTGTGTAGCAAGAGCAGGGCGGAGCAGGTAACGATTGGTCGGCTGCTTAATTGATAACAGGTTTATATTATTACTAACAGGCTTCAGATGTGCCTAATGGCAAGAAACACTGCACTTGGGGCGTGACTGCCCTCGGCATTCCTTCTGGGTGGCAGACTCAATTTGTCAGTTTGCTGACATTTTGCATTTATGAGAAACAGTTTGCTGTTTACTCGTACAGCCTCCAGTGGTATATTCAGTAGATCACGACCCTCATTCTTTCAGCCTCCATCAGTTAAATATTGTTTTTGTCCTGTCTCAGCACTCTTTCCATGGGAAAACTAGTTTCCCATACTCTTTAATGAATATCATGTGGTTCTTCTCATCTACACCACCCACCTTCACATCCCAGGGATACCTCAGTGATTTGCATACAGCTCAGACCTGAATACAGCACCCTACACAGTGATTGGCTAAAGCCAATTAGCCCCTGGCAGGACCTAGCAAGAAAACCATAATTTAGGATCTGCAGCTCTAAGAATGATCTTAGATATGTCACCAGCTGTTCTGCAGATGTATGGAGCAGAAGAGACAGGGCCTGTGGCTTAAGCTTGACTTTTACTTTCGTCACTTGCAACTCCAAAGAATTCTGATATATACAGAGAGAAGCTAAGTTGTTAGGCATTTCTTTTATAATGAAGTGTCATTGTGTCTTTGACATGTGCAAATTCTCAGTTCATGCTTTTTTAAAATACAAGAATGATAGAAACTGAAATGACCTTGGATTAAGCATGCTACATAATTGTCACATAATTTGATATTATATTGGATTTTAAGAGAGTGTCTTGGTTTAGGTTAATCACAGAAACACTTTCCATAGTGTTGATGATTCTATATAAAATAACTAAAGAGTACCAAGAAATAAAATGAAAATCTACATGATAATGTAATGATTGTTATTCTAATTTTGAAGTAGTGGCTGTTGCGCTTATGAATGAATGCAGTTAGACCAAAAAGTTAAACCTGACTTAACCCAAGATGTCTATGCCTGTTCTACTAAGATGCTGGCTACACTATTTTTTTCTGAGGTATTCCAACTGATTTGGGCTGAAATATATTCCACATTTAACGCATTTGGCAACCAATAAGTTAAGCAAAAGTAAAGTTTTTTTTTTTTATTGCAGGATTTCTCAGAACCCTGTTTATGATAATGTGTATTGTAAATCTACAAAAGGGAAACAGCATATTCAGCCTTTCTCAAGCTTATTTAATTATGGAACCATTTGCCAGTAAGCGCTTTTGAGGATTAGTGTTCTATGAGATACAGTTTTCAAAATTTAGGCCCATGTTATGAAAATGAGCCTTGTTCATGGCTTTCCAGTTGTGAATGTATGCATATATGTGTGTATATATATACACACACACATATGTATATAAGTATATATATATACATATATATACACATATATGTATATACATATATATACACATATATGTATATACATATATATACACACATATATAAACCTGTTCAAGTAAATACGAAACCTCTCTTCTTCATCCACTTTACAAGGTAACATGGTAGAAGATCAAGAATACGTTCATGTTAACACCAGCTTTTCCACTGCCTACCTGCTTTTTAAGCATATTAACTCACAGCTTTTTGGTGACAATCAAAAAGTATCTACTCTCTTCCGGCTACCCTTCACCTACTTCTGTGTGTAGTTAACTCCTGCTTATTCTTCAGAAATCAGCTCAAGCGTTGTCACCTTCTGTCAGGTCCTCTTTGCTCCTGTGTATCATTATATCATAGCAGATACCACACTGCATGATAAATAATAGCTTTTCTTTTATATACTATTCTCTCCTATTAAACTTTGAGTTACTTTGAAGCCAAAACCATGATTTGATAATTTTTATATCTTTGGAGGCAAGCATTTGCCTGACATTTAGTAAGTGCCCAATAAATAGTTGTGCCAGTTGAAAAGTCATCCCTTTTAGATACTTACCCTTGCCAATAAATAATTCCAGCTGCTAGTTGATACTACAAGGCTTAATGGATCAAAGTATTTGATGCCATCATCACTAAAATCTCTTTTGGCAGTCTCAAGATGGGGTGCTGCCACCAGTGGTGGAGTACAATACAATAACTGGTATGCCAAAAGAAAACAGATATTCTATTTATTAATAGGCCATTTTACAATTAAGGAAATCTTTAATCTTCATGGATATACAACATGCTCATTGTCACTCATATATGGTCACTCATACATAAGGTACCCAATGTAGTTTTACACAAGAGAGTGAGTGCTACAATACATAGGTATAAAAATGACATAACTCATTCTTTCTTTTTCCGCAGCACATGCTTAAATAAACTTATAGTTTCTCTTACTGGACTTACACTAAATAAATGTTATGAAGTAGATAAATGACTTTAATAAATTCCTTCCAAGCACACCAGTTTGAAGATAAAGCAAAATGTAAGTTATACAAACACCAATGAACAAGAAAATTAAAGAAGTAATTTTCTCTAATTTCTATTATAAACATTCAGCCAATTTATAAGGTAAATATAGTAACAGTCTAATCAGAAAATAAAACCATAAAATTCCAAACTTATCAAAAAATATTGCACTATGGACTTAAGTCCACTCATAATAAGTTAGCTGGGATTAATGATAGTATAAAGACATTGCAATTTCTAAGATATTAAAAATATAGCTAATTCCAACTTAATCTAAACTACTGTTAAAACTTTGCATTTTTCTTAGGTATGAACACTTGTACATGCATGCAATTTATAAGTAAACAATTATATATAAATTGGTGTGCATGCTCACATTTTATTTCCTGTTATGATGGTGTATATCAAAAAAGATTCAGAGCTCACAACTTCAATTATACCAAGTATTTTATAATAGAAGTGTTTCCTAGTAGTTAGGCTGTTGGGAAAAAGCTGAGTGTTGGGAGGGAAACTGAGGCAGGGCTTGCATAATGTCCTCTGGAATGTGTCTAGACTTTCTGGCTCCTTGCTTCTAGCCCTAGATCGATTGTATTCCCATTATCTCAAATAGCAGAACATGTTCCTTATAAATGCTAAACCGTCACAGCTGTAGATCATGTGCCTACCCTTTTGACCTCCACATTCTCACCACCTGTTTCTTTGTTGGATTACCAATAAATAGCATGTGCTCCCAGAGCTCGGGGCCTTCACAACCTCCATACACTAGTGATGCCCCCCCACCCCACCGGGTCCCAGCTTTGTTTCTCGAACTGTCTTTTTCTCAATCCTTTGACTCCGCCGGTCTTTGTCCACCCGCACGACTTGGTGTTGGGTCTGATCACCCCAACACAGGCAGTCCAGTTAGAACTGTGCCTTCCCTTGCCAAAAAGGTTACACTCAGGGAATGCTATGTAACCAGTGCTATTCTTCACAAGTGTGAGGAGACAGCAGATGATGAAAGAACCATCAGGCTTACTAGAATTCAACCACAGACCTTTTGAAAAGCAAATCTCTTATCTCTAGCAACTTTTGTGGGAAGAAGCATTTATAGAACACATTTATATAAATATATTCAATTATGAACAGTGTATTGGAAAGGCCCTATAGCCATCATGTTGACTTTTAGCTTAAATTCATTTTATGAAAATTATACAACCAACAATGCCATTCTGAAGAAATTACTTGAAGGAAAGGATACTGGATTGACGCTTCTAAACAATGGTTTGTCCAGAGCAGATTGCAGGAGGCCTAAGTACATGCAAATAGAAGAACGGGGTATGAGAGGCAAAGGGGAGGGCTTTGGATGCAAAACACCTGGGTTCAAATCATAGCTCTGCTTCTTACCATCTGTGACTATCAAAGATTCACTGATCCTTAGTGTCAGTTTCTAAAGTTATCAAGTTAAATGTACTCATAAATTTTAGAAAATGGTTTTAATAATAATCACTATTATTACAAAATTAGAATACATAAATATGTAGTCTCCTATATTGCAGAGCACTAGCCAAAATGAAAACTCAAAACATGACCACTTGACCAAAAGTGGATACGTAATTTTTCCCCACAAAAGCAACAAAAATTCCAATAGCATCTCCTGGGAATTAGAGGCAAACAGTTGAATTCAGATCAAAGAATGCAAGAATATCTTCAAACATTCTTGCTAAGCTGAAATTCCATCAACACTGATTTCATTGTAATTACGATCTTCCTATCAGAAAACATATATTAAGCCCCTAATTACACTGTATAATGCTAATAGCTAACACTTGGTTTCTTACTATGTGCCAGTACTTTTGTAAGTGCCCCACATATTATTTATACATTTAATCTTTCATAAGTAAGATTTTTTATTTACATTTTACAAATGAGAAAAATAGGCACAGAAAGTCAAAGCAACACGCTAAGTTCACAAAGCCAGGAAGTAAGTAAATCTGTGATTTTAACCTAGCAGTCTGACTTTAGAGCTTGAACTAATTATTATTATACAACCCTGCCTCAACGACAGGCTAACTTTCCCTGCCCTCTGTGTGCTCCATATGTAGAGATGGTAAACTTTCTTAAATGTAAGTGCAAAGAAGTGTAATAGAATTTAAACCTGACACCAGCATCTGAAAGGAGATTAAATACGACAGCAAATCGTCAGTCCAAGGTTGGGCAAATTTAAGACGGAAGTCCAAAAGGAAATGTGTAAATGAGGTTTCAGACTCAGGGAAAACCTGGCCTGATCTTAAACTTGTCTTCTTCTTTTCTTGGAAATGCCATGCTCCTTTCTCTTCAGGGTTTACAGATACGCTGTTTCTTCTTATAGGAACACTAACCCCCAGTATCCTTCAGATATCAATTTCAATCCCCATTTTTTAGAGAGGCTTTTCTTCCTCTCCCCTGAAGTTAGGGAAGAATCCACAGTCGCATGCTGTTATTATACCTTGCAATTGTTCTTGATACAATCGTCATACTCATAATTATTTGTTATGGTTATTTTTCAATTTCTTTTTTTCCTTCTAGAGGATAAGCTCTGCATTCTTTCTGGTTCTCTGATACACACCACACACCTAGCACAGAACCTGGCATCTAGTATGTTTCTTAATGAGTGAAGGAAATAATCTAAATCCTGACTAGTGGCTATAAAGGAAAACCATGCTGGTAGTGAGGCCTTCAACGTCTATTGGGCACAATGCATACTATTTGGGTAATGAGTACACGAAAAGCCCAGAATTTACCACCACACAATATACCCATGTAACATAACTACGCCTCAGTGGCAGGCTACTTTCTGGAATAATCCAGAAGTTGCATAATATGGCTAGGAACAACTTTTACCTTTTTTGTTTATGTGCAGAAATAGAGGAATGTAATAAAATATCATTCATCACCAGATTCTTTTTTTTTGTTTTAAGCCTTACACATGATTGTAAATGCTTTGTACCTTTTAATCCATAAAAATAAAAAAAGTAAATGAAATAAAAGGAAAATATGACCATGATGCCCATGCACCATGGGTACAGGAGCACAAGTGATCACCCACTTCTACAAGTTTCTCTCTAAAATTCATCCCAATAACCTAGAGATCCTTCTGAATAGTAGAATTTTTCACTCAAGCTTCCTGAAAGCACAATCAAAGAAATGACAGTAACGCAAAATAGCATAGGAAAGTGATTAAGAACTTCGACTTGGAAACCATACTGCCTAAATTTTAATCCTGGCTCTAATCTCTTCAAGCCCCAGTTTTCACATCTGTAAAATGAGCATAATAAAATAACTTATGAATAGTGTTATAAGAATTGAAATCAGAAGTTCCATATGATGCATTTTTCACAGTGCCTGGCAATATTACTACCAATAATGATGAAATATATGTTTAGTTTTCAGTGGGAATAAATGAGATAGAGGTATTCTGTCTCATTGCCAGAAGGTTGTTACTACTAACACTTAGTCTAAACTTCCAGAGGGACAAGCCTGATTAGGTCCAGATATTTCAGCACCACAGAAACAGACAGAAAAAAGAATCCAAGACTGGAAAAGTAAAAGGAGCTAGGGAAGCGGTTTCAAATTCAGATCGAATGCTGACATACCTTACCAGATTCCCATAGAATGCAGTATTGAAGGTTGCCACAGGATTGGTGACTACCTTCTTTTTGGAAGTGTGTGTGCTTTCTTCCTCTTGACATTGGAACATTTCATTAAGGAGTTAGCATTTTCCATTTCAGAGTTATACATCCATCAATGTCTATCCAATATCACTGCAAATATCTCTGTTAGGATATATGCTATATGTATATCACATATATACTATATATGTGTATATATATACTATATACATATATATGCATACATATATACTACATATTGTATATATACTATATATACATATATACTATACATGTATATATACTATATTGTATATACATATACATATATACTATATATTGTATATACATATATAGTATATATACACAATCAAATATATATATTTTGTATATATACAAAATCAAATATATATATTTTGTATATATACAAAATCAAATATATATATTTTGTATATATACAAAATCAAATATATATATTTTGTATATATATATACAAAATTTCTAAATGTACTTTTTTGAATAACAGCTTTATTGAGATATAATTCACATATCATACAATCTACCCATTTAAAATATGGTTTCTTCAGTTTTTTGGTACGTTCATAGAGGTGTGCAACTATCACCACATTTTCATCAATTACTCCAAAAATTCTTTCTGTACTCATTAGCTGTCACTGCACTTCCATCCACCACCAACCCCCAGCTGTAGGCAACCACGAATTTACTATCTCTATAGATTTCCTTATCCGAACATTTCATTTACTTAATATATTTTTATTACTACATGTACTCCTTACCCTATCTTGCAAGGTTGTACCTGGCTTCAGAAAGATGTAACAACTTTGCTTTTACAGTTTTCTTACTCTGACAGAAGGAAACCATAGAACCAAAGCAAAAAGACCTCACGAGCAGGCTAGTTTCTGGAACAATCCAGACATTGCAGAACATAGCTGGGAACAATTCATACTTTCTTTTAGTTTGTGTGCAGAAACAGAAGAATGTAATAAATATCACCCATCATCAGATTGTTTTTTGCTTTTAAGCCTTACGAAGGATTGTAAATGCTTAATACCTCACAGAGATTTTTCTGAAACAATATTAATTTTTTAAAACCAGTGGGTCTTTGATTCATATAATATTAATAGAGTCATGTAATATATGCCAGGCACTATGCTTAAGTTTTACAACAATCCTGTGGTAGAAAGTAGGTCAATATTATTATCCACATTTTTTTTTTTAAAGACAAGGTCTTGATATGTTGCCCAAGCTGGCCTCAAACTCCTGGGTGCAGGTGATCTTCCGACCTCAGCCTCCTAAGTGGCTAGAACTCTTATCCCCATTTTAAAGATAAGGAAATTGAGACTCAGAGTAGTAAAGTAAATATTCCCAAATCATATAACTCATACATGGAAGAAGTAAGAATTAAATTCAGATCTTTCCATTTCGTCGTGTCCTTTCCATCATGTTACATTTTCCACTCTCAAACAATCAGTCTTTCTGTTATAATTTGACAGGAGCTAACTCTATAAAAATGGTTTATATTTCTCCAAGACCATTTTCCTAAGTTACTGATGGCTATAGTTTGGACACTTCTACATGCAACAGAAATGCTTCATTATAATTGATATTGTGGTTCTGAGTACCAAGCCTCATGCAAACAATCCTTTTTGGTTTCCTGCTTTCCCTGATTCCACATGCAGAAAGGCTTAAGTATTTGAGTTCTAGAGTGTATTGTTTTCCTCAGTCACACCTCAATACATAATATTATCTCCTGGTTATTAAATCCCAGTGGGCTTGTTGCAAAATAAAAAATAGCATAAGACCAAAAACAATGTGTGATCATTTTACATAAAGAAACCAGAGCTAGAACTTCAGTAGGGGGAGAAAAAACAAGAGGGAAAGAACTGGTGATAACAGGTCAGCCCCCGTTAGCAGCAGTGGCATAACATCAGAGAAATGTCTAATCACCTTACCAGTCATTGTGGTCTCTTGCTGTGTTTAGGACAGTGTATTTCAGGGTAGATTGCCATTTTCCTAGCTTTTAAGTGCCTTCGGGTTAAAGGCACCGACATTTCCATGAGGTTGTACCCATTCAACCTGGGGCAGGAATCATCTTCTGCAGTAAAACAGGGCTGCTTATAGCAGGTTGGATTTCCAGAGTCACTGGCACAAGTCCTCTCTGAGCAGAAATGGGACGAAGCCAGGCAGGTCTGCATTGACGAACCAGCTGGGCTTGTCTCGGTATAGTAACCTAATAAGCTCCAACTGTGAGAGGCAACACTGGTGGTGAGAATCCCGACTGTTGATAGCAACGGGACTTTCTCCAGTAAGTTTGATGAGAAATCCACGTGGTCCTATCTGTTAGTAATATCTGGGGCACTACCTCATCCACTTAATTAACCCCTGGAGAGCTAACCAAGGAACTGCTCTGATTACAAAATAATGGGTCCATCAGGCACAATTAATACCCAAGTGAAACATGGCAGTTTGCATGAAAACGATTGAAGTAAACAGTTCCAGGCCCTGAAAGGGGCTCACTTCCTAATTAACCCTTAGAGGGCTAATCTGCTTGCCCAAACAAAACCAAACCTGGTGCCTTTGCCAACTGGCATGTTGGGGAAATGATTTTTGCATCAGGTCTTGCTAGCATGGCACTGGCAAGTGGAAATGCCTAATCCCTATAGACCTAAACCATAGAACATCTTGAAAACACAGGGTTCTGTGAACGTGTTAAATAGTGACTTGGTAAGGCATTACTAGATTAGAGCCCTAGAAAGAGACTTACAAAAATCCATATTATAGGACGCACAACATTCCTACACATGCTGCTTGAGGACAAGACAAGCTTTCTTCTATCTGATAGCTCCACAGAGCCTGGCATAATGCCCTGCATACAGGAAGTGTATGGCCTAAATTGTGGACGTGGCTTGCTTTGGAGTGGGATTGGGAGAGATCAAACTGTTGGTTTTTCTGATCTCCAAGTTAAAAAAAAAAAACAAAAAAAACACTGTCTCAAGATCAATCAATTTTTATAACCACATTTTTGTTCTGTATTCTAATGAGGTTTGTATTTGTTTTGTTCACTGCCATATCCGTATCCCCAGTCTCTAGAACAATGTCTGGTACCAAGCAAGTTCTTTTCAAAATACTTGTTAAATAAATACATGAATGACCTACAAAGAGGCCATTGTGAATAAGAGGGTGGGGGATGGTCAGGAATCATATAAAAGATCACATATTTAAGAGTTGCATAGTAAAAACGGGCAGTGATTTACATTTGATAAATTGTAGTTGGATGTTTAGTACCTTTTTATTACTTTAAAAGTATATTTTAAAGGCAATACAAAAATATTTTTATTACATTTTAAAAATATGTATCTTCTAAAAGTGTAAGATAGATTCATGACACTGGCTACTAAATAAGTGAAACTCCTCCATGAAGCCTCAGATTTTGAGAGTCTTTCAGGAATCCGGGGTCTGCATGGGTCTGATGCAATAAGGTGTGATGGTATAAACCATAGTTTCCTCACCAGTAAAATGGGGTTAATACCATCTGTCTTTATCTACATGTGAAAGGCTCAGTAATTGTTATCAATCATAATGAGAATGAGAATGATGGTGGCATTGGTGATAACAAAGAAAATTATGGCAGCAGCTCACAAAAACCCCAGAAATATTAAATTGTTCACAAGTACAGGGAACAACTGACTCACCTGTATGTATGTCTGGACACACATACACACATGCATATAATGTTCTCTCTCTGTAGCTTGACAACCTCCCAAAAATAAAAGCTAGCCAAAGAGGTTTTCTGTGGCTCCTGTATGCCAAAAAAAAGCACATTAGAGGGGTGTGTCCTGTACACGGCTGCAGCGGTTTCATTTGTTTAAAGCCCCTGGAAGTCTTCAGTGTGGCAAACTCAGCACCCTGTTACCTTAATTTACCTAATCTTTAAGCCAATGATAACTGCTGACTGTACCACAGAGACAGCCTAAATTTTCTCCATGATTTTGATTGTCACATCACCTGGCACAAACACTCACAATACATCTGTGATCAGCAACAGAGAAAAAGTTTGGAGAAATGTCAGTGGTTGGCTTATCTTTCGTTTGGGCAGAGGAATACTGAGATCCTGGCTTTTATTTGTCTGCTTAGCATGATTATTAAATCTATGTTCAGGGGTGGCACCAAAGAAATCACAGAATGAGACCATGATCTCATGCTTAGAGAAAAAGCTTCTCCACTGGGCTCTTTGTGGTCCTGAAGATGTATCATGATCTCAGTCCCTACGGGGCTTCCCAGGTGGAAACCTTAGCTAGGAGAATAGGAATTCTTATGAGGACTGAACCAGCTCTCTTTCCACATTAGGCTCAAGAGTCCTGGGTTTAGTCTTCCATTACTGAACTGTCATTAAATGATAAGATTTAGGGGGAGGAAAAATTTATATCACTCTTAGAAGAAATACCTGCTGTTCTTTCTCCAAGACTGACTTAACAAGATCTTTAAAATTTAGAAAGGGTCTTTAAGAAACCCTTCTGGTCTCTGAATGCCCAATTTGCTTTAAATTCCTGGGAGACAGTCTAGGCTGTCAATATAATCTAAGCAATAATGTGTTATTCATATTTCTCTGAGGTCATCAATGTCTCTGCTTGCTATTCTTACTATTCTTCAGAATAATGGTGCTTAGTGAAGCAATTTCTTCTTAACTTCTACTGTGTGCCTAGTTACAGGCTATATTCAAAAGCCTATTATAAAATTCTACACCTCCTCACCATCCTTCATCCAGAGATTTAAATATAATTTAGGCCTCTCTACTCACCTCGTTATTTGCTTAATAAGTAATATCTGCAGATATGGAATATGAACTCTGGTCCTCTTATTTTATGCCAGCACTCAAAGTTTCAAAATATTCAGGGTCACATACCTTTTATATTTACAAGCACAAAATATTTTCACAGTAACAGCCCTTTTAAAATATCTTTGTGAACAATTATATATCAACAATATGGGTATCCTGTGAATCTTAATTAAGAAGACACCCATTAACAATTACCAAGAGGTAATAGTTAAATTGTACATTGAAAATAGTTGCCAATAATAATATTGCATATTTACCAAAACTTAGAGATAGTATAGCATTTTATAAAATATCAGATATTACCCTTTCGGAATTGAATGCAATAATAAGGGAAACTAGATTTCATGGAAAATAAAAACAATTATATTTAAAAACAAAAAGTTCAGATTTTTGTGCTTTAATGGAAGAGTTCCATATCTGGAGTTAGTTGAACATGTGTTGAGAACCTAGTTGTGCCTTTGGCAAGCTGTGTGACCTCGGACGATGTACTTTGCCTCTGGAAGATAGTTTCTTCCCTGTAAAACATGGCACACAGGGTGTGGATTAAAAAATTAACACTCTCAATGAATTTTAGAATGCTAGAAATTTCTAGATGATAAGGAAATCTTGGGTAAGGAAGTTAGTTTTCAGAAGCAAAGGATGTAACACAACCCATGAGTCTTTAAGGGCATGCTGCTACCGATAATATCTCACATTTTATCAACATTTAATAATTTATGAATTATTTAGCAACGCATCAACTTCTTCGATTATCATAACAATGCTACGATGTAGATACGTTGGGCATTCTAGTCTTCACTTTATAGGTAAGGCAACAGAAGATCAGAGAGTTAAAGTGACTTGCCATAAGCACCCACTGAGACCTCAGTCTGTTAATACAGTTAAATTCCTTGTATCCTGAACTTAGCAGTAAAGCTTGTCTCAGAAAATATACTCAACAAAGTTGTGGCATAGTGCTTTGGGGCATCAATTAGTTCTCTGGAATGACTAAAGTCTCTGTCTTCTCTACAGTGCCTTTGTTTACATTTTGATTGGATCCCCAAATTGCTTAGACTTTATGGAATCAAATTTTTTCTTTTCATGTAGTGTATGCATATACACTGTCTTAGTCAGCTCGGCCTGCCATAACAAAATACCATAACTGGCTTAAACAACAGAAATTTATTTCTGACATTTCTAGAGGCTGCAAAGTCCAAGGCCAAAGTGCTTTAAAGGTAGGTTTCTTTTTAAGACCTCTTCTCTTGTCTTATAGGGAGCCACCATCTTGCTGTGTGCTCACAATGCCTCTTCTTTGTGTGCACATGGGGAGAGAAAATGAGCAAGCTCTCTGGAGTTTTATTTTTATAGGGGCAGTAATCTCATCATAAGGACTCCATCTAACCCTAATTACCTCTCAAAGTCCCCATCTCCAAATACCATTACATTGGGGGTAGAGCTTCAATATATAAATTTTGGGAGACACCAACATTTAGTCTACAACATATTCATTCATTTATTCATTCAATAGTAATCATTACATACTTAGTAGTAATAACTTTTACTCATTTAGCAGTGAACAAAGTAGTTTTTCTTTTTCAAATATACCATACTTATTCGATCTGCAAAACAATCCTGTAAGATAAGTAAAGCAGAAATTTTTATTTCCATCTTACATATCAGGAAGTGGAGTCTCAGACAGGGAAAGCCAACTTTTAAGCTTGATTTTTGAATTGGAGCTTTTGAGTTCAAATCCAATACTCCATATACAATGCAACAAGGTACTATGAAGGATACAAATCTATTCATTTATTCATTCATGCAAAATTTTGACAGAGAGTATACCATGTGCTTACTATAATCACTGCAGATACAGCAGTGAACAAAACACACAGAATCATGCTGCCCTTTCGGAGCTTATATTCTAGATATTGTATCCTCCAGAAACATGCAATTTGGAAGAACATGTGCACAAAAAACTAGAGTACAGAGAAGCAGAAGATAAAAAGCCATCTGAGCATCAAAAGCAAGAAAATGCTATAGGATTTCAAAGGACGTGCAGAGTGTTTTTGGTATAATAAATTCAGGAAAATATTCACTGAGAGAGAAGCCCTTGAGGTGAAGTTTGGAGGGCAGGTGAAATGAGGATGTAAGCAAGAAAGAAAAAGAGAGATTAAGGGTTCGATAGGCTGTCAGTTCCCTGAGGTAGAGTTTGTTTTGTTTTATTTATCTCTTTTAATAAGGGCCTAGAATAGATACTGGCATATAGTCAGTGCTCATTATTTATTGAATTAGCAATAGATCACTCCAAGCATAGACATACTATGAATGACACCCTGAAGGAGGCAAGAGAAAGGTTTGTCTATGGAGCTATTATGGGAAGAGCAGGTTGTCTAATGTTCATAACCTAAAGCCAAACAGAACTATTTTTGTGGTAGAGAAACTATTTCAACTAATCCTTCTGTTTTCTGATAATTTAAGCAGGACTCAGCCTAGAAACTGCTTTGCATTCAACCCATGGTGCAGGTTTTGATATTCCTTCCGAATGCCTTTCTTATACCACTCCAAAATGGAATTATAACTTCTAGAGTTTCTGGCTCTGTAATCTCACCAGATATTCTGATGAGAGAATGTATTCTGTCTACGTTGAGGAGCATACTGAAAGAGTAGCAGCATTTAGTGCCCAGCGAGCCTGATGTTGAGTTCATGGAGAAGGCCAGAGACATCCAACTTATGAGGTCTCCCCACTTCTATAGTGTGCTGGCTGGTCCCAGTGGGAATCTCATCAGCAGAGATTAACAGTGAGGCCATAAAATAGTTTGCTTAACTGCCAAATAGCCATGTGGAAAGTGAAAGCTCTTCCAGCAATTGCTGGTGAGTGTCGCCATTGCACTGCACAAATATACAACAGAGCAGGGGCAGCTCAAGAAGCCGCTCATAGTGGGCAACAGCAGATGGGCAGTGCAGAGCAGCATGCTCAGGATGCAAAAGCTCATGTCCGTCCACTCTCTTTAATGTCACACAGCGCTCTGACCAGGTTTCGCCAGATCACCTAAACCTGGAGAGATACTCCAGATCCTCTAACTCAATAAGAGTTACCCACTTTAGGTGGTTTAAGGACCCCCATTTCTACCAGCCATGTTATAAGCACAACTGCATATACACATTCCTCACTTCCTCAACCCTAGTCTATTAGTTTACCAGAAAACAAGTCATCATGAAGACAGTTTTTTTCCTGCGGTTGGTTGGAGTTATACCTCTTGGTGGAAGCAAATCAGGCTTCTCTTTCCTCTCTAATCCTTTTGACTATCAAGTTTATCTGACTTTAAAACTTACACATAGCCACATGACCTATACCAAAAACCAAAAAACAAATCCCAACACACATAAACATACATGTGCAAATAATCATTTCAGTTTATTTGATTGTCCTACAGTCCTGCCTTAAATCCCAGGATGGCTTTTCCATCTACATAATGCTAGGGAGTGATACTGATATAATAGAGATAACCTTGTTTCCACTTTAATTTATGTAAAATAGTAAATCATTTATAAACTAGTACTATAAACATTAGAAGTAACAAATTACTGTGGCAAATCTTATAACTACTGTAATTATTATGTACTTGGTGTTATAGGGCCATGGACCAGAATTACTATTATTTTGTTTTGTTCTGTTTGTTTTTTGAGATGGGGTCTTGCTCTGTCACCCAGGCTTGAGTGCAGTGGCATGATCACAGGTTCGCTGTAACTTTGAACTCCTAGGCTCAAACAATCCTCCTGCAACAGCTTCCCAAGTAGCTGGGACTACAGCATGAGTAATCATGTCTGCCTATTTTTTAAAATTCTTATTTTTAGTAGCGACAAGGTCTATGTTGTCCAGGCTGGTATCAAACTCCTGGTCTCAAGTGATTCTCATGCCTTGGCCTCCCAAAGTGCTAGCATTACAGGCCTAAGCCACCATGCCTGGCCCCAGTACTACTGTTTATAAAGTATATTGAGGAAGATGAGATAGTTTACATGTCTGAGTACCAACAGTTATCTTATGGAATCATCTAAGGGTGATGCTGCCTTACATGCACTTATAGCGGAAATTTGGAAGATGTATATTCCTCCCTTTTTCAGGCAAATTCAGCAGTTTACTGCTATTGGTGCCTTGGGGTTGAGGTGGGGCATATATGATCCTTGGGTTGTACATTTCAAGTGTGGTGCTCAGCTCTTAACAACTATTGCCAATCAAGTTTGCAGCCATAGTCACTACACTCATGTAACACGATATGGAGTAGGCTATGTTCTTTCTCATTTCTCTTTATAGTCCTTTAATATAGAAACTGCAACAACACAATCTTTATAGTTTTCTACTGTTGGTACCTTTTCAATCACTCTGCTACTCTTTGTACTTATTTACTCTAGCCTAGCTGCTAGTTAATTACTTTTTATGTGTAAATTTCTCTAGTCCTTACCATTTTGTAAAGTTTTTGTACTTTCCCAACTATTCTTTAGATGGTCTTAAATGTATACATTTATAATCATACGAGATAATTTTTATCAAATTCCTATCTGTGACAAGGGCCCCTAAAAACACTAGAAGGTGGGTATTGATAGGAAAATTAAGGCTCACAGGTATTGTGTACTTTGGCAAAAATTAGCCAATAAATGAGTGATAAAAACTGGATATACATCCAGGTCCATTTGGTTCTAAGAGCTGTCTGTCACAGCTCTTTCTGTGCGTCATTCTCTTCATTCTAACAATAAATATAGATGTAGATATAAAATATTGATATAAAATATATTTCTGAATTTTATTTATTATTGCAGAGTGAAAACTAAAAGAGTCAAAGACACTTCACCAATGAAATGACTATAACAGTTGGAGGCATTCAGTTCCCAATGTATTTGCATCCTATTATACACTATATAAGTCTTTAGACAATGTACATATGATCGTCTGGTTAGAGCAAAGATTTTCTTGAGACAAGATATACCAATCCCATCTTCATCCTCCTTCTACATATCAGTATTTACTTGCACTTTTTTCTATTCACTTAACACAAAGCATGATCTATTCTGGATGAATAATAAAGAATACTGACTCCTATTTTCCTTTTTGTGTGCTTTCTGGGAAAGGGACTCGCACAACATGTGTATGAACTGGCACAGTTGATGTCTTGCACACAACATGGAGAATCTGGAAAAGCTACTTCTCTATTCTGCATTCTGAGACCTGTCCTCTCTTAAGAAAATGCAGCTGCAAGCACACATTTCAACCTTCTTTAGGGGTGTTCCCAAGAGGTGACCATGCCAGGGAATATTAAGCAGAGTTTGCTCTTGTTTGTCTCAGAACATTTTCCATCTTTGAGTTTCAGCAGAAACCAAAACCTTCAAAATCCAAACCATATAGCTTACTTGGTGAAATGACAGCTCAGTACAGAAATGGATCTTGATGAACTATTTCAGCTAGACTAGACCTGTCAGGCCAAAAGGTTTAGTGCAATTTCTCTGGAGTGAAGAATCATATATCCCTTCCCAGTAGGACTTCAAAATATTCCATTTCCTGACTTTAGCTTTTAAACAATAGCCACTCGGTAAATGAAGCAGAAATTCTCCCTCTGATTTTTTTATTGTTATTCTTAGATAGTGAGGTAGGAACACAGAAAATATCTGTTATTTCATCTGTACCTTCTCCAGTGTAAAATACCCCAGAGTCTTGCTCAAACATTATTGCTGAGGGCCCAGGATCTGTTCTGTTTTTCAATATATCTGGGGCTGGGCCACTTAATGACCAGAAAGGGCAGGAATGGACAACGTAGCGGTACTCATGGTGCTTTTAGGCACTCTGATAGCACGATATGCCATCTGCGGTTTTCTCTCTGGCCCACTTCTTAATTCTGTTCAGGCCTGTCTTCCCTCCAGTGTTCATGGACTGGTTTGATATCCGCTTAAGCTCCCTTGGTCTTCGGCTTGACTTCTTAGTTCACATCTGCATGCTGATTCATTACATCTTCACCAGACACCTTGGTTCTAGGCTTAGCTGACCTGGACCTCAGTTAGATACCAACTAGACGGTGTGTCCAGCAGACCCCATCTCCAATACTATTCCTGACCACCCACTAGGCTTCTGTAAGGCTTACCAGCAGCTGACGGGATGGAGAAGGGCGCGCCAAAGTCCAACTCTCAAACTTATCATTAGTTAAGGCCTACCCCGTATTAGCTGCTGTCCTTCAAATTTAATTTCTTCACATTTTCCTTGTCTGTTAAATGAGGATGAAAATAACTAGCCTACACCAGTTTCCTTGTAGGGATACCATGAGTTCCTACATACATGAAGGAGCTTCATAAACTGTGAAGTCCCTTGTATATATTAATAGTTAAAACAAAAACAAAACAAAACTCTTTTAGGTTAGTTCTCTGCTGCCCTCTCCTGGCTCCCAGTTTCCATAACTATGACTTCTTAGTGGGAATTAACCCTTTAAGTCTTGAAAGCTTCAGAAACTAGATCAGTAATTAAAGGAACCATTTTTAAAAGATACATTCTTGTTCGTTTACAGAGAAACATAAGCCACATAAGTTGACTGAGGTTCTCCTAAAATCTACTTGCATTTAGAGTCCAACTCTTCTGAATTGTTTTTCTACTTAGATTTCTTTATCTCTGAGTTTTCCCAGTCAATCTTGTTCTTTGGGACAATCAAGAACATTTTGAAGGGGCCAGGAGCAGTGGCTCATGCTTATAATCCCAGCCCTTTGGGGAGCTGAAGTAGGAGGATGGGTTGAGGCCAGGTGTTCAAGACAAGCCTGGACAATATAGCCACACCACTCTCTCTACAATTTACTTGTTTTAAAGAACATTTTTGATGGAGGTTTTCTTGAAAGGGTGCTCTACTATTGTCTTCAGAATATTCTTTCAAAATACCAGTATTCATTCTTAAGTTTTCAAGCTGGGTTGTCTTGAGCATATCAGAATATGTCAATGAAAGTTTTTTGGACAGGACAAGTAGGACTCACATTCTTTCCTGGAAGCATTTGTTGACTAATTGCATTGAGGGAATTCTGTTGTCTAGCCGTGGCACCAGGAATAATATTAATAATTGTTTTCATAATTAGGCAATGACAACTGCAGCACAACTGCTGCCTGGCTGACAAGAGTTTAAAAAGGTGTCATCTATTGTAAGACCAACCTTGACTTCAGAGAAGATAAAATGTAAAAATTGTGCACCCTAAAATTGATGAATATTTCATCTTTTTGATAATTTAGCAGCTAATATCTCTGTAATGATAGTGTAAATCCATGCAATTTGTCATATAATGACTTCTAGAATATGATCAAATTTTAGCATGTCTAGAATTCACTAGCATATAATGCCATTGTTCTTCATTCTGCAGACCTTTATTGGATCATGTCGTACATGCCAGGTACTTCACTAGGCACTGAAGGTATTGCTATGAAAGACATGGCTTCTGTCTTCCAGAACATAACAGCTTGTAATATATGTTCCTCATTAGTGGAGAGGGTGTTCAAGTCATATACCAGAGGAAGTACATAGAGACTTACTGCAGAAAAATCTCATATAAGTTAGTTGATCCAAGTCATCTCAATGGACAGATGAAAAAACCCAAAGCCTATAGAGATTAGTGCCTTATCCCATGCCAAACACATGCACTAATTAATGCATTGTGTGTTGATTTTTATGTGATATTGTAGAAACCAATTTTAGTGGAAAAGCTTAACATGGGTGACTTTAAACTTTTACTAAAAGAAGATTTATAATGCATTAGTTTTATTTTGATGGTTTTATTTTATATTTTATATCAGAATAAGTGATAGGAGTGGGGAATAAAGCATTGTATCTTTTTCTCTTTGTTCTTTTAAAGTACACAATTTAATTTTTACTTTTGTATTATACAATATTTTATACTTATAAAATTATATTTTTAATGTATTATATATAAAATATATGAAAAATGCTAATAGGACAACCACATTCAGAAATAGGGTGTTTTCTACATCACTGAAGTTTCTCATGAGGCCATTCCTTTCTCTTCCACTCGGAAGCTATCAGCATTCAGAACTTTTTATCATTCCCTGGAATTCCTTCATAGTTGTAATACATATGTATGTGGCTTGAAATAGTGTTTAGTTTTACATATTTTAAAATTCTGTATAAGGAGTATCAAAGCATAGGTATTATTCTTACATCTTATTTCTTTTCTACCCAACATACTGTTTATTAGATTCATGCTGATATAAGTAGCTTATTCATTCCTTTTATTGTTGTTTAGTAATCACTGAACTAAAATTTATGTATCCATACTATTGTTGATAGAAATTTGTGTTACTTCCAGTTTTTATGATTATAATTAATGCTGTACACTTATTCTGTTGTATATGTGAAGGACTTTTCCTAGATCATATATCTAGGAAAAGAATTGCTAGTTAATTAACTGTGCCCATTAGTAACTCTACTGGTAATTTATAGACACCAGATATGTATGCATGTTCTCGTTTCTCCACAATCTCATCAAGATTTGTTAATAAAATTTTAAAAATTTCCAATGTTGTATGTATAAGACATTATCTCATTGTGGTATTAATTTGTATATCCTAGATTGAACATGAGACTGAATATCTTTTCAATATTTCTTGTTCTGCTGAGTTTTCTAGTCTATGCACTGCCAGTTTATTCTTTTGCCTGTTTTTTTCTTTCAGGTTGCTTGTCTTTTCTAATTGATTTGAAGAAATTCTTTATATGTTACACATACTAATTCCTTTTTAATTTTATATGTTACAAATATATTCTATTATTTCATAGCTGCTTTTCTCACTTTTTGTGTTTTCTAGTAGTTTATAATTTTAAGGTAGAAAAATTTGTCCATTTTTTCCTTTAATATTTTTGCTTTTTGTGCTGTGCATTAGTTTGAAGTAAATATGCCTTTTTCCCATATAGATTAACAATTATTCTAGCAATATCTATTGAATGGCTCATCTTCTTCCTAATAATTGCAATATTATGCCTGTCATACATGCTATTTGTCTATTCCTGCAGCAGGATATCCTGTCTTAATTACTATTGTTTTAAAATCAATCTTTAAAATCTGGTACCACAATTCACCCCACATTTTCTTCACAAATTATATTTTCAGAGCCTTTGCTCTTCTAAATACTATCTTAGAACTGTATTGGGATTTTAACTGAAAATATGTTTGGTTGATCTTTTTGTTTCTCATTTCTTTTTATACCTACTGGTTTGGTATTTAAATACACTAGCTCCATTCTGTTAATTGATACCATTGAAGCATGAACATGCATACTTAATAAAATCTAAAGTTAATCAGTGTCTTTAACTTCCCCCCAAACAGTAAACATATCTGAAAACATTTTAATTCTGATCTCTTCCTAGCTTACATTGCATAGCTTTTTTATATTTTACCTCAAGCTTTTTTTTTCATTTTAGTCCAACAAGTTAGATGTTATGATGTTTATTTTTAAGAATAGGTTTAAATCTCCCAACAAGTATGTCTTATTTTATTTTTGATCACATTCCTTTCTTCATGTCAGATTTTCTCTGATGTCAATTATTTACTTCTGAAACATTCTCTAGGAAGTTAAGGTCTTTTGCTGATAAATTAAAAAAAAATTCTGGAATGGAATTTATTTCCCTCTGGTTCTTAAAACCATAGTTTTATTGGGTTTCAAATTTTTGATTGTCAGCTATCTTTGGAGCACATTAAAGGTCCATTCCACTGGCTTCTGGATTCCACAGTTGTTGGTGAAAAGTTACCTGTCAAACTCATTTCTGATGCTTTGTAGGGGAGCCATCTTTTCCCCTCTGGCTGCTTTTAGGGGATAAACCAAGGGGTTCATTCTTGAAATTCTAATGTCTATTATTTCATTGTTTGTTCTGGTTTCCAACAAAAGACATTGGAAATTGTGCAGTAAGGTTGAAAATGGGAATGCATAGTGACAGAAGTAAGTAGGGGTACTTTTTACCAACATTTTGACGTGACTTAATGAAGTTTGACTGCACAGCTTACTGGTTTCTACCCCATAGAAAACTACAGTAAGTGACTCTAAAACAAAAACATTTTGGCGATGTGAACATGTGGTCAGAAAAATAAAAACCAGTCTGAAATCACAAGAAAACTGACAGTCAATGGACCACCAAGATGTGTTTCCACTAAATGGTATACATACATACAAGTACCACAAAATCTTAGATAGGAAGTAAGAGTTGAGTAAGGCCCAGTAAAGAGATAGAGTTTGTTGAGTATGATGAATTATTTCCCAGAAAATCATGAAATATATTTTCATCTAATCAAGTGAGTCTTACAAAAATGTGCTCCCATTTTGTATACTATCTTATAGCAAAGGATACGGGTTGGACAGCTTATGAATCCACATGTATACACTTTATATACATTTGTCACATTTTATTCACTCATGGATTCATTCATTCACTTAAAACTATTATTAAGTCCATCTGTGTTCTGGGAACCCATGTTCCTATTTAAGTAAATGCATCAAAACTATTATCTTATTTTTTTCATAGAGATAACAAAAACTCTCAGGCTATGAAGGCAATTGCAATGCAAGTATGCTATTTAATTACTTGGGGAAGAGTAGTTTCATTAAAATGTCAGCTAAATTGAGTAGAAAAGATGCAAAAAAATAAAAACCAAAACCCACTCCAATGTTATCTAGAGATTTTTCAATGGTTTTACTTTATTATTTGATATGGTTGTAAAAAAAGAAAGAGAAGAAAGAAGAAAGAAGTAGAAAAGAAAGATAAGAAAAGGAAGAATCCTCAATCTAATAACCTCATGCTCAATTTTCAGTTACTTGTCTTTGTGAAAATGAACCTACTCTACTGCTTCTTTGAAGGAAAAGAGCAGGCCTGATTTCATGATTAAGCGTCAACTCTAGAGAATGATGTGGTTGTAATCTGTCTGCCATATGTGTTATGGTTAAGTGGTGGTTTAACATATCTTTTTTTGTAAAACTTAAAGCTTAACAAATAAACAAATAAATAATGGCTCTTGCCTTAAAATATGCTGGTAATGTATTGACAGAGAAAAACATAACCCTTTTACTCCTATTTATATTCCATCATTTCTGCCAGTGAGAAGGATGGTCAGGCTAGTAAGAGGAGCAGATATTTGCGAGAGGAAATTGAAGCCCAACAAGATGAGTTAACACTCAGGAAGTGTGTGTCTCCTGCCCAGATAGAACTGCAGGCATGCAGGGCAACTGAGAGGATGTGCAGTTTAGTTTGCAGAGTTGCTACCAGCAATGTTTGAGGAATATGGAGAGCAGAATAGGTATTAAAGGACTGATTAGGACAATATGATGATGAAAAAAACTTTAGAGAACTTAAAGAAATGTCTAAATCTGATTTTTAAATAGACTATTTTTTTTTAGGATTTGTGAGCACATGGAAAAAGAATAGTGATCCTAGGAGCTACCATATATGCCTTATTGACAAATTATGTTATATTGACCTTGCTTTATTTTGGGTTAAGATCTCTAGACTCTGCCGGGCGTGGTGGCTCATGCCCGTAATCCCAGCACTTTGGGAGGCTGAGGCGGGCGGATCACCTGAGGTCAGGAGTTTGAGACCAGCCTAACATGGAGAAACGCCGTCTCTATTAAAAATACAAAATTAGCTGGGTGTGGTAGTACATGCCTGTATAATCCCAGCTACTCAGGAGGCTGGGGCAGGAGAACCGCCTGAACCTGGGAGGCAGAGGTGGCAGTGAGCCAAGATCGCGCCATTGCACTCCAGCCTGGGCAACAAGAGCAAAACTCTGTCAAAAAAAAAAAAAATCTATAGACTCTTCTACTGAAATCTTATAGGCCAAGTGGGAGCACATTTCAGCAAGACAGTTTGTAGAAAATAATGAAGATAAAGATGAAAATATGGGTGCAATGCCTTTACAGTTTGATATATACATAACTGGTGGTACCCAAAGAGAGGTGTGATGTCTAACACGAGGGAGCTCCCTGGTAAAATGGTCCTCCTCTGATTAAATTCTTTAAATTAAGATTTAAGTGAAGATATATTTGTTAAATTTGCAGGTGACAAGAAACTTGAAATACTACTATTAGGCTTTAAAGCAGGATCAGGTTTTAACACAATCCCAACTGCCTAAAAAGATGAAATTTAATATAGATAACTGGAAAATCTAGCACTTGAATATAAACATGATTTACTGAGTAAAATTTAACTTAGCAGGCAAAAACACCAGGGTTTTAGGAGAGCATACCCAATATGAGAAGGTGATGATAAAAAGCAACCAGCCACACCCAAAAGACTCCAAGAATGTCTTGGTGAACACGAGTTAACCAGTCTGAAGGCACTGTGAGCCGTTCGTTTTTATTTCAGATTTTCCACGCTCTTTTCAGTTACTCTAAAATAACTAACAATGCTCTTTACCTTTATAAAACTACTTTATCGTTTGAAAGCTTATGCTCTCTGTCCCCTTCCTACACTTTTTGTTTGGTTTAGAGCATAGTAAATAAGCACAATAATTTTTTAGATCTCCTCTGCTGCACTTAATACTTCTTGTTTATAAAAAGATACCTGCAATTATTTTTATCCAGGATAGATGTGAGCTCCTGGAGGTTGAACTGCCACAAGTTTCCTTATAAGTCTATAAATACAGGCTCTGCAACTGATCTCATTTATTTCCAAGGTTTTAAATGCCATCTGCATGGTGGAAACTTCCAAATGCACATCTCCATCTCTGATCTCTAGCTTCCTTTGTCCTGCATCCTTGACATCTTCTGTTGCATGTCACATCAAATATAACATAACTCCAAACAGACCATGTGATGTTTCCTTCTAACCAGCTTAGCTGTCATTATGCGACATCTCAGTAAATAATATGAGCCTCAACTCCGTTGCCGAAGTAAAAAATGCAGGTATCACTCTTGATATTTGTCTTCCCTTTACACCCTGCCCATCATCAAGCCTGTCAGCTCTACCTCCAAAGTAACTCTTGATAACAACCCAGTCTGTCCCTTTCCACTGTTATGCCATAGTCTAAGCTACCAACATCTCTCATTATTTCCAAGGCTTTCTATCTGATTCTCTGATTTCACTTATGCCTCCCATGGGACATGTTCCAAATAGTAGCCAAAGTTGTCTCTTAAAATACACATCATGTTTTCTTATGTCTTTGCTTAACGTTATTTTATGGCTTTTAATTGCAATAATAAGAATACTGAAATTTCTACCATGGCATATGACCTCCTACCTGATCGGGTCTGGTGGAGTTTTTCCAGCTTCTTCTTCTGTCGCTCTTTTACTTATTCACTAGAATCAACTCACGCTGGCTTGCTTTCTATTCTTTAAACATTCCAAACTCATTCCTGCTTTAGAGACTGTAGATTTTTCTGGTCTCTTTGGTTGAAATTCTCTGATCCCAGATTTTTAAATGGTTGTTTTCTTCTTGTCATTTGCATCTTAGTTCAAATAATACCTCCTTAAAAAAAATTCCTACCTTCCCCAGTTACTACCAGCACATCCTATTTGAATGACACCAAAGCAAGTATCACCATGGGAAAATTATTTTGTTTGTTTCTTTATTGACTATCTCCCCTCACAAGGTGTAGACAGAATAATGGGGTCCTATCTGTGATTGCTACCACTGCACCCTTAAAGCCTGGAACAGAGCATGGCACATAGTAGGCAATCAATAAATATTTGTTGAATGATGGATTCTATAATTAGTGAAGAGAGGTCTAAAGTGTAGGTTCTTAAATTCTAAAAAGAATGTACTCTTACTCAGTTAGGACAAATGACTGATAGCAGATACTTTCAGCTTTAATGGGAGGAGGCCATGAAGAGAACAGAAAAGGCTTGACGTTCTGAAGTGAAAACGGTGTTAGTCGTTGGATGACAGCAAATGGGATAGAGTATCTGTGGCAGGAGAAGGTAGCCTGGAATAGAAGATAAGTTGCACTTTTATTAATTAAAGTTTAGAACTTCCTTTCCAGAGGATTCACTAATTGAAAACAACAACACAAAGCAGGGTTTCTCAACCTTAGGACTGGAGACATTTGGGGCTGGATAATTCTTTCTTGTGCGGGCTGTTCTAGGCATTGTTGAATATTCAGCAGTATCCCTGGCCTCTACCCACTAGATGCAGTAGCACCTTCCCTGTTGTGGCAAATAAAACTATCTCCAGACATTGCCAAATGTCCCCAGGGGGAAGGAGAGGCAAAATCACCTCTGGTTAAGATTCAATACTCAAAAAAAAAAAAAAAAAGTTCACATTCACATTTTATTCACATCTATCTAATAGACAAAATTATTTGTAATAAATTACCTCTTATGATGAACCACTTAACAATCCTCAAGCAGGAAATAAAAGAGGGAAAAAAGTGCCTAAATTTTAGAGCTTGGTAGGCTTTCATGTGGTATATAATGGTAATGTTCATTTGGGCCCAATTGTAAAATTTCAACATTAAAAGAAGAAAGGTATTTTATTCAATTACAATTTATGGTCACTTTGAATACATAAACCTAGAAAGGTTTTGTGGAATTCTGGATAGAGAACGAGCTATATTGATGGAAATCTCAGCTCTGTTTTAAAATCTCAGCTCTGCTACTTACCCGCTGTATGACCTTGGATGAGTTACTTAATGAAGCTGAACATCACCTTCTTTTGCTGTAAAATGGGAAATGCAATCCCTATATTTTAGAGGTGCTGTAAAGATTAAATGCAGTAAAATTCATGCAAACAGTCCAGCTGCATGTGTAGCACACTCTCTTTGAATGTTAGCAATTGTTTTTTTTTCTAAAGTAAATGGCCTTTTTCTTTTTTATGTCATATAAAAGTAGCTAATGCAGATGTATACCATGATACAGAATTAATATACAGTGAAACACACTAAGGGAATGCCTTCATTATTTTCAGGCAAATAGCTTTTGACAGGAGTCAAGTATCAATTAAGGTACTGTCTTCTGATTACACATGGGACTTCTTGATCATAAAAACCTCTATTAGATGTGATCCTTTATGCTTTTGACACATGCTATCACACTCTCAACTTTGTTTCGTTGAGGTCTATCTTCCTGCCAGAAGTAGGTGGGGGTAGTCTTCTGTCACCTTGGATTTTGAAGCCCATCAAAGGCAAAACAAAACAAAACAAAAATCACCTTCTGAAACCTTATTAAGACACATGAAATTTTAGGCTGTCATCTTTGTTGATTTTGAAAGATCTCAACTCTAATTGGTAATGGAAACTTAAGTCATCTCATATGGGCGCAGGTATGATAACCAGTTTGTGCCTAAACTCAGTACAAAATTTTCAACATGATTACAAATTGTCAGATTTAAAAAAATCATGCTGTTGGTTGTGTGATTATGGGTCAAACTTTTAATGCTATCTGAGCACAGAAATAAGTCACATCTTAATACAATTTTTTTTTCATTTTTACAAAGCTGTGAGTATGATTTCTAGCTGTAAATTATGGGTATAACATTTGAGTAGGAATTTGCAATGAGACATTTTGAAAGTGGCAGTAAACAAATGGACAAATACTAGAGGCTTTGAAAACTTTAAACTGGGCTTTCAAAGCCATAATTAGTTTTTCTAATCAGAGTTGTATTATTTAATTTTTAAAAACTACGTTCTATTCTCCACTTCACAATGAGAAATACCTCAGTTAAAGAAAGAACATGTTCTCTCTCTCACTGTCCTTCCCTCTCTGGATCTCTTTCTCTCCCTCTGCGTTTTTCTGACTCATATGGTTTCCCCTCTGTCTGGATTGTCCTGCCATCTCATTATCCTTCAGTCGGTAAAATCAGAGCCAAAACACTAAATGTAATTGTGCAACCTTTAAGGCTTGTGTTTCTGGTTTCAAATTTTCCCTCTGTTAGCATCTTAATGACCCACACTGATCATTATTGTCCCCTCCTCCAGGTATACTTTGGTACTCCCATAGCACTGGTGTTTACCTCTGTCTTTGCACCAGTCCATGGTCCTGTAACTCCTTCCTTACTTGCCTGATTCTCTACTAAATTGACGGCACTTCTCAGACTTCAATACCCACCTCTAAGAGTAGAATTATATGCTGAGACTCACATGCATTGCTAAACATTACCTCCCAAAACAAGATTCCCAGATAGGACCTGCTTTTGGTGAGCACAAGGACATCCCTGTGGGCAGGAAGCCTGAGTGTTTGCTCTGGGAAAGCCCTGTAGGGCTCTGTCATTCCTGGCTTTGGCCCCAGCTCCCTTTTTGACTCTAGACAATCGTGCTTGGTCGCTACAAGGAGTGATCAGTCTTCTCACCTGGCTCTGCCTCTGGGTGATGGTGAGAACCTTCTTCAATAAGCTGCTTCTGTTCTAATTTTGAAAAGACTCTCCTGAGTGGTTAGATTATAAGAACAGGGGTGCTACTTCCTCCCCCAATAGGTTGACTATTATGGATTACCTGTTAATTGCTATAGTTGCCAGCACATTTTACAGTTTCCTCTGTGGCACAGAGGGAAAGCCAGGAGTTACATTTCTCAGAATCCCCTTCTCTTTATGGTTGTAGGTTAGATTTGGCCACATAATGGTTCAATAAAATACCACATGTGAAATGCCAAGCATAATGCCTGGTACAGAGTAAGTAGCTAATCAAATTGGAGTGTCTTTCTTTCTCAACTTTTGTTACCGATGCCACATTAAGGGCATACATATCAAATTTAATGAATTTATAACCTTCAGAAGGCCATCAGATATATTCATTAATCAATAGTATTATTTTTTTCTTGAGTTTGTTAACTATAGTAATTGCAAAACCTGGAAATGACCTAGTGTGAAGTCAAAGTGAAAAAGGAATAAAGAACAGTTAAGAGGATGTATGTGTTGAGAAATTCAAATAATAAGGGTAATTGTACACTGTGTGTCCACATCAAGATTATAATCTGTTTTTTAATTAACTAATAATGATTATGCTATAATTTTACTGTGTTTTGCATATCCTCCTAGACCTTCTTGGACCTTAGAGTACAATCTGATGAAATATTAATTAAAAGAAAATTAATATTTCTGTATTAATTTCTGTGCATTCTATAAAGCAATGGTAGGGAAGAAGGCAACCATATATACAGCCCTCAGAGCATATTTATACCGTTTTAAAGAATTTGTTATAGTCTAGTTTAGGGTGTTTCATTGTTTTAAAAGAGACAACTTTGTTGGTACTAAAATCATTCTAATTATGTTCTTTGTTTTATTTGGCTTTTAAAAACAATTTAAAAGTATCAGTCACTTGGTATCTATTATGCACCTGCAGGTGCTGAGCTCTCACATGGTAATTTGAGACAGGGGGGCAAAAGATAAGTAAAATATTTATAATAAATACGAATTGGATGAGTCTCCATTCCAAAGAAATACCTAAATTGATATCAATCACATATGCTAAAGTGAAGGAAGGAAATTAGCAGTTAACATATACCTGGTATACGCCAGGTACTTATCAATATTATCTTAAATTTAATTCTTCAAATTAAAGTATTCTATTAAAAACCTATGAGGTAGACTTTCTTATTCCTATTTACTGTATGAAGAAGCTTTGGCTCATTTTGTTCAAGACTCCCAGTAGTAGGTGAAAAAGCTAGAATCCAAACCCGCTGACTCCAGATGCTGTTTTATCTGTACTATGGTATTTACCTCTAAAAAAAATTAAATTAGTTTTCATTAGTTGTGTCATACCAAAAGTATGGTCTTGTACCTAGTAGATGTTTCATCCAGCACTGCTGGGCCTTACTGAGGTCCATGGGCCAGAAAGTCTGTATAAATAATTTTCCTGGGAAAGGAGAAAGCCAGGAGTTATGATGGATTTGAAATGGGTGAGGGCCCTTGGAGAAGGAAAGTATGAGAAGATCTTTTGCAGGAGCTGGCACATTGGCCTAGTTCAAAATTATAGCTACCATGAATTGCTATATAAGGTACTCTATGAGCATTTTACACATAATATCTAATTTAATCTTTAAAACAGTCTGTGGACCAATGAAGCATTATTGACCCAGTATTACAGATGAGAACTCAGAGACAGAGAAAGCTCAAAAAACTTGCCTATGGTCCTACAGAGTCTAGCTGATCCTGAAGTTCATGGTAATGAACTTTATACTGTATTTTGCAATTAAATATTAGACTATATTCTACAATGTAAAATGCTCACCAAACTTAAATTTGATTGCATTGAGACATAAATGTCATACTGTAGAAAGTCTTGTTTTATCTATAACTCCCAAACCATGGTGGCAATTGGAGAAGAGGGGCCCTTCCACCTGACCCATTCCTGATGTCTTCAAAACCTTTGTGATATAGAAGTATGGAGAAGATGTGGCTTTTACATATAACCTTTAATGGATCTGTCCTACATCTTGGTTTCTTTTCTGAGGGCCTCTAGGGTACTACTAGAGCTGGCTTTAACGTGAGAAAGCAAGCAGAGTAATTGTTTATCACTGATGAAATGCATGTCTGGTGTATCAGAAAATAAACACTTGGGTTTGAAAGTGAGAAGCAAAGTGGACCAAATGGACTGCCTTATTGGAACCACTGCTGGCCATTCTCAGACCTCACTGGAAAAGCTAAGGCAGAATATCCCTATAATATAGAAATATTCCAGCGATCCCAGAGAATGAGGCATGGAAAGGAGGGTAGGCATCTCATTACCTCTTGAGAGTGATCAAGATTGCAGGACCCATCTGAGACAGATAAAATCTTTAACATGAAAATGGAAATCCTCAAGAATAGTGTGTGGTTAACACATGAAGGGAGGCAAAGAAAGGGACGCTGGTGAGGTATTTTACTGGGCGGTATGATACTTGAATTCGTGAGTGTCTATAAATAAAATGAGGTAGTTCTCTATGTACTGACATGAAATCTCTAAGATAAATCATTATGTGAAACAAGTAAGGTTTCACTTACACGAACAATGTGCATGGGTAGTATGTTTATATTAAAATAAGAGGTGTGAACAGCTGTATAAAAATATTTACATATGCTTACCTGTACATAGGACAGCCCTGGAAGGACATATCCCATATGCATTTGGACAAGGAGCTAGCAGTTAACAGTGGGAGGGAAACTTACTTTTCACTGAAACACTTTTATGTCATACTACAAGCATATATTGTCTCTTGCCTGAAAATCAACATTTTTAACTATAAAAAAATCCACACGTCTCTGAGCTGACAAAATTAAAACATATGGAAAAATGCTGCACTATATTCAAAATGAAAAGATGACGCTGATTCAGATTTAAAAAATGATACAACTCAGAAACCAGAAAGAATGGGAAAAGCCTATATTTCATTGTTCTCCATTCAAAGCCGCAAGTACAGAGATATAATCTTTACAAGATAAGTAGCCAATATAACTAACTTTAAATGAAGTTTTTCCTTTCCAAACACCTGCAATAAGCTTTCCTCATTTGAAACAAAGAATATATTTCTGGGCATATCCATGTGTGAAAGTTGAACCTCAGGAGATCCCAATCTCATTTCTCCTGCCTAATGAAAGGGGAAGAAAAATTAAAGCTAATTTGGGCGTACTTAATTTCAAAGTTAAAAGCTCTGAATTTATATATGTCAGAAAACGGTCTTGATGGCAAATTTTTAAAGAAAAAAAAACATGTCCCAAATGGTATCACACACAATGCAGCAATCCCTGGACGAGTGAGAGTGAAAAACTTGAGTTCCAACTTGGCCACAAACTTATGAGACTTTAACAGAGTCACTCTTTTTATTTTTCACGTCATCCATCTCAAGGCTATAATTTTATTGACATTTCCTTCAGTACAGGCAAGGCTTAAATAGCAAGTATTCTAGATTGATTATAAAAATGGCTCCAATTCTTTCTTTCCCTGTATCCACAGCACTCACAATATGACTTTGAAGTTATTTTCATGACAAGAGTCTATTTTTCCAACCTTTGGATCAGAGTTAGACTTGTGTGACAATGTGCCAGTTTCAAGCCCAGGCTTCACATGGCCTGGCATGCTTCTAATCACTCTCTGCTGTACCTTTGGACAAGTCCAGACTAGCTTTTTGAAGAAAAGAAAGCATAAACAGGAGAGCCAAGTCATGTAAGCTGAGGCCATCCCAGACCAGTTAGCTCCTAGTCCACTTGCCAGCTGACTACAGATGCATATGATACTCCAGCAGAGATAAGATGAGATTAACTGAGCCCAGACTAGATTGTTGGAAGTGCCCAGCTGACCCATAGACTCATGAGGTTTTATTGTAAATTACTTGCTTTGGGGTTATTTGTTATACAGCATTTTTGTAACAAGAGATAAACTGTATAGGAAGAAAAAGCACTTTTAAAACAATATGTGTTTTACCAATATTTCATTCTAATCATCACTATTAATTAACATTTCCCTTAAGGGTAAAAACGAATACCTCTAAGCAGAAATATAAGTAAAATATATTCATGAGAAAATTATTTTTCTTTTGAGTTCCCTAAGATTGAAAGTTTACCTGTGACTTAGGGTGAGATTCTTTCATTCTTCATTCATTCTTGGTCCTATCTGGGGAATCTTTTCCTGGAATGATCATGAAATAGATCCCTATGTGTGGTGTTCAGCACCCAGATACAGGAATATGCCACATACTCAACATGCATTTCCATTTTCATGCCCCCTCTCACAACTCAGCCAGCTGCTTTGAGCCAAGTACACCAGTGGCCCTTACCTAATTCCTGAGACAATCTTATGGGAATTAGCATTTCATTGGTACATATTTCCAGATTTGTGTGTTCACATTTCCAGTCCTGTAACATGAGTAACCCATGAGATAGCTCCTAGTCTTCAATAGCCACAATTTCCTCCATGGCTACCTAAGATACTTTAGTACCAGTAAAAGAAACTCTTTGGTTTCAGCATTCCCAATCACTATAATATAATGACTCAGTACAGAATAATAGGCATCTGTTCTGATAACCATACTATTCCTTGACAGTTCATGCTATTTGGATGTCCAGTGAAGCAATTTAAAGGAACAGATTTTGGAGTTCAAATCGTGGCTCTGCCATTAACTAATTTCGGATAAGAGATTTAATTAATCTGAACATCTGTTTTCTTATCTATAGTATTGGGATAACAATACCTCCTGCATAGGGTTTGAGGAGATGAAGAAATAAGATTATATATATATAATTATACACACACACACACACACACACACACACACACACATATAATGGTTTAGTACAACTAATGGGTACATAAATGGAAAAAGTGATGGCACCTGAAGTTCAGTTACATACAAGGCAACACATTGGACCTGCTTCTAGTATATACATTTGGACCATGGCTAAGACTGCTATGCCCTTTAGACTCTGGCCTTCATTGCCAGACTACCCTGATAAAAGCAAAATGTTAAAACCAAGATCTTCCTTTGCAAACACCATAGTAATCTGCATTCCATCTGATTCTGGTTTTCTTCCCTCATCCCTCTCCCCTACCTTGGGATCCGTGGATGAAATGTAGGTATATCCCAGGTCTAAGTCCTCTGGGTACTGACAGAAACACATATTGTGCAACATATGGAAGACCACAGAAATAGAGCCTTTAGCACGGGATTAAGACCAAGCATGAAGAAACTGTATCAACTAAAGAGCAAAATAACCAGCTAACATCATAATGATAGGATCAAATTCACACATAACAATATTAACCTTAAATGTAAATGGGCTAAATGCTCCAATTAAAAGACACAGACTGACAAACTGGATAAAGAGTCAAGACCCATCAGTGTGCTTGTATTCAGGAGACCCATCTCATGTGCAGAGACACACATAGACTCAAAATAAAGGGATGGAGGAAGATCTACCAAGCAAATGGAAAACAAAAAAAGGAAGGGGTTCCAATCCTAGTCTCTGATAAAACAGACTTTAAACCAACAAAGATCAAAAGAGACAAAGAAGGCCATTACATAATGGTAAAGGGATCAATTCAACAAGAAGAGCTAACTATCCTAAATATATATGCACCCAATGCAGGAGCACCCAGATTCATAAAGCAAGTCCTTAGAGACCTACAAAGAGACTTAGACTCCCACACAATAATAATGGGAGACTTTAACACACCATTGTCAACATTAGACAGATCAACGAGACAGAAAGTTAACAAGGATATCCAGGAATTGAACTCAGCTCTGCATCAAGTGGACCTAATAGACATCTACAGAACTCTCCACCCCAAATCAACAGAATATACATTCTTCTCAGCACCACATCACACTTATTCCAAAATTGACCACACAGTTGGAAGTAAAGTACATCTTAGCAAATGTAAAAGAATAGAAATTATAACAAACTGTCTCTCAGACCACAGTGCAATCAAACTAGAACTGAGGATTAAGAAACTCACTCAAAACTGCTCAACTACATGGAAACTGAACAACCTGCTCCTGAATGACTACTGGGTGCATAATGAAATGAAGGCAGAAATAAAGATGTTTTTTGAACCAATGAGAACAAAGACACATCATACCAGAATCTCTGGGACACATTTAAAGCAGTGTGTAGAGGGAAATTTATAGCACTAAAGGCCCACAAGAGAAAGCAGGAAAGATCTAAAATTGACAACCTAACATCACAATGAAAAGAACTAGAGAAGCAAGAGCAAACACATTCAAAAGCTAGCAGAAGGCAAGAAATAACTAAGATCAGAACAGAACTGAAGGAAATAGAGACACAAAAAGCCCTTCAAAAAAATCAATGAATCCAGGAGCTGGTTTTTTGAAAAGATCAACAAAATTGATAGACTGCTAACAGACTAATAAAAAGAAAAGAGAGAAGAATCAAATAGATGCAATAAAAAATGATAAAGGGGATATCACCATCGATCCCACAGAAATACAAACTACCATCAGAGAATACTATAAACACCTCTATGCAAATAAACTAGAAAATCTACAAGAAATGGATAAATTCCTGGACATATACACCTTCCAAGACTAAACCAGGAAGAAGTTGAATCTCTGAATAGACCAATAACAGGCTCTGAAATTGAGGCAATAATTAATAGCTTACCAACCAAAAAAAGTCCAGGACCAGATGCATTCACAGCCAAATTCTACCAGAGGTACAAGAACAAGCTGGTACCATTCCTTCTGAAACTATTCCAATCAATAGAAAAAGAGGGAGTCCTCCCTAACTCATTTTATGAGGCCAGCATCATCCTAATATCAAAGCCTGACAGAAACACAACAAAAAAAGAGAATTTCAGACCAATATCCTTGATGAACATCGATGCAAAAATCCTCAATAAAATACTGGCAAACTGAATCCAGCAGCACATCAAAAAGCTTATCCACCATGATCAAGTGGGCTTCATCTCTGGGATGCAAGGCTGGTTCAACATACGCAAACCAATAAATGTAATCCAACATATAAACAGAACCAAAGACAAAAAACCACATGATTATCTCAATAGAAGCAGAAAAGGCCTTTGACAAAATTCAACAGCCCTTCATGCTAAAAACGCTCAATAAATTACATATTGATGGGACGTATCACAAAATAATAAGAGCTATTTATGACAAACCCACAGTCAATATCATACTTAATGGGCAAAAACCGGAAGCATTCCCTTTGAAAACTGGCACAAGACAGGGATACCTTCTGTCACCACTCCTATTCAACATAGCGTTGGAAGTTCTGGCCAGGGCAATTAGGGAGGAGAAAGAAATAAAGGGTATTCAATTAGGAAAAGAGGAAGTCAAATTGTCCCTGTTTGCAGATGACATGATTGTATATCAGAAAACCCCATCGTCTTAGCTCAAAATCTTGTTAAGTTGATAGGCAACTTCAGCAAAGTCTCAGGATACAAAATCAATGTGCAAAAATCACAAGCATTCTTATACACCAATAACAGACAAACAGAGAGCCAAATCATGAGTGAACTCCCATTCACAATTGTTTCAAAGAGGATAAAATACCTAGGAATCCAACTTACAAGGGATATGAAGGACCTTTTCAAGGAGAACTACAAACCACTGCTCAACGAAATAAAAGAGGACACAAACAAATGGAAGAACATTCCATGCTCATGGATAGGAAGAATCAATATCATGAAAATGGCCATATTGCCCAAGGTAATTTATAGATTCAATGCCATCCCCATCAAGCTTCCAATGACTTTCTTCACAGAATTGGAAAAAACTACTTTAAAGTTCATTAGGAACCAAAAAAGAGCCTGCATTGCCAAGTCAATGCTAAGCCAAAAGAACAAAGCTGGAGGCATCATGCTACCTGACTTCAAACTATACTAGAAGGCTACAGTAACCAAAACAGCATGGTACTGGTACCAAAACAGAGATGTAGACCAATGGAACAGAAATAATACCACACATCTACAACCATCTGATATTTGATAAACCTGACAAAAACACAAAACAGGGAAAGGATTCCCTATTTAATAAATGGTGCTGGGAAAACTGGCTAGCCATATGCAGAAAGCTGAAACTGGATCCCTTCCTTATACCTTATACAAAAATTAATTCAAGATGGATTAAAGCTTAAATGTTAGACCTAAAACCATAAAATCCCTAGAAGAAAACCTAGGCAATACCATTCAGGACATAGACATGGGCAAGGACTTCATGTCTAAAACACCAAAAGCAATGGCAACAAAAGCCAATATTGACAAATGGGATTTAATTAAACTAAAGAGCTTCTGCAGAGCAAGAGAAACTACCATCAGAGTGAACAGGCAACCTACAGAATGGGAGAAAATTTTTGCAATCTACTCATGTGGCAAAGGGCTAATATCCAGAATCTACAAAGAACTCAAACAATTTACAAGAAAAAAACAACCCCATCAAAAAGTGGGTGAAGGATATGAACAGACACTTCTCAAAAGAAGACATTTTTGCAGCCAAAAGACACATGAAAAAATGCTCATCATCACTGGCCATCAGAGAAATGCAAATCAAAGGCACAATGAGATACCATCTCATACCAGTTAGAATGGCGATCATTAAAAAGTCAGGAAACAACAGGTGCTGGAGAGAATGTGAAGAAACAGGAACACTTTTACACCGTTGGTGGGACTGTAAACTGGTTCAACCACTGTGGAAGACAGTATGGCGATTCCTCAAGGATCTAGAACTAGAAATACCATTTGACCCAGCCATCCCATTACTGGGTATATACCCAAAGGATTATAATTCATGCTGCTATAAAGACACATGCACACGTATTTTTATTGTGGCACTATTCACAATAGCAAAGACTTGGAACCAACCCAAATGTCCATCAATGATAGACTGGATTAAGAAAATGTGGCACATATACACCATGGAATACTATGCAGCCATAAAAAATGATGAGTTCATGTCCTTTGTAGGGACATGGATGAAGCTGGAAACCATCATTCTCAGCAAACTGTCGCAAGGACAAAAAACCAAACACCGCATGTTCTCACTCATAGGTGGGAACTGAACAATGAGAACACTTAGACACAGAAAGAGGAACATCACACACCAGGGCCTGTTGTGCGGTGGGGGGGAGGGGGGAGGGATAGCATTAAGAGATATACCTAATGTAAATGATGAGTTAATGGGTGCAGCACACCAACATGGCACATGTATACGTATGTAACAAACCTGCACGTTGTGCACATGTACCCTAGAACTTAAAGTATAATAATAATAATAAAAGTAATAATAAAAAAAGTAATTAAAAAAGAAAAAACTGAAAGGCAGTTTTCACTATCCAAAACCAAGCAGCGTCTTTCCTTACTTGTATGATCAATAATAAGAATGTGACATCCTTAAATAATAGTGAACATTTTATGACATAGTATTATAAAAATAGTTACTGTTTACTGAGCCCTTCTCATATACCAGACATTGGACTAAGTGCTTTCTATGCATCATGGCTTTTAATTCTTATCACAACCTTATGAGTTAAGTGCTATCACCATTTCCATTTTATGGAAGGGATGCCAAGATAGGCTAAGTTACTTGTATAGGGTCACACAGACTTAGCAAGTTGAACAGGTAAGATTTAAACCCAGGTAGTCAGACCTCTAAGTACATGTTTTTTATCTCTGTGCTAATTACCCTGGGTGCAATGTGCGATGTTGCCAGGGTTCTGCTTTTCAATTAACTCTTAGACTAGTTCTAAGGCTCTGCTGCCTAAGAGAAAGAAATGTAAGAAGCAATTTATACAGTGCGTTTTTCTCCAGAATGAAAGGACTCATTTCCTTGTCACAGAGCTGCAGACACCTCTGTGAAAAAAAATCCCTGGTCATTACCAAGAGCATTAGTGGCAATCTCTGACAAGGAGCAAAGGTTTCTTTGTTCTGATAATGACAAAGATGGGCACTTGGGTGAGGCAGACCGTGACACTGCAGTGTAACTCGCTTTCAGCATAGCAACACGTTAGTTTAGGGTCACTGCGAAACTTAAAGGAAGTCATTCATGGACTGTATTTAGTGTGGCAATTAGTATACAGTAAGTACTCACTAAACATTAGTTTTTTTTTTAACCGTCACTTTTGCCAAAACTTTTAATATTTTTCTAATTAATTATTAATGTCAGACACATTATGACACCTTTTTAACCGTCAAGAAACCCTTTTGTTCCTGGAAAATGGCTTTTTAAAAGCCCCTGCTTCTTCTAGTCTGAAGATGCAGTGTGCTGCTAGCCTAAATAATCCCTTGCCATTAGAGTGTCTTTCTCACACTCTCAACCAGGAGCATTAGTGTGGCAGACTGAGCCACGAGAAAGCAAGGGCTGCTAACCACACTCCGGGAAGACCTTGAAATGTGTCTCTTTCCCAGTAGCTAAACATTTTTTTTTTTATTTAACCATTGACAACCATGCAAAATTTTGGAAATCTGACCATGGCCACTTTTTAGGAGATTGTAGTGAAGGTACATGCTTGAGGAAGATTATTATGTCTCATTTATTACAAATTCTGAATCCTCCAATACATCTTGGATCTGGCAGCTAGTAGAGGACCTGGCACATGCTAGGCAATCAATAAATGTGATCTGAACAATGAGCTCTTTGAAAAGGCCAAATGGCCAAATGTTACATATAATTAGCATAAAATATCTCCCAAGAATCAGAATTATTTTCACAAAATGTGGTATAATGAGGGTAACCTATTTAGGGAAGAAAATGACTGTAAGATGCATAAGTTGACTGCCAAAGGAGGAATAGTAACTTAATTAAACTATCTAGATAAGATGCTGGAGAAAATTTTAACTCTTGTCAAATGAATACCTTTCTGCTGTTGCTTGTATTTCAGCAAGCTATAGCAAGTAACAGGAAGTAGTTTGCCTATATTTCTGTAAGGTATTTTCCTCACCTCTCTAACCCAGAATGTCCCAAAATGACTTCGGTGTATGCCAGCACTTATAAGAAAGGCCATCTTGAACAAATCTTCTAAATTTGGTAAAAATCTGTTGAGCTGTATTTTGCATGATGAAGCAATAGAGAGAGAAAGGGGATATGTGTGTGTGTGTGTGAGAGAGAGAGAGAGAGAGAGTAAATATTTCATTTTATTTATATGTTTTAGACTAGGACAATCTGTTCTTTTGATAATATTACAATGATAGCATGCATTTCATATGTGTGCTAAAGGTGAACATAGACTTTTTTTCCATTGAGCAAATACTAGTGTACTTAATAAGCTACAATTAGAACAAGTGTTCAATTTTCATGTCTTTCATTAACAACATTTGAGATGAAATCATACTGAAAAGTAGGACTCCTCTGTACCATACTTTTTTTCCCACTCAACCAGACCCTCAAAGCTAATTGTGAAGTTCTTAAAAGATAGTAATAGCAAAAGTCCTCTTACTTAAATTAAGTTTGCTTAGAAGCATAATGCACTCTACATGGCCTCTTAGAGGACCTAGGAGATAGGACATAGGTGGACACTAATTGCATAAAATCCACTTCAGAAGTAATTAGATGCCTCAAAACCTGTAATATAATATTTTAAAAATTTAGTAACCATCTAATTAGAATTCCACAATTAAAAGTTTAATATTTACATTATGTCTGAACTCCAAAATTTTCCATTCAGATTTTTGAAAACAATTACATATTTTATTTCCCTTGAAAGACAGAGCAACACCTTCAGTGTGACTCCCAAAAACCATTGAAGAAAAATATATTCATTAGCCTAAAAATATCCTACCCACAGGAGGGCCTATGACCACTGAAATGCTCTGCTATCATCACAGCCCAATTAGCAGTAGGCACAGGGACAGTTCGCCGTATCCCAACTACTCAGTCAGCAACCGCAGCACCAATGTTGTTTTTCCAAGGAAAGCAGGTGGTGAATGTCATAATAAAGATAAGCTTAAAAATGGAAGGGAGCCTCAGAAATAACGCCGCATATCTACAACTATCTGATCTTTGACAAACCTGAGGAAAACAAGCAATGGGGAAAGGATTCCCTATTTAATAAATGGTGCTGGGAAAACTGGCTAGCCATATGTAGAAAGCTGAAACTGGATCCCTTCCTTACACCTTATACAAAAATTAATTCAAGATGGATTAAAGACTTAAACATTAGACCTAAAACCATAAAAACCCTAGAAGAAAACCTAGGCATTACCATTCAGGACATAGGCATGGGCAAGGACTTCATGTCTAAAACACCAAAAGCAATGGCAACAAAAGCCAAAATTGAAAAATGGGATCTAATTAAATTAAAGAGCTTCTGCACAGCAAAGGAAACTACCATCAGACTGAACAGGCAACCTACAAAACGGGAGAAAATTTTTGCAACCTGCTCATCTGACAAAGGGCTAACATCAGAATCTACAATGAACTCAAACAAATTTACAAGAAAAAAACAAACAACCCCATCAAAAAGTGGGCGAAGGACATGAACAGACACTTCTCAAAAGAAGACATTTATTCAAGATCAGCCTGGGCAACATAATGAGATCCCATCTCTACAAAAAGATTAAGACATTATCCAGGCATTGTGGTGTACACCTATAGTCCCAGCTACCCAGGATGCTGAGGTGGGAGGATCACTTGAGCCCAGAGGTTCAAGGCTGTAGTGAGCCATGATCACATGGCTGCACTCCAGCCTGAGTGACAGAGCAAGATCCTGTCTAAAAACAAACAAACAAAAAGGATAGTTCTGTTGCCTACAAAATGGAATAATAGCATCTACCTCACAGAACAGTAATAGGGATTAAATAAGTGAATGTCTATTAAGTACTTAGGATAATATTTATGGTATTTGAAGCTTTCAATAAATGGTAGTAAATTACTATCATTAATAATGCATTAGACACATTTACACTACATATGTAATTTTATTTTCATCTCTTACTCCTTATTCATTTTAATTTATGGTAAATTTTAGCTTATGATTTCATGAACACTTAGCAGTGGAAAAAGAACATGGAAGATCTCATATAAATGCTCCAAAATGGAAATTACTTATGTCACTTCTTCTCACAATTCCTTGGCTAGAAGTGGTTAAATGACTGTACCCAATCACAGGGTAGAAAGACAGAAAGTATTGGCTTTGTAGTGCCTAGACAGAGAGACAGCACTAATGACTACCATACTCAATCAGTCACTTACCCACCCACCTACCTACCTACTCAGTGCTGATCCGGTGTCTTTTATATGTCAGGCACTGGGCTAGGTCCTGGCCAGGCACAGATGAGTATATCCTGAAGGAGTTCAAATTGTACTTGTTGACCATTCCAATTGCATATACTCAAACTTATATCTAAACAACATGGAAAACACTGAAAATTTTGTAATGTCTTGGCATTCATCTGACTCCGACACACAGATTGCTTCAAGAAATAGCCCTGAAGTGAGGCGAATTTTTAAAATGTTTTCATGCTTAACTTGTCATCATTATAATAGTTTACTGACCTGTTCTGTATGTACATTAAAGCACATGATAAAAAGGAACTTATTTATTGATACAATCATTCAGTAATTAAAAATAATTGTTTTGCCTATCTTTATTATAATAAAAGAAACAAAATTGAAAAAAAAAGAAGACATTTATGCAGCCAAAAAACACATGAAAAAATGCTCACCATCACTGGCCATCAGAGAAATGCAAATCAAAACCACAATGAGATACCATCTCACACCAATTAGAATGGCAATCAGTAAAAAGTCAGGAAACAACAGGTGCTGGAGGGGATGTGGAGAAATAGGAACACTTTTACACTGTTGGTGGGACTGTAAACTAGTTCAATCATCATGGAAGTCAGTGCGGCGATTCCTCAGGGATCTAGAACTAGAAATACCATTTGACCCAGCCATCCCATTACTGGGTATATACCCAAAGGACTACAAATCATGCTGCTATAAAGACACATGCACACGTATGTTTATTGCGGCACTATTCACAATAGCAAAGACTTGGAACCAACCCAAATGTCCAACAATGATAGACTGGATTAAGAAAATGTGGCACATATACACCATGGAATACTATGCAGCCATAAAAAATGATGAGTTCATATCCTTTGTAGGGACATGGATGAAATTGGAAACCATCATTCTCAGTAAACTATCGCAAGAACAAAAAACCAAACACCGCATATTCTCACTCATAGGTGGGAATTGAACAATGAGATCACATGGACACAGGAAGGGGAATATCACACTCTGGGGACTGTGGTGGGGTCGGGGGAGGGGGGAGGGATAGCATTAGGAGATATACCTAATGCTAAATGACGAGTTAATGGGTGCAGCACACCCGCATGGCACATGTATACATATGTAACTAACCTGCACATTGTGCACATGTACCCTAAAACTTAAAATATAATAATAATGAAATAAAAAAATAAAAGATACACAACCTCTTAAAAAAAATTGAAGGGAGCTTATAGGGAAAGGATGAGATGAGCTGGATACCTAGTTTAAGGAAAGTCTGCCAACAGGCCTTGCTTAGCCAATGCTTCTCTTCATTCATTCTATTTTAATAAAAAGATGTTTTTAAAAATCGATACCAAAGTCCAGGTGCAGTGGCTCATGCCTGTAATCCCAATACTACGGGAGGCCGTGGAGAGTGCATCACTTGAGGTCAGGAATTTGAGACTAGTCTGACCAACATGGTGAAACTCCATGTCTACTGAAAATACAAAAATTAGCTGGGTGTGGTGGCATCCACCTGTGGTCCCAGCTACTAGGGAGGCTGAGGCAGAAGAATCGCTTGAACGCAGGAGGCTGAGGTTGCAGTGAGCTGAGATCTTGCTACTGCACTCCAGCCTGGGTGACAGAGCCGAACTCTGTCAAAAACAAAAAACAAAAAACAAAAAGCAAAAAAAAACTCTATACCAAAAACCATTGAATTTTACGTTTTAATGGGTGAATTGTATAATATGTGAATTATATATCAATAAATCTATAACATGTCATATTTCTTTGTCACTGTCTGTTTCCTAAACCTGCACCACAAATTTGGCTTGCTGTCTGCTTAGCACTTTCACATCAGATTATATACTTCTTAGCACCTGGCCTTTCCTGATGTAGGGTAGTTACATCCTTCAGGCATGGATCTTTCTTTTTTCGTCTATATACTAAATATCCTCTGTGTTATTCTGATATTTTTATGTGTGGATACTGGTCACTGGCCAAGGCACATGTGAATTATAAGAGTCAAGAATGCTAAGCCCCATGTGGAGATGCTTAGAGTACCAGTTGGTAGGTGTTAAGCATTATAAAATATCAAGAGTTCACAAAACAATGAGAATGTTACACAGAATATGTCAAGTGGAGCAGGCAAAGCTTGCACCTGTCTTGACAGGGGTCCACAGCTTATTTGAGATACAGAATGTTTTGATAATGGATGGTGCTGATATGGGAGGAAATGGTGAATATGTTTGTGTTATTGAAAAAAATGGGGTGAACATCCTGTGTAACCTTCAGTTAGGCTTTTTGGCTGGCTTTGAAATGTATTTCATGCTACACTGAAGCTGGTGGGTAAGGGAATGAAAACAAACCCATAGGAACTTCAGGTCACATTGATTCTGAATTCAAAACATTATGCTAATAGCATAGAAAGACTGTATGTACTAGATAGGACAGTAGCAATAACATTAGTATTACTAGTTAAATTAACATAATATCTGAAAGCTCCACAAGGTTCCTTACAGGTGATTTTTTTTTGGTATCTTTCATCTGTACCTAAAAGCCATAGCCCCTATTGTGTGTCCTGGGACTGACTATCAGTGGAGCAAAGCATCTAGTGATTATTTTAAAGTGCCAATTCACGGATTTGAATAAATACAACAAAATATCAGCAAACAAAAAGGCTTTTTATTTTTGAAAAATATTTATACAATTTGTCTGTGCTTTCTTGTTTTTTGTTTTGTTTTCTTATACCCTAATGTTTGTTCCATGATGGAAGCTTAAATACCACGTGGACAAGTGGAGAAGAAGCTTAGGCTTCATCTTCTCCCTTTTTTCCTACATAGAATCAATGAAGAGTTCTCACTGACTTAGCCATTGGGATAAATTGATACTGTCCAATCTCTCCATCTTAGCTGACACCATCCTGGCCCAAGCCACCACTGTATCTACTTGGACTATCACAATACTGTTCTGTCACCTCAGAATTATGTTTGTTCTACTCTCTATTGAAGCAAGAATGATTTTTAAAAGGCAAATATGATAATATTAGTCTTTAACACTCTTAACACCCAAACTATCCTCATGAAATATTGATTCACACTGATAAAATGGCTTTTGAGGCCAGGAGAAATCTGGTCTTAAAAAACCTACTTCTCCAACTTCATTCTCCACCACTGCCCCCAAAGTTGCCATGCTCTTGCCCTCCTGTCCTCTTGTTCAACTCAGACCCTTTACTAATGCTGCTCCCTCTGTCTGAATGTTCTTTCACTCAGTTGATTGCTGCACATTTTACAAGTGTGATCATATTACTTCTACAAATAATATGTTTTTACCTCTGAAAATCTACTGTGTTCTCTGCTATCATAGCATCATGTACTTCTGCTCTTAGCACATAACAAGATCATATTCAAAATATTATTGTGGAAGTATTTGTTTCAAATCTGTTTTCCCATTAGATTGAAAGCTCTGGGGGCAAACATTGTCTTATTCACTGGTATATACTTCACACCTAGCATCGTACCTAAAATATATTGGAAGTTCAAAATTATTTGACACATAAAATCATGAATAAAATCAATAGAGTCCCCATGAAAGCTTCTCTTTCTGTAATAGCAGGTGCACCACACATTTCAGAGCAACAAAAATCTCTTACAATGTGAGCTCTTAGCATGTGCTAGGCACTAGATATGCAGAGACAAATGCAATGCTCCCTGCTTTCAAACAGCTAACTCATAGTTTAGAGGGAGGTAAGCAGAGGGCTTAAATAGATAAATCAGAGTAAAATGTAGTAAATGCTAACATGGAGATTTGAACAATGTTATGTGAAGTAGAGAGAAATGAACACATGCTGATGAGGAACTAAAAACTTGCCCTATTGTAAAGATATAAAATGTAGTCACATTTGAGTCCAAAAAGAAAATTAATTCAGTGTTCAGTATGTAGAAGAAGACAATTCTAGTTGGGCACACTACTATCCAGGCTTGTTTGTGGCCATTAATGTTTCCTTGCTAACACAGAACCAAAGCATAAAGACCCCTGTGCAAATTGAGGCTGTAGTTACCTTATTCATCTCAGGGATTATTGCTTCCCATCCTCCACTTTGAATTGTCTTGCCTTCCTTGAGTTGATTCAACTTCTATCCCACAAAATCCTTCAATGTCTGACTTATTAGAATTGATGAATTGACTGGGAATGAGCTTTGCGTACGATTGTGTTTCATCTAAGTTCTGTTTTCATGTTTGCTCTTATTCGCCACCCACGAAAACTACATTTTGGCAGTGTATTTTAGAGGGTCATTGCATCGGTCAATATATGAGTAAATGAAGATACACAGATAAGGGTAGAGTTGAGAGGAAGCTGAGTGAGCAACTGCTCCTTTGAATATCTTCTAAAATTACACATTTTTTTTTTCAATTTTAGGGGAATATGATGTTGAAATGATTTCTGTTTTTAAAGAAAAGATAAAAAGAAGTTATGGGAGGCATTGTGAAACTAAAGCTATGAGACAAAGAGAGAAGACAATAAAATAACATTTGTTTTTGATACATATGGTCTCCCTCTCCACTGCTGGCCTATTTCTCTTTATAGTTAGACCTTGACTATTGATGGGGTGTCCATCCTAGATCAAAATCTTGAGTATACAGCTCCAGTTTTCAGCTTTGATTACTGAGTCCTGAGTTTGCTAAAGGCTATGTATTTTTACTAACAGAGCAACCAAATGTTAGTATACAAAATTAAAGTAAGACAGCACTTCAAAATAAACTATAAACATGACTTTAAGTAGGTCACTTCAAGGCTATTGCTAGGGGAGAAAAAGGCTTCTAATTTCTTGCTATTGTCAATGCTGCACAGCCTAATACCTCACAGTGTGAAGAGTAAATTAGAACAACTTTTCACTGACAAAGATTAAACTTTTTCATCATTCCTAAATTCCTGGGGATTTCTCCCACTGCTTCTACATGTTTTAAGCTTTTCAATTAAATCTCCTGGGTATTGGTTGCAAGAATGCCCACGGACAAGGGAATATTTGTCTCTGGGAGAGTTAAACTATTGCAACAGAAGTTTGTCTTGGTTACTACTGTATGGGCTAAATCTCTCAGCAATAGTGCCTTATCAGCCCACACTGCTAGAAGCCAAGTGCGGATTACATTCCCCTGCCATCAAAACTGAACTAATGATACATTTAGTTTGGGGAAGAGAAAGAGTTTATGAAAAGTCGGGAAGTCAAGAACAGTCAACCTTGATAACTCACTTGTTTTCCCTGGGATAATTTATTTTGACATTTAGGAGTCACGCACCAGGAATATAAACCCTCATGAACATGCTGCCATAGACTGGTGTGACAAATATAAGCTTCTGCCTTCCAATTTTCCATCAGCTTTGCCTCCAACTCACCTTGATCCCTCCCACTGAGCATTTTGAATGCTTTGTTCGGCTGCCACAGAGACCACGTTGGAATCAAAACTGTTTTGGTCTGTCCCAGGGCAGGAGCAGTCAATTAAAATCAGCTTAGAAGCAGCCCTGGGAAAGGCTGTATTTTTTTTTTTTCTATAAAATATTTCTGGTGGGACTATGGGAAAAGACAGCTTTCAATTTTAAACAGTATATACGCTTGAATGAGAGATCAAAACAGCCATGTGGGAAACTAGTAACTTGGAAGGCTGAGGTGGAAATAACAATAATATTTTAAATTCAAGTATTAATTCTGATTGAAAAACACAAACCAGAGAGGGGGATCCCTAGCTGCCAGAAATGAGGTAAAAGATGAATTCATTTAAGAGATCTTTATTTTTTAAAACTCAAAATTGCCTTAAGCAAGAAAACATTTGCAAGATATTACAGATGGGAGAAGAGGGCAAACGGATCAGTAATTTTATTTTAAATATGCTGTATGTGTTTAATTAGTTTCAAAACAAGGATCAATGTGAGAGACTGCAGCTGGGAAGGGAAAGGGGTTATTAAAAAAAAAATTGAGCAGCTTAAAAATAAGCCAAATTCAGATTTGACAGACACTTACAACCCACAGTATCAGTGATAAATTGGGCATCCCAAACCATAAAGAGCCATACGAGTTTGATCCCTTTTTATCACTAATAAGCATAAAAAATGTTCACTAGCCTGTTTTCCAAGCCTTTATTCACAATAGCTTGTACCTACTATGACTATTTGAAAGTGGAATGTGGGAGAAATTAAGTGGACAGACATTCTTCCATGGAAGCCTGGCAGTCCAGCACTTAGCAATGAACTAAGCTTTGGAAATGGAAGAGCTGCAGAACTAGTATATTTCAGAGTGATTATTCTGAATATTTCTGCTTTAGAAGCCAGGCTGGTATGTTAACTCTGGAGAATCCACAGTGAATTCAAAATTTTCTTTGGTTTGCCTCACTACATTTTCTACTCAGCTTGATTCAAAACATACTTATATATAGGTCATTAGCATTCTTCCAAGTTTAGATTAGCCTGGATTCTAGAAGACTTATTAGTACAAATTTCTGTTAACTTAAGGTGTTTAAAGGTAAACATATGTAACCTATGAAGGTGTAGCTTGAGATTCTTTGAATTTTTATGGAAAGTTGAAAAGCATAATTAAGTGAAAATTAAAGAAAAATGCATCTGTATTTTTATTTACATGTGCTGTGTTAGATTACATAAACGGTCATGATTCTCCATGGCTCTTTTCATTTAAGAGGTGGAATCTATTTCTCCATCTCTTGAACTGGTTGGTCCATGGCTTATTTTGACCAACAGTTTTGGAAGTGAGATGATGCAACTTCCCAACCGAGGCCCTAAGAAGCTTTGTCTGTTTCTATGTACTGTCTTGAAACTCTGAACCACCATATGAACAAGCCCAGGTTAGCTTGCTGGAAGATGAAAGACACATGGCCTACTTGCCCTCATTGCCCCATAGCCAACAGCCAGCAGTCCCAAGAAGCAGAACTGCCACACTGACCAGCAGCTTACCTCAGCCACATAAGTGAGTCCAACAGCCCAGCAGAACTATTTAGCTTAGCCTAATCAAGATTGCTGACCAAAAGACACATTGACAAAGAAATAATTGTTGTTTTACTTCACTAAGTTGTGGGGTGACTTGACATATTGTGAAAAATAATCAATACATGTACACATAGAGAATAAATGTGACAAAACTATCATTTTTCTATTGCACTTAGATCTGCCATTTTAACTCTTTTGAATACCCAGAGAGTTCATTTAAACTTTAAAAAGTCTTTTTCTTTGCTCTGGAAACAATGAGGAAGTAGGGTGAACTATTCTGGAACTATGTTGACTTATACCAATCATTGGGTAACTTAAATTACTTTTCCTTTGATTGCAGATTTTTATTAAAGGGTGCTTTTAATAGCTACCCACTGTAACCTCTTTTTTCTATTACCTATTATTTTAAAGGGGGAAAAAAACTCCTATAAAATAATTCTGCTGGACACAAAAAGCATCCAGCACATATTATGTACAGAAAAAGCAATGACTCCTTGTCCCCTACTCCTCTCTGTCCTTCTTGGGTTATAATAAGGACAGGAAGGGTAAGTAAAGAAGAAAAGCTGCCTTAACTGTATGAGAAGAGTAAGGAGTAGGGATTTGCTTTTCCCCAGTACAAGTTTTTTGTTTGTTTTTTTTTTTTTTTTTTTTGCTTTTTTTTCCCCAAGCAACAATGACGAATGAGAAACATGATGTATAAGTGTAACAGTTATTACCTATCTTAGTTTAACCAGAATAGAAGCAATGTGTCTGCATTTTTCAGAGCCACCATCTAGCACAGAGATTAAAATTAACTTTTATAAATAACTCAGATTCTCCCTCTATGATCTCATATTTTGTATGAGGCGCAAACCTAATTCTCATTCCTCCTTCAGACCTCCCAATATAGAGCACACTAAGGACACTACCTCTAATGACCATTTTGTTTACATGTTTTTTTTCAATTACAATTCCATGATCCTAAGATGGAACACCCTGACTCTCCATTATTGTGGTGAAAATAATGTCAATCCTTTTGTATTTCTGTATGTTTTTTACTAACTCTTTCTACTAAAACTTACACATTTCTTCTCAAATTTGCCATAATTTAAATCCGATTCTCCCTTGTTAACACTGATGTGCTTTCTTCTTTGATAATGCCAGTCTTATCAATAATCATGCAAAAGAAATCAAAGAAATATTGTTCTATTTTTATTTTAGAAATATTTATAATGAGAAGATAAATACAGTATGGGAAAAATATAAGGTAGAATCCGGCCCCCACCGACCCACACACACACAAATGAATGTGCTAACAAGAGAGTTTCACTGCTGGGCTCACTATATAACAGATCACGTTTCCATTTAAACATTGATCAACCTGCCATATGTACCTCCTCTGAAGAACGGGGACCAAGAATCACTCATCATTTCAACCTGATTGCAATTAGAGTTAGGAAGTCAGATTGGCACACTTTATTCTCTGTGTATGCAGTAATAGACATCTAGAGAGAAAGTAAGAATATGCATGAACAGCTGAAGACAAAAATACTCCACTTCTGTTTTCCCTCTCAACAACTGTTCTGAAACACCAGGGGGTGGTTTTTCTTGTACTGATGAGAAGTCACGTTATTAGGAAGTGTTCAGAAAATGTGCTCTCCAGTGAAGCTCTCACAGAATATAAGCTCTTCTCTTCATAAGCAAATGTTTTCTGGTGTCCTGTTTGTGCTAGGCACTGTTCTAGGCTCTGGGAGTATCATGATGAACAAGAAACAATAGTGGTCTAATGGAGTTTGCATTCTACTCTGGGGAGATAAATCATGATAGTGAAAACTAAACAGATAAATACACGAGTAAGAAAAATATCCAGCAGTGATAACTGCTATTCAGAAAATTCAATAAGGTGATTAAATGTAGGAAAAAAATAAAATGAAGTGCTATGGACTGAACTGTGTTCCCCCCAAATTCATACATTGAAGCCCTAACCCCTGTGTGACTACTGGGAGATGGGGTCTGTGGGAGGTAATTAAGATTAACTGAGCTCATACAGGTGGAGTCCTAATTAAATTGCATTGGTCACTTTATAACAAGAGGAACCTGTCTCACTCTCTCTCTCTCTCTCTCTTTCTCTCCCCACACACATGCACTGAAGAAAGGCCACGTGAGGACACAGAGAGAAGGTGGCTGTCTACAAGCCAGGAGGAGAGCCCTCACAAGAAACCAAATTGACCAGAAACTTGATCTCGGATTTCTGGCCTATGGAACTGTGAGAAAATAAATTTCTCTTGTTTAAATCAGGGGTCCCCAGTACCCAAGTCATAGCCTGGTAATGGTCTGTGGGCTGCACAGTAGGAAGTGAGGGCTGGCTAGCAAGCATTACCAACAGAGCTCTGCCTCCTGTCAGATCAGCAGCAGCATCAGATTCTCATAGGAGCCCCAACCCTGTTGTGAACTGCTCATGTGAGGGATATAGGTTACATGCTCCTTATGAGAATCTAATTCCTGATGATCTGAGGTGGAACAGTTTCATTCTGAAAACACCCCCTTACCCCTCCGAGTCCGTGGAAAAACTGTTTTCCATGAAATCAGTCCCTGGTGCCAAAAAGATTGGGGACTGCTGGTTTAAATCACCCAGTCTGTGGCATTTTGTTATGGCAGCATGAGCAGACTAAGGCAAAAGGAAGACCCACACAATTTAAAGAAGAATCTTCAGAAAATTTTTCTCATTTTCTTCCATGTTGGACACAGAGACAGAAATAATTCAAGCCTGACAACTGTTCTTATTACAAATTTCAAATTTTTTGATTGCCTTCTCTCCCCTCTCCGTGCCCCACCCCTAGGGGATACCATGCAAGAATGAAAAAGTCGAAGAGGAAAACTTCTTATTTAATCTCATGCCTGACTGAGAAATTTACTATTGAGGCTACGTGGCTTTAGAGCCATATACATATCCTCAATTCACATACACATTCCAAGTTTACTGCTCTAGTCTTACCTGTTTCTTCCTTCAGCATCTCTTCACAGCCTCCTCATCCCACCACCCACCATTTTCTTGCCCAGAAGTACCACAGTGTTTTAAAATCCTACAGTCTGACAGTTCTGTTCACTAGCAGTGAAGCCTTCTCAAATTCTTTAAACTTTTCAAACTTTGGTTACTTTATCTGTAAACTGGGGGAAAAATAGCTATATCACAGAGCTTTTGGGAGAATTACATAAAATAGCACAAATAAAAGTATCTTGTTTATGGCAAAATGAATGTTGTTTTATTTACATACTTTTTCCTTCGCCTTCTTACTCCTGTCTCTCATGCTCATGTGATTACTTACCACACAAGAAAAACATTCTGAGCTTTCTCATGAAGTTTCCATGGTGTTTCTTTACCTAGAATGCTCCATGCACCTCTCCCCCATTCCTTAATTCCTCCTCCTGGCTAATTCCTTGGCTTCTTTGTTTTTCGGATCTCACTTCCCTCCTCCAGATGGTTTCCTTGTCTTCCCAATGCTGCCTTCTATTATACGTTCTCATAGCACTACACAACTCTCTTGCACAACATTTAACAGAAGTATGTCTTTAGATTTATTTTGTATGATTGTTTGGGGTCTTTCCCCCACTAGCCAAACGTCTATGAGGGCAGAAATCATATTTGTTTTGGTCAATATTATATTCCTAGCACCTTTTACAATGCTTAGTGTGTAAAATGTACAAAAATATTGAATAATTTCTAAATCTTTATTTTGTCCATTTTTCTTTGGTATTGCCATTTGAAATTTCATATTTTGGGATACATTCTGACTTTGGGACAATTACTTTCTCTTGTAGCTCAATTATTGGTTAATCTATAAATCATTGAGTTGGGTTAGAGACACTCTAAGGTTTCTTCTACCTCTAAAAATCTATGACTCTCTCTACTATGCATATTTCTGAGCCACTCCATTTCATCTATTTGTTTCAGTAATTACTGCTGCTTTAGTTCCAATAGTTGTACATTTACCTCTATTAGTTATAGGACAGAGTATTTCTTAAGAGTAATTAGAAAAGCGTATAAGGTAAACCTTTCTCAAGCAACATAGAGGACAAAGCAAAAAGGGCCAGTGGTAATTCACCAATACAATTTCAAATGGAAACCTCAGTTGGATGTTTGCTCAACCTCATAAATGATTCATTTCTAAGGGGAGTCTGTGCATTTTTTGAGATATAAAACACCTCATATGCTTGGCTACTTTTGAAAATAGGTAAGTCATCAAAGTCTAAAATTCATAGCTACTGCAACCTCCCTTACATGTATCCCTTCTAAGAAAAAGGCAGTCATTTTAGAGACCCACTTCACTTTTCAGGACATAGAATTGCAGTCTAAAGTAGAATCCACAGGAGTTGTTATAAAAGGAACACAGATATGAAAATAATAGCAGTGCAAGTTCACTGATGCTCAGACACAAATGGAAGCAAAAAGCTAGCAGCACTGCCAGAACCTCATTCAAATGGGAGTACATATAGGTCTTAGAGCTTTCCCTGAATGAGTCTTGCCTTTGCACTCGATTCCGAAAGCTCTCTCGCAGCTACAATACCCAGTGACTCAATACCAAATGCTATCTTTGAAAGGGAACACAGACTATGAGGTCCCTTTAAAGTCGCAATTAGGTTGTTTCCCCTATGAAAAGACTGGAGGAAAGAGGTGTGAGCTAACTCTTTCTTCTCAGATAAAATTACCTTTGAAGAGTCTTCAGGCAGCCAAGTGTGCTACAACTATTAAACAGCATGTCACACTCGATGTGATGATTTGATGCTCTGGTACTCTTCCATGTAAGGAAGATGCAGTGTGAAATTTCTTTTGCCTTACACTGGCCATCGATCTTTTATACTCACTCCATGGCACCTTCATCTCACTTAGAAAAGTCTGAGAGTAACATCAAATCCAAGAAGGAGATAGGGAAGGGAAAGAAAAAATATATTCTCAGGAGTGTAACTTTCTGAGCTAGAGGCCTCTTAGTACTTCCCTCTTTACTTTTCCTGTTAGGTTTGTTCAGAGTAAAAAAGGCAATAGTACAGAATGCAACCTGGAACTATTAGTTCCTGGTAAAAAGAGTCCCAAAGGATGGAAACCAACAGTCCTTGAATACTTATTAAGTATCAGGCACCATTCTGAACACTTAGTTCTTTCCTTCTATTTAATACATCTACCCTGAGAGATAAATATTTTATCCATGTTTTGTAGATGAGGAAACTCAGTCTCAGAAAGGTATAACAATGTGCTGAATTTCATACATGGAGATTAGACTCAAAGCCATTCCAAAATTATCTGAGACATAAGCCTGTGCTTTGTCTTCTACTTCATGCTATAAAAAAAAGGAAAACCCTGATGAACATCAATGAGAAAATCCTCAAGAAAATACTGGCAAGCCAAATCCAGCAGCACATCAAAAAGCTTATCCACCACGATCAAGTCAGCTTCATCTCTGGTATACAAGGCTGGTTCAACATATGCAAATCAATAAACATAATCCATCACATAATCAGAACCAATGACAAAAACCACATGATCATCTCAATAGATGCAGAAAACTCCTTCAATAAAATTCAACATCCCTTCATGTTAAAAACACTCAATAAATTAGGCATTGATGGAACATATCTCAAAATAGTAAGAGCTATTTATGTCAAACCCACAGACAATATCATACTGACTGGACAAAAGCTGGAAGCATTCCCTTTGAAAACCAGCCAAGACAAGGATGCCCTCTCTCACCACTCCTGTTCAACATAGTATTGGAAGTTCTGGCCAGGACAATCAGGCAATAGAATGAAATAATGGGTATTCAAATAGGAAGAGGTGAAGTCAAATTGTCTCTGTTTGCAGTTGACATGATTCTATATTTAGAAAACCTAATCCACTCACCCCCAAAACTCCTTAAGCTGATAAGCAACTTCAGCAAAGTCTCAGGATACAAAATCAATGTGCAAAAATCACAAGCATTCCTATACACCAACAATGGACAAGCAGAGAGCCAAATCAGGAATGAACTCACATTCACAATTGCTTCAAAGAGAATAAAATACATAGGAATACAACTGACAAGGGACATGAAGGATCTCTTCAAGAACTACAAACCTCTGCTCAAGGAAATAAGAGAGGACACAAACAAATGGAAAAACATTTCATGCTCATGGATAGGAAGAATCAATATTGTGAAAATGACCATAATGCCAAAGTAATTTATAGATTCAATGCTATTCCCATCAAGCTACTGTTGACTTTATTCACAGCATTAGAAAAAAAAACTACTTTAAATTTCATATGGAACCAAAACAGAGCCCAAATAGCCAAGACAATTCTAAGCATAAAGAACAAAACTGGAGGCATCATGCTACCTGTTTCCAAACTATACTACAAGACTACAGTAACCAAAACCGCATGGTACTGGTACCAAAACAGATATCTAGGACAATGGAACAGAATAGAGACCTCAGAAATAACACCACACATCTACAATAATCTGATCTTCAACAAACTTGACAAAAACAAGCAATGGGGAAAAATTTCCCTATTTAATAAATGGTGCCAGGAAAACTGGCTAGCCATATGCAGAAAACTGAAACTGGACCCCTTCCTTACACCTTATATAAAAATTATCTCAAGATGTATTAAAGACTTCAATGTAAAACTCCAAACCATAAAAACCCTAGAAGAAAACTTAGCAATACCATTCAGAACATAGGCATGGGCAAAGATTTCATGACTAAAACACCAAAAGCATTTGCAACAAAAGCCAAAATTGACAAATGGGATCTAATTAAACTAAAGAGCTTCTGCACAGCAAAAGAAAAGTAGCATCAGAGTGAACAGGCAACCTACAGAATGGGATAAAAGTTTTGCAATCTACCCATCTGACAAAGGTCTAATATCCAGAATCTACAAAGAACCTAAACAAATTTACAAGAAAATAAAACCATCGAAAAGTGGGCTAAGTATATGCATGGACCCTTCTCAAAAGAAGACATTCATGCAGCCAACTAACGTATGAAAAACTCATCATCACTGACCATCAGAGAAATGCAAATCAAAAACACAATGAGATACCATCTCAAACCAGTCAGAATGGTGAGTATTAAAAAGTCAGGAAACAGCAAATGGTGGCAAGGCTGTGGAGAAATAAGAATGTTTTTACACTGTTAGTGGGAGTGTAAATTAGTTCATCCATTTTGGAAGACAGTATGGCGATTCCTCAAGGATCTAGAAGCAGAAATACCATTTGACCTAGCAATCTCATTACTGGGTATATACACAAAGGATTATAAATCATTCTACTATAAAGATACATGCACATGTATGCTTATTGCAGCACTATTTACACTAGCAAAGACTTGGAACCAACCCAAATGCCCATCAATGATAGACTGGATAAAGAAAATGTGGCACATATATATCATGGAATACTATGGAGCCATAAAAAATAATGAGTTCATGTCCTTTGCATGGACATGGATGAAGCTGGAAGCCATCATTCTCAGCAAACTAACACAGGTACAGAAAACCAAACATCACATGTTCTCACTCATAAGTGGGAGTCGAATAATGAGAACACATGCACACAGGGAGGGGAACATCACACACCCGGGCCTATCGGGGGCTTGGGGGCTACAGGAGGTATAGCATTAGGAGAAATACCTAACACATGTGGGGCCTAAACTCTAGATAATGGATTGATAGGTGGAGCAAACCACTATGACGCATGTATACCTATGTAACAAACCTGCACATTCTGCACATGTATCCCAGAAGTTAAAGTAAAATAAAAATTAAAAAAAAAAGGAAAACGAAGAGGCTGACATCATGCGTTCCTCCTATGTGAGTTTACTGGAATTGTACAGAAAAAAAGGCTCTAGGAAACTTTTAACTCGGGCCAGCTGTTTTGTTGACTTATAATCATGTTTTAGGAAGGGAATAATCCAAGTGAATGTGGCTAGTTCAGAGTAATCATTCTTCTAATTATTCATTCCTTCAACAAAAATGTGCTCCCCCTTTCTGCAAGGATCTTAAAATCAGGAAAGGGGAGATTGGAAAAAGATAATTGTAGTACAATAAATGTAATGCAAAGGGCTTCACCCATATTAATTGATCAATGAAGTATAGTTATCTTCCTTTATTAAAACCAGGAAAGAATGCTGCAACAGAGATATACAAGGGCTTTTAGAGTCACACAGGGGAGAGTGATGCATTATTTCTGGAGCACTCACTATATATGAAGGTGATATTCAAACCATATCTTAGATGATAGAATAAATGTTTATTTATTTATTTATTTATTTTTTATTATACTCTAAGTTTTAGGGTACATGTGCACATTGTGCAGGTTAGTTACATATGTATACATGTGCCATGCTGGTGCGCTGCACCCACTAATGTGTCATCTAGCATTAGGTATATCTCCCAATGCTATCCCTCCCCCCTCCCCCGACCCCACCACAGTCCCCAGAGTGTGATATTCCCCTTCCTGTGTCCATGTGATCTCATTGTTCAATTCCCACCTATGAGTGAGAATATGCGGTGTTTGGTTTTTTGTTCTTGCGACAGTTTACTGAGAATGATGGTTTCCAATTTCATCCATGTCCCTACAAAGGATATGAACTCATCATTTTTTATGGCTGCATAGTATTCCATGGTGTATATGTGCCACATTTTCTTAATCCAGTCTATCATTGTTGGACATTTGGGTTGGTTCCAAGTCTTTGCTATTGTGAATAGTGCCGCAATAAACATACGTGTGCATGTGTCTTTATAGCAGCATGATTTATAGTCCTTTGGGTATATACCCAGTAATGGGATGGCTGGGTCAAATGGTATTTCTAGTTCTAGATCCCTGAGGAATCGCCACACTGACTTCCACAATGGTTGAACTAGTTTACAGTCCCACCAACAGTGTAAAAGTGTTCCTATTTCTCCACATCCTCTCCAGCACCTGTTGTTTCCTGACTTTTTAATGATTGCCATTCTAACTGGTGTGAGATGATATCTCATAGTGGTTTTGATTTGCATTTCTCTGATGGCCAGTGATGATGAGCATTTCTTCATGTGTTTTTTGGCTGCATAAATGTCTTCTTTTGAGAAGTGTCTGTTCATGTCCTTCGCCCACTTTTTGATGGGGTTGTTTGTTTTTTTCTTGTAAATTTGTTTGAGTTCATTGTAGATTCTGGATATTAGCCCTTTGTCAGATGAGTAGGTTGCGAAAATTTTCTCCCATGTTGTAGGTTGCCTGTTCACTCTGATGGTAGTTTCTTTTGCTGTGCAGAAGCTCTTTAGTTTAATTAGATCCCATTTGTCAATTTTGGCTTTTGTTGCCATTGCTTTTGGTGTTTTGGACATGAAGTCCTTGCCCACGCCTATGTCCTGAATGGTAATGCCTAGGTTTTCTTCTAGGGTTTTTATGGTTTTAGGTCTAACGTTTAAATCTTTAATCCATCTTGAATTGATTTTTGTATAAGGTGTAAGGAAGGGATCCAGTTTCAGCTTTCTACATATGGCTAGCCAGTTTTCCCAGCACCATTTATTAAATAGGGAATCCTTTCCCCATTGCTTGTTTTTCTCAGGTTTGTCAAAGATCAGATAGTTGTGGATATGCGGCATTATTTCTGAGGGCTCTGTTCTGTTCCATTGATCTATATCTCTGTTTTGGTACCAGTACCATGCTGTTTTGGTTACTGTAGCCTTGTAGTATAGTTTGAAGTCAGGTAGTGTGATGCCTCCAGCTTTGCTCTTTTGGCTTAGGATTGACTTGGTGATGCGGGCTCTTTTTTGGTTCCATATGAACTTTAAAGTAGTTTTTTCCAATTCTGTGAAGAAAGTCATTGGTAGCTTGATGGGGATGGCATTGAATCTGTAAATTACCTTGGGCAGTATGGCCATTTTCACGATATTGATTCTTCCTACCCATGAGCATGGAATGTTCTTCCATTTGTTTGTGTCCTCTTTTATTTCCTTGAGCAGTGGTTTGTAGTTCTCCTTGAAGAGGTCCTTCACATCCCTTGTAAGTTGGATTCCTAGGTATTTTATTCTCTTTGAAGCAATTGTGAATGGGAGTTCACCCATGATTTGGCTCTCTGTTTGTCTGTTGTTGGTGTATAAGAATGCTTGTGATTTTTGTACATTGATTTTGTATCCTGAGACTTTGCTGAAGTTGCTTATCAGCTTAAGGAGATTTTGGGCTGAGACAATGGGGTTTTCTAGATAAACAATCATGTCATCTGCAAACAGGGACAATTTGACTTCCTCTTTTCCTAATTGAATACCCTTTATTTCCTTCTCCTGCCTGATTGCCCTGGCCAGAACTTCCAACGCTATGTTGAATAGGAGCGGTGAGAGAGGGCATCCCTGTCTTGTGCCAGTTTTCAAAGGGAATGCTTCCAGTTTTTGCCCATTCAGTATGATATTGGCTGTGGGTTTGTCATAGATAGCTCTTATTATTTTGAAATATGTCCCATCAATACCTAATTTACTGACAGTTTTTAGCATGAAGGGTTGTTGAATTTTGTCAAAGGCTTTTTCTGCATGTATTGAGATAATCATGTGGTTTTTGTCTTTGGCTCTGTTTATATGCTGGATTACATTTATTGATTTGCGTATATTGAACCAGCCTTGCATCCCAGGGATGAAGCCCACTTGATCATGGTGGATAAGCTTTTTGATGTGCTGTTGGATTCGGTTTGCCAGTATTTTATTGAGGATTTTTGCATCAATGTTCATCAAGGATATTGGTCTAAAATTCTCTTTTTTGGTTGTGTCTCTGCCCGGCTTTGGTATCAGAATGATGCTGGCCTCATAAAATGAGTTAGGGAGGATTCCCTCTTTTTCTATTGATTGGAATAGTTTCAGAAGGAATGGTACCAGCTCCTCCTTGTACCTCTGGTAGAATTCGGCTGTGAATCCATCTGGTCCTGGACTCTTTTTGGTTGGTAAACTATTGATTATTGCCACAATTTCAGAGCCTGTTATTGGTCTATTCAGAGATTCAACTTCTTCCTGGTTTAGTCTTGGGAGAGTGTATGTGTCGAGGAATGTATCCATTTCTTCTAGATTTTCTATTTTATTTGCGTAGAGGTGTTTGTAGTATTCTCTGATGGTAGTTTGTATTTCTGTGGGATCGGTGGTGATATCCCCTTTATCATTTTTTATTGTGTCTATTTGATTCTTCTCTCTTTTTTTCTCTATTAGTCTTGCTAGCGGTCTATCAATTTTGTTGATCCTTTCAAAAAACCAGCTCCTGGATTCATTGATTTTTTGAAGGGTTTTTTGTGTCTCTATTTCCTTCAGTTCTGCTCTGATCTTAGTTATTTCTTGCCTTCTGCTAGCTTTTGAATGTGTTTGCTCTTGCTTTTCTAGTTCTTTTAATTGTGATGTTAGGGTGTCAATTTTGGATCCTTCCTGCTTTCTCTTGTGGGCATTTAGTGCTATAAATTTCCCTCTACATACTGCTTTGAATGCGTCCCAGAGATTCTGGTATGTGGTGTCTTTGTTCTCGTTGGTTTCAAAGAACATCTTTATTTCTGCCTTCATTTCGTTATGAACCCAGTAGTCATTCAGGAGCAGGTTGTTCAGTTTCCATGTAGTTGAGCGGCTTTGAGTGAGATTCTTAATCCTGAGTTCTAGTTTGATTGCACTGTGGTCTGAGAGATAGTTTGTTATAATTTCTGTTCTTTTACATTTGCTGAGGAGAGCTTTACTTCCAAGTATGTGGTCAATTTTGGAATAGGTGTGGTGTGGTGCTGAAAAAAATGTATATTCTGTTGATTTGGGGTGGAGAGTTCTGTAGATGTCTATTAGGTCTGCTTGGTGCAGAGCTGAGTTCAATTCCTGGGTATCCTTGTTGACTTTCTGTCTCGTTGATCTGTCTAATGTTGACAGTGGGGTGTTAAAGTCTCCCATTATTAATGTGTGGGAGTCTAAGTCTCTTTGTAGGTCACTGAGGACTTGCTTTATGAATCTGGGTGCTCCTGTATTGGGTGCATAAATATTTAGGATAGTTAGCTCCTCTTGTTGAATTGATCCCTTTACCATTATGTAATGGCCTTCTTTGTCTCTTTTGATCTTTGTTGGTTTAAAGTCTGTTTTATCAGAGACTAGGATTGCAACCCCTGCCTTTTTTTGTTTTCCATTGGCTTGGTAGATCTTCCTCCATCCTTTTATTTTGAGCCTATGTGTGTCTCTGCACGTGAGATGGGTTTCCTGAATACAGCACACTGATGGGTCTTGACTCTTTATCCAACTTGCCAGTCTGTGTCTTTTAATTGCAGAATTTAGTCCATTTATATTTAAAGTTAATATTGTTATGTGTGAATTTGATCCTGTCATTATGATGTTAGCTGGTGATTTTGCTCGTTAGTTGATGCAGTTTCTTCCTAGTCTCGATGGTCTTTACATTTTGGCATGATTTTGCAGCGGCTGGTACCGGTTGTTCCTTTCCATGTTTAGCGCTTCCTTCAGGAGCTCTTTTAGGGCAGGCCTGGTGGTGACAAAATCTCTCAGCATTTGCTTGTCTATAAAGTATTTTATTTCTCCTTCACTTATGAAGCTTAGTTTGGCTGGATATGAAATTCTGGGTTGAAAATTCTTTTCTTTAAGAATGTTGAATATTGGCCCCCACTGTCTTCTGGCTTGTAGGGTTTCTGCCGAGAGATCCGCTGTTAGTCTGATGGGCTTTCCTTTGAGGGTAACCCGACCTTTCTCTCTGGCTGCCCTTAACATTTTTTCCTTCATTTCAACTTTGGTGAATCTGACAATTATGTGTCTTGGAGTTGCTCTTCTCGAGGAGTATCTTTGTGGCGTTCTCTGTATTTCCTGAATCTGAACGTTGGCCTGCCTTGCTAGATTGGGGAAGTTCTCCTGGATAATATCCTGCAGAGTGTTTTCCAACTTGGTTCCATTCTCCACATCACTTTCAGGTACACCAATCAGACGTAGGTTTGGTCTTTTCACATAGTACCATATTTCTTGGAGGCTTTGCTCATTTCTTTTTATTCTTTTTTCTCTAAACTTCCCTTCTCGCTTCATTTCATTCATTTCATCTTCCATCACTGATACCCTTTCTTCCAGTTGATCGCATCGGCTCCTGAGGCTTCTGCATTCTTCACGTAGTTCTCGAGCCTTGGTTTTCAGCTCCATCAGCTCCTTTAAGCACTTCTCTGTATTGGTTATTCTAGTTATACATTCTTCTAAATTTTTTTCAAAGTTTTCAACTTCTTTGCCTTTGGTTTGAATGTCCTCCCGTAGCTCAGAGTAATTTGATCGTCTGAAGCCTTCTCTCAGCTCATCAAAATCATTCTCCATCCAGCTTTGTTCTGTTGCTGGTGAGGAACTGCGTTCCTTTGGAGGAGGAGAGGCGCTCTGCGTTTTAGAGTTTCCAGTTTTTCTGTTCTGTTTTTTCCCCATCTTTGTGGTTTTATCTACTTTTGGTCTTTGATGATGGTGATGTACAGATGGGTTTTCGGTGTAGATGTCCTTTCTGGTTGTTAGTTTTCCTTCTAACAGACAGGACCCTCAGCTGCAGGTCTGTTGGAATACTCTGCCATGTGAGGTGTCAGTGTGCCCCTGGTGGGGGGTGCCTCCCAGTTAGGCTGCCCGGGGTTCAGGGGTCAGGGACCCACTTGAGGAGGCAGTCTGCCCGTTCTCAGATCTCCGGCTGCGTGCTGGGAGAACCACTGCTCTCTTCAAAGCTGTCAGACAGGGACATTTAAGTCTGCAGAGGTTACTGCTGTCTTTTTGTTTGTCTGTGCCCTGCCCCCAGAGGTGGAGCCTACAGAGGCAGGCAGGCCTCCTTGAGCTGTGGTGGGCTCCACCCAGTTCGAGCTTCCCGGCTGCTTTGTTTACCTAAGCAAGCCTGGGCAATGGCGGGCGCCCCTCCCCCAGCCTCGTTGCCGCCTTGCAGTTTGATCTCAGACTGCTGTGCTAGCAACCAGCGAGATTCCGTGGGCGTAGGACCCTCTGAGCCAGGTGTGGGATATAGTCTCGTGGTGCGCCGTTTCTTAAGCCGGTCTGAAAAGCGCAATATTCGGGTGGGAGTGACCCGATTTTCCAGGTGCGTCCGTCACCCCTTTCTTTGACTCGGAAAGGGAACTCCCTGACCCCTTGCGCTTCCCAGGTGAGGCAATGCCTTGCCCTGCTTCGGCTCGCGGACGGTGCGCACACACACTGGCCTGCGCCCACTGTCTGGCACTCCCTAGTGAGATGAACCCGGTACCTCAGATGGAAATGCAGATATCACCCCCAGAATAAATGTTTATTAAAAAGACCAGGCTTAATAGCACAAGACATGGGGGCAGCAAGAATAAAGGCATGAAGTGTAAAAGAGTCCAGAGATAGGAATGTAAATTAATTCAACCATTGTGGAAAACAGTGTAAGTGTCTTACTTATAAGTGGGAGCTGAAAAATAAGAACACATGGACATAGGGAGGGGAACAACACACAGTGGGGCCTGTTGGGGGGTGGAGTAGGGGAGGGAGAGTATTAGAAAGAATAGCTAACACATGCTGGGCTTAATACTTAGATGATGGATTGATAGGTGCAGCAAACCACTATGGCACATGTTTACCTGTGTAGCAAACCTACACATCCTGCACATGGACCCCCAAAATTAAAATAAAAATTAGAGTCCAGAGAATGCAGGAGTGTGTGAATTGAGTATGGAGAACTGAGAGGAAAACACTGCCTGTCTTACTTCTAAATGAATAGCAGGTATTATTTAGATTGATTTGAACTTACTTATAATAAGCCATATCCAGTTGTCTCCAGATTTTCAAAAATAATGCCAGGTTTTCATCAACATTAGCTAATAAGTACGCTTGTTAGTTTAATAAGGAGAAGGCAGTGCTTCTAACAGTGCAATAACTTATTCAGTAAGCTATCTAACTTTGGAGTGGCAAGTAGAAAATCCGTGCATATGAGGAATGAGAAAGCTTGAGAGTGGGCATTATGAGAAGATAGTTCAGTGTGATTTTTGGGAGAGTAGTAACTAATATGTGATCTTCACAAAATAACAAACTAGGAATAAATTATAATTGCAGCATTCATATACAATTATATGTACATTCAATATTACTGTAAAATTAACTTATGCTTCATAAGTGCTAATTATTTGTGCTGTTTTGGAGATTTGCTAATACATATTATCTTACTAGTATATGAAGTCTACATCTAGTAAAGGACAAAATACTAATAGACAATAAATATCCTGCAAGATAGAAAATGATCCTTGCCATGAATAATGCAACAAAGAAGTCTGTGGGTTTAATAGCAAAAGAGCCCTCTTCTGACATCTTATATAGAAGTTGATGCTACATATTTATCATAAGGGCTTGGAAATTAATTGTATAATTTACCTGTGGTCCCTGGATCATTGCTAGAGCCTGGGTTAAATATAATTTTCGTTAAAACATTTTACCTTTGGCAGTCAAGTAAAAAAAAAATGTGTTTTTAAAAAAGAAGCTCACTACTTCTCTTAGACTGCTATAATGGAAGTGCACAGTGTGAATAAATTCTAGCAAAATCTGAGTCTCGAAAAGGCATCATAGGTGGGTCAATGGATTTTAGCATGTAGGTCAGTAACCAGCAAACCCAATAACCTTGTGAGGGTTCCCAACCTAGAAACCTCAGCCTCCTGAGTAGCTGGGATTACAGGTGCCCATGCCCAGCTAATTTTTGTATTTTAGTAGAGGTGGGGTTTCACCACGTTCTCCAGAAATACATGATTTTAAGCTGTAATGAAGTAGTTAGAAGCATGGGGTCTAGAACCAGAGGGCATGGAATTGAATTACAGCTTTACTGCTTAACAAACATATATACTTGGGCAGGTTAATACAGTCTTAGTCTTGATTTATCTTTAAAATGGGCACAATAATAATAATACATAATTCAGGGGGATGTGCTGATTCAGGCATCTAAGTAAAGCTTTTAGCAGTGTGGCTGGCACAAAGTAAACATTCAGTGACTAACAGCTCTTATTAATTTTATCAAACCTTTTGCCTGATATCTCATTCTACGATCTAACAAGATGTAAGTTACTCCCCTCTCCAGATTTATAATTTTAGAGGCCTACTGTATGAAGTCTGGCCCTCTTTTGGCAAATATTACAGAGGGCTTGGTTAATTAAAAGCCTAATAAAATGTATCAATCTGTCTCTAGTAAAATTTAAAACCAGTCACCTGTGTTACCCTTACCTTAGAACTATAGGTAAATGCACTATGAAAAATAAACAAGCACAAAAACACCCTTCAAGATTTCAAGTCAAATTTGAAATAATCCCACTATAATTAATTTATTTCACAGGTCAGACCACAGGTTAAAATACTAGAGTTTCTTTATTCCCAACATACCTATTGTGGAGAAGATAGAGAAAAGATAGAATAAAAAATGCACCTTTATTTTGAAAGCTATGAGCTATACTTAAATTTCAATTGGGAACGGCTCTTTAAAAGGTAATACGGCAACTTAACAAGTAAATTTCCTCTAAAACAAACTGGAAAGAAATAGGATTGATGCTAATGGAACTAAGGAGGAAACTACATAGACCATAAAAGCCTCGGCTGCTATCCCAGGCACAAAAAGATTGGGAAAACCAATCTAAGGTAATTCAGTTCATCACAAAAACACACTGTCCAATTGGAGGTACTGTGAATAATACCTTAACGCCTGTCACAATAGATGGGGACGGTCTTTCTTTTATTCTTTTATTCTGAGGCAATCTCTTTGTGGAACTTTATTTGTATAGCTAACAATCTGAATGAAGGAGCTCCTGTGAGGACTTGTGCATCTTTATTGTTGCCAGGGAAACTGGGTCTTAATTTCTAGTGGCTGAATGCCAAAGAAAACAGGCTATACAGAAAGGGAAGAAACTTGGTAACACTGCATTTGTTGGAAATATTCAGTGTTAAAGGGTCCTTTTCTGGGACCCACAATTTTAGTAGGTCTACAAATACCCGCCTCCCTTTCTTCACCCCACTGCTTTCAAATGAACTACCAAATATCAGTTTGGTTTTTACTTGATGCAGCAATATGGTAATTATTATTCACAGAATTTCTAGATGTAAAATGGAAAAAAATTAATAATGAGTGTAGTTCCTTGTTAAATTCCGGTTGAAGCAACACATAATTATCCTTCTGACAGTTCAAGCCAGCTTATGAGGAAAAGCCTACTGTTTCAGTTTACAAGGTTCTCCTTGCCCAGACCAGGAAGCTTTACGTACCTTTTGTGGTATTGCTTAATAGTTCACGACAGTGTTGCTTTAAGTGAAATAGGAAAAAAAAGTAAGAAACAAAACTGCCTGGATTTAAAAACAACAAAACAAAAAGACAAAACAAACTCTTATCATACACAAAAACATCTGTTACATATTGATTTATTTAAAATCTGTCTGCTTCAACTTGAGAATTTTGGGGGCTATGTTTCCCTCAAAATTATATTTTAGATACACTGATAGAAGATTTTTGGGTCTCCAGAACACAATTATTCATAGACTGTAAATTTGTGGCAGAAAAATACCATAAAACAAACTAGAAAGAAATAAGAATAAAGGGGAAATAAAAGTGGTGAAAAAATGCTAGAGAGCAATTGTATATATGCTGTTTCTCAGTGCAGAGGTTTTTTTTACTAACGGCACATGGATTCCTCAGCAAATCCGCTTTTCTGTAACTAAACTAAAAATCATTTTTAAATATTGGTAAAGGACTTTGGTGGTTTTACTTTACCTATGCAATGTAGGAATAATCCATCTATGTTCTTTTAGAGTTTTTGTTCTTGCTTTATTGTTACACAGGAATTTTATCTCGTTAAAATTTAAATTCTTTATCTTTGATTATCCTTACTTCCTTCCACATTCTTTTTTCTTTCTTGTTGTTGGACTTGGTAGCACTCCCATGGAACCTTCAGGAAAACAAAGGGACATAGTCCTTTTTGTGCTTGGAGCTACTGCAGCCAATAGATAGGCAATCTAAATGAAATCAGCCGGGTCTCTTGGCAGAGAGCCATAAAAGACAATAGGACAATACAGTCTAAAATGTGTCCCTTACAAGAACATTCCTCAGAGAAATACCCAAAGATTTATGAACTATAACTTTGGAAAGATTGTTTTACTTAAGGAAAAAAGCTCTTCCAAAGACCGGTGAATAAAGAAAACCTGCACACTTAAAAATCCAATTTCTTGTCATTACTCCACTAGAATATGAATCAGTGAAAATAAGCAGGAAGACTTCAGAACCGATGAATTATATATTCAAGCTTGGTGCTATTAAAAATAAATATCTTGCAAAAATGCAATATTTAATGCTCTTTTAAATTCCTAGGAATTGAAAATTTCATAACATTGCCAAAAATAAATGCCACCATCTCTATTTTATATATGGGAGAAAATAAGATAAAAGATGAATTGACTTACATGGAAAAATCAGAGCTGGGAGAGGACTTAATTCCTGGTGTTCACAAAACTAGCGCATGATACTACTTTTTACTTAATTTCCTAATTTTAATGTGTCCAACTGTCTTGAGACAGTACATAGGAAAGCTTAAAACGAAACATTCAATAGTGTATGCTTTCTCAGTGTCCAGTTTGGGAATAGATTACTAGTATCAAAAGCCATTAAAAATAATTTTCAGGAAAGATAGACTCAAGCTATATGATGTTATTATCAGCAGCACACTTTTTAAAATATTATTTAAATGTTTTAACAATTCATAGTGAAATAGGGCTATGTATATAAACACACGGATTAGAAGAAGGAAAATAACAAGTGCTTAGGGCTTCACTACATTCCAAATAAATGAAAAATCTTATTGAAACTCACATCTTACAGGATACCTATCAGCATTATTGTTTTGTCTATAAGAAAATAGAGAATCAGAAAGTTTTGCTAACCTGTCCAGAATCACACAGGTCCAAATGGAATGAGAACCACAGATGTTTGTTTCCTAAACCCTTATTTTTCCCACCATGTTACAGAAGAGTCGCTCTGTGGGTTTCAGTATGAAAGTTGTACAATCGTTCCTCCTCCTGGACTTCTTCCTGGGAATTAAAAGCAACCTATCCCAGGATGATGGTGACTTAGACTTTTCCTTGTCTTTTTCCATTTCCAAGCCACTATCACAGCATCAAAAGAACCACAAGTTATGTTTTTCAATTCATTTCATATAAGAGTTCAATTACATTAAGAGAATTTTGAGAGCTTTATGTTTTTAAGTATTGTAATTATTTACTGGTCTAAAATGTGCTGAGAAATTGGGTGACGCCTATAGCAGGCAACATGCCTACTGCTGACTGATTTATTGTGCTAGGATTACAAATGGCCAATTTGTCAAAATATATTTATGATATCTAAATTGTCTCTTTTCTATTTCTTTTATGTTTTTGTTTATTTGTTGGTTTTCTATCTTTGGACCAAATTCTCAGCATTTGAAAAATACTAAGTTATGTGTCAACATTTTCTTCTCATTCTTGTGCTTATCTATTTTTTGTTGAGATCAAAGTTGAACCAAAAATTTGAGAGGATTGAATAACGGTGAATGGAGAAAAGGGGCCACTTCGTATTTCCCAGGCTTTTACAAAAACAAAACTAAGAATAATAACATTTCTTCTAGTTTTAATTATCTCCTAAAATCATAGTCAGGTTTCAAAAAGGAAATCTAATTAATAAAATATGAAGAAAGAAGAACCTTAAAAATAGAGCATATACTTAGATTTACTTGGCTATGTGAAAGGTAGGAGCAATCTGGACTTGATTCCAGCACTGAGTCTATTCATCTACCTGGTCAGCAGTGTCTTCCTGTTTCTTTCCTTTTCTCTCAGTTGTAAGTGTGTCCTTCTCAAGGCTGCACTCTCAGGAATGAAGGACACATTTTCTAGATAGGAATCTGCCTTCAGTCAAGAGACACTGGTGTATATAGTCCTCATGGCACAGAATATTGCTTCTGGAACTCATCTGGCATTCAAAAATGCTTCTGTAATTGGCCTTCTGACTAAAATTAAACAAAATGTGAACCCTTCTATAAAAAAGGAACAGGTGGACATTTAAAAAATATTTGATTTTTTTTTTTTTGACGGAGTCTCATTCTGTCGCCCAGGCTGGAGTGCAGCGGCGTGATCTCGGCTCACTGCAAGCTCTGCCTCCTGGGTTCACACTATTTTCCTGCCTCAGCCTCCTGAGTAGCTGGGACTACAGGCACCCGCCACCACTCCTGGCTAATTTTTTGTATTTTTTTCAGTAGAGATGGGGTTTCACCGTGTTAGCCAGGATGGTCTTGATTTCCTGACCTCATGATCCACTCACCTTGGCCTCCCAAAGTGCTGGGATTACAGGTGTGAGCCACCGCACCCAGCCTATTTAATTCTTATATGGAAAAAGCACAATAATGTTATATAATATCCTAGGACTTTTTTCAGCCTATTTTTGATAATAGAAAACACAACTCCCACAACAATGGAGATGTCATTTCAAGCTCACTTATTACTGTGGATTCTCTCAAGGAGTGGCTTTAAAGACAATTGGTCTATTCATTGAAGCATTTGCTTGGTGGTAGTCTGAAGGATACCATATGACTTGGCACTCATTAACCCTGCTCACAGTTTAGAGTTTGAATCCCATCTAGATTCAAGAAATCTGATTCTACCTTATTTCGTTAAGAAGAATGTTTGAAGTTAACATGTTAAAATCATGCACTTAAGTTTAGGAACAACATCTAAGATAAGACTTTGGGAGGACTAAACTACTTCTCTTTACAGGAACAGAAGATTACACTTCAATTTTTTTCCACTGGCAATTTCAAAATCAAACAGGTGAAAAGAAAGGAAGTTTTCCCTCAATCACAGACATATCACATTTATAATGATGCATATTATACCATCTGTACACTCCTATTAAAGCAAGAAAATACCTCAGAGACAAACTATGTTTATCTTGTTCTTTGTTTCTTTTTTGAATAGTTTATGGATGCACATATAATTTTTTATTTACCTCTGAGTAAACAGAGATCAACTTATTTTTCCCAGTGAAACATTAAAATATTGCACTCATCAGAAATTCCCCATTGGCTTCCTGAGAAATGGGATCACTATCAAGGCAGCTGCTAGCATTCATTAGTAATGTTCTGGGACATAGACTAGCTGTTGGGGAGAGATGGAATAAATACAGGAAAAGAAAAACAGGAAGAAAAGGAAAGCTCATGCCTTTCTTCAGTGATTCTTGCTGTGGCCTTTCATTGAATCAAGTAAATCTCTAGCGAACAAAAATAAATACTACCAGTAATAATATAAGGGAAGACTGTTTAGAAGATAATGACATGTGCCATAAAAGAGAAGGCTGTGTATTATTCACACTAAACACATAGAATGAGATAGATACCCATATAGAAAGAAGGTTGGCAACCAGCAGTATCCTAAATGCCATTTCAAATCTCTTGATGTCAAAAGGAATTGTGCTTCTGGTAGGACATTCAGAACTCTGGAGCCAGAAAACACAAAGTGAAGAGAACATATATTCTTCAGCAAAACACTGGGGATAGTGTAAGGAAGAAGAAAAATGTGTGTGCATTGGCTATTTGGCTAAAGCTTCTCAGTACCAGAGGGAAGCTGTGGCTATAAATTTCTTTAGACCTTTCAGAAGCCCAAGCAGCATAACAATCCATTGGCTTAAAGAGAAATAAAAGACATGTAGTTTCTTCTGTAATTAAAGATCACTGTTGATCTAAGTACATCTGTTTATTTTAGCAGTCTATATTTAATACGTATATTTGTTTCAGAGGATACTAAAAACAAAACTGCTTATATGCAGCATACATAAAAACTTCTTTTAGCACATTAATTTATGGAATATTTTAGTGGCACTCTGGACATAAAGTATGGTAGAATTTTCTGCCCAAATGCTGAAGCTAGACTGTTATGGTTCTCCTAGTATTTTTCTGCAGCCAAATTAGACCCAACCTTATGAACATATGCTGTTGACTGCAGGGCTCTCTTAGAGTCTCATCCCTGGAATAGGAGAGGTTTCAGTTCCAGATCATTAAGGCCCACGTAGATTTCCAAGACCAGAACTCAGGGGAAATAAGAAGGACAGTGAAAAAAAATTGAGTGACCTTCTTTTCTGTGGGAGCCAAAGGGTGAGCTGAGCCCATGAAACTAACTGGTGACATTAATGAAATACTATAATACTGCCTAAGGCTGATCAATCACTAAGAACAGAACAGCTACTTTCAAATCCAATTCCAGAGGTTCAGTTTTTACATTTCCCAAATGTCTCTAATTGCCAGCATATTTATCCCATCATTTGTGATAAACACTCTCTGGTGAAAATTGAGTACCAACCAAACTGCACCTGTTATACTCCATATCAATAGGATCTCAAATTCAAATCATTCAAATTAATCTTAACAAGGCTGATTTAAATAAAGGGCCTTAAATACTAAGCAGCTCTGTCATGTTAAAAAGAAAATTTTTGATAAAAGGCCATAGAATTTGCCTCCTCTAAAGTAGTCTGTGATATTAATTCCTCAACATAATTTTTGTAGTCAAGGAATGTGATATCATATTCTGTGCTGTATTTTCATGACGTGGCTTATAGTAAAATTTCATATCTAAAGGGTGAAAGTTCCAGATAACTGTATTTTATAGGCTTTGGCTACTACAAAAACATAAAACCTAGAATAAGTACTGAATCATTCCAGCTGCAAGGGTATTTTTCGAAGGTTCATTTAGAAGACTAGTCAAAGATAATGGCTTTAAGTGGAAGGGGAATAAAAAGACATCCTCACTGACCACCGAGACCAATATAATTCATTAGATAACAAAGAGTTGTATATGGAACTCTACCATCTTGTAGGGAATCTCCCAAACGAACTGATGTTGCTGTCCCTTTCAGACCACATCCTTGTGAAAGCTGCTGCATGACATTCCCAAATGTGTCTGACATGTTTGAGATGGCATGACTTAAAACTACAGGCCATTAGGCAAAGGTGAAGTTCACTTTGGGGCACCTAGGGGTCCCTCAAAGAAACAGGCAATCATACAATTAGAGGCTTATGACTCTCAGTTGGTAGAGACTTGCAATATGCATTAACAAGCCAGAGACACAACAAATAAATATCAACTTTACATACATGACAAATCAAAAGTCCCAGCCCATGGCATTCCTATTTTCAGGTGTTACATTTGTTTATATGGTTAATAGCTCTTCAACTGGGGATGCTCAGCAGTGAGCAGAAGGATATTATTCTCCTTCAGAGAAACAGTACTCTCTAAACTTACTTCAATTTGTTCTTCTTCATGAAAGCATTACAGAAAAAGAAAAGGAAATAAATGTATACCTAACATTTTTTATAAATAAAGAATTTTGTTAGACACATTACATGCACCATTTATATGAGTACACACAATCTTAAAATCAGCTATTTTAAAGATGAGAAAATTGAGATTCACAGAAGTCCCTTAGGTATTAGGTAGATGAAATTTCGCTGGAACTCAGTTCTGCCTGTCTACAAGATAGCCCCTGGCAATTTCTTCCTTCTCTGTACTTGCCACACCTTTCATCTAGAAGTAGAAACGTAAGTCCTTTCACTTGAATCTGGTATGGCTTTATGACTGGTTTGGTGAATAGAATGTAGTATAAACGATGTCCAGGGATTTTGATGCTTATGCCTTCGGGGCCTTGGAGTGTTTGCTTTCACTCTTGGAAGACAGCCACATGTAAAGTACAACTATACTGTTGAAGAGAGGCAGGCCCTGGAGGATGAGAGACTACATCAGCCTCAGTCAAGATGCCCTCCCAATACTGCATGAAGCAGAGATGAGCATTTCCATCAAAACTGTAATGCTTAATTTGAAAAACCTGTACTACATACTACCCTAAAGAACTTTCCTTGAGGAGTAGATGTAGACAGTAAACAAGCAAGTGCATCCTTCTTGGAATGTCACAAATATGGGATTGCTGAATAGAGGATGCTTCCCATGGAATCGGACAAGGAACCTATGAATAGGGAATGCAAGCCTAACAAGTGGCAAAATGTCCTCTCTATGGTGGAAATGTCCTCTCTATGGTGGAAATGTTCTCTCTATGGTGGAAATGTCCTCTCTATGGTAGATTCTTCACATATTCTTCACCGTTATGAACAGCAATTCCCAGGTAGGAAAATAAAACTAGCATCTTCACCTTTGATGCCGTTTTTGCTACGATTTTTCTGATTCAGTGTAGAGTTTGATGTCAGAAAGACCTGGGTTTGAGTAGGGGCTTGCCACTTACAAACTCTATGACTTTAGAAACTTACTTTATCTCTTGTCTCTGCTTATATTAAGAAAATGGAAATTCTTCAAAATACAAGAGAGGAAATTCAGTCATGCAGCCTTTTCATTAAGTGTCTCTATTTAAAAAATCAAAGCAGTTATTTTTCTGTCCCAAATCTCCACATGTGGAATCTGTTAGTTAGGTACCTGTTCTGGAAAGCTCTGGTTAAAAGTCAGGCTTGCTTAATGGAGTCACAGGAAGGTAAGTTAAAAATATACCCATAGAGATCATCTGTCTAGCTCAATCCCTTTATTTCACAGAAGAAGAAAGATCTAGAGAGGAAAAGTGAGTTGTACAAAGAATCCAGCTTGTGAGCCACAGAAAAAGTACAAGAACCATTGTTTCCTGACTCCTCAATCAGTGCTCTTTCCATCATAACTGGAGCTTCCCCTGGGTGAGGAAAATGTAACTAGAAATAGCCCTAATTGTCATTATGAAAATCATCATTCCCAGATTAAAAATTGTCATGAAAAGGCCAAACAGGTACAAATAAATCAAACATCTTAGCATTCCTCTTATATATGTAGGTGAAAAATACCAGCCCCATCTAATTCTCCCTGCCTCTGTTTCTCTTAATTTCCCACGCATGATACCACATGGTTCTAAGTCTGGACATGATTTAAGGAGAAAATATTTCTAAAGTCTCAGCTAAAGTTGGATAAGGGCTGCAGTTAAATTGAATTTAACTGCAGTTCATTCTCCCTCAATGCAGTGCTGCTCCAAGGCTGACCACTGGTCTTTTGGACTCAACTTCTCTACGGTTCTGACCTGGGGCTGAACCAGTGCTGATAATGCTCTGGTGAGGTCCAGCCCTGGTAACACAAAACAGATAACAGAGCTGCCTTTGTTCCCCATTGTGATGGTTAATATCAAGTGTCAACTTGATTGGATTGAAGGATGCAAAGTATTGTTTCTGACTGTGTATGTGAGGGTGTTGCTAGAGGAGATGAACATTTGAGTCAGTGGACTGGGAAAGGCAGACCCACCCTCAGTCTGCGTGGGCACCATCCAATTGGCTGCAAGTGCCGCTAGGAAAAGCAAGCAGGAGGTAGAAGGAGCTAACTTGCTGAGTCTTCTGGCCTTCATCTTTCTCCCATGCTCTATGCTTCCTGGCCTGAAACATCAGACTCCAAGTTCTTTGACTTTCGGAGTCTTGGACTTAACACCAGAGGTTTGCCAGAGGCTCTCAGGCCTTTGACCATAGAATGAAGCCTGCACTGTCAACTTCCCTACTTTTGAGGCTTTGGGACTCGGGCTGATCTACCACTGGCTTCCTTGCTCCTCAGCTTGCAGGCAGCCTATCGTGGGACTTCACCTGGTAATCGTGGGAGTCAATTCTCCTTAATAAACTCCTTTTGGTATATACATATATCCTATTAGTTGTATCCCTCTGGAGAACCCTGACTAATACACCCATGTTTGGTTCTTGTTTTGTTGTGTAACTGTGTACTTCCATAGCTCCTGAGAAGCTGAGGCCCTGACTCATTTTTCTAGCATGGCATTTGGGTACTCTTCACCCAAAAAGAGATTCCTAAGTATAACTCTTGGCCGGCCTGGATGTCTCATCACAGAAACAGCCTATCCAGTCGTACCTCTTCAGTCCTCAGACTGGGTCCTGCCCATGTGAATGGATCTAGGATTACTTCCCTGACTCTTCCCAACTCACTTGACCTATCTGCCTGTACGTAAGTAGCTAAAACTCATCAATCACCTGAACTAAGGCAGTAAGTGGGGGAGAAAATCTTTGAAAAATCCAAATTAGTTTTTATTAGTGGTCCCATTGTAAATTTGAAAATTTCATTGCTCAAATGTACAGAAATTTGGTATAGACATATTGCTGGTGATTTGAAAACAATAACCTAGTCATAAGCTTTTATTTTTTATATTGTTTATTTTTGGTTTAAGAAGGTGAAAACATTCATAGCAGAACACTTGGAAAATAAAGAAACATGCATAGAAAAAATATGTTGTTCTTTTTATAGAATGAGAAATAACTAAGATCCGTGTTTTGAGCCAGAACATGTGAATCTTTGTGGTATAACAACTTATGTTCCAGTAACTTCTATTTTAGTAGACTTTTTTCCTCTAAAATTCAAGAAGCCACAGAGTAACCTCTTCAGACTACTTCATATGTTTCAGCGTCTCATGAATATAGTTATTGATCTTCAGGTAAACTCTTGGGGATTTTGTCAATTCTGACATTGATTCCCATGTGGAACAGAGGACTTTTCTAGATTTAGAGTTGTGCCTTCATTTTAACCACTGGTTTGAACTCTAGACCCTCTAAAATAGACCTTAACACACTTCATCAGATTTTGAAACTTGCTGCTTATTTTCTGATTCAATTGTATTTGTTCTGCTATGACTGTATTAGTTTTGGATTCAAAAAGGTTAGCCACTGATAAGTCTTATATTCAACTCTCCCTCTAGCTATGAGACTGTAGAAGGTATTTAAACATTCACAAGGACAGAGCTATGTTGGGAGACAGTGCCAGACTGCTAAACTTTAAGTTCTTTTTCTTCCCAATTTAAATTTAAGTCAAATTTTTGTGAATCTCTCACCATGTTACCACTGACAGTCATTTAATCTCTGTTAGAAATACCTGTAGAAATAGGACATTGCTCCTATGTCAAGGAGTTTACAATATAGCTGGAGAAACAGAACACCTACATGTAAAGATATAACCAATGTTATCAGAAAGCACATCATAAAAGTCATTAATAAATATAATAATAGTGTCATGGTATGGAAGCCAGAGGGTCAGAGAGTGACCTTAGGGCTAGGATGGCCAGAGTTTCAGATAATAGAGAAGAGTAGGACACTGTTCTTATTATATTATCAGATATTCTGGGCCAAATGTGCAGAAATGGAAAAAGATTAGATTCTGAGAAGTAGTACAGTTTGGCTACAGAAGGAAGTTTATGTACATATGTTCCCATGAATGCGTTTGAGGCCTTTCAAAATAGGGCCTCACATCTATATTTGTTTCAGTTTTCTGTCTCCAAATATATAGCCTGTATGATAGACAAACTGGAAAACTTTGGATTTCCCAACAATGTATACGCCTTCCCATCTCTGCCTTTACTTATGTTTCTTCCTTAACTTCTACCATGCTCCCAGCCTCCCTCCCCTTATCTCCTCATAATGAAGGTTTTTTAAAAATAAGTTTTTTCTCTGCTTTCAACTCTGATAAACTGGCAAGGTTTCCTGAGAGTGATATGAGGGAAAAATTCCAAAATCATTTCATCTTAAAAAAAAAAAAAAACATGAGTGATTAGTGATGTCTAACAAGGTACGACTTTTGGAGCAGTGTTATAAATGTCATGTATTTTGTATTTTGCAAACACCATTCAAGGCCTAGAAAAAGTATCCCCCTGAGTCATATGGATCTTTGGGGTCTGTTAATCAAATGAACTCCTTCTTCCTTAAAATCCTACTGCATTTTCTATTTCTTTTATGTCACTTAACTTATTCCACTTTATGTTTGCACTTGGCTTATCACTGGCAATAAACTTAATCTCTTTTAACAGTAAAAAATGTATCTCACTCATCTTTTTTATCTCCCCAAAATGCCTAGCATAATAAATATATGCTTAATAAATATTTCATGAATTGAATATAATGGAGGGAAGAAGAAGGATCTAAGGCTGGAAAAGTAAATTGCAGATAGATTATAGAAACCTAAATAGTAGAGTTTAGCTGGTAATTTTTTTACAATAGTTTCATGTAATGTGGCTGTATGCCCATAATAATCAGATGCTTCCAGGTAGAAGCCCTTAATACATTCTCACTCACAAACTCCAATAATAAAAGGTTGCTGACCCACCACCTAGGGATTGAGTTCTTCAGCTGGAACAAATCAAAGGTAACAAAATTTATCAATGCATCACACCTCTTAGGTGATTTCAGGGAAATTTACATTTTGAAAGAAGAAGGCTCAATATAGAAGGAAAGATATGCCTAGGGTGAAACCTGACTTAAAAAGAAATAATGAAAACTGCTCAGCACATTGTGGTAGAAATAACATAGATTTGGGGGATCAAGGCTTGACATTCAAGATCAGATCTCAACTCTACCACTCTCCAGCTATGCTCTTGGGTGGATTAAGTAACTTCTCTGAACTTCCATCTCTTTCTTTGTAAAAGTAGTATAATTATACTTGTGCCAAAAAGTTCAAAGCTAAATATGCAGCCCAGTTTTAGTAACTAGTTTTAGTAAACTGATAGATATGTAAAGCTTGCTTATGTACTACAAAATCTTTTGCATATTATGTTCTATGTCGTCTATGTTTCTACTGACCCTGACTTTTCTTTCTAGTTTATTATATTGGCTAAATTATTGTAAGCCACCTCTAATTGTTTTGTGTAAGTATATGGGCTATAAATATATAAATTGAGTTATACCCATGTGTAGAGCTATTGAAAGATAAAATAGGATAATGTCTAGATAAAAACCTTTTACGTAGCTTAATGTGGTTTCTCCCAACTCAATTGCATCTGCCCATCAAAAACATGACTTAAAGAGACTTTCCAAGGCAAGAGGGCAGATACCAGGAGTTATAGCTGTCAGAATTATAACCATTGCAGGTACTTCAGTTAGATAGCTTTTAGCTCCATGGCCAGTTATTTAGATTTCCTGAGGTTGCATAGTTTGAACAGGTAAAAATTTTGAGGTAGAACGTTAACAAAATCTAGTAACTGCTTTATACATTTTTACCACTTTCTGTCAAAGCCCCTTATTTTAATAAATCAGGTTCAAATGTAATAAAACTACAGCTGCTTCTGGTTTTCATATGTTGATTCAACGAAAAGACTGAGTTTTAATCTGTTGTTCCACTTTGTGTTATTAAGGTCCCAGAGCATTTTATGCTCTTTCTTTAGATGCTACACTTTCCAAGGGGAAAACAAAGCTGACCTTGACCTGTTTGCTTTCAGTGGGCACTTACGTGAATAGTGACAGCAGTCACTGTGTCCTAAACTGAGACCTCACATCATTTTGAGCAGACCCCCCTTTTCATCAAAAGGTAATGTCCATATTCATGAAGAAAACTCAGTGAGCTGTGGGTAAGGCTTTCAGCCCGTACATTTTTAACATAAATACCCTAAGAATAAGCAAGTTAAATGTCACAAAAATACAGGAAGGCAGAAAAAGCCTTTGCCTATTATATCAAACCACAAAGCAGCTGACATTTCTTAAGAACAGGATTATTTGAACAAAATTGCTGAAGAAAGCTGAGACTGTCCTATTCACAAGTAAACTTTGAAATATTAAGAAGATAAAATAACAAAAAAAGAATATATTTTCCTGACTATATTATTAAATAAGTACCAAATACATGAATAATATATTACATATTATGCAATTATGATTATTTACATATTAAAAGTTTTGGGTGATCTATTACTGTAGTTGTCATCAGAAAATATAATTTCACAAATGTCTGCTTCATATTTATAATTATGGACATATATATTTGGGATCCTATTAGACATTCATGTAGAGCTGTCAATTAGAAGGATGATATATGAGCTCTGGAAAAAAGTCTGGACTAGAGATATAAAGTTAAAGTTAATGACATACAGATAGTATTTAAGATTCAATTGATACTATTAAAATATTACTCACTGGGTAAACTTTCACACTAAGAGTGAAATTTTGAAGTATTATCTTAAATCACTGAGCTGAAGAGCAATGTGTTGAGAGACAGGCTCAGAAAGCACTGATGGGCAGCTTGGAGGCGGGGTTCATAGAACTCAGATTTCTTTTAAGTGAAATGAGGCATTCTGTATACCTCAATGTCATCCCTCTTCAATCTTCTTTCCTGGCTCCTTAATTTCTCTTATTGTAAATGTTGGTGTCCTTTAAGATTTGGTCTTGGGATCTTTATTTTCATTAAACTCTCTCCAAATCTGATTTCCTCCAATTCCATGTTTTAAATGCCATCCATCATTTACTAATGCCCAAATTTATATCTTCAGTCCAGATTTGGCATTTCCTTACAGATGTCTTACAATATTATCCAATATCTAACATGATATGTCCAAAAAGAACTCTCAATAAATAATACCATCATCTACCCTATTCTCCAAATCTAAACATATAGTATCCTTCCTGAATTGCTTTTTCTCCCTTATATACAACTCCCAATTCACTAATTTCTATCCACTCTACCTTTGAAATATATCTCAAATACATTGACTTATCTCTTCTGCCATACTACAATCTTGGCCACAATCATTGTAGCATGGACTACTGAAGTTGCTCCAAATTCTTCTGCTTATATATATTCTTGTCCCCAAACAACCCATTTTTCACTTAGCAGCCACAGTGATCATTAAAAATATAGAGAAAGAGAGACAGAGAAAGAAATCAATAAGAACATGGTTGTAGTTCTTTTATATGGTTATTGTTTACCTAAGAACAACTCGCTATTCCTCTTAGAAACCATTAAGCATCAGGAAAACAAAGAAACAAACAAACATATATAAAATGTCAAAAATTGCCTGACTTCAATTTGCAGAAACGTTAGCATATAGAAAGAAGCTGTAACTCCAATGATAAGTTAGTGCTACCAAGTGCCACTACGATCTGGGCAGAGCCACCTGGGAGGAAGGGAGGGCACCTGGCTGGTAAGTGCTTGGAGACCCAGAGGTAGCCGATTCCGGAGAGCACAACACAGATACACTCTCTAAGAGTAAGGAATCCCCTGAAATGTGAAAGTTAAAGCTGCTGCTGGAGATGTAGTAAACATGGCTGAGTTCTGAGAATGCTGCCATCAGAGAGCAGTTGCCAAGGTGATGAATCTAATAGCCATGTCAGATTAAAGACAATGCCAGTGAAAACAAGTTCTACAGTGATTTGAAATAAATATTGCCTTGGACAACAGAGCCGTTTCCGTTTATGACAACGGCAGTGAAGAAATAGGGAACGTGGCATGCAGGGCTGGCAGCAGAAACTACTGGATATCTTAAAGATAGCTGATTACACAGATAAGCTCAGACGCTCTATACAGGAAGAGAACAATCTAAATCCAAGAAGACTAAGAGAGACCCTTGAGCTGCAAAGCCTAGAAGGCTGCATAGGCCCACACCAGGAACCTCTTTCAAATTAACACCTGTTCCAGTAAAATCTTCTACATTCAACCACGAGTAACAAAACAGTAGAAGAAATAGCATGGTTGTACTCTATGAAGAAGGTGTTATGTCATACCAATGAATAAAAAACAATCTCAAGAAAAAAATCACAATGAGCATATAAAATCGTAACCAAATATTTCATCATAGGCTTAAATAAATACATGAAGTGATTGCTATGAAAGAAGACCCTAAAGAGGAAATATAAGAACTCAAGGAAGAGATGTCTGGATGAAAGAAGATGAAATGAAAGAAAAAAGAGATGAAATACAAGCTGCTAGAATTCAAGAAAGAGAAGAGAAAATAAAATGAGTAAAGAAGGCAAGATTAAAAGGAATACTTGGGAGAACAGACAGGATAAGAAAACATGGAAACTGACTCAGACAACAGAAATGAGAAAAATTAACAAAACAATACCATCTATTGTTTTATTTATAAAACCTGTTGATCTAGTATCTACTCAATAATAAAATTCAAAACAGAAAAAATCCTCCCCATATCATTTTCATTCTTTTAAACCTTTCAATGGCCTCTGATGAATTCTAAAATGAAAGTCAAACCTTGTATCACGGTCTGTTCTGTATTACTCCCACTCCTTTACAAATTTCAAGTCTTGCTGATCCCTCACTCAGCCACGTTAATCTTTTATTTACATTGCTATTCCCCTTCAAGCTCAAACAGTCCCCAGAACTTCCTGCAGCTGATGAGTCTGAATGTATTGTCATAAAATGCCTTCCCTCTACCCTCTCCCTGGCTTCTAAGGTATTTACCAGTGATTTTCTCTTCCATTATCCTGTTTACTTCCTTCACAGCCCTTATCTCAAACACAACTATCTCATTATTTATATTGTTTACTGAGATTTTGTTTTTTTCCCTTCACTGCAATGTAATCTCCCTATGAACAGAGGTCTGTATAGTCCAGCATCTATCTAGCACAGTCAGCAGTGATAAAGTCTGATGGCTAGAGGAAGGTGAAATATATTATTTCTAAGGTTTCTTCAATTCTAATGTCCTGGTTATATCTAGTAATTCACTTTGTAGAGTCTGACAGACTCCATTAAGAGCATTTAACCAACTTTAAGTCTTTGTATACCTTGATTTATCAAGCTTATAATCACATAATTAATTATAGAATTTTTACAAAGTTACTGTGAGGCTAATGGTGGTAGTGGTGGTGGTGTACGATACTACTAGTTGATAATCAAGGCTGTTGCTGGCCCAGAGGGCGATATTGCATGAATTAGAAAAAGGCATTCCCTTCCTGCATTCAGATGCAGCTCTCAGCAGCTCTACTCAGGCTCTATACAGGACACTATCCAGGTTCCCACACAGGGTCTTCAGTTGTCATCTGGTAGAACACAAATCTGTGTATCACTGATGAAGCTTGACTGAGAATCACTCCACTTTTTGTACAGTTAAGATTTATGGATTTGCTAATTCTGCCTAGCAGGGATGCTCAGGATTTCAGGGTCACTTTTCTGTTTTCCCACTCTAATCAGCACTTTTTCTCTTTTTTTGTGGTGATTAACATAAACATGACCTGGCTAGGGTAAGCTTTAGAGAGAATTCCTCCAGTGCTTTCTTAAAACCTTCATCAATGTTAGACTTTCTTATGTCCAGATGTTCCTCTCTTATATCACATTAGAATATACCATATCCCATAATGTAGTGTGGTAAATTTTGTGTGTCAACTGGACTGGGCCATGGAGTTCTCAGATAAACATATGGTTAAGCATTATTCTGGGTGTGTTCGTGAGGGTGTTTCTGGATGAGATTAACATTTGAACTGGTAAAGTGAGTAAAGCAGATTGCTCTCCCCAGTGTGGGTGGCCCTCATTCCATCTGCTGAAGTCCTGAATGAACAAAAAGGCTGAGTAAGGGAGAATTAGATTTTTCCGCCTAATGGTTTTGGAGATTGGGATGTTGGTCTTCTCCTGCCTTCAGACATGGACTCGGACTGGAATTTATGCCTTCATCTCTCCTGTTTCTTAGGTTTTCAGACTTGATCTGGCACTATACCACTGGCTGCCCTGGGTCTCCAGCTTGCCAACTGCAGGGGAGTTGGGACATCTCAGCCTTTATAATCTTGTGAGCCAATACCTTATGATAAATATTTTTATATATTCATACATATATAGAAAATCCCTGACACACACACACACACACACACACACACAAATTGGTTTTCTCTAGAGAACCCTGGCAAATATATACATTTAACACAATGTAAAATGATTGTATACAAGTTGAATGTCAGTTGTAATATCTAATTAAATATTTATTAATTTAACTTCTTGTTAAGACTTAATTCTGTGCAGCAAGAGTGCTTGACAGTTAAAGTACTCCTGAACACCTCTACAACAAACCTGCTCTAGAGAAATTAAAGTAAAGCCAGGCCTAGGAAATTAATCTGGCAAGCTAGTTTATTGTTCTTGCGTCCTTCACACTCATATTTAGGGCCTAGAATATTGGGTTCAAGTGGGTCATAGTTCTAAAAATTTCCTGGAAACATGAACCTTGTAATGACTTTATATATATTTTATATATTTTTATTGATTTTCTTACTGGAATTTTTTAACATGAAAAAGTGAATATGTATTTGATAGAAAAGATTTTTTCTGAAGTCTGATGTATTCTTATGATAAATGAAAAGCCAGATTTTCATAATGATAGGCATATTACCTTTGAAGATTTTGATCACTTAAAGATAGACATAATCAAACTTTTTATAATAAAAAATAGATTTTTCCCATTATTTAAACATGTATTTTGGTATACCTTTAGTTCTATGAGGTAAGAGGAAGAATTTCCCAAGCTCAGCACATAAAAGTTTATGTGAGAATATTTTTGATTGTTCCATGAGTTATACATTTTCAGGAAATAGAATAAAATTCCTCCAAGATACATAGCTGCCATAAGCAACTGAGTGCCAAATTCTTTGCTGCTAAATGCTCTACATGCATTATCAAGTTTGTTCTTATAAAAACTCTGGAAGGTAGATATCATTCCTATTTTATAGAATAAAAAAATCTGCCTCAGAAAAGTTAATAAATTTGCTCAAGATCACCTTGACACTTAAAAGTAATCGGTGGCCAAGGTTTGAGCCAAGGTTTGATCTTAGCTCCATCTATCTCAAGACTCTGGTCTGCACTATCAGACTCCCCCAAAGATTAAAGGCAAAACAGTTTTCAATTTACCTAAAACACTGTTCAGTAATTCTCTCTGGACTCTGATTTTTTTCCTTTGCTTTACTTCAACCTATCTCTAGTAAGAGAAGTAGCTGAAGACTATAAAATGTGCTTTGTCTACATGTATGGAATACGGGAGGAAAAGAAAAATGCCTTCATAAGACAACAAGTCGATGACAAAGCTGGGAATTAAAAGTTTTAATTTTGCCCAGCTCATCAAATGCAGAATTGACACATCTTTTTTTTGTGAGGCCACTTTTCATATTTGAATCTAAGATAAGTGATGTAGTGAGATAATGTAATTTTCCTTCATTGCCTCCAGTCTTTGATTAAAGAATTATAGCCTTGCTTTGAAAAGTAGGCATTTTTCAGTGACTCATTAAACTAATCATGAATTTTATTCCACTTCCTTTTGTAGTGGAACTCTTGTCCTTAGGCCTCCTTTAAGAACATCATATAAAACCTTACTAATGCTAATATTAACAAGCACATAAACTGTTATAATAACCACTCCTAAAGAATTTACATAGACTAATGCATTCATGCTTATTTTCAACGACTATACATCAAGTATGTACAAGATTGAAGTTCCACAACGCAAGACCTTCCCCTACACAGATGAAAAGTCAAGGGACAAAGAAGGAGAGAGAAGTATCAACCCAGTTCCAATATGTAAGGACTGTTATTTGTCTAAGAAAAAAAATGGGTTATTTCTCGCTAATGGTCAGTTTCACTAAGAGTTTCTCCCTCCACTATCAGTAAGTCTCAAAAAGGCCTGGCTTCTAGGAGGCAGTGGTCTGTTCAGTCATGCCTGAAGCTATTTTTCAGGTTAGTTAAGTATCAAAAAACTTAGAGCAGTGCTGCTGAGTGCATCATTATCTGCCAGTGAAGAGAGAGAGCCACAGTTGTGCAGCTAAGTGATGCAGGGTATGGACCTTAGCAGTAACTCTACCAGCATCTCAGTTATTACTAAAAAAGTCACCAGAGACATAACCCTGGCCATTGGCATTTTGCTTTTGGCAAAACCTTGGCTTCCAACAGCTTTCTACAGCTGTTTAAAACACAGTTTACATATACCTTATTTATATAGTATAGACAAATAGTGGATACATGTGCATGTGGAATAAAGTATCCTTAACTCAAATTGTGTGGGTAGAATATACCTTTCTTTTTAATTTATTCCTTTTTCTATTCATCCACTTATGACAACAGCCTGGTATATCAGCTACATTCCTGGATATTCACTGGGGCACAAATGTAGAAAGAAAACTGATAAGAGAAATGTAGATTTTAATTAAAGAGCATAAAGTAAAGCATTTTTCCATGGCTAACAATAGAAATGCTTAGATTCTTCAGTTGGTCCTTTTCATTGAATTTATTTCTTCCTACTGTGAGATTTAATTTAAAATATAAAGGAATTCTACAGCTAGAAAGGTTTACAAAAATTGCTTATGAAATACGTTGAGATGTTCATATGGAATATTAAGAAAGGTATCACGAAATAAAAAAAATAAGGGAAAATACAATGAATACTACAAATATAAGCATAGAGAAAACTATGTTTTGAGTTTGAGGGGAAAAAAAGCAAAATTAAGGTAATTCAGAAGCATCCAAAAGAACCATTGAACTCCCTTACTAATCCTCTTGGATAACATTTAGTTTTGTGATTATTAGTTGAAAATATTTATGCTATACCATTCACCTCACCTTACAAGCACGCCTTTTAATTAAAAAAAGTGCCTTTACCGTCAAAAGTATTTTTGTATGAGAATGATGTGCATACAGACATATACAATTAAACAATTACAAGGTAACCTTTGTCCCTCCAGCAAAACAAAACCTTAATGTCCCATCTAAGCCAGGCTAAATCTTAAAGACCTAAATAGTTGGACTTAAACACTAACAGACATCACAAGACAAAAGAAAATACAACTTCTGGGTTACTGTGAAAAGCTTCTTCATGTACTCTGTAGACAGTGAGGATTGAGGAAGCCAGGGCAATCTACCAGTGGCAACTAGAAACATCTTTCCCCCCAAATTTCCGTAAAATGGTAAGTTTAATTTGCAACACAAAGGCAGAGATGTTTACTGAGTGAACCAGATAGGAAATGTATATGATTGACATTCACGAACTAAATCATTTGTTACTATCACCTATACATTTTCATCAGACTTCCTATGACCCAAAGGAGAGTAGCCATACTTCTTATCACTTATTTCTTCAAGTGCACACACATCATTTAAACCTAATTTCCTACCATTTCTTCCTAGTCCAGCCTCACTGAACTACTGTTATTTAATACTCCTGTGTCTTTGCCCATGAAGTTTTCTCTCACTGAAGGCTATCTTCATCTGGCAAATTCCTACGCATGCCTTAAAATCCAAGTGAAATGAAATATCTCCTGTGAAGCTCTCTTTAAACCCATAGATGGAGTTATCACTACCACCTGGATTTTCCCATGGCATTTTGTACACTCATTTTCTGTATCTCTTAGCAAACCATATGCTAATTACTTGGTTAATATTCTGTCTTCTTTACTAAGTTATACACTCCACAAAGACAGGATCATTCTTTTATGTATCTCTAATGTCCTGTACAGGTCTTGGCACAAGATACTAATCATGATTATTTTCTTAAATGAAAAGTATTCCTTGTTAATTTCTTTATTCCGTAATATACTTAATATAATCTTTACTTAATATAATATAAATAATATATACTTAATATTATCATTAATCATCAACAATATAAAATTACAGTTCATATTGAAAATAGCAAACTATCTTAAGTCCAAACCAGTGATGTTCAAATTAACATTTGGTTGAGTATCCTGATGCAGAAAATTGCCTCAGTTATTCAATATAGATGAGAAAAGAAATTCTTAATAGCTTATTAGAGAAAGGTTAACTTATTTCTGTCATGATATTAGCTGGAGTTGGGGAATAGAACAGTCCTTCATGTACTAATATTTCTAAAGTTATGGGTCTGGCCCTCACTTTGGAATTTTTAGAAATGTGTCCTTTACCAAATACTACACTCATGCTTTCCTTCAGTGGGCAGAATTGCCAGCCACAGGAGGAATATTTGCAAATGTGGTGTGGGAACGTTGGTGTGTTTGTAACAAGACTGGCAGATGCTAGTGGCATTTAGTAGTCAGAAGCTAGGGACGCTCAGTGTTCAGCAATGCTTGGGAAGCCTCACATAAAAAAGAAATGTTTACCTAAAACCATAATAGCACCTCATTGCTTATACCCAATAATTTAAGGGATTCAAGAATCATCTTGTATTGATTTTTATTACTAACTTCTGCAGCCTGGGTTACACTTTGGAAAACATTACAGTCTCCTCATTAGTCTATGCCTGTAATGGAATTTCACTATTAAACACAAATTCTTGGCTGGGTGCGGTGGCTCATGCATGTAATCCCAGCACTTTGGGAGGCTGAGGCGGGCGGATCACGAGGTCAGGAGTTCAAGACCAGCTTGGGCAACATCATGAAACACCGTCTCTAGTGAGATACAAAAAAATTAGCTGGGGTGACCCATGCCTGTAATCCCAGCTACTCAGGAAGCTGAGGCAGGAGAATCACTTGAACCCGGGAAGCGGAGGGTGCAGTGAGCCGAGATCGCGCCATTGCACTCCAGCCTGGGTGACAGGGCGAGACTCCATCTCAAAAAACACAAAATTCTTAGCTAGAATTGTTAACTAAATGGAACTCATGTTGGAAAACATAACGGGAAAAATGCATCAATTTTCTGCATTACTTCAGCACGTTTTCTGGTTACCATGTGACCAAGTAGAATTTCATTGATGGATTACTAATAGAAAGTGTATTTGTTGCCCAACTTCCTTCCTTTTCTGTGTACTTCATGAAAACCAGCTGTTTTCTTTGGAACTGATTGGGTTACTTTCTTTGTCTTTTTTTTTTTTTTTTTGTGGCAAGTAAGTTAAATACTATGCATTAGTAATATATATAGGTAAAGTAATAAGGTGTTTCCAGAATTCCTTAGTAAGTTTATCCTCTAAGAGAAAAGCAATAAAACCAACACACGAAATTAGTTGTATGTCATGTTTCCTTAAAGTAAGTATTTTTAAGTAGAGAAAAAAAATTAGTAAAGGATTTTGTTACTGCTAGATCTGGATTTGAATCCTAGTTGCAAGTTATGTAGCAATGGGTAAGATTCTGATGTCACTTTTCTATAAAAACTTCATAGGATTTTTTGTTGTTGTTCAGGATTAAATAACATATTTCATGTCCATAGCAAAGGGTCTGGCTCAGAAAAAAAATGGTAGATAATTGTTTTCAAAGAAATTAATTACCTCATTAATTGTATTTACATATCTGAAGAAAGACTAGGTTAACTAATGAAAAGATTGAAAGAGAATCTCAGTGTATATTAGTAATTGGCTATCATTGACTTAAGGAGATAATTCCCTGATTCCTTTATTGTGGGGATTTTGAGTTGATTGACAGAACTATCCCAACTCTTGATGATTCCATCGGGTAGGTTAAGGATGCTAGCCCTTTATGTCCCATTAATTTCATTGATCTGGCTCCCTGTTTGCCAAGTAAACCTCTACTATTATTTTTGTTTGTTTGTTTTGCCTGTTTATGATCATTTCCCTAGCTGGAGTGGGTATACTGACTAGATAACTTAACAGTTGGTTTAGTTGGCAGTCAATTCTCATTATAAATCAACTTCCTATGCTGGTCTATGGGGAGTTTTGTTATTGAAAAGTCTATATCAGTAGATTTCAATCTGATCAATTGCAGATGCATTGACAAAAATTAAATTTCTGGAACTGTAAAGCTAAGGGTGGGACTCTAAGCTAACTATTTGTCCACATCTTACCTGCAGAGGCTCTAAATAAGTGGTAAGCTAGTCCTACTTAGGAATCACCATCATTTTCTATAACTGCTACAAAAGCATTAAATTTGAAGAAATGCCAAAATTCGATATCTACATTAGATCCTTTGACTTCATGTCCTAGTGGAATAGTTAAACAGTCTGAATTTGCTGCATTTATTGAATAGTCCTGGAGAGTCAAAGAAAGCACAAATGGTAAGTCAAATGTCAATTCTAAGGACTGGAATTGGATTCCAATTCTAAGAGTCATTGGATTGCTTTATATGGAGAAAGGATTAGTGCTATTTTGGATTTGCACAGATAATTTGCATCTTGAAATTGATAATCTCTTTTGTATGAAAGCCTGATAAAATCACATCTGTCTGTTTCAAGTAGCACAGGATCAGAACAGTACAATAAATTGAAAGGAGCAGGAAAATGGGCAAATGGGCTTAAAGTAGTTAAGAAAATAGAGAGATGAACTAGTGAATCAAATTGCTCAACCTTTTTAATATGGACTGGATAATGACTAAGAAGATGGTTTTCAGTTGGTTTTTGTGTATGAAACATAAACACCAAGGGAAAAGAGGTGTTTAACATAGAACAAACATGTATAAATAGAAGACCTGGTGATGAAAATGAGAAAAGGAAACTTTAGTGTCAATATCAAGTAAATTTTTCCAAGCATAAGAACTGCCTATTAGATTACTTAAATTGCTCATAAAAAAGGAAACCAATAACTCAAGTCTCAAGAAATATTTTAATCCAGAGAAAAAATTCAGTGAAACAAGAGGTAATTATTAGATCTTTTTGGTTATATTTATTTTTATAAAAACTTTTGTTGTGACTTCTTGCAGTAAGCATATGCTTAACTTAGAAGCATAAACTACTTGTGCAGGAGCACCGAGAGTCCTTTTTGGAATAAGGTTAATAATGGATATATTGAATGGTAGATATTGAAACAGGTAGGTACGTAGGCAGACAGATTGAGATAGATAAATGGTTGAACAGACAGAAAAATAAATAGATAAAATAGTTTGTATTTCTTAAAAAATTAATTGATCTTTAAAGTCCTTTAATAATTGCATAAAGGTTATTGTTTTTTGGAAATGTATGCTATTCTTGTGAGCTTGGGGGTAAATGGCATATATAATTTCAAATGAGAAAAATATACCTTTTTCCAGAACATCTCAAATGTAGGTTTGTCAGGCCTATTACAGTATTTCTCAAACCTAGCTACAAACTACAATCCCTTAGGATTCTTGTTAAAAATACAAATTACCAAGATCTATACTAACCCATTGAATAAAAATCTTTAAAGAGAAAGGCCTGTGAATAGGAAGTTTTAAAAAGTACTAGTGAGGTGCTTATATAAGATTTCTTGAATGTAACTACATCCACAGACAACATTCATAATGCCATCCATAATTCCAGGGTTAAGAGTTTCAATCTGTAAGCTTTTTCTGACTTAATTTTGGTCTTTGGAAAATAACTGGTATACTTGATCTCCTGGAGTGTATTTTCAGTTCAGTTCCCTAAGAAAGAGTTGAAAGTCTACTATGTTTAAGTCTTTGCTGAGTGCTGGAAGATGGGGACAGAGTTAGAGGAGGTAGTAACAACAAGAGACAATGACAACAAAAAACGGGACTCCTGCCTACAAGGAGTTTACTGTCTGGTTTGGTAAACCAAAATAACAAAGACTAATTGAAGCCTATGCAAGACAGTATATGTGGCTATTAAAGAAGTACAACAAGGATGTAAAGAAGATTGAGATCAGTGATTGAGTTGCATCCCAGTTACAAAAACTGGATGGACTTCTGCATCTCATTTAGTCTAGTGGGGTGGATATTTTGCAGTGGAAACTTTTGAAAGGTGAGATTTTAATACCCAGTATTAAATCCTCTGAAAGAAATGAATGCAATAGAGGCAGGAATGTGCATGAGGTGCTTTCTGGCCATCAAGGAGACCATCTAAGCAGAGCAAAATGTCACCTTTTCTCTTTTCTCCATCCATCACTGCATTGTCACAGTGTTCTCTGAACCAAGATTATGCAGAAAATTAGGCCACAGTAAGAAATGTTCTGCTCTTATGTGGGTTCAAAAGGTAGGGACATGAGGAAGCTTTAAGGGTTACTAGAAGCTCAAAGTGTGCGAGGAAGGCAAGCGTTGCACATAGTGGGGGTTGAATACAGTGATACATGCAGGGAGTTTCTGACACATGGGATAATTTGTAGTCTAAACTATGAGGTACTATGAATTTATTTGCATACTTTGGGTATTTTAGGCAATTCTCTAATGTTGCAAAACGGGAAGTAGCCTATAAAATAATATGTTTATATAGTATTTTCTAAGAACATCAAATTGTTTCCTCAAGACTACCACATTATCATCTATTTTTAAAAGATGAATTTTGATTTATAGTTAGAGTCAGGACTGGCTGTCTGTACTCTAATTCAGTTCTGAGATGCGCTTCTGACCTATTTTTGTGAACACTTGGAAAACATCTGCTCCAGATTTGAGAAAACCATGTGTTAATTTTTTTCTTCTCTCTCTCCTTCTCTCCCTCCCTCACTTCTCTTCCTCCCTCCTTCTCCCTCTCTCTCTCATCTTGCTGGATGTGAAATTTGAACCAAGAGTCATTAAGCTTCCTGTCTTACCCATTCTTTACACAGTTTTTATACAATTTTAAACATTAAAAGGTCTTCTTTTTTTCTTTCACAAATAGCTTCAGCAAAAGTGGCAGAAACTAATTGATAATCTTACCCAGGCTCAATACTCCAGGATTACTTGATCGAAATTCTTCCCCTTAAGACCGCTTCTCTTCCCCAGGCTACCCAGGCCTCAGGCTCTTTGGCTGATTTGCTCTGTGCTAAGGGAAACCCAGATCTCCATGTCTTTGGTGAGCAGACAGATGGGAAGGGCCACAGTTGTACAGCATTGTCAAAAATGATATCATAAAGTTCTACTTTTGATTTTTAAATAGAATCTCAAGAGAAAGTATTTTCCCACTCAGCCTTGTGTGATGTCATTCACAGCAGAAGCACACAGCCCTCATTCGTTATGAACTGCTAGCTGTACCACAATCAGCCCCCTTCAGATGTAACTGCCCACAGGTCAAGAGAAAGCAGTCAGTCTTAAACTTGGCTTGAATAGTCAACTGAGTTTTTGCTGTCCCTGGGCCCTCAAATCCCTGCTTTCATGCTGTGTCAGAACTAGGAAGGAGAAGAGCCAGCAAAAAATTAATAATTTCAGAATAAAAACTATAGAGTTATTTATCCTAAAAGAAACTAATAAAATAAATACACACTAGTTAGACTAATCTAGCAAAAGACAGAGAAAGTACAAATATTGATTGTGGTTTGGTAAAGAGGAAAGAATTGCAGCTATAGAGGAAATTAAATATTTGAAAACCTAGATAAAGTAATCGATTTTTTAGAAAAACATAAACTACCAAAATTTACTTAAGTGGTAAAAATCTTTTTTTTTTTAACTTCTTGCCTTTTAATAATATCTTTGAATATAGATGGTTTCAATTCTCCAATAACAAGATGTAGAGTGCCCAAATGGTTTTTCATACATGTTTCCCTAGTCCAGACACCCAAGAGTATGTCCCTCTCTTGGGCATAAGAAAACCTAGAGTTATATTTAGGGCATCATGTGTGGTGAATAGTTGACCGAGCTGTCATGCTCACAATGACCAAATTATGTTTGTCATATTTTAATCCAATACATTGATCTACTATGAACTTGTAAATAATGTATTTGCTTTCTAGACACATTCCAGGAAGACCAGAGAAACTGACTTTTATCCATATGGAATAATCCACTGGCAAATTTCTTTTAGGACAGACCAAAGCTGATCTAGAACATAATCTTTACATACTTGGATCCTTCCCATCAGACAAGAAAGAACATCTGGGGTGAAAGACTCCATTAGAAGAGCAATGTGGGATGGTGCTGTGCTGACAACTGGTAATTCCTGCCCTACATCTTTGTAGAGGACTGGAGCCCAGAGCATGCCATGGTCAACTTGTATGTTGAAGTGAAGACCTCCTTCGAGGTGTTCATGTGCTTATTACAGATATGCCATGGTGCTAAGTACCCCAGGACTACAGGAAAAAATAAGAATAGATGTTGTATCCATGATCATGAGGCACACAGGCCAGAGCGCCAGCTGTGGAATCGCACAGCCTGGGTTCAAAGCCTGGCTGGGCCATGACCACCTGAATGACCTGAGGAATGGTCTCAGGCAAATTTGTAAAAAGTGGAGACCCTGCCTGCCAGGGAGGCATGTGGTAAGAGGCGCATCCAGTCAGGTCAGGGCACCGCGTTCTCTCTTTGGAAACCTGTGGAGCGAGGCTGGTGGCCCTTGAGGCCACGGCAGCCATGGAGAAGGCGGGCCTGGCTCCAGGCAGCACAGAGGCACTGGAGAGGCCCCGGGGGAGCCTGGCGGGATCTGGCTGGTCCTGTGCTCTGCTTCCAGGTTCTGGCCCTGTAACCCGGGGGACAGGGCCGGCCAAGACAGGGCCACTGGGTGCCAGCCAGCACCTGGGCGAGGTGCCAGGTGGAAGGGCTCTGGCGGATCAGCCCCGCACCCCCAACAGCCCCACGGGGGGGCCCGTCCAGGGCCACACAACTGCCCCCAGGAGCAGGACGTCCCTGAGGCTAGAGTCCAGCTGGACCGGTGGAAGGGTCTCACCCTTTGCCCTTTGACTCCTCTTGTAGGCACCCTCGCTGGGCTCCTAAGCACTCCTCCACACCCTGGCTCTGTCACCAGCCCCATAGTGATGTCATAAACTCCCAGATGCCCAGTGTGCACCCGGCCACAGAGAAGTGGGTGACTTAGGAGTATCCTCTCCGCTTCTGACCCTTGGTTTCGTCTGTGCACAACTCACTCAAAATGGGCAACTCATTAAGCATATTTTGTTCCTGGTTCCGCCACAGGTCCTGGCCATGCCATTGGCAACCTGCTCGTCTTGTCCATGAGGCCTTCCCAGCTGGCCGGGCTAACCCCGCGGCTCCTGCACCTGTGCCTGCCCGGGGAATCGTGGGCCGTTTCCCACTCCTCTTCAACCCTCAGCGACATCTTGGGCCTTCTTTTCCAGTCAGTTGGGACGGCGCCCCTATGAGGCTGTGTCTTATCCCTCGGAACATGGGCACCCCACAGAGGGTCCTGTCTCCTGTGGTCTGGAGCCCCGCCTCAAGGAAGAAACCCATGCTGTCTGCTCACAACTCCAGGATGTTTGGACACCTCAGCCCCGTGAGGATTCCTCATCTCAGAGGCAAGTTTAACCTTCAACTTCCTTCATTAGATGAGCAGGTGATCCCAGCCAGGCTCCCGAAGATGGAGGTGAGGGCAGAAGAGCCCAGAGAAGCAACGGAGGTGACAGACCAGGTAGAGACCCAGGGGCAGGAGGACAATAAAAGGGGCCCCTGTAGCAATGGGGAAGCAGCTTCCACCTCTAGGCCCCTGGAGACTCAGGGAAACTTCACTTCCTCCTGGTACAATCCCAGGCCCTTGGAGGGAAATGTCCACCTCAAGAGCTTGACAGAAAACAACCAGACTGACAAGGCCCAGGTGCCTGCAGTGAGTTTCTACTCCAACGGCCATGGAGTCGCCAGTTCACACAGCCCTGCTGGAGGCATCCTTCCCTTTGGGAAGCCTGACCCACTTCCAACAGTGCTCCCTGCCCCAGTTCCAGGCTGCTCCCTGTGGCCAGAGAAGGCGGCCTTGAAGGTGCTGGGTAAAGACCACCTGCCCAGCTCTCCAGGCTTGCTGATGGTGGGGGAGGACATGCAGCCCAAGGATCCTGCAGCTCTTGGGTCAAGTAGGTCTTCTCCACACAGAGCTGCCGGCCACAGTTCCCACAAAAGAAAACTGTCGGGGCCACCGCTGCAGCTGCAACCGACCCCTCCCCTGCAACTGAGGTGGGATAGAGACGAGGGGCCCCCACCGGCTAAGCTTCCATGTCTATCTCCTGAGGCACTGTTGGTGGGTCAGGCTTCCCAAAGAGAAGGACGCCTCCAGCAGGGCAACATGTGTAAGAACATGAGGGTGTTAAGTAGAACATCAAAATTCAGGAGAGTAAGAGAGCTGCTTAGGAGGAGAAAGAAGAGATGGTAGGGCAGGCGTGGTGGCCCACGCCTGTAATCAAGCACTTTGGGAGGCCCAGGCGGGCGGATCAGGAGGTCAAGAGATTGAGACCTGAGGAGCATCTCTGCCTGCACCATCTGGGAAGTGAGGAGCGCCTCTGCCCGGCTGCTCCACCGTCTGGGAAGTGAGGAGCGCCTCTGCCAGGCTGCTCCACCGTCTGGGAAGTAAGGAGCACCTCTGCCCAGCTGCCCCACCATCTGGGCAGTGAGGAGCGCCTCTGCCCGGCCCCCGCCCTCTCTGGGAAGTGACGAGCGCCTCTGCCCAGCCGCCTCACAGTCTGGGAAGTGAGGAGCGCCTCTGCCCGGGCCCTGCCCCGTCTGGGCAGTGAGGAGTGCCTGTGGAGTCCGCCGCCCTGTCTGGGAAGTGAGGAGTGCCTGTGCCCGGCTGCCATCCTGTCTGCAAAGTGAGGAGTGCCTCTGCCCGGCCCCCTTACACTCTGGGAAGTGAGGAACGCTTCTGCCTGGCCACTGCCCTGTCTTGGAAGTGAGGAGCGCCTCTGCCCAGCTGCCCACCGTCTGGGAATTGAGGAGGAGCACTGCCTCTGCCCGGCCTCCATCCCATCTGGGAAGTGACGAGCACCTCTGCCCGGCCGCCTCACGGTATGGGAAGTGAGGAGCGCCTCTGCCCAGCCGCCGCCCTGTCTGGGAAGTAAGGAGCGCCTATGCCTCGCCGCCGTCCTGTCTGCGAAGTGAGGAGTGCCTCTGCCTGGCCTCCTCACCGTCTGGGAAATGAGGAGCGCCTCTGCCTTGCCGCTGTCCTGTCTGCGAAGTGAGGAGTGCCTCTGCCCGGCCTCCTCACCATCTGGGAAATGAGGAGCGCCTCTGCCTGGCCACCATCCCATCTGGGAAGTGAGGAGTGCTTCTGCCCAGCCACCGCCCTGTCTGGAAAGTGAGGAGCACCTCTGCCTGGCCCCCTCACCGTTTGTAAGGGAGAAGCGCCTCTGCCCAGCCCCTGCACCGTCTGGGAAATGAGGAGCGCCTCTGCCCGGCCCCCTCACCATCTGGGAAGTGAGGAGCATCTCTGCCCGGCTGCTGTGCAACCTTCCAAGTGTGAAGTGACAGCCTTGTGTGTGATCTTTCTGCCCTCCCCAAGTTTGCATTTTCGACATTGAAGTTTACTTTTTAATTAAAAAAAAGGAGATTGAGATCATTCTGGCCAACATGGTGAAACTCCGTCTCTACTGAAAATACAAGAATTAGGCCGGCATGGCGGTTTGTGCCTGTGGTCCCAGCTACTCGGGAGGCTGAGGCAGGAGAATGGCTTGAACCCGGGAGGTGGAGGTTGCAGTGAGCCGAGATCGCACCACTGCACTCCAGCCTGGTGACAGAGCAAGATTCCGTCCTGAAACGATGTTGTAGTTGAGAGCAGGATGGTCTTTTGGGACAGGAGGAACAAGAGGTTCTGGTTGCCACTCTTCAATCAGTTCTTCTTTTTCCTCGACTGTAAGATCAGATCATTCTTGTAATTTGTAAGTCTTAGAGAAAAGAAGTCTGATTTATCCAGAGTATCAGAATCCCTTCCAAAATAAGATAGTAAGCAGGAGCCTCGTAAAGCGCCTGTACCATCTCCACGAGAACCCACTGCTCCGTGGCGGTCGCCATAGTTAGTCGCTTCCTAAGTGGTAAAAATCTTAAACAGGTCAATAATCATAGAGGATATTAAGAATGTCAGAGAGCTACTTCCTGAAATATTGCCAAACTTAATTTCAAAGTTAAATTCTTTTATCCTTAAAGAAACACACAATTGCAAAGCCTTTTAGAGTATTTCAGAATAAAACAAAATTAAGGACAATTCCTGATTATTTTGAAAGCCAGAGTAACACTAATAACAAATCCTGAGAAAGTAAATACTCGAGAGAAAACTGTACAAGTTCACTTACTATGATGAGTTAAAGAAAAACCTAAATAAGACCCAACAGTACATTGCAATAATAACATATTATGACCAAGAGTGGTTCATTCTTGAATAGCAAAGATGTTTTCATATTAGGAAATCAATAACTATAATTCATTATAGTAAGAGATTGATAGAAAAAAGACTAAAATCTCCTTTAATATATGCATAAGAGGAATTTAATAAAATCCAACATTCTTTCCTAATAAAAATCTTGAATAAGTATGGATTATGTTATGCTTTCTTAACTAAATGTGAATTTATATTTATACATACACACATATATACAAATTATATACACATATCAAAAGATCAATATAAAATAATAAAGGTCATATGATATTTAGATTGAATGGTAATATTTTAGAAGTACTGCAAATCAAGTCAAGATCAACTTAAGATTATCTTTTATCACCAGTGCTATGTAATATAATTCAAGATGTGCTGACGAATATAATTAGAAAATAGTATTATGACTATTTAAATAAAGAAGGAAATATTGTAATCATTTGAAGTTGATAGGATTTTGTTACTAGAAAACTCAAAACAATGAAATAAAATTAAAATTAATAAAACTTTTAAGAGTTTTTTTATATTCTAAATGATGACTCAGAAAAATTTACTGAAATAATCCCAATTATGGCAATAAGACTATAAAATTCTTGAGACTAAATTTAATAAGAACTATAAAGTTTGTAAAAAGTATAAATTAATGAAGAATTGAATAGATGGATATTTTCAATCTTGGACTAGATGATTTAACATTTTAAAGACACCAATATTTCCTACATTCATATAGAAACGAAATGCAATTCCACATAAAATACCAACAAAATTATTTTTAGACTGATTTAGAAGAAAGTGTCATGAGGGCTTAATAACCCTACCAAATATAAGATATACTAATATTGATTAATAAAGTATAGAACTGGCAAAAGAATAGGCAGATTAATAGATGCTATAGTTTGGATATTTAACCTTCAAATCCCATGTTGAAATTTGATCCCCAGTGTTGGAGTTGGGACCTAGTTGTTTGGGTCATGGGAGTGGATCCCTCATTAATAGATTCATGCCCTCTCTGGGTTCAGGGTTTGGGGAGGCAGTGAGGGATTTCTCACTGTGTTAGCTCCTAAGAAAGCTAGTTGTTAAAAAGAGCCTGGCAACTCTTGTCTCTCTCTCTCTCTCTTGCTTTCTTTCTCGCCATGTGACCTCTGCACACATTGGCTCCTCTTCCGTTTCTGCCTGAGAGGAAGCACACTGAGGCTCTCCTCAGTTGCAGATGCCAGCGCGCCATGGTTCTTTCACAGACAGCAGAACTGTGGGGCAGCCAACAAACCTCTTTTCTTTATAAATTACCCAGTCTCAATTATTTCTTTATAGCAACACAAACAGGATAAGCCCAAGTGGAATGAAACAAAAAGAGAGAACCTCACAATAAACTCAAATATATACAAGAATGCAACATGTATAAAAATGACATTTTGGATTAGTGGAAAAATAGCTATTTGCTAAATGTCAATAGGACAACTGGAAGCTTTTTGAAACAAGTAAAACTGGAGCTTTACTTCATTCCCTACTCAAAATTCAGAGTGGATCAAATAATTAAATGTAAAAAAATAAAAATGCAACATACTAGGAGCAAACTTAAATCAATATTTTTGAAACTTGGGGACAGAAAATGCTTGAAACATGACAACATGTGAAAGACATAAAGAAAATAACTGATAAATCTAAATAATAAAAATCAAAATCACCTGTCAGTCTTCCTTAAACAACATAAACTGATGGGCAACAACTTTGGAAGAAAAGAATACAATATAATTAGAAACTCCAGGACTAATTGCTTGATATACAAAATGCCTAAATATCAATGAAGAAAAGATAAATAACCCCCGATGCTCAATATTATTAATAAAGTTATGAAAATTTAATCAGAGAGTTCACTATTCATCTATCAGAGAAGCAAAATGTTTGTGTCCTATAAGACATTTGTTGTTCCTGGGAGTGTAAATTTGCACAATTTCCCAAAAGGCAATTTGGCATATCTAGTAAAATAAATATCAATAATTTTGACCTGTTAATTTTATTTAATTAACATTTGCATAAGTGCAGAAACGTGTATACTGAAAAATCCTTGTTACTTTTTTTGTCTAATTGTGAAGTATTGGAAATTGCCTGAATCCCCACTAGTGAAGTTTGCACATATATGTTATGCTGAATGTGTATATATGGAGATAGATCTCTATATGCAGCAATAAAAATAATTCTAATATATACAGACCTTGTCTAGATTATTTATTGCTGTAACCCAGAGCCTAGAACATTACCTACTTATTGATGTTCAGTACACTTCTTCCACATGGAATGAGCAAAAGTCTTGTTGTTACATGCCAAAAGTAAATTTTAAAATAGAATGCAACCCAAAATCACATATTTATAAAAAGTCTGTCTCTTCAACATTTGACCAAAGTGATTCCAGTGGTCTTTACTTCAGAAATTTCCCATTTCGAGTTCGTCAATTTTTAAACGTTTTCTAATTGTTAAAATAACCATGCAATTATGTGATTAAAATATTGAAATATGAAAAGAAGAGAGCACTCCTCTATTCCTTTATACCAGAGCTATGCTATTTGGTGTTACCTAAACTTACATTCCTTGTGATTAAATTAATAATTAAACAGTAAGATATTACAGTACAGATGGGGGGGATACTATATCCTAGGAAGGAAAAAAGATGAGCATGATTAAATTTCATTAAGGAAAGCAAATACAATTGGGACAAGGCTTACCTCAACTTCATGAATTAAGGTTTATAATCACTTTTACATACACATTTGTTAAATTATTACATTATTTGCCCCACAGAGATGAGATGAATAATGCTTAGAAAGACTCATCATTTTTAATGGAGAATCAAGACTTGAACTTGCTTTAATACTCCATTCATTTGCTATAGCTCTGACAACCATCCCCATAAAGCAGGTGCCTCTAGCTGAGGAGACTATCTTTTTGGGTGATAGAGAAGACAGAGGTAAAGGAAGTGGGTTGGATGAGGGAATCCACATTTCTATCAAAGACATAATTGTATAGCCTGCTATTTATTACTATGAGATTTTATGCGCTTGTCATATTTTTTTACCCATAAAGAAAATTGGAGACATTGGGTCATAATATTAAGACGTTTTCCTACTCAAAATAAAGTTCACCCCCTTCTCTGTTGGGCCACAATTCAATGGAAAATATTATAAATCAAAGATGAACACATGCAGAACCAAATGGACATAAATATGCTATTTCCATTTCTGTACTGTTTGGTCTGCTTGGATACATGCCTATGAGTAGGTTTTTATTTATGAAGGCACAGGACAGATTGCATATTATTTTCCTGTAATGGAGGAAATGAGGGTTTATTCACAGAGTACTGTGTTTCTGGGCATCAAAATTACTTTCCACCTATTAAATCTCAGTGTTTCCACAACGAAGAGAAAACTTCTGTGCTCTAAAGAATGACAGTGTGCAATTTATAATCAAAGGTTATGAATTTCCACTTTGCAGCATCCCCTTTTCAGACACCTATGGACTTTCAATATGTGTTGCAACTACGCTTACTGAGATAATAATATCATCCTAGTAATGCCCTAATAGGATTACAAGGCAGAATACAATGTCAGGTTAGAATGAGATACAGTTTTTCTTGAATGAAGACATCTTTTAAAAACTCAAACTAGTTGTTTTATTTCTTATTTTTAGGAGAACATTTAGAAATAATTTGCTTTATGTTTTAAAAATCATGAATCACTAGCTGTTAGAAGGCAGAAGTGAAAATCATTGGTATATTGCAACTGCTGTTGAATTTTAATTTTCACTTGTGAATTCTAGTCAGAAATTCTTGTTATTGAAACTTGATGTATTGGTAGTTTATTGCAGACAAATCTTTCTGAGAGCATTAAGACTCATTAAAGAAAAGATAAGGAAAATATGCAAGCAACTGGCACATGGTGCTTTCCACCTTTGGGAAAACAAGGTTATCTTGATAATACACTCAATTTACTGTAAGAATCCAATTCTTTTATGCTTAGACTTCCAGCAAATTCAACAACTCTGGAACCCAGCCAGGAATCTAGAAGTCATGGCAAACAAGGTCACATGCTGTGACCATGTGAGAAGCCACATGCTGTGTGAAACAGTCAGTCATGAAAAGTTATGCTTAGAAGAAAGTCCTATATCATCTCTTTAAGGTCTGTTGGCTTTTTCATTACACACAATCCTAGAAAGTCCTATTTCCTTATGTCTACTCCTGCTTTCCTCCACATTCTCTAGACAATAGTCAAAATGATCTTTTTAAAACACAAAACTGATCATGCTACTTCCTGCTTGAAAGCTTTGAACATAAGATATGCCCAAGATACGTTTGTGGAAATGAAGTTTTTTCTAAAATATGTTCCATGAACATGGCAGAATAAACATTAAGTCATATCTAACTGTTTACAATTATGAGACAAAATCAGCCCTGGATTTAGGAAATAGTTGGTGTAAGACTAATGCTATAGACTAAATGTGTCTTCCCAAAATTCCTGTTAAAATTCTAACTCTGGAGGTGACGGTATTAGGAAATAATGCCTTTGGGAAGTGATTATCTCACAAAGTCACAGTCCTCATGAATGGGATTCCTTTCATTATAAAATAGACCATAGGAAGTGCTTTCATCCTTTCCACCATGTGAGGACATGGCAAGAAAGTGCATTCTATGAACCAGGAAATGTGCCTTCTCCAGACACTGAATCATCAGGCAACTTGATCTTGGACTTCCCAGCCTCAGAACTGTGAGAAATAAATTTCTGTTGTCCACGAGACACTCAGCCTATGGTATTTTGTTATAGTAACCCAAACAAACCAAGACAACTTGTTACTACTGATTTTAATCCTTTCTTTTTAATGAATTATTCACTGCAATAGAAAAGATCATTATTGAGACAAGTATCTAAGAAGTTTGGGGGATTCTATCTTTGTTTTCTGGATCTAAATGATTTTTCTCATTTCGTCTTATGTACTGAATAGTTATATTTTGAGAATAATAATAGCAGACATGCATGATTAGAAGGTCCAGCATATCCTCCCTAAACGTGAATAAGATCAGAAAATGTTGCTCCTTTCAACAGAAATGTGACATAATTCTGTGAGAGTAACCCCATTCTAAGGAATGGTTTGTAAAAATGCAGTAGATCCAATTAGAATTGTTAAAGAACCTACTATGCACCAGGCAGTGTGGTAGACATTTTAAAGTATTGACTCTCATTCTATCACTGAATATCTACATCCAATCTTATGACACAGGGATTTTTAATCCCAGTTTTGCAAATGAAGTACAGAGAGGTTTAACGTTTACTGGGAAAATAAGATGTCTCTAAAATCTCAGGTAGATGGAAACAATAATTGATGTATGCTTTTCTGTGTCCCCCAAAGTCTTAACTCATTTCAGCATTAACTCAAAAGTCCACAGTCAAAAGTCTCATCCGAGACAAGACAAATCCCTTCCACCTATGAGCCTGTAAAATCAAAAGCAAGTTAGTTACTTCATAGATACAATGTGGGTAAAGGTATTGGTTAAATACAGCCATTCTAAATGGGAGAAATTGGCCAAAACAAAGGGGCCACAGGCCCCATGGCAGTCTGAAATCCAGCAGGGCAGTCACATCTTAAAGCTCTGAAATGATCTCCTTTGACTCCATGCTTTATATCCAGGTCATGCTGAAGCAAGAGGTGAGTTTCCATGGTCTTGGGCAGCTCCACCCCTGTGGCTTTGTAGGGTACAAGCTCCCCTTGGCTGCCTTTGTGGGCTGGTGTTGAGTGTGGCTTTTCCAGGTGCGTGGTGCAAACTGTCAGTGGATCTACCATTCTGGGTTCTGGAGGACAGTGGCCCTCTCCTTATAGCTCCACTAGGTGGTGCCCCAATAGGGAATCTGTGTGGGGTCTTCAACCCCACATTTCCCTTCTGCACTGCCCTAGCAGAGGTTCTCCATGAGGGCCCGCTCCTGCAGCAAACTTCTGCCTGGACATCCAGGCATTTCCATACATCTGAAAACTAGGCAGAGGTTCCCAAACCCCAATTCTTGACTTCTGTGCACCCACACGCTCAACACCATGTGGAAGCTGCCAAGGCTTGGGGCTTCCACCCTCTGAAGCCATGGTCCAAGCTCTACATTGACCCCTTTCAGCCACAGCTGGAGCAGCTGAGATGTAGGGCACCAAGTCCCTAGGCTCCTTGATCCAGCACAAGGACACTGGGCCTGGCCCACAAAACCACTTTTTCCTTTTAGGTCTCTGGGCCTGTGATGCAAAGGGCTGCCATGAAGGCCTCTGACGTGCCCTGGAGACATTTTCCCCATTGTATTGGGGATTAACATTTGGCTCCTTGTTACTTATGCAGATTTCTGCAGCTGGCTTGAATTTCTCCTCAGAAAATGATTTTTTTCTTTTCTATCATCTCGTGAGGCTGCAAATTTTCTGAACTTTTATGTTCTGCTATCCTTATAAAACTGACTGACTTTAACAGCACCCAAGTCACCTCTTGAATGCTTTGCTGCTTAGAAATTTCTTCCAAGAGATACCCTAAATCATCTCTCTCAAGTTCAAGTTCCACAACTCTCCAGGGCAGGGGCAAAATGCCACCGGTCTCAGGGAAGAGTCACCTTTGCTTCAGTTCCCAATAAGTTCCTCATCTCCATCTGAGACTACCTCAGCCTGGATTTCATTGTTGATATCAATATCAGCATTTTGGTCAAAGCCATTCAACATGTCTCTAGGGAGTTCCAAACTTCCCTACATTTTCCTGTCTTCTTCTGAGTCCTCCAAACTGTTCCAACCTCTGCCTGGTACCCAGTGTGAAAGTTGCTTCCACATTTTCGGGTATCTTTTCATCAGTGCCTTACTCTAATGTTACCAATTTACTATATTAGTCCATTTTCATGCTGCTAATAAAGACATGCCCAGTCCTTCCACATGGCTGGGGAGACCTCACAATCACGGCAGAAGGTGAAAGGCACATCTCACATGGTGGTAGATAGGAGAAGAGAGCTTGCGCAGGGAAATTCCCCTTTTTAAAACCATCAGATCTCATGAGACTTATTCGCTGTCACGAGAACAGCACGGGAAAGGCTTGCCCCTATGACTCAATTACCTCCCACTGGGTCCCTCCCACAACACGTGGGAATTCAAGATGAGATTTGGGTGGGTCGCAGCCAAACCATATCAAGTGCCAATAAAGAGTTCTCAGGTAAGAGAGAAAGTTACTAAAGGAAGGTCAGAGAAAGGTGGGCTCTTAAAGTTGGTTGGGGAGTTTGAAGACAAAAGAAAAGCAGACTTCCTCTCTCCCTAGCCTTTTCTTTCCTCAGCATCTCACATGTCTTTCCTTCAGAGTGTCCCCTCCTCTCTCAAAATTGGATTAAAACTCAATCAGGGTTCAGTGGAGCACATCTAATAGACAAGGATGTGGGTGGGAGGGAGGCTTGTGTTATGATATCCCTAGGGTAACAATGAAGAGCCACCCTGGCACAGACAAGAGGGGGTTGCCTTTCCAATTGCTATTTCCACTTAGTGCTCCCCTGCATGGGTGCACAGCAGCTTCCAAGGATACCCTAAGGATGAGTTTCACAGGGGAAGAATCTGACTGTGCATTCACAATACAGCTGAAAAACTATCCTTCACGAAGTATGTACCAAGGAGGAATTCGTTAGCTCAAATTTTTACTTCCATTGTAAACACTGAAAAAGGACTATTTTGAAAAACATGGCTTTATTTATTTAGGTTTTCCTCATTCCTTTATTCTGTTTCAGAGCAAAGAGAAAACTTAGAGTAGAACAATAAAAGCCAAAAGGAAGTTACACACAGACCTGTATACAAAAAGGCTAGATATGAATGACTGCTAGATTCTTAGACAACTCACCATTTTCATGCCTGATTTGAGTGGATGACAGACTGCTTTATAAGGTATAAAAATGGTGATTATGAATATTTTCTTATTTTGTTACCTGACTTGTTAATTGGTTTAAAACATAAGAATTTTAGTTTGTTTTTATGAATTACTTTAAAAGATGAGCTAGATACTATTTTCCGCAAGTATCATAATACTTGAGGTGAATGAACAGAGAATTAAAATGCTGAAACTGTCACAGAATATTTTAATATTAGTTAAAATCTCCTTAGCTAAAAAATGTAACTAGTTCTTTGTTTCAAATTTTAATTAGCACATGTGCAGCTTTTATTTTTTCTCTTTTTAAAAAACCATTTAATAAGCATGTATAATTTTCTGTTTTTCAATTTTCATTTTTCATTGACAAATAATACTTATATATATTTGTGGAGTACAATATGATGTTTTGATATGTACTTACATTGTAGAATGATTAAACCAAGCTAATTAACAAGTCCATTTTTATCTTAGATAATTGCTTTACAACCCAGTTTTCTGATACGAAATTTTCTTGAATTTCATACTGAATAGTTATGAAAAAAAAACAAAGACTAGTGTAGAAATCCAAATGAAAATTTAAATTCCTTTATAGTCTTCTGAGATTTCCTGACATTATCTGGAACTCTGATAAACAAGAGCCAAATGGCATGTTTTCTGTTTTACCAGATTGCTTAACTAACTATAAACGATAAACATTATTTCAAATACAGTTCACATATTTTTATGATTGAATATAGTTCCTTTGCCTTCTCTTATAAGGCAACCTATTACCCACAGGTAGAGAGTAATTGAGACTTTTTTAACTAAAAAAAGTTGATAGATGTCTGTTCAACAGAGATAACTGATTTGGAAATCCTAACCCAAACTCATTATACATGAGTTTCTTATTTCTATGTTTCTATGAGTTATACATGAGTTCATTGTTTCTGTGATTGCCAAGATGATGTTGTGACTGCCAAATTATTAGTAAATGTGCTACCTTATGGAAAGGAATCTATAGCAACTATGAAAAAAAAATCAATGACTCTAGAACATTAAGGTTAATATAGGCATTGTCTAATGTTCTGCTAGATAAGAGAGATCTGTTGAACTAAGCAGGTCAGTGAATCTCTTGTACTAATTGGAGTCAACTGGACTCCAGTAGAAATAAGACCATCTTGTGTGATATCTTGAGAAAGAGCCTGAGCTTGCACTGATATCTGTGAGATGTCTCCCTCATTAAACAGAGTAATGACCCTTGGACTCATCATATTTAAAAAATAAAAGAAAGGGGAGAAACTGAAAAAAGAATTCTTCGCTGTCAAATTATTTATTGCCTCTCCTGTGTGGAATGAAATGGACAAAATTTCATCCTAATTATCTGCTACCTTTCTGTTCCTTTTATATCAGTCTATACCCATCAACTCACATGTCCAGACTGTCCCATAAAAGACAAAATTCAGAATCTCTGTCCTTTCTGTTCCCCTCCTGCCCCCCTTCTGCTCTTGCTCTTCATCTCTGTGATTTCTCTAACAATGTGCATTGTTAACTACTTCATTCTTCTACAGCCATTCATTTATTCACTATTTAATAATAGCTTCTAAAGAACAGTAATTTTTTCCCTATTTTTTGTTATTCTATCCTCAGTGCTGGGAACAGTGTCTGGTAACAGCAGACAATAAATAGTTTCTAGATAAATGAATAAATAAACGAACTGAGTATCAGGTACTACACTGATTTCTGCCTCTTGGCTCCATATCTCAATTTATTAGCTCCATATCTCAATTTCTTAGCTACTCTTGCCCACCAGGATTTCATTATTCTCTCAATTCCCTTCTTAGCATTTGGGACACCCATGCTCCTGAACAGTGTTTGGTGTTACCCAGCCTTCCAATTTTGACCTCTCCAGTGGTTTCTGGTGGAGACTTCCCAAAGTGGCCTCGGCTCCATAGAATCTCTGCCATTGCATCATTAACCAGACCAAACTCCTGCCAAAGGTTGAAGAGCAGGGAGGGCAAAATTCAAAGAATAATATGAACACATACTGCATTTATAGGGTGAAATTATTCCTAATAGCTTTAAGTTGTATAAATTAACTTTGCTATTAATTGTTGATACCGGTGGTCAGTAAGATTTCTCAAGAAGATCCAGTTGGGTCCTAGGCCTCTAGGACTACTTGGGAAAAAGCAGGGGGGCAGTAGGAGATAAAGATATTTGGATGTATAATGCCAAGAATATAATTAAGAGGAAAATAATGGTTGGCAATGAAATTTTAGTATCTTTTTTTAGTATCATTATTTCATTGTTATTTTGCCTTTGAAAGTGCAAAAGATATAAGTGTAATGACAATAATTTTTTCATTCAGTAATAAGTGAAATAAGTATATAATTTAAACACAACCTTATTAAAAATTATTTAGTATAAGTGTAAGCTAAAAGATAGTATTAGCCTCATTTTTATTGATGGAAAAAATAAGAAAGAGAAACTGAGTGAGCCTCTTAAGGGTAAAAAATAGTATAATTCTCCATCTCGATGTATATTGAAAATAGAACGAGAAGGATTCATGTGTAAAGGAAACCAGCTAGCATGTTGTATGTCTTATGTTATCAAGTAAGATGCAGAATTCAGTCACCTATAATCTAGTATCTATGATCCAATCAGAAGATTCTATGAGAACATTATCAAATCATACTTCAGAAATTTTGCTCTTCAGGTATTTTCGCCATTTCATTTCATCTCGGTAGACGCTAACTCACAACATTTTCTAATTAATTTAATAATGCTAGTAAATAATTCTTTTATGTAATCACTGGCCAACAAAAAACATTAACAAATTTTCCAATGTTTCAATGCTGTCCTTAAAATATTTCATTAATATATTTTTAATAGCAAAGGAGAAGTCATAGTCTGAGACATCCAGGAGGCACTGAACAGTTTGCAGTGATTTCAAAATTTCTTTGAAATTTTATCTTATATTCTAAAAATACAAGCACAATTTCAATTAATTTCCATGATATATCCATATATTGCCTGCATTCTTTCAGGCAAATGCCAGAAACCAGTACCAAATTAGGCAGAAAGAAACTTATGAGAAAATGCAGACAAACGAAAGACTCAGTCAGAGGACATTTCTATCAGGCAAATGAAGGACTCAGTCAGGGGCCATTTCAGTCACGAACTTGAATGATATTGTTTGTCCAATAAACATTCAATCTTTTAAGTTTGCTTATTTACATAACTGTTAGTTCCCATATCTCACATCTTCTGTTTTTGGCATAAAGAAGATAGTTTTTCATGTCAGACTCTGGGTGAAAAATCACAGGGAAAGGCTTTGATTCATCTAGCTTGGTTCAGATTTGCACTAGATCAGTCAACTAGAGCTAAGGAGGCAGAGATGTGATGTAATATGGAAGCCCTCTCAGAATCATATGGTGTCAAGAGGAATAAGTCTCTCCAATGAAGGATAAAATGCTTGAGAGATCAAACAACAGCAATAGCTATTCTACTACATTGATAACTTTAATATAAAAGGTAATAATTTACTTACTATGGATTCAAATTTGTGTTTTAAGGAAGATGCTTTATATTTTGTACTAATTATTTGTATATCCTTGTGTACTACTTCCTATTCTGGGAGATGGTTGCATGATGACAATCTTGGTGGGGTGCTGAGATCCTACTATGTGGCTGTAGAAGTTATCACTTACATGGGACTTAACTTGGACATGATTGTTCATGTATGCCAGTGCAACAAAAACATGGTATAGCATAGTGAAGATTGATGTAGAGATATGTAGGGTAAGAAATTTCCAGACAGAATGAAATGCTTGAGCAAAGGAGCAGAAGTCTGATACTAACTTTTTAAGTGCATTGTTAAAACATGGTGAGAATGAACTGGAGAGAGTTGCTTGCAGGAAGCTATGTGCTGGAAAACTCTAAGTAACAGATTGAGAAGTGTGGATTTTATCTTTTGGCAAGAAAGGTAAATTAGAAATTTAAAAGCTAGAGAAGGTTATATTCATATTTGTGTTTTGGAAAACAACTCCAGCAGGAGTGTGTGAAGTTAATCAGAGGAGCAAGAAACTAGAGGCAGAAAACAATTGTATAAGTCAACTATATATATTCCAGAAAAAGGGGTTAGTTATTTCTAGATTTGAGGAGGCATTGAAAGAAGGTATCAATCGAATCTGCAGTAAAATGAGAGTTAAGAAAGTGGGAATAGCCAAAACTGAGGCAGACGTTGAGTGTGTGAGTATGAACAGCATGCCAAGAGGTTAGTAATAACTAGACACTGATAACTTGAAAGCAATGTAATGTGAATGCAAAGTCTTTGTTATTTTTAGAATATATATTAAAAATACTTGAAACAATCCAATAGTTTAAAATTTTTCAAAGGATAAAAATACCTAAAATGCATACAAAAATAATCTATAGAACTTAGAAAGGAAGTAAGATAGGAAGAATTGAGTCACATGGCCTAGGAGTAATGAGTAGATAGATACTACCATATGCTGCTCCTTTCAATGACTTTTTTAGTTGCTCTTAAACAAAGGCAAAAATAAATAAAAATAAGAATACATGGTCAAAGACTCACCAACCAAATCAAAAGTACAGATTATGACGCCAAGTTACTTTTTCTTTTTTGCAGATGACACGGTCTGTTTGATTCAATAAGCATCACCACACACCCCACATCTACAGCCCAATTTTCTGCCTAAACGAGATCCAACTTGCCTATTTACAGTTCACTGGACTTAGTTAAAGCTCTAATAACAATTGTTCAAATGATTTAACTTCATGATGTAACCAGAAACTCTTCTGCAATAGCCCAGAATTAAAATATCTTTTGGCCCTGGCTTGTAACATTGATCAAGATGTAAATAAGTCACAGCTTGTACTTGTTCAGGAAATGATTCTGTCTGCAATTTTATCTAAAGTCAAAAATATAAATTAATCAGGAGTAAATTTTCTCTAAATATTGGAAACTATTTTTGGCTTACATGTAATGAAAATAAATTAATAATAAACTGTAATAGAATGGCATCACTTTGACAATTTTTAAGAAGTGTCTGTTACCTATCTATGTTGTTCATTTCATCCTAACTAGAGGTGATTATTTTGACATCTGAAGGTACAGCTAAACCCAGGATTCATGTTCTTTTATTCAGTAACTTATTGGATATTTACAGATCACTGACAGTGTGCTATACTAGACACTGTGGTAAAATATAAGATGATTATAACAACTATATTAACAAAATATAAATTTGTCGAATGTTACTACTTGCCAGAAGCTATCCTAAGATTTTTCCATTTATTTACTCATTTACTTTTTGTAAAGATGTTATGAGATCTGGAAACTTTTATCTCCATCTTAGAGATAAAAATACAGAAAGAGAGCAATTAAATAATTTTCCCAAGAATACACAGCTAGAAAGGTAATCCAGGTTATCTGTCACCAGAGCCCATCTATGGTCAAAGATGAAAAATAATGAACTATATTGGAGCAGTACAGATAAATGTCTTGAGAGTACAAAGGAAGCAAAGGTCACCTTGATATCAGGCAATCTGAAAAGTCACCAGGGAAGGTGCTATTTGCAATACATCTGGTCTGCTTTATGCCTTTGAGCTGGCCGGTTCACCCCTATATATGTGGCTAGCACTATGTCATCAGGGTAAGTTATTGGTGTCTTCCCGGTTGGTTCCAGCCCCCATTCTTGAACTGCTCCCTTAGCCCCCTTGCACTTTCCTCCTGACAGGTTCCACATGTCCTTTGCTTCCTATGTCTTACTTTGCACACCGATAAAGGGTTCCCACTCATCATATCGAATTATTATTGGATATCACTGCTCCATTAAAATTTTTGGCTTTTCCACTTGAGCATGACTACAAGGCCTTTGGGCAAGTTTTTCTTTGAGTCACTTGAACTCTGATGCAGTGAAGCACCAACCTCATCTCTGGGCAATACCTACATTAGACTGTTCTTCCTGCCAATTAGTTTCTAAAACAAAAACTAGACATACAGACCTCTTAATCTTTCATTGTTACTGCTTCCATTTTAGGACACTTTAAGTGCAAACCCAGATGCCTAAAATAAGGACAAATGCAGTCACAACATTTACAATTCCTTTAAAGAACATTGTTTTTAATGAATCATTTGTTCAAAGCAGAAGTGAATCAATAGTGTGCTTTGGTCTCTTTCATGCTAAACCTTTGTTGATGGTACACTGAATTTTGTTTCTTCACTGAACTCAGAGACCCTGTGACATGCTGGGGAGATCCAGGGATTTAGGGAGGTGAAGAATAAAAGGATGGGAGGTAATTCATCACTGTCCTTCCACTAATCACTCCCAGGTTTTACATAAAAGATGCCTAGTTTTCTTTGTTCAAACCATATAGTAACTTAACAGAAAAAATTGTCCTCGTGGATTGCAATCTCAAATTCATTATTACCATGCCATTTCCCATTCATTTTTAGTTTTAAAGGAAGGAAAAGAAGAGCAAGAAAATGCATTCTGAAATAAAAAATTATTGAACCTGTAAAGCTTGTGGTTTTCGTCATAATTGTTTTCCCTTTTTTCCTGATTCCTTTTGAGCTGGTATATTTCCCTCTAGAGAAGCTAAGGGAGGCTTCCTTCCGCTCAATTATTTTAGTTAGTTTCCCTTCTCAATTTACCAAATCTTACCCTACTAAAGGAATTTCATATTTAAAGATTAGAATATCGATCACTAAATTTGCTAGCTGTGAAAACACAATCTGTTTTACATACCAATAAGAATATTTTGCTTCAGAATCCTAGGATAGGAACACAAAGCAAAGAGAAAAGGGGAGCTAAAAGAAAAAATTCTCAAAAGGAATTCAACAAAACTCGTATTTACCAAACACAAAACCACTCAACACATCAATAATATACCCTCTACTGTGTAGACATCACAGTATATCTGGGTATGACTCATAACAGAGTGGCCTTTCAAAAGACACTTAAACAATTTTCATTAATGCATGTATTTACTCATTCATTATATATCTGCCAATAACTAAGTACCTGTATAGGCAAAACACTATGCTAGGTACAGAGCATATAAGGATGAAAGAAACAAACAAACTAACCAACAAACAAACAAAAACCCATAGCCTTTGTCTACAAGAACACCTAATCCAAAACAACTACAACACAATCTATCATAAGTCATAGATGGTAGAGCTGAACTTGTTTTCTGGAGCCAGATTGCTTGTGTTCAACTCCAGACTTGTCCGGTGCTACTTACCAGCACTCTAAGCCTCAGATTCCTCAGTGGGAGGTACCTACCGGATGCATTTGTTATGGTTAAATGAGATAATGTGCACAGCTATGAGACATTCAAATGACATCATTCACTGGAGGGATGATCTTTTTGTTTAGTGTTAGAAGGAAGCTTGAGAATGCTTTATGGTATTTATGTTGGACAGTGAAGGAAGAATATGATTTTAACTTACTGAGATGGGGCTGGAAAGAGTGTACAAATCAAATGCACAAAAAGATTTTTTTAATTTAAAGAAGAGAAGAAGTCTTCTCTTGACATTGTAGAACTTGTACAAATGTCTATAATTTGACATTGTACAAACATGTATTGGGGCTTTCTTTAACCAATAACATTATTGATGATATTTCCTTTTTTTTTTCCTGGAATTCCAAAGTTGGGTCTTTATTTCTCGGCAAAAAACAAAAAACAAACAAACAAAAAAATCAGAGTGAATTTATGGATTCTATCAATTCCTCTTGTCTACTATTACTCTTACTCCCATTACTCTGTGCTATTTCATGTACCTACTAAAGTATGACTCTTCTGGGGTTTCTATGAATGCCACAGACAGTCAATGAGAACTCTCATCAATGTGCAGCCAGAACTCAAACCTCTCGAAGTTCTGTGTGACTCTGGGAATTTTTAAGCATACTAGTTCCTAGATGGCATTTTTCCAGCCTGTAGAATCCCAGTCTATGGGTACATGGTTTATTACTGAGGAAGAGCCTCAAGGGAATGTATATGCAGATTCCTGGAGCTTTTACTTAATATAGCACCCCCCCCCCCCACTTTTCTTTTCTCCAGCTTTCTTGTCCTGCAAATTCCAGCAACTTTAGAAAGCTGAAAATCTGCTTCTACTCAACTTTGTAAGATTCCCATGCTCTGTTAGGGATCCCCATTTCTGTGCCATGATCAGTAAAGTGCCTTGAGGCATAAATTCTACGTGATCCTCCTTGGGCTTACCTTGCTCATTTCCCTTCCCTAAGAGAGCCCAGTCTTTCTCTGTTGTCTAATATTTTTGTTTGTTTCCTTTTGAGACAGAGTCTCCCTCTGTTGCCCCAGCTATAGTGCAGTGGCACGATCACAGATCACTGCAACCTCCACCTCCAGGATTCAAGCGATTCTCATGCCTCAACCTCCTGAGTAGCTGTGATTATAAGCATGTGCCACCACGCCCAGCTAATTCTTTTTTTGTTATTTTTAGTAGAGGTGGGGTTTTGCCACGTTGGCCAGGCTGGCCTGGAACCCCTGTGCTCAAGTAGTATGCCCCCTTTGGCCTCCCAGAGTATTGGGATTACAGGTGTGAGCCACTGCACCCCACCTATTGTCTAATTTTTAAAGCAGTTGTTTTCTATTTTTGTCCAGTTTTCTAGTGATTATGGTAGGATAATAATTCTTGTTCTAGGTTACTGCATTATGGCTGAAGCAGAAGTTGCTCAAATTGGCATCCTACAGATAAAAGAGCCCACCAGGTGATTCTAACAGAAAGCCAGATTTGCAAACAATTCGATTGGGCACAGTAGTCATCTCCTTCTCCACACATTGGGAGGCTTCTTCATAGAAGTGAGGAGATGTGGTTTTGCCAGCCAGTATCTCCTCAGCCCTTTTTTGGTAACCATTCCCAATTTTTCCCTGAGTGGTCATGTTTATACTCCTTCATCCCTGAAAAGACAATTTCTCTGGCCACAGTGACTTGATTCTCTAAAACTTAATGCTTGTACTTCTGGGAGGAAACTCCCCTTCTTGTTACCTGGATGAGAAATTGGTGTGCAGTGGGTTTGAGCAGGGAGTGTGGTGATAACATCATTTGTGCCCTGACTCCTGCTGAGCCTAAAGCCAGATCTACTCCCGGATATTTTAGGTCCATTAGCCAATACAGTTTTTGATTAAGCCATGGTTTCTATTTTATTTTACTTGTAATAACTGAAGCAGGAATTATGTCTTATTTCAAACATTATGAAGTCCTGATGCCTACCGTAGGGCTCTGCACATCTGGGGTAGTGTGAAAATAGCAACAGGAAGGCTTCTTCAGGAAAAATAATCTAGAAACTAGAAAAAATTGTTTCCTTTGCCCTCCAATCTCTAGAGTCAAATTTTCTAAATTTAAGAGTACCAACTTCATGTGTTTGTTAAGGAGCTAAAGTACCTTTCATAACAGGTGTTATTGTTTCATTTATTCTTAATTTACATTGCTAATAGCCTGCTTTTCAAAGGCACATACTTGGTTCTAAATGGCTATAAATTAGTTTTCAAAATGGGCAAGTAACGTTTGTGCAGAGCCATGTGTATAGGACAGACATATGACGCATATTGCTCTAAAGGTACATGCAAATGATTATATGGATGGCTGATGCCGAGGCCTACAGATTTGTGGAACCTAAATTGTATTAGGGTCCTTGTAACACGCATGTATTACAATTGGGACAATAAAAATAGCTGATAAATGCAGCTGTCACCTCCATTTTCACACAATGGGAGTTGTATTCACAAAAGGCACTGGAATTACTATGTGTGGCTTTGCCACCCAGCATTCCTTCATACATCTTTCAGTAAGTCAATGAATGAATGAATGAATAACAAGCACTTACTGAACAGCTGGTCTGTGCCAGGTACTATGTTAACTGCTTGATATATCTTATTTACAAATGAGCCAAACATCTGCACCCATGAATTCAACTCTTTCAAGCTTTTGATAGGCACACACACACAAAAGCCACCAAAAACAATGTTCTGATTAATATACGGACTAAATATTTTGTAGAAAATGTTAAAAGGTGTGGAGACTTTTATTATTTTAATTTTTAATTTGTATACTTTAACAACTCAATTCACTCTCCCACATAGTTGAGGCAGCAGCATGCAGAACAAAAACACATGATCAAACTCAAACCATTATTCATATACTGACTTTGTTTTTTGCTAAAATTGAAATATTCTTTAAAATGAGTAGAACTGAGGAAAGTAGGTAAAAAAATTTTTATAGGATAATATTCATTTTTACTGTATTTAAAGTACAGTAGTCCAGAATTTCCAATCAGAATAAGAATGAGGCTTTTAGAAATCAATACTTTACAAAAGCAAAACCGGAAGAAAACATATTCAGTAATAACCTATCAATAAGGATAGGAAGTCTAACTTTATTCTTTAAAAATATTCACTAACGTATCCATTCAACAAATAGTTATCAAGTGCCTATTATGTGCCCAGACACTGTTCTGGGTTCTGATGTTACGTAGTGAATAAAATGGACAAAATCAATATCTTCATGGAGATTAACATTTATTGAATGGACACGAGAGGCAAATAAACAAATAAATATAGTGCATAATCATGAGCATAGAAAACATACAGCATGGGAGCCAGAATTGAGAAATGGAAAGGTAGCTGGAAGGGACAGTGGGGTAAAGAATATGCTGTTTTATGTATTTCCCAGATGAGAGAAAGAGTAGCTTAAACTTTGCACCTGGAATTTTCCCTGTCTGGATTGCTTCCTTCCCAAATATCTGCAATCTAGCTCTTTCATATGTTCTGTTTGAATGTCATCTTTCCAACGAGGCCTTCTCTAGTCATGGTATTTAAGGTTACATCCCTTTTGACCCACCAGCACTCCCTATTTCATCTATATTTTTAAAATTATCACTGTTGCTTTTGTTTATTATCTGCCTGAGCCCGACAACAATGGAAGTTCCAAGGAGGCAAGAATAACTTTCTGTTGTATTCACTGCTAAGTTTCTATCACTTGGAACAGTGCCAGGACCATACCTGGTATTGAATATGTATATTTGAATGAATGTTTGAATAAATAAATATGTGAGCTAGGAGAGGGCTTGACACATTTTGAGGCACGGAAAGAAGGTTGGTTGGATGAATACAATGAACAGACACTACATGACATTGTTCCAAGTAGCCTTATGTAAATATATTACTTAAATTAATACAAAAAGTTCACAAGGTAGTTATTATTATCCAAAAGAAATAGAAACAGCTTCCACCGGCATGTAAGAGGATTATAGTGGCTATCCACTGAGGCTATTTCAGTGGCAGGAAAACAGCTAGAAAATGTAAAGTAAGAAGTCCCTAAATTTTGAGAAGCTACTTTTGATTTCTCTGAGGTCTTGAGATTATAAGGGTGGTGGCTGGCTGCAATGTCCTTTGGAAACTGCCTCTACTTCTGGAATCAATGGTATATCAGCTTCCTAGTGCTGTGGTAACAAATTATCACATATTTAATGGCTTAAAACAGAACAAATTTATTATAGCTGTGGAGGTCAAAAGTGTAAAATGGGTCTCAGGGCTGCATTCCTTCTTGAGGCCATAGGGGAGAATCCATTTCCTTGCTTTTTCCAGCTTCAAGAGGCTTCCTGTATTCCACGGCTCAGGGCCCAGCACCACTCCAAACTCTGCTTTTATCATCGCATTTCCTTCTCTGACTTTGATTCTTCTGCCTCTCTCTTCCCTTTACTAACACCCTGGGAGCAAACCCAGAAAATCCAGGATAATCTTCCCATCTCAAGATCCTTATCTTAATGACATCTGCAAAGTCCCTTGGTTACATAAGCTAACATATTTAGAGGTTCTAAGGATTAGGATATGGACAACTTTGTTGGGCCATTATTCTGCCTATCACAGATGGTTATGGGCACCATCATCCCCAACCCAAAACCACTTTCTAGATGTGTGAGTAGATATTCAATGTAAGTTCGGCCAACCATCTTTTATTTTCCAAAAATTTAGTATTTGGTTCTTGAAGCACTGGTGGTAGCTGTGGGACAATGAGTTGAATGTTATTACAGCAGCATGACCATAATCTCTACCACAATAAATGAAAACCGACTGCAACATGAAATTGGAAGGAGAGGTGGGTGTAGAGAATATGAAGAAACTGAAAAACCCAGTCTGCAGGGAAGGACATGGAACAAACTTGCAGAGGGAAGCAGAGTATTAGGGTACCCTTCATTTACAATCTATTCATTACTAAACCTAGCTTTAATGTCCTTGTCCTGGCAACCAGAACAGTTTTAATTACAACAATGCTTGATCAGGGTAGGGCTGTACCTGAAAGGGTCACTTCCACAAGGTCCTTCATCAATACTAAAACCCCATCAAACTGGGGAGAGAAGTTGTTAGCATCACAGAGGGCTTGGGAAGCTCTCAAGAACACTAAAAAAATGAAGCACCTTAAGGGCATGGACAGAAGTCCCCAAATCTAGCACCATGGGATTTACATACTATATAAATATGTATTGGGACTTTAGCTACCAATGTATCTTTTTTTCACCAAAATTCCAACATCTAAACCTTTTATTGTGGTCAAAATGTGGGCCTCTGGATCCTGGCTGAAACTCAATAAAAACAGCATCTCTGCCGGGTGTGGTGGCTCGCGCCTGTAATCCCAGCACTTTGGGAGGCCGAGGCAGGCGGATCACGAGGTCAGGAGATGGACACCATGCTGGCTAACACGGTGAAACCCCGTCTCTACTGAAAAAAAAAACAAAAAACCAAAAAAATTTAGCCAGGCGTGGTGGCGGGCCCCTGTAGTTCCAGCTACTTGGGAGGCTGAGGCAGGAGAATGGCGTTCAGGAGGCAGAGCTTGCAGTGAGCCGAGATCACGCCACTGCACTCCAGCCTGGTGACAGAGCAAGACTCCGTCTCAAAAAAAAAAAAAAAAACAAAAAAAAAAACCCAGCATCTCCTACCACTTTCCTGCTGTGGCTACTGCCATAAATGACATAATTAAGAATTCACGGCCCGGCGCGGTGGCTCACGCCTGTAATCCCAGCACTTTGGGAGGCCGAGGCGGGCGGATCACGAGGTCAGGAGATCGAGACCATCCCGGCTAAAACGGTGAAACCCCGTCTCTACTAAAAATACAAAAAATTAGCCGGGCGTAGTGGCGGGCGCCTGTAGTCCCAGCTACTTGGGAGGCTGAGGCAGGAGAATGGCGTGAACCCGGGAGGCGGAGCTTGCAGTGAGCCGAGATCCCGCCACTGCACTCCAGCCTGGGCGACAGAGCGAGACTCCGTCTCAAAAAAAAAAAAAAGAATTCACCAGGCACTAAACTAGAGCACTTTCCATACATTATCTCACTGAATCCACCTAAGAACCCTACATAGAAGAAAATATCGTTATTGTCATTTTAAACATCTCAAAACTAGGGTAATCTTGACTTAAAGTTTGGATATTTTTGTGATTAAAAACACATTAATTCCTGAGTGATAAATCCTTAATCAAACCTATAAATTTACACATGAAGAAGTAGCTTTGGAGGGAAACCTTCAGGGAAAGATGGAGAAAGGAGTTTCAGGAGATCACAAAGCTGAGCCTGTGTGGTCTTGCTTCAGTGCATTGTCCTTAAGTAAAATTTTCTCAATTTTTTTTTTCTGGAAGCTCATTCTTCTAGTTCTCTTCTCGTTTTTTGTCTTTGACAGACTCTCTTGCTTTTTAATCTTCTACAAATGAATGTTAGGGAACAGAATGCTGGTTGAAATACTGCTTTTGCCTATGGCCTATTGCTTATATACATGCACAACTCTTATCTTTTCATCATTGATGGACTGGAGTAATGGGATGCCAACCTACTGGAGTCCAGTATATGTAATTACAAACTTGTTGAAACTATTCTCTCTGACTGTGCCTATTAGGTTCAGCTCCTAGGTGCATAACTGTCTTAAAATTGTGTAATCTGAAGGCTCCAATTCAGCAGAGGCAGTTTTCCCCTTCAAAATACTCTCATTGATTGTAGTTTTAAAGACAGCTTAAAGATTTCAAGGTCTGTTATATATATATACACATACAAATGAGATGCTTTAGGACATACTGAAGTGTATCAGTGTATTACACTAAACAACAACAATTAAGCATCCAATAATACCCTGCTTAAATTTTTGCTTCATTTTCCTCATATTCTTCATCCTCTATTCCAAAAGACCTGGCAGCTCACTCTCTTTAAAATGGTATTTATATCTGCTGTTTTCTCTTTTATACTGAAGGACTTGATACTGTGAGATGGATAGCTGAACTCTAAGGAAATGGAAAATTGGAAGGTGAGATATAACAGGAGGAAAAAATTCAAAGAATAAAACTCTTCTTTTTATTGAGTCTTTAAGGGATAGGACCAATTTTTTGAATTATATATAGAGACCAATAGACCATAAGATGAGCAACTCATCTACCACCAGGAAAAGGAGAAAGTGCATCTCCATGGGAGAAGTGTCACAATGGGGATAGGATCATTGCCATTTGAACTTTTGGTAAATACTCTCTTGTAAGAGGCATGAGCCAGCATTACTAGTGCTCTGCCACACTGTCTTTGTGACCAAGAATGGAACGGTTATAAGAATGTTTGTTTCACTGTGTGTATAATTAGTGAGGAAATTATTTTTCATTAATGCCTTTAGCATAGCATGTAAATATTAAGAGACTGATATGTACTGTGCCTGTTAGGTTTTATCTTATTGAGCCACTGGAATTTTCCCATGTCTTTTAGGGATATAAATTAATCATTTAAAGTCAGGAACCCTCAACTGGACACAATATTAGGAGTAGCTGGTTATAGCAATCTCTGCTTTAAAATTGTATTCTTTATAGTCCACCAAGCTCAGTGAGGTTATATCCAAACTGAAAAAAATCTATGTTATATAAAGTTGAGGTCTTTTCACTACAAATAAAGGACTGTAAAAGCAATATTTTCTAAGATATCAATGTGGATGCACTAAGTTTTTTGCAGAACAGAATAATGGGAAAATGCATACACCATATTTCTGTTAAGCTATTCCAAAGACTTCTCAGCAGAGGATTTGGCTTAGTGTGGGTGACAACTGCTCAGTATGAGCTGCGACATTTCTAAAATGAGAATCCACTCAGAATTATAAGCTTCTATTTCTGCATTAATTGTAAAGGTTTAATAAAATAAATGTTCTCTTCTTTAAGATTAAGAAGCAAGCTATGGAATCAAAGCATACTGGGTCAGAACACTGCTATGTAAAATTACTTGCTTTCAGTTTACAAAATGCCACTTGCTCATGAGTCTTTGCACATGCTCTTCTTTCCTCCTCTCTCTTTTCTTTGTACCCTTACTCTTCTTAAGTCTCTCCCTCTCTCTCCCTCTGTCTCACACAAACAGACATACAGGTACACACACACAAACACACACACATATATTTCACATAAGCATGTGCACTTCTAACTAATTCTTGCCTAACCATCACATTTCCTTTTAGACATAACCACATATAGGGAGATGACTCTGATTGAGGTCTATATTTTGCATGATTTTCTTTGGCTCTCTCATTGTACCCTGTACTACCATTGTGATATACATCACACCGTATGGTGAATGCATGAACACTTTTTTATATCTCCCAGTAGACTGAAAGCTCTGTAGAGTGGGAACCATATATATTATACATCGAATCCAGTGCCTGCTCTATGAAAGGTACTCAATAAATGTTTATGAAACATATATCTTTGGGATGAATTCCTAAAAGTCAGATTTCTTAGAGATGGGGGAGAGAGAGAAAGAGAATTTGTGTCTCTGTGTGTGTGTGTGTGTGTGTGTGAGAGAGAGAGAGAGAGAGAGAGAGAGACAGACAGAGAGAAAGAGACAGAGACCCATTAGCAGGCTTCATTCTACTGGCCAAGTATTGTATAAGGGTAACTGCCTGCCCATACCAGCATCAGGCAGATTTCGTGTTTAGTAAGAAGAATTTAATCTACTCTCTTCATTTCATGTATAGCAGTTGTTATCATAGGAACTGGAAGCTTACACAATCATTAGAAGGGCCAAGAAAGCAAAGTTGTGGAAGACTGCCACCCCAAATACCAGCCTGCAACAGCAAAGCCTGTTCAGTAGCTCACCTGAGGCCACTGTGAACCTCAACAACCTCTGGAGGCACCCACAAACTTTCTCAGGCAAATGCAGGTGATCTTCAAGATGCTTTCCAGGAAAGCATTTTGAACCCTACACTTGCTCATGTGTCTGACCGCAACTCTCTCCAGAGAAGACCAGCCCCTCTTTCTTTTTCTCCTTCCAAAGCTCTCACAACTTCCTCTCATTGGCAGACAGTGGCATGAAACCATAGGGGAGGGAGGTTCTCAGAACTGTAGTTTTACCTCTTCGTGATTCAGACAATTGAATACAACATCCTCAATGAGACATTGCCAACTTCAGGAGTGATTTATCACTATTATAGTAATTTTGTTATTATTCATGTAATATAGATTATATGCCAATATTGGGAACTCTGTTCCAAAATGTAATGACTACGAGATATGATCCTTTGCTCAGGAACAGTCTCACTGGGACCCTATCCAGGAATATGCTTTTGCAACACATGTGGTAAGTCATTAGGGAAAATACTGAGTTAGTGTTACCTGCTCTGTAAGATAAGGAAGATTTCAAGTCCTGTTCACTCTTATTACAATGTTAATTCTAGAATCTCTCCAGCGCTCTTAGGTGTTTGATTTATGTATCAACTGTATGAGCTCCAATAACTCAAGACAACTCTGGATGAAGCTCGTTCTCTGATCTTGGCCTAAATTCTTATTCTGATGGTGGAGGTCAAGGAGGCAACATGCCTTTGTTTATACTGATATGACCTCATCAGAAGATAAACACCTGAAGGTAGGAATGATTACCACCTTTGCTCTTACTTTTATCTAATAAAATCTGTGTTGCTCCCTGCTGAAAATATTTTCATGACTTTCCATAGTATTTAGGATAAAACGCTTAAGTATTATGCTCAAAATTATTCACATACAATCTTCAAACCTACCTTGTAAGCTCTACTATTTCTTCAGGCACCTTCCACAGCCCAGTCACAGGAGGCTACTCTGTTATTCTTTTATATTGATGCTCACAAAATCCCTTCCATGTACGATGTTTCTTACGTAGAATCTTTTCTTCCTGAAAAACTCCCATCTCAGTTTTCAGAGCTAGTTCAATATATCATTCCCACCTGATCGACAAAGGACCTTTTTGCCCTGAATTAAATGCAGCCCTTATTTCTATAGCACCATGGTACTTTGTCTATACATCTATAGTAGCAGTTTTCATCTGAATTTTAATTGTTTAGATAAGACACATATTTTCTCCATTAGATGGTTATATCATTGGGGGTAAAATAACCTGTATTTCAGTGTTTGGATTTCCATTACCAAGTAGATTATGCTCAATAAAGATTAATGGCCTGAATTTAATACAATATCTGACATTAATATAACACTTCAGAGAGTACAAAATGCTTGCACATATATTCTTTCACCTAATCTTTACAACAAGCCAATGAGGCAGATATTTTTATTATTTCTATATTGAAGATAAGGAAATTAAAACTCAAGAATATTTAGGATCTGCTCAGCACACCAAAGACTCATCATAAATACTTCTTGATTGATGGTTTGATATAGACAATTGCCCTCAGCTCTTTTTGCTATTACAGAAAATGTAAGCACGTGTAGTGTACTTAACTTGGCATCAGCAGCCTGTGTCTCATACTGTTACTCAATCATTTAAAACTCAAGAATCATATTTTCAATCTTTCCTGACAACTTCCTATACGAACATGACTTAAGGTATGGCTTTGATGTCATCTTAGTTACAAAATTAACACAATAATACTTCCTCATTTGTCAAGCTTCCCAGACTCTGATTTGATTGCGATAGCATTTACCAAGTCTTAGGAATCCCTGAAAATTTAGGGAGTGTATACATGCAAATGTTATTATAGAAAGATGTGGATGCATCTATAGAATTAACATTTCTTTTCAACATGAAGGATCTCTTCTGTTATCCTCTGATAGGATTTTCCTACTATGCTGTACATTTGGATAAAATCATAGATGGCTATTGTAAAGGATGGTTTTTTTGAGTAAATGTATGAATAGAAATATGCTAGAAAGCTTTAGATATAACTAGCTTGTCCAACAGGGCTTACAAAAATGGGTCTCATTTGGAACTGGCCAAAGTTCTGAAAGATTTTTCTCTTTGCAGCCCAGCCATTTTCCAAAACTCCTAGGGAAATCCGAATTTACGCCTTCTGATTTCTGAAGGTCATATGGTACAAATGTGTTAGGAACTTCTGAGTTCATAGATACATGTGCAAATCTGCAATCCACCACTAACCTGCATGAACCTCTCTGATCCCCATTATGTTCCCCAGTTAAATGAAAATAAAAGAAGTACCTACCTCATAGGGTTAATTTGTCTATTACATGTGATAAGGAATGTAAAGCTTGGCATAGTGCTTGACACATTAAATGTTCCAACAAATATTGTTATGATTGCTATGGTGGAAATATAAAAAGGAGCAACAAATAAATAAATAAAAAGAAAGAAAGGAAGAAAAAGGAATGGATTCAGAACTCCAGAGACCAGGCATCTTGCTGGCCATTTCCTCTCATTCTTAACAAAAATTCCATGAAATAAATTTCAGTAGCATCCCCATTTTATAGATGAGGAAACTGACCCAAATAGTGGATGATTTAGAGGTCTAATTCATGTACTATTACCTGTTAAAAGTGACGCTGCTGAAATTTATTCTACAGCCTATCAAATACTCTTTACATTTTCTTTCTTTTTCTTTAGCAGGGGCTTTTGTTTTAGACCTTCCAACCTCCACCAAGTGTTTTGAAGTCATACATGAATCTATGCAAATAGAGATGTGTCTTCCTTTTACTGCCCTCTGCACAGATGCTAAAGTCCTAGGAGCTATGAAGCCTACTATCGGCCTCCCATCACTTTATCTCTGCCTTGCCCCTGAGTTTTAACAGGCTGAAACTGACTGGCAAAACATTGTCTATCTGCCTGACACCTCAGGGCATAAAACATGGAGTGAAATCAAGCTACAGATACCCGCAGCTCCCACAGTGTTGTGATAAAATTTAAATTGTGACTTAGAGACGGTAGCGTATACATTATATTAAAATGTCTGGGCTCTCACATGTAGGAAGAGGAAGCTTGAAACCGTAGTTTACAATCTCAGTAAACTTGGAACATGAAATGACTTATATAAATGAAATATACATTCAAAATATACATCAACATGGCAATAGATGCTTCTGCAGAAACTTTCTAAGTGTTAAATATGGTTAAAAAAAAAGTCAGTTAATTTAGACACCAGAAGACTTTTGGTTTTAGAATGCTATAAGCATTAATATTCATTACAAAAATAAGATTTGATAACCACAGAAGGAACAGGAACAAAGCTTTGGTGATAACAGGAAATTATCTTCTCAATGTTCACGGAACATTTTGTTCTCCATCTTCAGAAGTTAAAGTTGACACTGAAAGTTACGGTTTCTTTAGACTGTGCATTTTCTTCCATAAATGTGCTATTTTCATAGCTGAGTTCTCATGTTTTTATTCTGGTGATTACAACATAATTGATTCTAGCCAAATGCATATCGTGAATATTATTATTGGCAGCTGGAAGATTTCCAATCCATGAAACTTTCTATCAGGAAAGGGAAGACAAGAAGTGAATAGTCCAGTGTAGCAAAATAACTTCTATTAGCTTCTTTCTAAGTGGGAAACGATACGCACTCCATTTTCAATTTTTCTGAATCTATGCTCCATTGGGTTATATCAGGTTTCACCTCTAACATCAGCCAAATAGACTTGAAGAGAGACAAATTGAGACTCAAAGGATAATATAGTTTTTGCAGACCTAATAAAATGTACAAAAGTGAATTGAACCGCAGCATGGAGCAAGTGTTAAACTTTTTTTAATACATGGAATTGGCATCTGCTAGTTCCACTTATTTAAAGTTCCTCCTATATTTTATTGGAAACTTGATACTTCAAAATATTTATAGCATAGCTAATAGCATCTCTAAGAGCTGATCTAATGTGTGTGGAAGCATTTAGTTTCAACTCATTTTCTTTAATACTATATAGATACTATATATAAAAATACTATATATATACCATATATAGTATTTTATACTATATATACTATACTATATGTATATATATACTATACTTTATGTATATACTATATGTATGTATATTATGCTATATATAGTATATATATACTATAGTATATAGTATACTATATGTATGTATACTATACTATATATAGTATACATATACTATAGTGTATATATACTATATATAGTTTATAGTATATATACTATATATGTACTATATATAGTTTATATATATAAACTATATATAGTTTTTTACTATATATACTATAGAGTATGTATACGATATGTAGTATTTTATACTATATATACTATAGTGTATATATACTATATATAGTATTTTATACTATATATACTGTAGTGTATATATACTATATATAGTATTTTATACTATATATACTATAGTATATATATATTCTCTATATATAGAGTATATATATAGTATTTTCCCTTAAATAATCATTTACAAAAACAGGCAAAAATCTAGATTTGCAACATGTTACTCATTTTGTTTTCTCTTTCTCACTTTTTTCCTCATGAAAAGAAAACTGTAGTTTCTGAGTGCCTGTTAAGCAGGTTTGTGCAGCTAAAACTCTGGTATGTTAAATTAGAGAAACAAAATAGTCAAATAATTCTTCAGATAAACCTCTGAAGTGAATTATCTGTTTTCCTCTTTGAATGTAGACTATAAGCACAATTTAGGTAACCACTGCCTCAAAAGTCTGTAATGACATTTAGCCTTCATACTTATATTTTCTGTCCTGTATGTCATTAATCTGCCACTCAATATATGACCTGGGGCAAGGAGCTGTCTTTTGTGCTTCAGTGTGGATTAGGGAAATAAAACCAGATAGCTTTCCTGTAAACCATAGCAAGAAAGCAAAACCGTCTGCTTTATCTGTCACCACTGGGCTGCCTCCATGCCATGTGCTATCTCCCTCAGGTGAACTTCTTTTCCATGGCTATGTGGCCAGGGGTATCTTCAAGCGATAAGGAAGGTCCCCAGTAAACTCAGCAGTACTGTACTAGAGCATTTGTTGTATTGCTTCATGTAAAGTTTTCTATCTTGTGGATTTTAAAAGAAATTTCCAAGTGTCTATTTTATAAATGAAAGCTACAAGTGTGTGAATGACATTACATATTCTATCTTCTGTTTTGCATTAACATACTGATCACTACGGTCATTATTTGGCAAAAGGAAGAGTGAGGCAAGTTTCTTTGCTTCCTCCCCCAATTCTGTTGTCTTTGTCTTGCTTCATTCTCAGTCCTCATGTTTTCTATCCAGTTTCATCTTCACTTTATCCTCACTCAGGGATGAATGACTGCTAACAGCTTAAAGACCAGCTTTTCCAGATAAAACAATATAGTTCAAAAGATAGACTTGAGGCATTAGCCAGTGAGTAGAACAGGAGTTTGGGAAGGAGAAGGAAGGTTGCCAGTTTATCCAATAAATATCATTTTTAAAAATGTCCTCTCCCAAGTAAGAGAACCCCAAGAAAGAGAACCCCAAGAGTGTCACATACATCAAACATTCACACATAGACACACACACACACACAGAAAGAAATGTGCAGCATTTGCCTAAAAGAGGGAAAAACAATGGATTGTTCACTACTCTAGTTCACATAGTCAAATTGATAACCATTTGCCAATGTAGCCTTCTATGTACTTTCACAGAAACAAAACCACATGATAAGAATTGAGGTTGCATCAACGTGAGAAAATGTACTGTTTGATTTTTATTAGATTTAGGTAAAAATTCATTTCCCTAAAGCGTCACTCTAGATGCCAGGGTAAGCTGTTACAGCTGGCCAAAAGAGATGAATGGGGCTGAAGGGAGACAGCAAGTACAGGAAGCCTGCTAGTCTGGGGTTCCTTTGCAAAATCACGTGCAGCTCTTACCACCAACCAGCATATCCACTGATTTTAGATTATGCTTACTGGGCTGCTTCCAGTAGGCACCTACATTGCCAATAGGAGGGATGTATTCATTGACTGAGCAGAAATATTGTGTAAAAAGTTTCCTATGAACAATGTTTGGAGGATTAACCAATTTCATTGTTGCTTGAATAATGTTGCCTCATTATCATCTCAGATTTTCTAGGCAAAGGCTCAGGCCAGTGGATCTCAAAGTGTGATATCTCGGCCAGCAGCATCCACATCCCCTGGAAGCTTGTTAGAAATGCAAATTCTCAGGTCCCATCCTAGGTACAGTGAATTAGACATGCCAGTGGTAGGGCCAGCAATGGTGTGTTAATAAACCCTTCCAATGATTAGGATGCACATTCAAGTTTGAGAACCACTGGTATAGTCAACTTTGGGAAGCCTAATGAAATGTTTTCAAATTGACAGCAAAGACCCTGCTTACAGCTCATTGAAAGACTGTTTAGATTTCTCTGACAGTGTCAGCAGCAGGGTTCATTCTCTTGTGTCCCAGCCTCTAGCATCCCTTGTGAGTTAGTGTGTATAGAAATATAGTTTTTACATTTGTTTGTGTCCTCTCTTATTTCCTCAAGCAGTGGTTTGTAGTTCTCCTTGAAGAGGTCCTTCTATCCTCATGGATAAGAAGAATCAACATCATGAAAATGGCCATACCACCCAAAGTAATTTATAAATTCAATGCTATTTCCATGAAACTACCATTGACATTCTTCACAGAATTAGAAACAAACTACTTTAAATTTCATATGGAATCAAAGTAGACCCTGTATAGCCAAGACAACCCTAAAAAAAAAGAACAAAGCTGGAGGCATCATGCTACCTGACTTCAAACTATACTACAAGGCTACAGTAACCAAAACAGCATGGTACTGGTACCAAAACAGACATATAGACCAATGGAACAGAATAGAGACCTCAGAAACAACACCGCACCTCTACAACCATCTGATCTTCGACAAACCTGGCAAAAACAAGCAATGGGGTAAGGATCTCCTGTTCAATAAATGGTGCTGGGAAAACTGACTAGCCATATGCAGAAAACTGAAACTGAACTCCTTCCTTACACTTTATACAAAAATTAACTCAAGATGGATGAAACACTTAAATGTAAAACCCAAAACCATAAAAACCCTAGAAGAAAATCTAGGCAATACCATTCAGGACATAGGCATGGGCAAACACTTCATGATGAAAATGCCAAAAGCAATTGCAACACAAGCCAAAATTGATAAATGGGATCTAATTAAACTAAAGAGCTTCTGCACAGCAAAAGAAACTATCATCATAGTGAACAGGCAACCTACAGAATGGGAGAATATTTTTGCAATCTACCCATCTGACAAAGGTCTAACATCCAGAATTTACAAGGAACTTAAACAAATTTACAAGAAAAAAACCCTAACCAAAAGTGGGCAAAGGATATGAACAGACACTTCTCAAAAGAAGACATTTACATGGCCAACAAACATGAAAAAAAGCTCAACATTGCTGGTCATTAGAGAAATGCAAATCAAAACCAAAATGAGATACCATTCTCAAGCCAGTCAGAATGGCGATTATTAAAAAGTCAGGAAACAACAGATGCTGGCGAGGCTGTGAAGAAATATGAACACTTTTACACTGTTGGTGGGAGTGTAAATTAGTTCAACCATTGTAGAAGACAGTGTGGCGATTCCTCAAGGATCTAGAATCAGAAATACCATTTGACTCAGCAATCCCATTACAGGGTATATACCCAAAGGAATATAAATCATTCTGCTATAAAGACACATGCACTCGTATGTTTATCACAGCACTATTTACAATAGCAAAGACATGGAAGCCACCCAAATGTCCATTAATGATAGACTGGATAAAGAAAATGTACATACACACCATAGAATACTGTGCAGCCATAAAAAGGAATGAGATCATGTCCTTTGCAGGGACATGGATGAAGCTGGAAGCCATCATCCTCATCAAACTAACACAGGAACAGAAAACCAAACACCACATGTTCTCACTCATAAGTGGGAGTTGAACAATGAGAACACATGGACACAGGAAGGTGAGCAACACACACCAGGGCCTGTTGAGGGGTGGGGGGCGAGGGGAGGGAACTTAGAGGTCAGGTCAATAGGTGCAGCAAACCACCATGGCACAGGTACACCTATGTAACATACCTGCACATTATGCACGTTTCCCAGAAATTAATTTTTTTTTAAGAAAAGAAATGTAGTTTTTATGCAGGGGTCACACAACTATCATGTGTGAATGAGATCTAGTTCACTGCCTTTTTTTGTAAATAAAGTTTTATTAGAATACAGCCTCACTCATTCATTTACTTATTGTCTATTATTGCTTTAACACCACAATGGCAGAGTTAAGTAGTGGCAGAGCCCTCATAGGGGGTCATGAGAGTTATACAATGTGACTACAGAAAACTGTTGCAAGGACATTGCATGAAATTCCACTCTTATTTTTAGATGTAGCCTGTATACATGTAAGTGTCTCTGAAAGGAATTATACAGGCTACCATCAGCCCAAATTAAGACATCTGTAGGCATGAGCTTGTGTAAACATATGCTATTTTGGAAGGCCATAGCTAAGGCCCAAGAAGACAAGGTCAGCATGGTAAAATTTGGTTTGGAAACTAAAGAGAGGAATAGGTTTGGAATAAGATTGAAAAATTCATATGTTGCAGCCTCCTTCTCATGCAAATGACAGACATTACCAATCAATCATGAGGCTTGTATTCTCAAAGCCCTACCTGGGCCTCACAGCCCTTCTCAACAAACTTTCTAGGCAGCCATTACTAATCTTCTGCAATTGGTTCATTGGAGGAAAATTATTGACCATCTTGTTGCTGGATTAAAGAAAAAGATCAACAAGGAATGCCAGGAAATGCTCTCTAGAACCTGTATGGGGAAGTTCTAAGGAACACAGGAGGGTAAAATAGAAGGGGAGGTCTTAATGGGAAAAGGGGAGGTAGGTGGAAATAAAAGTCCAACAATGCTCATAAATGCTGTATACTTCTTTTGTATACTTCCACAAGTTAGCTACTACCCTCTTTCGTTTCTTTTGAAAATAAAGAAGTGGTACCCATTCTCTTAAGTACCTTGCTAGAGGTAATGCAGACAACAAGTGATACTATGAGGCACATCTGGTCTAACATTAAAGCCTATATTTTTCTGCTACCTTTTGTACCATTATATTGTTTTGTCTAAGGCTGCACTATGTCTAAATTTTACCTTTGAAACTGAACTTCTTAAGGTTCGACTTAAAAAATCCTACTGGACAAGTATGGTTAATAAAGGAGGAAGGGAGAGAGAGAGAAAAAGAAAGATGTAAAGGGGGAGGAAGGAGGGTAAGAGGGGGGAGAGAAAAAAGAGAGAGAGATGGGGGAAAGAGAAAGAATGAGTAAGAGAGACTGACTCTGAGTCTGATAGACTGAGACAGAAAGAGACAGAGAGAGACAGGCTGGAGACATAATTCAGAAAGTATACAGACATTTATTCTAAAAGGAGAAAGTAAACAACAACACACTTTAACATAAAACTTTCAGTAAGAAAGCAAATTGGAAAAGGCCTAAAATAACTGCACCCCTATACATGGTACAAGAAAACATCTGCTGCTTTTTCTGACCCAGGAGCCAAATATTCAGTACAAATTCTTCATTCTCTGGAGAGCATACTAATGATACGGTGGCTGTTGAAAGAAAGGGGAAATTAAAACAAAACACAACAAAACAAAACAAAAAAAAATCTTCTTCCAAAACTTCAGAGCAACAAGAAACAGAGCTGGATTTATGGGCAGGTGAAGTAGGTGATTGCTTTGAGAAATGCCAGAAAGGCCCAGCTACACTGAAATTGCACATATTTCAGGTACCAGCTTCCCCAAAATAGTGTCTTCAGAACATTATTACTTTGGTTTAAGCATTGCCCTCTTTGGACCTCATTTTAAAGGTAAATAAACTTGGTAGTGCTAACACAGTCAATCACAGTTCACCAGTGTGCAGACATTAAAGAGTAAGCAATAATTTCTTGCCACATCCATTTTAATTTTTTCAATTTTACATAATGCAAGGTGTTTAAAGTGTCCTTATGTTACTTTACTATTGTAATAAATTCTCTCTTATAAATACCATAACACTATGTTAGTATTAATCAAATATGTTTCCTAGAATATTCATTCTGCATAATCATAACCCATGATTAACAGGTAAATGGTAAAAAAAAAACTTTAGAAAATGTGGCCTAGTTTATGCCCTTCATGATATATCACACTCAGTACATGTCATAAATGGCTCTGAGAAACCCCACGGTAATTCTATTTCATCAATTTTTGTCTAAATGCATTTCTCCAAGAAAGTCTTCACTCCCACTTTTCACTATTTGTATTCTTTAGAAAACTGAAACACAATTGTAGAAATAGGACTGCAAAAATATAGTTCTTAGCTACACTTCTTTCTCCTCATAGATTTTGTTTTTCTTGGGCACATCTGAAATTTTGATGGCTACAGATACTCCTAGGGATTTACAGTCCAGGAGAATGATATGGAAAAATTTTTAAAAACGTATCTGACATTATTCTGAACCAGTTATTCTAGGGAATGGTCAGAAATCTGCATCTTTTATACTTTATAGTCTGACAAATGACTTACAGGAGTCATTTCTAAGATTATACTTTGAAATGTAAAGGGGATAAAAGGCTTCTGCTTTTAGGAAGCATAAGTTTTCATCACTAAAAAATCTTGTCTAGGTGGATCTGATAAAACCCGAGAACAGAGGCTTATTATGAGAGACGCTCAATCATTTGGGACATGTCCTCAGCCAACCGTCTTCTTCCATTCTCCTTTTACCTGGTCAAAACCTCTTTTCACTCCCTAGTTCCTTGTCCTGTCATACTACTGTGACCCAGCTTCATGTCCTTGCCTTTTGGTACAATTTGACTTTTGACATTAACCTCATCCTATAGGGGGATTGGAAAAGTCGAGAGGGAGACTCCTACACAAACTGGTATTTCTTTAAATGAAGAGGCTCATATTGCATGTAGGAAAATTTCTAAAGAGGCGCTGATTCTATTCAATGATACTACGAGGTACAAAAAGTAGATCGATTGGCCCAGGGTCTGTTTAAGTTAAAGTAATTATAAATGGGAAATGTGCCTCATTCAGCAGATACTTACAGAAGGTCTTTTGCGAGCCAAGTACTGCTCTAGGGCCAGAGGATTCAGCAGTGAACAAAAGAGCAAAGATCTCTGTTTTCACAAGGCTAATGTTCTAGACAGATGAGACAATGAACAAAATAAATGCAAAAATATAAGAGTGTTTATAATGGAGAAAAATAAATCATAGAAAGTGAGTAGGGAGTGTTGGAGAGAGAGGGGACGTGTGGAGTTGGAATTTTATAAAGAGTAGTCCAGGAAGATTTAGATAAGTTAAGAATCAAAAAATGTGAAGACTTCAATGAGTAGAGAATCAATAAAAGTGAAAGGTCATATAGACATCTGGAGATAAAAGAATTCCAGGCAGAGGAAAGAACAGATGCGAAGGCCCTGAGGTAGGAGCAGGCCTAGCATATTTGACAAGCAGCAAGAGGACCAGGGTGCCGGAGCAGATCAGCAAGGAGAAGTGTAGTAGCATATATGATCAGAGAAATAACTGGGGACAAATCCACCAAACTTCACAGGGCACGGGGATTTACTTTGCCTTTTACTTGGAGTGAGATTCAACATCATCAGGGTTTTGGTGCCAAAAAGTGACATGATCTCACTTATATTTAAACAAGACACCTCTGACTACAGTAGTGGGGACAGATTGAAGGAAATCGATGGTAGACACAGGCAGACCAGTTAGGAGACTATAGCAGTCTTCTGGGAAATAAGTGATGCTGGCTGAAATCAGAATAGACATACTAAAGGAAGTAAGAAAATGTGGGTATATTTTAAAGATAGGGTTATCAGCATTTCCTGATAGAAGATCAAGAGAAGATTCACTAAGGCCAGGCGCAGTGGCTCACACATGTAATCTCAGCACTTTGGGAGGCTGAGGCAGGCAGATCACTTGAGGTCAGGAGTTCGAGTCCAGCCTGGCCAACATGGTGAAACCCCATCTCTGTTAAAATACAAAAATCACCTGAGCATGGTCGCAAGGGCCTGTATTCAAAGCTACTTGAGAGGCTGAGGCAGGAGAATCAGTTGAGCCTGGGAGACGGAGGTTGCAGTGAGCTGAGATGGCGCCACTGTACTCCAACCTGAGTGACAGAGCGAGACTCTGTCTCAGAAAAAAAAAAAAAAAAGACAGAGGATTCACAGATTACTCCAAAGTTTTGGGCTTCACTACTGGATGGATAGAATTGTCATCAATGAAGAAGAAGACTGTAGGAGGAGAAAATTAATCAGTAAAGAGGAGAGATTAATTTCCGATATTTTAGGTTTGCAATGCTTATTTCAAGCTGTGAGTTCAAGATAAGGGGGGCAGACATAAACATTTAAACTTGAGAAGGACAGAGTTATATATCTTTTGTGTTAGGCAAATGCATGCATACTTACTAACTTAGACTATAGTGCATAATTGTTACTTCTTAACATACATATGATAACGTGATCTCTAAGGCTTTTCCATAGTCTAAACTTCTATGATTTAATTGTATACTATGAGTTGAATATAATTTTTTAAAGCCTCAGAGCCCCTAATAACTAGGTAATTGCCTTTTAATTCCAAACTATGATTTGCTTCTTTATCTTTCTCCCTTGTTCTCGTCACCTCAGACATTTTCATAGCTCCTGGTCTCAGCTATCCAAGCTTGTAATTAGTTGCTCTTTAGAATAGGCTCGTTAATCCTTTTTAATATTTCCCTGCTATTTGCTCCGGACTCTAAATGTTTCTACTTGGCCCTTCTTTAGGCCAAACCATTTCTTCTGCTGTCTAGAGCTCAAAACCTTTGTGTGGACTAAACAGCTGACAGGCTTTTCAAATGAGTCTAACTCATAGCTAATTTCTACTTATTCACTCAGGGCTTCTTCTGAGTGAATGAACATTACCTTGGACTACCTGTTTCTCTCATAGTCCACATAATAATTGCTTCTGATAACAAAATAAGCATTTTTTCTTTAAAAAATAACTAAATTGTTTTCTTCTTTCAGATGCAGCAGCTCCTGACTTGCACATTTATAAATAGCTCCTATTTATTAATGGCCATCCTCTCTTCAACCACCTGCTAAAGTTGAACCACCTGCACGGCAATTACAAAGATGACTGGGCCAGAGGGTATGGGAAGACGCCTGAGATGACTATCTTTCCTGCAATTTTGCCTGGGAAAAGCTCTGCTTCCGGAAAAAAAATTACTGTTATCTTCTCTATCACCAAAAATTGGGACAATCAAATTTTTTCTAACCCTTTTGGATATAAGAGGCAGTTAAAAAAAAGTGACGGAGATTTCCTAGACATTCTTATGTTTTCTATAGACAATGTTTGGAGTATGGTGACAAGCCAAGGAAAATGCAGAAATGGTCACTATAACTATAGCACCTGCTTCTATATTCCCATAATTAATAAATAATGCTATTCCTACTGTCATGGGTCAAAGAGGTCTTATAGGCTGCTGTGACAACATCATCATTTACGTGTAATTACCATGACACAATATGCTCCAAGTTTAAAACAAAGGACTTTAAAACTGATTTTGTGAACATAATCCATCCTTAATTGCCTATAAGGGAAAAGCATCTCTTCAGAAACTGCTTAAGATTGGAGAGAGAGGTGGGAAGGAAAAAACAGAAGACAAGTCTAAAAGTTTACATCAATTAAGAAGATAATCTGGGCAGCTGTTGGAGGATATATCCCAGAAAAGTTCACATTGTGAGGCCAACTTTTGTCTTAGGTACAGGGCTATCCTGCAAATTCAGAACAAAGTTCCTGAGGTTAGCTTTATACACCTTTCCAAACCACTCAGAAATGAAAACAAAGATAGCCAGAGCAGTGATCTTTTTTTTCTACCATATTAGGAAGGAAAGAAGGAAGGAAAAAAGGAAGGGAGGAAGGGAGGAAGGAAGGGAGGGAGGAAGGGAGGGAGGGAGGGAGGAAGGAAGGAAGGGAGGAAGGAAGGAAGGAAGGGAGGGAGGAAGGAAGGAAGGGAGGAAGGAAGGGAGGGAGGGAGGAAGGGAGGGAGGAAGGAAGGGAGGGAGGAAGGAAGGGAGGGAGGAAGGAAGGAAGGGAGGGAGGAAGGAAGGGAGGGAGGAAGGAAGGAAGGGAGGGAGGAAGGAAGGGAGGGAGGAAGGAAGGAAGGGAGGAAGGAAGGAAGGGAGGGAGGAAGGAAGGGAGGGAGGGAGGGAGGGAGGAAGGAAGGAAGGGAGGAAGGAAGGAAGGAAGGGAGGGAGGAAGGAAGGAAGGGAGGAAGGAAGGGAGGGAGGGAGGAAGGGAGGGAGGAAGGAAGGGAGGGAGGAAGGAAGGAAGGAAGGGAGGAAGGAAGGAAGGGAGGAAGGAAGGGAGGGAGGAAGGAAGGAAGGAAGGAAGGTTGGTTCAAAAGATGATGAAAAGTTCACTGCTTTACTAGTGCCTGATATTCCCTGGAGAACCAAAAGCTTGAAGCAGTTGTGATCAAGGGCTTAAGGCAGCCACTCTGGTTCTGTGTGTACTGCACATGTGCGTGTGCAAACATGTGGTGTGTGTATAAGGGGTGGTGGGTACTGATGGAGAAGAGAGAGAAGAGGGGACTAGAAAGGGGGACAGCAAAAAACAAGGGAAAGAAATTAAGTGAAACATAAGAACAGGAATACTTAGACAGGTTGCCATTAACTGAGGCCTCTTAATCTTGGGTCCATGAATCTAGGCAGAATTGTAGTGTTGTAAGTTCTTTAAACGTTTCACAAACATGGATATTTTGACGTGGTATGGCCAAGACAGCCACATTTTCAAGTTTCCTTAGCTCCATAGTAATTCTGATGCCAGGCTGTCTTGTCCATACCTTCAGAATTCCTGAGCTGTTTTGTCCATAAATGGGCTTTAAGGGTTGATAAACTTCCCCAATTGTAAAATTTGGGAGTGTATCTGTTTTTATTTTTTTCTCGGAAGAAGTTAGTAGCTTGTGCAGAGTTGCACAGTATTTTACTACCTCTCCAGTATGCTAAAAAATACTGCATCAAAAGAAGTCAGTTTCTGGTTGCAATGAACCGAATATTTTTGTTCCCCACAAAAATTTACATGTTGAAATCCTAACCCCTAGTGTAATGGTATTAGGAGGTGGGGCCATTGAGATGTGATTATGTCCTGAGAGCAGAGCCCAAATGAATGAGATTCGTGCCCTTATAAAAGAAACCCCAGAGAGTTCTCTCGTTTCTTCTGCAATGTGAGGACACAGCAAGAGGACAGTCATCTATGAATCACAAAGAGGGTCTGCACCAGGCACAGAATTTACTGATGCCTTGATCTTGGACTTCCCAGCCTTTAGAATTGTGAGAATTAAATTTCTATTGTTTATAAGCCACCCAGTCTATGGTATTTTGTTAAACCAGCCCGGACATTCTTTGTGGTTTTCTGTTCATCCAATCTGCAGGTACAAAGGTAGCTATTCATTAGGAGGAGTTGGGGAAGGTCAAGCCACTAGTCCAAACTAACTGATAATAGATACTCTTGCTGAAGAAACATCTAAATTTTAAAGATGATATTAATGAATTATGAGAATTTAACAACTAATATACCAGACAGATGTCAGCTCTCTTTTTGTTTTACACTACAGTGACCAAATAATTTGCAATTGTGTAAGTGGAGAAACAATTATTTGCTCTTTGCCAGCCAGGTGCCAGTTAGCATTTTGAAGGCAGTATGTCTTAAGGATTAAAGCAGCTGCTTAGTCATTGTTTCTTAATTTCTTTAAAATAAACAACCAGTCCCAAATCATATTTTCCTAGAGAGAATTTAAGAGAAAGCATGAGAAAGGTCCCATGGTTAAATTGGCTCTAGGCAGGCAAGCTGGGCTTTCTGACAAGAAACATTTTTGTGTAAAAATAAATGAATAAAATAACTTCGCTTCACAGCGGTGAAGACTTCTACTATTTTCTTGACATTTGACTATTTATAGTAGGCCTGTATAAAACTGTTTCATCATATATAGTATCTATAGTTCATAGAGGTAAAGTATAGCTCTGCCCAAAACTTGGGAACCCCCAAATCTGCAGCTGAGAGTCTAGATCCTATTCCTGCTGCCTGTGATTTCATTTTCTAACCAGCATCTCACACAATCAACTTTCATTTTTTGTCTAGGCAGGAAGAATAAAATAAAATCACTTGGCTCATTTATCTAGCGATCCTTCTCTTATTTTTCTCCTTCTTGAAGGCCTCCCTCCCTCCCTCTTAACCCCCTTTCTTCCATCTTCTTTGCTTCCTTCCTCTTTAAAAATATTTAATGAGCATCTATTATGTACATGCTCAATGCCAGGAACATGACATGTGCTCAGAACAAGTGTAAATGTCATCAGTAACCTCAATGATAAACCCGATGGTGATGTCTCTATCCACATCTTCCTTGACCTCTCAGCAGAACCTAAAGTTTTAACCTCTCCTTCTTTCTTGAAACATTATCTTTTCCCATATTCAGTAAAATGACAGTAACCTGGTTTTCTTCTGATTCACCAGCTACTTTCTAATTGATTTTGCCAGGTCTTATTCTCTTACTTGACCACTAAATCTGCCCAGTGCATGTCTTTTTCTATTTAGTTATTTCCTCTAGTCTTAGGGCTTAAAATAACATCTATATTCTGTCGACTCCCAGATGTTTATATCCGTCCTTGGCCTCTCCACTTGAAAGCCCGACTTGTATTTCCAACTGCATACTTGATATCTAAATATGTACATTTCAAAGGAAACTCAGATTTAATATAGACAAACCTAAACTCTTACAGCCTCTTCATGACTCTGCCACATTTCAATATAGCACCACAGTCTTCTCATTGCTCAAACCTAAGATACCTGCATCATCTCTCAAATGTGTATGTGTGTATACATATTTACATACATACATGCTCATAGTCACAAATATATATACATGTTATATATATACATTTTATATACATATGTATAAACAGAGTAAATATTTTAGTGGCTTTTCATATTTTTCAACTGCATAAAATAGGAACCCAGTAAATGTTCACTGAATTAATTAATTTAATTAATTATTTAAGAAGTATTTAGCATAAGCAACTTTCTTCAGAATAAATTTCAAATCACTGATGCCGTGCCTACCTAGATATTTGGCTATATAACCCTTGGTTATCAGTGATTGCAATTCTTTCCTATTCCTTGGTGGCCTCCTCTCCTTTCTTTGTGTGTCTCTGATTGTGATATGCTATAACCCACACATAACCCACTGGCCTGGCTCTGTGGTGATGTATTTCTTCATTGTGTAGACAACTTAATGCAAAGTCAATCTGTTTCTATGTACTTTTAAATGGTAACACCGCAATGTTCTACGGGTCATAATTTTTTTATCACTACATGTTTAGACACTTTATGCAAAATGCTGGTTTTATTTCTGATTAATCAGTTTATCCGAGTGGCCAATCTGGGTTCTCTTTGACACAGTACTATATGTACATAAAGAAAAAATATTTGATGTAGGTGTTAGGGTCTATATTTTTGAAAATACATTTTTCTATGTGAAAATTTTGTCTTTTAGGCTTCTGCCTCCTTCCCAAGGGGCACAAGATAAAATAATTTCAACAATACCCACTGAGTCACATTCTAAAGACATTAAGAGAAGAGATAATTGGGGAGACTTAGAAGGCCTAACTTGTATGTCATAACGTATAGTGCTGAATAGCTCACATTTGATGGTTACTGACATAGTACAAATTTAATTTATTCCTAGAGGAATCAAGATGAAAAGATAGATTACACTGATGTTCTCAAAGATTTATGCTGGGAGTTCAAATGATTTCTGAATTTTTTTATGTTATAGCTAATGATATTATTATAAATAGGAGTTCAACCCCAATGCTTTTCCTTTGAATAGTCCCCTTCCTTCTTAGATCTAGGAACTAGACTCACATTTACCAAGGCTGCTTTTCATTTTCCATGTTATTTTACTACAAAGTAAGATTCATTAGAAATTTTTGCATAAAATTCACATATATCTTGCTGGTGGCTTTATTAACTGACAAGTGAAATTAATTTTTATTTTTTAACTTTTAATTAAAAATTTAAGGATTTGGAAAGGTATAAAATTAAGCACTAAGTATAAATATATCACATGCCAAAATTGGACAGTAAAGGAAGATTATCCTAACTACATCAAGACTCATAAAGAGCTAATAGATACATTCTCAGAAAATAGAAGATTAAACACATTATATAAAGCTATTGATAGAAAGGTAACCACTACTATGTTTTAGGGGAAAAAAGGTAACCACTAGAACAAAAATACAAACTTTTGTTCTACTTAGCGATTGCTGTATAAGTCACCTCCAAACTCGGTGGCTTACAACAGCAACAGTGGCGTTAGTATCTCTCAACAGTTCTGTGGGTCACAAACTGAGAAAGAACTTTTGACAGTTCTGGTTCAGAGTCCCTCGTGTGAGTCCATTCATGTGGAGGCTGCAGTGGAAACAATCAGAGACTGGAGTAACTAGGAGCTGCCCAGGCATCTCTCTCTATGTAGTCTTAGAGTCTCTCTAGGCTAGTTTGGTCTCCTTTACAGAGGGACAGTCTCCAGGCAGTCATACTGCTCATACGGCAGCTGATTTGCCCCAGAGTGAGCAGTCAAAGAAAGAAAAGTGGAATTGTATGGCATTTTTATGACTTGTTTTGGAAGTCACATAGCATTTCTTCTACTTTAATCTGTTGGTCAAGGCAGTCACAAATGCCAGTCCAGTTTCAAAGGGAGAGGACACAGGCTCCACCTTTCCAAAAGGGGATTGTTGAAGTCAAATAGTAAGAACAAATGAAATGAGAGATACTGTCGTGGCCATCTTTGGAAAATACAATCTACTATATCTTCCATGGTATCAGAAGAAATACATAACAAAACAATAGAAACTGAATGTAGACAATATAGTGAAAAGTAAAATAAAATATATGCCACAAAATATAATAATAGTAACAAACCTATGGGCCAAGCACTTTTTAAAGTCTTTTACCAATACTAACCTAATTAATCCTCCCTGTAATTCTGAGAAAGGTACCAGTTTACAGATGTGGAAATTAAGGCAAAAGAAGTGAAGTAAATTGCCAAAGTCTCTGCAACTAATCAATTGTGGATCTGAGATTTGAAGAGCAGTCTGACTCCAGAGTACATTATCTCAATCACTTCATCATATTCCTTTCACAAGAACAGAGCTAAGACCTAAACTCTCTATCCTAAAAAAAAAAAAAAAAAAATGGCTAAATTCACTAATAACAAGGAAAAGCTTTCAAAATGCATAAAAAAGAAAACTCAAAATTAATACTATCTTAGAAATGTATGGAAAACAATGTGACATAGAAATCAGGAAAAGAAAGAAAAAAATAAAAACACACCTGCCAATGCAAACAACTACAAAGCACTCTTAGCTTAATTAATTAAATTAATTAAGCTAAAAATAATTTAACTTAAGTTTATTTCAGGGAAAAAAGCAACAGACAAGAAAAAGACTTTCTTACGATGAAGGTGCAATGTACAAAGATCTAACAATTACTCATTTCTATGTACCAAATAATATAACATCAACATTTATAAAGCAAAACTACTAAATATATAGAGTAATTACTGAAACATATTAGTAGTAGAGGATTTAAGTCACCTCTTTCTAGCCTTAACAGAATAAGTGGACAAAAACAAAACAAAACAAAAAGGATTAGTAATAAAACCTAGGAAAAACAAACAACAGAAATGTAAACATTTGTTTTTTGAAATTAAGGGGAAAATACTCTATTAAGTAACTTTTAGAACAAAATATAAGTCAAAGCAGAATTACAGACTATTTAGACAGTAACAGTGGACACCTACATGTTGGAATGTATAGGAACCAGCTACAATATATTTGACAGGAAAAGGCATAAAATGTGATAGTTATTAATTAGACCTACCTGAAATAGTCATGGGGATTAGGTCCTCTCTACCCTCATTTATATTTTGCCATCTCACTATGTTATGGAACTCATTAAAAAAATTCAAGAAAGTTGCCTTTAAATAACAAGATGGTGAGCGACAAAAAGCGAAATAGAAAAATGTATAATTATATGAAAGATAAGGAATGATAATAAAAAATAGAAACATGGGATATGGAGAGGCACTTAAAAGATGCTTTTTCACTCTGATAAACAAGAATTTGGTAAAAATAAATATCATAATTATAATAATAATTAAATAAATATTAAAAGATTGATTTTTTTCACAACCCTATATAAACAAATTTGGGAACTTGGATGAAACAGATGATTTTCTAAGAAAATAATATTACCAGAACAGATAAATTATAGCCAGAAAAGATCTGAAAAACTTCCATCAACAAACATCTCCCCATTCCAATAAATAAGTAAATCTCCTATTTATTCATACATAGTTTATAGCAAAGATGCTTTTATGAAAAGAATTATACCATTTTCAGTAACAGAAAACTCTGTTTAAATGTCTTCACAGCATGGAAAAAAAGATGTACACATACACAAAACTATAAACCATGCTCATTTATTGTATCAATGTAAAGGTTCTATATAAGTTATCAGCAAATCAAATTAGTCAGCACTATAAAATAACAATAATCCATGAAAAACTGGTGTATTCCATGAATACAAGAATGCTTTAACATAAATAAATATATTTATATAATCAACTATATTAATAAATCAATATAAAAACCGTTTGATTATTTCTACTGATGCAGATAAGTGTGTGATAAATATACAAATATGCTAACATCCTTTTTGACAAAATCTCTTAAAATCAAAATATATGGATACTTCTCAAGATACTGAAATATACACATACATGGATTTACATTGTTAAAACACACATTAAATTGAAGATTAAAGAAAGAATGTCTTTTATCATCAAACTATTTAATATTGACCTAGTGGTACTGGACAAGAGAAGAAAAATTAAAATTTTAAAAATCTGAAAATAAATAATGTAATTATCAGAATTTCCAGACCTATGTTTATATTCTTGGAAGAGCCCAGAAAATCAATTAAAACTGTAGAAAGTAATAAGAGACTCATGAAAGGTAGTTGCTCAAAATTAGCATATTGGAATTAATAGACATTATATGTACAAGCAGTACCCATTAACAAGGTAAATTAGAGGAAAATACCCCATTTACAATGGAAACAAAAAGGTATAATATCTCAGAAAAAGCTTGACAAAAATATGAATAATTGAAATGGATAGAAGTCTTAATTTTTACTAAGAAACAGAAAGAGGTCCTTACAAATGCAAAATTGTGCCATTTTTTAGATAGGAAGATTCAAGATTATCAGGGTATCAGTTCTCTTAAATCAATTTAGAAAACTTATGGTATCATAATAAAAATACCCAAAGATTATTTTTAAAATTTAGTCAATTTATATCTAAAGGTTACCTGGAACTGGACAATGTTATGTTAAACAAAATAAGTCAGGTATAGAAATACAAATATCACATGTTCTCACTCATATGTAGGAGCCAAAAAAATATTCAAATGGAGATAAAGGGTAGAATGATGGCTTCCAGAGGCCAGGATGGGAAGTGGGGATTGGAGGATAAAGTGGAGATGATTAATGGGTACAAAACTACAGTCAGAAGGAATAAGATCTACTGTCTGGTAGCACAATAGGGTGGCTATAGTTAACAATAATTTACTGTATATTTCAAAGTAACTAAAAGAGTGGAATTGGAATGCTCCTAACACAAGGAAATGATAAATCCTTGAGGAGATAGATAATTTCTTCCAATTACCCTGATTTGATCATTACACCTTGCATACTTATATCAAAGCATCACATGTAGCCCATGAATACATACAACTAGTATGTATCCATTATAATTAAAACTTTGTTTTTAATTTAAAAGATTAAAATGATAAAAATAAAGTTTACATGAAAAATATATGCAAGGATTCCTGGAAAATTCTAAGGAAAACAAATAGAATATTATGGGAAGCTAGTCTACACAACATTAAAATATGTTATAAGGCTAAAATATCTTAAACAGTGTAGTAAAGATTTAAAAAAAACAGATTAAAACAACCAGAAATAAAAATTTAGTTTATAGTAAAGTGAATATAATAAAGATGGCATTTCAATTCACTAGGGAAGGCATAAATTGCTTAATAAAATGTTAATAGTCATTAGTAATTGGGAAAAATAATAAAGTTGTATTTCTTCGTTGTATTTTTATTAATATATGTTCCAGATGGGTCAAAGATTTTAACACAAATAAAAGCAGTAAAAAGTGGAAGAAAACCTGAATGAATTTTCTTTAGGAACTGCAGAGTTGTAAAGGTTTTTCTAAGTATAATACTTTGAAACTATTAAAAGGAAAGAGTAAATGAAATTTAGAAAAATTCAAGAAAATTTGCATAGCATAAAAATGATCAAATCAAAAGATAAATGGCAAACTGGAGAAACATGCTTGTGATTCATACCACAAAGGTTAATTATCTTAAAGAACTCTGACAAGTCAACAAGAAATAGAAAATTTGCATTAAAAAAAAAGACTATGAATCATCCTTACTCATTATAAGAGAAATGTAAGTTACAACTACTGTAAAGTGCCATTTTTTTGACACACAGGAAAAATGAGTAAAATTTAATAATGTACCATAGTAATAAATGTGTGTGTAAACACATTACATAAATGGGAGGGAAAATTGGTTAAAACTCTATTGGTGGCAATTGAGCACAGCAATCAAAATTACATTCACTTTTTTTTTTTACTCAGTTTACTCGTAGGAATTTATCCTACAGATATATATTTGAGGAACAACATTGAGAAATTTCAGGAAAAAAAAACTAAATGTCCATCAATAAGTTGACTCTAAGTTACAATGTTTTATTAAAAAATGATGTGCCATTTCTCTGTGGACAAATATGAAAAAAAAAAACAAACTCTAAAAGCCTGTTACAGAATGCTGTGTATACAGTTTTACCACTAGTATTCTGTATAAATGTGCATGGACCTACATATACCACATGCTTGGATATGCACAGATACTCTCTGGATAAATATACTGTATAGGAAACTGTAGCAAGAGTTTGTGTCAAGGGAGAATGGCAACAGAAGCCAATTTACTTTTCAACAATCATACTTTTGCTTTTCAATTTCTTTCCTTTGCATATGAATACTGATGCAAAAATGACAAAATATTTTCATTTAGAACTTATTTTGCTATTCCTTTTCATTTTAAATATGCCAAGTGAGTTTTAAAAATGGAAGTGTCTTGAGGAACTTCCAGCTGCTGAGAGGTCACAACCATCACTTAACAAAAATCATCATTTTTTTTCCACTATACTTTTTGGTTTCTCATTTTTGAAGAAAACAGTCAAAAAGATCCTTTACACTCCTGGCAGACAGCAGCTAAGAAAAATGATGACCCTATCTTTTAGGGCATTTCTAGTATTCAGCTCAGTAAAGTTTAGGACAAGTTTGCCTTTATTTGCACATACAATCTCACGGAAATTTAGGATCTCAGAGTCAAAATGGACCTTAAATGTCCCATCCGTTGCTAGCTTTTGAATGATTTCCTGACAAGTGCTCTGGCTTGTCTTCTGTTGAAAGATGTGAAAGTCTGGCAATTCTTTTCATTGTAATTAAAGTAAAAACATTATTGGAAGATTTGCTTAGAATGTTATTACGAAGATTTCCTAGATAATTTCTTTTCCATGTACATCTTGAAAAAGTCACCATCTGTAATACCATTTCTCAACAATTCCCCGTAAATACATGTATCATAGTTCTTATTACCCAGCATTGCAAACTTCAACTTATTTATCTGACTCCTGGTATTTGGGTTGTTATTTATCTTTATTCCCATTGCCTCCTTAGCACATTGCCTGGTGCATAGTAGGCAATTAATAAATGCTTTATGATGAAGGCATGCATTTCATTAAATCCAAGGGTTATTTTTTCTCTAATGTACTCATAAAGTTGAAAGACTACGGGCTATCTTCTTCTTCTTCTTCTTCTTCTTTTTTTTTTTTTGAGACGGAGTCTCGCTCTGTCGCCAGGCTGGAGTGCAGTGGCGCGATCTTGGCTCACTGCAAGCTCCGCCTCCCGGGTTCACGCCATTCTCCTGCCTCAGCCTCCCGAGTAGCTGGGACTACAGGCGCCCGCCACCACGCTCGGCTAATTTTTTGTATTTTAAGTAGAGACGAGGTTTCACCGTGTTAGCCAGGATGGCCTCGATCTCCTGATCTTGTGATCCGCCTGCCTCGGCCCCCCAAAGTGTTGGGATTACAGGCGTGAGCCACTGCGCCTGGCCCCTTCTTCATTTTTAGGTGGCTCAGCTTGCTTCTCATATTTTAAACGAACATCTCCCTCCCAATGTTTATCTCTGCTAAGCTGAATTAACATTTTTTCACATATTAATTTTCTATTCTGATACTGATATTATATCAATAATTAAGAGAAGTAGTACATATCATTCTAGTGAATATAATACATGACCAATACATTGAAAGATAATTCTTCAAAAACAATATTACCATCCGATAATAACCTTTTAAAGTATTAGTATAGGGCTCCAAAACTACAGGTCATAAAGATAACCAAACAAAGAACTTCGTGGTTATTTTCTGTTAGCTGAAATTCAATTTGAAATACCAGTTGAACTTCATTTAGGAAAAAAAAAAAAAAAAAAGACTTCCTGGAAAAATGGAAGCTAATTAAAAAACTAAACAAGCAAACAACAATTACAACAAAACACTTTCTTCACAACAGGGAATTTTTAAAAGAAAAAGGAGCTCTGTGTTCACAAATAACAGAGTATTGTGTGATTTACAAAGCAATAAACATTTAAGCTAATGCAGTTCCTGCCAATAAGGGTTTTAAACTGCACAACAGTGACTAAGATAGGTAACCTTGCCTCTGGAGTTATTTTAAGCAAAAGATAGTGTTGGTGTCTAGGTCTGATTTAGACTTAATGACTTTTCAAACTTCCTTCCAGTTTTATCATTTTATTACGTTTAGGGGAAAAAAAAGCCTCCAAATTTGGAAGAATAAATAAGACCACGTTAAGATCACACAGGCTTTATCCAAGGTAGCATCTCATCCCATAAAGAAAGAACTGGGTCATGTAGGTTAGGTTAGAGCAATCCTTTGGGTAAAGCAGGTATAGTTCTCTTAAGGAAAAAAAAAAATAACCATTTACATATGGCTTTAAGAATACTTCTAAATTACTTCTGAACATTTAGTATTTAATCAGGACATACTGGCTGCAAAGGTATGACTCTCATTATGGAAGATATTATTGATAAAGATCTGTATGTGAGTTTAGTTGTTTTGTAAAGTTGAATATTTTAATTGTAATAGGGCTGTTTAATAAATAAAGAATAGAAGTAACACATAAATAAGTACCCTCCAGTCATCTATGTCTTACCACAAATTTCTATATGCAGAATAATATCAGCATTTTTAAAGTCCAGTGATAAAAATGTTAGAGAATAAGGCAAAGGCCATGCAAAATGACTTTGGTTAAAAACAGTGGATCCCTTTATATGTATTTAAATACTCAGGTGAATCTACAAAGAAAAGATTAAAAATAAATCAATAAATCAATAAATCACCGTACAAGACTCCTGACCTGGTTACTAACTTTAATTACTGGGCTGACAGATTCAGCTTTTTTTTTTTTTCTTCTATTGCCTCCTTAATTCAAAATCATACTGCTCTCCTTGAGACTTGATTTCTTGATATCTTTTTTCTTTTTTTTTTTATTATACTTTAAGTTTTAGGGTACATGTGCACATTGTGCAGGTTAGTTACCTATGTATACATGTGCCATGCTGGTGCGCTGCACCCACTAACTCGTCATCTAGCATTAGGTATATCTCCCAATGCTATCCCTCCCCCCTCCCCCCAACCCCACCACAGTCCCCAGAGTTTGATATTCCCCTTCCTGTGTCCATGTGATCTCATTGTTCAATTCCCACCTATGAGTGAGAATATGCGGTGTTTGGTTTTTTGTTCTTGCGATAGTTTACTGAGAATGATGATTTCCAATTTCATCCATGTCCCTACAAAGGACATGAACTCATCATTTTTTATGGCTGCATAGTATTCCATGGTGTATATGTGCCACATTTTCTTAATCCAGTCTATCATTGTTGGGCATTTGGGTTGGTTCCAAGTCTTTGCTATTGTGAATAATGCTGCAATAAACATACGTGTGCATGTGTCTTTATAGCAGCAAGATTTATAGTCCTTTGGGTATATACCCAGTAATGGGATGGCTGGGTCAAATGGTATTTCTAGTTCTAGATCCCTGAGGAATCGCCACACTGACTTCCACAATGGTTGAACCAGTTTACAGTCCCACCAACAGTGTAAAAGTGTTATAATGCCATTTCAGTTAGCTTGCCTTCTCATATTTAGTTCTTCCTTTCCCCCCACATCCTTTCTCCCCTCTCTTTTCCTCCTCCTGCTCTTTCTCCTCCCCTTCCTCCTCCCCCTATTTAAATTCCTCTACAACCTTCATAAGAGAACTCAGAATAAATGAGCCCACCGCTCTAGCAGTTGATGCTACACTTGCGATCTCCCTTCCTCTTTCTCATGAAGTTCAAAATCAAGGTGTTAGCAAGGTTGGTTCCTTCTGGGGGCTGTGTTCCTTCTGGGCCCTATTCTATGCCTCCCACAGTTTGGAGGTTTGCTGGCAATCTTTGGTGTTCCTTAGCTTGTAGACATCTGCCTTCATCTTCACGTGGCATTTTTTCTGTGCATTTACCTGTGTCCAAATTTCCCCTTTTTATAAGAACACCAGTCATATTATAATACAGTCCTCCACTCCAGTATGACTTTATTTTAGCTTACCTAATTACATTTTAAATCAGCCTATTTCTAAGGAAAGTCACATTTTAGGGTATCAGGATGAGGGCTTCAATATATTAATTTCCAGGGGGTCACAATTCAACCCATAACCCTCTCTTTGAAAGTTTGACTCCATAGGTCTGATATGGCATCTAACAGACACCATTTGTAACAAATACACCTGCACATTTTGATGCAGAGGGCCATCAGCTATCCACTCTTTGAAAACCACTGAAAAGAGTTTACCAGCCATACCTCCCTGAATGTGCCTGATGTCTTCTGAAAACCACTGAAAAGACTTGGAAACAAAAGCTCACTAATTAGTTTTTAGGGTGACAATTCTTTCCTGGAGGTGGCTGTAATTCTGTTCCCTCACCCCGTCCCCCCCGCCAGAAAGGATTTGCACTAACATTTCCTTTATTGTCATATATATTGTTTAGAAAAACAAAACTGGAGGGGCTATCAATGCAGAAAAACCCTGGCTCAAATCATGTGACTTTGTTAACATATCACCTTGGACCTTTGTGAGCCTCTATTTTCACAAATGTAAAATGGGATAATGTACCTCATTAGGCTGAGAATGTAGGAATGTGCCTGGCAAGATATGAAGTGCTCAATGTATGTTCTCTTTCCCGAGCTTGAGTCATGGCACAAACTGACATTCTCAAACTTCCAGTAAACAAGTAGGGGATGGAAAGATACATGAAAATAATTCTTAGCTATTTTTCATTTCACAAGTGACACAGGCTTATTGTGAATAGAATGTAAACTCTGTAAAGCAGGGGCTTTGTTTGGTTCACTACAAATCTTAGTACATACTTTAGTACTTAGAACCTAATGGGTACACAACAAATATTAAAATTTTAAAACAAAAAGCAGGAAATTATTCTTTAAAATTACAATGAAATGTATAGCCTTCCACCTATAATGATTGAGACTATATTTAACATAGCAATATGCAGTGAACTAAATTACCTAACATTAAGTGTTCACCGAAAAGATGATTTTAAATGTCACTATAGTGTTTCAATGTGTTCACTGTGTCAATGTGTTACATAATTCATGTAACTACTTGAGAGTACTTTTATGTCATTCCTAATGTTCACTCTGCTAAGCAATGCTTTGATATTGTTGCTAACAGTCAAGGGAGGAAGCACCTATTTGGTTTGCATGGCATAAAGATGGACTCCAACCACTGAAGTATGACAGTAATAGCTGCAGTGCCTCCTCTTATGAACCATTACAAAGAGGGGTATTTCTTTTGGGCCTAGGTTCTGAAGGAGGAATAGGTAGTGAGGCAGGGGAGGAGTGAGGAGCTTGGAATCATACTTGGAAGGATTCTGAAAATTAGTCATTGCTGAATTACAGTAAGCATTGCTTTATTAATTAGTAACTCATCAAAGGTTTCCATAAAGAATGTGATAAACTCATAGGAAGTATATATTATGAAAATAAGATAAAATAATAAACAGCATCAAGAAAAATGCCATATCATACAAAGCATTAGCACCAGTGGAAGAAATAAAATAGATATATCCACATCACAAAATGTTAGAATTAGAACACAACACTTGTTTTGAGCTTCCTGGAAACTAAGAGCACTAGGCCTCTGGGTCTCAGGGTATTTGGTGGAATACTATTTCATAGAGATTTACTGGGTGTTAACAAATTTTAAAAAGCAAACCCAAAAATGGATTACATGATCAATATGTTTGGGAAACAACAGGCTAAGAAAATACAGCAAAAATTTTTTCCGGTTGTTCCTCAGAGCCTTTCCTATTCTAGTGTGCATTCTGAATCTTCAAAAAAGGGTCACAGAGTATATACAATCTTTTCAAAGCTTATGTGACACTGAACGTTTTTATTGAATGCCACAAAGGGCTAGTGTTGCATGGAATACTCTTTAATACTGGATTCTGGGATACCCAAAGCCAGATTGCAATGTTATTGTAGCAACTAGTTGTCACTCAGTTGTAGTTTTCCTAGACATCATGTATTACTCTAACTATATCTGTGTCTGTATCTACTTGTCTTTATAGTTGTACATATACATACACACACGTGCATGCACACACACACACAAACACTATCTTATTTTATTATACGTATTCCCTGTGAGTCATTTTGAGTCTTTTGTGGAATGGATTAATTAATTACTAATACGATTAAGTAATGTTTATTATGTTTGAATTTTAACAAAAGGACCTACTCACACACATTCTGATACTGTGATGCTCTTTCTTCAACTGTGTCAGTATATTTTTCTATTTTGTATTATCTTTTCCATTATAGTTCCATGGTTACTTATTCTAATCATGCTCTCAGTGAATTGTTAGCGACATTTCTCCTTACATAGTGATGGGTCAAAGCAGTTCCCTAGGCATATCTTGTATGTGCCTGGTGTATGGGAGTAACATTGATTGATTGCCCCTCAGTTCCAGAACCTAGACTGAGTTTTTCTTCATCAAAGTATCATTTGGATTAGTTACTTACTTAAAATGCAACTCTTCCAAGAAGAATTTGTGTTTTTAATGTTAACTTTTATGAAAGAAAGGAGAGACCATTGAAATTGGCAAGAGGTGAGTTTTCAGAAATTTTGCAAAACTTTTTCAAGGGATGGGTGGGCACTTGGTTCCATGAACAGAATCTTCTTTTCCATTAGCTAACAGATTGAGTCGGTTTATTTTAATAAAGGGGATGTTTTTTTCCTGGGTTTGGAGGGCATATGGCAGCATCAAAACCAGGGACCAGTCAAACAGAGAATTGGCCCACTAGCCCAATTGGCCTCTGCCTAATTTTGTAACAGGATATTGCTCTTGAATTTCAAGCAATGGTCTTCATATGTGACTATTCTTGTCAATTCAGAAATATGTGTTGAGTCCCAAATCTCAAATCTACACTAGAGCCTATTCTAGAGACTAGGGGATATGGAAATTATCAGGACCCTGTCTATACCCTCTAGGAGTATATATCACATTTAAGCGATTTAAGAAATATCTGTGACATGAAGAAATATTTGTGTTCAAATAGCATATGATATAACCTGATGGTCACATTTGGAGAGTCAAGAATGTAAGTTCCTCACCTGAATGTTTTCTTTTCTGACATGTACCTGTGTTTTGCTGTTCCTTTAACCTGGAATTCCTTTCCCCCAGATATTTACATCTGATACTTCCCATCCTCAGATCTTAACTCAAACGTCACATTCCCAGAGATGCCTTCCCCGATCTATCCCAATCCATTACTCTTGGTCATATCATCAATGCCAAATTTATTTCTTCATAATACTTATCAACACCTGATATTAACCTACTTAACATATCACTGCTGGTTTTTTATCATCTCTAACTAGAATGTTAACTGTGGGGAGACAACAGCCTTGTCTACTTTGAATATCACATTTTAGGCACTCAATAAATATTAGTGAAAATTCTTCAACTAAAAGAGAAACAAAGAAGAAAACATGGCAGTATTTATCCAGATCTGACCAGGTAGAAAATCATTCATTTCGGTGACAGAAATATTCTAGTCACCAGAGAATTGATCTTTATTATAAAAGCACAGATGGTTCATTACTCCTCATCATTTTCTGGATGAAACAAATCTTATCTCCATTTCCTTTTGTTCCAAGTCCAAGCTAGGCAAACAAGTGCAGTCTAAAGTGTCAGCTTCCCAGGTATGCTGATCTCCAATCTACTCTAGAAAGCAGAAAGTATGTCTGGCCAGGTGCGGTGGCTCACGCCTGTTATCCCAGCACTTTGGGAGGCCGAAGTGGGCAGTTCAAGACCAGCCTGGCCAATATGGAAAAACCCTGTCTCTACTAAAAATACAAAGACTAGCCAGGTGTGGTGGTGTCTGTCTGTAATCCTAGTTACTCAGGAGGCTGAGGTGGGAGAATTGCTTGAACCCAGGAGGTGGAGGTTGCAGTAAGCTGAGATCATGCCACTGCATTCCAGCCTGAGTGACAGAGTGAGACCCTGTTTCAAAAAAAAAAAAAAAAAAAAAAAAAAGGAGGAAGGAAGAAATTATATCTCAGGAATTTGAGTGTTTGACCTATAAAGTTGAGAATAAGCTGTTGAAGCACACAAAAAGAAATTATCCTGGAAAGCCTCCAAATGATCAGCACATTTTCTTAGCACTCATCTCCAAGAGTAGTATGTCTTCTCCAAGTTTAGTAATATCTAAATCAAGAACAAAAAATATGAAAATGCCTAGTTTGATACTAAATATAATACTTTTAAACAGTGCTTTGTGATAAAATGTCTGTCACTTTGAGAAATGTCTCAGCCTGCACTGTCCAAGGTTTCAAAATGACTCACAGGGAAGCTAAAGGCAGTCTATCTAGAGATTAAAAATCACCACCTTATATTAACTTATTTAATTTTTATCTATGGTTTTCTGCAATCTTGAACTAGAATGACTCCATAATACCAAGTTTACTTATGTACTTAATAGGTATATTTCCATAGATAGATAAAAATACTAGCTCTTTAAAATGCATAAGTCACAAAAACTATGTTTTCATAAATTTGAAAAGACAAGAATAATACCAGTGTTTATAATCTGAAGCATTACTATTAAGACCATAAGGATGTAATGTAATCTCTTTCAACGTGATTTTGGAAGCAATCTTCAATTACTAGGTTATACTGGTTCAATGGCTTAATTATTTCTCCCAACCCAGTTATCATACAAACCCTACTATTTCTGCACAGTTGGATAGTTTTTGTTCACTTAAGATGGAACTATTTGATTTCATTTTAGACCCTGGATATTAGTCAACATTAGACACATTATGTATACCTTTTGTGGGCATAGATAAATATTTCTCTTATTTATTTTAACTGTTAGAGGTATGAAACAGTTTTAAAAATTACACCTTCACAAGTTAAATGTTTAATTATAGAATCTGATTTATGTGCCATGCATTATGCATTTGCTATTATCAATAGCACTACAATGATAATTTTTCACTTTAAATACGGTAATTTTTAATATCATCTGTAAATAATTGCTATTCAAACTCAAAGTACTTTCAGGTTAGCCCTGAAATTCAAGTCAAAGAAAGTACATTTTCCAATTTCCCACTGTAAACATAGTCAATTGAAGTAATCACAGCTTGTTAAGAAGATTAAGGCTGTTTAATATCATTTAGGATTCTTAAAATACCAATCTCACAATCTTCTGTTACTTTACATAAATTGTAGCAGATTTATAAGGATTTTAGACAGGCTAATTAATGCCTTTAGAAGTCTTTCCTCAAATTTTATTTATTTTTAAAGGACCTGTTTCATTTCTTACAATGAGAAGGTACTGGTCTTGAAAATAAAATACATAACCTATCAATAAATTCCTCACAGAGAGTAAAAAAAGTCTCCTCTCTCACTTCCAATATTCAATAACAAAAATGTTCCCCTCCATTCTAAATAATCTTTCTCTTTCTTCATCCTCACCCTGATACATAACAAGCTAAAAAAAGGTACCTACGTTTGAAGTTTATGTATATGTCTCAGCTCTGGAATATGAGATTTATGAGTTCAAAAGAAAAGTCCAGAAACCAATTTTGAGAATTGCTGAGTATGAAGACATAAACATTTGGTGCCATGCCTAAAAATAATTAGCTATGTTTAATTCCAAAAATAGACTTGCAGTGTCTGCCAATATTTTGAAAACTGAAAGAGAAAGAGGGTGTTTTTTTTTTAAATGTTTTGCATGAAACTTGGCTCTTCTGTATGCCTCACAGAGACCAGGTAATGTTTCCATGCATGTATGAATAAGTAGATTGGAAATTCAAAGTCTGCTTTTTGGCTTATGTGAATATTACCAATGGCACCTAATTTCCATGCCCATCTTAGAGTATAGCTGCTTTTACAGCAGGATTGGGCCACTGTCCATTATTTTACTGCTGGTTTACTTTTTGTAAAAACTAATGTCAGAATGCATACAGTTTTTCCTAAGAACATGTAGATTTTATAAATATATAATTGTCCATTTATACTACAAGTGCAATTAAAAGAGAATTTTATGTTTTGAATTTTCGTTTTGATTTAAAAATCACCACAAGCCTTAGGACCAAAAATAACAGTAACCTACTCTAACTGCTGCCTGTGGGGTGGGGGAGGAGAACTATATGCAACTGAATTTATAGACACAAATCCTAAGACTGTGTTAAATCTATTCAAAGCATTTTTATGATGATATATCTTACGGCAAATCTTAGTTATTCACTGGGCTTTCTCTTCAGGATATAACTGCAATCTGCTATTTAAGGAAGCTAGAATTATAACCTTTATTTCAAGGTTCTTGGGGGCAGGAGGTAAAGAGGAGAAAAGATGTGAGGGGTAGGGAGATAGACTCATAGTTAATTCTCATTTCCTGGGTTCAAGACGGTGCCTCCCCTTTCTTTCACTGTATCTGGTTTCCTGGAGTACACAGCTTTCCTCACTTACTTCTACGGAGAATAAACTTGCTATCACTATGTTGGCTGGGTGGGGAGACCTAGGCCTTTAACTGCTTCTTATTAGATTTCTGAACAATACTCTAGTTTTCAGTCTCTTCATTAACCTATGTACTCATAGGCATATAATGTCTAATTTCTGAGCATTTGGGGGATCTGCACCTTTAATAAGCTCACCTCACACATGCTTCATCTTCTGCAGGCATTTAGGCTTCCTTTTCCTCTGCTCTGCTAAGTCCTTAGCACTTGACCATCTGCTTTCCATTTCCCATCATTTTATTGATATCATTTCTCTACTCTTATTAACTCTCTTCTTTGTCCTTTCTGGGTTTGTTCTTGTACAACCAATTTAATGAAGTTGCAGGAGAGAGTAGAGATAAATGCATGTGTTCCGTATGTCATATTTCTTCCTGTTCTATTCACGACAGAGAGCAAAAATACCTGTAATAAGCTTATGTAATCTTGAAAGCAGTTATGAAATTGTGCTGCCAATCTTTCATCCCAATTTTTCAAAGCGTCCTTTCGTGATCTTATTTATCCATTCTCTAAACATTTTACGATGACATTGACTTTAGTTTTAACACATTAGAGATTTTCATACATCAAATATATATTGAATAACTGATATATATGAGGCCTAGGTTAAGGTGCTAAAAGGATGCTCTCAGACTTGTATGTATCATTCATTCTGTCTCCATTGGAGTCATCTGTCATGCACATATAAATTCAAGACACTTCCCACTAGCTCTTAGCTTTAATTTCCCTTGGGAATTTCTTTTCATACTGCAGGTGGTCTCATGAACTTTTTGTTACACTAGGTATAATGGCCATATTTTCTGAAATAAAAATCAGGATTTACTGTCTAATGGTCTTAAAAATAGTTTGTTTTATGACTTGTGTATTTATTTTAATGAAAATACAAAAATAAAATCACCTTTAGTAATAGTTTAATTTAATAAACGTTTTTGAATTCTAAGTCAATGTTAAGGTAAGTTGTAACGGTAAAGCTCTCTGTGTCTCGGAGGAATTTTGTATAAGTATATGGTTAAAACATTTTCTATGTTGAAAGAGTACATCAGAAAAAGGAAATCAGAGCTGTTCTAGAATATACCAGGAGTATGATGGGATGCAGTAATACCATGGCAAGGTTAATCAGATAATGGACATATTTCAGTAAATGAACACTTTTCTCAGTGTATTTATATTTTATTTCAACAGATAAGTAAACAGATTCATCCTCCCAGGCTTATAATCATGGAAGGCAAGCTATGAAACTACTCACTGAAAAATAAAAAATTCCACCAACTTATCTCCTTAGCTTTAGGGTTACAAGTATAAATAATTCAAAAGAATCTCCAATTAACATGCCCTAAAGCCACTTTAATGCAAACAAGAAGAAATACTGAATTAATTTCCTTTACCCTTTAAAGAGGGAAACAATTTATGTTCTTTCTGCCATGAGTAATTCACATTGACTTGGATGTATTAAATTCAAGGTCCAGATATTTCAATATTTTTCCAATTTCTAATGGCTTTGAGCTCTTGGAGGTGGCTACAGCTCTAGCCATGTGTCTCAATAACTTACAGCATTGATTCAGCATATTTTAAGTAAATATATACAGCTCAAGGCAAAAATACTGAGCAATTTTCTCATACTTTTCTAGTCCCTAGACCACAGATTTGTGAAGTAGAACCTAATAAAGTAATAATATTACTTTATTGTTCTGTTTTCTATCCTCGAACTCCATCACTTTGATGTGATATTAATATATGGAAAATGTAGCTGTAAGAATAAAAAAAATAAAGAATGACTTGGCTTTCTTTATAATAGATGCTGTTCATATGAACTAATGAGTTGGGAGAGAGATGCCAATAAATACTGTTTTTGTGCCATTACAATTAACAGCAAGTTTTGTAGTTTTTCTTTAAAAAGTTACCATATTACTTTAAATGCAGGAGCTGCATGTGTGTACTTAATGTGACAGAATTACAATCTTCTGCACCTATGTAAATTTGTGTTTTATGTAGACGCAGAGAGAGAAGAGAGAAGAAAGCCACTAGGTGTAAAACTGGTAGAGTTTTATGAATGTTGGACTCACATCCATGTTCCTGATACAAATCATTTCCATGAGTATTTTGTGATATTTGGAGAAATATTATATTTTTATTTTTTTCATGAGATTTCTATCTGGTTAAACAGGAAGTCTAAATTTAAGGGCAAATATCACATAACCAAGAGAGGAACATTAGCTCCAGAAAGACTATCATGAAGCCTATAATAGAGCCAAGAACTGAGATCCAGCTTAGTGGTACCATTCTAAATGATGGTTCTATTCATTCGAAATGATGAAGATTCCTCCCCAAGCATTTGCCTGTACTTTTCATGTAAGTTGATTGAGAAAATGCAAATTTCATAAGCACTCTTAATTCTGTTCTAAATCAATCTTTGATCATACTGTACCTGTAAGCCTTTAAAAATTGCAGCAAATATGTACAGGCTAAATAATATTTATTCAGTCAACATGGACTATACAAATATACACTACTTGTGCTTTTGCAATTAATTACCGTAGCCCATCAGGGTCACTTACTGATTGGTTTGTAATCGTGATTTAGATTAGTTGGATTTACCAAGAAAACTCCAAATTCCTTTTTTTTTTTTTTTTTAGTTTGAGGACAGTATTTTCCCTGCCATTGAGTTATAAATATAATCCCTCTCATCTCCAGAGAGCACCTGTTAAATTGTGTACCACTAAGGGAGTAAAATACACACAATAATTTTAAAGGTGTACTGCCATGGTTTTCCTGCCATTGTCAAACAAAGGAGAGGAAACTTGAACCCTCTTGTGATCAGGCCTTTTTCTGCTCTCTCTACCACAATTCTAAGGAAGAAGGAGCTGCTAATTTGATTACTCTAAGCCTGAGATACTAATTAACAATGGACAGAGTTATACTTTTTAAAAAGTTATATCTTCTGCAAACTTTTTCTTGCATTTCTTACTTTGAAGAAGTCAGAAGAGACAGGCAAGGCTTGTATTCTCAAGACAGACCATTCATATTCATGTGATTCACACTCTCTCTCTTTCTCTTACCCACTCACTCTTCCTTCTTTCTCCCAGAAATGAGCAAATGCATATTCCTCAAATATTAATTCAGGAGAGGTTGTCTCCTCCTTTCTTGCTTGCTAAATTTACTCTTACTTTCCTTTTTCTCTCTCTCCCTTCCTTCCTTTCTTCCTTGCTCTATTTTAAAGGTCCAGGTTAGTATTCTGCTTTGCATTCTCATGCTTAATTTTTTTTTTTATCGATTACTTTCAGTGGCAAAAACTGCAGTTACTTTTGCACCAACCTAATAGTTTAGACTTTAACTGGAGTTTAGCTGGTTTCTACCAAAGAAGACACTGTAGCATAATGAAAGGAATATGTATTTAGAAGTAATCCAAATTTTGGATTAGCTGAGTAAAATTGAAAATAATAACTTTGAGCTTTGTCTTTCCATCTGAGAAATGGAGATAGTATTTTTAATAAAAGTCCTATGACTGCTAAATAAGTCAATATGTATGAAGACAACACCATCGTGAACAGGATTGTTATTAAACTCACTATTTCTCTGTGTTGAGTAATAAGTACATTATATATACATAATCTCATTAGTTTCATTTACAGCATAGGAAAATGAGACTAAAAAAACTTCAATATTTTGTCTAAGTTAGCATGGCAAATGAGGGGCAGAGTTAGGATTTGAACCCGTTTGACATATTCTAAAGCCTAGACTCTCAACTGCTATCTGCTATGGCCTCCTACATGTTCCTTCTTTTGATAAAACTGGTTTCTTTCATTCTGTTCATGTACGATGTACATATGAACTGGATTTAGAAAAAAATTGTGTATCTTCCTATAGTTTTGGGTATCTAAAGATTCTTGTCTATATACATATACATACACATGCATATACTGAATGTTGATTTTAATCATGTAAAGTATGCATCCATATATCAACTAGATCTGCATTGATCAATACAGTAGCTTCCAGTTATAAGTAGCTACTTAAATTTAAGATAAATAAAATTAAATAAAATTTAAAAATCAAACCCTCAGTCACACTAGCCACATTTCAAGTACTCAAAAGCCACATGAGGTTAGTACCTACCATACTGAATAGCACAGACATAGGACAGTTCCATCATTGCAGAAAGTTTTACTGACAGCACTGAACCAGATACATTTCAATGAGAATGTGAATAAATTTGTTTATCAAGGAATTTGTCTATAACAAATCCTTTGTCATAGTAGAGAAAGCACTTACTTTGAAAATTCTCATACTGGATCCTTACACACACATACACACTCAATTATGCAGACCAAATATACAGAGAACTAAAATTTATCTGTAATTTTTTCATGGTCACTCTGAATCTGAAACTGTATGCAAAGTTTTGCCCTGTGCAATGACATTTGTAAGCAAAGCATAGCAAACACATTCTTATGTTATTACTCACCCACTTCAACAGATTCTACTCTTGGACACTTCAAAATACATGCCTTCAAAGCTAAGTAAACATTAGTCATCCTCATTAAATGAAAGTTCCTAGAGAGTTCAATTTGTTGGAGAATCTTCAATAAAGGAGGATGGAAGTAGAGTTATTTTAGGAACCCCTGTGTTTTTCTAGAAAAAAAATTAACAAGGCAGGATAGATGGTATTCTGATGTATTGAGCCAATCTTCAGAAATAGTCCATGCAGCCACAAAAATACAGAAAATGAAAAGCCAGAGTGATCAAACAATTTCAAGGAAATAAACAGATAAGCACAAAAATTGAAATAAGCCAGCATGCCTTTCTTCTGCCTGGTTTTCTAATTATCTATTTGGCAACTAGTGATAGAATAGTGACTTATTAAGAAGCAAACACATTTTTCCTGGATCCTTTTTTTTCTCTTTAAAAGAAGCAGAGGACATTTGTATAATAAACATTTATCTTCCCTTTCTTCTTCTCTATTAGTCAATAAATGTAAAATTATTATCTAGCTCAGTTTATAAGTGGTCACTTATGAAATACTTAATAAAAATAAATATCTCTAGGAATCACCAGACATCATAAATATTCTCAGTGGTTATATATTTATTTTAAACATTTTATGTTAGTACTGGATTCCTTTACCTCTGAAAAAATGGCTTTTATAAACTTACACTCCACACAGTATGGTGAATTTGCTCGATGGAAAAAATGGCAATCCTTTAGCTTGCATTATTTGCAATTAAAGTACGCAGTGTTCCCTAATTCAATCCTCAATTTTATATTTTAAAAGAACAGACCAAGCTTTACTTTTAGACATACATCTTAAATGTGCTCAGAAGACACAGGAGGATTTTTTGACTTATATCTTAGAAGATATGAGGAAATTAATCAAAAAAATATATTTTCCTACTTGAACAAAACTTTGAAGTATTAGATAGGAGGATACAATTTTAATATTGGAGTAGAGAGAAAGTAAGAGCTATCGAAAGAAGTTTCAAAAATTATGTCAGCATCTTTCATAGTAAATCTAAACTTTGCTTGAGTAAGAAATTCTTTATACTTTCATGCAGAAAAGCAATGGAACAAAATTGCTGATGGACCATGACATTCTCTTTGCCTGAACAAAGAGACAGCTGATAATAGTGAAAGTTGTACAGGTATTCAAGGCAGTCATTCCCAATCATTTGTCAACCTCAGTTTCCAAGGATGTTGTGTCAGTTTGCAAAGTCTTGTCTACACTTGAAAATACACTAAAGGATTCTTCTGTCTACCCGAAGAAAATTTGTTCAATTCCAACTATTGAATTCCATTATCTTTAGAGAAAAATCTTAGAATGTGTTTCAGAAAAGTCCCTCAGGGAGCTTTTCCAACTCCATATGAATGACAATACAAAGATGGTACTATAGGTCCATCTGGCCCATTTTCTCATTTTCTTTCCCATTAGCCTGTAGAATTTACTAGGAGCCCACAGAGGTATAGCTCTATAATAGGGGAATACTAAGAAAATAGTGTCATCTACTAATGTAGCTATTTTATATATGAAGGAAACAGAAAAGCTGTAAGGTATAATTGTCCAAATGTAAGTGTAAATTCATGCTCTGCAAGTAGAGCCAATGGTACCCACATGCTCTACTCTCTTTTGGCAATGTGATGCTAGAGTAAAAAAGATACTAATCACAGAATGGAAACAAATCAGCTTATTTCTCAATCTTTCTATAAAATGTAATTTAATTATAAACACACAGTAAGTATATATTCCAAAACTCTAAAAACTGGTGTTTAAATGTGAGCACCAGAGGGATTAAATGACATGTTCTGTACATCCTTCTTGTTTTTTTAAGGACATGGGGAATTTTAAAAGTGAAGAGATCCTCTTTCTTCTACAGGAAATGTCATAATTCTTCTCATGGTTTATTGGCCATAAACAAGGCAGGGATATCCTGAGAATGGCTGATATTGCTGCTTCTCTATTATCAGGGCCAGGACGCTACCTGATCAAGATACCCTCAAAAGCCAGAAAATAATTTCAGAGGTGGGTTATATAGCTATGATATCTAACAATAACATTCTCCTTTAGAATTTCCCATTTCATATAGAAAAATAAAATACAGAGAGGTCAAAAGTTTACACTTGAAAGAACAGGACATAGTAGAAGGGAAAAGTGCTGGGTAAAGTGTATCTTATAAATTACTGGAGGAAAATATGGGCAGTTGGCGATGATTGTGGAAGTTTAAAGAATCAATGATTAGAAGTCAAGAGGTAAAAATGTTGCGCATATAGCAGTGATAAATTGAAATCTATGCTCATTTGCACATGGGAATTAGAACCTTTATATTTTAAAAAAAGCATTCATTGTGGTGCTTAAATCACATTTTTTGAGCTGGAAGAGCAAGTGAATATTTTCTTTTCATGTATTGATTGGTTCAATTTAATCAAACAACTGGGAGGCCACAATAAATTCAGTAAAAAAAAATGTTAGTCAAGGGTTGTGCATGTGTCTTTGTGTGTGTGTGTGAACTGAATCGATGGAAGTGTCTAATCCACTATATCAACATGGTTATGGCAGCACATAAAATACGCGGGACCAGAACTCCATCATAGAAACACTCTTCATAGTCACGGTATTGATTTCAATTATGATATCTTTCTTGCTAATGCATTCTGTGCACCTGTCGGTTGGCAGAGAAAACAGACTTAAATCAAACTGAAAGCCATACCTGCAGCAAAAAAAGGCTTCATGTAGCCCAGAGAAAGAATAAAGAAGCAAACACTGTGAGCTATGAGAGTCACTCAGAGAAATGTGCTCAATGGCATGGAGTTTTAAATTGCCCATAAAAAATGAACACATTAGCCATCTTTTGCTCTTTTGGCACTTCTGCAATTGACATTACCCCTGTCTGGTGTGTTAAGACTGGGAGAACTAAGCTGGAAAATGTGATAGCAAATCCTTAACTCAAGCAGCAGTATATGGGACAGGCTGTTAAACTGTCATGTTAGTGGAATGCATAAATGCCAACATTATTTTAGAATGATTTATTACATCCACAACAGTCAAAATAAATAAATGTGGCCTCATAGTCCACAACCCATGGATAGCTTTTCTAATTCAGGATTTTGCAGATGACATTTTCAACTAGGATAAAATTTTGGACCTTTTAAAAACAAAAGACAGAATTTTGTTGGGATTTTCTGAAGTTCTAAGCATATTATTTCAATGATTCTGGGAGGAGTGGTTGTTAGTAAAAAGGTGCTATCAAATAGTTAAATGAAGAAAGAGTAGAAAAAAGAATGTGTAGCATAACTCACTTATATATCCATCTCTACAGAAAGAGCAATTGCAATGGCGGTTGCATTGTAAAATGTCTTCAATATGATTTTCGTGTTGACAACATAACCATCACTACAGATAAACTCCCACTGACCATAAATTGCAAATGAAGCAAAACTATTTGAGTTGAGAATGCAATCCAAAAATTATATCTATTTAAATATTCATTTTTTGAGAATTTATGGAATACAGTACATTATCTATTGGGATTTTTTCCCCCTAAATACAGCAAGGACTTCCACTGGCAGCAATATTTCTTAGAACTAAAATGGCTCATTTATGATCATTATTGAAGTCACTACATTTTATAGTTTGTCACTTTTAAAATAAAATACCATTTATTCAAATAAATGGATCTGTAAGTTAGAAATTTCCCATCATATAAAAGAAAAAAGATATCGGGTGATATTCAGGTGATATTTTAAACTTTATTCTCTTGCGCACATGAAATTTCAATTTACATGCCAACATCCTTCACATTATATAAACTAAACAGAAAATGGCATAAAAAACTGTAATGCCCTTGTTTTGCATCAATGAGAAAAGCAAGGAATAGACATTTATTAATGTAGTTACACAAATCATCAGTGCTGATGTCAATAAATTCATGATAAAATATATAATATGTAATATACTAAATGTATACATATAATATAAATAATACTACATATTATATACTGTATATATACTATATGTGAATTGATTGAGTGGTGTATTATTTTTATGTAGTTTATTTTTTAAGTTACAATACCTTACTTGGAATGAACTTCTGAAATAAGAAATTCTAGTAAAATTAATTAGGTAATTTATCCTTTAAGTTAAACACCAAATAGAAATTAAATAGTTCCTGTGCCTATTGGGGTTAATACACTGTTAAAATATTTCTAAAGAATTTTTCAAGTTGTGAAAATAAAGACAACTGAAATCAAGATTCACAAAAAAAAGAAAAAGAAAATATTTGATAAGTTTGTGCATGTGTTCTAAACATAGCACTCCTGTTCATACCCTTATGCATGACTGTTTTCACAGTTTTCTCTATAAGAGCAAACACCACCATAGAAAAGACACTTTTTGAAGAGAGTCTTGGAAGTCTTATTTTTTTCTGAAATGTTTTCTTCATATTTTTCTTCTTCTAATGTCCTTATTTTCCCATAGTTTATATTGTCTCCTTTATTGCCTTGATGTCCAAAATAGCCTTCACATTCTGACTCCCATAAAAGATATTTGGTGACTTATAATGGGTCTTGGTCCGAAAGACCCCTTCTAACATTTTAGCTGTCAGTTATTGAGAAAGTATATGACTTCATGAAATAGGAACTGCTTTTAAAGTGCAGGATCAACAACCGCAAACATAATATGACCACAAAAAGTGGGGTATATTATTTTGAGATAATTGTTTGCAGAAATAAGGTACCTAGGTTTGAAAAACTAGAATAATTATCTATTATAAGAATTAAGATATCCTAAGGACATAATTTGGAAAAAGAGGAGGGAGATATATTCTTAAAATGGTCTAAAATATAGATTAAACATAAAGTCTAATTTGGAAAGGGACAGAGATGAAGATCAAGTTATAGATTTGTAGATGTAGATTTGAAGACTAGGGTCTGGATTCTAATTCTAATATCATAATTATATTATATTATAAATATATATAATTCTAATATAACATTATCAAATAATACTAAATATAGTATCAAATATCAAATGTATCAAATAATATCAAACAATAATATAGTAATACAATAACTCTATTATACAGTTCCTACATGGAATTAAGAATTTAATCTTGAATTTCTAATTTTTTTTTTAGTTATGGAAATTTGGATAGAATCTGTAAAAGAAAAATGAGGTCCCTAAGCTAGTTAAGTATGCACTTACGAAGTGGATCATGCCCTCCAGTGACTTGATATAACACACTATCTAGTAATCTTGGCCAGTCTGCTTCCTAGAAAACCAGTTCTGTCCACATCACCAAAACCAAGCCTGTTCTGAAGTGGAAAAGTCACATGTTCTCCACGATAAAGAACAGATGTGACAAAGCCATGGCCTCTAATAATTTTGTATCATCTCACAGCCCAATATCCCGTGCCACAACCTACCTTCTATAAATAGATTTCTGCTCTGGACTTTGAGTGGAGAACATGAGACCCTGATATTCTAATGTTTAACTATATTCTCCACCATGAAGGACAAAGCTGAAGAAGCCATGGCTTCTAAGAATTTTGTACAATCTCACAGCCCAATGTCTCATGCCACAACCTACCTCCTATAACTGGATTTCTGCCCTGGGCATTGGGTGAAGGCCATGAGACCCTGATATGCTAATGTTTCACTATTCCCTGCCTGGAATTTAAAGTTCTTCCTGAGGCTCCATTCCATAGCAAATAGCCCATTTGCCATTTCAGACACAAGAATAAGGTTTCTACTTCTGAGTGCCACTTATTTCAAATTTTCTGAGACTATAATTTGCACGTTAGCTTGGATAACCTGAAACTTGTCTTCACTAGTGACCATTTGCCAGAAATTCTAATCATTTAGTCCTTTAAATAATAACACATGCAGGCAGTCACCCAGTTTTCAGGCAGCATTTGCAGCCGGATTAGCTTTTGCAGAACCAGGACAACTTGACCCTATGAATATCATTCCTTAGTGGCCCTATCCTGTTAACTATTGCCTGACAATTCTCTAAATTCAACTGAAGTTAAGAAGTATTTGTGGATGTCTTTTTGTGCCAGGCAGGCACCCATGTAGGCCCTAGAAAGATATAATTCTTGCTTTCAAAAAGCTTAATATTCAGAAAAACTAACGAGTGGCTTTCTGCATACTTGCTCTTTCTTTAGCCTGCATAAAAAATGGGGCTTCTTGTTCAGTTACACTCTTTTATATTTCAAAATGATGGATATGCTTGCCTTATTCCTTATTTTAGAGGTTCTTTTTTAAGGTCTCATAAATAGCAAGAATAATGCCAAGTAAAATTTCATATTATTGCTCTCAAATTGTCAATACATTTATTTCTCTTGTTGGAAGCAATGTGAATACCTATTCCTTAAATTATAATTTTCCTACAGAATGCCTGTCACATAGATCTTTTATCAAGATTATATTAAGGTTCTGTTTTGGCAAATCAGTTTAACTTCTTTCACAAAGCTATCATGAAACATAGTCTAGATATGTGGCTTTTCTAGCTGTGAATTCGTAGGTTTATACCCTTCATAGTTAGTTATGCATGTTGTAGAACAGCATTTACAAAGTATGTTCTATTGAACAGTGGAGCTGCTGCATAGTCTGTGCAAAGAGATTTTCACAGACAAATTATATTGTGAAATGCTACATACTATGTTTTCCTCTTGGAGATTCATAACAAAGATTAAAATATTAAAAATTCTAAGTATGGTCAGTCTGCTGTATCCATGAGATCTATATATGCTGATTCAACCAGCTACAGATCATATTTTTAAAATTCCAGAAAATATTACTTTCTGGATGACATGAACTAGGATGGTTACATGTATACTGAGCCTGCACAAAGTTTTTTTCTGGTCATTATTATTCCATACACAGTGCAGTATAACAACAACTTACATAGAGTTTACATTGTATAAGGTATTATATGTAATCTAGAGATGACTTTAAGTTTACAGGAGGATGTATGTATGTTATATGCCAATACTATGCCATTTCATATAAGGGACTAGAGAGTCTGGGATTTTCGTATCTCTGGGAGTCCTGGAACCAATTCCCTGTGGATACTGAGGGATGACTGTAGTCCTTTGGAAAAGAAACTGGTTGAATTTTAACACAACATTTTTCAAACTCTTTCAACCATAAGTCCTTTAAAAAGTATAATACTGGCTTTCAGAACAGGTTCACCATTTAAAATCATCTTGTTTGTCCGTTATCACACAAAAGCAAGTTCTATGAGAAAATAAGACTCCTGGGTACCAGGAGCACACAGTAGGATGTCATATAAACAGATCCAAATGAAGAATAAAATGCTGCTATGGATATTTTTTTAGAAGTAGTGTTATTTGGATTTATTTAGAAATGTTTTTGACTAAAGGCTCTGAATACGGCTTAAAAAGAGTTGAACTTTTCAGATTTTTCAGATCAACTTTAAAAAGGATGCCTTTATTGCTAACTTACTCATTTGGTGTGTTGGTTACAAGTTCATTTCTCATATGGGACAGTTTACATTGTTCCAATCTACAAAGACCCTACATTCTAGAGCTCTGATCTATCAAATCACCAGATATATCAGAAATGCCTACCATCGGTCTCCAGAAAAATTGAGGTGTAGATGCCACTAAGTCCATGCCAGATCTGTATCTCCATTGCAAAACAAGCAAGCAAAACAACCAAGTAACACCTCCAGCCCAAAGGAAAAAAACCCAAACAAACAAAAATTCTGGGTCAAATAAAGATGTCAATCAAATATGTAATTACAGTTAGTAGGAATAAATTCAAGAGATCCATTGTATAGCATGGTGACTATAGTTAATGACAATATATTGCATTCTTCAAAAATGCAAAGATAGGCCGGATGCGGTGGCTCACGCCTGTAATCCCAGCACTTTGGGAGGCTGAGGCGGGTGGATCACGAGGTCAGGAGATCGAAACCATCCTCGCTAACACGGTGAAACCCCGTCTCTAATAAAAATAGAAAAAATTAGCCGGGCGTGGTGGCGGGCGCCTGTAAGGTCCCAGCTACTTGGAGGCTGAGGCAGGAGAATGGCGTGAACCCAGGAGGCGGAGCTTGCAGTGAGCGGAGATGGCGCCACTGCAGTCCAGCCTGGGTGACAGAGCCAGACCCCGTCTAAAAAAAAAAAAAAAAAAAAAAAAAAAGCAAAGATAGAGGAGATTAAGTGTTCTCACCACAAAAATGATAATTGTGAGATAATGAATGTTAATTAGCTAAATTTAATTATTACACATGTATGTATACTTCAAATCATCATGTTTTACGCAGTAAATATATAATAAAAATACATTTGCTACTCCTAATTGGAAGTAGAGGGAAGGTGTTGGGATCCGATTTAAAAAAAGCATATGATTTGGTGGTTCATAAATAATCAGGCAAGTTTAGAAATTACTGGTAATAAAGGGAGATATTAAACTTTCCAATTACTTGTCAAATTTAAAATTATAGACACTGAATTGCAACTGAATTGCAGCTATTTTTAGACAAACGACAAAACTAAGATATTTAATGCTTTACTTTTACAACATATAAAAGATGAAGAAATGCTCTGAGTAGATCCCTGATCATTCTTCTAGATTCAGAAAGTGTCTTCATTACCTCAATTTCATCTCACATTCACTGATATACCAAGTTATCCATGACTTTAAGATATATACTTGCTTCTTTCCAACAGGATATACTAATTTCTGTTTTTAGATTTCCTTCAGAGTAAGTTAATATTTTAGCTAAAGCACTTCCACCTCTGAATATTCCAGTCTAAATCCATTTTGGAAAACTAGCCCTCACAACATTCATTAGAAAATTGTATTTGTATTATCTTTTGTGAGATGTGCTATGGGTTTAGAGATATGTTATGAATCCTACTCAAAAGGAAAAATCCAGAAGCATGAATATATTCATTTTACAAATAAAAAAATTATAGAACAAAGGAAGATAAAAATATACACCTGAACATTTTTCTCATTTGATTAATTATTCAACTGTAACATTTGTAGAAGAAATATTTCCCATTCAGTAATTCTGAATTCAACTGTGATAAAAATGTGGCAAATGTGAAGAGGCACTGAATATTTCTTTTTAAATATTGCTGTAACTTGGTATAAGTGTAATTTAAATAGTGCATGAAAATAAATGGCATTTTCAGGTATTATATGACATTGTTCCCATAAAATTCCAGTCTAAGTCATAAATCACAGCTTTTGAATCGAATACCTATATGTGCTAATGCATTTCTAACAAATAACTCTTTTTTACTACAAAAAACCCATTGGCATACAGAATTTTATAATCAGAGGTTCCCAGCTGCTCACCTTAAATTAAAACTTGACTTAGGTAAAGGCAAAATTTAAAAAAAAAAAGTCAGCATTACCTTAGGTTTTATACTGAGTCACATTTCGAATCTAATAAAAATTAGGCATTTGTTTCTTAGTCTGAATCACAGGCATTTCCAAGGATAATTGAGCCTATTTGATTTGGTTTAATAACTATTTGGATGATTCCAAATGCGCACAAAACACTGAATAAAATGAGAGATGAATAAGATCAATCTCCACAGTTAAGGTGCTAAAACATCTAGAAATGAAGGTAAGTCAAATACACAAACAGCTTTATATTCAAGTCATGCCACAGTAAGTTTCCAAAATCAAGATATGAAGAGGGGGCGATTACATACAGCTTTAAGGATGGTAGCATTCACTGGGGAGAGATAAGCGAGATGGTACTCTCGGGGAACAGCTGGAGTTTACCTAGTTAGTCAGAGGAATGAAATCATTATATATTTCTAAAGAACAAGAATAGTCCTATTTCAAGATACAGTCATGACTTGAAAAGGAGAAGAATCACCTGAAAAGGAGAATAGAAAATAAACTGAGGCCTGAGAGCCTTCTAAATTGAGGGACTTGCACTCAGTTAGGCAAGCAACCACTGTGGACTACTGAAGGATCCTTAAAAGAAGAGAGATGGTATGTCCATTTGTGCTTCTGTAACAAAATACCTGAGATGGGGTAATTTATTTAAAAAATTTTGTTTTCTCACAGTTCTGGAGGCTGAGAAGTCCAAGATCAAGCCTCCAGCAGGTTCAGTTGCCTGGTAAGGCCTGCTCTCTGCTTCTAAGATTCTGCCGTCTCACATCCTCTGGAGGGGAGGAATGCTGTGGTCTCACATGGAAGAAGGCATAAGGGCAAGAGAACCAAACACTGTGTGAAGCCTCTTTTACAATGGCCTAAATCTCATTCACAAGGGGAGAAGCCCTTATAACCTAATCACTTCTTAAAGGCCCCACATCTTAACAGAGTTACACTGGCCATTAAGTTTCATCACCCAAATTTGCAGGGGGGCATTTGAAACCACAGCAGCAAATCAATGTTTTGTTTCATAAAGATTAATTAGATGCTTATCAGGCTGATTGGGATGGAAGAAAAGAAGATGGAAACAAAAAGACTAGTTTAATCACCAAAGAAATAATCTAGGCAGGAGATGAGGAGAGCAAAAACTATGATAGTGGTTATGGAAACAGAGAGTGGGAGACAAAGGGATGGATGCTGGAAACTTCATAGAGCTGAAATCTTTAACAACTGCCTGTACATTGCCTATGGAAATAAAGAGAGAAAAAAGACAAATATGGCCATGCTTTTTAAAAATTTGGATGCATATTGAAATACCATTAACCAAAATATGGAAGTCAAGAGTATTTAGCCCCCAAAATAAGATAATGGGTTTTGTAGTAGATATTTTGAGTTTGGTGTGGCAATGATAGCAAAGATGACAAGTAATTATATTGACTGGGTTGATGTGTAAGTGTGGAAGTTCATCTACTTTCAGGTAATAGCTGTAATCACTGGGATAGATGAAACTGTACAATCAGACTATACGAAATAAATAAGGCAGAATTTTTTTTTTCTGAGACGGAGTCTCACTCTGTAGCCCAGGCTGGAGTGCAGTGGTGCCATCTCGGCTCACTGCAAGCTCTGCCTCTCGGGTTCACACCATTCTCCTGCCTCAGCCTCCCGAGTAGCTGGGACTACAGGTGCCCGCCACCATGCCCAGTTAATTTTTTCTATTTTTAGTAGAGACGGGGTTTCACCGTGTTAGCCAGGATGGTCTCGATCTCCTGACCTCGTGATTTGCCCGCCTCGGCCTCCCAAAGTGCCGGGATTACAGGCGTGAGCCACCGCACCTGGCCCAGAATTTTTTATTGTTACATAATAGATGTACATTTATAAGGGTACATGTAGTATTTTGATACATTCATATAATATATAATGATTAAATCAGGATAACTGGGATATCCATCATCGCCACAAATATTTACCTTTTCTTTATGTGGGAATATTTGGAGAATTATCTTACAGCTGTTTCGAATAGCTGTAAAATAGATTATGATTCACTGAAGTCACCCTACTGAGCTATCAAACACTATGTCTTATTCCTTCTAACTGTATTTTTGTACCCATTTTTCCTCTCTTTATCTTTCCTTCCCCATACCCTTCCTGGCCTCTGATAACCACCGATTTACTTTCTATCTTCATGAAATATAGCTTTTAATCCCTATGAAAATATTAATGACATTCTTCACAAAGATAGAATGAAGTCCTAAAATTTGTATGGAATCACTAAACACCCTAAATGGCGAAAGCAGTCCTGAGAAAACAAAAAAGAACAAAGCCTGAGGCACCACACTACCGGAATCGAAATATACTACTAAGCTATAGTACAAAAACAGCAACATAAAAACAGACACATAGACCAATGGAACAGAATAGAGAACCCAGAAATAAAACCACACATTTGCAACCAACTCATTTTTGACAAAAGCACCAAGAACATACCTTGAAGAAAGGACAGTCTTCAATACAAGGTGCTGGGAAGACTAGATATCCATATGCACAGGAATAAAACTAGAGTCCTATTTCTCACCATATAGAAAAGTCAAATCAAAATAGATTAAGGATGTGAAGTTTTGGATGTCTATATTTGAAGGAGGTGAAAGAAGAGCAGGAAAGGGGGCCAGTAAATGAGAAACCGATTAGCAAGAAACAAATACAACACTTAGGTATTAATTTAACATTGTTATTATTAAAGGGTATAACATGTTATTGTGAGATTTTTAAAATTATAATTACAGTGATTTATTATGTTCTTGGATGGTAAGTCTGAATATTTAAAGAATATTTACAAATGTCAAGTTTCTTCAAATTACTATATATGTTAAATGCAATACAAATCAAAATACCAATAGAACTTTTCTAGCAATTTGATAAAATTGTAACAGATTGTATGAGAATTGTAAAAAAATTCTTCCTAAACATAATGTCAATACAGTCTAAAGGAAAAGGCCAATAGTTTTAAATGCAGTGAAAATTAAAATTTCTTAATGAGAGAAAATATACTAAAAATTATGTAGATTGAAACACTAACAAATATTTCAATAAATATAATGAACAAAATATAAATACCCTTTATATATAAAGCATTCTTATAAATCAACAATTTTAAAATTCCTTAAATAGAAATATGAGCAAAACACACAAGCAAGCAATGTGAAAACCTCATGAAAATTATAAAGCTGACCATAAGCAGGGAAATATATTCAATTTTACTAGTAGTGCAAAAAATAAAAATAGAAATAATGAGATTCCTTTTGAAACTTGTTAAATTGAAATGATGTTAAAATGAAAATTCCATAAGATTGAAACAAATGGCCATTTTGAATTTCAAAATTTGTAAGTGTTCACAATGGACAATCACCAAAATCAGTCATCTCTCCAGTATGGCAATCATTGTCACTCTGAAAATTGATGCTAAATCAATCTCCAGGAATGACTTCATGTTGTATCTACATAACACCAGAAGTTCCTCCAAAATTTAAAAGCATAAACCTATTAAATCTTAAATGGCTTATTCTCACAATCCAGCCAAGGCCACAGAAAGATTTGGTCCACTGGAATGCATTCTGAATATATCTCATTGGAGATTTAAAAACATGTATCCAAAATAATTTCATCAACCTGCAAGGTAAAATCCAGAATTTAAATAGTACGAGAGTGGTTGTTTCAGGTTCTACCCTCTGGGTCTGGAAAGCTCAGCTACATCTCTAGCCTATCTGAAGTGTACCAATTTACTCTTCAAGACCCATCTAGTACCTCTGTGAGGATTTCCCTGTATTCCTCTCCTCCTACTTCTGGTAGAGTAGAAATGTCTTCCCAGTCTCTTATATATACCTCCATTACAGTATGTTACATACAATGCACGTCTGCTATATTAATTATCATTTGCACGCTTTTTTCTCTTACCAGGTAGAGTCTTTCTTAAACAGAGGATTTTTTTTAATTTCTCTGATTCAAGGGCATAAGAAGAGAAATAGAACACATCATTGAGGAAGGGTCGGAAGAAAAAGAGAGAGAGAAAGAAAAAAGAAAGAAAGAAAAAGGTAAGAAGGAAAGAAGGAAAGAAGGAAAGAAGGAAAGAAAGAAAGAAAGAAAGAAAGAAAGAAAGAAAGAAAGAAAGAAAGAAAGAAAGAAAGAGAAAGAGAAAGAAAGAAAGAGAGGAAACTGCATATTATGATCCAGTGCATCCCTTGGATCCATCCCTTGGATGCATTTGTCCAAAGGTCCTTCCAGGGCTGAAAGAATGCAGGGCTATCCAGGAGGAGTGTAGTTAGTTAATCAATGGCTTTTATCAGGAATAGGCAATTTAAAGTGCAATTGACCTTAGTAAGTACTAAGCCAATTTTTCGTACAATTTTAGAACTAGGTAGGGTTTTAATATTTGTATAGTTTTCAGGTATATGTATCAGTCAGCTTGTAGGTAGGCTGCAGATCTAATCTCAGTATCAGTTTGTGGAAAATTTCTAACCCATTGGATTATTATGAAGATTTAATGAAATAATCGATCTAAAGAGCTTGGCAAAGTGTCTGGCACATACTAAGCACTCAATAAATCAAGGGCCATTATTATTATATGATATATGCCTTCCAATGTACAGATCAGAAACTTGAAGCTCTGATAATGTATGCAAATCCAATAGGAGCTGGCAGAACAAGAAGTAAAATCCAGACATCCCCAGTGGTTCTCAAGCTATCTTTAAACATTATTAGGCTTTTGGTTCTGTTTTACTAAATTCCATGGACCATGGTCCCCTATTATTTAGGAGAGATAGAGCAGCTGCTCAAGGAAAGAAAAAGGTTGAACTTCTTTTTGCTATTTTCCTCTAATTTTTTCATCCCATCTGACCCAGCTATAATTTATGTCTCATTTTAAAATAAGAATGGTAAATTACACAATTAGTTGTACTTCTCTAAAATGGAAATGCAGAATCTATATTGTTCCATTCTCCCCTTCTATGTGGCTGGTATGTATTCTTTAACAATAAAATCAATGTTCTCTTTTTTCCTATGTTAAACACTAAATATTTAAACTACATACACAAGTAACACTTGAAACTCAGCAATTAAAAAAAAAAAGTATAAAATGACTCCTAAAAGACTGTTTAGAATCCCTCTAGTTAACAGCCACATACTATGTAATGAAGTTGCAAACAGATTTTCCACCAGAGGGCTTTTGCTTTGGTTACTATCCTTTTGGGGATTCCAGTGTGAGCAATATGAATGCCTAGCTTGCCATATGTCTGATAGTCAAAGGAAGGTTCAGGAAAGATGGCAGCAAAGAAGCCATAACATCTACAGGATACTGAAATGCAAACTTGCCCTTTCCACAATTTAGCAAAAAGCCACAACACTTTGATGAATAATACACTATTTATTAATTATCCAGAGTAATTAGGGCTTTATTATTTATCTAGAATAAATATATAAATAAATAGTCATTCATAAATAGATCATCAGATCGATAGATGATAGGAGCTTAATACATGTAGTCATATCCTAATGATTCCATCTAATTACAAATTACAGAGCAACATATTGGCTTTGAAAAAAGATGAATCCTTTATTTTTGGAGCCAGATACTCACCTAATGAGGAGTTCCTACCTTTTATAATTATCTAGTGTGAACTATCTTTGCACAATATTTTGAAAGGTAGGCACCAAATCACTGCAGGAATACCTGTATTTTATGACTTTGGAAGGCAGTTCTACCTCCATTTTTAGAAAGCTCTCAGTGTTAGAGAGATCAACATTTTACCCAGCTAACTTTCTATATAGCTTCTACCTTTTCATCTTAGTTTTGCCCTGTGGAATTGTACGAACTAAATCAGATCCATTTGGCATACAGCAAGACCATGAATTGACTCATACATATCTTTCTTCCTTTGGTTTAAGTATCTATAATTCCTTACAGGAAAATGTTGGGATTTGAAACTTTATAACCAAAAAGATATTATTTCTGTTAATAAGCAATGTAATGATATTCATATATAAAGCAAAAGTTCCAGAAATATATCATCTATGTGCTATTTTTAAAAGTAATATTTGAATATTCAAGTAGCCTGAGAATGTAAAATAAAGAATAGAGAGATATGTTATAAAATGATTTAAAAATCACTTACAAAGTTAAATCTAAACAATCACAAAATTAAATCTAGCTGATTTGTTTACAAAACTAAATGGGTCAAAATTATTCTTAAAACAAAATAATACTTTAATATAATAATTTAATATTTTGGAATTATTTTTTAGTTTTATGTTTTTATTAAATTTCTATATTTTTAAATGGGAAGACCTTATTTTTACATAATGAGATGTGTCTCCTTAAAACATTTCCAAATCAAACTTGATTAGCATAGAAATTAAAATTTTTCTTTTCTTATTCCTGTATTCCCATAATTTCTAGAATGCCAGGTTGTACTCATATAAGCATCCAGTATTTCCACATTTATTAATCAGAATAGAGATCATTCTCATGGATACACACTAAAACCTAAAGCATTATGGAACAAAGGTCATTCTCTTCTGAGAGTAAAACAGGAGAGGAATTCTTTTCTTTGACTGAACTTCTAAACATAACATACATATTTACAAAGAAAAGGATGGGAAAATAAAAACATGCAAAATTCCTCCTCTTATATATAGCACAGTTAAATTATATTTTGTTCTTATTTCATTAAAAAGGTAATTTTTAAAAGGAATGTTAAAGAGATAACCTTCCAAAATATTGAAAATAAAACAAAAATACCTTGGGCTGTGACAATAATATATGTTGATATAGACAATTAATAAAAGTCTATAATAACTGTAGAAGAAAAAAATAAAGACAATTTTAATATACCTTGTTTACAAGAAAATAAGTTAATAGTAGGAACAAGTATCAGAGGAGCAAAGAAGAAGATGAAGAACAAGAGGAGGAGGAAGGAAAGGTAAAGGACCCTCCCTATCATCAGAAATGGCAGTGTTAATTTTAGACATAAAACAGAAGGCAAATAGTTAACACAAAAAGAATGACCAAAAGATCTAATATGTGATGACAGAATAGTTGCAAAATGTGCGAACTGAATAATTTAGTATCAAAATGGGTTTAACAAAACTTTAAAAAATAAAGTGATAATCAGATAGAAATATATAGTTAGCAGGAAAATTTAACATATTGGCTTTCAGTTCTTTTATCAATCAATTAGAAACAGAGAAATAAGGTCACAGGAATTTTACTAAAATTGAGGAATAAACGCTGAACTTTGTTCCCTCCTAATAAATAATTCACCTTTTATTCATGTATCCCTAGCCCATTTAGAAAAATTGAATATGGAGTTTATTGCAAAATAAGAGTAATTTAATTTCATCTCAAAAAAGAACAACTTGTACAAAGGAGCTGATTTGACCTAAAGGCAATAAAAGAAAAACTAACACCAAAAGTTTCAACAAACAAACAAAACCGACTTCTCAGTTATCTTTATTTTAAAAAGAAAACCAAAACTCAAAATGCAAGTTGTGTTAGATGTGAGAAAAATTAAAATAACTATCAACGTCACATTTATTGTTCTAAAAACTTTCTTTGTAAGACAACATACTTTAGAAAATTTAGAAAAATTGTATTCAACAAATTCAATGAAAGGATAAAAAATACTATATGTGTGTGCATGTGTGTATGCAGTTAATTAAAATGTGAAAAACAGTTGAATAAACTGGTTCTGTAAAAAAATAAAAATACAGGTAAACTCCACTAAGTAAGCTACTCAGAAAGTAACAGTGTTGGCAGATTTCCAAAGCTAGAATCAGATGTAATTACAATCAAATGACAAATGTCATCTTTATCATACATGAAACTATGATATCAGGTTTGTTTTTGAGGTCTAATACCCTACTTGGCTTAATAGTTTATGTTTCAATAACTGTAGCTTTATAATTTCATTTGATATTTGGTAAGGTAAATCCCATCTTAACTAATTTAAAATATACTATCACCAGCCAGTTATTAATATTATGTTTTATTTTTTCAATTAAAGACAGAGTCTTGCTCTATCACCAAGTCTACAGTTTTTATTATTATTAAATTTTGATTTTACATTGTTGAAAACCACAATAGTTATTGAGATTTTAATTGAATTGCAAAAAATCTGCAAATTAATTTGTAAATAATTTACATTTAGAGAATTTCATCTTCCCATACAGGAAATGGATGTGCATACTCACTTATTTCTGTCTTCTTGCATGTTTATCCACAGTGCTTTGTTTTTTCAACATAATATGCCACATATTTCTTACTATAGTCTTAAATATGTTTTATAAATGTTGACGTCACAGTTTTACCCAATATATTTTCTTACTTGTTTATAATGGTATGTAGAGTATCAAATCAAATACTGTCAAAGCAACTTAACTAATGAAATAGTCATGTTTTTCTGACAAATAATCTTAATCTCAGCTATGACCACTATTTATTCAGCACACATTTCATGAGTTCCTATAAGACAATGAATATACTAATATATAATATAGAGACCTCAATATGTAGTTGGAAAAACAAACCTGGGTTGAAGAATAAAATGTTTGACAGTGGGATCAATGAGATCAAGGGTTAGCTTAAGCCTCAAAAAAAAAATACTACCTTTATGAACAAAGAAAAATGGTAAAGATAGGTAAGGATATTATTACATTGGAAGGTGAAGGAGGACAACATGTTGAAAGAGTTCATAATATATGCCTAAATCATTAGAAATAAAAGAGAAGATTCTTCCCTATATAGGAGCCATTCACTGACAAGCCATTTCCAAGTATATTTAAACTTTTACTTTTAGAAAAAAATTATTTTTTGGAGCAGTGTGGGAAAATTGGTTTTTCTTTTGGTATTTAAAATTATAAATACTAAAGGATTCTTAAATATTTAAGAAATGTTTAATTTTTTAAAAGGAAGTATGAAAATCTAGAATTTAATCACATTAACTTCTACAATTAAAAAGAAAACAAAACTAATATCTATAGCAATATCATACATTTGGGAACAAGCATGAGATATTACACTGAGTTTTAAGACATCTGACACTCTCTTCCCTAATGGGTTTCAAAGGACATACTCCCACATAGTTATAGTAAAACTCTGTTATTTATGTTAATGGTTTTTGAGGAGATCCTTGAGAAGTCTTATCCCTCACCAAATCCTTGTTAGGTAAGTATGGTAAAGATGCCATTATCTCCATTTTACAGATCAGACCATCAACACACTCAGTTTCAATGATTAGTAGAAGGCACTAAGCATGCACAAAAATGGAAAGATAAAAAATATCCTGATTGCTAGGCATCTTAAAAAAAGGATACTTCCTATGCTTTATATATATATATTTTTTCTGCTCTTTTATACTTGTTTCTTTAATATTTTCAATGTCAATATTCAATGTTTATATTTAAAGTAATAAAATCAGTATAATACATCATCCTTACCTTCACAAGTTCAAACCCCATGCTAATTGATGACTCTCTAAAACTATGTCTCTTATATATTGGTAATTTTTACCCATAGAACTTCCCATATTTAAAAAGCTGAAAAGAGGCTGGGCACGGTGGCTCATGCCTGTAATCCAAGAACTTTGGGAGGCCAAGGCGGGCAGATCACTTGAGGTCAGGAGTTCGAGACCAGTCTGGCCATCATGATGAAACCTTGTCTCTACTAAAATTACAAAAAATAGCTAGGCATGGTGGCACACACCCATAATTTCAGCTACTCGAGAAGCTGAGGCTGGAGAATTGCTTAATTCTTGGCTCAGGGCAACCTCCTGGGAGGCAGAGGTTGCACTGAGCTGAGGTTGCGCCACTGCACTCCAGCCTGGGTGACAGAACGAGATTCTATCTCACAAAAAAAAAAAAAAAAAAAAGCTGAAAAAAGATTATGTTTTTCTCCCAGAGCTTATTAAGGTAAAACTGTCGAAGTTAGATATATTTACTGTATACAATATGATGTTTTGTTATATGTAAACATTGTGAAATGCTTAAGTCAAGCTAATTAATGTAACGAGCACCTCACATAACTCATCATTATTTTGTGTGTGGTGAGAACATTTAAGAACCACTCTCTTAACAATTTTCAAGTATACAATAATTATTATTAACTGCAGTCATTATTCTGTACAGTAAGTCCCCAGAACATATTCATCCTGTTTAATTGAAACTTTGTACCCTTGGACCACCATTTCCCTACTCCCTCACTCCCCATGCCCTGCCAACCACCATTATACTCTTTGCTTCTATTAGCTTGACTTCTTGCATTCCCCATATAAGTGAGATCATGCATCTGGGGAAAAAAAAAGGCATGTCAACTCCATTGCTGTGAATATTAACTACTCACCCATGCATATGGGAAATACCCTGGTATCATCCAACCTGGGGATGCGTTTAGACTTCTATGATTCCATAATCAAGAGAATGAATTAAGGGCTTATACTTCTCATGAGAGAGACAGTAAACATTATATATATATATATATATATATATATATATTAGATATATAATAGATATACAGTAAACATTTTAAATATATGTGTGTGGGGGGGTCTATGTGTGTGTGTATGTGTGGTCTGTGTGTGTGTGTGTGCGTATCTGTGTGTGTGTCATCTCCATTGATATGAAAAACATGTAAGTTATTCTAAAATCATTATTATCTGTCCCATTCCCTTTAATAAGTGACAGATAAACTAATTAACTGAACAAATGGGCTCCAGTGAGTTTGAGCAACTAAACATACATTTACTTCCTATTTGAAAAATGTGTAACATTATGAAGACAATTACAGTCTTAAGTCAAATTGGCAGAAACTTAAGTATATCTGGCAAGATGACCTTGCCATTAGTGAGGTATTTCTGAGCAGAGGAATGACACTCCCAAACACCTAATATAAAATGTTATGAGCAGTCATTTAATTTGAACACATGCAAAAGCCTGACTTGATTAAGAAGGAAAAATAAAATTATATTTATCGTTATAGAATAGTGTTATAAGTGTGACTTTGATCTTCAAAGTAACTTCTTTTTAATTCTCATTAAAAGTTGCTGTGTTAGGGTTTGCACCATCTCCTCTCCAACTCCAGCAAGTACAGCTCATAGCAACAAAAGTGATTACTTCCTTCTGTTTAAGGAGAGGAGAGTGAAGACAAAAGAGGACTTTGTTTTGCCTTTTGGATGCCAGTTCAGCCACAATAGGATAGGCACCAGGTAGAGTTGTGAGGCCCCATTCCAGGCCCTAGCTCCCAGGTGACATTTCTAGGCAAGTCCTGGGCAAAAAGGGATCCTGTTGCCTTGAAGTGAAGGGCCTGGTCTTGGCAGAATTCACCACCTGCTGACTAAAGAGCCCTTGGGCCCTGAATAACCAGCAGTAATACCCAGGGTGTAAGCCATTGGCCTTGGGCTTTGAGCTGTGCTGGCTTCAGGTGAGACTCAGCACATTCCCACCTATGGTGGCTATAGTGAAAGACTCCTTCTATTTGAGAAAAACAGAGTGAAAAGTAAGGGGGACTTTGTCTTGGACCTTAGTACCAGCTCAGCCACAGTGGGGTAGAGCAACCAGCAGATTCTTGGGGTCCTGGAGTCCAGGCCTAGACTCTTAGGCAGCATTTCTGGACCTGCCCTGGGCCAAAAAGGAGCCCACTGCCCTGAAGGCCGAGTTCCAGGCCTGGCAGCATTCACCACAAGCTGACAGAACAGCCCTGGGGCTTTAAGCTAACATCAGCAGTGGCATGGCAGAACCCCCGGGGACTGGTGGTGATGGTAGCCACAAGCAGAAGCTTCTTTGACTATGTAAAGGGGAAGGAAGGGTGTGAAAAACTCAGTATGGGTAATATTGAGTGTCAACTTGATTGGATTGAAGGATGCAAAGTATTGTTCTTGGGTGTGTCTGAGACAGTGTTGCCAAAGGAGATTAACATTTGAGTCAGTGGACTGGGAGAGGCAGACCCACTCTCAATCTATGGGACACCAGTTCATCAGCTACCAGCATGGCTAGAATAAAGCAGGCAGAAGAAAATGGAAAGAGCAGACTTGCTGAGGCTTCCAGCCTTCATCTTTCTCCTCTGCTGGATGTTTCCTGCCCTCGAACATCAGACTCCAAGTTCTTCAGCTTTTGGAATCTTGGACTTACGCCAGTGGTTTACCAGGGCCTCTTGTGCCTTTGGCCACAGACTGTCAGCTTCCCTATTTTTGAGGTTTTGGGACTCAGACTGGCTTACTTGGTCCTCAGCTTGCAGATGACCTATTGTGGGACCTCAACTTGTGATCGTGTGAGTCAATACTCAATAAACTCCCCTTTATATATACGTATACACCACTACTTCTGTCCCTCTAGAAAACCCTGACTAGTACATGTGGTCTGAGTGCCAGCTAGGATGCAAGAGAGTAGAACATAAGGTGAATTGCTAAGATTTTTGACTCCAATCCCTGGCTTCCACACAGCATCTCTGGACATGCCTGGGCACTGAGAAATTCACCATCCTAAAGGGAAGGCCCTTGGGCAAGGTTTAATACTGTGCTGGCTTTAGGTCTGACCTGGCAGAGTCCCAGTGGTGGTGGCCACAAGGGTGCTTACATCACCACATATGCAGTTTCAAGTGACTCACCACAGAGAGAGAGAGAATCTCTACATTTGGGAGAAAGTAAGATAAAAGAACGAGAGTCTCTGCCTTGTAATTCAGAGAATTCTTCAGGATCTTATCCAAGACCAGCAAGGAGGTACCTTTGAGAGTCTGTAAAAACCACAGTATTATTTGTTTTGAAGCCAAAGTCCCTTTGAATACCTGGAAAGCCTCCCCAGGAAGGACATATGCAAACAAGCCCAGACTATAAAGACTATAGTAAATACCTAACTCTTCAATGCCCAGACACTAGAGAATATCTATAAGCATCAACACTATCCAGGAAAATAGGACCTCATCAAATGAATTAAACAAGGTACCAGGGACAATCCTGGAGAAACAGAGATATGTAACCTTTCAGACACAGAATTCAAAATAGCTGCTTTAAGGAAACTCAAAGAAATTCCAGATAACGCAGAGACGAAATTCAGAATTCTACCAGATAAATTTAACAGAGATTGTAATAAAAAGAATCAAGCAGGAATTCTAGAGTTGAAAAATGCCACTGACATGCTGAAGAATGCATCAAAGTTTCTTAATAGCAGAAATGATCAAGCAGAAAGAATTAGTGAGTTTGAAAACAGGCTATTTGAAATTGCACAGTCAGAGGAGACAAAAAAAGTCAATGAAGCACACCTACAAGATCTAGAAAACAGTCTCAAAGGGCAAATGTAAGAGTTATTGACCGTAAGGAGGAGATAGAGAAAGAGATAGAGGTAGAGAGTTTATTTAAAGAGATAATATCAGAGGACTTCCTAATCCTAGGGAAAGGTAAGAACGTTCAAATACACAAGAGGGAAACAGAACAACATGCAGATTTAGCCCAAATAAGACTATTTCAAGGCATGTAATAATCAAACTCCCAAAGGTCAAGGATAAAGAAAGGATCCTAAAAGCAGCAAGAGAAAAGAAACAAATAACATACAATGGCACTCCAGTACATCTGGCAGCTGACGTTTCAGTGGAAACCTTACAGGCCATGAGAGAGTGAAATGACATATTTTTAATGTGATGAAAAAAATTTACATTAGAATAGTATATTTGGTAAAAATATTCTTTAAGCATGAAGGATAAAGACTGTCCCAGACAAACAAAAGCTGAGAGATTTCATCAACACCAGACCTGTCCAACAAGAAATGCTAAAGGGATTTCTTCAATCTGAAAAATAAATGTTAATGAGCAAGAATAAATTATCTAAAGGCACAAAACTCACTGCTAATAGTAAGCACAAAGAAAAACGCGGAATAGTTTAACACAGTAATTGTAGTGTGTATACGTTTCCTGACTTAAGTAGAAAGACTAAATGATGAAACAATCAAAAACAGTAACACAACTTTTTGAGACATAGACAGTACATATTCAGCCATAAAAAAGAATGAGATTCTGTCATTTGCAACAACATGGACAGAACTAGAGGTCATTGTGTTCAATGAAATAAGCTAGGCACAGAAAAATAAACATCACATATTCTCACTTGTTTGTGAGATCTTAAAAATCAAAACAATTGAAACCATGGACATAATAAATACAAGGATGTTTACCAAAGGCCGGGAAGGGTAGTAGGGGGTGTAGGAAGGGAAGTGGAAATGGTTAATCAGTATAAAAATAAAGACTGAAAGAATGAATAAGACCTAGTATTTGATAGCACATCAGGGGAACTATAGTCAATAATAATTTAATTGTGCATATTAAAATAACTAAGAGTATAACTGGATTGTTTGTAACACAAAGGACAATACTTTAGGGGTTGAATACCCAATTTGTCATCATGTGATTATTATGCATTGCATGTCTATACCAGAATATCTCGGGTACCCCATATTTATATACAAGTACTATGTACTGCAAAAATTAAAAATAAAAAAATTTAAAGTCATAGGGTAAAAGACACAGTACAGTAAGTCACAAAGAGAAACAAAATAGTTAAACAGTGCGGGGGGGGGGTAAAGTTAAATGTAGGATTTTTATTAGGTTTTTTTTGCATGTTTGTTTGTTTGTTTATGCAATCAGTGCTAAGCTGTCATCTGTTTAAGATAATGGGTTATAGGATAGTATTTGCAAGGCTCACAGAAACCTCAAATTGAAAAAGCATACAATAGATATACACACAAAAAATTTTCAAAGCAAGAAATTAAAGCATACCACCAGAGAAAAATCACATTTATTAAAAGAAAGATGGGAAGGAAGAAAATAAGGAAGAGAAGACCACAAAACAACCAGAAAAGAAATAATAAAATGGCAGGAGTAAGTCACCACTTATCTGTCACTCAATAATAACATCGAATGTAAAGAAACCAAACTCTCCAATCAAAAAAGATAGATTGGCTGAATGGATTAAAAAAAACAAGGCCCAGTGATCTGTTGCCTATAAGAAACTCTTCACTCGCCAGGTGCGGTGGCTCACACCTGCAATCCCAGCACTTTGGAAGGCCGAGGCAGGTGGATCAGATCACAAGATCAGGAGTTCAAGACCAGCCTGGCCAACGTGGCAAAACCCCAGCTCTACTAAAAATACAGAAAAATTAGCCGGGCATGGTGGCACATGCCTGTAATCCCAGCTACTCGGGAGGTTGAAGCAGAGAATTGCTTGAACCTAGGAGGTGGAGGTTGCAGTGAGCCAAGATTGTGCCACTGCACTCCAGCCTGGGCAACAGAGTGAGACTCTGTCAAAAAAACACACACAAAAACAAACAAACAAAAAAACACTTCACTGATAAATATGCACATAGATTGAAAATAAAGAAATGGAAAAGGATATTCCATTCCAATGGAAACCTAAAAAGAGCAGGAGTAGCTATACTTATATCAGACAAAATAGATTTCAAGACAGAAACTGTAAAAAGAGATAAAGAAGGTAATTACATACTGATCCATTAGTCAATTCGGCATAAGGATACAACAATTTTAAATATATATGCATCCAACACTGCAGCACCCAGATATATCAAGCAAATATTATTAGAACTAAAGAGAGAGAGAGAGAGAGATCCCAATAGGGAATAGATGGAGATTTCAACACCCCACTTTAAACATTGGAAATATTTACCAGGCAGAAAATCAACGACAACAACAACAACAAAAAATGGGACTTAATCTGCATTATAGACCAAATGAACCTAATAGATATATACAGAACATTTCATCCAACAGCTGCAGAATACACATTTTCCTCACCACATAGATCATTCTCAAGAATAGACCATATGTTAGGTCACAAAAAGAGTTTTAAAACATTCAAAAAAGTTCAGGAAATTTCAGGCATCATCTCTGACCACAGCGGAATAAAACTAGAAATCAACAAGAAGCAGAACTTTGGAAACTATATAAACACATGGAAATTAAACAATGTGCTCCTGAATGACAGTGGGTCAATAAAGAAATTAAAAAGGAAATTGGAATTTTTTTCAAAACAAATGATAATGGAAACACAACATGCCAAAACCTATGTGATATGGCAAAAACAGTACTAAGAGGAAAATCTGTAGCTATAAATGCCTACATAAAATAGAAGAAAAACTTCAAGTAGGTAACTTAATGATGCATCTTAAAGAACTAGAAAATCAAGAGCAAACCAAATCCAAAATTAGTAGAAGAAATACTAAAAATAAGAACAGAAATAAATAAATTTGAAATGAAAATAAATAACAGATAAATGAAACAAATAGTTGTGATTTTTTTGAAAAGATGAACAAAATTAACAAACCTTTAGCCAGACTAGCTAAGAAAAAAAGAGAGGAGACCCAAATAATTAAAACCAGATATGAAAAAAGGAGTAATTACAATGGATGCCACAGAAATTCAAAGGATCATTAGTGGCTAGCATGATCAACTAAATACCAATAAATGGGAAGATCTAGAATAAATAAAAAATTCACAGACATCTACAACCAACCAAGATTGAATAATGAAGAAATGTATAACCTGAGCAGACCAATAACAAGTAATAAAATCAAATCTGTAATAAAAAGTCTCCTAGTAAAGAAAAACCCAGGACAAGATGGCTTCACTGCTGAATTCTACCAATCATTTCAAAAAGCAATACCAATACCACTCAGACTGTTCTGAAAAATAGAGGAAGAGAAGATACTTCCAAACTCATCTATGAGGTCATTATTGTCCTGATACCAAAACAAGACAAAGATACATCAAAAAAAGAAAACCACAGGCCAATAGCTCTGATGAATATTGATTCAAAAATACTCAACAAAATACTAGTAAACTAAATTCAACAATATATTAAAAATATCATTCATCATGACCAAGTAGGATTTACAACAGGGCTGTAAGGATGGTTCAACATATGCAAATCAATCACTGTGAAACATCATACCAACAGAATGAAGGACAAAAACCATAGATCATTTCAAATGATGCTGAAAAGCATTTGATAAAGTTCAACACGCCTTCATAATAAAAACCCTCAACAGTTGGGTAGAGAAGGAACATACCTCAACATAATAAAATCTGCTTATGACAAACCCATAGCTAGTATTATACAGAATATGAAAACACTAAAAGCTTTTCCTCATAGATCTGAAATACTACAAGATTGCTCACTTTCACCATTGTTATTCAATATTGTACTGGAAGTCTTAGCTAGAGCAATTAGACAAGAGAAAGAAATAAAGGGCATCCAAATTGGAAAGGAAAATGTCAAATTATCCTTCTTTGCAGATGATATGATCTTATACTTGGAAAAACCAAAAGATTCTACAAGAAAACTATTAGAACTGATAAACAAATTCAGTAAAGTTGCAGGATACAAAATCGTCATATAAAAATTAGCAGCACTTCTGTATGCCAATAGTAAACAATGTGAAAAATAAATTAAAAAGTAATTCCATTTACAATAGCCACAAATAAAATAAAAAATCTAGGAATTAACCAAAGAAGTAAAAGATTTCTACAATAAAAACTATAAAACATTGATGAAAGAAATTGAAGAGGGCACCCCAAAGTGGAAAGATATTCCATGTTCATGAATTGGAAGAATTAATATTGTTAAAATATCCATACTACACAAAGCAATCTATAGATTCAACACAATCCCTATAAAAATACCAATGACATTCTTCACAGAAATAGAAAAAACAATCCTAAAATTGATATGACATCACAAAAGACCCAGAATAGCCAAAGCCATCCTGAGTAAAAAGAAAAAACTGGATGCATCACATTACCTGACTTCAAATTATACTACAGAGCTATAGTAACCAAAACAGCATGGTACTGGCAAAAAAACAAACAAAAATATCCCGGACACATAGACCAATGGAACAGAGTAGAGAACCCAGAAATAAATCCACACACCTGCAGTAAACACATTTTTGACAAATGTGTCAAGAACATACATTAGTGAAAAGACAGTCTCTTCAATAAATGGTGCTGGGAAAACTGGTTATCTATATGCAGAAGAATGAAACTTGATCCCCATCTCTTATCTTATGCAAAAATCAAAACAAAATAGATTAAAGACTTAAATCTAAGGCCTTAAACTATGAAACTAGTAAAAGAAAACCTTGGGGGAAACTCCAGTAAATTGGTCTGGGCAAAAATTTCTTGAGTAATATCCCACAAGCATAAGCAACGAAAGAAAACATGGACAAATGGGATCACATCAAGTTTAAAAAGCTGAAGTTTATAAAAACTTAAGTTTTAAGTTTAAAAAGCACAGTAAAGAAAAGAATCAAGAAAGTGAAGAGACAAATCACAGAATTGGAGAAAATATTTGCAAACTACCCATCCGACAAGGGATTAATAACCAGAATATATAAGGAGCTCAAACAACTCCATAAGAAAAAATCTGGTCGGGCACAGTGGCTCACGCCTGTAATTCCAACACTTTGGGAGGCCAAGGCAGGCAGATCATGAGGTCAGGAGATCAAGACCATCCTGGCCAACATGGTGAAACCCCGTCTCTACTAAAAATACAAACATTAGCTGGGTGTGATGGTGTGCGCCTGTAATCCCAGCTACTTGGGAGGCTGAGGCAGGAGAATTGCTTGAACCCGGGAGGTGGAAACTGCAGTGAGCTGAGATCGTGCCACTGCACTCCAGCCTGGTGACAAAGCAAGACCCTGTCTCAAAAAAAAAAAAAAAAAAAAAAAAAGAAAAAAGAAAAAAAAAATCTAAGAATGTGGGGTGGGGCCAAGATAGCCAACTAGAAGCAGTGGCAATCAGAGGCAACCATCAAAAAGATCCAAACAGTGTGCAAGTCCTGCAGTGGTAACCGAGGTATCAGGGTTCTGTCATTAGGACTGACTAGGCGGCAGGTATGACCCACAGTGAGGAAGGAAGGGCAGTGTGGTGCAGCCGCCCACCTGAGAGCCACAGGGGGCAGGGGAGCCACCCTCAGCCAAGAGAGGTGCTCTGAGGAATCTGGACAGCCCAGATTAGTAGGTTTACCCCCAGTGTAGCACACCCCATCACCAAGGGACAGCCAAAGTGCCTTGTTAAATGGGTCCTGCTTCCTATGCCACTCAACTGAGTGAGATCCCCCAACAGGGGTTGTCAGACATCTTATATAGAAGTGTTCCTACTGTCATCAGGTCAGTACTCCTCAAGGCCAGAGATCCCAGAGGAAGAAGTAGGCACCCATCTTTGCTCTTCTCCAGCCTCCCTGAATAACATCTCCAGGCATGGAAGTAAATAGGGCATGAGGTAAACCCCCAGCAAACTGCAGCAGCCCTACAGAAGAGGGACCTGACTACTGAAAGAAAAACAAACAGAAAGCCAACATAACAGCATCAACAAAAAAGTCCACACAAAATCTTCATCCAAGGGTCAACAGCCTCAAAGATCAAAACTAGAAAAAATCATGAAGATGAGAAAAAAAAATCAATGAAAAAATGCTTGAAACCCAAAAGGCCAGAGTGCCTCTTCTCCTCCAAATAATTGCAGCACCTTTCCAACAGGGGCCAGAATTGGATGGAGGATGAGATGGACAAATTGACAAAAGTAGGCTTCAGAAGGTGGGTAATAACAAACTTCACTAAGGTAAAAGAGCATGTTCTAACCCAATGCAAAGAAGCTGAGAACCTTGACAAAATGTTAGAGGAGGTGGTAACTAGAAGAACCAGTTCAGATAGAAACATAAATGACCAACGGAGCTGAAAAACATAGCATGAGAACTTCGTGAACCATACACAAGTATAAATAGCAGAATTGATCAAGTGGAAGAAAGAGTATCAGAGTTGGAAGACTATCTTGCTGAAATAAGGCAGGCAGACAAGATTAAAGAGAAAAAAAATAAAAAGGAAAAACAAAACCTCTGAGAAATATGGGCCTATGTAAAAAGACCAAACCAACGACTGATTGGAGTACCTGAAAGAGACAGGGTGAATGGATTCAAGTTGAAAAACACACTTCAGGATATTATCCAGGAGAACTTCCCCAACCTAGCAAGACAGGCCAACATTCAAATTCGGGAAATACAGAGAACACCACTAAGATACTCCATGAGAAGATCAACCCCAAGACACATAATGATCAGATTCTCCAAGGTTGAAATGAGGAAAAAATGTTAAAGGCAGCCAGAGAGAAAGGCCAGGTCACCTACAAAGGGAAGCCCATCAGATTAACAGCAGACCTCTCAGCAGAAACCCTACAAGCCAGAAGAGAGTAGGGGCCAATATTCGACATTCTTAAAGAAAAGAATTTTCAACCTGGAATTTCATATCCAGCCAAACTAAGCTTCATAAGTGAAGGAGAAATAAAATCCTTTTCAGACAAGCAAATGCTGAGGGAATTCGTCATTACCAGGCCTGCCTTGCAAGAGTTCCTGAAGAAAGCACTAAGTATGGAAAGGAAAAACCAGTACTAGCCACTGCAAAACACAAGAAAATATAAACACCATTGACATCATGAAGAAACAGCATCAACTAGTGTGCAAAATAACCAGCTAGCATCATGATAACAGAATCAAATTCACACATAACAATATTAACCTTAAATGTAAATGGTCTAAATGCCCCAGTTAAAAGACACGGACTAGGCTGGGTGTGGTAGCTCACGCCTGTAATCCTAGCACTTTGGGAGGCGAAGGTGGGCAGATTGCCTGAGTCAGGAGTTCAAAACCAGCCTGGGCAACATGGTGAAACCCCATCTGTACTAAAAAATACAAAAAAATTAACCGGGTGTGGTGGTGGGTGCCTGTAGTCCCAGCTACTCAGGAGGCTGAGGCAGGATAATTGCTTGAACCTGGGAGGCAGAGGTTACAGTGAGCCAAGATCGTGCTACTGCCTTCCAGCCTGTGCGACGGAGAAAGACTCTCTCAAAAAATAAAAAAAGAAGAAGAAGAAGACACAGACTGGCAAATTGGATAAGGAGTCAAGGCCCATCAGTGTGCTGTATTCAGGATACCCATCTCACGTGCAAAGATACCATAGGCTCAAAATAAAGGGATGGAAGAATATTTACCAAGCAAATGGAAAGCAACAAACAAACAAACAAACAAACAAAAAAACAAAAAAAACGGGTTGGATTCCTAGTTCCTGATAAAACAGACTTTAAACCAAAAAAGATTAAAAGAAGAAGAAGAAGAAGAAGGGCGTTACATAATGGTAAAGAGAACAATTCAACAAGAGGAGCTGACTATCCTAAATATATATGCACCCAATACAAGAGCACCCAGATTCATAAAACATGTTCTTAGAGACCTACAAAGATACTTAGACTCCCACTCAATAATAGTGAGAGACTATAACACCCCACTGGCAATATTAGACAAATCCATGAGACAGAAAATTAACAAGGATATTCAGGACTTGAACTCTGCTCTGGATCAAATGGACCTAATAAATATCTATAGAACTCTCTACCCCAAAACAATAGAATATACATTCTTCTCAGAGCCACATGGGACTTATGCTAAAATTGACCACATAATTGGAAGTAAAACACTCCTCAGCAAACGCATAAGAACAGAAATCATACAAACAGTCTCTTAGACCACAGTGCAATCAAATTAGAACTCAGAATTAAGAAACTCACTGAAAACCACACAATTACATGGAAATTGAACAACCTACTCCTGAATGATTCCTGGGTAAATAATGAAATTAAGGCAGAAATCAAGAAGTTCTTTGAAACCAATGAGAACAAACAGACAATGTACCAGAATCTCTGGAACACAGCTAAAGCAGTTTTAAGAGGGAAATTGATAGCACTAAATGCCCACATCAGAAAGCTAGAAAGATCTCAAATCGACAGAACTACAGATGCAAGAGCAAAGACATCAAAAAGCTAGCAGAAGACAAGAAATAATTAAGATCAGAGTGGAACTGAAGGAGACAGAGAAACAAAAAACCCTTCAAAAAATTAGTGAATCCAGGAGCTGGTTTATTGAAAAAAATTAATAAAATAGACTGCTAGCTAAACTAATAAAGAAGAAAAGAGAGAAGATTCAAATCAACACAATAAAAAATGAATAAGGGGATATCATCACTGACCTCACAGAAATACAAACTACCATCAGAGAATACTATAAACAACCCTACACAAATAACTAGAAAATCTAAAAGAAATGGATGAATTCCTGGACACATACACCCTCCCAAAACTAAACCAGGAAGAAGTCGAATCCTTGCATAGACCAATAACAAGTCCTGAAATTGAGGCAGTAATAGTATGCCAACCAAAAAAAAAAAAAAGCCCAGGACCACATGGATTCACAGCCAAATTCTACCAGAGGTACAAAGAGGAACTGGTACCATTCCTTCAGAAATTATTCGAAATAATTGAAAAGTAAGGACTCCTCCCTAACTTATTTTATGAGGCCAGCATCATTCTGATACCAACACCTGGCAGAGACACAACAAAAAAAGAAAAGTTCAGGCCAACATTCCTGATCACCATAGATGTAAAAATCCTTAATCAAATACTGGCAAACCAAATCCAGCACCACATCAAAAAGTTTATCCACCACTATCGAGTCAGCCTCATCACTGGGATGCAAGACTGGTTCAACATAAGTGAATCAATAAACGTAATCCATCACACAAACTGAACCAATGATAAAAACCACATGATCGTCTCAATAAACGCAGAAAAGGCCTTCAATAAAATTCGACATACCTTCAGGTTAAAAACTCTCAATAAACTAGGTATTGATGGAACATATCTCAAAATAATAAGTGCTATTTATAACAAACCCACAACTGATATACTAAATGGGCTAAAGCTGGAAGCGTTCCCTTTGAAAACTGGCACAAGGTAAGGATGTCCTCTCTCACCACTCCTATTCAACATAGTATTGGAAGTTCCAGCCAGGGCAATCAGGCAAGAGAAATAAAAAAAGGTTTTCAATTAGGAAGAGACAAAGTCAAACTGTCTCTGTTTGCAGATGACGTGATCCTACACCTAGAGAACCCCATCATCTCAGCCCATAAGCTGATAAGCAATGTCAGCAAAGTCTCAGGATACAAAATCAATGTGCAAAAATCACAAGAATTCCTATACAACAACAATAGACAAGCAGAGAGCCAAATCATCAATGAACTCCCATTCACAATTGCTACAAAGAGAATAAAATACCTAGGAATATAGCTAAGAAGGGATGTGGAGAAACTCTTCAAGGAGAACTACAAACCACTGCTCAAGGCAATAAGACAGGACACAAGCAAATGGAAAAACATTGTATCCTCATGGATAGGAAGAATCAACATAATGAAATGGCCATACTGCTCAAAATAATTTATAGATTGAATGCTATTCTCATCAAACTACCATTAACATTCTTCACAGAATTAGAAAAAAAAACTACTTTAAATTTCATGTGGAATCAAAGTAGAACCCATATAGCCAAGACAACCCTAAACAAAAAGAACAAAGCTGGAGGCATCATGCTACCTGACTTCAAACTATACCACAAGGCTACAGTAACCAAAACACTATGGTACTGGTACCAAAACAGACACATAGACAACTGGAACAGAATAGAGACCTCAGAAATAAGACCACATGCCAGGCACGGTGGCTCATGCCTGTAATCCCAGCACTTTAGAATGCTGAGGCAGGTGGATCATGAAGTCAGGAGTTCAAGACCAGCCTGACCAACATGGTGAAACCCCATCTCTACTAAAAATACCAAAATTAGCCGGGCATGGTGGTGTGTACCTGTAGTCACAGCTACCTGGGAGGCTGAGGAAGGAGAATCGCTTGAACCCAGGGGGAGGCGGAGTTTGCAGTGAGCCGAGATCTTGCCACTGCACTCCAGTCTGGGTGACAGAGTGAGACTCCATCTCAAAAAAATAAAAAAGAAGACCACACATCTACAACCATCTGATCTTAAACAAACCTAACAAAAACAAGGAATAGGGAAAGTATTCCCTATTTAATAATAGGTGCTGGGAAAACTGGCTAGCCGTATGCAGAAAATTGACACTGGACCCCTTCCTTACACCTTATAGAAAAATTAACTCAAGATGGATTAAAGACTTAAATATAAAACCCAAAACCATAAAAGCCTTAGAAGAAAACCTAGGCAATACCATTCAGGACATAGGCATGGGAAAAGCTTGTATGATGACATCTCCAGAAGCAACTGTAACAAAAGCTAAAATTGGCAAATGGGTTCTAATTAAACTAAAGAGCTTCTGCACAGCAAAAGAAACTATCGTTAGATTGAACAGGCATCCTACAGAGTGGGAGAATATTTTTGCAATCTACCCTTTTGACAAAGGTCTAATATACAGAATTTACAAGAAACTAAAACAAATTTACAAGAAAAAACAAACAAACAACCCTTTTTCAAAGTGGGCAAAGGATATGAACAGACACTTCTTTAAAGAAGAAATTTAGGTAGCCAACATGAAAAAAAGCTCAACATCACTGATCATTAGAGAAATGCAAATCAAAACCACAATGGAATACCATCTCACGCCAGTCAGAATGGCAATTATTAAAAAATCACAACAATTAATGATGGCAAGGCTGTGGAGAAATAGCAACAGGTTTTACATTGCTGGTGGGAATGTTAATTAGTTCAACCATTGTGGATGACAGTGTGGCGATTCCTCAAGGATCTAGAACCAGAAATGCCATTGGATCCAGCAATCCCATTACTGGGTATATACCCAAAGGAATATAAATCATTCTATTATAAAGATATATGCATAGTATGTTTATTGTAGCACTATTCACAACAGCAAAGAGATGGAACCAACCCAAATGTCCATCAATGATAGACTGGATAAAGAAAATGTGGTACATATAAACCATGGAATATTATGCAGCCACAAAAAGGAATGAGATCATGTGTTTTGCAGAGACATGGATGAAGCTGGAAGTCATCATACTCAGCAAACTAACACAGGAACAGAAAACCAAACACTGTATGTTCTCACTCTTAGGTGGGAGTTGAACAATGAGAACACATGGACACAGGGAGGGGAACAACGCACACTGGGGCCTGTAGGGAAGGGACAAAGTGGGGGAGAGCATCAAGACAAATAGCTAATGCATGCAGGTTTAAAACCTAGGTGATGGGTTGATAGGTGTAACAAAGTACCATGGCACTCATATACCTTTGTAACACGCCTGCATGATCTGCACATGTATCCCAGAACTTAAAGTTTAAAAAAAAAATTGAATATCCAATTACAAAATGGGCAAAAGATTTGAATGGAAATTTCTCAAAAGAAGACATACAAATGGCAAACATGCATTTGAAAATGTGCCAACATCATGGATCATCAGATAAATGCAAATCAAAACTATAATAAAATATCATCTCACCCCAGTTAAAATGGCTTTTATCCAAAAGTCAGGAGCTAACAAATGCCAGAGAGGATGTGGAAAAAAGGCAACCCTCATACACTGTTGGTTGGAATGTAAATTGGTACAACCACTATGGTGAACAGTTTGAGGTTTTTCAAAAACTGAAAACAGAGCTACAATAAAATCCAGCAATCTCACTTTCGGGTATGTATCTAAAAGAAAGGAAATCAGTATATCAAAGGGATATTTGCCCTCCTATGTTTATCACAGCACTGTTCACAATAGTTAAGATTTGGAAGCAACCTAAGTGTTCATTAACAGATGAAAGGATGGAGGAAATGTGGTACCTCTGCACAGTGAAGTACTATTCACCATAAAAAAGAATGAGAGTCTGTCATTTGCAACAACAGGGATGGAACTGGAAGTCATTATGTTAAGTGATATAAGCCAGACACAGAAAGAGAAACTATGCATGTTTTTACTCATTTGTGAGATCTAAAAATCTGAAGAATTAAACTCATGGACATAGAGAAGAGAGAAACAGTGGTCACCAGTGGTTGGAATGGGTCATAGGGTGTACAGGGAAGGATATGCAGATTGTTGACGGGCACAAAACAAAATTAGAAAGAATGAATAAGACCTAGTATTTGGTAGCACATCAGGGGGACTGTAGTCAATAATAATCTAATTATGCATCTTAAAATAACTAAGAGTATAATTGGATTGTTTGTAACACAAAAGATAAATGCTTGAGGGAATGAATACCCAATTTTCCGTGATGTGATTATTATGCATTGCATGCCTGTACCACAGTATCTCATGTACCCCATAAATATATACAACTACTATGTATCCAGAAAAAATAAAATTGTTTTCTAAAGTTTCTATGTTGATTCAAGGTAGATTTCTCATTTATAGAAAAGTTAACTTGCTAGTGTTGAGAAACAGTAATGCCTATAAAGAAACTAGAATTAGACATCAGGCCTTAACCAAGTTTGGAATCCCACACCAAGAGAGAGTTATTATTAATCTAAGTCATTCATGTCATTAATCTAAGCCATCTATGACAGGAACAGTGCTTTTCTAGGGCTTCTACAGATTATGCTCTCATGTAGAACAACACTTACTAACTCCTTCACCATGCATACACAGAAATGTGTAGAGTCCTATATTTACTTACATGATTTGTGGGGAAATGTGGTTTCTTTTTTTTAGAAAAAAATAAGAAGCGAAGTATTATTTTACCTTGGGAACTGTATTTTCAACATGCAACATTCAATATATATTCCTAAATTTATTTTGGATCATGAGGCTGTTTTAACCATGAGAAAATCTTAAGTTTTACCTAAAACTCTCTACAGTAATTAAACCTAGAAATGTTTATTTCTGCTGATGAAAATATATTTTTATGCTGAAAAGAAGTTTGATATATTTGATATGCTCAGACCAGTAATTGAGTTTGGATCAGCATATTAATCTTTATTATTCAAGTTTCTAGAATAACTGCAGCTAGAAATGTGTTTAATGTGCTTATGGTAAGTGATTGGCAACAAGAATTATTGAAAACGTAGAATAAAAGTAGAAGAAAGAAAAGCATTGTACAATCATGCACTTTACAAAGAAGTTTCCTTAAATTAATGGGCCTTAAGAATTTTTTCTGGACTGAAGTAGGTTGATTGAGTAATCAAATTCCACAGACTAATGGAAATAATAAACCTCCTAAAGCCCAACCTTGCAAAAAAAACCCACTTGAGTTTTATTGGAGAAAATTTTATAGCAATGCTTAATGAGACGGCAAGCATGCATGAATAATTATTTTTACTTACTGTTCTCATTAAAGGAAACAATGAGTTATCATTCTTTTAGTCAGAAGTAAAAATTCTTCCCCTATCATTACCATTAACTTGACTTATTTTGTATTTTTTAAAACTCCATTTAAATTCTTCCTTGAAGTGATAGAAGAAATAGACAATTTTAATCAGAGAAAGGGGAACCATTTTTCCTTTGGTCAAACAATTATCTTAAGTTTTCAACAAAAGTGTTGCAAATATTCAGATAGAAGGGGCAGCGTTTGGGTACCACAATTATTATCCTTCACTCTGGTACTCATTCTCAGACATGAAAAACCTGTTTATAAAGGCAAGAAAATGTTTTATTACTGACACCAAAAGGACTGAAAATTATCAAAAAGTGAATAAAACAGTCCCTGTCCTCATGGGTCTTAACAATGAGTGGTTAAGAAGGAAAGGGATTGGATTTCTGGATGTTAGTCACATCCTTCTGAGCTCCTGCAACATAAGTGACTTATGCCACTATTTTCAAAATATGCACAGAGAGACTTCTGCTTCCAGGAAGATAAAGTGGATGTAGCTTTCCTTATTTCTGCCAAGTACAGTTACAAATACTATACAGTGTTTACAAAAGAAACATACGAAGTCTTTCAAAGTTGAAGAACAGGCTGACTGGCTAGAGAATTTAGCACAGTGGTGAGTTTCCTTGGTTTTCTTTTTGCCTCAGATATCCCAGACTTGGAGCTTAAGAAGCAGGCAATACAGGACATCAACAGGTGCAGACAAAGAAGCCCGAACAAGTCAGCCTTTTCTAGTGAAAGGACCAGGAAAGGGGCAGTTTTGCAGGACAGAAAACTTTTAGACTTTAATAACTCTGCTCCAGCTAAACACCACAGAAATATCTGTGTCCCCATCCCCGCTCATGATGGCTGAATGGGCAGGGAAGACTTCTACCTTCCAGAGGCTATAACAAAGCACCCTAACCCCTCACCAGAGCTACGCTATAGAAGAGAAGACAAAGCAGGATCTGGACTTTTTATCCCATGCCAGCCACAGGGACAGCTTGCACTTATGCCCTATCTGGCAGTAATACGGCACGCTTCCCACTCCCTATTCAGGGGTTGCCAGAGGAGGACTAGTGGACAGAGAGGACTTTCACAGCTACCCAGTGATAATGAGGCCACTTCCACCTTGGTGTGGATCTCCGTCAGTTGGGGACCTGCAAATCCTCCCACCCCAGCAGTCACAAGACGCCCTCACCATCAGGTGTCAACATAGGCTAAGTTGGGGAACCTGTTCTTCGCCTCCACCTGGCAATCACAAGGTGTTCTCCCCTTTCTGTAAGGGTACATTCAAATTTTAAAAAGAAAAAAAAAATTAATTTTCCTTAATGTAAAATGGAAAAAGACTTTTCCTCCCCCTGCCCTTTGCTTAGAACATTTACTTTAGAAAACCTCTGTGAATTCTTTCTCTGCCCCCTATGATGAATATAAATCTTTCTGAAAGCTAAATAGGCCTCAGGTCAGTTTTTAAACTCAGGAACCTTTTTTTCCCAAGAACCCAGAAGCTATCTTTGAAATGTAATCATCAAAGAAGATAGTTCCCTTATCTCTCAGCTTCTAGAGAAGGGTAGGAACCTAACTTCCTCAGGGTAGTTGCAATATGCCTCCTTTTTGTAAAGATATGAGAAGTCTATTTTCCTTTGGATAAAGGCAATTAGTAAACGTAGACTGTCACTCTAATTATCAGGTAAATTTAAGATAAACTGTGTGACAAATTTCAAGTCCTCTTATTTGAGGATTAGTTGTCATTTATCCTGAAAACATGTATGTAATGGATCATACCTGCCTGATTATACAAAAGGGTAGAATTTCTTTCTCTCTTTGCAATCTCTTTAGCAGATTGTCTGTGGTGGGCATCACATTCTGATTTAGTGCTTATTCAAAAATAGAACTGTTTTCTTTCTCTTCTGTCTTTGTGGAGAGGTTTTCTGAATTGGCAGAAAATTTTACTTTTAATTATATTTCCCCAAGATTTCAAAGAAAAGCAAGAGTAGCTCTATTAATAACAGGTAGAATTCAGAGTGAAAAAAAACTATTACATACAGGGAGGAATATTATGTGATAATTAAAGGGTCAATCCTTCAAGAAGACATAGCAATCCTACATATGTATGTACCAAACAAAGCTGCAAATTGTATACCTGGAATTGTACTCTCTGGAGAAGTACATGAAAGAATACTGGGCCAAGGGTTAGGAGATCTTGATTCTTACATGTTCTACCACTAAATAGCTATGTGACGTTGGCCAATTTGCTTAACTTCCTTGAGCCTCAGTTTCTCTATTTTCTATAAAATATGAAATATGAAGATCATGCAGTTTAATATGTTATAGATATTGATAATTTTCAGAAGAAGCACAAACATTTATAGTCACATTTCATAAAATATATTTTTATGTTATGAAAGAATATTTGCAGTGGTCTATACAAAGATCATTACATAAATGGAATGAAGGTTAAAAATCATAGTAACACTTTTTTTTGTTTGTTTTTTGAGATGGACTCTCACTCTGTTTCTAGGCTGGAGTGCAGTGGTGTGATCTTGGCTCACTGCAACCTCTGCCTCCCGGGTTCAAGTGATTCTCCTGCCTCAGTCTCCTGAGTAGCTGGGACTACAGGCACGCATCACTATGCCTAGCTAATTTGTGTATTCTTTAGTAGAGACGGGGTTTTGCCATGTTGGCCAGGATGGTCTCAATCTCTTAACCTCGTGATCTGCCCCCCTTGGCCTCCCAAAATGCTGGGATTACAGGTAGGAACCATGGTTGAGAGAATTTGGCACACATTATTTCTACTCTAAGCCAACATTTGTCTAACCTTGAGTCATGAGTCATATTGTAACATAAAATTCAGTTAAATGAGAGCAATCATATGAAAATATATAGTATATTTACTACATATAAGAATAGTATATATAGTACAAAATATATAATAGTATCAGAAAATATTACCCTATAAAGAACTTTAGAAATGATTTTCTTCAACTCTTACTTTATACCAATAAGGAAATTAAGGACAGAGAGTTTGAGTTACACAGTGAGTAGTAATAGTACAAGATGTGGAAATCCAGGTCTTCTGGATTTAATTATGCCTATACAGTGGTTATCAAGCTCACAGCCAAATCATATTGTAGATTGGCCATTAATTTACAGAGTAACTTTAATGGACAGTCTCAATTTCTCTACACTTAAAAAATATAAACAAAGAAAACTAGCATTTGGAGAATATAATAAAGGTTTTGTAAGCTATCTAAGTGCTAAAAGGTAAGCAACAAGTATTTTCAGAGCAGTTATCAAACCTAAACTTCCTCATGTTTCAATTTGCTAAAAAAAAAAAAATATTATTTTCTTCAATAAACAGGTGGGAAAGACAAGGCAGAGAAAAATTAATGGATGTTTTCAAGGCATTATAGTACATATATTGATTTTCATGTGGTATTAGAACAGAAACACATTTCTTTTATTAGAGTACAGTTTCATTAAATCTTAAAAGTACACTGTAGGATATTGACAGGTGCCCAATGGGAAAGTCCATCAACAAGCATTTATTGACCACTTAACTCTGCAGGGCAGTGTACTAAACACAATGAGACCTCACAAAAGAAATGGAAGGCATGACCCTTGACTTGTGGATGTTAAAAACAAAGGCTGCTGCATACCAATTATTTTAGAATTTATGATAATCTGTCATTTTAGATGAGTGAGAAAGCATTCTTATTTCTTTCTCTCAATCCAGAGGTAAATATATTCCTAGGTATTCTCAGCAGTAAGCTAAATGATTCCTCTTGCATTGTATTTTTGTAACCATGTTTTAGTAGTTTCTGTCTGGAAATTAAATGCATGTTAAATGAAAAAAAGTCTTTTCTCAGATTTGAATGACGAGGTTAAGATGGTAGGAGTTAAAACCTCAGGGTCTGGAAACAGGCTCACCTGGGGCAAATGCCATTACCACCACCTTAACCTGCGGCCTGGGGCAACCTAACTTCCCTTCCTGGTCTCAGGTCTCAGTTTCATTTGTAAAATGGGGATCACAATAGTCTAGCCTCATAATGAGACAGCTAAGTGTAAGCGGGTCCCCGGAAAAACTCCAACCAGCCTACACACTGGGAAAAATGTGCACGGGTGGAGCCACAGAAGTTCCTCCATTTGCAGCGGGGAAGAGCCTGGCCCTTCCTCTTCCTGGGTGGAACCTGGGATTCAGTCTGTGAAGTGGGAAGCGTACTAGTCGGACTCTTGTTCAGGAGAGAGTCCTTTTTTTCCCTTTTGCCCAACAAATTCCATTTTTCCTCACCCTTCAAGGTGTCTGTGAGCCTAATATTTCATGGCCGTGTGACAAGGACCCCCGTCTTTAGCTGAACTAAGGAGAAAGTCCTACAACAATAACATAATTATGTGAATTAAATTCTATTATCTTTAAGTGCTTGGCATGTTTCCTAGTACATAATAGTTGCTAGGTAAAATTTTAGTAATTTTTAACATTAATATTAACAATGCTACCATTATTATTTCTAAAACTTGTCAGAATATATGAAAGAGCATTTATATTTAATGCTATTTCCACTGTATTGTTGGAATATAGCAATGAAATGGTATTAAAATGGTAACTAAAATGTGCACAAAGGTTGCCCCTAACCACGCTCTCTCAACTATTTCTTAATATACAATATCACATTTTTCAGAAAAATAGACTACTTTTAGGGCACTTGATTTATCTTCCTAGATGAAAGATAGACACATATGTATTTATTTCATATCTGGTGCAAAGAATATATCATCATGACACTCAATGAAGAAAAATCTTATAGTTCTTAGCAACTGATAGCTTTTAGAGGCACTTTAAATCCCATGAGAAGGTTCACTTCCATCATATCCATCTTTTAACTTATGTATAAAGGTGCCATAACATCTGTCCTTTTACTGAAAAAAAAATTTGCTTTTGGCTAGAAGATAAAGTTTTCAGAAGGCTCTCACTCAAACAACCATTTTTTAAGCAACCAATAGAAATACCAAATTTTTTAAAATTTAACTTTTAAGTTCAGGGGTACATGTGCAGATTTGTTATATAGGTAAAAACTTGTGTCATGGGGGTTTGTTGTACAGATTATTTCATCACCCAGGTATTAAGCCCAGTATGCATTAGTTATTTTTCCTGATCCTCTCCCTGTTTCCACCCTCCACCCTACAATAGGCCCCAGTGTGTGTTGCTCCTATGTGTCCATGTGTTCTCATCAAGAAATACCAAATCTAATACATAAATCCATGTAACACCTAAATTTACTAGAGTTCCTCATTTACTAGAGTTCCTTTGTTACTTAGTAAATGATACTTATTCCTCCCAATTTTATTTCAAAATAGTTGTGAAAATAGATTTATGTACAGTCTCAAGGAAATTATGTTTTCCTTTCTTCTCTTTTTACCCTTCCTTCCTTCCTTCCCTCCCTCTCTCGCTCTCTCTCTCTCTTTCTTTTTGGTCTTAACATTATTCCTAGCACACTTAAAATTATTTCGCTATTTCTAGGTGTATAGTAACATCTGTACAGGTATTATAGTAGTCCCCACTCGGAATGGCTTTTGACTTCTGCCCTCTCCTCTAGTGATTGAAATCTTATCCTCCTGTAGAGAAATGCTGTATCAGCATGGAAAGACAGAGTCAGACTTGCTAGGCTTGAAACCCTGCTCTACTATTTATTAGCTGAATATCCTGGGGCAAGTAACTGAACCTCTCTGTTACTTTTTCTATAAAGTAGGGATACTGTTGGGACTTTAAAAATATGATGTATGTAAAGCACTTAGTAGAGTGTCTAGCACTTGTAATGCACTCAATCAGCCCTAGCTATTATTTTATTATTACGACTATTCAAGATATAACTCACACATCAGGTCTCCCATAAAACTTTTACTGACATGCTTCAGTGGAATAAACATTCATCTTTGACTTAGCTTCACATGAAATTCTATGATGGCTTTCCAATTTTTAGCAAGTTCTTTAACTTTGCAATTCTATTTCCTGATCTTGAGGTAATAATAACTAAATGTGATCATATTTGCAATGTGTTCTCTCTATGAGAGGCTAAAGTGAAACTTCTGCTGCTGCTCCTAGATACAACTGCAAATTCTTGTGAAGATTTCTAACTATCCTGTGCTTTGTAACTTATTATGTATGTCACAAAAGACAAAGCAATAGCTTTTATTGTGGAAACTACACACTCTTAAGGCGGTCTGTGAATCTGCAGAAATTGTTTGCAAAACATCATGTACATGTCCAAATATACACAGATATATTTCTGAGGGAATGTTTCAGATCTTTGATTAGATTCTCAAAGGGATATATACCCAAAACAAAGAGATATAGACCAACGATTTGGAGACAGAGTTGTGACCACACTCCAGCAGCTGAATAGGAATTCTTGGCATTTATTTTGTAAGCGGCCCTCACCCCTTGCTTCATTTTTCTATTTTTATTTCCTTAATGCTCATATTTTTCTTCAAAAGTAAAATGCATTTCATCCTGCCAATGCCAAAACATAGTAGCTGGTTTCATTAATGTTAGTTCCTTTTTTTCTTCTTAATATGCCTGACAATTATATACACACTGCCAACTATTGATTAATTCTTTAAGAGCACATGAAGGACAAATATGTCCTTCATGCTAGACCGAATTCCAGGGGACGTAGAAGTAAGCCAGATAGGAAAGTTTTCTGCTACCCTCGTAGGTTTTCTTTCAAATGCAATAGACAGACATCAAACAAATAATTGCATTAAATAACAGGTTAATGATATAATTTCTGATAGTGCCATGAAAAAAATGAAGAAAGATAATGTGGTAAGAATGATGAAAAAGTAATGTCTGAGCAAATATGTAAAATAATTTAATGCAGCCAGCTATGAGAGTGGGAAAAGAACATTCTGGACAGAGGGTACAAGCAGCAAAGAACAAGCTTGACATGCTTGAAAAATAGAAATGCTTCATTAAAATAAAAACAAAGTAAAAGAATCTTCATTGTTTTAGGCTAATTAAAGCAGTATTATATTCTTATTTTAGAAAATGTGAAACATACAAAGAAGTATAAAAATAAAATGTATTTCAAAAAAGCCTTTTAATAATTTTGGTATTTTCCTATATTTCCTCCCAGAAATTTTAAATATATGTTTAGCAAAGGAAAAGGTCTAAAAGATGCTGCTATGTACAATTTTTATTCTGCCTTTAAATCTATTGTGAGGAATATCTTCCTGGATCATTAAAAATATTAATAAACATAATTGCTAATTGCTGCATATTATTTCATGACACAAAAGTATTAACTTTTATGTAATCAATCCCCATGGACTTTTAAGTTACTTTTAGTTTTTTTTTTCTGACATAAATGCTATAATTATTATTTTTATGGAAATATTTATGTTATTATCTTTGAACAGTTTATTGGATTAGATGACTGGAAGTAGAATTCATTTTGATTTTAAATGTCCAAATAGCATAAAGCGTCTCTTAGACTTATTCAGCTCAGTGTAGATTTAGTATAAAACATGTTTAAAGAGATGTTTTTTTAACCTACCATTTTGTCTATATCAGTCATGTGTTCACATATTTATATGTCCACTGGCCTTTTTAAATAATTCATCAAGACAGAAGACCATTCCAGTCCGCAGGAGAGTAGTCCTTAAAAGAGAAAGGACTCTTTGTGATTTAAAAGATGGTCTTTAGTAAAAATAGCCTCCCAGAGACTCACTAAAATTATGACTACTAGAAGTCGCTAATTCAGAGTTCAGAGAAAACAAACAAACCTTGGTTTCTTTATAATTCAGTAACAGAAAATAATTCCATAAGTAAGATAACATTTTGGCAATGATGGATATCTCAAAATTTGTACTTACAGCTATACTTGAAGCTACCTTGATCTCCACCTGCGTTTCAGCAATACTCTTTGATCCACATGCTTATTTATTGCCTTTCTATCTTATCCTAGAGCTATTTCTGCCCAGTAGAAGAACAACATCAATAAACTACAAGATTTTATTAGGTTTATCCAACAAATGCTGATCTCTCCTGTTGGGTTTAATTTGTTGGTCTGTTATGGTTGTTCCAATACATCATTTAGTGACCTTTTCTTCTGTATATTCTAGAGCCCATGTAACATTAATCCTTTTATGTACTTATATTGGAGAATTACTGATGTGCAATTGTCATTCCTAATAATTGTGGTGTTGTTGATTAACGCATAAAAAGCAGTCACATAGGTAAGCAACCAAAGCAATACATATTAGAAGCTACAGAATGACAAATTTTATTCTTTGTCCTCTATTTACTTGGAAGACCAACCTGAGCAGGCAGTTTAACCTCTTTGCTAATAAATGATGAGGTGTCCAGTTTGTCTTTCAAGTGCTTATTTTTTCTTAGATGACAAAAGAAGTGTCTAATCAGGTTCATTTTAAACCACTTCACAAATACAAAGGCTATAAAAATATTGAATAGGACTTATATGTTCACTGGAGTAAAAATGCTTCCTGAAAAATATATTTTTAATTAAGGGTCATAGGAGAGGAGAAAAATCTCTCTCTCCCATCCTAAGAGAAAACTACCCCTATGACCCTTCTCTTATTTTTCCCAAGAGTGAGGTCTGAGGAATAAATGTAGAGCTGCTGAAATAAAATAAATACAAGTCATATAAAATTAAATTATGCACTTAATTGTCAATATAAACATATAAAAAGATCACTGCAAAAAAACTTTTCTGGACCCTGAATTATTGAAAACACACACACACCCCACAAGATTGTTAGAATTATGCTGCTCTTCCTGTAATATTATGCTCAACTTGGGCTTCTTATGTATGCCTCATTAAAAAATACCTTTTAAAGAATTTTTCCCAGTCTGTTGGTGATTAACAGATATCTCACCAGAGAGCCTTTACAGAGAGGTTTAGAAATAAATCTGAATTCCACAGCTCAATGAAAGCTGTGAACTACAACACGGAACATCTTTTACAGACATTGGGATATTATTTTTACCCTTCTTATCTGTGAGTTCTATGGCTTGCCAACCATATACCATACCAAAGTTTATACAATGTGTATAAGTCATATCCAAGAGGAATTGCTTTTTCTTCTGAAACCTGAAAGCCTAGGCAAGCATGGTTCTGACTTTTCAAATGGTGCAGTGAATATTTCATAAGTCAAAAAAAAAAACATTAAGTTTCAAGGCAAGAAAATCATAGGAGGATTGGTCCCATACCAACTTTATTTATATTTTGAGAAGATGCATATGAGGTTTTTTAATTCTCTAATTTAAAAATTTTACCCTCTCCAGAATTAGTCTGTTTGCATGTGTGATGCATAGCAGACCCTGACAAGAAAAGGCTTGGTTCTGGTGCTATTCTGTAAGTAGTGTTGCTTATTTGATCTCCCCAGTATTGACACCAGAGTCCTGACTCAGTCTATCAGTTAGAATGTACATAATTTCTCTTTTGTTTGGTGGTTTAGGAACCACAGAGGTGCCTAAATTTAGGACTTACCCAGGGATAAAATAAGAATTAACCTGCTTAAATGAAATAAAAATGTATGACTATGGTAGAATTGTGTTTTAATTGAAAACCTAATGTTTTTTTCTTCTTCTCTTTCTAGGAGGTACTGGAAGAAGGGCATGGAAATAGTTTCCTTTACCTCCTGGAGAGATTTGGCAATTAATTTCTCCCAGTCGTACAAAAGAAGGGATGTTGATTTTACTTGCCGATAGCTTGGGGTCTGAGTTGGTGAGCCATACAAGGTCTATGAAGGAAACAGAAGGGAAGAAGGTTTTTGAGGGAAGAGGAAGAAATACAGGGAAGAAGAGAGATGAAGGGACCCAGGGAGGAGAGAGAATGAGCAAGAGAGAGAGAGTCATGAAAGGAAACAGAGAAGGAGCATTTCCTCATGTTAAAAGGAGACCAGTAGAGGTACACTGGTAGGGGAGAGTATAAATTGATCCTGAAAGCCCAAAGGAAATTGATCAAGAAGGGAAAGACTAGTGAGAGAAAAACTCAGAAAGGAACACTAAAGAAAAGATTATCTGAAGGTCTGGAAGCCAAAGGATAGGGGAGTCATTCTGTACCAGCCACCAGCCCTGATTAGAGCAGGATCCTCCCTTTCCTACTTCCAAAGCCTTGGTCAGTTGAGCCTCTCCTCTTGCACCAGCAACTAACATCTCATAGATTGACCACCCGGCAAAAATGAAGACTATTTATTCCACAATTTTGTTTTCAGGATGTCAGCAATATTGTGCCCCATGGACAACCCATTTTTAAGATACCCTGTTTGCCTATAAGAGCAAGAATGAGCAATGGGCTCATCTGTACTGAGATGGAATGGACCTGACTTGAAAAAAACTTCAGGATCCATAAATTCAGAAATTATATCGTGATAACCCCAACAAATAATAAATATGTCAGTTGTCCTATGCATAACCATATATACAAAGGATACTATACTACTCAAAGTGGACAAATGATGACTTGTAATTTTTTTTTTTTTTTTTACTTGGGAAACTTTTAGGTTGAACTGCCAAGAGAACTAATGCTTCACTCTTGAAAACTTCTCTATACCACCTGCTAAAGCTTTTCTATGTTCCATGTTGCTCCAAACTCTATTCTGATGTGTTTCGTAATGGTCGCTTTGACTTCAAACTTTTAATTCTAACTTCAGAGATATCTTAGGATCCTTCCCTAAGATACCTAGATCCACTTTAAGAACAGTGCCTTAGTCACTGTTTAACATGAATATTCAGTCTTGTGAGACAGACTCTTAAATGCTTTGTCATTACTCGTAGTTACATTCCCTCACATCAGGGTGTGGCCTGACAGAGGCACACAGGTTTAGATCTTGGTGGTAGAAACACATATTCAAACAAATTTGCACCAGAGAGTCCTACGTATGTAGCAAGCTTTATACCTAGAATTATACCTATACCTGTACATCAAACCAGCTCTGAGACAGATGAGTTTATTTCTTGAGTTTCTCACCTCTAATGAGTTTCTTACCTCTGAAAATAAATAATGCCTTACCTTAGGGTAGCTTCTTCCTTTAGTCTCATATGACACTTTCTCTGCAATGTGGTTGATGCTGGGGTTTTATAAATCAACTGGATATTCAGTGATACGAGCATTCCGTGAATGCTATCTGAGCAGAATTTAGTAACCTGCTGTGGCATCATCAACAATCTTTGTGTCACCATCAGAAATCTTGGTCTGTGTGCTTAAAGATTTAATGTACCCGTATAAGATACAAGTAGGATACATGTAAATCATACATCTAGATAACCTGAAACTGACTATTCCTTAATTGCCATTATTTTTTACTGCTTAATTACTGTGTAGTTCTGGAACTATATGAGATTAAATTATTATGTAAAAAATAATTTTATACAATTCAATCCCTATAACATGGTAATTTTAAAATAGGAATTATGTTTTATTAAAATGATAAGCATAACAAGGAAAGTCCTCTATATTATGTAAAGATGCAGAATTAGAGAATTAAAAAATATCTAAATTAGAAGGGACTTTAAAATCTTTAGGCAAAGATAAATCCCAGCTTACTCTTTTTGCAGCCATGCTTAAATTCAGCCAGGAATAGTAACATCACAAGTTTTTAAAGACACTCGTGACATTTCCATTGTATTCAAAACAATATTTGAACTGTTACCATCTATCCTTGGGTTGAGATCCAACACTACTGCTTTGCTACATAGGAGACTTTTATGCACAAAATCTCACTATAGTCAAATCTCAAAACAAACAAATAAAAAATAAATTTGGCACGTAGTCCTTTCTATACTCCTAATAAGATACCTTTAGATTTGAAACTTTAAAATGAAACTAAAGAGTTGTCTTTTATTCCTTGCTAAGTGACAAATACCCCTAGAGACAGAGGTGTACATTCCTATAATTCTTTGAGAAAAAAAATCCACCTTAATTTAAGATGACAACATATTATTCAAGAAGAGAACCATGCAATTGCCCAGTGAAGGTAATTATAGACTGCAATATAGAAAATTAATATCTGCTAAGCAATTGAGAATTTCATATGTTAAGCTGTCATAACAGTGGGTTTTGTTATAAGATATTGTAAATGAATGGACAAACTTTGGACTTGGTGTTAAAAGGTCATAAATTAATTTTCTAATTTGGCAACCATCTTGCTGGTGACTAAGGACAAGGCACGTAATTACTTTCCTCCATCATCTATTGAAATATGAACACTCTCAGATTTTAAAAAGACAGTTTGAATTATATATTAAATAAGTCAATTTGTGTTAATACACGAAGTACAGATTAGAAAACAAAATATTCACCTGCACATGATCTATGTAAAATCTTCCTTTTAGGGTTATGTAATCTTTTTGTGCATGCTTTTTTTAAATTTCTTTTTTCCTTAAAATGGATGTTGTAATGGTACTTACTTGTTTGAGTTGTTATGAGAAATAATTAAGACGATGCTTATAAATCACTTAGCAAAGTACTTGACACCTACTAGTCCTTACTGAATATTACTTTTTTTTTTGTCTATGCTTATGTAGTTCTATTGGTTCCAAAACAAACTGCAGAGTTAAAAATTACAAAAGATCTATTATAGCTTCAATGACACAGAGAAGAGAAATGAGTCAGAATGGACATCCAAATTGAATTTGAATCAACAATTTCCAGCTGGTATTTTAAAATAGAAAGAAAGAAACAAATGGACAAAAAAGCCAGATTAGTGGGGTATTCTTCAACACATAACATATAAAGACAGGATATAGAAAGGCAAGTACTAATGCCTCTATTCTATTATCAGTGGTAAATTCTTTATTGGATTTTGAATCAGTTTAAGTTAACACAGTATATGTGAGAAAACTGAACTGCGTTCAGAAGAAAACATTGTAAGAAATTAAAATATATAAGAAGAAATTTTAAAACAATGTAGAGCTTAAGAGTTTACATGTGAATGTTAAAAGAATCTAGATTTTTTGATGTATAGAGAATTGAAGGATAAGTTACTAAGTTCTTATATATAGGGGATTTTCCAACTATTCTCTATTTCTTTAGAACACAAAATTGAAGGCCATGAACTTCAATTTTCAGTAAGAGACATCTCCTGGGAGTAAGAGCAACTAAGCCTTGATAAAGCAAATGGTAGACTAACTGTATTGACTGTGTAACAAGTAAGTTTGTACTCTAAACTTAGAAGCTTACAACACACACATTTATTCCCTATTATTTCACAGTTCCTGTGGGTTAGGAGTCTAAGCATATAGCCTAGCTGGGTTCCCGTCTCCTAAGGCTTAAATTAAGGTGTTGGCTAGAGGTACAACCCCCTGTTATCTTGCAGTCCTCTTCCTGGTTATTGGCAGAATTTAGTTTCTTGCCACTGTGAGGACCGAGACCCATTCCTGGCCAGATGGCCCTCTCCACACCATGGCAATTTGCTTCTCAAAGGCCAACAGGAAGGAGTCTCCTGCAACTTCTTGTCTCTTTCCTCTAGATCCTCTTTGAAATGGTTCATTTGGTTAGTTAAGGCCAAATGATTTTAATTCATCTTTTGATTAATTCAAAATCAACTGATTAAAGACCCTAATTACACCTGTGCAATTACTCCACTCTTTCCACACCACATAACAAAATAATGGCTGTAATATTCTATGATATTCACAGGTACCACTCACACTAAAGAAGAGAGGTTTATGCAGGACGTGTACATGAGAAAGCAGGACTTTTGGAGACCATCCTGGAATTCTGCCTATCATCCTATCTCAAGATTTGCCTATCTGACCTAAAATAATATCACTTTCTATTTAATTATTGGGTTTATCCCCAAATATGAGATAGGTTAAAATCTCATTTATTTCTCTCAAAAGTATTTACAGAACATTTTCTCATGTGCCACCCCGCATGGAGGAGTCATAGCCACGTATGTAGTGTGGTTGAAGCAATGCCATGTGACCACAGCTGCTTAAAAATATCTTCCCTGGTTTGCAATGAAACCTGGCATTAGCTTCAACTTACTCTGTGGCATTTAGCTTTAGAAATGTACCCAATTCTTAATGAACAGATTAATCAGTTGGCTAAGATGGGTTAAAAAGGAGTAATTCAAATTCAAAGTTGATATCACTCTTTTATAGGCATTTTCAGTATGACTGGATTGACATTGCAAGCGTCTATATATGTATGTCTCCTACGGTAATGAATATTACTTTTATGATTATTATTTGTTACTTAAAATGACCTACAATGGATGAAACTCTTTCTAATAGTGAGGATAGTTTTCAAGATATACCACGAGCTCTCATTACAGTTCTGCTGTGAAGTAAAAAAAAAGACGAAAAAATCTGTAGCCATCAAATCATCTTTGTAATAAAATATAAAGCTAAAATGGCTCATTTGGATATTTAAACTTTATATTTACATAGATGTCATTTATGATTGATTTTGAACAGCACAGCTTTTCTATAAAGTCTCATATTTTTCGCTACGCCCTCTATTAAACAGAACTGCCAAATAGTGACAATGGTTTAAATGGTAAAACCATAAATAACGTAGGTTCCAGGAAAAAAGGGGGTACAATTGATCTGTCTATTCTAATTAGGGGTACTAATTTAATACAAAGGTATCTGTACATAAAAATATTATCTCTTAATAAAAGAAATACAATGGCTTTAAAACGCATTATTTTTTAACTTAATATAAATCCATAAAGGCAAACTGAACTGTAAAAGTCATCTATTACAATATTTCATTCAAGGCTTGAGTCATTTCTGAAATATTCCTGTTAGCTAGTCATTCAGCCCATGTTTGCATGTCATCGGTGACTGGAAACTCACCACTTCCCGAATCATCTCACACTGAAGTTAGGCAACAGGGCATGCTATGGAAAAGCATGGGTTTTGGGAATGGGACACACTGGATTTGTATTCTAGCTCGGCCACACACACTGAGTACCTTTAGTAAGAACAGTGGTACAGCTCTTCATCTATAAAATGTGAGTGATAATCTCTTCCTGTGATAGTTTCATGTGTCAAATTGGCTAGGCTAGTTATTACTTAAACACTAGTCTAAATGGTATTGTAAAGGTATTTTACATATGTGGTTAACAACTACTGTCCTTGACTTTAAGAAGAGTGCCCTCACAATGTGGGTGGGACTTGTCTAATCAGTCTGAAGGCCTTAAGAGCAAAAATTGAGGTTTCCTAGAGAAGAAGAAATTCTGCCTCAAGGCTGCAGCATCAACTCCTGCTAAGTTTCCAGCCTGATGGCCTGACCTACAGATTTAAAACTCAAGATGACAATATCAAATCCTGGCAAAGTTTCCAGCCTGCCAGGCTGCCCTACAGGCTTTGAATTACCAGCCCCACAATTGTAAGAGCTAATTCCTTAAAACAAATATCTTCATATATGTGTATATACACAACAACACAACACACACACACACACACGCACACACTCATATATCTTACTGGTTTTGTTTCCCTGGACAACCCTGATGGATACATCACCTCTTCTGAGGATAAAAAGGCACATCACTCACAGGGATACCTCTTCTGAGTATAAAAAGGATAAATCTGACTCCCCCATAGCTCCTTTCTAAATGTTGTCTGGAAATTATCTTCCTATAGCCCCTCCTGTTAGTCAGAATTCTAATACTGTGAATGTAATACATGATTCTAAACTAGATTTGGTACCTGTGCTGTAAATTATATGATAGGGACAGTGGACAAATTTCAAAATGGATTGTAGATTAGATAAAAGTAGAATAGATACAATTTAATAAATGTACTGTATTTATGTAAGAAGATATTTTTGCTTTTAGGAAATATACATTAAAGTATTAAAGAGTAAAGGGGCATGACACATGCAACTTCTCAAATGGAGCTGAAAAAAGATGTTCTAACTTGAGAAATTTAAAGCAAATATGATAAAATGTTACAAACTGGTGATTCTGGATAAAGGGGATACAGGAATTCTTTGTACTATTCTTGAAACTTTTCTGTATGTTTAAATTTATTTCTAACACAATGTTTTAAAAATGGCAAAAGAAAATGACATAAATGGGCCCAAACAAAAGTAGAGGTCTTATTACCACCTTTCTGAAAGCACCTGACCTGACTTGCTGTATGCTTTGGTTAGGTTTAAAGGCTCATAAACATAAACATGCCTGCTCCTTATACCCTGTCACATTCAAAGAGACACATTCAAAGTGGGGACCAGAATCTGAGATGATAAGGATGGAGTCTGAAGATACAGAAACACCTAGTAATTTTTTCATCACGGAATGATTTGAATGATTTAATATTAGTTTTTAAAATGGATGTTATCTAAAAACATTTAAACTAAGTATGCCTTTTCTTTAATATACTCACTATGCATCATTTCAAGATGCTTCCGAAGTTCTACCTTGCTAAAGCTTTCTCTTTAGTGAAATGAGACACAAAGATAACCCAAAAGATCCCCATTTGATGAAGTACCCCCAGAGGTCCATTTACTTTGGGATATTGTAAGGAAGTTGTCATCCAAATGTAGCACATTACTTGAATAGTATAATGTTTCACAAAGAAAGAACTTCACTCAGAGGATTCTTATAAGAAAGTTACAATTTTCAAGTGAGCTTTTCTGCCATCTTCTCTGATGCAACTAATTGTGACCCTCTAATGGACAAAGGCCACTTAAATCCTGCTCTCTGTTTCCAGGGCAAACCCAGAATTTCCCAGATTTCTCTCTCCAAATTCCATTTCCTAGAAAGCATACATTTGCTTAGACACCCTACAATTTCAAATCAGTTAACAGAAAATTGACAAGAGAAGAATTTGCCTTCTTTCTTTTCTGTCTCAGAGTTCTTCTCTTTGGTTATCTCTTTGGTTACCTGTGGATTATCTCATTTTTTTCCTAATATCGAATGCCATCCTTGATATTTGGACATCCTAATGCAGAGGCAGTTAAACCAGAAAGGCAAAACCTAAATTGGGTTAATATTCTTGCTCTGTGCCTCTTCAGAAAATACAGAGACTTAGGTAAGAATGTTTGTTACTGCTGGCGAATCTTCTCCCATTTCAGCCACTCCTGGTCCCTTGTGCCCTGAGTAAGCTATGACCAGTATTAATGCCCATGTCAAGGTAGCATGTACATCATTATTCCACATCACAGGACAATCGTGGACATCTGAACATAATACACTAGCTGTGCCCCGCTGTACATCTATCTTGGGCAAACCTGTCACCAAAGTACAGAGGAAAAGTTAAAGAACTTTGTTACTCATGGTTCCAGGGTGCAGGGAGAAACTAAAGAATGAATTCTTCTTCCATGTTTCCAGACAGTGCAATAATGCCCTGTTTGTGTAGGCCGAGGAGGATGAGCAAGAAAACGTTACCTTTGTAACTATGTCTTTCCTGCTATAGCAATGCAGTTTTGAGATTGTGTGATTATTTCAGGATTAAAATACTCCAGAACAATGTCTCTCATTTTGTGTTGTTGTTGTTGTTCTTGTTAAAGTGTTTAAATCCATTACAATACCACCATTTTTTTTTCTGTCATTCACCTCTGAAATCTTTTCCAGTCTTTATTTAATTATCTTACACATAGCTGCCAAATTCAACTTTCCTCACTTATTCCTTTGCTTAGGGCAAAACAAAACGCAATAAAATAAACTTCTAATCACAAACATTCACACCCAGAATGAATTTCAAACTATTTTATCTGGGTTGTAGTTTTCTCTGGAATTTGCTACAGCTACCCGTCTAGTAACATTCCTCCTGTACTTTCATATTCACTTTCCACCTCGTTCCTGACATGTATTGCCCTCTACACATCATTCTGTGGTTTTCCACTTCGGTGCCTTTGCTGCTACCAATCTGTAGCCTGCATGTCACCTTAATCTTCACCTGACAAAATCCCACCAATCCTGAGCCCAGCTTCAACTCAATGTTTCCTCTTTTATGAACCCTTCATGAACACCACAAATGGACTTTCTTCGTACGCCAAATTTCTAGAGTAGTTCCTATATGGCTACATGATCCCCTACTCCTGGAGGTCCCAGTTTCCTTCCAGGGCATGGAGCCTAGCACAGCATCTAACAGCAGGAGCTCCAGACTCAAATCAACCAAGTTCAATTCTTGGCTCCTCCATTTCTTGGCTCAGGACATGAGAAAGCTACATATTAATCTCTCGGAGCCTTAGTTTTCTCATCGATAAAATGGGGATTTTAATTGGTATCGATTCATAGACAAGGATTAAATTAGTTTCTATTATGAGAAAGTACTCAGAATAATGCCTTACAACATAGTATCCACTATTTAAAGGTCAATATCAGAGTTATTTGTGCATACATACATCCACACAGCCACACACACAAACACATAATTCTTTGCATATAGGCACTTTAAAAATGTAGGTCAGGCAAATATCAAATAAAACTAGGTAGCTTTTGAAGATGTGCTCTTGATTTTCTGTAGCCATTCCTCTAATGCGCTGATGAATCTGGGTAAACTAATCTTTGAGAGGATGATGTCTGGTTAACAAATTCTTTGGCTAAAGATAGATGCAATTTTGAACTAGATTAGAAGAGTACCACAGTCTGTGATGGTATCTGAAGTAAGGAATAGAAAAGCTTATAAGGCAGACACTCAGGGTCATGCAGAAGAACCTGGTGAACCTAGAACAGAGTTTCCATGACACAACAAAGAAGATAAAACACCACCATCCAGGTTTTCAGGTAATTGCATTTATTGATTCAGGTGGTCTCATAAGAAAGTCAATTGGTAGGAAACTAGAGGTCTTACATTTTATTCTTGACCCTGTCAATGAGTCCATTTGAGTATAAGACAATTTCTAAAACTACAGTGATAATTTTTCCTGTATGTTTTTCTGATTTGTAAAATGATTTATATCAAATTACATGAGTATAAAATTAAATCACATTATTATGCTTTTCATCAATTGCCTTTACCAAAAGAATTAAAAGTACATGAGGTCAGGACTACATAACCACTGAATAAATATTTTTCTGTCTATTAAACTAGAACATGCTGTAGACAACACAATGTCTTTATTAGACAGTACACCGCAGTATTTGGAAAAGCAATTAGTAGATTACTTTATTCTTCAGTTGAGTGTCATCTAAATGGAGGAATAAATTTTTTAAATCCACAGTTTGGTATACAAGTCTTGAGAGATTTTTCTCTGCTGGCCTTTCTAATCTCATCTACTCACTTTGGCAGTGGTCATACTGAAGAATTCACATTTCTCAGAATGCATGCTGTTCTTCCTGGACTCCCTCTCTGCACATGCATAACCTCTTTTTCTCTCCTCTTATAGCAAACTCTTACACATCCTTCAAGTTCCAGTTCAGAACTATCACCTTCTCCCTTTTTCTAGATTTTTGTGAGCAGAGTTAAACATGTCCATTTCTTGTGTTTCCATAATGTCTTAATTATACCTCTATTTTCCTACTACTGTAATTACTTATATACACATCTGCCTCTTGATTTAACTGATAGGTCCCAGAGGACTGAGATATGGATTGATTCATCTCTAGGTCCATTGTTTCCAGTACAAAATAGGTCTTCAATAAATATGATTTCAGTGAGTGCCTAAATGAACTTCTGTCATTTTTCTAAAGGGAACATTAAGTTTTCTGTCTATATAAATTTCCTATAGATTGAATACATCTCATCTTTATATAAACTAAATCTGTTTTAATTTTCACTTAAATGTCACATTATAAACGATAACACAAATTTCCATTTCTACTTTTGAGGACACTTTCTTCTTTCATTCTAAATTCTCCCTAAAATTACTCAGAGGTTTTATGGACAGAGTAGCATTTCTCAAGCTTTATACTATGACCTTAAGTTTCACAGCAAGGCAAACTTTTCTAAACTTCAGGAATGGCTTTTGAATCAATAATTTCCCCCACCAAATGTTCTCTGCTAATCAAAAAGTATTCCCACATCCACCACAAAAGACTTTGCTAGATTATTTCCTTTTCCCCAATTTCATCAGCGTAGCCATTCATCCATTCATCCAACCATTCATGAGTCTATGCATTCATGTAGCCAACAATTGCTACTTAAGTACTGATTGTCTAACAGGCACTGAACTCAGGGCTGGAGATCTAAAGATGACAAAGGTAGAGGACTTGCCCTCACAGAGCACATAGTCCACAGAAGACAGGAAGGTCAATAACAGCAACCACAACAAATAATAATGCAATGAGTTAAGTGCCACTAGAGAAATGTGCAAGGTGCAATGGATAAAATCCAGGCAGGAAAGCAGGGATTCTCAGATAGTTTGTAAATAAAAATCTGAAATTACTTCAAATGCCATACCTTTAAGGTTCTGAAGATACCCTGGCACTACCCCAGATCATCCTTTTCACTGAGTTCGGCAAAGTGACAGAAACAATGTCCTACCCTCTTTACGGTATCTCTCAGTTGTTCTCAATTATTGTCGGGAAGCATTTTATTTGAATACCAAAGAGCCCTTTCCCCTTCAGTCAGCCTGTGGGGTGATAGAAATATGGGAGCTGAGCCTATCAGTGCTTGTATCAAGCAGTTGAAAAACTTGTAGCCCATGAGTCATGGCTCTTTTCATGTGTTTCCAGATCAGTGGGAGGAGGCCTTTGGCTGGCAGCACTAGCAATCTAGCACCTATGATGACCACCCGGGGAAAGAAAGACACTAAAGCCACCAGGAGAGCTATACTGTCTTCCCACCTCCCTAAAGTATGCATATCCCCAATGCGACCACCAGGCCATGCCTCAAAATAGTGTGAGAGCCAAAACCCACATTTTCAAAATAAGGAACAAATAAATTAAGCTCCTACCAGCCACCTCCCTTATGTGCAGCTAAGGAAAATCAAATGAAATAAACAAGCAAATTAGCAGCTGGTATATGAGCTGCAGATCACGACTGAATATGTTTTGAAGGCTCTGCCAACTAGTTCTTCCTGAATCGAATTTGTGCTTGTTGGGAAAATAGTAATTAGTAATCATACTACTAATATTAATATCTAATATCTATTGAAAGCTTACTGTGTACCAAACATCATGCTTACAATTTACAGGCATATCCTGTTTAAGTGTTACAAAACTCATGAGTTTCTTCTATAATCCAGACTCTACAGATGAGGACTTGAGATTCAGAGAGACTAAATCATTTGCCAAAGTTTACTCAAACAGTGGGTGGCTGAGCAGAGCCTATGTCTATTAACATCTTCAGCCTATTACTCTTAAAATACTTTCCTAACAATAAAGGAAAATAGTAATATAGGATCATCAGAAGCATGAGCATTCTTTCCTATCATCAGTTATTAAGCAACCCATACATTCCTGTGATGTTCTTGGAATTCAAGAACATAGTCCTCTTGATCTAGAGTTATTTCCCCCTTGCTCTGTATTTATAAGAAAAAAGTAAAAAAAAAAAACACAAAAAACTTAGAACTTTGTAATTTAATCACAGTGTAGAAAATAATTGTTTTATTGTTTCTAATTTGTATAGGCAATGTTTTAGTCAAATTACTACCTTTACATATATTCACTTATAAATGACTTTTTCCCACTAAGACATTAGCTTTAAATTAGTTAACATAATTTAGAAAGACTTCCATATTTACAGAGGACAAATATTTTCACTGTCTCTACTACACAATCTAAAGGATGCCCAGTGAAAACATACAGAGCTTTGTAAATAATTAAGAAGTAAAAAAACTAAGCATTTTCCATGTAACAAGCATTACTCTTTCTCAGAAATAACATAGAATTTGTAAATGGCACATGATAGAATAACTTCAAAATATTAAACTAAAGACACCTGGACATAAAGTGATTTAAGTAGCTTCTACCATTTTCAAATCTGAATTGGAAATCTACCAAGAATCAGCCTTCTAAGATGACAATGGTTTCCACTGGGCCAATAAATAGACCAAGGAAAAGCCTTCATGTGGTATTCTGAATGGTGAAGAAGGAAGTCAAACGTGGCTGTACCCACTGCGATGCCTTAAGTATTTGAGGGAATTAGAAAGGACAAAGACATCTCCAAAAATAGCCTCCAAAGCTTTCTTACTCAAAGTGTACAGTTTGGTTAGCATCATTTCTGTGACCTAGGAATTTGTTAGAAAATAGAAAAACAGTCCTTATCTCAGGCCTTCTGAATTAGAATCTGCACTGTAACAGAATGCCCAAGTGATTTCTAAGCACATTGAGGTTTGAATACCATGTCTCCAAAACACCTCATCGGAATCTGTTGTAAATGCTTGCCAAGCAGCAAGGGCTGATGCCAGCTTAAAACAATTCCAGTCAACTAAGACCTTTCCTGCATCCTTACTTCTTCCCCATGTCATCCACTCACCATTTTCATGGCTGCAGCCTTAATACAAGCTACCCCCATCTTTAATATGGGCTATTTTAGTAACCTTCTAACTGTTCTCTCCCCTTTGCCTACTGACCCCATGCTGTCCACACTCCACATAGCAGCCAGAGGAACCCTGACAACAGGGAGAACAGATCGTGTTCCTCTTACGCCAAAAATACTTCAGGGGCCTCCCTTTGCACTTAGCATAAAATCAAGTATCAAAGCACAGCCTATGAACTCTAGCTGAACCTTTGTCTCACATGTCTCTTTCTCTTGTTCCTTCTTCTCCTTGAACATGCTGAGCTTATTCCTGCTTCAGAGCATTTGCAGCTGCTAAATCTCCCATATCGTCACATGGCTTTCTCCTTCTCAACAGTCAGGTTTCAACTTGAATATCGCCTCCTGAAAGATACCTCCCTAAAGACTCTCTTCCATGTTTCCCTGAAATTACTTTGTTAACTCAATTTACAAATCATTAGATATTTTATTTGAATAGATTGTGTTAAACAAACAAAATTGCCTTTAATATTGCCTTTCTTCCTTTTTTAATTCCCTTTATTCTTTTTCTCCCTACTTCTGCCCTTGAACCTCAACTTCAACAAACTACAAGGCTTATAAAAACAACTTTCACAAGAATTGTTCTGACAGTCATTGCAGTGGTATTGGCCCAGTAATCATGAGCAGAGGACTAACAACAAAAACAATCTCCTACCTCACCACCAGCAAGTTTTACAGCAGCCAATGAGGAAAATTACTAACTGAACCAATCTCCAAGGACAGGTACCCCCATCTTCTCCTCACCCTATAAAATCCCACCCCTGCTTTAACTTGGAGAGTTACCCAGTCTTCAGGTGCTCCCAGTGCACATCAGCTGAATAAAGCTCCCAGCTCATTTTGAGTCACTTAAATTATTACCTTTTGACCTTATGTATTTTTTAGTTCCCTCTATTAGAATGTAAGCTCCATATATACTTAGGACAATGCTTCTCCCATAGGTTTTCAATAAATATCTGTGGGCTGATTTGTTTTTAAAAAGAAAACCACATAGTTCCTCATATCCAACATAATTATTTCTTGCGTATTGTATAAGCTGACCACACGGCCCCTTGTTCCTTAGAAGAGATTCTTTATTTTATACCCAAGAGTTATCTTGTTATTGAATGCAGCCTCAATAAATAAAGTTACTTATTGTCCTATTTACACTGGTTTTATGGCTGTAGTATCCACCAAATCCTGCCAATGGCAAAAGCAAAGTGGTCCTTCTGTAAAGACAAATGGAATAGAGCTAAAATTTACTGATACTTCAAAAAGAAAGCCACGGAAACTCTCTGGAAGCTTTCACTCAGGGAAAATGGTCCCTTAGTATTTTGGTAACCAAATAGTAGTGAGCATTATTCCCAAAGTCCGAAAATGCCCAGGAAAGCTATGTGGCAGGTCATGGAGGACTGGTGAAAGAAAATTCCAAGCTACCAACCAGGGGAAGGAGAACCCTAGCTTGAATTCTGCCATGCAACTTTTATCCATTTTGTGTTTGCTTACTATTTCATCTGATTAATGCTTCTATCAGAGGATATTGGGATTGTTACGACTTTGGGCAACTAATGGTCCCATAAAATCCAGGGAAGAAAAGAAATACAAACAGTAAAACCAAGACTTAAGCCCTTAGCAGTAGCTGTACCTAAATGAGTGATTCTGGTATCTTTATTCAGAGAGTAAATCTGAAGAAAACCTTGTAATCTTCAGACATGTCAGTCTATCAAAGGCCAGATACTAGGGCTACAACTAATTTCCATAGCAAATTTACCAGACACAGCAATATTCCCCTGCCTAGAGAGCAATGGACAAAAGAGGAACTCCCCTTTCCTCCAGATAGAAAGCCACATATAATGGCACAGACTGAGCAGGGACAGACTTAAGAGACCATTATATCAACCAGAAGAAGAGAAGATGGGGAGAATTGGATATATTTGAGAGCTAAAATGGAGTTATAATTAATATTTACTGTAGATGATGACATCTATGGACATATTTTTTGAATAATTGCTACTGTATTACCTCAGTAACCTAAGCACACAAAACTAATTCTAACCATATCAAAATAATGTTTCCTGGTGACAAATTTATTCCTAATCATTCTCTCCTCTCTTTTAACACTATACCTTATACAAACCTCTATTCTATTATTCCAAGACCCATTTCTGATAGTAATTTTAAAAAAGTAACCCAGGTCCACTTATGAGCACATATTTTTTTGCTTCTGGAAATTTAAAATGCATGGCTAATGTTTGGGTTAAACTGACATCAAGATATATTTGATAGCATATTCTAATTTTCTCACTGAATTCATAAATAACTTGGAAATTCCCCTCATTTTAAATTAGGAGAAAACTACATCATGCATAATGCTATCTGAACTGTGAAAATTGAAGATTTTCTTTCATTTACCTTTTAAAATTAGATTTATCTATCAATTATTTCAACCCTCCAAGACAAATTCACACACAGTTTCAGTAGAATGTTATTTCTTTGTAGGCTATTCTTGCTAAACCAAACTGATTCATAAGATAAAGTGTGGCTAAATAAGTTCCACATAGACAAGTCAGAAGTGGCAGCAGAATAGCTTGCTTTTTCCTAAATGACTCCTTTTACCAACACCCCACACGATAGGGTGCTTCTTTCTTCCAACCAACTTCAGGAACAAGATATCCCAGTTACTACTGGTACCTTTTCTCAGGGTGGGTCATCACAAAAGTAGCTATGCCATTGGCTATTCTCACATGTATTCAAAGCAGCTTTAGCACAATCTCTAAAACTAATTAAGTTAGGTGCTCACAAGTATTTAGAAAGTTCCTCCTCATTCAGCAGTAGAGTAAGCCTTTATTGATTTCCTGTCAGTATGAGTATCTTCACCTCCGTCTTAAGTCATGTCTGTTTCTAGTTCAGAATGCTGGTCTTGTCTACTCTAAAGTCCATTTTTGTTTTGTTTTGTTTTGGGACAGAGTCTCACTCTGTCGCCCAGGCTGGAGTGCAGTGGCGCTATCTTGGCTCACTGCAAGCTCCGTCTCCTGGGTTCACGCCATTCTCCTGCCTCAGCCTCCCGAGTAGCTGGGACTACAGGCACCCGCCACCACGCTTGGCTAATTTTTTGTATTTTTTTTTTAGTAGAGATGGGGTTTTACCGTGTTAGCCAGGATGGTCTCGACCTCCTGACCTCATGATCCGCCTACCTTGGCCTCCCAAAGTGCTGGGATTACAGGCGTGAGCCACCACACCCGGCCCTAAAGTCTATTTTCTAAGTATACCAAGTCAAACCTAATCACTCTACCCTCTTCACAGCCTTTTAAATCCCAGCCTCATCAGTCTTCAACTCAAAGACTTCTTTTGCTGGCCTCATCCTCCTTTATACAACCTATATCCTTTCTACCTTTTTAACACTCTTAACTCTTACACTCCTCCTATAGGTCACTGAGAGCACAAGAAGGTGTCTTCTGTCAAAGAACTAGGCATATTATCTCTTACAGCCTTAACATGGTGAGGCAAAACACTTAAGTATATGCAGTGTTAAACTATCCTAAGGCACTATAAAAAACAAAGTTGAAAATTCAAAGTCAACATGTTCAAGAACTACCAGGTAATGTGAATATCATGTAAGAAACTAATTTCAAGAAGTTAGAGATCGACCTTTAATGTTTTTTCTATCTTTATGTAATAGGGAATCATAATTATTTTACCCAAGGAAATAAAACAATGAAGGGAACATTCAAGCTTGACCTGATCCTGTTGTGATCAGAGAATCAAGTAGAGCAAAATTAGAAAAGTAGTGGTCTGTGAAACCACAATCATTTGATCTGGAGTTCTGGCTCAACCCTTAATATGTCACTTTGGGTCAGTTACTTAACCTCTCTGAGCTTTAATTTTGATTTATACAAAATTAACATAATAGTACTTACCTCAGAGAGCTTTTGAAGATGAAAGATAAAATATGCAAAGTACCCACTGCTTGGCTATGAGTCAAGGGGATTTGACTATCTAAGAATTTCTGAAATCTTCATATCAGGAGCCTTGTACGTTTTGATTTCTGAGATGATGATGCTATAGGCTTCTTTAATTTTGGCCTGGCTTCATTTCTAAACCAGTTTCTCACCATCCTCTCTTCATGTACACAGAGCAACAGTCAGTCAAAATGCTATGCACACGTTGCCTCCCATATGGACCACACATATTTTTTTCTTTGTCTTCTCTCATCTTTATCTTTCAGTACCATCCTTCCCTCATCTATTCTTATTAATCTAAATCTAGTTAAGAAACTTTCCTTCATTACTCCATGTCTCAGTTACCTCATTTTCCTAGAAATATCTATTAGGTATGTAACCTGTCACTTGCTAACATGCCCTGCTGAGTCTTGCTCCAGGTATTCTGATGTATCAACAAAGTCAGCATGGACTAAAAAATATGTCTGTCTGCCACCATACTCTTCTGATCTCCCTTCCATCTGTTGGAAAAGTCTTTGTTGGATAATACTGATATTTCAGTTAGGTACAGTTACATCCACTGGATGCTTCTCCCTCTTCATAATATCTGTGATTGTTTCAGAAACTACTTCTCGCATATTATATTATCTAGTGATTAACTGCACCCTCCAGTTCCCAAAACTGGGCAATATTCCTGAGCTACAGGGGGATAAAATGCATCTATCCCTTTTTGTTCTTTTATATTAAAAGACAAACTCTTTATGTCTAATACCTTTTAGATGGATGATATCTCGTTAATATTAATATTAAAGAGTTTTATGTAACATTTCCTTCTCTCTTCCTAAGATTCTGATATGAGTCAGTAGTGAAAGGAGGTGCCATGTTGGGGGCAAATTCAAGCTGCTCATCCCCTCTAATGTTCAAGGCTTAGTTATTGGGTCATGTTTATCTACCAGTTCTCTCATTTACACACTCAAACTTCATTTTATTTTGCTTTGCTTTGTTGCACTTTGTGATACTGCATTTTTATACATTGAAGGTTAGTGGTAACCCTGTATTGAGCAAGTTTATTGGTGCCATTTTTCCAGCAGTATGCCCTTGCATTGTGTCTCTGTGTCCTACTTTGGTAATTCTGGCAATATATCAAATATTTTCATTGTTAATATATCTGTAACAGTGATCTGTGATCGATGCTTTATTATGTTACTATTATAATTGTTTTGGGGTGACACAAATCGTACCCACATAGGAGGCAAACTTAACCGATAAATGTATGTGTTCTGACTGCTCCATTGACTAGCAGTTCCTTATCTTTCCCCCTCTCCTAGGGCCTCCCTATTCCCTGAGACACAATCATATTGAAATTAGGCCAATTAGTAACTCTATACTGCCCTTTAACTGTTCAAATTAAATGAAGAACTGCACATCTCTCACTTTAAATTAAAAACTAGAAATGGGCCGGGTGCAGTAGCTCATGACTGTAATCCCAGCACTCTGGGAGGCTGAGGTGGGCAGGTCACCTGAGGTCAGGAGTTTGAGACCAGCCTGGCCAACATGGTGAAACCCTGTCTCTACTAAAAACACACACAAAAAATTAGCTGGGTGTGGTGGCAGGCACCTGTAATCCCAGCTACTTGGGAGGCTAAGGCAGGAGACTCACTTGAACCCAGGAGGTGGAGGTTGGAGTTTGTAGTTAGCCTAGATGGTGCCACGCACTCCAGCCTGGGCAATAAGAGTGAAACTCCATCTCAAAAAACAAAACAAAACAAAACAAAAAAAAAAAACAAAAAAAAAAACAACTAGAAATGATCGAGCTTAGTGAGAAAGGTATGTGGAAAGTCCAGACGGGCTGAAAGCTGGGCCTCTTAACCAAACAGTTAGCCAAGTTGTGAATGCAAATGAAAGTTCTTGAAGAAAATTAAAAGTGCTACTCCAGTGAACCCAAAAATTGTAAGAAAGCAAAACAGACTTATTGTTGATATGGAGAAAATTGTAGTGGTCTGGATAGAAGATCAAACCAGACACAAGATTCCATTAAGCCAAAGCCTAATCCAGAGCAAGACCCTGACTCACTTTAATTCTATCAAGGTAAGAAAGCTGCAGGAAAAAAAAGTTGAACACTAGCAGAGGCTGGCTCATGAAGCTTAACAAAAGCTGTCTCTATAACACAAAAGTGCAAGATGAAGCAGCAAGGGCTAATGTAGAGGCTGCAGCAAGTTATTTAGAAGATCTAGTTAAGATCATTGACAGAGATAATTACACCAAACAATAGATTTTCAATTTAGATGAAATGGCCTTATTTTGGAAGAAGGTGCCATCTAGGATTTTCATAGCTAGAGAGGAATGTCTGGCTACAAAGCCTCAAAGGACATGCTGATCCTCTTGTTAGGGGCTAATGCAGCTGGTGACTTTAAGTTGAAGCCAATGCTCCTTTACCATTTCAAAAATCCTAGGGCCCTTAAGAAATATGTTAAATCTACTCTGCCTCTGTGAACAAAACAACAAAGCCTGGATGACAGCATATCTATTTACATCATGGTTTACAGACTATTTTAAGCCCATTGTTGAGACCTACTGCTCAGAAAGAAAGATTCCTTACAAAATATTACTGTTCAGTGGCAAGTCAAATAGTCATCCAAGAGCTCTGATAGAGATTTACAAGAATAATGTTGTTTTCATGCCTATTAACACAACATTCATTCTGCAGCCCATGAATCAAGGAGTAGTTTTGACTTTTAGGTTTTATTATTTAAGAAATATATTTTGTAAGGCTATAGCTCCATAGATAGTGATTCCTCTGATGGTTATGAACAAGGTAAATTGAAAACCTCCTGGAAAAGATTCACCATTCTAGATGTCATAAAGAACATTCATTATTCACAGGAAGAGGTCAAAATAACAACCCTAACAAGAGTTTGGAAGAAGCTGATTCCAGTTCTCATGGATGACTTTGAAAGGTTACAGGCTTCGGTAGAGAAAGTAACTACAAATGAGGTAGAAATAGCAAGAGAATTAGAAGTAAAGGTAGATCCTGAAGATGTGACTAAATTGCTACAATCTCATGATCAAACCTGAATGGATGAGAAGTTGCTTCTTATGGATAAGCAAAGAAAATGGTTTCTTGAGATAAAATCTACTCTTGGTGAACATGCTGTGAACATTGGTGAAATGACAACAGAAGATTTAGAATATTAAATAAACTTATTTGATAAAGCAGTAGCAATGTTTGAGAGAATGGATTCCAATTCTGAAAGAAATTCTATTGTGGGTAAAATGCTACCATACAGCATTGCATGATACAGAGAAATCTTTTATGAAAAGAAGTATCAATTGATGTGGCAAAGTTAATTGTTTTCTTATTTCTAAAAATTGCCACAGCCACTTCAACCTTCTGATCTCATCACTCTGATCAGTCAGCAGCCATCCACATCAAGGCAAACCCCCCACCAGCAAAAATATTGTGATTTGTTGAAGGATCACATGAAGGTTAGCATTCTTTAGCTTATTTTTAATTAAGATATGTACATTGTTTTTAGACATCATGTTACTGTACACTTAATAAACTACAGTATAGTATAAATATAATTTTGTATGCACTAGGAAGCCAAAAATTTCATGTGACTTGCTTTACTGGGGTGGTCTGGAACCAAATCCTCAATATCTGCAAGGTATGTTTGTATTGTATTCTCCCAGGAGGTATGCCAGCCCTTCAAAACTGTAAACTCTGGCACCCACCCACCCACAAAGAGCCTAAAGTTTTTCCAGATATGATCTCCAGAATGAATCTAGCTTAGAAACAGTTTTAGAATACACCATATTCATATAATTTATGGTGTTCCTTTTAGTTATTTATTTCATCATTTTATAATTTAGTCTTTTATGTGTTTTTATTTTGTCTCTGCACCTAGAAAGTAAGTTATCTTAGGACAGTCGAAGGAGTATGGCAGGCCCTGAGAAACAAAGCACAGTGTTATAAGATGGCAGATATTTATAACTATCTTCTGACTGATTTTTTGAGAGAATGCTAAATGGAGTGATGGAATTGCAGAATCATTTAAAGATGTGGATGAAAGGCAAAGAATGGGCATTTGAAAATGATGCAAAAGTAGTGTGCGGAAAAATTACATTTATGAATTCAGCAAAAATTTTTGAGAGAGCTAATAAGTGTTCAACACTTTATTAGGCACTGGATTACATTGTAAGTAAGATACATAAGAGTCCACAAGGAGCTCTCAGTCCAACAAGAGAGCTAAATATGTTCAAAAGTACAATTTATTGCTTTAAAAATTATAACAAACCTAAACTCAGGGTAATATGGGAATACAAACATGAAAAGAAATTGAAGAATGTTAGGGAGAAGTTTGTGAATTTAAGATCTTACAAATAAACACTAGGAACTAATAGTAGTTATTAACATTTCAAATATCTATGAAGTTATTGGATCATATGAAGATCATCTTTGTGTGATTTCCTTTAGGTATAGCTACTTCCTAGTGTGTTCCATTTAAGACAATGTCCTTTTACTCTTCCTCAGTGTAGAAGATTTGGGGTAGAGGTAAAACATCTGGAAGTTGTGTGGATATCAGTATACTCTGAATGGTTGGTTATGCATTTCAGACAGGTCCTGTTGATCCAGTAGTAAGTACTCATGGTACTGTTACCCATTTCAGTGATAGTGCCATAGACTGAATAAGGAAAGAACTGAGTTGCTCTCCCAGCATGAGGCAAGCTTCGTAAGTGCAATGTACCAATCCAGTGCCTAGTCTTCTGCAAAAAGTTTTCTATCAAACTGATGCTTCTCTGGGTAGTCAGACTTCGAATTGACTAAGACTAGCATATTAAAGCCCAGTGATTATTTTCTTATGTAGCAACAACCCTAACACCTGTTTGTTTTCACATTATGAACAGTAACAGAAGCAATCTAATATTTATTATGATCATTTGTAACAGTCTTTTAAAAAACTTTCTTTCAAATATAAGAACATCTGGTCAGATATGCAAACTTTGAAAATTAGCTGCTTTAATTTCTTTTTAAACACAGGGAGAGTTACTGGAAAAGAAGGTAAGGTGAATGCAGATGCATGTACAGACAGGGTGAAATGTGTAGACCCCTAAAGCACACTGTAAATGTCGCTCTCTGCTAGCAGGAAGATAACTTTATTTTTTTAAAAATTAATAAAATGTGTAATTTGGGAATACTGGCAAAGAAACTACTTCCAATATTTTAATGTAGTATTCAAATTTGAATTTTCAGTGTAATTCATTTCTAAAGTAATAAAGAGGAGAAAGAAGTTGCATATCATTTTCTTTTAACCATTAAATGCCCCAGTTAACTATTAAGACCCACTTCCATTGAAATAAATTCATATGCATATTCATTATTTTATCAATTAAAAAATTTACATATATATATATACACACACACACACATATAAGGGGATATAACGGGACTATTAGGTACTAGGCATTTAAAAAACTGAATGATCAACATCTACCATTTGCCAGTCACTGTTTTAGGAATGAAGAATGCTACAGTAAAGGGGAAAAATTAACAGTGCCTGACCTTAAGATGTTTATATAGTCTAGTGGGGAAGAGAAATAGAGATGTGGATAGCAGCTCATACAAGGATAGGTGATATCACAAATACACTATGTTACTGATTGAATCACACTGTCCTAAGGCTAATCTGGCAGATAGTTTACATCCACTTCTATAGAATCTGGCATTATGTGATTCTGATTTGTGACAGACTTGTTTCTAGACTAAAGCTGCAAATGCCTTCTTAGTATATTCTAAAACTAGTGACCGGATTTCTGCATGTGGAAATGCTTGCTTGAACCTGTACCTGTTTCCAAACAGGAAACAATATTCCACATGGTAAAGGCAAGCTGAATCTGCTATTGATCTTTATAACACAAACATTGGGGGAACTTCAATGTCCAGTCACGGAGTTCCTTAAATTATGCCCCTGAATAAATCTCACAAAGCATGCCAGATGTAGAGGCCAGATGCAGACTTACCTGGGTGGAATTTGATTAGACTTGGGAAGTAGAAAGATACTAAATGCAATTACGTTCTGATTCATTAGAGACCAAAGTTTAAAATAGTCAAGTTATTTCCAGGATACAAATCTTTCAATATTAAATGCATCATGTTGACTAGAATGAGTTATGGGACACAGCTCACAAGGGTGTCCCAATGATAAGTGTGAGACACTGATACAATGATAAGTGAGGGTGAGACAATGATAAGTAATGGTGAGACAATGATAAGTAATGAGTGAATGATGTGCAGAATTTAGGACAAATGAGATCAAACTGTAGTTTACCATCTCTTTCAGGATAGTTTTTTTTTTTTTGGAAGTCCTCCAAATCATGTATTTCAGAAGGTTCTGGTTTAAGAATTCTATTTGATGAAAGATCAGATGTAGAAAACACTGCCCTTTCTGCTAGTGAAGTATGTTTTCATTCTGCTGCAAGTTCATGCCAGGAGAAAATATTATTTTTCAAATAAAAAGTATCATAAGTTATCTTAGACCCTGTACTAGGCTATAATAACTGTGCTCTTTTGGCTTACATCAAATCAGAGTTGATAATCAATTTTGCATCAACTATGCCCTGGAGATGTTCAGGAATCGGGTGGGAGACTTTCTAGGAGGTATGGGTTTGAGAAATTCTACAAGTCGGAATTCTTGGCTAGGAAATTATTTGATGTCTCTTTCAGTGCTTCAGATTTGCTAGTAACCAGCTCTAAAAATTTATATGCAAAGAATTTACTTTTAGTTCTTCTATATCCATAGCAATATATATCATTTCCAATATTTGTACTGTAAGTCCCAGTAACTGACAGAATGTACTAATTATTCAAGAAAGGAGTAAGCCCCTGTGGCAGGTAAACCTAAACTCTTTCTGTTTCAGTCCATACTCAGGAACAGTCCTTATCATAAATTAACATACTTGCAAAATGTATTTGGCTACAAAGCCCTTTGTAGATGGAACACATACCTCCAGACCAGTGGTCCACAGAACACACGCTAGAAAACAATCCATTCAATCACTCTGGTACTTAGAGAAAGAAAAATCCTATTTAGATGAACACTAAAGTATTATTCAAATAACTTTTAACTTGGCCCTTTAGGTAATTCTTCAATAAGTAATGGGTATATACATTTACGTACAAAATTATGCCAAGAATTATACACGAAGTGTGTCCATAGGTGTTTTGTTCTTTGATGAAAAGGAAAACCAGATGATTGTTGACATTATCATCAGCAAACACTTGTTTAGAATCAGGCCTGTAATATCACTAGTAGCAATGGGGCTTCCATAAAAAGAAATACTAAGGATTTTAAGTCCTAAGCTGCTTTCAAATTCATGGAAAGGCAAAATATACACACAGAACAAAAAGTAAATTATACAATATCATAGAAATGTATTTTATAGTAGAGCAAATAGCACACATGTATAATGGCATAGGGATTGGATTATTAATTTTAGAAAATGAAAACCAGGTTAATATTATGAAAACTCACAGATTTCAAAAAGAGGATACTTTGGGAGAAAAACTCACACATGTATTAGCTGTGTGAGCTTAGTAAATTACATTCCTTTCTATGTCTCAGCTTCTTCATCTTGAACATATTTACAACCATGTCTACATTTCAGAGTACACATACCTTTGTATAAAATACCTGTATTAAGGCTGTTATTTAATTTAGGGTAGTTATTATTATTATTATTTTATTGCTATTGTCATGTTAGATTTAATAGAAAGATACATGATATATTCAGGTACTGGTTACTTTTCCTTACCTATTTCTGAAGAAGAGACTTTATGAAGATTGTCTGTCTTCAGCAGTATGTTAATTTCATGCTAAACTTTATCCTTAGAATGAGTATATTATTTATAATACAATGTTCCATTTGCTCACTCAGGGATTTCCTAGCCACTCAGTTCAAACCTCTTGCAAATATTTTATCAAATCGTTAGCCTCTGGCATGACTCTGCTTGGCTTTCAATCAACTCCATAGTCTACTGTAACAGTGCTACTTTCCCAACTGCAGTACATCCCTGAATCTCTTTCCCTTCCAATGTCTGCTTCCTCTGCACCTCACTGAGGGGAAAAGTGAGCTGCTGAGAGAAGATGAGCAGCTTTCCAGTCCTCCTTTGTTTCAGATGCCGACTTTGCTGATGTTGGGTGAACTCACTTCCTCCCACTGTAGTTTTCCCATTTACACTCTCTTTCTTTACACCTCAGATTAGATTGATCTTGTGATGTAGATTCTGCACTCACTGAGAAGACTGGACCAACCCAAAACCAATAGTTTACAAAGCATTAGCTAGAAACTCTTGGGATTGTCTGTGTTTATCCCATTTCTTCTCCTAATATGGTTTTAGATGGCATGTTGTAGATGAATGCTGTCAGTTATTTCATAAGTATTATTTTATCATGTTAAATACAGTTTTAATTCTAACTTTTCTTTCAAAATTAATGACAGTCTTTTTAATAAAATACATGTAATAAAAAAAGGTTAAAGGCATAATTATAGATACGGCTAGATTAATGTCAGGGATTCCCAAAGACCGTTTCTATGAGTGTACTTCAAGGTAGTATCTCAAATTAGAGAATTATGTCAACAGAGAAGGATTATTTGTTTGCTACTGTAAAGATATATGTTAACATTTCATTTAGTTGCTTTTAATGCATTTTATGATCCAAAAGACTATTATTTGATAGAAAAACCATTCTGGTAATCTATGGCTGTAAAGAAAATGCTGTTTACCTCAAGGCACCAATATGATATGAACTATATATTAGATTATTAAGGAGAGTATTACCTCAAAGTCAAAACCTGACCATAACTCATAGAACTGCCACTACTGTAAGATGGAAATTGTTGATAGAAATGCACTAGACAAAGATATCTTCAAAGAGCCTGAAGAAGAACAATGTTTATAAAAGCAAATAATAGTAACCACTACCACAACAAAACACTTATTGAGTGTTTATGAGGTGTCAGGCATTGTGCTAAGCACTGGCCTTGGATTATCTCACTTACCTCTGGAGACCAAGGTCAAAATATTGTGACATTTGGCTTTAAACAAATGAACTTCTAGGTAGACCTGCTGTATATATAGACTTCACATCATTATCATCGTTATCATCATCATCATCATCACAGTAACTTATATATAATGTATCAGATACTTGTCTGAGTATTTTATATCAATGATCTCATTTAATGCTTACAATTGTCCCATTGGGTCACTACCAATATCTCCATATTACTGATTGGAAATCAAACTCTGAGAGGACACGTTGCCCAAGATCATTTTTTTTTTTTTTTTTTTTTTTTTGAGACTGAGTCTCACTCTGTCTCCCAGGCTGGAGTGCAGTGGCGTGATCTCAGCTCACTGCAAGGTCCGCCTCCCGGGTTCATGCCATTCTCCTGCCTCAGCCTCCCCAGCAGCTGGGACTACAGGCACCCACCACCATGCCTGGCTAATTTTTTGTATTTTTAGTAGAGACGGGGTTTCACCGTGTTAGCCAGGATGGTCTCGATCTCCTGACCTCGTGATCTGCCTGCCTCGGCCTCCCAAAGTGCTGGGATTACAGGCGTGAGCCACTGCACCCTGCTGCCCAAGATCATTAATTAGTGTCAGAGCTATGATTCAAACCCAGGCCTTACTTAAAGTCAGATAAACTTGATAGTTTATAGGTCAATCACGACTTCTTATAGATTGCCTCCTCAAACAAGAAAAGGGTAGCTTGCTGGGATGGCAGCATTCTAATAAATTCTACCCAGTAGTACATACCCAACAGCCAGAAAATGGCAAGCCCTACTTCTTTCTCCCAATATATGAGACTTTCACAACATGTAGACCTTATTAAGTAAAAATTCAAAGTTTGTGAAAGCTCGTGGAAGAGTCCATACTTTATCCATAAAGGCAACATGATACCTAATAAATGCTTTTTCTTGTCCCTTTATTTCAGATTAAATCCTCTATGCTATTATGTACTACAAGGGCATGATTATATGTCACTCTGTGATGTCAAAATATCTATTACTAAATAACGGCACTTTAGTTAACCATGAGAGGATAAAGTAGCATTATCTGACAATGGACAGAATGAACTAATTACCAACTGGTCTGACCAACAAGAGAGAGATATGCTTCCTACTGCTAAAAATATAGAAGTGTGACCAGTCAGAATGGCTACTATTAAAAAGTCAAAAAATAACAGATGCTGGCAAGGTTGTGGAGAAAAAGGAATGCTTATACACTATTAGAGGAAGTTTAAATTCGTTCAGCCGTTGTGGAAGACAGTATGGAAATTTCTCAAAGACTTAAAGACAGAAATACCATTCAACCCAGCAATCCCATTACTGGGTATACACCTAAAGGAATATAAATCATTCTATTATAAAGACACATGCACACATATGTTCCTTGCAGCACTATTCCCAATAGCAAACACATGGAATCAATCTAAATGTCCATCAATGATAGACTGAGTAAAGAAAATGTAGTACGTATATACCACGGAATACTATGGAGCCATAAAAAAGGATGACATCATGTTCTTTGCAGGGACATGGATGAAGCTGGAGTCCATTATCCTTAGCAAACTAACACAGGAATAGAAAACCAAACACCTCATGTTCTCACTTATAAGTGGGAGCTAAATAATGAGAACAAATGGTCACATAGAGGGAAACAACACATAATGGGGCCTTTCAGAAGGTAGAGGGTGGGAGGAGGGAGAGGATCAGGAAAAACAACTAATTGGTACTAGACTTAACACCTGGACGATTAAATAATCTGTACAACAGCCCCCATGACACAAGTTTACCTGTGTAACAAACCTGCACTTGTACCCCTGAACTTAAAAGTTAAAAAAATATATAGAAGTGTGATGTTAGCACAGGTTTAGATATTCATTCATTCAGTCAGTTACCAGACCTGAGTATGTATGGGGCTCTGGGGTTAAGTCTTAAGGAAGAAAGACAAAGGCCCTGACCTCAAGCACATTACAGTTTAGTGAAAAATATCACACTTCCCCAAGTCTGCACATTTAGAAACAAGTTCTTAGATTATTTTCAGAACATAAGAGAACTTCTCTGAAAATACATGACTCAATCATACAAAAAATACTGACTCTGATGTACTACTACGGAGCCGTACAACAATGGTAATTTTCAATAAAATAACTGAAGAGAAAATGATGCTCTGAGTTAGGAGATTCTTCTACCAGAGGTGTTAATGTGCTCCAGCTCATTAGAGGATTATATCAAATAAAGCTGAACTGACGTTCACTTTTTTGTGTGTTTTGTGTCTTCTTTAGGCTCCTTCCTCCAGTTATTTTCTATATCCTTAAAATATCCCCTATTATTTTCACCACACATGCACTGTAATGGAAAGGACATGATACATTCAGCAGAATTACTTAATTAGGTTTTTGTGAGCAGTATGTGCCAAGTAAGCTAGGTTTGCTTTCTAGCCATAAAAATGTGCCTGCAGTGCATGCCGTGTTCTCGAGGAGGAAACACAGTGATTGATGTGATGATAAAATGATGAAGGGAAGGATAAAGCCAGAGAGAAAAAAGTCTCAAAAGGGAAATAAAGTAGGGTAGCAGCTGCCCCCATGTTAATTGAAGCATAAATTTCAGAAGCAGGATCTGAGGTTTCATTTCAAGCATACACTGAGAGAGAGTTTGTGTGTGCGTGTGTGTGCGTATGTGTGCATATGTGCACTGCTGTGACAAAAAACACACAAGCTCTTTTCATCCTTTGTATGAAGGGTTTTAAAGTCAGTTTTATAAAGGAAAAAGTTGCAAATGTAGAAATGTATTGATTTTCACTGGAAGACATTTATTTAGTCAGCATTTAACAGAGAATAACAGAATCCATGAAGGACAAGTGTTCCAGGCACTACAGATACAATAGGCTAGAAACCACACATTTCTGCACTCATGGACCTGAACGCTCTTAGTTTATCATTTCTCTCTGTACATATCTTCCCTACTTCCGCCCCACCCTTTGCCATAATCTTTTTAAAAACATATATATAAATGGCTTCATTTTCACTTTGAACACCACCATAGCTGTGTATGTAAAAACACTACAGTCTAGCCACTACCGATACATCCAGCCACTTCTTGCATCTCTCCCAATATCACAATTTCAAGCTTTCCATTCCTCAAACATAACGTTTATTTTTACATAATGGCGACTTTGTCAGACTGTACTCTGAGCCTCAAATACCTTCATACCAGTTTCCCATCCATTAAAACCCACTCCATTTGATTGAAGTGCAGCTGAAATGCCTCTTAAGCTTCATGCTTTTTAATATTTCTAACAGTTTTAACAGTCCTTCATCTTAATTTCTGGGTAATTTTGCTTGGAATATGTCATTAAAGCTCTCAGTTCGTTTGTCCTGAAACGAGCTGTTCATATCTCTGTTTATATGGCTTGTTATTTTGTTGTTGTTGTTTTTTCTTTGGTAGGTGTGAACTACTTGAGGACAGGGCGGGGAGGCTGCTAATTTGTTTCTGGCTACATGCTGTTTTACATGTGCTAGGCTTTTAAAAAGTGTTTAGAGGGCAAACAAATATGCAGCCAGAAAGTATTTAAGAGTCACATGAGATTTTTCATGAGGGAATCAGCTGCCTCACTAAATTCTCAAGATTTTATTTCAGAAGATCTAAGAATGTGAAGAGTTACATAGGTGAGAATGCCCACTGCTCTCTGCAGAGAGCAAGGGATGTATTGCATACACAGGTGCTATTTAAGTATTTTTCATGAATCACCTTGGGGAAAGCATAGCCCATTAATGGGGCATACTATTATCAGGAATGTTTTCAGAGATCTCATCTTTTATATCCTGTCTTTATAGCTTAATGTTGCTTCTATGTATGAGCCTATAGTAATGTAATCCTAAGCTTGGCAAATCTTTACTTTAAAAAATGCTTTAAGAAAGAAAAATTGCTTCTAAGCTTAGGGACAGTACAAATTTTTATAGTTTTGTTATAAACTTCTGAGAAACAGAATTAGGACATCTTGACACTCTTTCTACCTTATGGACAAGCTAATATACATCACCATAAAATAATGTGACTGCCATTCATACAACAGAGAACAAAAATAAATTTAAAACTAATGTAAACTATAAAACTATAATATATAAATTTTCTGTTCATTTTAAAACACTTAACCTTTAACCATGAAAACATACTAATTCACTGTCAAATCTTTTATATTCCAGAGGACACTTCTAAATCATATATTTGTACACAGAAAAGTGGAATGGACTGTCTCTGTACATCCTGATTAGCAGGATTCACTTTGAAGGGCTATGTGAGGAGAAGTTTTGCGTTATAATACTTGGATCAAAATTATTTGTGCATTTTCCCCATACTTATGACTTATACAGTTCAGAAAGATAAAGTATTCCAAAGAAAGAAAGTGCATATCTCACAAACAGGGGAGCTCTTCCTTTGTGACAAGATAATTATTAATTGCATTATCTTATCATTATTTACCTTCAAAACAGACTTAATTTTATCTCCCTTTTAAAAACCTGTTCTTTCTATACTTAATTTGAGCTAATGTGTTATCAAAATCTAGGGCAATATTCAGAGTTTTGACCTCTAATGGACTAAATATCCCAATATTTAAATTGCTTAATTAGCTACTCTTGCACTGAAGCATCTTCTCTCTCCAGTCTCTCCCTTTTTGGAAATAGTACCCCACTCTCCTGGGCACTCAGGCTAGAAACCAGGAAGCAGGACAAAGAGGTATTCCCTCCACATTGTAATTCAGGAATGCCAGAAAATTGTCTTCTCCTTTCCCCATGCCCTTCATACAAATTCCTCCTGGCTCACTGATGCCTGAAATTCCATCATTTATTGCTTTGGCTCACAGCCAGGAGAAGGGATGCCAGGAAGCCATGTACATGTCTTCCTTTCTAGTGTTGCCCTGGTGCCAGGCACTCTGTTATTAACTCTCCATCATTCTTCTGCATTACATCTTTTTTTAAGTGAGGGAACCAAAGCTGAGAGAAGTTAAGTAATTTTGTTAGGGTCACAAGGCAGATTGATAGAAGATATGACAACTGAACCCAAGTTGGGTTGACTCCCGAATCTGTGATTTAGCAACTATTCTAGGCTAATATTTATGTGGGCCTAGCGCTGTATTAAGTATTGGTCTTACTGGATACTTGTTTTCAGGCAAATCAGTGGAGCACCTGAGGAAAGTGCCCTACCCATACCAACTTACGCCTCACCATTGCAGTGCACTCGGCAAGACTTTGGACTGCCTGAGGTCATTCTCTGGCTCCTGCTCTCTCCAGCAACGCTAATATGGCAGACTAAAAGTGTTACAGAAACACCAGGGGACTCAGTCTAGGTCCTTCTGCTCGCTGCACAGAAAGCCAATCACTGACACAACAATATCGCCAAGGAAGAAGGCTTTAATTGGGTGCTACAGCTGAGGAGATGGGAACTCAGTCTGAAATCCATCTCCCTGATTGACTAAAACTAGAGGTTTATATAGCAGGGAAGGAATGTAACAATGTGTGAGAAAACAGGAACTGGGGAGGGGCAAGGAAGCAATCATGAGGAGTGAAGGGCCTGGCATCTCATTGTCTGGATGTGGGTATTTAGTGAGTTTCAGTTCTTTGATACTTTATTTTTTTTCAGAGGCCTGAACATCATTTCCTGAGGAAGGAACTCAGAGAAGACAAATGTCAGTTTCAAGCTTTAAGATCAGAAGGGTCAATTTCTATGTGTATCTTAAAAACTATCCATGGGACTACTGGGTCGGTTTCAAAAGCATGGGATAATTAACTCTCCCACCCCAACCCCAGCAGCTCTCAACCAATGACTGATGAGAATGGTGTATATAAGCTGCAGCTCCCTTGCCTCTTGTGAGGAAAAACCCTGCACTGACTCTCAGAATTATCCACTGGGATTAGGCTCCAGTTGTCCACTTAATGACACTTTTGATAATACATCCTTTATCAGCTGCCCTTCTTACCCTGTCTCAGTTCCCAGCTTACCTATAGATATTTCCTGGCATCCTTTCCAAAATAATCTAATCTATTTGCACTTGAATCTTAGTGTTGGGGTTCCCAAGGTCTGCTTCTTTGGAACCCAAACTAAGGCAATCGGCATCATCCAAAATACAGATTTTCAGGAAGAGAAGGATTGGTGGACTTTGAGATCATTAGGCATTGAAGTGAACAGAAAAAGAGCTGGGCCACTCTCATTTGTTCCCAAATCATTACTACATCCACGTGTTCCTTAGCCCATCACTCACAGCTAGGGAGATGGCGTCACTTGTTTGTCTATGAACAGATATTATGCCAGTTCTAGGGAACAGGGATAATGCAATGAACAAAATGGATAAAATGCTCTGCCCGTATGGAAGTTATAGTCTAATAGCTGCCAAGAGTTTTTTTAAAAGAACCAAATGGAATTTCTAGAATGGAATAATACATATCTGAAATGATTTTACAAATTTTATAGGCTTAACTGCAGGAGAAAGGATGAATGAATTTGAAGCCAGATGAAAAGAAACCATTCGAGCTGAAGCAAATAGAGTAAAAATATATTTTTTAATGAACAGAGGCTCGATAATTGTGGGACAATATCTGACATGTAATTAGAATATCAGATGATGCAGAGAGAGAGAATGTGGCAGAATATTTACTTGAGGAAAATGATGGCAGAATTTCCAAATTTGAGAAAAAGTAATTCAACTTGTAGACCCAAGAAACTTGGCAAATTCCAAACAGGATAAATTTAAAGAAAATTACCATTAGGCAAGTCATCAGCAAACTGCTAAAAACCAGAGATAAAGCAGCCAAAGAAAAAAGACACATTGCATATAGGAGAACAATGATCAGAAACAACCAAGGCAGAAGACAATGGAAAACCATCTTTAAAGTGCTTATGGGGGAAGAAAGACCTGTCAATCTAGAATTTCATAACTAGTAAAAGTATCCTGAGTTATCCTAAATGAAGCCAAGTGAGTTATCTGCATCATTTGATCTGTGGAAGCACTTGTTTGGATAAGTTAGGCTCCAACATGTATCAAAGGGACAGCAGAGTGTGATCGGGAGCCAGCCTGCCTGAGTCCAATTTCTGACTCCAGCTCTCATTAGCCAAGTAAACTTGGGCAATTTTCTCACTTTCTCTCTGCCTCACTTTCTCATCTCTAACATGAGGATAACAATAAGATCCAACTCACATGGGCATTTTATGGATTAAGTGAATTATTTTATTTCCAACAGTCTGAGGATTTTCCCAGTATCTTTCTGTTATTGATTTCTAGTGTAATTCCATTATGGTCCAAGAACATATTTTGTGTAATATCAATTATTTTATCTTTATTTTTTAATTTTATTTTTGAGACGGAGTCTTGCTCTGTCACCCAGGCTGGAGTGCAATGGCTCGATCTTGGCTCACTGCAACCTCCACCTCCTGGGTTCAAGCGATTCTCCTGCCTCAGCCTACTGAGTAGCTGGGATTACAGGTGTCTGCTACCATGCACAGCTAATTTTTGTATTTTTTAGTAGAGATGGGGTTTCACCATGTTGGTCAGGCTTGTCTCGAACTCCTGATCTCAGGTGATCCACCTGCCTAGGTCTCCCAAAGTGCTAGGATTACAGGCATGAGCCACCACGCCTGGCCCTGATTTTTTTCTTTCTTTCTTTTTGAGATGGAATCTTGCTTTGTCGCCCAGGCTGGAGTGCAGTGACACGATCTCGGTTCACTGCAAGCTCTGCCTCCCGGGTTCATGCCATTCTCCTGTCTCAGCCTCCTGAGTAGCTGGGACTACAGGTGCCCGCCACCACGCTTGGATAACTTTTTTTGTATTTTTAGTAGAGACGGGGTTTCACCATGTTAGCCAGGATGGTCTTGATCTCCTAACCTTGTGATCCGCCTGCCTTGGCCTCCCAAAGTGCTGGGATTACAGCCTTGAGCCACCGCACCCGGCTGGCCCTGATTTTTTAAAAATTATTTTTATTTATTTATTTTTTTATAGACAGGATCTCACCCTGTCACCCAGGCTGGAATGCAGTAGTGCTATCATAGCTCACTGTAACCTCCGACTCTTGGGCTCAAGCAGTCCTCCCACCTCAGCCTCCTAAGTAGCTGGAACTACAAGCACACACCACCATTCTCGACTAATTTTTTAAAATTTTATAGAGATGAGGTCTCACTTTGTTGTCCAGGATGATCTCAAACTCCTTGTCTCAAGTGATCCTCTCACCTTGACCTCCCAAAGCACTAAGATTACAGGTGTAAGCCACTGTACCCAGCCACAAATTCTTTTATTTTACTTTTTCTTATTTTTCTTTATTCCCTTTGATATACACAATCAACACACAAATTCTTTTAAATTGTAAATGTCTGTTTAATGACTCAGGATACAGTTTATCTTGGTAAATATTACCTATGCAGTTGAAAAGAATGTATATTTTGTTGTTGGGTGGAGTGTTCTATAAATGTCAACTAGATCCAGTTGATTGATGGTATTGTCCAATTCTTCTAAATCCTTGCTGATTTTCTGTCTGCTGGTTGTAGTACTAAGAGAGGAATGTTAACGTCTCCAAAAAAAATTTTTTTTTAAGTTTTTCCTTCTAACTCTGAGGTTTTGACATGTAACCCAATTTTGTGGTAAATTCTGAAATAAAAATAATTAGGATTAACTCTAAGACTTAAAGGTATAAGACTATGGAAGTCTATCCCAAAGTATTTTCGCTACAGTTATGTGTTAGATGCCAATGCTATGAAGCATAGAACTCGGTTTCACTTTCTTCTACTAATGTATGCTGTGTTTTGATGTCCCTTTCATTTACAGACTGTCAGAAGTCTTCTAAATGTGAGTAATCCACTTTGCCACTAAGCAAGACAAAAAAATTATTCACCAGCTCAGTTCATCAAATAAACATTTCTGCCATGAGATTGGTAATCTACACTATTTCAAAAAATTTTTAAATTTGTAGATATTTGGGTTTTATACTCTCATGATATCATCTTATATGCAAATAAGTCATTAGGGAATTGAAAGTTAATGTTTATTAAACTTTAAAAGATTGTTTTCAAACACTTCAGAAGTCTTTATTTATATCCAAATAATTATGTCAGGCTATAATTTACTGACTGAGTTCCGTTTACTTTATTTTCAGAAAGTATGAAAGCTATATTTGTAAAAAGCTTAAGGTGCTCAAGCATTAGTGACATAGAATAATCTCCATCCATTGCTTTCTAAATAAAGGAATTTTACATACTTTTTTCCGTTTCTATACTTGAACTTAAAGAAAAGCTTGCTTTGCAATGCAGAAAATTCAAATAAACTGTTAAAATTTCGACAGTCTTAGAGTCAGAAGACAATAATAGCTTGTAGTTTCTTCAGGTAATTATGGACAACATATTTAATTTATGTTGTAGGGGAGGAAGCGAGTTAAAGAGAGAGATAAGAAGATCTGACCAAAATATGGTTAACAGTTGGGAAGAGTTTCCAGCATGTAATAGAAAAAGGAGATAAAAGAGTACTTGAATAAGAGTGCAATGTTTTAAATCCTCAGAGCCAAAATAATACAGTATGTCATTGTATCACCATCTTAAATAACAGGTGAATAGATTTGGAATGATAAATACTTTCAAAGAAATAAAAGAAGAACAATGGTATAATCTTCTGAATTGGAGTAACCTTGAAGCACATTTATAAGATCATATGCCATGAACTGATATTCACTTCTATATTGTGTAAAATATAAATACTTAACGGCAACACTTTCTCTAATGCACCTTCAAAAGTACAACTGTTTATGCCATTAGAGTTCAGAATAGTAGCTTAAAGAGGAAATCTTTATAGTATTGGCCTCTACAGTATTCATATGCCTGCATTATGTGTATCTTAAAATAGCTCCTTTCTCCTCTTGAGAGTAAAGGGACTCAATTATTACTATATGCATTCTCCTAAATCCAAGGGAGCCCCATTCTTTAACAACCTGCTCTGTGGACTTAGAAAACAAATAGAAAAGCTATACATTATTCATATATTTTGGCAGCATACTGAAGCCCTTAGAGCAAGTAATAAATGATCAGATGTCTCCCTCGAACCTTACCTGGTTTACTCTTTTGAAAAATCCAACCCTTGCCGTCTCCCACACAAAGCTCTTGGCCACTGGGTGAAATCCAAGCTGGGTAGTTGATCATGATAATTCCCGCATGTCATGGGCAGCAGCATCTCTCAGAGTCCCACAAGCCAACTGCTTGAAACGAACCTGCAACAAACAAGATATTTCTCCATTTTAATTGAAAAATAGTGAACCGTGTCCTAGGTCCAGGAGGCATCACAACTTAATCAATAAGGGAATCATAAAGGAGTGTGTGAGGGACTATAAATGCTTCTCAAGATGCTGATAAACATTAAAACTGGAAGACTGAAGTTTATGTGCTACAAAAGGTGTTTTTTCCAAGTGCATGTCCCTCTGCATGTTGTTATTGATCTACTCAAGCCATCAGTTATTAATGAACATTATTGATATTAAAACTCACACATCCTATATAGTATGTACCGCCTCTTCTTCAGGTAGGTGACCAGTTGGGGTACTCAGAGTATTCTTCTACTTTACCCATAATATTCTCAGGGTAACTGGGCAATGGGATGCAATAGGGCAAAACCCATGAGCAGTTAGAGCGAAATCCACAAGATTGTGGATCAAGGACAATTTCCTTTGTGATTTCTGATGCTCCAGTCAATGTGAACATTCCCTGTATAAATGTTGGGTCACCTTTCTAGGATAATGTGTGAGAAACAACTTTGAGGGACATATGTAAGGTGTTGCAAATTCAGCAGCCACCATTATTGATATCAACATACAGACTGTATGACAGTAAGACAGTACTGTAAGAGAGTAACCAATGTAAATGCATTGTAGCCAGAGTGGGTACACAAAGGAATGACCAGACTCAAGAAAGTAATTAGACAGCTAATTTGGGGGCAATGTACCACGTATTTAATGATTCAGTTGTTTATGTCCATGAATAAATATGGCATTTAAACTTAATTAGCATGTTTGACTTTTATTCATACAGAGAAAACCTATGTATAATCAGTAACCTTTATTGGACTGTTATCTGACACATAAACAACACTTCAATAGACGATCAGGATGATATTAATGAACAGAAATGCTCACTGGTCTTCCCAGGGTAGCTCTTAAAAACTATTAGATTTTTTATAACTATAACAACCATATTTAGTAATACATATACAGAAGCAAATTTATTACTATTATTTTCTACGTAGTGCACAGAAAGGGCTTAGAGGTTATTCTAAGTCTGTAGGGGGACTTGTGAATAACTACGTTCTGAAGATTCATGGACACAGGTGCAAAAACTGATTTTAACAAGCAACAAAATAATAAATCCTCATGCACCTGTGATTAGAGCTTCACGGATTCCCAGAAGTCAGTGTGGAGACTTTGTTAAAAGGCACAACAGTATGATATCCTATTACACCATTTCAGCCACAATGCTAAGATGACAAAGGGTTCAAGTGGAACACATGCCTTGCACTAGAATGCAGCACTTCAAAATAATTCCTTAAACAAAGAGGTGTATATGTGACACTAAATGACAATACTGCAATTCAAAGCAGGAGCGTTATGTTGATGCTATTAGATACCCATAAATATCCACACCCCCTCAACACACACACGTCTAAAATTTTTGTATTTATTGATCCAAGTTGTGGTACTTATTAACCTATAACCTCAGTCAACTTCTAGATGCAAACTGTTTTTATTCATGCCAACATTTTTTTCTACTTCCTATCTTCTTTGAAGATCTTCTGGAAATTATCATATCACTTATTTTATAAAACAAACCTGTTTTCATGAATGATAAACCTTTTTTGGTCTTTTGGCAGCCATGAAGGATATTAAAAGAAGCCGTATACTAGTGGACCAGATGACAGGGAAGAGTTTATAAACATAATTTCTAAGCTTCCAAACTGGGTTTGAAGTGAGAAATTTTTGAAAGCTACTTGCTTTGGAAGCACTCATCAGTGACTTAGCGCCACTTCTCATACTTTGGTTCTGCCACTTATTATAAAAAAAGTGAAAATAAGTCAGTATAACTACTTGCTTTATAAAATGGCTATATTTTATTACACAGAAATGATGCTATTGATCCCTCCTCAGAAGGGGTAAGTTTTGTGTATTTTCTTTTCAGCAGTGATGATTTTCCACTAACTTTTGTTCATTTATTTATTTATTAGCCCTCTTATTCATTCCACACATTTTATTTGAGCACCTCTGTTGTGCCAGGCATGGGATTTGGTGCTACAGGTACAAAGCAAAAAGACATAAGTTCTCTTCATGAAAAGATTATCACTGATTCTATTCTGTTTAACATTTTCTTGTAACCAAGAAAGGCAGCAATATTACATCCAATCAAGATGATTAGCCTTACCTTATGAACAATCTGCTATGTGACCAGAGCTGGGAAATTCATGAGGTTTGTCAGTGAGTAGAGCACTATAGGCCAAGGGAAAATCTACAATATAGAAGGATCAATTCACATAGCTAATGCTTGTGAGGTTGTTATTGGATGTGATAGCTTTGTGTCACTCTTATATCTTCTTCCACAACCTCATGTAGCTGAGTTAAAATGAATCAGATAATCCAACCAATTAGGTTTTGATAGTACAATAACATCTACGGCATCAAACACAAGAGTCACTGCCTTCCAACTGTTGTGTAAGGAATTACAGTACAATCCTGTGTGCTCTGCATCACATCCAAGTTAACAGACTTTTGTGTGTGCGGGGGTAGGGGAAGATGCTATTGTATAAGTTGCTTTACACAATTTTTGTATGATTATTCTATTTGTTTTCTCTAAAAGGAGATACAAAATTAAATGCATGTATTCTCCTTGAAGAGAAGTCTATGAGGGGTCATAAGAAGTACCAATTCCATGACATTGGTTTGAAACTGTATCCTGTCACCAACTTTCATTATGAAAAAACACGCTTCAAATAATTTTTCACTTATCTCTCTCCAAATATGTTATTAATGAGAATACAATGAAAACAAAAGGTAGGCATAATTATTATTTAAAATGCTCTTAGATAGTAGGTGACTTTTTTTTACTAAAATCAATATGATTTCCAAAGGATTTAATTATTTTATGTTTTGAAACTCTGCTATTACTGGGATGCATAGTATGATAACAAGATATTTTCTTTAATGCTTTCATTTTTTTGAGAAACTTATTCTTTTAAAAATGAATTTGGGGCTGGGCGCAGTGGCTCACACCTGTAATCCCAGCACTTTGGGAGGCTGAGGGGTGGATCACGAGGTCAAGAGATCGAAACCATCCTGCCCAACATGGTGAAATCCTGTCTCTACCAAAAAAAAAAAAAAAGAAAGAAAAAAATACAAAATTAGCTGGGAGTGGTGGTGCATGCCTGTAATCCCAGCTACTCGGGAGGCTGAGGCAGGAGAATTGCTTGAACCTGGGAGGCAGAGGTTGTGGTGAGCCGAGATTGTGCCATTGCACTCCAGCCTGGGCAACAAGAGCAAAACTCTGTCTCAAAAAAAAAAAAAAAATCAGAATGAATGTATTTTCTTGTATGTAAATTACACCTCATTAATGTTGACTTAAATGTTCTAAAATGAATTTTTGACAATGTGCAAACAGGTTCCAGATAGGGGCATGGCATACAGAAGTGATTGATAAATCACTGTTGTACATTAATTTAAAACAAAACAAGACCAAAATAACATTTGGAAAACAAAGGAGAAGAAATTCTAACATGTACAAACGCTGTTTTCCTGTTTGTTGGCCTGGCCCTAAGTGCCAGTTGAATTTTGGTATTCTTTGTCTTTCCTTATGCACAACACTACTACCCTTTTAGTATACCTTATTGCTTTGAAGAAAGCTTTTCAAAGGATCCCCTTAGCACTTAGGCACTCATTTTATAGGCTATTGATTTGCACTTGTTGACAAGTTGTTTTTTATACGTTATCTCAGCTTCATCTTCCCCGTGGAGACATGTTGCATAACCCTCTAGGTGGCCAACAGAACTATAAGAGTACTCAGCATTCAGTGAGTTCAATGCATTTGTTAAATGATTGCTTGATCTTGATATATTCTGGAAGCTTTGTGTCTAAGTCACTCATTTTCCCATACTAACACAGAGAATATAATAATCAAGAATGTAAAAACAGAGAGATTATAAATAATCAAAATTATGAGGCTTTCTACCTTAAAAATGTCAAATTTAGCCTTTTCTGTCAGTAATTTTAGGGAAAGGGTAGGTTTGGCCATTTATTATTCACAAAATTATTGCTTCTAATTTTTTTTTTCTATTCATTTAGTCTGATGAAAAGGTCAGAAAGTATTTCTCAGTAGGCAGAGGTCATTAACAACTACCACTAATACTTGTAAATGTTGTTGCTATCTATTTTATATGTAGTTTCTTTTTAATTGTCTCCCAAATTATGAGAAGTTTATACTATAATAATGCCCACTTTATGGTGATTAAAATAAGAATCAGAAAGTTTAAGTTACTCACCCAAGGATATAGAGCCTTTGAAAAATGGAGCTGTGATTTCAATGCAGTTAATTGATAGTGCTGTACCGTATTAACTCAATTAATGATAAGTTCCTAGAGACTGAATCTGAAAGATTCACTCAATTTATAGATGAAAAACTTAGTCCCAGGGAAGTAAAGTGACATATTAGAGGCTACTCAGATCTCAATAGGGTCTGGAAAAGCATTTAAACCCATGATACTCCTGTCTTTCCAATACACCACTTTCTTACCCAGCTTACTCAGCATGGTGTCCAAACAACTTTATAGATTTCCAATTCACTTGATTTTTTTTGTAAATGGTGTTTCTGGTAGGTTTTATTTCATAAAGAAGATACCAAAGCCAACAAACAAAATAACAGGATTTTGAGATACACAGTTTTAAATGAATTTAATTTTGAAAGCAACAGATGACCTTTCTCTCTCTCATTTTTCTAATGGAAAAAAAAAAAAAAAAACAAAGACACAAAGAGAAGACTGTGTTGATAGACTATGACAAAACCCCTGATTAGATTAAAGTATGAATAGCACATCAGTGTTTTGCTGATGAACATTTTGTATGTGTAGCTACATTATTAGTAATCACAAGCTGCAAATAATCTTGCAAAATACTCATTTGATATCATTTTCATTTCAGAACCCAGCAGGAAGCCCTTCAAGTGACATAAAGCAAGATCTAAGGTAACGCTATCAATCACTGAGAACGCAGGGCCTGATACTCAAGCACAATTCTCTTTGTTTTTGTCTTCGCTCAAAGATGCCTAATTCTGAATTTGATTATGATCTAGAAACTTTACCAATTAAAATAGGCCACATTCTTGTTTTCATTTTCTCAAAATGAGGCATCCATTTGTCACATTCCCACATTTTCCACAGTTGAAACTTGCCTCTGTCCTTTTTCCTTCCTTTCCTGAGTGTTTTATCCCTTCCTGCCTGCTTTCTTCTTTCTACCTTTTCTTCCTTCCTCCATTGTCTTTTTTCTTCCTCCCTTCCATCCTTCTTTCCTTTCCTTTTCACCTTCTTCATTTCAACAAATATTTAAACATGTTTTAAGTTCTATGCAATATGCTAGGCTCAGAGGACAAGGCAAGACACTTAGTTCGTGTTCAAGTATTGCTCATAGTCTAGTAGTGTGAACGGGGAAGTAAACCAACAAATTATGGAAGAAGAGTAGAGGTGCAACCTACATTGAACATGTCAGAACATGTCAGCTTTGAGTAGAAAATAATTCATAAATTGATCCTGATTGGTTTGGCTTGGCCTGGTCAACTTAGAACTCACAAACAAAATATAATTATCATTAGGCAGTTTCCAAATACTTCATATACTCTGAGTTTTCTATGATTTAGAGAGAGATCTTTTAAATTCTCAAAGCTCACAAACTGGAATGCCTCAGAGCCAAGTGTATCTCTTAAATGTAAATATAGTGTGGCTGACTTTGACAAGGAGCCAGAGAGCCACAAATGGTGAGCTGGAGAAAGTAAGCTTAGACTAAGGATATTACAAACAACATTTGAAACACCATTTTGCCAGAAAGAACACATTTTTGGACTGGTTTTGGTCCTTGGCCACCAGTTTGAGATCCTCCTTTGTAACTATTGAGGAGTCACCATCCACTGCTCTCTAGATATAGTATAGGTCCCATTTCCACTGCCTTTGGCAAAATCCATGACAAGTTAAAAAAAAAAAAACAAAAAAAACAGAAACTTCTCCCTAGAAATCCTTTCTAGTGGGGAAAAAACAACTTCTGAATTAGCTCATCAAAATTATGAGAGTGTTGTTGATAATGTGGGTTCTTGGGCAATGCCCCAGAATTAATGAATCACCATGTCTAGAGTGAGACTGGAGATTCTGAAGATGACACTTCCCTAGATTACACTTAGACACACTCATGTTTAAGAACTCTTCTAGAACAAAGCCATTTTTTAATTTTTCCAGCATTTTCCCACAACTTTTAATGTAAAACATTTATTTCTCTTTGAGTTTCAGATAGCCTATTTTGGGGGAAAATGATTCTTCCATGAATTGCATAAAGTGAGAAATGGCCTTTCAATTCTACACAAGAAGATCATCCCTAAAATACATAATCATCAGGTTTTCCAAGGTCTAAATGAAATACAGAATGTTAAAGGCAGCTAGAAAGAAAAGGCAGGTCACCTACAAAGGAGACCCCATCAGGCTAACCATGGACCTCTCAGCTGAAATCCTACAAGCCAGAAGAGATTGGGGGCCTATATTCAACATTCTTAAAGAAAAAATCTTCAACCAAGAATTCTATGTCCAGCCAAACTAAGCTTCCTCTGTGAAGGAGAAATAAGATCATTTCCAGATAAGCAAATATAGAGGGAGTTCCTTACCACCAGACCTGCCTTATAAGATATCTTGAAAGGAGCACTAAATGTAGAAAGGAAAGACCTCTAGCAGCTAATATAAAAACACAGTAAATACACAGACCAGTGTCACTACAAAGCAGCCATATAAACAAGCTAATGCAATCAAGTTTTTATTGGTGTAAGGCAGACTGTGCCTAAAATGGGAAACAAGAAATGATGGAGGGTAAGTGGTCTCACCAGGACTTACATTTCATGAAGAAGAAACTGTCATCTCTCTATATAACCACCCTCAAGAACAGTGCCACTGCATTAGTTTGACAGCAGTACCATTTCCTGATGGGATGTAGTTAGCATATTTGAGATATACAACCCCTTTTAGGCTGGGAGCAATGGCTCACACCTTTAATCCCAGCATTTTGGGAGGCCAAGACAGGTGGATTACTTGAGCTCAGGAGTTCGAGATCAGCCTGGGCAACATGGTGAAACCCTCTCCCTACAAAAAAGTAGCTAGGCCTGGTGGCACACACCTGTTGTCCCAGCTACTCAGGAGGCTGAGTTGGGAGGATCACCTGAACCCAGGAAGTTGTGGCTGTAGTTAGCCCTGATCACACCACTGTACTCCAACCTGGGCAACTGAGTGAGAACCTGTCTCAAATATATATATTATAACCCCTTTCAGCAGGGTGATGGTAGTAGGGATGAATCAAAAGTAACACAATATTCTAAAGAAGAGAGATGGGAAAATAATAAGTATTTGGCAAGTGACCATTGAGAATTAGTGTGTCACATTGTATGCTTTACATACATGTTCTCATTTAATCTTCATAAAAAACCTGGGAGACAGGTACTACTTCCATTTTGCAATTGAAAAGCATGGGGTCAGAAAAGATAAGTAGCTTGCTTAAGGTCAAAAAGTTACAAGGGAGAATTAAGATTTAAACTTGTGACTTGTTAATTGTATAGGTCTTACGCTTTCTAGCACAATAAATGCTCTGTATGTCATTTGTCCTATCAATTTGCTTTTGATTTCCCACATCAAGAATAAAGCCAGATCAACCCATTTCTTTCTCTATTTCTAATAGTTCCTTCCCCTAAACACTATATTCCACTTTATCCCAATATCAGGTATATACAGACAAAATACAAGAGAGACAATGTCATGGACAGCTTGTGTATATATGTGTGTGAATATGATTTTATTTGTTTTTGTTTTCATTTAGGCTTTCCATAAACCAACATGCTCCTCTTTCTACTAATTCTCTGATTTTTATTAGGAAGTTGTTGCTGAGGATAATCTTGGAGGGAAGGAAAGACCTTCTTTCTACTGCAGCCTGGGAATGAGAGGGGCTTGGATGTGACCTAACTCAACTAACATGACCTAAATATGAAAGCTTGAGGGAGTGACACAAAGGTTTTTTAAACTGTAGTTATATATAAAATTGACCCCTGAACAACATGTGGATTAGGAACACCAACATCCTCATGCAGTTGAAAATTTGTGTACAATATTTGACTCCCCCAAAACTTAACTACTAGCAGTCTACTCTTGACTGGAAGCCTTACTGTAACATAACAGTAGATTAACACGTGTTTTGTGTGCTCTATTTATTAAATACTGTAATCTTACAATAAATTAAGCTAAAGAAAAGAAAATGTTATTAAGTAAACCATGAGGAAGAAAAAGGTATTTACTCTTTATAATAAATACCTTTATGGGTTATCATAAAGGTCTTCATCTTCATTGTCTTCATGTTGAGTAGGCTAAGGAGGAGGAAGGGAAAGGGTTGGTCTTGCTGTCTCTGGGGTGGCAGAAGAGGAAGAGGTAAAGGAGATAGAAAAGGAGGCAGGAGAACCAACACACTGGGTATAACTTTTACTGACAAAAATCCACATGTAAGTGGACACAAGCAGTTCAAACCTGTGTTGTTTAAGGATCACCTGTGTATGTGTGTGTATGTGTACATATATATTTACATTATACAGACATTTATAAGGATAGATGCATAACAATGATAGCTAAAGCACTGGGTTTCCCTGCAATATGATCTAGGTGCACAAGCTTCTTTATTCCTCTCCATATGCCTGTTTTGTGAGATGTGGATCTCCTTCTGATGAATTCTTTTTCTGCTTATGACAGCCAGAGTCATTTTCTAATATTTATAACAAAAAATCCTTACTGATACAGAAATTTGTTCTTTGAAAATTTTAAATAATTAAAAAATTTAAAATGTATATATATATATAAAATGTATAATTCTAAAAATATACTTCACCTGGCATAGAATTAAATAGCTACATATATGTATAATTTGTATAATTACATTATATACACATATACTGATTTATAAATATATACATGATATGTATATATATGTAATTAAATGTTGTACAATTTACAGAGAGTGAAACATAAGATTTTATGTATACACTTGGATCAGTTTTAAGAAATCAGTATATCCCTGAAACCAACACTTAAATCAGGATATAGAATATTTCTGCACCCCAGAAAGCTTCCTCATATCTCTTCCTTTCAACACACACCTCTCACAGGCAATTAGTATTCTGGTTTTAAAAGATTTGTTTCACCTGTTCTTGAGCTTTATATAAATGGAATTATACAGTACACACATTTATATAAGTCTTTTTGTGGATATATGTTTTCATTTCTCTTGGAAGTTTACTTTTAGGTATTTGTTTAGATCTATGTTTAACTATATTAGAAACTTTACCAAACAATTCAAATTAATAGAAAACCTACTGGCACCCAGCTCAGAGACTAACTCAAAGTAGCATGGAGTATGTCGAAGAGAATAACAAAAAATAAAGCATGAAAAACAAAATTTGAATAAATAAACTGTAGCTGAGGTTATAATGCCTCTAGTAAAGTTAGCAATAAGATGTAAAGTCTTTATCAGTTATTTTAGAAAATACTTTAATTCTATTACTTATCAATGTTCTAGGAAGAATTTGGCAAATGACTTGCAGATAAAATGGAATAGCCAGAGCAACTTTACAATAAAGATACATTAAATTAAAAGAGATTTGCTTCATACAAAAGCAGTTGATGTAACCATATTAACCATACTAATAAACTAAAAAATAAAAACCATATGATCATCTCAATTGACATACAAAAAGCATTTGACAAAATTCAACATCAATTCCTCATAAAAACTTTAAACAAACTGGGACTAGAAAGAAATTTCTTCAACCTGATGAAGGATATCTGCAAAAACCTGGAGCTAATATTATACTTGATGAAAGTCTGAATGCTTTCTTATTAAGATCAGGAAAAGGCAAGGATGTCAGCTCCCATCACTTCTGTTCAACATTGTAGTGGAGGTTCTATCCAGTTCAGTACGGCAAGAAATAAAAGGCATCCAAATTAGAAAGAAAAATGTTAAAACTGCCTTTATTTGCAGATGATTGTCTAAGTAAAAATCTATTGGAATCTACACAAAAAGTACCAGAACTGATTAATATGTGGATTTAGTAAGGCTACAGAATAGAAAAATTACATACAAAAACCAATTGTATTTTTATAGTCTAGCAACAAAACATTAGACATTGAAATTTACACAAAAAAGTTCCCAATAATATAAAATTAAATGAAATACATGGGGATGACTCTTTCACAACGTACATACAAGATCTGTACACTGAGAGCTATAAAACATTGCTCAGAAAAATTAGAATCCGTATGTAATTTCTTTAAAAAATTCTGTTGGGATTGTGATTAGTCAGTTTGGGGTAAATTGACATCAACAATAATGGGTTTTCTAACCCATGAATGTGGCGTTCATTCATTCATCTGGTCTTTAATTTCTCTGGCTCCTTGTCAAAGTCAGCCACACTATATTTACATTTAAGAGATACACTTGACTCTGAGGCATTCCAGTTTGTGAGCTTTGAGAATTTAAAAGATCTCTCTCTAAATCATAGAAAACTCAGAGTATATGAAGTATTTGGAAACTGCCTAATGATAATTATATTTTGTTTGTGAGTTCTAAGTTGACCAGGCCAAGCCAAACCAATCAGGATCAATTTATGAATTATTTTCTACTCAAAGCTGACATGTCCTGACACGTTCAATGTAGGTTGCACCTCTACTCTTCTTCCATAATCTGTTGGTTTACTTCCCCGTTCACACTACTAGACTATGAGCAATACTTGAACATGAACTAAGTGTCTTGCCTTGTCCTCTGAGCCTAGCATATTGCATAGAACTTAAAACATGTTTAAATATTTGTTGAAATGAAGAAGGTGAAAAGGAAAGGAAAGAAGGATGGAAGGGAGGAAGAAAAAAGACAATGGAGGAAGGAAGAAATGAAGGCAGAAATAAGGATGTTCTTTGAAACCTACGAGAACAAAGACACAACGTACCAGAATCTCTGGGACACAGTCAAAACAGTGTGTAGAGGGAAATTTATAGCACTAAATGCCCACAAGAGAAAGCAGGAAAGATCCAAAACTGACACCCTAACATCACAATTAAAAGAACTAGAAAAGCAAGAGCAAACACATTCAAAAGCTAGCAGAAGGCAAGAAATAACTAAAATCAGAGCAGAACTGAAGGAAATAGAGACACAAAAAACCCTTCAAAAAACTAATGAATCCAGGAGCTGGTTTTTTGAAAGGATCAACAAAATTGATAGACCGCTAGCAAGACTAACAAAGAAGAAAAGAGAGAAGAATCAAATAGACGCAATAAAAAATGATAAAGGGGATATCACCACTGATCCCACAGAAATACAAACTACCATCAGAGAATACTACAAACACCTCTACGCAAATAAACTAGAAAATGTAGAAGAAATGGATAAATTCCTTGACACATACACCTTCCCAAGATTAAACCACGAACAAGTTGAATCTCTGAATAGACCAATAACAAGGTCTGAAATTGTGGCAATAATCAATAGCTTACCAACCAAAAAGAGTCCAGGACCAGATGGATTCACAGCCGAATTCTACCAGAGGTACAAGGAGGAACTGGTACCATTCCTTCTGAAACTATTCCAATCAATAGAAAAAGAGGGAATCCTCCCTAACTCATTTTATGAGGCCAGCATCATTCTGATACCAAAGCCCGGCAGAGACACAACAAAAAAAGAGAATTTTAGATCAATATCCCTGATGAACATTGATGCAAAAATCCTCAATAAAATACTGGGAAACCGAATCCAGCAACACATCAAAAAGCTTATCCACCATGGTCAAGTGGGCTTCATCCCTGGGATGCAAGGCTGGTTCAATATATGTAAATCAATAAATGTAATCCAGCACATAAACAGAACCAAAGACAAAAACCACATGATTATCTCAATATATGCAGAAAAGGCCTTTGACAAAATTCAACAACCCTTCATGCTAAAAACTCTCAATAAATTAGGTATTGATGGGACGTATCTCAAAACAATAAGAGCTATCTATGACAAACCCACAACCAATATCATATTGAATGGGCAAAAACTGGAAGCATTCCCTTTGAAAACTGGCACAAGACAGGGATGCCCTCTCTCACCACTCCTATTCAACACAGTGTTGGAAGTTCTCGCCAGGGCAATTAGGCAGGAGAAGGAAATAAAGGGTATTCAGTTAGGAAAAGAGGAAGTCAAATTGTCCCTGTTTGCAGATGACATGATTGTATATCTAGAAAACCCCATTGTCTCAGCCCAAAATCTCCTTAAGCTGATAAGCAACTTCAGCAAATTCTCAGGATACAAAATCAATGTACAAAAATGACAAGCATTCTTATACACCAATAACAGACAAACAGAGAGCCAAATCATGAGTGAACTCCTATTCACAATTGCTTCAAAGAGAATAAAATACCTAGAAATCCAACTTACAAGGGATGTGAAGGACCTCTTCAAGGAGAACTACAAACCACTGCTCAATGAAACAAAGGAGGATACAAAGAAATGGAAGAACATTCCATGCTCATGGGTAGGAAGAATCAATATCGTGAAAATGGCCATACTGCCCAAGGTAATTTATAGATTCAATGCCATCCCCATCAAGCTACCAATGACTTTCTTCACAGAATTGGAAAAAACTACTTTAAAGTTCATATGGAACCAAAAAAGAGCCCTCATCGCCAAGTCAATCCTAAGCCAAAAGAACAAAGCTGGAGGCATCACGCTACCTGACTTCAAAGTATACTACAAGGCTACAGTAACCAAAACAGCATGGTACTGGTACCAAAACAGAGATATAGATCAATGGAACAGAACAGAGCCCTCAGAAATAATGCCGCATATCCACAACTATCTGATCTTTGACAAACCTGAGAAAAACAAGCAATGGGGAAAGGATTCCCTATTTAATAAATGGTGCTGGGAAAACTGGCTAGCCATATGTAGAAAGCTGAAACTGGATCCCTTCCTTACACCTTATACAAAAATTAATTCAAGATGGATTAAAGACTTAAATGTTAGACCTAAAACCATAAAAACCCTAGAAGAAAACCTAGGCGTTACCATTCAGGACATAGGCATGGGCAAGGACTTCATGTCTAAAACACCAAAAGCAATGGCAACAAAAGCCAAAATTGACAAACGGGATCTCATTAAACTAAAGAGCTTCTGCACAGCAAAAGAAACTACCATCAGAGTGAACAGGCAACCTACAAAATGGGAGAAAATTTTTGCAACCTACTCATCTGACAAAGGGCTAATATCCAGAATCTACAATGAACTCAAACAAATTTACAAGAAAAAAACAAACAACCCCATCAAAAAGTGGGTGAAGGACATGAACAGACTCTTCTCAAAAGAAGACATTTATGCAGCCAAAAAACACATGAAAAAATGCTCACCATCACTGGCCATCAGAGAAATGCAAATCAAAACCACAGTGAGATACCATCTCACACCAGTTAGAATGGCATTCATTAAAAAGTCAGGAAACAGCAGGTGCTGGAAAGGATGTGGAGAAATAGGAACACTTTTACACTGTTGGTGGGACTGTAAACTAGTTCAACCATTGTGGAAGTCAGTGTGGCAATTCCTCAGGGATCTAGAACTAGAAATACCATTTGACCCAGCCATCCCATTACTGGGTATATACCCAAAGGACTGTAAATCATGCTGCCATAAAGACACATGCACACGTATGTTTATTGTGGCATTATTCACAATAGCAAAGAGTTGGAAGCAACCCAAATGTCCAACGAAGATAGACTGGATTAAGAAAATGTGGCACATATACACCATGGAATACTACGCAGCCATAAAAAATGATGAGTTCATGTCCTTTGTAGGGACATGGATGAAATTGGAAATCCTCATTCTCAGTAAACTATCACAAGTACAAAAAACCAAACACCGCATATTCTCACTCATAGGTGGGAATTGAACAATGAGAACACATGGACACAGGAAGGGGAACATCACACTCTGGGGACTGTTGTGGGGTGGCGGGAGGGGGGAGGGATAGCATTAGGATATATACCTAATGCAAAATGATGAGTTAATGGTTGCAGCACACCAGCATGGCACATGTATACATATATAACTAACCTGCATGTTGTGCACATGGACCCTAAAAGTTAAAGTATAATAATAATAAAAAAAAACAAAACAAAAATTAGGGTAAGCTAAGATTAATTTACTATTAAAGAAAAAATTTAAAAAAATTGATAAATTTGATTTAATTACAATTTAAAACGTTTTTGCATTGTGAAAACCAATTTTAAGAAAATGAAAAGAAAAGCCACAAACCAGGGGAAAATATATGCAAGTTACATAAAAAACTCGTGTAAAATACCTAAAGAACTCTCAAAACTTAATCATATAAAAGCAAACCAATTTAAAAAAAAAGGTAAAAGAGTTGATTTCACACTTCACCAAAGAGGCTACATGGATGGCACATCAGCACATGAAATGATGCTCAATGTGATTAGTTCTCCAGCAAATAAAAAACACCCCGAGATATTGCCACACAGCTATTAAATTAAATAAGATTAAAAAGGCTTATCTTACCAAGTGTTGGCAAGGGTGTGGAGGAAGCTAAACTTTTATACAGTGCTGGTAGGAGTGTAATATGACACAACCATTTTGAAGAGTAGTTTGATGTTCCTTAAAATGTTAAAGATACACAATTATATAATCCAGCTTAAAATGTTAAGCATACACAAATATATAGTCCAGCCATTCAAATTCTAGGTATTTACTCACAAGAAATGGAACATATGACATACAAACACTTGTCCACAGTCGTTCCTAGAAACTTTTTTGGCAGTTTTCCAAAAGCTGAAAACTACTCAAACATCCACCAACATGTGAGTGGGTAAACAAATAGTGTTATATCCATGGAACAGAATTATACTGCACAATAAAAAGGAATGAACTAATGGTGCATGCAATACATCAATGAATCACAAAATAATTATGCTGCATGAAAGAAGCCAGATTCTTCTGCAGCCCTCCAAAAAGAATGTATACTCTTCAACTCCATGTATATAAAACAGTAGAAAATACAAATTCAAATTAATTATGATTACAGAAAGCCATTCTGTAATCATAGCAGTTCTGCGCCTGAGGACGCAGAGAGGAAACAGGAAGGAAAAACTTAAAAGACACAAGAAAACTTGTGAGGGTGATGGATACGTTCATTATTTTAACTGCAGTGATGGTTTCATGGGTATATTCATGTGTCAAAACATAAAAGTGTACACTTTAAGTATATGCACTTTATTATATGTCAATTATAGGTAAATAAAGCTGATTTAAATAAACAAATGGGATATAAGTATAAAGTTTAATTTGAAAATTTCTTTAAAGTTAAATCTCTTCTATCTGTAGTAATTTATTAAGAAACATTGTCCCCAATCTGATCGAGAACAAAACTTTTTTGAGCACAGAAACTCACATCATTCTTTTAAGAAGAAATTTTAATGCTGATAACATGCTCAAGCAATTTTTAATAAAGTTCAACAATACTAATATTGGGGGAAATTCAGCCAGATATTGGGCGAAATTCACCCCCGATATTTCATGTAGATTCTTTTCTATTTTCTCTAAGTGTCAGCCGGTCTGAGAAATAAAGGGACAGAGTACAAAAGAGAGAAATTTTAAAGCTGGATGTCCGGGGGAGACATCACATGTCAGCAGGTTCTGTGATGCCCCCCGAGCCATAAAACCAGCAAGTTTTTATTAGTGATTTTCAAAAGGGGAGGGAGTGTGGGTCACAGAGATCACATGCTTCACAAGGTAATAGAATATCACAAGGCAAATGGAGGCAGGGCGAGATCACAGGACCACAGGACCGGGGCAAAATTAAAATTGCTAATGAAGTTTTGGGCACACATTGTCATTGATAACATCTTATCAGGAGACAGGGTTTGAGAGCAGACAACCAGTCTGACCAAAATTTATTAGGCGGGAATTTCCTCATCCTAATAAGCCTGGGAGCGCTACTGGAGACTGGGGCTTATTACATCCCTACAGCTTCAACCATAAAAGATGGCCACCCCCAAAGCAGCCATTTTAGAGGCCTACCCTCAGGGACGCATTCTCTTTCTCAGGGATGTTCCTTGCTGAGAAAAAGAATTCAGCGATATTTCTCCCATTTGCTTTTGAAAGAAGAGAAATATGGCTCTTTTCTGTCTGGCTCACTGGCAGTCAGAGTTTAAGGTTATCTCTCTTGTTCCCTGAACAATGCTGTTATCCTGTTCCTTTTTCAAGGTGCCCAGATTTCATATTGTTCAAACACACATGCTCTACAATTTGTGCAGTTAATGCAATCATCACAAGGTCCTGAGGCAACATACATCCCCCTTAGCTTACGAAGATGATGGGATTAAGAGATTAAACCAAAGACAGGCATAGGAAATCACAAGGGTATTGATAGGGGAAGTGATAAGTATCCATGAAATCTTCACAATTTATATTCAGAGACTGCAGTAAAGACAGGCGTAAGAAATTATAAAAGTATTAATTTGGGGAACTAATAAATGTCCATGAAATCTTCACAATTTATGTTCTTCTGCCATGGCTTCAGCCAGTCCCTCCGTTCGGGGTCCCTGACTTCCCACAACAAGTAAGGCTTCTTCTGAAATTAGCTAACCATTTATTGGTTATTAGTCAAGTATCTATGTTCTTTAGCTAGATGTTTTAGATGTTTTCTTTTTTCTTTTTTTTGTATCCAGATACCAATAATTGTCTGGTCAATCTTTTTACTTTGAAATTGTCCTTACCGAGAAAGAATATTTCAAATGGCCAGCTCAGCCCTCTCTTTTTGCAAACTTTGAAATAAAACTTTGACATAAGCTCAAATTTTTTTAAATTTTTATTTGAAAATTGTGAATCATTTAAATAAAAATGAGAGGGAGAGAAGAGGGGGTAATAGAGAGAGGGTGGTCAAGGAAAATAAGAAAATGATTAGTGGAAATCAAATTATTAAAATTTTCAGGAAAAAATCACGAAAATTTAACAAAATAAAGTGATTATGATTACATTTTAAAAATAATGATAAAATTGCAAAGAAGCTAAATAAGAGGATTTCAGTCATAAATATCAACATGCAGAGAGTACTGTGTAGTATCATAATGCTTTATTCTAATTAAGGCACTAGTAGTATTTACAAAATCATTAGATTGGGTTCAAATAAGTCTTTATCCCTTCTAATAAAAATGTATTTCTACCCTTATACAAGACAGAGTGCAATTATTATAATTCTGAGAAAATTTTAATAGTTTTATTAGCATATGCCAACATGAAATAAAATCAGTAGTGGCTTATTGTCATTGCTGTTTCCATTTAAAATAATCATTTATATCACTCTCAACCCAAAGGAGATTTCACAGCAGAAATCACCTTGTGCCTTTATTCTTAATCAGGGCTCTGTTGTGTCAGGAAAAAAGGAAAACTTGACCTTCTTGTTTTTAATGACCCAAGGGTAGTTATTTATTACATTAAATGTCATGAAAACCCACAAAATACAAAGGATTTCAGGCTGACACAGTATATCATCCCCACTTTCATACAAAGATTAATAGTCCAGGTACCAAGCAAAATACCAACAGAGAATAATCCTGACACCTGTTTCAACATCTGATGATGACACTTTGCTGAATAAAAGTTTAATCACTCATTTCCTATATCGTACAGACAGTTTTGTAACGAGACTACATAATTACAATTGAGAGAAGTTATATCATTGGCTAATACATAATTATATCTGGAAGCATAACCACTATATTGGGAAATTGAATCATTTCAAAAGAATGCTTTTCACACTCACAGTATTCAGGGAACTATTTAACGAGAGGGGTCTCTGGGCTCCTGCTCACACATTCAAATTCTTAGGTGCAATTTGGGAAAGATCCAGAAGGCCCAGAGAAAGGGTTTTGGTACTTGGTGTTAGAATAATTCAGACAAAAGGACAGTATATAATATTTTATAAAGAATCTTTTGCTAAGTTTCAACTCTACAGGATTCATTAAATTTGGAAAATAGTTGACTGTGCCCCTTTTTTAATCTAGAGCAATTCAAATTCTTGAAGTTCCATGTGTAAAGATCAGAAGAAATTGAAATCTTTCAATCATTGTCATCCCTGTCTGTAAGACAGCCCATTCTTAGATTGTTAGGCAGAGAGGCTGGATTCTCTCAGAATCACCCTCAAACTTATTCTGTATCAAATTCTATTTTGAAGAAAGTTGCTTCTCGAGTTCAAGCTTTTAAATGAAATTAGCATGAAGTAATAAATTCTTTCCCTAATGCAAACTGGAAATGGGAGTATGTAAGGAGTGCCAATGAATATTAACTAGAAGTCCTATCCACATTATTAGTTAGTTTGATGGTACTTTGTATGTGTCTCTGAAGGGTTCTTATTTGAAGAGGGCCTTTAAATGTTCATAGACTTAGTTGCTCAACACGTTGAGAATTTCAAACACTGTGACCAGTGAGAATTGATTTTTTTTTTTGTTTTAGATGGAGTCTCGCTCTTTCACCCAGGCTGGAGTGCAGTGGCGCGATCTTGGCTCACTGCAGGCTCCACCCCGCGGGGTTCCCGCCATTCTCCTGCCTCAGCCTCCCGCGTAGCTGGGACTACAGGCGCCCACCACCTCGCCCGGCTAATTTTTTGTATTTTTACTAGAGACGGGGTTTCACCATGTTAGCCAGGATGGTCTCGATCTCCTGACCTCGTGATCTGTCCGCCTCGGCCTCCCAAAGTTCTGGGATTACAGGCGTGAGCCACCGCGCCCGGCCGAGAATTGATTTTTGATCTTTTTAAGTCCTATAACATGATTGTGGCATGAAATACTACACTTAAATGCAGCTGGATCCTTAGTTAGGGTAAACAAAAAGTTGATCAATAAATCCACAAATCTTTCAATTTGAAACCCAAGACAAAGTTTTAGAAATCAGAGTCAGTAAATTTTAGAGGAGAAAAGGAGCTTAACCCTGTACTCTAACACCTTCCTTCCACCTGTCTCCTGTTCCTTCTTCAAGAAATAATTGAGTGTCTCTGTGTTCAAGGCACCGAGTTTATTTTACAGATAAAGAAACTGACGGCTAAAATATAAAACAGTTTCCCCAAAGCACTTTGCCAGAGCTAGGCTTTTGTTGATGACCATCACAAAACAAGCTGACAGCTCTTTGCTCCATCATGTTATTTCACATTAAAAATCTGAATTTACATACATCAGTGGAAACAATGGCAAAGATAAATATATGAGGCCGGGCGCGGTGGCTCACGCCTGTAATCCCAGCACTTTGGGAGGCAGAGGCAGGCAGATCACTAGGTCAGAAGATAGAGACCATCCTGGCTAACACGATGAAACCCCGTCTCTACTAAAAATACCAAAAAATTAGCCGGGCGTGGTGGCGGGCACCTGTAGTCCCAGCTACTCGGGAGGCTGAGGCAGGAGAATGGCGTGAACCCGGGAGGCGGAGCTTGCAGTGAGCCGAGATGGCGGAGTTCGCAGTGAGCCGAGATCGCGCCACTCCAGTCCAGCCTGGGTGACAGAGCAAGACTACGTCTCAAAAAAAAAAAAAAAAGAAACAAAATGAAAATATGAAACATTTCAGGAGTATAGAATGCTTTATTGTATTCTAATAATTCCCAAACGATCATTGGTAACACAATCAGAGATGGATAAAAAAAGAGACACACTCGCCTGTAATCCCAGCACTCTGGGAAGCTGAGGCGGGAGGATTACAAGGTCAGGAATTCAAGACGAGCCTGCCCAAAATGGTGAAACCCCGTCTCTACTAAAAATACCAAAAATTTAGCCCGACGAGGTGGCAGGCGCCTGTAATCCTAGCTACTCGGGAGGCTGAGGCAGAGAATTTCTTAACCCGGAGGCACAGGTTGCAATGAGCCAAGATTGTGCCACTGCACTCCAGTCTGGGCGACAGAGGGAGACTCCGTCTCGGGGAAAAAAAAAAAAAAATGACACACTCTTGGTCTGATGTGGAGTGACTTTCCATAGGACAAATATTTATATCCTAAACTTGTTCCATGTGCCTCATCTTTATTTATGGAAGCATTCTAGCTGACCAGCTGTTTTTACTGATGGAATGCAAATTATTTTTGTCACTTGAAATATTATATTCATATTATCTAGGTTTTAATAAAAAGAAGGGCTGGTTAAGTGAAAGAGATCTTAAAAGCATTGGTAGATGATTTACTAGTTTAGATCATTTCATCAGTGGGATCCAAGTGGAATGTGGCACTCCCAGCATACATGAGAACATCCACTGTAGTTCAGCAAGAAAATACCAGAACTTCATTTATATACTCAAATTTTATCGTTTTCTAATTTCTATTTCATATATGTTTATTGGAGTAAAAACTATGAATATGACATTCAAAGTACATAATTCTTAGTATAGGGTATAATAATAGCGTAAGATTTGTGAATATGCAAATTAGTTTTTGGGTTAAATGCGTAGGCTCCAGGACCAGATCTTCTGAGTTTCAAATTTAAAAGTGGCTCTGCCAATTATCACTTACCTATGTGATTGTTGGCCAAGTCTCTAAACCTTTCTTTCCCTCAAGTTTCTCATTTACAAATACAGATAATAATAAAAAATATTTCTCACTTTATAGAATTGTCAGAAACTTTAAATGAGCAAATACATATGAAGCATTTAGTATAGCACTTGTCATATATTAATAATAAGCAGCCAATAAATGTTAGTTATAAAAACAATTATTAAATATATATTATTACATGTATATACACATATTTTGAAAACAGTACCAAAACTTTTTTTTAAAATTTAATGACTGTACAATGAAATATATAGTGAGGAGATATGTATTTCATTATCTACTCTTATCAAAATAAAAAAACGGATGAAGACAAACAGATAAGGCAATATGTTTTATGTAAAAATTGAAGATTACCATATGCCAGCTCTGTGTTGGGATTTGAGGGAACTCAAAATTATTAAGACACTGACCTTGGCTTTTAAAGGATTTAAGATATTGCAGGAAGTAGGGAATAGAGGCAAAGAAGTGGAATCTGGAAAAGTACATAGCTAATTTGAAAAACTTTGAAAACTTCTATAATACAGGTACAATTACAAAGAAGTTACAAAAAAGATCATGTAAAATTGAGTTGTTTTAGGATGTGTCAAGCAAGTCCCCAGAGAGGAACCGGCATTTGAACTTGGACTAAAGGACAAATCACATTTATGAAACCAATATACACAGAGTGTCTTAAGCAGAAGAGATGAAGGAGACATTAACAAATACACACAAACTAAGTATATAAGATTATAGAAGAGGGTTTAATTTATGCCAAGAAGTTCCAAGAAGGCCTTTCAGAAAGACGTTTAATCTGACACCAGGATGATTAGTAAAAATTAGGATGAGGGATTTTTAAGCACCCTTATCTGCTAGCCATCTGAGAATACAGAAAGCTCAATCTCCATTTTGTTTCCATTAACTGCCAAAAGTCCCTTGCATCAGTTGAGTACATGCTACATGCACTATGCTAACTTGGCTATTTCACCTACATGACAATGTATATCCGTCATTATCCTTATGTTGAAGAGGTTAACTCTCTTTTTCTTAGAAAAACTAAGTTCTTAGAAATATATTCTTTTGTACTGTATTAATGTATTCCAATTATGTTTCTTCTGTTTCACAGAACAATGTGAAACTTTGAGGTCTGAAGATTCGGCTCAACTATTCTTGAAGCACGAATTATAAAGATGCATTCAGCATGTGATGCATTTTGTCAGTATGAGTTCCATATATATTTGTGAGAAAAGAGAGATATAATTTTCATGAGAGAGCTGAAATTCTAGATTGACCTTTCCTTGTTTATCTCAGTTGGAGAGCTAGAAGAAAAGTTTCTGATGAAGATTTCTCCCTAATTTGTGTCAAACAAATGTCTTAAAAAGACAAATAAAAATCTTATAAATGTGACTGAAAAATGTTTCTACCTTAGATTAAACATGTTGCTTTGTAACTTTATTAGTAAAACCTTTCAGAACTTTCAGATCATTATTGGAAGCAAAATATGTAAAATAGCTAAAAGTAGAGCTGTTCAAGGTGAAATAAGTTTGGTAGAGGCCATGAGGGTTCTATGGATTATAATTGAAACTTGAATATTGTGAGGATGAAATTTTAATGGATTCATTATTCTGAAAAAACAGAGTGTTAAAAAAAGATACTTTCAAAAGACGTTCATTCTATTTGCTTTCTCCCTTTTCTACTGTTCACATAAAAGTGGGTTGATAGTAAAAATGAAATATTATATTAATTCATACAGGGTACGAGAACAGCCAGCTGTGTTAGCAGTTACTAACTTTCAAAGGCTCCCTGTCTGCTAATTTAAGTCACAGTTCTGTCTGCCACACAGGGTATGGGCCAACTTTTAGAGTCCCCATAATGCAGTCCAGTCAAACCCAGTCCCTGCCTTTGTTGGGACTAAGCATAACACAACAAAAAGAGATAAAGAGGGAGTTTGAATGGCCATTCTCTCAGACATCTGTGCATGAGTCACATCAAAAGACTATCAGCAAGGAATACACATATGCTGCAGCCATACAAGAAGCAACTGAGTTGAAACAGGTACCTGGCCCTTCATCCCACCAGGATTCCCATGTTCTTTCAAGGTTCACTGAGTTAATATCAGGCTACAATTGGACTAATTTGCTTCACAATCGGAACAAGAATGACTCAAAGCACTTCTGTCCTTATAAACACCTAAGAAATGCAAAGGAAAGAATTTCTTTAATTTCACTGTTTCTATAGAACTGAAATACATTGAGTGACAACTCCTCATTGTAAATTAGCACTTGAAAAAGTTAAATACAGATCATGAACATCAAATTATACACATATTTCTATTTATATCATTGATTTATTCATAAGCATATATTATATTGTATAATCTCCAAATTTCTGTTTGGGAGAAGAAAATTAATATTTAAAGTGTGAACTATGTGTTCATCTTAGTAGAACCTCATGATAACTTTGGGAGTTGGAGATTATTTTTATCAAGTTCAAAAAGGTTAAATAGCATGCACAAAGTCACTTGCAATGGTCAGTGATAGAATGTGACACTTGTTTGGCTGAAGCTAAATTTCATGCTTTTTCACAACTATAAAAAAAACAGTCTACTTAGAAAATGAGCTCCAAAGGACAGAGAGATCAATTGTTGTATTGTCTATTGACAAGAATTCCGCCTGGCATTACTGGTCATGTGGGTATTTAATTAGTAAGTATGTCCCACAAAAGAGATCCCTATATTTGAAAATATAAAGACCTAAGATTACTATTGGAAATGCTTATTACTAAAAATTGTGATAACAATAAAACCATCATTTCTTGGGTGCTTTCTCTAGGCTAGGCACTGTACTAAGCAAACACTTGACAAAACACTACTTAATCCTCATAACAATAATCTTTATTGTTTCCCACTTTTTACAAGTTAAAAACTGAAGCTTAGAGATGTTCAGCTGCTTGCTACATACACTTGGTTAGTAAGTGGCAGAAGGAGCCTTAGAATGTAGGGCTGACTCAAAAGCCTCTTCCATTAGTTAATAGTTTAAAACTCTTTATAGTCAGTGACAATTTATGTATTGCATTTATTAGAAATAATTACAAAGTATGAACTGCCCAGCAGACAGAAGAGAAATAAACATTTAAAGAGTCAGGATCTACACATGAAATCAAATTTAACACAATGTATAATGGGAAAATTGGGGCTTCCATATAGATTTCAAAAGTAATAGGGATGGCCACCCACCTTCCGTGACTTGTGGCCCCTCTCCTCCTCCATTCTCAAAGCCAGCAATAATGGGTGGAACCCTGTCAGTCTTCTAATCTCTGCTCCTTCTTTCATCTATCTTTTTCTTTACTACTCTCTTATATGGATTTATATGATTAGATTAAGACCACTCAGATAATTCAGGATAATCTCTCTGTTTTAAGATTCCAAATCTTAATTGTATCTACAAAATTGCTTTTATCATGTAAAATAAGAGATTTATAAGTTTCAGGGATTAGGGTGTGAACATCTTGGGGGGCTGTTATTATTCTTCCTACCACAACCCCTCAGCAACATACTTAAACTAGTAACACATACAGCGTGAATGAATCTTAAATTTATGACACTAAATAAAAGTGTTACATACTGTATGATTCCTGTTATATGACATTTGGAAAAGACAAAACTATAGAGGCAGAAAATAGATTGGTTGTTTCCAGGAAATGAGAATGAGAGGAGGCGACTGATTACACAGGAGCTTGAGGCAATTTTTTGGGTGATAGAAATGTTTTACATCTTTCTTCTGATGGGATTATACTGCTGTGTGCATTTGTCCAAACTCATAGAACTGAATCCTAAAAAGAGTAAATTTTTATATGTAAATTACATGCAAGAAAACTGATTGAAAACAAACAGAAAAGAAAAAGGTATTAATGCTTCACTGAGTCACCATGAATCTTAAAGTACTAGAATTTTAGGGCTTAAAGTACTAGAATTAGTAGGGTGAGAATATGTCCCTAATTTTCTGAGACTTTACTGATTTCAAACATTTTGTCTCATTGCTCCTATGGAATTCCAGCTATACGAATATTTTAGTGTGCAAAATATACTTTGTGCACCCAAGAAAAATTCCATCACACGTCAGTTGTTCCAGTTTTGCATTGGAAACATACAATCCCCTCATTCTCAAGGGTCACATAGCTTAGTTCCATCATTTCCAAGAAGAAGCAGCAGCCAGTGAGATTAAGTAATTTGCTTGAGGTCATATATCTTATTAGTATGAGAGCCAGGAGTAGAATTCATGTCTCTAAGCTCCAGTCCACTACTCTTATCACTGAACTGAAGGGTTCTTAGAAATCTAAGGGAAACTATAATTGTTTCTGTCAATCCCAATATTTAAGCATTAGTGAGACACCTGTGCAACTGCACAAATTGTGAATGATGCTGCAGTTAGCCGACATAATTGGTGACAATTTCAGTAGTTATATTTACTTTTCCAGATGTGTGTGCTGCTCTTAGGCTCTGGAGAAATAGTTATATGGCATTAGACTTACTTATGAATTGGTCAAACAAACAGGTATCTTTAGACGTTCACTTAGGCAATATGTTCTAGGGATGGGGTCAGGAATATAACTTTAGGCACAGGACGCAGAAGTGGAGAAGACAGAGGCAGTACTATATAGTACAGTTTAATGACGGGAGCCAGATCGCTCTCTATGAATGGCAGCTTCATTACCTTCAAAAGATTTCTTCTCAAAGATCCAATTCAATAGAGGACTCTCAATCCAGACTGAGACTAGGGATTTGTTTACTTGCCAACTCCCTCAGACATCTGTTCCCCTTCTGTTTCCTTCTTGACGTTAAGAAGCCCTGTTTTATCATGGCAGGACACTGAAACTCGGGGAGCACTTTTAGCTAGCTTCAAATGGCAGATTCTTATAGCACAGAAGTATAGTATGGTCTGATTGACAGCATCAGTAATTTAATGCACTTTGTCTTGCAGCTGCCAATCCATGGCATAAAATGACAGCTCATTTAATCACATTTCTTAGGATGAATAAGTTACTTTAATTTTTGTTAATTTTTTTTAAATATTGGCAAACTCATGCAATCACATTCATTCTCACCCTTATCCCATTGAAATTAAAACACTCACTTCATTTAAAGAAATGCTTATCAAAGAGTTGAATACAAACTATTCCATATGTTTCTCCATAACTATCTTGAGAAAATACCCAAACAAATTACCTACTGAAATTCAAGAATCAAGAAGCCAGAGACCTGCTTCAGAAGTAAAACATTTGACAAACATGTTGTCACAATAAGCCTCTATGGGATCATTCAGCCCACAAGATATAACATGTTAGAGGCAGAGAAAACTGCATATAGCCAGGCAGAAACTACATAAAAGACATGCAAAAGCCAGTGTGCTGAAAATTCAAAAGTTAGGAAACCTGAGTTCTAGTTCACCTCAATCACTAGTCATAACAGTAATGGAGGGCCTACTATGTGCCAGTGAATTGATGTGCTGTATTAGTTAAGGTTCTCTGGTTGCAAGCAATTGAAACTGTTACTGGCTAAAGAGAATGTACTGGAAATATATTAAAAGTTTATGAATTCAAAATGAAGAGTGGAGAAGCAGATTTCAAAGCAGAGAAGTGCTATAATAGGGCCAAGAAACAGAGACTATAGGACCTGTCCCATTCAACATGAACAGGCTTCAAACATTCTCAATTTCATTGTTGATCTGCCTTATATTCAAATTCAGATTGGAAATATATGCTGAACATATTTTAGGTCATGTCCTGGGTTGGGACAAGGTCAGGGCCCACCCAATTACACCCACCAATGAAGAGATAGTTTCCCAAAATAAATTCCATTGGATGTTAGGACAGGCGATGGAAAGCTAGATTCCAGTCACTGGAATGGAAAAAAAGAAAAAAAACAAACTCAACAATTTAATTTTGATGCATATTTTTATACATCCATCAATGAGATCCATTTTGTAAATACAATAAAATCACATCATTCCAAAAGCTTTCCATGCTACTTGGAATAATCCAAACTACTTACCTCAGCTTACTAAGCTTCATCTCCAATTTTGTCTTGTAGTATTCTCCTTACACACTAACCTTGAGACACATGGGTTTTTTTCATCTTTAGACACATCAAGTTCATACTGGCCTTGGGCCTGTGCTCCAACTGTCCCTTTTGCCTGGAATGTCCTTACATTTCATGGATGAATCCTTCTGATCATTTGGATGACAGCACAAATGTTTCCTCATCAGAGAGGTTTTCACTGATCACCCAAGCTAAAATTAATCAATGACTTCCTATCATATCACACCATTTTCATTCCACTTAAAAAATATTACCTGTCACAACTAAAATATAAGATTCACTGAGAATAGTAAGCCTCTTTTGCATATTTGATAGTTCCTAGACATAGTAGGCACTCAGTACACACACACACACACACACACACACACACACACACACACACGTTTACAATAAATACTTTTTTAAATAACCAAACATAATAGATTTTATTTTATTCACTTTATAGAAGAGGACACTGAATTTAATAAAAATTAAGGAACTTGCACATCAAACATTTATGTATGGCATAATTCAAAGTCAGATCTGTTTGGATCCAAGGCCAGGCTCTTAAACACTGTCATGTACTGATTGTCTATCACTACCTGTATGATTTGGGGTAAGTCACTGGACGTAAAGATGCTTTTCTAATTTTTTTTAGCAGCAGAATATATTTTCTCTCTAAATAAAATCATATAGACAACCTCAATAAATTGCTAATTTGATATATTCAAAGACACAATGTTTATTTATTGTGAAATCATTCAGTGAAAGTAATAAGATTGCCTGACCAATACATTTTAAAATTTCTAGCTGAATATGTTAAGAAAATCCCTATTTATATGTACACAGTGAGACACAGTGAGCTTTTAAAAACTGACCTCCTTGAAATCTCAACATACTCATTGATTGCAGGTATGGCAGGAAAATCTTTATTCTAATTGTGCCCAGAAGGGAGTTAACCTGGAATCACATGTTTAGATATTGATGGTCTCCAGTGTGTTAAAATCTGGTGTATAAAAATAGTCCCAGAGTGGGTGGTTTATTATTATGCCACCTAAAATACAGTTTAATATGTTATATATGCACAGAAAAACTTGTAGAATTTCAAAAGGATCTTCAAAAAATTCACAGTTTAAAATCTGTGGGCCTAATGGATTACCTATAGCTCTCACATTCTGTAGGCAAATTCTGTGCCTTTTGATATAACTATATTTGCTCTGATAAAGTAATATAAGAAACAACCTGGGTGCGGTGGCTCACGCCTGTAATCCCAACACTTTGAGAGGCCAAGGTGAGTGGATCACTTGAGGTCAGGAGTTCTAGACCAGCCTGGCCAACATGGTGAAATGCCACCTCTACTAAAAATACAAAAATTAGCCAGGTGTGGTGGTGCGCACCTGTAATCCCAGCTAATTGGGAGGCTGAGGCAGGAGAATCACTTGAACCTGGGAGGCAGAGGTTGCACTGAGCTGAGATCACGTCATTGCACTCCAGCCTAGGCAATGGAGGGAGACTCTGTCTCAATCAATCAATAAAATAAGAAGCAAGCCAAACAGATCCAAAATAGTCTCAAAATAAGCTGTAAATAACTCCAGAGCGTAGCATCAAAGCAAACATAAGTTCGGAGAACAATGGCAGGATAATGGGCACCTGACAGTAACCAATCACAATTAATTACCATCACCTGCTTTAAAAGGTAGACGGCTAACATCACCATATATCAGAATAAGAGGCTGAGGAGGAATCATCAGACATATAATTTGTAAAGAAGCTGATAGAAATAATGCATGGTATTATAACAGAAATTAAAAGCTACCCCTAAAATACTAATAGTTGATAAGAAAAGACAGGTAGGTTAACGAAGCAATCCAGGAAACCTAACAGTACAAATGCTCTAAGGCTCTTCCTTTGTTTTGCAGATTCTAGAGAAAGTCACAGCTTTCTACAGCTCTTATATAAACAAAAGCCTTGGTGTGTTATACTGAGGAAATTATTTGTCTAAAGCAAAATGTTGTATCCGTAAGGCTAATACTTAGAGTCAGAAGGGGATTAACCATGAAGCAAGCAAGTTTAGGATTGAAAGTCTCTGGCTTGCACGGGCCCCTGTCAAGGCTTCATTCCTATTTTTCCATTAGCAGTTATTCGTTTGTTGGTGTTTTTAAAAAAATAATAGCCGTATCCCTTCCCCAAATTTTATAAGCTTCAAGCCCCACAAACCTGCATCTACCTCTGGTTTCGGTAATCGGTTTTTACTTGTGAAGGAACCAGGTATAGTTGTCAGAGGTGTTTGAACAAGAGCAACTCCATCTTGAATAAGGGCTGGTTAAAATGGGGCTGAAACCTACTGGGCTGCATTCCCAGGAGGTTAGACATTCTAAATCATAGGATGAATAGGAAGTTGGCACAATGTACAGGTCATAAAGACCTTGCTGATAAAATAGCCTGTGGTAAAGAATCTGCCAAAACCCACCAAAACTAAGATGGCAATGAAAGTAACCTCTGGTCATCCTCACTGCTCATTATATGCTAATTATAATGTATTAGCATGCTGAAAGATACTTCCACCAGTGCCATAACAGCTTACAAACACCATGGCAACATCAGGAAGTTACCCTATATGGTCTAAAAAGGGGAGGAACCCTCAGGTCCAGGAATTGGCCACCCCTTCCCCAGAAAACTCATGAATAAACTAACCCTTGTTTAACATATAATCAAGAAGTAAAAATACATATAAGCAGCTGAGCAGCCCATGCCACTGCTCTGCCTATAGAGTAGCCATTCTTTTATTTCTTTACTTCTCCGATAATATTGATTTGCCTCAAATTCTTTCTTGCACGAGATCCAAGGACCCTCTCTTGAAGACCCCTTTCCAGTAACATAGTCAGTACCAGGTGTGACTATGGAGCAGCAAACTAAATTTTATGTCTCTCTTAACTTCTCTCTTCCACGTATCTCTCTTTCAGGCTCACATACACTCCCTCTCTCTCTCCTTCTCTCCCTCTCCTCCCTCTCCCCCTACCTATCCCCCATCTCTGTCACTGACTAAGATGGCCTGTTTCTCTCAGCTTGACTAAACTTTAGACAGGTTTGTTCCTGATTATAGGCCCCTGAATTCTCTTTCCTTAGGGCATTTATATTAGAAAACTTGCAATTATAAATAATTTATCCTCCCCTTTAAGACATAAATTTTGTTTCAGCCTCTTGCCAGTTACACAACTTAGAAAAGTCTTTTTTAAGGACCTAGGAGTCATACCTTTGAAATATAATCATCAAGAAAGATAGAACCCCTATCTCCTAGTCTCTGTAGAACAGCTGGAGCCAAACTTCACTAAGTACCAATAAGAAAACACACACGGTCTGATATGGTTTGGCTGTGTACCCACCCAAATCTCATCTTGAATTGTAGCTCCCATAATTCCCACTGTGTTGTGGGAGGGACCCGGTGGGAGATAACTGAATTATGGGGGTGGTTTTCCCCATACTGTTCTTGTGGAAGTGAATAAGTCTCACAGGACCTGATGGTTTTATAAGGGATTTCCCTTTTCACTTGGTTCTCATTCTGTCTCGTCTGTCACCATGTAAGATGTGCCTTTTGCCTTCTGCCATGATTGTGACGCCTCCCCAGCCACATGGAACTGTGAGTCCATTAAACCTCTTTTTCTTTATAAATTACCCAGTCTCGGGTATGCCTTTATAGGCAGTGTGAAAATGAACTAATACATGGTCTAATCACATTGATTAAACTCTGGCCTAGTACCCTCCAGTACTATCCTATTAGCTCACACCAGGGCTTAAAAACTCTCCCACATTTTATTTAAACAGAGTTGAGCTCAATCTCTCTCCCCTACTGCAACAGTCTTAAATAAAGTCATCCTTGCCTGTTTAAGTCTGTCCATTGCAATTCTTCTTTGACAATTCATACATACAAACTTTTGTTTTGTTTTGTTTAGACAAAGTCTCGCTCTGTCGCTTAGGCTGGAGTGCAGTGGCGTGATCTTGGCTCACTGCAACCTCCGCCTCCTGGGTTCAAGCGAGCCTCCTGCCTCAGCCTCCCGAGTAGCTGGAATCACAGTCACCTGCTACCATATGTGACTAATTTTTGTATTTTTAGCAGAGATGGGATTTCACCATGTTGGTCATGCTGGTCTGTAACTCCTGACCTCGTGATCTGCCCACCTTGGCCTCCCAAAGTGCTGGGATTACAGGTGTGAACCACCACACCCGGCCACAAACTGTTTTTATAATGCTGTAGATAAAGTGTTTAGTTCTAGTGCGTGCCAATGTCGGTTTTTTCCTCAGATTCTTTAACCTTGCTCCTCTACCCTAACCCAATTTTTCACTTCCTTTGTTTGTTCACTTAAATCTTACTTTCTCTGGCATTCCTAGCTATAAAAACTTGATATTCTATATCACTGCTTCCTGTTTGTTTCTTATACAGTGTTCACCACAAATAGTAATTACTGTATTTGTTGTTCACCTGTCTATTACCTGGTTCTTCCATGAGATGGTATGTTCCATGAGATTAAGAACTATATTGGCATCGTTCACTGTTTTGCTTTTCTTTAATCCTCAGAACATAGCACAGTGCTCTAAGACATGGTATATACTTAATGAATGTTTTTCAAATAAACGACTGAATAAAATACATCAATAGTATTTTTCTAATCCCAAATCATAGGCTCCATAATTCACAAATGTTAGGAAGGTTCAATATTCCTTGGGGATCATGGTCACAAGAGAACAGGCACAATAGGTGATTGTGGCATGCTGGTTACATGGTCACCCCTGGACACATAAATACCATTACTGAGAAAAGCACTAGGGGAATGGCTAAGGGCCTCATTCACCTCTTCACATCCAACAGGCTTGCTAAGGTCTGAATGCAATTTGTGTCTCTCCAAAATTCATTTGTTGAAAAATTGATCTTCAATGTGGTGGCATTAAGAGGTGGCCATTTGGGAAGTGATTAGGTCATGAGGGCTCCACCCTCATGAATGGGATTAGTACCATTACAAAAAGGCTTGTTCACCTCTTCTGCTATGTGAAGATGCAGTAAGAAGGTGCCATCCATGAGAAACAGGCCCTCCCTAGACACTCATTCTGCTGCTGCCTTAATTTTGGACTTCCCAGCTTCAAGAACTGTGAGCAATAAATTACTATTGTTTATAGATTACCCAGTCTAAGGTATTTTGTTATAGCAGCCCATGTGGACTAAGAAAGTCTGCTACCATCATTCCCACCTCCAGCTGAATGAGTATTAAGTCGGCAGGAAGAAGTCCCGAAAAAATGTTTAAAATAGGAATAAGCTCAAGAACCACTGGCAATGCATTTCTTCCAGCTCTGAGGAAGAATGAATGGCTTTTTCAAGCTCATTTTGTGAGTTGAGGTGGAAAATCTCTCTCATTTTTATCTACTTCTAAGCTTAGTCCAACAGCAGTTCTCCCTTAGGGGGAGTGTGGAGGATTATTTGGCCCAGTGTTTAATTACCATAGGCCATATTCCCTTTACAGTCAAACTGGCAAATTTTATCTCAGAATTTTGTTTGTTTTTCAAAAACAGCAGAAATAAGCACACTTGTTTTTGTCATCTTTGTGCTAACATCTAATTGATATTATACATATATGGGCTTTGTATGGCAATAAAACAGTTGGTTAATTTTAGTTTCATCTGATAAAATATACTGGCAGCTGTTCTTACAAATCTGTGATGATAATGTGAAAATCACTCATCAATAAAAAAAGTCATGTGATATATTCAATATTCTATCATTAAACGTCTAGTGTAATGTGATCAACAGAAACAAAGAAAGGAAGGAAGGCAAGGAGAAAGGAAGAAAGGAAGGAAGGAAGGAAAGAAAAAAAATAAGAGTGGAAGAGTTATGTGAAAGTACAACATACACTCTCAGCAGCCAGGGGCCCAGACCCTCCTTTCAGACTTTTGGACCCTGTGAATGTGTGCATCAGAAAGCTCTTAGCAGGAGCGAGAACAAATACGCAGCAAGAAGAATTGCAGTGGAGAATATTAAAGAACATGGAAAATCATATATTGTATCCAGAGGAAATCACTAGGAAAAGACCCTATGGCTCATAGCACGTGTAGTAGAAATGAGACAACCATTCTCAGGTAAGCAAAATGAGGAAAGTTAGAAGGCAGCTGTTACTTGCCTTTTGATAAGTAGAGATGGGATATTAACAATAAGGTATCCAAAAAGTAAAAGGCTGTCTGTAATGTTATTTATATCTAACATTATGGAAAGTCCAATGTGTTGTGATAATTAGAATGAGAGTTGGTTGTGAAGCAAAAAGAACAAAACTAAATGAATAGCAGAAGAAATATGTCAGACATTTTCACAACCAAACATATGCCTTCAGCATCCTTGTAGAATATGTTGTTCTTATCTCTAAGGGGCTGGTTATTATTGTGGGAACTAGGAAGAGAAGAGGAATTTTTAGAAAGATTTTTTAAAAAGTCCATCTTTGAAAAAAAAAAAGCAGAATGACGGAAATAATTTAGAATGCTAACCTTAATTTAATCTTGGGAATGGCATAAAACAAATCATTAAGAACCTTAAGGCACTAAGCAAAACATTAGGAAAGCCATAATGTGCCAAATTTCCTTAATTTTCTTCATTAAGGGAGTAATGCAATGTACATAAAAATATGTATATAATCCAATGGAACTCAAATAAGTTATAGGATTCTTCCAGTTAACTATTTTAGTAAGCCAAGAATATCATCTCAATATCATACATTGATCAGGTTACAAGATGTCAGTAGGTCACAGTCAAAATTCTGAAGATTTATTGTTGAAAGACAAAAATAGTGAGAGACAGTGAGTCCTTCTGGGATTAATACTGGTGCCATTTGACAAAAAAATAATATCTAAGAAAACAGTGAAAATTAATGGAATACATTGAATGGCCTTCACAGAGACTTCTCAGGTTCTCACCCCATCCGTATACGAGCTAGGCCTTATCCCTTACAAGAGCAGTCCCAGTATTTCTTGGTGTGTTGCTCATGTTCATAAATATTTTTGCATATTCCTTTGCTCCAGTCACTTACTAAGACAGACAGAAGGCTCCCAAATCTGAAACCAAGCCTCCAGTTTCCAAAGGAGCCGAGATTTCCTAATAGTCTAATTGTGCTCAGCTCATTTTGCCTCTGTCCAAAAGTGGGAAGAATGGTTCTCTCCATTTCTAGTCATAATTCTGTCCCATGGCACAAAGCAGAGCTTCTTATTTCCCTGTATCTGACAAATACTCCCTTCAAAGCAGTACCTTCTGCCTGTTACTAAACCCCTTCTCTCCATATGGCTTAACTTGAGGGCTTGGGCTAATAAGGTAGGGGCACACACCACGCTGTCTCTTCGGCCAAGTCATTATTTCTTGTCATGTATATACAAGTTTTGCTCCTGTTCAATCTAAAATGCTCATGATAATTGACTCCTGGTACAACATGCATGTTCAGACTTGTTTGAGCCAGGGCTTCGGTTCAAGCCAGGATATCCAAGCATACACAAAAATTCTTTATATAATTGCACTTGCTATTCTCTCTGCCTGGAATAGTTTCCTTCCCACTCTCCCCTTCTTTCACTCATTTACCACTGCAACTGCTACCTCCCCCATATTCTTTATCTGGCTAATTTTAACTTGCCCTTCAAGACTTCAAACAGGCATGACCTTTTCCATGCAGACCATCCTGACCCCACCCTGAATTAGATAGCCATCCTCTGGGGTTTTATATCACCTTGTGCATATCTCTATGAAAGCACCTCACCTGTGTATAGCTCTATGAAACTTTATTTGTCTATTTGTGTATTTAGCTCTTCCAATAGACACTTTCTTTTAATTTTTATGTATTTATTTCAACACTTTATTTTTTGAGCTTGCTATTTACTGAATTCTGCGCCCCTAGTGTTCATCTATTGAAGCCATAACCCCCAATGCGATAGTGTTTGGAGATGAGGTCTTTAAGTGGTAATCAGGTCATGAGAATGGCACCCTCATGATGGAATTAGTAACTTTATAAGAACGAACAGGAGAGAATGCTCTCTCTCTCTTCTCATCCACACAGAGATAAGGCAATGTGAATACACAGTGAGATGGTACTGCCTACAAGTCAAGATAAGAGACCTCAGAATGAAATCTATCTTGCTGACACTTTAATCTTGAATTCCTCAGCCTCTAAAATTGTGAGAAATAAATTTCTGTTGTTTAAGCCACTCAGTCTATGGATTTTGTTATGACAGCCCAAGCTAAGACAAAGAGCAGTTTTAGGTTTACAGGAAAATTAAGCGTAAAGTACAGAGAGCTCCCATATGTCACCCATCCTCTCTCCACAAGTTTTCCTCATTATTAACATCACACATTAGTGTGGTACATTTGTTATCATTGATGAGCCAATATTGATACATTATATTAGATGGTCATATTTTTAATCTCCATATCCCTAGACCCTAAGGGCTGTGCTTGGTACATGGTAGATGTTTACTAAATACTGAATTTAGTAAAAGAATTATACGAATAAATAAATAAATAATGGCTCTGAAACACTTGATTCACCCAAAATGTGATCTGTTATTGTGAATTACTGATCACCTTGACTGTGACACCTGGACATGGTGGGCAGGTCTAAAGCTGAGCCCCAACTTCATGCCATCTTTTAACATCCTGTTTCTTTTATGCTTAATGCTTTGTGGTATACTCTTCTCCCGTTCTCACCTTCCAGGACATGTGGTGTTCAAAAGAGTGACCACAAATTTTGGATTAGAAAAATAATTTAGGTAGGTTTTAATATGAAATTTCGTAATTCATTCTGCCTCATTCAAAAAATAAGACAGATTTTCAAGAGACATGAAGATCTGGTAGGATACTGTTGCTATTTCTAACTTTATTTCTTAATGGTTATAAACTTAAATAGGCTAAATTTTCTTTATTAAACCTGTGTGAAGTTGACATTGTTTTAAAAACAATGTTTCAAAATATTTATTATTTATTAAGTAATCTAATAATTTCATAATAATTTTAAAAAGTATTCAACTGAAACAAAAGAGTTTATTCCTTTCCAGGTCTCTTTATTGGTGAGGGGTAAAGAAAACCCATACTTTCTCAATAAATCTTAAACATTATTAATTAAAAATAACTTTTAGTTCAGTCTCATAATTTGTGGCCAAGAATATAGAAGCAAACAACTTCTATATTTTATATGCAAGAAGAAAAGAACAAAAACCAAATAAACAAGCAAAAAACTTAAATCTCCATAACCTTAATTAATCAAGTAGAGTTGAAAATGCTATCTATGCTAAATATGAATCTGTTCTAATCACTTCTAGAAACTGGGCCCTAAGATATGCAAAGTAAATCTCTCAAAACAGGAGTACATTTTCTGATGCATATAAATTCTTCCCACATAACTAATATTGTTACAGTTTTTCTTTTTTGTTTTTTGGAGAAGAAGTCTCACTCTGTCACCCAGGCTACAGTGCAATGGCCTGATCATGGGTCAGGGTAGCCTCAACATCCTGGGCTCTGGTGATCCTCCAGCCTTAGTCTCCCAAGTAGTTGGGACTACAGGCACACGCCACCATGCCTGGCAAATTTTTGTAATTTTTTTAGAGACAGAGTTTCACCATGTTGCCCAGCCTGGCCTCGGACTCTCCGGCTCAAGCAATCCTCCTGTCTTGGCCTCCCCAAAATGATAGGATTACAGGATGAGCCACCATTCCCATCCTGATATACTTTAAAAATCACATAAAGGAAAAAGAAACTTTTTTGGAATTGCTGATCACCTTGCACATGTCACTAACCTGGATGTGGTGGGCGCATCTAAATCTGAGCTCCAACTTCATGACATCTCTTATTAAAGAGTCTTTTTGCCTTACCTGATTTTTCAAAGGATTATCTAAAACATTTGTAGATAATAAAGTTCTTATATTGATCTTTCATTAAAATAATCAACCTAAATGCCAAATAAACTTACGTTAACCTGATACCTAATTAATTAAAGCACACAGTTATGTGCCATTTAAGTAAACTCTGAAGAAAATTCTCTGATTTTTTTAATAGACTTTATTTTTCAGAGCAATTTAGGCACCTTTCAATCTCTTTTTAGAATTTTTTTTTTCTAGTCCTTGCTTAAGACTTAAAAAATCCTGAAAAGTAGATAGTAGGCCTGGGGCTGTAGTTTCTATTAGGTTGATGTCAAAGTAATTGTGGTCTTGCCGTCACTTTCAAAACCGCAATTACTTTTGCATCAACCTAATAATCCAAGGCGCTACACTGAGCTTCCTCTTTGACCCTTACCTGGCCTGAGACTCACATGGAAGGTTTCTCTGGAAGTGAAAACAGTAATGTACCAATTCTCTAATAAACGAAAAAGACATGGTCTTAATAGAGGCACACATATTTTGTGGTGAAAATTTCTTACAAGGACACTTCTCAAATCATCCTAGGGTGGTACTATCTATTCTTGAAGTTGGCCTTGTTGAAATGGGATAAAAATTAAGTACAGAAAAAAAAAAAGGCAGGGGGAATGGGGAAAAGGTTTTGTAAGAGCCAAACTCAAGACAGAGATGGGCTCTTATAAGAATCTGACTGGTTCCTCTCATGAAAAGAGAATCAAATGAAAGGAAATGAATAGAGTTTGATTGAAACAAGAACCTTATTTAGTCATAAGAATTCAACGCATGCCTGGAGGAATTCATAAATCCCTAAGTAGGAAAACCTGTAAAACTCTGGCCCAGGAAAAGTCCATAGGAAGTGAATGGTTAAAGCACATATCAGCGTGGGGATGGGGGCTGACTCAATGGTCTCTGCCTTGTTTTCTAGGTCTGTGATCTGATGATTAAATGTAATCAGAAAGAAGGGGATCGGGTAAACATCCTCACTCCTCAAAGTTTAAAGCTAGATGTTTTAACAAGAAAATGAAAGTGTTATGATTCAGAGATATTTATCTTTAATTTCTGCAGTTTTACGGATCAAAATCCAGCTGGTCTTTCCAAAAATCAGTCAGTAAAAAGAAGAGACACATCCACAGGAAACATCACACTAGAAGCTTTCTAACAAGTTGTGAGTCACACAAAAAGAAGAACAATTAAGTTAGGCAAACATCGTGCCCATGTCTTTGTGTTTTAACAATTGAAGGCAGATACTTACATTTGGGAACACAGTTGATTAAACAGGAAGAACACTTGATTCAATAAAAAATATCTACAGTTGCTGTAAAGCTTCTTTAAAAGAAAGAGACCTTTCAGTGTAAGGGTAATGTAGGTCAACTAGTAATTGTCTAAGGACACATCAGACATTTTTAAAGGACAGATTTGTATAAGGTTAATCTAGGTGGGAGGCTAAGGTACATTCAAATGTAAATACAAAGATATTTAGGACAACTGCATGGCAAAGTCAAGCCACAATGGTAACTTGATGGAGCTGATAAGGGAAGATACATTTTTCTTCTTCTTCTAATCCAGTGATAACTACTTAGTTTTCAAAATACCTCAAATGAAAAATGTACATTGTTATTCAGGAAATTAAACCAAATTGAAAACCAGTCAATCCTCAAGTGTGCATATTAAAGCTGTGACGTACTCTTAAGATATTTTTAATGAACTTTCAAAATATAATCACGTCAGGGCCGTGCCATATCCTCTGATTTATGCATACACAGTTCTTTAAAAGTCATACAACTACTATGTAAGATATTCGAACGGGGTATCATCATTGCTCCAAATGACTTAAAAACTGTACATGAGCAGACATTCTCTCAGTGCATTAAATCTAACATTATATTCATTTGAAAAGCGCAAAGGAAATGAAAATATTGCTTACAAATGACCTTATTATACTTTTGTCAGTCTGCTGTTTCATAAAAGAAAGGGAACCATGATACTGGGGCACAGTAACATTAGCAAAATTATCAAGAATTTATCTAACGCTGATTTATATTTCAGATTTGAAAATTAGATTACAGGCTTCCCCTTGTGCTGCAGTTTGCTTCTTTGTAAAAGCAGGAGCTGTTTCTGCTCTGAAGCCTTCTCTGAACATAGAGTAGCTTCCCTGGTGGGTGAATGTTGTGGACACATACATGTTACCTACTGTAAGAAATTTAATGAAATATAAGAAAGAAGATGGCCTGAGAGCTTTCAATCTTATAAGCAAATAAGATACATGAGGAAAAAAGGTACTATGAGTGACGAAACTCTATTTGTAAATCCTGTATTTATATTTCTTCTGATGGCAAACTAGGGAACTAAATAATGGTACAATTATTTAAAGACACTATTCAGCCAATTATTATGTCTATTTTTCAATTGAAGCCTAGTTAATGAATTCCACTAGAAAAATATCCACAACGTATAGTTCAATAAAATAGTATGGGTTTAGGTATCTAAAATCATATACTTTAACTCTGTGACTGCTTTTTCCTCTACTAAGTGGGGTTTTTATGAGGAAAAATGAGTTAATAGTAATAAGGCACTCAGAACAATGCCTGGTATGTAGTACATTTTAAATAAGTGTTTTCCGTAGAGAATGGGACTCTAGTAGGTTTGGGTGGCGTAGTGGTTATGTAAGAACTCTCTGTGGAGTCCTATGCTTACTGGAACCATGAAACAGTGGCAACATTAAAGGGAATGAATTGATGTGCTTCAAGGAGCTGTCCTGTCCTACTCATGCCCAAGGCAGGTATTGGAGCACCACAGTCATGAACCTGAAATGATCCTGGGGTTTATGACAGTGGGCATTGTGATTGTATTCAGACAGCTATGAAGAGAGGATTCCCGGAGGCCTTGGCCCCATTTAAAACACCAGAATTCAGGCACAAAGACAAAGCAGGGATAATGAGACTTGTTAGGGGAAACCCAGGAATGACTGAGTCAGAATTCCCTGCTAGGCCAGTGAGATAGAGGCCAGGGTTAGAAATTAAGTTACTTTAGAGATAATAGAAATGTGATGTTTCTTGCCTATCCATATTGGTGGAATGAGGTTCATATTCACTACAATTATAATTATTTTTAAATTCCTTCTCTTCCTCTAGTTAGCTGTTAATTCTGATCTACACTCTCCATCTCTTCTGAGGCAGAGGATCAATGCTGAGGCTTAGGAGGGAGAGCTGGTGTCACATTCTCAATACATGTCAAATGACAGGTGGAAACAACAGAAAGTCTAGCATTTAAGGTATTGTTACATTCCATGCATATTTGTGCCAAGGAGTGCTTCATATACATTGTCATCTAAGAGAAGAATGAATATAGAGAGGTCTTCACAGAACCCTCCAGGGATCTCGCATTGTAGCCCTAGGGCAGTCACTTCAGGCAAGACATTTCTTTGTAATCATCTGTTACATGTGAAAAACATACCCAAATTTCATATTCTACTGCACAAAATATCCATGCTTTCCATATACATACCATGCTAAGTGTTCAAATAAAACAGATATTCCAGGAAGATGGGCTTATCCAGAGGATTTGTGCACATTGCTCTGGGGTTTCCTTAACAAGAATCTTACCCCAGTTTGAGAAGCATATTCTTTTGTTTTCCTTAAAAATATCTGAGGACTTTTTTAAGATTATAGAAACAACATATGCCAACAGTCAGTAAGCTGAAAAATGTTAAAAAGTAGTAAAACAAAACAATAAAGTCAACCATGATCCAAGGATAAATAACCACTGACATTTTTGAAAGCATTCAAATTTTAAAAATATGAATTATTGGCTGAGTAATATTGGCATGGATGTACAACAGTTTATTTAACTATTCATCCAGTGAAGGACATTTGGGTTGTTTCCAGTTTTTGGATATTACAAGTAAAACTGCAATTTACATTCATTTCCAGGTTTTCGTGCTAACATAAGTTTACTTTTCTGTTAGATCAATGCTCAGTAGTATAATTTTAGATGTAATATTGTAGGTTTAATTTCTTTTTTAAAAAAACAACCTGACAGATTTCCAGAGTGGTTATACAATTTTACATTCCCATCAGCATTATATGAGAGATCTAGTATCTCAACATCTTTGCCAACATTTGGTATTATCTTTAATTTTATCTGTTCTAGTAGATATGTAGTAGTGTCACATCATAGTTTTAATTTGCATTGCTCTAAATGGCTGAACATAATTTCCTGTGCTTACTTCTCATTTGTATATATTCTTTAGAAAGATGTTTAAGACTTTTGCTTATTTTCCAATTGGATTATATGTTTTGTTAATGTTGAGTTTAGAGAGTTCTTTATATATTATTAATACAAGTCATTTGATAGAGGATTTGGAAGTATTTCCCCTCAAGTTGGTAATTTGTCTTTTCATCCTCTTAACAGTATCATTCACAGAACAAAAGTTATTAATTTTGAGAAAATCCAATTTATCCATTTTTTCTTTTTGGATTTCTTTTTGGTAAATGTAAGAAACCTTTACCTGACACTAGGTCATAAAGACTTTCTATACATCCTTTCCAGAAAATTTTATGGTTTTATATTTTACACTTAGATCTACAATCCACTTTGAGTTAATTTTAAAATAACATCAGTTTTAGGTCAAACTTCATTCTTTGGTCTACTGCTGTTCAATGGTTCTAGTACTGTTTGTTAAAGAGATTCTTCTTCCATTGAACTACTTTTGCACCTTTGCAGAAAAATCAGTTGGGTAAATGTATGTGCATCTGGGTTTAGAAGCATGGTTGTGATAAGCTGTTCGTTTAATCATTACCAGTGCAAATTGTGGCAAAAAAAAACCACCTCATTTTCCATAGCAATAGCAGATTTAAAATATTTTGCTTATTACTAGAATACTTTTTTTAAATAAAAATTTGAATATTTAAAAAATCACAAAGACAATTTTGAGCTGACCACACATATCACAGAATTATTTCTCTCAGTAATTCTTTACATAGACAACTGTTTTGAAGTACTAAAATTTGAATCAACTTATTAAAAATTTTACACATAGCTTTTCAATATTTTAATAATTTTAATTATAAATGAACATATATACTTTCATATTATAAAAATAAAATATAAAAGCATAAATATTATATATATAGAATATGTATATAGAGAAATTCCTGAAAGCACAGTGTTATATTTTATAGAATAATAGTAGAATTATGAGAAAAACACTTTCTCTCTTTGTGCTTTTCTGTATTTTAGACATTTTCTACAATGCTTATGTATTATTTAAAGGTAATTGCTAGGTTGTGGTAGGAAAAACGACCCTCCAAATTAAAATAAAAAATTGATATTAAAAATAAAATACAATTAAACAAATCATTTTGTAATCAAATGTAAACAAATCATTCAACAGGAAGCAGGGCATGAAAGTTTGGAAAATCTGCAGCCCGAAGATGTGATAGAAAATAAAATTCCATTTTCTGAAGATAAATTCAAGCCAGCTGCAGAAATTTGTATAAGTAACACGGAGCCAAATTTTATCACCAATACAAGGGGAAAATGTCTCCAGGGCATGTCAGAGACCTGCACAGCAGCCTCTCCCATAACAGGCCTGAAGGCCTATGAAGAATAAATGGTTTCCTATGCCTGGTCTAGATACCCATTGCTCTGTGCAGCCTTGGGACATGGTTCCCTGAGTCCCAGCTACTTCATCTCCAGCCATTGCTAAAGGGGGCCAAGTTACGGGTTAGGTCATTGCTTCAGAGAGTGCCAGCCCCAAACTTTGGAGGCTTACATGTGGTATTGAGCCTATGGGTGCACAGAGGTCAAGAATTGAGGTTTGGGAACATCCACCTAGATTTCAGAGGATGTATGGAAATGCCTGGGTGTCTAGGCAGAAGTTTGCTGCAGGGGTGGGGCCCTCATGGAGCACCTCTGTTAGAGAAGTGCAGAAGGGAAATGTGGGGTAAAACTTCCCACACAGAGTCCCCACTGGGGTACTGCCTGGTGGAGCTATGAGAAGACAGCCACTATCGTCCAGACCCCAGAATGGTATATCCACTGACAGCATGTACCATGCACCTGGAAAAGCCACAGAAACTCAATGCCAGCCTATGAAAGAACCGAGAAGGGGAGATGTACCTGGCAAAGCCACAGGAACAGAGCTGCCCAAGGCCATGGGCACCTCATGCAAGCCCACCTCTTGCATCATTGTGTCCTGGATGTGAGACAGGAGTCAAAGGAGTTTAGTTTTGACCTTTAATATTTGACTGTCCTGCTGGATTTCAGACTTGCATGGGGCTTGTAGCCCCTTTGTTTTGGCCAATTTCTCCCATTTGGAACAGGTGTATTTACCCAATCCCTGTAACCCCATAATATCTAGGAAGTAACTAACTTGCTTTTGATTTTACAGGCTTATAGGTGGAATGGATTTTCCTTGTCTCAGATGAGACTTTGGGTTTGGACTTTTGAGTTAATGCTGGAATGAGTTAAGACTTTGGGGAACTGTTGGAAGGCCATGATTGTCTTTTGAAATGTGAGGACATGAGATTTGGGAGGTACCAGGGGCAGAATGATGTGGTCTGGCTGTGTCTCCACCCAAATCTCATCTTGAATTGTAGTTCCTATAATTCCCCCATGTAGTGGGAGGGACCAGTGGAAGGTAAGTTAGTCATGGGGGCATTACCCTCATGCTGTTCTTGTGATACTGAGTGAGCTCTCACAAGATCTGATGGGTATATAAGAGGCTTTTCCCTTTTTGCTCATTCTTCTTTTCTCTGCTGCCCTGTGAAGAAGGACGTTCCTGCTTCCCCTTCCACCATGATTGTAAGTTTCCTGAGGCCTCCTCAGCCACCCTGAACTGTGAGTCAATTAAACCTCTTTCCTTTATAAATTACCCAGTCTAGGGTAACTTTATTAGCAGTGTGAGAACAAATGAATACACCACCCCCTCATCCACTAACATACAAAGCAAAATTAACAAACAAACAAACAAACAAACGTTAAAATGATGCCAGATGGGAGTAAACTCATTCTCCAAGAGAATGATACTCCCAAGTATTGTCTTGGAGCACAGCCTGAAGCATGCTCTCTAAGCATGAAATACCTTTGCAGTCTCTTGTTTTATCTTAAAATCTAATGAGATTCTATTTACTCTTCAGTCATAACAAAATGTCCTTATATGTCCTTTTGCTAACTTTGTTAACCCCTTTTTAGAATAGGTAAGTTATATTATCAATGATCTTACAAATAAAATTAATGGATTATGTCTTTAATGGAACTAATATTAATGACTACTACTAATAATAACAGTAAACATTTATTGCCTTAGAACTAGGCTGTGCTATTTTCAGTTCATTATCCATTTTAATTTCCAAAAAACTATTTATAGTAGGTTGTATTTAGAAAGTGAAAATTGAAGCTTAGTTTCTATGTCTAAAAATGGGATAATAGGACTTACCATATAGATTGTTGTAAGGTTAAACATAATTGTACATTGAAAATGTTTATTTGAATGATTAGCAAAATAGTAAGCTCTCAGTGAGTGTTCAGAGTTGCCTAAGTCCAGTAGTATGGTGGCTGTGAATATTTTTGAATGAGGATACTTTTTAATGTCAACATATTTTCTGAACCTAACTTAAATTAGGCCCACTAAATAGTAATATTAGGATCTATCGACTGAGAAAATACTTAAATATAAACTCTGAGTTCAGTGATGCTTTTAAATAAATTTTTACTTTAATTATCATAATGAAATCTGCATATACTTGAAAACCAGTAGTGAATATTATTTACTGTTTCCAGGCAATGGTAGAAACAATGTGAAGATCTGTTATTAGAACTTCATTCCTACAGGAGTCAAAGTTAGGAAGCTGTGTTTGTGGTAGTGAAAAATTCTGGACAACTCTGTTGATTGGAGCCCCTTTATTTAAGTTCTCTCCTCTGAGCCTGTAGCCTGTTTAGCCATAGGTGCCTACTGGCTTTACTTGCCTCTAATGATCTTGCAAAGCCTGGCCACTTCCCCTCCATTATCCTGCTTCACAGTTGAATTCTCCTTCAAGAAGAGTCTGGTCTGCAACTCTGCTGCTCAGTAAAACAGGCAAATACTGTATATATACTATTGTTTTGCCATCAGGAGGAATAGAATGATAGTGAAGAGCACAAATTCTGTTATCAGGTAGACCTAAGGTTAAATTCTGACACTAGTTCTGTGACCACAGGGAAACTATGTAATTTATCTGGGTCTCAGTTTCTTTGTATACATAAGATGGACAATTCATAACTCATAAAGTTAGTATGAAGATTATATTAGATAGTTACATAAAGCTTTGAAGCACAATGTCTCGTATATAATAAGCCCTCAATACTGCTAGCTGATTTGATGCTTTTACAACAGAAAATAGCACAGTGAAACATATATGTGTGCTTCATGGAATGCATAAAATCGAGAACACATTACATTCTTTCTGGATGGGGTATAAAATGTTTGTAATTATATGAAATTTGATTTGAAGACAGAATAGTAATATTCCAACATATATCACACTAAAATAAATAGAACAGTATTTATTTTTGAATTCTTTTGAGAGGTAAGGGGAATCTATTAGCAAAAAAAAGAAATTTACCATATTCTTTACAAATTTTCTGAACAAGAGTGAGTAAAAGTCTCCCCTTTGTTGGTTTATTCAAAACTCAAATAGTGGATGTAAATGAGTAGAGTTTGGCTAATTTCTTAGTAGTGCAAAGCAATTCCAGGAAAAAATACTTCATGGAATAGCAGTCTGTCTTTGGAACATGAAGAAGTGGGTTTATGATGCTCATTATAGAAAATACGTAAAACTGTGAACATTTTAATAGAAAAACTTGTTATTAGGTTACTCAGCACAGTAATAGATGAAGTAATCACATGGATATTTTAGTAACGGAATCATTCCTTCTTGTCATTTATTTTAGAAAATCTAGCAATAAATTCAAGAGCACAGTGTATCTTTTCCCCATTCTCTTTAAAGGGCAAATAAAATGCATAGCATTAAAACAATCTAATGAGTCCTTAGAGAATAATGCATCATGAAACAAAAAACTAAGGCAAGCAAGGACTAGTTTTTCTTTACATACTGTTATCTGGATTGTTTAATGAACAAAGAAAGTTGACTAAGTGAAAAAACAAGTTTTCCGTTGATATAAATCTTTAACCAATTCAATAGATATGCCTGGGCCATTTTAAAATCCATCTCTTACAGCACATAACAAAAAACTAAAATTTGCAATTTTAAAAATTTATTTTTAATATATGCTGACAACAGTGAATCTGGGAAAGGTGTTTTGGCAATCTAATAAAACACAACAGAAAGAGATGTTTTTCCACCTACTGTGTTACCAGTCATTTTGGTCATATGTTATATTATGTTTTACTATCAAGACTCACTTAAATTAACTTTTCATTGTTACAATAATATTATTTCACAAAATACAACTCTGTGATGGTGACTTCTAAAACAAAGCAAAGACAAAACATTAGCCAAGAAAAGATGCACTTTACAGTGATGAGGACTCAACTCTCCATGAAAGCAGCTAATAAAGCACATGGGAAAAAATATGGCATTAAATACAATCAGAAAAGATGCACTTGTACAGTATTTGCCATTTTCTCAAAAGAATACTCAGCAACTAAATGGATAATAGTTATTAAGCTTATGAAACTTTACCTATTACAAAACCCTTTTTCAAAATTTAACCATATTTAACCACTGTGAGAACCATATAGCGTGTGTTTCTAACTTTCACACAGTAGATAAGTATCCTAGACTGGCCTCCTGACTCAAAATCTCTAATTGTTTCCATTCTACCATAAGGTTCACAGAAACAGGTCAACTTTAGCATCCCTTTACTGGAAATAAAACACCACATACCCACAATGCATTGTTTAAGTTTTCACTAACTTCAGATTCTCTCTGTGACCAATAACACATTTACCACCTTCTTTTTATCCTATAGGGGAGAGTTAGGAAGATTCATGAGTTAGGATGAATGCTCAAGCCTTCTTTACAATGTAATTCCAAATACCAAAAAAAGGAGGGGAAAATGTTGCTTAAAACTTATGGGGAAAGTTCTCCTTCTTCTAAGGGACCGTATGTTAACTCTCTTCTCTCTGAAAAATGCTGACTATAAAAAATACTTTCCTTTTCTCGAATTCAAGGAAGTGCAAAGCAAAATCTGCCACAAACCTCTCGCTGTCTATATAGCTAGTATGTGCTCTCTTTTGCCTGCTGTGTTTCAACCCTGTCTTCTAATCTATGTTGTTACTTGTCCTTGATCTTTTAGTGTTCATATTCCCATCGTCATATAAGTATTTCTACTGTAAGATGCCTCAAATCCTACATATAGACAGAAAAGAAATAGTCCAACAAACACGCAAACTTTATCGCTACGTGTCATCCCATCCCCTATGTCCACCCGCAATTATGGAGATGTACAATTCTAGTCTCAGTCATGCTGCAGTGACCCACCAGCCCACCAGCAGTCAGTGGTACTGGAATCTCAAATCTCTTGTCAGGTATCCTCGTGGCTGCTTTTCAGCTTAAGGCCTTTGGTGAGATCTGGGTATCTCTTGGCTTGGCTTCCTCTCATCTACAATATTAGACTTCAATTCTATGATATCTTAGAGGTTTTTCCATCATGTAATAACCTCAGAAAAGTACTGCAGTATATGGGGTGAGTGGTGGTGGGGAGGAGGACTGAAACTAACTTCTCCTAGAGGAGTAAAAAACTTACAAATGTAGTTTAAACATAATTTAATATTATTTGAAAATGACTCTACATGGTTAAAACATACTCTTTTTTCTCCTTTAGTAAAAGGAATGACCAGAATGAAGACATTCTGTTAAGTGAGCATTTTCTCCTCATTTAAACAAAACAATAACAAAAACAGCTAGAATTGGTCTCGCTGTTCCTGGTGATCAAATCCTTCCATTTGTTTCAGGTGAGTGGCTTTATCATGAGACATTCACTGGCAGCAAAAGCCTGCTGCTGGGTAGATAGTGATTTCTAAGGGATTGCAAAATTGGTTTAAACATCTGCTCTAATCAAAACCCAGGGTTTCCATATGGTCATTTTATAAAGCATATGACAATCACCTTTCATAGTATTTCACACTGAGGATTTAGGAAACAGGATAGCCTGAGGTCAAACAGATAAGTGTTGTCTGTTTAGAAATCTAGAATATCCCTCAGGGCAATCAGGGTAATGGGTCATACAATGAAGCATCATAATAAGACAATCACAAGTTAAACCTACACTTTGCTTATAGTTTATGACATAAATTGCCAATAGCAGCAAATGCTGTTGATAAACACACGCAAACATACATATATACATTCCTCACTTCAAATAAACAAATAAACAAAAAATCATGCTCATCTCTTCCGTTTCTTGGACTGCAGAGCTACGGGTCTGCCTATTCTGTATTGAAATTAGTATAAAAATACTGAAAAGAAGTCTAAGGTAAATATTTTGTGTTTTCTGGCAAATCAACAAAGATTGTTCTGTATACATAGATTGTCCTGTATAAGTACTGATAGACATCGTGATAAAAGTACTCTTGGGACTGAGATGAAAATTTAAACTCAGCTTTGAGACTAGTTACTGATTACAATGACTCAATTAACATAATAGGAAAAAACATCCATATTCTTGCTGAAAACTATTTAAGGATCTTACTCAGGTACCTGAATTCTTGAGACCTTAGACAAGAAAGTGCAGGTCAAAAATGTAGGGAAAAAATTTGGGCCCACCTCTTCTCACCATTTCTATAGGACACATATGAAGAGTTTCTATCAGCTGCCATTAGCTGTGGGGACTGGAAATCATGGAGATGCCTAAACGCGACATTAAGTTTGGAGAGACTGAGAATTACTTGGTAAGTTAAACAGGAAACCCTCCAAATAAAATGTCTCCATTAGGTGGCAGGGAGGAATAATTGAGCCTTTCTTGCTCAAATGTCTTAAGGCAGCCAAAGCTGACTTTCTAAGGGAATTTTTGAACAAAAATGTTTCTCCTGCAGCCAGTAATGTCTCTCTGTGTATCTCGTCCCCCAGCTCTGCAAACTACTGGGCCCCTCTAGGCTATCAACAAAAGTTTATGATAAATTTAAACATTAATGATTCAGTAAATAAATTTTAACATTATTGGTAACAAAAAAAATGACAGAAGAGTGACCCTACATAATTATTCACAAATTTCATTTAATAACAGAAAAACAACCTGGATCTTTTTCTATAAGAATGAGGAGGCAGAAAAATCAACAGAGAAAATGAAAACTCTCAGTAGTTCAAAAGATGGGGATCATATGAGCACTAAGAAAAAATATTTCCAGCAAAACAGGGATTTAAAGAAGCAGGAGAGATACCTAAAATATATGGTTATGTTATTAAGTGAATAAAGTGGACTGTAAACAGTATAACAGTAAAACAGTAACTGTATATAACTGTAAAACAGTATAAAATCATGTTTGTGAAAATAAGTAATGAAAAATGAGTATGTCTATACATTCATGATTAGGACAAAAAGTATCTGGGTATATATACATAGAAATATGGAGACTGTGTATTCCTGAATTGTGGGATTAGATTATTTTTATTCTTTTCTGTTTGCTTTTGTGGATCAAATTAAATTTATGTGTATTAAGCTTTATTCTCAGAAAAAGGGTCATTCAATTTTAAAATATATAAATAAGCGGCACTAGTAAAAAATATCCACTCTCAAAAAGAAAAATATTTGTTTGAACACAGATGGTTTCAGCTAATAAAGACTCAAGGATTTAAGAAATTATACCATCCATCCCATTGTCCATCATTTAGCTTAGCTAACTCCGGAATATAGCACCCCTAGCTTAGCAAACAGTTTACCTCCCTAGTTCCCCAACTGCACCAAAGCATCTTAGGGTGTTGCAATAAATCCACAAAGGAGCCACAGATTATTTTTAATTTTCAAAGAAAATACAGTAATACTAGACATTCTGTTGGATACTGTACAAAATATTAGACAGTGGTAGTTCACTGACTCAATATAAAATCTGGCATCATTCCCTTTGATAGTGTCTTATCTTTGTGAAGCTCGGCTTTTAGTGGCTGACGTGTTAAGAAAAAAAAAAAGAGGTACCCCTTAAGAAGTACCTTGGAATAGGGAATGAGGGTGGCTTCCATTCTGATTCTAAGGTTTGAGAAACCATGTAGCACCCAACAGGGACACACCTCCAGCCAGTAATTAATTGTGGCTATTTAAGAATTGAATTAAATATATTTTTTCTTTTAATTCATATATTTTTTTCAAGTGGTTACTAAGGGCCTAAGTGCATAATAAATAAAATTGTGAAATATCTCCTTTGCCATGAAAATATTACTGAGACACTAAGGGTATCATGAACTGAAAAAGTTTGAAAGCCTTTGGTCAATCCATTAACTAGTACACATCAAACTGCTAGAACGCCAGAATGACCTCTCAAATATAGGGTAACCTATTGCAGCTTTATATCAAACTAGCAGGCCTGGATCACTTAGTAATTGCAATTGAACTTGATCATAGTATAGTGTTGTTCATTATATAATGTTGACCTACTCAAGTTTAATCCCTCTAAAATTTCATCACAACATGGGCCTTTTGAAGGATGACTTCAGAAGGAAAACAAGTTTTAAATGAATTTTAGATTGCCTTCAACTCACATTTGAGTTTTGTCCAGTATTCTTTCACCAAAGCAAACTCTTCTTGACTCTCATTGTGATAAAATCACTACTGTGGCCTACACACGTGGCTCATTATGTATAAAATGTTAATGCTTCTATGACTCTTGAGACTGTCAATTGCTCAGTAGTGACAATGAGGAAGGATTAGTTAAAATAAATGTTTCCTAAACAAAAATAGCAAAAGTCCTTATATAAACAACACCCACATAATGTATCATGACAGCGATCCCATTGGAATTGCCTAATTTAATTGACAAAGAAAAAGATTTATAAAAAATAACTTTGCTAGACAAAATTATCACTAAATAATTTGGATAACTAAAGCATCATCCACAGATTTCTGATTTATCAGAAACAAAGACCATCATTTAAAAAAGCTTTTATTTTAGGTTCAGGGGTACATGTGCAGGTTTGTTATATAAACTTGTGTCACAGGGGTTTGTGGTAGAGATTATTTTGTTACCCAGATACTAAGCCTAGTACATGGTTACTGGTCCTCTACTTCCTCCCACCCTCAGTCTTCAAGTAGGCCCCACTGTCTGTTGTTCCTCTCCCAGTATCCATGTGTTCTCATCATTTAGCTCCTACTTATATGTGAGAAAATGTGGTATTCATTCCCGCATTGGTTTGCTAAGGATAATGGCCTCCAGCTCCATCCATGTTCCCACAAAGGACATGATCTCATTCTTTTTTATGGCTGCATAGTAGTCCATGGTGTACCACGTTTTCTTTATCCAGTCTATTATTGATGGGCATTTGGGTTGGTTCCATGTCTTTGCTATTGTGAATAGTGCTGCAATGAACATACGTGTGCATGTGTCTTTAGAGTGGAACAATTTATATTCCTTTGGGTACATATCCAGTAATAAGATTGCTGGGTCATATGGTAGGTCTCTTTTGAGCTGTTTCAGGAATTGCCACGCTGCTTTCCACAATGGTTGAACTAATTTATAATCCCACCAGCAGTGTATAAGCATTCCCTTTTCTCCACAACCTCATCAGCATGTTATTTTTGATTTTTTAATAGCCATTCTGACTGGTGTGGGATCATAGCTCATTATGATTTTGATTTGCATTTCTCTAATGATTAGTGATATTGAGTCTTTTTTTTTTCATATGCTTGTTGGCCACATGTATGCCTTCTTAGAGAAGTGTCTGTTTATGTCCTTTGTATACTTTTTAATAGAGTTGCTTTTTTCTTGTAAATTTAAGTTCCTTATAGATATAGGTTAGTAGACTTTTGTCAGATACATAGTTTGCAAATATTTTCTCCCATTCTGTAGGTTGTCTGTTTACTCTGTTGATAATTTCTTTTGCTGTACAGAAGCTCTAAAGTTTAATTAGATCCCATTTGTCAATTTTTGAAAAGTGTCATTTTTTGCAGATACAAAATATGTTTTATATTCTTTCCCAAGGGCAAATAAATCTTTAAGGATATAGGATGTGAATCCATGGTTACATTTAAAAGAATAAAAATAGAAAATTCCTACAAAGGATTTTACAAAATATAAAAATTTGCATTTAATTCAGCAAAAATTATTAAACCTATTATAGCCTTTATTGGATATTTAAATATTCCTAGTTCCTATGATTAAGGCCCTTGCATTTGAGGAAACAAACACTAGCTAGACCCATTACAACGGGCTCTCAGGAAAGTCATCTGAGTAAAAGGAAGAGATATGTAGCTCAACCCTCCTAATATATATACATACACATTGAAGTTGACCTGGCAGAGAGTGATACACACACACACACACAAAACCAAGATCCATAAAGATAAAAGAAGTTGTCAATACAATCCATCAATCCATTTATCCATCCACCCATCCATTCATCCAATATTTAGTGACAGTCTCCTCTGTGCTAGATATCAATTTATTCATTGAAGATAAGGTCCCTTCTGTCATTGAATGTGCAGTCCAATGCACAATTTTCTTAGTTACATGTTCGAATAAGCTAAGTTGCTCAATTCTGAAAATCTTAATCTCCAGACTCCACTCTGTAATTCATTAAACAAGAATTTCTAGGGTATTACCCAGGCGTCATTATTATTTTATTAAAGGTGTGCAGTAATTCCAATGTGCATCCAAGGTTGAGAACCACTTAAGTGGGAAGACAGACACTGACCATATAATTACAAATGCCCTGAGTGCTGAGTACTACTGAGAAATGTCAAGTCTCCTGTCTAGCTCAAAGATGTTTCTACTATGTTGTTACTGCCTCTCTTGAGATAATTAGTATTATCATTTATAGAAATATCCCATTAAAAAGATTTGGATGTAAAGAATGTCACTTATTTTCAACACTTTGGAGTATAAGCTATTCTCAGAAGTATTTTAGAAGCTTTCTAGGTAAACAGGTCATAGGATTGTAGGTATAGTGAATATAAGCAGTGATTGTAATCTAATGAAGAAATATTTTCATGACAAAAATGCTGTTCACGGTGGAGGAGCCAAGATGGCCGAATAGGAACAGCTCCAGTCTACAGCTCCCAGCGTGAGCGACGCAGAAGACGGGTGATTTCTGCATTTCCATCTGAGGTACCGGGTTCATCTCACTAGGGAGTGCCAGACAGTGGGCACAGGTCAGTGGGTGTGTGCACCGTGCACGAGCCAAAGCAGGGCGAGGCATTGCCTCACTTGGGAAGCGCAAGGGGTCAGAGAGTTCCCTTTCTGAGTCAAAGAAAGGGGTGACGGACTGCACCTGGAAAATCGGGTCACTCCCACCAGAATACTGCGCTTTTCTGACAGGCTTAAAAAACGGCACACCACGAGATTATATCCTGCACCTGGCTCGGAGGGTCCAATGCCCACAGAGTCTCGCTGATTGCTAGCACAGCAGTCTGAGATCAAACTGCAAGGCGGCAGCGAGGCTGGGGGAGGGGCGCCCACCATTGCCCAGGCTTGATTAGGTAAACAAAGCAGCCTGGAAGCTGGAACTGGGTGGAGCCCACCACAGCTCAAGGAGGCCTGCCTGCCTCTGTAGGCTCCACCTCTGGGGGCAGGGCACAGACAAACAAAAAGACAGCAGTAACCTCTGCAGACTTAAATGTCCCTGTCTGACAGCTTTGAAGAGAGCAGTGGTTCTCCCAGCACGCAGCTGGAGATCTGAGAACGGGCAGACTGCCTCCTCAAGTGGGTCCCTGACCCCTGAACCCCGGGCAGCCTAACTGGGAGGCACCCCCCACCAGGGGCACACTGACACCTCACATGGCAGGGTATTCCAACAGACCTGCAGCTGAGGGTCCTGTCTGTTAGAAGGAAAACTAACAAACAGAAAGGACATCCACACCAAAAACCCATCTGTACATCACCATCATCAAAGACCAAAAGTAGATAAAACCACAAAGATGGGGAAAAAACAGAACAGAAAAACTGGAAACTCTAAAAAGCAGAGCGCCTCTCCTCCTCCAAAGGAATGCAGTTCCTCACTAGCAACGGAACAAAGCTGGATGGAAAATGACTTTGACGAGCTGAGAGAAGAAGGCTTCAGACGATCAAATTATTCTGAGCTACGGGAGGACATTCAAACCAAAGGCAAAGAAGTTGAAAACTTTGAAAAAAATTTAGAAGAATGTATAATTAGAATAACCAATACAGAGAAGTGCTTAAAGGAGCTGATGGAGCTGAAAACCAAGGCTCGAGAACTACGTGAAGAATGCAGAAGCCTCAGGAGCCGATGCGATCAACTGGAAGAAAGGGTATCAGCGATGGAAGATGAAATGAATGAAATGAAGCGAGAAGGGAAGTTTAGAGAAAAAAGAATAAAAAGAAATGAGCAAAGCCTCCAAGAAATATGGGACTATGTGAAAAGACCAAATCTACGTCTGATTGGTGTACCTGAAAGTGATGGGGAGAATGGAACCAAGTTGGAAAACACTCTGCAGGATATTATCCAGGAGAACTTCCCCAATCTAGCAAGGCAGGACAACGTTCAGATTCAGGAAATACAGAGAACGCCACAAAGATACTCCTCGAGAAGAGCAACTCCAAGACACATAATTGTCAGATTCACCAAAGTTGAAATGAAGGAAAAAATGTTAAGGGCAGCCAGAGAGAAAGGTCGGGTTACCCTCAAAGGGAAGCCCATCAGACTAACAGCGGATCTCTCGGCAGAAACCCTACAAGCCAGAAGAGACTGGGGGCCGATATTCAACGTTCTTAAAGAAAAGGATTTTCAACCCAGAATTTCATATCCAGCCAAACTAAGCTTCATAAGTGAAGGAGAAATAAAATCCTTTACAGACAAGCAAATGCTGAGAGATTTTGTCACCACCAGGCCTACCTTAAAAGAGCTCCTGAAGGAAGCACTAAACATGGAAAGGAACAACCGGTACCAGCCGCTGCAAAATCATGCCAAAATGTAAAGACCATTGAGACTAGGAAGAAACTGCATCAACTAACGAGCAAAATCACCAGCTAACATCATAATGACAGGATCAAATTCACACATAACAATATTAACTTTAAATGTAAATGGACTAAATGCTCCAATTAAAAGACACAGACTGGCAAATTGGATAAAGAGTCAAGACCCATCAGTGTGCTGTATTCAGGAAACCCATCTCACATGCAGAGACACACATAGGCTCAAAATAAAAGGATGGAGGAAGATCTACCAAGCCAATGGAAAACAAAAGAAGGCAGGGGTTGCAATCCTAGTCTCTGATAAAACAGACTTTAAAGCAACAAAGATCAAAAGAGACAAAGAAGGCCATTACATAATGGTAAAGGGATCAATTCAACAAGAAGAGCTAACTATCCTAAATATATATGCACCCAATACAGGAGCACCAAGATTCATAAAGCGAGTCCTGAGTGACCTACAAAGAGACTTAGACTCCCACACATTAATAATGGGAGACTTTAACACCCCACTGTCAACATTAGACAGATCAACGAGACAGAAAGTCAAGAAGGATACCCAGGAATTGAACTCAGCTCTGCACCAAGCGGACCTAATAGGCATCTACAGACTCTCCACCCCAAATCAACAGAATATACATTTTTTTCAGCACCACACCACACCTATTCCAAAATTGACCACATACTTGGAAGTAAAGCTCTCCTCAGCAAATGTAAAAGAACAGAAATTATAACAAACTATCTCTCAGACCACAGTGCAATCAAACTAGAACTCAGGATTAAGAATCTCACTCAAAACCGCTCAAATACATGGAAACTGAACAACCTGCTCCTGAATGACTACTGGGTACATAATGAAATGAAGGCAGAAATAAAGATGTTCTTTGAAACCAACGAGAACAAAGACACAACATACCAGAATCTCTGGGATGCATTCAAAGCAGTGTGTAGAGGGAAAGTTATAGCACTAAATGCCCACAAGAGAAAGCAGGAAAGATCCAAAATTGGCACCCTAACATCACAATTAAAAGAACTAGAAAAGCAAGAGCAAACACATTCAAAAGCTAGCAGAAGGCAAGAAATAACTAAAATCAGAGCAGAACTGAAGGAAAAAGAGACACAAAAAACCCTTCAAAAAATTAATGAATCCAGGAGCTGGTTTTTTGAAAGGATCAACAAAATTGATAGACCGCTAGCAAGACTAATAAAGAAAAAAAGAGAGAAGAATCAAATAGACGCAATAAAAAATGATAAAGGGGATATCACCACCGATCCCACAGAAATACAAACTACCATCAGAGAATACTACAAACACCTCTATGCAAATAAACTAGAAAATCTAGAAGAAATGGATAAATTCCTCGACACATACGCTCTCCCAAGACTAAACCAGGAAGAAGTTGAATCCCTGAATAGACCAATAACAGGAGCTGAAATTGTGGCAATAATCAATAGCTTACCAACCAAAAAGAGTCCAGGACCAGATGGATTCACAGCCGAATTCTACCAGAGGTACAAGGAGGAACTGGTACCATTCCTTCTGAAACTATTCCAATCAATAGAAAAAGAGGGAATCCTCCCTAACTCATTTTATGAGGCCAGCATCATTCTGATACCAAAGCCAGGCAGAGACACAACAAAAAAAGAGAATTTTAGACCAATATCCTTGATGAACATTGGTGCAAAAATCCTCAATAAAATACTGGCAAAACGAATCCAGCAGCACATCAAGAAGCTTATCCACCATGATCAAGTGGGCTTCATCCCTGGGATGCAAGGCTGGTTCAATATATGCAAATCAATAAATGTAATCCAGCATATAAACAGAGCCAAAGACAAAAACCACATGATTATCTCAATAGATGCAGAAAAAGCCTTTGACAAAATTCAACAACCCTTCATGCTAAAAACTCTCAATAAATTAGGTATTGCTGGGATGTATTTCAAAATAATAAGAGCTATCTATGACAAACCCACAGCCAATATCATACTGAATGGGCAAAAACTGGAAGCATTCCCTTTGAAAACTGGCACAAGACAGGGATGCCCTCTCTCACCACTCCTATTCAACATAGTGTTGGAAGTTCTGGCCAGGGCTATTAGGCAGGAGAAGGAAATAAAGGGTATTCAGTTAGGAAAAGAGGAAGTCAAATTGTCCCTGTTTGCAGACGAAATGATTGTATATCTAGAAAACCCCATTGTCTCAGCCCAAAATCTCCTTAAGCTGATAAGCAACTTCAGCAAAGTCTCAGGATACAAAATCAATGTACAAAAATCACAAGCATTCTTATACACCAACAACAGACAAACAGAGAGCCAAATCATGAGTGAACTCCCATTCACAATTGCTTCAAAGAGAATAAAATACCTAGGAATCCAACTTACAAGGGATGCGAAGGACCTCTTCAAGGAGAACTACAAACCACTGCTCAAGGAAATAAAAGAGGATACAAAGAAATGGAAGAACATTCCATGCTCATGGGTAGGAAGAATCAATATCGTGAAAATGGCCATACTGCCCAAGGTAATTTACATATTCAATGCCATCCCCATCAAGCTACCAATGACTTTCTTCACAGAATTGGAAAAAACTACTTTAAAGTTCATATGGAACCAAAAAAGAGCCCGCATCGCCAAGTCAATCCTAAGCCAAAAGAACAAAGCTGGAGGCATCACACTACCTGACTTCAAACTATACTACAAGGCTACAGTCACCAAAACAGCATGGTACTGGTACCAAAACAGAGATATAGATCAATGGAACAGAACAGAGCCCTCAGAAATAATGCCACATATCTACAACTATCTGATCTTTGACAAACCTGAGAAAAACAAGCAATGGGGAAAGGATCCCCTATTTAATAAATGGTGCTGGGAAAACTGGCTAGCCATATGTAGAAAGCTGAAACTGGATCCCTTCCTTACACCTTATACAAAAATCAATTCAAGATGGATTAAAGACTTAAACGTTAGACCTAAAACCATAAACACCCTAGAAGAAAACCTAGGCATTACCATTCAGGACATAGGCATGGGCAAGGACTTCATGTCTAAAACACCAAAAGCAATGGCAACAAAAGCCAAAATTGACAAATGGGATCTAATTAAACTAAAGAGCTTCTGCACAGCAAAAGAAACTACCATCAGAGTGAACAGGCAACCTACAAAATGGGAGAAAATTTTCGCAACCTACTCATCTGACAAAGGGCTAATATCCAGAATCTACAATGAACTCAAACAAATTTACAAGAAAAAAACAAACAACCCCATCCAAAAGTGGGCGAAGGACATGAACAGACACTTCTCAAAAGAAGACATTTATGCAGCCAAAAAACACATGAAAAAATGCTCATCATCACTGGCCATCAGAGAAATGCAAATCAAAACCACAATGAGATACCATCTCACACCAGTTAGAATGGCATTCATTAAAAAGTCAGGAAACAGCAGGTGCTGGAGAGGATGTGGAGAAATAGGAACACTTTTACACTGTTGGTGGGACTGTAAACTAGTTCAACCATTGTGGAAGTCAGTGTGGCGATTCCTCAGGGATCTAGAACTAGAAATACCATTTGACCCAGCCATCCCATTACTGGATATATACCCAGAGGACTATAAATCATGCTGCTATAAAGACACATGCACACGTATGTTTATTGCGGCACTATTCACAATAGCAAAGACTTGGAACCAACCCAAATGTCCAACAATGATAGACTGGATCAAGAAAATGTGGCACATATACACCATGGAATACTATGCAGCCATAAAAAATGATGAGTTCATGTCCTTTGTAGGGACATGGATGAAATTGGAAATCATCATTCTCAGTAAACTATCGCAAGAACAAAAATCCAAACACTGCATATTCTCACTCATAGGTGGGAATTGAACAGTGAGATCACATGGACACAGGAAGGGGAATATCACACTCTGGGGCCTGTTGTGGGGTGGGTGAGGGGGCAGGGATAGCATCGGGAGATATACCTAATGCTAGATGACGAGTTAGTGGGTGCAGCGCACCAGCATGGCGCATGTATACATATGTAACTAACCTGCACAATGTGCACATGTACCCTAAAACTTAAAGTTAATTAAAAAAAAAATGCTGTTCACGTCATATGAGTTCTGATTAAAATTGTTAAGACATATATGTTTTTTAAATTTTGGCTTTTAAGGTGATACGGTACTCATACCAGTAGGTTTGGGAAAGATGAGGATGTACTATGTTGCGGTTCATTATTAATTTTGCTTTATTTTATGGTAATTATGCAAATTCATGTTAACCTATTGCTTCAGAAATATAAAGCAAATATGACATAAGCTAATAAAAACTTCACAAAATCCTACCAATGGCTCCCAAATTACATATCAATATGATAGTATGTAATAGCGTTAGGTGTTCTAGAACTTCATAATTTTTTATGTGATTTTGCTTCTCAATTCTTTCAATTCTCAAATGTAGAAATCTTCAAACAGTAGGAGTTAAGGTGAAATTTCAAAATTCATGCTCAAGAAACATGGGGTGAAATAAGTTTTTTAAACAATATTGTCAAAGCTATTTTTGTTACTTTAACTATCCCCATCCCCTTAAACACAACAACCCTGTACACATTTTTTCTCCTTGTTTGACCAATAGAAAACAAGTTACACATTTTAAAACATTTTTATAGCTGTTTTTTACCAATTTGTTCTACTGTATATAAGTTCATACAGAAAACTCTTTTAATATAACTTCATACCTATCATCTCTTAATTCACAATAAATTTGACAGGAGGTATGTTGTTGTCAGCAGCTAAGAGCAGCCAAATAAAACCTAGTGATATCATATAAAAAATAAAATACAACTGAGACTTGATCAGCTTGCTGTTGTGCATTGCTGAATTTGTACTGAAAACTGGAGCCTTTTCAGTGCAGCAGCTTTTATCATGATTTGACACATTTTAAAAGAAATGTGCTCACTTATTAAAGGTGCTAACAAACTTACCCAAAACATTCTAAAACTAAGTCTAATAGGAAGAGAAATTCATTCTAACTTTAGTCCACAGAACATTCATCTTTTAAACATAGCAGTCTAATAGACATCTATAATTCTACTTACCTGTCTTAACCATCTATTTTTTTTCTTCATTGCCCCAGGTTGTATTATAAATCTCAAAACCGTAATCTGTCTCTATCTCTCTCTGTCTCTCTCTCTGTCTCTGTCTCTCTCTCTGTCTCTGTCTCTCTCTCTCTCTCTATGTCTCTCTCTCTCTCTCTCTCTCTCTCTGTCTCTGTCTCTCTCTCTCTCTCTCTCTCCCTCCCTCTGTGTGTGTGTGTGTGTGTGTGTGTGTGTGTGTGTGTGTGTGTGTGTGCATTGCCTTGGAAAAGTTTTTTCCCCAGAAATAACATTCGCCCCCTAAAGTGCTGAACATTTTTGTATTCTGTAACTAAATGTGTTAGACACCAGCTAAAACACACATATATTTCCACTTCTGAGGTAACAACAAAAGCTTTCTCAAGGAGAACAAGTGAAGGTGGGTCTGCAAATAATATATGGATCCTTTCTCACTTCACAGGTGGACAGAGATCCCTAGAGATTTCTCTGTACTTCTCTGGAACTTGGTTCTGCATGCTGATCAGCAGGCTCCAGGAGGGTTCACAGTGAAGGATCGAAACCCTAGGCTAAGAGAGATTGCTTTTGCGTAGTATCTGTACGTAATACTCACACTGTACTCTTTGGGAAATGTGACTTGCATTAAGGTATCTGTATGTGTGCATACAGAAAAAACATCTATCACCAGAGGTTTGATTTATTGTTGCCAGCGTGAGTATCATCATGCTACACAAATGTGCAAGAAAACCTTAAACTGCCCCAGGTGTTGCTGGCTTGAAAGAGAGTGATACACATGAACTGAGAGATTATGTGATTTCCAGATTCCCAGGATGTTACAATGACACTTACAGCATTTAGTTAGATATTTAATCACTTCTAGTGTCTATACAGAGCTATTGATCTAGAAATAGATTATGGAATTATCTCCAGAAGAAAGCAATCAATTGTGAATACTTCATCCATGCAGTTGCTAAAATGTCTTAATTGTCATACAACTGCCACAAAGATATTTGCTTCTGGCTATTATAAACTAAGCATGCAAAGTGGTCCAATATACATTACAGATGTAGAGATTTTTTTAAAAAAAATCATTGAATATCATGATGTTCCTCTAGTTCCAAGCAGGTATATTTCTCAATCATTTCTCCCTTTGTATTTTGAAAGACATGACCTCCTAGGTTTGTAGACCCATACCCATGAGATATTGTAACATGTATAAACTCAATCCTCCAAACTCACTTATTAGATATTGTTCTTTCTGGCAGCTACAGAAACTGTCTCTGGGAAAGTTGAATGAGTGCCTTATTGTCACTCTGTTGGTCAGTAGCAGCAAGGCACAAACTCCAGGTCAATCTGTTTAATCATAAAATTGCTGCTTTTAACCACTGTACCATGTAGCTGTTTCTTCATGGGAAAAAATTTTAGGTTAGATAAGAACTTCCACAATCCTAAGCAAAACGTTTCAGTTGTAAGGAAATTGAGAAATCACTTAATCAAATGTTCTACCACCTGAATTATCCCTTTTACCATATTTCTAAATGATAATCACCTGGTCTCTGCCTGAATTATCCCCATGACAGGTGGTCACTTCTCCACTGTCAGACAGCTTTAATTATCAGAAAGTGCATCCTTCTATTGAGCAGAAATCTTGCCTCCCAGAAGCTCTTACTATTGGATCCTATTTCTAACCTCTGGAGAGATACTAAGCAAGTTTACTTCCTCTTCCACTGAGTGATTATATTATTTCTTAGAACAGAAATATGGGGTAGGGGTAAAAACGGCTCTGAGAATTTTAAAGGGCTACACACTAACTTCAAAGTAAAAATGTTTATTAATTATTTAAATATACATATCTAGGCTCCTATGCAATCAATTTCACTAAATGAATGTGGCAATAATGCATTCAAGAATAGAATATATTAATATTATTTGTTGTAATCTATCCCAGAAGCAGAGATCATGGTGAGCAATTGGGATAGCCAATAGTTAAAACAGATAAAATATATCTAGCTTTCTAATTTATGGTTCTTTCGGGTTTGCAAAGTGAGTTAAGCATACTTATTCTATAGGCTTAAAATTAACCATCTGCCAAATGGAAACAGTTGGAAAATACAACCTTTTATTAGTTAAACCTCTAAAAGTCTTTCAGATACAGAAATAAAGCCCACCCCCCCCAAAAAAGAAAGCACCAATACTTCTTGATCTTTTTAGGGATACAATTCTATTATATGGTCTATGTTGTGACTAATTTGGAGCAAATATTTAGTGTAGAATTAATTATATAAATCATGTATAACACTCATCATAGACATGTTGGTTTTTCTATATGACAAATATTCACCCCAAAATACAATCCTAAATTTGTTGTGTTTTTAAAGTGAGACATATCTTTGATTAGAAACAACTATAACCATATAGTATAAGCAAGAATTGGGGTATAGATAGTCTATGGAAACATTTTTACTTAGATAATGATATTTTTACCCTGAACAAATGAAAAGCAGAAATGTAGTAAATGATATTTCAACTAATAATGAGGCATCATTTTTCTTGTATTCTATAGAATCACTAACAGGTTCAGTGTTAACTTTAATTTTCTGTTAAAGTTTTTATAAACATCAGAGTGAAGAAGAGTGGGGAACTTATCATGGAGCATTAATTCTACAAATTTTGTGCATGGATTTTTCATTCATTGTTCCTAGCACCTAGTAGGGAATCAATACATATTAGCTACATTGATCACATCAATTAATTAAATCAAATAAATCCAACAATTTAAAAAATGTGTACACATTCCTGGGATAGAAAAGGGTAACTTAATTAAGACTTTAAAAAGTTACAGGTATTTTATTGCTTTAAAATCTAGACTAATTTCATAAAAAGGGTAGATCCAGAATGATTCATTTTTCTCTCCATCTAGACTATTATAACTACACCAAAACTATTTTATAATTTTTAGCTTGTAAAACAGGTTAGTAATAACCATAACAGTAAAACTTATCGAGTTGTTACTATGTGTCAGGCACTATTTTAATTGATTTACTTTAATTAACTAATTTAATTCTATGAAGAACATAATTATTATTATTTCCAATTCTAGATGGGAAAACTGAAGCCCACGAAGTTAAGTTACATCTCCAGGTCACAGCTAGTAAGTAAATTCTAATCAAGGAAGCCTGGCTCCAGGATTCACCTCAGCCACTGAGCAGTATCTCCTGTCATATATTACGGTGCCTAGCTCATAGCAGACTCTAAATCATTATTTTTTAATTGATCAGTCACAAATGGAGAGAATAATTCATGAGATACTGTGCTGAAGATATGATGAACTGTAACCAACCCCTTTTCCACAGGTCTCAGGATGACAGCCCTTTAGTCAGGCAGCTCAGAATTCAGATACACCTTAGTTTTCACCCTGACTGGGGAAGAAAAGAGTTGAGCCCATGACCTCTGGAACCAGGCATATGGGCTACAGGCAGAAAATGGAACTTCTCTGTGCTTCAGTTTCCTCATTTATGAAACGGGGATTATAGTGATGAAGTTGGTGGTGGCAGTGGTACCCAGACCACAGGGTTGACGTGAAGCACTACATACCTGGCACTTAGTAAACATTCTACAGGTCTTATTGTCATGATTACAGCTCAACTTCTTTACCAGACTTCCTTCTTAGTAGACAACTGCTGGAGGCTAGAAAATCTTTTTATTCATTCAAAAAAATAGGTTATTTGGGCTGATTTGCCTGTCTTGTAAAGGTTGAATCCAACTGCTGCTAAGGGGGAATCTGTGTTGAGTCTGTTCATTCTCATTAGCTGTTGTCAAGGCTTGATAATTCCAGATTGTTTTGAGACACCAGAGAGATTGAGGAGAATCACAGGATGCAAATTTCCTTGCGCAAGATGCCCTTGAAAATCAGCAGTTTTGCTGCCTGTTTCCTTTACCTAACCCAAACTTCTACTTACAAAAGAATCGACTGCAAAGAGGACATCTGTACCTCTCACGGTTTTGGATAGGGGATGAACAAAAGGCTCTTCACTTTGCAATGTAGGGGAGAACTGAGGAGAAAGTCCCCCTGAGTTCCTGTCAGAGCTAGTCACAACTGCTTCATTTTTTCATTTTAACCCTCACTGGATGCAGACAGTGAATAGAATCTGGGACTAGATATCCAGAGCATACTAGACTCTCTACTTCTATACAGCATAATTTCTGGATCAAATTAACATCAATCTTCTTCATTGCCAAACACAAAACAAACAAAAAGAAAACATTGGTCCCAGAGTAATACCATTTCCTGTCCCCACACACACCACACACATACCTGCCCTAACCCTGGCCCTAAAATTACAAAAACACATGAAACAATTTGTTTTATAACTGTACAATCCAAAATATATTTTTAGCATGATATTCTTTTCATCTCAATCACTATCATTTGGGTGACAGAATGCAAATATATTTATGAAGCATACCACAAAATTAACATTTAAAAGAGAAACAAATAAGCAGCTGTTTTTTCTACCAAGTCCCTTTAGAATCCACTGAGAAACAAAAGACACAGTTACATACCCAATGTGTATAGTGAAGTTGTTGAGACACTGAGCATCTTCAGCAGTGGCTGACTGCTTAATGCGTAACACTTTTGTTTAGCCAAATTGCTTGACTTTGCAGGCATGCTTCCCTCTCAGAAACATATTACATATGATGGTGACCTTCCAAAATCAGTCCATAAGCACCAGTTTACCCTAGGGGCTGAGGCAGTGAGGTACAGCTGCAAGTAAATGACTGTAGAGATCTGGGTGTGAATTCTGCTTCTAGCCCTGGCTACTCATGTAGATTGAGGTTAATTACTTAATCTCTTTGAGCTTCAGTAAGATTATCTATAGAGCATGTACACTAAAACTTTTCCATTAGAGTTCTAGAAGGTAAGAGATCATGGTTGTAAAGTACTTAGTACAATTCTTAGTATATGGTATGAGCTCACAAAATGGTAGCCATTAATGTACCCATTAAACTGCATATAATGTATTATTTTATTAAGTAAGGCAGTGTTTTTGTTAAAATGAGAAAAATGAATTTCAAAATTCACTTTCAGATGCTAGAGCACTATTCCTTTAAACCGTCAGCCAGAGAAAGGACTCCATCTTTTATCATAGTCCTAAACTTTGCTTTCAGTAGAGGTAGTTGGGGATTAGAAGAGCATCTGATACATCAAGGAACCTATACCTGCAAAGTATAATTTAACTTATACCTGAAAAGTACTATTTTCCCTTACCAGTGTGCTTTAAGCTTAGAATGTTTGCACATACAAACTGCCCCATGTCCTTCAGCTTTTTAGGATCATTCTTTTTTAAAAATTTCAAAGAAGCTGCTCTAAAACTCCTTTCTGCATGATCTTAAAAGCCCAGTGCCCTCCACAAGATTTTTGAAGGCACTGAAGAGACACATATTCTCCTGTCCTTCTCCTGAAAGATGCCTGAAACCGCAGATAGTACCAAACCATGTATATGCCATTTTCCTTATACATGCATGCCTATGATAATGTTTAATTGTATTCCTTTTAACATTCCTTTAACCATATTCCTTTTCATATATTCCTGCTTCCCTTACACAGTCTCACCTATAGATGCTGCCTGCTTCCTGCCCCATCTTGCCCTCTATACTGGCCAGCACTTCTCTTCTTCTATTCCTGAGTATGACCTCCAAACACAACTCAGAATATATAGGAGTAACTCAGGAGGAGACACAAAATGGCACAAAAAACAACTAGATTTAAATACAATAGTCCCCCCCTTATTTGTGGTTTAGCTTTCCATTGTTTCAGTTACCCATGGTCAACAGCTGTCCAAAAATATTAAATGGAAAAATCCAGACATAAAAAATTAATGCATTTTAAACTGTGTGCCATTCAGCTCCGTCCAACCTGGGATGTGAATTATCTCTTTGTCCAGTGGATCCACACTGTCTGTGCTACCTGCCTGTTAGTCATTTAGTAGCTGTTTTGCTTCAGATAAACTGCTGAGGTAAAGCAGTTCTTGTATTGAGGTAATGCTTATTTTACTTAATAAGCGGCCCCAAAGTGCAAGAGTAGTGATGATGGTATGTCATTATAATTAATATTTAATTATTAGTTATTGTTGTTCATCTTACTTGCCTAATTTATGAATTAAACTTTTTCATAGGTATGTATGTATAGGGAAAAACATAGAGTTCGATATTATCTGTGGCCAGGCATCCACTGGGGGTCTTAGAACACATCTCTTGCAGACAACGGGAGACTACTGTATTAGACATCTGATTTTAAACTTCTTCTTATGGGCAATGTGCTCTGATATTTTTCATCTTATTCTATCCTATTCTATTTCATTTTATTATATTGTATTTTTAAAATGCTGGGGCTACTACCAGATCACACAATTCCCTAATGAGTCATGACCTGAGATTTAACACACCTAATCTATCTGGAGCAGTCAGAAGTCACAGCAAAGGGCCTTGATTTTTGAACAAAAAAAAAAGCTATTTGCCTCTAAAAATTCATATGGGTCTTTTTGCAGATTGTGAAACCTAGATGTTCATTTAATTAATATGTTTTTTTCCATCCTTGTGACATATAATATTTCATTTCATTTACTTTTTATCGCAACTTTATAAGTTAGGTTTAACAGACATTTTATAGCAACTTTGTAAGTTAGGTTTAACAGACATTTACAAGTTTCTCCATCTTTTAAAGATGAAGACACTGAATCTCGGGTTGAGTGATTTTCTAAGGTCACACAGATAGTAACTGTTTCTGCTTTGAAAGCCAGACTCATTTACATCTATGCCCGCTGCACCACATAGGCCATTGTTTCTCCAAAGGTGGTAGAGTACTGTCTGAATCTGAATTTCCTAGGTGCATAATACTTGCTAAAACATACAGATTCCTGGCTCTACCTTGATCTAGAGGATCAGAATATCTAAAGCTGGACGTGGAAATATGCATATGCAATTTCATAAAGGTCCACAGGGAACCAATATAAGCCAAACTAGGTTTATCATTTCCCTTTAATGGTGTAAATTGTGTGTGTATGTGTGTGTGTGTGTGCGCATGCGCATGTGTGTGCACGTGTGTGTGTGCATGTGTGCGTGTTTGAGAGAGAGAGAGAGGACTTCTGAAAGCTTAAAGATTTCACTGTTTTGCTTCAAAAGGATTTGAGAGAACCCAGAAGTCAAATACAAATAAAATTATACAATTATAGATAAACCAAGAACAAAGATTGAGTAACAGAAGAATCAAAAGAAAAGAGGAACTTAGCCTAGAAGAGAAGTTATTTGGCTTTCCTTTTTTTTTTTTCTTTTTTTGAGACTGAGTTTCACTCTTTTTGCCCAGGCTGGAGTGCAATGGCGTGATCTCAGCTCACCGCAACCTCCGCCTCCCAGGTTCAAGCGATTCTCCAGCTTCATCCTCCTGAGTAGCTGGGATTACAGGCATGCATCACCGCATTTGGCTAATTTTGTATTTTTAGTAGAGACGGGGTTTCTCCACGTTGGTCAGGCTGGTCTCGAACTCCCAACCTCAGGTAATCCGCCTGCCTCAGCCTCCAAAGTGCAGGGATTACAGGTGTGAGCCACCACGCCCGACCCAGAAAAGTTATTTGACTTTGACTTGGACTCTAATTCTTCTAGCAGTTAAGATAAAAATAAAACAGTATTTTGAAAAGTGTTTTATTCTAACAAGACTAATTTGGTTCTAATTCTCCCAGCATCTGAGCAAAAGAAAAAATAGATGTCTGTCGCATTTTTATTTTCTGAGTAAGAACTTAAGGGAACTGCTTATACATATGGTCAAAGTGTAGAGTGTGAAAACCTTCATGTCTCTTCCCCTTCTCCAGCATAATCATATAATTATTATAATAACATCAATTGAGTATCTACGGCAGGCCAAAACAAGATTATCCTATTTAATATTCATAAACCCCTCAGGATGCATCCTCCATTTTGTGGATAAGGAAACTCAAGTTTAGAGATTAGAAGCGTCTCTTCCAAAATGTACACAGTAAGTGGAAAAACTGGGATTCAAGCCCAGATTGTTTGTCTCCAGAGCCTATGCTCTGCTTACTCTCAGATCAATGATAAGTGAAACAGCCATGACATATACACATTAGTCCTATTGAGAAGGAAAACTAAAGCAAGAGTAAGAAAATAAAGAGGAAGAACAGCATATGAGAAAACCAGACCTGAGGCTAAGCAATCGTTTATCAGGAAGGGGCAGTGGGCAACTCCTCTGCTAGTATGTAATTTGATTTGAGCCAATCCAGGAAATATCTCTAACTTATCTTTGGCCCCTGATAATAAGCCTTCAGGTAATAGTCACATTGACTAAAGAAGTTTGGGTTTCTTTAGACATATAAAGACATTCAGGCAGCATCATCAGCAAAAAGGGTGGAACACAGGACTTTATTATTATTTGTCCTTTGACAAGCTCACAAATTAATCATCCCCACCAATCAGCGGAGTCACTATCTTTAGCTAATTAGTCAAGGCTAGATGCACATGTTCACTTGAAAAAAAAAACCCTTTATTACAAATTGTACATTTACAAAATTTCTACTATTATCTTCATGATCAATTCCTGAGATTCCTGTTCCATGTGCATTAGATGTCTTTGAGGTTGACAATTATTTTCTCCTAACGTGTCTGTCTCTTTGCTTTGTGTTTTTCTTTTAGCCTATATTCACAGTATGTTCTCGGCATTACCTTTGTCTCCAAACAGGAGGTGGTTTTGAAGTTACCTTTGATAAAGAAAGCTCAAAAGAGAAAATATTTGTTGTAATTGCATTAATTAGGTTACAAAAAAAAAAAAAAAGATGATGTATTTTCTGTATTCGCTTTTTGGGTAAAGATGGCTGTTACCCCTGGTAGTCATGTGAGTTACCAGGAGAAATATCACCCTGGTTCATTTCTCTCATATCTTTAAATAGTCATAATTCTAAACTCCTTAAGAGATTATGATATAAAGTGAGTTATAGAATATATAGTCCTTCTGCAGATGATTCTTTATATGATTAGACATAACAGTTTGGTCTATGAGTGCAAAGGATATGTTGCAAGTGATTGATTGACTAGAAATAATTCAACATTCTTTTTTGCAAGAGTCTCCTTTTTTTCAGATGCTTTCTCTGTTCTGAGTGTCATCATCTACCACTGTTAGCTTTAGTTTTTTTTTTTTCTCTATGTTGTTTTCTAACACGGATACAAGGTAAGATGAACACCACAGTCAAAATGGCATCATGCTGCTGAAGCTGACATCAAGCACTTTTGGCGGTCTTCAGAAAACAGCTTCACTTGGTTCTGTGCTTAATGTCTAAGATGTGGAATCTGCCAAGGCACCTGCCATTTTATATAGCTCTCTAATCTTCCTTTTTATTAGCTGTCTGCAAACATCATCACACTGACTGCTTGGTTTAAATTGTGTTCACTCTTGTAATGTAAAAAGATAAGAACTGTCCCCAAAGATATAAACTTAGACTCTTGTATTGTAGACAGTTATGTTTTCAACGTAATTTTCCTTGAAACAAAATTCCTTTATAATTCAACAAGAAAAGAGTCTATCTGTTTGCCTCCTAAGTAAATATTTTGCATTACAATTGTCCAGATGTGCAAGATGCTTACTGAAGCTTTCTTTGTTTAATCACTAATTTTTTAGATCAGTTGTTTAAAAAGGCACACACTATGGCCTATATTCTCATTCATTCACATATTTATTTCATTCATTCAAATAACATTAATTGGGTTCCTGCTACAAACCTTATACTGTGTTATGTAGTGTAAATACCAAGAAGAATAGGATGCTTTTATTTGAGAAATCAGGTAGGAAAGATAAACCCACAAAAACATAAATTAAAATACATCATGTTAAGTGCTATAATAGACATATGAGCAAAATGTCTTGGGAGCACAGAGGGATTGCTCTCTAAGTTCAAATAAGGGAGTATAAGGTTTTACAGAGGAGGGAGAGATATTCCAGTTAGTCTAGTCAGTGTGCTGCAGAGAGGGGAGAGAGTGGGAGAGGGATGATGGCGGGAAAGGGCATTCTCAATAGAGGGAACGTGAAGAATTTAGTGTGGTTGGAACAAAGGGAGCTTTCTAGAGGAAGATCAGGATAGGAGGTTGAAAATGTCACCTGGGCCAGATTGTGAAAAATGTATGTGTCATGCTAAAGAGCCTGGAATTAATTGCCTGGGTATTGGGTAACCAATAGAAATATGACTAAGAGCTAAGAACTGGATCTGTGCTGCAGAGGCGACCCTATTTTCAAACAGGCTGTATAGTGAAATACCAGAAAGCAAAACTGCAACACCCCCTAGTGCAAGAGCTCGCACCACGTTCCTAACCTGGAATGAGGCTCCTGCAGGCCTGGGTGAGGGTTGATTGCTGAGGTAGCAAGTGAGTAGGCAGTTAAAGGGACCTGGAAAAAAACAAAACAGGGAACACGAAGGAGAAGACAGGGCCACAGGGAGTGAAGAGTGGTTTGGAGTAGGATTTCTTCACCTGCTTTGGGGTTTACGGTTTACCCTGCCTTTTCAGAGTTAAAGAATGGGGACAAGAGCTAGGAGGTACAAAGGAACCTTTGGATCCTCTTTTTTTTTTTTTTTTTTTCCTCTCTCTCTCTTCCTTTTCTTCCAATGGGGAAATGAATCCACTTTGAGACTACTCTGGAGGCCTTAGAGGCAGAGGCAGAGTGGGCAGAGCATATGTACAAGTCAGGGTCTGTCTGTGTGTGACTAAGAAAGGATGGAGTTCATAGTAAAGCAAGCCCTGAGTCAGGAGTCAGTCCTTTCCCAGGGGAGCTGCATTGCTTTCAAAAGAGATGTCAGAATTTCACCCTTACTTTGAACTTTTTCACAATGTTAAATCTGGGCCAGAATTTGGCTCAGACCCCTTTCTAAGTCTACTTTTCACATTTTCCTTAGTACGGAAACAGTCGGAGCCTGTTCCTTTTTCGTCTAACCTCCGTTGCTACCATATTAGTAACTACAGCTTGCTTCCCTGGTGGTTGTTGCATCTGTGAAGAAGAAGCAGGGCATAACATCATCCATTCTATAGAAATGAAGGACTTGGAACATTACTTAGTTTACTTATTCATCACTTGCATTACCTCTATATTGTATTTCATCCCTCTTATGTGATCTTTAGGCTGTGTTTGAAAGACTCTACCATGGAAAACTCACCAGTTACCTGTGCCCTGGATAGCCATGTTTTACAATAATGTTCCTTTTAATATTGAGCTGGATATGTTTTCTTGAACCTTTCAGCTCATGTTTTTATCACTTGAAACCAAAGCCAAATTGCATCTCTCTTCCACATAAGACTCATTCAAATATCTGAAAGAAGCTAACACATTTCTTAGCTCCTTTAAGAGGGAAATGAAAAAGAATGCTGGAGGACTCACTGCTTCATGTTAGATATTAAGGTAGGATCATTCACTTGCATTAGCTTCCTTGTGAGGAAAAGCAAAAGAAAATACAACAAATATACAAATAAACCAGTTAAAAAAAAAAAGAGTTACTTTCCCAAGGTAAGTGGTAAAGCAGGTATGTAAAGTTAAATTATAAATTTTTAATATTAAATACATTTAAATTTTGCTTTATTTTATGAAAGTAATACAGATTAATATTTTAAAAAGCCAAGTAGTTCTATAATAATATATTAATGGTACACTAATAGGAAAACATAGTAATAATAATAACCTGCTTTATTCTTATCAACAGGCTTACTCTCACCTCTTATATTTGTATATTTTGATAATAATCTGTATCTAATGACACAGGTAAAATGCCATTTTTTCTTCCTCCTCCTCCTTTTTATCTTTCTCATCGATTTCCCACATGGAATATACAGATTTAGCTTCTTAAAACTGCCCATATGACACATATACATTTATCTTCTCTATATAGTTGTATTATAATTTTGGTTAAATCAAAAGTCAGCACATATTATTATGACTGTTAATATTATCAGCTCAATAATATGATGTTCTATACATTTATTTCAATTCTTATCTCTCCTGGAGTTAGTAATTGCCCTGTTTCATGACTTGCATGATTTCTATAAATCTGTCATTAATTAACTCCCAAATCATCCTGCAGAACTGAACATCTTCTCTTAATATGTGTGAACACATTCATCATTCTTTCTGGTTTTGCTTATTGAACTGTATTTGGTTTTAAAACACTCCTCCTGGAGTCCTTCTTTCTATATTTTTGCTGCAGCTGGTCTGTTGAACTGGCTGTTCTCTAGAGGGGCTGCATAAGCTGATATTCCAGAACTTCACTGATAACCTGGGAAATGTTATCTCCTTCTTATATTCATGACCTTATTTCCTGGGGGCCATTTTCTCTTCTTTCTTGGTGGAGCATGTGGAAATTTGAGAGTATTGCTCCATGGAATTCTAGCTTTCAGGATTGATACTGAGAAGTCATGGTCTATTCTGGCTCTTACGCTTTTGTAGGTGACTCTTTTTTTCCCCTTTCTTCTCTCTCTGGAAGCTGTAGTGTACTCTTCTGTCTCTTCTATTCTGAGCTTCTATGGTAGCATCATAAAAGTTGTTATTATAGCATCACTGGGCCCTTTTAATCTGAAAATAATTCCGGCTATTAGTTTGCAATTATTATTTATTAATCACTCACCTCCAACCTTTCTTTATTTCAAGAACTATTATGAGTCAGATGGTGGGTATTCTGCATTAATTCTGGTTTATTGAACTTTTTCCCCTATTTTTAATCTTTTTGTCATTTTTTTCAACTTTCTGGAAACTCTCCTTAAGGGTAACTTCCAATATGCTTCAATTTCTTTCCTTCTTTTTCCAAGAGCTTTTACTTTTTTTCTTTCTCTTTGTCTCTCTCTATGTACATCTACCTCTATCTCTGTATCTCTATCTCTATCTCATCTATCTATACATCCTGTTCTACTTTAGGGGATATAATGTCTCATCATTTTGACAGTATTATAGCCTTTCCATTGTTTTCTATTACACCCTGCATTGTCTTATTTTTTTTCTGTTTGTATTGGTGTTCTTCTTTCATGGTGTACAATTCTCCCCTCTGTTTATAGGAGTTTCCTTCTGTTTATTGCAGAACCTCTAAGGCTGATTGGAATCTCTGGGTGTGTTTGCTGGACCTGTCAGTTGGTAAGCCTTAGTGCAGCCCACAATAAAGCACTGAACTTTTTGCTGGGAGAAAACAGTATCCCTATCTGCACTTCTTTTCTTTTGAGTTCTTTAGTCTCCAGAGAGGAATCCTTTGTTTTTCTGCTTGGCTTCCAGAGTTCTGAGAGCGAAGTTAGAGAGATGTATTAAGGGTCTCATTTTTTCATAAGCATACTTTTATTTAATTATCTTATTTTTTGTATACTTTAATTAAATCCTGTTTTCATTAGAGTGCCTTCTTTCTTTCTCTTCTTTTCTTTTCTTTTTTTTTTTTTTCTTTTTGAGACGGAGTCTCGCTTTGTAGCCCAGGTTGGAGTGCAGTGGCGCTATCTCGGCTCACTGCAAGCTCCCCCTCCCGAGTTCACACCATTCTCCTGCCTCAGCCTCGCGAGTAGCTGGGACTACAGGCGCCCGCCACCACGCCCGGCTAATTTTTTGTATTTTTAGTGGAGACGGGGTTTCACCGTGTTAGCCAGGATGGTCTCGATCTCCTGACCTCGTGATCCACCTGCCTCGGCCTCCCAAAGTGCTGGGATTACAGGCGTGAGCCACCGTGCCCAGCCTAGAGTGCCTTCTTTCTGTCCTAAACTGATCTTAGGATTTGCAAGACCAGTACTTCTCCAGTTGAATTACAGAATTCACAAAGTATATCTCAAGTCTTTGACAAAATGAAGCCGGGGTAGTTGCCTGGCTTCATGATGTGGGAAAGAATCTGGGAGCCCAATTCTTCCATTTACAAACTTTCAACCCCCATTTTAATGTTTTTAGTCACTTCCTTAATCCCTACCTTTAATATCTCTCATTTCTGGGCATTTCTGGGGATCAGCAGCTCAGACTCCTTTTCATTATTATTACTTTTCTGATTGCTTCAGTTTCAACCTTCTGTCATGCTACTATGACTATCTTTGTCCATCCACTTAACATTTTTGAAAATGTGTTTGCCATTTTTTGTCTGGTATTGTCTGTCACCTTTCTTGATTACTTTGTCCTTGGGGGGTTATGCATTATTTATCCTTTATTCTTATTTTAGTTACTTTTGGGGAGGGAGTAGAGATAAAAGCTCACACCATGTTTAATTAAAAGTGACACCATTGCTATAACCACTACACGTGCTGCCACTGCTTACAATTTTGAGTCCATCACCATGCTATAGAATATGCATGGCTAAGACAAGATTTACTGACATTTGGGTACACTCAGCATTTACATAATCTGCCTATTCTTATCTCTCCTCTTCCATAGGAAAACCTAGAAAGATAAAATCAGACAGGTAGGTGGGTAAGAGGGAAGGTTTTAGTAAGAGAGACTAGGTTGAACTACATAATAAAATGCTGGAAGAAAGGAGAGTGAGATACATATGTAGCAAAAGTGGCAAGAACTAGGGCTTAAGAAGAGCTTAAGGTTTTGATGAAGATTTGAAACATTGCAGTGTGAAAGATTTGACAGGTGAAGAAAAGGATTTGTGAAAAGAGTTGCCGTGAGTTACAGATTTGATCACCTTTAATGATCTTTGAAAGAGTAAAGTGAATATTGGTATTCCTCTTTAATTAATAATCATTGTATAATCTCTGCTTCTTTGACTGACATTCTGCATATTTTGAAGGGCAAAATAGGTTATTTATAGACTTCTAAATGTGTGGTGCTCAAATCTAAACACGACACTTTGAGTGTGAAAATATTAAACAGCTCTCACATGGAAAGAAGAGCTACATCCTATTTTCAAATACACAGGAAGGACAAAAGGAAATTAGATCTAAGATCTATAATAAAAAGGAAATTAGTTTTCTTATTCCTAATCTTTCTTCTGTATTTAAAAACTGAGTCTACTTATTCTAACGTTTAGCCTCTGGATCCTCTCTATCTATCCAAACATACCTTCACATTTTCAGTAGGCATTCTCTATTCTCTTCAGTCGCTCTAATGGTTTACCCTGCAAATCATTAAACCCACATAGTCTCAGATAAATTTAAGTGATTTCTTTTGACCACCTCCTCCTCACACACATTCCAAAATATACACGCATGCAAAAACAAAAACAAAACCCAGCCATCTTTCTTTGGTTTCTGGTTTCCTTCAGTGATTTTTTTTTCTAGATATTCTACAAAGAATATGAGTGGAATTCACTGAGTTGGAATAGAGGCAGAGGTTCAGTGTTATTGATAAGGTTTAGAATAATAATGAACTGCACAACATTTACCTAAACTTTATAAATATGGTAAAAATACAGAGAAATGATAGCCATGAGCTTTACCTTCAGGGAGATCATGATATAGTCAGGGAAGTAAAAGGGTTTTTGAGAAATGCTTAAAAATAGAGGACATAAACAATTTTAGCCAACAGATTGGTATGAAATGTGTTGTTACAGAAAGGTTTCTATTCCAAATGAAAGACCTTCCTATCCTCCATACCAACCACCACTGTGGGACGCCTCATGTTAAGATGGTAAACAATGTGATTGTGGACCCTATTTGGTCATTAGTGAACTCTGATTTAGAACAGTTTACGTATTTAACCTCTATAGGCCTGGATTTTATTATTTGAAGACAAAAATGATTAAAATGAATAATAGTTGAAGCATTTTTCAATCTAAAAATCTGTTACTGGGCTTCCCTTTTATAAGAAGGGCATGAGTATACCTACAGTGGCTAATGCAAGCCATCAGAAGTATCTACATAGAGTGCACGTAAATGGAAGCATGACCATGGGATATTGTAGGGATAGACTAGGTTTCACAGGCAGGTTCAAATTTGGGCCCCTTCACTCAAATATTTAAATGTTTCCTGGAGATGGGTCTGGAGTTATCAAGAATTATTTTCCTTTTTTAATTTCTCCATAAGGACATTGCAGATAATTAAGTTTTACCATTTATCTATGGAGTACAGTGTGGAGATGATAGCTCCATTTCAACCCATTGACGTTTTAAACTTTTATAACGAGAACACTAGTGTTTTAGTTTGTTCTAGCTGCTTTAACAAAATACCATCAATTTAGTGCATTGAAACAACAGAAATGTATGTCTCATTGTTCTGGAGTCTGGGAAGTCCAAGATCAAGGTACAGGCAGGAGTACTGTATGTTGAAAGCCTGCTTCCTTAGAGACAGCACTTTCTGTGTCCTCACATTCTGAGAGGGGCAAGGTAACTCCCTTGGGCCTCTTTTATAAGGGCACTAATCCCTTTCGTGATTCATGAACCTAATCATTTCCCAAAAGGCTTCATTGCCTAAGACCATCACCTTGGGGGTTAGGACTTCAGCAGAGTAATTTTGAGAGGATAAAAACATTCAGGCCATAGTACCTTGTCACTGCAGGGCTACGCTGTACCTTTATCCAAGGGTGCTCATATATAAATTCAGTTCTGAGTGTTCTATCTCAGAGGCCAGATTAGGATTTCTTTGTACTCTCCTAATTTACTTGAATTAAAATATACTTGGTAGTTATCGCCCTGATGATTTCCTCTTTGCCCCAATTATTTGGAAGTAGACATATTGGCATACACATAAGCTGAGGAATGTTAGGGAAACTATGCTCATTTATCAGATACAGCAAGTTAAAATCGAATACCTGTTAGAATAGGTGAAGGTTTATTGCTAGTAATAAGCAGAAAGTGCTGGAGCAAGGGGTAGGGTTGCGAATCTGTTGAAGGTCAGCCAAACAATGTACGAAGAGAGGAAATTAGATGACAGGACCTTGCACACAATATGTAACTAGGATTCATTGATAAAAATATATGAATAGTAGATGGATGGAATGATGGATAGATGGATGGAGTGAAAAATTATTAATATTAAATGTTAATATGAAAATGTTACATACTTCCAACTTCACAATTTTGCTACAGATTGAATCAGCTATTATATTTAATTGCTATATTGAATTCACTTAAGTCTATGTTGTACTTTTCTGTCCATGAGTGAGGAAAATAAAAACATAATGTTTTCTAATAGCTATTGGTGCAAAGCTAAGGATATATTTCTCTCTGCTACTTTCATATTGTTTCATATTAACATACATGTTAAATTCTGTCATTTATGACAACATGGATAGAACAAGGGAACATTATGCAAAGTGAAATAAGTCAGGCACGAAAGTCAAACTTCACATTCTTATAGGTAGACTCTAAAACAGCTGAAGTCACAGAAATAGAGAATAGAATGGTGGTTATAGAGGCTGGCTGTTGGAGAGAATGGAATGATGATAGTCAAAGGGTACAAAATTTCAGTTAGACAAGAAGAATAGGCTTTTTTTCTTGTTAGTTCTATTGCACAGCATGGTAAATCTAACTAATTCTAACTAATTATAGAGTATTTTATATTTGAAAATTGCTAAGAGGATAAATTTCAAATCTTCTCACCACAAAAAATGTTAAGAATTTAAACTGATGGATATGTTAACTAGCTTAATTATTCCACATTGCAGTCATAAACTATAACATTAGTTTTTACCCCATAGATTTACACAATTACAAATTGTCAATTTATAACAAAAATTATAAAATGTACCAACCTTGAAAGCTGCATTCTGTTTTTCTCACTTCACCTAAAAAATACAAAACACACACAAAAAGGAAACTGAAATAAAAGCCAATTAAAGTAACACAAGAAGTCAAAAAGACATTTTCTTTATTTCTTTTAACTTTTACCCATTTTTCTTGTTGACAGGAAAGAAGCATTTAACTACAGAGAGAAAAAAAACTGATAAAACTCTTTTTCTCCTATATTGTTTTTAATATATTTTTACTTTTTAAATTTTGTCATAATTTGCTTTTTAAAATTTCTTATGAGTATAGAAATTATGAATGACAATGAGTAAAAATGCAGAGGGGATGTTTAATAAACATGATTAAATTGTATGAAAGAAAAAATTATATAGGCAGCACTTATCCCATGGAAGCCATCATGATAAGATTTTTGATAAATTCAGGCAAGATTATTTTAAGGTGCTATTACAATTTCTTCTCAGGTTCTATATTTCTACTCTTGAATGCTGATTAGAACACAGGCTTTTGCGTCTTCTCTCTCCTTACTCCCCTAATAATCTGTTCTCCCTTATGGACCAAGTGATTATTCTGTTGTTTATAATAAATGCTCTACATTCCTTATGGAAATTGTAATTATGATGCTGAATATTCAAACTGCAAGCCACTTTTGTCAGGGAAATTGTAATTATGATAATGCTGTATTTACCCAAACGATGTTTTTTTTAGTCATTGTTCTCTTTGAGGAATAAAGAGGTAAGAGAAAAAAACTAACATAAAACATCATGTTGGGATTTAAGATATGGATTCAGGCCGGGCGCAGTGGCTCATGCCTGTAATCCGAGCACTTTGGGAGGCTGAGGCAGGTAGATCACCTGAGGTCAGGAGTTCAAGACCAGCCTGGCCAACATGGCGAAACCCCATCTTTACTAAAAATACAAAAATTAGTTGGGCATGGTGGCGTGCGCCTGTAGTCCCAGCTACTCGGGAGGCTGAGGCAGGAGAATTGCTTGAACTTGGCAGGCAGAGGTTGCAGTGAGCCAAGATCAGGCCACTGCACTCCAGCCTGGGCAATAAGAGCAAAACTCCATCTCAAAAAAAAAAAAAAAAAGATATGGATTCAGACAAGCATAATAATAATAGCTAATCTTTACTATGGCAGGCATGACACAACCAGGCTTACATGTGTATGACACAGATGCATGTTACAGGCATATGTGAATCACAAAGGTTTCTCCTTTAACCCGCACAACAACCTCATGAGGTAAGTAATAGTATTGTCCCAATTTTATAGACGAAGGACATGAGGCCTTTGTTCGGCACCACGACGTGAAGGCCTACGGAGTATTTGATACATCAATATATGTAACATGACTCTACTTTTGTTAAAAATATGTTTTTATTTATATATATATATATATATATGTAATATCCAATTGTGCATAGAAACAAATCTAAAGGAGTAGCTATCAGACACTTAAAGTAACCTTTTAATAAGAGGTTGAAGAGGGAACTTTTTTCCTTCATGATACATGAATATTATGCTTTAAGTGTTTATAATATTTTTTTATAAGGAGAAAATAAATTTTTAAAAATGTAACAACATAGAAAGAAGGACATCCAAAAATAAATGCAAAAATTATACTATTTTAATAAGAAAGCAAAAACCAAACAAAACACAAGGCCGATCACTGAAACAGCTTATTAGGTGGGTCCCTAGATAAAATGGGAAGCAGACCTCCAATAACTCCTTTCATCTGCCTGCCTTCTTTCTAGCTTGCCAGATCTGTACAACCAGAGCCCCAAATAAGGATGGAAGCTCTATCCTTTCCTCCTTAGCTCAGCAGTAATTGTTTAGGATTGTTTCAATATTGATAAGCAACTACTGATCACCCACCATGTATAAGCACTTTATAAGCAGGTTTCAATATTCTATAATAACCATTTTACTCCGCTTTCACAAATGAGAAAATTGAGTCTCACAAAAGTCATTTATTTGCCCAAATTTACCAAGTTAGCCTGTGTTCTTTTAATTTGACAAATTGACCCACCTCGACCAAAAGTAAAGTAAGATTGAAAAGAAACTCAGAAACTGAAGGCAAACAAAAACAGGAAATTAAAAAGATAAGGACAAAGTATATAAATTAGTGAGTTTTTAGAGGACGACCCTCTTGTACAGCTTAAGAACTCCCAGGACCTATTCTTGGACCTTTTCTGGACTTTGTTATGTTTCTAACACCCCACCCAAGAAATTCCAACCCCTTATCGCACACACACCCCTTAACACACACACACACACACACACACACACACACACACACACACACATACACCCCACACTAAGCTTCTCTCCACTCCTTTGGCAGCATCCATCTGCTGCAATGGGACCGTTCAATTATCCATTTCTGATTTTCCATACCTGAAAATGTGGATGAGCTGTCCAACCTAATAGCAACAGGGGTAGATGCTGGGTCTCAATTCAGTATTATTCCCCGGTTCAGCCTGCTAGTCAGTAGTAAGCTGATTATGACATCTACTACCTTAGAAGGAGCAGTAACTCATTTTGACTAGAACTGAGCCAATTCCAAATTAGGGTTTGCCTTATATGCCTGCAGGGCCTTGTTTAGCACCAAGATCTGAGGGCCTACAGAGTGTCTGAAAGGTGAATACATAATTCTGCATAATATCATCCAGACCAATGCGACTACTTTGGACGGAGGTAGAAAGTGGGTACATAGTCAGGAGATCCACTTGTCCTGGTACGCACTGCATGCCGCAGAAGGTGCTGGTCTGATGAGTGATGGAACAGCCTTTGGAATCCTAAAGATGTGGTAAATTCTCTAAATCAATGACCATTCTTTGATACTGCATCCCCAACAGGTAGAATACATGGGTCTAGGAACGAAGGGGAAAATATAGAAGTGGTTGAACCTAGCATCACTTCCACAGTCTTAAACGGGAAATTTGCATTTCCTGTTCACAAAAGTTTAGGCTCTGTGGGTCTAGAGATCTTGGTTTTCAGAGGGAGGTTGCTTCTGAGAGGAGACACTGCCTCTGAGAGGGGACACAGTACGAATCTCATTAAGCTTCAAGCTATATCCTACACCAAATTACTTTGGGCTCCTGTGCCAAGAGATTGGCAGCAAGGAGAAGCGTCACTCTCTTTGCCAGGACAATTATCTCCTCATCAGGATCTGATATGGCTGCTATTACACAATAAGGGCAGAAAAGAATATCTGGCATGCAGGTGATACACTAGGCATTTTGTGAACTTTCCTTGCTTTTTTTTTTTTTTTGTAATAAACGGACAAGTGCAGCAGCCTAAAAATAAAATGTTGAGGAGGGGTTCAGATCCCTTAGTAATAGTCTGTGTTACCCCATAAGGTAGGCCACATATGTTCATTAGGGTACTGGCTGAGGATGGGAGAATTTTAGAATGGGTAGGAGAAGAGAAGAAGAGAAGAGAAGAGAAGAGAAGCGAAGCGAGAGATATTAAGTATCTATTGTGAGCTTGAATAGCAGGGGCCATGGTTCCCCACTAATCTTCTTCTAAGAGGTTTCCTAAAGATGGCAACCTATTCGGATTCTGGAGGAGCTGTTCTCAGATGGGATAAATATATTATATGATGCAAGTAGTGCCAAGTAGATGCCACATGGCATCACCCACTTCGTGACAAAGACTCACTGCCCTAGCTGCCTGAAGTGCTGGCTGCTGGTAGCCCACAGCTGAGTCCTTCTCTGGGAATTTTCCACCTTCCACCCGAGGGAACTGCCTTGACCAAGACAGGTTATTCACAGGCAGCTCATGCTAATGACTGATTAATATTGTACTACAAAGACCGGACTCCCTTTCCTCAGCTTGGGACACCTATAAATACATTGATCCCAAGTAACTTCCCAATAAATTTCATGCATGAAAACCTCTGTCTTAGAGTTTGTTTCACCAGAAAATTTACCTAAATCAAGGTAAATTTGGAAGACATGGAGCAGAGAGTTGAACACAGATATGTCAGGCTCTGAAATCCATATCCTTTCCATTATATCTTTCTACCTATCAAAACGAAGAGTTGAAACAAATTTTCAGAACATTTTTGTGTATGCAGTAGACATAGGCAATGATGGTATATTTCAGCCTGTAAGTCATCATTCTTCATTATTACACAATAGCTACAATTATACTGCCATTGGAATATTAAACTAATGTATTTAGATCTCTTGAAATCTAGACATCTACAGAGATGTTAGTAGATATGTACAAACACACGTTGATTTATAATATTATATTAAAATACAGTTGACCCATGAACAGCACAGATTTGAATTGTGCAGATGCACTTATACATGGAAATTTTTCCATAAAAATTATATAAGTATGCCTGCTTCCCCTTCCACCTCCCCCACCTCTTCTGCCTCTGCCATGCCCGAGAGAGCAAGACCAACCCCTCCTCTTCCTCTGCCTTCTCAGTCTACTCAATGTGAAGAGAAAGAGGATGAAGACCTTTATGATGGTCCAGTTTTACTTAGAGTAAATATATTTTCTATCCCTTATGATTTACTTAATAACACCTTCTTTCCTGCAGTTTATTTTATTATAAAAATACAGCATACAATACATATAATATACAAAAGATGTCTTAACCTACTGTTTATGTTATCAGTAAGCCTTCCAGACAGCAGTAGGCTATTCGTAGTTAAGTTCTGGGGGAGTAGAAAAGTTATACACAGATTTTCAACTGTGTGTGGGGGGGTTAGTTTCCCAACCCTTGCATTGTTCAAAGCTCAAGTGGATATAGTATACATGTACACACATGTCTATATATCCTATAAAATGTATCTCAGCACTCATTCCAAGGTTACTGTGACCAAAATCCTTAATTATACTAGCCTATTTGCAAAGAACAATATGATACTTTTAATAATGCCATTTTTCTAGGAAGACTATTCAAGACTTCTCTATTTCAGAAAACTTAAAAGATTAGTTACGGAACAAGGGCTTACATTTTCTGCAATAAATGTAAGGATTTTATCAGGCATGAAATGTAGTCAGAACAATTTACGGTCCAGTAAAATGTTACTTCAGGCAGTATTTACAATCAGAACACAGAAGTTACCTAATTCTATGCAGTTGTGAGAAAATCCAGTTAAGATTTTACAAGCAGTGAACACTGCTCCACACTATTCCTCAAGAAATTCTACATCAAGTCTTTTATTTCATTCACAACTCTTAATTCTAGATCAAATCATTTATACTTTCTATTTAAGCATTTGTGGCATCACTGGTTTACTCAGGTTATGCCACCACTACACTGCATCAAAGGCTTAAATGTCATAAATACAAACGCAATTGTAGATAAAATTCCTCAGACAGAAAAGTAAAACTAGAGCATTCCAAGAAAGGTATCCTAACCTGTCCATGGTGAGGCAGAAAATAGTTGCTACATATCCAGGAAGAGCTACTAGCTTTAGTTCTATCTTTAATTGTGTTCAGTTAGTGGACAAAAGGTTATTTATGCCATTTTAAGCAGGGAGGCTTTTGAAAGAGCTCTCAAGTATCAGAGGGTTGTGAAACTCTTAAACTTGTGGTAACTGGGATAGGAAACTCCCCATGGAATCTGTGTTATATATCCCATGTGGCAATAAATACAGGAAACACTTTAATGAAGCATGCAGCTAATGGGGGACTTTCCATGAAGAGGCAGCAGGTTTTGCAAAGCACACTCTACTCAGTGAGCTTTAAGTCAAAGATTCTTCCAGACTTCCAGAAACTCTACTAGACCATTGCTCCCTACTGACTGATGAGGCTACGGAACTGTTGAGTTAGGCTTTCTAACTTTATTCTGGGATCATTCACTATTCTAAACAGCACCATTAATACATAAACCTGGAAACTTCAGAAAGGCAGCAACATAGATTTACATCAATTCATTCTTAATTTAATTGGGATTGTGGAAGATACAATGATGTATATGACCTACTTGCAAGCAAGCTTACTTTGACTTATAATGCAAGTACACCTGACACTGGCAAGAATGCACCTCAGTTTCTAGACATCAATATTCATGAGTTCAGGGAAGAAAGTCAATTTTTGCCCAAGACACCCAGATTTCCTATAGCTGAGTGACTGTCAGTACACAGTACATTACATTTAACATCACAAAGTACTTACAAAAAGTAGTCTGACAAACAGATAAAGACGGACAAAGGCATGGAGTTAACTTTGAACCACAAAGAGCTCTCCAGGACAGAGCTTATCAGCATGGAAAATAATATTTTAATAATTTCCTTTTGATATTAAAAATATTAAAAGTTATTTAACTTTTAATTAAATAACAGGGAGAGGTTGGGGCAATGCCATAAAGTCTTTCATATGGTAAATTTTGAAGGAAGTATAGTCAGCATGAAGCCATAAAATGTTTTTCAGATGAGAAGGCATTTTATAAAAATTGCTGAGGTAGCACCTGCAAGAGACTGAAAGCAGGTGTGTTTCATGTGTGTTTGATGGGGCCCTATTGACAAGGCTGGCAAATGTTGCTCAGTTTAACTAATTTGAAATCATGATTTTTTTCTCTCTCACTAGGAAAGTAGAGTGGTGTGGTTCAAAGAGCACTGTAAATAAAATCAGAAGCCCAGGATTTAGTCTATACTCTGCTCCAATTGGTTATCTATCTGTTTCTGTTCAACAATTTTACTTGAGTTACAAGTTAAATTTCGAGTACTCCCCTGCCCTCCTCCCCAAAACAAAACCAGCACTCCCTAATACAGAATGGTTTAGGCAAGAGTGCAGAGCAGAAGTATGACTTAGGATCAACAGGAAATGCGATGTGCCTCCCACAAACACGAATGCTATTGTATGCTTTATTATTATACCTGTAGTATATAGAGGAAGGTAGGAAATGAACCTGCTTTACTTTTAAGTTGTCATATCGAGATGGAGCATTGCTTTTAGTTGAAGATACCACATTTTATAAGATCCACAAACAAATGGGACACAATCTGGGAGGAAGGCTTCATGAGTGAAGAAACTAAAAATACTGCAAGGAATGGCAGAAGTTGCATTCAAGTGGGGGCATGCAAGGTTCTGGAACATCTAAGCAAGTATCATAACATTTTAGCTAGAGAAATTTGAAGTAACAAGAGGAAGAATACTAACTAAAAACTGTCTCAAGATGGCTTGTGTTAAGACAGGGGTTCACAAATTACAGGCCACAAACATCTTACTTCTTTTTATTTACAGATTATTTATGTCCTCTTTGCTGCTACAGTAGCAGAGTTAACTAGATGCCACACAGATGCCACACATATTTACAGCTGAACATGTTTACAATCTATTTACAGGAAAAGTTTGACTCCTGCCTTAAGAAATAGCCAATCCATCAATCATTCACTCATGTGTTCATTCATTTAATAAACAGGTTTCAAACATATACAATGTGTCTAAAATGTACCTGGCAACATACAGATAAGAAACAGTCTGTTTCTTAGCCTACCCACCAATTTCCATAAGGCCACCAGACGCAAGCTAGGTGACCATTAATAGAGGACATCGTAGAGGGGAGTAAATCATTGACTCAATGACTATAAAGGTTTTTTTTTTTTTCCAATGGTAAGAGTCTTTAAAATACAATACTTCATGGAGAAAAAGTCCATGAAAAATTGGTTAATGGAAATAGATGGAGAAGTAGGAGGTGGCAGTCTTCAAGGTACAGAAGAGTCAAGTTCAGTGATCAGAGAATGAAAACCAGACAAGTTGAATAAACATGTAGGGTAGGAGTGAGGAAGTACAGTATAGATGTCTGGAAAGATGAGAAACACCATATCGTGGAGGTCATTCAATGTCAAGCTTAATATTTTCTAGGTTATTTGGTAGCTAATAGGAAGCTACAAAGTCTTTCTTAAAAGAGATAGTATAAACAAAGTGAAGTTCAGGAAAGATCATTTTGACAGCGATATGTAGGATAGATTGCAGATGGAATATAGAACAGCTGCAGTCTAGGCTTAAAATAAGAACATGGAACACTAAGAATTGGATGGGAAGAGAGAAGCAGACATGAATGTGTATTTCACATGAATGAGAAATGCTAGGTACATAGCAACTCAGGCATATGAGGAAGAAATAAGGAGTAGAGGCTGGGTATAACTACGGGCTTGCCCTTGAGTATGTATTTCTTTCTCAGGTCAGGAGCTTCCTCTACACAGGGCCCAAAGGAACACAGTAAACACCATTTTGATTTGCATCAATATCCAGTGAAATCCACCATTGGTTGGTAAAAAGTGGTGTCCTTCAGAAAAGGATCCTTGACAATGACTATTGCTATACAGAATGGGGTTTGGGTTCAGGGAGAAAGCCATCAGTTTTTCCAGAGTCCTAGTGTGGAAGGTAACTTCAGAACAGAGCAAAAAAAACAAAAAAACAAAAACAAACAAACAAACAAAAACAAAAACAATTGCAGACTTTTGACTAACATGGTCAAACATGGTAGAAATAGGGAAAAGCTGTGAGTCTGTGGGTATTTGGGTGCCAGTGGCAGCAAAAATAATTTCAGTCTCCATTGGTTGGTGAGTTTCAGGCTGTTAATATAATCATACAGTTTGGAACTGAGTATGGCTACACATGCAGGTAAAAGATCTCAGGAATCACAGCCGCTCATGGAATACAGGACATAATTATAACTATTTGTGTGGGGAGTTCAAATATGTCTTTGTAATTTAGGCTGGAATGTATATGCCAACACATTTGTATCTTGAATATATAAAACCATATTTGTGTCTGAATCAGCACCATCAATAAAAAATACCATATTTTCAAAATGTTTATCTATTTATAAAGTTGCTCCATTATTCTTTGACTATAATCTTGGATTTAAAAGGAAATATTCACCCTCTGCCCCTACCTTAACCAATTTTGTCTGATGGAAGTGTTTAGCTTGGAGAAAGGTGGTCTTGTACTGACACTGAAAACATTGACCCAGATGGTCATTTATGTCGCACTTCTAACCCGACACTACAATTTGGGGAAGATTTTTGGCCAAATCATTAGAATGCTGCCCTGTGAGTCAATAGGCTTAGGCCACCATTTACATTTTGTTTCTTCAGTTTTTTTCTTTTTCTTTTTATATATCCATGGATTCCTGTACACTTTTAATAGCAGCATATTACAATCAGGATATTACAGTGTAAAGAGCCAAGTCTTTGGATACAGATGGACCTAGGTTGGATCCCAGCACTACTACTTATTAACAGGGAAATATTGAGCTAGTTCTCTACTTTCTCTGAGCCTCTGTTTCCTTCTCTATTAAATGGGGATAATAATACTTGCCTCAAGGTTTGTTTTGAGAATTAGTGAGGTAATAGATAGTACTTGGCATTTATTAGACACAAAATAAATATTCATTCCATTTCTTCTTTAATACTCTTTGTGATTATTAAGCTATCTCAGCTGGCTGCATTTATATTTATGACATTCAAAATATGAAAGCATTGTTACAAAATCCCAAATGTCTAGAATTCAGATAAAGATGTTCTCTCATGGAATGATTCACATGGAAAAACTCATTAGATACGTCTTTCCAAAATAATCACATTGATAAACTATGTATTAAATGATTTTAGTTAAATACCTACAACACATTGTGGACCATTACTAGGTGCTCATTTATTTTAAGGACAGAAACAATACACACAGGGAGAGTTAGCTGAACAGCAATTAAACACATTTCATGTTTCCTGTGTTGTACATCAGCAGTATTTAGAGCAAAGCCTTGAATCTCATGGGGGGCCATTCACATGCAGTCTGCAGCTCTTCAACACCTAAAATCTTCATACAGGATATTATCATTCAGTTCTATGGGCCACATGGTACATTTCAATAAAAAACACTAAAGCATGGTGGTCAAAAATACTTGCTCTGTTTTTAGACAGTTGACATAACTCTTTAACTTGCTGTGTGCTCTTTGGAAAGTTACTTGTCCCCATGATTCATTTTCTTAATCTGTAAAATGGGGATAGTAATAAATAGTGTTTACCTCCCTGGATTATTGTGAGGATTAAATGAAATACTACCACAAAAGTTCTTGATACATTGAGATCACTAAATAAATTTTATCATTTTTTCATACCTGCTTCCAAACAGGATTTGTAGAGATTTATTTCATATAACAAATATATAACAGTTAAAACAATGTGGACAAAAAGAACAAGGATCCTATAGTAAAAGGTGGTAAGTGTGGAAGTGAAGTCTTTTACTGTGCTAAGCCCAATCCAGAGCTAAGTCCCCTGAGTCCATGTCCCCACTTAAAATTTTTTCATGTATAGCTCCTCATCTGTAGGAAGAAGAATATTCACCCTACAATGCATGCAAGGACCTCCATGGGTGACTTCTGCCCACGTGGGTTGCTAGCAGCACTCACTCTTTCATTTCTAAAATTGAAACACTATAGATCACCATTCATTGTGTGTGTGTGTGTGTGTGTGTGTGTGTGTGTGTGTAAGATTCTACGTTTCTGCTCTGCCTCTTGTATATCTGTATATAGTCCCTCTCTATCTGGAATACTTTCTCCTCTGTTTTTAATCTTCCACAAGTGACCAAACAGTATGAAAAAGGCTTGAGAAAGTCCGTGATCACATTGGAGGAAGGTTTCCAAAAAGGCCAACATGCTGAAGGCAGTAGAGGCTACTGGTGAGGCAGCAGTTTCTAGAGAGTGGGCAGTCAAACTCCTCAGGGGATCTCTATCTGGAAAGGAAGCAGTCCATACAGAGAAACTCACAGTGCACGAAGCCATAAATATATACAGGAAATTGGAGGTGAGTGAAATCCAGAGGGGTTTGTCACTTCCAAGCCCGAACCACTAAATTAATACTGAATGTTGATTTATGTTAATGACATTTAGTAATGTAATTCTCTGTAAGAGCATCTGTATAATATTTCAGATATTCCCAGGGGTGCTTAGAGAAGGGGAGTTAGTCGACCATGTAATATTGTGTAAAATTAATTAAACAGAGATTTTAATATAAGGAAGCTCTGAATTGGAAAATACATCTGTTTTGTATATGCACTTTTTTCCACCTCACCTGCAGTGCTTAGGTTTGCATAGAATCCCTGTGTTAAAAGAATCTGGGGTAGAGAAACCTATGATCTTATGCTAATACAGAAAATAAAGTTATAAGGCTTGAGGGCAGGATTACAGCTATGAAAGTCATTTACATATGTTCATTTTCACTAAAATAAAACATTACACAATACAACATATGTGAACATCTATAAATATTATATTAGTGATAAATATTACTATATTACTGATCTCTATCATAATAGTTATTTATTTTAGACAATTTGAAAATTGCATTTAGACAATTACAGATTTTTAATAATATAATGAGCAAACCTGCCACTCAAAACAAAAACTAGGAAGTTGACCCTATGCTCCTCTATAACTCCAAACACATAATCCCCCTCAATCCATCACCTCAGGCAACCAATACTCTGAATTCCACATTTATCACTCCCTTCTTTTCCATGTTATGCACTATATATATATATATATATATGCCTGTGTATGTGTGATTTTTTAACTTAAAAAAGGTAATAATGTTGTATGTAATCATTTGGACATTTTTTCAGTTAACATTTTATTGTAGTTATTGATACGTTTTGATATACTTCATTTTAGTTTATTATTTCAATTTTGTCTCATTTTCTATACCTTTCAGTAATAATTGTCTACCCTTTTTCCCACTATTTTTAAAACAAACACTTCAGCACACATCACATTCATTGAATTTCACTCCTCAAATACGTCTGTCATGTTGGCATTATCATTCTAGACTTTTAATTCTGTGTTAGTGCTTTCTCTTTTCTTTGCTCTTAGCAATATTTATAACAGTTTATAACAAGGAATAAAATTACTTTAAAAATATGTTTCTTGCAACATCCCCTAAGATTTTAAACAATTTTCTCATCTAGATACTTGATCCAAACTGCTCCCTGTATGGGTCTTTTCAAAGTTTCAGAGGCTTTGTGTGATAAAAAAAAAAAATGTCTTCACATTTCAACAACAGTTAGCCAGATATCACACTCTAGATCCTAAGTTATTTTAATACTTTACAAATAGCACTCCACTGTTTTCTTGTATCCAATGTTGCCCTCAAAAAATCTAAGGTTAATTTGATTCTTGTTTCTTGGGTGTGATCTATTTACTCCTATTCATTCTCCTTTCATTCAATTAATATTTACTAAATGTCTACTATTTGTGATGTACTAAGCTAGACACTGGGGTACAGGAGGGCACAAGAAAGGTGTAGCTCTAAGTTCTTGGACGCTGACCTCTAGTGAGATGCATTGAAGACTTCTAAGAATATGTTTTTATGGCCAATCTTAAAAGAAGCATTACCTTCCTTTCATTCTTTTAAAGATTCAGTGTTTATAATCTCTATTCCTGTAGCATTTAACCTTACCTAAGTTGCTACTTCCAGCTCTGCTCCTTCTGTAATATAATTAACCTCACCTGAAGTGATTTAAAATTCACTGGGCTTACCTAGACTAGATTCCATTTTCTCACAGCTGTTGAAAAGCAAATTCACATACAGGTTGATTTTATATAAGGAGAACTCACAATCAGGTGTGTCAGTGGGGAGGGATTGCTGTATTCAACTTCATGACTCTGCTCTGAATTAAGAAATATAGAAAAGGCACGGATACTGTTATGCTTCATAATCCTATTTTCTTCTTTCTGGGCAAATAAAATTAGGCTTTGTGGCTGGAAAGAAGGTATATGCAGCTTAGGGAAAATTATGAAGCAGAAGGAAATGGAGCGAACAAAAGATAAATATTCAAAACATAAACTTGCCCTGGAAGTCTCAAATGTACTAAATACTCTATGAATTGTGTTTCTTTCCATAAAAACCAGGAAATGATAATGGAAAAATATATGTGCATGTCCTTCATTAGCATACCTTTCCAGATAACTACATCTAGGCTTAGGCACAGATTCAGAGAAGGCAAAAGAAAATGGACCCAGAGAGAAAGGAGGGATGGCATTTTGGATTTATTAGGGAAGCTGGTATATCCTTGGAAACTGTGTGGAATTTATTTTTAATGAAATAACACAATTCAATATATATCTTCTTACAGACCATCATTAATAAAATACTACAGTTCTGGGCCTTCTGGGAACTCAGACATGATAGCAGCAGATAATTGCCTTTGAGAGGAATATCAACAAGCATGAAATCTTCTTTCCAACTAAGTTAGACTTTAATATTGGAAGCCTTGCACATAACACAACATCGATGACTTATATCCCTCTGCCTGCCTGAGGATCACCTGTTCCAAAGATTTCAGAAGGTGTAGTGTATCTCTGTTTTAAAGGGAAAGGATACACAATGTTCTTAAAGAGATCAAGAACTACCCCTTTATCCTGTGAATCTGGACATGTCCTTTGACACTGATGTGCACATGAGAGAGGCAAACTTTCTAGCTGGGCAAGTTTTCTAGTTCTTTCATTTGCAACTAAGACACTAAATACTAAAAGAGAGACCCCTGTCTTTGTGTGGGGGCGGGTGTGTTTACTCAATTTCCCTCTGATTCATATTTCCCTAAACTGTACATATCCTGTTCCTACTCAACCAGTAGAAAAAACATTTTAAATAATGATGAAGAAAGATTAGAGAATATATAATTCAATGAATGAGTCTAAAGATGAAGGGAATGTTCATTATTCTGTATCATGCCAATGAGAGATGACAGAGTATATAACTCTTAAAAAAACCACAATATCTTCAATAAATACAAACTTTAATAGTCTTTTAAAACAATCATAGTTGCTTACCTCAATTAACAGAGCAGTACTTGGTGTGGTATATGAGAATTTCTGTCACACCTTCTCCAATATGGCACTTCTAATTTTAAAAATAAACTATTCTAGATAGGTTGTTTATAAAGTAGGTAGAGATTTCTTAGAATAAGTTATGAAGATGAATATGTTAAAAATATTTGACAAAATAATTAGATTTTAACAAAAAAGGAAACATGAAACAGTTATATTTTATATGGGAATAAGAAGAATATCAAGCAGTATTGTGTCTACATTATTTCTAATTTTTTAAAATTAAGTATTGAAGATATAGTAAGAATGTTTGTAAACACTGTTAGCGATAAATAATTACAATGCAATGAACACTGTGTACCTAATATAGGTACCCAATTTAACTAATATAGCATTGAGAGGTGAAGCCAGCTGGACTTCCTGGGTTGAGTGGGGACTTGGAGAACTTTTCTGTCTAGCTAAAGGTTTGTAAACACACCAATCAGCACTCTGTAAAAATGCACCAATCAGCACTCTGTGTCTAGCTAAAGGTTTGTAAACACACCAATCAGCACCCTGTAAAAACACACCAATCAGCACTCTGTGTCTTGCTAAAGGTTTGTAAACCCACCAATCAGCACTCTGTAAAAATGCACCAATTGGCACTCTGTGTCTAAAGGTTTTAAATGCACCAATCAGCACTATAAAAACGCACCAATTGGCGCTCTGTGTCTAGCTAAAGATTTGTAAACGCACCAATCAGCACTCTGTAAAAATGGACCAATCAGTGCTCTATAAAATGGACCAATCAGCAGGAAGTGGGAAGGGCCAAATAAGTGAATAAAAGCTGGCCACTGGAGCCAGCAGCAGCAACCTCCTGGGGGCCCCTTCCACGTTGTAGAAGCCTTTTTCTTTTGCTGTTTGCAATAAATCTTGGTGCTGCTCACTCTTTGGGTCCACACAGTCTTTATGAGCTGTAACACTCACTACGAAGGTCTGCATCTTCATTCCTGAAGTCTGCCAGACCACGAACCCATCAGGAGGAATGAACAACTGTGGACGCGCCACCTTTAAGAGCTGTAACACTCACTGCGAAGGTTTGCAGCTTCACTCCTGAAGTCAGCAAGACTACAAACCCACTGGGATGAACGAACAACTCTGGACGTACCACCTTTATGAACTGTAACACTCACTGCGAAGGTCTGCAGCTTCACTCCTGAAGTCAGCGAGACCACGAACCCACCAGAAGGAAGAAACTCCAGACACGTCTGAACATCAGAAGGAACAAACTCCGGACACACCATCTTTAAGAACTGTAACACTCACGGCGAGGGTCTGCAGCTTCATTCTTGAAGTCAGCAAGACCAAGAACCCACCAATTCTGGACACAGCATGCCGATCACTTTTAAGGCCCTCATGGATCCATTACTGAGATCAGCCATTACTCCTACCCACCAAAGGTATAAAATAAACATAGTGCTTTATCATTCCCTCACTGTTCTTCATAGTTTTACTACATTGGTTAATAACCTCTAACATCCTACTTTGCATGTTTTTAAAGTTTGTGTAACTAGACTTGCTTTTTTCTCTCAGTGTCATGTCTCTATGATAGAATCGCTCTTTTATGCATCTGTTGTTTGTTAATTCTCATTAATGTATAGAGTATCCCATTATGTGAAAATACCCCATTATCCCCCTCTATTCAACTGTTCATGGACATTTGGGCTTTTTCCACTATTTTGCTATTGTAAACATTGCTGCTGTTAACGTTCACCCCTGTGTCTCCTGATTCAGATATCCTGGGACACATAAGTGTCCCTTAGGTTTATAGCTAAGAATAGAATTGCTAAGTCATAGGGCATGCATATGTTCAATTTTACTGTAATATGGCAATTTGTTTCCCAAATACGTTTATTTGAAACATGGACTTTTCCAATTTTATTTGTTCCACATCTTTGCCAAAACTTCATATTACATGACTTTTAATTTTTGCCAATCCTGTATCTCACCCTTCATTTTAATATGTATGTCCCTCGTTATTAATGAGGTTCACAAGATATGATTTCTCATCTGTGGTATGCCTATTTATGGTATTTCCTTGTGTATTTTGTGGTTTTTGACTCTAAGTTGATATTCCTTGAAGCTTTATCTGAAGGAATTCTTTGATGCCTGAGTCAAATGTGAACTAAATCAGATATAATTTGCATTTTCTCCTGCCACATATTTAGAAGCTTTACCAAACTTCACCAACTGTAAATATTTGACTTGAGGGTTTTCTCTCTTTCTCTCTTTCTCTCTCTCTCTCTCTTTCTTTGGATTTCCCAAGTAGAATGAATTCAGGATGCAAACCATAAATGAGAACCTACTTGTGGTTACTAAAATTCCTGGTTTTTGTTTTTCTTCACTCATTGTCAAGGCTCAAGGAAGACAATTATTTTTGCTATAACCTGGTATAGACAGGTTATTTGTAATTTACCTTAAAATGTAGCTACAGCCCTTTATGTCTTTAGAATCTTGGGCATGTCTCCTTAGATGCTCACATTAAACCAGCTTTAGGAGATTGTTATCTAAAGTAATTATGTTACTCTAATAATAAAAATATTGAATGGCAAAACATATGAACTATTCTTTTAGCTTATATTTATAAAATTATATATTTTATATGCCACTTATCAATGTATCTAGGAAGAGCTATGTTATAAAGACAAGATAATGTCAGAGAAAGATAATGTTTGTCTTCAAATATTATTACTTTACAATTTCAGAGATTTCTAACCACAGATTGGAAGCTACATATCAGAGTTTTAAAGTTTTATATCATAAACATTCTTCAACTCTCCTGACCTGGCTGGGTTAGATCCCCACCTTCAACAATGGTTTAAGAATTATGTCTTCCATAAATGTTGACAACCATGCACAGAGGCATCATTCCCACCTACCCAAGATCTCTAGACGTCAGCATTCCTAAATTCCTGCCTCATCTCTTAGAGGATTCACAGTCAGCCCCACTTAGTGTTGCATCACCCTGCAGGGAGCCTCATCATCTTCCTAGAAAACCAGCCAACCTAGCATCTCAACTTCCCACACGAAACAAACAAACGAAAACCTCACCTTTCATAAATGCATCCAGAACTTTGCAATCATAAAATCTAGAAACTATTTTGCATTCAACAGACATCTAGAGTTGTATTATGTAGTTGAATAATATTTTTACTTTGAATTACCTATGGAGGACACAATAAATTTCTGATTTGAGGGGACATAAAGTCTTAATGTAGTCTGATATGTTTCTAATATGAGGAGAAATAAAGTCTTAATCTGGCCCTGGTTTCATGTTCCAACATTCCATGCTTCCTTTTCTTGATGTCTGGATTTGGACTACTCCTAAATTGCCCTTAAAGAGCCATTACACCAATAATAGTTACTTATTTTTTTTTAGTGTCTACTATCTGCCAGACAACATGTATGTGTTTTACATACATTTTCTGTAATTCTTACAATGCTTCATGATGGCTCAATATTGCCCAACTAGTAAATGCCTGAGCTGTATCCTACCTCAGCTCATTGCTTCCACGGTTTCTGCCTTCTGCTGTACGATGCTACCACACATTGTGAGAAAATAGCCTTCCCATTGTTCGCATCCAGCAGATGACTACAAAATTAAACTATTTCTTTCAGCACAAACATGTTTAGAGTTGTTTGGCAAATAATAAAGGAAGAACCTTTTACTCTGAAATCTTAATTCACATCTATGCATAATGGATGTTAACTCCGAAGCCATGTATTATTTAATAATTATCTAGTTATATCACTTTGTGTATCAATTTATCAAGTCTGGAATAAAGAAATGGCATGACAAATACTTTCAGCTTTTGTGTTTATGAACATCTTCCATTGTTCTCCTGCTATTAAAATGCTGACATATACACACAGAGCAGAAATAGGTTTTCTTTGAATGATACATAAATGAAAAAAAAAAAAGAGAAAACTTCAGAATGGAGTTTACGATCACAGCCCTTGTAGCCCTTGACAGATACTTAAGTCTGCCATCTCCTAAACCTTCCTGTGCTCCTGCTTCCTCCCTGCAAAATGGGGATAATACACATCTGACTTCTCCTAGGTAAAAGCTATTCAATGTAGACATAAATTCAAAGCAATTTGGTTTCTTCAGAGCTAAGAATTTTATAAACAAAAGACATTATCGTGATGCTCTTCTTATTATTCAGGAATGCAGCCACAGTATGGGGGAAAATCCAGCATTTCACGTCATTGAAAAAGCGTCTATCTCTTTTATTCTTCTATCTTAGTAGCATTAGTGAAAAAAAAAGTCTGATATACTTGACAAGTCAGAACTATTGATACAGATGTAAAAGTTATCTGTTTGCATGTACTGATCCAATAATACACGACTCCCAGACATGTAAAACCATTAAAACTTAGATGTGGGTAATTCAGAATCATTTGAATTCATCTTTAATTTGTTTGCTTATTGACCTATTAGCTTAAATCTAGTTTTATTTTTAATTAACTTTATTACTATATAATGTATTATAATTTACAAAGTTTTACTGTAAAATTCAATGAAATGAGAAATTTATAAATCCAAATAATCAGCACCACACTGATTAAGATACGGAATATTTTCATCATCAGAGAGTTTCCTTGTGGCCCTTTACATAGGCCCAGTTTTAACTTATTAGAAATTAGAGCTTATATCTAAGGAAGTGGTATTATCAGCCCCATCCTGAGATTATCTAAGGGCTTAGTTATAAATCACCTTATTACTTATAAACTCAGGTGTGCTCTTACGGGTTCATCAGATTCAAAACTTCAGTGCCTGGATTCCTGTCAAGGGGATGTGAATCGGGAAATCATCTGTTTTTCTGTTATGATTTATCATTTCCTTACCAAGGCCTTCCCTGTCTAACGGCCTTATTATTCTGTCTTGTCCTTGATTTTCCCCTTTTTCCTTCTTTTCACAATTTGTATTTATGTTTGCGTGTGTGTGTGTGTGTGTGTGTGTGTGTGATTTAATCACCTCATCCACAGGACTGGAGACCTTTCAGAAATAGGAATCATGTTTTCTTTATTGCTGATATGCCCTTAATTAAAGCCTGACCCCTCCTTATCACATGGAAATTCTTTATAATTATTTTTGAATATACCAATAAATACCTAATTTATTTATACAACATTATTAAATACCTACTCTAGGCACGTGGGCTACATTGTACAAAAATCTAATAGGGAAAAATAATTCTTAGTAAGAAAACCCTATTTTATGCTGAATCCATAATTATGTCCCTATAAAACAACACCTTGGCCAAGTGTGGTGGCTCACGCCTGTAATCTCAGCACTTTGGGAGGCCAAGGCGGATCACAGTCTCAAGAGATTGAGACCATGCTGGCCAACATGGTGAAACCCCGTCTCTACTAAAAATAGAAAAATTAGCGGGGCGTGATGGCACGTGCCTGTAGTCCCGGTTACTCGGGAGGCTGAGGCAGGAGAATCTCTTGAACCCAGGAGGTAGAGCTTGCAGTGAGCCGAGATTGTGCCACAGCGTTCCAGCCTGGTGACAGAGCGAGGCTCCATCTCAAAAATAAACAAACAAAAATAAACACCTTGACTATTGCCATCTTTAGTCAGTGAAGATATTTTGCCTATTAATTAGGATCTAATTGACAATATGCATGAGGGAAGGAAGGCTACTTGAGAAAAAGTATAAAAGCAACACCTTTACCCTGGCTTTGGAGTCGGGCATGCCTAGATCCTGTCTGTGCTATTCACTAGCTGTTTGCTCACATAAAAGTCATGTAACTTCCCTGAGCTGTGATTTACACATTAGTGAGTAGAAATCATAGTTCCACCTCATATGGGTGATGTTAAAGTTGAATGGAAGAGACGCATAAGGCAAGGTATGGGAGAGCAGCAGGTGCACGGACCTTCCATGCTCTCTTCAGTTAAACCGCATTCCCAACACCTGGAGGTGTTCATCAACTCTCTTCTCTCCAGGCTCCAGTTCCCCCTACCCTTCCGGAGGTCAGTGGGTGGGGCTAAAAGTTCCAGCCCTCTAATCACTTGGTGTTTCTGGTGACCAGTCCCATGTTGAGATTATCTAAGGGCCCAGCTATAAATCACCTTATTACAATAAACTCAGGTGTACTCTTAAGGGGGCTTGTTATGAATAACAAAAGACACCTGATCACTCAGGCAACTCCAAGGGTTTTAGAAGCTCTAGGCCAGAAGCTGCAGACAAAGATCAAAAATATTTCTTATGGCAGTAGTTTAATAGATTGTTTTTTCAAATTTAGATGTAGGAAATGTAACACTATCCCCAAGGGTAAGGCTATGAATGGTGCTGAGGGAGAATATGTCCCTAGGAACTTCTTAATACTTAGAACAACCTTGTCAGAAAGTCATTTGACTAATGAATCCCTCAGAAAAAGTCTCTTAGAGTGATGAAAACGTTGTGTGAAATCACACAGCCAGCAAATAGCTGAGCTAATATTTGAAATCAAGGAAATCTACTTCAATGTTTACTTTCTTTTAATAGGTAATTCTTATATCTGTCCTGTACCTACTATGTGGGATGTATTCTATGCCCTGGGGGCAGGAACAGCAGTGAAAAAACACAAACACTGCCCTCATGGAGATCCAGTTCTAGAATATAGGATAAAAGGACATATATTTAGTAAGCACACTTTGTATTATCTCATTAAGTCCTTACAGTACTCTCAGAGTTCAGCAGAGAAAATTACATTATTCCCATTTCATATGCAAGGAAAATGAGGCTGAAAGAGAGTTATTAAGCTGGTAAACCAGACTGAACAGGCAGTACTTAAGCCTGCATTTTCTGGTTCAAGATCTGGTGTTTTGCTGGTTGCCAAATCAATGAAAACTTCAAATTTTATCCTTCAGGTAGGAGAGGTGGTGGTCATATTAACAACAATATACTGAACCACAAGGCAAGACTAAACATTTATCCTTAAGATGGAGACGAGGGATGGGTAACAAGAGGTAGATAAATAGCGATGGAGTGGAATGCAAGGCAAGATCAACTGTCAGAGGTGAACATCAGGCCTTACCAGGAGGAAAACACCAGCCTGACTTCCAACTTCCAGCAACTCCATCTTTCTGCTCGATGTCTTTCTTCAGAGTTTGGTCTGCCCCAGTATAGCAGGGCAGGTCAAAGGTGCCAGGGAATTAACACCCATTCTCCTCTCCCAAGCAACCTTCAGCTAATGACTAATGGAAGTTAGTAGATAAATACCCTTTGCCCCTTAGAGGGGATAACTCTGAGGAAAAAGCTCTTATACTAGCTGCAGGTGTTCCCCAGCAGGATTCAATCTCAGTTACTGAATGGTAAGTTGGTTGATAACTTGTACTAACCTCTTTTTTTTTTCCCTTGTCTCATTCCCCTATCAGTGTTTTTTGGGATTAATTCCCAAATAAATTTCCTGCAATATAATGTTTTCATGAGAGTCTCTGTCTGACGGAACCAAGACTAAGACACCAATGGATTCGCCCAGGTAAGGGTAGCCAGTCAGTGCTCATAGGATTAACAGGTCCATACCAAAGCCATATCAGGTATATCTGAAGATCTCTTTCCAACGCAATGCTTCACTTTGCGTAAAGACTATGAACCACAGTTTGCCAGGCCTTTTTCTGATGGAGGACTTCACTGTCAGTAATCTCTAATTCTGAAGGCAAGAGATATGAAACGTAGTTACTGCTTACAAAGCAAATGGGGATTGTTTTTTCCATCATCCAAACAGAATCAGATGACAGTGAGAAAAGCCTTTTCCTCTTTTTTCCCCACTGCCCTCACTACCAGTGTTCTCTCTCCCTTCCAGCCTCCCTCTTTTCTCTCCTGCCTCCCTCATTTTCTTGCTTTCTTCCTTTATTCCTTCAGTAAAGATAATCTTACCTAAATTATAGCCTTTTTGAAAGAAGACATTCCTTTAGATAAAAAGGTAGGCAGATACAAGATAGGTGATTAACCTTTCCTCCCTTGATGTCTTTTGTTTTCTAAATCCATCAGAAGATGTATGGGGGTAGGTAGAGGTAACAGGTAAGAAATAAATTATTAGTACTGAGCTAGCTGTACTTAGAACTCCTTGTTATTACCCAGTACTATACATATAGATTCTTATTAAGAAAGAAAATCCTCTGTGAAGGAAATAATCCATTTCATTTTCCAATTGAACACAGTGTAGCTAACAGAAATAACAGAATTAACTATAGAATTCCCAGCCCCAAACTGTTGTCATTTTCTTCTTTAGTAAAATGAACACAAGTGCAGAGTGTATTAATTTCATTACAAGGTAGAAAAGATAAACTTGCCCCATCTTTTTGCATTTAACTCCCATTTGGCATGAGGCCATTGCTCTCACATTCATTAGATTACCAGAGTTCAAACAATCATCTGTCTTGGCACTTGAGAAAAAAACTTAGACATTCTTGTTTTATTAAAACATGGAATCATTGGCATAGGAAACAAAATTAACAGGTACTTGATAAGGGTCCCAGCCCACCATCAAAACTGATAACTGTCCTTATTTGAAATAAACAGAAGAAAGCCCTTCATACTAGTCCTTGAAGTAAGCTCTATGATCATAAAATAGAATAAAATAGGTAAACTATGTAGTTATAAGAAACGAAGGAGATAACTCAAGTCGAAAAAAAATGTATTAGTGAATAGCTTCATCAATTAAATTCAGTGCAAGGCGTGCTGGAAAATGTCACTTTATTGTGATTTTACCCAATCACTGGCATGCTCTCTTTCAATGCTCACATATTAGAAGTTTAGAAGAGTATGTATTCGTTGCCAAGAAGATGGATATTGTTGCATAAAGTATATTTCAAAACCATTTCAACTATGATATTGAAGCAAATATATGACAGTAAATCCTAAAATAACAGAAGTGAAAAAAAAAATCATGTCCTTGCTGCTTAAAGTGGAAAGCCTGGTCTCCAGGGCATATACCCATATGGCAAGTTAACCAACAAAGCCCACACAAGTCCTGTAATGTCAATTTCATTGGGTGGTAAATAATTTAAAATACCATTTATATACTTAAACAGACATAGTATAAAGTTGAATGAAATGTTTTCATCACTTCTTGAAATAAAACCATAGCATTCTGATAAGTTTTTATAATTACAGTTGGTTCTTTCTAGCCATAGCTCAGACCTCAGCAGGGCAAATTCACACTCCTCTGTCATGGATACTTTTTTGGAACAGGACTTATTAAGCTTAGTTATTAGTGGTATAAACATTTCAGCAACCTTTTTCTGTGTTATAAATTAATATTAGATCTTAAGTTTGGCCCTTTGGTCTTCAATATAGATTCCTATCCATTTGTCTTGGTTAAAAAAATGTTAAAAATAGGAGTATCCATTGGGCAGAAGGAAACTAGGGACGCTACCATAATTCACAGTGAGCTCTGGGTAACAGAAAACTCAGGGTTCCATACAACTAGTTATGGGGCACTTCATTTCTGAGACTCCATTTCCTCCCACGAAATGTAGAAGATTGATGATTTATTTAACAGACACTTATATAGAAATTACCAGGTGCCAGGTGCTGTTATAAGCACTTTTTTATGTATTGACTCACTTATTCTTTATGACAAAGCTGCGAGTTACAAGTGCTATGAATCATATGCAAAGTAAATCCAAGTAAGGAAACAGAGATATATGGGACTATTTTAGAGAGTCTAGTCAGAATATTTTATTATTTTATTTACTATTTTATGTGTGATACTTGGAGTTGACAATTTTGAATAGGAAGTAATATTTAAGAAGTCCTGATTAGGCCGGGCGCAGTGGCTCATGCCTGTAATCCCAGCACTTTGGGAGGCCGAGGCAGGCGGATCACAGGGTCAGGAGATCAAGACCATCCAGGCTAACGTGGTGAAACCCCGTCTCTACTAAAAATACAAAAAATTAGCCGGGCATGGTGGCGGGCACTTGTAGTGCCAGCTACTTGGGAGGCTGAGGCAGGAGAATGGCGTGAACCCGGGAGGCGGAGCTTGCAGTGAGCCGAGATCACGCCACTGCACTCCAGCCTGGGTGACAGAGCGAGACTCCATCTCAAAAAAAAAAAAAAAAAGTCCTGACCAAATCAAAGGGTCATCCATGCAGTTATCTGGGAGAACAATATTTCAGGCAGACAGATCAACAAGTGCTCTGAGAGAGAAACTACCTTGAGGTTTTGAGAACTAGCAAGTTGGCCAGCTTCCTAGAGAGAACCTAGTAAAAAGTTGAGGAGTGGGAGGTAAAATCAGAGAGGTTAAGAGTTCAGATTTACTCTATGTCTGATAGAAAACCACAATGATTCACTATCCTTCAAGATGATTTTGCAAGTATTTTCCTAATCTAGCCTACACTCCTTTACTAATCATAATAAATTTATATGTAAAAAGATGATGCCCTGGGCTCATTATCTTTGCCTATCCATTCTTCTCAGGAATGTTTGTCAAGTAACTCATGAGTACTTCCTTCCTAATAATCCTGGACTTAATTTTCTAAGAAGAGTTCTATCACTTGGCATGTAATGAGTCTTGATAATATGTATAACTCCTACTAACTCCTATGAAAGAGGCAGTAAAAGTAGAATAGGATCCATATCCTTCAATATCTTCTTGGGAGGATAAGATATATAAAAATAAAAACTATTTTTCACATTTATTTATTTTTAAATTGACATAAAATTGTATGTATTGTGTATGACATGATGTTTTGAAGTATATATATATATATATACATATATATATATACACACATTATGGTATGGATAAATCTAGCTAATTAACACATGTATTACCTCACATTGTTATCATTTTTATGGTGAGAATATTTAACAGCCACATTTTGGATTTTACAAGAAGACATTTTATTGTTAACTATCAATACCATGCTGTACAATAGATGTCTTTTTTTTTTTTTTTTTTTTTTGAGACGGAGTCTCAGTCTGTCGCCCAGGGTGGAGTGCAGTGGTGCGATCTCAGCTCACTGCAAGCTCCACCTCCCGGGTTCACACCATTCTCCTGCCTCAGCCTCCCGAGTAGCTGGGACTACAGGTGCCCGCCACCACGCCCAGCTAATTTTTTGTATTTTTAGTAGAGACGGGGTTTCACTGTGTTAGGCAGGATGGTCTTGATCTCCTGACCTCGTGATCCACTTGCCTCAGCCTCCCAACGTGCTGGGATTACAGGCGTGAGCCACCATACCCGGCCAATAGATGTCTTAAATTCATTCCTCCCATCTAACTGCAAATATGTATTATTTGGCCAACATCTCCCCAAATTCTGTGATCTTTGTACCTCTCTTTATTGTGCTATTACACATGTACTCCAATAGGCTTTAATAAATGTCATTTACGTTCAGTAGCAAAAGTCATACATTGAGAATAAAAGAAAATTATTGTTGGAGTTAAATTTGCATGTTAAAGAAATGCCATTATAAGTGCCAGGTTGGGAACTGAGACAGAAAAGATCAGTCAGTGTTATGATTACCCTGGCTGATCAGGAACTGGACAGAAATTATCTGCATAACCCATGTTATGTGGAGGTCAGACTATTTAATCTAAGGTGGATTACAGCATCAATGATATATACGGGGACTCTGTTACCTGACACTGTACCTGAATTTAGAAGGCGTTGAATGAAAAGTTTGGTTTTATCAGTTGCAAAGAGTTAGTGGTAATTTAATATACAAATATATTCATTTTACTTTCTAGCACAAGTTTAGCAGAAATCCTTTTTATAATCTGGTTATGAGTAAACATTTCTATAGTGATTTCCTTTCTTTGGTTCTCATTTCCATAAATCTTACTTACATAACTTGATTTGGTATAAAAACCAGCTTAGATACAGTTTGGCAAAAATGTAAAATAAGATAATTTGTTAACAGGGATTAAAATCCATTCAGAAAAGAATTAAGCAATATAGGTAAAGAGAAAAGAGAGGTTTTTGAATATGCAGTTGGGGCCAACAGTCTGTTATAAAATCTCACAGCATGCTGAGAAGTAGAAACCTATACTAGATGAATAGAAACTGTATGTTAGAGCAGGTAAGAAGGTGAGTAAAAACGAGACTGAGAGAGAGAAGGCCAAAAAAGAGGCTCTATAACTTATATAATTTTTTGCTTTAACAACCTGCATATTTCTTTATATTTTTATTGATTCAGGAAATGTAATTTTTGAAGGATGGCATGCAAATGGTGTCTAGGAGATTGGCTAAGTATCTCAAGGCCTTTCACTTAACCCCTTTTCGTCTTACATTCAAATTACCTGAGTGATAAAATTCAAGGAGACTCTCATTCCATCTCAGTTCAATCACAGTCAAAAACTCCATGTAGCAAAAAGATATATTTCTGTCTTTGTAGGACAAAGGGGATAATATTATTCAAAGGCATTTGCCCAAGCTTTGGGGAGTTTGGCAGCATCTTCTCACCTCCTCCATCATCAGTAGGATTTAGCACATCCAAATATCCTACCAGAAGAGAAAATCTGCCAAAGAATTTTTCCCAATACTAAACCCCCAACAAGAATTAAATATGCATTCTTCTGCAAATATGAGGGGCTTGAGAAAATGGACACATAGACTAGCAAACCTTTCTTCTGGGGACTTAAGCAACATAAAGCAAAAACCTTAAAAGTCTGTGTAGCCTTTGACCTGAGTCAAATTCTAGGAATTTATCCTAGGGAAATAGTAATGAATATGTGCACAAATATTTTTGTCATAACATTCGTTATGAAAGTGAAACTAAAAAGTATATAAATATTGGAAGTGTTAGACTGATTACATAAATTATGACCCTTGTAATAATTTGTAGATTTACATGTAAATATTAGGCAAATAAAAATAATTACATAACTGTTAAAAATGATGAGAAATAGAAACATAGGGAAAACATGGTTACAATAATTCATTAAAGAAGAAATACAAATAAACAGAAAACATAAATAAAATGTTCATCCTCAGAGTAATCCAAGAAATGCAAATTTAAACAACGAAGTGACCATTTTCCACCCACTGTGAAATACTATGGGGTTAATACTTCCTGTGATGATCAGGGAAGGATTCTGGTTGGAACTGGCTTAGAGTATTAGAAAGAGTTCCTAAGAAGGCAGAGTTCTGAATTACATTAGGCATTATGTTAAATTATGGGATTTGATTTACAGATGTTTAATGTTCATTCTATTTTCAGTTCTAAGATTCTACATCCGACATATTTGCAGTGGGCAGATTTTTAAAAGTAATACCTATTTTGAACATATTGAAGGCATCTGTTGAAGAATCAATATAAATAATTACTTAACTAATACCATACTTGAAGTAGTGCTTAGTTTATAAAATTAAAACGAATGGTCTATGGTGTCCAAAAAGCAGTCAGTTTAATTTTGCAGCATTATTTTGTTGGAAGCAAATAACAGTGGCAGGTCCACCTACATGGACACAATGGAGCTGACCACGGAATGCAATGGGGGTGTCTGAAGCAGACAGAGTGACTCTATTGTGACCCTTTGGCACCGGAAAGACCAGCCCAAGATACAATTATACCTTTGCACTATAGCCTATTTTGTGAAGAGAATTAATTTATGGGGATTCAGAAGAACTTGGATCCAAGTGCTAGCTCTGTCTCTTATGATCTGTGGGAGCTCAAAGAACGTATGAATTTTCCTAAGTTCCAGTTCCATTAGTGTGCAGGAATTGGCTCATACTGGCCTGTGAGAGTCAATTATGAACACCTCTTTCCAGGTCCATATTCAATGATGTTATATGAATAGCTTAAAATTAGGCATGGTAGGTGAATTTACATCACGGAAACCAGCAAACACTAATAACCAGGGCTGCCTCTACCCAAAAGACCTAGTTGTAAAACATTTACCAGTATATCACTGGTTTAAACAACTGGTTTGTTGGAGAGTTAAGAATAACATGACTAAGGGATGTAAAAGTGCCTTGTAAAACAACATGCATTGTAAGGTATCGTTAATAATATTCTATGCATAGTGTTTTGATAGCTCAAACCTTGAACAAATAATTATCAAAGGTACCCATGAACAAAGAAGAGTTGAGACAAAAGGGTAATTAATGATGGTTGATAGTGGCTTTCTCAAACTTAAAGCTTAATGCAGGTGCAGGAAAACATTAACAAAAGATGAAATTTAAGAGAACAACACGAGTAAGGTAAAGGGAGCATGTAAGAAGTTCTGAAAAATAAATTAATTCAACATATGAGGGTGTTTGAATGTTACACAGAACTGCAAATAATTGGAAAGATATATTTTAATTTTTTATGTTCTGCAAAAGTCTGAACAGATCTTTTGAAATCATTTTTTCTGTTTTTTATTTCTTTCATGGACATTGAATCAAGGTGACTGCTCCTAAACACCAATAACATTAACATACGGAAATGTGTTTGCATTATTAATAATCATATGTACAATGTTTATATATGAAAAACAAAATATAATGTTATATTTTATGAATAAGTGAAAGACATGTAGTGACAAAACAAGGGTACAATTAAGATTTTAAATGTTCTTTTTTTTCCTTTATTTCTTAAAAACCGAGATAAATGTGCAGACTGTACAGATTTGTTACATAGGTATATTTGTACCATGCTGGTTTGCTGCACCTATTGAGCCATCCTCTAAGCTCCCTCCCCTTACCCCCAACCCCCAACAGGCCCTGGTGTGTCTTGTTCCCCTCCCTGTGTCCATGTGTTCTCAATGTTCAACTCCCACTTATGAGTGAGAACATGTGGTGTTTGGTTTTTGGTTTCTGTGTTAGTTTGCTGAGGATGATGGCTTCCAGCTTCATCCATGTCCCTGCAAAGGACATGATCTCATTCCTTTTTATGGCTGCAGAGTATTCCATGGTATATATGTACCAAATTTTTTTATCCAATCTGTTACTGATGGGCATTTGGGTTGGTTCCATGTCTTTGCTATTGTAAATAGTGCTACAGTAAATATATGTGTGTATGTGTCTTTATAGTAGAATAATTTATAATACTTTGGGTATCTACCCAGTAATGGGATTGCTGGGTCAAATGGTATTTCTGGTTCTAGGTCCTTGAGGAATTGCCATACTGTCTTCCACAATGGTTGAACTAATTTACACTCCCACCAACAGTGTAAACGCATTCCTATTTCTCCACAGCCTCGCCAGCATCTATTATTTCCTGATTTTGCAATAATTGCCATTCTGACTGGCATGAGATGGTATCTCACTGTGGTTTTGATTCGTATTTCTTTGATGATCAGTGATGTTGAGCTTTTTTTCATATATCTGTTGGCCCTATAAATATCTTCTTTTGTGAGGTGTCTGTTCATATCATTTGCCTACCTTTTGATGGGGTTGTGTTTTTTTCTTGTAAATATATTTAAGTGTTCTTTAGATTGAAAAAAAGGATAAGATTTATAAGGAAAGACTAGCTTTTTGGCATTTAAGTGACCAAGGCCTCACTAGGGCAACACAAGCAATTCTAAAACCCCACCCAGGTGGATACAGTTAATGTCATGCAGCCTGGGATCTCCTCCCTTATCTATTTTGTCATTTTATGAGTACTTATAGCCACACAACTAAAGAAAAAACAATAACTTAGGATAGGCATTATGAAACAAAGAACAAATTGTATTTTCTTTTATTTGTATTTCCTCTCTCTTTTCTTTCCCCCCTATTTGTTGAAAAAAGTGTTAGTATGTGAAAAGAGGAATAGTCGCAGTTAAAACTTCATATTATATATAAATCTAATGCAGAGTAGAAGATAAAACATTGAAAAAAGTGAGATTAGAAAATAAGAAATCATCATCAAGGTGTCAAAAAACAGCGAATGACAAGTATAACAAAAATCATCAATGATTTTACAACTTTTTGCCATGAAGAATCTTTCCAGCAGATCCGTACACTGCCTCCTATCTTCTCTGCCCCACTTCTCCTCCCTTCCTTCTTCCCTCTCCCTCCTTCCCTCCCTTCCTTCCTCTCTTCTTTTCCTCTTAGGTATCTGCTCTCCTTCACTCTCTCCTCCAACACATCATCTCTGTTTAGATCAGAATTAACTCTACAAAGGTCCTTTTCTAAGGCACACATCTGACATGACATGCACACAATGAGAGACAACCCTTTCCCCCACTATATCCCAGGCTATCTTTCCCATCACGTTTTTTCTGTCTTCTTTCTCAGTGGACCCCCTGCTTCAGCAACATTTCAACAGGATAGTTCCCAAACACCTTACACTTTTAGCCTTTTCATTGAAAAGAAGGTAGAATGTGCAGTAGAAAAAGCAGGGTTTTGGCAAAATCACATCGGGTCTCTACCACTTAACAGTTGTAGTATGAAAAGCAAGTTACTAGGCTTTTCAATGCCTCAGATTCTTAATGCATAAAATAATGATACCCTATCTAGGGTTTTTGTGAAAAATAAATGAGATAACACATGTGAACTTTCATTAAGATAACTTTGATAATTAGTCAACTGTAGTGATGATAAAGGTGATAATGACTGTGCTGGCTGAATATTTCCCCTCTGCTGCTCCAGATTTGCCTCGTACTTTTCCCACTGGCTCTGTATTCCAAAATGCTGAACTTCATGGACTTAATTAATGGGCTCCTTTCTCTTTGGTGTCTGGTTGGAGTAGTGCAAAGAGAGGTTCCTGTAGGAGATGAATGGAGAGGAATCTTTGGAGTATTTATTCCCGAGGCTCCCTCCCAGCTCCTCTACAGGATGGCAGGGGTTGCATTATTCTGTCAAAGGCTGCAGCTTCTATAAGGTGGCTATTTCTCATGGCTACACCTTCTCTTCAGGTCTGACAGCTAGCTCTTCTGGCTCTTTCTGTTCTAGAAATGGTAATGTATATCATTGGGGTGCCACCTGTCCTGCCAGGATTCTGACAAATGCAGTAATTATGATTGTTGTCTTTGCCCGCAATACCTTTATTTAACCTCTTCTAAACTTATCGAGGCCCTACCCTGTTCTCAAAGAATGACTAAAATGCTATTGTTTTAAATAATTATGACAATGCCACCCCTCTCCTTTTTTTTTTTTTTTCAAAGGATGACCTCAACTTTTCCTGGACGCCCAGAATAATATGCATGAAACTTTAATCTAGTTTGGCAAGAAGCAGAGTTTACATAATAGTAATTTGGTTCCTGCCTATAAAATTGTGAGCCTGTTGGAGATCAGGGACTGGATCCTACTCAAATATACCCTAGAAACACTTGCTACAGTTATTTGCACATGGAATATGAATATAAGATTTTTTAAATGGAATTAAATCCTTTTTTTGGCATCATCTCTATTCTTCTCCCAATTCCTTAAGATGAAGATTAATTTAGTCTCTCTGCTTTCTTTAATTATCTCTCTAATTCTGTCTTTACCTATTTTTTTATACCAAAGGACGCCCACAACCTGACCCAATAAGCCAAAATCTTTTCCCCTTAAAAACCAAGTAGAAGTTGGTAACACTCATGTATGAATAACTTTTCTTTGCTAATACACATTCATAATTTTTGCCCCAAATATCTTTAAAAATATACCCCTATATCTCAACTTACTTTCTTCAAAGCTGTCTTTTTTGTTTCTTTCTTTCAGCACATGCTAATAAGTAAGCTTTCTTTCATTGCTTATTTCTGTACTTTTTTGTATTATTAAAACAATATGTTGCTCTTTTCTATAAAAGATGAATAAATATATTCTCCAAATGATTCGTGGTAGAGGTTTAAAGAAAAAAAATCAGCTTACTTTATTAACTTAATTTTCTTTTTAAAAAATTATTAAACCTAACAGGTAGTCTATTTCAAGCATTTGAAAACTGAAAGTCTCATAGATGTTATTTACTCTAAATTATATTACTAAAAAGAATATTCTGTCAGAAATGAATTTCTACAATGTACCATAAAATGTATGTGATTATATTCAAAAGAAAAAATATATATGAAGTATGAGAACCTATAGCACTACTGTGCTGAGCTAAAGCTTGGCTAGTGAGAGGCTAAATGTTGCCTCTCCCTGGAATATCCCTGGAATATTTCTTTTGACATAAATTTCTTTTGAAATATTCCAGGCATACTTGCATCACTTGGGCACCTGCATTCAGGCTTGACAATCAGCTCTTTATTGTAATCTCACTTTGTGTAATCATTTTTTGCCACTGTAGGTATGGCAAGGCTGAATAATTTCATCCATAAGTGAGCTGCAGTGACTTTTAGAGTAGAAAGTAGTAGCTACTGAAATGTATGGAAGAATGTGACTGCTGTTAAAACTAGAGGCTCAGCCGCTTTGTGTGTGTGTGTGTGTGTGTGTGTGTAAAATTCCAGAAGGACTACACCTTTGAGCTTGCCATATAAACCTTTGACTGAGGAATTTCATTTGGAGCAAGCCAGCGGAAATTTAATTTTCAATTAAATTTAAAAAGATCTAACTCAATAAGGAGAAGTGTGCCTTTCTCGTTAGGAGATATAGAAAGAAAACACTGAAAACCAAATCCCTGCCAAGGGATCTTATTGTAGAAGTCTTTGATTAGGTTCACTGACATTTTAATATTCTGCAAGTTTAAAACTTTCAAAGAACACTAATATATATTACGTAACTTGTATATTTAATTTAAGGCATTTTATTTCTTATTCTCTCTTGAGCTTTAGCAACACTGTATTATTATTCGACATTGTTATATTAATATGTGTCCTCTCAATTGAAATAGAATTGGGTCCTTCAAAGAGAGTGCTCATTCTGAAACCTCTATCATAGTTAACTCTAAAACTGTGTCTTCATTCCTGTCTTCTCAGGGGAGTCTGGGCCCATCGCCTCTAGTTAGAGGTCTTACTGTCACATCAAATTCAATTTAATTTGTTATTTCTAGTACCAACCTCACCAATTCCTTCATGTAGGTAGCTTTTCCTCCATTTAAAAATGTATTAAATTTACCTCTATCACTATTAGATTTGTAGCATTTACCACATAATAGAAACACACAGACATATACATATACACATTCTAGAAGTAAAAGGAGGAGAGTAAAATAGAATTACTTTATTGCTGTGCTTGTTTTAGTTATCCATTGAAAATGGTTTTAGAAGTGGTTGTTTTTAGAATAAGACAAACTTCTCTTTCTATCAAGTTTCCAGACATTGGTGTCAGGGCATTTTTATCTCTTCCTTCTCTTCATTTCCCACCTCCAATCAATACTTAAGCCTTCTCTATGGTTTTTATATGACTCCGTTTTTCTTCCTTCCTTTTTATTTTTTATTTCACCAACCGTGTGTAGACTAAAGGTTACCTCATTCCTTTATTCATTCAACCAAAGAGCATTTATTAAATGGCTGGCTATTAGCAAGGTATTAAGGTACTTTAATTCCTAAATATGCCAATAGCTTTCTAATTTTTCTCCAGGACTCTAGTTCCTTCCTGCACTACCAATGCATTCATATTTTTCTTATCTTTATTCTAATTCCTTGTTTTCAAAATTCCCTTGACATATCGTTGTTCATTGGATAGAATTTGAAGTTTTGACTTACATTCGAGATTTCTGGAATGTGCGGCTGGGTGCGGTGGCTCATGCCTGTAATCCCAGCACTTAGGGAGGAGGTGGGCAGATCACTTGAGGTCAGGAGTTCAAGACCAGCCTGGCCAACATGGTGAAACCCCATGTCTACTAAAAATATAAAAATTAGCTGGGCATGGTGGTGTACGCCTGTAGTTTCAGCTACTTGGGAGGCTGAGGCAGAATTGCTTGAATTCAGGGGGCAGAGGTTGCAGTGAGCCAAGATTATGCCACTGCACTCCAGCCTGGCAGCCAGAAATCCAAAAAAGATTTCTGGAATGTTGCTACTACCTGTCAATCTTTGCCTTTCATTATGGCTAAATGTATTTAATTGATGACCATTTCCAGCCAGACATTAGCTTGCTATTCTCTTTATGCATCCTCTATTTTCTTCATTTCTATATAATAAAACCATATATTCAGATTAATTAACAGAACAGGTGAAAACAACTCTCCCTACTCTATCTCCACCAGATTCTGACTATGTATACTTCAGAAAATTTGCTTTGACATTTCTAGACAAACATGAATCCATCTGCAGCATTCTCCAACCAAATTGTTCTTATTATTATTTCTTATTTGTTCTTTAAGGACCAAGTTAAATATACAACAAGGATAAACATGTTTCTAGATTTTATAAAGGTACTGTGAAAAAGCTATTTTAATTCATTCTTCCCACCAACATTGGTCCAGGTAAAAGAAATTTCCAACTGCATTGTGCTACTGATACTTGGCTTTTAGAGTTCATGATGATTCTATAGTCCAGACACTCAAGATAACCACCAGCAAAAATCCCAATTAGTCTCTTAATTCCTGTGTTGGGTGCAGTTACTAAAGAAATCTCCAACTGCAGGGGCTAAGTTTTATAAGAAAGAATATATGATACTACTACATTTTTGTTTCTAGGGCTATATGTATATCCCTATATATAGAGATGCATATATAAATATGTATGCACTTATGATAGTTTATAGTGGTGCATAAACTATTTATCAAGATAAGGAAAGAAGGAAGGACATAAGAAAGGGAAGAAAAGAAAGAAAATAATTTAAAAACAATAAAAAAAGGAGGGAGGGGCAGGTTAAGGAATAATTGAGGCAAAGAGAAAAAAAAGATAGAAAAATATAATGAGCCAGAGTAAGGTTATAGAAAAAAATCACTTATGATATGGAAAATTCACTTACTTGTAACTCAGCAAGGCAGGGCTGAAAGGCTAGCCATAAATGTGTAAAGCACTATTCAAAGGTTATTATTGCTCCTTAATGAATGGCCCTATTTGGAGGCAAATGATTACACAGAATTAAAAGCACAGACGCACATTTCTCAGCTCACCTAAGTCCCTGTGCCAAGATTCTGGTTATCACAGAGGAGAGGTTTCTAAGGCCACAGCACACAACTTAAGAAAGGAAGCTTGGATTTGTTGCCAACACTTGCAAATTTTCCTAAGGGTTTCTGCTAATTTGCAGCACATAGCAAAACAAGTGTGAAAGTATGAAATGACGCATGCTAAAGGGAAGGTTGAAAAAGCGGGGAGAAGGAGAGAATGGTTCTATTTCAGGAGGATGCCTGATTTCATTAAAATCAACTGTTAACCTTTTCCTTACATTATATTTACTGAATCACTATAATTTTACAAATAAGTCTGTATCTCAGTCTTATCCATAAATCTTTCTGTGAAGCAAGCAGACCATAAGATTCACCCCAATGAAGTCTTCTTTGTTGGCCAAAGCATTCTAACAGAATAAAAACTTGTAAAACAATGTGCATTTGAAATAGTGTACAGAAAGCCCAGTCCTTGACTGGGCAAAGTAACTCATGGAGTAGTAAGAGTACAGCGAGAGGGAGGGAGGGAGAGAAAGACAGAAAAGAGAAGCAGTCTGACTATTTTACTAATTTGCTTAAAATTTTTTCAACAACCCTGTTATCTGTAAAGGGAGGAGGCAGTGCTGAGGGACTGTTGGGTAAAACCAACACTCGTCTAGGTTCATATAGAGTCAGTAACTTACAAGGTACCCTTGGGTACATCATTTATCTCCTTTAAATTTCAGCTTTTTCATGTGGAAAGCAAGAAAATGTTTATGAATATTGTAAATATTTTCCTCTATATGTTTGCTTCACTGAGATCACTTTACAGAGCACTTAATACATTGCATGGCAAATAAGAAACACCAGAAATATCTTGAGTATTATCACTATTATTAGTTTCAACGTGGACTGGTAGATTTGGAAAAGCCTCCAGAGGATTATGCTTTTATTTCTACATCAGGGAACTCAGGACCAGGGATGCTTCCTAACTTTCTCAAAGTCATTCAACATGGATGAAGCTGGAAACCATCATTCTCAGCAAACTATCGCAAGGACAAAAAACCAAACACTGCATGTTCTCACTCATAGGTGGGAATTGAACAATGAGAACACATGGACACAGGAAGGGGAACATCACACACCACGGACTGTTGTGGGGTGGGGGGAGGGGGAGGGATGGCATTAGGAGATATACCTAATGCTAAATGACCAGTTAATGGGTGCAGCACACCAACATGGTACATGTATACATATGTAACAAACCTGCACGTTTTGCACATGTACCCTTAAACTTAAAGTATAAAAAAACAAAAAAAAAAAAACAAAAAAAAACAAATAGAAAGATGGCCTCCTGGTCCATAGTCTACAGTCCTCCTGGATGACAAAGAGAACCACTTTCTTTGAAGTTCATAAAAAGGGAAGAATTTAGAAAATAGGCCCCACAGTGGTTTATGAACTTCTAGCATTTCCTTTAAAAGCTTCTACAAACATTATTAGAAATAAATTTCTCCTGCTTTAATGCCATATTCACCATATTACCATATGACACTAAGAACACAGGACAGGTTGTCAGTAATCACCCCCTCCCTTGCATCACCTTAACTCCCACTGGGCACCTGTCTAAGGCATCATTTTCATGTAGGCATTATGTGAAAAATAAATTTTGAACACATGGCTCATGTGTTTAAAATGAAAACTTCCTGAGAACAAGTGAAAAAAATTCATGTTGTATACCCCATTGTGGATGGTAATTATTTTCTGTGATCCCGCTACAGGATCATTTGCTTGTCCAAGATACATTTACATAGAGTTCAGCCATCTCATCTTTCAGAAACAAAAGCCAACATAATTTTAACACCCACTTCACATTTCCTTTATGAAAGAAGAAATCAGATCCATCCTATCCATTTCTTACGATAGCAAGCACAAGTGTACAATTTTACAATGTTTTATCTTGAACTTTGCTGTGGATAGTTATGTACATGAGTCACTTTTGTTGAATCTGATGTGGATTTTTGAATAGTGTTAAATGATTTAATACATTTCCCTGTTGAGACTCTGATAAATAATACTCATATTGTAGGAAGACTTTAATTTTATATTTCATATAAAATCTGGATTATTATTACAAAGCTGGCTTAACAGATGTGCAGGGGTGTGTGTGTGTGTGTGTGTGTGTGTGTGTGTGATGTTTCGAAGTCATTGTAAAAGGAAAAGAGAGCATCAGGATCACACACTAATAATGTCCAGGTTATTATCTGGTGCAGTTACTCTTCTCCTGAACCCACCACTAGAATCACAGTCATTGCATATTAGAGTAGAAGGGACCTCAGATACCATCTAGCCCAACAACCTCTTTAAACTAATCAAACTGAGGCTAAAGGACATGAAAATCATACATTTCACGATAGAGAGGGAGAAAGGCAGGGAGGGTGTGAGGGAGGGAGAGAGAAATAAAGGGAGAAGGAAAGGAAGAGGGAGAAAGGCAGGGAGGGTGTGAGGGAGGGAGAGAAATAAAGGGAGAAGGAAAGGAAGAGGGCTGAAGGGAGGGAGGGAGAGAGACAGAAGAAGAGAGGGATGGAGGGAGAGAGGAAAGAAGAAAGGAAGAACAAAAAAAGAAAGAAAAAGTTAGGAAGAAAGGAAGGAAGGAGGAAAGGAGGAAGGGAAAGAGAAAGGAAGAAAGGAAAAAGTAACAGAGAAAGAGAAAGAGGAAAGGAAAGGGAAAGGAAAGGAAGAAATAGAGGTTATAATTTGATTCAGCCTTCTTAAAAATTTATTCTCCATCTTATTTTATAATTTGTATATGAAGAAATTACGAACCAGGCAAGTTAGGATTTACATGAACTACTCAGAGTTGAACAGTTGTTTACTTTATGTGGGTTTTCTGCTAAAGAATAACAAGCCACTTGCATATTAAAATAAAAAGTCTAAGAGTCATTAACAGAACTGCACAGGCATAAAAATAAGAATGTTCCCCTGCTCCCCTAAACCAGCTGAAAGGCTGTTTAGATTTTTGCTCACTCATAGAACAATCATACAACAAAACAAAACAAAAATGAGGGCCAGAGCCAGGAATCCCATGAGATTTCCTGTGACTTAAGTCCTGACATTAATGAGAGCATGAGACTGCTGCTTCGTGACTGCCAGTGGCTCGTTATCACCAAGATAAAGGCTGACAAAGTATAGTAAGAGAAAGTTTGTTCTCTATTACAATCTGTATTTGAAAGATTCAGAACAACAAACGCAATAAGGGGGAAGTGCACTGTGTATGTTTTACTTGCTTTCTATTGCATCATTAGTTTTGACAATTTACTCTGACATCTTGTAATTCTGATCATTTTTATTCTGATAAAATATGAAAACTCAATCGTCAGGCAAAAATTTCAACATGTTTCATAGAATACTTTTGCAAATGAGGTAAAAGTGCACACCTTCACTGTAGTTAGTTGATGAAAAAAAAGGTCTGGTTCCTTACCAATTGCTTTCCCCTCAGTGTCAACATGCACAACGACCAAAACTGGCTGACATTAGAGAAGTTACTAAGAATTCACAGGTGCCTACCTCTGAAGGCTGCTAGCTGCAAAAACAAATTCTTAAGACAAGCTAGAACTTATCCTTTTTCCTTTAAATGTGATAGCATATCATTATAAATCAGGTATTAGGAGAGCCTTCTAAACAAATAAATGTATGGATTTTTTTTTAACAGGCATATGAAAACATGCTAAGATTAGTTATTTAAAAACCAGGCAACTCCAGAGCAAAGTGATATTTAATAAACCACATGCTCCTTTTTTTTAGGATCTATTTCAAAATCTATCAAGTTTTCTGAGTGGCAAAATGATTTTATCCTTGGTTTTTCTCTTCAATTCTTATAATTGTAACAAAAAACACATAACTTACAATATACTATCTTAACCATTTTTAGGTATACAATTCAGTGGTATCATGTACATTCATATAGTTGTACAATCATCACCACCATCCATCTCCAGAATTCTGCATCTTGCAAAACTTATTTTATGTATTAAACAAGAAATCACCATTTCCCCTTCCTGCCAACCACCATTCTGCTCTCTGTGTCTGATTTCAACAACTCTAGGTACCTCATATAAGTTGTTGCATAAACCATAATTACCTTCCTTTTTGTAGCCAAATAATATCCATCATATGTAGATGCCACATTTTGCTTATCCATTCATCTGTTGGTGGACACATGGGTTGTTCAAACATTTTATCTATTGTAAATGATGCTGCTATGAACATGGGTATACAAATATTCTTCAAGATCTTGCTTCTCATTATTTTGTGGTATGTACCCAGAAGGGATATTGCTGGATAACTGGTAAATCTATCTTTAAGTCTTTGAAGAATCACCGCATTGTTTTCCACAGTGGCTGTGCCATTTTAAATCCCATTAACAGTGTACAAAGTTTCAAATTTCTTCAAGTTCTTGCCAAAACTTGTTATTTTTTTATTAAAAATATTGATTTCAATAGCTTTAGGGGTACAAGTGGATTTTGGTTACATGGATGAATTGTATAATGGTGAAGTCTGGGATTTTAGTGTACCCATTACCTGAGTAGTGTTATTTGTACCCAACAAGTAGTTTTTCATCTCTCAGCCCACTTCTCCCTCCCCTCTTCTGATTCTCCAGTGTTCACTACATTATACTACTTTGTCTGCCTTTGCATACTCATAGCTTAGCTCCCACTTGTAAGTGAAAAAAAAAAAAAAAAAAAACCTTGTTAATTTGTTTCTTTAAAAAGCAGTTTAGTGGTGGGGTGGTATCTCATTGTGGTTTGAATTTGCATTTCTCTAATGATTTATGATTTTGAGCATCTTTTCATGCTTAATGATTAATTGGCCATCTGTATATGTTCTTTTAAAATATCTATTCAAATCCTTTGCCCATTTGTGAATAGGGTTGTTTATCTGAAAGCCCAAGCCAGGGCAATTAGGCAAAAACATAAAATAAAAATTAAAAAACATGCAAATTGAAAAGGGAGACGTAAAATTATTCCTGTTTGCAGATGATAGGATCTTACATGCAGAAAACTCTAAAGTTTCTTCCCAAATCTGATAGAACTAGTAAATGAATTCAGCAAAATAGCAAGACACAAAATCAGAACACAAAAATAAGTTGCATTTCTATAGTACTAATTATAAATCTGAAAATAAAATTAAGAAAATAGCTCCTTGGATTTTTAAGAGTTTTTATTAAATATATTTGGTAGCAAAAAAGAGGCAATAGCAATGACATAAAATATGCATTTAAAATTTAGATTTTCATTAAGAAATCTAAATTTCATAATAAAATTTTAACTCACCTTAAATGATAAGTTCACTTTACCCTTGAGCAATATAGGTTTAAATTGCCTTGGTCTAACTTTATGCAGATTTTGTTCCACCTCCTCTGCCTCTGTCATCCCTGAGACAGCAAGACTAACTCCTCCTCATACTCCTCCTTCTGAGCCTACTCAGTGTGAAGATGATAAGGGTAAAGATCTTCATGATGATTCAATTCTACTTAATGAATAGTAAATACATTTTCTCTTCCTTATGATTTTCTTAAAATATTTCTTTTTTCTTGCTTACTTTATTGTAAGAATATAGTATGTAATACACATAGCATACAGAATATGTGTTAATCTACTGTTTATGTTATTAATAAGCCTTCCAGATAACAGTGGGCTATTAGTAGTTAAGTTCTGGAGGAGTCAAAATTAAATGCAGATTTTCGACTGTGCAGGGAATAAATAACCCTAACCCCCACCCCATATTGTTTAAGGGTCATCTGAAAACAGAATAATTTAATTTTGGATATGCTAGGGTTTATCTATCATTTAAGCTTTCATTTTGTGGTTGGGAAAGTGACTTGCCTAAGTTTTCACATGTAGGTCTTTATTCATATTGTATGCTACCTGTTCCTCCTTTCCCCATAAAATAAACACACACACATGTAACCACATGCAAACGTAATTAAAGAAAAGTGATATGCGAACTCTATAGGCTTAAAATGCTTTCCCTCCAACTTCTCCCTCTCAGTAGCTCTGTGGTAATGAACAAATCACTGAGCTCTCTGGGCTTAATTTTCTTCATCTGAAGAAAAAAGAAATGGAAGAGACTCTTACTGTCATCTTCTTGGCACAGGGTACCACAATGGCTTTCCAGCTGTGCTCCATTATGCTGAAGGGTTCAACAGATTACTTCTGGGACTATGCTGAGGGCTGAGATGTGGGAGTGGTAGGGGTGGCACCTGCTGTGCAGGTGGAGCTTAGACTGATCCTTTCTGCTTCACATATACTTCAAACGGAGGCTATGCTTTGTCTGTGTTATAAATTAATACTTGATTATAAGATATATTTGAAGCCAGGATTCTGTTACTAATGTTAATTATTATGATGATCAAACAGACTGGTGCTTTGAAGAGAGGCTGTAAAAATATAAGCAGTATTAATATTATTAAATCAATTAGTATTAATTTATAATTATTATTTAATTCCCATATTAATAGCATTTCTTAAGTGAATCACAAAATTGCCTCCCCTATGACATATATTTGCACTGAATCAGAGTTGTACATAAGCAAAGCAGCAGCTTGTTTTTTAAAAAATATTTTTGACAAGTAAGTGAAAGAGACAGGCTCCATAAGCTTTCTACCCCAGGGCTTCCTATTCTAGGCTTCTAGCTATCAAAATAAAAAATAATAAGACTTTCAGAACTTTACTTGTTACTGTTTTGGGAGTCAGAAGGTCCCTGAATTTTTAGGATTTTATTTCGTTCCACAGTCCATGAAGTTGTCTATTTCATCATTATTTTGTTCTAGCCCTTGAAGCAGGTAGAAATCCATACACAAGGCTATTGATGAGCTGAGAAAGTACATATATGTAAATATATAAAATATATTTTGTTAAATACACATAAATGGATAAACAAATTTTAACACATATTTTCCCTCACCATGTGCTTGCAAGTCTTCAAAACCTGCTGCAAAAAGAAGAGAGCATTGAGGGGCTGATATTTGCCAATCATTTTCTAAATCATGAACTGTTTTAGAAGGAGATTAGAGAAAATATACCTTACCAACTGTGTATTTAATATTCAAAGTTCCAACTATTTGTTTAAAACCTTTAGAGTCCCCGAAACTAATAACATGCTGGACTGTTAAAATATAAATTTGAATCATCTTCTGATGGGGGTGGGAGACACTTTTGAAGGGTATTAATGAGCCATTTATTAATGAGTGCACCAAGCTGATTGCCCTACAGCCTCCCCTCAACTGGGCTTCATTGTTCTGTGTTTTTGCCACAGTAATGATGGATATTTGTTTTACAGAAAGTGATGGTTTTGTACAAATAATATATCCTCAGGAGATCATTCAAGATAGGCATTAAGATTTTGTGAGTGAAAATTCTTGAAAAGTTGTTTATTATAGTAGAGCACTGAAAACAAGTCCAGAGTTAAAAAAATAAGGGGTTATTTAAATAAACATATAGTATATCTAAGCAGTAAAATTTTGTGTCTAAAAGATAACATTGTAGAAAATTATTTAATGGTATGTGGTCATTAATTATACTGTTAAGTGACAATAATCAGAACACATATAAAAAAAGAGAAAAACAGAGAGCAGAAAAGGAATAGAAGGACATGCACCAAAATCACTGATAATGACAAATTCTTCGACATGCATTTAGAATATTAATCAATTCACGTGCTAGTTCCTTCTATTTTTAGTTAAAAAAAGTTCACTCCCATAATGCAGTAGAATGGATAGGAAACTATCAAATCCCTGTCTCAGTAACTCCAGGACCTTGGGTCTTTCTCTTAGCTCCCTCTCCAGCCTGTCTACTTCCACTTCTGACACAGTCAAAATGTTTTTGATGACAACAGGCAGGATAATATATTTTAAATGACGTCTGGATGTTAATACTTTCCAAAATGATCAATGGCATCCCATTATATTGACAATAAATCCTAAACTCTTTACTGCAGCGTGCAAGGTCCTGCATGAAATGGCCCTTCTAACTGCTACCTCATTCTGAGATGCTCTTGCTGGAGCTCACTTGGCTCCTATCTTCCGATCTTTTCTCCAATTCAGGGTCTCTGAATGCACTACCATTTTCCTGGAAGTATTCTTCCATTTGTTTATCCATGAGGACCCAGTTTAAATATAATCTCAAATACACTCACAACCTTAGCTAAGGGAGGCCATGCTGTATCTTGTAACACTTTCTATAACAGCACCTTAGTTTTTAATTATTTTATTTGTCCATCCGTACCTTTACAGAAAAAGTGTTATACTATATGTTCCATGAGAGCTGTAATCCTGTTTTACAAGCAATTATTATATAGTGGCTGGCACATAGTAAGTGCTAAAAAAAGTTACATAAATGCATGGATGAAAATAATATCTTTTTAGTATATTTATATGAACTGCAGTTGTGATCTCTGTTATATTCAGAAAGATCAACAAGTGTTTAACACTATTCAGTTTAGATTTTTGCAGGATACAATACACCTTATTAAACCAAAGACTTGAACAAAATTATTTCCATTTATCTGCTCAACTTTTCATTTGTATAAAAAAACTGTAAAGATTGAGGATTTTTATGTTTTTTGATTACTTTATCAAAATCTTAGGCAAAATTGCTCATTATACCACTATCACATGTGACAGGAGTAGCTATAGCAGATATGTAAACAATCTGCTTTCTCTGACCACACAAGTAAAGCCAGAAAATTATACTCTTTTCATAAAATTAAACATTTTCTGTTAAATAAATATACTTCATCACTATCCAGTTTAATTAAAGATGCTAGATTAATAAGCTTGGGTAGTAATCATTATAATCAACAGCATTCCTTAAAAAGAACAGAATTGCTATGGTTTTCTCTCCTTTGTGATTCTTGAATTTAAAGCACTCACACACACAAAACTGATTTCTAAGAATATTTTGAACATCCACAATTTACTAAAGTGTGTCATCACCTCACTATCACTTAAAATAGATTTTTAAATTAAATTTGCTTCAAGAGATATTACCTTTTGTGAAGCATTAATTATTTTTAGAGAGAGATAGGGAAACTCAAGATTACAAAGTGTTCCAAATGAATTACAATGAGTGAATCCCTTCTATCCCAGCACACTCAGCTTCAAATCCCATGCAAGAGGCCCTCAAAATGTCTATCAAGAAAAAAATATGACATGTTATCTCCTCACTGTGAGTATCTTAGAAAAGGTCAGAACCTGTCTCAAAAGCAATGAACAGTGGAGTGTTTTCGTCCAGAGAGCTGCAGAGTATAAGAAGACGCTTTTATTAGGTTATATTTAAGCTGTTAATGTTAAGATAAAGCCATACAATATAGGACAAAATCCTTTGTATTTTTTAATCTAATGTATACATTTTCCTTCCATACCTACTTAGATGAAGAATTGTACATATGTACCCAATTCTTTGTACTAATAAAAGAAATACATGGGTACACATATGCATTTATATACCCTTACAGCCCTTTAGAAATACACAATTTATTGCAAATATCAAGTACATAAGTATGTAGATTGTAACTGACCTAGTGAATAAATCACTGTAGATGGAAACTATTGCAATATAGTAAGGAGTTCAGATAAAAAAAAAGCTGATTCAGTTATATATTGCTGTGGAATTTATAAAAGAAGTCACTGGGGAAATGGTTAGTCTGTGAAGGACTCTGGCAAGGCCAACTTGTTTCTGGTTTTCAGGGACATGAAATGGGCAGGGAGGAGAAGTTTAAACCAAGCCCTATTAGGAATGGCTGCAGTTCAGTGGTGTTCAGTCCCATACTTTTCCTTTAAAGACATTATGAAAGCCAACACAGTCCTAGGTGCTACATTTAAATGTCATAATGAATAAAATCAAAGCAGATCACTTTAACATATTTTATTTGTTATTTATCCAGTAATTATGATAGTAATTATATTTTAAAATGTGGCATTGGCCTGAATAATAAGCATCTGATAAGTCTGATAATATAGAAATAATACACTACATAATTATTAGGAGATAATTATTCCATAAGGTTAGAAAAATTTCCCTTAATTATGTAATACATAGTTTGTGGTTCCCTGCAGAAACATCAGGTTGCTATTTCACTTTACGTGATGAACTCTTATAGAACTCTCACAATCCTTCTCAAATGTGGTCTCCTTCAAGAAGACATCCCTAACAAAATGCCATTCCTACTTTCAATAGTGTGTCATTACCTTGTGTGCAATATCTGTGTACCATGTATAACTTTTTATTGTTACTCATGTCATACTATTAGGTTGTTTACATGCTTGTTGGATCTACTAAACTGTGAGTATCTTGAAAGTAAAGACTCAGTTGTATTCATCTCCATATCCCTCATCCTGCAGAAAAATATATAGCAAAAGGTAGGTTCTGAATGGATTTTTATGAGTGAACTAATCAATGAATTTGTGGCCATCTTCTCAGAAAACTCTAATCATTAACTCCTTGGGTGGTAAGAAAGGGGACTGAACTATCATTCTTAGACTTGAAGCACTAAAAACTAAATTGAACCACAATTTAAGGAAGTCTAAGAGAGGTTCCATTTTTTCCCCCAGTGGATAACTACTATTTTTAATGAACAGAGATCAAACTCCTTCAATAATTTATTTAGACTTCCTAATTTTCTGGTGTCATGAGCATATGATTAGTGTTCTTGTTCAGTAAGAAAGCACTGAATATTTAAGAATCCAAAAATTACAAGGACCTAGAATAAGTCCTAACTCTGCCATTTATTACTTATGTAATGTTAGGCCATGTACTTTTTTTTTTTTTTTTTTTTTGAGATGGGGTTTCGCTCTGTAGCCCAGGCTGGAGTGCAGTGGCACAATCTTGGCTCACTGCAACCTCTGTCTCCCATGTTCAAGACATTCTCCTGCCTCAGCCTCCTGAGTCGCTAGGATTACAGGCACCCACGACCACGCCAGGCTAATTTTTGCATTTTTAGCAGAGATGGGGTTTCACCATCTTGGCCAGGCTGGTCTCGAACTCCTGATCTCGTGATCTGCCCGCCTGTGCCTCCCAAAGTTTTGGGATTACGGGTGTGAGCCACCGTGCCCAGACGGCAATTTACATTTATACCTAAGGGTCAGTTGCCTTATTTTCTCATCTGTAAAATGGATAAGATTAATCTCTTAAAGTAAATGGCAAGATTAAAAGAGACCATTTAGATTGGGGGCTTAGCATATAGGAAGCATTTAATAAATGCAAATGATCAGAGGCTGCAGCCTCTTGATTATAAGGGAACTTTCTTGATTACAAGGAAATTTTTGATTGCAAAAGGAAATGTCTGTGCTGTTTCAACATTTAACATAATCTTTAATATGGTTTGAGGTAGCCTTTATATCAAGTTAAAAACTGTCTTTGAAAATGTGGAATGAATATTTTTGATTTCAACAAATGTGTTTTTAGTACCAATCAAAATATTCATACACATTTTTCCTCCTTTGATCTATAACATGATCAATTACTGAAGTCATTTTCTAATTTTGATCAGTCCAGAGTAAGTCCAGAGTAACATTTCCAGAGTAAATCCCTCATAATTAAAGCATATTATTATTTTACTAAACTGCAGAATTAATATGTCATATATTTTTTTCTCCTTTGTAGTCTTTTATGTTACTTTTATAGTTCGTGTTGTTTTACTGTCAGATTTAGGCTAACTTAAGGAAATGAATAGGGATGTTTCCATCATTTTTTCCGATCAGCAAATAGTATAAAAGCTATTTGATCTTCCAGCTTTGCTTAGTTTTGAAAACTTCTTGAATTTTTGTTTTTTCTCAAATGTATATGCTGTGTAAACAAAGAAAAACATTTATTGGATATTTATTGAGCAGTAGTTCACAAACATTATTTCATTTTTGCAATACTAATCTATATTTAGTAATACTATTGCCATTTTCCAGATGTGGAAATAGATTCAGAGGGGTTATTTGCTTAATGTAAGCTGTTGTATAAAGGTAAGACTGTTCATAAGCAAGTCTGACTCCATTAGTCCATCTTGTCCTTAAACATAGAAACGGAAGAAGAACAAGCCTGGCCAATACATTTCAATCTCCTATAAGAACAAAGAAACAAATGTGGAGATAGATTAAAAAAAAAAAGAAAAGAAAATATCACTTCTCTATTTTACAGTTCTGAAATAAAACATATTCAGCCAAAAATAAAAAAATCAGCCTTAAGACCAATGACATTCATAAAATAATCCTTTGTTTTAAAATTTCTATTCTGAAGAATCTAAATTTGCAACATTGCCAATAATAGAAATACTACAAAAGAACAAAGTTATGTATAATTTTATCGGTAAATATAAATTTATTTTCAATTTTAAAAATATGGACTAAGAAATGGATTATAAAAAGTAATAAGTAAGGTGGCTGCCAATATAAAAGGTTGGCAAATTATAATTTTAAAAAGTGAGAAAATAATTGCATGGTAGAAAAATTGAATATAAAGAAAAAATAAAAGTCACCAACATCAAATGACACATTTGAATGTTTGGCAGTGCTATAGTATATCAAAGTTAAGAAGGCCATTGCCTCAACTGAGGAAGAATAGAATTCATCTTTTTGTATAGTTTCTTAGAGTCCTAGTATTACAAGTTTGTGACTTCACAAAGGAAGTCTCATTGCCCAAAGAAAATTATAGCTCCAAAATATCCAAACATGGCAAAACGTAAAAATAAATCTGCATTTCCAAATACTCTAGAAGTAATATTTCTTACTGTAAAACTTATTTCTCCTTCAGGCATAAGCACTAAGTCTCTTCTTAATTACAAGGTCAATTTTAGAAAGCAGCAGGTGACATTTTCTTATTGATAATTAGCAATGCCATTTATAGTGAATAGAGGAACATTCCTTCATGGTTATATAGTTTTTAATTTAAACTTGCTGGCTCACTAAAAGACTTGCTTCATCTATGGTTATAAAACTTTTAATTTAAACTTGCTGGCTCACTATAAAGATTCGCTTCATCTATTGTACAAACACATTTTTTTCATATATCACTTCCCATCTACCATATGCATACCATTGTTTGTAAGAAAGACAATAAGGCAGATCAAGGGGATTAATTTACAGCTATTGCTGGGGAGGGGCCAGGGATTTCTGTATAGATACAGGTCACAGGGCTGAACTATAGTACCATTTGTTCTCTATAAAAGTAATATGACCCATATTCAAAGAGAATAGGCATAAATTCTGCTAAAGTTCAGAAAATTTTTACCATCACTCCTTTCTTTCTCTGTGTCAAACCCATAGGTTTGCACAAAGTAAGATAGCCCTGTATCATAACATTTATGGAGAACTGACTTGGAATACCTTTTTCTGTATTCATCATTCTTTTGTGGCCATGTCGAGAGGGACTAGATTTTCCCATCAGGCATGTAAATTTCTCATGACTTAAGAAACGAATGCTGAAAAAATACTAAAAATACTAACCAAATTTCAAAGATTCCTGAAATGTTTAAAGAAAATAATATAGTTGGTGATTGTATAAATCACTTAATAATAAGCCATTTAATATCTCCCAAGGTAAATACTAAATGGCTTTCCTTTTGCCCAAATTGTCATGATCATTATACAGTAGAACAAAGAAACAAAAAAAATTCAAAGTTGTAGAACACAAAATTAACACAGTTGCATTTGTATACACTAAAAGGAAATTAAGAAAACAATTTAATTTATAATAGCATCAAGAACAAGAATAAACCTAATTAAGATGAATGACTTGTAACTAAAAACTACAAAACATTGCTGAAAAAAATAAAAAAGGACATCAATAAATGAAAAAACATTCTATTTTAATTAATCAGAAGGCTTAATATTGTTAAAATGTCAACACTGCCCAAAGCAATCTCCAGATTTAATGCAATACCTATAAAAAACCCAAAAGCATTTTTTTTGCAGAAAAAAAAAAAGCCATCCTAAAATTCATTTGGAATTTCAAGGGACAACAAATAGCCAAAAACGTCTTGAAAAAAAAAACAAAGTTAGAGGTCTCACACTTTCTGATTTTAAAATGTAGTACCATCATTCCTTGGTAAACATGGGGGATTAGTTTCAGGACCAAGGGAGTACCAAAACTCACTCATACTCCAGTCCTGTGTTCAGCCCTGGAGAACCCACATATGTGAAAAGTCCACCTTCTAGATACAAGGATTTTACATTCCATGAACACCATCTGCATTTAATTGAAAAAAATTCATACATAAGCGTACCACAGCTGATCAAACCCATGTTGTTCAAGGGTCAACTATACCAAGCTACAATAATCATGACAGTGTGGTCCTTGCATAAATACAGGCATATAGACCAAAAAAATAGACAACTCAGAAATACCCCATCTCATATAAAACCAAATGATTTTCCACAAGAGCGACAAGACCATTCAATGGGAAAAGAACAATCTTTTCAACAAACTGGGAATACAGGATATCCACATGCAACAGAATGAAGATGGACCCTTACCTTACCTACACCATATATACATATTAATTCAAAATGGATCAAAGACCTAAACATAAGAGCTGAAACTATAAAACTCTTTGAAGAAAACGTAGGGGTAAATCTTCAGGACATGGGATTTGGCAATGATTTCTTGGTTGTGACACCAAAACCAAAGACAAGAAAAGAAATGAAATAAAAAATGACAAATGGAATTCTATCAAAATTGAAATTGTGCATCAAATGACACTATCAATAGAATAAAAAGGCAACCTACATAATGAGTGAAAATATTTTCAAATCATATATCTAAAAAGAGGTTAATATCCAGAATATATAAATAATTCCTACAACTCAACAGCAACAACAAAACAACCTGATTTTTTGAAAGAATGGGTAAAGGACTTCAATAAAGGACTTAAAAAGAAGATGTGCAAATGGCCAACAATCACATGAAAAGATGCTAAACATCACAGTCATTAGTGGAAAGACAAATCAAAATGACAATGAGCTACCAACTAATACCCGCTAGGATGGCTACTATTAAAAAAGAAAGCAGAAAATAGTAAGTGTTTCTGGGGATGTAGATGAATTGAAAGGTTTGTATACAGTTAGTAGGGGTGTAAAATGGTACAGCTGCAATGCAAAATATATTATGGGTCCACAAAAACTTAAAAACATAAATTCCACGTGATCTAGCAATTCTACTCTGAGTATATATGTGAAATAACTAAAAGCAAGATTTTGAAGAGACATTTGTATATCTATGTTTATAGCAGTATTATTTACAATAGCCAAAAGATGGATGTAGCCTATGTGGCCATTGGTAGATGAATACATTAATAAAATTTGGTACACATATACAATGGAGTATTTTTCAGGAAAAATAAAAAGGAAGGAAATTCTGACATGTGCTATAACGTGGATAAACTTTGAAGACATCATGCTGAATAAAATAAGCTAGTCACAAAAGGACAAATACCTTATAATTCCACTTATTATCAGGTACCTAGAATAGTCAAAATCATAGAGACAGAAAGAATGATGGTTGCCAGGGGCTGGGAGGAAGGAGGGATGGAAAGTTATTTGTTCATGGATACAGATTTCCAGTTTTGCAGGACGAAAAGAGTCCCAAAGGTTGATCGTGGTAATGGTTAAACAAAAATATGAATGTATTTAGTGCCACTAAACTATATACTTAAAAATGGTTAAGGTGGTAAATTTTATGTCATGTGTATTCCACCACAATTTTTTAAAAAGTTTCCTTTTTTGAGTAAAGCTTGAAATGGAATATACAGTTAAATATTAAGAGAATGTCCTAAGACTACATGTCAGAACAGATCCCATCTTTGCCAAATAATCCTGAGACACTCTAGGTCTAAGAAATAAGGGAAAAAAAATTAAACAGTAAACGATTTAGAACTAGAATATTCAAGTTAATCATCAATAACCTAAAACTTCAAAAAAGGAAATGAACCCATGAAACTGAATTATCAGTGAATGTCCTTTGTGGTTTCTCAGCCATGGTTAAAGAACTACATATGCATCTTTAAAAATTAAATCAATTAAGGATGCTACCTGTCACTAAATTAGCTTACACTCTGTTCAGAATAAAATTTCCAGGGTGATTAGTGGCATGATTTATAACTCCCCATGGTAATTCTTAGAAAGGAAAAATCTTATAGTAGCTCTACATATGTATAAAATATTCACATGTGAAGAAAACTGAATTTACTTCTACTCTATGTTTTATATAAATATGAGCTGTTTTAGAGGACTAATCTCATTTAACCAAAATGTAAGTGCTTAATAGTGGTGCTTCTCGGCTTGGGTGAATAAGGTGTATAATATCTAAATCTTTGTTCGTTTTCAAGATATAATTCAGAGAAATAGAATGATGGAGTGTTTTAAAATTATTATCTTTAAATGTGGTCTTCCAATAATTAATTTCAGAAACAGCTACATCGACTGCCCTATTTCCTAAATCAGGTTTAAATAGAAAAATCATGAAGTGCCTCACTCAGAGGGTGTCTCTTTTTCCCAGATCTCTATCAATAGTGTTAAGACTGGTATTATGGGCTCATGCCACCAATTCCCATCCATTGCCTACCCCTTGTCCACATTGTCTGTCATACTAATTTATAAGGAAATTAAGTCACTTGGTAGGATCACCTCTATATAAGCCATGACAGATTGTGAAAATGCCTAAAATATTTTTTATTCACCTTCATGAAGAGGAGGAATCTCTTTCCCAACCATTGAAACTAGGCTGGTTTTTCAGCTCACTTTGTGTAGAAGAACATGAAGGAAGTGAAGTTATACAACTTTTAGGCCTAGCCTGCAAGAGGCCTTTCAGCTTCTACTCTTGGTTTGCTGCCACCATATGAATAAGTCCAGGCTAGCCTGCTGGAGAATAGACAAAATGTGGGAGAACCGAGGTACCGTAGCCAATAGCTAGACAATTGCCAGACATGTGAGTGTGGTCGCTTGGAATCAGTCAGTCCCCAGACAACACAACAACTAACAGCACATATATGATCAGGCTCACTGAGATTAGCAGAACCCAGCCATGTTTAAAACAACTGACCAGCAGAATCATGAACTAAATGAATGGTAGTTGATTTGAAGTCACAACATTTATGGTAGCATTTTATGCAGCAATAGTTAATTAACATGTAAGCCGACGTCATTTAAGTACATCAATGTAATACCAAATTAATTACTACTTTTTGTCCTATAACTTGATCCAGTATTCCAGTTATTACAACAAGGCTTGATTTCTCTTTTATACTCTGTTTAGCCAGGTGCTATGTTTAGCTACACTTGTGTCAATGAGTTCCATATGTAAGAATCAAGATGACATAAGAGGCAGTGTTGTGCAGTAGTTAAATGGTCAGGCCCTGGAATTAAGCAGGCCTTGTTTGAGTCCTTTCAACCATACAGTGGTTCATTGGTCTTGGATAAGTATATTAATTTCTCAATTTTTTTCTTCTGTAAAATAAGGATAGTAATACCTGCCTTATAAAGCTATAGTGAGGACCAAATAATATAACATATTTAATGTCTCATGTACAGTAGGTCTTAAACGGGTTATTTTTAAATTTTCTACCACAGTGCAGGGCCCTAGTGTTTTTGATTAATACATAATTAATACATAATTTTCAACTTCTTTAACTCCCATGGTTTCTTTTAAGTGTCTTTACATTCTGCACTTTAACAATACAAGTAAAACTCTTAATAGAGCTTACTATGTGAAAGAAATAATTGCACATAAGTATATATTACATATTAAATATATGTATTATATATTATATATTATATATGTGTGTATATGTATATATACATGTGTATACACAGTATATATGTGTGTGTGTATATATATATATATAAACACATACATATACACATATATTGGCTCAATTATCCACACATAAGCTCTAAGAGGTAGAAACTATTATAATATTCATTTTAGAAAAGGAAGATGTCTAAGAGAGGATAAATCACCTGCTCTGATAGTACTAAAGAAGTAGTGGAGGCAGCCTGGCACTAAAGCTCATGCTCGTAATACTGTGCTATGCTGCTGGCCTTTTTCCTTTTATCATGGTCTGGAACATTCCTGTCTTGCGACTGTGTTGATAAGGGCAATATCCAACACCATAGCGTTTGTTAGGGGTTACGGGGAAGTAACTTATCTAGTAGAAATCAAATCCAATGAAATCTACATTTTAAAATTAAGAACAACAAAATCAAAGATCTTGTCTACTAAAGCATCTTCTCCAAAATGTAGTGTCTTCATACTCATTGCACCAGCTGCCTATGACCTGTGTTAATCAAATATGTTATCACACCGTATTGTCCAGAGAAGCCAAAATGGGAACTCTCTCAAAGAGAAATTTCTTTTGAGTTTGACTATATTTTTGTTGTTGTTGTTATTGTTAAATGTAGATAAATTACTTTCTTTTTGAAATGCCTATTCAGCTTGCTTCTTTTTGAGATCTACTTTAGGCGTATTTTCAAGATTAAATTCATCTATAACTATAATTTGCTTTGCTTCAGAGAAGATAGAGTCATTTGTTTTGAAGTGGAACACATTGAAGATACTTTGAACTGTATTACTGAAATCAGCTACTTAAAATGAAATTCTTCTTTCTGCCTTTATGAAGATAAAATGGCAGATTAACAGATGACACACACATGCACACACACTTGCTACAATACAACGACAATAATTTATCCTAGCAATAAACACTTTTGGGGAAAAATGATAAATAGCACATCCCCCTCCAAAATAAAATATCCCTCCCTATAGGTTTGCCTATAACATATTAATGATACATAATATATAATAAAACATTTAGTACATGTACTGAAGTAGACATAGGACGTGTAATTCCAGAACTAATCTCATATATCTGAAAAAGAAGTAACATTTTGCTCATGTTTTTAAAATAAAACTATAAATTCAGTAATTCGAGAGTTATATTTACAACCTATTAATTTGGAAGGTAAAAAGGATGAAATGAATTTTGCATGGACTAGCACTACTCTGCCACCATTGGTAGAAAAGCAATCAAAACATTGTTTGTTTTGTTATTTGTTAGCTTGAAGGGAGCACTACCAATAGAAGTTTTTAAATATGCAGGTATACTGTGCTGATGTTTTCATACCCTTTGCCATGTTTGTAAAAGATGGGGACAGAGAGGTTGCCCCTGAGGTGCACATGGCTTAAATGGAGGTTTAGTGTCCATCCAAGAGGATGGAGCTCAATAGATATAGTCTAAGGTTGTTTAAAGGGAAATTGCATCGAGCATTCTTTACCCTGTTTTTATGCCTGTAGCATTTCTGGTTGTTTTTAGAGTGAGAACACAGATTATCATCTACCTACCAAACTCCCCTTTAACAATCAAGATACACTTCAGATGTTACTTCTTTCTGTCTTTCCTCTGAAACTGAAAAGCATGAGGTCCTGATTTTTACTGGTATTCTTATTTATTAATATTTTACTATAATTTCCTTTCAAAGGTGTAGCTATCATATACCATAAACGAAGTCTGGCACTTAGCATATAGAGGCATTTTAGAAAACCTAATATCTGGTTTCATACCTCTCAGCTGCTTTGGATATCAAATAAATCATCTGTTTCTCTCCTATTTATTTTACTCTCATTTAAAAACCGCACATGAGCACTTCCCATGCAGTAAACATTAGGTTAGATGCTGCAAGGGATACAAATATGTTAAAACACAAGAAGACATAGTCTAGAGGAGTTGAAAAACACATTAAGAGCTCCCTTCTCTCCTGAGCACTGCTATAGATGGATAATGGGGCACTAGAGGGGTTTCTTGCAAGTGGTCCAGCCCACCTGCTCTCACACATGTTCCTGCTTAAGAGATATGAAGGCCCGGTGTGTATGAATACGATCACTTCACTACTCAAACAACTAGCTATTATTACTTACTGAGCATTCATTGTGTACTTAGCACTTGATGTATATTCTCTCCATTAATCCTCACCATAATCCCATGAGGGATAATCTTCATTTTACATATGAGAAAACTGAGGTTGTTTATAAAGGTTAAATCATTTGCTTAAATTCTACAATTAATATGATACAGATGGATTTTTCACAGATTTGTCTCATTCTAAAATCTAGGCTTCTAATTTCTATCTAAACTTGTCTCTTCATCAATAATTTTATGCTCCTATTCCACAGACTTTTAAATGAATGTCACATTAGTCTAAATCAGCCCTCTGTGGCATAAGGACAATGTGTTCGTTCCAAAGGTATTCCTTTGTGTTATGCATCAGGTGAAAAAGCTGTGCCAGGAAACATCACTCCTTTGTTAGATGAGGCCATCTCCTCTTAACCACTTTAAGATGTAGGGGAAAGCTCCTAATATAGAGCTCGGCATAACTGATAATATTATATGAGGACATTCAATAGGTCAACCTCCCCTACTTTCTTCAATTGAGACCCTTGAAATCATCAAATTACATTCTAGATCTTATTCTTTATTTCTGTAAACAGTATCACATCTGTTTCCTTTGCAGAGTCTCTGTGTGTAATACAGTCAGTTGCACCCAGGACAGTAGCAGCATGAAACATCTTCGATCATTTCCCCAGGATTTTTTAACATTGCAAAATATTCCTTAATCATAAAAAGGTAATGGGTTGAAGCCAGTTATAGCCATGTATCACTCCTTAATTTAAAATGATGCCTCACCTAATAATGCAATTTCACAGAACAGTAAACAAAACAGCCATCTGTTTGGCTTTTATATTTCATCTGAGGATCAGGAACAAGGGTTTCTGATATTTGAGAGGATTCTTTGGGCAATCTTTGAGGAAAGTGGTTAAGAAAATCACAATGTGAATAATAAGCAAAGGAGGAAAGGGGATCTTGCCTGCCTTCATCCTCTGGCTGACGAAGCAGAATCACTGCTTCTCCACAGAGGAAGGAAAGTATGAGATTGTATTAGACTGTGTTTCCATTTTCCAAAAGTAGGTTATTTTCATGTCTAATCAATTCTTTGGTTCATCAGGATGGTTAATTGCTGAGAAAGTCATCTGATCAAAACAACCAGACCTTAACAACTGCTTGGCAATGCAGCGGGGTTTTCAGTCATTGACCTCAATTGACTCAAAAATGGGTGATTTACTTAGCTTTAATCAGAGCAGTTGCTGCTATTATAAAGCTTGACTCTGCTTTTCATCAGTATCATGGTGGGTTCAGACGTAGTTGCTGCTGGTTATATGGTAGGTGCAGAAGATTTGGAATCAGACACACCTGGATTTGAAACTGCCTCTGTCAGTTATGAATGACTTTTGACAACTTACTTGAATTTTTCAAGGATGGGTTTTCTCACCTGCATAATAATGAAATTAATATCTACTGCATTTAGGGAGAATGTAAAGTAGTATTAAGTGGTAAACTTTTAGTGCATCCTAGTTCCCTTTGGTTATCCTTACACTCAAAAGGCCTAGCCATATAAACAGGTAGCTCTAAGTGAACATGATTCTTTATCTTGACTTAAGAATCTAACTTGTTAAATAATTTTGGTTGAAAATAAAGCATACTGTTTACTTACATACTTTTTTGACAATTGTATCATAGCAGTGAAAAATAGAAACAGCACTATTCTAATAAATCATCTTAACAGCTCAGTAAATGTTTAATGTTTGCTTAGCACATTTATCTGTTTAAAGAAAAATGAAATAGATACAAAGAGTATTCTGCTATTATCCTGCCCCAGCAAACTTGCAGAACACATTGCAAAGACACTGTGCATTAATAAGAATATATTGTATGCTCTGGACTTTTTTCTTCCTAAAAACCTCACAAGAGTTTTAAAATTTTAGATTAAAAAAATAGTGATAGGGTAATAACAAAGCCCTTTTTTCTTCCCTATATGGTATAATGACAATGTGTTAGTCCCAAAGATATTCCCTTATGTTATGAATGAAGTTTAAAAGTTGTACCAAGAAACATCAATCTCTCTTTGGTAGTTGAGGTCCATTTCCTCTTAGCCACTCTTTAACATCTAGGAGAGAACTACCAATATGGAGCTGTGCATAACTGATGATATTATATGAGGATGTTCAATAGGTCAACCACCCCCACCTTTTTCAGTTGAGACACCTGAAATGCTAGAAATGTCTAATGACTCAAGGAATCCTTTAGTTTTAGAGTAGAAGATGGCAGTAAAAATAGTCTTCAAGCTCTCATACACTAAACTAATTACCATACTCATCACCACTAAAGTACTTCCATTTTCTCATTTCTCTATCTTCTCTTTTATGGCTTCTTAACCTCACTAAAGATGTAGCCCCTGGTGTTCCAACAGACTTTGAATCCATGCATATAAAAATTGAGAAGCAGGAAAAAAGAGGGAGGGATGTAAGAAACTGAAGATAGCCTAGGTAGGATGTTATGAGATTTGCAGTTCAGTTTCACAAATATGTAATATTGGGTCACTGCTTTTGCAAACCCCTGTAGCACCTATGAAGATGAATTAGTTATGTCTTCAGATTTCCTATATTGAATTAGATATGTGTGTGTCTAATTCTCAGAAACTACCAGGAAGAATCATAAGTAATCCCTAAGATGGGGAGTCAGGGAGAGGGAGAGGCTGATTTCCACGCGCGCGCGCGCGTGTGTGTGTGTGTGTGTGTGATTCTGGATATTTTGACGAGATTCTTAGTTTCATTTCAATGATTGTTGATTGATGACAGCTGACTGGAGCATAGTGTAGAAGAAGATTCTTTCCTCATAGGTTTGGCAGAAGAGGGTCCTGGTCAAAGTGCCAGCCATGTGACTTAGGTGGGTGAAAGGTACCAACTTTGTTTTCAAAATTTCAATCCCAGTCCCTACAGCATAAAATTCAATCTTCCTAGTATGGCATATAAGATTTGTATAGCATCCTATGCTCTGTCATAGCACACAAGCATGACAAAGTACTTATAATTGACAAAATACACCATACTGTTTCACTTCTATGAGCCTTTGTTCACGTAACTCTTTTCCTAGAATAATTTCTCTTTCATTCCAATATCATCCTCCTAGAGAAAATCTCCTTAACTTTTAAATTCAAAATCAAAAGACTTTTGTCTTCATTTTATTTCAAATAGATATGACTTCTTTTGTTTTACCTATATTTTTCCTATATGCCATCAGTATACTGTCTTTAATGAATGGGTTGCTTACACTCAATGTCATATTACATATTAGTTATGCCTTGCTGGGTGACAAACTGACCTAAAACTGGGTAGCTTAAAACAACAAATGCTTACTTTTTTACAGTTTCTATATGCCAGGAGCTCAGGGCTGGCTCAGCTGATGGTTCTGGCTCAAGGTCTCTCATTACATTGTGGTCAAGGTGTTGACTGGGGTTGCAGTGATTCTGGCACCTAATGGGGACTAAAGAATCTGCTTCCCAAGCTCACCTGTGGTTGCTGTCAAGCCTCAGTTCCTTGTAGGTGATTAAACTGAGGGCCTCGTTTCCTTGTATACCAATGGACCTCTCCATTGAGCTTCTGAGAACATGATAACTTGCTTACTACAGCATGAGTGATGAGAGAGAGAGAGAGAGAGAGAGAGAGAGAGAGAGAGAGAGAAACTCAAGGCAGAAACAACAGTCTTTCTTAATAACCTAATCTCAAAAGCCACATCCCATCACATATGTCACCTTCTATTCATTGAAAGCAGTAAGTCTGGCCACATTCAAGAAGTGATTATAGAGAACATAAATACTAGGAGTCAGGAATCATTGTCGGGGGTGGAGAAGGTAATCTAAGAGACTGTCTACCACATCCAGTATCTTCCTAACTAGACTTAAAGCTATTTGAGAGCTGAAACCAAACCAAACTCAATTTCTCTGTTTTCCTGTCATCTGCCTAGTGTCTGGCACAGTAAATATTAAAGAAAGGAAGAAGAGAAGAAGGGAGAAAGAGAGAGCGCAATCAAAGATAAATCACATATTAAATCCCTTAAATAATTGGAAATGATTGATCTATAGAACAATTGTTTGGAAGAAAGAAACAGAATTTTAATATTTTAGTCAAGATTGAAATTATGTAGAATTTCTAGCACCATGGCCCTTGATTATGGCATTGACAGAAACAGAATTTGTGATTCAATAACTCATGTATAAGTCTGGAAAGAATCACTAAAGTTAGAAACCAAAAGATCAGTTACGGTCATTCTCCCAGTTCATGGCAGTTCCTTGCAGTATATTCTGTGACTCTTTCAGAAAGCCCTGTGGCTGAAACACTGACATCTATGGATGCAGTTTTATATAATAAACAGAAGTTCAATTATCTTAAATGGGCTATTTTAAATGTTTTATCCAAAGTGAATTCCAATTTAGGCTGATTTCTCCTCAAAAGCACAGTGAAAAAGTATTCATTCTCTGTCTCCAACAATACTTAATAGGACATTTTTTTTCCCTTTCAAATCTAGTGCTCTGTTTTTACTTACTCCCTCTCTCTTTCCCTAAATACGTAGGTGATGGGAAATCAATATGATTGATATATAGTCATTGCCCTAATAATTCATTGTATGTACATCCAGATGAGCATTTAATCAAAAAACCATAATGTAATATGAATAAATGTGCCTTACCATACTCTATAAAAGCACTGTAGGGTCATACGAAAAGAGTGATTAGCTCTGCCTGGAAAGGTCAGAAGACCACACAGATGAGATATTATTTAGGCCTTTACTGTTAAGGAAGAAGTTATATACTAGTTTGTCATCTTTTTAAAAATAAACAATGACTATTGGGGGAGATAGTTTAGTTATGGGTCAAACTTGTGGAAAACGGACACTGAATTTAATTAAAAGCTCATTTTGACACTAAAAGACACTATGTGAGCTGAAGTTGTACCTGAATTTCAACAAATAATTTTTCCCAATCAATATAAATTTAATATTTAAAATAATAAGATATTTACTAATATACATAAAATAGAAATATTTCAACTGCAATTTCAAGAAAAAGAAAGGAACTGATGATGGAAAAAATCAAAAGGCAAAACTTTCCCTGTTATTGCTCAGAGTGGCAACTATAAGAGTTTCCACTTCCTATTAACTGTGATTGATTTTGTGGCAATTTACATGTATTAAAAATAAATCTATTCACATGGGTTAATTTGATTGCAGCTTCAGGGCTAATAAAGGACAGTCTGAATGCTTTCAGATCTGAATTCTGTCTCTATTTTCTTTGCATTTATGGTCACATTAATCATGAATGCAGAATAGAAAAATGTTATAAGATACATTTTGTATTAACTGCACTTTTAAAATACAGGATTCTGATGTTTGTATTTAATTTCTATTAATTTCCCATAATAAAACATTGCAGATAAAAGAGACGTTGACTTCAGCTTGACTACATTTTCAATTTATTATCAGCCATATATACTGAAGATTAATCACAATTCCACTAGTAGAAAATGAACGTTGTTAAGAAATCTTGTTTTAATTTCTGGAGAGAGTAGAAATGAGGAGGAAATGACAGTAGTAAGACAACAAGAATATGCATTAAAAAAATCCCAATCTTGGATTTTCTTGAAAAAACATAGATTCAGAAAGACTAAGCATAGTAATTAATTGTTACTTTTTAGCATTCAAAATGGCTATCATCTCTCTTAAAAAGCAGTGGATTATAAAGACATGGAAGAGGTAACAGTAGATGGTTTCATGGGAAGGCATCATTGCATACAATTCCAAGTTGGAAAAGTGTATGTTAAGATGTGATCTTGCAAATAGGCTTCCTAAATTATAAAACCCACGCCTGTTATCCCTTTCCTACTCTCCCAGCTGTGACCCTTCACCCCTATATAAAGGGAAGATCTCAGCCACTGGGTGTACTCCAAAACTCTTCCACTTCTTATTTATTACACAAATATAATTTGCAAAGATGCAACATATCAGGCATCATGCTGAGCCAGAAAAGCAGATAAGTAAGAAACGTCCCCTCTACTTAGGGACATGCAAACCAGAAAGAGATGAACCTCAAAGCCTAGGATAGTGCTGATGGAAAGGAAAAAAACAGATTTAAGACATATTTCTGAAAGCAAATAAAGAAATCTTCATTAAAATCTGGATATGGTCACAATGAGATATCACTGCACTCCAGCGAGAATGGTCAAAAAAAGGCAAAAAGCATTAGATGTTGACATGGATGTGGTGAAAAGGGAACACTTTTACACTGCTTGTGGGAATGTACATTAGTACAACCACTATGGAAAACAGTTTGGAGATTCCTTAAAGAGCTGAAAGTGGAACTACCATTCCATCCAGCAATCCCACTACTGGGTAGCTACCCAAAGGAAAACAAATCATTATATGAAAAAGACACATGCACATGCATGTTTACAGCAGCACAATTTGCAACTGCAAAGATATAGAACCAACCCAAGTGCCCATCAACCAATGAGTGGATAAAGAAAATGTGCTCTCTCTTTCTCTCTCTCTCTCTCTCTCTCTCTCTATATATATATATATATACACACACACACATGAAAATACTACTATACTACTATGGAATACTACTCATCCAAAAAAAGGAACAAAATAATGTCTTTTGTAGCAACTTGGATGGAGCTGGAGGCCATTATTCTAAGTGAAGTAATTCAGGATTGGAAAACCAAATATCGTATGTTCTCACTTACAAGTGGGAGCTAAGCTATGAGGACTGCAAAGGCATAAGAATGATATAATGGACTTTTGGGGACTATGGGTTGTGGGAAGAGAGGGTTGTGAGGGATAAAAGACTACAAATTGTGTAGTCAGAAAGAATGACTACACACCACTGAAGAACTTATCCACGTAACCCAAAATGACCTGTACCCTAAAAATTACTAAAATAAAAAAAATTAAGAAAAAAAGGAAAAAAAAAAAAGAGAGAAGAGTCTCCAAAATACTGAGAACATTATTCAGATAGAGGACAGAGACCCTCCTGGTTAGTCAATCATCTGAACCCTGATTGTGTCTGGCCCATGCTACAACCTGCTTTCTCTATAACTATCTATCTTGTAAGAGCACTGCCAGAATAAAGTTCTTGAGCATCAAAAAAAAAAAAAAAAAATACTGGAGATGGGACTTGAGAAATGACATTTTTATCCTTCCTGTAATTGGCTTCTATCAAACCAGAAGTCTTCTGTCTCAGTATTCGCCATACATTCGTTATTCTCTTATGCTCTCAAGGCCAAATTTTTTATCACATTTACTTTAAATGAGAAGGCCAATACAATCAGATATGAATATTTCTCTTTTGTTTCTTTCCTAATCCATAATTTGGACTCACTTTTATTTTATTCTCTAGTCTGAGTCACAGCTTGGATATCTATTCTTATCTATTGTTTTTAAAAGGTTTATTGACTATTTTCATGGAACACTTGTACAAAAGAAGAAGGAGGAAAAATGAAACACTGATATAACCCATGAAGACTATATTTTACCATTCTATTGTTAGCTTAGAGTATTCCAGGCTCTCTCAATCGACTATAACCTCTACATTTTTCTTCCTTAAACTTTCATTTTACTTAAAAAAAATTCCCTGTGAAAAGACCCACTTTTTTTCTCTTTAGCAGAGTTAACTTTTGGGAAACAAACTTTGTCACTGGTAATTTTTTATAATAAAGAACATAAACTGAGCACTCAGTATACAAATATTAAAACAAACTCACTACAGGAAATAATTAAATAATATAGACCAGATTCAAACAACTACAGACACTAAAGGCTATACATTAAACAAAAACCTGTTCAATTTTACTGTAAAGTAATTCAAGTCTTGTTTATTATGTCATTTTAACCATATTTCATAATTTAACACTCTAGTACCTTTATAATGTTGTTATCTAAGAATCATGTCAAATTTTATTTAGCGGTATCACTATATGTAAGAAGAAGGGTTATTGTGCTTTGTGGCCAAGAAAACTTCTAAATTAGCAAAAATTGTGATGCCTCATATTTCTAGGACAAAAACATGCCATGTAATAGAAAAATAGGAGTTGCTCACAAACGTTCTAATGATCTCTGGACTGTGAGGTTTGATGCCCAATTGTCATTCTATCTGACATCAAGATTACTGTGAAGGACTGTGAATTTAACATAGAATGACAATGTAATAGGAGAAAAAACAATGTAGATTGGTTACTGGAATGCAGGCTTACACATTTGTCCCATGATCTTCAGTCCTGATGGCTAGGATTAGAATGACAATATCCCTTCCTGGTTTTGTGTATCAAGTAGCTCTCTCCTTGGAGAATGAGTATCAGACTAAGAAGGAAAGTGATATGACAAAGGACCATGTGAGACTGCAGTTATTATGAGCAATTGGGGTCAATGGAGAGTAATAAAAATCAATACAAAAGATAATAGAATGAACAAAACTTGGAAAATTGTTGGATAAATCAATAGAAAGAGTGCACTGGGGACGTGAGATTTTAGAACAGTAAATACTCACTGATTGATTGACAGGTTGGTTTAACATTCTTGCCACTTATTTCATTTTCAGTGTTTCTATTTGTGTCGGCCAGCAGTGATCCGCAATAGAAAGCAGTTACCAAGATTACTAACTTGGGGGTTTTATTAATAGTCTTTCTTTCTGTTCTTAACATAATAAATAGCCCACTCCACAGTTTCTCAGAAGCTTTTGACCAAATTATCCATAGCAACAACCTGTAATTGCAAGGACTTCAAGTATTTGTTATGTTTTGTTTTTCACTTGGTAAAGTCAAGACTTAAATTTACTCTTTATATAATAAAAATAATTTTGAGATCCTAAGAACATAAAATCTTAATGGAAGATTAGTTTCTGCCAAGACCTTTGCAACCTAATAGTTTTAACTATTGGCACTGAACATAGACATATGTCTTAATACCTGGAGACGGTGATTGTCAGGATTCTGGCAGGAAATGGGACAGTCTGTTTGAGAGAGAAGAATAAGGAAGAGAATTTATTTATTTATTTATTTATTTATTTATTTATTTATTTATTTATTTATTTTTGAGATGGAGTCTCGCTCTGTCGCCAAGGCTGGAATGCAGTGGCGCAGTCTCGGCTCACTGTAAGCTCCGCCTCCCGGGTTCACGCCATTCTCCTGCCTCAGCCTCCAGATTAGCTGGTACTACAGGTGCCCGCCACCACGACCGGCTAATTTTTTGTATTTTTAGTAGAGACGGGGTTTCACCGTGTTAGCCAGGATGGTCTCGATCTCCTGACCTCGTGATCCGCCCGCCTTGGCCTCCCAAAGTGCTGGGATTACAGGCATAAGCCACCGCGCCCGGCCAGGAAGAGTATTTATAAAAGCGTGTCGGGGTATAGAGAAATGAAGAAGAGATAAGGCAGTACTGCATGGTAGCAAGAGGAGGAAGTCCTTACCACCGCAAGGCCTGATAGGGCAAGGGTAAGGAACGGTTCCTGGAGCCTTGAAAGCATAGCTCTGTGGAGAGGGTCATATGATACGAGCTGCAGCTTTTAATAAAGGAAAGGGGCCACCCTTTGAAGACCTGGCAGAGTGAACTGGGGTTCAAATACCTCAATGTGATGGTTACTTATAGGTATCAACTTGACTGCATTAAGGAATACCAAGATAACTGGTAAAGCATTATATCCAGATGTGCCTATTGGGTGTTATCAAAGGAGGTTGGCTTATGAGTCAGTGGACTGAGTGGAAAAGGTCCACTCTCAATGTAGTGGTCACGATCCTGGGCTGGGGCCCAGATAAGACAAAAAGGCAGAGGAAAGGCAAACACTTTTCTTTCTTTGTCCTAGAGCTGGGACACTCTTCTTCTGCCTTTGTACTTCGTAACTCTAGACTCTTCAGACTTTGGACCCTAGAACTTACACGAGCAGCCTCCCCACTCACCACATTCTTGGGTCTTCAGCATCTGACTGAGAATTATGTCATGGGCTTCCCTGGTCCTGAGGCTGTCACAATTGGCCGCAGACATGTTACTGGCATCCCAGGGTCTCCAGCTTGCAGACAGCCTGTTGTGGAACTTCTCAGCCTCCAAAATCACATGAGCCAATTTCCCTAATAAATCCCTTCCTATACACACAGACACATATACACACAGACGCACACACACACACACACACACACACACAGACGCGCACACACACCCACACACACACATACAGATCACTTCTATCTCTCTGGAAAACCCTGACCAATGTATCTCCTCTCCCCCTTTCTCATCTCTTGATGCCATCTCCAATTGTTAAACTCAGGAAGCCAAAGGATAAGGGAGCTACATACATCAGACTTCTTGAGCCTATAGAAAGATAGAGAACAATGAAGAGGGGTTCTGAAGGACAAACAACATATATTTGGCTCAGAAGGCCCTTTCATAATTTTTCAATGTAGCACAAAAAAAATTCTGCCAGGCATAATTTTTCATATCATTTTTAACAGTTTAATTTTTAGTGTTAACACCATAGATCCAACTACCTCCTCCTCTTCCAAATGTATTTCTTACAAAGAAAAAGACTTTTTTTCATACAATAATTATCAAACAAGTGACTTAAGAATATGGGGGAAGTTGTAAGTTTGAAACATTGGCTTTGGCTCCAGTAATCTAGTTTTCTCCTTTCCTTGTCACACCAAAGGCCTAGGGCTTTCATGATGGTTCCCTTTCTGATTATATTGATTTCTATGGCTATTGAAAAAAATTATCGTCCAGCTAGTCTTTTTCTCTCCCAAACCAGGTGGGATGGTGAATTTTATGGGTCAATTTGAGTGAGCTAAAGGTTGCCCAGATAGCTAGTAAAACATTATTTCCATGTGTGTCTGAGAGGGTTTTTCTGGAAGAGATTTGCATTTAAATCAGCAGATCTAGTAAAAAGATCCGCTATCTAATTTGTTAAGGATCCAAATAGAATAGAAAGGTAGAGGAAGGACAAATTTTCCTTCCGTCTTCTTGAGCTGCGACATCCATCTTCTTCAGTCCTCAAACATCAGAGCTCCTGATTCTTGGGTCTTCAGGTTGTGGGACTTAGATAAGTGGTCCCACTGGTTCTCCTGTCTTCAGCCTCAGACTGAATTATACCACCAGCTTTCTTGGTTCGTCAGTTTGCAGAATGTATATTGTGGGACTTTTAGGCTTCCATGATCACATCAGCCAATTTCTAGCGTAAATTTCCTTTTGCATATCTACATATGTCCTATTTGTTCTATTTCTCTGGAGAACCCTGACTAATGCATCAGCTATTGGCAAGTAGTAATGAGGAATTAAGCTTACAAATCTTTACTACTGCCACTGAAGGTCATCAAGGGCTAATGCCTTTGTCTTAAATTTCAGAAAGCCAGCTGTGGAAGATAGTTCTGATGTTTAAGAAAGGAAGAAGAAAATATATACATATATATATATATATATATATAATGAGATATATATATTTATACATTATATATAGTGAAATATATATATTTATACATTATATATAATGAAATATATATCTATACATTATATATAATGAAATATAGATAATATGTGTACATTATATATAATGAAATATAGATAATATCTATACATTATATATAATGAAATACAGATATCTATACATTATATATGAAATACAGATATCTATACATTATATATAATGAAATATAGATAATAGCTATACATTATATATAATGAAATATAGATAATATCTATTTATACATTATATGTAATGAAATACAGATAATATATATTTACACATTATAGATAATGAAATATAGATATCTATACATTACATATTATGAAATAGAGATAATATATATTCATACTATATATGTGTGTGTGTATATGTATATGTATATATATGTGTGTGTGTGTGTGTTTCATATATATATATAATGAAAATGCCCAGTAAGCAAGGATCCTCTGGCAGTCGTTAGTGCTGTTCATCAAATGTTTATGGTTCTCTTGGGCATATTGTGTGACTCTGTTCCCCTGCACACTGGGGTTTGGTATGGCCATGTGATATGGTTTGGTTCTGTGTCCCCACCCAAAATTCATGTCGGTTTGTAATTCCCAGTGTTGGAGGAGGGGGCTTGGTCAGAGGTGACTGACTCATAGGGGCAGACTTCCTCCTTGCTGTTCTTGTGGTAGAGTTCTCATGAGATCTAGTTGTTTTAAAGCATATAGCACCTTCCCCTTCACTCTCTCATCCTCCTGCTCCAGTCATATAGGACGTGCTGGCTTCCCCTTTGTCTATTGCCATGATTGTAAGTTTCCTGAGGGCTCCCCAGGCATGGTTCCTGCACAGCCTGCAGAACGATGAGCCAATCAAACCTTTTTTCTTCATAAATTAGCCAGTCTCAGGTAGCAGTTTGAAAATGGATTAATACACCGTGAAACTAGCTTTGTTCAGTGATATGTGTTACTCTGTGAGGAAACTTTAAGGTCTGTCGTATGATTCACATTGCCATCACCTTCCCTCCCATGGGGTTGAGCAATGTTCCAGAGAGTGGCTTCTCTGAAATCCTAAATCCTGAATTGAGTATAACTTGATGTGTACATGCCAGTAGCAAACTAAATTTGGGCTGCTGTTAGACTCTGAAATTTGGTGTTATTTTTCACCCTGGCATAACAGAGCCCATCCTGACTGATACAATCCTTAAGGGAATAACTTAATACCTTGTTTTTACACAGTGTCTTGTTTTTACACAGTGACATTTTGTTTTCCTCAAAACCCTGATATTTATTATTTTATTTTTAAAGAGTAAAATTATACTCAGGAGTATGTGCATTTTGTGAATTGAAGCATCTGGAATTCAGGATGCTGAAAAAATTTCTGGAATACTAAGTATGAATACATAAGAAATTTATAAAAAATATTTCATAAGTCAAATGTATATAAAAAGGTGTGAATACTGAAGTTATATAAAGTTACAGGTATTCTTTTAAGGGCAGACACAAGACATTTATAAAACGTTCACTTCCGGAAAAATGTCTTTTAGCTCTTCAGAAGAATTTGGAAATAGTGCCCCTTTGGAAAAGCAAAGCCATCAATTATGAGGACAGAATGTTACCTCTGATATTAACATACTATTGGTCTCATGAATTCTTCCTATATTTTTGGCTTCTTAAACCTTCCAGAGCTTAAGTGTAGTCATGTCTTTTAGAAATACCATAGGATAAAAAAATTACACAAAAACTCTGAAAACAACAAAAGTAATTTACCTTTGGATTTAATAACTAAAGGAATATAAATATCTCAGATAATGCTTTTTTGTTTCAACTATGACTACCCTATGAAGTAGGATTAAAAATAAACAGAGATCACATTAGAATAAAATTAATCAGCTGAAACATACTACATATGCCTCAATGATTAACAAGAATATTTTATTTCTATCAGTTATGCAAATGAGAGCAAAGCATTTTAAAGTTTTCCCAGTTCACATACTTATTCAGAATATATAAAACAATTTGAATGAAAATGACCTAGAGGCATATCTGTAAAAGTGTATATACAAGCTGCTATGGTTTGAATGTTTCCCCAAAAAAGCATGTGTTGGAAACTTAATCCCAAATGTAACAGTTTTGAAGGGTGGGGCGTAATGAGAGATATTTATATCAAGAGAAATCCACCCTCATGAATTGATTCTTGAGACTTACTTCACTTTCTTGCCCTCTCACAGTTTTTTTCTACCTTCCTGGGACAGTGCAGCACAAAGGCCTTCACCAGTTGCTGAGGCACCTTGATATTGGACTTCCCAGCCTCCAGAATTGTGAGAAATAAATTTCACAAAATGACCTTAGTCACAAGTATAGCAGTATAAATTCATTGGAGGCTTTTTTTTTTTTTTTTTTTTTTTTTTTTTTTTTTTTTTGGTGAATTAGCCCATTCTCTCTTCAGGAAGTTTATATATTAAACTAACTTTCAGTTAAATACAGAAGCTCTTTGTATAAAGAGAAGTATGAAATCTACCACTTTGTTCATCTTTGATAGACTTTACCTCATACTTCCTTTGATAGACTTTAGCCCATACTTCATGTTAGTTCTCAAGCTTCAGTGAATTAACTTAGGCACTTATTGAAAAAGCAGATTCCTAGGAAATGTGACTCCAGATAATTTGATTTGGTGGCCAGGGTGGAACATCCCAGGTTTTTCTCATACCAGTTGTCTAGGCATTACACATTGAGAAAACTGCTCAAGACAGGGACTTTGACATCTTATAAGGGCATTGATTTTCTTCTTTTACATCATGCATTTATAGTTACCACGCTTTTCATAAAAATCTACTTCTCTTAATAACAAAGAAGAAAATAACATATTATCCTATTGATTTGTTTTCCTTGATGAATAGTCAATTATTCTTCCTTGCATTATTCAAGTCACCTATTACTTGAGATTTATTGCAAACAAATAACTCTCTAGAAGTCTCTGTGGCTGTAAAAATTATACTTTGATAACTTATTGTGTTTAAGATTGTTAGTTGTCTCTGACTTCACTGAACTAAGATACTCCCTAACTTCACCCACTGTTTTCTATTGTACATGCTCTTCAAAATGTATATCGATTCAATCTTTTTATTATTATATTTTAGAAAACTTTTCTGCCAAGGGCAGTGTATTTGCAACGTATATTTTCTATTTGATTTGTTTGAATTTTAGTGTTTTGCCTGTGATCTCGGAGGGATTTCTTAAATTTCCTGAACATAATAAAAAATTGTTCAGTTTTGCAAATTATAAAAAAAAAGTTTCCTATTTGTCAGCTGGTCAGCTTACTTTTCATTTTTGTTTATTTCTTCTTTAAGGATATAAAAAATACATAGCAGAAAAATAAGAAAATAGCTAGCTAAATAACAAGTAAATGAATGACCAACCGAAATCCTACCACCAAGACATAACCACTTTAAGTTTTTGGTTTGTATACTTCTCTGATTGTTTATGCTAAGAGTACATCATAATTTTTAACAATAAAGAATGGATTAATGATTCTACACTATATACATATATCAAAACATCACACTGTGCCATGTAAATGTGTACAATTATAATTTGTTAATTAAAGAATAATAAAATATTTTAAAATGTACTAATGTGCTGTATTTGTTTTATAAACTTTTTTTGTTTCCTTCTTCAGTACTTACCAACTATTTTTCTTTTTTATTCTCTCTATTATTAGGGCCAAAGGAACATATACTTCCATTAAATGCATTCATTTATTTTCTTGTTTTTAAACATGGACTCTCTTTGAAACAGCAATCAAGAGTTTACATTCAGGAGAGCCAGAGGCTTCTGCTAGGTAATTAGGCTCATTTACATCTTCTCTTACAGTGTTGAACACCATCAGTGGTATAAGCATTCCTGTGACAGTTATATATATATATTCTTACAAATTCATGGCCATTCATTAGTTGAAATCACAATTCTATGGTTATGAAGGCACATGAAGCTTTTGGTAGTAAATTTGCTTCAGTGATAGAGGATCAAATCCTTGGTTTGGTGTAACTTCATTACATAGTATATATTTTCCATATACTCAATATTAAAAATATTACCCCAACATTGTTTTTTTATCCCACAAACTGAGGACTTTTAAAAGTGAGGTTGTAACACACATAGACTGATAAGCTTTAAAATAAGGAGTACTTCAGTTATAATTTTATATAGACTATGGCATGTGCATGAGTAGAAGAGGAAAAATGACGTAATAGGAAAAAGGAAGTTATGCTTTTATACCAATTGCCTCGCTTCATCTATCAGGTGCCTATTGCCGTGCTTGTTAAAGGTTCTGGCTGGGTAAATACATTAGGGTAACAATAACAATAATAAAAGCTAACATTCCTTAATATCCTTAATGGATAATGTCATTTAAACTTATGGTGGTAGAGGCCCATCTGGAGCAACTGTTGTGGGGATGCCAGCTGCAGGTGGGGAGGCATGGCTGGGGCTGCACACTCTGTTGAGCTGGTTGGGGCGGGGAACAGGCGGGAGCCCTGACCCCTACTGAGTTGGTGGGGCAGGAGCCCCATATTCCTGGGTGCAGCTGCCCCATGGCTCTAGACTCACGCATCCTTGTGCTGTTGGGGCCCTGGTAAGCACCCTACCCCCTCAGGCTTGATGTGCCTGCTCCTGCTCCCTGGCCTCTCCCCACTTCCAGTGGCTGCTCCAATGTGGAGTAAAGTTGTGGCTGAGCTTGGGTGCTGTCACAACCTGGCCAGGTGTGAGCACTCTTGGGGCAGTGCTGACATGCCAGCCCCTGCTACCTTGGCCCCCTCTGGACTTTGGGTGCCAACGAGTGTGAGAGGGAGGCCAGGGAGCTGAGGGTGACTCAGTGTGGGCCTGTGGGCGGCCCTCAGCATGGACAGCCTGAGCACCACAAACAGCACGTTGATGGTGGCAGGAGGCAGACAGGTTCCTAGGTGGGAGGGGGTGGTCTCTGGTGGAACCTCACCTTCAAGCCAGGGACAATCTGAAGCCTGGGTCTGGGCTGGCAGTTCCAGGTGGAGTCCATGACCTGGAGTGAGAACTTATGGTGCTTTTCCCAGTCCCACCCATGGCTGTCCATGGATCAATCAGCACAGACTTTCTCCCTTCTGAGCCCATAAAAACCCCAGACTCAGCCAGACTCAGACTGCCTGTGGATAGAAGCTACCAACTTTGGGTGTCCTGAGAGCTGTTCCGTCACTCAATAAAGTTCCTCTCTGCCATGCTCACCCTCCAGTTGTCCATGTCTCCTCATTCTTCCTGGATATGGGACACGAACTCAGGATCCACCAAACAGTGGGAGGAAAGAAGCTGTAACATGTTCCTGGCCAGCTCGCTGAGCTGCAGGTGGTGAAACGCTCTTAGACTGTGGGAGTGAAGAGTGGTGACCCTTCTGGTGGCCCAGACTTTGGGGTTCCCAAAACCAAAGCTGCTGTAACACTATAGCCCTCCTGTTCTCTGCTGGCACTGGGTGGCCATGCCATGCAACAGAAGCAGCAGTGGGGCTGGGCAAGCCCATGAGTTGTGGGCCAGAACGAGGCAGCAGGACTAAAAGAGCTGTAACACAAATGGGCTGAAACATGCCCCCATCAACCCATTCACCACGCTGCAGGTGACATGAAAGAGAGAAGAGCTACAGTCCTTCTTGGAGTCCAGACCTTGGGGCTCCCCAAGCCAGGGCTGTGACAGGCTGTATGTAACACCCTCTTTGGACTCTGTGGTTTCTGGCATCTCTGAGCTTTCAAGCACCACCATATTCCCCTCATCCAGACACTGGTGCCCACAGTGGAAGTTTCTTGTGGTATGTCTGGTCCAACTGGAGCCTTGCATGGAGCCAGCACCTGTGCCGGTGCCTGAAGCTGCCCACCCCACTGCAGCAGCCAGTATGCCTGGCTGTGTGCAGTAGTCAGACCCCACACTCACTTACTTACATACCCCTTGCCACTCTGCACCTGGCTCAGCCTTAGCAGGTGTGGGATCCAGGCTGGTAGTGCAAGCCAAGTGCAGTCTGCTGGGCCAAGTGGGCAGAACTAGCCCAGTGAAAGCAAGCCATACTCAGGCATAAGGTGCTGCTGTCTACAGAGGTTTCTGGCTGGTGAAGTGACACCCCAAGGATCCTGTGACAAAGCCACCCAAGAACACTACCTCACTTAAGTAATTTAGCCAAAGTCACAGAGCTAGTGACTGATAATGCCAGAAGCCAGGGTCCAGAGCCTGTGCTCTTCACTACTCCACATGACAATGTTATCAATAATAATATACATTCTTAACATGCTACATTTTATCCTTTATTTTCAGAAGTTATCGTTATTTCTTGATTCTGTAAGTCTGAACCCTTGTCAATGGGAATGGTGGTTTCTGTATTGCAAAACAACTTATTTCCTCTCACTTGATAGTTGCCATGTTCCTCACATTGTCCCAAAGGGCTGGAGATACATGGTCCCTACACCTCATCCTGACCACCCTGAAGCTTGTGATCAAAGCCACAGAACTTGCTCATCTTCCGCAGATCAAGCATAATCTGACATGTCTTGATTTGCCTCTCTTGGAAAAGGAATGAGCTAGAAAAACAGGAAATAAACTGGAGAAATAGCTATGTACACAGTAGCAGGCTTGTGAAGGAGACAAAATAGTGTCACCATCTATAGTGGTCTATCAACATTTAAAATTGTTATTTTTTTTACATATTTTATTGCTCCCTTTGTTCCATCAGAATAATGTGTACAGTGTCCATATGCAATTACACTTAAAAGTATATTATGTAGAAAACAGCATTCAGAGCTGTCAGAGAAACTTGAAGTAATACATTTTGAAAGCAAATCTGAAACAAAAATTTAAGAATATACAAGGCAAAATTGCACCTGATTCTGCCTGGTGACAATGTTACTTATTGTTGGCAACATTTTTAAAGATGAAATCCTGTGGCTATAATTCCTTTTGTGATTCTCTGTTAACCCAGAAGGGGGAAAAAAACATGATTATGGGTTATGATTTACTACCTCACATTACTAAGGGCATCTGAATTCAAAAAAGGAGAGATTCTACCTGACCTCACATATAATTAATTCTCCTGATCTGTGCAAATGGTTACAAAGTAATTTGAGGATATATATCACAATTTTGATATTATTAAGCAAGACAGAGCAAGATAGAACATTATAGAGAAAATACATTATTTTATAATTTGGGGAAATTTTTTTCTTTCATTCAAGGATCCTAGGGAATGTTTATTTTTCATTTTACCTTGAATACCTCATTATGATTATTATGTTTATCACTAGGATATGGAATGAAACAAATTAAGGAACCCCTTATTTCATAGGTTCTCTGAAGAGTCATCAAAGCTAATTCTGAATGACAGATCCTGGATCTGCTCCATTATTCATTTTGAATTGCACATGTCTCTCCATTATGTTGTTATGCACATTCAAGCACATCCAGTTTATAATATAAAATTTCAAATACTGGAATGCTTGGCCATTTTAAGCTGGGTTTCAGAGGAGCATACTGCTAACAGCACAAATTTTAAACAAGGTCCAAATCCCTAACATTTATTAGCTATTTGTCCTTGGGCAACTATTATACTTAATTAATATCCACCATGCTGAACAAAGCCTTGGCTTTTTCTTTTTGCTCTTCACCACATTCAATCAATTACTAAGTCTTATAATTTCTATTTCCTAAACCTCTTTTGACTCTATTCACTAATCTTGATCCCTTTTGTTATTACGTGCTCCAAAGCACTGTTATTTTTCTCCCTCACCTCTGCAAAAGCCTTCAAACTGGTTTTCCTTCACCTACTTATGCTCTTTTCTAATCCATTCCCTACAGAGCAGCCAGAATGATCTTTTTACAGTGCAAATCTGATTATATTTCACTGTTAATTAAAACAAACAAAATACAAGTAAGCAAATAGGCTTTCTGCCTTCCCATTCCCTTTGGGCTAAAATCTAAAATTAACAGGTGGCCTGCAGGAATACCATAAATGACAGGAAGCCTCTATGCTCCCTCTCACTCTCTGCCCTGCAGTCACACTGGATGCCTTTTATTTTTCTAAAAAGTGCCAGACTCCTTCTCATCTCAGGATAGGTGTTCCTTTCTCTGCCTTAAAGAATCTGCCCTCCCCCTCAGTGCCCAACTGTCAATATCCCTTTGGCTGTCTAACTCTTATGAGGATTTAGATTAACTGTCACTTTCTTAGAGAATCCTTCCCTGACCCTCCATCCTAGGTTAGGTTTGCCTGATATCTATCCCCATATGACTCTGGATTTTTCTGTATTACTTTTCATAATTGCAACTGTTAGGTCTGGACGTTTGTGTCCCTAAAAATTCATATGCTGAAACCCAATCTCTAATGCAACAGTATTAAGAGGTGGAGGCTTTAGAAGGTGATTAATCATGAGGGCTGTGTCCTTATGAATGGAATTAGTTGCTTGTAAAACTCAAAGGTAGCTTGTTTGCCCTTCCACCATGTGAGGACACAACTAGAAGGTACCATGTGCGAACCAGAAGAGTGAGCCATCACCAGACATGGAATTTACTAGTGCCTTGATCTTGGACTTCCCAGTTTCTAGAACTGTAAGAAACATCTTTGCTGCTTATAAGCCACACAGTTTATTGTATTTCATTATAGCAGCCCAGGTGGACTAAGACAGCAACCAACTGATTTTTCCTCTAATGAGTTTGAAGTCAGCCTGGGGAACATAGTGAGATCTCATCTCTAAAAAAATTAAACTAATAGATGTTTCAAAAGATTGAAACTGTTAGCTTTCACTATTTTGAAATGATTAATAGAATCTTCTCTCAGTATTCATTAAAGTCTAAATGCACAGCTAACATTGGAGAACTATATATGTTGTCAAACAATGCAAACAAGTTTATAACACAAAACTTTACATTACTTGCTTGATATAGGAACTCATCTCTTTTTATTGTGATGCACTGGATATATTGGGAAAAATTTTTAAATAAGAACACATATTGATTACAGTAAGGCAGTGAAATATCCTTTGACATCTTTGTGGATAAGATGGAGGATTATGGTCATAGTGGATGATTTATAATTTGCTGATTTTAATTGATGCCAGAGATAGAAGAGAGGTCTCTATTCCTGTCCTTGTACCACTCAGTTTTATCAATGAATTGCTAAGCTTCTCTGTGGATCATACTACCTAGAGCTGCAAATGAAGGGGGTACGTGCAGGGAGAGAGACAGCTAGTCTTTCTACTGGCAAAACTGATTAAGATCTAAAAATATCTTGAAAAGATAGAATAAAGGACAAATAAAACCAGCATTAAAATGCTGTATGAGTTTGAAAGTTGTGCACCTACAAAATGGAGAATACTTTCTGGGTTGACAGCAGGTAGTACAAAAAACCTTGCAGAATTTAATAGTCAAGGACATGACTGGTACTAAAAGTTAAACAACAGCATATCCCAAAACACATTTAAAAACTGCTATAAGACAATTTTAGATTTTATTAATAGGCCATAGAGTCAGAAAGCATTCTGATGTTTAAATTTCAAGGCTCATATTTTGAACTCTTACTGATAAGACAAAACGCATGCAAAAGAAGACGTTTGTTAAAAAATACATATTGCATACTTACTACCTATATAAAGCTATTTGCTAAAGGCAATTGCAGGGGAGGGACAACAAGTTCTTGATACCCAAGAACATACAGTTTTCAAAAAGAAGATGATCCAGATGCAGATAAATACAATAGAAGTGAGAAAATGGAAAGGCCTAGAAAAGAAGGTAAATCTAAAAGTGCTATGGAAATTGAAAAGAAAGTGATTTATTTCCTTCTGATCATAAAGAACAGACAGCTTCTAGGTGGAAGGAGCATTTAAGCTAGCCTTGAGTGACTGGTAGGATTCTGCATCTGGAGAAAACAGTACAGCAAATAGAGGAAAGAGTGTGATGAGAGAGTGCAGCCACAATACCTAGGGTAAGTTTGGGAATGTTAAGTTATCCAGTTTGACTAAAATGTAGGACAAGTCAGGGATATATCAAGGGAACAAAGAAAAGCATTACCACCAGATTGGTACCACATAGTGAAGGGCCATAAGTATCACATCAAGGAGCTAGGCTTGATTCTGTTGGCAACGACAATCCATTCTGCCTATGTATTCACATTCGTGTGTGTGTGTGTGTGTGTGTGTGTGTGTGTGTGTGTGTGTTGGGAAGGTAGATTTTATTTGGTTGTTTTAATATTGGCCTTTTCTATAACAAATGGTTTTCTTGTGTCTTTCTAGGCTATGAATCAAGGCATCACGCCACAGCCTGTCTATGTGATGCTGTTGTTGGATTTTGCACTAGCTGTCTCCACTGTATTCCAAAGTTTACTTACAGGGAAGCACTGGCTGGATTAACAAAGCATCTCAAAGTCCTATGGCAGACAAGGTAGACTAATTTCTTACTTCTTGCATATTCTGCCATAGTATCCACAAACAGTTTGTTTTCAAGCAAAGCACAGAAGTGCATTTCTTTTTTTTAAAAAAAGTGATTATGAGCAATGTTTAAAATAAATATCCATAAAGCCAGAAAAGGAGTTTAATATTTAATAGTTGGCCTGTTGCCAATGCTCTTTTGAATACTGAGTACTGCTACTTAAAGTAGGAAAAACAAAGTAAAATGCTATTTTATATAATACTACCTCAATACCCAACAAGTTACTCGTCTACTAAAGAGTAAAACAAACAAACCAAAATCCCATTTTTTTTCTCCCTTTGAAGAATCAATTCTTTATTACCATACGACGAGTCTGGAAAATGGAGATCAGCTAGAATGTTTATAAAAGGCAGACTTGGAATGTTTCGACTGCCATTTCTTACCTGATTTTCTTTGCTTCAATTACTAGTCCCCACCTATTGGTTCAATATTATCTACTTTATGAATCAATTCTGAGACTGACTGTACAGAAGTAAACTTGGTGACACCATCCACTGAGACTTGAAATTAAGTCACCAAATCAGGCTAAATTATCCAGCAATTTCTGCCTTTCTTAGAGTTGACTATAGCCAAATCTCATTTCCTTATCCCCTGGTCCTTGCATTGCAGGAAGGAGGGAGTGCTAGAATGTTCTTGGATTCGTAGGCACACCATTCCGCATTACTCATGCATCACACCATAACTTAGACTCCCTTCTTGAGATGTCTTCTTGCAATATTCAGTCTTGTGGATTGAATTTCCCGGTATGCAAGATGACTGAAACACATCTGAACTTGTATACACTTTGAACATTGTTCTTTGGGCTGTCAACTATTCTCTCTTGCAGTGCTTCTGAAATGTAATCTGTGGACCCCCTGTAACAGATTTAAGGACATTCCTTAAAATCAGACCCCTAAGTCCAATCTAAGACCCATCAAACAGATAGGGTATTGGGTCCCGTCAATCTGCCTACTCACAAACTTCCTAGATGAATCCTCTGTTCATTAAAGTCTGAGTATAAGTGCTTTTTAAGAAGTGTTCTATTTAACAAATCATCACAGTTTTAAAGATAGTGAAAAAGAGTGGGCTTTTGAGCTGCAGAGAACAATTAAAGCAGTTTTGGAGGAGGCCAAGGCCATGATCCTTGTTGCTAAACATCTAGAGTAGTAGCATTAATTATGAAGATTTGATTAGATTAGGATCCTTTTGCTCCTTTTAACTTTGAGGCTCAGAAAATGACCAAATAAAAATGGTACTTAAACACTGAAGTATGATCAGTCACATTGGAATTAAACATTTCTCTACCTAATTAGTTTACTTATCAAATCAACCTAACCCAAGAACATTGTTTCTGCTACCATCAATCCATGCCGTATGTCAATACAGTAGAGTGTTCCTGACTATGGGTTGAAGTATGACTATTAAAAACATAATCTTTACATTTTCATGACTTTTTAAATGTATATATTAACTTGGCTGGAAGAGATTCCTCATATTTCCATTTTATACTCTATTGTCATTATAAAAATAAAAGTTAAACCACATAAAAATGAATGATTAATAGTTGTATTTAAATGGCCCACTCTCCTCATTGATTTTATCACTTAATTGTGGTGAACAGTATAAATGAGCCTGAGTCCTTTCCTTCATTTTGAATAGAAATAGTCTTAATTTTTTTCATTGTTTAAATTGGTAGAGTAGTTTAAAAGACTACAATTGTATCTTCAAAGTGAAAAAAGATAAAATTTTTGAATGCAAGTGTGTCAAATTGTTTAACAAAAATACAGTTCCATATAACTAACCAATAGGATCAATTATTAGTTCTAATTCTTCAATATTTCCCTGTGTTTATAAGAACTCTACTTGGGTATAATGTTTCAATAATTCACTTACAATGTTCTTTATGAACATTACTCTCAATAACATTATCTCTCCAGACTTTAAAACAATTATCTGAAGAAAATAATCATTTCATAGAAGGAAAAGAGAGAAGAGAAATGGCAGTAGAATGCTTATCTCACTTCTCAGGCTATAGTCTAACACCAGGAAAATAATGTTTAAACAATGGCATTGAATGTGTATGCAAACAGGTTCGATAAAGCTTTACTTTTTTAATTGAATCAACTCATAGATTCAATAAAACAACTGAAGAAATTCAGCCAAACCAATGAACAATCATCAAATACACAAATTCAGGTGGTTTTTATAAACTCTTTATCTTGCCACAAATTGGGTTAGTATGGAGTAGAAAATGTTCTTAGTGTATTTTTAAACCAATTATTCATTAAAATATATTATGGGAGCAATATTGACAATCTCTTTAGAATGAAAGCTAACTAAATTTCGGATGGTAAATCTAAGTATCTATGTTTGCACCTTGGCTACATTTTGCCATCAGTCTGTATGAATATTTTGGTGTTATATCTGATATTATAAAGGGATTTAGCTACACCCAGTAGCCTACTAAATATTTTAAATATAGGCTTAAATATAGTTGAAATAATTGTACTGTCTTTTATAAAATTCCAACTGAATATGTGCATAATAATGATCAACATGAAGTAATTATCAATATTAAGTACTGTAAAAATGTAAAATTTTAGTGTATATTATTTTTAAAGCTTCTTGACCATTAAAATATACTGCAATAGAATATTGAGCATATGAAAAACTCTAACATTGAAATAGGTAGAGTACACTAAAAAATAAATTCTCATTTTATTTACATGTTTTACTTATTTATCCAACATTCATATGCACTAGTTCAAACAAAATCACAGCAATTAAGATGGATGAAAAGTGACACTTTTTTAGTCTTTTCATTGAGATATGATTTAGAATATTTTCATATGTAAACTAAGTCAATATTCAGACAATTACTCTCATTTACTAAGCAAAAGAGTAGCAAATTTTACTGAGTGCACAGTCCCTGATCTCAAGGACTCACATATCTTAAGAAAATAATCATAGTAAGTAAAATAATAGAACAGCTTTCACGAACTACATTTAGTAGAAGGCTTGTGTCCCATGGGATGTTAAACCATGTGTGAAACATGTATTTCATAGAGGAATATATATGGGAAACTCTGCATATTATGAAGTCTACTCTTAAAGACTCACAATAAACATGAAAACTGAAAAGGCTCTGACTATTCCTAGAATAAAAACACTTGCTTAATTTTATTAAATACATAATTTTCCAATTTTGTTGACCCTAGAATATTCTTTATCCCCTACCTCATGCAATACACTGTTAGCATTCTACAGGGCTAGTGTCCTTGGATCATGGTTTGTGGATAATAGCAATAAAAGTATAAATTAGGGAAAGTGATTGCATACAAGAAGTGATTACATCTGTTGGTCAAGGAAGGTTTTAAATATAGAAATGCCTGGGCTGGGTCTGGAAGAATTAGTAGAAATTTGCTAGATCCAAAAGAAAGAAGTACAGTCTAGACAAAATGTAAGCATATATGTACAAACATGGGTAAGAGCCCAGAGGTGTGGAAAAAGTGAAATGTACTGAGTTGAAGGAGAGCAGTAAGAGTTAACACTGAAAGAATAGGCACGAGATAGTCATAGTTCTTGTATATCTTGCTTAAGGAGGAGTTTAAATGTTAGACTTTATTGTGCAAAACTTAAAAAGTCATGCATATTTGCCAAATATATAAAATTGGGAAAAGTTTAGACTTAGCATTAAGATCAATGACTCTGATATAAATAAAGATAATAGATTTGAGTAGAATGATACTGGAATAAGAACTGAAATGGCAATATATAATGTACCATAAAATTTCGAAATGGTTGTTAACATTTTTATTTATTCAATATTTTCCCAGCATTTTCTGTGTTCCAACCACTATGCTAGTCACTGGGATATGAGAGTGAATAAAAAAGAGTCCCTACTCTCAAGAAATTCAATTTATTATGAAAGATGCTCATACAAAGAGATAAAATATAGTGAGGTGCACACAGTTCCATCATTTGACACTCTGTACTGTATAACAAATGCTCGGTTAATTTTTTTGGATGTGTGAAGTGGATGAATGTTGGAGGTAATATCAGTGTTCTATTAAAATATAAAGAAACCTGATGCAACTTTCTGGTCTATTTGTTTTGCTTGACAGTAAAATTTTAATACAGTCTTTCAAATTGTGAAATAAATAAAATATTCAGATACATTTTTAAGGTAAGACTCAAAGACAAAGAAATTTCATGATTGTCTCTTCTTTGTCCTTAGGGATATTTAAGTTAAAAAGCTTTAAAATCACTACCTAGATTATTGGGAATCTCTACAAGTTTTTCAAAAGAGGAGTAAAATGGTCTAATTCAGATTTATAGAAAATCATACCAGATTTCTTGCTAATACTAGAATATAAATGTATGTTGAGCCCTTTATTTCATTGATGCTCCTTTTGCTCAAGATCTTTTTGGAACTCCTCCTTGGCAACCACCTTCAGGGCCCACAGCACATGACTCAAAAAGCTTCCTAATTCTTTACTCAGTGTCAGTGTCTTTAGAGTTGTTTTTCTGATTAGTGGTTTAAAAAAAATCATTTGGATGGCTCTTCTGAACCACATAGATATTGCATATGAATACTGACCCATGCCTTTAATTTTTGCTGCAGCTGCCTTGCAGTCTGTCTGCATTCATGGCTGGAATGGTGAAATGAGAAGTCCGAAAGATTAAAATGGACCAAGGAGTTGGAAGTAGGCTTTTAATGAGACACGCTAAAATCAGTCTTGAGTAATGAGAGTGTCACTGTAAATAGAGAACAACCTCTCAAAGAGATAACCTAGAAGGTAAGTAAGAGGCTGGAATGCACAAATCCTGTTAAGACATTAGTCATACTACTTCACTTTATTAACTCTCAGATTCTCAGATTATAAACAATAAATATCAATATATACCAACACAAGTCACTTTTCCATTGCTTATATTTGTCTTCCTTTTATGACACTTTGCTAAAATTGTTTTTCAACTTTTGCACTTATTTTTAAGCTGTGTCTCTGTTACCTCTCCTGTGGAAAAAAGCACACACATACACACAAACACAGGCCACCTTCAAACAGTGAACTCAAACAAAATTTCCAAAAGGGTTGATATAACACCTGCAGAATAATGTATTTAAAAGATGAGTATATAGGCAACAGATAGACATTAGAGGGCATGGTAGACATGAGGAAGTCTATACAAGAAAAGTAAGTCTCAAATGTTGCATTTAAACAGGTTGTTGGTATTTAGGATACATACATATACATATTATATATATATACACAATGTACATATATATTCTGTACTGTATAAGTTTTGATCATTGAAACTGCAAGATAAAGACACTTAAATGAAATAAGATGAAAGTGTGGGAAGCAATACTGCAAAAGGAATCAATTCAAAGCAGTGAATTATTACAGCTAATTCCTTTAAATAGGTTTTTGCACTTGACAGATATCATAGAAAATGGATTTTTCCCTCAAAATAAAGGATGACAAACATTTCTGAAACTTCTTTTTTCCTTAGGACAATTTTAATATAGATGAAAGAGCTTTAGATAAATGAGTTAACAAAAAAATACTACTTAACCATCTGCTAGAACATAATGTGATACATTTTTGACACCTCTTAGCTTCTTTAGCTGAATTTCAGAATGCAACCATTAGTATTAAGAGCAGGTACTAAGGATTTTCCAAATCATTTTGTTATTCTTATCAATATTTCTAGTATTCTTTTAGATCCCTTCACTCACTTTCTCTATTGCTTTCCATTTCCTGAAGTTTTAAATAAAATTTCCCTTCTGTTTGTCTTGTAGGAAAAATCATCATGCTTACCACATAGAATATGAGTTGTAGGAGAGACACAATGGGAGACATCGGTTAAGGGACAAAAGACATTAACATTTTAGGTGATTGTGAGTTCATAATTTTTCCAGAACACAAGCATTGCATGGCTACTCTAATATACTAGATTATTAAAATAGATATATCTTTGCCCTACCTGATAAACACTATTTGTATAAGTGAATATATTTTTAATATTAATCCAATATATTTCATAAGAAATATTTGATTTGCAAAGTAATCTGAGCATTACGATGATTCCCTATCTAAATACTGGCATGGTGAAAATGAGGACAAATCTACCCTTTCTCTAATGTAGTTACAGGCAAGCTATACTCATATAATAAACATAGAACGTACAATCAAAACCAATGCATGAGTGTAGGATGCAACTAAAGTCAAGAGCCAAAGAGTAAAAGATAGGTATGGGTTTTGAGAAGGGACCACATGAAGAGCAATGTATTTAATTTGTAAATCTATGCTCTCGTGACAGTCTGGGAGAATAGGCCATGCTACTCTCTTGCTTACAACCCAGCAATGGCATTCTACTATTCATAAGGACAGGTACAAACTACTTACATAAACTATTATGGCCTTCATTAGACAGCCTTCATCTAATTCTGAAATCCTGTCTCCCACATCCCCCTGCCTTGTAGAGTATACTCTGAAAGTACGAACCATTTGGCAGTTCTTCACCTACACCATGGCATTTTTCTTTTAACCAGGGGCTATACTCTCTGACCATGATGCCCTCTGTATCAGGAAGGCACTATTTTCTCATTTGCCAGGTGGACACATACTTTTTTAAGACTCTGCTTAGCATATTAGTAGTACCACTAACTTCCATATTCCCATGTGTTCTCTTATATCTCATTTTTATCTTCAAACTTTGTTTCTCAAATAATAACTAACATTTTTTAACCTGTTATGGTTAGTAATTTTTGAGTGTTTATCTTATGCTGTGTTGTGTTTTATAAGCCATATGCTATTCAATCACCACATAAACTTTATTGAGGTAAGTGCTATTGTTATTGCCATTTTACACATAAGCAAAGTGAAAAAGACTTGTTGAAGTCAATGCTGGTTAGTACTAAGACCAAGATTCAACACAAGGCAACTACAGGGTCTGGCCTGGCTTGTCAGCCTATGCACACACTTCTTCCTCCAACCTGAGTTGCTTCTATACTGGATTGACTCATTTACAGCCTCCCAAGACTTTTCTCCATTCTCTCTATGTCTTCTAACTCAGAGGCATGGTAGTGAATTTCTTACAAATAATAAATACTTTCAAGAAAGTGAAGACAAATAAATATAAAATGTGGAAAGAGTACCAAAAGAGAAATTTGGGCTTGCAGAAGTCTCCCTTGATTTCAGAGCTTTGTACCATTCTGACTGTTCATTTTCCAGAGCACAGACAAGAGACTGTTGCAGATGTTTTTTGAGAAATTGCCCAGTAGTCTACCCATTTGAACCAGTGCCATCTTTCTCTATCCCAGACTATGACCTTGAATGCCAGATGGAGTTTTTTTTCTGACACGCATGACACAAACTGAACATACAAACATAAGATATTTGCTAATTTGAAGCTTCTAGTTCAAGAAGTTCTTGTAAAAATATAAGAAATGAATTGGAACAAGGATTCTTTTTGGAGAAAACTCTTGTGTCGTTATGAAAGATCACTGGTCCTGCTAAACATATATGCTATGAACCATTTTGTGTTCATTCCTTGTGGGATTTATTCAAAATAATATTTGGCTATTTTTACTTACATGTTATCTTTTCCTCACCCCTTTCACATTTGGAGAGCCTCCAGAACTTGGAAGCAAGAATCATTTTCTACAACCCATGGAGAGAGAGTACATTCCTGAAACTGCCAAAGTGCTATAAACTAGCCACTTAAATCATAAGTGAACATGATCTCTTACAGAGCTAATTCCAGAAGCAAGACAGTCAAGTTGTGCACATCATGGAAATATGCAAAGCTAGAGAGATTCAGGAGAAACCTTGACCCATCACAGTGGTTTAAAAAAATGTTCATGAGCTCTGTGTATGACAGTCTTCTTGCATAAGCACAGAATCTTTTCCTTGCAAGGGACCAACTATATAGCTAATCACATAGTAAAATAAAAGAAAGCCTTTCAAACAGGACTGAAATGCTGGCAAAGCACACAGTGAAGGCTTAAGTTAATTTAATGTGACTAAACTATATTCCATAACCTTCAATCCTCAATAATGTCACCATGTCACAAAGAAAGTTTTTGCTTGTCTGTTTTAGAGATGGGGTCTCACTTTGTCACCCAGGCTGGAGTGCAGTGGACAATCATCGCTCACTGCAGCCTCAAACTCCTGGGCTCAAGCAATTCTTCCTGCCTCAGACTCACTAGTGGCTGGGACTACAGGTATGTGCCACTATGCCCAGCTAATAAAAAGAAAACAAAAATTAAAAAAAAACCCTAAGAGATGGGGTCTCATTATATTGCCCAAGTTGGTCTCCAACTCCTGGCTTAGGCAATCCTCCTCCCTCAGCCTCCCAAGTAGCTGGAATTATAGGTATGAGTCACTGTGCTGCATGGAAAGTTTTAATGTAAATACTAATTCCAAGAATATAAAACTACCTCCAACCAGAGAATGAGAGCAACATTGTATATGAATTTCACATTAATGGTCTCCTTTTCTTTCCTGTCATTGCTATTTTCTTTTCCCCTCATATAAAAAGTTACTGGGAGGCATAAATTTTCATTAATAACACAACTCAGCCAAAGCATTCTCACTGAAAAGAATTAGCAATCCAGGCAGGGTACTGGAAAGTGAATCTCAATGAGAATACTTTACAAGGCAAATTACAAAGGAGACTATAATTATCAATTTCTTTCAATGCTGTTCTGCTTAATAGTATGTAGAGAGAAAAGTGTTGGGAAATTGACTTGATGCAGATTTAGGAATTGGTGGGACTACTTTAAAGAGATCAACAACAAATTGCTCTTTTAACCTTAGATCACAACATGAGCCACATGTCATATGTCTCAGGAGCATGCAAACAATTTGTCAGAAATCATTCTCTGAATGTTTTTAAAATTATATTTTCTTTTTACCTAATGAAGGATGATTTCTGCAGCTGGATTATATGTTTCTTAAAGGCACAAGCTCCTATATTTTTATACGTCCCAGGACTAACATAGTGACACTTGTTCACAGCTCAAAATCTACTTGCTCATTAACTACATTTTCTGTGATTTTCACTTGTCTTGTTATTTGTCTCATGACAATTTCCACCTCTGCTCACTTCTGCCCCATTATTCACCATGAAAAATATCCTGCATTTTAGTTACATTAACTGAGTCACTGTTAATATACTTGCGTCTCTTTTTCTTTTCTTTTTTGCATATAAACATACACTGCCAAGATCTGGAGCAAAAACTTGGTCATCCTCTCACTGATCTTGTTAGAAACTGAAGTTCCCCTTCCAAAATTCACTTGCCATTAGGTGGGATCCTTGCTACTTGCTTCTCAGCTCTCCTGGTACCTGCCTAATGACCACTGACAGGCTCACCTAACTTTTGACAGACAAATTCTCATTCTCCCATATCCTACTTCTGAAGCTTCCTAGATCAACTAACTGCCCACTCTTGAAGGTCTGCCCTGGCTACAAATGTTAAACTCATTGCTCACCTTGAACTTTGCTCAAAAAATCCATACTCTAAAAATTGGAGAATAGAAAATCTACAAAAAGCTATGAAGCATAAAGTAGTACGTGCCTATCCTTGTAGGATTTGAGATACAAGAACAAGCTGTTAAAGGTATATAGAGCCCAAATGTGAATTATGATTTTGCATTACTAAATTCCAATGCAACATGATTTATTCAATAATTATCCATAAAATAAAATCCTGGCATCAATGAATGTATGTATATACTCTATTATAATAATTCCAATAGTACTCTACAAAATTATTTTACATTAATTTGCAAAAAATAAATGATGCTTAAATTATGAAAATAATGATATTAGTAAACTTCAAAAGGCAATCAAAATATATTCCACCATGATGTTATGGTTCTTTCATCTGATCTTCTGGAAATAAGCATTTAAAAGGATGGGAAGGAGAAAACTTAAAAAAAAAAAAACTATGCACATGCTACTATTTTCTTGAATCTTCACAATAACCCCAAAAGTTAGGTAATTACATACTCATTTTAAAGTTAAGGATTCTGGGCTAAAGAGATTTGGTAACAAGTTGAGAGTCAGTAGGGATAGTGATACGCTTCAGCTCATTGGGTAGTTGTGAAAAATACATGAGAGTTGAATCGATTTCAACAAACACTGAACATTTTCTATGTGCCAGAAAAAAAAGTCTATTTTCCTCATTTAATATTTAAATGATTTAATATTTCCAGGTAGATGAATGAACATTTAGTATGAATATTAATATGGATCTAGGGTCCCATGTAGACTTTTCGCTCCTTAGAATCAGAAATAATATCTTTTCCACAGGTGTATTCTTAGCACCACACAATATTCTCGGTCCATAGATGGTACCAAGTAAATATATTATTTATCAAATAAATAAATGATAATCTGGCATTCTTATAAGACTGTTGCCTAGACATATTTGAAACTTCAAAGTATTTATACCGTTAAGTAATATTATTGTATGTGCTTTGAAATTTAAAGTGAAGACAATATGTTTGCATATTGTTACTATCAAAAATCAGTCTTCTGAGATTGTATTAGATAACTTATAAACATAATGCATATGTCCAATAAAAACCAATAGTTGATTTCAAAAAATTATTTTAATAAGGTATATTACACATTCATGTTTTTTCATAAACTGAATAAATGAGGCATATATTTATTCTTGTGTGTCTGATGAATTTACTTCTGTATCATAGTAATCATGGTTTTGTAATTTTTCCAATCTGTAAATTTGAGTGTCTCTTTTATTTTTATCTATTGTTATTTTGTCAGCTATCCCTTTTTGACACTGACAGTATATCTGATTTAAACAGACTTACTGCCTCTTTCTAACTCCCTGCAGTCTGGAAAACCAGTTGGAATTATGCTTAATATAGGAGCAAATACATTATGCACAACACTCACATAAGATATATCTCTTCTTAAATCTCAGAGTCCTTTTAGGATCTTAGTTATTTTCTTGGGAATCAAGCTTGCAAAATAAATGACCTTTGGACAAGTGAAATATTGAACTGTTTGCAAAACTATCTGAGAACTATTAGCAAAACGTAGCTTATGTCTAATTTAAACATATTTCCCAATACTAAAAACTCAGCCTTGCAGTATAGGTGACTTTTAAAGTCCAGATTATAGACTGCTTGCTACAAGAGAAAGATGCTATTAGAAACATACATAAGAATATAGTGCAATAGGGGAAAGGAAAGCAAAAGAAATAACTTCATGTAATACATAGTAATGGAGAAATGGGGGAAATTGAAAATCTTCCTGGTGTGTAATCAGAAAAATGATCTTTCAATGAAAAGATGCTATATAAAATATAATGCATCTGTAACAGGAAATTTTACTCCTCCCTCTGGGAATTAATTCCTCTACTGTGCAGGTATTTGGGAAGAAGTGGTATGATAGATGGTATTCTACAGCAATGAATTCCTCCCAGCCTGGAGGGCAAGTGTGTGGTTTGTGTGTGGGGGGAGGGGTGGAGGAGTGGGAGGTGAAGAAAAGGTAAGTGAGCAAGAACTCAACTTCGTCATACAAATAGACTAAAAATGTCTAGAAACTGTTGTATCATTTCCTTTTTAGTTCAACCTAACTTTTTTTTAAAACCCTACAATCTCCGCAGTGTAGAAACAACTAGAGAGTATTGAAGATACAATATAACCCTAAACACTTGGGCATAAATTCATTCTTGTTTGTCTTTCTTCTTTATCATCATAGTCTTTTTCTTTTCTTATATGAAGAAAAATCTACAGTTTGCTACAAATATTTGATTCACTTTTATAACAACATAAAATGATAGAAGATAGTACTGGAAATTGAAGTTGATTCTAAAGGAATACAAATCAAAATAATGTTCCGGATGGGCTTTTTGAAACATATTATACAATATCGAGATAATAAGACAATTCTTGATCTGCCTCACTAGGAGCCTAAAGTGCTATACAAGCAGTATTTTCACAGTCTCAGTGCTCTCTCCCTACCATTCATCCCTCACTATCATTTACTTCGTGGCTTTCTGAAATGGTGTTTCCTGGCCATACAGGGTATCTTAAATTTGTGTTTACTCCATCAAAAATAGCAACACATTTTGTATCAAACAAAGTCCTAATGACTTAGGTTGGGCATGTATTATTTTTTCTTGACTGGAAATAACTAAAACATGAAAATAAAAAGAAATGTTAGATTCTTAAAGATGTAAACAATTGCTCTAATGAGTAACAAATATTGAGAATTGATGTCCTGAAAGATAGGGCTCACTTCCCTACAGCTGATGCATCAGCTGATCTGACTTAGCACAGTCTGTGAATCAATGTCATTGTTGTTTTTATTTGCAGGGATGTGGAGAGGAGAGTAAGAGGATAGTTTCTGAGAGTCTAATATGGACAAAAGTTACAAAAACATCAGGCTCCAAAGGCAAGTAGTAGTTCCTGATTATATCTGTTAATGACTCTCAGGCAAAGAAAAGTAATTGTTGTGCAGTCTATGACATTACAGCAATGGTGACAGCTCTACATATTTATCTCATTTAAATTTTTTAACTACTCTGTGAGTTATTAGATGTCAGCAGTCCATTTTACAGATGAGGGAACATAGGCTGAAAGAGAATCAGTGACTTAGTCTAATGTTACAAACTGAGCAACCACAGAGCCAAGATTTGAAGCATCATCTGTCTCCTTTCAAAATCTGTATTCATTCTCCTCTAATGTTATGTCTTATCTCAACACTATTCTTTATCTTTATCTTTGTTTACATAAGTCCTAAGTCATGCTACCTTCTAATCTCATAGAATCAGAGTAACTGAATGGATTTCCCAGAGAACCTGACTCTGTCCATTAGGGTTAGATGAAGAGAGAACAGTCATTTAGCTGCCATTATAATTGTTAGTAACTGTTGCAGAATCCCTAAGGTGAAATTATTTCAGTTTAAATAATACAGAATTATGGCAGATAATTTGATTTTTAACAATTTTTTTACAAATAAAACAAAAACCAATGCCCTTATTTTCATTTTACAATCAGCAGAAAGGGTCACACACTAGAATAACATTCATCATGCTCTAGCTAAAAAAAAAAAAAAAAAAAAAAAATTATACCTGAGTTTGCAATTTGCAATGACATCTCACTTTTGAAAGGGATCAAGCACACTTGGTCCACAATTGAAGACCACAAATAGGGGGAAAAAATGGAGTTGTAAATTTCTGTCACCTTTCTCTTCAACCATTATTTTACAGGGCTCCAAAAATTTACATAGATTACATATAAATGATTTTTTAGTTTGTGCTATTATTTATTGAAGGGATAAAAATTAATCATAATTCTTGCTCACACTCATAGGATATTAGTGATGAAAATATCTTTGGGCATTTTCTAGTTTAATTACCTCCCCCCACAATTTTAAAAACAAGGAAACAGTGGCTCAATGAAGTAATGTGGATTCATAGAGTAACTTGGTTGTGAGTGGTAATTAAGTTCTGAGGATTTTTCCAAGGAACTATCTATTCTGAACTAAAAATTGAAAAAAATTACCCATCATAGGATTTCTAAGCCAACTTGGTGACACCTTAAAGAGCAATGTCTTTTAACATTAAGTTTTGCAAGACAGTGTATGTCTGCAAATCGTGGGAACTACATACAGGGTTAAATATCCTGAACAAAGAATACTAGGGCTAGAAGATGACATTTAGTTTCTGGTTTACAAAAGACACTTCTGTTTTACACTATTATCCTCAGGGAGTGATTAATAGCGCTTTTTTTTTTCCTATCAAAAGTTTCTTGGTTTGGGCAACAAATTTTATTGTTTCACAAGTTACCCTAGTCTTTGTTATTGGTATCTATAATTCTTTACCTAGATATGTAACATCACGTATTAAAGGAAAAATGACATTGTATAGGAGAGCTTAGCCATTACTTTCAATTTAGTGTGAAGAAATTTATCAAATCTCTTTTGTCTGATGCCTGAACTATAATCGATTTTTTGAATGAGTGGGATGGCAGAACAAAAGAACACTGGCACCAAAAGGCCAAAAAATATATAAATAAGTAAAAAAGAAAGAAAAATGGGATGAAGAAAAATGAGAAAAGTGTTCACCTGTCTTCCAATTTTGCCCATGGATAGTCTGGATTATAGGTATACTAGGACTTTTCATTTCTACTGACAAAAAGATCAAGTAATGTAAATTAAATAGGAGGGTTTAAGACTTGAGTATTAGGGGCAAATGGCTTGTAAAAGGTCATCTGAACTGCCATAAAGGAAAAATCATGGACATTTACTTGACCTTACACAGACAAATATGTGTGCATGTTTGTGCTGTTGTATACAAAAATATTCACTTAAGATGGCTTCAGGGAAGGGGAGAGAGCCAAGATGAGCCATTGAAGAGTTTTATAATTCAATCATAAAAATAAAATGAAAAAAAATGATGATTTACTGAAAATAGGGTAAGCCTATGATAGCTGTTTTAATTGAGTGCATTTGGCAGGAAAAAATATCTTTAACAGAGCCAATACATTTAAAGCACCTTGTATTCACTCCTCCCTGTCACAATAAAGATAATTATTTTTTATTTAAAGTTAGAGGAAATGAGCCTGTTTTCATCTTAATGTACTTCACATTATGCCTGTATAAGGAGGAAATCCATAAGTTATAGAGAATCAAAATATTGCTAGGGTTTTCTGCATATTTATCAAGACAAAACATTTCCCTAACACTTAAGGTTGGGAAGACAATATTCTGTTCAGGGAAACGACCTCACAATTCTTGTAGTCTATGGTATGAATTATTATTTCATAATACAATATTTCAATATTTTCCCATGTAATTAAATTAGCAAATGTATTTTATACAACATAGGATCTAAGCTACAGAGTGATTGGCATAAATTCTATTCCTGTGTTACACTATAACTACTTTGTTATCTCCCTGTTTATCTGCCAAGAAAGTAGTTATAATCAGAAGGCTTTTCCATGTTCAGTTTTCTTGAAGAATAAACATAAATTAATACAAAATAAATCTAAGTTTTATATTATAGTTGTTTGGATGAATGAACATTCAATCTTCTGTTTAATAACACCTACTAATGGTTGTTTTCGTTTGCTGTACATGGCTGTCATCCTCAATGATTTTTGTTTCTGAAGAATATGTTAAATATACAGTTCCTTATATGCAAAACTAAAAATGTTCCTGCTTTGAAAGCCATGTGTTTGTGGAAGAAATGTATTAATGACATCTGGGGTATAATTTCAGGGAAAATAAACATGCCTAAATGAATAGGTCATAACTTCCGTATTTCCTCTCAATTTATTTTACTGTATTGTTAAAGAAACTCTTAGAAATTCTTGGTAAAGGCCATCATCGGCTTTTTATTTTAGAGTGGGGAACTTGGCTATAGAAAATTACTTAATAGCTCACTACTTAAGGTTTCCAAGACAACATTTCAACATTGGATTTGACATAGATTTCTTGAGCAACACCCCACAAGCACAGGCAATCAAAACAAAAATAGACAAATGGAATAATATTGAGACAGGATAGTTCCCCTGACCAGTTTGTGGGACTCATGAAGGGGTGGCTTGCTTACTCAGCCCGCAGTGCTCAAAACCCTTGTGGGAGTAGGAGCACACAGGTGAGAAGGTGCAGGAGCAGGGGCAAGTAACTTTGGGCGCCGCCCCCCCGCCCCACATACAGGCCTGTGGCAGTGTCTACAGGTTGCATGCGACCTCTGGATCCTGAAAGGGTGAGTGTTACAGTGTACTCTTTGTTTTGCTGTCTGTGGATGGCTTAAGTGTTAAAACAGCTCAGTGGAGAGTCAGTGTGACAGCGTCTTGCACCCATACCTGGGTCCTTGTCCTCTCATTCCAAGAGGAATGAGGTCACAAGGACTTGAAGGATGGTGAACATAGAAATTTTATTGAGTGGTGGAAGTGGCTCTCAGTAGGATGGAAAGCTGGCAAGGGGATAAAGTGGGAAGGCGGCCTAACCATCCCCGGCTGAACTCCTCTCTGACCGTTGTCTCTGATGTCCAGCTGCTTCTTCTCCTCTCAACGTTCAGATGCTTCTTTCTTTTGTGTGTGTGCGCTGAGTTTGGGATCTGGGGTTCTTATGAGCACAAGATAGGGGGCATGGTAGGCCAAAAGGCAACATTTGGTTGGGAAAACAGGGAAGTGAAGTTCTCACTTAGGGCCACAAATTCAGGCTTGAGGGTGGAGCCCTTGCCAGGGACTCCGCCCTCTTTTACCCAATATTTCCCTGCTTCCTGTTCATATCAATATCAAGTTAAAAAGCTTCTGCATAGCAAAGGAACCAATCAAGAAATTGAAGAGACGATCCACAGAATAGGAGAAAATATTTGCAAACTACCCTTCTGAAAAGGGATTAATAACCAGAATATATAAGGAGCTCAAACAGCACTATAGGAAAAAATTGAATAATCCAGTCAAAAATGGGTTAAAGATCTGAGTAGACATTTCTTAAAATAAGACACAAAATGGCAAACAGGCATATGAAAAAGGTACTCAACATCGCTGATCATCAGAGGAATACAAATCAAAACTACAATGAGATATCCTGTCACCCCAGTTAAAATGGTTTTTATCCAAAAGACAGGCAATAACAAATGCTGATGAGGATATGCAGAAAAGGGAACCACTGTGCACTGTTGGTGAGAATGTAAATTAGTACAACCACTATGGAGAACAGTTCAGAGGTTTCAAAAAAAAAACTAAAAACAGAGCTACCATATAATCCAGCTATTCCACTGCTAGGTAGATACTCCCCCAAAAAACAAAGCAGTATATTGAAGAGATACCTGCACTCCTATGTTTATTGCAGCACTGTTCACAATAGTCAAGATTTGGAAACAACCTACATGCCCACAAACAGATGAATGGATAAAGAAAATGTGGTACATATACACAGTGAAGTACTATTCAGCCATAAAAAAGATGGCTGATCCCATCATTTGCAGTGACATGGATGGAACCAGAGGTCATTATGCTAAATGAAATAAGCCAGGCACAGAAGGACAAACTGATCATGTTCTCATTTATTTGTGGAGGATAAAAATTAAAATAGTTCATGAGACAGAGAGTAGATGATGAGTTTGGGAAGGGTAGGTGGAAGAGGGGGAGGTGGTGATGATAAATGGGTACAAATAATAGAGTTAATAAGATATAGTATTTGATAGCACATCAGTGTCACTATTGTCAGTAATAATTTAATTGTACATTTTGAAATAAATGAAAGAGTACAACTGGACTGTTTGTAATACAAAGGATAGATGCTTGAGGTGATAGATACCCCATTTACTCTGATGTGACTATGACACATTTTATGCTTTTATCAAAATATTTCATATACCCCATAAATATATATACCTACTCTGTACCCACAATAATTATAAATTAAAAAAAGACAGCATTCCATTTCACTAAAAGTGTGACTTTAACTCAAAGTGTTTTTCTCTTTTATTAAATTGAACACAAGGCATGAATAAAATTATCCAGCTATCTCTGTATCACATGCATATTGTTGAACTTTAGAAATGGTGTTACAAACTGGTTAAAAATGACTAAAATTATTGTTTATACACACTTAATCCAAACTAACTCTGCTGATGAGATACAAAGGCAAAGTGGGTGGATTTGTTCCACTAATAAAAATAACCCTAGCTGACTCTCTTTTTTTTTGGGGGGGGGGGACGGAGTCTCGCTCTGTTGCCCTGGCTAGAGTGCAGTGGCGCCATCTTGACTCACTGCAAGCTCCGCCTCCTGGGTTCACGCCATTCTCCTGCCTCAGCCTCCCGAGTAGCTGGGATTACAGGTACCCACCACCACGCCTGGCTAATTTTTTGTATTTTTAGTAGAGATGGGGTTTCACCGTGTTAGCCAGGATGGTCTCGATCTCCTGACCTCTCGTAGTCTGCCCTCCTCGGCCTCCCAAAGTGCTGGGATTACAGGTGTGAGCCACCATGCCTGGCCCCCTAGCTGACTCTTAACCTCAGCTCTTTCTCCTTTCAAATCATATACTAGAGTAGCAAACAACATAGTGAAAACAATATTGACATGAGAAACGTATAGATTCTGCTTTCCCTATGATGAAAGGCTTATAACATATTTTTTAGTCATTGGAATTCTTCTTTGTTAATGCTGAAATCATATATCTAAAATGAACCACAATTCCTTAAATACCATAGCATGCATTTTCTCCTTCAAAAGTTAGCTTATAACACTGTTGCTTGTTTGAACAACAAACTGATTAAAACTAGAAAACTACAGTAAAATTGAAGAAGTAAATATTTTTATTACATATTATTATTTTTTATTATTTTTAATGAGTAAAAATTGGTTGATCCACTGGAATTTTTTTAAAGAAGCCTAATTCAACACAGTGCTTATTGGGGTCATAGATTGCAAATAAAAGTCACATGAAAAATTAATCTTTACCTTTGAGTCATATATTAGAGTAGGAAATAACATAATACAACTGTGTCAACATGAATAACTAACTAATTCTGCTTTCCCTGTTTGAAAGGCTTATAACATATTTTCAAGTCATTGAAATTATTTCCAATGCTGAAATCATATATCAAAATAATATACAAAATATACAATATTGTATTACATTCACAATGTATTTTGTTAAAAACTTTTAAAAAATAATCAGGAAAGTAGCAGAATAGAAAGCTCAAAGCCCTTTTATCCATCACAGAAAACAAACACTAAAATAAATAGATAAACTTATAGACTGATTTATATAATTTAATAGTATATCTGATAGTCAAAAATCTACAGAAACCAAGCAAATGCCCAATCAAGAAAAAGCCACATTAAAAATGGTAAGAAATTTCATAGTGTTTTACTTGCCTTTGCCCCATTCTTTATCCTATGTTGTGCTTCACAGGTGGAAGATGATGTCAATACCCAGTTCCCTCACTTGGACCAGAAAGAGCGAAGTAGATCATATTTGCAAGGTTATAACCAGTGTGAGCACTGCCAAGGCACTAGTTTCTCACTCTCCTTACTTGGAACTCAGAAGAGGAAACAGTAGTATAGTTGGGATCTTAGGCTAGAAACCATGTAAACCAGTGGCATGCATGCAAAAACTGCAGGAGAGAGGGGAAGTTGCAGGTCCACAGAAACTGAAGGTAAGAGATTATTGGGAAATAATACAGTAGAACATCTAAGGCCCCAAGAAGAAGCTGAGTTGAGACTCCTTGAAACATAACAGGGTCTGTGAGTGACATCTGCAAGTTGGTAGATTAGAAAGCTCCAAGCCCTTGTTTACCCACAGGAACATTAAAAACAACAGACTGACTAATACAGGTTTTTAGGAGCTCTGGAAAGCAATCACAGTTCTACAGTATTTATAAGAGGGAAAAGCATACACACATGCTCAGACAGAATATATGCTCAGAAAAGGTCTCAGAGGACTTTATGTGTTCATATTACATTGATTAGTAAGTTTTCCCCTGCACAGAGCCAGTGTGCAAAAACTGAGGGATGTGGCCTCTTTTTTAAATGACCAAATTTCAACAAAAATATCATAAAGCATTCAAAGAGATAGGGTAATACGGTCCATCAAAAGGAACAAAGTTAACTTTCAGAAACTGTCTCTAAAGAAACACACACATCAGCCTCACTAGATAAGACTTTAAAATAATTGTCTTAAATATGCTCTAAGAGCAAAAGAAGAATGTGGAGAAAATTCAAGGAAGTAGAGAAACAATATATGAACATAATTAAAATATCGATAAATATAGAAATCATAAAAAAGAACCAAACATAAATTATGGAGTGGAAAAATACAATATCTGAATTGAAAATTCACTAGAGTTGTTCAACAGCAACCTTGAACAAGCAAAGAAAAGAATCAGTGAACCTGAAGGAAAGTCACCTAAAACTATTAAGTCTGAAGAGTAAAAAGAAAAAAAAAAAGAGTAAAGAAAAGTGAACAGAGCAGAACCTAAGGGACTTACAGTAAACCAATCAACAGACTGCTGTACACATTATAAGAATCCAAAAAGATAAAAGAGAGATAAAGTGATACAGAGATTATTTGAAGAAATAATGGCTGAAAACTTTGCAAATTTGAGGAAATGCATGAATCTATAAGCCCAAGAAGCTCAACAAATTCCAAGTAGAATAAAGAGATTCACAAGAAGAGACATTACAATCAAATTTCTGAAGGCCAAAAACAGGGAGAGAATATTGAAAGCGGCAAGAGAAAGAACATTAATCATGTACAAGGGATCCTTGATAAACCTATCATTGAATTTTTCAGTGGAAATTTTGCAGACCATAAAGCAGTAGGATGATATATTTAATGTGCTAAAATAAGAAAAAAACCTGTCAATCTAGAATCTTATATTTGGCATAAAGTTTCTTCAAAAATAAGGGAGAAATTAAAACATTCACCAGACAAACAAAACTGAGGCAGTTAATTACAACTAGACTTACTACATATGAAATTCTAATAGGAGTCTTACAAGTTGAAATGAAAACATGATAGGCAGTAACTCAAAGTCATATGAAAATATGAAGTTCTCCAGTAAAAATGAACACAGGGACAAACAGAAATAAGAGTATTATTGTAATTTTGGTTTGTAACTTAACTTTTTATTTTCTACAGGATTTTAAAAAACAAATGTATAAAATAATTCTAAGTATACATAAAGGAATACCCTTTATGTATATGTATATATAGACGTAATTTGTGAAATCAATAACATAAAGATGAACAGGGTGAAGCTCTAAAGCAGTAGAGTTTTCCTATGCATTGGAGTTAAGTCTGTATGTGAAAAAGCTCTGGAGATTGATGTTGGTGATAGCTATACAATAATGAGAGTGTATTTAATCCTACAGAATTGTACACTTGAAAACTGTTAAAGTTGTAAATTTGTTGTCATATATTTTACCAAAATAAAACAAAGAAAAACGTATTTGAATTTTGCTAATTCCTGATAATATGGCTTCATAAGCAAGAATACCATAAGACAACATAGTATTAAATTATGCACATACAAATTGTCTCAACAACATATCATCCAGGCTCTCACACTGTTTGGAAACTAATAGTACTGGAAATAAATCAACCATTACATAGCTCGCCAGAGGAAATGACTGGGAAAGTGATGGAGCTGTCACACTTGCTGCATGGGTGGGAGCCCTAGGCCCTCTGTCAAGATCATGCTGCCCTCCTGGATCATTTTCATGCCTGTTGCCCATGTGCCATCCCTAGTTTCAAATGGCTGAACAAATAATTAGTTTTCCCAACACACGAATGGGGTATGCAATCATTCTCCTGCAACAAATTCTAATCATCGCCATTCAGCTGTGATTCTACTGTCATAAGATAGGTTGGTACCCAATGAAACAGGACAAAAATTGATAGATTATAATGTATTAATTAGCTAATGGAAAAGTCAAAGTTGAAAAAAATAGATGTTGAATTTTAAATTAAGTGGGATTGTTAGGCTTGCATACATTTAATGACATAAGGTTTTATACAATTTATATATCTGTAATTATATATAATATATAATATAGTACATATATGTAACAAATATATAAAATATAAGTAATATATAACATATATATTATACATAATTTTCTTTATATATGTTATATATAATTTTCTTTATATAATAGGAAATTATAGGTTTTTTAAGACTTGAGTATTCATTTAGTGGAGGCAAATAAAGTTACTATGCTTCTTAATGCCTCTTCTAAATTTCCATGTACCTTTTAACTTAGAGAAAGCCAAGGAATTGTTGATCTGGTATACCAATGCCATCTGTCTTAGTTAATTTTCTGTTGCTAAAATAGAATACCTGAGACTGAGCAATTTGTAAAGAAAATAAGTTTAGTTGTCTCACAGTTCTGAAGGCTGGGAGGTCCAAGTGCATACTAGCAGTTTCTGGCATAGGCTTTCATACTGTGTCATAACATGGTAGAAAAACAGAAGGGCAAGACAGTGAATGTAAAAGAGACCAAACACGAGGGTGGCCTTACTTTAACAGCCTGCTGTCTTGGTAAATTATCCAGTCACTTGAGAGCAAGAACATACTTATTCCCTCAAGAGTTAACAGGATCAAACAAGAGTGGCATTATTCTCTCTCAGTGACTTAATCACATCTTAAAGATCCCACCTCCCAACACTGCTACACAGGGGACCACATTTTTCACATGTGAATTCTGGGAGACACACACGAACAATAGCACCATTCTTACCAGTTATAGGAAAGTTAATTAAAACCACAATGGGATACCACAGTATACCCAACAGAACAGCTAAAACAAAAATCTCTGATAATTATTACCAAGTGATTATAAAGATATAGAGCTACTAGAACTCTTATACTATGTCAGTGGGAATACAAATTGGTTTAACCTTTTGGGAAACTAGCATCTGTCTACCAACAAGCTTTTAAGCCACATAAACACAATTGTACAGCAAGAGAAATTTTCACACACATGTCCCAAAAGACATGTATAAGTATGTAAGGTCCAAAATCTGGTCATGATGAAATACATTGAAAATTAAACTATTGCCACACATAGGAATCTCACAGCATAATATTGAGACCAAGAGGCCACACATAAAACAAGTATAAACTCTATTATTACATTTATAAAACTCAAAAGCAGGCTAAATAATCTATAGTATTAGAATTCAAGAAAGGTGTTGCCTTGTGAGGGATTGGAATTTGTGACTTGGAAAGAAAAAAGAGGGCCCTTTCAATGGTGTTCATTATGTCTTATTTCCTAATTTGAGTGGTATTACACAGGTTTGTAGACATTCTGATAATTCATTTAGCTATTCATTTATGATTTGTGCACTGTTCTCATGTATGTTCTGATACAAATATTGCTTAACCTATGATACATGGTTATTTTATATACCAGAAAACAGAAGAGACTAAAGTTAAAAAATAAAAAATTACTTCTTATTCCACTAGTGCATTGACTTCAAGTTTTTTTTTTTTTAATATGTAGGTTCACACATGAATAATTACTCAGTATTGGTAGTTTTTCTAGGTTAACACAGATTATCAAAATATGTTAAGGGAATCAAGAAAATCTTGAATAGACTAATAACCATAGAAGCATGAGAAATTAAAAAAGAAACTGTCAGACCGAAGATAATCTTTGTCTAAGTTTACTATTAGGTTGTCCTAACGTTTAAAGAATAAGTAATTTCCATGCAATACAAAAAATCGTAGACCACAGCAAATATTTAGATTAAAAAAACCCTTTCCATTTATTTCTTCAACAAGTTTTTTTTCCCTTGCAACTGTTGGATTAGTGCTCTTTTTTTATTTATTTTGGTCTCTTCTTTTCATAAATAATTACCTACACATTTGTTTCTGTTTTCCATACTGGTCATATGTTTTCTCTCATTATTTTCATAGTTTATCTTTGCCCTCTGCAGTTCTGAAGAAACTGAGTGCTCCTTCAGTTTCCTTTGCACAAATCTGATTCTGTTATTTGTTGCCTCCAAAGACAGATATCATTCTTCTGTAACATTTTTGTTTCTTTTCAATTGTCTGTACTTTAATATATCCAATCTCTGTGTTTTTTATTTCTGAGTCATTCAATGCATACACAAGGATGGAAAACAATTTTCTAAAACATTTTTTCTGCTTTCTGTATTAACTCTTGCTTTATATATGCTTTTCCTCTGAGACTTTAATTTTCCATGTCAAGTAATTACTACTGACAACGAGTTTTGCTTTAATGGTCTTGTTATTTTTTTCTTTACTGATCTGAGATTGTGATAAAAATCTATTGAAGTGTAGGGTTTTCTAACAGACAAGTGACAAGATTGACCATTAGCCCTTGGTTCTACTGATAACTTGTTTTTTTTTTCAGCAGAAAGCTTCTAAGCTTCACAGTTGAAGAGTAGATTGTTATGAAGAAATTCAGGCCCAAATTCCAATGAGTAGCAGCATTCAATTAATGCAATTCTTCTAGAATTGTTGGTAGATGGATCATCGTCTTTCTCCATTCTGTGGTCGTCTCACCTTGATCTGATAAAATATCTAGAGCCTCTCTCTCTCTCTCTCACACACACACACATACACATACACACACACACACTGTGAGCATGCACACATTACTACTGTCTCTATTCCCACTACTGTAACACCTACAGTGCTTTTGGGACTATATCTCTTTCCCGGGACATACTGCATTACTGTAAGTTCTTCCTTCCTTTCTTCCCTTTTCAGAGGGAGCAGAAAAAGTAATCACTTTTTCTGTAGATGTAGAGGCACTGATTGAAGAAAGGTGCCCATGTATGACTGCTTGATTTTCTGAGTGATACAAATCTTGGATCTTTGAGTCATGGGGAAGAAACACAGGGTCTCTCTACATTACTTAAGGCCATAGGTTTTCTTTACTTTAGTTTGTGAATTTCAATTTAGCAATGTAGAGTCTTCCCAGAAACTAATAATAGGTTGACTGAAAGTGTCAGTTTTGAATATTATCATAAAATGTCATCTTTCTCTGGGCCCTTACAGCCATTTTAAGCTAAATCAAGCACTGCTAAGAAAAAAAAACTTATTTCTGACATCTTAAACTATGATAAAAAACATTCCATCAGCATCATTTTGAGAAAAATTCAATCTTCCTTTAATGTTTACTCACAACCAAAAGCTATTCCCGAACATCTGTGTAATATTACTTTGACACAGATGGTAAAATAATTATTAATAAAATAGCACATGTAAATATTTGGATCCATTTCAGTAGAACTGAGAAAGCCACAAAATCATCTTACAAAGTAAATTTTCATTGCTGACTCAATGTGCATTTTACTTTGCACCAAAAGTGCTGCAATTTTCTTTGGTAGTTTTGAAATGAACAAGTAACATTTATTTTCAAGCCCCTTCAATGTAGTGTGCAAATGAGTTCATTTTTATTTCACAGGAGGCCAGGATCCACCTTTATCTCTTAGAATTGTACACAGGTCGGTAAACTGCTTTGAACTGACAAGGTCTAGTCTCCTAAATACAGCTTAACTTACCTTCTCAAAGAATAAAAAAAGAAAAAAGAAGAGACATAAAAAAACTTGAGAAAGTTTTTCAAAAACATAACACATATTGAATTTTTAGAAGTCTAGATGTCTTATAAATCAATGTAGAATAAGTCATTTCTACAGGCTTCCAAATGTTTCCCCTAATTTTTTAATGTCAGTTGTTTCATACTACTCTTTTATAATTTTTGTCATTTTTCATTTTTCTTGCACCAGTTTCATTTTAACAATTTGGAAGTTGATCTTCTTGTCCCTTGGACCATACAACAGGTTTGTTACTGTGTGTTCAGGCAGCCAAGGGTACTATGAGAAGTCCTGGACTAGGAGATGGAAAATCTAGATTGAGTGTTTCACTTGCATCACATGAGTTTTACCAGTGCTGTATGGTCAGCTGTCACCTGTCTGTATGGTCAGGCTGGTGTCAATTTGCAAACAATAACTGGTCTGCACCATGAGGATTATGGATATTGGGAGAAAGTATGAAAAATGTTATATAAATGAGGTAATTTTTTGTTTGTAGAATGATAATAAATAAGAATAAAAATATAAATCTGTATATTTTCTGTCTTCTTTTTATCATTTCATTTTTTCTAGCAAGTTTTAGTAATTTTACAAAAACATTCAATCTACAATGCATTAAAAATAAACTGACTCTTAACCCACAGAGAGTCTGAGAAGCACTGAGCTCTAATACATCCAGAGAGCCAATTAGTCTCTCAGAACCTGAATTTATCTGTAAAAATATGAATAATGAACTCCACCCTGCATTTTTTACAGAGTATGTGAAAACTAAACACAATTACGTATTCATAAGCTATTTATACCTATAAGGCCTCATATAAATATACAGTCATCATATACTAAGTAATAATTATTTGTGAAGTAGCATGGCATCTCAGCTAAAAGAAGCCTGGCATCTATTAGATACTAAAGGTTTTTATACTTTTTGTATAAATACAAAAATAGAAATTTTGGCAGTGGATACAATTGCACACAAAATAACTGTCTCAGGGAGCAGCATATGATTTAAAGGCAAGTCACATCATCTGTTAATAGCAAACTTTCTTTATCTATAAAACAAGGGTAATTATGACTATTAATTTTAGGTTGAGGTGAGGTTGAAATAATACACGAAAGTATTTAGTGGTTATTACTTGGTATGTGAAAAGTATTAAGTATTAGTCTTATATCTTTAAGCTCTTTATGCTAAGAAAACTACTGAATTCTTTATATGCAATGTCTTAGTTAATCCTTATAAAAAGTTTAACCAGACAACAACAATAATCTCCATTTTAAAATAGGGAAACGAAGATTCAAACAACGTCAGCAACTTCCACAGTCCTACACAGCTACTTTAAATCCATGTCTGTCTATAAAAAAATGTGGTCAAGTTTCCCATAGAATACTACCTCCCTAAAGTCTTCCAAGTCATGAAAATACATTTCACAGGGTACATTTTAGAAGCTTTCTCATTTTATTTATAAACTATGCAGACTTTTTGCATAAGACACAGAATCGAAAGATATCCTGAAACCTAGAAAAAGAGACTCACTTACCAGTTTGAATTGTTGGGCTCTTCATGCTGGTAGTGGCCACTTTCGGTGCTCTGCTCTGAGCTTCTTCTCATAACCCTATTTCCAGGCTGCCAAAAAATAGGAAATGAAAAGAAAAATGACACTCGCTTGCTTCAAGAAGGATTTTACTATATTAATGGCCATAACGGTAATAATTAACATATATAGTATTTGTTATATAAAGGTTTGAAAGAAACACAGTAGGGATTAATTCACTTCACATGTGTGTGGTTTTCCATTTTGAAGTTAAGAATATTGTTATGTTTATCTGCAATCCACGGAACATAACAATCTATTAAAATTAATCATTAAATTATTTATTTATTTATTTATTTTGAGACGGAGTCTCGCTCTGTCGCCCAGGCTGGAGTGCAGTGACACAATGTCTGCTCACTGCAGGCTCCGCCTCCCGGGTTCACGCCATTCTCCTGCCTCAGCCTCCCGAGTAGCTGGGACTACAGGCGCCCGCCACCACGCCCGGCTAATTTTTTGTATTTTTAGTAGAGACGGGGTTTCACCGTGTTAGCCAGGATGGTCTCGATCTCCTGACCTCGTGATCCTCCCGCCGCGGCCTCCCAAAGTGCTGGGATTACAGGCGTGAGCCACCGCGCCCGGCCTATTTTCTTGTTTTATTAAATAGATGAATAAAGGAAACTCATGTTTAAAGCCATTCATATATTTGAAGATCTGTGTACTTAAACTCCAGAAGGCAAAATGGTATTTTGTTATAACGTAATGAAGAGAAAACAGACCGGAAGGAGACAAGACTTGCTGTGTCCGTAAACCTGCTTTCAAAGGTTAAAATCTGACAATGTGGTCAGCATGCAAGTCTAAGATTATTCTTTGTCGTTTATGTATTTAATATAATGGACAAGTCAAAAACAGTAATGATTAATTTATTAAGGAAAATTTAAATCCAATCAGTTAAAAACTGGAATCTGCTTTTGGAATTGTAAAGTTGTAAAAGGAAATGAGATGTTCTTTTCAGGATTAGAATATGACATTTCCATTTTCTTGATCAATCATTTCCTTCTTCCCCTACTCCACACCAGCTCCCTTCAGTGAACCACAGAAAGAGAGAAAGATAAGTTGGCAGAAAACAGTAGAAACTATTCTAGGATCATTTGCACTCTCTCAAAAGAACTATAATGAGGAAAAAAATGCTTTCTGAAAATAATTAGAATGTCAATCACTTTCCTTAAACTTCATGTTTACATATCAGATTTCCTACATGACACTGCCACTTGTGTGACCAATGATAATGGCAATAATTACGTATTGTTTACACTGTATCATGAACTGTTCTTAGTATTTTAGGGTATGATCTAATTTAATATTTACAAAAACCCTGGAAGGCAGGTGTTATTAATATCCCTACTTTTAATGATGAGAAAAATGAGGCACAGTTTAAGTGAATTATTCAAGATCCACAGCTAGTAAAAAAAACAGGGTAGGATTTGAACTTTTTCAGAACCCATTCTCTTAATCTTCAAGGTATTCTATTACCTTTCAAACTTGACCCAAATTGAAATTCTCCATTTTCCTCATATACCTTCTTAAGTCTTCCCCCATTTTCTAGGAAACTGAAACATTTGCCTTGTATTCAAGCCAGAAATGTAGGCATCTCCTTGATACCTTTCTTTTCCATGTGATTTTACAGGCTAATTATAGCTAATACCCATATAATTCACTTCAATACTCCAATTGAAGCTACCATCATCTATCCCTTAGAATATAGCAAGAGCTTTCTACCTGTTCTCACTGATCCCACGCTTGACACCTTCTACAATAAATTGCTCACATAATTCATAGCGTAAATCATCATTTTACTTCTTTGGTTAAAATTATTCAATGGCTTTTTATTGCACATGGAATAAAATACAATGATCTATTGTGGTCTACAACTTCTGAAATGAGCTGGCTGCAGCCGATCTCTCAAACATTACCGTATATAGTTCTTTTCCATTTTTCCACTAACTCATTTTCTAATAAGCCATGGTCTTCAGCAACTAAGGACTTTGGGAATCAACCCTGGAAGGCTCTGAGACTGGATACTTTTCATCCCACAGGTCTCAGTTTAAAAGTCACTTACTCAAAGAGAGTCTTTCCTTCCATCATAACCTACAGCCATGTTTTAATTTATCTGTTTAATTATCTATTATCGCTCCTCCTCACTGAAGAAACCAGTAACTGTCAAATAGCGCTGAAGTAAGCTTGTGCAATGAGGCATCAGAGTGATTATTTCAGGACATATATATTGATTTTATTTATACCAAACAACAACATTTATATGTGATTTTAACTAGCAGCATTTGTTTTTTTCCTATCTGAATCATTCTACTAAAATATATGCAGCCCTCTAATCTTTGTTTCTGTTTTTTTTTCTCAGTTTGATTTAAAGCATTGCTTCTCAAGCTTAAAACAAATATGAGTTACATGGAGATTTATAGGCACATTCATCAAACTGCAGATTTTTCATTCAGTGAGTCTAGGGTAGGGCTGCAGAATCTGTATCCATCACATAGGTTACTCTGATGGTGTTGATCTACCCACCACATTTTGAGTAACAAGAATTCAGAAGATAGGTCACAGTTTTAGATGGTTTCAGAAAGATTCTTGAATGATTCCTATTGTATATTTCTGTGTGTTTGTGTGTGTTTTCCATGTGCAAAAATACTATTATAACAATAAGTTTTTTAAACGTACATTTTCCTCTTCAGACAAATGCCATTCCTGTGAGATCAACAATACATCACTAAGTAGTTAACAAACCATACATACTTCTTCTCTTACTTACTTTGTAATTTGTCAATAATTCTGAATAAAGATTGTCCTTGCCTTGAAGATAAGTGTGCACCCTGATGTCACCTAATGCAGACACCTTTAAATTTAATAACACATGAAATATATAAAATACTGGAATTTTGTAATTGACCAATATTTGAGCTAACTTCTGCACTTTTCTGTGCTTTTTTCTATATTTCTGATTCCTTTTACAGTATACATTTTAGCTTTCATTCATGAAGTCCTATAATACATTGTGGTAAATATGTGTGTTTATATACTTTTATGTACTTATGTTATTTCATTTAATTGATAAATTGATGAAATTAAAGTTAAAAGTAGTAGTTATCATTTTGGGCTCTTACTAATGGCGAGGCACTGTATTAGTGCTTTGTATATATTAACTATCATTACAAAAATGAACTATTAATACATAGAGACAGAATTTTGGGATGGAAGAATTAGTTCAAGCATATATATTTTAAAAGTGGCAAAAATGATATTAAATTCAGTTATGCTCAGCCTTGTTTTTATAATCAAGGGAAATTTAATTTTTTTTTAAAGAATCATATCTCTGCTAGAAGATATTTTAGGTAGCCAATTATATTACAAAAGAGAACATAGGAACTAGCTTTGTATTATATACTTTATTAAAGGACAATATGCCAAAATAAGAAGTGTTTGCAAAAGCACAGGAAATGTCATTATAAATTTTACAGAATACTGATTACAGTCGTTATTTCCAAAATTTAGCAAAAGATCATTTTGTTGCTAAATATTACTGCCAAAGATCTTTCTGAAGGCATAGGTTTTAATCAATTTTGAAAGAATGAAATAAAATAAGTAGATGTTTAATAATGGCAGACCCATGTAATACATAAATGCTTATGTCTGACATATTTTTCATTTAAGAATGATAGACCAGGTGACAAGAATATGCTTATTTCTTACTTGTCTTTTCAGCAAAATTTCCAAACAACAATGTATTTCAGGAACATGTGTCTAGTTCCTTTAAAGAACAGTCATTGGTCCTATCTATAATGACTATTTCTCCCATATAAGTACCATACTGAAGAATGTCTTAACTACTGGAACCATGTCATCTGTGTGTGTGTGTGTGTGTGTGTGTGTGTGTGTGTGTGTATGTGTGTATGTGTATATATACGTAGGTATATATATATATATATATATATATATATATATATATATATATATGTACATTTTGAGAGAAACTTAAATAGGGTTACTTCCTAAGCAAAATTTCAACCACCATAATAAATTGCTATTATTTGTTTTGATAGATTATGTAATGCTATGATTTCTGTGAGGTTCATTTACGTTTACAAGGAGTTGCTATTATAATCATTGTAGGTCAATAATGGTTTCACTTAGATTCAATTATCAAAACAAGAACTTTTAACAACACAGGAAAGACAAGGTATTTGCCCAATGGGTTAGTATGGCTCTTTTCTAAGAGAGGTTTAATAAGAGCTGGTCAGTTCATTTTCTTCATTATTTGAGACCCACCTTATGATTTTCTTTGCACATATGTTCAAATGCTATCTTCAATAATTTCTTTGAAAGGAAACACTTAAGTGCCTTCATAATATAAAGCATCTTAATTCTGATTATGTTTGAAAGCCAGTTATTCAGAGAAATTTATTCTTTTTCAAGAGCAGATGGGAACAGGCTCAAGGAATCCATGGCAGAAGACACAAACATGGAAGTAAAATGACAATTGTTTAGGTAAATTTCTGATAGGAATAAAGAGAAAAATAAATTGTAGATTGAAGTGTTTGTTTGTTGGAAGGGAAAACAAGGTTAAAAATTAAAGGGGGAAACTATTGCCAGGAGGAAGAATTCAGTAACTTTAATATCCTTCAGTTAATGTCTTACTGGAATAACTTACCACCTCACCTTGCAACTGGCTTCTCAGATTTCAGTCTCTTTCTTGTGCAGTCTACTCCTAAAATGCTTTCAGGCTTTCTATCCAATTTTCTTACTTTATTTTACTTTCAATTTTTTTTGTTAGTATCCTATCTGTCCTTTTAGGCCCTGATTCCCTTCTATAACATATAACTTTATAGAGGGTTAATTGACTTTCCTGAAGAAACAAAAGGCATTGCGACTTCTCTATTTCTATGGCTCCAACCACCTCTTGCCCCTTACTGCAACAATTTCTCAACTAAGTCATCTGCCTCAACAACAGTCCTGCCTCCTTTTCATACATCAATTTTGTTCCCAATTTCACCAGATTAAATTCTCCAATCCAAAACTATAATGTTGTCAACTCATTATCAAAAGATTTCTCAAGCTCCCCTGTGTAATACAAGGTTGGAGAATGGGCATGGAGCCCCATTTCTAACTCCAAAGCCTGGGCTCAAAGTCTTCAAATGTCTTTGATTTACCTTTTTGGGCTCATTTCCTATGTGCAAATTCATAATGCAAAAGTGTATTGCAAATAGTTAAGATCTTCATAACTGTGACTAAATTCATGCTCAGAAAAAATATGCAAAATAATTATTAATATCCATATTTTGTAATGAGACAATTGAAACATGGAGATGTTATGGCTACTCTAAGCCTTTAGTTAACCTAATAAATAGTAGTAACCAGGCCTTCTACCTCCACAGCCTATACGCACCAAAATTTATTTGTCCTCTAATTTGCATGATTAGCCACTTCTTTAAATACTTTATTTTCCTTTCTCTGAAGACAGATTTGTGCATATTTATATTCAGAGGAACATTCCTTTGAGTCTCTTTATTTTCAAGTATTTGTCACCTTCCAATATCTAGATCAAATGCTAACTCCCTCTATTACTTTCAACTGGAAATGCTGTCGCCCTCCTCTGTGTAAGTTTTATTTATTTATTTATTTATTTATTTTTTATTATTATACTTTAAGTTTTAGGGTACATGTGCACAATGTGCAGGTTAGTTACATATGTATACATGTGCATTGCTGGTGCGCTGCACCCACTAACTCATCATCTAGCATTAGGTATATCTCCCAATGCTATCCCTCCCTCCTCCCCCCACCCCACAACAGTCCCCAGAGTGTGATGTTCCCCTTCTTGTGTCCATGTGTTCTCATTGTTCAGTTCCCACCTATGAGTGAGAATATGCGGTGTTTGGTTCTTTGTTCTTGTGATAGTTTACTGAGAATGATGATTTCCAATTTCATCCATGTCCCTACAGAAGACATGAACTCATCATTTTTTATGGCTGCATAGTATTCCATGGTGTATATGTGTCACATTTTCTTAATCCAGTCTATCATTGTTAGACATTTGGGTTGGTTCCAAGTCTTTGCTATTGTGAATAGTGCCGCAATAAACATATGTGTGCATGTGTCTTTATAGCAGCATGATTTATAGTCCTTTGGGTATATATCCAGTAATGGGATGGCTGGGTCAAATGGTATTTCTAGTTCTAGATCCCTGAGGAATCGCCACACTGACTTCCACAATGGTTGAACTAGTTTACAGTCCCACCAACAGTGTAAAAGTGTTCCTATTTCTCCACATCCTCTCCAGCACCTGTTGTTTCCTGACTTTTTAATGATCGCCATTCTAACTGCTGTGAGATGGTATCTCACTGTGGTTTTGATTTGCATTTCTCTGATGGCCAGTGATGATGAGCATTTTTTCATGTGTTTTCTGGCTGCATAAATGTCTTCTTCTGAGAAGTGTCTGTTCATGTCCTTTGCCCACTTTTTGATGGGGTTGTTTGTTTTTTTCTTGTAAATTTGTTTGAGTTCATTGTAGATTCTGGATATTAGCCCTTTGTCAGATGAGTAGGTTGTGAAAATTTTCTCCCATTTTGCAGGTTGCCTGTTCACTCTGATGGTAGTTTCTTTTGCTGTGCAGAAGCTCTTTAGTTTAATTAGATCCCATTTATCAATTTTGGCTTTTGTTGCCATTGCTTTTGGTGTTTTAGACATGAAGCATATCTACAACTATCTGATCTTTGGCAAACCTGACAAAAACAAGCAATGGGGAAAGGGTTCCCTATTTAATAAATGGTGCTGGGAAAACTGGCTAGCCATATGTAGAAAGCTGAAACTGGATCCCTTCCTTACACCTTATACAAAAATTAATTCAAGATGGATTAAAGACTTAAACGTTAGACCTAAAATCATAAAAACCCTAGAAGAAAACCTAGGCATTACCATTCAGGACATACGCATAGACACATTTTAAGAAAGATTTTTCTACCTAGCCCATGTTGCTCTGTTCCAAGATAACTTTATTACCTGGTGGTAGTTACCTAAATTGCAGGCACATTGTAAAGAAGAATTAAATAGTCTCAAATACAGGATTTGCATTTCAAAACCTAAAACGTGCAAGGTATTGGAATCCCATTTCAGCTATACAAGTTCAGGATAGGTAGATTCATTTAATATAAAACAACTTTTGTTAGCATTCAGATTGTTTCTCCTTAACTCTATTATCATCATTTGTCTAGCTCTTCACTACTGTTGAAAATCTTGCTGATATTCCTATCTCCAAAGCAATGGACTATCTGCTGATAAAGTGTTTATTTTGTGTACTGCAGGCATTTTGGAAATAGCTCTTGGATCAAACTAAATGAGTTCCAGTATAAATAAAGAACCTAAGACATTGCAGGTGGCACTCAGCAAGATATTGGTGTGACAGCTAGAGATGCGGTGTGACCCTCTGCAAATGATGTTTTGTATTGAGTGCAGGGTCTAATAAAATGAGTTCCATCATGGAACTTTTGTGCTCATTGAAATCTGTTTTAAACCTAAATATGAGGTTTCACTGCTGCTTTAGTGACAGGAAAAAAAAAAAGATAAAAAAAGAACTGTAACTAGGATGGTAGCTTGAGTCACATTCAGGCCTTAAAATAACTGTTAAGTATGTACTTTCTATTGTAATCAAAGTGAGAAGTGAAATAATATTTGTATTATATATGTTGTCTCACTGTGGCATTATTTCAAATATACTGAAACATGATTTACTTTATTCTAAAACTTATGGCACATTTTACAGTTTGATTCATTTCCTAACATTTTCAATGCTGTAGTTCATTAAATTATACTTGTTTCATATAAGCCACCAAGAACATCCACTGTTAACCTAAAAAGATTGGGAGGAAAAGGATTGTTTTAAACACATTCTATTTCCTTCATGTAGATCAATGAAGACAGCTTCCTAAAGAACTATATTTTCCTCACTGTTGCAGGAAAAGCTTCAGATTATGGTAACTTAAGTAGAGAGAAAGAAATACCACCTCAATATACCAGGCTAAGCTTTATCTACAGCCTGGGCATTTAATTAGGGGTTCTAGTGTCAGCAACAGCTTCCAGTAGCATGGTCTTTTTTAAAGTACCCTTCACCTGAATGAGGTGAGTAAGAATTGCTGATGAGGTTTGACTATCATCCATTGGGAATAGCCTAATGACTCACATAATTACACAATCTTCAAGTAATAAGCGACTCAGTTTGTCCAGTCTATCTCCCATTCAATGTGGAGTATACCAGCTTTTGTTGACAAGGAGGGCCCATAATGTGGTTCTCTTAGCACCAAGAATGGAGCTTGAAACAGCAGCTCCAACTGTTGGATAAATCTGTTTATATAGAGTGGAAGGCTTGTACCTGTCATACATCCGTCCAAGTTTTGCCCTCTAGAACTATACAAAATACACAGAATCCCAGTTTCATGAGGCAGCTCTTCAAGTAATTGAAGGAAGTTATCACTGCCCTGCAGGATATAGAACATCTTTCAGACTCAACATCACCACTTTCTTGAATACAAAATGGCAGCCACATTCCTCACGTGACATGTTTGTAGATACTTCACTATTCTGGTCACCCTCTTTTGGATGTACTTCAATTTGTCAATGTCTCCTTTTAAAATACATTGAACACTGTATGACATTTCTGGAGCTACTAGCAGACATGGAACACCATGAGAATAACTAAATTTATCTGGCTTGTGACTAGTGACAAGGTCTAAACTTAAATAAAATTTCTATTTCCCAAAAGTGGTCAGAGAAGGAACTTTACAATATTAATGGATTAAAAATTCAACTTTAAGTCTGCTGGTGTTACAAAGTAGTGTCAGAGAGAGACATCATCTACAGGGTGTTGTGAGCAACCCACAGACAACACTTCAATCAATTGTCTGTTAAGTCTCCAAAATATTGAACTCTTAGAGAGGGATGGAAAGAACATCTGTCAGAGAAAGGACATCTAGGTCATGACTCTCCCCTCAAACAGCTCAGTAAACTTGAACAAGTCACTAATGCCTGTGGTTCTCAGTTTCTCCATTATCAAGTGAAAGCGTTGACTAAATCATCTCTAAGATTCCATGTAAACCATAATATTTCCTGGTAAGGGATTTCAATGATTCCCAACTTCTTATTTGTCAGAAATCATTCTAAAATCCTGTCTTTGATTACAATTTGACCCAAATTTAAATAGTTTTATCTTCAATAAAAAGCTGAGAAAAGTGCTTCAGCAGTTCCTCCAGTCTTCCTACTTACTGGTTCATTGGCTGATTCACTAAGCAACTTACTTTATTATATACTATGAGCACAGCACAGTGCATGGCACTCCGGATGATACAAAGTAATATCATCACAGCTGTTTCTCTTGAAGAACCTACAGTCTAGTTATGTAGATATACCTACACCATAACCTAGCTAGACTATAATATGCTACAATTTAAAGTGTAAAAGTATGAGTATCAAGTAAATGATAATGACATTAAATAATAGTAGAATCAGAGGAGAGAAAGCTCATTATAGCCTGAAGAGATGAAAAATACCTCATGAAGGATATATAAGGAGACAGTATAAGTTGATGAGGTAGGATTTTGATATCTGAGAGAGGGAAGTATTTGTGTACTGATAAGATAAAGCATATTTCTTGATAAAGAGTCTTCCATTGCTCTAGAAATTATGTGGCCACAGCATGCAACAACCCTGAAACATGGTTGCTGAAACCAACCCCTTGTACACATATTTCCACCCTGCTTAGTTAGCAAGATACAACCATCAGTCACAAGGTTTGACACTCCCATGGGGCCTGTGCAGCCCTGTAACTATTAGGAGACCTAAGAACAAGAGGAGATATTTACTTTTGGGTTCTAAAATATACTCAGAAGATATAAGTGGAAAAAAATATCTTGTTGGCAACTGGCATTGAAGGAGGTGATTTTGAGCCCTGCAACTGCCAAATCACTATTCTTATTCTTGGTGTCTCTACTGATTGGTATGGCAGAGGTTACTTTAATTATGGAGCCAGGTGACACAGCTTGGAATGACTAACTTTTTGGTAGGAGAAAAGGCACATACTCTCGGAATTAATTTCAATTAGTCTGAAAAGACATCAATTTAGTATGGATGAGGAGAGCTGAGGATATCCTTCTAATGCTGATTTGAAATCCAGCACGTCCAGACTACTGAGTGTTGTTCACTTCTTCTAATAATCTGCTTGAGGGTAACACTAGCTGTTGTTTGGCCTAATTATTTTCTTGATGACAACAGGCACAGCAATGACAATTGAAAGATTCCGTGTGGCAATTTCTTACACACAAGAAAAGTAAATGTAGGTCGTTATGTTTGGCAATTTGTGTGTTGCAAATGACTGATAGAAAGTAATAGGTGCTAAGTAAATACTAAGTAATTGAAGTCTGACAAAAACTAGGGTTCCTTTGTGTTATTTAGAGAAAAAAAAATGTTTATTCCAATGAAGATATTGTCTCCTGGAAATTTTTCCCAGTGCCTTATATTTTCCAAAGAAAGTACACATACATACATATGTTCATGTGCATATGCACATGTGTGTGCATGCATGTATGTGGGTGTGTATGTATTCTTTTTCTATTGCTCAGATTTCCTTTTAAAAAGGTATTCCTCAGGTACAGGAGACATCTAGTTCTGTTATAATGAATAGTGCTCTCGTTCTATGAGGCCTCCAAACAAATGGTACTTCAATGTAAAAAAAATCTTGGGTTGACCCTCCTTCAACTCATGAAACACAACCTCATGTTCCAAAAAACCCCACAAAATGGAATTTTAAAAATAATAATAAAATAGTGATATAAACTCACAATCTATGACTAGAGATAGAGTTTATAGGACATACAGCCAGACTCTCTTTTGTAGGATGCTTGCAGTCTCTCCATTAAGGGTACTGAGTTATTTGACACAAAGAGAAAAAACATTTAAGAGGCTGAGTGCCAAGCAGAGACAGCGGGAGCAGTTCCAGAGGAAGATGGCCTCAAGGTAGAGTAAAAGAAGGTATGGAGTCAAAAATGTAACCCATATATAGAGTAAACCATAGAAAGAAAAAGTGGAGCTCTGCTTGGATGGAAGAAAGCCCATATAAAGTTACAGTTCCTCACTAATCTAACAGATCATATTGTGGAGACAGACATTGGTCCCCATCGGGTAGGAAACTAGCTTCTTTTCATCCTCTGTACCTTTCCAATAGCAGGTGGTCTTCTAAGAGTTTATAGAACACTGAAATCTTTTGATAAATATTCTTTTAGTATGCTTTTCTCACCACTGTGATTTGGGGAATGCATTAAAGAATAAATTGATATTTTCAATTTTGACTCACCAGGTATTTCTGGAATGCAGGTAAGGTGATTTAGCATAAGCCAATCCTACTTGAATAAGCCTGATATGATTGTTTTAGAAACAACTAAATAGAGTTTGGGTCATATGCATAACAATTCTTATGCCAAAATTTTAAAGGAAATTTATCTGAAAACCTTTGAAAGCCACATTTATGAGAGCCAATTTATTATAATCAATTCTCCCATGGAACATTCTCTACTTCTTCTCAACTCACATGAAATGTGTTGGAAATGTCAAATTTCCCAATGAAAGGTTGAATAAAGTGTATACAAATATCCATAATACACCCACAAGAAATACTAACATAAACAGCAGCATAAATCTTGATTTTTTCTGCACTGTGACACCTTAGGCCTGAGAATGCTGCTAGCTACATTCAGACTTGATCCTAATTTATTGCTGATATGACACAAATGTTAAATACAGCTGCAGCCATTAACCGAAACTCATTAATTAGAAAATAAAATTATGGAATATTTTTTCAGCTTAATTTGCCAAGATGCTCTCAGTCAACACAGGTTAGGTGTTTGATGAAGCTTCCCAGCTTTTAATATGACCCATAATGTATAGATCAAAAGCCAAACAAAACAAGAGAAAACAATTAGCTATTTAGCCTATTTAAAAGTATACACACATGTATACTCTGAAAAGCATGCTTTTAAAGTATAGCCCTGCTGACATCTATTTTGAATATATACACATTCTTTCTTACCAAACCAAATGACAGTCATTTCTCTAGGATAAAAACATTTCTCCCACTTTCCCCATGGAGGTGATTTTGAGTAGCAAAAAAGCTACAGGAGTCATAGGATAAGAATTTCAAGAGCTAAAAATTAATGTGGATTCTTAAGGTTTCTGTGCTTTTTAATGTTTGGCAAATATTTGAGAGTGCCTGCAGAACTCTAAAAAGACATTAAGAAAAAACTTTAAGAGATGTAATGATATCCCACATAAACAGGGAAACTTACTGAATACTGTAGCAAAGAAACACTGACCCAAGGAACTGAAATATATTACTTACTAATTAAATTAAATATTATTATAAATAGATCCAACTTCTTCACAGAATCATCCAAAGTGAGTTATCCTAAGACCATTAAGGCAAGACAATATAGGATAGTGGTTAAAACACCAGCTCTAGAATGAAACCTTCAGTTAAGGTCTTAGCACTGCCATTAATTGTTTATATATTAAGCAGGTTATTTGACTTATCTAAGTCAACCCTTTCTCATTTGCAAAATAAGAAAACAACAGCACATATTTCATATACTTGTGAGAATCAAAGGAGTTTTTTTGTGTATTTGGAACATAATGAGTCACATATGTAGTTATTTTTAATTTTGCAAATATTATTAAGTAGTATCTCCAAGTATAAAACTTCAATGAAAGATTTTTCTAGAAATAATCTCATCAGAGCTATCTTTCCACATGATGGTCCTGGTTATACTAAATCACAGTTCAAAGTTAAATTGTAATGGTGCTTGAATTAATCATATTATTTGCTGTCATCAAATTGTGTGATGGTGAATAAGGCTGGATAAATATTGGTCTATAAATGTTCGACCAATAAACAAATACCTTATATTTTGTCCAGTGTTTTGAAATTTACAAAATGTTTTGAAATAAATTATTTTTATTTGTTTAGCCAATGCTATTGAGACCGAGGCTTCAAGAACTGCAAAGATGTTTAAAGGAATCAAAAAAGCTTATATTCTAATGATGCATATAGGGTAGAGGTGGGGAATTCCTCTACTCACTTCTCTACATTCTGGCATAAATTGTCAGTTTCCAGAATACTGACTGAGCAATATTTATAAATGATCATGATATCACACTTTAAAATGTCACAATCCAGGGAGGTGAGAGTAGCTTTTCTTCTACAATTCACTGCAACCTCCATCTCCGGGTTTCAAGAGATTCTCCTGCCTCAGCCTTCCAAGTAGCTGGGACTACAGGCATGGACCACCACGCCTGGCTAATTTTTGTATTTTTAGTAGATACAGGGTTTCGCCATGTTGGCTGGCTAGTCTCGAACTCCTGACCTCAAAGTGATCCACCTGCCTCAGCCTCTCGAAGCATTGGGATTACAGGCATAAGTCACTGCGTCCAGCCCATCCTTCCTTTTAATATTGTGGCTAAAAAAGGGCTTGTTCTTTGAGGATAGGCCTGAACTTTTGTTCTCTTGTCTGTTCTTGTATTTTGCTGTGACTTTCTAAGTCCGTTAGCCACCTGCTAAAGCTGAGGTTTAGGAAGATAAGGAAGCTGGGCGTGGTGGCTCACACCTTAATCCCAGCACTTTGGGAGGCCGAGGCAGGCAGATTATGAGGTCAGGAGATCGAGACCATCCTGGCCAACATGGGACACTCTGTCTCGACTAAAAAAACACAAAAATTAGCTGGGGGTGGTGGTGCGTGCCTGTAATCTCAGCTACTCCGGAGGCTGAGGCAGGATAATCACTTGAACCAGGGAGTCAGAGGTTGCAGTTAGCCGAGATTGCACCACTGCACTCCAGCCTGGAAACAGAGCAAGACTTTGTCTCAAAAAAAAAAAAAAAAAAAAAAAAGTAAGATAAGGAAAGGCATATAGGTATGATTTATGTAATAAGTAAAGTATATAATTCCAATTAGCAGACCAATATTTATATAATCTTTTATAAGATAATGAATGAAAATAAAATCAAAGAGCAAGAAAGTGCTAGACTCAGTCTTGGCATAAAATCAGTCAGCAAAGTCCCAGGTTAGTAAAAAGGTATATGGTGTGAGCTGCTTTCGAATCCTACCCCAGTAGGTGGTTAAAACTTCTAGGTAGAGTTAGGGGAGCAGGCCCAGTGGAACAAGTAAACTTCAAGTTCCAATACAACCTTGTGGGAAAGGCAAGCTTATATTGCCGGAGTTTAACAAAAGAAAATATACTGAGGCTTAGAAATATTGAATAAGTGGTTCTCAAATGTAGTCTATAGACTGCTCCTTACTAGCTGTACAATAATTAGCTCAAGTGTTTGTTAAAAAGCAAATTTTCCTATCTCTAACCCAAAGAAAGTCTGATTGAGTAAACTTGGGTGAACTAGGAATGTGCATTTTAAAAACTTCCCAGGTAAATCTCATAGAGTGGGAGTTTTGTGAGCAACTGGGTTAAACAATTTGCACAGAGTCATAAATACAGTGAGTGCTAAAGCCAGAACTAGAAGCCACTGTGCTCCAGGTTCCTTCATTACAGATTTCCTAAAGGTAATCTTGAATTAATTTAGTTTACTTATGTATAAGACAATAGAAACATAAACTCAGATTATGTGAAGTGTCCTACCTAATGGCCAATATAAACCTATATCTTAAATATCAACATTTTAATGGTTTTTGCAAGGGTAGAGAGAAGTAACATTCTCACATAATACTGGGATTGTATAAATTAGTTTAACCTTTCTAAAGGGTAGTTTTTCGTAATCTATCAAAACTACTAGATTATTGTACATAATTTATCATCCAATAATTTCACTTCAAGAAAACTATTCTACAGCTATGCATCTCACATATATCAAAGGGTGTATGTAAAAGATGTTTATTGTAAAATTATTTGTAAATGTTAAAATCTGGAAAAAAATACAAATCTTTCAAAACCAAAGAGAAAACAATGTATATAGAGTTACTAGAAAATTATTTGAAGGATACATGAATAATTCTTAACAGTGGTTAACTTTGGAAAAGTGAGATGGGAGTATTGTAGTGTGTATGTTTCTTGTTGCCATTGTAACAAATTACTACAAACTGGGTGGCTTTAAACAGCACAAATGTATTTTCTTCAAGCTCTGGAAGTAAGAAGTCTGAAATGAGTCTTATGGAGCTAAAATCAAGGTGTATGCAGGGCTGATTCTTTCTGGAGGCTTCAGTGATAAATATATTCCTTGTCTCTTGCAGCTTCTAGAGGCCTCTTGGCATTCTTTGGCTTGTGGCCACATCACTCCAATCCCTGTGTCTGTGATCACATTGCCTTCTTATCTGTTTTAGAAGGACCCTTGCCATTCCATCAGGCCCACTCATGTGATACAGGATAATCTCTGCATCACAGAATCCTTAACCACACATGCAAAATCTATGTTACCAAATAGAGTAACATTCACAGGTTCCAAGCAGCAGGATACAGCATTTTTGGGTCACCAGTTTTCTGCCTACCACATGTTCGGAGTAAGTATTCTTTTTATTATCCTCTTCTTTGCATTATTTGACTTATTTTAACTATGTTTTTGTATTAACTTTAAAATAAAATTAAACCTAATTAAACATTTAAAATCAAATGGAAACCTGTGCCTTTCTTAGGCACACTGTGATATATCAGCTACAAGTGCAATATTTCATTTTTGAAGAAGGATTTATTTATGCCCCAGTTTGTTCCAAAGAGTATTTAGGCAGTTTATAAAACAGGCTCCAATAGTAAAATAAATAAAATTGAAAGCTGAAATGGGATTAGAAATATAATAACATGAGAATGCTTATACTATAATCTTATGAGTAAAAATACTTGCTTTGAATAGGCATAAATCTTGTTTTGAGGTTCCTGACTGCTAAAGCAAAAAGGGAAACTGTGGGAAAAAGGGTGTATTATTTGTATTGTTGGCAACTGAACAAATGTATCAAATTATTATAAAGAGGAGATAGATCTTTCTAGTACTAAGCTCACAGAAAATTTTGCATGGGCATCATTGTATGGGGCACTTAGTGTTGCCAATAACATTCAAAACAATTTCATATCAGATTTCAAAATTTCAGCTTTTGCTCTCTCTCCCGTGATTCCTAATAGAAAAAGATGTTGCCAGGAATGCTCCACACAGAACTAAATTCCATTCGGTGTTGTGTATCTTGCATGTGCCAGTGAGACTAAGTGGAATACAACAATGTCTGATCAATTTGTCTAAACTATCCAGTCTCCCAGTTTCAATGTCTTGGGGGAAAAATTCTATGACAAACAAATAAAGCATTGAGAACACATAGCATTAACTCGTATGCTGAAAACCTGAAAGCTTTATGCTAGCCTGTAGCGAATTTTTAGGAAGAATCCAAAAGTACAGCAAAGTATGTGTATAATATAAATGTTGCCACCGTTGTAATGAAGGATATGCTGTTGGCAACCTGAAGCTGCATAACATAGCTTTAGGTGACAATAAAATTCCACATAGTCCTGTCAAGCTTAATGTTGGTTGTTTTTGTTAAAAGTAGGGCTTTACAAATCATTCTGGGTCTTTTCCAAAGTTCTACTAAACTCCTGAAATACTAACAGCTGTTAATTATTCCCTCCATTGAAGAAGATGCATTGAAAGGTTTCAGCTAAAGAGATCCCTAAACATAAATGAGTCTCTGAATTCCAACCAGCATCTAGAGGGACTACTAAACACTGCCATAATACAGTCCACTAGGAAAGATCCTTCACCTGTCCTGGAGGGAAGAAGTCAATAAATGCAGAACTGCAAAGGACTCCTAAAAGAAAAACAACAACAACAACAACAAAAAAACGGTGAGGGGAGCGGGCGGGTGGACTACTTCATCACTGAGCAATTATCCTAAAAGCAGTTGCAGCTCACCAGATTTCAAAAATTTACAGAAGTGTTAACCTATTTTATTGGTGTAGGTACAAATAATAGAAAACCCAAAGAACTCTGACAGATGGGGGCTCATGTTTTTCAAGTCTCTAGGCTGGTTGAGATGCCTAAAGGTGTGTTTCTTAAAGGAAACAAGTATCCCCTGTCATCCTCATCCACAGTCCTTAGTTTGTGGCGTTTGTCCTATTTTATTTCCAGGCGATTATTTGCATTTCCTGACATAGGAAATGACCAAAGGAAGAAGGTCAAAGTGTTTCTCCTTATGAGGCTTTGCCTTTTTGTCCTAAAGGGAATCCCTTTGTTAATACTTCCACCTACATTTCTTTCTCCAGAACTAAAAACACGATCATCTCTCACTGCCAGGGTAACCAAGAAAGAAAGTATTTATAACTGACATATCACTTTTAAAATCAACATTGGGGGTCTGTTAGTAAAGATAACAAGTGAGGATGGATATTCAGTAGGCATTCAGCTAAGGATACCACAGACATCAAAAGAAGACATGATAATAAATCATTGGAGATATATTGGTAAATGCAGTACCTACTCTCTACCCATCTCTCCAAGTCTTTTCTAGCTGTTTCAGAGCAATTAAAGTGGGTAAAAAGATAGCTTATATGTTATTTGAAAAATCATGAAACAAACAAATATATAACAAAAATCTAATAAAATTCTAGTGTGATGGTTAATACTAAATGTCAACTTGATTACAGTGAAGGATGCAAAATTTTGTCCCTAGGTGTTGTCTGTGAGGGTGTTGCCAAAGGAGATTAACATTTGAGTCAGTGGACTGGGAAAAGCAGACCCACACTTAATCTGAGTGGGTACAGATCTAATAAACTGCCAGCACGGTCAGAATAAAAGCATGTGGAAGAACGTGCAAAGACTAGACAGGCTTAGCCTCCCAGTTTACACCTTTCTCCAGTGCTGGAAGCTTCCTGCCATCGAACATTGGACTCCAAGTTCTTCAGTTTTGGGACTTGACTGGCTTCCTCTCTCCTCAGCTTGCAGATGGCCTATTGTGGAACCTCATCTTGTGATGGTGTGAGTCAATTCTTCTTAATTGACTCCCCTTTATATATACATCTATGCTATTAGTTCTGTCCCTCTAGAGAACCTTGATTAATACACCTAGAATTAGGGATTCATAGATTATTAGATTGAGAATAAATATTAACATATATTTGTTTGGTGCAAAAGAAATACCGGTTTTTGCCATTACTTTTAAATCACAAAAACACAATTACCTTTGTATCAACCTAATATTTAGGCTACTTTTTTTTTAAATCATACTTTAAGCACTAGGGTACATGTACACAACTTGCAGGTTTGTTACATACGTATACATGTGCCACATTGGTGTGCTGCACCCATGAACTGGTCATTTACATTAGGCGTATCTCCTAATGTTATCCCTCCTCCTTCCCCCCACCCCACTACAGGCCTCAGTATGTGATGTTCCCCTTCCTGTGTCCAAGTGTTCTCATTGTTCAGTTCCCACTTTTGAGTGAGAACATGTGATGTTTGTTTTTTTGTCCCTGAGATAGTTTGCTGAGAATGATGGTTTCCAGCTTCATCCATGTCCCTACAAAGGACATGAACTCATCCTTTTTTATGGCTGCATAATATTCCAGGGTGTATATGTGCCACATTTTCTTAATCCAGTCTATAATTGATGGACATTTGGGTTGGTTCCAAGTCTTTGCTATTGTGAATAGTGCCGCAATAAACATACGTGTGCATGTGTCTTTAAAGCAGCATGATTTATAATCCTTTGGGTATATACCCAGTAATGGGATGGCTGGGTCAAATAGTATTTCTAGTTCTAGATCCTTGAGGAATCCCCACACTGTCTTCCACAATGGTTGAACAACTTTACAGTCCCACCAACAGTGTAAAAGTGTTCCTATTTCTCCACATCCTCTCCAGCACCTGTTGTTTCCTGACCTTTTAATGATTGCCATTCTAACTGCTGTGAGATGGTATCACACTGTGGTTTTGATTTGCATTTCTCTGATGGCCAGTGATGATGAGCATTTTTTCATGTGTCTGTTGGCTGCATAAATGTTTTCTTTTGAGAAGTGTCTGTTCATATCCTTCGCCCACTTTTTGATGGGGTTGTTTGTTTTTTCTTGTAAATTTGTTTGAGTCCTTTGTAGATTCTGGATATTAGCCCTTTGTCAGATGAGTAGATTGCAAAATTTTTTTCCCATTCTGTAGGTTGCCTGTTCACTCTGATGGTAGTTTTTCTACTGTGCAGAAGCTCTTTAGTTTAATTAGATCCCATTTGTCAATTTTGTCTTTTGTTGCCATTGCTTTTGGTGTTTTAGACATGAAGTCCTTGCCCATGCCTATGTCCTGAATGGTATTGCCTAGCTTTTCTTCTAGGGTTTTTATTGTTTTAGGTCTAACATTTAAGTCTTTAATCCATCTTGAATTAACTTTCGTATAAGGTATAAGGAAGGGATCCAGTTTCAGCTTTCTACATATGGCTAGCCAGTTTCCCCAGCACCATTTATTAAATAGGGAATCCTTTCCCCATTTCTTGTTTTTGTCAGGTTTGTCAAAGATCAGATGGTTGTAGATGTGTGGTATTATTTCTGAGGGCTCTGTTCTGTTCCATTGGTCTATATCTCTGTTTTGATACCAGTACCATGCTGTTTTTGTTACTGTAGGCTTGTAGTATAGTTTGAAGTCAGGTGTCTCTATTTCCTTCATTTCTGCTCTGATCTTAGTTATTTCTTGCCTTCTGATAGCTTTTGAATGTGTTTGCTCTTGCTTCTCTAGTTCTTTTAATTGCGATGTTAGGGTTTCAATTTTAGATATTTCCTGCTTTCTCTTGTGGGCATTTAGTGCTATAAATTTCCCTCTACACACTGCTTTAAATGTGTCCCAGAGATTCTGGTATATTGTGTCTTTGTTCTCATTGGTTTCCAGGAACATCTTTATTTCTGCCTTAATTTCATTATGTACCCAGTAGTCATTCAGGAGCAGGTTGTTCAGTTTCCATGTAGTTGAGTGGTTTTGAGTGAGTTTCTTAAAACCTGAGTTCTAGTTTGATTGCACTGTGGTCTGAGAGACAGTTTGTTATAATTTCCATTCTTTTACATTTGCTGAGGAGTGCTTTACTTCCAACTATGTAGTCAATTTTGGAATAAGTGTGATGTGGTTCTGAGAAGAATGTATATTCTGTTGATTTGGGGTGGAGAGTTCTGTAGATGTCTATTAGGTCTGCTTGGTGCAGAGCTGAGTTCAATTCCTGGATATCCTTTCTAACTTTCTGTCTCGTTGATCTGTCTAATGTTGACAGTGGGGTGTTAAAGTCTCCCGTTATTATTGTGTGGGAGTCTAAGTCTCTCTGTAGGTCTCTAAGGACTTGCTTTATGAATCTGGGTGCTCCCGTATTGGGTGCATATATATTTAGGATAGTTAGCTCTTCTTGTTGAATTGATCCCTTTACCATTATGTAATGGCCTTCTTTGTCTCTTTTGATCTCTCTTGGGTTAAAGTCTGTTTTATCAGATACTAGGATTGCAACCCCTGCCTTTTTGTTTTCCATTTGCTTGGTAGATCTTCCTCCTTCCCTTTATTTTGAGCCTATGTGTGTCTCTGCATGTGAGATGGGTCTCCTGAATATAGCACACTGATGGGTCCTGACTCTTTATCCAATTTGCCAGTCTGTGTCTTTTAATTAGAGCATTTAGTCCATTTACATTTAAAGTTAATATTGTTATGTGTGAATTTGATCCTGTCATTATGATGTTAGCTGGTTATTTTGCTCATTAGTTGATGCAGTTTCTTCCTAGCATTGATGGTCTTTACAATTTGGCATGTTTTTGCAGTGGCTGGTACCAGTTGTTCCTTTCCATGTTTAGTGCTTCCTTCAGGAGCTCTTGTAGGGCAGGCCTGGTGGTGACAAAATCTCTCAACATTTGCTTGTCTGTAAAGGATTTTATTTCTCCTTCTCTTAAGAAGCTTAGTTTGGCTGGATATGAAATTCTGGGTTGAAAATTCTTTTCTTTAAGAATGTTGAATATTGGCCGCCACTCTCTTCTGGCTTGTAGAGTTTCTGCCAAGAGATCCGCAGCTAGTCTGCTGGACTTCCCTTTGTGGGTAACCCGACCTTTCTCTCTGGCTGCCCTTAACATTTTTTCCTTCATTTCAACTTTGGTGAATCTGATAATTATGTTTCTTAGAGTTGCTCTTCTCGAGAAGTATCTCTGTGGCATTCTCTGTATTTCCTGAATTTGAATGTTGGCCTGCCTTGCTAGGTTGGGGAAGTTCTCCTGGATAATATCCTGCAGAGTGTTTTCCAACTTGGTTCCATTCTCCCCACTACTTTCAGGTACACCAATCAGACACAGATTTGGTCTTTTCACATAGTCCCATATTTCTTGGAGGCTTTGTTCATTTCTTTTTACTCTTTTTTCTCTAAACTTCTCTTCTTGCTTCATTTCATTCATTTGATCTTGAATCACTGATACCCTTTCTTCCAGTTGATCGAATCGGCTACTGAAGCTTGTGCATTCGTCATGTAGTTCTTGTGCCATGGTTTTCAGCTTCATCAGGTCATTTAAGAACTTTTCTACACTGGTTATTCTAGTTAGTCATTCGTCTAATCTTTTTTCAAGGTTTTTAGCTTCTTTGTGATGGGTTCGAACTTCCTCCTTTAGCTTGGAGAAGTTTGATTGTCTAAAGCCTTCTTCTCTCAACTCATCAAAGTCATTCTCCATCCAGCTTTGTTCCGTTGCTGGTGAGGAGTTGCATTCCTTTGGAGGGGTAGAGGCACTCTGATTTTTAGAATTTTCAGCTTTTCTGCTCTGTTTTTTCCCCATCTTTGTGGTTTTGTCTACCATCATCTTTGATGATGGTGATGTACAGATGGGGTTTTGGTGTGAATGTCCTTTCTGTTTGTTAGTTTTCCTTCTAACAGTCAGCACCCTCAGCTGCAGGTCTGCTGGAGTTTGCTGGAGGTCCATTCCAGACCCTGTTTGCCTGGGTATCAGCAGCGGAGGCTGCAGAACAGGTAATACTGCTGAATAGCAAATGTTGCTGCCTGATCGTTCCTCTGGAAGCTTCATCTCAGAGGGGTACCTGGCCATGTGAGGTGTCAGTCTGCCCCTACTCGGGGGTGCCTCCCAGTTAGGTTACTTGGGGGTCAGGGACCCACTTGAGGAGGCAGTCTGACCATTCTCAGATCTCAAACTCCGTGCTGGGAGAACCGCTACTCTCTTCAAAGCTGTCAGACAGGGACATTTAAGTCTGCAGAGGTTTCTGCGGCCTTTTGTTTGGCTATGCCCTGCCCCCAGAGGTGGAGTCTACAGAGGCAGGCAGGCCTCCTTGAGCAGCGGTGGGCTCCATCCAGTTCGAGCTTCCTGGCCACTTTGTTTACCTACTTAAGCCTTAGCAATGGCGGGCGCCCCTCCGCTAGCCTCGCTGCTGCCTTGCAGTTAGATCTCAGACTGCTGTGCTAGCAATGAGCGAGCTTCTGTGGGCATGGGTCCCTCTGAGCCAGGCACGGGTTATAATCTCCTGGTGTGCCGTTTGCTAAGACCATTGGAAAGGACAGTAGAAGGGTGGGAGTTACCCCATTTTCCAGGTGCTGTCTTTCACAGTTTCCCTTGGCTAGGAAAGGGAACTCCCAGACCACTTGCGCTTCCCGGGTAAGGCTATGCCTCGTCCTGCTTCCGCTCACACTCGGTGGGCTGCACCCACTGTCCTGCACCCACTCTCCAACAAACCCCAGTGAGATGAACCTGGTACCTCAGTTGGAATTGCAGAAATCACCCATCTTCTGCGTCGCTCATGCTGGGAGCTGTAGACTGTAGCTGTTCCTATTCGGCCATCTTGGAACCGCCCCCCTCCTATTTAGGCTACTTTGATCAGTAGGTGTCTAGTGCATGAAAGATATAAGACCATAAAAATATAAGACTATATAATAAAAATAATACTACATAATGTGGTAGCAATAAAGGTAAATATTATAAAATATTAAATTATCCACTATGATATTTTACTCAAATACTTTTTTTTTGTCTTTAAATATCAGAAAGAAAGCAAACTTATGGGGATGTAACCTATATTCATAATATCTGCAGGTATTTTCACAAGAAAGTAGCCTTCGATTCATTTATCCACACTCTGAAGAGCAGCTTACTTAACTCTAACATGTTATAACTGCTATAAAGTTTCCCTTCTTTAGCAATCCAAAGGTAAGTCCTGGGAGGTCAGTTGGAGATGCAGAGGAATGAAGATACTATTTTCTAGCCTTAGAGTGAAAGACAGATGACTTGTTTTCTGAGGCACTCAAAGTAGAATATGGGGAATTAGGAAGTAGAAAGACCATCTCAGTCAGACCTACCTGGGGTTTTGAATTATCACTTTTATCTTACTATTCAATATGTATATAAGAATAGACCTGATAAAGTCTTGAGTGATCATAGTTCCAGGAGCCTGTTGTCAATGATCAACATCCCTTAGCCTTTGGCCCTAAGTAAATGAGAGGTAAATATCTTGTTCTGTTGTAATTAGTTCAGTTCAAGTGCCTGACAGCAATTTTAATTTAGACATATATGGGTTTTATTTAGACATATATGGTTTCAAACCCAGACTTCCCATTTGACAGCTGAATGACTTTGGGTAAGTTACTCAATTTTACTAATCCTAGTTTTCTTCATATGTAAAGAGTGATAAGGATACACTTCTGAAAATTAAACAACGTAACATACATAAAATCACATAGCACAGTACATGGCCATAGTGAATGTTAAACAAATGGCATTCCTTCATCTTATTCCCACTGAAAAGCCATCACTTTATAGATGTGACATTTCCAAAGAAGTTTGCAGAACTTCTCTCTCCTACAATCCCATTTCTCACAGGAAGCCTTTCTAGACTAATTAGAGAATAGTAGATAAGTTTCTATATGTCCCCACTGGATGCCATAGTTGCACAGTCACACAAGCCACAAAAAAATGTATGTCACCTCCTAGAAACTTCTCTTTGATGGTAGTCAGTTAAAATGATCCTAGACTTGAAGGTAAATTGTGACACCAGAGATTTTTCTTGATACTGCTTTTCCCCTTCAGTAGCAACCTCCGTCTCTAGTTCTCACCGCTCAGGAGTCATCTGCCCTTCTCCCTGTTTTGGTCTTGGCTGATGCTGAATCTTTTGGTAACAGGGTAAAACTCTGAATAGAGCCACTGTGTGGGTCTTCTGACTTTGAAGATTCCCAGATGGGAAGCAGGATTAAAGAGGCAGAGCTGTGCCTCTGGATTCAAGGAAGTTGGGGGCTTTCACACCAAGAAAATACACTAGCAACATATTTCACCTTATTAGACATCCTTCTCCTTCCTAATAACTGACCACATGTCCTTGTCTTTGTAATCAGAAGCTGTATTCCTCTAAAGGCAGAAAATGTTAAATCCCCAGAAATTTGAGGCAAACAAACAGCATTAATATTCACTAGAATTCTCAAAGATTAAAGGTACTACTGTAGCTAGAAAAACAATAATTAAAACATATTTTTGTGAAAAAAGTAAAAATAATTGGATGCTAGAATTTTTAAATGAGCTAAATAGATTAGATATAAACTGAAGTCAATTGATTGAAAAATTGAGGCAAGATATTTTCTCAGAATGCACGACAAAAAAAATAAGGAGATAAGAAGTAAAATAGAGGAGTTTGGAGGCAGGAAGAGTATACGTCAATGTTTCAATATTCATCTGATAAAATTTCCAGAGGAGTATAATAGAGATCATGGAAGAGATGATTTTTTAATTAAAAAAGATATACAGTATCCCCAAATGAGAAAAATAAGATGGCTCCAAATAGAGAGGTGATCTCTGAGTACTGAGCAGAAAGAATAAGAAAAGTAAAAAATGAGGCTGTATTTCCAAAGTCAAATTACAAAAAGCTACAAAAGGAAAGCAGCTTGAATTCAAAAGAATGAATATTAAATTAGTCTAAGGTATTTCAGCAGTTAAAGTGGAAGAATGAATATAACAGTACAATGTCTTCAAAAACCCTGATCTCATACACAGGAAAATAACATGTAAGTAGTAGAGAAAAATAAAGACTTTTATAACATTCTATCTACCAACTGCAGGTCCTTTCTGAAAATATTGCTAAAGGATATATACTAGCAAAACAAATAAAAAAAGATTTCTATATCAAGAAATATGTCAAATTCATGCAACAGTGTTGAACAAAAATTTTATCAGTATATTTATATAAAAATGCACTTGAAGTATCATACACAAATTGTTGGTAATTAGGAAGTATTTATTTCTGCTAAAGATAAGGCAGGGCAGGTGAAAGAAGCAGCATGCTGCGTTCTTTGTTTTATTTGAATGTGGCTATAAATACTAAGTAATTCCAGATGTTGGTAGAAAATAAAACTTTTTGAAGTTTAAATAAAATATTAAGCATTGCCACTATCACATTGTAAATACGATGAAGAAATTTAAACTAACACAAATAATTGAATGAAGCAAAGAACATTAAATTAATCCAACAAAGTCAAGTGGGGAAAAGGGCAATCTAAAGGAAGCACTGCAAGTAAAAATAGATCTAAAGTGCCAAAAGTAATTCTAAAAATATCAGTGACCACTGTAATGTGAATGTGAATTTATTACATTTCCCTAGTAAAAGCCAGAGACTCTCAATTTGGGGAAGGGATGGTGGAGAAAAGAAAATCCACCTGTCTACCTATGTTCTGTTTTTAAGAGGCATACCTAAGAAACACACACACACCCCTACATACAGGTGATACTACTACCAGCTGATACTTGAAAAACGTCTTTAGCAGAAATTTATACCTAATATCCTGCTTTGCAATCCAGATTTATTGTCCATTTTTCCATCGATTTACAATGTAATTGATTTAGAATGCATGAAAATTCACAGAAGAAAAACAAATTGCCAATAAATAGCTAAGGAATGTTCAGCTTTGTGAATAGGCATGGAAACACAAATTAAAGTGAGGCATTTGTTTTGCAATTGGCAAAAACAGAAAGAGAGAGAAAGTAGGAGGAAGGGAGGAAGAAGAGAAAGAGAAAAAGAAAAGAAAGGAAGGAAGAAAGGGAGGAGGAAGTAATGGATAAAGGGAAGAAAGGAGGGAGGAAGACAAAGGTTGATAATGCACATTGCAGGTTTTGGTTTCCAGGTCTCAAGATGAGAAACACAGACACACACACACACACACACACACACACACATACACACACACACATTTCTGTGGCATCGCACAATCTTCTTCCAAAGATATTTTCTTCTTAGATTTTCATGACACCACCCTCTACTTGTCTGTATCCTTCCTTTCTGCATATGTGGTCTCATGGGCACTTGTTTATGTGCTACTCCTTAAATATCAATATTTCCAGTATTTCAGCTTGACTTCTCTCTTGTCTGCCCAAATAATCTCATTCATTTTTCTGATTTCCACAACTGATGATTCATACAAAAGTATTTCCAGCTTAGACCTTACTAATGAAATTTCAGGATTTCAATCCAAAGGTTCACTCGTACATTTCTGAGAGGGATTCTAAACTCAGTGTGCCCCAAAATGAAAATTTATTTTACACATATTTATCATTTTAGCCGCACAATGAACCCTTCATAAGGCAAATACAACAAAAAACTATAAAATATGTCTTTTTAGAGGGCATCAAAGATAATCTCACAGCTCTTTGAATATTATAGTGACATTTGTTATTCAGCAGTTTGGATTGATAACATAAATTTTAAAATTAGAAATTAATTAAAAGAATAATGCCACTCAGCTCTAGAATATTTCTTCATTTTATACAGTGCAACAGGCCACTAAATATAGCACTAAAAACATTCCTTTTTACACAAGTATTGCCTTTTAGTGCTATAAAAATGTACTTTCGGGAGAGTAGCACATTATCATTTAAGTGAAGCTCTTCATTAGATAGTGTGAGAAAATGAGGCATGAAAGGAAGATGGCAAAGCCTCCTTAATAGTTCCTGTGCAGATAATGTAGGCCAAAGACAATCAATAGCCATGGCTCATTTATTTTATGCCTGTGAGCACTTAGAGGCAAAATGTTAGTGTTTGCTATCCTGTTGGCTTTCTTTGCTCTGCATCAGTAATGAAAAAATAAATTTGCATACTAAGGTATAATTTTTACGAATTTGACTCAAAAACCAGGCTGTTATTGTTAACCAATATGGAAAGAAACACTTTCTGTATTACTTTGGGTTCATTACAGCCACTATGAAGCAGCTCTGATTATAAATTTAGTAACTCTTTAGAAAGCCAAACAATGAATACGAAAGTATATAAATACATTATAAAAATGCATTAAATGTACATAAAAATTAAGAATTCCATAAAATATCTAGTTTAAGACATGTCATTATAGTTGATGAAGGCAATCCTAAAATCAACATATTGAAGATAAAATGTTTTCTTAAAAAGTCTATTGATTGTGCTTCCACGTGGAACACATGTTTAGCTATCATGTATGATAACTCATTTAGCATCACCTTTAGGGTGATGACAGATTGGAAAGCAATGCATGTCTACATGAAATCAAAAGGCTTCTTTTATTATTGCTGTCATATTTATGGGAACAGAGCTTACAAGAGAAAAATTTTCAGTGAAAAAAAAATTGTTATTTAGAAAACTTCAGTTTTCCATAGAGTAAAACTTAAATGCCATATACATGGATTAATATTTGTTTTATATAAGATAATTAAATGTTAGACATTATTCTTTGAAAAGAAACTGTACTGGAAGGGATAAAATAGTCAGTAAAGTTCTTCCATGGGAAAACTCCGCCTGCCACATCTTCCCGAGGTATGAGTCAGAATGTTGGTGGTGAGCAGGAGGAATTAATTAGTGGGAACATTACGAGACAGTAGAAAATCAGAGAAAAAAGATACGGGGGGAAAAAAAACAATAAAAATAAAAAACCAGACAGATTGACCAATAAATAAGATATTAGGAAAGGTAGAACAAGAAAACATGATTGAGTATGAAGACAGTTTTGGGGGTTCTCCTGAAATTTAGTGGATACTTCTTTAACTGCCTATCATGTGAAGAACAGAATAAAACCCCACACAGCAGAAAAACTATCATCAAAGGTCAGATCTATAGTGCCTACGGTTCACTAATCTATTCTGATTTTAACAGTTAGACCTCAAAACACATTTTTCTTGGGAAAAAACAAATATTTCATTAATTCCTCAACTTCAAAAAGCTAAGAAAATGTTATAAATAAAATAATGCAAACAATCATACTTCCATCATTTCTCTATATTTTCCCACATACTTATATATTTTGGCTGTTTAGTATTGTTTATCATTTAAAACACTGTGCTAAATTTTTTACCCTTCCCTTTTCCACTAAAACTTTTAATTTAGATATATTAAAAATATAGTAACATAAGCAGCAAAATTCAACTTGTCATGGTATATAAACATACCGTGGCATAATGCTTCACAAGGGGCCGATTTCAAAAAATGTGTAGAAGTAACCAGTACACACATAAGGCTTCTAAATTGGGATGATAAAAAATAAGTCCCTACTGTGCTGTGTTTTCACTGGCACAATTCTAACATGATTGTTTAAAATGTTCTTTCATCTCTTTCGAATCTCACTGTTCTTTAACTGCTAGATTTTTTTTCATTACATTTTAATGCATTAGCTTCATCATTAAAAATGGACAAAATATAAATATTTTTATATATGTATTTTATACCTAATAGATATATTAAAATTTTAATATTTTCAAGATATTAAAAATAGTCATTGTAGGAAAAATATGTCATTGTAAGTACCCTAAATCAGCTTATAAGTTAGCTGGGAAATAAAACTGAGAAATGAGAAAGAAGTAAAGAGGCAGAATATGCTTTTTGGTAAAACAGTGTGGGATAAGTGTATTTGGAGTTAGAAAGGCTTCATAGAGGAAGCAAAACAGGAACCATGGATTGAAATGATGATGCAGGGTGTCAACAAACAGGGAAAATGGCATGAGCATAATAGAACAATGAGGAGACCAAAATGATTGCAGGGAAGGGTTCAAGTCAGGGAAGGATGAGAAAGAAAATTATGTGACTTGGTGTAAGCCAATTTAAGAGGGATTTTGATGCCATGCTGAAAAAATAAAGTTGGCTTTGTGATAGAAGAAGCAACAGTAAGTTACTACATTGGTTAAAAATTAACCAACTATAATGATTTGGCCATACCTATTGAACAAATTATTTTATGTTTAAGAAATATTACTAGAAATTCAGTCTAGAAAGCATAAAGGGGAAAATATGAGACATTTTTTCATGGAACAAAGGAGACTCTCAAAATAAAGAAGTGACTCTCAGGTGGGGCCAAAGGTAAAAAATAAACAAAATGTTCCTCAGCAGCTGTGGTTTCATCTCCTAACTTGTACTTCATTGGCAACATTTAAGGGGTTAGACAAATGAGGGTAAATAGTGTCACTAACAAATTTGTTGGATATTGTTTATAACATTTTATTAAGTTTTGGAAAGTTGAAAATGAATGTCTGTTTAGTTATGTTTCTAATTTGTGACCGATGATACATTGAATTGAAAAGGCTTACTTTTGCTATAAGACAATTCATATCTTTTTAAAAGAAATAGATCATGATGATTATAAATCATAAATGGATATTAAATAGAAACAGAGGGCTTTTTGTTCCCAAGAGTTTACAAACAATAAATAGTGCATTTACCTTTTCTTATTTGACCCTAAGACAAACAACTGCTACATTTACCAACTAATGCATAACCTGCATTTGTAAACCCTAATTCCGAGGCTATCATTAGTGAAAATCAGTCTAATTTTCATATGCTTTATATATCAACACATTGTTATCTCTATTTCATTCATTCTTGCATTAGGTTTCACTCTTGGGGAGTGGGAGTCATGTGTTGCAACTAACTACTATCCCAAATACTGATGACTTCAACTAAATAACATTTTTCCTATGTTTTAAGCACAAAGGAATTATTATTATGCAAGGGTATTTCTGTTTTTGTCATTGTTCTATTATATCTCTAGGTCCAGCAACTCAACTTGAATAGTTGTACTGACCCGTGGAAAAATTCCTCCCTTCATCAATAATAACAATATAATATGAGTAGTAATTTATATTGTTATTATAGGTGTTTACCTATATGATATAGTTTATATTGATCTTCACAGCAACATACCATCTCAAATAATTCTAATTTCACACTTCCACTCAAGAAAAGTAAGGCCACTTTGAACTTCTGTTCCACACTTAAATAACAAAGGTACTTTAGACAAGTCATAACTTGGAGGCTCAAGTTCTTCATTTGTAAGATGTGAATATTATACTCTATTTGACGATGTTCAATTGTAAGAATAAGTTCTAATGAACTATTAATGGAGTGACATCCTAAGATTGCAAAGAAGATCTTCTAGTTTTAATTGAGGGCTTCTTAGACATATATATATATATATATATATACACACACACACACACACACACACACACACACACATACACATACACACACACACACACATACACATACACACACACACACAGACATATATATATATATATAAACTGTTGGGGACTAAGTGCCCTCTATTTCTAGTTAATGTCCATTTATAATTTATAATCATCATGATCTACTTCTTTAAAAAAGATATGAATTGTCTCATAACATATATATATTTGCATATATAAATATATATACCTGCATGTCTGTCTTCACTCATTTTAAACAACTATTCACTGATATATATCACACAGAAAATGTCTTTGCTCACATTACTAGCTGTGAGTTGTTTTGTCTCTAGGTACCATAATTATTGCCAGGTGTTTATGCTATAGAAAGTACTGAGTGTAAGAACTGCCATGTTGGTCACTTGCAAAGGTATTCCCCCTGGGAAAACAAACTTTAACAGATTGATTAAATCATCTTCTCTACAGCCATTAGGAAATTTGTTTCATTAAATTTTATTTATTTTCCTACATTACTATAAAATTCAAAAGAATTACAAAGGGAAAGAACAGCTCTGTGTAATGGAAAGTTCACACAATTTGGAATTAAACAAAAAGTTTGAATCTTGTTTCCACATTTACCAGCTGAAAATTCTTGAGCATCAAGGTCTAGGAAGGCAGCAAAGACTTATACCTTATAAGAAATTCCAAGATGATGTCCCATGAATGGCAACTCTCGCTGATTGAGGCTTTTTATCCTGGATAGCTCAGCAAAAATCAGAAATAGACCTTACTGCATTTCAGAGGAGTGTGTGTGTGTGTGTGTGTGTGTGCGTGCGTGCGCACATGTGTGTGTAGATAATTACTCTTTCCTACCCAACAGTCTTCTGTAACTATGTTATATCCTTCAAGAGAAAAAGATACTTTGCTCAGTCTTTTGTTAGAACCACATAGCAATGGAAACTGGAGCGGTGATGAAGAACCCAGCCTTTCAATCCTCAAAGCATTCATGCTCAGTGGTTTCTCTCTTGAACTCCAAAATCATATATCCCACTCACCATCCTACCTTAGATATTTAATAGACATCTCTGACTTAAATGTGCAAAACTGAATTCCTGATCTTTCCCTCCTCCAGTAATGACATTTAACAATTCTGGCAACAAAAGATGTCCAAGATAGGTTAGTAAAGAAAAAGGACTATATATAAGGTATGACTCAAATTTTGTTAAATCAATACATACACGCCTACATATAAAACTTTATGTATTGGTATTTGCTTTGAAAATAGGTTAAAGAATATATACTCAAGTATTAATAGTGGCTATATTCAGAATGAGGGAGAGCAAAAGGCTTTCATGTACTACATAATATGAGGCTGGATTATTAAAAAGATTTATAATGAGTTTCTCATATGTTATAATCAGGGCAAATTAACTGCAAAACTAGCATAAGTAGGTTTTGATTTTTTTTCTAAAAATTTCACTTAGGTATTATATTTTGTGACTCAGAGCAAAGGTAGGATGACAGTGAAGGGTTCATTGTAAAGCCAGCCTTTCTAATAATATATTTTGTCATATTTGGAAAGAAAAAAATAGGTATTCAAAATCAATCTTTGATGAGTGGGTAGGTTAAATGTATGTGGTGTAATCTGGGTTCATTCCAATTTCTGTAAATGATTTGAAATTTATAAAACTAAACTTGGCTTTCTTATGGCACATATTATGGCTCTAAACAGTATTTACATGAAATTATCAATACACATATTTCCCTACCTGTTACTTTAGGCTACTGCTTTGTACATTTGTTAAAATTTCAAAAAAAATCATTACATCTATTTGTATGCCAGAAGATTACAGCTTTAATATATCATTGTTGACATCAGAAAATAGTATTTATTAAGTGCTCATTTGGATGTGCTATTCTATGGGGCTCAATAGTTGAGTAATCTTTTACTCAGATGACTTATAACAGTATGTTAAGATGTCACCTTTAGGCATGCACTAAATACTAAAGGGAAATTGTAGAAAGAAAACTCATCTTAAGTTCTTATCCTCTTTACTTATTTTTCTCACCTTCTCTCTTTTTTTCCCTTTGTACTCTCATTTTTGGTTAATTTTTTTAAAAAGTCTAGCCCATATGTGAAATGATTTTCCTACTTTTTTCACTTATATTTATCTAACTACTGGAATTAGTCTTTTGTTAACCCCCCAATTTTGTCTTGGATTCCACAATACATCTTTTCCTTTATTTGATGTCTAAGCAGAAGGTTGGTTATTTAATTCCTTTCCTTGGAGGGAGAAAAAAAATTATTTGTAAGACATTCTATGACTTTCTGCTTGTATTTAATGAAGAAAACTCTATTTGTAGAGTAGAACAACCATGACAGTTAACAGACAGAAACAAAGGATTTCTCCCTACCTTTGATGATTTACTACACATATGATCTTTGAGTTAGTTTCTTACCTTACTTGAGCATAGATGTCATCATCCCTAGAATGGAAATAATAAATTTATGGAGTGGTTGTGTGAACTACTTCATGCAGTATGCATGCCATACTACATGCATACTACATACCACATGCTACATACTAATCTGCTGCCATTTCATATGGTAGGCCAAGAATCTAGCAGACTCTATGGTATTGTACTTATACTTCTCCCAACCTGGAATTCATCTGCTATGGTCTAAATCAGCCTCACTTTAGATCAAATCAGCCTCCTTATGGCCCTAGTTATTTTTTAACTTTAGGCTCTTTTTAAATTCCTCTATGAGTGAGACTGTAATTTACAAAGCAATTCTAAAAACTGAGTGTGGCTTAATTTCCCTCAAGAACGTCCAATGGGCTACCTCTGAAACAGGTTTCACATTTTCGCTCGGACATGAAAAATCTCAGAGAATAATATTCAGCCTTTCTACTACAAGTTTTATTGCTTGAAACTCCTTCCTATGACAGTGATTCCTGTAGCCTTCTGCTTTTTGATTGAAGTTCTGACTATTGACCACCTTTTGAACCCCTGCCTGAAATATTTTCCTATCTGGATATTTTTCTAGTCAGTGGTTTACAATCATTGTCTCCACTAAGAATACTTTTGAGAAAACATTGTTTTACATGTGTGGTAATGGAATCAGTTGTGCCCCTATCAAAATTTGTATGTTAAAGCTCTAACTCCCAATGTGACTATATTGAGAGACAGGGCCGTTAAGGAGGTCGTAAAGGTTAAACGAGGTCATAAGGGTGGGACCTCAACCTAATAGTACTTACGTCCTCATAAGAGAAGAGAGATGACAGCCTTCTACAAGCTAGGAAGAAAGAGAAGCCTCACCAGGAAGCAACCTGATGGCACTCTAATCTTAGACTTTCAGTTTCCAGAATTGCAAGGAAATAAAAGTTCATTGTTTTAGTCATACAGTCTGTGGTATTTTGTTGTGGCAGCCCTTGCAGACTAATACATGTATAGTCTAGATTTAACTTATTGTGATATTTTAACAAAACCTAAATATTTTTGAAGATAAACAAAACAAATAGCACTATACTAACATTACAATCATTGCAATAATTCGTAATGATAACTGGTATCAATGCAGTGGCAGTTGCTCAGCTTGCCCTGTGGCAGAGAGAAGAACCTTGCTCTCCGGCAGCTTACTGCCCTGTATTTTAAGATGTTCACTTGTTGATTAGGGCTTGGAAATGTGAAAAAGTTAAATATACTTGTGGAAAGTGAGACATTTTTATTGACAGCATTCATTTAAACAATTCTCTAAACATGGTTATTAATATACAGTTGACCCTAGAACAATGCAAGGCTTAGGGGTACCAACTCCTCATGCAATTGAAAACCCACATAAAACTTTTCACTCCCATCACTTAACTACTAATAGCCTTCTGTTGACTGGAAGCCTTACTGATAATACATACAGTTGATTAACACATATTTTGTATGTTATATGTATTATAATATATTCTTATAATAAAGTAATCTAAAAAAGAATGTTATTAAGAAAATCATAAGGAAGAGAAAATGCATTTACTATTCATTAAGTAAAAATGAATGATGATAAAGGTCTTCATCTTTGTCTTCATGTGGAGTAGGCTGAGGAGGAGAAGGAAGAGGAGGGGTTGATCTTGCTGTGTCAGGGGTGGCAGAGGCAGAGGAGGTGGAGGAGGTGGAAGATGAAGGAGAACAGGCACATTCAGTGAAACTTTTATTGAAAAAATCCACATATGAATGGCCTGTGCAGCGCAAACCCAGGTTGTTCTAGTGTCAACTGTATATATATGTGTGTGTGTGTGTGTGTGTGTGTGTACACACACACAGTCTTTTTTATTAGTCAGGATTCTCTAGAGGGACCTTGACTATATATTTAAAAATTATCTATCTATCTATCTATTTGGGAGTTTATTAAGTATTAACTTACACAATCAGAAGCTCCCACAATAGGTTGTCTGCAAGTTGAGGAGCAAAGAGAACGAGTCCAAGTCCCAAAACTGAAGAACTTGGAGTCTGATGTTCGAAGGCAGGAAGCATCGAGTGCGGGAGAAAGATATAGACTGTGGGTGTAGGCCAGTCTCTCTTTTTCTTGTTTTTTTGCCTCCTTTATGTTTGATGGCAGCTGATTAGACTGTGCCCACTAGATTAAGGGTGGATCTGCCTTCCCCAGCCCACCGATTCAAATGTTAATCTCCTTTGGCAGCACCCTCACAGATACACCCAGGATCAATACTTTGTATCTTTCAGTCCAATCAAGTTGATGCTTAGTATTAACCATCACAAGTCCACCCGTTGTCAAATTGGCAGAAGCATTATGTGCAGGATAGGCAAACCCATATCTGGAGTAAGTGTCTATTCCAGTGAGGAAAAACCTCTGCACTTTCCATGATGGAAGAGGTCCAATATAATCAACCTGCCACCAGGTAGCTGACTGATCACCCTGAGGAATGGTGCCATATTGAGGGCTCAGTGTTGGTCTCTGCTGCTGGAAAATGGGGCACTCAGCAGTGGCCGTAGCCAGGTCAGCCGTGGTGAGTACATGTTGCTGAACCCATGTATAACCTCCATCCCTGCCACCATGGCCACTTTGTTCACGGGCCCATTAACAGATTACAGGGGTGGCTAGGGAAAAAGGCTGAGTGGTGTCCACAGAACAGGTCATCCTATCCAGTTGATTATTAAAATCCTCCTCTACTGAGGTCACCCGTTGGTGAGCACTCATATGGGATACAAATATCTTCACAGTTTTTGGCCACTCAGAGAGGTCCATTCACATACCTCTTCCCCAAATTTCTTTGTCACCAATTTTCCAATCATGCTTCTTCCAAGTCCCTGAACATCCAGCCAAACCACTGGCTACAGCCCATGCATCAGTATAGAATGGCACACCTGGCCTCCATGCAAAGTGCACAGCCAGATGCACTGCTTGAAGTTCTGCACACTGGGAAGATTTCCCTTCACCACTGTCCTTCAGCGATGTCCAAGAAAGGGGCTGTAGTACAGCAGCTGTCCACTTTAGGGTGGTTCCTGCATATCATGAAAAACCGTCTGTGAACCAGGCCCTAGTCTTCTCTTCCTCTGTCAACTGATCATAGAGAACTCCCCATGAGGTCATCAGTGCAGGCTGGGGGAGAGAAGGCAGGATGGCAGGCGTGGAGGCCATGGGCATTTGAGCCACTTCCTCATGTAACTTACTTGTGCCTTCAGGACCTGCTTGAGCCCGATCACATATGTAGCACTTCCATTTGATGACGCAATGCTGCTGTGCATGAGCCACTTTATGGCCTGATGGGTCAGAAAGCACCCGGTTCACGGTAGGCAGTTCAGGCTGCATGGTGACTTGATGTCCCATAGTCACATGTTCATTTTCCACTAAAGCCCAGTAACAGGCCAGGAGCTGACTCTCAAAAGGAGAGTAGTTATCTGCAGAAGATGACAGGGTCTTGCTCCAAAATCCTAGAGGCCTCCGCTGTGATTCAACAATGGGGTACTGCCAAAGGCTCCAAACAGCATCCCTATCTGCCACTGACACCTCAAGCACCATTGGATCTGCTGGGTCATACGGCCCAAGTGGCAGAGCAGCTTGCTAAGAGCCTGAACCTGTTGCAGAGCCTTCTCCTGTTCTGGATTCCACTTCTGGAACCAAAATCTGTATTAGGGTTCTCTAGAGGGACAGAACTAACAGGATATATATGTGTGTATATATATATATATATATATATATATATATATATATATATATACACACATACATACACACACACACACATATGGATATCTATCTATCTATCTATCTATCTCTCTGGGAATTTATTAAGTATTAGTTACACAATCACAAGGTCCCACAATAGGTTGTCTTCAAGCTGAAGAGCAAGGAGAGCCAGTCTGAGTCCCAAAACTGAAGAACTTGGAGTCTGATGTTTGAGGGCAGGAAGCATCTAGCACGGGAGAAAGATGTAGGCTGAGAGGCTAGTCCAGTGTCTCTCTCCCTCCTTTTCATGTTTTTCTGCCTGCTTTAGTTTCACTTGCAGCTTATTAGATTGTGACCACCAGATTGGGGGTGGATCTGCCTTCCACAGCCCACTGACTCAAATGTTAATCTCTTTTGGCAACACCCTCACAGACACACCCAAGATCAATACTTTGTAACTTTGAATCCAATCAAGTTGATGCTCAGTATTAACCATCATACACACACACACACACACACACACACACACACACACACACACTTAGAAAATATTCTAGCTTTAAATGCCACATGCAAACTTTGCAACAAACAGGCAAAAAAACAATTGGCAGATGTAGGTATTCACACCTTTTATACCAATCAATCAATCAATCAGTCAACCAATCTGCAATCAATGCAATTTCTATTTATGCACTAACTACTATGAGCTAACTGCAGCTCAAAGTGTTACGGTGTCTACATTTCAGACTCAAAGTGAATATTCTTTTAAATAACATGTACTTAGCACAATATCTGAAATCTACATTGTTTCCTATAACTATGGCACAGGATATAATTTTTTAGGGTACAGCTATATAATCTTAGTTTCTACATCAGTCTGTAATCTCACTGATTACATTTAAGTGCATGAAAAAGATACAATTATAGAAAAAGCAATATTTGAGTAAATAGTTTCATATCTTTTATTGTCACTTGAATTCTACAATGAGATAGTTTGTTAGAAATGTATTCTTAAAATATTTAGACACTGTTAAATAAAAATACTGGATGAGTCTACTTTTGCCAACATTGTTTTGTAAAAAATTCAGATATTGTTCTATAAAATTAACATAGTAGTCTATTTTTCTTCTTTGTGTGTATGTTCTTAACATTTCAAATATGTGATACCCAATAAAGTATTTTGAAGAAGCTTAGAGGTTGATAAAATGGATGATCTTAAAAAAGGACATACCGACTTCGTGAATGTATGTATAGTAAAATTGATAGAGGTACATATCTTTTTATTGTGCTTTGCAGGTATTGCATTTTCACAAATTGAAGCTTTTGTGGCAGCCTTGCATAGAGCAAGTCTATCAGCACCATTTTTCCAACAGCATGTGCTCACTTCCTGTCTCTTTGTCACATTTTGGTGATTCTTACAGTATTTCAGAACTATTCATTATTATTATATCTGTTATGGTGATCTCTGATCCACGATCTTTGACGTTACTGTTGTAATTGTTTTGAAATGCTAGAAATTATGCCCATATAAGACAATGAACTTGATCAATAAATGTGTGTCTTTTGGCTGCTCCACTGAAAAGCCATTCCCGTATCTCTCTCCCTCTCCTTGGACCACTCTATTCTTGGAGACGCAACAACATTGAAATTAGGCCAATGAGTAACCCTACAATGGCTTCTAAGTGTTCAAGTGAAAAGAAGAGTAGCCCATCTCTTATTTTAAATAAAAAACTAAAAATGATTAAGCTTAATGAGAAAAACACATTGAAAGCTAAGATAGGCTGAAAACTATGCCTCTTTCGCCAGTTAGATAAGTTGTGAATGCAAAGGAAATGTTCTTGAAGAAAATAAAAAGTACTACTCTGGCAAACAAGAATAATAAGAAAGGGAAACAGCCTTATTGCTGATATAGAGAAAGTTTTAGTCATCTGGATAGATCAAACCAGCTACAACATTCTCTAAGCCAAAACCTAATCTAGAGCAAGGCCCTAACTCTCTTCTATTATATCAAGGATGAAAGACGTGAAGAAGCTGCATAAGAAAAATTAGAGGCTAGTAGATGTTAGTTCATGAAGTTTATGGAAATCAGCCATCTATGTAACGTAAAAGTGCAAGCGGAAACATCAAGTACTGATAAAGAAGCTGCAGCAAGTTATCCAGAAGATCTGGCTAAGACAGTTGATGAATGTGGCTACACTCAACAACAGATTTTCAATGTAGACAAAATAGCCTTCAATGTAGACAAAACAGCAGCTGTTGACTTTAAGTTTAAGCCAATGCTCATTTGCCATTCAGAAAAATCCAAAGGCCTTAAGAATTATGCTAAATCTACTCTGCCTATGCTCTATTTAAAAAAAAAAAAGAAGCCTGGATAACAGCACATCTGTTTATAGCATGGTTACTGAATATTTTAGGCCCATTGTTAAGACCTACCACTCAGAATAAAAGATTCCTTTCAAAATATCACTGTTCATTTACAAAGCACCTGGCCATCCAAGAACCCTGATGGAGATGCTCAAGGATATTAATGTTCTCTTGCCTGCAGACACAACATCCATTCTGCAGTCCACGGATCAAGGAGTAGTTTTGACTTTCAAGTCTTATTTTTTAAGAAATACATTTTTTTTTTTTTTTTTTTTGAGATGGAGTCTCGCTCTGTCGCTCAGGCTGGACTGCAGTGGTGCAATCTCGGCTCACTGCAAGCTCCGCCTCCCAGGCTCATGCCATTCTCCTGCCTCAGCCTCCTGAGTAGCTGGGACTACAGGTGCCCACCACCACGCCTGGCTAATTTTTTGTATTTTTAGTAGAGACGAGGTTTCACCGTGTTAGCCAGGATGCTCTCTATCTCCTGACGTCGTGATCCACCCACCTCGGCCTCCCAAAGTGCCGGGATTACAGGCGTGAACCGCTGCGCCTGGCCAAGAAATACATTTTGTAAGGCTATAGTTGCCATAGCCTTCAGTGGAGGAAGTAACTGCAGACGTAGTGGAAATACCAAGAGAACTAGAAGCAGAAGTGGAGTCTGAAGATGTGACTGAGTTGATGCTATCTCATGATAAAATGTGAATAGATGAGTTGTTCTCATTAAAGAAAGTGGTTTCTTTTTATGAAGTCTACTTGCGGTGAAGATATTGGGAACATTGTTGAAATGACAACAAAGGATTTTAGAACATTAAATAAACTTTGTTGATAAAGCAATGGCAGGTTTTGAGAGGACTGATTCCATTTTAAAAGAAGTTTTATGTGGGTAAAATGTTATCAGAAAGCACTCCATGCTATAGACAAATCTTGTGAAAGGAAGAGTCAATTGATGCAGCAAACTTCTTTTGTTGTCTTATTTTAAAGAAATTGCCGCAGCCACCCCAGCCTTCAGCAACCACCACTCTGATCAGTCAGCGGCCATCAACATCAAGGCAAGATCTTCCACCAGCAAAAGGACTGTGACTTGTTGAAGGCTCACATGATTGTTAGCATCTTTTAGCAATAAAGCATTTTAAAATTATGGTATATACATTTTTAAGGCATAATGTTATTGCCCATTTAATAGACTATGTTATACTATAAACATAACTTTTATATGTACTGGGAAACCAATAATTTCATGTGACTTACTTTATTGTGTTGTCCCAGAACTGAGCCTGTGCTATCTCTGAGGTACGCCTGTATATTTAATCTCTCCCCACAAATGTCAAGGGAGCTTCTGATATAGGTAGGATCATTTCAAAATGATTTTGTGATACTTCACTCTCTTTACAGAGAGGACAATAAAAACTACATTTAAGTTTTAACAGATAATTTTTAGAAATAAGAGAGAAGTGCTACGACTTCACTGTGGACTAAGCCAGTCTTTGGTGGAGATGGAGCCACAGCCTGTTGGTTTTAGGGACACAGGTCCTGCCTGGGTGTGGTATCTCCCTGCCTGGGTGTGATGACTCCACTTCTTCCTAGTCAGGGGACCTGGAAAAATTAAATTCTGCAACCTGCTTTTCCAAGTCTAAATAGGTGATGCCAATAATATCTACTTCATAGAAATGAAATTTTAAAAAAATTTAAAACCAAGGTGTAAAAACCACTGAGGACAATATTTGATATTCTCATCAACATCGCTGTTGTTGCAGTGTTACTGACACTGTTGCTGTTGTTGTTAATGTTACTGAAGAACACTCTATCCTAAGAAGTATTCTCTCAGGTTGAAATATCTTCTTAGCTAAATCTAGAATTGGGATCAGATGATTCATAGATACACTCTTCCTGTGCCAGACTCTATGAGATATCTGATAATATTAAAAATGGAAGGTCTGACCCTACATTATTTTTTCTTTCTCAAATGTTAGTGACAATGTCTATTTAGAGCAATTTCAAAGTAATGTCAGGATGTCATGGGCACATTTTGTCAGCATGGATCTGTGGCAATACATACAACTTGGTTTTCAAGGTGCTGAGACAACTTGGCGAATATCACTTAGGCCCTTCGTGCCTGGTAGGCAGAATAACTACCTTAATTTTTCAAGGTGATTAAGCTGATTAAGTAAGAACACTGTGATTCTTCATTCATTCGTCTTCACTTAACCAGACAGAAAGGTCTTTCTTACAGACAAATGAGTATAAGTGGTGTGACTTAATCCTCCTATTCTTTTCTTCCCCCTCCACCCCCACCACAGCTGCCACTCCTTCTAAAAGAGCCAGATCTTTAATATCACACTAATTCAAAGACCCTCATTTCAGAGTTGTGAGATTCCTCTTTTCTCTTTGTAATTGAAAACATCTAACAGACTTTCTAGGAAGCAAATGCTAGAGCACTAACCTCTGAATGCTATTTAATCACTCCTTTCAATCAATTTACATGTTTATTTATGAGAATTTCTGTACCTGTTAAGTGCTAAATTAAAAGAATTGGAGGGGAGGAAGACACTATTAGGAAAAACCCAGAAAGTAGTGCTACCTGAAACATTTATGAGCGTCTACTGCAAACACTCTTAAAAACTGGTAAATTGCATTTTAATTATTTTGTAAATGTACTGAAATTAAAGAGCATTTGGAAAGCAGTCATCTAGAGTTGAGGAGGTACAAATTAATCACATGGTTACAATGAATATTCAGAAATTCAGGAATCCTTAATGGAGCAATAATAATTTTCAAGCAACATTAGTACTTCTCGGCACAGGCTTAGGGCTGCTTGAAGCATATTTTCACACTGCGGAAATGTTTACTCTACCCAGAAGCCTATTTTCCCCAATAGAAACACAATGAAAATTCAAACACAATAAATCATCCTCAAGGTACAAAGATTCAAATGCCACAAGTGCTTTGATTCACTCTGCTTCAGGGGCGGAATTTTTAAATTGAAGAACTTTTAAATTTGTTCGAACATAGCAGTCTGGAAATGAGAAACGCAAAGCCAATTGGATTCCAAGATCTTATTTCTGTGTCCCTCTGCATTACCCTTGGCAGTGAGTCACTGGCATAACAGATAGGGTCCCAAAATGTGATGTATGGAGCAGAGTCATTTTACCTCCACAGCCAGCAGGAGAGGCTCAGAGAGATTACAACTTGGAGAGGACTCAGAGGTGCCCACAACTACCACCCCATTTTAAAAATGAGAAAATGAACCTAAGAGATGAAGTGAATTAATTCTGGTTTTCAAAGAGTTAAAACAAATTAAGAAGAAAAGACAAGTTTCCTGATTCCCAGCCTAGTTTCCATTCCTTTCCACCATTCAATGAAATATATGAAGGTCATATCTCATATCTAGTTATAATATAGGTTAGTACTATGTTCTAAACACTCATGTGTCACCTCCAATTAATCAATCATTTATGAAGTGTACCAGAATATGCAACTCTGAAGTATGTCATTTCAACATAGGGGTTACTTGGAACTAAAGTCATATGAAAAATACCAGATCCAAGAAGGACACTCTCGACTTACCTTTTTCTTCCTTAAAACAGGAGATAAAAATGTTCATGTGAAAGATGCTCCTTGAACCAGGAGAAAAGAAACATTCTTTGATGATGAATCATAGCTGAGAGAATTCTGCACAGACGGGCCTTATTAACATAACTCATCTTTTAAGCTCCTCCATATAATTTAATTGCTTTTTCAAAACTTATTATTCTTTGTCCAATTCAAACTGGACAAAGTATATAAGTATATAAGTGATTGACAATAATTGCTTCGTTGGGCCTACATTTCCTTTTGAGGGCTCCATGTCACATAAAACATTAAATTTGTATGCTTTTCTCCTGTTTATCTTATGTCAGTTTAATTCTTAGGTCCAGCCGGAAACCTAGAGAGAAAAGGTAAAGTTTTGACTATTCTACTGGCCTGGATTTATCTAACTTGTGTTGTACTTTCTGCTTTTCTTGTACTGTTGCATCCTATAAATACTTGCCTTTTTAATGACTATTTCACAGTATTTTTTAAATGTTTGGTTTGTTGTTGTTTTGTTTGTTTTTTGTGTTTTGGAGACAGGGTCTGACTCTTGTTGCCCAGGCTGGAGTGCGGTGGTATGATCATTGTTCACTGCAGCCTCAACCTCTTGGGCTCAAGTGATTCTCCCATCTCAGCCTCCAGAGTAGCTGGGCTACAGGTGTGTGCCACTACGTCCAGACAATTTTGTATTTTTTTTTTAGTAGAGATGGGGTTTCATCATGTTGCCCAGGTTGGTCTCAAACTCCTGGGCTCAAGTGATCCCCGGCCTCTGACTCCCAAAGTGCTGGGATTATAGGTGTGAGCTACTGCACTTGGTCACACAAGATCTTGTATTTTTCTCTTTTATTGTCTTCATCTCTTAAATAAGTTGTTCAGGTAAATAGTAAGAGCTAGTATCATTGATGTATCATTACTTAGTTAAGACTTCCCTTTTTGGAAACGCTGAGCTATATATAGCTTTTAGATGTTAAAGCATATATAGAACATTTTGTACTCTGCTCAACAAATCATTCCTATCCTCTGTACTGTGGTTGCTACCATCAAACTTTTAAATCATGTTTATGTAAACCAGTGATGCTGCAAAAAGTTACAGCCCCATAAATGAAGTTGTAGAGTCATAGAACTGCCAGATAAGAAATGTTACCTGCACTATACATCCTTCACCACATCTACAGATCTTCATCAAGAAAACCTTTCTGCAAGGCAAGACTGCAGCTTGTCTTTTACCCTCACTACTGGGGTTTTTGACAGAGAAAGAGTTTATAATTTCGATGAGGTGAAATTTATCAAATTTCCCATTTATGGATCATGTTTTTGGCATTGAGTCTAAGAAGTTTTTGCCCAGCCCTTGATCCCCAATTTTTTTTCTGGATGTCTTATGGTTTTACGTTTTGTCCATAAACCATTTTGAGTTTACTTTCATATACAAAGTGAGGGTTAAGGTTAATTTTCCAGTTAAAAAAATACATATAATGATGCTATTAATTTCATATTTTGATTTTGTAAACCATAACATATCAATTTGTTTTCATTATCATTATTAGCACTATGAGTTTGTCTGTAAAATCATTTGGGTTTTCAACATAAACATCACATGATTGGTATACAAAGATAGTTTTACCTTAGCCTTAATTCTTATGCCGCTTTTGTGTTCCTTTTACATTAGCTACAATCTTCAGTAGAATACTGAGTAGAAACTGATATTGCAGGTGTCTTTGTTTTAGTCTTGACTTTAAGAGTACTTCTAAAATTTTATTATGAATTATGACGATGTAGGTTTTTAAGTAGGTGACATCAATAATTTTTTACTAGTTTATTAAGAATTTTTTAGTAATATTGGAATGCTCTTTTACCAGATCTTTGCATAGTTTCCTTCTTTATGACATTTAATATCCATTTATTACCTCTTCAGAGGGGCTTTCTAAAACTACCTTAGCTAAAAAAATCTCATTACTCTATTTGTCCTTATTGTCTTTGCTTTTCTTTTTTAAGGCAGTAATCATTACTTGATATTTGAAGATTTTATTGTTGATACGTTACTTGTCTGTATCACCCACTAGAATGCAAGTTCCCTCAGGGCAGGTATGTTATTTCTTTTATTCATCTTTGTTTCTCCAGAACCTAGAAGACAGCCTAGTACCCAAGAGGCATTGAATAAAGAGTTGTGGAATTAATAAATTATTGCATTCCACCAATGCTCAATAATTTAATTAGACTAATCAGCTAACACAGCTACTATAGTAAGGAAGTAGTATATACTATATTTTTACATTTAGTAACAAAAAGCATGAAGGTACAATAATTTTTCAACTTTTTCATTAAATCTCCTTTACATATGCCTTAGAGCAGGAATATGATAAGCACTAATTAGAAAATATTAGCATTGAAGATGTGCCACACAATAGTACCTGCATCACTCTTTGATTCCTATATTCCTGTGCTTTTTGGATCCTCAGCTTCTCTGTTCTCAATGGCTGGATGTGTGTAAAATGTTTAAATCCCTACAATTAAACTCCTTCTCAATAAATGATTTTGTCTTCCCCTTTGAGAGTTTTAGGCCCAGTAGAGCCTAAAATTGGAGGGAATACTAATCCTCTGAATTATTTGTTATGACAGTAATATCATTCCGTTGTAGGTTCTTTTGACATGTCTTAATAAAATCAAAATTTTAAACCGTGTGGGATATTCAAAGCAAGATAAAAATAAATGCTGCTATTTTTGATAATTAAGAGGGCAGTAGAAACATCGTCTCTGAAATTCAATAGATGATCTAAGGCAGCTAACTTTCCTGCTATACTATTCAAAACTGTAGTGAGGGTATGAGTACTAAAACTCCAGGAGGCGACACCACTGTATGTAGACAGGGTTCCTACTTACAATGCCAAACCTAGAAATAGATTCATGAGGCCCTATGGAAGTGGGTTTGTAAGCCATTCACCAATATTGTGCATGATGTGTCCAAATCTGAGGAAAAGATATGGTAGGCCTGTGGCAGCCAATTAGTCATGTTCTTCCCCCCATTTTTCCTTCTGAAAAATGTAGAATGACTAACAAAGTTGGGGGAAAATCCCCATAATTTACAAACACTGAGGTTGTAGAAAGAAACTAGAATATGCAAATTTTATGCAAGTGGGGTGTATGCAGGTGCACTGGATTGAATAGTGTTTTCCCCAAAATTAATGTTCACCAAGAACCTGGGAATGTGACCTTATTTGAACATAGCTTCTTTGCAGATATAATCAAGTTCAGATGAGGTCATACTGGATTGGAATGGGCCCTGGTTTAATGACTGAGGTCCTAATAAGAAAATGGAAATTTGGGCACAGATACACACAGAGTAAAAACAGCCATGTGAAGGTGGAGACAGGTTGGAATTATGTGGGCACAAGCCAAGGAAAGCCAAGGATTGTCAATAGCCACCACAAGCTAGAAGAAGCAAGGGAGGATCCTTCTCTGTATCCATCGAGGGAGCATGGCCATTACAACACCTTTGGACTTCCAGCCTTCAGAACTGTGAGAGAATAAATTTCTATTTTTTAAGTTGCCCAGTTCATGGTAATTTGTTACAGCATCTCTATGAAACTAATGAAGCAATTAAGACAAGCAAAACTTCTATGACAATAAGACCAGAAAAGAAGAGGGGAGTGCAAGAAAGCTAGCAGTGGCAAGCTTAGAAATCAACAGCAAATACTGAATTTTAGAAAAAGGTGATCTCACATTAGTAGGAACTCTGTGAAAAGGACTGTGATCAGATGAAAAGCTATCATTGTGGGCAACAAAGAAATAAATCAGAAGAAATGGCCAGAGGAAATCAAAGGAGACAGATCTCAGAATTTCCTCTTTATAAAGAGTAGAAGTTCTATTCCATGGTACCAAAGACAATAAATCTGCGAGGGGAGTACAGAGCTACTAGTGCAAACTCTCTTGAACTCATCAGTTCTGAGAGGCAAATAAAGTATGATTGTATTTTAAAGAAACACTCCATCAGAGTAGCACCAGAAGAGTCATAAGCAGAAAAATATAAAAGTCTTTGTCACTTCTAAGGAACTTTCTTCTAATAGTTGGTATGGAAAAATACAACTTATACAAAAGGAATATATGCAATCAAAATAAATATTTAAAATCACAATTGAAATATATAAAATATGATAAGAATAAGTAATGTGGGAAAGAGCAGCACAAATTCATTGCAGATTCTTAAAAATTCTTACAAGAAAATTATTTCTACAGAGCATTCGAAATTTGTAACCCAATATTCCATCACAAATTATAAATGAAGTACATAGAACCTATGAAGGAAAACAGCTAGGCAGGAGGATATTAGTGATTTCCAGGCAAGAGGAAGGGACAAGGAACCTGTAGAAATCAGAAAAAAAAAATATGGGAATAAGTTCTAAGAAGCCAGTGAAAGAAAAGACACAGGGAGAAACAGAGTAAGGAATGTAGAAGATATAAATACATAAACAAAACAAATGAAGCAGAAAAAAATGTATAAAAAGCAGTGGAGTGAAAATATAAGAGATTAGGCGAAGAAAATCTAACACAGCCATAATTTAAATATCTAAAAAGGCCATTAAATTAATAGAAAATGAATGTAAAAATAAATTCAATAAATTTAATCCAGGAATAAAAGTTGCTTTAATATCCTAAAATAAATGAACACAAAACACCATATAAATAGAATAAGGGGCAAAATCCACATGATCCTCTCAGTAGATTTAGAAGTGCAGCTTGAAAAAAAAATTAACATGCTTTCATGATAGAAATAGCCAACAAGCTAAGAACAGAAGGGAACTTCTTCAACCAGATAAAGAGCATCTACAGAAAACCCACAGCTCATATCATACTTAATGGTGAAAGACTTAATATGACCAGAGATAAGACAAGGATATTCACATTCCCCACTTCCATGCAATATTGTATTGCAGGTATAAACAGGACAATTAGGCAACAACAATAAATAAAAGAACTCCAGACTAGAAAATAAGAAATAAAACTAACTGTAATCTTAGAGGACATAATCTTACATACAGAAAATTCTACTAGTTCTATTATTTGAGTTTAACAAAGTTGTAGGACACAAGATCAACACACAAAAATCAATTGCATATACACACATTAGCAATGAACACTCAAAAATAAAATTAAGAAAATAATTTCATTCATAATGATTTAAAAATAAACAGATATAAAATTGACAAAATAAGTACAAGACCTGTACATTGACAAGCACAAAATATTATTGAAAGAAATTAAAGAAGATCTAAATAACTGGAAAGACATTTCTATGGATTGGATATCTGAATATTATTAAGATGGCAATTCCGTACGAATTGATCAACAGATGCAACACAATCCCTACTGGAAACACAGTTGGCTTTTTTTTTTTTTAATTCAAAATTGACAACCAGATTCTAAAATTCAGGTGGAAATACAGGGGATTCAGAACACCAAAAACAATCTTGAAAATAAAAGATAAAAATCAGTGAACTTCCAGATTTTAAAACTTACTACAAAGCTACAGAAATTATAACAGTGTGGTACTAGTATAAGTATAGACATAGAAATCAATGGAATAGAATTGAGACTCATTATAAGTCCCAAACTTTAGGGTCAATTGATTTTCCAACAAAGGGGCCAAGATAATTAAAAGTGAAAAAGCAGCTTTTAACCTTTAGTACTAGAACAGTTGGATAATACACATGAAGAAGAATGAAGTTCAATGCCTACCTCACACCATACACACAAAAATGAGCTAAAAATGAATAATAGAATTAAATGAAAGAGCAAAAGCTATAAGAAGAAGGTATAGGAGAATATGTTTGTAACTTAATTAGGCAAATGTTTCTTAAATATAACATCAAAAGCACACATAATAAAAGAGATTAGACTTCATCAAAACTAAGCATTTTTCTACTTCAAAAGACATCTTTATAAAAGTCAAAAGTCAAGGAAGGGCCGGGCGTGGTGGCTCACGCCTGTAATCACAACACTTTGGGAGGCTGAGGCCGGGGGATCACAAGGTCAGGAGTTCAAGACCAGTCTGGCCAACATGGTGAAACCACATCTCTACTAAAACCCAAAAAATTAGCCAGGCATGGTGGTGTGCACCTGTAATCCCAGCTACTCGGGAGGCTAAGGCAGGAGAATCGCCTGAACCCAAGAGGCAGAGGTTGCAGTGAGCAGAGATCACGCCATTGCACTTTAGCCTGGGCAACAGAGCAAGACTCCGTCTCAAAATAAATAAACAAATAAATAAATCAAGGCAAAGACTTGAAGAAACTCTTACAATTTAATACTAAAAAGATAAACAATGGAATTCAGAAATAAGCAAAGGGATCTTTAAAAATAGGTAAAGAATATGAATAGGTACTTCTCCAAAAATGATATATGAATCACAAATAAGCACATGAAAATATACTTAACATGATTAGTCAATAAGAAAATACAAATCAAAACTTCAATGACACACTAAAAAGATTAAACAATCCAATTCAAAAATCAGCAAAAGGATTTTTAAAAATAGCTAAAGATACAAATAGGTATTTATCTAAAAAATATATATGAATCACGAAAAAGGACATGAAAAAATACTCGACATCACTAGTCAATAAGGAAATGCAAATCAAAACTGCAGTGAGATAACACTTCACTTCTACTAGGATTATTATAATAAAGACAGACAATAACAAATGTTTGCAAGAATGTAGAGAAATTAGAACTATCATTGTCAATAGAAATGTACCATGGTTCTGGACTTCTGAAACTAGGTTTTCAGTTTTCCAAAATGTTAACCATAAACCTACCCTATGATAGCAAAATAAGTGAAAACACACACCCATGAAAAACTTGTACATGAATGTTCATAATAATCAAAAAGTGGAAACAACCCAAATTCTCATCAATTGTTTAATGTAATGAAAAACAAAATATGGTATACCTATATAATGGAATATTATGCCACAATGAAAAGGAATGAAGTAGTAACACATGCAGCAATATGGATGAACATTGAGAACATTATGCTAAGTAAAAGAAGCCAGTCACAAAAGACCACATATTGCAGATCCTATTGATAAGAAGTGTCTAGAACAGCAAATCTATAGAGACAGAAAGTAGATCAGTGGTTGTCTAAGTGGGAGTGTATGTGAGGGAGGCAACAGAGTGACTTATTTTGAGATGGTGACATTTTCTAAAACCAGATCTTCATAACTGTCACAAAACTCTAAAAATATGTTTTTTAAAACGCCATTGAAGGGCCGGGCGCAGTGGCTCACGCCTGTAATCTCAGCACTTTGGGAGGCCAAGGTGGGCGGATCACGAGGTCAGGAGATGGAGACCATCCTGGCTAACGCGGTGAAACCCCGTCTCTACTAAGAATACAAAAAAATTAGCGGGGCGTGGTGGCGGGCGCTTGCAGTCCCAGCTACTCGGGAGACTGAGGCAGAAGAATGGCATGAACCCGGGAGGCAGAGCTTCCAGTGAGCCGAGATTGCGCCACTGCACTCCAGCCTGGGTGACAGAGCGAGACTCCGTCTCAAAAAAAAAAAAAAAAAAAAAGCCATTGAGTTACCCACCTTATACTGGTGAACTTGTATGGAAATTACACCTCAATAAGGACATTAAAATAACAAAATCAATAATACAAAAACGGAATCTAAAAATTGCTATTGGAAAGGTACACCATATTCTGGAAGAATGTTACTTGGAACATCAAGACACGTCCTAATAAAATTATTATGCTTTAAAGAAAGAATCCTTTGAGTGCTCAGCCAGAAAAATAAACTGCTTTACAACAGATAGAAAAGCAGGTTTGCATCAGGCTTCTCAACAGCAACATCCAATGCCATAAAAGAGCAAAGCAGCATCTACAAGATACTCAGAGAGACTAGCTTCCATCTTTCTGTTGTAGAATCTTAGAAATGTATTAGCCTTTCTGGCACTTCTGAAACTAGGTTTTCAGTTTTCCAAAATGTTAACCATAGACCTACCCTATGATAGCAAGATAAGTGAAAACATTCAACCCTGAAAAACTTGTACACGAATGTTCACAATAATCAAAATTGACATTTTGGGTAAATCTAAATGAATTCTATGGCCTTCCTGCAATATTAAGGTAATAGAGGCTGAAAATACCTGTGTTTCTAAAGGCAGACCTTTTGGCCAAATGGAAACCCACCACTGTGTATAGATATCCCTGGAAGCTCAAGTACCTTAATTTGCTAAATGCCACATTACAGGATGCCATGTGGCCTGCCCAGCCTTTCCAACTAGGCTTATTTTGGTTTTACAACGTAATAGATTTTCCTTTCCTTATTACTGTATTTCATAAATGAATTATGTATTATTCTAAGAGATTATAGCAGCTTCCCTAAAAATTATAGGGAATGTTTACCTACTGGGAGCTATCAATATATGTGTCCTTTATAATGTAGTTTAAAGAATGAGCCATCTTTTTATGAATTAAATATTACATTATTATATTAAAAGTCACATTTTTAATTGACTCTAAATCACTCTGGAAGACGACTTAAAAGTAATTTTCTAGAAACATGTTTGTTTTCTTTTACACAGAAGTAGAGTCATTTCATACATTCCAGCTATCAAAAGAACGTGGAGATTATGTAGTATAATCTTCTCGCTGTACAGGCAAGCAAACTTGGTTCACTGGACAATTGATGACAATTAAATAAATGCAGAGCTGAAACCAGATTCTAGGTATCTGCTTGTTTGTCTAATGCTCCTTAAACTGCCCCATAACCTCCCATTTTCTTCTGTTTCTGTCTGTAGTCATAAACATCTCATTAGTTTATTCATTCTGTAAAAACGTATTCATTATCCACTATGTGCCAACTATTCTTTGAGATTCAGGGGATGCAGAGGTAAAGAAAATAGGTAAAGTCCATGTTCTCAGGGGCCTTTCTTCTCTGATCATATGTGGCTTCTGCAGAATCTCATTGAAATGGCCTCCCATTCCTGCTGTTTTTACCATTCTTCACCAAGGTCCATCTTCATCAGGTACCCAGGGCATTTCTATTCTCTGTCTCTCTAAGTGTCAAGGAAAACAACCCAAGTAGCCTTATAGCCTGAGGCAGACCTTCCTCCAAGTCTTCTGTGTTCCCCTCACTGCCCCAGTGTGGACGACATACCCCTGCTCTGTGCTCCCTTAACACTGTGTGCTTACCTCAGAGCACCACAACCTGGAAAGGTATTTATCTGCTTATTTGTCACTCTTTCTCTTAAATTATGACCTCCTTGAGGGCAGGGACTGGTGTCTTGTTTTTTCCGATATCTCTAGTGTCTGCACCTGACCTGGAACAGAATGAGTGCTGACTAAATCTGTTGTCGATTAAATTGAGGATGTCTGCACAAACAAAAGATCTTATATAGGGCTTTTAAACCTTACTGAAAATGAGTTTAAGTAAAGGAATTCTTCCTCTTAGGGTCATTTGCAACTTACTAGTTCCAAACTAATTATCAGTAAATAATGTCAAAAATATCCAATTTATTTTTGGATGATTTTCTTCTCCACACTGATGTCATGTTTTTCTCAATGCAATGTGTCAGCAAGGGACACATCTCATAGCTGTGGAAGAATACAACCATCTCTTCTACTTATCCTACTTAACTCAGGATAAGATGCTGATGCTAGAATTTTCACAAAACAGAGACAAGTTCTGTTCAACTTCTGAGAAAATTACTTCGGTTTTCTGTTAAATGCCAAATTGATTTAAAAATTGCCACATGATAAGTTGCAGCATAAAGCAATGCACAATTCAGAACTGGGGTAGTTGTCAGAAGCTATCTTTCAGAACTGAGCTGTTTTCATTTGTGATTGACTGAAGGAGGTCTATGGTCTAGTTTCAGAAAGAGAAAACAGCAATAACAAAACCCTCAGCACCAACATGAAATTCTACACATGCTGGTTTAGTTATTACACAGGCCAATTTATAATTCTTTCTCAGCTGGAATCTGAAATGGCAGTCAATAAATTAATTCATATCTGAACTTTTATCCTTTCAGTCATGCTCTCTAATTGAACACTGCTTACATTTTGTATTGGGAATGTAAAAACACTCCAGGATATCTTTGCATTAAAGGGAGGTACATGAGTTGTACTACATAATTGTCTTTGAATTGTATTACAAATAACTCTACAAGAGATACTAAAATTTGTCCTTACTATCTACTAAATACTAAGATAAATAATGTCAACACACCATCTACTATTCTCTGCAGCAAAGGTGTGTGTGTGTGTGTGTATTGTTGATGTGTATATATCCACATATATATACACATATATGTATGTGTTTGTGTATATATATTCAAATAAAATTTGATATTTTTAGTTTTGTCATAAAAAATCAACATTATTTTCTCAAATAAATCACTAGCTACTTTAAAATTCAATATCATTACTTTATCTGAGTCACTAAGGATTAAGTGTTATTCAAATTATTAGCAGGAATAGTTCCCTGGTATTCTTCCTAGACTTAACCTGAGTATTAGTTAGAATAATTCTAAAGCAGAGGAATAGTTTTAGAAAGTCCTTCATGTTCCATTCTTTCTTTAGGAACTCCTGGTTGAGTCTATCTGCTACCCATCTGGGAACTACAGAGACCATAAACATCGTAATGACCCATTCTCCTTCCAGTACCTCAGGCAGAGTTATGGGAAAGTGAAATAAATATAACATACAATGAATGCAAGCCCATTTTGATTGTGTATTAACATTTATTTATCTGAAATGGAATTCAGCATTAGTGAGACTATGATTAAATTTATATTCTTCTCCATACTAGAGATTACTTAACTATTTAAGGCTCAGTCACCTATGATTAAATGGTTTTGCATTTTAAATATGGTATGTCAGGTGTCTAATACTGTTTTTCACACGTTAATGACTCAATGGATTTATATCTGTTATCCCTTAATATATTCCTAGTTATCAATAAACAATGTGAAATGTCACAGTACAGAGATAAGGTAGATAGACCTAATTGGAAATGGCAGTCTTTCCCAAGGATTTAAAGCCCTAACTAAACTATTCCTTCAGGCAACCATTAAGACCAGTTGCAAATTGCAAATACTTTTTTTTTTTTTTTTTTTGCCATCTCTATTTTAGCTACTGGGTTTACTGCCCTGGGAGTTTTAAACACAATGTCTGCCTTTAAAAAGGTGGATCGGGTAGGTTGGAAAAGTTACATAAATACAAAACATAATGAATAGTTTAAGGTTGAATACCAGTTCTTTCCCAGGTTTACCAGTCTATAAATATAAATGCAAATGAGTACAGTATATGATGAAGTGAAACAGCAGGAAAGTGTGAAAAGAGCTCTAAATTTAAATAGCAAAATTAAAAGAAAAATCCTACTTCTTTTATCTAACTGGTTATTCAATCTTGACTTTATTCACCAACCTCTTTGGGAAGCAGATTTTCCTCTCTAACATAAGGGGATAAAACTTGACACAGTATTTTTCAGCTTCATCGTGTTATGATTAAGGTTGGAAGTAGAAGTAGGAAGTGATTCTTGAGCTTTTTGGGGGGAGTGAAAGCTGGTTGGAGCAGGGTGCACCTAAAATAACCTTTGAAAGATGAGCTGAATTCAGTCTGGCAAAAGCAGGTGAAGGTGGCATATGAGATGAGAAATCATTGTAAGCAATGTCTCTTAATCAGACAATTCCAGACAAGTTTAATAGCACGATGATGGTGATGATGATGACAACGAAGATAATGCAAAATATTTTAGATTATAACAATACATCACCACCATCACCATGTGCCATCTGCCATTCCATTTTGAGCAAATTATCCCTCAGGCAATAGTTGCACTTGCTAGATTTTACACCATGTACAATACAGTTTGGCTCAAATAAAAACCATCTAAAACTGGAATGCCTTTGCCCCAGCAAAAATAAAAAAAAGTGTGTGATGTCTTCATTAATATGCTAATTTGCCCATTTCCTCTCAGAGTAAACATAACGGCCCCATGCACAGGTTGACCTAATTAACAGTATAAAGTTGTTTCTTTCAAAGTGCACATCCAAGAAACTACTGTGTGAAAAAGAATGAAACCTATAGGGATTTCAGCCTTTATGGAGAAATGGGTTAAAGAAATAGAACTATGATAGGGCTTAATATTGTTTTCAATCACTAAAATAAAAATCAATAACATATTACATAAAGACAACACTAATTATGTGTCAGTAATATTAAAATGTTCACTATTGATTTCCCTCTGCCATCTTCTAATCATGATAAACATCTCAGGAATCCTGCTTCTCTAAAATTTAATTGCTTATATATGTGTACTGTATTGAATATTAAGTACATATTGAAAAACATCTTTTTCTGCACCTAGTCTTTTTTCTAATGTCTCATACCGTTCTTCACAATGTCATATGCCAAGTCCTGCCATGATGCACCGTCACTAGGACTGCTAGATTTAGTAAGTAAAAATATAGTGCCAAATTAATTTTAAATTTCAAATAAACCAAAAAATTAATATAAGTATGCCATATATAAAAATAAATATATATATATATATAATATATAAAATTCCAAATTAATAAGACTGGCATCTTATACTTTATCTGGCAACCCTAACAGTAACTGAAATAATTAAAAATGAAAAAAGATTATTTCCAAGTAAACATTTCTTATGCTTTCTTCATAAAATCCAAAATGACATATGATCAGCTTCCCTCATAGTAATGCTTTATCAAAGCACATATACACAGCCTCTTTTACAAGTATCCCAGGGCCACAGCAACCTCTGTCCCTTCCATCCCACACAATCTCGGGAGCATTAAGGCATTGGTTATTTTTCCTACATTGTCCTCTTTTTCTCCCCAAGTTTCAACACTATAACATTCCATTATGCTTTGTCTACATTTTTTCAATTTTCCAAACACCAGTATCCCTTTTTTCTAGTTATGTTTAACAATTTGCAACATCTGACTTCATAGTTTTGAAGTGTAGACAGAAGGTAACTTGTGTGTACTCTACTAGAATTTTACATAAAGAAAACTTGCATTTTTGAAGGTTTATCTTATTTAAGTATCTATAGTTTTATTTGACTCAGTCAAAATACTGATAAAAGATCAGATCAGAAATATTTATATAAAAATTATTGTCAGGAAAATACCAGTACAATATATATTTAATTTCCAAATACGTATTCACTTTATTTGTATTAACATTTCTGAATAAACAACACGGATTTTGCCATTTACTAAAGGCCAGCTTTTGAAATGGGGGCCAGTATAAGGGAAATTTAGTTCAGATCCTCAAGGGTGAAAAAAAAAAGCTTTTGTGTGTGAAAATTCTGGACTATTTCCAATGCAAAACTTTCAGATGCACTGAATTATTCATTTGTATTTGGAAAATATTATGGGCTAACAGCTGAACAAATAAAATGGCATGTTAAAATTGTAGCTATTGATATCTAAAAGCATAAAATGGATTTTAAACTGTTATGGGAGCATTTTACCTTATTTTACAAACCGGTAACGTTCCATTAGGAGTCATTCAGATTTTTAAAAATGAGGCAAGTATAAGTAACAAGATAACTGAACTGAGAGCAAGGACTCTCATTTTAATTTCTTATACAAACAGAAGCCATTATGATTTTTAACAGACATTTTCTGCCTCTATTTTCTCATCTGAACAGTGGGGATAATATCTTTCAGACAGCTTGGGGGCTGAGAAAAAGCAAGTTGAATAGATTTCTCCTATAAATCTAGGAAAGAAAAAAGAGAGGTTTCATATCAGCAAATCAGGAGAATATCCTGTTTTAGTCCTTTTCTCATATTCAGCTAAAATAGGTTGTGAGAATTCAAAGTCCTCAAACTGTTTTTTGTTGTTGTTAATATTTTTTGTGGTTCACATGATTTGTCCTCAGATTTTTCTTTCTAAACCGACTTTTTTTTTTCCAGAAAAAGAAGGGAGGCCTTTGTCACTTTTATTTGTTACACTGGGAAACAAACAAGACAAAACAAAGGCTTTGTACCTGCCCTGGGATTGAGGGTACTTTTTCAAGCTAACACTCTCTATGTATTTATCATATACTTATTCATTTGGTGGGGAGGTTAAGCTTTCCAAGGAGAAAGAAAAAGCAGGAAAACCTCAAGTGACAGTGCTCTGATTCTCCTCTAGACTTCCAAGCAGTTCATCCTGAGAAAGGAAAGTTAACCAGCCCAGCCCGCGTTGAAAGGCTACTTAGTATGCTTCTGATTGTGGAGGATTGGGGACCAGGTGTCAAAGTACTCCTTCTGACTACAAGTATCTCTACCCTGAGAGTTCCTGTAAATTGGGTTTTCTTTTCTATTATACATTTCTAATTACGTTTACTGCCTCTTATAGACCGAATCCAGCTTGCCTTCTGTCAGTCTTCACAAGGCAATCCTTTGCACCCTGTTGATGACATACTTGGCTCTTTGGTCCTTGTGATGGTTAATACCGAGTGTCAACTTGATTGGACTGAAGGATACAAAGTATTGTTCCTGGGTGTGTCTGTGAGGGTGTTGCCAAAGGAGATTGCCAAAGGTGGACTGGGAGAGGCAGACCCACCCTCAATCTAATCAGCTGCCAGCACGGCTAGAATAAGGCAAGCAGAAAAAGGTGGAAGGGGCTGACTTGCTGAGTTTTCCGGCCTTCATCTTGCTCGGGTGCTGGTTGCTTCCTGTCCTAGAACATCAGACTCCAAGATCTTCAGCTTTTGGCTTCTTGGACTTTACACCAGTAGTTTGCCTGGGGCTTTTGGGCCTTTGACCACAGACTGAAGGCTGCACCGTCCGCTTCCCACTTTTGAAGTTTGGGGACTCAGACGGGCTTCCTGATTCTTCAGCTTGCAGATGGCCTATTGTGGGACTTCACCTTGTGATCCTGTGAGTCAACACTCCTTAAAAATCTCCCCTGCACACATCCATCTATCCTGTTAGTTCTGTCCCTCTAGAGAACCCTGACTAATACAGTCCTCTTTAGTTTATCTTATAAGGAAGGAGTCAGGACATAAACACTGCTTTGAAGTCCTGATGAAGTCAAGATTCTCAAACTTAGGTTGATGAATCGCAATAGGTGTGGCCTATGTTATCTGTCAGTGCTGAGGTTTGAAACTGACTGCAGACTATATTCCTTTATCACAGGGTTGTGCCCTTGAAGAGGCTGTGTTGAGAATAAGAGATTGTTCATAAAGAAGGCTTGAATCTAGTGGGAGTTTAGTAAATGATGGTTAATATTTACTTCAATATTTCCAGCACCCAGAACAGTACCTGAATTAAAAGACATTCATGAAGTATTTGGTAAATGGATGAAAGTACTTAGCTTAAAGGTGGTAGTGATTTTTCTGTTCATGACATTATTATTTATTTATTTCAAGTTTAAATATCTATTTTGGACTGCTAGGTTACAAATTAAATTATATACACTTGAAGATCTTCTGTGACCTATACATTGATAAACACATCTAATAGATTATTGTTGTTAGGCCTTTTCAACTTAATAGAAAAGTATGAACCAATTGTTATAAGTGAAAATATGTTTAGCAATTTATTTCCTTCTTATTGAACTGGTTAAGCATACCCCTTACCTGGGTACACAATTAAACCTTGCCTTGTTTTCATGAAATCTCATTCTGCTTTATTTATTTATTTATTTAGAGTCAGGGTCTTGCCCTGTCACCAGGCTGGAGTACAGAAGCACAATCATGGATCACTGCAGTCTCCAGCTCTTGGGCTGAAGTGATCCTTCCACCTCAGCATCCTGAATTGCTGAGACTACAGGCATGTGCCATCACTTCTGGCTTCATTCTGTTCTTTTGGATCCTTAGATGGTTGACTACCTAAATACAATTACTATATACTATAGAGCATGCACTGTTTTTACTGAAAACACATTGGGGTCATTCCCAGGAGTACATTTGGATCCTCTGGGATTTGTTTTTTAAATCTCTTATTCCACAACTAACCAAGATATCGTACTATAGCAATTCTGCCTTGATTATTTTTTCATTTCCTACTAAAACTCCAAAAACTTGTCATTCTTAGCTCATTTTCTTTCTAAGAAAACTTTCTTAATTTCTTCTCAATTTTTATGGAATTCAGTGCTGCTTACTTATTATAATGTTTGGGTCCCTTAAAAACTCTTAGATACTGAAACATTAGCAAACTAAGAAAAGCCATTAAAATTATTCTACTGAATTAAATATAGAAACTTAGAACAAAGGAATAAGAATTAACATTGTACATCAGAAAAATATCTGTTTACACTTGAATCTCAGCTGTAGTGCATCATCCATGGAGCTAAATTTAAAGGTTTACTTATTATTCATGGCACATTATTCTGGAGTTTTGTCAAAAATTAAAACAGAGCTGCTCTATTATTGTATATCAATCAAGTAAAATAAGAAATTTGTTTGTATATATACATGTGTATGTATATACATACACACACTTTTTAAAAGCATAAATGTAACAGTAATTGGCTTTATGTATTTAAAGCTTTAACAATGACTTTACTATTTGACCCCGGAATTCTTCTCCGAGGAAATTACCACAGGGAAAGTATTAGGGATGGGTTCATGCATTTATGTTTACAAATATTTATTGCTTTGTTCATTACAATAAACACAGGAAAAATCTAAAATTCAACAATACAGGAATTTTGATTTTAATTTTATCATATTTATACAATGGATTACTAGGTCACATTGAAAAGTGTGCCTTACGAGAATGCTAAGAGGTCAATGGACATAATCTAATTCAAAGGTGAAAAAATACACTTTCAAAATTATAATTAATGTTTTTAAAACTTTTGCAGGGATCATGAATTATATTAGTATTCTGATAAAAGACATCAATCCTTTACCTAGAAAAAAATGCACTAATGCAAACAAACAACAAAATGGTATGCAGTTGGGAGAAGAGGGTGAGATTCCCATAGCCATTCTGGGGATGCTAGGTAAAGGAAGCCTGATATATATTGCCATGATTTTCTTAAAAATAAACTGTATCTATTTTTTTTTAATTTTATACACATATATAGAAAATGTTCAGAGACTTCAGCAGCAAGGTAGGCTAAGACTGTCCAAATAGATTTCCTTTCTGCTACAACACAGAGAAATACTGAATAATACCACATCCATGTGCACACACACACATATGTACACCACATGAGTACGTGCATGCACACACACACACACGTGTGGACGCACACACACACACACACACGGAGCTAAACTGGACAGCTACACTTAACAGAAGAAAGTGGACATCTGCAGGCATAGAACAATAGGAGAAGACAAATGCAGAAGAAGAAAGGTTACTGATATCATAATAATCTTGACGTTTCAGAGGAGGATTTAAACTTTTCACCTGGATTTGTAATGCTCTTGGAGATGAGACATGACCTTTGGCCTAAGCCAGACAAGAGAGCTGGACCTGAGATTCCAGCACAAAGGAGATCATCATTGGATAGACACTTGATGAAGTTTTATTTTATTATTTTTGTTTTTAATAATTAGATGATTTAATTTTTTTTGGTCACTTAAGATTCACAGGTTTGGGGTATCCTTGACTAAAAATGAAATTGCAAGAAAGAGAATAGACTGTTCTAAAATAATAGACATCAGAACCCGAAGATACACATTGCCAATAAAATATTTTTAACTCTGTGCTTAAGTGTGGTGGGAAAGTTTTAGAGATAAGATATCAAATTTTACATAATTCTTACTTTGTAACTATAATTTCTTTTACTCACTCTTTTAATCATATAAATCAAAATCTCACAGACATTTACTAGTTAGGGATTTTTACCCCTTACATAAACAAACACTGGCTTCCTAAAGGGAATATTTTGGGTTGTCATAACTTCATTCAAGCATTTTTCAGTTAAGTTAAAAGCAAAAGTAAAATCACTGCAAAAATATAGCTGCCATTGTACATCTACTACTGCTGAGTAATAATGCATGAATGAAGACAGCCCCTTACCCATAGCCAGTCGCTTGAGAGAAACTTGAATAAGCAAATCAAGCACAAGCAACAGAGGCAGACAGAGGATGATTGCATGGGTCGCTGAATAATTGACATTGCCTTAACAGTTGAATATTTTCAGTGTATTCTAATTCTGAGAAAAATTGTGATAAATATACACTTTTTGTCAAAATCTAGTTAAGATATCAACAACGAGCAATCAACTTGACAGAATCTGAACAGACCATATACCAGAATAACAAGGCTCTTATAAGACAAGACATTTGATACTATGTAACTTTTGGGGAAAAATTCTGAGATTCCTCAGACTCTAAACTCAAGGCTGGCTCCTACCAATAGTGTCTCTGTTATGGTTTGACTTGTGACCCCCTCAAATTTGTGTACTGAATTCTTAACCCTAAGCACCACATTATACGAGCTTATTTGAAAATAGGATTGTTGCAGATGCAACTAAGATGAGGACATACTAGAACAGAATGGGCCTCTAATTCAATGTGACTAGTGTCCTTATTTAAAAAAAAATAAACATAGGCATGCACACAGGGATAACACCATGTGAAGTTTAAACAGGAAACTGACATGATGCAACAGAAGACCATATACTCCAAAGATTGCTAGCAAACCACCAGAAGGTACGAAAGAAGCATGAAAAATACTCTCCCAAACAGACCTCAACATCAGAAGGAACCAACTTGACCAACAATGTGATCTCAGACATCTTGCCTCCAGAACTGAGAGACAATATATTTCCATTGTTGATACCATGCAGTTGTGGTACTTTTATACATCAGCCCTAGCAAACTAACACAGTCTCCTTCAAAATATACAAATCTCCTCTCATCCCTTTCCCCTTCATTAGCACGGTTTCTCTATTGATTCTTGCTAATATTTAGAATACCAAATTATTTGACTCTTTTGAGGCTTTCCAAAAACTAATTTAACTTTTTAGAAAAATAGTCATGGACTTTGACTGTGGTAAACAAGGTTGCTAAAAACAACTTCCTTTTATAAACAGAGAGGAATGCTGGATAAAGTAAATAGAAAAAAAAAAATGTTTTAAAGAGACCTAATTTAAAAGGAAGGCCAATTAGAAAGAGAGCTGAAGAAGAATTTAGTAAACTAAAAAACAGAACTCAGGAAAGTATCCAGAATTAAACTCAGAGAAAGACGTAAAGATAATAGAAGTGAATACATAAAAGGTATGATGAGAACTTATAATGTGTGTACCATAGCAATTCTATAACAATAGAATAGAGAGAATAGGGGAAAAGAGGCAATATTCAAAGTGGTGGTGAATGAAAATTACCCATAATTGAAGAAAGATTGAGTCCTGAAAAAGTGTCAGTATCAAAAGTGTTAAATTAAAAAAAAAAAAAACTTAAACACTTCTTTTAGAAGAAATAAAAATAATCCAAACTTCCCAAATTCAAGAGAAAAAGTTGCCCTAAAATTCTAAGAAATAATGACTGCCGGATTGACAGTAGTGTTAGAATCAACCACAGTTAACAAGACAGTGAAAAAATAGATTTTAAGTATTAAGAGAAAATATCTGTCAACTTAGAATTGTATACCTAGTTGGGATTTTAATCAAGAGTGAGGGCAAAATAGATATTTTTGTCCAAGGCATTATACTCACAGATTTCACTGAAAGAATACCAATAGAAGTACTTCAAGGGAATATAATTTAACTCGGAAGAAAATAGTGGAGTATAAAATAAAAATAAAACAATATAAAATAAAATAGGAATATAAAATAAATTAGTAAATGTATTGTCTATAAAAAGTATTGATAATGATGAATTCTGACGTCATAAATTCAAAATATAGATATGGAAGATGAGACTGGTGATTGAATTTAAAAGATTAAAGTTTTTGTATTTGGAAGAGGTTGATAGAGATATTCAGTCGTGACAGACATAGTTAACACAAGTATTAAATCATTAAATTCAAAACTGTCAAAGTATAAAAATAGAATGCATAATTTTAAATTAATAGAATAAAGGAGTAAAAAAGAAACTTGACTAACGTATTAGTCCACTTGTTCTGTTATTACAAAATACCATAAACTGGGTAATTTATAAACAACATAAATTTATTTCTCACAGTTCCAGAGGCTACGAAGTCCAAGTTTAAGGTTCTGGCATGTGCTGAGGGCCTTCTTGCTGTGGCCTCACATGGCAGAATTTGGAAGGTGCAAGAAAGAGTGAACCCACTCCCACAAGCCCCTTTTATAGTAGCATTAATTCATTCGTGAATGTGGAGTCCTCATGACCGAAACACCTCCCGAAAGTCCCCACCTCCTAACATTGTTGCATTGGGGTTTTGGGGTTTGTTTCCAACCTATGAATTTGGGGAGTCATATTCATACCACAGCAGCTAATAAAATAGATTGAGAAAAATAATTAAAAGAAAGCAAAGGGAAAGCATGGCATAGAAAAAAATAAAATAAAAAAATCCATATATATTAATAGTCTCAAAAATGTATGTGGATGGAAATTTTCTGTTTAAGCTCAGAGATTTTTCAATTATATTTTTCTTAAAAACAAATAAACTCGTAATATGTATATAAAATACATACCTAAATAAAAGATATTCTTTCAGTAAGGTTGAAATTAAAGATATAAAAGAAGATATATTTGATAATACTAATGTAAAAAAGGTTATGCAGCCATATTAAAATATATCAACACAGATTTTAAGTAAACTACATTATTTTTATAAAGTGGGTCTTTTAATATATGTAAGTTACAGAATGGTAGATATTTGTGGTATTAATCAACATATCCTATATGTCTAGAATAGTACCTGGCACATAATAGGCATTCAGAAATGTTTGTTTAGTGAATGTTTAATAAGTACTAAAAGAAAACATTAGCAGTGAGTTAATACAATTCTCTTCATATATAATTAACAACTTGGTTTCAAAATATAAATGAACACACATTATGTTTACAAGGTATGTGTGCACACACACACATGAAATTTTAGCAAAATAAAAAAAAAAACAAGGCAAACAATTTGTGAGAAATTGTGAACCTTGTAATGAAATCCTCACTACCATCTGCCAGACTGTGTTACCTGTTTGAGCTAGACAATGTGACTGCTAAATTACAGGTACTGTGACTCATACCAATAACACTGTTGTGTAATATCATGCTTGTGTTCTCATCTTTGCTTATTTAATAATGGCATGAGGTGCATAGATAAATCAGTCATCTTGTTTAGCTGAGTCCCTGATGCTAAAAGGACAAGGTGATCTTCAAATTCTGTTTTCAGTGTGATCATGTTGCTGTCTCCTCCACATTCTTCAGTAGCATCTGGTAAGCATGCAATGTGAATTGCTAATTCAACTCTAGCTGTAAAATTAGTCTATGTTCAGCAGAGAGTGTAGGAGCAGCTGGTAAACAATATGAGATCCCACAGGCTCCACTAGCTGAATATACTTCAACAGGATGCCCGAGTCATTTACTTTCCTATCTGTTTCTCTAGTGATGCTGCAAAATTTGGAAAGGGTTTCCAGACAGACAGCTAGGGTTAAGTGGTGTGGGGATGAGGGAGATAGGAAGTCTAAAAGACATCGCACAACTCTGAAAAAACAGTTTGATAAGACTGGAAACACAGGACTCGGACTCTAACCTTATTTCTTTTTCTATAACCATCATGGAAGGCTACACCTATGGTGAACTCTCCCTTTATACCATTTTTCAGTTCATTTTTTTTTTCTTTGAGACAGGCTCTCTCTCTCTTTCTGTCTCTCTCTCTCTCTCTCCCTCTCTCTCTCTCTCTCTGTTACCCAGGCTGGAATACAGTGGCACAATTACAGCTCACTGCAGCTTCAACCTCTCCAGGCTCAGGCGTTCCTCCCATCTCAGCCTCCCAAGTAGCTGGGACTACAGGAAGGTGCCACCACGTCCGACTAATTTTTGTATTTTTTTGTAGAGACAGGGTTTCATTATGTTGGCTAGGCTGGGCTCGAATTCCTGACTTCAAGGTATCCACCGGTTTCAGCTTCCCAAAGTGCTGGGATTACAGGTGTGAACCACCACACTTGGCCCATTTTTCAGTTCTCTTTTGCATTTTTCTTCCAAATAATCTAAAGAAATAATACCATCACTATTATCACTCTTCATAACAGTTTTCAATGTGTTTGTTTAATAAAGGAATGATCTTAGTCACTAGGACTTAGATATAAAAATGTATAGGCGTGATCATCACTCCACCAAGTAAGTGCAGAGTTTAACGATTACATTAATTCCACACTATAGAAGATTAGATGTGTGTTGCCATCACAAAGTATTCTAGTTTATTTGTATTTTGTCATTACAATGTCATAAGCTGTAGTCTTTGCCCAGGTGTACACCAACTTAACCTACTGGACTGTGATCAGAGTGTACATTAACTTTTGTTTCTTCTGTAGTTCAGTTAAAAACAAAGTCTTTTATTTCTACAATGGTTTCATTTTCCTATCTAAAGCCCAGGTCCACTCCAATATACTTGTTAGAATAAATTATTTGAACACATTTCTGATAGCATTCAAGAAGTTTAAAACAGAAAGGAACAATAGATAATGCAAAGTGAGAAAGAGTGAATAATAAAAATGTAGTTGCTGATATTGATGAAATGTGGTAGGAAGATAAAAACAACTCAAACTATGCAGTATTTCCCAACAGAAAACCATTTCATTCTATGTTTAAGATAATATCCAGAATGCCTGCAATGAGGTTCAGTGGTTAATTTACCTTGAAATATTGAAATGAACTCTGTGATCTTTTAAGACAGAGAGTACCATGGGTTTGGCAGTAGGTTTAAAAAAACACTTCTCTCCTGGAGGAGGGACACATATTCTATCATAGGTTTATTTGCTTTGGTAAAAATAACAGGTCCTTATGAGGATGACTGATGTAATTAGGAAAACAATTTTTAAGAACAACATTCATTGTCAGAAAAATAGATTCTCAACAAAACATGAATAGAAAAACAAGAGCAATTTTTATAATTGAGTCAACTTTCCAGATGAGGAAGAAAACTTCCGATGTGTGGCTTTCTAGTTTCAGAGCTATTAAGAGGTCTGGGAAGCCATGTCCACTAATTGTAAACAAACAAACAAAAACAAGTAATAGAGTTGGTGAAGAAATAAAAATGTGCAACTCACTTCCTTGAAACAAAATGACAAATATGCTTATTAAAACCAAAATTGACTGCATTTCCTTGGGTAAAACATAAATCATTACAGGGAGCAGATGGCCAATTTGCTATTAGAAAAATAGAACCCACCTATTATGTTCTTGAATATGGTAAATCAGTTTCAGAGCTGAATCTTGATTAGAGTTAAAATTCAAAAACTTGGTGTATTCTGAAGTAAGATATATTGGAAACATATCTTAGTAACTTAAGAGAGGCATGGAGAGCTGAGACAGGCTGTTTTCAGAGGAGAGAAGCTGCCTCCATAATATGACTGCAGACTGAAGCCATTATAGAATGGGTGCATTCCTGGAAGCACACACTAAAACAGAGTTTGGGGTACAAAATGCTGATTAGGCATTGATATCTGTGAAAAGAAGGGTAAGAAGCAGGATTAGGAAGGGAAAGAAGTTAAATTGTGATGCCAATCAACAAAGCATCTGCTAGGGAACTCTGCAGTGGATATTACCTTCCAAAGTTGTCTTGCAATGGATGGAAATGGCCATACCTTTTCCACTCACTTATCAGGTGCTGGATGGGTAAGAGGTACAGCAAGTCTGTCCTCTATAGGTAAGGTAGATCCTGAAAAAAAAACAGGCAGCTGCAAGCTATCTGCTGATAGCTCTCCCTGCAGCTGGACATCAAGGTCTTCTTGAGTCAGAATCTGGGCAATACATCTTCCTATCTACCAGAGAGGCCTAAGGAAAGATGGCCCTCTGAGAGGCTCTTGTGCCAGGTAAGAGATCCAAATACATGAAGATTAATGATTATTGTAGTGAATTGCGGATTTCTTCCCTTACCTAAAGGCATTCCCATTCAATTAAAAAAGAATTGAACTCAAACTCAAACTGGTAGTATAGTATACAACACAAGGATAGCCAGAAAATACCAGAATAATGAGGCCTAAGAAGAAAATTTAAGTTCTTTTTTTTAATGGTAATTTATATAGCTGATCCTTTACCCCATCACCACTGATTAACCCAGAAGAGTTGTTCTCTTTGGTGTAATTAAGAATTATTTAAGGAACTTGTAGAAAATACAGATGTTTAGTTGTGATTTCCATGGATCGTGATTCATGAGAGCAGTGATGTGTTCAGGGATTCCACGTTAGTATCCTGGTTATGCTGAGGTGAGTGAAACAGTGCATGAACCACACTTGGAGAACAACATGCCTAAAGCTTCAGTAAACTCTGTTACATGCCACACTCCCGTAATTCAGGGTCTGAAAGAAGAGGATGTCTAGGAATGGGCAGAAAGGAGCAGAACACGACGTGTAGGGCACAGAAAACAACAAGGAAAAGCACCAGAGGAGATCAGGCTTCAGTGACAAATATGGTAAAACATGTCCTTTGCCAAATGCACTAGACGATCTGGGAGCAGGCATTTCTAAAACACAAATAATGGGCAAAATGACGTATTTAGTACTTCAGGAAATAGCAATTGCATATAAAGACAGTAGGGAATATGAGACTTCAAAATCACCCAAATGTCTTTAGCAGATTTAACAAGCCTCTGACTTTCCCACTTACAAGTTGATCAGTCCAATAAATGTCTATTTAAACTTATGTTTTACTTAGCTTATAACCAAATTCTCATAAATTTCCTTTATACCTTAATGTAGAATAGCATATCTCTGGAACCAAGAGAAAGTTTTAAGGTCTACTTGTTACCCCTTTTTCAATGGCTTTAAAATATTTTATTCATAATTAGAAAGACAGTTCTGGATTATCAAGCGCAAGATCTCTTCATTTACGCCTTGTGAATAAGTTTGACACATTTATGTAGAGCACTGAATAATTTAGTGAACTGAGACCACTTGGGACTGAGCAACACTCGTATTTGGACTGCCTCAGAATTTTTATGAATTTTGAGTTTAAGCCCAGAAACAGTGACAAAAAAGTGTTAACAAAAAAAGGTATATGAATGTATAAAAAAATCTCCTTACTTTTTCTATATTTAGTGTGGGTCTACATGCTTTTTAAATAACCCTGAACACAAAACACTTAAGAATGCTTGAAAGATTGTAGAACATTCATTTTAAATAAAACATATTTCCTTGCTTTTAATCAATCTAAAAGTAGGTGTTGCTTCATTAATTTCAAACACATTAGGTATTAGAATGTGAAAGGAGGGGGTTAGAAGGCACCTGATGACATACTTAAGTTTAATAAGATCTTGATTGTGATGTTAAATCATAAAAACAAGCAATTATGAATCTAACAAAAAGTATTTTAGGCTGGACACAGTGGCTCACACCTGTAATACCAGCACTTTGGAAGGCCGAGGCAAGCGGATCACTTGAGGTCAGGAGTTTGAGACCAACCTGGCCAACATGGCAAAACCCTGTCTACTAAAAATACAAAAATTAGCTGGGCATGCTGGCGTCTACCTGTAGTCCCAGCTGCTCTGGAAGCTGAGGCACAAGTATCATTTGAACCCGGAAGGCAGAGGTTGCAGTGAACCAAAATCAAGCCACTGCACTCCAGTCTGGGCGACAGGAATAAAAACCAATCTCAAAAAAAAATACAAATAAAAAACAAAAATAAATAATAATTGCTCAAACTATAATGGCATAATTTTGAAGACCTCATTTTTATGGAATAGAGTTGCCAGTTCTGTAATCTGAGACTTCATAAATTAAAAACTACTGTATCTGGAAATCATACCTGTAATGCAGTGACAGCTCTCTTGACTTTCACTTAGTTGGTGCTGGTTAACAGTATCTTTTCCCTGGCCTTTGTAACCCACACTGACTGATATACCAGGTACACCGAACCCTCTCTGTTGTTGATTACTCACTCATGTTCATGACTTCTGTTGATCAATGAGGCCTTCAATCAACAAAAACAATTGCATTTGCAAAGGACCTACCATGGAGTCCAGAGTGGGCATTCCCACCCATGTTAGTATCTTTCTCTTTCTTTCTCTCTGTTAAAAAGTCAGAAGCTGTTACAACAAGAAGAATAGCAAAATGCATTACTAGCATCATATTAAAAATGCCATAAGGCAATATATGTGAGTACACTGAATATAAAAATAAAAATAAAATACTATTATATGATATTATGTTATATATTATATTATATACTCTACTATATTCTATTATTATAATAAGAAAGCACAACAAACAAAGAATACCTAAAATATAAAATTAGGAATTCCATGGGTCTCTTGTTTTTGAATTGGGGGAACTTAAACGGTCATCTAATCTCAATCCTTTTAATTGCCAAATTAGAAAACGGACTCAGAGGAGTTAATATCTATAGATTACTTATTTTGGAAGAGGTACTATGTTAATTATGTTATATATATTCTTTATAGTCATTGTCAAAGCAACCCTAAAACAATTATTATTTGCATTTGAGAATTATTCTCTGCACTTTACAGATGAGCAAGGGAGGCTTGCTAAGGGTTTTTAGCTGCAGAGATTAAAATCACTTCTAACTTACACCCAAACTCACTTTTTCCTGCCTTACATCATATTGTATAAAGGGACCGATAAGGATTTTAACTGAACTGAGGGGAGGCAGACAAGGTAGTGATTCATTTATGTTAGCTTTAATTAAGAAGAGTTCCATGATAAACCCAAAGACTTTAGAGGCCAGTCAGGAGACCTAAATATGTGAAGGAGTAATGATTACTAAAGAGCATTGTGAATTTCTACCTAAAGACATTTCTGTTCAATTTTTAAAATATGAACTGGCCCAATTAAAATATATCTGCTGGATGGTTACCCATTTGCAACTTATGAAAGAGAGCAAAGGTAAGGGATCTGCAAAAATAAGTCTGGAAAACATCCTAGGCTTGGGATGGAGGCACTATAATATATGGGAAGGTACAATAAACAGATGAACAATTAAAGAATCAGGGGCTGGCTGGTCTTAACCATATCAAAGAAGTATGTATTTAGTTATTCCATATATATAGGGAGGGCAGACTTGGTAGTACAAGTGAAAGGAGAGGAAAAAGAGGGGGGGAACTTTTAGTGGTCCTTAGGTGCTAGCCTGGGTATTTGTATTTTATTAGAATGAAGAAAGGACCCACTTAGAAATATGCCAAATACTTCCCTATTGTATTCTAGGTATACTTACTGTATATTGTGCCTTTGGAAAAGCCTTTACATTTTACAGATTGGTTCACTAATATTTATTGAAGATAAATAACTTCCTCAATGTCATAAGGTAGAAAGTGGGTGAGTAAACTTTTAAATTGTATCTGTCTGGTTCCTGAAAGAATCCACACAACATTATACCATACAGTTTTCTGTAGAAAATACTCACTTTTATATTCTATGTCACTACTACTCTAAGTATTCTTCACATATTAGCTAATTTTATCTTCATAAGGCACAGAAAGACAAATACTTCATGATCTCACTTATATGTGGACTCTAAAGAAGTTGAACCAGTGGTACTCTTTACCAAGAGTAAAATATGCTGATAAATTAAGGGAGGTGTGAAAAAGAAAAAAGGCCTTTAGATCGATTAGTTTTCTTTTAATATAAATAGGTTTTGGTAGTGTAGGGGTAGACAGACAGGACAGCTTTCCTCACCCATCATAAGGATCATAGCTGACACTACTATAGCAAAAGGCAGGTTAATAAGAGAAGAGCATTAAAAAAATATTTAATCAGTTCTATGTGACATGGGAGCCTTCAGCAATGTAGACCAAATTAGGTTAGATGAAGGATAAACAGCCATGCAAAAATGTGATTGGACAAAAAGGGAATGATCTAATGGTAATAGACTGAGTGAGGGAACTCAGCAAGGCTTGTTTGTTCAGATTCTTCTTAAACTCTCTGTGTAGTATTTTTCTCCTGAGTATAGGGCAGGACCCATTCTGAAATGAGGGTCTTATGATCTATTATTAGACAAGCTGGGTCAAACAATTTCATTACAGCCAGCTCCTACACAGAAAGGTGGAAAAAGGTTAAAGTAATATTTCTAGGTTTTATGGCTGGCTTTTGGGGAAAGTAGTTCTGGAATTCTAGTTTCTGTGGCCTGCCTTGAGGGAGAAAAGGGAGCAGGAGAAAGAAGGGCAAGAGAATGTCAGAAAGAGACTCTGTTTCTGACACCCTTCTGAGACCCTTCCAATGTCCTTCAGTTCAAACTACTCAGCATTCCAAAATGCCACACTCTGGGGTATCATTTTCTGAACCCCAATAGTAGATCAGTTAAATTAGAGAAGTAGAATGATAATGAGGACAAATCTCTGTGACCGAACTCTCAAAGTCTTTTAACCTTTCCCCTAAGTTGCATTGAAAGTCTTACCCTCTAATTCCCATCAATTATTTCAGAACTGCAGGAAAAATTGACTGGGAAAAGTTGGTGGGACAAATTGAATCCATCAAATAATTCCAAGTGAAATACTAGAAAAAGGAAGGTGGGCATTGTGATCCTGAGACACTAAACATGTCTCCATTTGTTCTATATCAATATTCCACTGCTTTTTGCCAGCATCTGAAGTTACGTTGTTTACCAGCTAGTTTATTTGTGAAATCGAGTATTCTCCCTGTATTACTACTATGTGAAAAGGGTACAAAGCAGGCATACATCTTTTTCTATAACCGTCCTTTCATTTTTTTCACAAGTTTTAGTAGATACATTTACAGAAACCCTTATATGTAAAGAAGTCTTAGTAATGTGATTTAATGAAAACACTTAATTTGGGAAGAGACCCTTTAAAATGTTCCATTTGCATCTCTCTGATATAAATTTCAATATCAAAATTCCATCAACAGCAGGGGAAAAACTGCCATTAACTAGAGATAGCAACTTTGCTCTTAATAGAAACACTAAATTACTGCTCTAAGAGCTAAACTACATATAAAACAACTTTAGTTCTTTAAGAAAGGGTGAGCAACATTTTATTTTCGAAAGGAACATATGTTATTTTCATTTGCCTTAAATGACACATGGAAATTAAGAAGCCTACCATTAAATAGGCAAACGATTTACAAGAAATGAAATACAGTGCTAACAAAAGTTCAAATGGATCTGGTTTCAAGATTTGAAAATGGAATATTACTCATAATAAAAAGGAAAGGAGTAGGAAACTGGGCTTAGTGCCCATTAAGAAGGTAAACTTGAGAATGACAAAAGGCTGAACATATACAGAGTGAATGGTGAATACAAAGCTGAAACCAATGTCTTCATCTGTATTGCCTTTGAAGAAAATAGGGGGAAGAGCATAGGTAAGTTTCTAAGTTGTTATACAAATTTCAGTAAAATAGTCAATATTAGTATTTTATGGTACTTTTGGTTACAAGTAACAAAATCAGACTCTGGCTACCTTATGCCCAAAAGAAAATTTATTAGAAGAAGCTAGAGTATATAACAGAATGCAGTGAAAATCCACCCAAGGAAGCTATGGAAAAGCAGGAACCTGGAGAGCTCACAGATCCTCCCTAGAGATGTTAAGGAAACTTTCCTTTAAGGAACCGTAATAAGCCTGCCAGAGTTTCAAGAAGTTCAAATCCTTTTATCACTCAAATATCAACTTTATATTAAAGTTAGGTGTCCATTCTTTGATCAGCCAAATGCATCTAAGGGACTGTTACGTAGGATAAATGAAGCAACTGGGGCTTACACCTGTTTGAGGGGATATTCCCATAGTAGACAAGGTTTTGAACTGGCATTTCCTACTACACAGTAAACGTAGTTACACTAATGAAAAATAAAAACAAAAGTTGATACCTGAACACCACATTACATTTATCATTCAAGAATTATTTGGGGCCGGGTGTGGTGGCTCATGCCTGTAATCCCAGTACTTTGGGAGGCCGAGACGGGTGGTTCACGAGGGCAAGAGATTGAGGCCATCCTGGCCAACATGGTGAAACCCTGTCTCTACTAAAAATACAAAAATTAGCCAGGTGTGCTGGTAGGCACTTGTAGTCTCAGCTACTCGGGAGGCTGAGGCAGGAAAATCACTTGAATCCAGGAGGCAGAGGTTGCACTGAGCCGAGATTGAGCCACTGCACTCCAGCCTGGCAACAGAGCGAGACTCCATCTCAAAAAAAAAAAAAAAAAAAAAAAAAAAATATTTGATTCTATATAATAGTAACATAGAAGAAAAAATGCAATTGTGTATTAACTACCTCAGGGAGTTACTATAAAAATGTAGACACATGAAGTTGTTACCACTTCGTTTAACAACTTCACCCAAGGGATATTAACTTTATTCTTAAATACATTTATTCATTTTACATATTTATTTTGTATAAATTGGGTAATATTCCAAAAATGTAGAAAAGTTCAGAATATAATAAAACAAATGTCTGCTTTCACTGTATAGATATAATACATATTTTATACTGCAAAACATTAACCTGTACACAGTTCTGAAATATTAACCTGTATACAGTTCTTTCAGATATTATTTTTAATGACATACAATTGCTTCAGATGTAATAAAACCATTATTTTCTCTCTACAGGTTAACTATTTTCCATCATTTTGAATTATTCACACACACCTAGGTAACCATAAACAATACATATCATTGTTGTGTGTGTTTAAATCTTACATAAATATTATCTTACTGTCAGTATCCATCCCCAACTGGTTTTTATGAAGCAACAACATATTTTTCAGTTTGAGTCATGTTAATGAACGCAGTTTTAGTTCATTAATTTAAAATGCTAAACGGAATTTCATTCATCTATATTGATGAATATTGAGGTTGTTTATTTCCTTATTTCTTGCCTGTCTAACTAAAGGAATGATGCAATAAACATTGTGGTAGGGAGCTGACTGAGCATGTGCTCAGTGGTTTACGTAGGGTTTAAAGTTAAAAATGGAATTGTTATTATACAAGACTTGTTCATCTATGCTTTTACTAGATATTTTCTCCAGAATAGTTGTACCAGTTTACAGTTGCAGTAGCAGTGTATGAAAGCTGCCACTGAACTATGTCCTTACCAATAATGGGTATTATCATGTGTAATATTTTAGTATTTTTTTTTACTAATAGTAGTATCTTTTTAAATGATAGTCACAGAATAGTTTTAACATATTCATTGTCTATTTTCCTTTTATCTATTTACCTTTTTCTATTAAAGTATTAATTTTTACATATAACAGATAAATTTTATTTGTCAATTATGGCTATTTCAAACATATTCATCCATTTTGTTTTTTATTTTTTTCTCATACTCTTTAATAGTTCTCGAAAATATCATTTTACCCTCCATTTTTGATAATAATTTAACAGGACATAAAACTAAAAATTGACATTTCTTTTCTGTTAGCAATTTTTAGATGTATTTTAATTATCTTCACAACATCCTGTTGTTAATTAGAATTATTTACTTGAATTGCCATTCATTTTTAGATAATCCTATGATTGCTGTTAAAAGTATCTATCTTTGCATTTTATATTTTAAATTCAATGTGTCTAAATTTGGATTTATTCCTATTTATCCCTCTCAGAAAGCTGTGCATTATTTGAGTACTTGCCTTAAATTCTGGAAAATTACTAAGAATTAAGCATCAATATGCACAGTTCTCATTTTCACTACTTTCTTCTTCTGTAATTCTTATTATTCCAACATACACATGGGATCTTTTCATTCTCTCATTTTATGTGCTATGTTGCTTAACTTCTCATATGTTTTTCCCTTTTTGTTGGTGCTGCATCCTTTATAATTTCTTCAGATTTATCTTTCAAAGTACTGATTCTTTCTTCAGCTTCATCTGATCTTCTGTTTAAATTAACTGAGTTTTATTTTCAATGACTGTATTTTTATTTCTATTAGTTCTATATAATTATTTCCAAGCATGCCTTCTTTTGTCTACTTTTAATTCAATACACTTCTTAAACATATTTATTTTATTATATCTTTCAAATTGTTCTATTATTTCAGTAATTGTCAGGGTGCCATTTCTCCTATTTGCTACATCAACAGACACTCTATGGTAATTTGTTTCTTCTTGGGCTTTGAATTGCTGCTGCAATTGAACTTATCTTTGAATATTAAAAACACTCTGTGAAACAAATTACCATTTAATATTTTTGCTTTCATAAAATAGAATAGTAAACACCAGTGAAAAATAGATGAACTAAAGCTACATGCATCAATGTAAGGAGTCATATAAAATAATGTTTATAAAATTCTTGGTTAAGAAATACATATAGCATGATATAAATTTTAGAAGTTTAAAATATATAATCAATGCTACATATTATTTTGGATTACATATTCCTATGGTGAAAATTTAAATATGTACAAAAGAATGATAAATATCCAAATCAGTAGTTACTTATGAGAGAAAGAAGCAGAAGGAGATCCAGCATGAATACAAATGAGAATACAAATTTTGTAATTGCTTGTAATCTTCAGAGTATATTAACATTCAATATAGTGTTCTCCACACATTTCTGTAGATTAATACATAAAGGCAGTAAAGTCATTGAGTAGCCTCTCTTCCAAATATAAAACAATAAAAAGATAATCATTAAAGCAAGTCTTGTATTAATATTTTAAACTTTAAATAGATTACTAAAATAAAACTAGAATATCTGAAATAGGCCCATCTCTTAGAATTTAGTATAATAAAACCAGAGACTGCCACAGAAAACTAGGCAAATAATCTAATAATTCACAGAACTATAAATGGCCTTGTATCCATCAATCTCTCTGTGAAATATTTTCTACTTATATAAAGTATGTATATTTATTATTACCTACATATATATACGTCTATATCTAAAGATATATAAAGTTAGAAAAAAGGAAACCAAACTATTATTGAAATAGTTTAATAGAGGTAGGGTTTTAGGTGATTTAAAATTTCCAGTGTTCTAAAATAACAATATTTTAAAATTATGTTCTGCTTTTATCCAAATTATATGCTCATGCTTAAAAAGTTATATAATTCAGTGGTTGTACACAAAAGCCACAGACTACTCTTATTACATACTTTTTCCTGCTTCTCAGAGGCAACCACTTTCAAATAGTTTGCATGATTCTATTTTTATTTATATGCAAATTTCTCTGCAATATGATTATATTGCTACTTCTTAATTTATTTGGATGGGGAAGGGATGATTTAGACACTGTATATTGACATTCTATTTTGGAAGATACAAATCAAGCCTTTTTCAACACCACTTTGGCAGACCTTGCTCTCTGACACACGTGTGTCCTCAGCCTCTCATCATTATGTCATATCATGGTTTGGTTGCATATGCAATTTTTACATTGCCATATTGATATAAGCACTATTTACAGGATACACATGTCAGACATTACTTCTACTCTTCCTTTTATAAAAATATTAATCCTTTTTATTTTTTCAGTTTATTGTACGATTTTTAAATTGTGTGGTTTTGTTGCCATTGCTTTCTGTGTTTTAGTAATAATCGCTAACTGTCATTTAATCCTTTGCCCCCATATCCCATATATCACTTTTGTTAATACATGTAAATATACAAGAAATTATAAATTTACCTTGTTAAATCAAGCCCTCCTGATAAATCTCATCCTGCTGCAAATTACCCTGGGTGTTTCTCCAGACCTGCCTACAGCTGTCACCTTGTGATGGGTGATTCCCTCTACCTTTCTTCTAGATTGGATGCCCTATTCCCTAGATTTCTTGTCCTCTTTCTTGGTTTACCAGCTAAAACATCTTCCAGTAACATTAAGAAAATAACTGCACGGGAGATAAAAGTCTTAAATACTTTGTTGCATACTTAGCCATAGAACCCTAGATTATAACTCATACTGTCTCATCAGAATCACGAACACTTGGTCTTATTGTTTACTAGCTTATTTCATATTAATGTTCCCTCCAAAAGCTTAAATATTTCCTTTCTTTGTATCCAGGGTACTGACTTTTCAATGATGTGTCTTAAGATGGATCTATTGCTATTCATAGGACTGGGAACATGGTCACATGGTGAGTCTATTCATTATAAAAGCATATGTCTTTCCATTCTGGGAACTTTTTATGATTTTTTTTTTTCATGAATTCCTATGCTATATTTTCTGTTTTCTCCTTCCGGGATTTCTATGTTTTAAGACGTTGGATTTTCTCTGTGGGTTCCCTAATTTTATTTTATTTTATTTCTATTCTTATTTTTTCCTAATTTCAATCTTAGACATTTTGCTTTTCATTCTGGAACAGCTTTTCAACTTTACCCCCTAAAACTTTCATTGTATTTTTCCATTTACACTATCTTAGTTTCCAACATTAAAAAAAAAAAAATCTGTGTTCTTGTTTTCGAGATGAAGAACCTTTTCTCACATCTTTGAGGATATTAATCCCAGATATTTTGAAGCTTTCTTTTGGTGAAAACTTTTCTCCGAGTTATTGTTTGTTTGTTTTAGTCTCTTTGGTATAACATGCTTTCTTCAAATATCTAATAATCCTTGGGATTCTGCTATAAAAGCAGAGCACCTCTCCTCCTCCAAAGGAACGCAGCTCCTCACCAGCAACGGAACAAAGCTGGATGGAGAATGACTTTGACAAGCTGAGAGAAGAAGGCTTCAGACGATCAAATTACTCTGAGCTAAGGGAGGACATTCAAACCAAAGACAAAGAAGTTGAAAACTTTGAAAAAAATGTAGAAGAATGTGTAACTAGAATAACCAATACAGAGAAGTGCTTAAAGGAGCTGATGGAGCTGAAAACCAAGGCTCGAGAACTACGTGAAGAATGCAGAAGCCTCAGGAGCCGATGTGATCAATTGGAAGAAAGGGTATCAGCAATGGAAGATGAAATGAATGAAATGAAGTGAGAAGGGAAGTTTAGAGAAAAAAGAATAAAAAGAAACGAGCAAAGTCTCCAAGAAATATGGGACTATGTGAAAAGACCAAATCTACGTCTGATTGGTGTACCTGGAAGTGATGGGGAGAATGGAACCAAGTTGGAAAACACTCTGCAGGATATTATCCAGGAGAACTTCCTCAACCTAGCAAGGCAGGCCAACGTTCAGATTCAGGAAATACAGAGAACGCCACAAAGATACTCCTCGAGAAGAGCAACTCCAAGACACATAATTGTCAGATTCACCAAAGTTGAAATGAAGGAAAAAATGTTAAGGGCAGCCAGAGAGAAAGGTCGGGTTACCCTCAAAGGGAAGCCCATCAGACTAACAGCGGATCTCTCGGCAGAAACCCTACAAGCCAGAAGAGACTGGGGGCCGATATTCAACATTCTTGAAGAAAAGAATTTTCGACCCAGAATTTCATATCCAGCCAAACTAAGCTTCATAAGTGAAGGAGAAATAAAATACTTTACAGACAAGCAAATGCTGAGAGATTTTGTCACCACCAGGCCTGCCCTAAAAGAGCTGCTGAAGGAAGCGCTAAACTTAGAAAGGAACAACTGGTACCAGCCGCTGCAAAAGCATGCCAAAATGTAAAGAACATCGAGACTAGGAAGAAACTGCATCAACTAACGAGCAAAATCACCAGCTAACATCATAATGACAGGATCAAATTCACACATAACCATATTAACTTTAAACGTAAATGGACTAAATGCTCCAATTAAAAGACACAGACTGGCAAATTGGATCAAGAGTCAAGACCCATCAGTGTGCTGTATTCAGGAAACCCATCTCACGTGCAGAGACACACATAGGCTCAAAATAAAAGGATGGAGGAAGATCTACCAAGCCAATGGAAAACAAAAAAAGGCAGGGGTTGCAATCCTAGTCTCTGATAAAACTGACTTTAAACCAACAAAGATCAAAAGAGACAAAGAAGGCCATTACATAATGGTAGAGGGATCAATTCAACAAGAAGAGCTAACTATCCTAAATATATATGCACCCAATACAGGAGCACCCAGACTCATAAAGCAAGTCCTGAGTGACCTACAAAGAGACTTAGACTCCCACACATTAATAATGGGAGACTCTAACACCCCACTGTCAACATTAGACAGATCAACGAGACAGAAAGTCAACAAGGATACCCAGGAATTGAACTCAGCTCTGCACCAAGCAGACCTAATAGACATCTACAGAACTCTCCACCCCAAATCAACAGAATATACATTTTTTTCAGCACCACACCACACCTATTCCAAAATTGACCACATACTTGGAAGTAAAGCTCTCCTCAGCAAATGTAAAAGAACAGAAATTATAACAAACAATCTCTCAGACCACAGTGCAAAACTAGAACTCAGGATTAAGAATCTCACTCAAAACCACTCAACTACATGGAAACTGAACAACCTGCTCCTGAATGACTACTGGGTACATAACGAAATGAAGGCAGAAATAAAGATGTTCTTTGAAACCAACGAGAACAAAGACACCACATACCAGAATCTCTGGGACGCATTCAAAGCAGTGTGTAGAGGGAAATTTATAGCACTAAATGCCCACAAGAGAAAGCAGGAAGGATCCAAAATTGACACCCTAACATCACAATTAAAAGAACTAGAAAAGCAAGAGCAAACACATTCAAAAGCTAGCAGAAGGCAAGAAATAACTAAAATCAGAGCAGAACTGAAGGAAATAGAGACACAAAAAACCCTTCAAAAAATCAATGAATCCAGGAGCTGGTTTTTTGAAAGGATCAACAAAATTGATAGACCGCTAGCAAGACTAATAGAGAAAAAAAGAGAGAAGAATCAAATAGACACAATAAAAAATGATAAAGGGGATATCACCACCGATCCCACAGAAATACAAACTACCATCAGAGAATACTACAAACACCTCTATGCAAATAAACTAGAAAATCTAGAAGAAATGGATAAATTCCTTGACACATACACTCTCCCAAGACTAAACCAGGAAGCAGTTGAATCTCTGAATAGACCAATAACAGGATCTGAAATTGTGGCAATAATCAATAGCTTACCAACCAATAAGAGTCCAGGACCAGATGGATTCACAGCCGACTTCTACCAGAGGTACAAGGAGGAACTGGTACCATTCCTTCTGAAACTATTCCAATCAATAGAAAAAGAGGGAATCCTCCCTAACTCATTTTATGAGGCCAGCATCATTCTGATACCAAAGCCGGGCCGAGACACAACCAAAAAAGCGAATTTTAGACCAATATCCTTGATGAACATTGATGCAAAAATCCTCAATAAAATACTGGCAAACTGAATCCAGCAGCACATCAAAAAGCTTATCCACCATGATCAAGTGGGCTTCATCCCTGGGATGCAAGGCTGGTTCAATATAAGCAAATCAATAAATGTAATCCAGCATATAAACAGAACCAAAGACAAAAACCACGATTATCTCAATAGATGCAGAAAAGGCCTTTGACAAAATTCAACAGCCCTTCATGCTAAAAACTCTCAATAAATTAGGTATTGATGGGACATATTTCAAAATAATATGAGCTATCTATGACAAACCGACAGCCAATATCATACTGAATGGGCAAAAACTGGAAGCATTCCCTCTGAAAATGGGCACAAGACAGGGATGCCCTCTCTCACCACTCCTATTCAACATAGTGTTGGAAGTTCTGGCCAGGGCAATTAGGCAGGAGAAGGAAATAAAGGGTATTCAATTAGGAAAAGAGGAAGTCAAATTGTCCCTGTTTGCAGACGACATGATTGTATATCTAGAAAACCCCATAGTCTCAGCCCAAAATCTCCTTAAGCTGATAAGCAACTTCAGCAAAGTCTCAGGATACAAAATCAATGTACAAAATTCACAAGCATTCTTATACACCAACAACAGACAAACAGAGAGCCAAATCATTAGTGAACTCCCACTCACAATTGCTTCAAAGAGAATAAAATACCTAGGAATCCAACTTACAAGGGATGTGAAGGACCTCTTCAAAGAGAACGACAAACCACTGCTCAACGACATAAAAGAGGATACAAACAAATGGAAGAATATTCCATGCTCATGGGTAGGAAGAATCAATATCGTGAAAATGGCCATACTGCCTAAGGTCATTTACAGATTCAATGCCATCCCCATCAAGCTACCAATGACTTTCTTCACAGAATTGGAAAAAACTACTTTAAAGTTCATATGGAACCAAAAAAGAGCCCGCATCTCCAAGTCAATCCTAAGCCAAAAGAACAAAGCTGGAGGCATCACACTACCTGACTTCAAACTATACTACAAGGCTACAGTAACCAAAACAGCATGGTACTGGTACCAAAACAGAGATATAGATCAATGGAACAGAACAGAGCCCTCAGAAATAACACTGCATATCTACAACTATCTGATCTTTGAAAAACCTGAGAAAAACAAGCAATGGGGAAAGGATTGCCTATTTAATAAATGGTGCTGGGAAAACTGGCTAGCCATATGTAGAAAGCTGAAACTAGATCCCTTCCTTACACCTTATACAAAAATCAATTCAAGATGGATTAAAGACTTAAACGTTAGACCTAAAACCATAAAAACCCTAGAAGAAAACCTAGGCATTACCATTCAGGACATAGGCATGGGCAAGGACTTCATGTCTAAAACACCAAAAGCAATGGCAACAAAGACAAAATTGACAAATGGGATCTAATTAAACTGAAGAGCTTCTGCACAGCAAAAGAAATTACCATCAGAGTGAACAGGCAACCTACAAAATGGGAGAAAATTTTCACAACCTACTCATCTGACAAAGGGCTAATATCCAGAATCTACAATGAACTCCAACAAATTTACAAGAAAAAAACAAACAACCCCATCAAAAAGTGGGCAAAGGACATGAACAGACACTTCTTAAAAGAAGACATTTATGCAGCCAACAGACACATGAAAAAATGCTCATCATCACTGGCCATCAGAGAAATGCAAATCAAAACCACAATGAGATACCATCTCACACCAGTTAGAATGGCGATCATTAAAAAGTCAGAAAACGACAGGTGCTGGAGAGGATGTGGAGAAATAGGAACACTTTTACACTGTTGGTGCGACTGTAAACTAGTTCAACCATTGTGGAAGTCAGTGTGGCGATTCCTCAGGGATCTAGAACTAGAAATACCATTTGACCCAGCCATCCCATTACTGGGTATATACCCAAAGGACTATAAATCATGCTGCTATAAAGACACATGCACATGTATGTTTATTGCGGCATTATTCACAATAGCAAAGACTTGGAACCAACCCAAATGTCCAAAATGATAGACTGGATTAAGAAAATGTGGCACATATACACCATGGAATACTATGCAGCCATAAAAAATAATGAGTTCATGTCCTTTGTAGGGACATGGATGAAGCTGGAAACCATCATTCTCAGCAAACTATCGCAAGGACAAAAAACCAAACACCACGTATTCTCACTCATATGTGGGAATTGAACAATGAGATCACATGGACACAGGAAGGGGAACATCACACTCTGGGGACTGTGGTGGGGTGGGGGGAGGGGGGAGGGATAGCATTGGGAGATATACCTAATGCTAGATGACGAGTTAGTGGGTGCAGCACACCAGCATGGCACATGTATATGTATGTAACTAAGCTGCACAATGTGCACATGTACCCTAAAACTTAAAGTATAATAAAAATAAAAATAGAATAAAACCAAAAAAAAAAAACAATGGGTCTGTTGAACCCATTTTTCACTATGATCTAGCTGATTTCGTTCTACTTAAGGGTTTTCTGCTGCCATTTTTGTTAGGTCTTTTCTCTTGAGTAAGACATATTCCCTACAGAAGATTCATACATTTTCCTGCTCGGATGAAACTTGGCTGCCTGGGTTCTGCTGTAGATCTCAATAAGAGGGGAGAGTCAGGCAGGGTGAAGTGTTTCAGCGTTTAGTATGCATATTCCTCCTTTCAGTTTTGTATTCCTATCCTGTGTCCACGTGTCCTCCAGGCCAGAGAACCTGTTTTATCCTCTTTGGGGAATAAAGTTCTTCTTTTCTAGTAGGGGGAGTGAAGAGTAGTAGCCTTATTTTGAAGAACAGGAAAAGCAACACAGAAGTCTAACTGTTCAAGAGACTCCAAACTACTTTTATGGTATTTAGCCATAATTTCATCTCTTTTGGCAAAAGTCCCTGGTGGGACAAATCTTAAATTTTACAAAAGAGTATCGTAATGAACACTGGGGGGCTTTTTAACTTTCTGCACTGTCATTTTAGCAGAAAGAAAGAAAGAAAAAAGCTGAATCTTACTTACCTAGTTTCCAGCTTCAAAAATGTTTCATTTGTGATCTTTCAATTTTGCTTTTGAGCTCGTGTGTGTGTTTAATTACTCTTACTGGTCTATTGCATCCTTAGAAGTGGTATTCCCAAAAAAAGAATCTATATAAATAAAAACCTATTTGATGATGATTTGAATAGGAAACCATGCCCCAAATAAAGAGATTTAGAGAAAAAAGTAGTATATTTGCCAAATCTCTTAAGTAACCATGCTTTGGTTTCTTATTTATTGAAAGAAAAGTTCAGGTCCACTATTAAATATAAGAATTGATAATAATGACTAGGATGTTTACTTCTTCAGGATGCATATACATTCAATTTGCAATCAAATAAATTCTAAAAACTGTCATCAAGTAAATATTCAGACACTGTCAGCACTTTATTGGAAGAGTTGTGAGTATTTGATCTTGCAGATTACTAATACTCTCCAGAGAGGGACTTTTCATGTTTTCAGTTTTCAATTTACAACTGTGGGTCAAAGTCAACACCTTTTGTGTCTTCATCTGAAAATGTCTCAGATCTTTATTCTGAAATGTCTTCAAATTGCTGCTTGAGAATATATGTCCCATTTCACCCAGGAGAATGTTTCCCTCTGTTAGAAACAATGCATTTTGTTTTGTCTCTCTCCAGTGGCCTCATGTATAGAATTTCAAACATAATAGGTCATTGCACATGCATTTTATTGCCTGTAAGTCTTACAGCTTGTAGTATGCTCTTCCAACCTCAGGTTCCAAGATCCTACAGTACATGGCCACTGACGGCCTTTGGTATATGACTGTGTAATAATGGAATCTATTTTCTTGACCAAACACTGTGTAATAGCTTTTATTATTTTCTTTCAACCCATGTAACTTACATAAGAAATACAATCAAAATTCTCTTTTTTTCACAAGTTACAAAGTTTTTATGTCAGTCTTGTGTCCTTTTCTCCATTTTTCTGTTAAATTTTTTTTGTTCTGTACAAGATTGTCCTTTTATGTTTGCCAGTATTTAAGTTGTTTGGGGGAAATATTTATATCTCCAGGATGTTTTTCATTTCAAGAAAAGTTTAGTGTACCTCAACTGGATCTGAGGCTGGAATCTAGGAAAAACAGAGAATAATCCAGGGACTTACTTTCACCAGCTTAAAAATACTATAAAATCATCCTCTCTATTCTCCAACATCTGTACATAGAGTAGAGGAACAGCAAGGAGCACTGGGAAAAGCCTGTGTAGCCACATGCAGCCTCCTACTCAAAGCTGCCTTTGGTCTTCTTCTCTGTATCTCCCAAGTTAAGCAGCTTATATTTAGGAGGAAAAAAAAAAAAAAAAGAAAAATGAAAGATGATCTGCTCACCACTGATTACGTTACCAATACTTCTCATCTTTTGGGTACTGTGAGGATTAATAGTATGTATCTGTATAGCTGGCCCACATTGCCCAGATAATCTGGCTAAGCATTATTCTGGATGTTTCTGAAAGGGTGATTTTGGGTAAGATTACATTTAAATCAGCAGATTTGGGTAAAGTAAGTTGCTCCCCATAATGTGGGTGTGCCTCATCTAATCAGTTGAAGGATTAGGAAAAATCTGGTCTTGATCTTTCTGAACAAGAGAAATTCTTCAGGCTATCAGCCTTCAGACTTGAACTTTAGCATTAGCTCTTTCTTGGGTCTCCAGCCTGCCAACCCACTTTGCACATTTTAAACATGTCAGCCTCTATAACTGAATAAGGCAATCCTTAAGTCATCTTCTATATACGTATACACATCCTATTGATTGTCTTTTTTCTAAAGAATTATGACTAATATAAAGACTAGCAGGCATTATTTGGGTGTGATTATATATATATTTGAGTCTTTATGCCACACTGTTTGGCGTTTTTATTTTTTACAATTTTATTTATTTATATATTTTTTTGAGACAGGGTCTCACTCTGTCACCCAGGTTGGAGTGCATTGGTGCAATCTTGGCTCACTGCATCTTCCACCTCCCCAGCTCAAGCGATCCTCTCACCTCAACCTCCCAAGTAGCTGGAACCACAGGTGCACACCACCATGCTTGGCTAATTTGTGTGTGTGTGTGTTTTTGGTAGAGATGGGGTTTCTCCAAGTTGCTCAGGCTGGTCTCGAACTCCTGAGCTCAAGTGATCCACCTGCTATGGCTTCCCAAAGTGCCGGGATTACAGGTATAAGCCACCACACCTGGCCTCATTCTTCTTCTTAAACATATAAGTTTTGTGTAAAATACACAACGAAGAGGACACAGTATTGTGTTTTTCCAAACAAAATTGCCAGCTCTTCTGTTGAAATTAAAGTGGCAAGTGAGGAAAGAAGGAGGGAGGAGTACATGATACGATACTTATCAGTACCCTTATGTTTTTGTAACTCCTACCACTAATTTTCTCTTACCATATGCACTCTGCCACACTCCTTATTTCCCAGGCTCCCTTTAGAATGCCCAACCACCCTATAGAAAATGAGTACGAACTCTGAAGACATCATTGGATAGAGTTACCGTTAAAAAAAATTCACTCAATGTTATTCAGAGTCATTTTCAAAGAAACAGCTCTGGCCACTAGGAGATACGAACCTGAGTATCATAGGGAATCTGTGGATTAAAACAGATTACTTATAGTAGTAAGCAAAATAAAGTGTAGGAGAACCTCTGATAGTTACTTTTTAAATTTACCTCAGGAGATTTGTCCCTGTTTCTATAATTAGTTTATAAAGAACCTTATATTTATTTTAAATATTTTATATCTATGCTACTTATACATCAGTAATTGGTTTAATAGATTTATATATAATATAATGTGTTTATATATTATATATAAATGTATTATATATGTATAATATATATAAATTATATATAAATGTATTATATATGTATAATATATATAAATTATATATAAATGTATTATATATGTATAATATATATAAATTATATATAAATGTATTATATATAATTTTGTGTGTGTGTGTGTATATATATATATATATATATATATATATATAAAAAATATGCTACTAGAACTGAAAAAGACAGTAGAGAAGGCTGAAGGATTTAAGCTTCACACTCCTACAGACATACCTTTACACAGTGAGGATGAAGCACTGCACACAGATCTGTGGTGTACCAATATGCACTTAATGAGCACTCCAGCTCTCTGCTTTTCAATTTGTACTCGCTGAACTTCTATTTTTTAAACTGAAAACAAACAAAAACACTGTCATCCTTTTTTCTTGATGTATCTGCAATAGCCACTTTGAACTCCTCTGGTACCTTATCAAATAACCCCATACAGTGGGCAGTCTGCAGAGATTGCAGGGAACTACAAGAAGGGTCCACATAATATGGTGTGTTACAGTTACTAAAAATGCTCTGCTAATGAACCAAGCTAAGATGATTGGTCTCCTCGTTCATAGAACTTTTCAGTTTTTCAGGAAATAGAAGGTCTACTTTTTTCTGAAGAATTACAAGTAAGGAACGATGATTATTAGAGATTAGAAAGCATTGTTCTTTTTTTCCTCTATTGGTGAATTATTCTCAGTGAGCTAAGGCTTTCCTGACCGCCAGTTTCACAACTCTCCCACATAACCATCTCTAATCTCTCATGTATAAAGTCAAAATGAATGTTTTCCAAGAATTCAATATTCTTCAACAGGAAATAAGCAATGTGCATTTACTTTCAAAAAAAAAAAAAAAAAACAGAAAAAACAAAAAATTGGTCCCCATTAAGCAAATTTCACCAGGAAAGTATATGTTTCCTTCACAGAGTTATAGGAAAATAAATTTCTACAAAGCTTTCCTGTGTCATGCTAAAAGGGTTAGTGATGAGGATATAAGGTTTACAATGTTAAAGCTGCAAAGGAATGTGTCTTTATGATGAGGTGAGCCTCTTTCTGATGTTGTAAAGGTGGTTGAAATACCTCACTCTCCCATTTTTCTGACAGATTTTATATTTTAAAAGCTTTGGACAGGATAGACACAAATAGCTTTTACTGCATTTTACATATAGTTACCACATTTAATCATTACAAAAACTGTTTGAATAAAACTTATTTATTTATTTGTGTATTTATTTATTTATTTATTTTGGGATGGAGTCTCTCTCTGTCACCCAGGCTGCAGTGCAGTGGCACAATCTCGGCTCACTGCAAACTCCATCTCCCGGGTTCAAGCGATTATCCTGCCTCAGCCTCCCAAGTAGTGGGGACAACAGGCGCATGCGACCACGCCCTGCTAATTTTTGTATTTTTAGTAGAGATGGGGTTTCACCATGTTGGCCGGGCTGGTCTCAAATTCCTGACCTCAAGTGATCCACCCACCTTGGCCTCCCAAAGTGCTGGAATTATAGGCCTGAACCACATGCCTGGCCTGAATAAAACTTGTTATTTTCATTTTATAGATGAGGGAACTAACTTTCAGTGAGGTTAAATATTTTGATCAAAACCTCAGAACTAATAAAGGGAAGAGCCAGGAATTAAATCCAGATCTATCACTGTCTACTTTTTTATACTATCTCCTCTCTGGGAATATCAATAAATTAAAATCGGGTACTTACAGAATTCTCAATTGTAACGACAAATCTAGAATATCAGGGTTTCTGTACTTAGTGACCAGAAGTCATACAGCTTTCTATTTACGTCTAAGTTCAAAACATATTCTGGACAATAAAAGAATAATCCTCTCTAAAGACAAATTTTGGCAAGGAAAAATGCAGTCCAATTTGCTTGCATTATAAAAATAGAAACACATGTAATCTCAAATTAACTGTCTTTGTTTTCTGCAGTTCTATGCAAATGCAAATATGCAAAAGAACAAATGCTTGATAGAAAAAAATGTACATGTTGGCAGTTCATTATCCTTGTGTTTTTCTTAATTGATGAGTGCTTTCTCTGTTGAAACTCTTAAGATCGCTCAGATTCCCTGGCATAAGTCCTCATGAAAAATCATCTAAATGATATCTTTGTGGAGACTATGATGCTCAATCAGACATTTTGGCTAACATACTAGGCTGCTGATCTGACATTCAGTGCCCAGAATCGCGGCTGCTGAGCCAAGTAAACCACCTCCTGAGTTGTTTCTGGTCCAATCTGTGGTATCTCTGCCAACGGGTTTTCTAGATAGTTAGACCCCTCCTACCTATGCATAACAATGAGCTAGCATGCTAGCAAAGTCCCAATTTTTATAAATGTAGTGATGCATCCTACAGATACATAAAGTCACTGATAATCAGACCAATGTCTGCACATACGTGTTTAAATCAATTACAATGACAAATAGATGCTTTATGAGACCATGACTATTCAGAACCTTATTTTAGACACTTAACACATTGGTAACCATCACAGAAACAATGAAAAAGAATTGTGGGGAAAAGTAAAATAACAAAATAATTATCTTTTGCTGATTTAATATCATATGGAACAATAGTCTTTTACATAGAAAGAAAATATGATTATATTATTGAAGCATCCTGCACTTTCAAAATGTAATCAATCATTATAGGTAGTCTCCTAAGATTAGAGTCATACATAAGAAATCATAAGGAAATCTAGATCTGCAAAAGTAGATGAACCGGGAGTAGATAATTCTAAATAAACCAATTGTGCTTTTTTAAAATAAATAATCCAGTTTACTTGAGTCACTTCACCAGACTTACAGGCACCAACCCTACCTCTATCTTAGATTACAGTTACAACTAACCAAGTTCTTGTCTCCTCAACCTCCTCCAATTTGCCTTTCATACAGCAAGCAGAGGAATCTACTAAGAGCACTGTTGTAGTTGCGTTACTACCCTGCCTTAAAGCATTTATGCTCCTCCTCCTTTCACCACTGCTGTCACACATGCTGTATGCCCAAATTCTTTATCTTGAATCTTAGGGCTCCAATGTGCTTTTCAAGAATTTTCTTTTCTCTGTTTATAACATTAGACCTATGCTTGCACCAATAAACCTGCACTGTTTAATGCAATTGTTACCGGCGATGTGTGTCACTTTACACTTAAATCAGATAAAATTAAAAATTCAGTTCCTCTACTGCACTAGCCACATTTCGAGTCTTCAATAGTCACTTGTGACTAGTGGCTACGGTATTGGACAGTGCCGATTATACATCATTGCAGAGTTCTATGGCACAGCACTGCTGCATACCTGCCCTGAGGTTCTATGGTATGAAGCTGTCTGCAAGTTCTGATACATGTTATTCCCTTAAAGTAGAAATGCTCTTGCTTCCTGTACACCCCTCCAAATTTACAAACTGAAATTCCATCACCCTTCAAAGTGTAGGCTACTTTTCATATTTTCTATTCCCTCCACCCGTATATATTCCATTTAGAAATGATCTCCAACACTTCTGAAATTTTTTTGAGTTTAATTTATAATATTCACATGTAAAATCTCATACTGCTGCTTTAAACTATCAAAAAATAGGAATATATATAAGTCTCACTCTGTCGCCCAGGCTGGAGTGCAGTGGCGCCATCTCAGCTCATTACAAGCTCCGCCTCCTGGGTTCATGCCATTCTCCTGCCTCAGCCTCCCAAGTAGCTGGGACTACAGGCGCCTGCCACCACGCCCGGGTAATTTTTTGTACTTTTTAGTAGAGACGGGGTTTCACCATGTTAGCCAGGATGATCTCGATCTGACCTCGTGATACCCCTGCCTCAGCCTCCCAAAGTGCTGGGATTGTAGGCGTGAGGCATCATGCCTGATAAGGAAAAATTATTTTTATTTTTTTTTTTTTACAGACATCTAGAGACAGAGAGAAGGAGAGATCTAGGCAAAAGAATTATTTTTTTGAGACGGAGTCTCGCTCTGTCGCCCAGGCTGGAGTGCAGTGTCGCGATCTCTGCTCACTGCAAGCTCTGCCTTCCGGGTTCATGCCATTCTCCTGCCTCAGCCTCCTGAGTAGCTGGGACTACAGGCGCCCACCACCACGCCCACCTAATTTTTTTTGTATTTTTTAGTAGAGACGGGGTTTCACCATGTTAGCCAGGATGGTCTCGATCTCCTGACCTCGTGATCCACCCGCCTCGGCCTCCCAAAGTGCTGGGATTACAGGCGTGAGCCACTGTGACGAGCCCAAAAGGATTATTTTCTTGCTAACTTGGGGAAAGGTGAAAGGCTATATAGCTTTGTCTTCTCAGACACTCTTGGGGCTTTACACTCAATAGCTGTATATCTATATATCTATATCTGTATATTAAAAATATGAACATATAATCCACCATTTTGTGAAACTTTTTTTCATTTACCAGGAGAAAACTGAGGACCAGCGAAGTGGCCTGCAGAAGTAACAAACTCCTTAACAAGTGCTATGGCACCAGCTCATCAGAATGGACACTGGCTTTAATGGTATTAACTGAGTCCTAAAGGCCCTCTTCTCCTTATTTCCTGAATATTGGGAAGATCCAAAGGTTTCTGCAACAAAGGGGACAACCAAGTAAATGGTGGAGGAGGATCTTTTAGGGGCTCGTGGCTGAAGCCACTTTGTCTACCAGAATGGCACCATTTCAATATTTTGTCAATGAATATAGCTACACCTATGCTTATTAAACAAGTCTGGTGACATAATTGTCCCAAGTTCATACAGTCAGTAGAATTTGCCATCAAACAACTTTAAAACAACTTTTCAGGAATATAACTACTATGCCACATGAAATACCCACCTTCTGGGATATTGAAGCAAAAGCTTTTCAACTGCTAAATAGGCACATGATCTTTATACCATTGGTATAATGTCACGTACATTTGTGTGCAGATTACCACATCCCTGAAAACTGCTCCCTCAGATGTTGTGTATGGGGTAATTGATGCTTTAGGCCTAAAAATCTAAATAAGCTGACACTTTTATTTTCAGAAGTGCCTGCAAGGGGTGCAATTCAAAAAAATTACATTTCAACCTGGCTGATTGGCTAATAAAATGAAAGTAGTTTGTAACAAATAAACAAGTAAAGGATATGGCATGCTTTGCACTGCTTTTAACATAAATGAGTAAAATCACATCATTTCTTTCAATAAAAACATCTTGTGCCTAAAATAAAATGCCTGATGTTGATACTGAAATGGTATGCTTTCATCTAAAATATTTTTGATAGCTCGTTGTTGCCAACACTTAAAACAAAAAGTTGCTAACTTCTTTAAAGTGGCCAACTACAGTAGTGCAAAACCAATAGTTGATATGATATTATTTTTAGCCTTCATCTTCAGCTTTAAGTAATGTTCAGTAAATGCAACATTACTTCCTTATTGATATTTATCCATGACTCCACACAGAAAACAATAAACAAATAAACCTTATTCATAAGGCTGTCTATATACCAGTGGTCATTTTATAGTCAGAATTTTTTTGCATTTAAAAAGGCAGCTATTATGTTGGTGAGGATGCAGAGAAAAGGGAATGCTTATACACTGCTGGTGGCAATGCAAATTAGTTCAACTTCTGTGGAAAACAGTAGAAAATTTCTCAAAGAATTAAAAATAGAACTAACTACCATTTGACCCAGCAATACCACCATTGGCTATTTACCCAAAGGAAAAGAAATTGTTTTATCAAAAAGACACCTAGCACTCAATATGTTTATCATAGCACTAGTCACATTAGCAAAGGCACAGAATCAACCTAAGGGTCCATCAACAGTGGGCTGGATTAAACAAAAAGTGGTACATATACACTGTGAAATAATATGCAGCCATAGAAAAAAACAAAATCATGCCTTTTGCAGTAACATGGATGGAGCTACAGATCATTATCCTAAGTGAAATAACTCAGAAACAGGCAATCAAATATTACATGCTCTTACTTATAAGTGGAAGTTAAGCAATGTGTACACATGGACATAAAGATGTAAATAATAGACACTGGGGACTCCAAAAGTGAAGAGGATGGGAGAGAGGCAAGGGTTGAAAAACTACCTTTTCGGTACTATGTTCCTATTTGGGTGACGGGTTCATTAGAAGCACAAACCTCAGCATTATACAATATACTTATGGAACGAACCTGCACATGTACTTCCTGAATCTAAAATAAATAAATAAATAAATAAATAAATAAATTTATAAGGAGCTGTTAAATACTTCTAGATTCAAAGCATGGAAGGCTTTTCTTTCCTCTTCCCTCCTCATGCAGTTCTTACTCTGACTCTACTCACTGCTATTTTACAGTCAGTTCGAACAAGCAAAGCTGACTTCCCATCCCACAAAATAAAAGATTCAGCAAATCACCAGGGAGTGAGAAATTCCTATAGACCAGCCAGTGAAAACAAATAGCAGGGAACTGAAGTAGGTGTGACATCAGCAAGGTGGCAGAATAAGAGTTTTCTACTCTCATCTCCCCACAGTGAACAAATTCTGATAACCACCCATGGATGACAGTACCTTTGTGGAAGTGTGGGAGTCAGGTGGAGAAGTTCTAGTTTGCCACTGGAGCAAAAAAATCTGAAAACAGACAAAGAGAAAAAAACAAATACCATATGTTCTCACTTACAAGTGGGAGCTCACTGATGAGAACACATGGATTCTGGGAGAGGAACAACAGACACGGGGGTCTACTTGTGGGTAGAGGGTGGGGTGAGGGAGAGGATGAGAAAAAACAACTATTTGGTACTAGGCTTAGTACCTGGATGACAATCTAACCTGTACAACAAACCCCATGACACTAGTTTACCTATATTATAACAATCCCACACATGTATTGCTGAACCTAAAAGAAAGAAACATTTTTTGAAAGTTCCCAAACAGTTTCAACCCAAAGGGAACTTCACCAAGACACTTTATAATGAAATTGTCAAAAATCAAAGACAAGAGAATTTTAAAAGCAGCAAGAGAAAAAAGACTTGTCACATATAAGAAACATGCCATAAAATTATCAGCAGATTAATAACAGAAACCTTGCAGGTCAGGAGAGTGTGGAAATATATATTGAAAATGCTGAAAGAAAAAATAAAAACTTCCTCTGAAGGATGCTTTATCAGACAAACTGTCCTTCAGAAATAAAGATGGATAAAAACTTACCTAGATAAACTAAATTTGAACGAGTTCATCAAAACTAGATCTGCCTTGGAAAAAATGCTAGACTGTTCTTCAACTTAAAATGAAGGATGCTAATTAGTAATATAATAACAGAGGAAAGTATAAAACTCACGAGTAAAGGTTGGTATATATTAAAATTCAGAATACTCAACACTCCCAATAAAAAGTGGGCAAAGGACTGTAATAGAAATTTTTTCAATGAATACATATAAAGGCAACAAGTGTATGAAAACATTCTAAGTATTGCTTATCATCAGGTAAATGCAAATCAAACCGCAATGAGATATCACCTCCCATCTATTAGAATGGCTATTATCAGAAAGATGAAAAATAACAAGAGTGTTTATGTAAATGTACTGAAAAAGTAAACTTTGTACACTGTTGGTGGGAAAGTAAATTAGTACTGCCATTATAGAAAACAGTATGGAGGTTCCTGAAAAAATTAAAAATACACTTCCGTATGATCCAGCAATCCCACTTCTGGGTATACAGCCAAAGGAAATGAAATCAGTATCTTGAAGAGATAGTTGTACTCTCCTGTTCATTGTAGTGTGATTCGTAACAGCCAAGATCTAGAAATAACATAAATTCCTAGACATAAACAAATGGATAAAGAAAAGGTGATATATATATGATGGAATATTATTCAGCCTTCAACAATAGGGAAATTCCTTCATTAGTGACAACATAGATGACCTAGAGGACATTTTGTTTAACAGAGAAGCCAGACACAGAAAGACAAATATTGTATATCACTTATGCATGAAACTTGAAAAAGTCAAAATCATAGAAACAGAGTATAATGATGGTTACCAGGGGCTGGGGGGTAGAACAAATGGGGGGATATTGGTCAAAGGGTACAAACTTTCAGTTACGAAATGAATAATTTCAGGAGATCTAACATACAGCATGGTTACTATAGTTAACAATATCTATGATAATTGTATAAATAAAATTTATTAAGAGTATATCTACTATCTGAAGTATTCTCACCAGACAAAAAAGGTAACTATGTGAGGTAACAGCTAAGTCAATAAGCTTGATTGTGGTAATCATTTCACAATATATGCATGTATTTAATAATCAACATTGTATACCTTAAATATTTATAATTTTTATTTGGCAAAAAATAAAGCTGGAAAAAAGACATAAATACAATAATAAACATAAAATTGAAGTAGTGATCAACATTTTCAAACAATAAAGAAAATAGAAAACAGCAGTGATAGTTAATAAACTGACGGGAAGGGTGAAGATTAACCAAGGGAAGGCTACATATTCAGAGAAAACAAATATTTTTAAAACAGACATATGTGGCCAAAAAATTCTAAATATTTTGATAGTTCCTGTGGGCATCACTGACATATAGTACAACATAATGATAGATACAATGTCATATAATAATTGACATTACTTACTTACCATTTCTCATAACTGAACAAACAGGAAATGGTTTAGATAATTTCTACCACGTCACGGCTATTATGAAAGTTTGTCTATATGACATGTTAACATTTGTTTTTCTCAAATATATTAATAAAGAATTGGACATTGCAACCCATACATTAGTATTAAATAGAGCTACAGTATGAGAAAGAACAAAGCATTCAGGAACAAAGATGGATTAAAAAAATTAAAGGAGAGTTTTCTTCTCCTTTATCTGTCTATGCGATAAAAAAATTTTACTTGGGGGAAATTTATTTTGGTATTTTAAATTTTCTTTCTGGATATTTGTTTGTTAGTTTTCAAGTACTATCAGAAGCATATAACTTTTAAGAATAAAGCCAAGGTCACTGAAACAGTTTGCAAAAAAAAAAACACCGTGTGATTGACTATCTACTTGGGGAGCAGCATCTGTTTTTGTTGTGGGAATTCTCTGCCTTGCACATAACTACAAAACTCTATCTACTACCCATGTCTTTTTTGGATTTAGCATTAACAATTGGTCAAACAGTAGAACAAAAATTTTAAAACACTCTTCAGTTGTTTTTCACCCCATAAATCCAGACTTTCTTCTCTATTGTGCTATTTCTCAGAAAGGTTGCATAGGTTACTTCTAAGTAGACATGCATTGTATTCACTATCAAGTAGCCTACAATGTGCTTAAAAACATCCACACTTTTAAATTGTAACAACAAATCAAGAAAAAACTTCTACTGATATTCAACTGAAAAAAAAAGAATAAGAAAAATAAATTTAAAATGAGAAAGTAAACAGGAAAAAATTACAGATTCCTAAATCAAGAAAAATCAGAATGTATCATTAAAACGTTAGAAGAATAAAGGAGATGAGATCCATGATGTAGACTGAGCAGCTTAGAAGAAAGAAGCTGAATAAATCTAAGGTATCTTAAAAAAATACTTTCATGGCTGCTTATGACTTGGAATATTTTCTTCTTGGCTGGGGGAAAATGCATTTTTAAAGCCTTATATGTAAACCAGAACAGTCAATTTCCTAAGAACTACTGATAGAAAATAAAAGTATAAGTAGTCTTTCAGAGGCTTGTACTTCTAAAGTAAAGAGCTTGTAAGTTTAGTAACATATACATGTTTAATTACTGGTATTCCATATGCAGGGTTGGCTGCTATTACTAAAACACTCTGTACAGAGATTTGCTAAGATGAAAGCACACATAATAATTATCGTTATCACATGCTGAGTGCCCTCTTACACCACACTTCACAGACATTCTCTCTAATTCATAAAACAATCCTGTAAAATAGGAATTATCATTAGTCCCATTATATAAATTAAGAAACTGAGACTCAGAGAAGTTAAATAACTTGCATATGATTATGCAGTTAAGTGATGGATTGAAGATTTAAATCCACTTCTTTTGTATGGCTTTTAATACTTGACTCCATATGAATTGGTTTTTTGCATAGGCAGACATTTTAAAATGTCCTAGTTTATTTACTATGGGCTTACCTCATCATCATTCATAAAATATTTTTAACTGTCTATTTTTTAATGGACATTGTTCTATATGTTGAGAATACAGCAGCAATTAAGACAATGTTCCGAACATCATGGACCAGAAAATTAGCTATTACTCACAGAGGAACAGATCGGCAAATTGACCAGGGTCAGCTAATTTGTTCCCAAACTTTGTTTTATTTTTAACTTTTTGCTTTGGGCAGGAAACTATAAGATAGAGTATAACATGAGGCTTCAGCATGCAGGATTGCCATAACCACAGTGGTCCTCACATGTGACTTGAAAATTACATGAAAAATATGAATGATAGACTGACTCTACACCGTGCTGTCACCTGGATATAAACTCTGTTCTTGGCATGTAAGTCCCTCCTTCAGCCCTGACATTTCTCCAGGAAATTCTTTTTTTCTCCAGATTTATGATGCTGTGTTCTCTCTTCCCCTCTTCATAACTCTTAAATTCCACAAGGCAACTATCTAATTAATTCATATTTTATAACACAAATGACTTAACACTATCCTTGGATTATATCTCTCTGGACAGTACTTATTTTATCAAATGGAATTGATTTATAATGGATTGGATTTAGAGATAACATATTGAGGCATGAAGATTTCCTATCTCCTTTATTCTGCTTAGATACGACTGGCATGTACAAAGTTACTCTTCCATAGCTAACTTTCAAGAAAGGCAGGGTCACACCACTTGAGAACATCCAATACTTGACATTATTTTTTGAAATCCAGTACAAACTGATCTGTGAAGCATAACAACAAGGCCGCTCTTCATGGTCTGCTCTTGTCCTAAAGCACAAGCAATTGGTGTGATGACCTCAATAAGTTATATAAAATCCACCTGCAGCCAGAAAAATTTGAAATTGAAGGATTTAAGGGGAAATGGAGACATCTTCCTTTCAGCGCTCTTGAATAGCAAAATGTCCCGTGATTCATTCATCCTTTTATGTGAAGGGGTCTGACAGTGACTTTAGTCCAACAGCTTCCAGACAACTACTCCGCGTATATTAGACTCATATCTGAATACTTAGTGCAATAATTGAATTCCAATAACCTCTGCAAGCTAAATATATTGCCTTTATTCAAGGAACACTAGAAATTCACTGTAACAGTGCCCTTTGGAGTTCATAATTTGAGATGTCCTTCAAAGTAAGATTGCTTTATAAAGATGCCATTTTACTGCCTAAGTAACTAAACCTTCCTGGCCATGAACCAAGACAGAGTCATGGCATTTAATCTTATTATGCATATTCCACAGCTTCATATACACAAAGGTGTATTCTGTGGCAAGTTTTTCAATATCTATTGGCAAAATATTTGCAGAAATTTATTTTTCTATTTCTAGGAACTAACTGGATTGATTCTGTTTCAAGTGAAAGAACCAAGGACACACAGTAAAAGCTGAAGGCAATCTTGAATTTGAAATTAAATCTGAACTTTATGTCAGTCACATAAGTAAAGAGAAGGTTTCAGCAATTATTTAATACACTTATCCGGTTCAGAAAATAATCCAGATTATTGAAGTATACATGAAATTTCCTTCAGCTTTGCTATTTTTTCTGTACCAAGTGAAATCTTTACATGTATACACTAATTGCATATTTAATTATAATTCCACTTCATCTTAGCAACTTTAAATTAAATGCAAAGACCCTAAAGTTGGCTACAGAGTAGAGCTGTGCCACCTCAAAACTCCATTCAACCACACAATAAATTCCTGTAATTATGTTTTTAATTAAACAAAAATTCCCTGAATTTTACAGGAATCTGTCAACATTCACATCAAAATGTACTGCAGGAACATGACTATTTTCCCGAACACTATATAGTATTAAATGTCATAGGCCTTATACTTTCAAGTCTTTTTGTCACATTACAGTTTTCTGCTAGGAGCTAAAATGGTATATGAGCTGGTTTTATAGCCAGAAATAGTCGTGGCAAGGTTATATTTTTTGATATTTTATTATTTGTTGTTCTCAAGAGTAATAAGCAATTCCTACTTATATTTGGGAAGTCAGAAAACAGATGAACCACTTACCTGACAAATTAAATGTGAAAATAAAGAATAGACTGCAAATCTTTTAAACACTCATATTTTGATGTTAAAATATTGCATAAACAACAACTTTTCATTAAAAAACAAGAAATGCACAGTATAGAAGAAAAACTAAGAAAAAAGATTAAATTTAGATGAGAGGCAGTCAGCTATAATATCCAAATTTCTAAATTTTAAAAAATGACAATATAAAAATTAAACTGGCTATCTTCACATTAACAATGGCTCCCATGATTCACTGATACTTGATGAAATACTGATCTTTATATACAAATCAGACATCGAAAGAATGTAATGTAACTTTCACTACAGACTTCTAAGCCTAATCTATGAGTATGAATGTGTGCTTGTTAGCATGTGAGTGTGTGTGAGAAACTGAAAAATAGTTACTAAGACTCAACTGTGGATGCACTTCAAAGCACCTACTCCCCAAAATTGTGTGTTAAATTTAACATTTGCAATAATTGAATTCCAGTAACACCTTTGGATCTGAAAACAGGTAAACAGTTTTCATCAGATCCTGAAGGGAATTTGTCACCCACCCAAAGTGTTAGAAACCACTTCAAATCTCAGCCATTTGTTTCCATACAGTCACTGTTTAGTGTGTCATTCCATCTTGTAAGAGAGCTACTAGTCTTGCAGGTTGAGATCTAATGTTGTCTATGACACTAATGTTGTTTTGTGCTTCCACAGTAGCTGCTCTTTATGTTTTTAGTACATAGTTATTGAAGCCAAAACTGATGGTGCAGGGGAGAACTGGATGAAAGAGCACATTTCCGGGAGATTACTATGAAGAGGACTCTATATTTTTTCCATTATTATTATTTTTTTCAGGTGAATATTTGAAAGCTATTCACTGTAACCCCGCATTCACAGATTTTAAGATTTTAGGAAATGGTAACACAAATTCTCAGAATGTTCCCTGAGAAATATCTGAAATCAATCTGCACAAGGAATCAAAACATCCAAATTCAAATCCCAGCTTCATCTCTAGTTGAGGGACATAAGGCAATTCACTCAACATTCTGGGCTTCTCACTCTCATTTTAAAAAGAAAGTGGTTTGTTCCATGATCTTTAAACCCTGTTTTTCAAATTTAAAATGCATTGCAGTACTATTCACAATAGCAAAGTCAGGGAATCAAGCTAGATGCTCATCAATGGTGGACTGGATAAAGAAATGTGATACAAATACATGATGGAATACTACTATGCAGCTTTTAAAAGAACAAAATTATGTCCTTTGCAATAACCTGGATGCAGCTGGAGAACATAATCCTTCATGAACCGATGCAGAAATAAAAATCAAACACCAGGCCAGGCGTGGTGGCTCACGCCTGTAATCCCAGCACTTTGGGAGGCCGAGGCAGGTGGATCATGAGGTCACGAGTTCAAGACCAGCCTGGCCAAGATGGTGAAACCCCATCTCTAAGAATACAAAAATTAGCCTGCGCAGTGGCGGGCGCCTGTAATCCCAGCTACTTGGGGAGGCTGAGGCAGGAGAATTGCTTGAACCTCGGCGGCAGAGGTTGCAGTGAGCCAAGATTGTGCCACTGCACTCCAGCCCGGGTGACAGACAGACTCCGTCTCAAAAAAAAAAACAACAAAAAAAACAAAAAACAACACAAAAAAAACCACGTTTTCACTCATAAGAGGGAGCTAAAAATTGAGTACACATGGACATAAAGATGAGAACATAAACACTGAGTACACACAGACATAGACACTGGGGAGTTTCGAAGAGAGGAGGTGGGGGCAAGGGTTGAAAAACTAACTTTTGTATACTATGCCCGCTACCTGGGTGACAGGACCACTCATACACCAGACCTCAGCAATATACAATTTACCCATATAACAAACCTGCATACACAATACACCTGAAACTAAAATAAAAATTGAAAAAACAATTACAGAAATCTTAAGAATACAAATACGTCTTATTTTGGATAGATAAGATAGGAAACTACATTTTTAGAATTATCTTCTGTACCATTTGCATGGAACATCCCAGGTCTCCTAACACACATTAATTTGGATGAAGCATTTTGTATATATTATAAAATTAATGACTAAAACACACTAAAATGAAAGAGTATATAATTATCCTCTTAGCCTTGAAATACACACACACACACACACACACACATACATATCCCCCCACACAGGGACAGACATAGACATGCAGATCCTCCTCTACTTACAATGGGGTTATGTACTGATAAATCGATTGTAAGTTGAAAATATTGTAAGTCAAAATAGATTAAATACACCTGAACTCCCAAACATCAAAGCTTAGCTTAGCCTACCTTAAATGTGCTTAGAACACTTATATTAGCCTACATTTGGGCAAAATCATTTGGCAACACTGTACGCTCATAGAGTCTCAATTATTCACCCTTGTGATTGCATGGCTGACCGGAAGCTGCAGCTTGCTAATGCCGCACAGCATCACAAAAGAATGTTCAACTACGTATCATTAGACAGAGGAAAGATCAAAATTCAAAAATTTGAAGTATAGTTTCTGCTAAATGCATTATCACTTTTGCACCATGGTAAACTAAAAAAATCACAAATAGAACCTTCATAAGCCAAGGATTGCGTGTGTGTGTGTGCGTATTCTTCAAGCGCATAACATAAATACTAATTTACAAGTAATGTAATTTTGAATAAAGATCATGTACAAAACAAACTAATGAAAGCTTTGCCATTATGCAGATATTCCGGAATAACTGAATGCAGATATTACTTAAATAATCAGACACAAAATTAGGGTATAACTTGAGAATAATTCTTATGATAATTAATAATAGTCATACATTCCCATAGTTTTTAGGATTTTTTTGAAGCATTGTCACATACATCATTGTTTAAAACATCACAAGAATACTTCATAGTAGATATTGCTATTTTTTTCCATAGGTTATTGGGGTGCAAGAGGTACTTGATTACATGAGTATGTTCTTCAGTTGGGATCTGTGAGATTTTGGTGTACCCTTAACAGATAAGAAAAATAAGCATAAATTCTTTTCAAATGATATTTCAAGCTCACCCAAAATAGTAGAGTTAAGATAAGAAGTGGAGTCCCATGACTTCTTCTAATATTTAAGAACTGCAAAATTTTTTAAATCGCTTTTGCAAAAATTGTAACAGTGAGAAAATTATGATGGTGACAGAGATCTGACTTAAACAACTCCATCTTGCCTTTAACCCCCAAACTGCCCCTGGTCATTCCTGGGCTTGGGCCAAGCTAACTTTGGGAGAATTTCAGTTTATAGTTTAAATTTTAATAGCCTTTCCCCAAATTAAATTGCCTTTATAAAATAAAACGCCACAAATTTAGGGTTATGAGACGGGCCTGAATTTTGCTAAAATGTAGGAGTATTTAAATGATTATTAGCTCTTGTTCCAGAGGTCATAAGATTTGTAACGTCCCTAGTCACTCCTTTAAGTAACATCACTATTATAGAATCTAAGATTGATCTTTTGAGTTGTCTTTTCAGACTTTTGCATTTCTGAAACCAGATGACTTCACTGGATGACTCCACTGAGACCCAAGACTCAAGACCCGACCAGTCCTGTGGCCCTCACGTGTAAGTGGATTCAGCCCACGAGTACCATTTTCCACACCCTTATGATTGCATTCCCCAACCAATCAGCAGCAACCATTCCCTAACCCACTGTCCACAACACTATCTTTAAAAAACCCTAGCATTCAAATTTGCATGGAGGCTAATTTGAATAATAAACTCCAGTCTCCCATTTAGCAGGCTCTATGTGTATTGAATTCTTTCTCTATTGCAATTCCCCTGTCTTGATAAATTGGTTCTATCTGGGCAGCAGGCAAGATGAAACTTTTGGGTGGTTATATTTTCATGATTAGAAGATCTTGCACACAGATAAACAGCAAAATTTCAAGTCAAGATAAAATAGGTGCAATACGCATTCATTTCTTCAAAGTGAAACTGTATAAATAAATGCCAAGTAGCACAAGGCAATATGGAGCCAATGATTATCAAGTTTTTATTCTTGAGGAATTAATAATCTTACTGGGAAGACAAACTGTGAGCAGATTTTCACCCAGCAGCTATGGGAACACAAAGAAATGGAAGCTTTTTCTGAATGGAAAATCTGATTCAGGCTTCCTAGAGAAAGTGACAGCATATGGGAGAAACAAAGGCTCTCTTCTGATGATGGAGAAAAAGGAATTCCTGGCAGTAGAAATAGCAGGCAATGGTGCAGGAAAGTACTTTGGGGCAGAGTACATTCAGAAGGTGCTGAAACTTTGATGTAGCTATAATGAGATATTAATGGAAGGTAATGATGCAAGATGGGGCTTAAAAGGGTAATTTATACATGATGAAGAAGGGTCTTGCTGCCAGGCTAAGGGTTTTAAACCACATTCCAAAGGGGAAGAGTGCCAAAAGCATAAAGACTAATTCTGAAATGGCTCTAGACTGCTGCATGGAGTTGAGGTGGGGAGGTGGGTAATGGGGTGGCAGATCCAGATTCAGATTGCCTGTGTGTCTCAGCAGCTGTCATTCATTCTCTAGCCAGATTTAGGTAACAGATTAAATTTATCCAATTAATCTTTGCCTGTAGATTTTTAAATTTCAGACTATGCGCATTGTGCAATAGCTTCATAAAGATTAACAATTATTTAATGATATTATAGAAAGTTCTTTATTTTATACTGTATAATTATTAATTATTAATCAGAAATAAGACGTCTCTTACAAGACTCAATTTATAACATGGTAGTTTGTGTTACCAGGAAAAACAGTTTCCTTGCTGTTAAACAAGTCCATGTTTCTAATTTTAACTTAAATTAGAAAAATATCCTTCTTTTATTGGTCATTATAGTTATAAATTCTGCTAAAACCAACCACTTCACTCTACGTACAAAGATCAAGCTTTGCCTTCCCTAGGTTTTTGGTGAATGCTAATTAACATTCCTCAGTATAACCTTAACTGTGACTTGCTAGTTAGCCCTGAAGGACAACATTCTATTTTAAGAAAAATATGTATAAATTCATGGTTGGTTTAAATGCAGATGTAGCCTGTTCTTGAAAGTTAGTAAAATAGGTTAAGCTTAGGTTGTTACCCCAGTCATGGTATTGCACTAAAAACTCCAGGGATGCCATCACATAAATGCATGGTAGAAATAATGGATTTAAGATAAGATAGAATAAAGATCGTAAGATTTATTTTTGTAAGATGTAATTATTTGAAAATCAATATTTAAATCATAAGAGCTCTTTTTTTTTTGTTTCTACAGCTACACAGTATGTGTGAGGTTCAATCTGACTATCCATCCTTTATGGAAATGCTACATTACACATTAACTCAAAGGCTGAGAATCCATTAAGTCAAGGTGAGAATCCTGAGAATTAGCATCATCAATTGTGAGTTTTCTTTTCCCTTATTCTAGGCCTCCACGTGAGGCTTTCACTATTGTCCTTAGTCTCTTAGCCCATGATAAAAATATATATTTTATAGGAATGGTTTAAGGAGATGCCTTTCTGAGGGAGGGGTAATGACAGAAAAGTACATCCATTTTTTATTAGTATTAAGGAAACCGTATTGGTCATTCATCACTGACAAAACAATACTTTGTTGCTGGCTGTCTATTATACTAAACTGTGAATCCATGAAAATAAATTTCTGAAAATAATAAAAAACATATAAAAGTCAAATTTGAGCAGTGATGGAAGTAGGGTGGAAGTACAATTTAGCAAGAGTCTGAAGATTTTTAATAATTGTGTTATTTTGCATGAAATATTATATGATTTTGCTCAAGCCACTGGCTTAATATATTTTAATGAATCAAATAATGACAAAAACATAAGGGCTGCCAAACTGAGAGGCAATATATAACAATAAAATTAGTGGATCTGGCTCTTCACTGTTGGCTATATTCTAGGCCCATTTCAACATTCAGATTTAGCTGAATTATTTGGATTCCCTAATATTCCTTTTCCAGAAATAATGATGAATTGGCTTAGGGGAGATAAGAAGAATGGTATAGCGGGAGAACAACAGTCAAGAATCACCATTCATACTCCTGTCAAGAATCAATCAGTTTTCTTAGCTAGAGAGGGAAGCACGAGAGCACATTACATATTTGATCATGCATTACCCAAAAACCATTTGTGAAGTTGGGCAGGCTGTCAACATTACTCAAATGCACTTTGGGCTTTTCGAGCTCAACTTTTATTAGATGGATGTACATGTGAAAATCCATGGCTTTAATTGCTATAGCAAAAGAAGCAGTGCAGAATGTGTGTATGTCTTTGAGCCACAGGAATAGAATCCTCTTCAAACCTTGTTTCTTCACTGGTATGTCCCTAGTAATTGGAGAGATGGGTCTTGGGCTAGGCTAGGTGGAATATCATATACCAGTACAGAATGCAATCCTTCAAACATTAGGACAGCTAATGTATAAATCCAAAACTTGTATAATTTTAGTGTCATTAGCTATAAGAAAAAGCCACTCTCTTTACAATTGTCCAGCAGATAACACATCAACAAAACATCATGAAACTGGCCCCAGCACAGTGGTTTTAAGGCAAAACACTTAAAGTTACCTTTCAGCAATGTCACAACTTGAAAAATACACGCGATTCTCTGGTACGAATCACCCTTGCCCATCCCCCTCCCTCCCACTGAATAAATATAGTACAAATCAGAGATCTCTATGGAAGGATCATGCTGATTAATCTATTTCAGCTCTTGACCACTTGCTGTTTTTGGTATAAAAATCACTTCTACTGTGGGGAAAAAAGTGACACATTAACTGTAGAAATGGAATGTTGTATGGTTATACTGTCTGCTAAATGCACTGCTAAATCCACTGAGACGCACAGCATGGTTAAGGGCACCAGCACTTTGGCATTCAAACAGTCCTTTATTGAAGGATACAGGATAAGATATATTTATAATACTCTGTAGATCAACTTTCACCAAGCTCTGAGCAGCAATAAAGGAAAACAAATAGGGATTTTGAGGAACAAACTGAGCCACGACTCACTTTGACACTCCAAATACTGGTATTTTTCACTTAGCAGTAGTGGGTAAGTATTTTCCTGGAGTGACAGTTGAACCTTTAAAAAAATAAACATTTTTTCACTGTAAACAAAATAAATTCTGGCTGCTCCCTAGTCACTTTAAACAGATGAATAAATCAATTCAGTGGGTGCATAGGGAGAGAAACGACAGTAACATAGTTTCTCCCTTCTTAAAAACTGGAAGAAGATATATTGAAGGTGATGCTATCTAACCAGTAGTGGGTAAGAAGGAAGAAATTCAGGCTGTTGACATTTTCTGGTAAGATCTTGTAATGAACTTTAGATGTTTTGCTATTTTGTTGGTTAGAGTCCATCTAATATATTCCTAGAAGTTTCTTACAGTAAGAAAACATTGTGTGCATTTGTGTGCCTCTGTGTGTGTGTGTGTGTTTAATGCCCAACAACTGCATCTCTCACAGCTAAATTTCATTATGGGAGCCAAACCAGCCTCCCAAAGGTAAAAATTTATAGGAGAAACTTGAATACCTGCAGTTACACAATGACTGACTGCACTGTTTCAGCTTTTTCTAAGTGTATAGAAACTTTTAAAAATCAAATCATCCACTATGATGATTTGATTTTTTTAAAAAGGAAAATCCAAAGGTCTAAACCCAAGATTCATGTAAATAATATAGTAAATTGTGATATATATATAGAATATATATATAGAAAGCAACATACAGATAAGTCTGAAAGGAAAACTTACCCATGATCAGTTTAATAATATGTCAATTATTTATGTCATTTCTCATATAAATGCCTTATATGTTCAAAAATAGATTCTTGTGAATAGATGCTGATTATAATGTAAATATACATAAACACACACACAAGAATGCATCTATTCTGCTGAGATATATTTAAAGGTTTCTTGTAATTTCAACTGATCAATGGTTTTCCTTCTTCTGAATATTAAATAATTTTCTAATGTAAAGTTACTTCTGAAAATTAATTTTCATAATTCATATTTATTTTAGAAATGTTAAAGAAGCATTCATTATAAGTGTGATATCATCACTGTGCTACTTTTCACTATTTTATTTTTTATTAATGTTAGTCTAATTTTTAATCTCTCAATTACACAATGATAAACACATGAACATTATCTTCATATTGGCCCTGTTACTAAGGCTTCCAGACACTCTATGTTTGTGAGACATGTTCTGTATTTAATGATTCTGTCCTAAGTCCTATATTGAGCTCATCAGGCTACCTTAAATATCCTATATTCTGCTTTTTATTGATAAATTATTTTAAAATGGCTATTTCTCAAGGTGCTTAAATGACTTTGATGAAAACACAAGCTGAAAATCATGCTTCCACAAGTAAATATCTGGATAATTCCTTATGGTCTCTCTAGTAGTTTGAGAGAAAATCAAAAAGGAGGATTGAGAATTAAAAGTGTTTTTCATATTCGAGAAAGAAAAAGATTATTGTTTGACCAAAGACTCAAATCTGAGATAACTTCTAATCAGTTCGCAAGCTGTAAAATTCAGTCAATCAGGACAGTCTCACTCCAGTGGCCATGCTTCTGAAAATCAGTCATTCAACAATGGCATCACTCCAGTAACCGTGCTTCTGAAAGTTAGCAAGTTAGTAAAAATCTCAACCTTCTGAAACTCAACCTACCAGTGACAGCCACATGCTTCTACACAAGAGCTGATCAGCAAAGGTCTCACTCCGGTGACCAGGCTTCTGAGATCCAGCCATCAATAAGAGCTTTAATCCAGTGACCACTCTAACATAGCTAAAGTCCATTAATCTCTAAATACTCCTGCTTCTGAAAATCCATCAATTCTTGAACAGCAGACTTCCAAAAACTTCATATATCAGTTCTGGGTTCACTAGGGAAGATTTTGCCTTACAAACGCAGCTCTCCTTTACAGTCAATGAAAAGTTTGCATTAGCTGTCAAGTTAAATTATTATTACTTCAAACATTTGCGAACCTTTTTATGGTTGAACCTTGTTTATGGTTAGTTTTGAATTGGACTTGTGAGTGAAAAACATACCGATGCTTTGACTTGAGATTATCATGTTTAATCTTTTTAACTCCTCTAGTTGTTAGTATTATCTTTTTTTAATTTGTGTATATGTGTATACACAAATTATACACAGTATAATTCTGTGATAAATTTTTGGAACAGAGGACAATCATTAAATGAGGGAAAAATGCTTTTGAAGTTATTTGTTCAGGGTACAATTGTTCAGTCAATATAAAAAATGCTGAAAAGATGAAATAGCACAGAATATAGCTAAGGAAAAGAGATATATAATTTTCTCAACTAGTACCAAAGAAAAGTGATTAATATTAAAACTCAGAAGATAAAATAATTACAGCAGAAGTTGTAATGGCTGTCCACTATTTATATCATTAGTTTCATAGCTCCAATGACTGAACATATTGCTGTTATAAGCATTTTCTGATTCCAAAATTGCAAATTTTCAAGTGTCAAAATGAAATTGATTGCAAAAATTTTTTAAATGAAAAAGTTCCATTTACTATTATAGAGATTATAAAAATCTAAATGTCTCATCTTTTTCATAACGTAGCCACAATGCAAGTTATCATACTTCAGAAAAACATTTCCCTTTGATTGTGTAATATTGTTTTCATGAAAAGGCTTGCTTAGCCATAAGGCTACTGTAAGCAAAACTGTTTCTGATAAAACTTCAGAAATAATAGCAATTTTTTCAGAAATGCTCTTATTCAAATTGAAGTTAATAAAGAAAAAAATTTTTCTTTTATGAATTGATGGACATACTACAAATAAACATTTTGGTGGATATTTATCTGAAGGTACAAACAATATTTATTAAATGATTAAGCAAAATATGAATGATTCTATAAAAGATGTTGGCTGTTCTGCCCATATTCTACATAATGCTGCTAAAACAGTAGTTGATGCTGACATGGTTTGAAAACATCCCCCAAAGTTCATGTTTTTGAAACTTAATCCCCAATGCAGCAGTATCAAAAGTTTTAAATAACTTTAAAAGGTTATTAGGTCATGAAGGTTCTTCCCTATTGAATGGATTAACATCATTATCAATCACACATTGGTGAGAGATCATGGAAGTGGGCTCTTGATAGAAAGGATGGATTTGGCCAGATTTCAATTCTTTCTAGTACACCCATGTGCCTTCCACCAGGGGATGCTCCTTGCCAGATTCCATTGCCATGCTGTTGGACTTCCCAGTCTCCAGAACCATGAGTCAGATAAGTTTCTATTATTTACATAAATTACCCCATTTTTGGTGTTTTGTTACAGTAGCGAAAAACAGATTTAGACACATGCCCTTCTCATTCACACTGAAGTAATTTTGATAAACTTTTTTCTTACTTTAGTATTTATACTGTTCACACTGAGCAATTAAAATATTTTTGTTATTCTGTTTACATTCAGTATTGTTCAATTCTTTCACATTCAAAAACCTGTTGGCTCTCTTTAACAAATGTACTTGAGAGCATCTCATTTTATTTGAAGCACTAAAATCATACTTTAATTCTAAACAAAAATGCCCCCCAAATTCCTATTAACACTTTGTATAATCCATTGAGCAAAACCTAATTATTTCATGTTCATAGTTCACAATATCTCTTTAGCACATTAAAAGAAGAGCGGTGTTATTGCAGTACTCTTGCTTAAAATAACTTGTTGAATATAGTAAGGAATTGACCAAAAAAAAATTATCCCTGTGTCGAAATAAATACACTATTACTTATAAACAGGAAAAGAAATTCCAAATTGAAATGGATAATTATTAAGGCTCCTGCGATGACTAATTCTTATAATAGATTTTATCACTTGAATAATTCAATTTTTTACATGGTTGTTATTAAATAATCACTAGCTTGAGAACATGCAGAGTCATCATTTATACTGTTGAAGAGAGATCAGAAAGAAAATTAAAATTCATGAGAATGCTATTATTTTGTCACTAAGTTTAACATATTTTTTCATTAATGAATGCTTAATGGACAAAATAACTAAATAAGGCTGATGTGACTACTGTACAGTTGTGTTGCAATGTAAATGTAATATAGACTGTGACTGCAAGAGATTTTTTTTTTTTTTTTTTTTTTGAGACGGAGTCTCGCTCTGTCGCCCAGGCTGGAGTGCAGTGGCGCGATCTCGGCTCACGACTGCAAGAGATTTTAAAACAAATTTTGTAAATCATGGAACTGTTAAAAAGAGGCGAGTCATCACAGAAGTATAATCAAGGAAAGAGACACGTAATTTAGATACTCATAATTCGTTTCATGTAAATGACAATAGTGTTTTTTATTATTTGTATATCCCAGACAACATTTTTAAAATCTCAGTGTATGTATTCACAGGTAATTGGAAATCATTCTGTTTTAACTGGGCATCTTGTATTCTATTTGATAAATCTGACAACCCTAAGGAGCATGACCAATTTGGAAACATTTTAGTGTTGTTTCTTGGACTGTGGCTCCTTAGACTGAGGGTATGGTATAATTCAAGTCCCAGGACTGCTGAGAGGAGAGCTATGGATACCAATTATTAGGGAAGATTATTAATCCAGACAGTCCCTAACTTAAAATGGTTCAACTTAGGATTTTTTGAAGTTATAATGGTGGGAAAGCTATGGGCATTCAGTAGAAACCATACTTCAGTACAGTATTAAGTAAATTATATAAGATATTCAACACTTTATAAAATAGGTCTTGTATGGGATGATTTTGCCCAACTGTAGGCTGACGTAAGTGTTCTGGGCATGTTTAAGCTATTAGGCTAAGGTATGATGTCCACAAGTTAGCTGTATTAAATGCATTTTTTACTTACAATATTTTCAGTTTAGGATGAGTTGATCAGGAATTAACCTCGTCGTAAGTTGAGAAGCATTGATATTAAGAATACTAAGTTCTTCCCAACAAGTTCCAACAGAGATGGGATCTGTTCTTATTTTTGTTGTTGGTTCACTTGGTAAGAATTTCCCCTTCAAGATTGTCATTGTTGAGCACCTGATTTAATATGTTTGGGGAATCATCTCAGTTGTGGCTCTCCCACTAGTCGAGTTCAGATCCTGTTCCACAGTGGCACTAATGGCCAGTGAAGCTTCAAGTTTCTGGGTTGAGCATACCTCCTGGTCAGCCCTGGCTTCTGTGTGGGCTTTTCCACCTGTACATTAATTTTGTTTTTTTTTGTGCATTTCAGAATATCTGTGTTAAACTACAGCAGTAGAAACATGATAAAGTCTGTTTTAGAAAATGGATTTAGAATCAAGTTTATTTATGAATTTTAAAATTCAGCCACCGTGGAACATACCTGCAGGAGTTTCTTGTAATTTAATTTTTTTTTATAGTAAGACATGCTTGTTATTTTAGGAATAAAACAAGTTCTATAAGTCTCATTTAAAAAGAGCAACCTTATCCACACATTCTTCTACAACATGCCCTGCCTCCCAGTGGTAACCACTTTGCACTTTTAATTATTTCATTTCTCATTGGGTTTCACATTTTTTAATGTGTTATCAATTTTTATAGTTTATTAATTTTAGGCATTGAATTTGACCTCTTACCATAAATGATGAGAACTTGGCCTTTACAGCCTCCCCCATTTTCATGCAACCATCCTTTTAAAATAATCATATCATAATATTGAATAATGTTTAGAAATTGCATTATCATGAATGTATAAGTATAGTTTACTGTTATGCTAAATAATATTGTCATATTTCTCAATATTTTCTGTTTCTCATGAGCAAGGGTATTTAGTCTTCCCAAATATATCTGTCCTTCCAATAGCCAAGTGCTGCTCTGTCTGTTCTGTGTTTGGAATTCAGGATTAGAAAATTCTAGAAATAAGGATTCAAGGAAAGAAGTCAATTTCAGCTCTTATAGAAGGATAACTTGGGTTTCTCAAAGGTGAGCAGGGCCGTGGAGAGAGGTTAAGCCTGGCACTGCTCATCTGCCCTAGTCCTAGACCCCTTGCTCCTACTCAGAGGAGGTATTTAAAAAAACATTTTTCATAATAATTTCTTAAGAAAAAAAACTACACAAAATGCCATAAGCCATTCAGGGGCTTTTCAAAGTGACAAACAATAGAGATCCCAATGCAAGACCTAGCTGAACATAACTTTAACCTGTTTCTTCTCTAACTTGAAGTTTATATAGTTATAGACAGATGGGATTCGTAAGGCTTCATACAGCTAGAAATCCCGCACTCAGTTTCCAGAAGAGTAAGAGAAAAGGAGCTTCATATTTTGCACATTGGGAACTGAAAGTTTGAAGGTGGCTGGGCCATTGTGAGGGGAAAAAACACTGACCTTGACTATGTTGGTGGGGATCAGCTGTTACTTGCCCCCAAGATCCCCTTCCCCTTCTGATGGAGGCTGACAAGTTCTGCTGTGCTAACTCAGCATTAATGAAATTCTGAAGCAATACTGCAGGTACCATTCCTATGCCCTCATATTCAGCTAGAGCAGAAAGGCATAAAAAACTTCAGCTCTGTATTTTGTGAACAGTGGAGCAGACAAAGAGATTGTTGCTGCTCCTCTTCACCTTCCTAGTCACAGAGAGAATTGTTTCTTGCTCAATGGTCCCATTCAAAGTCACTAGCCTTCCCTCTGTCTCTCAGCTCCGGAGAATCTCAGATAGGCTGGTGTGAGTGGTAAAGGTGTGTGACTATGTACAGGGTGACCTTGGCTACCTGACTGTAGGACACCCAGGGCTTAGTATGCGATGGGTATGATAAAGCAGAATCCTTTGGTCTCCTCCTGTCATGACTCTTCCTCATGACAGGAGGAGTCCAAAGAACAAAGCAAAGGTCATAGCAAAACTGAGAAGGGGAGGAATAGATGCCACGTAGGCCAGGAGAGGGAATCTTAGCACAAAAACTGAAAGCACTCGGGTTACTCACCTGGCCACTGCAGTAGGTACCGGCTTCAGAGTTACATACACCACATGTGGACAGGGCCACATTTCCCCCTCCCTAACCCTAACAGATTCTAGCTCTGAAGGGCATAAAGGACAAGAACATTTTTGTGAAAACAGTGGCCGTTTTGCATTTTTGAAAATGTTGAAAGTGTCCTGTGGACACCGAGTTGGATGAAGAATTGCTGTAGTAGGCACTGGGCTGGCCACGTATCCATGGACCAGGGATATCTAACAAAAGGAAAATAACTTCTCTGAGGTCACATAGCAAGCCATACCTGGCTCTCAGTTCTTTATCTCCAGATACAAATCCGGAGGAAAGAATCATATAAGGATTTGAACACACTGGGGCTAGAAAGTGACTTGTCCAAAATAAACTAAGGACATAGTTCAGTAAGGCAGCCCATTCCCCCTCTGTTTCTAGCATGGTGTTTCCTCCTACACAACCTCCCACCTATGTGGAAGAGTTAATATGGTCCAAAGGAAAGAAAAACTCTTTAGCTGAAAAATGATTGGAGAATGAAGTAATATTTTACTAAAATTTTTCAAGGCTTTGTCCTCAGCCAGGGTCAGAAGATTTGAAAAATTCCCAGGGGCATCATTCACACATTTTGCAGACTTGTTATCCAGTAGGATAACAATGGTGTAAAATAGGGGAAAAAGAAAAGGGGCTTCCTGGAATTATAAGACATGAAGTCCTATACCATAAGTGTAATATCAGGACAACCAAAATGTATAAGTGTGCTGGGAGCCTGGGGATGGTGGGAGCATAAGGATACCAGGAATCAGCAGCTGGAGTCACAAATATCTCTTTAATGAGTTCAGGTTAAAACAAACAAACAAACAAACAAACAAACATGACGGTGTGGGCATGGAGAATTGAACCAGAATCCAAGATATAAGAGGGAGTCAAGGCTAGCATTTGGTGTTCTTCTCTTTGAGGTCTTTCATTTAGAAATTTTATAGTTCCTTAAATCCTGAGCTAAAATTGGGCTGTGGTTACAAGGACAGGTACAGATATTACTAGTCAGGCCATGCAGCATTTCAAGAACTTGTGGCAACTGCCTCCTATCCCCACCCTTGGGACTCAAGGCCAGTTCCTTCCTTCTACCAGAAAGCCTGAGACATAGTGCACTGCTGTGCAAGCTTAGATGTCATGCCAGTGCTTCAAAGTAAGAGGCAGTTTGGGCTGCCAATGAGTCTTAACTATGCAAGGCTGGTTCAACACATGCAAATCAATAAATGTAATCCAGCATATAAACAGAACCGAAGACAAAAACCACATGATTATCTCAACAGATGCAGAAAAGGCCTTTGAGAAAATTCAACAACCCTTCATGCTAAAAACTCTCAATAAATTAGGTATTGATGGGTTGTATCTCAAAATAATAAGAGCTATCTATGACAATCCCACAGCCAATATCATACTGAATGGACAAAAACTGGAAGCATTCCCTTTGAAAACCAGCACAAGACGGGGATGCCCTCTCTCACCACTCCTATTCAACATAGTGTTGGAAGTTCTGGCCAGGGCAGTCAGGCAGGAGAAGGAAATAAAGGGCATTCAATTAGGAAAAGAGGAAGTCAAGTTGTCTCTGTTTGCAGATGACATGATTGTATATGTAGAAAACCCAATCGTCTCAGCTCAAAATCTCCTTAAGCTGATAAGCAACTTCAGCAAAGTCTCAGGATACAAAATCAATGTACAAAAATCACAAGCATTCTTATACACCAATAACAGACAAACAGAGAGCCAAATCATCAGTGAACTCCCATTCACAATTGCTTCAAAGAGAATAAAATACCTAGGAATCCAACTTACAAGGGATGTGAAGGTTCTCTTCAAAGAGAACTACAAACCACTGCTCAATGAAATAAAAGAGGATACAAACAAATGGAAGAACATTCCATGCTCATGGGTAGGAAGAATCAATATCGTGAAAATGGCCATACTGCCCAAGGTAATTTATAGATTCAATGCCATCCCCATCAAGCTACCAATGACTTTCTTCACAGAATTGGAAAAAACTACTTTAAAGTTCATATGGAACCAAAAAAGAGCCCGCATTGCCAAGACAATCCTAAGCCAAAAAAGAAAAAAGCTGGAGGCATCACACTACCTGACTTCAAAATATACTACAAGGCTACAGTAACCAAAACAGCATGGAACTGGAGACCAAAACAGAGATATAGACCAATGGAACAGAACAGAGCCCTCAGAGATAATGCTGCATATCTACAACCATCTGATCTTTGACAAACCTGAGAAAAACAAGCAATGGGGAAAGGAATCCCTATTTAATAAATGGTGCTGGGAAAACTGGCTAGCCATATGTAGAAAGCTGAAACTGGATCCCTTCCTGACACCTTATACAAAAATTAATTCAAGATGGATTAAAGCCTTACATGTTAGACCTAAAACCATAAAAACCCTAGAAGAAAACCTAGGCAATACCATTCAGGACATAGGCATGGGCAAGGACTTCATGTCTAAAACACCAAAAGCAATGGCAATAAAAGCCAAAATTGACAAATGGGATCTAATTAAACTAAAGAGCTTCTGCACAGCAAAAGAAACTACCATCAGAGTGAACAGGCAACCTACAGAATGGGAGAAAATTTTTGCAACCTATTCATCTGACGAAGGGCTAATATCCAGAATCTACAATGAACTCAAACAAATTTAAAAGAAAAAAAAACAGACAACCCCATCAAAAAGTGGGCGAAGGATATGAACAGACACTTCTCAGAAGAACACATTTATGCAGCCAAAAAACACATGAAAAAATGCTCATCATCACTGGCCATCAGAGAAATGCAAATCAAAACCACAATGAGATACCATCTCACACCAGTCAGAATGGCGATCATTAAAAAGTCAGGAAACGACAGGTGCTGGAGAGGATGTGGAGAAATAGGAACACTTTTACACTGTTGGCGGGACTGTAAACTAGTTCAACCACTGTGGAAGTCAGTGTGGTGATTCCTCAGGGATCTAGAACTAGAAATACCATTTGACCCAGCCATCCCATTACTGGGTATATACCCAAAGGATTATAAATCATGCTGCTATAAAGATACATGCACATGTATGTTTATTGTGGCACTATTCACAATAGCAAAGACTTGGAACCAACCCAAATGTCCAACAATGATAGACTGCGTTAAGAAAATGTGGCACATATACACCATGGAATACTATGCAGCCATAAAAAACGATGAGTTCATGTCCTTTATAGGGACATGGATGAAGCTGGAAACCATCATTCTCAGCAAACTATTGCAAGGACAAAAAACCAAACACCGCATGTTCTCACTCATAGGTGGGAATTGAACAATGAGAACACATGGACACAGGAAGGGGAACCTCACACACTGGGGCCTGTTGTGGGGTTGGGGGAGGCGGGAGGGATAGCATTAGGAGATATACCTAATGCTAAATGATGACTTAATGGGTGCAGCACACCAACATGGCACATGTATACATATGTAACAAACCTGCACATTGTGCACATGTACCCTAAAACTTAAAGTATAATAAAAATATATATATATAAAAGTCACTGATTGGGAGATTCCTGTTCTGCTTACTTGCAGTCTGCTTGACAATCTACATTTGTAGCAGAAAAAAATAATAATAAGCTATTTATGACTGTCTCCCACTTCCAGAGGAGAAGCAGATGAGACTAGACCCCAAGAGAAATGAAAAGGTATTTCTGCCCTCCTGTCTTCCAGAAAGTTCTGGTCTTCTGTACTCAGAGATTGTTAATAACTTGTTTTCCCAAACCCCAAGTAAAAGTGTTAGGCACCTTTTATGCAACTCTTCTTGTGTGGGAGGTCAATTTAGATGGGTATTTTGGAGAAGGAAGATGTGAAGGTTGGGAACGCGGCACTGCTAGGTTGAAAGGTGAAAGAGATGCTTAAGGGTGACAGGGACTTGAGAAAGTAATGCAGCAAAAGATTCCAAAGTGGCAAGATCCTTGTGGAAATCTTGAATTAAGTAAGACTCTTGTTTTGTAGAGCTTATTTGATGCCTGGAGACTTCACCCTCCAATACTACTGTCTTGGAAACTCTAGCTATAGCTGTCAGTGCCCACACTTGGCACAAAGGCTGTGGAGACAACTGCCTTTAATGGACCATAAGGGCTTCACAATGAGCTTCCTGGCAGCAATCACAATGGGCAGAAGCCAGAAGCTCCATCTAAGGTATTTTTTGGATATTATGTGCCATACTAAAGAAGAAGGTCTCCATTTATTACAGATATTGATCTCTTCCCATAGTCATGGTGTGACTTAGGGTTAAAATTAATTTAGGAAAATGGAGTAATGGGATATTTTTTGTTCCTAGTGTTGTGGAACAAAATCATGCTGTTACATTTATTGTTTCATTTAATCTTCATAAGCCCTTCAAAGTAGACATTGTTTCCTTTCACAAAGAAGAAAACGGAGTATTAAAAAGGTACTATGTATTTAATGAAACACATAAAAGAAGGAAGCTGGGTTGGAGAACCTCCTCAGATTTTAAAAAAGCCTGCGGATGTAACTGACAGAAAAGGCAATCTAACTAACTTAAATAACTGATATTTGTAAATGCAAAATCTGGGAGTAGGGATGGCTTCAAACCCCAGAGTTGATTCAGAGACTCAAGTAATGTCCTAAGGATTCAAGTTATCCCCAGTTTTTGGCTCTCTGTCTTCTGTACTGAGTTTGCTTTCAAGCTTTGTGTTGTAGCGAGATGGCTGCCAACAAGTTCAGAGCTATATTTTCTTATGTTGAAGCACAGCTGAATAAATGGTGCCTCTCTCAGCAAGGCATCTACATAGTCTTATTGAGCCTTATTGGCTCCAGTTAGATCACATGTCCATGGTTGAACCAATCAATCCCTGTGGCCAAAGGTATGGAGGTATGGGTGTTATTTTTAGTCAGGCCTGAGTCACAGACCAACCCTTGGAGAAAGGATATGGGGAAAACACATCTCCACATGCACATGGTAAAAAGACTGAGAAACATAGCTTGTTTTTTTCAATAGGGTACACTTTCCAAAAAGATGAAGGAATATTGGATTTCAAAATAAAAACAGTAACAAAGCAGATATCTTCTGTAGCCCTCTTTCATTGTCCCCAATCCCATCTATTGGCTCTCTGCCACGTGTAACATGCCATTTGAGCCAATGGAACTATGTTCCATTACAATGAAAACTGTATCTTCCACTTACATTATCTTCTCAGCCATATTGGGTGGAATTTGGCTCACTTAGAGGAATGGGGATGCATTATATTAACAAATACTAATTACATTTCCTGCTTTAGGTGTGAACTCTGCTTCTCCTATTAGACTTCAGCAAATCAAGAATTCAACAAATCAAGAAGTCAGTTGATTCGAAGGCTATATTGTGCAATGATTAGATGCTCTTATATTTCCTAGCAAAAAATAAGAATGATAATAAAGCTATCATTCATTAAGCACCTAATATTTGCTGGCTCTGAAATGTTCCATACACATAATTACTAATCAGAAACATGCCATGCACATAATTACTAATCCTCACAGCAGCCTGAAAGGGAGGATACTATTATCCCTATTTACTAAATGAGGATACTCTAGTTATGTGTAGTAGATAATTTTTGACGTTCTTTCCCAGGTCATGATGAACTGTTAATCACCCACTCTTACTCACTTCCAGTGATCTTTTCCTACCTTCCATATGTTTTGTAAAATAGAGCAAATTGGTCTGTAGAAAGAAGAATGAAACAGATGGACCACAGTAGTCTAGTGTCTTCTAAGTTCCCCATAAAAGGTCTGACTATTGCTATTAGGTTTCATAAAATACTCCTAACATATTTAAAACTTCTCTGCAAGCCAAGCCCCAAAGAAAATGTATGTATTTTAATCAAAAATCAAAATAAACTTGCTCAAGATCATTTCACCAGAAAGTACTGGGGTCAAGATTTGAAACCAATTCTCTCTGATACCAAAGGCAGGGTTGAACCACTGCAATGTGCTTTCACTTCCAGGTGCTGCAACTTGAATTCCCAACATTGACATATTTAATTCCAAAGAACATTACACCAGCTTTTAGTCAAATGAAAAAGTTAACCAGCTGCTATCTTAGCTGTCAAATTTCTAGGAAGCAGCTTAAATTGTAGGAGAATATGAATCATCATGGATATCCTATGTAAATGTCAATTAGCATGGCTTCTGTTAACAATGAACTCCTTGCTTTCACTATTTAAAAAAAAAGAATAGGTAATAAAATCAACATGCTGGATTTTTCAAAATAAAAAAAAACACAAAAGTACCCGTGTTATAATATTACAGTGATGATACCTATAGTTAGAAGTGAAATGGCGTTCGTGGGTGTTATAAAAGAGCAAAATCAATTTCATAGTCTAAACTACATATTATTTAAAAGGAGCACATATTGAAAAGACATTTAAGGTTCTCTCTACATAGGAAAGCACTTTTTCTTCTGTGGTCTTTGCTAAGTAATGAGCTATTTATAATTAGCCAACTCATATTTAACGTAATTTTCTAAAGTATACAGCTTAGATTTTATTTTGCCAAAATTATCATGGTTCATGGTTCATTGCCTTCAAAATTATCAACGTGGTTCATTGCCTTCAAATCTTCACATTTGGTTTAGAGATTCTTTCTTGCTTTAATCCTCCACTAAGTCAAACTGCTTGCAAATACACTTTACAGTAAATCTGCACTAAGGGGATGCCTAGTTGTACTTTTCATTTACGCTTGCACTTGCCTTCTTCTGGAACTGGTATTTTACAGTAATAGCTACACATTCTTAGTTGTTTGCTAAAGTGAAGTCTTGTTTACAATATATAGAACAGCGTATATAAGGCGCACTATTTCACAATTGTGTAATTACAGCAGCCAAGGCTTAAGTTAATGAGTTTCCTAAATAGCTTTAGAAGAGAGATCGCAATATGAAAAGCTTAGCGTGGAAAACATAGGGATTATCTAGTCCATCAGAGCTCCATCTCAACTATTCTAGAAAGATAGCTTTATATCCTATTTCAAAAACTGTCCAAGAAATAGATTCCAAGTTAAAATCTGTATGAAAGAATACTCCCCAAGACTGCTCTATTACTGATTTTTCATGTGTGAAATGGCACTGGAGATGTGGTGTATAAATTTGAAATGATGTCTGAACCAGTTATTTTCTTTAAAACGTAAGATTTCATTTGAAGAGGACCTATTAAGTAATTCTATGAGTAAATTCACAGTCATTACCTGACAATCTGCTTAACTCCATCACGATCAGAATGGATATTCATGAGCATAAATAGTCAATATTGGCTCTAGGAAATCAATTACTCCACTGTTATCCATCAACAATCCTCTTGAGCTCAGGCTTCATATCTATCACTTAAGATAGGTGAGAAAAAACCCCTTTCAATGATATAAAAATAGCACATAATCATGTGAAGTTAAGTGGATGCCACCCAGTATTAGATGTGGGAATTGTGAGACAGAAATACATAATATCATCTTAAATGTAGTTTCATTTGCTTGTTTGTTTGTTTAGTGTATGTTGAGCTCAACTTTTTCCATCTAGTACCTATCTTTCACTCATTCCATCTCTGAATGATCTGGATAGGTTTTCTAAACAAATGACTTTATTAAGATGATACCTCCCTCCAAATCATTGAAAGTGTTTCTGACACAAAGGTGCCCTTTGCAGCCTGGAAATTCTACTAATTTTCAAAATACAATTAATTTCTCAGGGTTTAAAGAATGAGTTTTAGTCTATAGTCTTATACTTGATAGTGTCTGTAGCAGTTATACTATTATACCAATAGTGAGTGTACAAAAATTACTTGTGGTTATAATACATAAAGTGAACAGGATTTTTCTTCATGGAAACAACTAATACTTAATGTAATAGAAAACGATATAATATATGATTTACTACCACAATTTCACCTATAAACTACATTACAATGGCCCAAAGACTGAGGCAGAAACTAGGAAAGTAGGATCACAGCGGGGGAAACCCTAGAGTTGTATTGTCACATTGCCTGTGCATCTGTTTTCATGTTTGTACAAATTCTGGCAACCAGATAATAATAGCTGATGATGACAAATAGATATTTGACCAATTAAACATAAAGATACTAGCTAAAATGGGATACTTTTGCATAAAGGTAAAACACATTGCTTTTTTAAAAACGGAATTTGTGTATCTTTTTGTGTATCATTTTGCACAAATGCACACTGTGAATACATGTAAAACTAAAATTCTGCATTGAATACACATCACAAAGAAACAGAAAGGCTAATGGAACTTTTTACTGTAACTTTTGGTAAGGTCCTAATGATAGCATATACTTGAGAGGGAAGGATATTATAACTATTTTTTTGAACACTGAAATTTGAAATTTGCCATTTTCCTTTTTTCATACCTAATATATGATACAGAGGTGCATATTAAAATACTGAGGTAGAGTTTCTGCACAGTAGAAGAGGATTTGCCACAAATTTTCTTGGCCACAGGGTTCCAGTTATCACAATCAAGTGACTTAGTCTATTCAATAAAACTGACTAAACATATTTGACCTGATTTTGAAAGTTGTTTCTTTTTTTATAACTGTAAATAAAATAAGTGTTCACTTTTTACCAAATCTTAGGCTAGTGTTTCAGTTGGATGCTTCTTAACAAATATATTGACTTTTTTCTCTAGTGATATCATAAGAAAAATCAATTCTTAGTAGAGAATATTCTATAATAGATGCATGAACCAGCCAACGATGGCTTTTATCTAATTGCTATATAGATTGTTTTAAATTTTCTCTGTAGGCTTTAGTGCTGGATAATAAACAAGAGAATCCAACTGTATTTTGTAGTACATTTAAGACCTAGCTTGTAAAGTCATTGCAAATATTTTATTTATTCTCAACAATGTATGATATCAATGCCTTTAGCATAAAACTGTAGCACTTTCTTTGATGAATACATAATATACATCATTATCTTTATAAGTATATGCACAGTCTGATAGTATAGTTCAAATGACCCATTAATTACAACTTTGAAACAAAGCAAGTTCTGCTCTTTTCAGGACAGCTGGATTGATAAAGGGGACTGAGCATGCCTGTCTTATCCAGGCACCCGGTAAACAAGCCAGGCTCCAGTGCGGGTCCCCTGTGTTCCATGGCTATACATCTCATGTTTATATGCTTTAAAAAAGACAAATACGTCTATCTATACTGGCAAGATGCAAAGGTATCTATCAATTCTTTATAATTAGTAACTGAAAGCAATGATTCAATGATAAAACTATGAGAAAAATACAAAGATATTCTTCACGGGGTTGAATTTACAGTAGAGAGGTTGACATAAGATGAGTAATATTCCCTCCTCGAGGCATGAAAGGGTGTGCCTGGGGACCAATTTAATTTCTAAGCATGGGGTAAGGCATCTACTAGCTTTGGTCCACACAGCTTAATAGAGAAAAAGGCTGAAAAGTAAAAATATGAATCTTCAATTGCAGCAGTTTGCAAGTCCTCAAAATCAACTGCACTTCTTGGAATGGAGTTTGTTAACCAGAAATGCAATCAGAAGTGCCGAAGTGAAGAAAGAGCTATTAATAGAGAGGAACAGTCACTCAAAGATTACAGCTTAGTGATCTTAATGCAGTCATGAAATTGGACATGTGGGGGTCTCTGCAAAAGTCAAACCAAGAATTGGTCAAGGCCACAAATGGCTTGTATCTTAACAAAGCTAGGCATCAAAAGCAACACTAGTAACAGTATTTTAAAAGTACAAAGGTCTTTTGTTCAAGTCTTTTCATCGTTATCAGATGCAGCTATTTATCAGAAGCTGTAAGTTTGAAACCACATATCATAAGGACTTTTGCCTAAGCAATAAGATATTGTATAGTCATAGAAGTACAGCTTCCATGAACTAGTTTGTTGGGGTTTTATAATTATAAAACTATTTTGTATGTATGTCTGTATGTATGCATGTATGTATGTATATATGTATTTATTTATTTTGAGACAGAGTCTCATTCTGTTGCCCAGGCTGGAGTGCAGGGACACAATCTCGGCTCACTGCAACCTCCACCTCCTGGGTTCAAGTGATTCTCTGGCCTCAGCCTCCTGAGTAGCTGAGATTACAGGCGTGTGGCATCATGCCCAGCTAATTTTTGTATTTTTAGTAGAGAAGGGGCTTCACTATGTTGCCCAGGCTGGTCTCGAACTCCAGGCCCCATGTGATCCACCCACCTCTGCCTTCCAAAGTGCTGGGATTGCAGGTGTGAGCCACCATGCCCAGCCTATTTTGTATTTTTAATAGTCTCTCAGTTATGAATGAATAAGTAGGTAGCTTATAGACAGCTATGATAACTAATAAATTCAGAACTTCTTTGAGAGTTATCACACTTAATTCCAAAGGAAACTTATCTAAAAGAAGGCTAAATAGGTAGTAAACATCCACAGAAACAAATACTAACAACATCAAAATGCAAGCAAAAGTTCTTATATACATCTTACACTCATTCATACTTTTGTTCTGAGAACTAAAATATCCTCCCAGTATTCTCACTTGAGAAAAATAAATAGCTCAGATGGAATTGTATATCAATAAAGGAGTGTATTCACTTTGGTAAAGAAGAATTTGTTCTCCATATCAAAAAAAAAAAAAAAACAAAACAAACAAACAAACAAAAAAAACGCCAAATAATGATCTGCTTATTTTAAAAGAAGATTTCCAGACTCCAGGGAAAATAGCAGGTGGCCAGGAGCCTGCCAAATGAGCCTGCCAGGAACACAGCAGGGAGGTTGGGTGGGAGCGAGGACAGCTCATGTCCGCTTGCCAGTTCAGTGGTGTGAGCAGCCCAGTGGCCAGCTGTGTGATGTGGATACAAGCCACTCCAATCCTCATCCTTTTCCAGATGGTGGAGTCTTTGGCTGCTCCACCTGTGGCCTCCAGCAATGCATAATTAAATTCCTGGCTGTGCTATATACTTCATTCAGGAAATGTCCATTCTCTCTTTTAAAATCCAGGCTTTGAGGAATTCTACTTTGGTCTGTTTCTTCACAGTTGTGTAGATGATGGAGGTATAACAAAAGCAGCAGTCTTGAAGCCCTTATACTAAAAGGATCAAGAGCAAATTCAGTCCCCTATAACATCTTTTATAAGTAGGATCCACCATTAAACTTCATGGATAGCATGTCAAAAAGTTAAATGTTTTTCATCAACTTGTTGTCAGATATGTTGGTTTATGAATAGTTGTTGCTACTTCTGTTATATAGCAACTGCAAAGCTAGCTTATTTAAAGTTACTATAAGTTTTTAGTCTTTATTGGAAGAAGTGAAAACAGTCTCTGCAGCAAGACTCAAAAGTACCTTTGTTTTCTAGGCCTGCCAGGGATTTTTCTATGAGGCCCTAAACCATGGTCTCTGCCAACAACTCCTCCATCTCCCCATGGCTCTCAAGAAATAGAACTGCTCCATCCTGAAGGTAATTGAATATCTTACCTAAGTGATTTCCTCATTGTTTATTTACATTATGGAACATTTTTCTTGCAGAGTTAGAGTATAATCTGTATGTAATACTGAACAATATTATTGTAAGCTGCACAAAAACATACCCATAAATGAGTTCATTAAGTATTAGATATTTAAGTAAATGCTGTTTTAAATGGTTTCTACTGTGTAAAAATTGTTGGTGGCTTGTTAAATAGATGTTTGAAAATGTTTAAATTGGGAAAAATTGCTTGGTGTTTTTCTATGAATGAGGAACAGCTTTTTTTTAATATTTAAAATAATGAAATATCCAACATATTTTCAGGAGCAAATCAGATTTGGATAATAAAGAAAGTTTATTGTTTAACTACTTTTCTTCTCTGTAAAGAGACTTTAATAATGTCTTCCCATTTTAACTGACAGGCCATCAATAGATGGATTTGTTTATTGTTTACCCAATTATTAGTCTAAAAAGCACTTGCTTTAATTCACTATAAAAATGTATACTCAACTGGACCATTAAAACAAGACTAAGTGATTTATAGAAACGCTTTTTCTATATTAAATAAAAATAATTTCAGCAATTAAGCACAAGATTAGCTCTGAGGCTCCTGTTAGGCAAGGAAACAAGAGAAACCATGTGTGTTACATGGTATTTACTGTTTAGTGAATTGAAACATACCAGCATAGGGTTGGAACAAATGTATTTCCCAACACTGTACTCATTTATTTACAATAAATTAAATGAATACAAAATGCTTTTGAAAATGGCAAAATATTCTACAATAATAAAGTATCACTAGATTCTACTATAAAGAGCTACCACAATTCCACTCCACCATTGCTATGAAAAAAGATGATCATTCAGTGAGAATGATATTGGTGTACATTTTCCAAGAAAACTATGGAATGAAGAATCAGTTTATACTTAAAAGGTAATTAATTTCAGAAAAGCAGATTTATTCAAAACACATAACAATAATAATGGCTTAAAGGGACTTCTGTTTGTTTGTTTCCCCAGTAATGAGGACAAAGTCAGCTATGAATGAGCTTATTTTTGACTCCACCATTACAACATGACAATATTGCATTCATGACACGTTATAGTTTGTATTGTTTCATTGTTATATGTTTATATCAATGAATCCACAACATTCACTAAAGACACAATACTCTTTTCCTAGAAAAAGGAAGCAATGTGTTTATAATACCAAAAATGTCATAAGCACTATTATAATAAGCATCTGAGAGTATCATCTCTTTGGTCACATGGATGCCACTGAAGCATGAGAATCTGTCTGTGAAGGCCAGTGTGAATTACTAAATAGAGTGATGCAAAGTGTTTCCTGAGGAATGAAATTTTTATTTTATTTAATATAAATCGAAGGTCAAAATGAGCTACAAAACAAGGAGCTGTCTGGAGTTGTTTTCAAACGAAGCATTTTTAATAACTTAATAACAAGCAGTAATTAGCATACTAGCTGTTTGTGGCTAAATACAGCCTTTTGAACTGCATAGAGGCACGAGAATAGCCTGTTCACTTAACTAATTTACAGATTCTTTCTCAAAGTCTTGTTTTTACCATGAATTTACACTCTGTATATAAAAAGAAAGAATATCTTGATACCATGACCTTGGCCACACCTTCCACATGGTAGATCCTAAATCCATAGATTAACAAAATGGAAATAAGAGAAAAAAATTGAGAACAAAAATAAAAATTAATATGTTTTGCTCCAAAATAAACCATGTTTTTTTTCTCTGTAAACAGATCCCTTGGAGCCTGTTGAGTTTTGTGGAAAAGAAAATCACATAAAGTTTTCTCCGTGACACACCTAGCAAGGCATTTTCAAGTCCAATTTATTTACACAGGCCTAGCAGTACCCTGGAGAATGCATATTTTCATATTTTCTCCCACTGTATTGAACCCATGCTTTGTAGCAGATGTCATAGAGCTGATATCGCAGATAGCCAAGCTTTGCTGTAGAAGCATGTGAAAAGACAGACATCCAAAGAAACATTGCAAATGTGTACTACATTATCAAACTCTCCAAATTTAGGCTTATTCCTAGAATACAAATATTTCTCAACCCAGCAGGCAGCCAGGTGCCCGCAAATCCTGAAATTATAAAAACTTTGGCCAAGTTGATTTACTTCTGCGGTCTCTTGTTGAAAAATGTGTTGATTCACATTAATGGCTTGATGAAGGGGGGACTGGAGGACTAGAGGTATCAGGGTGAATAGGACTTGATGGGTTTTGCTCTGTAATCAGAGTGTCACTCAATCAGAGTGTGTGGCAATTGAGTGAGTGGCACAATTAGCATCTTATTATGGTGTTTGCTTTCTTCTCTTTTTATACGGCATAATTTGGTACTTTATTATACCATTTCACATTCGTTAGCACCTCATGTAGCACTCATTCATTTGGAAGTCATTTCTCAGAAAAATTCTGAAAGATAAAACTCCTGCTGAGAAAGAAGTACCTACAAAAATCCCCTCAAGTCCTCACTCATAGCTGCATATTCTAACTTTATGCAAAAGCTACCAAGTTTGCTTTACCTGTCTGCAGCAGGTCAGAACTAGCAAAATGAAAAAATCTAGAATGTGTTATATAAAGCTAGTGAAAAAAGGCAGATTGAGAGTACCAAAATAACAGCTGGAAGTGTGAGAAGAGAAAAATAAGTAACAAAACTCAGGCTGAAGAACTTCAAAGGTATAACATTTTTCTCAGGTTGCATTCTCAAGAAACAGATTCTAAAGTACGGATTTGACTAATTTATCAAAGAAGTGCTCCCTGGAGAAATGAGCAAGGGAGTGGGGAGGCACAACAAGGAGGCTAAGAAACCAAGCAAAGTTGTGATTTTTAGGTAAAATTCCAGCCTAGGCTTACCCTGATTGAAATTGTGTAGAATATATTGCATCTCAGAGTTTGTCTTAAGGCAAGGAATATGGGCTGTTTTGTGTTCCTTTATTAGTCATTCATTGGCTTGGGGCCATGGGGAGGTTGGTGCAGGGGAATATACCCCATGTTGCAGGAGTCTGGCAAATAGAAACAAACAAACAAACAAACAAAATAAAAGTTAACTAAAAACAAAAACATAAATTGATTTGGCCAATAATACATTTGGCTATTAATGACAAGGACCATGAGTGGATAGAGACCCAGTTATCAAAAGCCTAATACATTTTCAGATACTAAATGATATGTTTTACTTAAATTTCTGATACATCAAGTTGCAGGTACATAATTTTTTTCTAATAGCTTATGCATACATCAAAGTGAGTGATTATTCTTAAAACCGCCTATGCATTTAAAATGTGTCAATATGTTGATGTTATATTTTTCCAGAGAAAAGAAATATAGTAAAGACATACTTATAAATGCTTTAGTTTATGTATTTTTTTATTCTAAGAAGCTATTCAGAGAAATAAAAGTCTTCCTTTTCTAACATATTTGTTAGTATTTTCAGAAAAATCCATATTTAGATTTCTGAAGGCAATGCTGTATCTCCATACAGAAGGCTGAATGACAATTTAAAAACAAGCCCTAATCCCTAGTGACTGTACATCTGTGTCACAAAACAATCGCATAATCTGGCATGATTAAAAGGTTTGCTGTTCAGAGCTCAACAGCTGAAAGCCAAATATGGCAAAGTATGATCTAGTTTTCTGCTTCATAAATGCAAATAAAGACTGGCACATAGAGTATAGAAAGCAGTTGTTCTTATACAATTTAGGTCCAGCACACTTTTGGATAAAGAAGATGTCCAATAGAAAACAAATCCTTTGAAAACAAAGCTAGACACTCAAGTTTTCTGGCTTACACTATTGAGCCAAAGTTTCTGCTTTTACAAGTATGTGTTTAAAATGAAAATACAGGATGACATGTGTTTTGATAATCTGTAGAAGGACTTTAAACACCCTGATCCTCTACAGCAAGTTCACAATAAAAGTCTGTACAGAATTAGGAAAACCAATGACTTGTATTTTAAATAATCATTCAGTAATAATGTAGACATTTTCCTGCTTGTAGATACTATGCAGAAAGTATTGTTATCTTTGTCTGTCTAGTACTGAGCCATAATCCCTGGTACACAGTAGGCACTCAATAAATATTTTTGATTGAATGGATGACTATAGACTGAATGGATCAAGAAATAGACAAACATGAATTAATTTTCAAAAAAAAGTTGGGAATCATAGTGGTTTCTGAACTGATGTCTGCAGAATATTCTAAATTGTAGCCACATTAATGTAAATAACCCACCAGACCAAGGAGGAAATATATATTAGCATGTCAATATTTTTAAAAGATACAATTTATATTGCCATATTTGTGAGGCACCTGATTATAAATCTTGCATTCTCTTCCAGAGCTGTCTCCTTTGGGAAAAATGAAAGAGGAAATCACATTAAGAATAAAATTGTCATCACAAGATTCATTTTATTAACCCAGTATTTCCTTACTTGCTGCAAATATGCTGGCGATTTTGGATCAGACAATCCAGGACAGTGTTATTTGAATTTATTCTTTGGCATAGTTCCTAGTGTTTTTGATGTAACCCAGCAATATCTCCAACAGCAAAGCTGCAGAATTCTGCTGTCCATTTTTATTGAAGTATTGAATGTAATTGAGACTCGTCTGCTTAGACTCACCCATGTATACTAGGGCTTTGGTTTTGATAAACATTGTTTCTTCTGTTTTCTCTACTTCAGTGTTTTACTCTTTTAATCTTCTTTTTCTTGAATTTTAGCCTTCGAGTTTTTCTTCCGCAGATTTTCATTTCTGAATATTAAACCATGCAAATTCTCTATGGCCTTTTACAGTATGACTTTCTATATATGCCTTAATTCCAGGTGGCAGGACAGACCATTTAACAATGTGCTACCCAAACTCACTGTGGTGATACGCAAACTCACTGTAGTTTGTGCAAAGTCCTACAGTTCAAAATGCATACCCAGGCACTACAGTGTTAGGCAATAGTAAAAAACTAAATGCCCCAAAAGAAGGCATGTAAAGATAGAAAGTGCCCACATAATCCTCAAATTCAAAAACACCTTATAAATTAACTGTGTCCAAAGACTTTGGTTTTTATGACTTAGGGAAGCCTAATCTTTGCTCATATGAGCCCTTGTTCAATTTGGATTGTCTTTTAGAAAGACGAGTCTACTGAAGCAGGGCAAAATGTCACTTTATTTTAAATTAAGATTAGAAACAATGACATTTAATTATCATAATCATGTGTTTTTCAGTAGATAATTATAAAAGACACCACGGTTTAACATTTAGCTTGTTTCCAAAAGAGGAAAAAGGGTGGGAAGTATTTTTATTTAACAATGAGAGTATTTAGAGGCAAATGATTTTATCTGAAATTTACTATTGTTAACTGTTGTACTGTTTGCTGTAAATTAATCTGAAGTAAGTATCCATAGAAAAATGTCTCTTTGAAATAAGCATTTCTAAAATCCTTGAATATATCTAGTTTGGCAAGTATGTAATTATATAACACACATGTCATATTTACAATTGAAATGGGGCAAAATTGTACATATAGAGAGACCTAATATGTGAGAATGAGGAAAGGTATTAACTTTTTAGTAGTATCAGATGCCACTTGAGCACTTTCTACATGTGCAAGACACTGTGCTAAGTACTCTTGCAAACATGCAGGTAAGCACTATTTTTATTTGCATTTTATATACCAGAGAATTGATACATGGATATGCTAAATAAGGAGTGGAATTAGGGATTCAGACTGAGGAATAGCTAAATCTGAAGCCAAGTTCTTAGCCACTAAACTTGTACTCTACAGTATGATTACTATTCATACGTAGTTATTGAGAAATAGAAATGTGTCTAGTTTAAATTTAGAAAAACTATAAATATAAAATGCACAATGTTTTTCATTAGTATTAGAAAATAAATACCTCAATAATTTTATATTGATCACATGTTGAGATATTTGGCCTACAACAGTTGAAATAAAATATATTATTTAAATTAATTTTATCTGTTTCTTTTTTCTTTTCATTGTGGTTACTAGAAATTTTAAATCACATATGGGGTTCTCATCTGTTGTTTCACTTTATTTCTACTGGACCGTATTTCACTACACTGTATAGCCTCCATCTCTGACAAGTTAGGGGAGAGACTCTGAAATGTTAATTCCCTGCTTAGTTTGTCTTTTCCTCTTATTTATTTCTTGTTTCTCTCTCATGACAGACTTTATTTTCTTCATTTTAATGTAACTATTTATATAAATATTGTATATCTCTCACTAAAATGTAAGTTCCTGGAAGTCAGGCCTCCGAGTTCTCATCTTGTAACACCAAGTAACAAGGGAAGGCTTTTAAGGCAAATAACAATCTCAAGCGTTTTAGCCTAAGTTAAGCTTCTTCTTCTTCCTCACAAGCTGTCTTCTCATTACACAGAATGGAGTCAGGAATGTCTCCATCAGGACTGCTCAGGGGTGTGCAAACTGCAGCTTGTGGCCAAATCCAACCTAGCACCTGCTTTTATAAATAAAGTTTTATGGAAACACAGCCACATCCACTCATTTAGTACTGTCTATAGGCTAGCTGGGATACAATAGCAGAGCTCCATAGTTGCTACAAAGTCCTATGGTCGTCAAATCCGAAATATTCACCACCTGGCCCTTTAGGGAAAATCTTTGCCATTTCTCAGGTAGCTTATGCTATCAGAGTCGATTCTTTCTTTTTGCGCCTTCCATCTCAAGTATCAATTACACTATAGTGACATTAGAATCTCATGAAATAACAAACATTTTTCACATTGTGTTTCAAGGATGCTTACATTTTAATAACCACTTGTAGAATAAAAACCCAGGATCCCTTTGTGACTATTTCTCTCAGTTAAAATAGTGGGTCTGAGAAGATGTTTTGATATGTCTGCTACCGTGACAACATAAATAGGGACCATCTTTTAAAGTTTATTGCCATCTGAGGCCCCTTGATTTCAGGATTTCAAGACTTACAATGGGCACATCTAAAACAGCTACTATAATACTTTTAATGTCAGAAAAGTCACTGTGAAAATAAAGAAATAAAAGATGTCTACCTGCTGGTGAGTGAGCTCTTTAAATGACTTTACTGGAGAATAAATGACTTTACTGGAGACTCTACTGGAGAATAAATGACTTTACTGGAGAGACTTTACTGGTGAGGAAAGTAATATAGATATAATACCACTATTCCTGTGACCTATCAATACAAGCTATTTTACACTTTTTAACTATGCCAAGTGGGTCATTTAAGGATAATACAGACTGAGGGAAATTCTCATTTTGTTTGAAGGAATTTGTTTGTCTTGATACAATCAATTGACCTTAACTTTCCTAGATGTGGAAAATGAGGTAAAATTTGTTACTCTTAAACAAGATATATTGTTCAGCAAGACTAGAATGAAAGGATACCAAAACATTTACTCTTTACTGATGCTTCCACAACTAGCTATTGTCAACATTTCCAATATCATCCTTACAGTGAAAACCACTATGACAAGTACTGTGCATGCAATTATGTAAAATTGAATCATAAAACGAGTTAGTGGAATAGGAGGATTATATAAATGTTCAAATATTTTTATCAAATTGTACAATTAACTAGTTTGTTCTGACAAGTGTTCTTACAAAAAACAAAATATTAATTGGCATATTTCATATAAACATATTTACATTTCATTTATTAGGAGCCCCTTATTTGTTCCAGTGAATAATTAGAATACATTTACAGCAAATCAATTGAAACATTCAGTAACGTCTTTAAAATATCCGAAGGAAATGTGGGAAATACCTGTCTTGGTATTCTGAGATTGCAAGGAACTGTCTTATAAAACAATGCTTCTCAAAGAGGACTAAGTACACAATGATCCATTGGTGACCAGAAAGAAAAACACTAAACCTTGATTTAAAAAGCAAGTCAATTATTAAACCTTAGTAATGTTGAAAGATTGATTGATACTGACACCTTCATTGAGTCCTAAAAGTCACTGATCAAAAGAAGTCACCATGAAGAAAAAAGGGAATTGTACAATGTGGAGGTTTTGACAGTGGCATTCTCATTCATATATTGGTTTTATCATGTTGGAATATACAGGAGTTTATATTTTTTCCTATTCATATTTTTTCCTACTCACAGAAGCTAGAATGTATTTCACAAATGCTAAAAATAGAACTCACACTAACTTGAGCAAAATAGTAGACATCATTTGCTTACTAATGAAGAAATTTAAGCCTGAAACTGCCTTGACTCCAAAGTATGCCATAGAACTTTCACTCTGTTTCTACATTTTCAGGTCTAGCTTGTCAGTTGCTCTTATTCTCTCATGCTATAGATAAGAGTTTCTTCACGTGATCAGAAAGATGACCACCAGCCAGCCTGCCTTTCACCTTACAGCTAACCAATTCTAAAGAAAAAGAGACCAAAAATTCCCCATCTTTCATGTGTCAAATCTGATTGAAATACCCTTACTAATCCTAGTTGGTCATGGGTCAATTCCTTATAGCAATCACTATGGGTGGGTAGAGGGGTGGAACAATGTGATGGGCCAACTTATGTATCAAGTAACCAAATCAGAACCACAGAGTAGGAGAAGAACCATTCCTCAAAGAAAGTGGAGTTCCAGAAACAACAAACAACTGGTGCTGCCTAGAAATCTTAGAAGATATGAAAATAAAATATCCCAGTTGCATTACAGCATGCATGTTAAGAAATCATAATGTAAAACAAATTAATGGTTTGCATATGTTTCCAATTTATGATCTAATCTGGACACTCATCAAATTAGAAATATTGCAGTAGGGATTTCCATATACCAACTGCTGAAGTAATACTGTTTTCACAGATTACACTTTTTAATTACATTCTGTAGAAAGATAAAAAAAAAAAAACTTAGTACTATCTTTCTTATATTCTCATTCTATGGATTGATTGGGGATATTCTAACACTTTCCCTAAAATTATTTTTAAGATACTTTATTTTAGAACACACTGACATGGTAAGGCTCTTTATAATAATGAATCTTTTATTAAAAATAAATTTCTTTTCTGGAATGGACATTATTTTTCAAAAAAAAAGAATGAAGAGTTTGAACTTAAGATTGAATGCATTCTACACAATCTCTACAGTCTCTTCCAATTCTTAACACTTCTCTTTCTAAAACTGTTTTCTAAAATATTTCATTACATAAACCCCCTGGAAGGCCTTCTTTGCATGCATTCATACCGGTTATTATGTGCATAAATAGCAGAAGGTTCTGCTTTTTAAAACAGAAAAATGGAGAACTAGGTTTGTTGAAGTTTAATAGCTGTTTTTGGTCCGCGCAAATTTTCAATATCTTGGTGAGCTGCTTCTTAGATTAAAAGATCTAGTATTATTGTAGGGTAGGTCTTTTCCAAAATGAAACATCATTTGTTCTACATTCCTTAAGCTAAAACTAACTGTATCATTTTAGCTAGAGAGAAGCATGCTTCACAGGTAACTTTTCCTTCGAACCATGGATGTAGTTCAGATTTCGTTTATATTATTCCTTGCTTTTTACAAGTGTAAAAAGCTATGAAAACTTAGATGGTTACTTAGCATATTCATTTTATAGTTTGTGTTATTTAATTGAGTTCATTTGTACATTCCTGTCTTTTAAAAAGTGGGAGATATATATTTTGCTCTTCACTTTGGTTTTTGGGTGGATTTTGATAAAACATTTGGGGCAGAAAAATGTTCTTGAAATAGTTACATAGCTTCAAGGCTATTTCAAAATTCAATACAATCAGATATGTCCATATACCTAAAACATTATTTTTACTTTTGTGAAATCTAGAACATATGCATCAGCCATCTAAAGACAATATTTGAAAATCCAGTATGGATTAATGAGCTAAAGAGTTTTTTTTTTTTTTTTACAAAACTATAAAAATATTCGAGGAAAGTAAAACAATGTTTATTTTAGAATCTTTGGTTAGGTATGTCCTTTCTAGCAAGGATGCAAAATATATCATTATAAAATATCGAAACAGTTCATAATAATATGGTGGGTGAAAACACACTTCAAACAATGTTCTAACATATGTGATAGCTGGAGAAAATTTTCAGCTCAGCAATAAGTCAAATCATATATAAACGGTTCATATGAATCAATAATAAAAAGCAAACTTCCCCAAGACTTCTAGTTGAAAAAAAGTATATAGGTAAGCAATTCATGAAAGCAAAAATACAAATAACCAATAAACATTAGAAAAGTTATTGAATCTTCTTTTAAATCAGAAAAAAATAACAAAATGCAATGCTATCTTCACATAAGATTAAATAATAAAATATAGATATACACAATGCAGAGATCAGATAATGTCTTACTTCATTTTGAGATAAGATAATGAACAATCTCATACATTGATTACAGGAATGTAACTTAGAAAAGTCTTTGAAGCACAATTTTGTCTGTCACAATGTCAGGTGCACATTCTTTCAACCAATTATTTGTCATAGATAGTTATCTTAAAATTTTTGCACATATGAGTGTTTCTTATGGCGTACCTTAAATTAGCGAACACAAAACCCTAGGAAAATTCTAAAAGTCCTTCAATATGAAAATGACTAAATAAAGCAAAATATGTCTGCATAAAATACGTGGCACCTATGAGAAGATTGCTTTATATCCATCTACTTGTCATTGAAAGACATATTATCATGTATTGTTAAATGAAAATAGCAAAATGCAGAATAACATATTATTTTTATAATGCCCTTTAAATAGATCTGGAAGGACACATACCCAACTGTTAATAGTGGTTACCCCATTGGAAGGTAGAGACAGAGGCAGAGAAAAAAACTTCTGTTTATATGACATGATTCTCCAATAGTTTGAATTTTTTTAAAACAAACCTGTTTTACTTTTGAAATAAAAGACTATTTTTGAAGTATTTAAAATCAAAATACATTTATTGCTAATTATTTTTACCTACACTTTTAAAATATGAATAGACAAGAGTAAATGAAGGCAGGAAAATTGTTTTTATCAGATTAGTAATATCAATGCAAGAGCAAGTTTTTCTGTGTTTTGAAAACTGAAAAAGCAATTTATTTCACTTCCTCCAATTATCATGGGCACATATTTCTATGGTCTGAATGTGTCTATGAAAATACCTATGTTGAAACGTAATCCCCAATGTACTAATATTAGGAGGTGGCAGTGTTTGGGAGGTGATGAAGTCACGAGGATAGGGCCCTGAAAGGAATTAATTACCTTATGAAAGGGCTAGAAAAAACTAGGTATGCCCTTCTGCCCCTCTGTTCCTTCCACTACCTGTGAACACAGCATTCAAGGTTTCATCGTGAAAGCAGAGACCAGGATTTCAACAGACACTGAAACTGCCAGTTCCTTGATCTTAAGACTTCCCATCCTCCAGAACTGTGAGAAATTAATTTCTATCATTTATAAATAAACCAGGCTCAGATATTTTGGTAAAACAGAACAAAAAAGCTAAGTCATATATAGAATGGTAGCAAATGGGCAGAAGGTGTAACACTCTTTGGGTGAACTCTAAAATGGGTTAGTCAAGTAATCACTTTCTCCACATCTTTAGTAACTTTTAACCTTTTTTGTATGGCAGATCTCTAACATTTTATTTTTTCCTTTGAAATCTAAATTGTATTCTAATAATAAAAAACAATATTAAGAAAAACATGCCATTATCCTTAATTACCAAAAGTCAGATGCAGTAAATATTTGGGGAAAAATGTGCCAACAAAACTATTTTAGGCAGCTGCTATTCTGACTACTGCAGAGCTTCCTGACATAACAGTAGTAAACTCACACACCATCAGATGTGATCAAAGGTGTTTTTGAAGAGAGGTTCTATTCCTTTTGTCTTCAAATACATTACCAGATGAAGGTCAAAATATCTTTAAAGGGGAAAATACTTTTTCCAGCTTTATTGAGGTATAATTGACAAATTGTATACAATTAACAAAATGTATATATTTAGGATATATGATGTGATGTTTTGATATAGGTATACCCTGTGAAATCACTACCATAATCAAGCTAATTAACATCCATCATCTCACAATGTTAACATTTGTGTGTGTGTGTGTGTGTGTGAGATGTGAGAGCATTAAATGTGAGAGAGAGCATCTACTCTCTCAGCATATTTCAAGCATACAATATAGTATTAGTAACTACAGGCACCATGCTGCACATCAGATCTCCAGAACTTACTCATCCTGCCTAACTGAAACTTCTTTACCTTTTGAGAAATATCTCTCTAATTTTCACACCCGATCCCCATCCCATGGCAAATACCATTCTACTTTCTGCTTCTACAAACTCATCTTTTTTAGATTTCATATATAAGTAGAATCATGTAGTTTGTTCTTTCTATTCCTGGATTCCTTCATTTAGCATAATGTCTTCCTGAGTCATTCATGTTGTTACATACAACAGGATTTCTTTCTTCATAAATAGTATTTCATTGCATATGTGTGTGTGTCTGTGTCTGCATATGAATGCCACATTTTCTTTTTTATTTATGTATTTATTTTATTTTATTTATTTATTTATTTTTTTTTGAGACAGAGTCACGCTCTGTCGCCCAGGCTGGAGTGCAGTGGCGCGATCTCAGCTCACTGCAAGCTCCGCCTCCCGGGTTCACACCATTCTCCTGCCCCAGCCTCCTGAGTAGCTGGGACTACAGGTGCCAGCCACCATGCCTGGCTAATTTTTTGTATTCTTAGTAGAGACAGGGTTCCTCGGCCTCCCAAAGTGCTGGGATTACAGGTGTGAGCCACCACGCCTGGGCTTCTTTTTTATTTTTAAGGCGGGGTCTCTATTGCCTGTGAAAAAGTGCAATGGGGCAATCATAGCTCACTGTAGCTTCCACCTCCCAGGTTTGAGCCATCCTTCTGCCTGTGCCTTCAGAGTAGCTGAGACTACAGGCTTGTGTTACCAAGTCCAGCTAATTTTTTTGTTTTTCAGTAGAGATGAGTTCTTGCTATATTGTGTAGGCTGGTCTCCAATCCCTGAGCTCAAGTGATCGTCCCACCTCAGCATCCCAAAATGCTGGGAATATAGGCATCCGCCAGTGGCCCACATTTTCTTTATCCATTCATCTACTGACAAACATTAATGTTGATTCTATATCTGGACAATCAACACCAACACATGAAATCAGCTGGGAGGGGGGCTATGTCCTGGAAAGCCACAGGGGTTGAGCTGCCCAAGGCTGTGGGAGTGAGACATGGAGTCAAAGGTTATCATTTCAGAGCTTTATGATTTGACCATCCCTCTGGATGTCAGTCTTGCATGGGGCTTGTAGACCCTTTGTTTTAGCCAGCTTCTACCATTTGGAATGGGTGTATTTATGCAATGCCTTTATTCCCATTGTATCTAGCAAATACCGGACTTGCTTTTGATTTTACAGGCTTGTAAGTAGAAGGCACTTGCTTTGTCTCAGATGAGACTTTGGACTTGGACTTTTGGGCTAAGGATGGAATGAGTTAAGACTTTAGGAGACTGTTGAGAAAGCATGATTTGTTTTGAAATGTGAAAGGGACATAAGATTTTGGGGGAGCCAGGGGGTGAAATGATATGGTTAGGCTTTGTATCCCCATGCAAATCTCATTTTGAATTTTAATTCCCATAATCCCCAAGTGTCAAGGGAGAGACCAGGTGGAGATAATGGAATCATGGGGTGGTTTCCCCTATGCTGTTCTCATGATAGTGAGTGAGTTCTCATGAGATCTGTTGATTTTATAAGTGTTTGGTAGTTCCTCCGGTGTTCATTCTCCTTCCTGTCATCTTGTGAATAAGGTATCTTGCTTCTCCTTCGCTCTCTGCTATGATGATAAGTTTCCTGAGACTCCGCAGCCACGGTGAACTGTGAGTCAATTAAACTTCTTTTCTTTATAAATTACACAGTCTTGGGCAATGCTTTATAGCAGTTTGAAAATGGACTAATACAGATACTTTTGTGGGGAAGCATTCTTGTGATAAATATGTATCATATATAATGTATATTGATGTATTAGTATACATAAATACGTATCACAAATGACTATACATATGTATTTTCTAAATGTATCTACACAAATAGTAGAATATGTGTATATACGTATGTGTGTGTGTGTGTATATAGCTACAGATAGGTACATATACTACATATATATATTTGCCTATATATACCCATATGATATATATATATTTATCTACTATGAAAACACACACACACACACATATATTTACCTACCTATATGTAGACATACTGATATGTAGAAATGTCAGGAGATTGTATTTTAATATAAATATGTCACCTCTGCCGTACTAGAATGTGTAAAGTTGAGCCCATTGTTGGTGGGATAGGGAGGTTACAGAAAGGACTACTGGTGGGAAGGTAGTGGGAATATACTCACACAAGGGGGTAAGGCATAAAGTAGTATAAGAACTAACTTCATAATACTGCCAAAGACTGATTCTGTTTGTCAGTCAGAATAGGATGTAAAAGACTATTTCAAAGAGTTAAATTATTTGTTAATATCAGAGATCAGCCACAGACAAGAAGTTTATGGATGAGTGCAGCAGTGGTCCATTGGACATGTTAAATACTTATGGATATCCACAATTTGAATTGACATTAAAAATGAATGGATACCCAACTTTGAATTCCATATCGTTTTTCATATCAAAAATATTATTTTAACTATTTAAACATTTTAAAATTATTCTCAGCTCATGGGCCATTCTAAAAGAGGCAAAGGGCTATAATTTGACTTATGCCATATGGTTTACTGATGCCTGGACTAGATCATTTATAATAAATGAAAATGCCTCTCTTGATCATTATTTCAAATTTGGTCAAAGAAACTGCATGATATCTTAAGTCTGTATGTCTTTGGTAGTTACTATATTCTTTAAAAAGTATCAGAACACATTTTCTTTTTGAATGGACACAAGTACAAGAGCATCAATAATGAAATCATTTTTTATTATAGAATACAGATATTAAAGCCAGACCTATGTGTTTCCTAGCTGAATAAAAATAGTGTGCTATGTATATATAAATCAATAGGCTTTTCATTAGTGAAAATAACGAAAAATAACAAAGCTAAATCATTATGAATTTCTTAAATGTATAAAGTCCATTTCAAAAGAATTTTCTAATAAAGAAAGAACATAAACAAAGTGTAGGTAAGTTTCTTTCACATTAATCTAGCATCCCTCTTCTCAATATTTGCCTCAGAGGATGTCATAGGTAAATAAAAACCATATGAATATCCATGAAATAAGTTGATAGTGTGAGAGATAACTTCTAAAACTAACTGTATAGGCTTTAAAGAGGCAGCTAGATTTCATTTGGAAGGCAGGCAGAGAAATATATCGGTGAAATTTAGGTCATAACTTCCAATGTTAATTAATTTGCACCTCAAGCCTACTAGACCAGTGGAATTAGGATATGATAGAAATATGCAGGATGTATTAAGGTTTTGGCCAATGGGAATGACCTGCTTCTCATATTATAACCTTAGCCTAGTTAATTTACTGGGAACAAGTTTTAATGTTACAGTCAGGGTTTTAACTCCTCAGGTGTCAACCCTACATTCAGCTGAAAGAATAGTATACACAAAAGAAATAGGTTAATTTGTTTACTGTGCTAGAGGATGCAGAGGCTTCTATTAGCCTCCAACCTTACAGGCTTCTCACACAGTTCATTTAATATTGAATAAATATAACTTTAAGTTATAGTCATCAAAACTATACATTTCATCTTCTTTGTATGGAAAATATAAAATTAAGGGAGGACATTTTAAATTTTCTGTACCCTACATGGGAGAACTAATTTGCCTGCTCATGGAAGACAAAAAGAAAATTTAATGTCACTTCTGCCATACGAGAATGTGTATGTTGAGAAGGAATCAGGGATGCTCATCCCTAGAATATCTTGGTCATTGATTTGTCCACTTCTTAGAGGGCCCATGGATAATTCAATGATATGTACACTCTAAATATTCACTTAATATGTTCAAGGTAATTTAAACGCTGCATTTCACATTTATGAGAAAACAGGATATAAACGCCTACGCAAGTCCAATAAACAGATCTCAGATTTAACCTCGAAGAATGCTCAGTATAGCAGAAAAAGGGCTGCAATATAAGCTCCATGAGGGCAGTGATGCTGCCTTAATGAATATTTTATTCCCAGTGGCCTGCACATTCCCTGACACAAAGTAGACACACAATAAATATTTTCAGAAGAAATGTTAAATCATTGAATCCGTAATATACAAAATTATTATAAATAATTAACAACATACTATATAACAATAGCAAAACAAAGGTAAAGTACATTAACAGATGATTTATAAAATACATATGAATGGCAAATAAATAAAAAGTAGAAATAAACCAATATATGCCATTGCATTTTGTCCACTGGATTGGTATCTTTATAGCATTGACAATTTCCCAGTGTTGGTGAGGTAATTAAAAAGCTATCATTCTTGGGACAGTTTGGGGGCATATAAATTTTTAAAACCATTGTGTACAGCATTTTAATCAATGGCTTAAGATGAAAATAGAAATCTATTATGTCATTAAACAGCATTGATGGATCTTGTAAACAGGAGAGTAAAAAAAGCAGGCAGAAAAGAATATATACTGTATGACTCCATGTAAATTTAAAAAACTGGAGAAACTAAGCTATTCTAAGTTGTCAGGAGTCAAAATAGTAATTATATTTAGGGAGGAAAGATTATTGATTGGGAGGCAGAGTGAGTGAGGCTAGTAATGTTCCATTGATCTGGATGTGATTATTAATACATGGTATGTTCAATTTGTGAAAGTTCATCAAGCTGTACATTAATGATTTGTGTACTTTTCCAGGTATATGCTATACCGTAATGAAAAGTTTATTTTTAAAATGCTTATAAATATTTTTGTTCAGCTGGTCAAAATACAGCGTGAACAAAATTATAGTCGTATAGTTACCAAAATATACTCTTTCTAGTAAGTCAACAATAAGCAAAGGAAAGATTTTATACTTGTATATGCATGCATGCACATACACACATGTGAAATATTTTCTGAATAGATTCCCACTTAATGTCAGTCCGTTTGGCTTTGAGCTATATAGCTGACCCACATCAGCTGCTTTCAAACAGATTGAAGTGATGTGTCTGAAGGTGACAAAAGATGGTTGAGGTCATCCTTTTACAAAGGCCCTTAAGTAATCAGCCACCAGAACTGCCATAATGCATTATTAAAATTGCAAGGCATCTCTGCAAGTTTGAGCCATGTGTATGAGGGCACACAGAAATGAAGTCTCCTTGCTCATAAACATCCTTTGCACATATAGAAATGTATTTCCCTGCCCTGATTATTGCCCTTTAATGAAAACAGACAGAACTGGAAAAAAATGCACTGTTTTTAGCTGTGTGGACACTGTGCAATCATTTGGACTGGGCAGTGCAACAGTCGGTTATCTAGGCCAGAAACAAAGAATGAAATTAAGAATCAATCTCTACTTACATGAAAGATTTTTTCCAATGTAGTGTGATGCTTGGAGTTTTGTTAACTGTATGGGTTCTGAACTTCTGTTTTAAAGTTTCCCCTTTCAAAAGCACATCCAAAAGACTCTTTCATCACAACTATAAACAGAAACTAGGCCAGTACTGGCATACATATATGTTTGTTTGTTTTTTTTCTTTCTAAAATTGTGACAATTTTTCACTTAAGAGGTATTTTCCTTTCTTTATTTTATGGCAACAAAGTATTTATAAACCTCCTATTTTCTGTTTTAGTAGTAAATTAGCCTTGGCATGAATATGAAGTAAAAAATAAGTCCTATTAATTATGAAAAATGGAGTTATAGGATTTAGCTAATAACATATTAAAACCATCTTTTCACACCTTTCCTAAAGACAAAAATAAGACTAATTAGTTTCATGATTATAGCATTAAAAGACTCTATCTATCTGTCTTTCTACTTTTCTCCTCTTTCCGGCTAGTTTAATCTAAAGAATATTTCTTTCTTTTCTTTTCTTTTTTTTTTCGAGACAGAGTCTCGCTCTGTCGCCCAGGCTGGAGTGCAGTGGCGCGATCTCGGATCACTGCAACTTCCGCCTCCCAGGTTCACGCCATTCTCCTGCCTCAGCCTCCCCAGTAGCTGGGACTACAGGCGCCCACCACCACTCCTGGCTAATTTTTTGTATTTTTAGTAGAGACGGGGTTTCACCGTGTTAGTCAGGATGGTCTCGATCTCCTGACCTCGTGATCCGCCCTCCTCGGCCTCCCAAAGTGCTGGGATTACAGGCGTGAGCCACCGCGCCCAGACAATAACATTTCTAATTTATTATTCCTGAAGTCATTTATAACCCAGAGACTACTTACATATGTTCTCACCAATGAAATTACTCCCTTTATTTTCACACTGAAAGGACAAATTCATCCCTGTTTTCATCTTTACTTTTTTTTTATTTTCATAATTACAACCTTACGTAAAACTTTGATTAGAATGAAAAATGTAATTTTAATAGGACACCTGTATTTCATATTAACTAAGGCTGGGCAAGACTAAAATTCTACTTATGTCTTTCCCCTTTACACACTTTCAATTGCTTTTTGGATAATGTTCTTTACTAGTGAAAAAAGATACATGGTATAAATATACTCATTTATGAAGATTTCTCTAGTGATGATGTGAAGATATCACTGAAGTTGAAGCTTTTCCCAGATAAAATAGGATGACCATTGAGTTAATGAAGTTTTAAGAGCTGAGAACCTTCAACTAGGAACTGGATATTAGCAGCAACGCAGGAGCTCAAGAGCTCAGGTTTTGATTATGAGATAAAACTGGTCTTAAATTCTAGAGCAACCATTTGAGTAATCTTGGGCAAATTAGTGATTTCCAAATTCACAAGGCTAAAACAGAACTCTTGCTCCCCCAACCCCAACCTGGTCTTCCTTTATTCTTCCCCATGTCAATTAGAGGCGGCATCACCACATATTCAGTGATCACGCCAAAAATCTAAGCTATTTTTTATTTTATTTTTCTCTTTTACTCACTACACATTCAATCATTAGCATCTCCGAGTGTGTTTCTCTCTCTCTCCTTTTCTTTCTACCATTGCTATCCACACACAAACCACCATCATATAATGCTTGAATTATTTCAAGAACTTCCTAATTTTCCTCCATACAATTCATTCAACAAACAGCATCCAGAGTGTTATTTTTTAATATAAATTGTCATTTACTCCCCTGCTTATAACTCTCTAGTGATTCTTCATCATAAATTAAACATTTAAATCCCTCCACCAGGCTCACAATGACCTGTATGATCTTGCCCTACTTATATATTCAGTTTCTTTCTATAACATTCTCCTTCTTACCCATTATGATCTAGCTCCTTTAGTTCTATCTGTAATGTTCATCCTTTTTGTCCTTCAGACTTCATCTTAAATGTTACCTTGATCTCACCAGTCTAAAGGAGACACCAAGTTACTAAAATAATATAAACTTGTATTATTGCTTTTTGTTTTATTTACTTCTATACTTTCTGTATCTGGCACATAAAATGTGTTCCTTAAATATTTGCTGAATGAATGAATGAACTTAAAGGAAAAAAAATTTGTTACTGTAATGCAGATAATTCTACCTACCTGTCAGGCTTGGACTAGAAGATAAATGAGGCAAGATAAGTTGAGTGTTTAGCACAGTACCTGGGGCAAAATAAGACTTCGTAAATGATTGCCACTTGTGTTTTTGTTAAAACAGGGACTACAATAAGGTCTTACAAAGGACTTCTTATTGAGTAATAATATCTCTCCTAAGTGTAAGATTCTAAGGACTTTTTTCCAGTGGAAATTATTAAAATATAGGGGTTTTATATGGGCTAGTGAATGAATTATTGAATGAATGATGTTCAGCATTTTAAGCTAACCTGAATCATACTATTGCTGATGTATGTAACACACCTTTATTCCTTATTTCTTTACCATCCTGAGATTCTAAAGACTACCATATTTAACTTTCCTATGTATCAGAAGAAACCTGAAAATTATAAACTAGAAGGATTCGACAAAACAAAGAAGCAGTTTGGGATTTAAAGAGATCTAGGAATACGTTATTTCTACCACTTGCTGATGAGCTTCAGATAACCACCTATATATGCTGAGCCTCAATTTTCTTACGCCACTTCTTTACAGACTTATTGGAAACGATGAATAAGATACTGAATGTAATTAATTTAGCACAATGATTTAGCAGGTGACTGATATTCAATTAATAGTACATTTTCTCCAAGTGTGTCACTGAGAAATAGATCTAAAAAAAGCTCAGGAATTCTGTTCTTGTGTTAATATGTGAGCTTAGGCTGATTTCAATGTTGTTTAGGCTTTCTTGTATTTCTTTACCCTGTTCTTGGAGGTGCCAGTGTGGCCATGCTGCCTACTAGGTTTTCTTCTCATATACTCAGTTTCACTGGTGCTATGTGCAACTACACTATTTTTGTAAGTGGTAGTAATTTCTTTGAAACACAAAGCCAAAATTAATAAGTAGTGACAGCTTATAGGGGTGAAGTAATCATTTTTAAAAAGGTCTTGGCAGTTGGTTTCTTGAATAAGAAATGCACTTGTTTCCATAAATTGGCAACAAAAACTGAAACACAGAATGCTGCCCAGAATCTTGAGAAATTTGTACTTGAATTATTGTTATGGTCCATTAAACTCACTCTAAAAACTTTAATATGTTTCTGCTTCAGAGACTTGTTTGTCCATGTACAGCCATGTAACCACACTATTTACAATGCCCAAAGAGCAAATTGTTTGATTCAGCTGCAGCAATGGTCTTTCCACAGAGAAAGTTTGCAGTTTTCAACAGCCCTAAGTGCTGCATTCTCCTAACTGAGGTAAATACTCTGCATTGTTTTCTTCCCAGGTGATTCAAGCTGCAAGATAGATGACTAGGACTCAAATACCGGAAAAGAGAGGTAAGTAAACTGTGTTATTTGTCTAAGTTTTAGACAAAGTGTGTTCATCAGAAGCAGAGTTAAAGTAAGAGTTTGAACAATAGTTTTAAAAAGTATTCAGTTTTCCCAGCTAGCACTGTTCAGCATGTGATTTCATTATCCTCTTTGCCCCATTCAGTTTGAAACATTTTTATACTTCAGATCATTTGTAACAGATCATCACTCAGATCTAATACATAAGACACAGGAATTTATATTGAAAATAATGTGTGCAACAATACTTAGTTCCTAAAGAGGACCTAAGGAAGCAGTCACAGTTTGTCATATACATCAGTGACCTTTCAAGGCCGGGACCTCAGTTTGCTAGATGGGCTATTATTGGACAGAGAGAGCCAAGACAGAAATGATAATATATATGACCAGTTCTAGGCAATTCTTAGTTAAAAATATAAGAGGATGGGACTGGAGGCCATTATCCTTAGCAAACTAACAGATGAACAGAAAACCAAACACCACATGTTCTCTGTTATAAGTGGGAGCTAAATGATGAGAACACATAGATACACAAAGAAGAACAACACACACTAGGACCTTTCGGAGGGTGGAGGGTGGGAAGAGGGAGAGGATCAGGAAAAACAACTAATGGTTACGAGGCTTAATACCTAGGTGATGAAATAATCTGTACAACAAACCCCCATGACACAAGTTTACCTGTGTAACAAGCCTGCACTTGTACCTCTGAACTTAAAATCAAAGTTATAAAAACCAGTGGAAGGTAAAGTGCAAGAAATGTCTAAAAATTTATTTGGATATATGTGTCAAAAACTTTGAAAGAGTTCAAACATTACATCTGTTTAGTACTTCCATTATTAGGAGTTTATTCTAAAGAAAGCTGCAGAAAATACGACAATGCTCAAAACAAACATCCTACATAAAAACAATTTTAAACTATATAACATAAAAATGTATATATGTACATAGATAGGAATAACAATATATAATGTGTTAATGATGATTACCACTAACTATAAAATTATGAGTGGTTTAATTATCTTAGTCAAATTTTGAGGTATAATTAAGTAAGTCATATTTTCAATGAATTTGACATATAGAGTCATACCATAACAAGATACAGGTCATTTCTGTCTTTCCAAAATGTTTTCTCCTACCCCTTTGCAACAGCTCCACAGAACTTTTTCTCCAAGTGTGTCACCGAGAAATAGTCCTGAAAGCAGAATACCCCAACTGGCACAAGAGAACCACTGATTTGCTTCCTGTCACCACAGGTTAGTTTTACATTTTCTAGAATTGTATATAAATAGAATATACTCATATATATGGATTATTTTATTCCAAATGTTCCTGAGATATATAAATGTCATTGGTTTTTTGGCATGGTGTCTTTTAACTCAGCAAGTTTCTGAGATTTATCAGTGTTTTTGCACATATTAATAAAGGCATACTATGAAGATACTATGTATTCTGTTCCAGACCACCTTAATAAAGCAAATATTGCAATAAAGTAACAGGAATTTTTTTGTTTCCCAGTGCATATGAAAGTTATGTTTACACTATAATATTGTATATATATTAAGTGTGTCACAGCATTCTGTCTAAAAATGTATATACCTTTATTAAAAATACTTTATTGCTAAAAAATGCTAATGATCACCTGACACTGAGACACAAAACAAGCATGAGCACACACTGCTGAAAAAATGTGCCAAGACTTGCTCCATGCAAGCGTTACCACAAACCTAGTTATTCCGTTACTAGGAATTTATTCTTTTTTAATTTTTAATTTTTGTCGGTACTTACTAGGTGCATATATGTATGGGGTACATGAGGTACTTTGATACAGGCATGAAATGCATAATAATCATAGCAAATGAGGTATCCATCCTCTCAACTGTGTTACAAACAACCCAGTTATATTATTTTAGTTATTTTAAAATCTACAATTAAACTATTATTGACTATAGTTACCCAGTTGTGCTATCAGATACTAGGTCTTATTCATCCTTTCAAACTAATTTTTGAACCTATTAACCATCCCAACTTCCTCCTAATCCCCCAATACCCTCCCCAGCCTCTGGTAACCATCCTTCTACTCTCTCTGTCCATTTACTTGTTTTTATTTTTTATTTTAATTTTAATTAATATTAAAATTGTTTGTTTTATTTTTTTGGTTCCCAAAAATAAGTGAGAACTTACAATGTTTGTCTTTCTGTGTCTGGCTTATTTCACTTAACATAATGATCTCCAGTTCCATGTATGTTGTTGCAAAAGACTGGATCTCATTATTTATTTGTAACTGAATAGTGCTCCATTGTGCATATGTACCACATTTTCTTTATCCATTCATCTGTTGATGGACACTTAGGTTGCTTCCAAATCTTAGCTATTGTAAACAGTGCTGCAACAAACACAGGAGTGCAGACATCTCTTAGATATACAGATTTCCTTTCTTTTGGGATTGCTGGATCATATGGCAGCTCTATTTTTTTTTTTTTTTAGTTTTTTGAGGAAGCTCCAAACTATTCTCCATAGTGGTTGTACTAATTTACATTTCCACCACCAGTATACAAATGTTTCCTTTTCTCCACATCCTCATCAGCATTGATTATTGCCTGTCATTTGTATATATGCCATTTTAACTGGGGTGAGATGATATCTCATTGCAGTATTGATTTGTATTTCTCTGATGATAGATGATGTCAAGCACCTTATTATAGGTCTGCTTGCCATTTGTATGTCTTATTTTGAGAAATGTCTATTCAAATCTTTTGCCCATTTTTAAATTAGATTATTAGATTTTTTTCCTACAGAGTTGTTTTTGCTCCTTGTATATTCTGGTTATTAATCCCTTTTCAGATGCGTAGTTTGCAAATATTTTATCCCACTCTGTGGGCTGTCTCTTCACTTTGTTGATTGATTCCTTTTTTGTGAAGAAGCTTTTTAACTTGATGTGATCCCATTTGTCCATTTTTGCTTTTGTTGTTTGTGCTTGTGGGGTATTACTGAAGAAATTTTTGCCCAGACCAATGTCCTGTAGAGTTTCCCCAAAGTTTTCATGTAATACTTTCATGATTTGAGAACTAAAATATAAGGTTTTAATCCATTTTGATTTGATTTTTGTATATGGAGAGAGATAAGGTTCTAATTTCATTCTTCTGCATATGGATATCCAGTTTTCCAATCATCATTTATTGAAGAGACTGTCTTTTCCCCAGTGTATGTTCTTGGCACCTTTGTCAAATACGAGTTCACTTTAGGTGTGTGAATTTTCTTCTTGGGGGTTCTCTATTCTGTTCTATTGGTCTAAGTGTCTGTTTCTATGTCAGTACCATGCTGTTTTGGTTAGTATAGCTCTGTAGTGTAATTTAAAGTTAGGTATTGTAATTCCTCCCGTTTTGTTCTTTTTGCTTAGGATAGCTTTGGCTATTCTGGGTCTTTTGTGCTTCCATATAAATTTCAGGATTTTTTTTTCTATTTCTTTGAAGAATGTCATTGGTATTTTGATAGGAATTGCATTGAATGTATAGATTGCTTTGAGAAATATGGACATTTTAACAACATTCATTCTTCCAATCTATGAACGTGGAAAATCATTCCATTTTTTGTATCCTCTTCAATTTCTTTCATCAGTGTTTTATAGTTTTCATTGTAAAAATCTTTCACTTCTTTGATTAATTTCTAGGTCTTTAATTTTATGTATGGGGATTACTTATTAAATTTCTTTTTCACATTGTTCATTGTTGGCAAATAGAAATGCTACTGCTTTGTAGGTTGATTTGTATCTTGCAACTTTCCTGAATTTGTTTTCCAGTTCTAATATTTTTTGTTAGAGTCTTTAGATTTTTCTAAATATAAGCTCATATTATCTACAAACAAGGATAATTTGACTTCTCCCTTTCCAATTTGAATGTCCTTTATTTCTTTCTCTTGCCTGATTGATCTAGCTAGGAATTCTAGTATTATGTTGAAAAACAGTAGTGAAATGGGTATCCTTGTTGTATTTCTGATCTTAGAGGAAAAGCTTTTAGTTTTTACCCATTCAGTATGATACTAGCTGTGCATCTGTCATGTACAGCTTTTTTTTATATTGGGGTGTGTTTTTTCTATATCTAGTTTTGGGCGGATTTTATCAAGAAGAAATGTTGAATTTTATCAAATGAGTGTTCAGCATTAATTGATCATATGCTTTTTGTCCTTCATTCTGTTTATATGATAGTCCATATTGATTGATTTGCGTATGTTAAGACATCCTTGCATACCTTGAGTAAATCCCACTTGGTCATGGTAAATGATCTTTTTAAAAGTATTGTTGAATTTGGTTTGCTTAGTATTTTATCGAGGATTTTTTCATTGATATTCATCAGAGATATTAGCCTGTAGTTTTCTTTTTTTTTAATGTGTCTTTTCCTGTTTTTGGTATCAGGGTAGTATTGGCCTTGTAGAATGAGTTTTAGAAGTATTCTCTCCACCTCTACTTTTTTTTGAAATAGTTTGAGTAGGATTGGTATTAGTCTAGAAATGTCATCTGGGAACTAGGGCCTAGAATGGGGTCCTTATGGCTTGTCTGGTGCCCTTACTCTACTGTGGCTGAGCTGATATCCAGTGTAAGACAAAGCATTCTTTACTGTTCACTCTCCTCTCCTCAAGCAGAAGGAAGGAGTTACTTTTGTTGCTGCCAGCTGCATTGCCTGGGGTTAAGGGAGAGGTTGGACAAGCACTCCTTTATCCACCCCAGCTGGTGTCTCCCTAGATCACATGCCATCCTAGTCCCCTGGCTCGAAGACCAGCCCAGCACTAGAAGTTGCCTAGGAATTTCAGACCTTGTGTTCTAGACTTCCTTTCAAGTGTATCTAGGACCCCAGAGCCCTTTAGCTTGTGGTGGTGAGGCTTGCCAAAGCTCAAGTTCTGACCATTGAGATAGGTTATTCCCTCTTGGTTAGGGCTGGTCCAAATGCTCCTTCTGTAGATGAGTGCCAGCCAAACCCAGCATAGCTTTACTTTCTGCGTGACAGGATAGCACTGAGTTCAATGCCAAGTCCCTAAGTCACTGTGTTCTCCCTCTCCCAAGTGCACAGATTCTCTCTCCAAGCCATGTGGCCACTGCCAGGAGATGGGGGAGAGGTGACATAGGCAGTTCAAGACTGTCTTTGCTACACTCTTCAATGTCTCTTTCAGTGATGTGGCATTAAACCAGTTACTATGATTGCTCACCTGATTTTTGGTTGCTATGATGGTACTTTTTTGTGTGTACATAGTTCTTAAATTTTGGTGTTCCTGCAGGGGGAATTATTGGTTGAGGCTTCTGTTTGGCCATCTTGCTCCACATCTCTATGAGTATGTTCTCTAAATGAAATTTAATTTATATAAAAAAGTAATATTTGTAAAGCACAGTAAAATGAGGTATGCCCATTTTTTTCCTTTTTATTGTTAAGTAGTATTTCATTATGGTTATACTAAAATTTGTTCATTTATTTATTCCTGAACATTTGGGTTGTTTCCAGTTTTTGAAAATTATAAAGAAAGATATTAATGTAGTTATTCTAGTCTCTCTTAGTCACTGTTTGCATCGTATAGCTTTCTCTAACATTTAGCTTTTGAACTTTGTGTTTTTTCATTTGAAAGATATAATTTAATCTTAAAAAATATATATCTACACAAGTATTTGTGAAGACATACACTTTGAGTTTTCTTGGGTAAATACCGAATAGGAAAATTATTTACAAGTGTGTATGTTTGACTTTACTAAAACAAAACAAAACAAAACAAAAAAAACTACAAATTGTCTTCAAAGTGGTGGCAACATTTGAGAATTCCGCTTGCTTCACAAATGCCAAAATTTGTATTCTCATTCTTTTAAATTGTAACCATTTTAGTTGTTGCACAGTTTTATCTCACTGTCTTTAACTCTCACTGCCCTGATGACTAATATGTTGAGTACCTTTTCATGTGCTTGTTAGCCATTATCACTTTTTGTATGAAATGAATATCCAAATATTTTACACATTTTCTTAAATTGGGCTATTTGTCTTCATATTGTTGAGTTGTAAATGTCCTTTATATATTCTGGAGATAAGTATTGTAATTTTTTCCAATTTGGGGTTTGCATTTTCATTTCATTAATAAAGTATTCTTTAAGGAAAAAAATGTTTACTTTTAATAAAGTCCAATGTGTCAATATGTTTCCTTCATGATTTGTGCTTTGAAAACTGTCTAAAATATCTTTGTCCACTCCCCACTCATAAAGATTTTTCTCTTATATCCACTTTAATTTTTGTTAGTAGTACAAATTAAAGTTTGAGGTTCATTCTTTTATACAGATACCTAGTTTAAGCATCATTTGTTCAAAAACTTTCCTTCTTAATGAAACATTTTGGCACCTTTGTCAATAATCAATGACTATTTCTGTATGGGTGTCATGCCAACACCACACTATCTTTTCAACGTTTTTTCTCTCTCTGTTCTCCAATTTAGATAGTTCCTAGTGGCATTTATTCAGCTTCACTGATTGTTTTTTTCTACATTGTTTTCTCTGATCTATATCCCACCTAGTAAATGTTTTTTTCAGCTCTAAAAATTCTATTGTGTGTGTGTGTGTGTGTCTTCCATTATCTCTTCATTATTTTCATGCTTTGAAAAAAATATTGAGCATGTTTATAGTAGCCATTTTACAGCCTTTGTTTGCTAATCTAATAATATCTGTCATTTCTGAATCTTTTTTATTAGCTGATGCATTTCTCCTGGGCTACATCACATTTTCCTGCTTTTTTTATTTCTAGTAATTTTTTTTAACGGTTGTTTTTGAGTTTGTGTATTTTTTTAAGTACTGAACTTTGTTCTGATAGGCAATTAATAAATTTTGGATAAATTTTATCTTTTCAAGGCTGACGTAGGTGTAGCCCTTACTCTAGGGATTGTTTAGCTCTGATGCAAAGATGAAACATTTCTGTACTTTCTACAAGATGTTCCAGGTATTTATGAAGGTCTCTCTATTCTGATTGGACAGAGATATAATACGTTTTAATGTTGAGCAGACTCAGTGATTATGTACCTTACAGCTCTCCAATAGACCTCCAATAGACAAATAATATTGTATAGAATTCTCCATAGTTTACTTTCTGGCAACAAAGTCCAGGGACCCCTATGTAGATTTTGGGAGTTCTTTCCTTACTTACCATCTGCTCTGCAAATTCTACCTGACTTACCTTCCTATGCTTCAATGTCTGTTTTCTCAACTGATCTCCTAATGGTCCCCTTTTCTGCACTAAAATATGGAAAATGCCTCCAGACAGAAAGCCAAGATCACTATAGGTCTCATCTTATTTCCATTCTCTTCTAAATCACCATCTTGTGTTGCTTATTGTTTAATGTCAGAAATCAAATGTGTCATATATTTTGACAAGTTTTCTGGCTGTTTAAGGTAGGGAAAACAAGTCTAGTTTCAGTTACACAAACTGAGAGTTCTTAATTATATTTTATATAAGTCTCTTTTTTCAAAATTGTCTATAATGTGCATAAAAATAATTGTGTAATTAAAAATATGCACATAATAATCCATTGGTCATTCTGCATCTTTTCCCAAAGTAAAGATGATAGTACAAGCTAATGAGATAAAATACCAAGCATTTTATTTTCCCTGTTGTTATTAGGCATTAGAAATTTTGACCTTGGAGAGCTATATTTTAAATTTTTATATAACTATGGCAGAAAGAAAAAAGTTTTTACCTATGCTTACTTGTGTGGTCAAAATCATTATTGTCTGCTCTCTGTTTCTATCTCAATAATACCATTCTTCATGGCTGTAGCATAGTTTTTATTTGTGGAGTTATGAAAAATGCAGGCTGGTCACCCAAGCAGAAAAAAGAACGTTGTCTTCAAAGCCAAATCCCCAGTGTACAGAAGAATCATCTCAAAACCATGCAGCAGATTTCAGTACAATTCACAGCTACTGACATTTTATGGACCAGGAAGATCCAAGCTTAACTAGCATAGAAAAAGTAATACATTTCCTTCCTTTTGTAGAAAGCTGCATATAATATATCTTTGAAGACAGGGTTAAGATTATCACCATGTTCTTCTATGGATAAATACAGGAGTTCAGTTTCTGAGGCTGTGTCAGAGTTTGCAGACAATAAATTCACATAACAGTAAAACAAATGCTACTTGCAGAGAAAAAACATTGGCAGTTTGTATTTCAGTTCTGTGCACTATGCCGGGTGCGTATAGTGTGCTGATTTACAGAGAAGGTTCCTCAGTACTTTATACTTTGCAAACTCATATTTCCTGTCCTATAGTGTAACTGATTTTCCAAGGCTTTTATTTTGGGGGCAAGAGGGAGATAGGAATTCAAAACACCTGTATTTGTTTGATGTGTGAGTGGTATTTAATGACAGAATGATAACAAATGGATGTGTCAGGGATTGATGTTACCCACTTTATCCCCTTGGTACCTAGTCTCTTGATTTCTGCTTTCATAAACTAAGCACAATGTTTTATTTCTGTACAATAAAGTTTGTCTCAATAAAATTATTTCCTTCAATTAGCTTCCTCAGCAATGATGAGCCTCCGGTAATGTAATGATTTTGTACTAATAGCTGAAAGTGTGTTATCAGCTAATGCCTCTTTTCATAAGTGCTAGTGTGTAATACTTAACCAGCTCCTAAGATTAGTGGATGAATCTCTGGAGATACCCAGAGCCCAAGTAGTTTACCATTCGTAAAAGCATAGGTCCATTATCTTATTTTATACAATGAGTAGCATTTATGCATTTATTGAACATTTATTATGTGGTGGGCATTACATTAATGTTTTATGTGTACTCTGTCTTACTTCCACAAGAACCATCCAAGTAGGCATGAAACTGAACTAGTATGAGACCATGAGAAGCTTCAGGGTTGGAGTATGGGTGGCAATGCTAATGTCAAGAAACAGGAAACCAAGCTGATACAGGAGCAGATGGGTGATGTGCCGCTCCTGCTCAAATCCTAATCAATTCTGAAGCTATCTGGAAAATAGATGGGAGCCACTGGACAATTTCCAGGGCACAGAGAATGTATTATAAACTGTGCTGAGCTACTTAAATGTATTCTTTGGTAAGTTTGTGTCCATCACTGGAGCAGAAGAATGAAAGACTAGAAATTCCTTTCTTCTTCCCTTTTCTTTACGATCCTCTTGTTTCCCCCAAAAACTTAATGTTAGCATATTTAAAAATTTCCCTTTCTCTTAGGAGAAAGGAAGTAAATTCTCTTCATGGTACATATATGTTTTGCCCATCTTTGAATTTGGATATGAACACTTTTTATGTTATTTTCATTTATAGCCAAATACATACTAAAAATGAGAAATTAAATTCTATATCATTCATCAAGCACAGAGCCCACATCTGAAAATACAGCTTGCTGGGTTAGAATACAATAATGTATAAAATATAGACTGCATTTTCAGAATGCTTTCCATCTGGCAGATGGTAGAACTAGAGTACAATATAAAACTAAGGATACTTTAAAGAAAACTAAGATAAAAGGCATATAAATGGGTTCAGAAAAGTAATAACATGAAAACCTTCCTGGGGAAGAAGTATGAAAAAATGCATGAGGGTCAGAATTGACATGACATTTTCTACTAACTTAAAAAGTTTCATCTAGCATTAGGTATATCTCCCGATGCTATCCCTCCCCCATCCCCCGACCCCACAACAGTCCCCAGAGTGTGATATTCCCCTTCCTGTGTCCATGTGATCTCATTGTTCAATTCCCACCTATGAGTGAGAATATGCGGTGTTTGGTTTTTGTTCTTGGGATAGTTTACTGAGAATGATGATTTCCAATTTCATCCATGTCCCTACAAAGGACATGAACTCTTCATGCTAGATGACGAGTTAGTGGGTGCAGTGCACCAGCATGGCACATGTATACATATGTAACTAACTTGCACAATGTGCACATGTACCCTAAAACTTAAAGTATAATAAAAAAATAAATACAAAAAAATCAAAAAGAAAAAAAAAAGTTTCAGTATTCAAATGAATGCATCATCAGTCACATGTCTTTTCAGGATTATAGCATACGTTGTATGTTGTAACTATATTCTAATTGGCTCATCTTTTTTTCTATTATTAATACTGCTAATTAGTCCTAACTAATTAGTCCTAACTTGACATAAACACTCAAGAAATTGATCAGTTTAAGAACAATTTCACTTTTTGTCACTGTTGAGTTTTTCTTCAGAGGTTTATATACAAAGCCTATATTTTTCCTAATTTATGAAAATGACAGACATGATACAACTCAAGCTTCTGAACAAGGAAATTCCCAGTAAACAGAATTAGTATCTATCAGACTAACAACACACATTTGTCTGGTCTACTTTCATACAGGGAGGCTTCTAATGCTATCAAAACTAACCTTGACCCACTAGTCAATGGCCAGGAATGCAGAGATGAGGCTTGCAAAGATATTTGAATGGCATTATTAGTTAATCAAATGGTTATAAGCACCAAAATTCAACCTTACATAATATTTATATCTACAAATCTGTAGAATCTACAGCTAATACTTAGTTTAACACTCTACTGAGAGTATGCAGACTATTTTTAGTAACCCTCAGAATCAAAACAGCCTCTATTCATAAGATCTTTGTGCACATAAAGAAAAAAAAAAAAGTAGCCCCATGGAGAGCATAAAATATTCACCCCCTTTAAATGCATTACTAGTGTTGATATTATACTGTAATTAGAAAAGATGTTACCATTGGAGAAAACTGGGCAAGATTATAAGGAACCATTCCATATTATTTTTGCAACAGTATGTAAATCTATAATTATTTAAATATTAAAAAAATTATAAATGAAATACCAGTACTCCAAGGATCAATGCTACATTTATTTATTTATTTATTGCTTTATCACTTTATTTATTTATTTATTTTTTTATTATACTTTAAGTTCTAGGGTACATGTGCACAAGGTGCAGGTTTGTTACATATGTATACATGTGCCATGTTGGTGTGCTGAACCCATTAACTCATCATTTACATTAGGTATATCCCCCAATGCCATACCTCCCCCCACCCCCACCCCATGACAGGCTCCGGTGTGTGATGTTCCCCTTCCTGTGTCCATGTGTTCTATGGTTTTAGGTCTAACATTTAAGTCTTTAATCTGTCTTGAATTAATTTTTGTATAAGGTGTAAGAAAGGGATCCAGTTTCAGCTTTCTACATATGGCTAGCCACTTTTCCCAGCACTATTTATTAAATAGGGAATCCTTTCCCCACTTCTTGTTTTTGTCAGGTTTGTCAAAGATGGTTGTAGATGTGTGGTATTAGAGAAACCTATTTTCTTGGGAAATAAGGGTCGTAATATTGGGGAAAGTGTATGAAACTTTAATAGGAAGAGAGAACGTTAATATTTTATTGCTTGAGGAGTCCTTAGGTACAGATGGCAAACAGAAGCACATATGTTGCTGTCTCCCCAAGTGCCGCCTTATACCTATGACAGTCCTCACTTGTGGAGGACAGTGAAATTTGGGACTTCATTCAGACTCAAATTCATGATCCCTCTTGAGGCAGTTCTCCAGGCACCTGTTAATAAACTGGTGGTATCACATGAAATAGAACCTTTTGGTCCTATGAATTAATCCATCCAACAAATATGTGTTAAGCTACTATGAACCAGGCAATTTTTAATTGTTGAAAATAAACTGATAATAAGACAGAGTCTATACATTCCTAAAGATCATAGGTTTGGTAAACAGATTTAGTTAGAGCCAAGGGTGGCAAATAGATGTCAACATCCAGTGTTGCAGGAGGGAGTGCAGAAAATGGCTATCTTTAGAGATAGGCAGAAGGTGACACATAGTGGAGTGTGACTGGTGTCTTAATAGGAGTTAATCAAGTGGGGAAGAAGTAGAAGAGCAAACACGTTCAATGCATAGTTGATATTTAATCACATGGCAAACTCAAGGAAGTGTTAAGAATCTATAATGAAGACAGAATTGCATACGTTAAAGTGGGAGAGAGCAATCAAATATAAAAATGGAAAGGAAAAGCCTTGACTTTATGACCACACACAAACACACATATCCTGTGGGCAGGGAAACTGCAACTATTGGCTTGTAGGGAGAAGCCAAAGAGTGGGTTCCAAGGTTATACCTACCCAGTCTCACACTATCCAGATGAGAGAAAGAACAAGAGGATATTCATAAAATAAGCAAAAACGGGGGTTTTCAGGTGGATTAGTCAGGGTTCTCTTAGAGAGACAGAACTAATTCTCTCTCTCTCGATATATAATATATAACATATATCTCAATATATAATATATATCTCGATATACTATATATGTCGATATATGTAAATATGTAGATAAATATATTATCTATATATTTATATATTTTTATATATATTTACATAGATATTTTATCTATATAAAATATCTATATAAAAATATATTTATATAGATCTATATATTTATATATAGATCTATATATAGATCTATATATTTATATATAGATCTATATATATAGATTTATATATTATATATCGATTTATATTATATAGATTTATATAGATGATCTATATATATTATATATTATATATATAAATCTATATATATTTTTTATATATATATATATATATATATGTAGAGAGAGAGAGAGAGAGAGAGAGAGAGAGAGGAGTTGATTAGGTATTAACTTATATGCTCACAAGGTCCCAAAATAGGTTGTCTGCAAGCTGAGGAACAAGGACAGCCAGCCCGAGAGCCAGCCCAAGTCACAAAACTGAAGAATGTGGAGTCCAGTGTTCAAGGGCAGGAAGCATCCAGCATAGGAGAAAGATGTAGACTAGGAGGCTAGGCCCATCTCTCTCCTTTTCATGTTTTTCTGCCTGCTTTTTATTCTCTGGAAGCTGACTAGATTGTGCCCACCAGATTAAGGGTGGATCTGCCTTCCCCAGCCCACTGACTCAAATGTGAATCACTTTTGGCGATACCCATACAGACACACTCAGGATTAATACTTTGTATCCCTCAATTCAGTCAAGTTGACACTCAGTATTAACTATCACAGAAGGGGAAAGAGAAGCTGCCTTTATTCCAGAGAATACCTTTTCCAGAAATGAAAGGTGAAACCGAGATGCAAGTGTAAAGCCCTAGCTCCAGATATATGTGGTGTGCTGAATAAATTTCCAAAAAAATAAGCAAAAATAATAAATTCACACATTATAAGAAGAGGTTTTACATAAAAGAGACATTAATAATTAAAGAAATTAGGTGATTTTGAGGTAAAAGCTCTCAAATTGCACTTAAATAATTTATGTGTCTTTTCAGTAACATGTACTTTAATAAGCAAACAAACAAACAAAAACCACATTCATTTGAAAAATTGAGATGTTCATGACAGGCCTGCCCTACTTCCTCTACTATATTAATAGGACTGAGACCTTCACATGGATCACAGTACTGTGACGCTCCTTCCAACAATAAACTAATAATACACTTTTCTCTGTTGGCTTAGCCTAACATCTCACCTAGGAACTTAATTTCTTTGTAGTGTAGTACCAGGCAGCTGACAGCCCCAAAGCCTGGAACACAATGCGTAGTCAATGAATATTTCTTGAATGAGTAAATAGTTTAGAATTTTGCCTCAAAATTTCGATTTTGTTTTATAGGCACACACTCCAAAGAGAGGACATATTTTAAGCCGCTATTACTCTGTCATAGCTTCCTGTGAGTAGGTCTCCTACCTTTTCTTAGAGCGTGGTTTGTTAAGCAGAGACCAAGGGCTCTGGATAAGAACAAGAAAGAGGCACAATTAAATGAGAGGGGCAGTGGTGACTGCAGAGATTATTCTCTAAATAAAAGCAAATGTACAAAGAACAACATCAAAATCCAGTTTTAGCCCCATGGAATTACATTTAGGTCTTACTAGTTCCCATGAAATTTACTCTCACATATGTTCCACTTGTTTTTATAATACGCTGGTTTTCTTAAACTAGCTAGTGATTTTCCTTACATTTAAAATATTATATACACAACTGAGGGAATGTTGTGTAACTATCTAATGAGCATTTAAATTTACTATAAGTTGCATAAGTTCTCTAGAGGTCCATGCAGACAATCTCTTTTATGTTTATTACATATAATATAAACATACCTTTTCCCCATCCTTCCTTTACGAAACAGAATCTTGATTGTCCCTTTAGAACCAACTCCCCTCCCCCCACACTTTCTTTCTTTTCTTTTTTTCTTTTTTTTTTTTTTTTTTGAAATGGAGTTTCACTCTGTAACCCAGGCTGGAGTGCAGTGGCACAATCTCAGCTCACTGCAACCACCGCCTTCCGAGTTCAAGCAATTCTCGTGCCTCAGCCTCCCGAGTAGCTGGGATTACAGGTGTCTGTCAGCACACCTGGCTAACTTTTGTATTTTTGGTAGAAACGGGGTTCCATCATTTTGGCCAGGCTGGTCTCAAACTGTTGACCTCAAGTGATCTGCCCACCTTGGCCTCCCGAAGTGCTAGGATTACAGGCATGAGCCACCGCACCCGGCCTCCCTACTTTCAACCAAAGTAACATGGGAGGAGTTAATCTTTTCCTCTGACTTCTGGAACAAACACAGAGTCTGTGAATAGAAAAATCACTCTTTTCAACCCTTTTGCCCCAATAAAAGGTTTACGATGTGTGCTGTACCACAAGGAGAGATAATAATTCTGAGATTCTAGTTGAAACATTAGAGATGGGAAATTACCATGTGTGGCTGTAAGCCTGGAGGTACAGATGGAACACCCAGAAGGAAGAGCATGCCTCACAAAGGAACCAGCACTAGAAAAGCAAAGCAAAATATGATGATAAGAAATAGCTTCTTGATGACATTTTGGAGAATCTGGACTCATTCACTCTTGAAACTTTCAGTTGTGCATCCAATATATAAATTTTGCTGTTCTTATTCTACACCTGTTGGATTAACTGTCACTTATAACCAAAAGAGCCTTTTTATTAGAGTAGCTGTAATTAATGGCAAAATGCAGTGAGTAACATTAGAAAGACAAATATGATAAGGAAGCACAAAGGAGGTAGACTTCTACCCTAACTGTGATATTAAGAAGTTGCCCTGAAACAATATGATATTTGATATAAAAATTTAATGATGGGTGGTATCATGATGACAGTAGTAAAAGTTAGCTTAACTTATAAGATACAGTGAAATTAAAGAAAATGGCATGGAAAAGTGTAGAGAGTATTCAGAGAACAGGGGGAAACAGGAGACAGGGAAAATAACATTTTAGATGTGGTATTTTGAAAAGAAGAGGAAGAGATGGGGGAATCAGCACATGGAGGTTAAAACAAGACAGAAGCTATCAACATCTGGAATTCATATTATGAAATTTATTTATAATTAATTACTAAATAAGGTTTAATTTGGGTTTAAAAGTCATAAGTAAAAGTAAAAAAATATTATGACAAAAAATTATTTCATAGGGATAAATGTAACAGAACCATAAAATAAGACACCAACATATATTAGTTTTAATATGATCCAATTCAGATGATTCTCTTTAAAAAAGAGTTCAGAGGTTTTTTGTTTGTCTGTTTGTTTGTTTTATTATACTTTAAGTTTTAGGGTACATGTGCACAACGTACAGGTTTGTTAAATATGTATACATGTGCCATGTTGGTGTGTAGCACCCAGTAACTCGTCATTTAACATTAGATATATCTCCTAATGCTATCCCTCCCCACTCTCCCCACCCCACAACAGGCCCCAGTGTGTGATGTTCCCCTTCCTGTGTCCAAGTGTTCTCATTGTTCACTTCCCACCTATGAGTGAGAACATGCAGTCTTTGGTTTTCTGTCCTCGTGATGGTTTGCTCAGAATGATGATTTCCAGCTTCATCCATGTCCCTACAAAGGACATGAACTCATTATTTTTTATGGCTGCGTAGTATCCATGGTGTATATATGCCACATTTTCTTAATCCAGTCTATCGTTGATGGACATTTGGGTTGGTTTCAAGTCTTTGCTATTGTGAATAGTGCCACAATAAACATACGTGTGCATATGTCTTTATAGCAGCATGTTTTATAATCCTTTGGGTATATACCCAGTAATGGGATGGCGGGGACAAATGGTATTTCTAGTTCTAGATCCCGGAGGAATCGCCACACTGACTTCCACAATGGTTGAACTAGTTTATAGTCCCACCAACAGTGTAAAAGTGTTCCTGTTTCTCCACATCGTCTCCAGCACCTGTTGTTGCCTGACTTTTTAATGATTGCCATTCTAACTGGTGTGAGATGGTATCTCATTGTGGTTTTGATTTGCATTTCTCTGATGGCCAGTGAGGATAAGCATATTTTCATTGTGTCTGTTGGCTGCATAAATGTCTTCTTTTGAGAAGTGTCTGTTCATATCCTTTGCCCACTTGTTGATGGGGTTGTTTTTTTCTTATAAATTTGTTTGACTTCTTTGTAGATTCTGGATATTAGTGCTTTGTCAGATGAGTAGATTGCGAAAATTTTCTCCCATTCTGTAGGTTGCCTGTTCACTCTGATGTTAGTTTCTTTTGCTGTGCAGAAGCTCTGTAGTTTAATTAGATCCCATTTATCAATTTTGGCTTTTGTTGCCACTGCTTTTGGTGTTTTAGACATGAGGTCCTTGCCCATGCCTATGTCCTGAATGGTATTCCTTAGGTTTTCTTCTAGGGTTTTTATGGTTTTAGGTCTAACATTTAAGTCTTTAATCCATCTTGAATTAATATTTGTATAAGGTGTAAGGAAGGGATCCAGTTTCAGCTTTCTACATATGGCTAGCCAGTTTTCCCAGCACCATTTATTAAATAGGCAATCCTTTCCCCATTTCTTGTTTTTGTCAGGTTTGTCAAAGATCAGATGGTTGTAGATATGTGGCATTATTTTTCAGGGCTCTGTTCTGTTCCATTGGTCTATATCTCTGTTTTGGTACCAGTACCATCCTGTTTTGGTTACTGTAGCCTTGTAGTATAGTTTGAAATCAGGTAGCGTGATGCCTCCAGCTTTGTTCTTTTGGCTTAGGATTGACTTGGCGATGCGGGCTCTTTTTTGGTTGCATATGAACTTTAAAGTAGTTTTGCCAATTCTGTGAAAAAAGTCATTGATAACTTGATGGGGATGGCATTGAATCTATAAATTACCTTGGGAAGTATGGCCATTTTCATGATATTAATTCTTCCTATCCATGAGCATGGAATGTTCTTCCATTTCTTTGTATCCTCTTTTATTTCGTTGAGCAGTGTTTTGTAATTCTCCTTGAAGAGGTCCTTCACATCACTTGTAAGTTGGATTCCTAAGTATTTTATTCTCTTTGAAGCAATTGTGAATGGGAGTTCACTCATGATTTGGTTCTCTGTTTATCTGTTATTGGTGTATAAGAATGCTTGTGATTTTTGCACATTGATTTTGAATCCTGAGACTTTGCTGAAGTTGCTTATCAGCTTAAGGAGATTTTGGGCTGAGACAATGGGGTTTTCTAGATATACAATCAAGTCATCTGCAAACAGGGACAATTTGACTTCCTCTTTTCCTAATTGAATACCCTTTATTTCTTTCTGCTGCCTGATTGCCCTGGCCAGAACTTCCAACACTATGTTGAAAAGGAATGGTGAGAGAGAGCATCCCTGTCTTGTGCCAGTTTTCAAAGGGAATGTTTCCAGTTTTTGCCCATTCAATATGATATTGGCTGTGGGTTTGTCATAGATAGCTCTAATTATTTTGAGATACAACCCATCAATAACTAATTTATTGAGAGTTTTTAGCATGAAGGTTGTTGAATTTTGTCAAAGGCCTTTTCTGCATCTATTGAGATAATCACGTGGCTTTTGTCGTTGGTTCTGTATATATACTGGATTACGTTTATTGATTTGCATATGTTGAACCAGCCTTGCATCCCAGGGATGAAGCCCACTGGATTATGGTGGATAAGTTTTGATGTGCTGCTGGATTCTTTTTGCCAGTATTTAATTGAGGATTTCTGCATCGATGTTCATCAGGGATATTGGTCTAAAATTCTCTTTTTTTGTTGTGTCCCTGTCACGCTTTGTTATCAGGATGATGCTGGCCTCATAAAATGAGTTAGGGAGGTTTCCCTATTTTTATATTGATTGGAATAGTTTCAGAAGGAATGGTACCAGCTCCTCCTTGTACCTCTGGTAGAATTTCACTGTGAATCCGTCTGGTCCTGGACTTTTTTTAGTTGATAAGCTATTAATTATTGCCACAATTTCAGAGCCTGTTATTGGTCTATTCAGAGATTCAACTGCTTCCTGGTTTAGTCTTGGGAGGGGGTATGTGTCGAGGAATTTACCCATTTCTTCTAGCTTTTCTAGTATATTTGCGTAGAGGTGTTTATAGTATTCTCTGATGGTAGTTTGTATTTCTGTGGGATCGGCGGTGATATCCCCTTTATCATTTCTTATTGCATCTATTTGATCCTTCACTCTTTTCTTCTTTATTAGTCTTGCTAGCAGTCTATCAATTTTGTTGCTCTTTTCAAAAAACCAGCTCCTGGATTCATTGATTTTTTGAAGGGTTTTTTGTATCTCTATTTCCTTCAGTTCTGCTCTGATCTTAGTTATTTCTTGCCTTCTGCTAGCTTTTGAATGTGTTTGCTCTTGCTTCTCTAGTTCTTTGAATTGTGATGTTAAGGTGTCAATTTTAGCTCTTTCCTGCTTTCTCTTGTGGGCATTTAGTGCTATAAATTTCCTTCTGCACACTGCTTTAAATGTGTCCCAGAGATTCTGGTATGTTGTGTCTTTGTTCTCGTTGGTTTCAAAGAACATCTTTATTTCTGCCTTCATTTCATTATGTACCCAGTAGCCACTCAGGAGCAGGTTGTTCAGTTTCCATGTAGTTGAGCGGTTTTGAGTGAGTTTCTTAATCCTGAGTTCTAGTTTCATTGCACTGTGGTCTGAGAGACAGTTTGTTATAATTTCTGTTCTTTTACATTTGCTGAGCAGTGCTTTACTTCCAACTATGTGGTCAATTTTGGAATAGGTGTGGTGTGGTACTGAGAAGAATGTATATTCTGTTGATTTGGGGTGGAGAGTTCTGTAGATGTCTATTAGGTGCGCTTGGTGTAGAGCTGAGTTCAATTCCTGGGTATCCTTGTTAACTTTCTGTCTCATTGATCTGTCTAATGTTGACAGTGGGGTGTTAAAGTCTCCCATTATTATTGTGTGGGAGTCTAAGTCTCTTTGTAGGTCTCTAAGGACTTGCTTTATGAATCTGGGTGCTCCTGTGCTGGGTGCATATATATTTAGGATAGTTAGCTCTTCTTGTTGAACTGATCCCTTTACCATTATGTAATGGCCTTCTTTGTCTCTTTTGATCTTTGTTGGTTTAAAGTCTGTTTTATCAGAGACTAGGATTGCAACCCCTGCCTTCTTTTGTTTTCCATTTGCTTGGTAGATCTTCCTCCATCCCTTTATTTTGAGCCTATGTGTGTCTCTGCATGTGAGGTGGGTCTCCTGAATATAGCACACTGATGGGTCTTGACTGTTTATCCAATTTGCCAGTCTGTGTCTTTTAATTGGAGCATTTAGCCTATTTACATTTAAGGTTAATATGGTTATGTGTGAATTTGATCCTGTCATTATGATGTTAGCTGGTTATTTTGCTCGTTAGTTGATGCAGTTTCTTCCTAGCCTTGATGGTCTTTACAATTTGGCATGTTTTTGCAGTGGCTGGTACCGGTTGTTCCTTTCCATGTTTAGTGCTTCCTTCAGGAGCTCTTGTAGGGCAGGCCTGGTGGTGACAAAATCTCTCAGCATTTGCTTGTCTGTAAAGGATTTTATTTCTCCTTCACTTATGAAGCTTAGTTTGGCTGGATATGAAATTCTGGGTTGAAAATTCTTTTCTTTAAGAATGTTGACTAGTGGCCCCCACTCTCTTCTGGCTTGTAGAGTTTCTGCCAAGAGATCAGCTGTTAGTCTGATGGACTTTCCTTTGTGGGTAACCCGACCTTTCTCTGTGGCTGCCCGTAACATTTTTTCCTTCATTTCAACTTTGGTGAATCTGACAATTATGTGTCTTGGAGTTGCTCTTCTCGAGGAGTATCTTTGTGGCGTTCTTTGTATTTCCTTAAGTTGAATGTTGGCCTGCCTTGCTAGATTGGGGAATTTCTCCTGGATAATATCCTGCAGAGTGTTTTCCAACTTGGTTCCATTCTCCCCGTTACTTTCAGGTACACCAATCATATGTAGATTTGGTCTTTTCACACAGTCCCATATTTCTTGGAGGCCTTGTTCTTTTTTTTTTTTTTAATTGTTTTTTCTCTAAACTTCTCTTCTCACTTTATTTCATTCATTTGATCTTCCATCATTGATACCCTTTCTTCCAGTTGATCGAATCGGCTACTGAGGCTTGTGCATTCGTCACGTAGTTCTCGTGCCATGGTTTTCAGCTCCATCAGGTCCTTTAAGGACTTCTCTGCATTGGTTATTCTAGTTAGCGATTCGTCTAATCTTTATTCAAGGTTTTTAACTTCTTTGCCATGGGTTCGAACTTCCTCCTTTAGCTTGGAGTAGTTTGATCATCTGAAGCCTTCTTCTCTCAACTCGTCAAAGTCATTCTCCATCCAGCTTTGTTCTGTTGCTGGTGAGGAGCTACGTTCCTTTAGAGGAGGAGAGGCACGCTGATTTTTAGAATTTTCAGTTTTTCTGCTCTGTTTTTTCCCCATCTTCATGGTTTTATCTACCTTTGGTCTTTGATGATGGTGACGTACAGATGGGGTTTTGGTGTGGATGTCCTTCCTGTTGGTTAGTTTTCCTTCCAAATTTTTGTTGAGACGGAGTCTCACTCTGTCGCCCAGGCTGGAGTGCAGTGGCGCAATCTCGGCTCACTGCAAGCTCCACCTCCCAGGTTCACGCCATTCTCCTGCCTCAGTCTCCCGAGTAGCTGGGACTACAGGCGCCTGCCACCACGCTCGGCTAATTTTGTTTTGTATTTTTAGTAGAGACAGGGTTTCACCATGTTAGCCAGGATGGTCTCGATCTCCTGACCTCATGATCTGCTTGCCTCAGCCTCCCAAAGTGCTAGGATTACAGGCGTGAGCCACCGCGCCCGGCCTCAGAGGTTTTAAAGAAGTATCCTCCGACAGTTTTTATGCACTGAAATAATACTAAATTAAAGCTGTTAAAAGCCTGTACCACTCACATCACCTACTACAGAAAACTGGCCCCAAGAAAGTCACTAGTGAAAGGAAACATTCACATAGCCCAATATACCATTGCTGTAGCTGAATGTACAAGAGGAGGGCCTCTAACTAGAGGAGACCCAACATAGATTGAGCAATTGACTTTTGATTCTTGCCTAAGGACTTTCACTTTGTAGGAAAATCTAATCTGACCTGATTTCACACATATTTGCAGTCAGCAATATCATGGAGATTTTTCAGTTATTATCGGAAATTTAAATAAGATATACCAAGAGATAAAGATGCGGCAAGAAAGTTTACACAGTCAAAATCAGGGTTATGGGCAAGACACAGTGATGTGCAAAAGGAAACTATGCATAAGGAGTCAGTCATTGGCAGTGGAGAGAAGGAAAGCAAGTGTGATTTTTACCAGCGTTCCATTAATAGTGAAGCATGAGACTAAATAACCATGTGTCCTGGAGGGGCTGTGGAGATCTTAAGAACTGTTCTCAGTTCCAGAATGTTCTTCTTGTCTCCATTCTGGAAGGTTTAGTCCTTACAAGTTCCCATGAAATTCATTCTCACATATGCTCTGTATTTATAATACTCTGTTTTTTTTTTTAGCTAGCTAAAGCATTTCCTTACATTTAAATGTTATATATGTGTGTGTGTGTGTGTATGTGTGTGCATATAAAAATATAAATGTTTTATAAAAATTAACATACACTTTTACTCAGATATGTGAACACATATTAAATATCTTCAATATACTGTAAAGTTCATTGTGAAAACTGAGAAAAAAAGTTTCCCTTTTGAAAAAGTGAAAAAAAAAGTGTCCTTAAAAAACCCCAAATTTCAGTAAACATATTCTGCTAAAACTTTTAAACTGTGAGATAACTAATTTTTAGAATTGTGTTGGTCAGGTTTTATTCAAACTATTGGCCTTGTGACCATTGTCCATAATCAATACCATCTTAATTCTACCCTGCTGGATTTTATTTCATACATTTCGAGGATCAAAAATAGCAATATTGTCATAGTTTAACAAGAAACACAAAGAAAGTTGACTTTGAAACAAGCATGACAATTATTTTTAAGTTTTTTGGGGCAAGAGTTATTTAGATAATGATTAAAGCAGACAACTTTGAATGTATGCTTACATTGTGACTAGTCTTAAGTGATTTCTACTTTCTTAAAAAAATAGTGAAAAATCTACTACCTTAATTCTGTTATCACAAAAATGCATTGTGGAATGGGAAACTTAGACATGATTAAAGAAGACACACATGGGGCATAAGATATGACAAGTGGCTTATGACTCCTTCTGCTTATTATAGGGGTATAGAGAGAAATCAATCTGGCATATATGACCTATTATCTTTCAACTACAGAACAAACAGCTGGTGTGACCGTTAGAATATAAAACCATTTTAAATTATTGTTAAATTCAAGGCAGATTTTGTTTCTTGACGTGTTTTCCCTAACATAAATTACTGAAGGTCATACCCACTAATATACATATATATGATGAATAAATTAACAAAAGATCACTGGTCTTAAATACCTAGGAATTACTGAAAAAAGTGAAATAGCTCAATAATGAAAACTATAAAACACTGATGAAAGAAATTGAAGAGGACACCAAACGATAGAAAGATATTTCATGTTCATATGTTAGAAGAATCAATATTGATAAAATCTCCATATTTCCCAAAGCAATCTACAGATTTAATGTAATTTCTATCAAAATATCAAAACCTTCTTCAAAGAAAGAGAAAAAAATGATCCTGAAATTTATATGGAATCACAAAAGACCCAGAAGAGCCACAGCTATTTTAAGCAAAAAGGATAAAACAGGAAAAATCACATGACCTGACTTCAAATTATTCTACAGAGCTGTACTTAACCAAAAAAGCATGCTACTGGCATAAAAACAGACACATAGACCAACGGAACAGAATAGAAGACCCCAGAAACAAATTTACACGCTCACAGTGAACTCATTTTTAACAAAGATGCCAAGAACACACTTGGGAAAAGACAGTCTCTTCAACAAGTGATGGTAGAAAAACTGGACATACATATGCAGAATAAAAGTAGAACATTATCTCTCACCACATGCAAAAATAAAGTCAAAATGAATTAAAGACTTAAATATTAGACCTCAAACCATGAAACTATTACAAGAAAACATTGAGGAAACCTAGGATATTGGTCTGGGCAAACATTTCTTCAGGAATACTCACAAGCACAGACAAGTAAGGAAAATAACTGGACAAATGGGATCACATTAAGTTAAAAAGCTTCTGCATAGCAAAAGAAACAATCAATGCAGTAAAGAGACAACCCACAGAATGGGAGAAGAAACATGCGAACTACCCATCTGACAAGGAAACAATAACCAGAAATATATAAGGAGGTCAAACAACTCTATAGAAAAAAACATAAAAATCCACTTTAAAAATGAACAAAAGATCTGAATAGACATTTCTCAAAAGAAGACATATAAATGGCAAATAGGCATACGAAATGGTGTTCGACATTGATCATCAGAGAAATGCAAGCCAAAACTCCGATAAGATAGCATCTCAACCCAGTTAAAGTGGCTTATATCCAAAAGATAGGCAATAACAAATGCTGATGAGGATGTGGAGAAAAGAGAACCCTTGTGCACTGTTGGTAGGAGTGTAAATTAGCACAATCACTATGGATAGTTTGGACATTCCTCAAAAAACCAAAAAATCTAAAAACTAAAACCATATGATACAGCAATTCCACTACTGGATATATAACCAAAAGAAAAAAAAAGGAAATCAGTATATCGAAGAGATAGCTGCACTCTCATGTTTGTTGCAGCTGTTCACAATAGCAAAGATTTGGAAGCACCCTATGTCCATCAATGGATGAGTGGATAAAGAAAATATAGAACATATACAGAGTGGAGTACTATTCAGCCATAAAAAAGAATGAGATCCTGTCGTTTGCAAGAAGGTTCCTGGCTAAGTGACATAAGCTAGGCCCAAAAAGACAAACACTCGATATGTTCACTTATTTGTGAAATTTAAAAACCAAAACAATTGAACTCATATACATATAGAGTGGGAGGATGGTTACTAGAGGCAGGGAAGGGTAGTAGGGGGAGGGTAGTGAGGAGGTGGGAATGGTTAATGGGTGCAAACAGAAAAAAAAAAAAGAAAGAATTAATAAGACCCAGTATTTGATAGTGCAACAGGTGACTATAGGCAATAATAGTTTAATTGTTCTTTTTAAATAAGTAAAAGGGTATAATTGGACTGTTTGTAAAGCAAAGGATAAATCCTTGATGGAACAGAAGCCCCATTTTCCATGATGTCATTACTATGCATTGCATGCCTGTATCAAAACATCTCCTGCACTCCATAAATATATATATCTACTATGTATCTATGTACTCACATAAATCAAATTTTTTTAAAAAAATTAAAGATCACTGTTTTTAAGCAGAAGCATCCTACATTTTAAAGGCTTCCTGATCCTTTAAAAAGTAGAGTCATTGCTATATGATATAAAAGAAGGGACAATTTAAAAATCCCAGATGATTACAAGGACAGGCCAATTTGAAGATGATATGCATTTATATCATGTGATAAATTTAGAGAGTATCTGTTAGTTTGATAAAAACCCTCAGTACTAATATTGCCAACAAAATACCACAGCTATATTCTCTTATCCGATGGTTCTAAAATCCAGCTTCTAGGTTTATATACTATACCTTAATTCGGTGTTTTCCTACTGAATTAGTTATGGTGAGTTAATTAATTGGAAAAAAAGGGGATTCAGTTATAGTCACAGCAGTAAGAACTGGACATAACCCACTGTGTGTCATATATGCAGAGCCCACAGCTGTCAACCTTCATGGACTGTGATAGGTCATTCACATAAACATAAGTCATCATTTAATTTAGAATAAAGAAAATGTTATGAAGTGCCTTTATCCTGTAGTCAATCCCATGGTATTTAAAATAGAAATCAAGCTTTAAAACAAAACAAAGTCCACCTGCGGAACTGTTTCTGTAAGTACACTAATATCTGAATCTACTGATAGTAGCAATTTGATAAAAGGCAACGGGCCAAGAGCTTTTTATTGTGACTGAAATCATTGTTGTCTAATAGTTCAAAATCAATGAGAATATGCTCAGAGACCAAAAACCTCATTAGACAGCAACTCTCCAGATAGATCATTTGAGGGGACTGGTGACTAGAAAAAAATAAGACAAGTAATTGATGTGTTAGAAGACATACTAAGTGCTGTTGAGGTTTCCATTTTTATTTTTAATAAGACCTTGGTAGCCCTATCTACTGAAAATGATATCTAATATCAGACTATAATCAAGTTATCAGGTAAAGAGTGTGGCATGGAGCAGACAAAACAAGGCAGCCTTCAGCTGGCTTCAGAAGTGCCTTATTAGGCAACTGTCTTGAAGGCAGTGCGCAGATTGATTAGAGTACCGTGCTTTAGAGCTAAACAGACATGAGTTGAATACCAGGTCTCTTACTTACTGAGTTTAGTAATTTTAACTATTTACCTAAGTTTCTCTGAGCTTCAATTTTTTAAATTCAAAATGATTTTAATAATATTTATCACATTTAATTGTTTTCATGATCAAATTAGAAACTGTAGGCCAACTACCAAGTAATGGCAACTGACTCAAAGTGGGTATTTCATAATTCTTAGTTATTAGTGTTTTTACTTTTTGTCAGGAAAATCTTCATGAAATCTCGGGGAAGTGCTCTAGCATCACATGCTTAGTTATTTTCCATGTAAGAAAATAAGTAAGTAAGAAGTCCATGGAAAAGTCCTCCTCTCCACCTACATCATCCAGAACTCTATATCTCTGTTATCCATTGGCTGGAATCTCATTTGAAGCTAGAGAAATAGAGCTAACATGCTGGGATAGTCATTCTAAGGCACACACACATCACGGCTAAAGCTCCTTTCATAGGAGCAAGCACGGTCAGTGAGTCTGGAACCTCAAATAACATGCTAGCTGAGATTTGAACAATTAACACCTTTAAGAACTTAACGGGCTAAACTAATTGAGAAAGTGAAAGAAACCATTAAGTTGTAGTCTGGTAAGAACAGTCTCCAACTAATTTTGATACTAACATGATATGAACCAACAAAAAGGATCAGACAAAATAGAAAGATTGATCCATATGATCTGGGGAAACACTCTTTTTTCAAGCATCCAACACTGTTGAAGGGAGAAGATATAGGATTTGGAGAGGCTGATGTCTCCAGGTCTCCATTGTGATTAAGCAATAATTTCTTATGAAATGTCACCTTTATTATTCCACAATTATTATAACATCAAAGTAGCTTCCTCATGAACAATGTAGTTTGGTACATAGCTTGGTAGCAGGATAATATAGTTTGTTCTTGACTGCATATAATAATTCTAATCATTAGAAAGAATTCTAATTGATACTTTAGTGTTTCTGGTTTATATACCAGTCTGAGCTTAATGAGTATGAGCTAATCACCGAATGCATTGAGAACATAGGTCAGTTTCTGGAAAGTTAAGAGACATAATTCCAGAATGTGGTGACTCAACTGAGAAAGGCTGTGCCTAGATTATCTTTAGCATCTTCCAAACTGAGCAAAGACACCACAGGTATCCCTTTCTCACTGTCCCTTTGAAACAGCCTTTGCCACTGCTGCCTCTACTGCTACTGCCATGATTGATACCTGGAGAATATGCAAATCCCATTCAATTCAGTCTTTTAATACCTCTCAAAAATGATACGTAGAGATATGGGAACGCTTGGTTGCCCTGAAATTGATCAAACTCAAAATATTAAGGTATAGGTCCCAAGCACCTCTTACTTCCCATAATAACTTATTATGACTACTTAAATGTATAAGTTAATTGTTTCTTTATGTTTATTCTCCACTGAGTAAAATAATATATCCTTTTATTTCCTTCTAACTACTTCTTTAGAACTTTAACAGGTTTGCTGCCAGTTCTAATATTCGGTGAGCTTTTGTGAGTGACACATAATCAGTGTTAGTGATTTAGAATGTTTTCTGTCTCTAGACATGGTTTTATAAATAATACTTTATAATGTACTTTATTTCCTACTACCTCCCAATAGCAGAAAATGACATATTTTTTCCTGGATCTATACTTTTATATACTTATTAAAAAGAATGTGGAATGTTATACCAGCATTATAAAGAAAATTACACAGATGTACTAAAATTTCACCTTAGTCTCTCAGTAGGTTGCATTTATGTAAAGGTTATCTTGCCCTTCAGGGATTCAAAAATAACTAGCCTTTGAAATCTATGCTTGCTTCTCCTAACTTCACAATAAACTGAACCTTCCAAAGAGTTTGGGATTATACCATACATTAACTTGATATATTCTCTATTTAACTTTTATTATTCAACCTGTGTCAGCCATTATTGACAATAATTCTGTATGATGATATTTCTTTTTCTTTCTTTCTTTTTTTTTTTTTTTTTTACTCCTTACATAGCTTGTGGTTAATCAACCCTAGCAAAGTATTTAAATAAAAGGAGACCAAGATGTAGACACATGTACCGTAAACAGAGGGCTGCACAATAGTGGAAATGCAGACGTGAGATGCTTAAGCACAAGACAAGACAGAATGAAAAGTATCCTGGATTATTCATAAAGCACATAATGATCCCTGCAAAATTCCACTGTAGAATGACAGTAACTTGTAATTCTCAAACATAAAGATAGACTGGTTTCTATGAGATGGCAAATAAACTTTACATAAATTTAGTTCAGGTGATGCTTTGCAAAAAAATATAATATGTAATCCATTCAACTCAGAATTATGCTTCTCTAGTTGCTACAGACATTTTACGAGAGAGCATAGACTATCCCAGAATAATTATTTTGACATTAAATTTATATTAACAAAACTTAAATCCATACCCTATACATTGCCTACTCATCTCATTTCTCTAAGGATCGGTCAATGCATCTTCACAAGGTAGACATTCTTTTAAGGAGCATTTATTAAGCACTTAATATAGTCCAGTGAATCCAGTGAACCTAATGAAAATCTGAAACATGCTATTATTAACACATTAAGTCTAATAATCACTTAACTATCTCATAGACTCAGAAATTAGATTCCTCTGACAGGTAGTCTACAATTATTCTCTAAAATATTATGCTGTTTAATTTTCATATCCAATCATGTTTGAACAAATTAAAGAAAAGCAAAAACAATTGTCCTCTTTCTCACAGTGGAGTAGAAAGATTTGACTTCACAAGTCTTAGTACTCTTAGTCTAATGCTATCTACTTCTTACATCATTCCTCACTTGAAAAAAATAAATAAATAAAAGGTATTCTTAAAGCAAATACATGTATGTGTGTTTCTATGTTTCTACACAGTAGTTACAGGCAAAGGATCTACCAGAATGTACCTTCTGTTGGCAGTTTCATTGATTCAGTGCCTCCCAACTTCCATGTCTTGGCATATATAGAAATGGTAGGGGGCGGTAAAGAGACAAGGCTGCTTATGATCAGAGATAACCAGGTTTGGGGCTGAAGCTATGGTAAGCTCTCCCCAGATACTCTGAGAGTTGAAGTAGTTTACATCTTGGCATAAGTGTGTCCTATTTCAACAGCACAGCAACTCAGAAACCTATATCGAACATAGTAAAATTTATGGCGCTCACCTTTTTCCACTTGAATGCCTATGTTTTCAGTCAAAGCAAACCACACATACACTTTGCAGCAAATTTAAAGACCAGAAAATGGAATTGTTATAGTAAAAAGCATACTCCCAGAAAATGGGAAACCTTTAAAAAGAAGCAGTAACATAGCTTCCAAACATTCTAATAGCAATAGTAGTAGTAGAAGTAGTAACCATAGTACATAATGACAAGCATGTCTCAACAATGTTGCTCCCACTCAAACTATTATCTGATTAAATCCTCATAACAGTTCTAAAATATAGATACTAATTTATAGAGGGAAAAACTGAGGTTAATAGAAGTTAGCTAAATTGTTATAAATAGCTCATCCAGCATGTGGCAGAACCTGAAACTTAGATTGCCCTGCCCTAACCATTATGCTGCCTCCTAACAATAAATAAATACATACATACATACATAGGTCCAACCAACCTAAATTATATGCTACAACTTAAATCAGTTAAAAAAATTTTAAGTTACCTTTTAATTTTCTTCCATTCTGCCTCAATTCCTGGAGAATAGAAAGTAGTTAAGAAATTGTAAAAGCTTGGAAACACTGGACGGATGTTGTGGGAAAAAAATTGTAAAAGCTGTAAACTAATCACTGGGTTGGGAATGGGGGGAGGAGAAAACTGAGGATGTGAAAAATTAAAAAAATAAAAATACAAGAAGGGGTTGTACTGCAGAATGTGAAACAAACAGAAAAAGGTAATCTAAAGGAAAAACCAAAGAGAGAGTGCAGAAAGGCTGAACAGCCCCTGATTCAACCCTCAGAAGGCAGAGACCAGTTTTGTGTTATTCTACAGAGTTTGGTCAGTATGAAAAACTAAAGAACATTCCTAGGATGAGCCTTACCCAGTGGAAGAGCCATCGTAGAGTGGCTGAAGGTTGAAATGAATTTACTGGCAGGGGAAAAAAAAAAACAACAACAAACACTAGAGAGGTAGCTGTACTAAAGGTCTGATGAAGTGACTCACTGAACAGGCAAATAAAAGGAATATTACTATATTAAGAAATGAAAAAAAAGAAAATTGGACACCCTCAGAGTTGCACTGGAATACTAGTGTTACAACTCTCAAAACAAAACAAAAATTGTTCCAAATTGACATGCCTGGAGTTTCCTCAAAGACTCTAGCACGTGGGCTCTTTTCTCTTTCCTAACCTAAGAAAGCAGATTGAGTTGCTTGTGAACCTATCATTCAGAGAGCTCAGCCACAGTATTTGCAGATTAGTGCCCAAATCTCCAAATTCGCAAATGTAGTGCTGGTTCTATGGCACCAGGATTTAACTATGCTCTCTTTTCATCCTCCAGTGCTTATGGATGGTGCTTATGGATGGTCCCCAAAGCTAAATGAAATCCCCACATCAGATGAGGTCGCCTTTTCCTTTGAGATTCAAATAAAGTCCTCACTTCCCTAGCCAAAGTCCTGTGGGAAGATCAATGCCTTCACCAAGAAATTTGCAAATTCTTTGTGCTTCTGACCTCTCTGACGTCCTGTTTCCTGCTGACATTTCTATTTCATTGACATTTCCTCTTCCCTGGCTGTTTTCTTCTTTCTACTTATGTCTAATAAACGAGCCCCTTCTCTACATTCTCAACAAACAAACAAACTAGTGCATATATATGTTTTATAAATAGGACTTATATTTTCATTATCCATAGTGATCACTGTCACTGTATTCTCTGAACACTAATCATTTGGGGAAAGCAAGTAATAGCCCTTTGTTTGGCTTACCAGCCAATTTTAAAGGTATTACTAATATGTGATATATTTGAAAATTATGGCTGGATGCGATGGCTTACGCCTGTAATCCCAGCACTTTGGGAGGCTGAGGTGGGCGGATCATCAGGTCAGGAGATCGAGACCATCCTGGCTAACACGATGAAACCCTGTCTCCATTAAAAATACAAAAAAATTAGCCGGGCATGGTGGTGGGCACCTGTAATCCCAGCTTCTCGGGAGGCTGAGAATGGCATGAACCCGGAGGCAGAGCTTGCAGTGAGCAGAGACTGTGACACTGTACTCCAGCCTGGGCGACAGAGCAAGACTCAGTCTCAAAAAAAAAAAAAGAAAATTATGGGTTAGTACAGAAGAGGACCTACTCTGACATGTTCTTAACAGCTTGACCACAGTGTCCTGATGAGTCACCTGTGGACACAACTTATTCACACAGAATATACTGTTATAGCACTTTTTGAGCAGGGGAAGGCAGAGTTTAATAGGCTTAGAAATTAATTTGGCCAGAGTCACATGATTAATAAACAGTAGGACAAGACTAGCCATCGGGTTGTCTCCCTCTGAGTCCCAGTGAGATAGCTCTGAGAACCTCTCATTCTACACTGCTCCCCAATGCAAGAACAGAAACCAGTAAATGTGTCCTGTGGAAGCCAGCCACCATGTCCATCAGAGCTCTCTAAGGGCTTGATCTAACTCATCAGGTTTCACCCCACAGTCCCTGGGGAGGTCTCTATTTGGCATACATAGTTGAGGCAGGTGAAAATTTCCATAATCGTATTAATGTACTATGTTTTAGTAAAACTTGTTATTTAAAAAAAAACAACAGCCTTTAGCATCATTTTTCTATTCTAACATTTGTAATGGGCCCCTCTGCCATTGTCTCTAAAGCAAATTCATGTCTCACATGCCTCTGATGAGCTTCCAATCTATATTTATGAAGTTATCCATTACTACAGAAACATCCATTTAATTCTTCTGCCTCTCCAACCTCCGACAATTCATCACCCCCTTAGCATATCCAGTTCTTTTACTGGTTTATTACCTTTGTGCACAATGTATTCTTTAACTTTATTTACTTGTATTAAAATCCAATATTCGAAGGCTACCTAATTCACAAACACACACAAGTACGTAGCCCTCAATTTGATTTTTTAAATTTTAATTACCTTTGTCCTTTATTATCACAGAACTTTGTTTCTAAACTATCATATCTTCTCTTGCATGATAATAATTTCTGCATATGCCTTTTTTCTATTCTATAAGCACAAGGACATGTTTCATCTTTGTATATTACCCTTTTCTCACTTCTCCCTCCCTAATTTATTTAAGACATCGTGTTTAACAATAGGCTAATTTATTTAAGACATAGGGTTTAAAAATAGTATACTGAATTATGTTAAGTCAATGTCTTTTCATAGACTATTAATTGTGATTTTTTCTTCATTTATAAGATACCAACTACTAAGTTGGCACTTTCCAAAAGTTTAAAAATCTTACCAAAAAGAAGCTTGATACTGCTTAATCCCACTTTAAGTTCTTTGTTTATTTTTGGTGACAGTTTCAACAACTCCAACTTAAGGCTTTTGGTCCTCCTGAAACTCATAAAGGAATGCACCACTACAGAGATAGAAGCAGATCCCTGAGTTTCCAATACATACAGGTTCATGCTATGTACTTGACAAAGGATTATTGTTCCCAAATGATGAAGGGAGAATTCTTACAAAACCATACCTTGTTGCTTCTTAAGAAACTAATAAGCATACAGAATACACATTATGTCTGGTTGTTTTAGGCAGTGAGTTTGGTGTTTCCTTCTTATCTAGTAAGACATGTTGCTGAAATCCCAGAAAAAAAAAGGAAAAAAAGTAGTGCCTCAGGTAGATTAAAGGCATCCATGTATGGTGGAGGAAGGAAAGAAGAAAGACAGGAAGAAAATGGTTGATTCATTTTTAATTTAGTTATAAAATCCTTATTAAACAACCATAGTATATTAGTATTAAGGTCAAAAGCCTCATAGTGAGACACCAGATTTGAAGCCTGGCCCATCAGGGTTGGGATATATATTGAATTTAGGAGAAAGTGCGTTAGTTAAATTGATAGTAAGGATATAGCTGAAACTCCAGATAAAACTTACAAGGATTAATATATTATCTATAGTTTATAATTAACCTCAAAATTACTTAGATATCTTTAAGAAAATGTTTAATACTTTAATTCAAAAATATTTATTAAGCACCCTGTGGAATATGCATTAGTCAGGCTTACTGTATACAAACAAATCCCAAATCTCAGTGCCTTAATAAAACAGAAGTTGATTTCTCACAAATGCTGTATTGCCCATGTGGACACCTCAAGTGAGACCGCTTCACATATAACTAGGATTTCTAGGCAGATGAAAGCCCCATAATTTTGTGACTGTACCACCTGGAGCTAGGGGCCTCTTCAGTCACCTTGGCAAAAAAAGACAATGCTAGAGAATCTTGCAATTAAATGCTTAGACTTGGGTATGACTCACTCAGCCACTTCTGCTCAGATCTCACTAATTATAATAGGCCATAGCCCAACCCAACAATAAGGGGATGAAGTATATTCCACCAGTGTCCCTAGAGGGATAGGAAAATTAAATAAATGAGGACAATACACATCTCCATCACAGGATACAAAAATTTAATCAACCAGTACCATCCTGGTTCTATACTCAGTGTTTTCATGACTTATTTCCCTCTCAGATATGGCTTTATTGTTAGAAAGAAATGTGATAATGAGAAGAATTGATGCAAGGAAACCAACACAATATAAATAAGAGTCAAATACCAGAGCATCTTTATCTCCATACCTTCACAATGAACATTAGAGCTGAAATTCATCCAATATACACTGTACGGGATTGTTTTTTGCTGATCTTTATTCTGATTGGTTGGTTCTCTCTTTTCATTCATCAGGGCACATGACACACCCATTTGTTAAAGATTTTGAACATCACTCTTTGTTAAAGATTACAGGAATCCATAAAATATGGAGATGCCTGGAGTAGTATTTTAAAACAATCTATGTATTATAAAACAACATTATAGCTATAATAAAAGGGTGTGTTAATGTATGCTTTTATTGCTAAGTATATTTTTTACGTTTATCTATTTTACATGTCAATGCTAAATAGTATAAATAACATGAGTGTTTTGCTAAATGACTATGTATATAATGACTTGTCTTCTTAGTTGCCTATCTTATTTACTTGATAAGCAGAAAAGAAACTTTCCAAATTATGTTCACAAATTGCATCTTCAAGGATTAGTTTTAAACAAATAAGCAGATAAATTATGTCTAACATATTTGCTTAGGACAAGAGAAAAGCTTTGAACTAACAAATTATCTATGCAAAAATGCATGGGTCATCCAAATCATTCCCCTAAAGCCCTTTTATGTACTAAGAAAGCAAGCAAAAGCAATTCATGTTTAATTAATGTATAGCATATCTAGCATATTCATTTCAGAAATCACACTTTAAATCTGACATTGAAGAGTTATATTTTTGTCCCTGGTGGGAAAAAATAAGTTTAGGGTATTTATTTTCATTTTACCAGATATTTATAGTATATGATAGAACATGAATTGGATTGATTGAGTATCAGGAGACCTCAATTTTACCTCAACTTTATTCCTAAATTGTAAATAAGCCGAATTTCTTTAAGTTTCAGTTTATTCATCTTGTGAAGAAAGTAAATGATTTTTAAGTTTTCTTCCAACTCCAGTCTCCCATGTCTTAGAGATTTTACACTACCATAGAGGTTTATGGTTGCCTCATAGCTTTTGAAGAGGCAATCCTCTTCACGGCAGCAATGCAAAATAGTTACAAGTAAAATCACTAGAGATAGACTGTCTAGATTTGACTCACAGCTTTACCACTGTCAGTCGTCTAGTCAGTAAAACTGAGATAATAACAGCATCCAATTCATAAAATATTCAGCAGATTAAATTAGTTCACACTTGCAAATGCATCTAGAATATTATAATGTAGCAAGCACTCAATTATCATGAGTCATGATATCGTTAGGCACTTTTTGTTTGTTTGTTTTTTGCTGTGTGAAAATGCTGGTATCCTAATGGTGATGGAATTTACTGAGCTACTATTCATAAAACATTTGAAATAGGCTATTAAACTTTTTCCATATGGTGCTTAAGATAACTTGGTGAGTGATATTGTTTGGCTGTGTCCCTACCCAAATCTCATCCTGAAGGTGATTTCCCCCATGCTATTATCCTGATAGTGAGTGAGTTTTCAGAAGAGTTGATCGTTTTATAAGGGACTTCCTTCTTCACTGGGAACTCATTCTTCTTCCTGCTGCCATGTGAAGAAGGATGTATTTGCTTCCCCTTCCTCCATGGTTGTAAGTTTCCCTGGCATGGCACCTGTAGCCCCTTAGTTTAGGCCAGTTTCTCCCATTTGGAATAGGTGTCTTTACCCAATGCCTGCACCCCCATTGTATCTAGGAAGTAACTAACTTGCTTTTGAATTTACCGGCTCATAAGCAGAAGGGACTTGCCTTGTCTCAGATAAGACTTTCGAGTTGGACTTTTGAGTTAGCACTGGAATAAGTTAGGATTTGGGGGTACTGTTGGAAGAACATGATTGTGTTTTAAAATGTGAGGACCTGAGATTTGGGAGGGGCCAGGGATAGAATAATATGGTTAGATTTTGTATCCTCACCCAAATCTCATCTTGAATTGTACTTCCCATAATCCCCGCATGTTATGAGAGGGACCAAGTGGAGATAATTGCATCATGGGGGCAGTTTCCTCCATCCTGTTCTCGTGATAGTGAGTTAGTTCTCATGAGATCTGATTGTTTTATAAGGGGCTCCCCCCTTCACTGGGCAAACATTCTTCTTCTCCCTGCTGCCATGTGAAGAAGGATGTGTTGGTCTTCTCTTCCTCCATGATTGTAAGTTTCCTGAGGCCTCCCCAGACATGCTGAACTGTGAATCAATTAAACTTCTTTCCTTTGTAAATTACTCAGTCCCAGGTATGTCTTTATTAGCAACGTGAGAACAGACTAATACAGTGAGCCAAAATGTATCAATAATTAGGGGGCTGTACATCACAGGTTTAACAAGAAAATAGTAACCACAATGCCAAGTGACAGTAGCCAAAGCTATGAGAAGCAGGTGAATTATTTAACATTGGCTGTAAATATAGGTGTCAAATTAGGCAACACTGCATTGGTTTCTAACAGTTGGTGGATGAGATATCCTGGCTGACCTTCATGCTGAAGACAACCTAAGATATTAGATAAAATACTAAAACAAAAAATGAAACATGTTTCCTAAATACATTAATGATCTAGCAAGAAATTTTAAAGTATTTGTTCTAAAGCAAGTGGGTTAAAGTTAAAAAAAAATAGCATATTTACATAGTCTCAAAGTGCGTTATCCTATAAAAAAGGAAAAATACAGGATTTTAAAGGCATCATATTAATTACAAAGAAAAAGATAATAAGTATACAATAGAAAAATCAGTAGTAATCAACTTAACCAAATGATTAAAATTAATCGCCCTAGTAATAAGAAAAGTAGACATCATGAGCCTTCTTGTATGATGCAAGGAGAATATGACTTTTGAAATATTTATACCAAAACGCATAACTGAATCTAATCATAAGGAAACATCAGACACATCCAAACTGAGATGTAATTTACAGAATAACTGGCTTGCACTCTTCAAAAATGTCATTATCTTGCATGATAAAGAGAGATTGAGATTAAAGGACATTAAAGAGACATGTGATCCTATGCTTTCTATTTACTATAATAAATGTTATAGGGACAAGGAGGAAAATTTGAAAAAATGTCTACGCAGTTTTAAAATACATACAAGAATATTTGATGCTTCTCCCTTCAGAAGATAAGCCTAATTCCCCTATCCATTAGTGTGATTTGTACTTTGTGACTCACTTCTAACTAATAGATAGTGGTAGAAATAGAGATGTCACTTCCCAGACTAGATAATTAAATAGCTTCACCCTTGCTCTCTCTCCTAGATCGTGCACACTGAGGAAGACAGACAACAAATAACTCTGCGGATAGATCAACATAGTGAGGAACTGAGTTCTCCAAACAGCAGCTACATGAGTGAGCCATTCTGCAAATGAATCATAAGCCCAGGCAAGCCTTTATGTGACAACTGTTTGAAGATAACCATACATAAAGACTTGATCCAAAACCATTCAACTAAATCACTCCAGATTCTTGACCCACCAAAAAAAATGTGAGATAAGTGTTTTGTTTTGTTCGAGTTGTTTTTTATTTCTTTAATTTTGGTAATATATATATAACAAAATTCACCATTTTAGCCATTTTTAAGTGTATAATTTAATTGGCATCTAGTACCCTGATATTTTTTTACTGCCATCACCACCACCCATCAAAAGAACTCTTTTCTTTTTAATTTGAAAAGTATTACTGTTAATTTTACATCAAATGATTCATAAAATTTACCAGTGCAGTCATCTACTCCGGGCTTTTTTATTTTTTTCCTTGAGAAGGTTTTGATTACACATTTAATATCTTTACTAATTACAGGTTTATTCAGATTTTCTATTTCTTCATGACTTATTCTTAGTAGATTGCATGTTTCTACAAATTTGTCCATTTCATTAAGATTATCCAATTTGTTGGCATACAATTGCTGGTAGTACTTTCTTATAATCCTTTTCATTGATGTAAAATAAGTAGTAATATTCCCTCTTTTATTTCTAATTTTAGTTATTTGAATCTTCTTTTCTTCCCTTAGTTTGTTTAGCTAACGGTTGTCAACATTCTTGCTCTTTTCAAAGAACCAGTTATTGGTTTTGTTGAATTTCTCTATTGTTTTTCTACTATCTATTTTGTTTATTTCTGTTGTAATATTTATTATTTTCTTACTTCTAGATTTGGGTTTTGTTTGTTCTTCTTTTTCTAGTTCCTTGAGATGTAAATTTAGATGGTTGATTTGAGATATTTCTTCCTTCTTATAAATATTTATAGCTACAAACTTCCCTTTAACACTGCTTTTACTGCCTCCCACAAGTTGTTATCTAATGCATTTTTATCTTCATTACTCTTGAGATATTTTTTCCAATTTCCTCTGTGACTCCTTCTTTTTCCCATTGGTGGTTTGAGTGTATTGTTTAATTTACACATATTTTTGTGATTTCCTGTTTTCTTTTTGCCATTGATTTCTACCTTCAATTCATTGTGATCAGAAAATATAATTTGTATGATTTTAATCATTCTAAATTTATTAAGTTTTGCTTATTACCTAATATATGGTCTATCCTAGAGAAAATTCCATATGCACTTGAGAAAAATGTGTATTCTCCTATTGTTGGGCAGTGTTCTATATATGACTGTTAAGTCACATTGGTGTATACAGTTGTTCAAGTCCTGTGTTTCTCTGATCTGGCTGGCTGTTCTATCCATTATTGAAAGTGGAAAATTCAAGTCTCCTACTATTATTGTGGAGCTTTCTATTTCTCTTTTTAATTCTGTCAGTGTTTGCTTCAACTGTTTAGTAGCTCTGATGTTTGCTGCATATATCTTTATAATTATTACATCTTCTTGGTGATCTGACTCTTTTATCACTATATAATGTCCTTCTTTTAACCTTTAACAATTTTTTACTTAAAATATATTTTGTCTGATATTAATATAGCCATGTTTGTTCTATTTCAACTACTATATGCATGGAATAGCTTTCATTTTCAATCTATGCATGTCCTTAGAACTAAAGTGTGTCTCTTACAGAAAGCATATAGTTGGATTTTATTTTTTAATACAATCCACTAATATATGTCTTTTGATGGGGAGGAGGTTGTCCACAAGTGTTTGTTTTGTTTTGTTTTGAACCACTGTATTTTGGAGTAATCACAGCAATAGAAAACTAACACAATACCTGTAGATTAGTTAACAGTATCATATCAATGTTAATTTCCTGATTTTTATAATTATACTATGGTTATGAAAAACACATTATTAGTTTAAGGGAAATCATATGAATGTATCTTCAGGGTTAAGAGATATAATGCCTCAAATTTTCCCTAAATGTTTCATAAAGACAGCAAGATGACAATGCAATGTGGTAAAATGTTAACTGCTGGCAAAAGAGGGTGAAAGTAAATTAAATTCTTTGTTACTATTATTGCAACTTTGCTTTAGGTCTAAAATTATGCTACAATTTTAAAGATTAAATAAAACTTAATTTGGAGACTACAAATTAAGGACATATTAGAATCCACAGTGGAAATATAGCACTGACACTAACTTTTAGCTTCTCTGGGTTTCCAGAAGAAAAGAAGACTGAAAAATGAATAGAGGTAATATACAGATAGACACTCACTGAATATTTTACAGAATTGAGGAAAGATATTAATATGAAGATTAAGTAACCTAAAATTCAAAAAATTTAAATTAAAGGAAATTAATGCCTGGACGTATAGTACAAATGCATGACACTAAAGCCAATGAAAAAATATTAAATATTGCAGGAGGAAAGATTACCTTCTTCAAAGACAGCAATAGCTTGACAGCTGACTTATATACTTTTTTTTCCTTTTTTATCTTTTTTTTTTTCTTTGAGACAAAATCTCACTCAGGCTGGAGTGCAATGACACAATCATAGCTAAATGCAGCCTTGAACTCCTGGGATCAAGTCATCTTCCCAACTCAGCCTGTCGAGTAACTGGGACTATAGGTGCATGCAACCACAGCCAGCAATTTTTTTGTATTTTTTGTAGATACAAGGTTTTGCCATGTTGCCCAGGCTGATCTTAAACTCCTGGGCTCAAGCAATCCACCTGCCTCAGCCTGCCAAACTGCTGGGATTACAGGCATGAGCCACCATGCTTGGCCAATGGCTGACTTCTGAATTGCAAAGATGATGACCAGAGTCCAGTGTCGTAATAGGTTGAATGTAACAAAATAAAATAACTGGTAACTTACAATCATATACTTAAAAAAATGGCTTTCAATGAGGAGAATAAAATAAAGACCTTCATAGACAAACAAAAATTGAGCTTTTGCTACCAACAGATAATTACAAAGGGACATCTTAAATGTTCTGCAGGAGGAAGTAAATAATCCTGGAAGAAAAATGTCAGATAGAAAAAGGAATAATGAGCAACGTCAGTGACCAATATGCTTATTCATGTATATTAAACAAAAATGAAGTTGTCATCGGGATTAAAAACTGTAATGGAACAAAAATATATAAAAATTGCATGTAAAATAATTGTAGTTAAGTTATTTTGAGCACCTATATTATTGTGAAAGTGAATAAAGATTAAAACTGACACTTTGATGAGTTTATGCATCATAACTGTTCTAGTGTTTATATTAGAAATTAAAATATGGTTATTAATTTTACCATATTAATAAAACATGGTTATTAATAACAGAAACATGAATGAGAATAATTAATTCAAAATATCTAAGAAATACACAAAGATAAAAGGGATTAGATAAATAAAAAACAAAAATAACAGTGAAGACATAATAAAAATATGGTAGCATTTGTAATAAATGTAAATAGACTAATTACCTCAGCTAAAATACAAAATTCAAAGCTGTGGCTGAGTGGCAGAGAAGCAGTATGGTTCCATTAATGTACATTTCAAAAATTTATAATTTATATATCTCACAGTAAACATATACTGGTAAAAATGTAGCCTAAAATCATAATAAAAAGCAAAATAATGATAATAAAATTCAAAAGAAAAGTTATCTCTGAGAAGTCAGAGAAAGGGATTGGATTAAGGAAGAACATACTTGCTAATTCAGGATATGTTAATTTTTTTTCCTTACACTAGATTCTAGGCATAATGGTTATGCATTGTATACTTTCACCTACCCATCATATATTTTAAAATGTTTGTTTCCCTCCATAGTCAATAAAACCAATAAAAAAGAGGTAGCATCAAAAATAAAAGATTTTAGATGAATATAGAATGTATTGTATCTCTGGTCTGATGCTACCTTTTCTGTCATCTTGAGAAGGAGAGCTGTCTTTGATTGATGAACCAGACTGAATGAATACAGCACTGCAAAAACTAAACCTGGGGCAAATCTAGATGACCATTAACCTCTGCCAGGTAGTTAAATGTTGTAGACTGCAAAAATGTCCCAATTTCTCACCACTGCCTTTATAGTGTGACCTTGCAACTACCTCTATCCAGAGGTGGAGTCTATTTGTCTATGTCTTGTTTCTGGGATGGGCTTGTAACCTGCTTTGACCAATAAGATGCAGAAAAATATATATATATATATGCTGGGTCAGTTCTGAGCACTGGTCTCAAGAAATTGTAAATACTATTCTTTGTCTTGAAATCCTGCTATCCATTCTGTGAATTTGTCTAAGCTACCCCATTGTATGATGAGAGATATGTGACCCAGTCACTCCTGTTGTATCTGTCAGAAAGTTGAAAATAGGTGAATGAGGCCATCCTGGAGTAGCCAGCCTTGGCCTGCCCTACAGTTGACTTCATGTGAGTAAGTGAGCTCAGGTACAATACTGAATCTAGGATCATCAAAACTGCCTGCCCATTGACCGGCCCATTGACAATAAATGATTGTTGTATTAAGCATGTAAGTTTGGGGGTTAATCAAAGCAGATATTAATCAGAAATAAATGGATTCTACAACTTTATAAGCACTATTTCCTTCCTGTTGCTCTTTTGTTGTGAAAGTACTCAGAAATGTTAACCTGGATATAATTCTGTAAACATATTGAAACATGAAGTGGCCATGAATATTTCTATTGCATTTAAAATGTCCCCATTTTGAAAAATTTGAGACATGGAAATCTTCAAAAATGATAGATTTAAAGTTACATTTTTAAAAAGCCAATGGGATAGAGTTTCTTAAGGATAAAACAGAAAAACTCAAGAGACACGCACAGGTTAGGAAACAGATGAGCTGATTTTCCTTCTTTCAATTTGTGGTGCTGTGAAAACCTTGTACTATGGACCCACAGTATTCATGAGAACAAGAGAACAGGGGTGGCAGGAGGTATTTTTAACAAAGTCATCAAGGTACTCATGAGGATGGCATATTTTCCATGAACAAGCAGCATAACTTAGTACTTTGCTCAAACGCCACACACAGCATAATGGAAATGGCACTTTCAGAATACTGATTCTCCCACAGGGAACTCAACAGTGAACTAGGAAAAGATCACAGGCTCTGACAGTTGATTGGTGAATTAATTAGATGTTGAACTTCTTTAATGCTATGGTAAATTACATGTGGAACATGCACTCAGAGTCATAAAAAGATTCCAAGGATGCTAGGTGTCACACAACAGTAGGGCAAAATGTAATCAGAATCCAGAGCGGGGCCCAATGCAAATCGGTTTACCAGAGGCCTGCTGAGATTAATCTTACTTGTATCCTTTTCTGAGGGGAAAATTTGGAGTGAGTGGCACAATTATTTAGGCTACAAGCAAAGGGAATTGATGCTTTTTTATTATTCTGTCTAAATTGTTCTTGACACAGACTTAGAATGTTAATATTTATCAACTTTTTACCCACCTTTACAGTCCCACCTCCTCATGTAATCTATCAAGTGATAGGAGATTTTGTAGAAAAAACCAGTGAGAGGGCGATTTTTTATTCTGCTGTGACCACATTACTGTCATTGCTGCCTATATGCTCTCAGAAAATACTTATTGTTGGCCTTTGTTGCTAAATACATGTTGGCATGTAATATATTGTTCTTATCTATTGTGTGATCTTAGGCAACTTAATCTCTTTAGCCCTCAATTTCTTCATTTGCAGAATGGGGACAATGACAGTATTCATTTTGTAGCGCTATAATGTTAATTAATTATGTAAATATTGCAAAGTACTTAAAATAGTGCCCGGCACATGGCAAGTGTTATAAAAGTTGCTGAATGAATATTGAAACAAAAACAATGTTCACCTATTTCCAAAGAGATCCATCACCATTTAAACTTCTGACCATTCAGCAAAAAAGACTTTGATTTCCAACATTGTGAGTAAGCAAAAATGAGCCTTTCCTTGGGAAAATGCAGCTTTCATAGAGGTAAATAGAAGAATATTAACAAAGTTTCACACATCAAGGGTAGATGTGTGAGGGTTCAAGGGAGTTTTACTTTTCTTCTCCATTATCTTCTGTAACTGGGAGGATATGGAAATAAATATAGATTAGGAATTATAACTGTCAGACCAAAAAAAGTCATCTAAATTCATTTCAAGCTTCTTTTCTGCCGACAAGTAGATGCTGCTGCTAACATATTGAGGTGCAGTTGTATTTTTTTTTGTTGTTGTTGGTGGGGAACGGAGTCTCACTCTGTTGCCCAGGCTGGAGTGCAGTGGTGCCATCTCGGCTCGCTGCAACCTCTGCTGCCTGGGTTCAAGCAATTCTCCTGTCTCAGCCTCCTGAGTAGCTGGGACTACAGGTGCCGGCCAACATGCCTGGCTAATTTTTGTATTTCTAGTAGAGATGGGGTATCACCATATTGGTCATGCTGGGCTTGAACTCCTGACCTCAGATGATCCACCTGCCTTGGTCTCCAAAAGTGCTGGGATTACAGGCGTGAGCCACCGCATCCGGCCTGCAGTTGTATTCTGATTAGATATCCTGCATGCCCTGTGAGAATGGCATGCAACAAAGGCAAACAACAATTCACTGCAATTCAACTCTTACCATGAGCAAAATACTGGGAAAGGCCCTAAAGAAAATGCAAACCAAAAACTGGAATAAGTTCCTCTGCTTCATATCTCCAAAGTATGTATTAATAATATTTTAATATCTTTCAACAAAATATAAGTGACTGAAAATATATATGGGTATATAAAGAACACATAAACCATTTAAAAAGGTTATTTTTAATTGTAGCTCCCTTCACTTCCCCTGTCTGCCGTATGCTGAAGATGACTGGTGAGTCATGACAAGTCTTGCACTGCTGAAAAAATGCATAAGGATTAGTATGGGGTTGAGTTGAGATAAACACGAAAAGTGGACCAATATTCCTGGAAGAATCAACTTGAGATTATATATGAATTATTATACCTAAAAAGGCTTGAGTTATTTAAGTCCCTTATTAAGACTGATGATACAACAATATTCATGAGGAACAAAAATGTTATCTATAGATAATATGAGATATTTGGTAAATAGAAGTAAGAAATTAAATATTTATATCGAGAGAGGATATTGTGTCCTGCTTTATTCTTAACAGGATTTGGGATGGTATTATAAGTTGGTTTTGATGCAGAATAAAAATATGTGAGGAAAAAAATTAAAACAGATAAAATAATGCTAGGGATAAAATTAGTACCTACTAGAAATTAGGTAAGACTATGGCTAAGGGAATCTAGGATGATTGGACTTCTTCCTCAGCCCACAGTACTGCTTTTTTTGTTACTTCTAGGGGAGCTATCTGCAAGGAACAATGACAAACAGTCTTTGAGACCTAAATGCTAATATAGAGAGCTGTGATAAATGGGGCTGGAACCACAGTCTAGGTTAGAAGCCTGAGAGACCTCTACTACTCACTCGCAATTTAAGCCCACATAGTAGATTTTACGTTGATCAGATTGGATGCCTTCAAGGGAAAAATAGTCAGAGAGAGAATAGGGAGTAAGACCTTGGTCAATTTAACATTTTGAGATAAGATAAAAAGGAGAAGAATGTATTAGAAAGAAGGATGACTGGGCTTCTCCTGTGGAAGGGCCTTTCAGTTTGAAAGGAAAAGAGAGAAACATACACAAATTTTCATCAAATGGCTATCGCACAGAACCAAGGAATCTCTCCAATGAGATCATCATATCCTCTTCTTGGGGACTAGATTTTTTTGTCTCCCAGAATGCTCTTTCTGCAGTAATTATACAGATATTCCAGATATTGACCTTGTTATAATTCAGGTCCCAGCTTAAAATATATCTACATTGACAACACAATTCAAAGTAGCCAGCTCTTCAAGCTCTCACCTTGCTTTACTTTTAACTGAGCACTTATTACTGAATATTTTCTTTCACATATTTTTGTTATTAACGGACTCCACACCAAAACTACCCATCTAGAACATAAGGTCTATGACAACAAGGACTTCATCTGTATTATTTATGTATGTGTTTACATATATATATATATATATATATATATATATATATATATATATGTTATAAGCGAACACAATAGGTACTCAATAAAGATTTAGCAAATAAATACATTCATGAAAATGTGTTTTAGTAGGCCAAAAAAGGTGGTGGAAAAAGAGATGCTTCTTGAGAACTTAATATTGACAATAGCTGACATTTATCAAGAGTGTTAATCTTCAGAACAAAACCATAAAATAAACACTGAAGAGAAAAATGCAGTGGCAACCTGATCAAATCTACTCTAGATCTAAATAAAAGATATGGGTTCCATACCTAGACTGATCTCAGAGCAGCTATGTTTCACTACCACGTATGCCATTAGATTATGTTTACATGCCAAATATGTGCAACACATTTAGTTCTGAAATTCCTTGTATTCCACACACACACATGCAAATAAATCTATTACATGATCCAATAGAATCATAAGTTAAAAATAAATGAGTTGCCCTAAAAAACCTTGCTATTTGGAGTGGTGAGACTGAAGGAAAATATGTACCATGGTCTCCTTAATGGAGAAACTTCATAAAGGATGAAGAAAAACACACCATGAATTACACCATGAATAATATTACTAAATGCAAGCATGAACTTCCAGCATTTATAATACAAATCAGTGTAAGTTGATAGCATTGATTCAAGTTTTGGTTTAGTGAAAGCACTTCTATAGAGAAAATATAAAGCTTTTAATAGCCTTGTTTAAACAACTGGTAAAATTTAAGCTATGCAGATGAATGAAAATGATTCATATCATTCAGGCAATCATTCCTCAGTATTATTTCTGACACCTACATTGATGATCAATATTGGCTGGTAGAAGTTATGATGTATATATTTTATGATGAGTACCAGACCATAGATATTTGGTGTTACTTTTTTTTTTTTTTTTTTGAGATGGAGTTTCATTCTTGTTGCCCAGGCTGGAGTGCAATGGCGCGATCTCGGCTCACTGCAACCTCCGCCTCTGGGTTCAAGCGATTCTCCTGCCTCAGCCTCCTGAGTAGCTGGGATTACACACATGCACCACGACACCCGGCTAATTTTTGTATTTTTAGTAGAGACGGGGTTTCACCATCTTGGCCAGGCTGGTCTCGAACTCCTGACCTCAGGTGATCGACCCTCCTCGGCCTCCCAAAATGTTGGGATTACAGGTGTGAGTCACTGCGCCCGGCTTAGTGTTACTTTTTAAGAATGTATTCATGGGTTTGAAAGCATGCATAATTTTGGTAACTTCTCAGAAGCTGATATGCTTAATCAGAATATATACCTGAACATGCACTATTGTACTTCTGCAGAGACATACAAATGGAAATATATATAACCAATGTCAAGACTTTCCTTTGAAAATAACTCCGGTTTTATCCAATACATGAAAAGAAGTCTGATTAATGGCCAACACTTTATCCAATCTAGAACCCTATATCACTAGAAAATAATAAGTAAAATACCCATAAAATATTTGACATTAATCTATGCTTTAAAATGGCTCTAAAAGGTACTCCTAGTCAACTAAATAATTGTTAGGCTCTAGTTCAAGGTCAGTTAAATGGCAAAGCATATATTCTGTAATAGTTTATTTGAAATCACTCTTTCCTACCATCCTTGGTTGTACTATAAGCCTCAATGGCATCATGTGGTGAGCAGTACTTTTATCCTTTTTTTCACAGACTAGTAAACTAAGCCTCAGAGACCTCATATAAATTGAAAAAGAGACATATCCAGAAAGTAGAGACCCAGGAATACTGGATCTGGATCTGGGATTGTAACCACTGAAATATTTGGCCTTACTTTTGTCAGTTTTTCTCAGCTAGATAAAACTAATGCATGTTTAAGCACAGTACATAGTTGGCTTCAGGTTCATATCCTAGTAACAGAATGAAAATACAACAATTATAGCATTTTTTAAAAAAATATTCTTTATATTAAAATCACTTTAAATTAAGAAAACATATAGCTTAAAAAGTATCACTTAGTATTAAATAAAATGTATATAAAGGCTATTTCTCCACATAAAAGATCATCAACGACTTATAGAATAATAAAAAAGATGTGAAGTGTTATTTCTTCAAACACTGGTTGACAAATGCATGCTCCGTGAGAAGTACTTGGCTGATCAAACAAACACACCAACTATTATCTCTAGAGTCAGTAGTCAATTATTCATGTAACAGCCCACTCTGTTTATATAGAAATTGTAATTTTCACAGTTTTTTCTCACTTTAACTAAACCCATGTAATATTATTTTTAAAACCTTTCTCATATTGGGTCACATTTCATCCAAATGTCTGATGGCCTCCCTTAGAACCACAGCTATAAAATCTAATCTCCTTTTCACCTGACATCATTTAAAACATTTACAGAGAGTCACCATCATCTCTTACACTTTTAAATTTTACTTTCTCCAAACAAGTCATACCTAATCCTCTCAAACCTTCAAATTCCCACTGGGCACGGTGGCTCACGCTTGTAATCCCAGCATTTTGGGATGCCATGGCAAGTGGATCATTTGAGGTCAGGAGTTCAAGAGCAGTCTGGCCAACATGATGAAACCACATCTCCACTAAAAATTCAAAAATTAGCTGGGCATGGTACTGCATGCCTGTAGTCCCAGCTACTCAGGGGACTGAGGCATGAGAATTGCTTGAACCCAGTTGGCGGAGGTTGCAGTGAGCCGAGATTGTGCCACTGCACTCCAGCCTGGGAAACAGAGTGAGCCTCTGTCAAAACAAAAACAAAAACAAAAACAAAACACAAAAACTTTCAAATTCCCAAATTATGATGTCTGTTCTGGGCAGTTATCCTTGGGTTTATAAATGTTCTTCTTCAACTGTGGACTGAGCTAACAGTTTTGGGCATGTTCTTCTATACACACTGCTGACCTATTTTACAGCTTGTTCAATGTGCCTGTATTGTCATCTACATTCCAAGTGCATGTTAGTCATCACACTGGTGACACCTTCTCAACGTGAACCTATGACTCTTTGGACAACATAAAATGTCTCTGCTATATTCACAATTTTTCTAGCTCTTAACTAATATCATGGATTTTTTTTTAATATTCTGGATGGCTTTAGAATTGAGAAAATAATCTTTAAAACCCCACCAAAGATTTTGAGAAAATAAAGACCTTTATTTTTCTTGGAGATTAGCAATAAAATAATAGGCAAATAATTCAGTACCCGAGGTGGAGTGGTAGTAGGGGAAGGTTAAAATCTCCTTTTCTTATTTTAAATGAAATCTTATCTGTAGGCAAAAGAAAAGGAACCAGTGCTGTGGGGTGAAGAGGATGAAAGTGGAAGTGAAAATGAACTTCATAATTAGAACAAGAACCTAGAGGATATTGACCTATCATTTCACTCTCCCTATGTTACTTGCCTTAAACTTCGGTTAAAATAAAGTTCTCAGTGCAGAAAAATTTGCATATGGATTTGATTTTTTTTAAATCCCATAAAAGTGAAACAAAATATTAATTTTTAAATAACTTCTAATAATTTCTTAGATTAATAATGTGTTTCACTTTCAGCTGATAAAAAAAAAACCTCCTAACTATACGCTCTGAAAGTACATCTAAAAACAACTAGTGTCCATTGGGTTCACAATCAGAGATATATTGTAGAATGTCACATAAATTCAAGCAGGAAAAAAAGGTTTTAATTTACCAGGATTACTTAAGCTGACTAAAGAAACTGTGAAAGAGTATTCTCAGATATATTCAAAAAAGCAATTACATTTCACTGTGTCTTGAAATCATTTCAAATTTATCATATTTTAAGTGCCATTAAATGTTCTTTTTGATTGGAAGAGCCCTATAAATGACAGGCAGTTTTGTGCTGTGCAAATTAGCAGTTTCCCCTAATTCTTTTCACAAGATTGTCAATTTTTAGTTATTATCTCATCCAAGTTCACATAATGGAGACTCTTGAAATTATGAACCATATGCCTCATGGTGCAATTCACAATTTAAATTTTATCAATGATGCCTTTAATTTTTAAAAAATTTGACCAATATTGTGTATTTTGTACCTGTTTAATTTACCCTAGTTACCCCTTAAATATATTTATTTTTTATATTTTAATCTATATTTCTGCATATGAAGAATACAAGTTTTCTTTGAACCCCAAGATCCCATCCTAGACTAATGTGTACGTGTATTTGTGTTTCTATGTATGTATTCACCATTCCTACCTGGGTAATCACCTATGTACAACTCCCTGCTTCCTGGCTGTTATTGTTTGAGACAAGTGGACTTGGCTGAAAGCAAGCATATTCCCTTTTTAGAAAACTTCTTTTTTTTCAGAAGAAAATTTTGTATTAGTGCTTCATTTCTTAGCCTTCATGAGGACACAAGTGATGCAGTTCCATATACCTTTCTTTAGTTCAATTAAATAAGACATTTCTTAACAGTTATGAGCTAAACTTAATCTTCCTGGGCACCACTGGACTTCTTTGTTTTTTTTCTCTGTAATTTCAGATAGTAAAAAGAAAACACAGTTGTAAATGCCACAATATAGTTTCCAACAATTGGAAGAAATATGAAAATACAAAAACAAAAATACCCATTGTGATGCTTGGTAAGTGGTCACTAGCAGAGAAGGCAAAGATAAAGAAACTAACAAGACATTCCAAGAAAAGGAAGTCACTCCCATCACACATACACAAGCCACCGTAAGGGCCATTAGTACTAGTGGGGGAAATAAAAAGAAAAGGAACTCAGCTTTCATTTAAAATGTACAGTACCTCCTATATAAATTTAAATTTATATACCTCTTAAATCATGACTTTTATTGTATGATTGTATGTATTAATAAAGAAACATCTTCAGTCACCGCACTTTCAAATGTATATTAGAACATGCTAAAATGGTGTTTTAATGGATAAAAATGACATTAAGCAAACAGAAACAGTATACAGACTGTCAGAAACATATCATCACATATATAGTAGCTTTACAGAGAAAAATTTATAAACCCAGCAGTGGATTGTCAACATGCCAATAACTTCCTCCAGTCACTTTGGGGCTAACAAATTAGAGGAACTAATTAAATATTTGATTAAATTAATTAAATATATGATTAAATAAAATTATCCACTTCCTTGGTATAATAAAAATAAGTTTTAAAATAAAAAATCCTATTTCATTTCATCCTGAAAATACAATTGAAATAAATTTGGCATTTACCTCATGTGATTAAAAATCCACTGGACACTTTAGAAGTGCAGGCAGCTCATGATACAGCTTTCTGATGGCACTCATCAATTCCTACAAATAACAAGAGGGTGAAAGAGAATATTCAGAGCAATATATGTCTTTGTAAAATGATGGTGATTAGCTATGAAATTTTTATTATCACTCTACTGCCTTTTTAAAAATACCTGACTATATATTGCTGTTATAATAGCTTTTGTTAAATGTGCAATATAGCAATGAAAATTATGTCTGTCTGGGACTTCCGAGGTACTAAAATAGACCCTAGATTATGACATACTGCAAAACATCAAACCACACAATAGCATGTTATTTTACTGAGAAAGGCTGTTGGATTATAAAAACCAAATAATTTGTAAATGAAATGTTTTCTTATGTGCATTACCACATCAAATCATTTTTCTAGTCATGATGCTAAGTTATAAGAAGTAGAGGGTTTAGCTTTTACCACTGGCTACTTTAACCAAATTTTAGCAAATATCCTTACTTTATATCTCATAGATTTCCCAGGGAAGAGCCATAAAATGTAGGAAATGATGGTTATCCATCTGATAAGTTAATATGCAATATGGTAGGTTTAAACTTATCAAATGAATGGCTATCATTTCCTACATTTTATGAATCTTCCTCAGGGAGACATAGAAAATAAAATACATATGCTTGCTAAAATAACAAGATACTATATAGTATATACAGTATAAAATTATATAGCAACTCAAACTTTTACAGTTTCAATTATCTGGGGAAGAAACTTTTCAAAAAAGCATTATTTTCTCCCATCTACTTGATAAAAGAGAATTAAAATGATAAGCAAGATAGATGAGTATTTTGTTGCTGCATATTGTCACTTTCCCATGTTTCCCATACACAAATATGTAGGGTGATAACTGTATAGCATCCCTTTTCTACATGCCCATTACTCCAAGCCTCACACATGTTAAATTCAGGCACAAATCTCAGTGAATCAGCACCATGGACGTCTGCTCGACCTTTCCCCTCTGCACATCGCTGACCCTTCCTATAAATCTCTCACTCTTTAGGTGACAAAAAAAGTCAGTATAGAATAAAAAGGGATGGTAGAAAGATGGTGCTCCTCTGATGATAATAGCAAAGACCTAAATAAACCTAAATAAATAAAGACCTAAATAAACCTAAATGCTCATCAGTGGCAGATTGGATAAACAAAATGTGGTACATATCAACACAAAATTCTATGCAGCCATAAAAAAGAAAAAGATTATGACCTTTTTAGCAACATGGACAGAGCTGGAGGCCATTATCTTAAGCAAAAAAAAAAAAAAAAAAAATACAGGAACAGAAAACCACATACCACATGTTCTCACTTATAAGTGGAAGCTAAACAATGAGAATACACGGATACAAAGAAAGAAACTGGGGTCTATTTGAGAGTGGAGGGTGGGAGGAGGGAAAGAATCAAAAAATTACGTATCACGTACTATGCCTATTCATCAGGTGACGAAATAACCCGTACAAGAAGCCCATGTGACACGCATTTCCCTATATAACAAACCTGAACGTGTACCCCAAACCTAAAATAAGAGTTAAAAAAAAGTAGCACTCAACTAAGAAGTATAACTTTGTCAAGGCACATATAGAAGATTGGAACATAAAGACATGAGCATTTCCTTATCACAGGAGAAGTCATATAAGTTCATGCTTTAAGTGTTGGATTTATAAATATTATATTATCATTTCAATTTTTCTAAAAGCTACTATCAGAAATTAAATATATATATTTCTTATTATGTGCTTTGTGTCTTTTGTTCGGAGGTATTATAACTCACTTTGAGGAGAAGATGCTTTATAGCCAAATAAATTCAGTAGAGTGAATAACATGTCCTATTAGGTTCTGGAAAGAAATCAGAAGCTACACTTCCATTAGGGGGAAACAGACTTAGAAAGAAAGTGGCAACCACTTTTAGCAAGAAAGGGAGCATTCATATGTGCAGAATAGTAGGACACTAGGCAGAAAAACCCTAAAACACCAAGAATGGTTGCATTGCATTTTACGAATTTCTGCATATGTTGCAGCATCATTGCTTTCCTGAGAATGCTTCAACTTCTCCAATGCCTGGTTGTTTTCTAAATCTGTATAGTATTCACTTTTTTTGTGCCCTGTTTTATTTTATAATTTATAAATTCACAGCAAACAACTCTAACTCTATTGGAAGCTCACCGTAACAAGTGCTGTGATAGGCACTTTCATATGCATATCTCATTTAATCAACAAGATATGTACACTGTCACACTTTGCCACCATTGGCTTACATATTGGATATCTCAGCATACAAATCTTAAATTATAAGTTGTATGTTCCATGAAATAAAGTGCTGTTTCCTACTCATTATAAGTTTTAAGTTCCATATCTTTAATTTGATTAAAGTGCTTTCTGAATGTCTAAAGTGTTTATTGAGTGTTTTAAAATATATATGGAATGTGAAAATTATTCAACTAAATCCATGATCTATTTGTTTGAAATGTGAATTTTAGCATTACAATGGAGAGAATCCTGAAACCTCATAAGATCTTTTGTTTATGATCATATTTATAGATCAGATACATGATATCTTTGAGGAAGAAGAAATGTACATTTTATTTACAACCACAAACCAGAAATTCCTAATTCCTTGGAAGAAAACAATTTTAACTAAGACTCAATATTATTTGAGGGATGTGAAAAATAAGTTATGTTGGTGAAGTAAAGAGTATGAATGCAAAAGAAGAAACACAATAAACAGTATTAAAAGGAGACTATTTTTCTAATTAGAAAACTAAATGGTCAAGTGAGTGAATAAAGAAGTTGGGTGAAATGTGTTGATAAAACTTACAATAGCATTGTGTTTGTAGGGTATTTTTTAAAGGGGAGTTTAAGTAATACAATTTTCTAAGTAGAAATTCCTTCAGAGTTTTGTGGGTTAATAATAAAATAATGGATAAAAGAAATCAAAGCTGTAATTCCTAAAAAAGTAAATCGAAGTTTACAGTGATGGGGCATCACATTCTGTATTAAATGATAACACCAGATGAGAAGCCAGGCCCAGATGTAATCCTAGATCATGTGATTTATTAGATTCTTCTCACCAAAATGATTTAGAGAAACAGCAGAAAGATATTAGTAATAGAATAAATATTGTTCAGGCCAGGTGTGGTGGCTCATGTCTGTAATCCCAGCACTTTGGGAGGCCGAGGTGGGTGGATCACCTGAGGTCAGCAGTTTGAGACCAGCCTGGCCAACACAGAGAAACCTCGTCTCTACTAAAAATAAAAACATTAGTGAGTTGTGGTGGCACGTGCCTGTAATTCCAGCTACTTGGGAGGCTGAGGTAGAAGAATCGCTTGAACCCGGGAGGCGCAAGTTGCAGTGAGCCAAGATCACGCCACTACACTCCACCCTGGGAAACAGAGTGAGACTCTGTCTCGATCATCATCATCATCATCATCATCATCATCATCATCATAAATATTGTTCAGAGGATAAAAGAAAAATATGAAAAATCAGTTTCATAAGAATTGGTAGATGTAGCTCAACTGAGCTGGGACAAGACTGAGAACAAAAACGTAAGAAGCAATACCCTCAATACTTTAATCGACACAATTCAAGGTAAGTGATAACGTTTATAAACAGAAGACAAAAAGTAGGAATTTGATGAACATGTATTTTCAAGCAGTTAACAGACAAAAGATACCCCCAAACCATGTGTAAAAGAAAAAATAAAAAAAAAATCCATCCATATGCTTAGTATGGTCAATAAAATCTAAAGTAGTCAGTAAACCTAATTAAAAAAAAATACAGATCCAGTCTCATAGTCTTCATGATATAATGGTGAAGAGAGAAAACAATGTTAAAGAGAGGTGAACATGCTGTAACAGTAACTATAGAGGATTAATATTTTTAAACTACAAACAGGCATGAATTACTCCTCATTCAAACAAACGTGACCCTAACTTCAAGGCTAGGAATATGTAAATGCAATTTATAAAATAATAACTGTGGCTCTGCTGACTTCTTATACAATAATGTAATAATCTTTAAGGATAAACAATACTTTAAATTGATTCAAACTGGAGTAAGCATATCATTTAGGTTTATAGTGATATTCTAGGAATAATTTGAAAACGAAGGAAACGATCTCCCTAGAACTTTCAGTGCTACTTGAAGTTTTACAAGGAAAAATATCAACCTACATTTGAATGTTTCTAGGTAGAAATAGTCTGTTGTTATTAATTATGTCTCTACAAGTGTTTCAGATAAAAGACTTGAAAACCCCTGCTTTAAATAAAAAGGTACACATTTTTTACCATTTTCTCTTTTTCTACCACATTTTATAGTGATTCTCACACTTTATTTCAAGGTGGGGAAAAAGGGAGAATACTTTTCCAGAGAAAACATATACTATATGACATCTTCTCTCAAAAGGAAATGAATCCTCTAATTTATTTAAATATTTATGATTATTGATACTTTATATACAGTAGTCTAGAGCATTAACACACGGGACAACACAGGCTTTAACACATGATGCAGAACTCATCATGGTCAAAAGGTCTGGCTGTTAAATTTCTTGGATGATTGCATAAGGCTAATAACACAGCATCACTAAAGGATCATCCAACAGATCGGCAGCCTCTCACCTGAAGCTCCATTAATATTTTGGAGAGTGTAGAATGTGACCTACAGAAATGGTCTACACTACATTGGGGAAAGACGGTCTCTCATACATCCAGTAGACCAAATATTTTGAATTGTTATATGTAATCTGCATCTTCTGTCATATTATGCTTTTTCTTTTCAGTTACAGAAGGAAGAAGAGAAATAAAACGCCTACTATGTACCTAGATATGATACCTAGTGCTTTAAAAACATTATTTAATTTATTCCTCAAGAAATAAATTATGTGAGAAAGGCGGTATTATCCCACTTCACATATATATAACTGAGGCTTAGAAAGTGATGCATTTATTTTCTCACGATTACAGATCTTTCCATTATTTATCACTGCCTTTAAAGTTTCAAAACTGAATGGCTTTGGACATGGAAGTAGTGGGAGCAAAGGTTAAATTGAATGCAATGGTACCTAATAAAACTTGAAACCTGTAATCATTGCAGTTGATCAAAGTTGGATGATTCAGTGTTTTATTTTCAATATTTCGTGATTGTTAAATAAAAGTCAAGTTCTAAATAAAAGCTTGCTCTTTCTTTTATTTGTTGTTTTGGCTTTTTGAAAGGATGGTTATTAAAATGCAATATAATCTGTTTCCCTAATGAATATTAACTTTTAAACAAACAAAAGTTTATAAAATTAATATTAAGTTTTAAATATACAAAAGTTTATAAAAATATAACATTTTGCGGTGGCTCACGCCTGTAATCCTAGTACTTTGGGAGGCTGAGACGAGCAGATCACCTGAGGTCAGGAGTTTGAGACCAGCCTGGACAACATGGTGAAACCCTGTCTCTACTAAACATACAAAAATTAGCCAGGTGTGGTGGCAGGCACATGTAATCCTAGCTACTCGGGAGGCTGAGGCAGGAGAATTGCTTGAACCTGGGAGGCAGAGGTTGCAGTGAGCCGAGATCATGCCACTGCACTCCAGCCTGGGTAACAGAGCAAGACTCCATTTCAAAAAAAAAGAAAAAAAAATGTGTGTGTGTGTATGTATATATATATATATATATACATACACACACACACACACACACACAGATATATATGTATATATACATTTAAAAATAACATTTTAAATAAGGCATTTTACATGAAATCTAGCTGTTTCAATTAATAATATGATATTCCTAACAAAATGACATAATAGAAATGACATTTCCTCGGAACTTATATTTATTTAATATTACTTTTCCATTAGAATAGAAAAACTGAAACATGGCATTAATTCCATTTTAATTATAATATAATAAAATAGCTTTATAAATTCTTAATTTTAATAGCATAAAATAGTTATGCTAATATTAAAGATTAAGTTATATGATGCCAAATTTTAAGACAGCAAATTAGCTATACCATTCGCTGGAGCAATAGAGAGAAGACAGGAACATAGGAAAAATATATTCAATGAATAATTTGACTCTGTCCTTCACTGAACTGCTTAATATTAAAAACAAACATTTTTCCAACTTAAAAAAAAGCACAATGACAGTACTACTTGATTGACTCTCTCTATACATGCCACCTGAAACATGTTGTCATAAACCATACCACAAGAGAATCTTACATTTTTACTACACTAAATTCTAAATCCTATTTTAGTATAGAATGCATACAGCCTGTTCTTCAATAAATAAATCCAGTAATAAAACAATAAAAGAAGGCATTTTGACTCTTCTTTTTTAAGTTGCCTGCTTTTAAAACATGTGTTGTTGGTGGTGGTGTTGGTGGTGGTGGTGGCTCTAAGATTTACGAGGACTTCACTGTGGATTGCTTTGGTGGCTTACATTTCCTTTTGTTCTTGCCCTTTTTAGAGAGGTACATAATTGGATATTGGCATTTTATTTGCTTTAATCTTTTGAAAACCCAAGAGTGAAAGCCATACATCCTTGTGTTTTTATTAGGTTAATCAAGTTAAAAATTGTCATTGTGTTTAAACTTTTAAAAGTTGAAATTCTCCTATGGCTACACATTTTCTTAAGTGGATGGCATATTTTGTTTGGTCTTAAAACATATGTTTATAAACTCTATCTCTTTAAATTACACACAAACAAACACATACAGAAAACTACTGTGTCTTGTACAACATTAGCAAAATAATAGCGATAATTAACGGTTACTGAATGCTTTCCGTATGCTAGGCACTGTTCTAAGTACATTACATTTATTTGCATGCCTAATTCTCACAACAGTCCAAATATATTATTTTATCCCAATTGAAAGTTAAAAAGTTGTGGCACAGAGGGATTAACTAACCAGGCAAGTAAAGAGCTAACATTTAAACCAAGGTGGTTTGACTTCAGAGTGTGAGCTACTAAGAACTGCTACACTATCTCTGATTAAAAGATACCAATAATGGCATTCGGATAACAATTGTGCGGACATGTTCCTTAACCAAAAAATATCAAATCATTAAAAATGCGATAGAGTGGCAGAAATAGTTGAGTGAGAAACAACAGAGCTGAAGCTATCTGAAGGTATGGGCTATTCCTGCTTACTTTATCTCATACTCACAATATTGGTAGAGCATCTAAGACAAAGCAAGCCAGTATCCAAGAAATATTTGTTGCGTGACTGATGGATAAAGAAGGAGGCTTATATGAGTACTGGTATTTCTGCACATCTTGGATGAAAGTGCAAACTTCACATACTAGTCCAGATTCAGCACATATCTTCAGTGGATTCACACTCTCACCTTCAACTATACTGTCTAACGCTCTCACATAATCCCTTGAGCCCTGGCCACCTGTGTTCCATTTACAACTGCCCATATTCATATTCATTAAAGCCCTTTATGCTACAGTCATTTAATAAACTGCTCTAATGAAAAAATCCATTGTAATTTCATTTAATATAGGTAATTTTAACACAGGTTTTTGACAGAAAATATCATAATTCAGGATAGTAATTCTAATGGTAGGAAGATCAGGCAGTAACACCATAAACCAGAAATCCAAACCGAGAAACCAATACCCTGGGATGTCCTGAGTTCCTCCTTCTCTCTCACCTGCCCAGAAGCATCCCGAATCCATCTACATGTTATCATTATTACTGCCACCCCCACTCCAAGCTGTTACCTTTCTCCTGGATTATTCTGATGGTCTCCTAACTAGTCTTTCTTCTTGAGCTCCTGCCCTTTCAATCTATTCTCTACCTTCCAACGAAAATTATCTTAAAATATCAATTGGATCATGTCTTTCCACAAATGACTTCCTGTTGTGCTTTGAATATTAAAAAAAAAAAAAAAACTTTATTTTTTTAATGTTTAATCTAAAAGGCCTGGCCTGATCTGTCACAGTCAAACTTTCCAGCCCCACCTTCTGGCCTGCTCTCCCACTCTCACCAGGCTCCATCTGTGCTGAAAGTTTCATTCTATTTCAAAGCCCTTACATGGGCTGTTGGCACTGTTAGAGCAATCCTCTTTCCATTCCTTGCTTAGTCATTTCCTTCTTTCTTCAGGTATCAGCTTAAATGCCCCTTCCAAATGAATACTTCTTTCTAAATGGCAGTGCTTTTTGATATTCTGTTTGGCTTCCTGAAGTTTTCATCCCTGTCAATTTTTCATAATAGAGTGGTTTCGAGCGCAAGATTTATATCCAGACTTACTGAGTTTAAATCTTGAGTGCATCGCTTGCTAGACTGCATGATGTTAGGAAAGCTGTAATCCTTGTTATGCTCTAGTTTCCTTATCTAGAAAATCAGATACAATATCATTTACCTAAAGGGATGGTTGTGAGGACTGAGTTTATACAACTAAGCACTCAGAACAGGGCTTTGCACATCAAATACTCAATAAATGGAACTGTCATTACTAAGTGAAATTATATTTATTTGAGTAATCTTTTGATTATATTTTGCTTTCCTGATAAACATGCAAACTTAAGATGAGCTGGAGCTCTGGCTATATTGTTACCCAACCACAAACTTGGTGCCTCAACAGTACTTTACTTAGAAAAACTCATTACATATTTATTTAATTAATCAGGTAAATAAATGTGTGAATCTATAAATACATAGAATAAATAATTTTAAAATAAAATATTACAGATCAGCGATTTTGGGGATGGTGGATCTTTGATATGCACAAAATCATACAATATGTGGCAGTCGGCTTTGGAAGGTTCCCTGGATCTAGGGAAAATTTTGATATTGTGTTCACTCAGCTGTTTCTCAACTCAAAGATATTTGAGAAATGACTGTAAAACACCTAGAGAAATTCTTGGCGGGTCATCTCATCTTCTTTCATTACTGGCAAATTTGGTTGTTAGTGAGTACAAAAACTTTGATGACTTTCAGAAAAAAAATTCTAATATAATATTTCTAAGTTTTAAAGAAATCTTTTCACCATTATCAAAGCTACAATACAGTTCCTTGGGGCCAGACTTTAATCCAAGAAAATCTCAAAACTCAGCTTCCCACATGATTTATCTTCTAATCTTCTAACTTTGGTTCTGATTTCTTAGCATTGCTGTTTTGTAGATGTCATCTTATGATGCATAATCAATAAGGATGTCTTGCTGATGCTTTTCAGAAAACTATTGCTATCCCAATCCTCAAAACGGAAAGTATAAGATTCCAGATACCTAGAGTTCCTAGCCCTTAAAAACTAGAAATAGCACTTTTTTGAGGTAGGACTGGCATACGAAAAGCTGTACATATTTAATGTATACAACTTCATGAGTTTGAAGATAACTTTACACTTGTGAAACAACCATCACCTCACATATACAAATAATAGTAATAAAGAGGGTTTATAATTTTTAATAATTATATTTAAATGTAGATATGGAGATAAAAACATGAAAAGAAAGTGTTATACTAAAGCCTAATGAGTTGCTTTGTCCTGCTTTTTCAAGAATATTAATTTGGTCCTTTTTAAACATTTTTATTTATGTATTCATTTATATTAATTGATAAAAATTACATATAGTTATCAAGTACATGTTTCAAAATATGTATACACTGTGGAATGGCTAATGTATAATAGTATAATTACTATATACATTTCATTTCTTCACATACTTACCGTTTTTTTTTGTGGTGAAAGCATTTAAAATCTATTCTCTTAGCAATTTCCAGATATAATTATTGGATTATATCTGGAATTATATTCTAGGTGACTGTGTTATTGACTATGGTCATCACATTGTACATTCAAACTCTGCAACTAATTTCTCCTACCTAACTGAAATCTAGTGTACCTTGACCAATATCTCCTCAACCCTGCCCTGCACCCACCACACCTGCTCTCTACTTCTGAGTTCCATTTTTTTAGATTTCACATATAAGTGAGATCATGATATACTGGTATTTCTGTGCCTGGCTTATTTCACTTAACACGATGTCCCTCAGGCTCATCAATGCTGTTGCATATGACAGAATTTCCTTCTTTTAAGAGACTGGGTAGTATTCTGTTGTGTATATTTATATTTTCTTTATTCATTCATCTGATGAGAAACAATTAAGTTGATTCCATATCTTGGCCATTGTGAATAATACTGCAATAAACATGAGATGCAGGCATCTCTTCAACATACTGATTTTATTTCCTTGGGATATATACCCAGTAGTAGGATAGCTGCATCATATGGTAATTCTATTTTTAATTTTTTCATAAACCATCATACTGTATTCCATAATGGCTGTGCTAATTTATATTTCCAACAACAGTATACAGGGATTACGTTTCTCCACAACCTCTTCAACACTTGTTATCTGTCATCTTTTTTTATCAGGTGTTATCTTTTTATTTTAACAGGTGTGAGGTGTTAGCTCATTGTGGCTTTAACTTGCTTTTATTTGATAATTAGTGATTGCGAGCATTTTTTCTATAACTGTTCACTATTTATATGCCTTATTTTGAGAAATGTCTGTTCAGATCCTTTGCCCATTTTTAAATCAGGTTATTTGTTGTCCTGCTATTGAGTTTTGTGAATTCTTTATGCATTTTTGACATTAAACCCTTGTCAGATATGTGGCTTGTAAATATTACTCTGTTCATTGTTTCCTTGGCTGTGCGGAAGGTTTTCAGTTTTATATAACACCATTAGTTTATTTTCCCTCTTGTTACTTATACTTTAGGGATTATATCTTAAAAATCATTGCCCAGATTAGTGTCATGGAACTTTTCCATGTCTTCTTCAAGTAGTTTTGAAGTTTCACGTCTTATATGAAAGTCTTTAATGCAATTTAAGTTGATTTTTGTATATAGTGTTGGATAAGGGTCTAAATTCACTCTTGCATGCAGTTAGTTCCCTGGAAACTAACTGCATGCAACTTAGTTCCAGTTGGTACCCTGGACTAACTTAGTTCCAGTTAGTAGCCTGGAAAAATTCATGTATCACACACCCTGCTATGCCAGATGCACTAGAAAGTCTTTTCCTGAAAAAGTTAATTGGCGGTTGGTAACCAGAAGGTTCTAAAGGGCAGCTCTTTTTAACTTCTTCCTCTGAGAAGGGGCAATGATAGCAAAAATCCAACCCCATACTGTGGTGTCCTCATAGAAGCCATTACAACTGGCAGTGCAAAGTTTCTTATCAAGCTGCTCCTACTGTGGCTTTAGATCTTTTATAGAATGCAAACAGACAAGCAGGGATGTGGAAAATGAAACAAACAAACACACAAAAAAGAAGTAGTAAGGAAAAAGGGATATGGGAATGGGTGAAATGTCTCCAAGAAGAAAAGGGACAGCTGGCTCCTGGAACTGATGACCCACACTTAGAGGGTTAAAGCTACACTGGCTAAATCAATTCCTGGACTAGTCTCATATCTCTGCAGATGTACCATATTATATTCAGAGTATTTTCCCAAACTGTGTTCCTTTACCTATAATCCTAAAATAGTTCAGCCTAAGTACTATTACTGAGTACTAAGTACTTGTTTGGAGAATTTTGAAAGAAAAATCTACAGCAGAGAATAGGAAGTAGAATACAGACTAGAGAGAAATAGGCTCTCTTAAGTGAAAGCTTATGATTCAATCAACCAACTATAAAATAATTTTAGTCTAAATGGACCCATAAAATATTCTCAAATCATATTTGAACACATCAAGAAGCAGAGATTCAGAGAGGTAGAGTGACTTACTGACAGCAAGCTGAAATGGCAGCAGAACTTTGGCTTCCAGATCCTACATAGTAAGTGTTTTCTGATTTGTTTCACCCTTAGAGTTGCCAATGCTTGGGCATAGCGGTGAGATTTCTATTCAGTGCTTTCCTGGAATTGCTGATTCTTGATCCTATATGCTGCCCTTTATAAAAAATGGATCTGTAAACTTATATCAGTCTCTTTCAATGACACTGTTCAGTCACTTGAACACTGGAGCATTACTGAAGCCCTGAAAAGGATTTGGCAGATGGAAAAAAGCTCATGGAACCTAACTATTAACACAGTGGTCTTTCCTGAACCTGTTCCGCATTCACTGGACTGTGCCTGACTTGCATATCTGTGGCCTTGTCAAATATTTGCCTTAAATTTCACTTCTTGCAAAATAATCTGTTAATGAAGGGGTCATAACCAAAGTCTTGATTCATTTTTGTACAGGTTATCTTTTAGACCTTCTACATGGTTTTTATTAACACAGGATATTGCTTAGGAATCTTGAGGAGGTTTTAATTTACTTTCCTAAGACTTTTTTATATCATTTTTCATTTTGCCAGGTACTTTTATAAGACAATTTCACGATTATAGATGTAATTCTGTAGTCACAAGTCTATATATTGTTTTTGCAGCAATATGATTTGAAATTGATGTAAAATTATGGCAATTTTGGTCATTCTAAATGTATTGTCATATATTTAAAATAATTTGCAAGGGGTTAGTGAACTACATTAATTATGGATATTGATATGCTTTTAGATTATTTTGAATATATTTAATAAAAGGAATTTATGCAGAGTTAAATAATAGGAAGAATTTCATATTAAAACATAATTATAGAAAGTTGGTTCTCTCTATGGCAGATACTTTTTTTATTATTTTTAAAACACAGGAATTGAAAAGAAATTCAAATTTTAACCAAAGCCACAATGAGATGTCTTTGAATGAAGGATAAGAAAACCCATATTCTCTGATGGTAAGTATTCCCACTTTCCCTGTCCTTAAGTAATGATTTTAAGTATTCCCACTTTCCCTGTCCTGAGATAATAATAGAAAGAACCTCACAGCTAAACATACTATAGCCTATTTTTGGTATTTTTTGCTTGTATTTATATGTTTTCTTAATGTACCCAAATCTTTGCCCAGTACTTGTGCTTCATTTTAAATCAATGTGCCCATACCCTATTGTATTGCTATTATTGATTCTAAACATTGAAACAAATTTCACAAGTCATATAACCTTTCTCTTGGTTCCAGACAATCACCACTAAGCAAGATAGATGAGCCGAACACATTTTTTAGTTAAGTTTTGTACCATCATTTTCCTGTGAACTCCATACCAATATCTACATGGGTACATCTTTGACAAAACCTGTCTGGTTTTGCACTGTGTTTCTTTCATGGGATGATCATAGTATTTTTCACAATTTGGCACAAATATCACTCTTAAATCAAGCCTTCTAAGTTTTCCTACCCCAAGCAATAGGACTGTTTATGCCACCGAGCAATTAGATACATGCCTCTATTATTACATTTATCTTATTTCATAGCAATTATTTTGTATACAATATTTACCTGTTAATCAAAACCATAGCTTAATATGGTTCTCTCCTAGATGCCCATCTTAGAGCCAGGATTAAATATTTGTTTTCAGAATGAAATGTTTGCTTATATTTTATTTATACAACCATGATAAAAAATCTAACATGAAATGCAATCAAGCTTTATCATGAAAGTTTGTCATTCACTCATTCAGCAGCTGCTATGTGGCAAGCATGTCTAGCTCTTCCTTAGTTTTGTAGAGACAGCATAGGAGAAACTGTGTGCCTAGCACATAGTAGATGCTCATTAGATATTAATGTATTTCCTTTTCTCTCTTTCCCGCATTGTAGCCATGTCTCACATGGAGTCAAATAACAGACTTGTTATTAAGTACTCTTACTCTTTAAGTATATGAGGATTTATTAAGCTTTTGGTTTCCTGCTTTTATAAATCAAAACTTTTTTTGTGAAATTCAAAAATTCAAAAATTTCAAAAGCAATATTTTTTGCAAAAAATGTAAAAGTTTACATTTTTAAACACATTTTGTACCCAGTAATTTTATTTCCATTGTATGCATCAATAAATTAAAAATATTTTCAGTTTAGACCAGGTTTTAAAATGTTTATCTTTTTTTTTTTTTTTTTTTTTTTTTTTTTTGAGATGGAGTCTTTCTCTGTCGCCCAGGCTGGAGTGCAGTGGTGAAATCTCGGCTCACTGCAAGCTCCGCCTCCCAGGTTCACGCCATTCTCCTGCCTCAGCCTCCAGAGTAGCTGGGACTACAGGCGCCCGCCACCACGCCCGGCTAATTTTTTGTGTTTTTTAGTAGAGATGGGGGTTTCACCGTGTTAGCCAGGATGGTCACGATCTCCTGACCTCGTGATCTGCCTGCCTCGGCCTCCCAAAGTGCTGGGATTACAGGCGTGAGCCACCGCGCCCAGCCTTTTTTTTTTTTTTCTTTTTTTAGATGGAGTCTACTCTGTCACTGTCACCCAGGCTGCTGATCTGAGCTCACTGCAACCTCTGCCTCCCAGGTTCAAGTGATTCTCTGCAACCTCCACCTCCCAGGTTCAAGTGATTCTCCTGCCTCAGCCTCCCAAGTAGCTGGGACCACAAGCACACACCACCATACCAGGCTAAATTTTGTATTTTTAGTAGAGACAGGGTTTCACCATCTTGGCCAGGCTGGTCTTTAACTTCTGACCTCAAGTGATCTGTCCACCTCAGCCTCCCAAAGTGCTGGGATTAAAGGCATGAGACACTGCACCTGGACATTTTTTTCTTTTTTAACCCTTTATTTTAGGTTCAGAGGTACATGTGCACGTTTGTTATACAGGTAAATTGCATGTTGCGTGGGTTTGATGTACAGATTATTTCGTCACCCAGGGAATATGCATAACACGTGATAGGTGATTTTTTGATCCTCTTCCTCCTCTCAACCTCCACCCTCAAGTAGGCCCCAGTGTCTGTCGTTCCCCTCTTTGTGTCCATGTATTCTTGTTTAGCTTCCACTTATAACTGAGAACATGTGGTATCTGGTTTCCTGTTCCTGTATTAGTTTGCTTAGGATAATGGCTTCTAGCCCTGTCCATGTTGCTGCAAAGAAAATGTTCTCATTCTTTTTTATGATTGCATAGTATTCCATGCTGTATTTGTACCACATTTTGTTTATCCAATCTGCCATTGATGAGCATTTAGGTTTATTACATGTCTTTGCTATTGTGAATAGAGGAGCACCATCTTTCTACCATCTCTTTTTTTCCTACTCTGACCTCTTCCACCTGAAGAATTAGAGATTTATAGTCAAAGCACAGTGCTTAGTAAACAGTAGTTGACAGCTGTATTTATTAGTTTACACTGTAACAAAAAATAGATGTACTTTGCAAGGTGATCTTTAGTTGTCATTAAATTTCTGCTTTTATAATAATAACATTTCGTACAATTACTCATAGAAAAAGATGTGTTTCTGATTTTCCATTTGAGGCTTTTATTTGAATCTATTATACTCAGATATCTTTGGAATCATATGATGTCATGTCTCTCTCATAATTGATCTTCACATGGGCCAGTCATTATTTTTGTTTTAGTCATTTTGGAGTGGAGAATAACTCCTTTATCTTTGAAGTTCTCCCTAAAACTCCTTACAGTAAAATTGTCATTTTCTACTTGTCATATATTCAAAGTCAGAGATCCTAAAAATAATCTACAGATATGGAAAAAATTCATCCACATATTTATTTGTATATCTTGTGTGTGTGCAGGTATGTGAGTCTAGACATACGTATTTCCTCACCATCCCTCAAATTCTATTATGACTACTCACTTGCACCATTATTGGTGAGGTTTGTACTAAAAGTCATAACTACAGTCCAGACTATATGAAGACGAGTAGTGTGTGGGTGCATGATTTCTTTTATATATAACATATATGATGTGTGTGTGTGTGTGTGTGTGTGTGTGTGGACAAGTGAGAGAGAGAATCAATAACCAAACATTCTAGCAGTATACATTGGATAGTTTTAAAACAGCTTTATTTTCTTTCTTTCTGCCCAGATATGGGGCAGAAATTGGGGAAATTAACCTGGCCATAAGGTCTTGTAATTGGATATCACACATAAATATCCTCAAGCCTTACATCTTCTTTATATAACTGATGAAGACATTCTACGTACAATGTAAGTCTTTGTGCTAAGTGTAATATAATGCAAATGCTTGACCAGATGATTTTGTAAGGGCAATATTCATATTTCAAAATTAAACAACTGATATTTCATATGCCCAAAGGCTCTGGTACTGTACATATTATTGATTAAAGTGACATTTTAAAGTTACTATAGTGCAAAAGAGTTTGTTAAAATAGAAAACTAATTTTTATGGCTTTTACTAGCTCAAAATTAGCCAGAACACTAACAGAGTAAATGTTTGACTGAAGCACCAGGTGGAAAATTTGTATCAATATTCAAAGGCCCTCAAGTAAGATTTCATTTCATAGAGTACAATCTTGGAACTGTTTTCAAACTACGTAGATATATAAATGGCAAGCAGAACACCTGCATTAATCCTGGACTATGCTTTTATTTATTTTATTTAGTTTTTGGTAATGAATAGTCAATTTCTACACCTAGTCCTATATTTTACCACTTTCTAGAGACAGTAACAAGCCTCTAAATGCAGGTTTACATCCATCGGACACCTTTGTCTGACAAATTGAGCTTATTGGAATATCCATTTCAGCTCTTGTTTCCTTGGCTTAAATTACACCAGAATAGATTGTAATAATTTCTGGTGATAGGAGTATTTAAACGCCCATGGCCCACTGAAGATCCAATTTTGAAACGGTGGAATTTATGTTGAATATAAGAAAAAGACGCCTTTAAAAGATCTTTCATTTCAAATTCTGTGTCACACCTGTAGTAGGTATTTAACTTAAAGGGGATGAGTGGTTATACTACTTTTACGGTACTTTTCAAGACAGTTACATCATTGACCATATTCAGACAGAGGAGATGGTAAAAATGCACCTGGACAAATAAAATTTGATTAAAATAAACATTATAACCCAGAAACAAACTATGTGTGGAAGTCAGTAAATTACACAGAATAGAAAACACTAATTTATTCATACCCAGACAACACGTCATCTCCTATTTATGTATGAGCACAGCATTTACATAGGTAAGAAATATGAATGATATTGCAGTAGAGAGGGAGGCATTCTTGATATTCTTGAATATAGTTATCCCATTTATAGCTTCACTTTAAGCTAATGATTTAAGCCTAAGTGTAGGATTTCATTTTCAGTATAGCTGAGATTGACTTCATGTTAATTTTCAGTGTTATATTTAAGTTTCAACTAAACAGTCATGCCAAGTGAAATTCCTTGGTCATTCTTAAAATGTCAAAGGCAGAAATTATGAGAAACAGAGGCTTACCATAAATACTATGCCAGAAGCTGTCCTATAATATGTCTTCTGAAGAAAGAGAGAGAGAGACTATTGGTCATAAGAGTCAGCAGTCCTCACTACTCATTTGAGTCAACATATGTAGGTCATTTGTCCTCTTTCTCTCTCAGATCTGTCTTACACCACAGTGTGCTTGCTCCATCATATTAATCTCTGCAAGCTCTATGCACATGGATACTTAAAAAAATCAATGCATGCTCAAGCTCAATAACAGTATGAAAAAGTCCTGACAATTATGGTGATTTTTTTTTGTTTATTTTTATTCAGCTGTTTTAATGGAAATGTACAACAATTCAATATTTTGATGCCAATTTTATTTTCTTTCTTATTTCCTGAAACACGGCTATACAGTAACATAGTTTCATTATAATAGGATATAACGATTATACCCAAATCACAATTGAAAAGCTTCCAGGTTATGAGCAAAGACTCTGTGAATGGGAAAGAGGAGAAATGTGTCAGCTGCATAAAACAGAGAAAAAAAGTAAACAGTTTGAAACCTTCCAAAAAGTTTAGTTAACTTTGAAAAAGCTCTAAAAATTTCACACCAAAATCTCATCCCTTCAAACACTTGTATGCGCACTCCCCTATTTACACATATGATACAAATGGAAACTTCACATACAGAGTTGCTGCAGGCTACAGTAAACACTGTAAGGCAGAAATACATTACCTCTGGCAGGGTATATCACAATGACCCCATTAAACTCCTTTAAGGATTCTCTTTATGATCTCAGTTCATTAGTCCCTTAAATAGCATTTGTCATGACAAAAGAGAACACTTAGAAGGAAAGCCTTAAAGCCTTCTCAAAGGCTCACTGAGCCAAGAACAAGCTCAGAAGTTATCAAAACAAAGCTTCACAAGTTTGGAATAAATTAGCTTGCTTGGGCACAAACTGTGTCTGTGTTTTTTCAGTGACTAAACATAATCTACTTGCCTCAGGCTTTTTCTAAACCTAAAACCTCATGCTGGCAATGTTATCTGTAACCACACTCCTTTAAATGGAGGAATGTCACTACTTCAGGTGACATGGTTCCTCCTAAGGGAAATTGCCCGAGGAAGAATGCAGGTGTATCTGCCATTCAAAAGCCTAAAAGCTGTGTTCCTCATTTAAAAATAAACTCGTTTAAACAACAAGAACTAATTATTACATTAATTTATTGTCAACACAACTAAGCGCAGGCAGGCAGATATAATAACCTATGTGTAAACTACTAAGCAAGCTGAATAAAAAGGAATCTCTACTGTGAGTCACTTTCATGGTACTAACACAGGTACTCACTAAAGCCATATTTCAGATTCCATTTTGTAGTTTCATTATTACTATACAGATATCTGTGCACATAACGTCCTATAATATGTCATCTGTCTGTCTTTTTCCCCTTAGCTAATTTTGATTTATTAACGTGTTGAGGGGATGTACTGCATGGCAGCCCCCCGATCCTCATCTGCTGCTGTTCATGATCTTGCAAAATCCGTTTCCCTTGATCCTGAGTGAGTATGTGATTTATATCTAACTGATAGAATATGGTAAAGACGACAGGATGTCATCACTTCCATGATTCTGTAAGACTGTCTTGTAATACAGTTGCTCTAGTCTGCTCTAGTCCTTTTCATACAGATGAAGTAAGTGGCCCTATTAGGGAAGTTCACATGTCAAAGAACTCCAGGTAAAGTGTTTAGGAAATGTGGGCAGCTGTTAGGAGCTGAGGAGAATCAACAGAAACTTATGACCACCCCTAGCTACAGCCAACAAGAAATCAGGACCTTCTGTCCCACAACTGCAAAATAATGAATCTGACAAATAGCCGACTAATCTTGGAAGTGGATCTTCCCCATTTTAGCCTCCAGGTAAAAAACAAACAACCACATTAACAAGTGGGCAAAGGACATGAACAGACAGTTCTCAAAAGAAGATATACATGCTGCTAACAAACATGAAAAAAAAAACTCAACATCATTAATCATTAGAGAAATGCAAATCAAAACCACAATGAGATACCATCTCACACCAGTCAGAATGGCTATTATCAAAAAGTTAAAAAACAACAGATGCTGGTAAGGTTGTGGAGAAAAAGGAACACTTTTACACTGTTAGTGGGGTGTAAATTAGTTTAACTCTTGTGGAAGACAGTGTGGCAATTCTTCAAAGACCTAGAGGTAGAAATGTCATCTGACCCAGCAATCCCATTACTGGGTATATACCCAAGGTAATATAAATCATTCTATTATAAAGATACATGCATGTGTATGTTCACTACATACACTGCATACACTGCATATTCACAACAGCAAAGACATAAAGTCAACCTAAATGACCATCAATGATAGACTGGATAAAAAAATGTGGTACATATATACCATGAAATACTATGCAGCCATGAAAATGAATGAGATCACATCCTTTGTAGGAATCCATAGATGGAATTGGAAGCCATTATCCTCAGCAAACCAATGCAGAAACAGAAAACCAAACACCGCATGTTCTCACTTATAAGTGGGAGCTGAATGATGAGAACACATGGACACATGAGAGGGAACAACACACAATACAACCTGTCGGAGGGTGCGGGGTGGGAGGACGGAGAGCATTAGGAAGAATAGCTAATGGATGCTGGGCTTAATACCTAGGTGATGAGATGATCTGCACAGCAAACCACCATGGCACACATTACCTATGTAACAAACTTGTACATCTGCACATGTACCCCTGAAGTTAAAATAAAAGTTGGAAATGAAACAAAAACAAACAAACAAAAAAAGACATAGCCCAGCCCACACTCTGATTACAGCCTTGGGTGACCTATGAGCAAAAGACACAGCTAAGATGTACCCAGATTCCTGACCCATAAAAATTGTGAGATAAAAATGCATATTGTTTCCAGCTGCTAAACTTGTGGCAATTTCTTCTGTAGTAAAAGAAAACTAATACAATGTATATAAGATAAGATAGTATCATTTATGACTATCAGTTACCTACTTCCATTTCTCTGGGTAAGGCCATCTTCATTTCTTAGTAGGAAAATTTGTTGTAGTCATTTTCTAGAAAACTCTACTTTCCATTCATGAATAGTTTCTAGAATAGTTTTCAAAGTTGTTTCTAGGGGAGACTCTTATCAAAACAATAAAACACATGATTTGTCTTTGGAATTTCTATCTTTTACTTATTCTCCTCTTTCTATAGTCTTCTATTCCCACTTAATCAGATGAATTCCCCAGTCCTTTAATCTATTGTTTCTTCCCCTCTCCTCCTGACAATGAATCTTTCAGATCCCTCACAATCCTTCTCATTCTAACAATTCACTCTTAAGATTAATAGACCAAAATAGCTTAATTCCATTTGCATATGTACAGAGACTTACACAAACACACTGCCATCCCATGGTTATTAAGTGGACCATTATTATAAATAAAAGTTGAAGAGAAATTTCAGTATATAGAACAGGTAAAGCAAGGTTGATGGTAGATGGTGTTGTAGATGGAGATGGAGAATGTGGGTAGGGGTTGATAGAAAACCCAGTACAATTCCAGCTCAACATCTGCTACACTCTTTAACACATGCAATGTCAGCCCAGCAGCATCAATGGGCAACCATAAGGTTTTGGTTAAGACAGTTTGAAAATCACTGCTTTAAACCAAAAGAATTATTCTCTGATGGGGATATATCTCAATAGTTCTCAAAAGAGATTGGTTTACAGTCTTAATGGAATCATGCCATTTTGCCAAAGTTTAAACTGTATGATGTCAATTTATCCTCAAATTCTTAACATCCTCAAATCACATATAAACCTACTGTACCAATTTCACAAACTTTATTTTCCTGCTCGCTCACCCTTGGGTAAAGTTGACTGGTTGAAACAAAACTATTCACAGAATGTAGACTTTTTCATTTTTCCCACAACACAGTGAATGCACTTGGGGGCATCACTGACCCTTACTGTATTGGATCAAAAATTGACTTTTTTCCTCCTTGTAGCCTCTTATCTTCCATGTGCAAGCAAAACCTTATATCATAATCACTGGTAGAATGTTTTGTTCAACTTCTCTATTGCATCCTTAAGAAACTGAGAAAAAAAAATTGCCTCTTAAAAAAAGCAGTACATCTACATATTAAAAAATTTAAAAGAATATCCATCATAGTAGTGATCTTGAGAATCTTGGATAACTTGTATTTAACATTTATATAAGGTATGTGCATATTATTTTATTAAAATAATTCATATCTCCATGTAGACTTTTAGCAAAAAGATTTTAAAAGCTTGTGTACTAATAGGAATGCATCTGGCTACTAGCAACAATAGCTACAATTGAATTAATTCCTACTATATGCCAAAGCATAGCTAAAAACTACATAAATATAGCAATTTCTGAAGAAAACATATAATGAAGTTATTAACTCCATATAACAATTAGTAAACAAGCTAGGATGGGTGAGGAATCCTCAAAGCAGAGACAGCTAGTAAGCTCTGGAGATGAAATCTAATCTCATCCCTCATTATCTCCAATGCTTGTGTTCTGAATCACTCTGTCACTGGTTTGATTCTAGGATGGAATGAGGTTGCAAAGAAAATAAAATGGATAATTATTTATGGTAATTGGTATTTGCACTATGATATTCTCATATCAATTCCTAGGTACTCTCTTGCCTTTAAGATAATCCCAAACTTTACAAAGTGGCAATTTCGGCCGGGCATGGTGGCTCACACCTGTAATCCTAGCACTTTAGGAGGTTGAGGTCGGCGGATCACCTGAGGTCACGAGCTTGAGACCAGCTTGGCCAGCATGGTGAAACCCCGTCTCTACTAAAAATACAAATATTAGCCAAGTGTGGTGGTGTGCACCTGTAATCCCAGCCATTCAGGAGGCTGAGGCAGGAGAGTCGCTTGAACCCAAGGGTCGGAGGTTGCAATGAGCCAAGATCGTGCCAGTTCACTTAAGCCTGGGCAAAAGATCAAAACTCCGTCTCAAAAAATAAAAACAAAAATAAAAATAAAGTGACAATTTCTTTCATATTTCCATGTTTATACTTAGGACCTCTTGAAAGACCTTTCCTTTCTATCCAAACCTATATGTTGTCAAATACAGGTTTTCCTATTTTCCTGCCTCCATACATTCATGCCATTCAAAACATAATCCTGAAATATGATCTCTCCATACAAGGACTACATCAAATCTTACCTACTCAGTGAAACCTTCTCTAACACTAAATGCAAGAAAATTGCCTCATGTTGGGTGGCACTGGTGCTAATAATAACGAAGGTATTGGAGTTTCCATCTTAGTCACAAGTGATTTCTTTCTCCTCTGAATTCATAGAACAGTGGGTGTCAATATCACATATTCAGAATATATATTGCCTTATACTTTTAAAATCAAAATATGAACATGTTGTATCTTTTCTACAACATTGTAGAGGAAAAGACTACTTGCTTCAGAGAGTAATAAATATAGTTTATTATATTAAGGTATTTAATAATTATTTTTTGATGACGAGAATTCCTAGATCTATGATGAAAAAAATTGTCATTTTTTTAAATGAGCATACAGTTATCACCTTGTCATTTTAGGTTGATAATTCAGCATTTTAGTTTTCCTCTACTAACCTCCCGGGCACTTTTCTCCAATTTTGTGCTTTAGTCATAGCCACATAATCCAAGCGTCAACGTTGTGTTGAGGTTGTATTTTACATGTGATTTTTGTTGGTGCACTTCCATTTTTAAACATATTGAGACATTTTAAACATACGAAATGATAGAAATCAAGAATATATAATGTTTAAAGCCAATATTTTCAGACACCTAAAATTTGGTACCATCTCTCATTTACTCTTACCTCTGTAACTGATACTTCATTCATTCAGTGATTTAATCATTAAACATTTATTGCACTGCTCTCATCCATCATACACTTTACGAGGTATTTGAGATGCAGGGATTTTAAGAGGCCATTATGTGGTGATCCAGATACATCAATAGACCATAAAAATGTAAAATAATAATTATTCTACCAGAGATATTCACAAGGTGAAACAGAAGTACAAAGGAAGACATCCTTAAGTCAGCCTGGCAAGGCTTAGTCCCATTCAAGTGTTAACCCCAGATTTTGAGAAGAGGCTTCTTATGAATCTTAATCTGAACTCTGTCTTGGAGTTAAATAAGTTCTCATTCAAAGTACAGCTCTGAAATGTCAGGGCAATCTAATATCAATAGCCCTTTTAGAACCTGAAAAATAATTACTGGCTTGAAAATGTTGGGGGGATGGTAGGTAGGATTTGTGTCTTCTTTATACATTTATTCATTATACTTTTTATAGGTTTTTTATAATCCCTGAGTAAATGCTTTGATAAATTGCTTTCCCATGTTGTTGGTGATAGCACTTACTGGAAGTCATACACAAAGTATATACATATGCTATTAGAAGGTGGTGCTTATCCAATTTATTCTTACCAACAAGTATTATACACTGACCCCATCAAAATCCATGTCCCTACTGATATTTTGAGCATGATATCAGCTGGTAGTTAGTGAAAAAATAAGCTCATTATTGCTTCCAGCTATAACTTCTGCGGTCCAGTTAAAAACTCTTATGTAAGGCCATTTTCAATTGAATACATGGTTTTCAAAAAAAAAAAATCATTTGTGAGACAGTTGTTTTATTATGGACACATTTTTATTTTCAAATAAAGATTGCAAGTAGAAATTATGATCCCAGTTCAATTTTCTATTAATCTAATATATTAAAATATAGTAGACAAATGTTAATAATAAAATATATATTCTATCTGCTAGTTTCCAAATGATTTATGAAGAAGGATGAGAAAGAAACTTTTTAATTCCTGGTTCATAAGTCAAACTATGGCTAAATTTTTGAATATGTGATATTCTTTTACCATATTATTTCCTTTCTACATCTGTATTAACAATTTCAGAAACTATACTCACTGCTGTAGCTCACACGACATCTCCTGTCTCCCAAAGGATTTCCTGATGAAAATAATACCTATAGCAATCAGGTAATGCTTACTTACAACCTCAAAAATCCTTACATATACCAACTCCTCCTATCCTCACAGCAACCCTACACCTATGAGGTAGATAATGCTATTATCCCAATTTTTCATATTAGGAATCCAAGGCACAAGAAGTTAAATAACTTACCCACAATCACACAGCTAGTAAGGGCAGAACTTTAATTTTGACTGAGGCAGTCCAGCTGTAAAGGCCATGCTGTTAATTATCTTTTCACTGAATTAATTGTGTGGGGGCTCTAGTAATGAAAGGTGGAAGGGCAGTGTAGCCCATGTTCACATGTGTCACTTATGAGCTGGATTCTTCTCTGTTAGAGACTTAAGTATGTGTGTCATGGTCAAAAACAATTTAAAGGCATAATTTCTCACTAAATTAGAGGACACAGTTTCTTTTAAATGTGTTTCCATTATCCTGACTGTTTTTTTTTTTTTTTAATGCAGCTTATTGAATTTACTGTAGGTGAGTTGTATACCCATTGAGCTGTCAGGACATTTTACCTGCCCCAATCTCTAATACAAACAAACAAACAAACAAACAAACAAGCACTCCTGTTATAGTACAGAACAAGAAAACATTTCAATTTGTCATGATTGTTTTGACAGTGAACAAAGTTTTTCATAACTGGCAGGCTTAGCTCAGGCCAAACCCTATTTAAAAGATGGCATTGAATCCTCACAAAAACTTAGTATATTCATTCCAATTTTGCTTCATTAAGTGATAAACATATAAAGTGTTTAACTTCATTAAATGTCAAATGAAGCTTTTAATTGATATATAAATATTGGCAGAATTTTAAAAATGATAATATCCAGTTTGGTCAAAGAGGCAGGAAAATAGGTACTCATATGCATTCTTGGCATAAATATATATTTATACAGTCTTTTTATAGGACAATTTGTCAATAACTATTAACTTTTAAAAAGGTTGTTCCACACAATTTCACTTCAGAGAATGTATCTTAAAGAAGTACATAAATGCCTTGATAAATGGGTAGTAAATAGATGTTAGACAAACAATGAAGTGATGGAAAGATACACATTTTCAATGACTTGTAAATAGAGATTTCTGGAAAATAGCTTACATGCCTGTCAATAAGTGGGCAGTTAAGTAGACTATGGCACTTTCATACAAGAAAATACTATAAAGCTGCCAATATTGTTGAATGAACACAGCAAATTGAAGAACAATATCTGGAGTATAAAGAGCATTTCTGTTAAAAAAAAAAAAAAGAAGAATGAGAGGATATTACTTTTAAAAAATATATAGTTCTGAATCATTTGCTTTTTTTGCAATTAAAAACAAAGATAAAAGCATAACTTCCCCAATTGATAATTTTTAAAATGGTATTTATTTTGGTTTGATGCATGTACTACTTGATTCATTTTAATAAAAATGGATGTACGCTCTTTACATTGATGTTTCTTTATGCTATGCATATTGTGATTTCCTAAAAACAACTTGATAAAAAATAATAGTGAGAAACCGTTTCCTTACTTTTTCCCCTCAGTTGTGAACCTGTTGATCTCATTATCTATGCCTAACAGAAATCATTGAAATCCTTTCAATGTCAGCCTCTTTCTCTTTAGTTGTTAGTTCTTTCCAAAGCTATCCTAAGCTACAAGAATATTTTCTTCTGTTGTCAGTTGGCTATTAAAACACTACTTTGACAACAAACAACTTGTAACAAATACTCACACCAAGATTGCTGACTACTTATTTCCCATGATTTGGGTTCACTTTTTAAAGGTAGACTTCTTTACAGCTTGTAGCAATCTGTAGCACGAGAATGACTGCTGCTTGTGCTGTATTTCCATTATACCAAAAATTTGAAGTCACACAGAAGTAAGATTTGCAAAACGATAAGCAAATTTACTAATGTGGAAGGGCCTCTTAACATTCATTCCAAACCTACAGTTAACTTCTTAAATTAAGAGTCTCCAATAGAGCTTTAAGTTGACTTACTCTTTTGTTCACAAATGAATGAATGAATTCATTTTTGACTATCTCATGAAAATCAGGAAAATTTGGGTAATACTACAATAATGAAGCTTATTTTCAATATGCTTAAACTCTAAAAGAAAAGTAAGCCAAATGCATAAAGACTCATCATATTAAGATAGGAGGATTAAGAATCCATGCATAGTCAGAGATGAAGTATGATTAGAAGTTCAGATTAGGGAAAGGTTATTGTATACAAGGAGGATTCAAACATGTTACATGGGTAGTAGGAAGCCAGAAATCATTAATGTCAAATAAGAAAGCTATTTAATTAATTGTATTTCTGGCTTTATTGAAAATGAATTTAGGTGAGCTAAGGAGGTTAGATTTTGTCCTGTCAAAAACAATATACGTTTTGTGCTATACAAGTGACATGATCTAAATTTTTTTTTCCTTGGCATACTTACTTTGCTTCTATAATTCCTTTAGCTAGGTGTCCTCGAGTTGTTTTGTTTGTTTATCTATTTTTCAAGGGAATCCAAAAACTAATCCACATAATCTTTATACTTACTCTTCTGGCATGTAGAAGTGGGGTGTCATATTCTTTGAAAATTTTATGAACAGTATGTTATTTTTGGCTATTCAAGTAGCCTTTTATTCCTTGACTGATTAGAACTCCATGGGAACTCACAAGGCAACTAGAGTGGAAATTCAATTTAAAACCAGAGACCTTGATATAAGATAATGATCCCTAGCTCTGCCCTCATTTCCTCTTCTTCCTAGTGTTCTGTCTAGACCTGCTTCCTATTTATTCACTTTGTCACAACACCGTAGCATTTCTGGCCAGCAAATCTTCTGGATTTGGAACAGGTTAGGTAATTTCAGTGAATATAACTTCTGAAAATGGAATTTCACTTTACAGAATAAAAACCGACTATATATTTTTTAAAAACCCTTTATAAAAATTGTTTTACCTAGTGGTTAGAAAATGTTTTCAAATTGTACTATAATTAATCATAGTTTTAAGAGTTATTAAAATTATGGTACCACCTCCTTCTAAACCATAGTTGATTTTGTATCTAAAAGTCTGGGTCTTTGTAAAAAACAAAGCTGCTAGTTTGAAAAAAAAAATCACTGTGAAATATATTTGTCCATATTTAACTGAAGTAGAAATATTATTAAGGAAAATCAGGGAAACATATCTAACATAAGATAGGCTAAGGAGTCACATTTCATCCTTGTTGTAACTCTTGCTATGCTTTTTGTTAAATGGAGTCCACATTATCAAGTAAACTGTGAAAGCTAATCAGCTCAAAAAACCCCAGGGCGCTTCTTATTGCTGCAATATTTTATAATGCTTCCCTGGTTTTGGACAAAAAATAATATTTGGTGTTGCAAAGAAGCATACAACATTTTGTCTAGATGAATTTTATAACTTGGCTTTAATCACCTAAACAAAGCACATGTAAAATTTAGATGCAAAATTTTGTCAAAATCAGGTAAGGCTTAATTCATTGAATCACTTCCAAATATTGGTAATTGGTGAAGTTTCTATGTAAAACTGGTTCTATGTATGAACAAATTAGACTCAGAAAGGCACCTCATAAGCTGATATTGGCAATCCCAAGAAGACACTACATATACAATCAATGTGCACATATTCCTGAAGGTTAAACTTCAGGGTGATCTGAGATGATGGACATTGGTTTTGGTTTTTCATGCTTTTTACTTACACGATAAAAATTTGCTCAATGGTATTTGCATCATGGCTCTTTTATTTCCAGTATAGATACATTTATAATAAGCCATTCATATTATCATAAGATACTTGCACAGGTCCTTTATACATCCTTCTAAGTTAGAATCCTGTTATTCAAAAAAATTATCATATCTTTTCAATGGAACTAGATATACCAAAAACTCATGTTGTATCAATGTTTAATATTATTCAGACTATTCTTCATTCAGTAATATCTCCAAACGTCTGATTTCAGGTCCCTTGGAGTTGTGTTTTGGCAATTGTTTTAAATCATCTAGCACAAAATGGCATGTTTTGTCAATTTCTAGGTATGAATACTTTGCAACATAATGAAATTCTACAGATAAAATTATTGACTAGCTCTACAACATGCTATATTGTGTGTGTGGTTTTTTTTTAAGAGTTTATTTTTTAGAGGACTTTCAGGTTAGTTTCACAATAACATTGAATAGAAAGTACAGAGAGTTCTCACATACCCCTTGTCCCCCACACACAATCTTCTCCACTATCAACATCCCCCACCAGGCCAGGTTAGATCACTGGCTCATACCAGTCATCTAAACACTTTGGGAGTCCAAGACTGGAGGATTGCTTGAGGCCCAGAGTTCAAGACCAACTTGGGCAACATCATGAGACTCTAGCTCTACAAAACATTTAACAATTAGCTAGATGTGGTGGTGTGCACCTGTAGTCCTAGCTACTTGGGAGGCTAAGGTGGGAGGTTCACTGAAGCCCAGAAGTTTGAGGCTGTAGTGAGCTATGATGATACCACTGCACTCCAGCCTGGTCAAGAGAATGAGACCCTGCCTCAAAAACAAAACAAAACAAAACAAAACAAAACAACAAAAACACCGAACTGGTACAATTACTATGGTCAATGAACACACTTTAACACATCATTATCACCCAAAGTCCAAATTTTACATTAATGTTAACTCTTAGTGTTACATTTTCTGTTGGTGTTGACAATGTATAATGACACTTATCCACTATTATAATATCATATGGACTGTATTTTTTTGGCCCTAAAAATCTTCCATACTCCACCTGTTGTGGGAAGTCAGGGACCCCGAATGAAGGGACTGGCTGGAGCTGCGGCAGAGGAACATAAATTGTGAAGATTTCATGGACATTTATCACTTCCCTAACAATACTCTTATAATTTCTTACGCCTGTCTTACTTTAATCTCTTAATCCTGTTATCTTTGTAAGCTGAGGATGTACGTCATCTCAGGATCACTGTGATGATTGGGTTAACTGTACAAATTGATTGTAAAACAAGCTTGTTTGAACAATATGAAATCAGTGCACCTTGAAAAAGAACGGAATAACAATGATTTTCAGGGAACAAGGGAAGACAACCATAAGGTCTGACTGCCTGTGGGGTCGGGCAAAATAGAGCCATATTTTTTCTTCTTGCAGAGAGCGTATAAATGGATGTGCAAGTAGGGAAGATATTGCTAAATTCTTTTCCTAGGAAGGAATATTAATAGTATGACCCTGGGAAACGAATTGTATTCCTGGGGGGAGGTCTATAAATGGCTGCTCTGGGAGTGTCTGTCTTATGCGGTTGAGATGAGGACTGAGATAAGCCCTGGTCTCCTGCAGTACCCTCAGGCTTACTAGGACTGGGAAACGCTAGCCTGGTAAATTTGAACTCAGACGGGTTATCTGCTCTTGAACTCTGTTTTCTGTTAAGATATTTATCAAGACAATACGTGCACTGCTGAATATAGACCCTTATCAGGAGTTTCTGATTTTGCCCTGGCCCTGTTTCCTCAGAAGCAGTGATCTTTGTTTTCCTTTTTGCCCTTTGAAGCATGTGATCTTTGTGACCTACTCCTACCCTTTTGAAATCCTTAATAAAAACCTGCTGGTTTTGTGGCTCAGGTGGGCATCATGGTCCTACCTATAAGTGATGTCACCCCTGGAAGGCCCAGCTGTAAAATTCCTCTCTTTGTACTCTTTCTCTTTATTTCTCAGCCAGCTGACACTAAAGGAAAATGTAAAGAGCCTACATTGAAATACTGGGGGCAGGTTCCCCCGATACCACCTATTCATTCATCCAAATTTCTTCCTTAGCTATTGGTAACCACCAATATTTTTACTTTTTCCATACTTTTTACTTTCTCTAGAATCTCCTATAGTTGGGGGTCACACATAATGTATTATTTCAAATTTGCTTCTTTCACTTAGAAGTATGTTCCTCCATGTTTTTTTGTGACTTAATAGCTCATTTCTTTTTAGAAATGAATAATAATCCATTGACTGAATGGACCACAGTTTAATTATCCATCCATACACTGAAGGACATTTTGGGTGCTTCCAAGTTTTGGCAATTGTGAAAAAAGCTGCTATAACATCCATGTTTAAACCATTCAGGTTTTGTGTGTATGCGTATGTACAAAGGTTTTCAACTCATCTAGGTAAATACCAAAGAGCACAACTGCTGGATTGTATGGTAAGATATGTTTCATTTTATAAGAAACTTCCAAACTGTTTTCCAAAGTGGCTGTACCACTTTTCATGTCCACCAGCAATGAATAAGAGGTCCTGTCACTCCACATCCTTACCAGCATTTGGTGTTGTCACCATTCTGGATTTTGGCCATTCTAATAGGTATGTAGTGGTAACTCCTTGTTGTTTTAATTTGTAATTCACTAGTATCATATGATGTGAAGCATCTTCTCATATTCTTGTAATATTTGTCTTCTGTATATTTTCTTTGGTGAGGAATCTGTTTAGGTCTTTTGCCCACTTTTCTTTGGGTTGTTAATTCTTTTACTGTTGACTTTTAAGCATTCTTTGTGTATTTTGGGTAAATGTCCTTTATCAGCTATTTTTTTTCAAATATTTTCTTCTAGTTTGAGGCTTAACATTCACATTATCTTAACAATGTCTTGCCCGGAGCAGACATTTTTAATTTTAATCAAACCCAGATTATATATTCTTTATTTCATGAATTGTGCCTTTGGTGTTGTACATAAAAAGTGATAGCCATACCCAATTATATATAAATGATCTCCTATGTTATCTTCTAGGATTTTTATAGTTTTGTATTTTGTGTTCAGACCTATGCTCCATTTTTAATCTTTGTGAAGCTGTAAGTTCTTTGTCTAAATTCATTTTATTTTGGCCATGGATATCCAGTTGTTGCAGTACCATTTGATGAAGAGGCTATTTTTTTCTCCATTCTATTGTCTTTGCGCCTTAGTAAAAGATCAGTTGACTATATTTATGTGGAACTATTTCTGTGCTCTCTATTCTGTTCGATCGATCTGTCTATTCTTGCTTCAATACCACACTGTTTGGTTACTGTATATTTAACACAAATTGGTTAACGTCAGTCCTGTGACCTTGTTTTTTCTTTCAATATTGTGTTAGCTATTCTGGGTCTTTTGCTTTTCCATATACATTTTAAAATCAATTTTTTAATATCAACAAAATAACATGTTGGGATTTGACTGGGATTGCATCAGATCTATAAATCAAGTTGAAAAAAATGACATCTTGACAATATTGAGTCATCCTATTCGTAAAAACAGACTATCTCTCCATTTGGTACTTCTTTGATTTCTTTAATCAGTTTAATAGTTTTCCTCATATAGCTTTTATACATATTTTGTTAGATATAAACCTAAATATTTCATTTTTGGGGTGCTAGTGTAAACAGTACTGTGTTTTTAAATTAAAATGCACTTCTTTAATGCTGATATATGGGAAAGTGGTTAACTTTTGTATCCGAGAAGCTTGGTATAAACACTTATGAGTTCCAGGACTTTGTTGTTGTTGATACTTTCAGATTTTCTACATAGGAAATCACATCATCTGCAAAGAAAAATAGTTTTACTTCTTACTTCCCAATTTGTATACCTTTTATTTCTTTCTCATCTTGTTGTATTAGCTAGGACATCAAGTCCCATTATGTTGAAAAGGAGCAGTGAGTGGGAATATCCTTCCCTTGTTTCTTATCTTAGCTGGAAAGCTTCTAGTTTCTCACTATTAAATATGAAGTTAACTTTAGAATTTTTTTTGTAGATGTTCTTTACCAAGTAGAAGAAGTTTCCCACTATTCTTAGTTTATTGAGTGTTTTATCATAAATGGAGTTGGATTTCTGTTAAATGATCTTCCTATATCTATTGATACAATCAAGTGGTTTTTCTGCTTTAGCCTTTTGATGTGAGGGTAACATTAATAGATTTTTCAAATCTATTACCTGGAATAAATCCCACTCACATACCTGGAATAAATCCCACTTGGTTCTGTTGTATAATTCTTTTTATAAATTGCTGTATTCAATTTGCTACTATTTGTTGAGGATTTTTGCATTTATCTTCATGAGAGACAATTATGTCTACTTTGTTTTTCTTGTAATGGTCTTTGCCTGGTTTTGGTATTAAGTTAATGCTGTTGTCATAGAATGAGTTAGAAAGTATTTCCTTCACTTTTATTTTCTGGAAGAGATGACAGAATGTTTGTAATAATTCTTCAATAAATGTTTGGTAAAATTTACCAGTGAACCTGCCTTGCCTATTGCTTTCCGTTTTAGATCATTGTTAACTACTGATGCAATTTCATATATATAGGCTTACTTCTTCTCGTGTAAGCTTTGACAAATTGCACTATTTCATCTCGGTTTTCAAGAAATTTGGCCATTTCATCTAGGCTTTCTAATTTGTGGGCACAGAGTTATTAATAGTCTTCCTTTATCAACCTTTTGATGTCTAAGGTATCTGTAGTGAGGTTACCTCTTTCATTCCTGACATAAGTAATTTTTATCTTTTTTTTTCTTAGCCTGGCTATATGCTATCAATGTTTTTCATCTTTTGAAAAACTACGTTTTTGTCTCATAGCTTTTCTATATTGATTTCCTGTTTTCAGTTTTACTGATTTCTGCTCCATTTTTTGTTTCTTTTCTTCTGCTTACTTTGCATTTAATTGCTCTTCTTTTTTATAACGTTCTAAGGTGAAAACTTAAATTATTGATTTTAGATCTTTTTTCTTTTCTAAACTATATTTGAAATGCTATATATTTCCCTGTAATCATTGTTTTCACTCTATCCCAACATTTTAAAAAGTTGTATTTTCATTGCCATTTATTTCAAAATATTTTAAAATTTCTCCTGAAATTTGTTTGGAATGAGGTGTTATTTAGACGTGTGTTGTTTATTCTCCATTGGCATTTTCCATTTATCTCCCTTTATGTATTTCTAACTTAATTTCACTCTGGTCTGAGAACAGACATTATATAAATTTGTTAGGATGTGTTTTATGGCCAAGAATCTGGACTATCTTGGTGAATATTCCATATGAGCTTGAAAAAAACGTGTATTTCCTTGTTGTGGATGAAGTAGCCAATAGATATCAATTACAAGTGATTAATTAATGGTACCTTTGAGTTCAACTATGTCCTTGCTTATTTTCTGCCTGCTGGGTCTGTCCATTTTTGATTAAAAGGCATTGAACATTTTATATGATGCCATTTTCTCTCTCTCTTTTTTTAACTCTTTCAGTTGTTGTCCTAGAATTTGTAGTATACAGTTACAACTAATTCAAGTCCACTTTCAAAGAATACTATACCCTTTCACAGGTAGTATAGGTACCTTATAATAATAAAGTATTCTTAATTCCATCCTCCTATTCCTTGTATTATTTTTGTCATTCATTTCACTAATACATGAGTTCTGTTTATCAAATACCTTTTTGATAATTTTTGGATACATTGTTACCTGTTAGGTAAGTGAATATGAAATATAAAAGATTTTATTTGGCCTTCATTTGTTTCTTCTCTAATGGTTTTCCTTTTTTAAACGTAGATCAGAGTTTCTGACCTATATATTTTCCTTCACTCTGAAGAACTTTTTAAAATCATTATTTTTAAAAGCAGGTTTATTGATGATAACACATTCCCTCAATATTTACTTGTCTAAGAAATCTTCCTTTTATCTTCACTTTTGAAGGGTGAATTCTAGGTTGGTGTGAGTTTTCTCTCAAATGTTTAAATATTTCACCCCATTCTCTTCTTGCTTGCAAGATTTCTGAGGACAAATAAGATCTAATTCTTATCTTTGCTTCCCTGGAGGTGAGGTATTTTTTCTCCTTCTGGTATTTTTCAAGATTTTTTTCTTAATATGATATGTTCAGGTGTAGTGTTTTTTATTGGATTTTTTTTTTCGCATTTATCCTGCTTAATGTTCTGTGTTCCGTGTGCTTCCTGGATCTGTGGCTTGGTGTCTGACATTAATTTGAGGACATTCTGAGTCATATTGCTTCTAAGATTTCTTCTCCTTCTGTCTTCCCATTATGTGAAGTTATACCATTTGTAATTGTACCACAGTTCTTGGGTATTCTGTATTTTTTTTTCAGTCTTTCAGTTTTTCAGTCCTTTCAGTTTTGGAAGTTTCTATTGGCACATCTTCAAGCTGAGAGATTCTTCAACCATTCTCAGTCTACTAGTGAGTGAATCAAATGCATTTTCATGTCTGATACAGTGTTTTTGAGCTCTACAATGATGTTTTGATTCTTTCTTAGAATTTCAATCTCTCTGCTTACATCACCTAACTGTTCTTGCATATTGTCTTAATGTTGTTCTTTAGGGCCCTTAGCATGTTATTCAAAGTTTTAAAAAATTCCTGGTCTAATAATTCCAAATTCGTGCCACATTTGACTCTGGATCTGATGTTATTCAATTGCTTCAATCTGTGTTTTCCTGCCTTTTGGTTGTAACTTTTTCTCATACAGTGGCTCAATCTCAGATCACTGCAATCTCTGCCTCCTAGGCTCAGGTGATCCTCCCACCTCAGCCTCCTGTATCTGGGATTACAGGTAAGCACCACCATGCCTGGCTAATTTTTTGTATTTTTTTGTAGAGTTTGAGTTTCTCCATGTTGCCCAGGTTGGTCTCGAACTCTTGAGCTCAAGCAATCCACCCGTCTCAGCCTCCCAAAGTGCTGGGATTACAGGTGCAAGACACCATGCCCGGCCACCTTGTAACCTTTTCTTGATAGACAGATATAATGTACTAGGTAAAAGAAATTATAGTAAATAGGCCTTTAGCATGTGGTGGTAAGATGTTAGGGGAAGACAAATAACAGTCCTATAATTATAATTCTATAATCTCTGTCTTTTAGTGAGTTTGTGCCCCTGGACTGTGGACTTCACAAGTGTCTCTTCACAAGTGTCCACAATCTGTCTCCTTGGGACAGAATAGCTAGAGGAAGCTGGAATCAGGTATTTTTCTTCTCTTATATCAGTTGGGACCTGATAAAACCCCAATATATAAGGCTCTGATAAAATAGCTTCTCCTGAAGGCAGCCCATGCTCATAAGAACAGAATGCTCCGGAGTATTTCAAACTAGTTACTTTTCTGCTCCCACTGCCAGAATCAGCAGGGGATCTTTCCCTGATCTTCACTTTGAAAGCCTGGTAGAGATTCTGGAGTTAAAACTCACAAAAGTGTGAGGGCCCCAGTATGAATGTCCTCGCTGGACTATTTTACTCTCAGACTTGTCCACACCAAGCCTACAGCAGTTTGTCAATTACATCTCAGGTTTTCCTACTCTTAACTAATTCCAGTGGAGCATTCTGCTCTGCTCTGTTAAGTTGTGATTCTCTATATCCAGTCCGTGTTTCCAATTTGGAGGGCATAAGTTTGCTCTGTAACCTCACTTCTCTGATGAATCTAAAAAGAGTGGTTGATTTTTTTTTCAAATTGTTCAGATTTTTACTTGTTGTTAGGATAGAGTAACAACTTCCAAGCTCCTTACTTTTGTGACTGGAAACTTACACTCCAGCTTTTCAGACAATAAAAATAATTTCTAAACTGAGGGCACAAATCTTCTGTATACCATTGATTTTGTATTTATAACCTCACGCTAGGAAGCATTCATATATTCAGGGCTTTGAAGATAAACCAGTTCTTCCTAAACTCTCTATATGACAATCTACTGCCTTTTTCCATTGTCTTGTCTGCCTTCCTCAAGGTCGGTTTCAAACAGTGCATTTAAAGCATGCAACAGTACATGGGTTAAAAAACAGAGAACATATTAAGGACTGCATAAACAACAAAGGCATTGGAATAGTAGCCATTCAAAAAAGGTAAGAATCCATGGCCATTCTTAAGCACAAACATAGTTTTTAAATCAGCTTATTATGATGATAATAGCTTTTACATTCAGGAATGAAGGAATAGAATATTTTAAAAAATTAATGTTACTTAGGATTAGTCTATTAAAGATTAGTTTTTCAAAGAAAAATGGTAGGCCTGACAAAACTAGAAAACTTGTTTTAAAATTTCAAGATGCATTTTTGCCAGCTAAAACTTTAAAGTCAACTTTTGAAGCTTTAAAACAAGATGACCCTTCTTGTCTTCATGATAGACATGCTATTCCATATTTTTCCCTGAAATAGGCCAATAACCTTCACATTGAAATCTGTTGAAGTTGGTAATTCCCTCCCTTAAAGTTCTACAAAGCATTTTAGGGGACATGTAACTACTAGGCTAACAAACCTTGCAGTCTCACACTTGTGTATCACTCATCCACCATATTTTGACTAGGAGCATTTTCACTTTGTATAATCTTTAGGTTCTCAAACTATTAGCCCTGATGATAGACCTGACCTTATCTGCTCTTTACCTGAAACTTTGCTTGTAAATGTTCCTTTATCTAAAACACTTTCTCGACACCCCAACCCAAAATAAATATATCTAAAAAATCACCCTTCAAATTTCAGGAAAGGAACCTTATTTAATCATTCCTCCCTACTCCTGGACTACATGTTCTTATAGATCTATGTTCCCTTCTTTCAAAATATTTATATTGGTTTGCAATATGAATTCATACAGTGTGATGATTTGCTATGAAAAATTCACATGTGGTAACCGCTTTTGCTCACAACTGTATTCTTATATCCTAAAGATGGCAAAGAAAGAGTGATAAATAAATAATTGTTGAATCAATAAAATATTGAGGTGTCTCATGAAATCATTACATCTTCCAGACAATTAAACTAGGAGGGCCCTAATAGAATCATACATATGGCTGGGAATAAAGAGAGACACAGCATGTAGGATGCAAAGTACCTAAAGTCAGGTCTCACAACTTTTCTCAGGGTAAATGTTTCCCCATTGACCATTAGATAAATGAATTCCCCTGACAGTCCAAAGCTTCTTCCATTTTCTCCATCCATCCTCCTGAAATGCATATATCCCTGAGAGTCTTTCGAAGTTAATTTATATATTCTTTTCCATCTCATTCGCTGCACTGGGGAATTCAAAACAAAACAAAACCTGAAATAAACCTCAAGGAGCACTAGAATTGAAATTCAGCTACAGTGAAAACTGATTCATTTTTGTCTCACACTATCTGTTTCAAACTCCCAAGGGTGGTGGCTAGGTCTGCTCAACTGTCTTGTAATGATCCTGTCCTCCCACTGTCACTCTCCCCAATCATGAGATGCTGTCTGGTCTGTTTGGAGGCCTAAGACATGAATGAATACCTTAGGGGGCTGTATCAGTATTTATTGTCGGGGTGGTGAAGGGTGGGAGGAAGAAGTAGTGTAATAAAAACCATCTGTGCTGAGAATTATAGAAGCCAGAAAGGGACTCGCAGGGAGTCCTGCATCTATCACCACATGGAAGCCCAATTAAAACACACATTCAAAAAACAGGATCCTGTCAGAATATGCCTCAGTCAGAAAAACTGCAAGTGAAATTACACTGAACTCATTCACTGTTAAGTAGAATAGAATAAATGGAAATAAGAAGGTGGGAATAAAGACCTAATAAAATGTTCTCAGTGTATTTTTTTAACTTCCTCTATTTCAAGTAAACAAAATTCACAATTCTAAGTCTACTAAATGGAACTTTGAATGAAATAAAGATTGGCAGAAGTGATGTTATGTGACAATAAGAATAACCAAATTCCATAACAAGTATCAAGGCAGCATATAATTAGAAGGCATGTTTCGCAGGCATTAATATCTAGAAATATGAAAAGATATATTCTTTAATGCCCTGAAAAGCACAGAATTCAGCTAAAATATGAATATTCAGAAAATAAACATAAGCACACCTGTTAGGTATGTATCATGTATAATTCAGGGATCCCCAAGGAGAGCTCCTTTGTTCCCCATCTGATTAGTTTTGCATCATGAGGTTGACTCTTGCAGATGCCTCATCACTGTGACCATTTTTATCTGTCTGCCTTAGCTGCTCTCTTTCTCTGTATACCTGAAACTGTATAAGCAGTTTCAAGGCTGATCAGTTGACTGTACTATGAATAATAAAATGCTTATCTTTGTCTGGGGGGAGAACTTGGTTAACCCTCTTCCAGTGGAACAGTATTCATAGTAAGAACAGGATGAACAGTTCAGTGTGAAACAATGAGGGAACTCAGCCGAGAAAGCCAGTCTTTCCAACCACCTATGTACACGGTGCTTCTTCGTGTAGCTTCCTTTGCCTCAGCCACCCTCCAGATCAGATTTCAGAGTCACAGCAAGCAGAAGCCTGCTGTCTGTTTTAAACTAATTATCTATCTATCTATCTATCTATCTATCCATCTATTATTGTCTGTCTATCTATCATCTATCCATCATCTATCTATCATCTACATCTGTCCATGCTGAGTTTAAATCAAGGTAATGACCCTAGACCTGATCTATAATAGATTATTTATGTTTTCTTGTTCAGATGCAACCAACAAACAATGTATCTTTGTCAAATTGATAATAATGACTATCATGCTACAATTAATTAAGCAAAACACACATTTTAACCATTTTTCCTCTCCCACATGTCTTTTAATCTTATGTCCTCAAGGGTTCTAACACAGATAGTCTGATGGATGTTCTGCAGAAACCTGAAAAATACCTTGTTCCTGTTCTTTTTATTCCTGAGAACATCACCCTCCTTCAGGTAATAGTGACTATAAGGGTAAGATTTAACAAGTTTCTACTAACATGCCCTATCTCTATTATTTCTAATAAAGTGTTTTGTTTTGTTTTTTAACTCTCATACTATGTCAGTTAAAGGATGCCTGACTGGACATTCCTAATTGCTAATTGGTTTTAGTTTAGTGTGTTTTCAGGTGCTGACTTCTTTTATGCAAAGTTGAGAAATCCAGTTTGATTATTATCCAATCCAATGTTAAATGAATAGTGTTTTGAGTAAGAATGGTTTGTTGTTTTTTGAATTTTAGAAAGATAAATTTTCTTTTGTATGTTTACTTTGGATGTATTTGGGGGGAAAATCTAATATATCTAAGGCCGTGTTCCAAGCTTTCCTTAAATAAATTTTCAAAATTTTACTTCAAATCAAATGCAATAACACATTGAGTAATTATGAATCATATATAATTTTTAATGTCAGGAAGTATTAGTACATGTCACAAATACAAACAGAAATGCTTGCACAAAGAATAATACTTCATTTATCTAAATATAGTATATGAGTGAATTCTGCACATAAACAAAACATCTATTTTAAAGTACTAATTAAAATTATATATGTATACTAATAATATATTTAATTTGTAGTTATCTAGCTACTTACACAAATATACTCAGCATGATTCTCAATATGATTGATAATTCAGGGCTATTTAATAAATGTCAATTATTTAACTAGAGATTAATATGCCAATGTCTCTTGATTTATGAAGGGCTATTGCACCTATGATTTAATGGTTCACATATATGGAAATATTTTTTAAATTCCAGAGGCTATATTTTATGCTTTTAGTATAATCAACCTTTTTGTGAATAATACAAATTCTACTAACTTTTATCCAAACTGAAATATACATCTCGGATGCCATGGTTTGAATGTTTGTGTCTCCCCCAGATTTGTATGTTGAAACCTCAATACCAACATTATGATATTAAGAGGTGGGGCCATTGGGAGCTGATTGGGTCAAGTGCTAGACCCTCATGAGTGAAATTAGTATGCTCATAACAGAGGCCCCAAAGAGTTGCCTTGAACCTTGCATTATGTGAGGACACAGCAAGAAGGTAACATCTGTGAGTCAGGAAATGAACCCTTACCAGATGCCAAATCTACCAGTGTCTTGATCTTGAACTTCCCAGCCACCATAACTGTGGGAAATTAATTTCAGTTGTTTATAAGCTAGCAAGTTTATGGTATTTTGTTATAGCGACCCAAATGGACTGACATCTTATAATTGAGGTTGTTGGATAAGTGGACTCTGAATAAAAAATGTCATGCACATAACTATTAGATGCCTATTTAGCTAGAGATATTTACGTGACTAAACCACGAGATTTTTTTTCAAAAAATGCCACTGTAAAATAGACCCTCATCAGCCAATGGAAAGGTTTGTGCAAATACTTGTTCAGGGGTTAATAGAAAAATCTACTTGGGATGACTGGAACAGTCTCTTTCTAAATTTCACTGGTTATCTTTGAACTATACACCTTTCACATCTTAGCTAAAATGCCACTGTCCTAGGAATAGCTTCCAGGAATCACCCCATTTCAAACTAGATCAGTCCTTGATTAACCCTCCAATTACATATTTACATGAGTTGAATAATATATGCTTCCCCCATTAGATTTAAAAAAATATCTTCCAAGGGAAATAAACTATTTTACTCAATACTGTGAATAAAACACAGAACAGTGTTAAAGAAAAACAGAGTGGGTATGTAATTGACATGTAACAAATAGATGAGTGAATATGGTAATGGTGATTCTGGGTAGAGGGCCTCAAGGAAATATGGTTTGGGGATGATGTAGGCTCTGCAGACAGACAGATCTGGGTTTTGATACTGGCCCCAGCATTTATTATTAGTAATTTTTAATTGTACCTCATCTCTGTGTTAATATTCCCTACTACCTTGAGCTTCAGTGATAATAAAATTAGGTATTTTAGGTAAAAAAATGTATTTATTAAGTGCTTAATGTATTTATTAAGTGATAAGAAAATTAGGTATTTTAGATTAAAAATATATTTTTATGTGCTTAATGCTAAGGAAGATTCTTAGTTTAATTGCAATAATCTATATTTTAGGGCTAACCCTACGTTTCTATCATAGCCTTGCACTTAACAGCTTAGTGATCAAATAGAAGTTATTAATTCTCCTCAAAATTCAGTTTCCTCATCTGTAAAATAGTGATAACACCACTCAAGAACTGTGAAGATTTATATGTCATATTTTAAATAAAGTGTTTAGCCCAGAGGCTAGCACATGGCAAGTACTCAGTATTCCCTCTCATGATCCCTATCATTATTCTCTTAACCACCTAAGCCCCACCACACTCCCTGAACAGCAAGGTGAGCAAGGTTTTCAAAAAGAACTGATATGTATTTAACTATGCATCCTAGAGAAATTAATATAAAAAGATGCATTAACCTTGGGACAACACATAATTCAAGTGTGGGTCAGAAGAGTGAGTTAGTAGAGCAGTTAAGGGTTGCTTCTGGAGTCACACTCCTTCACTAACTACCTGATTCTGTTATTTAAGTATTGTAATACTTAATTTCCTCATCTAGAAATAAAAACAGCCCCAATATATACAGCTTTTTTGATAATTAAATGAGCCAATTAATCAAACACATTTAGTACAGTGCCTTGCCCAGATAAGAACTCACAAAAACTTACTCCATTAAACAACTCACAAATACTATATCCGTATAGGAATAAGGCAATGAGTCTATTAAAGACAAGCTATACTTACAATGGCTCTAGGCTGGGGACTTGGTTATCTTCTCTGTTGGAAAAGAGATGCTAGGAACAATGAAGACAGCCTTTTCATTGGATTACAGCAGTATAGTATCCAGTAAGTCCAGCAAGTCCAGCAATTATATAAAAAAGATTTAAGAAATACTCTACATTTGACAGAATAAAATGTAAATATGTAAAAGCTAATAAAGTAAAGAATAATGCCGGTAGGAGATAGTAGAGACAGAAATGATGAAGGATTGTAAAATGTACCCGGTAATTCAGTAGTGACACATTTATATCGCTATAGAATATTAAGTGAGAAATAAACGTTTTTGACCCTTTAAGGGTTTTATATTAAATTCAGCATTGCACCCACTTGAATGATCAAAATGAACTTGAAAATGTATGTGTGTAAATATAAACAGCATATGCTGAAGTTTCACCATCTCTTATATATAAAAACTTTATTAAAAAGAACATAGTTTTACAAAGCATCTTAGGGAGCCCAAGCCTAGGGTTCTTTGGATTATATCTTTTCTTCTCAGACTGATTAAGTAGCTCAAGCTCTGAATCTAGAATGCCTATGATTGAAACTCAGCTCTACCATTTTACAGAAAAATTACTTAAATTATTTGAGGTTCCTTTACCCCATTTGTAAAATGGACATAATAAACAGTACCTACTTTGTATGACTACAATAAGGATTAAATAAACTAGACATATACAGCATGTAGAATAGAGACTGGCATATAATACTAGATGTTACCATTAACTCCAAATTTTTATTCATGATTAACTACAATAAAAGATTCTAGAAGAAAGCAAAATCTAACTATTTCAAATATGTAGCAAACATTTTTGTTGCATGTGTTTTGCTTAAATATGATTAAGAAACATAGAATTTAAAAAGAAAGTGTATTACAACTCAATTCCTAATTTTTTTTAAATTTTCATTTATTCATTTATTTTTTTATGAAGTCTTGCTCTGTCACCCAGGCTGGAGTGCAATGGCCTGATCTCCGCTCACTGCAAACTCCGCCTCCCAGATTCAAGTGATTCTCCTGCCTCAGCCTCCTGAGTAGCTGGGATTACAAGTGCTTGTCACCACGCCCGGCTGATTTTTGTATTTTTAGTAGAAACAGGGTTTCACCATGCTGGTCAGGCTGGTCTTGAACTCCTGACCTCGTGATCAACCCGCCTCGGCCTCCTAAAGTGCTGCGATTACAGGTGTAAGCCACTGTGCCCGGCCTCAATTCCTAATCTTACCGCTTCAATACTTATTTTTTTAGGCTTCAATATATTTTATTTATTTGCTTATGAAAGCCTCAATGATGACATTTCTGTACACATATACAAACGGTCATACAAATATAATAACTAAAACTGATAAATATGAATTTGCCACTATTGACTTTCTCTTGATGGCTTGTATGAGAGAGACTCTAACTAGTCATGAAGCTGACTGTCTCTTCTTCTTGGTCACACAATTTGCCCTCCGTTTCCCAGCTTCTCTTGCAGTTAGTTATGATCATATGACTATGCTAGCCAAAAGAACGTGAGCAAAAATGATAAGCACCTCTTGAAAACTTGGATCATAAAATGCTCCATGCTCTTTCCTTCTGGTTGTCCAATTGGTATTTCTGTGTCTATTTTCTAGCATTTCTAACAGGGCTTTTTGCTGTGTTCTTCTGTGTTTACATGTGTATTTTCCATTAGAAGGTACTGATTTTGGACACAGGATTTGAGTAAGCAGTTTTGTGTGTGGAGGGGTGTGGTCAGGAACAGCAGAGAACATCTCTCTTGGAAGACAGTAAGAAGCAGTGGCTACCACAATAAAGAAAGCTTAACAAAATTCATATCTGGCATTGACTGGGGATCATTAATACATAGAATCCTTGAATAATTCTACTGTCTTACTATGCTGTGACAACTAAAATACAATAAAAATATATCTCCACTGGGGCTGGGCATGGTGGCTCACGCCTGTAATCCCAGCACTTTGGGAGGCCGAGGCAGGTGGATCACCTGAGGTCAGGAGTTTGAGCCCAGCCTGCCCAACATGGCAAAACTCTGTCTCTACTAAAAATAGAAAAATTTAGCCGGGCCTGGTGATGCATGCCTGCAATCCCAGGTACTCGGGAGGCTGAGGCAGGAGAATCGCTTGAACCTGGGAGGTGGAGGTTGCAGTGAGCTGAGATTCTGCCACTGCACTACAGCCTGGGTGACAAGAGTGAAACTATGCCTCAAATAATATATATATATATATATATATATACACACATACACACACACACATACGCACATATACATATATATATATCTCTCTCCACTACAGTCATTAACATCTTCTACATCTCAACATCTCAACACTTCCATGCACTTTATACATTTCATGCCAATGGTAGCAAAAATACCAGCAGGATCCCAATCACCATCAAGGCTCAAAATGCTTGCCAAGCACTTTTCAGATCCAGGTTGAAGCCAGAGATTTTGCACTAAATCTGCCAGTTGCTCTGTAATATGCAGTGTTTTCACAGTGTCTCGTAGATAGCCTGAGAGTCACAATATTCTCATGAGCCCTACTGCAATGCTGATTGTCACGTGTTGAAGATGGCAGAGCCTTTTCAGCCCAGTTCTATGCAATGCTGAATGGAACATAAGCCCTTTACTATTAACGGCAGTCATTTTGGTGTTTTAATGAGCAAGATAAAATCCTTTGTGTCAAGCCATGAATTTTGGGCTCTTCTCTATTACAACAGCTAGCGTTATCTAGATAGTATAATTAATTTTCCATGATGTTAATGGTTTTGATAAGTTTGAGTCACTGGAATAAAAATGTTGATTCACTCTAAAATAAAATAATTGTTTATTATAGTTACTTAAATGTTTCATAATTATTACATATGCATTCTACTTTATGTTATGTTTAGTTATTATGTAGGTAGAAATTCAAATTTCTACCATGAAAGTTCTGTAATGTTACTCATCCAGAAGCAGTTTTTAGATGAACAATGTGATATTTACAAAAGAGTGAATTTAGTGAATTCTAATAATTTTGTTTAGTTTAACTAAACTATGAGTCCATCTGTATCTTTTGTATTTTTATAGGTTACACTTCTTAGAATGTGAGTCGTAGTCAATAATTCTAGCATACTGTAACCTGACTAAACAAAAAATTTAGGAAGATCACCAGACTCCAACCCAAGACTGCAGAAACATTTGGACTGGTGATGGATTTTTCCAATTACTGCTTTCAGTGTTCACTGTCTATGAACATATTGAAGCCATTTAGGATATATTATTCTAGTAAATGAGCAGACTGTTCACACACATTAAATTCCTGTTTCTGTGTAGACTGTAAAATGCAATACCTTTATCTATTTCATGCTGGAATTAAAAATCCATATCACAGATTCTTAGAAAATAAACCATTATTCCTTCCTGAAAAATGTAAATGAGAATGAGCATGTATATTATCACAAAAGTGCTGAAATATATCCACTGTTTTTCTGGGTAATGTATCTAAGATTAATTTATTCTGCAATGTACACTTATAATGTACAGTCCCCTAACATTAGATAACGGAATTAGAGAAGTGGAAGGGTCCAGTGGAAGGATGAATAAGTTATTTGTATGTGAGCTGAGAGGTCAGGAAGAAGAGGTGGGTGGGGTTGCTAAAGCAAATAAATAGGTTTAGTAAAACCAGAAGGTCATCGTTCTGGTTTCCTCATTGCATACATTTTAACTGTATTATAAGAAGCTATGCCACTGTTAATTTAAAATATCTACTATGATTATTAACACTTACCTTACATAGACAAGCCACTTTTCTGAAAAGGAATCTTTCAGAAGATTTGTTTGGCAGGAGTTGAAGAATAACTTAGAAGAAAGAAAGAAAAGAACTAAAGGTACCTGTGGCTTTAATCTACACAAATGATGCCTGCCTATATTGGACTTGTGTCAGTGGAAGAAAATTAGGTAAATCCAGAGGGCTTTTCCAATACATTATTAAATGTGTGGGCCAAGTTGAATTTGAATTTGGTAGTTGGGGGTCTAGAAACAAAAATAATAGTGACAATAAAATGTGTTGTGATACCTTTATACAGGCATCGTACAAGATAAATTACATGCAATACTCCTGTCCACATTATGAGTCTGGGAGCTCGAAATAATACTTCCATCTCAAATGGATATACCATTCTCCTGTTTCTGTACACTTAAAATGCCTTCAAAACTTTTTCAGCATTAAAAAAAAAAACAACATAAACAATAAAATCTTCTCAGCAATGCGATGGCTCCTTCCACATGTAAGATTAAAATTAGAACCACTTTCCAAGTTATTTTCTTTTTTTAATTTTTTACAAAGAGAAAAATTAGAAAAACAGAGGTAGGGATTTTAAGCAGAAAGAGGGATGGAGTATGTGAAAGAAAGAATGGCATTAAGGAAACCTAGATAGGAAAGGGTCCAAAATATTCAGACTAAGTAAATCTTATGACAAGGGGACAGGGAAAGTAATGTTATAAGAGGTCTACCCTGACACAATGACATAATTCAGGTGTATATTTGGTTGCATGAGCCCTAAGACCTGCGTTAAAAAGAAGCCAGTATAGGATCACGTATTTGTCACAAATATAGTTTCCTTTAAAGCAAGAGCAAAGAAAAACAGATTGTGCAGTGTATTCTGTACACCTTGATTTAGTTCTAAATATTCTGTTCTTTGAGGCCAGAAATTGTGTTCCATTTATCTTTGCCAAATACAGTCATTTTTCTGGTAGATAAGACAGAAAGATAGATAGGTAGCTAGACAATTCATTTAATAATCATTTTCAAGATGATATAGCAACCCAAAATTTTTAAATCTCTAAGTGTTTGCTATCAAACTATATTAAAGTAATGGTACAGATATATGCTATTAAACTTAGTGTATAATTTTAAGCCAGCTATCATAAATTAACCATTTCCATTTACCTAGAGACTATGTCTGGAAATTCCTGATGAGTTTTAAAATATACGGTTTCTATCAATGGGGTATCATAGTGCAAATATACATTTTAGTATAAAATCTGCTATACAATTATAGACAATAATATTGAAAATTTAATATAAGCTGTAAAAACAACCAAAGGGTAACTATGAGACAGCAATTTTTTTTTCCTGATTTGTTAATATATGACCCCCAAGTAGGTGAAGGCTCTGTCAAGTTCACAGAGGTATCCAAGAAATTACATTCTAGGCAGAGGCTCTCAGAAAACTGCAGACTAATGGCTGCTTTAACCCTATTGTCCAGTGTCAAAGGAGTCATTCATATTGGAGGAGTGTGCCCATCAGCTGCTTAAAGAGGCCATGGCACTTAACTGAGCTCAAACTAGGGGAAAGTTACAAGATTTATTTCCCATGGCCACAACTTGATTAAAGAGACCCTAATCTAAAAAAAAAAAAAAAAAGATGAAGGGGGGATTTTTAAAAAATAAATGTTATTAAGGTCTAGGGACAGGCTTACAATCAATAGCTGAAATTTGGTAGGGGTGAGGTAAGTGGAGATAGGGATGGAAAATTACAATAAACATGAGATTTTGGAAAGCAATCAACAGTAAACAATAAAGACTAAAACTCTAAGGAGATTTCCCTCTCTTTTCTCTCCCACACACTCAAGAGCAAATGTACACAGAGTCATAATTTCTTCTCTCTAAACAATGCCAATGAATTCATAGACACATATAGAAACTAATGGTAGACAGAGTGTTTTTCCCCACTCAAAATTATAAAGTAGGCAAATATTTTCAACATTCATCCCTCCTGTCTCTTCTTACTAGTCCAGTTACCCAGTCCTCAGTGTTTTTATATGACTCCTCGCTTCTCAGATCTAGTGGGAAATTTTTCAGGTGCTGGACCACTCGTTCCCAACTACTGTCACACAAACCTACACCTCAGTAACTCTCAGACCTTACTATGATAGTCAATATATCCTATTACCTAATTCAGAATGAGGGGATAATGACAACTTAAATTCACAGAGCATTTACTGAATATCCAGATTTGAAAGACAAGAAGCCAGCGATACAGTTAATGAAATAAGGCAGTGTCCCCAAGCAACATAGATTCCTTATAAATCAACAGAATACAGGAAGAATATAGGCAATGTTATAACAGAGATGGCAGGGACAGAAAAAATTTAAAAGATTAATTTCAACAAAGAACATTAAGAAAAGCTTCATGGGGGAGATGAAAGTTAAGAAGATGCTTATATGGCTTAAGTATAAAGGAAAAAAAAAAACAAACCATGTGAGACTTTAGGTTTAATACCAGTTAAGATGATAAATAGCCTGAATAATATGCCCAGTATTTTCTCAGTTTGTGAACAGAGTTCAGATACTTGATGGGCCAGCTCAAAGCTGGATACCTCACTGCCCTAGGACAATGGAAGAAATAGCTTGAGTCTCCTGGCAGCCCTCTAATCATGAAATATATGTATAATACATAAACTACACAACCTCTTGCTTTTATCTTTCTCTTCAACCAAACATTGCTATCATACCAGACAATTTCGAAATTATACCCTTGGGCCTATCATGGCCTGATTACTTACTTCATAATTGCTTGATTTCTTTCCTTCTCCCCTTCATCACAACATAGCTTTATCTCTCTGAAATCCCTGCTCTGACTAAAACCTCTTAAAATTCTCTCATCCAGTATTTTCCACTAAAGAGTCTTACTTTTCTCAGAAACTCCATTTGTTCCTAGGCTAAAAGCCTACCAATTTTTTATTTCTTTTAAAATCTCAACTACTCGGCTATCTTGGTGACACTTACTGGCATACTTAACTCATTTTTCCTTTATTCTTTGCTCTAGCTTTGCTGACAATGTGTGAACAAATGAGCCCAAACACTTGGTTTTTTCTGTACTTCCCCTCCTGAACTTTCTGGTCATCCTGAAAAAATTAAATAGTAGTCTGTTAATTTGTATTATAAATCTATGATCTGCCCCCTTCTTCTAGGTCTGTAACACTGTTCAGTATCCATTTACTTTCTCTGAAACAGCTGTTACAAGCCATCATCACTCTTCTCAGTGCTTCTACTCAGACTCTGCAACTCCCACCTTTAGCAAACCTGCCTTCTTCACAGCAAACAACTTGAAACCATCGGATGGAAACTCCCAAACTCTCATCCTTCCCACTTTTCAACTTACCTGCATTTGTATCTATTGTTAATTATCCTCCTACTGTCATGAAGGAGTAGAGTCTCCGAGCATTTCAAGGTTAATGTCACTCCTGTTCCTCTCATTTGAGAGCACACTCCTTGATTCTACCCGTTTGTGTCTTTAAGCTCCTCTCTCTTAGCTCTTTCTCTTCCACAACGAACATGTTGAACACTCCCTACATCTTCTCTAAATTAACCTCCTTCCCTGAAGGAACTAATTGTTTTATCTTTCCTGTGCTGACTGCTTTGAACATTTGTTACCAGCAGAAACCACTTTCTTCCCATTCACTCCTCACACTAATTCACATTGTCTCCCTGTAATCTATTGCAGCACTGCAGCAGCTCCTCCCAAACTCATCAGTGTACAAAAAGTCTGGTGGGCATCATCAATCCTCATCCTATTTGACTTCTATAAGGCATTTGGCCAGTCCCTCTTTGTTCAGACACTCCTAACCTACTTCTCATTTGACCCTATCTTACTGACTTTGTTTTCCTTCTCTTTTTATGTTTTCCCCCTTTTTATGCTTTCCTCTTATTGAAAATTCATTCTTCTTCTCATTATACACTTCCTGAAAAATCTGCTCTGCTCTGAAATCTGCATGTAAAATCCAATTTCTACATCTAATAAAGATTACTCCTCTAAGATGCAGGTCCATAGCTTTTATTGCTTATTAAATATTAGAAATCAGCATTTTAAACTCAACTTGTTATAAAATGAACTGCCATTTCCTCTCATTTATCTCTTTCTCCAGTCCAACTAACTTGCTTAATTATGTAAATTGCATGAACTCAAATTAATTTTTAAATTTTTCTACTTCCTTTTCTTTCCAAACCTCATCAGTAACAAATCTTAGTGTTTCAACATCATCAGAACATATAATATCTTCTCTGAACTACCGAAGCATCTAATTTGAGTTGGTTTTTCCCATTCCAAATCATCTTTCACATTGTAGCTGAAGTTATTTTCTTCAAAAATACAAATTGCATTGTGTCATCCCCCTACTAAAGTACTACTAATGCCAAACCAATCACTGCACAATTAAGTCCACACTTAATTTGACATATATAAAGTCTTGTTTCATGTATCCAAGCACTTCATTTTTTTATATAGTCCTTTTCAAGCTTTGCCATAGATTCACTCTACGTTTTAGCCACAAAAATGTCTAATGTTCTGGTACATGCAGACATTCAGAGATGTTTCTGAACTGTTTGTGCATAATTTGCTTAGTTTGCTCTTCTCTTCCTTTCAAGGTTCATGCCAAAGGCCCTTTCTGTAAAGCTTTTCTAACCTCCTTTGCACAACACTGTATTACAATCATCTGTTTACTGGACTGTGCCACCAATCTGAATTCCTTGATTAAAATTCATATTTAGATATCTCTACCATGTCTCTTTCCCCCAGTTCTCCCACACGGAATTCATATGTGTAAAAAATTTCTGTCACTGATGAGGAGATGTTTTTTAACACTAAATATATTCAGTGCCATAGTTAGAATTCAAGGGAAAAAAGGAAGTAAGAATATTATTTGACCTAATTGATGCTAAATATATTCCACAGCAACCTAACTCTTAAAGAATAAATTGATATATATTTGTATCATTCCAAATATATTGGCTTCAATGTTAGAAGATTGGAGGAAGAGGAATATGTGTGGTCCCTTCAATATAACGCAGTGTACCTTGTCTTGTATTGCTTTTCATGCAAAATAAAATAATAAGCACAGGTTTTTGCAATATAATCTGTCTTCATTTTATGAAGAATGTGGCTTAGAGGTATTCAGAGTGACACATCACTCTAAATAGTGAATCACTGGAGTGTTGTCTCTCAGGAGGAGGGCTGTCCATTGTCCTCAACTCACATCTGAATGCTCACAAGATAGACTATTTCCTGTTAAGATGGATGAAGAGACACTTATCAAAAGAAGACATTTATGTGGCCAACAAACATATATAAAAAAAGCTCATCATCACTGGATATTAGAGAAATGCAAATCAAAACCACAATGAGATATCTTCTCATGCCAGTTAGAATGGCGATCATTAACTCAATAGATGCTGGTGAGGCTGTGGAGAAAAGCAATGCTTTTACACTGTTGGTAGGAGTGTAAATTAGTTCAGCCATTGTGGAAGACAGTGTGGCAATTCCTCAAGGATCTAGAACCAGAAATATCATTTGACCCAGCAATCCCATTACTGGGTATATACCCAAAGGATTATAAATTGTACTGTTATAAAGACACATGCACACATATGTTTATTGCAGCACTATCAACAATAGCAAAGACTTGGAACCAACCCAAATGCCCATCAATGATAGACTGGATAAAGAAAATGTGGCACATATACACCATGGAATACTATGCAGCCATAAAAAAGGATGAGTTCATGTCCTTTGCAGGAACATGGATGAAGCTGGAAACCATCATTCTCAGAAAACTAACACAGGAACAGAAAACCAAACACTGCATGTTCTCACTCATAAGTGGAAGTTGAACAATGAGAACACATGGAAACAGGGAGGAGAACATCACACACTGGGGTCTGTTGGGGGATGGGGAGAATGGAGAGGGAGTGAATTAGGACAAATACCCAATGCATGTGGGGCTTAAAACCTAGACAACCAGTTGATAGGTGCAGTACCATGGGACATGTATACCTATGTAACAAACCTGCACGTTCAGCACATGTATCCTAGAACTTAAAGTAAAATAAAAAAAAAAAATTAAAAACATGGAGATACAATTTTTTTCACCAAAGTCTAGCTTTGGGCTCTTGTTAAAATAGCCAAAATTTGTTCATTACCTATGGAACATTTCAATATACATAACTAATGCCTTTCAAAGAACATTGTATTATATACGTATGAAAAATGGGAAAATCTTCATGAGGGGAAATAATAAAAACCAAACAGCCCAAACATGTTAAATTTTACATTCTGATATGTTAATAAATGAAATTCTGCATAATAGGAGGGTACCAATAAATACAAGATACATTTTCTGCCTTAATTGAGATTATGATCTATTTCAAGAAATGACATAAACATGTAAAAAGTAAAATAAAACTTGAAAATTGCCTAAAGGAAATATTGCAAGTTGTTCCACTATTTATAGTCAAACAAAGTGTACAAGAAATAATTGCTACAGATACTCATGGAAGAAAAAGTATCCCTTCCTTTGGGATACTGAAAACAGGTTTTTTGGGCTATACATTTTGAAATCTTTTGTTTGACCTGAGAAGGACTTTCAACTATATATTTCTGGGACTAAATCTGTATAATTATGGAAAAGTTCATTTTATACTGTTTCCTAACAAACGTCAAAGTTGTATTGCTCTTCTCATAACCATACCCAATGTGAATTTGAAGAGCAAAGCAGTCTAAAAAGTTCAGTCAGTGGCATTTCTTTTTACTAAGTGACTTAAGATAGTCCTGGAGAGGAAGGAAAGGCCTATCTGACAGTGTCATTACTGAAGGAATAAATGACATATCAGGCACATCAAAGTTGAATCATGGAATTAAAACAGATTCTGAAACAGGAATGCTAAAAATGGAATATTTATTTCTCTGTCTTTTGAAGGTCACTGATATCAACCCTCAGGAGGGCACTGGGAATATGCGACAACCTTTGCTGTTGGATGCTATCTTCTCCTCTAGCCAAAAAATAATCCCAGTAGTACGGGGCCCAATAGGACTTTGCTGTTTGCCAGCCTTGTGATAAGTCGTTCAACCTATTCTCTGCTATAGAGTCAAAGGCAATTCTGAAATGGCTTTGGGTTGAAACAAACAGCAGTGAGCTCTGATATCCACTGGCTGCTTATCACATGATGCTGCCTGTGGTTCACCATAGCTGAGTATCTGCTGAGGAGCTTTTAGGGCTGGCTGGACCCCACCTGAAACAATTACCCCAGAGTCTCTGGTGGCAAACTTGAGCATGATTCTTTTTGAAAGCTATCCAGGTGGTTTATGTACACACAGGTTTATTAAACATTGTATCAGATCAAGATCAATGCTTTTCAAACTTTAATGTGCATACCAATGACCCAGAGAGCTTGTTAACATGAAGATTCTGACTCAGTAAATGTTAGGTAGGACCTGAGATCCATCACTTCTAATATGCTCTCAGGTGACGTTGCTGTTGCTGGTATAAGTGCTGCATACTGAATTGTAATTCTTTATAGCATTATTTGGCACAGCTATTTTCAATATTCTATATATTAAGCTCCACCTTTAAGAGATTCTGATTCTATGAATTGTCTTCTAAAAAATCTATTAATTAAAATTATCAGATGATACCAGCTTTGTTGTACAATGTGGCTATACATATTAGAAACTACTGCTTCAAGATATCCCAGGAAAATTCTATATTCCTTGAAAGGCCCAACCTATCCCTTAGTGGGGTACCTTCTCTTGGTAAATGACATGCTCTTTGTTATGGATTACAAAAGAGTGACAGAAGCTGGGCCAATATAAGAATGGAATTGGTGAACTCGTCAGTGCTAGTTTCTCCTACAGTATTCTAGACATCACTCCTATTATCAAAGTAGCCCTGTTGGTTCAGTGGATTAGATAGAAAGTGCAGTCCTCTTTCCTCACAGAACACCTCTATACCTCATATCCTAGAGATCAGCCACTCTTAAGATGTTTGCATTTTTTCATAGGAAACATAAAGTATGGAAATAGGTATGTTGCAATTGGTCATAAAAAGAAAAGAATCCTCCTAAAAAAACTGACTTTGGGGCTACATTGTTCTTGAAGAGGTTATTAAATAAGACAAAAGAATTAGCTTAAAAGAAAGTTTCAGATGCAAAAAGAAAAAAAAATTAACAAGATGAGCTATTCTTTTTTTTCCCAGTGACAATGCATATACTCTATTTGCTTCTTCTGTGTTTATTATGGGCATATATGTAAATATGTACACAATAATACAAACATACCATATAAAGAAGATAAATTAAGGCTAACTTCACCCCTTTAAGTAAGCACTGACCTCAGAGTCAGAGATTAGATCTAGTTCTAGCTCAGTGACACTGGGCCTCAACTTTCCATTTGTAAAATGAAGGAGTTAGACTGCATAATAATATAAACCACTGTTTCTTGAGTTCTTATTATGGGCCAACCATTGAGTAACATGTTTGGCAAATAATTAGTCCTGTTTACACCCCCATGAGACACACTATGTTGTACCTGCTTTTGCGGATAAGGAAGGGGAAGACTCAGATGAATTACTTTTATTGCCCAAGGGAAATATTGATCAATTAGATTTAGTTCCTGTCCCAGAGAAGCTCTCCATAGGTCACTCATTCAGCAACCTGCATTAAAAAGTTGCATTTACCCAACTTGAAGTTATAATTGCAAGACAAACCTCTGAACTGTACAGCTAATGCACTTGCCATAGACCTCTCATTCCCTTGGGGTAAACCAAGACTGACCTTCTGGATGGAGCTTTCAGATAACTCCATCACGGATGATAACCTACCTAAATAGGAAAGGGAACATGAAAGAGATAGGAGCTAGTCAACTCAGAATAACTGTATCCACCTCAGATCAATATCAGCAAACAGCTGATGTGGGTTGGGAAAATTAAGGATGAAAGATGTTTGGGAGGGAAAAGCCCACAAAGAGAAAGTATGCATGTTGTTGTGCCTTCCTCTAACCCAAATTTTTAAAAGAGCAATTGGTTCATAAGTTTGGGGGTCATCCAAATCCAGAAATATAACCTTTGAAGAGTCACAAATCTTTCAGAGCTCAAATACTACAAGAAAGAAACATTAGATCAATGTAAGAATTCAAAGGTTTTGTAGATAAATAGAAATGGGTTCCAAAGACAATTCACCTTACAGTATTTTGGTCAAAAAACAGCTTGAATGCACCTATCATCATTTGAAGATAAACAGAAAAAAAGAAGACAAAAATCTGAAATAAAAATACAAGAAGAAAATAAATCTACACCTGAAAAAAAATTCAGAGCGTATTTTTTAATGATGATCTATTCCATGAGGCAAACTTTTTATACAGCAACTATTTTACTTGCTCAAGGAAATAAAGGCCAATATGAACTCAATCAAAAAAATTTATCACACGTATTACCTATATGTATGCGTATTTTTCTATTTCAAACAGATACAGAAAGATAAATAGAGATAAAAAGGGCTTATTAGAGTTAATAAGAAAACAAGCAATCCTAATTTAAATATTAGAAATAAAATATGTAATTAATATTGAAAAAAAATCAGTGGACATTGAGTAAACTATGCTGAAAACCAGGGAGGAATGCAAAATGATTAAACACAGATAGGATTGAAGGTATTCAACACAATATAAAGGCAATGAATGAACAACGTATCACCGTTCTTATTCACGAATAAAAGAGAACTATCAATATACAACAGGGGGAATAATCCTCAAAGATGATAGGTTATCTCAAAGATAAACAAAATCTCAATCCATGGAATAAAAAGAAAAAAAAAAAAAGAAAATGGCCTGTGACAACATCAAGACATGAAAATAATAACCACTGGTTTGCAAAGATAAGGAAAAGAAACAAAAGAAGATATAAAGGAACAGCAAATATGTCTGTTAAAACAATAAATGTAAATAAAGTCACCTATGAAAAGAAAAAAGCTCTTTAGTTTCAAACAAATAACAAAATTAAAAACACACATTAAAATAAAGGAAACTTAAAAATTAACATTGAAAAAAATCCTAAATTAATGCTAAAGAAATACAAAATGTGCGTGTATGTGTGTGTGCATGTATATGAGCTATTTCATTGATGTCAAAACCAAGGTTATAAGCACTGAAAGGGTTAAAGAGTTGGATTTTTGTTTGTTGTTTTGGAAAGGTTAAATCCAATGTAATATATCAAATAATAAAACATGTGCCAAAATATTTATATACAAGAATACACAACTTTATTTCATTCTAGTTTCATATGTTACATGTGACACTAGCATTTTCTAAGCTAAATATTGACTATATTAGACAATAAGCAATCATTTTGAGCCCTCATAATGTGGTACTGCTTATCAGTCAAATGGTGTGTTATAACAGTGTTCCTTTTTCATTTATTTGCTTTTTAAGAGCTCTATGTGTGAGTCAATTTGAATATCTCATTATTTCGTCCTTATTTCTTTATGAACATGAGTGGAAAATGGGAACATGAAAGTGTTAATGTTAGTGTTAATATAATCAAGAGGAAGATCACCTGCTGAAGTGGGGCTACAAGGAAAATAATAAGTTGCAACAAGTAGACAGAGTGTAATTCACATTTTCTGACCACAATGGGATAAATCTAAATTTAATAATGAAACCTCAGCAGAGAGCTCCTTGGATTTAAGCAGGTAAACTGTGTATATAAATATGAAGAAAAAAATAAAATTAAATAACATTTATTAACTAATGGCAACAGACTACTGAATATTGCCTGTAAATGGCAAGGTGTAGTATAGATAATCTGGAACAATCTTTAAATTTGCAGATTGAAACCTTAGGTGATTTTTATAAAAAACAGCACTAACAGGTCTATAGCAAATAAGCAGACAGCTTGCTACAAAGAACAATATAAAAAAATAAGTAAGGCTGGTATTCTAGCCTTTCTTGAACATATTTCAAAAGAGTCAAAAGACAATAGATGTAGTGTAATTTACATTTTCTGACCATGATGATATACATCTAAATTTGTTAAATGTTGGAACAATAGGAAAGTCATATATTTGTTATATTCCATTTGGTACCTCTCCACCTACTACCCACGCTGATGTATACCCTTTTCTCCAACTTACTTTGACCACCATTGGATCTGGGCTCCCCTATTTTCGGTTTTCTGGGTGGCTTTTAGCCACTAAATATATTGATGGGAGATTGAGGAGGAGAGGAGAGTGAGCATTTTGACATCCCAGTTTCTTCCAGAGTTGAACCATTTGGTTGGAACTCTGTTTCCTGCTAGACCCCTGACTAATGCATGCAAATATAAGAATGTTTTTAAATCACACACACACTAACATAGATATAAAATACACTTAATTCTAAAACTATAAACTGTTAAAATATATTAAAATTAGACTCTTAACCTTAGTTTTGACAGAGGCCCCAAACTATTCCAAAGAATAGGCAGCTGGGAATAGCGTTAAAGTACCTGTCTATGGGGAACTTGTGAAGAGTTAGCTTAAAAATCCTTCTTTTTTTTTTTTCTGAAACAGAATCTCACTCTGTCTCCCAGGCTGGAATGCAGTGGTGCGATCTCAGCTCACTGCAAGCTCCGCCTCCCAGGTTCAAGCCATTCTCCTGCCTCAGCCTCCCGAGTAGCTGGGACTATGGGTGCCCGCCACCACGTCTGGCTAATTTTTTTGTATTTTTTTAGTAAAGACGGGGTTTCAACGTGTTAGCCAGGATGGTCTCAATCTCCTGATCTCATGATCTGCCTGCTTCAGCCTCTCAAAGTGCTGGGATTACAGGCGTGAGCCACCACGCCCGGCCAAATTAGCTAAAAAATACTTTTGTCACCACTGGTCTTTCATCCGTCTTTAGATAGATAAAACAGTCAACTGGGTACTGACTCTGGCTGTGGAATCTAAAGGGTCACAAAGAAAGGTGGGATGAAATGTTTTGAAACATAGAGTGGGAAGGCTGTAGTTTGGAAGAAATCTGCTCCTTCACTAATTAAACATTAGAAGCATGGGTTTCCCGTGGACCAGATGTGGACCAAGAGAGAAGGAGAAACATAGATAGAGAGAGATTGGTTTGGCAGGGTGAGGTGGTAGGTGCAGAGTAAGAGGCAGACAGATACAGAGGCAGAGATAAAGAATGCTGTCTTGAAGTTCTCTCAACGAGATTATGCTCAATAGGGTACCATAGAAGGGCCATGGGATCTCAACAGAGAGGATCAGTAAAGAGGTAAACTACTAAGAACCAAGGAAACTGCTGAGGTACTACTAAGATGGAAATTAAAAGTGGTCAGAAGGACAGCATCTCACTTATAACAGAGAACTGGGATTGAGGTCCAGTTTTAAAGAAGTGTAGTTCAGGAAACCTTTTCTCTACCTTACCTCTACTCTCACTTTTTGCAACCTATTTCACCTGGGAAAGAAACTGCCTCTGGCACAGGAAAGAAGGAAGAAGAAAACCACAACCCCCTCCCCTTCACTGTGCCCTAGAGAAAGACAGAAGATGATATGGAAATACAAACTGGTAAATTATTTTTAAAAGGTAAATAAATCCAAAATTTAAATTTTTAGAAGAGCAATCAAAAGTTAAATTATTATTCACAAAAAAATCAAGAAAATGAGAAAATTGCAAATGAAAAAAAAGAAAAGGAAAGGAATAAAACCACAGATAAGAAGTAAATGAATAAATCATATAAAAAGAATGTTCTCTAGAGAAATGTAAGCTATCAAAATTGAGGTAAGGAGATGCAAAAAAATAAAAGCATATCCATAAAATAAACTGTAAAAGTTGTCAAAAATTATTTCGGACTGAACTGTCAGCTCTGCCTCTTACTTATAATGGACGGAAAAAAACATACTGCTAATATCGCTCTCCCCTAAACCCACCACCCAGAAACATCACTGAATGACATTAAAGATATTTTTAAAAATATAAACCTCATAAGGAATGGGGCAAAAAGAGAGCAAACAAAGGGAAAATGTTGGGAACTCAAAGAAGAATTGTTGAATGGTAAATATCCTTACAGAAAAATATTCAAATATATAATATAAATCATTCCAAAGACTCAGCAATCAACAGTGCCAAGAACGTCTGGACCTGGACGCTGAGAAACCTAAGAAGGTGCTATAACCCAGGGAGGATGGCGTGAGAAGAAGGCAGATCTCTCAACATCTTCCAACTCCAACACATTAGAAAAATATACTTCCTTCCAAAATAAGTTATTCTTTAAAGTTTGTTCTCTGGAGATGTTCTCTAGACTGGGGGACTGGCAGGAATAGTGTGGAATATTGAGAGAGGAATTAAGTATCTCTTTGAATATTCAGAGTTGAATCTTGATCTCTCTTGCCCTCTTCTGACACCTGCCATCCTGAAACATGGCAAGCAGACTAGTATCATGCTGGATATTGAAATAAACTTCTTAAAGAATTATCAGCAGCCCAAGAAGAAAGACCAGAAAAAAATGATTTTATAGCTCTTCCAACTAACAAATAATTCATTCAACAGTGCAGCTCAAAGTTAACAAGGTTTATACATGTACTCAGAACCTAAGTTTTTGTAAGTTAATCATGAACATAAAATTAAGATATTCCATACATCTGAGAAAATTTTCTTACATGAAAGATAGAAACCAGAACAGAAACAGAGGAAAAAAATCTCAGGGGAACTAAAACTTAAAAAGAGGGAGAGGAAGTTTTCACAACAAACAAACAAACAAAATACATCATTAAATATTGGCAGAGATAAGATCCATGAATCATTCATCAAATGTCAAGAAACATTCCAAGAACAAGTAACAAAAAGTGCTCTTTGTATGTTAAAAATCACAATATCCTAAATGAAAACTTAAAAAAAACAGAGTCTCAAAGATAAAGCTGAAGAAATCCCTGAAAAAGCAGGAGAAAAGAAGATAAACAGAAGGAAATCAGGAGGAAAAAAAATATTAAAATCCTACTCTCCATTATACTCAATATTCCTAAAGAAATTCCAAAAAGAAAGAATAAATAGAATAAAAGAGTTCACACAATTCAAAAAAATCAATTATATTAATTGCCAAATTCAAAGAGATGACTAGGGGTCCAAAAAGCATGAAAATAAACTCTCACAAAAGTATACTTTTGTGAAATTTTAGAGCATTTATATAGAATAATATTCCATAAATATCCATAATGAAGGGAAACAGGGTCACATACAAAAATCAGAAATCAAAATGGAATTGGATTTCTCAATAGCAACAGTAGATGTAGAGATACAAAATCTAAAATAAAAATAATTTTAACTTGGATTTCTAACAATTAAATGTGAAGATAAGAAAAAAAGAGATTTTCAGACATATTCTCAAAAATGTATCTGCCATCTACTCTTTCACAGGAAACATATTAGTATAAATCAAGAAACAGGGCAATAAAGGGAATAGCCAGTGATCCAGCATAAGTGAGATAAGAAAATCCCAAGGATGACTAGGAAAAGAGAGACTAGGATAAGAGGCGTGTACAGACACAAAACAGCAAGCAATCCAGATGCAGGAATGTGATCATGAGACTTATCTGTTTAGGGCTGTCATTGATAAAATCCTCACTGCTCTCTGGGACGAGAGTTGGGCAAAGAGTTAGGCTTAACATCAAAAGGATGATCTACAATGGAAAAAACAAATAAATCTGTCCTGATCAAAATTTAAAACTGTTAACTAAATGTTTGTGGAATGTTTGTTCAGCAAAAGTCCATCTAAAAGGATGAGAAGCAAAGCTACAGAATGGGAGAAATGTTTGCAAAGCACATATCCAATAAAGGACTAGTTTTTAGAATAGCTAGAGAACTCTTCAAAACTCAAAAACATAAATGAGTCAATTAGAAAATGGGCAAAATACATGAACAGACATAGAGGTTCACTATGACAGTTGTACATACTGTATAAAAAGAAGTTTTATACATATGGCAATAAGAATATGAAAAGATGTTCAGTGTCATTACACATTAGGGAAACTCAAGCTAAAAGCACAATGAGATATCACTACAAACCTATCAGAATAGTTTTCTATTCTGAAAAACCTATCAGAATAGTAGGAACACCAAATACTGGAGTGAATTTAGAGAAACTAGATTGCTCACACATTGCTGTTGGGAATGTAAAATGGTACAACAGCTCTGGAAAGCAGTTTGCCAGTTTCTTTTAAAATAAAACATGCAAATAGTATAAAGTCCAGAAACTGTACTCCTGAGAATTTTTTTTTTTTTGAAACAGAGTTTCACTCTTATTGCCCAGGCTGGAGGGCAATGGCACGATTTCGGCTCACCACAACCTCTGCCTCCCGGATTGAAGCGATTCTCCTGCCTCAGCCTCTGAGTAGCTGGGATTCCAGGCATGCACCACCACACCCGGCTAATTTTGTATTTTTAGTAGAGGCGAGATTTCTCCATGTTAGTCAGGCTGGTCTTGAACTCCCAACCTCAGGCGATCCACCCGCCTCGGCCTCCCAAGGTGTTGGGATTACAGGAGTGAGCCACTGCGCCCAGCCTAGCCCAGGTATTTTTCAGTGGGTTAATGGTTAAACAATCTGTGGTACATTCACACCATGGAATACTACTCAGCAATAAAATGGAAGTAACTATTGATATGCACAATAACTTGGTTGAATCTCCAGGAGATTATGCTGAGTGTTAAAAGCCAAAAAGTTATATATTTTATAGTTCCATTTATATAATACTTTCGAAATAATAACATTTTAGAAGTGGAGAACAGCTTAATTGCTGCCAGGGGTTTAGGAATGAAGAGAGTTGGTGAGTGCGGTTTAAAAGAACAACTCAAGGGATACTTGGGAACATTTGAGGGACACGGGCTACTTGGGACATTAAGGAATACCTGGGGATAGCTGCTGTTCTGTTTGTTGACTATGATGGCAGATATAGAAACCTGCACAGGTGATAAAATTGTGTAGAATTAAAGATACACATATATACACACAGAAGTATGAATATAGCTGGGAAAATCTGGAAAATATTGGTGAATAATATAAATGAAAATATCCTGTGATACTGTACCATAATTTTGCAAGATGATACTCTTGGGGGATGCTGGGAAAAGGGTACATGACATCTCTATACTATTTCTTATAATTGTATATGATTCTACAGTGATAAAGAGATAAATATACAGATCATTCTAGAACTTAGAGAAAGATGTGGAGGATGCCAATTTATTGTTAATGGTAGTATAACCATGATTCTAAAATTGAACAAAATACTATAAAGAAAATAATTATATTTCATCCTCAACTGAACCTTCCGGGATTCTAGAAGGATTTACCCTTGATAAGGAGGAGCTAGAACAACTATTTTCAGGGAGCCAAGGAAGTAGCCAAAATGCCTGTTTCTGGTCAGGGTTTTAAGTGGTGAAAAAAAGTCTCCCAGAAAAAATCAAAACTTAATACCTCAGCCCTCACTGATCTGCAGACCCTATTTAAACGCTCATCGAAGCCCTGGAATCTCCAAGCAAACCAAGCAAACTAAAATTTTTAGACTTTTGCCAACCCAGATGCAAAATCCTTTTATAAATATCATACAACAGGGGTTCACATTATTCCAAAAAAAAATGAAAAAAAAAATCCAACACTCTGAAAAGTAACCACAATAAAAAACTTAAAACCACACAAGTAAACAATCCACAATGTGGGAGCACTCAAAAGACAACAATAAATAGGAGTATTTTTACCCCTTGAATATGGTAGAAAATAGAATACGATAAAATTGATGATAAACTGAATAAGCTTACATTTTTTCTTTAAAGAAGGAGAACATAAACCATAAGTGGAAGAAAAATTAAATTTGAAAAAGAAACAAAAGAACATAGATAAATGAAATAAATATAATTAAAAATCAAAATTCAATGCATGTATTAAATAGCTGAGGAGACATAGCTGGATACAGACTTTTTTGTTTAATGTGCAATGCCCAGTGCATTGTAACCATTTTTGCTGTTGTTCTCGATATAATTGATTCCACTCCTCTATAAATATCAATTAGCCATTAATCTTCTCATGCTATGAAATAAAACAATCTACACATTCCACTTTCTGAAGAAATCCTGGCCTGATGCAAGAAATCCTGGCCGGATGCAAGAAATCCTGGCCTGATGCTATTTTGGAGAGGCCAGTTCTGGAGCCCAGCAAGGGCCAACAACCCTGTGTATGTTCCTCAAATGAAGGCTTACCAGACCCATGAGCACATAGCTCTCATCCATCTGTATACTCCATAATTATTACAAGTTTACTTCCAGATAAGAAATACTTTAAAAACCTGTTAATAGTATACTTAAGAGTATATTGCTTAAAACAGGATGATATTTGTGGTATACACATAGTACCTACACAGGTTTAACTTCAGCCTTAGAAATCTGAAAGTATTATTTCCATTGCTTATCCGTTGCAAAACTTGGTGTCTGGAGGGGGGTAAAAAAAAAGGTTTAAGAAATCAATTGACTATTCCCAGCATTATTTTTTCCTTATGTCTTTGTTTATCTGGGAGAAAAAGGTCATACGTAAAGAGATACAAGCCATATTTGGGTTTAAAAAGATAGTATTGCACTGGTTTTTGATATATATTTTAGCTGAAGGAAGGTTTTATCATATACTGTAAAATCCTACATCAAAAAATATTGTGGAAAATTGATGGTGACATTAAGTGAACTTATGGACATCTGGTGAGTGTTTCTTCTCCAGTCCCTAGTCATCCTTCTGTAATTTTCAGGTTCGAGATAAACGCTAGTGTGCTTGTCCATCTGCTCTACCCTGTCTCACCTAACACACTTATGATAGGTCACCTTGAAAGCATGATTCCTCTTTCCTTCCTTTAAAATTGTGAGTGTCACTAGGGTTGCGTTAACCAGTCCACCTTTTTCTCTATCACTTCTGTGATATCTATCATTACTCAAGTTAACCTCTGTGCCTTCCAAAGAGTCAGATTTACCAGTTATACTGACTTCTCCTAGATGGCTTTTGCTGTAATGAGGTGAACACACCTGTATTTCACCATCTGCCCTTCAAAAATCCATTCACATATCTATTCTTCATTGGCCAAGAAAAAAAAAATGCAACAACCTTTACGGAGTGGCGATTTTGCCCTAAGTACTATCACTAAGTAGCAGAAACTTTACATCTGTTATCTGTATTTAACTTCACAGCAAGTTTAAGAAATAAAAATAATAGTCCCCCATTATCTATGACAGATATGGTCCAAGATTCCCAGGATGCCTGAAACCATGGATAGTACCAAACCCTATAGACACTATGATTTTTTTCTCTCTCTCTATATATATATACCTATAATAAATTTAATGTACAAATTAGACACAGTAAATAATACCAGTAACTAATAATTAAGTTATTAGTAAAATATTATTAAATAAAATCAGGGTTATGTGAACACAAGCACTGTGATACCACGACAGTCAAGCTGATATCCCAGAAGGCTAAGTGACTAACGAGTGATTAGTGAGCAGTATAGACAGCATGGATATGCTGGACAAAGAGAGGACTCACATCCCAGGCGGGACAAAGTAGGATGGTGCAAGATTTCATCACACTACTCAGAATGGTGCACAATTTACAATTTATAAATTACTTATTCCTGGAACATTCCTTTCAACATTTTTTGGACCTCAGTTGACGGCAGGAAACTGAAATTGCAGAAGGTGAAACTGTAGGTAAGTAGGGGACTACTGTATTGTTATCTCCCTTTTTCAGAGGGGAGAAATGAAGCACAGAGTGTTACGTAAGTCACTTTCCCAAGGTCATACAGCTGCTAAATGGTAGATTCGCAGCTCAAATATAAATATAAAGCATACAGATGCCTTTTTAAAATGTAGACTTGTTTGTTTTGGAATACAATTTACAAATGATGAAGTAAATTAATACTAAATGCTCCTTCAATGAATTTTGACAAACACATTCACCTGGGTAACCGAAAGTACTATTGAGATAAATTTACCATGAACCCAGAAATATTCCCTCTGTCCTTTTCCCAGTAAGTCCCACTCGGCATCTCCACCAGCGACCACTGCTTTGATGTATTTATAGAATGGATTCATCTTATCTAATGTAGAATTTCATATCAATTGAATGACACAGTATATGCTTCTTTTTTGTAGAGACTATTTCAATCAGCATAATTTAAAAATTCTTTTTGTGTTGTTTTATGTTTCTGAGTAATACTGCATTTTATGAATTTATCAATTTTTCCATTCTCCTATTGATGGACACATAGGCTGGTTACAGTTTTTTGTACTTCTGATTTTTTTATCTTCTGCAATATGTTTACTGTAAATTGTCAAGATTTATACTCTTTCTAGTTTATTTTTCTGCAGTATTGTTTACAAGAACTTGAATGAGGTATAAGATCTGATTTAAGAGACAGGGTAGAGAAGAGTGGGAAGTTGAAGGGAGAGAGGAAACCCTCCTTTCTCTGCTCTGCACACCTCATTGGCACACTTCTCTAGAGCTCAAAGTGAAGTCTAGCACATAGCCATTTATTTAATTTGCCATAAATTTTAAAAATTATATTAACATTTATGAATCAGTGTTTATTCACTATATTTTATACCCTTAATTATCATACATCTAATAAGCCTCTAAAGTAAATTTACATTTGCTGATGCTTTATCAATTAGAAATATCCTTTCTCCTTTTAAGTATACTTAGTAAATATTTCAACTTATAAATATGCCCATTTGGTGGTATCATGCAGGCTTCTATTATGGCTCAAATCAAGTTATTATAATTATCTTAAGTTATTCTAAAATCATACAATGGTTAGGTAATCCCATATTCCCTTTCTCACAGCACATTTTTCCTAATAGTAAACATTTTTATATGTAAATATCTTGAAAACTCTTTAAAAAGAATAATAATTTTTACACATTGTTGGAAAAATCTATGATCTATAATGACATTCTTTTAATTATAACATCTGCTTTCTCAAAACAGGTGAACAAAAATCTCATTACTTAAAAAAAAAAATACTTGTCAGAGAGCTTCTAGAGATTATTAAGCCATCACATATTTGAAGGAGAAATATAATCAAGTACACCTATCACAATGACACAGGGTTGCAGATGATAAATAAGGAGTGTAAGACTTACTGTTTATAGTCATACAAAAGGTGTTATTTTTGTTATCCTCAGTGAGCTGTGTAGATGAGGATGTCATGTGAAAAATTAAAATGTCATTAAAAGACACTGAACATAAACAGTGAGATCAATAATTCATGATTGCATAGCAAAAGAAACACTGAGGAAGAAGTTGTCTCAGCTTGTCTCAGGATAACTAGGTTATTCTAGCTAAAGCAATTAAACAGAACTCAACAGACTCTTGGTTCTGTCAGGACATGCCCAGTACGTTCATCATGGACACACAGTGCAAATTTGTGTTATAGCTTAGAGCTGAGGAAAGCAGACCATGAGGAGAGGCCAATGGACTCACCCTGACTGAAATTAGGCTCATAATTTTCTGAGTTTACCAGGATTGCCCCAGTCTTTTGCCTGGGTCAGCCAGCATAGGATGAAGACAGAGCCAGAATAATGTTAGCAGTATGTGCTTAGGAGTCAGAACGGTGTGGAAATCACAGTCTTTTTCTTAAGTAGCCACGCAGTCTAAACACCTTCTATAAACTCTCTTAGCTTCGACTTCTTCATTTATAAACTGTTCAAGAGGTTCTTGTGATGATTAAACAATAAAACATAAGTAGGCCGGGCGTGGTGGGTCACGCCTATAATCCCAGTACTTTGGGAGGTCGAGGCAGGCTGATCGCCTGAGGTCAGGAGTTCGAGACCACCCTGGTCAATATGGCGAAACCCCATCTCTACCAAAAATACAAAAAATTAGCCGGGTGTGGTGGCAGGTGCCTGTAATCCCAGCTACTTGCGGGGCTGAGGCAGGAGAAATGCTTGAACCCAGGAGGCAGAGGTTGCAGTGAGCCGAGATCACCACTGCACTCCAGCCTGGGCAACAAGAGCGAAACTCTATCACAAAATAAATACATACATACATATATACATACATACATAAATACATACATAAGTAATTTTCCTAGTAGATGTTCAGTGAACATTATTCAGATTAGATAGCAGGCATTCTGTGCTTATGATGTTCCAGGTGTTATTCTAGGTGCTTGTGGTAAATTGCTATAAAACATTCCCCAAGGGGATCATGCCCTCCTAATTCAGGCCTTGGGTAGTAGAAGGCATATTCCCTTGCATATTAGATTTGGACTGTCCTTAAAACTGGTTTAGATCAACAGATGACAGAAGTGACAGTGGGAAAGTTCTGGGTTCAGGCATTAAGAAGCTTATAGTTTCTGCTTTTACTCTTGCTTTCCTGAGATGTCACATCTTCTTGAATAGAAAAGGTCATAAACAGACAGAGTGAAATACTGCAAGATGCAAGAAACAGGAAAAAGGAGGCCTGGGCAGTCCCCAGTCACTCCAGTCATCCAAGCCTTGGTGCCAGATATGTGATACTAAAGCCACAATGAAGCTGTCAAATGACAGAAACCATCAATGAACCCAGAGAACATAACAAGGAGCAAAAACAAGTCAATCAGTGGAGCCTTACTCAGATTGCAGAAACATGGCCAAATGAGTGGTTGTTGCTTTAAGCTACTAAGTCTTGCATGGCTTGTTACATGATATTAGTAAAGTGGCATATTTACTGATGCAGTTAACTTTGTGATCCCCATTTTACAGATGAAGAAATTGACATACAGAGAACTTACATATATTTTCTTAAGTCATACAGCTAAAGCACGGCAGAGCAAGTATTCTACTGAGGCAGCTTGGCTTCAGAGCTCCCCATGCAATCACCACAGTAAATGGCACTCTCTGGACTTATGTCAGCTTTCTTTCTTTTCTCCTGAAACAAGCCTACATCTAAAGCTTTAGAGTTATTCAGTCTTTTCAAGTATTTTTATGGAGTCTGACAAAAATTATTTTTTTTTCTTGGGGTTCTCATTGGTAATGCATCCAATAAAATTAGTTAAGTAAGAGAGTTATAAAATACAAACACACACACAAACACACACACATGCACTTTAAATTTGAACCCTGGCAATGAGAAGGAAAATAATGTATCCTCGAGGGGAAGTTTTTATGGATATATTCTTTAATGGACAATTGCCGCTAGATTTGGGCTACCCAGCACCGATTCCAACATCAATTTGTTTTTTTCTGGCATTCCCTCTCAGCAACTAAAAAATGTGTGGTACAGGAGCTGATAACCAATTCTTCTGCACTCGTCCCCTTCCTGAGGCATTAACTCATATTGTGAGACAAACACCCTTTCTTCCTATAATTTGGATTATAGTGTCCAGAGAGGACAAGAACACAAGCATTAATTAATTCCAGTAGTACTGCCTGAATAAAATTGTGAAACAACTCCAGTCACCAAGTTATTTCATTTTTTTCAGCCTTCCTGAAATCCTGAGATCTATCCCTGCCTCAGGTACTTCAAATTAATATTCTCTCTCTTTCTTCTCCACTTTTCTCCCTCTCTCTCTTTCAAAGCTAGCAACCAAATAAACCATATTAATACACATATTCACTTAAATATACTTTTAGAAATTCTGAAAATCTTAGATATCAACAACCCATAACTGAACTTAGATGTTCAGGGAGGTTAACTATTTAATATACATAAACTTTCCTCAAAACATGTTGTTCTTGAGGCCCTATGATGCTTTCAAGCATTCAGAACCGTTTGATTAAAAATAAGACTGAATTACAAATGATCAGTATGGCGTATTTCTGCTTATAAAATTTGACAACAGAAAATCACTACCAAAAAAAGTACTCACTACATAGCAATCTTACCTATGAATACAAAAATAGATGCTAAATAAAATATTATTAAATTATTCAAACATCATTATAATAATAGACTATGAAACATGTTGGTTTATTCTCAGAATGCAAGGGAGATTTAAAAGTAAGAAATCTTTTAATATGATGTCCCACATCAAAATGTAAAAGACAGTTTGTCAATACAGTCCAGTAGAGTCCAATAAAAATAGATATTTTAAGTAAATATATTTGATAACACATTAAATCCATGGTTTAAAAAAATTAGTTAATTAAAAGTCAAACTTAATTTCTTATGTGAAAAATAGAACTACATGAAATCAAAAGCTAACATCATACTTAAGGACACTATTTCTCAAATTGCGTTTTGTCAATTTTAATACATCCTGGTAATGAAACATTTCTAGGTTCTAATTGAGTAGGAAATGGTGGTTTTAAAAAATGATGATTTATAAAAGTCCATTCCAAAAGGGATATATAATTAAGTGCTTCTGAAATTTATTATTTTTTACTTGATAATACATCCTTTCATTATTGAGCCACTTTGGGCAGTACTTTTCCAAAAAATATATTGGAACAAATGCCATCATAAAGGTCTCCCTATTTCAAGAAAAGATAAAAATGTGCATCTAAACCATTATTATTGACATTTTCCTATTAATTTGAGCTTATTTAATGAGAAAAGAAAAATAGAAAATAAGGAATATTGTAAAGGGCAGATAATATTTATTCCAATGTCTTCATGACATGATTGTCTAATGGAAACACAAGAACAACAGCCAAAAAGCTATTTGGAATAAAACGAGAGTTTTGTAACAAATAGAAATCATGAATGAAAAGAGTAAATACATAAAAGTGTAAACATTTATTAAAACATCAAAACATGTAAATTCTGACAGAAACCAGCAAATAATAATACAACAGGAAGAACAAAAGGAATAAATTTCTCCAAAGAATTCTTTGTCAGTTATGAGGACCCTACTATAGAGATTTTTAAATATTATGAAACTCTAATAAATAATATACCACTTTGTCAGTATAAAATGAATACTGAACTATCTCAGAACCTTTATCAAAAATCAATTAACCCATAAATATAAGAGTTTTTTTCTGAAATCTATGTATCTCTAAGTCTAGCTTTATGACAGTACAATACTATATTGGTTACTGTAGTTATGGAGTAAGTTTTGAAATCAGAAATAGTGGGTTCCCCAACTTTAATATTATTTTTGAAGATATTTGGGCCTATATATAAGATGTATACACATACATCATATTAGTACAATAAAGGTCAAATATAAATATACATATATATATGTGTGTATATATATATATTTTTTTTTTCTAGATGTTATCAACCTTGTTTTCCCAGAATAAATTATTTTACTCATTTGTTATTTAGGAGTGTGTTGTTTAATTTCTATATATGTGTTAATTTCCTTTTGTTTTTGATTTCTCACTTAATTCCACTGCCCCCAGAAAAATATGTGTTGCGTGATCTTAATATTTTAAAATTATTAAATAAGAATTTCTTAGGTAAAATGTTTTATGGACTAGTGTATGATCATTCTGGAAAATGCTTCATGTGCTCTCCAATAAATATATATTCTGCTGCTGTTGAACAGTATTCTATAGATATCTGCTAGATCTAGTTTGTCTGTGGTGTTCATGTTTCTGTCTACTTATTGATTTTCTGTCTAGTGTTTCTATTCATTATGAAAAAAATTGTATTGAAATATCCATGTATATTTTTGAATTGTCTATTTCTCCCTTCCATCATATCAGTTTTTGCCTAATGTATTTTAGGAGTCAGTTGACAGAAACATATCTTCCTTTGGAATTTTGTTTCCTGTTATACGTAATATATATAAATATATACAAACATACATCTTTAATATTATTGCTGATAGGGCTGGGTTAAAATCTACCATTTTGCTTTTTTGTTTTCTGTTTGTCTCAAAATCTTTTTTAATTTCTGTTTCTCTCTTTTTTCTTCTTTTGTGTTGTGAGTTTTATACTAAATACTTTAATTATTTAATAATTCTAAACTACATTCTTAAAAAATTGATGTAAAATTGTATATATTTTTTATTCAAAACATGTTTTGAAATATACACACGTTGAGGGATGATTCAATTGAGCTAATTAATACAAACATTACTTACATATTGTGAGAACAAATATAATCTACCCATTTAGTGATGTTCAAAATATTATACATTGTTATTAACCATGGTCACCATGTGTACAATAGATCTTTTGACCTTATTCCTCATATCTAACTGAATTGTATCTAGCCTGAATCCTGAGTCCACAGAGGATGACCTGATGCTGGAATGGGTTGTGACCTTGACTTGGCAGGGGCATGGCCAGGTGCTGGGATGGTCCTGGTACCTGGTTCCCCTGAGATGGACCTGAAACTGAGTTCACATGAGCTAGTCTTATCTGCATGCAGCCTACTGGATCCAGGGGTGGGCCTGGGTCTTGAGTCTCCTGGGGTAAACATAGTATCTCAGTTCATGAGGGAGAGCCTAGAACTCAGGTCCACTGAGATAGACCTGGATTGTGTCTGCTGGAACATGGGGCAGCCACAGGGACTGGCCTAGCATTGGATAGGACTGTATCCTATGTCCATAGGTGCCAACGTGGTGCATGAAGTCAGGGGTGGTGACCTGATGCTGGGGCAGACCTAAAAATTCGGCTGTGTGGGCTGACCTTGCTTGGGGTTGGTCTAAAATCTGGGGCTGGCCTAGAACCCTGGGCCATAGGGGTTGGCCTGGCATTGAGTAGAATCATTCACAGAGGATGGTTGCATGGGTGCTGTCCTGATGAAAAAATCTTCAGTTGTTGGCATGGTACTGAGTGGGCCTAATGCCTGTGGCCTTGTGGATACAGCATCCAGAGCCAATGAAGCCAATCTTGCTCTGGGATATACTTGAAGCCTGAGGTTGTGGGGGCGCTGGTCCAGAGCATAGCACTGCTGGGGTCAGCCTGGTATAGGGTGACCTGGAAACCTAGTCTGTTGGACAGGCCTAAAGCATGGAGCTATAGGATCCCACTTGGTACTAGGGTGGATGTGGCAGCTAAGTTCTCCAGGTACTTGCTTAGTGCCTGGGGTTGCAAGGGCTGGCCTGATCCTGAGGCCTGTATCCATGGGGGTTGGCCTAGAGTCTGGGTCTGCGTGTGCTGCCCTGATGAGTAGGGCTGCAGGAGCTGACCCGGTGTTGGGCTGTCTGAAATCGGAGTCTAGTTTGAAGCCTGGGGCCTTGGGTTTAGCCTGGTGCTGAGAGGCCTTGGGTCAGCCTGGTTAGCTAGGATTGGAGCCTGGAGCCCCTGCAGTCAGTTTGACAGTGAGGAAGGCCCAGAAACTAAATCTTCAGGGCATGTCTTGAGCCTAGGACTGTGGGATCCCACCTGGTATCAGGGTGGACCTGAAGCCTTAGTCTTCAGGCACTGCCTGAAGGCTAAAGCCACATTGGCCTTCCTAGCACTATGTTTTACTATGGTGAACCTGGTCTTGGGGTTTGAGGCAAAATCTAATGCTCACTTATCTCTCCTTCCCTCATGTGGAGTGCACCTCTTTTCATGCTGTCCTGCCTGGAGTTGGGAGAGGAATAACATATATGTGTAAAAATGTCCATCCTACTCTGCCTTTTTTTTTTTTTAATTTCTGCACTACACACAGGTGCTGTAATCTTTTACCTAGTTTCTTTAGATATTGCCGAAGTATTTTTGTATGCAGATACTTCTTCACATTGATGTGTCTGAGGAGGAATGAGTTGTGCAAAGTCCTGTTCTGCCATCTTAGTTATGTTAGTCTCCCTAAACTACTTTTTTCTGGAGTTATTTTCTCAGTGGTTGCGATTGGGCTTTAAACATACATCTTATCTTTTCAAAATTTACTTCAAGTTTATATTGAGTTCCCTGAAATGGAGAAACTCCATTTCCTCTCTACTTCTTTGCACTATCTCTCTTATACATACTAAATCTATATCTGTTAATAACCCAACATGTATTTTCACAATTCGTACTTTTTATTATAGTATGTCTTTTAAAGAACCTGAGAGGAGAAAGAAGAACTACTAGATATTTATATGTTAGTTACATTCACTTTTTGATTAACCCTTTTTGATTAACCTTTTCTGGTTCTCTTAGTTTATACCTGTGGATTTGTAATACCATTTCAAATTTTCTTACTCAAACACAGTTGTATTTCCTCTTGCCCCCTCTGTGCTATTATTGTCAAATACATTATACTTATATTTGTTATAGGACCAATAATTCAATTAAATAATATATTTTATGCAATTCTTTTTTAAAAAGTCAAGAGAAGGAAGTAGAAGAAACATGCAATTATATAATCTTTTGTAGTTACCTACATAATTGCCTATATGATATATTTCTTTTTTCATGTAGGTTTGGATTACTGTCTAGTGTCACCTGCTTTCAGACTAAATGACTTCTTTAGTATTTTTTTGTAAGGCAAGTCTGCTAGCAATGGATTCTAACAGTTGTTAGTTTTCTATGAGTATCTTCATTCACCATCATTTTTATTATTTTATTTATTTATTTATCTTTTTAAGTATACTTTAAATTCTGAGATATATATGCAGATCGTGCAGGTTTGTTACATAGGTATACACGTGCCGTGGTGGTTTGCTGCACCCATCAACCTGTCATCTACATTAGGTATTTCTCCTAATGCTATCCCTCCCCTAGGCCCCCATCCCCCGACAGGCCCCGGTGTGTGATATTCCCCTCCCTGTGTCCATGTGTTCTCATTGTTCAACTCATACTTATGAGTGAGAACATGTGCTGTTGGTTTTCTGCTCCTGTGCTAGTTTGCTGAGAATGATGGTTTCCAGCTTCATCCATGTCCCTGCAAGGGACATGAACTCATCCTTTTTTATGGCTGCATCACCTTCATTTTTAAAAGGTAGTTTTGCTGGATATAAGATTCTTGGTTGACAGTTTTTTTATTCTCCACTTTAAAATGCCATCCCACTCCTTTCAGGCTTCCATTATTTCTGATGAGAATGTAGCTGTTAATCTAATAAATTGAACTGCCCTCTATGGGATGAGTAGTTTTTTTGTTTTTTTGTTTTCTCTTGCTGCTTTCAAGATTTTTCTATTTATATTGTCTTCCAAAATTTTGACTATAATGTATCTGCCTATGGATCTCTTTTTGTTGATACTACTGGTAGTTCAATGAGCTTCTTGGATACATAGAATAAGATTTTTCATCAAATTTGGAAACTTCCCAGGATTTATTTGTAAATTTTTCTGTCCTTTTCTTTCTCTTCTTATGGTACTTCTGCTACATGTATGTTGGTGTACTTAAATATTCCCCATTTCTCTACTGCTTTGTTCATTTTTCTTTTTTTCTCTGTGTTCTCCTGATTTCATAATCTTTAATGATTTATCTTCAAGCTCAATGGTTCTTTCTTCTGCTAGCTCAAATCTACTCTTGAACTCCTATATATATATATATATTTTTTTTCTTTTCAGCTATTTTACTATATAACTCCTAAATTTCTATTTGGTTCTTTTTAATACTTTATCTTTGGTTCTTTTTAATACTTTCTCTTTGCTGATATTCTCTATTTGATGAAACAGTGTCATAGTAACTTCCTTAATTGTTTAAGCATAATTTCCTTTATTCTTTCAGCGTACTTATAATAGCCAATTGAAGTCTTTGTCTACTAAGCACACTATCTGGAGCCCTTCAAATGCCATTTCTACTTCCTGCTTTTCTTTTGCCTGCATGGTGTTCACCCTTGCCTGTTTCCTTTCACAGCTCATAAGTTTTTGTTCAAAACAAACTTGCATGGTGTATGGTAGCAACTCTGGATGATGATGTCCACCATGAAGTTCTTGCTGTTGTTTGCTTGGTCATTTGTTTATTATTTTAGTGACTTGGCAGAATTAATTCTTCAAAATCTATTTTCCCCATAGTGTATAGCTTCTGATTTCCTGGCTCAGATATTCCCCTCGTGTGTGTGTGTGTGTGTGTGTGTGTGTGTATTTTTTTTTTTTTTGAGATGGAGTCTCTCACTGTCGCTGAGGCTGGAGTGCAGTGGAGTGATCTTGGCTCACTGCAACCTCTGCCTCCTGGATTCAAGAGATTCTCCTGCCTTAGCATCCTGAGTAGCTGGGACTACATGTGCGTGCCACCATGCCCAGCTAATTTTTGTATTTTTGGTGGAGACTGGGTTTCATCATGTTGGACAGGATGGTCTCAATCTCTTGACCTCGTGATCCACTCACCAAGGCCTCCCAAAGTACTGGGATTACAGGTGTGAGCCACTGCGCTGATCCTTGTTTTTATATTTTATTCTAACTACCCAGGAGTGATCCCTAGGTCTACATAAGCCACTTATTGATCAAGGTTATGCTTAGGCACCCATGTCATTTAGGTTTTCAAACTTTATCATAGACATGTATGTTTATTTATCCTTGCCCATGTTCAACCTGGGACTAATAGCTTGTAAGTTCCTTCTAGGATTACTCCTGAGAGAGTATAGCATTGGGCATCAACACGGTCTTCCAGACCACCAAGGGTAATGAAAGTATTATTTTTAAGCCTTCTTCCTATGGGTTGCCCCTGAGTCAGAGTACTTATTATTCAGTCAGTGTGTGGACAGAGGTTGTATTTAAGCTTCATGTAGTAGTGAGGCTTCAGCTCTATGTTGGTTGGTATGCATGTGGCTTGAAGGTTGTTTGTAAGTCAGCTCTCATCTTGCTTTGATTGTTCCAGTGGTGGCAGATGTCTCATAATATGGGGTTGGGGTAAGGTGGTGTGTGAATAATGGAGTGAATTATGGTTCAAATGCCAAATTCTTTCTGTTCATACCAAGATTTAGTCAATTTTTGTAAATGAATGTCTTTACATGTGCAGTTTGTTCTTAGGAAAATTCCCAGACGTTGAATGAGTGGGTTTTTAAAAATTATTTTCATATTGTTTTGCTTACTTCATCATTCTGGCAAGAATATTTTAAAAGGTATGTTTAAATATTGTTCATTAAAAGATTGATATGTGCCATGGACTATTATTAACTATTCTAATCACTGAAAAACTATTATTTTATTTTAAAAATCAAGAAACCAAGGTCAGAGAACTTAAGTAACTTGTTAAAGTTCATACAATCTGAAGGTAAGAGAATATGGCTTCAAATACATATTTGTTTGACTCCAATGTTTGTGTCCTGATTCCTATACTATATCATTTCATAGCGGTATCACTTATAGCAAAAATTGGACTAAATCACTTCTAAAGTTCTTGTCAGCATTAATATATAAAGAACGTATTTCAACTTTGCTCCACACATTCTCTGTTGAACATAAGATAAAATATACAAACTATCAAATATAAGATAAAAATACACAAACTATCAAAGGAACCAACACAGAAAACCATTTTTGACAAATTATTAATAGTAAGTAATAAAATCTGGCTTGAAAATTTTGCTGGGAGAAAATTATAGATGAGATTATTGAGTTCAGGTAACTAATAACTATTTTAAAGATCTGACAATTATACTCACCTCTAAAAATTTAAAATATATAATTCCCATCTCTTCAATAATCATGCTAGGTAAAGTAAGATATTTTATGAATCTTCTTTTGATTCATAACTCCCCCTTAGGTAACAGCTATTCTTTAAAAGGCAAAACTTGTTTAGTAATTTACTTAATTTTAAATAAAATTACTTGACACGCTATATAAAGTTTGAGAGATATTATTGCTGGAAGGCACCACAGGAAAGTTCCTCTGGAGTTCATTTAGATTCAGGGAAGACAATCCTGCTTTTCATATGATTTTGAAAATTTCATATCTAATTGGTCAAGATGTTTTTTCTTAATTGGTTGCATTTTTAAGATTACGTGAAGAATATTATGATAGAATGATAATGTAGTTGCTTTGGAGAAAGACAATCTCAGCTTTTCCAGGTGTTATTTATATGACTCAAGGCCATATAATTGAGGTTCATTATTGAACCTCTATGCGTTTCAGCTTTTATGTCTATAAAATATGGAGAATAATATTACCTACTCCACTTTTTTGATGTAAGATCAAGGAAATAACATAAATAAAACACTCTGCATAGTGCCTGACATGTATTAGGAACAGACAAACAATAGCAACTGTGTGATTTTTATGACAGTGGGCTCTGGAGTCCATCAGCCTGTGTTAGAGTTCTGATCTAACCATTTACTAGTTCCCATGACCTCGGAAACTTCACTTTCACCTGCCTTACTTTACGCCTTTGTGAAATGAAAAAAATAATGATATTGACTTCAGAGTTATAATGAGGATAAACTGAATGACTATATGTCACACACTTAGTGATACGGACAGGAGACAGAAATACTGGGTAGAAAGAAGAGGGTGGTTCCCCAGGGCAAAGCCCCACCTTCAAGCCTGGAAACCCAGGGCCCTAAATGAGAACAGGCATTCCTGTTTCTGTGCCCAAAAAGTTGCCTTTTGGCCAACCACACCCCCCTATCCTGTACCCATATAAACCCCAGACCCAGGATCCAGAAGGAGAGGAGGAGATGAAGAGAGAGCAGAAGAACAGCAGAACAGCACTGCAGAGAGAAGAGAAGGAACGTTTGAATGCTGAGAGGAGTTTGGCTGGGGACCATTAGAGTGAAGATTGGCTACTGGACAGCCCAACTCCAGGGGAAGATCATCTTCGCACCCCATTCCCCTTCCAGCTCCTCATCCATCCAGCTGAAAGCCACCTCCACCACTCAATAAAACCCCCACATTCATAATTCAAGTCCGTGCATGACCGGATTCTTCCTGGACGTTGGACAAAGACCTGGGTACCAAGAGAGCACTGAGGTGATTAACACATAAGCCATCTGTGGATGACAAAGCTGAAAGAGCACAGTGTAGCACACACCCACTTGGACTTCAGGAGCTGCAGACACCCATCCCTAGACATTACTGTGGAGCCGGAGCTCAAAGTGCGTGCCCTGGCTCCTGCACCTGCCCGTCTGCATGCTCCCTCTCCCATAAGGGGTTTGAGCATGCAGTGGCCGAACAGAGAGCAACACCCCTGTTGCACATCCTGTGAGAGGAGCCAGGGAACTCTCCAATCTCATTAAGAAAGTACTTAACATATAGCAATCCCTATAAAACATACTGGCTATTGTTATATTTTTATTGGATGAAGCCCAATTCGATGTCATAATAAAACAATTGCAGATAACTCCAGAAAGTATCCATTAGAAGAAAGCAATCTGATGTGGGGCTTAACCAGAACCTATAAACACAAAAGAAAACTTTATGTCACTAACGTACTTGCTTTTATTTTGGGAGACAACGAGTCAAAAATTTCCATCCTTCACATGTAATAGTCATTGGCAGGTATCTGCATACCACAGAAGGAACAACTTTCTTTGCAATTTTCACAGAGTAATTAAACATACTTGATTGCTTTTTATGATGGTGACAGGGTTCTTATTGAGGTCTATGGTGATTTCTTTCCACTGGAGCTCTTTCCAGTAATTTTTGACACTAAATTCTAAACATTTTGATAATATCTCCAATGCTACTTCAACAACAACAAAAAAGAAGTGTAGACGTTTGGGAACACTAATAAATTACAGACTCTTTGGTTGTATTCAACTTTCCTTGAAGATAGAAAAATGTATGTTTAACATAGCCTACATTTGATTTGCACCATGTGTCTTCTGAAAATTAATAAATTATAATGATAAAAAGAATAATCCCTAGATATTTATTTTACTAATTTCTGCAAAATAGAAATTTCTAACAACTTCTTAAAAAAGAACTCATGTTCCTCACACACTACTATAAGAAAAAAAAATGACACATCAAAACAACTAACCATTGTTACACAATGATTCATTACTAAAACACTGTTTTTGTTATTGAGAGTGGAAGTACACCCAAACATCTTCCATTAGTTCACAAGATTGCTTTCCGGAATACATTGTTCTTAATAACCTAATATTTTCATAAACTCATCAGATTCTGTTTTCTATGAATAGTATTATATTTGCTTGAGAGATTCCTTAAGGGTTTGTTGTTGTTGTTCTTGTTCTTAAACTGAATGCAGAAGAAAATTGAGTAATTTTATGAACTCATTAGAACAACATATGTCTAATTATGTTCTTTTTAAAAAATCTCCCTCCAAACCTTTAGCAGAAGTATAGACTAAATTGGCAAAAATAAAGATGTAAAATACTATAAGATTAACAGTAAATCAAAACAAAAATTGATAAAGAATTATATGCAAGTAATTATCTAGCATGTGGTAGTTGTAAATTTTGTATGAATCAACTGTTTTGATGTGTAATTATTCTCAAGAAATCATATTATGGTTATAATTGTGAAATGCAGCCTCCTTTTGCCTATTTTTGACTTATATTCTAAAAATATGCAAAAATAATATAATGTCTAATTTCTTATCTTCAGATTTCAAATCATACCTAACTTTCAAAGCCTTCCATTATATAGTTTGTTTATTACTTCATTCCAAGAGCTTTATTTCTCACTCTCTTGAATGTGACACTCCTGTTGTCATGTTTCTAACCTTAACATTTCCCACACGCATTAGAATCAGCACTGTGTTCAGATATCTCTTAGCAAAGCCCTCTCCTCTGGAAAATGTTCCTTTTGTCCTTTACATTGAGAGCCTTTTACATTGTATCTTATGAAACCATCTCTAGCATCCTATTCCCCCATGCCTTCTTCTGAATTAATTTTAAGAATATTTACTTTGACTTGGAAATGTACATTTAAACTATATAGAGAATAATGAGTTAGGACTTTTATTTAAGAAACCTCAATTTATGTGCCTACTCCTATAGGTGGTAGGAACCATAGAAAACTAAATTGCTCATTTATAAGTCAAATTGTCTGAATAAGCTCCATTTGTTCAATCTGAAAATAGCTTATTGGGTTTGTCAAATTTTAACCAGCTAACCAAAGAGTTTAATCAGCATTTATAAAAAAAATTATCTCATAATAGTATTTATGTTATTTTTTAAAATAAAGAGAGCACTTCAGAGGAGATAAGTAATTTGTCCAAGGCCATCAAATATACCGTGGAAGGTCCTACAAAATGCAAAGTACTCACAAAAGTTTTAAATTTGTGAGTAGATGACCAACAATGAGTAACAGACTCTAAGAATGAGTACGTGAAAAGAGTTGAGTGTCCTGATAAAATAAAGCTCACAACCAAATTAATCTGATGCTTATATAATGATATGCATAATCATTATTGTGTTGCAAAGTGATTAGTCATAATTGCTAAAAGGGCTCACATAAATTACTATAATTAGTATTGTACTTACACTGTCAAGCTAAGTAGTTCTAGGATTAGCTAGAGATAAAGAAAAGGGAAAGCAGCTAGAATAAATGGGAAGCTCTTCTAATGCCCTGTTGGAGAAACCAAATTTAGGAGGTACATAGAGATCATTTAGCCCAATTCTCTTTTTACTCACAGACAAACTGAAGGATAAAAAATGGTGGGACCTGGCTTCAAAGAGCAATATTTTGTTATGTTTCTGGCATTGATTCCTTCGCACTAGAATCTGTAGAACTAGAACTGCCTGTCTTATCAAGAGAGGAAATGGCAGTTATGAAAGCTGAGAGTAGAAGAATTTCATTTTTCATTTGCTTTCTAAGAACAACACCCCAGTCCCATATTCTGCAGATGTAGGAATCATGTGGCGTAAGCCAAGATTCTATTTTCCTCTCAGGGAGTCCTAAGCCAAACTTTGGTGGAAAGAGAAACACCCAACCTAGAATAAGGGAAGGAAAGGAGGAAACTGCTATGAAAATACATTATCTGTCTGCTGTGGTTCCTAATCCTTCCAGCTGGGAGTGGCTCTGAAGAAGGCTCTGGGCCCTCAGAGATCCTCAGTCTGCAAATCTTCAGAACTGCTTTACCACTTGCCAACCTGATCATTTTTCCTATTGTGTAATTTTACCAACTGGAAGAGCAATAATTTATACTTGAAAAAAATTAACAGATTTGGAGTCAGATATATTTGTGTCTAACTGTTTATATACTCTTGGGGAACTCAGCCCCTTTGAGCCTCAGTTTCTTCATCTGTTATGTGGAGAAAATCATTTTACCGCATATAACTCTTGTTTGAATTAAATAAGATCATGTACAACAAGTTTAGTTATAGTAATAGTATTTGGCACATACTTTGTGGAAGGCGGTCTGCCACGGACCTTTTGAGCTCCTAGATGTCTTGCTGAGTGTGCCAAAATCACAAGGCTATGGCCATTCTTTTGACCAAAAATTAAAATAATGCATTGTGATAATGTATCATGTAGTCTAGGAATGCATTTAGTATTGCTCAGGACAAAGAGGTTGAGGGCCAGGGATGGTGGCTCATGCCTGTAATTCCAGAAATTTGGGAGGACCAGGTAGGAGATTCGCTTGAGAACAGGAGTTTGAGACCAACCTGGGCAATATAGTGAGATCCAATCTCTACAAAAATAAAAAATATATACATATATAAAAATGTTAGCTGGATATGGTAGCATGGTGGCATGTGCCTGTAGTCCCAGCTAGTCTGGAGGCTGAGATCAGAGGATCATTTCAGCCCAGGAGTTCAAGGCTGCAGTAAGCTATGATTATGTCACTGCACTCCAATCTGGGTAACGAAGCAAGATCCAGTCAAAAAAAAAAAAAAAAAAAAAGGGAAGAATTTGATTCACTGCTTGCTTTTAGGAGAGGTTTCTTAAATGAACCAGAACCAGCATGTCCTTGCCTCAGAGACTTAATATGTCAATTGCCCAGCTAGGTTTGCATTGAAACTACAGATATATTTCAAGAGAAACTGCATTTTAATATTTAGTCATCTGACCCATGAACATGGCCCATATTAACATGACACACCTATCACTCCATTATTTTAAGTCTTTTTAATATCTCTTGGCATATTATTTAGTTTTCAGTGAACAAACATTGCACAACATTTGTTAGACTTGTCCCTAAATATTTCATATATGTGATGCTACTCTAAACAATAATTATTTTAAATTCACTACTATACTAGTGTTTTGTTTATTTTATTGTATACTCATTTGTTTATCTATTTTATTGTATACTAGTTTATTACTAGTATACAAAACAAGTTATGGATTCCCTAACTCAGGTTCCTTATTTTCTAGCAAAGATTTTATCGTATGTATTGGCTCCACCTGGCCATCACATCACTGTGCACAATTTGGGGACTGGGGAATCCATACACCCATGACGATATTCTTGCTACTGTTTTGCCATGAATAATAATGTCCTTTGCCTCTGACTCAAGAGTCTCATTTCCTTTGTTACCATCCATGGAATGTAATAGCTCTCGTCCACACCTTCAAACATTTAAATAGAGTAAAAACCATATTATAATTTATATTCAAGAAAGAATAGTCCAATTAATGCACGTTGGAGTATTTAGTAAAGTGGCCAGATATACTTAATAAAATCCCATAATAAGTCTTAAGACATGTATTGTTCAATACATTTTTAAAATAATAATATTGAGACTCGGGTTTGAACAACCTGGAAACATTGTGTAAGTATTGGGCTCCTGGTGGCATCAGGAGGTAGTAAAATGGCAGGAGTAACAAATACAGGTAGAATTACCCTATGAATGACCTTTCTTGGTGATTTTGCCAAAGCCAGCTGTGGCCCTTATCTTAGATACCATGCACTGTTAATTTCCAATCAAGGAGAATAGCCGGAGAGATATAACTCTGTAGTTATTCATTTAGAAACCAGAAGATATATGAAGACAGATGTGCTGTGAGTAGAGAACATTTGATGACACATGATTGTCCATGCCACAAATTAAAAGGAAATACACAAATAGGCACACAATCTATGCTATATTGTACATGTTTCTAAATATTGGCATAAATTTTCCACAGAAGAAATTTGGTATCAAAACTCTGTGAAATACTCTGTGTGAAATATCTCAATTATATTTCAAAAGTCCTAGGCTATGTTCAAAAGTGAGTATTTCAATAGTCTTTTCTCCATATTCACCAAGTTCACTATAGTAGATTCATGAGGCTCAGAGAAGTTTGGAAACATTTTAGTCCGGCTCCCAACTCTGCATAGATCTTAACCCTCCTCATCTTAAACATAAAGCACCAAAGATTGTTTGGGCTTTATACAGAAAAAAAGTGATGACACAGGAGTGTGACAGCCTAATTAATTTTGCCTCCTGGCTCTCCCATTTTCTGCCTCTGGGGCCAAGGTCAGCTATTTGACCTCTATGGACCTCCTTTTTATAATATATAATATGGAGATGATAATACTTTTTGAAAAAGGTAACTGTGTCTGGCATACAGTAGGTACCCAGCGAATGGGACACATCATCACTTCCAGGCCACATAGCACTTCAGTACAAAAGACAGGCTGTCACCTGGAGATTTTTGATTTTTTTATGGTATTATCAGCCAGAAAGCTTTTTCATTCTGTGGCTTAAAGGAAGATTACTCACACAAAATCCCAGGTGCATATTTTGGAAGGAGTGTAGGAAAATCCTCACAGGTCTACACTTATACTCCAGGAGTGAGTGACCGCAGAAGAAACCACCCTAGGGGGCAATGTGTCCTTGATCTAGAGCTGCAGTTTTGCCTAACACCTCAATGCTTCTCCAAAATCTTCCTTTGATTTGAAATAGGGTGGTTTCTTTTTTCTTATATTTTAAAAATCTTCTTACAGAAAAGTATTTCGTTCATTCAACTCTGACCTCCTCACTGAGAAAAGGACAATCCTAATATAAGGCTGCAAATTGTGAAGGTCCAATCAAGGAAGCAAATTAGCTACTCTCTTCAGAGTTAGTCCTCAAAGAAAGATTGTATCCTAAATCAGAGCAGTTAATACCTTCCACGGCAATTAAGCCTGAGCTGCTTACAACTCTAAGAAGAAGCCATAATATATCTGAGGATAGAGGGGTCATGAGGGGAAGCTTTTAATTTCTGGCTCTTTGTATTTAATTAACCCGAAACAAGAAAGTAAATATGGTGTCAAGAATGGGAAAGGAGAGAGCATTTGGAAAAGTAACTAAGGGATACTGGAGGGAGATTATCTTAAAGTTTAGAAATGCTTGTTGTTATATAAGAGAGAGCTGTGTCACTGAACTTGGCAAGTAACTCAGCCTCTCTATGCCCTGGCATATACAGAGCCAAGTGAGGAAAAGAATACTCCATGGAGGTGTCATCTGGGTTAAAAGAAAACGTATGTAAAGCACCTAGCACTTAATAAATATCCAGTAAATGGAAAATTAGTATTACTTGAGAGGAATGTTTTGCATTACAATAATTTCTAACTTTTGCATGAATTTTGATTTTTTTCCACTTTAATTTTTATTAAATTATTAAATGAGAATACACACACACAAACACACACACACACACACACACACACACACACAATGTTAATAAAATGCCCTCAATTAAAGCTAGGTATCTACATTTCCTTCAGCATATTTCCCAAGTATACTAACAGACTATCCGTAAGAAAGTGGAACAACTATTTACTATGTACTGTGTACTATTTTATTAAACATTACTATATACAAGATTCTTCTTCCATTTAATTCTCACCTTCTTCCAGGGGGATATTATTGACATTTTACAAATAAAGAAGTTGATGTTCATCTGGATAAATATCTTGCCAAAAGTCACTCATGTGGTGTTAGAGATCAAGATTGTAACGCATATGTGTCTGATGCTAAAATTCTAGCTTTTCTGAGGACAGAAATAATTCCACAGTTGATACAGAACAGTGTTTCCCAAACTTCCATGAATGGGAGAAATCCCAGAAGATACTTGTTAGAAATATAATTTCTGAAGTCTCATTCAAATCCAAATCTACAGGAAAGGGCCCTAGAGAAGCTCAATGTTTAATAAACATACCAAGTGATTGTCATGATTATCATTGCAAAGTTTGGAAAACAACATTGCAGAACACAGAGACTAGCATTCTGAAACTTTTATCTGTTTATCTGTTTCTGTCCTTTTTTTTTTTTTGAGATGGAGTCTCGCTCTGTTGCCCAGGCTGGAGTGCAGTAATGTGATCTCAGCTCCCTGCAACCTCCACCTCCCAGGTTCACACCATTCTCCTTCCTCAGCCTCCAGAGTAGATGGGACTACAGGCGCTCACCACCACACCGGGCTAATTTTTTTGTATTTTTAATAGAGACAGGGTTTCACAGTGTTAGCCAGGATGGTCTTGATCTCCTGATCCCATGATCCGCCCGTCTCAGCCTCTCAAAGTCCTGGGATTACAGGCATAAGCCACCACGCCCAGCCTTATCTGTTTATTTCTAATAAACAGTTGTTTCAGTACAAACAGAATTGCTTTGATAGAAACAGATTCTATAATATTAAATTACATTAATAATTAATGGCACATATGAAATTAATTCTGATTTTAAGAAAAATGGCAATATGCCATTGGAAATACCCATAGACTCTCAATAAGAAAATAAATACTGTAAAATACTTAAAGCAAATAATACAGCTAAGTCAAACCGACTTTTATACTTTTTATTAGAATAAATTACAAAATGTTAAATGCCATACTCGTGTTTAAATATGCTGATTTCTTAAAGTACAAATAAAACAAATTATTAATTAGGACACAGAATGGAATTACACAAGCAACAAAGACTGCAGGACCAGAAGAAACAAACTGAGCCAAAGCTTTTCTATTTACTAGCTCTGCGGCCTTGAGCAAACTACTTAACCTCTCTGGGTCTTAGTGGCTCCATCTAAATAATACATGGAATAACATTTTCCTCACAGGATTAATGTATAAATTAAAAGAAACAAAATGTGACACTTTATAAATGACCTCTAATATCAAGTTGTAAAAATGACTGGCTTTTACAATTATGTTTGTATAAGTTGGCTGCTCCTTCTCTGCCAAGGCTATGTGCATAAATACTTTTAATTCTCTGCCAAGACTAAGAGAGGGACATTTTATAGGAAGGAAGAAATGATGCTATTTCACTGGAGATGTCATCATGGCTTCCGAGTGAGTTGTTAAACTACAGTCTCTCCTGTTGTATTATCAGCTACTTAGTAGAAGTTTAAGATCTACAGATCGTTTTCAACAGAAGAAAACGGAGAAGGACATCATCCTAATGTTCTTAAATGTTTGCTCCGTGTCTGCAGTAAAGGTCTATTGCTCACAGCTATGTCCGATCACAGCTATGTCTGATCATTTGCACTGGTGGAGATAATAGCAACCTCATAGACTTTGACAATCATCTTCTAAGTCAGTTATTTAAATACGGCTTTGAAATGTCTTGATTATCAGGAGTATAAAAGGCAAATTTAATTCTAATATATTTGTAATAAGAATGGGAGCAAGAACCATAATCTCAATAATTACAATATTGGGTATAATAGGTATAACTTTTTAAGACTGTAACTCATTTGGAGATGTGAGATGATCCTGAAATCACCTGATCCATTCTACAATTAGAATATAAAAAACTACTTGTCAAAACATCTTGGAAATTGCCCAAGACCTTTAGAGTTTACCCTTTGTATCAGCATGCCCTGGATGTGAGATGTGGAGTGAAAGGAGATTATTTTGGAGCTGTAAGATTTAATGACTGCCTCACTGGATTTCAGACTAGCATGGGGCCTGTAGTCCCTTTGTTTTGGCCAATTTCTCCCATTTGGAGCTGGAACATTAACCCAATGCCTGTACCCTCAATGTGTCTTGTAAGTAATTAACCTGCTTTTGATTTTACAGGCTCATAGGCAAAAGGGACTTGCCTTGTCTCAGCTGAGATTTTGGACTTAGATTTTTTGGTTGATGTTAGAATGAGTTAAGACTTTGGGGAACTGTTGGAAATGCATGATTGGTTTTGAAATGTAAAAAGGACATGATATTGGGGAGAGAAATGGGGCAGAATGATATTGTTTGGCTCGGTGTCCCAAACAAATTCTCATTGCAAATTGTAATCCCCATGATCCCCACATGTCAAGGGAGGGACCACATGAGAGAGGTGATTGGATCATAGGGTTGGTTTCCCCCATGCTGTTCTAGTGATAGTGAGTGAGTTCTCATGGTTCTGATGGTTTTATTAAGTGTTGTTTGACAGTTCCCCCTTCATGTGCTCTTTATTGCCTGCCACCAGGTAAGACATGCCTTCTTCCCCTTCTGCCATGACTGTAAATTTCCTGAGGCCTCCCTAGCCATATGGAACTGTGAGTCAATTAAACCTCTTTTTTTTTTCTTCGAATAAATAACCTAGTCTTAGGCAGATCACCTAAATGCCTTAAACTTTAATTTTCTTATCTCAAAAAAAAGAAGTGAGATATCTCATAAATGAGATAAGATGTGTGCAAACAATAAAGTAATTTACCAGTTTTAGTTATAACAGTGATTATTAGTAGGATATAAATCCAATGATGATGATAATATTTTTAAGGTGACTTTTAGCTTTAACCAGTTTATTTAAAATCTCTATAAATCCTATAAATGACAAATGTATCCTTGTCAAAGTATTGGGCATCTCCAGCTATCAAAGATAAGATACACTTAAATCATGGTTCCTTCTTTTCCCAAACTGAAATTGAACTTGGCATAGTACTTATGACTCAGATGTCAATTTTTATAATACAGCCTTGATCCGTCTCAGAGTTCCTATTTCTTTAATTTCATTTTCAGAACCTCTCATTGATTCTTCTCACAGATCCATCTTTTTGAACCCCTACAATTACCCAGATATAGAATGAGACTTTTATATCACAAGGCATACTGGTTTTGGAGCCAGGATGGTGTAATGTTGAGCACACTGAATTTGTATTCAAATTGTGGTTATGCTACTTACCCAGGTTTGGTAACTTGACCCCCCTAAGACAGCTATTTCCTTATCTGTAAAATGCAAAGTGGTAAAAACACTAAATATAGGATATAAAGAAATATATATAGTTTGTGTTCTTTAAATGTTTGTCAGTTTTACTAATTCTAATTTTTCTCCACGAACAACTGATCTCCAATTAGGCCATTTTTGTGCTGCCATCCAGATAGACAATTCTGGTACATTTTGGTTTGCTGAACAAGGAGCCAGTTAGGACCTCTAACTTCCCCTGGAGTCCAGGGGTGGGAGGGGTGAGGGAGAGGGTCAGCAACTGAACTCAGCTTCCGACACAGTTCAAGAGGCCACAACCTCCCAAGACCTCTAAACTCTCCAGGTATATGGGCTTTCCCAGATAACTCCTATATAAATTTGGCATTCAAGCCAAACTTCATGGCATCTAGTGTACTTTTTGCCCTGGGCTATAACCATCAATGCTCACAGGCTTGCCCTATAAAACAGAATGACCACAACAGGTGGGGTGCTTCCTCTAGAATATAAGCCAGTGGTGGCTCCTACAACTTCACCTGTGTCTCCATGGTTCTCCATGGAAGGATAAGAGTGCTTAGAAGCATGTATCTCCTGAGCTGAAGCAGAAGGAAAGGACTGTTGTATAGTCCAAATTTCCATGCTGAATGTATACTGATTCCCTTTATTATGATTGCTTACCTGTTCATTACTTGTCCCACAGATACTTTCTCATGTAGCTCAGTAACTCCTGTACTTTGCAGACAGGAGAGTTTCAGAAACTTGAAGAACAAATTCCAAAAGAACTATGAGTAGGTGATGGATACTTTTTCTTTTCTTAAGCCACATTTCATTGCCACAGTCAAAGCAGAATGTTATGTGATGATTTTAAATTCATTTTGTATTAGTAACTTCAAGTATAACAACTTTGAAACTGAAATAAGTGTTAATTTCTATTAACACAAATGACTTGTGAAAAAAAGTTCCTCTTACTGGCAGCTGGTTTGTAAATTTCCCGTATAAAGCCTGTTACTAAACCAATACAGTGTGGTTTTTTGGAATTCACCCATTCCCATATTGCTTCACAGTTGTCATCATCCCTCTGAGCAATATTATGGGAAAAGTTTCAAGTGATACATATTCTTCTGTTAATATCCTGGCTGCCTGCAATTCTTCTCTGCTGTTCACTCATCATCTGGATGGTTTCAAGAAATTATTTAGGTAGAGTACATCTTAAAATGACAAACAAATATTGTCTAAGGCTTCTGTTATCTTATAATTAAATGCTGTATTTATTCGCCATCCCAGAAATTATAATCACCAAGGATAGAAGGTATCATTAGCTTTTAGTTGTTACTTATGTAATAACGATAACTTACTGGATCCATTTACTAACAGCAAGATTCCAGTAAAATCTTAAATGTTTATGGAGATTACCAATCCTGTGAAATTAGACTGCCCTCAAATCTAAAACAATATTTTCTTTTCTTTACTTCATGTTTGTTATCTTTATAGAGCATGTGTAGTTTCCCTTAGTCAACCTTTCATTTATTTAAAGATACTGTGGCTTTAACAATACTTAAGGTGCTGTTTTAGAAGGAATATTTTTCCTTAGTTGCTGTCAGTGACCCAGTAATTGTTTTCATGGCTCTCAAGTGTGAAGTGCTCCGATAGCACATCAACAAAATGTCAAATAGTAGAGGAGAGACTCTATGAGTGTTACTGTGATGGATTGTTTATTTGAATCTTTCTGCTCCCAGATGTTCCTTGGATGCTGTATAAAAGATGATGGACACTGTAGATGAGACATTTTGAATACAATAAAAGCTGTACCATGTCATTGTATAGAAAGTAAAGAAGATTTGAAAATGAAGGACAAAGAGGGTTTCTGGGTAGATTGCTGAAGGAACTATTGTCAAGAAAATAACCGTGGTTTGGCCGGGTGCGGTGGCTCACACCTGTAATCCCAGAACTTTGGGAGGACGAGGCGGGTGGATCACAAGGTCAGGAGATCGAGACCATCCTGGCTAACATGGTGAAACCCCATCTCTACTAAAAATACAAAAAATTAGCCAGGCATGGTGACAGGCGCCTGCAGTCCCAGCTACTCGGGAGGCTGAGGCAGGAGAATGGCGTGAACCCGGGAGGCGGAGCTTGCAGTGAGCCTAGATCGCACCACTGCACTCCAGCCTGGGCGATAGAGCAAGAATCTGTCTCAAAAAGAAAAAAAAAAAAGAAAGAAAATGTCCGTGGCTTACAGTACAGCCAGGCAAATTAACTTGATGAAAATAGCCCATAGCCAAGAGGCTCCAGTAGTACTGAGTTCAGAGTCATGGTTGTTCTCAGAGTGGAGAGCAATATAGCTTCTAATGATCAGAATTATTCAAAAATATAGAAGAAAAATTAGAAGAGGGTAAAACATGGGTCAGACCCCACTTTAAGAATGGCTATTCAGTCCAATAAACACCATCATCTACCACTTTCCCTGATAGATCCAAGACATTTATTTAGAGTGTGTCATGTGCTAGGTTATACAAATCAATAAGTCAGACTTCCCACACTCAAGAAACTTACTGTATAGACAATTATAATAAAATATTATAAATGTTCTTGATTAGCATATTATTCTGATAGAAATGTTTTTGTTTCTGGAAAAAAAGAATTTGTTTTATGAAACAGATACTGAGCATAGATGAAATCAAATCAGAGTATTTCTTTAAGCAAAGCAAACATTTGAATAATTATTAAAAATGAAATAAATAATTTCTTTCAAAAAAGTAATAATTAGTAAGTATAAAACACCTTGTATTGTCAGTCAAGTGGAGGCTTCTAAATAGGTAATTTACATTGAATGTGTTCAACAAATTATTGAAACTGTTTGGTCTACCAAAGCTATCCCAGATATCAGCCATCACTAAGGGTTATTCATGAGTACCTTTCTTCAGTCTGAGAAAGGGAAACAAGATTTTCAAGAAATTCAACATCAAAAAACTTTAGGTTATTTGTCTCTCTCCTAAAAGGCTTGTTAAATTTTCTTTTTTAATTTTTTATTTTACCATAAGTTATTGGGATACAGGTGGTATTTGCTTACATGAGTAAGTTCTTTAGCGGTGATTTGTGAAATCCTGGTGCACCCATCACCCCAGCAGTGTACATTGCACCATATTTGTATTCTTTTATTGCTCGCCCCCCTACTCTTCCCCTCAAGTCCCCAAAGTCCATTGTATCATTCTTATGCCTTTGCCTTCTCATGGCTTAGCTCCCACTTTATCAGTGAGAACACACAATGTTTGGTTTTCCATTCCTGAGTTACTTCACTTAGAATAACAGTCTCCAATCTCATCCACATCACTGCAAATGCTGTTAATTCTTTCCTTTTTATGGCTGTGTAGTATTCCATCATATATATGTATATGTGTATATATATGTGTATATATATGTATATACGTACGTGTGTGTGTGTGTGTGTATATATATATATACACACACACATACACACACACACACACCCCACCACCCCACAGTTTCCTTATCCACTCACTGATTGATGGGCATTTGGGTTGGTCCCACAATTTTACAATTGTGAATTGTGCTGCTATGAACATGCCTGTGCAAGTATCTTTTTCGAATAATGACTTCTTTTACTCTGGGTAGATACCCAGTAGTGGGATTGCTGGATATTTAATGTAGCAAACTTTCATAAAGAAATATTATTTGAGAAAAGGATAAGTTAATCCTAGGAAGTACTTGCTTTTAACAAAGAAAAAAGAAACCGACAGGAGAAATAGGTTTAGATCTTTCTCAAGCAAAATTATCGCTATTTATAGCATCAGTCCAGTGACCCAATACAGATAACAATCATTTTGTCAGTTAGCTGAATAAGAGCTATTGAGCACCCATGGGGAATGAAAGAGATGTACTGAGGAAGTACAAAGGAAAAACTCAACCTAATTCTTGTCCTTAAAGAGCTTAAAGTTTGATAGAAAAAAAGGGCAGGCTCATGTGAAAAATATACATGCGCACACACACACACACGCACACACACGTGTGTGTGTATTAAAGGCATATAAGAAAATTACCATCTCTTTAGAGTCATATAAATTCATCTTTTGATAGTCTGAAGAAGATAATGTCATCATGGCTTAATATGATCAAAATAAAATAAGAAAAGTGACATCTATTAGTGATACCCCTAAGGAAAATAATATCTTATAGTGATAACCTTATATGAGTAAAAACAAATGCAAATTAAACATTAAAGACTTAATTCCCATGGCAAAAATATGGTAACACAATTAGCTAACACAAATGGTCACCCCAATTACTAGGTAAAGTTAGGATGAACTCTGTGTGACAAATGGTGATGTCAAGTCCTCTTACATAAGGACTAATTTTGTTTATCTTGAAAACATGTATGCAATGGGTTGTCATCAGCTTGGCTATATAAAGGGTGAGGTTTCATTCTATCTTTGCCTTCTCTTAGCACACTGCCTACAATGCACATCACATCGTGGTTTAATGCTTATTCAATCATAAAATCCTTTTTTTCCCTCTATTCTGTACCTTTGTGGACAGGATTTCTGAGTTGGAAGATTTTCTTTCTAATTCTATTTCCCTAACACATATCACTTAATTGCATTCCTGCTTTCTAAAGTCTAAACCCAAATAAAGTTAACTTTCCTAAACTGGGGTAGACTAAAACATAAATATTTTAAACATAGTTTTTAATACCTATTTATTTCCATTTTAATTGTACTATTTAAAACTATAGCCAATATAAGAGGCTGTTATAACTTTAGTGTCATGGAGACGTATTTATAAAGATAGCTAAACCACACACACAAAGGAAAGGAAGAAAGAGAAAAGGGAAGTGTAACAGTGAAAAGGAGGCCTAGCATGACTAATTCCATTTTACTCCCCCAAGGTGCTCTTTAGGTTAACTGTTTTTGTTTATCTCTGAATCAAGGACAACCTAAGTACCTGAGGAATTTAGTTTGTGTTTTAACTTTAAAGCAAAGGTGATAATAGTCCCTCCCCCAAACTAAAGTTGAGGTGATAAGGAGGGTGTACACACAAGTAACAATGTTTAATTAAAGGTTTATAGGAGCACGGCAACTTGATTGAGGACAATGAAGTTTTACAACCCCCTTGGACACTTGCTGCTGCCTAGATATCTGCGATCATTGAACATCTCTTGATCTCAACCCCTCTCTTGTCCCCTTCCCCTAACATAAAAGAGGCTGAAATTTGTATTAACTTCAGATGGTTCTTTAGGACATTAGTTCATCATCTTCTTTGTTTGCTGGCTTTTCAAAATAAAGTCACCTTCCTTGCCCCAATACCTTGTCTTTTGAACTACTGGCTCTCCTGTGGTGGTGATATGAGCCTGGACTTGACTACAGGAAGGAAGAAAGGAAGGAAAGAAGAAAGAGAGGAAGAGGAACAGAAATGTTTTTGAAAAGTAAAAAGCTGAGTTTAATTCCAAATTTTACCTAGTTTATAGTTGTCAACGGGTCTGACCTTCTCCATCCTTAAACAGAAGATAATGTTATCTACTTCACAGTTTATTTTGTTCTGTGAAAACAACCGAAGTCAAAATATGAAACTTTGCTAGCCTCTCCAGAAGCCCCTCCGGGTATTTCAATGATATCCCAATCACAACCTTATCCTTCTGAAATAACCACTGTCAAAATTAAAAACACAAATCAGACTTGAATAACACTCAACCAATGGATCTAAAAGACATATACAGAAGTTTTCTCAACAGAGAATACACTCTTCCCAATTTCACACAGAATGTTCTCCAGAATAGATCACATGTTGTTAAAACAAGTCTTAACAAATTTAAGAAGACTGAAATCATACTAAGTATATTTTCCTACTAAAATAGAATGAAACTAGAAATCAGTAACAGTGAGAAAATGGAAAACATTTACGAATATGTGGAAACTAAATAACAAACTTTTGAATAATCACTGGGTTAAAAAGGAAATCAAAAGAGAATTTAGAAAATATCTCAAGACAAACAAACATTCATGTACAACTAATCAAAACTTATGCAGCAAAAGCAGTACTAAGCGAGAAGTTCATGGCAATAAATGCCTACATTAAAAAAGAAAAACAATTTTAAATAAACAACCTACATTTATACCTAAAGGAACTAAAAAAAGAAAAAAAAATTAAACTCAAAGTTAGCAAAAGAAAGACAATGAAGAGTAGGGCAAAAATAAATTAAATAGAGAATCTATAAGGGAAATAAAATCAACAAAACTGAGAGTGAAAAACTGAACAAAACTGCCAAACCCTTAACTAGGTTAATTAGAGGAAGAGAGAGAGAGAGAGGATACAAATAAATAAAATCAAAATGAAAAAGAAGACATTACAACAAATGTCTCTGAAATAAAAAGGATCATAAGAGATCTCTCATAATTATATGCCTACAAATTGAATAACCTATAGCAAATGAAAAAATTCCTAGAAACATAACCTGCTGAGACTGGATCAAGAAGAAATAGAAAGTCTGAATAGACCAATAACAAATGAGGAGATTGAATTAGTAATGAAAAACCTCCCAACAACAACAAAAAAGAGCAAGGACTAGATGACTTAATGACTGAATTCTACCAAAAATCGGAAGAAGATTTAATACCAATTCTTGAACTCTTTTTAAAAAAAAAAAGTAGAAGAGATACTTTTTAACTCTTCTTACAAGGGCAGCATAATTCTGATATCAAAGCCAGAAATGAAAACTACAGGCCAGTATCTTTAATAAAAATAGATGAAAAAATCCTCTCTAAAATATCAGGAAACCTAATTTAACAACACATCAAATAGATTATATACAAAGACCAACTGGGGTTTATTTCTGGGATGCAAAGTTGCTTGAACATATGCAAATCAATGTGATATACCACATTATCAGTACAAAAGATTAAAACTACATGATCATCTTAATAATTGCAGAAAAAAACATTTGACAAAGTTTAACATCCTTTCATGATAAAAGTGCTTAACAAAATAGGAATAAAATAAAATTACCCCAGCACAGTAAAGGCCATATCTAAGCCCACATCTAATAGGATAATCAACAGGAAAAACCTGAAAGCTTTTCCTCTAGTATTTGGTACAAGACAAAGATGTCCACTATTACCACTTCTATTCAATATAGTACTGGAAATACTAGCAAGAGCAACCAAAGAAGAAAAGAAATAAAATATATCTGAATTATAAAGGAAGAAGTAAAACCATCCCTGTTTGTGAATGACGTAATCCTATATACAGAAAACCCCATAGATCCTGCCAAAAGATCATTAGAAATAATAAACAAATTTAAGAAAGTTACAGGATACAAAATCAACACACAAAAATCAGTAGTATTTCTTTACATCAATAATGACCTATGCAAAAAGGAAGCTAAAAAAACTACTGCATTTATGATAGCATCAAAAATTAAATATCTAAAAATAAATTTAACCGAGGATGTGAAACACCTAAACACTGAACATTATACTTTCATAAAGGAAATGAAAAAAGGCACAAATAAATGAAAAGATATCCCTTGTTTATGGATTGGGAAAATTAATATTGTTAAAATGTTCATACTACCTAAAGTGATCTACAAATTCTATGCAATCCTTATCAAATTTTAATAGTATTTTATACAGAAATTATAAAAACAATCTTAAAATGCATATAGAATCACAAAAGGCCCAAAACAAACAAAACAATCTTGAGAAAGAAAAACAAAATAAAAAGTGGGGGCATCCCACTTCATGATATCAGATTATATTACAAAGCTATTAGAATAAAAATAGCATTCTACTAGTATTAAAACAGACAGATAGTCCAATAGGACAGACTAGAGAGCCAAGAATAAAACCCAAGAATACACAGTCAACAAGGGCACAGAGAATACTGGTATGTTTTGGATATGGTTGTCCACACCAAAATTCATGTTGGTATTTGATCCCCAATGTGTGGTGGGGAAGGTGGGGCCTAGTGAGAGGTGTTTGGATCAGGAGGAGAGTCCTCATGAATAGATTAATGCCCTCCCAAAGGAGTGAATGAGCTCTTGCTCTGGAGAGATGGAATTCTTTCTTGCAGGAATGGATTAGTTCCTGGAAGAGTGGGTTGTTATAAAGCTAGGAGGTCCCTTAGGTTATGCTTCTTTGCATGTGTCTACTTCCCCTTTGACCTTCTGCTGTGGTGTGAGGTGGCAGAAAATTTCTCACCAGAAGCTGCACAGATGTCAACATCATGCTTCTTGAACTTCCCAGCCTACAGAATCATGAGCCGAATAAACCTCCTTTCTTTATAAATTACCCAGTCTCTGATATCTCATAGCAGCACAAAACAAGACCGAGACAAATACATGATGGGAAAAGGATAGTCTCTTCAATAAATCATGGTGGGAAAATTAGATTTCCACATGCAATAAATAAATAAATAAATACAACTGTCATACACTGCACACAAAAATAAACTCAAAATGTGTTAAAGACCTAAACACAAGACCTAAAACTGTAAAAAGCCTTAAAAAACAGAGAAAAGCTCCGTGACATAGACCTTGGCAGTGATTTTTCAAATATCGCATAAAAAGCTCAGGCAACAAAAGCAAAAATAAACAAGTGGTATGGCATCAAACTAAAAAGCTTTTGCACAACAAAGAAAGTAATCAAGAAAATCACAAGGCTGCCTACTATTTGGGAGAAAATATTTGCAAACCATATATCTGATAAGTGGTTACTATCCAATATTTGTAAGGAACTCACATAACTTAATAGCAATAAAACAAATAACCCAATTTAAAAAAAGGGCAAAGGATCTGAATAGACATTGTTCCAAAGAAGACGTAAAACTGGCTAACAAGTATATGAAAAGATACTTAATGTCACTAATCATCAGGGAAATGAAAATCAAAGCCACAATGTGATATCAAAGCCACCTGATAGAATGGCTATTATCAAAAAGATAAGATGTGAAGAAAAAAAAAAACCCTTGTACACTGTTGGGGGAAAGGTAATTTAGTATAGCTATTATGAAAAATAATATAAAGATTCCTCAAAAATTAAAAATAGAACTACTATATGAACCACAATCTCTCTTCTGAATATGTACCCCAAAGGAGTGAAATCAGCATCTCATAGATATCTCTGTTCTCCCTGTTAATGTCAGCATTATTCACAATACCTAAGATATAAAATTACCTACATGTTTGTCCATGAATGAATGGATCAATACACTGTGGTATACATAAAGAATGGGATATTATTAGCCTTAGGAAAAAGAGATCCTAAGAGGAGAGGGAGGGAAAGAGAGAGAGAGGGAGAGAGAGAGAGAGGGAAGGAGAGAGAGAGAGAGAGAGAAGGAGAGAAAGAGAGAGAGAGAGAAAGAAAAAGAGAGAGATATCCTGCCATTTGTGACAACACAGATGAACATGGAGGACATTATGTTAAGTGAAATAAGTCAGACACATAATTGTGGTATACATATTGAAAATGTATAGAAACACATACAGAATGTGTTACAGAAAAGTACTGCATGATCTCACTTTGATGTAGGATTTAAGAAAAGTTGAATACATAAAAACAGATAGTATGGTGGTTACCAGGTGTGGGGGAAGGTGGGGTGGGTAATGGAGAGACGTAGGTCAAAGAGTACAAACTTTCAGTTATGTAGGATGAATAAGTCTTGAGAGTTGATGTACAGCATGATGAGTATAATTAATAATATTGCATTATATACTGAAAACTTGCTAAGGTAATACATTTTAAGTGCTCTTTCCTTACTAAAAAAAGGTATGAGGAGATGAATATATTAATTTGCTTGACTGTGGTAATTATTTTGCTATGTATAAGAATATCAAAACATCCTGTAATACACATTAAAAATATACAATTAAAAACCAAAAGAGAAAGAAAAATGCTGCCCTGACATTTATAGCAATTACTTCCTTGAATCATTTTCTGCTTTTTATTATCCAAGTATGCATCCTTAGACATAATAGTTTAGTCTTGCCCATTAAAAAAGTTTATGCCTGGGCCAGGCACGGTGGCTCAGGCCTGTAATCCCAGCACTTTGGGAGGCCGAGGCAGGCAGATCACGAGGTCAGGAGATCGAGACCATCCTGGCTAACACAGTGAAACCCCGTCTCTACTAAAAATACAAAAAAATTAGCCGGGCGTGGTGGTGGGTGCCTGTAGTCCCAGCTACTGGGGAGGCTGAGGCAAGAGAATGGCGTGAACCTGGGAGGCGGAGCTTGCAGTGAGCCGAGATCGCGCCACTGCACTCCAGCCTGGGCAATAGAGCAAGACTCCATTTCAAAAAAAAAAAAAAAAAAAAAAGTTCATGCCTTTTAGGTTTCTTTTCAGCTATCATTTTCTCCTCCATCTCTTTCTTTTTCTTACACATTTGTGTTAAAGAAGAGAGGCCATTTAATTTGCAGATTTTTCACAGTCTGGATGGTGTCGTGTTTTTCCATTAGGAGGCATAAAATATTTAGTTTCCTCTCCTTTGGTGGCGTTATCAGCCATTGATGCTCATTGCAGACCTATTTAATAATTGGAGGTGCGAAATAGTGGTATTTTAATTGTACCATATTATTTTAGTTTGCTAGCTGTAATAATTATAAAGAGATCTTCATTATAAAAGAGTGACTATCCCTTATTTGGCTACCCAGAGTTACAGGAATATGGGAAAGCAAAAATAAATGCTTGATGTTTTCTCGTTGTTAGTTTACAATAATGAATTGTTTCCCTGTCATCCACAAAGGTAACCAGCTGGCCTTTTAACATCATTCTGAACTCATGAATTTAAACCTTTTACAGGTTCCAAAACATTCGAACTGGTATCTTAATTAAAAATCAAGTTGTTCTATTTTTGAGCAGTAGGAACTTCTTCAAGTTGGTTCCTGACTCCTTTTGACATTATCTTTGTAGTCTTTGATATAGTTTTTGCTATCTGATGTAGCAGACTGTTCCAGGGTTATCTTGTTCACTTCCTGACCCAGACTCAAGATGAATTATTCCCCCCAAAAGCTCTGATTTCTTTAAGTGGGCAATTGGATTTCAATACTCCAAAGCTGAGCACTGGAGATGTTCACCTCTAGGGTTTGTTAATATTTCCAGACCTGTTTAGTAGACAGACTGGGACACACACACACACACACACACACACACACACACACACACAGTCTCTCCCTCTCTCTCTCTCTGCATATACATGTATACACAAATATATGTTTAATTTTTAAACATGTCATCTCATGAGTTTATACTGAATATAGTACTTCATGGCTTTTACTGAACTTCTTGATTACATCTCTATCTTTTTCTACATTGAGAATCTTGATTCCCATAAGCACACAGTATGACAGAATTGGAACATCCCATAATTTCTCACTTGCTTTATCCAATGCTATACATATAATATATACACATAATGGCAGCAGAATAATAATACTATTACATGTAACCCATTTTTCCCACTTTAAAAGTGCTCTCAAAGACACAGATAGAAATATTGTAAAATTTTTCATGGGTTTTCTTCGTATTATACAAACAGTAGTAAAAGTATAATGTTACTAATACTATCACTATAAATTAAAATTGTAAATGGATTAAATATTTTTGTATATGCTGTCTTCATTCTCCCTCCCATTTTTTAAGGGTATTCTATATCTGCATTGTCAAAATATATAGCCATAAGTATATATTCACTCCCTGTAACCCTTATTTAATCTTAATTCTATAGGCAAGTATATATTAGTGTTCAACATCACTCCTTATCTGTATTTCTGTAGGTATTCTGCATATATAAAATGTGTTCTCTAGATTTTAAAAACATATTTAATAGGAAAATATCCCCTTAATTCCTGCATGTTAACAAATATTTTTAATGTTCTTTATGTTGTTACTCATTGTTTCTTTAAGTACAAGACATTGGTCTAAAAAAAAAAAGTCTGATGACCATTTAATTTTCCCTGTCCCCAGTTACATGCTATATATATATATATATATATATATATATATATATATATATATATATATATATATATTTTTTTTTTTTTTTTTTTTTTTTTTTACCTGAATGTCCTCCAGTTTTTCATTTGCAAGTTCATAGGTTTATTCAAAAATTTTGATGTTGCCTATCCTGTACTACAATTCTCAGGTTCACAGTATACTCTTTAAATATGTGTTCTTGGTTTTTTTTCAGGAACTTTTTTTTTTTACTTAAAATTTTTATTTGTTCTGTTCTTCTGCTTTAGTTTACTTACTCAGACATTCCTATCATGCATAGAATAGATCATCTTTTCTGACCTGCAATCTTTTTTGGCATGCTTTCATTTCCTAAAAGGATGTTATTCTTATTCTTATTCTAATTTTTAAATAATAAGTTTGTACAGGCTGTGCTCTTACTACTTTTTTGCTCATTTTTATCTTTTCTGTAAACTTTTAGGAGGAGGCTTGGCCTAGCTCTCTCTCCTAACTTCACAAAGTTCTCTCTTCTGTTGTTTTAAGGTAGTTTCAAACACACGGTGGCATACTTTCTGAAATTTCCTGGCTCTGTGCTTCTTCTCCACTTTTATTTAGACAGTTTTTCCCCTTTGACTTCATTTTTTCGGTCCAGTTCTATATTGATTCACTTCCATCAGTCTTTCTTCAGCATGGGGTGCTGTCAGACAAGGGAGCTCCTTCCGTTCAATTTTGAGAATTCACTAGGTCTGAAACATTCCAGTCCCTTTAGATCTTCTTACTGGGTGCCACTTGTATCAGTTTGTGATTGGAGTACGTGAAACCCATCTTTTTCTAGCAGCTATTGTCAAGTTAGCCAACTGTGTCTTCCAGGGAATACCTTTGACTCTATGGGGATTCTCCTATTACAAGTCTTCAGTCTCCCCAATGGTTTTCTCTGCTTCTTGCTGCACAGATGCTGAAACCGCATAGGTCTTGTGGTTTCTGGTATTTTATTCTCACCTGCTTGTACTCTGCTGTAAATGTTGTCTGTAGATTTCTGTTTTCACTGTCTGGTTGCTATGTCATTTTACATGAGGGTTTGGAAAGATCCAATAGTATGCTTCCACTGTCACTCTGTCTTCCGAAAATTCTACACTGTAGTACTTAGCACATTATTGGCTTACATTACGTGCTGGGTTAAATCTAATAGAATAACAAAGTGAATGATCAAATAAGAAAATTCTCTATAAACTATAAATCACCATCAAGATATACTGCTATAAGTTATAACATGCAAAAACACACAGGTTAATATATGGTATAGCATAAGAGAAAATAAGGCATATGGATGAGGGATGAAAGTATTAATTGTTATTTCTTAGTATGAATTTAACAAGGAAAAAATTGGTAGATGTTCCAGGAAGTCACTGTTGGTCAGACCAAAAGAAGGACAGAATTTTGTCATTAGCATCACCTTCCTTTACTATGGATCTACGTATTCAAAATCATCCTGGCTTAATGGCAAAACTAACAGACCTTGATTTAGGCATAGACAAGGATCACTTAACTCTAAGTGTTCTCATTAGCCAAGTGCTCAAGGCCATTTGTTATCAACCTTATCTTATCCCCAAGTCTTACAAATTGTCTAACTACCTACTGGTCTCCTCTTAAAGGGAAACACTGTTTGAGATTTACTCCCTTTTAATCTACACTTTAAAGGTTTCCCTTCAACTCCTGTAATCAGCTTATATAGGTCAGTCGTAAGATCCCACATCTGAGCACCAGTTTCATTAAAAGATCAACTTCATAAATCACAATCAATGGGAATAAACATAAAATGAACAAAGAGCTTTTTTTTTTTTGGTGGAAATAACTTCAATTGAAAGAAATGCTGCTAAAAGATCTTGCAACATTGCTCTGTTTTCCTCTAGAATTTACTATTTCAATAAGAAATCTGATGTTGATCTGGGTATGTCTTTCTGTGACTGAAATTCTCCCCCTGTCTCCTTTCTCCTTTCTTTTCTTTCCTATTTGGTGTGTGTGTGTGTGTGTGTGTGTGTGTGTGTGTGTGTGTGTGTGTGTGTGTGTGAGAGAGAGAGAGAGATTCAGAGAAGGTAGTATAAGGTTTGGAATTAATTGGACATTAGTCAGAGTCCCAGTAAAACCATTTGTGAATTTTGTGAACAAGAGAATTTAGTTAATCTCTCTAATCCTTAGTTTTCTCATCAATTAAAGGGGAATAATAAAATATCTAATATTCAGAATGTTGTGAAGTTCAATCATGCATTTAAAGTGATGAGCAGCATATAGCACAGAGCAGACATTTAGGAAAGATTGGCTATTAGGAAAGATGCTTTATTATTATCATTACTATTAGATTTGATCTTTAGAATTCAGAAATCTCCCTAGAATATGTCTCAGTATAGATCTTTTTTTGTAAACATGAATAGCTGGGCAAAATCTCTCATTTTTTAACATATCACAGCATTTATCACATTTTATTGACATTATCTTTTTATTTATCTACACTCATGGAATAACTGAATGCCGTAGGAAGACAAGGAGTATATCTACCCTGTTCACTACTTCATCTGAAATACCTAGCACAGTGCTCTGAAGACACGTTCAACAATAAATATTCACTGAATGAATGAGTAAATGAATTATTTTTCCCCGAACATCTAGATATGAAGAATGAGATGCCTTACATAACAAATATGGAATCCCTGTAGCGCATTTGTAAGTTAATAAATTGGCAGTTGGTTTATACATCTGTGTCTTGCAAGATTGATTATTATAAGTAAGTGACCTTTGAGTAATTGATTAAATCCAGTTTCTCACCCTAGAAAATCCAGTCAGACCGCGGTCTCAGGTAATATACTAAAAATATATGGCTCTGGAGGCACTGTGCAGTTCTTTGGCTTCCTTCTCTCTGTCATCTTTACTATTAGTAACATCCTTTTTGAAATTCAGCCTTCCCAGAAAGGAAATTCTGCAGCTATCCACTGAAGACCAGTTGCATGTACATAACAGCAGCATCACTTTTGGCTACTTGTGAGCACACACGAATAACCAGTAAAATGAGACCCCAGCTTAGCAATTCTTCAGTAAATGAATGGAAAACCATGCTCTAGGCAGTTATTGATATTACTAAATGGCTCTTGAAAATTGTCCGCTGAAGCTGAAAGCATACCTTATTTCTTCTAGGCCTTACATTTTCTTTAACTCTCTTTTTTGTACTTCAGTACTATATGTTCCCTTGCTTAAGAGGGATAGGCTTTGTAAGCAAGACAGCAGCACTCTGGATACACCTTTCCATATGATACTTGAAGAAAAAAAGTTAACTTTAAAACTGCAGCCCATAGAGATAAATACAAATAGTGAAGGAGGAGTTCTGAAGCTCCAGTAGTTAAGTAATATACTTAAGATGGCAATACTATCAATCTACAACACAAACTCACACCAGCTTAATCCAATTTGTCCACAACAGCACATCACTGAAATGGAGCTAGAATTCAAACCTTTTGATTCTAAACTCATTCCATAGTATCACGTTGCCTTGAGAGATGGAGTGAGAAAATGTCATGAAAAATAATAATCACATAAAAGTGAAATGCTCAGTTAGGTTAGACACAAATGTAAGGCAACAAAAGTGACCTACATACGGCCGGGCGCGGTGGCTCACACCTGAAATCTCAGCACTCTGGGAGGCTGAGACGGGTGGATCACGACGTCAGGAGATCGAGACTGTCCTGGCTAACACAGTGAAACCCTGTCTCTACTAAAAATACAAAAAATTAGCCGGGTGTAGTGGCGGGCGCCTGTAGTCGCAGCTACTCAGGAGGCTGAGGCAGGAGAATGGCGTGAACCCAGGAGGCAGAGTTTGCAGTGAGCTGAGATCGTGCCACTGCACTCCAGCCTGGGCGACAGAGCAAGACTCCATCTCAGAAAAAAAAAAAAAAAGTGACTTACATACAAAGTTGTAGTGTTTGAAGGATAGCTATTTATGTATGGTGAGGGGTACTGTGTACTATTTATATAAGGAAAAAAATTAGTGGGATGATGGTGATGATGATGATGATTCTGCTACTAGTGTGCTGAAACGTCAACATTTCCCCCCATTAAATGGTGGGCTGCATACTGAATAATTCCTTCCAAATCCCACTGCAGGAAACCTGCATCTCTAAGCTTTTAGGTTTATCTATTATTCATGCTGCTTGTTTGTACAATACTATTGATTATTCACTGTTTGACCAAATAGTAAGATGATATTTTGCTCTCAATGAAAACTCATGGCAAATGCTTGAATCACCAAAATTAGATGTGGAGAGCAGGCTTGTGGAAAGGGTAATTCAACTGGAGAGAGGGTAAAATATGAAGAATTAAATAAAAACTCCTTTAAATGTGGATGTTTTTCAGTCCTCAGGAGTCCTGTGAAACTCACGCTACATCGTGCTGCAAGACTATGAATACTTATTATAAAGGAAATTCAGTTTACCTTGAAATTTATAAAATAATATAACTGAGGAATTGGTATTTTTGTAAATATAAGCAAGGTTAAACTTTTTTGATATGTTAAAAGAAATTTTAGGTATGTGGGCCAAATGTCATTTTCTTTTTGATACACACACACACACACACACACACACACACACACACACACACTTACTTTAGCATCTCACTTTTTGTAAAGGCAAGATTTAAAACACTTTAAACAGCAAGAAACTTGAGCTTTCTCTTTTGATTTTAATTTCAATAATAGAGCATGAGCTGTTCAGGAGGTTCAAGTTTCTATTCTTATAATAGTTTTCTACACAATATAAGGTACATATGTAAGCTATGCTAGTATAAGTTTATATAAGACCTCCTAAAACGGTTCACTGAATAGCAAAAAAGAAAGAGGATTCCTCCTGGAATGAAATACATGTTTTGCATTTTTTGTTAGTTGAATTTTTTTTGGCCATTGCCAAAACGTATCCAACAAAAATCTCATGCTTGTTTGCAAGGCAAATATTAGAATTATTGTACATACATATGCCCATGCCTATACACATTTCACACACATATATATACACACACACATTATAGAAAAATGTGATTGGTATATTCTCATTTTATATATGTGATGTCACTGATGTGCATGATTTAAAAGATATCTTGTCAGCTCTGAACTTAAAAAAAAAAGCAGAGCAATTAAACTTTTCTGGCACTAGAGGTCGCTAAAACCAGATTACAGATACAGTGACTGCACTTCTAAATCCACAGGGAGGATAGCTAATTTACAATCCAATATGTAGTGGTAAAGGATCAAAGTAAATTACGTTCAGGAATATCTACATTATAACACAAAGTATTGCAAAGTTCAATTTTTTCAGTGGGAATCAACAAAATTGTGGGTTTTTCAAATCAAATTAATAATAAGGAAAATTAATGTTTCCCCTATTTTAACAGCTGTATATATTTAACCAAAATGAAAGCGCTGGACCTTAAACTTGACTGTTTATGTGTTTTGCATTTCAAAGACCACACAGGAACAAATCGTCGAATAAGTAAATTGTTTGTCAAAGCTTTGCTTTTTTAGTATGCCTGGCAATAAACATGTTAACAGAGTCAACTGGAAGAAGGGGAGGGGAGTGACCAATAATGTGTGTGCGGATATTGCTGGTGATGCTGCCAAAGTGAGCATAGGAGGCAAAACAGAGTTATGAGTTGTGCCTTAGAGGAGAAGCTTTGCTTGGCAGTCACTGACTGCTGAGCCGAACTCTGGATTCTCTGTTTCTTAGCACAGGAAAGGTCCCGGTGTTTTGGTTGTGAAAAGCCACCCATTTTCTAAAGCTGCTCCCTACATTACACAGTTGTACCACCACTTGATTTTGGAGAAGCACATCATTGGTTCACTCCCTTCAAACAGGGATTCTTTCCATTTGTGAATCTCACTGCTATCTGAGCCAGGTTTCTGAGCCCCAAAGATAGTGGAAACTATCTGTGCATAGGTACTGAATCTTTAGAGTGCATGGCCTGCCTGATAATTTTCTAAAAGGTCCAATGGCTTCTTTAAATACCAGCATGGTTTGGAAGTCACATAGTTCCCTGGTCAATTATGTTCTAGATGCCATGGGAAAGAATACATATCTTTTTGGGCCTCAAACTTCCTGAACATTAAGTAAGATCACTGGACTATGGGGCCTTAAATATTATAAGTCTAATGTTCAATGAACTTACATGAGTCCTGCCTGAGAAGAAGAATTTCATGATTGACATCTGCTAAGAACTATTAAAGATGTAATTTTAAGAAATGTGCATACTGATAATGATTTGTACTTCTTAGTTTATTCTCCATGCAAAACTATTGGCCATTCTGAAATATTATGATATTTTCTAAATTTGGGGAAAATATACTTTGTTCGTTCACTCTTTGTTTGGAAAACCTAGTTGGTTATGCCTTGAGACCCTAGTGGTGACATCTTTAATGAGAATAATGAAAAAAATTGTAACATCATATATCTTCTCCTTTGCTTCAAAATCCAGAAGGACATTTGAAGTGCTTGAGGGCAGAAATCAGCAATTTTCATGTCACCAGTCCCTGGCTCATGGCAAGCACTCAGAGTGTGTGTTTGATGGGTTCATCAAAGAAAGAGTAGGTTTGTTTATTAACAACATGGTTTTGAGGATCCTGAAAAAGTCAGTTTATGGAATACTTTTGTTATAAGTCAAAATCTAACTCTTGAATAAGCCCCTGGCTTCAGTGAGGAAACAGTGAGCTTTAGTGATCCTTAGGATAGGAGAATGGTTGAACGACCACTTAAGTGGTGAAAGATGAGAAACAGTAGCCAAAAGGAGGCTATCACAATTTTTTTCTCTCTTTTTCTTTCTGCCTTCTTATACTTTAATGTGCTAGCCCATGAATCAAATGAACAAAAGCTTTATTTTACAGACATTTTGAATCAAAATAACTGACTCTAAATTGTAACTCTAGAAATGGCCATTTAATTGTTCTGCCTGTCCTTTAGAATTATGCAAAAACTAAATAATGAAAACTAACAATGCAGAAAGTTTACTCAAATTCAATATTCAAATATTACTAATTTAACCAGTAGCTATAATCCTTCCCTAGAGTATCTTCTCAAAAGAAAAAATATTATGAGCTGGTAACCATGCTGGAGCTGTTTCCTTTCATGCATTCTCCCTCTCTCTATTCCACAAAAATTGTTAAGGGCACGATGCATACCAGGTACCATGTTAAGCACAGAAAATACAATGATGAACTAAACAGACACTGTCTTTCCTTTTCAAAGGTTATTGTAAGTCAAAGAACACCACTGGTCAAGTAAATAAGCAATAACGATGAGTGAGATTTGTGTCAGAACAGAGGAAGTATAGAGTATATAGAACCCCAGTCACACAGCTGCCTCTTTTTTTTTTTTCAGTCAACTTGTCAGACAGAAGTTACTCCATAATATGGTTTGGATTTGTGTCCCTGCCCAAATCTCTTGTCAAATTGTAGGAGTGGCCTGGCGGGAGGTGATGATTTCCCCTTGGATTTCCCCCTTGCTGTTCTCATGATAGTGAGTTCTCACGAGATCTGGTTGTTTAAAAGTGTGTGGCACGTCCCCCTTTGCTCCCTCTCCCACTTGCTCTGCCTTGGTGAGACGCGCTTTCTTCCCCTCCCCTTCCGCCATGATTGTAAATTTCCTGAGGCCTCCCAATCATGCTTCTCTACAGTCTGTGGAACTGTGAGTCAATTAAACCTCTTTTCTTCATAAATGACCCAGTCTCGGGTAGCTCTTCTAGCAATGTAAAAAGGGATTAATACACTCAGTAAATATTTGATGAATTATATGCATGTTGAACAATTGAGACTGAATAAAAACAATCATTATTTCAGAAGAAAGGGAGGCATAGAAACTTGAAACAATACCTCTAAAACTGAAGAAAAGTAGGCAGGGTCCTATTTTAAGATACTCAACCACCAGTTTACATTCTAGGCACTAAAATTCCCATTCTGTTTTCTAAGCTGTTGAAAGCTGGAGCAACAGCTCAAGTGACGATAAAAGAGATATGAGGCGATACAAGATCAGGTATTGGGAAAAACAAAGTTTTCTGTAGCTCAAACTGTGTGCCAGTGAGGTGTTTATACAAATTCTCCAGAAAGATATATATTGATTTCACTATTTTAATACGAGAGAGTTACAGGCAAAGGGTACTCTACTTTAAGAGAAGAGAGGTGCAGGAATGTGCGTCATATAATCTCACAGAAAGATCTTTTGGTCTAAGACAGAGAACAGAATAAGGAAAATCTCATGATGTGGGTAGGAGACATTATAAATTTGTGACCCATCAGTGGCTGAGTTGCTCGTGTTAAGTCCTGGCCATAACTATGCTGGCTCTGATAAGCTGCCAAAGCAAGGGACTTCCACAAATAAGACAGTGTATAAATTTAAGGTATTAAATCCTTTTTTATTTCATTTTAAAATCCTGATTTCTCTTTTTCTGACAGCACATCCCATAGTTCCTTCTGCCTTCTTGCTACATTAGAGAGCAATAATGAATGTCGAGTTTTGATGGGTACCATGAGGACCCTTCTCTATAGTGCATAGTCCATGTGGGTCTTTCTGATATGATTGATAGTGGCATAGAAGCATTCTGCATATAAAGATTAATTGCTTCAGCAATTATCCTTTACTGAATGGTTGACTATAACTCCACACTTTTGACTCCTACTTAAGCAAGCAGTTCCTTCATTGGGTTAATTTATTTTCTCCTTCTCTTTTAAACTAATAGTATATTTCCATGTTATTTTAAATCTTTTACTTTAGATAAAATGTTTCCTCTTGCCACTCTAAGTTAAGATTTGGGTAAGACCTTCATAAGTCATAAGGAAAAGGATGGATTAAATAATTTATGTGATTTTTTTTCTTATCAGTAACTCAGAAAAAGTATTCTTCTGGGAAAACTATAAATCAAAGTGGTCAAGGAAACAAGGGAGGTGTTGTAAGGTTCGTTGCCAACTTTTTCCTTTACTGAAGACACCACCTTACTACTACAAATGCATCAACACTATACAGCTATTTTCTAAATTTAATTCTCTCAAAAGTACTATTAAGTTGAACTAAATCCTGATGACATACTAGAAGTTCAGAGAAACTGCATACAAATTATTTTCAGTTCATTTACAAAGGCCAGAGTATGAGCACAGGGACAATCTTACTTTTGAAAAGTGAAAGGCAAGCTTTTACTTAAGATTATTCCTGATGAAATACCCTAGGGCCAAGGTTAGAATTTTTCAACTTGCTCTGCAAAAACAAAACAAAATAAAATGTCTCCATGTTCTCTTGATAAGTAACTCTCTGATAGCTAAAATAGGAATTTTTCATTTAACATTTTCATATGAAGTGGCTTTGAGCTAGAAGAGATATCTATTGAAAACACAAAAAAAGTTACATTTAAAAACAGCAAATACATGGAAGCATTAGATTCTGAAAATATTAAACATTTTGCATCTGGATTATCTATATCTGTACATGGAAGATAAAGAAATTGATTTTAATTAAGATCACACAGAAGAACAGACAAAGCAGGAACAATAAAACCCATATCTATTCTCAGAGCACTAAATCTTAACCGTACTATTTTTATAATATGCTTGTGCTTTAAAACTTACAAATGGCTGCCAGTGGCATCTGTTGTATAATGTTATTTAGTTCACAAAGATAAATAAATGCATGCAAAAGAATTTCTAGCTGCCTTTCAATCGTTTTTAAAATAATTTATTTCATTTCTTTAATATGTAGTCACCACATGACAAGTACAAAGCATATTATTATTGACTAATATACATTTCCATGATTGATAGGTTAGCACTTTTATTTTGGGCAGCTTTTTACATAATTTAGGTATTTGGGGACTGTTTCCTCTCAAATTCCATCTCCCACCTGCTCTGGTATGGCAGGTCAACAATCCATCTTGGCTCATTGCTTTGTTATCTTGACACAGTTCAGATTGCAAAACATCTGGAGCTATTGATGACTTCATATATTGCAAAACCATGTGTTTTCCCCTGAGGAGTATTTTTCATTCTGTTTTAAAATATGAATCACTTCTGAAAGGATGGCTCACTGATTATTTAACTTCAAGATAGTCAATGAGTTTATAAGCCAGAGACCCCTTCATTGTGCTGCCACATTCATGGTTAGAGGAAAAGAGTGTACAATATCACCTGTCAAAGTCAATTGTATGAATCTTACAACACATTTCAGAACAAGTGAATGTAGGCCACAGTTTTTTTCTGATTGCTTTTTCTTAAATTGCACAGGAAAATTTTTCTAATGTACATGTTATTTTCACTCAAATATGCTTTCAACATTTAAATTTAACTAGAACCTGATGCAAAGCATACAGTAACCTGATACTGACTCACAGATGGCATGTTATAGAACCATTGCTCTATTATTTCACCTCTATCTCTCTCCCTCCCTCCCTGCTTCTTACTATCCCTCTGATGCACTTGTATATATAGAAAATATAGGACAAAAAAGTGTGTTTAATGCCTTTTTTCTTCTCTCTACACCACTAAAGTTAAAATCTTCTAAATCAGTTAATGTCAAAACTTCTAACTCATTGTTTTGTTTCATAAGTGTATTTTAAGTCAAATGGAACCTGACAGTAAATGACCTTAAAATGATGTACAGATTTTAATAAAAAATGGACTTGGCTATTTTAATAGAAGTGTTCAATATAAATTAAAAGTGTGAGGCATAACTTAAAAAGAGAATGTTGCCACTGGAATCAAGAAACTTGGTAGCTTCCCTGTACTCGGTCTTGCTCAAATCCAGAATAGCGCATAATATCAGTTAAAGGTATGACACTTTAAGTTCAATATTTGAGCCTATTCATTGGTATTTAACGTAGAGGGTCTTTTGTGAGTAAAATTTTTTTTTTCTTTGTAACAATGGACAGCTTAGCAGCCAAAATAAGGTTTACAGGAATCTATATTTTGAGTCTATGTTAGAAATAAATATTTAGCAGTTAGAACAGCTTAGCACTATGTGGCTACTCCCCACAACCACAACTGGTTAAAAGAAAACAAAATGACTTCATGTCAGGAATGTGGAAGAGGAAGATGAGAAAATTTTCAAAGGCCTCTGTCTAGCTCTTTCTTCTCCAGATCCATCACAGGCCTACTTGCTTTCTTACCCTGATTTTATTACAAGTTACAGGTGAACAGCTTCAGATTTCTTTTTATCATTGTGTATTACTTTTAAGGGAATTAGATAAACTGTGTACATTTCTTTCTAGTTTTACTGTTCCTGGGTCCTGTGATGTGGGACATTTCACCAATAATAATGCACACAAACATAGTCAAGAGCGCCTTAACATAGCGGCTGGAATTTTCATATATGATCTTGGTAGTAATGTGTGTGTGTGTGTGTGTGTGTGTGTGTGTGTGTGTGTGTGTATTATATTGCTACTAAATATATATGAGACCAGATTGGATAGTGAATCAGTTGACGTTTATTTGAAATTTTGGAGAGAGTAGGAAATTACAGTAACAAAAATATTTTCAAAAATCTAATCTGTAAGGTAATACTAATAAGATTTTAAAATGTGTGTTTATATACAGAGTCATAATGTCTAAATCTACAAGTAATCTTAGAAGCCTTGTATTTCAGTCCTATCATTTTATACATGAGGTTTTTGAGGCTCAGAGAGGGGTTTGGCCTTACATTATGTAATAGGCAGAGTTAGAAACGAAGCTGAGACTACAACCAATTTGTTTCTCTTGATCCCAAGCCCATATGATCTGAGCTGGAAAGGCGTGAACTGACAGTGCTCAAATACAGGCAGTGCAGCCAGATGCCGGGCTCTTATAGGACTTTAGAAGAAATTTCTAGATAGGGTTGGGGGGTTAGACCATATAGTATCCAAGGTATGCATTCAAATCATAAGATTTTATGCATCAACATTTGAAATTAAATTGTGGTGAAGAGGAAGACAGGCAGAAGCTCCATAAAGATAGCACGCTGAAAATTTTAAAGCTCCTTATTCAAATAATAGCAAAACAAAATCATTAATTTTCCAGCTCTACAATTGGCACTATTTCCTGCTTTAGAAAAGGAAGCCATCAACCCTTCCCATACTCCATTGTCTCTCATAATTATGCATGTTATTAAACAAGTGGTAATATAAGAGGCATGGAGTGAACATCATTTTATTGGCATCATATAGTTACAAGAACACATGTTGCCAAAAATCATTTCCATTCAGCTGAAGAAACAAAGAAGTAAGAGATCTGCAAACAAAAGTAGTCAGCACCTGGCAGGCATTCAGAGAAATTATCAATAAAAGGAGGAGGAAAAAAATCCACTTAATTCCATGTTATGCAAAAACAAGTTTAGAAGGATGCATATTATAAATGAAAACCTCAATACCATTACTTATTGGCAACATTAGGAACATTTTCAATTGTGTTTAAACTCAATTTATTGTCATACAGTAAGTTGTTGAAATGTGATTGCTATACATTTTTAAACCAAGTTTGAATTACATCAGAGGGAATTTGATATTTTCACAGTAACTTATAGTCATATTTTAGTTTTTTGAATGTTGGAATGAGGAATAATTGATGATTCCTTACTTGATTCCTCAAGTTCCCTGCTTTGGAATCACTACTCATACACCATTACTTTGTTTAAAAATATATATATATATCTTACAAGCCAGATCCTGCAAGCTCTGTCCAGTGGTATGGCATTAATGACGAAATATTTTAGTTGTGAATTCTGAAGTGACTCTTCAATGGAGTCCTTAGTTCAATTGTAAAAATAAATGAGAAAGCAGAAATTTTCATTAGAAACTCAAAATGAGACTGAATGTGGAATCCAAAAAGAAATGACCTTTCGTCCTCAGAAACCAAAATGTCAGTGCCTTCCTCCCTTCATTCATTCACTGTGCATTACTTGATCATCTACTATGCACCAGACACTGTGTTATGTGCTGAGGATGCAAGGGGTGATGGCAGTGGATAGTGTAGTCCCAGAGGAATAGCATGCATGATAAAAGGGAAATGATAACAAGAGTATGAGAGAGGTTGTACGTCAGTATGTGCCACATTAACTATGTGTTGTGACAGTAGATCCACACTGTATCACAATTTGTACTGAGAAATTTGACAAAGAATAATAAGTAGAGAAGTAGTAAATTCTGGTAAACAAAAGTAAAAGTATGATGCAAAACTCTCCTCTTTTTTCTTTCCAACAGTGAAGAATTTGTTACTTCTTTGAAAGTCATCCTAGCATCATGGGAATTAACTTAGAGTAGTGAATAACAATAGTCCATTCTTCTGCCTACAACTTTAGAAAGTACAGTCATGCATCACTAAACAAAGGAAACATTCTGAGAAATGGAAGTTGTTAGGCAATTTCATCATTGTGCAACCTGCAGAGCACACTTACACAAACCTAAGATGGCGCAGCCCCACTATACACCTAGGCTATATGGTATAGCCTGTTGCTGCTAGGTTACAAACCTGTACAGGGTGTTACTGTACTGAATCCTGTATACAACTGTAACACAATGGTAAGGATTATGTATCTATACATATCTAAATGCAGAAAAGGTACAGTAAAAATATGATGTAATCTTATGGAGCAACTGGCATATATTCAGTTATTGAACAGAAACATTTATGAACTGCATTATATTTTATGAAGATAATTCAACTTCTGGTGCTCAACTTAAGCTAAGATGTGTTGAAGGACACTGTCAGTACCTAAAGAAATGAATATACAGTTGTCCCTTGGTATCCATGGGGAACCGGTTCTAGAACCCCCTCCCTTATAACGAAATCCCATATATGAAATAGCATTGTATTTATATATAACCTGTGCAAATCCTCCCATATTCTTCATATAATCTCTAGATTACTTATAATGCCTAATACAATATAAATGCTGTGTAAATAGTTGTTATACTATATTTTTAAATTTTATTATTTCTATTTGTATTTTTTAATACTTAATATTTTTTTACTTTTATTTTTAAAATATTTTCAACCTGTGATTGGTCATCTCTGTAGACATGGAATCCACGGATATGGAGGACTAACTGCGCTCTTTGCTTTTAAGCAGACAATTGCTAAAAATAAGGTACTAAGGGAACACAAACCCCAGTGCCAATACTCTTTCTAGAGGGGAGGGGTTAGCAAAATCTACACTGAGGAAATAACATTTGAATTGGGTGTGGAAAGATAAGTGGAATTTCACAAGACAAAAGAGAAAGTAAAGGACATTCCAAATAGAGGGAACTAGATGTACAAAATCAATGTCTTAGTCAATTCAGGCTGCTATAACAGAGTGCTATAGACTGGGTGACTTAAATAGTAGAAATTTATTTCTCAGAGCTCTGGAAGCTGCACAGTTCAAGATCAAGACAGTGGCAGATCCAGTGTCTGGTGACAGCACTCTTGGTGGATTGCAGATGGTCATCTTCTTGTTGCATCCTTATGTAGTGGAAAGAGAGCTCTGTTCTCTTCTCCCCTTATAAAGACACTAATCCCATTCATGAAAGCTCTGTACTCATAACCTAATTATCTTCGAAAGTCCCCACCGCTGAACACCATCTCATTCGGGTTTATAATTTCATCCTATTAGTTTTGGAGGGGGACACAAACATTCAGTACATAATAATGTGAAATAAAATTAATTGTTTTTTAAAAAATCAATGTTCTTTTACACTGTAACTTTGCAGAGGCAACTGTTGTTCCCAGTTTCTTGTAAGGAGAGATTGGTGTGTGTTTATATTTTGTTAATTCATACAAATTTACCAAGTCCCTTTATGTACACAGTAATGTGTTAGATTTGAAGAGAACACAAAAGAAATATTAGATGGGCATTTTTAATTGAGAAGCAAACCATTTAATTGCAGAAAGAAGCTCTGGTATAATGGAAAGAAGGCAAGCTTTGGAGTTACACAGAAGTCAGTTTGAGTCCCAGTTCAGCTGCTTACTAGCTGTGTGACCCTGTATTAGTAATTTAAACTAGACGACCTAATTTTCTCATCAATACAACGGGCATGCTAAAACTTAACATTTCAGAATTGTTGTAGAGATGAGTAAAATAGATATAAAAAGTTTTGCACATAGTTGCTACTCAAAAAGTAAATACAGAAAAACTGTCCCTTATTATTCTAATTGTTCTCAAGGAAGAATTGAAGAGCAACACAAGATAGTATATGATTCAGTATAAAATGAATTGCAGGTCGGGCGCGGTGGCTCACGCCTGTAATCCCAGCACTTTGGGAGGCCGAGGTGCGTGGATCATGAAGTCAGGAGATCGAGACCATCCTGGCCAACATGGTGAAACCCCGTCTCTACTAAAAATACAAAAGTTAGCTGGGCGTGGTGGCGTGCACCTGTAATCCTAACTGGGAGGCTGAGGCAGGAGAATTGCTGGAACTTGGGAGGTGGAGGTTGTAGTGAGCCGAGATCGTGCCACTGCACTCCAGCCTGGCGACAGAGCGAGACTCTGTCTCAAAAAAAAAAAAAAAGAATTGCAAATATATGAGCCTACTGTTGATGAGGATACTCAGAGCTAACTGAAAAAGTATAGTATAATGTGGATTGTTCTACATACATGATATCCAGAGAGTTATAAAAAGAAAGAAAACAATTCAGGAGAAAATAAAAGTCTTACTTTAGAAGGACAATATAAATTATACAGAAATGGCACATACTCTATGGCAGCAGAGAACCAGAGGAAAGTAGTTTTGTATTAATAAGTAGTAAGATACACTGGATAGAACACATTACATTATGAAGAGTCTTGAGAAGCAATGTAAACATTTTAGATATAAACTCAATGACATCAAGGCATCATTGACCATACCTAGGCATATGCCTATCCTGCAGCATGATAGGACCATGTTAGACAGGCTAATGGATGGCTGAATCCTTCTTATCATTGAGACCTCATATCAACTCTCATTTCAGAGTAGCCACCCATGATTTCTCCATCTAAAGTAGCTTCTCACTCTCTATAATATCACACTATACAGAAATCGCTTTGCTTATTGATTTATTTGAAATTATTTTCTCCTCTCACTAGACTGTAAGCTCTGTGAGAACAAAAACATTGTCACTTTGAGTTTACTGCGATATTTGCAGCCCTAGCAACACTGTCTGACACACAGCAGACTCTCACTTGCTCTTTCCCTGCCCTCCCTCCCCCGCCACCCAGGGCCCTTCTCTCTCTCTCCACAAACACACACACACGCACACACACACACACACACATGCACACACACTACATCAACAATTTAATATTTTCCTGGAAGAAGAAAAATCAGAATCTTTTGCAATAGCAATATATAAGCTGATGAAGGCTTATCATCTTGGCAATGGGTATGCTAACAAAGGAACAAAAGGGACTTATATTGATGTTACTTCTGTAGACCTACAGTTTGTCAAAATTAATTCTTCATGACAAAATGTACACTAAATTCATATAATTCAATGGGTGTCTAAATTCTCCAAACTACGTACGACCTTCTGTAACAAATCCATTTATCTGCACTGAAATAGCCCACTTTTATTTCTTACAAGAATTCACAAATGCCAGCTCTCTGGTCACTCATAGGTCATTGTTCTGTAATGCATCTTCCTCTGGATAATCACATTTCTCAAGGCCTGCTGTGCAAATACACAATAGGTAATACTCAATGGCAATCCATTTTTCTATTTGGCATTGATTGGTGGAGTTGTCATATTATCTTTTCTATCAGAGAAGTTACTGTTAACTAAATATCTTCCTTTCTAATGCTACTAATAAAAAAAACCTCTCCTACCATGACACCTCCTTAATTGCATTTTAGTCCATTTTAATCTGATGTGATACATTCTGGAGGCATATGGGAGGTGGGGACAAAGGGAAAGGTAATTCACCAGATGTAAGTTCAAAGAGTAAGGAATCCTTCTGTATCTGTATTATTTATTTTTATATATTCTTGGCATCCTATAGTTTTCCTAGCATATAAATATGAGTTGAGTAAATGTTCCATAGAATAGCTACTGTATTTCCATGTAAATATAAAGAAACTGAAAATTAAAAAAGGAAAAGCATCATTTGCCTAGGGTGTAGGTAATCTAATATTCTTTTCACTATACCAATAAGAGAGCCTGAGGTAGAGATAGTGCAGACAAATAGATATTTCTTCCTCCCTTTTTTATAGTCTCTTCTATGCCTACAAAACCCAAATATGAATTAACTACTGTCTGTCCTCACTCACATTGTCAGGATCCTGAGTCAAATCATGAAGTTTGAGCCAGAATCTGTGAAGGATCACAACTAAATGGGTAAGAAGAACTGAAATAACAGAGGGAAGTATGGGCATACTTCTAGAAGTAATAGAAAAGGAAGAAAATAAGGCTACTAAAGGATTTTTGACGGGTAAGCAGGAACAATGCTCAGAAAAAGAATATCCTATTCCAGAGTTTAATTACTCAGGGCATTTTTTATTTCCCCTCCTTATTTTGCAATAGGTCTGCCTAGGATTAACAATGTGTGCATGACTCTCATCAAAATCAGTAAGCAAAAACATCTTGAAGAAAAGCTAGTTCTAGGGGTAACATGTTTGTGTGGTGTTACCAAAATGTACTTTTGCTTAATCACCAGGTAGTGATGTTGCTTAGAATAGTTGTAATAATGAAGCACTGGACCTAGGTAGATAGAGAAGTTGACACTCGTTTGTGCAAGAACGAATGAGGACTAGGGGAGGGGAATAAATCCATCCAGTACTATTTGTTTTCAGAAAATTCCGGAGCTTAACAATAATACAGTATATAAGGAGGAAAGATCTTGTACACTACAAAAACTTAACATGCACTTGGAAAACTTGCATGATATTATATTCGATAAGACACAGGTCTTTGTATATAACTGTATCTATACCAATCAAATACACCAGATTATAGATGGCTTTTAAAAGGCTATATATAGAATAAATTCTGTGGCATCTTGTAGGATAAATAATTTACATAGTTGCTAAATGAAGAGAGAATAATTCAGAGAAAAACCTATTTCCTCAAAAAGGAAAACATTGCTTGACTTCCCTGTCACAAATATTTATGTCAAAAAATCTAGAACAATAAATAACCCTGCAATGTCTACTTTCCAACTATGAGAAGGGAAAAAAGTGTCTTTTACCCGGTAGTTCCTTAGTAATCTGTTTCACATTTAGAATCTTGTCCTTAGTATGATTATTCCTAACACCACTGGAAGGTTTTAATAAGATAAAGATAAATAATTTAAGTAATATTGATAAATTTGAAACATCTCTTATTTACTATGTAGCTATTTCTGTAAATACATTCATCATTGCTTATATAAATATAACTCAATAAAAATAACACTTCTAATGATTGGCATATATTTTTAACTTTAAATTACATGGTGGAAGCACATTCATTCTTGATTCTTCAACACATTTTCTCTTTGCTTCAACAGCAAAGTCATGTTCTCCTTAGCTTGACAAATGTTTTAAACAATATCTAAATTCACTAACCATCAGTACTGCCTCTCAGGTAAATTATGTGAACTAAAACATATTTTGTATTTCTAGACCTGATGAACTATATCTGAAGTCATCTGGGCAATTGAACAGGACTGAGTACTGGAAGGAAATTAAGATAAAGTGAAAAGATATCACAAAAAAGATATCTACAAAAGACAGATATTTCCTTAAGATTGAATTTTTCCATAATGCAATTACCATTCAAGTGAAATAATTTTATAGAAAAAAATTCATTAAAAAGCCAGTAATTAAAGCTCCTTGTGCAAATTTTAAAGCTAAAGTCTATGACTACACTACAGTGAACTGTGTCAGAAGGGTTTCAGTTTATTGCCAATAAGCTTTACCATATTTTTAAAGTAAATTGTGTTTATTGGCAAGAAGATTGTTCTGATATTGATAAAGACCTGGTGAACAATTTGTTAGAAATACATACATCAATAGGTTATTTGTGTTTTCTGCATTATCACCTTGCAGAAGTAGAAAAGGTAGGCATTAAAGCTTTGGTATTTGAGAGCGAACCACACGTGTATTAGTACATTTTCATACCGCTATAGAGAATTGCCCAAGACTGGGTAATTTATAAAGGAAAGAGGTTTAATTGACTCACAGTTCAGCATGGCTGGGGAGGCCTCAGGAAACTTACAATCATGGTGGAAGATGAAGGGAAAGCAAGGCAAATTCTTCACAAGGTGGCAGAAAGGAGAAGTGCTCAGTGAAGGTGGAAGAGCCCCTTGTAAAACCATCAATCTCATGAGAATTCACTCACTACCACGAGAACAGCATGGGAGAAACTGCCCCCATGACACAATTACCTCCATCTGGTCTCTCCCTTGACATGGGATTGTGGGGAGTATGGGGATTACAATTTAAGATGAGATTTGGGTGAGGACACAAAGCCTAAGCATATCAACAAGTACAAAATATTGTTTGGTTACAACATGCATTGCTCGAAAGAAATGCTTTTTAGGGTGAAGTAAAGTATTTTTTTTCTAATTTAAGTCCTCTAATATGTAATAATATAAACCTATTATTTCTGCCAGATAATAAAATAAAAATATAATCCTCATAGCATATGTCAAGACCTAAATAAATGTATTCCTGGTTTCAGATTTTGGATAAACTTAGAATATATATACACTGCTTTAAAATATCACCAACTTGAACATTTTTAATGTTTTACTTGTTGTTTATGACATTGGGCATGAGTAGAAATGAAATAAGGTCCTATGAGTCCTTTAATGAAAGTATCTAATTAAAATAATCTCACTGTTTTGAGATAAGGAAAGAGGAATAGTTCATAATTTTGTTGTTTGATAAATAAATAAAAGCTATTATCTCAATAGTATCTTATTGTCATGAACCACAATGTTTTGTAAATCAAGCCAAATAACTAGATAACTGAGAACATTTTATCTGAAATATAATAAACAGTGTAACTTCTTATTAAGAGATATCACTGTTTGCCCAGCTTGGACTCCCTCTTTTCACTGCTGGCCTCATCTCTATCTCTAGGAAAGACAGCCCAAAGACCCCATATGTTTTACTCTCCCTTTCCATGGCTGATTGGAAAGAGATGGGTACCTGTTGCTAGTCAGGTTGAATTGAACATGTCATGAATAGTGAGGTCTAGAATTTACACCATGGTTAATTTAGAAAAAATTAAGGTAAAGTTATTGAGGAAAATAAAAGACATAGAGGGAGAAATGGAACACCCAGAGAAAACACAAATGAGAAAACCTAAAGTTCCTTAGAATCAAGAGAGGTGAGAAAGCATCCATGTTCCTTGAAATATTCCACGTTCCTCATTCTTGACCCCATGGACCATGGCATATGTAATTTCTTTAAGACTAACATATTCTCTCAAAATCTCTACACTTCCTTTTACTCGCAGTAATTACAGTAGGTTTCTATCTCTCTTAACCAAACAGCCTTCTTTGACTACTAGAATAATTTAAAAATAGAAGACAGTGGTACATATATATTTCTATACACAGTAGTCCCCCCTTGCCCATGGTTTAACTATCTGTGGCTTAAGTTACCTGTGGTCAACTGCGGTTCAAAAATATTAAATGGAAAATTCCAGAAATAAATATCTCATAAGTTTTTAGTTGCACACTGTTCTAAGTAGCATAATGAAATCTTGCACCATCCTGCTTCGTCCTGCCTGGGACATAAATCATCCCTTTGTCCAGAGTATTCACGCAGTATATATTACCTGTCTGTTAGTCATTTAGTAGTCCTCTCACCTGACTTATCATTACGAGGTCAATAGTAGTCTAATGCTACCTCACAATGCCTACATCATTCACCTCATTTTACTTTACCCATCTTTTCTTTTCTTTCTTTTTTTTTTTTTTTTTTTTTGAGACGGAATCTCGCTCTGTGGCCCAGGCTGGAGTGCAGTCGTGCGATCTCGGCTCACTGAAAGCTCCGCCTCCCGGGTTCACGCCATTCTCCTGCCTCAGCCTCTGGAGTAGCTGGGACTACAGGCGCCCGCCACCACGCCCGGCTAATTTTTTGTATTTTTTTTTTTAGTAGAGACAGGATTTCACCGTGTTAGCCAGGATGGTCTTGATCTCCTGACGTCGTGATCCACACGCCTCGGGCTCCCAAAATGCTGGGATTACAGGCGTGAGCCACCACGCCTGGCCTACTTTACGCATCTTATAGGCACTGTATCGTCTCTCATCATCACAAGAAGAAGAGTGAATACAGTGAATTTTGAGAGACAGATTACATTTACATAACTTTTATTATAGTATATTGTTATAATAGTTTATCAGTTATTGTTAATCTCGTATTGTTCCTAATTTAAAATTTAAACTTTTTCAAAGGTATGTATGTATAGGGAAAAACATAGTTCATTTAAAGTTTGATATTATCTGCAGTTTCAGGTACCCACTGTGTAAATTGGAATATATCCCTTGTGGATAATGGGCAACTACCTTACAATGTACATACACACTACCATACTCTTATAAGACTGATTGAAAATCAGAAAAGAATGAATCTTGCTTACAGTTTCCAAAGTTTTTTTAAAACATTATTTGAGAAAAAATGTATGCCAACTTATGCACATTTTAAAGTCTATGCGAATGTATGTATAAAATAAATTATAATTAATTATATCCCCTTCCTTTCTCACCACCAATATAGTCATTTTATCAGAATACAGGAAAGTATAGAGAAAGTGGGCGAGAGTAAGGTAACTAAAATTCCTATGAATGTAGTAATTTTCTGTGTCTCTGTTTCTTCACTGATAAAAATGAGAGTATTCTTTATCTTAAAGGAGTTTCTGGCTCTAGGATTTAAATATGTGTTCTATATCTGTATGTAATCTTGAACACTGACAATGATGACCACCACCTCTGTGTATTCATTCTGTGCTAGACCTTTTATATTTAATAATAAACCACAGTAATGTACTGTGATTTAGACTATGTAAATCACCTAGGTCAAACAATTAGTAAACGATAAAGGAGATATTGTAAATTAAAACATGCTTGACTGATCCCAAAGCCATGGTTTTCTTTTACTCAATACTCACTCTCTGTCAGATTACAAATAATTGAAGAAAGATTCACTTACTTGAATATACTTGAATATATCTTATCCTAAGATAAGAATTGGACCAGATATTGTAAAACTTGTTCAGAAATGAGAGCTGAAATAAAAAAGTACTCTACTTTACTCTGAATTAATAAACAATCTAGACTGCTTCAATTTCTAAATGTTTTGATTAATAAAAATTTTACTGAATACAGTATTATATCATTTTATTTGCATCATTAAGTATGGAGATAAGTTTAAAGTATTGACCCTACAATGACAAAAATAATATCAGATACATTTTTAAATTCTTAAAAATTATTTTAGAGATGAAAACATTGTAATTATCTGAATGAGTGACACTGGATATTACAGGAATATATTACAGAAAAATATATATGATATATAATCACAGTAATTATCATATAATTATGTTCTCATCTCTAAAATACACTTGTGTATACAGTGGTATATACACTGATATATACACTTTAAAATATAGATATATATATGCAGAGTATATATATATATGTATGTATGTATATTTATGTACAGGGAGAAAGAGAAAGAGAACTAATTACAGAACTAAAAAGAAAAATTATTCAATAAATACATTTTCTTGCCTAAGCCTTACTGTAAATAAAGATGCTTTTAAGGAACCGATTCATGCTACAATAAGCAGGCTTACAGGCTAGGATAAGAGAAGAGAAAAGAAAGAAGGTGAAAGATCTTCACCTCCACTCTTAAAGAAAAAGATGGAAAATGGACACTGATTATTTTTATTTGTATTTTAACCATAAATCCCCGAATCGAAATAATTGTAAGATAAGCTAATCAGCAAAGGATTTAAAGACTGCATTAAACAAGCTGATAATGAATGAAGAATCCCTCTAAAATTTCCAAACACAAAAATATATGATCATAAACACACTATCTTCAGCTACAAAATGCTACAGTCTGTTGTATGCATGCGAAAGAGAATGAAGATAAAGAAAAAAATTGCTTTACTAGTCTTATTTTAGGTAGTCATTATCCAAGTGGGTTTTTATGTCATGCTGTATTTATTGGATTATTCAGCAAATTTCCCTATCATGAAAACTTCATATAAATATGTGACAATAATTCTTTAGTTGAATACTACCTTAATAAAAGTAACAACTCCACCTATCCAAAATGTTTTAGTATCTCAAGTGTCTTAAGTGAAATTATTTTCATGATGGTTGCATACCTAGAGTGCTTATGAAGATTTTGAGTGGCAGAAAACAAGTGACATTTTCTCCAATTATTGTCCTCATGCTATGCATTCTTTCAAGATCATAAGCTTCTGATAATAAGTTCTTTCCCCAGTGAATGCTGGAAACTCATACTTACCTAATAGCCTCAGGAGATATTTCCACTACTCATGTAAATTATCTATTACTCAATGGAATTGTACATGTGGGCAAGAAAAATAGTCAGTGCATGGCTTTACAAATCCAGATAACCAGTACTAAAGATACACACCCTGCCACACACACCATGAGTATATACTGGGACTATGATGATCAATTATCTTAACAAAAGTAGAAATCCAATATCTTTACTTTAATATTGTCATCCTTGAACAAAAAATTAATAAAAAGACAAGAGACAGAGAAACAAAACAACAAACATGAGTATTACTGATGAGGAAAAAGAAAATGACAAAGTTCACAGAAACAATATTTTTTAAATTTTTTTGAGCCATTTTTGTTTTCTGTATTTTAATTGAATACAGCTACAAGAAGATATGGGATGATTAAAGATCTAATAGACCAAAGCCTATCATCTACTTAAAAAATCTTATCCTTTAGTAGAATTCAGGCTACATTTTCCATAGTCTGCGCAATCTGTCTCTCAGTCTTTTTCGATCACACCCTCTGCCTTTTGCGGAGAGTTGTTATTTTATTCCAAGAAAACTTGAGACTTTCCCTGATCAGTGCAACTCCTAAATTTTACCCTGATATATTCCTATATTACATAGCAGTTACATGCCATTTTAATGGTAGAGCCTTATGGTTTGCACATTCCTAGCTATACACATAGGAGTGGAAAACCTTCAGAAGCAAACAAAGCAGAATCCTTTTATCCATTCATTAGCCAAAGTAGTAGAGAGAAGAAATATAACACATCAGAGCAACAGACCTTACAAATCATCTGAATAAAATATTCTATGTCTTTTCTATTCAAAGTGTAGTTCTGGAATCATAGCAAAGATATCACCCTGGAGCTTGTTAAAAAAGCAGAATCTCCACCTCCCAGATCTGGTAATCCAATTCTGCATCTCAATATGATCTCCAGGTGATTCACATGCATATTAAAGTTTAAGATGCACTGCTCTACACTATTTAAGGAACTGGGAACTCCCAAGTACTTGTCAGATCTTCAGTCAGAAAAACATAAATAAATAAAACAATCTCCACCCTCCTACTCCTCAAAACCTCACCATTGCTCTTCAAAAACAAACAAAACATGACTGAGGGCGGTGGCTCACGCCTGTAATCCCAGCACTTTGGGAGGCTGAGGAGGGCGGATCACGAGGTCAAGAGATAGAGACCATCCTGGCCAACATAGTGAAACCCCGTCTGTACTAAAAATACGAAAATTAGCCGGGCGTGGCGGCGGGCGCCTGTAGTCCCAGCTACTCAGGAGGCTGAGGCAGGAGAATCGCTTGAATCCGGGAGGCAGAGGTTGCAGTGAGCCGAGATCGCGCCACTGCACTCCAGCCTGGGCGACAGAGTCAGACTCCGTCTCAAAACAAAACAAAACAAAACCAAAACACACACACACATTGATAGTTCTGATTGGGAAATTCTGAACTAGATTAACTTTATGCTACACCTTGGGGGAAACATTGAGTTAGTTCTGGGAGGCTAGTTTGTTCATCTGCAGATCAATGCAAGCAAGGATGAGGTTTCCTGAGTTGAAGACACACATTAAATGATTTTATTTTTAATTGCAGTCTCACCAGAGAAGGGGAATTGTCCTGGCTCCTTCTCTTCCTAGGATAGTTTGATCATTCTGCTCTTTCTAGTCATTAACAGACTACTACCTTCATTTTCTTAAAAATACTAGTCATGTGTTCTACGTGTTTTCTTTGACATCCAGTAAGATTTATTCTGGAAGTGTAATTAGAAAACTCTAATTGTCTAAATGCTTTCTCAACAGAGATAGAAGGACAATTTGGATATTTTATATGCATGTGGATGGTATGATAGTTAAGGCAAGGGGTTAAATGTTTAACAAATTCAGGAATTATAAATTTTTTTTCTTTTCTTTTTTCTTTCTTTTTTTTTTTGAGAGGTTGTCTAGCTCTCATAGCCCAGACTGGAGTGCAGTGATGAGATCTCAGCTCACTGCAACCTGCGCCTCCCAGGTTCAAGCGATTCTCCTGCCTCAACCTCCCGAGTAGCTGGGATTACAGGTGTGTGCCACCATGCCTGCCTAATTTTCCTGTTTTTACTAGAGACTGGGTTGCACCATATTGGCCAGGCTGGTCTGGATCTCCTGACCTCAGGTGATGCGCCCCCACCTCGGCCTTCCCATAGTGCTGGGATTACAGGTGTGAGCCACCACGGCTGGCCAGGAATGATAAATTTCTGTAGGAAAAGAAGTCTAGCTCCACCCTTAGCAAATAAGTTCATAAAGCAAGGACTTTGTGCCTGTCTTGTTACTGTATTTCCAGTGTAGTCTTAGCAAATACCGTGTGCTCAATTAATAGTTTTATAATTGGATTCAGTTGAATTAAAACAAATTCCTTCAGTCTAATCAGACAATAAGGTCTTTATATTCAATTTGACAGTCTTGTATTATAAAGGACAAAATATATGACAGTAGGAAGAGCCCAGAAAAAGCAGCGTTAGATTCTAGTTATAACTCCATGACAAAAATAATAATTATTACATGCCTGAAGGGGGGAAATATAACAATTAGCAATTTTCAAAAATGTCATGGTATCTGTGCTATAAACTGTAAATAACTAGTCTATTTCTTTATATATGCATATATACCTTTAATATATCTTATATATCTTTCATATATCCATATATAGATAGATACATATATTTTTATATAATTTAATGGTTTAAAATATTACGAAGGTAAAATATAAAGACTGTGCATCCATATTGTGGAACATGTTAATTCTTGCCTGAGTAATCGGTGGCCCTCTTTAGCATTTTGGTGAGTGCTAGTTGTTTTAAAAAATCTGTATTCCTTTTCTCCCACAATAATTATTCTTTTCAAAAAGATCCTTACTATCTTTTACTAACATATCAGAAGGAACTGGAAGGAAACTCATGCTTATTCAGTGGTCTCAGGAGCTCTTTCTATTATGCCTGTGAATCATCTATTACTGAATGGAATTATGGATATGGCCAAGAAGAATAAATAGTCAATGTATACCTTTATATATCTATATGGCCAGTACTAGATACACACACACACACACACACACACACACACACACAATTCAGGAAAAAAACCTGTGTGGGAATAATCATTCTATAAGGTAATCAGGAAAATAACTAAATAGTGCACAAAAAAAAAACCTTAAAACTGAACCTTAAAACCCTTAAGAGAGCTGTCACTGTATTTGAGGGTAAAGACTATTCACAAACTGATTTATTGATAAATTAGACATCAAAGAGGCAGAGGATAGAGCTTCCAACAAAATATTCATTAGGAACTAGCTATAATATCCCATGCATTTGAGAACTGATAATTCTAAAAACAGAACACTATCGCTTTGATACACATAATCATTTGCTATGAATACAACTTTGAATATATGTGACCTATAAAATCTTCAAAGATGGGTGTAGCCTCAAAAGCTCTTAAAGTTGCATCTCAAAATTATTTTTTTAGGTGTCAGAATTTGATATTTATATTAAAACTGGTCTGATACCACAACATATGGCAAGCACAGCCTATATAAATGAGTGCTTAATGAATAATTTTATGACGAAAATTAGCTAAATGGTGCACTAAATCTATTGAAATGTTCTCATTTTTCATTGTTTAACTGAAAATAGGAAGGTGTCAGCAATTAGCATATTTCATTAAGTAAGACAAGATCCACATCATGATGATTTTTATATACAAATTGATAAGAGGGAGGACATGTGTTTCTTTAAGAATAAGAGGATTCTAAATTTTAAAGATTTCCAAATTTTAAATATTTGAAGTGAAAAATCTATTAATCATTATAGATAAAAGTATTCCCACAGTATTAACTCCAAATTGCTGTCAAACACTGGGATGCATCCAATATAATGTTAAAGTAATATCCTCTTCTGCTTGAAACATTTTTCTTTTCCAAGATGTTTGAGATATATTTTAGTATTGGATGATGGTCTGCACTTAATTCTAAAATGGTGGCTGTGTGTGCATGTGAGTGTATGTGTATGTGTGTTTTAGACTGCACATCTTTATGTATAAATTAATTTGCTTCTAAGAGATCAACAATGAAACATTTTAAAGGCTTAATTTGCAGAAAATAATTGAGTGGTGTATTCAAGAAATAAGCAATATAGCATAGTGTGAAGAACACTCAGTCTAGGGAGAGAAATTTAAAATTCACAGAGCTTGAATAAACGATGAACTGCTCTAAGTTTCAGGTTATTCACTCAACAAATATTGATTAAATATGAATTTTCCAGGAACAGTTCTTTATACTGGCAATATATGAACAGAAAATATACTTTATCCTCAAAGAATTCATATCTATATGAATATATATGCATATATATACAGCAATGTATATGTGATATCATATATACATATATATATATATATATATATATATATATAGAGAGAGAGAGAGAGAGAGAGAGAGAGAGAGAGAGAAAGCCTGCAGAAATCACTCGGATGTCTTAGACCAAGACAGAAATGATGACACTGATGACACTCGTGTCCTGTGATCTCACTGTTAGATATTGGATGTATTCTTGAGGTTGAACTGAGACACTTTGCCAAAAAGAAGAGAAATTAACAATGACCCAAGATTTTGATCTGAGCATCTAAAAGGTTAGAATTGCCATTAATTAACATATAAAATGCTGTGAGAAGGCTATACCTAAAGTTGGAGGATATGAGTTCAATTTTGGACATGTTTACTTTGATATGTCTATTAGATATTTAAATAAATTCTTGAATATATGCATTTGGAGCTTAGGTGGGAGATCTTGGCTAGAGATACAAAGTTGGAGTTAAAAAGTTGATGATAATTGAGAATGCAAGGCTGAATGCTATCACCAAAGGAGTGATTGTAGTTAGAGCAGTAGAAATGTGCAAGGACAAAAACCTGGAGCACTCAGTATTTTAGGGGATATGAAGTGGGGCCAGGAGAGGAAACTGGAAGCAGCAGCCCATGAGGCAGGAGAAAAACCAGGAGAATATGTACCTTAGAAGCTCAATGAAGAGAGATTGAGGGAACTAGCTGACAGTTCAATTAAAAAAGAAAAGATAAGTGATCACTGGATTTAGCAACAGTGATCTTTATAAAAGCAGTTTTGGTTGAGCGTAAAGGTCAATATCTGATTTTAGTGGGTTCAGTAAAAGAAATTGGAGACAGTAAGTATAGATGATTATTTCTTAGAACTTCATTGTTAAGGTAAGAAAAGATATAGGTTGGTAGTTAAAGGGACGATTTGGGCCAGACAGACAATTTTCTTTTTAATGGTAGAAATAATAGCATGTTGCAAGTCAAAATGATGTAGTAGGATGGAAAAAAAAACTGATGATGCAAGATAAAGAGGAAACATCTGCTGAAAGAACAAACTTGAGTAGGTAAAAAGAGTGGGTTCTAGTGACACAAGTAGAGAAGTTGACCTTAGCTATTAACATGGAGATTTTGCCCACTGTTACAGGAGATAAAACAGAGTGTATGAGAACTGCTGATGGCTGCTCTTCAGATGTGATGGTGAGAGAAGGTGGGATGTTTCTAATGATTCCACTTATTTTCTCATTAAAATAGGATTTCAGGCCATGACTTGAAAAAGGACGTACTGATGGTTTGAGAAGAGGGAGGAAGGAAAGTATAAAATATTAGTCTAAGAGTACAAGTGAATGGATTCACTTGAGGTTGATGAACATAAATCTAACCTGGAACTAGTCAATTTCAACAAACAATTCTGTTTTCTTCCAGCCATGTTCAGCTGCACGGTTGCAGGCACAGAACTGTTGAAAGGTGGCTTTCATCAGGTTTGTTCGCTTGCTTCCCAAAATGAAGCAAGCAAAAGCAAGTGAATGGCACATATAAGAGAAGTTATTACAATGAATGAATATTGATTGTAAGCTAAATAAGAAGAAAAATAAGGACACATATGTGAGAGGTACAGGAAACATTTATATGAATAATGAATTGTAAATAGTTAAATAGAGATCAAAAGATTGTTAAGTTTGGTGGAAAGACAGGAGGCAGTGGTGAGAAGGAGGAACAGAAAAAATTGAGATGATGGAGAGGCTGCAATTATTGGTAATCAGAAAGTTTGTGGTATGATCATGAGTAGTGAGTTTGTATAATTTTATGGAGAACAAAGTAATTGGCAGAGAGAAGTAAAGACACTAAGAGACCAGGCTATCATAAAAATAGTCCACACATTTATGAAATCACTAAGAATCATGAAGGAGTAGTGTTAGAAAGAGTGGCAATGAACCAGTATGTCAATCATCAAGAAATTAGGAGGAATGACCCAGGTGGCACTGCAGACTGCAACAAGGAGAGCTAATCGTCAGTATAGTCTAATGATATAAAATTCAAAGTTGGGTGCTTTTTGAGCAAGATAGAGAAGCAATGTCCATATCCCACCCAAGGCCAGTGATATGAAGGGGTGTGAAAAAGAAACAATCACTTTTTGAGGAGGATGCATGGGAGGCTGTACCATCAAGGGAGAGACATTGCAAATAAACCATGAAAATCAAAATTATCAAACAAATGTTTGAAAAGATCAAGTTATCCAATATTTGGTGATGAGTGAAGGAAAAGTAGCAGGGTTTTAAGAACTGAGAGGAGAGAAATCAAATCAGGTAGGGAGTTGTGCTGAAATGTGTGGGGATTAGAATGCCAGAAATGGCAGTGACCTCTGAGGCCTGAGTTCCTCGTGGTAATTGATAAAGATGTTCTGCATTTATAAAGTAGAAGTAGTAATTCTTACTATGTCACAGAGTTGTTATGAGAAGTATAAGTGAGGCAGATAAAAAGCATTTAGCCAGGCACAACTTAAGTGTGCCATAAGCATTAGCAATTATCATCATCATACTCATCACTTGGTTTGACAAGATTACTGAGTACATTAGGAATAAGCCATATAATTTTCCAGGAATCAAAAATTTCCTCCTAGAAATGCATCTCTGAAATTATAGTGTAAGCTGATGAGGAAATAAGAACCATTACAAAAAATAATCATTTAGCAAAAAACTTTTTTTTTCATAACAATGACAGTTATTTTCTTTCTTACTTTAGAACTTAGGTTTATTGACTTTGTTTCAAAGATTCTATGGTATTTGACATGTTGATGCTTTTGATGAAAGGATGAGCAGAATCAAAATGACATTTTACATGTCAGCAGTGAGAAATACAAAAGAGATTTCAGATTCATAGCATCTTTCTATATCAACATAGGTTCCTCGTTTCTTTTCAGCTGCAGTAACTCTTCCCATCCCACAGAAAATCAACTCGGTAGTCAGCATTTCCATGTAAAAATGTCTTCTGAGTTGAACTCGATTTTCTTTCACAAAAATGGAGAAATGTTTCTATTTTTTGGTATGGCCTACCAGAAATCACCATATTTTGAAGTTTCAATTTATATTCCCGGTGTATTTTTTCTCCAGAGAGTCATATTCTACGTCTTTCTTAGTTACCTCTCTAGAGACTGTCCTTTTGCAAATAATGCTGCAGTCTATTATAAGTCTGTTCTGTGTTAATTAAAATGACATCCAAATCATTTGGGGGGTCTGGCTCCCATAGATGTATTGCTCTAGTCTACTTATAATCAATTCTCTACTCAATGCTAGCAGTAGCCGTATCATTGGCCATGAAGGCACTCAGAAGATTAATGAAACTGGATAAAATAAATGGAGCTGTAATTTGGGAGGAGAAGTTAACATCCCCACTAAGCAGACACTGTCAAAACTAGCAGACTGTAGCTCATCTCTTATTGAGCCATGACAGTAAACATTCATCAAGTGAAGGAAAATAATATGCCAGTCTGAAAATGATATCTTACTCTATGCATAGAGACAATAATACACTGGCTCATCTTTTCTAAATTAACTGTAAATAACAATGGGGTTATATTACAATGAGTATATAGTTATTTCCCAGCCAGTTCTAGTGCGTGAAGTGTGTCCTCAAGCTGCTTGATGAGATGGAAAGCCACACGTAAAAGCAGATGGACAGTTAATAAGCCATGCTGTAAGGTTGAGCAACATGGCATGATTGGCTAGAGATGCTACAATCCCACTGAACCTCTCTCAGAAACAGGCAGTAAATTTGAATCCTAATTACAGTGGTCCAGTTCATTTCCTAATCAGACTGCTGGATAAGAAAGGATCTCATTTTGAAGCATTAACCCTCAAATACAGTTAATGACCATGCAAGAAGCTTGAGTCTTTGGTTCCTGTCATAGTAATTAGAGCTCTTGCCAATGGTGAGGCTTAGAGATTTATAAGCCAACAGCAATGCAAAGCTGTTCAAGATAGGTGGGGGCAACCTGACAGCCTCAAGGTAGTGCTTTCCACTGGACAGTTTTTGATGATCTCAGGAGAGTGTATACTGAGCAAGAACTTATAAAAAATAATACCAAGAAATAATTTAGATGAAGCCTAACCATGATCCAGATTGGTAAACAATTTTTCAAGATGGCTCTAATTTTAAAGATTCTGTTCCCAGTCTCTACTCATTTCTATCACATAAAATGATCTGACTTAGGGATGCAAAAATGTGACCTCAAAATTAAGGGTAGCTAGAAATATGCAAATACTATTTATGATCACTTAATTTCAGTTACCTTAGAGTTACTCTGTGGTTCAGATCTACATTCCTTTTGTCCGCCTCACTGTGTAATCTCCAGTCATTCACATATCTATTTCACCACATGGTGGTAAACTCCTTCCAGGTGGAAGCTATGTTAATCTTTTCTTTTACAAATCATTTGCTCAGTTAATTGAATAAAAAAACTGTGATACACTGGAGGATAAGGGTATGTTAGAATCAACAAAAGCAGGTCCAAGGTTTTAGGGAGCTACACACTTGGTAGAACAGCCAGAAGTAGTAACAATTAAAATTAATGCTACATATATACACACAGAATATGTATTAATTTTTACAATGAAATATTATATTTTTATTTGTAAAAAATCTGGAAAATATAGTGTGCCAAAATAATTACAATTCTCACAGAAACACTGTCAAATTAAATGCTCACATATAGTTTTCAATCTTTTCTATATATATATGATACATTTATATTATAACAAAAGTTATGCATAGCATATTTGTAAATTTTAAAATATAATAGATTTTATGAATGTTTATATGAATATTTATACGAATGTTTATAATAGTTTAGTGCATAACTTTTCTAGTTTACCTTCTAGAATATAAATTCAAAAGTTGTATGTATCTCTTTCAATGGCATATTTCCAACAATTTGAACAATGCTTTGCATATGGTAGGTATTTAATCAAGACAAAATAATTTATTATTCTTTTATAGTTGGATTTCTATAATTTAAAATCTAGACAGTTCCAACAGTCACAAATGTCATCTAAAAGAAAAGTTAGGGATAGATTTTTGAAAGCATGAATGGATAGAAGAAAAATCTTTAATCTGTAAGATGAGCAGTTGTCTATAATCATTTAAAAGAAATAGCTTAATTAGAACTCTACTTTATTTTATTGCCAATAAAGGTATCCAACCAGCTTGCATTTTTCACTTTCTGCTTTGGCTTAATCTATAAAAATAAGAATATAAGTGATATTTTCAAAAATACTTGTCAGAATGGTGATAATTTCAGTGGTAAGTCTAATTTTGTCTCTAATATGGAAGAAACTATTGGCAATTAGGAAATTATGTTGGGTAGCATGGAACGTTACCCACCAGCCAACTTAACTTGAGTAACAAAAAAGAATACTTAAAAAATAAAAGATTTAAGTACAGATTTTAAAGTCCATTCATAGAGTTCCAGTGTCCAAGGCATATCTGTGTGGCAAAGGGTCAGAAGCAAGGACGGGGCTTGTATCTCCTCTTCTTTCAATCTGTTGCTATCTCTTTGGGCTCTAGTTCTCTCACTGCTAAGAAGTATAAGTCCCCAAACGAGAAAGCTAAAAGAGGAAAATAAGCACTTCAGGATATTGTCACCTTGTCCTCATGTCCCGGGAGTCAATGATTTCTTCTGTGTCTCCAAATTCAGGTATCATTACCTTAAAACATAAAATGTTAGAAATAGAAAGAACTTTGAAAATCAAGACTCTGGGAAAGAGAAACCAGTAATAAGTATCACCAGTTCAACTAAGATCTGATTTGGTCAGTTAGAAAATTAACTAAAAATATCAGTGCATTTAGATCTTGTTATGGGGCTATGCAGACTGTATCATCGAATTTATTTTTCCTTGACAGCACACTATAAATCCTTTATTTCACTTAACTTCTAAATCAGATTAAGTGGATTACAAACAGAAGTTTTAAAAAATGAAACAGAATATAACACAAAAGTCAAAGTGCATCATAAGTAGAAATAATATTTTTAGGAGTGTGTGTGTGTGAGTGTGTTTGTGTGTGTGTGTATACTATCATGTATTTACTGAACTGTAATGTGAAATATATTGTTATTTATTCTGGATCACAGCAAACAATATTTGAAAGCCACTGTTTTCTATTTCATATTAAAAGCCATAATTGAGGATGATAATTCTGAACAAAGAGTTGACATTAAATAATTTTAAATATGATATAAATTTTTAATATATATATACTACTCTGTTCATTTAGAAAAACAAAAGCATACTATCAACTCATACCATGTAAAATCACGATGCTTTAACTTTCCTTAAGGGGGTCAGTGAATTTCCTAAAGTAACATGGCTCAATACCAGGCATGATAAAACTCAGAAATTCTGACATCTAGTCCAATTATTTCCCCATTAGTCCAGATAATGGCATTTCCCTATAATAGCCATGTAAAAATCATAAATACTCTGTGAACAGACCATAAAATGGACCACAACTTAATATACATGAAATTTGATGATAAATGTAACCTGTGTTAATGCTAGATAAAATCAGTGTTAACTAAGGGGTAACTGTCATGATGCTACCTTTAAATATTTAGTTTTATTTATTTATGTTTTGTAAAATAAGGTCTGTTCTCCATTTTTTCTTCAAAGAATTATAAAGGTAAGTGTGAATCCATGATTTCTCTCATCCCAATATAAAACATGGTGACTAATTTATCTCTAAAACAGGCATCAAATAATATTCATATTTGAAGGCCTCCACTTAGGAATATAATTATAGTTTAGAGAACTGGGCCTCTTGTGTTAAATTCTCTTGTTGCTCTTATTCTCTTTTCTTCTCTATCCGTGTCAGTTCCCCAGCCTTCCCCATCTCTGATGCTATGACTGAAAATGTGGGTATTTGAGAAATGAGGACGAAAGTAAACAGAGCAGTGACTTCTTCAGACCTTTATATACAGTTACATATGCAGCTATTGGGGCCAATGTGGTCTCTGTCCCTCAGGTTATAAGTTGATGTCCATCGAAAGGAACATTTGCAAGACACACAAACGACCTAGAAATTCCTGCAAGTGAAGTTTAGATGTTAATTAGGTACTGTTGAAAGAGCAATTGAGAAATACAAAGAGATGACCATTAGCCTGAATCAGTTGGGCCATCTTCTCCCTTAATATTTCTAGAGGTTTAAGAAAGCTTAGTTTATTTGATTTCCAAATTCTCAGTCTGGTATATTTTTTGTTGTGTTCACGGCAAAAACAAAAACAAAAACAAAAACAAAAACAAAAAAAAAACAGATCTGGAATAGGACAATATGATTTAATACCTTAATCAGAAGCAATTTTATTTATTGTTTTTCCTCCCTAAAATAATTTGTCTATATTCTAAGGTAAAATACAGAATCCTAAAATCCAATTCTTTTCAAAGGTAAGCATGCTTAAAAGTAAATCATTAAGTGGGTCAGTTTCTAGATCATTAAGTCAAATCATGGCACAGCTGGAACCTCTTCCAACCAATCAGAGATCATTTTTACCATTTTTATTTCAGAAATTACAGTAACATTATTCCTAGTGCTTCTTAAGATGAATGATACATTTAATATTCTTGTCAAGCTCCAGTGCTGAATGTTCTTCAATTTTAAAATGACAACTGAATATATGAAAGCACCTAAGGAAAAGGTTAAGATTTCATGAGGATTGTTTTAAACATTCAGGCCCTATACAGTCCACGTCTTAACATGCAGGACTATTTGTCCTTTAAATCCTGATCTGTCAACACTGGTCCCAAGTCTATAGTTTCTTAATAATTGAGAGATTCCTTTAGCTCTCGAGCAAATGTTAACATGTGATACTCAGGTTCTGTTAACATGGATATAACATTCAGAAATTTGCCATTACAATATTTTTCCTTGACACATTAGAAACATTTATATTTCTAAGCATCATCAGCTGCTGCACACATTTCCTGCAAAGGTATACATTTCAGTATCACACAACTTGTATACTAGTGAAACAGTAAACTGCCTATCAGAGAACTGAGTTCTAGGTCTTAATTTGTCACTAAGTGGCTCTGTGGCATCACAGATGCTATCTCCTGTTGGGCAGAAGTTTGCTGCTCTGTGTCATTTTAATGGCTGGCAAAAATATATCTACCACATGGCTTCTCTATATCTATCTAATTCCATGAATGTAACAGCCAGAGTTTAGCCCCTAAGATTTGGGTGGCTACAACAGATTGTTTTGTATACATATTGGCCAATTTGCAACATCCGTTTATATTAAATTCCAATCCATCTTGTGCTACTGTATTGCTTTAAGGGCATCATGGTAAAAATACTTATTCAGTTTTCACAAATCTACTAACAGGATTGGGTTAAGATAAAGAGATGACTCTGAAACTTGCTGGAAACTGCATATCTCTAAGATTGCTGTCTGGAAGGAATTGTTGTCCCTCAACAGTCCCTGTACAGTGTATATTCCACAGAACATTGAATCCTCTAGGTAATGATTGCGGTAGTTCAGGGATATTAAGACTGTGATTAAGGTCAGTATGCATGGGTTTTGGAAAAAGTACCTTGAGACTTATCTAGTATAAACACACAGATAATTATAACATATATTTCATTTTCTCATATTATTCTATTTTTCTCAAGTGAGCAGATAAAAACAAATAAAAGTATAAAATATCCTTGAAAATTATAACTGACAATGTTTTGCCTACAATGAAATACACAGAATGTGTATGAAAATGTATCTTCTTCCAATTCTTTTGGAATGATGAGATTTTCAGTTGTCTCTTAGTCAATCTTCCATTTGGTCCAGGTGAAGACATGACCAGAATGCAATAATTTGCTTATGAATAGGTGCTTATCATAGAATGTCCTAATGGAGACTCAAAATTCTACTACAGATAAAATCTCCTCCATTTCTGATTAGTTAAGTGATTTCCCAGAAATTTATGCCTGATTAATTAGCAAAATGATCTGGCAGCATTTAAAAATAAACCACAAAGATAAATGTGAATCACACATATGAGAAAAGCTGCTGCCTTCACGATCCCTTGTTGCTATCTCAGGTGTATTTACTGTCAAGGTCCTCTGCTCTCTGGAAATTCCTAATATTATATTAATAACTTGATTGTATCAGGGATTAGAAAAACCAAGTTCTCATATCATCCCCAGCCTACTAATTTTGAGAATTTTCTAAGAATCAATTCTATCTATAAAATGGGAATGCAATTCGTTATTGACTACAGACTGCTCCTATAATAGAATGAATGCTAACCTTATCACCTTTTTTGGTTCCCAAAGCAAATCACTTGCCCTTCTCCAGAGCTACAAAAACTAGGGCACCAGGTTTATATCAGAAAACATAACCATAGTTATCATCTATACAAGTTTCATCGAAGCCATAGTGACATAAATGATCTATAATTAAAACAATATAAAGATAATGCTTTTCTTATACTCCTTAAACTAGTTTCATTTTTACATAATACACTGGAGCAGCAGGACCCAGTATTTCTCAAGCATACTTGGCTAGCCTCCTGTAAAGTCCTTTTCCCTCAGATACTTGAATATAATCATTTCACTGTATAGTTTTATAGAGGGCCATTCTAAGAAATAGTCATATTAAAATTGTTTCTATATTTAGGTATAAAAGCATAATATGAGTTGCTGACTTAATGTTTTCTATAGGAGGTCTCATGTGAAAAACATTATTATTATTATTTTTATAATTATCATTATTATTATTATTATTTTGAGACAGAGTCTCACTCTGCCACCCAGGCTGGAGTGCAGTGGCGCAATTTCAGCTCACTGCAAGCTCCGCCTCCCAGATTCACACCATCCTCCTGCCTTAGCCTCCTGAGTAGCTGGGACTACAGGGGCCTGTCACCACGCCCGGCTAATTTTTGTATTTTTAGTAGAGACGGGGTTTCACTGTGTTAGCCAGGATGGTCTCGATCTCCTGACCTTGAGATCTGCCAGCCTCGGCCTCCCAAAAGTGCTGGGATTACAGGTGTGAGCCACCATGCCCGGCCGTGAAAATCTTATTTTAAAATCAAGAGCAAGAAAAAGTTTACCTGACTCAGAGAACTAATCTGCTTTCTTCTCTCTGATAAGGGTTTATGTAACTCAATATGATTTCATTTTCCCTTTACTTTCAAATTTCTAAAACTAAGTTCAAGCATAGTAACTGAATTAAGCCTCTTGGAGAGCATCTGGTCTTGTTTTGGTAGACCAATTTCTACCCTTGAAATAGCCATTATTTAGCCTATCTGTAACATAAGTACAATTAAGCAAACTGGCATGCATTTAAAATAGAAGTTTTAAGTAATCATTTTTAAATTGTAAAAACAAATAATTGAGAATAACATTTGCCCCATGTAAGCTTTTAGATAATTGAAACACAAAAGCAGTTTAGAAATAGTAAGAGAGTATATAGGCTAAGTTCATTTTATTATAATCATTGTGTAAAATGATAGGCTTTTTGCATAATCATAGCATTCATAATTATCAATTTACCAATTTATTTCTCCTCCTAGATTATAAGCCTTTTGTGGGTCAGAATAGTATTCATTTAATAACCTCAGTGTCTAACAAATAGTAAGACCTCAGTAAATGCTAAATGAAAGAAGAAAAAAAATAAGAGCAAGATAAACGCAGAGATCTAAGAATACAATGGTCTTACTGACCTTATTATTTACAATAATATCATGACACATTGTACAACTTTTAGCATTACCAATGATTAGAATCATCATAATGACTAAAACAGTGATATTGAAAACACCTCATTTTCTATCTTATTGTAATTTTGAATAATTCCAGTTTTTTCTCTCAATGCCATTTCAGCAATGCTTTAAACATTCTGCAGAACCAAAAGCTTTTAGAGCTAAATGCATCAATTACACATAATCTTGTGATGCAATCCTGCCATGAATCCTTAGTCATTCATCCTCAGCCCACAGAATGCCATCTGCTTATTTTCAGTGTACCTTGTTACAAAGAGAAAGAGAGCAAAAGAAATCTTAAACTGATTTCATTGCCCTGAATTATGCTACTTTATAGTTTTGTTTTCAATGACTTTTTTTGTTTTCAATGACATTGATTCTAAATGCTAAAGTTTCTATAAAGATATTATCTAAACATTCTGACCTTTCTGGTAAATTATCTGCATGCATTCTCCTTTGTTTAGTAATAAAGTGAAACAATTATCTGAGGAAAGCTCTAGCTTTATCCATAGACACAGTCCTTATATTGTTTCTCACTGGACTTACAATTTTATAGAATCCCAGTTTTGTAAGTGTGGAGTTTGGACTATTCATTCCATGTGGCAGACTCTCTGGGATAAGGTGAAAGCTAAGTAATTTCATGGTAGAACAAGCATCCAAAAATGCATTCCATCTTTTTAGCAATAATGACCAGACATAAAACCAATCCAAGGAGAAATGAGATTATAATCTCACTTGGTTCTGTTCATTTTAATATTATCTATAAATGATGTTTTTATAATAAATATTTAAGGAAGGCTTAACACTCTATAAGTATTTCTACCATCAGCCTGAGGACTGTATATGCATCTAGAAAGCAAATTTTCTTAGGTGACAAGAACAGACAAAAGAAAAACTAGGACTAACGCCCTGGTCATCCAGTGCTGGGAGAAGCACTGGCATCAAATCCTCATTCTGTCTTACCAGATTTTTATGCACTTATGTATTTTTATCATTATACTATAAACATTCTTTGACATAGATATAGGGGGCATGGCTTTGCCTGCAGTATAAACACATCTGGCAAGTAGAAGCTTTTCTTTAATTAAAACTAATAATCTTTTTAAACAAAATGAGAAAAAGACGTTGGTCCATGGAATATTATACACAATTTATTTAGAGAACAGTATTCACTAAAAGATAATAACTTTTACATGTACCAAAGTTCTTAATAGGATTCAAAGTGTTTATGCCACTGATAGAAGGAACAAATGGTCGATTATGAGGACTGACAGAATCCTTGGCACCTGCCTGACTTTCTATTTCTACAAATCATGTCTCTTGCCAAGGTAACACCATCTTTTTCCAGACTACTGTCATAGCCCTTGGCAAGTTTCCCTAAAACCATTATTATCTCAAATCTATTCTCCCTAGCACTGCCTGGGTGATCTTTTAAAAATGCTAGGATGGCTGGGCGTGGTGGCTCACGCCTGTAATCCCAGCACTTTGGGAGGCCGAGGCAGACGGATCACGAGGACAGGAGTTCGGGACCAGCCTGGCCAACACAGTGAAACCCTGTCTCTACTAAAAATACAACAAAATTAGCTGGGCATGGTGGCAGGCACCTGTAATTCCAGCTACTCGGGAAGCTGAGGCAGGAGAATTGCTTGAACCCGGGAGGCGGAGGTTGCAGTGAGCCGAGATCGTGCCATTGTACTCCAGCCCGGGTGACAGGGCCAGACTCTGTCTCAAAAAAAAAAAAAAAAAAAGCTTGGATGATTATGTCATTTGCCCCTTAATTTCATGTCTTGCAATTGAGCCACTGGCTAATCTTCCCTATAGCTCATCACACTCCGGCTATTTTGGTCTTATTTCAGTTCCGAAAACACTATGAGATCTTCACTCCAGAGTTTCCACATCATTCTTTCTTCTGTTTAGAACATATTTCTGCTACCCTTCACCTCACACAAACATTGTGCCTTTGCTTATTGTTGTTCATTGTCTACCTAAAATCTTTGCTTTGGCATCTGACTCTAACATCACAATCAGATCCTCATTATAATACTACATTTACTCTTGTTTATTTTGCCTGCCAGATTTAGTCCACATTAATGTTCATCATTATCTCCATGAAAGGAAAATTAAGAAAAAAAAAGTTAAGCTGCTTAGGTCATTCATCCAGTGTATAGAACTATTTGGATATTTTTATAATGAACACATGTATCTGAGATGTGTTTTATTTGCATGGTGAATCTACAAATTCCAGGATCTTAAAATACATTTATAAAGTCAGACAAGGATTTTCAGGATCATATCACAAAGGACAGAAATTAAAATTAAACTATTATCTGAGTTGATTTTTAAAATGATGAAGTATCATGTACCATTTTCATTCAATCATAAAATAAAAACGAAGTTATAAAATGATTCAAAGAATGTTTACAGCAGGGATTGTAAGGAGATGTCACCTCACATACCAACTTTGAGATGGGCCAGGATGGTTATGAGAATTGTGTTGAAAAAGGCTCCTGATAGAGTTCAGATTCATCAAGAGAGTGCTGTGATTTAATGATGTTTATCCTGGGCATAAAAGCAGAGAAATGGTGACTCACTTTATATTTGAATAAAAAAAGATTAAGAGAGGTGAACTGGCTTCACCTTCTCACCAAAATGAAAAAGAGAAGCCCAGAAGTCTAGACTGTTGAATCTTTCTCTAGGGCATCTATCACCATGTTATAAATATTTACTGATCTCTCAGTAGTATACAAAACAGTTGAAACTTGTTTTCCTTCTGGCTTCTAGGGTATTCTTCTGTTCTCTAGTATTCTTCAATCTTACTGAAGATTGAAGTCATCCTTGTCTCTTGGGGGTGAGTCACATCCTCTGGTGAACCTCTAATTGTATTCCTCCAGGGCTTTGTGTTTGTTCTTCACTTTCTCCTTAGGTGACTTCATTTCATCCCATGACTTTAAACATTTTATTTTTGACCACTATAGCTTCTTATTTCCAGCTGACTACTCCTTGTCACCACATAGAAATCTTATAAGTATTTCAAACTTAATTTCAATATGGACAACACAGAACTCTTGATTTTATGCAAAAACCTACTTCTGTATCAGTCTTCCTCATTTTTGTAAATGGGATCATAATCTCATTATCTCAATCCAATAATATAGAGTTTTTCTTCGTTCTTCTCTTTCTCCCATCTCGCATATTCAATATCAACAAGTTCTTCTGACTCCAAATCATATCTTGAAACCATCCAGTCTTTCCTATTACATGACCACCACCCTAGTCCCAGTCACAATTATCTCTTTGAATTACTTCGAGAGCCACTTATCTAGTTAATTCCCAGAATCCATTTTGGTTCCCTTGACTCCATCCATCTCTATGTGGTAATTACAGTGATTATTTTCAAAACATGAATGAAACCTTGTAGTGGCCTTGCTTAAAATTATCGAATATCTTCTTATTAAACTGGGAAGTGAACCCAAACCTCTAATCCTGAGTTTTAAAGCCCTGTATAATAATCTGTTCCCATTCATTTATGAATCTTCTTCACACTTTTTACCCACACTCACTTCCTTTTAGCAATACTAGCTTTTTTTCTATTCCTCAACCAAACTATACTAATTTCTACCTTGTGTTTTAATATTACTTAGAATACTTTTCCCAGTGACTGCTTTGTTATCATTCTAAATTTAGCTTAAATTTGAATTCTTTAACCATAATTTTGCAGTTAACCATATACTCTACTTCCTTCATGACCATCTTTAATTCACTAGATAGCACTTGTCATTTCCTGACAATATTGCATATTTATTCATTTGCCATTCATTCATTCATTCATTCATTCTTATCTGTATGTCTTTACTTGAAAATAAAATCCATGAGAGCAAGGAACTCGTTTTCCTTATTCACCCCTAGAACACAATGGGTGCATAGTAGGCATGCAATATGTATTCATTGAATAAGTAAACTCTATTTTCTGTACAGTTTTCTACATTTAATATAAAATCAATTCTTTCTGAAGTCACTGCAGCAGAGTTTTAACCTTTGGCTTCATTCTTGTGGCAATTTTTTTTTTTGCATCACTCTCACTCTTCCTACCATCAATTAGCGTATATTTAGAATTTTAAACACTTACATAAATACATCTTTGCTAGAAAAGTAAAATGGAAGCAGGAACTAAAGAGAGGAGAAGGGCTACCTGTCAAATTTAAATAAATAAATATTATTTTTAGTGCAAGAATATCTGGTAGTACTTACTTTCAAATAAGGACTTCCAACAAGTAAATATTTTCATTGAGAATTTCATAGATATTGCCTTTCTTCTATTAATAAATGTATCTAAATTTTTTAAAAATGAAATGTAAATATATTTATTTAAAAATCTCTCTTTCATGATGCGCAATTATTTGCTACTGTTCTGGGTAGATAATGTTTAAGCTATGCCCCATTCGCCTGAGAAATTCAGGTTTTCAAAAGTAGGGAACAATGTCTATGCAAATTCCTATGCTTAATGGTCCAGTTGTATACCCAATAGCAAGCCTTAGTTGCCACTAAATGTCCTAGCTACATGCACCAAGAGAAAGCAAATATTTGTATCTTTCTTTTATAAAATATCCTAAGAGAGAATCTAATATACTAATTGAAGCAGTAAGTTCCATAGTGGAGGATTGTTTTTCTCAGAGAAAGGCTTCTTCTCACGATGAGTTCAAAAATCAGGAGCAAAGTAACTGTGATTTATTTGGTTGAGATAAAAGCAAGAGAGACATGGTCTTAATAGCTGAGATCCCAACTCTGTTACATTTGGAGGCAAAAAGCAATCCTAAGTGACATGATAAGGAGACAGTCTGGCCTAGGAAGAAAGGATCTGCAGCACCTGTGTGTCACTGAAAACCCTGGCTCCTATGCTAAGCAAGCACTCCTTCCAATTCCACTATAACTGAAGTTTATGAATGATATTTCCAACGGTTCTAAGAATTAGACATATACCAATATAAAGTAGTATAAACAGAGTCATAAGTAACTATACTGAGGCAGGCTTTGGAATTCTATAGCCTACTGCAGTAAAAAAAAAAAAAAAAATCTAGAGTGGGTATCATCACGTAGATTGTCTAAAGAGCACTCCAGATTTTGAGGTATTTCTTCATATGCTGCAGAGAACATTGATGTCAAGTGAGAAGAAAATGGGATACAGTAGCCCAGCCCCCCCCAATTAGCTGCAAGGTATATGGTTCTAAGACCCTCAGTGGATGCCTGAAACTCAGTACCAACCCTATACATGATATGGTTTTCTCTACGCATATGTACTTAACGTTTAATTCATAAATTTGGCATGGTAAGAGATTAACTAATAAAATAGAAAAATTATAACAATATACTGTAGTAAATTTATGTGAATGTGGTTTCTCTCTCCATAGCTTATTGTACTGTACTCACCTATTTTCAGACTGCAGTTGACCATGGGGAATTGAAACTGAGGAAAGCAAAACTGCAAATAACGAGAGAACTACTGTACAAACCTCAATGTACCCTTCCTTCCTTCCATTATTTAATGCATATTTAATGAACACGAACATCTACTATGTTGGCAAGCACAGGAGACACACATTGAACAAGGCAGAAAAGGCCTCTCCCTCACAGTGATTCTGAGGACAGCGAATAAACAGACAAACAAGGTAATTATATTTTGTAATAAATGCTATAAATAAACAAATCAGAATGAAGGTAAGGTACAAGTATAATAATTGAAACAGTCTACTTTAGATTAGGTAATCAAAGAGGGTCTGTGAGTTGAAACATAAAAAATAAAAAGGATCTAGCCATGCAAAGGGTTAGTGAGATAGTTTCCTTTAAGGAGAACAAAATGGTCTAGAAGCAGAAAAACTGCATTATGTACAAGAACCTGAAAGGTCAGTCTGATTGCAGCAAAGTTACCATGGGCAGCCTGATATTAAATGAAGATGTAAAAAGAAGCAGAAGACAGATTTAGAGGCCAGGAAGCATATATATACAATACTTACTGATAACAAGCCTAGAATTTTTATAGAGATAATTCAGCTTAAAAGCACTCTTCACAAGCCTATATGGCACATGAGCTTATATATGACCAGACTCAAATCACACATGTAATAAGTCTTAAAAATAGAACTGCAGGCCTGGTGCTTTGGCTCATGCCTGTAATCTCAGAACTTTGGGAGGCCAAGGCAGGCAAATCATGAAGTCAAGACATTGAGACCATCCTGGCCAACATGGCAAAACCCTGTCTCTACTAAAAATACAAAAATTAGCTGGGTGTGGTGGTGCACGCCTGTAGTCCCAGCCACTTGGGAGGCTGAGGCAGGAGAATCACTTGAACCCGGGAGGCGGAGATTGCAGTGAGCCAAGAGAGTGCCACTGCACTCCAGCCGGGCGACAGAGCGAGACTCCATCTCAAACAAACGAATAAAAAAAATAAGACTTCTGATGCCATGTCTCTTGCCAAGGTAACACCGTCTTTTTCCAGACTACTGTCATAGCCCTTGGCAAGTTTCCCTAAAACCATTATTATCTCAAATCTATTCTCCCTAGCACTGCCTGGGTGATCTTTTAAAAATGCTAGGATGGCTGGGCGTGGTGGCTCACGCCTGTAATCCCAGCACTTTGGGAGGCCGAGGCAGACGGATCACGAGGTCAGGAGTTCGAGACCAGCCTGGCCAACACAGTGAAACCCTGTCTCTACTAAAAATACAACAAAATTAGCCGGGCATGGTGGCAGGCACCTGTAATTCCAGCTACTCTCTCCCTCTCTCTCTCACACACACACAAACAGACACACACATCATTTTGGGTCAAGAGCAAATTAGTGGTTGTAGAAACTCAAGAGTGACAAAATCACTCAGGAAGAATCCATAAAGTGAGATGGTAAGGGGGCCTAGATAAGATTCCTGAATAGTGCTAATATTTAAACAATAACTTGGTTAGAAAGTGTCCCTAAAACAATTCTAAAAAGCTAGAGAGAGAGCAGGATCAAATAATAAAATTGAAAACTAAAGAGGAATTTTGATTCCTAATTCTCAATAGTTTCAAATTCTATAGAGAGGCTGTCTCAACTGAACTAGCAAATTTATTCCCTAGGGAAAGCCCTTTCTGAGATGTAGATAAACCAAATAATAATAGGTTGAGAAATAAGTGAAGACGCACCTCACAACCCAACCAAGAAATTCAGTTGTAAGTGATAGGTGAGCGAAATTCCTGAGAAGGAGCAAATGAGAAATAATTGCTCATATATTTTCTTATTTCTTAATATAATAGATTTGGACAGTTTGATACACTCAAGTAAGAGATCTGGCTGAGAGGGAGAATTTTAATATGTAGAGAAGTGACAGCAATTAAGCATAATTCAAAAGAAAGGCAAAGGAGATGGGATTTAGAGCACAGATTGTGGGGTTGCCATTATTAATATAAGAGCACTATTTTCCTAAATCTTTCTGGCTTCTGATTGAAGACATCCATTAACTCAAAAAGCTGATTTGTCTCCCTCAATCTGCATACATGTTTGCACTCACCAAGGCTAACACTCACCTCTAAAATGAAATGTAGAAAATAGAAGTCATTCTCAGAAAGATCTTTTACTATTTCTTCTTAAAATAACAATTACCACCAGCACTAGTACCAATACAACAAAAATCGAAACCAAGAGTACCGTGTAAAAAATACTTTCACATAGTTTATTTCATTTGGACTTCTCATTAATATTCCCAGCACTCTTCTATAAGACTTGTTTCTAAGTGATTAATCGCATGTTATTAAAATGCTTCTTACATGGGATTGCCTCTAGAAGAAGGCTGAGTGGATTAAATCCCCACCTTAGTCTTGCCAATTCTTTCTTAACAGGTATCTTAATCCATTTTGTGCTGCTAGAACGGAATACCACGGGCTGGGTGATTATAAACAATAGAAGTTTAATTAGCTCATGGTTTTGGAGGTTAGAAAGTCTAAGATCAAGGAGCCCCATCCAGTGGGAGCCTCCTTGCTACAGCATAACATGGTGGAAGGCATCATGTGGTGAAAGGGCACTCAAGAGACTGAGGAAAGGGATCTCAGCCTTTTATGAGGAATCCGCATCTACCATAACTAACCCACTCCCAAGATAACCATGTTAATCTATTCATAAGGGTGAAGCCCTCATGATCTAATCACCTTTTTAAAGTCCCACCTCTTAACACTGTGGCATTGGAGATTAAGTTACCAACACATGAACTTTGGGGGACACATTTAAACCACAGAAATAAGAAATCTTAAATGAAAAGATTGCTTTTCTCTGAGCAATTTTGCCAGGGGCAGCAGCCTGAATCAGCGAGAAAAATGCTTGGGCAAATTCATTTATCATCACTCACCTTTTTAAACTCAATAAAAGAGTAATTGCTATTTTTTATCAACCTCATTTTCTTTTTAAATCAGGAATCAAGATATTCTTTGCAATTTAGGCAAATTGTAGGTGGGAGACCCAGCTTACAATTGGACAGAAATTCCCATTTAGTATAATATTAAATAATACTCCTCATTCATAGTGGCTAATTTTACATCTGAACAACTATAATAACCATCTTTACAAAGGGTCTGTGTCTCTACTAATTTTATTCTTAAAAAATCCTCTCAGAATATTTTTGCCAAGTATCATAGGAGTTGCCTGGCAACTGCTAAGAACAAATGAAAAGAAAGAGAGGTGATTTAATAAGGAACTCAGACACAATCAAAACCTTGTAAAATGAACTAGATATCTGCTTTACTCAGAAAAAATAAATACTACCCCTTGATCTGATTTTAAATGCAAGATGTTAATAACTTATTGTAAATCAGTAATAGAATTAATAAAAGAGAGCAAGACATAGGAACTAACGAAGAGTACCCAATGAAGCATTTAAGAATTTTTTTTCCAATTCCCTAATGTAGTATGTTCAGCTAGTAGGTCCCACAGCTTATTAATTTACTATACTCACAGGCGACATTCTTTAGAAATCCATCTGTGGATGTAGTAAAGTAAATAAGGTAATCATATTTTACCTAGCATGGCAATATGGAAATTTTACAAGTTTGAGAATTTAACAGGTCCATAAGTTTTGCCAAAACACTGAAGAACCCATATGCATCAAAGAAATGGAAAGTTATCATCAGTAGGAGGTGCTCAGAAAAAAGAGAAAACTTTAATACGTAGTTCAGTCATTCCTGAGCTATGTAAGGATTTGACTTAAGATAAAAAAAAAAGGGGGATAGGTATACCCATTCTTTTGTATTAGCAAAGAATGATTTGGTTGCAAGTAACAGAAAGCTATCTTAACTAAGTTATGCAGAAATAAAAATAGATTGGTTGGATACTGAACCATTTCACATAATCTTGGCAGGTATAGAGATGTAACATGTCAGGAACAAAGACACAGATATTTGAATGCTTTCAGGACCTTTCCTTTCCATTCCTCATCTAAGCTTCTCTCTGCATGGTGGCTTCCTTCTGCTAGTACAGCTTTGTCCACATGGCAAAACGATGACCACTAGCTGAGCCCACGACCCACTTTTCAAAGTTTCAATAGCAGAGATCTGCTTCTCTTTTCTTCTCAAATACAGCTTGAAAAGTCTCAAGGAAGCACTCAGATTGGTCAGGCTTGGGTTAGGAGCCCATTATAGAATCATCAATGATGGCCAAGTAGTTGGCCCTATGACTGATTGCCCCCACTGAGATGGAACAATTGAAAAGGAGGAAGAGGAGTTCTCCAAGAGGAGGGCAATGTATTTTGGGGAAGATGAAAAAGCCTTATGCCAGACATAATGAGTAAGGAAATGAATACACTTTGACCTTTGGATTTCTGTTTTTTTGGTTTGCCATTTTATGTAACATACTCACAAGTTGACTGTTGATCTCTTTATCTAGATAACTAGTTATATTTCTCTTTTAACAGGTTTCACTTTTCTAGTCATTCTTCTCATATAAGGATCAGAAAACAACAGTAAAATGGAGAAAGAGGGTTAGGTGCCTATAGCCCAGTCTGAGACGAATGATACTTTAGATCACAGAAAAAATACTTTTTAGGAGTTAATCCTAATGTTTTTAAAATTTAATGATAGAACTCACACCTCTCTTCAGATCAGAACTAAGACCTGGTTAATGCAGCTATACCTTCTCATTCTGTCCATCATACATGCAGTTCATTAGTTGGGTCTGAGTCAGTGCTCAGAGTATTAGGTGCTAGTCTAAAAGCACAGGTGACCTGCTCTAAATCAGACATTTCTAAAGTACGGGTCCTAGACAGTAGCTGATGGCTCAAGAAAAATTCTTTCTTTGGAGAAAAGGGAATTTAATTAACCTACCATATTAACTTTTCCTTCTAGAGGCATCAACTCATTCTTTTTATTTGTTTGTTTTTGAGATGAAGTCTTGCTCTTGTCACCCAGGCTGGAGTGCAATGGTACAATCTAGGCTCACTGCAACCTCTACCTCCTGGGTTCAAGCAATTCTCCTGCCTCAGCTTCCCTGGCAGCTGGGAATTACAGATGCCCGCAACCACATTCAGCTAATTTTTGTATTTTTATTAGAGACAAGGTTTCACCATCTTGGCCAGGTTGGTCTCGAACTCCTGACCTCAGGTGATCCACCTGCCTCAGCCTCCCAAAGTGCTGGGATTACAGGCATGAGCCACTGTGCCTGGCCTCAACTCATTCTTTTATCATTTTACAGGAAGTTAACTGTTTCTCCTGGGAATCTGTAATTATCAGTTTTCAAGCTCAAACCTTAAGGAGATAAACTTTCTAATTTGCACTTTGAATGGCAGTGTAAAAAGATAGAGCTCTCACATTATTCACAGGGTGTAAACTATTAACAAACTAAAAAAAAAACTTTAAACCTGAAAAACACTCTTACTAATTCTGGAGTGTTTTGTTTGTTTTCTTCAAAACCAATCACATTAAATCTTTAACCATTCACAATAAGAAAGCTAAAACAGTTGCTAAGCACATAAATACATAGTTTTGTTGTTTTTTTTCTACCTGAGGAAGGTTTTCAGATGATAGATCCATCTTTAGACTGCTCTCATCATTCTTTGAGAAGCCCCAAATCCTTCAGCATGACTAATTAAAGGTCCTCAGCAGCCTGTTCTCAGTCTTATCCATCAGAGCTTCCCTTCCATAATCAGGCTATCATCACAGCACACTCACCACCATTGAAAGCAGGGGATATACTTGTCAACCTCCTCGCTCTTGCTCTTGTTGATCCTCTTCCTGTTATACCCTTTCATCCAATTCTTTTCAGTCTTGGAGTCTGGCTCAAATCTCACTATTTTTGTGAAGCTTTCTCTAATCTCCACCCATCATCCTTCTTCCCCTCCCCTCCCAAGTTGGCAGCTATATCTCTTCCTCTATGCATCCACAAGCATTTATAAAAAAAGTTTCATTGTATAACATCTGATATGGCATATTGGCATATTCTACCACTATTCCACATGCCAAATCTTAAATTGTGTTATATTTATTTGTATGAATTTCTTTTCCCTCCTAGTTGGTAGGAGTTTCCTTGAGATCATGTCTACTTATTCTGAATCCTGGAGTGTCTACCAGAGTTCACCACTCAAACAGCTATTATATTGTGGTGTTTTGTGTTTTTCACTAGACTGCAAGGGCCTAATGAGGAAGACATGTTCTCTAACTTTGTATCACTATTACCTAATCACAGGCCAAGCAGGTCCTGTGGCAGAGCACGTCATGAGAAACTACTTGCCTTGGTGCTGACCATTAAGTCAGTGTCCAAATTCACAGTTTCCTTGTGAGTTTATGAAGTTTCCATAGCAGCTTCCTGGGCTATAGAAACCACATATCCCATTTATTGTCTCTTCTACTCTTGGTAAACTCTCCTTTTATCAGTGAAGGGGAGGAGCATACATATATAACCTGCCCACCCACACCTACCACTCCTCCTCACCAAAATCCCCCACCCTCTGAATCAAATGGTCGTATTCTGCTTTGAATAAATTAATTCTAATTTCCTGGACATTTTTAGATTATTCATCTACAGGGATATGTACAGGGACCATGTTGATGTTAATTTATCACTCATTTTAACCAGGATGTCTAAGAACAGGTAAGACTAAATCTCATGAAACATTTAAAAACAGTGAAACCAGTAAGTAATATATTACCAAAATGAGTTTTTTCCTGAGCATTATATGGTACTGGAATGAGAGTTTCCTAAGGAAAGGGCACGTGCTGGAGAAAAGATGAAAAAAAAAAAAAATAGGCCTAGGAGCAAGACTATAGAAGACCACGTGTGTCACCCACTGAGCAAGCTATTAGAGACCCTTTAGAGAATTTTCAACAGAAAAAAGATGACAAAAATGGCCTTAGAAACCTTAGGCTAACGGAATACAACATTCTAAATCTCCACTAAAATGATGAAAAAGATGCAAGCAGTATAACAGCTTTAAAAAGCAACATGTCATGTAATCCCATACATTGACGTATGTCAAGCATCAGTCAAGGTCAGAAGGATAGGAAGCTGGTTTCAGTTCTACCTGGAATGAAGTTCATTATATATGTCCAGAGCACAAAGATTTTAAAATTGAGGGCAGGCCACTTTAAAAACAATTTGCAAAAAAACTGGCAAACATAATTCACAAATATAAACAGGAAAATATAATGGATCTCTCATTCTAAATTCAGTTTAAAGTAGCAGTCCTGGGGCCATTGTTAAGGCACAGAGTGGGCACAGAAAGTTAGAAGTCTACCCAGTTTTTACTCCCTTAGAAACAGTGGGGGTTTTGGCTAATAGAGCTGTGAATATTCAGTGAAGGCCAATAATCAATTTGCTTCGAAAATAGCAGCAGTCACAGTTCCCGCAGCTTTACAGGCTTGCCAGGAGGGGCACCCCATACCCACACACACACTTGGTAAAGGGTGGAGGAAACACCATCCTCATAAATGAGCCTTCAAGGCTTGCTTTTTGATGTTTCTGTCACAGGAAGGATTAACAATGCACAGCTTCCTTCACTGCTGCTTTCACAGCTAGAATTTTAACATGCCCAGCATCTCTAAGGAAGTTGTTAGTATCTAACTTAAATAGGAGCAGGAAATCCTTTACATCCATTGTTGGGAAAAATAAATAAGTTCCTAAAACATCATGCTGGCTACATAGCCCTTGCGAACAAAGTGAGCATCACACAGGGTGCACTGACTAGGGGCATATCTTGGAGGGTCCTCCGGTTATATTTAATTCTTGTTAGACTCTGATAGAATGTTGTTGCTTCTGTGAAAGCCTGCTGAAACTGTGCTGCTTTGTTTCCTGGGAGTTTCCAACAGAAGGAGTAGGAAATAAAGGACTAAACAAAAGCTGGGCTGAAAGATTATAAAAACAAATGAGCAAGGGAAGTAGCAATAATGTTCCTCCTGGTGGGATGCTCACCCCAACAAAGGCAAGTAATAGAGAAGGCCCTTAGGAATTTATTCATACAGATCACGGAAATTTGCAAAAATGAGCAAGTGATAACCTCAGCCTTGGAACTAGATGCCTCCAGCTGTAGCTGCAACAGTCCTACCTCAATGCTGCCATCAAAACAGAACGTTGTGAAAAAGTACTTGGGCAAAGCCTGGAGTTAGAGAACAATAGGCCTGGTGCTGGCTTCATAACAATAAATTACTAAACTGGGTATACTTGCTCTGGCAGCCCATACCACAGAGTAAAGAAACCATGTGTGGGATAAGGTGCTTGGGCAGCAAAAGATGGGAGGACGTTCCCATTCCTGTTCCACGATGCCCTCAGTGCTTCTTCTGGTTCCACATGAAGTATAGAGGATACGGGAAAGAGCAGTAGTTTAGAATTATCCAGGTGGTCAAAGGCCCGTCAAGGTAATAATCACTCCAGAGATGTGCATAGACTGTTGGAGAGTGGGAGACAATGCTGTGCCTCTCTAAGGGGTCTTCACTGACAGAAGGAGTCAAGGTGAACCTGGATACTGTCTCTTCTAAAATCAAACCTACCATCAACAGAGACCTGAAGCAGCAGACAAAACCAGCCTGGTCAGAGCAAGCCCAGAGATACTTCTAAATGACTCATAGGTGGCCGAACTCTTTATTTTCTTATCTCCCAAGGTCCTTATGCCCTCCAGTCCCATGGAAGCCAAGAAATCCCAGAAAAGGGGAAAAGAGAAGAATCTCACACCAAAGCATACTCAACCAAAGTTAACATTCCTCTAACTCTACCTACAGGTGATGAATGGAGGCCGAATAAAAAGCAAACTATACCCTCTGCATACTTCAAGTTTCTCAAGACATAAACCTGGCCTGCACTACGAGGAAGAGGACATGCTAAACTGATCACAATATGGAAGTTTTAACTGTCATAAATTTTTAATAACTTTAAGTAACCAGAAATGCAAGCAATGTATGATGGTCAATACAGAGTATCAGCTTGAATGGATTGAAGGATGCAAAGTATTGATCCTGGGGATGTCTGTGAGGGTGTTGCCAAAGGAGATTAACATTTGAGTCAATGGGCTGGGAAAGGCAGATCTGCCTTTAATCTGGGCGGACACCATCTAAGCAGCTGCCAGCATGGCTAGAATATAAAACAGGCAGAAAAATGTGAAAAGACTAGACTGGCCTAGCCTCCCAGCCTACATCTTTCTCCTGTGCTGGATGCTTCCTGCCCTCAAACGTCAGACTCCAAGTTCTTCAGTTTTGGGACTCCGACTGGCTCTTCTTCCTCCTCAGGTTGCAGACGGCCTTTCTTAGGACCTTGAGGTTATGTGAATGAATACTTAATAAACTCCCCTTTATATATTTATCTATCCTATTAGTTCTGTCCCTCCAGAGAACCCTGACTAATACATACTGAAAAAATTAAAATCCAGAGATGGCACTGGGTATAGAAAAGGAACAGGCTGAAACAGAACACAGTTCAAAGTGACAACTGAATAAAAAATATACTTTTTTATGTTAATACCCAGCAGCTTTTGGACTATTAAATAAACCTGTTACTATATTAACATGCTTAATTCTCATATCAATGAGTTGGAATTGTATTGTACTCACTTGATAGAAAAGTAAATTGGGACTGAGAGAGGTAAATTTCTCAGAGTTCAGTTATTAAGCCAGGATTTGAAATCAGGTCCATTTGGCTCTATAAAACATGCTTTCTTTCTCCCACTCACCTTATTTTTCAGGATTTCTTGATGATAGGACCTTCCTGGAGTGTGTCAAATGTTAGCAGTAGGGGGAATTATAAATAAAAGGATATATTATGGAAGCAACATTACAAACTATGACAGTGGGCCACTAAATGGACATCTAGGCAGATGGTTCCTAGAAATCCAGCAGCAGGAAGGAGGTCAATATATTAAAAGGTTTTATAGGTCAATATATCAAAAGGTTTTTCCGAAGATTACCATAACGTATCTCCAGATATGTAGCTCTTTTAGGACTTTGTAACTCCTCCTTCAAAAGGTAAAATCTATGGTACTATCTCTGAACCTGGGTTGGCCTTTGTGACTGCTTTGATCACAAGAGTATGGCAGAAGTGGCTCTGAGATTAGTCAAAAGAATGGATGCACTCTTGGAGCACTTGTTTTTGGAATCTATCCATCATGCTGTGAGAAAGCCTAAGATGCCTTGGAGAGGCCCATGTACAGAGGAACTGAAGCCCCAGCCCATACATAGCCCTGGATTAGCTCCTAGACAAAGGCGGCACTGAACTGTCAACCACCTGAATGACTTATCTTGAAAGTGGATTGTCAGTGTACAAGATGAAGCTTAAAATCTGTAGACACTGCTTTGTTGTTATTTTTTAAAAGGCCCTCTAGTATATGATAAGCTGTACAGTCTCATTGTTCTCAGGTGTGTATATTGACTGACTTAGGCTGAAATGTCAGGTATATATATTGACTTCAGTGTATAGCCCTTAGTTATTAAACTAAGAAATTAAAACCTCTGTATTTAACTGGTAATCAGGAAAAATATATACATACAAACTAAACCAAAGAAACAGAAAAAAAAAGTTGGTATCACATGGAACAGAGTAAAGCAATTCCTGAAAAGTTACACTAAAATTGTAAATTTATGCAAATAGTTAGTACTTGTTATTCGCTCATGCCTGTGAAGTTTGAAGGTGGTTTGTTTCACGGTAATAACTGACAAAAGTCATAGAAACTGGACAACAAGAACTGGACTCTAGTCTCTGGGAATATAGGGGGAGAACTTAAGGCAAAACTCTAGCTTGAAGGAAGTGGATTATAAACAGAACTTCAGGAGTGTGGAACAAGATAGAATATCTGTTTCTAGACCCTGAGTAAAAAGTAGGGCCTTAGTGCTAGGAACCAAGAGATAAGCCCAATTAGTAGGCACATGATTAGGGCAAATTTAACAAGTGTGACCTGATGCTCAAGAAGTTAATCAGCCTCAGATGCGGGACAAGGAAGAGCTATCCTGAGGGACTAGAAATTAGGCATGTCATTTTACTGAGTTTTGTACCAGAGCACATGCATCACTTCAAGACTCTAGTGTCAGAATGGCAAATCAGTTTCAAGTTTCAGAAAACTCTGATTTATTAGTAGTGGTTGCCTGGAGTAATATGCAGAAAAAGGCTACAAGGCAGCATCCAGACTCAGCAGGAAAGACTGATTAATGATGTCTTTCACCAGAGTAGAAAAAGCAACTTGACATGCATACCATGCCTTTCCTAGCCCTGTGTTAAATGTGACTAATTTCAATATTAGATATGTGGCTCTCATCACAAGACCCAGTATGAATGCAGCAGAAAATACCTTTAAAGCTTTGTGCAGTATCAGATGTTTACCATGAGTTGAAGAAAGGATCTAAAGTCACAAGACTGGTGTTAAATCAGTAGGCTGGACTAACTTGTAGTATGACCTTAAGCAAAAACTTGATCTCCTCTTCTTTTCTTTAGTTTTCAAAGAAAATAAAATCTTCTTAATGACGTTGTTATGAGGGTGAATGAGAGAACTCCTAAGAATATGGTTTGTTAACAGTGAAGGCTGCATGCATATTAATGGTTACTCAAACCATTATGAAGGCACAACTTTTCCCCATTTGGCCCAAAAGTGTAAGTCTTATTTGGTCCAACTCCTTCATTATCTATGCCTGATTCATTGCAAGCACTGTTATAAAGCACTCTCATTATAAAGCAAAAGTTTTTTCTTTTCTCGCCAATGCCTCCTAAGTTTATTTCCTACTATTATGACACTCTTCTCAAAATGGGTAGATTTTCTTGACTACAATGGATGTCTATAACTGAGTGAAGCTGCAGCTAGGAAGAAGAAAAGTCAGAACTAATAGTAGAGAAGAAATGAGTAGACAGGCCCAGAGAAAGTTAGAAACAGAGTGGTAATTGGAAGTCTGTGAGTCAGGAATTCAGGTAAGTTTGGCAAGCAGGAGTCGAATTGCAGAGAGGTAAACAGGAAAGAGAAACACAGTGTAAATATTAAGAAGCTTTCTACTAAACTCACACTGACGTCAAGAACTTCCATCTGCTTACCCAAAGGTTGCCATCCTGAGTTTCCTGATTTCTGTAAGATCAGCTCATTTGTATCTGGTTTTTTTTTTTTAATATTACATTTTTTCAAGAAAGGGTGATTTGCTGTTAAAAACTTTAAAAGCCACCATCCTACATTAACCCTCCTGCAGTAAAATAGGCCTACCTGCTATTTCCCAAATATTTGGTACACTTTCCCCTATCTACTTTACTTATAGCCTGCTTTCTATGCCAGCCTCAGACCCATTGTCTCAGAAGAGAAGTAAAACGTTGTAGCCACACACTAATTCATCCTACACTGTTCAGTTGATTGGGAAAAGGTCTTTCAGAAACTTCGAGCTGTTATCTTGGAGCCATCAAAGTTACCATAAATGACTATTTTTCTGAGCAGAATTTGAAACAGGTAACTGACTTCATGGCATGACCAGTCCATATGATAATACCATTTTCTATGATGATTCCTCTGGCTCTCAAGTCTTAATGTTATTTTGCATAATGCCAAGGCACAAAGCTACAGGGCTGAATGATAATTCAGTTACCTTAACAGAACAAACTTTGGGCAAGTCAAGATGATATCTAAAGTATTAATGGTAAAATGGGTATTGAACTGTAAGAACGACATACCAACCAATCAGAACCAACCCAGACTGTGAACGACATTCATGGCCAAACCAGTGTATATAATCTCTGCCCATTGTTAACTTAGGAATGATTTCTCTTCATCTCCTCCACTGTTATCAACATCACCATCATACTGGCTGTTACAGTAAGAAATTCTGTATAACAATCAAAAGACTTTTGAAAAATTAAATGAGTTATTATATCTCTTACTCTACACAGAAGAAAGATCTAATGAGAACTAAAAAGCCATATGATGAATCCTTTCCACAGTCACCGCCACTCTGCTTCAGTGGGCCAGATTTTTCCTGTACTTCTGCTGGGAGTTGGATATTGGGATCTGCAGAACTCAGGGAAGAGATATGCAAAAAGAGCATCACAGGCCTGCCAAAAGCCTCAGTCTTGTTAAATATGCTCCAGCACACACACACAAAATTGTTTAGGATTATTGCTGGCTGTGTCAGTGATAATAAAATTGGCTAGATGACCAATTTAATGCTGACAATAAACACTGACATCCATGTCTAGGTAGGTAGAGAAAATGTGGCAGGCTAAATGATAATCAGGAAGTCACTCTGAATAAGACAACAAAGTCTGTTAATTTAACTGATGTTCCCTTTTATTTTCTATTCATTAGGATACAATGGTTGAGAGTAAGACCCAGGACAGGGTCTAATGTAAAATCAACATAGCTGCACGATTGCAGTAAAGTAAAACAATGGGACAATCATGGGAGTCAACAAGGAGGGCAATGTAAGTTTGACTCCTGCAATAGAGTTTTCCTCCATTGAAAAATTTCTGAAACCCAGTTTCTGAGTGCCATGGATGCTATAGTTATTGGTCTGGAGAAATTCACTTAAAACCACGTCCCAGTGTCTATCCATGATTAAAATGGGAATAAACCATTGGTTTTGTGAATAGTCAATTATAGTTAATAGCCCATTAATACTTTTTAAAAACAACTCATTAAAACAGTAAGAATTAGAGGCACAGCATATAGTAATAATGCTGAAAGATATAAAATTAGCTACCTGAATCAAGTCCACAGAATCCTAGCATAAAAACAGACTTAAGAGTCATCTGTCCAGTTTCTCTGATAAAGCAGGCATCTCTTTCCAATATTCATGGTAACTAGTGATAGTGAGCTCATTGATTTTTGAGATGGCTCTAATTACTCTTCCTAATACTTAGCTTAAGTCATCCTCCTTGACTGCCAAACACAATTTGTAGTTGCACACAATAATTTAATTTACTCTTTGATGGGTTCATCTAGGTTCACAAATAAGTAATTATGAGTTATAAAACTTAAGCAAGTTATTTAATCGCTCTATGCCTCAGTTTCCACATCTTTAAAATGGGTATAATTGTATTTATTTCATAAAGTTGTAAGAAGAATTAAATAAGCAAATACATTTACAGTACTTAGAATAGTACTTGACAAATGATACATATTAGTACTTGACAATACATATTTGTTGAATGATTTAAGGACAATTTGACAATTACACAAACATGAGAGTGATAATACGTTGGGAAGCATATTTGGAATTCTAGATGATTTAATTAGGTTATTATAACAAAATGTACAAGATTAAAATTAGCAGTGACAAATTAAAAAGTTCTGCAGCAAAAGATATTTTATTGAAAACATTGCATTAATGAAAATTTAAAAATGTGGCTTAAAGATAATGGAAATGGCAAGACTTGAAAAGTTTTTTGACCATAACACTGATGTGAACCAAGAATGTGACTTTCCTACTTAAAAGTCAATGCAGAATGGTAGCAGAAGCAGTATTTGTAAGATAATATAGATTGTGTATAACAGTATACACAATCTATATTGGTATATATGTTATATGTAGACAATATCTTGAAAAATAACCAAAACATAATCATAATGGCTATCTTTGGGGAAGGGGCCGGAGACTTAAATGTTGCATTTTATAAACTCTTCCACTATGCAAAGCTATGAATATATTAAATATATATACATATATTTATGTAATAGTTAAACCTAAGAAAATGGAGTCTAAGTCTGCACTTATGAACATAAATGTTACATTCTTACACGTATGTTCTGAATCCAACTAGACCAGGTTGTCTTATCCTTTTTCATACCATTTGGCAATGTGGTTAAGTTTCCTTAGAATAATGGTTTTAAAAGCACAAAATAAAATACAGAGGATTACAAAGGGAATTATATTAAAAATCCATTTCAAAATATTTTAGATATTTTAATATATTCATATATGATCTAGCAATGATATAATACACCAAAAACTGGTTTAAAAATAGTGATGAGATTATAACAATTTCAAATATTTATAACAACTATAATGTGATATGAAAATGTTTTATTTCTATTAGTTACAGTCACAAATCCTCCTATGGATTGTTGCCTACATTTGTAGTTCAAGGAAGTGCTAAATTTGAGTTAGAGTTCAGCTTTTGATAGGTGGAGTGGTAGAGGCAACCTTTTTTTTTTTTCCTATCCACATTCCTACCAGACTCTGGGTTAATTAGACAAGAATTACTTGTGACTGACTAAGGTTATACAACTCTTAGCAGAATATTAGTGAATGAGAGGTAATCTAGAGGAAGACAGGCAGAAGTATGGGTCTGAAAATCATGCCAAATGCAGATGCTGAACCTTCAGAGGAAGGCAATTTGAAAACTGCCTTCAAGTACTAATACACAAGTTTTACTACGAGCCAGGTGGTGTTTTCAGCAGTTGTAATTTACTTGCATCACACAGTCTAGTGACAGGGACAGAAGGCAGGGAAATTCTGGGCAGAGGAGGATGGGTCCCCAGAGAAGGCCCCACCCTCAAGCCTGCAACTGTGGCCCAAAGTGAGAACATGCAATCCTGTTTTCCTTGCTCGAATGTTGCCTTTTCCAAAACCACCCATGGCCCGTCCCACTCCCCATCCTGCAGCCATAAAAACCCCCAGGACCAGACCAGCAGAGAGAAGAAGCTGTTGAACGTTGGGAGGAAAAGAAGCAGCTGATTGTCAGAGAGAAGCAGCTTGACTTCAGAGGGACAGCTTGATGGCAGAACTTCCTAGAAGAGTCCTACTAGAGATGGCTGGACTTCAGGGGAAGAATACCTTCCCACTCCATCCCCTTTCCAGGCCCCCTTCCCGCTGAGAGCCACTTACATTGGCAATAAAATCCTCCACATGTACTATCCTTCAATTTGTTCATGTGGCCTGATTTTTCCTGGACAACGGACAAGAACTTAGGATACAGAAGGTTGTCACACTGATCCTCTGCCCTCGCAAAAAGGCAGAGGGTCCACTGAGCTGCTAAAGACCTAAGCCATTCACAGATGGCAAAGCTAAAAAAGCACTACCTATAACATTCCTTTGGCTTCAGGGGATAACATGGGACGCACACAGAGTTTTGCTCCTGCCAGTGCACAGTGTTTGCTTTATCAAATAATGATTATTTGTACACTGTCTATTCCAGATAGATAAAATTGGCCAGGCGCAGTGGCTCACACCTTTAATCCCAGCACTTTGGGAGGCCGAGGTGGGCAGATTACCTGAGGTCAGGAATTCGAGACCAGCCTGACCAACATGGCAAAACTCCGTCTCTAATGAAGATACAAAAAAGCTAGCTGGGTGTGGTGGCAGACACCTGTAATCCCAGCTACTCAGGAGGCTGAGGCAGGAGAGTCGCTTGAATTCAGGAGGCAGAGGTTGCAGTGAGCCAAGATCATGCCACTGCACTCCAGCCTGGGCGAAAGAGAGAAACTCCATCTCAAAAAAGATAAAAGGAAAGAGGTATAAAAGTAGTTGTATACATACTTTAGACATATCAGTCATACTATAAATGCTGTCATCATAAGGAACATACATTCATAACCAAATTTACTGAAATACTATCTGACAACAAGACAGATTTCTGGACATCAGGACTAGTCTGTAAAATCCAAGATAAAAATCCCATTGCTATAATAACGATAAAAGCAGAGTGCTACAAACCCACAGATGAGGGAATGACAAATTTCGTCTGGAATAGATGAGAGAAGGGGACATTTTACTAGGCCTTGTGGGGTAAGTAACATTTAAACAAATGAGCATGGAGAAAAATGCTTGCTTCTTGGGCTGATGGAAAGACTGGGGAGGGAGTCATGAAAGTTCATTCCGGCAATGAGGACAGTCATATGGAACTACAGCCCTGGATGAGTGGGGTGGGGGCCAGGCAGGGGAGAATAACGCAGCATGCATTTGTCAAAATTGATTGTCCACAGATTGGGGATTGCTTGTAATCATCTGCTAAGAAGTGTGGGTTTTATCTTACAGCAAATAGGAGTCACTGAAGGCTTTGAAAACCAAAATGGAAATGAACAAGACTGTTCTGTGAAGAGAACTGTGGCCACTCAATAAAGTACAGGGTGGACAGATATGAAGATTAAAAGCAGGAAGATCTATAAGAAACTAATATGATAGTCCAGGTAAGAGAACCCAACTCCCTAAAAGGAGGGAATGAATGAAAGATATTTTAGTAGTAGCTCTTGTTGGATTTATAATGGATTTTTAATTTATAATTTGATATAATCCTAAAGCTTTACTTCTCCTGACGTCTCCCCAAAACTACTGATATACAGAAACCTTCTCTTGCCCCTATACACACACACACACACGTGTACATGCTCATACACACACACATGCATGTTCACTTGCATCGTGCACATGCACACACACGTGTGCATGGTATATACATGCACACATGCATGTTCACTTGCATGCGTGCGCACGCACGCACACACACAAACACACACACAGACACTCACACTAACGTAATACAGAGAACAAGGCCTAGCAGCCCTGGGCTAACATGAGAAGGGCTGTGGGCCTAGACTACAATGGAGCTTTTATCAGTAAAGGAAGTGGAGTTCCTTCTCCCTTAAGAAAAGGAAAATGGTGGATTTCTTTTGGTATGTAAGGGATTCTGCAAGCTACCCAAGTCAGAAGCCTCCTGTCACCTCATAAAAAAGAAAAGAGGCACTGAACTGACGATGCTTAGTGATTTAACACAAACATAGGAATATGTGTTTGATACATTCCCTTCCTTGTGTTAATTACCAATTTCCTACTGAATACATATGAAGTAAGTTTACAGGGAGTTTTAATTTTCCCAAGAAAAATTAAACGTACAAAGACTATTCTCATATAAGAAAATAGGGACTGTATAATAATCAAATTATCAGGAAAATTTTAACAGACAGAAGGAAGGCCATATGGTAGTAAACACACCCATGCAAGGACACAAGTTATTAAATGCTACAAACAACCTTGTATTGTCCCCATTTTCTATTTTATTTTAGAAGACACCGAGTAATTGAGGAGTGAGTGAGTCATGTTCTTGGTTAGTAGGTAGTATAGAGCAGATTTAAACCCAGGTCAGCCAGAAATGTTCATCAGGAGCCTAGACTTGATATTTAGAAGGAAGTGATAAATGTGGATTGGTGTAAACGTGTGGGAAATAATCAAAGATTAGTAAAAAGTAAAAAAAATAGCAGAATGAATAAAGCAGTAAAATGTGATAGGAACAGATGAATGGAAGAAAATGGATGACTCAATACAGAGAAAAAAGAAAGCTACAATTTCAGTAATATAAAATTTTAGTCATGGCTATCTTTCCCCAAGTAATTCTTCATTACAGTGGCTGGACACATTCCTAAGAAAACTTTTGTTTGTTTTGTTTTGTTTTCTGTATAAACAAATAGTGAAAGTAACCTCCAGCCTTAATGTAAACTTAATTTTATATTTATTATTTGACTCTTCTATTCTACATAAATTGGTAAAGAATGATTAAACAAATTTTGTGGCATTAGATTTGAACAGATCATATAAAGGAGAAGGGAGGTCTTTTACGACATATTTTTCCCAATTTGGCTTATTCCATGTATATGCATTTTATTTTATTTTTCTCAAGTTTAATTTCAAAATTATTTGACTTGCTCACCTTAACAGAAAACCTTTTAGTGAATTTAAATTTGATTTTTAGCAAATTATTTTCAATTTAGTGGTAAATTAATATCAATAAAGAAAAGCAGTTGGAGTTGGCAAGATGTTAAAAGGAAACCCATTCTTATTACCATTTCCTTTCATATTTATCTGACTTAATGAAAATGAATGCACTGTTTCTTACAGTTAATACTTCACTGCTGATGACAGTTTTATTTTCCTAAACATGCTTTTACAATTTGTTACAAATACCTCATACCACGTGTGCAACTTATGTTTCTTATTAAAACTTAAAGACAAATGATGTTATATGGGACTAACACCAGTGATTCAACTCAGTTCCGTAACTCTGGAGCTGATAGAGTATACAATAATTTCTGAAGCATACAGTTTGTCTTCTCTGTTCTCCAGAACCACAGAACTTCTCTGATCTGTTCTAGTGGGGTGACTTGGGATAACATAAAGACTTCCCAGGAATTTTCCAGTGGCTCATGTCCTGCAAAATTCCTGGGAAGTGTTTATATCATCATACGGCTCATATTACTCAACATAAAAGAGTAGTTTTAGCCACATCCACATAATTATTAAAAAGGAAAACAAAATACCAGTTTCCATATAAGAATACTGATCCAGCCATGTCTTTCAAACATTTCTCTACATTGTTCCTTCCTTGTCTACTCAGAGAACTCTACATAGTCAAAAGGCACTTCCTGAGTCAACCTTTTGCTATATCCTATGCACAAAGGAATTATATTTCCCTAAGCATTTGATTCATGTTTTGTATAGTGTACCTGTTACATTTTATTCTAATTATATATTTACAGGGCTGTCTAGTCCATCTCTGATATTAGTGGCTGACGTAGTACATTTTTTGATGTAAAAAAAAAAATGAACCAGTAACGGATGGACTGGTCTTTAAGTGTGAACAGTTTTTTCACATTGGAAGCATAGAATCTTATAGTTTTATATTTATAACTAAAGTTTTGAGGAACCAGACCTCATCCTCCAAAGCACAGATGTGATGCTTCACTCTGGACTGTGACAGCAGGCCTGTACTGCCTAATTTTGCAAGCTAAAGCAGGCACATGACTTAGGGTGGCCTTCAATACAGTGAACCCCTTGACTTTTGCCATATATATACCCCTCTTTTGTAGTACATGGGTTCTTAATCGTAGAATGTGGAACTAATCATGATTCTCCAAGTTCTCTATAGTACCTTTTAGAAGATATCCTTCATGATCTACTGTACAATTCCATATTCACTTGGACAGTCTATAGAAAATCATTCACATTGACCATTGGCTCTGATTTTAGTTTGCTACCCATTCAAGGCTAAGTTGTTAACCTTGCTAGTCATCTTTAGCACTTAAAAAATTTAATGATATGTAATGGAACCTAAGTCTGAGAGAGAAGAAAACTGACATGTCAAACTAGTATTTCTATCAAAATATTGTTGAATTCTCCATTATCAAAGAAAAGGATTTATATCCTTTGCCACATTCAATGGTACAAGTAGAAGTGTGTAGCTTCATAAAATATATGGGAGAGGGAACATTCACAGCCTGTGTTATTTTTTCGCAGTTTTCTAGAGTTTGTAGGATTATTAAAATGTAGACCTCTGGAGATGAACGAATAAAATCAAGGCTTAGCAACAGCATATAAAAAGAATAGAAAGAAAGCACGTTTCTATTTAAGACAAGGGTACTGATAAGAAGGATATTGGTAGGTACAGGGAATCAGCATCTTCAAACATTTCTTCCATCTTTCCAATCCCAGCCCAAGGTCTGCCTGATCCAATTTTCACTGGCTCTCCTTCTTTATATCGCACTCATAGATTGCATGTCATAATTTATGGTTCATTTTACACTTTTTTAGCCTGCACAATTTGAAGCTCCTGGATGTAGAAACTGTTTCTTGTTTCTTTTTTTTTTTTTCTTGTTCCTTTTGGATCTCCTAATGTGCCTACTCTACTTAGTGCATGGTAGATGACTAATTAATTGATTAGGTAGATTTAGAGAAAACATTTCAGCACTAACAAGTTTGATCTCTTATCAGAGAGAGGTTTAAATTCAGAAAGTAATTGGCAAAATGCTTGGAATCAGAGACTACACTATGTAGCTGTTTTGGAGCCACTCTCAACAAAGAGAAACTGAACCCAGGCCTCTTTCAAAAATCATCATATTACATTTGTAATACTTAAGACATTTAAGTGCATACATTTTGTGAAAATTTAGAGACTCTGTTACTATGGTAATTCTTAATGTGAATTTCCACATAGAGATGCCAGGAAGATTTCAATGTTGCTATGTATCTATTTTAGAATAATATACAGAACTCCTTATTTGAAAATTCTATTGTATTTCCAAATCCATGTGTGTTAAACTGACTTCGTGTTTGTAAATCAAATCCTAATAAAAATAATTTTAAGCATTTTGAAGAGTAAGGTATCCATCAACAATTATAATTAATAACACCTGGAAGTAATGAAGCTACTTAGTCTGAGCAGACAAAAATGCTTTCAAAATTTATATAATTTTATGATTTTGGTATTCTCCTGCCTTCCACACTGACCTTATTCTTCCTACTCTGTACACTAACTGGTCTTGAAGATTTTAATTTTTTAATGTAGTGAACTTTCCCAATCTGCCATTGAGCTGACAGAATACTCAAGAACACTGAATTTTACATTTATTTAATTTTTTGGTAATTTGAAGAATTTTGTTCCAACATAGTAGGTGAATCACTTGACTTCAGTTGTCTCATATTGGAACTAATTAGAATAAAAGAGGAAAAAAACCATGTCTCGCCTTGTTTACTATTTTATATCCAGTACTTCATACAATCCCTAGTAAATATATACTCAATAAATGTCTTTTTAAATGAATGAATAAATGAACAAGGTAAGGCATAGCCAAACAGGTAGAATTTTGCAGTAAAGGTTAAGAAAGCAAAGCAAGAGTAGTTCTGGGGCTTAGACCTGCTCTCCATGAGGAAGGAGGTGCTGAGAATAGGCAGCAGACAACACTGGCCAGGTGAGAGTTGGCATCTCTGAAGTCATGAACTCAAAAAGGCATTAAATATTTGCACAGAGAACCAGATTTAGGAAACAAAAGATTCTTGATATATATAATATCTGACCCAAAGCAAGAGGAATTTACAGGAATCACTTAACATCTGGTATGGGGACTTTTCTGAAAAGTTTCTCTGGAGCAAAGGATATTAAGTAGAAATTAATAACATGTGCTATTCAAAATGGTAACGTATTGTCTTTCCTGATATAACATGCTTATTTCTTAATTTTGTCAAATATAGAAATATTAATGAGGCCTCAAAAGCTCTCTTCACCTAGCCATTTTTATTTTCCACTTAGTCCACAGATTTGTTAATTCAATTTTCCTTCCAGAACAACACTTTAGAAACCCATTTGTTTGACTAAAGAGAGACAAATAAATGCTTATTTTAGATCCTAGTGGTTTTGACCAACATATAACACATATCTAACTACTTAACCTCTTAATTTCTATGGAAATGGGGTTGAGAGCCACTGATCAACTGAACAAGCAAGTCCTATTTTGCCTGTCCAGCTTGCTAACATTTTCTTTTTCTGTTCAGAATGTCTTGTCTTTTCCCTTCTCTCCTTAACTTCTTTCTCATTTGCTAAAATCCAGCTAATACCTCAAGGTCTAACTCCAGTGTTCTCTACTCCTATGGAGACTGGGTTAGAAGAGTCAGATTTTTAGACCTCTACAGTCCCCATTTTCTTTCTATTACTGCACTTATCACACTCTTTGCTTTGAGTTCTCTACATCTCTTTTCTCTTTCAGCTCATGATTTCTTTGATGGCAGGAACCAACTCATTTTCATTTTTATATCTTCAGAACCTGGATATATCACATACTCCAAAAATATTTGAATGAATAAATAATTGAGTGAGCAAATGAACAGGTATGCTGGATAAAGAAGATGTCTTCTTTGCAGCAGAAGACAACAAGAAAACTGTAGCTCACTGAGCCATGGCAGAAACGATCCAAACTGCGGAGTAAGAAATTAATAAACTGAAAAACAAGCAGTCTTGATTTTCATGTGATAAGATTTGTGACTGACGGGAAATGTTCTGCAGGAGCACAGGAGTCAAGCTTCACTATCTGTCTCTAAGCCCAGTTCTCAGCATGGAGGCTTGCAGGCACTGCACCCTTTGGCATCGCCCATTATCCTAACTATATATATATTTTAGATGGAGTTTTGCTCTTGTTGCCCAGGCTGGAGTGCAATGGGGCGATCTCGGCTCACCACAACCTCCACCTCCCGGGTTCAAGCAATTCTCCTGTCTCAGCCTCCCAAGTAGCTAGGATTACAGGCATGCACCACCACACCCAGCTAATTTTTTGCATTTTTAGGAGAGATGGGGTTTCTCCATGTTGGTCAGGCTGGTCTCAAACTCCTGACCTCAGGTGATCCACCCGCCTCAACTTCCCAAAGTGCTGAGATTATAGGCATGAGCCACCACGCCTGGCCCTAACAATATTTTTAATTTTTTAAAATTTTTATTCAATATTTGTTTTAGTTTTTAATTTTAATTCAAGATTTGTCATGTGATAAGAGCTTAATACATCAGAACTCTCAAACAATCTTAAACTTCTAATTTTAGCTTCATATTTAGTAACTACTTTAAGAACACTTCTCTTAATCTTCCTGACCTTACATCATTATTTTAGAATATAATTCTATTTAATAAAAACAAATAAGTAAGAAAAAACTTACCATTCTTTTAAGTGAATAAGGTCTCCTAACACATTGCAATTCTATTTAATATGCAAGAAAAATCAATTTACTAAGTAGTAGCCCTAACATTGGGAAAGTTGGTACTATTCTATACTTTAGTCTCAAAAGACAGGATTTCTATTACAGGACAAAGTTATCCTTTGAGAGAAAAATGTCCTTTGTACAGTTATGTTTGTGAGTATGATTTTGAACTATAAGTTCAGGCATCATAAATATATCCCTCTGTTCTTTTCTATCCTGTGTTTATTCTGTTTGTTCAAGCCAAGAGCTAGGATATAAAAGGATGCTTTCTCAAAAGACTGAATATCAGAAAGTTATACATCTAAGTGCACAGAACATCCATTCTTCCAAGATCAGGAACAAATATCTGAAAATGTAGTTTGATTTATTGGTTTATAACATTCCATAGTTTCCAGCCTATGCTCCAAGAATGGGACTGGTTTCCTAATTAGAGCAAAGTAACTATTAGAAATATTGTTAGGGCCAAGCGTGGTGGCTCATGCCTATAATCTCAGCACTTTGGGAGGCCGAGGCGGGTGGATCACCTGAGGTCAGGAGTTTGAGACCAGCCTGACCAACATGGAGAAACCCCATCTCTCCTAAAAATACAAAAAATTAGCTGGGTGGGGTGGTGCATGCCTGTAATCCTAGCTACTTGGGAGGCTGAGGCAGGAGAATTGCTTGAACCCAAGAGGCAGAGGTTGTGGTGAGCCAAGATCGCGCCATTGCACTCCAGCCTGGGCAACAAGAGCAAAACTCCGTCTAAAATATATATATACATATATATATATATATATATTTAGGATAACAGGGGATGCCTAAGGGTGCAGTGCCTACAAGCCTCCATGCTGAGAACTGGGCTTAGAGACAGATAGTGAAGCTTGACTCCTGTGGTCCTGCAGAACATTTCCCATCAGTCACAAAATGCCAGAGAAGGATAAGTTAGAAAAACAAAAATTTGAGGTCATGAGCTTTTATAAGCCCAGTGGAGAAGTGAAAAATGTGATTTCCAGAAAAAGTAGATTTAAATTTATATGCTATTAGAAGTCCCTTAAAAGGCAATTCATCATTAACAAAAGAACAAAGTTCTATAAAACTATTCCCTTCAAAGAAAGGAAGTAAAGTCAGCAAAGGAGAAAAAAATGTTTGAAAATCATCAAATACTTTGAGTCAGAGGCATTTATGTGTGGTCCAGATACCCTAGGGGTCCACAGGTCAAAACTGGCTTCATAATTATACTAAGACATTATTTCCCTTTTCACCCCCATTTTGTCCCAAGTGCACAGTGACATTTTCCAAAAGCTACATGATATTACAATAGATAAAATGCAGAAGCAGATATGAGAGTCCAACTGCCTTCTATTAGGTCGAACATGAAAGAAATTGGCCAAAAATTTAAACCAGTGCCATTCATTTCATTATTTGTCTGGCTTTAGAAAGTAAATAAGTATAGTTGTTCTCATACAATACATTATTTCATAGGTAATCATTAGTATTATTTTTAAATATATTAATACATATTTCTAAAATTTCTCAGTTTTAACTTTGAATATGTTACGTATTGAATAGACATTACTAATAAAAACTTTTGAGGATCCTCAATTTCTAACATCCAAATATGTCCCAAAACCAAAAGTTTAACAACTGTTGGTTTACACAATCTTCCCTATCTCAGCAAATTCAGTCTTTATCGTTCTCTTATTTGCTCAAGCTAATAATCTGGGGGTCATCTTTCATTCTTCTCTTTCTCTCATTCTCCTATATATTCTCCTATATATTACAGGACATATTCTCACAGGATCCTTGGGGTGTCACTTTGCCAGCTGGAAATCTCTGTGGCCAGTGGCGCCTTTGCCTGAGTTTTGCTTGCGCCCACTGGCTGGGCTCATTCTGCCCACTTGGCGGGGCAGGCTACACTTGGCTATGTTACCAGCCCAGATCCCATGCCTGCTAAAGGTAAGACAGGCGCAGAGCAGCAAGGTGTGCATGAGTGAGCAAGCATGGGACCCAGCCACTGTACACAGGCAGACACACCGGCTGTGGCAGGACAGGCTGCTCCAGGCACCAGCATGGGTGCCAGCTCCCTGCAAGGCTGCAGCTGGACCAGGCATATCGCAAGTGGCTTCCACTGCTGGCACCAGGGAATGAGGTGGCGCCTGGAAACTTGGAGATACTAGGAACTGTGGAGTCCCAAAGAGGGTGTCACAGTCCTGGCTCAAGGAGCTTCTAGCTCTGGGCTCCCCAAGGGGCTGCAGCTCTTCTCTCTTTCTCCCTTCTTTCCTTTTCATCACCCTCAACATGGCAAGTGAGGGGCGTGTTTCAGATCTGTTTGTGTTACACCTCTTTCAGTCCTGCTATTCAGAAGGTCCCAAGTTGTCCCACATCCAGGAAGAATGAGGCACACAGACAACTGGAGGGTGAATAAGGTGAAGAGGTGCTTTATTGAGCAACAGTACAACTCTCAGGAGACAGGAGACCCGAAGTGGGAAGCTCCTTTCCACAGGCATGTCATCCTAATGAGTTCAGCTCTCAGTGGAAAGGAGATCCAGAGTAGGTAACTCCTATCTGCAAGCAGATTGTCCCATCAAGTATGCAGCTCTCAGCAGAGAGGAGACCAGGAGTGGGTAGCTCCTATTTATAGGCAGGTCGTCCCCACATCTGCTCAGCTATCAGCTGCTGAGAGGAGACCCACAATGGGTAGCTCCTTTCTGCAGGCTGGTGGTCCCAACATCTACCCCAGTCTAGCTGAGTCCAGGGGTTTTTACATGCTTCAGAGGGGAGGAAGTGTGTGCTGATTGGCCCATGGGCAGCCATGGGCAGGGTTGGATAAAGTACCATAAGTTCTCACTTTGGTCTGCGTACGTGGCAGTCCGCCCCCAAGGCTTTAGGCCATCCCAGGCTTGAAGGTGGATCTTCACTGGGATCTACCTCTTTTTTCCCAGAAGGCTATCTGCCTCCTGCTGGGGTGCATGGTGCCCTGGCTGTTAATGCTGAGGGGTGCCTGCAGGCTAGCACTGAGCTTCCCTCAGCACCCCCTCATCCTCCCTCCTGTGCTCATCAGTGCCCAAAGTCTCAAGAGCTTGAGGCTGCAGGAGGCTGGTGTGTCAACGTCACCCCAAGTGCAGGCACACCCAACTGGGTTGCAATAGCCCCCGGGCTCAGCCACAACCCTGCTCTGAAACTGGAGCAGGTTCTGGGAGCAGGGAGGGGCTAGGCAACAGGAGCAGGAACCTCTGAGCTTGAGGAGACAGAGGGGCTTCCCTGAGAGCACGGAGATGCTCAGGTTCCCAGCTGTGACTCCGCGGCTGTGGCTGCACCCAGGACGGTGGGTCTCCCACCCCTTCAAGTTGGAAGTGGGTAGGGCTCCCACCTGTTCCTGGCGACTGCTGGCTCTGTGGAGCGTGCAGCCCCAACTGCACCTCCCCTGCTGCAGCCGGCATCTTTGCAGCAGCTGCTCCAGTTGGGCCACTGCTGCCATCAATATCAAGTACTACCAAAGCCTGTAAGTTTTATCAACAATGTATATCTCTGACTTGTGTTCTACCTTCCCTCTCTACACCATCACCATAACTTAAGAACCATTCTTCTATGACATAACAACATCCCCTCCACTGACTTCATTGCTTCTACTCTTGCCCCTCTCCAATCCATTCTTTTATTCAGTCAAACATCTTTTATCCCATAGAAGCTACAGCTTCAGTGCCTATATCCTAGGATGCTTTCAAGGATGGGACACAATGTTAGGAACTTAAAAAATAATCATTGACACTGAGAGAAAAATAACTCACCAAATAAAAGTTAATTAATGCTTATTTGAAAATCTGTAGAATGGCATATCAACTAATCAATGCAATTCAATTAGCTATAGAAAAGTTACCTTTAACTAAGGTTATGGATCCAGTTTAAGATGCATTGTAAGATGTGGTGTGAGGTCTCCAGAAGGGAGAGTAATTTGGTTCATACCCTTTACCTTCATCTCATACATTCTTCCTCTCATTTATTATGTTCTAACAACACTAATGGGGTTGTTGGTGTTAAACATGAAAAGCTCCTTCCTACCTTTGAGTTTTTTCACTTGTGGTTCCTTGAGTGAAATGTTTTTCTCCAAATACTTCTCGAGTTTCATTCTTGTTTTGTTTTTTCAGGTGGCTTTCCTTGGATATTCTATAAAAATCTTTTTTTCTTTAAGTTACTCTGTAACCTCCAAATGTTTACGCTTTCAAGGCACTGCTTATATAGTCCTATAAATTTTTACTTATGGAATGTTTAATTAGTGTCTATATACTACAATAAAATGCATGTCATCAAAAGGTAGAAATCAGGGCTGACTCATATGTATATGTACATGTGGGATGGGAGAGGGAGGGATATCCAGTATCTACTCATGGCTGGACATAGAATAAGAGCTCAAAAATTATTTGAAAAGCGGATGAACAAAAGATTGGCACCTGATTTAACAGTGTGTCACCTTAATAGGCCATGTTTCTGGGCCTGAAATTTCCTTATCTGTAATACTGGGAAAGTATTAGTACTTTACACTTGCTCATCCATTCATTCTACAAATATATGCAGAAAACATACACTATTTAAGGCATTATCCTAGGCACTAAATATTTAATGAACAAAACAGATAAAAATACTCACTTTTAGGGAGTTTACATTCTAGTTTGGGAAACAGACAATAAACAAGCAATTAAATAAAGTATATAGTATACCAGAAGATGACAACGGCAATGAAAAAAAATAAAGCAGAATATTAGATTAGAAAAATCTAGGAGGTGGGTGGGTTGGGAATTGCAATTTTAAACAGATGAACAGAGAAGGTAAAAAAGATGACAAGTAAGCAATGAGTATTTAGGGTTACTGAGTATTTAGAGTTACAGGTATCAAACAAAAATGAAGCTAAAGAATATGACAAGGTATAGCCACTCAAGAAATAGTTGACAGTATTTTTTGCTGAGTCCACAACCTAGATAAGAACAAAGGGCACCATACTAATATCTTGAGAGCTAATAAAAACCGCCTTCCTCATTTAGATAATCTGTTGTATAAATGAGGTTTGGGGGTAGGAGGGCATTCTATTGAATCATGTGTCTTGTGGTTTAACTATACTGAAAACACTTCCTACTTCTCATGATATTCTAGGACACTTCTTGTAGGCACTCCCTATGTGGACATATGAAACTGAACTAAGACAAATGAAACTGAACTAAGAAAGTAAATGGTGGTCCAGACCAACTGACAGTTTGACAGTGAAAAAATATTCGTTCCAACTCTACATGACTAAAGGGCTGTCCCTGTCCCCTGAGTTGGAACAGATTGATAACAACACCTGTGATAATAATGGCTCCACATTTTGAATGCTTGTAGGATTTATTCCTCATATTAACTCTACAAGGTAAGTAATATTATTACTCCATTTTTCACATGAGGAAACTGAGGCTCAGAAATGTAAGTTTGTAACACTAAGTTATTAATTAGGTCTCTGTGCCTACAAACACTGTGCAACAAGGTTTCTTCATTATTTCACATTCCTGAACACTTATTAAGGATGAAAAAGACATCTCTGATAAAACTGTTGGAAATGAATGGAGATTGTCATGCCTTCTTCAGGCACAGAAATGAGATCTTAAAGTCAAGGAGAAATAATGTGTGGATTGTATAAAGGTGGATGCTCTAAAGTCCCCACCAAATGTAAACTCATTGGTCATTCTAAGCAACTTCTAAAGCATGCCAGGAATACAGATCCAGATACACAGAAAGGCTAAGAATAACTTTTTTGGGATAGTCACAGGCCCTCACATCCTCTGCTCTTTCATTTTCACTCTTCCAAATTAACACAAATATTTACATACTTATTTGTGGTTCCCATAGTTGGTAGTTATCCTCTCTGAGTCTCAATAAGCATTCTTCTGCAATTCTAAATCTTCAACACTAATCCCATCTCTCTGAAGGTATTTGATTTATGTTTATAAAGTTACTCTGAGATGAAATAGGCAATAATTATGAAGAAGAGTCTGTTATTGACTGTTGGCTGCTTTTGGAGTTATTTTTCTCAGAAATGTGACAATTAGAAGACAGAAATTAATATTTTGCTATGTTCCTAATGATATACAATGGGTGATTTTTTTAAAGGAACATGATAAACGCTAATATGAAACTGAACTACGACAACTAATGACAGCAGGAAGACAAATTCTGATTAAGGCTATTGTACTGCAGCTTCTTGAAGTCCTATGAATATCTTTAGAAATTAAAATATATGCAATAACTTAAAATAAGACAGCAGTCAGTAAATTATTCAAAAACGTTCCAGCATAGGAAATAATACTAGGTTAAACTATAAGAAATAGTCCTTATTTGATCTTTTTGACCTATAAAAATGACAATTACATAGTTCAACCTAAAGAGTAAAGGCTATATTTTAAAAGTGTTTTATTTCCTATTATTCTGACCTCATATATGTGGGTTTCTACACACTTATTAAAAATTATTCAATTTCCTCATTTCTACTTTTCTTGTATAGAGGCTTTAATAATCACTTAATCCTAAGGTTACAGAAATAGATAAAGACATCAGGCTTAAGATAATGGCAAAGAGAAGAAAAATAAAAAGAGATAAGGGAAGAGAAGGAGTGGCAAAGAAGGACACAAGACAGAGACATATTGAAAAATCCGCATGAGGCAGAGTGTTAACGAAAGAAAATAGAGAGACTCCAGTGAACAGAGAAAGGGGAGGGATGGAGGGAGTAGATCAATTTTTGCTCAGGAAAATTTGTCTTTCTGGGTATATGCTGACCTGCTAGCAACTGTAAGCTCTCAGTAAATAGTGTGTTGTTAGTTTTGTTAGTGTTGTGACTGCCTTTGTTATCATTGTATTCAACCTATTAAGTAGGATAAGCATGTATTTTTTGCTTATGTTCTGTTTCCTATTGTTTCCCTGAGCTTACTATGTAAAGGGAGGCATAGAATAGTGGAATCAGAACGATTTAGGTTCAAATTATTGGCTCTACTTCTTACAGACTAGAGTAACTCCTTTGAGTCTTTATCTCCTGCTCTTTAAAATGGAGTTAATTATCTATCTGAATCCACTATGCATGCCTCATGATAAAATATCAGTGAATTCTATGTACCTGTAGCTATATCAACACCTTGTATTTAAAATGAATTATTTCTGCCAAAATAAAATGACAGGAAACGTCGGGCACAGTGGCTCATGACCGTAATCTCAGCACTTTGGGAGGCTGAGGCGGGTGGATCACCTGAGATCAGGAGTTCGAGACTAGCCTGGCCAACATGGTGAAACCCCATCTCTACTAAAAATACAAAAATTAGCCAGGCATGGCGGCGCACACCTGTTGTCCTAGCCATTCAGGAGGCTGAGGCAGGAGAATCGCTTGAACCTGGGAGGTGGAGGTTGCAGTGAGCCAAGATCATGCCATTGCACTCTAGCCTGGGTGACAGAATGAGACTCTGTCTCATTTGCAAAACAAAACAAAAACGAAAAAGAAGAAAAGGACAGAAACAGATGTAATCCAATATGAGCACAGTGGTTCTGTCAAGGCACTGACTGAGGAGTGTTTTTTAAACATTGGATAAAAAGTTTATATTCTAAGTATAACAAAAGTGCATGCAGTCTTTAAAATACTAACTTTAACAACATTTTTATAAAACATTGTTCTTTTCATGTTCCATCCTGAGCTGATTTTTTGTTAATTACTACCCATCCCTACTGTATGCTGGAAAAACTTACATCGCAGGGAAGTCAAGCCCATCTGTACTTCCCAATAGCAAAACTTCAATATGGGATCAGAACATCTACCATCAAGTTTGGTGCCTTTTTAGAAAGAAGTAAAGTAGACTATTGGTATTATTGATTTAATATTCATAGCTTTTATTTCAGGAGTGAACCCCAAATTCCAAGATATACAGTTTGTCATTTTGCTGAAACATGCATTATTATAATTATAAGCACTTCAAGGCTGGTTGAAGCATGAATCACTGAGTTTGTGACAGAGGGACTAAAAGATTCATCTGAACACAGTTTTATTGTTCTCTTCTTTATCATTTATCCATTGTATACAGAAAATCATATGCTAAGTAGGTACTTATGAATCTGAGGACTGACAAGTTCCCTGGATGAATCATTCACAAATGGTGAGAGTTTACATCAGAAAGTTAAGAGTATTTGAAATTCCTTGTCTCAAACAGGTCAGCCCAATGCATTACACTTCTTTAATGCCCTCTTTAGATATAGAGTGTAATCATTTACGGTAGGAAAAAATGTAAGCCTCGGATAAGAATGAGAAAGCTGTACTTGACAGTGCGATGTGTCCAGATGCTCTTGAATTGGGAGTTGAAGAACAGTTATTGTTATAATAGAATATGGAATATTTTTGACATAAAAGATTTGTTTTTTCTTAATAAAGTCTCTGAATACTCTGTGAAAACAATGAAATAGTAAATTCTCTAGCATCCATATTTCCTTTGGGATTGAAGCAGGAATAAAATAAGAATTGCCTTTCATTAAGTTTTCCTATTATGTCTTATGAAAATTAATTACCCCTTAAACAGACCTGATGCAAAACAGTTATACATTGTATGTTCCCTATTTCCCACATAGCATCTTTTCAAAAATTAATTGTAGCCAATAGTTCCAATTCAAAGAGGAATAATTAAAAGCAGTGTGGGGAAGTGAAGAGATAATTATGTCATTTTAAAATTAATTGAAGCATTTAAAATTAACAGGCCTTTCTTAGAGTTTAACTTCTGTTAACATTTAATAGTTTATATATATACAAGAGTATTCAATATTTATATTAAATTTGATTTTGAATGTTAGAGTGTGAGAAATAATAAATAGATAATTTCTCTTAATTCTTTAAAAAATCTTTCAATTGGTATAAAAAAATAAAATGTTTTAGATAAGGATTTATTAATACTGAAAACAATAAATTTTAATGTATCTATGTGCCAACTTTTGTCTGTATATAGGATCTTATTAAGTTCAGAGACAATGTCCCATTGGTGTTCTCTAATTAAATTAGCCCACTGGAGGTACAATATCCCTCTAATGACGTTTAGAGTTATAATGACAAAATCCTAGAAAATAATGCTGTATCAAACACACACACACACGCAGGCACACACACACACCAACCATCAGAAATAATGACAAAACACTGGATCATGAGTTTTGTTCTATCATAAGACATAGTCAGAAGCTCACTGTGCATTTACCTCTCTCATCCCAGTAGAGAATCCCTCAGAGATGAATGTATATAGGCAATGAGTAGCATTCTCACATTGGCTTAAGTGAATTTAGGGATAAAATACAGATCTCACTCAGTGTTTTAATGTAGTCAACATGGTTGATTCTTTTCCACTCAAAGGCCTCTTGCCTCAAGTTGCAGTGATATACTTCTGCCCTGTTCGAGCCCATCATACCCAAAATGGGTGGTGCAGAGTTACTGGAGGCCAAGTTGGGATTAATTTATTTAGAATGCTTTTGCCATAAAACTTTCTCTTCTCTAGAACAACCACTCTTAAGATTCCCGATTTATTGCAGTTTCTGAGAATTTCCCCTTCCTGAAAGAAAATAAAATATTAGATGGAAGTGGGTGTTAAATAAAAAATGACTAACTCACCTACCAGATAACACTGCAGCTAAAGACAAAGGGACAAATAAGTAGACCTTGGTAACTGCATCCCTGATCATAGTAACTATCAAGAATGTCACTGGATTTGTTTCCACCTTTGTTCTTATTTCCTTTTCTGTTCCAGAATTTGTGCAGCTCCTGACCCAACAGTTCTAATTACCATCTCTGGGCCCAATCTTCTTCCCTACACTGCATTTCACTTCCCTGTTTCTATACTATCAATGTGAAGTGCATTAGTCAGTTTTTGTTAGACCATGCTACAGTAACAATGAAAATCATTCTCAATGGCTAACAAAAAGCAAGATGGTTTCCCACTCACATTTACATATTCATTGTTGGTTAGCAGTGTTCTGCTCCTCCTACAGTCCAGAATCAAGAGTGAAGGAAAAAAAAAAAGTCCCCATCTTATGCACCACTGTTCCCATGGCAGAGGGAAAAGAACAAGGCTATACCCAGATGATGGCTCTCAAAGCTTATTCCTACAAGTGGCAATATCAGGCCACATATATTTCAGTAGCCCCAACAAGCTACATGGCTAAAGTGAATGCTGATGAGATGGGGAACTATAATTCTCTCAATCAGAGGGGTAGATGGCTGTTGAGCAATGATGCAAATTACTACAGACTTGCCCATTATGCTCAACTCTCTGACCCATTTTTGGCCCCTAAGACTCCAATCACAGGCCTACAGGCCTTGGTAGGCTAATAAGGAAACAGATATCTTTATTATCAATATTATAACAGCACAATTTAAGAATAAAAACCTGAAGTTCATGCATCCCTCTCTGCCATAGAAATATGCCTTCTTTGATCCATTTTTTTTCAATTCAGTCAGACTTAATATGTCAGATTTTTTACAGGAATCACAGGGTTTAATTTATGGCACGTCATTTCATTTAAGCTGCACATGAGACTCATGGGCAGTTATGTCAGTTCTCATCTGTCTGTTATGATCATGTCTTTTCTTCCTTCACATGCCTTTCATCCCCATGGAGCATATCCAAGTCCACAGATCCCTTTGAACTGATTTTCTGCTTTGGAAGCAACTCCCAAGAGTCACATGTCAAGACTAGAAAATTAAATTAAATTAAAATGAGTCCATTGCACATTATTCCTTATCCTTTCAACTTCAAATCTAGCAACTGAGCATCTACATATTGACACACTGTTATTTCCCTAATATATAGTGTCTGTGTATATATATATGTTATATATATACACACACATATGTGTATATATAGTATATATACACATATATGTATAGTATATATGTATATATACATATATATGTATAGTATATATACACATATATGTATATATACTATATACATATACAGTATATATACACATATATGTATAGTATATATATACACACATATGTGTGTATATATACAAATATATATGTATGCATATATATACACACATATATATGTATATATGTGTATATATGTATATGTACATATATACATACATATATACACACATATAGACACACACTATATATAGTATATATATATATATATGTATATAATATATATATACACACTATATATACGCATAGTGTATATATACACACTATATATACACTATATATAGCATATATATACTATATATACGCATATATAGTGTGTATATATACACACTATATATACACATATATAGTATATATATACTATATATACGCATAGTGTATATATACACACTATATATACGCATATATAGTGTATATATACTATATATACACTATGCATATATATATACTATATATACGCATATATAGTGTATATATATACATATATAGTGTATATATATATACACATATATTGTGTGTGTGTGTGTGTGTGTGTGTGTGTGTGTGTATATATATATATATATATATATATATATATACTGTATATAGTATATATACCATGTGGATTTTAAGGGTAAGTTTCAGACGCTATAATTTTGAAATGTGTATCATTCAACCAAAATGGACAATGTTATTTTTCTAAGGCATTTCAACTTTTCTGCTTGGTTTGCTCCTAAACAAAATGACTCATCTCAACAAGACCCTCTGCTTTTTTTTCAAAATCCTAGGTTATATCAAGTCAATGGTTTGAGAAAGGACTACAGAGCTTTTCCTCAAGTCTTATATTTTGAGATGACACCATGAGAGTGAAAGGCCAAAGAGATACAGTTTATTTGAACAGGGTGAAAAGAAATGGGCATGTGGAAAACATTTTTATCTCAATATTGTAATCCCATCCTGAGTTTTATTTTAAATACAGCTGTTGAAACTCCCACGCCTTCCTCTCCTTCCCTCCTTCTATGATGTGATTGTTTATGTGTCTCCTCCCGCAAAATTCATATGTTGCAATTCTAACCCCTAAGGTGATGGTATTAGCACAGGGGTCCTTTGAGAAGTGATCTAGTCATCCATTCTGAAATCTGAATAGTGATAAACAGACCAAGTTACATATTCTTTACATAAAATAGATTTACTTGACTCCTCCCCTCTACTCAGAGCACAAGATGGAAAACATATTTAGGGAATTAAGGAGGAAAAACTTTCAACATCCACTCTAGAGTTCTATGTGTAGATCTTCCACTATCACCAGTAGGTACACTTGGTAAAAGACATTTCTTACGCTCTTCTTGTTTAAAACTTACACACAACAAAACATCTCTATTTGATGCTTTGGATAAACTTTGCATAGGAAGCTGCAAACACCTAAAGCAGCTTTTTGTTGTTGTATCTGCTGTAAGTAAGTCCCTAGTACAACGCTGTCCCTGGCATGTGAAAACAGAGTAAACCAGCTTGCAGTTCTGTATGTGCAATACACAGACCCAGAATAATATCATCTGTTTCATCTAGAATGTAACCTAACTCCACATTATCACTGCATTTCAAAGCAAGACTACACTGGATGAAGAAGACTTTCTGTTTATTAGAGTTTACCAAAGACTAAAAACTTTGCTGTAATAGTAGGTCATTGACTTTATATCTATATCCATATATGGTGGCATAGTCCATAATTAACAGAGGAAGCTGAGACTTTTACAGTGCTAAAAGTTGTCATTATTTCTCTGAGGCCAAATAGCATACACTTGTGGCCCCAATTTCTCTAGCCTGTAGGTCCTTCTACTTAACACAAGCTACCGAGCTTTGCAATATTCCTTCCTCTTCATCCCAAGACCAACTCTAACCATCTCTTCCTTTATTTAACTACCCTCTTCCTACCCCTCAGCTCTCAGCTTAGATCACATTTCTTCCAGGAAATCTCCTGACCTATTGTCACTCCTGGGTTAAGCTGGCCTTTTATGTTCCCAGAGCGCTCTGCTCCCTTGTTTTAGTACTCATCACAGTATTTTCTAACTTGCTGTTCTATTTCTCTCAATGTCACCTTAGGGTGAGACGTTGTATATTTTGTCTGGCCTAATACCCAGAACCTAGCACATTCTTCTAAGCCCATGGTCTTAATTTAGTAACTGCTTACTGAGTGAATGAAGTGCTTATAATACCCACTTTAGTTCTACGGTTTTCTTTTCAAACAGCTCCTTCCTTAAAGGAGTATGGATACTTAATTAAATGGAAATTTATATTTCTGCATACAGTTACTTCTTATAATTATAATACACATTACATGAGCCACTCTTCCAGCAGTTACAAAACAGTAGTAAGCCAGGCAGAAAAATATAATTTCAGCAATTAAAAGAAGTAGAGTCTACTTTAGACTATGAATGATAATAATTTAGAAATTCTGTTCTGGCAATAATATATGTACTACTAATAATATTCAGACGGAGAGATATAGCTGAGTCGAGAGTGAGAAATGCACACTCCTGGTTCCGTCTAGGGGCTTGCACCCTGTGATAGTACTTCTCTTTCTGGGTATATGCATTGATTATTTGGCAACCTCTGCCTGACTCCCTCTCCCCCAGCCACCCACTCTCTGCAGTTACATTGCACCATGTAACTGCTTCTGGTCCATGAACTATGGACAAAAAAGACATACATAAACTCCAGAACTGGAGAAAGTAATTTCTAGAATAAAACCTCCAGCTTTTTCTTATTTAACCAGCCACCTCAGCCAGTGATGTTCCAGAGGAGGGAATGCATATTAACCAGGGTCTTGAAACAAGGTCAATATGGAACAAACTCTCTGCCAGTGGCTATGGCCCAGGGATGTATGGCATGAGTTAGAAATGAGCTAACATTGTAGAGCTGTAACCTACCCTACTCTAATAGAATTCCTCTTTGTGCTCGTGTTTGAATAGGAGCATCCAATGAGTCTCTGGTTGTGAGAAGAGAGGAACACTGATCAGAGAGGAAATTCTCCCCAAAATGCCCACTTTGAACATGTAGCATGTGTCAGATACAGGTTTGACTTTGTCCTAGGATTACTTCTCTCAAAGCACTTGTTGTACTAAATGGCGTATATGTGTTTACTTCCAGTAGCCTCTTTGAATGATACCCACAGTAGTTCCCTTAAGAGTGTGCAAAAAGATAGCTTAGAAGTCCCAGGAGTAAAGACTTAATGACTGAAGGAATTACATTAAGGAAGATCTAAAACAACAAAATGTTAGCCCGATGCTCACTTGGTGAATTAGTTTCCTATTACTTCTATAACAAGTTACAAGATATTTAGGAAATTAAGTAACACAGATTTATTATCATTGGGCTAAAATCAAGGTGTTGAAATGGCTGCATTCATTTCTGGAAGCTCTAGAAAGAAGATGACCCATTTGCTTGCTTCCATTCAAGCTTCTACAGATCCCTCATGTTCCTTGACTCATAGCCTCTTCCTCTGCCTTCAAAGCCAGCAATGCTGAGCCAAGTCATTTCATATTGCTGCCTCTCTGGTTCTATCTCTTCTGGTCCTTTCTTCTAATTTTAAGGGTCCCTGTGATTATATTGGGTCTACCCAGGTAATTCAGGATAGTATCCCTATTTTAAGGTCAGCCCTAACCTTAAACCAATCTGCAATATTAATTTCTCTTTGCCATGTAAAGTAACATATTCACAGAATCCAGGGATTAGGACATAACATCTATGAGGAGCCATGATTCTGCCTATCACCTTGAGTTTAATCTATGATCTTACTGCAGGACATGTACAACTTCTCAGTATCATATTTGAGGTAATACAGTAGCCATTATTTAATATAACTTTATTTAATATAGTCCACAAGCATTCCCTTTGAGATAGGTTATTATAACCCTCATTGAAGGGATAAGAAACACACTGAAAACAGCCCTAGCCATGCCTACTTCTTCAGACCCCTAGAAGAGTAAATCATGAGAAGTTATACTACTTTTAATTATTTGCACTGAATTAATAATTTTAGTCAAACAAATGTATGTGTATATATATAATCACATTTGGAGATAACACTAAAAATCCAAAAACTCAAGAGGTGACAATACTAGTCCTCCTCTACTAGATACAGCAGAAAGTATCAGTATTTTTCCATAAATCATTAAGATCCCTGTCCCCTAAATCTGACTTCCAGTTGCACTCAGGAAATTATCAAAAGATTGATAAAAGTACCTGTACAACATCATTCCTCAAGAGCACAAAGCAGAGGTAAAGAGCATATGCTGGATCCATTTTATTTGTTTTAACTTTAATGGATAGGGGAAGAGGGTATTGAAAATGAACTGACCCAGTCTAAGGGCTAAGACTGTTTGTTCATTATACATCACAAGCTGCAGGATAAAAATGGTATAGATCTAGATATTATCTAAGGTAGGGATGGGTCAGCCTGCAGCTCCCTCCCCCATCAATATTCATAAACTCTTAGTATTACAGAGAACAAAGGCTTGAGTGTGCATTTTCACCTCAAAGTATGCACTTAGCAAATACTTACTAATGAGTATCAAGGTAGAAGTTTAGAAGAGGCACCAAAATATATTTTTCAACAGGTAAGAAATTTTATGGTTCAGTTAAGAGTGGTTATTTATACATATGCCTACAAATACGGTTCTATGCATACAGAGCTACTGCCCAGGGGAAGGCACTGTGACAGTAACTACATTACTGGTACTGCCATGATATTACCACACTGCAAAAATAAAATTCAAGATAACAGCTTAGATATTAAGACCCAAAGGAAATGTACTGATGCTGCTAATGTGATGCTGGCTTTTTCTAGAATAGTATGGCTTCTCCTGCCTCCAGATACATTAGAAAGGGATTATTTCAATATATCACTTTTCTACCAGTTGTCTAACTTTTCCTATAAAAAGTGATACATTTCAATATGTCATTTTTCTATCAGTTGCCTAACTTTTCCTATAAAAATAATCTCAAAAGGATACAGTCCTTCTCAGCCTAACAAGTAAAATTTCAGTAAGCCTATAATACAATCATAATGTTCCTCATTTATAAAACACTCTCTGCTGGCCTAAATATGTGCATAATTACATGTGTAGTGACCAGGGCTGAAATTATTGTCTACATTTCTCAAAGGAGGGGAAGCTGGGTCTAACAGTGGCTAAGGACTGCTGAGCAGGTGAATGGCAGACCTGGAGCCATGTGGCTCCCAGCTTTTATTCCTGTGTTTATTTCAGAAAGCTTTCTTGTCTCTAAGAAGGCAATCTGTCTACAAATGATGTTCAAATTAAATTTGCATTATTGTGGCTTCCATTTCTTTGTGCATTGGATAATGCAGAGGGATTCCTCTTGGGGACCAGGAGATTAGGCTGAAGACCTATAAAGTCCTTTTGAAACTCCAGGTGTTTATTAGTCATGCACATATGCATAATTGTGTCTTATCTGCACTCATACAAACTTGAATGCATTTCACAGACTCATTACTCACTGAATCTTAAAGTGAATTAAAAGTTCATGTAATGGTATGCTATCAAGACATGAAACTAGCTGTCAAATATTAAAGACAAAGTAATTCAGCAAATATGGATTAGAATGCATTGCAGTTTGGTGATCAGAAACACATGCTCCAGAGATATCTGGGGTTTAAATCAAGGTATCACTGCCTCCTAACGTAGTAGTTCATTCTCACATTGGTATAAGAAAATACCCCAAACGGGGTAATTTATAAAGGAAGGAAGTTTAATTGACTAACAGTTCCACATGGCTGGGAAGGCCTAAGGAAACTTACAGTCATGGTGAAAGGGGAAGCAAACACGTCCTTCACAAGGTGGCAGGAGTGAGAATTGCAAGCAGGGGATATGCCAGATGCTTATATAATGATCAGATCTTGTGAGAACTCACTGTCATGAGAACAGCATATAGGAAACCGCCCCTATGATCCAATTACCTCCACCTGGTCCTGCCCTTGACATGTGGGGATTATGGGGATTATAATTCAAGGTGAGATTTGGGAGGTGACACAGAGCGAAAACTGTATCACCTACCTATATGAACTAAGCCACAATTTCCTCTTTTGAAAAGAGAAAAAAAAATCTATGTCTTCCTTATAGGACAGTTATGAAGATTAAATAAAATCATCTATATAAATTAATTGCTGTCAATTAAAATTCTCCCCATAGAAGTTGCATGTGGCAATGACAGGAGACATTTTTGGGTGTCACAACTTGAGGGGAGGTACTACTAGTACTAGAGGGTAGAGGCCAGGAATGCTGCTAAATGTACTGCAATGTCCTAGAACCCATGAAAACAAAGAATCATCAGGTCCAAAATGCCAATAATGCCATGGCGGAGAAACTGTGATTTAAGCTAACTCTTCATAAAATGCTCAAATTGTTACATATTATTAATATTAGTAAAACATAAGCACAATTTGAATGCTGAAGAAGACCACAGCTACATTAAACAATGGGTTATGATACCCTCTTCTTGAATGCTAAGTTATAGAAATCTTTAGACAAATATAAGATAATATAAAAGTATGTGCAGCATTAAAACTGGTATTTTGAGAAAAATTGTGCTTGTGCTTTAATGTCTTTGTGATAGGGCTATTTGTAGATGAGCTTATACATTGAAAACAGAAAATCACTGATTGATAAATGGAATCTCCACAGAGTTGCAATATAATTTTATGAGCGTTAATGGAAATGGGTAGGTAGTATCCCTTAGCCACAATATTTAAATATATAGATAAGAATAAAGTTACCTCTTTAAGTAGAAGTCCTTAACTTGTAATTTAGGCTATTTATTTATTTTAATATGAAACGGTGCCTTTGGTTTTGGGCAGTCAAAATTCAGGTGACAGTTTTTCTGACTAAAACCAAAAATAAATACTGCTATATTCAGTTCTAGAACTTCAATACTGTCAGGTACCAAAAAGAACTGTTAGCTGCCAAAATTTGCAAATTCAGCCTTATGTTCTTTGGCACAAACAATTAACAGAGCCACATGCTTGAGTTAGTAATAGAAAATTGCTTCCTAAACTTAAAAAAGAATGTCAATTATTAAATTGCAAACAGAACTTTGAGTTATTTCAAAATGAATACAGAGCCAACATTACTATATATTAAGTAATATACATATACTATTTTAAAGTATAACTATCAATGAAGTTGTGAATGATATAAACCCACCTTTAGGCTCCTGACCAAGTCCTGGGACCAAATATATACTCATGCATTTCCTTCAGAGATTGATAAACGGGTTCTTTAGTGGGTGCTCTTCCTTATCATTCCATGTTTTGCAAGATGGTTTTAAAAATACCTGATTGCCCTAGTGCAGACTATTTGCGATCCTCCAAGGATGTAAATAAGAAGCAGATAATTGCAAACAGCAGCAATGCAAAGGAAGGGTGGAAGGCAGTCCTTAGGATAGGATTTAGAATATAGGTAAATGGATTTTTAAAAACAGCTACCCTAATACAGTGCTAGAACCTGCTGTAATGAAAGAAGTGGCAGCAGAGTAATGCATTCGTAACCAGAAGCCATCTGTTTAGGTGTATTTTGCTTTTATCATCAATATGTCTAGATCTTAGTCTTTATAAAATGCAGACACCCCACATTTACCCTTAAGCTGCATGAATGTTTAAAGATCAGGTAAGTTTTATAATATACCTAAATTAATTGCATGTATGCTATTCATTTTTATACATTTTAGCTATTCAAATATTTTCTCTTACTAATGCAAGGTCAATGATTGATACACATGCCAAAGAAAATATAAGATAGGTGCCCCAGACATACACACACACACATACACACACACAAGCAATTCCTTTAAATTTTATCCCTTCATGAGAGTAAAACATTCAATGGGTTATTTTACCCTAGATGCCTGCAGCTGTGCCAGGCACTATCTGTCCCAAAAGCAATCTATTGAGTCTCCAGGTCCCAGACCGGTTAAGGCAATTCCAGTTTGCTCTCAGACTTTAGGGACAAATCTGTTTAGTTCCTCCCTTCCATCCCTGACTATTCTTGCCTAGGGCAATATTCAGGCTTTCTAGCTGGACTGGACAGTAGAGATGTAGGCGGACACAGAGGTAAAACCTTCTCTTTTGGACCTTGATCAGAATGAAAGCAAGATAACTGGGAGGCAGGAATTCATAAGATGGTTATTTGGAGCTAGACCAAGGGTTGTGAAGCAGCCTGGCAATATTCCTGCTACATTTTTGGGGGCAAAAGTGGGCCAAATTACAGTTGCTTCAACGAATAGGAAGCGTAATATGAATAGGAATAATTCTGTGCCAGGATATTGGGAGAACACAATTTTGTTGTAATTATAAAAGGTTTCATTTCCACAGAGATTTTGTGCTTTGCTTCCACTCTAATATTCTCTTGTTCCTGATCTTCTTTTCATAATACGTATCGAGCATCCTCTTCATAACAGGAACTATATTTCATGCTGACAATAAAAAGTGATATAACAAAATAATGATTCCCTCTCTCATGAAGCTTACAGTGTAGCAGGAGAGACTAATATTAACCAATAACCTCACAAACAAGTATGTTACAAACTATGGTGGTTCTATGTGTTTTATGAGATGAAATCAGAGAGGACTTATCTGGACTGTCCCCAGAGAAGTAACATCTGAACTGAAGACTGAAGAATGGGTAAAATTTAACTAGAGAAACAAGTGAGAAAGGAGAGTTATGAACAGATGAATTAACTTCTGCAAATGTCCTGAGACTAGAGGAAGGATAATGAATGGAAAGTAAATCACTGTGACTAAAGCCCAGGGAAAGACTGGAAGTAGGCAGTACTAAATTTTAGGTCACATAAAAGATTTTGGTCATTAACTTTTGAACATATGGGAAATTACTGAAGCGTTTTAAGGAGGAGAATAAAATAATCAGATTGACACCTAAATAAAATAGATGAAGACAGACCACTTAGAAGGGTATTGCAGTAATCCAGGAGGAAATGATATTAGTCTGGCTAAACTGATGATAGTAGAAATACAGAGAAGATATAGATGGATTTAAGATATGTAGTAAAAATTATCTAATCACGTTTGGTGATGGGAGATGAAGGATGACATCTAAATTTTAGGCTGCACCTGTGTACCGATGTTGATTCTTGTCAGAGAAAATGCATAATCACTTTTTTTCTGTTATTTGGAAGGGTACAGAATTCAAGGGAAGTGACTCTGAGTTCTAGTTTAAATATGTAGATTTTGAGATACGTTTGAGCAGTCTAAGTAGATCTGTCAGGGATTATTTGGGTTTGGAAACAAGAAGTCTGAGACCCAGATAAAGTCTGTTAATTGTTATAGAGAAGAGAATTGAAGCCCTTGGAACAGATAGAATTTTCTAGAGAAAGTATAGAAAAAACAAAGGAGTCTAGAACTGAGCCTTGAGAGAATCCAACATTCAAAAGCCACGTTACAACAACAAAAGCAATTACTAGCTGTGTGTTTTAAGCCTTTATTACATGTTACTTATAATTTAGCCCTTGTTTTATATGAACGTATTTCTGTTCATAACAGCTTTATGAGATAAATATTATTTTTCCATACTGGGGCAACTGGGGTGTAGGGAGGATAAGTGACCAGCCTCAGGTCACCTACAGGGATTAAGTGGTAGAACTCCGCCTTCCAGGCAGTCTGATTCGAGAGCCCATGCTCATAACTACTACCACCTGACAGGTACTTTAGGCAGATTGGCAAAGGGGCGTGAGCTAGACACATAAGGATCTAAACTCACATAAGCATTTGTCCTCTAGATCTGCAGTGTTAAATGCCATAGCGATTAGCCACAGGCAACTTAAAATCATATGAAATATGGTTAGTCCAAACCGAGATATGCTGTAAGTGTAAAATATGTATAAAATTCTTAAGACTTAACATGAAAAAAATATAAAATTTTTTACACTGATTAAATGTAAAAATATTAACATTTTTTACACTGATTGTTGAAAATATATTTTGGATACATTGGATTACATAAAATATATTATTGAAATTAATTTCACCTATTTCTTTTAATTTTTTTAATGTTTTAAATTAATTGAAGTTGATTTAAAATAGAAAATTTAGATATCGTATGCGGCCCGTTCAACATCCCTGTTCTAGATATCTATCCCATTTGGTCTCTGGATTCTTAGCATTGGATAAACACTACCAAACATTCTAATGTATCTTCTTCGACACAGGTATCACATTCAGGACTGAGCTCCAGCTTGTCCCTCAGGCTGTCAGGACCTGCCCTCTGTGGTGTTTCCATGGTAACCTTGCTTTAGGAAGAGAATGATGCTTTTAAAATCTGAGTCCTAAAGATTTCGCTTCTCTGGCTTTATGTTATTTAATACTGATTTTATGGTTATCTCTTTTGTTCTTCTCTAAGAGTGTCTAGGATTTCTGACTTCACAGATTCTGGTTTACTGGTTGTCAGGCAGATGAACATTTAAGAATCACTTGGGAAGTTTTCTCAAATTATGCAATCCCATCACCCTGGAAGATTTTATATGTGCTCCTGACCCCAATGTAGAACTACTGATCTAATTTCTCTACTGTCTGATAAATGAACTTACTGCATTATAACCACTATATTTTCATTTTTGTTTTCCTTTTACATCTTCAGCCCAATATCATACCTGCTTTGTTTATCTGCTAGTCACCAAAGGTCTCCATTTCTGTCCCCCCGTCGCAGCTCTAAAATGCGGGTTTCATCCGGCTTGCAAAGATGACTATCAGATCAGATCACTGGATCAGGATAATGGTTACTTCAGAGTCACACATTTAGTTCATATGAAAATACCCATCTGCCTACCTAGGAGACCTCCACTTGACATATCTGTTTAGAGAAAACTTTTCCAAAATGAGCACATAAATATTTCATGATAAACCCCAGATAAAACTGAGAAGTGAGTTTCCTCACAGGCAATAATGCATTTTAAAAAAGAATTGAATGGGAAGGTTATGATTTAGATTTTTAGGGAGAATAAAGGTAAACATTTCCCAAACGTAGCTCTTGTGATTTTATTATGATTACTCTGAAATTTCCCCTTGCGTGTTGCAAAGCCTCATGAATGTGACTAGTGAGTGTTTTGCAGGCAGATCGTTATGTCATAATATACAGCAGAGATTTAGAAGTTAGGGCACTTTCATTCCTTTATCTGTAAAATGGAGCAATAATATTCAACTCAGAAATTAAATGTCATGATACAAGTAAAGTACTTGGAAATAAGATCTCTTTACATCTTAGTTGTTTTTCTGAAGGAGAGTAATTTTCAAGAATTTAAAGTTTTTTACTTTTCCCAATTCTTTCTGCTTACAGTTTGCTATATTATTTTCTAAAGCAAAATTGCAGAGATTTAGTTTACTTCTTTAATTATTATTTGGGGAACAGGCTGTAAAAGTACAGGATCTCAAGAAGACAAAATTAGGACACTGATTACAGTGCTGCTCAGTTACACCACTTAAGTATACCCACATGAAAATAAAAGGTTGATATTCTACTAACTGCTAATTAGTACGCAGCTAATATCTTCAGAATCTGAGTAATTCAATTGAAGTACTTTTAAAAATATGCATTCAAATGAACTGGAACTTTTTAAAACTCAGATTCCTCATAGACAAAATATTTCCCTTATTCTAAGTATTTCACTCACATTTGATATGACATCTATTTATCTTATTGTGATTCCCTAATTTTTTGTCACTTCATTAATTTTTAGGTAAAATGATTGCTTTACTTGTTTGGAATTTTGCCATGAATATCATAGATGCATTAGGAGACCTTTTCATTTAAATCAAAGCTAGGATCAGGAACTATGTTAGTAGTTAAAAATGTTTTAAATATGAATATTTTACCATTCTTCAAATCAATTTTTAAAAATTATAATATTCAAATTTTATTCACTTATTCAGCAAATATATATTTTGGTACGTGCAGTACACCAGGAACTGTAATTTCACAACATAATATATAAAATGAGAATTCCATAAAAGTGAAAGAGAAATATGTAATAGTAAATATTTTAAAAGGATGCATTTATTTAAAAATATTTAAACTCCACAAAAATGAAACTCAAATATTGAAGACATGACTAGGTTACAATTATTTCTACAGTTCTTCTAAGTCAATAATGTTTTAGTAGAAGTATTCCCTGAAGAAATATTCATAAACTAATTGAATTTCCAATAAATTAAATAAAACATAAATATTTTAAATTTCACATTCCCATAGAAATATGTGGAAAATAATTAAGAAAATCTTACAAAGAACACCAACTTATTGTTTGAAAATCAAAAATTTATTTCATTGGAAAAATACCATTTTTACTGTGAAGATTAATTTTATTTGTCAACGTGACTGCACCATAGTGCCCAGATATTTGGTCAGACATTATGCTAGATATTTTTGTGAAGGTGATTTTTGGAAGAGAATAACATCAAAATTGGTACCCTTTGAAATAAAACAGATTTCCCTCTATAATGTGGGTAGGCCTCACCTATAAGTTGAAATCCTTAATAGACAAAGACTGACCTTCCCCATGCTTGAAATAATTTTGCCAGAAGATTAGATTGCACTTGGACTTGAACTGCAAATCTGCCCTGAGCCTCCAGACAGCTGCCCCATCTCATCGGATTTTGGACTTGCCATGCTTCCACAATTATGTGAGCCAATTACTTATGATAAATCCCTCTCTCTATAGATAGAAGAAAGATAGATAGATGGATAGATAGATAGATAGTCTTTATTTCTCTCTCTATATATAAAGATGCATATATATAATCTGTCATGTATAGTCATATATATATTTCATATATATATATATATATGCATAATCCACTTCTAAAGAATGAAACATAACAGGACAAAATGCAGTCAAAATGAATACAATAGATATAGTCAATGATGATGCAAAAGCAATTTCCGAAGTCTGTATCACTGTCACTTAGTTGTACAAATGTGTCACTTAAGAAACTAAAGGTCAGAAGTTTTCAGAGTTCTGACAGTCTTGTGGTCATAGCATTGAAGTTAAATAAGACTTAAGCTCTAGCCTTATAAATAAAAAAAGGTAAAAAATAATATATATAATATATTATATATCATTAATATATAAATCTATAATATATTATATTTATTAATATATAATATAATATATTATATAATACATATTATTAATATATAAATGTATAATATGTATTATTAATATATAAATATATAATATAAATTATATAAATATATAAAATATATTTATATAATATAAATTATATAAATTTTTATATAATTTATATTATATAAATATATAAAATATATTTATATTAATATATTTTATATATTATATATTTTTTATATAATATTATATAAATATATAATATATATTTTTTATACAATATTATATAAAATATATAATATTTATATATTATATATTTTATATATTATATATTTTATATAATATACTATATATAATATATATTATTAATATATATACATATTTAATATATATATACACACAAAAATCTTGTTGGTTCTGTTCTCTAGAAAATTCTCACAGATAACATTCATTTAAACATATCTATTCTCATATAGTTCTCACAGAAATTAGGGAAGCTTGATATTACCTTGTCCATAACAGGAGACCTCAGGTTCACTTTGAACACATGTTCTACTCATAACTGCACTCAAGCATGAGTATCTAGTGAGATTGTGTTGCTACAAAAATAAAATAAAATAAAATAAAACAAAATAAAATAAATTAGCTGGGCATGGTGGCAGGCACTGTAGTCCCAGCTCCTCAGGAGACTGAAGTGGGATGATTGCTTGAACCCAGGAAATCAAGGCTGAAGTGAGCTATGATTGCACCACTGCACCCCAGCCAGGGCAACATATGTTTTTTGTCTCTTACCAAAAAACACAAAACCTACACTAAAAATTAATTCATTGTTTGTAAACCTGTATTTATCTTAAAAATAAAAAAAGCGGTAGTGAAATAAATATAAAGAAGTTGGGATTAAAATTAGGATACAAGGATATAGGTACATGATTATGAGATATGCTTATTAGTCCATTAGCACATCCCATTATATCTCCCGTAAACTAAAAATTATCTTAAGAAAAAATATTGTGACTTCCTTCTAAATTCATATATCAGCAGTTCTACATATTATCATTAAAAACATAAGCTTCGGCTCAAAGGAAATTTTACAGGTGCCCCCTTTCATAAAACAGAAAAATCAAAGAGCTCTAGGACAAATTAATTTCAGAAACCTGTCTTCTCAGACTCTTTTCCCACCTGTCCTCACACATCAGCAAAGTAGCACCCAACAAAAGCACAGGAAATCCCAGAGCTCTGTGGATTTTGCTTATGAACATACAGTCCTATGAAAAATAAGGTTACATATGTATCAGACAAGGAATGGTAATAATAAATACTGAAGAATTAAAGGCTAGGAAATAAGAATAACATGTTTGTATCATAGTTCAAATTAAATTAGAGTAGCAAGATATTTCTTAGGTAAAGCATTTCCAATCATATTTATACACATATATTTTAAGGTTAAAAGTATACATATTGATTCATTCTTTTGGTCATTTATATGTTGAAAAATAATATACTGATTTTCTTTTATCTAACAGAAGGGCTTAAAAATTAGTATGCTAATTTATTTAAAGTCACCCAACCTTATAGAGCATATGCATAATCCACTTCTAAGGAATGAAACATAACAGGACAAAATAAAGTCATAATGAATACAATAGATATATTCAATGATGATGCAAAAGTAATTTCAGAAGCCTGTACCACTGTCACTTAGGTGTCCAGATGTGTCACTTAAGAAATTAAAGGTCAGAAGTTTTCATAGTTCTGACAGTCTTATAGTCATACCATTGAACTTAAATAAGACCTACGCTCTAGCCTTGGAAATAAATAAAAAACGGTAAAACCAAAATGACTATTTGAAAGCTTAATCAGTTATTAAAATAGTTAATCATCAATTGTTTGATTTATGGTCAGGGATAATCCATTCTTGGTAATCCTGATGACAGAAATGACCACAAAGTTCCATTTATTTTAATAAGCAATTACTAGTCAACAATTAGGCTTTTGTGACCTTGTAAAGGTTACACAATCTTTTCTGTCATAGAATAGGACTATAGATACTGTTTCCAGAAGAGTAAATGAAAATGAATGCCCAGTGAATACCTAATTTTAATATATGCCATCAAAATGTACAATTTGGTATGTTAAGGTGATTTTTTTTGCCCACACCAATGTTTTTCTTGTTAAAATAAAATGTTGCTTTTTACAAAAGTACTGCATAACAATGATGTCTTCAAGCCCCTGATCATTTACCAAACTATTTAATTAATATATTAATTGGGCATAATAATCCAAATAAAATATGATATTTAAACTTCAAAATGGTATGCTTAGGATTTAAGGGGCTGATTCAATTAATGTTTCTGATGTATCATGTTTTTTTAACCAAGAAATATTACAAATTACTTTTCAAAAAAAGAACAGTAGAGACAGAGACAGCAACTATGTAAAACATGTATATTTAGGTAAAGTAACCATAATTTCTGGTGTGTTTGACACAGGTTTGATCACTGTTAACACTAAGCACCAAATAGAAGGATTCTAGAGTATATTTACCAGGGATCTCTTGACTTTGTGTGTCTTGTAATACAAAGTGGCTTGTTCTCAATGGCTCAGTAAAGGAATCTTAGGCTTCATGGTGTAGATCAACTGCAGAAGCACCTGTGAAGCACTATGAATTACTTTGTAAACCACCACCACATTAGCTTAGATATGGTGATTCACAAAGAAATCCACAGCACTTCACAGTTTGTGTAAAGCCTGGTACCTATGAACCAACAAAAACAGTACCCTTTGGCCACCAAAAGTTGAGGAAGTATTTCCATCTAGTTCACAATCAATTGAAGAATATGCTCAGTTTTGCACCACCCTCTTTTAGCTGAAACACACAAGAAACACTGAACATTTATTTTAAGTAAATAAAACTTAAAAATAAATGCATGCTTTCTATATTATATACCAGTAAATTTCATTTAAAAGAATTCCTAATACAATAACTAGCATGACATTATGCAGGATGAAAAAACAGGGTTCTGCTCATCAAAATAAAAGGGCATGGTTATTAATATAGATGTCAGGAGTAGGGAGTAGAATAAATAATAAAACTATATGTAATTCTCACATCCATATCACAGTATATAAGTGTTGCTGGGATAATTTGTTCTAAAGATATCCTCAGTTACTTAGCTTCCCACTTTATACTCATATAATCTCATATCCTATGACACAAGCTTACCAATGTTACAAATCTGCCCTTGTACCCCTGAACTTAAAATAAAAGTTCAAAGGCAATCATTAAATGAGTTTAACCTGAGTGTTTTTTCCTCTGATATTTGTCCAAGTAAGTATTTTTTCATATGACTGCTGAAGTCCAAGAATGTTTATAAAACTAAATTCTATATTATACATATTAGGTTCAACTCTGAAAGAAAACCACACCAATAAAAAATGAAAAACAAACAATAAAGTTACTCTCCTTTGCAAAATAACCAGAATCCCACCTTTTAACTTTTATCTAAAGAGCAAAAAGAAAGGTTTCATTTATAATTAATGAAAAGAATCTATAAATCTTCCCAGCCTAGTAAGCATAATATCAATCAAGTAATTCATGCTTTTGAAAATTTCAACATTTTTCAAAGTAACCATCAAATGTCAACATTAATTAAAAGTTTGCTTTATAGAAGCTCATGAACATAAGAGTCCTAGGCAGTTCACCACTGTCAGTGTAGGTCACTGCTCAGGAATACCCTACTCACCTCCACCAACCACACATATAACAACCAAGCCAAACTTGCTAAGTATCTGAATAATTAAAAATATTTAAATAAAAAATTTGTAGAAAATATGTATGTATGAAAAAAAAATATTTGTTTTGCGCTTATCATGTGCCAGGCATAGTCTTGGTTAGATGCTGGGGATATAAAAACTCCAGGTTTCAAGAAATACAAAGGAGAAAACAAGAATTTGAAAAAAGCAGTAATAGGTGTTATGAAAAGTTTCCATATAGGGCTAATGGAGACATGGAGAGGCCACTTAATTCAGTGCTAAGAGCGTTGATTACAGATGTCTTCTCTAAGGGAATACCATATATAAGAGAACTGAAAGAGTAGCAGGAATTAGCAATGAGAAGGGTGGGGTAAGTGTTCTAAGCAGAAGAGAACACATATACCACGGCCTATCCAAAGAAATAACGTGATTTTTATTTTATTTTTTGGTATACTATAGCTGAAAAGGAAAACTGCTGCTACAGTTAGAGTAGGTGAACACAAGTGAGCATCACCAGATCAGAGGCAGCAGGGACAGAAAAATTTGAAGTAAGAGAACTCCAGAATAATGAGGCAACCTGTCTGAAATATGGGCAGAGTAAAGGAGCAGTTATACAAAGGTCCTCCAGCTCTTCATCAAGTGTCACACTCAATCCCAAACTGGCCCAGGCAAAACCTCTTGAAGAATCAGGCCAGTTTCCCCAGTGAAATTCAGGCATACTAGTTGGGTGGAATACATTTAGAGTTTGACATGGGTTTAAAAACAAATCACCCTGGCCGGGTGTGGTGGTTCACGTCTGTAATCCCAGCACTTTGAGAGGCCGAGGCGGGAGGATCATGAGGTCAGGAGATCGAGACCATCCTGGCTAACATGGAGAAACACCGTCTCTACTAGAAAAATACAAGAAATTGGCCGGGCATAGTGGCTTGCGCCTGTAGTCCCAGCTACTCGGGAGGATGAGACAGGAGAATGTCTTTAACCCGGGAGGCAGAGGTTGCAGTGAGCCAAGATCGTGCCACTGCGCTCCAGCCTGGGTGACAGGGAGAGGCTCTGTCTCAAAAAACAAAACAAAACAAAGAAACAAAAAACAATCATCTCAACTTAAAGAGATCTTAAGTGGCTCTTTGAATAACCATTCCAATCCAAATGTAAAATTAAGTTGATCCAATAATAATAGTGAAATAATCCAGGGTGTGTTTTTACAATATTTTATACCTCTTGTTGCTATTCTTTCACTAAACAAGACAAATATGCTCTCCATATGTAGCACTCTATGTTAGTCGGGTACTTGGCTTTGCTTGGTTTGTGAATCTGAATGCAAGAAAACTTCATGCAAGTCCCTCTTTAGACAGCATTCAGCTAATTTAGAAAATTTTCCCACATTTTCTGTCAAATATGCTCTCTATTTTATATAAGTAGATAAATGATATGCACTGAGAATGAAATGTTCTGGTTGAACTAATTTTCCGGTGCACTGATTATTAGAAAACACCATTTTTTCAAACTCTTGCACTATTTAACTTCAAAAATAGGCAGTTATTTTATAATGAATTACCATATTGAATGCTTTATTGTATTTTTTTAAGGTTATCCAGAACCCCTGTGTCATTTTCTACTTGTGGTCAACATCTCTGTTAATAACCGTGCATCAGTTATTCCATCTATGCTTGTGATTTGAAAAATAAGGTCCCTAACCCCAAAGGAATTCAGAGTACCACGGGGCATACAAAGTGATTCTGAATCTGCAATTAGGAACTATAGCATAAACCCTATAATCAATGCTATGAAAGGAATATTTTCCAAGTTCTAAGGCTGCAGAGAGGAGGAAGGCCAACACCCAGGGCACCCAGGGCAGAGAAGAAGGGTGGTGTGAATTAGACTTAAGTGCTACACAATATGGTACATTGCAGGCAGTTACAGGATATGAAGTAGATTGATATTTTTGCTTTTGCCAAAAAATTCTGAGTGCTGTTAGTGTGAAAATCACTAATGTGAGCATGAATTCATATAATTAACTTTATTCTCTTACTCTTCTATCACCGGGGGGTAAATTCCAGCTAATGGAGAATTCTTTTTAATTGGGCTCCAACTAGGCATCAGGTTTATTAGAGGACAGACGTCGTTGGTGGGGTCTTAAAGTGAGTAACTTAGTTCTGATTCAAAAGTATAAACAGAAATTTATTCTGTACTATAGTTTATTTTCTAGATTCATCCTTATTTCTTAGAATCTTGTATCTTACATTTTTCAACCCACACAAGCAAGAAAACTGAAATAAAACAAATAAGGTAGAGATAATATCAAAATACAGGCCATAATATCAGCTCTATTTAAAATAACTACTGCTGGTGACAGGAAGTAAAACAGCTGCAGAACTGACAGAGGAATCTGCAGTTAAGGGCTAAATCACACCACTAATATGACAAATGCTGCTGGTAAACTGAGTGGGAAGGCAAGTTCAGAAGGAAGCCTGCATCCTTTCCTGGTGATGAAAGCTAAAAAGAATGAAAATAGTAGAGCAAGTAAAATAATACAAAATAAAAATAGAACAGGAAATGAAAAATGCATATACAGTAAATACAATCCTCCTACTGGTTATTTTTTTCTCCCTTTTCTCATAAAATCTCTCTTTTGCCCTGAAATATTGAAAATAAACAATGCAAGTCAGGGTATAAAAGCAAGTGATTGCTAACAATAATAAGCAAGTGCTAGCCATAGCTGAGCTAAATATGTGGCAGGCTCTATGTCTTTCAAGTAAAGAAAAAAAAAAAAAGAAGACAAACTCTTACCCCTACTGCACCAATGTAAACATTTGCCATAAATTACAGAGAATCACAAAGTTATTGGAATTTTAACTATTTTTTAAAAAGAAAAACTTTCATTATCAAGCACCCATAAAGCATGTGTATTACTTCATTTATTTCTGATTTCTGACAACAGACAACACATAATCCCTGCCTTCAACACGTGGCAGTTGAGGCACACAAAAAAGTGTAATCTGTCCAAGGTTAAACAAATGTTTAAATAACAGAGCTAGATTTGTCTAAAAGCTCATGTTTTGTCTTTGCCCCATAACGTCCCAGTATGCAACATTACCTATAGTGTTTGTGAAATATATAGAGAAAAGAAAATTAGGTAAAAACATAAAGTTTGAATTATAAATTTTACACAGAATCAAATATACATTTGCCCTACAATGAAACAATTCTTTTACCCAAAAATAATAAAACATATTAATAATACTTAAACATTTTGTAAAAGCATCCAGTTTACTTAAGACAAAGTTTTCAGGATTTTATGTAAAATATCCATTTATACAAAAATAGATAATATCTCAATTACAAATCTTTCCTTTCTTACTCATTATAGGTGATCCCTAGAGGCTTGGAAGAATGTTGTTAACCTAGTGTGTGTCGTTAACTTTGCTTACACTTAATAAAGTCTCCTGCCTTCAGAAGTATACTATGACTTATTTGCCTTCAGCTGAATATGCCTTTCTGTGAATAAGTCCTCATTGATGACATTTGATTTTATACTCCAGGAAGTATTTTTCAGTCATTGAAGGGTTTAGTTCACTGTCAAAGATCATTTGTCTAAGCAGTAATATCTAGAGATCCAGTTTATAAAGTGGACCTCTACATTTACTCAGAGACTACATAGAATAGTGAGTGAGTGAGTGAGCATGTGTGTGTGTCTGCATGCATGTGGTTATGTGTGTATGTTTTCTCTTTTGTTCTCCCTGCTTCAAGATTGATGCCTTTCGAAAGTGGCATCATGGGTAATTTTCTGTCATCTGAGAGATAACTCATCCTACTTCAAATCTGTCCACATAATAGTCCAGTGTTTTGTAGGTAAATTTAATTGTTTAGTTATTTGAAGAGAATAAATGAGTGCCCCTTTGGAAAGGGAATGAGAGAACAGAAAACAAATAAGCATTTTAAAAACATGTAAACTTTCAGTGCTTATTATTTCTCTCATTAATGAAAATCTTATATTTGGAACAGCAGTTCAGCTGAGTAACTGCAAACATAATTTGGTTCCTGTGGGTTGAGTTTGTTCCAAACCTCAAAGATTAAATTTTGCAACTGAAAATTAAGCTTAGCACTGTGGTTTTGCAGATGAAGATAGAAAGTAGTGGAATATATTATTTAAGCCCCCAACTCACAACATTTGCAATATTTAAGTGACTATATACACAATTATCATTTACTGATATATTTGATGGAATTTATATCTCGCTGATTTGATAATATAACAAATTTCCAGGCCTGCTTTTAGCTCAGGACTATTTGTTAAATATGGGATAAAAATAAATGATATACTTATTAAATACATATTTATCACTGCCAAAGATCAGGCATAGTTAGAACACTGAATTCAAATTTAGTTTAAATTTGATAAACATCTAATTATCCATTCATCAAAGATGTTTTGAGCCCCTACTATGAGGGAAAAACTAGGCTAGACATTGAAGAATCAAAGGGAATACTTAATGTTCCATCCTTCAGGGAGCTCAGAGTCATCAGGTAAACTGACAAATCTGCAAATATTTCCAGTACAGCCATAACTGTAATGACGGACAAGTGTAGGATCCTACAGAAGAAGTGGCTAATCAGAATTAGACAATAAGAAAGGTCTTTTCAAAAGAGACGAAGCCTGACTTCTATAGAGGGTTTAAAAGTATTTGACCAGGTGACCAGAGGATGAACAAGGAGTGGGGGGAGGGGTCACAGAAAGAAGGCTATTCCAGATAAAGAAAACAGTACTTGCGAAATTCAAGAGACAATGTGTCTGAATTAGGAACTACATGTTAAATTATGTATGACAGAGAAATAGCAAGCAGGAAGAAAAAAGATGAAAATTAGCTAAAAGTCCAGTGGTTTGAACTGTGTGGTAGACAGAGCCTGAGGAAGAAGACACAAGATGCATGAGAAATGGCTAGTCCCTGTCTTCAAGGAGCCCACAGATCAAGAGGTGATCAATAGGTCCAAAATCAATAGGTGATCAATAGGTCAAAAATCAATAGGTGATTTTGGACAACAATGTCTCCTTCAACACTGCAACTCCCACTGTTGCACCTACTACAAATAATAAACATAGCACCCTTTTCCCAATTTCCCACCAAGATTCAGTACCCTATGGGCTCGTTTTACACCCTACCCTGCCTTTCGATTCTTCCCTCCCCTTACATAAAAATGTCTTTAAAGGAAAGGACACATCAGTCAATGTTCAAAGCCAACGTTATTATACCTGATAAATAAAAGTATTAACAGTAAAGCTAAAAACACTTCAGAATCAGAAAAAAAAAACCCATAACATGCATTTATATTGAGTCCCTCCTTCACTCTTTGAAGGATTTGTTACTTTATTTTCCCATTTGTAGACACATGGCCAGTTCATTGAAATGGTACACAATTTTTACTCATTTTCTCTAAACCATACCTGATATTTGTAATCCTCTGCTTAAATACCTCATTTTCGAGGCACTGCTTTTTCATAAAATCCACAAAGTTTATTACGATCTGACAACAATCGAACTGCACAACATTATTTTTTTCCATTCCACCCCATGTGTGTCATCTTCCAGTCCACCTGTACTTCCCACTCTAACCTAAACATATAACTTCATGATTGTGAACATAAAATGACTTTATGTACTTCTTGCATTTCTCCTCCTAGAAAATTCTTGTTCAATCTTAGACACAGCTCCAATATAACGTCCACTGTGAAACATTCTCTGACTCCCCATACAGAGGTTATAGCTTCTATCAGGACCCCACAGACCAATGTTCCTACTGCTAGTATAGTATTTTCTATTCATGTGTATTGGTTTATACGTTTATCTGTCTTCCAATTCTTTGACCTTCTGAGGTCATAAACTGTGCCTTAGTCATCTGGAACAGAAAAATACCTGATGTGGAGAAAATATTTGCAGCTTATATACCGTACTTGGTGTCTATAGCAATCATAAGTAAAAGCATAAAAAGAAGCAACAAAAAAGGACATAAAACCATAGAAAAGTAAACTAATTATTTGAACTTTTAAATCGTACTAAAGAAATATCAACAAGTATGGGAAAATGCTTCACTTAATTTATATTTTAAAAAAGCAAATGAAAACAGCATCAAGATATTTATTCCATCAGATTGGCAATAATTAAAACATGTATCAGCCAAAGGCGACAGAAAATAGAAATTTTGTTTCATTAATAATAGTGTAAGTTGCCATGTTTTTTTGTACTACATAGTAGGAAATGTCAAAATTTCAAAATGAACACACAATTTTATCTAAAAATTCTCCTTCTAGACATCTACAGAAATGTTTACATTTGAGTAAAATATATTGACAGATGATGATTGTGGCAACTTTTAATGAATTAAAAGTGGGAACCAATTTAAATATTTATAAATAAGGAAATTGTTAAATAAATTATAATTCAATATTGCTATGTAGATACTAAAGGTATATAATAATGAGGTAAGCCTAAATTATATTTAAATAATATATAAATACTTTAAAATACAGCAAATCTATATGAAAATGTGGCCATAATAATCTGCTAATTGAAAATGAAATTAAACAATAGAACAATATTCATAATATAAGCTCATTGAAAATATATATGCATATAGAAAACACTCTAGAACACACATACCAACTTCTTTAAAATGTTTATTTTTAGGAAATAGGAATGGAAAGTGGGAGGGAAAGCAATGGTGGCAGTAGAAAGGAGATTTCAACATTTTACTTCATATACTCTGTGTTACTACCTTAGTCATATGACAATATATTCAGCATTAAAATATAGAAAATAAGAAAATGAACTATATATTTTATGTAATATATAAAAATATTAAGCTTAGGAACACTGTCAGCTATACTATAGTGTAACCAAATGATGCTTACATTTGCATCTTCAAACCTCTGAGGTTTTTATCTTTGCAGCACATAAGATGACAAGTAGAAGGAGCAATCTACTGAAAACACTACATAAGGAGTGAAATAAGCATGAAAGAATGAGAGACGTTGGTTCAAATCCCAGTTCTGATGCATTAACTGGGTGAACTTTATATGTTGGAGCCTTACCTTCTTAAATATAAAATATGAATACTAGTACTTATCTCCTATGGTTTTGAAAATGCTTGGTTCATAGTAGATGCTTAATAATTTCTACCTTATTTTATCTTCTGTTACTTTATAAAACCTACCTTATTTGGAGATTAATAATAAGTTTTGCACCAAGATGTCTTTTACTTGAGGGGAGTGTCACAATATAGTCAATGATGTGTTGATTTCCTCTCAATTTATAATGCAATATTGCCTTTAACCTCAAACTTCAAAATCATCATAATTTTATGCCTTTACTCATAAAATCACAGAACCATAAAACTAGAGAGAAAGAAACCTTCAAAAGTCATTTAGCTCAGGTTTCACACCTGCTAGCAAAATGATGGGCATGATAAAATATCTATTGTGTTTTAATGATTCCCAAAAAGAAACTCTAGCCTTTCCTTAAATGACTGATCCATGAAATGTGTCATTTAAGTCACCTCCTATAGAAAATGGACATTTACAGGAAAAATGATTTCCTTTTTTTTTGACATCAAACTATTGTAGTTGTCCTCACTTATTATATTAACAACAGTGGAAGACATGACATTTAACAGGAAAGATAAGATTCACAAGCAGGAAACAATTAAACTATAATGGGGCAAAATTAAATGAAGTTATCTTTTGAGAAACAGTGAAAATAGATTATAATTTTAGATGTGATGGCAAATTCTTGACAGTGTTCACTCTGTTACAATTTCTGAATCAGTTGTTTCACTAGCTGTTCATGGCAAAAAGATTCCATCAAGTTTGGTACATGCTTCCAAGGGGATATGCACAAAAATTCCTCTCCAGTAAACAAACAACACATTTTCTGGCAGGTGATCATAACCATATTGTTTTGATTAAATAGGTACTTTGTTCATCAACAGTTCTTAGATGTATTAAGAGTATTTCATAGCTAACACTATGTAGCTTAAAGTTCTGCACCTACAATCTTGCTACTAGAGAGGTGCACTTTGTTTTCTACTTGATAACATCTATGCAAAACCAGGAAGATTTTCCCAAAAGGTAGAAATAAGACAATTACATTAACTGGAAAAATCGTTGAGCAATAAAAATCATTTTAATTGAAAATCAAATGATGATTCTTCTACCTGAGGATTAGGATTCCATTTGCAATGACAAAGAAAATAAATCAGTTAAACATAATCCATATTTAATATCTATGAAAATTCAGTAGCCAAAATTAGATAATCTTTTGTTTACTTTTATCACATGACAGATCAACATTCTCTACTAGTAAGAAAACTATTTCTGGCCAGATTTGGTGGCTCACACTGTAATCCTTTGGGAGGCCGAGGTGGGCGGATCACTTGAGGTCAGGAGTTCAAAATCAGCCTGGCCAGCATGGTGAAACCTCGTCTCTACTAAAAATACAAAAAATTAGTCAGGAGTGGTGGCGGGCACCTGTAATCTCATCTACTTGGGAGGCTGAGGGAGGAGAATCACTTGAACTGGGGAGGCAGAGGTTGCAGTGAGCTGAGCTCATGCCACTACACCATTGCACTCTCTAGCCTGGATGACAGAGAGAGACTCAGTCTCAAAAAAAAAAAGAAAAAAAAAAAAAAGAAACTATTTCTTCTAATTCATTACAACTACCAAGCCACTGTTCAAGAAAGTTTTGACTAAACACTTCTCTATAAAATGGCTAAGATCTGGAACCCAAAATTTAGAAGGCAGGAGTTAGACTTGGCCAAACTTTTCAGGTAATTTTACCTTGGCATTACTTTGATTGGAATTTGCCAACCCTTATTAACTGGTTTATGAAGGCTGTTGGTTGTGATACAACTTTGTAACTATAAAGCCCCCCAAGGATGTCAGTTTTTATTTTAATTATTCAAGTTATGAACTCATATAATTGCAGAAAAAGACTAAAGGAAGAATTATCTTACTTCTCTTTTGATGTTCTACAAAAAGTAGCTGTTTTTATTTAGTAGTTCTCAAACCTGTTTATGCATCTGTGTACCTAGAACACATGAGCTCTCTGTAGAAGAGCATAATGTAAATACCTCATTTACATTCCACCATAAAACTAAAATAAAAAAATATATATATATAGCTGAAATGAATATCTCTATGCAATAAATAATATCTAATACTAATTGAAAATACAAACATTTTAGGAATCCATAAATAAATAACATTAACCAATTAAGTAAATCTAATGTAATGGCTGAGGAAGAATGACAAGTAACAGGAAATTGCTTGACTTAAACAATTAAAAACTTATTAATTTGGTCATCTGCTGGCCCATATCATGAAGACTTAGAAAAATATTTTTGGATAAAGAGATTAAAATAGAGAATATTCTAGCCATTATTAGCTTTTTATTTCTTTCTGAAAATCAAGGAATTACCATTGTTTACTTTTAAAAGCCAATATTTGGACCAGTTCACAGAAAACCAATATTGGCCATTAATTTGAGTACATCTGGTCTATGTACTCAGTGGTTCTACGTAAGTGATATATCTCACTGTGTAAGTGATAAGGATATTATGAGATTAAAAAAATCAAAATAAATTAAAGCAAATAATGGAAGAAAAACACTTTACTCATCTTTAAAATAACTAAAATTTACCAAACATTTGTTAACTATCGAGCACTGTTTTTAAGTGTATTACATGTATTATTTTTTGATTTGTACTGTAATTATATAAAGTACATTAAGGGGAAATTTATATTTATATATAACAAAATCATATATTTTTCATTTCTATTTTATATACTTCAAAACTAGGGCACAGTGAGATTAAGTACATTAGGCAAAATCCATAAAATCTTCAGTGGTGGAACCAGGCTTTGAATCTAGAATTTGCCTTCAGGGTCCACGCTTTTTTAAATACATAAAACACCTTCCAGCTCTGAAGACTTTGGGTTTTAGATAGTCTCATTATCCTTTCTAGATGTGAAATGCTTTACTTTTATGGAGACTTTATTAAGGATTCCCAAATCTAGCTTTTGGTAGTTAAATGACCTGTGGCTTTACGCAACATTTCTTCATTTAAACTTTATTCATTTAGTTGTGTAACAACGATGTGACAAATATCCATAGTGTGCCCCACTACAGGTCCTTGTTTCTGAGAAAGGTTGTACTGGTTGACTATACCATGCTAAGGCTTAACTAAAACCATGATGCAAGCCTAGTGAACACCAAAAACATAGCAATCATGTTTTTCTCTCTCAGAGAGAATTATAGACTGAACTACTGATTTGACACAGCTTGGCCTTGAAAAACACAAGTAGAAATTACATTTACTTTGCTTTGACAGCAAGAACCTCAGAAATAGATTCTGGTTCTCCTCAATTAACTTTTTCTCCTATCTTTTTATTTTGAAAAACTTCAAATCTACTGAAAATATTTTTTAAAAAATAGTACAACTTACATCTCTAAATGTTTACCTGTATACAACACTAATATTTTGCCACATCTGCTTCATCTCTTTTTCTCTCTTTCTGAATATGTGCGTGCATGTCTGGGTTTGTGTACGTCTACACAAAATTATACATATTTTATGTGAGAACCATTTGAAAGTAAGTTGTAAATAGCATGGTATTTCATCCTGAACACTCTGGCATGAATTTCTTAACAAAAAAGGACTTTCACCTATATGTTTACAATACTATTATCTCAAGAAATATAACAATACCACTTTACCAATTGTCTCAAGAGTATCCTTTATAGCTATTTTCCTCCTGGATTTTTTAAATCCAGGATCCAAAAAGGGGCATATATTGCATTTATTGGCATGCCCTTTATTACCATTAACCTACAATGGTTTTCCCCACGTCGAAATTTTACCTTTCATCACAACTGATATTTTTGAAGTTTTGAGGCCTGTTACTTTTTAGAATATCCAACAATTTGGATTTGTCTGCTTGTTTCCTTTTTATTAGATTCAGGTTAAATATTTTGGCAAAATAATTCCAGAAAGGTGCTATTGACTTTACTAACTTTTAAGATTCTCTTATTTGAATGTGTGTGTTTTAACATACCTCTGGTTTTTCTAATCGATCTTTATATTTCCTGGTCCTAATGCTTAATACATTTATGTTTTCATTTCATTTTGCATTTCCTTGTTAAAGCCATTCACATTTCATTTAACAGAAGAGGTATTAATCAATCAACTGGCTCTGACATTTCATGTTTTATATTTTCCAAAAAAAATCAACTAACAATAAAAGTATACCAAGAATATTAAACCCTTTCACTCCGAGTATTTTTTAAACCATGTTAACATAACTCTGCTGGGTCTATGGACTAATATGGCAGTAGTCAGTGGCATTGCTACTCTTCTCAATAATAATGTCTGCACAGTGATTTGCGATTTTTAAGACATTTTCATATACATTATGTCATTTATTAAGACCTCTCAGAGAGTCATGCCTACGATATAGTATTATTATTATTATTTTTATTTTATTTTTATTATACTTTAAGTTTTACGGTACATGTGCACAATGTGCAGGTTAGTTACATATGTATACATGTGCCATGCTGGTGTGCTGCACCCATTAACTCCTCATTTAGCATTAGGTATATCTCCTAAGGCTATCCCTCCCCACTCCCCGCACCCAACAACAGTCCCCAGAGTGTGATGCTCCCCTTCCAGTGTCCATGTGTTCTCATTGTTCAATTCCCACCTATGAGTGAGAACACGTGGTGTTTGGTTTTTTGTCCTTGCTATACTTTACTGAGAATGATGATATCCAATTTCATCTATGTCCCTACAAAGGACATGAGCTCATCATTTTTTATGGCTGCATAGTATTCCATGGTGTATATGTGCCACATTTTCTTAATCCAGTCTATCGTTGCTGGACATTTGGGTTGGTTCCAAGTCTTTGCTATTGTGAATAGTGCCGCAATAAACATACGTGTGCAGGTGTCTTTATAGCAGCATGATTTATAGTCCTTTGGGTATATACCCAGTAATAGGATGGCTGGGTCAAATGGTAATTCTAGTTCTAGATCCCTGAGGAATCGCCACACTGACTTCCACAATGGTTGAACTAGTTTGCAGTCCCACCAACAGTGTAAAAGTGTTCCTATTTCTCCACATCCTCTCCAGCACCTGTTGTTTCCTGACTTTTTAATGACTGCCATTCTAACTGGTGTGAGATGGTATCTCATTCTGGTTTTGATTTGCATTTGTCTGATGGCCAGTGATGGTAACCATTTTTTCATGTGTTTTTTGGCTGCATAAATGTCTTCTTTTGAAAAGTGTCTGTTCATGTCCTTCACCCACTTTTTGATGGGGTTGTGTTTTTTTTTTTTGTAAATTTGTTTGAGTTCATTTTAGATTCTGGATATTAGCCCTTTGTCAGATGAGTAGGTTGCAAAAATTTTCTCCCATTTTGTAGGTTGCCTGTTCACTCTGATGGTAGTTTCTTTTGCTGTGCAGAAGCTCTTTAGTTTAATTAGATCCCATTTGTCAATTTTGGCTTTCGTTGCCATTGCTTTTGGTGTTTTAGACATGAAGTCCTTGCCCATGCCTATGTCCTGAATGGTAATGCCTAGGTTTTCTTCTAGGGTTTTTATGGTTTTAGGTCTAACATTTAAGTCGTTAATCCATCTTGAATTAATTTTTGTATAAGGTGTCAGGAAGGGATCCAGTTTCAGCTTTCTACATATGGCTAGCCAGTTTTCCCAGCTCCATTTATTAAATAGGGAATCCTTTCCCCATTGCTTGTTTTTCTCAGGTTTGTCAAAGATCAGATAGTTGTAGATATGCAGCGTTATTTCTGAGGGCTCTGTTCTGTTCCATTGATCTATATCTCTGTTTTGGTACCAGTACCATGCTGTTTTGGTGACTGTAGCCTTGTAGTGTAGTTTGAAGTCAGGTAGCGTGATGCCTCCAGCTTTGTTCTTTTGGCTTAGGATTGACTTGGCAATGCAGGCTCTTTTTTGGTTCCATAGGAACTTTAAAGTAGTTTTTTCCAATTCTGTGAAGAAAGTCATTGGTAGCTTGATGGGGATGGCATTGAATCTATAAATTACCTTGGGCAGTATGGCCATTTTCACGATATTGATTCTTCCTACCAATGAGCATGGAATGTTCTTCCATTTGTTTGTATCCTCTTTTATTTCATTGAGCAGTGGTTTGTAGTTCTCCTTGAAGAGGTCCTTCACGTCCCTTGAAAGTTGGATTCCTAGGTATTTTATTCTCTTTGAAGCAATTGTGAAACCCTTCAAAAATTAATGAATCCGGGAGCTGGTTTTTTGAAAGGATCAACAAAATTGATAGACCACTAGCAAGACTAATAAAGAAAAAATGAGAGAAGAATCAAACAGATGCAATAAAAAATGATAAAGGGGATATCACCACCAATCCCACAGAAATACAATCTACCATCAGAGAATACTACAAACACCTCTATGCAAATAAACTAGAAAATCTAGAAGAAATGGATAAATTCCTCGACACATACACCCTCCCAAGACTAAACCAGGAAGAAGTTGAATCTCCGAATAGACCAATAACAGGCTCTGAAATTGAGGCAATATTCAATAGCTTACCAACCAAAAAGAGTCCAGGACTAGATGGATTCACAGCCGAATTCTACCAGAGGTACAAGGAGGAAGAGGTACCATTCCTTCTGAAACTATTCCAATCAATAGAAAAAGAGGGAATCCTCCCAAACTCATTTTATGAGGCCAGCATCATCCTGATACCAAAGCCAGGCAGAGACACAACCAAAAAAGAGAATTTTAGACCAATATCCTTGATGATCATTGATGCAAAAATCCTCAATAAAATACTGGCAAACCGAATCCAGCAGAATATCAAAAAGCTTATCCACCAGGATCAAGTGGGCTTCATCCCTGGGATGCAAGGCTGGTTCAATATACGCAAATCAATAAATGTAATCCAGCATATAAACAGAACCAAAGACAAAAACCACATGATTATCTCAATAGATGCAGAAAAGGCCTTTGACAAATTTCAACAACCCTTCATGCTAAAAACTCTCAATAAATTAGGTACTGATGGGACGTATCTCAAAATAATAAGGGCTATCTATGACAAACCCACAGCCAATATCATACTGAATGGGCAAAAACTGGAAGCATTCCTTTGAAAACTGGCACAAGACAGGGATGCCCTCTCTCACCACTCCTATTCAACATAGTGTTGGAAGTTCTGGCCAGGGCAATTAGGCAGGAGAAGGAAATAAAGTGTATTCAATTAGGAAAAGAGGAAGTCAAATTGTCCCTGTTTGCAGATGACATGATTGTACAACTAGAAAACCCCATTGTCTCAGCCCAAAATCTCCTTAAGCTGATACGCAACTTCAGCAAAGTGTCAGGATACAAAATCAATGTACAAAAATCACAAGCATTCTTATACACCAATAACAGCCAAACAGAGACCCAAATCATGAGTGAACTCCCATTCACAATTGCTTCTAGTATTATTTTTTAATAGGAGAGTGAAACAAGGGTCTATTCTAAAATGACATGTCCAAAGGCATATGGATAATATGTAGTAGCACTGAACTTAACCATAAGTACTAGAACTGAAAATTTGGTGCTCAGTTTGGTTTTTATTCTCCACCACATCATATTATCCTTCAATAGTGATAATAAGAAACCTTCCCAAATGACACAAAACACCTCATTAAAAAGTCAGCTATATTAACAATCTTTTCCAGGAAATTTCATACACAGCTAGATTCTACATGTTTCTTCCAATTACCACTGAAATTTGTGCCTTTTTTTCCAGTCATTCTCACATCATCTATGGGTTCCAGTTGGTTGAAGGCATTTCTGCCTCATTAGTTTTTAATTGGCTCACACTGACACTTTTGCAAACAACCACCCTAACCTACACCCCTCTTTGTAGAGTTCCATGTCCCCCAGAGCTAACATGCTAAGTATGTGTAGAAATGGTTGACTTTAACATCACCACTGTGAGTAGATCTGGGTAAAATGTAAAGTATTGTTGGACTTGGGAATTTCTGAGGAAAATATATTCTGGAATTGCTACTGTGGCAATTGACTAGGAAAACAAAAAGAAAAAAAAGTGGTAGAAAGAGCTAGACAGGGAATCAGAAAGCCTATGTGTATAACTCTGATAAATTACTAAATTTCTTTGAGCTACCAGTTCCTAGTCTTCCTAATACTTATTTACTTAAATAAAAGAATGCCATTGAACTTAAATTATCTCTAAGTTTCCTGCCAGCTATAAGATTCAATGATTTTATTGACGATGTATTAGGGATAATGTAAATAACTTTGAATGAAATTGAACTCTGCCCTTAGAAGAATATTCTTTTTTTCTCTCTTTTGAGACTGAGTCTCGCTCTGTCGCCAAGGCTGGAGTGCAGTGGCACGATCTTTGTTCACTGCAACCTCCGCCTCCCAGGTGTAGGGAAAAGAAAGAGAGATCTGACTGTTACTGTGTCTATGTAGAAAGGAAATACATAAGAGACTCCATTTTGAAAAAGACTTGTACCTTAAAGAATTGCTTTGCTGAGACGTTGTTAATTTGTAGCTTTGCCCCAGCCACTTTGACCCAACCTGGAGCTCACAAAAACATGTGTTGTATAAAATCAAGGTTTAAGTGATCTAGGGCTGTGCAGGATGTGCCTTGTTAACAAAATGTTTACAAGCAATATACTTGGTAAAAGTCATCGCCATTCTCTAGTCTCAATAAACCAGGGGCACAATGCACTGTGGAAAGCCGCAGGGACCTCTGCCCTTGAAAGCGGGGTATTGTCCAAGGTTTCTCCCCATGTGATAGTCTGAAATATGGCCTCGTGGGATGAGAAAGACCTGACCGTCACCCAGCCCAACACCCGTAAAGGGTCTGTGCTGAGGGGGACTGGTGAAAGAGGAAAGCCTCTTGCAGTTGAGATAGAGGAAGGCCACTGTCTCCTGCCTGCCCCTGGGAACTGAATGTCTTGGTATAAAACCCGATTGTACATTTGTTCAATTCTAAGATAGGAGAAAAACCGCCCTATGGTGAGAGGCAAGACATGTTTGCAGCAATCCTGCCTTGTTATTCTTTACTCCGCTGAGATGTTTGGGTGGAGGGAAACATAAATCTGGCCTACGTGCACATCCAGCCATAGTACCTTCCCTTGAACTTAATTATGACATAGATTCTTTTGCTCACATGTTTGTTGCTGACCTTCTCCTTATTATCACCCTGCTCTCCGACTACATTCCTTTCTGCTGAAATAATGAAAATAATAATCAATAAAAACTGAGGGAACTCAGAGGCCGGTGCAGGTCTTTAGTATGCTGAGTGCCGGTCCCCTGGGCCCACTGTTGTTTCTCTACACTTTGTCTCTGTGTCTTATTTCTTTTATCAGTCTCTCATCCCACCCGACTAGAAATACCCACAGGTGTGGAGGGGCAGGCCACCCCTTCACCGGGTTCCAGCGATTCTCCTGCCTCAGCCTCCTGAGTAGCTGGGATTACAGGTATGTCACACCACGCCTGGCTAATTTTTGTATTTTTAGTAGAGATGGGGTTTTACCCTGTTAGCCAGGCTGGTCTCGAACCCCTGACCTCAAGTGATCCACCCGCCTCAGCCTCCCAAAGTGCTGGAATTATAGGCATGAGCCACCATGCCGGTCAGAATATTCTATTTTAAATTTGTCAGTGATCCACAAAAAGAAACAAATACTTTCCTAAGAAAGCATTTTAATTTTCAAAAATACAGAAAAATACTTATTTGACAAATATTTTAATGATTTTTATCTTACTAATTTGACTGTATTTTAAGTGAAAAATGCTAACATTACTGACAACCTTTTTTTTTTTTTCAATGTACGGTATGGTTTCATTGTTTTTTTCCAACTTTTATTTTAAGTTCAGGGTTACATGTGCAGGATGTGCAGATTTGTTACATAAGTAAACGTGTGTCATGGTGGTTTGTTGCACAGATCATCCCATTACCTAGGTATTAAGCCCAGCATCCACTAGCTATTCTTCCTGATCTTCTCCCTTCTACCAGTCAGTCCCTGCCCTCTGCCAGGCCACAGGATGTGTTGTTCCCCACCACGTGTCCATGTGTGCTCATCATTTAGCTTCCGCTTATAAGCGAGAACATGCAATATTTGGTGAAAACCTTTTTCTTATGTTAACTATTGTCTTTTCATTTTCAGTGGGTTTTGAGGCTTTAATATTGTCAATTATATTTTGCATTAATCTACCTGTACAGCATTTTAAATCTGAAGCACACAGCGGACCACTGTATTAGTAACTTTCACACCAATGGTCATAATAATCACAATAATAATCAAAATCTGTACTTTCTTTATGTTCAGTAAATTCAATTCCCAAAATTGCCTGTTGCTTCTAATTTCCTTGAATCACAGATACGATTTAATCTTGTATATTCAACTTTGTATATTTAATTTTGTATAGACAGCTTCCAAAGGGCAAAAGAGAGAACTAAAATTCACTTAGCCACTAAAACAGCATTACCTGTCTAACAGCATATTCACAATAGATGAAGAGATGTAGCACAACATGGTCCAAAGTATGCAATCTGGGGTTAGACAGTCCTGAGTTTGAACTCCAGCTCTGCCATTTGCTAGTATATCAGGATTATTGAGAAGTTTGGAAACAATGATTTGGTACAGCTACTAGAACACTGTATGCATTTAACTAATGGTAGCCATCTGTAAACTCCAGTAATACAACAGCATTAAAGTTCTACCTGCTTAGAGAGTGGTAGACCTTCTATAGAACCAAGTTAGCAAATATTCAATATCAGTACACTAGAAATATTTCAGAAAATAGATTAGCTATGCTCCTCTAAGATAAGGGCTCTCAACCTTTTCATTATAACCATCTCACACATGATTATCTCTACAGTCTTGGTTGTCTGTCATTGTCCTACACCTCGTGGACCACACTGACACATATTCAGTGACTCACACCATAAAGTAGTAGTTATTATTGTTACCTCATCCTCCCTATCCTTTGCTGCTGATACTCATCATCACCAAGTCAATTAATTTTCATTCCCTAAATGTCTCTGCAATGTATCCTGTCTCTTTTCTGTAGTTTTTAAATCTTCACTGCCACCATCTTCTCCTGAGCTATTGTAATAGTCTTGTAATTAGTCCCTTACATACACACACAGCTCCCTCTGATACATTATTTACACTGTAGTGATCTTTAAAATAAACACACATACACAAATGTGTTAACTGGCCTTCCCCAATTCAAACACATCAACAACATCCCAAGTCCTTAGAATAAAAACCAAAGCCCTTACCACAGCCCACAAGATTATAGATGATTTGGAGCTGTTATCTACCTGTTGAGCTCAATCCAAACTCCTTCCTCCTTCACTCTCTGTGCTCTGGTCATGTCAGTCTTCTTTAATTTATTTATTTATTCATTCATTTATTTAGAGACGGAGTCTTGCTCTGTTGCCTAGCCTGGAGTGTAGGGGTGTGATCTCAGCTCACTGCAACCTCTGCCTCCCGGGTTCAAGTGATTCTCCTACCTCACAGGCGTGAGCCACTGTGCCCGGCCTAGTCTTTTTAAATTGCTGTACGTGTTGCTATTGTCTTTAACCTCAGGTTGTTTACATAGTGTTCCTTCTGCCTAGAACATTCTCATCTTTCTACCACACTCACTCTGTTAATCTTTAATTCGTCAGATATCAGATCAAACACAACTTCCCAAGGAAAGCCCTCATTTCCCCCACTCAAACCATAATAAGGCAGGTATTTCCCTTCTATGCTGTCACAGCAACTGACATTTCCCTTCAGTGTATATTAATCACTTTTAATAATTCAAATATATATAAAATATGTGTGTGTGTATATATATATATATATATATATATATATATATATATATATTTGGTTTTTTTGTTTGTTTTGTTTTTGAGATGGAGTCTTGCTTTGTCACCCAGGCTGAAGTGCAGTGGCATGATCTGAGCTCACTGCAACCTCCACCTCCAAGGTTCAAGCAATTCTCCTGCCTCAGCCTCCCGAGTAGCTGGGATTACAGACATGCGCCACCACACCCAGCTAATTTTTATATTTTTGGTAGAGATGGGGTTTCACGGTGCTGAACAGGCTGGTCTCGAACTCCTGACCTCAAGTGATCCACTAGCCTCAGCCTCCCAAAGTGCTGGGATTACAGGCGTGAGCCACCGCGCCCGGCTAGAATATGTTATATTGTGTTTATTATATTAATATACTTATTATATATTAAATCATTAAATGTTAATTCCATACAGACAAGTGTCATGCTAAGTTTTCTCAGTTTTAATCCCTGGAGAATAGCGCAGTGTCTAAACAAACTAATACTCAACGAAAATTAGTTGAACAAAGTATAAAAAGAAATCAGGGAATATTTTTTCACTGTTATTTTCCCTTACAGTTTTTGTTTTGAAAATATTTTTTTCTCCTGTAAACTTTCAGTCTGCTCTTTTTTCCAAAGATGGATTGTGTCTGGCATATATAATCCAAGCCCTCTGCCCACCTATTACCCTTGATAATTGTATTTGATTAACCAGTCACATCACAGATGTTGCTACAATTTGATCAGCAAACAGTTCTTCTGATCAGCACGAAATAATCACTATCAGGGAAAGTGAATGTAATTCTGAGTTTTGTTAACAAATGGAGACTTACTATCGAAAAGAATATAATTTTGTTAGAATTTTTGAAATGTAAAAAATAATTATCTAAAAAGAGCAAATATTTAGATTACTTCCAAGGAATAGGACAGAGGTTCAATTATCGACCTGCGGACCTTTGTCCATCTGTAAATAATTCCCAAATTGTAAGTTGACTGTGTTTAAAAGTTTATACATAAGTAAGTCAATGGTTTAGAACTCAATGTATTTTCCATATATATATATATATAGTGTATGTATGTGTATATATATATATACAAATTTGTAATATATAAATTTGTAAAACTATACACATACACATTATATATAGTGTGTGTATATATATATAGTGTGTGTGTATATATATTCTTTAGCAGTATATATATATATTTCTTTAGCAATTGTATATATATACATATATACACTATATATACACACATATACACTATATATGTATATAGATACTATATATATGTATTTAGATACTATATATAATATTATATATAATATATATAATATATAATATTTTATATATATAATATATATAATATATAATAATATATTATATATATATATATATATATATATATGGCTAAAGAAATAACTTTAATGCATTTAGAAACCTCAAAATCAAAATTTCCCTGCTGGCACTGCAGGGTCCCCTCCCTTTGGCTGGCCCTCCTCTCAGAACACTGAGCACTCCCGGGCACTCAAAGTCTCTCTTGCCCACATGTGGGTAGGAGGGACACAGGGAGACCCTGCATTGTCCCTAATAATTGCAACGGTGCCCCTTGTGCCTGTCAGTCCGGGTGAGGTTGCCCCATGGGTGCAGTGTGGAAGTGGTGGCGACCAGAAGCTGAGAGAGGCCTGGCCAGCAAATGGGACTAGGCTGGACTCCCTGGAAGCAGCAGGGAGATATATATATATACACACACACACACATATATATATACACATACATACATACATATATACATAGATATATATACACACACATATACATATATATACACACATATATACATACATATATATATACATACATATACACGTTTATATATATATATATAAAGTCTGTGTGTACATATGACAACATATAAACATTTAGGCCCACACAACACTATTTAATTGCATAGTTAAAGTGTGTCAATAGCAATTAAATATTAAAGTCTATCTATAAAAAATGCATTTGAAGTAGTAGTTGCACTAGGAAAGATTTTTACAAGAACTGGTGCTATTATGGAACTAATTGCAATGAATAATAAAACTGAACTTTCTAGTTGCCTAAGGTTCTGCTACTTCTGAGGGGTAGAACAGCTATCCTTAGCTTCCCAGGTGGTGGAACATTTGAACAGGATGCCTGTAGGTCAGGGATCTGAGGTTGCCATGCAGAAACTAGGATCACTATTTTTAGTCAGTACAAACAGCTGAATTCTCCAGAGAGTTTCAAACTGCATAAACCAGATCCACTTTCACTAAGGTTCCTAGAAGCGCCATTGAACTTGCCTAATATACTCTTTTATCTTGGTAATTAATTGTTCAGCAACAAGTGAGAGTAACTATACAGTTGTTATATTTGGCTATTTATTTTCCTATGGTGGGCAAATAAAAAACAAAAATTTTATTTTAAGTATTGATACAAATAAATAGAATAACCTAGAATTGCTTTAAATTTCCTAAATTTTCATAAATTAACTAAATCAACGAGTTATGTTTGCTTTCAGTGTACTGACATGCCTTTACTCAAACTCAGAAATGAAATATACAGTGAGAAGGGGAAGAAAATTAATTGCAGAGAAGATAAAACATTGATATATTTGAAAGACATTATTGGCTAACATAATTAGGATAGAAAATGGAGGCTCAAAAAATTGGATCTAAGCTAAAATGGTACTATGAAAAAAATTTTTAAAACAAGCTTTTATGGAAGGTCTAAAATGGTATATTCCTTCTAGAAAGAGTAATTTGAAGAGCCAATTAAGTCATACTAGGCAGTAATCTTTCAGTTAATGGTATTTAATTAAAATGACAGGGCTACTCCTTGGATTTGAGGGTAATGACAAATGAAACTTTAATTAGAGTCTTACCTTCCAGGAAAGAGTATGGGCCACTGGATTTTTGCACAAAATATACCACAGTTACTCACATAATTTCTTTTGTTGCTTATTTCTTTTCTTCCAATTTTAAGTAATATATGTACTGCTTGTTTGTTTTTGATTTCCCGCTTTTACAGGTGAAAGTCTGTTTTTCTCTCTATGTAATTTCCCATAATTTATTCTAATGAGGCTAGCTAGTGTCATCTACAGAATCCTAGAATGAATTCAATACTAAACTAAAACTTTGCTTTTATGAGATAACATGCAATTGTGAGACACATTTAGGAGTTTCCACTTAGGCAACTTGAGATAAACTGAATATAATACATTCAAACAGAACATTAAATGAGAGAGAAATAATATAGAAATAGTAGTTAGAGCTTCGTCAAGTTAATATTAGAGATGCAGGCTTTTAAACTGAAGTGGATCTAACATATTTTAGATATTTAAGAAATGTTCCCCAGTGGGTTGACCACATTTCATTGCTTAAGGTAATGCAGAGCAGGGTATGAACAAGAAAGCCTAATGTATGATTTCCAACGAGTGAGGCAGGACCTTGTACATATAATGCTGTGTCCATTATAATAATGATGAACAAAGAGCTATACAAACACGCTTGTCAGTTTCTAACCCCAGACTCTGGCAGAACAGTTGAAAATAGATGCTCAATAGAGATGTCTGCTGAGTTGATGCTGACATATAAGTTCCATGTTATTGATCTACATGTGGGAAAAAAATTGAAAGGATTTTTTTTTCTCTAGTTATTGAAAGTCAAGGGTCAGATGAGCTCCTTGAATGAGGCCTATTGTTCTAACTTGCCCCTGGTCTTAAAAAAACTGTTGGCATTAGGATGAACTATACATTCCAGAAAAGTGATTCTCAACTCTCTCCTGATTGTACCTGATGACATGTTGCAGAAGCCAGTAATTTGTTACTAATATTAAAGAGTAATGTTAGTGGATGATTTGCTTTTATTAAAAAAAAAGAAGGGCATGTTCAGGGTGACATATATGCCACCTTATTGCATTCTAGTAAGATAAGCTTTTCAGAGGAGACATCACAACAAGCTACTGGAAATAAAATACAGCCAACACATTGTTTTATCTCAGCCACATCCAGCAGTGTGATCACACAGACACAAGGATCATGGGTTTAGATGTGGGGCAAAAAGACAAACAAAAAGGCTGAGAACTGTAATCCTAGATTGTGAAAGAGAAACAGAAAGGTCTACTGACCAGTGATTGACGATACTTCTGTCTGAAAACATGCTTTCAATCGATTTAATATTTTTCCATATTTATGCCAGGATAATTAAAATCAATTGAAGAAATCCTACAGAAATAAGCTCCAACTGGATTTAATTTGCAAAAAATTTAAAGGCTGCACATTGTTTTAGAAAAAAGACAGGTCAAAATGAAGGTAAGATTTGTATTACCAGCTTACATGTAAGAACTTCATTGAATGTTTTGAAGATAACATTTTGAGGAATGTAGAAAAACACTGAGAGGAACTTTATCACTAATTATTATAGAATATTTAACACAAATATAACCTTTAGATATGATTCATTTTTCTAAGTGAATTTGAAAGTATTTAGGTATGACTATGAGTAGAGTCTCTGCTACTCACTAATGTAGGATACACATCATCAACTTCATACATTTACTATATTCCTCCTTCAGTAATTGAATTTGTCACTCTTGTTAAAAGAAGACCATAAACAGATTATAAAGGATCAACCTTATGTGGTTTCATGAAAGGCTGCTTTATGAGATTTAACAACAGATTCATGCTATCAATGCTGATGCTAAATGTGGTCCATTGAACAATCCTGAAATATAAAAAGACTAATTACATAAGTTGATGTTACACATGAACATGAACAGAGAAAATATTTTCTCAGAAAAAAATTAGATAACAATCTCAACATTTATATACTTAAACTCCTGATTAGATACAACCAAGAAAAAAAGTTTAAGGGAATACATATGATTTTTAATTTTTTCCTTTCCTGCAAGGTCTATAAATTATCTTTCACATAAGCACTGGCACCATTCATTTCATTGAATAATTTATGTCTTGTAGAATGTCTGCTGAGTTTACAAAGATAAGATCAGGACTATTAGAGATGCTTCCCTTGGTGGGATTCAACACCTCAAGTAAACCTACTGACATCCATGTTGAGTGGACAAGTTAACCCTTGCCTAACTGAATTATTTTGCATTTTCAACATTACTTCCTTGTTTAGAACTTAAACTTATACTCAGAACTTGGAGGAACTGACAACAGTGGAAGGTACCAGCCATAAAATGTTGTCCATTGCAAAGCAGTAGAAATGAGTAGGAAGATTTGTGGGTGTTCCCGGGAACTCATCAGTCTCCTGTTCATTTTCAATAGGAGACTCACAAGTTCCTGCAAATGCACACAAACTTATTCTAAGCAGGAACCATTTGCAGATAAGCAGCTGTTCATATTTCCTCCATTTCAAGTGAATACAGTAATCTGTTCCCCTGGAGTATCTTCAGCAGCTTGCCTGGTGCTTGTGATTCTTTTCAAACAGTTTTGTGGGCATCCCAGACACTGGTCACCTTCATTTATGTATTCAATAAATATTGATTGAGCATCCCTTAAGCAGGTCACTGTTCTTGTTTTAAAGATAGAGTGATAAATAATTTCTTGCCTTTAGGGCAATTCTATCAAACATTAGTCCAGTTCACTTTCAATAATGCCTGAGTCAAAGTATCAGTCTCCAATGCCAAATGAGAGGCAGTGGTATTTAAATTTGTACTTCCTGGTGCAATGGGAAGAATCTAGCAAAGGGAACTACGAGATCAGAATTCTAGCCCTACTGCAGCTAAGACATAGCAGTATTTCCATGTCACACCATTTAACATGTTTTTTGCTTCAGTTTTTTTTTTAATTTTAAAAATTATTATTTGGGCTATTTTACTTTTCATTCTGGATATAAATGTGTGATGATGATATAATAACTGGAAACAAAGAATGGAAGTGTTTATACATAAATATAATGTTATTGAAGTTGTCTTTTTCTATTAAAAAACCTTTGTTTCAGCAATTACTGTAAATTTTAAATGTATTATTAATAACTGGAATCTTTTCTACCAGCCAACACATAAATTATTTTTCTCATATAAAAACAAATGGTTAATTTGCCCATTTAATGGCTCCTAACATTGAAACTTATTTTTATCAGCTTTAATGTCTCCATTAGATCTCAGACTCTAGCTCTAACGTTCTAAGAAGACAGGCTCAGTTCTTGACCAGGAAGGTGGTAATCATCAAGGTAAATATTTTTCCAAGACCAGGTGTTAGTCTTTGCAGTTTTTCTGAAATTTTAAGCTCTAGAAAATTTTGCCTATGTTAGTTTGTTCAAATGAAAAAAATAAATATTCCACTATCTCTTCTCCCCATAAAAAGCATGTGTATAGGCAATTATGCCTGTTCACACACAGGGTCTCTGTCCATAAAGGTTCCCAGCTGGTAAAATTTCATGCACTCATGCTTGGTACAGAATAGCATATAGATCCATTTATTTTACTACCATATGCCCTTGTAAGAGGCAGTATGTAAATACTTTATTGAAGAGGTTTAATTTTTAAGTCCTATCTAGGAATTGGCAGAAATTAACTACAGGTTTTCTTGGTTTTTTGTTTTGTTTTGTTTTGTTTTGTTTTGTTTTTGTGGGGCAAAAGAAGGGGTTTTGATCTCAGTAGACTTTCCTGTCCCTGGAGCTTGGATTTCTGTTTCTGTCTCACTGTTAAAGGACTGAGACCATATCTCCATATAATTAGGTTGTGCAGGTAAGCAGTTACTGTCTTTTCCTAAATGGGTACACACTTGTGTACCAGGGGCAGCACTGCCATGGAGACCTGATCAAAGGGGCCTGCCTGGTATTTAATGAGGTGGAAGAAGAATGCCACAATGAATACAGCCTCAACTACTCTGAATTATGAGGTTTATGTGGTTGAGTGTAGAAGTTTCTCCAAATGGACCCAGAGTCAGTTACTTGTATGGCAGAGGAGTTTGGAGGACAATGGGACATTCTCTCTTTAATCTCTACTAGGGCTGGGGAAGGAAGTAGACCCCACTGAATAACCTCCTCATTATGTGGCTATATTAAAATTGTTGAATATCTATTTATGTAAATCATATGCTATAAAGGTTATTTGCTGTTAAAGTCTCCAATTAAAATTCCAATTGACAGTCAAGAATCCTTGAAATAGCCTAATCAAATAAGAGTAGATCACCACTTTATCCAAGGAATAAGCATCCTCTAGGCAGAGGCACCATCCTGTTTTTCTTTTTTCCACACCTAGAAAATCTTCAGCAGCTAACAAAATCAACTGACTAGTATATGAAATGTATTTGTAAATAAATAAATAATCAGCAACTCAGAGAACATTTATTAAAAGTTTTCTAAAGGGTAGAGTAGGTGGCTAAATAAATGTGATACAATCATTTCCTTTATAGTGTTTGCATTAACATTTTACCTAATAATAAAACGTAGGTTATTTGTGGCAAATGCATATCACAGATGCAGATATACAAAGATGACAAGGAGAAACACTAAATAGCAATAAATGGTGCAAACCAAGAAACAGAGGAGGAAATGTTGAAGCAATTGTGTAGCAGTACATAAAAGTTTAGAGTTCTACAAGCAGAGACCTGTATGTAACTATCACACATAGAATAAGCAATGTATTCTATGTGTGCCTCACATTATATTTAATCTCTCTGGGACTTAGTTTTCTCATTTCAAAATGTGGATACTAGTAGTACCTATCTCATAGTATTTTATCATTCTTATCAGCATTATTGTCATTATTGAGGGTAAGGAATGGAACAGAGAGAACAAATTGAATGTTATAGCCCTGTTACTGAATTTACATATTAATGCTAAAATCTTGAAGCAGGAAAGGAATTTCTGGAGAAAAAAAAAAGAGTATTAGTCATATTAACACCTAACCCATTATAATCCTGAAAAATCTACTAATAACATTGTCATTATAATGAAGTCTGGTACCTTTGGGGTGAGTATAGATGCTATTTCTAGGGAACTGTTTCCACATTTCTCAAAAAGTTATTTAAGATGATGAAAACTATACCCATTCCTTGTACTTCTATTAAGAGAAGCCATTCCTTAACATCTTTATAGCTCTTTGACAACCTTTCTGCTACTTATTATTATCAATGCTGAAATAAATTATTTAGAGAATACTCATGCAATTTATGAGGTCACAATAAAGAAAATGGTCAAAGTCACAGAAATACAAATATTTCTTAAATACAGAGCAACATATTTTAGAATGAGAATTTAGACTACGTGAATGCTGTAAGGCACTTAAAAGTTTATATGAGTTTTCTATTTTAAGATACTTTTTTTATAAACACTCTAACATTATTCATGTTACTACCTCTTTGGTTAATAAGCATTTTCTATCCTTATCCCAGTGTCTGATCTTTAGAGAAACAAAATAAACTGTTGGAAATAACAAACTGGGTCTTTCTTTATAAATTTTTTTACCTCATCAAATCACTATGTTCATAAAGTATACTACATGGTTGAAATAGGTGGAGATAAATCTGAATTTTAAAATTTTCACTCCATGCTAGACTGCAGCGATGCACCTATCCAGGTTTTTGATTAGAATTATGAAAAACAAGCAGTCATAATGTACTGAGCTCTAAGAGGTCAAGTTCTCAAGTTTGAGATTTGCTTAGGCTTATTTCTCCATAGTGATTGCCACTATGCCCATACACTTTACAGAAAATGTGTGAAGAGATCATGATAAAATATGAATTTATGTATTGATTCATGCTTTCAAAGATATTTGTTTGACACTAAGTTCATTACTGATAAAAATGTTCACCAATGCAATTGTACTTTTCATGCTTATTCTTGATACTGAATCTGACAAAAAGATTTCTGACCAGCTATAGCCACATACTTTTACTAATAATCCATGTTTCATGAAACCAACAAAAACTATATACACAACTTAAAATCAAAAGCAACTTAACATGTAAATAAAAGCAATGATAATGACATAATTAAAAAGACAATTTCTCTTGACATACTCTTATTGAAAATGATTATACCAACACAAAAGATTTTATTACTTGGCATAAGAAACAGCAATGATAACTGTATTGACTTTAATTTTGTCAGATACTCAAGTTTCTATTCTGAGTCATACTACCCTATTGAATATTATTACACAATACTGTTCCTTAAATAGTTTTAAATTAGTTTTGATTTGGAGAAATAGTGTTATGCTAGTGCTACAATGACGAAAATGTTTAAAACTTAAATTATTTTTTTAGAAAAAAGATTTCTGTTGAAGTATTTAATAAAAATTCCACTTCATTTTCAAAGAATTTAAGTATATTCAATCCTGATTATATCTCAAGTAGTGATAGCAGATACTATAAGAAATGTTTCAAAATGCTTTATGCACCTCTACCTTTCTATTAATTAAAAATTTATACATGCTTGATGCTTAAAGATCCAAATATTTTAAACGTCTACAAAAGCAAATGTGAAAGCCTCTCTTCTCTTCTTCCATTCTCTACCCAATCCAACAGCCTTCCTGGGAGCAAGCATTATTAACAGTTTAACATTAATCTCCCAGAATGTTTCCATCTAGTATAATGATGTTTTGTTTGATTTTATTGCATGAATTGGGACCGTATTACCCATTGAATCCTGCAAATTACTTTTCACATTTCTCAATATATGATGGTCATTATACCATGTCAGGACATCTGACTATTTTTAATGGCCAACTATTTCCCATCAATGACTAGTTCCCCCTCAGCCCATTACAATGCTGCAATTAACATCACTCTGAGAAAGTCTATTTATTTTTAGGTTCAGACTGAGTATTTCTTAGTAAAAAGTCATGCAGTTTTTTAAAAATATAAATTGCTAAAACCCAACAAATTGTCCATCAGAAAGGCAATTTGCACCCCCAACAGCAGATAATAACAGTAATCATTTGTCTGTGTCCTTGACAGCAATGGTTATCATTTTTTTTTTTAATTTAAAAAATTTGATGGAAGAAAATATCTTATTGTTTTTAGTTTTTTTCTGATAAGAAATATAATTGAACATGCATTAGTATGTTTCATATTTCTATTGATTACTTGTGTGTCTTTTTCACAAATAAGTTATTCACACTTTTTTTTAATGGTTTGATTTTTTTTAATTATTATTATACTTTAAGTTTTAGGGTACATGTGCACAATGTGCAGGTTAGTTAAATATGTATATATGTGCCATGCTGGTGTGCTGCACCCATTCACTGGTCATTTAGCATTAGGTATATCTCCTAATGCTATCCCTCCCCCCTGCCCCCACCCCACAACAGTCCCCAGAGTGTGATGTTCCCCTTCCTGTGTCCATGTGTTCTCATTGTTCAATTCCCATCTATGAGTGAGAACATGCAGCATTTGGTTTTTTGTCCTTGCGATAGTTTACTGAGAATGATGATTTCCAATTTCATCCATGTCCCTACAAAGGACATGAACTCATCATCTTTTATGGTTGCATAGTATTCCATGGTGTATATGTGCCACATTTTCTTAATCCAGTCTATCATTGTTGGACATTTGGGTTGGTTCCAAGTCTTTGCTATTGTGAATAGTGTCACAATAAACATACGTGTGCATGTGTCTTTATAGCAGCATGATTTATAGTCCTTTGGGTATATACCCAGTTTGACAATTTTATTCTATATGGTTGCTGTTATATTGATTTTAGGTGCTATTTATATATTTTATCATGGATAATAATAGTGTCTTACATGTTACAACAATTCGCTTCAAGCTTTATGCTTAAAATTAACTTTATTATGATGTCTTTCACATTATATAGTCATTTTTAAAGCTTATATAGTTAAATATGTCAATTATTTCTCTTATGACTCAGTTTCATTTCTTGCTTAGTAGTAAATTTACCACCCTGATATTAAAATACACTGCTATATTTTCTTCTTTTTTAGTTTATTTTTTACTTTTAGATATTTCATTTAACTAAAATTAACTTTTTATATTGTGAGAAGCAATAGTATTTTTTGCCAATGAATAGAAATGTGTCAACTTTTTACATTTTAATAATATATAATATTTGTTGATATGACAGAGTGTAAAATATAATTTCCCTTTAAAATTTATTTTAAACTGACAAATACAAATTGCATATATTTATCATGTACAATATGTTGCTTTGAAATACGAGTACATTGTTGAATGACTAAATCAAGCTAATCAACATATGAATTACTTCACATACTTAATTTTTTGTAGTAAGAATACTTAAAATCTAATATCTTAGTAATTTCAAGAACAAAACACAGTTATTAATTATAGTCATCAAGCTATACAATAGATGTAAACTTATTCCTCCTAACTGAAATTTTGTATCCTTTCACCAACAACTGTCACAGAAATTACAATTTTATGCCTATATGTGCATGACTGTCTTCAGTAATTATCTATTTTACTGACCTAGTTTCTATTGCTGCACCTGTCCCAAAGCCTTCATCATACATGTGTAAAAACTATTTCAAACTTCATAGGTCAAATACTAGTTGGGAGCTAATTACAATAATTCAAGAGAAATTTTGATGGGCTACATAGGCAAGCCAGTTTGAAAAAAACAGTGCAGGTTTAATAGACATTATTGCACACTATAAAAGTCATCAGAATCAAAATGGAGAAACTAATCATAAAAACAAACAAGCAAACCTGGCAAACAGTGCTGGGGAAGATTATCAAGAGAGCGTTGTCACACTTGCATGCCTGAGAACAAAATGATCACAAAAGATTGCAAAAACTGCAACCTTGCAAAGAGACCGTGGCAACCTTCCACAAAAAGTACTTCTTGAGGGACATCTGTCCAGAAACTGCCTGTCCACCCTCTCACTCGTATCACCTGTGTTATTAATCTTTATAGCCAAGGATAATCTCCAAAAAATTACGTAATCTTCCTCATTTTTCCTTTAAAACCTTTGTCTTCCTTTACCTCCTTGAATATGCACATAATTTATAAGCGCATACATATTCCCATTTCTGTGCCCTACTCGCAAATAATACATTTTTTTTGTTTTAGAGAGCCTCTCTCTGTTTGATATTTAGATTGACAGTAGTCAGAATTGACAGAACCTAAGTGTTACGGGGATGTCACAGGAGGGAGAACCGAGGGAGACATCCAGTTCTCTTGCTTAGTAATGGGATGACTTTTTATGTTACTTAGATATAAGACAAAGGAGGCAGAGCAGATTTGAGGGGAAAAAAAACTTCATTTTTTAAAAATTTTAGATGATTGTCGGTCATCTACATGGAAACATTACAGAGGTAGCTAAGTATACATATCCCCATTTTAGGAAAAATCTAAGATAGAGATAAAGATTTGGAAACTATCAACATAAAGCACTACCAAAATCACAGTAGTTAATGACATTAAGCGTTCAGAATGCCAAAAGGATGACAGTCCAGTAACGAATTTTAAAGGGCTCTAACATTTAAAAGACAAGGAAGTACAGCTCTCAAGAGAGGGCACTGGACAGAAGAATAGAGGACAGGCTGAAAAGTGTGAACTGAAAGCAAAAAGAAGCAAACATTTGCAAATTAAGGAAAGATTTGAACCATAAGACAATGCAGGCAACTTTGTTGTGTTCATGTTAGCTACTTACAAAATTAGTACAATTCAGAATATTTTCTTATATCCCATTCCAAAGATGAAATTCAATTTGAGTTATTTGGTAATTTGTACCCATTTGGTACATGCGGCTTTATTTTAGTTCATGTTTTCCTGTCACTGTATTAAATTAGAATATTTTCCAATATGTTATGAATTTTATCATACGTATCACTATTTCAGAGTCAAAAGACAGATGTAACTATGTATGCACAAGCTAGAATATGAGCAAGAAATACATAATGAGAATGTTAGTATACACCTATGCAACAAGTTGCTTATAAACCTACACTGTTATCTCTATGTAATAGTGAAAATTTAGCTCTTTGTACTCAAATGCCATAAAAAAATAAGAATGAAGTAAAAAATGTATATAAAACCTTTGGCTAGAAGGCCATTTATTTTAGCAAAAAAATACACTGGTGGTGTAGTCAGAAAGACTTAGATTGGAATACTAGTTGAATTTTTCTGAGACTCAGTTTACTCATATGTATTCATATGATACTTGTATCATATTAATATGAGAATAATACATAATAATTTAGGGATTTAAGCAATGCCATTATGTTGCCCTATCTCTTACTTTTTACATATCATCTATAGAAGTACATATCATCTATAGAAACAAATCCTCTTTTCTTTTCTGTGACATACCTAAGTGTAAGAAAGGATTTCAGGGAGCAAAGATGGCTTTATAAATGAGAAATCCTGGGAAACTTCAAATCACTAATACGCAGCTTACAATACAATTATTCCTTGAAGGTATTAGTGGGTGGTGAAGAGGTCCTAAAATAAATGTTTCCATGGAAAAAAGGAAGACAAAGAGTGAGAGACTAGTATTCATCTTTCTATCACAAAGATTAATGTGTTACTACATAGTTTGGTCTACAGAGCTAACACTGAAGTCTCACACATACTTGTGCACACTGAGCTATCAGCGTCCAATGAAACTCATCTCCATTAGTAAATGGACATAGTTTATGTTAGCACACAGAGGCTAAAGGAGATTAGAGAGAGCAGGCATAAATCTGGGCTTTTGGGGAAAGTTCCACATAGGACATGACAGAGACAATCCTAAGTTTATACATCACATCATGTTTGATTTTTCTCCTTGATAGGCACATAGAAATCTACACTTTCCAGCCCTCTTGCTGGTACCATATGATGTATTTTGGTCATTGCAAACAGGTAGAGGCGATATGCACCATTTCTAGACTAAGGCAATGAAAAGTATCTTTAAGTTCTCTGCTATCTCTTGTCACCTTCTCAGCTGTATGTTTTGTTGTTGTTGTTTGTTTGTTTTACCAGTAAGGACTGGTAAAATATGTGTATTCTTGATCCAGGCTTCCTGTCTTGAATTCTGGCTCTGATATTTTCTATTAGTTATGCAACCTTCTATGCCTAATTTCCTCTCCTGTAAAACGAAAATAATAATTGTATCTATATCACAGGGGTTATGAGGATTAATTAAAATAATAGGTATAAGCTTTTAGAGTAATGAAAGCAAATAATAAACACTTAAAATGTTAGCTACTTTCATTAGTATTTCCCACTTATGAAATTTTCTATACTTTCTCCTGATTCTTAATAAATACTTTTTTAAAAGTTTCCCATAATAGATAGAAATTTGGGGTAGTTAGATTTAGGTTTTATTTAAATCAAAATCAAACTTTTCTAATAGTTGGATCCAATGTTAGTATCTTTCTTGTAAGCTAGTTCTTCATCATTAGAAATATTCAGAAGAGGACAAAGGATTCTGTCAATGATAGTAAAGAAATAATTCTTTCCATAGGAGGAAGAATAAAAGTAGTGACCTCTACCCTTCAAAACCTGCATTTCTAACAATTTAAATACCATTATACTACTCTGAAGGTGACTAATATTTAAAATTACATTTCACTGAAATATAATTGTCTTTAATAACTGGGAAGCTACTTTGAATAAACCTTAAATAATTCATCAAACGTGATTGATAAGACAATAGACCAAATCACTATGTATTAAACAGAGAGTCTGTAAAACTTTCTGTAGCAGTTATCATCCAAAATAATTGGGAATATAACGCAGTTTCTAGAAAAGATATTCAATAACACAACAAGCCCAGAAAAAAGAATAAATAGCATGAGATATTTTACTAAGGCACTGACACTCAGAATTTAAATTTGACAGTCTATAAAATCTGTTCAAGAATGAAGAAACCCACAAAACTTCACAGCACTATTTGCCCATGGTAGAGGATTAAAGGTCTGTATCGAGGTTTTCCGTCAGCCAGATTTTATTTTTTCTATCTACTGGTATTAAATGAAAATCTGGCTAAATCATAGTAATCGACCCCTTTTTTTTTAAAATACATATTAGAAAACGCTAAATTTGATGATAAGGATAATATTTATAGGAATGGGAGTTGCTTTCTCTCCAAATACAGTTGTTATTTTTTGACTTCCCGAAACACTACAATATTGCAAAATTAATGAGAACACAGACACAAAGAAGGAAACAACAGACACTGGGACCTACCAGAGAGTGGAGGATGACAGGAGGGAGAAGAGCAGAAAAATAACTATAGGGTGCTAGGCTTAGTGTCTGGTAATAAAATAATCTGTACCTCAAACCCCCATGACATGAGTTTACCTATATATAACAAATGTGCACATGTATCCCTGAACCTAAAATGAAAGTTAAACAAAAAATCCCTACACTTAAATTTCTTCATTGAAACGTTTTATGGTGAAGACATCAGCAATAGGTGGAGTAGGACCTCCCAGTGTTTGTCTCTCACGGAAACATTAATTTGGACAACTATTGTTTCACAAAAATACCTTCACAAGAGCTACAAAAACCAGTTAAGAGATTATAGCATCTGGGTATATCACAAAAATTTTAAAAGATGCATTGAGGAAATAAGAAGAACAGTTTTACATCACCCACATTGCCCCGTCCCCAAACCCTCGGCAACACAGTGTGAGAAGAGATACATTCCAAACGAGGGAAGGACAGAAAGGTTAAGTATCAGTTTCCAGACTGAGCCTTGAGACCAACATCAGTGCTGGGCTGGATCCCACAGCCTTACAATCCAGGTTTGCCTGGCTGTCTCAGCCTCCAGTCCTGCCCCAGTTCCAGGCCAATCCCCATAAACTCTGGCATTAGTCTGACCCCACAGACTCAGTCTCCAGGCCTTCTCCAGGGTTAGGCTGGCCCCAGTGGCCCCAGGCTCCAGACTGACCACAGCACCAGGCTGACCCCAGTGGCTCCCTCCAGACTTCAGGCTTACACAAGCAACTTGCTAGCCTTTGCTAGCCCTTGCATCCCTAGCCATCAGGCCAACACCCATGGACCCAGCTGCCATGCCATGCCCTGAAGATACAAGCTCTAGGCCTGCCCAAGTGCCAGACTGGGCACAGAAACTATAGGTTCCTGGCCCTCCCTAGGTTCTAGATCAGCCCAGAGCCAGTCTGGCACACATAGCCCCAGGCTTCAGGCCTGCCTAGTGCCAGGCTAGCATTCCTGGCTGAAGATATCATGCCATATCCACTGACATGGACTCCTGGCCTGCTCAGGGCCAGGCTGTTCCCTGTTGCCCCATCGTCCAAGGCCACCCCTGTGGCTCCATGCTCTAGAAGACTTGGGTTCCAGGCCTGCTTCAGCCAACTCACAGTCCAGGCCCATCCCAATTAACCCAAGTGTTATCTTGGTCCCCAATGAAACAGACTCTATGACCTCTCCTGTGTAATCAGGTTCCAGGTCAGCCCCGCAGCTCCAGGACTCAGGCCGACAGCCTCTCAGACCTAGCTTCTAGGCCAGCCATTACAGATACAGGCTCCAGGCTGGTCCTCACGGCCCTAGGCTCCATGCCAATCGTCCTGGTTCCAGGCACCAGGCCAGTACCCACCATACCATGTACCAGATCAGTCTCATGGACCCAGGTTCCATGCCATCCCCAGCAGCTGGCTGGCCACTGGCTCCAGGCCAGTCCCCACGGTTCCAGGCTCCAGTGGCCCCAGGGTCCATGCCCCCACCAGTAAATCCTCGTATCAGGCCAGACCCTAAGGACCAAAACTCCAGGATAGCCTCTGCAGACCCAGGCTTATCTCAGGGTCTATTTAGAAGACTCATGTGTAGCCTTACTCTAGCACCAGGTCAGTACCCACAGAAGTTCCTGTGGACCCAGGCTTCAGTTCAGACTTTATGGATACAGGCTCCAGCCAGCCTCAAGGAACCAGTCTCCAGACACACCATTACAGACCCAATCAAAACTTCTGGCACAGTTTACCCAGGCTCTAAGGCCATCTCTGCATACCCGGGTGCCAAGCCCACTCACCTATTGACCTTGGTACTGGGCCAGCCTGCCTGATGACTCCAGCAGCAAGTCCATCTATGAATCATGGCAGATAGTCTGCCCATAACCTCTGGACAAGCTGAATGATAAAGGGCTTTCCCAGACAAAGCCAGTCTGCAAAGACTGAAATGAGTCCCTACTTCTTCAAATGTGAAGGTAACAATGCATGGCCACAAGGATCAAGAACAATCAGAGAAACATGACATACCAAAGAGACAAAGCATCAGTAGTGGATTCTAAAAGTGAAAATTTATTAACCGCCTAGCAAAAAATTGAAAAACAATTGGTTTAAGGAGTTCAGGAAACTACCAGGAAACAATTCAAGGAAAATAATAAGTGACGAAAGTAAGAAATTGGACAGAAATATTAAAATTGTTTTAAAAAAATCAAACACAAATCAGATTCAATCCAAACTAGAGGAAGATATATTATAGTAAAACTATGTAAAATCAAAGACAAAAAGAAAATCTTAAAAACAATAAGAGACTAAAAGCATATTATGCATAAAAAAGATTCAGTATAGCTAGTAACATATTTCTTACTATAAACCTTATAGACCAGGAGAAAGTAGGATGATGCATTCAAAGTACTAATGAAAAAACTCCATTAAAGAATAACATGTCCAGGAAAACTTCCAATCAGAAACGAAGGAGATATAAAGACTTTCCCAGACAAATAAAAAGCTAGAAAATTCATCACCACTAGACTTGTCTAACATGAAATACTCAAAGTAGTTCTTTAACCAGAAAGAAAAGAATGTTAATTAGTAACACAAAACATATTAAAGTATAAAACTCACTGGTAAAAGTAAGTACACAAATTCAAAATACTCTAATACTGTACTGTGGGTCTGTGCAATCACTTATGTCTTAAATATGAAGGTCAAAAGACAAAATTATTAAAAATAATAGGCGCAATTATTTGTTAAGGGATACAAATTAAAAAAAGATGTAAATTGTTACATCAAAAACATAAAATGTATGCATAGGGGGTGTAATAAAAGTGTAGAGTTTTTATATGTGATTAAAAATTAAGTTATCAGCTTAAAAGAGCATATTATACCTATGAGATGTTTTACATAAACCTCACAATAATGGCAAACAAACACCTATACTAGATAAACCATGAATAAAAAGTAAAGAATCAAAAAATACTGCTAGAGAAAATAATCACAAAGAAAGATAGCAAGAGAGGTAGAAAGGAACAAATAAGTTACAGAACAACCAGAAAACAATTATTAAAATGGCAGTAGTAAATATTTACCTATCAGTAATTACCTTGATTATAAATGGATTAAATTCTTCAATAAAAAGACATAGATTGACCAGGAACAGTGGCTCCCACCTATAATCCAGTATTTTGGGAGGCCAAAGCAGGAGGATCACTTGAACATAGGAGTCCAAGACCAGCCCCAGCAATATAGTGAGATACTGGCTCTAAAATTAATAATAACAATAATAATAATGTTTTATAAAAAGACATAGATTGGTAGAATGGATGAAAAATAAGACCTAACTATATGCTGCTTACAAGAGACTACTGTCACCTTTAAAGACACACAGACTCATTTGAAGAGATAGGAAAAAATATTTCATGCAAATGGAAACCTAAAGAGAGCAGGTATAGCTATGCTTATATCAGTAAAATGAATAAAACCTAAAGAGAGCAGGTATAGCTATGCTTATATCAGTCAAAAACTGTAACATGAACAAAAAAGGTCCTTATTAGTGATCAAGAGGTCAACTCATGAAGAAGATATAAAAATTATAAATTTATATTCACTTAACATTGAAAAACCTAAATATATAAAGCAAACACTGTGAGGGGGAGATAGAATTAAATACAATAATAGTAGGAGATTTCATTACCTCACTTTAAGCAATGAACAGATCATCTAGACAAATCAATAAGGAAACATCAGGCTTAATCTGCACTTTAGGCCAGATGAATCTAACAGGTGTATAGAGAGCATTCTATCCAATAGCAGCAGAATAAATGTTCTTCTCAAATAAACACAGAACATTCTTCAGCATAGATAATACACTGGGACAGAAAATAAGTCTTAAGAAATTTTAAAAGATTGAAATTATTCAAGTATCCCTTCTGACCAAAACAGTACAAAACTAGAAACAATAACAGAAAGAATCTTGGAAAACGCAAAAATACATTGAAATTAAACCTCATTCTGAACAAAAAATGAGTCAACAAATAAATTAAAAGAGATATTAAAAATATCCTGAGACAAATGAAAACGAAAATAAAATATACCAAAATAGAGTTCAGAAAAAACAGTTCTAAGTAGTAAGTTTATTGCGATAAACACCTACATAAAAAATAAGAAATATATCAAATAAATAATTTAATGTTATATACCAAGGAACTTGAAAAAAGAAACAAACTAAACCTAAAGTTAGTAGGAGGGTAAAAATAGTAAAGATCAGAGCAGAAATAAATAAAATATAGACTAGAAAAACAATTGAAAAAAATCAACAAAAGGAAGAGCTTTTTTTTTGAGAAAGAAACAAAATTGGCAAAGCTTCAGCTAATCTAAATAAGAAAAGACAGAAGATTCAAATAAATAAAATCAGAAATGAAAGAGAGACATTATAATTGTTACCATAGAAATACAAAGAATCATAAGAGACTAATAGGAACAAGTATAAGCCAACAAATTGGACAACCTAGAAGAAATGAATAAATTTCTAGACATAAATTTCTACCTACCAAGGCTGACTCATGAAGAAACAGAAAATATGAACAGACCAATAATGAGAAAGGAGATTGAATCAGAAATACAAAGTCTTCCATCATAGAACAGCCCAGGACATAACAGCTTCACTGATGAATTCTATCTAACATTCATTCATTATTCATTCATTCATCCATCCATTCATTCATTCATTTATAGAGACAGGGTCTCCCTCTGTCACGTAGGTTAGAGTGTGGTAGTGCAATCAAAGCTCACTGTAGCCTCAAACTCCTGGGCTCAAGGAATCCTCCTACTTCAGTCTCTGGAGTAGCTGGGACTACAGGTGCCTCCTGCTACCATGCTTGGCTAATTTATTTGTTTTTGTAGAGGTGGGGTCTTGCTATATTGCCTAGACTGGTCTCAAACTGTTAGGCTCAAGCTATCCTCCTGCCTTAGACTTATCAGAGCACTGGGATTACAGATATGAGCCACCATGCTTGGCCCTATCTAACACTTAATTAAGAAATAATACCAATCCTTCTCCAAATTTTCCAAAGCACTGAAGAAGAGGGAATACTTCAAAATTCATCCAATGGGGCCTGCATTTGCCTGATACCAAAGGAAGACAGGGACAGTGTAAAAAAACTTAAGAGATTCCAATGAACATAGATGCAAAAATCCTCAACAAAATACTAGCAAATCAAATTCAATGCCACGTTAAAAGGAACATTGCCGATGATCAAGTGGGATTTATCCTGGTGATACAAGGATGTTTCAACATGTACAAATCTATAAATGTGATATTCTACATTAATAGAATGTAGGATAAAAACAATACAATCATCTCAATCAATACAGAAAAAGCTTTTGACAAAATTCAGGATCCTTTTATGATAAAAAAAAAACTCTCAATAAATTAGGTATGGGAAGGAATGCACCTCAACACAATAAAAGCCACATGTAGCAACCCCACAGCTAACATAACACTTAATGTTGAAAAGTTGAAAGCTTTTCCTCTAAAACCAGAATCAAGATAAAGATTCCAACTCTTGCTACTTGTACTCAACATAGCAGCCTAGCTAGAACAATTAGCAAGAGAAAGAAATAAAAGGCATTTAAATTGGGAAGGAAAAAGTTGTTGTTTTTGTTTGCAGAGGACATAATCTTATATATATAAAAAACTTAAGACTCCACCAAAAAACTGTTAGAACTAATAAAGAAATTCCATAGGGTTGCAGAATACAAAAGCAACATATGAAAATCTGTACTGTTTTTATACACTAACAATGAACTCTCCAAAAAAGAAACCAAAAGAACAATCCTATTTAAAATAGATACAAAAAAACTTTAAAAATAAATTTAACTGAGTAAGTGAATGGCCTGTACACTCAAAAGTATAAAATACTAATAAAAGAAACTAATGATACAAATAAATAGTAATCTATTTTGTGTATATGAGTAGAAATAATTAATACTCTTAAAATGTGCATACTACCCAAAGCAATCTACAGATTTAATGCAATCCCTATTCAATGACATTTTTCACAGAAATAGAAAAAAAATACTAAAATTTGTATGATACCACAAAAGACCTGGAAGAGTCAAAGCATCTTAACCAGAAGGAATGAAGCTTACTGGCAGAAGAAACAGAGACACTGACCAAGGAAACACAACAGAGAGCCCAAAAATAAATCCACGCATTTATAGACAATTAAGTTTCAGCAGAGTTGCTAAGAACACACAACGGGCAAAGAACAGTCTCTTCACTAAATGGTTTAGGGAAAACCCAGTGTACACAAGCAGAAAAAATGAAACTGGAGCTATATCTCACATGATATATAAAAATCAACTCAAAATGGAGTAAAGATTTTAATTTAAGATCTTAAATATAAAACTGTTAGAAGAAAATAACAGGGAAGCTCCACGCCATTGGTCTAGGAAATAATATTTTGGATACAACAAATATTCATACCCTTTGAGTATGAAGCACAGACAACAAAAGCAAAAAAAAAAAAAAAACTGAATTACATTAAACTAAAAAACTTCTAAACACCAAAGAAACAATCAAAAGAATAAAGAGTAAACCTATAGAGTGGGATAAAACATTTGCAAACTATACTCTGATAAGGGGTTCACATTCAAAATATATCCAAACTTCAAACAACTTAATAGCAAGAAAAAAAATAATGTGACTAAAAATAGGCAAAATACCTACACAAATAATTGTCAAAAGAAGATATAGAAATGGACAAATTTTCTTAAAAAGCTCAATATTACTAATCATCTGGGAAATGTTAATTAAAATAGCAATGAATTTTATGTCTACATGTAAGAGATAAATCACACCTGTGAGAATAGATGCTATAAAAAAGATGAAAGTTAACTAATGTTGGTGAGAATGTAGACAAAAGGGAATTCTTTAACACTGCTGGTGGCAATGTAAATTAGTATGGCTATCATAGAAAACATTATGAAAATTTTTCAAACAGTCAAAAAGAGAACTGTCATATGATCCAGCAATCCCACTTTTGGTAGACATCCAAAGCATATGAAATCAGTATGTTGAAGAGATATCTGCACGCCCATGTTCAGTGCAGCACTACTCACAAGAGTGAAGATATGGAATCAACCCAAGTGTCCATTAAAGGATGAATAAGTAAAGAAGATGTGTTATATATAAACAATGGTATACTTTTAAGCCTTAAAAAAGAAGGAAATCCCTTCACTTGCAACAGCACAGTTGAACCTGACAGTATGTTAACTGAAATGAGTTAGGCACTGAAAAAGAAATAGCACATGATCTCACTTAAATATGGAATCTAAAAACATGGAACTCATAGAAGCAGAGGGTAGAAATGGTGGCCAAGGGGCTCTAGGTGGCAGGCTGGGGAGATGTGGGTCAAAGAATATGAAAGTTCATTTAGATAGGAGGAATAATTTCAAGATATTTATTGTACAATATGATGACTATAGTTAATAACAATGTATTATATTTATGAAAATTGCTATGAAAATAGATTTTAAGTGTGATCACTACAAAAAGTAAGTATGTGAGTTAATATATGTGATAATTAGCTCAATTTATCCTTTCCAAATGTATACATATTTCAAAAAATCATACAGTACATAATACATATAATTTTTATTTATAAATTAAAAATAATTAATTTTAAAAGGAAAATAGAAATATTTTATTAAAGTAGATACAGCAGATATCCTGGCAATGATTATTAAGTGAAATAGCCTCATTCACATAATAAGGTTGAAACAAGTGTGCATTGCCTTCCAGATGGTCAGATAATGCCAAATGCAGAAAGGGTGTCTAATCAGTACAATCCATCTACAAAAGTCACCAGGATTATATAACATCTACCAGAGAATTTAGAAAGAAATATAAAATGAAATCCTGCTCCATTCCGATTACTGTGATTCTATTAATTTTGCTCCCCTAACAAAGTGACCATCTTAAATATGAAGGGATGCAAAAGATGTATAAAATAATTTCTCAATCCTAAGGAAGTTTTCCCACTGAGAAACAATATATACACAAAAGGCAAAACAATACAAGGTACTCTCTGAATCAAAAAGCTTTCATTTTCTAATTCATGCAAGGTGTGTGGTCCTCATTATAAAAAGTTCTGTCATATTTGTTTTCTTTTACCTAACCCACTTTGGAAACTAATACAGAGCAGAACAAAACTCACCTAAAGCAAATTTTATAAGTGCTGACTCACATGCGTTAAAGCTAAGAGAGCCTGATTAATAATTATTTTATTGCAATCAACATCATCAAATATCTTTTTTCATGACTTCCATTTCTGGTGGAATGGCTGATTTTATGGAGCTCTTGATTTTCTATGATCTGTATATCATGGTAATCAGACCTGTAAAGTTAATCTGCATGATTAAATGTCCACATGAGTTAAAGACAAAAGCCATAGAAATAGACGAAATGGCAATGTCAACATTAAGTGAAATGGTCAAGGAAGACTTTATGAAAGAGATGAAAATTGATTTGTGCCTATGAGAATGAGTGTGGCTAAGCATAGTAACAGTAGCAAAAGCTATTCACATAGTGGAAAGTAGCACAAAAGAGAAAGTAGAGTAGAATAGAAAAGGGTCTTTCAGTCTTAAAAATTTTTTTTTGGCAGGTGGTAAGGAAACTGATCAACAGTGTAGTAGATTTCTAATGAGAAGTAGAGGGAGAGAAGTGATGACATATTATTCCTATGAATGGTCTGGTGGACAGTGCAAAGCAAGTAGACAATTTCTGAATGTTATTGTGAGATGATGAAAATCGTACTTAATAAGACCACTCTGAAAGAAATATACAAGATGTATGATAGCAGGTAAACAGGAGGAAGAGAGGTCATTTAAGAAGCTATGTCAATTACAATATTAAATGCATTTTGAAATGAGAAGGGGCCAGACTTAATGACAAACTACTTATGAATGTACAGAAAATGAAGCAGAGATGCATGAGGATTTTCCTACCAGGGTGACCAGAGAAATGAGGAAATAGTTGATAGGGGCTAATGGAAAAGGAACTACTTCTTGAAGAAATTGCATTCGAGATGACTGTAGAACTTCTAAATTAAAGTGGCCTTACATCTCTGAAAATGAAGTTCAGTAATTTAGGGACAACTACAGGCAAGGGATAAATGAATGCCCAAAAGTGCACAGATTTATTGGAATGGGAAAAGCTCTAAGAAAAGATGTCTGAGGGATATAGGTTTCCTCAGCATTACTTAGTACTAAAATATATTTAGGTATAATTCTGGCTTAAATGTTGCTTTTCAATTTATTAATCTATTTGATATTAATACTTTATAGAAACTATTACATCTTCAATCATGGGAAGCTATACACACACACACACATACACACACACACACACATACAAAACTTCTCAAGCAGGTTGCACTGCTGTGATAGTACAATCAAAGGCATGGTATGTTTTATGCTGAATGATATATAACTAAGTGTGCTAGGGAAGGTCTATAGCTAATATGGAGCAGATATCTGGTGACCTCTTTCACATTCTCCAGAAAATCAATTTTATTTTATTGTAGTGGAAATAAGTTGCTGTGAAATGAACATCAAATTTTATAAGACTGATTATTTCCTCAATAAGAATGATTGCTCTCTCAAGTAAAAAGTGATGCTGGAGAAAACAAACAACAATACCATGTTGGCTGACTATCCTCTCTCACTTCCATAATAAAAATTCAGGAAGTCACTTGTGTTCAAAGGAGTAAAAATAATTCACAGAAAGAAAATATTATTTTAAAAAGTTAGACAACAAAAAATTCCAATGATTCCAAGTTTATAGAATGAAGAATGTGTATTTGAAACATGGGGAAAACCAAAAGGAAAAATAATCGTTAAAAATGGCCAGTTAATATTCACAATCTATTTTATAAGGATGCACAAGAAAAGGTTTTTTAAATTAAGTTTTTTCTGTAACAAATGACCTGTCAGTTATTTTTATTTAGAGAGAATAATTTCATTTGTTAAGGTTCCTCTTCAGCCTTTGCTACAATGAAATTCAAACTTAAAGTTCTTAATCACAAACATTTTATAAGACTGATTATTTCCTATAATATATCATGATGTATATGATTTTTGATACTCTGTCTTGTCTTTTGATTTGGTATGTTTTATTCTTCACTGTCTTCTGGTATATAGATATTTTAGGTTGCAATCCAATTTGGGTTGCTTTCCTTTAGAAAAGCAATTGGACAGGAATAAGAAACAAACAAATAAGTTGTATCTGGGCCTGTTTAGATTATAAGCATCTTCCCAGATAATTCTGCTTCTCAAAGCATGTCTTTATGAATTTTATCATTTCAAAGACCATGTACCCGATTATGCAACTCTCTTCTGTCTGATAGATGTGTTGTATGTAGTAATCTTTTCACAGCCAGACATGCAAATATGTCACTTATTTTAATGAAGACAAATGTTGCTTGCATGTATCATTTATATAACAGCACAACAGAGTTTATCTAGTATTTATACAGTAATGCTTATATCAGCATAAGTCAAATCAACATAGTTGTCACTAAAGTTACTATTCTATCACTGCAATGATGAAAAGAATATAAAGTAATTCTATAATGTAGATAATCAGTTTTCCCTGATTTCTGCTTAGCACATTAGTAATAGGTTTTTTAAAAATATACAATATAGTGATTACTGAGTGTTAAGTGTGTGATTGCCTATTGCCTACATTTGCAAAGAACAAATGGAATACTTAAACTTTCATGTTCCACTGACTCTTGATTTCAGAACAAAATTAGGGATAACTGTAAACGTATGTCAATGTCTTGGGCTTCAATATCAAGATTCACAAACATATTGCATCTGCTGAATTCAGTCTCATACAGTTAATTTACATTCATTTCCTGTCAACTTTTTTCTCCTGGTGTGAGCAACTGCATCACCTGATGAGATCACCATCAGTGGCAAGGAATTGGAAGTTGCTAAAGAGAGGTACAACTCCAAGTGAATGTAAAACTCCAATTCAGGAAAGTAAGACATATAATATTAAAGAGTGAAAAACATGTATAGTTGTTTTATTTTGTTTCAAAATTCTGAGAGCTTGCTGAGTGACAAATTATTCCCTGAAAGCAGTAATCAACAGAAAGGCAATGAAATAATACAGAAACAATTGCAAGAAAGAATAATATAAACCAGAATAAACCAGCCAGTTTTATATGCACAAATATTCTTAAGCAAAGCCAAAAATTAACTTTAACAAGGCCATGACATAAAATGAACTTCCTCCTCTAATGCTAATTAAATTTTAAAAAATAATATTCTTTTCTCTCCTATGCTACAAGAGTATTTTAAACCCTTTTTTGAGTACTTTCAACCAATGTTATATAGTACTCTGAGTAATACTATATAGATACATTTATCTCTTTTCTTAAATGTTGATCTCTTGGGGCATAAAATCGATTTTGATTTGCTTTATGTTAAACTACACATAGCACAGTATCAATGACTGTCACATATAAATGCTCACCAATTTTTTTTTGAGTTATCAATAAATATGACTATATGTTAACAAGACCATTACTAAATCATGCTAAATGTGAATGCATCTCTTTAGATACAGTGTAGCAAATGAGCAACAAGAAACATTGTTTCCTAGAAAAGGCATACACTCTGATAATGTTTGGCTCTGTGTCCCCACCCAAATCTCATGTCAAATTGTAATTCCCCATGTTGGAAATGGGGTCTGGTGGGAGGTGATTAAATCATGGGGGCAAACTTCCCCCTTGCTGTTCTGGTGATAGAGTTCTTATGAGATCTGATTGTTTGAAAGTGTGTAGCACCTTCCCTCTGTCTCTCTTCTGCCAGCCATGTGAAGATGTGCTTGCTTCTCCTTCACCTTCTACCATGATAGTAAGTTTCTTGAGGCCTCCCCAGAAGCAGAAGCCTGTACAGCCTGAAGAACCATGAACCAATTAAAGTTTTTTTTCTTTATAAATTACCCAGTCTCAGGTAGTTATTTATAGCAGTATGAGAATGAACTAATATACACACCTAAAGATACTAGTCCTGTATATGGGAAAGTAAATGTAGAAAGAAAATGATAGAAATAGAGAAAAAAATTTGTTGTTTGAAAAATGGATATTAATAGGAATATAGTTCAGATTATATGAATATGGTTTTCTCTTAAAAGCAAAAACAGTTTATGTCTTTAACATCCAGTCACATGGAAGAAATTAAGTCTGTTTTTGTTTTTCCTGCTTCCAACCACTTAGCCAGAGGGAAGTGAAAATTTTAGTGAGAAAAGAGATTGAACATAGGAAGAGAGGGAATATATGATCTGGGTCGATTATGTCAATAAAAGAGGCAGTAATGTTCAGGGGTAGAATATAAAAAGGTAAAGCATATAAGAGGTAACAAAATGCATACGTATTTCACATTATATTAGATCACTTATACAATTTTTTTAAATTCTCCATATTCTTCATATATTTGTATAAATCTAACATTCAATCTTATTTTAGAAAAATTTTTCTATAAATAAAACTCATATTGGTAAGCATATTGTCTTTTCTTTATTTAAAGAAGCACGTTTGACATTCCTTGATATATGTTTAGACATTTCCACTACAGGTACATATAAAAAATTTTCTATAATCTGAACCATATTCATATCTTTGATCAACATCCATTTTTTTCCTACTATCTAGAAAGAAGGAGATTATGGACAAAATGCAAGTCTGAAAATAACAGAATTGTAAATGAAATTCTCCTTGATCATTATTTATCATTATTTATACATCAAACAGCAATAATATGAAAGTGCCTCAGCCTTATTCAATTTAATATAGAGTTAAGTACATAACAAGTGATTTTAGATGTTGTTTCAAACTCCTAGAGAATATTCAACTCCACAGAATGTTGTTCTTCTAAAATATTAAAAGGTTAGAGCCACTCATAATATTGGAAGGTACAGTGTGAAGACACATGTGCTCTAAACATACATAATTAATGCCATACAGAAAGAGATGTACGTTCTCTCCATCTAGTTCAACAGTCTTTCCCGGAGAGTAACCAAGTAATTCTCTCATGTTAATTACTTTAAAAGTCATATTACATACACCAGAGACAGTTTCATCTTACTCAGCAGCCAAACATCAGTGACATATTCTTTTCTGAACATTTTTCTATATTGAAGATATATTAAATAAATGTGTATGAATATACTTGCTAAATATGCATTGCAATATGAAGAAAAATTATTTAGAATTCCTTTTCTAGAGTCTCTCTAATAAGGCAACCTGCCATCGGCCTGGCAACATGGCTTAATCTAACCTGAGCAACAAATAAAATTAGATGACTTCATGTATGCTCTTTTAACTCCAGATCGTTATAATTGCAATAATTTATCAATAAAGCTAAAAGCCTATAAAGTGAAAAATGAAAACCTGGAAGTGACAGTGAAAGACTAACTTGTCAAATGACTGGTGGTCAAGCAGCAGTCAGTTCTATGAAAAACCTGTGCTGCCCATACTTTTCTTTTTTGCCTTTGTTGGGTTTGTTCCTTTTTTTTCAGCCTAAATAACCTTGCCTCCACTCATCTAGTCATTTACATATTCTCTCTCTCCATGCCTGGTAAGCTGTTCTGTCTTCTTTTTTATACTCTGGCAGGCAACTCTTCTGTATTATTATGGAGAATCAGCCATTATAGAATAATAAATTATTGTTTGCTGCTCACCCTGGAAGATATGTGACAGTTGCCCATAGGAGAAACAGATAAAGTGGAAATCTACATCCACTAACTGGACAAGTAACCCTTATGGAATTTTATTCAAGGCTCATGCTTTAACCATTATTTATTTTCTCCTCACATATAGTCTTCATTGACATCATGTGTCTTCATTAGTAATCACTGATGCTTCTCCTTATTACCTCAGTCTTGGCTAGTCTACAAAACGACAGCCTGTATAAGGTGTTCCTTAAATATATTTCATGCTTAGACCATGCAGTATATTTTAAATCAAATCATCTCAACTATTTTGTGATAATCATAAAAGATATGTCCTACTTCCTGACTTTTGGATTCATGACATCACCTCCTGGCCTTCTTGAGATTGTGTGGAATCTAGTGAATGTTGTGCAGAAGTTATGTGTGTGACTTTTAATTGTTGGTGCTAGATCTTTCACATCTCTCATTTCCTTCTGGCACAATAACCAGCCACATTCTTTATGGTGGCGGTGTTGAAAGTTAGTTAATTAACATTATATTTTGAGGTATTTCCTCTGTACAGTTTACACTCAGTTTCAACTGATCTAGACAATAATTATCTTTTTCTTTCAGGTACTCCAAACTAAATGATCTGTTCAATAAAATCCTCATTTTGAGGTAGACAATCTCAAACATATGTTCCTAACAGGATGAAAATCTCTGTTATCATCATAATAATTCCATTATTATAACATGTGATGTAGTAATTATTAATGATTTTATTATCCACATGTCTATTTGTATAAATGCCTGTTCAGTGAAATAGAATTTTATATTCTAGCAAATCATGGTTTAGCTAGTCTTTTAAGGGAAACTAAGGCAAAAGCAAGGTTTCCAGTAGGTTTATTGAAATACTAACCTTAATGCTCCTTAAATCATACTCAATGAAATTAGTACTGTTGCATGATATGTCAACCATATTTTATAATACTTTACGTTATACAATATTATATAGGCATCTTTGTTCAAGGATTCAAACCCTTAAAATGTGAATGTGTACTTAAAATCTCCAATGTATAGATAGTATAAAGAACGCTTTAAAATACCTTTAATCAAAATAGAGAAAGAATATTGGGTATACATACATGAGTCTAAATAGTTGTAGATTTGTCAGGTCCTTACATCCCATATTTCCTCCAAAATTAAAGTCTCCCTTTTTTGTGATAATCTGATAATACTTGTTGTTTTATAATGCTTATTACATATTCACTACTTAAGAAACAAGATGTGCATAATTTTGCTATTTACCTGCTTTAGTGTTCCTGGACTCAGCATTGAAAGTTTTCATGACCAAGTAATACGTTATAGTGAGTACAATTTCATTTTAGATTCTGCAAAATAGAGCAAATGTATCAGAGAGCACATGATTTTTTAATTAAAATGGTACGTATACATGATAGTCACTATCATTTAATTGTACTTTTGAATACTGACATATCGGCTTCATTGTTTCCATGTTTTCTCATAGAAAAAATTTAGAAGTCACAATTTATGCCACTCTCACTTTCCAAGAGAAAACAGACTTTCCTGTGATAAAGCATACAACAAGAAAATAACTCATTAAAACATGAATGCATAAAAGGGCAGAAACCCATTAGCTACAATACAATGTGTGTAATTCTTGAAACCTGATTTTTATGATCTAAATACATTTGTGTATACAAACAGATAGCATAAATGTACAGGATAAAATAAAACATATAACCAAAAGGAGGGAGAATAAACACTTTAGACAGCACAGACCAGATAAAAGTATCTTTCTTTTGGCCAAAACGCTATATATACTATGAATTTAAAGTAAGGTTATGGACTTTATGTGTGGGATTTATAACTGAGTTAGCTATCAATATCAAGCAGTTATCAAACCTATATCAAGAAGCATTTAATTTTAGGATATTTAGACCATTTTCTTATGCAAATAAAACAAAAATAAAAAACTCATCCAAGAAAATCTACAGATCAATATTAGCTTGAGACAAACATAACTACAGCTGATCCTTGAACAATTAATTGGGTTTGAACTGTGCAGGTTCACTTATACATGGATTTTTTTTTCAACCAAACACAGATTGAAAATTTGATATTTGCAGGATGTGAAACCTCATATACAGAGGGCCAATTTTTCATATATTTGGGTTTGACAGGGTCTGCTGAAGGACTTGAGTATGAGTAGATTTTGGTATCTTCCAGTGTCCTGGAACAATCCCTCCTGTATGACAAGGGATGGCTGTATACAGTTACAAGTACAGATCAAACTTTACAATCACTAACCCAAACAGTCCTGGATGTTTTAAAGATAGTCACAAACGCTGGGTGCGGTGGCTCACGCCTGTAATCCCAGCACTTTGGGAGGCCGAGGCAGGCGGATCACAAGGTCAAGAGATGGGAGACCATCCTGGCCAACATGGTGAAACCTCATCTCTACTAAAAATACAAAAATTAGCTGGGCATGGTGGCACACGCCTGTAGTCCCAGCTACTTGGGAGGCTGAGGCAGGAGAATTGCTTGAACCCGGGAGGCGGAGGTTGCAGTAAGCCGAGATCATGCCATTGCACTCCAGGCTGGCGACAGAGCGAGACTCTGTCTCAAACAAACAAACAAAAAATAAATAAATAAAAATGAAAATAAAGTTAGTCACAAACTTTGAGGACACAGAAAGCTCAGGAAAAGTACCCAATGCTTAGCAAGCATTAATCAAGTTTATTTTTTCTGTCTTCTATTATGAAATCATCTGTTCACAGTCACTTCTTCAAGAAAGGCACGGGTTCTCAAATTTGATTGTTCATTTGAAACACCTGCAGGGCTTGTTAAAACACAGATTACTGGGTCACTGCAGAGTTTCTGAATCATAGGTCTGGGGTGTGGCTTGAGAATCTACCTTAGTAACATATTCTAAGGAGATAAGGAAGCTGCTGGACCAGTGACCACACCTTGAGAATCATTAACTTAGTGACTTAAAAGCCCTCAGTATCACCATATTTACATATGTGTGTTTTCAAGTACTTTCTGTTGGGCCTCACTTAACTTAAAGATTACTTCAATAGTATTGAAATAGACTTGTGTATTAAAAGTAAATATGTGGGTAAATGTAATTCTTACTGTAAGGGTACATGAAGAATGCTGGTCACTTAGGAGATACTTTATCAGTGAATCACATAGTTCAAATGTTCACTAAATAAATTCTAACTGAAGGCCTAAGGTATACTAGAGACCAGATTTACCAAGATAAATAAGATATGTATTATCCCTGTCCTGAGAGTTTAGAATCTAGCAGAGGAGACAGAATAAAGAAGTATAAGCATGGTAATCACATTAATACATAACTGATAAAATCTTCAAGTTTCTGCTAATGTCTCAAGATATCCTGTAAAATCTCTGATAAACGGTCGCGAATTTCTGGCTTGGCTCTGTAAACTAAAAATAAAGTTCTAAGCCTTCCCAGCCAACCAAATGGACCCTCCTCTTGGCCAAGGGCTTTCCAAAGTCAATCTGAAACACCAGTTCAGGCCATGGTGCAAATGGGTGGTCAGACATGCCTTCCTTACACCCCACTTCTCTTTGGAATTCAGGCATGATTGACCAGCACTAACATTTAAAACAGAGAACTTAAGACTGACAAAGCAGACGCTTTGTTACAATAATATACCGACATGACAGACAGCAGGCCCCGAGAGAAATCAAAGTATTTCACCCCCGAATTTGTTTCTTTGACATATTTTGAAATGACCCTGTAAAGCTGTCTTTTGTGGGGAAAATCTACATTCTGTAGAGAATTCTCTTCCTTTCTAGGTCTTTTTCCTGATCCAGGAGAGAATTAACTAAGAGCCTGGCATCTTTTAACGTCTGATAAGAAACATTTACAATCTATTCTCTCTGAAGCCGGCTACCTGGAGGCTTCCCCTGCAGAATGAAAACCTTGGTCTCCAAAACCTCTTATCTTAGTCCAAACACTCCCTCCTTCTATTGACTCTAGTCTTTAGATAAACTCTTTCAACCAATTGCCAGTTAGAAAATCTTTTAATCACCTGGAAGCCACACCCCCATCCCTACACAATTGCTTCCAGTTGTCTTGCCTTTTAGGGCTGAGCCAATGTACCATCCATGTATTGATTGACGTTTATGTCTCTCTATAACATATAAAACCAAGCTGTAGCCCAACCACCTTGGGAACATGTTCTCAGGATCTCCTGAGACTGTGTTATGCACATGCCCTTAGCTTTGGCAAAATAAACTTCTAAATTAATTGAGACTTGTTTTATACTTTTTGGTTTACAGGTTCCATTTTAAATAGGTGTATATTCTACACTGTGAATAGCCCTTGTCTTCCACCTTTCTGTGGTCATATTTTCCTCAATGTCTAAAGGAAATGATTCAAGAACACATCCACCAATACTGGGGAAAGTGCTCTTCTCAATATATGTAAGGATTTTGGAAGATAAGGTGGGAGTAAACACTAATGTTCAACTAATAATTCCCACATCCGTTGCTGCATTAATCTCCATGTCTTACTTCCCTTTCTACCTTTTGTGGTTGTCATGAATTATCTTTGAATCTCAGCCCTGTGGAAAATGTTGTCTAAAACAGAAAGCTGCTGTGTGTATCAGACCCTGAAAATTGGAAGTTAATGAGTGAGAAGTGGGAAACTATATCACCGAAATAAAATAATAACTAAAAATTAAGTAGTAAACATTATTATTATAAAACACCCTAAGATATCCAACTATGGAGAATTTCACAATTTATATCTACCTCAGCCTTCCAACATGTTAAGAGGCCTGCTTTCCTCTGTTTTATTGCTTCTCACATTTATTGTCTTTCTCCCAGTTCTAGGTTTCTCCATTTTCCACCCATCCATTCAGAAACAAAACTCAAAAAAAAAAAATTGTCATTAGAATAGGTTTTTTTGGGTTTTTTTTTCTTTTTGGTGAGAAGGAGTTTTGCTCTTGCTGCCCAGGCTGGAGTGCAGTTGTGGGATCTCGGCTCACTGCAACCTCCACCTCCTGGATTCAAGCAATTCTCCTGTCTCAGCCTCCTGAGTAGCTGGGATTACAGGCACCCACCACCAGAATAAGTTTTAAAAGTCTCATAAAAAGTCATGTAAATCCTTTTCAGTGTCCTGGATATAGAAAGAAGCAGTGATTTACATTTTCTTCTTATTTTTGTTTTCATGATAGTTTTTCCTTTACATTAGGTCATAGAGTTGAGTAAAGCAAGAGAAAGCTTGCTCATTAAATTTTCAAATGACAGAAAGTTGGGAAGTTCAGCTCATATAAAAGATGATTGAATCAAGGTGCAAATGTATTCTTCTAGGTTGAAATTATGAAAGAAAATTGAATAGTCATTAATACGAAGTCCAGCATTTATAGTAAATGAAAAGTCAAGTAGAAGTTAGGCATATCTGCTGTGACAAACAGTGCTAGCGGCCTACACAATATCCATTTTGAATTTTTATCTCACTAACAGATCCCTAAGGTATATTCAGCTAGAAAACAGTTTTCCAGTCATCCCTTACAGATACACTGTGTATTAGTCCATTTTCATGCTGCTGATAAAGACATATCCGAGACTGGGAAGAAAAAAGGCTTAATCGGACTTACAGTTCCACAAGCCTGGGGAGGCCACAGAATCATGGCAGGAGGTGAAGGGCACTTCTTACATGGTGGCGGCAAGAGAAAATGAGGAAGATGCAAAAGCGGAAACCCCTGCATCAGATCTTGTGTGACTTATACCCTGCAATGAGAAGTGTATGGGGAAAACCACCCCCCCAGGGTTCAAATTATCTCCCATTGGGTCCCTTCCACAACACATGGGAATTATGGGAGTACAATTCAAGATGAGACTTGGGTGGGGACACAGAGCCAAACCATATCACACAGATCAATGAAAAATAAATTGAAATCATTTGGACAAAACTTCCAGGAAAGTCCTTTTAATCCCTCCCATTCCTCCTCCTTTCTCCCTTGCATAAAATTCCATTCTTGGAGTCAAATAGCCATTTGTGACCCATCAATGGAACATCTGACTTAGGGATTGTAGAACACAAAGCTAGAAGGAGCCTACGTCTCTAATGACACAGGATTATTTAATTTTAGATTAAAATGTATTAAAATGGAAACATCAGTGTCAATACACTTGAAAACATATATTTCAACGTATGCGGAATAACGTTCCAAATGTCTTTTTGCCCCTGTACCTTTTTTTCATTCCCACAGCTTCATGTTTATCTTGCTATCAATTAGAAAAACATGAAACAAAACAACAAACTAGGACATAAACTGCAATAACAACAAAACTAAAACAACAAAATCAAAATTTAAAAACAATCATATTAGCAAAAACCCTATTAGCTCATTGTATGGATTCAAGGGAATCAACAAAGAGACTAAGCTAAGGAGAAAATATGCCCCAAACATCTATTTAAAGTAACAGGATGGGTGCACTGTATCCAGTATGTTCAATTATAGAGGCTTCAGCTTCAATCCGTGAAAATAGGTAAAAATTACTTAACTAATACTTCAATGCAGACATTCCTTTGTTGCTTACCTTACATTCCCCTCAGGTGTCTGGGAGATATTTGTCTTCCTACAACTCAAAATATATGAGCCACAGAGCATCGCCAGATGTACAAGTGCACTGGCTGAACTACTTCTCATTATTAATGAAGTGAAGCTGACACGTCTAATGAGTTTACTTCCATTTAACCTATCATGCAGTCATGCTTGAAGGTTCAGCCATGAATCCGTATGATGATGATGATGACAACTGGGGACACATTTCTTATCATTTACTACATTTTCTGCCTCAGTAGTTGGCAAACCTACATGCCAGTCCCAGGGAACTTCATTATACAATCTCTTCCTACTGATTCCTTTTCCCAAAAAGTGCCATGTATAACATAGCATGAAATCTGCTATGAATTATTATGAATAAGTAACATCACTTGATGTTATGTCCTGGTTCAGCAGCACACAAGGACCAGTAGTCAATCTTAAAACAGCCAGACTCATGTATCTTTTGTGCAAAATGACCACAATCAGAAATCACAGGTGTATGTGTCATAGGCAATGGACTCAAAGCTAGGGGTGCAGGCATGGACATTCTTTTATTCAGTAGTACACTGCAAAAGATTATATGAGCATACAAGGACAAAGAAGGTTACTTTTACCAGTGTATTACAGTGATATATTTTCTTTATAAAACTGGTATAAACATTATAGACATTTCTAAAAATGAAAACAAAAAGGGAAAAAATCCATAGCTATGGCAGGCCCACACAACCACTGCTAACTTTAAACATTATATCCTTTTAGACTTCTGCTAAACACATATTTTACATTGGTATAATCACGCTATAATGTAATTTGTATTATGCTTTCCTCATTTAATTTAAATGAGTGAATATTTCTATACTTTATATGAGATCAGTAAAAATACTACGACATCACAAATTGTTACACTGTAGTTTATTAACCAGTCCTCTTTTGAACATTTATTTCCTATTATAAAATCAATTACTGCTAATCATCACCCTGTAAATATACATATTTCTCTATTTAAGATGATTCTTTTAAAATAGATTCTCAGAAGTGAAATTACTCAAAGGCATAGACGTTGTAAGTCACCTCTACACAGGTGGTTACAGAAAAGTCTCCTTAAAGATTTGAACATTTTTTCTTAATGCACCTGATGAAGTCTGGTACCAATAAATAATTTGATTTCATAATACAGTTGCATCTTTATAGAGGACTAGTATAATATATATATATAATAAAATTTTTAAGTTCAGAAGCTCAGCTTTGCTATTAATATAACTGGATTTCCTCTTTTGAACAGGGAAATATCTCTGTTCTCACTTTTCCTTGTATCCTTTGTTCACAAAAAGTCTGTGCCTTATGTCACATTCCCTCAGGATTTCATTTTTATTAGGAAATAATCAGTCTTATAAATTGGTTAATACAAATGTGGCTAGAAACTATCATTACCCTTTCCTAGTTAATACTTTTCTATTTTACTCAAATGTACATATCTACAAAACATTCTCAAAGAAATTGCTACTAAATAATGCTTTGGAATTTTCTTATGTAGTAATGGGTCATGAAGGAGCATATTTTGCAAAAAAGAATGTAGTAAGTCCTTGTGAAATCACAAATGTCAGAGCCGGTGGCCTTTGTTATATCCAGATACACACACACACACACGCACACAAATCTACATAACCGAATCTTAAATTGTTTCTATACACATACTTGTCTAGGATCAGAAAAGCCTTAGTTTAAACCCCTGGCCACACACTTAAAATTTGTTAGCAGGTCACTTAATCTCTTTTTAGCTAACATTTCCAGATCTGCAAAGTGGAGATAAAATACCTACATTATAAGATGGTTATGAAGATTACAAATGGACACTATGAAAATTATAAAACTGTACAAAAATATATGCATTTTTAGGAAGTATTAACTACTCACTGAAAAACATGTAAGCAATGATAGAAAATGGAATTACAATATGATAGCCAAATCACCTTTATGACACATGCGGGAATGGAAAAAAATTGAGAGGCAGCTTTATCGTATTTCTAAAAATGGTGGCTTATATTGGACATAGTGAGAAAAAAGATGTTAAACAAAATGAAAATGTTAATCTTTTATTAAGCAGTTTCAGAGACAAACATTTCTAATCACTGGAAAAATAATAAGGCACTGACTATCCAGAATCTATTCATATTTCACCTGTAAATGTAGGCTCTTCATTTGTGAATCCCTCCATCCTTTTCTCTCATATCACATAGTCCCACATACCTGATTCCACCCCCACCCCAGAGGCAATAATGAGTTTCGTAGGACCAATCAGAGTCTTGAAGTCTCTTAACCACAATGACCGACTGAGACAGGTAGGTCATCCCGTCACACAGATAAAATTATTGCAGATTTTGCCAAAACTACTTGATTAGAAAAAGGTATTCTTTTTTCAGCATTTAGAATTGTGATGTGGGGACCTGCTGCAATTATCTTGGTAGCTCGAGCAGTAAAGTCCATCTGAGACTATGCAGAAAACAGGGAAGGGAGCACAGCTAAGAGAGCGGAGCAAGGAGGAAGAGAGAGAGATAAGCTAACCCTCAGATCCTAAAATCATCTGTGTCTTAAACCAGCACGTCAGTAACTTCCATTCATCCTTCCACATCCACTCACCAGTTATTCCATCTTGTTCAGTGTCTGGACTGGGAGAGTGCATTTATAAGGATGGTATCAAGGAGCTTCTTTACCTCTGACTTCAAGTTAGTTTCAAATTGTAAACATCGGCAGGAGATTGCAGAGAAGGAAGAAAATAAAGTGAGACTATTTTATTATCCTGGATTCTTCCCTGAGGTGTTGAATCAGGTTTGCTGCACACCTTAGCTAAAATCTCAGCTCTTGGCAGGTGGTCTTCTCCATGTAGATCAGTCTCTAGGTTCCTGTCACTGCCCCATGCCCTCCCCCAGGCCCTGGACTTTGTAACAGCTCTTTGTGTACAGGCATTAGACTATTGCACTGTATCTTATGGTTTCCCTATACACTTCCTCCACATTTCTGCATATCCTCTTTCATTACTATTTCTCAAGTTACCCAATGTGAGTACTCCATCTGCTTCTAGCTTTGACTTTCACCAATAAACCAGTCCCACAATGAACATTGCAATTATCTGAGTAGGTAACACACTATTTTGTCGTGTTCAAACTAGTGCATGTTGTGTTTTGTATCACTTGTGACAGAAAGAATTCTAATAGATGAAAGCACCATTGTCTCCGCATGCATTGATAAATTCGGAAGGGTACAGTTACTCTGCAAAGAGTCAGATTTTTTTTTTTAAATAAAACAAGGGGACATTCAAACTTTTAGATGATAAGTTTCAATGAGTTATTTAAGGAAGCAAAAATATGTTCTTGCTCAATGGATATCCACTGTAAGTAAAAGGAGCAGTTAACCACAGGAAATAATTAAACTGCGTAATAACCTTATTGTAAATCATGGCTAAATTAAAATCATATCTCAGTTATTTATTTTCACAGTAACTCCTGGGGTTAAAACAGTAAATGGGATCAAGAATGAATAAATAAGTGAATGAATGAACAAACAAGCATTTATTGATATTAAGTATTTAAAGCCTATAAAACCCTTTAAACACTTTTTGTTAATTAAGTGTCACTACTTTGCGACACGGGTTAGAAAAGGATCTTGAGCTGTGCATAGCTTATGGTAGGCTGAATAATGATTTTCAAACATATGCCCGTCTTAATAACCAGAAGCTGCGAATGTTATATGTCAAAAAGTATTTTGCAAATGTTATTGAGAATCTTGAGATGGAGAGATTATTTTGGACTATGCAGGTGGACCCTAAATGTAATATAAATGTCTTTATAAAAGGGAGGTGGAAGGAGATTTAACCATTAAAGATGAATACAACGCAAGGATTGAAGTACAAGGTTAAGCTACTTGGCTGGCTTTGAAAAGCGAGAGAGTCAGCAGCCAAGGAATGAAAGAAATGCGGCACTAGAAACTGAGAAATGAAAGGAAATGGATTTTCTCCCAAAGTATTTTGTGGGATCTCAGCCCTGCTGGCACCCTGCTTTCAGCCCGGGAAAACTGATTTTCAGCCCAGGAAAACTATTCTTTATCTTATAGATGGTTAGATGATGGTGACTACATTTCCCTAACTAATTCTGCAAAGTTATAGCAGAGCTCCCCAGAGACATTGGCTCTTAATGAGTACTCAAGTCAGCTCTTTCACAGAAAGACTGAATTTTCAGAATCTCACGAGTGGCTTTTAAATCCAAGTTATTGATGGTTGCTTTGTTTTTGGAGCAGTATTTGTGTCTTGTTTAGTAATGTGGATTCTCTTACAGAACAAATTTCTGTTTAGAAGCTTTTAGAATAAATAAGAGGAAAAAATCTTTTAGCCCCTGTGGACCACTAAAAACTGATCCACCAAAAATCTTTTGCCAAGTATCTGAAAAAGAGACATCTGTTTGGGACTTGGTTTGGCATGTTCCAAGAGTGAATCCTGGAAGGAAAAAAGAAATGAATTACTTGGCATACAACAGGATGGGAATAGGCCACTCGGGATAATTGAATGTAGACGACATAAGAAAGAAGCGTTCCACTTAGGAACTATCAACTAACAATTACTAATGAAGGAGGCACCAGAGGGAAAAACCTGGTCTAGTCATAAAAGCAACCAGAGAACTTCTGGGTGGAACCAAAGATGCCCTCAGAGCTACTCTATAAAATAGGCCAATTATTAACTAGTGAGTGACCAAATAATATTTGCAAGTAAAGAGGGGGTAAATAACTGTTACACTTGGCAATATCCAACGAGCCAGCTCTGTACAGGAAATAAAAAGGGATCTGATTTGGGGGAAAAGAGGTAGGCACTGTCACAGACTCACATGATCATGCTCGGTCTAGAAAACTTTGCTTTTTAAGAAGCACATAACAGCTAGATTTATTATTTTCAAATGTAGATAAGACCATGTCACTACTCAAGCCTCTACAAAGAAGTGGAATTGCACTTTGAATACAATCTAAGCATCTTGGCACGTGCCCTGTGTACTATACTTTAACTCCCCTGGTTTCTTTCAGTTTCCCAAACTTTTTTTTTGCCTCCAGCCTTTGCGCAAGTGATTTGCTCTGGGTAAGTATTCTTTCTTTTTCTTTTCTTTGAGACAGAGTCTCACTCTGTCACCCAGGCTGGAGAACAGTGGTGCAATCTCAGCTCACTGTTCAATCTCACTCCCAGGTTCAAGTGACTCTCCCACCTCAGCCCCACAAATAGCTGGGACCACAGACCCGCACCACCATGCCCAGCTAATTTTTGTATTTTTTGTAGAGACAGGATTTCGTCATGTTGCCCAGGCTGGTCTCAAACTCCTGGACTCAGGCAATCCGCCAGCCTCAGTCTCCCAAATTGCTGGGATTACAAGCATGAGCCACCATGCCTGGCCTTATTCTTCCTATCAGAAAAATCAAATAAACAGACAAACAAACAAACAAAACCTGGTTTATAGTGCAGTCCAGCAGGTAATAACATCAGTTCCATACAGTTGTCCCAACTATAGATGTTTGGAAGGGAAATGACAATCAACACATGTTATACTACTCTTCCTTTGATCAAGCTTATATTTAAAAAGCTTTTTTATAGCTTTGCTGTACATAAATGTTTTCTATTAGAGCAACACTGTGTAATAATTAATCATTTATGTGTCCGATGTCAGGTGCCTATATATTTAAAACTGTTATATCCTCTTGATGAAGTGACCTCTTTATCATTACATAATGACCTTGTCTCTTTTTATAGTTCTTGACTGAAAGCCTATTTTGTCTGATATAAAGATAGCCACCCCTTCTCTCCTTTGGTTTCCATTTGCCTGGTATGTCTTTCTTCCTCCCTTCACTTTCAGTCTATGTTTGGCTTGTATATTTCAACATTTCTAAGAGTAGACTTTAAATATTTTTGCCACAAAAAAGGTAAGCATGTGAATCAATGAATTTGTTAATTAGCCTGATTTTATCATCCCACATTGTAAACATATATCCAAACATCACATTGTACCCCATAAGTATATACAATTGTTATTGGTTAAAAAATAAAATTTAAACGCTTTTTAAAATAGAATAACCCTTCCCCAGAGAAAAGTCTTGCCTTTGTTCTTGGCTCCTGAGAGGTGATCTCTAAGTCTTTGGAATGTCCTTTCTGCTAAGAATATCTTTGTTTACCTGGGGATCTTGAACCAGAGCCAGTGATGTAACTACATGACTAACGATAGGAGTTTTGGGCCAGGTATCAGCTCCCTGCCCAGAGGGTCTAGAGACTAAAGGTCAGCCACACAGTCAGTCTAATATGTCTATGTGACCAAGTGCCAGTAAAAACTCAACACTGGGGCGTGGTGGTTTCCTTGGTGGGTAATACCCCATGCAAACTGTGATACATCATTGCAGAAAAACAAGCATTCTTCATGACTTCCCTGGGGAAGGATAACTGGAAGCTTTGCATTTGGAACTCTCCTGGACTCTGCTCTCTTTGTATCTCTTCCCTTGGATAATTTTAATCTGTATCTTTTTGCTGTGATAAACTATTAACTATATACTGTATTACAGCTTTCCATGATTTTTGTGGGTTCTTCTAGTGAATTATCAAAACTGATGGTGGTTTTGGTAACTTTTGAACTTTGTAAGGACAGCTGTTCTCAAGTCAGCTATAGAAGACAAATAAATTGCTTTCATTCACAGAAGCTCTTGTGACTTATCTCTTTAAGGATAACTGAAAACACAAAACTCTTTCACTTACAAGCAGTGAGTTTATGCCACATAGAGACCTTGGGTCCAGAGCTAATGGCTGTTTGAAGTAGTCTCACCCCTGAGTGGGAATGGGGACCCTAAAAAGGCAGTGAAATGAGGAAATTCTCTGCAGTGTCCAACCTTTGATCTGGGTATTCTCTAAAGAAACCATTTGGTTAAGCCAGGTGTGGTGGCTCACACCTATAATCCTAGCACTTTGGGAGGTCGAGGTTGGCGGATCATGAGGTCAGGAGTTTGAGACCAGCCTGGCCAACATGGTGAAACCCCATCTCTACTAAAAAATACAAAAATTAGCCGGGGACAGTGGCGCATGCCTGTAGTCCCAGCTACTTGGGAGGCTGAGGCAAGAGAATTGCTTGAACCTGAGAGGCAGAGGTTGCAGTGAGCCGAGATCGTGCCACTGCACTCCAGCCTGGGGGATAGAGCAAGACTCTGTCTCAAAAAAAGAAAAGAAAAGAAAAAAGAAACCATTCGCTTCATAGATCAGAATAACTACAGTGAAGTTTTATCACATTGCTTTTTAACAGCCATTGCCTTAAATATGGGCTTTAGAACAATGCCTACATTAAGAGGCTACTCCATCACCTCAATTAACCCCTACATATGCTGACATGACAAAGATATAATCTAAAAGCAGAAATGAGGAAGCCTGGTTTGCAAAACAGAAAGGTTTAGAATTCCTCACCCCTGCCACAAGGATATACAGATTTGTCATTTGTCTAAAAGGCATGCTGGTTTGAATGCTGGGACACCTGGATATGGGCTTGCTTTTTTTAATATGGTTAACGTCTATTTTTAATGTGTACGTAAGTTACTGTGCTTAACTATATATGTGGTGTTCTACTTCATGCTCTATTTAACAAACTTCTAAGAGTAATTTAGTTCACCTGCTTTAAATTCAGTTGAAGTAGAATGGAAGTGAACTGTATTCTCAGTTATTCTAATTGTCTAGGCAACTCAGATACACTTTTTCACTTACACTCCCTGCCCACCTTTTCATGGCTGTCTTCTCCTCATCCCTCAGGCTTCCACTGAAATGTCACCTCCACTGAGAACTCTTTACTTACTGTCTGTCAAAATTATTCTGTCCTCTGTCCACATAGATATTCTTTCTCTAGCACCTGCTGTTTTTTCTTCTTACAGCATATATCCCAAATTATTGATTTATATTTTATTGTTGTTTAGTTTCTTTTGCATTTGTCTTTCAAACTGGATTGTACATCTCCTGAAAAAGAGAACATATCTTTTTGGCTTATATCATCAGGTATAAAAAGTACTGTGCCTGGTAAATAGTGCCCCAAACCATAAAGGGACACATTTGAAAAATGATTGAATGTAGCACTATGAGCAGGTGGGGGCACTTAAGATAGATCTGAATTACCATTGATGAATTACCCTTTCATTCTATGCTTTCTCTATAGACTTTTAAGTGTTAGGGGCATTGTGAATACAGATTAGACAAGAGCATCAGACCAAAGACTCTCCCAATGAGCTCTAGAACTTTACATGGAACAGACTGAGAAAACAGGGTAAGGTAAACCAATAAACCCATGTAATATCTACTCCTTAGATGAAGAGCTAATCTAACAAGAGAAAAGGGAAAAGAGAAGGATTTAAATAATTGAGATGGATGATTTAGTATACTGGAGAGATTTTGGTTCTCTAAATCTATTTCCTGAACTGAAAAATAGGGAAATAAATTCTTACCCCTCAGGACTGCTGTAAGGATTATATGAGATAATGTAAATAAGTTGAAGACAATAGTTTGTGTGTAATACACTGGATAAATATTACTTCCTTTTACCCTTATCTCATCTATTGAATATTAATAAGAGCTAACACCTGCTTAATGCTTGCTTAGTGCTAAAAACTGCTGTAGGCATTTATATATGTTAATTCATTTCTTTTTCACAACTCTATGAGGCCAGTGCTCTTTATCATCCACATTTTACAGATGAAGAAACTGACATTCATTGAAGTTAAGTCATCTGCCTAAGGCCACATAGCTCATAAGTGACAGAGTTGTGATTCAGAGACAAGCAGCCCAGGTAAATTGTCTGTGCTCTTAACCAACATGCCCTGCGGTCATTTCAATAAATAAATTAACAACTGTTTGTTAAACACTACAATGTGCCAGAAAGTAGTCATTGTCTTATTTAGTCTTTGCAAAACAGAGTAGGTATTCTCTATTTTTGAATAAGTTGACATTCACAAAGATTTAGTCATTTATCCAAGATTTCTTGTTTCACAAGCCACAGAATTAGTATTTGAATTAATTTCTGTTAAACTTAAAAAAGTATTCTGTTGCCTTAGAAAACTTTACTGAAGCCTTTTTATATCAAAACCCTTTTATATAACTAATTATTATGTTTCCAAGTTTGCACATAGCTACAGAGACTTTTATATACACATGCAAAGGTAATATTCTCATGGAATAAATTCTTTTATAGCTATCTAAGTATGTGAACTTTAAATTAGTATCAATATTATTTCATTTTTGGTCTAAAAGAAGGATATACCTATCCTAACTCTTACTCAGTCGTTACGATAGTTGACCCTTGAACAACATGAGTTTGAACTGTGTAGGTCCACTTATATGTGTTTTTTTTTAAATAAATATATTGGAAATTTTTTGGAAATTAGCTACACAGTTTTAGAGGTTCCCACACAGGCACTGAGGTTCCACTCAGGCACTGAGAACATTTCCCTGCTAAATGAAACTGTAAAAGTGGAGATTTTCATTCTCTATAGTTTTGCTTTGGCCAGGACATGAAAAACACAGTGGATAGGATAAAAGGATTTCTAATGGTAGCAGGAGAATAATTTAAAAGGGTCCTAGATTCCTAATTCTTTTTTTTGTTTGTTTGTTTTTAACTGGTACACTTCTGACATGAAATAGTGCAATTCCCTCACTAGATGAGGAATCTAAGAATAGCCTTTCAGGGTAGTGAGTTCTAGGCAGCGCAATCGGCCCCGTATGTGAGCTCAAGTGAGCTTCTGCACTCCTGCCCAGGGGTTTCAGGAGGCAGCTTGTGGTGGTACCAAGAGAAGACTGCAAAACGGAAACAGCATGTGAATAGGTCAGTGCAGTGGGCTGCACAAAAGAAAATGTTCATGAAATAACTGAGAGTGGAGACTGTAAACTAGGGAATTCAACAAAAGCAATTTCAAATTCAACAAAAGCAGAGGGGAAATAGCATACAAAGCAGGTGAAGCTAGATGATATTTTGAGATATTTACTTGTTTTAGTTTGCGTTTTTCTACCTCTGTTTCTCTCTCACATGACTTTTAGCCCACTTCACGTGGGTTGCCTGCTCCACACCTTATTCCCTAAGGGGAGATACATGACACAGTAGAGAGTGAGTTTACTTAGAGACTCAGCCCAAGCAGAGTTCAGTTCTTTTTGGCTTTTGTTGTTCAAAAGCTTAAATGCTTAGGATAATTAAAAGTGTTTGCTAATGCATAGGAGGGATAAAAGAGTATTAGAAAAAGCACACTGGAAGAAACAATAAGGAATAAAATGTTAGCCTCAGGCTGAAGTTTCAACTGGGCTGAGGAGAGAGGGTTGGGAGGAGGGTTCCATATCCTCAGAGAAGGCAGCTAGAGTTCTCAGGAAATGACAGTTACCCAGAAAATGGACAAGGAACTGAGGCCTGGACATATCTGGAGGGCCTCAGCAAATAGTCCCAGTCTGTAAGTTTTATTACTGATCCTGAGGAGCTATACAAAGGAAACCATAAATCTTTCAATATCGGCATGGACAACTTTCCACATTTCTTTCCCCCATGACATCATGGCACACATAAATCCTAAGTATTATGTCACAACACTGCAAAGCTGAGTGAGAGTGCAAACTGCGCCAATGGTCTACGTTAATATTTTTATAGCTTGTGGAAATATAAATACAAAATACAAATTAAATAAACTATAAAGAACAAATTTTAACACCCCTGAGATTGAGACTAAGATTCATACCTAAAACAGAAAGTCATCTTGCTTGGAAAAAATTAATGGATAGATGTCTGATCTTCACCTCATTTCCTTAACACCTTTCTGAGAAGATTGTTTGTTTTTAATTTGTTATTCTAAATTCAAATCTGATCATGCCAGACCTGCTCCAGTGTCCTCAGGATAAAGCCCCAAATCCTTTGAATGGCCATTCATCACTTCTTTGCATCAACTTCGAGGTCATCTATCCCTGCTCTACCCCTTTTCACACTTTGTTCTTCAGGGATGCCTAGTGACTGGCAATTCCACAAACACAATTTGCATTCCTGTAAGCACACACTGTTCTTTGCCTTGAGTGCACAAGGGGTACTTCTCATGCACAAGGGGTACTGCTTCCTCTGCCTGCCACACTCTTTCTTATCCTTCAGGGTTTGGCTTAGACCTCCACTCTCTTGAAACCCTGGCTTGAATTCCTAAGAGAAGACTGTGTGGTCCTCCTCTGTGCTCCCATTTCACATGGTACCTGTTTCTTATAATGTTTCTTCTAGCAAAATGCTTGGCATCCCATAGGGCTCAAAATATTTATTGAATATATTAATGACTCTTGCAAGCCAGCTATGACCTCGCATTTAAGATTCATTATTTCCAAGCAATCAAAAAATGACATTGACTATGTGATAAGAATTTAAACAGGAGCAAAGGATTGGATATCAGAACTTCAAGGGACCTGAATTATATGATTTGACCCGACCAGTTCTTCCCCTAAGCTCCTTTCAAGGCAGAAGTATCTTTTATCTTTGTATCTCAGTATCTAACATGATGCTATTACATAGTAGATTCTTTAGAAATTATCGAGATAGGGAAGAAGGGAAGGATACAAGGAGGAAGGGAGAGAAAATTAAAATGGAGGGAGGAATTTAAATTTCTGTGGTCAACCAATGGCAAATTCAGGATTAGGCTTCACAGTCCGGATTTAAGACTGACCATTAGCCCAGTTCCCTTTTACCAGGCTAATGTACGGCACACAGAATCCTCTAGGGATTAGTCAATCACCTGTGAGAAGGTATTTCTTGGCAATATTACTCTACTGCTTTTCATTATATGTTATTTAAATTCAGAACACTCCTGTCATATGAATGCAGGCAATTAAATATTTTCCACATGAGCCATTCCTTCTTCTGGCAGAACTCAGATTATTTAATAACACTGTGGAGGAAAAAACCTCCTGGAATTTCACTTTTCATGAGAAATTAGATATTTGCTGATTTAGATTAAACTTGCCGTGGCAAATAAACTGCCACAATGTCCCTAGCCATATACTCCATGGTATGATGTCAGATCCTTTTCAGTAAGTTTTCAAAATGACTCTCAAATATGTAACAACATCATTTCAGATTAAATGACAGTTTTGAGTACGTGAAAACCCTAAACAGCATTTATCGGAGTTGGAGACACTAATATAAAAGAGTGAATAACCATGGCATGCTTAATTTGCAGTTCTTTTTCACTTCCCTACAGACAGCTCAGTGTCTCTTTGCTGCTTAGGAGCTTGTTTTACAACACCACCATGAGCATTTCTGCCTCCATCTGGGCAGGTACAATCCATTTTCTCTGGTACTGAGTTACTCAATGCCTTCAGACAGTTTTGCATTGCAGGAAGAGATCAGATAGCCTGACTTCTTTCTAATAAAGGTGTATTGCTATAATCTGGGGCTGTACTTTCCACATTTGTCCTTAACTACAACATGTTTTGTCAATTACCACATATTTCATGTGGTAAAGTAAAGAAAAATCTCTTTTCATAGAGGCATCGTACAGTATAAAATTGCTTTACAACTTTTTGACTCTAAGAGCTTAGGTTGAGGAAACATAGGATTGGAATATAACTGTTTAGCAAATATAGTAGTTTTCAATGACTTCAAATGCAAAATGTATTTATGTTGAGGCATCACTTACAAATGAGGCAAATATAAAATAAAACAGTTGCTTCAAAAGGCAGTGGCGGGGCTGGGTGCGGTGGCTCATGCCTGTAATCCCAGCACTTTGGGAGGCTGAGGCGGGTGGGTCATGAGGTCAGGAGTTCGAGATCAGCCTGGCCAATATGCTGAAACCCCATCTCTACTAAAAATACAAAAATTAGCCTGGTGTGGTGGCACGCACCTGTAGTCCCAGCAGCTAGGGAGGCTGAGGCAGAAAAATCGCCTGAACCGGGAGGCGAAGGTTGCAGTGAGTCAAGATTGCGCCATTGCACTCCAGCCTGGGTGACAGAGCAAGACTCTGACAAAAAAATAAAATAAAATAAAATAAAATAAGATAAAATAAAATAAAATGAAAGGCAGTGGCGGGGGCCGGGGGGGATCTTGGCAATATGACTAATTTTCATGAAGCAAGACTGCATCACATTCCAGATATATTTGGGAACATTCATTCTTTTCTCCTGAAGTCTGGCAGTCTTTTTTTCCTTTAATTTTTGATGTAGCATAGTTTCCTGGGCTTATTATTTTAACCTTCCTTTATAATAACTGGAATTCCTTCTCTCTCTGTCCCTTGTCCATCTGATCCAGGACTGGAGTCAAATTTCCATCCTAGAATAATCCAACTATCCACATCTTTCAGTCCATCATCAGGAACCATAGCTACTATTTATTGAGAACTTATTCCACTTAAGACACTATGCTAAGCGTGTTTAAGACAACGTCTTACATATACTCAGAGAAATCCAATGACATAGGCACTTTTAAATCTTTACCTCTATTAAGAACTTCGTGAGTTCTAAAACGGTTTCCTCTGGGTTGTCTAACAAGTCCCTAAAAGGTAACTTTTCTCTAACTAAGCCTGTGCCTCCTCCTATATTATCATTGTATAATTTAAGAACCTGGACTCATTCTAATCTCCTCCCCTTTCCTCCTACCCAACATCTAATTGCAAAGTTGTATCAATTTACCACCCAGCTACTTCTCAAATTTCTTAGTTACTCTCAATTTTTTCTGCTACTGCTTTAGTTTAGATCCTAATTACTACGCTTATATATAATTACAATATTCTACTGCCAGTTTGTCTTTAGTTACCTCTTTTTATTATATTATTATTATTATTATTATTGAGATGGAGTCTCACTCTGTCACCCAGGCTGGAATGCAGTGGTGTGATTTCCACTCACTGCAAACTCCACCTCCAGGATTCAAGTGTTTCTTGTGTCTCAGCCTCCTGAGTAGCTGGGATTACAGACATACACCACCATGCCTGGCTAATTTTTGTATTTTTAGTATTGACAGGGTTTTGCCATGTTGCCCAGACTGGTCTCGAACTCCTGGCCTTATGTGATCTGCCCACCTCAGCCTCCCAAAGTGCTGGGATTACAGTCATGAGCCACCGTGCCCAGCCTACTTATCTCATTCCACTGTATTTTCCATACTATTGCCTGAGGGATCTCCCTAAAATATAATTTTCAACATATCACCACCCTGCTTCATTGGGTTCCCCAAAATCCTTAGTTTAAACCAAAACTCTTTTGCAAACTCTTTGAAAATATTCTCTTTAACCCTGAGTTTCTAGCCTCCTTGTCCGCCAATCGCATAAGAACTCTTTACTAACCCAACCATAGCCATTTTCCAAACATATTTTTTGATGTTAACAATTTTTTTTTCCCGGAGCTTTCAGATTTTGATAAGATGGTAGTAGGAGAAGACAATATAGAATATATCACGAGGCAGAAATCTGATGGGAGTACAGGGTAGCTCCACCATCAGGCACCAAAGATTTTATAAGTGTGAAAGTTGTCAGAATCAAAATCCGGACAAACAGAGCCAGGGAAGGCCATGAAAAGAGAGTTCTCAAGCTTGTATACTTGATAACAAAAAAAGATGCTGCAAAACCCACAAATTTGCCCAAGGCCATTGTGACCTTACACAAAAAAATACTTCTACAAGGACATCCGCCCAACAATTGCTTGTCCAGCTTTGGACTGGTATCACCCTTGTTATTGATCTTTGTAACCAAGGATAATCATTTCAAAACAATTGTGTAATCATTTTCTCTTATAAAAACTTTTGGCTTTCTTTACCTCTTAAAATATGCATACAATTTATTATGGAAGTGTACTCCCATTGCAATGATCTATTCCTAAAATAAACATATTTTCTTTTGAAGAGCTTCTCTGATATTTACGATGACATAAGGATGTGGGAATCCTCTGTGGAGGGACATAAGGTATAGGGGTGAGGACTGGTAGGAGTGTAGCACTTCTTCCTGGCCAATGTAACGACTGGGGGAAAAATGGATCCAGCTCTCTGAAAATTCCAACTCTTTTTAATACATAGCTGAACTTGAGTATTGAAATTTGTTTTATTTCTTGTTGAATCTAACTTGCCCACACATGACTTTAAATTCCTGTTACACTGGTTTATGCTGATCAACATGGCTATCTTTCAAGAGAACACTATCCTTCAGCAAAATAGAACTTAAAGGCAATCTGCCCAGATAGTGGCAGTCATTTGCAAATAGATGAGCTAATGAGTCTCTTAGAAAGAGCCTGAAAATGACTAATGTGAGTGAGCTAGGAGGGTCCATCAGATAATGCCAACTTTTATGAATCTCCTTTAATTGACTATGATTGACAAGTACATTAATAACTTTTATGTCAAGGGCTTATGTCTTTTCCATTCTGTCACAAGCTGTAAACAATTTCATGCTGAGTATGATAAAAATGAAACTTTCTTGATTGCAGTAAAGGAAATACTTTCAATCCCTAAAAAAATCAGGTATCTTTTATTCCAGATATTTCTATTTGGTAGGTCAATGTACAGTTTCACACATTTAAGAAACCTCCAATATCTTTGCTCTTTGCAGCAAAAAAAGGGATAAAAAAGTTAAAACAATAAAACAACGAAAGTAAGACAATAGAGAGCTCCATTTATTTTGAATTCAATTTTAAGTTTATAGCATGATATTTGTATGTCTTAATCTAAAATTGCTTCAATTTCCTCAATTTTGTACAAAGGGTGATTCAATTTCAGATTAATTCAGATTGCCTTGGTAATACAGCCATTGTCTGCTGAATACATACATCATTATAACAGTGCTGTCCATTTAAATTGCAGTATTCTCTGTTTTCTGATATCCTGAGGTTTGATGCTTGTTTGATTTTGCTAAAGAATTATACTATGGCTTGATAATCAATTTCTTTAAAAGAAACCACGTCAAAATCCAAGAGAATGATACTCATCAATACTGGTCTTTAGTTTTTGTTTTTAAAAATTGTTTTTCAAGATTAATCACAAAAAATACAAAAAAAAGGATATATATACTTGTAACCTACAAATTCCTGGGAGACATTTTCTGCAATTAACAATAAAAAAAGAGACTAACAGGGTATATATCATGAAGTGTCTTTTTAGATGTCCTAATATTCTTACAGTTATTAGGACATTACATTCAACCGGAATAACAGCATGCCTCTTTTTCTTTAAAATTCTGACTAGTGATCTCAAACATGGAACTGTCAAACCATCCAATGCTAAAAAGGGCTCTTGGTGCAATACCCCATTATATGACCTATTTCTTTTTCTTATTCCATCTTGTGGCTGTCCTATAGTTAAGATATAGACAAAGAGACTGGGAGAGTAGAGAAGAAGCAATTTAAAAGTTAAGGCAATGTAATGAATGTTGATGCATACAAAAACTAGAAATCTATTTTTCATAATTGCATAAAATTAGAATATTTAAATTCTAAACATTTTCATATACATAGTGATTGGGAGTCAAAATATGCTTGGTGAGGACTCTATTCATATTGCTTTAGAAAGAAGCAACTGTATTTAAATTGTTTAATAAATATATATGTTATAGAGTCATAAGAGGATTAAATATAATGTTCTTTTTTTAAAAAAACAAATCTGCAATATAGTCAAATTCTTTAAATGGCATTTCTCACTGTTGAGCTAATCTGATTACTTTATAATTCATTTTGATAAAAATAAAATATTTGACCTAGTTAAAAGATACACTGGCAAAATAGGGCTCAATCTGAAATACACATACAAAAAAGCCATGTTCATATAATATAAAAGGGACAGCTAGATTTTGTTTTGTTAGAGAAACAAAAGAACTATGTTCTAGTAGCTAATTAAAAGGTATTAAAATAGAGTCATATTAGAGAAAATGAGTATTTTGTTCTACAGAGATAGCAAAGTGGGCAAAAGCAAGGAACTCAACATTAGTAAGATTAATACAATATTAAGATAGTAAGGGAAATTTATTTTGTGGGCCAATACCCTTAATTATTCACAAACAAATTTTCACAATCATTATCTATTATTAACTTCCATGTGCAAACTCAATGAAGTCATAAGGAGACTAATTTTTCACCATCTGAAAAGAATGCTATTCAAGGAAATCTTATGATCATATCTTTTCTTTAAATTAATAGTCAGAACAAAAGCCTGTACACAAAAAGTTGAAAGAAAACTATTTTGAAAGGGTGTTGTGGTGTCTTGCCATCACAGTCCTGTGAAAAGTCCATGATCTGAGCAGGAACAGAAGGTCACCAAAAAATGGTAGTGGTGATGATAAAGATATTCCTGACTCAAATGGATACAATGGTTTCCCTTAAATCATCTTATTTAAACCACACAAATAACCATCTGAAGAGGCCAGCAAACATATCATTATCACTTAATGGACAATAAAACTGAAGCCCAGAGAAGCTAAGCTCTTTGTGGAGAGTCACATGCAACCGAACTACATTAGAATGACACTGAGTTCTCCACTGCTTGGAAAACCAGTAGTCTTCCTGGTTGATCTGATTTTCTCAATTTGTAAAATTGTGTTAATAATTAGTGTTAAAAGTTATCAAGGGTATTAATGAAATAATGTACATATAGGGCTTAAAATATTATCTGATATATGGCAAATATTATTGCCATTATTATTATAAGTGGTCAGTCACATTTGAACATATTGTATTTGTCAGCTTGAGCTGGTATAACGATATATCACAGACTGGATGGCTTAAGCAAAAATTTATTTTCTTATAGTCCTGGAGGCTGTAAGTCCAACATCAAGGGAACAGCAGGATTGGTTTCTGGTGAGGCCTCTACTGGCTTTCAGATGACTGCTTTCTCGATGTATCCTCACATGGCTTTTTCTCTGTGTGCATACACTTCTGGGGTCTCTTCTTGTAGGACACCAGCAGTATTGGATTAACAGTATTGGCTCTATTGATCTCATTTAATCTTAATTACCTTCTTAAAGACACTGTCTCTAAATAAAGTCACATTGGGGCACTAGACCTTCAACATATGGATTTGGGGACCATAATCTACCCTCTGGTCCCCCAAAATTCATGTTCTCTGGCATGCAAAATGCATTCACCCCATCTCAATAGTCTTAAAAGCCTTAACCCATCCCAGTATCGACTCCAAGATGAAAGTGTATCTAAATATCACATATCGCGTATGGTAAGACTTGAGAGGCAGCATTTGAAATTTGTTTGTGAATAATTCTTCTCCTGCTATGAACCTGCGAAACCTAACAAGGTATGTGCTTCCAGAATAAAATGGTAGGACGGACATAGGAAAGACATTATTGTTCCAAAAGACAGAAATTGGAATAAAGAAAGGGATGATAGATCTCAAGCAAGTCCAAAACCTAGAAAGGCAAATTCTGTTAGATCTGAAGGTTCCAGAGAATAATTCTCTTTGGCTTGATGCTCTGCTTTCCAGTCCCAATAGGGTGGCAGCCTCACTTTCTAGACCCATTGGTGAGGAGTCCCACCCACTCAGCCATGGGTGGCAGTTTTGCCCCTGAGGAAATGAGCAAGGGCAGCCTCATCCTCTGAAACCAAGGAGGTGGTCCTACCCCTGAAACCAGGAAGGAGACAGCCTTGCACCTTTGCATCTGTGGGTTCTGGGCCTGCGGTGTGAGTGGCAGACCTGCTAGTCTCTCAATTGCTGTTTGGATCATTTTTCTTTTTTTTTCCACTTTTATTTTAAGTTCAGGGGTACAAGGGCAAGTTTGTTACATAGGTAACATGGGGGTTTGTTGTACAGATTTTTGCATCACCCAGGTATTAATCCTAGGACCCACTGGTTATTTTTTCTGATCCTCTCCCTCCTACAACCCTCCACCCCTGAAAAGATCCCAGTGTGTGTTGTTCTCCGCTACATATTTATGTTTTCTTATCATTTAGCTCCCATTTACAAGTGAAAACAGTTGGGATTTGGTTTTCTGTTCCTGTGTTAAAGAATAAGGCATATTTTGCAGCCAGAGAGCCAGTTATCTCTTTTGTTCCATTCTATAGAATTTCAGAAGTCTGAAAGCCTTTCTTCATTTTGTCCCATCTTTGTTCCTTTTAGTCCAGTGGCAGGACCTCTGCTGGAGTCACCCATTTATTATTCCTGACCTCTGCAAAGATGGCTAACTAAATTTATGGGTTACCTCTTTATGGAGTGATTGGCCAACCACATTCTTGGTGTTCTCTATAGAACATGCTTTCTCATTTTTTAATAATATGCATTGGCTTAGAATTTTCCAAATATTTTAAGTTCAATTTCCTTTTTGCTTAACACTTCTTTCTTCAATTTCTCTCTCTCCTTTTACATTTTACTTATGAGTATTATAGTATATACTACATATAGTCATGCACCCCATAAGGACATTTCTATCAATGATGGGCCACATATATAATGGTTGTCCCATAAGATTATAATGGAGCTAAAAATTTCCTATCGCCTAGTGACATCATAACCATCAACTTGGCACAATGCATTATCTTTTCTATGTTTAGATACACAAATACTTACCATTACATTACAACTGCATACAGTATTTGGTACAGTAACATGCTGTACAGGTTTGTAGCCTAGGAGCAATAGGCTACACCATATAGGTGCAGACCATGCCATGTAGGTTTGTGTAAATCTACTCTATGATGTTTGCACAATGATGAAATCATCTAACAATGGGTTTCTCAGAATGTATCCCTGTCTGTAAGTGATATACGATCACACTGTAACAAATATTATACTATTTCTCATATCTATGATTTTGTCCACTGTGTTTTCCTGGAATATGTAATGTTAAGAAATAAGAGCTCACACGCAGAAATTGAACTAACAAGTAGAAACTGTTCAATAGCAGGATAACATGCTCTGTCATATTTATGGAAGGGCAACTTATATTCCAATTTAATGAACTTTACTTTCTTTTATTACTTTCCTGCACTTATCTTATTTCTGCAAATTCTATCTGTGTAGCTCTATCCCTTTTATAGCTCCCTGAGAACACATATAGTGCAAGAATGACCGTGGAGGTGAATGAGGAGGAGTGCCTTATGTTCTGCAGTTCGAAGGCTACTTAAGCTACTTAAGGCTACTTAAGAGTGCTGACAACAGTGAAAAAGTGACAACGAAGAGAACAGCCACTCCTCCTCTGCTAGGACCTCCCTCAAAAATCTACTATTCCATCTACATTTGAGGTTGGAATCATTGCTCACTAACTGGCTTCCCCAGAACTCTGTCTCCTGTTATAAAGCCTTTATTTTCCAGACATGCAAAATAACTTCCTATTTCTGTTTGTGCCACTTTCTTTCATACCCTTCAGCTGCCTCATTTTTTCATATACTTGACCATGGGTTTCATATACTTGACTACCCCTAAAATGGGTAGCTTTAAACTCTTTCTGCTGCCTAAAAATACTTATTCTTCTAGACCCAGATTAAATGGCATCTCTTCTATATGATATTTCCTAATATCTCTGGAAGATGTGATCACTCCTTTCATACTTTCATAGAACTGTAACTATAATACTATAATTACTTATTGGTTTAAAGGTTTGTTTCTTCCACTTAGATGCAAGGTCTTGAGAGCAGAGGTGCTATCTTACTAATTTATCTATCTTCAAGGTAAATACAGCAACTGGAATATAGAAGGTACTTAAAAAATGTGCATGGGATGAGTGAATGAATGACTGCAGTGCATTTCTACCCCACCTTTCTGAATTCCCTCTGAGCCAAAAGGTGGTCTTTACCTTTATTAAGACCTGTAGTCCTCTATTACCCACTCTAGATTAAAAAGTAGAATAAATCTTGAGAGAATTAAGTTCTCTTTATTACTGGGGCCCAGCATTGTCTGTGGCTGTTTAATTTGTCAATACTTACGAAACTAATTAGCATTTTCATTCTGCATGAAAAGATCAATATAATTATAAAAATAATTTATGAAGCACTCTGTTACATTTTATAATTTCTACATTGCCTTGCATCAGCCTCCAACTTTAGTCATCCTCTTATTACTGATTATTGCATTTCCCAAACCTTACATGTTGCTGGGCAGTGACAGTTTAGCTGTTCACCAAGCCGATGTCTTCTCCTCTTAGACATGCAGGTAGGCTATGACTCCCTGTCTCTGTTGCTCTGTCAGGTGAGTTCTACCCAGTGGAAAATGAGTAAAATTATGGTACCCCACTCCTCAGCCTGGCCTTCAAAAATGCCTACTTGTGCTCCTTATATCTTTTTCCCTTCTACCAGATTATAAAGCTAATCAGGGTGATCCTAGAAGACACATATTGAAAATAGCAAGCCCTCAGATGGAAGGAGCACTGTTCTTTGAATCTCTACTTAAATGAGAGCTGTCCATGCACCCCATATGTTTTTTTTAACTTTAAATGACAAAGAACTGTAATTCTATTGTGTTTGAGCTATTATACACCTTGAGGTTTATTTGTTACAGAATCTAGTATTATATTAACTAACACATTTGTTTTACTTTGGTTCATGTCAAGATAATAAGACTACAGTGGCTAATAAAAATCAGTTATAACAAACATTAAAACTTTGTATGTGCATATGTGTGAGAAATAGAAATGGAGAAGGTAGCTTTGTGAAACTCCAACTAGTGACTCCCATAACTATGAAGGATTGCTGACAGGACTTTCATTACTGCAAATTGCCCCTATTTAATAGGCAGCTCTTATGCAGCCTGTGCTCCTGCTGTTTGCAAAACTTACTTTGAATATACAACACCAATTACAGAGACTAAACACATCAAGATTTTGAGGAGTCTAGAGAGTTATGCAATTAATTTTATTTATGTACTTTCTGCTTTAAATGCCCCTGAAAAGAGAAAATTGACTAATGTATCTTAAAAGGAACACTCATATTTATGTCTTTGCCCCAGTCACACTCTTTCTCTCCACAAAAAAAAATAAAAGAGAAAGGGAAGAAGGGAGGAAAGGAGGAAGAAAGAAATGAAGGAAGGAAGGAATTCAGCTGAAATAAAATAAGCAGATACAGTACTGGAGTTTTCAGCAAGGGCAATAAATGGTAAAATTCTCTTGAAAGTTCTGTAGTCATTTATTAGCTATGGAAAGCTACAGAAAAACTTAGAGACTCTGACCAGTGCCAGAGAAGGCTGAGAGGCCTGACACTTCTCTTGAATTCTAGGACAGCAAAGCATTTATTAGTATCTAGATATGCATATTTAATTATGCTGCAATAATAATTTTACTGTCATTCCTCAAAGCTGAGAAGAAACAAACGATACCCTATTCCTTTTTCAATGATCCTGTGAAACAGCTTGGGGCAGCATATAATGATAGTACCACAAGTGTCTCCTTGGCATTTACATGCTAATGATACTGTCCAATTAAATTATATAATATTGTGTGATAAGCCCCTTTTGCAACTAGGCAAAAATGTATACATATTATAGTACAATTGTTCTCACTTCTCAAGAGAGATCTGTAAATCTTGAGACTTTGCCTTTTACATTAGAATAAATCCTCCACTCACTTATTCATGCATTTAATGCATATGTTTTCAGAGCTATTATATGCATTGAATGACTATTTTTACACTCCCATACCTTTTTAAAGTTGACATCAAAAACAAATTTTTGTGTGTATAATTTTAAAGAATATAATTTTGGGGTTACTATATATTTTATTTATGCTTTAAGTACATGTTCCTTAAAACCTTTGGTATACAGATATTTTAATCTTTCATCTTATCAGAGGAAATCCAAAAGAAGATGAGGATGGATGGAGAAAAGCTTGATCAAGTGATGAACAACAGGAAGATAAAGACAGTAGCATTGTTATAAGTTTAACACCTGAAAGAAATAAGGTACTCCCCCTTTATTTCTTCCTTAAGCTCCTTTGTTTTGCTCTCTTGGGACTGTCCCTATAGAAGCTTCATTTTGTTCCTGACTCTTCCCTTTTTTAAACCTCACCAACGTTTTTATCCCCCAGGACGGCATACCCTGGGAAGTAAGGACAAGAATGAGAACCATGTCTTTGTATTGTAAAGTGAAAGAGGAGCTATTGTGAAAGGAAAAGTAGAAAAGCAGAATTGGCAGACCATAATTGGAATATCATTTGGACTCTTTTAGGAAAGACTGTACAGGAAACCTCAAAATTTGGAAGTTGTTTCCTTGAAAACTTAATTTGTATATCATCTCCAGCACCAAGTTATAAAGCTATATAAAACTATAACTTGGTGGTAGAGATGATATATAGCTGAGAAGCAAGTGCTCAGAAGTGAGGAGAGTAAGTGATGGGGGTGCCAGGTGGGTGTACCAATATGTAAATGGCATTCAATTATAGAAATCACCAAAAACCAAATAACTGAATCCAGAATGGCTGACTGCATGGGCCATGACATCAGAAGTACCTGGGTGTGAATCTCTGTCCCTTCTTTGCCACTAACTAGCTGTGACATTTCAGAAAATCTGTTTTCTCTGTCTGAGTCTGTCTCCTTATCTTTTCAATTTCAGCTGAAGTACGATGCCCAGGAAACATTTTCTAATCTTTGCCATTTCTCTCCTTCCAGTGAAACTGAGCAATTTTCTTATTTGCTCCTTGTTCTTAGAATGAAGTTTTATGCTATTACTGTATACTTAAAAGTTTTTTTGGGAGGGTTTCTGTTTTTGTTTTTGTATTTTTACACTTATTTGTCTTCCCTATGAGAGAGTGAGCAAATGGGGGGCTACTTGCTATCTCCCTCTCCCTTCCCTAAAATAATAGGTGACACAAAAGAAATGCTAAATAAATGTTTGTTGAGTTGGTGACTAAAATGTGATCATTACATTTATCTAAGAGGCTTAAGGGAATTAAGTGAGATACTGTGTGTTGAACATTGAGTTGGAAGTGACAGCATGTATGCTTAGGAATAGGAGATGCATTAAAGCAGTGACAGACAGAATGATAAAATATGGCAATTGTAGTAAGCAACCAGCTATGAGATATATTAAGGCATATAATAAGCTTGCATTCTGCTAGTCAGAAAATGCACAAACTGTCGTATTAAGGGCTAAGGTAAAGACGCAATCTCAGGCTGGGTCCCAGAATGCTAGTGTCATAGTCAAAACAGTCATTTTAGTAGGGAGCATTCTTTGTAGAATAATTGCCACTTAAAGATAACTGAGGACTCCATTATGGAGCAGGAGAACACTGCATCCATAAGACATCAAGACATTCTTTGACTACTATGGGAATTAAATATAGATCTAAAATCCTCTCTAAAATAAAGATCCAAGGAGGTATGCTACAGATGAAAAAAAAAATGTGTCCTGCAAGCAAAATGAGGATAGATCAGGTGACGGATTGAGTGAAGGGCAGGAGACAATGAAGAATATATTGTAGATTATACAGGTTTGGATGTTGTTATCTTGGGAGAAGCTTTAAGGCATCCACTTATTGTTTTATTTGCATAGTCTGATGTGGTTTTTAAAGTTTATATTGAATGCTGTTAAGAAAGGCAAGGACTCTGAAGTTCGTCTCAGGGTTTATTATTCCTATTGTCTTTTATTTGCAGTCTTCACAATGCACATGCATGAAAGGTAAGTGCTGTAGCAAAACGAATTGAAAAAAGTAACAAACGTATGCATTGCTCTGTAATGGATGGAAAAAAAGGATAACAGGGCTGGTGATGGATCAGTGGAGAAGGTGGTGAGAAGAATAGTGTAAGGAGTAAGATGTGCGAGATGAGATGCTTCTATAGGGTACATGTATAATATCTAGGCAATCACAGTGGCATTCTTTGTTTAAGGGCCCAGTGAATCTTGTCGAGCTAAGATTAACTTCGTAAAGGAACCATAGTGTGCTAAACATTCATGAGTAACACATTCACGGAAGAATGCATGAGTTCATTAGGACATATATTCTGCCCTATATAGTGGCTTAACAGCAATAACTAAACAAGTAGAGCTTATTCATCTTTCACATAACATTCATCACAGAAGGAGTCCTGGACTGTTTCGCTCTATAAATTAAGGCAGTAAGCGAGACTTCTTCTATGATGTTATTCTACCACATCTAGACAGTTATCTTTGTCTGTATGATACAAGCTGGCTCACCACGACATCTCATTCCATATCTAATTTCCAAGTTAGTCAAGGAAGAAAGAGAAGCAGACATTCAGACCCTTGAAGGATATGACCTAGTAATGGTATGCATTGTTTTAGGTAACATCACATTGGCCAGAACTTAGACACAAAGCCAAACCTAGATACAAAGGGGGCTGGACATACCTCTATCTCTGTCTGTCTGTCTGTCTATCTATCTACATACCTAAAATGCTTTTGGGTTTTTGTTTGTTTGTTTTGGAGATGAACTCTCACTCTTGTCCCCCAGGCTGGAGTGCGATGGCATGATCTCGGCTCATTGCAACCTCTGCCTCCCGGGTTCAAGCAATTCTCCTGCCTCAGCCTCCCGTGTAGCTGGGATTACAGGCGCCTGCCACCACGCCTGGCTAATTTTTGTATTTTTAGTAGAGACAGGGTTTCACCATGTTGGCCAGGCTGGTCTAGAACTCCTGACCTCAGGTGATCTGCCCACCTCGGCCTCCCAACATGCTGGGACTACAGGCGTGAGCCACCACACCTGGCCGCTTTTGTTCTTAAAAGAGGTTATTGACCAGCTACTGAATGAAGCTTAATCACTAATAATTGATTTAAATGAAAGATGACATACAAACAGTCAAAATAATTGGTGAAAGTCAATAAGCACACTGGTAAAAAACAAGAATGTTTTTTACCTGTGTGCAGAAGATACCTGAAACCTGTTTTTCAGAAAATATTTTCCTGAGAAGTTCTACAAAACAGATGAAATAGGCCTACTCTACTGATGCTTTTCAAAGTCTAACTCATCAGGTGAAGGTGAATTAAGTGTTCAGCAGCTTAAACAAAACAAATATAGGCTGGTTGTTCCAATACATGCTTATACTGGTGGCTGTCATAAAACAAAACCTTTCATGATTAGAAAATTAAATTACCCTAGGATTAGGAAGCAGCTGTACCAGTTGCATGCTATCTTGGTACCAAGATTGGCCCTATCGTTTTCTAACCTTACAACTTAACAAGCCAGTATTTCCTATAAATCTATTTGTATTAATCTGTAAAATGAGGATACAAAATGCTAAACAGAACTAGAATGAGGATTTGATAAATTAATATATATGAAAGCAACTGGTTATTAAAAGGTATTGATAAACAATAGTAAAATCAGAAACCCTATTATTAACTTGACCATCATGTTTTATTTTTACATAGTTCTTCCATTAACTTTTTATAAGTACGTGGAATCAAATTCTGTACAGAGTTACTCTACTGCCTAATAAGTGTAGAGAACTATTATTAACTCTTGTCTCATTCTTACCTATCTCTCTTAACAGTTACGTAATAAAATTGTTCAATTCTATCTCCAACAATAAAACTTCCAAATAGACTGTAAAACTTTAATCTTCAAGGTGAAAAAATGGCAGTTAGTGGGGTATACCAGAATTGCTCTGGTTCTGAATAATCATGTTTAAAATGTAAATTCTTAGGACTCAACCTATCGTACTGAAGCAGAATCCCCCAAATAGCACCTGCTACCCTCTGTATTTAAAATGCTTTCCAGGTGGTTGTAAACACTTTAAATCTTGAGAACTGTTGCCCTAGAGAAGCAAATGTTAAAAAGCCTCATGATAACGGAACATTGTCATACAGGTTATATGAACAAACCTAAGGTAAAGATCTATTGCTTCTGGCATGGTAATAAATGAATAAAATGCTCATTTTTAGGTACTTGTTTTAGGTTAGGTACTTCTGATAAAGATGAGGCTTCCTTTCACCTCCTCCCCACCAACCTCATGAGTCACACCAATCTCCTAACCCAATTTTGTCCTTATTCTGGAAGATTCCAAAAAGTTCCTCATAAATATTTGAGGGATTTGTATGTTATCAAACCTATCAGTAGATCTAGATATATAGCTAATATGAAAGATCACCAGTAATGTTCTAAGAACGAGATGATTTACATATATGCTTTGTAATCTTTAAAATGTAAGCAATCTGACTGTTATGAACCTCATATTTTAATGAGAATTCTGAGGCTAAAAGATGTTTAGTAACTTGATCACTACTTCAAAGTAGGTAAAACAGAAGCAAATATAGGGTTACTACAGAGAAAAAGCAGAAAGAAATGTGCCCCTACACAGAGAGAATTCTATTTTAAAAAAACTTTTAAAATCAATCCGAAGCTGGACATCAAGTGGGAATTTGGAAATGTTTGGTTAGGAGCTTCTGTAAAATTTTTTAAAGATGCTTGAATTGAAAAGCAATATAGCATAGGAGGGATATGGACATTTATTCAGGTGTTCTCAGAATGGAAATAATCAAAAATAGCTTTAGTAAAGAATTGCCCAGATTCCTTTCCCCTGGTGCTCTGGAAGAAGCCTGTCCTTATTGATGTTGGAGAGTCTAGCCTAATATCTTCCATGCATTCACTAATTTTGTAGGCTTTTTCCTATTAAAAAGTGAAACCATACATTGAAACCTGGAGATAATTGAAGACTGCTCCTCTGAATCTCACACTGAGAGTTGGCTTTCTTTTTCCCCCCATTACATAACACAGAAAGTAAAAATGTAATCTTCAGCAATAGACATGGTATCTGCTCCCACAGAAATGGTGCTATTACCAATACAGAAGCAAGACTATAGGCATGACTACCACAGAGAGAGTGCTTTACAGCCTTCCAAGGCATCACTGTTGAATAACCCAAGCAAATCTGACTCACAGAGACAGAGTACATATGTGGTTCATGATCACCAGGATAGACTTGTTTGAAATTTTTCAGGTAGGCTACCTAAAGCAACTAATTCCAATGGTACTGCTGAGTCCCAGGAACAAAAGAACCTGTGTTCTGGCATTTATAAACTAATATCCTAAATGTGTACTGGAATTCTAAAGGTTTCAACCAGAAATCTGAAATTTCCTCAAACAAATGTCTTCTATGTAAAAAATATATATCTATATCTAGATCTGTATCTATATATCTCTCTATATATCTATATCTATATCTATATATCTGTATCTACATCTATATAGATATAGATATAGAAGCTTCAATTTCCATTATGCTGAATGGAATGTTTCAGATAAACATTTCGTTAATTACAACTCTTCATGGATAGTGCCATAAAAAATAGTGGCTTATATTTTAAATATTCATCCAAGGAGGCAGCATGGCAGTGATAGAGTAGATTTTGCAGTCAAATCACTCTTGAGCCATTTGCTAGTTTCATCAATTTGGATGAGGTTTTAATTTCTCTGAACTTCTGTTTCTGCATCTTTACTCTGTGGATAATAATATCTACCTCTTAAGGCTGTTATGATAACTTACTGACTAACATAAATAATGTACATACACATAGTGGGAAATTAAGAACAAATTTGAGTCTGCTATTGTGCCCTACTCCACTTCAGGAGCAAGAAAATAATCACTGCAAAATAATAGACTTTTTGTTGAATCTCAAACTTGTAGACTGGGTTACAAAATTCCATATTTTTTATGTCATTATCTGCTCGTAGTAAGAAGAAAACCCATACACACACACATATACACGTCTGTATATTTATATATAATATGCATATTATATATACATTTCCTTTATATATATGTAATATGTATATATAGTATGAAATTGGACCAACATATTAAGAATCACTTTCCTCTTACCACAACATGAAGCAATTTCAACATGGATGCTCCAACTTCATTTGGGATACTTCACATATAAGGATCCTATATCTTGAAACCATCTCCAGTGGATTTCCTAGATGAAATGAAACAGAAACTCTTGGGAACATGGAAAATAAAAACCTAGCTTCTTTCAGTAGTGCTCAGCTAAAATTCCACATCATTCTCCATCTTGCTGGTTTTGCCCTAATTATTTAAAAAAATGTTTACTTCCAATCCAATTTGATGTACCCATCCTTGATGACACTATTGCTTGCATTTTCAGGTAATGCATTTTATTATATGTGTTTTCATAAATCAATGAGTATTCTTAAATGTATATTAAAAATCAACTAAATATCAGCAATAGCATATAGATGAGAAAAAGGAGGACAGCAATCAAGTTACAGTGTGTTAGAGAAAGAAAAATAATTTGAATATATAGCTTTTCTCTTTTTCAGATGCTTGTGGATGTCTTTCTAAAAGTTGAATGAATAAAAACCATAATACAATAATGAAACACATTTATCTGTTTCCATTCATCACATTAGTATAAAATATATTACTCTGTACCTATATATTCTAGTCTTGATAATTTTGCAAGCTAAAGCTTTTATAAATCTATAAATTTGCCATTTATAAATTTGCCAGGTATTTATTTGGCTCTTTTGGCAAAATTTGAGCAATTTTCTGACTCTCGCTCTCACACACAGATACATATATGCACATGCACATACACATACCACTTAAAAGTCAAATTTATTGCAAGAAATTATACTACAATCACATAAAATACAATGAAATCACATTTATTTGCCAGGCTAGGTCTATACCCTTTAATAGCTATTTTGGTTTCATTACAATAAATCTTCTACAAAATAATGAAATAAATCTTGGTTATGCAAATCACAGTATTGAAAACACTGAAACCTGATTGTGTAAAACATCTCAAGCTCAAGGAGATATGTCATAGTGATCAATTTTAAATTAGTCACTTTAAAACAAATTCTGTTGCTGCACTCTCTTAGTGCGTTCCTGGATTTCTATTTTTACGAATACAGTAATTACAACGGTACTAGATGGCACAAGTGGATCTCTCTTCCTAAAAGTTAGATATGCAAAAGAGTCCGCTGGGCCCATTAAATAATATTGACATCTCAATTCCTCTTATCGGTTCACTTCAGGTACAGACTTTGAACAATGAAAGTTCCTTCTATTTCCCCTTCAACAGAAGCCAAGTAAGAAATTCGTGTTTTTAAGTTGTTGTCTCGTAGCTGCAAACCTAAAGCAGTGTTTAGAGGGAAATTTATAGCATTAAATGCCGACAGGAGAAAGTGGGAAAGATCTAAAACCGACACCCTAACATCACAATTAAAAGAACTAAAGAACCAAGAGCAAACTAATTCAAAAGCTAGCAGAAGACAAGAAATAACTAAGATCAGACCAGAACTGAAGGAGATAGAGACACGAAAAACCCCTCAAAAATCAATAAATCCAGGAGCTGGGTTTTTGAAAAGATTAACAAAATAGATAGAACATATGTAGCCAGACAAATAAAGAAGAAAAGAGAGCAGAATCAAATAGACACAATAAAAAATGATAAAGGGGATATCACCACTGATCCCACAGAAATACAAACTACCATCAGAGAATACTGTAAACACATCTACACAAATAAAGTAGAAAATCTAGAAGAAATGGATAAATTCCTGAACACATACACCCTCCCAAGACTAAACCAGGAAGAAGTCGAATCCCTGAAGAGACCATTAACAAGTTCTGAAATTGAGACGGTAATTAATAGCCTATCAACCAAAAAAAGCCCAGGACCAGATGGATTCACAGCCGAATTCTACCAGAGGTACAAAGCGGAGCTGGTACCATTCCTTCTGAAACTATTCCAAACAATAGAAAAAGAGGGACTCCTCCCTAACTCATTTTATGAGGCTAGCATCATCCTGATACCAAAACCTGGCAGAGACACAACAAGAAAAAAGAAAATTCAGGCCAATATCCCTGATGAACAGGGATATTGTTCATCAATATTGATGCAAAAATCCTCAATAAAATACTGGATCCTGCAGCACATTAAAAAGTTTATCCACCACAAACAAGTTGGCTTCATCCCTGGGATGCAAGGCTGGTTCAATATACACAAGTCAATAAGCGTAATCCATCAGCAGCACATTAAAACTGAATCCAGCAGCACATTAAAAAGTTTATCCACCACAAACAAGTTGGCTTCATCCCTGGGATGCAAGGCTGGTTCAATATACATAAATCAATAAACGTAATCCACCACATAAACAGAACCAATGACAAAAAGCACATGATTATTTCAGTAGATGCAGAACAAGCTTTCAATAAAAGTCAACACCGCTTCATGCTAAGAACGCTCAATAAACCAGGTATTGATGGAACGTATCTCAAAATAATGAGAGCTATTTATGACAAACCCACAGCCAATATCATATGGAATGGGTAAAAATTGGAAGCATTCCCTTTGAAAAGCAGCACAAGACAAGGATGTCCTCTCTCACCACTCCTATTCAACATAATATCGGAAGTTCTGGCCAGGGCAATCAGGCAAGAGAAAGAAATGAAGGGTATTCAAATAGGAAGAGAGAAAGTCAAATTGTCTCTGCTTGCAAATGACATGATTGCATATTTAGAAAACCCCATTGTCTCAGCCCAAAATCTCCTTAAGCTGATAAGCAATTTCAGCAAAGTCTCAGGATACAAAATCAATGTGCAAAAATCACAAGCATTCCTATACAACAATAATAGACAAACGGAGAGGCAAATCATGAGTGAACTCCCATTCAAAATTGCTACAAAGAAAATAAAATGCCTAGGAATACAAGTTACAAGGGATGTGAAGGACCTCTTCAAGAAGAACCCTAAACCACTGCTCAAGGAAATAAGAGAGGACACAAACAAATAGAAAAACCTTCCATGCTAATGGATAGGAAGAATCAATATGGTGGTGAAAATGGCCATACTGCCCGAAGTAATTTATAGATTCACACTATCCCCATCAAGCTACGACTGACTTTCTTCACAGACAAAATGACTTTAAATTTCATATGGAACCAAAAAAGTGCTCATATAGCCAAGACAATCCTAAGCAAAAAGAACAAAGCTGGAGGCATCATGCTACCTGACTTCAAACTATACTACAAGGCTACAGTAACCAAAACAGCATGGTACTGGTACCAAAACAGATATATAGACCAATGAAACATAACAGAGACCTCAGAAATAATGCCACACATCTACAACCACCTGATCTTTGACAAACCTGACAAAAACAAGCAATGGAGAAGGATTCCCTGTTTAATAAATGGTGTTAGGAAAACTGGCTAGCCACATGCAGAAAACTGAAACTGGACCCCTTCCTTACACCTTCTGCAAAAATTAACTCTAGATGGATTAAAGACTTAAACATAAGACCTAAAACCAAACCTATGTTTCTATATTCTGCTTTGAGATTTTGGGTTTGGGACTCTGCACACCACTTTCCTTTGCCAGATGGTTTCCTTAGATTCTGCAATGGGGGTGGGGGGGCACTGGGGACAGGCCGGTGGGGTGAAGAAAGGGAGAAAGAGGCTTATTCTTTCCTGTTCTCTTGCTGTCAGCATTGTTTAGCAATCATCCTGCACCCTGTCAGCGGCAGTCATTTCTGCCTACCGATTTTTCAAATCCTTCCAGAACCAGCTTATTCTGACCTGACAGAGGTGCCACCCCCAGGTGGCTCGTATCCCATCCTGAGAGCTCTTGAGTTTGAGTTCCCAAGGCCTCTGCTTTGAGCTTCTGAGACACCAACACTGGCTGCATAGCAACACTTCTGAGAAGTGTGATATAGAGATCTACGAAGTCCCTTTTCCAAGCTCCCAGTGCCCCAGCTTTTCATTTCGTTCCCCAAGCCCTAAGGGTGGAGGTGCTTCCTGAGATTACTCTCTCTGTATAACTTCAGGGGCCTCTTTTTCCTCTTCCAGCTCTCCAACAAATATTTAATCCACCCATTATATTAAAATTTCCTTGTTAAAACAACAAGTATGGGACAAAGGATATGAATAGACACTTCTCAAAAGAAGATATTTACATGGCCAAACACATGAAAAAATGCTCAACATCACTGATCATTAGAGAAATGCAAATCAAAACCACAATGAGATACCATCTCACACTAGTCAGAATGGCGATTATTAAAAAGGGTCTCTGACATTAGTTCTCAAACACATTTGTCAGATAAGTGCGTGGATGGAGAGCCCATCCATCCACACACTTACGGGGCATGGAGACCCACAACAGTAGGTGGCAGCAGAGATAGACAGTCAGTGGTCACTTGGTACAGGAAAAAAACAAAGATGGCAGGAGAACCAAAGCCTCATCTAACCTTACTCTTAAGAGTTAAAATCATGGGTTCAATATCTATCTATCTAAATATTTTAATGGTTAAGGGTATGTGTTTTGGCAACACAAAGACAAGTCCTCAAATTTCGACCTCACTACTTTCTAGCTCTGTTTCTTAGTTTTTTCATCTATAAATGGATCTAATGACACTGTGATATACAGCTTTCAAAATGGCTGCAATAATTCCTGCCATCTCTATACATACTCTCTTTGCAATGAAATTTTTCCATTCTCATCTTCCAGAGCTAAAATTTCTTTCTCCATCTCTTAAATCTAGGCTTGCCTAGTGACTTGTTTGCCCACTAAAATGTAGAGGAATGTGACTTCTGAGCCTAGAAACTGCGAGGACTTGCATCTTCTCCTCTTGCCCTCTTAGAACTCTTCCACCACCACAGGAGAAAACCACACTGGCCTTTTCGAGACCTATGGCCCCCTGACAGGTAGCACCAACTGTCAGACAGAGAAGTAGCCACGTTAGACCATCCAGACTCAGTGGAACTGCTAGATGATTGTAGCTGCATGAATGTCCCAGCAGAGATAAGTAGAAGTGCCACCAAGCTGAGCCTCAGATCAAAACGCATGCCCATAGAATTAAAAGCAAATAAAATAATACTTGTTTTAAGTCATTAAGTTTTGAAGTGGTTTGTTATGCAGTGATAAGTTACCCATAACTGATTCAAATCACTACCTTCATAGTATTCTTTTAAGGATTAAAATAAAAGATGTAAGTGAAATGTATGCACAATGTCTGGCATTGGCATAGAATAACTCTCCAAATGTTTACTGGGTATAGAAATTACATTCCCAGCATCAACATGGGATAAACAATGACTGGCCATAATGAATACTAATGAGGAATGTACTCACTCTACAAGAGTTAAATATTGGGGTACATATGTTTGGTCTGAGACTATTGGTTCAAAGTAAAAGAGAGGCATGATTGAATTGAACATTTATCATTACTACTGAGATTCTCTGCCATTCTTTGAGTATCATTACTACTCAGGTATTTTTCTGGGAACTTGAATTAAGGTAAATGGGTATGAGGAGATAGAAAGTTGTCTTATATCAGTGCTCAAACGTTTAGGAATCAGGGTCTATATACTCTTTAAAATGAAGAGCATTAATTAATGTATATAAATTTTCATTTATCATATTAGAAATGAAAGCTGAGAAAAACTTTTAACAATCGTCATTGATTATCAGTTAATTATTATGAAAACACTAATTTAAAAATAAAAATAAACCCATAAAACAGTAACATAAATGACACATTTTTATGAAAGATAATTATATTTTCCAAAACAAAAAAATTAGGGGAGTGAGACTGTTCTATATTTTTGTAAATTTCCTTAAAATTTGACTTAATAGAAAATAGCCTTATTCAATCTGCATTCAACCTGTGTGATATATTATTTTAGTGGAAACCTATGAAGAATATCTAGTCTGATATAGACATGTATTTTTGGAGAAAAGAAAGAGATTTTTACTGCTTTTAAAGTTATTGTAGAATACTTCTTTGATAGCATAGCAACATTTTATGAGTAGTAGTTTCTAAAAGATCAGTTACAATATAAAATCTAAAACCAAATCAAATAACTTTTCATATTATTATATTAAAATCCACTGGCTATCTCTTATTGTGAATGGATCCTTTATCTATGACTGCTTGATCATCATGCACTGGTGATCCAGAAAATATTGGTTCACTAAATTAGGCATAATCAAATTATTAACACATACAAAATACTAAAAATTACTCTTGTTAAAATTACCGCTAATCTTATCCGAATAATTTTAAAGTATTGGGAAGTGTCACACCTATGGTAGCACAAAGAATTTTCAAAATTTTAACTTTTACTTCAAAGCTCAAACTTGATCACTGGCAACAAATACAAATACAAAATAGTTGCTTTCCTTGAAGTTACAAGATCACTTTGTTTATTTTTGAGAAATATATGCCAAATACCTTAAGCCTCAATAGCTTTAGTTTGACTATTAGTTACACTTTTATGTTAAAATGATGTTAAATGAAAAAGTAGCTAGTTCAGTGTGCAACTCAATTACAAAAGTACTTTTTGTTCTAGAAAACATCATACTTCAGTTTGCAGCAAATGTGCTTTATGCATACTTCACATTTCATCACAAAGGATATTAAGATGGTGTTTATTCAAAGAACAAGTTATAAAAAATAATGCATACTACTTCATAAAGGACACTGTTAAGTGACCTGCCATTTTGTTTTTTTTTGCTTGTTTACTTTAAAGAAATGATGGTGGAAAATACAGTGACTGCTAGTAACAGTCTGGTGTTGCCAGATTGAATTGTGCTAAGATTCTGGAAATTTTACCTACCATTGCCTTTGCACCATCATGGAAACTGTTAACACAATGAAGACACAAATAATACCTTAGTCTTAACTTAAAAATAGTTTTCACCTAGCACACGGCTCAAAAGGATCTTGGGAACTCCCATGGTACACGGACAAGAATTTTGAGAATGACTATCAAATAGTGACTTAAAAACAAAAACTGAAGTGTTAGAGTGTTTCTAGGAACTTGAGTATAAACAATCCTCTTTTAGGCCAGGGTGGAGATACCACTTTCCACCTTCAGTAACATCACTCTCGTGAGTTAGAAAGGATTTAGATTAAGATTAAAATAACTAAGGCTGGACCAAGGGAAACTGCCCTGCTCATAATTGCTTACCCCATACCTGGGACTGTAATGACTCATACCGAACCAATGTCAAAAACCCTGAATCAACTGAGGGAATTGGCAAAAGAGGGACAGAGATAGAGAAAGAAAGTGAGAGGACACAGAAGACCCATGAAGTTATAGACAAAAAGAAACGGAGATTAGGAAATCAATAAATATAGGGAGAGAAGGAGGAAAGTGTGAAAGGAGGGAGACAAAAAGAGAAACAATCATAGAGTCGAAATAGAGAGAGAGAGTGTGTGAGAGAGAGAGATAATGTTTTGAGGACACAAAAGCTAACAGAGATAGACAGGCAAAGAGAAACAGAGTCAGAAGGAGACAGAGAATAAGTATGCTATCATATTAGATTGTCAATGAAAGGAAAGGCAAAAATCTTTGCTTTGACATAGTTTTCAAGTAGTCACAGATTTTCTCTCTCTTCTGTGAGGCTGATTGACTATGGATGCATGGGAGTGTCTGCTTGCATGTGGATTAGGAAGATTGCTGCCTTTTCCTTCTGCCATGACCTGAAAGCCACACTGACTGCTGATGGAGGTAGTAAGGGATGTCCTGCAGTGGAAGAAGATAGACCTAGGAATCTGCAGCATAAAAGAGGTGTCTTGGTGCATGAGAACGAGACCTGGCACTGGGCATCTTCCAGGTTGACATAATTACCAGGCTGGGTGAGAGATGTAGTGTAAGTGCTTTACTTTGTCACTTATCAAATCTCACTGGTAAGGCCTAAAGAAACTGAATCTTCAGGAGAACTAAACATATAATTTTCCCTTTAACCATAATAGGGAATTGCCACTGGTCCTCTCTATCAAACATTAGATATGTTCAGATTCTTAAATGGAGACACAGTAAGGAACCACTTTGGATGTATGTATGTATGTAGAGATAAGGTCTTGCTATGTTTCCTAGGCTGGTCTCAAACTCCTGGCCACAAGCAATCCTCCCACCTTGGCACTGGGATTACAGGCATGAACGACCATGCCCAGCCCCACCTCACATTTAAAAACAAGATTACAAACAAGTAATTCCTAAATATTAACACTATTATTGGAAAACACACAGAAAGACAGAATGCTATATTCACTGTAAGTAAATGGAAACAGGTTAAAAAAAAATTAGGTGACTCTGTGTCATTACAGTGTGTTCCTATTAGTGTTCACATTGTATAAAAGGAAGAGTGGGGAGTGGTCAATAAGATTAGGTTTCATATCAGTCCACGGCATGAAAATGGGAATTCTGGGCTGCTATTCACCATTATGAAGACAAAGGCAACTTGGTATCAAGTGTCTCTAAGGACAGGAAAAGCTGTATGTAATCTTAGTTGGAGAGGGGAAAAAAACATGAGCAGGGAGAATGAAAGAGCTACCAGCACCAGCTGCTGTGATGCCAAACAGGAAGATGAGCTCTCCCTGTGCTCTTGCCAATTCAGGTTAATATTTAAAAACTTAAAACTGTACTCTGATTTTTATTAAAGTGACAGGTTTTTGTCTTGAAGTGGCACTGTTTCTTTATCTGTAAAGTGAAGTGCGGGAATCACACTGGTATTTCCCAGACTATTCCGTATAATGCTTGTGCACTAGAAGATGCTAACATAATCAAGTTTGACAAATATTTCCTTCCTTCCTTCCTCCATCCCTCCCTCCCCCTTTCCTTCCTCCCTTCTTTCCCTCCCACCCTCCCTCCCTCCCCCTTTCCTTCTTCCCTTCTTTCCCTCCCTCCCTCCTCCCTCCCTTCCTTTCTTCCTTCCTTCCTCCCTCCCTTCCCTCCTCCCTCCCCTGCCTCCTCTCCCCTTCTCTCCCCTCCCCTTCCCTCCCCTCCCCTTCCCTTCTCCTTTTCTTGCCTTTATTCCTCTTCTTTCCTTGTCATTCCCTCACAGTCTACTTAACATAATAAAGATTCTAAGACTACCACAATGAAAGAAAATATTTAAACTGATTTAAACACAGAATTTCTTTCTCTTTTTCCATATTGCCATCTCTTGGGATGATAACATTACCCTGGGAAACAATTTATGAAATGCCAAACTTCGTACTTGCTAAAAACCCTTATGAATCCAGGATTCTATGATTCTAAGCAGGACTAAGTGGGAGCACAGGAAATTGTCCCCTAAATTAGCTCCATTTGCCTCTGTAACCCAAGTGTCTGGACTCAACATATTCAGAAGCCTGGCAGTTGAGGGCCATGGAGAATAGCCTATTACTTAGTCTCTTTGGATATCATCAGCATCGCACTAAGACACTGTGCATGTGAAGCACACCCTGGGACGTATGATTATCTTACCACCACTTAATTTTTAGGTCAATGAGCACAAGAGGAAATTTCCTTTTGAAAAGATCAGGAAATTAATGTAGGATTGCAGGAATTACATACAATTCCCCATGCAATGCAATGCCAAATTTCAAAAAGTACAAAGGGATGCACATGAAATTTGGCAGAATTAGGAGTCTTTACCTTGAAGGAGAAAGAGAATGAAAATTATCTGCCTGAAGTAAGCATTAATGCTTTATTTTATGGGTATGTTCTTTCTTTTAGTTCAGCATTCTCTAGATTCTCTTAAACTTTATGATTTTTGTTTGATTATTGTCTATCTCTTAAAGGTGAGGCTTCACAGTTCCAGGTGGCAGTAATAAAGTCCATACTTATGGATGTCTCAATGTCTCCAATCTGTGGAATATAAATTTTGAATATATACAAGTTGAGTGGCTTCCATTTTCAGGATGTGAAATATCTGTTCATGTTTTTGTTGTTTTGATTGTTTATATCACTTTATGTGGCAATACCTAGACCATCATAAAAGAGGTTTGGCAAAGTAAAATCTACCTGAAGATTTTAACATTTAGTGGGAAAACGCATTCATAGATCACTTTGCCCTAGAATTTCCACTTACCAGTAAAATAGAGACAATAAGAATAATTTATTAAGCACTTTTTATATTCTTGGCAATGCACTAATTTCTTTACTTATAGCATCTGAATGCTTATAATAAGTCTATGAGGTTGGTGCTGTTAACATGTCCATTTTATATTGAAACTCAAAGTAGTTACATAAACTTTTTCAAAGTCACACTGCTTTTAATGGCAAATCTTGTGATCAGATCTAGGTTTGTCTGATTCCAAAGTCTAAATTATTAATGATGCTCCTTCATTGCTAATTGTTTCTTTATTCAGTGCAATCGTAGTAGCCAACAGATGACCATCCATTAAGACTCATGTCATAGACTATCTGAATATTCTGCATTGTTAACTGGATGAGTCTAACCTTGGACTGGATTCTGGGAGCTGCAGCTGTATTTAAGGATTGTAATGATATTGACCTCAGCAGGTAGAATGTGAAGCTGAAGAAAAGCCAGAGACAATGTCTCATGGTGACCCTGTAATGATGAATCAAATTATTAACAAAATATTTAATAAGAGTATCTAGGCAAAAAGACAACACATGAATTCAGACAATAGAAGCAAAAGATAATACAGTAATGGCAAAACAAGTTTGAAATGGCAGCAGAGGTAGTCTAAAAAGATTCCCTGAGGTACTGAAAAAAGGGGTGCTGACACTTTTTTAGAATGCCGACAGCCTCTCCAGTGTAAGGGGAATGTTTTAAAACCTACCAAGTTGTATCTGACAGGTTATCAGCCCTCCAGGAATCGGCATCTCCCCTCCTTTACCGTACAATGAGCCCCCTTATCATATTATGCACCTACGCTTTACTTTTTAGGCAGGTTAAACTGCTGTGAGGTACACTGCAAATGATAAGAAAGGAGAGAAGAGGAGAAAAAAGGAGAGAAGGGGAGAAGAAGGGAAGGGAGGGGGGAGAGGGAGAGAAGAGTGTTGAGTTGATGAGGAGGAGTGAGAGACTGAGAGAAAGAGAGGTTGGCCATGGCAATGATATCCAAGGAAGGAGCCTCAGTCAAAGATGATGCCAAGACCTCAGAGACTCAGCTCTTAATAACCACTAACAGGATGATGACATCAAAACTAACAACATGCAAAGGGAAAGAGCAGGGACTGGTACATGGGACAATGTTCAACAGGATCACTCAGATAACTTTGTGGTAGAACTTGGTGGAACACAATCATTGGAGAAATCTGTGGTGTAGCTTGGTGTATTTCACCACCTAATCCCCAGTGCATGTGTAAGTGCCTGTCACCCTGCATGTACTGCTCATGTTTGTGAAATCTCCTCAAGTTGCCAAGGTCTGCTGAGTTGGTTTGTTGTACAGGTTTTGAAATCGCTGGATTGGAAATGAGAAATAAACCTATGAGACTGAGGGTAGAGATGAAAGAAAACAGAGAAACGGTCTCAACATTAGAAGATGGGAGGAAGAAAACAAAATTATTTCTGGAAAATTATCATAGTCTATTGTCTCATAAGAACAATAAAGTAGATATAATAATTGGGAAATAAATTGCTGAGGTAAAAGAGATAGATCAGAGGTGAGGTCTAGATACATTATAATAACCCAAATAATAAAGGTACATGAGAATAGAAGGAGAGGAGTAAATTAAAGGAAGATGTGGACAAAATAAGGATGAGAAAAACTAGATACATGTATAGGATCACCAAGGAGCAAAAATGATTCAAGAAACAAGGAATTAAATTTATTTATCACTCATATTCTCCTTCAGTTCCTTTCTCTTTTCTTTTATCTCTCTCTCTCTCTCTCTCTCCCTCACACACACACACACACACACACACACACACACAGAGAACAATGAACCCAAGGATTCAGCACTTAATCTACCAGCCCAGTTCTATCTAATACTGAATAGTGACAAACAGAATTATTGTGACTGTTTACAAATGGCTACTGCTTCCAGGCAATTTTCAAGGCCTGGAAGAAAGTATAAATGTCATCTAGACATAGTGAAACATAAAAGACATTTTGGATGTTAGAGCTCAGACTTTTAATATATACCAACTCTAAAAGCTGCAATTATGTGGTAGCAATAACCATGTGGGTAAATATAGTGTACATCTCAAAGATAATAAAATAAATGGTCCTCATAGGGTAGTTTTAATGCTAAATTTTGTGTTTGTAACAATTACATTTTAAATCTTTAATGCTGGTGTTAAGATTTTCAGCATAAGTGAGTTAGGTTGTTCACACTATTCAGACTCAAAAGTAACAAATGTTCTTGGAGCAAAAAAGTACATAGAAATTCTACTTTCATGAATCTATTCTTGATATGTGTAGGATTTTGACTAAAAGCATTTTAATTATAGTTTTAATTAAAAAAGATAGCTCTCAAGAAAACACCCTTCCCTCTCTAAGAAAAGATAGCAAATAATTAGAACACCTATAATCACAGCATTTTGAAAGGCCAAGGCACGAAGATTGCTTGAAGCCTGGTGTTCAAGACCAGCCTGAGCAACACAGCAAGATTCTGTCTCTACAAAACACAAAAGAATTAGCCAAGCATGGCAGTGGGCACCTGCAGTTCCAGCTACTGAGGAGGCTGAGGCAGGAGAATCACTGGAACCTAGGAGTATGAGGTTACAGTGAGCTATGATGGAGTCATATGATGGAGCCAGCCTAGATGACAGGGTACGACCTTTTCTCTAAAACGAACAAACAGAAAATGTCTCTGTGTGTTGTGTGTTATAGAAAAAAGTTACGGAAGTGTCCTAAAATGTTATTATCTGTGCTCATTTGTGAGTGATAAGAAATATGTATAATTGTCACTTTAAAGTATTCTGATATTATTTAATTTTTTTGTGTGGGCACATATTTCATTTATATGTGGGAAAATTATTTCTAAAAATAAATAGGCAGATGTAACTTATAAATAGGTTACAAAAACCACTTCTATGATCAGTATGCCAAAAATATGTTTATATAAAATAATGGTTGCTGAGTCATCAGAACAGTCCATATTCTAGAAAATGTTGAAAAAAATCAAGTAAATTTATTAATTCATTTGTTCATTTATTCATTCACTCAAGACACCTTTATTTAAATTTTAACAAAATATTGAATTATTTAATATTCACTACATATGAATCACTACTAATCACAAGGTCTACAGGAATGGAGGAAGCACCATAGCTGTCTTTAAAATGACCAAATGCCATGAAATCAGAAAATGGTTATGCTCATGTATATTTCTGATATGCTCATGTAGATTTATTTGGCTAAGAAGCATTCAGACATTGGTAATAGTAGAAATCCAGCTATATACTGTAAGGTTTGGAATAATTGGAATAGGCACAATTCTCTAGATGGCAATACAATCTTACTGTCATACTATCGCCGGCAAGAGTCTGATCTGTAGCAAGAATGCACATAGGTTTGCCTTCCCCTTCCTTTTTTTCCCATCCTGGCAGACAGGCCCTGAATTTCTAGTTTCAAGCAGCCAAATAAGGACTTAGGCAAATTCAGGCCCCTAGCATAGTCTGGCGATTTATATACTTGGGGTATATATGGCTTAGGATTTCATAGCCAGGGAATAACTTGTAACGTAATCCATAATACATAGCCCATAATTGTATTTTGCATGTTTATTAAAAAGGAGTAAATGGAGTAGGACTCATCCATATCCTTTCCTTTTGGGCTCAGGAGAAGATAGGATATGCACTTAAACTACAATTTATAATCTCAAAACCTCCTCCAGCTCCAGAAGAGCTATTTATCATCTCAGTGCTAAATGTAACCCAGAAAGAGAAAATGAACCTCCTGTAATGAAAAGTCTGAAAGTTGGAGCTATAAACAACTGCACGGAGAGTTCTGTGCTGAATTTATACAGACTGTAACCATCGTTCAAGGTGAAAAAATCAGTGACAGAACAAAAATCATCCACTGAACCTCAAGAGACACCTCTTTTCTCTGTGCTTTGCTTTTCTATATAGTGTTCTCATTCCTGATCAAGTTCTCTCCCCAGGGAGTGCTAATTGGCTAACAGTAACAACTACAGAAGTCTGTTTTGTTCTATAAACCAGCAGACTCAAAGAGTCCTCTGTGGAAAACTTAACGTTAATACTACTTCTGACTTCATCCAAGAGAGCTGCTATGCCTGTATCATAACCTTTGTTGCCACTTTGGAGTCTCTTTTCCAAGCTCTTATTTAATAAGCTTTAGGGAAAAAATACAGTTCATTAAAACAAACAAACAAACAAAAAAACAGGTCATTTGGTTTCAGACATTAAAGAGTGTATAACCTACTAAATAAACACAATACTGAAGGTAGGGTGGGAGCTACTGGTAAAATATTTTTTTAAAGTCTATTTCCTAAAAAGATTAGCCAATGTTTACCAGGTGGTAGGCCTTATTCTGTGTACTTTACCTGTATTAAATCAGTCAATCCTCATGATAACCTTAGGAAGTTGGTACCACTGTTAATCACAGTTTACTAAAAAGGGAACTGAGATTTAGAGAATTTAAAACTAAATAATTTATCCAAATTCATACAGATAGTAAATGTCAACATCTTTCCACTCATACCTTTAGATTAGAAATTCATTATTTTTATATCAAACTTAGTTAAAACATTTTTGCATTTACTTTTTAAATGTTCTTGAAGTATGAAAACCAAGGATAATAAATATGCCTAACTTTCTTCACACCACAAATAGTCATTCAGGCCACTCCTTTTCTCTTTCTTTATAATGTACTGGTACATAGCTAAATTATTGTATACACATAAATTTTAAAATATTTTACTGTAAAAGTATCAAGCTGTATTAACTGTAAAAGTTAAAGGATTTTATAGTAAGTACCCATATACCAATAACTAGATTTTGCTCTAAATAATTTACTACATTTCATTTATCATATATACATCTATTATATATTTATCATACAACATATTCTCATATATCTATACATTTATTATATTATTTTGTATCCTCCTTTTAATTTTACATCTTATCTTACTTTAATCTTAAACATACTTTAATTACTTCCCTTAAAGAGATTTACCCACACATTCATTAGGCCATGCTCTGGCCTAATCCTGGAACTTTACTCATTTGAAATATTTTCTTCTCATCCTTTACCTTCTCAATACTCCAAATGCTACTTATCCTTGAAGGTTTACTTTCTATATTTCATTGTCCATGTTAATAATATTTTGCCTATATTGTCTCTAAGTAAGATACAATGTTCTGCATTTAAGTGTTTAGCGCTGACAATTACATAGAAAAGGGGAAAGTGAAACTGAAATTTCCATTTTTCAATATCTTTAAGAGAAATTTGCATTACATGGAGATTCCACATCACAATAAGACATTTTGTACTAATACTTGAGAAGAGTATTGACTAACAGAACTTTCTGCAGTGTTGGTACTATTTTATATATCACTATAAGTATTTAGCATTGAGTTTTTAATTTAATTTTAATTAACTTAAGTAGCCATATATAGCTAATGGCTATCTAATTAGCACAGCTCAAGACTAGTACATTGAAGATAAGAAAAGATAAGTTTCCTATCATGTGATCAAGCAGTTCCACTACTGGGTATGTATCGAAAGGTAAGGAAATTACTGATCTATGAAAAGGATACCTGAACCCTCATGTTTACTGTGGCATTATTCACAATATCCAAGATATGGAATCAACCTAAGTATATATCAATGGATGAATAAAGCAAATGTGGTATATGAATACACACACACACACACACACACACACACACACACAGTGGAATACCATTAAGTCATAAAAAAGAATGAAATCCTGTCATTTGCAGCAACATGGATGCAAATGCAGGTCATTATGGTAAGTGAAATAAGCCAGGTGCAGAAAGACAAATACCATATATTCTTACTCACATATGTGAGCTAAGAAATTTGATCTTATGGAGTTAAGTAAAATGATAGTTATCAGTGGCTGGGAAGAGTGTGTGTAGGAAGAGGGGATGAATAGAGATTGGTTAATGGGTACAAACATATAGTTAGAAGGAATAAGTTCTAGTGTTTGATAGCACAGTAAGGTGATTACAGTAACAATAATATATTGTATATGTCAAAATAGCTAGCATAAAAGGTTTCAAATATTACCAAGACAAAGAAATGATAAATGTTCAAGGTGATGAATATCCCAAATATCCAGATTTGATCATTACCCATCTAATTGTGTCAGATACTTTGTCAAGTGAAGATGCAAATGATATGTGTGCATATATATGTGTACACACATCCCCTCTACATACATATATGTACACACACACGCATATATATATATACACACATACATATACATATTCTGTATAAGGAGCTTATATTTATCACAGTCAAGGACAATTTGTGATACAGAATATCCAGTTCAGAAGTTATATGAACTAGATTATATGAAATTATATGAAAAATCACTGTGTCAGTATTACAGAACAGAGAAGGGCACCTAACTCAGTCCCCAGTACCTGTGGATGATAGAGGAAATACACCAAAAAAGCTTCCTATAGGGATGTGTGAGCTCAACCTTAAAATTAAAGCAGTAGCTGATTAAGAAAAAAAGTATAGGGAGACCTTTCCAGAATATTAGCTAAAATATTGAGGCAAGAAGCATCATGATATACATGGAAACCTCAAAGCAGTTCTGCTTTTCTCAGCTAGTTTGGGCAGACTATTTAGGACTAGTATGCTCTGTTTAAGAGCTGGGGTGTTATTCTGTAGGAATGAGAAACCACCGACGAGTTACAAACAAGGAGTGACATAGTCAGATTCTAGTTTTAAACAGATCATTGTAGAGACAAGGTAACCAGAAAGGCAACCAGTTAGGGTAATTTTGCAATATACTATGATAGAGATATTAGAGGCCTGAATCAAGCTATTGTCAATGAGGGTGAACATGAGGAAACAGAGTAGAGAAATAATTAAGATTAAGTTTTGGTATAATCCCTAGGCTTAGTAGTTTAGAGAACAAGATAAAAAGTTTAGTTTTAGGTAAATTTAGTATACATGCCTATGAACTATGCGCATGGGATGGTCTAAGATAGGGAAGGAAGCAACTAGGAAGAAGAAAATATTTCCTGTGCAGTTTCAGAACTTTTACTTCTCACCAACACTAGTATCTCAACTCATGAGCTACCAGTTTATATAAAAAATATACAATTTTAAAAATAGAAGATAAGAGAATAATCTTATATTAATCTTATATTAATTTTAATAATCCAAATAATCTGTCTTTTGGAGCTAAGTTGGCATTTTATGCATCAAATGGTAAAGAGTAGAAATGACATGCATTCCATCCTGATAACGAACAGGTAGAGTTCGGGATTTATTTAATTACAACAATTCTTAGGATAGAAATTCAAGAGGTAACTTAAAATTTATTTGCCCCAGATAAGTAGAAAGTGAATAGTGAACTATTTACATAAAAGCATTATCTGAGTATTTTTATTTAAACCCAAGTAACCAGAACACTAATATCAATTGATATTACTAATCTCTCTTGACCCCTTCCTTTTAAAGGAAACAAATACTAGGATTTTATTTCATGAAACTTTCAAAACAAAAGCAAAGTCCAGGGTATAACTGGGCACAAGAAAACATTCATTCCCGTTTCCTACGTATTTAAATCACTGGACAATGAGGATTAATATTCAGAATCATGTTTCCTTCGCATTGTAAGTTCTGTAATTAATGCTTAATTTTTACCACTATATTCTGCTTCCTGAGAAAAGGAGATTTATAAATGCTCATTTAAAAAAGCTTACCCAGAGAGGGTCAATACAATAGGTTTTCCAGCATAACATACAGTTAATTCAATCAGTTAGTGGGAACAACTCAAATACTACTTCTTAAAAATCACTTGAGCTCCCTTTTATGATTTTTAATACCTTAAACTATCTTTAATCTTTATGACATTTCCAGACAAAATGGTAGTAATGATTGATCTCCACTGATCAAACACAAAGTAACTATATAAAAGAAATAGAGAAACTATAAGTAAATATAAATATATCCATGTGGCAGAGTAATTCTCAGGCCTAAATATGTCTTCACAAGGGCTGCATAGGGAAAATTTAAGTACGAATTTGTCTAGACAGGATATTTTTGCGAAGCAAAGCTAAAAAGCCCCAAAAGCCAATTTAAATGACTAGTTTTATCCCACTTGTGTGCCTGTAGAAGCTCAATCCACAGACCTATTGATTTAGATAATCTATGGATAGAGAAAAATTTCCTTTCAGCATCTTTCCAAAAGCTGCCCAGAGGAAGGTGATTGGCCCCTTAGGCTTGTTGACATAAAAGTTGAGATTGAAAGGCCACCTCCTCTCAAACTGTGCTGAATGTCCTCATCCTGAGAAATTAAGAGGCTGAAAAAACTGGCTAATGTCTGAAAAGCAGAGATTAGAACAAAAGAGTAAGAGAGGTTGAGAAGCAGGGTAAGAATCGAGGCCTCTTTACCTTTGAAGAACTATGAACAAACGGTTAGAGAATCACACAGTAATAATTAGTAGCACTATTCTTATATTTTTATTCCTTAGATGTGGCTTGTTTTCCAAAGAATTCCATATATTTATCTATTATAAACTGTACGTCAACTTTGTCAGGTAGGCAGTGGATATTTTTTTTCCAGATAAAGCAAGGTTGGTGATAAAGCAGCTTACAAACGAATAGCCATCATGCGTTAGTCATATATTAATTCTCACACTCATTATGTGAAATATGTAGTACTATTACTCCTATCTTATGCATGAACACACAAGTATATAGAGATACCAATTGACTTGGTAACTTATGTCACTTAGCGTATGGTAGAGTTAAGGTAAAACATCTAACTATCCTGACATGGAGCATATTTTGTTTATTTGTTTTTCAGTAGACCACATCGCCTCCCATGAAAGAGTTTAATGTATTCCATAAAAGTAATGTAGAGTCCCCAGGATGAACTGCTTTCAATGTCAGGAAGAGTTCTTTAAACAACAGTTAAAAGCAGCATTATTTGAAAAGAAAAATAAGTAGAGTATATTGTTTTTGCCTTTACCGAGAGGTAGGGGGTACACTTTTAACTAATACCCACTTACTGATGCATAAAATTGAGTCCTCCCTTTACTTAAAGAATAGAGAAACATATATTGAGAGCTGAGTTATGTGAAAGCTGCTTATGATCATAATTACTCTTCAAGATTTCACCCATTTTGGAAAAGAAGAAATGAGGCACTGACGGTATTTCACGCATGACCATACAGTCTGCAAGCTGTGGGACTAGACTGTATCTCTAATGCCAACTGCCTTACACTGAAAATCTTCTGTTTCATGAGCACCCCTAGAGCTGAGTCCTACTTGCCTTGTTTGTTATCTGCCTTGAGGCCCAAGGCAGTGCCCAATTCACACTCAAATTTGAGGGCTTTGCTGAGTTCTTATACCTAACACAGTTCCCAAATAATTATTTTTTGAAAGACTTAGGAAAATGGCATGAAGTAGAGCCTAAAGAATTTAACTGAAGCAATATTGTAAGGAAAAGTCAGTGTTGGAGAATACAAACTATCCTACCACTAGGCCAAGAACCAGTTCCTAGGGGACTGAAGAAAATGAGAAAACTGAAGCAGAAGGAAATAAACCTTGAATCATTTCTGGTAGTAAATGTGAGAAGAATAAAACCAAATATGACCTGGGGCATTCCTCCACATTTCAGTCACCTTTTCTTTTAGAGAGAGAAGCTAGTTGCATGGGATGATCATGTTATTACTGTTGAATTTCTGACTTTTTGCCACCTACATCATTCAGTTATGTTTTATCACCTTTTATTCCCCCTGGCAACAAGATTGACCATTAGTCTGAGTTGACTCTAGATATCTAAGGGAAAAATGTTATAATTCATCAACATAGTCTTGTCAGACAAGGTTAGGATGTATTTCTGATAGACAGGAAGGGAACAGGTGTTTTTAATATCACTAAAACTGTAAGATGTATAGCATACAATCTATTTCTTCTCTTTCACCTCTAGCAGAGAGCGAGAAAGAGAAAGAGAGAAGACAGAGAAGATTTATGCAACTTCTTGATCATTTTCAAATAAGTTTTCATAAGAAGCTTTAAGGAAGTTTTATCAAAACCCTAATATTAAGTAAGTACTACTTTGTTTTATTCAAATAACATACATATATTAATGAAGTCTTGCACACCAAATTGAACATTGGATTGAACTTTTAAGTTTATATTATTTGACACCCTGAAGTAGACTTTTCAGTCATACTTTTATCTGAACTTTATAATGGACTAATGAAATCACTAAGAATGTTATAAAACTAGAACAAAATTTGCAACATTTAACAGATGAGCCACAGATCACAGACATCGGTACAAAATTGATAAATAATTAAACAGATCTTTTAGACTTACAGAAAATAGACATGCCGAGTTTTTGCTCTAGAAATTGATTATTAGGACATTTCCCTTTCAAAAACTGGAGTGGCTGGGCTATATCTCCTTTTACTTTGTTACAAAGCCTGGATCCCTTTTATCCTGTTACAATGAACTAGGAGATGAAGAATCACAGTAGATCCCAAGTGACTTTCCCAGGGCTAAATTGCAAGCAAGGTTTCTTCAGGTGTTTCTTGTTAAAGTAAAAATCTCATTGTAATGAAATTAATGTTTACTTGTCTATCTTACTTACAATATTAGAAGCTACCCTACCTTCTTAAAGGTAAAAATAATGTTACACTTCACTTTTGTACTTCAAAAGCCTATGACAGAGCCTGGCATATGTTAATAGCATGTAATAGATGTCTTTTGGATGAATTGGTGTTCTTTTAACCTCTGTGTTCCAATATAAATGCAGAGAATGAATTAGATCTCAGAAGTCCTTTTTTAGGTATTAAACTTCATATCCCAGATTCCATAACTAGTTTCATTTTTAAAACAAAGAATTATCTTCATGTTTCTTGGAACTTGTATTAATTTTGATGTATAAAGTGCAATTTTAACACAGCTGATGATACCTTGAAAAAATGTGACATGGCAATCAGATCTTTATTGTTATCAAACCACGACAGAGTGCAATTAAGATATATGCCTATGGGTAATAATAGTTTCTAGTAGACACATGCTCCCAAAGGAACATAGTGATTCTTATCAGAAGTCAGAAATAAAAGAGAATGTGGGAGCACAAGTATATAACATAGTGATGCCTTCATTCAATCAATAGTTATATGTAAATTTTTTTTGAAAGTAAGACAAAATCATTAAAGAAAAAAATACTTGCCCTGGTAGAGATCACATTTTACTGGGGTTATAGATAAATAATAATAAGCATAGCATAGTAGTAAATTATTTATACATTAGAAGAAGATCAGCACTGTGTTAAAAAAATAAAAAGAGCAGATTAAGGCATATTGGATGTCTTATGTGACACAATTTTACAGAGTGGTCAGCACATCCCTTATTGAAAAGGTAACACTTGAGTAAAGTCTTCAAAGGAAAGACTAATATCTGAGGAAAAAAAATCCAAGCAAGAGTAACAGCAAGTATAAAGACCAGGGGCAGGTAGTGGGCCCTGTGCTGGTAACTGAGACTGAAGCAGGGCTAGGAAAATTAACATAAATAGAAAGCAAAGTCTAAAAGGTAACGGGACATAGTATTACTTTGGCTTTTGAGCTGAAGAGAAATAAGAAATCATTAGATGTTTTTGAGCTGGTTTGAAATTTAAAAGACGACTTTGGCTTCTGTTTGAGAAAAGACTAAAAACAGGTAGAGGTGAAAGCAGAAAAACCAGTCAGGAAGTGGCTCTAATAATTCATTACCCTGTTCCTGATAACTTGGACCAGGGTAATGGTAGTACAGATAGTGAAAAGTAACAGGCTTTTGATTATGGTTTCCAAGAAGAACTAGAAGGATTTGCTAATGAATTGACGTGGGTATGAAGGAAGAGAGGAGATTCAAGAATGATTCTTAGGATTTTGCCATGGAGCACCCAAGAGTGGAGTTACCATTAAATGAAATGAAGCAGACAGTAGCTAAAGCAAAAGTTTTGTTTTTGTTTTTGTTTTCCTTTAGAAAATTAAAATATCATGTTTCTTTGTAATGAGTTTAGGATGTCTATTAGACATTTAAGTAGGCAGTTACATCTAGAAATCCGGAGCACAGAAGAGAGTTTGATCTAGAAATATGTGTTTATGATTCATCAGCATATACTTCGGATTTCTGACAATGAGATGTGTTCACAAAGGAAGACAGTGTACGTGGGAAAAGAAGGATAGGAAGGGGAAGAAAGGGAAGAGAAGGGAATAATAGTGAAGAGAAGAGATGAGGTCCTAGCACTAAGCTTAGGGCACATCAGTGTTAGGAAGGCCAGAGAAAAGAAGAGTGAGCAAAAGAGATTGAAAAGAAGTGGCTGATGAGACATGCTACTGAAGGGCCTAGACTACTGGAAACCAAGTGAAGAAACTGCTTTTAGGAAAAGGAAGACATTTCATTTGCATTTCAAAACCTCACCTTGGAGTAGGGAGCAAGATGGTAGAATACAAGATTCCACCAATGGTCCCCCTGAAAAGGACACCAAATTAACAAGTATTTACACAAGAAAAGCACCTTCATCAGAACAAAAAATCAGGTGAGCACTCACACTACCTAGTTTTAATATCCTATCCATGAAAGAGGCAATGAAGAGGTAGAAAAAATCTCGAATCGCTAATGCAACCCCTCCCCCACCCCCCAGCAGTGGCAGGGTGTGGAGAGTGTTTCAGTGTGCTGAGGGAGGGAGAGCACAGCAGTTATGAGGCATTGAACTCTGGGCCGTGTTGTTAGAGCAGAAAAGAAAACTAGACCAGACTCAGCTGACATCCACCCACAGACCGGAACATTTAGACCAGCCCTAGCCAAAAGGGAATTGCCAATCCCAGAAGTCAGAACTTGAGTTCCTGCGATCCTTGACACAATAGGCTAAAGTGCTATGGATCTCTGAGTAAACTTGAAAGGCAGTCTAGGCGACAAGGACTGCAACTTTTACAGGAGTCCTAGTGATGAACTGGGCCCAGAGACAGTGGACGAGGAGGGCACACCACCTATTGAGGCAACAGCCAGAGCAGTTAAGGAAGTACTGGCATCACTCGTCCCTAAAGCCCAGGTTGTGCAGCTTGCAGCTCCAAAAGAGACCCATTCTTTCCCCTTGAGGAGAGGAAAGGGAAGAGTGCAGGAGGACTGCCTTGCTTCTTGGATACCAGCTCAGCCACAGCAGGATACAGAACTGGTCAGAGTTATGAGAACCCTGTTCCAGGCCCAAGTTCCTGGACGATATTTCCAGACGCACCCTGGGCAAGAAGAGAACTCACTGCCTTAAAGGGAAAAAACCCAGTCCTGACAGCATTCATCATCTGCTAAGTGAAGACCCTTGGGCCTTGAATAATCAAAAGTAATACCCAGGTAATATGTCAAGGGCCTTAGGTGAGCCTCTGAGACTTGCTGGCTTCAGGTATTATCTTGGCCTCAGTGGCATAGACCACTAAGCAAGCCAGGATGTTGGGGTCCTAGATTCTAGGACTTGACTCTTAGATGGCATTTCTGGACCTGCCCATTGCCAGAAGGGAGCCCACTGCCCTAAAGGGTGAGTCCCAAGCCAGGTAGCATTAAGCACAAGCTTACTTGAGAGCCCTTGGGCCTTAAGGCCACATTGGTGGCAATTTGGCATTACTCTCTGTGGGCCTATTGTGGTGGTGGCCATAGGGTGTGGCTCCTCTGCCTTTTGAAAGGCAGGAGAAAGAGTGGGAGACTGCATCTTGTGGTTTGAATGCTGCCAGCTCAGCTGCAATTTACAATAGAACACCAGGTAGACTTCTAAAGTTTTTGACTCTAGTCCTTGACACTCAGATGGCACCTCTGGACTAACCAGGGGCCTAGCGGAACTTGGTGCCCTGAATGTAAGGACATAGGCCTGGCCACCTTTGCCACCTGCCAGTTGTAGAGCTCCAGGACCTTGAGTGAACATAGGCAATAGCCAGAGAATGGTTACAGCAGGCCTTGGGTGAGCCCCAGTGCTGTGGTAGCTTCAGATCTAACCTAGTACAGTCATAGTGGTGGTAGCCACAAGGGTGCTTGTGTCACTCCACCCCCAGCTTTAGGTTGCTCAGACCAGAGAGAGAGACTGTTTGTTTGGAAGAAAGTAAGGGAAGAGAACAAGAGTCTCTACCTGGTAATCCAGAGAACTCTCCCGAATCTTTTGGAAGACCATCAAAGCAGTACCTTTATGAGTCTGCAAGAACCACAGCATTACTGCGCTTGGGGTGCCCCCTAAAGCAAAAACAGCTTAGACCACAACATGCAAGTCCTTATGAATATCTGAAAAGCTTTCCTAAGAAGGACAGGTACAAACAAACCCAGACAGTAAACACTGTAATATATGCCTAACTCTTCAATGTGCAGACACAGATGAACATTCATAATCATCAACAACATCCAGGAAAACATGACCTCACAAAATGAACTAAAGATGACACCAGGGACCTATCCTTCCTGGAGAAACAGAGATATTGTGACCTTTCAGACAGAGATTTCAAAATAACTGTGTTGAGGAAACTCAAAAAAATTCAGGATAACACAGAGAAGGAATTCAGAATTCTATGAGCTAAATTTAACAAATAGATTGAAATAATTACAAAGAACCAAGCAAAAATTCTGGAGCTGAAAAACAGTATTGAAAAATACTCTGAAGAATGCATCAGAATCTCTTAATAGCAGAATTGATCAAGCAGAAAAAAAGAATTAGTGAGCTTGAAGACAGGCTATTTGAAAATATGCAGTCAGAAGAGACGTATTAGTCTGTTCTCATGCTGCTAATAATGACATATTGGGAGACTCGGTAATTTATAAAGAGAAAGAGGTTTAATGACCCACAGTTCCACATAGCTGAGGAGGCCTGAGAATCATTGCAGAAGGTGAAGGAGTAGCAAAGGCACGTCTTACATGGTGGCAGGCAAGAAAGCACGTGCAGAGGAACCACTCTTTCTAAAACCATCAGATCTTGTGAGACTTATTCACTGTCACGAGAACAGCATGGGAAAAACCTGCCCCTGTGATTCAGTTACCTCCCACCAGGTCCCTCCCACAACACGTGGGGATTATGAGAGCTGCAATTCAAGATGAGATTTGGGTGAATACACAGCCAAACCATATCAGGAGACAAAATAAAAAAGAATGAAAAACAATAAAGCATGCCTATAAGATGTAGGAAATAGTTTCAAAAGGGCAAATCTGAGTTTTCAGCCTAAAGGGGAGGTAGACAAGGACATAGGGGTAGAATGTTTTTTCAAGGAAATAATAACAGAGAACACAAACCAAAAGAAATATATCAGTATCCAAATCCACGAAGGTTATAGAACACCAAGCACATTTAAACCAAAGAAGACTACCTCAAGGCATTTAATAATCAAACTCCCAAAGATCAAGGATAAAGAAAAGATCCTAAAAACAGCAAGAGAAAAGAAACAAATAACATACAATGGTGCTCCAATATGTCTGGAAGCAGAGTTTTCAGTTGGAACCTTACATGCCAGGAGAGAGTGGTGATATGATTTGGCTGTGTCCCCACCCAAATCTCACCTTGAATTGTAATAATCCCCACATGTCAAAGACAGGGCCAGGTGGAGATAATTGAATCATGGGGGTAGTTCCACCATACTGTTCTCATAGCAGCAAATAATTCTCATGAGATCTGATGGTTTTAGAAATGGCAGTTCCCTTGCATAAACTCTCTCTTGCTGCTGCCATGTAAGATGTATCTTGCTCCCCCTTTGCTTCTGCCATGATTGTGAGGCCTCCCCAGCCATGTGGAACTGTGAGTCAATTAAACCTCTTTCCTTTATAAATTACCCAGTCTCAGGTATGTCTTTATTAGCAGCATGAGAACAGACTAATACAAGGTCATGGCATATTTAAAATGCTGGAGGAAAGCCACTTTTACCTTATAATAGTGTATCCAGCAAAAATATCCTTCAAACATAAAGGTTAAACAAACGCTTTTCCAGACAAACAAAAGCTGAGGGATTTCATCAACATGAGACCTGTCCTACAAGATATGTTAAAGTGAGTACTTCAATCAGAAGAAACGAACATTAATGAGCAATAAATAATTACCTGAGGGTATAAAACTCACTGGTAATAGTAAGTACACAAGACACACAAAATATTATAACACTGTAACTGTGGTGTGTAAACTACTCTTATCCTAAGTAGAATGACTAAATGATGAACCAATTCAAAATAGTAACTACAACAACTTTTCAAGATATAGGCAGTACAACAATATATAAATAGAGGCTGGGTGTGGTGGCTCACACCTGTAATCCCAGCACTTTGGGAGGCCAGGCAGGCAGATCACAGGTCAGGAGATCGAGACCAGCCTGGCCAATATAGTGAAACCCCATCTCTACCAAAAATACAAAAAAGTAGCTGGGCGTGGTGGCGGGCACCTGTAATCCCAGCTCCTCGGGAGGCTGAGGCAGGAGAATTGCCTGAAGCTGGTAGGTGGAGGTTGCAGTGAGCCAAGATTGTGCCACTGCACTCCAGCCTGGGCGACAGTGGAAGACTCTGTCTCAAAAACAAACAAAAAAAAGATATAAATAGAAACAACAATAAGTTAAAATGTGTGGGCTGGAGGAGGAAGTTAAGGCTTAGTATTTATTAGTTTTCTTTTTTATTGCTTATGCAAACAGTGTTAAAAATGGGAGTTCCCTTGTTATTAAAGTAATGGGTTATAAGATAGTATTTGCAAGCCTCATGGTAAGGTCAAACCAAAAAATATACAATGAATCCATAAAACTTGACTTTCATTTGAGAACACTAAGATATTCCAGACATTGCAAGTGGACACAGATGTCAGAATTTCATAGTAACACCAATGAAAGGAAAAATAATTAGTTTTTATTGAGTACCTGCTATGTGCCTGGTACTGTATTTGTATTATCTCATATCTAGCCTTCTACTTGCAAAGTTCTTAGACACTATTATCCCTATTTTAAAGATGAGAAAATCCTGACTCAAAATTAAGACATTTCCATTGTCATGAAGATAGTGAATAACGGAGCCAGAATTGGTATTCATTTTCATTGGACAAGTCAGAATTTCTTGGACTGTATTGCTTGCTTTGCTGTAAATGACTTGGTAACCTCAATGAGTAATTTGAAATATCTGGGCCCTAGGTTACTCAAATGTAAACATATAGAAGCTATCAACTGAAAGGACAATTGTGAAGGCATTAAGATGCACATAGTATGACTTCCTTAACTTCTGAAAAAGTACCGAAGAATCACACCAAGGTGCAAGATAAAGGCTTGAGGTTGCCTGAGGTTGGTCTAAGATGCTGATTTCTCAGCTACTGGTGTGATTTACACAAAAGAGAAAGAAAATTCTTAGGAAAAGCAGAGAAAAAAAACCCCCATAATTTATAGCCTCTAAGTTAATAGAAAGACAATGAACCTAATTAGTACATTTGACTCCAACTTAATCTATATTTTAAGGCTGATGACCTATGAACCTCAAGTAGTGACTCAGATGGTTAATGTAATATAAATCCAGGAGTAATAGAGAACTTCCAGAATGACTGTGGCGTAACCTAAACTTTTAATATTAGAAAAGAAGGCTACTGGCCTTAAAATTTCTGCTATAACTTGCCAGTGCCTAGTGCCACTTGCTCTGTGGCATACATTTATGAAATGGCACTGCTTCCTACATGCAAAAGTAGAAACAGCCATGTTATGCAAAATTATCTATGACATCCAACCCACTGGGGCTCATATACAACTTATGGTTTCATTATGCAGAATTATAATGGGTCTTAATATTCTATTACTCCTTGGCTCTAATACCTTTTCATCAACGTAAGGACCTTAAGATTAGGTCTTTGCTTAGATTGGCTAGCATTGTCACCCTGGAAACTCTAGTGTCCTATGGAATTACACAAATTGATAATCTAAAGATAGCAAGCATGTCAGAAATTTCAGAAGTAGTTACAATGTATTTGTTAATAATTCATGGTTAGCAACAGGGATATGAAATTACAAATGACTGAACTTCAGTTTCCTGATCATATATGATTACTTAAGTAACTGTAAGTCTTCAGCACTCACTGTATCAATTATGCAACATCTTAGGTGATTGATTTTTATTGGTCTCTGCCTGAGTTAACTTAATTTTTCAGTTGTCTTTCTTCCAGATTCTTCTTAGAATTGTTGTCAAACAAGAAATTAAATTATATTTTTCTCCCATTACCTACTTGTAGGCTGTGATCCTCCTTTGACAAGTCCAAACGCTTTTATCAGAGGATAAATAGATGGTGCCTTAAGAAGAGTAGAACTGAGACATTATTAAAGGTCAGGGGGCTGCTTTCTCAGTTTCCAATAAGCAAGTGGCCCCATCTAATTCCTTCAAGCATACCTGAGCTATTTTTCCTTTAAATATAAAGTAACAACATAGAACCCTAGACAGTGATCTCAGCTATACTTTTCTCTTTGTGCCTAATGTAAATGTTATTCCCAAACCATCTCAGAAGCAATAAACATTTAGTCCATTCATTGTCATACCATGATCTGGAGAAAAGTGGATCTAAAATCTGTACTATGGGAAGATCATGCAATTGATAGAGATAAGCATATAAGCCCACCACATAAGAATGTAACCACATTCAACATTGCACAATAACTGATTCTTGAGACTAAGCAATAAAAATTGCACCTGTTTTTAATCACTTCTTACTAGACTTAAATTTAAGGTACACTTTGTGACAAAAGGCACCATCATATTGAATTTCCCTCATGTTATCTATAGAGAAAACTATTTCAAAACACTGATAGGATAGGATCAGCTATATAAGATATTGGTGTTAACTCATAAAAATGCTGAGCTCTAAATGAGCCAAAGAACACAGTATTGCTATTTCCTAAGCTGCAGTTCAGGGAAGCCTGCATCATTAAAAAAAAAAGAATTCTTATCTCCAATTGATGTTTATTACTCTCAAGTTTTGAGGAAAAAAGGAATGAAATGGTCTATCAGTTCTCATTAACTCAGAATATAAAAATATCTGGTAGACTCATGGCAGATGGCTTGAATTAGTCATACAATGTGGCTAAGGCTTTAGTGGCAATTTATATTTTGTTAGAAGGAAATAACCAGTGATATACTGTCATTTCAGTTAGCGTTTATAAATGTAAAAAATAAGCTAACATTGAAAATTTTACTAAGGTCACCTTGCTCTACTTTTTCTGATTAGGAGTTCTGTAACTTATATGAATAATTTATTAGAAAAAGTTACCAATCTTCTCATAACTCAGGTACTCTGATGAGAAAAAATTTACAAACATAAACAGAATTCTAGGATAACTCACCTAGCAAAACTATGGTTAAAATAATGAAAGCCATGTAATACACATCCCAATAAGGGGCATTTGTCTATATTATATACAAATGGAGAACGGCTTCTGTCCTGCATAAGTTCCTTTTTTAATCAACACAGGGTAAATTTCTTATCTCTGTGGGAGGAGGAGTAGGCTTCAGAAGTTATTGCTTCATAATCCATAGGGATGTTTTCAGTTTACCAGACAGACTGTACTGATAGGTGTGAATTTTATAAGTTCATTATGTTTATGATTTTTGAAAGCATAAAGTGATTTTTAAATATTTTTCTTTAATTTTATAATAATAGCGACCTGCATTTCATACAATTTAATTTTCTGTTAACTATTTATAGTGTTATGGCACAGTTTTGCTGCATTGCCCTGATGTATGATTTCTAATTCTTTGGATATGACCAAATCAAAGCTCAAACTAAAAGAAATTTGTATATAAGTATACATCACTGTATACATACATGTAAAATGGCATTGTAAGATCCCGTTTTTCCCCGTAGATGGACATTACAGTTTAGTCCAAGCCAGAAGGTAATTGGGTCAACCACACCTGGACTCTGAGGATTTTAAATTCTAGTGTCAAAAAACTGCTTCTGACACATTGAGCTGAGCTGAACCTCATGCTAGGTTCACTGCGAGCTGAATTCTGGCTGAGCAGTATAAATGATGTGGCTGTCTTGAAACAAAGCCTTCTGAATTCTCAAACTGACAGGATCTATAAAAACTTGGAGAGAATTCAGAGGAAGCCATTTCCATAATCACAGAACTGGGAAGCCAGAACCACTGGAAAATGAAGAAACTTATTTTATTCATTAAGGGATAGTAGATGGCATCATTAAAGAAAAGTTATATTGATGTAAAAAAATGTTATTTAGACTATGGCAATGAAATCTTTTCCATTTCCACTATATATGTGAACAGTAAAATATTCTCTTTGGGGAATTGGAAATATATAAAAACTCCCTGAAACCCAAAGTCATTAAATATTGGATGTACTGGATTGTCAAATATTAGAATGAGTTATTAAGTTGAATGTGAAATCTGATGTTTTGGCAGCCCACATTAATTTTCTTCTCCCTGGGGTGGAGTGAGAACAACTGTAACTAAAAATAGTGCTTTTGGGCTAGATTAACAGCCAATAGTATATTCATGCAGCACAATTTCCTGGGTATTTCTGTGCCTATGATAGGGTATGTTGTAGCAGTTATTGGAATCCTACATCTTCTTTCCAGTCAACAGTTGTGAGGCTGTGGGGAGGAAACCTAATTAAATTTCAGTTTCCTCCTTTTATAAAATGGGAATAATGCTCTAGAGATTGCTGACAGGAAAATAAGAAAAAATGGAATAAGTACTTGTACAATGCCTGACACATATTAAGTCCTCAATAAATATTGAGAGTATTTTGTTTCATTTTAAACTTAGATGAAATAATATAGAGATGTTGGGTACAACAGTAGAATTCACTATGGCCAATTTTTCTTTCTCCAAAGCTTTTCTGCTTTAATCAATGCCAAGCATTACAACTGAGTCTTAGAACACAAAAGAACACAAGCAGGATAACAAATGAAGTAAAATTATCATTCTATTTTATCCCAGGAAAAAAAATATTTCCAACACAGATATTCTGAAGAGTGTTGAATAAATTATGTATATTCTCTCAGAAATAAAATGAATATTCTCATTTTAGTCTGTAAAAGTATATAGTCATACATTGATTGTAATTATTTTTATTCCAAATATCATTTAAATGAGGGTATAGGAGTCTTGAATCCACAGGCAGGAGTGAGACTGAGCACTAAAAAACAGAAACTTCAATACTATCAGAACTGTCCAATATTTCTCTCTTCTACCCTGCTGTCTGCTCTTTTGTTTTTAATCTTTTTTTATCTCTTCCTTTCTGTCTCGGGCTATCTTAGTGTTTGTTTCTCTGTTTTTGTCTGCTTCTTTGAGCTATAATTTGAAAAAAATGCTGTCTTTAGTTCCTTCATTTTTAACTTATGGGCAAAATTTCCAAGGAAATACTACATTTTATTTCTTAACATTAGCACCAAAACTGTCAGGTAAGAACCATGATTAGACAGTGACAGGAAGATGTCCACCCATGGATCTCTCTAGTGTACCATATGGTGGCTTTCAAAGTAGCTATGGGTGGTAGAAAAGGTAAAAAGGGATATTTCCAAAAAGAGAGCTGATGCTGGGTTAACAAAACAAAAAATGTCCACTTCAATATACACTCATGTCCAAATATATCACATATATAGGAATATATGTTTTGTATACATATATTTTATTTTACACACACACACAGACCCACACACACACGTGGCCTTGAAATACTCAAGGCCCCGTATATTCCAAATGGGACCTTTGGCTATTTCAATAGATTTGTATGCTGATGTCTAGATTGAATACTATACATTGTTTATTATACATATGCGGGACTATGCCATACTCATATGAAAAATGAAAAATCTATACATTGATGCTACAAAGTAAAAAAAGAAATCTCAAATCCACTAATTATAACAGTTTTCTTCACATTATGGATTTGTCCATTGAATCGTGTGCTGGACAAAATAAATGTAATAGTCCCATTCTAATTTAAATAATATATCGCTTTTTGATATTTGACTGTCACATTTCAGCTCAGGGAAAACAAGACATTATATTGCCGTTCAAATAAGCTATGAACAAAATATCAGTGACTTCTGTATCAGCCATATTCATTTCTAAATGTTTTATGATGTATAGCCAACATTTATTGCCATCTTCACATAGAAATATAATATGTATAATCCCATTGGAACCACAAGCAAACAATGTCTTGATCTTTGCTCCTCCCAACCCAGTCTGCCCTTCCAACAGTGTTTACAACTTAAAAAGGCAAATCCATTTTCTGAATCCTTGAGCAAAAATTAATGACCTTTTTTCCTTCACACTGTAGATCCAAACCATCACCAAACCACATGACTCTACCTTCAAACACATTCAGAATCTTCTCTCCAGCTTCATAATGACCACATAGGGCCCAGCCAACATCTTCTCACCAAGAGTATTGCAGGAGGCTTCTAACTGATCTCCATACTTCCATCTTTATGTCTCTATAATCCATTTTCAATAGTAGCCAGAGTAATTTTTTCAAAAATTTTAAATAAGGACATCAGTCTTTTGCTCAAATCCTTTCAGTGCTTCTCATCTCAATCAGAAACAAAGTCTGTATGATGGCCAGAAAGACATACAGAATCCACAACCCCTCCCCAGTTACACCTTCCACGACGTCTCTGGAGAAGAGTTTGTTAATTTCCTCTTCTCTCCTTTGCTTACTCCATTTCAGCCACATCAGTTTATTTTATCTCAAAAACACTAGAAACACATGCGCCTCCAGGCCTTAAGACTTGCTATGCTCTGTCTGGACTGCTCCCGCCATCTCCAAATGGCCCTGTCTCTCTTCTCTTTAACTATTTGCTCAAAGGTCGCCTGCTCAGGGAGTCCTCTGAGTCCACTCCATTTAAAATTTGAGACCTCTCGCTCCTTATCCTTCTTCTCTGCTTCATTTCCTATATCTTGTTTATTACCATCTGGCATACTCTGTATTTTATTATTTTATTTTTTTATCATCAATATCCCCCTACCCTATATGAAGAATGTAAACTCCATAAGAATGGCAATTTTTGACTGTTCTGATAACTGTTGTACCATAATTGCCTAGGTTTGTGCCTGGCATATACTGGATGATCAATAGATGTTTCAGTTGAATAAAGTAATTATTGAGGAAGGAGGGGTGAAACCGTACCTTACTGGTAATACACAGCCACTAGCATTATGAACCATATTTCTCCTAATGACCATAATCAACACTTTGCTTTTCTTCAAGCAAATGACCGAACTAAAGGAGATATTATTTTGAGATGAAGTGGCTAGCTTCTTAATCAACAATACACAAGTGCATAGTGCTTTCATATGCATTGTTCAGTCCACCCTTCAAAGAACCCTAAGAGCAATATAGTGCTATCTCTGGGAATATGAAGAATCTGGGATCAGTAATGTAGGCAGGAACACGTAGCTACTGGCAGAGTCTGATCTCAGACTTCTGCTTTCAGTCAAGGAATGCCTATGCCACTTGAAATAAAATGTTTATTTTTCCTCTACTTAAGATCCTTAGATTATAAAACCACAATCAAAAGAATAGAGTATTTCTTATCTGAACAACATTTCCTTAATGCACTCATGAAATTTCCCTTTTATTTAAAGCCATATCATTCTGACTCTCTGCTGTTATGGTAAACACTTTATTCCCTTATACATCACTTTCAAATGAAGGCACCAAGCAAGTCTCACTTTGCCCCTGTCTTGACAAACTTATCCCGATACCACTGAACAGAGTACTAACATGGAGTGGCAGGTATGTGGTGGTGATGGCAGAAAGTCAAATGGTATTGAATCCAGATAACTTTGGAAGGTGCAAGTTCCCACCATCTCTACCACATATCCACTGTTTCAAATAGTGCTCCAATGAATGGTACTTGCAAGGACTTTAGCTTATTTATTGAGTTTCTACTACATGTGAAACAGGGAACATCAGGGACAGATGGAGAGGTGAATAAATCAGGCTCCATTTCTACAAGGAGTTTACAAATCTGGGGATGCCACATGCTGGGAAATGCAGCCTGGTATACTGAAAGAAAATTGGAATGAAATTTGGAAACCCAGATGTGATTCTGCCTTCCTCAAGATCACACTTTGATTCAACTGCCGGCATAAGTGTTACAGCAGAGAAATAGAAGTCTAGAGTAAAAAGAGTCTAATTTTATTTCAGTAACCAGATATATAAGTATGATATGGTTTATGAGTGTGTTTCTCAAAATGCAGTGCCATGAATTATCTACATGAGAACTGGCATATATACTTTAAAAATTCAAATTTCTAAACATCATCCTACAACTAGTAAATTGGTGTCTGTGGGATAGGGGAAGGATTTGGGGATATACATATTAATAAAGCCTCCTAGGTGATTCATATGCATTGTAAACTTTAGCAACTAAGCTAAGGAAAAATAGGATGATTAAACTAAAATAAACCATCATTTAAGTCTTTTACTAATAATTGAAAAAGTCTTTTGGCGGTAGAAAATGGAGGGAGATGCTCAGGGTGAGAATACCCACATTCCTATTCTCAGTAAAAGTTTTGCATTATGTGTAAGCCAACTTCTACAATGCAGATCAAGGCCACAAGTTGCCAGTTAAATTTAGTGTTCTAAGTCCTATGGAGATTTGTCTTGGTGGCAAAAACCAGGTAAGAGCTCAAGTGGTTTAATCCATTTGAGGATTTCTATATTTTCAAAATAAGGTATCATATTTATTTCAGTGATAGAATGTAATGTTGCAACAAAACAAAGATTTGGTAGCTATCCCTTCAGAGAAAAATTTTTCTAAAGCTTTCACAATAAATATATGAATCATTACCTTATTATACCAAAATATAGGGAAATTTTAAAGAATTGCATGTAGTAGTCATTTTACAAAACATCACAAAGGAGAATTATTTCATGTAATAGAATAATAAGCATTATAATATCTTGGAATAAAATAATTCTGAAAATGAAAAACTTTACCTTGCAGATACCACCAATAATATATAACTAAGCTTTCATACTTAATACTATTAAAACCTTTTGAAATAAATTATAGTTTAGCTGAAATGTATCTCCATTTGGTTTTTTCATATATGAATCTTTTGTTTGCTAGTGACTGACAATTCATTTGGTTGTTTTTTTAATGCCATTTCTCGCCTACTTTTTCCCAATATTTTATAATTGTAGGTACATAAGAAAATATCACATGAACTCAACAGTCAGAGGAAGCTGAAATGCTGCCAATTTCAAGTTATAATTATGGGTAGACAAAACGCTATCTGTGTGCCATGTCTGGGCCACAGCCTGTTTTCAGACTACTAGCAAGGTAAGAATAATTTTACCATTTTTAAACTATTATCAGAAAAAACTAAGAATATGCAATGAGGAACGTATTGTGTCTCGCAAAGTCTAAAATACATACTACCTGGCCTTTTTCATAAAATGTGTGGTGACCCATTTATTATATGAGGTATCCAAAAAAAAAAAAAAAAGAACTGATGATTAAGCAAATTGCTTTGCTTTCCATCAGCAATGCTGAAAAGTTCATTGTCAATGGTAAATAAGTTATATAATGAACTAAAACTAATACAAAGTGAGTAGCAAATAAGAAGAAATACATAATATAGTAATAAATTAAAGTTCTTAAGTATAAAATGGAAGGCTACAGGGCTATTTAGAGCATAGTCAAATATTTGTATAAAATTTCAATAACTTGAAAGTACTAGTATATTTCCTGAAACTATATGAACGGATCCTCAAAATAATAATAAACAGTGACTACAAAATTCTATTAAATAAGTATTTATTAAATAATGTGTTTAAGTACACATCAAACTCCATTTGATAGGGAGGGTAACGATTGCATCCATACAGTACCTAGTCCAAAATATAGCTCATAGAGTTCAAAAATCTTTACTGAACAAATTAAATAAAAGGGTTTCACTCTTATTTACTCTAATAAAAAATAAAATAATGTTCAAGGGTACCCTCCATTATCGTAGCATCAACTCCTTAACAATGCTGATTAAAAAGATAGCACCATACACTGATATACCTTGCTCCTCAGTCTATCATCCTTGGTCTGTATCTGGAGGCTTTACAATGTCAGTCAACCAAAATCTTCAAGTTTTCTCCAATATGTAGGTATATTCACTTCTATCTTTGCACAACTGTAAGCACTCCTTTTCAGAAGAAAGCTTTTTTAAAAAGGCATAAATGCACACAATATAATCCCTTCTTCACTCTCTTCTCATTTTATCCTCCCAAAGAATTTCTCAGTTATGTCTGCAGTAATCTTATACTACATAAAATGTCAAAATGTTCTAACACATAATACAAAATCCGTTCTCTAGCCCCTGGCTCAGCCACAGGGAAGAATATGTGCTCATTTCGTAATAGTTAGGGATTTTTGAAGTTTTCATAAAGGTGGAGAGTGCTCAAGAAAAAGAATCATTGTGAACATAAAAGACTTCCCATAGTGGCATAAACTTCTATTCAAAATGCTAAAAGTTCTGCAACACACTAATGCTAAACCTGGTTCCGTTCACACTTAAAAAAATCTACTGTTTTAATTTTATCACTTTTTTTTTCTTACCTCCCTCTTTTGAGATACTTGAAAACCTGTCAATCAAAATACAAAATAACAATTATTTGAATCAGAGGGCACAGGAATTTAACTGGATCATACAGAGCTTGAAAGGCCATAAATTACTATTGTACTGTTTGGATGCTTTCCAGGATAGGGGAAATAAAATGAATGACAGATACTTTTTAAATCATTAAAATAGAAAAGATCACCTAAAATTTAAAAAGCAGTTAAGAAATAAAAATGAAAAAGAGGGCTTCCTAATACAAAGTTGACTCGTATAAATATTTTCTCTTTTTAACTTTATTGTAAATTGACAATTTTTAATTACATATTCACGGGATACAAAATGAAGTTATCATTCATGAATACAATGTGGAATAATTAAATCTAACTAATTTACATACCCATCACTTCAAGTATTTATTATTTTTGTAGTGAGAACATTTTAAATTTATTCTCCTAGCAATTTTGAAATGTACAATACATTACCATCACTATATTCACCACATTATGTGACATACCTCAAAAAGAAACCCACCTTAGACCTCCTGTCTAACTAAGCTTTTGTACCCTTTGACCATTATCTCCCCACTGCCTCCATCCTCCAGGCTTCTGTAACCACCATTCTATTCTGCTTCTATGAGTTTGACTGTTTTAGATTCCACATATAAGTGAAAACATGCAGTATTTGTCTTTCTGTGCCTGGCTTATTTCACTTAGCCTAATATTCTCCAATTCCATCCAAGTTGTTGCAAATGACAGAATTTCGTTCTTTATTAGGGCTGCATAGCATTTCATTGTGTATATATGTACCACAGATTCTTTATCTATTCATCTGTTGATGAACACTTAGGTTGATTCCATATCTTGGCTGTCAATAGCGCTGCAGGGAACATGGGAGTGCAGACACCTCCGACAAACTGACTTCAAATCTTTTGGGCAAACATCCAGAAGTGGGTTTGCTTGATCATATGGTAATTCCATTTTAGCTTTTTGAGAATCCACTATACAATTTTCCATAATGGCTATAACTAATTTACATTCCCACCAACAGGGTACAAAATTTCCTTCTCTCCACATTATTCCCAGCATGTGTTATCCTTCATCTTTTTGATAACAGCCATTCCCACAGGTGAGATAATGTCTCATTTTGCTTTGAACTTAAATTTCCCTAATAATTGGTGATGTGGAGCATTTTCTCATATATATGTTGGACATTTGTATGTCTTCCTTTGAGAAATTTCCATTCAGGTCCCTTGCCCATTTTGTTCTTGTTGTTGTGTTATTTTCTCGCTATTGAATTGTTTAAGTTCTTTATATATTTTGAATATTGACCCCTTACAGAATGCATCGTTTGCAAATATATTCTCCCAATCCCTAAGTTTTTTATTCATACTGCTCTTTCCTCTGATGTGCAGAAGCTCTTTTGTTTGACCTAATCCCATTTGTCTATTTTCACTTTTGCTGTCTGCACTTTGGGGGGTCAAATAAAAAAAGTTACTGCCCAGACCAATGTTGTGTTTCTCCTATGTTTTCTTCTAGTAGTTTTTACAGATTCTGGTATTACAATTAAGTCTTTAATCCATCTTGAGTAGATTTTTGTGTATGTTGTGAGATGAGTCCACTTTCATTTTTCTGCATGCATATATCTAGCTTTCCCAACACCATTTATTGAAGAGGCTATATTATTCTTTTTATGTGTTGTACACACCTTTGTTAAAAATCAATTGACTGTATATGCCTTGGTTCATTTCTGAGCTCTCTATTCTGTTCCACTGGCTGATGTGTGTGTGTGTGTTTAATTAATTAATTTAATTTTCCAGTACCATGTTATTTTAATTACTATAGCATTATAATAGTTTAAATTCAGGTAGTGTGATGCCTACAGCTTTGTTCTTTTTGTTTATGATTGCCTTGGCTATTCAAGGTTTTTGAGAATTCCAAATGAATTTTACAACTTTTGTCTCTTTCTATGAACAATAACAATGGAATTTCAACAAAAACTACATTCAATCTGTAGTTCATTTTAGGTAGTATGGACATTTTAAAAATACTAATACTTCCAATATATAAACACAAACCATCTTTCCATTTATTTGTGTCTTCTTCAGTTTCTTTCATCAATGTTTTATAGTTTTCAATATACAAGTCCTTTATCTCCCTGGTCAAATTTATTCCTAAGAACAGATGTTCTTCGACATACAATGGGGTTATGTACCTATAAACCCATTGTTAATTGAAAATATCATAAGTCAAAAAGGCATTTCATACACCTAAACTGCCAAACATCATAGCTTAGCCCAGCCTACCTTAAAAGTGCTCAGAACATTTAAACCTAGCACAAAACCTAATTTAGAATAAAGTTTTGAAAATCTCATGTAATTTATAAAATAATATACTGAAAGTAAAAAACAGAATGGTTAAATAGTTCCCAATCCTAAATTTTAAAAATCATAAGTCAAGCCATTGCAAGTTGGAGAACATCTGTGTATTTTATTTTATTTTTTGTAGCTATTATAACTGGAATTACTCTCTTGATTTCTTTTTTAGATAGTTCACTGTTAGTATATAAAAATGATACTTCTGTGTGTTGACTTTGTATCCTGTAATATTATTGTATTTGTTTATAAGTTCTAACAGGTTTTTTTTTTTTTTTTTTGGTGGAGTCTTTAGGGTTTTCTATATATGATTTCTATACCTAAGATGCCATAAGAAGCATTCAGCAGTGAAGCCTTCAGATTCTGGGCTTTTCTGTGATGGGAGACTTTGTATTACTGATTAAATCTCCTTCCTCATTATTGGTCTGTTCGTATTTGCTATTTCTTCATAATTCAGTCTTGGTAGGTTGTATGTGTCTAAGAATTTATCTATTTCTTCTAGGTTATCTGATTTGTTGATTTACAATTATTCATAGTAGTCTCTTAAAATTATTTGTATTTCTGTGCTATCAACTTTAATGTCTTCCCTTTCATTTATAATTTTATTTATTTGAATCTTCTCTATTTTTTCACAGTTGACTAAATAAAAGCATGTTAATTTGATATTTTCTAAAAACCAACTCTTAGTTTATTGACCTTTTGTATTATTTTTCTAGTCCGTATTTCATTTATTTCTGCCTTCTTCTTTAATATTTCCTTCTTCCTGCTGACTTTGGACTTAGTTTGTTCTTCTTTTTCTAGTTCCTTGAGGAGCAACATTAAGTTGTTTATCTGAGATCCCTCTTCTTTTGTAATATAAGCATTTATTGTTATAAACTTACCTCTTAGAACTCTTTTTTCTACATCCCATAATTTTGGTGTGTCATATTTTCATTTCCATTCATCTAAAGATATTTTAAAATGCCTCTTTAAAATGTATTATTTTATCCATTCAGGCACATATTGTTTAATTTCCATGTATTTATGGATTTTCTCAAATTCATCATGCTATTGATTTCTAGTTTCATGGCATTGTGGTCAGAAAACATACCTGATATGATTTCAATCTTAAACTTTCTAAGGCTTTATTTGTGCCTTATCATGTGATCTACCTTGGGGAAGGTTTTAGGTTTGCCTTAGAAGAGTGTATTTTCTGTTGCTGTTGGATGAACTGTTTTATGCAGGTCTGCTAGGTTCATTTGGCCTGAAGTGTTGTTCAGTTCCAGTGTTTCCTTATTAATTTTCTGTTGAGATGAATGGTCCTTTATTGAAAAGTTATATTAAAGTTTCCTATTATCATTGCAATATAGTGTATCTCTCCCTTCAGGTAGTTTAATATTTGTTATATTTATCTAGGTGCTCCCATGTTGGGTGCATATATATTTACAATTGTTATACTTTCCTGATTACTTCATCTTTTCATACAATATAATAGCTTTCTTGGTCTCATTTTACAGTTTTCGACTTAAAGTTTATTTTGTCTGTGATAAGAATAGCTACCCCTGCTTTCTTTTGCTTTCCATTTGCATAGAAAATATTTTCAACTTCTTTGCTTTCAGTCTATGTGTGTCCCTGAAAGTAAGGTGAGACTGTATTAGGCAGCATATAGTGGAGTCTTTAAAAAAAAAATCCATTTGGTCACTCTATGTCTTTTATTGGTGAATTTAATCCATCTACACTCACAGCAATTACTGATATGTAAGGCTGTAATACTGACATTTTGTTCACTGTTTTCTGGTTGTTGTATTGATACATTACCCCAGGTGATCTAGCCATACAGTTACCCACAATATTCCCCATGGGGTAAGACCAACACGGGCTTCTTGGGAAGCATCTCAAAATGCTAAAGAAACTAGATAAGTGCTTCTGGCTCTCTTTTTCTCCTGTAGAAACCATGAGCCCAGGGAAATCCTCTTCATCTGGCATCGTGCCTACCTGGGGGAGTGGGACTGGTGGCACAGTTGAAGTGACACCATTCTTCTAACTTTTCTATTTTTGTTTTCATTCAGTTTTGCAGAACATGCCAGTGTTTCAGGTTTTTTTCTAAGTATTGGGATTTTCAAAACTATGTTCTGGTCTATGGATAGTTTCTCATTGAATTTTCTGTTGCAGGGAAGTGTAACCTGATCCTTCCTATTCTGTGTTCTTGCTGACATCACTCCCCTTTAATTATATATTTTTAAATTCATTTACCATACTCATGCAGTGCAGTGGAACATACAAAACACGTCAATAATGCTATAATGGATATGCTATATTATATCAAGATTATTTTCACCACCAGTACCTTCAAAGGACACTCAAAAACTTGCTAAATTCAATTCCATTCCTGTCCAGTGGGCTCACAATCTAAATTACTACCAACAAACAAAAGAACAATGAAATGAATGTTGTTTAGATGACTTCTAATTAAACTAATTGGCTTCAGCTGTGTCAATATTAGCATTGCATCAAGAGAAAACAATGTTTGTAAAATATTCTTAATAAAACTCTGTGAACATAGAAGACTTCCTATTTACAATAACTATTTGTATTAACTGCAGAATTTAAAATCTGTTTACTATTTACATTCACTGCAGAACTGCTTCTGGTAGTGACTGAATATGACAAATTGTAACTCGATCACCAGGTAACATATTAGAAAGGATATTAGACTAGAATCTAGAGCCTTGATTGCCTAGGATATTCCACTAATTCACTATATGATTTTAGGCAGTCACTTAACCTTTAGGAGCCTGTGTTACAGACTCACCCACTGCTACCTGTACACGTAATTGTTATTATATAGATCATATGTTTAGACTCTAGAACTCTGAAATAAAATATATTTATTATTACAAAGAATACAAAATGTTTACCAAAATACACTGCCTCTTCTTAGGGACACAGCTAACTATATATGTTGTTTCCCTGGAAGTTATGTGGTGCCATGAGATTAAGTTTTAGAAAGTGGAACATAAACATATGTAAATGTTTGCACATAAAATTCTCTACTTTCTGGCTGGTGGGCATGGAGATGACCACGACGACCTTAAAAACCACAAGCTAAAGACTGTGAAGTGAGCCAAGATGGCAGAATAGGAACAGCTCCGGTCTACAGCTCCCAGCGTGAGCGACGCAGAAGACGGCTGATTTCTGCATTTCCATCTGAGGAAACGGGTTCATCTCACTAGGGAGCACCAGACAGTGGGCGCAGGACAGTGGTTGCAGTGCACCATGCGTGAGCCGAAGCAGGGTGAGGCATTGCCTCACTGGGAAGCGCAAGGGGTCAGGGAGTTCCCTTTCCTAGTCAAAGAAAGGGGTGACACTGCGCTTTTCTGACAGGATTAAAAAAAGGCACACCAGGAGATTATATCCCGCATCCGGCTCGGAGGGTCCTACGCCCACGGAGTCTCGCTGACTGCTAGCACAGCAGTCTGAGATCAAACTGCAAGGCAGCAGCAAGGCTGGGGGAGGGGTGCCCACCATTGCCCAGATCTGCTTAGGTAAACAAAGCAGCTGGGAAGCTCGAACTGGGTGGAGCCCACCACAGCTAAAGGAGGCCTACCTGCCTCTGTAGGCTCCACCTCTGGGGGCAGGGCACAGACAAACAAAAAGGCAGCAGTAACCTCTGCAGACTTAAATGTCCCTGTCTGACAGCTTTGAAGAGAGCAGTGGTTCTCCCAGCATGCAGCTGGAGACCTGAGAACAGGCAGACTGCCTTTTCAAGTGGCTCCCTGACCCCTGACCCCTGAGCAGCCTAACTGGGAGGCACCACCCAGTAGGGGCAGACTGACACCTCACACGGCCGGGTACTCCTCTGAGACAAAACTTCCAGAGGAACGATCAGACAGCAGCATTCGCGGTTCACGAAAATCCGCTGTTCTGCAGCCACCACTGCTGATACCCAGGCTAACAGGGTCTGGAGTGGACCTTAGCAAACTCCAACAGACCTGCAGCTGAGGTTCCTGTCTGTTAGAAGGAAAACTAACAAAAAGAAAGGACATCCACACCAAAAACCCATCTGTACATCACCATCATCACCATCATCAAAGACCAAAAGTAGATAAAACCACAAAGATGGGGAAAAAACAGAGCAGAAAGACTGGAAACTCTAAAAAGCAGAGCACTTCTCCTCCTCCAAAGGAACGCAGTTCCTCACTAGCAATGGAACAAAGCTGGATGGAGAATGACTTTGATGAGTTGAGAGAAGAAGGCTTCAGACGATCAAACTACTCCGAGCTACAGGAGGAAATTCAAACCAAAGGCAAAGAAGTTAAAAACTATCACAAAAATTTAGACGAATGTATAACTAGAATAACCAATACAGAGAAGTGCTTAAAGGAGCTGATGGAGCTGAAAGCCATGGCTCGAGAACTACGTGAAGAATGCAGAAGCCTCAGGAGCCGACGCGATCAACTGGAAGAAAGGGTATCAGCAATGGAAGATGAAATGAATGAAATGAAGCGAGAAGGGAAGTTTAGAGAAAAAAGAATAAAAAGAAACGAACAAAGCCTCCAAGAAATATGGGACTATGTGAAAAGACCAAATCTACGTCTGATTGGTGTACCTGAAACTGATGGGGAGAATGGAACCAAGTTGGAAAACACTCTGCAGGATATTATCCAGGAGAACTTCCCCAATCTAGCAAGGCAGGCCAATGTTCAGATTCAGGAAATACAGAGAACGCCAAAAAGATACTCCTCGAGAAGAGCAACTCCAAGACACATAATTGTCAGATTCACCAAAGTTGAAATGAAGGAAAAAATGTTAAGGGCAGCCAGAGAGAAAGGTCGGGTTACCCACAAAGGGAAGCCCATCAGACTAACAGCGGATCTCTCGGCAGAAACTCTACAAGCCAGAAGAGAGTGGGGGCCAGTATTCAACATTCTTAAAGAAAAGAATTTTCAACCCAGAATTTCATATCCAGCCAAACTAAGCTTCATAAGTGAAGGAGAAATAAAATACTTTACAGACAAGCAAATGCTGAGAGATTTTGTCACCACCAGGCCTGCCCTAAAAGAGCTCCTGAAGGAAGCACTAAACACGGAAAGGAACAATCGGTACCAGCCACTGCAAAAGCATGCCAAATTGTAAAGACCATCGAGGCTAGGAATAAACTGCATCAACTAACGAGCAAAATAACCAGCTAACATCATAATGACAGAAACAAATTCACACATAACAATATTAACTTTAAATGTAAATGGACTAAATGCTCCAATTAAAAGACACAGACTGGCAAGTTGGATAAAGACTCAAGACCCATCAGAGTGCTATATTCAGGAAACCCATCTCATGTGCAGAGACACACATAGGCTCAAAATAAAAGGATGGAGGAAGATCTACCAAGCAAATGGAAAACAAAAAAAGGCAGGGGTTGCAATCCTAGTCTCTGATAAAACAGACTTTAAACCAACAAAGATCAAAAGAGACAAAGAAGGCCATTACATAATGGTAAAGGGATCAATACAACAAGAAGAGCTAACTATCCTAAATATATATGCACCCAATACGGGAGCACCCAAATTCATAAAGCAAGTCCTCAGTGACCTACAAAGAGACTTAGACTCCCACACAATAATAATGGGAGACTTTAACACCCCACTGTCAACATTAGACAGATCAATGAGACAAAGTTAACAAGGATACCCAGGAATTGAACTCAGCTCTGCACCAAGCAGACCTAATAGATATGTACAGAACTCTCCACCCCAAATCAACAGAATATATATTTTTTTCAGCACCACACCACACCTATTCCAAAACTGACCGCATAGTTGGAAGTAAAGCTCTCCTCAGCAAATGTAAAAGAACAGAAATTATAACAAACTTTCTCTCAGACCACAGTGCAATCAAACTAGAACTCAGGATTAAGAAACTCACTCAAAACCACTCAACTACATGGAAACTGAACAACCTGCTCCTGAGTGGCTACTGGGTACATAACGAAATGAAGGCAGAAATAAAGATGTTCTTTGAAACCAACGAGAACGAAGACACAACATACCAGAATCTCTGGGACACATTCAAAGCAGTGTGTAGAGGGAAATTTATAGCACTAAATGCCCACAAGAGTAAGCAGGAAAGATCCAAAATTGACACCCTTACATCACAATTAAAAGAACTAGAAAAGCAAGAGCAAACACATTCAAAAGCTAGCAGAAGGCAAGAAATAACTAAAATCAGAGCAGAACTGAAGGAAATAGAGACACAAAAAACCCTTCAAAAAAATTCCTGAATCCAGGAGCTGGTTTTTTGAAAGGATAAACAAAATTGACAGACCGCTAGCAAGACTAATAAAGAAGAAAAGAGAGAAGAATCAAATAGACACAATAAAAAATGATAAAGGGGATATCACCACCAATCCCACAGAAATACAAACTACCATCAGAGAATACTACAAACACCTCTATGCAAATAAACTAGAAAATCTAGAAGAAATGGATAAATTCCTCGACACATACACCCTCCCAAGACTAAACCAGGAAAAAGTTGAATCTCTGAATAGACCAATAACTGGCTCTGAAATTGTGGCAATAATCAATAGCTTACCATCCAAAAAGAGTCCAGGACCAGATGGAATCATAGCCGAATTCTACCAGAGGTACAAGGAGGAACTGGTAACATTCCTTCTGAAACTATTCCAATCAATAGAAAAAGAGGGAATCCTCCCTAACTCATTTTATGAGGCCAGCATCATCCTGATACCAAAGCCGGGCAGAGACACAACCAAAAAAGAGAATTTTAGATCAATATACTTGATGAACATCAATGCGAAAATCCTCAATAAAATACTAGCAAACCGAATCCAGCAGCACATCAAAGAGCTTATCCACCATGATCAAGTGGGCATCATCCCTGGGACGCAAGGCTGGTTCAATATACGCAAATCAATAAATGTAATCGAGCATATAAACAGAACCAAAGACAAAAACCACATGATTTATCTCAATAGATGCAAAAAAGGCCTTGGAGAAAATTCAACAACCCTGCATGCTAAAAACTCTCAATAAATTAGGTACTGATGGGACGTATCTCAAAATAATTAGAGCTATCTATGACAGACCCACAGCCAATATCATACTGAATGGGCAAAAACTGGAAGCATTCCCTTTGAAAAGTGGCACAAGACAGGGATGCCCTCTCTCACCACTCCTATTCAACATAGTGTTGGAAGTTCTGGCCAGGGCAATTAGGCAGGAGAAGGAAATAAAGGGTATTCAGTTAGGAAAAGAGGAAGTCAAATTGTCCCTGTTTGCAGATGACATGATTGTATATCTAGAAAACCCCATTGTCTCAGCCCAAAATCTCCTTAAGCTGATAAGCAACTTCAGCAAAGTCTCAGGATACAACATCAATGTACAAAAATCACAAGCATTCTTATGCACCAATAACAGACAAACATAGAGCCAAATCATGAGTGAACTCCCATTCACAATTGCTTCAAAGAGAATAAAATACCTAGGAATCCAACTTACAAGGGATGTGAAGGACCACTTCAAGGACAACTACAAACCACTGCTCAATGAAATAAAAGAGGATACAAAGAAATGGAAGAACATTCCATGCTTATGGGTAGGAAGAATCAATATCGTGAAAATGGCCATACTGCCCAAGGTAATTTATGGATTCAATGCCATCCCCATCAAGCTACCAATGACTTTCTTCACAGAATTGGAAAAAACTACTTTAAAGTTCATATGGAACCAAAAAAGAGCCTGCATCGCCAAGTCAATCCTAAGCCAAAAGAACAAAGCTGGAGGCATCACGCTACCTGACTTCAAACTATACTACAAGGCTACAGTCACCAAAACAGCATGGTACTGGTACCAAAACAGAGATATAGATCAATGCAACAGAACAGAGCCCTCAGAAATAGCGCCGCATATCTGCAACTATCTGATCTTTGACAAACCTGAGAAAAACAAGCAATGAGGAAAAGATTCCCTATTTAATAAATGGTCCTGGGAAAACTGGCTAGCCATATGTAGAAAGCTGAAACTGGATCCCTTCCTTACACCTTATACAAAAATTAATTCAAGATGGATAAAAGACTTAAACGTTAGACCTAAAACCATAAAAACCCTAGAAGAAAACCTAGACAGTACCATTCAGGACATAGGCATGGGCAAGGACTTCATGTCTAAAACACCAAAAGCAATGGCAACAAAAGCCAAAATTGACAAATGGGATCTAATTAAACTAAAGAGCTTCTGCACAGCAAAAGAAACTACCATCAGAGTGAACAGGCAACCTACAAAATGGGAGAAAATTTTGGCAACCTACTCATCTGACAAAAGGCTAATATCCAGAATCTACAATGAACTCAAACAAATTTACAAGAAAAAAACAAACAACCCCATCAAAATCTGGGTGAAGGACATGAACAGACACTTCTCAAAAGAAGACATTTATGCTGCCAAAAAACACATGAAAAAATGCTCACCATCACTGGCCATCAGAGAAATGCAAATCAAAACCACAATGAGATACCATCTCACACCAGTTACAATGGTGATCATTAAAAAGTCAGGAAACAACAGGTGCTGGAGAGGATGTGGAGAAATAGGAACACTTTGACACTGCTGGTGGGACTGTAAACTAGTTCAACCATTGTGGAAGTCAGTGTGGCCATGCCTCAGGGATCTAGAACTAGAAATACCATTTGACCCAGCCATCCCATTACTGGGTATATACCCAAAGGACTATAAATCATGCTGCTGTAAAGACACATGCGCACGTATGTTTATTGCCGCACTATTCACAATAGCAAAGACTTGGAACCAACCCAAATGTCCAACAATGACAGACTGGATTAAGAAAATGTGGCACATATACACTATGGAATACTATGCAGCCATAAAAAATGATGAGTTCATGTCCTTTGTAGGGACATGGATGAAACTGGAAATCATCATTCTCAGTAAACTATCGCAAGGACAAAAAACCAAACACCGCATGTTCTCACTCATAGGTGGGAATTGAACAATGAGAACATATGGACACAGGAAGGGGAACATCACACTCTGGGGACTGTTGTGGGGTAGGGGGATGGGGGAGGGATAGCATTAGGAGATATACCTAATGCTAAATGAGGAGTTAATGGGTGCAGCACACCAGCATGGCACATGTATACATATGTAACTAATCTGCACATTGTGCACATGTACCCTAAAACTTAAAGTATAATAAAAAAAATGAATATTCAAGCAATATTCAAAAATGTCTTCTCCAGAATGTGAAGTTTTTGATAGGCTTTTCTGTGAATGAAGATTTATATATTGCTTTAAAAAAAAAAAAAAAGGACTGTGAAGTAAGGCCTCCTTGCCAAACTGTTCGGCCATCTAAGATTATGAACTGAATGAGATGTAATTTCTATTGTGTTAAGTCACTGAAGTTTCCAGTATTTTTACTAGAATAAATAGCATTACCTTAACTAGCACAATTATACTGAATGCATAACATATTGTGTCACTGTGGGCTGAGGATACCATTCACTATGTTAAACAGTAGAGAATGTTGAACTACGTAACTAGATTTCAGAAATACAAGGAAGATCACCAGGTCTACTACAGATCAGGAATCATACCATTTTCTAGGTGGGAATATGGCACTCTTCTATGGAAATAAGACAAGAGCTAGGTAAACCATCTATGACATTTCATTGCCTTTTGCAGGCTAGAACTCAAGGAGTATAGATTCTGGGGCAGGGTCAGAGTAAGACAGCCAAGGTAGAAGTGGAACACCTATACTTTTCAAGCCAAGGTATATATAATTCTTCCTGTATTAATTTCCTTTTTGTTGTCAGTTGATGTTTGTTAGATGTTTGTTAAAGTATTCATTCTGAATTGCAACTTCATTCAGGAATTCTGAGATTTATCAAGGAAGGGATTTGTAATGACCATGTTTTCTTTTCATACATTTTCTGTAATTCAATGATACCTCATATTTATATTTTAGATTAAAATGTGAATTTCTAGGCACGTAAGAAAAATTATAGGATCACAATGTAAGGAAGCTGGTCAAAATCAAATATTTTATGAACATATAATAGAAGATCTTAAAATCTAAGTTTACTGAGTCACTAAAAGTTAGGGACATTGTATGTGTGTGTGTTCTTTTAAACGCTTTCTCTGCCAACATGTATTCCTTCTCCTTGGCCAGGCAAGGACTGCAAATTAGATATTAGTAATTTTGAATATGCCTAATTTATCATCTGAAAATAGTTTAGATTACTATTGCAACCAGATGCCATTGAAATACCCTACTAATTTTTTTGTTTGGAAGTCAAGAGTTAAATAATAATCATAGTGGAAGGACAGGCATGGTGGCTCACAACTGTAATCCCAGCACTCTGGGAGGCCAAGGTGAGAGGACTGCTTGAGGCCAGGAGTTCAAGACCAGCCTGGGCAACACAGTGAGACCCTGTCTCTGAAACCAAAATAAAATAACATAAAATAATAAAAATAATGTGGAAAAAGTGAGTGGTATGCCCATGACAGTTGTTCAACAAATATTACTTTGTGTCAACCACTGGTCAAGCATTGTGCTAAATACTAGGATAAGATTATGATCTGTACTTTGATGAATATTCTATGGCTATTAGACTATTGACAATGACAAATATAACAGTTTGTTAAATACTATGATGTGATATATTCTGGGTGCCCCAGTAATACATAAGAAGGTCTCCTAAATAATAAAAATAGTTGGCCGGGTGCAGTGGCTCATGCCTGTAATCCCAGCACTTTGGGAGGCCAAGGCTGGCGGATCACGAGGTCAGGAGATCGAGACCATCCTGGCTAACACAGTGAGACCCCGTCTCTCTTAAAAATACAACAAATTAGCTGGGCATGGTAGTGGGCACCTATAGTCCCTGCTACTCAGGAGGCTGAGGCAGGAAAATGGCATGAACCCAGGAGGCACAGCTTGCAGTGAGCCGAGATCGTGCCACTGCACTCCAGCCTGGGCAACAGAGCAAGACTCTGTCTCAAAAAAAAACAAAACAAAACAAAAACTAATAATAATAGTTATAATTCGTTTGTCACTTATGTCCTTTTATTTTTCAATTATCATGCACCATTGTGTGCTTCACAAATGTTAACTCATTCAGTCTTTCCAAACAGCCTTATGAAGTAGCTGTTATTACCAGACTTTACAAGAGAGTAAAGTAAAGATCAGAGAAGCCATATGGCTGTCTGAGAAACCTTAAGCTAGTGAATAGCAGGGTTCAGATTTGAACCTAGGTCTCTTAAATCCAAAGCCCATACTTAAGAGTCAGAAATGGCAAATCTACAGAAGCAACCTTAGACATTATTTTGAGGATATTGAAAGGCTTAATAGGAAAGAGTGCTATGATTGATTATTAATGCCTGTTTTGTTTGTGGAATAAGGAAGTAACAGCAGAAATACCACAAGTTACATACTTGAATCATGCTATCTTTCAAGCCCATATCATGCCAACAAAATGTGGGGATAAGACGGGCAAAATGTGAAATATGTGCCATGTGGGATTAGGAGAGTGAAGTTGAGATCTGATTCAATGCCATGTTTGCTTTAATTATGTTTTCCCTTTTTAACACAAAGAGCTTATTCTTTCTTAAATTAATATGTAATCTATTGATCTATCTGGAATGCAACCTTTTTCCCCCTCATAGAACACAAAGAGGAAAAATAAAAATATCCTTCTTAAAATGAAACAATTACCCTACAAGAAAAATTCCTTAGAATTTTTTAAAGGTACAATTTAATTTGAATTAATAGTTTCCTAGTTCACTGAAAATAGAATCGGTACATCCTAGATAGGAAAGTGTACTTTCCTAGTCAAGGTTAAGGATTGCAGGCAGAAGAAAATGTGATGGAAAAGAGAACTCAACATGATCTTGTGTCATGAGGTTAGCTAACTTCTCATTACAGTTAAAGGCCTCTTAGTTATAAACAGATGCATCATAGCCACCTGCTTTTAAAAACAGGAATTCTTAAGGCCAACTACATTCACACTCAGGTTACCATTATATATATAGCACAGGTCTAGGGACAGTACATGAGAAGCTCTAAGTTCAATGAAGTTAAAATTTTCTTCCGCTTCCGTAATTTTAGAATGTATTTAAAATACTTTAATCACAGGCCAGTTTTAAATAAAATGAAACAAATACTAGTCAAGCAAACCATGAGTCAGGCACAGAGCTAGTTATTGTGATACACATAGACTCATACACTCTTAATAGAATTTTATTTCAGGGTAAATGAAGTTTAGTGATCATTTATTCCTGAGGGTGCCATAGATGGGATTATACTTTTGAACAAGATTCTTAATTATGATATACAGTGTTGTCAGTGTACACATGGTTTTAATGACATTACTCAGGAAATAAATAAATACAAAGCCAGGAGTTTGCTGTCAGCATAATGATAACTCTATCTGATCAGAGCCAAACATATGACTGATTCTATTTGTCTAGCTCTGTCAGACATGTAAGCTTCATTTCTCCAGGGGTGATTTGGTTGCTTGCAAAACTGTGAAGAGAGTCAAAAGAGAAACCTGGTAGTATAACATCAGAATTTCTCAGCCAACTGTGATTCTTTCAGGGAAAAGAATACTATCTGACTTATTTCTGTATATATCTTTTTTTTCTAGCACAGGACTGAGGAATAGGAGTTCAATAAATATTGACTAATAAACTATTCATTCTATAACTAATTCAGAATTCTTGTAATAACTTCATATTATATGAAGTGAGTTTCTCCTATACTTCCTTCAAACTTTGTCATTTCTAGGATTGCTTATCTGGTAAGGAGCAAATATTCCTATTAAATCCTGCAAAATCTATTTCTGAATGTTTGATACAATAAATTAAAAGTAAACAGGTTAGAGTGTCCATGGTTAGGAAAAAATAGGGATAATTTTACCGGTGAGTGTATATTGTGCATTATAAACAGTTTCATGCAACCTTTAGAAAAAGAAAAAGAAATTCTCAGTAGAAAACATTTTTACCAAATTATGCAAATTTGGAGCTTTACTCTTACTGCTCTGATACATTCCAATCCTCCGATACATTTCTAAATAACTGTATCCATGTTTAGATCTGGCTCTTTCCACTCAGGCATGAAAGAACCCCATATACTAAATGTACTTCACCCAACTCTCAAAATTCTTCCCTAACTTCCTGTTACTCATGTCATACATATTTCATTTAGATAGTAGAAAGTAAACAGTGATTTTGTTTACATCCATGAATGTATGATTAATGACGTAATTTTCCAGGGAGTACTTGTTCTTTTTCCACAGTTGTTGATTCAATCATGTATATGTCTAATTTCAGAGTTTTAGGAATTGTGGTAAGTATTCTTCGGCATGGCCCTATGGACATAATATACCTCTTTTTCCTATGAATTAATCTGGTATTAGTTCTCAACTGACCCCTTATTATGTGCTTATTCTTTCTATTCATTTTGTGAGAATATTTTTTAAAAAGACTTAATATAAATTTACTATGCACTGCATTAAAAATTAATAGTAAGTCATTCCCAGAGTCTGCATACACACTTTAAATGTAACATCTTTTAGGAATGAATTTTCTGGAAAACATAGCCCTTATACAATATGTATATTTAAAATATCTTTTTGAAATTTGAGCACACCAATTATCCCCAGCAATAAATTTAATTTATAATTTATCCCTACTAAAAACAAACTTACTTAAAAATTAGAAAGATTAGAGGTTTAGAACTCTAGTCATGAAGTTAGTGTCTATTCTTACATTCTGAAATACCTTTATGCTGAATTGTACTGAAAGAGCTACTCCATACGCAATACGAAATACAAACATAGAGCTTTTATTCCTCTGAAGTACATGTCACCTTTGTTTCCCACCATTAAAAAAAATTATCTCTACAGATACTTTGTTCTTTTCTTCCCTTAGGTATATTTTGCTTCATCCTTTTCAAATGAATAATTGTCCATTATGTGCCTGCTGTGCAAAGACTCTGTATTAAGGTTGAGGAATATTCACAGGAGGACATATACCGTGTTCCATGATTCTTGGGCATGTGTGGACCAGTGTATTTCAAACTGTAAGTTATACTTTGAACCATTTTAATAGGTTATGAAATCAATTTAAGGAATAATATCAGAATTTTTTATATCTCAAAATGAACTATAATTGGATAGAGCAGATCATACACACAAAGAAACAATATTTCATGCATACGACAAAAGAGCAATCATTGTTCAGTAAAGATTTTGATTTTGTATATTTGTATGTGTGTGTGTGTGAACGTGAGAGAGAGAGAGAAGTAGACTGCAGTGTTGAAACATTACTTACTCTGGATCATAGTCAAAAAATTTTGAAAGCTACTTTAATACAGGAAATGAGATCTCGTTGTAGCCTTCATAATGGTGAAATCTACTCCATCATTATAGGCAAAGTAGTACTTCCTTTTCATCATTTAATACAGTGAAAACTAGCTTTTCCCTCCTGTGGCTAAACACACTATAATACAATTTTTGGTAGTTTATGTGACCAATGTTTTATTCAGTTATTTTATGTTGATATTTTTAAGCATATGCTACTCCTAACAAAGTTTAAACAAAAAGAAGTGTACCACACTGCTCACTGCATAGATAAGATCATAAAATAAGAATCTTTTAAATTACAACAGAGGCTGACCTCAATATGAGATTTAATATTTCACAAGATCAGCAACTTCACTTCCTTGCTACTTGGGCTATTTGGCCAAGCAAGAGCAAAGACAGTCAAGTAAAATTTTCAAACTAAGTAGGTTTTAATAATATATTAGTTTGGTGCAAAAGTAATTGCAGCTTTTGCAATTATTTATACATACATTACCTTAATCCACAGCAATTATTCATGAGTCTCACCTAAGGATAAAGATCTTTACCATAAATTTTCTCTCAAGAAGTTTAATTTACTAAAAATACTATATTGCATATATATATATCAGGCACTAAGTGCAAATAAACTACACAAAGCAGTAAGATTTCCTTGGCAACCTCAAATAGCAAATACATTTTCCCCACCACTTACAGGTGGAATTTTCTATATTTTCTGCATTGGCTCTGAGGATAAACACCCACCTGCTTCTCTCTTCATCACTGGGTTTTCAAGTTTTTCCTAGGTTTTCCACACAGGTATTAAAATTCCTTCTATGGTTTGTCTTGGTATAACTTCTGTTTCTTATTTCTACAAGTACTTTCTTTCACCTTTTTTGGCTGCTTGAATTATGTTATTTTTTCTTTCCCCTGTCTGAGACAATCTGAGTCTTTTAGTCAGAGTTATTAAAGTCCCCATTGCTTTTTCTGTCTCAAAGATGGGTATATTCTTATACCACAGAATCCTCCAATATCTTCATTACTGCTTAATCCTTAAATTCCTAGTGTCTTTTAATTTTCTCTATTGTATCCCTTGATTATATATCCCAAGAAATGACACTGATGATTATTTAATCATGTTTTGAACAGCAAAATTTTGTATAAGCAAGAAGTAGGACAAATGTCTCAGGAGGGTACAGAGGTAATTTGACATATGAATAGCACATACACAGATCTGAGTAAATAGCAAGAACTTGCTCAGGACAGATGTGATTGTTAGCAGAATGCTCTGTCCTGCTGATAACATACTAAATGTGACTGCTTTGACATTGTGAAGGCAAACTGAGAACAGAATCTGCACCACTGCATAAAGTAGCCAAAGCTTGGAAGATATAGCTCGTAACACTTTGTTGAAATTTAACATGTGTTGAACAATCTCCTCTCAGATCTGACATAAGCAATTTTATAACCAGAGTGGGAGTCTCTCTTCCTGCAAGTAAATTTACCTGCGCTCTGTCACTATATATACCCTGCGACACCTTGTTTTCTGTGCAGTTGACCTGACTCTGCTCAGGTACATTCTCTAAAGCTAGCTGTGCTGCTTCCCATTTCAATCTCCCCTCTTACTTGTAATTATTGTGTAGTGTCCTTTACCTGCTAGTTTGGCACAGGTGTCATTAGGGGTTCAGTTGTATTCCCCAAAAAGATAGGTCCAAATCCAAATCCTTGCTACCTTTGAGTGTGACCTTATTTGGAAACTGTGGGTCTTTGAAGATGTAATCAAATGAGGTCATACTGGAGTAGGGTGAAGTCCAAATCCAAAATGACTGGTGTCCTTACAAGAAGAAGAGAAAAAGACACAGACAAAGACGATGAACACTACGTGAAAATACGGATAGAAAATGGAGTGATGCACCTCAAAACAAGGAATGTCCACACCAGACGCTAAGAGTAAGGAATGGAACAGATTCTCCCCTAGAGCCTTCAGAGAGAGCCTGGTTCTGCTGACATCCTGATTTCAGACATCTAGCCTCCAGAACTGTGCAATAACAAATCTCTGTTGTTTTAAGTCACCGAGTTTGTGGTACTTTGTTACAGCAGCCCTAGGAAACAAATACCGGTGTGGATTCACACAATATAAAAGTTTGATAATGAATTTGTATGCTCTTTCACTGATCTGTATGGTTCTGTAGTATGTGTGGGAAAGTTAGGATTAAGTGACTATCATTATCCCACAGGAACCAGGAATTTCTACCACTTTTACAGGTGTGTAGACAAGAAAGAGACAAGGAAACAGACAGACCACTAGAGGACTGAATGGGGGAGAGCAAGAGAAAAAAGAAATACACACACACAGTAAAGAAAGAGAAATACAGTGATAACTGTGAACAAAGAAGCTGAGTTTCTCCCTTCTGCAGCTGATGGTTGGAAAGGTGACTGTAGTTTACTTTTTCTGAGACTTAGAAGCTTAAGAAATATATAGCTTATATCTGGAATACTATACGGTCTTAATGAGAATCAACTCTAGGGTCAGAGAGAAGAGGTTACAAGCAGCAGCAGGCTCCAGAGAATCGCCAAGCCTTTGTCTTAATCTCTTTTCTAGTTACAAACTCAACTGTGGTTATGTACTGCATAAGTCAATGCCAGAGCATACACAAAAGAAAGACAACTTATCTGAGGGAGAGAATCTGTATCACTAGATTTTATTTGACAGTGTTTGTTATTATTTGTCTAGAAGAGTTACCCCTGGAACAATCTCCCTGATAGATTCAAATATCTATTTCATGATCTACAAAATCTAAATTGACTCTATTCCAATCTAAAAATGACACTTTCTTCCCTTTCGTATCCATCTAAAAATGTCTTAGCCTCATTTTATAAGCCAAAGCCCAGTTGACTGATTCCTCTTCAAGTACTGCCTAAGGTACAGATTTCCCACAAAGATTTAATTAAATAAGTTATACAAAAGAAAGAAATTAATCCATGAATATGTTAGGTCTATTTTCTTTTACATTTTAGCTTACATAAGTATATGCTCATTTTACCCTTTATATGTGATATTTCTCTCTCTCTTTTTATAATTCTTTATCTTTGATTTTTAATAAAAATACTTTTAGCTAAAAAATAATCTCATAACATTTTATGGTATTTTATTTGTATACGTATCAAAATGCAGACTTCAATTACCAATCCAGAATTTAAAACTACATTAATTCTTCCATGAACACAATTATCAAGAAATTCTGGTTAATCAGTGGGTATATAGTGTATTGAGAAATGCCACAAGTGAAAGGAAGTACATTTATTGACTATTATGTGGCACAACATCATGCTTTGTATAGTCTACCACATACATATATTATGTAATTCTATGTACTCTGTCAGATAGGCACAACTATATTATGTAATTCTATATACTCTGTCAGATAGGGACAACTATATCTACTGAGACACATAGAATGCAAACACTTTCCAGGGCTACAGAGCTAGAAAGAGGAAAAGATAAAATATGAATTCAGGTCTATATAACAGCAATTCCAGGCAGTTACTACTCTTCCATCTTCCTATTAGATGCACACTAAACATTCACATCTACGCAGACACACACACACACAAAACATCAAGAAATCAAAACAATGATTAAAACTCTTGACGTAAGAGTTAGTTTCCTTGAATTAATTGCAACTGCATGTATTACCTGTACCTCCTTGGACAATTTAATTAATCTGTATGTGGTTCAATTTCTTTATCTATAAAATGGGGTTAATAATAGTACATCCTTTGTATGACTGTTGTAAACATTAAATGAGTTAATATAGCTATTGTACTTAGAAAGTATCTGCCATGTGGTAAGTGTAAATACTAGTATTATCTTATTTGCACACCTATGGTAAGCTCTACCTATGTGTTTGCTCATATGTATCATAGAGTTATCATGATGGTGAATATATAAACCACAAAGTTTTATTGCCAATATAAAATGCATTATTTTCAAGAGATTTCATGTGTCAAAGCACTATATGCAAATTCAGCAAAATAATTTGCTTAAAAACGTTTCTTGGAGTAGATATGTTATAAAGGTTTAGTTATAAAATTTTAATAATACATCAGGGTTACCTTCCAAAAGTTATCCACTGTAGAACACACTTAAATACACACACACACAAACACACACAACATATGGGAAAACCAGAGAAGATACATAGATTAATAGAAAAATATATAGAGTCATCCCTGGTATCTATGAGAGATTGGTTCCAAAATGAATCCAAACTCCACAGATGCTCAACTGCCTTATACAAAGTGGTGCGGTATTTACATATAACCTGTGCACATCCTCCAGCATACTTTAAATTATCTCTGGATTACTTATAATACCGAATGTACCCACAAAAATTAAAAATAAAAACATAAAAAGATATACATGCTATGTTAATATAGTTGCCCCTCCGTATACACAGGGAATTGCTTCCAGGACACCCATGTATACCAAAATTCATGCATACTCAAATCTTGCAGTGGCTCTGTGGAACCCACATATATGAAAACCCGGCCCTTCACGTATGCAGGTTTTGCATCCCATGAATACTGCATTTTTGAACCACATTTGGTTGATAAACATCTATGTATAATTGGTCTTGTGCTGTTCAAACCCATGTTGTTCAAGGGTCAACTGTAGGTGTTATTCTGCATTGGTTTTTAATTGTATTATTGTTATTATTGTTGTATTTTTATTTTTTCTGAATATTTTTGGTCCTTAGTTTGGTTGAAATGACAGATACGAGACCAATGGATAGGAATAGCTGACTGTAATCAATTTTAGGAGATTTGAATTTAATCTAATCTCTGTCTCACTGTGTTTCAGATCAGACTAACCATTAATCAACCGATAGCTGCTATTATATTTAAAAGGGACTTTTATTTTAATATATGTTTCATATTTTTTCATATCTAGTATAGTGCCTAGCAAATACTCAATATTCAATAAACAACAGATTTACTGACAAGTACATAATTACACACAAACATATAAACAAGAAAACATGAATGATGTATTCTCTATTATTTAGTATTCAAACAAACGGGGAATTATTTGACAGCCCTGTTGCTGCAGTTCTTGCCTTTAGGACAAAAAGAACACGGCCAGAGAAGGGCTCTGCTTGGTATGCCAAGTATTATCAATATACATAAATTCTTGTTATTATTTTCAAACTAAAGAGAGACTCACCTACAGTCTGAAGATCCATATAATTCATGCATCTCTTTAATTAGTCCAAATGTTTCTAAGTGTCTGGCATACAGACTTTTAAGAACTTTGAGAACTGATCTGGTACCAGTATCTTATCAGTAATGCTTCACAGATGAGACATAAAAATCATTAATAAAAGGGGAAAAATATTTGGATATATGGTTCAGGGATGTATTCCGAACTATTAAGGAACACTTTACTTTTGCTTCATTTCAGTTGTTTTCCTTTTTTCTTTTTCTTGTAGCAACAGCACAGAGTAGTGGACCTTAACTGAGTAAACACGGGTTTCCTTAACTGTCTACTTATTAAATATTCAACATTAAGCATAGTACAGTCGTATCACCTTACATGATCAAATGAGTCAGATACTCTAAATCAAACATAGGAAAGGCTAAGTGAACGAAAAATCTCAGCTGTAAAACGGAGGCTGTAGAACAGATGCTCTCCAAGGTCCTTTGATGCCTTAATAGCAGCAGCCTTAGCAGCATTAGCTCTGTGAAATGGTAATGAAATGGTGATGGAAGCTGGGTACTGTAGATTAATGCTGAACTCTACTGCTCATGGTACTGCCATCTGCAACTCTATAGCATCTGAGGTTATACTCTCTGTAAATGATTTTATTAAGCATGCCTACTGAGGAAAATTAATTTTATTGACAATACCGTAAGTATAATTTTTATTTTTGACATGAAAACATTTCCAGCCACTTTATTATTTTAAAATACTTTATCAAAGGTAATGGTAGAGAAGTTTTTAAAGATATACAAAATTGTAGTGAAACTATGGACTTGATACTGAATATTTCTTCCCAGGTCATGTCATATATAGTTTTACTACTCCCCAGTAAAATACAGAAGCCATCTGTTGAATTTTATTGATAAGTTACTTTATTTAGTACATCCAGATGTAAACTTTTGGACTGTGGAAATTTTCATTTTGGATTTCTCTGTACTCCATTATATATTTTGTTTCCCAAAATATACGCCTAAATAATTAAAGCACCCTCCAATAGGATAGCAAATGTATTTATAATGGAAGATGGTTTAAATATATATAGCAGATGTTGGCAGTGCACCTACCCATATTTCTCAGACCTTGCAGTGTACTCTCCTTGCCTCATTTCCAGGTTATCTGTGCCACTGAAGGCCTTTTTTTCTGGAACCCTGGTGGCTAGGACAGAAAGACAGGTCACAAATACAGGAATATGAACACGTCTTGGGAAGCAGCCCTCAACCAATACTCTCAGAAATTGTTTCTGAGACCAATGATAGAGGATTCAGTGATATCCAAAGTGTTTTTATTTTAGTAGCTGGATGGCAGAAAATAAGGACAACTAAAGAAGGATCAGGAATTTGACTATGGACATGTTTAGTTTGAGGTTTAAAGTGCAAGTGAATATGTTGAGTATGCAGGTAGGCATAAAAATCTACAATTTCTTAAGAGTTAAGGGCTGAAGATACACATTTAAGAGTAGCCAACATGCAGATATTCTTGAAAGCCGTAATATTTGTTTTTTATTTCTTTTTTAAATTATACTTTAAGTTCTAGGGTACATGTGCACAACATGCAGGTTTGTTACATATGTATACATGTGCCATGTTGGTGTGCTGCACCCATTAACTTGCCATTTAAATTAGGTATATCTCCTAATGCTATCCCTCCCCTCTCCCCTAACCCCACGACAGGCCCTGGTGTGTGATGTTCCCCACCCTGTGTCCAAGTGTTCTCATTGTTCAATTCCCACCTATGAGTGAGAACATGTGATGTTTGGTTTTCTGTCCTTGCAATAGTTTGCTGAGAATGATGGTTTCCAGCTTCATCCATATCCCTACAAAGGACAGGAACTCATCCTTTTTTATGGCTGCACAGTATTCCATGGTGTATATGTGCCACATTTTCTTAATCCAGTCTATCATTGATAGATATTTGGGTTGGATCCAAGTCTTTGCTATTGTGAATAGTGCCACAAAAAACATACACGTGGATGTGTCTTTATAGCAGCATGATTTATAATCCTTTGGGTATATACCCAGTAATGGGATGGCTGGGTCAAATGGTATTTCCAGTTCTAGATCCTTGAGGAATCACCACACTGTCTTCCACAATGGTTGAACAACTTTACAGTCCCACCAACAATGTAAAAGTGTTCCTATTTCTCCACATCCTCTCCAGCACCTGTTGTTTCCTGACTTTTTAATGATCATCATTCTAACTGGTGAGAGATGGCATCTCATTGTGGTTTTGATTTGCATTTCTCTGATGGCCAGCGATGATGAGCATTTTTTCATGTGTCTGTTGGCTGCACAAATGTCTTCTTTTGAGAAGTGTCTGTTCATATCCTTCACCCAATTTTTGATGGGGTTGTTTGATTTTTTTCTTGTAAAAAAACGAATTCCAGCAGCACATCAAAAAGCTTATCCACCATGATCAAGTTGGCTTCATCCCTGGGATTGCAAGGCTGGTTCAACATATGCAAATCAATAAACGTAATCCAGCATATAAACAGAACCAAAGACAAAAACCACATGATTATCTCAACAGATGCAAAAAAGGCCTTCAAAAAAATTCAACAGCGCTTCATGCTAAAAACTCTCAATAAATTAGGTATTGATGGGACATATCTCAAAATAATAAGAGCTACTTATGACAAATCCACAGCCAGTATCATACTGAATGGGCAAAAACTGGAAGCATTCCCTTTGAAAACCGGCACAAGACAGGGATGCCCTCTCTCACCACTCCTATTCAACATAGTATTGGAAGTTCTGGCCAGGGCAATCAGGCAAGAGAAAGAAATAAAGGGTATTCAGTTAGAAAAAGAGGAAGTCAAATTGTCCCTGTTTGCAGATGACATGATTGTATATTTAGAGAACCCCATTGTCTCAGCCCAAAATCTCCTTAAGCTGATAAGCAATTTCAGCAAAGTCTCAGGATAAAAAATCAACGTGCAAAAATCACAAGCATTCCTATACACCAATTACAGACAGACAGCCAAATCATGAGTGAACTCCCATTCACAATTGCTACAAAGAGAATAAAATAACTAGGAATCCAACTTACAAGGGATGTGAAGGACCTCTTCAAGGAGAACTACAAACCACTGCTCAACGAAATAAAAGAGGACACAAACAAATGGAAGAACATTCCATGCTCATGGGTAGGAAGAATCAATATCATGAAAATGGCCATACTGTCCAAGGTAATTTATAGATTCAATGCCATCCCCATTAAGCTACCAATGACTTTCTTCACAGAATTGGAAAAAACAACTTTAAAGTTCATATGGAACCAAAAAAGAGCCTGCATTGCCAAGAAAATCCTAAGCCAAAGAACAAAGCTGGAGGCATCATGCTACCTGACTTCAAACTATACTACAAGGCTACAGTAATCAAAAAAGCATGGTACTGGTACCAAAACAGAGATACAGACCAATGGAACAGAACAGAGCACTCAGAAATAATACCACACATTTACAACCATCTGATCTTGGACAAACCTGACAAAAACTAGAAATGGGGAAAGGATTCCCTATTTAATAAATGGTGCTGGGAAAACTGGCTAGCCATGTGTAGAAAGCTGAAACTGGATGCCTTCCTTACACCATATACAAAAATCAATTCAAGATGGATTAAATACTTAAATGTTAGACCTAAAACCATAAAAAACCCAAGAAGAAACCCTAGGCAATACCATTCAGGACACAGGCATAGGCAAGGACTTCATGACTAAAACACCAAAAGCAATGGCAACAAAAGCCAAAATAGACAAACGGGATCTAATTAAACTAAAGAGCTTCTGCACAGCAAAAGAAACTACCGTCAGAGTGAACTGGCAACCTACAGAATGGGAGAAAATTTTTACAATCTACCCATCTGACAAAGGGCTAATATCCAGAATCTACAGAGAAAGCTGTAATACTTGACAAAGTCATGTGGAAAGAGAATGTGAGCAGGGAAGAGAAGATGTCCCAGAACTGAGCCCTGAGTACTCCAGCATTCAGAGATCTGGATGACGCAGGTGGATTAGCAAAGGATGATAAGAAACAGGCAATGAAGCAGAAAGAAGGTTGAAACAGAATAGCCTCTATCATTCTTTGTCTGCTTTTCAGTAAATTACCAACTTTCTTAAATGCACATGTATTCCTGTTATAAAAATAAAACAGGTAAAGTTTTGTGCTCCAAAAATAGCTAAAATACAACATCAATTTTTTTTACTGAACTTCATGACAATTTGCGTACTTATTTTAGAATCTAAAACTACTACTCAATATAGAATTAGATAATTTTTTCTTGCAAATTAAGTTATAGGCCATAAATATTTAGATTTATTTGAAAACAGATACTACCTCACAAACATAAAAGTGCCTCAGGAGGCTGAGGCAGAATCACTCGAACCCAGGAGGAGGAGGTTGCAGTGAGCCAAGATTGTGCCACTGCACTCCAGCCTGGGTGACAGAGCAAGACTCTGTCTCAAAAAAGAAAAACAAATAAATAAATAAAATAAGTGGTATAATAGAAAACAAAGAAGAGTGTGATTCTGAGGCCGAACTCTATCATTTAGTAATTGTGTGGCAATTAGCAAATTACTTAACCTACCTAAGCTTCAATGTCTTCATCTGTAGAATGGGAACAACATTTATCCTCATAGTGCTCACACTGGTTTCAAAATTCCATTAAACATTGGTTTCTTAATCAGAATATGCTGCAGTTCTGAATTACAAACTAATCACTGTTTTTCATACATATTCATGAAACTTGCATTACTGTACATATATAAAAATTAATTATTAGAAGCAAAATTAAATGCTCCCAAACCTGTGGGTGAAAACCAAATAGTACCTTGAGTACACGGACATCTGAATGTAGGCACCATTTGTAGGTGAGTGAATACCTTCTTCAGTAGTCTCAGTCCTGTGTTGACTTCATACCTTTTTCTTGCACCTACTAGCACACATTCACCACTGTTCCCAGGGGCTGTGAATTGACATCCTTACTTTCTCCTTTTTTATCAGTGAAAAAGACAAGCCTAACTCAGTTTGCCTCCATGAGAAGAGTTTTCTTGTGTTCTGTAGGTCTATCCCAAGATTTATACAATTGTGAAAAGTGAATGTAATTTTTCAGAAAGCAATGGTCATCTTTTATATTGTAGCAAATGTGCCTCCAGAAACACAAGAAAGATCACCAAGGCATTATCAATTTCGCAAAACATTAACATATAAAAAGTTTAATAGGTGGCCATGACCCCTTGGCCACTGATTACTGACCAGATCTTAAATTATCATCCATCATCTACATTGACATACTATGTTTCCTGGCTTTGTAGGCAAAGTAGCCAAATTTCCTTCAGTATTTTACTAGTCATTAACCCCGAATTTATTAAAGAAGAAACATTATACCTTATGAAGTAGTTCTTCATATAAAAACATTAGTCATCATCTATTTATTAGCTAAGAAACAGAAAATCACTTTTTAATTCACTCAAACTACATAAATGGCAATGGCAAAATTTGTCAACATTTCTGAAAATCCGTGGGGAAAAGGACAATAACAAATAATGATAGTAATGACAATATTAATTCACATTTATCAGTGCTATGTTTCAGACACTGTGATAAGAACTTTGATTGCATAATTTAATAATCAAAACAACTTTAAAAAATATTAATGGCTGGGCACGGTGGCTCACGTCTGTAATCCCAGTACTTTGGGAGGCTGAGGCAGGCAGATCACCTGAGGTCACAAGTTCAAGACCAGCCTGGCCAACATGCTGAAACCACGTCTCTACTAAAAATACAGAAGTTAGCTGGTCGTGGTGGCAGATGTCTGTAATCCCAGCTACTTGGGAGGGTGAGACAGGAACATAGCTTGAACCCACAAGGCGGAGGCTGCAGTGAGCTGAGATCACACCACTGCACACCAGTCTGGGCGACCGAACAAGATTCCATCTCAAAAAAAAAAATTATATTATTCACATTTATAGAAACAGACTTAAAGAACTTAAACGGTTGCCTAAGTTCACCTAGTGAGTTGTAAAACCAAATTTTCAACATAGATAGAAGAACTTCAGAATTTGCACATTTAACCTCTACAGCAGAACCGTTCTCACTTGGTTCTATCAGTCTTTTTCATGTGTTAGTAGGTTTTATCATTCTAACATTGGTAATCAACTAAATGGTAAGTAATATTAAATATTAATGATATAATTACAATTCCTAGTAACAAGGACATAATTAATAGCTTCCCTAATTATAGAAAATAGAAAAAATTCAATGCTAGCTTTAACAATCTTCATGAAATTTTTTGGGGCTGCAATTTTACATATATCTAGTAACTGGAAATTTTTCATTCAAAGTAACTGTCACAAAACATCTACTTTTGCTTTTTGTAACCTGAAGTAATCTTTTGTTAGTTTGATTTGGAAAAGTGGTTAAATCTACCCATTAGTAGACTTTGATCCACTAGAAACCACCTGCAATTTTAGGATATCAGAAAAAGTTCTTTTCTATTAGTGAAAGATATTAAGTCCTAGATAAAATCTCCACAGTTCATCCATCTAGTTCATCTTCTTGCTTCCCAAAAGTTCTTAATATCAGCCATCCCAAGATGACTGTCTACAGCTAAAAGAGCTTTTGGCAAGGGAAGCCTTAGACACAAGTTTTAGATTACTTCTCCCCACCCTAGCTGGTGAAATGGGAAAATCTCGTATTGACTGTAATCGTTCTCTTAATACATAGAGAGAAAGATGCAATTTATTCAGCCAGATTCTTATAACTTCAATTGTTCCCCAGAGTAAAAAACAGGCACTCTGACAAACTAATTCACTTTTTCAGACCTCTTGGGAAGTTTGGAAGAACTGCTCCAATGTGCTAAATGGCACCCCAGTGAGTTCTGAAAATGCTTGTACCTAACAAAGTACCTTACTCACTTTTCAGATGCAACTTATACCTTAAGAGAGCATCTAATTTAATATTTTATTATGAGTTTTTTTTTTCATGGCTCACTTTATAGCTCTTTAGTTGCTATAGCTATAAAATGATCTAGATTAGCATAGACCATCCCAAGACAATAATGTAAAGAACCCTAAAATGTTTTCAACAATGGTGTAATTCCATAGACTATGAAACATGGAAATATAGCCACTTAGAGTGTTAGATGCCTTTGAAACATAATACTATGAGGATTCTGCTTGTATTTTGGGAAAAGAACAAAGAACTCATAATTAACTTGTAGTCTAGTAGTTGACACAATGAAAAGGGCTTCAGCTCAGATTCAATTAACATATTTATTATATCCTTATTGATGTTGCAGAATATATTGACTTATGCTTAAATAAATCTCATTCTATTTCCAGTGGGAAAACAGAGATTTCAACATCTTATATGGATGCCCATGATATATTTTCATTAATAGACAAGTACTATAACACAAACATTTTATTTGTAGTGTGTAATGTGTTATCAACTATCTAGACATCTAAATATTAACTCATCAGGCACTTCATTCTCTTATTAACTCTCCTTTATAATCTCCTCAAAATTTTTATTGCTTACTTGCCTTCTGCACATTTGACATTCTTTTTTTGGTTCTTTCTTGATTTTCCCTCTCTGCCTCTCACTTTCCTTCTCCTTAATCCCATGTAAATACAAATCCATTCATTTTTTTTCTGTTACTTATTCAATTAAATAAATTATCTGCTACGAGTTATGCAGCATATATGTTATAGAGGTCTATGTTTATTATTTCCTCCAGATCTTTAAAACAGATGATAGAAAATGCATTGCAGCTCAATCCTTATGAATGAGTCTCTACCACCACCAATTTTGGAGAGAAATTCAAATTGGATGCATAAGCCACACTAAAATGGACATAAACAATTGAAATTTCTTGTCCCAAAGACTCCTCAAAGTTAACCATCATGGGATCTGGCTAGATCAGATGACACCACTGCACTTGCCTATTTTGGGTTAGATACCTCAGGGTTACTCTAGTCCTAGGTGCCATTGCTGTAATCTAATAATAAACATTGTGATACCAATGGAGCTTTATAGTCTTCAAAACACTTTTAGATGTATCAACTCACTTTATAACACTATGAAGTGAAAGTAAGTGATTGAGAGAAAAAAAACTTAGATAAAGGGCCATATTTTTACAAGAAAACAGGCCAAGAAAGAATAAGTGTTTTGCTCAAAACCCAGTTAATATGGCCTAGACACAAATCCTAGTCAAATGCTGATAGTAAAATGCTATTATTTGTGTGATTTACACAACTACACTTAGATATAACAAAACAGTAATTATCAAGTTCTCACATCAAGGAGCACTGATGGGAAGCTGGGGACTTGGTACTGCGGTGGAACTTCTCAGACAGAAGGAGGGTGCAGGCCCTGGAATATGGGTGAATAGTATGAATGTAAAAAATGTTATGACCCTGTGATTAAATTCTCTTTTTATGTTGTTTTTCTAACATCTTTTAATCAGAGTCAACAATCTTTCTGACATACATTATAATAAAGAAACTAAAGGAGACCCTTTCTAAGAATATCTTCCATTGGCTCTTCTGTTACTGTCCTGGCTACACTTTTCAACTCTCTTAATAGTTTTTAAGGATGATTCTCTGGTTTGTTTTGGTAGTATCACCCACACTTCATGAACCGGCAGAATAATTTGGAGTATAATTGGATTTAATAATTCTTGAAAGACGGACATAGAGTGTGGAGTGATAGAAAATGGAGACTCAGAAGGGTGAGAGGATGAGACGAGGGTAGATGATAAATTACTTAATGGGTACAATGTATGCTACTTGGGTGATGGATACCCTAAATGACTTGACTTCACCACTACACAGTCTATGCACATAACAAAATTGCATCTGTACCACATAAAGGTATACAAATAAAAAATAATTCTTGAAAGTTTTGCACATATATTAAATATATTTGAGCATTCAACACTTGCTTTCTGCATTGCTTTTACATCAGGAGTCAGCACACTTTTTCTATAGGGGGCCAGACAATAAATGCTTTAAGCTTAATAGATCATAGGGTCTCTGTTACAACCACTCAATTCAGCCACTTTAGTCCAAAAGCAACTATAGACAATATATAAAAATGAATGCAGCTGTGTTCTAATAAAATTTTATTTACAAAATAGACAGCAGGTCAGATTTGGCTCACAGATCACAATTTGCTGACCCCTGGTCTATACAATGTCAGTGTCAACCATAGTGAAGTGTTCTCTACCAGTACAATCTATAGATTAAAAAAATATATAGGGTAATGCTTGTAAGGTCTGCTTCCTCTTCTATTTGAAGTCTCATACCAAATTTCTGGCTTCAGAAGGGAGATGTCAGCCTATGCTCACTATCCTCATAATTGGAAGCACTAATTACCATCTACTTTATTAGAATTTCATACATCTAAAACTGTCTATGAAACATTTTCTCTACTCAGTCTAGAATCTTTTATTTGCTTTGATTTTCTAATGCACATCAAAATTATTCAACCCCCTTCATCACGTTCTCAAGCATGGCCATCATATTTTCTTTATAACACACAATGGTCAATTCTACTTTTCTAACTTCCAGCTCTCTATTCTCTTTCTATGTGTACCTTCTCAATCCTTAATATTGTGCCTTGCTCAAGGTATTCATTTCAGTAAGTCTTGTCAAAATGTTTTACTTCAGAGATTCTGATTCTGACATATAAATTCCTTAACCAGAAGCAAGCTCTTCTAATAAATTCTTAATTTTTTGAATTCCAAACCTAAAACATAAAGTACCTTCTTTTCAGTGTTTGAAACATAGTACTCATTCATTTCCCTTAAACAGTAGTTGCTACTAACCAAAAACTCTTGAATTTCCAAGGTACCCCAGAGGGGAAGGAAGCAAGAAGAATAGGGATGCACATCAGTCACTCAGTTCATAAATTTTCAGCTAAATAAACTATAACTCTCAATATGAGACCATCAGTCAAGTGACTGCTTGTGGGCTTCATCTTTCACAGTGTATACACTGACCAGGAACACTAAAGTAGAATGTCTAAATGTTAAAAATTATCATTGTTCTCTTTCAACCTTTTACCACAGATCATTATGAAAATAAAAGACATAAACTAACAAAACATTTCATATTTTTACTCAAGTAAGGCTGCCAGCAAAAGAGAAAATAAACAAGTATTTTACCAACTTATAAAAAAGATTCATAACCTGATCACAAACATCCAAATTCTTACATTAACCCAAACTTTCACACCAACAAAAAGCATCTATAGCTACTTCATAAATAGCCATCAATCTTATTTTTAAGAACTATATCTTTTCATAAAACCAGTTTCTCAAAATGGCATAATAAAATGTAAATGAAATGCTTCTTGTTCAAAAGGAGACAACTGACCAGCAAAATTTAATAGCCAAAAACTCAACGATTTACCCCTTCTACATATAAGAAGATCATCTTTAGAGGCTGCAACTTACCAGTGCCTTTGTGTTTTCTTCTGTAGCTTGTTCACATAGCTTTTGTGACCTGAATCTCACAGGCATGCAAAACAACTCAGAGAGATTGACACCGCACTTCACTCAATCTCTAAACATTTCTGATGCCTTCACTTTCTATTTATCTTGTGGCATAATTATAAGATTTTAGAAAAGAAGGTTAGAGATTCAAAACATGTACATTTTATTTTTACTTCCAAATATGTTGTTATTAAAATTAATCAGGATTAATTTGAATAGCTTGCTTGCTGTTTTTTGCATGTTGTTTATCATACTATGTAATTAAGGAAGACTCTGAGTTGCCTTATATATAGTAAATAATTGAAAAATACAAATAAATGTATAAAAACAGATCCAGAGAAAATCCATATAAACAATGAAGATTGAAATAAGAAGGAAACTCAAGCACATATATGTAAGGCCTTCAAACCATACAAGTTACCAAAGTCATCACAGACTTTGATTCTCAGCTTTTTGAAATCAAAGCAAAAAGAGAAAAACAATTTTCAATGCTTTTCAGAAAAATATACTATTTATCAGAAAGTGCAAAGAAGTGTTGTGACATTTCATACTGACAGTAGTAATAGCAATATTAAAAATAATAATGGGAGGGCAGTCAAGATGGTGGACTAGAAGCAGCTAATGTGCACCACTGTCATGAAGAGGGAACAAGGTGGCTAGTAAACACTGACCCTGCAAGCCAATCATTTAAGAAACCACGTTGGCATGCATCAAGGTAGCAAGGTGAGACAGAGAACAGAGAAGAACAAAACTGGGCAATAGCCTATCTGGGATCAGTGAGGAAGTCAGGAGAAGCTCCCCAACAAGAGGAAAGGGTAAGTGAGAACCCACAGGAGATCCACATTTCTCACAGGGACCTGTGCAATCCTGCAAATGGGAGAATCACCTGGCATCCCTAAGTCTCTAGACTGACACGGAGAATTGCAAGTCTACAGAGACTTCCATGGGTCTTGGACCCCAGAACAGCTCAGCGTCAGCCCCAGTAGAGGCCACAGTCATGGTGCCCAAGAGCAGTAAGATTGCTCTACTCTCTCTCACAAGACAAGGCTTACAACTTAGGTGCCTGCCCATCAATGGTGGACTGGATAAATATATATAAATCTGCATATATATATATAGAGAGAGAGAGATCTATATATAAATATATATAAATCTTTATATAAATATACATTTTATATATATATATATATATATAGTATGAAATCATGTTCTTTGTGGCAATATGGATGCAGTTGGAGTTCATAATCCTAAGCAAACTGATGCAAGAAGAGAAAACGGAATAACGAATACTGCATGTTTCTCATTTATAAGAGTGATCTAAACATTGAATACACATAGACATAAAGATTAAAATAACAGAGCAACAGAGACTCAAGATGACTAGCTGGGGGAGGGAGAAAGGGGAGCATGGGCTGTAAAAACACCTATTTGGTATTATGCTCACTTCCTGGGTGATGGGATCATTTGTACCCCAAACCTCTGCATCACACAATATACCCATGTAACGAACTTCTACATCAACCCTATAATCCTTAATACAATTTGAAATTATAAAAAATAATTATAGAATATTATTATGGGTAATCACTGCTTTGCATGCCTTATATACATTAACTCATTTAATCCTCACAATAACTCTAGAAAATAGTCATTATCATCCCTATTTGGAAGATAAAGAAACTGAGGACCAGAAGATAGAGAGGCTTAGTAACTTACTAGAAGTCCCAAAGCTATTCAGTGGCTGAGCTGGAATTATGAATGAAGGCAGTCAGCTCCGAAGTTCTCACTCTTAACCATATTTTATGCAGCATCTCTTATTACTTAGATCTGAACGAAGTGTTTGAGCTCTTATGCACTGGACTAAGGAATGTACTAAAAGATATCTCAAGCAAAAATTGCATAAGACAAAGGTTTCTTAAATCATCTTTCTAGTCAACGGAAAACTCAAGAACGAAATTCACAGGGACTATGTACAGGCTGTGGTGGGGCTGGTATGAGCAAAAAGACTTGAAGAAGCTCTTCTCACTTTTATTTTCTGAAATATGATCTTCACTGGTAATCTTAGCTCAGAGAACCTGCTGTATTTAGACTAGGTGACCTATAAACGTAACCTGAGAGGTATTTTTAAGTATATAAAATATATATGTGTATTGTGCTGTCTTTCTACACACTAATTCAGACTTTCTATTTTAAAAATATAAAATAATCTGATACTCTGCTCCATTTTGGGAATATAAATAAAGCCTTGAGAATTGAGAAGAAAAGGTACACCATGTACTGCAAGGCATGTGTTTTACTAACCACTGAAATGACACATGGTGTATACTTAAGGTTTAGACTTCAAATTTTATTTTTTGGTGTATGCTGTGAATGAAGAAATATACTAGTTCTTCAGGGCATGCAGCCACACATATGTTATATGTTATATCAGCAAACACTCTTGTTTTATTTTTAGGAGACTAGTGTAGGCATTACAGTTTTCAGTTTATTGGTTAAACTTATGACACAGTTTTGTTATTTATACCCCCCATTTGTGCATGGTAGCATAATGAAAAGGTGACCAAGGGTTGCACTAGCAGAACCAATTACTTTCCCTTCTGGTCTCCACTCCCACTAATCATCTTACTGTGATATTGGTCACATTTTGTCTAGTGAAACTGGACAGTTCAGCCTAAGTCTGTCACTTACTCTGCTTATTCAGGAACAGATACCATGTCATTCTCATCCCTGTCACTACATAGCGACTGGCACAGTACTTTGACCATAATAGGTGTTTGGGAAATGTTGGTGGCACTGGATTAAAAGTTAAAAATTTACAATGCCTTCTGGAATACAAGAAAATATTTTTTTTTTGTAAATGGCATACAGACATATTTCTATGCATTGATTATCAGATATCTTTCTATTCCATTCCTTATGAGTTACAAAAGCTCAGTCTCTAGTACAAAGATCGAATCATATTTAAAGAAACTACAAACTTAAGCAACAATGCTCAGTGGGGAGATTTTCAGTGGATTTGCTGGGATGATAAAAATCCTGGAGAAAGAATTTGCAATTTCAGCAACCTATATAAAAGGAATAATAAAATTTAGAAAAAGATAGCATGTGATGGCTGAAGGCATATGTTTAGCAGCCAAATGTTTTGCTGAATACTCCCGTTTGCAGTTTAATGGGAGATCCAATATAAAATTCCACTTACACCTGAATGTTTAAGGTAAAACACTGAAATGGCTAACATATGCTCAAAATGATTTAGACATTCATCTTCTTGGGTGGGCATATATATCTCCTTGGCAAAGAAATGTAGTATGGAATCCAAGGTACAAGAACTAACGGACTAATGGACAGAATTGCACAGGCAAAAACCAAACACGATATACCACATAGTACTGTTATACATAAGTATGAAAAGTAGGGCAGTTATTTTTTTTATCAACCACACAGACACAAAAATCTCAATACATTTTACTTCAAGTATAATCCATACCCAGGTATAATGATTGCATTATCAAGTGGAAATATTTCCAAGAAAGGATTACTGCTTTGTAGTTTATATACAGTAAGTATGGGCTTGGCTTCTAAAGATCTCTAGAATATGACTTTATTAATAGGTAAGCCCTATTTTTAAGCTTCTAAAAGCTTGGGAAAGGGAGAAGGCCAAGTACCCAAGCTCAATGTGGAAGCAGCATTTACCATTAGAAGGCAGTGTTTAGATCCAGGTACTTGGCTGCAGGAAGTCAGAAGAGACACTTTGGTCATGGACGACTGCATAGAGAACTAAGAATAGAGCTGGAGCTGAGAGAAATGACATATATGCCATTAAGAAAGGAAGGGAAATAAGAGTAATAGCACAGAGGTGATGATGACAATGGTATACAAGACAGCCAGTGAGCAGTGAAGATACTGGGCTAATTTGAGCAAAGGGTGGGGGGAAAAGGAAAATATGGTTGCAACAGGCTACATATAAACTTTAAAACAAGGCATTTTTAAAATTAAATTTTATTAATTTAGTTTTATTCAAACTAAATTAAAATAAGCATAATAAAAGTCAAAGAAGAGATAAGGATTTGAGGCAAAGGTGTGGAATCAAGGAAGTAATCTTTCTTAGAGAAAGATTACCTTAGCTATGTACATTGAAGGAGAAATCAGAAACGATTACTGTATCTCAGAGGCTTTTGGTGAAACACTGATTCATGTACAGATATTTGTTATGGCTTGTACTATACTGTATACTCTCTGAGAACAGAGGATATTTAGAACAGTTTTGAAATCCAACAACAGCACAGTTTTTCCTTGATCAGATGAAACTCAATGGATTATTACAGAAGGGTAGCAGGAAGAGAAAAAGGGAAGAAGGGTATTTGAATGCGTCTGTGCCTCTGTACACTCATAGGTAAAATTCAGGGAATACGGCACTAACTACATTACTGATTAATTGACCTTGAAAAGCATCGACTAGGCCAGGTGCGGTGGCTAACGCCTGTAATCCCAGCACTTTGGGAGGCGATGCGGGCGGATCATGAGGTCAGGTGTTCAAGACCAGCCTGGCCAACATAGTGAAACCCCATCTCTATTAAAAATACAAAAAAATGGCCAGACGTGGTGGTGGGCACCTATAATTCCAGCTACTCAGGAGGCTGAGGCAGGAGAATTGCTTGAACCCAGAAGGCGGAGGTTGCAGTGAGCGGAAATCGCTCCACTGCACTCCAGCCTGGGCAACAGTGTGAGACTCCATCTCAAAAAAAGAAAGAAGAAAGAAAAGAAAGGAAGGAAGGAAGGAAGGAAGGAAGGAAGGAAGGAAGGAAGGAAGGAAGGAAGGAAGGAAGGAAAGCATTGACTAGTAATTCTAAGTATATACATATATCAAGACAATAAATGTTGATATTTTGTTTGCCTTCTTTTTTAATATTATATTTCCTGAACTGTCTAGTTCCTTAGTCTTAATATGGATCACATTTCAAATAAAAGTTTTAAATAGATTAACATAATACATAACTTGGTCAGAATAAATTATCTGTTTGTCATGAAATATCACAAAAATTGAGGTTAAAATAACATTTCTTATGGCAGTAAAGACAGAGCAGTTAAGGAAAAATATTTACCCTTATATCTGTTTTATTTTTCTGCAATTACTGGGGTATTGTCCTACCTTCTTAAATTACTAATAATTCTGCTACTGAAGATTTGACTTTTCTTCCACATTTTTCTCACATGACAATGTTTCTGAAACCCTATCGATTTTCTCCTTCTTAAAATGAAAATAATAAAATGTTGGATATGGAAGTATTTTGAAAATATTTTTAATTTTATAAGGAAAGGAAGCAAGGCATGAGTTGGTTATATAACTTGCTCAATGATAATAATTAAATCAGCTAGTCCCAGGGAAAGTGTTTCTTCTCTCTGCCTACTGCAGGATTTGCAGCTAGGCTTTCCCTCACACTCACGCAGAATGGTGGGCTGCTTCTGTTATTATGCCCATACAATTATTCCACATTAACCTCTCTTCTTTGGATCGTTTATGACAACTGAGGGGCTGAGTTTTTATTACATTTCCTCTGTCAGGTGATTTTCTTCCAAAACAGGGACTGAAATTCAATGAGTTAAATGAATACAGAACTCACTTTATGTGGGTCTTACGGTTGATCTTACAATTTAAAACACATGTAAAAAACAAGTAGTTTTTAAAATGTCGACTTAAATTTTCACATTTCATTTCCTGGTAAAATGCTCTTAACTATGCCTTGCCTCCTTATGCACTGACTTTTTGTAAGTATTGGAGTGGATTTTTCACTACATTAAAGTAATAAAGAACTAGACATGTTCTCCTAAGCAAAGTTAATCACTCTCCTCTATGGATCAAAGAGTTCTCTCTCCCTTGTGATATAACAGCACTTATCAAGGCATTGTTACTCTCTTCGTACATTCCCTTCTCTTGCTAACTGTGCTAGGTTCTCCATATCTAGCATGTTATCTGGTATTTGGTAGGCACACAATACACATTTCTGAATAAGTGAACTCAAATAGTGAACCAAACAAGGTCAGGCTACTCTCTTTGAGCCAAAAAAAAAAAAAAGAGAGAAATTATTATGAAATGCCTCATTTTTTAGTAATTAACACCATGCTGCCTACATAGTCAGCATTCAAACATATACTTGTTGGCTCACTAAGTATCCAACAGCTTGAGTGGACTCAACACTTGAGTCTTCACCCAGAGAGACCTGGACACAACCGCATGGCCAAAGTAAAGGAAAAAGGTTATAGTTGGTCATGTTATTTAATCTGAAAATCTGAAAATGGGTTAGATAATATACACAAAGCATTTGTCCTTCATTTTCCAAAATGAGTTTTTGGAAAATTAATATGGAATTTATTTTTCATAATAAAGGAAAAAAGAGGACATTTATGTTACAATCTAACAAAAATATCTGTTAATTTAAGGACAGCAGGACACTATATGTCCCTATTTATTTTTTAGCAAATTTCAATAATGAGTACCTGCTTAAAAATTATCTTTCCATTTGAAAAATTAAATAATAAATATAAATGAATGCTGTAGTCATTGAATCTAGTTAGCACTCTTTCATTTAAAGGATTTTATTAAAATTAATCCTTAATATGGCTAAAATTCAGATACAGTAGTTACAAAATGGTGCTTGCATAGTACAAAATCATACCTAAATATAAAATTGTTTTAGGTAAAATTTAATGTTAAAAGAATACTTATTTTGGAAATCCAATAAATGAATAACTACATTCATTTTAATCAAGAAAAAATATTTACATGGCTTAAGTTAGTCTAAACTCCACCAGCACACATAAGATTAACCTGAGAATTAAGTATTAAATCTAAAGGCAAGTAATTTCAGAATATTCAAAACTTTTGTGATCTTATAAGATTACAGGCCAAAAAATTATATCGGAAGCTATATAGGAAGCTAAATATTAAGAAAGCTGCTTGGATCCTTAGTAAAATATAATATGTATAATACAGATCTATGTTTCCTATGAAGCACTTTTTTTTCCAAATGTTAACAACTTCATGTGTTCAGAGAAATACAAATATTCCAACCTTTCTTCTTCTTCTCTTGTAAACTTAATGTCCTCCTTCCACCCACAACCAATACACCCTTCACTTTGCCCTGCTGCCACTGGAACAAAAGCCTCTAACCAGTCTTCCTAATTTCAGCATCAATAAAACCCTTTAAACCGCCCTCTACATTGTGTTAGAATTTTCTGGCCAAAATATAGATCTGATCATATAAATTTTCGTTATATCACTGTCTACAGGAATCCAAACCCCATATTTAGAAACTTCAAGTGACATGCATGATTCCTTAGAACACTTTAATATATCTATTAAAGGAATATTAACAAAATGTAATGGCTACCTGTATTCACAGCACCATGGATAGACAGAACTTTGAGGCAAAGGACTGTGTCTTATTCATCATTTCATTACTAGAATTGAGTACATGGTAAAGGCTCAATAAAGGTTTGTGAAAATCAATCCTGAATGTATAAATGTTATTCATGGCTAAATTTAGACTTAATGACATCACTTCCCATTCAAGTTACTGCTAATTTGACTATAGCAGCAGGGTCAATAATCTTCCTCATGTACTTTTCAATATATTTTATTGATACTAAATGATTATCACTAAACAACCAGATTACCCATAAACAGAACCTCAACTTTAGAAAATGACCTATTTTAACTATCTGGTCCCAGATTAGAGTAGGAGGGAAAATCAGAGAGCGATGGAGAAGGCAGAGTGATATTGAAATGTGTCTCCTGCATAATGACATAACCCCTAACCCAGTGAGAAATACATGGTGACATTGTGATAATTTTCCTACTACTGTTGTGTGAATTTGCTGAGATGTATGCTGAACAGTAAATCCACTTTGACAAAATGTGTGTTTCAATCTGGAATACGTCAGTTCAACTTTGTTGAAAGTCCTCATTTCTAACACTTTATTGCTGCCTTTAGCTGTATTAAACCTGTCTGTTTACCAAAAAGATGACCTCTTCCCTTACTAAAACCATACGATGGCTTATATTGTTTATCAAAAAAGAAAAAAACAGAACAGTCCCTGTATTAAAAGAACACAAACTACAATTCCCTGATGGCCCATTCACAGTATCTGCACTGATGGATGAGAAAATGTTCCTTTCACAGATTGCAATCTGTTTTTCAAACATCTGTGGGAACTCAGCTTTATAAAAAGGAGGAGAAAAAAACAGAAAAAAAAAACAAGGAATAAGTTGGAAACCCCTGATTACTGAGAATAGAAGCAAAATATATAATGAGATGAACCCCGTAAACACTGCAAAGTATCACATCTAGGTCAGTGCATGTTATAGCTTTTCTTTGCAAATAGTAAAATATTAAAACCTCTGAGTCTTTAATGAAACATTTGGCCTTTTTTTTAAGTATTACAGTGAGAACTTATGTTTATAATGTATTTGTTTATCAAACAAAATAATACATACAAAAAGTCACGATTGATGAGGTTCCCAAGTTACATCTATTGTTTAATAATAGCTGATTTCCAAGACAATATTCTAATCTCTGTGTTATCCAAGAGCCCTGCAGATACTTCTATGACTTTTTGAGATTCATTTTTTTTCATTTAGAGGTAAAATTGTATGTATTCACTCTATACTGTATGATGTTTTGAAGTGAAATGACAAAATCAGGTTAGTGAATATATGCTTTACCTCACAGTTACCATTGCTGTGATGAGAACACTTTACAGTCACGCAGCATTTTCAAGAACACAATATATTATTAACCATAGTCACCATGTTGTGTAACAGATCTCTTAAACATATTCCTCGTGTCTAGCTGAAATTTGGTATCCTTTGATCAACATCTCCCCCCTCTACCCTTAACCACCCCTGCCCGTGGTAAACACCATTCTATGTGATTAACTTGTTTGGATTCCACATCTGAGAGGCATCATGTGGTATTTATTTTTCTGTGCCTGGCTTATTTCAATTAACAAAATGTCTCCCAGGTTAATCCATGTTGTTGCATATGACAGGATTTTACTCTTTTTTATGAGTGAATACTGTTCCATTGTGCAGAAATTTATATTATTGCTTTTCTTTTTTCTTTTCTTTTTTTTGGAGACAAGGTCTTGATTTGTCTCCCAGTCTGGAGTGCAGTGGCATGATCAACCACACTACAGTCTCAATCTCCTGCACTCAAGTGAACCTCCCACCTCAGATTCCTAAGTAACTGGGACTACAGGCGCACACCACCATGTCCAGCTAATCATTTTGATTTTCAGTAGATATGAGGTCTTGAAATATTGCCCAGTCTCAAACTCCTGAGCTCAAGCAATCCTCCCTCCTCAGCCTTCTAAAGGGCTGGGATTACATGACATTGTAATTTGACCATGATGAGTTGCTTAAAGGATAGAAATCAAGTTTCCACATTTGTCCTAATGCCTAAAAAGCAGGCTTTTTATAAATGATCCTTTGGTAAATAATTAAATAAATGAAGTTCATACAATTTTCATTCTAATGATGAACTTAATACTATGTGTGTGCCTCATTTCATGTCTTTAATTTTTTACTCTTTAACTTAATTATACTGAAAACATTTATGCTATATTATATGTAGAAAAAACAGTATAGATATTTATATTTTTGTCAACTATGCAATTAAAAAAAATTGTACAGAAATAGCGGAAGAAAATATCCAAAAATATTATGAATTACTTCTAGATGTTGAATTCCTGGAATTTATTTGTATTCTTCCTTCTTTGTTTAATCTTCACTAATTCCATAATCAGTATGGAATAGTTTTGTAATCAGAGGAGATACTTAATTTTAAAATTCCATTACATTTTTCATTGTTCTGATCAACATAGCTGTTACAGGTATCTACTTTTACCTTAACAACCTCTATGAGCTAAATTCCTCATTCTATAATAAATCAACCAAATCATTGCCAGTCCATATATCTGAATGATATGACCAAAATAAATTCCATTACTTAGGATAAATATATTTAAACTAAATAAAATAACAACTACAAACAAACAAAACAAGAATGATATGTTTCAAGGATATGAATGCTCAGGATGTGAGATTTCTCCACAAAGGTGAAATGTTATTTCACATTTTAACCAGTGTTATAAATCAGTGATTAGTGTGTAAGGAGAAAATGTAGAATATAGAAAATGGGTAAAAAAATATAGTTATTATAACAACACAGGATAAATAAAATGAGGCAAAAATAACTAGGTTAAGTAACAGGTCAACTTACTGCATCAGAAAGTTGAGGCCGAGATTTTATTCAGAATATTAAAAAATTATGTTCTAGCATTAAATAATGAATTGTCTTCAATCATAAATTATAACCTTTGAATCTGTGAGGCAGATATGACTTTTTTAAAAGTTTCTATTGTTTTAATTATTTATTTGAGACAGAGTCTCGCATTGTTGCTCAGGCTGGAGTGCAATGGCAGAATCTTGGCTCACTGAAACCTCCATCTTTCAGGTTCAAGTGACTGTCCTGCCTCAGCCACCTGAGTACCTGGGGCTACAGGCACACGCCACCACACTCAGCAAATTTTTGTATTTTTAGTAGAGAAGAGATTTCACCATGTTGGCCAGGCTGGTCTTGAACTACTGACCCCAAGTGATCAGCTCACCTTGGCCTCCCAGAGAGCTGCGATTACAGGCATGAGCCACCACACCAGGCCAGATATGAGTTTATATATTTGTTTTTCTTAAACAGAGCTGTAAATTAGTCTAATTGATTGTTCCAAGGTTTCCGCAGTACCACTTCATTCTTAGGAAATAAGCTTTTATGTCAAATAGATTTGAGTTCAAACTCTGCTTAAAAATTAACTGTGTTCAAGACAATTACTTAACTGCCCTAAACTTTACTTTTCCATCCATAAGGTGGAAATAGTAGCTAAATCATGGTAATTATTGGCAATTACACAAAGCATTGTGTATAAAGTAACTAATACAGTGCACTTAGCAGATGGAGTAGAGGCAGATCAACCTTGTCCACTTTCAAGATGAGATTAAGCCAGTGGAAAGTAGGTGATACCAAACTTTCCTGATAATTCAGGCAAATAGGCTATGCTAAAGCAGGCTTACAGAAAGTATGACCTGTATTCCTGGACTGTAGTGTATCTTAAATACCCAGAAAGGCCTTCTCACTATCATCAAACTCACAAAATTTCTACACAGAACATTGGAGACTATGGTAGAAAACAATCATACTCCAGGGTCTACCTTCTAGCTCTCACAGTAACATAAAAGTTACAACTGCAAATTGAATTCTTTTATTCCTGTCCAAAAAGCAGATCAATATTAGAGGATTCTCATATAAAATATATAGAATATGTGTGGACAGATGAAAAGTAAAAAGGTGGAATATTGTGCAGTTCAGGAAGGAGGGTTTCATTCAGGTGATGAGGTCATAAAACTATCCATGTAGAAGACAGACACATTATCTAAGTGGGTAGTGTGTGGGGGGGGGTGAGAGAGAGAGAGAGAGACACAGAGAGAGACAGAGAGAGAGAGAGAAACTGATTACAAATATATCTCTAGTTCTTCAGTTATCCTTTGAAATGTGATTTTCCTGCTACTCCCATCAAAAGGTAGAATGTATTTATCCTCACTTTGAATCTAGGCTACCCTTGTTACTTGCTTTGGCCAATAAAATGTGGTAGAAATGATGGTTTGCCTATTTTGAACCTTAATCCCAAGAGGTCTCGCATTCTTACTTAGAGTTCTGGAACATCATGTGAGCAAGGCCAATTTAGCTTGCTAGATGATGAAAGGCATGAGGCCTAATTACTCTCTCTGCCCCAGCTGACAGCTATTCAATAGGTAGACATGGGCTTAAGGCAACCCAGACTCCAGCAAGGCTATCAGAACTTAGATGGATAAGTGAGCCAGCTCAGATTAGCCAAGCTTGGTTCAAAGCTCAAGCACTTCTCAGAAAAACCACAGATTTCTAGTAATCATAAACATTTACTAAGTGAAGATGAATTTTTTTTTTAGGTAGTTTGCTACACAGTAATAGCTGTATACACAGCATGATGGTCATAGCATGGCCTGGGAAGAAATGCAAATTCTAGTTAATTTCATGGCTAACTGGAGGCACTCAAGCTTCATTGCTTCCACAATACTTGTCTTGTTTAAGTAAACAAGAGGATTTAACCTTTCATCTCTGAACTCCTTAAAGGCTACACTACAGTTTTATCCATCTTTGAACGCCAAACTCCTGCTTATAGTGTGGTGCAGGGATTAAGGTTGTGGGCCCTGAAACTAGATTTCCTAGGTTTAAAACCTGCCTGAGTGACCTTAGGTAAATTGCTTAATATTTACAAACACAAATTTTATAACCTCTAATATTGTAGTAATAATGTTATCTGCCTAACAGATATTAAATTAAATAATGCAGCATAATAATTGATGCTGGTGCACAGTAAGTATAGTTATGCTAATTATTCTTATTAGATGCTCAGAAAAGTAATGCCAAAATCAATCTTGAAAATGGGTAGCAGAGAACTCTTCAGTCTTTATAATCTCTGGCCCTACAATTATAAAATTCACTATGTAATCCCCAGAAACCCATTATTTGATTAGTCATACTTAGAATGAATACTTCTTGTTTGATAGAGGATGAGAAAAACAGTGATAGATTTTTACATAAAGACTGTAAACCTGACATCTCTTTAACTTATTTACTTTAATACATTAAAAGCCAAGAAAATGCATCACTTTGAAGAGAAATGTAAGAAGCTAGTGGATTCTTCAAGCCACCTGATATGTTTATAAACAAACCAGCAAGTGGATTGGGGCAAGCAGCAAGACTCTCCTCTCTTTTCGAGCAAGTTTCTGCCTCAGTTATTCTCAAAGAATATGCCATTTAGAAGATATAAATCATATTTAAAAGAAGCTTTCAGTTTTTTTTTTTCTGAAAAACATATTGGAAGACATTCCACGCTCATTTCACAGATCTTCTGAAGTGTATTTCTAATCATTAGACTAGTTTAGAAATTCCTTTGCACCAGTTGCTACAATAATGTGTAGCAACTTATAAAAGTTAAAATTTGGTACTAGCTGGTGTTAGAAGAAAAAGCTTAAATGTGTTATCTTTCAGGAAAAAAAGTGAAAGATTGCTGGGTGTTCTATAGAATGATAGTATAAATTCTTATGTATTGAATTGAGTCCTATTTTAGGATTGCCAAGTCTAAACATATATAATAATACTTTAAGCTGTAACATATTTCTAAAGATATTTGCCATTTTCCTAAGAAAAGTATTATTTTATCAGAAAAAATTTCTGAATGTTCAAAAATGCCTCTCCACTGAAACACTGGCCCCAATTATGTAATTCATCAATTCCACAATGCATACTTTTAATTTTAAGCTAATTGTAGACGTATAGAAAAGTTGGAAAAATAACAGTACCTATATACCCCTCATCCGGATTTCCCTAAAGTTAATTCAAATTTCACCTGTTGTCTAGTAATGTCATATTTCGGTTCCATGATTCTCTCCAGAGTCCAATTTTATATTTAATTGCTTTTTATTCTTAGTTTCCTCCAACCTATGACAGTTCTCTGCTCTTATTTTATCTTTCATGACCATGACACTTTTGAAGAGTACTTCCTCTTGGTAGAATGTTCCTCAATTCAAATTTTCTCATTTGTTTTCATGATGAGATTCTTCTCATTCCATTATATCAAGAAGTTCATGATGTCACTGTCTTACCAATGGTAATATTGACAGTGTTTACTCAGAGAAGTATCTACAGGGTTTCCCACTGTAAAGATTTTTTTCCTCTGTGATTAATAAACATCTTTTAGGGAAATACTTTGAGACTGGGTGCATTACCTGTTTTTTCTTAATATTTGTCCACCAAATTTACAAACTGCAAGTGTACCTTATCAATTATTACTGAGATTTGCATTTTTAAAACATTTAACATGCCTATAATCAGGATACATCCTAAAATTGCTGGTCCCTCACTGTTGCTATCAACCAGTTAGCAGCCATGGTGCAGGTATCACTGTACATAAACAAACTTGTTTCTTATTTCCAGTGGCATGAATGGACAAAGACTATCCTTATACATTTTAAGTAACAAATCATTTATTGATTTATTGAAGAAAAACCATGAATCCTGGTTGTCATATGAAAATCTCCCATTGACACTGTCTGGTAAGATCAAGAAGGTGCAAACAACAAAAACCACACAGTAGCTGTGAAGAAAATTAAGCAGATATAAGCACTTTTTCATGTTTGGTTCATATCAATGTTTGTAATAGCACATAGTAACAAAGTGGTGGTGGTGGTGGTGGTGGTGGTGATTTATTTATTTATTTATTTATTTATTTAGAGATGATTCTCTCTCTGTCGCCCAGGCTGCAGTGCAGTGGCGCCATCTCGGCCCACTGTAACCTCCATCTCCAGGGTTCAAGCGATTCTTCAGCCTCAGCCTCTCAAGTAGCTAGGATTACAGGTTCTTGCCACCATGCCTGGCTAATTTCTGTATTTTTAGTAGAGACAGAGTTTCAGCATGTTGGCCAGGCTGGTCTCAAACTCCTAACCTCAAGTGATCTGCCCACCTCTGCCTCCCAAAATGCTGAGATTACAGGTGTGAGCCACCGCACCCAGCTGGTGGTAATGTTATTTTTAAATCCATATCTATGACACTGAGTCAAATGTTATTCTAAAATGTCAGATCCTAACTTTCTTTACGAAGTTTTGGGAATTCCTTCATATATTCCTTTATTTTTAAATAAAAATGGAGTATAATTTTAAAAACTGAATAAAGCAGTCTAACACAGCTCTTCCGATAAGTATGAAACTCTAAGTGATAAACCACTGTGTCATTGTTTATTTGATAGTGTTTATTCTTTCTTTAGCATCTTTGGGATACATAAAAGAGAGTGAGATATATTTTAATCATTGGCTCCAGTTTCAATTTCATAGGGAAATAGTGAATTGTAGGTGACTCAAATTTTCAGTGGAAATTAGAATCTCATTTGTCAAAAATTTCAGATGTGCTGAGGTTTTGTCCCTCAAGGGCTTTCCTAGACAAAGTTTGTAATACAAAATAGCAATCCAAGTGGCAATCCCATGTTTAGTCTTCCACTTGGTAAACAGCAAAAGGGAAACTTGTAGAGTAGTGCATAAACTTCATACGTTTTAAATTTTTCTAAAGAAAAATGCATTTGGTCCATAAACATGCTTCATGGAGGACGGAGATTAATACAGAAGGCATATTCAGTGGCTTATTTAAAGTTATCAGTATATATTTCTAAATTGAAGACAAAGGAAAGTCAAGTGTTTATTTTTAAGGTGATATGTTAAATGCAGAACAATGGCTTTATGTCTGACATTCCTGCTGTAATTGGAGGGTCATCCCACCTTTCTGAGACACAACTCCTTTATCTGCAAAATGACAATACATACAGCAAAGCTCAGCAATCTTTTTGGAAATTCAGATAACTACTTTTTAAAATGTAGTAGAATTAAAAAATCAGTGTGCAGCTCACTACAGACAATAGTTGTCTTCATGAAACTTTTGAGTGTATACATGCATATGTGTGTATAATGTCTCAAATTTAACTTAATTTCTTACTGGGAGTCACTGTCAAAGTCTGAAAGTGAATGAAGTAAATCATCTCTTAGAATCATTCAAGCCTCAGATTCTGTTGTGTACTCAGTTACATGAAATGAGCATTTATACCACATAGTTCAGAAACAGATGCCAAAGCCTGTAGACCAAAAATGATTAACACAGTTGTCATTAGCCACATGTGACTATTTAAATCTATATCAATTGTAATAAAATAAAATATTCAGTTCCTTAGTCACAACAGCCACTTTTCAAGTGCTTTATAATATTGTGTGGTTAATGATTACTGTATTGGAGAGACTACATATATAGAACATTTCCATCATTTGAAAAAGTTCTGATAGAGAGCTCTCCTCTGTAACTATCTCATGCATTTTCCAATGTGTTAAACTAAGCCTAATTAAACCAATATGAGGACTAGTGGAATGAATTTGATTACAATTATGCCATATAGATGAAGAGAAAACTTCAATGTTAATTTATAATATATACTTTAATGCTTTATTCACATATCACTCATCTTGCCATTTCAGGCTATTTTCTTGCCTTGTCATTAAATTGGAACAGCTTCTTATTCTTCAATTGAATTATTTTCTGAATTTTATTTAAAATTACCAGCTCATGTGAACGATGTATGCCAATATTTTATTCTGCCATGATGCACTTCCAAAGTTCATGTGAGGTCTTGCTAAAAGGGAGCTTTTCTTGATGGAGTACTGAAGTCTCACCTATTGTTATTCCTGTCTGGTGAATGTGAAACAGAAAAACATAGGAAAAGTTTCTGGTTTGGATTGTTATTCAAATGTGTGATTCTATATAAAACTGCTTTACTATATATATATATATATATATCTCTTCTATATAAAACTGCTGTACTATAAGACCATTATTTTTGATGACTGCCATTCAACACACGTACGGGGTTGAAATAGTTTAATAATTGTAAACCTTATTCTTATTACATTAATAATCCATAGAAGTGTTGCCAAGATTGAGTGAAAATATATGGGTTTAATTCCTGGTATTGGTGTTATCTTGCTCTGTAATTTGGATTAAGTCTTCAAATCCATTCCATGATTGCATCTTCATATATAAAATAAAAATAATTATACTTGTATTACTTTCCTGAGTGGAGTTCTGAGGGCAAGATGCCACTAAAAAAAAAATAAGTGTTTCTGAAGAGTGAGAAAATGGAAATGTTATTACTCTAAAATTCTGGTTTCCTGAGATCTTAACATATGTCATATATTTGCCACTTCGCATGTCAGAAACATAGTAATCATAGCACTTTGGGAGGCTGAGGCAAGTGGATCAGTTGAGCTCAGGAGTTCCAGACCAGCCTGGCCAATATGGTGCAACCCCATCTCTACCAAAAACACAAAAAATTAGCTGGGCATGGTGGTGCGCACCTGTAATCTCAGCTATTTCGGAGGCTGAAAGAGGAGAATCACTTGAACCCAGGTGGTGGAGGTTGCAGTGAGCTCAGATTGCGGTCACTGCACTTCAGCCTGGGTGACAGAGTGAGATTCCACCTCAAAAAAAAAAGAAACATAATAATCATTACATATTTGTTAAATAGATGTATGAATAGATCTATGAATGCATGGATAAATGAATGTATATACCAACAAAATTGTTAAAGACTTTAAATATTGCTAAATTAATAAGTATATATAAACACATATAACATCTTTGTAAACACGTATCTAAAAATACATGTTCCATTCATTTAAATTTTATTTTATTCCAAAAGAGTATTGAATACATAGCATGATATTCATAATATTATATGGCATAAATATTCAGGTATATTTTAACATTAAATACTTCATATTTTAATAACCTAGCTAGATCAAGCTTTACACTAACATATTGCGTGACCTTGGACAAGTGGCCCAGCAAACTGTAAGCATTTGAGCTTGCAAAGCACAGCTTAAAGATAGGAATTGAAAATTAATCTCTGCCATATTTTTGTTGCTGTTATTGTTATTCCTTTTTTGGAGAGGTACATTCCTAATTTTATTTTAAAAAATAAATAGCCCTATGACTATGATTTTCACCATTTCTCTGATCAATAATTTTGCTCTGAACACAAGCGCATTTATCAGTGTCTATTTTAAGATATCAATAAATTAATCATTATAATCATTAAAATAAAACATCATCAAGCATTACTAAGTTGAGATTATTCAGAAGAATATCATCTTTTTACTAATATCCAGTCTCTGTGTATAGTGACCCTGTGGTAAGTCCTTCACCCTTCGTGTCTGCTGCCTTCAGCACTATCGATTTACTGACAATGCCATAATGAGCTTGCCTCTGATCTTGTGCAGAAATACCAAAAACATTCATGTGAACTTTTTATTGTTCCTACTTTAGAAAGGTGAACAAAAGTCAATGTGAAATAACACATATAAAATGTCAGGAATCATACGCCTCAATAAATGTTAAATATTATTGCTATATTTATTTTTAAGCAGAGAAACCAAATATTCAATTTAACTGCATTATTAAAGCCTCTTTAGATGATTAAATAATAAAACCGTGAAGCTCTCTGGAATATACATAAGACATAAAGAAAAATATAAAAAAGTAATAATTTGCTATAATATCTCGAAAATTATAAAACCATCATGTTAGAACTGGAAAGGTCCTCAGCGGCCTCATAGTCAAAACCTCTAATTTTATGATGAAGAAACTGTAGTCCAGGAGATGAAGGTCACATAGATTGTGGTCATTTATCTTATTTAAGATAGAAGTAGTGGAACAGGTAGCCATAACTCAGCTCTTGACATACCACTATCTTTTCATTTAGTTTGACAATATTCTTCCTGGCTTGAAAATTCCAGAGGATACATTAGCCTATTAAGAACAAAAAACAAAAAAACTTTTCTTCAGCTCAGACTTGGACGGTTGAATCCAGTTTTATGCCTACAGCAGCATCTAAGCTGACATCTTTGCAGGTAGAGATGGAAGGTCAGAGAAGGAAGAGCTCAAGGTACATTCCTTCTTCCAGTGTACCTTGGTTTTGACTTCAAGCTTTTGTGCAGAAGCTTGAAGTCAAAACCAAGGTACATCGGAAGAAGGAAACAAAATGCAGAATATCTGATTCATAAATGGGGAAATGGAGAAGAGAGGAAAGGAAAATAAATGATGTTAAGAAGACAAAGACAAAAGCATATGTGTAAGCTTACCTAACGTCTTGTAAGTTGTATTGAGCTATCGTAAAATAATCATAAGCATTTTAGTCCCAATTTGTTCCCTGGCATCTTAGTTTCACTTTATCCCACAAGGAAATGGAAACACAGAGACAGGTAAATTGTCATGGAGGCAGAGATATACATATACACTAAGAAGAGGGAAAAATATTGAAATCTTGGAGAAAACTGTTTAGAGATGAGATAAAGAAAGCATGGAAGCTTTTGCGGAAACAATTTGGGAAGCAAGATTAGAAAGACATGGGAAGTCACATCACAGAATGGTGGGGATAGTTTACCTCATTTAAAAGACTGAGTAATAGTCATTTTAGACGCTTGCAACACCATTACTCCAGACTATGAAAATGGATTCAATGACCAAATGAAAACCATTAGTGTTAATTTATCAATACTTACACTACGAGTTCAAAAGCAGATATTAACCTGTTCAAGGCATTTGCACGTTGAGCATTTTATATTCAGCCCAGAGTTAAATATTAGCCTTAAAAAGTGCATAAAAGTGATTATAAGAAATGAATGGCTTTTGAGCTTTTAAGTCAAACACTCCTATGAAATTTGTGATATTTATTTCATGAAAGGTCTAACATATTTTGGAAGTATAAAATTTTCTGATCAAGTCTTAATAACTCAAAGAAACCAGAAGAAAAAAAATAATGAATCATTGTAGTAGTGTGAACCTGAACTATGAGAAATAAATTAGACTTCAAAATGAAGAATTTTAGATGACATTTTTTAAAAAGGAAAAGGGATTGGAAATTTAAAAAGTCCAATGCTGTAATACTAGCCAGAAAGACCTACTGCATGTAATAATACAGTCTGTATTCAACATGGAAGAGTGTACTTTGGGAGAGATCGGAAATCTAGTGAACAGTGCAATTAGCTTGGTCATGATTCTGTTTCTGATCACTATCACTCATTCCATCTATCAGAAAAAATATGCCTTTTTATTTAAAAGAAGTTTAACTTGTTCAATGCTACTACAGAAAGCTTCAGAGACAGACTTGGTATGGATTCTGTTTTTACCTTTCCAAACTATAATTAAGTTAGGAAATAAAAATATATATACTGCTTTTTCATGGTGAACATGAAACAATAAAGGCTCATTGAAAAAGGACAAAACTGTAAATTGTACTTCCAATGAAATTTATTAATTGAAAAATTAGTTATTAAGGTTTTTCTTAGTAACAAAAAAGATTTGTTATAATAATTTATGTTAGGATGAAAATGGCTATTTTTGAAATCTATGTATGTCAGGTAATTCTCCTTTATTTATAATTTCCAGTGACGTTCATCTATACCTTTTCTCTGCTTACTCTTTTTTTTGTCTGTCCCCACTACAAATAACTTGCCTAGTCTCACAAATTTTAATGTTGTTATCCTTAAAAGTGTGGAACCTTATCTACTAATTACAGGTTTTTTGGAGTTGTTTTCCTAACACACTAAGCAGGAAGACTTAATGATGAGACTCCTTAATATTATAATTTAGTTTTGGATCAATAGCTTTACTAAGAGTTGACTGAATTTTTCAGTGCCAAATAATTGGAAATTTTATTAATTTGAAATTTTATATGTTATGAATAAGTGGTTTATGTCAATTTGTATTATGTGTATTGTGACATGATAATTGAAGTTTTAGTGGAACTTAATTGTAGCTTATATTATGTTAAAAATATGTAATCACAAAGTAGATTCTAGTTTTCTAGAACAAATAATTTGTCAAGACTTTTGGAATTTCTCAAAAACTCACATTGATCAGCGATGCCACACTTCATATACTGCGTAATATCATGCATTTCTATTTTACATATGCTTCCACGTTATATGAAGATTAAAATATTATCCAATTGGAATGCATTTCAGCTCATTTCAGCCAAAGTCCAAACTGTCTAATGTACTGTTTCATAGGTTGAGTATTGGTAACGGAAGTTCCATTACCAATCTGTTCCATTTTACATATTTTCTTACATTAAAAAGCTCTGTGACCTAGAAAAGGTTAAAATATCTATGCTTCAATTTCCCACATGTAAAACAGAGATTTTAAAACCACATACTTGATAGAATTGTAAAAAAATTAAACAATTTAACAATATTCAATATATAGAAAAGCACATAGTGCATGGAAAGTACTATGCAAATATTAGCTCTTGAAAATATTAATAGAAAAAATATCATTTCTCTAAAAAGCTAATCCATGCTTTTGTACAGAGCTATGATTTGTTGATGTATAGTTTACCCTTATATGAATACTTCATAAAGTATTTATGTTGATGATATTTTGATTTTTTTCCAGATTTTGAATATTACAAAAGATGTTATATTCTTGTCAATATCTCTATGCATGTGTGCAAGAATTCTCTCTTGGGTATATAACTAAGGCAGAATTGCTAGGTTATAGTACACATATATTCAACTTCTGTAGACAACGTCCAACTGTTTCCAAAGTGGTTGTATCGGTTATACTCCCACCATCAGTACATGAGTGTTCCAGAAGATACTGTCTTTTAATTTTTAATTTTAGCCATTCTGGTAGTGTTTACTGATAATTGACATTAGTTTAATACGCATTTCACTGTTTACTTATAAGGTTGATCATCTTCTTATGTTTGTTGGCCATTTTCTGAAGTAACTGGCATAGGAGTGGGACTATTTTCTTACACTGAAGGGAATGTTCACTAATGACTGAGTAAGTTTCCATCTTTATTGGCTCCTGAATGCCATGACTGTGTTTCTCACCTTTTTTCCCCACATGAAACCTAACAGAATTTGCTGATATAGCATTTATATTCAGTTACAGAAAAATAAAATGTATACCCTGATAGGAATTCAGCAGAACATTAGAAATGATCCCTAGCACACTGTCTAGGGACAATGGCACAAGAGAATTAATTAAACAGAGTTCACTACTCAGAAAAAAAAAAAAAAAAAACATGAAAAAAGTTTTATCCTGCATTTGGTCTTTAGGATTAACATCTTTTTCATGTACATTCTAACAATTTCAAATTATTTTATTATCTTAAAAAGTATAAACAGAAAGTAGAGCAGGATTAAGTAAACTATTGCAATACTGAAGCAAGGGGAAAACTAAAATATTAAGACGCCTTAACCGAGCAAATGCTCAAAAGTCAGTACAGTATAAATGGTGTCTACTGACTTTATAAATTGTTGAGGAATTCTCTTGTCATTGCTCATTAGGCTTTAACTGGGTGCACATTAGTCAGGTACCAATCAGTGACTACTCAAATAATCATTAGTTACTGCTAATTGAGTGTATTATAGACTGTCTTTTCAGGTTGATCTAAATAAGCAGGCCAACAGCTGTACAACCAGCGGCAAATTCATACTGCTTCATTAAGTGAGGTTCTGAGAGTTTGAAAGATCTTAAAATGGGCTTGTGCAAGAAATCTGGCACCAATTTATGAACAACAATTGAAACACCCCAAATCCACTGATACTGAGAATACATTTCCTAGAGATGCTGAAATCTGAGTGTAGATTTAAATGAATTTCAGTTTGTTTTAGATCTCTAATAAGGAGAAATATAGTCTTTGTATATATGCATAAGTCTACTGAGGAGAATAATGTTCATAAGAGAAAAAAACAAGAATGAGCAGGAAGCTTGTTGTTCTCTTGTGTTAAATAGGGTGTTTCACTTCAGGGATGAGTCATTGATATTTAATGTAAAAAGGAGGTCACAGTAAGGCTACATGTAGCAAAACTCAAAGCTTACTGCCAACCATGGTGACACACAGCACCATCTACTTCTTGAGAAGCCTCTTCTCGCCTAGTTGGATCACAAATCATTCCCAGTTCTGTCTACTTTGCATTTTCTCTGACTTTTTAGTATCTTCTCTTTCCTCATAACTTTAGTTTGCCCATGGCTACCCCGACCTTTCTAACCTAAATCTACTTTAAGGACTTGCAGGTTCACTTCCCAAGGCTAACTCAATTCCAGGGACAGGCCTGGTTTTCTAAGCATGCCTGGCCAGCTATGGGCTGGCTGCTGCTGACTGAGGTGCCCACCACTGATCCAAGATGGGTAATAGCCAGTGAACAAAGCGCTTGAAAAATCAAAGCACAGCAACGGTAGGACAGGCACTGGTGAAAATGCATAGTAATTATTGGCAGTTACAGGAATAATAGCATTTCAACTGATATCTAGGCTGCTTTTGGGTCAAATTTTCATTTTTTTCTCCATGTCAAGTATAAAACAGAAAAAATCTAGAGTTTCATTTTTAGATTCTAATTTGAAACTATATTTTTATAGAAATATTTCTGAAATTCATATCCTAGAAAAGTGCTAACTTTGAAAATTACATTATTTGTTCCCTAATTCTGGTCATGGCTTCAACTGTATATGATCTTCATTGTTCAGTTTCCGTCCTAAGCTGTTTTATAATTTTCTTGGCTATCTATTATATTATTATGCAACTGCACCTTAGAGATAGCTGAATTTGAGTAGTCACTAAAATACATTTTAAATTGATAAAATTGCCATGGAATTTTGTAGCATAAAGGTAAAATATAAATTTGGAATCTTTATAATACATATAATTAACTAAATTATGAGCTGAAATTATCGTTGTTGCAAGTTTATAATACCAACAGCTAACTGAGAGAATTTTTATAAGTTTACAATAGCCATTTTCCCTTTAAAACTGAGTACAATCCAGAAAATTGATTTACAGCATAATAGTATACTATTTTTACATATAAATACTGGTTATCTACTCCCAATGTTCATAACAGAACTTAGGTTCTCTTCAAGGTATGATAGTTGTGAAAACCTCTAGACGCCTCTTTAAAAAAAAAAAGAGATACATAATTATCATATAATTTCCAAAAGGCTGACATATGTCATTGAGAAGCTTGTTTCTAAAAATCAAAAGTATAAATAAAATGGCATCCACCCATTTAATAAAATGACACACAATCAGTAGAATGCATATTTAAATTATTAGGATGTTATTTCTAAAATTGTTACAGTAAAACCAAAGTCCTAAAATATTCATATCCAAGAGCAGAAATGTTTAATTTTCAATTAGTTTATAATAATAGAGCCATATGGGTAATCATGAATTAGATTACATACAAATATAAAAGATTGTAATTCAAATTATACAAAATTAACACTGACATATAACTTCTATGCACTGAGTCCATTAATATACATACTGAGTTCATTAACAATTTTGTGTCCTAAGACCTAAGCTCAGTTTCCTCTTCCTTCAAAATAGAAACGGTAAAATTAATTTAAGCATATTTTCTATTGTGCACTCTTCTTTCAAGAATAATAAAAGTCATTTGAAGTTCACCTAATAATTAGGGAACACAGATGGTTACAGATTTTAATTTTAAGGATAATCAGAACTTAAACCTACTGTGTTCACTCTTGCTTGCAATGATAAATATTTATGCATCAAGATTTAAATAAATGGAGAGACATACTACATTCATAGACTGTAAGACTCAACATAGAACCTATCAATTTTCCCCAAATTGATTTATAGTTTTAATTAATTTCTACCAAAATTCAAGGAAGGGTTTTTGGACACAAAGACAAGCTTATTTTAAAATTTACTTGGAAAGGCACAAGCTAGCCAGAATAGCTAAAATATTTTGAAAAAGAAGAATAAAGTATTAATTATTACTCTATCCGATAGTAAGGCCTGCTACTGTATATAGCTATGAGAGTCAAGACAGTGTGGTATTGGTGGAAATATAGACTTATACATCAATGCAACATAGTAGAAAACTCAGAAGTAGACACCCAAATATGGACAGATGGGTAACCAGAGTTAAGAAAATGTAGCTCAACCTAGAGCAAATGGACAACCATAATTAAGAAAATGTAACTCAACCTAAACCTCTCACTTCATACAAAAATGGACTCAAAATGTGTCATGAACTTAGGTGTCAAACTAAAAGCTATACATGTTTTAGCAAAAACATAGAAGAACATCTTCATAATCCAGGGATAAAAAGTTATTAGACTTAACACTGAAATCAGGATCAATAAATGAAAACATTGATAAGTAGATCTTATCAAAATTAAAAATGTTTTCTCTGCCAAAGCTCATGTTGAAAGGATGAAAAGTCAAGATACAAATTCTGAGAAAATATTCACACACCCTCTATCTGACAAAGAACTGGTGTTAGAATATATAAAGAACTTTAGATACTCAGCAATTTAAAACTTTCCATCTAGAAAATGAGGGAAAGACATGAACATATATTTTACCAAAGAGGATACACAAATAGAAAATAAACACATATAGATGCATTCAACTTCATTAGGCATCAGGGACATGAAAACTAAAATCACAATGAAATATTGCTATATATCTATCAGAATGACTAAAATAAGAAAAAAATGTGACAACACCAAATACTGGCAAGGATATGAAGATATTGGATCACTCATGCACTGCTGATGTGAATTTAAAATAATATAGCCACCCTTGTCTACGGCCATACCACCCTGAATGCACCCAATCTCATCTAAAATAATATAGCCACTCTGGAAACTTCTGAAATTTAACATGCAATTCCCTTGCAACCCCGAAATTGCACTCTTGCACATTTAAACCAGAGAATAACAACTGATGTTCACACAAAAACCTGTATATGAATGTTCAAACCAGCTTTATTAATAATATCCCAAAAGTGAATAATCCCATCTGTCCTTCAGTGGGTGAATGGTTAAACAAACTGTGCTCAATCAATAACATGGACTACTACTCAACAATTAAAAATGAATAAAATACAAGAAACACAATTTTTTTCATTAAAAATGTATTTTCCTTTGTTGTTTTGCTTGGGAGAAACAAGAATATATTTCTTTTAATCTTATGTAACTTTTACCTTTAAAACGTGTTTTAATTGGCAAAAGAAAAATTGCATATATTTATGATGTACAATGTGCTGTTTTAATATATGTACACATTGTGGGATGACTAAATCAACTTAATTAACATATTTGTTGCCTCACATCCTTATTTTTCTAATACACACAATTTGGATAAATCTTGAGGGGATTATGCTGAGTGAACAAAGTCAACCCTAAAAAGTTACATAACATATGTTTTTATTACTATAACCAGTTAAATGACAAAATTATACAAATGGAGAAGAGATTGATTAGTCATTGCCACGGGATGCAATCAGGGTGTCAGGGTAGCAATGGTAGTGGATATGGCTATAAAAGGCCAACATAAGGGATCCTTGTGAGATATATATATATTCTGTACAGAGAGGCCACATGGATCTCTCTGTATTTATTTTAGAGCACTATGTAAATCTACAATAATCTCAAGAAACAGTTTTTTAAACAAAAACAACAGCAAGAAAAAGTAGACTGAACAGAGACAGTATAAGTAGAAACAATGGAGGATCAATGGAAATCCATTATACTATTTCACCTACCACTGCCTATCAAACTCAAAGAGAGCTAGCAATAAAGATGTAGACTGGAAATTTAAGCAAATGTTACAGAAAAAGTGCTGACATAGGAGTTAAGAAACTTGGATTCTGCTCCATTTCCATTATCTGCTGGGAAGTCTTATGAAAGTAACTTAGAATATCTTCTTCAATATCTTCTACAAAGCTTGAAGATGATAAGGTCTATGATTAAACTAGATGAACAAATTTTAAGAATCTTATAAAAATCGAAAAAGCTGAGTCAGTCACTAAAATCTCTATAAATTAGAACTTCTGAATCCTGCGAATCTGGGTTCCATGCAATATTTGCACTCTTAATTGAGTTCTAACATGTATGTGTTGAGATTTCTCATTTATTTATTTAACTTATTTCTGGTTATAGGCATGCATTTCATTATTACTAAGTAGTGCCTGCCTGCCACTTATGAAATCTGATGCTTATGCAAGGGATTGCCAGGTTAAGTAAACTACATGGTAGTTGTAAGAATGAAAACAAATAATACTATTTTATATTTTTACAGACTGACCTCCCTTGATTACTTCTATAGAAACATAAAACACAGTTATATGCAGTGACTATCAGAAACAAATCATCTGAAGTAATATATCACATGATGTATATGCAAAGATTGACTGGAAAGAACCTCATTCATCGCAATTTTGCACAATGCAATGAACAATGCACTGCTACTCATAAATAATGCAAGAAACCTGAGTTCAAGAAACCTGAGTTCTTTTTAACTCATTCACCAGCTATTGCCACTGTGTATTTCTTTTGACTGCCAATGAAAGAACAATGATAAAGCGAACAGTTTGCAAACACAGGTTTCCTATGTTTCAATCCTGTATTTCCACTTATTAGGAGTGGGGACTTTAATAGCTGACTTCAAAGTTCTATGCCTCAGTTTCCCCATGAGTAAAAGTGGAATAAGGTTACCTACCTCATGGGATTTTTTCTGAGAATTAAATTTGACAATACTGCTAAAATAATTATAACATGGATGGCACAATGTGAGTGTTATGTAAGTATATAATAATTAAAATAAATGAATGGAGCAAATAGAAGTTGGAAGGGTAGGCATATGGTACAGGCATAAACTCCAGAAAAATGACTCCTCCTTTGTTCTAATTAATTATTTTATGATTTTGTATACTCTGACATATTCATTAGTCTATAGCAATAACCACAGCTCCACTAAAGAAATACTCTGCTTAAGCAACATAAATAAAGGAGATAACACCTTTCAAGATTTCTGGTTAAAATAAGGCATATGACTCTCATACATTGCTAGTGAGAATGTAAACAGGTATAATTACTTGTAGGAGAATTTTACAATATCTCACAAAACAATACATGCATTTACCCTGTGACCCTGAAATTCTACTTCTGGGAATTTATTGTAAAGGGATATTCTCAAAAATATATTTGAATGAGGTTAGTCTTTACTTTGTTGTTTGTAACTGAAACATATTCAAGTAACCTAAATTTTTAAATATAGTAGAGTGATTAAATAAAATAAAATATAGAAGTCCCTCCACATTTAAGAGGGATATGATATCCCAAGACCCCCAGTGGACACTTGAAGCTGCAGATGGTACTGGAGCCTACGTACACTGCTTTTTTCTTATACATACACCCTTAAGATAAAGTTTACTTTATAAGTTAGGCACAGTAAGAGATTAATAACAATAATAATAAAATGGAACAAGTATAACAACATACTCTAGTACAAGTATATTAAAAAGTTTTGTAAATATTTCTCTCTCTCTTTCTTGTAAAATATCTTATTGTACTATATTCATCCTTCTTCTTGTGATGATGTCAGATGATAAAATGCCTACCTGATGAGATTTTTACAACAGTTGATTGGATAACCAAGATGGCAACTAAGTGATTGACAGGCAGGTAGTATGTATAGCTTGAATACACTGGACAAAGAGATGATTCATGATTCACATTCCAGCTGGATGAAGTAACATGGTAAGTGATTTCATCATGGCTACTCAGAAAAGCAGGCAATTTACAAGTTATAAATTGTTTATCTCTGGAATGTTCCGTTTACTATTTTCAGACCGCAATTGGCCACAGGTAATTGAAACTGCAGAAAGAGAAATGGTGGACAAAAGGGGACTACTGTACTTTCATACAATGAAGTACTATGGAGCTGCAAAAAGGGAATAAAGAAGATCTCTATGAATTTATATGGAATATATTCCATCATATATTGATGAGCAAAAAAATAATTAAAAGCACAAAATATTTTCTATAGTGTGCTACCTTTTGTATGCAATACAAAGAGACATAAAAGAATAAAAAACATATGACCATTTCAATAGATGCTGAAAAAGGATTTGATAAGATCCAACATCCCTTCATGATTAAAAAAAAAAAAACCCTCGAAAACTGGGGATAGGCTCTTTGGGTTCTACTTTGGTTTCATATGAATTTTAAAACGGTTTTTCCTAGGTCTGTGAAGAATGTCATCAATAGTTTGATAGGAATAGCATTAAATCTGTCAATTGCTTAGGGCAGTAAAACCATTTTAATGATCTTGATTCTTTCTATCCATAAGCATAGGGTGTTTTTCTGTTTGTTTTTGTTTTCTCCAATTTACTTGAGCATTGTTTTTAATTCTCACTGTAGAAATCTTTCACCTCCCTGGTTGGCTATATTCTTAGGTATGTTATTCTTCTTGTGTCAATTGTGAATGGGATTGTGTTTCTGATTTGGCTCTCAGTTTGGCTGTTGTTGGTACATAGGAAAGCTATTGTATATTAATTTTGTATCCTGCAACTTTGCTGAAGTTGTTTATCAGCTAGAGGAGCTTTCAGGCCAAAACTATAGGGTATTCTAGATAGAGAATCATGTCATCTGCAAACAGAGAGAGTTTGACTTCCTCTCTTCCTATTTGGATGCCTTTTCTTTCTCTTGCCTGATTGCTCTGGCTAGGACTTCCAGTACTAGGTTGAATAGAAGTGGTGAGAGAAGGCATCCTTATCTTATGCTGGTTTTCAAGGGAACTGCTTCCAGCCTTTGCCCATTCAGTATAATGTTGGTTGTGGATTTGTCATAGACAGCCTCAATATGCAAGGCAATCCTAAGCAAAAAGAACAAACCTGGAGGCATCACACTACCCAGCTTCAAACTACTATATGTCTACAGTAACCAAAACAGCACAATACTTGTACAAAAACCAGCACATAGACCAATGGAACAGAATTGAGAGCCCAGAAATAAGGCTGCACATCTACGACCATCTGATCTTTGAAAAAGCCAACAAAAACAATGGGGAAAGACTCCCTAATCAATAATGGTGTTGGGATAACTGCCTAGCCATATGCAGAAGATTGAAGCTAAACCCCTTTCTTACACCAAACACAAAAATCAACTCAAAATTGATTAAAAAATTACATGTAAAACCCAAAACTATAAAAACCCTGAAGACAACCTAGGAAATACCATCCTGGACCCAGGAAAGAGCAAAGATTTCATGATAAAGCCACCAAAAACAATCACAACAAAAGCAAAAATTGACAAGTGAGATCTAATTAAACTTAAGAGCTTCTGCACAGCTAAAGAAACTATTAACAGAGGGCCGGGCATGGTGGCTCATGCCTGTAATTCCAGCACTCTGGGAAGCCGAGGCAGACAGATCACTCGAGGTCAGGAGTTTGAGACCAGCCTGGTCAACATGGTGAAACCCCATCTCTACTAAAGATACAAAAATTAGCCAGGCGTGGTGGCACGCTCCTGTAGTCCTAGCTACTTGGTAGGCTGCGGCAGGAGAATCACTTGAATCCGGGCACTCCACCCTGGGCAACAGAACAAGACTGTCTCAAAAAAAAAAACCAAAAACAAACAAACAAACAAAAAAACCAAAGGAGCTATCAACAGAGTAAACAGACACCTACAGAATGGGTGAAAATATTAGCAACCTATGCATCCCCTATGCATCCAACAAAGGTCTAATATCCAACATCTATAAGGTACTTAAACAAATTTAAAAGAGAAAAACAACCCCATTAAAAAGTGGGCAAAGGACGTGAACAGACACTTCTCAAAAGAAGACATACATGCAGCAAACAATCATATGAAAAAAAGTTCAATATCACTGATCATTAGAAAAATGCAGATCAAAACCACAATGAGATGCCATCTCACAGCAGTCAGAATGGTTATTATCAAAAAGTCAAAAAATAGCAGTCTATAAGAGAATGCTAATACATTGTTGGTGGGAGTGTATAAATTAGTTCAACCGTTGTGAAAAGCTCTCAACATAATAAAAGCCATATAGGAAGACCCATAGTTAGTATCAGACTGAATGGAGAAAAACTGAAAGACTTTCCTCTAAGATTTGGAAGACGACAAGGATGCCCACTGTCACCAATTTCATTCTAGTACTGGAAGTCCTAGTTTGAGCAGTAAGGCAAGAGAATGATATAAAGGGCTTCCAAATTGGAAAGGAAGAAGAAAAAAATTATACTTGTTTGCAGATTATATGATCTTATATTTGGAAAAACCTAAAGACTCCACAAGAAAACTATTAGAAGTGATTTAAGAAATCAGTAATGTTGCAGGATACAAAATCAACATACAAAAATCAGTATCATTCCTAGGCCAGGTGTGGTGGCTCATGCCCATAATCCCAGCACTTTGGGAGGCTGAGGCAGATGGATCAATTGAGGCCAAGAGGAGTTTGAGACCAGCCTGGCCAACATGGTGAAACCCTGTCTCCCAAAACAACAACAACAACAAAAATTAGCTGGGTGTGGTAATGCACAGCTGTAATCCTAGCTACTCAGGAGTTTGAGGCATGAGAATCACTTGAACCTGGAAGGCAGAGGTTGTAGTGAGCTGAGATCACGCCACTGCACTCCAGCCTGGGTGAGTAAGTGAGACTCTGTCTCAAAAATAATAATAATAAAAATAAAATAAAATAAATAAATCAGTGTCATTTCTATATGCCAACAATGAAAAATGTGAAAAAGAAATTTTAAAAGTAATTCCATTTACAATAGCCACACATAAAATTAAATACCTAGTAATTAACCAAAAAAGTGAAAGATCTCTATAATGAAAACCATAAAACACTAATGAAAGAAATTGAAGAGGACACCAAAAAAAAGAAAAAAGGAAAAATATTCCATGTTCATGGATCGGAAGAAAAAATATTGTTAAAATGTCCACACTATCCAAAGCAATCTACAGCTTCAATGCAATCCCTACCAGAAAAACAATGATATTATTCACAGAAATAGAAAAAAAAATCCTAAAATTTATATGGACCACAGAAGACGCAAAATAGCCAAAGCTATCCTGAACAAAAAGAACAAAACTGGAGGAATCATAATACCTGGCTTCAAATTAGACTACAGAGCTAGAGTAACCAAAACAGCATGTTACTGACATAAAAACAGAGACATAGGCAAATGGAACAGAGACTCCAAAAACAAATCCACACACCTACAGTGAACTCATTTTTGACAAATTTTCCAAGGATGTACACTGGAGAAAAGACAATTTTTCAATAAATGGTGCTGGGAAAACTGGAAATCCATATGCAGAAAAATAAAACTAGACCCCTATCTTTTGCTATATACAAAAATCAAATCAAAATGGATTAAAAACTTAAATCTAAGACTTCAAACTACAAAACTACTACAAGAAAACATTGAGAAAAATCTCCAACACATTGATCTGGGCAAAAATTTCTTAAGCAATACCCTGTAAGCACGGGCAACCAAAGCAAACATGGACAAATGGAATCACATCAAGTGAAAAAGCTTCTGCACAGCAAAATAAACAATCAACAGAATGAAGACACAAGCCACTGCATGAGAGAAAATATTTGCAAACTACCCATTTGACAAGGGATTAATAACCCAGAATATACAAGGAGTTTAAAAAACTCCATAGGAAAAAATATAATAATCCAATAAAAAATAGGCAACAGATTTGAATACACACTTCTCAGAAGGAGATAAACAAATGACAAACAGGCAGATGAAAAGGTGCTGACATCATTGGTCATTAGAGAAATGCAAATGAAAGCTACAATGAGATATTATATCATCCCAGTTAAAATGGCTTATATCCAAAAGACAGGCAGTAGCAAATGCTGGGGAGGAAGTGGAAGAGGGAACACTTGTACACTGTTGGTGGGAATGTACATCAGTATAACAGTTTGGAAGTTCCTCAAAAAACTAAAAATAGAGCTACCACATGGTCCAACAATCCCACTGCTGGGTATATACCCAAAATAAAGGAAATCAATATACCAAAGAGATATCTCTACTTCTATGTTTGTTGCAGCACTGTTTACAACTAAGATTTGGAAGCAACCTAAGTGTCCATCAACAGATAAATGGATAAAGAAAATGTGGTACATATACACAATGAAGTACTATTCAGTCATAAAAAAAATGAGATTCTGTCATTTGCAACAACATGGATGGAACTGGAGATGTTAAGTGAAATAAACCAGGCCCAGAAAAACAAACATTACATGTTCTCACTGATTTTATTTGTGGTATTTAAATATCAAAAAAATTGTACTCATTAACATAGAGTAGAAGGATGATTACCAGAGTCTCAGAAGAACAGTAGGGGCTGGAGGAGAGGTGAGGATGGTTAATGAGTACAAAAAACATAGAAAGAATAAATAAGATCTACTACTCAATAGCACATTAGGTTGGCTATAGTCAATAATAACTTAATTATACATTTTAAAATAACTAAAAAAGTACAATTGGATTGTTTGCAACTCAAAGGATAAATGCTTTAGATGATGGATATACCTTTCTCCATGATGTGATGATGTGCTTATTACATTTTTTTTTTTTGAGACAGTATTGCTGTGTCACCCAGGCTTGAGTGCAGTGGTACAATCTCGGCTCACTGCACCCTCTGCCTCCTGAGTTCAAGCAATTCTCCCGCCTCAGCCTCACCAGTAGCTGGGATTACAGGTACGCACCACCAGGTCTGGCTAACTTTTGTATTTTAAGTAGAGATGGGGTTTCACCATGTTGGCCAGCTGGTCTTAAACTCCTGACCTCAAGTGATCCACCCGCCTTGGCCTCCCAAAGTGCTGGGATTACAGGCGTAGCCACCACGCCCAGCCTTATGCGCTTATTTCACATTGTATGCCTTTATCAAAACATCTCATGTATTCCATAAATATACACGTCTGCTATGTATCCACAAATGTTAAAAAGTAAAAAATAAAAAAGCAAAGATGCACAAGAAAACAAATATGTATCTGTTGATTTTATGTGAAGTGAAATTTGAAAAGAATGAACCAGAAATTAACGAGACTGGTTACCTATAGATGGTGAGTGGGAATAGGGGAGATCCAAAAGAAGCATGTATGCATATATTTATCTGTATGTGAGCAATTGTGGATGTTTGTGTCTATGCACTTGAAACATCATAAGGTAGAAGGAGTGTCACTTTTCACAGCACTAGTTACTTCTTTTATCATTTTACAAAAATCATTAGCTAGTGTATACATTTTTTTCTTCCAGGCTGTCAGCATTGCTGCAACAGTTGACTTTCTTCTACTGAGTACTGGTGACAATAGCAACTATATAAATAGTTGCTATTATACATACATATATGTCTTTAAGCCTCAATTTAGAGAGGAAGAGTTGGAATCAGTGGTTCAAAGAAATATACAGCAAGGAAGTTAATGGTTCCAGCCAATTAGTATAATTAATTTGTAGTATCTAAAATATAGCTCCTTTTAATATTTGTGCCTCAAAAAGACAAGTGTTGGGCACTAAATGTGTTTTTTAAAATATACATTTTTAGGCTACTTTTATGTTCCCGGCAAAATTGAGTGTAAGATACAGATATTTTTCTATATACTCCCTGCTCCAAGCAATATATAGTCTCCCCTATTATCAACATTCCTTAGGACTTATAAACCTACATTAACACATCATCACCCAAAAAGCCCATAGTTTACACTAGGGTTCAGTCATGGTGTTATACATTCTACGGGTTTGGACAAATTTATACTGACATATACCCACTATTATAGTATTGTACAGAGTATATTCACTGCCCTAAAAATCTTCCCTGTTCTGCCTGTTCATTGCTCCCTCCCCAACCTTTGGTAACAACTGATCTTTCACCATCTCCATAATTTTGCCTTAGTTGGAATTACACAGTATGTAGTGTTTTCAATTGGCTTTTCACTGAGTAATGTGCATTTCAGTTTCCTCCATGTCTTTTCATGGCTTGATAATTCATTTCCTTGTAGCAGTGAATTAAATGTCTTTTTAATTTAACTGTACTACTTCTTATGACATGGACTAGATAAAGGGTAAAACCTACAGTTCTAAATCCTCCTCTGTTCCCTAATGTCCAGACTTTTCATAGGCTGGGACATCATTAATCTCATATGAGATGTTTTCCTTGTTTGTTTTTTGGATCTCTATATTAGGAGTTCTGAAAGGCTTTTCCATAAAGTTCTTACATAAGGCCCGTTAGTTTCTTACATTAAGAATATTTCTCATATCTCAAACATAAGAGAGTTTACTGCAAAATATTTTGGGGATTTTGGACTCAGGAAGCTTGCATTCAAATTCTGGCTCCACCCATTACTAATTTTGTGAGCTCGATTTACTGGACCTCTTTGTGTTATAAATTTTTCATCTCTAAAATGGGAATAATATTGATTAATAATTGGGTTTCTGTCAGGATTAAAAGTGTTCACCTTTAGAAGGTGATTAGCAAAGCATCTGGCACATAATAAGCAGATGTGTGTGAATATATAATTCTACATCATTCCAAATATTTGGTTGAACCATACGAAATTGTTGATGTTTGACAAACCTCAACCCACAAAATGGCAATTTCCTATGGTTCAACTTAATACAAAACCATATAACTGATATTTTGGTATCTCCATAAATAAATAACAATAGAATCTTATTGTAAAACCTCAACTACGGAAAATTAATCTTCATCCAATGAATAAAAGAACTGGGTCTCAGAGTGAACACTAAAACCTACTATTTATTCTTTTCAATACTGACCTTTCACTCATCCATCTAGCAACCAAGACCAATAATTACTGGAAATGTTACTAAGCACTTCTATACCAGCATAAACAATTTTCTATGATGAGATCATTGCTGCTATAGAACTGTAAGGTATAATCAAGTCATTTTACATATATAATAAAGGCCTTTTACATGTATAATGAAGTCACATAATAAGCATCTCCAAGGGCAGGAGAGTAGTGGATTATTTATTGGCAAAATTCCCTAACTCATACTATATTTAGAAAGTGGTTTATTTTCAGAAATCTACTTTTGAAGAAATCCTTGTGTGTTTAAAAAATCATGTAAGTTTTTGAAATTCAAAATGTACTGTGTCTTTTATTTCTGTTGAAGTAACATATGGTATGTTACATTTATCTTTTGGCAGTTCTCTTCACCTGGGCATCATCCACTATAGGAAAAGCAGGCACATCTCATTGAACAAACTCCTTGAGATTGGAGAAGGGTGAAGACTTTGGTGAAATTAACACCTTTTCTGACCCAGGCCACCGGTACTACCAGTCTGGATCTTGAGGCTATCTCCATTCAATATTTACATTAGCTGGTATCTGACCAACCATTAGTTGGTCAATTACACAGTCACAGTATCATTAGTAATTAGATGACACCATTGAGCAGAAAAATCCTTAAAGAAAGACTAAACTTTCTTGTCAAGAAATTCAAACCAAAACTGAAGCTTGTTTTTTTTGAAATCCAAAACAAAAAGTTAATTATTTCTGAAACTGTCATCATTTTAAAAAAAAGGTCTTCATTCATCTGTATGAGTTTTTATTTCTCTGTCAATCTTAGTTGTAAAATATCCTTTCTCTTCTGTTTTGAGTGTCAGGATGTTGCAAGCAATTCAATTACAATGTACTACTCTTGATAAAAGGTAAAATAAAGTACATATGGAAATCTGCAATTATAATCAATCCCTAAATGTGAAAAAAAAATGATAATCTTAATACACTTGTTTTAATCCCCTTCAGCCTGAGAAGTGCTAGTGAAGAAAGTTCAGTTGGGCTTTTAAAATCAGAGACATTTTAATGGCATATATGGATAGTTTCTGTTTGAACTCAGCTTAGAAAAATATTCTGAGTTTTTGGTGTGTGATGTTCCCCTTCCTCTGTCCATGTGTTCTCATTGTTCAATTCCCACCTATGGGTGGGGGGAAGGGGGAGGGATAGCATTAGGAGATATACCTCATGCTAAATGACGAGTTAATGGGTGCAGCACACCAACATGGCACATGTATACATATGTAACAAACCTGCACGTTGTGCACATGTACCCTAAAACTTAAAGTATAATAATAATAAAATTAAAAGAAAAAGAAAAATATTCTGAGTTTTCAAGGTAATACAGAATATGATTTTCACACACATCACTTTCTTTAATTCAGAATCAATGCAGATGAACAGTTTTATTGTGGAGTACCAATTATTACATGAATAAATGTTGTGGTAAAACTTGGTTTTCATTTTTGTCAATAGATTGTCATTGTATTTCAAGTATAAACTAATCTAAATTATTAATACATAATGAAATTTGTATTTTCAAGAAAATATATTCTACCAAATGTTCTATAAATTCTATTAAATGACTATAATTTACAGCAGTCTACATCGAATTCTGGAACAAAAACATTACATTCTAATGTAAGTTAAAAGAGAAGAAAGGAGACACAGAAAGATGCCAATAGTTCATATTTATAATATTAAAAGAATTTATAAATATTAACTTAATGAGGTAAATGTGTATCTTTGTCTTATATTTACTCAAATGAGGTGTATCTGTGAAATTTCTAGAAAAGTATTTAGAATTACATATGTACGGACTATGGTTCTAAAAACACACAGCTCAAATTTAATGAGCTAAAAATTTGTTAACATGTATACCCCTTAGATCTTTCATATTTTATGTATTTCTAGAAAACAGTAGCAGCCCAATTGTACAACAAAACTAAATATGCTTAATTTTCCATCACTTAAAAATTTCACTTATTTAAAAAGGCCTCAAATTTCAATGCTTATATTGTATCATGAAGCAGAAAAACAAATGGAACTGAATTACAGTGGCTAACTGTTCTTTCAGAGTCCTGTCTTAAGTGAATAATGGTATTGAAATTGTTTCTTACATGTTATTTTGAACTCCAAGTTTCTTTGGATTTTGTATGCACTTTGGAGAGCTTTTGATCTTTTATAAATATATTTCAAAGCACCAAAAGATGGAATTGTTTTCCTACTTTCATTTAGTACCTGAAGCAAAATTACAAATGCTTTTAAATAGCAGTTTGCCATAGTATCAAGAGAAACACGGGCCTCAACTACTAATGTAAGCTTTTCACAATCTTATTTTCTGTGTTCACAATTATGTAACATGAAATATGATATCCTGGGTTAGAAAAGTGAGGAATAAAAAACTCTTGTCCTTGAGGCTTTTATAATTTAAATGTAACAAAGGCATCTATAAGTAATAGAATATCCATTGGTGAAAACATACAAGCAAGCATGTAATACAAACATATATATTTAAAATAAATCAAAATAGAAAACAGACTAAAACAAAAATAAGCAGAGATAATGAAAATTAGACAGGATCAGATGAGGCAAGATATTTTTCTTGGATATATTGAGTATTAAACCATGATTTGAACTAGACTTCGATCTTTTAAAAGTACAGTGTAGGACAGGTGCGGTGGATCGCGCCTGTAATCCCAGCACTTAGGGAGGCCGAGGCAGGTGGATCACCTGAGGTCAGGAGTTTGAGACCAACCTGACCAATTTGGTGAAGCCCCATCTCTACTAAAAATACAAAAATTAGACAGGCGTGGTGGCGGGCACCTGTAGTCCCAGCTACTCAGGAGGCTGAGGCAGGAGAATTGCTTGAACCCAGGAGGCAGACGTTGCAGTGAGCCGAGATCATGCCACTGCACTCCAGCCTGGGCAACAGAGCGAGACTCCATCTCAACAACAACAACAAAAGTACAATGTATCAGTGGAAAATATCTAGCACAAAAAAAGAAAAATGTTTTTGTGTAGCTTATACCTAGTGTAGAATATAAAAGAGAAATAGAAAAATGACTTAGTTTGTCCTCAAGTTTCATCATGTTATTGCATATGGCAGGATTTACTTCCTTATTAAGGCTGAATAATATTCCACTCCGTGCATATCACCACATTTTTTGTAGTCATTTGTCGGTCTATGGACATTTAGGTTATGCCAACATTTTGGCTATTGTAAATAATGCTGTAATCAACATGAAAGTCTGAATATCTCTTCAGGTTTCTGACTTCAAATCTTTTTTGTTAACTTTAATTTTTTATTTGAATAGGTTTTGGGGGAATATGTGGTGTTTGGTTACACTGATAAGTTCTTTAGAGGCAATTTTTGAGATTTTGGTGCACCCACCACCCAAGCAGTGTACACTGTAACCAGTGGGTAGTCCTTTATCCATCACCTCCCTCCCACCCTTTCACCAGAGTCCTCAAAGTCCAGGGTATCATTCTGATGTCTTCGCGTCCTCATAGCTTAGCTCCCACTTATGAGTGAGAACATGCGATGTTTGTTTTTCCATTCTTGAGTTACTACATTTAGAGTAATGGTCTCCAACTCTATCCAGGTTGCGGCAAATCCCATTATTTTGTTCCTTTTTATGGCCGAGTAGTATCCCATGTGTATGTGTGTGTGTATATATACATATATATGTACATGTATATATGCATACACACACACACACCACATTTTCTTTATCCACTCATTGATCGATGGGCATCTGAGCAGGTTCCATAGTTTTGTTACTGTGAAATGTTCTGCTATAAACATTCATGTGCAAGTATCTATTTCGTATAATGACTTCTTTTCCTCTGGGTAGATACTCAGGAGTGGGATTGCTGGATCAAATGGTAGTTCTTTAAGGAATCTCCATAGTTTTCCATAGTGGTTGTACTAGTTTACATTCTCACAGGCAGTGTAAAAGTGTTCCCTTTTCCCATATCCACGCCAGCATCTATTATTTTTTGATTTTTTGATTATGGCGTCCTTGAAGGAGTAAGGTGGTATCACACTGTAGTTTTGATTTGCATTTCCCTGATAATCATGTTGAGCATTTTTTCACATATTTGTTGGCCATTTGCATATCTTCTTTTGAGAACTGTCTATTAATGTCCTTAACCCACTTTTGGATGGGATTATTTTTTTCTTGCTGATTTGTTTGAGTTCCTTGTAGATTCTAGATATTAGTCCTTCATCAGATGCACAGTTTGTGAAGGTTTTCTCCCACTCTGTGGGTTGTCTGTTTATCCTGCTGATTATTTCTTTTGCTCTGCAGAAGCTTTTTAGTTTAAGTCTCATCCTTTTATCTTTGTTTTTGTTGCCTTTGCTTTTGGGTTCTTGGTCATGAAGTTCTGCCGACGACAATGTCTAGAAGGGTTTTTCCAATGTTATCTTTCAGGATTTTTATGGTTTCAGGTCTTAGATTTAAGTCTTTGATCCATCTTGAATTAATTTTTCTGTAAGGTAAGAGATGTAGATCTTTCTACATTCTTCTACATGTGGCTTTCCAATTATCCCAGCACCATTTGTTGAATAAGGTGTTTTTTCCTCACTTTACATCTTTGTTTGCTTTGTGGAAGTTCAGCCAGATGTAAGAATTTGGCTTTATTTCTGGGTTCTCTATTCTGTTCCGTTGGTCTATGTGTCTATTTTTATACCAGTACCATGCTGTTTTGGTGACTAGAGCCGTATAGTATAAAGTCGGGTAATGTGATGCCTCCAGATCTGTTCTATTTGTTTAGTCTTGCTTTGGCTATCTGGGCTCTCTTTTGGTTTTAAGATTGGAATTTTGGAATTTTAAGATTTTTTTTTTCTAGTTCTGTAAATAATGATGATGGCATTTTGATGGGAAGGGAATTTCATGAATTTGTAGATTGCTTTTGGCAGTATGGTCATTTTCACAATATTGATTCTATCCATCCATGAGCATGTTTCCATTTGTTTGTGTCATCTAAAATTATGTATTAAAATAAACTCTAATTTTGATAATGTAATTTAAAAATAAGTGGATGACTTAAATTTTGGTTTTCATCCATGAAAGAGTATCTGATAGTAAATTGTCTCTACCTGTGTCAATAAATAAAAAAATAGGCAATCATTTATAAAAGAATGATTTTTGGATATTGGCTCATGCTAGTTAATGACTTTAATGTCTGAGAGAAGAAACAACAAATAAGGTGAGCCATAGTATCATCCTTAACTTTCTTCCTGGTGTCACTTTCTGAACTGGAGGGAAAGCCCAAATTGTTCCTGAGGATTTTACTATGTGAGGAGACAGAGACTGAGTTTGGGGCTACTAAGCAGCTTGAATTTGTGAGATGGTGTCAAAGAGAAGGGTGCTGTGCAGAGAAGCAGCTCAAAAAAACTACATAGAGGCCCTGCCTTGAGTCTGTAACAGAATACTTAATTGAGCATGCATCGGGCCAGATACCATGGCTTCGGATCGAAAGCAACTACCACATAATAAACTGGGAGCAGAACAACACCTTGAGCTTGCACAGGGTTGGGAGATATTAGAGTTCCTTCTAATCAGCATGGAAAGTATTAAAATCCAGGGCATTCGGTAGAAAACCTAGAAAGGCCACGCCTAAAGAACGCTATATCTGTCCTAATAGAGTTCAACGACAAGGCTTGAAAGGATCAAACTACCTTTCAAGTAAATAAACAAAATATTGAAACAAAATTGAATAATCTACGCAGAAATACAACAGCATCTCAAGCACAACAAGACATCCATAAAGGTAAACATACAATCAAAATTTACTACACATTTAAAACGGCAAGAAAATGTAACCTATAGCAAGGAGAACATTCAGTCAATAGATTAAGAAAAGAGAGAAAATGAAATTAGCAGACAAGATTTTTAATTAGCTATTTTAATATACCTAAATATGTAAAGAAACACAGAAACAAAATAGAGAATAAACACTGACAATCAGAAGAGAATTGAAAAATGTAAAAAATTGAATGTTGAGAACTGAAAAAGACATCTTAGGAAGTAAAAACATCACTGGCTGCATTTAGCAGTAAATTAAGTGCTGAGGAAGAAAATGTTAGTGAAATTGAAGGTAGACAATAGAAGATATCCAAATTGAATCACAAGGAGGAAAAACACCTGGAAGTAAAAAGTACATAAATGGCCTATGAAAAAACATAAAGTGACCTATGGGAAAACATCAAGTTAGAAAAAATATGTGTAACTGGTATACAAGAAGGGGTGAGGTGGTTAGAAAAATATTTTTTTTAATGATGAAAATTTTTCAAATTTGGAGAACAATATAAGCCCACAGATTCAAGAAGCTCATTAAGTCACAACAAGGATCAAGATACAGAAAACCATACCAAGGCACATCATAATCAAATCCCTGAAAATAAAGACAAAACTAAAAAGAAAATTTTAGAAGCAATCAGAAAAAGGAAAAATGAAAACCAAATACAGGGAAGGAATGACAAGAATGTTCTCTGACTTCTCATCAAACACAACGTAACACAGGACACAGTGAAACAAAATTTTAATGTACTGAAAGAAAAATAAGTAAAAATAGGTCGTTACATTTAAAAATACCTGAAAAAATTGACAAATTAGACAAATCATACAATCGTGATGAATTCATTTATTGTATTATCTTTTTAATAGAATATTTAGTATTTTAAATACAAACATGTTGTCTACAAATAAAACAGTTGTAGTTCTTAATACTAGCAAAAACAATTGGAAATAAAATTTAAAAATACAACTCTAGCATAAATATGAAATAGTATGGATGAATCTAACAAAACATATGAGAGATTTATATGCTAAAGACTACAAAATATTTATGAGAAAAAATAAAATAAGTAAATGGAGACATATGCAATATTAATAGATTGGAGAACTCCATATTTGATATCTCAATTTTCCCCACCCATAGATGCAATAAAATTGCAATGAGTATCCTAGCAGGCTTTTTTAAAAATAGAAATTAACATTAAAATGTATACGGAAATAAAAAGAACCCAACAGCATAAAAATTACAAAATAAAATTATTATACATTGCACCCTGTATCAAAATATTCCATGTACTCCAGAAATATATATACCTACTATGTACCCACAAAGATTAAAATTAAAAAATAAATAAATAAATAAATAAATAAAAAAGAACTAAGGGACTCAAAATACCTAATATCAGACCTACAATAAACCACAGAAACTGAGATGGTATGATATTAGAGCAAAGACAGACAAATAGACGAATGAAACAGATTAAAAAGACCAACATTAGACACAAATATATCATCAATTGATTTTCAACGAAGGTATCAAGCTAACACAATTTATAAAAAAAGGAGAGTTTTTTAAACAAATTTACATCTATATGGAAAATTAAAGATGCGTTAACCCACAACCCACATCGTATGGAAAATCAGCCTGACGTTATCATAATTCTAAATGTCAACTTAACATTATAATATCTAGAAGAACATACAAAAAGTATTTGTGACTTTGGGTTAAACAAAAATGTCGTAGGCAGGGCACATAATGTTTGAGTCATAAAAAATTGATAAATTGAACTTCCTCAAAATTAAAAACTTCTGTTATTTGAAAGATAATGCTAAGTAAATAAAAAGATGTGCCACAGCTGAATGGCAGGGTAAGCCCACTACAGATTCTCTCTCTCATTGATTACAACTAAAAATTCTGAATGAAATGCAAAATTCAACTTCTAGAAAACTGAAAATTTAACAAAAGCAGGCATATTGTGGAGAGGAATCTAAACTTGGAGAATGACTCACAAGTAATTGAATATTTCGTTTTTCTTCTTCACTCTTCTTTTTTCTAAAGACTGTTCAGCAGCAGGGGCCATTCACAGAGCAAATGAGCAGAGCAGTGGTGCAGAAAGTTAAATTCAGAAAGTAACCTCATATTTCTGGCAAAGGATTCAGGAAAATGAGCCACTACAGACCAGAGAATATGGTGAGCATCCAAAAAAGAAAAAAGCTAAAAAATAACATTCCCTAATTCTTTACATGAACCCACAAAATTCCTGGACTCACTGCTGAGCTGCATTTGTATTGGACAAACCAAGCACAGAAGCAAAACAGAAATTGTGCTCAAAATTTAACCAGGATAAACTTCTGTGAAAACAAACACACTAAAAATAAGTATTCTTCATAGAATTATAACAAGACCCAGAGATCAAACAACATATTATTTTAAATGTCCAAGACACAATCCAAATTTTTTCAAAATCCAAGAACCACTTCATTGAAGATAACTCACATATTGGAAATATAAAACAATAACTTTAAAGAAACTATTACAATCCTACTCTATGAGGTAAAACCAAACATATCTGAAATAAATGGAAAGATAGTTCATAGGAAAATACAGTTTTTAGAAGAGAAATATAAATCATTAAAAAAGAACTGACTGGAAATTTTAGAACTGAAAATACAATGTTTGAAATTAAAAAAAACTTACAGGATGGACTCAATAGCTGAATGGAGATAAAAGAGTGAAGTTGAAAGAAATCAACTGTAATTACCCAATCTGAAGAACAGAGAGAAAAATGATAGGAAAAAAAATTTTCTTCAGAAACCCATCAGTAAGATCAGAAGTTTTAAGATGTATCTTTAGAGACCCAGGATAGGTAAAATAGATTACAGCAGAAAAAAATATTTGAAGAAATAATGGCTGAAAACTACCCACATTTAATGAAAATGACAAAAGTACAGGCTGATGAAGTCTGGCAGACTCAAAACAAGATAAAAGAAACTATTCATAGACACATCATAATCAAGCTGGAAAAAAATGTAAAATCTTGAAAGCAGCTAGGAAAAAAATTGGCACATCCAGTATCACTGAATACTGCTCAACAATAGAGAGGAGAAGCTGTTGATACATGCAGCAGCATGCATAAATCTCAAAAGCACTGTGAAATAGAAACCGTTCAAAAACAAAACTATAGGATCAATACTATCCAAAGCAATCTATAGATTCAATACAATCCCTATCAAAATCCCAACGTTTTCTGCAGAAAAAAATTATATTCTAGGACTCACATGAAATCTCAAGGAACCAAAAGTAGCCAAAACATTTTTGAAAAAGAAAGTTGGAGGTCTCCCACTTTCTGATTTCAAAGTTTACTACAAAGCTACAGAAATCAAAACAGTGTGATGCTGGTATTAAAAAAAAATACATACAGACCAATGAAATAGAGTCTAGTCCAGAAATAATCTTCTGCATAAAAGATCAAACGATTTTTGACAAGGTAGCCAAGACTATTCAATGGGGAGAAGACATTCTTTTCAAAAATGATGCGCGAGAACTGGTTATCCACACGCAAAAGAATAAGTTTGGACCCTTACCTTACACCATATACAAAAATTAATTCAAAATACATCAAAGGCTTAAATATAAGAACTATAAATTTGTTAGAAGAAAACATAGGGTAAAAGCTTCAAGCATTGCATTTGACAATAGGATTTCTTGGATATGACACCAAAAGCACAGGCAATAAAACAAAGACAGATAAACTGGACTTAATCAAAATAAACAGTTGTGTTTATTAAAGTATATTATCAACAGAATGAAAAGGTAACCAAAGAATGGGAGAAAATATTTGCAAGTCACATATCTGATAGGAGATCATTATACAGACTATATAAAAATATTCTTCAATTCAACAACAAAAAACAATGTAATTAAAATATGAGCAATGGACTTGAAAAGACATTTCTTCAAAACAGATACGCAAATGGAATTAGAATATGAAAAGATTTTCAACATCTCTAATCACTTAGGGAGATGCAAATCAAAACTACAATAAGATACCACTTCACATCACTTCATATTTTAGGATGGACAGTATATTTTAATACAGAAAATACAGAAAATAACAAGTGTTGGTAAGGATGTAGAGAAATTAGAAGCCTGTGCACTGTTGCTGGGGATATAAAATGGTACAGCCATTATGGAAAACTGTATTGCAGTTCCTCAAAAAAATTAAAAATAGAATTACCATACAATTCACTAACTCCATTCTGGGTATATACCTGAAAGAATTAAAAGCAGGGCTTCAAAGAGATATTTGCACACCCATGCTCACTGCAGCATTATTCATAATAGCCAGAAGATGGATGCAACCTGAGTGTTCATCAGTGGATGAATGGATAAACAAAATGTGGTATACATATACAATAGGATAAAATTCTGCTTTAAAAGGGAAAGAAATCCTGACATGTGGCAACAGGATGAACCTTGAAAACGTCATGCTAAGTGAAATAAGCCAGCCACAAAATGACAAATTGTACATGATTTCACTTACATGAGATGCCTAGAGTAGTCAAATCCATAAAGAAAAAGTAGAATGGTAATTGCAGGGAGTAAAGAGAATGAAATGGGGATTTAATGTGTAATGGGAATGGAGTTTCAATTTGGGAAAATGAAAAATTTCTAGAGATGGATAGTGATGATGGTTGCATAAAAAAGTACCTTATCAAGATTATAAAGAAAATAAGCATGATTACATATGTCACATCCTTTCCTGACTTTTTGTGATAACACTTTTCTCAATCCTCAGAAGCAATGTCTTTCCAGTTTCTTTGTACCATTGTTTCTTTACTACCATCTCACTCCCTGACCTGGAGGGAACCAAAGACCAGATTACGTTCTAGACTTGGTTGGCTCTCTCAGCCCTACTGGACATCCTATATATCTAGAAGCTGGCAATTCTTTTTATAATAGCTTTATGGTTCAGTAAAGAACAACGTATCTATGAGGGGAAACAATTGATAGAAATAGAAAGGTTTTTTGTTTGTTTATTTGTTTGCTTTTTGTTCTAGACAAAATAATGTAACACAGAGGACATTTAGTCCTCTGGGAATTATGGTGAGAACCTGTGAACATGAAACTATCCTTCCCTAATTCCCTGAAAACATTCCAAAGGGGGAAAACAAAAGAGGGCAACAGCTGCAGAAACAACAGAGCACAGATGTGGTTTCAATCAGACAGTGTACTGTATGAATTCATACATATCCATTATTAGTGCTTTAAACTCACTTCAAGCAACAGTTCTTCAGTGAGAAACTTTTAGTCCTATAGCAATCTATTTACACCTTTTTTTTTTTTTTTGACAGAATCTCGCTATTGTCACCCAGGCTGGAGTGCAGTGGCGCAATCTAGGCTTACTGCAACCTCTGCCTCCCAGGTTTGAGCAATTCTTCTGCCTCAGCCAAGTAGCTGGGATTACAGAGGTCTGCCACCATGCCCGGCGAATATCTGTATTTTTCATAGAGATGGGGGTTTCACCATATTGGCCAGGCTGGTCTCGAATATCTGACCTCAGGTAATCTGCCTGCCTCCACCTCTGAAAGTGTATGGATTACAGGCATGAGTCAACTGCACCCGGCCCTGATTCCACATATTTCTGTGTCCTACATGGCAGTGGTCATCTTTCTCCGTTACAAGGTAAGACCTTCAGGCTTTTACTTTTCATTGTACATACTTTTACAATTTTAATATGTTTTTAAAAATATCTATACTAGTATACTGCATTGTGTGATTTTAAATACAAATCTTAATAAAATGATAACAATACCTACATAACAAAGATGCTAGGAAGATTGGTGATAAGTTTAACACCTGGCACAATGATTGGCTCACATAAGGTTCTCAATGAAAGAAAGTCAGTTACTATGGCCATCCTTCATCTTCAAAGCTTTATGACTTAATTAGAAGCTTCACATGTGAAAGTTAGCCAATTTTTAATTGTCGCAGTGAACATCTATATTTTTTTGCTACATAATGGTTAAATAATATCAATAATCATGACATGATTTTTATGGAATTTATTTTAAAAACAAGCTATGGTTTAATGTCTTTAATGAATTAAATTAATGTATATTCCTAGAGTCACCATGATTTGAAGACCAAAAAATGATTACAAAATCCTGACTGTGATGAGTATAGGAATCTAGTTGCAAGCTTATAAATAGCACCAAAATCTTTGACATAGACTATTACACATTTGTAGTTTTAAATGCCTTCATAGATCTGTGACTGAAATATCAACACTATTTGTTATCTCCATACTTCAATGTTACATAAAATAATTACTCTTATATGATTAATGGTTGCAATAAATATGTAATTAGAATTATATGTGACAGCATCATGGTCTACAGAATAGTTTATCTAATTAAAATTTCAACTGTGAAACTTCAATTTTGATTAATTTTTATAAAAATCTGCTACTCAAATATTTAAGATAACACTCCTCTAACCTCTTTTACATATGTTTCTATGAGTCAGGTAGCTAGACCACACTGAAGTAGAAAGAAAAGTACATAATAATAATTGAAACATCTTTATTAAATAATACATACAGTTATGATATTATGCTTTTTAGTGAACAATTTCAGGGTATTTTTCAGCAACTAAGATGATTGATAAAAATGATTATATCAAATACTCTAGGATAGTAGAAGTGATACTTGATTATTATAAGTCAAGGGACTGACTTATAAATCTATGTTCTCCTAGTCTTTTTTTCACTGTTTTAATTTATACTTTCATATTTATCCCTATGTTTATTTGATAAATAAATGAAGTATGACAGGCTTAGAGAAATTATTCAGCCTACAATTTGTCTGTTGAATGTCCCTATATTACATTAAAGCATAAGGCTGTACTAAAAGAGTAAAGACACTTCAAGAGAAAGGACCACAGGTATGTGAGGTGCATGACATTTTCATTCAGCTTTATGCTCCCAGCACATCCAGGACATATTTGCTCCCTAGGGAATTTAGCCCTAAGATACTCTCTCTACACAATGTCAGTCAACAGCACATACAGCAATACTCATTTTTTAAAAATGGCCAAGTACAATTAACATTACTAAAAGTAGGCACCTGAATGGTGCAATTCTGTAGGTTGTCTAATTATTCTGTTATTTTATTTTGCTGTGTAGAAGCTCTTTAGTATAATTAGGTCCCACTTGTCAATTTTTGTTTTTGTTGCAATTGCTTTTGGAGTCTTCATCATTGAATCTTTGCCAGGACCTATGTCCAGAATGGTATTTCATAGGTTATCTTCCAGAGTTTTATAGTTATAGGTTTTACATTTAAGTCTTTAAACCATCTTGAGTTAATTTTTATATAGTGAAAGGAACGGGTCCAGTTTCAATCTTCTGCATATGGCTAGCCAGTTCTCTCAGCACCATTTATTGAATAGGATATGCTTTCCCCCATTGCTTGTTATTGTCGATTTTGTCAAAGATCAGATAGTTGTAGGTATGTGGCTATATTTCTTAACCTGCCCTATATTACATGACTAGTTAATACAGTGCCTGTACTGAAACTGAAGTCTGCTTGCCTTTAAACCTATTCAATCCCTCTCCAAATTTGGCTTCAACCTCATTCAACAATGAACCTTAAATTTAAGAGCTCATATGAATATGCTAAATTTCCAGACAAAATTGTTTTCCCCATATAAGCGGAAATTCCCTTGAAAGAAAAGACAGACAAAAAAAAATCATCCTCAGAATGCTGTAGAAATGTTCTGTAAAAATCAAGATATTAAATATTTCCTTCCACATGTATTTTCTACAACTTTGTTTTTGATTCATTATTTTTGTGGTGGTAGTTATTTCTGTTGGAAATATTGAGAAAAACAACAAAATATTTAAGCAAAGTTAAAGGCAGAAGAGAGAAAACTGGAGCTGAATTAAAGCTACTTCAGATCTGAAATTTGTCCCCCAGAATCTATCCAGTAGAAGGGAGAGCTAAGTCAAGTATCATAAGGGGAGAGAAAAGTCAAGTATCATAAATAAGGGAGAGTCTCGCAAGTTATTAATATTTATTAGCCATTGGATTGCTATATTTCTTAATTCTAAATCCCAAATTGAATAGGATCAGGAAAGAAATATTATAAACTGGGGGTGGGAACACACTATAGAGAATTCAGTTAATTCTAGAAGCTGAAACAGCAGTGATACGTCGCAAGAGAAGAATGTGGAAAATTCTATTCCCTGTACTAAACATGCTGTCAGCATGTGCTTTGGCATGAAGTTATTGTGGTATAACCAAGTCTTAATAATCTTGTGTACTGAAGAGGGAATTTGAGAGATACATACTCAGCTATGCCAAGTGGGTTATATAAAGGTTACTGTAAGTGTTTTGCATTGCAAGCATCCAAGGTACTCAGTGTATTTGCGATCATAGTGGCACCCTAGAGATAACAGTTAATATCCCTGAATCATAAAATCAGAAAGACATTCAACATTTAAATGGAGGAAAAGTCACAATGGTAAAATGCTTCCCTATATGTAACAAACCAAATGAATTTACAAGCATCTAGTTAATACTAAAGGCAAGGGTGGTGATATAGAGAATGAAAGTGTCAGGGAAAACCAACATTGTTTGTTAACAAAGGATGGAGAGGTAGAAGTTAATTGTATAGTACCAATTTAAGACCTAAAATATAGTATGATCATTGTCTTAATATGAAATCTTCACTCTTTAGCATTTGTTCTTTTACTCTTTTGCTTTTGGAAATGAAAAACCTGCTTTATGTTAGCTTCTCAATCAGATCCCCCACTATTACACCTCTTACCTTCTAAGTTAACCAGTTTCAAATACTCACATAGCAATGAGCAAAACTAACCCCAGCTAGTTAGAAAGGGCAACTTATTGTCTAACAGTGTACTGGAATAAGGGTAACTATATTCTAATCTAGGGAGAATAGAGAAAGAATAAGGTTAACTATATTCTAATGTAGGAAAAACAGAGAAAGAATCATTGAGATATGCTTTGTACAGAAGGTAACACCTTTTTGAAAAGTCAAGTATTATAAATGAGGGAGAGTATTATAAGTTATTAATATTTCTTAGCCATTGGATTGCTACATTCCTTAATTCTAAATCCAAAACTGAATAGGATCAGTAAAGAAATATTATAAACTGAGGCTGGGAACACACTATAGATAATTCAGATAATTCTAAAAGCTGAAACCGTAGTGATACACTGCAAGAGAAGAATGTGGAAAATTCTATTCCCCATACTGAAGAGGCTAGAAAAAAATTAAAAAGGACATAAAACATTGGAACTTTTAAAAACTATCCTATTAACCTATTAAACTCTTATAATTTCTTAATTTACCTGGCTAAAATTTTCACCTGTATTAGAGAAAGATTAAATGAGCAGGACTTGTGGTCTCAACATAATTTGGATCAATAAGAATCAAGTTTTGACAAAAACACGGCAGAAATCTTAAGGAAAAGTGAACACGCAAATAATTTAAAATTTTTAAATTAGAAAAATAAATGTCAGTGTGCTATGTTGGAAATACTTATTTAAAGAAAACGATAGGGAAAATGAACAATCATAGTCAAATAATTCAAGAGAGGCAGGAAGTACAATTCCTACCATATAAGATGATGCCAAAGTAAAACAAGGAGTATTTAAATGAAAAAAAAAAAAAAACCCACTAGGGCTAATGAGCATATTTTTAAGAAACAAAGGTCACATTGGCAAGAGAAAATAGAGTGACACAAATGTTTAAGGATACTACCAAGAAGACTAAAGCCCAGAACAAGCTGAATTTTCTCAAATTTGCTATGGAGAGCAAAAAAGGAGCTTTAAAAACTAGTTTTAGAATAAGACTATCGATTGGGGGAATATTATATAATAGTGATATGATACAAAAGAAGTTCAAATTTTTAAAATCCTGTTTTTACTTTGCATTCTGCATCAAAATGAAAGAGCATGAGACAGCAAATGACTGAACAAAACATTTAAGCATTTTATTCTCCCTGACAAAAGTTGTGGGAAAATATGAACAAAGCCTCTAACCATTGCAAATGAATTCAGGTCTCCAGTCTGCAATCAGAACTTGCAAATAAAACAGAAATAAACAAATAAATAAAATTATTAACACTAAATAAATTAAGGAGACTATGAGAGGTACAGAGATATATCAGTAGGCAAAGGATGCTAATAGCTAATATACCATTAATTTTGAGATAATTTTGAGATAGATGTCCACCGCATATAAAAAATAAGTAACAATGTATTTTGCAGGTAATCATTTTTTTAAACCACAAATACTAAAAGCCAATGTGCAATAAGTAATGTCTTGCAATATAAACCTCCTTCATTTATACTAGTTTTAGATTGGTACAGAAAGCTTTCAATGTCAATATAAGTATATCTTGTTTATAATAAAGCAATTGACATATTTTCTCCTTATATGCACCAAGGATAAATACAAGCTGAATATTATATTTCAGTAAAATTTTAGCAACTCTGTGCAAATAGTGCTGGTTAATGTTTTCATTTTAACCTAATGGGTAGTCCTTATCTGATCAGTGGAGAGCTATGAAAGATCGCTTAGTTAATGGACTTCAAATGTACGATTCAAATTCATCCTGACAGCTTATAATAATGAATAGAAACCAACACACAGTAAACATTACATGGACAGATGTTAAATTCTACATTTAATCTTAGAAATGGAAGCACAAATATAGTATTAGCAAAATCTGGCCTCATTATAACTTACATATAAAACAAAAACACAGATGATTGTTTTTTTAACCATAAATTTAGTGTAAACTAACAGGGTAATATATGTACTTGTTAAGTCATAATGGCAATACTATAAACATATCTAGAACCAAAAAAGGTTCATTGTGGACTGTTCCTGGTTACTCCCAGGCTACATCTGAGTTTTGCATTCAGTTGTTGAGTAGACATTCTAAGAAGGATTTTCTTAAGCTTAGAAATGAGAAGCCAGAATGGTAAGGGACAATTATATGTATCCATTGTCATGAGGAAGCTGTCCTGTTAAGTGAGAAAACAATAAGTTTAAGTGAACACATGATACTTACATCCAAAACAGGTTCTCCTATTGCTCCAGAAGACAGAACTAATATGCATAATTAGAAGTTATAAGTTATATTTTGACTTGAAATAAATACTGTCATCATAAGAACCCTCTCATGACGGAATGGCCTTCTATCACTGATTCTCTTTTGCTAAGATATAATACTCAAAATGGATATCAATTAGTATTATATAATGTATCCTAGGTCTGAAAAGTTATATAAAACACTTTATTAAAGGGATATCAATTAGTATTATATAATGTATCTAGGTCCAAAAAGTTGTATGAAACACTTTATTAAAGGGAATTTCAGAATATTTATAGTACACATCCCATTCTCTCTTTTAAGAGCAAAAGATTGCATGCAGAGTTCCATATATTATGAAATTCCTTTTTCAAGTCTAGGGTGCTGTAGAAACATTCTTTAAAAAGTAGTCACTATGCTATCTGATTTCAGCTCCTTGGTTAATAATAATTTAGTCTCTCAATATATCCCTTTTAATATCTGAAGCTTTTGGAAAATACTTCTCAGGACTACTAATCTGTTAATAGAGTTTGGTTCAAAAACACAGCAAAGGATTTTACATAAGAGATACTTTGAGAAGGAGTTTGTAATAGATTCTCTCCAAAGTTATTTTCAGTTATAAGATTTTTATTATTCTATTTTTAATAGATAGCCAGGACTATAAATCAATGAACATCAAAATACTCAAACTGGCATAACAGGATATACAGCACAGGTGGCATCAGAGTTTAAGAGCTCTAAAACAGCCAGGCGGGATAGTTATTGCTAAATAGATGAGATTAAAACACAAAAATAAAACCAGTCATAGTTTTCAATGAATTGCACTCATTGATTGCTCACTCTGTACAAAGTACTTTGCTAAATCTTATATATATATACACACACACATACACATACATATATTCACACACACATATATAAATCTCATGTAATATTCAAAAGAACTCCTATTATCTTCTATTAGACTCCCTATGAGGAACCTGATGCTTAAAAAAATTAGATAACATACTCAAGGTCACAGCTAACAAATTGTGGCAAGAGAGAAAACATAGCTTTAACCATCACTCTACTGCCCAGTTAGATCTTCAGATTTCCTGTTTCTTCATCAGGGAACAATATCATGACGGAATTGGGTGGAACAACCCTTTAAGAAAACCGTAAAGTTGTTGAGGAGTGCTGCAACAACTCAAATTTGAAGAAGGAAGCAATGCATTGACCTCGGGACTTCCCGTCACCCATCCTCCATGGATGGCAATGGTAATGAGAACAAAGAAGAGGAGAGGAAAGAACCTGAAGTGAATCAGTGCAGTTAAATACCTCAAGAAGAAGGCTACCATCGCAGGGTAGGTTGAAGCCTGACAGAAAGGCTGTGGTGGAAAGTGCTACAGACCCCCAGGTGGAAATCAGACAGACATGAGTGAGATGAGTTTTCCAGAGACAACCTAAGTGAAATATTTAAGTAGATGACAGGATCTTGTTGTTAATGTGAGTTTTCTCTCAACTCTCTGAACATTAACTTCACCCTAAAAGACTTCACTATTTTCCAAAAAAAAAAAGAACCTGAAAATTGGTAATTTCCTTATTTTTTGTTCCTATGACATGTTTTAAAATAAAATAAGGCCAATTTTGTTTCACATGAATTTTTATTATTTATGATTAGAAGAACAAAGAATATATATATTAATTGTATATATATGAATATATATGGCTAGAACCCCCTCTCCAACCCCATCCTTGTAAACATTTGTGCCCCTGAATTTATCTACAATCTTGTATTTTAAACTTTTGTATAAATCTATCATTCCATTAGAAAGTAAACTATTAGAAAACAAAAAAACATATGTATATATACATACAGACCCATACATATTATATCTAAATATATAATTGTATATATATGATGAATATATAATTAAATATGTATGATATGCACATCTACAATTGCATCACAGAGAATTATTGTATTGTATTGTATTGTATTGTATTGTATTGTATTGTATTGTATTTTTTAGAGACAGGGTTTCATACTGTCACTAAAACTGGAGTGTAGTTGGCATGATCATGGCTCACTGCAGCCTCAAACTCCTGAGTTAAAGCCATCCTCCTTCTTCAGTCTCCCAAGTACCTAGAATTATATGTGCATAACACCATGCCTGGCAAAAGTCATTTTAAATATATAACAATTTCATTTAACATTTTCTCCAAGGATAAAACTGCATTTTGAGGATTTCTATGCTTAGAGATAATTTAATACACAACTATTGCTGCTTGCTTATTAACTGGTCATATATATATATATATATATATATATATATATATATGTATATGTATATACACACACACCTATTAAGTAAGCAGAATTCCACTGGAATTGTAAAATAATCTTAAACAGAACAATTTAAGCACTGACAAAAATAAACAGGCTGTTACTTATATAAGCAAAGCACTAAGGTGAAAACTTCAGAACAACTATGAAAAATCAGGCTTTTTACAGTTTTGCAAAGGAGGTTTTTCAAAAATATATATTGGAGAGATGGACATCAGTCAGTGCTTTCCATAACACTAGAAATATTAAAGTCACACATACCCTGAGTAGCAGAGTAACTACCTGCTACTTACTATTTGAAACTACACACCTAAAATCCTAGTATATTTATGCTCTCAATTCTGACTTAGGTAGGATAAAAGAGAGACAAAAGTTATGATTCTGATGAAAATGATTACATGCCTAAAATTGTAAGTCAAAAGCTAATTTACAACTGCCCCTTAGAAGAAACCTTTTTATTATCCTTGCAAGTATTAGCAATGGCTTCTAAAATAGAGTGATTAAAATCATGGATTCTGAAGCCATAGTGTATCAGTTTAAAGCCCTGTGCCTCCACTAGAAAGTTGGGCAAACTTGGTAAAGTTACTTCAGTTTCCTTATCAATAGATAAGGAATGTAGATAATAATGAAAACATCCACATTATATATATTGAATGAGGGCTACATAAGTTAATAATTGCAAAGTTCCAAGAGCACAAGCCCTGCATATATCTCCATAAAGACTAAATTTGTCTTCTGATTTCTTGATATATGTAATAGAATAGAAGCTAATATTAATCGATCATTTTTAATACATATAAATAGAACGACAGCGAATGGAAACATAAGACCTTTTAGAGATGATGGGAATGTTCAAAAACTAGATTATGATTATCTAAATTATGATGATGGATGCACACAACTCAGTAAATGTACTAAAAACACTAAATTATATATTTAGGATACATGAACTCTATACTACATAAATTATATCTCAATAAAGCTGTTTAATTATATGTGTATTTTATATTAAGAAAATTAAGGATAATATACACAAATATCTCAAGGATCCTAATAATTAGGGGAGAGATATATATATGTCTCTCTTTGATATATATATATATATATCAAGAGTCCTAAATAATTGGGAATCCCCTCAGCCAGGAAGCCCTTCTTCCCCCTCTTATCATCACATCTCCCCATCTTGTCATCCTGTCTTTCCCTCTCTTGTCTTCTCTTTCTTCTCTGTCTCCTCTTCTCTCTCCAATACGGTAGCCACTAGTGCACATGGCCATAGAGCTTTTGAAATGTCGCTGGTACAACTGAGCAACAGAATTTTTAATTTCTTTTGGTTTTAATTCATTGAAATTGAAATAGTCACATAGGGCATGTGCTCCTGCTTGGTCTCCAGCTCTCTAGCGCTCTCTCTCTCTTTCTCTCTCTCCCCTCCCCTCCTTCCCTCCCTCCATCTCTCCCTCTCTCCTCCTATCTCCCATGGGCACACACACACCCCACATGTCACAGCTTGGCTAGAACCCCCCTCCAACCCCATCCTTGTGAATATCTGTGTCCCTGAATTTATCTACAATCTTGTATTTTAAACAACCGTTGTATAAATCTATTATTCCATTAGAAAGTGAACTATTAGAAAAGAAAAAAATATATGTATATATACATACAGACCCATACATATCTCCATGCTCTTTTCCTTAATTAACATGGAAATATGTTTCATTTGCTAAGATAAAGTTGATATTAGAACAAAATAAAAATTAGATTTGTAACTAAAGACATCGTTCAGATAATGTATTGCCATACATTTGCAGAGTACCTATTATGTGTTAAGTAATGGGGGAAAAAAACAGGTACATCTCACTGCCTTTGAGGTGCCCTTAGTCTAAAGCAGGAGAAGGCAAACTAAAGTCACGGGACAAATTCAACCTGCCACCTGTTTTCCATATAGTCTATGAGCTAAAAATGTTTATAAAATTTTAAATGGTTAAAAGAATTAAAGAATTGTATTTTGCAATACAAGAAACTCAAATTTAAGCGTCAACAAATGAAGTTTTATTGGAACACAACCAAACTTATCATTTATTTATTATCTATGACTGCTTTTAAACTATAACAATAGAGTTCCATAGTTGGAACAGAAACTATATGCCCCACATACTCGAAATACTACTGTCCAGTCTTTTACAGAAAAGAGATTCCAACTCTTAGTTTAAAATGGAAGATAATTTGTGGTTAATCTTACTGGCTTCAGTGTTTGCTATTAAAAAGCTTCTTGAAATCAATTAGTCTGAGTTACTGGCAAATACACCAAACACAAATGTTTATTTGACAAGTTGGATATCGCAGTGCCTCAATCATTGTGACTATTTGAAGTTTTAGTATTTTAAAATTAAATACCCTGTTCTTAGTACAGAAAGGGCCTATAACTATGAAAGCTACCATTCAGAAAAATACTCAGAGTTAAATGACTATATGATACATCTTGGATTTTCACAATTTTTCTTTAAAAATCAAACTTTGATTTTTTTCTATAAAGAATCATAAAGAGACTTTGTGAAGTTATTATTAATCAATTGTTCCAAGAAAGATAAAGAACATTTTATTATCCAAGTAGCCTTATATTTTAACAAGGATGCATGCATAAATCTGGGAATAAAACTAGCAGTCTTAAAACAGAATCTTATTTTGATAAATCTACATAAATGTATCAATATGTAAATTAAATGAAGTCAATCAACAGAGACAATAGATCAAATGTTATCATCATTATATATTGATGTCTTATCTATTGATATAACATAGAAGCCAATATTTAAAATACATGTATCATTGAATAAAAATTATATTTTGCATAAAAAGAACCCACAAACGGGCTAATAAAAATTACTTTAGTGACACTAATTTTCATACATCCTTCCTCTGGCTCCTTTTCTGAATTCATGTATTCATTTAGTACTATAATTTCACTTTCTTGTAATATAGACTGTATCTTCTCATCAATAGTCCAGCTAACTTCAAGGACATCCTGGGACGGATGGAGATAATGGCACATCCATAGGTTTACAAATGAGGATAGCATGTATCAGATTTCATCATTGTCTGTATTTGTTTTCTGCTAAACACATAAGTTACACATGCTCTTGATTTTTAAAATTACTTACTTTTTTTTTTTTTTTTTTTTTTTTTGAGACAGAGTCTCGCTCTCTCGCCCAGGCTGGAGGGCAGTGGCGCAATCTCAGCTCACTGCAGCCTCTGCCTCCCAGGTTCAGCCTCCCGAGTAGCTGGGACTATAGGCACCCACCACCACACCTAGCTAATTTGCTTTTTTTTTTGTATTTTTAGTAGAAACAGGGCTTCACTGTGTTAGCCAGGATGGTCTCAATCTCCTGACCTCGTGATCCGCCCGCCTCGGCCTCCCAAAGTGCTGGGATTACAGGCGTGAGCCACCGCGCCAGGCCCATTTTTTAAATTACTTTCAAACTTCATTATCATATTCATAAATACACATAATTTTATGTGCTTTCGTCAACTAGCTGTGGATACCTGGAATTGTATTGTCTGTTTTGAAAAATGCATTCTTAATTTATACTAGCATTCATAATTGTGATTTAAGATTACTTAGTTCTGAAAACACAATTGCAGGATTCAGGCTATTCTACTCATTATATTCAAATTTAACAACATTAATAAATAAACTCAAAAGTACGTCCAAAAATCCTGAACTGAATTGCTCAAAGTGATTTGTTAAAAAACTGCAATTGTCCCCCTTTATGGAATAATAAGTGACATCCAAGGTTTAAATGCCAGAACATTCAATTTTATAAACATTCTCTTTTCATTCTTTCATGAAGAAGTTTACATTGGCCAAAATATATCTCAGATGGATATACTGTGATTGGAGGAGTGCATTTTGAAATAATGTAATAGCTTTAATTTTTTTAATTTGGTACTAATAAGATCCTCTGCTCAAATCCCTCCCCACAATACCGTTTCTTTTATTTCGAATTCTTCTTCTTCAAAGGCATAAATGCATAAACAGATTTAGCCTATTCATAACTTTATTTTTATTGCTTTGATTAATAAATACTCATCTCATTGGCAAAATGATCTCTAATTTGAGAAGAATTCGCATAAGGGTAAATTTAAAATCCTGGTGTTTTAAGAGGAAAAGAGGCATTTCAGTTGTATGCTTCGAAGAGACAAGGGCCATATAAGGGCACTGAGTTAGCAAAGGCTAGCAGAAAACAAAAAAGGGAACAAAAAAGGCAATAGAGTGTCAACCAAAAAGAAAGCTCCTTACATCAAAATCTAATTAATGCAGTGGTAGTGGTAACTCTCCTCCATGCTACATGAATGCTAAGCTATATTCTTTATTTTTTTTATATTTTGGACATACGGTCTGACTGTCAATCATGCCGGAATGCAATGGTGCAATCAACAGCTCACAGCAACCTGCAAATCCTGGGCTCTAGTAATCCTCCCACCACAGCCTCTCTGTGCACCACCACATCTGATTTTTTTTTTTTAATTTTCGTTGTTTTTGTAGAGATAGGCTTGGCTATGTTGCCCAGGATGGTCTCAAACTCCTGGCCTCAAGTGGTCATCCCGCCTTGATCTCCCAAAGCACAGAGATTACAGGTGTGAGCTACTAAACCCAATCAAAAAACATTCGTTAAGACACTATGTTCTGGGAAGACACTTGACTAAGTATATCTAAGTATATTTCATTACAAAGCAACATTGTAATAAGGTTATTATGATTATTTCCATTATCTATATATATTTGCATGGGACAGGGAGAGCACACTTGAAAAATCCTTTAGCCTTTCTTCAGCAGCAAGCATTTCCTTAACTGACTGTTATTAACATAATTTTGATAGGAATAAACTCTCTTTACCAATATTTAGGAAGCAAAGGAGAAAATATAAAAACTGAAAAAGGAGCAGCAATTAGACAGAAACTGTAGGGTAAAACCATGAGGCAGAAGGAACAGAATGAGTATGGTATAGGCAGAGTGGTTTTCATTTAGTGAGTGCTGAATAGATGGAAATGAAAGCATATTACATATATATATATTATATATAATTGTATATAATAGATATAATAAATAAATAAATATATATATATAAAATAAATTCAGAAAGATGTAGAAATTTGCCCTTTTAGACACACAACGTAAGGGACAGGGTTAGGATTCTAATCCTACCAACCTAACACAACATTTTGGTTAGCTCAGTCACTTCTTCTGTTACCTTGGACAAGCCACTTAACTTTTCTATGCCTCAGTTTCCTTATAATTAAAGAGGTAATAAGGATAGGCAATATTTAAAATGTGTTCAGAATAATGTATGGAAGTTAGCAAGTGCTATATAAAAGTTTGGTTAAGAATTAAAATAAATTACAAAAAAGGAAGCCATACCAAGCTGAATAGCCTTTGCTTTTAACTGCTGTAGACTACAATACCATGCTCCTCCTACTATGGTTACTGATTCCTATCAATGTCTGGTGGTGGTAGATATACAAAGTATTTATTGCCATGCTCTTCCAAACATAAGGAAATGGCAAACAAACCAAGGAAAGTATTTTATATCGCTTTACTTATTTTTTTAAAAACTACCTATCAAATGTGAATCTTATATCTAATATTATTTGTGTTACACAATCATTGCAAAAGGGAAAAAATGTTGGCATTAAGGTTTCTTAGATAATAAATTGACTTCATGATTACATTAATCTATACTTTAAAAAAAAAGAAATCATGAAGCTGAAAACTAGTGGAAAGAAACAAATATGATCTAGAGTTTAAATCTATGCTCAAGTGACTTTTTTGAAATGTGCTGCATGCAAGGTACTACTTCTCAGAAAATGTCCTGAATTTATAGCTATTCATGTCAATATGACACAGAAAAATGAGATCAGATACAACCTACAATAGGCTATAAGACAGCAAAGAAGTTATTTGTGGAATTATTCTCTATAGCTACTTTATTAAACATTCAACGAATATTTACTGCTTGTTAAATCAAATTAACAAATGTCTTTTGCATTGAGCTTAAATATAAAACAAAGCAAAATTGAACAACATTAAGATTTTAGTTATGTTTTAACAAAGACACAAAAATCAAAGTAAAACAAAAACTGAAACAGAATATAAATTTGTTGTAAAGACCATGAAATAATTTTTTTACAGTCCTTCATGAGCAGGGCTTTTAAGAGCAGATGAATAATAACAGTGTTGACATGCCATGAAATGAAACAATGTGGGGAAACATATCAACCAATCACAGGCACACAGAATTATTTAAAAAAAAATAGTTCTAACCTAGATATAAATATAAAGCCTGGAGAGAAGAAAAATGTAACTGAAGAAAAGCAGCATCTATCAGATCCCAAAGAATTGGAATTAAGAATTAAGAAAGACCATACTGGAAAGGAATCTAAATTCTGAATATCCAAATGATTGCTTTTGTACAATCAGAGTACTAGAGGATTACATGTGCATGGGACAGAAAGAACAGATTTGAAAACTCCTTTAGTCTTTCTTCAGCAGTAAGCATATACTTAACTGATGATTATTAACATTAATTTTGATAGGAATAAACTCCTTTTACCAATATTTAAGGAGCAAAGAAGAAAATGTAAAAACTAGAAAAGGAGCAGCAATTAGAGAGAACCTGTAGGGTAAAACCATGAGGCAGAAGGAAAAGAACAAGTATGCTACAGGCAGAGTGGTTTTCATTTAGTTAGTGCTGAATGGATTGAAATTACAGCCACCAAATGAAAATCTGGAGAACTGATTTTTCACTTTAATAACTTGTTTAGGAAATGAAAATTAGCATCTGGAGCAGCATGACTAACCACACTAGTAATAAAAATCTTATATTTCATGTTTGTAAATTAGAAAATGAAATGTCTTAAGCCTGAAAATGTCTGCCAGCACACAATTATTCTTAAGAAATTCTTCTACTCTTTGACTTGAATAAACCTTGAATAAACCTTGAGTCACAACTTTCACTGACATTGGTATTAGTCATCTCCTATGGTTTTCGGGAAATAAGAGTACAGCATTTCTTAACAAAATCCTCAGCTTCAGTTCTCAAAGTGTGTTTCATTCATATACATTCGGATATACGTACACATATATGCCAACCAAGTGCTTGTCAAATCAAAATTATAATTTATGTTCTATTAAGTTTACAGTACTCATTTATTCTGAAAGTTATTAAGCCAGGTGGACAAAAATAGACATATGGCTTCTGTGACTGGCAAAGAGCAATTTGTCCCATTATCTTAAAGAATGTTTCCCCAACTACCTGCATCAGAATCACCTGTGATTTTAAGATGCTCCAATTCCTAGGATCAAGGCTGAATTTTTTTTAACAATTATTAGAAGGCCCAGGAAGCTGCATAAGTGCTTTAGAGTAATTATTTCATTAAATCATTATATCACACCTATGAAGTAGGAAGCATTATACTAAATCCCCATTTTACAAATGACCTTGTTACACAACTAAAAGATCGAGAGTACAAATCCAGATATGACTTTCATCATCCAACTAATAAACCAGTACATGATTCCGTCTTGTTCCTAATTTGGGTATAGACAGAGGACTATCTATGTTGACATGAAAAAAAAATGCTACGGTAGATGTGCTCTGTGGATGAGCTGGAAGACAAGCACCACATAAATTCTTTCTCACCTTGTATTCCTTCTTTCTACTTATGGTATATTGAAAATGAAACCAAGGACAAATGGTGAAAAATAAAAGGAGGTAATTTTAGTTCAATTTGTCCTTCTATGAATCAATCACCTAATATCTATTAATAAAAGGAAACAATGAGAACTCACATATCAAAGGAGAAAATGTCTGCTAAAAGGCATATAGCTTGTCTATAAAATAGGTCAGTGATTCCTATAAAATATAGTTATTTATAGACATTGTGATATTAATATCTAGATATACACATTTTCAGCTATTAAGGGTATCATGAAACTCTGATAGATTCTCTACATACTAGCTTACCTAAAGTAGGCCAATATCATATATTCTGTTCTAAAGGTGAGAAGCCTATGGAAAATATTTTCAAAATTATGGCCATATATAATCTAGGTTAAAGAAATCCTTGCCTTTATCTTACTCTTAAAGAGCTCCATTGCCTACAGGTCTTCTCCAGAACATATAAGCAACGAAAGATATGCAAAGTATGCCTACCAAAATGAAAGGACATATGGTCCTTTACCAAAGACACCCTGTAGTGCAGTAAATAAGAAAAAAGTTCAGAAAAATAGAAGATGAACAAGCAAGTGCTCAGCAGATAAAGTGAGACTATGCTATGTCTTTATGTATTTCATAATAAGAAAAATAGTTTATTATTTCTATGTGACAACCATTGTAATAAACAACTTACAAACATTAACTCATTTTCTTCTCACAATAATTTTATGATATTTAAACAGTCACAAATGACAGGAAAATGTAAGAAACTATGATGGAGTAAGTGACCTGCCAAAGTCACACAGATTTAAATTTTCATAGCTGGGAATCCATCTGGTCCTGGACTTTTTTTGGTTGGTAGGCTATTAATTATTGCCTCAATTTCAGACCCTGTTTTTGGTCTACTCAGGGATTCAACTTCTTCCTGGTTTAGTCTTGGGAGGGGGTATGTGACCAGGAATTTATCCATTTCTTCTAGATTATCTAGTTTATTTGTGTAGAGGTGTTTACAGTATTCTCTGATGGTAGTTTGTATTTCTGTGGGATCGGTGGTGATATCCCCTTTATCATTTTTTATTGCATCTATTTCATTCCTCTCTTTTCTTCTTTATTAGTCTTGCTAGCGGTCTATCAATTTTGATGATCTTTTCAAAAAACCAGCTCCTGGATTCATTGATTTTTTTTTAAGGATTTTTTGTGTCTCTATCTCCTTCAGTCTGCTCTGATCTTAGTTATTTCTTGCCTTCTGCTAGCTTTTGAATGTGTTTGCTCTTGCTTCTCTAGTTCTTTCAATTGTGATGTTAGCGTGTCAATTTTAGATCTTTCCTGCTTTCTCTTGTGGGCATTTAGTGCTATAAATTTCCCTCTAAACATTGCTTTGAATGTGTCCCAGAGATTCTGGTATGTTGTGTCTTTGGTCTCATTGGTTTCAAAGAACATCTTTATTTCTGCCTTCATTTCGTTATGTACCCAGTAGTCATTCAGGAGCAGGTTGTTCAGTTTCCATGTAGTTGAGCGGTTTTGAGTGAGTTTCTTAATCCTGAGTTCTAGTTTGATCGCACTGTGGTCTGAGAGACAGTTTGTTATAATTTCTGTTCTTTTACATTTGCTGAGTGAGGAGTGCTTTACTTCCAACTATGTGGTCAATTTTGGAATAAGTGAGATGTGGTTCTGAGAAGACTGTATATACTGTTGATTTGGGGTGGATTGTTCTGTAGATGTCTATTAGGTCCGCTTGGTGCTCAGCCAAATTCTACCAGAGGTAAAAGGAGGAGCTGGTACCATTCCTTCTGAAACTATTCCAATCATTAGAAAAAGAGGGAATCCTCCCTAACTCATTTTATGAGGCCAGCATCATCCTGATACCAAAGCCTGGCAGAGACACACACAAAAAAGAGAATTTTTGACCAATATCCCTGATGAACATCGATGCAAAAATCCTCAATAAAATACTGGCAAACCGAATCCAGCAGCACATCAAAAAGCTTATCCACCATGATCAAGTGGGCTTCATCCATCCCTGGGACTGCAAGGCTGGTTCAACATACACAAATCAATAAACGTAATCCAGCATATAAACAGAACCAAAGACAAAAACCATATGATTATCTCCATAGATGCAGAAAAGGCTTGTGAAAAAATTCAACAGCCCTTCATGCTATAAACGCTCAATAAATTAGGTATTGATGGGATGTATCTCAAAATAATAAGAGCTATTTATGACAAACCCACAGCCAATATCATACTGAATGGGCAAAAACTGGAAGCATTCTCTTTGAAAACTGGCACAAGACAGGGGTGCCCTCTCTCACCACTCCTATTCAACATAGTGTTGGAAGTTCTGGCTAGGGGAATCAGGCAGGAGAAGGAAATAAAGGGTATTCAATTAGGAAAAGAGGAAGTCAAATTGTCCCTGTTTGCAGATTACATGATTCTATATTTAGAAAACCCCATCGTCTCAACTCAAAATCTCCTTAAGCCGATAGGCAACTTCAACAAAGTCTGAGGATACAAAATCAATGTGCAAAATTCACAAGCATTCTTATACACCAATAACAGACAGAGAGCCAAATCATGAGTGAACTCCCATTCACAATTGCTTCAAAGCAAATAAAATACCTAGGAATCCAACTTATAAGGGATGTGAAGGACCTCTTCAAGGAGAACTACAAACCACTGCTCAATGAAATAAAAGAGGACATAAACAAATGGAAGAACATTCCATGCTCATGGGTAGGAAGAAACAATATCGTGAAAATGGCCATGCTGCCCAAGGTAATTTACAGATTCAATGCCATCCCCATCAAGCTACCAATGACTTTCTTCACAGAATTGGAAAAAACTACTTTAAAGTTCATATGGAACCAAAAAAGAGCCTGCATCGCCAAGTCAACCCTAAGCCAAAAGAACAAAGCTGGAGGCATCACACTACCTGACTTCAAACTATACTACAAGGCTACAGTAACCAAAACAGCAATGGTGCTGGTACCAAAACAGAGATATAGACCAATGGAACAGAACAGAGCACTCAGAAATAATACCACACATCTACAACCATCTGATCTTTGACAAACCTGACAAACACAAGAAATGGGGAAAGGATTTCCTATTTAATAAATGGTGCTGGGAAAACTGGCTAGCCATATGTAGAAAGCTGAAACTGGATCCCTTCCTTACATCTTATACAAAAATTAATTCAAGATGGCTTAAAGACTTAAACGTTAGACCAAAAACCATAAGAATTCCAAGAAGAAAACCTAGGCAATACCATTCAGGACATAGGCATGGGCAATGACTTCATTTCTAAAACACCAAAAGCAATGGCAACAAAAGCCAAAATTGAAAAATGGGATCTAATTAAACTAAGGAGCTTCTGCACGGCAAAAGAAAGTAGCATCAGAGTGAACAGGCAACCTACAGAATGGGAGAAAATTTTTGCAATCTACTCATCTGAGAAAGGGCTAATATCCAGAATCTATAAAGAACTCAAACAAATTTACAAGAAAAAAAACAATCAAACCCATCAACAAGTGGGCGAAGGATATGAACAGACACTTCTCAAAAGAAGACGTTTATGCAGCCAACAGATACATGAAAAAATGCTCATCATCACTGGCCATCAGAGAAATGCAAATCAAAATTACAATGAGATACCATCTCACACAAGTTAGAATGGCGATCATTAAAAAGTCAGGAAACAACAGGTGCTGGAGAGGATGTGGAGAAATAGGAACACTTTTACACTGTTGGTGGGACTGTAAACTGGTTCAACCATTGTGGAAGTCAGTGTGGCGATTCCTCAGGGATCTAGAACTAGAAATACCATTTGACCCAGCCATCCCATTACTGGGTATATACCCAAAGGATTGTAAAACATGCTGCTATAAAGACACATGCACACGTATGTTTATTGTGGCACTATTCACAACAGCAAAAACTTGGAACCAACCCAAATGTCCATCAATGATAGACTGGATTAAGAAAATGTGGCACATATGCACCATGGAATACCATGCAGCCATAAAAAAGGATGAGTTCATGTCCTTTGTAGGTACATGGATGAAGCTGGAAACCATCATTCTCAGCAAACTATCACAAGGACAAAAAACCAAACACCGCATGTTCTCACACATAGGTGGGAACTGAACAATGAGAACACTTGGACACAGGAAAGGGAACATCACACACTGGGGCCTGTTGTGGGGTGAGGGAGGGGGGATGGATAGCATTAGGAGATATACCTAATTTAAATGATGAGTTAATGGGTGCAGCACACCAACATGGCACATGTATACATATGTAACAAACCTGCACATTGTGCACATGTAACCTAGAACTTAAATATAATAATAATAAAAAAAAGAAGAATGCACCTGGGGAGCACCCAAAGATAAATAAATTCTACAGAAATGAAAAAAAAAATAGCTGGGATGGAAATGCAGCTTTATGAACTCTGAAGTTCACACTAAAAAGTAAAAAATGCATTGAAGTCCTTTTAAACAGAAATTGTGCTTTGGATTAGTTTGTAAGGGGTTGTACCAGTTTTGACATTAAGCATCTAGGTACAAGTGATACACTGGCCAAAAGCCACTTGTGAACATCATTTCCATCACCTTCCAGGATGGCAATAAAAGGATCAGCCATAATATTAACTCATTTTAGGAAGTCTCATAGTAGGTATTATAAGTCCTTTACCTGGTACCTTGATACTTTTTTTCATCCCTAAGAACTTCATCATCTACCTGGTGTACAATCTTTCCTATGGTAATGTGTTCATTACTCTGGAAGAATTCAAATAGGAAAAAATCAAAAATGTAATTTAGACTCTTTTCTATACTAAAACTGTATAAGTAATAAATTTGATTTAATTATGAACTCTATATATTTCTGGTATAAAAATTTTAGACAATTCAATTCATGACAAAGGTGTCTTTCAAAAATAAACCTAGATTATTCTACAAAAAAATGTGGTTGAAATTTTAAGGAGAAATGACAAAGTGATTAGGATTTTAATCCTTATTTTCTTTGGGAGAAATTGGACAATGAAGTACTGTGACCATCAACCAAAAAGAGTAAGGATATTTTGGCGTTGTGTTCCTAGAAAGATATGTCCCATGACTGTCTTGAACAGACAGTAAAAGGAACACCTATTCTAATGATTTGATTGTATTTTACATTATTCTTCAAAATGAAAAACTGCACAGGTATTTTACACTAGTTTTAACCTCCAACCTTTTCAGTTTTCCATTTTGCAGGGGATAATGTAAAATACAATAAAGTCATTAGGACAGGTTTTTCCTTCACTTTCTGCTTCAAAACAATCATTCAGGGATTTTAAGCAATAAAGACCTATGACATATTCCAATGAATTGATATAGAATCTGACCCTGATCTCCACATAAACTCCTTTACATCTCATACTAAGCATCCATCTCTCTTAGAAAGCCCTTCTCTAGCCTGCTTGATCATATCAAATTTCCGCTTTTAAGAGCTGTTCTTACTCTGAACACCTCTCTTCTGTAATACTCACCAAAATTAAGACTTAGCATTTATGTATGTGATTATTTTATTAATGTCCAATTTTCCTACTAAATTATAGGTTCATTATTAAATAACAAGTGCCCAGAAATCCAGAGTACCTGCTCCATAGGAAGCACTCAATATATTCAGTTAAATGAATAAACAAGTGAATGAGTAAATGCAATAACTCGATAGAAAGAGCTCAAGTACAAGGTCAACTACACATGTTGTATTACTTGTTTTGGTTTTTATTGCTCAATTAGAAATTCACTCACCTAATTATTTTCAAACCTAGAACACAGGTACTCCCTTTTCCATACAAAATTTATTGTAACAACATTTCATTTAAATGTGGGAATTTGTTCCTAAATCGATCTATTTTATCATTATCATAGCTGCAGGATTCAAAATTAATATTTGGCAGCCTGGTTCACTGATGTTCCAAAAATTCCTCTTATATTCTCTAGGTTGTAGAAAGTCCCTATCTTATCTAACTCAACAGGAATCAACAAAATAGCCTATGGTAAGTAAAAAAAAAAAAAAAAAAAAAAAAAAAAAAGAATAAATTAAACCATTGGAAATTTCTAGATGTTTGCTGTCTTAAGAAAGACAAAAATAATGATAAAATAATAGCAGCTACCATCAGCTAATTGGTTACTATGTATCACAGTCTAACCTAAGCTATGAATTCATTTATTCTTCAGAATAATCCTATGAAATAGTTATCACCTTCCTCCAATTATTCGAAAAGAAAAAAATCAAAGACCAAAGAAGTACTATATCTAAATTTGAGGGTCCACATGAATGAAAGACTGAAGCAGAACCTCTAATAGTTTTGGCCTGAATAAAGAGCAATATCAAGAAATAGCTTAGAAGATATGATTTTACTCTTAGAAGCCCTATCAAGCTAAATACTACTCTAACACTAATAAAACCTAAACTTACTCTAGCACTTAGTTTGTCCCCAATACTTTGTATACAGAGTCTACCATTTAAGTTTATGAGACAAATATAGTATTATAAGTACTATTAGATAAATGTTTATCCACTACTTATCAACAAGGAAATTGAAACTCAATGAGGTTGTGTAATTTGCCCTATTAACATACATCTGTTAAATCTAGTTGTATCTATGATTTGCATGCTTAGCCTCTACACTACTTATTCCTGTTAGTAGTTCCAAATCCGTCTTATCATAGCTAAGTGCATTTGTGCCCGTTGGATCAACAGAGGCTTGTACTTGCTTGTTTTTCTGGAAGATATAAAGAAAGCTCAGTGGAAAAGGTGGGAAAGGATGCTATGCCTATTTCATCTCACCTCCTCATTTCCTAATTAGACCATAGGGAGAGCAGGAAAATGTGTGAGACAAAACAATAAAGTAGACAAAAAGCAGATAATTTAGGACATGTAAGACTCTGAAGTTCCATGGTTAGAGAACATAGCTGTTGATATTCTTCTCATGAGGACCTCTTGTGAGGGATGTAAGAGTTAATTAAGAATAATAATTTAATGAGTAGAATGCATATTTCTCTTCAATTACTTATCTTAGAAATTTCTATGAAATAGAGCCCTAAATTTTTGGTATGATTGAACAATTTATTATAAGAAACATATTACTCTTTATCAAGGTTTTTTTTGGTCTTAATTAATACAGGTTGTGTGATACTGTCAAAAAAAAAATCTGGAAACCTGAGCATTAGTCTTAGTTCAGGCATTATGAGTTGGACCTGGGTAAGGCTTATCCACTCTGACCCTCAATTCCACACTTGATAATATTAAAAAATTGGGCAAGTTCCTTATGAAAATGTTTCTACGTAAAGTCTATGATTATTTAATGTTCTTCTAGGAAAGTAAGAGAAGGTGAAAAAAATTGAAAGAATAAGCAAGGAAATATAATTTTAGTTAAATTACACTAATTCTTCTTCCTTGCAGTATTCATTAATGTATTTCCAAACATAAGTATCTTCTCAGACACAGATAAGATATATGAGTTCATCATTTGAGCTACAACTTACAGAGTGCGCTCTATATGCTAAATCTTGTCTCAGAGGTTTCATATACCACAGTTACTACTTTGACCACTGTTAGATTCAGCATTTACTTTGGGGAAGCTGTTAGTTGAATAATTAAGAGCAGTGATTTTTTTTTTTTTTTTTTTGAGACAGAGTTTCACTCTGTCACCGCAATGGCACAATCTCTGCTCACTGCAACATCTGCCTCCCGGGCAATTCTTCTGCCTCAGCCTCCTGAGTAGCTGGGATTGCAGGTGCCTGCCACCACACCCCATTAATTTTTTGTATTTTTAGTAGAGACGGGGTTTCACCATGTTGGCCAGGCTGGTCTCGAATTCCTGACCTCAGGTGATCCACCGGCCCTGGCCTACCAATGTGCTGGGATTACAGGCGTGAGCCACTGCACCCGGCCCAAGAAGTAATCTTTTTAATGTTACATAGAGTTAAATCCTAGTTCCACTGCTTCCCTGGTGACCTGGGTAAGTTCTACAAGACTCAGTTACTCACCTGTGGTATGGCAGTGATGATGCTTATCTTGAAGGGTTAAAATATTAAATGAGATAAATATAGCAGAGTTCTTGAAACCAGGACTGGTACACATTAAGCCGCTAGTAAATGGAAGCTATTGATGCTGATATTGATTTATCCACATTTTCTTGGAAACTACATTATACAGTTGAAGGAAAAGAAGCTCAAAGATAGTAGGTAACTTTCCCATGAGTGTTCACAATTAGCAAGTAATGAAACTAGAATGTAAAGTTGGCTTTACTGGATTCTAAAGCCTATGAGTTTTCCCATAGACCACACTGTTTCCCAAGACTGGGACTCTCTCGCTCATAGACCTCTATACCAAATGTCTTATCTCTTAATCTTTTAATTTTTTTCCCAGTCTTTAATTAGACTAGAATTTGCTTAAGTGTCTTCTGTTTGTAATTCATATTTATATAATGCCCAATATAGGATTTTGGCAAGGTAGGATGCTAAGGAATAGAAAAATTAGCCCTCATTCCTTGGAAAAAAAAGGAAGCTGGTACTGTCTGGGTTTATATCCCAGCTCTAGAACTTACCAGCCCTGGGATCCTGGGAATATTCTTTAACTTTTCTATAAATATATGTCCTCACTTGTAAAATAGCAAAATAATGATACCTACCTCATAAAGATTAAGTGTATGGTTAAATGAGATAAGTTATATGCTGGCACATGTTGAGTACTCAATGAATAAAAGACCTTTTAAATATATTATCAATACTTCCATTTATTTTTATTCTTTCTGACTTCATTTTTCATCCATATAGTAGGTGGCCTATGTCAAATGGTTGCTGTGAGGATTAGATGAGAAATGTATTTACAGTCCTTAGAAGAGTGCTGTCTCATAGTAAAGTTGAATAATGTGTTACTTTTATTAATGTCATAATGAGTGCAATATTGCCTTCAAGCTCACAAAGATTGACCACACCTAGGAGCTTTTGAGTCCTCCATCTTCCTATGATCCACGCCATCTAGGTTTGGTTATCTAAGGATCTAGTGTCCAAAGCAAATACACAACTCTCTGCTCATGGCAAAACCGGTACTGCTCACTTCTTCTATCAGAGAACATACACACACTGTGGCCAAGGCTTACCCTAAAGAGTCGACTCTGAGTAAACCATAAAGGCATGACTATAAAGGCATCCATGAGCCAGAGGACCATTCTTTACACCTTAGATACCATGCTGCACTGGCCTCTTAAGTGTCACACAAATCTTGATCTCTTCCATGCCCAGTGATTACTGTGATCACACTGCAATTTTATAACATCTTCTAACTGGAATGGTGTTAGGAAATATAATTTGTTAGTTTGCTAGGTAAAATATTAGTGAAAATAATACCTACACAGACTAATTTTTTCCTTGGCAAATATATTACACTATAGATATAACTCCAAATGTGATTCTAAGATAATCCTTTTAAATCCACAGTTCTTCAGTTTAAAATGAATATAGTTGCATTTATCTGAAAAAATTATTTTGGAATACGCAATGCTCACAATATAGGAGAAAGACTCATGGAACAGTGAAACAATTTTTTCATCAATCTAAAATCCAAGTAAAATGTTTCTATCAACAATATTAACATATGCCTTTCAGTTAAACTTAACTGATTTAAATCCTGAAATATGTGCTTCTGATATCATAGCAAATAATTTTTATAAAATGCTTTCTTCTCTACGTGTGCTAACCATCACCCTCCAAAAAACAGATCCAGGGCTTAGACAATCAACATATTTATTATTGGAAGTAGTCTGACATGTCCTTAAAACTTAATTCTCTTCATTTTTAAAATATGATAAACATCAAAAGTATTCATAAAGCAATTATAATAAGTACATTTTTACTGTAGGCATAAAACAGAATTAAATTCATTGGGCTTACACTATGGTGTGCTTTATTTATATTTTTAATATATCATCAACATAATATTATTTATAGCAATATAGTATTATTATTAGATAGTATTATTATATACTAATATATCTCTTAGGACAGAGCACAGTAGTTTTGGTTGAACAATAATACATCCTTTTGTCAAGTGAACAATCATAGCAATTCAAAGTTTTTGAGGTAATTCCAACAGCTATGCAGTAGTAGTAATAGTATTATTATCTTTTAACATTCTTCCAAGCTGCTTCAAGATCTTCTCATAAATAATGATATAAACTAAAAGGCAGAACAAGGAAACGATGCACACAAAGGTCTACTCTAATATGATAGGACATTTTAAACAATTTCTTCAACCAAATAAACTCCAAAGTTTATATACTCTCATTCTCCCATCTGCTTATTTATTTCCCTAGTTTTTGAGGTCTTTGGCTTAATGATCATTTTGATCTTACTGCAATTTTATAACACCTTCTAACTGAAAAGGTGGTAGGAAATATAATTTGGTTCCTAAATACAACTCAGTAAATATTTGTTTCATGAGTTAGTGAGTGAATGACAGACAGGTTTGCTTATTGGTTTTTATCTGCTTGGTCTTCTTACAAGAAGTTTCATAAGGAAACTAGTTCCATGAATGTCAATCATTATCTGATGATTCCTATGGTGGTGCATGGAATGGTATGTAAACCCCGTGAGAAAAAGGAATTTTCTGTTTTGTTGACTGCTATATCTACATACCTATATCAGGTTCTAGCACATGGTGGTTCTTGATATTTGTTGAATAAATAGTTAATAACATATAATTCTCACCCTCTTTTCATACTGAAACAAAACAGAAAAGTAACAAAACCTATTATATTACACTCTAAAGATATATTAAATTATAACTTAATTATATATTACAGTGGTATTGAAATATGGGAGGTCTTTGTTTATTGAATGTATATTGTGATTGATATATAGAGAGATTCTTCTCCCATATCTTTGCTAATATAACCCCTGCTTGCATGCATCACAATGTATTTTAATGATATTCATCATTCCTGATACACATCATGCTTTTTCATTATGACATCTCATCTGTCCTCAAGTGCCATTATTCTACCACCCAACTCCATATAGTATAAAGTCCTGTTCAAATGTTCCTCTTCTCTGAAATATTCCTTCCTCAGTTCCCCTTCAGCATCAGTCTTGCAGGGTCTCCTTTTCACGAACCCTCTGAGCAACCGTCATTTAGTACTTGTCTATATCCATGTCTGTCCCTGTCATCTCTCTAAGTCTCCTAAGAGACTTCTTCTGATTCATTTGTGTATCTCAAAAGCTTAATACAGTTATTGGCACAGATCAAGTCCTAAATTACTGAAAACTGAATGAATTAATTAATTTAGCAACATATGTTCTCATAAGATGGGAGATCTTAAAAAGTATCATAAAGAAAACATATTTTAGTAATTATAATGAAGAAAACCAATTCTTGTTATGATTTATTTAATCCACCCAAAATAACAACCCAGAAATTTCAGGGATGGGGAGAAATGGGTAATTATATAACATTTAATGGAATCTAAAGTCAGAATTTTAGTAAATTTATTATTTATTTATCCTTGATTTGATTACTCAATGTCACTAGATTATATATTTGCTAAGTAGGAATAATATCAACATTTTCTATTATGGTATTATATGTATCTAGGAGTAACTTACTATCCCTCTGATGCTTACTTTTCAGTAATTATTATCTTGAGATTATCTTCCACAAGAAACATCAGCTGATTATAATTCCTACATGCACAGTTATTTATATTTCTCTCCAGATTAAAAGAATATACATGAAACACAAATTCTTCTGAGCCCAGTTAAGGTAATCATGAAAATGAAATAAGATTTTCATCTTTTCTATTTGTCCAGCCTTCTTGTTGACATTCATGATATTGGTTGAAATTTAGACTCCTGACAATTGAAAATTGCAGTTCCAAATCTGACATCTCTTGGGAAATTATCAAAGGATTATTGTAAGGGAAAAGTAAAAGCAACAAACGAATGCTCTCTTTTGACAGCTGAAATAGTTACTCATTTTACTTTATGCTTCTCAGTTGTGCCAATGGACCCCCATGGAAACACTGAATCTCCCCATGTTTAGATTTATAGACATTATTTTTTAAATAAAATATTGTGAGGAATAGGAAGAGGAAGAATTCCATATGAATAGTAATATTTCAAAAAAAATTTTTTTGCTATTTTTGCTAAACATTTACAAGAGTAGAAAAACAGAATCTATTTTATTTAAACTTAAAAGTCAGATGAGTGTACAACAGCTCTCAGCCAGCACCAGTTACCAACATGCTCCTAGGAGCCTTTTAAGATGTTATCCTAGACCTACAAATCTGGGCACCTGAGAAATGAAGCCTCCTTTGCAGTTCATGAAGTGAAGATTCTCTGCTCTCAATCACCAGGTACTTTACTGGAATTGGATAATGTCTATCTCGTCCACAGGACAGTCCAAGAAATTACTGTTCTCCCCAAATCACAGGAGAGTGTCTGTAGCAACAAAATAATTTTAACTCTAAATTCTACATTGGATTCATTCACCTTGCCCATGAGTTAAGTAACCACTTAGGTTACATAAGGTCTACAAAGTTGTATTAGGCCCCATAGACATGACAAGTGGATTAAATACACATAATATTTTTGTTTTAGATTTTGTCTTCTATTATTAAAAGTTATAGCCATCCTTCATACACAAAACTATAAGAAAGTACTAAATCGCAACTGATTATATGTGGTCCTAAATAGATATCCTAGTTAGTCACGTGGTAGTCCAACCCTTGATGACTATAAAAATAGTAATAATAAGCAAAATAAATAATAATGATGATCATACAGATGTACTGAGTACATATTACATTCCAGCCACTTTGCTAGAATCTGTGCCTTAGTTGTATTACTTAATATAACATTCCTATAAAATAGGTACTAACGATATTTTAATTATACAGATGAGGAAACAGGCTTAGACAGACTGAGCAATATATCAAAAGCCTCGTAACTATAAAAGTTAGAGTCAGGGCACAGATCAAAGTGTGCTGGGCTCCAAAGTTTGTGTTCCTAACCACTGTTGTGTTCCAAGGACAACACAATCAATTAATAAGATCTAAGACAAAGGCCATCGTATCCCCAAAAAAGGATATTCTACACACCAAAAAGTTTCCCAGGTACTCATAAAAAGGTTGTAGACATAAACCAATTATTGGCTGTAAAATAGGGAAAACCAAGTACAAAATGAAATTGGTTAATACTTACCTATAAAATGTAATATTATGCTCACTCATCAGGTTCAACTAACTTAACTCATACAGTGATATATAAGCCATAATTCATATAGATTTAATGCATTTTTCCATGTATTACATGATTTAAGTACAGTCTTCAAAAGTGAAGGAGTCTTTACTTGAAAGATGTTAAAGTGTATATGTTTGTGACTCTAGAATTTTCTTAACAAAGACTGCCAACAGAGCATTTCTGTTAGCATTTAAAGTTCAAAGTGATAGGTAAGTTTTCTGTGGAGCTGACAACAAAGGGATATTTAATAGTGGCACAGGCAGATCAAAAATATCTATATAATAAGGTGTAGATTAGGATATCTTTATTAACATTTGTACATATGAACATAATTCAGTCTTTAAAAACAAACTTGAAAAAGATGTTTATTTTTATATTATTGGATATATATCATAACCTATTCTATGAAAAATAATTTTAGAAAAAAGTCATAAGATATGCCATAATTTTTACAAAAAAATCAAAATCCTGTAGGAATGATTAACATATATATATGATAATGTGTGTGTATATATATATATATATATATATATATGGAGAGAGAGAGAGACAGAGAGAGGGACAGAGAGAGAGAGAGAGACATGGATATTGATATCTATCTTTGTTTATAGTTTTTTATACTTATGTTTGTTTCTTTTTGGCAACAATGACAAACAAAATATATAGAAAAAAATATAGCACAATTATTCCCTGTAGAAACAACTCATATAATTTGCATTAAAAGTAAAATATTATAATTAATTCATCATCATCACAATAATTTTTTCAAGAATTGAGTAGGGTAATTCAAAAGGCTTTACACCTGATTAAGATGCCAACATCAAGGTAAATATATCTGATGTCCTATACTAATTTGTTTTATCAGTATTATTATTATTATATATAATAAATAACAAGATATATATAACATTTGTAAATCATTTTGAAATTTATAAAACACTTTCCCATATACTATCCTCTCTTAACTATTCTATTTTATAATTTACTAATTTTCATACAAAATTTTAATGAAAATTTTTTCTATTTAAAATCAATTAGCCTGTCATTTCCCCACATTATATATAAGAATTAACACCTAAATAGTATCACCTAAATTATAATTAATAAGATAATATCCCTATCCTACCTCCAAGTATCTTGATAATAGAAACTGTAGTTGTTTTGTCAAGCAATCCAGCAGCAGGCACAGAATTAAAAGGTCACCTCTGTGATTTTCATCTTTAGGTAGAATAAAGGTCTCCTGAATTTTAATAAGAACATTAATATGTGCATAAATGAGAAAGGAAGAAAATAGTGGAAATTGAACTTTAGTTCTAAGAATAGTCAAACACAACAGGAATCTTCCCCGCCCCAGAGAACAATTTCAGTATGTTAAAATATAAAATAAGCAACATTTTTGCAAGTTATATCCAAATTTGACAAACTTGATTTATTGACTTTTCAAATTACCTTGCTTAAGAAAAATCTGCATATTTTAACTTTAAATATATATTTGAAATCAGAATAAATTTCTGCATTGGAAGGCCATCTATATACTCTAGTTTCTGAAGAACATGCACTACTTGATCCCTTAACATCCAGTTATCTGAGTAAGCTGACATAATGTCAAATAAAACATTTTGTCATTAAACAATGTCCTTAAAAAACAAAAAGTCTAGAAAAGTAAGTATGGGTATTGATAAAATCATTTAATTGTCTAGAGCCAAAATTATCCTTTACTCTGATTTAGAACAGAGGTGATTTAACCCTCTTTATAAATAAAAGGCATTTTATGATGATGTACAGAGTACTGCAGTATTTTATTCTAACAAGCTATCACGTTTCATTACACAAACCCTATCAAGAAGATGTTATATGGCCTTTTCTTAAGCAGCATGACATAAATTTCTAGAGTAGCAAAATGTAATATTGGAAATAACAGCATAAACAATTCATCTAACTCATGTCTTTTATAAATGAAGAAACTGAAGCAAAGAAAAATTATGTGGGTGCTTAAATCTCACAGCTAGCATATCCAGTCCTTTTTCTATACCTCTCCTGTCCAGCACAGTAGGTACCAGCTACATGTACTGTTAATTACTTGAAGTATGGTTAAGTGGAATTGAGATGTGCTGTAAGTGTAAAATATAAACTGGATTTTAGTGGCTGACTATAGAAAGTAACACAAAATATCTCTCCCAATAATTTTATTCTAATTCTATGTTGCAAGATAATATTTTGGATATGCTAGATCAAAAATATATTATTAAAATAAATTTCACTTGTTTCATTTTACCAGTTTTAAATGTGTCTACTAGACATTTTTAAATTATATTCAAGGCTCACATTATATTTCTATCTGACAGCACTGTTCTAGACCATTACATTTTATATTCTTTTAGGTATATCTCTTTTTGAGATTCTAAGTACATACAGTAATTTCTTATATGAAATTCATACATTTTCATTAGTCAACTAAAAATATTCCCGTTTTTCATTCAAGAGTCTATGCTTACAAAATCTAAAAACCATACCACAACAAATGCCAAATGAGTATCAGAAATGTTTACAAGTTCATTGTAACTCTGTCCTTCACAAGGAGTGCTTCTCTTTGTTTCATACTCATTAATTTGAGTATTCTAAGATGTTATTCCCTAAACTCCACAGTAGTCCAAAACCTATTCTATACTTTGATAAATGTTTGCAAGGCAAAGGACTAAAAGGAAAAAGAGGGTATTGAATTTTCATTGCCACAGGAGAATAATCAAAGATAATTCCAATAAGAGTAAATTTTTTATTTAACTATGGCAATAGCTAACAAGATTTCTCAAAAGGAAAAATAATCGCTTTTATATAACAAGTCAAAATTTAAGTGTATTCTGCCTAAAAGCTGACAGCTGGTAAATTTGAAGGTCTCAGGATAAGGAAAATAATAATAATAATAATAATAAACACAACAAAACACCTGAAACACAATAGGTTAGCCTTAACTCAAAGTCATTTTTACCTGATGGACAACAGGGTATCAATGCATGTGCTCACTGAACCAATATTTTGAAAGAACCATTTCATAGGGGCAGGCAATAAGCATTTCCCCAAAAACTATTCTTCTATCTTAAATCCCTAGTATAATTGAGGCTTCTACAATAAGTGAATTCATGAAGGCTGTGTACTCTTTAAAGACCGGAAGATAGTACTTGGTATATTGTCAAGTGTTGGGACTGGGAGTCCTTCATACAAATCATGGGGATTCTGTTTACTTCTCCCCATGCAGATTCGGTTTCCTGACAGACACTCCTGACCAATACTGATTCATTAAATAGGAGTAACAAACCTTTCTTTGGGAGAGTAGTCACTTTTCCATTTTCTAGTAACTAAGTAAGAACTGCTGAGAGCTTGTGAAGATGAGGGACATATTGGAGTGATACCAAGGAATGAGAGTTGAGAAGTAGCTGATAGTGATCAGCCCTTAGAAACTTAAAGTATACAAAAAAAAAATAAATAGGATCATGTTGGATTTCTCCCAGTGTAGGTAATTCCTAGTCCAGGAGCTCTTTTCAGAAGCCCAATGATGTTACTGTTGATAGGATGAGGTTGGATTTTTATTTGTGTGATGCATATTTTAAGACATGGAAGACAGCATTTAAAAAAACAAAAAAAGGAATGATTTGGAAGACAGGAGGAGTCTGCTCTGCTATAGAGTGATTTTCAGCCAACCTCTTCCCTGAACCTGAATACAAATACTCAAAGAGTGGAATTAGATGGTGTCTACATTCTTTCTTTATTTTTTATTTTTTTATTTTGAGACAGAGTCTTACTCTGTTGCCCAGGCTGGACTGCAGTGGCGAAATTTTCACTCACTGCAATGTCCACCTCCTGGGCTCAAGCGATTCTCATGCCTCAGCCTCCTGAGTAGCTGGGATTACAGGTGCCCACCATTATGCCCATCTAATTTTTGTATTTTTTGTAGAGACAGGGTTTCACCATGTTGGCCAGGCTGGTCTCAAATTCCTGACCCCAAGTGATCCGCCCGCCTTGGCCTCCCAATGTGCTGGGATTACAGGCGTGAGCCACCATGGCCAGCCTCTACATTCTTTAAAACTCACATTTCCTAAATAGAGATTTGTGAACCTTCAAAAGATTGTAAGACTGTTCCACATAGATCCTGCCAGAAAAAGGCTAACTTGTCTGTTTCCATTATTATCTTTAATCAAAAACAAAATGTTCTTTAGCATTTGGTTTTCCACTTTGGACAAAACATGCCAAGTGCATCTCCGGTGAGTACATGTAGGAAATACTGGTTATTGAATGAACTTGTTCATTTCTTCCTTTCATATTCACCAAAATGTTCCTGGAAATAATGAGATTTTTTCAACATTATACTGATTTTAGTTTTTTTATGTTAGTCACATATTTTAACATTTAATTTAAATTTTAAGATTATCTTCAAAATGAATACTACAGATAGGCAGAAAACATAAGAAAACCTTATGAAATTTTTATAAGTTTGTGCAAATCATAATATGGTAATTCTGCAAATTCCCAAGATAGCAGCATTCTAAGGTATCTATAGCATAGAAATTGATATTAAACATTCATATTTTAAAATATGTATTTAATAAGAATAAAATCTGTTCTTGCTTTTCATATATCGTTACAAAGTTTATACACATTCTAAATGTATTATACTTTAGAGAGGATTTTGTAAACATCATAAAGCAATCTCCCTTATCTCACCATTTATAAGCAAAACAGAACATATAAGTAAATAGTATGCTATTTCAGTGGAAATGGAAGAATAAAGTAGTTTTAATCTTTTTTTGATGATATGAAGTATATTAAAATTATATCTGTATTTTAATGTATTTTAGCTCCTAAATCAAATTTCATATGCCATCTTCAAATCTTTCCTTAAAAATTTATGCCCTTTCTTCTACAAGTCATTAAAAGTAAATTTTAAAATACTGTAATTAGAAAATGTTGACATCCTCTATGCTATAGATATTAACAAAATGCTATAGGTATTACCTATGCTATAGGTATTAACAAAATGCTATTAAAATTAATGTTATAAACTTTACTGTTACACCAATAAAGATAATTTTACTTAAAATACTGTTTATTGTATGATGTGAAAAAATAAGCAATTTTTTTTTCTACTTCCTAAGCAGGTGGTCAGTTTTTCTTGTGCTTAAAAGAGTTGGTAAGAATCGCTTGGTAGTATTTATTTAAAAACAAAAACTCCATCAATGCATGCCCCTTCACTAGAGATTATAATTCAGCAGGATGCACTTCCAGAATTTTTATTATTCACAAAAATACTATGATAGCTAATCTGATTTACGAGGAATGCAGCCTGTAGATACAGGTCAGGTCAATGCTAATAATCCTCAACTATTTGACCTGTATCATAACAATTATAATCACTAATACACTGGAAAGATTATGGTGTGTTCATGACAATGTGCCTAAACCCAAAAGAAGAAAGCACTATCTAAATAAAATACAGGGTTTTATTTTATGTTTGACTTCTAGACTTAATGCAATGCTGGATCATAATAGGTTATAACTGATGAATGAATAAAATACCTAGGATCTATATAATTTATCTAGCATAGTTGCAGGGTACAAAATTCCATAGTAAAAATGGTAGTTAAATACTATAGAGTAATTATTTAAACATTTGTTCATTCACTTATCAAATAGTGGTTGAGCATCTAACTGGCACTGAGGAGATAGCAGCAATATGACAACTATTGCTCCTGGAGTCTCATCCGTGTAACTGCAAGCAAGCACTGCTTACACTTTAATTATTTAACAAAAATTATGAAAAGTGCTAAACAGTAGAATTAAAAAGTGCTAAACAAAAGGCATATAACTAGGCAATTATCTAATCTTGGGAAGATTCAAGTAGTGAAATCTCAGCTAAGTCCTAAAGGATGAGGGATACACACACACACACACATATGCGCACACACACACACACATACACACACATCAATGAGGGGTATCAAGAAGTAGAGAAGTAGACAAACTTTCAGCAGAGGCAACAGTATGTGGAAGTCCCTGAGACGTGAAAAACTGGAGAACGTACTAGAAGGCTATTGTGGATGGAGTGTGTAATATAGGGGAAGAGTGGCATTAGCTGAAACAGTGAAATAGGCCCAGCTAGGTCATGTAAGAACTTATAATTCATGATACTGCTGATATTGTACTTTATATTTGGGGAAATAAGAAGCCTTTGATACTTTTTATGAGGATAATTCCATTATCAAATATATCTGCATTTTTGAAATGTCTATGGTTTCCGTGTTAAAGTAAGTGTAGTAGGACAAAAGCTAAAGAAAGACCAGTTAAGAAGCAACTGAAAGAAAAAAAATCCTAAAATTTATATGGAACCACAAAAGACCCAGAATAGCCAAAGCTATCCTGAGCAAAAAGAACGAAACTGGATGCATCACATTACCTGACTTCCAATTATACTTCAGAGCTATAGTAACCAAAACAGTATAGCACTGGCATAAAAACAGATGCATAGACCAGCGGAACAGAATAGAGAACCCAGAAACAAATCCATATGTCTGCAGTGAATTCACTTTAGACAAAGATTCCAATTACATACACTGGGGAAAAGACAGTTTCTTCAATCGATAGTGCTGGGAAAACTAAATATCCTTATGCAGAAAAATGAAATTAGACCCCTATATCTCTCACCACCTACAGGGTGAAATCAAAATTGATTAAAGACTTAAAGCTAAGACTTCAAACTATGAAACTACAACAAGAAAACATTGGGGAAACTATCCAGGATGCTGGACTGGGCAAAGACTTCTTGAGCGACATCCCACAGACACAGGCAACTAAAGCAAATTTGGACAAATGGGATCACATCAAGATAAAAAGCTTCTGCAATGCCAAAGAAACAATCAATGTAGTGAAGATACAACCCATAGAATGGGAGAAAATATCTGTATACTACCCATCTGACAAGGGATTAATAACCAAAATATATGAGGAGAGCAAAGAACTCTATATGAAAAAAAATTAATAATCCAATTTTAAAATGAACAAAAGGTCTGAATAGATGTATCTCGAAAGAAGACATACTAGCAGCAAACAGGTATATGAAAAGATGCTCAACATCATTGATCATCAGAGAATGCAAATCAAACTAAAATGAGATATCATTTCACCCAGTTAATATGGTTTATATCCAAAAGACAGGCAATAACAAATGCTGGCAAGGAGGTGGAGAAAAGGCAACATCATAAATTGTGGGTGGAAATGTAAATTATTACAACCACTATGGGGAACATTTTGGAGGTTACTCCGAAAACTAACAATAGGGTTACCATACAATCCATCAACCCCACTGCTAGGTATATACGCCAAAGAAAGGAAATTACTATATTGAAGAGAAATCTGCACTCCCATATTCATTGCAGCACTATTCACAACAGCCAAGATTTGGAAGCAACCTAGGTGTCCATCAGCAGAAGACTCGATAAAGAAAATGTGGTACATAGACACAAATACTATTCAGCCATAAAAAAGAGTGAGATCCTGTCATTTGCAACAATATGGATGGAACTGGAGATTATTATGCTAAGTAAAATAAGTCAGGCACATAAAGACAGACATCACATATTCTCACTTATCTGTGGGAGGTAAAAATAAAACAGTTGAACTCGTGGATATAGAGAATAGAAGGATGGTTACCCAAGGCTGAGAAGAGTGATCTGTGTGAGAGGACACTACACGGGGGAGGGGAAGCCATTTTAACTGGGTAGGGGGATGGTTAATAGCTACAAAAAGGTCAGGAGTGGTGGCTGATGCCTGTAATCCCAGAACTTTCAGAGGCCGAGGCAGGCAGATCACCTGAGGTCAGTTCAAGACCAGCCTGGCCAACATGGTGAAACCACATCTCTACTAAAGATACAAAAATTAGCCAGGGGTGGTGACACACTCCTGTAATCCCAGCTACTCAGGAGGCTGAGGCAAGAGAATCACTTGAACCCAGGAGGCAGAAGTTACAATGAACCAAGATTGTGACACTGCCCTACAGCCTGGGCAACAGAGCAAGACTCTTATCTCAAAAAAAAAAAGCTACAAAAAATAGTTAAAAAGAATAAATGAGATCTAGTATTTGCTAATACAACAGGGTGACCATGGTATAAAAATAATTTAATTGTTCATTTTAAAAATAACTGAAAGAGTATATTTTGATTGTTTAAAACACAAAGGATACATGCTTGAGGAGACAGACACTCTTTTAACCCTAATGTGATTATTATGTATTGCGTGCCTGTATCAAAATATCTCATGTAACCCATAAATCTAACTATCTATCTAGGTAGCTAGCTATAACATGTGCTCACAAAAATTAAAAATTAAGACAGAAGAAACTGCGGAGAAAAAAAGGAAGTAACTGCTGTAATGCAAACAGAGGGCAAAGGTGTCATGTACTAAGGTGGTAGCAGTAGGAATGGAGAAGTGAAAATGACAAGGCTCAGATTCATAAATAGGATTATTTCCCCAGAGTTTTTACCATTCTTCCTAATAGAGTATGCTTATATTATTTATTTCTTGTAACACTCTCTTTATGCCTAAAAGATGTCATAACTTTAGCAAGGTCATTTAATTTATTAGGGGTTAGAAAAACGTACTTTATAGGATAAGAGTGTTGACACTTGGAAAGGAGTAATACAACATTTATACCACCGTTAGTGGAATTAATCAAAGGAACTCCTAGGTCTGACAGTAAAAAGTAGGGGAGAAACTACAACCTATATTACCTAAAGTTAATAAAGATAGGTTGGGGACTTAAGAAACTATTCAGTGTAGGGTAAATCTATGGAAAGAGATTCATAACAGGAATCATAGACATACAAATTTAATTCCCACATTCAGAGAATTATTCAACAAAATTGTCAATAGATTAGTGTGAATCCACCTTGTGGGAATGGGATAGAAGGTAGGCCTGTAGGCCTTTTTGTAGCTATTAACCATCCCCCTACCCAGTTAAAATGGCTTCCCCTCCCCCGTGTAGTGTCTTCTCACACAGATCACTCTTCTCAGCCTTGGGTAACCATCCTTCTATTCTCTATATCCACGAGTTCAACTGTTTTATTTTTACCTCCCACAGATAAGTGAGAATATGTGATGTCTGTCTTTATGTGCCTGACTTATTTTACTTAGCATAATAATCTCCAGTTCCATCCATATTGTTGCAAATGACAGGATCTCACTCTTTTTTATGGCTGAATAGTATTTGTGTCTATGTGCCACATTTTCTTTATCCAGTCTTCTGTTGATGGACACCTAGGTTGCTTCCAAATCTTGGCTGTTGTGAATAGTGCTGCAATGAATGTGGGAGTGCAGCCTGGCCCTTTGAGACAAAATGGTATATGTGAAGACCAGTAACTTCCTGGATATATTAAAAGCTGATTCCTTGTATCAAAAATATTTTTTGGTTAAACCAGCTTCCATAGTGCTTTATAAAAGTATTTAAGTCATAGTTGACTTTTCAGAGATAAAACTATCACACGGACTTGGCTTTTCTTAAGTCTGTTAACATCTGCATCTTTTTTTTTTTTTTCGAGACCCAGTCTCGCTCTGTCGCCCAGGTTGGAGAGCAGTGGCGCAATTTTGGCTCACTACAAGCTCCGCCTCCGGGGTTCACGCCATTCTCCTGCCTCAGCCTCCCGAGTAGCTGGGACTACAGGTGCCCGTCACCATGCCCGGCTAATTTTTTGTATTTTTAGTAGAGATGGGGTTTCACCGTAGTAGCCAGTATGGTCTCGATCTCCTGATCTTGTGATCCGCCTGCCTCGGCCTCCCAAAGAGCTGGGATTACAGGCGTGAGCCACCACACCTGGCCCATCTGCAGCTTTTTAAAAAAATAAAATCTGTTTGCATAATTTTAGCTCTCTCTAGAAACAGAATAATGGGAGCTGGCGTATAAAAGAGAAGATAGTACTAAATGTATTTTTTCACTTGTCAAGAATTTGTATTCCTTCAAAAACAAAGAACACATGGTGATTATAAGAATAATGAGGTTTGAGTTTCATTTAATTGAAAGTTCCTCAAAGTGTAGGATTTGTGTTTTTATCTTAACCTGAAGGAAGGCATTTTGTGCATGTGTGTGTTCCAGGAGACCATGCTAGGGTCTGAAGAGAATAGTGACTGCAACATCACTTTATAGTATTTGGTATTGTGTGCTATTTTTACATAGTAAAATAAATCGTAGTGTTTTTCTCAGTGTATATTAAAATATATCAAATATTAAACATTACATCTAGAGATACACTTAGGCATTTACATGTTACATTAAAATTCTAAATCTAACACAGGATGCTTAGAAAGCATTCTCTCTACTTCCACAATCTCCATTGAAAGGAAGAAAATGCCAACTCAAAAACCAACATGTATTATATCTATACATCTCTTTGATTTAATAACTTGTCAAACAAGCTGAAGATGGAAATGATAATAAGCTAAAACAATATATAACCAAATCTTCAACAGTACTTGAAGAAACAAAACAACAGTAAGGGAAACAGAAATGAATTTCTATATAGAAAACTACATCACTATAACTTCAACTTTTTATAACTACTAATATAATTCTATTCACAGCACCACCACCAGCCCAAAAGAGATTCTAAAGATCACCTCAAGCAAGAGTTATGTTTCTTTTTTAAAGCATCACAGAATTAGCTTATAACTAACCTTTCACCATTATCTGAACTTGTATCAAGTTACAAAGAACTTCTACAGCAGCTAGAAAACTTTATAAAGAATGCACTTGTTAGTCTACAGTGACATCAATGGACTTTAAGACTGATTTTTGAAGAAATGATGAAACACTATTTATTTTTAGTATTCCCTGATCAAAATTTCTTCATTTTAATAGTTTTATTGGTGAGTGATCATTTATTTTATCCAATGCTAACCTATAGCAACATAATAATTTATGCTCTACATTTATCTTTCATAATTTTACATTTAAGATTTGCTAATAAGTTTATAATATTTCTTTTTTAAAATGTATATTTTTAAATATATTTCTTTATTTTAGGTATTTAAATACTTTTTGATGAAATTATAGAATCAATATGTGGAATAAACACCAAATATCAATACTTTCTTTCTTCCCAGTATTAAAAGTAAGTGGTTGAGATGTAGGTTCTTGTCCTAAAGGAGCTTGCCATTCCTAGTCAATACCAATATCCAGAAATTGGGGAAGTTTATGACACACAGTCAGACCCACATTTCATGGTCAATTTTTAAATCAACAAATGGCCATAATGAAGACAATACCACATTAACACCAAATTATAGTAGAGGCAGAGGGAAGAAAATTATGGAACAAGAATTGGATTTAAATCCCAACTTCAACTTTTAATAGCTGCGCCTCATGAATAAGTCACGTAACCTTTCTGGGCTTCTTTTCTCTAAATTTGGACAAGAGCAGCTAACCACTCAGTTATCAGGATTAAATTAGCTTGTGCATATAAGGTGCTTAATATAGTACCCAACACATAGTCAGTGCTCAATAACATTGGGCACAAAATTTCCATTGCAACACGAAATAAGAAAAATAAAGAAAGGGCTAGTTGAATTACTTAAATTGTGACACCTGAAATAACATACACTGGGTGAATTACAGTAAAGATCTGATATGGTTTGGCTCTGCATCCCCACCCAAATCTCATGTTGAATTGTAATAGCCAGTGTTGGGGAAGGGACCTGTTGGGAGGTGATTGGATCATGGTGTGCATTTTCCCCTTGCAGTTCTCATAATAGTGAGTTCTCAGAAGATCTCCTTGTTTAAAAGTGTGTAGCACTTCCCCTTTCACTCTCTCTCCTGCTCTGCCATGGTAAGACAGAGCAGGAGAGAGAGGGCTTGCTTCTCCTTTACCTTCCACCACAACTGTAAGTTTCCTGAGGCCTCCCAGCCATGCTTCCTGTACAGCCTGCAGAACTGTGAGTCAATCAAACCTCTTTTCTTTATAAATTACCCAGTCTCGGGTAGTTCTTTATAGCAGCATGAGAATGGACTAACACAATATGTGAAATATAAACAGAGAATAATAGTTTATTGCTTGGGGAGACGAAATACCAAAGAAGTCTCCTGGGGTCAAAATTCATAGCAAACTTTTAAAATCACTTATCTTGCAGTTACGTTCTTTATTTGGAAACTTATTCAACCTATTTTCTTCTGTTATAATATTGTAGATTAGTACTCTACATCTTAAAAACTTCTATCATATGAAATCTATAATCATTTGCAGACCTGTTTTCCAATGCAAATAATCTTATGAAGGTCAAATTTCTACACGAATATATTGAAAGCAATTTTCCCTAAAAGATAATCTAAACTTTATGTAAGAAATAACAAGAGGATTATAAAATGTTGTCTCAAAAGGGATCTTCTAGGTTTACAGCCTCATTCTGCATATGGACAAATGGGACTCTGGAACGCAATGGGTTCTCTTTAGTCATAGTGTAAGGTAACAACAGAGCTATGAACATAAACCAGATCTTTTGTACCCTAAACCCAAACACCTTGTATTTTTTGGTAAACTAAACAAATGCAGCTAAGCAGGGACCTAATTCATCAAATCTTCATTATTTTATTTCACAAATATTTGAACACCAAGAGTAAATGGACTAAGTAAGAGGAGATGCTGTATTACAAAATAAAAATAAAACAAATGGTAAATAACATGTTTAAGAAATCTTTATCCACATTATCAATCCATGAGACATAATTTAAATTGTCACGTCAGTTTAAGCCAGTCAAGATGCAACCAAGCACAGCAACTCATTGGCATTATAGAAATGCTTACAGAAGGTTTCTGAATGTATGCTCATGTCATAAAGGAAGATGAATTTTTCTACGTAACCTCAACTTTATCTATATGCAATTAAAAATGTGGCTCATTGACAAATTCCTTAAAAATTCAGTCATCGAAAAGTAAAGTACCAAAATCCGAGCAGTTTACTAAGACTCTAAAGATAGACCGTGTCCTTTGTTACACAGACTTTGTCTAATTTCCTTCCCTTGAGTATGGGAAGGACCTGTGATGATGATGGGGTATCACTCCCATGATTAAGTTACCAATCAACTGATTTTGAGCTAAATATAGAGAGGTGATCTCTTTTGTGGTAGGCCTGACCTAACGAATTCATGCCTTTAATATAAGGTGAAATATTAGAAAGACTTTCTCCTACTATCCTGGAAGAAGGGAAAGAGTCATGAACTACCTATGGAGGATGCCATGTGGCTGGTCCACAGGGGCAACATCTAGGATCTAAGAGTGGTCCTCCCTGTCACCTCGGGGAGACAGCACAATAACAGAGATTTCAGTCCTACATCCATAGTGAAATAAATTATGCCAATAGTCTGAAAGAACTTAGAAGCAGCTCTTTCTCCTGTCAAACCATCACATGAGGACACATACAAACTGACAGCTTTTATTTGATCCTTACAAAGTCCTGAGCAGGAGACCTGCTAAAAACATGCCAGAACCATGGGAAATGTGAGGTATTAAATTTATGTTTCTTTTAGCATCTCATTTCTTTGGCAATTTGTTATGCAGCAATAGAAAACTAATACAGGAAGGGATCAAGTTTTTATACTTTGTATAATCTCAAGATTCAAAATACAATAGTATAGTAGGTATCTGGGTACCTAATATATTCTTGAGTGAATTATCTTAATTGGAAATGGTATGCTTGACTCAGCACCGTGCTAGGAAATGGCCAGAAAATAATCGTGCTGTCACTTACATTTGGGGAGACTCTTTTGTTTTTAAACATTTTCTCATTTAATACTCTGAGCTATACATGGCATGGATATCATCTCCATTTTTCAGATGAGAAAAATGGAATCTATGAGTTAAAGTTCCAGAAATCATGTTACTACCTCATTTTCTCCCATAGCATAAGGCACATGGGAACACACGGAATTCTCTTATAAATCGAAGGTGTTGTTATAAACCAAGAATGAGGGTTGTTACTATGTTTATTTCATTCTACCCTTGATTTCCTGCAGAGACACTGTCAAGCACCTCTCAGATGTTAAACATGTATTTGCTAGCTGACTGAATACAGGCAACATCAGCCAACCACAGAGTTTATTATACTTCTTATACTCTAAGCAAAATAACATTCATAATAATTGTATTAATAACTATTAATTAAGCCCCTGTGATGTCATATATCCTTTATAGACTTTTATTTTAATTCTCACAGTAAACATGCAAGGAAGTTCAAATTCTTCATTGCAAATGAGGGAACTGAATTTTAGAAGGATTAAGTGATTTGATGAAGGTACATAGCTATTAAATGATGGATACACACACAAATTCAGATCTGTTGGCTCTAAGGCTTGAATTATTTCAATGATTTCAAGTTACTATGCCAAGGGGACCTTACAGAAAAGTGGCAGACAATACCAATAAATAACAAAGAGTTATGAACTAGCCAATGCTTTGTACTTATGGGCAAAACCCCTTGAATCTATAACACACACATTATTTCACAGTATAAAATGCTCTTACATGTAATACTATCTTAATCACTAATTGCTTTATATAAGTATGTAACATCACATAAATAAAATTAAACCCTGCTTTCAGAACAAGGATCTCTGAGGAAGAAAAAATAATAAATCCTGCTCTGGCAAGGAAAATTTATGTTTATTGTAAAAATTCAACAAAATTATGCAATCATACTTACAAATTCACAAAGATTACAATATACCTAAAAGTACTTTTGTAACAAATGATTTTTCTCTATATTACATAAGTAATTGAAAAATAATATTTTTGTACTTTGAATTCAACATGGTTTCTCCATTTTGTATTATGAATCGTACGATTTTAAGAAAGAAGCATTTTGCTTCAGAGTTGCAGTTAAGGCTTTGGAGTCACCTTGGAATGCATCTCTTCAAAATGTTTCTCTTCCTGTTTTCTCCAGAATATAAAAGGCTATCAAAGTTTCTCAGGCATTTAAAAGCCCAAAATGATTGTCTTTTAAAATTTTTTTTTCTTCATGAAACAATTCAAGCTTTTAAAGTTTCACACCTCTTGTCTAGGTAGCTATTGCTTTATATTTAGAAAAAAATGTTAATTCTCAAACTGAATGAAAATCTTGAGGAAAAGTACAGTTATCCAAGGATGACTGCATCTTTATTTTGTTCCTTTGGCAATCTTCATTTGCCAATAGTTCATCTCAAGTATCCAGCTATATTGCACATCATATAAATCTAAATCATTGCAATGTCTCTCTTGATGTTGCATCAAATCTACTGTGACTCTTCAAATAAGGCAAATAACCTTTATCTCTACTTTTCACCCTCCCCTTATGCCCTGCTCTTCTAGCCACCTGAAAATTAAAAAAAAAACAAACCAAAATACTGAGAGAGTATTCTATGATTGAAAAGATACATTAGAGCTGCTTTAAAAGGAAAACATAGGCAGCTGCACACAAAATCATTATCAATGGATAACACTAGCACCTGAGAACTATAAAGGCTCAGGGAAGGCACTGCAAAACTAAATATGTTTGTCAGTTTCTGAATCATTAGACAAGGAATTCTTGCTCCTATTCCAACAGTCACTGCTGCAACAGCCACACAGCGTCAGCCATTCATTTATATACTACATTATTTCATTGCTTAATTGGGAGAAAACACACCTGCCAACATAATCTTGACATAATATAAACAAGAGATACATCTCAGATTGGAAGAAAATGATGAATCAAGCAATTAGTAATTGGAAGACTAGATAACTAGAATGCAGAAACTTCCCATTTGTCTAGTTATAAAAGTAAGCATGTTCCAAGTATTAAAATAAATCAGTGTGGGCTTAAAAAACTCTAACAGTAGATTTAGAAACTTTAAGTCACTGAGCCTAAAGGAAATACAGCAACTTGCCTCCAAATACTATCATTTACAAGGGTTCAGTAAGTTCTCAATAATGTAGGCTAACAGCAAGGAGCAAAGATGCTACCAATTAAAAGCTTATTTCTATTTGGCCACAAATGCATTGCATTATAGATTAGTAGCTAGGCTAATTATACATTACTTTGGTAAATATTCAAATTAGATCTCATTCCCTAAGCAGATATCAGCTGACAGGATAAGGTGGCATTTAGAGGTATGCATAGATGCAAAGGGAAACATTCTAGAATTAAAAACACATGGATAATGCAGAGTTAATTACATGAGCTTGACTACAGGAAGATGCTTGAATTCCTGTTAATTTACTGAAGTGGGCACCAACACTGTGTTGGGGGTTAGCCAGGAAATGAAGCAGGTGACATGAATAAAAGCAAATGGGCAAAATGTGTGATTGCAAAGTCTGTTTATGAAATAAAATTTTTGTAAGCCCAATTATTTGAAAAGCTGCACTATGCACTTATTCTAACTTCTTTTCTATCCTTGACTTAGATGAAATTTACTTGCACAATAGCTAGAACCATTTTGCTAAAATATATAGCAATTTTCTATTTCAATCTCATTTTTGATATAAAATTGAATGCAAATCTACATATTTATATATAAGCCATCAGTGTAGACTGAGTTTACATATAAGCTTTTTCCACATATTTTGCTTGTGAGTAATTTTTTTAAGTCTGGTGAATAAAAAGCTATTGCATAAAGTGCTTAACTAAATCAATTTATTTCCACCTGCATAATTTCCAAAGCTCAACTGCATATCTCATCTGTTGAGATGCCCAAAGTAGTCTTTGCTTCTTTAGAAGGTAGACTGTTTCAATGACTGCCCATTACGGTGAAAATACTTTATGTTAAATCTAAAGCTTTATATGTATTCCAGCTCTCTTTATTTTATAAAAGAAGAAAAAATGATTTGCAAGATAAATGCAATGTATACTTATAAATCTTTTATTTTATAAAACTTCACCCAAACTGAATTATATTAGATCCATGCAATTTGGGGAAGCAGATGAATTACCTATATATAAGGAGGTTTGCGTAAGTATAAGATACTCTAGGCACCTACAAGTTAAATTTGAAATGTCTGAAAGTCCATGGCCTCATGAAATTCCACAAACAATTCAATATTCTGACTTTCATACTGTACAGGGTATTAAAAGTGGATATGGCAGGAAAGTGAGTCAGTGAGCTTGGTGAATGAGCCTAGGTAGCCATATACCATCTTCATTTCGTAACAAATTTGCTTTTCTGTACCTTTTGCAACGCATAGAGTTAATTTAGAAATGTATACATTAGAGAAGTATTAGCTAAGTTGGTGATTTTTAAAGATGCTTGGACATCCAAAACACCAATGTCAATAATCCGCTGGAGTTAGGAAGAAGAAAACAGCCTGCTAACAGATCATAATCTTTCAGCAAATGGCCAAGGTGCTGCCCACTTCATTGAAGCCTCTTCTATTCATAGGTGTAAAACGAAGGTCATTCCTTGTTACAGATGAGAAGATACTTCCTATCAGTTAAAAATGGAGGATGTAGAAGAATTTAGGATTATCAGATACCCTACCCAGGAAAACAAATTCAGCCGTGATAAAACAACAAGAAACAATTCTCACTTAAAGAACTAGGCATGGTTAGTGCTTGTATATGCAAGACGTGCATGTGAAATTGAGGAAATTGGATACTTTAGAAATATTTAAACATGTAATTAGCCAATCATGTAACTGGCCCTTCTAAGAAATCCTTATACACTGGTTTACTATGAATGTTCAAACAAATGTCTTGATAGTTCTGGAAATGTCAGGTTTAATCTCCTGCCATAACTAATTTCCTCAGATGTCTGTACAGCTACAGTTTTGTTTGTTTGTTTGTTTGTTTTTTGAGACGGAGTCTTGCTCCGTCGCCCAGGCTGGAGTGCAGTGATTCGATCTCGGCTCACTGCAAGCTCCACCTCCCGAGTTCACGCCATTCTCCTGCCTCAGCCTCCCGAGTAGCTGGGACTACAGGCGCCCGCCGCCACGCCCGGCTAATTTTTTGTATTTTTAATAGAGACTGGGTTTCACCGTGTTAGCCAGGATGATCTTGATCTCCTGACCTCGTGATCCGCCCGCCTCGGGGCCTCCCAAAGTGCTGGGATTACAGGCATGAGCCACCGCGCCCGGCCACAGCTACAGTTTTAATAGTAGGTACAGTACAATTAGTGGTCCCTGGAAGTTACTTTGTTTTTTTTTCTTTTGATGAGACGGAGTCTCGCTCTGTCCCCCAGGCTGGAGTGCAGTGGTGCGATCTCGGCTCACTGCAAGCTCCGCCTCCCGGGTTCAAGCAGTTCTCCTACCTCAGCCTCCCAAGTAGTTGGGACTACAGGCGCTCGCCACCACGCCCAGCTAATTTTTGTATTTTTAGTAGAGACGGAGTTTCACCGTGTTCGCCCAGATGCTCTTGATCTCTTCACCTCGTGATCCGCCCACCTCGGCCTCCCAAAGTGCTGGAATTACAGGCGTGAGCCACGGCGCCCGGCCTGGAAGTTAGTTTTTAAAAAATAAGTTACTAAGCAAAGTCAAACAAATGTTTGCACGCTGATTCTTTTATACAATACCATAAAAGGGGTCCTATTTAAAGGAACTTTATAGATATTGAAATGTTATTGTAAGAATGATCCTTTTTTAAAAAATCACTGTATACATTTTTTAAATAAAATTTCCTTCAAAAATAGAATGCATTTAAGCTAAAGTAACCTGTTTTGTGTTCTGTTGACACAGTCACCAGCAGTATGTATGTCAATCACTGTACCATGTTTTAATTCAATATTCTCCTTGTCCAATTCTAAGTTAAACCAAGTTGTTCCTTCACTGAATAACAGGTTGTTATTCTAAAATGGCAGTTAGTGTTTACGGCCCTTTGCTCACTCAAAATTCTTACAATATCTGTAGTCTCTCCACAAGTCCCTTCCCATCAATTCTAACTTCCTCTTCATTAAAAACGATGCAAAAGTTAAGCTAGTTTGAAATATATATATCTATATAATATATATACACACACATATATACATATGTGTAATTCAGAAAGCATAATTTTATACTTGCTGCTAAACTAAACAGTTTTTAAATAACAACCTATATATACTTAATTTCCTCTTCCACAAAATAACATATGTGGCCTATGTGAAAGCCATTTTCTTCACAGCTTATCAGCTTTTTTTTGCCTAATTGATATTCTCAAATATTCTACCTATGCAGAATGACTAGATGTCCAGACATCTAATTAGTGAAGAAGAGAAATTTTGGGAGTCGGAAGGTGGTGAGGGCATAATACCTAAAGTTCCATGGGTATGGGCTAATTTCAGATTTAAAGATATATATATATATATGTGTGTGTAGGTGTGTATGTTCATGTATATATGTGTGTATATATACATATATTTATATATGTGTGTATATATACATATATTTATATATGTGTGTATATATAATGTATTTAATCTTTTAAAATAAAAGCAATTTATGTTAATGTAACTTAATATTACTGTATCAATACTGTATCCCTTATACATTGCATATGCATGTGTGTATGATATATAATGTGTACATATGATATATAATATGTATGATGTATTTTTAGAACTTATATCTGAATTTATTATCTTTTAAAATATTATAGAAAATCAAATACGAAATATATCCCTTCTCCCAAAATGATGTCTAATTTTTAGAGAAAATATGCTCAATTATTTTTCATAATTGCTCAGAGCAATTAAGAAGCTTGAGCATGCTACTCAAGGGTTCATCAAAGTGTGACCCTAGGACCAGCGGCATGAGCATCACTTGTGAACTTGGCAGAAGTGCAATTTTTTGGGCTCCAGCTAAGACCTGCTGAATCTGAAACTCTAGGGACCTGGCCCAGGAATCTGCTCTTGTGGGCTTTCCAGGTGATTCCAATGCATAGAGTCTGAGAACTACTGTCCTTCCCAATCCATGAATAATAAATGAAGAATGAAGAATTCATGTGACCACTTGCTCCTGGCTCCAGCTGTTGGATTTCTGGCTGCATCCTACCAAAATCAGCAGCCCTAAGGCATCTATTCAAAAAGTTGTGCCACTTGTTTTACCTTTAGATTACATGACAAAATAATAAAAAACTGCAAACTCTTGGCACATTCATAACCCAAAACATCCAAGTGCCAACTGTCAAAAACATACTGGAAAAATGCTACTCCATTCCTAATTAATAATCCCCATCTCCACAGCTTCTATTCCTGTGAGATTATAATTGAATATTTTCTCTATTCCTCTCCATGATAAATATCAAACTGTAAATAAGGCTGAAAGGAGTCTTTAACATTGAAAGCTGATAAGAAAACACACTCATATATTATTCACTCTGTACTAGAAATTATGCTACAATCTTTCTATGTATTAACCCACTTAATATTCACAGAAAGCCTTTAAGGAAGATACTAATATCATCCCAAACCCCACTCTCATTAAGTGACTTGCCCAAGATCTCACATTTAGTAAGTAAAGGATTAGAATTTGAAGGAAAGCAGTAAAAGCTCTTAAAAACAGATTGTCAGTGGCAAAGTATCGTAATTGTCAAAGGAGAAAGTATAACTTGCAAATACAAAGAAACTTCAAAAAGTTCATGGAAAACGCATACCATGAATAAACCATGCATGGATTTCAATTTTTTGCCTTAAAATACTTGCACTAACTTATTATAACATGTCTGAATATGATCTAGTTTTACAAACTAAGAAGGATAAGACACCAGTTTGAAAAAAGCCCTCATCAGAGCAAAATAAAATTGAAGCAAGAACAAATATCAAATTTATGATGAAGCTTTAGTGGAAGAATGGTGAAACCTCGATGCTTTGCAAACAGTGTATAGGGACAATGGCCCTAAGAAATCAGAAGTTTACATATAGATAACTGATTTTAAGAAGGGAACAGACAGTGTTGAAGATGAAGCCAGCAGGAGCAGACCATCCATGTCAATTTTGGAGGAAAAAAGTCATCTTGTTTGTGCCCTAATTGAAGACTACTGAGGATTCACAGAACAAACAATAGCCAACACCACAGACATCATAACTGTTTCCGCTTACCCAATTCTGACTAAAGAAGTAACATTGAGCAATCTTTTCATTTCACGGTTGCCAAAATCGTGGTGCCCACCTCAGCAGCAGACAAGTGCAGAGGTTTCAATAGAAATTTTAAACAAACAGGATCAAGATCTTGAAGCATTTCTTCAAAGACTTGTAACAGACAATTAAACATGGCTTTACCAGTAGAATCCTGAAGGCAAAGCATAATCAAAGCAATAGTTCCCAAGCAGTGGTAGTGGTCCAGTCAAAGCAAAAGTAAACTGGTCAAGAGCGAGGTGATAAAACATTTTTTGAGATGCTCAAGGTATTTTACTTGTTGACTTTCTACATGGCCAAAGAACAATAACATCTGCTTAATATGAGGGTAATCTGAGAAAATTTACCAAAGCTTTAGGAAAAAAAAAAAAATTGCCAGAAAGGAATTCTTTTCCACAACAACAATGCTCCTGCTCATTCCTCTCAGCTAACAAGCATAATTTGGGGAGAGTTTCTAGGGGAAATCATTAGGTATCCCCCTTAAAGTCCTGATTTGGCTTTTTCTGACTTTTTTGGTTCCTAACCTTAAAAAAATCTGTGAATGACACCCATTTTTCTTCAGTTAATAATATATATATTTTTTTTAAGCAAAGCAATATATTTATTGAGTGGAGTCACTGTGGCTTCAAGTATGTATCTATTGACATGTTGTCCAAAACAATATTGAGTGAAAGTACCACGGCTTCAAGTTTAGCATTTTTTCGATTACCGCATACTTGCAGAGAACCAAGTCCACCCCTAAGCCTGATTCACTGTGTAACAGAGCATTTTTTTCTTTTATTATTATTATTATTATTATTATTATTATTATTATTATACTTTATGTTTTAGGATACATGTGCACAATGCACAGGTTTGTTACATATGTATACATGTACCATGTTGGTGTGCTGCACCCATTAACTCGTCATTTACATTAGGTATATCTCCTAATGCTATCCCTCCCCCCTCCCCCCACCCCATGACAGGCCCTGGTGTGTGATGTTCCCCTTCCTGTGTCTATGTGTTCTCATTGTTCAATTCCCACCTATGAGTGAGAACATGCAGTGATTGGTTTTTTTGTCCTTGCGATAGTTTACTGAGAATGATGGTTTCCAGCTTCATCCATGTCCCTACAAAGGACATGAACTCATCATTTTTTATGGCTGCATAGTATTCCATGGTGTATATGTGCCATATTTTTTTAATCCAGTCTACCATTGTTGGACATTTGGGTTTTAATATATTTAAAAAAAGATTATATTGACCTGGTTAAATTCCAGGACACTCAGTTCTTTACGGATGAACTAAGTGGCTGGTATCATCACTTACAAAAGTATTTTGACCTTGATAAAACTTATGTTGGAAAATAAAATTTATATGATTTGTTTTTACCTTTTAATTTTATTTTCCGACAAACTTTATGAAGTTCTCATGTGTACCACCTCACTAATAATTAGACATTTTTGTCTTTTAATTCATAAAATTAAAGCTAATACCCAACCTGAGTTAACATTCAAAGAAACTGACAATGGAGCACAAATTGCTAACCCATTTGGCAGACAACTTGCTAAAACTACCAAATATAAAGAGAGAAAAAATGAGAAAATACAAGCAAAGTATAGAAAAATATTATCTAACTTGCTCTCAACTCACTTATTTTTAGGTGAGTTCAGAGCAAGTTAGATATTTTTATGTATTTTTTTCTAAATATTTATTTAGACTATAAAGTCCACTAAGAAAAAATAAATAATAGTTTATTGGTAATGATCTTCCTACATTTTTTGAGGCAGGTAAAGTGTTCAAATAATATTTCTATTTTAAATGAAACACCAATCTTGAGTTTACCAGTAGGTGTGACCTCCAGCAAACCACTCAAATTTCTGAATTTTATATGGGGTTCAGAACATAATGTGGTGTCTCCCATAGAAAGACTTGTAAAAAAATCAAAACAGATAAAAAACTTACTGTGAGCCAAAGATTTCACTTGGCTTTATTGAATGTGTTTTTTTTTAAAGAAAAGATATGCAGTCCTTTTATGAAAAGGTTAACATTGTTAATATTTTATAGTAATTATTATTAACATTATTGAAGAACTAAAACTATCATTACATTTAAAAGTATTTTTATCATGATATGCAATTAAAGAATACTAATGTAATGCATGGATACAAAAGTAATACGAACAATAAAATCAATTTTCTTGGAAACACACATCACATTTTCAGAACACAGCTGCTTTTCCCCTGTCATATTTTCACAATCACAAACATAAATAAATAATATCTAGAAAAGTCCAAAGAATATAATACTCTCTGCAAATCCATTCTGGCCAATTGACTTTTAACTGTATATCACTTATTGTAGGATAGCAAAAATGGAAACTAAATGTGCTAAATTCATTTGTGGCTAAAATTATTCAAATCTAATTACTTGGGTTTGGGCTGACTCAGGAGTACTAGAAAAAAATAGAAAAATTTGAGTAGAAATCAGAGGATAAGCTGGGCTATAACGAATGACTTAAGACACAAAAATATGATTTAATCATTATGGAGGAGTGATTTAAATATATCTTTCCTGATAAGAGATTAATACAAAACATATTTAACAATTTGTTTCTAACTAATAGACTCCTAAGAAACATATCTATACTCTATAAAAAATTACAAAATATCTAAGGGTTGACTAGCAGAAAAAAGAATACTGACAAAATGCTAAGATTTATTATCACTAATTTTCTAACTGGGCAAGCATGTCTTTGTTCAACAAATTTGTAAGGCAGTGAATATATATGTTATTTTAAAGATAAAATCTTCCATAAAGATGGCATAAAATCCATATAATTTGTATTCATTTATACTCCCTTTTATCTTGTTTTTAAAAAATGGAATGTAAATAACAACTGCAAACAACATCCTTATTTCTTTTCATTCACTGCAAGGGCTGAGAAAAGACTCATCTTTACTTTAAAATGGTGATCACATTAATTATTTTGGGTGGTGCCTGATTTTACTACAATCTCTGTAGAAGTACAGTGAATTTCTTCTTCTTATCCACAAGGTAAATTACAGTATTTGAACTTTATGATAATGTTCAAGAAAAAAAAAAAAGCAAAAACTTCAATGACAGTCTTGACAAAGCACTAGAATATTGCAGAAAACCAAAATCATCTTTTCCAGAACAAAGTACACTATTTCATTTGCAGCACATCGTTAAGTGGCTGTCATTATTGCTTAAACTGATTTACTTTCATCATTAAAATCTCTACCTATTTACAATAGGAAGGATAATCAATCCTACTGAATATTTTACATAATGCCATGTCAACAGAAGAACACAGTAGGGGTCGTCTAATGTTCTCTTAAGGACATACTATGATATATTAGAAAGGACATGTGCTTTGGAGACATTTAGCAAGCTACCTAAGGTTTACCTCTCATCAAGAAAATGAGAGTAGTATCTCCTTTATATGATTACTATAAGAATTATGTAACACAATTACATAAAGTGGTATGGCATCTGGCACAAAGTAGGAACTTCTCATAGGTCAGATTCTCTGGAAGCATTTTGTAATAGTAATTGTAACATAAATGATTGTTGAGGTTGTGCTCTCAGGTAAAACCTATTAGAAGTGAAGGAAGCAGGATAGGGCAGGGAAAAACCTAGTCAGATATGTGGGCTCAGTTCAGTTGTTTACTGGTAAATGGCTTTCAGGGTGAAGGAAAAGAGAAAAAAAGCCCCGATTGTTAGTATTTGCCCATTTCTATAGTGTAAGCACGTATTTCCACCATAGTCAATTTTATATTATCCACATAATGTCACTGAACACACCTTAAAAGAAATGTTAAGTCAGCTTCAGTGAAAGCTGGCTCCAGCATATCACTGGTTTAGACTGATCCTACAAGGATTTCTGTAATGTGAACATCACAGAGTTATCCCACCTAGAGTCAAAGAGATTGGACTTTAATACACCAGAATCAGTCAGTCATCGACTGTGGGACAACCTAGGGGAAAGGCCATAACCTCCAGAGGCTCCCACCAGCCAAGAGCAATTTTCAGGAGCAGTGTTCAGCTAGAAAATGCTATCAGCCAACATTCTACAGCAGCTGGAAAATAAGTGCTTCTGCCTGTTGAAGGCAATTCTGGTGTGGCAGCGTTGTCATCTAATACCGTGTTCAGTAATGAAGCTAAGTTAGTACTTCATGTCTCTAAGTGATTCTTGCAGTCCCAATGTACTTTATCGAGTTTGTTCTATCAACTTATAACTAGATGACATTTGAGCTTTCTTCAAAATAAAAGACAGCACTAATATTTAGTTGTCCAGTATCTTTCCCACAAGCGTACTGGAATGAACTAATTTCTCCTTCTCTCACATATTTCTAAATATCAGGATCTCAGATCGCTGCATAAAACAAGAAGCAGTAGGTTATCCATTTTGCCCCAGAATTTTCACTGTCAACATGAAAATTGTTGACCAAGATCTCCATGGAAATGGCCACAAAACAAACATCAAAAAAATGCCTCTTACTGGTAGAAGAGATACAGAGGGAAAGGGTGAGAGTTTCTTCATTGCTGTTGGTATTTGGGTTCCAAAGAGGTTGACTTACCCTGTGGGCTGTTTTGCATTCATTCATCACTAACTAATTACACTATATACCTCACTTACCCTCTCATTTGATGGCTGTCAGATCCCAACTAGATGATGGCAACAAACTATGTGAATTTAATGGGCAGTTAGGATTTCAACATTTGGTGATCATTAAAATGGCACCTGTAAAAACCAGCAAACTAGGGAGCAAATGGATATTTTCTGAATCAAGAATCTGGCCACAGAGTGAAGTCAGCAAGGTGGCAGAAGAGGAGGTCCCCAGTTCATATCGCCCCCACACAACCAACGATCTGGCAGCCGTTCATAGTCAAAACTGCCTTTGTAGAAGCTTTAGAATCCAGAGAGGACATTGTAGAACCCTGGTGAAGCCCAAGACCAAAAGGAGACACTTTGAGAAGGCCAGTCCAAGGCCTGGCGGTGGGCTCCCTGAGCATGATCCCAGCTACAGATCAAAAGCAGCCCCAACCCGGACTCAGCTCCAAATCTACTTCTTGGCCACTGTCCTGAAGCCAGCCCCAACTGCCAAGGGACCTGGGAGGAGTCATGCTCGCTACCTCTCCCCAGTGAATGGGCCCACTGATACAGGTCCCAACTGTGGATCCTGAAGCAGCCCATAACTTGGCTCCGGGCCCACGCTATCCAGACTCTGAATCAGTCCTGCCTGCCCAAGGACCCAGTGGGAGACATACCCATCCATGCCCCAGTAACAGGTCCGCTGACCTCAATCCCTACTGTGTGTCCTAAAGAAGTTCTATTACCTGACTGCAGCCCCATTTTACCATGGTCTGGAATCAGTCCTGCTCATGAAACCCAGTAACATATGTCATTGTCCCTGATAACAGAGATACCATCCTCAGTCCTGGCTGAGGACCCTGAAGCAACCTGTGACCTAGTACTACCCCTGCTGTATCATGGTTTGGAGGCAATCCTGCCCATGCGATGGCCAGGGAAAGCCATAACAATCAGCATTCCCAATAGGGGCTTGCAAAATAGACAAGTGGGATGATCACATTAAACTAAAAAGCTTCTGCATGGCAAAGAAAACAAAAGAGTGAAGTGGCAGTCTATGGAATGGAAGAAATTATTTGCAAACCATATATGTGATAAAGGGTTAATATTCAAAATATATAAGGGACTCAGCTCAACAGCACACATATGCATGCACGTGTGCGCGCACACACACACACCAGTTAAAAATGAGCTATCTGGCTTCACAGATATTTTGCTGAGAAATTGCTGGAAAAAAAAGTGGATTGAGTAGAAACTAAAGAGATAATAATAGATATTGATAATAGAAATACTAATGCATATGCAACATAGGTCCATTAATGTAAGAATTGCTATAATAAGTTCCCTAATTGAATCATATTACAAACAGTTGTCATCTTTTTTTTTTTTTTTTTTTTTTTTTGGAGACAGAGTTTCACTCTGTTGCCCAGGCTAGAGTGCAATGGCTCTGTCTTGGCTCACTACAACTTCCACTTCCCGGGTTCAAGCAATTCTCCTGCCTCAGCCTCCTGAGTAGCTAGGATTACAGGTACTCTACCTGTAATTACACCACCACACCCGGCTAATTTTGTGTTTTTAGTAGAGATGGGGTTTCACCATGTTGGCCAGGCTGGTCTCGAACTCCTGACCTCAGGTGATCCCCCCACCTTGGCCTCCCAAAGTGCTTGTAATTCTTTATACTTTGTTTTCAACCATAATAACTTTATATGTATATTTTTAAGAACTACTTGAAAAGAGGTAAACTTGAATCTCAGAAATGCAAGAGGTTTGGCAGGGAGTTAGAGGTAGAATGAATACAAGTGAATACAAGTTGTGCAAATGGGACTGATTGAACCAGGTTGGAGTATTCTACTTTGCCTTTTAGTCCTGTCATGAATTTGTCATAGGTAGAAAAAGCTGTTATACTCATGTATTTTGAAGGAGATTTGAGAAATGCCAATATCCAAGGCTTTTCGCTTGGAGACATCCATGTTAGCCAGTCTGTTTCCAGGATCACTGTGAGACCCTGGCAGTAGGCTTCAACTCTCAAACATAAATTCAACAAATTAAAATAAAAGTGGCATTGAATAACTATATGAAACTACAGAAATACAACACACATATACACATAAAACCCTTAGTAATCATGTTAATTTGAAAAATGAAAGGAACATGTCATTAAAATTTGGGGGATGTAGAACCAAAAACGGGTCTAAGAAAGGTAATGTTATGCTACTGATAAACACACAGTTAAATTGTGTAATCATTTTCACTTTATTTGTCATATTGTCTTATTGTTTTATTCTAGTAAACAGTTAAATAAAACCTACAAAGGATACAAATACTACTAACTGTGGTCCAACTCTATTTTTCTTCCTTAAGGTCATAAGTTCCTCAAACAACCAATGCTCTAATTAAATGGATTTTAGTTAATAATCCTCCTACGTGCTATGCTTCTGAATAAAATTTTGCACCCTGACACTGAAAATACACTGTAAGGTGGTAGTTCAAATCTGCACTTCTAAGAATAAAATAGTGCAAAAGAGCTTGGCCATTAAAGTCACACAAATGGACTTGAACCAGACCTTAAAACTTATTATGTGTGCAACTTTAATGTTCTAAGCTTTCATTTCCTCATTCATAAAATAAAGTTCATTAGTAGAACTTGCATGATAGAGTTGTTATAAGAACTATATAAGGTATCTAATGCTGTCAGCACCATAAATGGTGTATAATAAGTGGTCAGTAAATGTTGTCTCTTACAATATAACTAAATCTTGACTACAAAATTTATGTCCAAAACCATACAGAAGTGTCATAATCTTCACCTGAAAACTGAGACCTGGATATATACATCAAAAAAAGGTCAATATATATCCTTAATCACTTAGATTTGGCAATAACTTAAACATTGTTGCCAGAAATTCAGAGGCTTACAACAAAATTTTTGGAAATATAAAGATGTTTGAAGCAGTTGGGAATTAGATTTCTTGATGCACACAGATGAGCTGAGGCTCAAATGTTGCAAGTTCAATATACAGTAAGTCAAACTGTGTGTTGCTCTGAAGTGAGCCATACAAAGATTTATAATCAGTAAGTTTGTATACTGTCAAAATTATATAACATTTATTTTAAAATTCCCAGAAGAAATATACATATCCCTGCAAATGCTATATTTTTAAGCAATGAAGTCAGAAAAATGAATTAAGCAAAAGCTCTCACATTCTTCTAAATCATCTCATTATCCAAGCAGATAAACTTATACCAAAGCAAACATTCACATAGGGAAAAAATTTGAAATTATAAAACATTTTGTGTCAATTTTTCCATTTTCAAATTTGCCCCCAATTAAATAAATTAGAAGATAAAAACAGAAAACCCAAAACACAATTGATAGGAGCTTAAAAATATTAGAGAAAAAGGAAATAGTAATAGCAAAGGGATAATATAAAATTTACCAGAAATTAAGATCAAGACTCTCCAGACAGAAGGAGTCCATATGATCAACAACAAAAGGAAACCCACATGAGCCACACTGTCATGACATCTCAGAACGGCATCAGAGTTACTATTTCACTCCAGCTTCCCTTCTAGCTATTAAAAGGTCATATGACATTTTGATCCTTGATTTTATGTGTGATTAATTTTTCCTTTGTGGAAACATTCGGGATCTCTGCTAAGCAGAGATTAAGAGAGTATCCCAAATTGTCAAGGTTCAGTTAAAAATCTTATTTAATTTTATTGTGAATGTAATTGGTGAGGACAGGTAAGTTTATGCATATTATTTGGAAATACGAAGTAAGTATCAGAAGAAAAAGAGTTTAAAATGGAAACTTAAGGGTAGAAACTCATGATAGAGGAGGGTCAATGTTTCTGTACTACTGTTTTTTAAAAAATAAAAATACTTTTCTCTTAAGCAAAACTAACAAATTACAAACTCCATGAAAAGAATAATTTAAAAGAAAATAAATTAAAAATATTCATTAGTTATAATAACATTATTTCATTCCTATAGCAGGAGAAACTAAATACGTATGTTCAATAATTTAAACAATTCAAGGAAAACAAATCTCATTGGTTCAATACATTTTGAGATACTTCATAAAGGTAATACCACTAATAAAGTAGAGTATACAATACTTTTTACTCTGGGAGATAAAATGCAAATCACATTGCGTTTACTTGTGCAGATCTTAGTCAAAAAAAAACATGCACTGACTTCAGTTAAGGCTTAGGCTCCAATAAGACTACACAATTAAACTCAATGGTACTTCATGAGGTAAATCATTGTCATATAAGGCAGAAGGTGAAATGTGTTAAGATAGCATCACGTTCTAATAAAATGTGTAACTTTTCATCAAATATGTTTTTCTAAGCATTTACTAAGATGCAATCATGTAAGTTAAAAACATCATAATCTTTTTATTTAGTGTTCTTGAAGATTAAACAGCCTCAGATCTTTTTAAAATCTACATTTTTCTTATTCACCTGGAGAAAATTTCAAAGGTGACTTTGTCAGCTTGGAAATAAGTAATAAGATAGAAATGATAGGAAAACACAAAGGACACAGAGAAATGCTGTCATTCATCTCTGTCCATATACTATGACCAAACAGCTCACGTTCAACACAGTACAAATGTTCTGACTGTGGTAGGTCAATCAACAAATATGTAAGTGGCAGTAATTTTGTGTCATGTCTTGGGACATAAATGACCTATTCAGTAATAGCCCAGTGTGTCTCAAACTTAAAGATACATACAAATCACCTACAGATCTTGTTAAAATGTACATTTGCATTCAGCAGTTCTGGGGGTAGGTCCTGAGAATCTGCATTTATAATTCATTTCCAAGTGAAACTCATGCTGCTTCTCCATAAGCCACACTTTAATCAGCAAGCCCTTGTAGTGTACAGTCATTCAATCCCACACAGGACAGAACAGAACAGTTAGGGTTCACAGGACAGGAGAAGGCAATGTAGACTAAATTCATAATTTCTCACTAGACTACACCAGTTTTTAATTTACAATCAATGAAACAGACAACTAGAATCAACCTAAGAACTCATATATATTCCCCGAGACATCCCAGCAAGATAAGTATTACCTGCTACTTTCTTGCTATACACTTAAACACCAAATGAGCATCGGCAATAAACATAGGAACATGTATAGACAAAAGAACACTCCACACGTTGACACTGGTTCAAAGCAGTGAAATATCAAAATTAGAGAAGCTAGGAATATTATTTCAAATGTAACTTCCAGCTCAAAATAAGCTAAAGAATTATGTTTTACCCTGAGGCTTTAATAAGCTTTTAAATAAACTATTCCTATGCCAAATCCTATCTTATTAGTTAAAAAAAAAATCCTAGATAGTGAAGAGATAAACAAGACTCTCAGGCTGACAAATCTATTATCAAAAGTCTAAAATAATGTATTTTTACAAATTTATATTTCTGATTTAAGACATAAGAAGAATGTAAAACAAATTTATATTTTAATATCTTATTATTTCATATTTTATTCCACAATGCATTCGTAGCAGTTAACTCAAATACACTAACAATGAACATAAAACTAATAAAACTTAAATATTTATAAAATTCAGAACAAATATTAACCATTTTCCCTAGAATTAAAGTGGGGTTCTGTTATCCTGTGTTCTGTGTCAAGTAGGAACATAAATGAGATACATGTATTGTTGTTCTTGCTTAAGAAAAGAATAGCCATTATTTAAACAAAGTATTTTTAAAGACCCAATTTCTATTTCACAAAAAGGCATATTAGCTAAATAACAAAGCTGGAGGCATCATTCTACCTGACTTCAAACTATACTACAAGGCTATAGTAACCAAAACAGCATGGTACTTCTACCAAAACAGATATATAGACCAATGGAACACAACAGAGGCCTCAGAAATAAAACCACACATCTACAACCATCTGATCTTTGACAAATCTGACAAAAACAAGCAATGGGGAAAGGATTCCCTATTAAATAAATGATGCTGGGATAACTGACTAGCCATATGCAGAAAACTGAAACTGGACCCCTTCTATTACACCTTATACAAAAATTAACTCAAGATGGATTAAAGACTTAAACATAAAATCTAAAACTATAAAAATCCTAGAAGAAAACCTAGGCAATACCATTCAAGACACAGGCATGGGCAAAGACTTCATGACTGAAACACCAAAACCAATGGCAACAAAAGCCAAAACTGTCAGATTGGATCTAATTAAACTAAAAAGCTTCTGCACAGCAAAAGAAACTATCATCAGAGTGAACAGGCAACCTACAGAATGGGAGAAAACTTTTGCAATCTATCCATCTGACAAAGGGCTAATATCCAGAATCTACAAAGAACTTAAACAAATTTATAAGAAATAAACAAACAACCCCATCAAAAAGAGGATGAAGGATATGAACAGATAATTCTCAAAAGAAGACATTTATGTGGCCATCAAACATGAAAAAAAGTTCAATATCACTGGTCATTAGCGAAATGCAAATCAAAACCACAATAAGATACCATCTCATGCCAGTTAGAATGGCGATCATTAAAAAGTCAGGAAACAAAAGATGCTGGAAAGGATGTGGAGAAATAGGAACATTTTTACACTGTTTTTGGGAGAGTAAATTAGTTCAACCATTGTGGAAGACAGTGTAGCGATTCCTTAAGGATCTAGAACCAGAGATACCATTTGACCCAGCAGTCCCATTACTGGGTATATACCCAAATGATTATAAATCATTCTACTATAAAGACACATGCACACGTATGTTTATTGCAGCAGTATGTACAATAGCAAAGACTTGGAACCAACCAAATATCCATCAATGATAGACTGGATAAAGAAAATGTGGCATATATACACCCTGGAATGCTATGCAGCCATAAAAAAGAATGAGTTCATGTCTTTACAGGGACATGGATGAAGCTGGAAAACCATCATTCTCAGCAAACTAACACAGGAACATAAAACCAAACACCACATGTTCTCACTCATAAGTCGGAGCTGAACAGTGAGAACAAATGGACACAGGGAGGGGAATATCACACACCAAGGCTTGTCAGGGGCTGGAGTCAAGTGGAGGAAGAGCATTAGGACAAATACCTAATGCATGTGGGGCTTAAAACCTAGATGACGTGTTGATAGGTGCAGCAAACCACCATGGCACATATATACCTATGGAACAACCCTGCACGTTCTGCACATGTATCCCAGAACTCCAAGTAAAATTTAAAAATATATATATATACATAGTTTAATAACCAATTAAAGATTAGAATAGTTTAGAATAAGTCATTCCCTGACAAAATTTGATAAATCCACAGTTAAGGTGTTAACACAAATATTTATACATTGTATTTGAATATCTGTTACTGTTCAATCTTATTGGTTTTGATTACAGGTGAAATGATGTACAGCTACAGTGAGAACAACCAATAAATATAACACTTATTGACAATTTAACATTCTGTGAAATTTCTTACAGTTACTAAGTGAAAATAAATCATTAAATTAATTAAACTGTGGAAGACTAAATGAATGTAGATTAATGTAAAATTAATAAAGTATCTTTAGGACATGTAATGCGTACATGCTCATGAACATATGGTTTGTTTTAGAACTAGTAAAACTACTGCCAAAGCTTATTTTGAGATGTTCATTCTAAATGTGGTAACAGAAGGGATTTTTATTCATATTTACTTATAACTAATCAAGCAAAATATAAAAATCAATCTCACCAGCCCTTGAACAAATATAAAAACCACTTATTTGTCTGATTCAATTATTTCTTATTTAAATGGTAAAAACCAAATATAACATTACTATTAGAAATCTGCTTAAATGAAATTATTTGAGGTACACCATTATTTTTGGAACTACTTTACCTCTTTTGAAAATAATCCCTCCCCTTCTCATCCCATGCCCTTAGGCTCTTTCAATCTATCAATCAATCAACCCCAATTATGTTGCTAATAAATACTTAGGGGGAAAATAGTTTCAAAAGAAAATAATCAGAAAAAAATATATAATTGAGTAGCCAGAACAATGTGGTTAAGTGTCAGATCCCCTGATTTAAATTATGGCTCTGCCACTAACCAGATGTGTGACCCTGAAAATGTCACTTAGCCTTCCTAGATCTGAGTTTCCCCATCACTACAATAGGGTTCATGTGGCATATTATAAATAAAGCCTGTATAGCAGTGTGTGACACACAAAAATAATAAATGTAACCTTATGATGCTAAGTAAGCTTTTTGGGGTACTTATGAAATTAATCTCAATACAGAAATATTTATAAAATATTTCCTTCATTTAAAAATATGTACATGCAAATACATTGATCTTAAATACCACATAAATGAGTTCAAGTAGTATCTTATGTGCTATTTCTGTTGCAGGTATTTCTATATTCTCAGAATCTTCATGTTTTCATGATTTATGTAGGGCTTAATGGTCATCTAACTGTAGCTTAGACAATATGGGAAAGGGGGAAAGAAAAAATACAGAACTTCGCAATTATGTAAAGTGCTTCTTCAAACTGAAAGCTGCTGGAAATATAAGATTTTGCACTTCCTTCTGAGGCAGGAGAATAGGATCTGGAGGCAAAGAACTTAAGGCTGATTTTCACTGACTTCCTAGAACTGAATCAAAAGGAAAACCTCAACTTTCCACGCCCAAGTAACAAAATGATCAGAGGCTACTCCCTTTGTACCTGCCCCCACCCTTTTCTGTGTAGCAGATGAAAAATGGGAAATACCTTTGATTGGTCCCTCCCAGAACCAGTCAGACTGGTCATGGGCCTAGCCTACATTTGCATAGAGGTGTATTTTTGTTACTTCACCTCAGCCTCTGATTGGTCACCTTCCATGACCAATCAGATTGGTCTTGGGCCACTACTTCATTTACATAGGGTATAACCAAGTAACCAACGGGAAACCTCTAGAGAGTATTTAAGCCCCAGAAAATTCTGTAACCAATGCTCTTCAGCCACTTGCTCAAGCGTGTTCCCACTCTGTGGCATGTACTCTGAAATCTGTGTTTTCATTGCTTCACTTTTTCATTGCTTTGTTTGTGCATTTTTTCCAATTCTTTGTTCAAAATACCAAGAGCCTGGATGACTTGTAGTCAAGACCCTCCACTGGTGACATATTTTGGTGAGTGAGCCAGGAGGTAAGCCCAGAGTTTGGGATTTATTTTTCTTTTCTTTTTGTTTTCCCTTTTTCTCTCTGCTCCATACAGGGGAACTCTTTTCTCTCTCTGTCTTTTTCTCTTTCCAACTTGGGACGCTCAGTGGACAGCACCTAAACATGGAGGCTACTGCAGGCTTTTGGCCAGGGCTACTCTGCAGTGAAACTGAAAGGTTTTCATGTGGAAGCACCTGACCATCATCATCAGGTTCGGGTGAGGGACCTGAGTCCTTTTCCTTTTTTCTTTTTTAATCTTTCAGCAGCTGTTTCCTAGTAGATCCTTAGTAATTGAGGGCAACCGGCTGGAGCCACTCTCTGGCATTACCTGAAGGCCACAAAGTGAATGAGGACAACTGCCCTGCATGGAAAGGGGAAGGACTCTTTTCTGTCTTTCCTGGTTATAGTCCCTGATCCCTACATGTGATGCAATTGGCAGTGGCAACTCGTCCAGGGTGAACTTGCATGTGTTCAGGCGAATTAAACCCTCTTTTCTTATGCTAAATTATCCTATAGAGTTAACCATAATGGCAGAAGATAATGTCTCTTAAGCGATTTGACCTCCCTTCTCCTACTCAATCTTTTCAATTGGCTAAGGACAAAAGAAACACACCCAGTTCCTATGACTAAAGCTCATGGCTGTCACTCTAGTGGAAGGGGAAGCATGGGAAAGCATGGCTTTATCAAATTATAAGGATGATATAAGTCAAGATCTTCATCCAGGGACAAAAGAAAAGCTCCTAGTAGGCCATTGCCTCTCGAGGGAAAACATACAAAGTGGCACCAGTGCCCACCTAAGGTCAGAGATGTCTAACACACTAAGATTAGACACCAAACGGGGACACCCTAGGTGATCCAACTCCAGACCTTAACATCTCCAAAGGGGATGCCCTAGATGGAGGTTCTGAGGTCTAGTACTAAGCCTTCCTTAGAATTTTCTCTTTCTTGCAGATTACTATGAGAAACATTGCATCTATTCCACCTCACTCCCCACTTGGCTGCATCCTCAACCACTGGAATCAATTTGACCCTGATAACCTAAGGAGGAAACACTTGATATTCTTTTGAAATATTGTTTGGCCCCAATATTGTTTGGAATCTGGAGTTTGCTGTTGAATGGGAAAGTGGGAAGGAGTTGCATGTATACAGGCTTTTGTACTGCTTTTCTAATCAGGGTCTGGCCTGGTTAGCATGTGACACTCTCCTTTGGTGCTGTTTGGCCTGAATGTTCTTTGGAGTTTAAAAATCAAACTGTCATGGAAACTGCTTTACCCAAAATTTTGGTTCACAGCCTTCATTGGGTTACCCACTGGGACAAGCAAATTGTAACCATGTAAAACCAGTGAGTTTGTCTTGCTATCTCATGGCTAGAGTTCCAAGGTAAAGGCTATTGGATCTTTGTTTGTGTGTGTATATATGACTAGATGTGTTTATTTGCATGTACACTTATTGTTATACGTTGTGCCTACCAAATTGGCTTATAACTAAAAGAGCACTCAATAAGTAAATAAGTCTAAGCAATTTTCAAGTTCATGTGAATTAAGTATAACTTTTTATTAAACAAGCTGGCTATAAAATTATTGGTAAAATTAAAAAAGAAATGTCTTTAGAATTGTCAGCATATATTTTTGTCTAGGTTTAATATTTGCCTTTGCTAGATACTGTGAGATGTCATTGTTTGGCATAGAAGGTTATAAAGCTATTAACCCAGCGAAAACAAAATCATCTTGGTTTGCGTGCCTTCTTTGACAAATGAGACTAATTTAATGTTGTTAGCTGAGTCTTCTGAGTTATTGGCAAAAATACCTATGTATTTACTTTTGAGGCTTTTATTTAGGTGAGCATGTGATGGTCACTGGCTATTTAAAAAAATTGTTAACAAGGAAATAAGAAACCTTAAATGATAGTGTTTCATATCTCAGTTTCCAAAAGTAATCTAGATAAACTGTTAAAATGAAAAAATGAGTACATGTAAATGGGATAAATGTTTAAAATAAATTTTTTTGTAATTTAAAATCTTAAAAATTACTTTTGATGCTCATTGGCTATCTAGGTCATTTCCCTTAAGAAAGCGTTATGATATGGGGAAATATGTTTCCAAAAATTGTGGAATTCTTCTCAACTAAAAAGTGCTCATATCTGATATTTCTGAGATTCTTGCTTTTTAGGGCTTCAGTAAAATTTAAGGTTACTAAGGATAAGAATTCTAGTTGACACATGGTTCTGTATTTGAAATGTGCCAAAAAAGATGAGTGATTGGTGAGAAAGAAAATGATTTTGTGTAGTTCAGAGGTTACGTAAAAGTTAAGTCAAATTATGGACTTTAAAAGGGGGTTATTTATGAAACAAAGTAATAAGGAACCAGTAAATAGGGGAAACAGATATGAAGAAATATATATGAAGACGTGTTTTTGGTAGGTAAGGTTGTAGAGATGGTGGTTTTGTATGAGAAAGGATATTGTATGGTTAATACTTATTCTAAAATAAAATGACTGGTTGTTTAAAAAGAGGGATGTTTAGAACAAGTCAGAAAGTCCAAGCATGTTGGATATGGTCTGTGTAAGTCATGAAAAGGATTTGTGTCAAAATAATTAGAATGCACTTTTGGTAAAAAGCATAGGAATGTGGAATTCTTACCCAAGTTTAGAGGGTTAACCAATTTAAGTGAGATAGGAAAATCTAAAGGTTTGAACAAGTGGTGGAATGTTTCTCAAAAAGTAATTGTAAAAGAAATTCTGTGTGTGAACATGTTGGCTAAAGTTAAGAGAAGATGGGCAATTGAACTTTACCCATCAGTCAGCTTGCAGAGGATATAAGTTTTTGCTAGTACTAATAGACACTTTTACTGGTTAAGCTGAAGCTTACCCTATCAGAACAAAGGCAGCTAATGAAGTTATAATGGTTATCTTAAAGAAAATAATTCCCTGGTTTAGGTTACCCCCAAAGCCTCCAAAGTGATAACAGCCTTTTCTTTGTCTCCCAAATAACTCAAGGGGTTGCTGAGGTTCTCAGAATCAAATACTATTTACATTGAGCATGGAGGCCTCAATCCTCTGCAAAAGTGGAAAGAGCTAATCAAACTCTAAAACAGGCATTAGCAAAGCTATGTCAGGAAACTTGAGTGAACTTGATGCCCATGGCCCTCTTAAGAATCCATAATTCCCCCAGAGCAAAAATTAATATTAGCTCATATGAAATCTTACACAAAATGCCACTTTAAACTAGTGATCTAATTACTGATGCAGAAACAGACACTCTAATAAAATATCTAGCTAACCTGGAACAATTTTAGCACACTTTTCAAAATTTTGTAACTCAAAGGCTCAACACACTGGGAATGAACCAGCAACCCCAAATCAGGCCAGGAGATAAGGTACTTGTTAAAACATGGAAGGAGGGATCAACTGCTCAACAATTACAACCGAGATGGAAGGGACCATTTTCAGTGGTGCTGGTCATGCCTTCTAAAGTCAAAATACTAAGGTTAGATAGTTGGACACATCTTTCCAGGGTCAAGCCTGTGATACCTGAAGCCTGAGACCTGGAATCTGAAGCACCCATCCGTCACAACACATGTGAACCTGTGGAAGACCTTAAGCAGCTGTTCAAAAGACAGCCCAAAGATAAGTTAATGCCTACCAACTTTCCTTGGTGTCTTTGTTTCATGGTTACTGTAACCTGGATAATAGTAGCCATTTTTAAAGTTTTACAACTTAATTGCTTTATTCTAAATGGATGGAACCACTTCCTTTGTAACAATTAAGGAAAGTGTTTTATTTCGTTTTTATAGCAAGCATTCCTGACAGCACAGGTATCCACCCATGAAGTTTCCATTCTATGGAACAAAATAACAGGTAACTATTTTTGGTCTCATAATGGTTAGCCACAGCCTGTGTATACCGGGACCATGCATACTGGGAATCAGCTTAATTTTACAACAGAGTTTCACTTTTCCCCTCCAGCAATTAATGGATTCTGGGTATTTATTAAGATCTTTAAATTTAACACAAAGACTGCTAAGTACCACCAGTCCAGCTTGGGCAAAGGACTGTCAGCTTTGTTTATCTCCATTATCATCCAAATATACTGCCATCCCAATCCCCGCTCTATTTTGGGCCCTTGAAAAAAATGCCCTACAATGACAGGACAAGCAGTAAAACTTTTCCACTCCTATCAGATAAACGTTTCTGGAATTGCATCCACACCGAAAACCATTTGGGACCCAGTATTAATGTAAACAGAGCTAAAATTCCAAGTACCATTTTGTATCAAGAGAAGCTGACATTTTGGTCAGGCCCTTGGAACCTTGAAAAGTCATCAATGTAACTATGCCCTAGAGATTAACCCCCTACATGATCATGTAAGCTATGAAGTTACCCAAAATGCATCATATAAAAAACCTGTATGGTTTTCATGGAAACTATCCCTAGTTAAGGGCACTTTAAAGGATATACAGTCTAAGTACTGTCAAGGTAAGCCCACTAGCTGGGTTCACATTTTCCCTTGGGAAGACTGTACTAATCCTGAGACATCTAGTTGCCCTTTGATTCCCTGGTACAAAAATACCTCTGGGTAGTTGTATTCATTTCCTCTTGCCTAGAGACCATCAAGCTCCAGATGATCATGTGACAAGGTTTCCAGCCAGGTCCAGGTGAAGGCACAACTGCTGGCCATCAAGAAGCTACCCTGACTCCACTAGACAGAGCATGATGAGAGTCCCTTGATCCCCAATAGGTAGGGAGTGTGCCACAAGTCAGCATGAAGCAGTTACAGAAGAAAGACCATCTGTCCCTCTGCCTCCCATAAAGATCAAAGGGTATCACGTTCCTCGAGGGGGGGAAATGAGGCAGGAGAATAAGGTCTGGAGGCAGGGAACATAAGGCTGATTTGTGCTGACTTCCTAGAAATGAATCAAAAGGAAAACTCCAACTTTCCACGCCCAAGTAACAAAAGGATCCACTCACACCTTTCTGTGTAGCAGATGAAAAATGGAAAGTGCCTCTGATTGGTCCCTTCCTGCAACCAATCAGACATTTGCATAGGGTGTAACTTTGTAACTTCACTTCAGCCTCTGATTTGTCGCCTTCCACAACCAATGAGACTGGTCACAGGTCACTATTTATTTACATCAGGTGTAACCAAGTAACCAATGGGAAACCTCTAGAGAGTATTTAAGCCACAGAAAATAAAGTAACCAGCGTTCTTGTGTCACTTGCTGGAGCCTTCCCCCACTCTGTGGAGTGTACATTCATTTCAATAAATCTGTGCTTTCCTTGCTTCATTCTTTCGTTGCTTTGTTTGTGCATTTTGTCCAATTCTCTGTTGAAAATGCCAACAACCTGGAAAACTTGTAGTCAAGACAATCCACCCGTAACACTTGCTAGTTCAGATCTTCTCAGAATGATAAGAACCACCATTAGCCTAATGCCCTACACATAGAATTTCAACAAACATGTATTGATTGAATTTATTGTGGTAAATTATCTAGCAACATGTAATCCTTTTTTTTTTACTGTTTTTTTAAGAGATGAGGTCTCACTTTGTTGCCCAGGCTGAAGTCAAACTCCTGGGCTCAGGTAATCCTCCTGCCTTAGCTTCCCTAACAGTTGGGACTACAGGCACACACCATCATGCCTGATGTAAGTATTTATTATTTAACAAATTGACTATGTCAGTAGCCTCCTACCTGGGGTTTTCTGTCTCTAACTTTTCATCACTCCCAGTCTATCAATAATGACACAGTCAAATTCACTTTCTCAAAACACTGATAAGTACTCAATAAGCATCTTCTATATCTTCTATTAATAAAGACACAATACTGGTCACTTTTTCTATAAAAGCATGTTTAGGCATAATAAGAATAAATTTTTCCGCATTCATGCTAGAATTAAAAGCAAAGTGGTGGTGGGACAGGGAGGGATTGGGATGCTATACTACTTTATTTCTCATATTATTTTTTTACTGGTCCATATAATAATCAACTGATTTCTAAACATAATGTGGGTTAATCATTATCACTAAACACCTTGTTCTTATATATTCTCCTCAGTATATTAAAGAACCTTGAACATTAGTTCATTTGGTCCTAAAAAGAATTATTAGAAATGTGGACACTCAGGGCAAAATAACTTAAGTGACTTGCCTAGTGTCACACAGGAACTTGGTATTATGGTCAGGACTGAAGAATCCTTTCCTGACCCCTAGTCCATCATTTTTTTTAAAATGCAAAATTTCAAAGAAATAGTATCCTCTTTAGTAGCTCACATAACTGACACATTTATTTATTGGCAACAATAGTGAAACATTTGTCAGAAATAGCTCCACATTAACTTCTACTTGCTAAAGAACACGCTAAGAAACTTTCCAATCCATCACTGTCAATCATGCTACCATTGCAACATAAATAGGTGTTTTTGTTGTTCTCAACAAAAGACAGAATTTTTTAGAGGTCACGTGTATCAAGATCACACAAAAGCTCAATTTGGTCACGCTATACAATGAGATTTATTTAATGTCCCATCTGCTAAATGTGTATGGTATGAAAAGACCTCCCTCCTTCCCTCACTAAAGACACAGACATCTAAAGGGGAAGATTTGTTGCCATTATAAGTAATAATATAAGGCTCTATACTTAATAGCTTTAATCTCTATAGTTTTCCATGCAGGACATAAAATAGGAATGATGAGTTTATTGTTTTCCTTGATAACAATATGGTTTGAGTCAACCTCTAATAATCTAAGAACTAACAATTCTGGCTTACTTATTTCATTAATCTGTCCAAGTCTGTAAAACCAAATAAAGCTACATAAAATCCTTTGTGTTCCAACTAATATTCTTATTTGATATCAATTTATCAGTAATAATAAAGGGTATATTCACAGGAGACAGTCAAATAAATATGTCTGATAAAAGTTATAACTGGAGCTGTCCTTGTCAATAATCTCTCACACATTATAATTACTTGCTACTTAAAACTTTCAAAATAAACATTTTTTTATTCAAAGAAATGCTTCCAATTGTCTAAAATTTGAAAAATATACATTTTTTTCACAACTTTGAAATAACCATGTGATTTTTTTTATATTTTGTTGGTTGTATTTTATGTGTTTATATGAAACCACATATATAATAGCCAGTGACTAACAAAATTAGCTAGATGAAAGGAGAGATGGATGAGTGGATAGAAAGACCAATCGATGAACTGACAGACACATTTTTTCACTGAAGATTGTATCATGAGAATTTCCAATGCCATTAAACATTCTTAGAAAGTTACATCTGATGTTTGTATAATAATCCATTATTCATAGTAATTTAGCCATTCTCTTATTGTATGTTTTACAAAGGTACTCAATCTATAAAATATGGTTTATAACACTGAGGAATATCCCTATTAATATAGTTTTCCTTAATATAAATATATATGAATTCATATATATATCCTTGAACTTACAATGTAAAGGTATAAATCTTTAAGAGATTTTGATTTATAGCTATATTATCTTCCAGAAATGGTAAATTAATAGCATCCACTCACTTTTCCAATCATGATATAGAGTTTAACCATAGCCTCATCAACAGAGTTTTTTTTATTCTAATCTGTCTGTGTTTGATAGATTCTAATTTTTTTTATTGTTTTAGTTTGAACTTTTAAAACTATACATGAAAGCAAATATATTTATAAGCATATTGTTCTATTGGATTTGCTTATATTGTCTGCTTTTGGTAAGAACTCTTCATAGCTACTGTATATGTACATAGACATAATTTTCATGTATTAATTGTTTCAGTTACTAATTTATTCCCTTTCTGCACAAGAAGAGGTAAACCTCATACTCTTTCCCAACATGGGGAAATAAAAGCTTCCTCTCCACTGTAAAAAAATAGAGATTGTCAGGCCGGGTGTGGTGGCTCACTCCTGTAATCCCAGCACTTTTGGAGGCCAAAGCGAGCAGATCATTAGGTCAGGAGGTTGAGACCATCCTGGCCAACATGGTGAAACCCCGTCTCTACTAAAAATACAAAAATTAGCCAGGCATGGTGGCATGCAACTGCAGTCCCAGCTACTTGGGAGGCTGAGGCAGGAGAATTGCTTGAACCCAGGAGATGGAGCTTGCAGTGAGCCGGGATTGCACCACTGCACTCCAGCCTGGGTGACAGAGTGACATTCCATCTCCAAAAAAAAAAAAAAAAATAGAGATTGTCTTCCAAACAGATTCCAATGGAAGTGTACATTTAGACATTTAACTTCTTTTAAAATTCTAATAAAATGCACATAGCACAAAATTTGCCATCTTGACTATTTTTAAATGTACAGATCAATAGAGTTATGCAACCAACCTTCAGAATTATCTTGCAGAACTGAACCTCTATATACCCATTAAACAACTCCCCATTTTTCCCTCCCACTAGCTCCTAGCAACCACCATTCTGCTTTCTGTTTCTGTTAATTTGACTACTCTACACACATCACATAAGTGAGCTCATACAGTGTTTGTCTTTTTGTGACTGGCTTATTTCCCTTAGCATAATGTCGTCAAGGTTCATCCATATCATAGCATGCGTCAGGAATTCCTTCCTTTATAAGGCTTAGACATCTAACTTTTAAAAGTCCCTAGGATGACCCAACATGGCCAGCTCACTACTGAAACAAATCTCTCCCAATTATCACAGTTTGAGATGCCTCTCACTTCCCATCCACTCCTTTCCCCATTCTGGCTGACACTTTCTTTCACTAGGAATCATCACTTGTCCCAATTTCAAGTAAAATGTCTAAATCCATTTTTAATCCAAAATGGAAATTTGGGTAGACAGGCAGGCATGGCTTGAATTTTACCATCATTAACAATTTTCAACTTCTTTCTGATGGGATTTTTCCCTTTAGCTTATTTGCCCGAATTTCCCTAATCTCATAAACTTAAAAAGAAATTTCTTTCTTGGAATCTCTCTCTAGCTGCTACCCTCTCTATCTTCTTAACAAATCTACTTTTAAAAATTTAGTTTAGAAATGTTATCTATACCTCTTGATCTCCCATGCATTCCCTCTGTATCTATCACTCCTCAGAAATTATTTTCTCCAAGGTAACATTTTGTTTTGTAAAATCAAATTGATATCTAATATTTTTATTACCTGACTCTCATGAGCATTTTGGATGTTTGCCTATACTTTTCCTCTTAAAATATTTCTTCATCATTGACTCCTGTAGCACTTCTCTCTGCTAATTTTCCTCCTTTCTGGATGGTTCTTCTCAGTTATATCTATGATCACCTAATCTTCCACTTATTAAATATTGCTGTTTCCCAGGTGTCAGTCAACAGGCTGTTTGCCTTATCACCCTGCATAGTCTTACATACTAATGCATAATATAGTCCATAACCACGGCTTCAAATGTTGTTCAGTTTCAAATTCTCATCTCCATTCCATAAATACAACTGCTCATTTGATACCCATGTCATCTCACCTGTCTTAAAATCATTTCAAACTCAAATGTACTGTACTGCATGTCATTTGTAGGAACTCAAAGTTTATTCTGTGAATAAATGAATAAATGAATGATATAGTTATATACAGAGAGAGGTATCTATCCTACAATTCCAATTATTGTATCTCACTAAAATCATCTCTCATTGTCTAGTCCAAGAAAACACATACTAAGCCCAGCCCCCCAAAAAATACATGCCAAACCCAAAGATGCAGTACTGTAGTACCTCAATTTCTACTGTCTGAATCTTGTCCTGAGTATTGTTTTATATCATTCCCCTTCACTTGATGTTTTCAGAAGGGTACTGATGACACTGTAGTCTGAGACTTCCGGACAGTATACCACCACTTAACCATGACTTTAAGTAGGGACTTTTCCCCTTTGGAACTTTAGGTTCATCATCAGTAATTTGCAGGATAGGTTAACTAAGCTCTAATTATTATTCACGTTTTTACATTTTATAAATCTTCATTATTTAACAGTTCACAAGGCACTATCATACACATCTCCCTGCCTGGGTAATAAAACATCATTTATCACATATATCTTGCTTTAAAGTAAACTAAATCAAAGGTTCAAATAAGGTGTGTGTATAGGGGAGGAGAATGATTTGTAAGTAAAATCACATTACTACTGCTCTAGGTAAACTTCAGCCACAGGGTCCAAAGAGACAAAATATTTCTTGGAGTAACTTCATGACAAGTGTCAGGTATCTTTTACCCTCCTAAACAAGTGTTGTTTCTTTTGAATTTGTTCTACAACATAATAAAAGACTTAAGGGCATGGGCTCAAATTTGGCCTGCAATTAGCCTGAGGATCTTTTCGGAGTGAAGGCTGAGGTTATAAATTTTCACCAATCTCCCTCTAATAGTGGGATGAGATACTGCTGGTTTGAAAATGGCATTTTTAGTGGTAAGGCTCTAGAACCAAATGGCAGGCTCCCTTCCTGTGTTCTCAACATATTAGTTATATGATATGAGGCAAGGTATTGAAACTATCTGCATCTCAATTTTCTGATCTGTAAAATGGAGAAAATAATAATATAGGACTAATAGGACTGTTATGAAGATAAAATTATATTATCATGTAAAGTGCTTCAATCAGTACCTAGGAAATAATACATTCTTGGTAAATGTAATATTATTTAGCACTGGGTGAAGTTTCTCTTTTTTTATTAATCTAGTAGCTCTACTTCTATAGTTTGCTTATCAAAGCCAATTACGGATTATACTATGCTGCTTTGCAAACACAGTCTTGTTCTGCTGCAGTCTCAATCAAACAGTACTATATGAAAATAAAACTCTTCCAAAACTGGAACCTATATATAATAATAGCAATGTGGTAATAGGTTTAATGTACAATTAACACAGTCAATATGATAAATCTGCCTAAATTACACAATTACTTTGCTCGAAAACTTTTAAAAGTTCCCTTCTTTTTCACTGGAAAAATCCCAGACCACCGGCCAGAAACTTAGACCCAAAAGTACATTCCTGACCTTGCCTCTGACATTGCCCTTTACTCACTATACAATATAGTTAAACAGAACCACTTGCAGGTTCACACACTCATCCCATGTTTTCCTATATAGTTATTGACTAAAGAGTATATATTTTATGTTCTTATCTAACATTTTTACTTTACTTTTCTATATTTGACATGTATTTATTTATCAAATACTGTGTATGAGGTAGTCATTCCAATACTCTACTTAATCATGAAACCCAGGTAAGTACATAGCACATTAGTAGTAGCCATCAGTCATTTGTATGATGCTTTAAAATTTAAAAACTTTCTCAGGTATGGTACGTAGCCCTATGAGGCAGGCATCATTACCTCCATTTTGCATAGGAACAGTGTAGGCCTCAGTGTGGATAAATAATTCAGTATCATACGAACTTTGCAATAGCACAACTAATGCGTCATATAATTCTCTTTGATATTGCTTAGATAATCCAAAATAACTAGACAAGTTCTGTGGTAGACAGCTTGTAAAATGGCAACCATGATCTCCACCTGCTGTTATTAATACCCTTGAATAATCCCCTCCAGAGTATGGAAAGGACATGGTGACTTGCTAATAACAAATAGAGTATGGCAAAATAATGCATATTACTTCCGGGATTAAGTTACTAAATACTGTGATTTCTGACTTGCTTGCACACTCTTTTGCTCACTCATTCAATTTAACAAAGCCAGCTGCTATTATGTGAGCAGCCTTTATGGAGACGCTTATAAGGCAAGAAACTGAGCGTAGCCTCCAGCCAACATCAAGAAAGAGACTTGGATCCTCAGCTCAACAACCCATGAAGAACTGAATCCATCCAACAACCAGTGCGCTTGGAAGCAGATCATTCCCTAGACAAGCCTTGAGATGTCTGAAGCCCTAGCCTAATACCTTGATTACAGCTTTGTGATAAAACTGCAGCTAAATGACCCAGATATGGCATGCCCAGGTTCCTGGCCTATGGAAACTCTGGGATAGTAAGCATAATTATTGCAAACCACTTAGTTTTGTGGTAATTTGTAATGTAGCAATAAATAATACAAGATATAAATATTAATATATTTTTTCTGGTTACAGACAATGCTATATGAGACTATTTTCCACTTTGTTAACACTTAAGACAATTAGAAAATTGAAATCTGGATAGGAAGATGGCAAAATATGAAGTCCCATACTGTTGTTACCCAATGAAGACACCAATTCAACAACAACATATGGATCAATTCCCTTTGGAAAAAAATTAGAAGTCAGTTAAAAGGCTCTTGAACCCCATGAAAGTATAAAACCAGATGCATCAAAGCCAGTAAGTAAATTAGTGGTGCTTATTAGTCAGAGTTCATCCCCCTTCACATCACAGTACTATTGGAAGGAAACTCCCAAGTCCTAGCTTCTATGTGAGGAGGGAAAGAGATGGAACATGTGTTTAAAATTCCGGCTTCTGAGGGGGCTGCCCAAGGAAATAGTTTCTGTCTTGCCTGTGTGAGAAAGCTGATTGGGGACCACTGAGAACAAAAAAGCTGAGCAGCAGACATCAGATGCAGAGAACCTGCAGAGCCATAGACAGACAGCAAGAAGGAGCAAGAGATTACGAGTTCTTGAAAAAAGAAACTGGCAAAAATCTCTATTGAAATTTACATGCAAAAATCTAGACAACATGCATCCACAGAAAAGGTTTGGGAAGCCCTCAGAATCTCTAGTATACCTCTTGGGGAAGGTCTTTCCTGTATGAAGACAGTTTGTAAAGACTAGAAAAGTTGGCTATTTTTTCAAATGTATAGAATTCAACACAAAGTAACATGTCACACAAAGAAACCAGGAAACATTAACTAATGGGACAAAATAAATCTCCAGATTTTAACCTTCAAAAATGGGCACGTATGAATTATCTAACAAAGGATTCAAAATAGCTATCATAAAGACTCAGGAAGCTCATGAAAATGATATAAGAACAAAATGAGAATACCAACAGAGATAAGAAATATTAAAAAGAACAAAATTTTGGAGCTGAAGAATAAAATACCTGAATTTAAAAGCTCAACAGAGGGATTTAACAGCAAATTGGATCAAGCAGAAGAAAGAAGCAGTGAACTCAAAGATGGGCCATTTGAAGTTATTTAAAGGAGCAAAAAGAAATAAAAAATGAAGAGATCATAAGGAACATATGAAAAATCATCAACCATACAAATGTATATATTATGGAAGTCTCAGAAAGAGAAGGGAAAGGGGAAGAAAACTTATATAAATAAAAATGGGCAAAATTTCCCAAGTCTGGGGAAGGAAACAGACATCAGAATCAAGAATCCCAACAGACCCTATCTAGAATGAAAGTAAAGAAGATCATATCATGTCAAATTAAAATCAAATTCTAATAAATAAAAGATAAAGTGAGAATTCTGAAAGCAGGAAGGGAAAATTGACTCTTCACATATAAGGGAGGCTCCATAATAATTTTAGCAGAATTATCAGCAGAAACCATGGAGGCCAAAGGTAGTAAAATGATACATTCAAAGTACTAGAAGAAAAAAAGAACCTGCCAATGGAAAATACTGTACCCCAGAAACTGGTCCCTCAAAAATAAAAGTGAAATAAAGATGTGCCCAGAAAAACATAGGGGAATGTCTCTTGAAGAGGTTCATCACCACTGGTTTTGCCTTACAAGAAATGATAAAAGGAGTCCTTCATGTTGAAATGAAAGGATGCTAGATAGCAACACAAAAATATTTGAAGCATAGATTGCTAGCAAAGGTAAATATTTAGACAAATACAGAATCCTGTAATACAGTAGCAGTAGTATGTAAATAACTTTAAACACTGGTATCAAATTTAAAGACAGAAGTATAAAAAAACTATAACTATAAAATATTCTAATGGACACACCCTATATAAATATGTAATTTGTGTTATCAATAACATGAAGGGGGCTGAAACAAAAGAGAAGTGATTGTATGTGATTGAAGTTAAATTGTTATCAGCTTAAAAGAGTTATAACTACAAGATGTTTTACGAAGCCTAATGGAAACTACAAAGAAAATACTACAGAGGATACACTAAAGAAAAAATAAGAAAGGAATCAAAACATATGACTACAAAAATAACAAAATGAAAAGAAAGACAGTAAGAGAGGAAAAAAGGACAAAAACAAAGGGAAAAGACAGAAAACAATTAAGAAAATGGTCCTGTCAGTAATTACTTGAAATGTAAATTGATTTTAAAATCCAATAAAAAGATTTATAGAGTAGATGAATAGATGAAAAAATGAGTCCTAACAATATGCTGTCTATAGATAATCTCTTTAGATTTAAGGACACACATAGGCTAAAAGCAAAAGGATGGAAAAATATATTCCACACAAATGTTAACAAAAATAGAACAGGCGTGACCTTGCTTATATCAGACAAAATAGATTTGAGGTAAAAAAACTGTCACGGGAAACAAATAAATAGATTATATCATGATAAAAAGCCAATTCATCAGGAGCTATAAATATATAACAATAATAAATGTATATGCACTCACTAGCAGAGCAACTAAATATATGAAGCAAATATTGACAGAACTGAAGGATGAAAAGATGACAAATAATAATAGTATATTTTAGTAACTAACTTTCAATAATGAATAGAAAAACCAGACAGAAAATCAGTGAGAAAACAGAATACCTGAACAACACTCTAGACCAAATGAACCTAAGAAACATATACAGAATATTCCACCCAATGGCAGCAGAATACACATTTTTCTCAAGAGCTCATGGAACATTCTCCAGGATAAATGACATGTTAGGCCACAAAGCAAATCATAAAAAGTTCAGAAAGATTGAAATCATACCAAGTTTCTTTTTCAAATACAGTAGAATAAAACTAAAAATCAATAGCAGAAGGAATACAGGAAAATTTAAAAATTTGTAGAAATTAGACAATATACTTCTGAACAACCACAGGTTATGAGGAAACAGCAACTAAACTTAAAAATATCTTGAGACAAAACAAAAACAAAGTATCAAAACTTATGGGATGCAGAAAAACCAGAACTAAGAAAGAAGTTTATATTGAGAAGTTTTTATTAAATTCCCATATTTAAAAAGAAGAACCCTAAATAAACAACTTAACTTTATACCTTAAAAAAATAGAAAAAGAAAAACTAATTCAGTTCAAAATTAGCAGGAAAAAAGATAACAACCATTAAAGCAGAAATAAATGCAATAAAGAATCTAAAAACAGTAGTAACAATAAAAGACACTAATATCAACAACTAAGAATGAACAGAAATTGCCTCAACATAATAAAGGCCATATATGAAAATCCCACAGCTAACATCATACTCAATAGTAAGCAACTGGAAACATTTCCTCTAAGATTAGAAGCAGGGCAAGAATGTCCCCTCACCATTTTTATTCAGCATAGTACTGAAGTCCTAGCCAGAGCTATTTAAAAAAATAAAGAAGTTAAGAAAATAAAAAGCGTCCATTGAGAGAGGAATAAGTAAAAGTGTCTCTGTTTATAGATGACATGTTGTATACAGAAAATTCTAAAGATTACATACACACACAAAACTGGTATAACTAACAAACTCAGCAAAGTGGCAAGATACAAATTAACATTAAAAAATCAGTGGAATTTTAATTCTCTAATAAGTAATCCAAAACGTAAATTAAGAAAACAATCCCATTCATAGTAGTGAGAAAAAAAGTAAAATATTTAGGAATAAACTTAACCAAGGAATGTAAAGACTTGTACACTGAAAACTACAAAACATTTCTGAAATAAATTTAAAAACATACAAATAAGTGGAAGTCTTTTCATGGTGTGCCACAAATATCACATCTAGTGTTTATGGATGGGAAGACTTACTATTGTTACTGTTGTCCATTCTACACAAGATCATCTACAGATCCAATACAATCCCTATCAAAATTCCAATGGCATTTTTGCAAAAATGGAAAAAAATTCTACAATTCATATTGAACCAGAAAGATTCCAAATAACAAAAACAATCTTGGAAGAACAAAGCTGGAGGCCTGACACTTTCTGACTTCAAAACATATTATGAAGCTACAGTAATCAAAACAGTATGCACTTGTGAAAAATCAGATACATAGACAAGTGGGACAGATTAGAGAGCCTAGAAATAAATTTACACATATATAATGAAATACTCTTAGACAAAGGTACCGAGAGTACCCATAGGGAAAGGATAGTCTCTTGTACAAATGTTACTGAGAAAACTGAATATCTGCAAACAAAAGAATGAAAGCCTTTCCTAGAATACACATTAAAAAATCAACTCAAAATGGATTAAAGACTTTGTCAGATGGATAGATTGCAAAAACTTTCCCCCATTCTGTAGGATGTCTGTTCACTTTGATGATTGTTTACTTTGTGGTGCAGAAGCTCTTTAGTTTAATTAGATCCCATTTATCAGTTTTTGCTTTCATTGCAATTGCTTTTGGTGTCATTGTCATGAAATCTTTGTCCGTGCCTATGTCCTGAATTGTATTGCCTAGATTTTCTTCTAGGATTTTTATAGTTTGGGTTGCACATTAAAGTATTTAATGCATCTTAAGCTGATTATTGTATATGGTATAAGGAAGAGGTCCAGTGTCAATTTTCTGCATATGGCTATCCAGTTATCCCAGCACCATTTATTAAATAGAGAATCATTTCCCCATTGCTTGTTTTGGTCAGATTCGTTTAATAGCAGATGGTTGTAGGTGTGCAGTCTTACTTCCGGGCTCTTACTCTGTTCCATCGGTTTATGTGTTTGTTCTTTTACCAGTACCGTGCTGTTTCGGTTACTATAGCCTTGTAGTAGAGTTTGAAGTCAGGTAGCATAATGCCTCCGACTTTGTTCTTTTTGCTTAGGATTGTCATGGCTCCTTTTTGGTTCCATATACATTTTAAAATAGCTTTTTTAAAATTCTGTATAGAACGTCAGTGGAAGTTTAATGGGGAACAGCAATGAATCTATAAATTGCTTTGGGCAGGATGGTGATTTTCACAATATTGATTCTTCCTGTCTACGAATTTAAAATTTAATCAGTTAAGGTAATTACTTGCAAACAGAACATATGGAATCTGGCTTATTTTGGAAAAAAAAATATACTGGAAGTATATTAGAGATGTGTAGTTTAACTCACGGATATGCTGTAGCTTGAGAACCAGTTGAGTAACAGCCTGGTCCCAAGGCAGCTCTGGAAGATGGAAGCAAAACCACAGCAGTAATTTCAGAGGCAGGGTGGTCCACTCAGAATTCACTGCCTTCATCACCACTACTGTGGGTGACTCCTCTCTTCCTCATATCACCAGTTAAAGAGACTAAGTCCTACCACAGCACAGCTGACTGTCTGAGCTTATCTCAAGTGCCCCTTTATGTAGTGTGGAGAGATAATATGAGTGACTAGTTTCCAGTAGTTAGTCATCAGGAATTACTCTACCACCAAGATACTACTAAGAAGGGGAAATTAAAAATTGGGCAGGCAAAAAACATCTGTAAGTATCTAACACATTGAAAATTACTGTGGCTTTTTTTGCTGCAGGCATCAACAGTTTTTATTGCTTTTTTTCATTTTTTAAAAGAAGGCTTACCAAGTTTTGGATACTGATATTTCATTATCTGCTTTGTTTTGGATGCGTTTGGAACAAAAAGTATAATATTGGATATTTTCTTTGAGGTTTTTGGTTCCTATGTCAGAATAGCTTGTTTAGTTTTATTTCTTTAATTTTACAGGTATTTCTAGATAATTTACATGAAGTAGAATTGAAGCTCTAGCAGCTGTTGTTCAGAGCAATAAATCATCCTAAGAATCCCCTACATGTAATTATAACTTCATATTGTGCAAATGTCATCAGTCATGCGTTTTGATTGTTCTGGGCACACATTATGGTGATCCAGGTGTAGAGATGGAAGTCCATCTGGCCAATTATATTTGCTGTTACTAGAGATAGTTTGTTTTTTCTTCTGTCTATATTTGAACAAGAAATATATTGAACCAGCTCCAAGAGGCTATGATAGCTCTATTGTTCTTCCAAATGAAGGCAGAAAAAATTAGTGTTTTTTTTTTTCCTTTGGTGGCCATTTTCTAACACATTATTTTGTCAATAACAGAATTATAAGAGAAAAAATTCATACTACCATGATTTGTACTCCATTTTAAAAAAATAACTGTAAATGCCATATTCATGATAGTTATCTGTCTCTGTACAATTAAATTTTAGCCTAAGCCAAGCAATCAACCAAAATATATTCTCATGACATAGAAACAATTTTCCCAACTAAATTTAAATAATTTAGATATTTCAAAACCTGTTTCTTCAGTGTGATAAATCATGAGTTGTTTGATTTAATATAAAGAGTAAGCATATGAAAGTGTAATGTAAATTCCATGAACATTAGGTTTTGTTTGATTTTGTTTTCCATTTCATTTGAAAAGTAAGTTTCTTCATGTTAAACCATAATGAAGAATACATTTTAAATAATTGCATATTATAGAAGAATCTCTATATAAACACACACAAAGATATGTATTTATGTTATATGTGTGTGCATGTAAGTTATATATGTGTATGTATATTATAATTCAGAACATCTCAGTTCTTTTTATTGAAACCATTACAAGTTAAAACTATCTGCATGCACACACATATACATTGGTAAGTGAACAAATATAAAACTAGTGCATGTAAAGGTCAGTTATCAATTTTTTATACTTCTTACTGGTAAGGTATAAAAAAATGAATAATAAAGCTGCACTAGAGTATCACTTGGATGTGAAATTAAACTGCAGCTTACCATCCTGGCCAACATGGTGAAACCCCGTCTCTACTAAAAATACAAAAATTAGCTAAGCGTGGTGGCAGGCACTTGTAATCCCAGCTACTCGGGAGGCTGAGGCAGGAGAATCGGTTGAACCAGGAGGCAGACGTTGCAGTGAGTCGAGATCACACCACTGCACTCCAGTCTGGCGACAGAGCAAGGCTCCATCTCAAAAAAACAAAACAAACAAACAAAAAAAAACCAGCTAAGACTTCTGTGGGCCTTAATAATTACCACTTAGGTTGGTGCAAAAGTTATTGCTGCTTTTGCCCACAATTACTTTTGCACCAACCTAATATTAACATGAACATAATCATTAAGTGTTGCTGCAAGACTATATCAAGCTATTCATTCAATAATTCTTATAGAAAACCAGCTATTTAGCATCTGAAGAAACCATGTAAGAAACTACTGAGTTTTTAAACATCTATTTTAAAAGAAAAATGTGGCAGAAGTAAGGGAAAGGAATATATTTGTTTATTATCACTCTACTAAGTTAGGGAAGAAAATGTTTATCTCATTAATACATCCTTCAATTGTTTTTTGTAAGTTACCATGACTTTATAATGGACTGTCAAAGTGGAGTAACTCTGAACCAAAGACAAAGTGGCAGAAAACTTGGACTCTCCAGAAATAAGGTAATTCTTCAAATATTGGCATTTTTAAATGGAGAAATACACAAAACAACTCTAAAACACTGTACAACTTTTAAAATATTTCTCAATATTAAAATTATAAACTCCAGTGAAAAAGTATCAATGATTTCAAATTATAATCTGCATCAACACAATAATTAGATTTTTTGTTAAAAAATTAGGATAATTTTCACGTTAAACACGCATCTGAACATTTGCTGTAGTTATCACCTCAATCCAGAAAATGAAACAGAATTGGCAATGAGAATTGTAAAGCATGTACACATCTGAAATATACATTTCTTACTATATTTTCCAAATTAAATGTTTTTTCATATTGCATATTTAGTATTAAATGTTTTTATGAAAGAAAATAAAAATATAAAATAAATGAAGATGACAGAGTATCAGCTACACACCATCAAAGCAACCTGTGAGACCTTTGGATATAATAAATATTTGTGATTCAAATATCTGTGTCACTATATAGTGTAGGATTTATGATTCTTGTTTTGTAAAAATGTTAATTCATAAAGTATCTGTGATTGAAACTGCCCCGCTTTAATTTACGGTATATTTATTAATCTCCAAGCTTAATTAGCACACAAATTTAGGAAAAGCATTCTCCTTTTGTTTCACTTTCACCAAGACTTCTGAGTAATCTATATGCAAGATGCCTCACAAAAAGCAATGAGCTTTGATAATTTCAGACCTATTTATGCTCACATGCTCCAGAAACAATGCCTATACATTTTTCTAATCCAAGCTTTTGAGTCACAGTATAGCTTGATAGGAATCAGTAATTATCTTCCAAATATATCCAAAGCCTCATAAACATACCCTTCATATTCTGAAACTAGCTTGATAAATTTGATATTTAGAATATTAAAATTTCCAGATCACATTTATTTCTGAGGACAAGCCATAAATTTCCTATAGCTATATTGTTCATTACTTGGTTTATAACTGAACAGCTCACAGTTCTTTTTATTGAAACCACTACAAATTAAAACCATCTGCAAACTAAATGAATGTACAGCAGATTCCAGTAAACAAAATAAGGTATTTAATAAACCTGATTATCCCTATAATTCTTTAGTGATTCATTGGCCAATCTCCAACAAACATTTCTAAATATTATGTATAGCGATAGCAAAATTATATTTTACAAAAATACTTATTTAATCTGATGCTATATCTGAAGAGTAGCCAATTTTGTAACAATGATGTTTACAGTGCATTTATTTTACATATTAATATTAATGGCATTCACAGTGGTCTAAAATAACATCTAATAATGACAATGTTGCTGCTAATGAAAATTCTTTATATGTTTCAATGTGTATGTCTCCTTTTAAATTTCGTATTACTTTATTTCTAAATGTGTCTTTTTAAAAATAATTAATAACACCCATCATCCTGAAAATGTACACATTAAGCTGATCCTTCCTATAGGATATAAACCATTTCACTAAGAGAAAACAGTTAATATGTTTGAAGTATCTTCTGATCGCCAAAGCATTTCTCACATGTGGCCCTATTCAGTATCACCTTTCCACATAGGTAAATGAGTAAAGAGATTGATGGCTAAGTAACTTTTCTAGTTTTACCAAGTAAATAAATGACAGAGTTGGAGTTACACTTTTGGTGTCTATGATTATAGTGGCCCCCCTATAATCTGTTCATTTTATAGTGCCAACCTCCTACAATTCAAAACATTTGTGCCATATTCTGTTTCTTTAGCAATCATTTTACAGCAAATATTTTTATTCCCTGTTAATTTGGACTATTCCTTACATTTCAATTCCAAGATGAAAAACTAATGAAACAAGGAGCATAGAAACATATTTAATCACATTTAAACACACTTAATCATAAACATAAATACAGTGACATTCATTCTACTGGTTTATTCCTTTGGTTAAACCTATTTTTTATAGCTATTATGATGTTTGGAGGGAAAGGAGACAATTTTCTCTACAAATGTGGGTGATAATTACGGGATTTTGCCCCACAGGAATAACAAAATAAAAGTATTCACATACCAAATAAAACAATACATAAAGCTATAGGGCCAACTGTTTTTCAAATATTTAAGGCTTTATTATATTGTACCTGAATAGGAAAAAGTGTTTTATGCATAAAATTATTCATACGCAATTATTCCTCCTCATCTAATGTAAGAATTTCAGGAAGTTGAGTGTTATTATCGGTTGTCACAGAGGAGGATCCTAATTCCTAAACATCTCTAGATAAAATCCTCAGAGAATTAATAGAGTCACAAAGCTCCACAGTTCATTTAGTAAAGTTCACTAATACAAGCACACTGGGAGTAACAATATCATAGTGACAATTCTGACCCATAAGAAAAATTTAGTTTATTTTAATATTTCTTAATTTTTAACTACATTTTGGTTTAATAGTTCATTTTATTTTTTTAGTAACTTATCTGCTTGAGGCCAGACATTCAAGACCAGCCTGGGCAACACTGCCAAACTCCACCTCAAGAAATAAATAAATAGGAGGAGAAGGTGGCTGACTAGATGCAGCCAGGAAGTGCCCCTCCCACAGAGAGATCAAAATATCAAGTAAACCAACACACTTTGAACAGATATTTCAAGAGAAAACACCAAGAGTTGATAGAGAACAGATATTTGGAAAGAAAACACCAAGAGTTGATAGAGAGGCAACGCGGGCACCGAGAATGACGAGGGAGAAAGTCGGGAACCTTGTGCAAGGTTGCCAAATGCTAGGGCTAGTTTCCACCCCTGAACAGCTCCTAGGGAAGAGGTGAGTGAAGGGATAGCAGGGCAGTCTACTCTCCTTACGGGCCTCCAGGATCCTAGCTACAGGAGATCCCACAACCTCCACAGACATTTGAACTGCCTGGAGACTACACAAAGACCTCTCCAGTGTACGTGGAGCCCAAAGGGGTTTGATACATGGGGCAGCTGCAGCAGAACGAAGCCATAGATGCACATCCGCTAACGTCCCCCATCTTCCTCTGAGTAGCTCTAACCTGAGCTGGCCGCAGGGCCAACAGAGAGCAGGGTAGACTTTCGTGCAGGACTGGAGCATGTGTGTTTTGCAGACCTTCTTGCCCACCAGCCCTCCTAAAGCCACTGTCTGACCGCTCCCACTGGCTTGATGCCAGTTATTGAAGGGGGCTTCCCCAAGGCCTAGGAGCAGGCTTGGTAAAGGGGTTGTATCTCCCTACTCCACCACAGAGTGCTGCCATGAACATTCTGAAATACAAAAGACCCATGTTGCTGAGTAGGAGCCCGTGTGCTGGCCATTACCTAAGCACAATTTACAGGATAGCAGCCCAAATCACAATACCAAAAATATTCTGCCAACATTCATTGTCTGTGAATACTAGGGCAAAAATCTAGCCACAAATAAAGATCCTATACAAAGCATTGGCCCTCCGAAAGTACCCAGAAATGAAGCCAATTGAATATATTCCATTTATACCACGATGAAATGGACAACAGTCTACTCAGATGAGAAAGAATCAGTGCAAGAACTCTGGCAATTTAAAAAGTCAGAGTGTCTCCTTACTTCCAAAGGAGCACACTAGCTCTATAATAATGGTTCTTAACCAGTTTGAAAGAACTGAAATGACATACATTGAATACATAATCTAGATGGCAAGAAAGCTCACTGTGATTCAGGAGAAAGTTGAAAACCAATCCAGGTAACCCAGTGAAACGATCCAAGAGCTGATAGATGAAATAGCCATTTTAAGAAAAAAAGCAAATTGAATGTCTGGAACTGAAAAATTCACGGCAAGAACTTAATAATACAGTTCAAAATATCAACACCAGAACAGACCAAGCTGAGAAGAGAATCTCAGAGCTCGAAGACCAGTTATTTGAATCAACAGTCAATTTTTTTGATTTAACGAACAAAACCTCTGAGAAATACGGGATTTCATACAGAGACCAATCCAATGATTCATTGACATTCCTGAGAGATTAGGAGGGAGAATAAGCAACTTGGCACATATATGTAAGAATGTAGTACACAAAAATTTTTCCACTCTCCCTAGAGAGGTTGACATGCACATTCAGTAAATTCTGAGAATCCCTGCAAGATACTATACAATATGACCATCCACAAGGCACAGAGTCACCAGAGTCATCAAGGTGAATGCAAACAAAAAAAATATATATATTAAAAGGCATCTAGAGAGATAGGTCAGGGCACTTACAAAGTGAGTCCCATCAGGCTTGCAGCAGACCTCTCAGCAGAAACCTCATAAGCCAGAGGAGATTGGAGGCCTATTTACAGCATTGTTATGAAAAAAAAAAAATTTCAACCAAGAATTTCATATCATGCCAAACTAAGCTTCATGACTGAAGGAGAAGATCTTTCTTGGATAAGCAATCAGAGAGGGAATTTGCTACCACTAGATTGGCCTTATAAAAGGTCTTTAAGAGAGTGCTAAACACAGAAATGAATGATAACTGCTCCCACAAAACACACTTAAGCACATAGCACACAGACACTATAAAGCAACTATAAAATAAAGTCTACAAAACAACCACCTAACAATATGACAGGATCAAAAGCTATTATATCAATACTAAAACTGAATGTAAATGGTATAATGCCCCACTTAAAAGGAATAAAGTGGCAAGCTGGATAATAATACAATACAAGACCCAATGGTCTGCTGTCTTCAACAGACCCATCTCACATATAATGACAGCCAGAGGCTAAAAGTAAAGGAGTGGAGAAACATCTACCATGCAAACAGCAAATAAAAAAGAGCAGGAGTTACTATTCTTAAGTGAAATAAAACAGGCTTTAAACCAACAATGATCAACGAAAAAGAAGGGCATTACCTAAAAAAGGTTCAATTCAACAAAATTTAACTATTCTAAATATATACACATAAAACACTGAAGCACTCAGATTCATAAAACAAATTATTCTTGACCTACAATAAGATTTAGACAGATATACAGTAATAGTGGGAAACTTCAATACCTCCAGTGACAGCATTAGACAGATCATTGAGGCAGAAAACAAACAAATAAATTCTGAAATTAAACTCAACACTCAACTAAATTTGGGGAAACACACAACGTCCCAAGATTAAACGAGGAAGAAAATAAAAATGTTAATAGACCAATATGTTCTGAGATTGAACAAGTAATCCCACTAAAAAGTGGACAAAAGATATGAACAGATACTTCTGAAAAGAAGACATACAAGTGGCCAACAAACATATGAAAACATGCTCAACATTATTAATCATCAGAGAAATGCAAATCCAAACCACAATGAAATACCATCTCACACTGGTCAGAATGGCTATTATTAAAAAGCAAAAAAACAATAGATGCTGGCAAGGCTGCAGAGAAAAGGGAACACTTATACATTGTTTGTGGGAATGAAAGTTCAGCCACTAAGGAAAGCCATTTAGCAACTTTTCAAAGATTTTCAAACAAAACTACCAATCAACCCAACATTCTCATTAATAGGTATATACCCAAAGGAAAATAATTTGTTCTGCAAAAAAGACACATGCATTTTCATGTTCATTGCAGCACTATTCACAATAGCAAAAACATGGAATCAAGCTAGGTGCCATCAACAGTGGACTGCATAAGGAAAATATGTTACATATACACCATGGAATATGAAAGCCATGAAAAGAACTAAATTGTGTCCTCCTTGGATGCAACTGGAGGTCATTATCCCAAGTGAATTAACACAGGAACAGAAAACTTTATACCACACATTTTCACTTATAAGTGAGAGGTAAACACTGAATACACATGGACATAAAGATGGGAACAACAGACACTGGAAACTACTATAGGAGGAAATGGGGAAAGGCTGAAAAACTACCTGTTGCATACTATGCTCACTACCTGGGTGATGGGATAATTGTACCACAAACTTCAGCATCACACAACTTACCTATGTAGTAATCCTTCACATGTACCCCCTGAATGAAAATTAAAAGTTGAACATATTTAAAATAAAAATTGATTTAATAATAAAATACTAGCTTCCGGGTATTTTCTCTGAGTCACTATTTGATTATATATAAATTGTATTTTGAAATATTATCAAATTCACTTTTAAAGATTAAGTGAAACAACATATGTAAAAATACATAGCAAAAAGGACTTAATACAAGTTATTTTCCCTTTATAAGGAAAGAATATATCTTTGTAGGCATACGACTACAGAGTTCTTGACACTAGTGGTTATTTAATAAATATACAGTGTTAAAAATATAAAGAAATTAATGAATAGATTAAGTTTTATAGCACTATGGAAAGTACAGTTAAAGAATCTAGTTTTATTTGTGCCTATTCAGATTCTTGATAATTTTATTTCACCACTGTATATTTTTCATTTATTTTTAGCTTACTTTTATCTAATTCTATATTATTTATTCCTTATATGTTTTCTACTTGTTCTAAGAAGAGAAAGTTGTTTGCTCATTTAGCTAGGCCATTTATATTAGTAGGCAGAATTCATTTTTTGTCAAGCTTTTATTAAAGGTAACATGACTCATTCCAATGAATTTCTTCATTTTTTATTTCTAATGTTAATTATCCAGTTCTCATACATTGCTAGAACCGTAATTTTGGATGGAAATTAGGTAACTACTGGGTAGACAAAGAAGACTGTTATGCAATTTAATAGCTATGAAAATAAAAGTTTTTTATTATTTGTTTTTGGAAATACATGCCCTTGCAAATGACAGTAACTTTAGAACTAAAAATAGATATTATATCTTGTGTATATTACTTCAAAGTACATGTTTACCAAGCTCATCTAAAAACATTACAAGTTCTTTTTGAAAAAATACACCCAACAAATACAAGGAAAATTATTCTTTAAAGCTGAACTTATTTTTCTAATCTTGAAACTGAGGAAATATAAATCTCTGCAATCAAACTGGTAATACTGAAATCAGCCTTTACTCCACATATTTGTTTTTTTATTCATGCAAAAATAAAATAATCCAAGATTATTAATAGCAACCGATACAGATCAACGCCCATGTAATTCTCAGGTCTTTAGAAAACTGAACAAATGTTAAACGGATCAAGGCTCAGAACAACTGCCTCAACCTTGACTTTTTCCCCATGAGATCCAGATAGAAGTTCTCTCCACTAAAATGGACACAAACACACTTCTATTCAACTGATGCTGATGGAGTTATAAGAGCCCATGACAAACAAGAGTCACTCTGATTTGAATTAAGCAGCTTAAGAATTTTATACTACACTTGGATTAATAGTTTTAGTTAATAGTATTTCAGTGAGCAACTAAAAATCACCTTTAAGAAACTGCTCTTAAAAATCTCACAAGGGGCCAGGCACGGTGGCTCACACCTGTAATCCCAGCATTTTGGAGAGGCCAAGAAAGGCGGATCACAAGATCAGGAGATTGAGACCATCCTGGCAAACACACGGTGAAACCCCGTCTCTACTAAAAATACAAAAAAAAATTAGCCGGGCGTGGTGGCGGGCGCCTGTAGTCCCAGCTACTCGGGAGGCTGAGGCAGGAGAATGGCGTGAACCCGGGAGGCGGAGCTTGCAGTGGGCGGAGATCGCGCCACTGCATTCCAGCCTGGGCGACAGAGTGCGACTCCGTCTCAAAAAAAAAAAAAAAAAAAAATCTCACATTGGCTCCAAAGGCTGAATAGGAATCTGTAAGAGCAACAGCATGTTTCTAATAAAAGGGGAAGCGCTATACTAAAAGTAGGATGCCATAAAATAAACTCTGGTTAGTACAGTCAACTGGTGGAGTTCCTTTGAAACTTTATTCAAGAGCCCAATTTACTATATAATGTAATCAACTTTGTTAGTAAATATTTTATAAGGAAAACAAATATACATGCATTTTGTGCTATGGAATCCAGGTACCACAGCTTTATCTGCTCCTAACTTTAGATTAGAAAAGGAAGCTGCTACTATAATATCACTAGTAGAAAATATTTATTTGTAGGGAAGAGGAGCAGAGGGGAAAGCAAAAATTCTGAGATAGAAAAGATGAAAGAAGTGTTGATGTTACTGTCTCCTCTAGTACAAAAATCCACATCTTCAGAGTTAACACCTCAGACTCTACAGTCCCACTGACTGGGCCATTCACCCCATTCCACATGCCATTTCCTAATGACATAAATTCCTTCAAACCTAATTCCTCAGCAACAAAAGAGCAATAGTAATAATGTCATGTGCTTTGGAGAATATTAGATGAGACAATACACATAAAGCATTTATCATAGGGACTTGCATACAATATTTTTTTCTTTTTATTATTATTCTGATTTCATTGTGAGAAAAAATAATGGATAATTTGCCAACATTGTGTTTCCACAGAAAGAAGAAATAATGCCCTTAAGGTTTTCACATTGCTCTTTTCTTGGCACAAAATGATGTGTTCTTATTCCTTGGAGCTAGGAATATGATGATCTTTTTCTTCTATAAATTTAAAATCTCCAGAACATATTTAACTCTAGAAAATAAATTTTTTAAAGTAGGGGTGTTTGTCATTTATGTACATGAATGATAGATCTCTACTTTTCTAGTCATTTTTAAAAAATTACTGTCTTTCTCCTATGTGATATTGTTGCTAATAATCATGAACTATACTGACTACAATTCTCTCCCACAAGTTTCCAGGGATCAGAGTTTAGCAGAAATAAATATGTGACCTAGATATTTTTCATTATATTCTTTTAGAAAACTGTGAGGGTTTTCCTTTTTTTTTTTTTTACAATAATCTAAAAATAAATGAGGAAAAAAAGAAGAAAATGAAAATCAATCTCCTCTAAAAGAAACATTTAATTACTATTTTATTGGAATAATTTACTGTAAAAAGGAATTAACAGAGTAATATTTAGTACAAAATTAGCTTTTATAAAATTATAAACTTTTAAAACTCTGAAACAATGCAAGGTATGTTACTGTCAATAATGCTATGTTTGTGTTTCCTTTTTTGAAAAAATGACAGTTTATTCTGGAGTAAATAGCTTACAGTGCCATCTCAAGAAAGCTAAGAGCATAGAAGAATTCATCTCCGTGATGTTAAAAACTAAAATGAAAACAAACAAAAAAACACCCACCTTCATTAAGGAACCATGACAGCATGAAAAAAGCAGAAGCAACTGTGATTATAAACTAGGGATCTGGAAGCTTTCTTACCATAACATTCCAGGAGAAGTGATAGCAACAAAAATTATACAGGGAATACTAAAGTAGCCCTTAGAATTAAAGCTTTGCTCTTGTTTTATCTACTGCTACTATAGATTGCTCTGGGCACATACACACTGAAATAATATGGTATACAATGAGTTAACTACTATAAAACATCTGTGTATACTCTTCACTATAAGAGGTTAATTGTAAAACCACAACACAGCCCTTGAGATGTAACTCAAAGCCCATGAAGAATTTTCAAGAGAGAAAAAAGCCCCATTAGACTTTTCACAATACACTGAGCAAGTGAAAATGTATCTGGCTTTTATGTGCATCCCTAAGAACTGACAAGTTATATAGTAGTGTAGTTTCAACAATATTGGGATTTTAGTTACCTCTAAATTCATATTATAGCAGTCAATCAACTCTTTGCTTTAGGCAAGAAAATAAGATAAAACAAATGGTTTTCATTTAAATCTGGGTTTCTTACCTATTCCTAAACAAGAAACAGTAGATAAATGTATTTTGGTACATGATTACATCTCATTTGTGCATATAGATGGAGTATCAATAAATAAGGCTAAAATTCTTGCACAGTTTTTATGCCACTATGTTTCTTCTGATAACTTCCAAGACTGAAGTACATGAAAAAGTTATTTGTGTCTTTGGAAGGTAACATTTCATTACTAACGTAATACTTTATAAAATGCTAGCCTTCTTAGACAGGTCTTTGAGTATCAATTTCACATGATACTTCTACTACAATGTTGTAGGAAATTCACTCATCCATATTTTCTTACACTTCCCAAATTATTACCTGAGAATAAACCAAATATATTCACTCTTTCAGGAGGGTAAGGTATCACTTAATGTACCTTAGATCTAAATATTAAGCCCAAAATTTCAAATTTTCCTTCTTCCTAGAATCTATGATTTACTCTAGAATGAAACAAAGGCAGAATAAACAATAATAGTAATAACTTACGCAAGCAAAGTAATCTATTTAGACATTCCCATTGGTTGGCTATGATCTCATAAGATCATAGAAAAATTAAGAACTAAATTGCATATAATCTCCAACATCCCCACCTACACAAAAGTTAAAAAAAAGAATTCTACTCAAGAAATATTCAGTTTAAAATGCCACAAAATGTCATTGAGCGTATGATATTTACCATTCCATGAAGCTAAATGAATAACAGTGCCTTTCCAATATATTTTCACAATTAGTGGACAGCAGTTGAGGAGAAAGACTCATAAATAAATAATTACAATAAGATTTGATATGTTCAACTACATAAGTACGGTGTTCTACACATATAAAAACACTGTTCTGTATAGTCAACCTCTCTAGTCAACACAATGAACTCTGATAGAGAATGCCAAGAACAACTAAAGATGAGCAGGCATCATTCTGAAAACATGTGAGAAACAAAATATATTAACTCCAACTTTATAGTTACTTTTAGTGCTTAAAGGTATGGAAAGTCAAGAGTAAACTGAAGACAGATTGTGGCATATGAATCTCACACACTGCAATTTCCATTAGGCCTAGATGTAGTAAGACATTGCATATGGGAAAACCTAAAAAATAATATCAGACTAAAAAAACTCTATTTTACTTTCAAAGATATAAGTGGACAAGTAAGTACTCATTTAAATCTACCAGTAATGTGACACTGTCTCCTTTTTTTTCTCCTTTGAAGTCAATAAGCAGTTTTTTGGCTCCATGAAAACAATAATATCTCGGCTTGTATAATACAATAATTCCCTCCATTTTCCCAATTTAAATCCATAAGCAAGCTCAAATTTTGAATATGCGGTAATCTTTGACTCCTCATGAAACATTATTTTGACCTCCTCATGAAACAGTACTATACACTTACTCCCCTACAATAATATACTATGTTTTCTAAGCTTTAAAACATACAGAATGTGTATAAAAAAATATACCAGACTATATACCAGGCTATATCTATATACTTTGTTCCCTACATGATTCAGATGCAACTTTCTGGATTCATCTGGATTAATTTTAAAAATTGTTTATAAGATTAAGAGATTCTAGGCTGGGCATGGTGGCTCATGCCTATACTCCCAGAACTTTGGGAGGCCAAGGTGGGCAAATTGTTTAAGCTCGAGTTCAAGACCAGCCAGGGCAACACAGCAAAACCCTGACACTACACAAAGTAAAAAAAAACAAAAAAAAAACAAATGGAGGGAATGGTGATTCATGCCTGTAGTCCCAGCTACTTGGGAGGCTGGGATGAGAGGACTGCATGAGCCCAGGAGGTCAAGGCTACAGCGAGCTGAGATCCTGTCACTGCACTCCAGCCAGGGTGACAGAGCAAGACCCTGTCTCAAAAAAATAAAAATAAAAAAGATTAGGAGATCCTTTATTCCTTCTATAACTTTAGTGATACTCATTCTATTAATAACTAAATGAGAACAAGCAACTGAAAAAGATTTTGGAGGACAGACTCTTCAGCAGACTGGAGAAAAGGTCTGAGTAGAACATAAAATAATATGCTCTCAAGTCAATTTTCTCCAAAGCTCTCAAGTCAATTTTCTCCAAAGCATCTCAGAATTATTCTCTTGACATTCATCTCTATTGTGGAAGAAGGGAGAAAAGAACCCGGCAGTGGGTTATACTACAACTCTCTAAGGTCTTACTCAGCCATTACCACATTTTTCCCACTCAGCCTTTATTTTAGTTACTCAAGGAGATACGTCTGTGTGTGCAAGTGTGTGTTTGTGTCTGTGTGTATATGTGTGTGTATGAGAGAGAGAGAGAGAAAGAGAGAGCAAGAGAGAGAAAGGCAGGCAGACAGAAACAAAGAGACACACACATACAGAATATCCTAAACCCTTATCCCTCTGAATTCTAAGAGCATCCCATGTCCTCATTTCTTTTGAGCCCTGCAGTTACACCTAAATGTTACTAAGAGTTATGAAAGAGAAGCCTTCATAGATTTATCCAGCCTCAGTGCCTAACTCTTTATTTTCCTCCTAGCAGCTCTCTCAGAGCTCAAATCATCACATGGGCTTGTTCGACTCTGAGCTAGAGTCCCCTTCTTGGAGCCATCCATAAATGGCTCCATACTCTCCTGCACTATACTCAAATCTCAGGGCTACTGATTCATACTGAAGATGGAGTTATCTGAGCTACACAAAAAAGATGGACTGGAACCCTAAGCATCAGGAATGGGCAGAACCAAAATAAATAGGTTGGCACTAGTGTATTTCAGCAAATTCTCTTCCTGACCTACTCTCCCATAAACTCTACAATTCCTCACGGTTACCTACTTACTAAGCTCACCTTCCAAAGTAGGTATTCTAGGTAGATTATTCCCACTCATTCTCATCCCATCTCATGATCTTCAGGCTTGCTTCATTAGAGAGCAATCTACAATGACATACTAATCAAGTTTAATCTATTGAAGCTGTTGATTAAGAAGTTATACAAGTTTCCTAAGACATTATAAAACTCCTAAAAGCATAACTTATCATGAAACTTTCAGTCACCTTCACAAGCTGATGTGATAAATTAATACCAAGTAACATTTTAAGAGTACTTTGTGGGCCAGGTGCGGTGGCTCATGCCTGTAATCCCAGCATTTTGGGAGGCTGAGGCAGGCAGATCACCTGAGGTCAGGAGTTCGAGACAAGCCTAGCCAACACGGGGAAACCCTGTCTCTACTAAAAAATACAAAAATTAGCAGGGTATGGTGGTGGGCGCCAGTAATCCCAGCTACTCCGGAAGCAGAGACAAGAGAATCGCTTGAACCCAGGAGGCAGAAGTTGCAGTGAGCCAAGATCACTGCACTCCAGCCTGGGCCAAAAAAAAAAAAAAAGAGTACTTTGTGAATCATGAAACTTTCTCATTCAATAGTTCAGAAATTTCACAACCACCTAACATGTAGGGTTTACTATTACTCTCCTTTTAAAAATGAAGAATCCCACTTAAAATATTTGTTTCACTTACAATTGTTTACAAATTATTTGGTTTCCAATTCTAGAGAAAGTAAATAATAGAATCTGGTGTTGAATTTAGATGAATAGTTTTCAATCTTTATAGTATATCAGAATCACCTAAAGAGTTTATTCAAACACAGATTGCTGGGCCCCCACCTCTAGAGTTCCTGCTTCAGTAGGGAGGAGATGAAGCTAAGGCAATTGCATTTCAAACAAGTTTCCAGATCTTGCAGATACTGCTGATCCAGAAACCATGCTTTGAGCACCATTGACCGAAGTCTAACACCAGACCCAATATACTTTCCACTGCAGCAATGAAGCATAACTAGTTAAGGTTGTTTCTGAAGTGACAACACTTGGGTCAAATGTTGGTTCCACCATTTACTAGCTGTGGCAAGTTATTTAACACTTCTTTTTGTTCCTTGGTTTACTGATCAATTAAAGGGGGGCAATAATAACTATTTCAGAGTGTTTGTGAAAATTGAGATAACATATTTGAAATGGTCTAAAATTAATAAGTGACCATTAAATATTATCTTTTTCTCATAGTATTAGAGTATTAGAGAATTGCTTTATCCTGCTCAAGTTTCTCTAAATTAGGCCAACATTCCAATGGTAACATTTGATTATAAACCAGAGAGAATGTTACGATTGCAGAAGAAGTTATAAAGTTACATATAGATTTGATTATTTAAATATCAAACTAATGCTAAGGGACAGATATATATTTGATTTTTCTCCTAAAGAATAGAGATAATTTGACAAATGTTGATAGTTTTATAACACAGATTCTTTGAAGAAAAATTAAGCTATAAGGTATATGGGTGTGCTTTGGTCAAGATTATGCCGAGGCAGACATCCAGGCCTGCATGACTCAGTGAGTTTAAGGTGCCAGGCGCATACTCCACTTGTTATATAACCTGTTTGTGTAAGTTCACACTAGTCTCTGAGCCACTATTGTCTGCAGAAGGTATAAATGCCCTGCTGATGTTGTGCACAGGGCTCAGTTCAGCATGGCTCGGGCTGGCGCCCAAAGAAAGAGAGAGAACCAGCTTTGTCTGTCTTACAGATGGACAGAGAGGAGCCAGGGCACAACAGGGCTCAACATGCTCACACTCATGCCCAGAGGGAAAGAGTTAAGCTGCTGACCATGAAGGCAAGGGAGAGACAGCTGTGCAGCTGCAGGTGTGGGGACCACAGGAGGCACAAAGCAGGCTGCCGAGAGGAGGCGCAGAGCCACAGCAAACAGCCATGATAAAGGTAGACAGTGTGAGGGAGCTAGTGTGAAAAAGCTGCTGCTGAGAGAGCTGCTGAATAAAACCATATTCACCTGCCCACAGCCCCTGGGTGTTCTTTCAGCTATCACCCATCCACCCACTCCCCTTGGACCTCAGCTGAGGCTGGAACCTGATCCCAAGCAGGCATAGTCATAGCCCTGAACCTGACATAAGCTTATTAACTTCCACTCAATTTTAACTAGGTAAAGCAAGTATATCTGCACCCCTAGTATCCTATGAATGTCTCAAAATTTTCCTGTAGATAAATAAGTGTGTTGGAATTCTTAGTGATTCTCAAACATTGGTGTACATCAGAAACACCTGGAGGGCCTTGATAGTTTGCTGGGCTGCCCCTTCAGCATTTCTGATTCAATAGGTAGGAGGTAGAGCCTGATAATTTGCATTTCTAACAATCTACCAGATGATGCCTATACTGCTGATCTAGGAATAACACTTTAAAACCACTCCCTTATGGTGAAGGATACTAATCATAGAAAACTAGATAACTCAAAGAAAACAGTTCCTGTGTAACAAGCCACTATATAGTAACAATAAAAACTATAAGGGTTTTACTTTCTTGAATATATACCATATTAGTGCTATTGAAATGTTAATAATACTAACCTCATCACAGTTCATTGGGTAGGGCTGAAAATATTCTATTATTCTTCAGATGTGTTTTTTTTTTTTTTGAGACAGAGTCTTGCTCTGTTGCCCAGGTTGGAGTGCAGTGGCACAATCTCGGCTTACTACAACCTCTGCCTCCTGGATTCAAGTGATTCTCCTGCATCAGCCTCCCGAGTAGCTGAGACTACAGGCACCCGCCATCACGCATGGCTAATTTTTGTATTTTGGGTAGGTACGGACTTTCATCATGTTGGTCAGGCTGGTCTTGAACTCCTGGCCTCAAGTGATCCACCTGCTTCGGCCTCCAAAAGTGCTGACATTACAGGTGTGAGCCACCATGCCCGGCCTTGAGATGTGATTTTAATAGCATAAAAAGATAACCATTCATCCACATAATGTGAAGAATACAAAGAAAGAAATTCATATAGAAATCCTTTGTGATTAATATAAAAATGAATATATTTCAATAGACAGTTACCAAGGAAGCCACTTTATGAATTCATGTTTGAATATATCAATGTTTGCAGTTAAAATAAAAATCAATAACCTTCTGTAATAGGTTATAAACTTCAGAGAAAGGACAGCATCTTATTTAACTTTACAGGTAACACTTGCCCAAGCACATGGAGAGCACAGTATATGTTCATCAAATGAATAGTCATGAAAGGCACAATAGATGAATAAATATAAGAATGAAGTAATGAATCAATGGATATGAAAGGGACATTTGGACAGAATAGCCAAGTCATTAAACATTCTTCCAGAAATGGATGGTGTATATAAAAAAAGAAGCTAATGTATAATATGAATCAAACTAAATATTGTTTGTGATTTGGATAAACATCCATTATAAAATAATTAATATAAAATAGAATTATGTTCAATTTTAATATCAAATCAAATCAAAATGTAGAATTATTAAAAGTGCAGCTGGAGAAAAAAATACTCCTACTATTTTTCTACTTGAAACTAGCAGCAAACAGACTATTCCAAAGAATTTTACCCCAAAGATTATTTCACTGCACCTTGGGTTTCATAATTGCCTTCTTACAAAAAGAAAATGTCTGGTTTCACTGTTCTTACAGACTCTATCAAAGAGACAGAGAAAGAGAGAAAGCATAAGAGAAAGAGAGACTGAACATTACATATTATCTAAATTTTATTTCCCCCTCAGTATAAAACACAAAGAACTTGTGACGGCATAAATCATTCTTAAGCTTTGCTTTAAAGTTTTAATATATCTTGAAGTCATGAATATCAAAACTACATCTTAACACTAACTAGAATACTCATCATGCCAAAATGTCATCTTTGCCAGAAAACTGCTGAGGATGTAGCTCAGATCAAAATCAAACTGAAATCAATACTGACATCAGAAATGTCTGATGTATTATTTTTCAACTGTTCTAAAATAGGGTTTACAGAAAAGTTCTAATTCTCCCGTTTACTCCAGTTAACAAACTTTCAATATTAACTCTTCCTTTGATGCAAATCCTTTTATATAGGTTCCAGTCTTAAATAATTTTAGTCTTCTATGTGTACATGCAGTTGTTGATATAGAAAAACAATGAGTAGGAAAAAGAGATTAGAGTCTAATAATACACAGGAAACATGAAACATGCTCATGATTGATTCTCATGATTTCTACTATATCCTAGGAAAGGTCCTTTCTAGGTATAAGGAAAGCTTCAAAAAAATGATGGCATCAAAAAGTATTTATCCATTTCTTCACACATAGTAGACATATACTCTGGCTTCTAATGTATTAATACAGAAGAAGGTTCTAAGCCATAAGACTATGAAAATCCCCATTGAGAAGACAGCCATGTAAATACATACACAATGATTCAGGATTACAAATGCAACACTTTCATTTCTGAGTCAAAACACTTCTCCAGAAGACTTTGTTTGGAAAACTTAAAATAATAGATTTTTTAATAGTAAGTCATAGTTTCCAAAGGTGAATGCAACAGTACCTCCCATCTTACATGTTACTCTAGAACCCTGTTAACTGCTAATCAAAGGAGGGAGTCTATTTCCCCACCTGGTGTACTTAAGTGGGCCTTTGTGACTACCTCACCCAACAAAGTATGGATTAAGTGATGCTATGTGATTTCCATGTCTAGGTCACAAAAACACCATACACTTACACTTTGTTTTCTTAGTATGCTACTGAAAGGAAACCACCATGCTGTGAGGGAACCTAAGCAGTTGATGAAGGGGCCTACATGGAGGAAAAAAAAAAAAGGGGGCCTCTCACCCACAACCCTAGCTGAGCTTCCAGCCAATATTCAGTCATAATGTGTCAATCATGTGAGTGAGTTATCATAAAGTGGATTATCCACCCCTTACCTTAGTTACCGCAGCCGAGGTAAACCATTCTGCCAAATACTGCCTAAATAGAAGATTCGTGAGCAACACAAGTAATTGTTCTTCTAAGCTACTAAGTGGGGATAGTATCTGATGCCGTAGTAGATAACATACAAATCTCTAGTCATTGTCCTGCTCTACAAGCATGAAATAAAATAATGAGGACACAGCAATATAAATATGAATTGGTGTTTGTTTTGAAATAAGCATTTCTCTCACCTGGTGAGTTATTTTCATAACTCAAAATCATACGATGTTATCAATTAATGAAGGGATACTACTTGAAACATATTAGTTGTAAAGTAGAAGTCAACAGAATTTAAATGACCTGCAGTTGGGTGGGGGGTTGGGGGTAACAATAATAAAAACGTAATTACGCAGTGCAGATTACAGACAACAAAATTAAGAAGCAGAATTTCTACAAATATTAAAACTAGATAACCTGCCTCAGTCAATTTGTATAACACACATACACACACACACAAACACACACATTCATGTGCATATATATGCATATATGCACGTGTGTGTATATCTGCAAAGTATAAGAATTGAATGAAATAAGATTCCATAATTATCTTATTGCTGACACTAATAAGTGAATATGGCTACAGTTAACTCATTTATTCACTGATCTATTAACTATATAATAGTTATAGTAGGGTATTTTAATCAATATTATCTATTGCAAACCTAATTCAATACTACAACTGAGGTCAATATCTAATTCAGCCTCTTAGATTTTTGTTAGAAATTTTAAGAAAATGAAAATCTCTTTTAACCTTCAAAACTTCTTTTGGTTATTACTATTACAGCAATGAAAAATAAAACGTTTATCCCATAGTTCAAAGAACTACTAAGAAAACATTTTTCAATTCTTGTATTATATTTCCCTTGTACTAATATTTGCTCTTAATGGGAAAACTTATATCTATATTTGGCATCTGTATCAATAGACATCAAATCTATATCTATATCTGGCTCCTAAAATATTTTCCCAAACTTATTTCAATAATTTTTAAATACACATTTATTGAGTAACTATTATGTCCCAGATACTGTTCTAAACATTGAGAATAATGACTCAAAGCACTGGAGATACGGCAGTGAAAAGAGCAAAGTGTCTGTTCTCATGGAGTCTCTGGGAAATCCAAAACCTTATGTTGGCTCTCTGTGGTAAGCTGGATAACCCAGAATTGGCTATTTCCCCCATGGATTTGATACTGAACATAATTTAATGATCCAGCCATAACCTTAAACCTGAACATCACCAGAATTTTATATTGTCTCCTGAGCCTAGGATAAGCTATAATTGATTTTCTCTAAACAGTCCTAAGCACTCAGGCTTAACTTTTCAAGATTCATAACTACTAGGACTATAAAATAGGAGAAGAAACTTGAATTGCAGGAGAAAAAAAATCCTTTGTAAAATGGATCTACTCTTTTTATTGCATTAAGTATTTACAAAGAACTAAATTAAGTAACTGTGATTTACTGATGATTAAAGTTTAAAAAAACTGATCGGGCAAAAGAAAGGATGAAATGAAAAATCGTGCAAAGGAAAAAGCCAGTTTCTCATGTAATGGGAGATGTCCTTTCTGTTGGATCTTTGAAGTCTGATTTTCTTCACAAGAATCCATCAAGGTTCATTTTATATTTTAAAAGTTCTATATTATCTAACTCCAAAGTCAGTGATAGGATCCATTTCTCCAGGAAATAAATAAAATTGTGTATACTTAGTGTATGTGTCTGTGTGTGTACATATGTATATCAAGTAATACGTTTAATAATTACATATACATATAATCAATTTATTTCATCATTGCTCTTATAACATTCAAATAGAGCTAGGAATTTGGGATCAACTGCAGTGTCAAATTTTAAGGGTAACACGAATTAGGCAAGTAGACGTTTAGAATAAATAAATGATTCTCTTATGTGGTTATTTAAAAATTCCACTTTTTATATACTTTTCTTTTTCTCCTCTTCTCAAAAAATTCCATTTTTTAAAGGTGGATGTGATCTTAGTTATTCTGTTATTTCAGAAGTTGCAATTTGGATCCCCATTGGCTACATTCAACTCCTACACGTTTTACTTAAGCCAGAATATTTAGGTGGGTAAGCAAGTAGGTGTGCATAGAGGTATATAGAGAGAAAGACAGAAACCATCTTGGACAGAACACGAACTCTCCAGTTATAGAGTCTCAGCCATTCCTCATTCACTTTGCCCCCAATAGGCATTTGAGTTTATGACCCTGTCTAGTCAGCTCATCATCTTACAGATGAAAAACTAGTCTGAGAAGATAACTATCCAAGGCACAGACACACAAGGTTCTTGTTATTACTCTGTAAGTGGTATTTTAGAAAATGTTAATATATTAATGGATATTTTAATCACTAGTTCTAATTTATACTGCAATCTGGAATTTCCAGTCCAAAGTATGTTTGATAAACTGAAATGTTTTATAAACTCCTTACATAACTTCAGCTATTCTCTCCAATTTGTTGAACTCTTAAAAATCCATTCACATGAGCCATTTCTAAATTTATTATAGGTACCTTAAAATCATTTATAAACTTGTCAGCACCTCAAAATTCATTTAGATGCTCATATTACTGAACGCTCTTTCTTATAATCATGAAATGGATAAAATACTAAAAATATAAGCAGGCAGAGAGAATTCCCAAAAGATAGATAGATATGAGAAAGAGGGCTCACTTTATTTTTAATAAGAGGTTTTAGAAGGTGTCTTACTAAATTAGCGAAATTTTTATTTATAAAACTAATTGCTTGATTCCTTGCAAATAAAGAAATCCAAAATATACATTGTAAACAATAATTATTTATTTTGTATAGTATAAACAAATAATTGAAGTTGGATTTTATTCTTCATCACTTTTCAGATATTCAAGAACAGGCCATAAAACATCAAAGGAATTATAATTTAACATCTCTGAAAATCAGTATGTCTACTGAATAAGAATGCTTTGAATAAAATCAAATAACTTTAACATAATAAGTATCTGTGAAAAGAATCTTTTATTACCTCAGGTACTAAGAATATTCATAATGCAGGAAATGTAGCACTTCTGTTTTCGTACTTAAATTTGGTTTATCTGAACCAGCATATCAAACTGGCTGTCACCAGAAGCGATCCTCAGACATTAAAGTTCTTAGTACTGAATTATCACAAAATAAGAGAGAACCAAAGTCTTGTGAGCTTAAGTGTGACAAGATTGCTTTGGAATTAATTCCTACACCAGTCAGCAAAACATCTGAATGATATTCCTTAAAAGAAAGAAGTATCTGAGAGAGAGACTATACACAAAACCAAGTCTGTTCTGCTATTTTTCTACTATTGAGATAAAGGAAAACAAAAACAAAACAAAAACCTGTCAATATCTTAAAGCCATTAGAATCCTGTACAGCAACAGAATCTTCACTACATACTGTTGAGCTAAGTGAAATGATGCACAAGGTGTCTTACCTTGTATCTCATTTGTATAAAAATGAAAATCTTCCATGAAATCACCCAATTCACATTTCCTGCTTGTTCAGAACAATCTGTGAAAAATGACTTATTCCACCTATTTTAATAATTGCAAGTTTCCTTTGCATGAGAAATGGCTTATGTACCCTGTTACATGGCCATCATTTCTTTCTACCAAGAGGCCACTCCACAGTCGTTAGCTACTCCCAAGACAACTTTAGCACCTAAGGAAAAAAAGGAAATTAGATTTCTGGTAATGATGATTCATCTATATATCGAAATCCACTAGTACATTGTTATTGTTTTGAAGACATGTTTATTTGTCTTTTTTTAATGATAGACAATCTATAGCAAATGAAGTCTTGAACTAGGAATAGAAAGACCTGAATGATATTTCCTCATGTCTCTTATCAGTTTTGTAATACTCAGCCAAATCATGTAATTTTTTAGACCTGTTTCCTCATCTCTAAAACTGGAAGGAAGACTTTTCTTACATAAATGTGAGACAAACCAAACAAGCTAATATAAGAAAAAAAAAACCTCTGTAAATTTAAAGTATTATATTTGTATGTTTGATGTAATAGACTATTATTTCCCTATTTGTTAGCCATTGTCTCACATTTTCCTTGCTAAAAAATGTGCTTAAGTAGCAACGCCCTGGCCAGGGTATGAAAAATGATTTATTTTAGCCAATCATAGGAATCACACCCACACTTGCCTAGGATTGTTCTGCAGAGGTGGTTGTGAGATACCATTCTGGCCAAAGAAATATAGCAGGTAATGTAATATGAAGTATTCTGGAAAATATTTTCTTCACTGATAAAGGAGAGAGCCTTATGTAAGGAAATCCTCTCATCCACCATCTGCATTTTCTCTCTTTTTATTTTGGACACCATCAAGTGAAGATGTGAAACCTGGCACTTGTGACTTAGGGAAGTTAAACTGGAAAACAAAAGCAAATATGTAAGGGCAGTGAAACAGAAAGGTGAAAAGAAAGTGGATCCCAGATGACACTGATAAGACAGATACTTCCTTACTGATGAATGTGATTAGGAAGGAATAGCTGTGATATCTCCCACAGGAAACTTTAGTCTGCTCCCTAGTACCAGCCAAAGCTTAGTTATTTGCCTACTTATCTATTGAAGCATGTATTACAATATGTCATCACTGTCCTGTTTTTAAATATTAAAGATATAAGGTTTTAAAACTCTGGATTTTCTTTTTGTTTTGTTTCATTTTTGAGACGCTCTTGTCATCCAGGCTGGAGTGCAATGGTGTCGTCTTGGCTACTGCAACCTCCATCTCCCAGGTTTAAGTGATTCTCCTGCCTCAGCCTCCTGAGTAGCTGGGATTACAGGCATGCACCACCGCACCTGGCTAATTTTTGTATTTTTAGTAGAGATGGGGTTTCACCATGCTGGCCAGGCTGGTCTTGAACTCCTGACCTCAGGTGATCCGCCCACCTTGGCCTCCCAAAGTGCTAGGATTACAGGGGTGAGCCACCACACCCGGCCCCAAAACTCTGTTTCAAAAAAACTTCAAAAGTGTTGGAAGAAATGTTAGAGACTATTTTAATAATCTTAGTAAGAGGCAAGCCTTTGTGAGAAGTATGCAGTAATCAAAGGTGATAAAAAGACTGTCAATACATCTGACAAAAGGCTAATATCCAGAATCTGGAAAGAACTCAAACAACTCAACAAGAAAAAAAAATCCCCATTAAAAAGTGGGCAAAAGACATACACAGACATTCTTCAAAAGAAGGCATACGAGCGGCCAACAAACATATGAAAAAAAAATACTTAATATCACTAATCATCAGAGAAATGCAAATTAAAACCACAGTAAGATACTATCTCACACCAGTCATAATGGCTATTATTAAAAAGTCAAAAATCAACAGATGTTGGCAAGGATGTGGAGAAAAGAGAATATTTATACATTGTTGGTGAAAATGTAAATTAGTAAAACCTCTATAGAAAACAGTATGGGCCAGGCACTGTGGCTCACGCCTGTAATCCCAGCACTTTGGGAAGCCCAGACAGCAGATCACGAGGTCAGGGATGGAGACCATCCTGGCCAACATGGTGAAACCCATCTCTACTAAAAATACAAAAATTAGCTAGGTGTGGTGGCACGCGCCTGTAGTCTCAGCTACTCAGGAGGCTGAGGCAGGAGAATGGCTTGAACCTGGGAGGCTCAAGCAGTGAGCCAAGCTCGCGCCATTGCACTCCAGCCTGGGACAGAGCAAGACTCTGTATAAAAACAAACAAACAAAAAACAACAACAACAACAACAAAAAACAGTATGGAGATTTCTCAAATAACTAAAAATGGGACTAATATTCAATTCAGCAATCCTACTACTGGGTACCTACCCAAAGAAAAAGAAATCACCGTATCAAAAAGACACCTGCATTCATAAGTTTATAGCAGCCCTATTCACAATAACAAAGTCATAGAATCAACTTAAGTGTCCATCAATGGACTGGATTTAAAAATGTTGTATATATACATACCATGGAATACTACTCAGCCATAAAAAAGAATAAAACTATGTATTTTGCAGCAACACGAATGGAACCAGAGGCCATTATCCTAAGTGAAATGACTCATAAACAAAAGGCAAAAATCACAGGTTCTCACTTATATGAGGGTGCTAAACAATGGGTACACATGACATACAAAGTGGAATAACAGACATAGGAGACTATAAAAGGTGGGAAGGGAAGAAAGATGAAAATCTACCTATTTGTATAATGTATACTATTCAGGTAAACAGTACACTAAAAGCCCAGACTTCACCACTATGCTATATATCTATATAACACAACTCACTTGTATCCCCTATATCTATAAAAATTAAAAAAAGAAAAAGAATACTGGATCATGCACATTATAGAAAAGTTTAAAGACATCATGTAGACTAGAAATCATATTTGTCACCTATGTAAGAGAGAATTACTATTCATGACATACAATATTTCCTGAAAATTAATGTAAGAAAGACAAGTTACTCAACAAAATAAACTCCATAGGGGAAATATAAATGACCAAAAAAATGAAAACAATATAAAAACTCCACTAATATTAAATAAAAATACAAATAAAATAAATATGACACTTTTTTCTTTAGTGAATTAAATTCAAATGATTAACATGATGTGCTGGTTTGATGCAGATAAACTTTTTCACATGTTTTAGTTGCAGTATAAATTGCTTTAGAAGTGTAATTTGGCTATATCTCCCAAAATTTGAAATGTTAATAATCCTTTTCTTTTCTTTACTGTTTTGTCTTTTTTTATTTGAAGAACTTCTTCTATCCTGTGTGGTTATGGCAAAGGGTCTCAATTGTAGTACCGGACATGCAGTACTATGGATTCCTTGTCCCTCTCCTTTTTTTGAATATGTCTAAAGCTAAGCACATAACAAAAGTCAGTAAAGTTCTACTGAGAAATTTGCATATGGTTCCTGAAAATTTGCATATGGTTCCTTAAACATTTTCATTTAAGTTCATACTTGTAAGGACCACATAAACCTAAACCAACTGAGGGCATGTTTTCTGGAACATGAAGAGATCCTCTCTGAGAATAAGCCTCACACTGAGGAGAGGAGAACAAAGATTCAGAGACATTTAAAGTCTTAGAACTTGAGTATTTCCATACCTTAAACTTGTATACAACAGAAACTTCCCGTATAGCCACTAGTTTATTTTTCTTTGTTTGGGCATCTTGGTATTTGGATTTCCGTCAGTTGCTTTTGAAAATATACTGATATACTCAAATATTCTCATATTTGCAGAATGTACTACATATAATATATGGTATATATAATATTAAATAACTTGTAATAGCAAAAATCTGGAAATAAACATAAATGATCATCCAAAGGAGACTGGCTTAATAAGCAATGATTCATTAATATAATATCAAACAGGTATTCAATATAATAAGGTAGAGGAATATCACTTGGCGGAAAAATATTCCACATATATTGAAGAAAAAGTAGAATTGCAATACAACATCTACCATATTTTTTAATATGATATATCCCAACATTATATAATTGATAGAAAAGTACTACAAAGATACATATGACTAGATTACAGTTCTTATCTCTGAATAAGAAAGTAAAAATTCAGACAATGTCATACTTTATTCAAAATACATTGTGAGAATTCTATAATACATGTTAATGTATTACCTGTGTAATAAACATACAAAAGTATAAGCAAGCTCATTTTCCTTTCAAATAAAAGTTGTTATAATGAGAAAATACTACTGATTTCTTTAAAATTAATAAAACAGTGTATATTTGACCAAAAGGCAGGTGGCAGTTGAGAAAGTCTCTCTTTATGGACTATGTCTAAACTCATTAAATGTAATGTACTTGCAAAAAGTAAATCCTATTTTTTAAATCTTGACAGATTTTTGACAGAATTATAAAATGTGATTAGAGTATTTTTGATAGTTATTCATTTTTATTATAAATGCTATAATAAAGGATGATAGCCAGTTTTGTTATAATTTAGCAAACATAGATAATTTTAATCTATCCACTTATGTTAATATGAACCTACCCAAATAGTGGTCTCATTAATTTTGAATTATCAAGATGACTCTCCTCAGTTTACTTACAATCAGAACTCAAATTTATTCCCAGGAAATTTAAAACTCGTTTAAATTAATGTATCCTTTGAATAGTACTATTTAGTCAGATTAAGTAATTTAAAACAAGAACTCTGGATTCAGAAAGCACTGTCTTAACATGAGATAAATATATCATGAAATGATTAGGTTTTAAATTTCGGTCACTTATAAAACATTTAATAATCACTGAAATTAAATATAAATAAAATTGAACAATAATATAACAATGCAAAACTACAGAAGAAAAATAATCTCCTTAGTGCCACTGATTCTAATTCAATTTAATGACAGAGAACATATAGTTGACATCAATGTGTTTTAACTATTACTACTTGTAATTAAACTCTTCTTTCACAAATCTTTATTAAAAACAATCAGAAAAAAAAATAAAAGATCCATAGAGGAATACCTGAACACATGGACCATCCATGACTTATTTACATGGCAATTAAATTTGATATTCTTTTTCTGCTGACATGTACAGCCTTATTCTGTACTTAAGAGTCATAGTCTGTCTTCACAAACCCTTATACTTACATACACACACACACAACACTGTATCATACAATCTCATATTTTCTGGGTTGATTTATTCTAAACAGTCTAGTATAATGTTATTCTATTAAGCATGTCTCAAACCTGAATTGAGAAAATCACAATTTGGGGTCTGAAGATGTTACCCCATGTGATTCTACTATATTTCCATTCCATTTTATAGCTAGATAAATAAGGTGAAGAAAAGTTATGCAATTATCTTTTCACCCAACCTTTGGGTGCAGCTGTGGTATAGTGGGTGGAGAAAATTGAACCAAGATTGGAATAGAGTGTCCTGACTACTATCCCAAGAGTCAACTCAGTTGACATTTCTGGAAATAAAGAATAAGAAAGTATCACCTCTAATGCTGTAGTAATTATGTTAGAGTTTCTCCAACCCTGTATGCTTCATTTCAGCTTTATATTAACATCAATAGACATGCTTCCTTTTATACACATGGCAGATAGAAAACTAGAATTACTGTAAAGTAAAAGCTATGGCAACGAATTTACCGATTTACACTGCAGTCCTAAAAGCAACTTACTGCTATGTAGGAGCAAGTCCCTTGTATTCAGTTGCTTTGATCTCTGTGAGATTTTGGTTTCTTGATGTGGCAGGAGAAGAAAAATCAAAAGTGATTAGGAAGAAAAATATTTCCAGCAATTTCCACAAATTGTATGTCTCTTCGTCTTAAATATCTGCCATTGGAAAACCATGTGTGAGATTAATTCTACTAAACTACAGTGGCTATGTTAATCTCATTCTTTTAAAAAGAAATTAAGTGTCATGAAGAAAGAATGAGGTCTAGTTTAAAATCTCAAATAAAACTACTTACATAGATAAACCAGAAAGGGCCTATACATATTTGTGAAACAATCATTAAAATTAATTATAAATATGTAATTCATGAGAATATTCATCTAAGGCAAGAAGTAAAATAAAATCTCAGAAAATAAGAGTAAATTTGTACCTTATTTTACAACATTGGCACACAGATTAAGACTATTCATGTTTTGCCATTCTTTCAAGAATATTTTTCCCTTCAATGCATGTGTGTTTTACTGTGTCAAGGAATTAGAATTGAAAACAAATATACAAAGGATTTACCATGTTGTTTATAAAAAACTATTAAACAGAATAGAGCATCAATTTTACATTTCTGAGATAACAGATAAAACTTCAAAATGAGGTTATGCTTTGTCTAAAAAAAAAAAATTAATGTAAAAAGATACTCGCTTTCCTGGTTTTGAGCAAGCATTTGAAATTGAAGATGATGATCTATCTCACACTATATTTTTGAAGTTTCACATTATTTGAAATAAAACTGTATGCCATGTGTTTTCATTTTCTCCCTGGGTCTCATCGTTTATACTCCCTAAGGCACAGATGATAAATAAGAAGTAAGTTTTACCAGCTGGCATCCTTCATGTGGACCATATTGTGAAAAAGTGAAATCAAATTCTCTTGAACTGAGGAACAGAGTAAAATATACTTGGTCTGACTGTTCTCAAACCTTCATGTTATGTCTATAGAAAAATATATAACTCTATGAATAGCATTTCATGCTACGTCCTAGGACTAGACAGATTTTTTGAAAACTACTTAACAGAAATTTCAATTGAAGACTTTCAACTAAGCTTTTGAAAATACATAATCTTAAATGCAGTCACATGAAATTTCCCTTTTATGTCTTATGGGAACAGAACCTATCAATTATTTATCCAGAATAAAATTTAAAAGTCTATTGAAGTTTCCTATTTGCTGACCATGACTAAATGGAATGAAAATAATTATGTGGAAATAAAGTTCACAAAGGCCTGGATACAGGATCAAGAGACACCAGTTTATAAATACATGTCAGGATGTAATTCAGATGCCTATGGTGTCTACGTGCACATGAAGAACCTGGCTAAAAGGCAAAGAAAAATTTGTTGGATAACTTTTAGTATATTTTAAAAATCTAAAACAGTTCAGTGTAGTAGTTATGGAATGGGCCAGACCAGGGTTTGAATCTTAGTTGTGTCAGATCTTTTAGTTCTCTGAGCCTTTCATTAAAATAATGGTGGGCTGGGTGCAGTGGCTCATGCCTGTAATCCCAGCATTTTGGGAGGCCGATGTGAGGGGACAATGAGGTTGGGAGTTAGAGACCATCCTGACCAACATGATGAAACCCCATCTTTACTAAAAATACAAAAACTAGCTGGGTGTGGTGGTGCATGCCTGTAATCCCAGCTACTCGGGAGGCTGAGGCAGGAGAATCACTTGAACCTGGGAGGTGGAGGTTGCAGTGAGCCAAGATCATGCCACTGCACTCCAGCCTGGGCTACAGAGCAAGACTCCATCTCTAAATAAATAAATAAAGGCAAAACATATCTCAGTGTTCATTATTCACTGGCATCAATGGACTACTATTTTATATTATCCTTTGTTGATATAAAAATATTACTATATACAATCCTAATTCTGTTGCGGTTTCACTGCTTCTAGAAGATTGCATGCTTTATTGAACACTTTGTGCACCTGCTCTAAAATGTAACATTAAATAGTGGCATCTCACAGAGTGCTCAGAGGCTGCTCATAACCAACTTCTTTAGATCGTATCTCCGAGATTTTTTTTTTTTTTTTTTTTTTGAGACGGAGTCTCGTTCTGTCACCCAGGATGGAGTGCAGTGGAGCGATCTCGGCTCACTGCAACCTCCACGTCCCGGGTTCAAGCGATTATCCTGTCTCAGTCTCCTGAGTAGCTGGGATTGCAGGCACACACCACCACGCCTGGCTAATTTTTGTATCTTTAGTAGAGACGGGGTTTCACCATGTTGGCCAGGATGGTCTCGATCTCCTGACCTCGTGATCCACCCACCTCAGCCTCCCAAAGCCGATAATTTTTTTAAAAAGCGTATATGAGGACTTCAAAGGAAATAATATTTTTTTAAAAAAGAGTAAATCTTTAAATTCTTTTATCACAGCATGCCACTTTCTTTCTTTTTCCCTGAACTTATTTTTCATGCTTAATTTCACAGAGGTAAAGCACTAAACCCTAGGCAGCAGTCCCTCTACCTTGGTATTTATTCAGGAATCCTTACTGAGGACATCTTATGGCTCAGGCTGGCACCAAGTCCTCGATCTGCACATACTCCATCCAAAAATCTTTTGTGTGAGAGACAGATATTTACTGAGCACCTAGGAAGTTTCTGGCATTTTAAACATATTATCACATTTCATATTCATAACAATCCATTGGGTAATTATGATTACTCCCATTTTATACATGAGAAAAATTGGGCTCTGAGAAGACAGACAACTAACCAAAAGTCACCTTGCCTCCACAGTGTTTTCTGTTATCTTCTCTCACTCTTGTTTTCCCCTGATCCTGCTACCAGACTGATCTTGGTGATCTCAGAGACAGATGTCCTTTGTTGAGACTAAAATTGAGCTAATACCCGAAACATAGCTAGTTAGAGAAGGTGGTGAAATAACAGACACGTGGTAAGGACATGTGTTTCCCTCCCCTTCCTTTGACTTTGTTCTCCCTCTTTACAATCCCTGTCCCCTACACATGCACACACTCACAGTTGGGCTAAGAATAGGACTAAGAGCATGGAGCTTCTCTCCAATGTCCCAAGTGGGTAAGAAGCTTGTATTATGCAAACTGTGCTTAATCTTGTGTGTCTCTCCTTATAGTTGTGCTCACAGGAAAGAGCTTATCTAATTACATTCTGTGCAGGAAATCTAGCATCTAAGAAAGAAGTAAAAATATAATAATTTGTTTGTAAGAATTTCAGCCCCTAGGCAATGTACTAGGAAGTACAGAAGTATGAGACAACTATCAAGGTAAAGATGGTATAGAAAAATATACATGAAATTTCTATAAGCTTCAATGCAACTTTTTACTTTTGCTTTCTGACAGACTGACAAGAACCAGCAGCAGTAAGAGAAAAGGAGTTATCAAATAATTCCTTTCTCTGAAGACAAAATTTATCATTTGACTGACAAGGAAGAATTCGAATCAAGAGAAAAGTTTAAGCAACACCGAAAAGGATTGGGTGTTTTAGCCCTAGCCAGTCAGTTGGCCAAAGTCTACCTCTGACTCAGCACATATATAATAAATGCTCAATGCTTAATGAGCATGACCACCACAAATAAATGAGGGTCAATGAACAGAGCATTAAAGTATAGGTCAGCAAGTCTTAGTTCTTCAGGATAAATATTACACTAAAAAGAAAATAACCTGTTTCTTCCACTTAAAAAATGTGATGTAGTAAGTGTAGCCATAAAGATAAATGAATTAGTAAATATTGTAATCACAGCTATGACTAATTTTATAGCACTTCTAGATTACAAAAAATTTTTCCCAATAGAATATATACTTACAAAATCAGACCAATCTTTCACTGGAATTTATAGTTTGTCCCATTTTATGTAAGAGGAAACTGAAGTTTAGAGAAGTTAATGTGCTTTTCAAAATTTGCACAGCCAGTAGAACAAGCCTGAGCATAGTCAAAATTTTACGGTAGTTAATTAAACTTCAGGAGCCTTATTTTCATTGACTTTTCACAAAGTCCTGTATCTAATTTTGTATTAGCATTCTTAAAGAAGGCTCCCAAAATGTACAATCTTCAGGAACCCAGAAAAAAAACATGGATATGTCCCCAGAGGTGAAACCATTACCCAAATCTTATCCCAAATCCAAGACTTGAAAAATAATATTTAAGAAGATTTTATGTTTTTACTTCTTAGTTTCTTTTCCACTAATCATGATGTTGATTCTTCTTTCCCAAAACCATAATACTTTAGGTATTCTTAGTCTCTTGGAATATTTAGGTTGAGGATAAAAGGGATTTATCTCCTAAGGGCCCTACAAAGAACAGTGATGAATATAGTGTCAGTATCATCATGTTGAAAATTGTCCCCAAATTCTCTGACAGAGGAATAGTACTTGGCTACATTAAAATTGACCCCTTCTCTCTTTCTCACCAAGCTCCACACCTTCATAATCATATCCTTTTCTAAACAGTTTACAAGTATTAAACATCTTCTTCCACAATTACCTCTCACCTTCTCTTCCACTTTTGGTATTTCTATTCTATCCCTTCCATTTTTTTTTTCTCTGCTCCTTTTTTCCTAATACTTTTATTTTATTTATTTATTTATTTATTTTTGAGGTGGAGTTTCACTCTTGTTGCCCAGACTAGAGTGCAGTGGTGTGATCTTGGCTCACTGGAACCTCCGCCTCCTGGGTCCAAGTAATTCTCCCACCTCAGCCTCCCAAATAGCTGGGATTACAGACATGCACCAGCACGCCCAGCTATTTTTTGCATTTTTAGTACAGATGGAGTTTCACCATGTTGGGCAGAGTGGCCTCGAACTCCTGACCTCAAGTAGTCTGCCCACCTCCGCCTCCCAAAGTGCTGGGATTATAGGCCCATTTTTTTCCTAGTCTAAGCCCTTATTCTCTCTTCATTGCTCTGGCCTTGAATTTATTTATACATTCATATATTTATCTATCTATTTGCTCATTCAATCAATTAACAAGTATGTACCAAGCACCAATAACATGTTATCATTGTACTAAGCATAGAGGAGAGTGTTGGTGAACCAAGTCAGCAGTCATCACTGCCTTCATTATCTTATACTGTAGCAAAAAAAAGACAGTAAAAAAAATCAACAACAAAATGTATGTATAACTTCCACTGTTGAACACACAAATTGTTATGAACTATACGAGACACTTTGGAAACTATGTATATAGGGAAGGAAACCTCCTCTGATGACAAGTGAAGAGAAACTTCCTCAAATAAGTAACTTTTGAGCTGAGTTCTAAAGGATGTGTTGGAATTAACTAAGCACAGAGTTAGAGCCACCAGGAAGAGGAAAGGAAACAGTAAAACCCAGAAGATCAAAGGATTATCACAATTAAAAACCAGAGGAGCTGGGTTCAGTAATGAGTGCCTATAATCCAAGCCACTCAGGAAATGGAAGTGAGCAGGAAGACCACTTGAACCCTGGAGTTTCAGGCTAGACTGGGCAACATAGCAAAATCCCATCTCTAAAATAATTAATTAATTAATTAATTAATTACCCAGAGGAAGGCTTCTGTGGCTAGACTCAAAGGGATATAGGCTGAGCTGGTTGAGGCTATTGACATAGGCAAAAATTAAACCACTTAGGGCCAAGAGACCTTGTTAAAGATGCTGGTCTTTACTTACTAGAAAAGTAACGTGATAAAATGTTCCTTCTTACTGTAAATATATATATATATATATATATATATATATATATATATATATATGTTTCACTCCTTGCTCCATGATTCTATTATTCATGGCCTTTAAGCAAAACAGGCTGACAAGGTGGACTTCTGGGCAAGTATTGCTGCCTATAGTCCCAGGGAGGCTTGTTTCCCCCAAAAACACAGTTGCATTCTCAATTAACCTAGATATCTTTCTAGGACTCTAAGGAATACATAGAATGCTTAGTTCCTAGTCATTCTGAGCATTTATTTATTTATTGAGACAGAGTCTCACTCTGTCACCCAGGCTGGAGTGCAGTGGTGCAATCTCGGCTCACTGCAACCTCCGTTTCCAGGGTTCAAGCAATTCTCCTGCCTCAGCTTCCCCAGGAGCTGAGACTACACATGTGTGCCACCATGTCTGGCTAAATTTTGTATTTTTAGTAGAGACAGGGTTTCATGATGTTGGCCAGGCTGGTCTTGAACTCCTGACCTCAGGTGATCCACCCGCCTCAGCTTCCCAAAGTGCTGGGATTACAGGCGTGAGCCTCCGTGCCTGGCCCATGAGCACTTATTTCTGAGTGCTTGTATGTGCTATTAATTCCCTAATATATATCCTAAAAAATGTATATTTTTGCAGTATATTTCCATGGTAGCTTACAATACAGTAAGTTATAACATCTTAAAATATAGAATAAAGTTGGCCCTTGGCAAAACTCCACATTATATTTTCAAGTCATTGCTATAATAGGAACTTCTGAAGTTTTACAATGATTTAGTTTCAAAATCAAAACTTAAAATTCAATTAGCAGTTAAAAGGGAGCAACTCAGTTAAATAGCCTTTATTGAAAAACACATTTATTTCATGAACTTGAGTGAATAAAAACTTCAAAAAGATCAGTAAGTAGGTAGATAGGAGGAAGGCAGCAGTAAAGAACAGAAGGATGGCATATAGTGGGGACCTTATAATTGCAATTTCAATCATTTATCTCAGCACCAAGGAAAACACTCTGCCCCCTGCCTCTTTCACATACATAAACATGACAATGGAGAGCAACAAGAATATCTGGTAGATTTTTCGCTTCCATTTTCTACCCCTATCAATAAATGACTATTGGAGCCTGTGGCTCTGTGAAACAAGATTATCATCAACAGGAATGCATATATGCATCTATTAGATTTTAGACCCTTTAGCAAGTGATAGTTTCCCACGTTATACATGCGAGGCAAATATATTTTCAAGCTTGGTTGAATGTATATCCTTCTACATTTTATTCCTTACAGACATTATCCTGGTTTAAGCAAGTTAACAATGGGTCCAGAAACCAATAATTCTAAAATCCAGACTACTGTAGCAGGCAAAACACCATATAAATCCTATATGTCTCTCCTGCATTCTTAATCACCCTACAGCATCAAATATCATGGATAAAAAAGATGTCCTGTGTCTCTAGGTTTCTCCCCCTATATGTGATCACACACTTTTTCAAAGCTTTTAAACCGTGTTCCCCTACACATACCTTCCCCCATGAAGGAATCACTTCTTAATTATAAAGAAGTTTGGAAATGCTGAAGGTATCTGAAAACATCTCGTTCATTTCTATCAAATAACAACTAAAGGGAAAATAGGCAAAGAAAGCAAAATCAGTGGTACAAGTGTTTAATGATATTATGACTACAATATCCAAGATCGCAAAATAACAGTAAGGGAAGAAATGAAAGAAAGAATAACCAAACACAAACAAACAACAACAAAACAAAACAAAATTTCTCAGAGAGGAAAAGGTTACGTACATTTTGTAAAATTGGTTGGGATTTTATCTATTCTATTAATTTCCTGATATGGTGGTTCTGGTTAGAATTTACTCCTTAAATGCAAGATCAACATATGCTGAAGGAATACTTTGTATTCACAGTGGGAAAGTAACTGCTATGTGTATTAAAAATTGGACAGCATTTATACAGAGCAAGATGTAATAGAAAGAATGAGTTTGGGAATTACAAAGAGTGGATTCAAATGCCAGCTCTGCCACTAATTAGTAGCGTGACTTTGAACAATTTATCATATGTACAAAAAGCGTAGTTTCCTTATCTATGAAATAGAAGCAAAAGGTTGACCTTATGGAGTTACTATGAAAATCACCAATGGGTTCTTTGTAGAAAAGAGTAGACATTCTAACACAAAGTGACTTTATTATTAAAATTATATTTTCTATTATAGTGCTTAAGTTGACTCCATCACTTACGTATCATCAAAGTATTAAAACTACTTACGTAGCAAACTTTAAATTTGAAAAAAAAAGTTTCCAGCATTTTCATGTTTGATGATTTATTACTTGGAAAGTGTCATATGAAAAGTATAAATATCAGTCAGACATTACAGTTTTCTTAGCTTCCATGATAATATGAGGACCACAAAACAAGTTGAAAGGATTCTTTGAGTTTAGTGAGAATCCAAAAACAATCCTAGAAGGAAAAAGAGAAGAGGCAACTGAAGTTGAAATAAACTGATGTACTAGGAAACAAAGTACATCAAGAAATAGACTTAACAAAGAAATCAAACAATAGACTTTCTTGAGACAGTCCACAAGATTTTAGAGCCAGCCAATGTGACGTACCACACAGCCCAGACAAACAGCCCCTGTCTTGAATTTGTATTCCTCTGAGTATTAAAAAAAAGGTGAGCTATCTATTAATTACCATAGACAACAAAAGAAAAACAAACACATTAATGAGTAATGCATTTATTGAAGTCAGGTTAAAGAAAGAAAAAGTAAATATTTCAAATGCCAGACTCCATGCAGTTTTGAGGGCTGTTGACACTATGGTCTCTGTGAATAACACCCCCTGGAGCTGCATAGTACACAGCCTACATGGCCATGGGGGTGGCCCTGAGTGCGCCCACCTATGAAAATTGTTATACAGAATATAGAAAGAAAATAAATAGAAAGATGAATTTTGAGGTGAGTATCATAATTTGCCTTGCAAAAGGCTTTCATTTTATAAAACACCATATGACCAGTAGTCTTTAAATGGCAAGTACCCACAACGCATTTAAAATGATTCCATTTACAAAACATCACAGGGAACGTAACTTTTCAGGAACATATCTCTAACATAGCCAGAGATTAGAAATAACAATAAGTTAGAAAAAAAGCCTCATGGATAGGAACCTGTCCAGCAGGAACCAAGATGTAGGATCCAAGTGTTAGGTATGGTAAGATTTAAGCAAGAGGTGCATATAAGATTAATAATAAACATAAGCCTAGAACAAAGCTTGAGTTAGAACTACTAGAAAAAAAAATTAAGTTGAGAGGCCAGGCTGGAAAAGGTAATTACTACAGATGTTAAAACTGGCTCTTCCCAGGATGACTAAATAAACTCACTAGTTCTCTAACTCTCTTAACAGGGAAAAATGCTGACCAATGACCTTCACATATCACAAAGCCAGCAAGTGAATCAAAGGTGGGCCAACAGATTACTCTTTTTTGGTTTAAGCATTCCACCTGTTAGCCAAGGAAAGAAATGAAGAAGTAAATCTGTAGGTTTTTTTTTTTTTCATTTGTTTCCTTCCTTCCTTCCACTAATCTAGTCTGTGACTCGCTCATCGATAGCTATGAGTAACATGGCATCAGAAGACAACTCTACAGCATTTCATATTTTCAACAAAATAGTGTAACTGATTTTAGAGTTTTAAATCATTCCTTCAAGGAAGTAGATTAAAGAAGAGATAAAAATCCACCAAAATTAGCAGACCATCCAAACATACTGAGATACAAAACTAGAGCTATTCATATCTCAATGAATAGTGACACCTACTTAGGATATGCAGACTAAGAAATCCATGACAGAAATATGTGCAAAACCTGCATGTGGGCAAAAAACAATGCAAAATAAAACTAGCAAATGACAAACAATAAACCCAGGATGTGAAGTATGCTCATATTACCAGAAAGAAAATAAAAGGAAAAGCAATGAGAACTTGTAAACGATAAAATAGTACCTAGAATGCCAGGGACAATTAATTTTCTATTTCCAATGCAACAAAGAGATGAACTGCCACAGCCCAGAGACAAGAGATTTTGTTTGAGTAAGCTAAGAAATTATTTACCCAAAGAAATATCCTTTTGAATGAAAAAATTAACCAGTAACTCTTCAATGAACAGTGAAAGAACTATGTCCCAACATCACTCTGATCACATGAAGAAATGAAGCCATGGGTGGAGACAACTCAGAACCTTGGAAGACCAGCCGGATGGTGCCAGTAACATTCCCCAGCATCATTTGATAGTGTCCACAGTACCTTCAACTTTATTTTGGAGTTCAAAAAGTAAGGGCAAGGTCAGGTGCCAGAAGCAGATCTGAGGTTAAAACCTAAGACTTTGGAGTCTCTATTATCTGAGAAAGAAGTGATAGTTAACAGACGGACTGCAGGAACTTTTCTCGGGTTCATTCATTCCTCTATTCTGAGCACTTAGAATAGGGCCTTAACCAGTAGGCACTCAGTGACATGTCTTACATATGTTAAAAGAATAAATTATTTTTCCCTTGATCTCCTCTGCTGCTATTCAATGCCATTTCCTCATGTTCTGTTCACATAAAGTCCCTCATAACAACAGAGAATAGCTGTTTGAGATGCTACACAAAGATGTAGCATCTCAACAGAGAATAGCTGTTTGAGATGCCTTCCAAAATTTTAAGCCTGACATTAAGTTGCTCCCTCAGTCTTCCGTTCACACTGCCTACCTGTTTCTTTTTTTTTTTCTGCTACCTACAAATGTAACACTTGAGATGCACTTCATATAATATTTAAATGATATTTAACATCCGGAGTGCTTTTCATCTTTAGAGCTTCTTGAAAATAAAGTTAATTTAATAAGAAGATTGCAGTGAAGGAACACGCTCTTATCTAAAGCACCACACATGAGTAACAAGGATAGAGAAAGTAATTGGACAAGTATATACTTTCATATGGAAACATTCTTGCTCAACTGTGCTCTGCTGTCATAAAAACTGTTTAAATGCCAAATTTGAACAGGGCAAGCTCAGTGAACCACGTCCCTTTTATGTTGAAGACTTTCCTTAAACTGAAAGTAGCCAGCTGTGTTTGCAATTGGCTAACTGTTCATCATAAAGAAAGAAGAAAAAATCTGTGTTTTAAAAACTAAAAAAAAAAAACTTCATATTGACTCTCAGGGAGTGTCACATAATATGTTCTCAACATCATGCTATATGTTTTAGTTAATGTCTTTACTGGGCTGCCAAGTAAATGTATTTTAAAGGACATTAAATTCATGTTCTATAGGGGGGAAGAAGTAGAGGGGAGGATGCTTCTGCTTCCAAGCATCATTATTCAGGTTGATGACTAAAGCACGAGACAATTTCAGAATATATATGTCTCTCTAGAAGGGGGATACATCTCCCAATTTAGGTAGTTGAATCAATTACCCATTACCTTACACTTCATGCATTTATGTTTTGAATATTCTTATGTAGCAAGAATCCCTCTAGTTACCTTTCTTTCTCTCCCTCCCTTCCTCCTTTCCTCCCTTCCTTCCTTCTCTCCTCCCTCCCTCCTCCCTCCCTCTCCCTTCCTCTCTCTCTCTCTCTTTTTCTGGTTTTGTCTGGAGAATGGATTTAATTGAAAAGCTAGAAAAAATTACCTTACACTTAAGCCCAAATAAATGTTTCCAAATATAAGTAAACATTGTCATAAAGTTTATTACATATACAGAAACCATAATAAAAATAATACATACCATTACTTTTTTGCATGTGCTATCAGTTAGCTGTAGCTGTCACAAACCACCCCCAAAACACAGTGATTAAAAATAATAATCTTTTCATTGTTGTTGTTGTTGTTTTCATAAGTCTAAATAGACTCTCCAGGTTCAGCTGGGAAGTCCCAATGATCTTGGCCCAGCTCAACTGATCTCAACTGTGTTCACTCATACAACCATTACAGACTGGTAAGGGCCTGCCTAGTCTATGACTAGGCTCTATTCCACAGAGTGTCTCATTTACCTCTAGGGTAATTCCAGGCATGTCTTGATGGTGGCAGCAGGAATCCAAAAGAGAGTACAGAACATGCTAGGCCTTTCAACACTAAGGTCAGAAATGGTACCCCTCAGAATAGTACTCTATGGAACAAAGTAAGTCTCAAGGGGTGGGAAATAATTCCACCCCTTGATAGGAAAAATTGCAAATCACATTGTAAGAGGCATGGATACAACAAAATATAAAAAACTAGGGCAATTTAGGCATTCCATCTGCCACATATGCCTATTATTTCCAAAGACATTACATACTTTAAACGCATTGCTTAAAATATACACAACCCCATGGGATAGGAAGAGTTAATTAATGCTTAAGGAAGTAAGATGATAACCTTCTAATATCACACAGCTAACCTTCATAAAAAGAAAAAAATCAATTTACATTTTGCAAAGGTCATTTGTATAATCTCTCCTTTTAATTTAGACAATGGAAGTGGGATTTAGACAATGGAATTTAGACAAAGCAGAGTGTATTCCATGTTACAAATGGTACTTAGAAAGGTAGAGTGAATTGGGAAAACTTCAGTCTTCTCTCTCCATGACCAGTGCTCCTTCCACATCTTGCTGCTTCATAATCCCAAAGTAAATAATGACTTGCAGCATTTCCAAACACCACAGAACCAAAGTATATCTTCAAATAGGTCTACACATATATGTCACAATCTCAAAAGTAGCTGATATTGCTGAAAGTAATCCAAAAAAGACCACTAGATTATGTGGAAGTCTTAACACCAAATGACCAAGTTCCTGAAGGCTTTTTAAAAAATAAACACAATGTATGTTCATCTTCATTAGCCCAAACCAAACTTTCCAGGTCAATCACTTTTTTTTTCACCCACCTTTGAACACAACCAGATTATGATAGTAAGTTCCCATTTCACCTTGGAAAAATTAGTTTATTTCTCACATTCCAATTTTCTCATTTATAAAATGAGCAAACTGAACTATACAGACTTCAAGAGCACTTTTACAGACTATTCTCAAACTGTAGATAACCAACACCTATAAAAATTATCAATTATTACTATTTTTAACAATTCCACTTAAATTACCATTAAACTCTATAACTCTGCTTTTTCTTCAATTTTACAGCTTGTCAATGCTGCAATTTATGTCACCAAAAAAATAAAGAAAAGGAAATGCAACTTCCATTTATTATTTTAAGTGATCCATAAAGGCATCTTACATGGTGAAATAGGAATGGTTCGGGTCACATATATAGAACCAGGGATTAATATAAACACGCTGAAACTTAACAACCTTCTCACCCTTGCCAAACTTGAAATTTTATAACTAATGTACAAAATGAAATTAAAATAACCCCCCAGAAAGTAAAAAGATCCAGAAAATTGCTGTTCTTCTGGGATACTAGCCATCAGAATAATACTTCTAAAATGATTGGAAAGACCTGCATTTGCACTAAGATAGTTCATTATTAGTATGGTTGACGCTTCATTTCCAGAATATCTTAGCATTAAGCAACAAGTTAAAAGTAACATTATATACTAAGGCATACTAGCTACAGTCAGGGGTTTTAGAAAGATTGTCTGCATCCTGGCTTCACCACTTTCTAGGCAATGCCAATTTTCTCATTTATCATATAGGGCTGCTAACAATGCCTACCGAATATAGCTGTTTTGAGAATTAAATGAGATAAGACACACAGCATAGCACTTGGCCCATAAGAAAGACCATAAAAATGGCAAATTGTTGTGTATGACAATAATAATAAAATTGTAGCTTACAATTTTAAACGGTTTTCATATAGACTCCATTTGGTTTTTATACACACACAAATTTCAACTACAGACAGAGAAATCATTGTTGTCTCCCCAGAGTTTCAAATGAGGTTAAGTTCCTTGTACCAACTCACAAAGCTAGCAAAATAGTAGAGCTAAAATCTGAACCAAGATTTCTGAGAGCAGGTCGAGTACTCTCCCTGCTGTATCACAGTCCTACAATAAAATTTTCCTTCACAATCAATTCACTTTCATAGATAATTACATATAAGTCCAGTGAAATTCTAATTACATCTTTAAAAATGAATATATACACATGGATCACCCTGCTGGAGAACTGAGCAAAAACAATTATAAATCAAATTCCTGTGAAGTGAATCATCTTTTTCCATTGCATCTTATAAGAAAACAAGAATACAATTTAACCTGATATCTATTGATAAGCAAAATCAAAATCTAGAATGTTATATTCTGGTAATATTTTAATCTCTAAGCATACTATTTATATTCAAACCTCTGGTCGTTCACTCTGTCATTAAATTTTTCAATCCAATTTGTGCCTAGTTCATAGAAATATCTAACAGTTCCAAATTAGAAACATAATGAATTTATTAATTTTCTTTAGCCTTTTCCAACACTAATAGAATTTTACAAAACAGGTTTCAAACTATAACTTTGCATTATATTGTTAGGTGCTTAAGTGGGAAATACATCAAATCTATTTTCTATTGAAATGAAAACTCTGGTGTACATATATAAAAATTAATCCTATCTCATTTGCCTTGTAAATTCAATGGTCTAGGTATGTAATGTCATCTGAAAATGGGAAAGTATACATTTCAATTTTTTTTTTTTTTTTTTTTTGCTTATTATGTCAGTTGGAAAGCCAGAAGGAAACTGGTTTTAACTCTTAATATAACCTGTATCATGACACCATCACTTTACCAGAAATGTAGCTGATGTCAGCATAAGACTGAGACAGTTTACATTTAAAACTGTTGTTTCCTTTCCAACTATTTTCTTTTTTTTTTCCAAATAAAAAGTTATTTATTTATGTATTTATTTTTTGACAGAGTCTTTTTTTTTTTTTTTTTTTTTTTATTGATCATTCTTGGGTGTTTCTCGCAGAGGGGGATTTGACAGGGTCATAGGACAATAGTGGAGGGAAGGTCAGCAGATAAACAAGTGAACAAAGGTCTCTGGTTTTCCTAGGCAGAGGACCCTGCGGCCTTCCGCAGTGTTTGTGTCCCTGGGTACTTAAGAGTAGGGAGTGGTGATGACTCTTAACGAGCATGCTGCCTTCAAGCATCTGTTTAACAAAGCACATCTTGCACCGCCCTTAATCCATTTAACCCTGAGTGGACACAGCACATGTTTCAGAGAGCACAGGGTTGGGGGTAAGGTCACAGATCAACAGGATCCCAAGGCAGAAGAATTTTTCTTAGTACAGAACAAAATGAAAAGTCTCCCATGTCTACTTCTCCCTACACAGACACAGCAACCATCCGATTTCTCAATCTTTTCCCCACCTTTCCCGCCTTTCTATTCCACGAAACCGCCCCGATTTCTCAATCTTTTCCCCACCTTTCCCGCCTTTCTATTCCACAAAACCGCCATTGTCATCATGGCCCGTTCTCAATGAGCTGTTGGGTACACCTCCCAGACCGGGTCGTGGCCGGGCAGAGGGGCTCCTCACTTCCCAGTAGGGGCGGCCGGGCAGAAGCGCCCCTCACCTCCCGGATGGGGCGGCTGGCCAGGCGGGGGGCTGACCCCCCCACCTCCCTCTCGGATGGGGCGGCTGGCCGGGCAGAGGGGCTCCTCACTTCCCAGTAGGGGCGGCCGGGCAGAGGCGCCCCTCACCTTCCGGACAGGGCGGCTGGCCAGGCCGGGGGCTGACCCCCCCGCCACCTTCCTCCCAGACAGGGCGGCTGGCCGGGCAGAGGGGCTCCTCACTTCCCAGTAGGGGTGGCCGGGCAGAGGCGCCCCTCACCTCCCGGACGGGGTGGCTGGCCCGGCGGGGGGCTGACCCCCCCACCTCCCTGCCGGATGGGGCGGCTGGCCGGGCGGGGGGCTGACCCCCCCACCTACCTCCCAGACGGGGCGGCTGGCCGGGCGGGGGGCTGACCCCCCCCACCTCCATCCCGGACGGGGCGGCTGGCCGACCGCCCCGCCTCCCTCCCGGACGGGGCGGCTGGCCGGGCGGGGGGCTGACCCCCCCACCTCCCTCCTGGACGGGGCGGCTGGCCAGGCAGAGGGGCTCCTCACTTCCCAGTAGGGGCGGCCGGGCAGAGGAGCCCCTCACCTCCCGGACGGGGCGGCTGGCCTGGCGGGGGGCTGACCGCCACCTCCCTCCCGGACGGGGTGGCTGCCGGGCGGAGACGCTCCTCACTTCCCAGACGGGGTGGCTGCCGGATGGAGGGGCTCCTCACTTCTCAGACGGGGCGGTTGCCGGGCAGAGGGTCTCCTCACTTCTCAGACGGGGCGGCCGGGCAGAGACGCTCCTCACCTCCCAGACGGGGTCGCGCCGGGCAGAGGCGCTCCTCACATCCCAGACGGGGCGGTGGGGCAGAGGTGCTCCCCACATCTCAGACGATGGGAGGCCAGGCAGAGACGCTCCTCACTTCCTAGATGGGATGGCGGCCAGGCAGAGACGCTCCTCACTTCCCAGACGGGGTGGCGGCCGGGCAGAGGCTGCAATCTCGGCACTTTGGGAGGCCAAGGCAGGCGGCTGGGAGGTGGTTGTAGCGAGCCGAGATCACGCCACTGCACTCCAGCCTGGGCACGGTTGAGCACTGAGTGAACGAGACTCCGTCTGCAATCCCGGCACCTCGGGAGGCCGAGGCTGGCGGATCACTCGCGGTTAGGAGCTGGAGACCAGCCCGGCCAACACAGCGAAACCCCGTCTCCACCAAAAAAATACGAAAACCAGTCAGGCGTGGCAGCGCGCGCCTGCAATCGCAGGCACTCAGCAGGCTGAGGCAGGAGAATCAGGCAGGGAGGTTGCAGTGAGCCGAGATGGCAGCAGTACAGTCCAGCTTTGGCTGGGCATCAGAGGGAGACCGTGGAAAGAGAGGAAGAGGGAGACCGTGGGGAGGGAGGGAGAGGGAGAGGGAGGGGGAGGGGGAGGGGGAGCTACATTTCAATTTTTACAACATTGTACTTAATCAGTTTCATTATCAACTTCATACTTTAAGAAATGCATTAAAATTAAAAATATTTAAAAATGTTTCTTCTTTATTAAAGAGCAGTCAGTGTTGAATCATAATCTAGAGATTTTTAGCACAAGCAACAGATTAAAAAGTCATCAGACAGATGGCCAAGATAACTACAATAAAGTGTACAAAATATATGATTATAATAATTAAATATTTTAATTGCTAGTAATTACTGTAAATTACTTTAAAAACTAATTATAACCAAATTTGAGTAAGCTGACTTGTTTATACCCACTTCTACTTGATATCCTGGCAATAAAATGGATCTCAAAACATATCCTTATGGTTCATAAAAAGCTAACAAATGTTTCAAAAATAGTGTAAGGAAATTTAATGTAATATTACTTATTTAGTTATTCCCAGTGTTTTTCTGAAAACAACTATTTTCTAGTTCATATGATTAAAATAGGTAAGAAGTGCTGCTAGATAAATTAAAATAAAATATGGCAACAAGGTAACTACCCAGGCTTATGCTGATTTCAAACAATTCAAAGAAAAGTATAAAACAAATATCAATGGAAAGCAACCAATAAGGACACCATAACCTTAAAAGTTGTTTATTTAAAAAATTATATTTGCCCTTTGTTCAAAATTTCCATATTATGAAAAAATAAGACAATTTTAAAATTATTAACTTTCCAAGCATTCCAAATATATGCCAATTAACTGGTATGGCATTGTCTCCAATTTTAATAATTTCCAGTTTTTTAAATATGATGTGATTTCCAGTGCTAATCATAGGTGTATTGGTCTTGGATAGACAGAGACCAAATGAAGAACAGATCAACATCGAAGAGAAAGTTTCATAAGGTCTCTAAAACAGAGTCTGGCTAATATTTATTGAGTGTCAATTTTGAACAATGTAATAAGAGATTCTAAATGATTAAAAACATTAAGTACAAGAAAAAATCCACTAGACCACGGTGTGAGAGAGAAATACCACACATTTGCCACCATTGCAGATATTCAAATGCCATTGGATCACATTCTTAGTCAATAAGAAAATAGGACACCTGATAAAATTTAAGCAAGACCCTCAATACATAAGTAGAAATAAGAAATACAAAATTAATATAAGCGTATTCAGTCTGTTAGGTGCATTTAAATGCATTATTGCTATGACTTTGGTATATACAAGAAAAACTTGAAAGCAAACTGTGAACTTAAGAATTTCTAACATTCATAAGGCTTCTTTACATTTCAGTTCCAAATAGACTTTTAATAAATAGAAACTTGAGCTATATTTTCAGATTTTCTTATTTTAGTCATAATATACATATACATTTTTTATTATGACAGGTTATTAGGTTTTGTTTCTGTTTTTTTTTGGCGGCAATGATTTTAAATAACCATTCCTGTTCACTCTTGACTTAGTTTTGTTGATCTGGGTGCTAATTATTATTATTACTCTCACTGTTTTCCATCTGTCAGCTCATCTGCAGGGTCTTAAACTGCTTAAGCTTATGAAAACACGAAACATTCTGGGGTTGCTTCACTGTCTAGTTTCTCTACATCATTAATACCATAATCAGGATAGCACAACTCAAAAACCAGACAAATCATCTGCCATGCATGTTTCGCTATTCACTACTTTAACATTTTTGAAGCACTTATTATCAGGCACAGTGCTAGGTCCCAGGGATATAAAGATGAATAAGATTAAATATTAGCAGTACATTATGATGAGTTACAATTACGCTGTAAACGTTTTTTCTTACGAACCTGATCATATCTCTTTTCTGTGGATTTTTTTCAAGCTTTCTTAATATTGAGTTCACCTTTAAATCCAGGATTATGTAAGTATCTCCAGGTAATTTTATTCTCCCACTAAAACAGAAGCAACATTAATGTAAAATACCCCATGGGGTTTGTTATGTAGGGGATTACCTAAACTAATTACTAATATACTATCTATGATACAGTTACCCGCACCCTCCAACCTCTTCCCAGTTACAGAATCAATGTTATAAATTGTACTGGCAGCATTTATATTAGGGTTGTCAAATTTATTCATATTATGAATTCTGCTACAGGATTTCAGTTTAATTACTTGAATTAGATACCCCTACCATATGTGCATCCAGTTAATTTATACCTTGTTTTAGGGCCTGTTCTATAGTTCAAAGCTCCTAACAACTTGCTAATAAATATGAAAGGAAATTTGAAGATAACTTGTAACATACATTTTTTATTATTCTAAAATTATACTACAAACAGAAGCACTTTTGTAAAGCTCAACACTACATTTATATTCTTCACATTACCTTTTCACAATAATCTCCAGTATTAAAATGGAGATTGATTTCCACAGAAGTATTGATGGCTCCAGAATGTAATGGAAATAATACAGAAACACAACTAATCTCTTATACATAAAGAAAATATTTTTCTAATGAAATATTATTAACATATTTCCTCAAATTGTTAGGAAAAAACAACTTGCCAGTGATATAACATTTGATAAACATCTCTTCGCTCTGAACACTAGAGACTATATATTGTTAATACATCTCAATTCGGCCAAGCAGAGGTAAAATATTTTTATTTGATATTACTTTGTTTGATTTTCTGTACCTCACAGGCCTCCTTTTATAAAAACCCAGGCAGGGTCATAGGTTTTAAGAAACTCCATCTCTCTGGCAGCAGTCAGGGCATAGTCCCATGGTTCTGCAGTTTGTTCATTTCACAAAGGATGTTGGCTGTGGGGACAAGTAGGGACTGAAACCCAGTCCTTACTGCTCCACTTGTCAAACTATGCGGTGCCCCATTACAGGACTGACAGGCGTTGTGGTATCTTAGAGGAAGGTGTACTTCTATGCAACTTTGTGCCCAGGGATGCTCACTTTTTACCATTCATCTGACAAGAGGCAGAATCTTTCAGTAATTCTCAGAAGGCACTATATATGTTAACAACAACCTCACCTTTTTCTGGGGGTAGGTGGAGAATTGGAGGAGGATATGAAACTAGAATCAACAGACTCCCTCCTTGCCCTCATTATTTACATCCAAACACACCAAAATGTATCTCTAACTCTTTTGTCCCATTACCACTGCCTTTGTTTAGGACCAAATATTATCTGACCTGAAACTGCCTATGAAATAGTTTTTCCTTTAGGCTCTCTGAGTCTTCAGAGTCTAATTTATTTCCCTACTTTCTGCTTACCATTCGGCCTCAAATCTGGTACACCATGCTCACCCACTCCATTTGTCTCCACTCAGTCCCATCATAGGCATTGTGAACCTGAATATATCATATCCTCTCCAGTCATAATGATCCTCCTGGTGTGCTCCTGGTACCTGGCATCCTCTATTCCTTCACTTCTTTTCTGCCTAGCTTATTGACTTTCAAGGGGAGTAGATTTGTATGCCTTTGAGGTATTAATAATAAGTATAATTTTTATTCCAAATCTTCATTTTTACATTTAATTTAGAGCTGCTTCTACTCCCCTAGTCATGTTTGTCTCAGGCTTGGAAACCTGCAAAGGGCTGGGGACTGGGTAAGATTTGGGAAGTGGCATCTTTACTGTTTTCCCTGTCTCATTCTTCAAGTCTTCCCCTGTCACTCACTGTGTTGTTTCTGGTCTCTCCCAAGTTAGAAACTTATTGGCTCTTTTAAGGAGAGCTTCTGTGAGACTCTGAAGTCCACTCTTCACAACCACTCTCAGTTTGCTGAAGTCTTTCTCCTGTAACGTTCACTGCTATGGGCCATGCACCCATGCATCCACTGATGCCATGTAAAGGGGCAATTCTACTGCAGGCTTGTGGGGACCATCCCAGAAAGCTAGGCTACCCCTCAAATCACTGCAGTCTGAGATGAGTGTGCCAAGTCAGGTAACAGCAGTGGTGAATGAATGGAAGGGGGCTTGTCCTCTGGAGTCCAGCCTCCACCACAGTAATCTGGGCACTCTTCCCCTCTCTGAGCTGCAGCTTCCTTCTCTGTAAAATGGGTTGATCCCTCCTAGGGCTGCATAAGGATTGAACAAGGTCTTGCTTACGCATCACTGAGCCCATGATTTTTACATACAGTAGGTGCTCATTAATGAGCACTACTGATTCAGGGTGGCTGGGGCATCCAAGTCATGCACCTCCTTTGGGGAAGCACCCCCCGGAGCCCATGTTTATTGTCCAAATAAACAGATGAGCCAACTGCTGTTCAGGAGGCCACAGGCTGTCCCCTATTGCTACCAACCCCTACTGCTATGTTCTGCTATATATAGACTCTCATTCTGGGGTCCTCTCACCCTGCTACTGATTAGTCCTATGTTTCTGATGCTCTCTATAGTACACCAGACCAGGACATCCTGTTCCCCGTGCATCAACTGTAAGTACAGTCTCCTTTCAAGGCAGATTTCTGTCTTTGATCTGCTATCTCAGATAGCTTTAGCCGGACTTTGTCCTTTGATTTTTTAAAGTAAAGTTCAGGCAATAGTCCCTATGATCTCCAAATTCCAAGGAATAAAGGTCAAATATTCCGAACACTTACCTCCACCCCACTAACTATGCTCTGATCACAAGGTGGCAAGAGATCCCTGAGTAGTTTTGTAATGTAGATTTGGATGTACATTTACCCTTTGAAATTCACCCTCAAATATCTCCTAAGCAATTTTGTGTTCCCTTTACCAAGATTTCCTCCATGTTAACATCTTTCAAAATAATAATACAATATCACTACCAGGATATTGACATTGAAAAAAGCTACTCATCATATTCAAATTTCCTCAGTATAACTTGTACTCATTTGTGATTTTATGTGTATTTAGTTCTATACACCTTTATATCATGAGTAGAATCATGTATCTGCCATCTACCATCACAGTCCAGATACAGAACAGCTCCAACACTTCAAGGAATGTTTGTGCTGTCTATTTATAACCCTACCCACCCCCACCCCCAAACTTTGTCAAGCACTAATCTTTTTTCCATGTCTACAACTTAGTCATATCAAAAATCAAACATAAATAGAACCATACGGTATGTAAACTTTTGAGATTGGCTGTTTTATTCAGCATAATTCCCTGGAGGTTCCTATAAATGGTCAATCAATATGTCATCTCTTTTTATCGCTGAGTTGTATTCTACGCAGTGGATACCACAGTCTGTTTAACCAGTCACCTAATAGAGAACATTTTATTGATTTTATTGTTTCCTTATTTTTTGTTATCATAAAGAAATCTGTAATTAACACTTTAATATTGTGTGTGTGTGTGTGTGGGTGTGTGTGTGGGTGTGTGTTATGCCTCTGTAATAAATGCCTGAGAATCCAATTTCTGGGTCATACATTAAGGAGATGCTTAATTTTATATGAAACTTCCAAATTATTTTCCAATTTTTTTCAATTTTTCCCATTATTAACTTCCTTAGAAACTTTCATACTGTTTTCATAATGGCTGTGCCAATTTACATTCTCACCAACAGTGTATTATGTTTCCCTTTTCTCCACAACTAATTAGTAATTATTAATCATTGCTTAATAGCTAATAAGAAAAATTTAAAGTCAAGAGGGAAAGATCTATGAAGTATCAAATAGAAAAAAATATTTTGCTAATATTGAATTTTGATCACTAGCAAAGCAGCTAAATTTAATCTGGACATACTTTATGACGAAAGATTCTTTCACAGATGTCAGATATGCAAGAGAATATCAATTGCTTTGCAGTCCTGTGTTATAAAAACATTAATTTGGCATTTTTAATACCACAGATACTTTACCTCAACAGACACTTATAATCAAATTATGTACTAATGCCCTAAGACATCAGTGAATGTAAGTTATCCCTGCATCTAGAATGGTACTAGTTATCAACCATCTTTGGAGAAACCTAGAAAATAAAATCACACGAATCATTTCCATGTGCTCCAGTTTAGATGAAAATATTCAGCTAAGAAAGACTGAAGGAAAATGTTTGATACTTTACAGGTTTTGGACATATTGTAGTTTATTCTTTTCTTGTTAATCGTCCTAACAAAGAAATGACATTAAGTTATTAAATTGGACCCTGGGATTGCAGAGCATCTTGTGACTAGCTGCTGTCAAGAAAATGTCTGGAACTTACTTACATATGCTTCCTATCCACATAACTTCCAATTTTCACAAAAGACCTGATTTTCCACTGTTCCCCCTTGTTGCTAGAATAGATTTAATTTGACTGATGACTTCCTTTCTTTTCTATTTATCATGTATAAGACATCTACAATAGCATCAGATATTTTATTACACTTTAAAGAAATGGTATTATTAGCTGTTCATAGCATCACCGTCTTATTTAAACATTATATTTAATATATGCAACTTGAAGATTTTTAAAGTTATAAGGATATGTTATACATAAAAATATTTAAAATAATGGTTTGCTTTTCTCACCTTGCAAAATGGTTAGCATGATGGAAGAGTCTCCCAAATGTCACCGTTATATTGATAGACAACCTTTCACCAGTGTTAAGTGAAGGTTGAGCACTCTTAAGTGTGATCAGACTTAAACATGCAAAACAAATCTAAAGAAGCCTATAGTCTAATTTGAGATAAAATACTAACCCAAAGTAACTAATTAAAAAGCAATGCAAAAGCTATGAACATATAAATGTAATTGATGTTTAATGAGTAGTATATGAAAAATTTTCTAAATGGCAGAAAATAAATGCTTGGTATTCTGGGCTGGGGCTGAGAAAACTTTGAAAAAGATGTCAGAAATAACGGAAAATATGTCAGTCTTTGCCTGGTATTATAGTGCATTCTTCCTCACACTTTCTTATTATCCCAGGTTAGATAACTCACTCTTCTTCTCACTACCAAGATATGTGAGGTATTCTCAGTTCCAACTGGCCATAGAAATACCTTCTTTTTTAAATTTTACTTTTTTCTGCCTCAAGTCCATTTAAGTTCACTTAAGCTGTTTTAATAGGTAACCTCAAAACTTTAGGCTGTAGACCAAAGTGTTGGAATTTTACAAAGTCCAATTCTGACATTAAGTCATCTGTATGTAATAGTAGTCACACTCTACAAACATTACAAAGAGATTTCTGGTGTTCAGAAATGTATAGCTTAAATATCTAGCATCCTTTGGAAGACAGTAACTTACAACTGTATATAACTATCATTTATAGGATAGCCCAGCTTGGACCAGAATTTTAAAATGTCCCATTAAAAACCTATTCAAAATCTTGTACTGCTCAATCTCATCAAGTGTTAATTAGATCATCCTCAAAGACAAGAGGATGGTTCAAAAGTATTCTGTATGATAATTTCTACTTCTGATCATCAACTTGGCGTAGATCTTTGAAATGTGATTATACTTGTTACATGAGGGACTGTGAATCAGAAGACAGAGATAAAATTATAATAATAATAGATAATATTTTCAAAGTTATAATGGCATTTATACGCCAGAATGGTTCCTTATTTGAGGTGTGTTTGCTAACTAAAGCAATTAAGTGTTTCAATTCAGGGTAATAAAATGCAGCAACTCCTTTCAAGGTTTCATTAAATTTAAACTTTTATAGTGAATACTGGCTAAGATTATTAATATATAATATGCCTTATGCTTTGGTAAAGTTTCACTGTCCTTTGCTGCACAAACCCAAGAGTGTTTCATATTACTTATAACGTAATCAATCAGTCTAAAAGATTGATTCACTGTTTAAGCTGGAGCAATCTTTTGAAATAAATGTACAGTAACTGACAGCAACAGTTTTCACATGGGTATTCTGAAAATGGAAAGAATAAATACACTTTACTTAAGTATCTTCAGTAATTTCCATTTAGTAGCACATGAAGGAACATGAAATAGCTTTAATGAGTAGTGAGTGAATTTAACTATTTGTGCATAGTACCATATTGATTTTAAGAAAAATAATAATAACATGCCAGGACTTCCCATAAATCATACTGTAATTCCTTCCAAGAGGCTATGACTCTGCAGTAGTAGGCAAATGTATTTTTAATTCAATTTATAAATGGCTTAAAAAATACTAAAGGACACAAACTATGCTCTAATAGTCCTCTGGAACAATGGTCTGTAGAACAAGATGTTAAAAGGAGGCATTTTCTGTGTTGGTTTCAGTTGAGACCCAAAATGCAATAACCAAATAGTTGACAAGAACCTTCACATTTTTAATCAAAATGCTAGGTCATCTATGCAGAACTTGTAAAAGTGGCTTTCAAGAACCACCAGTTTTATAAGCCAGCATCCTTTGCAGCGTAAGTGGCTGACAGTTTGGAAACAAGAAAGAAAAATATTTTTGGCTGGGAGCAGGGGTGGGAAATTGTTGAGCTGCTATAATCCCTCAAGTATCACTTCACCTCAAACTTTGAAGAAACTTCAGGGAGACTGCTTCAGAAGCTTATGTGTATACACTGATGCTCGGGGACAGAAGAGTTAATGTCTGATATGCATTTTAGAAGTCCTCTCCTAAGACCAGTGTTGTAGGAGAATTCCAGAGGATTAGTAGAGCATAGTTTGTGTCATTCCGTATTTTTTAAGCCATACATACATTGAATTAAAACACTGTATTCCTAGCTGAGCAGAGTGAATTGTTAGCTACAGTCTCCCTGGGAGAGGCAAGATTCTGTAAATGTTTCCTGAAGACTAAAGAGGGCAACTAAGAAGAAACAATCTGCTGAAAGACATTTCAAATTCTGTTCAAGAACAATGCATAGGTGAATGGAATAATCCCAACATAGGGGATGAATTTCCAGATTTCCAGGGGCTGGGGGAGAAATATTACGCATGTAACTGGACGAAAATGCATTTCCTGTATCATAGAAAATTCAGCCAAATAGTCCCAGTAGGGGCCTCTGAGAAATACAGATATCTCTGTGTCTCAATAGGCTACATTAGGCTGTGGTAACAAAAAATCCCTTAATTTTAATGGCGTAAAACCACAAGGATTAATTTCTTGTTCAAGTATAATGGTTGTTGCGGGCCTGTGGGAGGCAGAAGCTGGCCCCTCTCATTGAAGTTTCAGTGATGTCATGATGAAACAATAGGCATCTCCTCTACAGTTGTAGACTGCAGTGTCTAAAGGAAAAGAAAGATCTCTGGAGACTCCCATCCCAGTTCAGCCTATCACTGACATTTTTCATTTTTGTTCAAAACTTCAAAACTCATTAATCAGAACTGGTTAAATGCCCTGCCCAACCACAGAAAGCCAGGAAGTTCAGTCCTACCATGTGTCCAAGAGGCACACAGCCAGAAATTTTTTATAGCATTCACATCCACTGTACCACTTGAAGATAAAACAAAAAAAAATCATTGAAAAAGAAAGAGAATCCACCAAACCCAGGGGAAGTTTATCCAGGGTTACATTTAAGTCAGTCAAGTCACACTTCACCTTTACCTCTCCTACCTTTCTGAGGCTTAACCCTAGAAGAGTCAGAGGCAGCATCCTTGAACAGGACAGAAAGCATAGAGGCGAACTGGGAGAAACACAGGAAAGGCTGACCAACTCCCCTTTTCCCAATAGAGGTGGCCAGAAAAATGCTGGGAAAACTTTCATATTAAATAGATTTAAGACCTCCTTTTTATATGAATAGTATGTAAAAGAAATGTCACTATTCATGTGATTAGCAGTAATTGCTGAACATTTTATTCTCTAATAGTAAATGAAATAGGAGGCCTATCTGACATTTTATTCATGAGCAAGAAAATATTTAGCCCCATAGCGCAGGTTTGAATGAAAAATAGTGAAAGCAAAGTGGAGAAAGACCAGTTGGCTTAAATAAGGACAAATGAAAAACAGCTCATGCTAGATGAGTAAATTTTCAGTGAATGGTAAACAGGAAAAAAGTATTGAGAGAAAAAAAAAGCTTCAAAGTGAAGCTTAACGAAAACTATCAGAATGCCTTAAGAATATCACAGGAAATTATCACATATCACCAAGAGAATCTCAGAAGCATTAAGATAAAAAGCTATTACAGAAATAGGAAAAATGTTTAGAAATCAGGCTAGACTACCCTGGAGTTTTTCCCGGATACATGAAACCAAAATTAAAGATAAAAATGCAGTGAAAATCTGACTTAAGTCAGAAACACCTAGGAAAATGCTCCATCACAGCAAAATGAATGGCAGAAAATCTGATTAGACTCTGTAACATTGGCCAAATAGTAATGCTGGGCAGAGACGAAAAACGTAATGTATTTCCAACAAACTAGATTTAGGTATAGAGTGATAACCCCTTATAGTATCAGAACACATTAATAGAACTCCCAGATGAAACTACCATTAAATCAGTAACTATTCAATCTTAATCTTTGAATTTTTCTTTTTCAGTGATACAGAAAGTATCAAAGAAGAAAATCGGATATGCATGTTTAAAGAGATCAAATATTCAAAATAAAAATGAGTAAAATATTGTTTGTTTTATGTAAATTGGCTATGTTTTAATTTTAAAAAGACCTTTTTAAACAAGTTAAGATATATAGAAAAATTTCATAGCACAAAGAGTTCTTATCTACGTTACACCCAGTTTTTCCTACTATAAACATCTTACATAAGTATGGTACATTCGTCACAATTCATGAACAAACAAAAGTTACATTGCCGTTAACTACAGTCCATACTTTATTCAGATCTCCTTAGTTTTTATCAAATGTCCTTTTTCTATTGCAGGATCCCATACAGGATACCATATATTAGTTGTCATATATCCTTAGCCTCTTCTTGGCTATGACAGTTTCTCAGACTTTCCTTGTTTTTGATGAGCTTGACAGTTTTGAGGAGTACTGATCAGATATTCTGTATAATGTTCCTTGGTTGGGATTTGCCTATTTTTTTTCATGATTGGACTAAAGTTATGCATTTCTGGGAGGAAGACCACAGAGGTAAACCATCATTCTCACTATATCAAGGGTACGTTCTATCACTATGATCACCACAGTTGATGTTGACCTTGGTCACTTGGTTGAGGTCATGTTTGTCTGGTTTCTGCATTGTAACATTACTTTTTCCTCCTCCTTTCTATGCATACTGTTTAGATGGAAGTCACTATGTGCAGCCATGCTTAAAGAGTGGAGAATTATACTCCACTTCCTTCAGGGCAAGTATCTACATAAATTATTTGAAATTGTTTTGCATAGATTTGCCTATTCTTCCCAATTCATTCATTCATTTGATCATGTGTTTATATCAGCATGAACGCATGGATATTTTAGGCACAAATTCCACAAATTTTCATAACAGCCTTATAGAGATATAATTCACATATCATACAATTTACTCACTTTAAACTGGCTCTAATTTGAAGAGATGGTAAAAATCAGTGCTTACTCAGATACAAAGAGTTGCTCAACAATCATCAATCCAGGTCTAAATTACTATATGAAAGTTATCAATTAAGCCATCTATAACCATGTGTTTAAACTACAATAGTCAATTTGTATTGTTATCTTTGTTCTATAACCTATAAAATCAAACTCATATTATATTAAGATGCAATGAAACTGTTATAAAAAGGCAGGGAAAATCCAATAGAAAGAGATTTCAAGTTCATTGGCTTTACTTTTCTGTACAAACCTCTCATTATTAGAAAAGTGATGTAAATTATTTCATTTAAGATTATTTTATTAGTGGCTTTTAATTGTATACTTAATACAGGAATGACTTTGTGTAGGTACTGAGCACACAAATTTATTTTACACCCATGCTTTATCCTATCATCGTAAACTTCAGGTAAGACATGCAGGCCAGAAAAGTGTTTTTCACCCCTATTTTACATATTAGGAAACTAACACGTCATGAGACGAAGAGATTGTTCAAGGTCCAATAACCAGAAATCAATGGCAGTCAGAATTTGAAACCAAATCTTAAACTTTTAGTCACTGCATGTTACCTCTTTTACCAATTGGAAACAGTATTACTATGGTTTTGGATATGATTTAAAACTGTCTAAATGTTCTAAAAATCACAGTTCAATTCATTTCAAAAATATTTAGTAAGAACTAGGTCCAAAGATATTTTTAATGGTAATAAATAAGATATAATTTTTGTCTTCCAGGACCACATGATTTGGAAAGATAAATAGGCCAATGAACAAAAATAATAATATATTAAATAATACATATAAAAACAGAAGCTTGTAAAAGTAGAGAGATTCCAGGAATTTTGGAATGATTTATTGAGAATATGATACTAAGCTCATTTTTTAAGTATAAGTAGGAGTCTTCCCATGTGATCTGAAAAAGACTATTCCAGTTGCATGAATCCCAACGTGCAAAGCCACGGAGACATATTTTTAAATTGAGTGGCTTTATTAGTAAGTACCAGATTATTTTACTTTTAAATACTGCTTCCAACATCTAAAAATTGAGTATAAATTAATAATTACATTCATTAGCACTTTATTCTTATAAAGTGATCTTATACTTGATGTATCTATAGTCTTTCTAATTCCACAAGGAGAGCTAAATGGAAAGATGAATAATTATCCTCCCCAACATGCAAATAACTCCCATGGTTTTCTACCATTATTACAGACAAAACATATGATTATCATCCATATTCTCAAGCTGTAATTTGAAACCATTTATTTCTATTGAATCAAACTTCATACCCTTCCTTGAGCTTTACTTCAACATAATCATGGAACCTTCGTTTTTGGGTCAGCTAGTAATACTTTTAGTTTTAATCTCCTAATCTCTCTGTAAAACCCACAGTAAGCATTCCTATGAACTGATGAATAGGACCAGAAGCTCCAGGTCCAACAGAACAATCATCAAATCCACTTCTTTTTAGCAGTCAACCATACCTAAGTATTTTGCTAGGCTACATAAGGACCTATAAATAACATGTGGAATGTATTTCAATTCACATTTATTTCATCAATCTTGTTCACACATATTTTAAGTGTAATTAAAGACAAAATAATAGACTAAATTTTTACTGAGTTTATGCAGTACCTGTGAGAAGAATCTTGAATTCAGAACCAACCATATATATATGCAAATGCTTCCACTTAATTTAATCATCTACAAAAATAAGGTAAGATCAGGAACTCATGAATATGTTCTAGAATGATCTTCGCTGATTATAATCAAAAAGTTCTTTAGAAAGAAGGGGTAATGGACTACCATCAATCTACTTTAGTTAGATAGAATGAGGTTTTAAGGAAAAAAATAAAAATATCAATTAAAACCATGTACAGCCAGACAAAGTAATCTGCTACAGACTTCAGTGTTTAAGGTTATGTTACACAACTACTTGGAAGGAATGTTTTGCAAGGAATGTATCTAAGGCATGGGTAAATGAACTAGATGGTTAAGGCCACTTACAGAAAACATACAAGAGAGAGCATGACTCATGTTCTTATGACCCATGTCTTATTTACATGCTTTATGACCCATGTATCTTATTTACACAAGCTCCCTCTCTCACACTGCTACCCCAACTCTGACAAAAAATAAATTCTGTCACCAACCACTACCAGGAATCCAATCACACTAATGTTACTAAGACTAACATATATGTGACTTTGTTGAAGATGTTGAGATCACAGGAAGCAGTACCACTGCACAGATTACAACGTTGTAACTGAAAAATTCCATTGGACATCTATCTTCTGAAGCGTTTTCTGGTCCCTGGCCACTTAATCCTCTTGCCTATTATCCACACAGCACTTAGTCTCACTCTTCACACTTACTCACTCTGACATTTCTTGTGCAACATAGCTTCCTATTTTGTCAAACCTTAGGAACAAGGGAGCCCCAGGAAGTTCCTTCACTTTGTGTATTATATATTGCTATGATATTAAATACACTTATGATGCAAATGTTTTACTTTTGTAACCAAAGAAAAAGGAAAAAATAATAAAAATTACACATTAAGAAACAGGTTTCAACTCAAGACTAAATGAATGTAATAAGATGTGCCTTATGCAACTGTGAATGCACATAAAATAATGCATTTGTTCACAGTAGGTGCTAGAAGAATGCAGATGATGATTATGGGAATTATTCAAAGTAAGAAAAGAGTATAATGACACAGGAAAAGTTAGTGTGATAGGGAAGTATAGCATGTACTCCTTCAGTTTACCAGATATGAAGCAAAATTAGGTAAAATAGGAAAGATGAATGATTTGGATTAATCTATTATAAAAATAGTTCTCAGCTGAATGCTCACTAGGAACCAGACACCTCTTAGGAAAATCTTTCTATCTTTCAAACTCATGGATAAATCCCTGTCATTCAACTTCATTTCTTATATGCACATAACACAATTTCTCATTATGAATTTCATTTATTTTAGTTGCTTGTAAATTCTTTCTCATTAGCCTGTAAGTCTCTCAAGGGCAGGATTATATCTGTCCCCTTCCCACAGACAATATGTGACCCAGGGCCTACCTACTCCAGTGCTTAACACAAAAGAGGTACCCAATAAACACCTGAAGAATTAATCAGTCAATTCACTATAGACTAAGTATTGTTCTACAACCATATTTTCCTTCTTAAAAATATATATTGGAGATTTTCTCATGATGGTATTTAAAGAACTACAACATTTCACTTACCGTCTTATTAAACCAGAAACATACTGCATGAATATTCCAACATTTGTTTATCTATTTTCCTATTGGACATTTGGAGTTTTTTCAATTATTTAATAAAATCATGTTCACACAGTTTTGCACCTCCTTTCTAATCTCTCTGCCTGAGTCTTTTTCTCACCTTATTTAAATGATTTCCATTATAAACGTTGAGTAAAAGTGATGATAGCATACATTCTTACATTTCTTCCAAGCTTAGAGAAAAAGCACTTAGTGTTTCACCATTAAGTATGATATTAGCTCTAGGTTTACTGCAGATGTTCCTTATCAAGTTGAGGAAGTTGCCTTCTATTCCTAACTTGCTAACAGTTTTTATCAAGAATAATTGTTGTATTTTCCAGTGATTTTTCTGCATCTGAGATCACCATATGGTTTTTCTTTTTCTTTTTTTCTGTCGCCAGGCTGGAGTGCAGTGGTGCATTCTTGGCTCACTGCAACCTCCGCCTCCTGGGTTCAAGTGATTCTCCTGCCTTAGCTTCCCGAGTAGCTGGACCTACAGGCACACACCACCACACTCAGATAATTTTTGTTATTTTTAGTAGAGACAGGGTTTCACCATGTTGCCAGGATGGTCTCGATCTCTTGACCTCGGTATCCACCCACCACGGCCTCCCAAAGTGCTGGGATTATAGGTGTGAGCCACCATGCTTGGCCAGTTTTTCTTTTTACTCTGTTAATATGGTGAACTATTCAATTTATTTTCTAATGTTAAACCAACATTGCATTTCTGGGATGAACCTAACTTGTTCATGATGTATTATCTTTACTTGCCATTGCTATTTATACTTGCTAACATTTCATTAATAATGTTTACATCTATGTTCTGTAGGATATTGGCCTGTTGTTTTATTTTCTTATGATAACTTTTATGTTGGTCTCATAGTTGGAAAATCTTCCCTCCTCTACAGTTTCCTGAAAGAGTTTATATAGATCTGGTATTATTTCTTCCCTAAATATTAGGAAGATTTTATTAGTAAGGTCATCTGCGCCTTCAGTTTACTTTGTAGGAAGATTTTTTGTTTTGTGTTTGGGTTTTTAACAACTGATTTGCCACATAATTCAAACACCATGAAATTTACTCTTTTTATGTGAACAATTAAATGATTTTTAGTGAATTTACAGATTTGTGCAACCATCAGCACAATCCCATTACAGAATAGTTCCATTGTCCCAAAAGATTCCTTGTGCCCATACGCAGTCACTCACCAACCCCACTGCCAGTGCCAGATGAAAACCACTCTACTTTTAAATTCCATAGATATGTTTTTCTGTACATTTCACCTAATTATATCACATGGTGTTTTTTGTTACTGGCTTCTTTCAAGTAGCATATTGTTTTAAAGGTATATCCATGTTGTAGCATGTATCAGTATTTCATTCCTTTTCACTGATGAACATTTTCCATAGTATGGATATACCTTATTTATCCATTTGCTAATTTGGTGTGGAAAAGTTTTAACTACAGATACCATTTCTTTAAAAGACAGAGTCATTCAAGTTGTCTATTTCTTCTTGTGTGTACATGATATATTGCTAGAGATTCATGGGAGCATTTCTAAGGATAAACTTCTAAAAGAGGAACTATAAAGACAATTATTATGAGCATTTGTAATTTAATATATATCCAAGTAATAATTACTTAAATTGCATGTTAGATGAGCTGAACCAGTTTACAATGACTCCAATTATGTATTGAGTGTTTATTTCCCCACTCCCTTGCCAACACAAGGAGTCTATCGATGTTTTCATCTTTGTCCCAACTCAGCAGCAAAGACTATCTTACTATTGTGTTATTTTGCATTGCTTTAATTACTAGAGAGTTTATATATTTATTGTTTACTTTTACAGTGTTATACTCACTCTCAGCCCAGTTTCCTCCCCCTGCATGAATCTTTTTCAGACCACTCACACTTCACCCTACTCTGAATTGCCTGGTGACACAACTTTTGTATTGTTATTTTGTATAGCCTTGGGAACAACAGATATTTAATAAGAATATCCTGAATGAGGTGATGCTCTATTCTATTTTTGTTAGCTTATCACCGATTTTTGTCTTCTCTGCTTAACAAGAACACAGAATTCTTAAGAACAAGAACAAATTCTCATGTACCATGATATCCTGAATATCAAATAGAAAATTAGTTTATCAACAATAAATATTTGCATATTAATTGATGTGAATTTAACTAATCGAGACCAAAGCTAGGCTTTTATCATTACCTGCAAATAAAATTGAATAAAGAAAAAACATTTGCAATCCATAATCATAAGCTTAACCAGCAGGTGACAGTCACATCCTCACCTCACGAGGACTGCTTTCATCAGGCTATATGTGTGTGTGTGTGTGTATGTGTACATATATATATGTAAATATACATATGTACATACATATATACATAGAGACTCTCCCTCCCTATGTATGCATATGCTGTCTATATACATAGACAGAATATATATATATAAAGTATATATAAAGAAGATGTGTTCATATGATATTGTACATATACGTATATATGTATATAAAGGTCAAGTCAAAAATTGTTAAGAAAATAAAGGCACTTTCCTTTTGAAAAATGAAGCTCACCGTTTCAAAATCAACATTTATCACAAGGCACTGTTGTTGACTCTCCTGGTGTACCTGGAGCAATACAGTTTTTATGCTAATTATTTCTCTTCATGCTGGCTAGTAGATAAGTATCTTGCAGCTAACCATAGTTACATTATAATAGAATGAGATTGTCTGAAGACACAAAATCCTCTTATGTCGTCCAATTTAGAATCCATTTCACAAACTCTATGGTGCTACCTAGAAACTGAATGTGCTGGGAATCTTATATTTTTGCACATATTTCTGTTACACTGAACTTCAGGTATGATATTTGTAAAGACAATAATTCTACCTTTATAGGCAATTTGATATAATGTTCTATTATAACAACAAAAAATGTAATTTGTTTTCTAGTCTAGGTTCCCAGGTTTGCATTTAGTCTTACTCATTTTGTTAGAGAAAATACACTTATAGTTTTTACTGACAATGACACCAAAACTCTAGGGAAGGAAATGGTATTTAACTTACCCTTGCAGCCAGTAAAGACAGGCTATTCTTGACATTAACTAGTGAATACATTTAGAAAATTAACAAAATGTATTCTAGTCAAATCCTAGCGAACCTCATATTTTATAATAAGAGCACATAATTATTTCAATGGAGCTTTTAAAATTTTATTCAAATCCATGAGTCATTTAATATCTACCATGTATTTTCTTCCTAATTCACATAATGAAAATAACTTATAACTAATATTATTAGCATTAAAGCCAATAAAATAAAATAGGACAAATGGTCTACCAGTGGTCCTGGGCAAATTCCACTGTAAAAAACTAAGATAATATATTAGGTTTGTGTTCCATTTCATAGATTAAATCACTGAACAAAATATTCCACAAGCTAAATATTTTTAGTGTTCATAAAAATTGGGTAACTGACCTGACAATAATGAAAGCAAGGGACAGTTCCTACCTGTGTCATATTAAGTATACTCACAAGAAGAAGAAAAATGTAGAATTGCTAAAAAATAAAAAAATCAGAAACCCAACTGAGACTTTATTATTAAATGATATTTTAACTCTTTTTCCTTGCCGCCTCTTTGTTATCAAAACTCTTTAAGAACAGCACAAATGCCCAAATGAACTTTTATGGCCCATACAATAACCATTACAAGATTTCCATACATCACAAAATTTGTGCCTTATTAATAATAACTTTGAGAAAATCATCTCCCATATATAAATATTAATTTAAATTTGACTTTCATGACACATGTTAATATCTCATTCAGAGAAAATATTCCTCTCATCAAAGGCATATCAAAATCCATGATGCATTACTGAAGTTTTACAAGCATTCTTTAAATATATTTTATTTATTCTTCTATCAAGCGCTACATTTACTTGGCACCTGAAAGTTCTGTTTTTCTTTTTCCAATGCTTAAAGCTAGCTGTTATCAATTTTTAAACATAGAGTAGGTAGATATTAAACATTCCCATTGTACAGAAATCAACACTGAGCCTTAGAAAAAATAAGACAGCTTTTCAAAGAAGACACTGCTAGTCATGAGAAACACAGTGGAATTCAAGTCTTCTGGTGTCAGATCCACTGCTTTTTCTATTTATTCATGCTGCCTCCCAGTGGCACTGGATTAGTTTCTCTTGGGAGATTTTTAGAACTAGGATCTTCTCTCTTGAGGACATTTAAGAATAGATACAGCAACTGTATCTGTTGAGTGATAATCCTTTTTTTAAAAAGTAACTTTTATGAAGGTTTAGATGAAGCTAAGGTTTCCTAAAATATGATACTTATTTCTGAACCAATATACACTGACAAATGTCACTCTACTACTTGCTGAATATGAACATTACATATTTGATTACATTGGCCAATTTGTTCACAGAGTATTAATCATATGAAAATAAGCCACTCAAAGCACAAACGCACCATGTTCTTAGGCTGTCCACCTATGTCAAATGAATACCTATCCATGCTTTTACACTTTCCAGAAACGAAAGGCAGTGAAGTTGCAGCGAGACACAAGATGCATTTACAATTTAAGAGACGATAATAAACTGATGACTCGAACTCCCTAAAGACCCAAACCCACCTTCTAGTCAATTTTTGTATAAAATTAAAAAATAAATGCAACAATCTTAGTATTTTAAGACTATCACCCACTTAAAAGTAAATTATGGACTGACCATTATAAAGTAACTGTAAATTAGCATGGATTTAATTCTGAAGGAAATATTTTAAAGGAAAAAGAGGGAAGAAGAAAAGGAAGGAAGGAAGGAAGGATTTCTTTAGAAGCATAACAGAAAAATCACAGAAGTATATGCCATTAGATGGGTAAGCCTGATACCTGGAATTTAACCTTTCCCTCATATTCTCCCTTAATTTCCTTACCCCAAACCCTTTTTAAATTTAATTTATTTTCTTTCAGGAAATACGGTATTTTATGCTTGAATAGTTTTTAAAGTTATTAACATCAAAGTAGCCCCTAAACCATAAAGGGAAGAGGCTTGGTGACATATTTCAACAAAATTATAAATACAGTACTCAGAGGTTGGTTGAGGGCTATGACAAAGAGAAATATTTACATAAATTGAGAAAATGGATTTTTTTTCAATCTAACATGCTTCCTTAAGGATACAACACAACCAAATTGGAGAATCAGTAACTGACAAACCTCTTTGCATATAGTGACCTCCTCTCCTTGTACTACAGGAAAACATTTCCACCTAGAGTCCTTTCACAGAATATCTAGAGACCAAACGAAATCAACCATAATGACTACCAGAGCCAGATCATAATCAGTTTTTAATTGAAGTATCAAGCCAATTAATTTGTGACAACTTCCTATCACTTCTTATTCTTGACATGAAGTTGCAGAGGACTCAAATGGTTTTCTGGTCCATGACAGCTGTGGAACATTTTAATGTTTGGTCTCTTTTAAAATCACATTTATTAGAGAGGAAAGCATCTTTAGAGATGGAGTCCTAAAACTGACTCGAGATTACAAACCAGCCTCACCAGTTTAATTAGATTAAATGTCAAGAAAGAAAACTTCCCTTATACATCATATACACAGAGTCTTAATAGCAGATCTTCCTTTGGTTTTAGAGGTGTCTTTCAGAAATACATTTGAGCCCTAAATATGTATGTCTTTGTTAATTTAATTCAACAAATAAATGATTAGTGTATATATAAGTTGTACCTATATTCAGATGAGTATCACTTTTTCACACCATAAAAATTTCTAAAATACTGTATTTTAAGAACACAAACGATCCTTTTTGGGACTTCATCAAGATATATATTCTTGCCTTCCACACAGAGCATCATCCACTATAATACATGAATGACAAACTTTATATAAATCTTCCCTGAGATAATGCTATGTGTTATTCAGCAATGAAAAACATCAATAAATTGTCCTGCTTCCATTCCCACTACAGTAAAATTATATAAAAATATTAACATATATGTACCTTAATCAAAAATAATAGATGCCTTACATAACTAAACCACTTCTGCCATCAATAGGCAATCCATTCCATTTAAATTCTTAAGGTGAAATACCTGGCAGATCTCAAAACATTTTACTGGTTTTGAACAGGAAGTACATTTTTTTTTCTTCCTCACACTCCAACTGTATTGGGAGTAACGCATGCTACTGGGTGATGGTGACAGAACCCTAAAGAACATCTCCTTCTTTTAAAATGTTAACCACTGCTTCTAATTTCTGAAAAATATTTTTTGCCCTTTCAGTATGTGGCCCAATATTTTCACCAATGATGGATCTCAGCTTCTATTCAGTATTCCTGGAATATTCCACACCCGATGGTAATTTTTGGTCTTCCTTTAGTATTATTCTAAATATTCGTCTTTGTTAAGAGCCACCTTTCCAAGACCCTGAAACTGCATTACTGAGTGTAAAATGACCACATATGGTATGCACAAACACAGCACAGCACGCTGAAAAATACATACATTACCGGCTGACAGACACGGGGGTAATCACACCAAGCAAACACAATAAGCACTCTTTCATTTATTTATTTATCTATTGCTTAGACACACTCATCAAACATATTCAGTGCCCACTGAGCCCAAGGCAGTACACAGCACAGATAATATCTGTTAGGTGGCTTCAGCAAACTGGATTATGTCAAAGTGTGAAATGTGAAGTGAATCTGACTTCATCAAATAAACTGAACTCCAAGGCCATTTCCCAGCACTCACTCCCCCACCTCAAACACACAAGCTTAACTTCGCCCTCCTTCCTCTTCTGATGCTCAGACCATGACTTCCTTCTCATCCTTCTCTTCTCTTCTCTTCTCTTCTCTCTCTCTCTCTCCCTCCCTCCCTCCAAGTATTTCAGCAGCTTTCCTCAGTTCTCTGAGCCAATCCCTCGGAAAAGGAAATCAGCAAAATGCTGAATGGGGAGACTTCACCAGCAGGTGAAGAGGAAAAGAAGAGGGTGTGGTACTCGTTTTCTCCACCACACCCCATCCCTGGAGTCTTGCACTCCAGTCTACTGCGGCTCAAAGCGGGCACAGCAGGTCCCCTAGCTCACCTCGGAGCAGCCTGGCCCAGACCAACCACCCAGCGTTCTCCGCAAAAAACTTCCCTTAAAGCAGCCAAATATTCAAGGGAGGCGGGGGAAATTGGGCATTAGTTCGAATACACATACAACAGAGCACCACGGAGCAACACTGAAAGGCACCTTTTTTAGATACAGACCCTATAGACTCTCTCTCACCCTTCACTCCCTCCCACCCTGAGTATCTGACTGAGAATTTACAGAGAACCAAGAGGCGAAAGGAGAGTGGAGGAGAAAGAGGGCATTACCTCCCGGGGCTGCCCTCAGGGTGCGGGTCAGGATCTCATCCCCGAAGTGGCTCCAGTTCAAGGCACAGCTTTCCAGAGCTCAGCCGGGTTCGGACCTGCGTCCCCGCGGCGCGGTGCGGAGCTCGGAAGCGCGCCGGGACTGCCGCTCACGTCCCCCGCCCCTGCCGCGCGGGCTCCGCCACCCCGCGAGCACGCTGGCTCTCCGCGCTCACCCCGCCGCCTCCTGGCGCCCCCACACCCACCCGCTCCGCGGCGCCCGCTGGGAGCCTCTAGCGGAGGCGAAGGGAACAGCAGGCGACCTGCGGCGCCCAGGTTCCGACGCCGGTTGCAGGGAGCCGGCCAAGCGGCAGCGTGGGCTTCGCGCGCCCCCGAGTCCGCAGGCCGGGTGCCGCCGCCGCCCCCACCTGCCCACCTGCGCCAGGCTCACCTGCCACCGCGTCCTAGTTGCGTTCACCGGTGCCCACAGCTCTCTATGGCAATTGGGGGTGGGTCTGCGGTGCTAATAAAAATTTAAAAAAAAAACCTCTCTGGTAAAAAAACGAAAACCCAAAACCCAAATCCACGCTGTATATCAACCTCCACAGAGAACCCAGTCCGAAATCGTTTTCCAATAGGTTTCAGAAAGTGTGAGGACAGGACACTCCTCTGGCTTCCTGCCTCGCAGCTGGGCAGCGCCGCACCGGCTACTCCCTGACTTGCCAGGCGGGTCGTGCGATCGCGTAGCGACGCCCGGAGAGATCCTCCTAACTTGACTTAACCCCCACCCCATCCCCAACATCTATTTTAAGTTATTGTCTCTGGCAATTCAAGCAGCAGCTTTGCTGCCTCTTACCTTGAGGCGCTGTTAATTCTCCTTCGTGTCCTTAAAATCCCAAGCCAAGGATGCGACGCACACAAGTCCAGGGGCTTTTCCTGGACTTCCCCCTCCTCAGCTCTGAAGGCTCCTCCTTTCCAAGGGATCAGGAGGGGATGGCGGTTCAAAAGCCCTCACCATAGAGGCGCCTCCAAGCCTTCGTACCAGTGGAAATGGAGACCGGGACCACCTTCCCGGCACCCGGAAGCCTCCCAGCCCCTCCTGGGCCAACTTGGCTGCCTATTCAGTTTTCTTCCGTAACCCCACAGACACGTCAGTCAATTCCCTGGCATCAGGCAGGATATTCTCAGTTGCGGCCGCTCCTCTTGCTTTCTCTCGATAATGCCCCTCCCCCCTTTCTCCCCTTAATTTGGAAAAATTTCTACTCCCTGCCCGAATTAGGTGGGGATGAGGCGGAAAGGTGTAAGAAGAGCCACTCCAAGGCACAGCTTCGGAACACCGTCTCCCTGGGCTGCTGCAGCGCGAAGGTGTCTACGCTGGGGAAACTTTCAGGGGAGGCAGCGCCGGTGCGGGGCTGGGCGGGCGGCGGGCGGCGGCGCCAGGTGAGGAGGCTTTGAGGAGGCGGCTGCAAGGCGGGACGCAGGATAGCCGGCTGGGGCTTGGCAGCCGGGCTCAGAGCTCGGGCTGCGCACACACACAGGCGCGCACACCCGCGCGCGCGCAGCTACACACGCACGCCCAGCCCTGCGCCCGCGGCCCCCGGCCAGTGGCGAGCGAAAAGTCGGGAGTCCTGAGGAGGGGTAGGGGTTCCAAGGATGCTGATGACAGAAAGAGTCAATCAATCCTCACTAGTTAGCGGATTGCCGGCAGGCAGTTCCTCGCCGCACGCCGTTAAGTCCGTTGGGCCACCTCTCCGTTCTCTGCCCTGTCTGGCATTTCAACTCCCTAGCTCTTTTCTTGAAGCCAGTTACACCCCCTCGACACCCAGCGAGAGGCCACCAGACTAAAGATGAGCCCCGTTCCCATCGCCACCCTCCAGGGGCCACCTCCGCCCCTTCTGTAGTGGAGAATTGAAGTGGCTGCAGCAGCTCTCCTGGGAGCTGAGGGGCTCCCCGAGGTCCTTCGAATAGAGGAGCCTACACATCGCTTCGTGAACATAATCCCCTCGCATCCCGTCTTTACCTGCCCACTCCCTTCGTAACATTTCCCCCAAGGAGCTCCCGAAAGTCGCTTAGATGTTTTGAAAATGAATTTCTTAGGGAATTGTAGTGCCTAGCTTTTGGAACTGGGTTAATTTAGGTGCTACGCTTATATTGTAAACTGGACGGTAGCAGGTGAACGGCTCAGCTGGAGAAAGGGGAGGGATTAGGAGTCTGGAGACCCAACCCCTTTAGCAGCCATTTCCAAGGTTTTGCACCAGGAGTAGCTGTCCGGGTCTCTGGCTAGCTCCTGTCCCAACTTCTTTTTCTTCCCTCGACGGTCGGGAGGGATCACTGGGTGCTACACCGCTGGGGCGTCCCAGGCAGGAGAGACTTCGCTCTCAGAAGCGCCCCCGTGTCATCCACAACTCCCACGAAAGGAGCTTCCCAAGAGGAGTTTGTTTTACCCGGAATGGGCTGCAGGAATTAATTGCTTACAGAGAGTAAACTTTTGCCCGTTGTTTTTTTGTTTTTTGTGCTTTTTTTAACCAAAGCTTGCATTTGTGCTCCGCGTAGTTTCTATTGCAACAGAGCGCTACTCTGCCTTTTCAACTGTGAGACAGAGGATTGCTGAGGATTTCTGCCCTCTGGGGCTTCGCGAATATCTATGGCTTCGGACCTGCTAGCGGAAAACGCAAAGTTGCCCAGCTTGGAGATGGCACCAGGTTCCTTTGCTCTGGCGCTGGATGCTCCGCTCCGCCACCCACCGCCGCCGTCTCCATCGAGAATCTCCTCAAAATCAAGGGAGTTCTTGACTGTCCCTCTCCAAATTGGAAGGCGGTTGACTTTGCCGGGAACCGAGTTCCTGAGCGGCAAACGTGGAGTCGCAGAGCGCAGAAGTGAAGATTTAATACAAAAGATGAAACTTGTAGGATGACCTCTAGCAGCGCTACTCACAGCTCTGAAATCGATCCAGAGCATTCCACAGTGAGCGTTGCGGCTCCCAGGGGCTCCGGACCGGTAACTTCAGGCGCAAGTCTGAATTTCAGGGATGAACCTGCTTTGGATTCTGTTTGAGCCGACTCAGTGCAGAGGCAGTGACAGGGGCTGTGGGTTTAGGGGTGATGGATCCATGAAGGCTGCCACTTGGAGCGAGCAGACAGTTGGCGATACCCTCCCACTAACTTGCTCCGCTGCTCCGGGCTGTTCACAGACAGACCCACGCGTAAGGATTTAGAGTGTGTATGTCCAACGCCCAGACTTAACTTCTGGTGCAATTAAGGGAAGAGCTTGAAGCTAACCCGCGCAGCTTGCCTGAAGAAGTGAATAATGAAATCGGTGATGAGGTGCTAAGGAATAAAAAGAGGCATTTTGTTTGCGTGTGTATTAGTTTGCCAGGATTGAGTTTTTAGGTTTGATGTCCTAAAATGTATCTTCGACAGTGACTCTTTTGCAGCCTTTCAAGAGGAGGATGTTCGGCAGTATTTTGGAACCTGGTATGAATCTATACATTGTCTGCGTGCCGCAATATTTGATGCCTCTTCGAGTTCTAATTCTTATTCCTAATTAATAAATGACTGTTCCTGATAATGAAGTGGGAATAAGAATTATAATAAACTATTTCCAACAAAAGGCCATCTTTAACTTATGATTTCTGATTGTATAAGCCTATCAATTACCAATAAAATATTCTGCAGACTATTAGGCATGAATTGCAGAGCTGTAATGAAGAGACTCACTTGGTTCAAGAAAATTCAGAATTTAGAGCGACTCCTCTCCAAAAAGGTTGTGACTTCAAATTCCTTTCTTGGTTGCTGTTGGTATGCAGGCCACTGTCTGCAACTGAAGTTTCTGTTTAAAGTAAACATAGGTTATTTACATATTCATTAACTTTAATACGTGAAGGGTGCCTTACAGTGGTAGGAAATGTTGTGGAAAGTCTTGTACCAGCCATGGCGAAGTCTTTTTACTTGCTTTGAGTTTTTGATGTATGCGATGTGTATGCAGTAGTGGTAATCCATAGCATAATATTCTTGACATTTAAGCACCCTCAAAAAAAATAATAAAAACCTGTAGATTTATGGATCCTGTTCAAAAAATGGAAGAGGATAAGGATCACCCTTTTCCCCCTCGCCTTTTACATTTTGCTTTTATGGGGGAAATTATTTAACAAACAAGGAGAGCAAACCTCAGGATCAGAGGATGTACCCCATTCCCGCTACCCTTAGGTCTATCTATGGAATTGAAAAGAAACTATTGAGACTCAAAGATACTGTCAGATCCAAGAATCTGATTTCACCACCAAATTAAAATAACTACAGCATTATTCCAGTGTTGTCTATGTATTTATGTTTTCTGATAATTGAATTTGAAATATATGATATCTCTTCCAATGGAAACATCTTGATCCTTTTCCCTCCTTAAGATCATTTCTCTACAAACTGCCATTTTCAGAACACCTTTTACTTCTCTAGAGCATAGCATTCAGTCTATTGGTGTACTGTCTTTTCATAGATAAAAGCTATTCTTTCTTTACTGGTATGCCTTTGCTACTGTACTGTGAGCTCTGAGAGCACGGATCTTGTCATTTACATTGTTGTTCCCCAGAATCTATACAGAATCTAGTACACAATAAAATAGATGTATATGATGATGATGATGATGATGAAAGCGACCATGTATTGAGTAATGACTTAATGACTATGTAATGTGATTTATGTACATTATATCAGTTGATCCTGTTTACAACCTGCTTACCTAAATTTTATGTCCTCAAATTACAGGGAGATTGAGGCTTATGCAAATTTACCTAAGGTGACAAATCTGTTTTGTCACAATTAAGTATGGAACCTACACAGTATCTTTCTGACTCTGAAGCCTGCACTATTCATCATTTTGCTCTGTTCAAATAGCCAGGTCCCCACATTTTCAATTATTCAAGGCTAAAAGGAATTTATATGTTGTTAATGCTAAAAAGAGGCAAATTTAAAAATGAGTTCCTTACCTCTCATGCAATCGAGTCAATATCTATTTGAGTATCAAAACACAGGACCAGTTTACTTCTCTTATTGGGTTAAAATAGGAGAGTGTCTTCTTGGCATTATTTTCATGGGAATGCCAAATGCTGAGTTATGGGTTTCCTTTCAGAGAGGGGAGTCAGGCCATTGGGAATTTTATGGATATAGAAAACTTTTTATTGTTTACTTCCATGTTGATACTCTTATGTAAAACAGAGGAGGCTATTATAAAATCTCAGTTGTGTAAGATGAATAAATTCTAGAGATCTATTGTACAATAATGTGCCTATAATTAACCATACTGTATTATACACTTAAAAATGTATTAAGAGGACAGATCTCATGTTGGCTAATTGCCACAATTTTAAAACTAATAAAAATAAAAGCCTCAGAACACAGACAACACTGAATACAGAATGACATAGGAACATGCCATAGAAATGTGTTATAGTTGTCAATTTCAACAGCTCATATTATAAAACATCTTTTATACCTTGGATCATTACAGTACAAATACAAAATATCCATATCATGGAAGATTAAGCTGCTATGTAAAATAATGAGGAAATTCTCCTTAATTGGTATAAAAAGGTCTCCATGATATTTTTAGGTGAAAATTGCAAGGTGAAGCAAGGTGTTGTCTCCAAAAATTAATAAAATTGGTTGGGGTCATGGTGTAAGTGGGCAGATGGTATCAAAGGTAGAGGTTAGACTTTTTATGTTCTTTTGATTTTGGAACCGTGTGTAAGTTTTACCTTATAAAATAAAAGAGTGCCTTTGAGGGGTTGCATGGAAAGAAAAGTATAACAGATGTATCTCCGCCTTTTACTTAAAAAAGATGTTTGTTGCTGTTGTTGTTGTTGTTTTTAAAAAGGGTAGGTGAAAGTTGTGAAATAACCTGGCCTGCAATACATTTGCTCATTTACTCCTGCCAGGGAGAGACCTTGAGGGAAAGAAGCAAAAAGGGGTTTCTTAGTTCAGACTACTGTAACAAAATACCACCGCATGGGTAGCTTAAATAGTAGGAATGTATTTCTCACAGTTCTGGAGTTCTGTGAGAAACATTTTTCACAGTTCTTGGAAGGCCAAGATTAAGATGCTAGCCAATTTGGTTCTTGGTGATGGCTCTTTTCCTAGCCTGCATACAGCTGCCTTCTAACTATGTCCTCACATGGCCTTTTCTCAGTGTGTGTTGGGGGGAAGAGAGAAAAAGAAACAGAGACATTTCAGCCACAGTTTATATAGCAACTAATCCTATCATGAAGGTCCCACTCACATGACCTGTCTAACCCTAATTACCTCCCAAAGGTCTCATCTCTACACACCACCACATTAGATGTTAGAGCTTCAGCACATGAATTTGGGGTGGGAAGAAGGTACAACGTTTAGTCCATAACAAGTGAGCAGGTCTAATCTCCTTGTCAATTCTACCTCCCCTGGGTAAATAGACTAATGGTATTTGCTAGAAGGAAGAGGGTTGTCTTTGGGCCCTTAGTAGGATATCTGACTAAGGATTACCTATAATAGATAGAACCAGAATTTATAAGGGATGGCTTCCTGGAAAATGGCATATAGTGTTTGCAGTGCTGGGGTATAAAATGGAGATGTTTTATAATTGAAGCATTACCAACTGTATGAGGAACCATGCACGCCTCACTTGGAGGCTTTATGTATTCTGGGCTAAAGAGATGTGGCTTTCACAGGAAAGAAAGACCTGCAGAGCCATTATTTTGAAACTTTTGATAAGCCTTTTGTTTGTACCTTTGAAATTATTTAGTTTAGGCTAATACTGCTTATGATCTCTGATTCATGTTAGTCTGATTTGAGAAATTCACTCTTAAGAAATAGCGTGAAAAATGGCTTAATTCAAAAAGTAAGCAACTTAAATGACACCTTTTAGGTACCAGAAATACTCTAGGAGAACTAGATTTATTTATTCACTTAATCCTAACAACAAATCTAATAATAATTATCTTCATTGTATAGATGAAGAAACAGTCACAGAAAAGTCAAAAAGCCTTGCCAAGGTCACATAGCTGCTTAAGTGGTACAGTCAGGGTTTAAACCGTGGCTGTCTAACATTAGATCACAGCTTTTTAACCTACACCAGAAGGTTCTATATTAGCTATAAGGTCTGTTAGAACAGGGACTTGGCTTTACTGTTGATTACAGGCTCAACAGGCCAAAAACGGTACATGGATCCTGACTGGATAAAAACCATGGACAGTAGCGAGACAACTTAGTATACCTGTTTGCCACACACTGTGCTAATTGCGTTATGTATGTTACCTTGTTGAATTTTTTTTTTTTTTTTTTGGGACATAGTCTCACTGTGTCACCCAGGCTGGAGTGTAGTGGTGTGATCTCCACTCACTGCAACCTTTGCCTCCCGGGTTCAAGTGATTCTCCTGCTTCAGCCTCCCAAGTAGCTGGGATTACAGGCACCCACCACCACACCCAGCTAATTTTTGTATTTTTTGGTAGGGATGGGGTTTCACCATGTTGACCAGGCTGATCTCGAACTCCTGACCATGTGATCCACATGCCTTGGCCTCCCAAAGTGCTGGGATTACGGACATGAGCCACCAAACCCAGCCTTTTATTGAATTTTTAAAACAACTCCATGGCTTAGGCAATGTTATTATTACTCTGCTAATGATCAACATGAAGTTAATTGTTTCCTCAAAGTCTCGCAGTGGTTCAGTACAGAAACAGAATCTCAACTCAGTACCATTATGCCACATTGCTTTTAACCTAAACTATTATTTTATACAATAATATTATGTTGTAATTAAGTCTCTTGCTTACAATTCTGTCATTATTCTAGTGTTCAAAACACATGCTACAATGAAATAAACAGATCAAACATAGAGTCTGAATAAATATCTTTCAAAGCAGTGGAGTGTTTTGCTGAAGAAACTACTCAAGTGTCAGTGATTTACCACTTGTCATCCTCCTAATATAAGTGGGTGTCCTGGTGACTATTTCTGATATTTTTTTGACAAGGGAGGAAATCAGACAAGGTAGTGTGGTCAGGAAAAGAATCATAAATTTTCCTTTCTTTTTACAACAACTTTGGCCCATTTGATTTGTTACAAAGAAGTGGTGTTTGTTTTCTTCAACTGTCTCTCCATTTGTCAGTCAGTGGATTCATAAGCCATCCTATAAAATTTCAAAATGCCATTCTCTGTTGCACATTATAAAAATGAAACAACAATAGAAAGCTTTCACTTCTACCTTGGTTCAAATTTCCCTTTTCCTTAAATCTTAAACATAAGGCAGTTCTTGCAATGGCAGTTGAAAGATGACACTGGAGCTGTCATCTAGGGGCCAGCTGCTGATGAACTCACATACCAGGACAAGGAGTTTAAAATTCACCTTGATGATAATGGGCAGTTTATAAGCAATTTATCTGCAAATTCATGCATCTCTGTGTTATGGTTAATCTGCAGTCTTTGGAGTTAGACCTCCTGGATTTGAATTCTGGCTCTGAGACTTGCTAGGTCTAGGACAAGGGTGCTGTAGAAGCACATAGGAGGGCCCTCTGAATCATTTTAGGGAACATGGGAACAGGGAAAGATCAGACAGGGTAGTTCAGGGAATGCTACCCAGAGAAAAATATTCTAAGCAGAATTGCAAAGGAAGACTTGGCAGAAGCCTGAATATGCAAACAAAGAGGTCGAAAGCTGTGTAAAGTTTTCAAAAATGAGATAGGGACAGAGGGTAGGAGGAAGAGAAGAGACATCTGTCATTGTGGTAACTGCAGACAGATGTTTAAGCTAAAATTTAAGTAGTTACTAACTCCCAGTACCTAAGAATGTAACTATATTAAAAGAGCCTTTAAAGAGGTGATTAAGTAAAAAGGAAGCTATTAGGGTGAGTCTAAATCTAATGTGCCTGATGTCCTTATAAAAATAAGAAATTAGGACACAGAGAGAGACACCAGGGTTGCCTGTGCCCAAAGGGTGGGCCATGTGAAAAGGCAGCAAGAGGGCAGCCAAGTCAAGTAGAGAGAACTCGGGAGAAAACAACCCTGCTGACACTTTGAAATTAGACTTCTGGTCTCCTGAACTGTGAGAAAATAAATTTATGTTGCTAAATCAACCCACTCTGCAGTTCTTTGTTATGACAGCTCTAGCAAAACTAAGAAGGGAAAAGCAACTAATAGATGAGATTGGAGAAGTCAGCTTGAAGCCTGGACATTAATAAGCTCATTCTCATAAGATCATGTCAGAGGAAGAAGAATGAAGAAGGAAAGGCAAGGCCAGTTAGCAATTAAAGATATTCCCTGAACTAAGACAATGAGCATAGGTATGGAAAAAGAAAGAGACAAATCCAGAGAGATAAGACAGAAATAACATAATTTAGAGATGGATTTCATGCGAGTAGCAGTGGTGTGGGAGAAGTATAGAACTGAAGGATAGTATCCTTTTACAAACAAGAAAAGAGGTAAAGGAGGGAAAATTTTTTGTTGTTATGTTTTTGCTGGTGGATAGTTAGATGATTTAATCAGAGTTGTGGTGACAAATACAAATGAACATATAAAATGCTCAAAACAAACATTAAATACCAATGTAGGAAAACAATATAACATGTGTCTTAAAGCTGTATGCAATTAGGTACAAATGCTTGTTTAACAAACTAGGCTTATAAACACGGAGAAATGGGATTCCCTAAACTGGAAGATGAAAAAAGAATTCCTGAAGGTTGGAGCTTGTTTTTTAAGAATGTAATATTTGAGAATGTGAGGCTGAATGTACAGAGAGAGAAAATGAGTAAAATGAAACAAGATTTGTGAGGTTGAATGGAGAGAGAGAGAAAAAGAGTAAAATGAAGCAAGATTTGTGAGGTTGAATGGAGAGACAGAGAGAGAAAGTGAGTAAAATGAACCAAGATATTGTGGGAGTATATAAAAGATATTTGTACACAGGAAGCAAAACAGGTTAGGCAAACAGATTAGTGGAAAAATATAGTTGGAAGTGGTTTCAAAACTAAATTTGAAAGAGATTGTAGAGTCTTGAATTCTGACATGCATGTGGGGTTTTAATTATCTTGATTATATTGGGGGTAGGATACAGTTGTCAGTAAATTTGTGACTTACGCAATATAGCTGTTTATTTCTCTTGTAGGAAAGAAGTTTAGAGATGAGCAGCTTAGAGGTTATATTTTGTCATTCAAAGATTGTCCTATACTGTTGTTCTGCTACATGTGGCTTCCATTCCCAAGGTCATTTTATGATCCAAGAATTCAGCAGAAACACCAATCATCAAAAAGAATAAGTTGAAAGAGAGTAAAAAGGCAACATCAAGAATGTCCCACACAATACTTCTGCCAACATATCTTCACCCAGATTTTAATCATCTGGCCACAGAACTGTAAGGCAGGCTGAGGAACTGTTCTCTGTTAGCTCTATGGCAATATTCCCAGCTGATAAGTGGAGATCTCTTATTGACAGCTAAAGAGAAAATGAATGTTCAAGATAAAGGCTATCCATACTCTGCTAATGGTTATTTTTGGTTTAAATTCCTCTTCTTGGAAGATTTATTTGTGTCTTATTATTGTCGTGTAGTTTCTCTGGATACTAAATATTTTTACTTTTTGTGTCCTTTTATTTCAAATTATAAACTGTTTTCTTCTCACTAAAACTTCATATTACCTAAATAGTACCAAATATTAATGTATAGGATATTTTGGTTTTGCATGCTTCTGGTTTTGCACACATGTAAATATAAAAATATATTTTATAATGTTTTCATGCATACAATATAATTAAATGAACAATGTGACCTGAAGTCTAAAATAATGAAATCTTCATGTGACAATACCGTGTAGTCAGTATTAATACAAAGTAGAACAAAAGTAAACTTTTTTCACCTTGAGAATCTATAGCTTCCAAAATATTTTAACCAATAAAACATTTTGTAATTTCCTTTCACATATTCCTGCACTCAGACTTATCTCTTAATAAAATATAATTCTGAAGAAATTGTTGCTAAAATTGTATTCAAAAGCCAGCAACATAACATAAAACATCAATGAAAAATTTCATTGTTAAATTGAATGTGATATAACATGCTTCAATCCTCTTCCAGTTGACATTGGGTTTTTGAAGCTTTTCAAACATCAAGAAGACAAAGTAGAGCTTCTGTTCCAAGAACTATACTTACGGTTAGATGAATGTGTCTTTCTGAAAGAGTGCCAACTCACAAATGTTCTTAGTGGGGAGATAAAGCAATATCGTAGATAGATTCAGTTACTGACTGTGTTGAGTCAAGAAAGCAATGACCCACTTGTTCAAAACAGGAACTTTTTGAAAGAAAAAAAAGAGTACATGGTACAATTTTAGTTAATGCATTTTATTTATCTTTCTGGGATACAGGGTTTCTTGTGTGTTGTTATTATTTATTAATTTATTTAAATGGTACTAAATAGTTTCTGTTATATAAGCAATAGATACAAAGAGGGTAGTACTTGCTTGAATCTCCTACCCAAGTTGATCAACAATATCATACAGACCATTTCTTGTCCCTTGTTTCTCAATGGAGTTCAATTGTTGAATTGCAACGTAATCCACAAAGTCTTAAATAGTAGGTGACCTCATTAGCAATGAAATTATGATTTGCTCTTTCTTTCCTTCATCAAAATAATAATAGTAAGACAACTTGGCCCTTCTAACAGTGCTCATATTATTTCCACCAAGAACTGGTTGTGGAATATAAGAGAGGAGGTTACTGGTTGACTAGGTGAAATATAGGACAGTCTAAATTATCCAGAAATGAATTAGCTGTAATTATTTTTTATTTATTTTTATTTTTTATTTTTTGAGATGGAGTTTTGCTCTTGTCACCCAGACTGGAGTGCAGCGGTGCAATCTCGGTTCACTACAACCTCCAACTCCCAGGTTCAAGCGATTCTCCTGCCTCAGCCTCCCAAATAGCTGGGATTACAGGTGCCCATCACCATGCCAGCTAATTTTTGTATTTTTAGTAGAGATGAGGTTTCACCATGTTGGTCAGGCTGATCCTGAACTCCTGGCCTCAGGTGATCTGCCCGCCTTGGCCTCCCAAAGTGCTGGGATTACAGGCATGAGCCACCGTGCCCAGCCAAATGTAACTATTTTTTAGAGCTCTTAAATTATATATATTTAAGGTATACAATACAATGTTTTGACATGCATATACATAGTGAAATGATTACTGCCACCAAATAAAATAACATATTCATCTCCTTTTACATAGTTACCATATATAACTATGTAACTATGTAAGTATATACCTGTCTGTTTGTGTGTGTGTGTGTGTGTGTGTATATATATAAAGTAACTATGTAAGAGGTGTGTGCATATATATGTATACACACACACACATATATATGAGCACTTGAAATCTCTCTTGGAAAACTACAGTGTTATCAAACAGGCTGGGGTAGGAGAGAGGGTAGAAGTAGGAGGGAGATGGGGAGATGTTGGTCAAAGGATACAAAGGGTACAAAATTTCAGTTACGTAGGATGAAAAGACAGCTAATGTATAGCATGATGACCATATTAACCTTAATTCTTAAGCAAGATTATATGGTACTTTGCTTCCCTGACAGGACAGAGAAGAGGATATTAGGCATATGCCATAAACAACATACTAATTTATAAGCTTGATCTAGGTAATTTAGCACAATATCTTATCTTTTCATTATTGTACATTTTGCACACATACGGAAACACAAAATTTTATTAATATTAACAATTGGCTCATGACAGACCTCATCATTGTTCTATGAATTGCCTATTTTTTAAAAAATATAATTAACTTTTTATAAGAATGTAACAAGCAACATAAACCCATGACTCATAATGAAAGTTGAGATCGTGAAAAAAATATATATCTAACCGTAAATCTTCTCATCCTTTAATTCACCTATCTTCCTTTCTTCTTCCAACATTTTTTAAATCCTGTGTTCGGCCAGGCATGGTGGCTCATGCCTGTAATCCCAGCACTTTGGGAGGCTGAGGCGGGCGGATCATGATGTCAGGAGATGGAGACCATCCTGGCCAACATGGTGAAACCCTGTCTCTACTAAAAATACAAAAATTAGCTGGGCATGGTGGTGCCCTCCTGTAGTCCCAGCTACTCGGGAGGCTGAGGCAGGAGAACCGCTGGAATCTGGGAGGTAGAGGTTGCAGTGAGCTGCAATTGGGCCATTGCACTCCAGCCTGGTGACAGAGTGAGACTCCATGTAAAAAAAAAAAAAATCCTGTGTTCATCATTTATTTCCTTTTTATATTGTTTTCCTATATCTGTATCTGTTCTAAAAGATAATTTAGTTTTTTTATTTATTCATTGAATTTTACATGTATTGTTATATTATCTATATGTAGAATGATAGTTCATTTTTTAAACTGCTCTCTTATGTGAATATTCATCTATTCTCCCAAGATGGACATTTAGGTGACTTCCACATTTTTTAACATTGTGAATAATTTGGTTATGAACATTTTTGCATATGTCCCCTGCTGTACATGTACAAATAGACCAGCTGGATCATAGAGGATATGCTTTTTCAACAATAGAAGGAAATTTTGAATTCCTTTTGAAAGTGTTTGTACAAATTTACATTTCTAGTAGCAATGTATAAAATAGCATGTGAATATACAACATCTCCATTATAAGTTTATTTTCAGATGTTTTTAATTTTGTAATCAAAAGGGTACAAAATGGTAACTTAATGTGGGATTTATGTATATGTTTGTGATCAGTTATGATTCTCAACATCTGTATATGTTTGTTAGTCATTCTTATTCCCTTTTCTATGAAGTGCCTACATGTGATTCTTGCCCATTTTCTAGTGGGTTGTTTGTGTTTTTATTGATTTGTAGGAGTTCTCTCTATATTCTTAGATCTGATTCTTTTTGTCAGTACAAATACAAAATCTTCTCACATGTAATTCATCTCACCTATTAATTTACCCTTTTCTCATTTAATATTTTGTTAACCTGAAATGATCATAATAAATGATCCAAGCTCAAAAAGGAACTAAACCACTAAATGGGACAACTGCGACTCTTTTATCAGTATTACCAAAACCAATGCCACATCAAATATTGTGACATTTTATATTTCATTTATCTCAGAGATAATCAAAAAAAGATTAGTGCTGTAATAACTAGAAATCAATCATTGCAAGCTGCCAACTCAAGCAGGAAACATGCATAAATGCTCAAAATTTTCATGATTGGATCCATAGTTTAAGAATATGAATATAGCCATTATTACACTAACTCATACAGTGACAACTTTGCTCCAAATAAAACATCTTTGGAAAAGAGATATGTTTATTACTTCTATAATACAACAGACCATTGCCTCTGTCACTGCTTGTTATGATTAATTATATCTCCTGTGGTATAGCAACTATGTAGAGCAAAATTTGTAAACATTGATAATATTGTGCCATTTACCTTAACCATAGCAACATAAAAGACAATATGTTGAGTTTCTATTTGAATATAGAAATGTAATCTATGCTATCTTAAGTCTTTTTCCTGGGGCAATAAATCTTTGGCTTTTTTGAGAACTCGTCTAAAAAAATAGTGTACTAGGATTTTACCCTGCAGGAGTCTATTTCTCGTACATGTTAAGAAAATCTCAGACCTAATACCCACATCTTGCCTTTCCTGCCTAAGATCTCTTTTTCTATCTTCATGTGTCATGGTTTAATACCTACCTAGATAGGCAGTAATCTCAACTTCTCATAAAATTTTTTATTCTGTAATATAGATAATACTAGGCTTTGTATTAATTTTATTTATTCAGTGCCTTAAGATTTTAGGAACTAGTTTATACATAGATATCAACAAAAGTAAATTTAAAAAAATTAAGAGGGGAAGATAATTTGTTACATAGATTCCATGTTCTTACATAAAAATTCAAAATTAGCAAACATAAATTTCTCTGGCTTTAATACTTATGTCTCATTTAACTTGAGTACTTCCTAATTTGTAAAGAAAATGGTTAATTTCTTCTTGTTCTACCTTTGTTTTTCTGCTTAACTGTAATAACTTGTAATATCTATTCTTCATTTTTTAATGTATTCAGTGAAAAAGTTTTTGTTTCATTTTGTTTGAAAGTAATATGCTTCCCTATAGGAATGTAAATGCAAAAATATTTTCTTCAGATGTTCCTGCCTTTCCTGGCACAGTTGAGCATGCTCACCATGCTCAACCGAGTTACTTCTATATCTTAAGTAGGTATCTATTGTTATTCTTATAATTTACTTTCAGAATGTACTTGCTTAAATGTCTAGTTCTTAGATTAGGTTGACTCTTGAACAGAGATAATAATACATATATATTTGTTTCTCCAGTTCCCAACAAAATTATTGGCACATAGCAGGTGCTAATTGAGTATTTAAATGACTCTTTAACCAAATTAATGTTTATCTGCCATATGTTATAATTAGATTTGTTTTCAGCATCCTCATAAATGTACATAGCTGACATTCTTTGTATATTTTTATTCATAGAAATAGTTTATCATGATCACTGCTCCTTCTATTTTATCCAATCATATAAGTAACCTATGTTGATAGGAAGGGTCAGGACAGGCATGATTGGAAAAGTCTTATGTACCATGATTGGGATGACCAACCTTCATGCAGATACAACAACTTATGAATTGATAAATTTTTTAATGATTTGTAATACCATTCAAAGTGAGAAGACCTCCCTTCAACCGTACTTTATAATTTCATACTTTTGCATTATTTATTGTGCATATGCAAAAACAACAAAATGACAGATCCTAAAAATTATGGTATATTTAATTAGACACAGCACTGCTAGTACTCTTACACATTTGGTGGGACAGAATGATGTTTTGTAGGCAGAGTTTATCAAAACCTTAGTAGAATTTGTGTGCGATACACCTATTTTGCTTATAATTGACCCTGTCAAAATCTGAATAGTTAAATTAATCAGCATCTTCTTTATCTAAAGTGTCCATTTATCTGCTCTCTTTTTGCAATAGTTTAATTATAACTGCTTCTAATTGCCTATTCACTTCCCTTTAGCTATGTGGGCTCCTTCCACCTTCAGTATAGCTACATGCAGGAATTCAGCTTCAGTTGTAAAGGGATCTTAATTTGTTAGTTCATGAATTACATTATCAAAGTACTTGTAAATGTGACTTCAGGACTATCTTTGGAGAACTCTGAGAAATCATAGAGGACCTATGAGAGATTAAAACTGGAAATTAGCAAATGGTTTGCTTTTCCAAAAGGCAGCAAGGATGAACCTTGAGAAATACAAGTTGATTAAGAGAAAACTCAACCATGGAAAAAAATAGACATTTTTTATTTAATGATTTTTAAGAAAATTTAGAAACTATAGGCACTAAGAATCAACATATATTATCTAAGAATGTGTGAACATATACTTTTTAAATAGCAGAAAGCCTGGTATATCAGGTGAGAACATAATAAAGGTATATTTTACTTTCAAAAAAGTAATTCAAATGACCTCCTTTGAGATAAGATGGTGACATTTTGTTTGCATGCAAAACTAGTGGTATCAGAATACTCAATGAATTTTTGTTAATAACTTACTATCAAACTGATGGGAGGGCAGAAGTAAATTGATGTAATTTTTTTTCTGTTGGCTTTCCTTTTTATTCAGATTGCATCAATGCCGGAGATCAAAACATATGAAGGATGCAGATGACACAAAGCTGGGAGACATTGCCAATAAAAACAAAAATAGAATCCAGAGTGAAAATGATTTGGTAATCTCTTCATTCCTATTGAAATTCAACAGGAATTTAAAGCCCAGCCAGTATGCTAAAAACATCAAATACATAGAGAAGAAATGCCTTTCACTGGAGGGGACATCTGTGTTTATACCAATCGATGATGTGATAATGTTACAACACATTTAATATAGTCTTAAATTGTTTCAAAAGAAACACGGATTCAGGTTTACATGAAGTAATAGATACAGAAAATATGCTGCTACTCAGACCATATCTGAATTGTTTTGTTAAATTATCTGTTATATTTTTGGGTGTATAGTGTTAAAATCTGTCTCTGCAGAGGAAGCTAGCCAGCATTGCATGAGAATCTAAATATCATGTCATATATGGAATGGTTGAAGAGTCTCTTTCACCATTACAAATAGCATGACACATGTACTAATTTTCTGAAATATGAATATGTAAAGAGTCCATGCTTGAATAAAAGCTAATCAAAACGAAAGGGTTTCTTTGCTGTAGGACACCTCAAATTTTTGATAAAGTGCTTGATGACATTTTAAGGAGTTGATATAAAGAAGTATTTTCCCATATTATTGAACCATGGAGTTCCACCAAACGTTTTTTGTTTCTTGTTTTTTTTTTTAAACTCTGGTAAAAAAAAAATACACTGTAAGAAGAAACGATGGTTATAGAGGAAGTAAAAATTTGTTCTATGCCCCGTTTCAAAGGGAGAATCAGGCAATTTTAAGTTCAATCTAAGAAAAATAAAAGATCTTTACGACTGTATTCGAAAAGACTGAATGACTACCTACAGGTAGGATGTAAGGAGAATCCACATGCGGCTGAGATTGGGTGAGACGACCTTTGAAGTCAATGCCCACACTTTCAAAGTAATAAACTTTGCTCCAGAAAGCACTACCTGCTGCCATCTGTAAAAGAGACCTCCAGAGATCCTGTGATCCTAGATTTAAGCAGTCATCAAGACCTGTGAATCTCTTCCAGAATATACATTGAAAGAGGCTAATTATCCATGCTTTTATTATGATCCCTTACTATGTTACTGAGACAGGAATAATACAGGGTGGTTGCAGGAGATTAGAAAATTCCAGGCAGCAGTTTCACATGACTAGTAAAATAGCTTGTTGAAATAGCTGCAGAAATTATGTGCTGATAAGATCCTGAAAAACCAGGATGTGAAGCTGGTTAAACCAACTGGACTCAACATGACATTGGATTTGACCTAGGCTTCGCCTAGAACCTCATTATGCAAATCACACAGCCACCAGAGCCCTAACAGTTCCAAGAATACCCATATTTGGCATAAAAATGGGTGGCACCACAGTGACACTTTTTTTCCAATAACTTTCATGAATATTCCACACCTTGATTAAAGAAACTCATAAAGGTAGCAACCGCAAACCCTCTTGAGCATGACTCTCTCTTAAGTATGCCCCCACTCCCTTTTTGTTGTTGTTGTTGCTGTTGTTGAGATGGAGTTTCGCTCTTGTTGCCCAGGCTGGAGTACAATGGCGCGATCTCGGCTCACTGTAATCTCTGCCTCCCAGGTTCAGGCGATTCTCCTGCTTCAGCCTCTGGAGTTGCTGGGATTACAGGAATGCACCACCACATCCGGCTAATTTTGTATTTTTAGTACAGACGGGGTTTGGCCATGTTGTTCAGGCTGGTCTTGATCTCCTAACCTCAGGTGATCCACCCATCTCGGCCTCCCAAAGTGCTGGGATTACTGGCGTGAGCCACTGTGCCCTGCCCCTTTTCTTGAGTGTATACTTTTCCCTTTGCTATAAGTTGTTTTACTGTCACAATTTACCAACTCATCCTTGAATTCATTCTCACGGAGGTGTCAAGAGCTTAGACACTAGCTGGGGTGGACGCCCCACTGGCATTTGGGGACCTCCCCCAACCCACCAGTATCATTGCCATTACTTTTCTTTAGAGTCTAGCAGTGTGATTCTGACTGCTCTTCAGTTTCCATTCTTGCCTCGCCTTCCTTCCCTGCTCCCCACTGCGCTCTATTTCTACACACAATAGCCATAGTACATTTTTGAAAACTCTAAACCAGATTACTCTCTATCTATTCATGTTACACTAACCTCTTGCTGTACTGGCCTTCATTCTGTTCCCTGGATCTTGTTAGCTTCTTATTCCTTTGCCTGGAGTAAATCACCCCAGGATGTTCTAATGCCTTTACTTCATTTAGATCTATGTTGAAATGTCACCTCTGAAATAGGCCTTTCTGGTCTACTCTATAAATAGAAAACTTGCCTTTTTGCAAACTTCCTTACATTCCCCACTCCCAAGCCCAGGTCATTCTCTATGATTGTATTTTGCTTTCTTTTAAAAACATGTATATGTTTTAGTTCTGTCTCCTACAATGAAATCAAATCTCAAAAGGGCAGAGACCTTGTTTCGTCATTTTATTTATTTATCTTAGGACAGTGCCTTGCAGAACAGAAAGCTAAATATTCCGGGTTTTTTTTCAACAAGTGAGTATACAAAAGCATGATTCATTTTCTAAAATGTAACTGGGTTAGTGGTAGATTATTTTTACATAAGATAACTATAAAATTGCCAAAATGACACTATGTTACAGCCAAATTAAAATTGCTGTTATTAAGCTAAAATACAAAAATATGTGTTTTTCAAGCATTTTTTTAAAGTAGTCTACATGGCTTTTTTTTAAAAAAAATGGATTAGAATATAAAAGAGGTGTTTATTTACAACCCACATTGCAACAAGTTGCTAAGGTAACTACAGTATGGCTAAAGCATTTCATCACTTTAATAATTGTATAGATTTTCAGTAAGCAGCACACAATACATATTAAGTAAGATGTATCATTGTGTAAATTACTTTAGAAACCAAGCTGCATAGCATATATTTACAAGAGGTGCTTTTCAAGGACATTAGCACATAAGGATGAAAGACTAAACATGCCTAAATATTAATAAATATGCCATTCATAATGCAAAGTTATTTTCAAATGCTTGTCTTCACAGTTTCATAAATTGAAATATGTACAAATTAATAATTTGATCTAGAATTTTGCCTAATGCACTATGCCGTGGCTAAAAGCCCTCAAAATGACATTGTGAATAGTTCTTTAGATTTTCTTACTAAAAACAAAAAGAGCTTTCATGCATTATTACCTATGTGGTAGGTACCATTATAAACCACACTTTATATACACAAGAAAACTGGACAAAGATGTCTTAAGTCAGTACTTTCCTTAGAGCACCTCGCTCCCTCAAAATAGAGTCAGTAACAAAGTTCAGGGGGATCTTATTTCCAGGTCTGTGCTCTTAATCACTATGATATTCTGTCTCTCCTTTATGTACTTTCTTTACTAGATACTCAGGATACAAATTGTATTTTCTTTAGAATGCAAGGATAGTACCAGCTATCAGCAAAAAATCAGACTAATTTCTTTGTATGCCTACAACCACATGCTTAAGTAATATAATGTATGTAGGCAATGATTGTGGTACAGTGGAAAGAACACTGGACATGAAGATAGAAATCTTGAATGTGATATCATGTGTACATTTTATGAACTTCCTTTACATTCATATATAAATTGAGAATATTATATATGCCTCACAGGTCTGAGTATTAAATAGGAAAAAAGTTAACTCTCATACAAGACAAAGCTGTCAACAAATACTGAGTATTATTAATACAGATAAAGAATAAATAAGACATACGAACCTCCTAATAAAGCTCCTCTTTACATAAAAAAAATGAAATTCAAATGCTATTGACCCTCTCCATCCATGTCTTATTTTCATAGGATGGATGGTTCTAAAAGTAAAGGAAGATAAAGATCGTGATATTGTTTCATAAGTCCCAAACACAGAAAAGTCTCCACAGCTTTGGTTTCCATGATAGCATTGTAAATAGATGATGAAACTTTTCTTCTTAATGTATTGAAAGCCAATATTGTGTTAAATTAGAGAATTCTGAGTCCATTGTTAAGTTGAGACAAAATATGTTCAGCACTATGCCAGAAAAAATAAACAATAATATAATCCTAATTTGTAGCAACTGCTGGTGTTCATGTACAAATACTCCTACTATAGCCAATCCCAAGCTACCAACTTGTCATCAATAAAAGTGCAGTTAGGAAGAAAAAAGTTGGGAGAAGATGATCAACAATCAACTCTCCAAGCTAGTGCAAGCTGGCTCCAGCAAACACCTGACTGGGGGCCGCTGATATTTGTTTAGGCATCTAGTTAGATTAAGCAAATACAAGAAGAAGAATCTTGGAAGTGCTTATACCTTGCCTTTATTTATACAAGGTTCTATTATATTTAATTTAAATCAGAAATGTCACCTATTTTTTCACATATATTTTACAGGAAAACTGAAACATTTAATGCTGCCAAGTTAAAATAGTTTTGAGTTCAAAACCTACTTCTCTTTCTTGCTTTCTCTGTTCCCAAAGAAATAACAAGAAATGATTTGATTGTAATTCTAGTTTCAGGATTGCTCAGAAAAGAAGGCACCAAATGATAGAAGGCTGGCTCAATTTTCACTGTAGATTCTTCATTGAGGAAAGTTAATTCCCAATGGGCTATGTCAGCAATTTCATGAAATACATACAGCGAGACACAAAAGCAACATGAGGCAGTACACATCTCACTCTGTTGCCCAGGCTGGAGTACAGTGGTGTGATCTCGGCTCACTGCAGCCACCACTCCCCAGGCTCAAGTGATCCTCTGAGGAGGTATATCTTTTTACTTCCCAAAGCATTTAAATATGACCCATATTAATGTCAGTGTTATCAGTTAGGTCTAACATCTTTCTTATATTATATTAGAGAAATGTAGTAACCCTGGATAGTGATGTTAAAATAAATAATTAAATCAACATTATAATGATGATATTTGGTTTATAAGACACTCAGCAAAGGAACTGAAGTTTAAAGAACATTTAGAACAAATATTTTAGCTAGCACTTGCAATTCTTATCAGGGAATATCAATTTCATAGCAAAATATCCATTAGTGTAGCTAGAGTTTCATGACATGTGGTATGCTGGCCAAAACACTGGACTAGGAGAAAATAAATTCTGTTTCTAAGGCTGGTTCTAACGCTGCCACCAACAAGCTATGTGATTAGATCATGACCTAGCTTCTTCATGCCTCTCTCCTATTGTAAAATGGCAGACAGGGAGTTTGACACATTCAAGTATTCTTTCCAATTCAATACTTCCTGAATTTATGAATCATGGTGTTTACTGACAAATTCCTTCTTTGCAGCTGTAATTAAAATTTTTGGATTTGTAAATTAGCATTTTAAGTTGTCATTTTTTTTGCAATGCCCCAACTGGACAATATGATTGAATTCATGCAAATGCTTAAACTACATGGATAAACTATTAAATTACATAACTCATACTTGGTTCCAGAATAAAGTTTCCAACCAATGCACCGTTTTTACCTAAATACTAATTATTAAAAAAGAAAGAGGTCCTAATTTTAAATAGGCAGTTCAGTCAGTCCTTCTGTTATGAATGGAACTGTATCTCCTGCAAGTTTATATGTGAAGCCCTGACCTCCAGCGTTACTGTATTTGGAGAACGGGCTTGTGAGGACATGATAAAGGTTAAATGAGGTTGTAAGGGTGAGGCTCTAATTCTACAGGGCTTGTGCCTTATAAGAAAAGAAAGAAACACCAGAGTTCTCTCTCCTTGTCATTTGATGACACAGTGAGAAGGTGGTTTTCTGTAAGCCAGGAAGACAGCCCTCATCAGAAACCAAATCAGCAGGCACCTTGATCTTGGACTAGCCAGCCGCTGGAAATGTGACGGAATACATTTCTGTTTTTTAAACCACTCAGTCTATGGTATTTTGTGATGGCAGGATTAGCTAACTAATGCACTTTCCTTTATTTTTCTTTCATTTGAAACATTATGAGGCCTCAATTTTATTTTTTCTCATTAATTTAGTAATTAAACTTCTATTTCATTATTTATAGTCCTTATAGTTTTCTATTCGTGCTAATAAAATGAATTTAGTCAGGAAAAATATCCATTTTACATCCTTCTTTCTTCTTTAGCCCCGGTTCTGAAGAGTTATCATGTTGTTATTCTATCTGCTAAATTTTCTTTCCCCCCCGCCTTAATTTTTCTTCCCTACTTCCCTAATTCAGATCCCTTTGCTACATTATGGTTTCCTAATTGGACCCTCTCAACAGCCCCCAATTTTTGCTTCAAAATGGTCCTACAATGAGCTTCTTCACATCTACATTTTTTATTAAAATTTTTCAATGGTTCCTGGACACCCATAAGATAAATATCTCAAACTTCTGCACAGATCTTTAGATCCTTCATATCAGCCCTTTGCTTCTTATCTTTGTTTATGTTGTTGCCTTTCTTTGGAATATTTTCCTACAATTATTTGCACACCAAACTGTTCCATATCCCTCAAATAATAATAATATCAAACACTTAATGCTATGTGTTAGACATTGTCTTACATATTTTATATGTATCTATATATGCATTTAATCCTACAAAACTCATGAGGGGTTTTGTAATAACTATTCTTACAACTATTGTATAACTATTCTTTTAACTAATGTATTACTATTTTTATCTGAGTTTCTTTAATTCAGAGTACTGAGTGTCATAAGGATTAGTAAGTTAGCCCATCACACAGCTAGTAAGTGGTAGAGCAGAGAATCTAACCTAAGCTGTCAAGAACCAGAATCTAGGCTTTTCTAACTTTAACGCATGCTGCCTCTCTGAATACAAATGTCATTCATTTACTTTGTGAAGTCTTCTCTAAATTTACCAGAAAATCTCTGATGATTTCTTCTTTTGTGCCTCACTGCACATTACCCTACTTTATTAGTTAACTTGCTCCATTTTCAGGTTATTTTATTCTCCTTCACTTAACTGAAAACTCATGGAAAGCAGAGACCACAAATTTTCACCATTTTATCTTTGTGTCAGTGCTTAGTACATGGTCAATATTTAATAAGTGAATTTTAAATAAGATCATTTTAACATTTTGCAGAGATCTTAAAATATTTTATTTTCTTTGAAAAAAGGAATCAATTCTTGATATGATTATATAATTTATTATCTTTAACTATTTTGATTGTGTAATTTTCAAGGAAATAATACAATAACAATAATCCATGCCAATAATTTTTTATCAATTATAAACTATCCTTAGAATTAAACAAAATATTTTTCTATTTATAAATTATTTTTAGGATGACATATTTTTCTTATTTTGAAAATATTCAAGCATCTCCTAAAATAAAACTATGAGCTGCAGTAAGAAGTCATCATTTTCAAAATTAGCTATTTTTGACATTACATATAGCTTGAAAATTGATATTATAACTAAAATTGAAACAATTAAAAAAGGAGGTTTTTTATTCAAACAAGCTAATTATATTCCAGTTTATTAACCATGAGTCTAAATAATAAAATATGATACCACTGAAGTCCACATGAACTGCCACCACCACATAGAGAACCATTATCATAGTTGGGCTTATTGAAATCATAAAACACAATATGCTTTACCAATATCAGGTCCAGGTCTGATTCCACACCATTATGTTTCTCTCTTTTTTCAATATAAACAATTGTCCATTCATCTTTATTGAATCCTATCTAAAGAGTCTTTGTGAATTCAAGTTTGTAATGAAAATTCTGCCTGTATACTCATAAATTATAGGAGAAGTAAAGTGTTTAAAAGGCTTTTCATACACCTACAGATATTTCCTAAGTCTATTCATGGATAACTCTATTGAAGAAGAGAGGAAATCAAAAGTCTTTGTCATATATACTTATGTAGCAACGCATATAAAATGAAAGCAAATTTAAGCAAAATTAAATAAAATGAGGGTAGTTTCAAAGTTTAGGGAATAGCTTTTACCTCAGTTGGTGAAACTTATATCACAGTAAGCCATGAGATAATGTCTCACCACTCTGTAGCCAGTCCTGAAACCTAATCCCTCAATCTTTCTCTGTAAAAGGGAAAATTCATGTTTCCCTGAACTTAAGTTTATGAATAGTCATGATGAACATAAGATATATTTCATTGAATTAGTGTACTGGAACATCAAAATATTTCCCAAATCAACTAGAGCTAACTTGACATTTTAGTTACTTCGTCATGCTTTTTATAATTTTTATGACTTCTTCTCCAGTATAGTCCCTAGGCTGGCATATCGTAATCTGTAATAAGGTTATAGAGATTGGATTTATAATGTAATTCAATTAAACAAAGTGTGGCCCCTTCAGCCTGTGAAATACAAAATAAGGTAATACAGAATGGTTTTTACTTGAACTTAACACCTAAAGAGTCTGAGATTGTGAAGACTAAAAGTAACAGGCTTGTGCTCATGTACATGGTTGGAAAAATTGAGTTTTACACAAACTTTGTGAAAATGTAAAAAAATATGTGTTAATATGATATTTTATTAAATTTTTACTTTTATTGTATGAATTACTTCATGACACCCTAATTTGGCTTCTCTAAATTCTAAACTATAGAGACTTTTAATCTATGTGACAGCATAGTCAACTATTATAGGCTATAATGTTTACTATATCAATGCAGTATATGATCACAAATTCATTTAAACAAAAAGAGCAAGAATGCTGGTGGTGAAGACATAAAAACTGCTAAATATCACAAGTAGTGAAAGAGTTCTCTTTTATGTAGCAGGTTGTTCAGGAATGTTAGTCTATTTGTTACCTGATTAGAGACTTCAAATATCATAGAATGCCTGGATCTTCCAATCCTGGATAAGGCTTAAGGATGACTGAAACAAAATTATATGTAATCATGTTCTGAATTATACCATTTACGTCAGTTCCGAGGCCCCTTGTATTTTGTAGTAAGCATATCTTAGTGATTTTAGTGGATTTCTTAGAGTGGAATTAGAGACTACTTTATTGCCACGGGCGAAGTGGTTTGAAGTTTTAAAAGTTCTGCAACCAAATATATGTGAATTAATTTGGAGTTTAACTGATGCTATGTTCTTGGTGCCCAAATATTTGTCCTGAGGAAAGTTTTATAGTAAGGAGCCAAAGTAAAGTTTAAAAAAGAACAACTAATGCTAATGGGGATTTTAAGCATTTTTTTAAGGTTTCTGTCATTTCTCCATAGTCCTTATGAGCTCAGGACTTATTTCTGCTGGTCCAGGCCTCTCCTTAATGTAGAAGAAACTAATTTCTAAGAGTCCTTGCTATGCACGGAGAGGGAGATTTATTATCTTAGCCACTGCATTCTTTAATTTTTTAAGTGTTGTCTTTGGCTTAAAGGAATTATTATTTTTCTAAATTTATTTTTTTGTATGTATTTAAGGTGTACAACATGGTTGTGTAATAATACATAATCATGGTAAGATAATTACTACAGTTAAACAAATAAACTTATCCGATACTTTCCATAGTTACCTTTTGTACGTTTGCGGTAAGAGCACCAAAAATCTACTCTGGAAATTTTCTGTATACAATAAAATATTATCAACTATAATGTTCATGCTGTGCCTTAGATCTCTAGACTTACACATTCTACATATCTACAAGTGTGTACCCTTTGATCTACTTCTAATTTCCTCCCTCTTCCTGCCCCTGGTAAATGAAGGAGATACTGCCATTTGCAACTACATGGATGAACCTGGAAGATGTTATGGAAGGTGAAATTACTCAAATACACAAAGGAAAAAGTGCATAAAATCACTTATATGTGGAATCTATAAAAAGCCACTATATGCTTGGAGTGAATACAGAGTCATGAGGCAGTCATATGGGAAGGGAACATAAGTAGTGAGCTGCCTTATGGAGTATGAAAACTCATGTTTTACTCATTAAGGATGATACTGACAACCAAGATGATGATGTAAAATAGCTCTGGTATTCTAGGAATTACATCTGTATCTATCTATCTATCTATATTTTTTTAACATAATGTATTTTACCTTCTCATTTTATGTTTATTTTAATCAGGAACTTACCATAAGTCAATAATTCATGGGTAAGAAACACATGAACAATGAAGGACACTGCGAAAACTCAACCTGAAATTAAAAAAATAAGAGGCAAAAAAAACCTGATCCAGGAAGAAAGGTTTAGTTGTCAGAGAAAAGAAGAATTTTGAGAGTAGGTTGGTGACTTTTCTGTGTTCTTGCCCTGACTGATCTCCAGGATTGAGGAAAATGAGGCTGACATTAATTTCTGCAAGAACAGTTTCAAAAAGCTCCGTGAAATGTGGAGTCACCTGTAACAGTGCTTTGTGATCCTTCTCACAGAGTTAGCACAAATGGGAGAGAGGCTTTTGCTCCTATCTCCCCTTCCCACACTTTTCTTTAAGCTCCATGTTCCTTAGCAACTGTAGATGCTTCAGTGCACTGGTGCTGGTGCCACTGAGAAGGACTCACAGAAACAACTCCAGGAAGGAGAAACATTAAGCGAGTGAAACATTTGTTATTATTACTAACTTGATGTCATTTGTACAAAGGGCAGATATAGCTCTGAATATATATAGATGGCACTATTTTTTCCTGCTTTTCACCATGTATACACATTTACATATGCAAAAAGACATTCTTTTAAATTCATACAGGTCTAATTCAGCATAGACTATTGTTTTAGGTAAGGTTCCTTAGAAGCAGAGCCTCAGATATAAATTTTTATGCAAATGAAGCAAGAGGGGGCTCTCAGGTGAAAAATATGACACTTAGTGCAGCAGGTGGAACATGGGGAGAAGGTAGGCAAAGATGTGAGTTTTGCTTTGTGGTTTTGAAAATGTGGTCCCCAGACCCACAGCATCAGCATCACCTAAGAACTTTTTAACATGTAAATTCTCAGGCCTAGATCTACTGAATCAGAAATTTGAGGATGGGACCCAGTAATCTCTGCTTTAACAAGCCCTTCAGGTAATTCTGATGCACACTAAAATTTGAGAATCACTGGCCTATCTAAAGTCTAACCTCAGCCTGCTCTTACAGAGAACCCTGGAGCATAAATGGCACTGCAGACTTATCTCTCTTTGAGGCAATTAAGGCAGTTTTTGTATTTCCTGTGAATTAGTTATTGGCTGCAGACCAACCGTGAGAGGGGAGCATAGTCTCCCAGCATTTCTGGGTGAGGCATTACTATAGACCATTCTCATGAGAAGGATGCCACTGAGGACTTCTGGGAAATAGCATCTAACCAAGGCACCAACCGCATCTACTGCAACTGTATGTTCCACCAAATGGAGTTTTGAGTAAGTAGAAAAAGTTTTGTCACAACCTGAAATCCAGACTTCTAGGAGGTTCTCCTGGCATTGAGAATCTAACTTTGGTGTCTACTATATCCCCACTTCATTGTTTTCTCCTAACCAGCATTCTGATTCCCAACACAAAGTGAAACGTTCAATCCTAGAGCACTATGGACCCACAAGGGAAGAAAATGTAATAAAACTATTGATAATATTGAAGACTTTTCACTCCTTTAAACATCTTAGTCAATAGATATTTATTGGGCACTACCTGAGGAAAAAAAATTTCTTAAATTAGAATTATTAGGGAAAGGATATTGAAGAGGACATGAAAAGAACAATGGCAGTTGCCTGCAATTTGGGGGAGTCCTTCTGAGGAAGTACCCTGATCAAAAAAGGAACTTCCAGGAATTGGTCACATGTCTGAAGGGAGAAGATAGCAGTGGCCTAAATGGGCATGCATCCAGCACAGTGTCCAAAGTGGGAGGTGTCATGGAAAAGAAAGCCACAGAAATTAAAGAGGTCTATGTCCCGATGTCATTTCTGTCCTGTTGCTGAGACTTTCGCTTGTTTCTTCTTCTGCTTATGCTCACTTTTGATAGCTGTGACATGACACTCCAAAAGGAAGTGTTAAGTGTAGACTTCAGTCATCTTTGATCTGGCCCTGCAGCTGATTAAACTTCAGTGTTAATGTCCTACTGGAAGCTTCCCTTGAGGAAAGCATATGTTTTCTCAGAACCACACATTTAGCTCCTTGATTATTTTTAAGTTGGTATATTCATGTTTATTAACTTTGATTGTCCCCAGATTTGTGGGGTCTTTAAAGGGCAGGAGATTTCTCACAGGTATACCGTATTTACAGTCCCCTTCAAATCTAACACAATGTTGAACAAACAGTATTTGCTCTTAAAAAACTTGCTGAATCAATTTCTTTCATTTTATCAGGAGTTTTTCACTTCTCGGCTTAAAAAAGTAACCCCACCGAAGTAACATAGAAATATAAATCAACTCCAAATAGCGCAAACAGTAAAAACCTGAAGGATACTACCTGCTATTCTCCAAGCACACACAAAAAGCAATGTTTTAACACTTATGTGAGTCTTTGGGCCTCTTATCTCTGACACCGTCCTTATATTTTAACACAATGCAATTTTCTTTTGTTCTCAGTTTCCCACTGCTGCTGTATTGTACCATGCTTAGGAAATTCAGGGGCCATACATAAATTTTTATACTAAAATTTGCATTCAACACTGGCTTGTTTCAGGTATACATAAACATAAGCACACTACAAATTATTACCTGAACCAAACAACAAATAAGAATTTAAATTTCCCATTAATAGCACATGAGGGTGTGTGTCTGACACTAAACTGCTGAATATTTGCTCAGTAAAAGCACAGGCAACAAGTCCAAGCACCAGGAAATCTACATGCCAGCTGAAGTTTGAGTCATCTCAGGCCTCATCAGGCAAAGCTGATAAATAGCTTTTCCTGTTTAAGAGGAGGGTGATGGATGGCAATGCTGGTTTCAGACAAGTGAAATGCAATGATTATCATAAATCATCAAAGACCAATGGTGTCACTTTATTAGCACTGAGATTGCAGAGGACAAGTCTTGATATGCTCCTCCGAGACACAACTATTTATACAGAAACCACCTCTTTTTATCTTGAGGTCCTTGCATCTCTTTAAGGAAAAATAAAAATATTTAAAAAAAATAAACTCAAATCTATGGTATTTTCACACAGTTGATTCCTAACTTTTTCATTGCAAGGAGCAAACAAAACTAAGACTTTGTTCTGATACAGAATAATAGAAATATCTTCTCTTCAGTGTAAGTTGTATTAATTCAGAAGCATACAGGGGAATCACTCAGCTAACAAAGTGACTTGTTCAACAAAAGAACACATTGCAGTATATTATGCTCTAAATCCTGGTTAGTATTTTCTAAGTGGATTGAACCCAGACGAAGGCAAGAACAATCCCCAAAACTTTTGTAAATTTTAAGACAATGCCATATATTAATAATATCAGTGCTAAATTAATGTATTGATTGCTTTGATTTTCATATGATTGCCAATTTTTACTTTATTTTCCCCTTTCATAGGTGATGCTTTAAAAAGGACTTTAATCATAGTAATTTATTATATTTTATGTCATGATTACAATTTCATTCAATGCTAATTCTAACATTCGCCTTGTGCCCAGTCTTTTTGCAGTGAATTTAATGCTTAGAAGGTTTAACAATGTTACTTTCAGGACACTTGCAGATCATCAAATTATTCCAAATCCTGTGAAGTTTTATCAGTATATATAAACATTGTAGAAGATGCTTCTTTCCTCAAGCTAATATTTGTGCCATATAATTAGTGAAAAAGATAAAATTATCATTATTATTATTATGTTTCATTTGGAGAAATGGACAGCATTTCTCCACAGACTATTTCAGTTTGTATTCTCTTGGCATTCCAGTATGTAAATACTAAAATCTCAAAATTATAATAATCCCACTCAATTCACGGTTTGGTTTCCTTAGTGCCCATCAACAGTGGATTAAAGAAAATGTGGTACATATATACCACAGAACACTACACAGCCATAAAAAGGAACAAAATCATGCCCAGTGCAGCAACATGGAGCTGGAGGCCATTATCCTCAGTGACCTAACACAGAGACAGAAAGCCAAATACCACATGTTCTCACTTATAAGTCAAAACTAAACATTTAACACGTATGATTGTAAAGGTGAGAACAGTAGACACTGGGAATCCCTAGATGGGGTGGGAGAGAGGAGGTTGTAGCCTGAACTGCCTGTTGGGTACTATGTTTATGGCCTGAGTGACAGGATCATTGGGACCCTAAGCCTCGGTATCACACAATTTGCTCATGAAACAAAACTGCATGTGTGCCCTTTAATCTATAATAAAAGTTTAATTTTTAAAAAAGACAAGGCAGGTAGGATATTTGAAATGGGATATGAAACACAAAGAGAGAAAACTTCAGTGAGAATAAGGTGGTGTAATGGCTTATAGCCTTCACTATCCATGTCATCATCTTCTACAAGCAGATCTCCAGAGAAAACACAAAAGGAATAGAAAAAGAGAAAGAAAGGTGAGCACAGAGGGAAGGTATCAAAGAAAAACTAAAGAAGGAAAAATGGAGACAGTTACAACAAGGTTATTTTATACAGACGATGAACAAAACTCACAGCATTAAGTAAAAATAATTTTTTCCTTTATAAAAACAGAATTCTGAAATGAATTGACACATATGCATATTCATCAAGCTGATATTATTTTCATCTATTCATTCATTCATTCAAAAAGTAAACTAGATCTTGTTAATTGATTATTAATGATGTTAAAGAAATTTTCATATTTGTAAAAGGCTTTTCCTCTCCTTTAAAACTGTAAAGTATCCATACGCCTTATCTTTCTCTCACTTTCTTCACCTTGGACTTCAGAAGCCTTTAAGGACATTTGTTTTCTCTCCAGTTCAAGAGAACTGGCACTTATGGCTGGGTGTAAGCTTATAGGAGAGAAAAGAAGAAAATTCAGGATTCATATCATTATCTAATTAAGTACAGTCAGGGTCTTATGCAAGGTTTTTATGTTCATTTGGAATTTCGGAATAAAATCTTATTTGTGACTGTGAACTTTTTTTTTGGTAAGAATACAACAGGCAATTTCATGGACATGCAAAGATGAGAAATAAAATAAGATGATCTTACGGGGAATGAAATTAGAAACTCAGAAAACAATTTCTCTCAATCTCTCTCTTCTTTTCTCTCTTTTTTAACATAGTGCTTTCCTCTGCTGTGGAATATTATATGGTACAGGGTTTAAGGGTTCCTTTGTTAAATGCATTTCATTGTCTTAAGTAAACACAATAGACAAAAATACTTGCTGGACATACTTAAAACCAAGCACATGGTAATTTTGTACTGTGTCTGTTTAGCTAAACTAGAACTATGTTCTTTGGACTTTCCCTTCCTATAAATTTCTAGGTTAGGATTGGCCACCAGAAAAACTAGCATGAGAATTAGAAGGCAAGACGTGAAACAACAACCCTTACCTTTTGAAGGCTGATTTAGGGTAACAAGCTGCAGCTTAAAGGAGTGGTTGCTACTTTGCCTTTTCACCTTATTGGCCATACCCAGCAGTAATTCAGTTCCTACCTGGAATTCCTCTTGCAATTTCTCTGAGTCCTAAGTGAAGCTTGAACTTTAGTTTCTTTTGAAGATCATCTGTGGCAAAAGGTTGCAGTTTCTTTTGAAGATCACTTGTGTTGTTGAGTTTCAGGCTGGAGGAAGATGGTTTTGGTTTGTCTTCTTCATGGATTCTACTTTGTCCTTACTCTTCTCACCTCCCCCAACACACTTTATGTCCAGGTTTGCTTTCAGAGAGCTGGTCCTGCTTACATTTAACAATTTAAGGCCCACCACTAGATGTAGAAAATAGCTTTGTGTAGACTTTTTCATCAATCTCTACAACTATGTAAGGTTCAATCTCTATTATAATATCTCTTATTCCATACCATTCTAGCAATGCACTTCCTGATGAAACCTTAATTGGTACAGAAATGAGCTAAGCAAAGTGGTTCCAGAGGAAATAACTTATGGATGGCTTATGTGAATTGATTCTGGGTTATCTGGAACTGTTTTTACCTGAGCAGACTTAACTGCATTAGTAAATCTGTTGCTAGTGGTAAAGAGGACATTATCAGCTTATGACGTGCAGTGACACAAAATTTATTGAATTGCAACAACATGCTGATACCTTTAATCAAGTGCCTATAGAAGGAAAATCTTTGAGTGGCCAAGTATTTGCTGCCATGGGGCATTTTAATAAAAAATAAAGATGATCCTGTTGCTTGGTTACTTCTAAATGTGCCAGAACACTTGGGGAGAGGAAATAGTCAGCTAAAGGCTTTCAATTCCCACCACGAGATCCAAGTAAAGAAGCAGAAATATCCTATGACTGCTCTGAAACAAAGCAAAGCAAAACAAAACAAAACAAAACTTAACTTTATCTTTCGTGGCTCCAGCACCAAAGTTTGAAATGAAACTAAACCAAAATGAAAACCAGACTCAAATTATGTGAGTAAATGGATTTGATTAAAGTAAATCGAATTCATAGCTTCATAGGGTCGCTTATTTTAGATTTAGGCGTTGATTGAGAAAGAGTTGCACCCTGGAAATGGTTGAGGCTATGTCAGAAAATCTGAAGCTAGTGTCCTTGAACCCTTAAATTTTGTCAAGTATCTTTTGCTAGTAGAAGGAGCCCTCTCTCCCCAGTCTTGGGAAAAAGAATCTGAACAGTTTTATAAAAAGACTACTAGTCCTTCTTAGGACCGACCCTCCCTACCTCTCATTGTTTCTAGCACACGCACATGGACGCAAGGATTGTCACACCCCATAATTGAATCACAGGGCCAATTCTTTAAGTTTTCGTACAAACTCATGGCATCCTGTCTAACTTCTCTCTTGAGAAATAGCTTCTGGCCTACTGCCCAGCCATTGTAGAGATTGTTTTACCAAGGGCCATTATGTTTTGATGTGACTTGAGCTGCCTGTCATGAAGTAGATGTTTCCTGACATATCCATTCCTAAAGCTGGGCATGCACAAATGGATTCCATCATTGTACAGATGTGACAGGCAAGAGACTGAGCTCAAACAAGTCAAAAGTCATAACTAAGTTACATGAGCACGTGGTGCAGATGCTCATGGCCCCTCCTCCTTCTATGCTGCTTTCTTGCTCACAACTTGAACACTTAGCTACGTAGAGGGCCCCTCTATATCCATTTACTGAGGAAGAAAAAAACTCGTGGCTAGTTTATGGATGGTTCTGCATGACATGCTGGCGTCACCCAAAAGTGGGTGGCAGCAGCATTATAATTCCACATATGGGTGCTAAAGAAGGGTGGTTAAGGGAAATTCTCTTAGTGAATAGAAAGTAGCAAATTTGTTTGTTCACTCTGTGTAGAAGGACATATGCCTGGAGATATGGCTGAAGTATAGATCTACACTGATTCGTAGGTATAAACTAAATATTTTATGGAAAATCAGGGACTTAGGAACACAACGGGTAATTTAGTGATAAGGAGTTATAGGGCACAGATATGTGGAAAGATCTGTCCAAATGGACAAAGACAGCAGAATTATGTGTACTTCATGTAAATGCTCTTCAGAGAGCAAACGGGCAGATGAAGACCTTAACAATCTGATGTACAAAATGATCAATTCTGTAGATATTAGTCAGCTTCTTTTCTCAGCCACCACTTTTTTGCCCAATGGACTCTTGAACAAAGTTTCATAGTGGCAAGGATGGAGGTTATGCACGGGCTAAACAACACCGGTTTCCACTCTTCAAAGCCAATCTGACTGCAGCCACTGTTCAGGCCTTAATTTGCCAACAACAGATTCTAACTTCTAAGTTATGTATGTGTGACTTAACCAGAAGAGAAATGAACAACTCCCAAAGTTTGTTAAAATACCATAAGGAATTTATCACTTAGTAAAGTCATATTTTTAGTTGTATAGCAAATGGTTTTATCAAGTTAGATTTTATTAATGTCTTTATTTGGAAGTTAAATATAGATAAAAGATTGCATGGATGTCACTTCAACAAGGATAAACTAGATGTTTTATGCTGTTTCAGCCTGATTAAGCCAAACCTTCCCCCAGAATCTCTGTCTCTTTATGGCTTCAGGTTAGAGTTGGGGAAAAACAAAATTTGTAAAAGTTTAAAAGGTAAATTAGTTGGGCATGGCGGCAGGAGCCTGTAATCCTAGCTACTTGGGAGGCTGAGGCAGAAGAATCACTTGAACCCGGGAGGCGGAAATTGCAGTGAGCCGAGATCACACCAATGCACTCCAGCCTGGGCAACAGAGTGAGACTTCATCTCAAAAAAAAAAAAAAAAAAAAGGTAGAAGTGGGGCATAAGACATATACTAAAGGCTGTTATAGGACACCAGACCCCACTGCAGCTTGTGCCAATTGTCAGTGAGCTGGTGACTCACATTTTTGATGTGGGCAGCAGCCAAGCCTGCAGCTCCCTATGCTTCCACCAGATATTCCTTTTCAACTTCTCCTAATCTTGGATCAGGTACCTGTGCGGCTTTATGGTAAGTCCCAGCTTTTTCTTCAGGTTACCCAGTTCATTGCAATTGGACATAGTTTCAGTTTGTTTTTGTGGGTAGCAGTTTGTTATTTCTTTCCACTGCTTCACATCCACCTTTTCATCTTGACTGCTGTCCCTTGTCATCTACAGGCACTTCAAGCCCATCACCCTATGCACAGACAAATGCCTCTCATGAACTCTGTAAGGTCTACTCCCTATAATAACTCCCTTGTTTTGTATCACTCATGAGAGTTCTGCTTTTTTGATGGAGCCCTCACTGAAACAGTCTTTGGAAGTCAGTTTTTAATAAAGAATAAGAAAGGAATTTCCCAATAGTCATTGCCAATCTAATCCCTGTAGAAACAGTAGGCTGGGCGTTGACCAATTGCCAAACTTTCTCAATTGCTAACGTTTAGAAGTATGCATTTAATCTTCTGTGTCAGCTAAAAAAGCTTTCACAGTGGACAACTCTAGATTACAGGAGCATTATGGGAACAGCCTTTTGTGCTTTCACTGAGATAGCAATTGCTGAGTTGGTAAATCCAAAGATCCAGGATATGTCTAGAAAAGAGTATATGTCTTCACATTTGCTGTCTTCTGCGTCAGAGAACCCATGCTATTTAGTTGGCCTAAAATATCCTGTTTTAGACAGTGGTCATAAGAAGGTGACCAGGTTGCCCTGTTTAAGTGCTGTACCCCAAATAATTGGTTTCTATGTTTACAAAGTTGATTTAGAAATGAGAATTGGTTTACAGGACTATTCCTGCAGGAGAAGTGGGGTTCTCCCAGTGCATAAAATAAAAAGCTGGAAGGGAAGTGATGTTTACAGAGAAAAACTCTAATCTAAATCAAAGTCACCAAAGAGGTTCAATTTTTCCCAGGATACCAATATTAGTGCACAAGGCTTAGAATCTAGGCTAGAATTTTATATTTTGTGGTAATAGTGGAGAAGAATAACATTATGAATATATTCTATGGATTTGTCTAAGTATCTTTGAGAGTCCTTTATAGCACCTCAAATTGGATTGAGACTTACGATCTTCATGTTTAGCAACCATTATCCACATATCATTAGCTATATACTTATTTTATCATTTTGAAACACATAAGCAGCACCAAACGTATTCACAACTATAAAGAAAACATATTTTAAAAGTTAAGTATTTTACCAATGTACCTTTTAAAATTAAAAATATAGAAAGAAAAAAAGAAGAAAAAGAAAGGAAGAGAAAGAAAGAAAGAAAGAAAGAGAAAGAAAGGAGAATCTATAATGGTTTGTTGTACTTCGAATTACCAAAAAAAAAAAAAAAAAAACTAGTTTTAATGCCCTCAACTTACTAATTGTATTTTATCTCTTGTGTTTGGAAATTAATTACCAAGTGCGGTAAGGGAGAAGGGATAGATGCCCTTCCCCTTTTCTTGTGCAACCACCTCCCACAGTACAAACCGATATGCATAGGATGACATCTCATTTGGATCTCATTGTTTTGTCTTGGAAAGCAGATATCAGTGGTACATGGGGAACTGAAGTATTTGTTGAAGTAAATAATAATCTGCTCTGTTCTGGAAACTTTATTTTGCACTCAGAATAATATTTAAAAATATAGACATTAAAAATGTAATAAGGTCTTAAGAATGAAATGCACTATAGGGGCATTTCCTTTTCTACATTTTTCCACAAATAAGGAAATGTTTAAAAATACCAAAACTAATAAAGATTTTTAGCAACCCTTAGTCTTGAGGTTCTCTGAACCAGTTATTCTCTCTAAAGACTTTGGAGGCTATGGGATCCATTGTTCATTGGGTCAAAGAAACTAATCATAGTCCCTCCCTAAAAAATAAGTTTAAGACCCATTGTAAATCCCGGACAGAGCTTTGTGCTACTTTCTTTACACCCACTCTTTTTCCAGAGTCAGAAGCCAGAAATATTTGGTGTAAATAAACTTTGACCAAGCTTATGAGGACAAACCGACTTAGACAGAATGTGAATTGAGTATACTGTATACTCCATAAGTAACAGGTAATCAAATGAAGTTTTAAATGTTAAACCCACTTGAAAATGTCTTACTTTCTCTCTTCATAAATGCAATTATTTGTGTGATGTATCAACGTAAATAAGCTCATTTAACTGAAATTCTCTTATATGAAATGATTTTCATATGGTGGTGGGCGCCTGTAATCCCAGCTACTCGGAGAGGCTGAGGCAGGAGAATGGTGTGAACCCGGGAGGCGGAGCTTGCAGTGAGCTGAGATCACGCCACTGCACTCCAGCCTGGGTGACAGAGCGAGATTCCGTCTCAGAAAAAACACAAACAAACAAACAAACAAACAAAAATTCTTATTACAGCCATTATGAGATATTGATGCTACTACCATTCAAACAAAACTTTAGCAGTTATGTTCAATTGAACATAGTTAAAATAAGTCACACAATAGAAAAATCTAAGTTAGTAGAGCTTACAACTAGACATGGTGAAACATGAATAAAATATTCTACTTAAATTACTGTGACACTGTATCTCTTTTTAAAGAATGCATACAAGAAGGCAGAGGAATTGATAATCCAAGCACTTAAAGCTGAGTTCTGAAATCTATATTAAGGCATTTTTATGACACACAGCAGAGAAACCAGAATGACTAGTCTCATGTGAGTTTAGTTTTAAGTTTCTCCATCAACTTATTGCATCCCCTTAGGAAAATTTATTAACTTTGCAGTTTTTCACCATCTGTAATATGGGAATAAAATATTTGGTCTTTAGTGGTATCTTCTTCAGTGCCGTCTCCAAATGCCAGGTGACCAGCATCTCTGAAGATAGTGGTTCATTCAAATGTCTGGGTCATTCTCAACAGTGTTGATAAAACAAGGACAGACTGTATTAATCTTTATAGACTTAAAAACATAGCTTCAATAACAAATGTACAGTGAATAAAGAGTTCTGTTTTGACTTTTGCAAGACGAATTTTTAGCATAAGGTAGACCAGAAAATGACTGAAGGAAAACTGTGAAGAACTCTTAAAAGGTGGAAAAAAACCCCACCTTATTTGATTTACATCCTTATGATCACAAAACTAGCAGCACACCTTTCAATTCTCCCTACTCCTTTTTAGGAAATTGCAAATTATAAAACTATCACAGAGAAATATTTCTTACTCCTTTAGGTACATAATAAATAAAACAGCCATTGACCTTATCATAAGAGCCTTATGACTTTTTTTTTCTGTACTGGTGAGCTACATGAGTTATAAAACTCACATAACAGAGATAAACTTAGTTAACCTGTTGTAACAAAAATAAGATGGTCTCTTCAGTGTCACAGAGATGAGCCCCACAACTAACAATTTGCTAAGCAGCCAAATAAAGCATTCTGTCACTTCTTTAATATTCATTTTTTGTCTAGGTTATTTTGTCTCCTAATTTATGATGTTTATGAGCACAAAGTTTCTGGATTCTTCTTTTGAGACCATTTCAGTAAGAAACAAATAAGTAGAGTCCTTGGTCATGTTGCCTGCTGGCTATTTATAAATTCCTTGTGACACATTCAAAAAACTTAAGAAGAGTTGCTTCATAGGATCTCTTATCTTACAGTGATGATTTCTTTATTTCGGTTTCAAAATTTAATGTTATTCTCTAATTTTATGGAGAAAATTGTATTATTTTTCATTTTATTCTGAACGTTTTCTCCCTTTGAAAGGTGCTTACTTTAAATAACTCATAATTAATTATTAATTTTCTACATCAGGAAATGTATTTGCTTTATTGTTCTTAAAGTGTTGTTTAACGTCCTCCTAAGGGATACTCTATACCTATTGTTTCATAACACAGAGTATCAATAGCAATCTTGGTAAATCATCACCCAGGAACTATTGCTTAGCTTTTCACATGCAGATACTATATTTTGTCAGCACAGCTAGGATGAAATTTTAAAAGCAGTTTCAAATTTAACAAGTTCAATGACATATAAACCAGATTGATTAATTAAAGTTGATATACCTAAGAGGAATCAGAATACTGAAGTGTGCATGAACAACTCATTCTCTTCCTATGTATTAACTTAATAATGCCAATGTGTCCATTTAAGCTGAAATGTGAACATCACATAAATATTCAAAGTCCACGTGACTTGACCTGGTGGCCATGAAAATGTACCTCTCAGATCTCCTATTTAGGGGATTATAATTGATTGATGACCGTAGCTGCTGTACACTGATTTCACCACCTTGTTTATACCAAGGCCACTACAATGATTTCACCACCTTGTTTATACCAAGGCCACTACAATGGGTCGTTAACTCTGTATAGAGAGCACTAGGGCAAGTCCCGTGAGATGAAGGATTTCTGTAACAGATGGGTTTGAGTGCTGGACTCCCCGCTGGCCTCGCTGAAACTTTATAAGAACTGCATGAGCATTGAAGAATTTTTCTCCCAACCTTCCATGCCTCTCTTTCCCCCATATCTCACATATAAGAATCAAGCCTGTGGTTTACAGTAGCCCAATCCTCTTGGATTGTCATATTGTTTTAAAATATTTATATAAACATTTCAGTTTAGCCCTACAGATGTGAGTATTTTGAGTAAATTGACATATTTTTTCCTAACCAGTTATGTATTGTAGTTCATAACATTACAAGTTTGTAGGAAGCATTTTACTGGGTTCCCAAGTAGTAAACACCAAAAGATAATAATATAAAATTATAAGGGGTTGTGTTATTCATCAAAATTAAAAATTTCTAAGAATCCTTGACTAAAATTTTATATTATAAATCTACTAAACATTAACAGATTTAAAATATTTATGCAGCCAGATCTAAGTAAGTATCCACATAACTATAAAACCTGCAATGCCCCAACATTTGAAGAAATCAAAACAAAAATATAATGTCCTGATTCTGCTCTCAGAATAATTTCTTTTATGTAATGTGCCAATTAGAAAGTCTATACATTATCCTCAATTCTGCTTATGGATTAGGAAGAACCCATGAAAATGTGTAGGAAAATCTAAACATTCTGAAATGCATAGAAAGAAATAAAACAACATAGTGAAATAATTGTTTGTTTAGTTAGTTTACAGAAGAGATGAAAAATAAATGTGGTAGATATTTGTGAAATGATGAAAAGATGTTGTGTAGAAAAATTGTTGATATTTTCCAGTGTATCAGCAGAGGACAGAACAAGAATTAGTGGCTGACAGTTGATAGTAGGCAAGATTTTATTCAATATGAAGATAAACATTCTCACAGTAAGTGTTAGTCACATTACAGATTTGATTACCTCAATTTAGTATGATATTTTAAGTGTAAGTGAATCCTAATTTTGGGGAAAAATACACATACATATGTATATATTTCCAGTACTCTTGTAAGTTGGAACATGAATATATTTTTATTAGGTTGCTCACAGAAATGAATGACACATTAGCACAGGAATCAAGGATGAAGTTTTTAGCACAAAATACCTTCCAAAGAAAATCATCACCCAGATGTTTCCTCAGATTTAATAACCTCAGCTGAGTGTTCCAACTAGTTCTTCATGACTTTCCTAGAGTGCTCTATCCCAGCAACAGGTGCCACTTCACAGACATCCAATGGCCTTTGCCCCATCTCTGCTGTCTAAGTCCCATGCTTCCTTTCAGGCTTTGGTCAACTGTTTGTGTGTCTTGCTAGCCCCTGTCCCCTCTAAAATTCACAGCTTGATAGTTCTGTGTGTCTGCCACCATCCTCAGAAGTAAAGAGTGAGTAGAGACTATGAAATTACATCAACATAGAAAAACATTAAGAATATTTGTTAGTAACTGGATATGTGAGTACATATATTTATAGATCACTATATAAAATCTATCAATAAAATATAAAGTTATCACATATATACATACACATACATATGTTATATACACATATTATATATAATATATATATAAAAAATGCTTATAGGTAGAACCCATGCCTCCTCCGCAAATGACACATATCCCGTAGAGAACAAATGAACCCTTCATTAATTTATGTATTCAACTACGAGCCATAAAAAATAATGTCTTTTGCAGCAAGATGGATGCAGCTTGAGGCCATTATCCTAAGCCAATTAACACAGCAACAGAAAACTAAATACCGCATGTTCTCACATATAAGTGGAAGCTAAACACTGAGTACACATGGACATAGGGATCTGAACAGTAGTAACATAGGATGGGAACAACAGACACTGGGGGACTACTAAAGCGGGGAGAGAGGGAAGGGGTCACAGGCTGAAAAGGTACCTCGGGGGTACTGTGCTCATTACCTGGGTGTTGAGATCATCTGTACTTCAATCCTCAGCATCAAGCAGTATACTCATGTAACAAACCTGCAGTGTACCCACTGAATCCAAAACAAAAGTTAAAAATAAAATAATGCATTATAATATAAAATATACTTTCATAAAATACCTCGGTATGCTAGGGACAAGGAATACAAAAATAAGGTTGTTTACTGTCCAAAGATATTTTAGACGGAGAACATGGGCTAAAAATTACTATAGTATGTCCTTTTGTACTTGTGCACAGTGAACTCCTGCATACAGGTGTCCAATAAGAGTTGGCTGATAAAAGGATAGAGAATTTCTCTACTGTGGCTCAGCACACCTTCTCCTGGGTCTTTTCTGACTCTGGATGTGGCCAACGCATTTTCAAAAGGGAAGGAGAAGAGACGAAAACGTAATATAGAAATCAAGGAACTAGATTTAGTACTGCAATTTCTAACAAAGATAATTAGCTGAAAACATTGTGTGCTAACCCGAAGACTGCTTAAGGACACACACACACACACACACACACACACACACACACACTCACCCATGATTCTCCATGGGGAAGGGTCAATTTGAAAAACTACACATAGACCACAGGTTTCGACCAAGAACCTCTTAATGAACTGCTGACAGAATGGATCTGCTTTTCAGCTTCAAGTCACTTTCCTTCTTTGGTAGTTACAGAGAATGCTATGATCTTCCCAGAGATGCTACAGGTCTGCCTCAGAGCCTGTTTGGAGGCTACAAATTCATAAGGCATATTCTGATCTTCACATAGGAGCTGGATGTGTAGAAAGATCTCCAAGATTTGTGGCCATCACGATAATTTTGGAGGTGTCTTTTTAAAAGGTCTCATTGGCTCCTTTACAAAGTTAATTGCAGTTGCCTGATTGCTGAACTGGTTCCGGTAGTTTATTTGCTGAGGCTGTAGGCTTTTAATTCATGTCAACCTCTGATTACTGTGGTTCTGCTGTCTACCTGCTCTTCAATGAGCATTGCCAAATCATAGCATTAGAATCTATTTCCTGTGTTTTAGTAGATAAATCAGGGCCATCTTGTTCTAAGTAAATTTTCAGTTACTTTTCTCCCAATGCATTACCTTGAACAATCACTATTGCAATTCACCTACTATTCCTGTCTACTCACACACTCTCTTGAGAACTTTCACCAGATATTTCACTACTCATAGAAGAGACAAGAGACAGCTATCTACTAATATGATCAGTTACTCCTTATTCAGATCAGTTACAAAGAGGCTAAGTTAAATGCATTCTGGGGCAATGTCAAGTCACATTTTTCTATTTAGAGAAGCATATTTTATATATACTTTCCCCCATATCTTTACTTATGCTTTTTTCTTTCTTAATAATATTCTGGCATTAGAGTCAAGAGGTAGGGTTCAGGAAGGGGATACAGAATCATGTGAGAAAGCTGGCTTTAGAGTAGGGGTCATATTGATCACCACTCTGAAGTCCCTATTCCACTGTCATCTTCAGCGAATAATCACCAGTTTTTAATCACCCATAATTTGTTTAGAAACTCAGAAACTGGGTCAATCATAACTTATTTTGTAAAAATAAATACATAAAACAAAATAATAACATACTGTAGTGCCTCATCGAGGACTTTTTGAAAATATAAACATCGTAAATTTGCTCTTACCTTTATCAATATACAAATTTCTTTTCTTCAGAAGGAAAAACAACAATAGGTTACTTATGTATGTTTGCTTACTTCTTATGAAAACTCCACTTCCTAATTATTAATTTATGTACTATGTTTATCTTAATATTCAGTAATTCTATTCTTTATAATGAACTTTACCAGTTTTTATCATGGAAAATTATCAGTCTTTGATCATTAAGATTTCTTTTTAAAAGAATTAGAAACCTCCTATCAACAAAGACAAGTTTGCTCTATGTATCAGAAACCCCCAGTACAAATAGTCTTAATAAGAAAAGTATTATCTCATGTCAGAAGAAGTCAAGGTGTAAGACGTGATCAAGGTATAAAATATGGAAGCTGTGACTTAGTTTCTCTGCAGTTCTGTTAGCTCTACTCCAATTGCAGGTGATACAGCTAGAGTTGGGAATGTCTATTAGAAGGAAGAGTTCATATTTTCTTATGTCTTCTTCTTAGCAATGAGGATCTACTTTCCAGAAGTCCCACAGAAAACTTCTCTCACATTGTGCTGTCTTGCATTTGGTTATATGCCCCTTTCTAAATGTAGAGTGGCAAGGAGAATATGATTGGCTTAAGCTAACCATTTAGCCAACCACAGATGATTTGGGCAGCAAAAAGTATATATGAGGGTGGATGTCCTTGTAAAAAGTATAAAATTTCTATCTATTAGTTCTTTCAAAACTAAAGGGCAGATGGCTTTCATTTGGGCACTAAAAACCATACATGAATGATGGAATCTTTGCAATTTTAAGAGTATATGCAAAATAGCAATCTTCTACTGAAAACTTGTTAAGTAACTCATGTTCTAAAAGATGCAATTTTAAAAACTTTGATTGCATTAGAATTGATTGGATATCTAATCATGTTTTGTAATTAAATTATCTCCTATCAATGAAGATATATAATACCAAAAGATTATAAGAAACTATTTAAATTTCCCTCAAGCTTCCTTTATGCTCAGATCACTCACTCTTTCTATTTGGTCTCCAAAAGGTAAAAATAATAGCTGCTATAATGTAGCCTTATAACTCTTGTTACAAATAGTGATTTTAATTTTTAGTTAGTTTGATGATTTATAGTACTTATGAAGTCTTACTTCTTCTACTTCTGGAAAGATATAAGAAAAATTCACCATATGACCTCTTATTTTCCAAAGAGTTTATCACTGGCAATGGGTGGAGGAGGATTGATGTTTTAGGGATTCACAAGATGGAAAATATTCATTCATGATAAGTACCTTTGCAGGTCAAATGGTCTGGTGATACAGTAAGAAAGTCCATTTATCTTAGTCTTACTAATCATTTATCAAGCTATTTCATCATGAATTTATATTATGGTAGAATAAAAGTTAATTTCTGATGGGATCTTGTTTCCTAGAAAGATACTCTTGGAAATGCTGAGTTAAGGAGTGGTGAAATGTAAGTATTAATAATCACAGAAGGAGGATTTGGCTTGGAAGTTTTTGTAGGTTGAGTCTCTGTAAGCAGAAGTGGAGACAGAGTTTGTGCTGCAAGGTGTTGCTTAGGTTATCAACACCTGTGAAAGGAAAAGGAAGAAGCAGGATTGGGCAAGAGGAGTAGATGAACTGTGAAGCAAGCCTGACAACACCTAGCCTAACTGATGGAGAACTCTGAGCATCATCCCCACATTTGGCACAGGTTGGGTCAGAATTTCTAGGCCCCTATATCTTCACCACGCTTAGTCAGCAGGTGTGAGATTCTTGGGACAATAATGTCTCTTCAAGTGACTCTCTGTAGATGAGACAGCCATTGAAGGGGATGAGAGCTGGAGGCTGTCTGCTGACTGCACTCCCTACAACTGGGAACAAGTTCTTCTTTGAGAAGAGATCTGAGTAGTTAATCTCTGTGTCTACAGTAGTCCTAATTGGGGTTTCTCATATCCTCTTCTCCATATACAACCAGAAAGCTACTCCTCAAGGATTTCTGTGGGCTTCTCTTCCTGAGGAGAAAGTGCCAGTCCTTGCAAACAGCGAGCCCCTAATTTTCAGATTAGGATAGAAACATCCGTTGGCCAAATCAAGTCAGCTATAGTTAATAATTCCATGAGGCTTTTGCTGTATTTGCTAGTAAAAGGTTACCTCTTTGTAGAGCAGAGTATTTAACCCTTCAGAGTACAAATTGCAGGTTCAGAAAGCACAAAGTTCCCCTGTGGGTCATCAGGAGTGAAGATAAACAAGATCGCTTATTTCACCACTTGATTTCTGGACCTGTGTATTTATCCTATTGGGGACACTTTGCCATATAAAATTTTTAATGCATATACTGCATTCTGGAGGAAGGTACCCCATTCTTCAGAATAATGCTTCTCAGGTAGTTCTCTATTTGTACCTTCACAGCCACTCCATCACTCTGGCAGACCAGCACTTCTGGGTAGTGGAGGAAGTGATACATCCAGTGGATCCTGTGGGCATCATTAACTACCACACCTTCTTTGCTGTAAAGTGTTTTCTTGTTTTTTTTTTTTTTTTTTTTTTTTCTGGTGTGATGCTTTGGACACCCATTCCAAAAGATCAGTCACTCCATAAGACCTTACATAGTTGTGTTTGCCGAAGTTCTGTCAGCAAGTGAGGGAAATCCATACTCTAATAGCTGTCTATTCCTATGAGAACAAATGACTGGACCTTCTAGTATGAATGGAGCCCGTTTGGTCTCCTCAAGAAATTTTGTCATGTGGGAAGATAAGAGATGTTCTCTGTTGCCAGTGGGTGGAACATTAGTTGGTAGCAGAAGCTAGATCAGCCTTGCTAGTCTGAAACCCATGTTGTTGGATCCATGCATAGTTTCTATATCTACCACCACAGTCACCCCATTTATATACCTATTATATCCACTTTGAGGTGGCTGTTGCCAAAAATCACAGACAATATCAGGTGTTTATTTAGTGCTCTTTTATGGTTAATGCTTTCTAGTGGCCACTAATATGTAACATAAAAATCTGCACTTCATGCCAACTCTCACATGTTTAATCACATGCTATTCAAGATGTGTGCTTATACTTGACCTTGCATTTTTTTCCCTTCCAGGGCCCTGATCAGCTTTCTAGGCCATTCACTGCTACTCATAAGTGCTTATATATTCTAATCTCAGGAAGCTTCTTTCTCAACACAAAGTATAGGACCAGGGACACTGCCCAAAGTTATGAAGCTATGCCCATAGGAAGGATTCATGGCAGTCTTTCAAGGCCATCTCTAAGTGAGGTTACAGTGCAGCTAAAATCCATTTTTGGCTTGCACCCACATATTAAGCCAACACATTCATAGTCTGAATTTTTTTTTCTTTCAGCTGGTCATATGGGGACCCAACTATGCCAGAGTTGTGAACTCAAGGGCAGGCACTAGGGCAACGATGGTGGATGCCATTGTTGTCTGGGTTTCCTACTCATGCAGCTTTCTTATGCCCTGTGATCCTTCTCGTGTGCAATTTGGGATATACCTCTTCCGTCTTATGCTGAATTTCTGCTAGGCCCATCACTTATAAATTTGTTGGCTGATAGACCCAGCTCTTGACAAGCAGGTCCAGACACATGGTCAGCTGTTCTGTCTATAGTAGAGCCTAAGAGCATTCCACAAGTTGTTTTTGAAAGATATGTAATTGTCTGCTTTATTTGACATGATCTTGCTCCAGAACTCTTGGAATTTTTCAAAAGGCATATGATTTTCTCTGAAAAATGGCATAGCTTTACTCCAGAATCCCAGGGGCCCACATTATGATTCTTACACTGAGACTTGCCACAAATTCCACACTGCCTCTTTTCTACTAGCCATTATATCTCCAGTACCACAAGGTCTGCAAAACCATAAGACTCTAGTGTCAGGGCTACTTTCACTGTAACCTGGATCTGCTGTAGGGCTGTTTTCTGCTGTAAGATCTTTCCAAAGCTAACAGCATTTCATTTCATGCAGTATGTGGGCCTGAGCAGTATTCTTAGTTGTGTAGGATGCTGCCATAAGAATCTAAAAAATGTACCAGTACTATTCTTTGTTCATGGTAGGATGTGCAAAATGCAATAATTTTTCTCTTATTTTGGAGAGGATGATTCAGCATACACCTGTCCACTGGGCCTTTAAAAGTTGTATGGATGTGTTGGGCTCTTCACTCTCTGTAGAATTATTTCCAACCCCTCTGGAGTATGTGTATTTTATTGAGATCTTTAGCATTGTCTTGCTCACTTGGTCTGATGAACGTAATGCCATTGACATAATGGACTAATGTAATGTTCTGTCAGATATCTAGATGATCCAAATCTCTTTAGACTATGCTATTTTATATACACACACACACACACACACACACACACACACATATATATATAGAGAGAGAGTGTGTGTGTGTGTGTGCACGTGTGTGTGTGTGTGTGAACTTAGCCTTGGGGCAAGCCAGTAAATATATACTGTTGTATGTTCCATATGAATGAAAATTGTCTATAATATTTTCAGATTGGGAAAGAAATGAATGTGTTTATCAAATCAGAGGCCAGATATCATGTTTTTGAGGCCATATTAATCTGCTTTTGCCAAGAAATCCATTTGTCATAGTGGTTTCAGTCAGGCTAATACTTCACTTAATTTGAGTAATCTGTCATTTTCCATAATCCATCTATTTGGAATTAAATGGGGAAATGATAGAGACCACACCCCTACTTTGTTTAGATTATTGGGGTCACAAATCTCTATCATGCCTTCATGATAGCCATGATGGCTAAGAGTGGGGCAATTTCAAAGGTGTCCACTTTACTTTGTCACTATTATAGCTTTTATGCCAAGGCAAAAAAAAAAAAAAATGAGGCTTGTTACAAGCTGCCAAATATATAACTCCAAGATATACCTAGGGAGACCAGGGAAGTGTCAATGAGTAGGTCTGTAGACCCAGTGGAACCACTGGATGGCCATGACCTTTGTTACCAGCTGCCAAATACATAACTCCAAAATATACCTATGGAGACCAGGGGGTGACTACAGACTGAGTAGATCTGTAAACCCAGTGGAACCACTGGATAACCATGACTAGGATTCTATTTATTATTTAGCCCACATATGACACCTCTCTTATGGGACTGTAATGATGGTGAAGATTCTGGTTACCAATGCCAACTCAAACCCTGTGTCCAACAGTCTCCAAATGTGTAAGTACCCTCCTTTTAAAAATATATTGGTACCTGAGAAAATGGCCATAGGCCACTTGGAAAAGTAGTGGAGAAATCAATACTGTGATGTTTTTCTTCATAAAAAATTGGAAAAAAATTAGTCAATGAATTCCATATCTGAAAACAGGTTCAATCTAAAATTGTAAAAGGAACCATAATTTTTATTGGGGTGACTTCTGTAAGCTACTTATTCATTCTTATTTCCTCTGATGACAAGGGTGTCTACCTATTTTTGCCTCTCAGTAAATGATTTTCTTTTAATCATGTCAGTAACTCTCTCTACAGGTCAGAAAACCTTGGCTGTCACTCCAAACTTATAATTCATTATAACACCTTGCCTTCTTGTTCTGAAGCAATATCATCTGGCCTCTACTTTTGGGGGGTTATTTTATCCCCAGTGATATCAGTGAGACAAGTTCTGTAACAGCCTCTCCTACCACCAACACTGGCCCAGAGAAGAGGCCACCACTAACATTTTTAATGATACTCATGCTCCTGTCACCATTGCATTCCTTATGGCCTTGATATGGGTGGTGTCTCCAATGGAATACAATCATCTGGAGGATTTTGGGGACATATGTTGTATATCTATTTCCAAACATCCACCCCTTTCAATCTGTTCCTTTACTATTTGCGGTGGCAATTCTGCCCTTTCAACTTCCTTTCTATGGGTCATCACTTTTCCTATGCTTAACATCATCCTAGTAGCAAGTTTGCCACCTCTCCCTGACTCCTTGCCAAGTGTTAAATCTAGTGTCTTCCGGGTGCCCTCCAAAATAAATGCATTCTTCCTGACCTAATTGTATATTCAAATGACCTTTATTAAGCATCTTCAGAATCCATTTCTTTCTTCACTCTCCTGGCCCCTGCCATTCTGTGACAGCTAGGTCTTCCAATTACTTTGTGATATAGTCTTCCCCCTACCATCAAACCCAACAATGCCCCAGGAAGGTCACATTGTAACTTAACCCCAGTTATTAGCATAGAGGCCATGGGTAGAGGTGAGGTCAAATCCTGGGAAGGTAAGACCTGTTATCTTACAGACTCTGCATTTTCTTCCACCATGAGGATAAGAGGTGGTGTGTGTGTGTGTGTGTGTGTGTGTGTATGAATTTGTGTGTATGTGTGCACGTGTGTGCACTTCTTCAGGCTCAGAAATTTGGGAGGAGAATGGGGAGTTAAAATATAATAGAGAAATCCACTCAGACATCATCATCCCATTCGGAGACATCCACCCAAATAGCAAAATCTCAAAATGTCTTAACAAAGGTCCTGACCTTGGCATAATAGACCTGACTTTATCTGTCATTTAACTATCTTTGCAGTTCTGTCACTCCAACATTTATATCATAGACATGGTTCTCGGCTTCCTTTGCTCTTCTGTTGCAGGAAATGAGAGCTTTGATGCAACCAAGATCATTTGGTTTTCACCTTGCTTTTCGATTGCCTTTTACTCACCCTCATCTGTTCTTTATCTTTATGCAATGCATCAATAACATTTATAAACAGCCATTCTATACTAAAACTCATCAGTGTATCCCATCCTACCAGCACCATCCCAACTCACCCCTGTAAACATTTTAACAGCTGGACTACCATTGTGCATCCAGGACAATGTGTGTTCCCCCTACCACCAGTGACAGGGTCCTCATTTAACAGGACACTGATTAATCCAAAAACCTCATCTTATTGTCCACTTTATTGGGCCAGTTTTGATATCTCTGATCTCAATTTGAGTTTCTCTGAAATGGAAGCTGAGACACTATAGGGTTCAAGAGGTTTATTACGTATCAATACCTGCGAAAGGAAAGAAGAAGAACTGTTGGACAGAGGGCGAAGTTGTGATGAAGGCTCTCCAAAGCCTTGGCTAACTCAGAGGGAAACCTGGCAGTGATTCATGCCTCTCCGAGTTGTTCCTCATCAGGCTGAGGTATGTCAGTGCAGCTGAGATAGACCCTAAATGATGGGACAGATGAAAGCCATCTGCCAACTGCACTGTGTATCTGGGCAACAAATTACCTTGAAGGGAGATATAGGTGGTACAATGTCATGTATATACTGGGGTAGAAAAAGCTGTCTAAATGGCATTCTACCTTCTGTCTCATTTTTTTGTAAAGCCAGAATTAAACAAGTCCAGACAGACAAGAAACTGTCTTAATTCTAAATGACCTTAGTAAAGAAAATTCTAAAGTGTATTACCTTCTATTTCAAAACTGCGCTAAGGTAAAACTATGCTTGTTCGAAGAGAGCAACTTTTTGACAACTGGTTCAGAAAACATTTATTTTTCCTTCCTGTCAATGCAGAGAATTATAAGGCTGAATACACTGTGAGTGTAATTATCCAGACTCTTATTGTTAGGTCAACCATCCTGGCAAACTAAGCACTCTGTGTGCCCAGAGACAATCTTTCTTTTAAGAACACCACTAAGTTCCTGCCTAAAGATAGGTAACAGCCTTTCCAAGTGCAACAGAGATTTCATGGAGAAAAAAAAAATGTCAAAATAAATAAATAAATAAATAAATCTACATAAACTGGTGGGTTTTATGAATTTCCATTGTGATTTTCTTTCTACTTCTGACTTTAGTATCAAGTATTCTATATGATTGTTTCATATAAAATAAGGACTACTTTAAAAATATTTACTCCCAAGTATTTCAAAAATCATAACTCACTCTCCCTTTAGGGAGGATGTTCCAGCTAAGAATTTATACCTTGGGTTTTATAAATATAATTTCATTGATTGGGTGGCATTTTGTAATGCAGAGATATTTGTAATTTTTAATTCTTTGTGATTCCATAGCATATGCGAACATCTCTATTTTGTTCAGTTCTGCCTAAACTTTATGTTACTACTATGTGGCACTCATTACATTAAGGGCTGGGAATACAAAAATAAATAAAATATAGACAACACATTATTAGCTGCTCATGAGAATGTTATGTCCAAAATTAAACTGGGCTTGTAGTATACAAGAGAGTGTACATGGCACCCTGAGGTTCTTTCATTAGGAGACTTACATGGAAGAAGTAAGAAAACTTCATTACCTATATTTTATGCAGACCTAGATTCTGTATATTTTATACTGGTCTGTGATTCCTGTGTACATGATGAGACATGAATCTCTGTTATGTCTCAGATGTAGATCTCTAGGCTGGTCTTCTTAGGGTTCAAGTTGGCATATCAAAGGGTCTAATCAAAAAAGAACTGTGGGAGAGCCTGTAGCCAGATCCTCACTACCCTCAAGTTCTTTGGTTCTTGATAGGAAAGGAGAGAACTTTTGTGCCTAGTGTGTCTTGAACCAGAGCCTCTCTCAAAAACAAGTGTAAATGTTAATGGTATAACACAAATTCCATCATGCTTTCTACTTTTTTATATATTATGAGTTAACACATCTATTCATAGGAGTTTTGGGTCATTGATGTTACTGAATTTTCTATTTGGAGCTACACACAGATATAAAGAAATGGAAAGGAAGTCATTCATGCATCTTTTCTGGAATCAATTATCTCAGAGTCTGACTGATTAGTATCTTCAAATGCTATCACAGTTGATTGCAGAACCTTGAGAATAAAGGTATAGGTGGTGCAGGAACAATTATTGTTCTTACTGTGAACTCTGATTTTTTTTTTTCAGGTTTCAGAAGGAAGAGCCTAAAGGAAAATGTAGGTCAAGTGCTTTTATCCTGTGAAACTTTTAGAAGAGCAATCATAAAATCACAGTGACTGGCCCTGATTTTCAGTGATGGAAAAAGAAGAGCAATAGGTGAAAAAGCAATAGACAAGTATTTTTAAGTAGTATTTTAAAATATATAGCAGCAAATATAAGTTTTTTTAAAATTAGGAATATATTTGATTGATTTAGTCTAATTTGACTTTGGCTTATTAAATTTGGCTTTCTATGTTACTAATTCTGGTTACTATCATATTAATGTGTCAAAGTGGGAAAAGAAAAAACTAAAACATATGTTTGTAAGGCATCATGTTTAATGTGCTACAAGTCTCTAATTAACATACAACCCTTCACAAAACAATTCTTTCCAAGCCTGTAAATGTTTAAGAGGATAGGGCTGCTTTGCTCATTACTGTAATTATTGTAAAATCAGGTTTACTAAATTTCTTATTTATAGGTATTATATTAATTTTAAAAAATTATTTATAACAATTTAAAGTACCCTATTATCTCAAAAGCAGATCTTTCTTTTCTAAATGAATTTATATTTCAAGAATAACGTTATTTTAGTTGGGACAGTATCCATTTAGTTAATATTATAATTAAATATCTAATGAAACTTTCTATTGTATTAGAATTGGCTATGATAAATCTGTAATTCCAATACATTAAAATTGTTACAAATATGACTGGAGTATATGTGTGACCTGAAAAGGCAGGCATATCTTGTTTTATTGTGCTTCAGTTTATTGCATTTTGCAGATGCTGCATTTTTACAAATTGATGCTTTATGGCAACCCTGTGTCAAGCAAGTCTATTGTGGCCATTTTCCAACATCATGTGGTCACTTCCTGTGTCACATTTTGGTAGTTCTCACAATATTCAATCTCTTCACTATTATTATGCCTGTTACGGTCATCTGTGATAAGTGATCTTTGACATTATTATTGTAATTATTTGGGGGTGATACAAACTGGACCCACATAAGATAGTGAACTTAATAAATATTATGTATGTTCTGACTGCTCCACTGACTGGGTGTTCCCCCATCTCTCTCCCTTTCCCTATTCACTAAAACACAAGAATACTGAAATTATGCCAAATAATAAATCTACAGAGGCCTCCAGGTGTTTGAGTGAAAGGAAAATTTGCACATCTCTGATTTTAATTCAAAAGCTAGTAATAATTAAGCTTAGTGAGGAAGACATGTTGAAAGCCGAGACAGGCTGAAGGCTAAACCTCTTGAAGCAAACAGTTAGCCAAGTTGTGAATGCAAAAAAAAAAAAAAAGTTATTGAAGGAAATTAAAAATGTTACTGCAGTGAACATACAAATGATAAAAACATGATACAGTCATTGCTGGTATGGAGAGAGTTTCAGTGGTCTGCATACAAGATCAAGCCAACCACAACATGCCCTTAAACCGAAGCCTAATCCAGAGCAAGACCCTAATGCTCTTCAATTCTCTGAAGGCTGAGGGAGTTGAGGAGCCTGAAAAAGAAAAGTTTGAACTTAGCAGAGGTTGGTTCATGAGTTTAAGGAAAGAAGCTGTTGCTATAACATAAAAGTGCAAGGTGAAGCAGCAAGTGGAGATGTAGAAGCTGTATCAAGTAATCCAGAAGATCTAGCTAAAAGAACTGATGAAAGTGGCTATACTAAACAGTCTTTCAATGTAGACAAAACAGCCACAGTGGTCTATTGCAAGAAGATGCTGTCTAGGATTTTAATAACTAGACAGGAGAAGTCAGTGCCTGGTTTCAAATCTTCAAAAGACAAGCTCTCTTGCTAGGGGCTTATGCAGCTGGTGACTTTAAGTTGAAGCCAATGCTTATTGACAATTCTGAAAATCCTAGGGCCTTTAAGAATTATGCTAAATCTACAGTGCCTGTGCTCTGTAAATGAAAAAACAAAGCCAGTATGATGGCACATCTGCTTACAGCATGGTTTACTGAATATTTTAAGTCCACTGTCCATATCTATCCTTTGAAAATATTACTGCTCATTGACAATGCACCTGGTCACCCAACAGCACTAATGAAAATATACATGGAGATTAATGTTGTTTTTATGCCTGCTAACACAATATCCATTTTGTAGTTTATGGATCAAGGATTAATTTTGATTTTCTATGACTGACACTTTAAGAATACATTTTATGAGGCTATAGCTGCCATAGATAGTGACTCCTCTGATGGATCTGGCAAAGTAAATTGAAAACCTTCTGGGTAGGATTCGCCATTCCAGATGCCATGAAGAACATTCATGATTCATGAGAGGAGGTCAAAATATCAACATCATTAAAGGGTTTAAAGAAGTTGATTCCAGCCCTCATGGATAACTTTGAGAGATTCAAGACTTCAGTGGAGAAAGTAACTGCAGATAAGGTGGAAATAGCAAGAGAACTAGAATTAAAAGTGAAGTCTGAATATCTGACTGAACTGCTGCAATCTCATAATAAAACTTGGATGAGGAGTTTCTTCTTATGCTTGAGAAAAGGAAGTGGTATACTCCTGGTGAAGATGCTGTGAACATTGTTGAAACGACTTCAAAAAACTTTCAAATATTACATAAACCTTGTTGATAAAGCAGCAGCAGTGTTTGAGAATATTGACTCCAGCTCTGAAAGAAGTTCCACTGTGAATAAAAATGCTATCAAACAGCTTCACAAATGATAGGCAAATCTTTCATGAAAGAGTCAATAAGTGACACACTTCATTGTTTCATTACTTAAGAATTTGTCACAGAGACCAGAACCTTCAGCAACCACCACTCTGACCAGTCAGCAGACATCAACCTCCAGACAGGACCCTCCACGAGCAAAAACATTATGACTCACTGAAGATTAGATGATACTTAGCTTTTTTTTAGCAATATAGTATTTTAATTGAGGTACTTAAATTGTTTCTTAAATATAATGTGATTGTACATTTAATAGACTATAGCATATTATGTACATAACTTTTCTATGCACTGGGAAATCAAAAGTTCATGTGGCTCACTTTAGTGTGGTGGTCTGGAACTGAACCCACAATATCTCCCAGGTATGACAGCAGCACAAAAATTGTCGGGCTGCAGTAAATTTTTTGGCACTGACTTCAAATTTGAGCCATGTCAGGACATTTTATTTGAATTTTTGGAATGCAAAATGTTTATGAAAATGTTCATGAAAATGTTCTAGTTTGAAGTAATATATTGCATTGTAAGATTTTATTAATTGTAGTGTAATGTTTTGAAAATAGCTTGATTGGGAGAGAGGTATGTGTTGAAATTTGAGGGTATCAAATAGCTGGTATAAACGGAAATGTAAAGGGAGGGACAGAGGCTATATGAACTGGGAAGGCCAGTCATATTTGTTTTACTGATTTCATTATTTTGCCTTTAACTGGCCCAGTAGACAGATATCTGGACACACCTCTTAGAAAATTTGGTGCAATGGAGGGGAGAAAAGGCAATACAGAATAAATGGAGAAGTATTGGGAGAATCACTCTACCTTATCTCTTAGGGTCCCAACTAATTCATTAGAGAATGAAGGTGTTGGACTTGTTCAGTGGTGTTTAACTATAATGTTTCCACACAGTAGCATACCATAAACAGTTATAAAATGTATCACAAGACATTTGCTTCCTAAGTAGTGGGATAATGTTTTAAAGTGTTACGAGATTTTTTTCCTTATCAGTATTTTTCTTCTGCCATGATGATTAGTTTTTGACATAAGGACTTGCCTTACCAATGAGAAGAACAAATACTACCAAGGTCAAATAAGACGTAAGACTTAAGAACAGTTTCTACCATAAAAGAATGAGAAATATAATGTTCTTTTTATGCTGGGGGAATAGATTGCAGGGGTGGATGTGGGGAAGAGGAGAGAGAGGGAGAGAGAGAGTACCAAGTAGTTAGATACAGCATCTTAGCTAATTGATCCTCTGCCCTTCCTTGGGGTTAACTTTTGGAGAAGGAGGAATAGAAAGTACCTGACAAGATCAGATTAATACTTTCTTCTCAAGAAGAAAAAATAAAATAAAGGAGTGTTCTTAGAATTCTGCCCGTACTTCCTCCCATCAGGTATTTTGAGTGAGATAATCAATGCTTACCCTCACATTTGGTGACACATTTGCTCACCTAGGTGTCTTTAGGACTAAAATAACACAGTGTAGCAGTCTTGTAGGAACTAAGAGCCCAGAAAAATAGATAGAGATTTACTAGCATCAAGAATTACCTTCCCTACTTCTCTTCCAACTGCTCATGGCCAGTGAATTTTAATCTCAGAAGTGACTCTTAAAGCTGCTTGTCTCTGCTGAAGGAAAAGCCTTGGCCAAAAACTGTTTTGGTAGTGTTCCCAGTGCTTGGGGCTCTTCACCCAAGGATGCATCCATCTTCACTATCCTGCACATTGAGACTGTCCATTCTACAGGTACACATAGGTCAAGCTGTAATATCCATTGAGAGATCTAATCATACTACATGCAGCCTTCAGCTTCAAACCTAAAAGTACCCATCACCTTTACTAGAAACAATCATCTCTTTTATCCCTTGTAAGAAAAAAATAATGTGTGGGAAGTTTTCTTTGCTTGGAGGTGAAAGCTACAGCTACTTACAACTATATATATACATATATATATATATACACACACATATATATACGCACATATAGTTGTACATATGTATACATATACACCTATAGTTGTAAGTAGCTATAATTCATTTATTTTGATTCTTGTTTCATATTTTATGTTATAAATAAACAATGTATTGTATCTTCCTTCACACAAGTTATCAGGACTTAATTATAAACTCTACTAATAAAGATAGTATGTAAGTGGCACAGGGATAGAAAACTGGCTGATGAAATAGAACAGAAAATCAAGAAGTAAGCTTATGCATTCACATTTAGGTACAGCAGAAGTGGCCTGTCTTATCAGTAAGAAAATGTGGGAGGATTCAAAAAATGGAACAGGAAAAATGGCTATCTTGCAAAAATAAAATCATCTCCAGATAAATTAAGGACTTGAATATTAAAAACAAACTGTGAGCATCTTAGTAGAACATATTGGTGAACATATTTTAAGCACAAAAAAGCACTGACAATATTTGACAATATTAAAATTAAGAAATTTGGCTTGTCAAAAATAATCCTAAGTGAAAACATGTTATAAATGGGGAGAAGTAATCAGCAATAAACACAGCCAACGAGTACATTTTATGACGACTAGCTAAAGAAATACAAATTAGTAGATAAAAATCAACAACTCAAAGAAAAAAAATGGGGCAAATGCATGAAAAGGCATTTCACATCAGAGGAAACACACATGGCTAGTAAACATGTTATAAGATGTTTAACTTCATCCAAAGTGAGGGCAATGTAAATCAAGACTACTATGAGGTTTCACTTTAGTCACATTATATTGGCAAAAATTTAAAAAGCTTGAGTGTATGCAGTGTTGGAAGCCATATACACCTTCTATCTCTTATAAATTGCTTGCGGGGCTGTAAAATGCTACAACCACTTTCACGTTATCTTATCAGTTTAGATGTTGACATATTCTATGAACCAACCAACAATTCTATCTATAAAGCCAAGGGAAACTCAGATGCATGTATACCAGAAGACATGTACAAGAATGTTTATAGCAACACTGTTCACAACAGCAAAACCTTAGAAACAACATGTATGCTCATCAACAGGAGAGTTGATGAATATATTGCATATTTATATGATGGAATATGGAAAAACAATTTGAACAAATTATAGCAAAATTTATTATATAAAAAACATGGATAGTATATTGTGAAATGAAAAATTATCCTAAATTGTTATCCATACTAATGTATCCTTTTTAATAAAGTTAAAAACAAATAAAATAATATACTCTATTGAAACATATAAGTTAAAAAAACATAAAAAGAAAAGTAAGAGAATGATGAACTCAAGAATGCAGATAATGATTTATTTGGATGAAGGAGAAGAGGAAGCAGGTGTGATGGAGGAAGCAGAGGTGAAGGCCATAAGGCCAGAAATGAATTACAGTCAAGAACTTGACCTTTATTTTGGGTAGTATGTTCACAAATGTTTATTAAATTAACGTGAACAATCACATAACTTTCAATAACATATGCATACATACATAAAAGAAGGCCACGTGTGGATCAATTCGATTACTGTTAATCCAAGTCTAGGCACTAAGATCCTTAAACATTTTAGAAAGTAACATGTTTGCTCATGCTGGTTCTCTAAGTCTTTTAGAAAATCAAAATTAAGGGCGGTTCCAAGATGGCCGAATAGGAACAGGTCCAGTCTACAGCTCCCAGCGTGAGCGACACAGAAGATGGGTGATTTCTGCATTTCCAACTGAGGTACCGGGTTCATCCCACTGGCACTTGTTGGACAGTGGGTGCAGCACAACGAGCGTGAGCTGAAGCAGGGCGAGGCATTGCCTCACCCAGGAAGCACAAAGGGTCAGGGAATTCCCTTTCCTAGGAAAGCAAAGCTGTGACAGACAGCACCTGGAAAATTGGGTAACTCCCACCCTGATACTGTGCTTTTCCGACGGTCTTAGCAAACGGCACACCAGGAGGTAATATCCTGCGCCTGGCTCAGAGGGTCCCATGCCCACGGAGCCTCACTTATTGCTAGCACAGCAGTCTGAGATTGAACTGCAAGGCAGCAGCGAGGCTGGGGGAGGGGCGCCTGCTATTGCTGAGGCTTGAGTAGGTAAACAAAGCAGCCAGGAAGCTCAAACTGGTTGGAGCCCACCACAGCTCAAGGAGGCCTGCCTGCCTCTATAGACTCCACCTCTGGGGGCAGGGCATAGCCGAACAAAAGGCAGCAGAAACCTCTGCAGACTTAAATGTCCCTGTCTGACAGCTTTGAAGAGAGTACTGATTCTCCCAGTGTGGAGTTTCAGATCTGAGAATGGTCAGACTGCCTCCTCAAGTGGGTCCCTGACCCTCAAATAGCCTAACTGGGAGGCACCTCACAGTAGGGGCAGCCTGACACCTCACACGGCTGGGTACCCCTCTGAGACGAAACTTCCAGAGGAACGGTCAGGCAACAAAATTTGCTGTTCAGCAATATTCGCTGTTCTGCAGCCTCCACTGCTGATACCCAGGCAAACAGGGTCTGGAGTGGACCTCCAGCAAACTCCAAAAGACCTGCAGCTGAGGGTCCTGACTGTTAGAAGGAAAACTAACAAACAGAAAGGACATCCACACCAAAACCCCATCTGTACGTCACCATCATCAAAGACCAAAGGTAGATGAAACCACAAAGATGGGGAAAAAACAGAGCAGAAAAACTGAAAATTCTAAAAATCAGAGCACCTCTCCTCCTCCAAAGGAATGCAGCTCCTCACCAGCAATGGAACAAAGCTGAACGGAGAATGACTTTGATGATTTGAGAGAAGAAGGCTTCAGGCAATCAAACTACTCTGATCTAAAGGAGGAAGTTCGAACCAATCTCAAAGAAGTTAAAAACCTTCAAAAAAATTAGACAAATGGGTAACTAGAAAAACCAATGTAGAGAAGTCCTTAAATGACCTGATGGAGCTGAAAACCATGGCACGAGAACTGCACGATGAATGCACAAGCTTCAGTAGCCGATGCGATCAACTGGAAGAAAGGGTATCAGTGATGGAAGACCAAATGAATGAAATGAAGTGAGAAGAGAAGTTTAGAGAAAAAAGAATACAAAGAAATGAACAAAGCCTCCAAGAAATATGGGACTGTGTGAAAAGACCAAATCTACATCTGACTGGTGTACCTGAAAGTGACGGGGAGAATGGAACCAAGTTGGAAAACACTCTGCAGGATATTATCCAGGAGAACTTCCCCAACCTAGCAAGGCAAGCCAATATTCAAATTCAGGCAATACAGAGAACGCCACAAAGATACTCCTCGAGAAGAGAAACTCTAAGACCCATAATTGTCAGATTCACCAAAGTTGAAATGAAGGAAAAAATGTTAAGGGCAGCCAGAGAGAAAGGTCGGGTTACCCACAAAGGGAAGCCCATCAGACTAACAGCTGATCTCTTGGCAGAAACTCTACAAGCCAGAAGAGAGTGGGGGCCAATATTCAACATTCTTAAAGAAACGAATTTTCAACCCAGAATTTCATATCCAGTCAAACTAAACTTCATAAGTGAAGGAGAAATAAAATCCTTTACAGACAAGCAAATGCTGAGAGATTTTGTCACGACCAGGCCTGCCCTACAAGAGCTCCTGAAGGAAGCACTAAACATGGAAAGGAACAACCAGCACCAGCCACTGCAAAAACATGCCAAATTATAAAGACCATTGATGCTAGGAAGAAACTGCATCAACTAACGAACAAAATAACCAGCTAACATCATAATGACAGGATCAAATTCACACATAACCATATTAACTTTAAATGTAAATGGGCTAAATGCTCCAATTAAAAGACACAGACTGGCAAATTGGATAAAGAGTCAAGACCCATCAGTGTGCTGTATTCAGGAAATCCATCTCACATGCAGAGACACACATAGGCTCAAAATAAAGGGATGGAAGAAAATCTACCAAGCAAATGGAAAACAAAAAAAGTCAGGGGTTGCAATCCTAGTCTCGGATAAAACAGACTTTAAACCAACAAAGATCAAAAGAGACAAAGAAGGCCATTACATAATGGTAAAGAGATCAATTCAACAAGAAGAGCTAACTATCATAAATATATGTGCACCCAACACAGGAGCACCCAGATTCATAAAGCAAGTCCTTAGAGACCTACAAAGAGACTTAGACTCCCACACAATAATAATGGGAGACTTTAACAACCCACTGTCAACATTAGACCGATCAATGAGACAGAAAGTTAACAAGGATATCCAGGAATTGAACTCAGCTCTGCACCAAGTGGACCTAATAGACATCTACAGAACTCTCCACCCCAAATCAACAGAATATACATTCTTCTCAGCATCACATTGCACTTATTCCAAAATTGACCACATAGTTGGAAGTAAAGCTCTCCTCAGCAAATGTAAAAGAACAGAAATTATAACAAACTGTCTCTCAGACCACAGTGCAATCAAACTAGAATTCAGGATTGAGAAACTCACTCAAAACCGCTCAACTACATGGAAACTGAACAACCTGCTCCTGAATGACTACTGGGTACATAACGAAATGAAGGCAGAAATAAAGATGTTCTTTGAAACCAATGAGAACAAATACACAACATACCAGAATCTCTGGGACACATTTAAAGCAGTGTGTAGAGGGAAATTTATAGCACTAAATGCCCACAAGAGAAAGCAGGAAAGATCTAAAATTGACACCCTAACATCACAATTAAAAGAACTAGAGAAGCAAGAGCAAACACATTTAAAAGCTAGCAGAAGGCAAGAAATAACTAAGATCAGAGCAGAACTGAAGGAGGTAGAGACACAAAAAACCCTTCAGAAAATCAGTGAATCCAGGAGCTGGTTTTCTGAAATGATCAACAAAATTGATAGACTGCTAGCAAGACTAATAAAGAAGAAAAGAGAGAAGAATCAAATAGATGCAATAAGAAATGATAAAGGGGATATCACCGCTGATCCCACAGAAATACAAACTAACATCAGAGAATACTATAAACACCTCTACGCAAATAAACTAGAAAATCTAGAAGAAATGGATAAATTCCTGGACACATACCCCCTCCCAAGTCTAAACCAGGAAGAAGTTGAATCTCTGAATAGACCAATAACAGGCTCTGAAATTGAGGCAATAATAGCTTACCAACCAAAAAAAGTCCACGACCAGATGGATTCACAGCCGAATTCTACCAGAGGTACAAGGAAGAGCTGGTACCATTCCTTCTGAAACTACTCCAATCAATAGAAAAAGACGGAATCCTCCCTAACTCATTTTATGAGACCAGCATCATCCTGATACCAAAGCCTGGCAAAGACACAACAAGAAAAGAGAATTTTAGACCAATATCCCTGGTGAACATTGATGCAAAAATCCTCAATAAAATACTGGCAAACCGAATCCAGCAGCACATCAAAAAGCTTATTGACCATGATCAAGTGGGCTTCATCCCTGGGATGCAAGGCTGGTTCAACAAATGCAAATCAATAAATGTAATCCTGCATATAAACAGAACCAACGACAAAAACCACATGATTATCTCGATAGATGCAGAAAAGGCCTTTGACAAAATTCAACAGCCCTTCATCTAAAAACTCTCAATAAATTAGGTATTGATGGGATGTATCTCAAAATAATAAGAGCTATTAATGACAAACCCACAGCCAATATCATACTGAATGGGCAAAAACTGGAAGCATTCCCTTTGAAAACCAGCACAAGACAGGGATGCCCTCTCTCACCACTCCTATTCAACATAGTGTTGGAAGTTCTGGCCAGGGCAATCAGGCAGGAGAAGGAAATAAAGGGTATTCAATTAGGAAAAGAGGAAGTCAAATTATCCCTGTTTGCAGATGACATGATTGTATATCTAGAAAACCCCATTGTCTCAGCTCAAAATCTCCTTAAGCTGATAAGCAACTTCAGCAGCCTCAGGATACAAAATCAATGTCCAAAAATCACAAGCATTCTTATACACCAATAACAGACAAACAGAGAGCCAAATCATGAGTGAACTCCCATTCACAATTGCTTCAAAGAGAATAAAATACCTAGGAATCCAACTTACAAGGGATGTGAAGGACCTCTTCAAGGAGAACTACAAACCACTGCTCAGTGAAATAAAAGAGGACACAAACAAATGGAAGAACATTCCATGCTCATGGACAGGAAGAATGAATGTCGTGAAAATGGCCATACTGCCCAAGGTAATTTATAGATTTAATGCCATCCCCATCAAGCTACCAATGACTTTCTTCATAGAATTGGAAAAACTACTTTAAAGTTCATATGGAACCAAAAAAGAGCCTGCATTATCAAGTCAATCCTAAGCCAAAAGAACAAAGCTGGAGGCATCACGCTGCCTGACTTCAAACTATACTACAAGGCTACAGTAACCAAAACAGCATGGTACTGGTACCAAAACAGAGATATAGACCAATGGAACAGAACACAGCCCTCAGAAATAATACCACACATTTACAACCATCTGATCTTTGACAAACATGACAAATACAAGAAATGGGGAAAAGATTCCCTATTTAACAAATGGTGCTGGGAAAACTGGCTAGCCATACGTAGAAAGCTGAAATTGGATCCCTTCCTTACACCTTATACAAAAATTAATTCAGGATGGGTTGAAGACTTAAATATTAGACCTAAAACCATAAATACTCTAGAAGAAAACCTAGGCAATACCATTCAGGACATAGGCATGGGCAAGGACTTCATGTCTAAAACACCAAAAACAATGGCAACAAAAGCTAAAATTGACAAATGGGATCTAATTAAACTAAGGAGCTTCTGCACAGCAAAAGAAACTACCATCAGAGTGAACAGGCAACCTACAGAATGGGAGAAAATTTTTGCAATCTACTCATCTGACAAAGGCCTAATACTCAGAATCTACAAAGAACTCAAACAAATTTATAAGAAAAAATCAAACAACCCCATCAAAAAGTGGGCGAAGGATATGAACAGACACTTCTCAAAAGAAGACATTTATGCAGCCAACAGACACATGAAAAAATGCTCATCATCACTGGCCATCAGAGAAATGCAAATCAAAACCACAATGAGATACCATCTCACACCAGTCAGAATGGCGATCATTAAAAAGTCAGGAAACAACAGGTGCTGGAGAGGATGTGGAGAAATAGGAACACTTTTACACTGTTGGTGGGACTGTAAACTAGTTCAACCATTGTGGAAGACAGTGTGGTGATTCCTCAGGGATCTAGAACTAGAAATACCATTTGACCCAGCCATTCCATTACTGGGTATATACCCAAAGGATTATAAGTCATGCTGCTATAAAGACACATGCATACGTATGTTTATTGCTGCACTAGTCACAATAGCAAAGACTTGGAACCAAGCCAAATGTCCATCAATGATAGACTGGATTAGGAAAATGTGGCATATATAGACCATGGAATACTATGCAGCCATAAAAAATGATGAGTTCATGTCCTTTGTAGGGACGTGGATGAAGCTGGAAACCATCATTCTCAGCAAACTATCCCAAGGACAAAAAACCAAACACCGCATGTTCTCACTCATAGGTGGGAATTGAACAATGGGAACACTTGGACACAGGAAGGGGAACATCACACACCGGGGTCTGTCGTGGGGTGGGGGAAGAGGGGAGGGATAGCATTAGGAGATATACCTAATGTAAATGACGAGTTAACGGGTTCAGCACACCAACATGGCACATGTATACATACGTAACAAACCTGCACGTTGTGCACATGTACCCTAGAACTTAAAGTATAATTATAAAAAAAAAAGAAAATCGAAATTCAGCTTTTTTTGCATATCTTGCCTCTGGTATGTGTTCATAATATCTTGAATATGGATATGAATTTTGGTTGCACTGATAATTGAAAGTTTATTAGCGATATAAAGAGACTTAGATGACTCTTTAGCTGCTATCTACTATTCACGCATACTGATAAAACAACAGAGCGTTGTCTTGAATGTGCAAATTTCTGATGGAGAGGTTTGTGTAATATCTGATTCTAGTTCTCCGGGATTTTAAGGCAGAATCAGGAATGGGGGAGGGAGACTAGTGCCAAGAAGAGGCAGAAATCCAGGGTAGAAGTAGCAGTTTGATGCGGCAAAGGGTCAAAATAGAACAAAGCCAGAATTCCAAATGTTGTAGCCATCTTTCCTTGGTTAGATACCATTTCTTTCTCTAAAAATTTAGATATATAATCTTTGCTTCCATACCAGCCTACAGCATTTTTAATTAGTAAAAATTGTCCTAATATACAAAGAATAGAGAACATGGATGTGAATTTGAAATTGCTTGCTTTTCTGAAAATGACTAAACTTTATACCATTATATAAATATTCATTCCTAAGAATTCCATATAGCAATTATTATAGTTTCTCTGATACCTCAATTAATAGGAATAACTATAGCACAGTTCTTACACATTAATTAGCTTTCAGGTATTATCCAGATTGTTTTCCTGTACTGACATCCATAGCCATGCTTCTCCCTTGAGAGGCAGTAGAGTGTAAACAGTGAGGGTGCGGATTCAGGAATCAGGTAGACCTGGGTTCATATTTGGCTCTGTCACTTAGCTATTTGGTATTAAGCAAGTAATTTAGCTTTTCTGCACTCTGGTTTCTTGATCTGCAATGTCAAGATAATAATAATAGTATGTATTTGATTTTTCACATGTTTACAAGATTAGAAGTAACAGATGTAGAGCACTTAGCACAGACAAAGAGCTGAACATATGACAATTAATAAAGGATGTATTTAAATATAATTTTGTTCCAAGAAATGCTTATATAATGATATTTTGTTCTATAGATTTTTCCTAAACTTTGAGAAACTAATTTTCTACCTGAGAGAGGCCAAACTCAAAATCCTTCTCACTTTAGAAAATAAGCTGTAGAAACAGATTCTCGGTGGAATTGTATGTGTTTGGAAACCTATACATCAAACTAAAAATGATTAACTGAATAAAGAAAGAACATGGTTGTTTTTATTTCTTGATGGGATATCAACAACTCTGAGTGTAACTGTGTGATCCTTTTCACTAATACTCTGTCAATTCCTGTCAAAGCAGAAGAAAATGTGCTAGGCTGGTGTTGATGATTCACCCAGATCACTTAAACATCAATTTTTCAGGCACTTCTTATTACTTCTCTGTATTTTTCCCTGTGCAATTTTGAAATGGCTTCTATATTTTTTCTTTCCCCTCAGTTGAAAGCTAAACAGAAAACTAAATTCAAACACTCCCCATCCAAACAAAATACCTTGGAACGTGTACTTGTGCAGCATGATATAACCAGAAACTTAGATATCTGTAATTCTTTAAAAAATAGTATAGTCTGAAGGTTAAAAAATAGTATAGTCTGAAGGTTAAGAAACATTTAAAAATTATGGAATATTCACTTTTCTCTGCAGCCTCACCAGGACCTGCTGTTTTTTCACTTTTTAATAATAGCAATTCTGACTAGTTTGAGATGGTATCTCATTGTGGTTTTTATTTGCATTTCTCTAATGATTAGTGATGCTGAGCTATGTATGTTGGCTGCTTGTATGTTTTCTTTTGAGAAGTGTTTATTCATGTCCTTTGTCCATTTTTAAAATGGGGTTATTTGTTTTTTGCTTGTTGATTTTTTTAAGTTCCCTATAGATTCTGGATATTAGGCCTTTGTCAGATACATAGTTTGCTAATATCTTCTCCCATTCTGTAGGTTTTTTGCCCTGTCTATAGTTTCTTTTGCTATGCAGAAGCTCTTTAGTTTAATTGGTCTCACTTGTCTATTTTTTTGTTGTTGCTGCAATTGCTTTTGAGGACTTAGTTGAAAATTCTTTGCCAATGCCAATGCTGAGAAGAGTATTTTCTAGGTTGTCTTTCAGGATTTTTATACTTTGAGGTCTTACATTTAAATATTTAATCCATTTTGAGTTTATTTTTGCATATGCTGAAAAGTAGGGGTCTAGCTTCAATCTTCTGCACGTGGTTAACCAGATATCCCAGTACTTTTTATTGAATAAGGATTATTTTCCCCATTGCTTGTTTTTGTCAGCCTTGTCAAAGATCACCTTGTAGGTGTGTGGCTTTATTTCTGAGTTTTCTATTCTGTTCCATTGGTCTATGTGTCTGTTTATTTTGTTTTTGCTTTTGTTTTAAACCAGTACCAGGCAGATTTTGTTACTGTGGCTTTATAATATAGTTTGAAGTTGGGTAATGTGATGCCTTTGGCTTTATTCTTTTTGCTTAGGATTGCTTTGGCTATTCAGGCTCTTTTTTGGTTACATATGAACTTTAGAATAGTTTTTTAAAATTTTTATGAAGATCGACATTGGTGGTTTGATAGGAATAGCACTGAATCTGAAAATTGCTTTGGGCAGTATGGCCATTTTTACAATATTGATTCTTCTTATCCATAATAAGCATGAAGTGTTTTTCCATTTGTCAGTGTTTTGTAGTTCTCCTTGTAGAGATCTTTCACCTCCTAGGTTAGCTGTATTCCTAGGTATTTCAATTTTTTGTGGCTATTGTATATAGGATTGTGTTCTTGATTTCACTCTCAGCCTGGTCGTTATTGGTATATGGAAATGCTACTGATTTTTGTACATTGGTTTTGTATCCTGAAACTTTACTAAAGTTGTTTATCAATTCTAGGAGCCTTTTGGTAGAGTCTTTAATATTTTCTAGGTATACAATCATATTGTCAGTGAAAAGAAATACTTTGACTGCTTCTCTTCTTATTTGGATGACTTTTATTTCTTTCTCTTGCCTGATTGTTCTGACTAGAACTTCCAGTACTACGTTGAATAGGAGTGGTAAGAGTGGGCATCCTTGTCTTGTTTCACTTCTCCAGGGGAATGGTTAGAGTTTTTGCCCATTCAATATGATGTTGGCTGTGGGTTTATCGTAGAAGGCTCTTATTATTTTTATTTTTTCAAGATAGGGTCTCACTCTGTCACCTAGACTGGAGTGCAGTATGATGGTCCCCACTAACCACAGCCTTGGCCTCCTGGGCTCCAGCGATCCTTCCACTTCAGCCTCCCAAGTAGCTGGGACTACAGGTGTGGACCATCACACCCAGCTAATTTTTGTATTTTTTGTATAGACAGTGTTTTGCCATGTTTCCTAGGCTGATCTTGAGCTCCTCAGCTCAAGCAATCTGCCCCCTCAACCTCCCAAAGTTTTGGGATTACAGGCGTGAGCAACCACACCCAGACTGCTCTTATTATTTTGAGGTATATTTATTTCATGCCTAGTCTGTTGAAAGTTTCTTATCATGAAGGGATATTGTACTTTATTAAAACCTTTTTCTGCATCTATTGAGAAGACCATATGATTTTGCTTTTGATTCTGGTTTATGTGGTGAATCATTAAATTGGTAAATAATGTAGTAAATCAATAAAATAAATGATAAATCAACATTTATTGATATGCGTATGTTGAATCAGCTTTGCATCCCAGGAATAAAGCCTACTTGATTGTGGTATATTAATTTTGATGTGCTGCTGGATTTGATTTGTTAGTATTTCGTTGAGGATTTTTGTGTCTATGTTCATGAGGGATAGTCCAGCCACTGTGGAAAGCAGTTTGTAGATTTCTCAAATAACTTAAAACAGAAACCCCATTCAACCCAGCATTCCCATTACTGGGTATGTACCCAGAAGAAAATAATTCTACCAAAAAGACACTTGTACTTGTATGTTCATCACTGCACTCATCGTAATAGCAAAGACATAGAATCAACCCAGGTGTCCATCAATGATGGAATGGGTAAAGAAAATGTTATACATATACACCATGGAATACTGTGTAGCCATAAAAAAAAATGAAATCGTGTTCTCTACAGCAACATGGATGGAGCTGGAGGTCATAATCCCAGGCAAATTAATACAGGAACAGAAAACCAAATATTTCATGTTTTCATTTATAAGTGGGAGCTAAACATTGAGTACACATGGACATAAATATGGGAACAAGAGACACTGTGGACTACTAGAGGGTGAAGCGGGGGCTGGGTTACAAAACTACCTATCAGGTACTGTGCTCAATACCTGGGAGATGGGATCTGTACTCCACACCTCAGCATCATGCAATAATCCCCATGTAACAAATCTGTACATACACCCTCTGTATCTAAAATAAAAGTTGAAACAGAAAGATAGAAATGTTGGAAATTTCCAGGAAATACTAGTTTATTGCCATCACTAAACTGAATAAGTTTATTATCCTAAAACTGGGGTATTCTTTTCCCCTCTAATGGTCCACCTAAGAGAGATACTGATTCCTATGACTCATAGTTATTTATACCCTTAATTAGCATTTTTTGCATGAGAACCAATTTATGTAAAATAAAACTATTTAAAGTGACATTTAACAAAATAGTTTTAAAATATATCTTTTAAAAAATGATAAATGATCATTTAAAAATATCTAAACACTACAATAGAATTAAAAAAAACACCAATACCAAGAGAGCGTATCATTTAACAGGAAACAAAAACATATTCAATTCTCTTTTACTTTACTAATTCCCAAAGGGAAAAACTAAATGTATACAACTCTAATAACTTTATTGTACAAAATACTTCTAATGGAAAAAAAAATTGTGTGTGTGTGTCTGTGTGTTTCATATTAGAAAATTAGCAAGAAGGAGGCAGCTTTCTAAATTCTTATACTGAAATTTAATTGAAGACCATATTGTGAGCTCCATTTGACTCATGGATCACAACTTGGTAACAGCTGATATAAACCTATAGCCTACACATCATATTATTTGTTCTTATTTCCAATTCTGCTTGTATGTTTAATTAAATAAGTTCCACTGCCAGTTAGGACTAGCAGCCTCAAGGTTTACCCTTTGATTTCAGTCAACTTAGTGATAGGTTTTTCCGTGGGAACAGTGCCCCTAGGATGCCTAGACACAGCCCACAGTCCCAATGAAGTCTGCAATTTTGTGCTACTGTGTACCTTGGAAACATATCTTTTAACCATCCTCTAGACCCTGGTTTTGCAACTTCAGAACTATTGACATTTCAGATCAGATCGTTTTGGGTCTGTGTTGAGGGGAGGGGTGTTTTGACAATCATTAAGCCATATTCCTGGCTTCTACCCACTAATTGCTAGTACCACAAGCCTCTGTTAGTGACAACCAAGAATGCCTCCAGTCACTGTTAAAAGTCTCTAAGGGGCAAAATTAACCCAAATTAAGAACCACTGTTCTCACCCTTAACTTTGTTGATTGATGATCCGAAGTTCTTACCTTTTTAAGCAATATATCAAATATTGTATATCTTTAAAATGTATGAAATTCCATTCTAACACATGGGGTTTAATTGTTTATTTGTTAATCCTTTGGATGGGTGCTTTGAGGAATGTACATGGTTGGGCTCATTGAAAATATAAAATTTCATTCTTAATAGTCATAACATTAAAGTTTAATGTGAAGAACATTTACCATGGTCCCTTTTGAAGGACTCTGAAGCATAAGGCATACTGAAAACACAACACTTAGCCAATCAAAAATCCTACCTCTTGAAGAACCAGACTCCTTAAGAAAATAATGTTCTATCTTCACCCTAAGGAAATATAACTCGAAATTTTGTCCTAAGAATGTGGGCAGCAAACGGTAACTTACAATTATTGAAAGATCAAGCCCTAGCTTTTTCTCTATTGGAGTTTCTGTTTAAAGGAGAATGTGTAAGGCCTTTAAAATATTTAAGAGGTCTCTAAAAGAAGGAAGTGGAGAGAAACAAATCATGACTATACAACCCTCAGGCTGATTAAGTCAGAGCTGAGGAAGCATTTTATTTCCTCTCTGAAGTCCTAATCTTTTTCTCCTAATTGTATTTTCTTAGGCTGATATGCTTTAAATCTCAGATCACCTAAGTCCTGATTTACTAATTGTCTATTCCATTTTTTCAATCACCCTTTCTTCTCTAGTGTATCACTTCTGACAATCTCTCCTTTTCCTACTCATTTAACCTCAGAAGTGTGATGTAGATCCAGGATTCTATTAGAGAATGAGGCAAAATATTACTAAACTAACCAACCAAATATATGTACTATGTATTTTTTACTGCTCTAAATATAGTTATTAGCAGAATATCTCATTTTTAAATCAGGAGTTATGCTATATATTTAAAACAAAAATATGAACAAATATGAGACTTATCGCTTACTGAATTCATGATTTTGAGCAATTCCTTTATTTCTCTGAACTTCAGTTGCTTTTTTGGTCAGTGGGATAATTAGGATAAATGAGAAAAAGTAAGAACTTTTCAAGGTTATGCATACTCATTTTGCATATAATAAATGCAAAAACATCAGTCCTTAGTAGGTATTCAAGAAGAAAGTCTCCCATTCCCAGTATCTTTTACAATGAAAATAATTTATGATTTCATAAACCTCTGCTCTGGCTTTTGACTGAAAATTACTTACTTCTAATTTCAGGGAAAGTATATTGAAGCCAGTACCAGCACTTGGATTACCAAAGCAAAAACTGACTGCTAAAACTGTCAAGTGACAGTAAGTGATTCAACCTTCTTTTTACTGGATTGTTTTCTGGTTAAGTTAACACACATTTCAAAACTTAGCCAGAATCGCTGCCTTTTGGCTTTGACATAGAACTTAAAGTGATGCTATTTCAAGGGAAACTGCAATGCAAAGGATGTTATGTTGCCTTTACTTTAAGGTTCATTCACTCTGACTTTTACATGACTTGTTAGACATTAGCCTCCCTGTTTTGAAAAGGCCAGGTACATCAGGGTTAGTGCAGAGGGTGAACACTATTAGTTTGCACTTTATCACTGTCATCCAGCTGCTGAATGGCTGCATTTTACATTATACAGGTAATGAAAGATGTCAGAGCTATTTCAGGGAAACGGTTCCTTCACAAGTCAAAACTCAACAGAGGACTCATGGTTTCTGATTTTCAGTAAGAAAAAGTTTTTCTGTCTAAGTCCCTCAAATAGCCTGCATTCAATTTTCAATGAGAATATAGTAATAATTGTCTGAGCGCATATTGTTAAACAATTAATGAACTCTATGACAGAATTGGTTCAGAATTTATTATTTTAAAATGTAAGTAAATATAAGATAAACTAAAACTTTGCTTCAAATATTTGCTTTAAGCTGGATTTTAATCAAAACTAAATATCATAATGAGATGCACATTGTGCTGTTATTCATTCTTTTTGTTAACTCAAATGACTTTGAAAACTTAAATAACAGCATGTTCGCTCAACACTGTGCTGATCTCACTTGCTCCCATCTAAGCACAGCCCAACAAGCCGCCATACCCAAACTCTGACAGTTTATTGGGGCATTAAGCAAGGATTTTATTTTACTTTATTACATCTTATCACACTTTTCATTTTTTATTCCACTATGGTAGGCTCATCTTCCTCTCACACTGCCAGAGGCTACCGATCTGTAATACAGCTCAGCTTCAAACCCACTCAAAAGAAGAAAGATCAAATGAGTGAAAATGGAAGCAGACCATAACCATTGCTTCCATTCAAACTCATAAAATTTCTGCACCCGTGGGGGATTTCTTAAGATCCTAAACACAGTCTTCAGGGAAGAACATGAATTATATGTAAGGAGATTTGGTTTCCAATTCTGACCCTGATGTTTACTAGCTGAAAACACTAATATTTCTGGTATCAATATTTCCATATTTACACATTAATAATTGGACTAGATAATATTAGGTCACTTATAGCTTAAAATATTATTCATCAAACAATAAGAGACTGCTTACTTTTTAAGTAAATAATTGTGTACATGCTCTTTGTTCTCAGTGAAATACAAGCAGATTTTTAAGCTCTTGGAATGTTTTGGCAGTAATATCACTTTATAAGTAAATATTTGCTTTTGTGATGGTTAATTTTATGTGTCAACTTGACTGGAGCATGATTGTTCCCAAATATCTGGCTAAACATTATTTCTGGATGTGTCTGAGAGTGTCTCTGGATGAAATTAGCATTTGATGGGGTAGACTGAGTAAGGCAGATTGCTATCCCCAATGCTGGTGGGCATTGTACAATCCTTTGAGGGGCTGAATAGAATACAAGGGTGGAGGACCGCAGAGTTCACTCTCTTTGCCTGACTTATTGAACTGGGACATTGGTCTCTCTTGTCCTTGGACTGGGACTGACACCATCAGCATTCCTGGTTCTCAGGCCTTTGGACTTGGACTTGAAATACACCAACTTTCCTGGGTCTCCAGCTTATGGACAGCAGATTATGGGGCTCCTCAGCCACCGTAATTATGTGAGGCAATTCCTTATAATAAATCTCTTACTAGATATACAGTTGACCATTGAACAATGTGGGAGTTAGGTGTGCTGACTGCTCCCCATGCAGTCAATAATTCATGCACAAATTTTTACTCCCTAAAAGCATAATTACTAATATCCTACTATTTACTGGAAGCCTTACTCATAACAAAACAGTTGATTAGCACATATTTTTATGTTATATGTATTATATACAGTATTCTTACAAAAAAGTGAGCTAGAGAAAAAAGTTATGAAGAAAATTATAAGGAAGAGAAAATATATTTGTTGTTCATTAAATGGAAGTGGATCTTCATAGATGTCTTCATCCTCATTGTCTTTAAATTCACTAGGCTGAGGAGGAGAAAGAAGAGGAGGGGTTGGCTCTGCTGTCTCAGGGGTGGCAGAGGTGGCAGAGGTGGGGGGTGGGGCATGAAAGAGAAGGCAAGAGAGGTGGGTATACTTGGTGTAACTTTTATTGAAAAAAATTCACATATAAGAAAACCCAGGTAGTGCAACCCCATGTTGTACAAGGAACAATTGCATCTATGTATATATGTGTATGTGTATAAATATAGATACCGATATTAAGAAAGAGATATATCAATAGGATATATATGTGTGTATATAGACATACATAGTATATATCTAGAAAGAGATATATCCAATCAGATACATACTGTTAGTTCTGTGTCTCTGGAGAACCCTGACTATATATTTTTTTTCCAAAAAGTGGACTTTTCAAAACTAATGGCAAATTCTTAATTCCTTATATTGGATTATACATTTTTCATGTCATTCAAAACAATTTTGCCTATATTACCTTGTTTTTTATTTATTTTTTCCATTTTTTAAGAAATTTGGGACTCACATGATATAACTGTTAAAAATCAACATCTTATTATGACATATAGTATATGTGCATAAATATTACTTTGCAGTTTAATAATAGATGTAATGAGAACCCTTTTATTGTTACTATCACACAGATGAAGTACTAGACCATTCCCGGAGGTCTTCCTCTGTCCCTTTTCTGTGCCAATTATCAGTTAATTTCCTCACACTTTCAATCAAACCCACCCTGTTTTATCTGCTCTGCCACAAGGAAGTTTTAAGCATTTTTTTCTTTGCTGCAAGCACAATATTAAGCGATGTCAATAGAGGGCACTGGAAGAACTTCGTGGGAGGAAGGGACTTCTGATTCCAAAGGCCAAGAAGCCTTTGGCTTCTTGCTCCTACTGTGTGGTTTGTAAATATGTGCCACCCTGATGATGAGAGGATTCTGAACATGGTGGTTCCTGGACTCCCTCTTTGCATTTATGAGCCAATGTTGGCCTTGGCCTTCCTGTACTCCAGAGGGGTTGTCCAGTGATTGTGGGCTAACTTTGGCTTGGAAAACTTAGTAAGGTTACTATCTTGTGGGATGCAACTACACCTTCTCCAACGATGAACCCAGTCTTGAGAAGGGGTACTCCTTTCCAAGTCCGTCCTTCCATAACTACTCTCCCTCAACCCAACAGTATTCTTCAGAATTCTGCCTACATATCTATAATTACTCCTCTGGTATAGCTCTTTAGATCCCGACTGACAAACCTTGAAAATCAAAATGCCTTTCCCAATTACCCTCAAGGCAGCCACTATTCTGACTCATTTATAAAGATTGTCTTGATTTCCTTTATAGTTTTGTCACCTACGAATATATTTTTAAACAACATAGTTTCATTTTGCCTTTTTTAGAACATTATGTAAACTCAGTCTGTAATCGTTTTTATTTATTTTTTGTTCAAAATGATGTATTCTAGAAACCCTAATGTTGCTGTATATATGGTCTGCTTTATTCACATACCCCCAATGTATTTTCCATGGATTGTTGCCAGTGTTTGACAAGTATGAGCAATTGCATATATATATATATATATATAATTATATGATACATATTATTATATTTTATATATTATATATGTATTGTATATAATATATTACATATATATAATTTTTTAGAGTCAGGCTCTCACTCTGTAACTCAAGCTGGAGTGCAGTGGTGCAATCATGGCTCAATGAAGCCTCAAACTCCTGGGCTCAAGCAATCCTCCTGCCTTAGCCTCCTGAGTAGCTAGAACTACAAGCATGCACCACCACTGAAAAATTGCCTTTTAAACACTCTTTTACTTATTGCAAATCACTGTTTTTATCTCTATGAACTATGTGCAGGGGTGAAATTTCTGAATCAAAAGGAATACATTGTCAACATTTCTAGATTATGGAATATGGATTACCAAAGAGGTGATACCAATGTATTAATACAATCCCTCCAGCCATACAGAATTCTTGTAGCTCTATATCCTTGTTAATACATTTTAATATTAAGAAAAATGCTATTATTTAGTAATAAGTACTGAAGTTTAGCACCTTTATACATATTTATTGGTATTTTGACTTCCTCTATGGCAAAATAGAGCCTGTATTAAGCCTTAAAAGCCTGTTTTAAGTCTTTTAAACATTTTTTTATTGGGATGTCTGATTTTTCAAAGTTTTCTTCATACAAAATCTGGATAAAAGTTCTTCATCAGCTGTACGTGTTGCAAATTGCTTCTTCTGTTCTATGGCTTTTTACTTTTCTTTTTAAATGGTGTCTTTTGAAGAAGAAAAAATTATGGCTATAATTTTAACAGCGTTGAATTTATTAATCTTTTTCTTCATGGTTACTGCTTTTTTTCGTTTTGTTTAAGAAATCCTTTCCTATAAAGGACATTAATATATTCTTCCATATAATCTTCAAAAAGCTTTATGGTTTTGCCTTTCACATTTTGGTTTTTAATCTACCTGAAATTGATTTTTTATATGGCATGAATGCTTTTGCTATTACGCCATAATTTGTAAAAATCCAATGTACACAAGGTCACCATTAACATCTAAAGTTGTGGTGAAGTAACCTAGTGTAGAATAATGCTGAATTAAAGGAAAAAAAATTTCTTTTTTAAGAAACCCTTAATTAAGTTGTTACTGACTGCCAGACAGAATAGTAAGTGTTTTACTTACATAACCTCAAAGAAGCTCATTTTACAAATAAACCAATTTAGGGTTGGGAGTTTCAGGTATTTGGCTAAGGTCACGTCATAGTATAAATTTGAACAAGGATTAAAATTTTACAAATTAATTCAGAAAACTTCTACTACTTCTATCTTTCTAGGGATAGAAGTTTTGTGTTTGTGTGTTCCCTCCTTATTTTTTTCTCCTTTCATGACTTTAATATGACATTTGTATTCCTGGAATTATCAACTATCTTTGATTACTACTCCAAGTTTTACCTATATTCAAAGTCACCCAGGCTGGGTGCAGTGGCTCACACCTGTAATCCCAGAACTTTAGGAAGCCAAGACAGGATTATCACTTGAGTCTAGGAGTTTGAGACCAACTTGGGCAACATAGTGAGACCTCATCTCTAATGTCAGGGTGTGTGTGTATATAATATGTACATATGTGTGTGTGTAGATATATATATGTGTGTGTGTATATGTGTGTGTGTGTGTGTGTGTGTGCATTTATCAGATTCCTGTTTTGGGTTACCAGTCGAAATTTCATTTGAACGAAGGTTTTTTTCCTTTAAAAATGTCTGAAAATAAATAGTCAGTCAGAGTGAATAATAATTATAGGGTTGAATAGGATGCCTTCAATTGTCCAAAAATAAGATTATTTTTAAAATCCACTGGAGAAATTAGATGTAAAGGTTTGTAATTCTAGAATTAATAAGTGAATTTAGTAAAGTCAATACAAAGTCAATTTTATTTGCATACTACTAACAACATTTGGAAGATGAACTTTAAAAATCATTTGTAAGAGCATCATAAAACTAAAAATACTCAGGAATATATATTTTTAAATAACAAAAGGATCTCTTCACTGAAAACTACAAGTCACTGCTGAGGAAGTTCACAGAAAGCATAAATACATTTAGAATACATTTCATGGGTTGAAAAACTAACTCTTGTTAAGACGTGTGTTCTCAACAAGTTTATTTCAACACCATCACAATAAAAATCCTTAGCCTAAGTTTTCTTCTGTGCTTGATCTTGATAATTCTTTACTACTTTTTATTTCTCCAATGCCTTCAAGCTTTATGTATGTGTATGTGTATGTGTATGTGTATGTGTATGTGTATGTGTATGTGTATGTATATGTGTATATGTATGTGTCTGTATGTGTATGTGCATATCCTTTAACTGGGCCAAAACACCCAAGCTGTGGCTTTCCACCTTGGTACTATTAACTTTGAGAGCTTGATAATTATTTGTTGTGGTAGGCTGTTCTGTACATTGAATATATAGCAGCATCCTTGTTCTCTACCCAGTAGTTTCAGTAGCACCCTCCCCTTCCCAGTTGTGACCAAAATGTGTATAGTAATTGCCAAATATCCCTTAGGAGGCAAAATTGTTCCCATTTCAGAGCCACTGACCTAATACAACATTTCCTGAAGCAGAAATCTCACCTTTCAAATAGTTATTTTCTTCCTTCTGATAAAATAAAAACTTTAGGCAAATTAAATTTAAAGGAATTTAATTTAGCAATGACTGATTCGTGAATCGGGCAGCCTCCTGAGCCAGAGTATGGTCTGAAACTCCAGCACAGCTATGTGATGGAAGATTTATTGACAGAAAAAAGAAAGTGATGCACAGAAAACGGAAGTGAGGTACAGAAACAGCTGGATGGGTTACAGCTTGGTGTTTGCCTTATTTGAATATGGTTCAAACAGTTGGCTACATTTGATTGGCCAAAACTCGGTTAGTTGCACAACTGTAGGGTACAGTCTGTTTACATCTCCACTTGTTATAATTCACAATGTACAGAGAAACCTTTAGGCCAAACTTAAAACATGTAAGGAGGCATCATTAGGCTAAACTTGATTTAACACTCCCCTTTCATTTATTGCTTTAAAACATTATCTTTCATCCTGATTCTTGAACCATTTGCAAGAATTACACTATTTTAAATCATTCATTTATTCCCCATTGATTATAGAATAAATTCCAAATATCTTTACATGGCATTTAAAGCTCAAACTACTTCACCAGTCTCTTGTCTCACCATATCTTGATTCAGAGTGAGTATTCTTACAACATCATTTCTTCTTCTGTGTGGATGGTTTTGATAATATTTTAAAAGGATCCTCAGAAGATTCTACATGATAAAGCACCACTCACCTTGGTAATGAACCTGATAATATGTATTTATAGTGGCTTTTTTTCTCTCCCTGTTTTGTTATCCTTATCCCTTACTCTTAATGCTTAGGATCAATCCCCAAAGTACCTGCACACAAGTTTTAGTCTCAGGCTCTTATTTTGGTGGATCTCAAACTAAGACATACCGGCAAAATTTTGCTTATCCTTTAAGACTCTTAGATATAATTACAAAAAATATTTCCTTTCCTCCTTCTTTCTCTCTCTCCCATTTGACTGGTGCTCCTCCCCAATGCCACCCATCAACACCAAACCCTGTGCTAATTATTTGCAAGCCTTTTTGAGAACTGAGTCTGTGTCAGAATCATCTTTGTATCTATAATACCTAGGTATTACAGTGAATAATGTGATACCTAGATGGTCATAATAATATATTCCATATCAATTTTAAATAAAATAATTTATTATGTAGTTAATTAATATGGTTACTGCTTTTCTTCATTTGTCTTCTGCTAACATTTTGGGAAGAAAAATCTATTCTCTACTAACTCTTTTCCCATATCTCATGCTCAATTTTAGAATATTAATATCTGGTTTCCACTCTCACCACTCATATGCAACTGGCTTCTCAAAATTTAGAACAGTATGTTAATTGCTAAATCAAGTGACTCCTTATCAGTGTTCCTCTTTTTCAGTCTCTCTGAAGGGCCTAACACTGTTGACTACTTCCTTTTTCTGAAAACTTAGTTTCCAGGATATAACTGTCTTCTATTCCCGTTTCCTCTTTGATCATTCTATCTCACTTTCCTTTATTATCTATAATCTTTTCCCTCTATATTCCTATTGAATTCTATTTTTCCTGTATTTCTGCCTTTTACTTCTTCTCTGCTAGCTCTGTGCATTTTCTCTAGGTGCTTACATAAGTAACAGATTACTTTAACTTACAGGTATGCATTTTGTAGAATGTGCTATCAAAATGTATTGTGATATTGTGGGCACTTCTAATTCAATAGAACCAGTATTTTTCTTGCCTTTCTCAAAAATTTCTTTCTGAAAATTGGTTAAACACATCACCAAGTGTATAGCATGTTGTCATTCCCTCTCTCTTTCTAATTGATTGCAGACATGTTTTTGATTTGCTGTCTCTATATCTAATTCTCTCAATTTTATTCTCTGTCACCAGATGATTTATTTGAAATACAAGCCTGACCTTGTCACAGATCTCCTTAAAAGCTTCAAATTGATCATCAAAATACAAAGGTTATTTCTGAAATCTTTAGCGTGGAATTCAGGATCTTTCTTAATGAAGCTCTACCTTTCCTCCTCTCCACTTCATTCATTTATCTATCAGTTTTGTTGTCATTCTGTTAGTCACTAGTAATATTTGGTTGAACAAAACACACACAGTTCCTCTCCTCCTAGATCTTTTATTCCCCTATGCTTCTAGTCTCCACTGTACCCACTAGACTGTTTTTTTAATTTGATACACCACATCTATATTGTGAAATTATTACCACCAAGTTAGTTAACACATCCATCACTTCACCTAGTTATCGTGTGTGTGTGGGGGGGTGTGTGTCTGTGTGTGTGTGTGTGTAGTGAGAATACTGAATATCTACTCTCTTAGCAAATTTTAAGTATACAATATGTTATTAACTATAGTCACCATGCTATATGTCAGAGCCCCAAATCTTACTCATCTTGTAACTTACACCTGTTCCCTTTGATCAATGTATCCCCTATCTCCTCCAACACCCTAGTTCCTGGCAACCATCTTCTTGGTTAAATTTATTATTGATTCAATCCTTACTTGGTGTTTGTCTATTTAGATTTTTTATTTCTTCATGATTCAATCTTTGTAAGTTGTATGTTTCTAGGGATGTATATTTCTTCTGGGTTATTCAGTTTTTTGGTTTATAATTTGTTCATAGTAATCCCTTACAGTCCCTTGCATTTCTGTGGTATTAGTGACGATGGATCTTATTTCATTCACAATTTTATTTATGTGCATTCTCTCTCTTTTCCTTGGTTAGTTTATCTAAAGGCTTACAAATTTTGTTTGTCTTTTTTGCATTTATTTTTAAATTTTTTTTTAACTTTTGTTTTTGCTTGAGGGATGCATGTGTAGGTTTGTTATATACGTATATTGTGTGTTGTGGAGATTTGGTGTACAGATTATTTTGTCACCTAGGAAATAAGCATAGTAGTTTTTTTTATTATTGTTATACTTTAAGTTTTAGGGTACATGTGCACAATGTGCAGGTTAGTTACATATGTATACATGTGCCATGCTGGTGTGCTGCACCCACTAACTTGTCATCTAGCATTAGGTATATCTCCCAATGCTATCCCTCCCCCCTCCCCCCACCCCACAACAGTCCCCAGAGTGTGATGTTCCCCTTCCTGTGTCCACGTGTTCTCATTGTTCAATTTCCACCTATGAGTGAGAATATGTGGTGTTTGGTTTTTTGTTCTTGCGATAGTTTACTGAGAATGATGATTCCCAATTTCATCCATGTCCCTAGAAAGGACATGAACTCATCATTTTTTATGGCTGCATAGTATTCCATGGTGTATATGTGCCACATTTTCTTAATCCAGTCTATCATTGTTGGACATTTGGGTTGGTTCCAAGTCTTTGCTATTGTGAATAAAGGCATAGTAGTTTTTTGATCCTCACTCTTCTCCCAGACTTTACTGTCAAGTAGGCCCCAGTGTCTGTTGTTTTGTTTAGCTCCCACTTATAAGTGAGAACATGTGGTATTTGGTTTTCTGTTCCTGTGTTGGTTTGTTTAGGATAATGCCTCCATCCATGTTGCAGCAAAGGACAAAATCTCATTCTTTTGTGAGGCTGCATAGTATTCCATGGCATATATGTACCACATTTTCTTTATCCAGGCAACTGTTGATGGGTATTTAGGTTGATTCTATGTATTTGCTATTGTGAATGGTGGCGTGATGAATATATGAGAGCATATGTCTGTACGGTAGAATGATTTACATTCCTTTGGGTGTATACCCAACAATGGGATTGCTAGGTCGAATGGTAATTCTGTTTTAAGTTCTTTGAGGAACAGCCAAACTGCCTTCCACAATAGCTGAACTAATTTACACTCCCACCAGCAGTGTATAAGTGTTTTCTTTTCTCCACAGCCTCAAAAGCATCTCTTATTTTTTGACTTTTTAATAATAGTCATTGTGACTGGTGTGAGATGGCACCTCATTGTAGTTTTAATTCGTATTTCTCTAATTAGTAATGTTGAGCATTTTTTCATATGCTCGTTGGCTGCCTGCATGTCTTCTTTTGAGGAGCTTTCGTTTATGTCATTTGCCCACTTTTTAATGGGGTTTTTTTTTCTCACAAATTTGTTTAAGTTCCTTGTAGATTCTAAATATCGAAACTTTATTGAATTCATAGTTTTCAAATATTTTCTCCCATTCTGTAGATTCTGTAGGTAAGCTCTTTAGTGTAATTAGGTCCCATTTGTCAATTTTTATTTTTTTTCAATTGCTCTAGGCATCTTCATTATGAAGTCTTTGCCAGGTCCTATGTCTAGAATGGCATTTCCCAGGTTATCTTTCATAAAATCAGCTTTGAGCTTTGTTGATTTTTTTCTATTCTCTATTTCATTTATTTCTACTTTAATCTTTATTATATTCTTTCTTCTGCTAACTTTGCTAGTAGAGAGTGAGATTATATATTCAGGATATTGAAATAATAAAACTGCCAACTGAGCACACTATACCTAACAAAACTCTCCTTAGTAATGAAGGACAAACGAAGACTTTAAAAAACAAAAAAAATTTGAGGAAGTTCATCACCACTATGGTATTCTAAATATTAAACCTTATGGGAAATTCTAAAGAGATTGTTTTTCAACCTGAAATGAGACAATGCTAATTAACAACATAAAAACATATGACCATACAAAACTCACTAGTAAAAATAAAAATATAGTCAAGTCAGAATCCTCTAATAATGTAATATTGATGCGTAAATCATTTTCAACTCTATAAAAGTTAAAATATAAATGTATTAAGATAATTATTTGTTATTAGATACACAATATAAAAAGATATAATTTTTAAAATTGATAAAATATGAGAAAGGGGGAAAGTAAAATTATTGAGTTTTTATATGCAATGAAAGTTAAGTTGTTATAAGCTTAAATTAGAATGCTATGAGATATATTTCATGTAAGCCTTATGGTAAACACAAAGGAAAAACCTGTAGCAGATTCTCAAAAGATTAAGAGAAATAAATCAAAGTATACCACTGCACAAAGTCATCTAACTACAAAGAAAGCCTGCAAGAGAAGAATATAAGAAAAAAGAAACTACACGAGTCAGAAATCAATTAATAAAATAGCTATAGCAAGTTCTTACTTATGAATAACTTTAAATAAGTGGATTAAATTCCCCAATTAAAAGACATAGAGTGACTGAATAAATTTTTAAAATATAGTGATTTGCTGCTTACAAGAGACTCACTTTAGTTTTATGGACACACATAAGCTGAAAGTAAAAAGCATAAAGAAATTAATGCAAATGGTAACCAAAAGAGACCAGGAGTAGCTATATTTATATCAGAGAAAATATATTTTAAGTGAAAATTAGTGACAAGACTCATGCCTGTAATCTCCACATTTTGGGAGGTCAAGGCAGGTAGATCACTTGAGATCAGGGGTTTGAGATCAGACTGGCCAACATGGTGAGACCCTGTCTCTTCTGAAAATACAAAAATTAGCTGGGCATGCTAGCACATGCCTGTAAATCCCAGCTACTTGGGAGTCTGAGGCATGAGAATCGCTTGAACCCAGGAGGCAAAGGTTGCAGGGAGTCGAGATTGTGCCACTGCACTCCAGCCTGGGTGATGGAATAAGATTCTGTTTCAAAACAAACAAGCAAACAAAAATTAGTCACAAGAGATGAAGAAGGCCATTATATAGTGATAAAGGAGTCAGTTCATCAAGAAGATATTAAAATGGTAAATATATATGCAGCAAACATCAGAGCACCTAAACATATAAAGCAAACAATAAAAGAACTGAAAGGAGATATGAACTCCCATAAATGATAATAGGAGACCTCAAAACCCCCAGTTTTAATAATAAATAGAAAATCCAGAAAGAAAATAAATAAGCAGTGGATTTGAACATTATAAACCAAATGGATTTAACACATATATACAAAACATCCCACCCGACAGCAGCAGAATATATACACTTCTCAAGTGCACATGAACATTCTTTAAGTTAGATAATCTTAAGCCACAAAACAATTCTTGATAAATTGAAGAACATTGAAATCACATTAAGTATCTTTTCTGATTGCAATGATATAAAACTAGAAATCATTTAGAAAAAGAAAATTGGAAAATTCACAAATATGTAAAAACTAAACAGCACACTCCTGAACAAACAAGGGGCCAAAGAAGAAATTAAAATGGAAATTAAAAAAAATCTTCAGACAAATAAAAATGTGATACAGTTTACCAAAGCTTATGGGATAGAGCACAGTGGTACTAATAGGGAAGTTTATCGCTATAAATGCCTACATGAAAGAAAATGAAAGATTTCAAATAAACAAACTAACTTTACACCTCAAGGAAGTAGATGAAGAATATTTAATAGGTAAAGTTTCACTAAATTCAAAGTTAGCACATTGGAATGTTTTAACCTCTAGAAATGTCTTGGCCTCTCATTCATCATGACATTGCCACTGAAATTTTCTCTTGAGTGTTCTTGTATTCTTTGCGCACCTTTCCATCCTACTTATCCTTAAAACTAACTGAAATTGCAGCATCTTTTCTCAACTTCTAAATAATTCTCCTACTTAAGTTCCAATAGAATTGGAACTCCTTGTTAATTAACCATGATTAGTTACTATTATACAGAGACTAACCTAGAATATTGATCAGTATATAGTACTATTTATTTTAAGGATTAAAAGAAAGAGTTTCGAGTTAGAAAAACCCAGTCTCTAGTCATGTCCCTGATATATATTATCTGTGTGATTCATCCTAGAAAAATTACTTATTCTATGCTTCACTTTCTTGGTACATGAAACCAATAAATCTAGTTATGTATTTTGATCTAGATATCTAAATCTATGTCTCTATCTCTACAAACACATTTACTCCTCCAACATGATTTGGATGTGTGTCCCCTCCAAATCTCCTGCTGAAATGTTATTCTTAGTGTTGGAAGTGGGGCCTATTGGAAGGTGGTTGTTTTATGGACCAGATGCCCCATGACTTAACACCATCCCCTTGGTGATAGGTGAGTTCTCTCTCACTCAGTTAGTTCATGTTAAATCTGTTTATTTAACAGAGAGTGGGATATCCCTGTTCTCTCTCTTGCTACCAATCTAACCATATGACGCAACTACTACCTCTTCATCTTCCTCCGTTATTGAAAGCTTCCTGAGGCCTGCACCAGGAACAGTTGCTGGAGCATTATTGTACAGCCTGCATAACTGTGAGCCAATTAATCATCTTTTCTTTATAAATTACCCAGCCTAAAGCATTTATTTATAGCACTGCAAGAATGGACTAACACATTCTCTAAGTCTGATCAATTCATTCTTTTTAAAGTTAGGGATTCTCGATATGTAGATAATACAGACACAGTTAATTCAATGCATTTTTAAAAATGTATACTGATATTTGAATATAACTGTACCTACTTCCTGTCCGTATCACTCATACTTTTCTTTATTAAAGTACAGATATTAATAAGAATGGTTGTTTAAATAAATGGCAGTGTTTATAACTAAATAGAACATACACTTATGTAACATTTTAAGCAATGACTGTATGACATTAGGGAAATCATTTAGCTATTCTGAACTTCAGTGTCCTAAATTGAAGACTGAGATTGTAGTGTTACAGCCCTTTCTAGTTCTAATCTAAATTATCTTCTAATTTTTAGTTTCATAAAAATGATATCAGAAACTTTGATGGTGTTTCATTTTTTATAATTTTTTTGATATGCTCTATTTTATTCTGCCAATTTTTCAAGATGCACGTTATTACTATTAATTTTTAAGATGAGAAAACTAATAAAAAAGTTGAAATGACTTTCACCTGTCAGATAGCTAGTTAAAATTAGTTATTCTGTTTTTCAATCTAGTATTCCCTCTGCTACACTAGTGGCTTGCAAAAGTTGGCTCAGGACCCCTTGGAAATCTCAGCGCCCTAGAGTTTTACATTTCAAAAGTATAAGTAGAAACATTCACCTAAATTGGAGTCATGTTTATGCAAGGGTATGGGATAGTTTTTTTTTTAGTGCTTTAGGTTTTTTAATTATAAAAAATACAAAAGCATCTGTCTTTAACTATCATCTATCTATCTATCTATCTATCTATCTATCTATCTATCTATCTATCATCTATCTATCTACCACTGTAATTAGTTTTATAATTTTATGACTAGGGACACAATAAAGTTTGATGGAAAAACAACAGACTAAGAATTCAAGTGCTTGAATTCCATTTCTGTTCTTTCTCCTATTTACATAGTCTGCCTTTTATCTATATTAGATTTCTCAAGCATAGAACAGAAAATAATGGCCTTTCAATTAATTCTCAGTGATACTGACTATATATATGTGTCCTATTTTGGCCATGAATTTCAACCCCCTAATTTTTTTCTGAAGTCTTTTCTTAAGCTGCTTAAAGCAGTAAGGACGCTACTTTTCTATTTAAATTGAGAAGTTTCTTAAAGATTCTGAAAGTACCACACCAGGCAGGGAAGTGTGAAGAGAGAAACCACGTCAGGAAATGGAGCAGCCATGGTTTATTAGCTAATCTGCAGAATGTGACTATGCCCCTAACAGTCCTTATGAAAACATGAATGTCTTCATGAATAAGGGATTTCTGAGCTGCTGTCCTACAAGACTGATTTTTTTGTATAAAAATCTGCTTTTAATTCATCTTTATGTCCATAATATTCCAATATAGTAAAGACAGTAGGAATCCAATAAATATTTTGAAGTATTGGAAAGAAATAAAATCCCAGCTCTGTAGTTTACATGCATGAACTTGGGCAAAATACATAATTTTCTCCATTGTAAAATAGTATGAAAAATGTTTACTTCACGGGATTATTTAACTTTTAAATGTACTTGGAATTTATTGAAAGCTTAGTAGGTGTCAGTTTTTCTTCCATAAATTTTGAATGAATCAATGACTAAATGGTATTTTAGGCAGAATATTTTGAGCAAAGGTCCTAATATTCTTTTGAGCAAAGGCCCACAGAATATTCTGGAAATGGCAAAAATGTTTGTGATTCTAGTACAAAATATTTCAAAAGGGCGATTGATGCAGGAAAGTAGGACAAGAATGAGGCTGCAGGGATAGAGTGAGTGTACGTTTTTAAAGACCTTGACTTTCATGCTCAATAATTGTGACTTTTCTTTTAAGAAATGAGCAACTGTGGAAAGCGTTGTAGTTTACCAGTGCCATACTTAACATTTATGACTTAGAAATAGCCTTTGGACAGCAGTTCTCGAAAATTGACTTTTTTTTTTTTCTGTCCCAAAGAATCCCTGAAAACCACCCCTGTGAGGTAAGAAGCAGTGGGGCAAAGTTTCTGTGGCCTCACTCACAGGCTGAGGGCTGCTCCATCGGGCCCCCAAGGAGTCCTGACACCTGGTAGAACTGAGGCTGGAGAAGGAACAAAACTGGAGGAAGATAATGGAATCCATGACTTTGTTCTGAGGAGGTGGGGGGAAGTGGACAGAGTCTCACACCCTTTTTCGAAAATGGACTTTGAAAGTGCTAATCCGTCTAACAAGTCAAAGAAGTCATGATGAGGATCTGGGTGAGTGTATTGGCATTAGGGATGGAGCTGAGTGGATGCATGTGAAGCATATTTAGGTGTTAACTTGATAGGACTTGATGACAAATTAGATGTGAGGGGAGGGAATGCTAAAGAAGAAGAATCTAAGGATGGCTCCAAGCTTTCTGTTAGATACCTGATAACTATATAATCATATAACTATATAACTATATAAATGTTCATTGAAGAACAATGATAATGATTAAAAGTAAAATTATTACTCATTTATTAAGCATCCAAACTGCCACACACTCTATCTCATGTAACCTTCCTACTGCTCCTTTGAGATATATATTATTATTTCCATTTTATGTGTAAGAAAAAATGATGCCCAGAGATATTAAGTGACTTGCACAAATTCATTGAGTAGAGCTAGAATTTGAGTACATATCTGATTTTAAAGATTATGTCCTTAAATTATATGCTGTATTATGAGTCATTAAAGATTTGGGAAGTTAGTGTAATGAGGAAAAAAGCAAAGCATTTGGCCTATTTAGCCCAAGGGAGTAAAGACTTCAAGAGTAGTGTCAATAATATGAAGCTTTTTTTATATAGATGAACTTTCTTTCTTTTTTTGGCTAGAGGCCAAAAAAAGTCACCATTTTGAACTTAGGTCGTAGCAATATAAGCTATTAAAAAGAACTCACTAAGCCAAAGAGCTGAAAGGTATTAGAATTCAAATGAAAATTAAAGAGATGGAAAAACACATTTGGGGAATGGTATATAAAATTGTAAAAAGTGTCCTAGTGTATAAACACTTTGTCTCTGAGAATAGCACTCAGTGGGAAAATGCAAGAGGAAATGTATGAGTATTTTTATTTTAGAAATTATTTAAAGCTATAGACATTGGCTTGAAATTATGCAAAAGGTTGTCCTATTAGACAGGAAAGAAGTAGCCTCATTACAGATCAGTAGGCAAAGAGAAAAAAAACTACAGCAGCAAAGTAAACCACAGGGACTATGACCAGACAAGGCACAGAGGAAACATAAAAATAGCCAATGAGGCTGGGTGTGGTGGCTGATGCCTGTAATCCCAGCACTTTGGGAGGCCAAGCTGGGTGGATCACAACGTCAAGAGATGGAGACCATCCTGGCCAACATGGTGAAACCCTGTCTCTATTAAAAATACAAAAATTAGCTGGGCATGGTGGCACACACCTGTAGTCCCAGTTACTGGGGAGGCTGAGGCAGGAGAATCGCTTGAACCTGGGAGGCAGAGGTTGCAGTGAGCTGAGATCGAGCCATTGCACTTCAGCCTGTCAACAGAGCGAGACTCTGTCTCAAAAAAAAAAAAAAAAAAAAGAAAAAGAAAAAAATGGCCAATGAACGTATTAGAAACATCCTACCTTACTATTAATCAAAGAAATAAAAATTAAAATAGCAATAACTTTTTTTGAAACCTTGTCTCAAAAAAACAGTACCTAAAGACACTCTCTCACACAGGCTGAAGTGCAGTGGTGCGATCACAGCTCACTGTAACCACAATCTCCCAGGATCAGGTAATCCCCTCACCTCAGACTCCTGAATAGCTGGAACTATAGGCACATGCCACGATGCCTGACAGATTTTCTTATTTTTAGTAGAGACAGGGTTTTGCCAGGTTGCCCAGGCTGGTTTCAAACTCCTGGACTGAAGCAATCTACCTGACTTATTCTCCCAGGGTGCTGGGATTACAGGCACGATCCACTTCACCCTTCTATTAAATTTCAAATTTAATAGTAATAACTATTTTTGTGATAATATTGTCATCTAGGTTGAAGGTAAATGACTTTTGATGATAATGTTATTTGGAAATAATCATGGTAATAATAATAATAACAAGAAGAATAAAACAAACATTTGTGAGAGTTTCATCTCTGATAGGTACTATTCTAAGTATTTTACATATTTTCATGTATTAAATAATCACCATGATTGTATGAAGTAATTTTATAAATTCCATATTACAGATAGGAAAGTGAGCCACATAGAATCAGCCCATGGTTCTTGACTCCAGACCCTACAATGTACTACTTTCAGGAGAAAGGTACATTCTATTCTCAGGTTTCTTAAATAATTAGTTAAATATGCAAACTGACCCAACAATTCCAGAATTTCTCTTAAAGAAGTGATTAAAGCTATGACAAAAACTTAGGTACAAAAGTAGACATTGCGGCATTATATACAATAGTAAGAAATTAGAAACTGTCTAGTGTCCAGCAATAGATAATTTATAGTTATATATCAATACTGTGTATGCAGATTAAAGACTTAAATGTAAAATCCAAAACTATGAAAACCCTAGAAAAAAACCTAGCAAACCACTGGGGACATAGGCATGGAAGATTTTATCATGAAATTGCAAAAAGCAATTGCAACAAATGCAAACATTGACAAATGGGATCTAATTAAACTAAAGAGCTTCTGTGCAGCAAAAGAAACTATCATCAGAGTGAACAGACAAACTACAGAATGGGAGAAAACTTTTGCAATCTCTCCATCTGACAAAGGTTTAATATCCAGAATCTACAAGGAACTTAAAGAAATTTACAAGAAAAAAAAACCCCATTAAAAAGTGGACAAAGGACATGAACAGATAAAAGAAGACATACATGCAGTCAACAAACATATAAACAAAGCTCAACCTCACTGATCGTTACGGAAATGCAAATCAAAACCACAATGAGATACCATATCACACCAGTCAGAATGGCGATTATTAAAAACTCAAGAAAAACAGATGCTGCCAAGGTTGCAGAGAAATAAGAACACTTTTACACTGTTGGTGGGAATGTAAATTAGTTCAACCATTGTAGAAGACAGTGAGGCAATCCCTCAAAGATTTAGAACAGCAAATACCATTTGACTTAGCAATCCCATTACTGGGTATACACCCAAAGCAATATAAATGATTCTATTATAAAGATACATGCATGTGTATGTTTGTTGCAGCACTATTTACAATAGCAAAGACATGGAATCAACCCAAATGCCCACCAATAATAGACAGGATAAAGAAAATGTGGTACATACAACACCATGGAATACTATGCAGCCACAAAAAGGAATGAGATCATGTCTTTTACAGGGACATGGATGGAGCTGGAAGCCATTATCCTCAGGAATCTAACACAGAAACAGAAAGCCAAACACCACATAATCCCACTTATAAGTGGCAGCTGAACAATGAGAATATATGGATATAGGGAGGGGAACAACACACACTGAAGACTGTTGGGGGAGGGCGGAGTGGGGAAGAGCATCAAGAAAAATAGCTAATGCATGCTGGGCTTAATATCTAGGTCATGGGTTGATAGGTGCAGCAAACCACCATGGCGCACATTTACCTATGTAAAAAACCTGCATGTCTTACACATGTACCCTGGAACTTAAAATATAATAAAATTTAAAAAAATACTTAGAAAACAATTTAATTATGTGGGTGATAATTTTCATGTGTTAATTTAAGCAAATTATGGAAGAGTCTATACAGTATAATGATAATCTTCATAAACACAAATCTATGTTAACACACACACAAGTGTGAAATATTTGAAAGTTTGTTCACTGAAATGTTACTATATTTATCCTTGGGTGGTTATGATATTGGTAATATTGAATTATTTGTCTGTATATTCTGATTTTTCCATAATGAGAGTATGTTTTCAAAAAAAGTCTCTGTCACAATCACAAGCTCAACACCTGTGACACTTCATGACATTTAGAGAGAGTTAAGCAAGTCCTGCAGAAACTCTGGAGTTCAAAAGGAGTATAAATCAGTCAACTAGGTAAAAATATGCATCTTTTAACAAACATGAACTTTCAGCCAAGGACAAAGAAGACTTTGTAAGTTGTATAGAAAGGAGTAAGCAATAGGAAGGTGACTTTTTTCATTTCCCACTAATGTATCTGCTAGCACTTGCTTTTAGTGGTTCTAAGAGTCTAATGCCTGTTTGTCCTAAATGATGGCAGTTTCACAGCTTCCTGTGGTAAATAGATTGTTCTAAAAACTCACAGTTTAATAGTCAGAGCAATCTTTCCTGAGAATCCATTCTAAGGGTTCCTTCTCAGTTTTCTCCTAGTCAGTCTTTCTTACATCATGCTAATTATTGATTGCTTCTAGCCTTTGCAGACTGGCTCATTCCTTGGGTTTTTACGGCAGCACCCTTTATTCTTAGATATTCTCCTCATAGCATAACTCATTTGTGTCCTCATCACCTTAGTTTGACTTCTTTGTATTTCCTTCATTTGATTCATATTTATTTGGTTTCCCTTAGTGCTTAAAGCTCTCATTTCTTGTTAACATCATTTAAAAAACCTTTTTAGAAAACATGATAACTGGTCAGACTGCTATGATTTATATATTATTAACTTTTAGGTTCTGAGAAAATTTACCCAAAATGTAAACATCATAAATTAGCTTTCTTTTGTTTACTAAGCAGAAATAGCAATTTATTTTCCATGGATGAGTAGAATGCTTTACTGTGAAGTTTATTGACCTTTTAAGCTGATATTCTGCCATACAGTGTGACATTCTGCCCTACAGTGTGACATTCTGCCCATGAGAGTTTCCCCATAGATTGTCCTTGGGAGGAAGAGGAGGAATGGTGTATGCAGATTGCTTAGGGATTGTTTTACCTGCTCTCACTAGACTTCATGTGAATTTACCTTACTAGGAAACACTCATACAACACAGGCTCTGGAGCCAGACAAGCCTCAGTGTAAGGCCAGATCTGCTATTTCCTCGCTGTATGACCACAGGCACATTGCTTAAAGTCTTTAAGGCTTTGTTTCTGTATTTATAAGGAGGTAGTAATATCTACCTTAAAGTATTGTTATGAGGATTAAATAAAATAATTTATAAAATATTTTATATTCAGAGGATGCTCTGTGAAAGGTTTTTGAATGAATTAGTGATATAATTATTTTTTACTCTTCATATTCTTCTCAAGGTATCATGGTAACCTTAGATACTTATTTAGATGTTGTTATAAATGTTTAATTGATGCTCATTTTCTTCTAATACTTCTGTATTAGTTTGTTCTTGCACTGCTATAAAGAAATACCTGAAACTGGGTAATTTATAAAGAAAAGAATTTTAATTGACTCACAGTTCCACATGGCTGGGGAGGCCTCAGGAAACTTACAATCATGACAGAAGGCAGCGGGGAAGCAGGCACTTCCTACAGGGCTAGAGCAGGAGGAAGAGTGAAGGGAGAGGTGCACATATTTTTAAACCAGATCTCATGAGAACTCACTATTATGAGAACAGCAAGGGGGAAACTTGCCCCCATGAGCCAATCACCTCCCCACGGACCCCTCCTCCAACAATGGGGATTACAGTTTGACATGAGATTTGGGCAGGGACAGAAATCCAAACCATATCAACTTCCTATGGTTTTAAATGTTTATTTCAATTCAAATGAATAGTATTTTTCAACAAGAAATGACATTAACTTATTTCAAGGGTTACTAGCATTAGTCTTGACAATGATTTCCTTCCTTACTGAGACAATGATCTCTAATAAACAAAAATAGAAGTATAATTAAGGAGTAAGTTATGTATGTTAATTAGCAGGCATATGTTACTGTATATAGACTGGTCAATTGTTACTGTCCCACTGCTCTTTAATACAGATGCTTCTGTTAGCTTGCTTGACCCTGTCATTAGGAATGTCAAATTATACAAAAGTATATACCTTGACATTATTCTTTCACTTTTCCTAGACTTTCGTATTTTAGATCTTAGCTGGCCATTTGGTGACTTCTTGTAGTGTTGTCTACTAGCTTTATCTATGGGTTTGTATCAGGCAGACCTGGGCTGTCTCCCTAGAACTGTCACACATATTGCGTTCTTGGGTAAGTGTATTAGTCCATTTTTATACTGCTATAAATAACTGCCTGAGACTGGATAATCTGTAAAAGAAAGACATTTAATTGACTAACAGTTCAGCAGGGCTGGGGAGGCCTCAGAAAACTTACAATCATGGCAGAAGGAGAAGGGGAAGCAAGGCACCTTCTTCACAGGGTGGCAGGAAGGAGAAGTGCTGAACAAAGGGAAAAGAAAACCATCAGATCTCCTGAGATCTCACTCACTATCACAAGAACAGCATGAGGGAAACCACCCTCATGATTCAGTTACCTCCACTTGCTCTCTCCCTTGACACGTGGCGATTTTGGGGATTATAGGGATTTGGGTGGGGACACAAAGCCTAACCATAGCAGTAAGTTAAGTATCCTACCTAGACTTAGATTCTTTACCCATAAGAAGAAAATAATAATAGTGTTTACTTTAAGTTGTTATTTTAAGGATTATTTTAGGTAATGCTATTGAAACACTTAGCACAAACCTTGCCACATTGTAAGTACTCAACTGTAACTATTTTATTATCATTATAATTTAAAAGGTCATAGTAAATATGTCTATTACAACATAAATGAACAAGATCAAACATGGGACAAATTCTGAGGTTTGCAGTAAAGGAATTAATTTCTTATGAATTGAAATGATGCCAAGTGCCATATTAAAATCCCCATCTAATTTGTGCAGAAATCATTCAATTGCTTTTTCAAAAGATGTAAATAAGAAACTGATATGGAACAACAATGTTTTAATTCTCCAGATAAAGGGGGATGCATTGCATGATAGAAATGGCTAATCTATTTTCCTGAGTCTTTTTATTCAATACAAGTAAGTGAACAGGATGAACACAGGGAAAAAATACTAAGGGAATCTTTGAACTGGAGATTAGCATGTAAAACACAAAACAGAAGTGGCGAGGCAAGGAAGATAAACAGATTTGTTACAACAAAAGCTTGAAAAAAAAGGAAATTTGTTTACAAGGAGGTGAAGATATATGTGGGAATTTATGTGACATAAAAAGAAATTATTATGATTTCTGGAAATCTTGGAACTGAAAGATGTACCTTATTTCCCTTTTCTCCTCCCAATCTGCCACTCAACTGCATTTAAAAAATTTTTCCTATTGGTTACTGTCATTATTGATGAATTTCACAGTGTTGGTTCTGTGGGAAGCAGACACTGACACAAATTTTAGTGTTTGGGAGCAGCTATTTGGTCAACACCCATAGGAGAGAGGGGAAGAAAGCAGGGCTGGCAAATGGGCTTGGATAAATCAAGCTGTTATGCAGATCTAACAGCCTCAAACCACCCTAGAGGGATCTCTTGAGCTAACATTTATGCAGCCAAAAAACACATGAAAAAATGCTCATCATCACTGGCCATCAGAGAAAAGCAAATCAAAACCACTATGAGATATCATCTCACACCAGTTAGAATGGCAATCATTAAAAAGTCAGGAAACAACAGGTGCTGGAGAGGATGTGGAGAAATAGGAACACTTTTACACTGTTGGTGGGACTGTAAACTGGTTCAACCATTGTGGAAGTCAGTGTGGCGATTCCTCAGGGATCTAGAACTAGAAATACCATTTGACCCAGCCATCCCATTACTGGGTATATACCCAAATGACTATAAATCATGCTGCTATAAAGACACATGCACATGTATGTTTATTGCGGCATTATTCACAATAGCAAAGACTTGGAACCAACCCAAATGTCCAACAATGATAGACTGGATTAAGAAAATGTGGCACATATACACCATGGAATACTATGCAGCCATAAAAAATGATGAGTTCATGTCCTTTGTAGGGACATGGATGAAATTGGAAATCATCATTCTCAGTAAACTATCGCAAGAACAAAAAACCAAACACTGCATATTCTCACTCATAAGTGGGAATTGAACAATGAGATCACATGGACACATGAAGGGGAATATCACACTCTGGGGACTGTGGTGGGGTGGGGGGAGCGGGGAGGGATAGCATTGGGAGATATACCTAAGGCTAGATGACAAGTTAGTGGGTGCAGCGCACCAGCATGGCACATGTATACATATGTAACTAACCTGCACAATGTGCACATGTACCCTAAAACTTAAAGTATAATAAAAAAAAAAAGAGAGAAAGAGAAAAAAATAAAATAAAATAAAATAAAATTACATCCCACTTCCCTCCAAAAAAAATAAAAAAAATAAAATAAAATGGCCCATCAGAGTTACCCTTTCTTGAGCTAAAATGGCTGGGCCTTTAAAATCTTGTTTCAGTTAGTCACTGCATGATAGGCCACCCCTAGAACTGTATGACCTTGGATGCAGCAGCTCTCTGCAACTGAGACAATCCCTGAAGAAGCTCACAAGTAAAGGTTGTCCACTGAGTACTGGCAGCAGATGGAGGAAAAAGTTCTTCTTTGCAGTTGGATCTGAATGGTGCATCTCCATATCAACCAAAATGACCCATTAAAGTCCTACACTCAGAAGACCTCCACAGCCATGCACTGGAGGTTTACACCTATTTTAATCTCTGATATTTGGGGAAAAGTGAATGACTTTCACAAACTTATTAATGATAATATCTTTACCTGACAAATGCCCAATTTTCCTGTACCTGTTGGAAGTGCTTTCCCACAGACCTCCTTTAACAAAGTCTTAGCTATGCCAATGAAGGCTGCTAACCATATCAGTCTTTCTACTGACTCTATGACATTCTCAAAGACACCTTAGACTCCCACAACCCTCTATCACTTTCTCTTTATCTGCAATACCAACTCTCAGCCTGGTTGCATTCCTTCTTCCACATTCTCTCTATCTGCTTTGAGTTTACAAAGTTTTACCTTCAGAGTTGTTGGTTTTTACTAAAAAACAAAATCAAAAGCAATAAACCTTCCTTCCTAATGCTGTATTCTATATTTTTCACATGATTGGTCACTGCTTCCTCATACATGAAGCTTAATCTTTCTCCAGTTTCTCTTTTCCCTCCCTTTCCCCTCTAATCGGCTATTTGTTGCAAATATCAACACATTCTTTTATTGTCTTTTAATTTTTGTTTTCTCTTCTCTTAACAAATAACCTGGACCCTATGGAACAAAAGTGACAGTAGGTGGCTGATCAAAAAAGCAAAAATTTTTACCTTTTGGACTATGTGGATGGTTGCTGAAGGAACTATGTATGCTTGCTTATGTAAAAATATTATTCCCTTTCATATATACATTCATTCTCTTGTGAATGTTTTCTACTATCCAGTGATTATTTTATTCTGTTCTAATGGATTCCATCTAGCTCAAAATCTCATTTCTACTACCCTTTCTCTTCAGTCTTCTCAAGCTCTCTCTTGCGTACTGACTCACAGAGAATAAAGGTAGTAGATATGATACTGCAACTTAATTTATAATTTAAATTTATTTTTCAGTGCTTTCCACCTCCTTAGAGGAAGTGTTTTTGTTGTTGTTTTTTTTTTGTTGTTAGTCTGTCCTCACACTGCTATGAAGGAATACCCGAGACTGGGTAACTTATAAAGGAAAGAGGTTTAATTGACTCACAGTTCTGCATTGCTGGGGAGGCCCTAGGAAAGTTACAATCATGGCAGAAGGCAAAGGATAAGCAGGCATCTTCTTCACAGGGCAGCAGGACAGAGTGAGTGCCAGCAGGGGAAATGCCAGATGCTTATAAAACCATCAGACCTCATGAGAACTCACTCACTATCATGAGAACAGCACGGGGGAGACCACCCCCATGATCCAATTACCTCCACCTCATCCCAACTTGATACACAGGGATTATGGTGGTTATAATTTGAGGTGAGATTTGGGTGGGGACACAGAGTCAAACCATATCATGTATTTTCTTTAATCTTACATTCTCTTATGAATTGGTTCTCAGACTTGAACTGAGCAAATATGATCAAGACAAGAAACAAAGAATTAGCAGGTTGTTTAATTTTCTCCCCCTGCAAATTATTTGAAGTCAAATATTTTTATTACAAGGCTTCTTTATTCACTTCTTATGTCCTTCAAATAAAATATAACTTATTTTAAAACCTATAGGCAATACTTAATGGTCCTTGATATTTTCAGCACCATAGTGGCATCATATAACTGGTGCTGAAGACCCCAGTGTTTTCATTTGATTCCAAGATTATATTAGAAATTATACAGCCTGCGTGTCCAACTTAATTAACAGTTACTGGTGATAAAATGTATTTACATGCATCAACATTGATTGATTCAAATACCCGAATCATCAAGAATGAAAATATAATCTAATTATAGGTAAAATTTGAAAATTTTCAAATCCTTGGTTTTGAAAGATTTAGTTTACCATTAAGCAATCTTCTACTTCTCAAGCAGCATAACTTGCTCAATTGTGCTTCAGAAATACTAAGCTCAGAAATGCTAAAGGTCAATATGACCAAATGAAAGACCATTTTAGTATTGTTTGGAGTAGGTGAAGAGTATCCTTAAAATGTTTGAAAAATACAATGATCCTAGGCAAGATCAGTCTTATATTAAGACTATAAACCACATACAAAAACTTAGTGTTTCAGTGTCTGTTGCCATTGGTAGAAGTTACTTCAGTTCCTTAATTTCCATAAACTCCCATTAGTGCCAGTACCAACCGAATAGAACCCAGTGGTTTGCCATTGTGGATCTAAAGTTTTAAAAATGTAATATCTTAAAATATGTTGCAGTTTAGAGTTACTTATTAAATATTTTTTCATAGATATATGTATTCATATCCACCTAATTACCCATATATTTATAACATGTTGAAACATTTCATTCAAAAGGGAGATTTGTGTAAAAGAGAACTACTGAGTTCACTAATGAGTATAATAATAGTTCATCTTCTTGTGAGATGGAACATCCAACACTGAGGATAGCATGGTCTGGAAAATTCCAGTTCAGTTGCATTACTGATGGAAAGAACAAAATTAATTCATTTCTCCCCAAAACTGGTACTTATATTTTATTGCTTTTATTTCTCCATTGGAAAAAGGAAAGAATTCAAGGGCTTTTACATAATGGATTTTAAGAATTCCAATTGTATGCTCTGATGAATGAGCTATACCAATTAAACTATATATTACTTATATTACTACTTTTAAAATGCTAAATATTTTAAATAAATTTTCATTTAATATGTTTTAAATATTTTATTAGCATAGGTTAATATATTGTGTCTTCTGAGTCTATAACTAGATGAAAGACAAATGTTTTTCTACTTTGTAACCTTTCTTAAAATATGCAAATTGGGATGCAATTCATTAGAAAGGCTTACAGCTTACTCTGGGATTTTAGCTACATGGCTTTTATTACTGCACTTCAAATAATATACACTTTTATCCTTTTGAAATTTCTTTATACTATACATTTGTGCATCTTCTTAAAATTTGAGGGTTTATATTTCATAACTGATACAATTTGTGAAAAATCTTTGATGGGGACTGTGAAAAGCTTTGGGAAAGGCACAGTTTAATATAAATGTAAACACTTGTAAAAAATAATGGCAATTCATATCAGTTTCTATATTTGTTCCTGTAAAGAAAAAATAACATCAGGACACACTATTCCTTGAACACCTTTTCTGACAAGTGAAGTTTACTTCTAATTATCTCTAATACGGTTTTAGATAAGTACGTGTCATAGATACTTGGTAAAAATAATAAGGCCTTACTAACATAAACCTGATTCTAGCTATGTGTAAATGAAATCCTTCCTGCCTGACAGAAGAATGTGTCTGGATTTATTCTAAAAAGTATTATATGTATGGATTTATTGAATTAAAAAACAATCAAGCATTACAATTTTTCTGCTTTTGTTGACAATTTGATAAATATCAGCTACCATAAAAACAAGAAGTTTCATGAAAATTTGACATTTTGTTTTCATGGATAGTGTCAGAGAATAACATCTATAAATATATTTTAGAGCGTCATTACTAAACTTATTTAGGATTTGTCTATACAACAATAGACATGTAAAAATAAAATCTGGCTTTTGCTCAATTGCCAGGGTTTCTAGCTTTTAGAATAATAAATACTTGGAAATGCTGAAACATTTAAGTGATGTTTCACTTTTAAAAAATCTTGAAAGTTATTTTTGTTATTTTGTCATGTTGTATCTGTATTACTGTCATGTAGTATCAGCTTTTATACCATATTGATTTATTTGGATATGTTCTTTGTCTCCAAATCACTTATCAACTTCTCCATTCCAGACATATGGGAAATGTTTTATCCCATGGTTTTGTGGGGCATGAAGATTATACAAATTGGTGAGTGGAGGGAGTTCCTCTTTAAACAATAACAAAATGACAAAAAAATGTACAGGTTTGTTTCCACAATGGAGTTCAGTCTTTTTCTGCAAGCATAGAACCCCAGAATCTTAGAGACTAGAGACCACAATTTCACATAAAGCAATGGTTCTCAGATATTTGGATTACAGAGACATCTCATGTATACTGTTTATGAATAAAAAATACATAAATACACAGGTACTGTATTCATAGTATGGTCAAATTTTTAAACTGTTGTACATGATCAAAATAAAGTTTGGAGACTACTGCTCCCATTAGCTGTGTTTCCTCCTACTTCAGGACAGTGTTCATTCTTTGCCTCCAGCCTGAAAGGCTCTCCGGCTTGCCCTTTCATCCCTCATTTTCATTACTTAACTCTTGCTCATTCAATCTCAACTCAGATGACACTTTCTTAGAAGAATTTATCTGATCTCCAGAAGTTACTTATTATACTCTCTTGTGGCTCTTCCTATTTTATCTTCATAGTACGTAAACTATGTAAGCAGTATGGAATTTATATTCACTTCTATGATTATTTGTTTAATGTCTTCCCCCCACTCCACTCCTGAACTAGTCTCTTGGCTTCAGGAAGGCAGAGTTCTGGTATCTCCAGTGCCGAAGAGCCCCTGCCGCAAACACAATAGTAGACATATGTGAATGAACTAATTGTCCTTAAAAACTTTAGTGCGAATGAGTAACAATTCAAGGACTGGTGTATGGAAATCATAAGTTGAATCAACCTTTTCATTTTTACAGATAATATAACTGATGGCAAAATAGCTGAAACTATAATACCTAGATTCATACAGTTTGGAGACTAGGAATTAGGTAACCTGATTCCCAACCCAGAGTTATTAATACTGTCATGTTGTATCAGCTTTTATACCATATTGATTTCTTTGGATATGTTCTCTGTCTCCAAATCATTTGTCAACTTCTCCATTCCAGACATATGAAAAATGTTTTATCCCATGGTTTTGTGGGGCATGAACCTTATACAAATTGGTGAGTGGAGGGAGTTCCTCTTTAAACAAAAAAAACAAAAAACTATAAATACAAAATTTGATACAGTAAGTGGTTTTATATTCTGGATGTAACTGCAACACCAAGAAGGCTAGAAATACTTTAACAATTATTCTACAGAGAAGTAACTAAAAATCACGGACATTATATCCCCCTTAAAAAAAATGCTGGGTACCCTGGCTTACGCCTGTAATCGAAGCTCTTTGGCTGGCTGAGGCAGGCGGATCACTTGAGGTCAGGAGTTCAAGACCAGCCTGACCAACGTGATGAAACCCCTCTCTACTAAATACACACACACACACGCACACACACACACACACAAACAATACACACACACACAAAATTAGCCAGGTGTTGTGGTGGGCGCCTGTAATCCCAGCTACTCGGGAGGCTCAGGCAGGAGAATTGCTTGAGCCTGGGAGGCAGAGGTTATAGTGAACTGAGATTGCGCCACTGCACTCCAGGCTGGGTGACAGAAAGAGACTCCATATAAATAAATAAATAAATAAATAAATAAATAAATAAATAAATAAATCTACAATTAAACCTCCCTCTAGCTAGATGATCCCAACAATGATGGAGAGTAGTCCACAGCCTTGACAGGAGTGGTCATGTGGTAGTGCAAATTGGAGAGGAAAACAACAGTGATCTTTAATAATTTTGGTTAAATAATATACTATTGAAAATTTTGCAAGATGTATGATCACATTGTTGAGGCCCCTTCCAGGGCCTTGGATGAAAACAGTAGAAATGAGGAGGCTTTGAAATTAAGCTCCATTAATATTAAAATAAACACTCCTGTGTTGATATCTTTTGTATAACAGCTCTTGAAATTTGCTCTCCTTGACCTGCTCCATTTGTTCCTACTCTGTATTGTGTATGCTCAGAAAATTGAATTTATTAAACTGCCAAGCTCCTAACACCATCTGACTAGCTGCTCTACTATTTTCCCCACCGCCTATTTACTTATTTATTTTGGTTTATCTCCTTTGAGAATTTGTTCACTTTCAGAGGAGAAAAAAAAGTATGTCCTGAACGTTGAATTTTTAAGAGCCTCTCCAGAGTGCCTTTTCACCTACGAGACAAGTTCAAAACATTTATTGCTCTTTCAGCTTAAAATGGCACACTAGGGTACTATCAGTGCTCAAATGTTGCATATGCGTATACTCAAGGTATAACATTTAATCTAAAGTACGCACAGTTCCTTTCATGGGGAAGGGAATTGAAAGTTGGAAACAGCCAACTTGCCCACTAGTCAGCAGGTGAACCTCTCATTTTCTAATGTTCTTCAGTCTCCTGCCTCTACGTCCATACTCAACATATTTCTCTACCCACTTTTATGTTTTGGATTTCTGCCTATTGCATTTTGATCAATTTAAAAAATGAACTCTTGACTCATTTCTTCCCCTGTATTCACTTCCATAAAACAGAGAGATAACATGAAATTTGTAAATAAATTGACTTGAGATTAAGTATAAAACCCAGCAGTTATTAGCTGTGAAAACTTTAGCAAATTAATTAACTTTTTGAGCCTCAACTTCTTCATCTGTAAATGGAGAAAATAATTCCTTCTTCAAAATGCAGTTTTGAGAACTAAATGAGTTTGTGCATGTCATGAAGGATTTCTCTATCAAGCAGGAACTCCAAGTTATATTCTCTTTTGTTTTCTTCAGTCTTTTTATGTCTGCTTAGTACTTATTGTTTAGTTCACTCAACACTTATTATATTTTTCCTTTAAAAATTATATTGTGTATTCAGCTCTTTGACTTTATGCCTCATATGCTCAAGAGCTACATTCTTTCTTCTTTATATTCTTTATAGTGTCTAGCACTGTGGCTTGCCACATATAAGGCATTTATTAAATGTATGTAATTTGAACTAATTTAGATAGTCATTACTTTAATAGCAAAATTTGAAACAACAGTGTTCTAATCTTAAAAGAAGGAATTATTAAGGCTGTATGTAATAATTAATAATAATAATTCCAACTATTATTTCAAATTTGGAATAGGCTTGGGAAATAGAAGCTTCATTTTCAAACTTCAGAGGGAGTGCCCTATCCCCACTTACACACCCAAAAAATGCAGAAAAAAACGGGAGGAAGAGAAGGAGGGAGGAGAGAGAGAGAAGGTGCTTTTTATTCCTCCATGTATATGATCATTTGATCCTGACTTTCTGTCTTAAGAGGATGGACATCTTTAGGAGCAGTTACTCTATAAGAAATATTCTATATGATGTTAAGGAGAACTAGTTTCTCCTTAACATCATATAGAAGGCTCACATTGTTATATGTGAAGTGGCATTTTTAACATTAATCAAGGATTATACATTATCTTCTGATTTTTTGAAACATTTTTTATATAAAATTTTGTGCTAACACAAGTCTTCATGTAGGTGAATCTTTTATTATACAATTGAGTGCAACTTCAACTCATGTATAATAATTTCCTTTTGCCAGCTCAATTTTCTAGTTATTATTGATTGCCCACATTTTATACATATTGCTCATAACAAAGAATGCTTGTTCTGATAATTATTGTACTAGTGTTGGTAAAGACGGCAACACAATTAGCTTCAAAGAAAGTTAATGCAATACCCCACCTCAGTTCATCACAAGCCCTATTGGATTCCCTATGGAAACATGAAGGGTCAGTCAGGCTCTGCAGGCATAAGAATAATTCTAACATAATAATTGCTTTTCTATTAGTTGTCATCACTACAGAAAGGTGGTTGAGAATTAAGTGCTCTCTTCATCGAAAAGATTAGGCTATTAACTGTACAATCTCTTTTTGGAGACTGTTTTTATGATTATCTGATAATTCAATGCTTTTTCTGCTTCTGGGACATTTAATTAAAAAGCCTTCTTCCACCTCTACAAACTGAGCAAAGTAAAGCGATTTCAACCTTCAATTTAATTAATAAAAATAAACAGCTTTGATGATTTTTTCTTGCATTTCAGGTGCAGTGGGGAGTAATAATTTTTTTTTTGTAAAAACAAAGCATTTTTTCCAGAAATCACTATAATCTTAATTTTCATAAACGTTGTTGTGTTAATCATATTGTAGTGGTCATAAGTCAATGATCTTTAAAAAATCATTAAATATTAAAAATCTAAATGTAATGTTTCCAGGAGACACACACTATTTTAAAGTCATCTAAAAATCTAAAAACCATATTTGGTTTGAAAAAATTTATGTGACTAGATTTTTATTATAATTACCTGTTTCTTATTAATAAATAATTTATTGTATTATATTTAGTTCCTCCATTCAAAGACATAATGGTGATTTTAATCTTTCTTTCTCCTCTTTTCACATTATTTCAACTCTGTTATGTGTTCCACTTAAAAGAAAAACTGCTATATCTGTATTAATTGAAAACAATTTCGCACTGGCTTTATCTGTGCACATAATCAAAATGGAATTATTTTTCTGTGGGCTTTAGTGCCTTTTGTACTGAGTGAATAAGCTGAAAGTCAGTTGCTATATTTGATAAGATTCCACATTTACTCTTGGTGTCTTCCGTCTTATGTTGGGTTAAAAAAAAAGCTTATTACACTTCCCACTTGTTCAATGGTTCTTCTGAAGATAAAAGCCATGCATATCTATTTAACATAGTACATCTGTAAGAGTGCTTTTTTCCCTTCCTTTTTTTTTTGTTGGATTATTTCTGCCTTGTGTGATATTAAATACAGGCCCTTGATTTATTTTTCCTGTGATGAGAAAGTTTTCAACGTTTTAGAATCTCACTGAATACAGACTTAAATATTAAAATAATAACATAGTTCTTCTACATTCATCAGAAATCTCTGTTTTTAGATAAAATGGAATCACATGCGCTCAATAGTTCTATCACAGAGTACGGTTAAACCTTCATGAATGCGGCAGCTCAGATCTCAGGAAGTAGGGTCATAGAAGCAGTTATATATTTAGTATTCCCTGTTCTTTTTAATCTTCTCCTCCCTCTGTCCACATTTTGCTCTTTTCCAATAGACAATTGGGCAAGATAGGGGAAAGAACAGTCAGTTCTCTGCCTCAGCTGCAGTACTAAGTGGGTGACAGAATGAATTAGGAAAATGTATCCCTAATTCTGCTTATTTATTAAATTCCTGGTGTCTCAGAATTTAGCCTGAAACTTTTAATCTGAGAATGTGTATCATGAACATCTTAAAGTCTGATATAGCCAGTGCAGCTGCTCTCACTGCCTATCTCCACACAATATGTACAGAAGACTGGAGATTTTTGAGAAAACCTTCTTTGGAGGAAACTCATAGATAGGAGGAAGAAGTTGTGGGATTTCCCCTTCCTTCTGACTAGAGAAAGAAAGGTGTACCCTCTTTCTTCCCAAATAAAGCTTAGTGAAGGAGCCCCCTAAAATTACTCCAAATAATTCAGCTGACTGCAAGAAGGTGTACAGGTATTCTATTTTTGGACTAGATGCTTGTTAAATTGTAATTTCCTAGTCCTTACTATGTTGCAACTGGTGATTAATGCAAGAGACTTCTTATTCCCCAACATTTAGAATTTTAAGTTTTAATTTAATTTAATTTAATTTTAATTTAGAAGTTAGTGGTTGAATTTTGCCTAGGTAGTTTCAAAGGTAAAAGATTGGCTGGAGTAGTCTTACTTTTGCAGGATAAGGCAAGGAAATCCAGCAACAAAAATGTCTATAATTGCTTTATTTGGTAGTAAAGGAAGTGTGAGGTCCTAAGGGCTACATAGTACCTGGAATAGCAGCTGTCTTGAAATTCACCCAAGTGGGTTGGCCAATGAGGTGAGATTTAGCAGAAAGAAGCTAAGAGTTTTCTGCCAGGGACAAGAGATGGAGCAGGGTATAAGTGATCAGGTAGGTAATATATCAAAAAGTTAGAGAAGGGGACAGTGCAAAACTCCCTTAAGGGAGGGAGGGAAGGGGGACACTCCAAAAAACACACAAATGGGCCTTAAAATAGAAAGTTAGCTTTTGGATGACGACTGTGTTGGAGGGCACCGAGAGCCACATTGTAAAAACAAAACAAACAAAACAAAGTAAAACAAAAACAAAACATTTGACACATAGCATATGCTTTGTCCTTCTTCCTTCAAAGCTCTCTTCCTATTCATATTCCCAATGCTGGATGTAGAAGACAGGTGGGAAGGAACAGAAAAGTTAATTGGAAAGTAAAACCAACTCTACAACTCCTTTCCCCACAGGCAGGTCTACAAGCCATGAGGCGGGCCTGAGACGAGCAAGAGGGGAAGAGCAGTGAGCCAGATTTGAAGCAGAATTTTTGTTTTAGAGTTCACTGGATGTAGAAAGAGATGAGATAGGAGGTCTGGTCAAGATGCTGTTCAACGATAGACAACCGAGGTATTACAAAGCATGTTGGTAGGCACTGGCAGGAGAAAATTCCTGAGTATACCATACCAGGTTCAGCTCAATCATAAACCAATAACCCATTTTTGGCAGAAATCATTTTATTCCCTCTCATCCACTCCATTAAGTTTGGTAATAGTCCTAGTTTTCATTTGGGGATCCTTTCTGGTAAACCTAATTCCTGACTCTAAAAACAGGGCTTATAGCTCAGGCTAAAATATTTCAGCATAAACTCATCTTCTGGAGACATTATTGGTTCAAAGAAGGGTGGCAACCAATTGCAGGTGGCTTGGGCTCCTGGTGTAGGGTTCACTGAGGGCTGGGATGGCAGCTTCAGGGATCTCAGCACCAAGCCCCAGTGGCACCTTCGGAATCTTTATTCCCCCAGCAATGGCTGTGACCCTGAGGACTCATTTGGGTCCTTGTAATTGCCCTCTGCTCAATGAAATATATGGCCTTTTGACTTTTACACATGCTTCTTGCCAACTTTTGGATCTGGGAGAGGGGTTGAGAAGACCTCATTCACATATCTCAGGCCAGGGTTGGCCATGGGAATAGCAAATATAATTAAAGAAATAGTCTCCTTCTGATAATCTCAGAACATCATCATCAGCTCAACTGATACAGAGCTGGAATATTAGAAGTCTTCAGAAGTTGCTTAATTTTTAAGGACGAAAATGCTGAGGGTGCTAATGGTCTTTATTTTTTTCATAGACATGGTGATAAGGATCTGTAAGACACAAGGACATTGGCATAGCTCAGAATGTGATTAAATGTTGTACATGAGAAATATGCAATGCAATTGTGTTTGTCAATTAAAAAAATAAAATATATACAGGATTGCTTTGGGGATATTCCCACCACCAGCCAGAATGTTAACTACATTTTGGATATTTCGATATGAGTTGCATTTTGATTGTAAGGTTACTCAACTTGCTATTCTTTATTCTATGGTGGCAAAAACAAGATAATTCCATCCAATCAAAATGCTTTGGAAGCTTTAATATAAATTGCAAGTTAGCTAAAATTATTAAAAGATGGCTAGGAAAATGCTAACGATCTGTGCAATTTGTTTTGTATTATTTCTCCTAAAATTAAAGTTGGAGAACTAAGTGCAAATCACCAGAACAGCTAATCCAAGTGGTTTTTGTACCACTTGTCTTTCTCATAGGGAGTTTGAACTTTTTAAGTGACATGAGAGCAATCATGGGACACTATACTGACAAAATGTGTTTAACCCTCTATCCAAGTTCATGTCATAGCAGGTAGTTAGGATTGGACACATATGAATGTTTGTTGAAGTGTTGTGCCTCTGAAGGAAAATCACAGATTCTTCAACCACATGTATTCATGTAGATTCCTGCAGAAATATCTGGAGTAGCACTCCTGGCTGGTTTGAATTATGGATTAACCAACGAATGCTTTGATGTATAATATTTCAATGAGAACCAAAGCTATGTCTCCTAGAGGGTTATGTGGCAGATGTATTTGTCCACATTAGACTCCTCATTATATAAGACAGCTGCGTAGATGCAGGACAATATCAACCATGAGGCTTATGCTTGCAGCCCAAGCAGACAACAAAGAGGTATAAAAACATTCTTCAGTGGCTACAGACATCTAGGACACCTAAGAAAAAAAATGTGGGTTTTATATTAAGTTTGGAAGGGGTGGTGTCCATACTTGATACCAAATATTTTAAATATCATTTTCATAATTAGTTATTCTGGGTATAATAAATGGAATTTGAAATCTATGCATGTCTTAAAACTCCTCAAAGAGAAAATTATACGTATTTTTTTAACTTATATTCTTGCAGCTAACTGAGCTTATTTTTCAATAATAGTATTTTTGGTTAACTTTTCTGTCCTGTTTATGGTAAACTCCAGAGGCATGAGAAAAGTTTGAAATTCTATAGAAAGCAGTTTATTTTATGCTTTTATTTAGTCTACGAGACACATTTTCCCAATAATACCAATTAACTACTCAGCCATCTTTTTGTTATTTGGAGAACTTTCATGTTATAGTTAGTAATGACAATTGTTATAAGATAGTCTTTGTGTTTACCAGTGAATGATTACAAGTAAAGTGGAAAACAATTTTCCCATGAGGAACAGCCACCCACTTTTCAGTGTCTACCTGAACTGTCTTAGCTCTGCAGTTAATATACCATTTTAAAATTTTCCTGAAAAAGATTGTTACAGTAGTTCTCTACAGATTTCTGAAAATCTACTCTGAATGTGTTGTGATTAATGTCGGAGGAAAATGTTATAGTAGGCCTAAAACAGAGAACAAAGTAGTGGTTCCCAAACTGACCAATTTCAGAATTAACTAGGGAGTTTTGAGAAACAGAAATTTCCTTTATCCTGCCCAGATATACTCAATCAGAATTTCTAGGGCTGGAGTGGAGTGGAGGAATCTCAAGAAAAAACAACAACAAAAAAGTTTTCCTGCTCTAGGAAGCCATTGTTTTAAAATTAATGGCAATACCAAATTTGCTAAAGTAACAGAGAGATCTATAGGTTTTCACTTTCACTTTTTGAAAGGTCAGGTTTCTAGACTCTTGGGGAGAAACAAACTGTATCCCAGGCTGATGCAATTAGAGGACAAAGCAGCAAGTTAGAAAAGAAACAAAATGACTACAGAATAATCAGTAAACTGAAAGATTTAAATCATAAATGTATAAGTGCCCTTAAAGAAGATATATGTTATATAGTCTCTAGATCTTTTCATCAGGAAAAGTCAAAATTGTTCATCACAAAGATAATCATTTGCATCGATATGGTAATCTCTTTTGGTCTTCAAAACAGTGAAAGATAGACAGGAACGTTTCTATCTTCCTCATTTTGAGAAGCAAAGCTTGTCTCAAAATTACAGATAATTGAGCCAAGGTACAGAAGCCTATGTGTGCTGATCTGTTCTATTTGGTGCTATGTTTTACAGGCAGAGCTGTGAAGTCAGGGGACGGTGTTGTGGGTGATACCTCACACTCTTTTAGTGTGACAGGAAAGTAATAATGCATTTCTTGTAAATGTTGATAGCAAAGGTTTGCAACTTAAAAGGGGAATTTCATATATTTAGAAAATACTTTGAGGTGAAACCCTCACTCTTTAAAGGATTATTTAAAATGGTAATGCTACTACCTAAATTGGTAGATTGGAAGGGAGGTTAAAGGGCATTTAATCATGTTCCCTCATTTTATAGGTGAAGACTCTAAGGCTCAGAGTGCTTTATGGTTTGCATAGTAATTCATAGCTAATCTGAACAATTTTTGGAAAAATAACATCTTTTCTATTTTTCCATCATTATGGATTTGTTAAAGATACTAAAATGAGCTAATTGGTGATTTGTTAGTTCAAATTGCTAATTTTTTAACTTTAAATTTCACTTTTCATGCAAAAATGAACCTTTTTATAATACTTTGAACTGAAGAAATCTTCTTTTCTAAATAAGATGTCATACAACTGAGATAAAGTTTATTATTTTACTTATGAAGGATTCCACCATTCCCAAAATTAAAGTGTTACTTTCTTTACCTGAACACTAATAATAATGGTGGTTTCAAAGGAGCAGCAAAAGAGAAATATTTTCTATTTTTCTTTACAAGCTGTTTACTGTTTTTATTTTGCTCTCTGGTAATAGACAGAAAATTATATAAAACAATATTTTGAGGGAATTTTTCTCCTGGTTGGTTTTAAATCACTGTGCTCCCTGAAACATTTCAATGTTTAAATTCTTCTCAAGTTATTATATTCACCAGTACCTGATTAATCCATTGCAGATATAAAAATGTATTGAAGAATAATAAATGGATACCATGTGATTTTTTAAAACTTGGACAGCTAATGAATGTGGCAACATTTTAAAGGAGGGGATAGAAAAAAATGTTCTGCATAATCAATAATGCATAATTCATACTTAAACATCATTAATTTCTAGCACTACGACATTTTTAAATGAATATATTGAAACGGAAACAAAATATTTTACAAAATGTTTTCCATATGGCAGTAATCTAAAAAATGGGAAAAATTTGTCATTCTTCACTCAGTTTGGCCCAACAAGACTAAATAAAATATTTGTTATGATGTGATGGAAAATAGGGATCTTCTGGCTTATCAGGAAGTTTCTGGAAGTGAGCCTTTCTTACCTAATTGATGTAAAAAAAAAAAAGAAGAAGAAATGTATAACTTTTCAACTTGTAACTGAAAGAAATGGCAGTTTGGGAATAATGGTAATATTACTGAAGGTAAAGCAGAGTGCTATAGAAAAGCTATCTCTTGATGATATTCTGTGGTCCTTCAAGTAAATTAAGTGCAAAGGTTGGCCTCTTTACTTTTATTTACCTAGGCCAATTAATGCCCTTAATTTTTAAGCCACTTTGTGCTTGAGTTTTCTGTTGCTTATAAATCAACGCCTCTTAACTGATAGATCATTTCAAAATCTAAAATTGTACCATGTGCTGCTGTCATTGATGCTGCGTTTTTCTTTGGGTTTTTATCCAATGATGTAAATGTTATAAAGCCTGAAGCTATATAAGAGTATCCATTTGTAAATCAAATAGATAAATAACCTTTAGGTATAGAAAATAGCCTCAATGGGATTATTGTAGAATTCCCCTAGGAATATCATGAAGAGTAAATATTAATGCCTTTTAATTGCTGTAAACTATAGTGTGAACTATAAAGTTTACACTATTGACATGCAGGATCATGACCAATTTTAAAGATGAGTTGATAAATATTACTCAAGAGAATAAATTCACATCCATATCTGCTCCAAAGTAATTTTCTCAAACTTGCATTTGTGTCCTAGTTAATTTATCAGGAAATGAATCTTTAATTTGGAAATATAGTAGTATGGAAAGTTTGTCAAACTTAATTTCTTTTTGTAGAACACTTGACTACCCATATATGATCTTAATAGGATAGTTGGAAACAGTTGATAAAAGTGGACAGTCTGTTTCACTGGCATAAAGTCATCCTTTTTGAGGTCATTTATATTTGTCTATCTTTGAGAAAGCAACATACTTGGTTTCGGTTTCTAGGTGGAACTTCTGAGTCAAGTTGCTGCTCAGAGCATGTGGTATTTTGCAGACTTCAACTCCACCTCAGCACTTGGTTACTAACCACTTTTTTTCTCTAAAACATGGGCAGTTTATATATTATGAACATTGTGTTTACCTTCAGGATATGGTAGTAAGTAGTTTCAGCCATTACAAATCATCATTTTTTTTTCTCACGTCCCTAAGAGCCCCTAATAAGCATTTCTAAGTTCTTCCAAGCTTCTCTCTCCTTTCCCAACTCAATGTTCTGCTCCTAATCTCAGCTGCTCCTATTTTATTGAGTCATTGGCACATGACTCATCCATTACTGAGATTGAGCTGTGTCTACCCCAAAATTGTGACAAATTTTACCATATCTGAATGGATGTATTCGTCAGTTGGGGCTATCATAGCAAATTACCATAGACTGAATGGCTTCAACAATAGAAACTCATCTTCTCGTAGTTCTGGAGGTTAAAAGTTCCAAATCAAAGTCCAACAGGGTTGGCCTCTGGGGAGAGCTCTCTCTTCCTGGCTTGCAGACATCTGCATTCCCACTATGTTCTCACATAGCCTTTTCTTGGTGGGTATGCAGGTAAAGAGAGAGAAAACTCTGTTGTTTACTTTTATAAAGAAACTAATCCTATTTGATCAGGGCCCCACCATTATGACCTCACTTAACCTTAATGATTATCTTAGAGGCCTCATTTCTAAATACATCCACACTGAGGGTTAGGGTCTCAACATATAAATTTTGGTGGGGGGACACAAACATTCAGTCTCTAATACTGAAGAACAGGTAGTGGGGGAGATTTCAAAGTTATTATCTGCATGAGTTACTGAGCATAACTCTGGGATGTGGGAGTATAGGGAAACAATTCCTAAGAAGAGAGAGAATTGAAGCATGTTTGCTTCGTGGTCGATGGATGAAATCCAACCAATGCAGAGAATATACTCATAGAATATTATCTCTTTCTCAAATACTTCCTAGTCATGATTCACGAGTTAATGTTTGAAACTTTAGGATAAAGGACTAAGAAAAGTGAATAAGAACATCAAATGTCTTATAGTTGGACTTCCCTGGGAGAAAATGATAGTGTAAGATATGAATAGCCTCAACATTCGTGACTTCTAGTCTGAAAGACAACTGCGCTAGACCTTTGTCCAAAGATTAAAAAGTGTTTTGGGGCAGGGCGCGGTGGATCACGCCTGTAATACCAGCACTTTGGGAGGCCGAGGCGGGCGGATCACTAGGTCAGGAGATCGAGACCATCCTGGCTAACACGGTGAAACCCCGTCTCTACTGAAAATACAAAAACTTAGCCGGGTGTGATGGCGGGTGCCTGTATTCCCAGCTACTCGGAGGCTGATGCAAGAGAATGGCGTGAACCCTGGAGGCAGAGCTTGCAGTGAGCCGAGATCGCGCCACTGCACTCCAGCATGGGCGACAGAGCGAGACTCCGTCTCAGAAAAAAAAAGTGTTTTGGGATTCATAAATGAAGGTCATTAACACCCTTAATATTGAAATAAGCAAACATTGGACATTAGCATCCTTGGTCTAGGCATTAGCAGACAATGGAGTACCTCTGGTAGGCATCATCAAGAGCATTCTGGTGCTCTTGATGAAAACCTAAAGTGTGGTTTAACATAGGTATTCACAGAGGAAAGGGAGGGAGGGTGTAGTCTGTGAAGTGCTTGTGAGAATCTTGTTTTTGTAAATATGTGAAACAACCTCTATAATTTCTGCAGGGTTTAAAGTGAAATAACAATATTTATAGATAATATGTTCAGAATACCTAGTATGTACTTAACATTTAATCTTTTAGTAATCCTATGAAGTCATTACTAATATTATTTTCTCACATTACTGATGAGAATTACAGAGATACCTAGCACCTTGCCCCAGATCATTTAGCATGTGACAGAGCTGGCATTAGAAGCAAGACAGTTTGACTCTCTATTTTTTAGACTAGTGTTTTTTAAAACTGCTGGAATTCTTGTACTTTGTGTAAGTACTATTGTGATACTAGCTTTTACCCTGAGGCAAAGATGGGTTTTGAAATTCAGGTTCATTTAATGGGTGCACAATAAAGTTTGGGGAATTATAGCAATGAAAATATCTTTAGCCTGTGGGTAAGATATTACCTTTACTTTATTCATCTGGCCATACTATTGCAGGCTAGTCATAGAGATTAGAGAGTAACTTCCTTCCCTGCAGGTTGAAAGATACATTTATTCATTTATCAATTCACAACATTTATTTTAAATGTGTAGCTAACATAAACCAGAAGTACTGGGCACAAAAATGCAGTCATAAACAAAAATGGATAGAAACTTTTCTGGAAAAATTCCTTTCTAGCAGGTAAGTAGCAGCTAAAGAGCTGTGAACAGTGGTTAATTGATTGATTAGCAGTTTCAAAGAATAGTGTTTTAAGGTGATAAATATTCTGTGACCCAGTTAAAGAACTAGCAGAGAGTGACATAAAAACTAATTAACATATCCTGCAGAATCAGATAAACCTCTACATCCTTTCTATTTATCTCTCTGTTTTGTGTGTCTATTGTCTTATCTTTCTGTCCAGGTCCCCATACTATTTTTTTTCTTCCACTTCCTTTCTCTTCAAAACATTTAATCAAATAGAATGTAGCTAAATTTTTTTTACTCTTTTTTCCATTGACCTAGAAAGTGTAGGCAAAAATACGTGTTTGGGGTTTTTGTTGTCATTGCTGTCTATTACCCTTTGTTTTTTTTCCAACTCTAGAGGGTCACAGAAGTTTTTCTGGCAAGAGGAGACTTCATCCTTAGTAGAAGGGTAACTGTCAAATGACTAGGCGTCCAGCCAGCAGATGGAATAGGAAAAGGAACCGTGGTACTGGTGACCCTCCAAAGCAAGTGAAGTAATCTGTTAGAGGAAAAGACAGTTTTAAATGTATTCTATTTCTAGAGAAAATTGAAGCCAAATTTCCATGTTATCCATCATTGAGAAAATTTTTAACTAATACCTTTACTCCTCTTTTTCCCTTTCCTTGTATATTTTCTGAAGATAAGAGAAAAAGGCCAATTATAAATCCCTCTTCCAAATGGAAGAGAAGGGGGAGTTTTAACTTTAAACAAAGATTGAAGCTTCGACTATTACATGGGACAGGACATATTAATGACTAAATTGTGGCTGACCTGTTAGCCTTCAAATGACCTGAGAACATTTGATAGTGTGTAAAAGTAATCAGAAATTAATGGGGCTTGCCGGAATCTTCATTGTAGGGCAGGGGATTTGCTAGCCCAAAAGATCATATGAAAGGGGCAGAAAGACAAAAATAATTTTGCTTTCTAAAAAAATCTACTTTATGGTTTTACCTCATGTGTTACTACAGTTACATTTGCTTGTATGTAACAATATCCTCTAGAGCATATCCTGGGAGTAGATTTGCAGGGACAGCTTATGCACATATTTAACTGCTAATTATAATGCTGAATTGTTTTTGACCTAGACAGCCTAAATGTTTTCCTCAAGTTGGCTAAACTTTAGACAGGTTTCCTCTTTCCTCTGGGCCTCCAACCTTCCTCTCATCCAGACCTTTAGAGAATCTTGATGGCCTAACCATGGAGGTCCCTCCTCCCCTTCCTTTTCTTAGAAAATTTACCTAAGAAAACCTGTAATTATAAATTCTTTCTCTGCCCCTTTGAGATGTAAATCTTGTAAAAGCCTCTTGCCAGTTTTACAACCCAGGAATATTTTTCTCAAAGACCTGAAAGTCATTCCTTTGAAATGTGATAGGAAAGGAAGACAGAAGAACTTTCTTTCAGTCTTTATGGCAGGGTAGAAGCCTAATGTCACTGGGCATGTAGCTCCAAGTTCTAAACCTACTTTCTGTCAGGAAGGTACAAGAAACTTTACTTTTTCTTTGAATAAAGCCAATTAGTAAACACAGATGTCCTATGATTACCCTCATCCCAGCCATTGTACCTTCTTTTTCTTCAGTGGAGTTGAGTTCAAGCTGAGCTCTGGCCTCTCACTTCTACTGCAGTAACCTTAAATAAGGTTTTCCTTGCCTGTTTAACTATGTCTGGTACAATTTTTGTTTTGACATTTTCCAATTACCTTACCATCAACGGTGTATGAGAAATTCTGTTATTGTAATTTCTAGTCATAACTTGGTATTTCAGTTGTCTGTTTACTTTTTTCATCATGATAGTTGTTCAGTTACATCTCATTTTAAATTTAATTCTCATTTTACTGATATAAGATTGATCATCCACCTTTTCATATGCTTAGTGGATCTGCATATTTTCATTTTCTGTGAATTGCTTGATCAAATTATTTGCTCATTTCTGTTTTTTTTTTTTTTTTTGTCTTGCAGATGTTTTAGACTTTCCCGATATATTCAACATACTAACCCTTTGTTGGCTATGTGTAACACACTTCTTTCTCCAGGTACAGGTGTATCTACCTGCTTAGTATATCAGTCTTGTGAAGAATAGAAAATAACCATTCAATGTAGAAAACTCTATTTTTATTTCATATAGACTTTGTGATATTTTATTTGAAAAAATCTTCCTTTGCATTGCAACCACAATATATATATTTAGAGACAGGATCTCACTTTGTCACCCAGGCTGGAGGACAGTGGTGTGATCACAGCTCACTGCTGCCTTGAACTCCTGGGCCCAAGTGATCCTCCTGCCTCAGCTTCCAGAGTAGCTGGGACTAAAGATGCATGCCACTGTGCTTGGCTAATTTTTTTATTTTGAGAGAGACAGGGTCACACTGTCTTGCCAGACTAGTCTTGCAATCCTGGTCTCAAACATTCCTTCTACCTCAGCCTCCCAATGTTCTGGGATTATAGGTGTGAGCCAGCCTATATTTTTGAAGTTTTGCTTTTTATATATGACTTTAATTTGCTTAAGTAGAATATGAGATACAGATCCAATATCATCTTTTCATGTAGCTATATATTTTTTCTGGCAATACTTTTATATGCTTGATATGATTAGTTTAAAAATTAAATTGAACAGAAATCCCTAAAAATTGAATGTGAAATGTCACAAATGAATCTAAGTATTTATCTTAGTGACATTGATTTATTTAAATCACTATATTTATTTTAAAACATAGTAATTGACTATACATCCTTGTGGAATATAACTTAAAGACAAGGCAATTGAAAATATTTCAAACTGTTTTCAGTGATATAATAAATTACAACATTGGTATTATTATTTTGAAATAACAATGTATGTGTCTATGAATATATATGTGTATATATGTACATAGGTACATATATTTATAGACACATACACCTATGGAATATATAATAAAATAAATTTTGTAATTAGGTTAACAATATATCAATGGAATGTACAGAATCTGGAATATGGAACAAATAAACTAATTTGTTTTGGCAGTAACCTGTGGGACAAAATAGGAAAGGGAGAAGGAAACTATAGATTAAAAGAGATTTAAGAGTACATAAACTAATGATAATGTATAGATCTTGTTTGGATCTTAATTTAAGCAAACCAAATATTAGAAAAATGTTTTAAAGACTGGGAAGGAAATTTAGACTTAAAGTAAATATTTGATTGTCTTATTGTTAACTTTTTAAAAGTGTGTGATGGTTAATATTGAGTATCAACTTGATTGGATTGAAGGATGCAAAGTATTGCTCCTGGGTGTGTCTGTGAGGGTGTTGCCAAAGGAGATTAGCATTTGAGTCAGTAGACTGGGAGAGGCAGACCCAACCTCAATCTCGGTGTGCATCATCTAATCACCTTTCAGCATTAAAAGCAGGCATGAAAAGAGCAGACTACCTGAGTCTTCCAGACTCCATCTTCCTCTCATGCAGGATGCTTCCTGCCCTCAAACGTCAGACTCCAAGATTTTCAGCTTTTGGACTCTTGGACTTACACCAGTGTTTACCAGGGGCTCTTAGGCCTTCAGCCACAGACTGAAGGCTGCACTGTCAGCTTTCCTACTGTTGAGGTTTTGGGACTTGGACTGGTTTCCTGGTTCCTCAGCTTGCAGATAACCTATTGTGGGACTTCACTGTGTGATCATGTGAGTCAATTCTCCTAATAACTCCCCTTTGTATATTCATCTATCCTATTAGCTCTGTCCCTTTGGAGAACCCTGACTAATACAAAGTGTAATGGTAAAAATTAATTATGTATTTTTTTAAATTTTCCTTTCAGTTCCGGGATACATGTGCAGAACATGCAGGTTTGTTACATAGGTATGTATACATGTGCCATGGTGGTTTGCTGCACCTATCAACCCGTCATCTAGGTTTAAGCCCTGCATGCATTAGTTATTTGTCCTAATGCTCTCCTTCCCCTTGGCCCCCACCCCCTGACAGGCCCTGGTGTGTGACATACCCCTCCCTGTGTCCACGTGTTCTCATTGTTTAACTCCCGCTTGTGAGTGAGAACATGCGGTGTTTGGTTTTCTGTTCCTGTGTTAGTTTGCTGAGAATGATGGCCTCCAGCTTCATCCATATCCCTGTAAAGGACATGACTTCATTCTTTTTTATGGCTGCATAGTATTCCATGGACCCAGCAATCTCATTAGTGGGTATATACCCAAAGATTATAAATCATTCTACTATAAAGACACATGCACATGTATGTTTATTGCAGCACTATTTACAATAGCAAAGAAATGGAACCAACCCAAATGCCCATCAATGATAGACTGGTAATTATGTTTTTAAAAATATTACTTATCTTTAGAGATATATAATAAAATATTTACAGATGAAATGATATGATGCCTTGGATTTGCTTCAAAATAATCCAGCGAGTAAAGGGAAAGCAGGTGGGTTTAGAAATGAAATAAGATTAACCAGGAGTTAATAATTGTTGAAGCTTGGTAATGGGTACATGAAGCTTCATTATATTATTTGCTGCACTTTTGTATATGTGTGAGAGTTCTACAATAAAAATAAAATGTTAAAGGAAAATAAATATATTTGTAAATTGCATGTGATACCAAGAATATAATTAAAAACTACACCAGAAACATAAAGAAAAATTTTAGTCAGTAATATGGAAGATAAATTTGAGATACTTTCAGAGGGACACATTAAGAAGATTAAAACAAATAAAAGTAAGTTAGTGCCTTAATAAACCACCCCCAAACAAAGTGGCTTATAATAGCAATAATTTACTTTTGTTCATGGAACTGTAAGTCATCTGAAAGTTGGCTTAGACTGACTTGAGTGGCTTGGCAAAAAGTCCAGGTCTGCTGAAATGTCTGCCTTCCTCTGTGGACTAACAGGCTCTCTGGGGTATGATCGTATTGTTGGTGGCAGAAACACAAGATGGCAAGCCCAACCATGCCAGAACATTTCATGCCTCTGCTTTTGTCACATCTACTAACCTCCCTTCCATTGGACAATGTAAACTATACATCTGGACTGAATGACAAGCAGCGAGGTGTACTCTTCTTTTACTGGAAAGAACAAGTTCACATGGAAAAGCGGGTGGTTACAGGGTAGCATAAGGAAGTGGGGTAGATAGTTATATATGTTTGCCACCTTCATCACATGTTCCCAAATTACCGTCATGTAACCCTCACTGATTTTCCCAGGAATCCCAGATCTCTCATCCAATCCTAGCATTAAGCTCAAATTTTAGGACATCAAGATTTACCTTAGGTACAGATGCAATTCCCTTTAATTCAGAGACCAGTGAACTAAAGGAAAAACCCCCACAAAACTAATAAAACAAGTTATCTGTTCCCTGAACAACGAATGTATAATAGTGGAACAGGGATAAAATAAATTGGACAAGACTTCCCATTCCAAAAGTTGAAGACTGTGGGATACAGGGCATTCACTGGCTAATTAGAGTTCTGGAGTCTTCCTGGGTGAATGTCAGGCCCTAGGGGGTCTGCACAGGATAGCCCATGGAGTCGCATGCAGACACTCCTTCTTGGTATGATCTGGGAGCTAAATAATGTTTTTAATGCTTGAAAGAAGTTTAAAAACAAAGCAAAAACAAAGAAGGATATACAGACATTACACGTGGCCAGCAAGCCTAAAATATTTACTATCTTCACATTAAAATGTGTCAAATGCTGCCCTAGAGCTAGGGAATTTGCCTTGACTGAGCCTGACATCTACTTCCTGGTAATGACTTCCATAGTTAACCATTGCTCTTGACTCCACAGCCCTGTAGAAAATATATATTTTTTCCTTTTGGTGCCTGGGCAGATTTCACAATCTGCTTTCTGCCTATAGAAACTTGGAGGTCCAGGGAGGTTTTACATCTCAAATTTTCTGTCTCCTTTAGTCCAGGCTGGCAGGGCTTTATGCTAGTTCTGCCTTCTTATAAACTCCACTGAGTTTCTATTATATCTACAAGAGCATCGGGTACATCAGATTTCTGTGGAACCACACCTTTAGCCATTCTGTAATCATCTTTGGCCGAGAGAATCTACTAAGTGCTTATATTAACTCAGAGTTCTTATAAAAGGATGTTAGAGGGACACCCTTGGTTTTGTCTTTTTCTGAGGCCATGCCTTACTGGTCCTATCTCCATGGCACCACTTCAAATTTGGTCTCTCCTCTAAAGTTAGTTTGGTAAGAAATAGTTTTATCTTCCATCCCCCAAATTTCTGGCCTGACTATATTCTCTTCACATTCTGTTTTCTGACTGGCCAGTTCCTTTCTGAGCTTAACTTTTTCTTGTAGTACCTTACCAAATGCATCTGGTAACAGCACACTCTTTCAAAATCTCCTTCAAATTACCTCCCCCAACTCTACAAGTCCATTAGGTAGATTTTCTCCCTTCCACATTATCACAGGTGGTAGATCCTAACCAAATATTTTCTCACTCCATAATACAGTTTGCCAATTTTACAGCTGCTTTGTTTCTTCAATGCGTACCACCTGGTCCCAAATCCACTGCTATATATTTTAAGAATTTATTACAGCAGGACTGCATAGCTAGGTACCAATTTCTGAGTGAATAACTATTGCACATCAATGCGGACTAAAAGCTATCTGACATTGAATAGCTTAAAGTAGTACTGATATATTTTTGCTGCAGAATTTGTGAGTCAACTAAGATTAACAGATATCAGCTGAGTTCGTCAACTGTAGCAGGCTGGGCTTGGTTCAGTGAGCTCACCAAAACAAGTTCTTTTGATGTACGTAGAAAAAATGAAGGCCCAACTGCCTAGTACATATCAATTCTTTGTGTTTCTTCTGCTAGCTACCTTTGTTCCAAGAAATGCACAGGACTGAGCCTAAAGTTCAAGGGTAGGGAAATATACTGGCTCTACAACAGTAAAATTGTAACTCTAAGTGTGTGACCATGGGGAAGAATAAAATTTGGGACCAATAAGTCGATCTCCTACTGAAGGTAACTGATACAAAATACAAGTAATGAAAACCCATCTCAACATTTACAGGTGTTTCTGAATGATGAATCAGGACATCTGGAAGAGAAGTGGAAATCAATGTCATATTTGAAGAAAACACATCAGACCTCAGGGGAAAAAAGACACTCATATATTTCTGAAGTTCTTACCCTATTATTCAGTAAAACAATTTAAACATTCAATTTAGAAAAATTAATTAAATATATGCAATGAAAGACAAAAATAGAAAACAATAAAGATAAAAGTAGGAGTGATTACATTAGAAAATAAAAAGTAGAGTTAATTATAAATATGTCCTTCGGCTAATTTTAGAAAAACAAAATAGAAAAACCTTGGCAAATCACGTTAAGCAAAGAAGAGAGAAAAATAAGTAAAAATTAGAAATACAGTTGTCCTTCCTTATCCATGGGGGATACATTCCAAGATCTGCAGTGGATGCCTGAAATGATGGATAGTACAGAAGCATATATATATATATATATACACACACACACATATATATTTTAAATATATATTTACCTATGATAAAATTTAATTTATAAATTAGGCACAGTAAGATATTAACAATGATAACTAATAATAAAATAATCATAACAATATATTGTAATAAAAGTTATGTGAGTGTGGTCTCTCTTTCTCTTTTTTTGAGATCTTGCTCTGTCACCCAGGCTGGAGTGCAGTGGCCCATTTCAGTTCACTGCAACCTCCTCCTCCTCCTGGGTTCAAGCCATTCTCCTGTCTCAGCCTCCCAAGTAGCTGGGATTACAGGTGTGTGCCACCACGCCTGGCTAATTTTTGTATTTTTAGTAGAGACGGGGTTTTGTGATATTGGCCAGGCTTGTCTCAAACTCTGGACCTCAGGTGATCCACCCACCTCGGCCTCCCAAAGTGCTGGGATTACAGGCATGAGCCACTGCACCTGGCTTCAAAATTTCTTATTGTGCTGTATTCACCGTTCTTATAATTACGGGAGATGATGAAATACCTACATGATGAGATTGAGTTGAAGGACATAAGCATTGTGATTTAACATTAGGTTACTATTGACCTGAGGATACATCAGAAGGAGGATCCCCTGCTTTGGGTGATCTTGGGTCATCAAGCTATGAGGCTGAAAATGGTTGGATATCAGGAGACTATTTTGATTTCTAATGGGTGGGTAGAATACGCAGCATGATATGCTGGACAAAGAGATGATTCATATCCAAAGGGATGATTCACATCCTGGGTGGAATGAAGGAGAACAGCATGAGATTTCATCATAGTACTCAGAATGGCACACAACTTAAAATTTATGAATTATATATTTTTGGAATTTTCCACTTAATATTTTCAGAACTTAGTCGACCATGGGTAACTCAGATGACAGAAAGTGAAGCAGTGGAAAATGAGAGGACTACTGTCAAAAAAATTCTGCAGCAATGTACATATTTTCAAAATGTTTGACTTATTAAAATTTGGTCTCAATAATATAATGGCATTTATGTAATTATAAATTGGATTTCAAAAATGCAGTTTTATTAAGCTGATTAATAATTTTGAAATAGTCATTATACCTTCAAAAAAAAAAGGAATGAATGTGAAATATTAAAATTTTGGTCACCAAATAAGTTGTCTTTTGATTATAGATGTAATATAATCTAGCTTTTACTGAGTGTTCACTAGGTGCCAACCACAGTGCCTGAACTTTGCATGGTTAACCTGTTATATTTTATATATTTATGGTAATTTTATTATCTCCCTACAGACATTCAGTGAAAAAAACTGAAGATTAGAAAATAAAAAATTTTCCCAAGGCCACCTAGCTTGTAAGTGGCACAGTCTGGATTTGGATCTGGGTAGTTGCAGTGAAGAGCTTCTACTTTTAATCACAATGCCATTCCACAGCTTGATGCAGATATAACATTTTATATTTTTCTACTTCTAAACTTGGAAGAAAGCACATAAAAGGAAAGTGTGAAGGAGGACGATGTACTAAACGGCAAGTTTATAAAAATAAAAAGGTAATGAGGAAAAAAAAATACAAAGGCTATATAAGGTCTCTGGTTACCTTGTTAGGTGAAGTAAACTCAAACAACAAATTGCTGTAGTAATTTGCAATAAAATTCTGGAGAAATTTTAATTAGAGAAAGGCATCCAAATTTTATAAACAAAGTTAGGACAAAACTTAGAATTATTGAATACCCTAAATATGGAGAAAGAAGCTAAATACTTTGTTTTATGACAAAACAATTACAATTTTAAAAATTATTTATATCATAAAATTGGACTGGGAAAGGGTTTTTTAAATGAGACCTGAAAAGCATAGGCAACAAATGCAAAAATAGACAAATGTAATCTCGTAAAGCTAAAAAGCTTCTGTACAGCAAGGGAAACAATAAATGGGGTGAAGACAACCTACAGCATGGGAGAAAGTATTTACAAACTATCCATCTGACAAGGGACTAATATCTAGAATATATAAGAAATTCAAACAACAGCAAAACAAGCAAGCAAACAAACATAAAACAAAAATGAAGAAACCCAATTATCCAATTAAAAATTGAGCAAAAGACCTGAATAAATATTTTCCCAAAGAAGATATACAAATGGCCAACAGATATATGAAAAATGCTCAATATCACTAATCATCAGGGAAATGCAAATCAAAGCCACAATGCGTTACAACCTTAGACTTGTTAGAATGACTAATGTCAAAAAGTCTAAAAATGCATGTTGACAAGGATGTAGACAAAGGAAAAGGAATGCATTGTTGATGGGAATGTAAATTAGTAGAGCCATTATGGAGAAAAGTATAGAAGTTCGTCAAAAAATTAAAAATAGAACTACCATATGATCCAGCATTCCCATTACAGGGCATATCCAAAGGAAATGAAATTAGTATATTGAAGAAATATCTGTTCTCCCATGTGTATTGGTATCTAGTGCTGTTCACAATTACCAAGATATGGACTCAGCCTCAATGTCCATGTACAGATGAATGGATAAAGAAAATGTGACGTGAATATTTACAATGAAATATTATTTAACCATAAAACAGAATAAGATCCTGTCATTTGCAGCAACATGGGTAAACCAGGATGAAAGTTTAAGTGAAATAAGCCAGGCACAGAAAGACAAACACTACATGATGTCACTCATACGTGGAATCTAAAAAATTTGATTTTACTGAAGTAGAGATTAGAATAGTGGTTACCAGAAGTTGGGGGTGGTATGGAGGTGAGGTTGGGGTGGGGGTGGAAGAAATTGGTCAGTGATTTGTCGATGAGTACAAAGTTACAAAGTTATGGTTAAACAGGAAGAATACATTTTCTTGTTCTATTACACAGTAAGGTGACTATAGCAAATAACATTGTACCGTATATTTCCAAGTAGCTAAAAGAGAAGATTTTGAATGTTATAACCATAAAGAAATGACGAGTTCTTAAAGTAATACATATGATAATTATCCTGATTTGATCTTTCTACAATGTATAGATGCATTGAAACATCACATTGTACCCCATAAATATGTACAATTATATGTGAATTCTAAATAAAGAATAATTAATAAAAAATAAATTGATGATATACCCTAGGCATAAAAATTCCGTCAAGAGTACAATACCTCATTGACATACTGAAATCATGTTTTCAGGAAAAAAAAAGTAAGTACATTTGGAATTCATATACATTTTATGAAGCCCTGAATACAGAATAAGTAAGATGTAAAAAAAAGTGTTTTAGAATTGTGGAACTACAAGTAGTATTGATTAATAGCAGTTGAATTGTGGGTTAGGATACATTAAAATTATTCTACATTTCTATTTTTCCTCTATTTTAAAATTGTATAGAAGATATTAACTACTTCAAGTTTGTAAAAATTTATCAACACAATGTTTATATATTCACAAAATAAGAATGCTGAAAAATAATCATTTGTTGACAAAAATGTTTCATTTTATTATGAGGACTTCACAGATGCTATAAAGACCATAGATGAACTCATTGGGATACAAGGAGTCCAAGTCAAAAAAAACTGTGTTTTGGGTTATACTTATTACAGAAAGATTAATATTTAATACTTGGTAAATAGATGTTTATGAAAAAGAATTATATATTTAAAAAAAGAGTGCAGTTAACTACACGCCAAGTGCTTTCACATTCAAGAAAAGCCAAGAAATTGCCTCATCAATTATAATACAGCACTTCCATTTATCACAAAAAAGTATATATTATTTGTTGTGACATATATAGATGCAAAAGAATAAAAATACACTGAAATACATACACATAATTTATTATGGTGGATGTTTCCAATAAGGAGTTGTTTGAATTGAGACAAATGATGATATATTATTATTTATTATTTTTATTATAAAGTTGGCTTTGGAGTATATATGGTATATACGGCATAAACTTAGCACTTGTCAATCTGACTCCTATATCAGATATTTTTGACTTTACTTTTATTATTTTACATTTTAAAAATCCCAATTAATAAATGTGGTCATTAAACGTCTATATACAAGCAAAGAGTGACAATCTCTTCTCATTGTTTCCCTCCAAAGCAGGATAATTGGAGGATGGCTTCGCTTGGAATCGAAACACATTAAGTTGCATATCTGATTAAGCAACTGATGCAACAGTAGAAATGTGTTGTGGGTTAGTGGAATATGTCTCCAGGGCAGAGTTTAAAATTCAGAAAGAACTGGGCTGATATCATGAAGCTGCTATTTAATTCCCTTTTGGGTCAAGCATGATACTAACAGCTTTATTTCCCAAATGTATCATCTATAAAATGGGAATCATAATAATACATATCATATATTTATAATTAAGATGAAATAGACTAATATATGTGGTGAGCTTAGAACAGTGAACACACAGTAATATTGCTATCATTACTGTATTGTTGCTTTATATTGCTGCTAAGATTCTTGAGGGGGTTTCTTTATCACTTGTTATCTGATCTTTATTATTTTTTTTTGCCAATTTATCTTTTAATTCATCCATGTAGATTTATATATCAGTAGTTCTGTTTTGAGGACTTCATCATATTTCTTTTCAGGGGAATAATTGTATTTGCTTGTGTAATCATGTGCACATAATGACAATTTGGTCAATGATACTGCATATATGATAGGGGTCTCATAAGATTATAATAGAACTAAAAAATTCTTATCCCATAGTGATATTGTAGCAGTCATAATACCATAGTGCAATGCATTATACACGTGTTTGTGGTGATTTTGGTGTAAACAAACCCACCGCACTGCCAGTCAAAGAAAAGTACAGCACCTAATATTATGTACAGTACACAATACCTGATAATGATAACAAACCACTGTGTTACTGGTTTATTAATTTACTATACTATACTTTTTAACATTATTTTTGAGTGTACTTCTACTCCTTCTATTAAAAAATGTTAACTGTAAAAATAGCCTCTTGCACAGCATTAATTAGAATCAATAAGAACAAGCTCCTTATCTTTTTGGCAATATCTGGGAAAAATGTTAATTTGTCACCACAAGGAGTGATGTTAACTGTAAATATTCCATAAATGCCCTTTAACAAATTGTTTCCTTCTATTCTTAGTTTTTTAGAAGTTTCTATTAATACCATGAATGGATGTTGTCTAGAATTTTGTCGTGTTTTTCTATCTTTATTTTCTCTTCTAATTTAATAGGGTGGAATGCAATGATTGATTTTCAAATGTTAACCTATCGCTTTACTCCTGGAAGAGTTCAACTTTAAATCATGATGCATTATTTGCTTTGTAAATCATGAGATTCCATTGCTAACATTTTATTAAGATATCTGTGTTTGGGGTGCTGAGGAATACTCACTTGTAAATTTATCATTATGTAATTTCAGGTTTTTTTTCAGTACTTTGTTGATTACATAAAATGATTTGGTATATGTTCCTTCCTTTAATATTTTTTGAATGAGTTTGTATAGAATTGGGATCTTTTTCTGTAAAATACTTTTTAACCAGAATTTTCTTTGTTGGAAATTGTTGATTATGTACTCAGTTTCTTCAAAAGATTTTCTATTTTTTTCTTGAGTCCATTTTAGTAAGTTATGATTTCCAAGAATTTTCCCATAGCATCTAATTTGTTGACAATGAATTCTTTGAATTTTGCTCTTCCTTTTTGAAATTCTGTAGAATCTGTAGTGACATTCTCTTTTTTATTCCTGATAATGTTAATTTGTGTCTTCCTGAGATATGACAGGGATTTATCAATTTTTAGTCTTTTCAAAAAAGCCAAAGTTTGTCTTTGTTGGTTTTCTCTATTGCTTTTCTCTTTGCCATTTGATTTCTTATCTTCACTATTTTCTTTCTTCTACTTATTTGATATTATTCTTCTTTCATTATCTTCTTGAAGTGGAAATGTAGATAAGTAATAGTAAACCTTTACTATTTTCTAATATTAGCATTTAATGCTATAAGTTTCCCTATAACAGTGCTTGAGATGCATCTCACAAATTTTGACATGTTGTATTTTCATCATTATTCACTTCAGACTATTCTCTCTTTTTTTACTGTGATTTTTTTCCCTTGGCCTACATGGCATCTGGAACCGAATTGTTCAATTTCCAATTATTTCTGACTTTCTACATATCAGATTTAATGGATTTCTAATTTAGTTTCATTGTTTTCAGAAAATATACATTGTTAGATTTAATACTATGACGGTTATTTTATTTATTTATTTATTTATTTTGAGACAAGGTTTCACTCAGTTGCCCAAGCTGGAGTGCAGTGAAATGATCACGACTCATTGCAGCCTCGACCCACGGGGCTTCAGCAATTCTCCCACCTTAGAGTGCCAAGTAGTTGGGGCTACAGGTGCGTGTCAGAATGCCCGGCTAATTTTTGTTTTTGTGGAGATGGAGTTTCGTCATGTTGTCCAGGCTGGTCTAGAACTCCTGAGCTTAAGCAGTCTGCCTACCTCGGCCTCTCAAAGTGCTGGGACTATAGGTGTAAGCCACTGTGCCCAGTCACTTTGAAAGTTACTGAGAATTATTTTAGCCCCTCATTATGGTCTACTTTATTAAAAATCTATGTTCTTAAAAAATGTGTTTTCTGCACATAGGTATTATAGTCCATAAATGTTAATTAGGTCAAGGTAATTTGCAGTTTCAAAAAATTGTCCATATACTCTTATTTAAAAAAAAATTCTATCTTAAGTTATAGGTTAACCTGATTTTACATGCATTTCGAGACTCTAGGTCACAGGCTTTATGAAAACACACACTTTTATCATGACTAGTAGAGGATGTGTCACTTGTGATGCCAACTAATCAACTGTTGTGTAGATTAGTTGCTAGTAAGAGGCATTTACTGAATCTGCCCAGGCTACTTTCCCTAAGTAGGCAGGTGGTTCCTACATTGACTTCGCCTGGTAGGGCTGTGACTACCTGTTCATAGTTAAATATTTTTCCAAACAGATGATTTTCATAATGGCCTCACAAGATAGTGTCAGGTGGATCTCCTTCTGAGAAAACAAGTCACTGGATCCAAAGCAAGTTTACCAGTTTGCCCTCAGTAAATGGCTAAGTATGGCAGTGCACCACGGTTATATGGAGGTACATAACAGAGGCAGTGGGCTAACAGGGATTGCTGTTTTGCCTGCATCATCACCTGCGCTGCCAGCAGGTTTGTTTACTGTTTTTAACCCATGATTAATGAGAGAAAAATGTATCATATTTTGCCTAATGGTCTGTGATTTTATTAATTTGGTTTAGAAGTTTTCTTTATTTCTGTGAGTACATATGGGGAGGACAGCTGGGGGTAGAGAAGGCAGACAAATGTTCAGTCTCCCGTTGCAAACCAGATGCTGCCTGACTGGAAGTAAGAAATATATAAATTGCTTGGCTAATCCCTGCCAAAAACCTAATGTCCACTAGTGAAAAGCAAATTGGTATCTTGTGTCAGTACTGACACTTTTATTTCCAAACTTATCTTTTGTTTACCCATATCAGGGGTTTTCAATATGTTTTCCAACAAGAAAAATTATCCCTGGTAAACCTGAGCAGCTTCACGAAATTCTCAGTAAGAAAGATACTGTAACTTATAACCAGACAAGCCTGTGTGCTTGAGGGTCTCTGGGATTTTCAGGCAGTGAAGCAAAGCAAATACTGGAATCTGATTCTTTTCTTAACATTTAGCCAATTTGAATACAAGTTATTCTCAATCTGCTGTGTAATTCCATGTTACCTTAATCAAAATATACTGACAACGCACAATAGGGGGAGGGATAGGAAGGAACTGACTGTTACTGAGAAATATATATATTTTTAACTTCAAGGCCCACAACAGAGTCTTTTCCAAAGACTGTGTTCCAACCGTACCTATATTATGTTACAAAAATCCTTACAAAATCTTATGAGATGAGCAGTATTAGCCACAGTTTAAAGAAAAAACTAAGCTTCAAAGTTCATACCTACCACTCTAGGACTTTCAGACTATAAACACAAAATCAAAAACACGAATTCAAATATCTACAGTGTTAATGATCATACTAAATCTTCCATTACCACTTACTTTCCTTCACTGATCCAAGGACATTATATCTGTCACTGTACTGAATTATTAGATAATGTTACATTTAATTGTATTTAAATGCAATGCAACAAAATAAACTTTCAAAAATCAAATACATATTTTTTCTCTAGAAGAAATATTCTTCCTAAGAAGTGTCTGTAAAGATGTAATAAAACTATTAAGATATTAATGACATGCTTCTAAACTACATGATTCATTTTTATTCAATGACAATTGATAAATTAACTCTTTTCTGTGAAAGACAGCGAGTTTAGGTGTTTTGTTTGTTTGTTTGTTTGTTTTCCCCACAGTGTCTTGCTCTGTGGCCCAGGCTGGAGTGCAGCGGCAGATCTCGGCTCACTGCAACCTCTGCCTCCTGGCTTCAAGCGATTCTCCTGCCTCAGCCTCTGGAGTAGCTGGGACTACAGGCTTCCGCCACCATGCCCGGCTAATTTTTGTCTTTTTAGTAGAGACGGGGCGTCACCATCTAGGCTAGGCTGGTCTTGAACTCCTGACTTCGTGATCCACCCACCTCAGCCTCCCAAAGTGCTGGGATTATAGGGGTGAGCCACCGCGTCTGGCCGAGTTTAGCTTTTTTTTTTTTTTTGAGACGGGGTCTCACTATGTCGCCCAGGCTGGAGTGCAGTGGCGCGATCTCGGCTCGCTGCAGCCTCCACCTCCCGGGTTCACACCATTCTGCCTCAGCCTCCTGAGTAGCTGGGACTACAGGCACCCGCCACACGCCCGGCTAAATTTTTGTATTTTCAGTAGAGATGGGGTTTCACCATGTTAGCCAGGATGGTCTGGATCTCCTGACCTCGTGATCCACCCGCCTCAGCCTCCGAAAGTGCTGGGATTACAGGCGTGAGCCACTGCGCCTGGCTGAGTTTAGCTTTTTAAAATCCCTCTCATTGCCTCCCTATTACTTCCAAATTTTTGTTTGTCATATTTTTACATTATCTCAATTTAGAGTATTCTAAAATTCCAACTCCCTTAGTTATTTAGTAATAAGATTAGTTCTACATTTAATATATTCAGTACTCATCACTGGCCATTTATATAGTTTCTTTACATTTATGTTAATTGATTCAAATCCATTTTTAATTAAACTTTCAAGTTTTGAGATAATTGCAGAATCACATGCATTTTTTTTTTCAGATGGAGTCTCACTATGTTGCCCAGGCTGGAGTGCAGTGGCACAATCTTGGCTCACTGCAACCTCCACCTCCTGGGGTTCCAGTGATTCTCCTGCCTTAGCCTCCCAGGTAGCTGGGATTACAGGCACACACCACCATGCCTGGCTAATTTTTGTATTTTTAGTAGGGACGGGGTTTCGCCATCTTGGCCAGGCTGGTCTCGAACACCTGACCTCAGGTGATCCACCTGCTTTGGCCTCCCAAAGTGCTGGGATTACAAATGTGAGCCAGCACGCCTAGCCTCACATGCATTTTTTAAAAATAATCATGAGTGATGTAATGTACCCTTTTCCAATTTTCCCAAATGGTAACATCCTACAGAACTACAGTAAAAGATCACAACCAGGGTAATGAAATCAATACAGTCAATATATAGAAGATTTCCATCACCACCAATGCCTCACGTTACCCTTTAATAGTCACAATATATAGAAGATTTCCATCACCACCAATGCCTCATATTTCCCTTTAGTAGCCACAACAAAATCCGTGTTACTTCTTAACCTTTGGCAACCATAATCTACTCTTCATTTTATATGTAATTTCAAGATACAGAAAACATCAAATACTCCTACTCCTGACTTCTTTATAGATTTTCTAAATACAAGATAATGAGAGAGGAGAGCAGAGCAAACCTGGGAGCTAATTGCAAAAATAAAATAAAGACTTTTTGTTATTTCAACAGTTTTTGCGGTACATGGGTAATTTCTTTAGTGATTTCTGAGATTTTGGTGCACACATCATCCAAGCAATGTACACTGTACTCAATTTGTAGTCTTTTATCCCTTAACTCCTTCCTAACCTTTTTCCCCAAGTTCCCAAAGTCCATTATATCATTATTATGCCTTTTTATCCTCATAGCTTAGCTCTCTCTTATAGGTGAAAACATATGATATTTGGTTCTCCATTCCTGAGTTCTTTCACTTAGAATAATGGCCTCCAGCTCCAGCTAAGTTGCCACAAAACACATTATTTTATTCATTTTCTGGCTGAGTAGTATTCCATAGTGCATATAGACCACATTTTCTTTATCCATTTATTGGTTGATTGGCACTTGGGTTGGTTCTGTATCTTTGCAATTGTGAATTGTGTTGCTGTAAACATGTGTGTGCATGTGTCTTTTTTATATAATGATTTCTTTTCCTTTGGATAGATACCCAGAAGTCGGATTGCCAGAGTGAATGGTGGTTCTACTTTTAATTCAAAAAAGACATTTTTAATTGAAGTTTTATTGAGATAATTGTAGACTCACATGCAGTTATAAGAAATATTCCAGAGAAATCTCTTGTGCACCCTGCTGTTTCCCCCAAAGGTAGCATTTTATAAAAGTCTTCTGTAGTATTATATATCACAACCTGGACTTTGAGACAATCCACCAATCTTATTCAGATTTCTTTCAATTTTACTTATACTCATATGTGTGTTGTGTCTGTGTATATATATATATATATATATATATATATATATATATATATATATATACACACACATAGACACACACACACATTAAATTCTATACATTTTTTACCCCAGAGCTTGGAGGCTTGTTCAACTTTTTGAATAAGTAGGTACCTTGTATGTCTTTTGTAAATTTGGAAAATTTTCAGCAATTATTTCTTTTAATACTTTTTAAGCCCCATTCTCTTTCCTTTCTGAGACTCTGATAACATGAATTTTAACCTTTTGCTATTGTCCCACAGGTCCCCGAGGCCCTGTTTATTTCTGTCTACTTTTTATCTCTTGCTCAAACTGGTGAATTTCTATTGTTCTATGTTCTAGTTTATTGATTTGTTCTTGTCCAATTCTGGTGCTGAGTTCACCCACTGAGTTTTTCATTTCAGTGATTGTATTTTAAGATCTAAAATTTCCATTGGATTTTTCATTTTGCCTTGTATTTCATTGTTGAGACTTTTTATACATTGTTGAGACTAGTTTATTCATTTGTTTCAAACATGTTCATAAGTACTCATTGACACATTTCATGATGGCTGCTTTGAAATGTTTGTTAGATAATTGTAACATCTTTGTCATCTTAATAGTGGCATCTATTGATTCTTTTTTTCATTGAGTTTAAGATTTTTCTAGATCTTGGTACGATAACTAATTTTTTTATCAAAACATAGACATTTTGAGTATTATATTATGAAACTCTAGATCTTATTTCAACATCATATTTTAGCTGGCTTCCTCTGAAATTGCTCTTGCAGGGGAATAGTGGTTTCCTACTGCCAAGTGTTAGAAGAAATCCAAATTTCCCATTTGGCCTCCACTGACACATGAGGGGGTGCTTCTTTGGACTGCACAGTGGGAGTTGAGTTCTGTCTCCCCACTAGGTCTCCACTAATACCTCCTTGGCTGCAAGATCTAGGAAAGCTTAGTCTGCCCCTTCTTGGTCTCTATTGACACTGCCAAGACAGGTTATCTTTCTTACTGATGAATGGTGGTAAAATTCTTGACTAGGCCCCTCCAACACTGTAAGCATATAGAGAGGGATTGTTAGCTGCCTTCAAGTTGTTTTCTATCACAAGACCCTTAATGCCCCAAATATAAATCTTTTCCATGTCAGTCAGTCATTCTGAGAGATTGTCCCCAGGTAAATAATGTGAATTTCTATATGTAATTTCCAAGAGTGCTTTGGAAGAGAGTGGGATGCTATGGTGTTTTGTATTGTGTTCCTATGCTTAGTCTAAATTTTCTTCCCTGTTGGTATTCACTGAGTACCACTCTTATACATGTCTGCCTGTCTTCTGTATTTACCCCTTTCTCTAATATACTTTGCATCTGTTCATTTATTTTTGGCTTTTAAAATTTTCTTCTTTACATCTTCTATTTCTTTTACAGTCCATTCATTGTCCATATTTGTTCTTATATTCTGTTTGGTTTAGTCTTCATGTCTGAAATAATTGTTAGTTTTTAAAAAAAATAAACTTTTTATTTTAGAACAAGTTTAGACTTGCAAAGAAATTCAGAAGATAGTACAGAGAGTTCCTATAAGCCCATGCCCATTTTCCTCGATTATTAACATCATGTATTAATTTGTACATTTGTTGTAACCAATGGGCCAATATTGATACAGTATTATTATTAAATAAAGTCCGTACTTTATGTTCTAATATCCTTTTTTTCTGTTCCAGGATCCTCTCCAGGATACCATATTACAATCAACTGTCATACCTCCTTAGGTTGCTCTTGGCTATGATGGTTTCTCAGACTTTCTTTGTTTTTGATGCCCTTGATAGTTTTTGAGTCATGTTGGTCAGGTATTTGGTGGAATATCCCTCCTTTGAGATTTTTCCAATATGTATTATAAGTCTTAAGTGGGGGAAGACGACAAACGTTAAGTGCCATTTTCTCCACCTCATATTGAGAGTACATACATGAAACGTGACATCACTGCAGATGTTAGCCTTGATCACCTGACTGAGATAGTGTTTGCCAGGTTTCTTATTGTACTGTAGGTTATTCTCCCCACTACCCCACCCCTCCACCCCCCCCTTTTTTTTGTTTACTGTGTTTATAGAACGAAGTCACTATGCACAGTCCAGACCTAAGGAATGGGAAGTTGTGCTAAATCTCCTTAAGGGCGGATTATGTACAAAGGTTATTTAGACTATTTTGCCTATTTTAGCCATTTTTCTATTTTTTCATCATTTATTTATAACACTTTGAACTTACAAGTATTTGATTTATACATTGGGTTATAATAGTATTTCTGATAATTTTAAATACTATTATTACCAATTGCCTCATTTTTTTTCTTTTTCTGATTTGTGATTCTTTTAAATATTTGTCATTTGAAATTTTTTCTTTTGGTATGTTTGCTGACTTAATCTTTTAATCTTCTATAATTTTTCTCAATCTCTTTTTTCTTATTTTGAAATATTAAACAACAAATTTTATCTGCTATGTGATTAAATGTTAATGGCATGTTTTCATAATATATATAATTGCTATTCGGATTCCTATTCTCTTTTTTATTATAACAACTTTGTACGAGATTCTGCTGCAAACTTTCTCTGTTAAACATTTGTAGGTGAAATGATTATCTTGTGATTTTTGGGAAAGAGGTGTTAGTAGGGATATTTACTGTAGTTTTACCACTTCAGAGCCCCCTAATCTATTGCTTTCACCAACTAATCACAAATAAGTCCTCAATTTATTTCATCAACGTTGTATATAGTTTTCAGTGTCCAGATGTTTCTCCTCCTTGGTTACATTTATTCCTAAGTACTTTGTTATTTTTTATGTCATTGTAAATGGTTCTGGGAGGTGATATATTCCTAGAATTGAAGACTATAGATGATTTTAAGGTATCAAAGAAAAAAAAAAAGAAAAAAAAGCTTCAACTTTCTGGGGTCTTCCTTCACAATTTCCCTCTTGCCTTAGCCTTCTCTAGCCTTTTAATCTCCTCTTTCCTTTGCCCCTACTGGCTGTAATCTGTTTAATTTGGACTGTACTCCTAGCGATATCTCCTCAATATAGGACTTAGACTTGAAAAGATACTTTAGTGTTTTGGTTTCTAGTTTTAAAGGGCCTAGACTTCCAGATAATTTTATCACTCTCAGAAATTCCGAAAGTTCTTTGAATCCTCACCCAAATTGGTGGTCACCATGTCCATGTTTAGCTTTTGCTGCTATACTTTGAATGGACTTTGCAGTGAGTCTTTGGGGTTCTCTGGATTTTTCTGTGAGAAAGCTCTTTGCCTTCTCTCTACCTTTTCTAGTAGAGTGTCTGGTATTAAGTAGGTCATTTTGCTGCTGCTAGTTTGTCTTCATCTGCTTTTATTTTAGGGTTCTTGAAGTTATCCTTTCGCTGTAGCTATGCTTTGCAAAGAATTTCAAAAGATTTGAGTCTACATTTCTGTCACAGCTATCTTCAGAGAATCCTGTTTGTTTATATTTAATTTAAATCTTTACCATTGTCTAATTGGTGATCTGCTTACTTCTGCTCTATTGTAATTATTGTTTTGCATAACATTTTAAATTAATTTTAATTATCAGCTCATCACCTTTCCAACTATCACAGTATTACCAGTATCATCTTTAATAAAATGGAATTCCTGAATCTTGTGACTTAAAGAAAATAATCTATATAGTAATTGTTTCCTTCTTGAAGCATATATATATGTGTGAGGATAATGAATAAGATGTGTGATAATCACCTTAAGCAATTAGAGGAAATACGCAAAGTAAATATAGAGGCAACAATGTATTTATATATTTGTTTATTTATACTTTATAGCTTCTTCCAAAAGAAATGTGAGATGATATTATAATTATTTTAATTAGATTGCACCTTTTTCTGTTGTTAAATTTGCTAAATTCCTGTGGAATTTGGGTTACATAAGAAGAGACTGAAGTATACAGTCCTTTTTATACGTGATTGACTGCTTCCCTTTCCTTTCATTTTTTTCTTTCTCATCTTTTTCCCTTATGTCCTTCCCTTTGCTCTTTATAACAATGTTTTTTTTTCCTCTCTCTTTATTTCTCTTCTCATTATAGGAGATTTGAATGATACCTGATTACAGATACTTCAGTTCTGGTATACCATAAAGTTTAGAAGAATAACAAATGAATTGGATGACAGAATATGACTTCAAATCTATCCTGATGTTTAAAATTTTAAAAATAAAGTTCAACAGTACTGCATGTGGGAAAGAAAACTGGAACATGAAGCCAACTGCATAAAATTTAGGATGAGATTGTAAAAGTTTCTCAGCAGCAATATTTTAGTCAGCAGTGACTATAATTTTACTTAACAATATGAAATAACCACTGAAGTGCTACACACCCTTAGCCTGCAATGATTACAAGGAAAAGTGAAGGAAAAAAAACATATTTTTTATCTAGAGTGAGATTGATATTCTTTTTTGATGATGCCATAATTTAAGTATGATGTTCATATTTAAACCTGCATTTTAACAGGGTGTTATTCCTGCCAGGTGTGTTCCAGTTAGAGATGCTAGAATGGGAAAAGTACTACTCAAATCCTTTTGAAATGAATCAACGCCCAGGATTGGAGTTTGAGAAAGGGAGGATATTGGACTTTTCCTCAAATATAGATAATGTTATTCCATAGAAGAATTATATTGACACCCTAATGGAGGAAGTGGAAAGCATGGGCCAATATGAGAAAGATTTTATATGAATATAAGACATACTTTTATAACATCAGATGAAAGGCAGAGTTGGCTGCTTCAGAAGTGATTAGCTATTTAAACCATATTCAGATGAATACTTGGCAAAGATTCTACAGAGAATATTCTACAATCTCAAAAATGATTGAATCATATGTCCTTTAGAATTTCTTCAAGTTTGAATATCTGTAATTTTATAAATGATCCATTTCATTTCCAGAGAAATAACAAGTGCCATTTCAACCAAAATTCAAACACAATCTTTAAAAAGGGAATAATATGTACAAAATTAAAATTTGTATCTAATTATAAAAACGATTAAAAGTATTATTTAGCCCCTATTTACACTGTACTCTCATGAGACAATTAAAACTAAAATGGAAATCCTAAAAATGAAAGAAAAAATGCTATATGTAGGTTAAAATTTATGATACTTAACTGTTAATATATCACGGCTTTTATTGTCCAGAAAATTAATCCTGAATTGAAGCAAATTGATTTCAATAGCATCACAGAATTTTACACTTCCAAAATATAACAAAGTCACCAAAAATAACTTACAAAACAACGACAACTCATATACCGAAAGACACTAGCAAAGAAAGTGACAATATGAAGCAAGAAATATAATCCAATTGTAATAAACTACAAAAATTATTGATCTATACTGGAAGTAAATATAAAGAAACATCTGAAACAGAGAGGAAGGTGCTGCATAGATTAATTCTTGTTCTTCCTTTCCTCCATAATAAAATGTTGGCAAAACTCTGCATGTAGTCAGTAGGAAAGAAAATCGAGTTGATATCCTTTATATTACAGTTTCCTTTACCAAAAGAGGAGTACAGAAGGTGACTATTGAAGAGAAAAGAGTAAAGGGAGATAACAAACAAGGGAGGTGAGGGTTTTTTTAATTGAAATGACGCTTCCAATGCCAAACACTAAATTAGGCTCTGGTTCCAGAGCCAGGAGGGTATCACCCCCTGAGAAAGTGCCTCCTCCTGCTAATGCAAAGAATGGTGGTGGGGCCATTTAGCAAGATTGTAGGGGCCCAGCTTTTCAAACTGCAACCTCAATTTAGTGTGTTTTCTTCCCCCACAATTCCCGCAAATTATAAAACATTGGATAGAGCAGAAAACATCCAGATCCTTTAAACTGGGTCTTTGAAGAAAAAAATAAAATTATCTCAGATAAGAACAAAATGAACAAAACGATTGGTAATAGCCGAATATGCATTATAAAAATTAAGAGACAACCCAATTCAAAGGGAAGAAAAAAATAAACTATGCAATGACAATTATTTTCATACAGAGGAAAATGACTCACTCTAGAGTAGAAACCTCCCACAATCACTTAATCATACAAGGCAACTAAATAACAACATAAAATCCATAAAACAAGAGCTCCAAAACAAGACAAGGTGATAAAACAGTTGTATGATGTGGTAGACAGAGTAATAGCCCCTGAATGATGTCCAAGATCTGATCCATGAAAACTGTGAATACGTAACCTTATATGCCAAGAGATTTTGCAGATGTGATTAAAGTTTAGAAATTCCAGAAAGGGAAATTATCTTGGAATGGATTTATTTATTTTATGAGTCCAATGTACTCACAAAGGTCCTTATGAGGGAAAGATAAAGGAATGAGTCAGAGACAGAGAAGGAGGGAGATCTGAAGATGCTATGCTGCTGTTTTTGAAGATGGAAGAGGAGAATACAAGAATTGCAGGAGGCCTCTGGAAGTTGGAAAATGCAAGGAACATTCTCTGCTATTTGCTTCAGAGGCAATGCAGCACTGCTGACCCATTTCAAACTTCTGACCTACAGAACTGTAAGAAAATAAATTTGTGTTGTTTTAAGCCATTAAATTTGTGACAATTTGTTATAGCAGAAAAAGGCTAATGAAAGTGACATAAGAGCAAAAATTGCAGATCCAATAAACAAATCGAGAACCACGTAAACAAATTTATCAAAATCAAATGAATGAATAGATTCACTGAAAGTTGCATTACTTACAAGTAGGAGAAGTATGAAATAATTCCAATGGATAAACGTGAAAAAAGAACAAGAGCTTAAACATTAAGAAATAAAAAGGCAAGGAAAAGCCAAAATAGGGATGTGGTTTACATGAAGAAAATACCCAAGTGATACATACAAAAGATTGAAAGAAAGACAACATTTGTATTCAATGACCAAGGGCATGTAACTGAGCACAGTCTTGGCTGCTCACTACTTGCAAAGCCAATAACAAGGATGAAGTGGAGTGGAAGGAATATGACTTTATTTCCAAAGCTGTGGGGAAGCAACCAGGCTCACACTTCAAGAAACCTGTTCAAAAGTTTGGGTTGAGGGCAGGGGTTTAAAAAAGGGAAGCTTGATATGGGAGGCATGCGGGAGTTGTGCAGGGTGCAGGAGCTGTGTGTCTGCCTCTGATACCTATCTTATGTTATGGCTCATCTGGAGCATGGGCTGGCACCAACTTGACAGTGGCTAGGTTGTGAATTATCCATCCTGAGGCCTCTTTAAGTCGGGGAGAATTCTGCAGCTGGGCCTTCATGCCTACTTCATTTCAAATTAGCCGCTGGAATTTCTTAACAGGCATATAAATGTTATTTATATGAATAACATTTAGATAAACGTGCATGGGGTAAGGGGGTATACAGTGGGAAAGGGAAGGGATTGGATTTTCAAAGTACATTTTAAGGCTATATTTTAAGACAATGGAACAAAAGGGGTAAAAAGTTTTCTGCAGTTTATGTCAAGGTTACAGATTGAGACTGGGAAGAAAATAGGAAAGGAAAAAGTTTTAAAATGTATTTTAAAGCTAAACTACTCATAACAGGTATAGATAAAAATTCTCAAACATGGAACATAAGTTGTTTTTAAAAATAATTAAGTGAAAATGAAATTTATGGTTCAACTTCTAGGAAAATGGAGAAGAACTTCTCTTTCCTATTCCTCCTTTTAAGTACAACTAAAACCTCTGGATGTTATGTAAAACAAACATAAGAAGACTTTGGAAGATGGAGAGAAGGCAGACTGGCTGGGGACTTCAGGATCCAAAAAAATGACGTGGTAAGGTGTTCCCAGGATTTTTTGTTTTGCCTCATATATCCCAGACTTAGAGCTAAAGGAGCCAGCAACCCAGAAATGCCAGCAGATGAAAAAAAAAAAAAAGCCCCAACAAATGTTTGCTCTCCTTAGCTAAAGGACTAGGAATAGGGTAGTCTTGCAAGAAACAAAACTCCAGCCAAGCATCATAGAAAAACATGTGGCCCCACATCCATATGTCACTTATGAGCCAAGAAGCCACCCTATTCACTTTAGAGCTAGGCACCCTAAGACCCCAGACCTTACCAGTGGGTGTCAGAGATGACCAAGTAGAGAAGTTAGAGAGCCAGGATCTCATCCCCATCAGCAGTTAGGAGCACCACCACCACCACCACCACCACCAGAACAACAACGACAGTAGAAACCCTGCGGGCAGACTGTGACTCCAGAAAAAAAAAAAAAAAAAAAAAGAGAGTCTTACTTAAGATATTAATTAATTTCAAAACAGAAGAAAAAGAAAAATAAGTGAACGAACATCCTACTTTGGGCAAGAATGAGAAATTTTGGTGAAGAGCTGAAAATGCGACATGAAGAAAGAATCTTCGGCACAGATATGGGATGAAATACAAGTGAAGTGCAAGAAGAATGGAGGTGGAAGAGAGAATTTTAAGAAGATGACTACAATTCGTGTTCATTGAAGAACACAAATAATGGCATTAATAAATACTTAATTGCTTTTAAAAAATGTTCAAAGAAATAAAAGATCATCCAAGGAATTATTAGCCAGAAAATCTAATTTTAAAAATATAAAGGCCACAGACAAAATATCAATAATACTTAAGAACTCAGGGTGCATTTTTCATTAGCATTTCCTGATTATATCTGTAGAGAACACACTTCAGACAACCAAAATGACTAAAAAAAAAGTAACATAAGGACTAGAAATGGGCACTAACTATATATTTTCCACACAACTAAAACTTGATGTTGATAAGACCATCCTGGCTAACATGGTGAAACCCCGTCTCTACTGAAAATACAAAAAATTAGCCGGGCATGGTGGCGGGCGCCTGTAGTCCCAGCTACTTGTGGGACTGAGGCAGGAGAATGGCGTGAACCTGGGAGGCGGAGCTTGCAGTGAGCCGAGATCGCGCCACTGCACTCCAGCCTGGGCGACAGAGCAAGACTCCATCCCAAAAAAACAAAAAACAAAAAAAGAGAGAGAGAGAGAGAGACAGTATAAGTATAGTATGTGATGTAAACAGAAGCCCTAATTTGTGTTTGCTGATTTCAGTGGTGTAAATACTGTCAGCACAACCGATTTCAAGCTACCAATTTAAAAAAGCTCCTACTGGTAAAAGATGGGACAATTTGAGCATCTGTAAAAATAATAAGTGTGATAAACCAAAGCATGTCAAATGTGTTTAACTCCATGAACTCATTATGATACTAAAAAAAAAGAAGCTTTCTCACCACACACACACTTCATTTAATACCATTAGTGCAAGTAATAAGGAATTAACCCATATGAAAAGTCTATAAAAAAAAGAAACAAGCATTTATTCTGCCTTTTCTATAAATAGTACCTCAGAGAAACAAAAAGACAGATAAGGAGTAGTAGACCTTTATAAAAATATCCCAGTTTATACATGAAGCAAAAATAATTTAATTAAAATGTAAATATTTTGCAGCTTTAGTGAAATTTGGATCCAAACACTAAACATTGATGGCTGCTGACATCACAAAACGAGACAACTTGATGTTAGGTTTCTTGTAAAGGAAGTACAAAATGCCTCCTATCAAACAGTGCTGCAAATGGTCAATCTAATCACCAGTTTTCAAGAAATATAAGAGAAAGAAGAACACATTAAATGATGTCACTGGGATGCAAGTAATACATTCAGATTACTGGAAAATCACAAGACAAAAAATACTCCCATTTCTTTTTTTTGTTATTATTTGATTTTCTCAAGTTTTGCGGTACATGTGTAGGATGTTCAGGTTTGTTATACAGGTAAAAGTGTGCCATGGTGGTTTGCTGCAGCTATCCACCCATCACCTAGGTATTAAGCCCAAATGATTTCTTAAAAATAGATTGTAAGAAGAAAAAAACAGAGTGATGACTAATAGTCAAATAGTCTGAAATGACTATTTGAAAACAACTAATCAAATTAACTAATCAAAATGTATGATACTTGTTTGGATCCCAATTTGACCAAATATTCTGTAAAAATAAAAAGAACAGTTGTAGGACAATCAGTAAGAGGTGTCTACTGCCTACATATTTGGTGATATTAGAAATTATTTTGGGAGAGTGTGATAAGGATATTTTGGTTATGTTTTCAAAGGTAGCTATTGTGTTTTAGACATATATACTGATATGTTTATAGATGCAATAATGTGCTCTGGGATTTGTTTCAAAACAATGAAATGGAGGGTGAATGTGTGAGGTTATGGAGAAGGAAAGAATTGGCTATGCTTTGTTAATTGTCAAAGCTAGGTGATGGGAATGTAAGAGTTAAAAAATACTCCTAAGTCTGAAATTCTCTGTAATAGAAATTGTTAAAATATGACCTTGTGCCTATGAAGTGTAAAATTCCAGGACATCACAATAGATAAACTATTGTTTGTATCTAATATTTCATTTCTTTAGAAAGCAACATATTTTTCAACAGTTCTACAGTGCTTTTAAGGATTTTACTACCAAGAAACTTTTTATTATGGTGACTTTGTTTTAAATGTGTCTTTATTTTCAATATATCACTGCACTAGAGATAACTACACTTAAGACAACCCACTTTAGGTCACTGAATACACTACTTTTGTCTCAGCTAATGGCTGGGAGATTAATATTATGGCAGTAGACAATAATCATAGATGAGTCTAGCTTCCAGATATTAATACAGAGAGTTACTGAACTCATGAGCCTATTATTTGATAGTCACTTTTCATTTTTTTAAGTGGAAAGGTACACTTGCTATAAGATAGAAAAGAATGAATTTTCATCCTCAAGGCTGTGTGTTGCCATATTATTGATTTTTACAGAACTTAAGGCTGTCCCAAAATGTATGTTTCTTAAATGTAAAAAAAAAAAGTATTCTTTATATATTTATTTAGGAAGAATATTATAATTACTTTGGCTTCATATTTGAATAGCTTTATTAAGTATGGAAACAAAAAGTGACATTTAAACAAAAGTGAAATGTTAAAAAAATTAAAAAGAACAGCTATGTAACAACTCAACAATAGAATTTTAGTAGTTTCTTTCAAAACCCTTGTGTAATCTTTACATAAACCCATCACTCTCCCCACCCTCACAGAGGTAACCACTATGCTGAAATTTGCATTTATTCGTTTTCTTTATTGTTTAATCCAATATGTTCTTATAATATGCTGTCTAGTTTTTCAAGCGTTGAAGCATATATTAATGGAAACACACTGTATATATTCTTCTAGGACTTTCTCTATTTTAAAAGATTATGTTTTTGAGATTTACCCACATTAATGATTTTCGCTGAAGTTGATTCATTTCCATGTCATAAAATATCTGAACTTAAAATGTACTCCATTTTATTTAGAAATTTGTTTTTATTTTTAGTTTTTCCTCTTATAAGCATTTCTATGAGCATTCCTGGTGTGTGAGAATGTATACATAGATATGTCTGATATACATATATAATAATTTCTCTAGAATATATAACCAAATGTGGAATGATTGCATCAGAGAGCAAGTAGCTTTTCAGTTTTACTAGACAGTGCAAAACTCTATCCAAGTACTATAACAAATTTGTGATTCTATCAGCAATAAGAATTCTAATTCCTGGACATCTACATTAGCAGTTGATATCGCAAAATCTATGCTAATTTGGGTGTAAGATAGTATGCCACTGTGGCTTTAGTTTACATTTGCCCAGTTACTAATATCATTCAGCATCCTTTAATGTTATTTGTGTAGTTGTGTTCATCTTAATTTATCTATGTTTTTTTTATACCAGATTTCTACTTGGTCATTTAACTTTTTAATTTATTTTTTTATTTTTACTTTCTGGGATACATGTGCAGCTAAGTTCTGGGATACATGTGCAGCATGTGCAGGTTTGTTATACAGGTATACATGTGCCATGGTGATTTGGTATGCCTAGCAACCCGTCATCTAGGTTTTAAGCCCCACATGCATTAGGTATTTCTCCTAATGCTTTCCCTCCCCTTGACCCCCACCCCCTGATAGGCCCCAGTGTGTGATGTTCCCCTCCCTGTGTCCATGTGTTCTCATTGTTCAACTCCCATGTATAAGTGAGAAAATGCAGTGTTTGATTTTGCATTCCTGTATTAGTCAGCTGAGAATGATGGCTTCCACCTTCATCCATGTACCTGCAAAGGACATTAACTCATTCTTCTTCATGACTGCATAGTATTCCATGGTGTATATGTACCACATTTTCTTTATCCAATCTATCATTGATGCACATTTTGGTTGGTTCCAAGTCTTTGCTATTGTGAACAGTGCTGCAATAAACATACGTGTGCATGTGTCTTTATAGTAGAATGAATTATCTTCCTTTGGGTATATACCCAGTAATGGGATTGCTGGGTCAAATGGTATTTCTGTTCTAGATCTTTGGGGAATTGCATTGCCACACCGTCTTCCACAATGGTTGAACTAATTTACCCTCCCACCAACAGTGTAAAAGCATTTCTATTTCTCCACATCCTCTCCAGCATCTGTTGTTTTCTGACTTTTTAATGATCCCCATTCTAACTGGCATGAGATAGTATCTCATTCTGGTTGTGATTTGCATTTCTCTAATGACCAGTGATGATGAGCTTTTTTTCATATGTTTGTTGGCCACATATATATCTTCTTTTGAGAACTGTCTGTTCATATCCTTTGCCCACTTTTTGATGGGGTTGTTGGTTTTTTTCTTGTAAATTTGTTTAAGTTCCTTGTAAATTCTGGATATTAGGCCTTTGTCAGATGGGTAGCTTGTGAAAGTTTTCTCCCATTCTGTAGGTTGCCTGTTCACTCTGATGATAGTTTCTTTTGCTGTGCAGAAGCTCTTTAGTTTGACTAGATTCCATTTGTCAATTTTGTCTTTTGTTGCAATTGTTTTTGATGTTTTAGTCATGAAGTCTTTGCCCATGCCTATGTCCTGAATGGTATTGCCTAGGTTTTCTTCTGGGGTTTTTATGGTTTTGGGTTTTACATTTACATCTTTAATCTATCTTAAATCAATTTTTGTAAAAGGTGTAAGGAAGGGATCCAGTTTCTGTTTTCTGCATATGGCTAGCTGGTTTTCCCAGGACCATTTATTAAATAGGGAATCCTTTCCCCATGGCTTATTTTTGTCAAGTTTCTAGAAGATCAGATGGTTGTAGATGTGGTTGTGTTATTTCTGAGGTCTCTGTTCTGTTCAACTGGTCTATATATCTGTGTTGGTACCAGTATGATGATGTTTTGGTTACTGTAGCCTCATAGTATAGTTTGAAGTCAGGTAGTGTGATGCCTCCAGCTTGTTTCTTTTTGCTTAGGATTATCTTGACTATATGGACTCTTTTAAATTCCATATGAAATTTAAAGTAGCTTTTTTTTTCTAATTCTGCAAAGAAAGTCACTGGTAGCTTGATGGGAATAGCATTAAAACTATAAATTACTTTAGGCAGTATGGCTATTTTCATGATATTGATTCTTCCTATCCATGAGCATGAAATGTTTTTCCATTTGTTTGTGTCCTTTCTTATTTCCTTGAGCAGTGGTTTGTAGTTCTCCTTGTAGAGATCCTCCACGTCCCTTGTAAGTTGTATTCCTAGGTATTTTATTTTCTTTGTAGCAGTTGTGAATGGGAGTTCACTCATGATTTGGCTGTCTGCTTGTCTATTGTTGGTGTATAGGAATGCTTGTGAGTGTTGCACACTGATTTTGTATCCTGAAACTTTGCTGAAGTTGCTTATCAGCTTAAGCAGTTTTGGGGCTGAGACGATGGGATTTTCTAAATATACAATCATGTCATCTGCAAACAGAGACAATTTGACTTCCTCTCTTCCTATTTGAATACTCTTTATTTCTTTTTTCTTGCCTGATTGCCCTGGCCAGAACCTCCAATACTATGTTGACTAAGAGTGGTGAGAAGAGTGTCCTTGTCTTGTACTGGTTTTCAAAGGGAATGCTTCCAGCTTTTGCCCATTTAGTATGATATTATCTATGGGTTTGTCATAAATAGCTCTTATTATTTTGAGATATGTTCCATCAATACCTCGTTTATTGAGGGTTTTTAGCATGAAGTGATGTTGAATGTTATCAAAGGCCTTTTTTTGCATCTATTGAGATAATTATGTGGTTTCTGTCATTGGTTCTGTTTATGTGATGGATTATGTTTATTGATTTGCATATGTTGAACCAGCCTTGCATCCTAGGGATGAAGCCGACTTGATCATGGTGGATAAACTTTTTGAAATGCTGCTGGATTTGGTTTGCCAGTATTTTACTGAGGATTTTTGCATCAATGTTCATCAGGGATAGTGGCCTGAAATTTTCTTTTTTTGTTGTGTCTCTGCCAGGTTTTGGTATCAGGATGATGCTGGCCTCATAAAACAAGTTAGGGAGGAGTCTCTTTTTTTCTATTGTTTGGAATAGTTTCAGAAGGAATGGTACCAGATCATCCTTGTACCACTGGTAGCATTCGGCTGTGAATCTGCCTGGTCCTGGGCTTTTTTTTTTTTTTTTTTTTTTTTTTTTTTTTTTTTTTTTGGTTTGTAGTCTACTAATTACTGCCTAAATTTCAGAACTTGTTATTGGTCTATTCAGGGATTGGATTTCTTTCTGGTTTAGTCCTGGGAGGGTGTATAAGTCCAGGAATTTATCTATCTAGATTTGTCTAGATTTTCTAGTTTATTTGCGTAGAGGTGTTTATAGTATTCTCTGATGGTAGTTTGTATTTCTGTGGGATCAGTGGTGATATCCCCTTTATCATTTTTTATTGTGTCTATTTCATTCTTTTCTCTTTTATTCTTTATTAGTCTAGTTAGTTGTCCGCCTATTTTGTTAGTCTTTTCAAAATGCAGCTCCTTGATTCATTAATTTTTGAAGGGTTTTTTGTGTCTCTATCTCCTTCAGTTCTGCTCTGATCTTAGTTATTTCTCGTCTTCCACTAGCTTTTGAATTTGTTTGCTCTTGCTTCTCTAGTTCTTTTAATTGTGATGTTAGGGTGTTGATTTTAGATCTTTCCAGCTTTCTATTGTGGGCATTTAGTGCTATAAATTTCCCTCTTAACACTGCTTTAGCTGTGTCCCAGATGATGAGCAGGTTGTTCAGTTTTCATGTAGTTGTGTGGTTTTCAGTGAGTTTCTTAATCCTAAATTCTAATTTGATTGCTCTGTGGTCAGAGAGACTGTTTGTTATGATTTCCATTCTTTTGCATTTGCTGAGGAGTGTTTTACTTCCAATTATGTGGTCAATTTTAGAATATGTGCTATGTTGCACTGAGAACAATGTATATTCTGTTGATTTGGGGTGGAGAGTTCTGTGTATGTCTATTAGATCCATTTGGTCCAGAGCCGAGTTCAAGTCTTGAATATCCTTGTTAAATTTCTGTCTGATTAATCTGTCCAATATTGAGAGTGGGGTGTAAAAGTCTCCCACTATTATTGTGTGGGAGTCTAAGTCTCTTTGTAGATCTCTAAGAACTTGTTTTATGAATCTGTGTGCTCCTGTATTGGGTGCATATGTATTTGGGATAGTTGGCTCTTCTTGCATTGATCACTTTACCATTACGTAATGTCTTTCTTTGTCTTTTTTGGTCTTTGTTGGTTTAAAGTCTGTTTAATCAGAGACTAGGATTGCAACACTTGCTTTTTTTTTTCTTTCCATTTGCTTGGTAAATATTCCTTTATCCCTTTATTTTGAGCCTATGTGTGTCTTGGCACTTGAGATGGGTCTCCTGCATCCAGCACATTGATGGAGCCAAGATGGCTGAATAGGAACAGCTCCAGTCTACAGCTCCCAGCGAGACCAATGCAGAAGGTGGGTGATTTCTGCATTTCCAACTGAAGTACCCAGTTCATCTAATTGGGACTGGTTAGGCAGTGGGTGCAGCCCATGGAGGGTGAGCAGAAGTAGGGTGGGCGTTTCACCTGGGAAATGCAAGGAGCCGGGGACCTCCCTCCCCAAGCCAAGGGAAGCTGTGAGGGACTGTGCTACCCAGCTGGGTTACTATGTTTCTCTCACAGTTTCTGCAATCTGCAGATCAGGAGATTCTCTCGTGCCTACACACAAGGGCCCTGGGTTTCAATCACAAAACTGGGTGGCTGTTTGGGCAGACACCGAGCTAGTTGCAGGAATATTTTTTTCATACCCCATTGGCACCTGGAACCCCATGAGAGAGAACCATTCACTCCCCTGGAAAGGGGGCTGAAGCCAGGAAGCCAAGTGGTCTCCCTCAGTGAGTCCCATTCCCACAGAGCCCAGCAAGCTAAGAACCACTGGCTTGAAATTCTCGCTGCCAGAACAGCAGTCTGAAGTCAACCTGGGACGATCGAGCTTGGTTGTGGGGAGGGGTATCCACCATTACTGAGGCTTTAGTAGGCGGTTTTCCCCTGACAGTGCTAAGGAGGCTAGGAGGTCTGGGCTGGGAGCAGCAAAGTAGTTATGGTCAGACTGCTTCTCTAGATTCCTCCTTACTGGGCAGGGCATCTCTGAAGGAAAGGCAACAGCCCTAGTCAGGGGCTTACAGATGAAATCTCCATCTCCCTGGGACAGAATACCTGGAGGAAGGGGTGGCTGTGGGCACAACTTCAGCGGAGTTAATCCTTCCTGCCTGCCAGCTCTTAAGAGAGCAGCTGATCCTGACAAGACGGATTCTCCCAGCACAATGCACCAGCTCTGCTAAGGGACAGAGTGCCTCCTCAAGTGGGTCCCTGACCCCTGTGCCTCCTGACTGGGAGAGACCAGTCTAACCCAATGCAAGGAAGCTAAGAATCTTGATAAAAGGTTACACGAACTGCTAGCTAGAATAACCAGCAGGAGAACTTCATGAAGCATACACAAGTATCAATAACCGAATCAATCAAGCAGAAGAAAAGATATCAGAGATTCAAGGTCAACTTACTGAAATAAGTCATGAAGACAAGATTAGAGAAAAAAGAATGAAAAGGAATGAACAAAGCCTCCAAGAAATATGGGACTATGTGAAAAGACCAAACCTATGATTGATTGGTGTACCTGAAAGTGACTGGGAGAATGGAACCAAGTTGGAAAACACTCTTCAGGATATTATCCAGGAGAACTTCCCCAACTTAGCAAGACAAGCCAACATTCAAATTTAAGAAATACAGAGAACACCACGAAGACACTCCTCAAGAAGAGCAACCCCAAGACACATAATCGTCAGATTCTCCAAGGTTGAAATGAAGGAAAAAATATTAAGGGCAGCTAGATAGAAAGGTCAAGTTACCTACAAAGGGAAGTGCAGCAGACTAACAGCAGATCTCTCTGCAGAAACGCTATAAGCCAGAAGAGAGTGGGGGCCAATATTCAACATTTTTGAAGAAAAGAATTTTCAACTCAGAATTTCGTATCCAGCCAAACTAAGCTTCATAAGTGAAGGAGACATAAAATCCTTTACAGACAAGGAGATGCTGAAGGATTTTGTCATCACCAGGCCTGCCTTACAAGAGCTCCTGAAGAAGCACTAAATATGGAAAGAAAAAACTGGTACCAGCCACTGCAAAAACACACCAAAATATAAAGACCAATGACACTGTGAAGAAACTGCATCAACTAATGTGCAAAATACCCAGCTAGCATCATGATGACAGGATCCAATTCACACATAACAATACTAACCTTAAATGTAAATGGGCTAAATGCCCCATTTAACTTTTTACTTTTAGTTTTTCAGTCTTTTTATGACCTGGGTACTATTTCATTATCAGTTCATGAGTTATAAATACCTTATCTCAGTTTGAGTCTCATGCTTTCAATTTATTTGTAACATCTTTTTACAAAGAGGATTTCTTAATTTTAAATGGTTTATTTTATCTGCCTTTTCCCTTTATATTGTGTGCTTTTTGTGTTAGATTAAAATCCTTTCTTAACTATAGGTCATACAGGTATTCTATACTGCCTTCTAAAAGTTTTAAAATATTGCTTATCATATTTTTGTCTTTAAATATTCTGGAGATTGATTTTGCTTAAGGTGTCAAATTTCCATACTCAGTTTATTGTTTTGTCTATCTTCACCATACTTATTAATATCTCTTACTGTCTTAATTACCATACTTTAAAAATAAAATGTTTTCTCTTATAGGACAGTGCTCCAATTTGTTCTTATTCTTCAGGAGTGTTCTGGAACTTCTTGGTTCTTAATAGTTCAAAAAAAAAAAAAAAACAAAGAAATATAAGACAAATCTATGATGACATTTTGATCAGAATTCTGTTGCCTTTAGGGAATAATATGAAGATAATTGGTATCTAAACTATGTTAACATGTCCATGGACATGGTATCTTTTCCATTTATTAAAGTGTTTAAAATGTCTTCAATATAGTTTATATTTTTTCACAAATTTCATGCATTTCTATAGTTACATTTATTCCTAGGTGCTTACATTTACTTATATTTTTGTTTATAATCATAGATGGTTTACCTTATTTTATTTTTTTTGAGATGAAGTCTTGCTCTTTCACCCAGGCTGGAGTGCAGTGGCACGATCTCGGTTCACTGCAACCTCCGCCTCCCAGATTCAAGCAGTTCTCCTGCCTCAGCCTCCTCAGCAGCTGGGATTGCAGGCACACACCACTGTACCTGGCCAGTTTATTTTAATCACCTGTTCTACATACTCATTGTTGATGTATGGTTATGCAATGCAATTAATTAAAAAAAATTGGAACACAAAAACTTGAATTATGTTATGAATTGTACTAATTATCCATAGATTTTTCAGTTCTCTGTGGTGTTACTTTTCTCCCACATGCTGATTTTATTCTGTGTTTCTAATCCTTATGCCTTTCATTTTCTTTTCTTATTCCTCTTTCCTCACTAGGACTTTCATCACGATGTTCAAGAATAGCAGTAAGAGTAAGTGTCTTTGTCTTAGTACTGTTCTTAGAGTATACTTTAACTCATTGCTGTTAAGTATAATAATTGCTGTGGGTTTTACATCAATTCCCTTCTTTAAATTAAAGTATTCCCTTCTGTTGCTCATTTGCTAATAATAAGGCCTAAATGCTGTATTTTATATCATGTTTTTGTGGCATCTATTGAGATGAGTTTGTGATACATTTTTATTGCCAATATCTTGTTTAGAGTTTTTTCATCTGCAATATTATGTGTATTTAATACATATGTTGAAGTATTTGTTTCTTATATTTCTCCATCTGCTTCTGTTTTTAAGATTGGAAAGACAGTATCACAAATCATGCTGAGCAGTTTCTACTTTCCTATTTTCTGGACAATTTTGTATAAGCTTGGATTTACCTAATCTTTAAATGTTATTTAGAACACATAGATAAAACTATTTGATTTTAGCATTTTGTTTATAAAAATATTTTAATTACTTATCAATTATTTTAGTGGGTAAAAACATTTAGCTTACCTATTACTGATTAAAATATTGTATATCAGTTTTAAATGTGAGCAGGGGGCAGAGACAATATCTGCCTCATATATACGGTACTAATGTTTTTAATTTTTTCTTTTTGCTTGGTAATGAAGCTACTACATTTCATAGTCTTTCACATTTAACTTGATAATGAAGTGTTCTAATCATAATGTGTGTTTTCACATATATTTCTTTTTTGCTGTCTCATGAGACATTATGTAATCAAATCCATACTAGATTACATGAAACACTTCATAGTAGAATAGAATAAAATTAATAATAAAAATATGCTTTTTATAAAACTTTGTAAAATCAGTGAGCAGGAAATTCATTTTGTTGAAGGTGAAACTGAAGCACATAACACAAAGCAACACAATATTTAAGATGAAGATTAAAGAGGTTAGTATATGTAACTTTGAGTGGAAAGTCTACAAGTTGAAGTAACTGAAGGGAAAAGTCTTTGCTCAAGTAACATCTACAGCATGGTAACCAGAAAGCTATGGCACACTAGAACAGATATCACTTGTGTCTTTTCTGTGTCAGAGTACAGAGCCTTGACTTCCAACTTCTAGCACCTGCATTTTTTTTTTCCTATAGGTGGTCCTATAATCCACTGGAGACTTTGCAGCCCATTTGACAAACTAGCAGTGTCTGGAGATTAATGCTTGCTTTCCTTCCTGAGGTCTTCAGCTAATGGTAGTTTGTGTGTAAATGCACCAGCTCCTTCTCCTCTCTGATGGGGTATCTCTGAGATAAAACTTTGTACAGTGGCCCCCACAACTCTCTAGTGGGATTAAGCTATGTTTCTGTAAGTGATAGCTTCATTGATGCACCTGTTTTATTGTCTGTCTTCCCCTTCCCTTCTCATTTTTTTACTCTCCTACCTGTGTTTTCTAGAATCATCTTTCAAATAAAACAATTAAACTTGAATGCTTTTTTTGCTGGATCAGTTTATTGGGAAGCACACAAAGGCAGGAGTTATCCTAGGACATGGAACTCAGGATGGATTTCTGTAATTGAATAACTTGCTGACAAAATGGCAATGTGAATTCCACTGCTGGTGGTAAGTGGGGCAATGATAACCTCTAGCATGTTTTTGCATCACAATTAAAAAGACTACTCATTCTGACAAACGGAGCCTTACTATTGTTTTGTATTCAATTTTATCTTGACATCTATTGGGTCAAGTCTGCCTTACACCTGTGTTTCTTAAGGAGCTAGCACACCTTCATAATTTTACCATCACTCCAAAAATGTCAAAGGCATATCTTTTTTACCACCCATCCTATATACAATGGTACTATTCTGATGGGTCATTTCAGCTTCCATGTGTCATCTATTACCTGCTTCCAAACATTCTCATATGGAGCTCACTTACTACTAAGAACTTATCTTAGTGAATATTCTTCTCACTAACTTGTTGGACACTATCAACTCTAAACAAATTTTACAGACCCTCTCATTATTATTAACCTTTTGTCCTTTTGAAAGTTTTATTTTCTTTCAAATTTATACTCTTTTATTTTATAGTTTCTTATAATAACTTAAAATAATCCATCGGGGTTATCAGCAGTAATGCCAAGAAATGTTAAGAAGAATAGTTTTGCTCTTTTTGACTGAAGTATAAATAATGTTTTACACAGTGAAATTACAGATGTTTATTCACTTAAAATAATATTTAATATCATTTTGTTATTAGGTGAATTCTCATAGCCCTTGCTTCACTCTTATCTCTATGAAATTGATGGGATTAATCCTATCTGTTTTATGCTTTTGTTTTAAAATTCATCTTTCTTGGATTAACAGCCATTGAATTCTGAGTTGTTATGAGGATTTTTCAGTTTCTTAGTGATTTTCAGATCAGCGAAGACTGATAATGAAATTAAATAAATAATTTCTTCTTTCTTTTATTTATTTGCATATTTATTTCTTCATGCTATTTAATAAGTACTCAGCCAAACCCTAAAGATGTAGGTTTGGATAATTTCTCTACTGTTGATATTCCCACAGTCTAAAAGGCAGGGTCAATTTGTAAACAAATAATTAGAATATAGCATGTTAGATACTAAGGGAGAAAACCTTAATGTCTCACATTGCTAATTGTGAGACATTGCCCCCATTAGAAGCTCTCTATCAATTCCAGAGATTGAAAACGGGATATATTAATAATTTATTTTCTGTGATACTGCTTCTTCTCACCCTTCAGGGCTTCTGAATATTTCATTCATTGCATTTCTCTTTCCTTCTACAACAATTTCTCTTCCTGGCATAACCACATGCTAATAAGCACAGGTTTGCACATAAAACTGGAGAAGAGAGAGGCATTGTTTTTTGAAGGTATATTTAATGCCATGTCTTGTGAAATGGTTTCTAGAGCACATCTGTCTTCTTTTCCCTCCTTTGTGGTCATTCTTGTTCATTCACCCTGTTTCTGCACCCTGGCTTATTACTTATAGATACTGAGTATAGAAGTCTAGTGGTAATGGTATTAGTTTTAGAATCCTGACAACTATTTGCTAGTATCATAACCTTGGTTAAATTACCTAATCATACTGAGCATCTCTTTATTCATGTGTAAAATGAGCTAATGCTTATTATTCAGCACTGATATGAAATTAAGCAACTATGTAGAGATTAGTATATTGGAAACAGTAGACACTATGTGAGTTACCATGTTATTCTTTCTCTACTACTTAATAGACTTACCAAAACAACTTTAAAATGTATATTGAGTGCATACATCGGCTTACAACTAAGTTGGATTACTTTAGGAATAATAATAATAGTAGTAATATAACAAAAATAAAACTAGGGGAATATCAGAAAGCTTTTCAACACATGAGGAAATTAAAACAACTGAAACACACAGTAACAATAAAAAATGAGTTTCATAAATTTGCAATATATGTGCTTCTCCTTCCTTCTGGAAAGGGTAAGCCTATGATACAGATTTTAGCATCATTGTGGATTAGTGACATGCTAGGCAACTGTTATTAAATTAGGCCTTAATGTTACCTTATTATACAAGTTAAATTTGCTGTTGAGTGCAAGAACATACAGCAGAAGCTCTGGGGAAATCTAAACAGACAGCAGCACAACCATTCGTCTTTGGGAAAATACAGGGATGATTCAAAAATGCTCACTACAAGAAGGGAAGCTTCAGGAGTCATTTGAAGATGGAGATGCAGGCAACTCTTCAAAGAAATAGAGATAAATTATGCCATGTGAGAAACATAGCCAGAAATTTAAAAAAAAATGAAGGAAGACAGAAGGAAGACATGAGAGAGAAGATATACTAAGGGAACAAATGGTGAATTGATTTTTCTGATTCTCTGCTCAGAGCTGATGAGTAAAATGAAGTTGCCTTGAATTTTTGAAACAACTTTTGTACACCCAAACTTCTAATCCATATGGAGTTTTACTAAGTCAAAAAGAAGGTAAGTATGACATACTAGCATTTTATTTCTATAGAAGCTGTGAAAAAACATTTGAAATTTGGGCAGGTAAAGAATCTGAGACTCAAGAATTTGACAAATATTTGTTATTTCTCTACCCTTTATCTTATTATTGTTATTTCAGGTGCTGGGGATGCAGCATTACTAAGAACTGATTCTTGTCTTCAAGCTCACCATCTTCTGAAGCAGACACTCAAGTAAACCCACTCATTAAAAATCACATTATATGTCCTATATGGAAAATGAGAACAATGTGATATAGAAAAGAGGAGATGATTTGTTCCAATTTGAGCACTTCAGGAAACTTTCCTGAGGATATAAAACATAAATTTGTTTTGATACATTTTATGGAGGTAACCAGCTGTAAAATGTTGGTGAGAGTCTCTAGGCAGAGGAAACAATATGAGCAAAATTGCAAGGAAAGAACCAGCATAGAAGTCTTCTCATCTCCAGGAAATCGCTGCCATGAAAAAAAATAGAGAACTGATGCTGCCAGAAAGTTTTGCTATTACTAGAGCCTGAATTGGAAGACAGGGGTGAATATTAGGATGCAAAAGTCTTTTTAAGCAGACATAAAGAGATTGGACAGGAAGGAGATTCTGTAGATCAAGTGTCGAAAATAAAAATTCTACAGATATTGCAAGGAGAAAAAACCAAACACCGCATGTTCTCACTCATAGTTGGGAACTGAACAATGAGAACACACGGACACAGGAAGGGGAACATCACACTCTGGGGACTGTTGTGGGGTGGGAGGGTGGGGAGGGATAGCTTTAGGAGATATACCTAATGCTAAATGACGAGTTAATGGGTGCAGCACACCAGCATGGCTCATGTATACATATGTAACTAACCTGCACATTGTCCACATGTACCCTAAAACTTAAAGTATAATAATAATAATAAAAGAAAAAAAATTCTACAGATAGTGTCTTTCTCTTGTACATATTGAATCAATATTAAAAATTAGAGATTTCACTAAAAACACATATTTGGCTTCTCTTAACAAAGCTTTCTGGCAGCATCAATTCTTTATTTTCTCATGACAGTAATTTCCTGGAGATGAGAAGACTTCTGCTCGGGGTACATATTCTCTGCTGTGCCTTTGTGGGCAACCCTTACACAAAGTTTACATATGCACTTGCACCTGGTTAGCATTTGTTTTTATCCGGCGTGAGTAGGCCCTTGACCTTGCTATCCCTACTCTTGCTATTGGTTTCTACATCAGAGGAAACTATTAACATATTTTAATCTGTGGCATGACATCTTCAACTTGGCAATGATAAAGACTAGAGTCTGAAGAAGGTCAGAATGAGAGAAAGAAGCAGGAAGAGCACTTAGAGGGTTGTAATCATCAATATGAGGCCTAACTGCAACAGTTATCATATTGAGCAAGTTTCAATCATTTGTCGAATATGAGGAAAAGAGACAAATCTGGGATGACCATCTGTTTTATGGATTGGGTGACTAGGTTGATGATGAGATCCATGACTAAGACAGGAAACAAGGAGAGAATTGAAGGAGATAGGTAGATATGTTCAATTTTGGACAAGCTGAGATGAGTTTGAGGTTTCTGGGAATATTACAAGGGTCAGATGAGCAGCAAGGTGAATATATTAGTCAGAAGCTAAATCAGAAGCTGATTGGAAAGGCAAATGCTAGGGATATGGTTTGGAGAGTTATTATTATTTAGGTGGTATTTGAACCCAGGAAAACAGGTGATGTCTTGAAAGTAACAGCACAGAAGGAAAAATCCTAAAAAATTAGAAATGAAAAACAGAAAGAAGTGAATGAGTCCATGAAAAAGTGAAAAACAAGGACACAAAGGAGAATTTAAAAATGAGAAAAAGTATCCTTTACCATAGGAGTCTATTTGTTTACTGAGTTTAGCCAGCAGGAGTTTGGAGAGCAAGAGATAGACACCTTTAGTTTCAGAGAATCCAAGGGGGTAAGGAATTTTAGACAGTGAATGGTTAGCAATGTCAAAGTCAATAGATTGACCCGATGAAACAAGAGCTGAAATGTATTCGCATGGAAATTATGGTGATCTTCGCTTGAGTGGTTTCAGCATAGTGAAGACAGAAGCAAGTATCAAGGTATCTAGAGTCAGTGAGATTAAACTACTTTTAAGAAGCTTGACCCAGAAAAGGAAAGCCATAGAGTACTATCAAGAGTTGGATGCAAGACATAAAAGAGGAGTTTACAGTGACTGAGGCTTGAGCATGCTCTTCATGTATCTCTGATGATACCTACAGAAATATTTTGCAGGTATTTCAAAAGATGAAAACTAGGCAAACCATTATCGTTGTGGTTATTATTATTTGCTATTTTTTTTATTCAAGAAGTTTTGTTTGGTGATTCAAACACCCTTTGACCATGATAGTATTCTCTCAACATGTCTTTAATGTCAGAGTAGTCCTTGTATTTAAAGGCAATACGTTATTTTCTAAAGCAGTTTTAAAATTACCCCTTTTTATTGTCATGTTAATTAAAAATCTAATTCTCACGTTTCCACTTGCAATCCTAGTTCTGCTCTTGGGAGCTATACAGGGTAAGACTATTCTATCTTTCATAGAAAAATTCTTTAGATATTTCAAAAGTAAATTTCATGCCTCCTCTTTTGTTCAATTCTTTTTTCTAAGATACATGGAAGTTTGTACACTTAGCATCTATTTGAGATGTTTTCAGGTCCCTTACTAACTTTATCTCTTATTTCGTCTTTCTCTTAATTCACTCTAGCTTATCAATGTATTTAAATGATGTTTAATTGTACCTAGTACTCCAAATTTGTTTCGTATAGCAGAAAGTACAGTTGGTCTGCTATGTCTTACTTGTAGGGCAATTAAACTTCTATTTAGGCTCCAAAAATTAGCTAACTACTGTAAGCAACCATCTCACACCATGAATTCACTAGAAGACTTGGAGATAAGATAAGTTTTATATTACTTCATGTTAAGTATTTTTCCTTCCTTCTGAAACTTATGTTAGTTATTTTTCAGCTTTAAAGTACTAAGGGTACATTTTGTTGGCTTCATATTAGCCTAGGAATTTAGTTTCTCACTGTCATATTAAATCCTGCTTTTGTCACTATATTATTAGTTCTCTAATTTGTTGTCTACTGAAAATATAAATATCTTTTTATATTCTCATCTAATGCACATATTAAAAATGTTAGACAGGTGAAAATAAGGCCACACAAGTTTGTCATGTTCCACTAGAGATTTATTCCAAGGTTGAAATCAATGTCTTATTTGACACTAGGTATGACTCCTAAGGCATTTGTGAGTTCATGTAACAATATTGCCCGATTCATATTTCATAAACATTTACTAACGTATATGAACACTATTAAAGTGCCCAAGTGTTTTCTCAGGCTAATGAAAACTTATCAAAAGAAGAAATAAGGATTGTATAGCATGACTCATTTTGGGTAAATCTTCATGGGTTTTTAAGGATTTCATCATTCTTTTCAAGTAATAGTAAATTGTATTTATATAGTGCTTGAACTTTTTAGGTGATTTGTAATGCAATTGTCCAGAGTGAAAGCATTGTACAAAGCTCACAGGCATTGGGATTAGCAAATGGACTTAAAAATCTGGCTGTGGTATATATATTAGCTCTGTGTCCAAGGTAAATATGTAATATGAAGAGGATAATAGGTGTTTCATGAGGTTGTTATTAAGATTTAAGGAGAATTTATCATTCTCATTATAGCATTCCATCCAGGAGTTATTCCCCAGTGGGTATATGATAAACGTGAAACTTCTACTTCCAGCACTGAGATACTTAGAGTAACTGTGCTGTGTAGTCAGAAGTCAGAACTGGTGTAGCACCCATCTTGGAGATATTTTTTTTTATTATACTTTAAGTTCTGGGGTACATGTGCAGAATGTGCAGGTTTGTTACATAGGTATACACGTGCCATGGTGGTTTGCTGCACCCAACAACCCGTCATCTACATGAGGTATTTCTCCTAATGCTACCCCTCTCCTAACCCCCTACCCCCTTAATAGGCCCCAGTGTGTGATGTTCCCCTCCCTGTTTCTATGTGTTCTCATTGTTCAACTCCCACTTATGAGTGAGAACATGCGGTGTTTGGTTTTCTGTTCTTGTGTTAGTTTGCTGAGAATGATGGTTTCCAGCTTCATCCATGTCCCTGCAAAGGACACAAACTCATCCTTTTTTATGGCTGCATAGTATTCCATGGTGTATATGTGCCACATTTCCTTAATCCAGTCTATCATTGATGGACATTTGGGTTGGTTCCAAGTCTTTGCTATTGTGAATAGTGCCACAATAAACATATGTGTGCATGTGTCTTTAAAGTAGAATGATTTATAATCCTTTGGTTATATACCCAGTAATGGGATTGCTGGGTCAAATGGTACTTCTAGTTCTAGATCCTTGAGGATCTAATAGGTAAAAATTGTTAATTTTTCATCATTGGTTTGGCTGCCAAAATCTGCAGCTCTGTTACCAGGGAGCATGAATTCAATTTTACGTAAAATTTGAAAACACAAGACTTTGAATCTGAAAGTAGTGTAGTAAGATATAAGTAGAGTAAAATAATAACTTTGATAGCCAGAGATCGTGATCTGGTTGGGATAAATGCTGGAACAGCTAGGAGATTCTGGAAATAAGAGAGACATAGACATAGGATAGTCAGATAAACTTTCTATGCATTCCTGTCTATCTTGGGAATCTGTACATGACAGAGACAAGTGAGGAGTAAATATGAAAACAAATTTGAGAATTGGCTGATTTCTGGAGGCACTCAGCAACTCACACACAGATTGGTTATCACAGAGATAGGTTTAAAGGGTTTTTGGGTATAAACTCTATGAGAACAGTAGTTTTCATTGAGATTAAATAAGAACTAAAAGAATAAAAAGGAGAAGCAAATTTGTACAATATAAAGTTTCCATATTTAACTTACTAGTTTTGGGTCTCATAAAATGTGCTATTCTTAATTTAGGGTACATGTATTCATCCAACAATTATGTGCTATTAGGTGTCAGACACTGTACAACTTACTAGAAATGGAATGATGAATAATGTGATGATTATAGAAAAAATGATACTACTAAATCAGTTGTTTCAAACTTGTAACTATTTCAAGTGAAGCAGGTCTCGCTCTTGGTTAGGTGGTGAGACAGTGTAAAGGTAAGACAGCTTAAAGGTAAAGGTTGTCTTCCCTATAAAGAAAAGATGGTGGGGATGCAGGATGCCTTAAGGTGGTGAGACAGCTTAAAGGTGGTGAGATAGCATAAAGGTAAGGGATGTCTTCCTATAAAGATGTACTATCACTCAGCTAGTTGGTGACTAAATCTGGTGATAAAAAATAGACCTAAGGCTTACACTAAATTTAACATTAAATGCTTTCAAGTTATTCTAAAGTCAATGCAGCTATTATAATAAGTAGAGGTATCTACCAGAGTTGTTCTAACTTTTTTTGGATTTGCCGTTAGTAAATTCATTCCAGGGGTTACTTCAAAGCATTGAGATATTGGGAGATATATATATATATATATATTTTTTTTTTTTTTTTTTTGGCAGAATCTCACTCTGTTCCCCAGGCTGGAGTGCAGTGGTGTGATCCCAGCTCACTGCAAGTCCCGCCTCCCGGGTTCTCACCATTCTGCTGCCTCAGCCTTCTGAGTAGCTGGGACTGCAGGCACCCACCACCACGCCCGGCTCATTTTCTGTATTTTTAGTAGAGACGGGGTTTCACTGTGTTAGCCAGGATGGTCTCGATCTGCTGACCTCGTGATCCACCCACCTCAGCCTCCCACAGTGCTGGGATTACAGGCGTGAGCCACCACACCCGGCCCATTGGGACGGATTTCTAACTTGAGAACTTGCTGAAAGGATAATACCAGAGGAGAATCCATTAGGAGTGGTGCTTATAACTCCTTCTGAATTTCCCTCAATCAACACATAAATAATTCATACCTTTCAGACTTGGCTTTTGAAGGCTAACCTAAAAAGAGTAGGCAGCAGTGAGAATGTAGTTTCTATTGATATCAATAACTCGTAATATCATTTTTTCTGTACAGTTTTTTCTTGACCTTTAAACTCATATAGTCACTGGACTAGACATTTCCAAATGGATGCCTCATAGATATACTAAACAATATTTTCCATAAAAAGTCCCTTGATTTCCTTCCACAAACCTGGTCCTCTTATTGGATTTCTCCACTTCAGTAATTGTTAAAATCACCCACCGAGAACTCAGGTTGGAAACTTTAGTGTCTTCTTTTATCTTCCAAGTGAATCAATCTGCACCTCCTACTGTTTCTGCCCTCCAAATATAGATCATGCCCATTCATTTATCTCTGTCCACTCTGTGACTATTTTAGTTCAAACTGCTTAAACTTATAGCTTATATCTTTCCTCCTAACCAGTCTCACCTTCAAGTCTTAACCTCATTTAAACATTTTTTTAACCATAGAATCAGAGTAATATTTTTAGATTATTAATTGAAAAATGTTTTTCTCTTTAAAAAAACTTAAATATCTTCCCATTATATGAAGCCACCTGCCATTGCAAATGAGTTTCTTACCATAGTTTATCAGATTATGAAATTTAATCTCTGAACACCTTTCAAATTTCTTTCATTCTATTCCCTCTTCTGAGTATATTCTTAACACCTTGGGCTTCTTTCACTTTCTCATATTTGGCAAACATTTTCTCACCTCAATGCCATGATTTGTAGTCTTGTTTCTGTCGGAAAAAGTTTAACCTATGGCTCTCAGCTTAAAGTCTGTTCTTCAAATAACTTTCCCAAACCATGATAAATTGTCTAGCTCTTCATTGTCATTTTGTGTTATTCCACCCTCTGCTATCATTCAAGTACTTTAAGTTTTGAATATGCCTTATATATACTCATCTATGTTTATTTAGTACTGTATTGTAACATAATAGCTCTTAAGGGAAGAGCTAAAAAAGCATATTTTGTACTTAGTTCTTCATAATTTCTAGGAATTCTACCAGGCACATAAACAAAGCAAATCCAGAAAACAAAAATGTATATTACTTAGCGGTGTATGTTGATAGTGCACAAACACAAATTATTTGATTAAATAATGTTCAAGCCATGCCCTGCAGCTGCTAGCTATAGGCTTAGGCACTCAGCAAAGTAGCAAAATGCCTCCCAATCCTGCCTCTGTGATACCTCCTGCAACCCAGGGTCCCACACTGACCCACTCATCTCATTGGTTAGTCAGCCTCCCCAAACACAAGGCTCATTTCGAAGCTTAACCTCAGGCCCAGGACGTTCTAGAAAAAAGGTAAAACATTTCTGAACATTTTGAATTTGTAGAGAAATAAAAATTTTAAAGAACTATGGAGAAACAGCAAAAAGTAATGTATCTTAATTTCATTTATAGATCTAGTCATTTTTTTAGTTTCAAAGCATAAAATTATATTCAGTCTACTTGATTTACTGATGAAATTAAAATGACTGCCATATAAATTTTAAAAGATAGTTTGCTTAGACTATAATAACTTTAGTAACAACATTTACTTTTAGATGTGTTTAATTGTTACAAATGGGACTGCAAGTGCTGAGCTTAAGAGATTGAACATCTTTTTGTTTTTACTTATTTTTCTGAAGCAGCAAACAACTGAGAAGATAAGAAATCATCACTATTGTTGGGACTTCCCCATATGCTAACCAAACAAAGTCATCATGCTTTGCAGACATGGCATCTACCATGTAGAAACACAGATGCAAACATACACAAATTTAGAAAAGGATATATATATATATATATATATATATATATATATATATATATGTATATATATATGTATATATATATAATATATATCAATATATATAAATGATATTTATACATGTATACACACACACACACACGCACACACACATACACACACATATATGTAAATCAATTGGGCCTAGCCAGAAGAATCAAAAATGAAACATGAAGGTCTAAGACGAGCATAAAAGGTGGGTGTCTTTGGGAGGTGAGAGAATCTCTAGAGGAAGGAAGGGCAGAGCCCAGCTAGGGGACAGGAACCGATACAGTTCAGTGTTGAAGTGAAAGATGATGAGGAAGGTAATGCCATTTTAATGAATCAATACCATAAGCCCAGAAAAAAGCAGACAGTTTAAAGGTAAATTTTTAATGTTTGAAATAACTCTTTGAGATAGGCATTATTATTATTATTTTTAATTTTCCTAGAAGAGACCTGAAACTCAGAGGTAAGTTTAATGTTTTTGTCCAAGTTTACACAGTTAGAATGTGGCCTGGACAGAATTGACAGACGGAGATATGTGGATCCCAAACCAAGTTCTTTCTATGAAGTAAGCCAGTACCAGGGCTGTTTCCAGAAAAAAAAAAAAAAGCCAGAAAACAAACCTGCATCAAACCAAGAGGTGGAGAGGTGGCTGTCACGACTATAGGGTTCTATATGCCAGCATGCTTGTAGGCTTTGGGTTTATAGCAGTGAGTGAGAGAGACAAAGTCTAATCCTCATGACGTTTAGAACCTAGTAGGGGAGACAGACAATGAAAAACAAGGATACAAATATATAACATAAACAATATGTAGTGATAGGTGCTTTGAAGAAAACTGTGGCTTTTAAAGTGGATGGAATGTCCACTGCTCGAAGGTGGAAGTATAAGTGTTCTCACCACAAAAATGATAACTATATGAGGTAATACATATGTTATTTAGGTATGTTTAGTTATTTCTATTATGTAGCTATATTTCAAAATATCATGTTATACAGAATACACACATACAATTGTATTTGTCAATTTAAAAAGTAATAAATTACTATATAAGTGAATGAAATGTGGCCATTTTAATTAAACTGACTAGGAAGAGCTCTCTGAAATGCAGGTATTTGACCAGTGACACAAATAAAGTAAGGGGAGGAAGGCCTATAAAGCGTAGTCTTCTGGATAGCCAAGAAGCTATTACCATGAGGCAAGACAGCTGTGTTTGAGGTACGTTAGGAGGAACAGTGTGGTTAGAACTGTATGAAGGAGGCATACAGGTTTGGAGATAAGGTTAGAAACAAAGAGAGTAAGTAGTTGGTTCATGTAAGTCTCCACAGGCTGTGAAAAGGATTTTGTGTTTTATGTGATATAAACCTCTCAGGTGTTGAGCCAGGGAATGTTGAAGCTGATTTATTTAAAAACCTCACTTTTGCTGCATTGTGAAGAAAAGGACAAAAATCGCAGCAGGCAAACCAGTTGATGTTGGAATTCAGATCCAGCAGAGATGGTGGTGGCTTTTATTAGATAGGGTGGGAGGTATCCCGATAGTGAAAGGTAGTCATATTTGAGATATATTTTGATACCATCAACGTAAAAGACAAATTTTAGCTAAGAGAGCATCTCTGGTTATAATTGGAGCAGAGAGAGCATGGAAGAGGCCCTCCTAAGAATACCATGTTGGCTATGATTTGAATTCTATCACCTTTACAAGTTCAATGTGCCCTCGGATACTATATAGGAGCCATGCAACATCTTGATAGCCTCATCTTCCAGGTTCCAACACTCTCATTGAAGACATCCTTTGCCATACTATTAATTACCCTCATTATATGAATGGTGACTATTAGGGCCTTCTATTTTGCAGTTGTCTCATTTTGATCTCAGCATAAGTTCCAGAAAACCGAAGGCTTTTACACAATCTTCTCTTGTCTTTAAAAATTATGTAGCCTATTCCTTGAGGGGATGTGGAGCTTTTGATGTGTACATGGGGTTTGTCATTGTTCTTATCTTTTGTTTTCACTTTCTGAGAATGCATCTGATGCTGTCCCTTGAGAGGGCCTTGAGAAAATGATGTTAACTTGTATTGTTAGCACTTTTCTATATAGTAAATTTGGGACACATCACTTTTTCATATTATTTCACTTTAGCTTAGGAATAACACTAGTCAATTTGTATTATTTTTATTTACAGAGAGGAAAACTGAAGCTGAGAATTTAAATATGATCAACTTCATACCAATGTGGGAATGGAGTCAAGATTTTACACTTCTCCTGTAATTTCCTTATAACTGAAAAGCATAAATTCTTTCTGTTATATATGCTTGGCAGGTCCCAGACTAAATTCCTAGAGCAACCCCCGAAGGCATGAATTTTCTCCTCCAGAACTTTAAAGATTTTTTCTGACAACCAGGCTAACGATGCTGCTTATTTTGTAATCCAGTCAAATGCAACAGCAGTTTCATATTTCTGCCTTTGAATCTCAGATCCAAGAAAGTGGCAGCAGCATGAATTCCTCAGTTTAAAAGAACTGTAATGATGTGATTTTGTCAATGGGTTAACACTAAATTCTTTTGGTCACCTGGAACTTCGTTGTTCTTAGAAATGAAAACAGTTGCAGAGGGGTAAATTTGAGGAACAATATAAGAACAACTTAATTAAATATTATTTTTACAAAGATTTATAATAAAAATTCTTTAATTTTGCTAAAAAATATGATTCCTTCAATTTTTGTTATTCCCATCACTTATCTTTGTTTTCCTCAGGTATGCTCTAAAAAAAGGTTATAAACTACTTAAGACCGTATCGTTCTGCACCTCTTATGAGAAAAGGACGAGGAAGCATCTTCTCACTTAGTGATAGTTGGGCCACAGTTAGGGATAAACTAATCAAGGGGGAAAAGCTTATATAAACCTCACCTATTTTACCCTACATAATAGTTTTTCTGACTTACAAGAACCTATGACTATTTTACCACAACTAAAAAAAGGAATAGTAAATTTTATATAATCTTTAAAACTCAAGAAAAAACCATCAGTTCAGTTCAATATTGGATGCTTAATATGAGCTGTGGCTGGATAAACTAGTTTTGAAGAACTTATAGTCTAACAAACACATAAAGAGAAAAAAATAATTATATCCTAAGCTACAAATGCCATGTGATTTCCAAGATAGAGTAAGTTTTTCTAGTTTCAAAATTCAGGAAAGATTTATTGGTGGGGATAACTAAAAGTTGTCCAGGCAAATGTAAAGGGAAAGAGATTTCTGGCAGAAGAAATTGCTTGATATAGGGCCTTGCCACATCATTGATGGCAAGAAGAGATGAATACTCAGCTCTTCGCTGAGTCCCATTCACAGGGCAGGGGTTGGAGCTGATGGAGAGAAGCCCAAGACCAACCACTACTAAAATTGTTTTAACAGTCCACAGGAAGGTAAGATAAAAGAAACAGGAATGGGAAATGGAGGAAGCAAAAGAAAAATAATAGCAAAATGGCAGATTTAATCTCTAACACGAATATTTCCTTAAATGTAAGTAGTGTAAATATTAAAATATATCAGAGATGCATGGAGCATATAAGCAAAACAAAGAAAAACATGATCTAATAATATGCTAAGGGAGGAGACCACCCCTCATATTGTCTTATGCCCAATTTCTGCCTCCAAAGAAAGAAGTAAAAACTTAAAGAAATGAAATCCACAGACAGATAGCCTGGTGCCATGCCCTGGGCCTGGTTAAAGATCGACCCCTGACCTAACCGGTTATGTTATCTATAGATTTCACACATTGTATGGAAAAGCATTGTGAAAATCCCTGTCCTGTTCTGTTCTGTTCTGTTCTGTTCTGTTCTGATTACCAGTGCATGCAGCCCCCAGTCATGTACCCACTGCTTGCTCAATCGACCATAACCCTCTCACGCAGACCCCCATAGAGTTGTAAGCCCTTAAAAGGGACAGGAATTGCTCACTCAGGGAGCGTGGTTGTTGGAGACACGATTCTTGCCAAATCTCTCGGACAAATAAAGCCCTTCCTTCTTGAACTTGGTGTCTGAGGGGTTTTGTCTGTGGCTTGTCCTGCTACATTTCTTGGTTCCCTAACCAGGAAGTGAGGTGATTAAAGGATGGTTGAGGCAGCCCCTTAGGTGGCTTAGGTCTGCCCTGTGGAGCATCCCTATGGAGGACTCTGGCCAGCTCGAGTGATGTGGATCCTGGGAGTGCTCCCAGGTAGGCATTTGCCCTGGTGGAATGCCTCATCAGAGTGATGCATGGCAGGCCCCCGTGGAGGATCAATGCAGTGGCTGAACACCAGGAAAGAACTGGCACTTGGAGTCCAGACATCTGAAACTTGGTAAGACTGTCTTTGGAACTTGCCCACTCCCTTTGAGTGGAAGCGTGGCCTGATCACCCATGGCATGCCTTTTTCGGCACTTTGGTTCTTGTTTTTGACTTGACTTGGATTGCTTGATACTTTGGTTTTGGTTTTGACCTGGCTTGGATTTCTGGATACTCTGATTTTGGTTTTGATTCTGGTTTGGTGTAAACTGTAAAAGTGTGTGTGTGCCCTTTTTTACCCATTCTGTGTTTTGTGGTGTGCGTGTGGTGGGAGCTTGGTGTTTTGCCTCGAAGAAGCATGGGTCAGGCACAAAGTAAGCCCGCCCCATTAGGAACTATGTTGAAAAATTTCAGGAAAGGATTTAAGGGAGATTACAGTGTTATGATGACATCAGGAAAACTTAGAACTTTGTGTGAAATAGACTAGCCAGCGTTAGAGGTGGGTTGGCCATCAGAAGGAAGCCTGGACAGGTCCCTTGTTTCAAAGGTATGGCACAAGGGTAACCTGTAAACCAGGGCACCCAGATCAGTTCCCGTACATAGACATTTGGTTACAGCTAGTTTTAACCCCACCCCACCACCCTGTCCACCAGCAAACAGTGGTTGAGAGAAAAGCAGCACAAGGGGCTGGCAGAGGCAAGGAACGACCAGCAGAGAGAGAAAGAGAAAGAGACAGAGAGACAGAGAGGAAGTCAAGGAAAGAGAGAGAGAGAGAGAGGCAGAGAGAGAGAAAGAGACACAGGCAAAAGGAAAGTCAAAGAGAAAAAGAGATAGAAAATCAAAGAGAGAAAGAAAGAGAGAGATATACAAGTAGTTAAGAGAAAAAAATAGTGTACCCTATTCCTTTAAAAGCCAAGGTAAATTTAAACCCATAATTGATAATTAAAGGTATTCTCCATAACCCTATAACACTCCAATACCACTTTGTTGTCAGTGTAAACAAGGGCGTAGCCCGAAAGCACTGAGGCCACTGACAACCTGTGTAGACTTCCTATCAAAAATCCTTAACCTAGTAATCTGCGGATGGTACAAATGCATTCAATCTGTAGCAGCAACTGCTTTGCTAACAGAAGAAAGTAGAAAAATAACTTTTAGAGGAAACCTCGTTGTGAGCACACCTCACCAGTTCAGAAGTATCCTAAGGGAAAAAAAAAAAAAAGATGATTTAACATTAACCACTGAAAATTCTCTTAACCCAGCAAGTTTCCTAACAAGGGATCTAAATCTTAATTACCATACAAAGGTCCTACCAGACCTAGGAGGGACTGCCTTCAGGACAGGAGGATAGATGGTTCCTCCTAGGTAATTAAAGAAAAAAAAAAGCCATCTATACCAATTCTAAGTTAATTTGGACTAAACAAGGTCTTATTAATAGCAAAGGATAATTGAAATCCCAAATTACAAGGTTTTCAACAAAAGTAAAGTTTGCTAAAAGTTAACAGTGTAACATGTATTACAGTATTCTAATCTTGTGGCCTTAGTCTAATCCACAGACATAAAGGAAGTTCACTTTGGAAAAGAATGGTTATCACCTTCGAAAAAAAAAATAGAAAAAAAGGGGGGGGGTGGCAGAATTTATGTAAAAAGAATGTTATATGGTAAATTCTTGTCCTGAAATAAATTAACTGGTTGTTTAAAGAAAGAGATGTTTGTAATAAGTCAGAAAATTGAGGCATGTTGAGGAATTGTCTGTGAAAGTTGTGAAAGAGAAAAATGTTATAAAAAATTTATGCAGAAATGTTGTATAATTTAAAAGTAATAAGGTCTCCTGAGTACTATTGAAGAAACAGTTTATATGCAAGGTGTATAAGGAAAGTAAAACATACCTTTGGTAAAAAGATTATAAAGAGGCATAAGAATGTGGATTTTTACCTTAACATTAAAAGGTTAAAAAAATTGTTTTGAAGGTATAAGCAAGTTTTAAAAAGTTAATTGTAAAGAAAATTCTGTGTGTAAACATTAGCTAAAGTTAAAGGGGTACCATACAGTTTTTCTGTGAACTGGACATTAAAGTAAAAACACAATGAGTTTTTCTTAAAGCACTAACCTACTCCCTAACAAAAATTATAAAAGGTTAAAAAGAGTCTATAAAAATCCTACCTTATGGTCTGACATTAAAAATTGAATAAATGTGTCTACAAAGGTTTATTAAAACTAAGTTTAACATTAATAGCACACTAATATAAAGGTGAAGTTGATCTTATCTGGTATAAAAATCATACAGGAAGCATTGTCAAATATAAAATGGTGTTTGGCTTCTTTGGTCTAAAAACTAATAAAAAATAGATGCTAAAGGAAATTTCTCAGTAGAAAGGCACCAAGGACTATAAAGTCCACTGCTGATGTCCCCACATTTAAAACAAAAGGTCAATTTCTTAAAAATTATATACTTGGTTTATCTTCTACTTTCCTTTCCCTCACAACTAAAAGTCTTTTAGCACATGTACCACCCCTAGAATTTCTGGTAAACCAGCACCAACCTGAAGATCACATTCTCATTAAAAGGTGAAAAAAAAAAAAAAAAGGAAACTCGAGCCAGCCTAGGAAGGACCCTACCTTGTGCTGATAACCCCCGAGACTGCTGTTCATACAGCAAAAAAAAGGATGGACTCATCACACCCGAGTCAAGAAAGCACCACCCACTCCAGAGTCATGGGCCATAGTCCCAGGGGAAAACCCTACCAAACTAAAGCTAAGAAAAATTTAACCCTTCATCTATTCTATTACTTTTTCTTCTTTCCTCGCTCTATTGCTGACCATCTAGGTATTTACATAACCAAGTCAATTTCACCTCAAACTATTGCATTTAATGCTTGCCTTGTTATACCCTGTGGGGACTTGCCAAGTCAAAGACTTCAGAAAAGTACCTCTGTCCCTCCTGACTCTCCTCAGACTGGGCATTAGTAAATTAAGACAACTTAATCCGGGGAAATTTCAATAAAGATTCCAGTGTCAACCAGGAGTCTTGCCCCACAATGTAGAGTTTTTTATGCCATAGTTGGTCCAACATTCTGTGGACCACTAAAGAGCAAGGATGGACTGCCCCAACTGGTTTTTATAATTTCCTAAAAGCATACATTCATTTTACTAGAGGATCATAGAAGTTAAAGACTTAAAACAAACTTTGGCAATTAAGACAAGATACCAAGCTGCAAATGCCTGGTTGGAATGGATCAAATATTCCTTCCACACATTGAACAAAAGCAATTGTTATGCTTGTGCGCACAGCAGGCCAGTGGCTCAGGTTGTCCCCTTTCCACTAGGGTGGTCCTCCAGGTGACCAGGTGTAGGCTGCATGGTAGCTCTTTTCCAGGATTCTACAGCCTGGAGTAACAAACGGTGCCAAGCTCTCCCTCTGCTATATCACGAAGTCCAGCACCCTGCGGGTCAGCCCCTGAGGGTCATCCAGCTTCCATCTCCCAATACTAAGTTCACTTCATGTCTGTCACGACAGGGAGGAAACTTAGCATTCCTTGGAGACCTGAAGGGATGCAGTGAGCTTAAGAATTTTCAAGAGCTTATCAATCAGTCAGCCCTCGTTCATCCCCGAGTGGATGTGTGGTGGTATTGTGGCAGACTTTTACTAGGCACTCTGCCGAATAACTGGAGTGGCACTTGTACTTCAGTCCAATTGGCTATCCCTTTCACCCTGGCATTTCATCAATCAGAGGGAGGAAAAATAAGACATCGTAAAGTGAGAGAAGCCCCTTACGGGTCTTTCGACTCTCATGTCCATTTAGACGCAATTGAAGTCCCACGGGGAATACCAGATCAATTTAAAGCTTGAAATCAAATAGCTGCAGGATTTGAGTCAATATTTTAGTGGGTGACAGTTAATTAAAATGTAGATTGGATGTACTACATCTATTACAACCAACAGCAACAAGCTTTTCATGAGTTAAAAGAAAAACTCTTGTTGGCCCCAGGCCTGGGTCTACCTGACCTGACAAAACCCTTTATGCCCTATGTGTCAGAAAGAGAAAAAGTGTCAGTTGGAGTTTTAACCCAGACTATGGGGCCCTGGCCAAGGCCAGTGGCCTATCTCTCAAAACAACTAGATGGGGTTTCCAAAGGCTGGCCCCCGTATCTAAGGGCCCTGTCAGCAACGGCCCTGTTAGCACAAGAAGCAGATAAAATAACCTTGGGCAAAACCTGAATATAAAGCCCCCCATGCTGTGGTAAGGTAACTTTAATGGCTACCAAAGGACATCACTGGTTAACAAATGCTAGATTAACCAAGTACCAAATCTTGCTATGTGAAAATCCCTGCATAACCATTGACCTAAACCCCACCACCTTGCTCCTGGTATCAGAGAGCCCAGTTGAACATAACTGTGTAGAGGTGTTGGACTCAGTTTATTCTAGCAGTCCCAACTTCTGAGACCATCTTTGAACATCAGTAGACTGTGAGCTGTACATGGACGGAAGCAGCTTCACCAACCCCTGCAAAGTTACTCTGAAGAAGATGACAAGCCCTGCTCCAGTCACACCTGGAAGCTGACTGGTCCACGCATGGCTGAAGCATGAGAAAACTCATCACAGGACCCATTTTCCTTAAAATTTGGACTTTTACAGTAAGGACTTCAACTGACCTTCCTCAGACTGAGGGCCGGTGGGGGCTTATAAACAATACGAGTAAAGTGTTAGCCAAAACAGAAGAAAAAGGGGTGCCCAAACAAGCCACCTTGAAATTTGATGCCTGTGCTGTCATTAATAGTAATAAGTTAGGAATAGGATGTGGTTCTCTTAATTAAGAAAGAGGCTATATGGCAGAAAATAAGTACATTTGTCATGAATTAGGACTGTGTGGAAATAAATGGGGATACTGGTCTTGTGTCATTTAGGCTACTTGGACAAAAAATGAAAAGAATCCTGTCCACCTTCAGAAAGGGAAAAGTGGCCCTTCCTGTACCAGTGGTCAGTGTAACCCCTTAGAACTAGTAATAACCAACCCCCTTAATCCTCGCTGGAAGAAAGGGGGAACATGTAACCCTAGAAATTGATGGGGCTAGACTGGATCCTCAAGTAAATATTGTGGTTTAAGGAGCAGTTTATAAACGTTCTCCTGAGCCAGTATTTCAAAACTTCTATGATGAACTGAATGCGCCAGTACCAGAAATTCCAGGAAAAACAAGAAATTTGTTTTTGCAATTAGCTGAGCATGTAGCCCAGTCTCTCAATGTCACTTTATGTTATGTATGTGGAGGAACTGTAATGGGAGATCAATAACCATGGGAAGCCCGAGAATTAGTACCTACAGACCCAGTTCCTGATAAATTCCTGGCTCAAAAGAATCACCCTGATAACTTCTGGGTCCTGAAAGTCTCAATCATTAGACAATACTGTATAGCAAGAGTGGGGAAGGACTTCACTCTTCTGTGGGAAGACTCAGCTGCCTTGGGCAAAAACTGTATAATAGTACCACAAAAACAGCCACCTAGTGGAGTTTCAAACCATACTAAGAAAAATCCATTTAGTAAATTCCCAAAGTTGCAAACCATTTGGACCCACCCAGAGTCCCACAGGGACTGGACAGCCCCCACTGGATTATACTGGATATGTGGGCATAGAGCTTACGCCAAATTATCCGACCAGTGGATAGGTAGTTGTGTTGTTGGCACTATTAAACCATCTTTCTTCTTACTGCCCATAAAGACAGGCGAACTCCTGGGCTTCCCTGTCTATGCTTCCCACGGAAAGAGAAGTATAGCTATAGAAAATGGGAAAGATAATGAATGGCCTCCTGAGAGAATCGTACAATATTTTGGGCCTGCTACTAGGGCACAAGACGGCTTGTGGGGATACTGGACCCCCATTTACATGCTCAACCAAATCATACGGTTACAAGCTCCCTTAGAAATAATCACTAAGACCGGCAGAGCCTTGACTATTCTGGCCTGGCAAGAAACTCAGAAGAGAAATGCTATCTATCAAAATAGATTGGCTCTCAACTACTTGCTAGCAGCTGAAAGAGAAGTCTGTAGCAAATTGAACCTTACTAATTGCTGTCTATACATAGATGATCAAGGGCAAGTAGTTAAAGACATAGTTAGAAATATGACAAAACTGGCACATGTGCCCGTGCAAGTATGGCATGGATTTGATCCTGGGGCCATGTTTGGAAAATGGTTCCCAGTGCTAAAAAGATTTGAAACTCTTATAATAGGAGTTATAATAGTAATAGAAACCTGCTTACTGCTCCCTTGTTTGCTACCTGTACTTCTTTAAATGACAAAAAGCTTCATTGCTACCTTAGTTCACTAAAATGCTTCAGCACAAGTGTACTATATGAATCACCATTGATCTGTCTTACAGGAAGACATGGGTAGTGAGAATGAAAGTGAGAACTCCCACTAATGAGTGAGATTCTCAAAGTGGGGGAATAAGGGAGGAGATCACCCCTCATATTGTCTTATGCCCAATTTCTGCCTCCAAAGAAAGAAGAAGTAAAAACTAAAAGGCAGAAATGAAATCCACAGGCAGATAGCCTGGCACTGCGCCCTGGGCCTGGTTAAAGATCGATCCCAACCTAACCACTTATGTTATCTATAGATTCCAGACATTGTATGGAAAAACATTGTGAAAATCCCTGTCCTGTTCTATTCCATTCTGATTACCAGCATATGCAGCCCCCAGTCATGTACCCCCTGCTTGCTCAATCAATCATGACCCTCTCACGTGGACCCCCTTAGAGTTGTAAGTCCTTAAAATGGACAGGAATTGCTCACTCGGGGAGCTCGGTTATTGGAGACATGAGTCTTGCTGAAGCTCCCGGCCTAATAAAGCCCTTCCTTCTTTAACTCGGTGTCTGAGGGCTTCTGTCTGCGGCTTGTCCTGCTACAATGCAATCTACAAGAAAATCACCTCAAATACAATATGGATAGACTGAACGTAAAAGGATAGGAAAAGATATGCCATGCAAGCACTAATAAAAATAATCAGGTAAAGTAAAATTTAAAGCAAAGAAAAGTAATAAAAAAAATAAGAATGTGCAAATCAAAACCAGAATGAGATTTCATCTCACGCCAGTTAGAATGATGATCATCAAAAAGTCAGGAAACAACAGATGCTGGAGAGGTGGAGAGGATGTGGAGAAACAGGAACTTTTTACACTGTTGGTGGGAATGTAAATTAGTTCAACCATTGTGGAAGACTGTGGCAATTCCTCAAGAATCTAGAAACAGAAATGCCATTTGACCCAGCAATCCCATTACTGGGTATATACCCAAAGGATTATAAATCATTCTACTATAAAGACACATGCACACATATGTTTATTGCAGCACTGTTTACAATAGCAAAGACTTGGAACCAACCCAAATGTCCATCAGAGATAGATGGATTAAGAAAATGTGGCACATATACACCATGGAATACTATGCAGCCATAAAAAAGGGTGAGTTTATGACCTTTGCAGGTACATGGATTAAGCTGGAAATCATCATTCTCAGCAAACTAACACAAGAACAGAAAACCAAACACCGCATGTTCTCGCTCATAAGTGGGAGTTGAACAATGAGAACACATGGACACAGGGAGGGGAACATCATACACTGGGGCCTGTCAGGGGGTGGTGGGCTATGGAGGGGGATAGAATTAGGAGAAATACCTAATGTAGATGACAGGTTGATGGGTGCAGCAAACCACCATGGCACGTGTATACCTATGTAACAAACCCGCATGCTCTGCACATGTATCCCGGAACTTAAAGTATAGTTTAAAAAAATAAGATTGTTGCAGATAATAAAAGGCTCAATATGTCACATAGATAGAATGATGCCAAGTGAGTATGCATAAAAAAACACAGCTTTAAAATATATGAATCAAAAAATTAATATAGCTGAAATAAAAAAATTGACAAATCCATAATTATGATTAGCGACTTCAGTACCTCACACTGGCAACTAATATAATTAGTAGACAGATCATCAACCTTTTAGAAGAGAAAATTCAAACAGAATCCAATTGGCATATGTATAACACTTAATCCAACTATAGCAGAGTGCACTTATTTTTTGAAGCATACACTGAAATTTCACCAAGATAAGCTATATCCTGAGCCATTAAAAACCCCTCACAAACTAAAAAAATTGATAGCATACCGAGTATGTTGTCTGATCGTAAAGGAAGCAATTAGGAGTAGAGACTCCTATCAATTTGAAGAAATTCTTTATTGTTGGTTTGCCGAGAATTTTTGTAATGAAAAGTATTGAATTTTGTCAAATGATTTTTTAATGTCAGTTAATTATGATCACATTATTTTCTTGTATAGCCTCTTGATATGGTGTCTTACATTTACTGATTTTTGAATATTAAACTAGCTTTGCATACCTGGAAGAAATCCCACTTGTTTATGGTATATAATTATTTTTAGACATAATTGAATTTTATTTCCCAATACTGTCTTAAGGATTTTAGCATCTAAGTTTCTGGGAAATATTGGTCTATAGATTTCTTTTTTGAACTGTCTCTCTCTGGTTATATCATTAGTTCTCTAGTGTTCTAATTTGCAGAAAAGATTTTGTAAAATTCATGCTAATTCTTCATAAAATATTTTTGTGAATTCTCCATTGAAAGCACATGAGCCCAGATATTTCTATTTGGAAGATTTTTAATTACAAATTTATTTTATTTAAACATAATAGACCTATTCAGATTTTGTATTTCATTTTTATTACTTTTAAGGAATTTCTGATTTTAAAGGTGTTGAAATGGGATTTCAACTTGGTAACTATTATATGCTCTCTTAGCTTCTTAAATTTGCTAATTTATGTCATTATGCTTCTTATATTTGTCAGTGTTTCTAGAGGTTTATCAATGTTATTCATTTTGACGGAAGAATCAAATTTCTTATTCATTTATTTTCTCTATTGTTCATCTGGCTTTAATTTTATTGATTTCTCTTCATTATTTCCTTCCTTATGTTAACACTTAGTTTATTTTGTTCTTCTCTCCCTAGTTTCTTGAGGTAAAAAAGTAGTTAATTAGAAAATTTTCCTTTTTTTAAGTCTTTATCATATGAATTTCCCTCTAAAAAATGATATAGTTGTGTCTTACATATCTTGTATTTTGATTCAGTTCTATATAATTTTGCTAATTCCTTTGCAACTTCCTCCTTGATCTTTGGATTATTTAGAAGGGTGTTGTATGTGCATTCTGTTGGGTATTCTTAAATATTGATTATAACCTGTTTGTTGGTGGTGTTTCTTTCATTCTTGTTGATATTCTTGCTACTTTTATCAACTGTTGAGAGAAGGGTGTTGAATTCTCTGATTATTATTCTGGGTTTGTGTATTTCTCCTTTTAGTTTTTTCTGGCTTTGCTTCACATGTTTTGTAGGTGTATTGTTCAGTGCATACACATTTAAAATTGCAAATACCTCCCTGGTAGATGGACCCATTTATCTTTATAAAATGTATCTGTCTTTGGTAATTGTCTTTGCTGTGAAATAAACTTCATCTCATATTAACATAGTCACTGTTGCTTACTTCTTTTCATATGGCTGATCTTTTTCCAACATTTATATTTTCCCTACCTACACCACTGTATTTAAAATGAGTTTCTTGTATATAGCAATACATGTAATTGGGTTATGTGCTTTTTTCCCCACCAATCTGCTTTTAATTGGCATACTTAGAAAACTGATGTTTAATGTTATTATTGATATTTTAAGAAATTTTTTTGATTATATATATTTAAGGTATACAACAGGATGTTTTGATATACATAATGAAATAATTTCTACAGTCAAGCAAATTATCCTATCATCTTCCATAGTCACCTTTATTTTATTTTAATGAGTCCCTAAAATCTACTCTCTTAGCAAATTTTCAATATAAAATATGATATTAACTATGATCCTCATGCCGTACATTAGATATCTAGAATATTTTATCCTACATTCTAGAGTTTTTATTCTACATAACTGCAAGTTTGTACATTTTGACCTATATATTTCTGAGCAAACACATGTTTTCAATACTCTTGGCTATATACCTAGGAGTGAAATTGCTAGGTCATATGGTAACTATATTTAACGTCTGGAGGAAATGGCAAATTGTTTACTGTAGTACTGAAGCACTTTCCCACCAGCAATCCATGAAGTTTCCAATTTCTGTAAATCCTTGCCACCAACTATTATTATCATTATTTCTTATACCCATCCTACTGGGTGTGAAGTGGTATCTAATTATGAATTTTATTTGTTTAATGACAAATGATGTTGAGCATTTTTCCTGTGCCAACTGACAGGGACTGGCATTAGATCTTTAAATGTTTGGGAGAATTGACCAGTGATACCATCCGGTCCTGGGTTTTTGTTTTTGGGAGGTTTTTGGTTATGAATTCACTCTTTTATTATATATTCACATTGTTTAGATATATTTGAGACACTTTTGGTAGTTTGTGTGTTTCTAGGAATTTGTCATTTCATCTAAGTTTTCTAATTTGTTGGTGTATAATTGTTCATTGTTCATAATATTCTTTGTTTTTGTGAGGTCAGAGATAATGACCTCACTTTTATTCCTAAATTTAATGATTATATTCTTCTCTCTTCTTAAAATCTGGGTCAGTCTAATTAAAGGTTTGTCAGTTTTGTTGATCTTTTTGATAAACTAACATTAATAAGTTTTTAAATTGAAAAATAAAAATTATATATATATTCATTGTGGATAATATGTTTTAAAATATGTGTACATTAGGAAATAGTTCAATCAAGCTAATTCACGTGTGTATTGCCTCACATACTTACCATTTTTGTGAGATTGCTGGATTATATGGTTGTTCTTAATTTTTTGGAGAACCTCCATATTGTTTTCTAAAATGGCTATACTAATTTACATTCCCACTAACAGTATGCAAGGGTTCCCCTCCTCCACATCTTCTGCAACACTTATTTTTTGTCTTTTTTTTGTTGTTGTTTTAGAGAGTGTCTCACTCTATTGCCCAGTTTGGAGTGCAGTGGTGGAATCTTGGCTCACTGCAACCTCACCCTCTTGGCGTCAAGTGATCCTCCTACCTCAGCCTCTGGAGTAGCTGAGACTGTAGGAATCCATTTTTTATTTTTTTTATACAGACAGGAATCTGACTATATTGCCAAGGTTGGTCTCAAACTCCTGGCCTCAAGGAGTGTCTTTTTGATAATAGTCATTAACAGTTTTTCATATACTTGTTGGCCAATTCTCATTAATGGTACAATGTCAGTGATAACCAGGTCCATATACCTTTTGTCTTCCCACAATGGCAGACTTTTATCGATGCTATTTCAATCACAAAAGCCATGAGCTATATGGAATTCTCAAGAAGGCGATTCTACTTAGTATTTCCCTTTTACTCTGTAGTTAGAGATGGAGGCACACAAGCTCAAGTCACTCCACAGGTCAGTCAATATTGCAAACCATACATAATGGTATACTTAATAAGTATATAACTGTTATAGATTAAACATTCCACAACAAACAGTAACATTTAACATCCAGAGAAAGGGGATAGGAAAAAGGATTAACAAGCCAGTAAGGACAAAAGGAATATCCTGGTTTAACCCTGGTGTCCATTGGTCTTGAAAGGAAGAGTCTTTAGTGTGGGCAGAACTTTTCATGGCAGGTGCCAGGGACTTATCACGAGTAATAACAAAATAGTGTCTGTTAAAACAACTGATTTAAGCTGCTGAAGTCCTTCTCTTTTTATGGCCACAGAGTTCTCTGCTGAGGACTGATAGTGAAAGAGTGTGCTTGGTTATGTCCTTATGTGGTTGGATGCAGTCTTTATTTATTAGGTGAAACATCTGGTCTCTCTTGGCAAAGTTTCCTATGAAATGTAGGATGGGATCTTTTTCTAAGTTGGAGTTACTTATGTCAAGAGCACTCTGTACACTGTTTATATGTTTTCTTTTGAAAACTGTCTACTCAGGTCCTTTGCTCATATTTTCATTGTGTTGTTTTTTTCTTGCTATTGAATTGTTTAAATGTGTTATATATTTTGCATATTAATCCTTCATCAGATATATGGTTCGCAATTATTTCTTCTCATTTCATAGATTGTCTCTTCACTCTGTAGATGGTTTTCTTTGCTTTGCTGACATTTTTTAGTTGATGAAATCCATGTCTTTTGCTTTTGTTGCCTGTGCTTGGGGTCTGTTGAGAAAAAACTCTATCCATGTTTTTCCCCTGATCTCACACCATGACAATCACCCACACGAAAGGCTTTTGTGATCCCAAAATATGTGGGGATTTCTTCTCACTAGCATGAAAACAATCAGTTATTCAGCCAATACCAACTAGGGGTCCCCCAATTCAATTCTGACACTACCTACCTGGAGACAGTGCCAGATCCCATAGATTGAAGGCTCAGTCCCCAAAACGCCCTCTACCTTCAGACAGTTGCAAATCTGAGCCTCTAAAACTTCGGACTGACCAGCTTCACATTAGGTTTCACACAATCTCCTCTTTGGGTTCAATTAATTTACTGGAGCAGCTCACATAACTCAGGAAAATATTTACTTAAGTTTACTGGCTTATTATAAAGGATATTACAAAGGATACAAATGAATAGATGAATAGGGTGAGGTCTGGGAGAGAGGACATGGAGCTTCTATCCCTTACCCAGGTGTACCACCCTCCGGAAGTCTCCCTGCATTCAGGTATTTGGAAGTGCTCAGACCCCGTCCTCTTGTTTTTTTTTGTTGTTGTTGTAGTTTGGTTTTGGTTTTTTTTCATGGAGGTTTCATTGCATATTGATGATTGATTAAACCCTTGGCCATTAGTAGTCAACTTGACCTTTTAGCTCTCTTTCTCTCCACAGAGGTTGGGGGGTAGGGTTGAAAGTCCTAACACTCTAATCATGTCTTTGTCTTTCTACTGACCAGCCTTATCTTGAAGCTACTGTTGTAGGATTTTCTCCTTATTTCAGCTATAAAGTGGGTTCTTGTCACATGACCAGGAAGGATTAGGCTGGCAGACACTTTGAAGAGTGAAGCTGAATGGAATTTATTGGGCAAAAAGGAAAAAGGAAAAAACAACACAGCAAAGTGAGATGGGGTCCTGCTAACAGGCTCTCCACCTCACCAACTGAATCCTAGGTTACCACCCAGGAACAGGAACAGGAGAGGCCAGGCTCCTCCCCATTGCAAATGGTGTGAATTTTCCAAATCTCCACCCCCTGCTCCCAGTGCGCAGGTGGCTATTATTCAAAAAGAATCAGTGGGGAAAAGGGAAGGCTTTATATCAGGACTGGCAGTCTGGTTTTTCAGGCTTCAAGGTGGGGTTTTGCCAGAGGGCCCCTTGGCTGCCTCCTCTCTCTATCACTATCAGTCAACATTAGCATACAAAAAGACAGCACTTTGGAGACTTCAAGGATTTTTGGACTTGTATTGTGGGGAATGGGGATGAAGATTAAATATATATTTTACAATTTCACAGGGTTATCTCCAAAAAATATATTGTCTAAACCACTGTCAAAAAGCTTTTTCTCATCATATTCTTTTAGCGGTTTTATGGTTTCAGGTCTTACCTTTAAATGTTTAATTCACTTTGAGTTGATTTTTGTGTATAGCATGAAAGAGAGGTCCAATTTCATTCTTCTGCATGTGCATATCCAGTTTTCTGAACATCATTTATTGAAGAGACTGTCCTTTCCCCATGGTGTGTTCTTGGCAACTTTGTAGTTCAGTTTATCATAAATGTATGGATTCATTTAATGACTCTCTATTCTTTTCCCTGGTCTATGTGTTTGTTACTTTTTATGCCAGTACCATAGAATTTGCTATAGCTTTATTATATATTTTGAAATCAGGTAGTGTGATACCTCCAGCTTTGTTCTTGCTCAAGATTACATTGGATATTCAACATCTTTTGTGGACTACCATATGATACGTGAATCCCATTTATGGGTGTAAATCCAAAGGAAGTGAAACTAGCATCTTGAAGAGCTATCTGCACTCTCACTTTCATTATAGCATTACTCACAATAGCCAAGATATGAAATCAGTATAGGTGTCCATTTGTAGATAAATGGATAAAGAAAATGTGAAAGTGATTATGTATACACAGACACACATACATACACACCCACATGTGTATATGTGTGTGAAAATATATGTATGCATGTTGTGTGTAAACATAATGGAATATTATTTAAACTTAATAAAGAAGTATATCCTGTCACTTGTAACAACATGGATGCATGTTCTAAGCCATGCATAGAAAGACAAATATTGCATGATTTCACTTATATTTGGGATCTAAAAACGTTGAACACATAGAAGCTGAGAGTAGAATAGTAGTTTCCAGGGGTTTAGGGTGGGAAATGGGGAGATGTTAGTCAAAGGGTAAAAAGCTTTGGTTATATGGGATGAATAAGTTCTGGAGATTTAATGTACAGCATGTGACTATAGTTAACAATATTGTACCATATACTTGAAATTTACTCAGAGAGTACATCATAAAGGTTCTCACGAATCACAAAAATAGTAACTATTTGAAGTGATAGATATGTTAATTAGCTTGATTATGGTAATCATTTTATAATTTTACATATATAAAAACATCATGTTGTACAACTTAAATTTATAAAATTGTATTTGTCAGTGACACCTCAATAAATCTGGAAAAAATATGGTTCTTCAAAAAATTAATGAAATTGATAAACCTCTATTGAGGATAACAAAGAAAAAAGAAGACACAAGTCACCAACATCAGGAATAAAATAGATGATATCGTTACAGATTCTACAGTAATGAAAAGAACAATAATGGGAAATTTATCCTCATGAATTTATGCTCAACTTTATCTTCATAAATTTCATAATGTTGAAGAAAAAGATCAATTATTTGTACACTAAAAATTACCAGAAGCTCAACCAAGATAATAAAGACAATGTGAATAATTTTATAACCATTAAAGAATCTGAATTTATAATGAAAAACCACTGGCTGACATAGAACTATCTAGGTCCATATAGTTTTATTGTAAAGGTCTATCAAACATTCGATGAATTCCCACCAATTTTAGACAATCTATTCCAGAAAATAAGGGAGAAAATTTCCCAATTTATTTCATGAAGTTACTATTATTCTCACAACAAAACCAAAACACTACAAAAAAGAAAAGAAAAACTATAGACTATTATCCCTCATGAACTTGGATGAAAAACTTTTAATCAAAATATCTAACTTACCAATGAATAAAAATAATATATACCTGGATCAACTGGGACTTATTCCAGGTATGTAAATCTGGTTACAAATTCAAATACCAAAAATGTAATTTGTTACATCAATGGGCTAAAGAAGAAAAATCACATAATTCTATTACACTTAAACATAAGAACTGAAATTGTAAAATCTAACTCAAAAATAGCATTTGACAACATACGACTCACATTCATGATAAAACATTCCCAGCCAAGTAGAATTGGAGAAGGGCCAGGAACTTCCTCTACTTGAGAAAGATCATCTACCAAAAACCTAAAGCCAACCACATCCTTAATTGTTAAAGACCAGATGCTTTTTATGTAAGATCAGGAACAAGGAAAGGATGCCCACGATCACTAACCTTATTCAAAAATTACTAGAAGCTGTTGTCAGCACAATAAGGCAAGGCAAGGAAACAACAGTTATACTGATTAAAAATTAAAAAAAAAACAAAACTACATCTATTTGCAAATACATTGATTGTCTACATAGGGAACATAAAGGAACCTATAGAGAAAATCCCACAACTAATAAGTGAGTTTATTAGGAGGCAGAGGTGGGTGGATCATGAAGTCAGGAGATCGAGACCATAATGGCTAACACGGCGAAACGCCGTCACTACTAAAAATACAAAAATAAAAATTAGCCAGACGTGGTGGCACGCACCCAGCTACTCGGGAGGCTGAGGCAGGAGAATTGCTTGAACTGGGAGACAGAGGTTGCAGTGAGCCTAGATCATGGTACTCCACTCCAGCCTGAGTGACAGAACGAGTCTCTGTCTCAAAAAAAAAAAAAAAAAAAAAAAAAGAGTTTAAGATGATTGCAGGAAACAAGATCCCATGCAAAAATCAATTGCATTTCTTTATAGTACAAATAAAGTGGTGGAAACCCAATTATTAAAAAAATTGATGACTATTCAAAGCAAAATGAAGTAATTAGATATAAGTGTGATAACACATGTACAGATCTTTATGCTGAAAATTACAAAACGCTGGTGAATTTCATTAAAGAAAATCTACATAAATGGAGAGAAATACTGTGCTCACGGATTGGAACACACAACATGGGAAATACAATATATCAGTTCTCCTCAAATTGATTTACAGGCTTAACACAATTCATATCAAAATTCCAGAAAGGTTTTTTTGTAGATATAGATGAGTTTATTCTAAAATTTTATGGAAAGGCAAAGAAACTAGAATTGTTCGGTGTATTTTGGAAAAGAATAAATAGTTACCCTATACATTTTTAAGACATTTTATAGCAACATTATTCAAGACTGGGTGATATTACTAGAATAGAAACATCAATGAAACAAAATAGAAAACCCAGAAATAGACTCAAAGAAACAGTTTTTTGAAAAAGGTTCAAAAGCAATTCATGGAGAAAGGATAGACTTTTTAGCAAATTGTGCTGAAGAAAGTGGACATCCTTAACAACAACAAAATAATAAATCTTGACATATGTCTTACACCTTATACAAAAATTAACTGGAAATGGATCATAGACTAAAATGTAAAGTGTAAAAATATAAATCTTTTAGTAAAAAACATAGAAGAAACATGTTGACTCTAAAGAAACAACTGAGACTTGACACCAAAAACACAATCCATGTTAGGAAAAAAAAATCAATTTGATTTCTTAAAAATTGCAAATTTTGGCTTTTAAAGACCGTGTTATAGCATGAAAAGATAAACTACAGATCAGGAGAAAAGTTTTTGCAAATCAGATATCCAACATATCCAATAAAGGACTAGTAACGAGAATATACAAATAAATTTCAAAACTCAACAGTAAACAAATTATATATATACAATTACATATATAATTAAAACATATATATATGTAATTAGGAAATGGGCAAAGGTCATGAGGAGGCATATCACCAAAGAGGACATAGAGATGTCAAATAAGCCTGTGAAAAGATGTTTAACATTATTAGCCATTAGAGAAATGCAAATTAAAATCCCAATAAGATATTACTATATTCCTATCATAATGGTTAAAATTAAAAACTGCTGACAATACCAAATGTTGATGAGAATGTGGAGAAACTGGATCCCTTACATTATTGGTGGGAATGTAAAATGACATGGCGAGTCTGGAAAGCAGTTTGACAATTTTTTAAAAAGAATTAAACATGGGCTTACCAAATGTCTGAGCAATTGCACTCTTAAGCTTATTTTCCAGAGAAATAAAAACTAAGTATATGCAAAAATCTATACACAAGTGTTTATATCAATAGCACAAAACTAAAAAGGCTCAGATGTTCTTCAACAGGTTACTTGTGAAATAAACGGTGACATATCCGTAATATAAAATACTATTCAACAATGAAAAGGTACAAATTGTTGATACATACAATAATCTGAATGAATTGCTAGATTATTATACCAATTTAAAAGCTAATCCAAACAGCTTGCATACTATATATAATTTCATTTTTGTAACCTTCTTGAAATAACCAAATTATAGAAATGGAAAACTAATGAGTGGTTGCCAGCAGTTAAGGAGGATGTGGTGATGTAAGGGAACTGGATGTGTCTATAAAGGAACAACATGATGGATTTTTATGGTAAGAATATGTCCTTGACTATATTAATGCCTATATCCTGACTATATTAATGCCTATATCCTGGTTGTGATATAGTACTGCAAGATGTTACAATCTGAGGAAACTGGGCAAAAGATAATGGAAGCCCTCTCTTATTTCTTACAACCTCATAAAAATCTACAATTAAAAATAAAAAGCTAACTTGACAAGAAAAGGTAATCTGGAAAGTGTAAGTACTTTGTTATTATTAGAGAGTAAGTGCTTATTGAAAGATATCAGGAAATGTGAATTAAATAATATGTAGGCTCAGTAGAACTTGAAGTTCATGATATAAAGTGTGAAACTTATTTTCCAACTGATGGTGGATGGTGCAGCATTATATCAATCAGTATTCTATTGCTGCTATAACAAATTATTACAACCTTAATGCCATAAAATAACACAAATTTATTATCTTATAGTTCTAGAGGTCTGAAGTCTGAAATGAGTTTTACTGAGCTACAATTAAGGTGATAGGAGAGCTTTTTTTTTTTTATTCTGGTAGCTGTATTGAAGAATCTGTTCCCTTATTTTTTCCAACATCTAGAGGCTGTCTGCATTCCTTGGCAAATGTCCTTCTCCTCCATTTTCAAAGCCAAGAGCGTAACACCTTCGTGTTTCTCTGACTCTGAGCCCTCCTCTGTTTCTATTTTACTTTTAAGGACCAATATAATTTCTTCATCTTAAGATTCTTAACTTAATCACATCAGCAAAAACCCTTTTGCCATATAAGCTAACATAGTCACAGATTCCAGGGATTAGAACATGGACATTTTTGGGGGAGGGGCATTACAATGGGATGATTATTACAAATGACTTCTGAGATAGCTAAAGGAATTTAAGGCTAGTTTTATCCATTCTACCCAATAATTTGTTGGAATTGAGTAAAATTGACTAGCAGTTTTGTATAGTGTTACAATTTGCCTATTCCCCCAAGTCTTCCAGCCCTGTATTCAAGGCTGAAGCTCAAAGTAGAGAAATATAATGATCTAGATATTATTTTTTTCCTCCAGATTGATATGGCAGATCATGGACATTCTTTTAAAGACTTCTGTGGACATGGTCTTACATTTCAATTTTTGTTGTTGCGTCATTGGAACTACATCAAAAATTCCCAATGAGCAAGATGTGCACATCGATAAATTTGATAGTACGTAATTCTCCCCTCTCCTGTTCAAATAAGCAAGATCCATGCTTCATTGCTCTGTCTTCTATGAGACTGTCATTATTGAAAGGGCTGCTGGTGGTCTTTAATGCTTTCTTATTTTATGCCAAAGGTTTATTTAGAAAACAATGTGCCAATTACAATGCACATTACAGTACATTTATCTGTACTATCTTGAGGCAGATATTAATAGGGTAATTCTAAATGTTCTACCATACAAAATTTACTATAATTAACTTAATCAAAGTGAAGAAATTCATTATAACTTTCACTTTCCTTTTGTTTTTAACCATGGAAATACACATTTTATGAAATTTTCCATATACAGGCTGTCATCTACTCTCTTTTTTTCATGTCTGTAGGTGAAATAACCATAGACATGACTCTAAAAATTGATCTCCAAAGTGTTGTACAAGAGACTTGCATAATCAGATTTGTAATATAGAAATAACATTTTAACTGCAGTATGACGGATGTGTGATTTCTGGAGTAAGAATGACTTATATTTATCTTTCCTGGATTTCTTGGGATATTTCCGTTACAGTACATTCAGCACTCATGAGAAATTACCCTTGGATATTGCTCAACATCACAGGTATTAGTAAAAGGAACATAAACATGCGTTATATTTATTTAATGTGTTGTGTTAAGCCTTTATTTATCACAGAAAGTTTGCACAGAGGTATTTCTCCTAATCAGAAAATGTGAAACTCTACCAAACTAAGCTGTCTCCATGGTTTAACCAACTATAGTGTCATTTCATGAAATTTTAATGCAGTTAACAATAAATTGTAAATGAGTGCAGTGTTATTACTTGTCATGGAGTAGCAAAAAGAAAGCAGTAGAAATGTGAATTGCAACGCCAGTGAAATTAACATTTAAAGCAGCAATCAATGAAGAGTATCATTTACAATCTCAATGAGACTCTCAATATATGCTAGACAAGGAATTAATGAAGAAAAACTTCTAAGCCTGTAATCCCAGCACTTTGGGAGGCTGAGGCGGGCGGATCGCGAGGTCAGGAGATCGAGACCATCCTGGCTAACACGGTGAAACCCCGACTCTGCTAAAAAAAAATACAAAAAAATTAGCCGGGAGTAGTGGAGGGCGCCTGTTGTCCCAGCTTCTCAGGAGGCTGAGGCAGGAGAACGGCGTGAACCCGGGAGGTGGAGATTGCAGTGAGCGGAGATCGAGCCACTGCACTCCAGCCTGGGCAAGAGAGTGAGACTCCATCTCAAAAACAAAACAAAAAAAAAAGAAAGAAAGAAAAGCTTCTAAAACTTTGGCTACAACTTACATGGTACTTGAAAGGAGCACTAATGTCAACTTGCTGACACCATTTGAAGCTCTCCTTTCAGGAGCTGTAAAAAATTTCCTCTCCACCATTACTGTATAACTATTTGAAATGATTCATTCCTGATGTGGAAGAACTTTAATATCATACCTTATCATAAATTTAATAATTCCCTAGCATCTTTGAGATGGTATGAAATTTTCCTTAAGTCAAATAAAATGTGAATGGCAAAGACAAAGTGGAAATTCATTTCTTGGTTTCCTGGCCCCAGATATTCTCTACTAATATATATATTTTATTTTTAGGAGATAATTATTCTCTGTTTTTACACAAACATCTCCAGTATATTTTGGAGGCCATAATTACTACACTTAATGTTCTAACATTCGGTTTCAATTTCAGTGTTCAATTTATTTCTCTCATGTAATGCATACTCCTAAATATCTTTAACTTTTATATCTTTCCCCTCTATAAACAACATATCACTTTTTTTTTTTTTTTTTTTTGACGGAGTCTCGCTCTGTCGCCCAGGCTGGAGTGCAGTGGCGCGATGTCGGCTCACTGCAAGCTCCAGCCTCTCGGGTTCACGCCATTCTCCTGCCTCAGCCTCTGGAGTAGCTGGGACTACAGGCGCTCGCCACCACACCCGGCTAATTTTTTGTATTTTTGGTAGAGACGAGGTTTCACCATGTTAGCCAGGATGGTCTCGATTTCCTGACCTCGTGATCCGCCCGCCTTGGCCTCTCAAAGTGCGTGGGTAAGCCACCGCTCCCGGCCCAACATATCACTTCTTTAAGAATCTTAGCCTTGCAAGTTTTAGGTGTATTTTGGTAACTTGTAGCTACTTCAAAATAATTATGGAAGCATTTTAGTCATATATATGTTTTTTTTCCTGAGGGAATGTCCAGAATTTGTTCCACAGGCACCATCCTTAGGGATGATATCTCTGATAGTTTTCCTGGTCTTCAAATTCTAGCAAAATGTACACATTGGTGGTACTGTCTTCAACATGCGGAGCTACCATGGAGTTAATTAATTTCCGAATTCCTCCAAGAATCAAAACAAAGACATGGACAATGATAAAACTTGTCACAAGGTGCTGCTTAACTGATCACTAAACTCGGGGTACCAGAATATTGAACAAAAGTATGAACTAGGAAAAATATAGATCAGAGAGGACTTGAGTTAGATGTTTACTTCAAAAATTTAAAAATACAACAAATTGGGTAAGTTAAATGAGTGGAACATTTCAATGAATAAGAAATATTTGATTTTTCTAGCATTTTCTTTAAGTATAATGATATATACAGGTATTATATTATACACATACATACACACATACATGTACAAATATAGTAATCTTAATTACTAAATAGAAATTACTAAGTTCTAATAATAAGCATTATACTGGTATTAAATTCCTATTTTGACATTCAAATTAATTGGTTACCTTACTCAGACTAAAGGAATTCAGTAATCTATCTTCTTTCAAAATTTCTTGAATTATCCATTTTATGGCATCTAATTATCATTTTCTTCCAATGTTAAATATTAATTTTTTTCCTCCTACATGCAATGAATGATTTTTGTATTAAGACGTTTAAAACACATCAAATTCTCATTTCATTGTTGAGACTTACTCAAAGTTCAGGCCTCACTTATGGCTATCCTCACCTAACATTTTTTATATCCTTCAATATTTCTTTTCTAAAAGCATCCTTCCTTTTATTCTAGGGAGAAAAGGCAGTGAAACATTTTTCCCTTCCTCTTTCTTCCTGTATTCTTTAAGGGTCTTGAATTCTATCCTCTGGGTATCCCACAGCAATAGGAAAGTGGTGGCTAAATATCTATCTAGCTGTTATCACTGGGGTTTCAATATTTAACTCTTAAGACAGGGTTATGTTTATTGTCATGTTATTATATAGAGCCTGGATAATTACTTTCTAAGTTTGTAGTAGAGGCAATGTTTAAACTTGACAGGGAACCAAACCATAATGGCTTTTAAGATTTCTGCAATATCTATGATTATTCAATTGGGCCTTACTTAGCCAGTATGTACATTTGAAGCACAGAAATTATCCATACCAGTTCATACCAGAAACAGAATATCAAACTCAAATAGAAATGTAAAGCTCTGCTCAAACCAGGCCTCCAAACACAAAATTGTTTTCAGAATCAGCTCAACTATTCAAGCCCACCAATACTCTGGAGGATAAGATTCAAGGAATGTCTCCATTTAAGGCCAATAACTGAGCTCAAGTACTTAAATCTTTCTATTCTAAAATATAAGACTCCTAGGAGAAAACCTAGGAAATACCATTCTGGACATTGGCCTTAGGAAATAACTTATGACTAAGTCCTCAAAAGCAATTGGAACCAAAACAAAAATTGGCAAGTCGGACCTAATTAAACTAAAGAGCTTCTGTACAGCAAAAGAAACTATCAACATAGCAAACAGACAACCTACAGAATGGGAGAAAATATTCTCAAACTATGCGTCCAACAAAGGTCTAATATCCAGAATCTAAAAGGAACTTAAGCAATTCAACAAGGAAAGAAGAAATAACCCCACTAAAAAGACATGAACATATACTTCTGAAAAGAAGTCCTGCAAGCGGCCAACAAACATATGGAAAAGTCCTGAATACTACTAATCATCGGAGAAATGCAAATCAAAACCACAAAGAGATACCACCTCACACTATTCAGAATGGCTACTATTAAAATATCAAAAAATAAATGCTGGTGAGACTGCAGATGAAAGGGTACACTTAGACACTGTTGGTGAGAATGTAAAATAGTTCAACCACTGTGGAAAGCAGTTTGGAGATTTCTGAAAGAACTTAAAGCATAACTATCATTCGACCCCACATCCCATTCCTGGGTATATGTCCCACAGAAAATAAAATTGTTCTACTAGAAAGACACAGGAACTCATATGGTCATTGCAGCACTATTCACAATATAAAAGACATGGAATCAACCTAGGAGCCCATGAACAGTGGATTAGATAAAGAAAATATGGTACATATACATCATGGTATACTACACAGCCATAAACAGAATGAAATCATGTCCTTTGCAGCAACATGGATGCAGCTGAAAGCCATTATCCTAAGAGAATTAACACAGGAACAGAAAACCAAATACCATATGTTCTCACTTATAAGTGAGAGCTAAACACTGGGACTCATGGACATAAAGTTTGCAACAATAGACACTGGGGACTACTATTGAGGTGAGAGAGAGAAGGGGCAAGGGTTGAAAAACTATTGAGTACTATGCTTAAAACCTGGGTGATGGGATCAATCATACCCCAAACCTCAGCGTAACACAATACACTCATGTAACAAACCTGCATGTGTACCCCTTTATCTAAAATAAAAGTTGAAATTGTCAAAATAAATTAATAAATACATAAAAAGTAAAATAAAACCAGAGTAAGGCAACCTGTGAAATGATTGCAGCAAATTTCTGAGGAAATAGGAAACAATAAAAGAAATCTGGTAGGCATTCTACTTGTCCAATGAGATTGCAGCAAGCTTTTCTCCAATCGTTTTGAAACATTTCAGATTTTGAGGATGAACTCTCACATCTTTTTTTTAGAGGCACAAACTGGAGAAGTAAAACCAACCAACAAACAAAAATACATGAGAATATTCTTTAGGGATAGAATGCATACCTATTGATGCACATCAGCTACAGCTGAAAACCAAACTTACTGTTCATTGTGTACTGAATCAGAGAGAAAGTATTTCCTAAACTAGCAGGGAATATTCAGTAACAGAAAAGTAAATAGTCATATTTTCCCTTTCCATAAGCACATCAGACATATACATTTACCTGGACATGGTGGAAGAACTAATGGTTTTTTTGTTTTGTTGTTGTTTTTTTTTTGACAAATATTCCTCATTATTTTCCTCATCTCAATGTGTTTTCCATATACGTGGACCATCGTGTAAATGCCAAAGCTATTCAATTAACCAACTAGCATGGTACATAGTGGTCATTATGAAAAGCTGATATTAATATTTCATGCTACAAATTTGTCATGGAATTACAGTAACAATTTGTAAAACTGGAGTTTCAATATTTTACCCAAAAATAGTCATTGTGGATCAAGTAATGGGAAGCAAAACATTTCTTTTAAATAAAAACAACATAGTAAGTACATTGGTAACATTAGGCCTAACGATGGGAAACCAAAGCAAAATGGATGTGATTGAATTGAGATATAAACCAGACTCTTTTCAATGAAGTATGGGATTTTTACTTATTTTATTTTATACATCCCTACTTCAATTTCATCCTTTTTCTTACTGATCCGTTTCCTTTAGGATACTGGCAAAATAGGAGATTATAACTTGTGACCTAGATCCCAGATTAACTTTTAGAAGAAACAAAGAAAAAAAGGTCAAAGAAATAGCAGAGTTTAGAGTGAATATCCATCCTCTAGACTTCCATATGGACTTTATCTGAAAGATTGAAAAGCACTCTTCAGTTTAATGAATTGAATATGATTGGGTTCTGGATTGAATTACTCAGTGTCATTCAGCCAGAAGTTCAACTTATTACTGCACCTGATTCCAGTTAAATATTTTATGACACAGACAACTAGAGAAATTTGGAGCTGCTACCATAGGAGTAGAAGCCAAAACACCTTCAGAGATGATTTTATGCAACATCATATCACCCTGTACCATTGAAACTGCAATTATCGGCTATAAAATTGTTTTAATAGAGAAAATAATAATTTTCAAAAATTAAAAAAGTAAAGCATTTACTACCATGTTCTCTTCTACTTATGTGAATATACTTGGGATTATATAAATCTAAAGAAAAAAGGCAAACAGCTTGGGCACATTTATCTAAACACCCACAGAATTCCAGTTAGTATCTTGAAGTGTTCAAGCAGTGAATTTTGATATTTTATATTTTTAGAGGTAAGACTTATTATTGTTGCTGTTATTTTAAAAAGCTGGAAAACTCTCATAAACAAATATAATAGGATTCTCAATTATTTATGTGAAACATTGATAATTATAGACTCCAAAGAAGTCAAATCAACATTTTTCTCTTTTATAGTTCTCCTTTGTTTTATTCTAATGTGATCTTATTTCTGGTTCAGTTAGTCTTGACGTGACCAAAAAAACTGCTGAAAGTATATGGTTGATGGATGGGCTGGTGATAAAAATTAGTTTAACTTTCGTTCTAAATCTTCACACGTAGAACTTTTTTCTCTTCTACCTCCATGACTACCATGCAATAAAATAAAATGACTCTGTTATAGGAAAGATAATATCTAAGATTTATATTAGCATAATCTTTTTCAAAGCACTGTGGATTTTTTTATTGGTAAATTTAACATTTGTAATTTTAACTGTTCTCTCATTCTCTAAATAAGGTGTGATTTCACTGAGAAAAAGAGTGAAATCCTATGCCAAGAGCTAATGCACATGAGATTCGCATACTTCCAAGGAACATCTATCTACAGAACCAACCCCTCTGTTTTTTTTCAGTCCTTTTTAAGCCCTGAATATAGTGATTATGAACGTCTATTAAAAATGGCCTCTAAAAGTAAGCAGATGTTCCTACTTTTGACAAATTGGAGATATCTAAGCCAGTACTGGCAATCCTGACTTTGCTAATTTGTGAAATCCAAGGAATCTCTGCAGCACCTATGAAATGATGTCTATCCTCACTCTTAGGGCCAAATTACTGTTAAACACCTAGACACAGTGCTTAGGCCTCACAACAACTTTAGGATCTCATGAAAATGTTTTAACTTTTTAAGAACTTTATTAGAAAAATAAACTTTTAGGGGAAAAATGTTTTAATATATGACTATTTTATGCCAATACACCTTAAAAATGTAATTTTAATATTTTTATGAAGAAAGGGGCCTATGAAGTCAAAAGTGCTTAGGGCCTGTGAAAGTCATACTGCATCTCTTCTCACTCTCACCCTGTAGACATAACACAAGACAGAGGTAATGGAAAGCAATATATTTTGTGCAATTATATAATAATAGTCTCTTTAGATTCTGAACATTCCAAAAATAAATTTCAACTAACTTATCACTCAGTCATTGAATGGGTTCAGTTTCCGTCAAATGGAAATGATAGCTATAATGTGAATATGTCCCAGCATGTTTCAATCACTGGCCAAAACACCGTTCTTTGCTGTATTCAAGTGAAAATTGTCATTCTGTGAAGCTCTGCTTCATCAGTCAGTCACTCTTCAAAGACAGCACTAGTTGCCAATTCACTGCATTCTAGGTTGGATGATCTGTGATGATATGATTGTACCGAAATATATTGCTCAAATCATTCATCTGAATGCAGCACCTGGTCCCTCTTCAATATTTTATAGAACAGAAAACTTCTGAATGAAGACACCACAACCACAGCTAACAGATGCCAAATAACTCATGAGATGATTTTCTGCAATTACATATGAGTTGTTGCATGTGGTTATTGGCATTGCCACTTGATTATTTAGTACTGAACATCGAATGGACATAAGAAAACCTGATTTTTGCCACAGCTTTCTCTTTGGTCTCTGACCTTGACCATGAGATGTACTCCACTGTGGATCGTGTGTGTTCAATTAAAAAAGAAAAGTGGCTGATTTCGGGGATCTTTTCTACCTCTAAATGTCAGTAATTCTGTTGCTCATCTACATGTCTTCATATAATGTCTACTTTTATTGCCTGAGTCCCGGCCTATTGGTGAGCAGTTGCGAGGACCTCCAGCTGACAGAGTCCTTGAAATAGTCCATAAACATAAATAGTAAGTATCACTTGCAGGCTGTAGTATACTTAGCTGTTTTCTGGGAGGCACTGTTATAATTGCTATATGACATCCACAGTTCATATCAAAGGAAAGGTCATGTATTACCATCTTAATAAGGACTGGATCAGATGTTAACATGGTTTTAATCTGTGAAGCCTCATGGACACCATGCTGCCTTTTCTGCTTTGGTTTTTCACCAGTTGATTTGCAGGAAAGATTGAAGAATTCAGGGAGATACCTGTTAAGCTTCTAACAGTGAGGAAGGTCGTTAGCTATTTATAGCACTTCCTTTGTGCTAGCTTCAGTCTCTTACCAAATTAACTATATGTATCCAGAGCTAAGTGTCTACCTATGAGATCATAAAGTCTTACCATAATTTTAAGGTGGATAACAATGGAAATAAATAAGTTTGTATTTTTACATTTTTGCTCTACTTCAATGGAAACCATTTAACTATGTATTAAGTATGTGTTTTTATTTAATTTTGAAAAGTACACAGGATGAATTGACATATTTGTTTGTGACTATATAATAAATCAAAGGTAGTATTTTCCTGTAGTAAAAAAGAAGTGACTAAATCAAAGTTAAAGAAGAAAATACGAACTGTTTTTGACCTTACTCTACTGGCTAGGTCCTCCAGTACAATGTTAAACAGAAAAAAAAAAAAAAGATCTCAGATTATCTTGACTTTTTCCCAACCTAAATGAAGAGCACTCAATATTTCATTGTTAAGTGGCTTGTTTGCAACCAATATTCTGTAGATCTATTTGTTAGAATTGAGGTATTCTCTTACATGCCTATTTGCTGACAGTCTTAATCATGAAAGATTGTTTAATGTTATCACAATTTTTCTAACTTTAATAAGATAATTATATAACATTTTTATTATTTTTAATGCTTTTAATTGAACTGATTACTTTTATGCCCATATTCATACACAGCATCATAAATTAACTATCTATATTATCATCTAAAGTTGCCTTCTGAAACTAACTTCTCTCACCTACTCAAGACCCCTTTGTGTTAAAATTCCATCTAGGTGTTGTTTGTATTCATGGTCTCTGACTTTTGCCTTCTAATTTTTCAACACTTTCTTAAGAAAATATTAAAGCATAGAGAAAATTTGAAAGGATTGTACAGTAAAAACACATATACCCATGATCTAGATTCTGTAATTAGCCTTTTATTGTCTTTGCTTTATCATGTATCTTTCCATCTCTATGTTAATCTCTCAGTTTATCTCTTAATTGAGGCATTTTGAATTACATTGTGTATTCATCAGTACACTCTACCCATAAATACTTTAATGTATATGTTAATAGAGTTTTTCCTTATTATTTTCTACAGGAGAAGGTTTAAAATCAGTGCTTTTGCTTTCTTTGCTGGAAAAATTCACTGGTGAAATCATCCAAGTTTTGAGATTTATTTGCAGGAAGGTTTTTAGCTACGAATATAATATTATTAAATAGACATAGAATATCTTTAAATAGACATATTCACACTTTCTATTTTCTATTGATTATTAGTATATATGTTTAAACTGTTTTATTTTGAGAAAAATGTAGATTCACAAGAGATTGTTAGAAAGAATACAAAAAGATCACATACACCCTTCACTCAGTTCCCTCAGTGGTAAAATCTTGTATAACCATAGTACAATATCACAACCAAGAAGTAGATATTGATAAAATGCACAGATCTTATTCAGATTCCACATGCACTCATTTGTGTATATATATACATATATATGTGTGTATATGTATATATATGTTTGTTGAATTCAGTTTTATCACATGTGTATATTTATATGACCACAACAGTCAAAATACAGAACAGTTTTTATCACAATCTCCCTTGTGCTACACTTTTATAGTAACAACTCCCTCCCTCCCTTTCTCCCTTCTTCCTAAACCCTGACAACCACTAATCTGTCCTCCTTTTCTATAATTTTGTCATTTCAAGAATGCCATATAAGTGGCATCATAAGTAGAAGCATTCAAGAATGCCATACAGGTGGAATTGTATGTTATCTTTGGGGATTGGCTTTTTTTTTTTTTACTGAGCATATTTCTCTTGAGATTGCTAAAAATATTCAGATGTATCAATTATCTATTCCTTTTATTTTTGCTAAGCAGTGTTTCATGATACAGATGTAACACTTGTTTTTAACCATTAACTCATTGAAAGACATTTAGGTTGTTTCTAGTTTGGGGATATTATGAATAAAGCTGCAATGAATATTTGTGTATAGGGTGTGTGTGTGCGTGTGTGTGTGTGTGTGTGTGTGAATATGTAAGTTTCTCTTTATATTTTGTATCATTTGCCCTGACTAATGGTTCATTACTAATAGTAAATAATAATGCTGTATTACCTCTCCTCTTTATTGCCCTTTTTAAAATCCCCACATTCCTCCAGCTTTTGCCTTATTTCTCTGTTTCTCTGTCATATGAAAATTACCTTGAGGCAATAGGAACTTCTAAGTATAGTACTAGATAAGCTCTCCCAGATGTAGTACAATAAACATATTCACTGACTAAATATGGGTAAAATATAGCAACTAATGTGAAATACCAACACAGGACAATCTTGGTTTTCATAATTCAGTCTTCTCTTGTCTTTTCTGTCAGATTATCCCATAATTTTCGCTTTTTTGTGAAGTATACATCATGCTAATGTACATTTTAAGCTTTTTACGTTTCTGAAATTTTTCAAGTGTTCTGAAAACAGAAATAAAGGGCAATGAAGAAATGAGGAAAACACTCATGTCTGCCATAGAATCAGTTTTTCAGTACATAGCTTCCAAATAGCTCTCCCATTACTATTAGGACTATTCAATTGTATTGCAGTTTATAAGGTATTTTCTGATTCATTATCTTATTTTAATCTCCAAATAATTCTGTGAATTAGGGAAGTAAGACTTTCTATATCCTTTTATAGACGTTTTAAGTTTTGGAAGATTAAGTGAACTACTCAAGAATATATAATTAGTGGCAGAACTGGGATTGAATTCCAAATCCTATACTCATTCAAATACATAATATTGTCTTTTCAAAATATGCTAGCATGCAGTAAATATAACTGGATTACTTATAAATTTTTATCTACTAATGCTATAAAATGTTTTTATAATAACCACTCCTAATCATGCTGTTTTGAGCTCCTATTTCCCACTAAATAAACAGAGATGCTTAATGCCATTTCAGTTCAATCCTATGATTTTGCATTCACTTTTGGCTGTTCAAAGAGTATTATTCTGGTTCTTACTGCTGATCAGTCCTGTTGATTTTGCAACTAAAATATCTAATTTTGATGTAATCCTCTTCCCCCCTCTTCCTAGTACTAGTTAACTTAATTCCAGCTCTATGGACGGAAATTTTTCTGGTGTTGCAACAGATTAAATTGAGAAAGGAAAAAAGAGAGGCTTCCATACTGGATTGGGCAATGTTGTCATGTCCTGCACATTAACTCACAGACTTTGGTCATACCTGCTCCCTCTGGGTACCAGGTAGCCAAATATCGCCCCTTTTGTGAAGCACAGTAGTTTATTCTACTAAGATCCTGAATATCCTTTCTCTTTCTAGACACATTTTCCAGGTATGCAAGCTACAGCTTGAGTACTTTACCTTCTTCATTTACTTTAGTCTCTGTAAGAGAGAGCTTCTGTCTTTTACAATAGAGACACCAGTCACTTTATTGTAAACCAGGCTAAGTGGTAGAAGTGCAGGAGGATTCACCTTATTCCAGCCCTGCTATTCTGCATGTCCCAGCAAAATCTGGTACGATGTTGGTGAAGAAATTCAGGAAATTTATAGGAAAGATGTTCATTCGTTTTCAACCTAGTAGGAAATGATGTGGTTCAGATATCCATTTTTTTCGTATTGTTTGGCCACAGGGAAGACAAGCCTCCCTACCTGTTGTGATGAAGTGGGTCAATGCATAAGACATCCTAGATTCCACAAAGTACCTTTCAGGAACTTCTATGGGGAAGTGGCTAGCCCTGACAATTGGAAGTCTTTAGAACTTCCTTTAGGCTTTCTTTTTGCTCATTATTCACAGGCATGATTCGGAGCTGCAATGCCCAGATACTGGGAAAAATTCCATTAAATATACTCTTCTATAAAATATGACAGTTTTAAATACTGTCTTTTGACTTGAAACACAGATGATAAACTTCCTTCTTAAATCACATGGAATTCAACTCACTGGGATGTTATGTTAAGAATAGATATATAGATATCAACTGAGACTAGTTTTATTTGTTGGTAAGGATAATGCATGTATATGATATTAGTGGCAACTAATTCAGAAAAAAAAAAGTCAGAATTGTAAGAGTTGGCTAAAATGATTTTGTTTTCCTATTTAATGAGGGTGACATTGAAGCCAAAATTATACACTGAATCAGCTGCTTTGGGGTAGAATGATAACTTCAGAGAAAAATAGTTAAAATGTGAATTTTAAATTAAAAGTTGTGAAAATAATCTAGTCTTTTGCAGAGTTCTAAGTGGAATTCACTTTTAGTGTTTTTTTCATAATCACTTCAAGGGTTCAACAGTTCACTCAAATATCTACAATGTAAACATATCATTAAACATATATATATAAATTAACAAAACTGACACTTTAATGATATTAAAATATTTGATTTTTTTTCTTTCCTGAAGTTACAAAACAGACCAAGACGTAAATATAACCTGGATATATTTCTTACAGAAATAATTCTATATATGTCATCTAACTTGATAATATACCGAGATAATATACCGAGATAATATCCGAGAGAATTCACTCGGATGCTTTCTGCACTGCTTTTTATTACTCGTTCTAAAGAATTCAGTCTTGAAATTACTTATGGTATTTATTACACTTCCAAAGAAGATTAAGTACCCAACTCTCTCCAGTTATGTGTGAGTATCATGCATTTATTTATGGTCTGTTATCTTTCAACCTGAAAGTAATTTTTTTTGCCTGAAATAAGAGTAATACATACTGAAAATATTAGCACAGGGAGAGCTGCCATGTAGTTCTGTATTCAAAAATTTACAAATGCGTACATTTTATCCAAAATAGCAATAGCAACAACAACAATGAAAAGAAAATAGAGATGTAGTGAAATTAATTCCTATGAATTTCAAATTTTGGGAATGAGGTTTTTTTGTTCACTGAAAGAAAATGTCAAATGGAGTTGCATTCAACTCTCATCAAAGCGACACACCTCAGTGAAATTTTACATTGATAGAGTGCCTTAGTGTGTCAACTTTCAAAGGGTCAGGAATTAATCCTTGGGAAAGCCAGTCTTTAAAGTTTCATAAAGGTCAAGCAGCTCACCTAAGGTTTGTTTCTTAATAGCAATTCTGAATCATTCTATGGTCAACTTGGTTGACTGCGCACCATTGGAGACACCTAAAAAAAATCTGCCAAAAAGCACTCTATGTTGGTAACTTGTAGATACAACCTGGAAAAAGCAAAAAGCTTCCTTTGTCATGTTGTGTTTCATATAAAACGTGTTTCCTACTATGGAAAGATTTGGCATCTGTAGTAATTATGTATAGGTATTTCAAATGTTAATATTACACACACACACAAACACACTTACACATAATTTCCTGTTTGTCTTTCTATGTGCCTATCTTTGCACATATATCTGTTTGCTTGTTTTTTTTTTTTTGCTCTAACTTACATGCAATGATGAACAAGTTAAGCATATTATTGCCAAGTGGCCCATGAGCTCTTAGGTTTAAGGCAATGATAACAAGAACACAGCAACATCAAAATATATTACTCCCTTTGGCTCCATAACTTCAGGATGATAGAAAATCTACTAGTATCTTCTTAATTTCTATAAGCTGAAAGGCAATGAAATTGTCATAGCAGGAACCAATTTCCTACCTGAAAACTAGTCAGTCATTGACCTTCTTATATTATCTTTTATTTCTAAAAACTGGAGAAAACAAATCATATGCTTGCTTATATCTAACTACTTAGTAACTATACAAACATGGACAAGTTGCCTAGCATCTTTAATTTCAGATTCTTCAATTTAGCTGGTAACTCTGTCTATAAGAATGGGTTAATAACTATATATTTTAAGATGGTTGTGAAACTTTAGTGAAATAATCTATGCAAAGCACTTAGTATAGTGCCTTTCGTATAATGTTGCTGAAAGTATTCGGTAATAATAGTGAGCACAGTGCTGTGAACAATCCTCTGAACACAATGAGAATGTTAATAGGTAAGCTAACACACAGAACTGCATTGATGAATCTGATTCATACTTTTCCAGAGATTTTACCCAAGTAGAAGATAATAGTACCATTTTTCATTAAGTCTAGGGTCGCTAGTATTTTCCTCAATGTCAAAGAAGGCTACTACTTTATTTGAGGAGCACCAAATGAATTAGTTGACTTTCGTTTAAGGTTCATGATGTATGAAAAATATGCACCAAACATTAAAATCACACTCAGTGGAGCTAGCTACCTACACGTAGATAGACATATGGGCATTGATAACTAGTGGAATGAAAAATTGATTCCTTTCTCCCATCTCACACTCATTTCAGGCCACAGGACATAAAAGGGAAAAGCAGGCATAATTCCATGTTGTTTCAATTATAACTTTTTAAAACATCCCATCTCCCCATTATTATCCTTGTCTGTGTTTTTGTCTTTTCTTTGGAAGAAGGAGAAATATGTAGAATCAAATGCACACATGTTAAATACAAGTTCTATTGTAAAGGAGGAAGCTTTTGGCCATGAGAGGCAAAAAGCCCATTGCAAATGGCTTAAACTTTAAGGGAATTAGTTGTTTTTATAAAGCAATAAGTGCAATGCTAGGTTGGCTATAAAATTAGGCAATTAAGTGGTATAAGAGGTAATCAAGTCTCAGAATTGTATTTCCATATTTTCAGGTGCAATCTTCAGTATATTGCCAAGCTTCATTCACTTATGAGATGACATCCCTAAATATCATATTGTGTCACACTAAAATCCAGAGACAAGAATGGAAAGGACTTTTCTTTTTTCTTTTTTTTTTTTTACATTTCTGTGTCTCTTTAAATATGACAGGAACTATTCTAGAAACCCTCCAGAAGGTCACGTGGTTTTCTATGATTCAATCACTGGGAAAGAAAACGACATAATTGCCTTAGGCAAATTGGTATTACCCAATCACATTGAAGAGAAATAGATCCAGAAAAATTTCAGGATTTGGGCATCATGGAAGACTTCAAAACACTTGAGGATTAGCACTTGCTTGCATATACTACAGACACATACCTAGGCACACACATGAAAAGCTATTTTTTATTAATGATATATTAAGATTCTTCAATACTTTATCATTCACATTAGATTACAGTTTTCCACATGTATAATACAAGTTATAAACATACTTGTTATTAATTAATATAAAAAGGGCTGCGTTTAAACAGATACTTTCAGTTTATCTACTGTTTTAGTGGTCTATTTCTAAAGCATATCCACAGATACGAAGTTTCTTGAGTTACTATCACACATTTTTGTACTACTAAGAATCTGTTTTATTTTAATCTTCCCAAATGCAAAAATGATAGCTTCTCTGTTATTTCTGAATCACTCCCTGACAGTTGTTTGGGGAGTGCATTTATTCTTTCAGAGCAATATTTCTAATCTATTAACAATCTATGAAAACAATGTGCTCAGGGATTGTTTTCGTTTCCTAAAATTGAAAAAAGCAACGTATTTTAAAAGTCATAGGTGTAATTTGGTTTAAAATATAGAGTTTATTCATTAAATAAGCAATGTATTTGTATCTGCTATGTAATGTGCATACACAAACACACAGAGAGAAAGAGAGACACAAAGAGAGGCTCAATTTAGAATAGATTAATCAGGAAGATTTGTGAAAGTTGGTACACTGAAGTTATTCTTTGTGGCTAGGAGGGATTTCTAATAGGCATAATAAGAGTTAGGACATTCAAAGTATAAAAGACTGCATTAATAGAAAAGCACGGAAATGAATGGCAACTTTTTGAGCAGGTTAACTAGAAAGACAAATTTGATTATGTGAACAATGGAATAGGAATATGAGTAGTGAAACTTTTTTTGGACAGATTACAGGGACTCATGGATATCAAGCTAAGAATGCATTCTATGGCATACTTTATTCTGTGGGTAATGGAGAATAATTGGAGGTGCTGTAGCAAGACATAGCATGTTTATAATAGTCTTAAGGAAAGACGTGTATGATAAAGTGGGGAAGAAACAAAAGTTAGAAAGACCAAGTTACAAGCTCACTTTAATATTTAATTAATCATAGATTTCCTTAAAAGGAATTTATCAGTTTGAAGCAATAAACAGAATAAATAACCAGGTTAAGGAAAGAATATTTTTTAAAATTTTAACTTATTGACTGTAGAATGAGAGAGAGGAAAATCTTAAAGCAATTTGACATTTCAAACCTATGTGTCTAAAAAATAATAGTGCATCAAATAGTGATACATAATAATGCATAAAAAACATGTAGGGGGAAGAGAAAATCAATGCGTCATTGATTAGACATCATTTTGTGTTTCAGTGGGGAAAAATGTCCAAGTTGGTGTTTATTATTTGAGAATTCAAAAATATAATATGATCTGCTGATCATAAGCTGGATTTGTGACTATTCTACACAGATATAGCTGGTGATGCTATGGGTATAAATAGGATAATTAAATAATAGGTTTATTAAAATTTTTTTTTATTAAAAAAATAATTTTTTTTTTTTTTTAGTAGAGATAGGATCTCACTGTGTTGCCCAGAATCATCTCAAACTCCTGGCCTCAAGGGATCCTCCCACTTAAACCTCCCAAAATGTTGGGATTATAGGTGTGAGCCACTGTGCCTGGCTAAATGACAGGTTTTCAAAAAATGGTATGGAAGTACAGGAGACAGACTCTTGAAATGTAAATGGGCAGAGAAGAAAGGCACAACAAAGAATAAAGAAGAGTAATAATTCCAGTTTACCCTGGTTCAGTGGAAGCTCAGAAAGGAACATTTGAAAAATGAGGCATTGGTCAATAGAGTCACATTCTGCAGGAGTAGCATGAATATGAAGGATGTAAGGCAGTTATCTGCATTGGCTTTCATGATGCTGGAGAGAGCAGTTAAATAGGAATGGGGTCAGATTACTGAGGTGAATGAACAAAGACAAGTTCAAAATGATGTGACACATTCACCAACTGAAGGGGGAGATGCTGAGATAGAGAATTGGTATCACAGAAAATCCAAAATTCAATCTAAAGTGAATTATGCAGTGAATGTTGCTACACATAGATAATACCTGGATAATGCATCAGTATTCAAGTGAAAGTGATTCATCTTCTTCATTTCATATTTTTATTAATATTAAAAGTTTCTTAGTCACAAGCCTTTGAAACCTTAATCACCTTTGATTCTTCCTTTTTACTCCACAACCAATTAGGATCAAAGGCAGCATGCTACCTACAATAGAGCATGCTTTAAATTAGATATGCATTCAAATTTCAGCTCTGAAATTTACCAGTTTAAAACCATAATTTAGTCTATCTGGGTTTACTTTCCTCCTGTGGGAGATGAGGGTAAAAATATCTGTCTTTCAATGTTTTTGTGAAATAATAGTAATGTGTGGGAAGGAACCCATCATAGTATCTTTACTCTCATTCTCTTTAGTTTTTACCTGTATATCAATGACATCCAAATCGAAATTTTGCTTTTAGTCCTATAATGAATTCAACCTGTTTGAAACTGGATTTAGGGACATTAGTTAAAAGATGATCTTAATAGTTCTGGCAAAATACAAATTACTGAGCTAGGTCAGACATATATCTATTATTAGACACTTCCATCTGCTTGCCCCATTTGACAACTAATTTTGATATATATTTATCTAACTCAGTTAATCTGCTAATCTTTCACGTAATATTTTTATAATCTGTTGCACATCACAATTCCTTTAATTTCATTCTGCAATTCTTTATTTAGTCTCTTGCCTCTTTTCTAGCCATATATTCAGTACTAATCTAGCCCCATATACACTAAACTTATTTTTGGTTACTCGAACTTGCCTTTTAAAATTTTCATATGCCCTTTGTTTCGAATGTCTGTCTTCCTGATCTACCTAGTTAACATTTTTCATCTTTCAAAATTTAGGCAAAGCGACATTTTCTAAGAGTATCATCAATCACTCTCTATCCTACCTATGGATAAATGATGTGTTTTGTCCTTTTATTGCTTATGACATCATGTATACTACTCTATTGAAGCTTTTCTTATATGGTGTTTAGCTCTTTATTTCAGTGTCTGTTACATTCTTTAATGGTACTTTATATTGATATTGTTTGACTTTCAATAGATGCTTATTGGATAAAAAACTATTGATTAACATACATCACAGAGTTGGGATTATATAATATGACCCCAACACAAAATAATTTTAAATTATTAAGTGTCTCATATGGTCACAACAGTGAACCTAGCTTTGCAATTCTTATAATTGACCTTTATGAAGAATTTGAAAAAAATTATAAAGGGTCCTTCAAAGTATGAGCAAAGTACATAAAGTACTGACAACTGGACTCATATGAGGGAAGATATAATGAGTTGGTATAGACCAGTTTAGAAAAGAAAAGGATGCTAACCCACTGCAACTATTTGAAGAGATTTATAAAGAGAATTGTGTTTTTTCTTTTTAGCATCCATCTCCAGAAGAGACAGAATAAGAAAAAAGCTTAAATTATATTAAGAATTTGGATTAGCATTCTGAAGAGACCATTATCTATGCACAGTTAAAAGTAAAATAAGAATATTTTATTTGTGCCAACTTTTAAAATAAGATGAAAAACCTAGAATTAAGGAATTTGTTCAGAGAGCCTTCAGACCTTTCCTGACTAACAAAATAAACATAACACAGAAGATAAGAATTTAAGGATATGTTAATGTATACTGTGTTTGTTCCTTTTTAGTCATATTGTAAGCAGATTATTTTGTGCATATGACCAAAACCAATCAACAAATAAGAATATTATGCCCATATTAAGGGTACTAGTCTCAGTTTAATTACCTACTTATAAAATAGACAGCCATTAACTCCACAGGCTCTAAGCACATAACAGGGTTTGTAAAAACTAATGAATACTTTTAGAAACCAGAGCATAAACCCAAGTATAATATAGTACTTTTAAACTGTATTTCTTTATTGTGTGAACAAGTATTTCATGCATTGAAAAATAATCAAATGCAAAAGGGACCACAATAAATTATGTTTCCTTCCCACTGCTATTCAATTTTCTTCTCCGACAGCATACCTGTAGGATCAAGTGCAATTTCCTCATGGTTGCATAGAAAGCGTCATTATAGTCTTGTGTCTGCCCACTTTTCCAACTCATACTAGTTTAGTATATATTCTCTCTCTAGGAATATGTACACCCCCCCCCACACACATCTGCACTTATTTTTTGGCTTCATAAAATATCTCAGAGATAATTGTATATCAGAACATACTGATATGATTCATTCTAAAAAATGAGTCATTCCATTTTACAATTGTACAATAATTTATACTACCAATCACTTTCATTTACATTACAGGCTTTCCCAGACCATAATGTAAATGAGAGGATCCTCTTTATTTCTATTGGTATAATCTGATGAACAAATGAACATATGAGTAAAGATCATTTACTCAGCATGTAACTCATTTCGAATATTTATTTTTCAGTAAGATCCACAAGAAAGCATAGGGGAGCTCCTTATGAGTGATTACATTTTGGGCACCTACCAGATTAGTCTAAAGTAATGAATGTCTCTAAGTAAATTTTAGCCTAAATTCTTCCATGCACTATAAAATATTCAGAACCTTCCACTGTGGGATCTCTGAGAGAGGTTTAGCAATTAAAGTATAATATAATACTAGAAGGATTATAATACTAGAAGGATATTGAGCATATTCAGGACCTGTTGGACAGATAAAACCTCAGTAAGAATTCCTGCAGTATCCTGGGAGGAGGCAGAAAATGGCAGTTGAGATTCCTCTTCTTCCCCCGACATCACCAGAGAGGACCAGAGTAATAGAACTTTGACAAATGATGTCACCTTCCAGGGCTAAAGGGAAGACGCTCATAAGGGGACCATGATTATAGTCCATTGTCCCTGTCTGGAGCATTAAGAGGGAGGTTCTCCAATGTCAGGAACAACCACTTACTCTCTATACTCTGAAATCTATTCTCTTTATCTTGTTCACCATCTCTTTTGCTTTACTCATTCTGTAAACTCCACTGTATGTTGTGTTTGATGAAACTTAACCGTTAGCTGGAAGTTTAAGAGTGGGAATCAATAGTGATGTTACTTAATAAGGCATAGCTTTGTGTGATTCAGAGAACAGGATTGGCTAGGAGGAAATTGACCTAAGCTCTTCTTCCCAGGATGCTTCTGTTGGCTTAAGAAGAGAGACAAAGACTTTCAAGAACGAGTTATATTTTAGATATTACCCAATGGGATCTTGGTATGTGGAGAGATTGATTAGGCTACATGGTAAGTATTCTTTGGAAATATAAACAGAGGCCCTTCGTTCACCCTGTGTCCTATTCTGTTCTTTCTTCAAGGTTTAGGATCTTCAGAGTCTTTCTTTCTTTCTTTCTTTTTCTTTCTTTCTTTCTTTCTCTTTCTTTCTTTCTTTCCTTTCTTCCTTCCTTTCTTTCTCTCTCTTTCTTTCTTTCTCTTTCTTTCTTTCTTTCCTTTCTTCCTTCCTTTCTTTCTCTCTCTTTCTTTCTTTCCTTTCTTCCTTCCTTTCTTTCTCTCTCTTTCTTCCTTTCTCTTTCTTTCTCTCTCTCTCTTTCTTCTTTCTCTTGTCTGCTCTTTTTTTTTGCTTTAAGAGATTTAACATTTACTGAGTATACATTTAATATGAAATCATAAATATTGGTCAAAACTCAAATAGGTCATATTGCTGAGGAGGTAAAAGTAGGGGCTGACAGGTGGGGTGTAGAAAGTGACTACTGAGACAGCTCCCCAGTTGCCTGGGCTATGGTACTTTACAGAACCTGTTCTTCAGAACTAGTACATTCTGCACAATGGGATATTTGACCTATTATTCTTCTAGATGCTGGATAGCTTTTGAGTGAGGTTGAAGAGAGCTGAGAAAGGTGAATTGAAATAGATGCCTAAAATTGAATTCTAAAATATGATGAAAGGGAAACAAATGTTTGGGTCTTTATGAATTTGAGAAAAATCAAAACTTTAAGAAATGTTTGATACCAAGTTGAAAGACAATATTTTTTAATAAGTTATAAAGCTAGGAAGTGATACTTTTGAGAAATCTTAGCTCAGATGCTGAAGTCAATAATAAAGTTGAGGACAGTTTAAAGTTGAGGAAATGTGTAAGAACTCAGTGGGATATAATAAATCCAATTGATAAAAAGTGTTCATGGCCTAGTCTGAGACAAGGGTTAACTTATTTGGATGACATTGTGGTAGAAAGAAGAATTTTGAAATGATTGAAGAAGTGCCTGTGGATGGATATAAAGCTATTGAAAAATAAATTAGATAGTAAGTGTGGAAGATGCAACGTGAATAGTTTTGAGGGACTCCATTTCCAGATTCTGAACTTTCATTAACAATGTTTTTAAAACTGTCTTAGAACTGGCCTTCATTCACATTATAGGTTTTTGCACTTGGTACATAAAGGCACAATACCCCACCTATCCCAAATCTTATAATGTTACATTGACTGGGATGTAAAATCCTTTTGGTGATAAGGGGATAATGTGCAAGCGGTAGCAATAATTTGGGGGAAGCTTCCATTAATGACTTTTCAAGCCACTCTAAACAATAGAACTTACAGATTTTGCCTATTTATATATTTTTCTTGGGTGAAGCTTACTCCTTATTTGAATGTACTGCCTTATCTTCCTTAAAAAAAAAAAAACTTTATTGAGGTACAATTGGCAAACAAAAGGCTGTATATTTACTCTATACAATTTATTGTCTTAGAAGACAGGTATATACCTGTGAAACCATCATCACAATTGATGCCGTAAATGTATTCATCACATTCAAAGCTTCCTCCATCTCCTTTTGCTTTTTTTTCCCGTTTGTGGTAAGAGCACCTAACATAAGATTTACCCACTTAGCAAATGTTTAAGTATATAATACAGTATGTATTGCTAATCACTTGTTCCATGATGTGCAGTAGGTCTCCAGAACTTATTTAACTTGCATAAATGAAACTTTGTGCCCTTTGACCAACACCTCATATTTTCTCTTCCCTGCAGCCTGTGGTTTTGACTATATATATACATATATACACACACACACATATATATACACACATACATATATACACATATATATATACATACACACACATATATATACACATATATATACACACATATATATACACATATACATATATGATATATCAAGCAGTATATTTCTTTCTGTGTCTGACATTTCACTTGGCATAATATCATACAGGTTTATCAACAAAGATGCTAAACAAGAAAGCATGTAAAAGTATACATCTCACTGCTATAGGTAAACAAAAACAAACATGTGATATTGTAATGCATTAATGGTAGCACTTAAAATCACTTTTAACACTAGTAAATAAATTTAAAAGACAAAAGTAGTAAGTATAACGATAACCATAAAAATTTGTTAATGGAAACAAAATATAGAAATAACTAAAATCTAACATCAATTACATAAATTGTGGTGAGGGGGAATAAAGTGTAGAGTTCCTGTATACAATTGATGTTAAGTTGTTATCAGCTTGAAACAGACTGTTAGAACTATAAAATGTTTAATGCAAGCCACATTGTAACCACAAAATTTATATAGTAGCTACACAAAAGATAAAGAAATAAATGACAGCACACCAATACAAAACATCATCAAATCACAAAGAAAGAAAACTAGAGAAGAGAGGAATGAGAGAAACACAACACAGAAAAAAAACATTTACCAAAGTGACAAAAGTAAGTTCCTACCTATCAATGATTACTTTGAATGAAAATAGACTAAATTTCCCAATCAAAAATCACAGGGAGGCTGAATGAAGTAAAAAACAATACCCAATTATGTGCTGTTTACAAGAAACTCGCTTTAGATTTAAGGACACAAAGGCTGAAAGTGAAGGGATAGAAAAAGATATTCCATGCAAATGGTAACCAAAAAAGAGCAGATGGGGCTATACTTATATCAGACAAGTGGAACTAAAGTCAAAAAAGTACTGAATTCCTAACAACAGAAGCTGTAGAATCCACTTACTTTGGTTCTTTTAAACTAGTAACTCATAAAGGGGGATGATTTTGCTCCTCAGGGGACATTTGGAAGCATTCTTGGAGACATATTTTGGTGTCATAAGTGTGTGTATATGTGTATGTGAGGAGGGGGAGGGAGTGCTCCTGGCGTCTAGTAGGCAGAGACCAGGGATGCCGCTAAACATATCACAAGGCACAGTCCTCCCTTCCCTAAAATGTCAATAGTACAGAAGTTGAGAAACACTGTTTTAAATGTAAGTAGAATACTTTTTGAAATATTGCATTTTTCAAAATGTAATAGATAAAATCATCATACATAAATTAATTTGTTATTCTAGTAAAAGTAAGTACTTTATTGCATGTTATAAAATGTTTAATGTATTCTATCTTTTATTTCAAAATAAACTCATTTAAACGAGATATAAAGCAGGTATCAGCTCAATGATATGAGGAGAATGAAGGTTGTCACTCTCTTTTCCTGGAATAATAATTTTCCTTTAGAGAGTATAATGGATCACTCCCTCATCTCTGTCAGCAATTTGTTCAAATGTTTTTTCATTTTTAATAAGGTCCTCCCCAACCACAGTATTGAAAACTATAATCTATCCTTCCACCCACTCACTCCTATCTCCCTTCCCTGCTTTATTTTTCCATGTTATTTATGACCATCTAATATAAGGTCTATTTTACTATTTTATTGTTTTACTTATTTTCTTCCTTCTAACATTAGCTCCATTAGAGTAGAGATAGTCACCTGTTTTTCTCAAAGTTGCATTCCCCAAAACTAAAAAATACTAGGCACAAAGCAGGTACTCAACAAATACTTGTAAAATGAATGAAAAATTACATTTCAAATGGAAGAAAGCTTTTAAAAGAATTCTAAACAGCCATTGGATTGTAGAAGACAGTGAATAGGAAATGGACATGGGAGGAATATAAAGATTATGGACTTTCTCTTTCAGGTTATTGATGGAGTATGGCTGAGCTTGATAGCCAGTAGATGCCACTCAGAATTTTAGACTATCCACTGACACTGGACCTGCTAAAGACTGAATAGTGAATAACAAATGATCTAGTGCTTGTGAACAGGCCTAGCAGAAAGGACAGACTCTGAAATGAAGAGAAACATTGGTGATAATATAGGGTTAAGGGATAGCTCTGGAGAGAATTACTGAATGTTTTACTTTAGCAGGTAAGTCACATGGTTTGAATTGACACTTAAAATATATCCAAATTTCAGCATTTGTCATCAACTAGTTTGTATAGTGAACAGGAAATATACAGCCCCTGTGCTGACAAGGTTGTGAATAACAGACCAGACCATGTAATAACAGGTTTATTTATAACCAAGCTATTATATGGAAAGAGGTAGCTCTATAACAAGTATTCCAGAATTCATTGACAAGGGGAAAAGCTGTAGGACAAGCCAGGTGACAAAGGCATTGCATTAGTAATGGAGTAAAAACTTAAAATTTGGAAATACTTGACAGCGTGTGATGGCCCACTCAGAATAATTTGTGCAATCTATTTTCCAGTAAAGGAGACCCATTTGCATACAGCTTCCTGCTTTGAAATTTCACACAACCAAGCTGGTTAGGTAAGACACACTTTTTTGGTGTGGAGTCATGGATGTGACTGAAGAGGCTGCCAAGGTCACTCTTCTGGGAGACTCTCATTGTTTGATTGATTGTTTGATGGATTTATTCATTCAATCGACAGACATTAATTAGAAACCTATTCTGTACCTCTCAACAGTGTGTCAATGCTTAAGAACCATGATTTTAAATTTAGACAAAGTTGGATCCAAATCACAGCTCTTACACTTAACAACTGAGTTCTTTGAAAGTGAGTTAACTTCTGCATCTTGGTTTCAACATCAATAAAGGGGAGTGAATCATAGCTACCACGTATCTTGTTGGAAGGTTTTTCTTCTTTTTTTGGCATTGAATAATTTATTAGCAGATCTTTTTTTCTTAAAAAAGACTCTATATTAGCTAACTAGTGCATTTTTTTCTTTTTTTAATTAAATTTTATTTTATTTTAAGTTCCAGGATACATAGGCAGGTTTCTTACATAGGTAAATGTGTGCCATGGCGGTTTGCTGCACCTGTCAATCCATCACCTAGGTATTAATCCCCACATGAAGTTTTAAGGGGGACATTGTATATACATTTTGCACACACTGCGCTCAGTATATGCATCAATATTGTTTTGTTCTGCTTCACTGAGAGAATATAGATACTAGGGAGAGTCCTGGGGACCACTCCACAAGTGACCCGTAGGTAGGGCTCAAAAACATTTTTAAGTACTTAAGTGCTCTCACTGAAAGTTAAAACAAAATCTTTAAGTTCAATGTGAAATATTAAGAACTGTGGATGGTGAACACACGTTTGATAAAAGAGGATATGTTGTGTGTTTTTGAAGTCTGTGCCAAAAGAGAAATCTTCACAAGATAAGCTGTGTGGCTATATTAGATAAAGCGAGCTGAGACTCTTCCTTTTTGAGGAAGTGATCATTCACGAGCAAAGCCACATGGTAGCTAGTCACCACTGTAAGTCTCTGAACAATAAAACAGTTCCTCTGGTGCCAGCTGGCTATTTCCATTTTGGGGCTATATATTCTCTATGGCTGTCTACCTGTTTCTAGCTCTAGCTCTTTCTCTCTCTCTATCTTTTTAATTACTACAGTTTCAACCTCTATTATTACTGGCCTTTTTTTTTTTTTCAAAAAAAGTGTACTTTTGAAACATTAAACGAGCCCAGGATAAATTTTTTTTTTTAAATGAACAACTTATGGATGGAATTAGAGGCACTGGGGATTAGAATGACCACTTCTTACTAGAAAAACTCCAAAAAACAAACAAATAAACAAACAAACCCTAATAACATGGAGCCTTGATATTTTGTCATAGAATGTCCCTGCGGAAATCAGCTGGAAAAAATGGGGAGGAGGCTTTAATTGGCACTCAGATTTTTAACATAGCTATACTTACTTCCCTTAGGGAAGTATTGGATGAGAGGCTGCCTATCAAGTCTTGGTTTGAATATGGTTAGCTTTCCAGTCTTCAATTGTGGAAACTCACTGACAATCCAGCTGGGAAGCAATAGCTTACCTACTGCTATGGGCTATGTTGGTTGCACAGTTTTTAAATGGTTTTGAAGTAAACATCAAAGAACAAAGAAAAAAGTCATGGTAATAAAATAAAAGCTACTCTTCACATTGGAAATATGTACTAAGCCATGTGGCATCTAGGGTTGAGAATAGATAAATCCTAAACCAAGGTAATAAACCTTATGCTTGTACATATTCTTAGTGTGTCACAAGAGTAGATTTTGGATAACAGGAGTTTGTGTTTAAAAATTTAAAGATATCAAAAAACAATATTGACTTTATAGCTATAAATGTACTCTCATTCTACCTTTGTTTATCTTTCTTAATTATGTCTGTTTGCTTATTCTTTGAAAGGTGATATTTTTGTGTTTGAAGTGTTTTTTATTCTAATAGTCTAACTGTATTTCCTGAAATTTCTCAATTGAAAAGAATATGGTCAAGAATTGATAGGCAGATTTTTCTAATATCCATGTTTGTGCATATGAATATGGGGAAAGCAGGTACTATTATTAATAGAAAACCACTATTCTTAGTACTGACAAATTTATAGTTTACCTTTTTGCTCCTATTATTTCCTCTCTTTCTTTTCTGAATCTCATGTTCTTTTTCTCTTACTTTGCTGCTCACGTGTTTTGTGTAAATTGTGGGATGGTTCAAGAAGGCTAGTGCCCAAAATAATAAAGGCAAGTATGTGGCAGCTAGGGAGTTTACAGAGTGTCATTCCCAATTTGTTTGAGTGCTTAATAATAGAATAATAGTTAGTCTTCAATATTGAAAAGACATGAAACACTGGTAGATACATGATCCACATAACTTCAAACCCAAACCTTGAAAAGTATATGTTTAACAATCAAGTTCACATATGGGAAGGACTACTGATACTTTGGAGAAATGAGTAGGGTAAGTAGAAGCATCACTGCCAATGTATGCCCATAATGCTAAATATAAAGAGATACAGGACATGGCATAGAACAAGGACAAGGGACAAAAGAAATGAGTTAAAATCACCCTTTTCACTTAGAAGTAGTCAACATCCCTGCAGAAACGATTTTAAAATTTTTCTCTGCTAATAAAAAAAAAATCCAAGGAGTTGTCTTAGATTGTCCAATGAAATGCTCAGAGCAGGAAAATTGCAAGCCGGAAGGAGAAGTCTGTGGTTTGCAAATGCTCACCTATTGTCTGTGGCATTTAGTGTTCGGTACACTGGCCAAGTTTCATAGAATGAGAATTATCATGATTTCATGTAATATTGTAAATAGTATGCTACTTCTGCCCTTATCTCCTTCTCTTTCACTGTCTGCTCCTTCCTATGCAACTATGTATATATTTGAATAAATTTTCACTCCAATGGTAGCATATACAAGCTGAATCTTAGCATGCATGTCAGGAAAACCATCCATGGAGTAAAGGTGAGGGCAGAAAGATGGTATCCACAGAATGGCTATAAAGATGTCTCTATGGTCTTAGTACCTGGATTCCAGTCTTCAGTGGACATGGGGCCACATTAATAACCTTACTGGACAAATAATCTCACACCATGACTTTCCATACCATCAGATAGTCTTACTCAAGCCAATATATTTGTCCTCTGCATAGAATACTTTGTGCATGAAAAGGCTATTCTCTGAGGAACAGCACTGAAGAAAGAATATCTTAAAAAAAGAAATATCAAGATTTGATTGAGAGAGTAGGCATTAAATTCTAGGATTTCTAAGTACAGGTAAATGTAAGTTGAAGGCCTTATTAACTCAAGGAAACCTAGGGAATTAGAGATGTCCTGAAGATTCGTTAAAGTATATTAAATAATGTTTTCATTAAATTATGATAAAATAGAATAATTTTTTAAATTTAGAGCTTGAAAAATAGTCATTTAATCTGTTTATTGGAATTCAATATTAGTTATCTGGTAAGTATTTCTGAGTAACAGAAATCTTTAGTGGTAAAATCAATGAAGAGACTGAAATTGACAGAATGACTATGGGAGAGTGAAAAATGCTTAAAATAAATTTTGGAAGGATATAGATAGAGGACTTCTGCTTTAGATTAGGTTGTTAAAGGATTCAAAATATTCTAATCCATTATATAAGAACAAAAACGGCAACAAAATATTTTTATATGAGACTAATAAGAGCAATGCATTCAAGGAAGCTTTAATGAACTAAATTCCACAGAAAAACAAAACTCCTTATGGAATAGCAGAGAATTGCAGTGGTGTCTCTGGAAATGTGCAGAGGAAGTAATGGACATGTCATAAAAGGGGAAACTTTAGAAGGACAGGCTATATTCACTGAATACTGAATGGCATTATGATAGGATAGAGTATAATCCTGAAGATCCCCCAAAGCAAAAGCGTATCATTAGACCTAACAATTCACATGACACTGTCACTTTTGCCTTTCACTCTGAAAGCAACAGTGGAGAAGGGATTGGAGAATGGAGAGAAATAATGTTGTCTTGGGCTTTCTCATTGTACTTGGATTCTGAGGCTCTGAATTAAATCTAAATGTGATCCAAAATTATAGGAAACTTCAGCCCCAATTTCTCCCAAATGAAATAATGACAAGATAAAACAGAAGCACAGCCACAGGAGGTAGTACGTCAGGCTAATGAGAGGTGAACTCAGCCTAGTTAAAATTGTTCCTGTTGTCATCTCAACTTGATGGGAGGGAGAAACCCTTCCTTATACACAAATATAGGGAAATGAATTGTCTTGTAACAAAACAATTAAAATATTAACATATTTCTGTCTTTTCAATTTTACAACATGTATAGAATAATCTAAGAACAAAAAGATGTATGAAGATTTATGAAAACTATGACCCAAATAAGAGAAAACACCATTATTAGAAGGCTACTCAGAGACGAACCATTCTGGAGTTAGCATACAGAACCCTTAAAATAGTTATTTTTAGTTTTGTTAAAAATGGCAGTAAAATATATAAGTAAAAATGAGTAAAATCAATACAGAAATGAAAATTCTAAAAATAGAATTAAAAATTCTATAACTGAATAAGACAATATCTGATACCAGAAATGTACTGGATGGGCTTAAAAGCAAACTGGAGAAAGACTAAGTAAGGATTGCTGAACTTGAAAGTAGGCCAATAGAAGTTATCAAAACTGCAATATATAGACAAAAATAATTTTTAAAAATTGATCACAATCTGTGGGATAGTAGTAAGCAGCCTAATATACATAATATTGGAGTCTCATAATGAGAAGTATGAGAGAGAATAAGCAGACTCTCTTTAAATATAAGTATCATTTTCTTCTCCAAATTTGAGGGAAAATATTAGCTCACCTATCCAAGAACTCAGAGCTTATCAATTAGGTTAAATATCCATAATAACCAAACAGTTGAAAACCAACAGTAAAAAGAAAAGACTACAAACAAACAAACAAAAAGCATCCAGAGAAAAAGACAGATTAAATACCAGCGACAACCAACATGAATTTTAGGTAGCTCCTCATTAAAACAAAGAAAGACAGGAAATAATAAAAAAATTTTAAATTGCTGAAAGAAAAAAATATATTTTAAATTCTTAATCCAGTGAAAATATACTTTACAAGTAAAAGCAAATAGAAAAATATTTATATTTTTTAAAAAGGTAAGAGAATGTGTATCAAGCTTACCTGGGCTATATAAAATGCTGAAAGAAATTCTTGAAGCTAAAGCAAAAAAGTAACAGATAGAAAATGGTATCTCACTGCAAGGTTACGGAGTGAAAAATTGTAAGATTTGTGCAAATATAAAGAAGTACCATTCACTCTTAAGAATTTCCGTGCCTTTTTGCTAAGGATTGTCTTGGTTATACAGGCTCTTTTTTGGTTCCATATGAAATTTAAAGTAGTTTTTTCTAATTCTGTGAGGAAAGTCAGTGGTAGCTTGAGGGGGATAGCATTGAATGTATAAATTACTTTGGGCAGTATGGCCATTTTCACGATATTGATTCTTCCTATCCATGAGCATGGAATGTTTTTCCATTTGTTTGTGTCCTCTCTTATTTCCTTAAGCAGTGGTTTATAGTTCTCCTTGAAGAGGTCCTTCACATCCCCTGTAAGTTGTATTCCTAGATATTTTATTCTTTTTGTAGTAATTGTGAATGGGAGTTCACTCATGATTTAGCTCTCTCTTTATCTATTATTGGTGTATAGGAATGCTTGTGATTTTTGCACATTGATTTTGTATCCTGAGACTTTGCTAAAGTTGCTTATCAGCTTAAGGAGATTTTGGGCTAAGACGATGGAGTTTTCTAAATATACAATCATGTCATCTGCAAACAAAGACAATTTGACTTCCTCTCTTTCTATTTGGATATCCTTTATTTCTTCTCTAGCCTGATTGGTCTGGCCAGAACTTCCAGTACTATGTTGAATAGGAGTGGTGAGAGAGGGCAACTACTTGTCTTGTGCCACTTTTCAAAGGGAATGCTTCCAGTTTTTGCCCATTCAGTATGATATTGGGTGTGGGTTTGTCATTAATAGCTCTTATTATTTTCAGAACAAAGCTGGAGGCATCATGCTACCTGACTTCAAACTATACTACAAGGCTAGAGTAACCAAAACAGCATGGTACTGGTACCAAAACAGATATATAGACTAATGGAACAGAATAGAGGACTCAGAAATAATGCCACGCATCTACAACCATCTGATTTTTGACAAACCTGACAAAAACAAACAATGGGGAAAGAATTTCCTATTTAATAAATGGTGTTTGGAAAACTGGCTAGCCATATGCAGAAAACTGAAACTGGACCCCTTCCTTACACCTTATACAAAACTTAACTCAAGATGGATTCAGACTTAAACGTAAGACCTAAAACCATAAAAGAACTAGAAGAAAACCTAGGCAATATCATTCAGGCATAGGTACGGGCAAAGACTTCATGACCAAAACACCGAAAGCAACGGCAACAAAAGCCAAAATTAACCAATGGGATCTAATTAAACCAAAGAGCTTCTGCACAGGAAAAGAAACTATCATCAGAGTGAACAGGCAACCTAAAGAATGGGAAAAAAATTTTGTAATCTATCCATCTGACAAAGGGCTAATATCCAGAATCTACAAGGAACTTAAACAAATTGAAAAGAAAAAAACAAACAACCCCCAAAAAACTGGGTGAAGGATATGAACAGATACTCCTCAAAAGAAGACATTTAGGCAGCCAACAGACATATGAAAAAAAGCTCATCATCAATGGTAATTAGAGAAATCCAAATCAAAACTACAATAAATATCATCTCACATCAGTTAGAATGTCGATCATTAAAAAGTTAGGAAACAACAGATGCTAGAGAGGATGTGGAGAAGTAGGAATTCCTTTACACTGCTGGTGGGAGTGTAAATTAGCTTAATTATTGTGGAAGACAGTGTGGTGATTCCTGAAGGATCTTGAACCAGAAATGCCATTTGACCCAGCAATCCCATTACTGGTTATATACCCAAAGGATTATAAATCATTCTACTATAAAGACATGTGCATTCTACTATAAAGACATGTGTATGTTTATTGCAGCACTATTTACAATAGCAAAGACTTGGAACCAACCCAAATGCCCATCAATGATAGACTGGATAAAGAAAACGTGGCACATAAACACCATGGAATACTATGCAGCCATAAAAAAGAATGAGTTCATGTCCTTTGCAGGGACATGGATGAAGCTGGAAACCATCATTCTTAGCAAACTAACACAGGAACAGAAAACCAAACACTGCATGTTCTCACTCATAAGTGGGAGTTGAACAATGAGAACACATGGACACAGGGAGGGGAACATCACACACTGGGGCCTGTTGGGGGATGGGGTCTAGGAGAGGGATAGCATTAGGAGAAATATCTAATGTAGATGACAGGTTGATGGGTGCAGCAAACCACTATGGCACGTGTATACCTTTGTAACAAACCTGCACATCCTGCACATGTATGCCAAAACTTAAAGTATGATAATAATAATGAAAGAATGTCCGTGCCTATAATCCCAGCTGCTCAGGAAGCTGAGGCATGAAGAATCGCTTAAACCTGGGAGGTAGAAGTTGCAGTGAGCTAAAATTGCCACTGCACTCCAGCCTGGGAGACACGGTGAAACTCCGTCTCAGAAAAAAAATAAATAAATAAAAGAATTTATTTTAAAGAAAATTAACTATTTAAAGCACTAAATACGTAGAAGTAAAGAATATGACAATAACATAAAGGATATTATGTGGTTCAACTAAAATACACTGTCGTAAGGTTTTATTACATTGATGTAAAGTAGTGTAATATTACTTCAGGGCATACTCATAAATTGAAAAGAAATGTTTTAATTATGATGGTGGTCACTGCAAATTTACAAACCGGTGCAGCTCAAAAGCCAATAAGAAATATACATGAATCATTTTTACAGATTACTCAATGCAAAAGAAGGAAGACAAAGAGGGAAAAAGAAACAAAGCACGGAAGGGATAGATAGAAATCAATTAGTAAGATGGCCAACGTAAGTTCAACAATATTACAAATTACATTAAATATAAGTGACCTAATCAATTATGTTCAAAGATAGAGATTGTCAGATACAATCTTTTTATCTGATACAAAGCAAGATTCTACTGTATGGCATTGGAAAAAAGTTTTTTTTCTAAATATAAAAGGATAAGTTGGTTAAAAGTAGAAAGATTTTTAAAAACATGAAAATGATACTCATTATAATATGATTATGTTAATATTAGATACAGCAGTCCTCAAGTAAGTGTTACCAGAGGAAAAGATATCTCATGATAGCAAAAGAGGTGCTTGATTAAGAAAACAGTAGATTCTAAATGTATAGACCTTTTATTACAGCCATTCAAGGTAAATAAAGCAAAGTTTAACACATATAAAAAGAAATAAACTCAAATACAATTGTATTTAGAGATTTTAATATTTCTTCCCAATAATTGAAAGGATAGATAAAATATACTAGTATGAATATGAGAGATTTAAATAACATTGTGACTATAATAATCTATTATATATTTTGAAACTCCACACTCAAAAAAGGCAGAACATACATTCTTTTCAAATGCAAATAAGATGCTTTTTAAGGTAGATAATATGCTAGGTCATGGAATACATCTCAATAAATGTCAAATGACTGAAATCATAGAGTATGTGTTCTGACCACAGTGAAACTTCTAAAATTGTACATATTTAGGGTGTATAACATGCTGTTTTGAGACACATAATACATAATTAAATGATTACTATAGTTAAACCAAATAACATATTCATCATCTCATAATCACCTTTTTTTTGTGTGTGGTAAGAGCACCTAAAACCTACTCTTCAGTATACAGTGCAATATTATTAACTATATTCCTTATGCTGTACATTAGATGAATAGACTTACTCATTCTACATAACTGCAACTTTGTAGCCTTTGACCTACATCTCCTCATCTTCCGCCTGACTCCCACCCCATGAACTGGTCACCGTGTTCTAGTCTCTGCTTCTATGTATTTGATTTTCTTTTAGATTTCATATATAGATGAGATCATGCAGTGTTTTTCTTTTGTCTAGCATATTTCACTTGGCAGAATGTCCTACAGTTTCATCCATGTTGTCACAAATGGCAGGATCTCCTTGTTTAAGTCTGAATAATATTTTTGTGTGTGTGAGTGTGTGTATACACCTGTGCATCTCACAAATTCTTTATCCATTCATTCATTGACCAACACCTAAGTTGCTGCCATATCTTGGCAGTTGTGAATAATGCTGCAATGAACATGGTAGTATGGTTATCTCTAAGAGGTACTGATTACTTTTCCTATGGGTGTATACCCAGAAGAGGAATTGCTGGGGTCATATTGTAGCTCTATTTTTAATTTTTTAAGGAAGTGTTTTCCATAATGGTTACACCAATTTACATTCACACCAACAGAGTAAAGGTTCCCCTTTTTCCCACACACTTGCCAATACTTGTTGCCTCATGTCTTTCTGATAATAGCCATTCTAACAGGTGTGAGGTGATATCCCATTGTGGTTGTGATTTGCATTTCCCTGATGATTAGTAATCTCGAGCATTTTTATATGCCTGTTTACTGTTTCTATTTTCTATTTGGAGAAATGTCTACTTAGGTTCTTTGCTAATTTTTAAATCTTTTCTTGTGTCTTTTGCTATTTGGTTGTTTGTGTTTCTTTTATATTTTGGATATTAACCCTTTATTAGCTATATGGTTCATGAATATTTTCTCCCAATCCATAGAGTGCCTTTTCATTTTGCAGATTATTTCCTTTCCTGTGAAGTAACTTTTTAGTTTGATGTAGTCCCACTTATTTTTTGTTGTTGTTGTTGTTGCCTGAACTTTTTATGTGAAATCCAAAAAAAAAAAAAAAAAATCACTGCTAAGACCAGTGTCAAGAAAATTTTCCCCTATGTTTTCTCCCAGGAGTTTTATGGCTTCAGGTTTTACGTTTGGGTCTTTAATTCATTTTGAGTTGATTTATTGTATGTGGTATATGATAAGTGTCCAATTCACTATTTTGCATGTGAATATCCAGTTTTACCAACACCATATACTGAATTTCACTGTAATTTTTAACAAAACTAAAATAGTTATTCTAAAGGTTCTGTATACTAGTTCCAGAACTGACCATCTCTGAGTGGACTTCTATTAATTTATTTCCCTTAATTTTGGGTCATACCTTTTCCCCACTGTCTTCCTATGGCTCTTGTCAAAAATTATTTGACCATGTATTCTTGGGTTCATTTCTGAGCTCTCTATTGGTCTATGTGTGTGTTTTATACCAGCACCATGCTGTTGTGATTATTATAGTTCTGTTTATTATTATTTAAAACCTTTATGGGTACATAGTAGGTGCATATATTTGTGGGATACATGAGATGTTTCAATAAAGGCATGCAATGTGAAATAAACAGATCATGGAGAAAGGAGTATCCATTCCCTCAGGCATTTATCCCTTAAGTACAAACAATCCAATTACAATTCTTTAGTTATTTTAAAATGTACAATAAAGTTATTATTGAATATAAACACCCCATTGTGTGATGAAACAGTATGTCATATTCATTCTTTCTAATCTTTTTTGTATGCATTAACCATTCCCACCTCCTGACCAGCCCCCTATTATCCTTTCCAGCCTCTGGTAAACATCCTTCTACTCTCTATGTCCATGAGCTCAATTGCTTTGATTTTTAGATCCCACAAATAAATGAGTGCATGCAGTGTTTGTCTTTCTGTGCCTGGCTTATTTCACTCAACATAATGAACTTCAGTTCCATCCATGTTGCTGGAAACAACAGGATCTCATTCTTTTTAATGGCTGAATAGCACTCCTTGTGTATATGTCCCACATTAAAATATGTATATTTGTCTGTTAATGAACACTTGGTTTGCTTCCAAATCTTAGCTACTGTGAACAGTGCTGCAAAAAACATAAGAGTGAAGATATCTCTTCAATATACTGATTTCCTTTCTTTTGGGTATATACCCGGCAGTGGGATTGCTGGATCATTTGGTAGCTCTATATTTAGTTTTTTGAGGCACCTCCAAACTGTTCTCCATAGTAGTTGTACTCTAAACTGTTCTGCACAATCTTTGTACTAATTTATATTCCCATCAACAGTGTACAAGTGTTCCCTTTTCTCCACATCCTTGCCAGCATTTTTTATTGCCTGTTTTTTGGATATAAGCCATTTTAACTCGAGAGAGATAATATCTCATTGTAGTCTTGACTTGCATGTCTGAGGTTGAATGCCTGTTTGCCATTTGTATGTCTTCTTTTGAGAAATGTCTATTCAAATATTTTGCCCAGTTTTTGATCAAATTATTAGATTTTTTCCTATGGAATTGTTTCAGCTCCTTAAATATTCTGGTTATTAATCCCTTGTCAGATGGTGTATTAGTCCATTCTCACACTGCTATAAAGAACTGCCCAAGACTGGGTAGTTGATAAAAGAAAGAGGTTTAATTGACTCGTAGTTCTGCATTGCTGGGGAGGCCTCAGGAAACTTACAATCATGACAGAAGGTGAAAGGGAAGCAAGGTAGCTTCTTCACAAGGTGACAGGAGGAAGAAGTGCTAGTAGGGGAAATGCCAGTTGCTTATAAAACCATCACATCTCATGAGAACTCACTCACAATCATGAGAACAACGTAGGGGAAACTGCACCCATGATCCAATCACTTGCCACTGGGTCCCTCCCACTATATGTAGGGATTATGGGAACCACAATTCAAGATGAGATTTGGGTGGGGACACAGCCAAATCATATCAGATGAGTACTTTACAAATATTTTATTCCATTATGTGGGTTGTCTCTTCACTTTGTTGATTGTTTCCAAGTTACTATAGTTTTGTAGATATAATTTGATATCAGAAATGTGATGCATCAAACTTTGTTATTCTTTCTAAGGATTGGTTTGGCTATTTGAGGCCTTTTTTGGTTGAATACAAATTTAGGAATTGCTGCTTCTATTTCTGTAAAATATATCATTGAAATTTTGATAGGGATTGTATTGAATTGCATATAACTTTGGTTAGCACAGGAAGATCGTTCACCTCATTAGTTAAATTTATTGCTAAGTACTTTATTTTTTTCTATACTACCATAAGTGAGATCGTTTTCCTGAATTCTTTTTTCGGATACATTGCTATTTGTGTAAATAACTGCAACTGATTTTTGTTTGCTGCTTTTGTATCATGTCATGAATTGATTTTAAAATTAGTAACATTAACATATCCTAAAAATTCCCCAAATGTTTGGAAAACAGACAACGTATTTCTAAATAGCCACTGTGCCAAAGAAATCACAAGGAAATTTTAAAAGTATTTCTAATTGAATGATAAATAAAACAACATATGAAATTTGTGGGTTACTGCTAAGAGATTTCTTAGAGAGAAATGCATTACATGTGTATATTAGAAAAGAAGATAGGTTGATATTCATTGATCTAAGATCAAAGAATAGAGAAAATAAAGAACAAATTAGGGAATGTGGAAAGAGGTTTTAGTGTGGGCAAATAGTTGAGGGAGGGGACTCCATATGAGTATTCACAAGCTGGATAAGGACAGCTGGCTTGATTTCTTGATTTGACACTCATCCAATACAATTCCCCCCGCTTTCAATCTGCCTTTCTCTCTCAACCCCCCTCCCTCACTTCAAGCACATTCTTTGTTTGGTGAGCCATATAGGGTATGGTAGCTATAAGATCTCCAAACCCAAGTTAAACTGAGTGTGCTTTAACATCAGAGTACCCAGAAAATCTGGTTTATTTAAAAATCTTAGCTGCGATCAATCTGCTATAAATCTCAGGAATATTAGATCCGGAGAACTGGCATGAAATACCAGAGAAGAGGAAGTGTTCTTTTAAAATGATGTAAAATGCCAGGCACATGGCTGACTCCTATAATCCCAACACTTAGAGACGGAAACAGGAGAATCACTTGAGGCTGGGAGTTTGGAACCAGCCTGGGCAATGTAGGAAGATCTTATCTCTACAAAAATACAAAAACTAGCTGGGTGTGGTGTCACATATCTGTGGCCCTAGCTACTTCAAAGGCTGGGGTAGGAAGATCACCTGAACCCAGGAGTTGGAGGCTACAGTAAGCTATGATCCTACCACTGCACTCCAGCCTGGTGACAGAGTGATACCCTGTCTCCCTCTGCCCCTCACAAAAAGATTTTAAGTCCTCATGAAATATGGAAATATGTATAAATGGACTATATCCTAGCAGTAACACTCTATGGAATCTACTTTTTAAAGCAAGAGACCCCAAGGAAAGGCTATAAGGTAGCTTTTGAAACTGACTCTCAACCAGCGGTCTCCAACCTTTTTGGCACCAGGGACCAGTTTCATGGAAGACAATTTTTCCATGGATGGTGGTAGTGGAGGGTCGGCGGGTGATTTGGGGATGAAACTGTTCCACTTCAGATCATCAGGCATTAGTTAGATTCTCATAGGGAGCATGCAACCTAGATCCCTTGCATACTCAGTTCACAATAGGGTTCCTACCCCTATGAGAAAATCTAATGCCTCTGCTGATTTAACAGCAGATAGAGCTCAGGTGGTAATGCTTCCTTGCCCACTGCTCACCTCCTGCTGTGCGGCCCAGTTTCTAATGGCATGAGCCAGTACTAGTCCATGGCAGGGGTATGGGGACCCCTGCTCTAAACAATAATGCTAATTTAACGACTACTTTCTGTTAGTCTCTCTTTGTATTATCATCTAATTATATTCATTTTCAAAACAGTGTGTTTCAATATTCTGGATTCCTACTCAGATTTTCCATTGTCTAGTAGTCACCAGTGATTACTCAGAAAACAATGATCCATGGATTGGAAATGAGGGAAGAAAGCTGGTAGCTGGGAAATTAAACAGAGTGACATTTCCTAGAGACTGGTATTCAAGAGCTTTTCTGTGTTGTCCATGTAGCTGCTCCATGCTTTCCTGAGATAATTACTTCAATCCCCTGCTTTTCTAATAAGACTCTTGGGCCTATATTTTTTTTATGCTTAAGCCCTGCATTGTGAACAGGATTTTTAATGTTAAGAGGAATTTCATCAAGAAACCTTATTCCAGAGAAAAACCCCAAATAAATCTGTTCAAGTTTTGTTGGAGAGAAAAATAAATTTCTGAGCACTCAAATGTGTGCAAAAATTAATAACAATTTTGGACTGTCTGCAAATAAGGGACATTATGGAAAGAGGGTAAACACTTATAGGTATGGGAACCAGGAAACCCACCCACAGTCCATTATGTACACATGCAGATCCATTTGCTAACTAGACAGAGGAGGAAAGCTTAGCTACCTGCTAGAGCTGTATGTAGCAGACTTGGCAGACGTTGTTTACTTGCAATACAAGCCAGAGAAAGGGGAACACAAAAGGAGAGCCCATTCATTCCACAGTGTCACATTATGTTGAATGATGAATGTAAACCTTTCTAGTGTACCATAAAATATTAACAAACTTATAGTAATGGATTTTCATAATAGACATCTTCTAAGAGAAAATAAGCCTAACAAAAAATAACACAATGTTGCAGGAGGATCTGAGATGTCGTAGATGTCTTAGTAGGAAGTAGGAGTTGTAAATAGGAGCATATTTTCTTATAATAAACAGAAGGTGCCTATCTCTAGTATAGTTGAGCTGTGCTTCCCACTCGTATATATTTTTCATTTTTGTTTTGTTTTGTTTACCTGCAAGAGACAGGGGAAGCATACATTTCAGAAATGATATCACATTTTTGGTGTTTTTGTTTCCCCTTTATAGTAAGAGATAGTGTCAGTATTGATGTCTTTCTTGTATTATTTCTGTTTCTTGCTTTTACCCTTTCCTGGATTTGTGATGAGTTTGTTCAGTTAGTGCTAGTTATATGGTAAATATTTTACTCCACGGGCTGTATAATCATGGAAAAAATGTGTGTGGTGTTGTTATTAAGTGAATTTTAATCAGGAATGTCAGGATTTGAAGCAGAGTGAGAATAGGATGAAAAGATATGAGGAGGACCCAGATTCCAGTTCCTCTATGGTCTGGATGACCAGGCACCGCTCAGTACTGAAAAGAGAAACTTCATTTCGCCCTTCTCTGACCTACTCTGTTTCTGCACTGGGCAGATGGCTTTGTCCATTGTCTACATTAGTATTTCGTGCTATTTTTTTGTGGCTATTAGGGGTTTCAATCTGAAGATGAGGACATTAATTTAGAGGACATGATTTCAAGTGAATTCCCCAAGATCTGGGGATAATAAATGTACATATGCATTTTATTAAGCTTTAGAATTTCTTAGCTAATATGAACAAAAGTGTCTTAATTATGTGAGATAGACTAGAGATTGAGGAAATATGCTTAAGTAAACTTTTTCAAGTTTCTTAAGAAAAGGAAAAGTAAACTTAAATAATTGCTTTTTAGGAGATAAGTCTGTGTATCAAAAAATGTACAGGTAATTAGAAAACCTTGCGAAAACATTTCAAACTCTAAAACGTTATTTGCGACTTTTTTTTGTCCTCTGTGCCTTAGTTTTGCAGTTTATAAAATGGAATAAATATTGTTTCCTTCATAAAGTTACATTATGGATTGAACAAAACAATGCTTGTAAACTACTTGGAGTGCCTGGCAGTGGGCACAGACTCAGTAAATGTAAGTATAGTCATTTTTTATTATGCTTCCTAAAGAAATATAGACCCTGGGAAGATTACAAAGATAAAATATTAAGAAAATAAAACTGTACCATATTTAGTATACATGCATCCTAAAATAATATGTTAGAGAAGATATAATAAATATTATGTTGAAGTTGAACTAATTAGGCAAGTGGAAATTCTTGTCAGTATATTTGAAACCTGTGGAAAAATATATAGGAAGTGGTTTCTTCTTGAAATACTAAGCTGACACTCCTTCTCCCCCTCTGCAATACACACACAGAGATGTAGTTATTGACAGGAAGAGTGATGAAACTCAAGAAGAAAAGTCACAGGTGAACAGTGACAATGAGACTCCTTCTGGGCCGGACGCACTGAGATGCATCACCCACTGATCACTGAAGCATCAAAGGAGGATGTTTTTCTTCTTGCATCAGGGACTAATCCTTTACCTCTCTGGCCCTGCAGCTTCTCTTTGTCAGTGTCACTGTCTGTTAGTGTTTCGATGTGACCTTTATCATTCCCTAACTCTCCCTCCCTTTCCTACTGTCTTTATTTTTATCTGATAATTTCCTTTTGGTTATGTTTAAGATAAATTTTTGGGTCCATTACAATTTTGTATTTTTTCAACATTAGAAATTAAGCTATGCAAGGCAACAAGTTAAGGAAAATTCAATGAAGACTCCAGAATGCCTATGGCAAGAAATAAACGTGTTGTTGACTGAGGAATATTCCGGCTCCACTAAACACTATTCCAGAGTGTTTCTAAAAGGGAAAAGGCTGACATGGAATGAGCTGTGTCTCAGGAGCAAATAGGTGAGACAGCCAATATGGTCTTGCAAGACATCTCCTAGAATGCATAGAGAGGAAAGCCTGTGCCAAAGCTTCTCTCTGTGACTAGAATTCAGTCACAAATTAGATTCCATATTACTGTGTACCATGAGCAAGACTCCAAATGCTGTCTTTCAAGATTGCATTAGAAAGGAAGAAAACTGGCCGGTGTGTTTGCTCACGCCTGAAATCCCAGCATTTTGGGAGGCCGAGGTGGGCGGATCACCTGAGATCAGGATTTTGAGACCAGTCTGACGAACATGGAGAAACCTTGTCTCTACTAAAAATACAAAATTAGCCGGGCATGGTGGCGGGTGCCTGTAACCCCAGCTACTCGGGAGGCTGAGGCAGGAGAATCGCTTGAACCTGGGAGGTGGAGGTTGCAGTGAGCCAAGATTGTGCCATAGCACTCCAGCCTGGGCAACAAGAGAAAAACCCCATCACAAACAAACAAACAAACAAAAGAAAGGAAGAAAACTATCAGTCTAGAACTAAATCTGGTAACTAAAATTTATTCTAAAATGTCTATAGAGATGTAATTTTTCAACCAGGGACAAAAGTTTCTATCCTAAAATGTTCATAAAACTAGTGGCATGAAGTACGGCATCCATAACTATAAAATCTCTTTCTCTTTCATTTTGTGTTGTGAATATTGCTCTCTTTCTGCTTGTGAAAATTTCACTTCACTGGTTTCCTATTGAAGTTAAACTTAAGTGGGGTGCTCACTTGTAGGTTCGATTGGAAGAAAATTTCATGTATTGGGAAGGATGACAGGAGCTCAGTGAATGATAAGGGGCACAAATTATGGTCTTTAGTAGAAAGCCTGTCTCTTCATTTCCTCTTCAGGACTTCCAACATCCCTACATTATCATTTTATATACATGTTAGGAGTTCAAGTCTGATAGAATAAAAGTGAATTTTTAGATTCTTGAATTATAGTATTTCTAAATGATCATTAAAAGGTAAATAATTACCAATTTTGGGAAGAATAGAAATAAGGGAAATATATTTGAGACCAGATGGAGTATAATAGCAATCAGTATTCTTTATAGACATAGATAGCAGGTCTTGATAAGCAGTGAGATGCGGCTAAGCCTGTTGCTTCACCTGTTTCTGTGAGAGTTGGGCCCCTTGCAATAAACGTTCCATGTATAGAAGACACAACAACCTTTCAGGACACACTGATGACTGAGAAATAGCATGTAAGAAAGGGGAGAGCCCCATTTAGTGTTAGAATCATGCAACCCAACAAACATTTTTTCCTTAAAAAAATAATCCTGAAGCAGTAACTGGGGCACTCAGAACAACCTGGGACAGAAAAATCATTTGTTATGGTAGTAGAACGGATATTTGAAAATATTGCATGGGTGTTGTAAGGCAAATATGTCTGAATTTGAAAATAATTCTGCTGTCAAATTTTGATGAAATACAAGACAAATAAAATGGATAGGGAATGATGAACTAATAATCACTCAAGTCTCATTCAAATACTAATGAAGGAAGTACGTTCATGCTAGCAAACTTCTAAGTTTTCTCCATCCATTTCCTGGGTTAGACCAGAGGAGTGGCCGATCCAGAAGCTATGTTATTAAAGAGAACCCCTGTGAACTGCATCAAGGTAGAATTAAAGGCCAGAGATATGGTGTTAAATGTCAGCGGTATTACAAGGGGGTGCACTATGAAAGGGGGTTGAATCTGAGCTTTGTAGGGGAGCAAATTAGTGTCACAGAATATTTCATGAATTTTTTCAATTCCTGGAAATTAAATATGGGAATTTAAACTGATGTCAAAGAAGTCTCAAACAATCCCCATGTTCTAAAGAAAGCCTAAAGTAATTGGGACCAGTCATCTTCTCAGGACTTAGTCAGACTGGGTCAGATTAACTCTTCCACTCAAACTGTCGGGTTTTATGTCCTTTACCCTGCTTACATGAGATAACTAATGAGTCATCAGATTTTTCAGAGAACCTGTTTGAAGTCCTCTGGAAGAGTCAAGAAGGGAGTGAGTGGCTTGCGATACCCTTTCCTGCTGTGAGAGAGGAAGAGCCTGTTTCCCACCCACAAGCTGAGTGAATGTGGTTCTGAGAAAATGGTTTAAGAGATGAAGAATGTCTGAAAGAAAGGGAGACTGACATTTAGTTTCTCTTTGGAAGTGTTCTTAGGAAGTGATGTGCTGATCTGACTGACATATATACCTTTTGGGACAGCCCTGTAGCAGTCAGCCTGGTGATGCAAAAACATGCGCGGTTTTGTGGGTCCATTGGATCTTGGAAGAAGGTGACCTTGAGCTGGTCTGCAGGCTCCTCACCCAGGAAGACTGTTTCTTGAGATAACAGTTCTGTCAGAGACATTTGAACCAGAACGACTCTATCTCGATTAGGGCCTTGGTAAAATGCGAGTGAGACTTACTGGTATATGCATTCCCAAGAGTTTAGGCATTCTTAGTCACAGGGTATTTACAGTTAAGGAAGCAAGTTAATAATGTTTACTGAAGAGACCCTGGACTTAACAGACCCAGCCAATTTCACACCCAGGAAATGTCCTGATGCCCTGATATCTTAAGAACAAATGCATTCTTAGCCTAAGAATCTTTCGTTTTAAAGATAATCATACAGATTCTTACAGAAGACAGTGGTTACACAAAGATTAACAATCCTTTGTCACAAACCCTTGCAGTGGAGCACATCTCCCCCATGATTTTTTGCTCTGTTATCTTATATATAAACAAGCATTGTACCTAAGGTGCATTCATTCCTCCTCCTGCTTTTGGGAATGACCTTCTCTGTCTATGGAGCAGCCATTCATTCATTCCTTTACTTTCTTAGTAAACGTGTTGTCACTTTATTCTGTGGATTCACCTTGAATTCTTTCTTGCACAAGATCTGAGAACTGTCTCTTGGGGTCTGGACTGCGATGCCTATCTGGTAACAGTTCCATCAACAGAGGCGGGAGCTGTGGCAAAGAGTGGAAAGAAATTAAACTAGAATGAGATCTTCCCTTTGAAAGAACTTTGCATTGGGTGAAGTCCCTCAAGGAGCTCACATGAACCTAATTTACACTTACAACAGAGACCCTTGAGCTAAAGTCAATATTTAATGAAAGGGTACAGCAGAAAGGGGCTCTAAAAGCAGCCTGAGAACTAAAGAGCTACAACCCCTTCTCTACTCAAGCCTCTTTCTCAGAAGTCTGAGGTGAAAGAGATAAACATTAAATATCACACAAGACAAAAGATCTAAATAAGTCTAAAAGAGTTTATACTTAAAAGTGACTGGAAGTTACAGAATGTGTCCAATATGTAGCTGTGTTAATAGCAGTCCTCCAAGAATCAGTTGCCAAGGTGATTAAACAAGCAAGAATTGTGGCCAGGCACAGTTGCTCATGCCTGTGATCCCAGCACTTTGGGAGGCCGAGGTGGGCAGATCACTTGAGGCCAGGAGTTTGAGACCAGCCTGGGCAACATGGCAGAACTCTGTCTCTACCAAAAATACAAAAATTAGCTAGGTGTGGTGGCATGAAATGAACCTGCAGTGCCAGCTACTTGAGAGGCTGAGGTGGGAGGATCGCTGGAGCCCGGGAGGTCAAGGATGCAGTGAGACATGACTGCACCACTGCACTCCAGCCTGGGCAATAGAGGGAGACTCTGTTTCAAAAAATAAAACAAAGTAGAATTGTATTATGGGAAGCACCTGTGAGAGAAACTGGGGAGGAAGCCTGGCAAAGCTGGGAGACAAAGGCATCATATGACAATGCAGTACTAACTGCTAGTGAAGGAGGCAGGAGAGGAAGGCTAGGTGGAAATATCATAATCAGTTATGAAGTCTAGGGAAGGTTCAGCATGGGGCTTGGAGAGTCCTTGAGCCAAAGTTGCCAATCAGATGAGTTCCATGTCTTCCAAGAATGGACTTGCTTTAGTATTCCTCCTGCACTGCATCATTGGGTGAGAGCAGCCTGTGGAAAGCCTGGCTTCAGAATAAAGCTAATGGACTTCAAATGACAGCACCTGAGGCTCTTGGTCTGTTATGTCCTCTGCAGCTGAAAGTCTATGAGAAACATTCTCATGGCCATTTCAGTAGTTAAAAGAAAGTAAAGGAGGGTTTCACAGAGCATGGTTGATGGAAACATTGGGAAAAAATTAAAGCTTGAACTCTGTCAAGTTCAGACTCATCAATAAAATGATTTTTATCACACAGAGGTTGATAAGCAGCTCATAACAACAGCAGAGAGAAATGATTCTGGGCCTAGAACATGGCTGAAGCTGGTTTGCACTGCCATGTGACCCAGTGGCAGCTATGACCTTTACAAGCAGAAGAGAAAAAACTAGAATCTTTAAAATGACCTAGGATGTTGGGATCATCACTTTTAAATATATTTCACATAAATAATTTTGTGTTATTGTTGGCTTTATTCATGTATTTACTTTGATTTATGTATTATTTTATTTTATTTTTCCTCAGGGTTACTAATTTTGTAAGAGACATTATTTAGCCAAGGACATTTGAAATAAAAGCTTGTAAAACTGCAGCTTATCTGGTTCCATTTGAATTTTAGGATTGTTTTTCTATTTCTGTGAAATCTGACATTGGAGTTTTGATAGGAATTGCACTGAATCTATAAATAGCCTTGGGTGGGATGGACATTTTAATAAAAAATAACTTTTCCTGTGAACATTATCATGATCTTCAAAAGCTGATAAAATAATACAATGAATCTATTGTATCAATCACTATCTGCAATGCTTTTCAACATACCTTGATTCATTATCACCCTTCTCTAATTTTAGTCTCCATAGATTATTTTGAAACACATCCAATACATTACATAATTTTACTGTGATAAATACTTCTAGGTGCTCTTGTAAATGATATGTAGGCCTTTCAGGTCTCTAACTACATTAAATTTGTGGATTTATATTTTCTGTGTCACAGTCACTCTGAAAGCTTAGAAAGGCAGCACAAATTATTGGTACTACAGAAACCTGATTGAGTCTTGATTGATTATTTATTCTAAAGACATTTATTAACTGGCTACTTTGTGGGAAGAAATTGTAAATACTGATTAAGAGCTTAACTTTAAGAGGTAGCTGAGTTTGAGTCCAAATTCTATTTCTAATACTTTCTACCTAAATAAAAGCTGTTATCCTCTGACCTTTTATATCTTTATTGATATAGCAAAACTTACATAGCTTACCCAATAATATAATTGTAAGCATTAAATACGTTGCACAAATAATGTATTTTAAGCAATGACTGGCACTGTATGCAGCAGCTAATGCTATTATTTGTACTGCAGTGTAGTAGTAAAGTGACAGTGTGAGATGCTAGAGAGAAAAGGAATGTCTCATGATAAATTGGTTAAGTTGAAATAAGATTTTCCTAGACTAATGGAGTGATTCTAGAGTAGTCTCCTAGCAGTCTAGGTAGCAAGAATCTTTCTGTGGTACTCAGAGGTCTCAACATTTCCCTTCCCAGACAGTCTTTGCAAAATTTATATTTTCTGCTTCGTGTAGCTGACCCCATCAGTTATCCAGTATGACATATGTATTATGTCAGCAAGTTATCTTAAGTTTCAAAGACAGCGTATAAAACATAATGTTAAGCAAAACCTATCAAATTAAAACTGGATCTTTTGCAGAAATTGACAAGCTGATTTAAAATTTTTTAAATTTTCATAGAAATGCAAGGGATGCCGAATAACCAAAACAATTTTGAAAAAAAAAATTTGGAGAACTCACATCTCAGACACATTATAAATCAATGGAATAGAATTATGTGTCCAGAAATAAATCCTCACATTTAAGGCCAACTCATTTTGGAGAAGGGTGCCAAGATTTTTCAATAGAAAAAAATCAATAGAAGAAACAGGCTTTTCAATAGATGATGCTGCCGCATATGAATATCTACATACAGAAGACTGAAATTAAAAACCTGCCTCACACAATATGCAAAAATTGCTTCAAAATGGATGAAAGACCTAAATATAAGAGTTTAAACTTAAACATTTTAGAAAACAATTTAGAAGTGAATCTTCATGACCATAGGTTAGGGAATAGTTCTTTAGATATGGCACCTAAAACCCAAACAACCAAGGAAAACATAGATAAATTGGACATTACTGAAATTAAAACAACTTTTGCAGTTTAAAAGATACTGTCAAGAGAGTAAAAAACACAACTCACTTGATATAGTTTGAATATATGTCCCCGCCAAATCTCATGATGAATTGTAATCCCCAATGTTGAAGGTAGGACCTGGTGGGTGGTATGTGGGTCATGGGGGTGAATCCCTCATAGCTTGGTGCTGACCTCAAGATAGTGAGTGCTCATGAGATATGGCTGTGTTAACAAGTGTGTGGCATCTTCCCTGCCCCAATTCTGTCTCTTGCTTGCTCTCTGCCGTATGAGATGCCAGCTCCCACTTCACCTTACACTGTGCGTAAAAAAGCTCCTTGGAGCCTCGCTAGAAGCAGAGCAGATACCAGCATCATGCTCCCTGTACAGCCTGTAGCACTGTGAGCCAATTAAACCTTGTTTATTTATAAATCACCAAGTCACAGGTATTTCTCTATAGCAATACAAGAACAGCCTAATACATCACTGAATGAGAGAAAATATTTGCAAATATGTATCTGATCATGAACTTATACTCATAACATATAAAGAACTCTCACAATGTCGTAAAAGAGGAAATAACCCAATTAAGAAATAGTCAAAGAATTTCAGTAGATAGTTCTCCAAATACAAAATTAAAACGGCCAATAAGCATTTGACCAATGGTATTGAGGAAAAGATGCTCAGAACCATTAGTCACTAAGGAAATGCAAGTCAAACCCACAATGAGATGTTACTTTATACCCACAAGGATGGCTATAATAAAAGAAAGATTTAAGCAATAGTATGATAGATGTTGGTAAGGATGGAAAAAATATAGAACCTTCCTACATTGTTGGTGGGAATGTAGCAACTTTGAAAAACATTTTGGCAGCTCCACAAAATGTTAAATATATGGTTACCATATGACCTGGCAATTTCTCTTCTCAGTATACACCCAAGAGAAATGAAAATGTATGTCCACATAAAAGTTTATACACAAATGTTCATAGCCACATTATTCATAATAATCTAAAAAGTGAAATAACCTAAATATTTACCAACCCATGAATGGGTGAAAAATATGTAGTGTATCTCTAGCAATGGAATGTTACTCAGCCATACATAAAAACAAATGCAATACTGATACATGCAACAACACGGATAAACTTTGTAAATATTATGCTAAGGAAGCTAGTCACAAAAGACCACCTATTGTATATGAATGCATATATGTAAAATGTCCAGAATGGGCAAAATAGAGAGACAGAAAATAGATTAATGTTTGCCTATGGCTTAGGGTACTGTAGGCTACTTGAGATGAACTGCTAAAGAGGGCAGGGTTTCTTTTTGGGGTGATGAACATTTTCTAAAATTAGATTGCTGTGATGGTGGCACAAATCCCTGAGTATGCTAAACAGTATTGAATTGTACACTTTAAATGGGTGAATTTTTTGGAACATGAATTGTATCTCAATTAACCTCGTATTATGGAATACAAGGACATCAGAGGTGTAAGGGATTTAGGGATTACATCTTAGTTTGATGCAGGCTATTATTTGGGGTTCCTTTAATAAGGTTATCTTCTTAGAACATGAGAAGTCCCTGTTCATGCTGACTAGTTGGATTCCAGAAGTCAAAAAACACAAAGTTGGCTAGAACTCTGGAGGAATTTGCTGAGTAGAGAAAGCTTAATTAGCCTGAGCAGTGAAGAGTACCAGATTGCTAGGGAGTCAATGCAAAGAGGAAAAAGATTTTAAACGATACAAAAATCCTCTAGTGTAGGGATCAGGACACTTTTTTTTCTAAAGAATTGGTCGGTAAGTATTTTAGGTTTACAGATCATATGGTCACAACTATTCAACTCTGTGCTTGTATTGAGAAAAATCCACAGACTGCATGTATATCAATGGGAGTGGTATAGTTCCAATCAAATTTTATTTATAAAATAGGCATGGTTGTATTTGGCCTGCAGACCACAGCTTGCTGACCCATGCTCTGAAAGAAAGCAGGTGTTACAGAGAGGAAATCGGGAATAAACAATTGTCTAAATCTAATACCTGCAACTTCTATTTCTGGATGAAGAGAAGAGAGATGAAAAGTTTAATTTAGCTGCTAATATAACACACCTGACTACTTACGAAGATATCTGGTTCATCTGGGGACTAGGAATTTCCAGGCCAGCCCAGTATTTGAGGCCAAGGCAGACGAAGAAGCTTAGCCTGATGCTATCTGCACTCTGAGGAGAGGTGGCCACCGCTGCAGAAAAGATAGCTTCTATTTTATTATTATCATTATTATTATTGAGACGGAGTCTCACGCTGTCACCCAGGCTGGAGTGCAGTGGCGTGATCTCAGCTCACTGCAACCTCCACCTCCCAGGTTCTAGCAATTCTCCTGCCTCAGCCTCCCGAGTAGCTGGGACTACAGGCACACGCCGCCAGGCCCAGCTAATTTTTTGTATTTTAGTAGAGGCGGGGTTTCACCGTGTTGCCCAGGCTGGTCTTGAACACCTGAGATCAGGCAATCCATCCACCTTGGCGTCCCAAAGTGCTAGGATTACCGGCGTGAGCCACTGCGCCTGGCCGGTAGCTCCTATTTGTATTATTGTTATTTTGCTTCAGGAAGGAGAAAATGAGAGGCTCTGGAGAAAGTCTACACAATAATCTCAAGATGGACTTATTTCTTCTCTGACAATGGATTTTCCCTGTATAATGGATACCTCTATGAAAAGTTAAGTTCAAAGTCTCATAGGGGTTATGAAATATTAAGAACCTTACCCTATGGGGTCTTTGCGTGTTTTCTGAGAGAGAATGCAAGTAATCAAGTAGTAGTAAGACACTGTGGAGACTACTTAGAAACTGTCAGTCAGATAAAAATATTAATGGGAATTTAAAGCAAGAATAATGGCAATAGAGCTGAGATTTCCTCTCTAGAGTGTTTTTCCAAAGGCTTTGTGGCAACAGCAGAACATTTAGGAAACAAGGGATCTGGGAAGCTGTTACGGGAACAACTGTAGTGGGGATTTATTCTAAGGACTCTAGAGGATTAATTCGATCTTGTCCTCCACCTCATTTATTTATTTTATATTTATACTGATGTTAGTGTGGAGATTTTTTGCGTGATTTCATGTTCAAAGTAACTTCTGGTTTGTGAAGTTGTTATCAGTGCTCACTCAGGAAAACCTATCCATGAGTAGAGTGAGAACAGGAAGAAGAGGGTATCTGGGTCGATATTTGGAATTCTTGTTGTCTCTGATCTGTGTTCATCTGTGGGTGGCCTCCATGCCTCCCCAGAGCTGCTTTGAATATCACCATTTTTCCATACAGAAAATGTGGCACCATTACTTACTGAATCTTACATTTTTATTGTGTGAGTATTTATAGATGTGACACTTGTCTAAGTAACACTTTCAAAGTGGATAACTGCTTAGAATCATCAAGCTATTGAGGTTAAGACATGTGAGCCTGTTTGTCCTTAAATTCAAGACTTACTGAGTAAATATGTGAATAACAACCAATGACTTTGTGTGAGTGTTGAGTGGCTGGGGAGGACTAGAGTTGATACTCAGAATTCTCCATCTAGACAACTCTAAGTTCTGAAGGGAAATATATGTGGCTTTAGTTCAAAAAAAAAATTAACAGGACCTGGTCAGTGACATCCTTTCCTTGTTTAGTCAGTGGCCCTGTTCATATATTTAGTGATAGGCTGCATATTAAGGGTGAATCAGGAAATCGTGGTGACCCTGCAATTTGCTGAGGAGAGCTGTATATGAAGTCGACGTGAGACAAAGAACTGAGTTTAAATGAAGAGAATAGTGATCCTTAGTGGCTTGGGACACCAGAGACTCATCTTTACTCCTCAATGGACTCTGTTGATGATGCCCTTGTACGTTCACTCCAGAGGCTGCCAAATAATATAACACTGAGGTTCTGTTTCCATGATACCTTGACCCGGAAAATTGCAAGAATAGGAAAAACGCTGAGATGAACAGCCTCAAACTCTTTAATTCCCCGAGAAAAGATGAATAAGAGGAAGTCTTGTAAGCTCAAAAAAAAGTTAAGCTTTAAGCTTACAAAGAAATTCGGTGGAAGTTCTAAATTATTCCAGAGTTAGAAATAGTAAAACCGAAAATATTTGTTCATGAATTGGCCTGGAAATTTGAAGGCTCTAAAGGAAGCATTGTCTCCTGGCACCATCATTTGTATCTTTGATATTTTGGATAATCTTTAATGCCTTCTTCCATGAAATTGTGCTGACATTATATTTCTTATACAGTTGTAGATCAGACAAAAGGGGATACATTAAGGACTTATTAAATGGTAGCTATTCATATTAACTACTTATTAGTTTACAACTAAATAAGAAACTATCAGAGAAAACACAGAGATAAAAATAAGCTTTCTTCTCAGTTTACTTGCCAATTTTTCATCTTTTTTCCCCAATAACATGTTTCTTTTTCTTCTGTTATTAAAGTTTGGTGTTAATTTGAAGATTTCACTACACTGATTGCACATTTAATGTAAATCTGTATGCAGCTACCAGGGAAGCAGATCTCACTATAACCAGTTTATACCCGCAAAGTGAGGATGGTTTGTGCTAAAGTTGGGGAGTTTCAGTTCCTTTCTTAAAATCCCCAACATCTTACAATTTCTGTGAGAATATCATTGCACTTAAAATAAAATGCTTTTAAAACAAAAACTTTACAAATCCTAAACATTATCTACAAAGTGCAACGTGATCTGGCTCTGCTTCCTCTTCAATATCATGGTGTACCACCTTGTTTGTTAGGTGCTAAAACAGTGAGCTGTCTTTGAGTTCTTCAAATGCTTCAGGATCTGTTATATGATGTTCCCTTTAACAAGAATGCTATTTCGTCATGCCCTGTATCTGCGTAGCCTTCAACTTAGATATAATTTCCCAAAGATGCATTTTTTTACCCTACCCTACCAGTTAAATATGTTTTCTCTTGTTATTCTCACAGTATACTTTGTTCGTTTTCTCAAATTTAAGATACTGTGTGTGTGTGTGTGTGAGTGTGTGCATGTGTATGTGGTTTTACATGCTTTCTTTTTTTTTTTCAGCAGACTGTAAATTTCATGAAATAGGATCCATGTCCCTTTATTCTCTCCTGTTTACCTAGTAGAAGGCCTGGCACATTTTAGATTGTCAATAAATATCTCTAGAGTGAATGGATGACAGAGTGTGACTAGAATGGCATTTCCTAAAATGAAAGGAGATCTATGCCTAGTGTATGTACTGTTCTCTGTGAAGGCAGTATTACCTATCTAAGGGTGTGTCAGAAAAGCAGAGTAGGATCATAAAATAGTTTGAAAATATTTCTCTGACATTGGAAAGTTATGTGTGGGCTACACCCAGCAGGAGTAATTGTTGGAAATTGCTTGCATTATGATGAATGATAAATGCCAGGAGAATAATGAATAATTCCAGATAAGAGAATAAGCTTTGTACTTGTTTAGAACATAAACCTGCATTCTTTTAATGATAGCAGCCAAGGATAAATTAAAAATAAAAATCTTGTTTTGCAATGCTCTCCTGTATAAACATTCAAAGTCTTATCAATTCAATTAGAAATAAATCCAAAATTCTCAATACAAGATTTACCATATCTTAGATTTTCCTGCCAACCATACCCACAGCATTTAGTATCATCCTTCCCCCAGGTAACTAAGCTCTAATCCCAAAGCCTGATTTCTGTATCCAGATGGGCTAAGCTCTTTGCTGCTTCAGTGACTTTGTACTAACTCACTTTTCCCTTGGCCCTTCACATGGCTGAATCCGTTTTTTCTGTCAGCTCTCAGTTCAAGTATCACTTTCTAAGGACTGCTTATTACCGAACTTTCTCTGTAAATTCCACACTTTCTTCTGCCCTTGTTGCTTTCTATCACATTATCACGATAGTTTTTTAATAGCACTTGCCATAATCAGAAATTATGTATTAATTTTTGTTCTAAATATTGCATATACATTTTTGTCTAGAATGAAAGATCTATGATGAAAAGGGATGTATGGTTTACATTAGCAAACACGGCAAATAATACAACATCTCTAAGCCTCAGTTTCCTAAGATATAAAATACGGATTATAAGACATACCTTAGAGGAGGAGCCAAGATGGCCGAATAGGAACAGCTCCGGTCTACAGCTCTCAGCGTGAGCGACGCAGAAGACCGGTGATTTCTGCATTTCCATCTGAGGTACCGGGTTCATCTCACTAGGGAGTGCCAGACAGTGGGCGCGGGTCAGTGGGTGCAGCGCACTGTGCGGGAGCCGAAGCAGGGTGAGGCATTGCCTCACTCGGGAAGTGCAAGGGGTCAGGGAGTTCCCTTTCCTAGTCAAAGAAAGGGGTGACGGAGGGTACCTGGAAAATCGGGCCACTCCCACGCGAATACTGCGCTTTTCCGACGGGCTTAAAAAACGGCGCATCAGGAGATTATATCCTACACGTGGCTCTGAGGGTCCTACACCCACCGAGTCTCGCTGACTGCTAGCACAGCAGTCTGAGATCAAACTGCAAGGCGGCAGCGAGGCTGGGGGAGGGGCGCCTGCCATTGCCCAGGCTTGCTTAGGTAAACAAAGCAGCCGGGAAGCTCGAACTGGGTGGAGCCCACCACAGCTCAAGGAGGCCTGCTGGCCTCTGCAGGCTCCACCTCTGGGGGCAAGGCACAGACAAACAAAAGACAGCAGTAATCTCTGCAGACTTAAATGTCCCTGTCTGACAGCTTTGAAGAGAGCAGTGGTTCTCCTAGCACGCAGCTGGAGATCTGAGAACGGGCAGACTGCCTCCTCAAGTGGGTCCCTGACCCCTGACCCCTGAGCGGCCTAACTGGGAGGCACCCTCCAGTAGGGGCAGACTGACACCTCACAGGACCGGGTACTCCTCTGAGACAAAACTTCCAGAGGAACGATCAGACAGCAGCATTCGCGGTTCACGAAACACCACTGTTCTGCAGACACCCCTGCTGATACCCAGGCAAACAGAGTCTGGAGTGGACCTCTAGCAAACTCCAACAGACCTGCAGCTGAGGGTCCTGTCTGTTAGAAGGAAAACTAACAAACAGAAAGGACATCCACACCAAAAACCTATCTGTACATCACCATCATCAAAGACCAAAAGTAGATAAAACCACAAAGATGGGGAAAAAAACAGAGCAGAAAAACTGGAAACTCTAAAAAGCAGAGCACCTCTCCTCCTCCAAAGGAACACAGTTCCTCACCAGCAATGGAACAAAGCTGGATGGAGAATGACTTTGACGAGTTGAGAGAAGAAGGCTTCAGACGATCAAACTACGAGCTACAGGAGGAAATTCAAACCAAAGGCAGAGAAGTTAAAAACTTTGAAAAAAATTCAGATGAATGTATAACTAGAATAACCAATACAGAGAAGTGCTTAAAGGAGATGATGGAGCTGAAAGCCAAGGCTTGAGAACTACGTGAAGAATGCAGAAGACTCAGGAGCCGATGCGATCAACTGGAAGAAAGGGTATCAGTGATGGAAGATGAAATGAATGAAATGAAGCGAGAAGGGAAGTTTAGAGAAAAAAGAATAAAAGAAATGAACAAAGCCTCCAAGAAATATGGGACTATGTAAAAAGACCAAATCTACGTCTGATTGGTGTACCTGAAAGAATGCAGAAGCCTCAGGAGCCGATGCGATCAACTGGAAGAAAGGGTATCAGTGATGGAAGATGAAATGAATGAAATGAAGCGAGAAGGGAAGTTTAGAGAAAAAAGAATAAAAAGAAATGAACAAAGCCTCCAAGAAATATGGGACTATGTAAAAAGACCAAATCTACGTCTGATTGGTGTACCTGAAAGTGACGGGGAGAATGGAACCAAGTTGGAAAACACTCTGCAGGATATTATCCAGGAGAACTTCCCCAATCTAGCAAGGCAGGCCAACATTCAAATTCAGGAAATACAGAGAACGCCACAAAGATACTCCTCAAGAGGAGCAACTCCAAGACACATAATTGTTAGGTTCACCAAAGTTGAAATGAAGGAAAAAATGTTAAGGGCAGCCAGAGAGAAAGGTTGGGTTACCCACAAAGGGAAGCCCATCAGACTAACAGCAGATCTCTCGGCAGAAACTCTACAAGCCGGAAGAGATTAGGGGCCAATATTCAACATTCTTAAAGAAAAGAATTTTCAACCCAGAATTTCATATCCAGCCAAACTAAGCTTCATAAGTGAAGAAGAAATAAAATCCTTTACAGACAAGCAAATGCTGAGAGATTTTGTCACCACCAGGCCTGCCCTACAAGAGCTCCTGAAGGAAGCACTAAACATGGAAAGGAACAACCGGTACCAGCTGCTGCAACATCATGCCAAAATGTAAAGACCATCGAGACTAGGTACAAACTGCATCAACTAACGAGCAAAATAACCAGCTAACATCATAATGACAGGTTCAAATTCACACATAACAATATTAACATTAAATGTAAATGGACTAAATGCTCCAATTAAAAGACACAGACTGGCAAATTGGATAAAGGGTCAAGACCCATCAGTGTGTTGTATTCAGGAAACCCATCTCACATGCAGACACACATAGGCTCAAAATAAAAGGATGGAGGAAGATCCACCAAGCAAATGGAAAACAAAAAAAGGCAGGGGTTGCAATCCTAGTCTCTGATAAAACAGACTTTAAACCAACAAAGATCAAAAGAGACAAAGAAGGCCATTACATAATGGTAAAGGGATCAATTCAACAAGAAGAGCTAACTATCCTAAATATATATGCACCCAATACAGGAGCACCCAGATTCATAAAGCAAGTCCTGAGTGACCTACAAAGAGACTTAGACTCCCACACATTAATAATGGGAGACTTTAACACCCCACTGTCAACATTAGACAGATCAACGAGACAGAAAGTCAACAAGGATACCCAGGAATTGAACTCAGTTCTGCACCAAGCAGACCTAATAGACATCTACAGAACTCTCCACCCCAAATCAATGGAATATACATTTTTTTCAGCACCACACCTCACCTATTCCAAAATTGACCACATACTTGGAAGTAAAGCTCTCCTCAGCAAATGTAAAAGAACACAAATTATAACAAACTATCTCTCAGAACACAGTGCAATCAAACTAGAACTCAGGATTAAGAAACTTACTCAAAATGGCTCAACTACATGGAAACTGAACAACCTGCTCCTGAATGACTATTGGGTACATAACGAAATGAAGGCAGAAATAAAGATGTTCTTTGAAACCAATGAGAACAAAGACACAACATACCAGAATCTCTGGGACACATTCAAAGCAACATGTAGAGGGAAATTTATAGCACTAAATGCCCACAAGAGTAAGCAGGAAAGATCCAAAATTGACACCCTAACATCACAATTAAAAGAACTAGAAAACCAAGAGCAAACACATTCAAAAGCTAGCAGAAGGCAAGAAATAACTAAAATCAGAGCAGAACTGAAGGAAATAGAGGCACAAAAAACCCTTCAAAAAATTAATGAATCCATGAGCTGATTTTTTGAAAGGATCAACAAAATTGATAGACCGCTAGCAAGACTAATAAAGAAGAAAAGAGAGAAGAATCAAATAGACGCAATAAAAAATGATAAAGGGGATATCACCACCGATCCCACAGAAATACAAACTACCATCAGAGAATACTACAAACACCTCTACGCAAATAAAATAGAAAATCTAGAAGAAATGGATAAATTCCTCGACACATACTCTCTCCCAAGACTAAACCAGGAAGAAGTTGAATCTCTGAATAGACCAATAACAGGAGCTGAAATTGTGGCAATAATCAATAGCTTACCAACCAAAAAGAGTCCAGGACCAGATGGATTCACAGCCGAATTCTACCAGAGGTACAAGGAGGAACTGGTACCATTCCTTCTGAAACTATTCCAATCATTAGAAAAAGAGGGAATCCTCCCTAACTCACTTGATGAGGCCAGCATCATCCTGATACCAAAGTTGGGCAGAGACACAATCAAAAAAGAGAATTTTAGACCAATATCCTTGATGAACATTGATGCAAAAATCCCCAATAAAATACTGGCAAACTGAATCCAGCAGCACATCAAAAAGCTTATTCATCATGATCAAGTGGGCTTCATCCCTGGGATGCAAGGCTGGTTCAATATACGCAAATCAATAAATGTAATCAAGCATATAAACAGAACCAAAGACAAAAACCACACAATTATCTCAATAGATGCAGAAAAGGCCTTTGACAAAATTCAACAGCCCTTCATGCTAAAAGCTCTCAATAAATTAGGTATTGATGGGACATATCTCAAAATAATAAGAGCTATCTATGACAAACCCACAGTCAATATCATACTGAATGGGCAAAAACTGGAAGCATTCCCTTTGAAAACTGGCACAAGACAGGGATACCCTCTCTCACCACTCCTATTCAACATAGTGTTGGAAGTTCTGGCCAGGGCAATTAGGCAGGAGAAGGAAATAAAAGGTATTCAATTAGGAAAAGAGGAAGTCAAATTGTCCCTGTTTGCAGACGGCATGATTGTATATCTAGAAAACCCCATTGTCTCAGCCCAAAATCTCCTTAAGCTGATAAGCAACTTCAACAAAGTCTCAGGATACAAAATCAATGTACAAAAATCACAAGCATTCTTATACACCAATAACAGACAAACAGAGAGCCAAATCATGAGTGAACTCCCATTCACGATTGCTTCAAAGAGAATAAAATACCTAGGAATCCACCTTAGAGGGGACATGAAGGACCTCTTCAAGGAGAACTACAAACCACTGCTCAATGAAATAAAAGAGGATACAAACAAATGGAAGAACATTCCATGCTCATGGGTAGGAAGAATCAATATTGTGAAAATGGCCATACTGCCCAAGGTAATTTATAGATTGAATGCCATCCCCATCAGGCTACCAATGACTTTCTTCACAGAATTGGAATAAACTACTTTAAAGTTCATATGGAACCAAAAAAGAACCCGCATCGCCAAGTCAATCCTAAGCTGAAAGAACAAAGCTGGAGCCATCACGCTACCTGACTTCAAACTATACTACAAGGCTACAGTAACCAAAACAACATGGTACTGGTACCAAAACAGAGATATAGATCAATGGAACAGAACAGAGCCCTCAGAAATAATGCGGCATATCTACAACTATCTGATCTTTGACAAACCTGAGAAAAACAAGCAATGGGGAAAGGATTCCCTATTTAATAAATGGTGCTGGGAAAACTGGCTAGCCATATGTAGAAAGCTGAAACTGGATCCCTTCCTTACACCTTATACTAAAATTAATTCAAGATGGATTAAAGATTTAAGTGTTAGACCTAAAACCATAAAAACCCTAGAAGAAAACCTATGCAATACCATTCAGGACATAGGCATGTTCAAGGACTTCATGTCTAAAACACCAAAAGCAATGGCAACAAAAGCCAAAATTCACAAATGGGATCTAATTAAACTAAAGAGCTTCTGCACAGCAAAAGAAACTACCATCAGAGTGAACAGGCAACCCACAAAATGGGAAAAAATTTTTGCAACCTACTTATCTGACAAAGGGCTAATATGCAGAATCTACAATGAACTCAAACAAATTTACAAGAAAAAAACAAACAAGCCCATCAAAAAGTGGGCGAAGGACATGAACAGACGCTTCTCAAAAGAAGACATTTATGCAGCCAAAAAACACATGAAAAATGCTCACCATCACTGGTCATCAGAGAAATGCAAATCAAAACCACAATGAGATTTCATCTCACACCAGTTAGAATGGCAATTATTAAAAAATCAGGAAACAACAGGTGCTGGAGAGGATGTGGAGAAATAGGAACACTTTTACACTGTTGCTGGGACTGTAAACTAGTTCAACCATTGTGGAAGTCAGTGTGGTGATTCCTCAGGGATCTAGAACTAGAAATACCATTTGACCCAGCCATCCCATTACTGGGTATATACCCAAAGGACTATAAATCATGCTGCTATAAAGACACATGCACATGTATGTTTATTGCGGCACTATTCACAATAGCAAAGACTTGGAACCAACCCAAATGTCCAACAATGATAGACTGCAATAAGAAAATGTGGCACATATTCACCATGGAATACTATGCAGCCATAAAAAATGATGAGTTCATGTCCTTTGTAGGGACATGGATGAAATTGGAAATCATCATTCTCAGTAAACTATCGCAAGAACAAAAAACCAAACACCACATATTCTCACTCATAGGTGGGAATTGAACAATGAGAACACATGGACACAGGAAGGGGAACATCACACTCTGGGGACTGTTGTGGGGTCGGGGGAGGGGGGAGAGATAGCATTAGGAGATATACCTAATGCTAGATGACGAGTTAGTGGGTGCAGCAAACCAGCATGTCACATGTATACATATGTAACTAACGTGCACATTGTGCACCTGTACCCTAAAACTTAAAGTATAATAATAATAATAAAAGACATACCTTAAATATTTGTTATCAAGATTAAATGAGATAGTACATGAGAATCCATTAGCAAAGTCTCTGGAACTCAAGAAGCGTTTAATGAAAGGCAAACATATTTCTGCTTCCGCTATCACCATCATCATCATCATCATCATCATCATCCCAGTTCTTGTTATCTATAGTATGATGCCAACTGTAAAGGAAACACAGAACTCACAGTTAATACAGGGATACCGACAAGAAAATGTTATGAGTTATCTATTGCTCCATAACAAATCACGCCAAAACTTGGTGTCCTAAAACCATCATTTTTTTTTTCATGCTTAGAGGCAGGGTATGTCAGAAATTGGGAACTGGATTAAAGAGACAACTTTCTCTGCTCCACTGTGTCTGGGACTTTATCCAGGAAGACTTGAATCATGGGGATGATTCAACATTTGGGACTGGAATTATTTTGAGTGTTTTTTACAAAAGATGAGTAAGGAAGAAAGAGTCTTTGGAAATGAAGACAAAGGGAGAAGGGTGGCAAATGAATGAGTGTCTTTGGATGAGATTAATAACATTTTAAAGTCATCGTTTTATGGAAAATGGAAAAACAATGGACAGAAGGCTGTGATTTTACTGCTTTGTCAGCATTGACCAGTCTTATTCTCTTCTCTCCTTTCCTCTTATGGGCTTAAATCATCTGTGGTGGTAGTTTCCGGGTTGTTCTTTCTCTTTCTGTATGCTTTTTCTTTTCTGATTTTTTAAAGGGATTTTGTTAGATTTGTCTCCATACATTTTGCTTCCTTGGTGATGTGTCATAAAGAGCATTGGTCAGAATGGCCAAGTCGTCATTCTGGAGTGAGGGCAGGATTAGTGTGTTTAAAAAGTAGTCAAATAGCCAGTTTGCTCTTCTTTAATGCACCTCATAGACACACATATTTTTGTTCCATGGACTGGGCAATGTAATCTTATGACAGTGCCAACCTTTCATTGAGTGGCTTCCACCTTTAGGGACAAAGTTGAACATTGTCAAGATGTACTGAAATAAAGTGGGATTTTAGGACATAAGGCATAAGATAGGTTGGTTGCTTGACTAACTCAAGCAGAAAGATACCTAAAGTGTTCAAAATACAGAGCATATGAAAGGATTGAGTTGAATAAAATAAGATAGGCTGAATAAGTATTTAATGATAGGTCATACATTATTTTATTTACTTACTATATAACCAGTAATACTCTAAGTACTAACATGAGAGAGAAAGGGCAAGAAAATGAGAGTAAGAGCACATGCAGAAGTCTAGATTAAAGGAGACTAGTAGAGAAAAATAACCCAAATAATCATTCAGATGATTTAGAATTTAAAATTTAAACCAATTAAATATTAGATAAGAAAGATAAAATGTTAAAATAATAGATTGTGCATGGTGTGCACACACACAAACACACACACACACACACACACAGAGACACCTGAAGTATGCAATCATTACAATAATATTAAATGACATGAGAAAATGATCACAACATTCCGTGGAAGATGTAGATAAAACCGTACAGTATAATTCAAATCCCATGAAAACATATGTATACAGGAAAAATTTGGAAACAAATATTTGAAATTTATTAAAATATTGAGCAGATATTACTGTTTATCAGAATGACAGGTTATTTTAAAGTTTTCCTTCTTTCTTTATATATACTTTTTAACTTTAAAAATATATACTTTTAAATTTACATAGGTTATTGGGGAACAGGTGGTGTTTGGTCACAAGAGTAAGTTCTTTAGTGGTGCTTTGTAAGATTTTGGTGCTCCCAACACCCAAGCAGTATACACTGAATCTTATTTGTAGTCTTTTATCCCTCATTCCCTTCCCACCCTTTCCCCCCAAAGTCCATTGTGTTTTTCTTATGCCTTTGCATTTTCATAGCTTAGCTCACACTTTTGAGTGAGAATATACAATGTTTGGTTTTCCATTCCTGAGTTACTTCACTTAGAATAATAGTCTCCAATCACATCCACGTAGCAGTGAATGCCATTAATTTATTCCTTTTTATGGCTGAGTAGTATTCCATCATATATATATATATCACAATTTCTTTATCCACTCATTGATTGATGGGCATTTGTGTTGCTTCCATATTTTTGCAATTACGAATTGTGCTGCTATAAACATGCAAGTGCAAGTATCTTTTTCATAGAATGACTTATTTTCCTCCGGTTAGATACCCAGTAGTGAGATTGCTGGATCAAATGATAGTTATACTTGTAGTTCTTTAAGGCATCTTCATACTGTTATCCGTAGTGATTGTACTAGTTTACATTCCCACCAGCAGTGTAGAAGTGTTCCCTGTTCACCACATCCATGCCAAACTCAACTATTTTTTATTTTTTTATTATGCACATTCTTGCAGGAGTAAAGTGGTATTGCATTGTGGTTTTGATTTATATTTCCATGATCATTAGTGATGTTGAGCATTTTTTCATACATTTGTTGGCCATTTGGATATCTTCTTTTGAGAATTATCTATTCATGTCCTTAGCCCAGTTTTTGATGGAATTGTTGGTTTTTTCTTGCTGATTTGTTTGTGTTCATTGTAGATTCTGGGTATTATTCCTTCATCAGATGTATTGATTGTGAAGATTTTCTCCCACTCTGTGGGTTGTCTGTTTACTCTGCTGTTTCTTTTGCCATATAAAAGCTCTTTAGTTAAATTATTTCCTAGCTATTTATCTTTGTTTTTATTGAATTTGCTTTTGGGTTCTTGGTCATAAAATCCTTGCCTAAGCCAATGTCTATAAGGGTTTTTTCAATGTTATCTTCTAGAATTTTTATAGTTTCAGGTCTTAAAGTCCTTAATCCATTTTTTGCTAGTTTTTGTATAAAGCGAGAGATGAGAATCCAGTTTCATTCTCCTACATGTGGCCAGACAATTATCCCAGCACCATTTGTTGAAAAGGGTGTCCTTTCCCCACTTTATGTTTTTGTTTGCTTTGTCGAAGATCAGTTGACTGTAAGTACTTGGGTTTATTTCTGCATTCTCTATTCTGTTCTATTGATACATGTGCCTATTTTTACACCAGTACCATGCTGTTTTGGTGACTATCGCCTTATAGTACAGTTTGAAATCATGTAAAGTGATACTTCCAGATTTATTATTTTTGCTTAGTCTTGGTTTGGCTATGTGGGCTCTTTTTTGGTTCCATATGAATTTTAGAATTTTTTTTTCTAATTCTGTGAAGAATGATGGTGGTATTTTGATGGGAATTTCACTGAATTTGTAGATTGCTTTTGGCCCTATGTTTCTTTTTTTAATTGTTACTTTAAGTTCAGGGACACATGTGCAGGTTTGTTATATAGGTAAAATTGTGTCATGGGGATTTGTTGTTCAGATTATTTCATCACAAAGGGATTAAGCCCAGTACTCCTTATTTTTCCTGATCCTCTTTCTCTTCCCACCCTCCACCGTCCAATAGGCCCCAGTGCGCATTGTTCACCTTATCTGTCCATGTGTTCTCATCCTTTAGCTCCTGCTTATACTTGAGAACAATATTTCGTTTTCTGTGTTAGTTTGCTAAGGATAATGACCTCCAGCTTCATTGATGTCCTTGTAGAGGACATGATCTTGTCTTTTTTATGACTGCATAGTATTCCATTGTGTATATATACCACATTTTTTTAAAATCCGGTCTATCACTGATGAGCATTTGGGTTGATTTCATGTCTTTCCTATTGTAAACAGTGCTGCAATGAACATACTTGTGCATGTGTCTTTATAATAGAACAATTTATATTACTTTGGGTATATATTCAGTAATGGGATTGCTGAATTGAATGGTTTTTCTGTCTTCAGGTCATTGAGGATTCACCACACTGTCTTTCACAAAAGCTGAGCTAATTTTCCACCAACAGCGCACATACGGTCTTTTTTCTCCACAACCTCACCAGCATCTGTTGTTTTTTGACTTTTTAATAATAGCCTTTTTTTTTTTCCGAGACAGACTCTCACTCTGTCATCCAGGCTGGAGTGCAGTGGAATGATCTTGGCTCACTGCAACCTCCACCTCCCAGGTACAAGTGATTATCCTGCCTCAGCCTCCTGAGTAGCTGGGATTACAGGTGCATGCCACCACACCCAGCTAATTTTTGTATTTTTACTAGAGATGGTATTTCACCATGTTGCCCAGAATGGTCTCAAACTCCTGACCTCAAGTGATCCACCTGCCTCAGCCCCCCAAGTACTGGGATTACAGGTGAACAACTGTGCCCAGCCAATAGTAGGTATTCTGACTGGTGTTAATTGTTATCTCATTGTGGTTTTGTGTTTCTCTAATGATCAGTGATGTTGAGCTTTTTCTCATATTATTGTTGGCCACATGTATGTCTTTTGAGAAGTGTCTGTTCATGTCCTTTGCCCACTTTTTAATGTGGTGATTTGTTTTTTTCTTGTAAATTTTTTAAGTTTCTTATAGATGTTGGATAATAGACCTTGGTCAGATGCATAGTTTGCGAAAAATTTTCTCCTGTTCTATATGTTGTCTGTTTACTCTGTTGATATTTTCTATTGTTGTGCATAATCTCCTTTGTTTACTTAGATCCCATTTGTCAATTTTTGCTTCTGTTGCAACTGCTTTTGGTGTCTTCTTCATGAAATCTTTATGCCCATGCCTATGTGCTGAATGGTATTGCCTAGGCTGTCTTCCAGGGTCTTCAGAGTTCTGAGTTCTATATTTAAGTCTTTCATTTGTCTTGGGTTAATTTTTGTACATGGTGTAAAGAAGGGGTCCAGTTTCAATCTGCATATGGCTACCCAGTTATCCCAGAATCATTTATTAAATAGGAAATCATTTCCCTATTGCTTGTTTTTGTCAGGTTTGTTGAAGATCAGATAGTTGTAGGTATGTGGTCTTATTTCTGGTTTCTCTATTCTGATTGGTCTATGTGTCTGTTTTTGTACCAGTATCATGCTGTTTTGGTTACTTTAGCACTGTAGTATAGCTTAAAATCAGGTAGCATAATATCTCCAGCTTTGTTCTTTTTGCTTAGGATTGCCTTGGCTATTTGGGCTTTTTTGTTTTCATATGAATTTTAAAATACATTTTCTAGTTCTGTGAAGAATCTCAATGGTAGTTTAGTAGGACTAGCATACAATCTATAAATTGCTTGGACAGTATGGCCATTTTAATTATATTGATTTTTCCTATCCATGGGCATGGAAAGTTTTTCCATTTGTTTAAGTCCTCTCTGATTTCTTTGAGTAGTGGTTTGTAGTTCTCATTGAAGAGGTCATTCACTTCCCTTGTATAACTGTATTTCTAGGTATTTTATTATTTTTGTGGCAGTTGTGAACGGGACTTCATTCCGGATTTGGCTCTCGGCTTGACTGTTGTTGGTGTATAGGAATGCTGGTGATTTTTGCACATTGATATTGTATCCTCAGACTTTGCTGAAGTTGTTTATCAGCTTAAGAAACTTTTGGGCTGAGACTATGTTTTTTCTACATATAGAATTATGTCATCTGCAAACAGGGATAGTTCGACTTCCTTTCTTCCTATATGGATGCCCTTTTTTTCTTTCTCTTGACTGATTGCCCTGGCCAGGACTTCCAATACTATGTTGACTAGGAGTGGTGAGAGAAGATATTCTTGTCTTGTGCTGGTTTTCAAGGGGGGATGCTTTCAGCTTTTGCCCATTCAGTATGATATTGAATGTGAGTTTGTAATATATGGCTCTTATTATTTTGAGATATCGTTCCTTCAATACCCAGTTTATTGACAGTTTTTAATATGATTGGATGTTGAATTTTATCAAAAGCTTTTTCTGCATACTGCAGCTTCCCTTGAGCCCACAGCAATTGCTGGTCCATATCTGCACAGGTGGGTTTTGCATTACTTGCCCTACCAGCATGAGGGAGTTCAGTAATGCCCCCTCACCCCACTCCCTGACCATCATTTCAGATGTAGCCTTGGAAAGCACAGAGCCAGCAAACCCTGCCCTCACCAACATCCTGTCCTTGAGCTAATACTGCACAGAGAACAAAGAATCCTCCCACATCATGAACGACCCTTCCTGCTTGTGGGACACAGAGTAGGCACCCAGACCGGCACCAGACAGCATCTAGCTCCTAGCCAATACCACCTCCAGTGCGACAGCGCATAGTCTCCAGCAGGCCCACTCATCTGCCCCCCAACTGCCTTGCCTCCACCACTGTGGTGAAGGCTTGCAGGGAGGCAGCATCCTTGCATCCTCTAGCACTCTGCTGCAGTTGTGACACCTCAGTCCCTGCAGTGCAGGGGACTCCAAACCTTGAGGAGCCAGAGAACAATGTCAGGGACCAAAATAAGCCCCCAGAATTAGGGCATGCAGTCCAGGAGTTGGGAGCTGAACTTTGGGCCCCTAAAATCACCCAGAAATGGAGCCAGTTGGCTAAATTCACCTTATGTCACAATCAAACCTTCAGGGTCATCAAATAGGATAAAAGAAAAAAAAATCCAAAGGTCAAAAATCTCTAAGATTGAACGTAGATAAGCCCACAAAGATAAAAAAAGATTCAGTGCAAGAACGCTGAAAACTCAAAAAGCCAGAGTGCCTTCTTTCGTCCAAATGACCACATCATTGCTCTAGCAAGGCTTTGGAACCAGGCTGAGGCTGAGATGGTTGAAGTGAAAGAAGTCGAATTCAGGCAATGGATAGGTATGATGTTCATTGAGCTACAGGAGTACATTGTAACCCAACGCAAGGAAACTAAAAGTCATGACAAAACATTGCAAGAACTGAAAGAAAAAATAGCCAGTATAGAGAAGAATGTAACCAACCTGATAGAGCTGAAAAACACATTGCAAACATTTCATAATGCAATCACAAGTATTAATAGCAGAATAGATCAAGCAGAGAAAATAATCTCAGAGCTTGAAAACTTGCTTCTAAAATAAGACAGGCAGATATGAATACAGAAAAAAATCAAAAGGAATGAACAAAACCTCTGAGAAATATGGGATTATGTAAAGAGACCAAATCTATGACTGAGTGGTATTCCTGAAAGAGATGGGAAGAATGGAACTAACTTTGAAAACATATTTCAGGATATCATCCATGAGAACTTCCCCAACCTAGCTACAGATGCCAACATTCAAATGCAGGAAATACAGAGAACCCCAGTAAGAGACTCCACAAGAAGATTATCCCCAAGACACATGATCATCAAATTCTCCAAGGTTGAAATAAAAGAAAAACTGTTAAAGGCAGCTAGAGAGAAAGGCCAGGTTACATACAAAGGGAAGTCCATTGGACTAACAGCAAAATTCTCAGGTGAAACCCTACAAGTCAGATGAAATTGGGTGCCAACGTTCAAAATTCTTAAAGGAAAGAAATTCCAACCCAGAATTTTATATCTGGCCAAACTAAGCTTCATAAATGAAGGAGAAATAATGTCCTTTTCAGACAAGCAAATGCTGAGGGCATTTGTTACTACAAAACCTGCCTTACAAGAGCTCCTGAAGGAAGCACTAAATATGGGAAGGGAAGACCCTTACCAGCCGCTACAAAAACACTATAAAGCAACCACGTAAACAAGTCTGTGAAATAACCAGCTAACATTATGATGAAAGAATCAAATCCACACATACCAATACTAACTTTAAATGTAAATGGGCTAAATGACCCAATTAAATGACACAGAGTGGCAAGCTGGATAAAGAACCAAGACCCACTGGGGAATACTGTCTTCAAGAGACCATCTCAAATGCAGTGACACACATTCGTTCAAGATAAAGGGATAGAGAAAAATCTATCAAGCAAATGGAAAATAGAAAAAAGCAAGGGTTGGAATCATAGTTTCTGACAAAACAGAGTTTAAACCGACAAAGATCTAAAAAGACAAGTAAGGGCATTATATAATGGCAAATGGTTTTTAACTATAATATTTCAATGTTCAAAAATACATATTTTTCTAATTAGTAATTAAGTAAAAGCTACTATTTATAAATATGTTAATGGCTATATATCATGATAGGTCTATAAAAGATCCATGTCCTATGGAATTCTTATAGATAAAACGAGGGTTAATGGGTGGATTCTTTTTACAAGCTAAATTGGTTTAATTATTGCAATTTATTCTCAAAAATTAGAGCTTGAATACTTAAATTTATAAAAATTAAGAATGCCTTAGTAATTGCTGAATTGATAGTAGATAGGTTTGTGGTTTGATTCAAGCCCTCAGATGAGAATTAATTAACACAATCTTCCAGCCTTGAGATATCTTGATTTTTAAGTAGGAGATATGTCAGCTCTTCCTATTGCTTGTAATCCAACTGGAAATTCCAAATAACCTTTAAAGTATAGGTACATTTTCCAAGTTACTGTTCATTGCATCTTTTAAAATGTGATATATTGATAGACCTGTTAAATATCTCAGAGGAAAACTGATAAATCCCAATAATATCATTGCTGTTGAAACATTTCCATGTTAGGCAAGATCAGGGAATGCTGAAAATATCAAAAAAGGAGATGAATTATTTGATTGCATAGATAATTTCCTAGTGCAGCCAAAATATTCTGAAAATATACTTTGGGCCAGATACATGTCTTAAATGACACAGCAAAAATTTAAACAGAAGACAGGGAAAAAATATCAAGGACGTTTTGTGGGTTTGTTGTTTATTAAAAATTTTTAAAGGTGTTTTTTCCAGAATAAATTATAATGCTTATTTAAATTGTAAGGTATTACAACTTGAGAATTATGACACTCTGCTCACTTTGAGATAATGATTGTTGTTTCTTTTAATTCTTCAAAGTGATTTTTATAAAACCTAGTTAGATCTCATGTAGTTTTTAATTGATTAACCCTAAGAAAATTAAAAGACTCCGTTCATGTACATGACGATTATTCATGTAGGAAACTCTAAGCAATCTACAAAAATGAAACTGACAGCTTAATAAGTTAACTTAAGTAGACGATGGGATTTCTGGTCAATATACAAAACAAACAAACAAACAACAAAAAAAAACAGTTATTGGGCATGCATTGCTTAACAGGGATACATTCTGAGAAATGAGTCCATAGGCAATTTCATTATTGTGTGAACATAACTGAATATGCTTGCACAAACCTAGATAGTATAACCTATTACACACCTAGGACATATGGTATAGCCTAGTACTCCTAGGCTACAAACTTGCACAACATATTACTGTACTGTATGCTGTAGGTAATCGGAACACAATGGTAAGTATTGGTGTATCTAAAATAGAAAGTGTACAGTTAAAATATGGTATAAACAATAAAAATGGTACACCTGTATAATCAGTTACCATGAAAGGAGCTTGCAGGAATGGAATGGAAGTTGCTCTGGGTAAGTCAGTGAGTGAGTGGTAAGTCAGTGAGTGAGTGGTAAGTCAGTGCAAAGGCCTGGGACATTACTATACAGTACTGTAGACTTTATAAACATTGGACACTTAGGTCACACTAAACTTATAAAACAATTTTTTTTCAACAAAGAAAGATTTTTCTTTCCTCAATAATGAAACTTTAACTTGCTGTAACATTTTTACATTATAAACTTTTTAATTTCTTAACCTTTTGACTCTTAATAACACTCAGCTTAAAACACAAATAAATTGTATAGCTGTACACAAATATTCTTTCTTTATATCATAATTCTATAAGCTTTTCCTGATTTAAAAAAATTAATATTTCACTTTTTTTTTTTTTTTTTACTTTTTAAACTCCTTTGTTAAAAGCTAAGACACAAACACACGTATTACCCTAGGCCTACACGGGGCCAACATAATCAATATCACTGTCTTCCACCTCCACAGCTTGTCCCACCGGAAGGTCTTGAAGGGCAACAGCACGCATGGAGCTGTCATCTACTGTGATAACAATGCCTTCTTCTGGAGCACATCCTGAAGGACCAGCCTGAGGCTGTTTTACAATTAACTTCTTTTTAATAAGTAGAAAGAGTACACTCTAAAATAATGATTAAAAGTATAGTAAATACAAAAACCAGTAACAGTCATTTATTATCACTATCAAGTATTATGTACTGTATGTACTTACATGTGTTATACTTTTATATGACTGGTAGTGAAGTAGATTTGCTTATACCTGCATTACCACAAACAGTTCAGTAATGCATTTAGAATGACTATGATGTCACTAGGCAATAGAAAATTTTCAGCTCCACTATAATGTTATGGCAATGTCTTCATACATGTGGTCCATTGTTGATCAAATGTCATGTGGCACATGACTGTATATCCCTTTAGCCTACAGTACTTGTTTTATAATTCCTTTTAGTTTACATTAATAAAAGGAATTATTTATTTCTATCTAAAATTTATTTATTTTACCTAAATTACTTAATGTTTTCTTTTATCAGCTTTTACAAGGTATAATTTACATACAACAAAATTCACCCTAATTATCATACAGTTTTGGGGGCCTTGACAAATGCTTATAATCATGTAATCATCACCACAATCAACATAGAGAACAATTTTATCAGCTTTCATAATTACCCTGTGCCCCTTTGTAGTCAATTTATCTTGCCACCCCTAATTCCTGGCAACTACTGATCTGTATTATTTTCTATAGTTTTACCTTTTCAAGAAAGTCATACAACTGGAATCTGCAGCATGTGACTACTTAAGTCTGTTTCTATCACTTAGCAAAATGCATTTCAGTTTTATCCATGTTGTTGCTGTATCAATTCCACTTGTTCCTTTTTTGCTGGGAAGTATACCATTGTATGCCTATACTATAGTTTATCCATTACTCAGTTGAGTGGCATCTTGGTTGTTTCAGTTTGTGTGGGTCTTCATTTGTACCCTAAGGGAGATTCACCCCTTCCTCCGAAATGTAAGCCTTTTATTCTCTGGAAAGATAGAGAAGAGTAATTCAGGTGAAGCTTTGTACTTTTCCAGCAATAGTTGCTGTTCCTTCCTCCCAAAACTGCACCACAAGGAGGTTTTCTCAGATCTCTTGCCCTGTCCCTGATCCTTTGAGCACTGGGTAAAATCTCTGAGGAAGGATCTGCAAGTGGTTGAAAACCTCCTTTGTGTCTGTGGTTCATAGGAGTTCTGTGTATTCTTTCTAGCCCAAGCTCAACCTTTAGCAGCCTTTGTTAAACATTTACCTAAATTTTTATTAGCAGTTTGTATGGAATCTGTCATCTTCTCCAAGGTAGCAACTACTATGTCTTATCTCTCTTTGGCTGTACTTGTCTTTCTTAGATTTTGGGTTAGCTGTTTTTCCTGTGACCACAACTCTTTGATGGGTTCAAGAAAAGTTCTGACTTTTTAGATTATACAGTGTGTTTTTTGTTGTTGTCATCTATGTAGGAGTAATGCTCTATTCAGCTTTCTACATCTGAAACAGGAGCCAGAAGAAAACTCACGTTCAAAACTCATGTTGAAAGACTATTTCAGCCACGTGTATGTTATCTTTCAACACTATGCATGTCACTCAATTATTTTTGGCTTTCAGTCTTTTTCATGAGAAGTAAACCATACCTCTTATCATTGTTCATCTCTATGGAGTGTTCCTGACTTCTCTGGCTGCCTCCAGGATTTCTTTTTAATCTTTGATTTTTGGCACTTTGACTAAAGTGTACCTAGATTTGTTTTTCTTTTCATTTATTCTGTTTGGGGTTCTCTGATTTTCTGGAGTATGTGAGCTATTATTGGCCGATAATTTAAAAAAATTTTTTTTGACTATTACTAATTCAAATATCTTATTACCCACTCTTTTCTTCACCAAGGACTCTTTTTGCATTCATGCTAGATTGTTATATATTGTCCCATAGATCTTGAATGTTTCATTCAATTTTTCATGATTTTTGCTTTTTGTATTTCAGTTTAGTGAATTTCAATAGCACTGTATTCAGTTTAGTTGATCCTTTCTTGTATTGAAACTATGCGCTGATAAGGTTTTTGATGAAACTCTTTATTTCTGACTATTTTTATTTCTAGTATCTCAGGATTTTAAAAAATAGTTTTTATCTATCTGTTGAAATTCTCTATCTGTTCTTCATGTCATCTATCCCTAACATTTTAGCCAAATAATATTTCTATTTAATAATTTTAAAGTCCCATCTGATAATCCAATATCTGTGCCACATTTGAATTTTTTCCCTCTGACTATTTTATCTTTTGGTAACACATGATATTTGTTTGATATTTTTTGTATTTCACAATTCTTATTGAATGCCAGACTTTTAACAAAACCAGAGACTAAAGTAAATAATAGTTATGCCCAGAAATGTGAAAGTGTCTTATTCTGTCACGGTGTTATTGTGGAGGGTTGAATCAACCTAATTTGTATACAAGTTTGCTTTATACTTAGCTTTGTTGCACTACAGGTTTCAATGAATTTTTGAAGTGATATTCTGTTCATACTTTGTTTTAGTGTGAAGCCTGTAATGTCAAAGAGTTGTTTTTTTTTTTCTGTATTCTGTTCCTTCATTAGATTTCAGCAAGCACTGCATTTCTACACCATAATGGGGTTCTTTTCTGTGCTTCCGTCCCCTTTCCCAATGGTGTGTGTGTGTGTGTGTGTGTGTGTGTGTGTGTGTGTGTGTGTGTATTTTTTTTTTTTTTGAGACAGAGTCTCACTCTGACTCCCCAGGCTGAAGTGCAGTGGTGTAGTCTTGGCTTACTGCAACCTCTGCCTCCCAGGTTCAAGTGATTCTCGTGCCTCAGCCTCCCAAGTAGTTGGGATTACAAGCACCTGCTACCACACCTGGCTAATTTTCAGTAATTTTAGTAGAGATGGGGTTTCACCATGTTGGCCAGGCTGGTCTCAAACTCCCGACCTTACAGGCATGAGCCACTGCGCCTGGCCCATATGTGTATACATATACATGTGTGCATATATATGTATGTGTTCTTATCACTCTATATTCAGAAGACTCATGTAGGAAGAATTCTGCCTCAATATTAGGCAGGCTCTGTGTGTATCTGACCTCAGGTAATCAGTGGGACTCCTTCAACATCCTTGCTTTTCCTCCAACATCAAACAGTTATGCACTCTATCTCTTTCAGCTCGGTTCTGATCTTGGGTATTTCTTGTCTTCTGCTAGCTTTAGAGTTAGTTTGCTCTTGGTTCCCTAGTTCTTTTCATTGAGATGTTATGTTGTTAACTTGAGATATTTCTAGCTTTTGATGTGGGTATTTAGTGCTATAAATTCCCCTCTTAATGTTGCTTTAGCTGTATCCCCGAGATTCTGGCATGTTGTCTCTTTGCTCTCATTAGTTTCAGAGAACGTCTTGATTTCTGCCTTAATTTCATTGTTTATCCAAGAATCATTCAGGAGCAGGTTGTTCAATTTCCATGTGGTTGTGTGCTTTTGAGTGAATTTCTTAATCTTGACTTATAATTTGATTTCACTGTGGTCTGAGAGACTGTTATGATTTCAGTTATCTTTTGCATTTGCTGAGGAGTGTTTTACTTCCAATTATGTCATCAATTTTAGAGTAAGTGTCATGTGGTGATGAGAAGAATGTATATTCTGTTGAATTTGGGTAGAGCGTTCTCTAGCTATCTATCAGGTCCACTTGATCCAGAGCTGAGTTCAGGTTCTGAATGTCTTTGTTAATTTTTTGTCTTGATGATCTGTCTAATATTGACAGTTGGGTGTTAAAGTCTCCCACTGTTATTGTGTGGGAGTCTAAGTCTCTTTGTAGATCTCTAAGCACTTGCTTTATGAAAATGGGTGCTCCTATATTGGGTGCCTACATAATTAGGATAGTTAACTCTTCTTGTTGAATTGAACCCTTTACCATTATGTAATGCCCTTCTTTGTCATTTTTTTTTTATCTTTGTTGGTTTAAAATCTGTTTTGTCCAAAACTGGGATTATGACCCCTGCTTTTCTCTGTTTTCTATTTGCTTGGTAAATTTCCCTCCATCCCTTTATTTTGAGCCTATGTGAATTTTTGCATGTGAGATGGGCCTCTTAAAGACAGCATTCCAATAGCCCTTGGCTCTTTATCCAGCTTGCCATTCTGTGTCTTTTAATTGGGGTGTTTAGTCCATTTACTTTTAAGGTTAGTATTGTGAATTTGATCCTGTCATCATGATGCTAGCTGGTTATTTTGCAGGCTTTTTTATGTGGTTGCTACATAGTGTCACTGGTCTGTGTACTTCAGTGTGTTTTGGTAGTGGCTGGTAACTGTTTTTCCTTCCTTCATATTTAGTGCTTCCTTCTGGACCTCTTGCAAGACAGGTGTGGTGGTGAAAAATTCCCTCAGCATTTGCTTGTCTGAAAAAGACCTTATTTCTCCTTCACTTAAGAAATTTAGTTTGGCCAGGTATAAATTTCTGGGTTGGAAATTCTTTTCTTTAAGAATGTTGAATATTGGCTCCCAATCTCTTTTGGCTTCTAGGGTTTCTGCTGAGATGTCTGCTGTTAGTCTGATAGATTTCCCTTTGTAGGTGACCTGGCCTTTCTCTCTGGCTGTTCTTAACATATTTTCTTTCATCTCAGCCTTGGAGAATCTGATGATTATGTGTCTTGGGGTTGATCTTCTCGTGGAATGTCTTACTGGGGTCCTCTGCATTTCCTGAATTTCAATGTTGGCCTGTCTTGCTATGTTGGGGAAGTTCTCCTGGATGGTACTCTGAAGGATGATTTCCAACTTGGTTCCATTCATCCCATCTCTTTCAGGTACCCCAATCAGTCATAAGTTCAGTCTTTTTACATAATTCCATATTTCTCGGAGGTTTTGTTCATTCATTTTCATTATTTTTTCTCTATTCTTTTCTGCCTGCCTTATTTCAGAAAGATAGTCTTCAAGCTCTGAGATTCTTTCCTCTGCTTGATCTATTCTGCTATTGATACTTGTGATTGCATTGTGACGTTCTCATGTTGTGTTTTTCAGCTCCATTGGGTTGGTTATATTCCTCCCTAAGCTGGCTATTCTGGCTATCAGCTCCTGTATTGTTTTATCATGATTCTTAGCATCTTTGTATGGGGTTACAACATGCTCCTTTAGCTCTGCAAAGTTTGTTATTACTCACTTTCTGAAACCTACTTCTGTCAATTCAGCCATCTCAGCCTTAGCCCAGTTCTGTGTCCTTGCTGAAGATATGTTGCAGTCATTTGGAGGAGAAGAAACATTCTGCCTTTCTGAGTTTTCAGTGTTTTTGCATTGATTCTTTCTCATTTTTGTGGGCTTATCAGCCTTCAATCTTTGAGGTTGTAGACATTTTAACAAGGATTTTGTGGGGTTTTTTTGTTGATGTTTTTGTTGTTGTTCTTGTTTTTTGTTTCTTTGTTTTTCTTTTGACAGTCAGGCCACTCCACCGCATGGCTGCTGCCGTTTGCTGGGGGTCTGCTACAGAGCCCAGTTGCCTCAGTTTCTCCCATACCTGGAGGTATCACCAATAAAGCCCACAAAACAGCAAAGATGGCAGCCAGTTCCTTCATCTGGAAGCTTCATCCCAGGGTGGTACTGACCTGTTGCTGGCCCATACACACCTGTAGGAGGTGGCTGGAGACCCCCATTGGGAGGTCTCACCCAGTCAGGAGGAATGGGGTCAGGGATCCACCCAAAGAAGTAGTCTGGCTGCTTTTTGGTAGAGCATGTGTGCTACACTGAGGGAGATCCTTCCTTGTCCAGATCACCTGTATTCTCCAAAGCAAGCAGGCTGGAGTGGCTGAGTCAACCATACTGCGAGATGGGGGCCACCTCTTCCCATAGGAGCCGTGTCCCAGAGAGAGATCAAAGCTCTGTCTGTAGAATCCTGGCTGGACTGGCTGAAGCCCCTGCAGGGAGGTCTTGCCAAGTGAGGAGGAATGGATCAGGGTCCTCCTTAAAGAGGCAGTCTGGTGATGATCTGGCAAGGCAGCTGTGCTGTGTTGTGAGGGAGCCTTCCTCATCCAGACCATCTGTGTTATCCACAGCCAGCAGGCTGGAGCAGGTGAGTCAATGCAACAGCAGAAATGGAAGCTGCCCCAGGAAATTGGACCCATCTCAGGCGGACTCCACCCACTGCCATTGGCTGGCTGGGATTCCAAACCAATGGGCTTTAACTTGTGAGGTGCTGTGGAAGTGGGGCCTGCAAAATAACTCTGCCTGGCTCCCTGGATTCAGCCCCCTTCCTAGGGATATGTACAAATATATTTCCTACCTTACCAAGAATCCTGGGGCCAGAGTATGTAAAACTCCTGGATCTCTGTTTGTGCCTGAGCGACTACTCTGCCAAGACACCACATGGCTGTGTGTATCAGACCCAAGGCCCTAGTTGCACGGCTCCTGAGGGGATCTCCTGATCAATGGGTTGCAAAGATCTGTAGAAGCATGGTTTCCCAGGTGGGGGGGTACAATCACTCATCATTTCCCTTGACTGGGGATGTGTATTCCTTTGGCTCCATGCCACTTCTGGTGGGCTGTCCCCCAGCCCTGCCTACCCCCCTAGTTTTCTTCTTTATCTGTGGGTCAAGTTGTTTGCCTAGTCAATCTCAGTGCAAGAATCTCTATATCTCAGTTGGAAGTGCTGAATTCCCTCACACCTTTCATTCCTCTCTGTGAGGGCTGTGCACCACAGCTGCTTCTAATCAACTATCTTGGATCCCTGTCCAAATTGTACAGATTTGACCCTGTCATTTTTTTCTTTAAATCGTTCAGTGCCCTTAGAGACAGCCACCTTATGCTGTATTCCTTGAATTATTTTTACCCATCAGACAAGTCTGTCATGGCAAAAACAAGGAGCCCTCCTTTGCTTCAAACTTGCTTTCAATCAGTTCTTCAATCATGGTTATCACAGGGAATACTTTAATTTTCTATTTCATAACTGTCATGTGCACCCAGCTGCCCATCCATTCATGATAATGGGATTTTCATTGTCCTTAGCAGTGATAGCAGACAAGCTTGCATTTATTCCATTTTACTCTAAATCTCCTATCTACCATGTAGTCTTGGTTTCAAAGGCTGTTCTTTGCATCCGAAACAATTTCTCTTGTTTGCATAGGGTTCTTGTTTCAGATGCAAGAAACAACAGAATTGGTAGTATATGTAGACAATAAGGCTTGGAAAGTAGGCAGGAACCTATAGTAGATCAAAGGTGGGAGATAAATGTCCAGGGTATCACCAACAGCACTGTCTCCTCTGAATATGCACTACAATAGCAAAGATACAGAAGATTTGAACAACACATCTAACAAGTTTGATTTAAGGAGCACATATAGAACCTTGTACCCAACAGTGAGAGTATCACCCATTCATCATAATGACACAAGCAACATTTTCAAACCTGCAGTCTGCCTTTCCTAAGGAAGACAGAGAAGGATAGTACTTGAAGTCATTTACAGGCCTTTTTTGCTTTGTGAATATAAACAGGGAATAAGCAGATGTCAAAAAGTTCCTTGTACTCCAGGAGGATACATGATATTAGACTATGATAGTTACAATTATAACTTTATATGTAATCATTGCATATTGCAGTTATATTTTTGTGGAAAAATGAGGCCATGAACACTAGCTCAATGGTTAATCAGTTTCAATGACCAGTCTGTGGCGTAAACAAATCCTTACAGAAGCAAGTCACTTTAACGGTCTGTCTGTAGCTAAGGCTCCACTGAAATGAAAATTTACTAACACATAATTTTATAGATTATTTATAGATCAGTTATTTTAACCATCTTACTCCTACCTCAAATCAACTGCAAGATTAAAGTGATCAGAATATTATGAGAAAAGGCTTTTTTTCAACTTTGGACAAGCCCTATATTTTTCAAAATATCCAGTGTCTATATATCATATTTTGATTGGTATCGTGTCACAATCGCAATGATACTCTATGGCATTTTATGACAGCCAGAATACCAATTTAACTTTTATGAGAAGGCCTTTATTCTTCATTTTTAAACCTTCTCTTTTAGTTTCAAGCATAACCAAAGTTCTACTTTGCAGTCTCCTTATACAGAAATTAACTACATTCCACTCAATTTGTTGAACATCAACTAATATTTAATGAGTACCCAGTGGCCACATGGCAGTGTAATAAGCATTCTTCTCTTTAAATATCTGTTTGTTCCTGGATTACTGTGTCTTTTTAAGATGCCGAGAATCTCAGCAGTTCACAACCTGAAAAACATAATAGGCCCCTTATGAAGAATTAACACTCTCTAAAATATCCCAGAAAAGAAAGAAAAAGAAACATCATGCCCCTGAATATTAATAAATACCACAGTTGTAAGTTTTTACAGAAAGAGTTATTCTATTTTTCAGATTTTGAACAGCATTTTAATAGGTCCAGAATATTAAGAAGAAAAGAAAGTGAATAATGGAAGCACAAACTCTGCACCTAATATTCGCAAAGTTTACTAAGTACTTAAAGGAACTGTGTATTCCACATCCATTGAAACTAATAGATGCAGCGTTTTTGCAGGGGTGAGGGGTATCATTGATATAAACAATGGAACAATCAAGCAGAAATAGAATTACTATCTTAAAACATAAATATGAATATATTTTCCAATGACTAAAGGACTGACGAACTTGGTTATAGTTGGAGCTATGACTTCTTTCCTTGTTGGTGGAAAGGTGGGTGTGGGTGTAGGGGCCAGGGGCCATTAGCACATCTAGGAATTCTTTACACTCAGACTGAAGTCTAATGAGTATACTAAGAAAGTATAATGCCCAGGCTATGTTTATCTAAAATAATGTATTGGAAACTGACGATGGGCAGTCTAGATAAGAAAATTACCAGAATCTACCTGTTAGCAGAGTGAATTGCAGATGGTCATCTACTCCACAGATTGGCAGGACTGAGCCTAGAGGTCAGCATTAGGAAAACATGGGCAACAGGAAAGCATTTTAAATATTTGTTGGTACACTTAATCTGATGGATATAATCCTGTTGACATATCTAGTTGGACAGATCTGTATGTGGTAGATTCATTTGTTAGACTTTCTGACAGGCTTATGTTTGCCAGAAGAGATGTGAAAACTTTCAGCATAGATAAGAAAAAGCCATGTGAAAACCATACGTATTGCAACAGACAGTGTGTTGTCTGAGAGGCAAGAAGATAACTTTACCAGGAAAAAAAAAATGGCCATTTTATGAAAGCTATTAGTCCTTACCACCCTGCTTTCTACTATAAGAAGCAATGGAAAGTTCCTTTTCAAATATGAGAGTAGTTATAGCCCTGGTCTCCAAGAGCTTAGAGACTTCTGTAGTAGCTCTGATCAGATGCAGGTGTAAAGGATATGTGCCATGCTTAATACTAGGCATAGGGTATGGCACTTAACTTGCATTTTAGAAGCAATTTGAGTCAGACTCAGAAAGAGTAGTTATCTGACACTGGACAACAAAAAGTAAGGATGTGTTTTGCATTTTTCATTTAAAAATGCATTGGTGCTGCAGAGTGAGTTATATATATGTCCTCCAGTACTTAGAATCAAATTCTCAGTTTTCTCCAATGTAAAGAATTGGAAATAAACCTAGAGGTGTGCCTACAAGGACTCACTGTAGAAATTTACCAAAGTTGTATCTGTGATAGTAAAAGCTATCATCATTGAGCACTGTTTGTCAGGTATTTCTCTCAGCACTTACGTAAGTTTTTTCGTTTAGTCCTCTTAATAGGCCTATGAATGAGGGACAATCATTACTCCATTATTATAGATGAGGAATTTGAGGCTCAGAATGCTTCTTCTGCAAATAGTCAGTGGTGGAGCTAGGACTGGAATCCAGGTCTGCCTAACTCCAGAACCATCAAACTTGCCACCTACTAATTTATTTTGAAGGATAGGATTTCTGGGATATATATGTATATATAGTCTTTCCTGTGTGAATGGTATTATTAAGAGTAATAATGAAAATTGTGATAACAATAATGATAATTATGAAAACTGCTCTTAATTTAGGACTTACGTGCCAGGAACTGTAAGTACATTCTAAATATTATTTATTATGAACCGAATGTTTGTGTCCCATCAAAATTTATATGTTGAAGTCCTAATCCTCAATATGGATGTATTTCAAGGGGGGCCTCTAGGGAAGTAGTAGTTAAGGTTAAATGAGGTCATGGGGTGAAGCCCTGATCTAATAGGATTAGTGTCCCTATAAGAAAATCAGCAAAGTGTTCACTCCCTCACTCTCTGCACACTGACAAAGAGGAGGTCAGAAGAGGACATGGCCAAAAGTCAGGACTCTGCAACCCCAGGGGAGTGCCCTCAGCAGACATCAACCCTGCCAGCACCTTGATTTTGGACTTCCAGTCTAGAGAACTGTGAAAAAGTGAACTTCTGTTGTTTGAAACATCCAGTCTATGGTATTTTATTATGGCAGCCTGAGCGGACAAATGTATTGTTGTATTTCGTTCTCATAATACATATGCCTTAGGTATCATTATTTTCCCAATTTAACAGACAAAGTAACTAAGTTTTAATTGTAAACTGTCACAATTAGTGAGTTTAAGAACTAGAATTTGACCATGGATCTTTCCAACTCTAAATCTTATGTGCTTTAAAACTGTGACACACATTTTATCCTCATTCTGAAGAATCTCAATATACATTGGCCTACTGAGAAGTCCAGCAGAAACCCAGCCCCTTCACAGAATGCCATGGCCCATGGGGAACAGTCATGGAATCATTTTAGAGAATACTGATTCCAATATGAGTTAGAATTTTATAGTTACCGATTATGAAACATTTCTTACAGAAATGTATTCCCAAAGATACCCTGAAAATAAGTTAAAGAAGACAATTTGGCTCACAGAAACTTGTTAAATTCATAATTTATTAGTAGTGCTTCAAATGGAGATAAGACATATGAATTCCTGAGTAGGCTGAATGAGCTTCTGTACTTTGAACAGATAGTAAGTATTCAACTGAAAATCAGGAAGACCACCTGCCAGATAGTTTTTCACATGTAAAAAAGCTGCATTGTATGTCTATAATTTCATTAAGGCTCAAATACATTAAACTTGGGAAAAGGTGAGTTATTATTAAAGATATTTTAAAATTAAAGTTTGCAAGTACTCATCTGTCAGAAATTGGTAGAGTTTCAAAATAGCCAATACCACAGACCCACAAAGGAGCATTATGTAGACTGTTTATCCTACAAAGTTACCATAACCACTGCCATCATTGCTTGGTATAGATCTGCAGAACCGAAAGAAAAGAAAAATGGGTAGTAAATATTCAATGAACTAGAACAGAGATCAATGCCTTAAGTAGAATCTTCACATCTTCTTTTGTCATATATATCATAGCCTATTTTAATCTACCTGAACTGTTATTTTTTAACAGATGCATTGAGATATTATTTACATACCAAACAATTCATCCATTTAGAGTGCATCATTCAATGGTTTTTAGTGTCTTCACAGAGTTATTCAACCATCACTACTCTCTAATTTTAGAACATTCTCATAACCTCCAAAGGAAACCTACTTATTAGTGGGCAGTCTCCATTTCCCCACAACCAACTCACCTCCTCTCAGCTCTAGGAAACCAGTAATCTACCTTTTTTTTTTTCTTTTTTGAGACGGAGTCTCACTCTGTCACCCAGGCTGGAGGAGTGCAGTAGTGCCATCTTGGCTTACTGCAACCTCTGCCTCCAGGGTTCACTCCAGGGTTCAAGCAATTATCTTGCCTCAGCCTCCCTGAGTAGCTGGGACAACAGACGTGTCCCACCAAGCCCGGCTAATTTTTGTATTTTTAGTAGAGATGGGGTTTCACCATGTTGGCCAGGCTAGTCTCAAACTCCTGATCTCAAGTGATCTGCTCGCCTCAGCCTCCCCAAGTGCTGGGATTACAGAAGTGAGCCACCACGCCTGCTGTAATATACTTTTTATCACTTGTAGATTTTTCTATTCTGGATATTTCAGATAAAATAAATTATATGATTTTTCGTGACTAGCTTTTTCCACTTAGCATAAAGTTTTCAAAGTTCATCTATTTGTTGCATAGATCAGGACTTTATTCCTTTTTATGTATGGCCAGCCAAGTAACATTTTGTTGTATGGGTATACCACATTTTGCTCATTCTGTCATTTGAGGGACTTTTGGATTGTTTTCACTTTGGGCTATTATAAATAATCCTGCTATGAACATTCATAACATGTTTCCATGTGAACATAACTTTTTATTTATCTGGAGTGCTTATGTTGAAGTAGAATTGCTGTGTCATATGGCAACTCTATGTTTTAATAAACTGTGTATTTTACAAGGAGCTTTACTATTTTACACTGCTACCAGAAGTATACAAGGGTTTAAATTTCTTTATATCCTCTTTAAAACATATTATTGTCTAACTTTTTAAATATAATCATCCAAACAGGTGTGAAGTGATACCTCAGTATGGCTTTTATTTTCATTTTGATGATGGCTAGTGGTGTTGAATATCTCTTCATGTGCCTTTTTCCATCTATCTATACTCTTCAGTAAACTGTGTCTTTTGCCCATTTTGTAACTGATTTTTTTTTTCTATTGAGTTTTGGGAGCCTTTTATGTATTCAAGATACTAGTATATCTGAAACATTGACTTTGTATCCTACAACCGTGCTGAACTTGTTTATTTGTTCTAGTTTTTATGTGTATTCCTTAGGATTTTCTATATGCAAGGTCATGTATTTAACGAGAGATAGTTTTACTGCTTCATTTTCAATCTTTAATATCCCTGGCAATTGCTTTGACTAGAACTTATAGTACAATATTTAATAGAAGCAGCAAAAGCAGACATCATTGTCTTGCTCCTAATTTTAAGGAGAAAGCACTCTGGTTTTTGCCATTAAGTATGAAGTTAGATTTGGATTTTTCATAGATATCCTTTATAAGATTGAGGAAGTTCCTTCCTATTCCTAGTTTGTTGAGTTTTTCTTTTTAATAAGTGAGTGTTGAATTTGTCAAATGCCTTTTATTCATTTCAATAGATGTTAGTTTTTGTCCTTTATTCTATTGCTATAGTGTATTGCATTTATTGACATTGGATGTTAAACTAGCCTTGTATTCCTGAGATCAATTATACTTTATTATGGTATATAATTCCTTCAATATGTTTCTGGACTTGAATTGCTGGAATTTTGTTACTCGAACTGTTCTTACCCAGCTATTTAGTGACTTTATAAGGGTCAAACTGTTAAGTCCAATAGCATCTGTTCATTGATTTAGCATCTGAGATCATTCTCGATTCTCCTCTAATATTTTCCTTTTCTCCTTTATCACATGAAAAGCCATCAATCTTTCAGGTCCTTCCCTTGGCTTTGCCTTTTTGTGTTTTCTCTGTTCTCATCTATTATAGATAGCACTTATCTTTACATATCCTCATCTAGATTGAATGTCTCTCAAAGTTAGGCTGTTATTTTTCTTCACTTTCCACAGTTCGTCATATGTGAAGACTTTCAAACTATTCCTCCTCTTCCCTTTTCTTTCTTCCTTCTCCTTCCCCTCTTTCCTTTTCCCTTTCTCCTCCCTCCTTATCTGCTGTATCCCTCTAACCCTCCTTATTTTCCTTTTCCTTTTTCTGGCTAAATAAATGTGTGTGTGTGTTTGTGTGTGTGTGTGTGTGTGTATGGAGAGAGAGAGAGAACACTTAAAGAAGAATGGAAATAAAGAAGACAGTTTTCTATTTAAGCACTAACTGTAAACTATTGATCATTGTGTCTTGGGAAGAGAATAGTAAAGATGGAAGTAAAGGAAAATACCTTGGAGTAGTTTTCACTTAATAAAATGTCAGTGAGTAGAATTAGGACAAAAGAGTGAGAACAGTCCCTTGTATCGATCAGATTAAACATTTAAAGGATTTTAGGACAGTGTTTCCCAGATTGTGCTTTAGATGTTAATATGTGTTTGGGGGTAAACTAAGTCATTTAAGTCTAGCAATTTTTATGTAAAATAAAGCTAAACAATATTTAGAGATTCTAATAGATCGGCATATTGCCAATATTAAATGATCATAATAGTTATCATTTCTCAAACATATTTAAACATGAGCCACCTGGAAAACACTGTAGCAGTCACCTAGGCATGCTTAGCTTTTAGATGGGGAATATCCATTGGCCATACCATTCAGAAATGTCAGGGTAGTGGATGAGATAACATGGTAGTAGTTTTTTTTTTTAATTTTCTTGATAATTAAGTTTCGGCTCAACCATTATAAAGTCAGGCCATTAGATAAATATAATCATGTGATGATTATAGATGATGTTTTACCTGAAACTACTCCCTCAGCATTTAAACTTGCCTCTTAGCCTCCAACTTATAGTTGCAAAAATAAAGAGAATAAAATATTTTAAAGCAGTAGTATCACAACAAATATTAATAAAATAAAATGTGACTTAAGGCCAAAACAAAAAAATAAATTGTATATTTATTCATTAATGTTGTGGTTAAATACAAAGTCAGGCAGGGAAACATTTGCAATATAAGATATATAGGTACTTAAATTCTGCAATAAAACCAATTTTTTAATTATTATTTTACTGTAAGTTCTGTGGTACATGTGCAGAATGTGCAGGTTTGTTACACAGGTATACATGTGCCGTGGTGGTTTGCTGCACCCATCAACCCGTCATCTACATTAGGTATTTCTCCTAATGCTATCCCTCCCCAGGCCCCCACACCCTGACAGGCCCCGGTGTGTGATGTTCCCCTCCCTGTGTCCATGTGTTCTCATTGTTCAACTCCCACTTATGAGTGAGAACATGCAGTGTTTGGTTTTCTGTTCCTGTGTTAGTTTGCTGAGAATGATGGTTTCCAGCTTCATCCATGTTCTTGCAAAGGACATGAACTCATCCTTTTTTTATGGCTGCACAGTATTCCGTGGTATATATGTTCCAAATTTTCTTTATCCAGTCTATCATTGATGGGCATATGGGTTGGTTCCAAGTCTTTGCTATTGTGAACAGTGCTGCAGTAAACATACGTGTGCATGTGTCTTTGCAGTAGAATGATTTATAATCCTTTGGGTATATACCCAGTGATGGGATTGCTGGGTCAAATGGTATTTCTAGTTCTAGATCCTTGAAGAATTGCCACACTGTTTTCCAAAATGGTTGAACTAATTTACACTCCCACCAACAGTGTAAAACCATTCCTATTTCTCCACATCCTCTCCAGCATCTGTTGTTTCCTGACTTTTAATATTTTTTAAAAAATTTTCTGTGAAATTTTCATATTGATAGTGCAGAAGGCACATGTATTTCAGTGACAAATTTGCTTTATCCAAAAAATTATATATATGAGAAAAGAATGAAAATGAAATATTTATTTAAAACTGCTTTTGTATTTTTAGAGAAACAATTCATTTGTCCATTAGTAATGAAAATTATAGCTGCATTGTATTGTTTAAAATTTTAATTGGCTAATAATTATTACAAGCTTAGGTTGTCTTAGACGAAAGGGTTTCCATAATGGCATTGTGATGGTTAATACTGATTGTCAACTTGATTGGTTTGAGGGATACAAAGTATTAATCCCGGTTGTGTCTGGATTCACATTTACGTCAGTGGGTTGGGGAAGGCAGATCCACCCTTAACCCGGTGGGCACAATCTAATCACTTTCCAATGAATATAAAGCAGGCAGAAAAAGTGAAAGAGACAGGCCTAGCCTCCCAGCCTACATCTTTCTCCTGTGCTGGATGCTTTCTGCTTTTGAACATCAGACTCCAAGTTCTTCAGTTTTGGGACTCAGACTGGCTCTCCTTGCTCCTCAGCTTGCAGACAGCCTATTGTGGGACCTTGTGATCCAGTAAGTTAATGCTTAATAAACTCCCTTTTATCTCTATCTATCTATCTATCTATCTATCTATCTATCTATCTATCTATCTATCTATCTATCTATCTATCTATATCTTATTAGTTCTGTCCCTCTAAGAGAACCCTGACTAATACAGGCTTAATGCAGAACAAAAATACAGGTGGAAAATTTGGGTGGGGTGAAAAATAGGTAAAACTTCATTATTACTAATAGTGTTGTAGTAGCAAAAATAAGCTTTTAATGGTTAAATATAATCTTGACTTATTAAAATAAATGATATTGTTTGTATTATTTCATTTTTTAGACCTGGTCCTGGAACTGTATAGTTAAGTGGCTGCATTCTTCCATCAGAAATGCCTTCTCATGTGCATTCTTACCAAGTCATATTTCGACTTCTGTCTTCTATCTGAAGGCAGGTCATTACTTTAATGGAATATTCTTCACATTCATAACATTTGTTTCTGATAATCTTCGCCCATTTCCCAAGGCTTTTTCCCAGTCACTCACTCCCTAAATACATTCCAGCCTTCTGATCTGCAAGGGCAGAAGGAGTCACTATGAACCCTTGGCTATCACAGCACCCTCTTCACACCTCAATTACTGCACTTACACCTTATTATAGTTATTTCCGAAAAAATAGCCTATCTTCTTGCACAAAATAATTGACTGAATTTTAACAGATGCAAGGAAGAGATCCTTTAAGAAGTTAAAAAAATCACTGATATGGAGGAAAGAACACGGATGTGGACAAAAAGTTCAGTGAGAAAAGTCCAGTGTCATGGTATTTTTAATGATTAAGTCTCTAATGGAACTCAGAGTTTTCCTCAGACACAGTATAAAAGAGGAATATAATCACTGAGAAAATATTTTCATAGCTCTTGATTACAAAGTACATTTTTCATGTGGTATTGCTTTTACAGTGTTTCATGTGGTATTTTTTAATTATTGATAAGAGAATGTCAACAGTAGTTAGGAGACAAATATGTTGAAAAAAATAGAGTGATTACTTTTGTATAATTATTTCCTGTAGATTTTATACTTAAAATTCAAAGCATAACATCTGTGTGTGTGTAACTTAACAAAAGAATTTTATGCAGAGATAAGCATGTAGATTCAGAACTGTTTTTAAAATATAAAGTATGCACAGTAGAGTTTTATAATTCTGTTAAACATGCCTGTCTTTTGCATTACCAAAAGACAGAAAGTGCATTTTAAATTGCCTTATATCTAGTTACAGTAACAAAGTCAGTATCAGAGACATAGAAGGTGCTAAATGAATTCCAGCATTTTCTGTTTGAAAAAATTAATAAAACATATTGCCCAACATTGGTCATTACACAGAGTATCTATGGTTCTTTTTTATACTTTGAAGATAAAATGAAAATTGCCAGCTAGATAGCAAAACAATTCAATTTTGATTTGCACATATTAACGTATGATCTTACACACATAGTTTTACACACACACACACACACATAAGTTTTATTTTCACTCTTCAACAATGGGTTTAGTTGTTTAAATTATACAACATTTCTCCCATGTCTGCTTGTTGATTTAGGTCCTTTCAGAGCAGTGGTGCCTATTTTTATTCATTTGTTTCCGTGTTTCCTGGAGGAACAGTTTGTTCACAGATCATATTTTTTTTCTTGAGCTCTTCTTTTCTCATTGTTATGTTTTCTTTGGTTAACTACACTTTATAGGTTTTCTCATTTGGATTATCCAACTTGGGATGGTGAAATTTTAACATCCCAACCCTGACTGAAAATTTTCCTTGTTCAACTGAAATGGAGTTGAGCTTTGGTGAAATGTGGTTAAATATGGGTTGGCTACAGCTTTGTCTGCTCTTGTACACTTTTCACAGATAAAAATTACACTAGGTTGTACTTTTATGCCCCAGAATTAATGACTGAATATGCAGTATGTAGTATTATAATGGTTCCATGGCATAATTGGGATCTTAAACACCCTTTATGACATTTCCAGCCAAAAGGTTGCGTGGAATTCAAAATCTCAGTACACCTAATCAAATTCTAGGGAATATGAAAGAATAATGGAAAAAATTGAGGACTTAATGTTCTAAACTCCTTCAATAAGTTAATTATAAAATGAATTATTGAGTTAATGTGCACTTTACTTTCATGCAGGACAATTTTCCTTTAGTATTTCCTAATGATTCAAAAAAAATTGAAAAGGGCAGATTTTAATGTTAGCATTTTTACTAATAGATTCTATTTTTCAAGCAAAGGCTTCATGTAAATGTGGATGGTAAGGCTTTTCTACCTAAAAGATTTTCTTAGATTAAAAACTAAGGTGTGAGCCGTTTTAGTTATTTAAAAAGGTCCCGTCCCTCTGCTCTACTGATCTCCATTGCATTTACAAACTTTGCATTTATAAATGGCAATATATTCATTTGTTCCATTTTCTTTTCTCATTAGGTCTTTAAATTCATTAACAAAATGATGTAGTATTTAGCGCTTTTACATGACTTTTTACAAAGCTGTGAGACCTGTTCAATATTCTTTAGTTTATTTTACTGGCGGCTCAACTCAAATACAGTTATTTTGAAAGAATCTGGTAGCTTTAGGGTTTGAGTTACACAACTATGATTTTATTAAGGCCAAAGAGAAATTTAAAAAATAAGACCAGTTTTTAAGTAATAAAGTTAATATTTTTTCAAGATGAGAAAAGGGAAGGGTAAGAATAGACTATAAACATGGGCTAAAACTTACAAGTAGAATTATTGATCTCCATCTTAGACCTGAGTCTTTCTATTATATTCATTCATTCAACCATAAAAAACTTTTTTGAGGCATACTCAAGGCAAGGGTTTCTGGGAATTAAATATCAATTTTTCCCACTCCAGACCTTCAGGAAGCTATAATCTATTAAGTGAATAATAGACATATAAATGTCTACAATATTTGATAAAGATATAAATAAAGTGCTACAGATTTTAGAAAATGAAAAGAGTATTTCCAACTGGGGAAACAAAAAGCCCTCTAGAAAAGATGCAAATTGAGTTAGACCTGAAAAGACTAGGAGAATTTTCATAAATGTTGGTAGAAGAAGGCATTGTAGGCAGATGGAATAGCTAGAGGTTAAATATAATTGGAGAATCATAGATTTTTTGTTTTGTTTTACTCTTTTATGTTTTTTTAAGTAAGAAATATTTTGACTAACTAAATTAAGCTTCTTGACAGATATAGAATACTGAATGCAAATCTATGAATGCATTTTCACATTTTCAAGTGCACTTAGAATGTTTACAAAAAAGAATCATATGCTGGGGCATAAAGCAAATTTTACTAGGTGGTTTAAACAACAAATATTTATTTCTCACAGTTCTGTAGCCTGGGAAGCTCAAGACCAAGGTGCCAACAGACTTGATGTCTGTTAAATCCCTATCTCTGACTCACAAAATGGCTACCTTCTTGATGTATCCTCACATGGCCGTGACAGAGATAATCTCTCTCCTGTATCCTCTTAAAAGGGTACTAGTCCCATTCATAAGGGCTCCATTCTCATGACCTAATTACCTCCCCAAAGTCCCACTGCTCAATCCTATAACAATGGAGATTAGGGCTTCCATATATGAATTTTGGGGGCACAAAAATCAGTCAGTGCATAGCACCTGACATTAAAAATTTGTCTCTTGCCTACCTCTTTAGGCTTATATTCAACCACTTTAGTGCTCCATTTCCCCCAATAATGTCTGACATAAAATAATCACATATCACTTTTTATAAATTTTTTTATTGAGATATAAGGTACCTCATAAAATTCTGCCAATGTCATTTCCAATTTAAGAATTTTAGTGAAATTTTACTACCATCACTGCAATCCAGTTTTTCAATAATTCCATCACTCTAAAAATTATGTTGATACCATTTTAAATTAATTTATATTATTCATTTTAAATTAATTTCAGTCTTAGGCACCTTTGGTTTGCTTTTCAGTCAGCATACATATTCTGTCTTTTCTGTATATTTCTATAATTTAAATCATACAATACAAAATATTTTGAATGTAGTATGTTTTTGAGGTTCATTATTTGAGGTTCGCTATTTCATCTTTTTTATTGCTGAAGAGTATTTCATTGTACAGTATACAATATTTTGCTTATGAAATCACCAACTGATGAATATTTTAATTGTTTCCAGATTTGGGCTGACAAAAATTATGTTGCTAAGGATATTTATTTACAAGTCTTTGTGTGGACATAGTTTTTATTTCTCTTGGGTAGAATACTAGGAGTGGAATTGCTGGGTCATAGAGCAGATTTATGTTTAACTTTAAGGCTATGGTCCCCAGTAGTTTTGGCACTAGGGACTGGTTTTGTGGAAGACAGTTTTCCATGGATGGGGCAGCGGCAGATGGCGAAATGGTTTTTGGATGAAATTGTTCCACCTCAGATCTTCAGGCATTAGATTCTCATAAGGAGCACACAACCTAGATCCCTCACATGCACAGTTCACAATAAGGTTCCTGCTCCTATGAGAATACAGTATCACCACTAATCTGACAGGAGGTGGGGCTCAGGTGGTGATGCTATCTTGCCCATTGCTCACCTCCTGCTGTGTGGCCTGGTTCCTAACAAGCCAAGGACTAGTACAAGTCCATGGCCTGTGGGTGGGGGACACCTGCTTTAAAGAACTAATAAAATGTTTGCCAAAGTGACATGTAATTTCACATCTCTGCCAGCAATGTATGAAGGTTCCAATTTCTTCACCTCCCAGCTAGTACTTGGTATTATCTTCTTTATTATAAATCTTCTGTCAGGTATGTAGCATTATCACATTGTGGTTTAATTTACATTTTTTACTAAGGAATGATATGAAACCTTTCCATTTACATACATCAGCTACTTGTATACCTATGGTGAAATGCCTGCTCAAGCCTTCTGTCCATTTTCTTGTTGAAGTTGTCTTATTGAGTTGTAAGTGTTCTTTAAATATTTTGAATATAAGGTATCCATCAGATATGTTATTTGCAAACACATTCTCCCTTCCTGTGGACTATTTTTACCTATGGTTTTGTCCAGAAGTTTGAAAATATAGTTCTTACATTTATGCCTTTAATGTATTTTGTGCTAATTTTTGTGTATAATCTTAGAAAGGGGTGTGAGGGTTTCTTTGTTGTTGTTGTTGTTTTTTAATTTGGCTACTCCATTGTCTCAGAACCATTTAGCAAAAGGACTATCCATTATGTATTGAATGTCTTGGCATCTGTGTCAAAAATCAATTGACCAGAAATATATAAGAGTTTATTTCTGAATTCTCATTTATTTTTCATTTACATATAAGCCTACCCTCATCCTACTATCATATTGTCTTGATCGGTGTAGTTTTACAATAAGTTTTGAGATCAAAGTCCTCCAGCTTTGTTCTTTCTCAGAGTCATTTTTCCATATCTTTTCAACTCAGCTCAACTTCTTTCAAAAAATGCCTATGAATTTGACACGTTGTATTTTATCTATACATTATTTAGGGGAGGAAGGCCACTTTAACTCCATTGAACTTTCAATTTATGAACATGAAGTGTCTGTTTATGTCTTTAATTTTTCTCAGTAAAGTTTTGTTGTCCTTATTTGTACAAATTGTATCATTCTTTTATTCAGTTTATTCCTAGGTATATTTTTCTTTCTTAAGCTATTATAGTTTTTTTTAACTTTCATTGTTAGATTTTATGTTGATAAAAAATATAATTGATTTTTCATTATATTTTTCTTTAGCTTATGAAGAAAATTTAAAAGCCCTTATTACACCACTCCCCACCACAATACTTGTTTCCCACGTGCAAATAACTGCTATCAGTTTGAATTTTCATCTCTTCTGGTGCTTACCTCCATCTTGCTAAATAAATTTTAATTTTAGACATTAACCTTTTTCTCGCTAAATAAAAAGTGAGTCAGATTTCACCACCTTGTTTCTCAGTATACTTTTTTTCTTCAAAATGCTGGTAGTTATTTTTTGTCACTCTTTTGATTATAATTGTTATTTTAAACAGTACTCTTAGTGTTTCAGTTTTCATTAGGAGCAAAACAGCAAAGCATCACAGCTTTTCCACTTCCTCACTTAAAAATAATAGGCAAGAACAATGGGAATGAAAAAAAATCTCCACAATTTACACCATTAGTGAGAAGGACCTAGGGATTTCTGGCAAATTCCCTTTAAGATGTAAACGAGCAGGTAGCAGGGGACATTCAAACCTAGAATTACTGCAAATAGCTGTGATGGTGTGGTGGGCATCATGGGGGAAATTAGGAAGCTGAAGGAAGACCTAGAGAAAGCAGCACCCAGAGAACATCCCCACCCCTAGTGGAAACTGATTTAGCCAATTCTGAGAATAAACAGGGTAGCAAACAAGTGCTGTAAGTGGCTAAGTGGAGAAAGTATGATGAAGGGAAGAGAAAATGAGTTAGAGGGGAGTCATATTAAAGAAACTGCTATCACTGTAGCAACAAAAACAGTTACTGAGCTGAAAAAGCTTCGCCCCTGCATGTCCAAGTTTCCTCCCACTGGTCCACAAAAATCCAACACTCATGTTTAAACATAAATACAAATTTTCTTAAAAATAATGAGAATATAAATTTTTATTGGAGTAATATCACTTAACATGAGATCTACTCACTTAAAAATATAAATGTACAATACAGTTTTGTTAATTATAAACCCTATGTTTTACAGCAGACTTCCAGAACATATTCATCTTGCACAAATGAAACTTTAGACTCACTGGACAGCTACTTTCCATTTCTCCCACCCTTCAGTATCTGGAAATCGCCATTCTACTGTTTCTATGAGTTTGACAATATTGGATACCTTATAGAAGTGGAATCATGAAATATTTTTCTTCTGTGACTGGCTTAGTTCATTTAGCACAATGTCCTCCAGATTCATTCATTTTGTCACATATGGTAGGATATCCTTCTTCAAATGTCCACTGATGAATGAATGGATAAAGAAAATGTGGTATCTGCATACAAGGGGATATAATTCAGCCTTTAACTAATTTTTGTATCAGGGTAATAATACTAGCCTCTTTCAGCTCTTTGGATTTATTACTCCACTGTTTTCCAGACTCCACTGTCTTTGATGAGAAATCTGCTGTTAACTTTATTGTTTTCCCTGTATATGATGTGTCAGTATTTTTTTTTTTTTTTGCTATTTTCAAAATTTTATCTTTGTCATTGACATTGGACTGCTTGATAATAATGTAGCTAGTTTGAATCCTTCTGTGCTTATTCTGAGATTCTTTGAGCTTCAAGATTATATGTTCCTCAAATGTGGGAAGATTTTAGGACTCTCCCCTAATCTGTGTGTTCACATGTACTCCATATGTCATGGATTTTTTGGGTGGTTTGATTCTGCTCTGGTCTCTGCCAGACATGTATATAGTTTCTGGTCAAACTGATAGAATTGGAGAAGTTATCAGGTCCTCTATTCTTATCTAATTTCCTGGAATTCCCTTTTATAACCTACCTAGTCCAATGGACCGTTGCTTACCTTAAGCAGGCTACAAACTCAGGGTGGCAGATCTAGAGGGCCCTCCCATTGGCTTGCCACTGAAAGTACCACATTTATAGACAGTTTCCAATCAGGTGCACCTCTTCCCACAAAGACAAGGAAGATACAGAATTTCATAGTTTTACCTACTCTGATTGAACTCTCATGTTCACAGGTCTGCAGAGGTGACGAGAGCAACCTTAGTTCAAAATGCCATAGAGGCTTACTGTTCTTACCTGAAATTCAATATTTCTCTGTATGCCTTTGTTCAATTTCCAATGCATTACAGTGGCTGTCTTTGACAGTTTTGTCATTTTCTAACATTACTTTTTGGGGAAGAGATTTTCAAAAAATCTCTTCATAACATTATATTCTAGAGGAATCTCCTGTCTTCTTTATTTTTAAAGTATGTTGAATAAATTACTGAGTAAGTGAACAAATGAATTATTATGTTACAAATACCTTGTAATGGTCTATGTAATTACAACTCAAACACATACTTGGCAAAGGCAGAGCCCTTGCATTCCAAACTATTTCTAAGTTTTATATTATATAATGTTTTAAAAAGTAATAAACATAGATAAATGGAACAGAGTAGAGAGCCTAGAAATAGCCCCACAAATATGCCTAGCAAGTTTTTGAGAAAAGTGCAATGGCAATTCGTTGGAAGAGGAATAACCATGTCAATAAATTTGTCACTATTTCAATAAATTGTGCAAAAGGAATTGCACATCTATGAATAAAGGAAATAAATTTTGACCTAAGCCTCAAGTCATATGCAAATATTAACTCAAACAAGATTATGAATTTACTGTAAGATGTAAAATTATAAAACATTTAGAAAAAAATTAAGAAAATCTTTGGGACCTAAGACTAGGCAAAGAGTTCTTAGACTAGACACAAAAAGCATAATATGTCAAAGGAAAATTTTATAAAATGGGCTTTATAGAATGTTAAAAAATTGCTTTGTGAACATCCTCTTAAGAGGATATAAAGGAAAATTATAAATGGAGAGGAAATAATTGCAAACCACATATTCAACAAAGGGCTTGTATCTAGAATGTAAAAAACTCTACAAGCTGAACATTAAACAATAATTCCAATTACAAGATGGGCAAAGGACATGAGTAGATATTTTACAAAAGAAGAGATAAAAATGACAAATAAGTGAATGAAGATATGTCCAACATCATTAGCCATTAGAAGGATGCAAATTAAAACCACAATGAGATAGCAATATATACCTATTAAAATGGATACAATTAAAAAATAGGGATAACATCAACTGCTAAGTGAGAATGTGGTGAAACAATTCATCGTACTTTACTGTTGGTAATGTTAGGTGCTCTAATCACTAGGGAAAATTATTTGACTTAAAATCTAGCAATTGCACTCTCAGATATTTATACCAGGGAAGTGAAGACTTATTTTCAAGCAGAAATTTGCACATAAATTTTCATAGGTCTGTATTTGTAATAGCCCTAAATTGGAAAATACTTACATATCTTTCAGTGGTTAATGGTTAAACAAACTGTGTGGTACATTCACACGATTTGAATATTACTCAGCAATAAATTGAAATGAACTAGTGATACATGCAACACTGTGAATGAACTTCTGAAAATTATGTGATTAAAAATATAAATTTCAAAAGAATAGACACTGTGTGTATAATCCTATTTATAGAATATTTGTGAAATAAGCAGAGAGATGGATGCTGATTAGTAGTTGCCAGGTGCTGAGGGCAGGAGATTGAACAGCTACAAAGGGGTTGCAAGGAGAATTATGGTGATTGTGATAGCACAGTTATGTATCTTAATAGTGGTTTTAGTTACACAAGGCTGTCTGTGATAAAATTGCATAGAGCTACACATACTCAGATACTGCCCCCGTTCCAACACAAGTATACGTGTAGCTGGTGAAATCTCAATAAACCCTGGACTTGAACTAATGCCAGCCAGATTTTTGGTGTTGATATTGTACTGTAATTCTACATGATGTTAACACTGAGGGGAGACTGAGTGAATGGTTTGTGGTACCTCCCTGCACATTTATTTGTCACTTCCTGTGAATCTGTAATTATTTCAAAAAAAATTTTAAAAATATTTTGAAAGAGAAAAAACTCAAAGTTGAAAAATAATGAAAAATATAAATAATAAACATGGCTAACCAAAAAATTTTAAAGCATAAGAACATTGTAGAAAATTAAGCATAAATAAAAACTCAAAAAGCATGAATAATTCTTCACACATAGAACTACTGTTGATATTTTGGTATACACATTTTTCTTTCTTTTCATGCATGTAAGAAATATTGTCCTATAATAGACTTTAAAAATATTACATTGTATTTTATCATCTCATTAAATATTCTTCTATATCATTTTAAATATTTACGTAAGAGTGAAACATATGCAAGTGCCGTAACTACTAAAGAAATTATTTGTGGACATTTAATTAGGTTCTGATTTTTATTATGGCAAATACAGCTGCACAAAATATTCTTTCAGACTTTTCTTTAAACTTATACTTATTCAGGACACATTTCTAGACATGCAAATGGTAAGTCATAAATTTGGCATATTTCTAGTTTTCTGATGTATATCCAAAAGTTGGTCTTGGCCGGGCACGGTGGCCCACACCTGTAATCCCAGCACTTTTGGAGGCCAAGGCAGGCAGATCACTTGAGGCCAGGAGTTCGAGACCAGCTTGGCCAACATGGAGAAACCCCATCTCTACTAAAAAACACAAAAATTAGACAGGCATGGTGGCAGGTGCCTGTAATCCCAGGTACTTGGGAGGCTGAGGCAGGAGAATCTCTTGAGCCCGGGGGGCAAAGGTTACAGTGAGCTGAGATTGCACACTGCACTCCAGCCTGGGTGACAGAGTGAGACTGCATCTCACAAAAAAACGTTGCTGTCAGGAGCATTATACCAATTTATAGTCCCACTAGGAATATTTGAAATTTGTCTCACAAATTCATACATTAAAAAGCACTGAATATTATCATTAAAATATGTGTTTTAATATAAAATATTATCTGTACATAATGATACATATATATTTATGTCATCAACAATAGGTGAAAATAATATTAATTTTTAAAAATTTGCTTTAACTTTGATTTATGCTTATTGGCCATGTTATTATTCTTTGGCAATTTGGTCATTATAGCCTTCAACCATTTTATGTTAGAATATTTAACGTTTTCTGTAAACAACTTTGACCTAGCCAGTTTACAATAACATTCTATTTTCAGATTCTATTTCAAAGATATTCAAGTAGTTAGAAATAATATATTACATGTGCACACTATATATGCTTTTTCAAAATTCTATAAAATTGCTCCTATTGCACCTGTCTTTGGGGAGGGTTAGACAAACCAAACACTATACTACATTTTACTAGTTTTGAAAGTCCTATAGAAAACAAATATAATTCTCTATCAACTTGAACCAAAGAGGTTGATAAAATATTGTCATTTTTTCTGTAATATTTTTCAGTTTTTAGCACGTAAAAACTGTTTTAATACTTATTAGTAAAAATAAACATGTGTTATTTTATTGCATTTACTTTATGATCACTAGATATGATAATAACCTTATTCCTCAAGGTCTCTCTCAGACATTACATAATAAAGACTTTAAGTTATTTCATAACGAGATGAAAAAAAATCTTTTTGGCTTTATGACCACTTTTCAGAATGTGGGATGTCTAGGAGTTACTACAAACACACATCAGGATTTTTATATCCTACCTTTCCCAACTGCAGACTTTATGTGAAAATCCTTTAACATCTCAGTACAATGACTTAACCATCTGTGAAATGTGTGTAGTAAGAATACTTGGTGATTTGAAGCTTAATTAATGTTATAAACATCCTTTGAAATCCATGGATAAAAAAGTTACTAAAATTGCAAAATCTATGAAATTATAACTAGATTATTTTTCTTTCAAATTTATGAAGCATTATTGATACAGAAGCATGATAGAAACCAAAGATCAAATTTTGAAGGCTGGTCATATTTTCCATCTGTATATAATTGGGAGCAAAAGTAAAAAGCTTCTATCTAAAAAAGAGACATGAAACAAAATGACTTCTTAAAACTTAGCCTATGAGATATCATCTCACGCCAGTTAGAATGGTGATCATTAAAAAGTTTGGAAACAACAGAAGCTGGCGAGGATGCATAGAAATAGGAATGCTATTACACTGTTGGTGGGAGGGTAAATTAGTTCAACCATTGTGGAAGACACTGTGGTGATTCCTCAAGGACCTAGAATTAGAAATACCATTTGACCCAGCAATCCCATTACTGGCTATATACCCAAAGGACTATAAATCATTTTACTATAAAGATACATGCATATGTATGTTTACTGCTGCACCATTTGCAATAGCAAAGACTTGGAACCGACCCAAATGCCCATCAGTGATAGATTGGATAAAGAAAATGTGGCACATAGACACCATGGAATACTATGCAGCCATAAAAATGAATGAGTACATGTCCTTTGTACTCATTTTGTAGTCATTATACTCACTTTGACATGGATGAAACTGGAAACCGTCATTCTCAGCAAACTAACACAGGAACAGAAAACCAAACACCACATATTCTCACTCATAAGTGGGAGCTGAACAATGAGAACACATGGACACAGAAAGGGGAACATCACACACTGGGGCCTATTGGGTGGTAGGGGCAAAGGGGAGGGAGAGCATTAGGACAAATTCCTAATGCATGTGGGGCTTAAAACATAGATGATGGGTTGATAGGTGTAGAAACCACCACGGCACATGTATACCTATGTAATAAATCTGCACGTTCAGCACATGTATCCCAGAACTTAAAGTAAAAAATAAATAAAAATTAAAAAAATAAAGTACCACCAAATAGCTGCCCAAAAAAACCTTAGCTTATATCTACAATTTATTTGTAACATGAAAATGTCATGTTTTCTCAACACAGTTTTGGAAATTCAGTAATGTACATCATATAGGTGTTTCATTCTTGTCCTGTGGGTTCCCTTCACAGTATTATTCAAGAAGACATCTTAAGAGTAACTCTTTCAGGCTTTCAGTTTGATTTCCTGGAATAAATGTATCAAAAGAATATCGTGTGTGTGTGTGTGTGTGCGGGTGCACACATGAGGGGAGGGGAGAGAGAAAGAGAAAGAGAGAGAATGGGTGTAGTCGTTTTTTGATGAATCCAAAAAATGTTTCCAAAATTTATGTGAGACATCACCATCACCATTTTCATTTTTGAACTTTTTTTCCCATCAAAACAATACATCTTTTTTGTTGACTTCACTCCCTTTCAGCATCTCCAAATCCCTCCAAATATCTGTTGCCTCCTAATTTGTGTGAATACTCTTTCAGATTTCTGTACATCTGAGTTGTGGATAGAAATATTTCAACACTTTATTAGCTTGGAAACCTATTCTAAAACTAAAGCACATTCTCCAATCAGAATAGTTTGAATCCTTTTGGTAAGTTAACTTTTACTTAAACTTATTTCTATTTTTGACATTCTATGGGTTGATATAAATCCTAAATGTGTTCTATACATTAATGGTAATAATGAATAATATATACTCTTTAAACTATAAAATATTCATGTGTAAGAAATATTTTATAAGTGCACATTTTATTACTTTGTTCTCTTACAGTGTTCTGCAATGGCTTAGTCCTAGGAAAAAATCTGTAGTTGGTACCGTGGCCATGATTTTCTATGATCAGATCACACTACCTTCCTCTTCAGCTCTTTTCAGCACACTCTCCTCAATTTTCTCAGTTCCAGGTTTGCTAGAGTGCCTCTTTCTACCCTCACTTCTTAGTAAACCTATTTTTTAAAAAATTAAATTCCACAACTTCGCAATTTCCTGTGTTTGAAGACTGTCCCAAATTCCACATTTTATCTCTTTCTAAAAGCCAGTGCCTTCCAGATTATTACCTTCCCTGGTGTGTCATACTTGAAATCTAATTTAGTGCATCATACTCTTGTAATAATTTAATACATTTTCACAACTGCATAACAAATTTGTTATTCATTTATAACTGGTGCCACATAAGACAGGAGACCAATCTATGTAATTCATCATTTCACTACTATTGTCTTGCCCAGTGCCTGACACATAGGAGCCCCTTGATAAGTATTTATTGATCTGATTGGTGATGTATATTTTCAGACACAAATACCAGAGGAAAAGTTTAGAACTACTCTAGAAGTATCCTAATGTTGTATATATATCGATAAAATATCACCTAATAATCAGTTGTCTAAACTTCTACTTGCTCATCTTTACAAGTAAGGTAAACTACTAATAGCCCACTTCATTTTCAGACAGCACTGATTGTTAATATGTCAATTATTTTCAAATCAATTTTTAAGTGTTCATTATTCCTTTCCTAATGAGAGCTATATTGGACTATTCACACTTGATTATGTTTTCGTTCCTTATGATCATTTGTATCCTTGGTGATATATGAATAAAATTAAGATGAATAAATGGCATAATATGAGCAATTATCAGCAAACTAATAATAAAATTAAGTTATATTCTAACTGGAATGAGTGATAAGGCCATACTATTTCTTTTAAACTCTAGCTTCCATTATTTTCCACAGCTTCTATTATATGCAATAATAATAATAATGGTTAACACATACTGAGCATCTTCTACATACGAGGCACTGTTCTAAGTGTCATAAATATAGTACCTCATTTGCAATAACAACCGGTTGGTGTAGTTTAGTATTATCTTCCTATACATTATTATATAAACACAATTATTTGACTTTTTGTAAGCTTCTGAGAGTGGTAATTGATAAAGTTACCATCTATTAGTACTTTTGATAAGAATTTGTTTAAATTAGTATTGAAGCAAGGTATTTCGCCAAGTAAAGAAGGATTTGGGGATGGGGGGTGTACCTGGCCAAGGCAAGATTGGGAACAGTTGTATTGTGTGCAGAGGATGGAATTGCATCTCTGATATAAAAGGGCTTCCACAGGGAAGATGAGAAAAGTGGAAAAGAGAGATGGATAACTCACGAAAACAAACATTACTTACCTCATGATTCTAGGACCATTTCAACTGCCCCATCTTGACATTTTCCACAATTAGAAAACTAAACAGAGCCCTAGTGTGTCAAAGATGTGAATTTCAACAAATCCACAATCAGAATTCCCCTCAAGTTCATAGATCATTCTCACCCCCAGGTACTATGATGGTTTTCTCTTATTAGAAAACATGTTGGTTTCTCACCTATTACAGGAACACTGGTTTTTCTACTTGCTGTGTAAGTTATATAAGGAATTGTCAGCATTAAAAACTAATTGAAAATTGCACTGTAGAACTCACATCATGTTCAAAATCCAGAACTCACATCATGTTAAAAAACACAGTTCAATTCACTGAGCAAATTTAATATGTATTTTGAAGTATAACCAAATCATATCTTGAGGTTTTAAATAATAGAATAAGTGGTTATTACTTGTTTATATGATAATAACACTTTAAATTTAAATTTTATCTCTTTAAGAAAAAAATATTATTATTCAATGTAATATTTATATTAAAATTCTACTACTTAAATATTGAGGGACTCTTCTAGAGACTTGTGAACCGTTGTAAATAATTTAATGCTGGCAAAATTCCCATATTCATGTTGCTTACTATGAGAAGTATTGGATGTTTTGAGGAGTAGAATAGTGTATTATTTTTGTCACATGGTGCCATGCTGTTCTTTTCCTCAGTAAAACTACATTTCAGAAATTTAGCAACTGATAACTTTTGAGAGACTATTTTCTGTAAATAGATGACATCAATTATAAACTTTCCATATTATTTTATATTTTTAATTTTCTCTTAAAAATATGTTTTAGAAAGCAAGTGAAATATTTTTTGAAGTATTCCACAATATGTAATATAAATAAAACATATATTTGTAATTTTTATAATTTATAAAGTAGTTTGTAAAAAATATCATTCAATAATTCAATATATTCAAAATATTGTTGTAACCTGCCAATCCACAGATGGTCATCAAAGGGCTCATGAATGCTTAAATTATATAAAAAATGTTGTGTGAATGTGCTTATAAATATAATTTTTATTGTTATCCTTCCTGTGGAAGAATCCCTAAAGTTCATTTACTTAGCAGAGGGCATCTATAACCATACAAAAATTAAGAATCACTGCATATGTATAAAATTATCATTATATTCTTTCACAATATGCTAATAAGAGTTGCCACTTATTTGTCACTTAATTAGTATCAAGCATTTGTATTAGTGATTTACATATATCTCATTTAGTTGTTATAACAATGTCATGAAGTAGGCTCCAGTTTTTTATCCACTTTATAACTGAGTCATAGAGACTTAGTAATACGCCCAAAATCATTGAGCAAGGATTAGAACCTGGGCCACCTGTTTCCATACTCTGCGCTATAATGCATTATATGAAATGATATTTCATTAAACAGTCATATGGTTATGGGCCTAACACTGATATAATCACTTTACATATGTTGTCTCATAGGATCCACACAATTACATTATGAATTAAATACAGTTTATTGTCTACATTTATGAAAGAGAAAACTAGAATTTGGGTAGTTTAATATATAAATGGGATGATATCTATACCACTTGACTTCAGATATTGCCCAATAAATGGAAATTTCCATTTATTTCTCTCCTTGTAGACATTACATGTGAAGGAAATAAAAGACTTGAGAAAAGAAAGTTTGCTCTGACTCCAGTGTTTGTGTACCACATAGGAAAGTTTAGGAATGCAATGAAGTTGAGATATAGGAAAAAGTCCAGCATTACTATTCCTACTCAAAAACAGTTTTCATGAAAAGGAATCAATATGGATAGTCAGAAAAGAAATTTTTAATTCATTTGACACATACTTTATTTTAGGTATCTAACCAAACATAGTTTTTACATATTGTGAAACCAAAGAGCAGGTCAGTTTCCATTTTGCATACTCTTCTTCTGGACACCTATGCTCATGGGTTGAAGATTCATTAAAAGCTCTTTTTTTTCCTAGTAATTTTTACATGAATTTATTAATTTCCTTTTATTTTTATAGAAATTGTTCAGTTTGGTAGCATCCACTTACAGCCAACTTTCCTTTAGAGTATCTTGGGATTCCTTAGCAGTTTAGATGTTTGCCAAACACAGAAATCCTGGAGAAAATCCACAGATGTTAGCCTTGTTGGTGCTTCTTGTTTGCTTTCCTCTGCCTTCCATCTCTTTACATTAACTAAATCCTGACAGCCTCAAAAAGACACATCCACTTACTGGACTGTAAGATCTACCTGCTTTAGGCTTTCAGGTGCTATTTCTGATGAGACTCCACACCCATTTCCCTGCTGTCTGTATCAGGAGTTCACATCTTGCATTTACCCCAACTCTTTAATCCTCCTATCTCCTTCCAACTCTTTATATTCTCCCCTCCTCCCAATATACCTTTCGACTTGGCTCATATTTGTCCTCTTCAATCTGTCACTCTTTTAACTATCTGATTTTATAATCTATGCTGGCAATCTATCTAAACACAGATGGAAATCTCATTGAATTTGATATTTAATACATATCAACCACCTACCAGGATCTCACTGAAACCTGGGAATGAACCATGAAAAACATTCTACACTATGGCACTAAGCAGACCATGATATGTTATTTCCTAGCTGAGCAGCTTCATTCAGTTACTTAATGTGCTGAAGTCTTTTATCACACCAGTTAACAGAAATAATACACGTATCTCACAGAGTTATTGAGAAATATTACGTGAAATTTTGTCAACTATGGCTTGCTAGGCATATTATAAAATAAAAGTAACTAAAATAAGACTATTATTGGCTCAATGATGATAATATAGTGTCATAAAGCAAGGATTATGAATAATCCAAGTCTGAGAAACAGTACATCCATTTAAAATAATTTATGAATTGCAATGCTATGGTAAATGTTAATTCTTAGTTCTTTATTTATTCAAAAAACTTTGTTGAGTATCTTCTATGTGCTTGACTTTTCATTTAGAAGTATATCAGATTCAAAGTTGTGTAAAAAATGATTCCTGTTAGCATTTTGGCATAGATCCTTGCAGTATTTATAAATATCTATACCTAGACGTCTGTAAATTCTACTTTTGTGAAGATAAAATCAAATTATACTTTTTAAAAAATTTAAATAAATATCATAAAAAGTCTAGTCCATTTTCCACTTCCCTCCCACTTCAGCACTGGGACTCTTTTATTAATGACACAATGCGCTAAAGGAAGTTAATAAATGGACTAAGATGAAGATATTTCTAACCTAGTAGAGAAAATATACATTATTATCTACTACTATAACCAAAATAAAATCTTACCTTGTTTTTCTCTATCCTCTAATTTTGATGCAATATTTAAATTGTACTTATTTATTTACCATCAAACTTATCTATTTCCCACCTATCCCACTGAAATGAAAGTACCATGAGAACAGGATGTTGTCTATCTTGTTCATGGCTATATCCCAGCATATACACAGTAGTTGGCGTTAGAAGCTACTCCAGCATATGTATTGTATAATAATGAATTTGTATGATTATATGAACATTCTTGTTCTCTCTCTTTCCCTCTTTTCCCTCTCTCTGTTCTTCGAACTCCATGAAGGCATAAATCATGTTTATTTTGTTATTGTTGTCTCCATATGACTTCCAAAATAATTGGTACATAGTACATGTTTATAAATATTATAAACAATTGATAAAATAAAGAGGAAATCAGACACCCTTTTTTCATTTTTTTAGAAAACATCCATCATATAAACTTGCCTTTTCTTTCCGGAGTAACTTATTTTAGCCTTAATAAAAAGTTTGGTTATGTTCTGATATTTGGTGATAGTTTTAATATGTTTATATTTATTGCCTCACCTAGGTTACACCTTTCTTATATCCTTTATTAGGGGCAAAGAGTTACCACGTGCAAGGTGCTGCATAAATACCAGGCACAAATTTCACTTCCTCTACATCTGGCTATATCCTGTATGGATCATTATTCTGTGTTATCTTTCTTAAGAGTTTATGGGATATTGCTATTATACTTTTACTTTTTCATATTAGAATGTAAGTGGATTTGTTTCTTTTTCTTTTCTAAAAAATTCCTTTATTGTAGCTTACAAAAAAATAAGACAACATTTTAAGTAGGTAAGAAAGAGGAGGCAACAGGAAAACAAATGAAAATAGGAGTGAGATCAATACACAAAAACCATGCTATGAAATACTAAGTATAATCTTTGCAAGGGTGAGCCTCCCATTTGACTCTAAATGGCTGTCATAAAGAGGGTAAAATGGGTTTTATGTTATTTACTAATTTATATGATAAAAATTAATATTTTTCTAAGGAATATGATTCTTGCCAATAATAAGACTAGAAAGATTTCTCTCCCAGTTACCTTTGAGAAGAATATCCACTTTAAACCAATGAACAACACCTCTCAACAATGGTCCTACTATTGAGAATTTTTCTTATTATATTTATCACACACCACAGCCTCATTCTATAGAAGGAATTCCATCAGGGACCAATGCTTTATAGTCCAGGCCTGTGTCTTTCCCTTGACTACATTTGGAGTGCTGATAAATTCATATAATTGAAGAAACTTGTGTAATTTTCCAGGGAAACCATTTCCCTGGGGCAGAGGTATGGTTCCTCCAGACATGCAGTCTGCACTTTGAATAAAAGTACATTTTTATCACTGGCGGAAGCCTTGCAGGAAACCCCAGGACACAGCAAAAGACCTAAAGCTAAAAAAATCAATAATCAAGGATTTACAAAGATAGGTGAAATTTAATCAAACACCCTAGCAGTGATTGTGTGAGTGAATCTGAACACTGCCTTGATCAATTTGGCTTGAGTTTCTTACTACTGAATATAACAAAATATTAATTTTTATTCCTTGAACAAAACTGATGGCCAGGGCAGGATTCTGCTCATGTCTGAGGCAGGAGACAGAGCACAGGACGTATCCCTTGGAGAAAGGGCACATTCTTTCTTGCATTAGATAGCTTTCTTTCTTTAATGATGACATTATTGCAGTTTGCAGATATACTTTAAGGAATATACAAAAATTAGATATAGCAGCAAATATTTCATAAGAATGAGAAAAGGAATTATCATTTAAAAAATGATTAATACTACAAACATCACACAACCCAGACACTTGCGCTAGTGAAGGACTGTAAAACTTAAACTTTAATATCTTCATGGAAAGTCCCCTGTTCTTTGTCATTACAGAGCTGCAGAGGGAATTACAGTGGTTGTTACCAGAGGCTGGACTGGGGGCTTGGTAGATGGGGAAAGAAAGGAAAGATGTTGGTCAAAAGGTTCAAAGTTTTAGTTAGGAGGAGTAAATTATATTCATCTTTTGCACAGCATGGTGATTGGAGTTAATCAATAATGTATATTTCATAATAGCCAAAAGAGAGGATTTTATAATGCTTTCACCACAAAGCAATAAATATTTTGGGTAATGGATAGGCTAATTAGCCTGATTTAATCATTCCACAATGTTTACATGCTTGGAAACACCACATGGTACCCAGTAAATATATGTATACAACTATTAGTTCTCTGTCAAAAATAAATAAAATAACACAGCCATAATCAGGTCCTTAAAACCATAGAACTCCCTTACCCTTATATTATTCTGGGTGATATGATGGTTCTCCCTCAAAGAAGTCTTTGTAAACTGAGTATTAGCAGGGAGAAAGTTGTCCTTCCAGACTTGCTCTACACTAGCTGCCACACTGATTCCCTCAGAAGGCCACAGCTGTGGCATTTCCTAGGCTCATACAGCATTCGTCTACTCTAACACATTTTCTGGAATAAGCAGGGCTTCTTCTACCTCCCCCAATCCTCTTCCTTGTATTGTTGCTCAGCTGGTGTACCCATTTTTTTCTCCCCAGACTTCCGCCACCGAACACACGCAAGTGTACAAATGTATTTAAGACAATGAGCATTTCGAAACTTAATTGAGATAGAGTGGACTTTTCGTTAATCTGGAAATGTGAAGGATTCAGGCATGTGGTCTTATCTACACCCCAAATGATAAATCCAGAGAATGTTGTGGTTAGAGTGATACTGAAAAAAACTGCATTAACAAAGAACAAGTTTGTTGGGGCCATCCTCCTATGACTCCTGTGGTGCCTAGACAAAGAGTCTAGAGCTAATTGAAAGTCAGGAACAATATTTTCTTTATTGCCTCAACAACCCTTTGTTGCTGATGGCGAATCCATATGGATCTGCAACAACCTCAATTTTGTCTCCTCAGAAGAAAGAATTCAACTGAGGGGCATAAGGCAGAAGTGGAGACCAATTTAGAGCAGGAGTGAAAGTTTATTAAAAAGTTTCAGAGCAGGAATGAGAGGAAGTACACTTGGAAGAGGGCCAGGCAGGCTACTTGACAGATTAAGTGGGCAGTTTGACCTTTCGACTTGGGGTTTTATACACTGGCATACTTCTGGGGTCTTGTGTTCCTTCTCCCCTGATGTTTCCCCTGGGGTGGGGAGGTTCGTATGTGCAGAGGCCTGCTAGCATCTGGGAGGGGCCACATGCACAGGGTGTTTACTGGAGTTGTAGGCATGCTCATTTGAGTCATTTTTCCCTTACCAGTCCAGTGTTCCTATCAAAAGGTCATCACCATTTTACCTCTTAGCGTGCTTAAGCCCACTCGCCCAACTTCTAAGATGTTATTGGGAGGTCACTGATCACCAGCTTCAGATGTTTCTATCTATTGGGGCACTGCCTTTTATCTACTGGGAGACTGCCTTTCCCGATTGTTGGTTGTGACCAATTATTATTTTAGAGAGACAGTGTAACAACTGCCTGAGCATCACCGGATGGTCATCTGACATTCCTTGTGGGGCTGGGGAGACCCTCTCCTGCCCTGCTCATGTCTGAGTAGCTACCTACTGTAATATCTTTATGTCATAATGTCAAGCCTAATATAGTGCTTCATACCTAAGAATGATGTAAGGACTTGACTAGAAGCACAGTTTTCCATTTTTGAAAAGAAATGAATACTTTCAGAAACTTCCTAAGAATTTATAGAATTCACCTATATATTAACTAAATATGAATAGTGTTTATTTTACATGATCATATTAATGATAAGAAAAACATACATTTTGCAGAGTACTCTGTAATCTAAAATGTGCTTTCATATCTATTGATTATTATTTGTTCATCAAAGTTCTTTCAAACATGAAGGGAGAAAGCGATCTATTTTTAATTATACCCTTTGATAAAACAGCATACAAACTTTTCTAGTTTCAGTTACACAAAAATAACAGAACTCAATTTTGTTTGAATTGGAGTTCCACTATATTTTCAGTTCTTTGCACATCAGTCTGAATGGCAACCAGACCTTTATTTAGGGAATCTTCATTTTCAGCTGTTGGCACTGCCATCCTTTCAGCTACTCTTAGCCTCTAGAGCCTGCGTATAATAAATAATACAATCTGCTGGAAGCCTCTAACAGCTCTAAGTGTTTCTGATAATGTGCTGGTGGCATTTTAGACCAGATTTTTAAAACTTCCCTAAAATATAGGAATTACAAAACATTTACGGGTTTAAAAGGGCACACATTAATGAACTGCCTGGCTTTATTTTAGATGAGACATCTATTTTCCATCTCAATCACTGAGCACTTATTGCTGTCTGCTATTTAAATGGCTGGGACAGCTAACCACCTATTATAAATGACCACAGTCTTTACCATATCTGCATTAAGCTTGATCTACAGGATTGCACTATTAGTTTGGGAACCAGTATGTTAGACACACAAACCTCAGATGAATAATAAGCTCTTGTTCAATTCTGAAAGAAAAAAAAAAAGCATTTAGTTTCTCATTCACACCTACAAATCCTGCCTTCTCATGCTTTCAAATTCTAATCCCTGTGGCAGATTTCAGATAGCCCTTGGGGAAGAAGTTAAAACTTCCATAGTGTTTCAAAATTAGGGCACAGATAAAAAAGAAAATAACAAACGCAAGGCAAGCCCTATATTTTCATCTCAAATCATTCTCTCAGAAAGTCCTAATGGGCAAGGTGGGATGCGTACAGGGATGAGTACTGTTTTAAGAATGCTTTCAAGCCTCTTGAAATATAGCTAGTTTCACACTAAGTGCTAAAGAAGAGGTTTTTTGGAAAAAGAATTATATTTGCTATTATTTGTGCATATAATGCAAACATTTCTAGTTCTTGAAGTTTTGAACAGTGATATATTTTAGGAAGCTAGATTTGTGTTCAAAGTGCTAAAATCTTTTTTCTTTTTTTTTTTTTGATACGGAGTCTCGCTGTGTCGCCCAGGCTGGAGTGCAGTGGCGCGATCTCGGCTCACCGCAAGCCCCGCCTCCCGGGTTCAGGCCATTCTCCTGCCTCAGCCTCCTGAGTAGCTGGAACGCTAATATTTTGTATTTTTAGTAGAGAAGGGGTTTCACCATGTTAGCCAGGATGGTCTCGATCTCCTGACCTGGTGATCTGCCCACCTTGTCCTCCCAAAGTGCTGGGATTACAGGTGTGAGCCACCGCGCCCGGCCCAAAGTGCTAAAATCTTATCCCATGTGGAATATAAGAAAAAACCCAGTTCAGTTTAAGAATGCTGATCAACAGTCTAAATTTCCATTATTTATAATTTAGCTATTCCAAATTGGGGGTGAACTTATTCACAATTTTAAAGGTCTACTACTTCTGCATACTTAGCTAAGATTTGTGAAAAGTTTGAAATGGGGCCAGTGACATTTTCACAGTGAAATATTTTGTTGAAGATAGAGAATTCGTTGAAGAGAACACTTGAACTCATTAATGGGAGAACATCTCAAATAGGTGTCAATGACACCTCAAGTATGATGGCTATAAATAATTCTCTTTTTCTTTGTCTTCTTTCACAGTGCTGTTCTGGCCTTCCTGGCATTTCTCTTTTCTGGTAATTCAACCTCAATATTTGAACATTTATTAAGAAACTAAAATTGCTACTATATTTCCAGGGAAAGCACAACCCTCTCACAAATTTGATATGCATTAATTGATCCTGGAATCTTTACTATTAATTATAATTTTAACACCAGATTTCATCCTACTTATCTAAGCTATTTGATATTTGCTTCCTTGCTAAGTCATCAAACAAAATATATCTAAAATGAAGCTCTATTGAAATCTGTCTTAGTGACAAGTGTGTGCAAGAGATTATAATAGATTTAGTAATTTATAGTCTTTCCCGTTAGATTGATATGTTACTTGACTTAATATTTATGTAACCATCGCTTTTCAATTTTATTAACACTTTTTGAATGTACTCTGTATATCAAGAGACTCAGTGATAATTGCAATAGAATCAAGGATGAATAAAATGCTCTCTAGGCTTTTACCATAGCATGCCATGAAACTAGCTTCTGAATAAATTGTCACAACATTTGTTTGAATTAAATATATGAATTTTCAGGTGGTTAGAGAAATTTTCTAAGATACAATGAAACCCTAATTTTTCTAAGATACCCTAAAATGAAGCCAAATAAATAAACAAAAGGAACAGGTGTCTTAAATAGGACATATGCAGCATAAACAAAAAGAAAATTTAGGTTGCCCTGGATATATGCATATATATGTGTGTAGACATACTATGTATATGTATGTGTGCATGTGTGTGTATATATATATAGTATGTGTATACTATGTGTGTGTGCATGTATCAATATAGTACACACATACTATACATATGCTACATATATATCATGTGGGTATGTATTTGTATATGTGTATGTATGTACATACACATATACACATATATATATATACAGACACATACAGCAAGGATTAAAATATTCAAAGGCAATAAAATAGTGCCCTCTGGTCTCTGGCCCTTAGTGAAGAGCAAAGAAAAACTAAGTTATCTCTCTAGGAACAATCCACAGTTTAGACTCTCAAATTTTCAACATATTAGAGTCAATGAAGTAAAACAAAGAGCAAGTGACAAAAGACTACAAAATGACCAGGGAGAGTTTAAATATAATAAAATGAAACTTTTAGAAATAAAATATTTATTGTTGAAATTAAAAGCTAAAATGAATATCTCTGCTTCAGAAGTAGAAAGCTGTAAAAAATGTTGCACTTGTTCCTAATAACAAAAGTAAGCTATATAAATCACATATTTTTAGTTATTGTCATTATTTTTTCTCATCATTCATTACATAATAAAATATAAATGAACTAAATGAGCAAAACTCCAGAGAATGAAAGGAGAAAAGATCCAGGGGTACTCTTATCCATGTTGAAACAAAGAAAGGGCAACGTATTTGCAATAGCTTAAAGAAAATCAGTCTAATTTTTTAAAATTTTAATTACAATGTGTTGATTGGCTGACTGGAGTAAGAGGATTTCCTGACAAGAGCAAAACTGGATGTCCTTCAAAATGCTAATCCACCACCCTCCACAGAATCCTGGAGGTTGCACCATAAAAACAGAGGCAGGAAAGAAAAAGTGAGAGAAACTCTCCAAGGATTCCAGGTTTTCCAATAAGGAAGTGACAGGAGCAGGATTGTTACTCTTCTGGCTATAAAAATAACTCACTTCAGTCTTCATTGAATTTTTATGTAAATGTATAGCACAAAATAAAAATCCATGGAATAGCAAGAAAATGTGATACATATTTTTGAGAGGAAACAGTCATGGAATGAAACACAAAAAGAATCCAGATGTTGGAATTGTCAATCATGAACTTTCAAATACCTATGAGAAACTGTTAAGGAGTCTAGCTGAATGCATAAACAACATGGATAAGATATAAAGCATTCCAGGAGAGTTATGTAAACTAACAAAAATATCCTAAGGAAAATGCTTGCTATAATAAAACAACAGTAAAAAATGATGGGGTTGTTAGAAGACTAATTACAGGTCAATAGACAATGATATAATTTAATCACAAAAGACATTAGTGTCCAAAGACAAAGCATAAGCAGTCTTTTAGAGAATATAAAGTTATTTAACAGAGTCATAATTAAAGGCTCAGGGGAGTAGAAAAAAATGGGATATATGAAATATTTGAGGAGATAACTGCAGAGATTTCCAAACAGGGTGAAAGGCATCAAAGTGCAGATGAGTAAACATAAGGCAAGTTAAAAAAAAACAAAAAACAAAAACTACATCTAAGTATACTATAATCAAATAAATAAAAATAATAAAAAATGGATCTTAATGGCATCTAAAGAAAAAAATGCACCTTATACATGGGGGCAAATTATATGAATGATAATATTTTATTAGAAACAATAAAAGCTAGAAGCAAATAAAATTCAACCTTCATAGCCTTCAAAGAAAATAATATCAATTTCGAACTTTATATCTACCAAAAATATTCTTCAAGATCTAAGGTGAATTAAGAACATTTTTAGACAGATCAAAGCTAAAATAATTTGTCATCAGAAGTCCCTCACAAAAAAATGATAACAATTTTTAGGCTGGAGAAAAAGATTCCTTCCTTCAGATGTTGAAATTTTGCATCTGAAGGAAGGAATGAAAAGCCCCATCAAGGTAAATATCTGAGTGAAATAAAGGACTCATATTGGTAACAAATCTGTTTGTTTGTAGGTGCCTACCTACATATCTATGTAGACACATGCACACACTCAAAGAATGTGTGTGTGTGTGTGTTCCAGCCAAATTGAATAGTGATTGCATTTACCCGCCCCCCCAATAAATCAGTAAAACAGATAAAATATATGAAACAACAATTTTTAGACAGACAATATAGGCCTGCAATTCCTGATAGATGGAAAACAAAAAAGGTGAGTTCCATGATTTTAACAGTTTATTGCCTGGAAGCAGTTTTGAGGCACAAGAAATGAGAAATGAAACAAAAGACAGTGTTTATTGAGTATATAAGACAGAGGTTATATTTCAGGGATACCAGAGTAGCTACAACTTGAAGTTGCAGGATCAAGTCCTAGAAAGAAGACAACTGGGGGTGGTAGTATGGGGGTGGGAGGAGGGAAAGAGGGAGAGAACGCTAAAATAGGGTATTCTCAAGTCTTTGCTGAAATTCTAATTTATGAATGAGAAACAAAGTTAAGCACATTGGAAAGAAGAGAGTAAAATAATTACTTCTAGAAGTCACATAGGACAAGTTGGCTGGATGCTCCAACTGTAACTGGACAAATAGATGCAAGAAAAAGACAGACTCAGGAATTCCATTTCTAAGTTCAAATGCCATGTAAATGACTGTATTAGTCTGTTCTCATGCTGCTAATAAAGACATACCTGAGACTGGGTAATTTATAAAGAAAAAGAGGTTTAATGGACTCACACTTCTACGTAGCTGGGGAGGCCTCACAACCATGGCAGAAGGCAAAGGAGGAGCGAAGTCACATCTTACATGGAGGCAGGCAAGAGAGAGAGCATGTTCAGGGGAATGCCCCTTTATAAAACAACCAGATCTCATAAGCCTTATTCACTGTCATGAGAAGAACACGGGAACAACACACCCCTATGATTCAATTACCTCCCACCAGGTCCCTCCCATGACATGTGGGAATTATGGGAGCTAGAATTCGAGATTTGGGTGGGGACACAGCCAAACCATATCATTTCACGCCTGGTTCCTCCCAAATATCATGTCCTCATATTTCAAAACCAATCATGCCTTCTCAATAGTTCCTTAAAGTCTTACCTCATTTTCAGCATTAACTCAAAAGTCCACAGTTTAAAGTCTCATCTGAGACAAGGCATGTCCCTTCTATCTATGAGCCTGTCTAATCAAAAGCCAGTTAGTTAGTTTGTAGATACAATAGGGGCACAGACATTGGGTAAATATAACCATTCCAAATGGGAGAAATTGTCCAAAACAAAAGAGCTACAGGGCCCACACCACTCCAAATTACATTAGGGCAGTTATTAATCCTTAAAGTTCCAAAATAATCTCCCTTCAACTCCATGTTTCACATCCAGGTCTTGCTGATGCAAGAGATTGGCTCCCACTGCCTTGGTCAGCTCTGCCCCTATGGCTTTGCAGGGTAGGGTACTTCTCTCCTTCTGGCTGCTTTCACAGGGTGCCATTGAGGGTTTGTGGCTTTTCCAGGTGCATGTTGCAAGCTGCTGGTGGATCTACCATTCTGGGGTCTGGAGGACAGTGGCCTTCTTCTCACAGCTCCACTAGGCAGTGCCCCAGTGGGGACTCTGTGTGGTGCTCCAACCCCACATTTCCCTTCCACGCTGCCTGAGGAGAGGTTCTCCAAGAGGGCTCTGCCCCTGCAGTAAACTTCTACCTAGACAACCAGGCATTTCCATACATCTTTTAAAATCCAGGCGGAGGTTCCCAAACATCAATTCTTGACTTCTGTGCACCCACAGGCCCAACACCACATGGGGTTTGCACCGTCTGAAGCAATTGCCTAAGCTATACATTGGCCCTTTGTAGTTGCAGCTGGAGCTGAAACAGGTGGGATTCAGGGCACCACGTTCAGAGGCTCCATAGAGCAGGGGACCCTGGGCTCAGTCCATGAAACCATTTTTTCTTCCTAGGCCCTCAGGCCTGTGATAAGAGGGACTGCCACAAAGGTCTCTGATATGCCTTGGAGACATTTTCACCATGTCTTGGTGATTAACATTGGGCCCATCATTAGTCATGCAAATTTCTGCAGCAGGCTTGAATTTCTCCTCAGAGAATGAGTTTTTCTTTTCTATTGCATCATTAGGCTGCATATTCTCCAAATTTTTATGTTCTGATTCCTGTGGAACAGTTTGCCACTTTGAAATTTCTTCCACCAGATACCCTAAATAATCTCTCTCAAGTTTAAAGTTCCACGGGGCAGGGGCAAAATGCTGCCAGTCTCTTTGTATAGCAAGAGTGACCTTTATTCCAGTTCCCAACAAGTTCCTCATCATCCAAGTCCACCTTAGCCTGGACCTTGTTGTCCATATCACTGTTACCATTTTGGTCAAAGCCATTCAACAAGTGTCTAGGAAGTTTCACACTTTCTTACATCTTCCTATCTTCTGAGCCCTACAAGTCTCTAGTAAGTTCCAAACTTTCCCACCTTTTTCTATCTTCTACTGATCCCTTCAAACTCTTCCAACATCTTCCTATTTCCCATTTCCAAAGTCACTTGCACATTTTCAGATATCTTTACAGCAGCACCTCACTTTACTGATACCAATGTACTGTATTAGTCTGTTTTCACACTGCTAATAAAGACATACCCATGACTGGATAATTTATAAAGAAAAATAAGTTTAATAGACTCACAGTAGACATGGCTGGGGAGGCATCACAATCATGGCAAAAGGTGAGGAGGAGTAATGTCATTTCTTACATGACAGCAGGCAAGAGAGAGAGCAGGTGCAGGGCAATTCCCCTTTATAAAACTATCAGATCTTGTGAGACTTATTCACTATCATAAGAACGGCACAGGAAAGACCTGCCCCCATGATTCAGTTAACTCCCACTGGGTCCCTCCCATGACATGTGGGAATTATGGAAGCTACAATTTGAGATTTGAGTGGGGACACAGCCAAACCGTGTAAATGACCAAACAGCTTCTGTGTGTGGCCTGAAGGACACTTTTATTTTCTATAGCTGCAGGGCTGAGAATGCTTAAAATCTAACAAAGAATCTCAGTATGTATCAGATGAATTACAATGAATGTTTAACTTCTAGCTTCAAAGGGTATTTATTGTTAAAGTGAGGGCATTGATTAGAAAAGAATAGGATCTTGTAAATTGAAATGTGGACATGTGGGAAAATCCTGTTAAGGCTGGGGACATTGGGACCCTAAATTCTGATGTCTTCTTTGCTGGTGGAAGAAGCTTCCCAAGTCCCAGTAAAAGTAGCCTCCTCATCCCCGGTAGTAGCAGCTTCTCTAACCCCTCTCTACTTGCAGCTGAAAGGATTAGCCCTGCATTGCATAGGGACACTGTAATGTCCTCCTAAGAGGCAATTGTAATGCAAGACAATGCTGATTGTCCTCAGGAACCACCCACACTACCCCTCTTTGATTGTAAGCCTGTAATTAGACTCAAGTTTCAGCAGGATTCAAAAGTTAAAATACATAGTATGACCCATGAGGAGGTGCATACTCTACCCTCCAAAAATATAACTACTTGAGTTTTCTGATATATACTGGCAGAAGTCCAGGGAACATGTGTAGGAATGGATATTAAGAGTACGGGATAATGGATAAGGGTATGGGATAATGAATCAGCATCCAACACTTGGTCTTGTTTCTCCTATAACCAGGATTTGTGGGGCTAAGAATCAAGGGGTAGAAATAGGAGTGAGACCACTTACAATTCCCTCTGGTGACCCACTAGCCAATTTTTTCTTCCTGTTTGCACAATCTTTTTTTTTTTTTTTTTTTTTTGAGATGGAGTCTCGCTCTGTGGCCCAGGCTGGAGTACAGTGGTGCAACCTTTGCTCACTGCAAGCTCCGCCTCCCAGGCTCAGGCCATTCTCCTGCCTCAGCCTCCTGAGTAGTGGAGACTACAGGCGCCCGCCACCATGCCCGGCTAATTTTTTGTATTTTTAGTAGAGAAGGGGTTTCACCGTGTTAGCTAGGATGGTCTCAATCTCCTGACCTCGTAATCTGCCCACGTCAGCCTCTCAAAGTGCTAGGATTACAGGCGTGAGCCACCGAGCCCAGCCTGCACAGTCTTATACTTTGCTGGCCTAGAGGTTTTACTTTCAAAGGGAGAAACACTTCCACCAGGAGTCGCAACAATGATTTCATTAAATTGGATGTTAAGACCGCTACCAAGCTACTTTGGATTCCTCGTGTTTCTGAATTAACAGGCAATTAAAGGCATTATTACTATGTTGGCTGGAGTTGATTCTGATTACCAAGGGGAAATCGAACTACTACTCTACCATAGAGGTAAGAAAGAGTATGTCTGAAATACATGTCATCACGGTAGGTTACCTCTTCTTACCATGCCCTATGATTAAAATCAATGGAAGACTACAACTCAATTCAGTCTGAGTTACTAATTGCTCAGACTCTTCACAAATAAAGATTTGGGTCACCCCACCAGGTAAAAAACTACTACCAGCTGAGGCATTTGCTGAAGGCCAAAGGAATACAGAATGGATAGTAAAAGAAGCCAGTTACAAATAACAACTATGACCACATGGTCAGTAAAAGAAACAAAAAATTAATTATCATGAATATTTCTCCTTATTTTGTTATTGTCCTGTATATATATATTATATATATACACACATATATTTATATAATATGTATATATATTTTCTTTTCTCTCTTATTCCCTTATTATGTAACATAAGATGTATTGACTTTGTATCATAGTATTTAAGTAGCATTGATTTTCCATCATAGTATTTACTTTATAAGATATCAAGAACAGTAAACATCACTCAAGGAATGTACCTCCTCTTCTAGGGAAGGGGTTAATTCACTTTTGTTGCATGCAGGATAGATGCAACATGTTAGAAGAAGTTATGGTTCTTATGACTTGTTATTATCTTATCTTGTTATTCACTATGGTATAAGGTGATGCATATGGATGTCAGGTTGATAAAGGCAGGTTTTATGATGGTTATTTTATGTGGCACCTTGACTGGATTACAAGGTATCAAAATATGTGTTTAAATGTTATTTACAGTGAGCCTGTGTGGGCAGTTCTGAATGAGATTAACATTTGAATTGTTATAATGAGTAAAGTAGATGACCCTCCCCACTGTGGGTGGGCCTCATTCAATTTGTTAATGGCCTGAAAAGAACACAAAGCTGAGCAAAAGACTCTCTGCCTGATGCTCTTGAGCTGGAATATTGTTTTCCCTCTGCCTTCAGACTTGGACCGGAACTTAGACGCTTGTCTCTGCTGGTTCTCAGACCTTTGAGCTGCGGATCTTGGGACTTCTCAGCCTCCATAATTTTTTATAATTTTTCTCTCTCTTTATACACACACACACACACACACACACACACACACACACAGAGAGAGAGAGAGAGAGAGAGAGAGAGTCATGCAGAACAAATATCCTCTTTGTTTTGTTTCTATGGGGATGCCTGACAAATAACCCAAATGTCCAACAATTGAGGAATGGATAAACAAAATTTGTTATATCCTACAATTAAATGCATTTGGCAATAAAAACCAATAAGGAAATAATACATGCTACAATATAGATAAACCTCAAAAATATTATGTTAGGCGAAAGAAGCCAGATTAAAAAAAAAATATTATGTTAAGTGAAAAAAGCCAGATTGAAAAAAAAAACTCATTATATTCATGTAAAATGTCCAAATTAGGTGAAATTATAGTGACAGAAACTAGGAGTTACTAGGGTGGGAAGGAAAGAATACACAGTGGCTTCTGGTGGGCATAAGATTTCATTTTGGGTTGAAGAAAATGTTTTCAGATCACATTTAAGCAGGATATTTCCCTGACTCCTTCTCAAGACTGGTGACAGGGGTGCCCCGTTTACTCAGTCCACTGCTTTCAACTCCTCATGGGAGGGAGCACGTGAGTGAACGAGGAGGGAACTGGAGTACATGAGCAGTGGAACCAGCTGGCCAGTTTGGCACCAGCAGGAGGGAACTCTACTCACTGGGACTTGCTGTGCTCCACCCCTCGCAGGAGGGAGTGCACAGGCGAGCCGGTGCAGGAATCAGGGCAAGTACTTCTGGGCGCCGGCCGGAGTAAATTCTGTGCAGGCCCTGTGGCAGCATCTGTGGGGATGCCTGCAACTCCCGAAGCCCCAGTGGGCATGTTACAGTGCTCTTTTAGTTCTGCTGTCCGCAGACGGCTCAAGTGTTAACAGTTCAGTGGGCTGGTAAATGCAGGGGAGTTTACTGCCAGTGAAAGTGGCTCTCAGCAGGAAGAGGAGTGGAATAGAGGATGGGGGATTGTAGGTAATCTTCTCCTGAAGTCCCTCCATCTCTAGCCAGATTCTTCTCCGAAGTTACGTCAAACAGCTTCTCTTGGACATCCACCCGTAGTTGTCCTGGCATCCAGCTGCTTTTTCTCTCCACGTCCAGATGCTTCTCTTCTCTCCTGCTCTGCAGGTGGAACCTGGAGATTTTATGGATACAGGATGGGGGGCAGGGCGGCCAGGGTGGTTTTGGAAAAAGCAACATTTGCAGGAAAACAGGGATATAAGTTCTCACTTTGGGCCGTGGTCTCGGGCTTTTCAGCTTGAGGGTGGGGATTTGCCAAGGACCTGCCCTTTTCTGCCTAGAACGTCTCTGCCTCCTGTCCCTATCAACATTGAGGTGATGCTTTTACAACTCAGCAAATATACTAAAAATCATTGAATTATACATGGAAAATGGGGAAATTTTATGTTATGTAAATTGTATCTCAAAAAGGCTCTTTAAAATTTTTTAAGTGAGAGAAAAGTTAAGAATTTATTAGAAAATTAGAAACAAGAAATTTTAAAGGAAGTTATTCAGATCAAAGAAAAATGATACTAGAAGGAAATTTGGATTCGTACAAAGCAATGAACAAAACCCAGAAATGGTCACTATGTGGGTAAACATAAAATATATTTTGCTCATGTAAAAATATCCTTAAAATGTAATTAACTGTTCATGGAAAAACAATAAAAATGTATTAGGGGTTTATAATATATCAGCATGTAGCATAAATACATAAAAGTAATAGCTTAAAAATGGAGGGGGAGACAGTGAAGTGATGTTTGAAGTTTGATGTGAAGTGGCACAGCATTATTTGAAGGTGGATTGTGATACGTAAGTGGTATATATGTTAATATCTAGAACCACACTTTCCAGCAAGTAAGCCATTATATGCATGTGACTACTGAGCACTTGAAAAGTGATGAATGATACTATGCAGCTGTGAAAAAGAACAATATTATGTCTTCTGTAGGAACATGGGTGGAGCTGGAAGCTATTATCCTTAGCAAACTAATACGGGAACAGAAAGACAAATACTGCATGCTCTCACTTATAAGTGGGAGCTAAGTGATGAGAACTTATGAACACAAAGAAGGTAACAACAGACCCTGGGGTCTACTTGAGGGCAGAGGAGGGAGAGGAGCAGAAAAAATAACTATTAGCTATTACGCTTAATACCTGGTTGGTAAAATAATTTCTACAACAAACCCTTGTGACATGAGTTTACCTGTATAACAAACCTTCACATGTACCCTCAGACCTAAAATAAAAGTTAAAAAAAGAAGTATGATGAGTGTAACTCAGGAGCTAAACTCTTAATGTTATTTGATTTTAATTTATTTTATGTTAAATTTACAAAATAAATCAATGTAAAATAATTTCTATTAAACACAAATCTGTTGCATCATGAAAAATAATATTTAATTGGAGTGTGCATGTTGGGCATATTTATCATTTCTAGTATTACATATAAACATATCATCATTATAGTTCCAGTTAAAAGTTGATTATTTAAATTGCTTTTATTTTATATGCACCAATGTATCATTGTAAAGGCTTTATATAAATATTCATGAAGACAGCATGAGTTATAACAATATCATTGCAAATTATAATTAGCTTTTAAACTTACATAATTATTATATTATTTATAATATGATCAAATTATTCTGTCAGCTTTAAAGATGTATGAACAAATTTTGAAATTTAGAAGAAAACCATAGTACTGGTACAGGACCAAAAGTGCAAATGCAAAATAAATTAGTGCAAATGAAAAGTTAAACCAGAAGACATTGAAAGTATGTTACGAATTTCTCTAGGAGATTCCAAATGGAAAAATTATAAGGACTTTCTTTAGCTTGAGTTGATTTGGGTAATGCAACAGAGAATGTGCAATTAATATCTGTAAGAAAAGTTTGCATTCAAAACTTATAATTCACAAATAATTGTCATCATTTTGCAATCTAAAAATTTGAATTTGTGGTGGAGTTATATTTTATTTTTGTTAAAGAAGAATATAAACTAGACATGAAAGAACTAAATTTTTGTCTTGACAGCTATCTTAGGTCAAAAATATAAATAATTATTAGAATGCTGAAACAGGAAACTAATGTTTCCTTCATTATTTCATTCTAATGTATTACACTTATTGAAAATATTTGTACTTGGTTTCTGAGGCCAACTTATTAAATTGTCATGTATACAGTTGTGAGACTTGTGCAGTCTATATGATAGATGCTATGCATCCTCAAGAGTTTATCGAACTTGCAGAAGAAATAGAAGATAATAAATATTAAATTTATAAACTTGTTTTCTTTGCTACTTACTTCTGGTTCAACATAGAAGAGTTTTCTAGAAAATTATTTACTGTACTCTTAATTCCAATTGCAGATTTTCTTGAAACTACAAAGTCTATCAAATATTTAATAATCAAAGACAAAACATGACAGTGTAATGTGTATTTTCTTGTAGATATCACACCGAATGTGAATTGAGTTCAATTTGAAGCTCAAAGAAAGGAAAAGCTTATTTTTTATTCAAATTGACAGATATAAAATATATATTAAAAAGGAACATTTTCAAAATAGAAATCGATAATTTTACACATTTTCTAATGTAAATCAACATGCAGATGACTTTAGTTGTGATTTACAGTGTTTTATACACATATGCATATGGTGAATACAAAAATCAAAGACCACTCTATGGGCAATTATAAATTTAGAGTTTCATAGTTTTTTAATTTTTATTTTTACTTATTTTTAAAATTTTATGGACACATCATGGATGTATATATTTATGGGTTACCTTAGATACTTTGATATAGGCATGTAAGAAGCAATAATCACATCATGGAAAATGGGCATCCATCCCCTTAAGCATTTATCCTTTGTGTTACAAACAATCCAATTATACTCTTTCAGATATTTTTTAATGCAAAATTAAATTATTATTGACTATAATCACCTTGTTGTGTTATCAAATACTAGGTCTTATTCATTATTTCTATTTTTTTTTTTTAATGGAGTCTCACTTTGTCGCCCAGGCTAGAGTGTAGTGGCATGATCTCAGCTCACTGCATCTTCTGCCGCCCAGGTTCAAGCCATTCTCCTGCCTCAGCCTGCCAAGTAGCTGGGATTACAGGTGCCTGCCACCATGCCCTGCTAATTTTTGTAGTTTTAGTAGAGGAGGGGCTTCACCATCATGGCCAGGATGATCTTGAACTCCTGACCTCGTGATCCACCCACCTCGGCCTCCCAAACTGCTGGTATTACAGGTGTGAGCCACCGTGCCTGGCCAACTATACATATTTTTGTACTCACTAACCATCTCCCCTCCCTTCCCACTCCCCCATTACCCTTCCCAGCCTCTGGTAAGTATCATTCTACTTTCTATCTCCATGAGTTTAATTGTTTTGATTTTTAACACCCACAAATAAGTGAGGACATGCAAAGTTTGTCTTTCTGTGTCTGCCTCAGCCTCCCAAATGCTGGGATTACAGGAGTGAGTCACCACACCCAGGCTCAATTTAGTTTTTAAAAAATAATTACATATGTTTTTAAAAGTTGGTTATATTAATCTACATTTTAAACTGTATATTTTATGAATACAAAATGTGCCAAATATCTCCAATTAAAATTTAACATTGAAATAGAGATGCACCATAAGCATAAAATCCACACCAGATATCAAAGACTTAGTATGAAAATTTTAAAGTGTCTTAATAATTTACATAGATTGAAATAATTGAAAGTATATGGAAAGAATTTGAAAATATTTTGTATACTTGGTTACATAATATATATCAATACAATTAAATTCACCACTTTATTTTTACTATTTTTAATGTGAATATCAGAAACTTAGAATTACCTATCAGGATCACACTACATTTCTCTTGAACATCACTTCCTTAGAACAACCGCTAAAAAAATATGACAAAGATTTAGAGTAAATAAGGTAACAGTGGACCTAAAATAAAGTCATTAAAATATTCAAATAATACAAGTTCAGGGAAAGAAGAAAAGAGGAGACAAATAGACTTTATTGATTAAAAGCCTTCAATAAATATATTTCAAGATCCTGACATTTGGAGGATTTCTGTTTCTGGACAAAAAAAGAAAAATAGAAAAATAAAGGAACACATCAAAATATATGCAACAATGTTTCAGAAGACTTTGAATTAGACATTAGACAATGAAGGACAATGATCCTTGAGAGATGGAAACCAACAATTTCAGCACTACTGTTGTCTCACCTTAGTGTCTACCAAGAGTTTCCATGACAAAACACAGGGATAGAGAACATAGGAGACTATCTAGGGTGACAAGATGGATACTAGAGTTCAGAGAGACCAAGGTAGCTAGAGTTTACAGATGTAGTAATCCTCACCAATGCTTGTTTCTGTATGTCTTTTGGATTACAGTCATTCTGGAGGGTTTGACATGATATTTCATTGTGGATTCAATTTTTAATAATTAATGATGTTGAATTGACCATTTTTTGTGCCTACAAGTCATTCATAAATTTTATTTCATTATATATTTATTCAAGTACTTTGTGAAAATTATTGGGTTTGTCTTATTAGGTTATATTACATATATGGATATATATATATAGTTATATATACACAGAAATATGTACATATATATTCATGATAGAATGTTTTATCAGATATCTGATGCAAGTATTTTCTCAGCCCATTTTGTAGCTTGTTTGTGTATTTTTTAAATGTGACTTTAAATGAAAAAGTAGTAATTCTGATGAAGTTCAAATATCAATTTTTAAAAATTCCATGTGATTTGGTGTCACATGTGAGAAATCTTTGCCTAACTTAAGATTATGAAGATTTGCTGCTCCTATGTTTTCTTGTAACTGTTATATTTAGGTTTATAATTGTGTTGGGGTTCCCTAAGACCACTACCAAGTTTGGTGATTTGGTAGGTGGACTCACAGGACTCAACATAAAGTCATACACTCAAGTAAGATTTGTTACAGTAAAAGGACACAAATAAATAGCCATAAAGGGAAAAGATACACGGCGCTGAAGTTCAGAAAAAGCAGGTACAAGCTTCCAAGAGTAATTGTAGAATCACAGAGGAGGCATTTAAGTCCTCTAGGATCTAATTGTCACAACACATGTAAGATGTTGCATATTAGGAAAGATTATTACAGATTTATGGCCTATGGTTTTTCCTGGGGGCAGGTATTATAATGTAACCTGTCCTTAGCATCTATGAAAACTCGAGACTACCAGAAGGAAGACAAGTATTCAGAATAAATTATATTTTTCATACAAACCACTTAGGCACATTGAGCCATGCCTATCATTTAAGGAATGGTGAGAATACTCCTGAAATTCATTCTCAGGCATTAGCCAAGGGCCCATTTAGCAAGCATGACTTTCTAATGATAGTATTCTCAGGCCTGCTATGTTAACTCTTTGCTGCACAATAATCCACTCGCGTTACTTTTTGTACACGGTATGAGATAAAGTTCTGATTTAATCTTTTTGCATGAGGATATCTAACTGTTCCAGAATTATTCATTGAAAAAAGTATCCTTACCTACTGAACTGCTTAAGCACCTTTGAGAAAATCAATTGACCATAAATTTAAGGATTTTTTCGGAATTCCAATTCTAGGCCATTGATATATATGTTTACACTTTTGTCAGTATCATATTTGATTACTGCATTGTAAGTTCTGAAATTTGATAGTGTAATTTATCTAATATTATATTTCTCTATCAAGATTGCTTTGGCTATTTTCAGTTCTTTGAATTTTCATATAAATTTTGGACCAGCTTGATAACTTTTTTAAAAACATCAGTTGGGATTTTGATTAAAAATTTGCTGAATCAATATATTAATTTGTGGGAAATTTACATAACCCCCCAAATATTACCTTTCCCAATCTGTAAATATATCTCTTTGTTTATTTAACATTTCATAATCTCTTTCAACAATGTTTTATAGGCTTTTACAGTTAACTGTTACAGTTCTTCTCTTAAATTTATTTCTAAGTACTTCATTATTTTGATGTTATTGTGATTTAATTAATTTCATTTGCATTTTGTTTATTCTTAGTATATAAAAATATAATTATTTTAAAAATTGATCTTATGCTCTGAAATACGGTTGGCCTTGTGGATTCTGCAGGATTTTCTATATACGAAATCATATTGCCTGTTAATAGAGGTTTTTTATTTCTTCCTTTATAAACAAAATGCCTTCTGTTTCATTTTCTTTCTTTCTTACCTTGAGAGAACCTCCAGTATAAAGTTGAATAGAAAAAGTGATTGTGGTCATGCTTGTCTTGTTCCTGATCTCAGGGGAGAAGCACTCTGTCTTTCACTGTTAAATATGATGGTATGTGTAGGTTTTCTTATTTTATTGTTGTTGATGCCCTTTATCGGGTTGATGAAATTCCTTTTAATCCTAATAAGTTGATAGTCTTTATCGTGAAGAGTGTTGCATTTGTGAAAGGCTTTTACTGTGTCTATTGAGATGATCATGTGTTTTTTTGCATTTTATTCTATTAACATAGTATATTCATTGATTTTTCAAATATATCCAATTGCCTTTTGGATAAAAAATAAAATTTGTTGGTTGGTATACAGAGTTCTGCTTGGGCTGGTATCAACAGGTCTGCTGAGTCATACATTGTTACTCTTGCCCTTTCTTCTCTGTTCTTCAGCCATACTGGCCTTTCTTTAGTAGTCCAAGATAGTTTTCTCCTTTTTATATGCTCCTCTTTCTGGCTAGAAGATACCTCTAGCTAGAAGATACCTCCTATTACCCCACACTTACTAGTTAACTTAAATTTGTCTTTCAGATATTTTCTTAATCATCTCTTACTGAGAGAAGTCACTTTCTCTGTTGTAAGCTCCCAATGCCCCATGTTGCTTTATCATAGAATTTGTCTCCACTTGTAATTATATAATTTGGGAATAATTAATTCAAACAAACACTTTGTTATTACTTCACATTGTATCACTAATATCTAGTAAAGTACCCACAATGTGATGGGCATTCAGTAAACATTGTAAAATGTATGAATATATGAGTCATGGACCAAGAAGCGAAAGATACTTTAGCAGTATTTTGAGGTATCTGATAAGTTCTAAGAGATGTGATAAGGCATATTCTGGAAACTTCCAGTATTTTCACATGTCTGTGCCATTAAGTTTAGGTTGGACTGTTGCCAGAAATAAAGCTATAATTTTAGATAGGTATTCCTTAATGAACCTACTATGTCATAGTAAGTAGTATTATTGTATCCTGGTTATTTCCAGTTATTCAAGCTTGGATATTTTAGTCATTACTATTTTCTCTCTTTTAAATTTCAAACTTAACTATTTAGCAGTCTTTCAATTATTTTTGCTCTACAATGTTCCTTCTATAATTATAGTTTATATTTGCATTATTATAGTCTTCTGCTGTTGTTTCAAATTTATTGTCTTTACCTTTAGATTCTTCTACATCAATCCTTGTGTCATATGTAAAGGTAAAAGATTTTTTTAAAAAGGGCAAAAACACTTCAGAAAACACTAATAGCATGGTTTGATTGTTGGGTGAGATGCATACAATGGAAAGTGTGAGGCCTGACAGAGATCCAAGTGACAACTTAATCTTGTCCTCCTTAGAAGTTTTTATGAATCATACAAACTATGAAGGAAAAAGTGAAATATTTTAGGCAAAATAACTGTAGTAAAAAATTTTTCACTTTCAGGTATAGGAATATTCCAACAGTATAAGTAATTAATTTAAAATAGTGAAGTTAATAGAGAAGTCTGACGGGAATTATTATAACCTGCCTCGGTTTCCTTATCTTTCCTGAATTAATGTTTGCAGAATGCTTTAAACAGAGTTTGATGCTCAGGAAAGCCTTGACAATATCTTCTATTATTATTCCTATATGATATTTGTATTACTGAAGATAATGTAAATTACTCAAAGTTTCTTCCTCAACAATGAGTATGGTGCATTATAAGTAATGAGCTAATATTAGTGTCTATTCCACTTTAGCTGCAATTCAAAACCCCAAATGTTGTGAAAACCAAAGAGTAATTTTTGTCATTCATTTGATAGCCAAATTTGACCTAAACCAATATCTGGCTACTTCCAGTCTTTACTTATCCCTCTCAGTGTAAAAATTCATGTGTTTCACTGTAGGAATATAAATTTTAAAAATAAAAGGTAACTACTGGGTGTGTCAGATAATGTAAGATATATGCAAATATTCCTAAAATAATTCTGAATTTCAAGATAAATTCAGTTCCAAAGACTTTATTTATTTATTTATTTATTTATTTATTTTATTTATTTATTTGAGACTGAGTCTCACTCTATCACCCAGGCTGGAGTGCAGTGCTGCAATCTTAGCTCACTGCAACCTCCACCTCCCTGGTTCCAGCAATTTTCCTGCCTCAGCCTCCCAAGTAGCTGGGATTATAGGCACCCACCACCATGCCTGGCTAATTTTTGTATTTTCAGTGGAGATGGTGTTTCACCATGCTGGCCAGGCTGATCTGGAACTCCTGACCTCAAGTGATCCACCCGCGTTGGCCTCCCAAAGTGCTGGGATTACAGGTGTGAGCCACCGTGCCTAGCCCCAAAGACTTTAAATAATGAATTGTGAGACTGTAGTATGTTCTCAATAAATACCTGTGGACTAATTGAAAAACAAATCAAGGATAAAGTCATGGATAAATTATACTCAAAGGAAAGCTATAAAGTAGGTACTGCTGTTATTGACCCTCTTTACAGATGAGAAATGAGATTTAAGGGTAGGTATTATTTGTTCAATATCATTTAGTGTGTACAGCCATGACTCTGACATTAAAATTTATGTTCCTAGCCTATACTTTTTATAGCCTGTGCTCTGTACCAGCATTCAAGAAGCTGCAATACTTTTAAAATGCCAGACATTATTTATTTGTTTACAATACTTTATCTTGAAAAAATATGTACACTAATTCTATATAATTTGGGGAGTTTGAAAACTAGTTATTATTTATTTTCACCTTGTAGTAAAATATTATATTATCTGATGTCGAATTTTTAATTCAGTAGTTCTAATGTTTAAATATTTATAAAATGTGTTTTAAACATTTTGCTGAGCCAAATATATCAGATCACACTAGGAAATGCAACCCTCGTGGAAGTAAATAATGTATGCTAATCATCCTCTTCTATTTCTCGCAGATGGTGTCACATTATCTGTCAAATTAAACTCATGATTGTGTTTTTATTTTAAATTATGTACATAAACTATATCTTAAGAAAAACAGTCATTTCCTTTTTGTTATTTTTATGTTATTTTCCTTCTCTTTGCAAATACCTTGAATACAAGGAAGATCATGTTTAGCATAAAAATCCCAAGTTTAACACCCAAAAAGCAAAATACTCATTAAATATACCAGCAGTAATAGGCTTATATGCATTGCTACTTTCTGGATTTCAATGGAAGGGTTTTGGATGACGTTTTTAAACATGAAGTGATTTGATTAGAAAGTCAATGAATATAGCTCTTGAATTCTATAAAATGCATGTAAGTACATGTTGATATATTAATGCCAATGATTCATTCTAAGGAACAACAAAAGTGGATATTTAACAGATTTATAATTTTTTCCTTCATGAAATGAGATCATTCTAATCTAATATAATAAAAGATACCTAGGCTAGATTTTACATAATTATGAAATATTATAAATTCTCAGAAGAATAGATTTGTGTCTCAGAAACAGTAAATTCATAAGACTACTCTGATATTGATTTAATCCTTTTAATATATTTTATAGAATTCTTCTGCATTCACTTCCCAGCATCTAAGAAGCATTAAGTTTATGACAATTTACCTCAATGAAGGTATGCTGCTTTTTTAAAAATGTACTTAATACTCTCCATTATATTTCATAGACAACATTCTCAATTGAATTTTATGTTACCACTGTTCTCCATTTTCTGCCCCAACTCAACACATTCTTCAACCATTTCAATCAGATTTCTAATCTTGCTTTATTTGAAAAGTAGATTAAGTTCATATTGATAAATCCAAATTGCATGACTCAGGTCTTAGTCCATATATATATACATATATATATATATATATATATATTTTTTTTTTTTTTTTTTTTTTTGAGACACTGGGCCTTCTCATGTTGCTAGGCTGGCCTTGAACTACTGAGCCCAAGTAATCCTCCCACCTCAGCCTCCTGAGTAGATGGGACTACAGACTCACACCACTGCAACATCTTATTTCATTTTTGAGGTATATTCAGCAGTCAATACTTTTGACTACTCTCTCTTTCGTTAAATCACTGCGTTTCCTTGAAATCAATTTTAAGTTCCTGGTTATCCTTTTACCTTAGTCTATTTTGCCCAGATAGTTTTGGCATTTTTCTCATTTCTTCTCCTCTAACACTTAAATGATGAAGTTCATAGGACCCTATACTCCCTTGGTGATCTCATCTACTCTCATACCTTTAACACCATTTATCATTTACTAACCTGTATCTTTAGTCCAGATTTGCCTTCTCAGCTATAAACCTGTATTTCCCACTGATACTTGTCATCTTTATGTTTTAGGAAAGTCTCAGCCTTAAAATTTCAAATTCAAACTCATATTCCTTTCTTTCTGCAAAGATGTGCCCAGTTCATTAATTTGACCATTACTTATTGTTTTCAAATTGAAATCTTGGCATCAACTTTTTAAATTGACAAACAAAATTTTATGTATTTATGGTGCACGACATGATGTTTTGAAATATGTTTACATCAGCCGAGTGCGGTGGCTCACGCCTGTAATCCCAACACTTTGGGAGGCCGAGGAAGGTGGATCACCTGAGGTCAGGAGTTCGAGACCAGCCTGGCCAACATGGCGAAACACTATCTCTACTAAAAATACAAAAATTAGCCGGGCATGGTGGCACACACCTGTAGTCCCAGCTACTCGGGAGGCTGAGGCAGGAGAATAGCTTCAACCTGGGAGGCGGAGGTTGCAGTGAGCCAAGATCGCACCACTGCACTCATCTTGATTTCTCTCATTTCCATTTCCTACAGACCTGACAACTGAATATATATTGACTCTGTCCACTGTTTATATCGTGGTGAAATATACATAATATAAAATTTACCCCCAATCATAAAAGTGTACTATTCAATAGCATTGAGACCATTCACAATGTACTGCAACTCTGACTACTATATAGTTACAGAGCTTTTTCATCACCCCTAACAGAAATCCATATATATTAAGCCGTCACTCCCCAACACCCACTTAGTCCCTGGCCACTACCAATCTGCTTTCTATCTCTTGAATTTGCCTATTCTGAATATCTTATATAAATGAAATTATACAATATGTGGCCTTTGCGTCTGGCTTCTTTCACTTTGCATAGCACGTATCCACAATTTGTGGATATGTCTATTAAATTCACTTGCCCATTTTTAATTGGGTTGTTCTATTCTTGCTGAGTTGTAAGGATTCCTTATATATTTTAGATACTAAACCTTTTTGAGAGATATAATTTTCAAATATTTTATCCCAAAGACAATCGTGTCTTTTCACTCTTTATACTGTCATTTGTTGCATATTTTTTAAAAAATCGATAGTCTAATGTATTCATGTTTTCTATTTTGTTGCTTTGTGCTCTTGGTATCATATCTAGTAAATTATTGCTAGATCTAAGGTTGTGAAAAATTGCCTAAATGTTTTTCTTTAAGAGTTTTATAGGCTTAGCTCTCATACTTAGGTGTTTGATTCATTTGGAATTTTTGTATTTAGTGTGAGGCAAGGGCCCAACTTTTTTCTTTTGCATGTGGATTTCCATTTGTCTGAACATAAATTTGTTGAAAAGACTATTCTTTTCCCATTGAACAGCCTTAGCAACCTTGTTGAAAATAAGTTGACTGTAGATTTACCATTTATTTCTAGAATCTCAGTCTTATCCATTAATCAATATTGTCTATCCTGTGACAGTGCCATACTGTTTGGATCACTGTAAATATGTAGGAAATTTTACAAAAGTTTTGTGTTTGTCCTCCCACTTTGTTTTTCTTTTTCAATATTGTTTTGACCATTCAAATTCCTTTGCAATTCAAGATTTCATTCACCTAGAACTTCAGTTTATTTCTGTGATGTCTTATGATTTTCAGTGTGTAAGTCCTGAATGCCTTTGGTTGAATTCAGTCCTAAGTATCTTATTTCATGATGCTATTGTGGATGGAACTTAATTTTTCTTTTCAAATTCTTCATTGATATTGTATAGAAACACAATTTATTTTTGTGTGTTTGTATTATATTCTGCAACTTTGATAAATTTGCTTATTAGGTCTAATAGGTTTTTTTCCCCTAAGATTTTCCTTATATAAGATCATGCCATCTATGAATATACATAGTTTTACTTCCAATTTTTACTTTCCATTTCCATTTAAATTGACTTTTATTTTTTATCTTGCCTACTTCCTCTGGCTAGGATTTCCAATAAAATGTTTAATAGTACTGGCCAAACAGTCATCCATGGCGTACTTAGGAGGAAAGTTTCCAGGCTTTTATTATTAATTAGCATGTTAGCAATGATTTTTTAAAGACGCTTTTTATCTTTGAAGCAGTTACATTCTATTTCTTATTTGTTAAAGGTTTTAAAATTAAACCAAAAAAGAGTATTAGATTTTTGTAAGTGCTTTTTCTATACCACTTGAGATAACGATGTAATTTTTATTCATAATTTCATTGGTAAAATATATGCCATTAATTTCCATATGTTGAACCATCTTTGCATTTCTGAATAAATCTTAGTTATGATTCATAAATATTTTAATATGCTGCTGGAATTGTTTTGATAATATAGTGCTGAGAAGTTTTCCATCTATATTCATTAGTTATATGGGTGAGCTATTTTCTTTTCTAATATTATTTTCTGGTACTGGTATCAGGGTAATTCTGGCTTCATAGAATGATTTAGAAACTTTGTCCTCCTTCTCTATTTTTGGAAGGATTTTGGAAAGATTGGTGCTAATTCTTTTTAAAATGGTTAAAAGAATTCATCATTTAAAATGCCTGGTCCTGGCCTTTTTTATTGTCGTTGTTTAAAGAGTTTTTATTACAGATTCAATCTCTTTACTCATAATGGATCTCTTGATAGTTTCCATGTGTTTTTGATTCAGCTTTGGTAATTCATGTTTTTTGGAGAAATATGTGCATTTCATTTATTTACCTATTTTGTGGGCATACAATTGTCCAAAACATTATTTTACATTTTATTTTGTACAGGTTTTGTAGTAATATGTCCACTTTCACTTATGACTTTAATGATTTGAGTCTCCTTTCTCAATCTATATAAATGATTGTCAATTATATCAAACTTTTTCAAAGAACAAACATTTGACTTATTTGGTTTTCTCTATTGATTTTTTATTTTCTGAATCATTTAGTTCTGCTCTAATCATGATAATTCCTTGCTTCTGCTAGTTTTAGATTTAGTTTGCTTATCATTTTTTAGTTCCTTATGGTGTAGAGTTAGAATATTGAGTTGAGATCTTTCTTCTTTTTTTAATATAGGTATATGCAGCTATAAATTTTACTCTGAGCATGGGTTTTACTAAAACTCTACATTTTTACAAGTTGTTTATTCCTTTTACTTTGTCTGAAGACATTTTCTAAAATCTTTTGTGGTAAGTTCTTTGACCCATTGTTGAGAGTGTATTGTTTAACTTACATATATTTTGAAGTTTCCCAATTTTCTTATGTTATCAATTTCTAGATTCATAGCATCATAGTCAGAGGAGATTCCTTTGTATAATTAATATCTATATAATTTTATTGAGACTTGTTATGTGGTTTAACATATGGTTTATTTGGGGAAAGGTTCCACATGTACTTAATATTTGGTCTTTTGTTATGTGGGTGAAGTATTCTGTATATGCCCATTAGTTCTAACAGGTTTATAGGGTTGTACAAATCTTAATCTACTTGCTGATTTTTATGCTAGTTTTTCTACCTGTTATTGAAAGTGAGACTATGAAATCTTATTATAGAACTTCTTTCTTTTCTCCATTTTTAATTATTTATATGTTTGGGGGCCATGTTTTTGCGTGGGTATATGTTTTTAATTGCTATCTATTATGGGTGGATTGGCCTTGACTGTTGCAAACAATAATTGACAATATCTATTATACCTGAAATTACTATATGCACTCTAATTTTCTTTTCATCACTATTTTTTATGGAATGCTTTTGAAAAATGACTTACTTTCAAACTATTTGTATTTTTGGATCCAAAGTGAGTCTCTTGTTCACAGCATATAGATGTATCATATAATTGCTCTATTCTACCTATCTCTGGACTTCAACTGGAGATTTTTATCCGTTTACATTTATATCATTTATTTCTAAGAAAACATTTACTCGCACCATTTTGTTATTTGTTTTCTATATGTCATATATCTTTTTTGTTCCTCAATTCTTTCACTATTGCCTTCTTTTGTGTTCAATTGATTTTTTGTATTGTACTGTTTTGATTCCTCTCTGTATATTATCTATTATTTCATTTCTCAGTGGTTATCTCACTGATTACAATTAACATAATAAACTTAAAGTAGCCTATTATTAAATTAATACCATCTTAGTTAAAATGACATATAAAATCTCTGCTCCTTTACATCTTTGTTACTTCTCCTATATGTTGGTATTTTTGAAAATGACCATATGCTCATTAGCATAGATTTAGAATTATTGTTTTATGTTATATAGGAAAATAAGAGGAAATATAAAACAAAAATAAAATAATTCTGTATTTTATATTTACCTATGTGGTAACCTTTGCTAATGTTTCTTTTCATTTCTTTGCATGATTTTGATTTAATATTTGCTGCCTTTCATTTCAGCCTGAAAGATTCTCATTAGCATGTTTTATAGAGGATGTGTACTAGTAGCAAATGCCTTCATATTTTGTTTATTTGAAGATATCTTATTTACTGTTTTGTTAGGATTGTTTTGCTTGGCATAAAATTTTTGATTGACAGATCTTTCTGTTTGTTTCAATACTTTAAAAATATCATCTTTTTGCCTTCTGGCCTTTATGGATTTTTACAAAAAATTGGTTGTTAGTGAGAATCAACTGTACTTGCTGACTTCCTTATTTTCTACTACTTTCAAGATTCTCTTTGTCATTGTCCTTTGCCATTTTGACTATAACTCAGTACGGATCTCTTGGAGTTTATGCTTCTTGGAGACTATTGAATGCATTGGATGTAGAGACTCATGTCTTTCCTCATATTTGGAAAGTTTTTATTATCATGTCTTCAAAGATGTTTTTTCTGCTCATTTCTTTCTGTCCTACCCATCTGAAACTGCCATTGTGCATACATTGGTACATTTTATGGTGTTCCAGAGATCTCTTAAATATTATTTATTTTTTTAAAATTTATTTTGCCTCCTCAGGGCAGTTTCAATCGTCTTATCTTCTAGTTGAATGACTATTTCTTTTGTTTGCTTAAATTTTCTGTTGAGCTTTTCTAGTAAATTTTGCGTTTTAGTTATTGTACTTTTCAACTCCAGAATTTCTTTTTGGTTCCTTTTTAAATTGCTATCATTGTATTGATTCCCTATTTGTTGAGTCATTGTGCTTCTAGTTTTCTTTAGTTTTTTTTTTTTTTTTTTCCAGTGTCCTTTAGTCCTTTACCCTTTAAGCATATTTGAGACAGTGGGTTTATAGTCTTTTTTTTTTCTTCTGTTTTCCAGAGACTCGCTCTGTAGCCCAGGCTGGAGTACAGTGGTGTGATCTTGGCTCACTGCAACCTCCGCCTCCTGGGTTCAAGCAATTCTCCTGTCTCAGCCTCCTGAGTAGCTAGGACAACAGGTGCGTGCCACCACACCCAGCTAATGTTTTGTATTTTTAGTAGAGACAGGGTTTCACTGTGTTAGCCAGGATGGTCTTGATCTCCCGATTTCATGAGCTGCCTGCCTTGGCCTCCCAAAGTGGTGGGATTACAAGTGTGAGCCACCACACCCAGCCTATAATGTTTTTATAGTACCAAAACTTGTGCTCCATTATTATCAGTTTCTTTGGGTTTTCTTTCTTCTGTGAAAGGGCTATTGTTTCTTTTTTGCAGGCATCATAATTTTTTGTTAAATTGGGGCATTTGTATAATTATGATTTGGTATATCTGAAAATGAAACTCTCCCCACACCTCAGGATTTGGTATTATTGATTACTTTAAGTTGTAACCTATTTTTTGAAGACTGAATTCGTTTGTTATGTATAGTCTCAGAAGTCTTGGTTAATTTGGTGAAGTGGTTAGCTAGTGGTTTAACATATTTTTTCATCCTTCTGGGGTAAGAAATTTATAATGAAAAGAAAAAAAACACATTTTTAAAATCTTTGCCTATTGACTCTGTTTTGGTCACTCCTTCCATGCTTAGTTGGTTATTTCTGATGCTACCTGACCCTTCATTTCCTACTTCTGCTGAACATATACATGAGCCAGAAGTGAAAGGTTATGGAGTCTCAGATCATTTTTGAGCCTGCATTCCATTCTACTTGTTTCTTGGTTTTCCACATTCCCCAGTATATGCAGGAGATTTTTAAAGCTCGTATTTTAGGAAGTGTTTTACTCCACAACCTTTCCTTCAAAGCTTTTGGCATGTCTATTTTTTGCCCAACTGTTATCTCTTGCTCCAGGTAACAGAGGCTTGTTCATCTGCTTTTTGATTGTTTGAAGGCGCTTCCTTCCCAAATTTGTTTCTTCACCCTAACAGAGATCTGAGTTAGGCAAAATAAAGTCAAGCCTCTTGTGTCAGTCATTTAGGCAGACTCACGCAGGTCAAAATATACAAACATGATTCCTTTGGAATAAGGTCTGTTCTGCTGCCTACAGAACCAGGAACCCACACCAGGAATGCAGGTTGCTGATTTCAGGACTGCCATCACACTAGGGAATTGTGTGTGACAAGGGTAAATTAAAACTCCTCAAAGCTTTTCCACTAGGTTTAAGTAGTCTTTCTCATGATTGAACATTTTATTTATTGCTATGAACATTTGACCATCTTCCAGAGTTCTGGTAAAGTAAATTCACTTTTACCAGTTTATAGTTTTTAGGGGGGCACATATTTCTTGGGGGACAGTATACCCTGAAATTCCCTACCCGACCATTTTTCTGATATCTTGCTCAGTTCTCTTTTTTGTCACTACTACCGCCACTTTAAATGAGGCTACTATCAGCTCTTCCTGAAAGATAGTCATATACTTTTCACAAGTTATTTCATAGGTACATTTGGCTCCAGCTAATACATTCTCCATGAGGAGACCATAAAAACTACAAACTATAAACTTGATTATTATTTTTTCTGCTTAGAATACTTTAGAGTTTTATATAGACCTTTAGGCTATAAACCAAAATCATTTTAATGGATTACAAGACTTCATGGCTGGGTCCTTCCTCTCTCTACTTATATGTTTTCTTTTAGGTCTTTGTATTTCAGGTGCATGTACTTCCTTCTACTTTTTAAAATCAGTCTCACACATCTCCACTTTCTGACTCTTTCAGTGACTTTCTTCATTTTCTTCCTAGTTTTGCTTTCCCTTGCCTTTTTTTTACTTCAGAGTTCTCACATATGTTAATCCTTCTTTTACACATTTGCCTAGGTAGTCAACATTTTGGTCAACAACAGATTGCATATAAGATAGTGTTCCCATAAAAATAAACAAGGTTACTTCAAAAAGTGTGTAGATAAATGGAATTAAAATATAAGCATATAAATATAAACTTTATTTCTTAATGTAAGCTTCACCAAGATAAAGACACTTATGTAAGGGATGATACAGACCATTTAGTCCAATTCTAAAGAAGTGAAGATCTTTGGAATTTAAACATATCAATGAAGTCTTTCTTCATTATTAACTGAAGAAAAACAGGTGGGCTTTAAAGATTTTTTTAACATTAGGAAAAGAAAATAATACAGAAGGAGCCAAATCAGGACCTTAAGTTGGATTTCTGGTGTTTTCTCATAGAAACTCACACAAAATTGCTTTATTTCATAAGTTGAATAAGCAGGAACATTGTTATTGTTGAGAAGGACTCTGGTTAAGCGTTCCTGGACATTTGTTTTTTACTAAAGCTTTAGCTAACTTTTTCATAATAAGTACATATTATCATTCTTTGACCCTCCAGAAATTCAACAGTAAAATGTCTAGCACATCAGCAAAACTGTTGCCATGATCTTTGCTTTTGACCCATCTGATATGCTTTGATTGGACCATTTCCATCTCTTGGTAGCCATTGCTTTGATTGTGCTTTGTTTTCAGGATCACACTAATAAAGCCATGTTTCATCTCCTGTTATAATCTTTAAAAAAGTTTTTCAGTCTTGATTCCACTTGTTTAAAAGGCATGGAGTGGCAATTTGGATAAAGAAGCAAAATCCAACTGTATGCGGTCTTCAAGAGACCCATCTCACATGCTATGACACCCATAGAATCCAAGTATAGAGATGGAGAAAGATGTATCAAGAAAAATAAAAAAAAAAGAGCAGGAGTTGCTATTGGTATTTCATAAAAAATAGACTTTAAACCATCAAATATCAAAAAGAATGAAGAAGGGCATGACATATTGATAAAGGATTCAATTTAACAAGAATCCTTAACTGTCCTAAATGTGTGTGTGTGTGTGTGTGTGTGTGTGTGTGTATGCAACCAATGCTGGAGCTCACAGATTCATAAAACAACTTCTTAGAGACTTATTAAGAGACTTAAATAACAATACAATAATAGTGGGAGTCTTCAACATCTCACTGACATTGTTGTAGGAAAAACAGGTTGTTGTCACAGGACCAGGAAAATTTAGACGTGTGGACACATTGTAGGGTGATTAGGGGAGGGTTTAATGGGAGAAAAGAAAAAAGGAAAGAGGAACTTTCAGCAATGTGAGAGAGAGTCCTGCTAGCAGGTCTCCCACCTCACTGATTGAATCCCAGGTCACCACCCAGGAACTGAAGAGGCCAGGCTCCTCCCCACTGCAAATGACATGAACTTCCTGAGACTCCACCCTGTCCTTCCAATGTGCAAGTGGGCATTATTCAGAGAGAATCAGTTGGGAAAGGGAGGGCTTCATCTGGGACCAGCAGTCCGGTTTTTCAGCCCTCAGGCTGAAAATTAATACCCAAGAATATTTCTAAAATCCATGCAATTACATAGAAATTAAACAACCTGTTCCTGAATGACTAACTAATAAAATCAAGTAACTAATAAAGTTAAGGCAGAAATCAAGAGATTATTTGAAACGAATGAAAACAAATATACAACATACCAGAATCTCTGGGGGCACAGCTAAAACCATGTTAAGAGAAAAGTTTAGAGTGTTAAACACCCACATTAAAAAGTTAGAAAGATCTCAGCAACTTAACAACATGCTTAAAGGAACTAGAAAAACAAGATGAAACCAATCTCAAAGCTATGAGAAGAAAAATAATAATCAAAATCAGAGCTTACTGAATGTAATTTAGGCACAAAAAAAATACAAAAGATTAATGTAACCAAAATTCGGTTCTTTGAAATAATACATAAGATTACTAGACTACAAACTAGACTAAAAGAAAAAAAAAGAGAGGACATTCAAATAAACACAATCAGAAATGACAAAGGTGAAATTACCACTGACACCACAGAAATAAAAACAATTCTTAAAGACTATTATAAATATCTCTCTGCATAGAAACCCAAAAACCTAGAAAAAATGGAAAAACTCCTGGACACATACAACCTCCCAAGCTTAAACTAAGAAGAAATTAAAACTCTGAATAGATCAATAACAGGTTCCAAAATAGAATGTCATAAAAAGCCTACCAACCAGAAAAAACTCTGCACCAGACATATCCACAGCTGAATTCTACCAGTTGTACAAAAAAGAGCTGGTATCAATTCTACTGAAACTATTACAAAAAGTCAAGGAAGAAGGACTCCTCCCTAACTCATTCTATTAGGCCAACATCATTCTGATACCAAAACCTGGCAGAGAAACAATGAAGAAAGAAAATGTTAGGGCAATACTCCTGGTGAACATAGATGCAAAAATCCTCAGGAAAATACTAGCAAACCAAATCCAGTAGCACATCCAAAAGCTAATCCACCAGGATCAAGTAGGCTTTATTTCTGAGTTGCAAGTTAGGTTCAACGTATGCAAGCAAATCAACGTGATTTATCACATTTTAAATACAACTAAAAACAAACACCACATGATCATCACAATGGATGAAGATAACACTTTTGATAAAATTCAACTTCCCTTCATGTTAAAAACCCTCAACAAACTAGGCATTGAAGAAACATACCTCAAAATATTAAGAGCCGTTTCTGACAAACCCACAACCAGCATCATATGGAATGGGGAAAAGCTGGAAGCAGTCCTCTTGAGAACTGAGACAAGACAAGGATGCCCACTGTCACCATTTCTATTCAACATAGTACTGGAAGTTCTAGCCAGAGCAATAAGGTAAGAGAAAGAAGTCAAAGGCATCCAAATAGGAAGAGAGGGAGCCAAGAAGTTTCCCTTCACAGAAGATATAAATCTATACCTAGAAAATACCATAGTCTCTGCTCAAAGGCTCCTAGATCTAGTAAACAACTTCAGGAAAGTTTCAGGATACATAATCAATGTATAAAATCAGTAAAATTTCTAAACACCAATTACATCCAAGCTGAGAGCCAAATCAAGAACAAACCGCCCACCCCAACACACACACACACATAATTACCTGGGAACACAGCTAATTAGGGAGGTGAAAGACCTCTACAGCAAGAAATATAAAACGCTGCTAAAAGAAATCAGAGATGATGCAAAAAAATTAAAAAAATTCCATGTAATGGATAGGAAGAATCAATATTGTTAAAATGGCCATATTGTCCAAATCAATTTAGAGATTCAATGCTATTCCTGTCAAACTACCAACAACATTTTTCAGAGAATTAGAAAAAACTACTCTAAAATTCATGTGGAACCAAAAAATAGCTAAAATAACGAAAGCAATCCTAAGCAAAATGTACAAAGCCAAATACATTAGACTACCCAACTTCAAACTATATTACAAGGCTACAGTAACCAAAACCACATGATACTGGCACAAAAATAGACACGTAGACCAATGGAACAGGTTAAAGAACCCAACAATGAAGGTTCACACCTACCCCCACCTGACTATTGACAAAGTCAAGAAAAACAAGAAATAGGGGAAAGACTCCCTATTTAAAAAATGTTACAATGACTGCTTAGTCATATGCAGAAGATAAAAATTGAACCCATTCATTTCACCATATACAAAAATTAACTCAAGATGGATTAAAGACTTAAATATATAACCTAAAACTACAAAATCCCTTGAAGAAAACCTAGGAAAATATCATTCCAGATATAGGCCCTGGGAAAGATTTCATGATGAAGACTCTGAAAGCAGTTGCAACAAAACAAAAATTCACAAATTGAACTTCAATAAACTAAAGAGCTTCTGCACAGCAAAGGAAACGATCAACAGAGTAAAAAGACAACCTACAAAATGGGGTAAAATACACACTATGCCTCCAAGAGAAATCTAATATCCAGAATATAAAAGGAATTTAAACAAATTAACAAGCAAAAAACAATCCTGTTAAAAAATGGGCAAAGGATATGAAGAGAAACTTCTCAAGACATATACATGGACAAGAAGCATTTAAAAAAAATTCTCAACGTCACGAATCATTCAAGAAATGCAAATCAAAATCACTATGATACTATCCACAGCAGTCAGAAAGGCTATTATTGAAAAGTCAAAAAATAACAGATGTTAGCAAGGTTGCAGAAAAAATGACATGTGTATATACTACCTACGGGAATGTAAATTAGTTCAGCCACTATGGAAAGCAGTTTTGTAATTTCTAAAACAACTTAAAACAGAGCTGCCATTTAATTCAGCATTCCTATTACTGGATATATATCCAAAGGAATATAAATAATTCTACTGTAAAGACACATGTATGCACGTTTATCTCAGCACTACTCACAATAGCAAAGACATGGAATCAACCTAGATGCTCATCAATGGTGGACTGGATAAAGAAAATGTGGTGCATATACATAATAGAACACCACACAGCCATAAAAAATAATATATTATGTAATATTTAATATGTATAACTTGCTTTTTATAATTATAATAAATAATACGTAGATAAAATGAAATGAAATAAACAGAAACTATGTTAGACCTCTCTAAATTTTTTTTTATTTTAAATAACCAAGGCAAAAATGTGGAGCAGGAAGTCCATGCTTTTAATTATTTTATTAGTTGTTAGTCATTGGCAAAATTCTTTAATCACTCTAGGTTTCATCACTAAAGTAGAATTGATAAACCCTACTCAAGTCAGATGATTGTTTTACAAATAAAATCAGCTAATATGTATTAAAATGCTTCATATTGTTTTACAAAAACACAAATTATAATGTATTCATTTATCAATTTTTGAAATAAATATTAAACTCCCATTATGTCCCATGTGCAGCACCATTATCATCATCACCATTATCTGGGATCTTTGCATGCTATGGGGCCAATTGATGTACCAATACATTTGGGTAATAAGTGTTTGATATGTGTGATTACTATACTTGTGGTACCAATCTGACATGATTTCAAGGAAAATTTACAAAAGAAAACACTTTAAAAATTGAGTAAATTAGGTAATGTGAGGCAGGACATATCTGATTTTTAAAATACTTTTCTAACTTTAGATTTTGGAGATGCTTGTGAAGAGTCCATGGATTATTTTAGAAATAGATTTAGACTCTGGGTAACTTTTATAAATTAAATAACTGATATGTTAAATTTGTTGAAGGAAAGCATTTCTGAATCCTTCTCTTTCCCTTCTATCTCTTTCTAAATTACATCTTAAACATTCATTGCATTTTTGTCCCCAGGTATGGTACAGAACATATCAGAAAACCAAGAAGTCACGTGTTAACCATCTCATGGTTTTTGAAAAGTGAATTAGCATATCTGGGTCCTAATTTGTGTCCATGCTAGAAAAATCCTTATAGGAATAGTTTAGTTGGGATACAAACATATTCATATAACAAACTGAGAATCTCCTTTGACTTCTTAAAATGCAAGCGAAACCAACAACAACAAAAATAAGTAAAATTGAGGGAAGGGGGGCATTTGGAAAGTCCAAGTAATTCTGAGAATACCACAATGTCTCTCACTGCAGCATCATTGAACTCACAACTGATTATTAGAGCAAAAAGATGTTAATAAAAGGGCAAATAAAAACTCGGTGAATGCTGCTCTGCAATTCTCCTGGGACACTGAGAGCCACATACATTGGGAATATTACTGGAGTTATTGGAAAAAGCATTGGCAAACATGGTGGCAGGATTAGCAATGATGGATGCAGCAGTTGTAGTGATAGTTAGCAATGGCAAGGGTACCAAATGTGACGCCTCATTGCCTTCAATGTTAGGTATTATGACCAAAGACAGCACTCTTGATTATTGCTACGGTGGTATTTGTGGTGCTTTTGGTAGGTAGTAACTCTGGCCATACAACTCTTCCTTTTGGAAATAGCAATAATTAGAGACATCCCTGAAGCAATAGAGAAGGAAAATAGATACTATCTGGTGTTCAAGGCAATTAGTTAATCCTTGAATGTCTCATAAAGCATCTATTTGCTATTACTAGAACAATTTAGGAGAAACAAGTAGAAAACCAGATTTGTGGTAGAGAGGATGGGAAAGTGTCAGTGAAATGCTATTTTACGGCTATTGCTTTATTTTCCAACTGGTTAGACTGGAGAACCAATGGTCACATTTGTTTTGTTATGATTTAGGTAGTCAAAACTTAACAAAAGCAATGTTTCATTTTACCATAAAAACGTGCATTTAAAACTCACTAAAATAATCTTTGCTCTTTCTCATAACAAGACTGTGTGTTATCATTATTGAGCACATGGTATATTCTAGCCAATTAACTTACATCTAATCTTTGTAACCAAAGGACTTTCGTTCTTTGTTAATTTCAACTGTCTGGCATCAACAATCTTCCGTTTTTGCTTGTATCACTCCAAAATAGCATAATGTACTACCTCTCCTAAAGTACATTAACAAAAGCTTCCTCCTCTCTTCCCACTTTATACCCATCCAGTCTTTTCTCCTTAATCTGATGAAGTTGCTCAAGACAAGTGTTCATGTCAAGATCATTGATGACTTCATACCGTCAGATCCACAAGAGACATTCTCATTTTAGCTGAACGGCATTCATCAACACCTGGTATAATTGATTACTCACTTCTCAAAATATCCCTCCTATCACCACATCCTACTTGTTTTTTCTCTTATTTTTCTGGACAATTATGTTAAATCTTCATTATAATTTCTCCATCTTTATATGACCTCTATATGGCATAATGGGGTAGTTATCTGGATTTTAGGATTAGGTCCACAGTCTATTTTTCTGCTTTTTTTTCCTGAGAGATACTGTCTCCTGTACTGTGTCAAAACCTTCATATGGATGTGGGTGTGTGCCTACATTGTGTATGTGTGTGTTGTGTGTATATGCGTGTGTGTATGGCAAAGATAGCTCCTATTAACTTCATTTGTATATTCAATAAACTGCATAATATCTTCACTTAAGTATCTCACAAACATGTAAAACTGAACTTTAGGTTTTTTTCCCCATCCCCTTCTTTTCTGGCATATGTATTTAGCATTGTGAATTGAATATATTTATATATTGCTTTAACGTATTTCATTTATTCAATCAAAACATGTGGGATAAGTATCTAAAATAAATGAGACTATACAAAGTTGTATGGGGATGACTAACCAAATAAAAGCTGTTGCCTTTAAAAAGGCGATAGGGTTACAGACACAAGAGTTCAACTCTAGAAGACTGTGTTATAGGTTTTGTAAGTGCAAAAAGTGTACAATAGAAAGGCAATAAATAGTTTTATGAAGAGAAGTGACATGACTAGAATTAAATCTTATGTTTTCTACTGTGGCTGCTTTGCAGAAAATGCATTTAAGTTTGTAGGGATTTAAATAGGCATGGAAAATGAGGACTGCAAAAGGTTAATAGTAAGACAAATTATCAGCCTATTATAGGAGACACTAGTACTTTAGTCTAGAGTAATGCTAGCAGAAATGGAAAGAAATGAATAGATTTGATATAATTTTGGTGATAAATTTTATGTTACTTGCCGAGGAAAATACTATATTTCAAAAAGAGGTACTGTGTATTATCTGCTAAAATAATTTAATAACTTCTGCCTTTGGGATTTAGATACATTTATATAGAGCCTGAAAATAGTAGGCATGTAATAAATGTTGAATGTTTAAATGAATAGATGACTAGAGGAACAAACAGCTGGATGGATGAATACATGTGTACATGCATAGTGAATTCAACTCATTAAACTGATGATCACCTATAGTTTTTATATTGAATACTATATTGCTTTTTAGCATATATAGCAGTAGATACATGTGTATATTTGTTTGCTGGTTATTTTGTCAGATACTTCTTTTTAAACTTTTATAGAAGATTTTAAATAGATTTTTGCTTATCACATAAAGGACCCTGGGAAAACTTGAAAATTAAGAAAGAAGCAATCACCTGCAAAAAAGTTTTTGTTTATTCCCTAAACAAATGCAGCTGAATATTCTTTAGAGAAATAAGCAAGCTATTCAGCTAAGTTGATTTTTACATTTATATGCATTATACTTACAGTCACCTTTTTCCTAAAAAAAAAAATCACAGAATATCAAGTACTACTCTATATAAAGTTTTTTTGTACCTAAAATAATTACTATAGAAGGATATTATTAGTGTTACTATAGAATATTACTATAGAAGGATATTATTAATATTTCTCCCCCTTTTCCCCCAAAACAATGTGCTGTTTTCAATCTTACTTTCGCTTTAATACTTGTGAAAATTAAGATGATGATATATTTTAAATAGATAGCTTTGATTTGCATAAAATATAAGTTTGCACAAGCTTTTGAAAGCACTTCAGAGAGTACTTAAAGCTGAGTATATTTTTTGGCTGATTATACATGCAGTAGTAAACTGCATCTGGCGATATATATTTTATTAACAGTTTCCTCATCCTTCTGCCTAAATCTACTGATTTATTGATGGTTTCCTTTTACCTCTGCTATGATTCTAATGCTCCCAAAACTTTTTTTTTTTCCTTCTTATGCTTGTTTATATGAACCACCATTGTGTGGATAAGGGTGAGAGCACAGAAGAAATGGATTTTAGAGTCAACATTCAGTACCTATTCAAAGGTGACTAGGATGAGAGCTAGTGTGCTTTTGAAGAGAGAGAGAGAATAGATTAAGGAGATAGCTAGCTCTCTCTCCATATTTAAAGATGGATAACATCTACCACTTATTAAGAGTTGTTATTGGCCTAGATATTTAGGTGATGCTTTGATAGTCAATTACTAATGCCTAGGTTATACATTGTGGGGAAACACTCTTACTTTCTGTGATTACATCTGAACCAAAGTCTTGTTTTCCTGTCATGCTGCTTTTAATAATATTTTCCTTCCTTCCTTCCTTCCTTCCTTCCTTCCTTCCTTCCTTCCTTCCTTCCTTCCTTCCCTCCCTCCCTTTTCTCCTTCTCTCTCCTCTTCCCTCCTTTCTGCTCTTCCTGCCTCCATCTCTCTGTCCTTATTTATGTATCTATATTAACTCACATTTTTGTTGCCTTAGTGTAGGCAGTGTGTCTTTAGTTTTACATTTGAGAAAACCAGAAATAAATACTCTGAGTTTTTATTACACATTATATGATTCTACTTTATTATACCCAAATTTCATCTCATGTTTAATTATAAAAGTAATAATTAAAATATTAGAATATCAGAAAATACACACAAACATACATAAGAACAGAGGTCAGTGTGGCTGTCAGAAATTGTGTTGTGGAAAGTATCCACAAATGCAGTATCCATTTTCATTATTGCTTACTGGGACTATTTTGAAAATATAATGTTTTAACTGGGCTTCCAATCCCCAGTCTTTCTTCTATTATATCATTTCTGGATTCACATGACACTGATTAAATACACACACATACACACACACAAGATTATAGTGCTCTGTGGTTAGGAAACTGTGACAGTTCCATGATACTTCCATGTTAAATTTTCCTGCAAATTTTACTAAAATTCGGGTTCCCAAGACCTACCTACAAATATTTAAATTCTTAGTTATCAGATGGTGCCTAGGAATCAGCATTTTAAGAAACAAAGTCTTTCTGATGTTCGACAGTCTAATCACATTAACTTTCTTACCATCTCTGTAAAGAGCACCTACCTTTACTCTCCATGGCCATTGTATGTCCTGTATCTAGAATATTTGGAATCACTCTCACACAAAAGCTCAAGTCAAAAATTTCTTCTACTCCACTGTCTGGAATGAATAACTCTAACTCCTCAATCTTCCCTGGCATCTCGTTTGTACCCCAAATAGTCTTCTCTTTTATATTAGGGTAAGTTAATAGATCTTGTTTCACATGGAGATTTTGAACTTTTTTTGGTCAGTATAAACATTTATAAGTGTTTATATTCTTTGTACCTAGCAGATATTTGTGAAACACAAAACTTATTTTAAAGGAATAAGCATAGAGTTTGCTCTTGTTTCAGAATATTGGATATATAAATACACATGCAGACACCAGAAATTTTTAGATATATGATTTTATTCTTTCATGTTTAATTATAAAAGTAACACTTACAGTATTAAAATATCAGGAAATACATATAAACATATCTGTCATCTATCTATCTACCTATCTATCATCTACCTATATAATGTCATCCAAAAGTTGCAACTCAGAAAAATTATATTTACTGACATTTTTAATAGATCTTTTATATACAAAACTATATTTTTCTCAATAAAAAAGTTTGCTTTAAAATTTTCTTTTCTATTATTTTAATTAATAGACATTATTGCTTAGAGCAGTATTAGGTTTACATAAAATTTTAGCAGAAAATTCCTTTATACTTCCTTTCCATGCCCCACCGCACCCTCAGTTCTCCTATTATTAACACCTTGCATTGGTGTAGTACATTTGTTACAATTGATGAGCCAATATTGACACATTATTATTACATAAAGTCTATAGTTTGTATTAGGGTTTATTCTCAGTGTTTTACAGTTCTGAGGTTTTGACAAATGCATAATAGCATGTATGCACAATTACATTATCAACAGGGTAGTTTCACTGCCCTAGAAATCCCCTGTGTTCCTGCCCCTGGCAACCACTGATTCCTTTACTGCTTCTATAGATTTGCTTTCTCAGAATGTCATATATTTGGAATCACACACTATGTAGCCTTTTCAGAGTTACTTCTTTCTCTTATCAATATGCATTAAAGATTCTCTTATGTCATTTTCTGGTGTGGGGGGGGCTTGATAACTCATTTCTCTTTATTGCTGAATAATATTCCATTGTTTGTACCATAGATTTTTATTCATTCGCCTATTGGTGGACATTTTGGTTGCTTCCAAGTTTTGGCAGTTATGTATAAAGCTGCTATAACCATCCATATTCAGGTTTCTATGTGGACTTAAGTCTTCAGCTCATTTGGGTAAATGTCTGGGAGCATGATTGCTGGATCAAAAGGTGTGACTATGTTTAGCTTTGTAAGAAGCTATCAGTGTCTTCCAAAGTGGCTGTACAATTTTGTAATACTATCAACAATGAGTGAGAACCCTTCTTGTCCCATGTTCTCTCTAGAATTTGGTGTAAGTGTTCTGGATTTTAATCATTATAGCAGTAATGCAGTGGTATCTCGTTTCCATTTGTAATTCCTTAATAACATATTATATCAAGCAAATTTCATATGCTTATTTGTCATTTGTATATATTCTTTAGTGAAGTGTCACTTCAGAACTTTTGTCCTGCTTTTTTGTTTTTTACTTATTTTGAAGTTCCAAAATCATCAGTTTTTTGACTTCATAGTAAGAATGTGGATTTTTAACAAATATTTCCGTTTTCCTACATAAGCAAAGTAATGTAACTTAGAAAATTTTTTTGTTGATGTGGGCCATTATTTTTCCTAAAAATATTGTCATGTTAATATTTTACATTTAAGCCAAAAATATCTTGTAAGTTAGGCAGCGTGCTAGTTCAAATTTGGAATATACATGACTATATATAGTGTAATTCAATAACAAACACAGATAACCATTACAGGACTTGTTTTCTATTGTGTAGCCTAGAGAATGACCCTCAAGTTGGTTTTGTGATATAATATATGCAGACAATATGACAGGTAATTGATTTGATTTAAAATATACCTTACTGGTGACAAATTATAGTTTTATTACTGAGCGTAGCAAAATAATATTTAAATGAACATCTAATGGAGCAAACATTTTTTAAGAAGAGTTGTTAATTTTGCCACAGTACATTTAAAATTTGGACCAAGAAACAGTGTAATTATGAGTATAATGCATGTTGTGATATAATTTCTAATGTGTTGGTGAGAAAAAAATCCTACTTAGAAGAATTACTGGGGATATATTTTGATACGCATGTAAGGATTCATATCTAAAAAGGTTAATATTTACTCCATTCTATAACATGAACTCTGATTTCTTGTTTGAAAATTGTATGGATAATACTCCATTTTCATATTCAAGATTACAGTGTCCTCACCATAAGCCATGAAGAGAAACAAAAGTGCTGAAGTTGTTTAAATAACATTATAATTTTGATAATTCTGTAGTCTCATGTAAATGTGCTTAAATAATGTATTTTCTATAGGGTTCTGAGAAATTCAAAAGAAAATTTCTGTGGCAGGCTTACAGAGTTATATATAGAATAATAAAGGCCGGAAAAGAAACTTCACAAAATAGAAACATACAAAAGATGTGTGTTTTAGTACTGTTATATAGATATGCTCTGACTTACTAAAACAAAGCTGGCTTATTCCAAGGAAATCATGTTCAGTCATAGAAGCTTCCTGCTGTATATTTTTTGGTGTGTATTTCATACTTTAAACTGCTTTGTTTTCATTTTTTACATTGCATTTTAAAGGCACTTAAATATCTTTATAACTTTTTTAAAGCTAAAGAGTCATTTGTTAAAATGCTATAGAAATACAGTGAAATATTAGTCTGAGAGGCTTTGGATATTACAATATAGTCTATTCCCTGCTAGATACCACAGCAAATTAAAAATAAACATGCCCTGGTTATTGTCCATTAACATCATGTAATCTAGAGGTTAAATCCATCATTAGAAAATCAATCAGCCTTATAAATTGTCAGATATTAAAATATCCACTTGAAATTCTTTTGTTTTCAACTTTTATTTTAGGCTCAGGGGTACAGGTGCAGATTTGTTACATGGAAGTATGGTGTGATCCTCAGGTTTGAGGTATGAATGATTCCGTCACCCTAGTAGTGACCATAATAGCCAACAGGGAGTTTTCAACCCTGGTCCGCCTTTCACTCTCCCCAGTCTAGCAGTCCCCAGTGTCTATTGTTTTCTTCTTTATGCCCATGTGTGCTCAATGTTTAGCTCCCACTTATAAGTGAGAATATGTGGCATTTGGTTTTCTGTTCTTATATTAATTCTTTTGGGACAATGGCCTCCAGCTGCATCCATATTGCTGCAAAAGACATGATTTTATTCTTTTTATGGCTGTGTAGTATTCCACAGCATACATATGCCACCTTTTCTTTATCCAGTCCACTGTTAATTGCCACCTAGGTTGATTCCATGTCTTGCTATTGTGAATAGTGCTACCATTAGAATGGCCATTATTAAAAAGACCAAAAATAACAGATGCTGGCAATGTTGCAGAGAAATGGGAACATTTATACAGTGTTGGTGGCTATGTAAATTAGTCCAGTCACTGTGGAAAATAATTTGGAGATGTCTCAAATAACTTAAAATAGAAGTACCATTCAACCAAAAAATCTCATTACTGAGTATATACCAAAATGAAATTCTAATTGTCATCCCAAAGTTAACATTTCCAAATTGAAACTCATATTTCCGTTGCATTCCAACCCCAACATGCTCCATCCACAGTCCTCTCCATCTCAGTTAAAAGCAACCCCATTCTTCCAGTTCTCAGGCCACAATACCTGGAGTCATACTTGATTCTTCTCTTTCTCTCATACTCCTCAATCAAATCTTCAGGACATTATGGCATTATGGTTACTTTCTAAATATATTTATAAACTGAATTATTACTACTTGTACTACTACTGGAAGATTGGAGTTATCATAAACTTTCTTTTAAATTATTGCAGTAGCCTCATAAATGGTTTTCTTCTTTGTAAATTTGGTCTTCTATTTACATTGAAATTCTAATGTCTATTATTCAAATAACGTCCAGAAGGAATATTTTAAAACCTAACTCCAAATATTTTACTGAAATCCGATCAAAACATTGATGGCTCTCCATTTCTTTCAGAGTATACAGCCGGAATCACTATACAGTCTAAAAGAACTGCATGGCCTTCCCCCATTACCTCTAGACTGCCTCTCTTCTTCCCCACACATGTTCCCCTAGCTCCTGGAGCTTCCTGCAATACTCCAAGCACATCTTGCCCTAGTGACCTTGCTCTACTCTTCTGCTTGCAGCTACTTTCCCCAAGATACATGCTTTGCTAAGTCATCTTCAACTTTGGTCAAGTCTCATCTTCTCAGATAGCTTTTCCTTGACTACTCAAGTAATACTGTAACCTGTGCCATCCCCCTTTTTCACATCCTATCTGTCACTCCTTATCCCTTTTACTATGATCTACTATTTTCTTTACATTTATTCAGATTTCTTCTCAAGATCAAGCAGTTTATTTAATGTATCTCTCCTGTGTTATATTTTATCATACGTAGCCAAAAAAAAAAAAGTTGGAAATCTTTAACTGGGATTTAACTGGGAAGCAGCAAGCTTCATTAATTACCCCTTTTATTTTCTGTATTACTGTAAGTTACAGTTGGAGCAAAACCTATTATTACACAGCTTTCTGCCTGACTCAGGAAAGAGCAATTCAAGCAAAGCACAATTGGTATCACTAAGCAAAAAGACAGAAAATGGCTAAGATGGCTAGAATTTTTGGAAGAGAGTACTGGAAAGAAGGGCACTACACAGAGGAATGCTCCAGAAACTACTAAAGATAGTTACAAAGTTACAAAGTTACAAAGGAGATATAGCTCAATAGTCAATACACTTTTGCTCTTCTGTCAGAGGTATGTGAACCAGAGAGACTCCATCTTAAGTAGGAGCTGGGCAAAATGAGGCCAAAACCTACTGGGCTGCATTCCCAGATGGTTAAGGCATTCTAAGTAACAGGATGAGATAAGAGGTCAGCACAAAATACATGTCACATAAAGATCTTGCTGATAAAACAGGTTGCAGTAAAGGAGCTGGCCGAAACCTACCAAAACCAAAATGGTCATGAGAGTGACCTCTGGTCGTCCTCACTGCTTCACTCCCACCAGCTTCATGACAGTTGACAAATGCCATGGCAATGTCAGGAAGTTACACTATATGGTCCAAAAAGGGGAGGCATGAATAATCCACCCCTTGTTTGGTATATCATCAAGAAATAATCATAAAAATGAGCAACCAGCAGCTCTCGGGGCTGCTCTGTCTATGGAGTAGCCATTCTTTTATTCTTTTACTTTCTTAATAAACTTGCTTTCAGTTTGCACTGTGGACTTGCCCTGAATTATTTCTTGCAGAAGATCCAAGAACTCTCTCGTGGGGTCTCGATTGGGACCCCTTTCCTGTAACATATTTCTGGCAATCACGAAGGGACCATAGTGCAGAAACCGTGACCTGACAGCTACCTTTGGGTAAGTGTTGGGTTTCTGTAACATCTTTCTGGCAAACCCAGAAGGGACAATACAGAAGAAACCCCCTAACCCAAAGGAAATAGACTGCAGCACTGATTGAATGACTTTGGGTAAGTGGTGTGGTACCCGGGTAAATAATGGGATTGGGTTAGAGGCCCAACTTAGGGGAGTAAGAGTCTCTCCTAAGACAGAGTAGGTAAGAGGCCCTTCTTAATAAAAGGCAAGGATGCTTGACTGACCTTGGGTTAGAGGCCTGACTTAGGAGGGTTAGAGTCCCTTTTAAGATTTAGGGGGTTAGAAGACTGTCTCAGTAAAGTCCCACTCGGCTAAGAATACATTTGACACTATGGGATGTTAACTGCTATTCTCATTGGATTAATCTGCCTTGTACTGTTTGCTGATGGCTGTGGGTGACAGGGTTAGGCATGTTCAGGATCGTGGGACATGGGGAGCTTTTTCCTCCCTAATAGGGGAAACTTGAGAGCTAATAGGCTTACTGGAAAAGATCCCTTTGTACCAAGAAGCAGCTGACTGAAATTTTCAGTGCCACTGCAATGGGTGGGTCTTTCTCTGGCCTCTCTGATCATTTCGCCTTCCCCACCCTACCACAGGCAATGCTTTTTTCTCTCCCCTTTTGCTTTCTTAATACAAAAGATTTTGTATTACTCAGGGTGACCATCTTGCCCAGAGACCACGCATTGAAACTCCTAGAAGGAGGTTGGATTAAAGATGATGGGGCACATCTGGGGGCAAATTTAAGCCTTGCTGGTTTGATACTGGGTGCTAAGCAGAGTGGTTAACGTCTGTGTTTTATCACATGTATTTTGCTCTGGCCAGAATGAAAAAATAAATAAATTTTTCCTTTATGATGTGTTTTGGCTCCCAGGGTGATGATGCTGCAAGCGAAATCACTAGGGCCGCTCAGGGAAAGGGAACCCAGAAGCCTGGCATGCTGGCAAAAACATAAGAATTTCTTACATCAGATTTCTGGATTCTCTCTCTCTGTGCAAATGGTTGAATGAATGGAAAAAAAGAATCAGTGTTTATCTCCTCTTTAAAGTTTTGATTAATGCAAAAAAAATTCTAATGCTAGTCTTAACCTGGTGTACTTTGTGCTATGAGTTCATTTTTCTGTGTTGAGGGATACTTTAGGATAAAACAAGGGCTTAGAACACCTGTAAGCCTGCTCTTCAAAAAGACAACAAGCTGGTCAGTAACAAACTTGGCTGCAGGTCCCTGAAACAAACAAACAAAAAAACCAAAAAACTGGATGAAGTCTCTATCTTGTTTTATGTCCTTGGGAGTTTGACTTTTTTTTTTTTTTTGAGACGGAGTCTCACCCTGTTTCCAGGCTGGAGTGCAGTGGCATGATCTCAACTCACTGCTACCTCTGCCTCCTGGGTTCAAGCCATTCTTCTACCTCAGCCTCCCGAGCAACCAGAATTACAGGCATGCACCACCACGCCCAGCTAATTTTTTGTATTTTTAGTAGAGACAGGGTCTCAGCACGTTGGCCAACCTGGTCTCAAACGCCTGACTTCAGGTGATCCACCCACCTCAGCCTCCCAAAGTGCTGGGATTACAGAGGCCTGAGCCACTGTGCCCAGCGGGAGCTTGACCTTTAACCATGTGGCTGTACCTTCTCTTGGTCTCTGCCTTCCAGGGAACAGGAATTTTAGGGTTTATGTGCTAGTCAGCTCTAAAAATCATATTAGGCTGGGCGCAGTGGCTCACACCTATAATCCGAGCAGTTTGAGAGGCCGAGGCAGGCAGATCACTTGAGGTCAGGATTTCAAGACCAGCCTGGCCAACTTTAGTCTCTACTAAAAATACAAAAATTAGCCGGGCATGGTCTGGGCATGGTGGCGCACACCTGTAATCCCAGCTACTTAAGAGGCTGAGGCAGGAGAATTGCTTGAACGCAGAAGGTAGAGGTTGCAGTAGGTGGAGATCACGCCACTGTGCTCCAGCCTGGGCAACAGTGCAAGACTCCATCTCAAAAAATAAATAAAAATAAATAAAAACAAAAATCATATTAAATAATTAAAAGCCTTTGCAAGCTCCAAATTAACTACTCTAGAATTCTTCTGGGAAAGACAATGGGGACAGCCCCATGCTGCAGCTCAGTAGCTAAAGTTTTGCACTTTCACAGTGGCGGTCTGGTTTTGATTCTCCACCTAGGAAGTAAGTTCTTTCTGGTTTAATATGTGCGTGACCTTGTCTATTCTCTTCTCCATGGACTGTCTTAAATTTTCCTTTCTCTAAGCACCTCGGTGGTTGTCTTTGGTGAAGTTCAGAAGCTAGAAATATTGACTGCTTGGCATGGATAAAGTAGGGTAATAAGAGATCTGAAAGGATTTTTTTTAAAGAGCACTGTGTTTAAAAGTCAGTTTAATTAAAAGTGGATAAACAAGCTTTAGATATATTTAAAATGCCTTTACGTTTTTCTCTTCTTGGAACTTGTTTTTCTGGAAAAAGGTTTTTTTCTTCTCATTCGACTGGATTATTTTTCTCCATATTTTTTGTCTTGCCACTCTTAACGGACACATGGGAGGCCCTAAGATAACTTCTGTTAGCCTGTGACTAATTGGGAAAAACAGAGGAGGCGCCACAGACCCTGTTTTGGAAAAACCCTCTGTTTTCCTCATGAAACCCCAGGAATTAAAAGCAGATTGATCCCTCTCAAAATCAAAGGCTCTGTTCCTGTTTTACTTGTGTTATCTGATGGTTTTGAGTTTTGGGGGTATCAGAAATTACTTCCCATTATAAGAGAGCTTTGGTGTGTAATAACTAGGTAAGAAATATAATTTAAAGGATGACTAATAATAGTTACGGAGGGATACTTGACCCTTTGCACACTTGGATCAGAGACGCATGCTCTCGGCCATCTGGAAGATAAGGAAACATCCTCATCCCCCACTGGGAGATGAGACTCCCATGAGGGGTGGTGGGCTGATGACAAAATGGGCTGATTGGCTTTGGGTTGCCTTGCAATGAAATGCAGAGTAGAAGCACTGCACTGTCTTCTCCTATAGTATTTCCCTCCTTTTGGGGATCAAGGAACAAGTATAAAATGGCAACCTTAATTTTGGAGACCTGTCTTTGCCTTCAGTTGCTTATTTGCTGCCCTTATTTGACCCTAGAAAAACAGGCTTTCCTGGCCGTGTTCCTCCAATGGCTGCACCCTGAAGGCAGTAATCCAACTAAGAAACTGGCAAATGAAAAATCTTACAAGTGCTGAACCTTCTGTCTATTTATATGTGTTATATGTTTATATATAAGAGAGCTCTAATTAATTGGCTTAGAAAAATAAGTGCTTAAATCAAATATTTTGTAGAAAAATAGAAACTTTAATACCTTTTTGTCACAAAGCTTTAGTAATATTTTGGAAATAAAGATAGTTTTAAAGACTATTGGTAAAATAAAATGGCTTGAAAATGTAGACGTTTGGTCTAAATTAAGGTCAGGTATCACATTTGCTAAATGCTTTAAGGTCAAACTGCTTCTTTAACTTTTAAAAATTGTTCCATTTATATACCTTAAAGCCATTAGAGCCTAGATAAGGCCTGGGAACACGTGGAATTAGCCATGCCCTCTAGCTATATAAAGAAGATTATAAAGAAAGAGATTTTATATAAGAAAGGATCTTGTATGGTAAATTATTGTCCTAAAGTAAAATGACCAGTTGTTTAAAAGGAGGGATTTTAGGGCAAGTCAGAAAGTACAAGGATGTCTCATACGGTCCATGTGAGTCATGAAAAGATTTGTGAAAGGGAATTTATGGAAGAAATGTTGTACAATTCAAAGGTTGTTAGACCTCCTAAATGCTTCATAAAATGCCACTATAACTCTTGTCGTACAACTTGCCTGCTTAAGTAAGGTAAGACCTGGGGACATGTGGAGTTAGCCAAGCCCCTAGCTATCCTGGAGAGTCAGCTCTTGTCTGCATTTCTTCCTGGTGTGTGCTAGGCTAGGCTCCACACTTAGTACCTAATTAAAATCTCTTACTTACCAAGGTTTTCACCAAAAATAAAAGTTGCTGAGAGTTAATATTATAACATGAAATTAAAACTACTAAAGAAACGATTTTACATGCAAAGGTGTGTAAAGAAAGTAAAATGTGTTTTTGGTGAAAGATTATAAGAAGCCATGGAAATGTGGATTTTTTTTTTTCCTTTCTGCCTAAAGTGTTAAATGATTGCTTTACGTAAGAAAAAAATCTAAAATTTAAGCAAGTTGTGGAAGGTTTATAAAAATTAATTGTAAGATATTCTGTGTGTGAACATATTGGCTAAAGTTAAAGGGGTATTATTCAGGTTTTTCCATAAATTAAACATTGGAATAAAAACACAACAGGTTTTCCTTAGAGTACTGATTTGCTCTTTCACAAAAGAATGTAAAGGGTTATTAAAAAAAAGGGTTGTAAGAATCTTACCTTAGGGTGAAACATTAAAATTGAGTAAATATGTCTATAAGGTTTTATTAAAAATTAGTTTTAACATTAATAGTACATTAATGTAAAGGTGAAATTTGGTTTATTTGGTATAAAAATCACACAGGAGGCACTATCAAGTGTGAAATCATGTTTTGCTTTCTTTGAACTATATTTGCATAAATGTGTTATTGGTATATGTTCCAAAGTTAAGGGAAACTCCTATAAGTCTAATATGACTTAGCGTATGCTATTGATAATTATCATTGTTGTGTAAAATTTTGTGTGCCACAGAAGTAACCAAATTTCCTTATCAATTGTGGCTTTAATAGTGGCTGTCCTAAAACTTTTTATCATCCATAGACAATTGTTGCCATGTTTTAACCCTCTTTAGAAGGTGGTTTATAATCAACAATAGAACTCTAGCAGGTGTTCTTAAATGCAGGTTTCTAATAACTTTGAAGATTATGACATCAGAATAAAGGAAAAAACTTTCAGAACTCTCATAGAGAGCTGAAATGTTCATAACTATCAAACAGAAGTTAACTACACAGACTAAACTGAAGAAGTCAAATCTTTTTAACTTTGCATAAAATGTTTCTGATCCTTTGTTTTGTTTTTCAGAGTCAAGGAAACTTTTCTTTTGAGTTACTTACAGCTTGCAGCAATTAAATAAAGTATACTGCTGTGAACAAAATTTGGAACACATTTGTTTCTCTCTACCCGATTTCTTCAGAATTTGGAAACTAGTTGTGAGTATTCTTAACTTATGGCAACATAGTTATTTGCATAAGTGCAACAAGAATCTGTTTTCTTTTGTAACAGGACACAATTGGAAAAGTTGGTTATTTTACCGAGGACTTAACTGGAATGGTGTGCTTTCCTTTAAGGAATCAAACTTGACTTTTAAAGCCAGTAAAAGCCCTTTGGAGAACTGGCCTCATACCTCACCTACACAGTCCCTGTACAGGGTTTCTGACCTATGGTAAGTAAAGAATGTCACTTTCTCACAGGTCCAGGAGCCCCAGGTTATCTTGAGACCTCAAAAGCAGAGAAATTTACCCAACTCAGGTATTTGATGGGACAAACCCGTGGCTGGGCTCAGCTTTAAAAAAGTCTTATCTAAAATTCCTTCTATGGAACAGAGTTCCATCAACACCAATTTAAAAATAACTTATGTTAAAAATGAATACTCTTGCTGCACTTTATACAAATAATCAGGTGAAGTATAATAAAGCAAATCAGTTTTATCATGATTTGTCTTTAGTAAAAATGGGAAACTGGAGAGAGAAATATTATATTTCAAAAACTATGGTACAATTGCTATTAAATTCTAGTCTCGTTAGTTGTTTTTAAGTTTGTTTCTGCAATTTAGACTAACCCTGCTTATTCATGTAAACCAACCAGTGATCTCTGACTGCTGTTCAGAAGAAACAAGAGGGATGGGTGATGTGAAAATCTGGATCGGTATTCTAATTCTGGGCACATTACAATCAGCTGACAACCCCCTATCAGCTTAGTTCCAACAGTTTCCCAGTTCATGAAAAGACTTCTAATTTAGTTTACTCAGAATAACTTTACTTATTTTGCTTTATTCTTGTGGAATATATTGCTGTTGTGCTCTTTGTGTGGGAATACAGAACAAGCTTACTGAATGTTTTCTTAACTAAACAGTTATTAATCTTCCAGATATCACCTCTTGTCGAAACTCAAGAGTCATGAATGGCCCTTGCCGTACTGACGCTTTCTGACCGAGCACTTCTCTACCCTGAATGCAAGAGACCCTCATAGTTAGGCAGGAATATCATCACCCCTATACAGCCTGAAGAAGTTGCAGAAGATGGATCTTTGTCACTCTGCCACCCTTAGGTTTCAGCATTCTCTTATAAAAGAAAGGGTAGATATGTGAGAGGCATGTGAACCAGAGAGACTCCATCTTAAGTAGGAGCTGGGTAAAATGAGGCTGAAACCTACTGGGCTGCATTCCCAGACGGTTAAGGCATTCTAAGCCACAGGATGAGATAGGAGGTCAGCACAAAATACAGGTCACGAAGACCTTGCTGATAAAACAGATTGCAGTAAAGGAGCTGGCCAAAACTTACCAAAACCAAAATGGCCATGAGAGTGACCTCTGGTCGTCCTCACTGCTACACTCCCACCAGCACCATTACAGTTTAGAAATGCCATAGCAATGTCAGGAAGTTACTCTATATTGTCCAAAAACGGGAGGCATGAATAATCCCCCCCTGTTTAGCATATCATCAAGAAATAACCATAAAAGTGGGCAACCAGCAGCCCTCAGGCTGCTCTGTCTATGGAGTAGTCATTCTTTTATTCCTTTACTTTCTTAATAAACTTGGTTTTACTTTTCACCACAGACCCACACTGAATTCTTTATTGTGCAAGATCCAAGAACCCTCTCTTAGGGTCTAGATCGGGAGTCCTTTCCTGTAACACTTCCTTGGCTAACAAAATTCCTACTTTTTTCTAACTCTAATACAAGAGTCTATCGTATTTCTAAGTGATCACAGCTAATTTGTATGACAGCTGGTTATGCTCAGCTTTTACCCTCTTGATATTCTGTAAATTATTTTAGGGCAAGTGATCACGCTTATTTTCGTTATGCTTAGGAGTAACCCATAAGCATTTGTTGAAGAACAAAACTAATAAAATAAAATGTCAAGATGTTGGATGTAGAAGCTGTTCATTTTCAATTTATGTTTAAAAGTAAATGGAATGCTTCAACTTTGATATGATGAACACATAGTCACTCTTTTAAGTTAATGGTGCTACAACTTTTAGTAACTCAACCAGTTAATTTCCAAATTTTTCTTTTTAAAATTAAGAAATTATATATTTAAAATCTAATCAATTGCCATTAGCTGCACTCTTTAACAGTGAAAAGCTGACAGTAGACAAAATCTTTACACGGAATTTTAACATAAAGCTGTTTATGAGGTTTAATATGGTTATTAAAGAAAAAAGGCTCCTGGCTAACACGGTGAAACCCCGTCTCTACTAAAAATACAAAAAATTAGCCGGGCGTGGTGGCGGGCGCCTGTAGTCCCAGCTATTCTGGCGGCTGAGGCAGGAGAATGACATGAACCCAGGAGGCGGAGCTTGCAGTGAGCTGAGATGGCGCCACTGCACTCCAGCCTGGGCGACAGAGCGAGACTCTGTCTCAAAAAAAAAAAAAAAAAAAAAAAAAGGCTAGTTTCTAGGGGTAAAACTCATAAGGGTCTAAGCTTATTGGTTTTATCTAGTACTCAGTATATGATATGGAGGAAAAATTTTACTAACAAAGAAATTTTTGAGTTTTAAATGAGAACTATCCAAAGTAGCTAATTTCCAGCAGCATTTTTTTTTTATCATTTAACTATGAAACATGATGATTACTCAAGTAGACTATAACCACCATCCATTACCTTCCTTTAGTATTCACTGGAAAGGGAAAATGACAATTCTGACAAGCTTGTAAAATGTGATGTATCTTAAAACTCACTAAGGTTTCTTCATAAAAACCCACATTATATTCCAAAACTCTATAACATTTCTGACTATTTTACTTTATAGAAATCTAAAAGATTAAGAAAGAGGAAGGAAGTATGTTTCCTGAGGTGAAAATTATAGTCTACTGGTTACTTGAAAATGTTTTTCAAATGGATTGGGCCTAATGCCAATATTTAGCTAAGAGGTTCCATTTCAGATTCAAAGTTCCATTATTATCTCAGTCTAATCTACACTGAATATTTTTAAATATTATGGTCTTCAATTAAAAAATGCATTGCTAAATTGTGAGTAAAAGTCTGGATTGACGAAGCTATTTTAAAATTGTTTGATAAAATTGTCAAAACAAAAATATGTCTACCACCTTTCTCTGATAAACTTCTAATTCTAACTTTGCAATTAATACAGCTTATTTTCAGATTTAAGACTATTTGTGATACTTTTCTTTAACCAAAGTCCTACAGTTATTATTGAACAAAAGGGAAAAAAAAGCTTTTAAGCTTTTTTTTTTACCTCATAACAAAAATATAAACAAGACATTACTCTTTTCAAGTATTTTAAATAGTTCCATTTAGTCTTGTTTGCTAAAATATTCATTGTACTTGAATTTATTTTTCTCTATGTCTAAATACTTCTTCTTTGCTAAACTTTCAAAATATGGTTGAGGCAGACTGAATAATGGCTCTTCAAATGAGATCCACATCCTAATCCTTGAGATTTGTGACTATTACCCTATATGGTAAAAAATGAGATAAGTATCTTGAGATGGGACAGTATCTTGGCATATCCAGGTAGGGCTTGAATTACAGTTACAAGTCTCTTTTTAAGAGAAAGGCAGAAAGAGATGTGAGTCAGATAAGAAATGGCAACGTGGCCACCGAAGCAGATTTTGCAGTTATGTGGCCACAAGCCAAGGAATGCTGAGTCAAGGGACAAATTCTCCCCTTGAGTCACCAGAGGGAGTACCGTTCTGCCAACATCTTGATTTCAACCCAGTGAAACTTTAGATTTCTGGCCTCCAGAACAGCAGGGGAGAAATAAATTTTATGTTTGTGGTAAATTGTTACAACTCTCAAGATAAATTAATACAATTTTATTTTTATTTAGTAAGCCTTTACCAGCAGGAGAAAATAAGTTTTTTAAGAATAAAATGGTAGAAATATTCTACAATTTTATTTTGGATTTTGATAAATATAAAACTCATAAATACTTCGAGTAGATCTTTATGTATGTTTTTGAGAACCTCATCTGTATTCTGCTGTTCTTAGAAAAAGGATAGTAATAGACATTGATTAGATTTTAAATTCCCAGGGCCAGTCATTTCCGCTTTATAAAAACTCAATTGCTTCATTTCTCCTGAGGAAAACAATGAATCAGGGATCAGCCTCCACTCACCTATCTTCTCTGTCCACAATATTTTACAATTCTTTTCTTTTGTTGGGATGCAAAGCTTGAGGAAAGGGTAAGCAAAAGGAACTGAAATTCATTCCATTCCAAAAACAACCTGTATTCTGGCTGAAAACATACATAAGAGTCTAAGCTTAACACATAGGAAGACAAGAAAAGGTACAACAAATCCCAGAAGGTTCCTGAAAAGGAAGAGGCTTACAGGAGAAGCTGTCTGGGCAAGTGTGTATTTGCTCAGATTTGGGGAAATGTATATAAACCTGGGACAAAAAATAAAGGGAGTACTTTTCAGCCTAGTCTTTTTGACTCCTATGTCAATCCCTACCATCTGAAATCTGGTTCAGATTTTCATTAGGCCCTTTCAACTTCAAGGAAAGAAACAACCGTCAGGTAACCAAAAATAAAAAAGGCTTATGAAACACATACTGGAAGGACGGAAATTCAGAAAGCTCTTTAAGTAGCTGAACCAAGTCTGTACTTCAGTAAATACTATTTCCAGCTCCACTTAAAGCAGCTAGGAATTAAGATCACTATTGAGAGTTAGATTTAAAGTTGGCAATTTTTTGATAGGAAGGAGGAAATTTTGCCAAATGCTACTGGCTTTAAAACAGGTTTTGATATAAAAGAGCTTTTTCTAGAAATATTTAATGATCCCATCTTCCTGGAATATACCAGTATTTATGGCTGCAGGTGTTCCAAGCATTTCTGGTTTTGGTTTGCTTGACTTACTCCTTCAAGTTGGAAGTGCTTTCTGCCACTCAAGCAGACTTGAGTCTTCACAGATAGGAGATGATTTTGGGTTTCATAAAGTCTGTTTGTTTTCTGGAATATCGCTTCTGGTTTTTGTACTTTGTAACTTATTCTATAAGCTTTTGCTCTTTCTCCTACCTTGTTCTTTAAATATATTTGTTTTGGTATCATTTAGCATGTCTTCAAGGCTAATTTTGGTTAAATATTTTGCAACCATTTTCACTCAAGTTTGTGTATTATGCACTAACAAGTTGGAAAATTCCAATCTTAATTACATTTTGACCCAGGTGCAGGAAATAAGAGGGTGCATTGTCTGTATATATATATGGGTATGTATATACATAACAAAAGCACTGACTAGTAGTCTGTCTTTCTTTTATTAATCGCCATACACTGATAATTCTAAATAATATCAGTGATAAAACAATTCTTCATGCTGGGGCACATGACTCCCACTTCTTCCCCTCCCTTGGTATGTCACTTCCAGACAGTCTTCATTTTCTCAAAACATTGTTATGAATGGTATCTTCAAGGAACATTTTATTATTAATCATTAAGTTTTTAATTGAGAAATAATTCACATATTATGATATGCACAACTCCTAAATATTCAACTTGATGTGCTCTGATAATTGAACCTTTGCAGCCACCATCCCAGTCAAGATACAGAACACATCTGTTACCCAGGAATATCCCTCTAGCTCAGTTTCAGTTAATTCAAGGCCACCTCCACAACCACCCAAAACAAATTATTTCTCACTTATCACCAGGGATTATTTTTGCCTATTTTCAGGTATTATTTAAAGGAAATGTATCTGGTAACTTTTGCTCATCAAAACATTTTAAGTCTTCAATTTGTTTCTAGTTTTTGATATTTCAATGATTTTATTTCTTTCTGCATGCAGATTCAATATACTTATTGATACTTATTTCTAGTTGTCATTTGGATCTTGGAACTATGGTAAACTTGTTTTACTTTGTACATTTGTTACTTTATACAGACAATTTATTTCACCATTTCATTCATTAAGCTAATTTTTAATCAATTTTAAATTTTTACATTAAGTTAAAATTAATTTTTAATTAACATTTTGGTTTTTATATTGATAATCATATGTCTTTTAAATTACACAATTTCCTTTGTATTTTGTATTTTATACTTTATTCCTTCATAATAATCTGGAATTATACAATAAAAATATTGAAATTCAAAGTCTTTATAGACAAATAAATTTTCAAGTAACATTGATATTATCAGTTAATGAGTGTAATATATACTCTAACAGAGGCTAAGCTTTTAGTTTTATTTCTTTTCTACAGTACTTGTATAGTATGCATAAGTCAAACTAAAAATATAAACATACACACAGACATATGCATATTTTGAATCGGAGATATATTTTTGCCTCATATCCACTGCCCTTTTTAGGAGATGAAAATATTACATTCAATGTCATCAATGCCTAATCTACTTTTGATAATTCATTTATATTTAGTTTAGTTCAATTGTCATTTGTTTGTTTTATCTACTTCTGTTCCTTAACTTGACCAAAATAATTACAATGACATTATTTTTATTTATAAGCTGTTCCTTTTCCAAGCCCCAGGATCAGATTTTTAAAAAAGAACTTAAAGTTTGGTATCTTTTCTGTGCATTTAGTACTTGTAAATATATCAAAGACAACTAAAATTTATGATTTTCAAACTCTTTAGAATCTTTTTTAGTTAAAAAAATCAAAATATTCATTTGCTTTTTGAAAATTAATACCTTTAAGAAAGGGTTGAATCTTGTTTAATTGTTATCTTTAAACTGTATAGTTAAATATTTTTTATCTACAGGATGCTATTAGTGCTCACCCCAAATAAAAAGAAAATTATACGTTAAATATTTTTTTAGTATTACTAGATGTATTAGCCAGTGTTCTCCAGAGAAACAGAACTTGTAGGATATATAGACATGATAGATAGATAGATAGATAGATAGATAGATAGATAGATAGATGATAGACAGATAGATAGAAAGATAGATAATCTATTATAAAAAAAAGTTAACTCAAGCAGTTATTTTGGCTGACATATCCCAAGACCTGTAGTCAGCAAGCTGGAAAGGTAAGAGAGCCAGTCTTGTAGTTGTAGTCCGAAGGCCAGTAGACTTGATACCCAGAGGGAGTCAACATTTTGGTTGTCCAAACATTTCAGAGTCCAAAGGCAGGAAAAATCCAATGTCCTAGCTCAAAGGCACTTAGACAGGAGGAATTCCTTCTTACTTGAGGAAGGGTCAGCCTTCTTATTTTATTTAGGCTTTTAAAGGATTGGAAAAGCCTCACTCATATTAAAGAGACCAACGTTTTACTAAGTTTATCCATTCAAATGTGAATCTCATCCAGAAACACCCTCACAGACACACACACAATGTTTCACTAAATGTCTAGGCACCCCATGCCCCAATCAAGTGGATGCGTAAAATTGACCATCAGCTAGGTCATGTTAAGTTGCAGAGTTGAAGATTTCTCTGCTGTAGAACAACTTAGAGCCCTCAGTATATTAATGTGCATTGATAGTTTGTGTAAGAGAAAAATATTTTGAATACATCAAAAATATTTTCATAATGTATTCCCCACTTTTTTAAAACAAAAAAATAATGTATTCAGTAACTGTACTGCAATGAACAGTTTGGAATATACTTATTTAAATCACAGAATGATGATCAGGTTTTGTTAAAAATACTATTAGCAATAAATTCTCTATCTCTTCTTGATGTTAAATTTTCAGAAAATTATTACCTGCACTGATAGTAAATTATGAGCTTTAATCTTTTTGTGTAGTTTTCCTTTATCAAGTTTATCCAAATATATCAATATCTCTTCCTCTGATTCAAATAAACCTTATTTACTTATCTTGTAAACAAAATGGAAATGAAAATAATATAGGCCAGACTTCTACCCAGCTAATGATTCATATATTTACAGAGACTTATCACTGAGGCATATTTGTTGGAGACAAAATATGAAGGTTTAATAGAAGTCTCACTCTGTTGTCCAGGCTGGAGTACAATGGCATGATCTCGGCTCTCTACAACCTCCGTCTCCAGGGTTCAAACAATTCTCCTTCCTCAGCCTCCCAAGTAGCTGAGATTGCAGGGGCCCACCACCATGCCCGGCTAAGTTTCTGTATTTTTAGTAGAGATGGGGTTTCACCATGTAGGCCAGGCTGGTCTGGAACTCCTGACCTCAGGTGATCCACCTGCCTCAGCCTCCCAAAGTGCTGGGATTACAGACATAAGCCACCACGCCCAGGCCAACTATTTGTTTTATAGCAATTGTTGTTTTTATCTTGTGGCTACTTTAATAGATAATTGTTACCTAAGTGTAAGCATTAAATCCATTCTTTTCTATTTGTAAAGATAACTGAAACAACTGATATAACTTTTTAGCAGTGAGGTTGTTTCAGCATGTTGTATTGACAGTTTGTGGTCAAGTGTTCAGTAAGGTGATTGTGTCACTATTTAAACCTTAAATTAAATATACTTTTGACATTGTAAGTTAAATCAAAGCTTTCTCTTTTTATTTAATTGATTATCAAGAGTATCTGTGGTGAGGATCCATATGCTAAACTAAGATATATAAAACAAAAACATCCTTATATTTAATATTTTGACTTGCCAGGCAAGTTGTCATTTCTATGCTTATTAAAATACTGACCATCTCTATTCTCTGATTCAAATGGCTAGTCTTCAGAGGAATGTTTTCAAATTTGCAATTTGATTCTCTATGTATAATTCCATACTTTCATATATTATTATTTCTAAAAGAAGTGTAGAACTCCAATCTATATTTTTTTGTTTTCTTTTCACTACTCTTCTAGATAGGTTTGATATGGTTTGGCTGTGTCCCCACCCAAATCTCATATCAAATTGTAATCTCCACATTTTGGGGAAGAGACCAGGTGGGAGGTGATGGGCAATTTCCCCATGCTGTTCTCTTGACAGTGAGGGAGTTCTCACAAGATCTGATGGTTTGCCCTGTGCTCACTCTCTTTCTCTCACCTGCCACCATGTTTGATGTGCCTATTTCCTCTTTCGCCATGATTGTAAGTTTCCTGAGTCCTCCCCAGCCACGCAGAACTGTGAGTCAATTAAACCTGTTTACTTTATAGATTACCCAGGCTCAGGTAGTTCTTTATGGCAGTAAGAGAACTGACTAATGCAGGAAACTGGCACTGGTAGAGTTGGGTACTGCTATAAAGATAACCTGGAAGTGTGGAAGTGACTTTGGAACTGGGTAATGAGCAGAGGCTGGAACAAGTTGGGGGGCTCAGAAGACAGGGAGATGTGGGGGAGCTTGGAATTCCTAGAGACTTGTTGAATGACTTTGACCAAAACTCTGATAGTGATATAGACAATGAAGTCCAGTCTAAGGTGGTCTCAGATGGAGATGAAGAGCTTGTTAGTAACAGGACTAAAGGTCACTCTTGCTATGCTTTAGCGAAGGGACTGGTAGCATTTTGCCTCTGCCCTAGAGATGTGTGGAACTTGGAACTTTGAACTTGAGAGGGATGATTTAGGGTATCAGGTAGAAGAATTCCTAAGCAGCAAAGCATTAAAGAGGTGTCCTGGATTATTCTGAAAGTGCTTAGAGTTTTATGTGCTCACAAAGAAATGGTTTGAAACTGGAACTTATGCTTAAAAGGGAAGCAGAGCAAAAATGTTTGAAAAATTTGCAGCCTGAATCTGTGCTAATAAAGAAAAACTCATTTTCTGGGAAGGAATTCAATGTGGCTGCAGAAATTTGCATAAAGTAAGTAACTAGTAGGTGAATGTTAATAGCTGAAACCATGGGGAAAATGTCTCCAGGGCATATCAGAGATTTTTGAGGCAGCCCTTCCCATCAGAGGCATGAAGCCTTAGGAGGGAAAAACGGTTTCATGGGCCAAGCCCAGGACCCCACTCCTCTGTGCAGGATCAGGACTTGGTGCCCTGTGTCCCAGCCATTTCAGCTCCAGCCTTGGCTAAAAAGGGCCGAGATACAGCTCGAGACATTGTTTCAGAGGATGCAAGCCCCAAGCCTTGGTAGCTTTTATGTGGTGTTGGGCCTGTGGGTGCACAGAAGTCAGGAATTAAGGTTTGAGAACCTCTGCCTAGGTCTCAGGGGATGTATAAAAATGCCTGGATATCCAAGCAGAAGTCTGCCACAGGGGCAGAGCCATCATGGAGAACCTTGCTAGCGCAATGCAGAGGAAAAATGTGGGTTTGGACCCTTCACACAGAGTCCCCTTCTCACTACTCCATTAGGCAGTGGGACACTACCTAGAGGAGCTGTGAGAAGAGGGCCACCATCCTCCAGTCCCCAGAATGTAGATCCACCAACAGCTTGCACTGTGTAACTGAAAAAGCCTCAGGTACTCAATGCCAGCCCATGATTGTGGCAGTAGGGCCTGAATCCTGCAAAGCCACAGGAATGGAGCTGCTCAAGGCCGTGGGAGCCCACTCTTTGCGTCAGCATGCCCTGGATGTGAGACATGGAGTTAAAGAAGATTATTTTGGTGCTTTAAGATTTAATGACTACCCTGCTGGATTTTGGACTTGCATGGGGCTTGTAGCCTCTTTGTTTCGGCCAACTTCTCTCATTCGGAATGGGAACATTTGTCTAATGCCTGTAACCCTATTGTATTTTGGAAGTAACTAACTTGCTTTTGATTTTACAGGCTCCTAGGTGGAAGGGACTTGCCTTGTCTCAGATGAGACTTTGGACTTTTGGGTTAATGCTGGAATGAGTTAAGACTTTGAGAGACTGTTGGGAAGGCATGATTGTGTTTTGAAATGTGAGAATATGAGATGTGGGAGGTGCTGGGAGTGGAATGATATGGCTTGGCTGTGTCCCCACCCAAATCTCATCTGAAACTTTAATCCAAATTGTAATCCCCACATGTCAGGGGAGGAACTTGGTGGAAGGTGATTGGATTGTGGGGGTGGTTTCCCTTATGCTGTTCTCATGATAGTGAGAGAGTTCTCATGAGACCTCTTGGTTTAAAAAGGGGAAATTTGCCCTGCACTCATTCTTTCACCTGCCACCATATAAGATGTGACTTCTTCCCTTCTGCCATGATTGTAATTTTCCTGAGACCTCCCCAGCCATGCAGAACTAAGAGTCCATTAAACCTCTTTTCTTTATAAATTTCCCACCCTTGGGCAGTTCTTAATAGCAGTGTAAAAATGAACTAATACAACATTCATTAGCATATTAAACTAGTCTTTTAGCTGTCTCTTTCATTATGTTCATTTCAGCTGATGGGTGCATTTGCATAGGTTGAACAATGCAGAGGAGGGGTTGAATGAGATAATTTATCAGTCTCTTTACTTAAAACCTTGGGGGAGAAGAACAAAGAAAGTACAACAAAATACCAGAAGAGACGGGGAAAGAGTAGAAATCAAGAGAGGAAAATAAGCTGAAGTGATCACTGGTGTCAAATGTTGCAGTTTGTCTCATAATTACAGTTACTGTGTTCAATGTTAATTTTCTCAGCAGGGTAATTTTTGAAGGATGTACTTTAACTTCTTCACTCTTTTGCTTCCATTTCAGCCATGCTGGCCTCTATTATTAATAAGATTATACAAATTTCAAGAATGTTGTAGATGGAGAAGGCCTTAGAAATCGTTTACTTCAATCACTTAATTTTTCATAGCTAAAAAGATGGAAGCCAAGTAGTTTGCCTCAAATTCCCAACTAGCAGAACAGTGACAGACTCAATATTTTGGCCTCCTCATCAAAAGCTCTCTATTGCTCTAGAGCCTCATTCTCACTTTACTCTTTTCTTCTGTGTTTGTTCCCCACCCTCTTTCCTAAGGAGATAGTCAAAGGAATATAGTGTTTCTTGATGATGAACACAGTAGGATGCTTCTTGTAAGCAAATGATTAGGGAAGTGAATCACTGGTTGTTGTAACATTTTTTTCTTATGAAGAGCAGGCTTTTGGGTGTGTTGAGATGACACTTAGCATTTCCTTGAAACAATGTGTGCTTTTGTGTAGTCAGGTTTATTATAGTCATAAATCATGAGGACCAGTAAGGAGGAAGGTTCCATTTCCTTAGCTTTATTTTGTTCCCTCAAGGAGCGACTATGATGCAAAGGCCTTTATATCTCACTACTGCTAATAAAGGAAAGGCCAGATGATGCATTTTCTTTGCTATCTCCTACTCAGAGTTATACAGCATTTATTTCAGCCTTAGCTTTAATAGATAATATTTTTTCCCTTCATTATATTACATATGAGCAGAAAGAAGGCAATCCTGAATCGTTTGGGTAGAAATCTTAAAAGCTATGTATTTGCTAAGAATGAAATTATTCATGTCTCTTAGAAACCTGAGGATTACAGGCATCAGACCAATGATTCAACAATAAGTAAAACAATCATAATAGCTATAACTCATTGCCTATTTATCTATCATTTCTTACTTTGTACCATGCACAGTTCTATAAACTATTATTGTAATCTTCATTTAAATAAGAAAACTGAAGCACTGACAAGTTAAGTAACTTTTACAAAGCCACACAGTGAAACTCACTGTTTAATCAACAAATTATATATGAGTTCATTTGATTTCCCTTCATTTTATCTAAACTACCAAAAAGACATGTTAGCATGCATAATAATTTCATGTATTTAATTTTCAATACAAAACATTGATTACAGTACCTTAATGAAAATTTGTAATATTAAAGACCTATGAGAAGCTTTTTAACACTTCTATAATATTTAATTCAAATTTTTATTAAAACTATACCACTATAAATATATCCTAAATAATAAATCAATAGGCAATATTATATTTAGGTTCTAAGATATTCATTATAGCATTATTTGCAATAGAAAATATTTGAATCATAAATGTTCATCCTTAGAGAACTATTTAAATGGATTATGACATGTCTATATGTGCCATAAGTAGAATATTATGTAGCACTTGAGATGGTATTTTGAGAAAATGTTAATATCATAAGGTAACAGACACGATACAATATTGAGTAAAATAGTGATATTGAGTAAATATAATATTGAATAAAATAAATTTTACATGCAATATAAACTTCATTGTGTAGACACATACACATCCAGAGAAAAGCAATGGAAAGAAATACACCGAAGAAGTTGTGAGTGGTTATCACTAGATAATGAGAAAACGGAACATTTCTGAGTATGGCTTTATACTTTATTTTCTAATTTTATCCTGTGTACATAAGCAATGAAATTTGCTTAAAATATTATTTATCCTTTGGCTTAAATATTCTTAATAGAGTTGTTATTTCTGAATAAACTAAGGTAGTAGATGTAATAATGCTTCATGAAAAATGTATTGATCTTATAAAATTTATCTGACTTCTAGTTCCTATATGAAAAGTTTTCCTTAGAAAATAGTATTTATGATAATTTCTAGATTCAACATTTAAATAAAATTGCTCTATAATTGTGAACTAAAAAGTGTAAAAGTTAAACATTTGATTAAAGAAATCCTGTGAAATTTATGAAAATGTTATAGTTCTTTGATATAGAATATTTAAAATTTAGAAATACATAGACATTCTATGAAATGTAATTGATTATAAAATTCATATAGCCTAAACATTTTCTCTACCTTTTTTTTTTTTTTTTTTTGAGACAGAGTCTCACTCTGTTTCCCAGTTTGGAGTGAAGTGGCATGGTCTCAGCTTACTGCATCCTCCGCCTTCCGGGTTCGAGCGATTCTTCTGCCTCAGCCTCCTGAGTAGCTGGAATTACAGGCACCCGCCACCATGCCCTAATTTTTTTGTATTTTTAATAGAGACGGGGTTTCACCATGTTGGCCCGGCTGGTTTTGAACTCCTGACCTCAAGTAATCCTCCGTCTCCCAACATGTTAAGATTAGAGGCGTGAGCTACCGCGCCCAGCCCTTTCTCTACTTTTGGAACAAAGACAAGTCATATGAAAGTAAACTTCTGTAGGCAATTTAAGCTTTGTTAGTCATGTGTCAGGGAATTACCAAGAGTAGTTGCTCATTCACTTTCATCTATTAAACTGTCTGAAGCTGTCTTTCTTTTACAATGAGATTAATGATGTGAATGATACTTCTGAAGAAAGTCAACATACGTAGTTATTCAGGTAATGTGTAATACATTTTATATAATGATGACTTCGATTTTAAAAAGATTTTCTGAAGTTTAAAAAAAGTTTTATTATATAACTTATAACAAATGCATACTATTTTCCAGATAATAATATTAAAGTGAACATTGATTACCTGGAACATTCTAGCTAGCTAAAATTTTCCTAAACTTGCATAAAGAACATAACTTACAAATGTAACCCCAGCAGAAAATATTTCCAATCTTTCTTCTCCTTTTTTGCCAGCATTCCTGGTAAAACTGGTCAGACATACCAGAATCTAGATATTTGAAAAGGTTGCTAACTGGCTAAGCCAGATACGATAGCCAAGGTTTCCACAATTTATTTTAGGTTAATTTTAAATATGGGTTAAATATACTTGGCATGGTAAAGATTTCTGAGCTAGCTCGCTTTGTTCCTATCCTCTGACTTTTTCCATTTCACTGCAGTTGTTCACCCACTAACTAAAACCATAATTATCATTTGTTATATTATGCCTGCATTAAGGAGGTGAACATATTAGTTTGACTCTGCAGAAGGAAACGTCTTCTTTCCATACGTCTGCATTAGCTATTGGGAGTCATAAAGGGTAATTTGCTAATGTTTTGATGATTTAACACTAAGTTCATTTCGGATAGTTAAAAAGTTAATTGGCGTTTAAAGATATGAATAAAATCATCCTGTTAGTTTGTGCCCAAATCATGTGTATGGGGTCCAAGATTCCTGTATAAGTTGTTGTAATATCTTCTCCCTATATCAATTAGTTGTCTAAATTACTATCTTGGTTATCCAAAATAATGTGGCTCCTTTAAGGAGCAAAAGCTATTTACTCTTTGTAAACTTAGTGCATATCTCAGAGGTCATGCCATTGATGATCAGTAAATATATGTTAAATAAATATAAATAAGTATGTGAGAAGAATTAATTGCCTAATGGGCACTGAACTGACTAGATATATTTAACTTTTGTGGGCATTTTGCAAATTATAGCCTAAAACTGTAATTATTGAATATTGGAAATAATGGGAATACACTTAAATCTGCATTATGAGATATATTTTGGGTAGTTATGCCTTGCCCAAGCCAAGTCCCAACAGAGTCCTTTTGTGATACTCTTTTGATATAATCCTATACTTGGGATTTGAGGTGAGCATTAAGGTAAATCAAGTGAAATCTAGTAAAGAAAAATTCAAACGCTCCAATGCATTCTACATAACATGATGAAAAAATGTGGAAACTCAGGAAAAATTCAGACAGAAATATTTTGTTTCAATGTAATGAATATTGATGTGAACCCTGCTGTTTGGACTTTCTATTGAAAGCTATGATATTAATTATATAACGCAGCTTCCTATATATTAGTAACAAATAGGTTTTCTTAAAGGTGATAATTACTTATGAAGCATAAAGTCACGAAGTATCATGCAGGTTAGCCCAAAATAGGAGTGGTGAGTCAGGTTACATTTATTCTGCATATTTACAAAGAAAACAAAGAATAATGTTGAGGCAATTATCTAGACTACTTAAAGAAAAGAAAAAGAGAAAAAGAAAAATCTTCTGGTCATAGAAATGTGGATTTGGAATACTTTATTTTTGAACCAGGTTTATTTTTATCAACAGCCTGTGTAACCTATATAAACAATATAAGTATTCGGTCTTCTTGCACTCTTAATTCTTATAGACACAGACTAAATGATAAATGCTAAAGTTGAGTTCTGATTTTCACATAGTCGGAGGATAATCAAGTCTACCGATGAGGCACTCTAACTTCTTCCTAATACATTTATTCCTCTAATTATGCAATGAATGCTTATTAAGTATCCACTATATGTAAGAGGCAGAGTAACAATTTATTTTGCTGAAAAAAAAATAACATCAGCTTCATTGGCTAAAGGCTTAATCTTGAACTTTGCTGCATTTTATAATTATTTTGTTGACATAATTTAAATCCCTTTGATTTTTGCAGGAAAAATATGGGTCACAAAACATGTTAAGTAAGGGGAAAGAAGATATGCATACACCATACAAGTATAGAAACATAAAACTGACCAAATGGAATAAAATCCACCAACGCTAGGCAGTGATTGGCAATAGATTGTGGAAATTCAGTAACTGCTGGCCCTAGTGCTGTATTCACACAGGAATAGCTTGTATCACTCTTGCACTGTTCCTAAATACTTACATGATTTTGAGAATATTATCTAAATGCTCTGTTCTTCGGTTTCCTTGTAATTGATAAGTGGATATTGATAATCATCTCATTTGGTTGTTACATAGAATTGATAAAAATGAAAATAAAACCTTTATCAAATTCTTGATACAAATTAGGCACTTATTAAATGTTTGTTTCCTTTCCTTTGCATCTTACAAGTCTTGTGATTAAAAAAACCATGACATAGTTGAACTCACAAGCTAGTGCCTTTTGATTAGTCTCATATGAATGTTCAACTCAGTCATTACCCACTGTTGAAATTTCTGTTTTTAATGTCTATTTTTAGCAAAAACCATCTAATTCCAAAATTAAGAGCTGAAGGAAAATCTAATTATGTTTAACTCTGCCATTTCGCTAGGTGAGGAAAAGAACAAGAGGGTTTAAGTGACTTGACCAACATCACTAGACTAGTTAGTATCAGAGCCAGGACTTTAACTTAGCTCTTCTGAATTCACATGCATACACTTTACACTATAGGATATGGTCATTTTACTGACAAAACTCCTGTTTAAAGCAGGATATTTGGATGGTTCTGTTCTTACTGACTCTTCCATGTGTCAGTAACACCTCTCTTCATTGTATCAAAGCAAGGAGAATCAACACATTAGTCAGACTGATCATTTGACTAAATTTCAGCAAAGAGAAATAAATGTAATAAAATGTCTAGAGTTTCACAAAAAGAAAAATATTTCTGAGAGAGTTTATAAACTTCACTTCTGAATTAGTACTTTATGTGAGAGTGTAGTTAGGGTTCTAACTTTCTGACTACATCTTTCAGGAGAGGAAAATTATGTAATATATACAAAGATGTCATTTATGATTACCTACCATTGAAAGCATTATTTATTTGTTACATTTAGAGGGCATATATCTTCTATGTGAGGCCTGAGGGTATTTCACATTTTATGAAAAACTTGCCCAGATTTAAAGGGCAAACAAAGCAGCCGGTTTCCTTTTTAAAATAGTTTTTACTGTTTAACCTTGAGAGAAAATTAATTTCTGTGCATTTACTACAATTAAACTTATAAAGTGGGAAACATTTTTAAACATCCTTGTTGCACCCAAAATATGGGCACACGTGAAAAGCAGTTCTCTTTAACCAGTCCCTTAAATCCTTCCTTCAAATTTCTAAACCTTGATTTGACTCTTCAGTCATCTGATCCAACACATTCCACAGTAGTCTCCAAACTTGTATGACAGTCAAGACTACATGCACATACTGATTTCTCTTCAGAACCTTATATCTCTCTTTCCTTTAAATGGAATGATAGGCACATAGATAAAAGTGATAGAAAGATATATAGATTAGATAGAGTATAGCTTTTATAGAAAAACAAACAAAAATAACCTATCAAACAAAAAGAACCAAAATATTGAATAGTCATCTGAATATTTAGGTCAAATAATATAATTCTAGCACCTTTATTTAGCTACATAACAGGGCTTACCAACACTAATTTAAGAGTCTGCACCTGTTCCCCTCATTGTCTGCATACATGGGTATCATATCTGCATCCTATTCCCTAAAAATCCTAGTGAAGCTTTTTCATAGGAAAATTTTCTTTATGTTTGATAGCACTGAGACGGCAAGCATCTTTATTTGATTGTAAGAGCCAAGGGCAAAGACCAGTCTCTGTATTCTCAGTAAAAGGCCTCAGGCATATCAGCCCGTTGGCTCTTGCCTATGACCAATCCCAATAAGCTCAGATTTCATCTTTGTTTTCAGGCACCTTGTTCTGATACCAACTCATGAGATTAGTTGTATAATTGTTATTTCTACCTCTCGTTCTCTGTCCTTTCAGTACTGAGATTCTGCTCTATGTGTTTAGATTGAGTATCATTTTAGACCCGGAAATTATTGCCTGGATCTCAACTAACTCCTGATCTTGGTTGGACTGTTGCCCTTTCTTTTGGCCTGCAGATCAGTTTCATTTCCTGAATTTTTAAATGTGTGTGTTTGTGTGTTGAAAGACTGAATATACAAATAACAATGGCCAAGACACATATAAAAATAATAGAACTTTAACTCACAACCTGCAGCAACCTACCTAGGAAAACAATACTTTTACCTATAATAATTCAGAAGCCAGCATGGTGTAAGACAGACTTTCAAGAAACCAAATTGTTGCCTTTATTGACAATATTGACAATGAAGAAAGCTCAACAACTTCTGTAACAATTGATTCCAAATGGCCAGATCTTGATTAACAACTGACAACTTTACTAATTTTTGTCCTTGGTTTCAGCTTAGGACCAATCACATACGATGTTCTGCTTCCAGTTAGTCAGCATCCAGCTTCTCCAGGCCAACAACCTCTAATCAGGGCATATCTGAAGCCTCTGTTTCATTTCCCACTATATAGCTTATACTTCTCTCTCTGCCTTTCAGTCTTCGCTAAATGCTATTGACGGTGGCTGACTCTCTTGCTACATCAGTCTCAGAATAAATAGGCATTGCTTTTCTCATTTGTTTGGTCCTTATTTCCACAATTGTGTGTGTGTTTTGTGCAGATGCATGGGTTATGCAAAGAACACCAGACTCAAAAGTATATATATATATTAAAATAGGAGATTGACTTTTGTGGGAATGAAAGCTTAGTTTCCTGCTTAGGGTGGAGAATATAGAGAAACTCAAATTTTCTTTTTCTCTGTTTCTCTCCACTTGTGACCAAAATGGACACAGAAGGTACCTATAGGTTTTATTTCTGAAATGTGTGGGTATAACAGACCCAGTTACAGGTAAGCATGATAATTAGGGCAGAATAAGAGGTGTACCTTCCAATGACCCATCTTTAGGACTGTTGGCCAAATATAACTGCTGAGCCACTTAATGTAGATTCCATAACTGTTGTAATAAGGCTGCCATAGCTACTTTCATACTATTGAATGTGGCACCTTTAAGCCCCTCAATGCTTTTATGTCTAGTGATCCTGGCTAATTGACTAGGATGAAGCTTCTTTACTTGGTTTAATCATGCAACAAACATTTATCAAGCATGTTCATGATTAGAAACTGTGGGTGAGTTAAACATATAATACTTTTGACATGTGCCCTCCAGAAATTTTTATTCTGATTGTGCATTTGATATCCACATATGAAATATTAAGTAACAGAATAAGGCAATTATATGCCAGATGTCACAGGCAGTATATGATTAAGCCTCCAATTAAGACAACATCGTGGTTAGGTTTCTTAATTGCTACAAAAGTATGTCAACATCTCAGTATTTTCTCTCTCAGCCAGGCGCAGTGGCTCACACCTGTAATCTCAGCACTTTGGGAGGCCAAGGCAGGTGGTTCACTTTAGGTCAGGCATTCGAAACCAGCCTGGCCAACAGGGTGAAACCCCATCTCTACTAAAAACACAAAAATTAGCCAGGTGTGTTGACACATGCCTGTAATCCCAGCTACTCAGGAGGCTGAGGCAGGAGAATCACTTGCAGTGAGCCGAGATCGCACCACTGCACTCCAGCCTGGGAGACACAATGAGACTCCATCTTAAAAAATAATAATAAAAATAAAAATAAAATGAAATTCTCTCTCATTTGCTCTCATACATTTGCTCCTAGTAAGTCCAAGTATAAGCTCACCAGGCCTTGTCATAGAATGCACCAATCTGCTCTTATCAGAACTAAAGCTAAAAGAAATTTTATTTATAGGACATATTGGAAATACATGGTTAATCCATTTTGTGTTAGTTATTTCTATGGTCTATACTTTTTCAAGCCAGTCCACTGTGATAACATATGCTTGGCCTGCTCAAAGAACCATGTTCCCTGATTTGCAGATGAATATTAAGGTATATATGTTTATTCAAGAGTACTATAAGGAGTAACCACACAAAACCCATTATTATATTAGCTACAGGATGTTATTCAATAATCTGTTCATGATATTTCTTAGTTTCTCCTTCATAAAATTCTACAGAAGAAAATTATTTTAGTGACTGATATACAAATCTTGCTTTTGCTGAGTATCAGGTGGGTTTCTTATTTTCCAATAATATAACTGACACTATCTCCCTCTAATTATTGCTGTCAAGAAGTTAGGTGCAAAATTTGAACATTGAATTAGTAAACGTATTAATTCAGATGTTATATGAAATCAAGTTTGGTAAAAGGAGAAAGGAAGGTATAAGAAATGAAGCGAGAAAAAGGAAGAAGGGAAGGAGAGTACCTTTTGGCTCCTGATGCTCACCTTTGATCTTTAGTAGTCCAAATATATTTTGGAAATGATACTTCACCTCTATATATGCATTTTTTTGATAGTTAAAATTTTAAACATTCAACTTTAGTTCAGTGTATTATTTCTTTGAATGGAAAGTACTCAATCTGCCTTCTGTTACCTAATGTACACATAAAATAATTGTAAAAATCCACTGCCTGGGAATAAGTGTTCAAGATCTGAGGCTGTTTCTACTTAATTAATATTGGCATAAAAATATGTGAAAGATTGAGCATATAGGTTGATAATTAACAATGCTTCCAGCTAGGACTGATCAATATGACGTCTGAGGAATAATCATCGGACTTGGGAAGAGTACAAAATAGTTACTGGTTAGCTTCCTCTTTTATCCAGCAGCATCTAAATGATTTAAATATCAAAAATAAAAGCTTTTATAGTTTTCTTTAGTAAACATGTTGCATTGTCATATTTTAAAAGAGTTTTGCTCTAAGGATAGGATAGGAAATAGATTTTTACTGAGTGCCAATTGTGGTAGAGAGTCTTGTGTAGAAACATTTTTTATTCAACTTAATGAGCTAATAAATATTTTCATTTTACAGAAAGGAAAACTATGATGAAGACATTTTCTCAAATCACACAGTAAGTAAGTGAAAGAGACAAGAATCAAACACAAATTTATGTAATTTAACAAATCCATGCTCTTTCCTGACATGTCCTGCTTCTCTGTTATTGAATATTTTTATGATGGTCTATCACTTTAGCGTATGCTTCAGATGCTTCTTCACTTATTGACTCATTAGTTTCGAGAAAAAATGATTGTCCCTCCACTTATTAATTCATTCATTCTTTTAATAAGGAACTTTTGGGTATCTATTATGTTTTATATACTGTGACAGGTGCTTGGAATACAAAATGAACAAGCTTGTTTCATCATGGCTATATTAGTAACAGCAGTTGGCCTAATTCTGACTTGAGTGATTCCATTTCCACATGCTTAAATCTTTCTTCTTAGGAAGAGAAGTGATTAAACATGACAATTTCATTTTCACATTTTGCAGCTAAGCTGCTATTGTGCACCCTCTTAGAGATGTATCTACTTCAGAGAAGATGAACTTATGTGAACACTTAGTAGATGTTCAAATATTAAACAAGGATTTATAAGGTACTTCAGGATTAAATATGCAGAGTTGGAGCTCCCTCGGGTTCTCAGAAATGTGTTGGTTAAAAAAAACAGTGCCATCAGATAGACAACTTTATTAAAGAAAAGGTAAAATTCTAAATGATTTCTCCTTTCAGAGTATATTGAAATATAAATTTATTCATGACTGTGCTGTAGATATTTAAGTAAGTTCATCAGCCTACAATTCTTAACATTTAAGTTGAATCTTTTACTGATGTCAGATGTACTTTATTACTTAAAAGAGGCAACAACAATCATCTCATGCATTGTTCTTGGCTACCTTCTGCTCTTCTGAAAACTGGCAATTATACAGGACACACAAGTGTAGCTCCAGATGCATAAGCACAAATCACCAGATTATGAAAGTTACAGCACTAGTAGATGGATCGCTGCATGGAGCAGCATTGTTGAGTATATTTACTTACTGTGAAGGTCACAATAGGTATCTGTCAGGAAAAAAATGTATATTTAAGCTGAACTGTGATCAGCCTTGAATATATAAATCAAAAAATTATCACAAATAGATTTGTTAAAATTCAAGGCAAAAAGAAGATAATATAATGTGCTTTTTTAAGGAGGGTTAGTAAATAATTGAGAAAAATATTTTCTACCACAGATATGCAGGTGAAGGCAGTGAACCATGTACCCATTTTGCCACATTTAAAACACTGCTTGACTGCAAATTTAAAAAATACAATGCTATGCTTTTATCTTTAAGAGTCTGAGGATATGCAGACACTTACTCTGAATCCTACTTTTATTTATCTAATCCTCCTTTTACTTAGAAAGAAGAAATAAATGAAAAAACTGCAGCAGGAAATACATATTTATCCAACCAGTCATTGACAAAATCTGGACTAGAAAGTGATCTCTCTGCTCTTATTTCAGTGTTGTCACTGTAGGAAAGTAGAGGCATGTCATAGATAATTACTTAAATATGCTTCAAATAGATAGGTGTTCTCCTAGGAAAATCTGGCCGATTGCTTGCTCAAATAATTTCATGCATATACTCCTTGTGCTGATAATTTACATACAGAGTAATATTTTTATCCATTCTAAGTGATTCTATTAAGTCAACTGCAGGTTGCTAAATTACAGTGTGTAATTCTGTAACAAAAGTCGTTTTCTTTTTTGGTTCATATGCATATGGTACAATTAGATTCAGTGAAATAATTCCAAGGTATTCTGTATGTTAAAGTTTACAATTTTATACCAAGCATTTTTTCTTGTTGTTCTTACACCTGCTTTCTAACCAATGATGTGCAATATTGGGTAATATATTATAGTTCAACTCAAGCTTTCATAATCTTCCTTACATTTTTAAAAAATTCACGAGTTTTCATATTGACTGGAACAAAACTAGAAAATTATCCTATAACCAGTGTAATCTATCCAGTTCTCCCCCTCAATCACCATAACATGATGTGCCAATACATCTCCTGATAGTTGATTATGGTGATTGTCGATCCAAAACAAATTGAAACTTATTTATAACGAGGCTGAGGAAGGCTATTTGAATGGTATAAACAAGCTAGAAAATAATTTTAAAATTATTTTTCTCAAAATAGTATACTATTTATTATTAAATATTCTATACCTTTTATTGTCAAATTTAAGCAATACAAAAAAAGCCAAGAAGTTCAAGTCATGCCAAAACAAGACCTAGAGAAAATCATTGTAACATAGTTGATCCCTGCCCTTACAGAAAACACAATTCCTGAAATTTATCTATACCTATTGTATTTCTATCGATAGTCATAGATACGTTTCACATTAATAAGGTGCTCATTTTTCTGTTGTTTCCCTGCTCACTAGGCGCCTGACTCTCTAGTCTTCCTTTGTCTCCAATACTATACTAACTTCTACGGTCACTAGTAACTTATTCGTACATTTTAAAGTAACTATAAGAGTATAATTGTAACACAAAGGATAAATACTTGAGGGAATGGGTACCCCATTCTCTATGATGTGGTTATTATGCATTGCATGCTTGTATCAAAACATCTCATGTAACCCATAAATATATATACCAACTCTGTACTCACAAAAATTAAAAATTTCAAAAAATTATCTTTGCATTGAAATCCTACAGAGACACCCCTGCATCGCCCTTATATTCATGTCAACATCAATCAGTGGCTTTTTAATCTTTTATAATAGGTCAACTTTAATCTTAATTTTTTATGTATCCTATTTTTTCTATTTTAAATTAATTTTTTGTGTATGCTATTCATTTTTTCTTAGGTCTTATTGATCTTCCTCACAAGGCAGTAAGCTTGGTACGGGCGATTAGCCCTCACACTCTTTGTCATTGCACTGTCTATTGTCATTTTTAAAGGCTGAATTGTATTTATGTATGTGTGTGGATGTTTGTGTGTATATAATTTCTAAAAAAAAAAAGATCCTAAAATAACATTTAAAAAGACTTTTCCCTCCATAAAGATGGGTTGAGCATACTTTTCTCTATTTCTACCACTAAGCATAGCTATATTACATATTAATATTTAGTATCAAATATATTATGTATTATATATTAAATATTTTTAAGAAAACTTGAAAATTGGAGAAAAGTCAAAAGTCAATCAGAAGTCAAACAGGCTAGGAACTTCAGAATTCAAATAATAACACAGTAGTCAGTTTCTTGAGTTTTCTTTTTTGTCTCACATAGCCTATATTTGCCACTGGAGAAGCCAGTAACCCAGATAAACCAATAGTGCAAAACTCTGAAAATTAACTAAAAGCTTATGGCAACCTAGAGAGTGTTTATTCAATAAAACCTGCCAAATATCAAAGAGCAGCAACATTTGTGTAATTTTAACTGATCCTAGTTCCATCTCTTGTTCCACAGTTCATTGGTAACCTTGAAAATAACAGCCTACCTTCTTCATATAGGTGGAGAGAACAGAATGAACTTAGTTGATCTATCTGGTGACTTCTCGAAGGCCCACTCAGAAGGCTTGCGTTTACCTCACATAACTCAGAACTCACCTAATAAAGCTGCTGCCTGAGGGAATTTGTCAAAAATACTTAAATGCAAATGTTTCGGTTGCTATTACATCAGGTAATGAAGAACACTGGAACAAACAATGGATTAATCAAAAATATTAGGAGGAAAGTCTATGGGTGAGATGGTTTATTAAATAAAAACTCTTAAAGTTCTGGCATATTTCTGGGAGCCTAGAATGTCAGTTAGAATGCTTGAGGTTCTGTCCTTCCTGCGTGCTCAGGAAAGAACTGAGAAAGCCCTAGATGTCATCTTTGGCAGACCTTGAGAATTTCTGCAATCAGGAGCTGAAGGCTAAGGCAAAGTTGTAAATTGCCTAGCTGAGTGTTGAGGGTGTAATTCAGCGTGCACACACACACACACACACAGCCTATAGAAAAAGATAGAGTTATTTTGGGTCTAGGCATTTAAGAAAATCTTTGCCTATTTTCATTGGCTGATCATTAGATAATTAAACATTGGCTTCAGTGGCCACACATAACAGTAACACAGATTTTCCAGAATTAGTTCAGAAAAGCCAGCAAACAAATAACAATGACTGCAGAAAACAGTAAAAACAAACCCCAAGGAGGGGGAGACGCATCATAATCAAACTGTCAAAAGCCAAAGGCAAAGACAGAATATTGAAAGCTGTAAAAGAGAAGTAACTCAGGTACAAAACATCTTCAATAGCTGATTTTTACCAGAAACTATGGTGTCCAGAGGCAGTGGGATGATATAATTAAAATGTTAAAAGAAAAAGTAAAACCCATAAACCTACAATATCCAATAAAATTGTCCTTAAAAAGGAGAAATATATTCCAAATAAGTAAGAAACCATATGAGCTAACAAATGTCTCCTACAAAAAAATGCTAAATGAAGTCCTTCAGGCTGAAATGAAGGGACACATGATAGTATGCTCAATACATATAAATAAATAAAGAACAGTAGGATAACTACTTAAGTAAACATAAAAGACTGCCTTAATAGCCTTTGTATTTTCTCTTTTCCTATCTTATTTAACAGATAATTGCATATATCAATAATTACAAATATATGTTGATGGGCACACAATGTATAAAGATGTAGTTTATGAAAATAAAATCATAATAAAAACAATGAAAAGAAAATTAAAATATATCTAGTACAAAAGAGGAAAATAATGGAAAATTTGAAGAACAAGAAATAAGATAAACAATAACAAATAGCAAAATAATAGGAATAAGTCCTTCCCTGTAAGTAATTATGTTAAGTGTAAGTAGAATAATATCTCTAATTAAAAGGCAGACATTGACAGGATAAATTAAAAGTAAAATAAAAAGAACATTATCCAACTATGTGTTGCTTATAAGAGATTCAAAATTTAAAGACACAAATAGATTGAAAATGAAAGAATGATAAAAGATATTCTAGGCAAGACATAACCACAAGGGACCTGGAATGAATATAATATATCTCAGAAAAAATAAAATTTAAGACAGAAATTTTACTAGAGACACAAAAGGACATTATAAAGAAAAAAGTCAATTCATCAAGAAGCTATAAGAATTATCAATATACATACAGTTAAAAACAGGGTCTCAAAACACATGAAGTAAAAATGGACATAATTGAAAGAAGAAATATTTTAACATTAATAGATGGAGACTTTAATACCCCACTTTACATAATGAATACAAACTAGAGGGGCAGATCAACAAAAATATTAAAACTCTGAGAACAGTAAAAACCAAGATAAAGTAACAGAGATCCATAGAAAACGCCAACCAATATTAGTAATATGCCTGTTCTGCAATGCAGACCATGTGCTAGGCCACAAAACAAATAACAATAAATTTAAAACCATTGAAATTATATAAATAATGTTCTCTTACCACAATGGAAATAAATTAGAAATAAATTATAGAAGAACATTTGGGGACTAACAAATAGGTGAAAATTAAACAACATATTCATAAATAACTAAAGTTTCCAAAGAGAAATCACAAAGAAAATTATTAACTACTACCTGTTTGGGCTGCTATAAGAAGAATACCATAGACTGGGTATTTGAATAACATTCATTTCCTACAGTTCTGGAGGGTAAGATGTTTGAGATCAAGGTGCCAACATGGTTGGGTCCTGGTAAGAGCTGTCTTACTGATTTTCTCACATGGCACAAAGTGATAGAAATAGAAAACAAGCTCTCTGTGTCCCTTTTTATAAGTGACTATTAGTCCATTTTCACACTGCTATAAAGAACTACCTGAGACTGGGTAATTTACTTTAAAAAAAGTTTAATTGACTCACAGTTCTGCAGGGCGGGGGAGGCCTTAGGAAACCTACAATCATGATGGAAAGTGAAGGAGAAGCAAGGCATGTCTTACATGGCAGCAGAAGAGAGAGGGAGAGGGAGAGAGTGAGGCGGGAAGTGGCAACCTTTTAAACCATCAGATCTTGTGAGAACTCACTCACTATCACAAGAAGAGCCTGGAAGAAATTAACCCCAGGATCCAATCACATGGGGATTACAATTTGAGATGAGATTTGGGTGGGGCACAGAGCCAAACCATATTAGGCACTAATCCTATAAAGAGGGTTCTACCCTCATAAACTACCACTTATGAAAGGCCCCAATCTCCAATTCTACCACATTGGGGATAGGGCTTCAATATAAAAATTTTGGTGGGAAACAAACATTCAGCCCATATAAAAATCTTTGAGATAAACAAAAAATGAAAACAAAATATACAAAAATAAATATATGGGATGTAGAGAAAGCAGTGCTCAAATGAAAATTTATAGTGGTAAAAACACACATTAAACAAGACGACAGATTTCAAATAAATAATCTAACCATTCACTTTAATAAACTAGAACAAAGAGAAAATTGAACACAACACAAAGAAATAATTTTGTTCTCAGCCACAAGCATGGTAAGTATGTGAGGCAATGCATATGTTAGTAAGCTCAACTAAAACATTGCACAGTATATACCTATTTCAGAACATCATATGTTCCACAATAAAGATATTCAATTATTATATGTCAATTAAAATTTTTTTAAAGTTGGTTTAAAAAAATCAACAAAATTCAGAAATCTTCAATTAGACGGACCATGAAGAAAAGAGAAGACTCAAATTATTAATTTTAAAAATGAAAATGTGGGCATTATCATGGACCGCATAGAAACTGATTATAGAATAATGCTATTAACAATTAGAAAACTTAGATGAAATAGACAAACTCCTAGAAACACACAAACTACCAAAACTGATTTGAATAGAAATAGACAATATGAATATATTTATAATAGAATATTAAATCAGTAATAATCTCTCAACAAAGACAAACTCAGGGGTGGATGCAATCACTGGTTAATGCTACCATACATTTAAAGAAGAATTAATACTAATCCTTCTCAGCAAGCACAGAAAAAGATGCTCAACATTATTAGTCATTAAGCAAATGCAAATGAGATTCATAATTAGATACCACTTCATATCCACTAGGATGGGTATGAAAATTAATGATAATAACAATCATTAGCAAGGTTGTAGAGAAATTGGAACGGTCTTAGATTGCTGGTAGGAATATAAAATGTTGCAGCACTGTAGTAAACAATTTGGCATTTTCTCAAAATTTAAATCAGATGACCCAGGAATTTCACTCCCATATGTCTAACCGGGAGTATTGAAAAAATATGTTCACTTAAAAAGTTATAGGCCAAAGTGTATAAACCTGGAGTTACGTAGGATAAAAATAAGTCTATAGAGCTAATGTACAGCATGAGTATAGTAGTTGATAATGCTGTATTTTATACTGAAAATTAGTTAAGTGACTAGATATTAGATGTTCTCACCCAAAGAAAAAGAAGGTAACTATGGAAGATAATAAAGAGGATAATTTTCTTGATTGGAGAAATCATTTCACTACATATTGTATATAAAAACATCATGTTATATACCTTAAATATATAAAATAAAAAAGAATTATCTGAATTATGTTAAAATACCAATAATAACATTAAAGGTTATTTACCTAAACATACCAATTAAAAGGTAGAAATCAACAGCTAGAAAAAAAGTGCATGACCCAATTATATGTATTTCTGTATAGAAAAGTACTCATTTCAGGTACAATGGTGTCTGTAGGATGACAATAAATGTTGGAAAAAATCTACCATGCAAACAGAAGTAAGCAAGAGTGTCTATCTTAATGTGAGATGAAGTTTACTTCACAGAAAAGACAATTAACAAGATAAATAGGTCCATCCACCAAGGAGGTATAAGCAATCTTACAAGTGAATGCACTGAACAATAGACCTACAAAATACGTGAAAAAAAAAAATGAAAGAAGAAATAGAAAAATCCAGAATACGAATTGGAGGAGACTTCAACACCCCACTCAATGGTTGATATATGCAGACAGAATATTAGAAAGGATGAAATAAACATCATCAACCAATAAGATCTAATCAACACTTAAGGAATATACAACAGCAGTAGAATGCACATAGTATTAATGTGTTCATGGAAAATGTCCAAAATGGAACACATTTAAATCATAAATGAAGCCTCAACAAATGTCAATGATTTGCAATAATATGGTTTGTATTTTCTAACCACAGTGACATCAAACTAGGGAACAATAACAAAAAGACAACAGCTAAAACTCTAAACACTTGGAAAATAAATAAAACACTTCTAAATAATACACAGGTCAAAGAGGAAATTGCGAAAAAAATAGCAAAACTTCATAGAACTGAATGAAAATACAAGACATCAATGTATGCAAGACATAGCTATAAAATGTATATAACTAAAAAGCAAAATTTATATCACTAAAAACTTGAGTAAAGGTCTCAATAATATAATATCTTAACTTAGGAAACCAGAAAAAGAAGAGGAAAATAAGCCCAAAGAAAGCACAAGAAAGAAAACAATGGAAGCAGAAATCAATAAGATCAAAACTAGCAAAACAATTGAGAAAATCAATGAATCAAAGGTTTGATTCTTACGTCAAAATAAATAAAATTGGTAAATCTCTAGAAACATTGACAAATTAATAAGAATAAAGACATCAATCAAATTGGGGAAGCTATCATGACAGAATCTACGCCCATTTCAATTACTTGAAAATCAGAAATTCCTCAAAAGTAATCAAAATTAAAGAAATGATCTGAAGGGTCCTATTACCTGTAAAGAAATTGAATTTGTACTTTAAAACCTTGTAAGTAGAAATATCTGGGCCCATATGCATTCACTGAAGAATGCACACAAGCATTTAATGATAAATTAAAACCAATTTTACAAAATCTTTTTCAGAAAAGACACTAAGAAACACTCCCCAACTCACATGATGAGGGCTTACTGCTACCCTAAATGTAAAACCAGTGAAAGACAGTCCAGAAAATGAAAAATAAAAAAAAAAACTCCCAGAGACTTAAATTTAAAAATCTTTAAGACAACATTAACAAATCAAATCTAACAATGTAAAAAAGAAGAATACACCATGAACAATTGGGCTTTCTTCCAGGTGTGCAAAACTGGTTTCACATTCAAAAATGAATAAATAGAATCCACCATATCAACAGGCTATACAAGAAGATTATGTCATTATAACCAACTGACACAGAAAAATCCTTTTACAAAATTTAAAACCTTCTCAATACAAAAATCTTAGCAAAATAAGAATAAAGAACTTCCTCAAGTTGATAAGAGTATCTACAAATGCCCAGGACCAGACGGATTCACAGCCAAATTCTACCAGAAGTACAAAGAAGAGCTGCTACCATAACTTCTGAAACTATTCCAAACAATAGAAAAAGAAGAACTCCTCCTTAACTCATTGTATGAAGCCAGCATCATCCTGATAACAAAACCTGGCAGAGACACAACAAAAAATGGAAAATGTCAGGCCAATATCCCTGATGAACATCGATGAGAAAATCCTCAATAAAATACCGGCAAACCGAATCCAGCAGCACATCAAAAACTTATCCACCATGATCAAGTCGGCTTTCACCCTGGGAAGCAAGGCTGGTTCAACATACACAAATCAATAAAAGTAATCCATCACATAAACAGAACCAATGACAAAAACCACATGATTATCTCAATAGATGCAGAAAAGGCCTTCGATAAAATTCAACCACGTTTCATGCTAAAAACTCTCAATAAACTAAGTACTGATGGAATCTATCTCAAAATAATAAGAGCTGTTTATGACAAACCCACAGCCAATATCATACTGAATGGGCAAAAGCTGGAAGCATTCCCTTTGAAAGCCGGTACAGGACAAGGATGCCCTCTGTCACCACTCCTATTCAACATAGTATTGGAGGTTCTGGCCAGGGCAATCAGGCAAGAGAAAGAAATAAAGGTATTCAAATAGGAAGAGAGGAAGTCAAACTGTCTCTGTTTGCAGATAACAATTGTATATTTAGAAAACCCCATCGTCTCAGCCCCAAAACTCCTTAAGCTGATAAACAACTTCAGCAAAGTCTCAGGATACAGAATCATGTGTAAAAATCACAAGCATTCCTATACAACAATAATAGACAAATAGAGACCCAAATCATAAGTGAAATCCCATTCACAACTGCTACAATGAGAATAAAATACCCAGGAATACAACTTACAAGAGATGGGAAGGACCTCTTCAAGGAGAACTACAAACCACTCCTCAAGGAAATAAGAGAGGAAACATACAAATGGAAAAACATTCCATGTTCATGAATAGGAAGAATCAATATCATGAAAATGGCCATACTGCCCAAAGTAATTTATAGATTCAATGATATCACCATTAAGCTCCCACTGACTTTCTTCACAGAATTAGAAAAAATTACTTTGAATTTTATATGTAACCAAAAAAGATCCCGTATAGCCAGGACAATCCTAAGCAAAAAGAACAAAGCTGGAGGCATCATGCTACCTGACTTCAAACTATACTACAAGGCTACAGTAATCATAACAGCATGATTCTGTTACCAAAACAGACATATAGACCAAAGGAACAGAACAGAGGCTTCAGAAATAACATCGCATATCTGCAACAAGCTGACCTTCGACAAACCTGACAAAAACAAGCAATGGGGAAAGGATTCCCTATTTAATAAATGATGTTGGGAAAACTGGCTAGCCATATGCAGAAAACTGAAATTGGACCCCTTCCTTACATCTTATACAAAAATTAACTCAAGATGGATTAAAGACTTAAACATAAGACCTAAAACCAGAAAAATCCTAGAAGAAAACCTAGGAAATATCATTCAGGACATAGGCTTGGGCAAAAACTTCACGACTAAGACGTCAAAAGCAATGTCAACAGAAGTCAAAATTGAAGAGGGGATCTAATTAAACTAAACAACTTTCGCACAGCAAAAGAAACTAGCATCAGAATAAACAGGAAACCTACATAATGGGAGAAAATTTTTGCAATCTATCCATCTGACAAAGGGCTAATATCCAGAATCTACAAGAAACTTAAATTTACAAAAAAAAAAAAAAAATCAAAGAGTGGGTGAAGGATATGAACAGACACTTCTCAAAAGACGGCATTTATGTGGCCAACAAACATGTAAAAAAAAGTTCATCATCACTGGTCATTAGAGAAATGCAAATCAAAACCACAATGAGATACCATCTCATGCCAGTTAGAATAGCAATTATTAAAAAGTCAGGAAACAACAGATGCTGGAGATGATGTGGAGAAATAGAAACACCTTTACACGGTTGGTGGGAGTGTAAATTAGTTCAACCATTGTGGAAGACAGTGTGGCGATTCCTCAAGGATCTAGAAGCAGAAATACCATTTGACCCGGCAAGTCCATTACTGGGTATATACCCAAAGGATTATAAATCATTCTACTATAAAGACACATGAACACGTATGTTTACTGCAGCACTATTCACAATAGCAAAGACTTGGAACCAACCCAAATGTCCATCAATGATAGACTGGATAAAGAAAATGTGGCACATATGCACCATGGAATACTGTACAGCCATAAAAAAGGATGATTTCCTGTCCTTTGCAGGGACATGGATGAAGCTGGAAACCATCATTCTCAGCAAACTAACACAGGAACAGAAAACCAAACACCACATGTTCTCACTCATAAGTGGGAGTTGAACAACGAGAACACATGGACACAGGGAGGGGAACATTACACACTGGGTCCTGTCAGGTGTGGGGGGCTAGAGAAGGGATAGCATTAGGAGAAATACCTAATGTAGATGACGGGTTGATAGGTGCAGCAAACCATCATGGGACATGTATACCTATGTAAAAAACATGCACGTTCTGCACATGTATCCCAGAACTTAAAGTATAATGAAAAAAAGGAGTATCTACAAATGCCTATGGTAAACATCATACTTAATGGTGAAATGTTGAATGCATTTTCTCTTAAATTGGAATGTGTATATTTGGAACATATGACTTTCTGGAAAATACAAGATCATGGAGACAGCAAAAAGATCAATGGTTGCCAGTGGTTAGAGGAAGAGCAGGGGGATGAATACATAGGTATACAGGATTCTTAAGGTAGTGAAACTACTCTGTATTTTATTATGGTGATGGATGCATGTTGTTCCAAATTTTTCCAAATCCATAGAACACACAACACCAAGAGTGAGCCTAAACTATGTACTCTGGGCAATAATGATGTGTCAGTGTTGGCTCATCAGTTGTAACAAATGTACTACTCTACTGGGGGATGCAGTCAATAGTTGATTGAATGTCATTTTGTGTCACATGGCCATATTTGATGAAGAATTTGTGTTTAGACATTGTTGGTGGGAAAGTAAATTAGCTAAACCTCTATGGAAAATGGTATGGAGAGTTCTCTAAGAACTAAAGACCTTTTTGACCCAGCAATCCTACTACTGAGTGTCTATATAAAGGAAAAAGAATCATTAAATACAAAAGACACCTGAACTTGTATGTTCACTGCAGCATTATTTACAATAGCAAAGCCATGGAACTAATCTAAGTGTCTTTAAATGGTTGACTGGATAAAGAAAATGTGGTATATATACAACACGGAATACTACTCAGTCATAAAAAAGAATGAAATCATTTCTTTTGGAGCAACATGGATAGAGCTGGAGCCTATTTTCCTAAGTGAACTAAGAAAACCAAATACCACATGCTTTCACTTGTAAGTGGAAGCTAAAACATGGGTACATAAGGTGACAATGACAGAAATAATAAACACAGGGGACTCCAGAAGAGGATAGGGCTTGAGGGGTATGAGAGTTGAAAATAACTAATTGGGTATAATGTTCACAATTTGGGTAATGGGTACACTCAAAGACTAATCCCCACCTATATGCAATATATCTATGTAACAAACCTGCATATCTACCCCTGAATCTAAAATTTAAAAAATAATTTTTATTTAGAATATATAAACAACACTCCACATTTAGTTAAAACAAAAAAGTATTCTGTTAGAAAATGATCAAAATAAATCAACATACTTCTCACTTTAGAAGATATACCGGTGGAAAAAAGCACATACAAATATGTCTGATATCACTTGCCATAGGATTCAGCAATTGCACTGTTAGGCACTTATTCCAGATAAATGGAATCTTAAGGTCACAAAAAAACCTATACAGAAGTGTTCATAACAGATTTACTTGTAATAGGCATAAACTGGAAATTTTAATAAGTGAATGTTAAAAAAACTTTGGTATTCCCATGTCATGGAATACTATTTAGCATTTAAAAGGCTATTGATATGCACAACAGCATGCATAGATCCAGGTTCAAAAACTATGTTGAATATAAAAAGCCAATCTCAAAATAATACGCTATTATTCTACCTATGCAGCATTCTTAAAATGACAACAAGGTAGAGATGAAAACAGATTAATGGTTGCCAGGGGTTGGAGGTGGTGGTGGAGGGTGGTGGCTGTGGCTATAAGAGAAAAACAGGTGGGACAAAATGATTTTGAAACATACTCACATGATGGTCACATAAATGTAACCATGATAAAATAGCTTATTACAAAACAGCCACATACACGCACACACACACAAACACACACACATGCACACACAGTGCATGTAAAACTAGTTGGTCTGAAATAAAGTCAAATGATTTTCATGAATGCCAATGTCCTTGCTGTGACTTATAGCAGGTTTAAGAAAGATGCTTCGATTTTGAGTAAATTGGATGAATGGTATAGTAATCACTCCATATTATTTCTTATAACTATGCATGAAACCACAATTATCTCAAAATAAAAAATGAAAAAGAAAAGTAATAGGAACAAAATAGCTATGTGGTTCACTTTATTTAGGGATCATAAAAAATGTAGAATAATCTGAGTTTTATTCCTGTTTCTTAGTATTATAAAAATCTATTTTTGAGTTATATAGTTCTTTAAGTACATGGACACGCATCTAATTTTTTTCATTTCTACCACTGCAGACTTGTTACAAGCATTGTTCTGAGTAAGTAATTTTATCTGAAGAGAAATGAATATTCTTTGTGTAATTTAATTCCATTTGCAGAAAGTACTACGGGTGTTCTATTTAACTCATACTATTTCAAAACAATATCTCTATTAGTACCTGACATCCTGATTCCTTAGTACTCAAACTGGTATGCTTGAAAATTGAAGTTTCATTTAATTTTTAAAATTTACCAATTTGCACCTGCATGAAATTTCTAAGACATCCTATTCAGAGTACGAGGTACTTACTCATCATTAAGTAGGCATATGGCTGTCTCTTCTCCCTATTCCTTTACACTGATGCATTTTCTGCAAAAGATTCTGAAATGCTATGTTAAATAATCATACAAAATTTTTTAAACAAAATGCAGAAGTTTCTTGTATCTAAATTACATCTAAGGCCATGACCTCCAGTATCTTTTTGATGTTTCTCTACGTTTCTACTCAAACTCGAAACTCTGAAACACAGTTGTTATTACAGTATTTTTTCATTTTACTTTTTATTCCAAACATGTAAGATTGGGAAATATGTTTTGGTGCCAATGCTTTTGAAGCAGTGAGGACTACAAAGGATTCTTTATTACCAAAATCATGAGGCTGACCTTTACTAATTATGGAGCAGATGATAGTCACAGGATTGCTTTCTTTAGGGTAATTTATTAGTTTGAACACATGATAGGTACCTGAATTCTACAACCATAAGTCAAATAGATCTGAATTCAATGACTTTGGTGTGAAAAAGGAACCCAGAGATGAATCTTCCCATGTAATTTAATTTACCATGCACTTCTTGTGTACTTTCTGCATGCCAGACACTGTGCTAGGCATATAAAGAAATAGTAAAACTAAAAAGTCTGGTCCCTAATCTCAAAATATTTAGCAAATAGTTTCAATATTTGACCCATCCAAATTATGTGTTGAAATTTGATCCCCAATGGGCCTAATCAGAGGTGTTCAGGTCATGGGGCAGATTCCTCGTAGTTAACTTGGTGTCATCCTTGTGGCAATAAGTGAGTTCTCGCTCTATTAGATTTTGGGACAGCTGGTTGTTAAATAAAGCCTGGCACCTTCCTCCCCCTTCTCTCTCTCGCTTTCTCTGTCTCTATGTGCTCTCCACATGCTGGCTCCCCATCTTCTGCCACGAGTGGAAGCAGCCTGAGGCTCTCACATGATGCAATAGCCAGCAACGTTCTTCTACAGCCTGTAGAAGTGTGAGCCTAATAAACCTCTTTTCTCTATAAATTACCCAGCCTCAGATATTTCTTTCTAACAACACAAACAGACTAAGTTAGCAACTAGGCAGGAAGAAAGCTCTCCGCACCAGTATTTACAATAAAGTGTGGTAAATAGTATGAAAAAGACCTCTTGCTTATGTTGATTATTCTTTAGTCTTATGCCAATCCTGGATCTCAGATTCACAGTTTGTAAATAACACTGTGTAAAATCAGTTTGGCTGTTAAACTAAAGACAACCTAGTGATAATTCTCATGATCTCTTGTGAAATTCTGTTACAGAAAAAATAGATAGTCAGTTTATTCTGAAAGGTTAATCAATAACCTCCATGTCACTCCTCAATAGAAATGTGGAACTTACACTCTCTTTTTACTCATTGTGTTCCTTGGATTGGCTTTCTAGATAAATTATTTGGTTGGAAGATCTCTATGCTCCATTTTCTATTTTATATTCACATATTAATTTCTAGGAATAGATACTTTGGTATTTGTAAGGCAGGTATCAGAGATAAAAATGGGATAACAAGGTAGAAATTAAGAAACTAATGTTTATATACATATATACATATATATAATATATATTAGTTTCTGTATTTGTATTATTTTTGTTGTATTATTTAATCTTGTTGTATAGTTTAATCCTCATAATTACCCCAAGTTTTTATATTTTCCATTTCTCATGACAAGACTAAGTTAAAACACAACACAATGCAATACAATAAAATATAATACATGGCCAAAATAAATTTAGAAAACTTATAGCATAAAAACATACTCTTTTAATAAGTGACAAACGTGGGAATACAAACAGAGCTCTGTTTGATGTCAAAATCTTGATATGCCGAATGACATTGACAGCTTTCTGGTTACATGCAATAAAGATGTATGCTTTGAAATTTGAAATTTTTAAAATATAGCCAATTAGCATTTCCTGGCGAATTTCCATAATCATTTACAACTGAATGTTTGCTTTGAGACTTGGATGCAAATACTCATTCTAATTTTACAGCAGCTATTTCATGTTCCTCCTGGAAACAAAGGTAAGTACAGGATTGCAACTTAGGGGACAGTGACTTGTACAAGAACAGAATTCATTTCATGTATTCAGAACTAACACATAAAGGCAATTTAGTAAGATAAGTGTTAATTGGTAGGTGTGTTTTTCCTTCTTTGTTTTTTTGGTTTAAGTGACTTTTTGAAATTGTGTTAATTCTGGCATCTTCTAGACAGGAGCTTGAGAGCGGTAGATAACATGAGAACATTATTGCCTTTTAATTTTATAAATATACATTTTATTCACTTATTCATTCATTTTTTTTTTTCAGTGTGAAGGTGATGATTCACTTTTACCAAATTTTTCTAATAGTTTTATGCAGTAGTTCAGGTCATTCAGACCTGAATGTTTACAAATTAGAAAAATGACCTGACAGCATATTCTGATATTTCTACCTTGCTTCCCCTATGAAATTTAATCATATTTTAGCCACTTCAGTCTCTTTAAGTTCTTTATTCTGTCCCCTGTGATTGAACTCCCACACCATCCTGAGAACTGATCCCCATGTCACGATTCATAGGATTCACTCGCTAACAAATATCTATTTATGTTTTATACATAATATGCTGGGGAGGGGTTCTACAGATAAATGTTTGCCCCCTGCTTCAATGCTAGCTTTTATAGGATGAAGTAAAAAGATTTTCTTTCATACTGTGGTCTTCCTGGTTTTTACATGTTTTTAACTTTTGTGCTATAGCATCTTAGACATGGTGAATGTCCAACTTAATAAATGAAAGCTAGAAAACTGAAGTTTTCTTCCCTAGGATTAAAACCTCATTGAACTATAGAATTCACTATCTTATTTTAATGGCAATACCTTCTTTCTGTTTCTCCTTAATGCACTGGAAGGGCTATCTTAGAAAATCTGACTCTCTCAGGGCCTCGTAACCCCATCTGTCTGTGGTAACTGTCTTAGGCAGTCCTCAGACAACGGGATAGAATGCTTTATGTTGACAACCATTTTAGACTGCCTAAGCAATGAGAGGTATAGCTTCACATATGGATTTTGGAAGTTAATGTGTACTGAAAGGAAAATGTATCACCTATTTTACCAGGTGGCCATTGCTCCAGCAGGAATTAGAAGTGGCCTTTGGGGAAGCAGGAACTGATGAATTAGGCTCATCTGAAATCACTTGTAGCCATAAAAAAATGTTGCTCTGATAATCAGGATGTTAGCCCCAGTGTTCTGGAGAAGTTCCAGTTCTATAATTACTTCTGCCTACCTACTTTCCTCCCTGCAGTTTTAATAAGATTATTTTCTTTGCCTTGAAAAGTAAATTTTAAAAGCTAATAAAGCCATACCCAGTTAAAGCAACACTATAATGACTTAATACATATTTACTGAAATTTAAATTTAAGAATAAAATGACTATACATTTTCTTATCAAAATATTTAACTATATGCTTCAAATAGATCTTTGTTCATATAAAGACAATTAGAAACAGTTGTATTCGATCACCTTAAAGTTCATGTGGGAATCTGAAAATTTCAGAAATGTTCTATTTGCAATACAACTTTTGGAAAAATAATCAACAGACAATATAATATTCATTTTATTTTTTGGACTACAGGCTTTATTCTAAACACTATTAATATGCTTAACTATTAATTCATGATTCTGAGGTCTCTGAATTGACATGTCATTTAGAATTGTTTACTGGTGTCTTTTAAAAAATCTCCTTGATGTTCATGACAAAATTCCAATAGTGGAAAGGTGAATTAGCAAATTTTAAAAATTGCTGCAATATTGTTAATTCATTTTATTTATCGGAATGAAAAGAACTCCCAGGTTGCAAAGAGAGCTTTGATATTGCCCTTGCTACTCTCAGAGGAATTGAAAACTTTCCTTAATAGCTGAATCACAAAGATGGCTTTTTAAAAAAGAGGAGTTGTATGTAAAAGAACAGAAATGTAAATTTTTTACATTTATCAATTTACATAGTAAAAACTTATTGCAGTTTAGCTATTAAAATTGTTTATTATATATGATATACAATGCAACTAATAATATTATATTTTACAAGTTGAGGATCCTTAATCCAAGAATCCAAAATCTGAGATCCAAATTCCAAAACCTTTTGAGTGCCAACATGATGATACGAGTGAAAAATTCCGTACATAAGTAACTTACACAAACTTGTTTTATGTACAATATTACTTAAATGTTGTTAAAAAAAAAAGTACCTTCAGCCTATGTGTATAATAAGGTGTATATATAACATAAATGAATTTCACATTTAGACTTGGCTCTCATCCGCAAGATATCTCATTAGGTATATGCAAATATTAAAAATGTGGGAAAATCCCAAACCCAAAACATTTTTGGTTTCAAGCATTTTACATAAGGTAATACTCAACCTATATTACCACATTATTATTACGTAATTTTTTTAGTCTTCTGTTACATCACATCAATTACCACATAGCAAGATTTATACCATAATAAAATTTTGGCAAAACAATATTTTCCTCAGGTTAACAAAAATGTGAACTTCTAGAGATGGAAGTGTTGTTGTTCTGCTACCTTCTTATTTGTACTGTACTTGCTGTTCTGAAAAACATATTTCTTACTAGCAAACTTCTCAGTGATGTGACAAGTACACCCTAAATATCATACACTGGAGAATAATCTGGGAAGCACTGTAACAGGACTATCTAAAGGTCATTTGGAGGGGATTAGCAGAAAAGGGCATAGCTACAGAAGAGTGGCTCTGGATCTTGGACAGTATCTGTCACTATTGGGTTAATGAGTAAGAATGTTTGGTGGCTGACATGAACATTACATTTCTTTTACCAATGTTAGTAGCATAGAGAGATAGTATTAAAGTGGTTGCTTACTTTTATGATATTTTTTCTCATAGAATCCTTCAATCATTTCGTAAATAAAGCAATGGCCTTTTATGAAGTTAATAAACTACAAATGAATTGAAGATGGATTCTAGAGTTAACAAGCCCTTGGCCCATGAGCGTGCTATCTCAATCTCCAGAGCAAAGTCTATTTTAATTAGTCTTTTCTCTGATGGATAGTTTGGTTTCATTCAAGGTTGGAAATGTTCCTACTGCAGAGGACTCCATAGCAGTATTTTCTTGCATGAAGAACCTGATATAGGAAGTAAAAACATTTTAGTCTCTTCTTGATAAGGTTCTTTTTTCCTTTTGCTCAGGCATTACCTGAATAACTTCAATACTTCTATTCTCAACATACTGACTGATCTTTCTCATCCATTGATTTCAAATATCCAATAGACACTATAGACTTTAATATTTTGGGTGCTAATAAATACCTTAATATTTAAAGCTGGCATTTTCAGATATGGAAATGAACACTCTAGCTAACATGATTTGACCAAATTCATAGAGTGAGATAGAGTCTGACAAAGGACATTGAACAAATCCTTCCAAATTTTAAGGTAAAATAAACTTCACAAAGTGATGATATGGGAGATGAAGAGATACCACATTATGGCAGAAGATAAAAACATATTTCCATTGTAGGTTAATAGTGCAAATATAGGTAAATTTTATTGCATAAAGCAAAATGTACCACCAGAAATAACTTGTGCATTTATTTCTTCAGGAATACAGTCTGTTTCACTGAGTGCCGTATGGTGAGTCAGATGAGTATAATGAAAAATACATTGGATTGGTTTCAGTCAGTATAGCTTCTAACTTTGCCTACTGAAGATGGTAGTGTTTTAATTCTATGCAAATCTCTTGACTTCCCTGAGTCTTAGGAGGAAGTTGAACTTGATCACTCTTTTCAGCTCTGAGATATAACTCTCTAGTAGACAAAATCTTCATTTGTTTAAAATATATATACCTTTTAGAAACAAGGGACCAATTTAATGCATTTATTATGTCAATTTTGTAACTGAAGGAATTTCAAATACTTTATGCTTTTCGGGGGCAATTATTTGAAATTATGCCACTAGTGTTTACAGTCTAGTTTTTACTTTGTGTGTACCTGCACTATTAGATGCATATTATGCATAATCTTTATTATTTTAAAAATTAGTTATACACTTACATTTAAATTCATGTGGAAATTCAAAGGACCTGAAATAGCCAAACAATTTTGTAAAATGTCAACAGGAGGACTAACACTACATGACTTTAACATTTATTACAGTGGGACAGTCATCAAGGCACTACGGAATTGGCGTGAAGACCAACAAATACATCAGTGAAAGAAAATAGAACAGACTCCAAGAACATTCCCACATTGAAATGTGTGGAATCAATCATGGTCAATTGATTTTGACAAAAATGTGTAAAGGCAATTCAGTAGCTGGAGCAATTGATATCTACATGCAAAATACATGAATAAACTTAGGTCCATATTTCACACTATGCACAAAAATTAACTCAAAATGAATCAAGGATGAAAATGTAAAATCTACAGCTATAAAACTTTCAGAATAAGACATGAAGAAAACCTTGGTGACTTTGGGTTATATGAACATATTTTAAGATGTGATACCAAAAGCAATGTCCATGAAAGAACAAATTGATAAATTGGGCCTTATTAAAATTAAAAATGTGGCCGGTCACGGTGGCTCATGCCTGTAATCCCAACACTTTGGGAGGCCGAGGCAGGTGGCTCACAAGGTCAGGAGTTCAAGACCAGCCTGGCCAATATGGTGAAACTCCGTCTCTACTAAAAATACAAAAGTTACCTGGAAGTGGTGGTGCACACCCATATTCCCAGCTGCTCAGGAGGCTGAGGCAGGAGAATCACTTGAACTCAGGAGGCAGAGGTTGCAGTGAGCCAAGATCGTGCCACTGCACACCAGCCTGGGCGACCAAGTGAGACTCTCAGAAAAAGTAAAATAAAAAATAAAAAATGTCTTATCTTTGAAGGATACTGTAAAAATATTCAATATATAAGTTATATACTGGGAGAATATATTTCCAAATCACATTTCTGATAAAAGACTTATATCTCTTAATACAACCTAATGTAAAACAAATGAGCAAAACATTTAAACGATTTACAAGAGATTTACAATTAATAAGCATATGAAAACATACTGAATATGAATAATCTTCAGAAGAATAAAAATGGAAACCATGGGATACCACTACACATATATGACACTGACAAAAATTAAAGAAATTAACGACTCTAAATATTGTCAAGGATAGGGAGGAACTGGAATTCCTATACATTGATAGTGGGGACATAAAATGGTATGGCTATATCAGGAAAAGTGTGACAGTTTCTTAATAAATTAAGCATACACTTGTATATAATCTAGCCATTCCACTAGTAGATATTTACCCAAGATAAGTGGAAGCATATGTCTATATTAGGACTTGTACCTAAATGATCCTGACAACTTTATTTGTAATAGCTGGATTCTGAATGCAACCCAAATGTTAATCAGTGGATGAATGTGTAAATAACCTGTAGTGTATCTATAAAATTGAATACTATTTAACAACAAAAAGGAAGGAACTATTAATACATAACATGAATATATTTAAAAATAAATATGCTGAAACAAGTTAGGAGTCTTATACGATTCCATTTATTAAAAATACTCCAATAGAAAATGCAAATGAATCTAGGAAAACTTTGCCTAAATCTTCTCTGTGGTTTGCCTGCGGGTGGAGGAAGGGAATTGGCCATGGAGGGGAGGGAAGGAGGTATTACAAAAAAAAACATGTAGAAACTTTTGGGAATGCTCGATGTGTTTATCATTATTGTGGCAGTGGTTTCTTGAACATACACATATGTCAACACCTATACTATTGTACATTTTAAATGTGTGCAATTATACCTCAACAAAACTGTTTAGAATATGTGAAAATTATTATTCAAAACTGAATCCTTGCATGTGAGGTCCTTGTAATATTAATAGTAAAAATTACATATTAATGAAAAAACTAAAAAAAATTATATGAAGCATACACACAAACATATGATAGAGATACTAATGCAAAGTGTATTGAAAAAAATGAGTCTTAAGGACAATGTAAATGTAGCACACAATGGGAGAAGGAATGGGAAAGGAAGTAGAAAGGAACATTTGATTAGCATTATACTTTATTGTTAATTTGAAAGAAGCAAAGCAATTTCATTAACCTCTTATTTGTCTTATTGTAATTTGGTTGGTGAATATTGTAGCTACAGTCCATACAAGGTCAAATAATATTGCTTATCGTCTCTAGAGTTCAGGCAGTTTTAATTGCACATTGGAAAACAAATATGTTTACGCTTTGCAGAATGTTTAGTGTTTAAATTGAGGCGAAGGAAACATCTGCGGTGTTACAAAGTGAGAGGCATAACTACAAAAATTAATCAGCTGACATTTTTCATTATAAGGCTGAATGACTTTCAAAAGACCATGGTAGCTGTGCTCATTTGGACACCGACATTAAAATGTTTTAGGTGCTTTATGGCATCACTCTGACACTAATATGCCTTATCAAAAGATAATACTGCAGTGCTAAGAACACTGAAGAAGAAAGTAAGAGTGGCCAGAGGCCAGTTTGTTAACCTCTCTTTCCCTCTGTCCGTGAATATTTTATTCTAGTTGTGGCAACTAAATGTGAATAATAAAAAGATTTTCAGGGAATTTTTATCATATCATTTTCCATATAAAATATTATTTTTGAAGCTTTTGTCTCTGGATCCTGTCTCCCTCAGCCCTCTTTGCCTGTTGAAAATCTATACATTTTTCTTAATCAGTTTAAGCATTCTTCTTCTATGAACTATTCCAAATATTCAGGCTGGCTTTAGTCCTCCATCTGTTTGTTATATTTATATCATGTTTCTCACTTTGGTAGGTAGCATTTAGTCTACCTGGTTGATTATCTGTTATCTTTTCTGTTTCCTCTCTGGGCTAGCTTGGATCAGTGACTATGAATCCGCATGTACATACATTGAAACTACTAACACTCACCGTGTGTGATGGAAAGCATGGGGTTCAATGCCTTTTTCTGAAATCTCACCAAAAGAAGAAGATAAAACAAATATATAGCATACCTAATAGTTAGAAAACTCAACAGTTACATTGGAGAGTTTATACAAATTAAAGAGCTGTGTTGTTCAACAACAAAACTGAATGCAGCCATTGAAATCAACAACCAGAACTATTATAGGGGCTACTGAAGAAATGTATATTGATTTAACAAGGTAACCCAGGAAACTTGCAGAGTGTGCTTTATGGTGTCATAATGGGTAAGTAACTTAACCAATCCTCTGCTCTGCATAAAACAATAGCTTTATTTGTGCTTTGTTCCTAGGTTAAATAAAACTCATATGAACAGCTTTCTACTCAGAAATGAATGATTTTTGTATGCCATACGCAAAGCATATTAGAGCTAGAAAGAAAAGGTGGTATTTTTGATAACTTTACCCCTCAAAATTTATACAGCTCACAGGCTGAAGCACATCATAGCCACTTATCAAAACCAGGGGTTTCCTATTAGCAACAGCATTTTGTGCTAATAGCACAAAATCATTAGTTTGCTGCACTGATCATTTATTACAGCTTATTATCACCAATCACCCTATTTATACGAATGGACAATGAATTACTATCAGATATATTAGGCAGATGAAGAGGGGAAAATAAAGATAACAAGCCCAATTAAAAAATCAACTTTCAAGAAAATAGGGAAATATAAAATTTAAAAATGTATGTTTAATTTGTATTGTCAGAAATTCAAGAAGATTTTACATTGGTAATACAAGAACAGGATACCTTAATAAAAATAATTAGAGATTAAGTAAACATTTAAGGTATTATTTAAAAAAATAAATTGATTCAATGAATAGCAGAAATCATGTAGTTGAAAAGAAAATTTGTATTTGGAATACATGTTTCCTTAAATATTTCAAGAAATCCAAGTTAAACCAGTAAAGAGAACAACTTGTAAGTCATAAAATGATTCAGTAAAGTGGCCTGTCCTAAATCACATCTAACTTAAATACCAACAATAATTAATGAGAAGATATATTATCAAATATTTTATTCACACAAACTAGTAACAATACGACACACCCACACACACTTAGTGGCAAAAAAATGTGCAAAGTCTTTGTGGTAGAGAAAATAATGGCCCTGTAAGGATGCTTACACCCTAAACTCTGTAATCTGTGAATATGCTACCTTATATGGCAAAAAGAAATTTACATGTGATTAAGTTAATAATCTTGAGATGGATCTGTTATTATAGATTATTTAAGTTAGATTCAATGTGATTATATCATGAAGATTCTTATAAAAGGGAAGCGAGAGGGTCAAAGTCAGAAAAAGGAGATGTGACAATGGAAACAGTTTGGAGTGATGCATGTTCAAGACTGAGGAAGGGTCCACAACCCAAGGACTGCAAATGGCCCCTAGAAGGTGGACAACACAGGAAAATGAATTCTCACTTGGAATTTCCAGAAAAAAACACAGTTATGCCAAACCTTCATTTTAACCCTCTCAGTCACCCAGAATTCAGACCTCTAGAACTGAAAAATAACAAGTTTGTAATGTTTTAAGCCACTAAACTTGTGGTAATTTATCACAACAGCAATAGAAAACTAATATAGCCTGTAGAATTTTGATAAATCAAAACTCAAACTGTTGGGAAGAATATAAAAAAGCTTGCATACATATGGTAACATATGAATTATTCCCCAATTAATCCATAAATTCTAAGCAACAAAATTAAAATGTTGTAGTCTTTACTCTTATTATAATCATTATAATCAGTATAGCTATTAATCTCCTACTATGTGATAAGCATTGATTTACATGTCAGACATAAAATCACAAGCAAAAATAGAAATAGTGTTGCTTACATTGAGGTTATAGTTTTGTGAAGAAGATAAAACTTTAAAAGATTATACATGCTTATATACATGCTGAGGGGTGTGTGTGTATGTCTGTGTCTATGTCTGTGTATTTCTCTGACAAAGGCAAGAAAGATGGAAGATACAGGGTTCTATGAGAAAATACAATTGGGTAACTAATCTAAGCAGCAACATCAGGAAGTGATATAAGAGCTAGGATCCACAGACTGAGTAGGAGGAGCTGGTATAGGAGGAAAGGAGAAGTAGCATGTGCAGAAGTGTTTTGTGAAAAGATTGTACCTTGTTCATGGTTCATAGAAAGAAAGGTCAGCATATATTAAATCTTATTTCTTACATAGGCCAATTAAAGATTCTATGCTTGTCCAAATAACACAATTGCGGCATAGGTGCACAAAGATATTTGTGTAAGAATGCTTACTGTAATGTTTTTATGATGTAATAATAGAAATATTTAAGTATCTATGAATAAAGGAGACAAAGACACACAAACACACACACATGTATATATACCTCTATATATATTCTAGTAAGTTTAAAAATATAGTGACTTTTTTTAAGTTTATAATATATTATGGCATAGAAAAAGATCTTTATCGGTACCTGTATTATAGTAGTTTACATGCTTAAAATCTATTATGTGCATGTGTAAATTCATAAAAATGTATACTCGTATATTCCTGTTGCTCTAGGCTTTAACTAGAGTGTGGAGAATATACACTAAGTATTTAAAAGTAGTTTCATTTGCAAAGTGAGATTAGGCAAACGGGGGAACATTTTGGTTTTCTTACTGTATTTCTTTATTACTTGAGTTGATTAGAACAATTTATAATTTTGTTTAAAAATAGGAATAAAAATACATGTTGAACTTAAACAGATTTCAGTTGATGTTAACAAAAAAATCATCTAATTATTGTGTTTAACCATACATTTAATAACTCATCAGCCACTACTTATTTGGTACCCATAACATTATAGTCACAAAAAGCAACTGAGTCTTAAGCTTATTATTTTATTCTGTTTACTTTAAAATTCTGTAAAGTAAGTATCTAGATGTCAAAATTACGTGAAAATTAATCCCTGTTTCATCCTTGATTATTGCGTGTATGTGTATGAATGCACATCATTAAAATTCTCAAATAGGCAGCCTCAAGTCAATGCAAGAAACTGAAAACGTAAATCTAATTAATCAGTTGCTCATAATTTTCTATGTAGCAATATTATCCAAAGATATCTTGTCTGATATAATAATAAAATTCTGTTTCACATTTTCTGTAAAATAATACAGAGGAATAATAATACAGGTAGACATCTACAAGGAGAACAAATATTTCCCTAATACTATAATCCCTGATCCAATTATCCTTACATTTTGTTTCCATCAGAAAAAAAGCAAATCATCTGAATAATTAAAAAATAGGCATAAACACTTTAATTTATCATTCTGGAATGTAGAAAGCAAATTTTAAATTTACTAAGTAAAACCAAATGTGTATAATTTTGATATGGCATTATTTATGTTGATAATTTAACAAATAACAATATCCCATACTTAACTTGTTCTGATTCCTTGCCTCCATTATGGGCTTAAAATGGAGAGGGTTCCACCTTTGGAGGTGGAATTCTCTTTGAGAAATTTGAAGACAATTCAAAAATCAGCTGGTTTTTGGCTACAGTATTCCTAAACTTTTACCTTAGCAAATCAAAATCATAGACAGTATTTTTTCACACTTCTATTAGAACAGTTTCTGTGCTGTTCCATAGTTAAAAAGTAGTATTGACATTCAACATACACAACACACGGAATTACACTGAATGCAATTATTTATTTAGCTTGTCTAATGTGATACATGACATCATTATGAATATACAGATTCCTATTCTGTTCCTAACCCTTTTTCAGAACCCAATTTATATTCGCATTCTCTATGAACTCATATCCAACCATTTTAGTTCTACTTGAATCTGCTCAGGCAGTTAAATAAGTAAATGTATGTCATATTTCAGTATATAACTGCATGCTTCTGTATGTTAGCTGTCCTACAACTAAATTGTCATCTTCTTGAAGGCAAACAACATGTTCTGCACTTGCTGGTTGAACTGACATTCTCTCTATATGGTGTATTTCATTAGTTAATTGCCAACTAGAGGATGGTGTGGAATGACTTATCATTCATGCAAATTTATGGAAAAGCTATGAATAAAGCTGATATCTAGAATGGAGAAGTCAGCGTTGATTTTAAGATTTTTAAACTTTGTGTTTTTATTGTGTATTTTAGTACAGTTTATTTATAACTCATTTTTGTACAGATAATGCTCCTAATGTAACATTAAACTAAAACAACAGTTCCCCACTAACATAATCAGTCTATTGATACACACAGGGGTCCCTCGAAGTTTTGGTTTCATTTTGATGAAGGTCTCCAGCATTTAGAATAGACTCATATTTTGCTAGTAGCCCCTCCCTCTATTATTGCAGGATCTGAGATGCTGCTGCACTCTGGAATCTCTGAGAGATAACACAAATTATACATAGCAAAAAGAAAAGACTGTATATTAAGAAGTTGCGGGAAATGCTAGTTTAATTTGTATTATTGATTGCAGGAGCTCATATAACCTTTAATGGTTTAAAAAATATTGTTATTATCCAAATTCAGTTTTAGCATGCAGCGTTTCCTAGAATTAGTTCACACACTCACACTTTTGTAACTTCTGATTTAAAATACTTTGTATCACAGTTTTTATGACATCTACTGTACAATAATTATTCCAGGAAACCAGATAAACCAAATTTCTAGGAAATTTTGATATTTGTTACCAGAGAATTCATGGAATCGTGAAGGGCCTCAAAGGAATCTTGTTGAGGAATTTTAACCACATTATTCTGCTTGGGAGAAAATCATAGAATGCTACAAGTTGACAAGTGGTGGAGACAAAAAATAAACTTGCTATAATCCCTGAAATTTGTAACCAGTATATAACGTGATCAAATTTGCAATACTTACTTCCTATATGAGATAAAATATGAGTATGTTAACTGCCTCTCGTTATTAAGCAGGTTGTTCTTTACAAATACACATCTTTATTGTTTGCATGAACACAAATATTTCTTGAGAAGCACGTTGAGCCATGAAATATGAATCAATTATTGATAGAATTGAGCCATTGAGATGGTTAACAATGTCATTTTAATTCTATAAGCCACACCAGAAAAAAACAAGCTTAAAAAATTTTTGGATGCTATCTATATCTCTGAGATAGGAAGAATTCCAAAGGCTGATAATGAAATCTAAGGTTGTTCAGCTGCTTAAACAAGATGGTCGTAGGTATTTAAGTCTAACTCATGATGTTAAAACTGTCATAAAATGCATAAAGCTTTGTCACTTACTTTATGCTCTATGATACACAGATAACTAATAGTAACAGTACTTACTTTATAGAGCTGATATGAAGATATCTATTTGATACAGTTTATATATATATATTTGAAACAGGTTCTCACTCTGTCACCCAGGCTGGAGTGCAGTGGCACAATCATGGCTCACTGCGACCTCCAACTCCAGGGCTGAAGGCATCCTGCTACCTCAGCCTCCTGAGTAGCTGGGACTACAGGCATACGCCACCATGCCCAGCTAATTTTTGTATTTTGTATGTGGGGGTGTGTGTGTGTGTGTGTGGAGAAGGGGTTTCGCCATGGTGCCCAGGCTGGTCTTAAACTCCTGAGCTCCAGCAGTCCTCCTGTCTCAGCCTCCCAAAGTGAAGGGATTATAGGAGTGAGCCACTGCGCCTAGCCTATGAAGATATTAATAATAATATTGATGATGAAAAAGAGCTTAGAATAGTCAGTAACAGACTGTAAGTGCTATGAGTCCTTATTAAATGAAAAAGTACCATAATAAAGTAATAATAGTATATTAATATAAAATAATTTTCTTCTAGCTATCTTTTTATAGATCTGTAAAACTTCTAAAAGATGTAGCAAGCATTGAGATGTTACCAAGCCCTCATAGATGAGGAAAATAGAGTTTATTGAATAACATTTATAATGCATTCTACTGGAAGCAAAGCACAAAGAAATGCTGTGAGAAGTAAATATTTTCAGACAATGGCTCTGCATAGACCTTGTCCCTATGTACAGTCATTAACTGTTGAGGTTAGGATTCAGGAATGATACAATTGCTAGTTAGATAATATGCTGCTGATACCTTAAATCTAGAAGAAAGGCAGAAACGTAAAATGTGTGTGATATTAGACTAGTCCTGAATCTTATGGCTTGTTATTTAATTATAATACTACAGTAACCAGCCTTGTGATACAATAGCACTTTCAAATGATGCATAGTTGGAGCCCCTTCCAGGTATGAATTAGAAATGCAGTCAGCAGTTCTGTCATACATGTGTGTCCTGATACCTGGTAACAAAGTGAGTGCATGAAAACAGGCCCTGACGTTGCTTCTTATATGCTTTTAATTCCTTCTATTTTGAAGAAAATGAATGAAATTGCTGTTCAGGAATACATCAAGTCAAAATATACACCATTGCTAGAAATAAATGGGTTTTAATATACACACATATTTATTTCATTTAAAGTTCGAGAATATAATTTTAAGACATCAAAATAAATATGATAATAATAGAATAGCTCAAGAATTGAAATTAGACAAAGTTCTATTTGAAGAGTATTGTATGCATTGGATTTTTTCTCTACAGCACTTTCAAAAATGATTCTGAATTTTCTTAAATTTTATGGCTACTAAATAGATAAACTGCCTGACTTTCACTTAATAATGATGGTTTCCACCCTTTCCCTGTGTTTTCTAAGAATTATAAAACGAATACAACTAAGATACGTCTAGTTACTTTTGGCACAGAAGCTTATAGCTGCGTTTTTATCCAAAACGCCAAGTATTGCTTTTGACTATGGAATCCTGTGAGCCCTAAGCAGGATGTTTCAAACTGTGAATTGGCCCATTTATATCTTATGGTGTAGCAGGCATTTCTTTAAGTTATTGGTTTCCCAGAAGGCTAGGAAACAAACTTATTTTTTAAGTAGAATAGAGTAAAACAAAACAGCAAATATCATAATGCACAGCATATAATAGAGTGTAAGGCTTTTTTAAAGAACATTCTCTTTAATGTGTATGTGTGCATACGCATCTGTGCATGCACACAGCTGTTGAAACATATTCATATTTATAAATATAAAGTTTGAAAGTCACTGTGTGAGTCTGTGATTATATGTCACAGGTTTCATATGGCCTCGAAATGGTCATTAGAAACCTGTACATGCACATTTTCTAGGAAAAAGTTTTATGTTCTTCATTTGAAATACTTGTAAAGTTATCATATAAAAAACTTTGAGACATACTTATTCCAAAGCAAATTCCATCATGTTTGTAGTTTTGGGATGAATATACTTTAAAATGTAAAATAACATAGAATAATTTATATTTATATGCCTATTTTGCAAATAGATGTACTATAATTGCTTACATGTTTTTTATATAAATTTAGGTTCTGAACATGACAAAGTAGAACTCTCCAGCAATTGTTCCCTCATAGAACTATCAATTTGGTAAATTATTCACATATGAAAATGCCTTCATAAGGGCTAGCAGGTAAGTGATCACAAATTTGTAGCACGATAATAAGAAAATATGCTGATTTTGTACCTTGCAACTTCGCTTGTTTATGAATTCCAATAACTTTTTAGTGGGGTCTTTAGGTTTTTCTAAATATAAGATCAGATCATGTGCAGACAAGGATAATTTGACTTCTTCTTTTCCAATTTGGATGCCTTTTATTTTTCTTGTCTGCTCACACTCTGGCTAGGACTTCCAGTACTATGTTGAATAAATGTGGTGCAAGTGGCATTCTTGTCTTATTCCACATCTTTCAGTTTTTCCCTGTTTAGCATGATACTAGCTGTGAGTTTGGCATATATAACTTTTATTATGTTGAGATATGTTCCTTCTATACTCAGCTTTTTGAGATTTTTTATCATGAAGATATGTTGAGATTTTTTCAAATGCTTTTATGGCATCTATTTAAGTGGTTATAAGGTTTTGTACCTCATTCTGCTGATAAATAATATGCACCCTATTGATTTTCATTTGTTGAGCCATCTGGGCATACCTGGAATGCATCCCACTTGATTACAATGAATGATCATCTTAATGTATTGTTGAATTTGATTTACTAGTATTTTATTAAAGATGTTTGCATCTATGTTCAGGAGATATTGACCCATAGTTTTCTTTTTTGTTGTGCCTGTCTGGTTTTAAAATCAAAGTGATACTGGCCTCATAGAATGAATTTGGAAGTATTCCCACCTCCTCATTTTTTTATAATAGTTTGAGTATGATTGATATTAATTATTTTTCAGCTGTGGTTCCATCAGGTCCTTGACTTTTCTTTGATTGAAGACTTTTTATTACAGCTTCTATCTTGTTAGTTTCTATTTGTCTATTCAGGTTTTGGATTTCTTCATGGTTCAATCTAGGTAGATTGGATATGTCTAGAAATGTATCCATTTCTTCTAGGTTTTTCAATTTATTGTCATATAGTTGCTGATAATAGTATCGAATTATTCTTTGAATTTCTGTGGTATCAGTTGTAATGTCTTCTTCCTCTCTGATTTTATGTATTTTGATCTTCTTTCTTTTTTATTTGTTAGTCTAGCTAAAGATTTGTTGATTTTGCTTATCTTTTCAAAAACTGAACTTTTATTTTACTTGATCTTTGTAGTTTTTAGTGGCTACTGCATTTATTTCTGCTCTAATCTTTACTATTTCACTTCCTCTAATTTGGGGTTTGGTTTCCTCTTGCTTTTTTATTGCAAAAAGACGTATCACAATGTTGTTTATTTGACATTTGACTACTTTTCTGACATAGGTGTTTATTACCATAAACTTCCCTCTTCGTACTGCTTTTGCTATATCTTATACATTTTGGTATGTTGTTTTTCCATTTTTATATGTTTCAAATTTTTTTTTAATTCCTTAACTTCTTCATTGACCTATTGGTCATTCAGGAGCATACTGTTTAATTTTTATGCGTTAGATACAAAATCAACATAAAAATATTAGTAGCATTTCCATATGCAAACAATGAACAACCTGGAAAGAAACCAAGCAAGAAAGCAAAATTTAAAATAACTAGAAATACAATGAAATACTTAGGAATTAACCAAATCAGTGAAAGATCTTGACAATAAAAACTATAAAAGGTAGTAAGATAAATAGAAGGGAACACAAAGAATTGAAACATATTCCACATTCATTGATTGGAAGAATATTGTTAAAATGTCCATCCTACCCAAATCAGTTTACAGATTCAATGTCATCTGTATCAAAATACCAACAACCATTCTTCACAGAAATTTAAAAATCAATAAGAAAATTACAATGGAATAAAAACGACCCAGAATAAACCAAGTCATCCTGAACAAAAAGAAAAAAAATACTAGAGGAATCATGTTACCTGACCTCGAATTATATTATAGGGCCATAGTAACCAACGCAGCATGAAACTAACTTATAAACAGACACATAGAACAATAAAACAGATTAGAGAACCCAGGATAAATCTACATATTTACAGTGAACTCATTTTTGACAAAGGTACCAAGAACATACATTGAGAAAATGTCAATTTCTTTAATAAATGGTGCTGGGGAAATGACATCCATGTGAGTAAGAATGAAACAACTCCCCACCCCCGCCTTTTCTCACTATATACAGAAATCAAATTTAAAAAGATTATAGACTTAAATCTAAGATGAGAAATTGTTAAACTACTAGAATAAACCATGTGAAAAGCACTTCAGGTCATTGATCTGGGCAAATGTTTGAGTAATAACTCAAAAGCACAGGCAACCAAAGCAAAAATGGACAAATGGTATTACATCAAACTAAAAAGCTTCTGTACAGCTAAGAAAAGAAAGTTAAAAGACAACACACAGAATGGGAGAAAGTATTTGCAAACTAGCCATATGACAAGTGATTAATAACCAGTATATATATAAGCTCAAACAACTTAATAGGAAAAAAGACAATCCAATTAAAAATGGGCAAAGAATCTGAATAGACATTTATCAAAAGAAGACATACGAATGGCCAATTGTTATATGAAAAAGTGCTCAATATCATTGATCATCAGAGAAATGCGAGTGAAAATACAATGAGATATCATCTCTCCCCAGTTAAAACAGCTCTTAACCAAAGAGAAGCATAACATATTCTGACAAGGATGTGGACAAAGGGAAACTCTCATACTCTGTTGGTAGGAATGTAACAATTAGTACAGTCTTTATGGAAAAATGTATGGGGTTTCTTCAAGAAACTTAAGATAGAACTGCTATACAATCCTGCTGGGTATATAGCAAAAAATAATAATAATAATAATTTTGCTATATAAGAGATACCTGCACTTCCATGTTTATTGAAGTACTATTCACAATAGTGTAGATATGGAACCAACCCTGGTGTTCATCGAAAGATGAATGGATAAAGAACATGCGGTAACCCAATGGAATATTATTCAGCTATAAAAATAAAGAAATCCTGTCATTGGCAGTAACGTGGATGAAACTGGAAGACACTATGGTAAGTGAAATAAGCCAGTCACAGGAAGAAAATATCACACATTCCCACAAATATATGAGAGCTAAAAAGAAAGAATTGAACACATGGAGATAGAGAGTAGAATGATAATTACCAGAGGTTGGGCAGAATAGTCGGGAGTGGGGATAAAGGGGAAGTGGTTAATGGGTACAAAGATATACTTAGAAGGAAAAAGATCTAGTGTTCATTAGAACAATAGGGTGACTATAGTTAAAAACAATTTATCATGTATTTCAAAATAACTAGAGTAGAATTGATATGTTCCTAACATAAAGAAAGATATGATAAATACTTAAGCTGATGGATACCCCAATTACACTGATTTGAATGTGACACATTGTAGGCTATATCAATATATCACATGTAGTCCATAAATATGTGCAAGTATTGTTTATCCATAATAATTAAAAATGAAAACAATTTTTAAAGGGAAATTTGCATTTAAGAGGGTCAGAAGAACATTTTGGCATTACTCGCATCACACCCCAGCCAACTCAATCCAGCAAAGCATGGAGGGAGACATCACCCACTTGGGGAAAAGATAAAAATATAAGTAAAGGACTTTGCTTTGAACTTCAGCACTGAGCCTGTCTTAGTAAAACCAAGCACTAGACAGAACCCACTGCCCCATCCTTCAGGCTAGCAGCCACAGACAACCTCTTGACCTTCCCTGTTACCAGGCATTGCTACACAGTCTTAGGCTTCAGTCTTGCTGATTTAACCTCTGGCCTGTATCACTGTTGAGTTACCTTCAGAGGACCCAAGCTCTGGAAAACTCTCAGCCATAGGCAGCCTTTAGAGTCCCCAGGCTTCTATTGTTGTCCAGTGCTGTGCTGGCTGCAGTGGGCCCTGGGCTTCTGGTTCCCACGTCCCAGTGCCATGTCAATTGTAGCTGCCTCCAGCTTCTGGTGCATTGCAGCTCTCTGCTTGCCACAGGTCTTTCCCAGACAAAGACAGTCGTTGAAAGCTAGAACAAGCAGTAAATTCTTCAAATGCACAAACAATAATTTATGACCATAAGGAAAAAGAACAATTAGGGAAACGTGTCATCATACAGACAAAATAAAGTCCCAGTGACTGATACTAAAGAAATAATGATGTATAAATAGCCTAATGAAGAATTCAAAATAACTATTTTAAGGACGCTCAGGAAACTTAAAGACAATGCAGAGAAACAATTCCAAGAAATAAGGAAACCAATATGTAACTAAAATATGAAATTTAACAATGACTTTTTTTTAAAAGTCAAATAGAGATCTTGGAGTTGAAAAAATACAATAAGTGACATAAATGCAATGTAAGCATCAATAACATAATTGATCAAACAGAAGAAAGAATTATGAACTCAAAGACAGGTTATTTGACTACACACAGTCGGGGAGTTTGGGGGAGGAAATAACCAGAATGAAAAGGAAGGAAAAAGTTTCATGACATTTATGGAGCATCAAAAGAGCAAATTTTTAAGCTCTGACTGTTTAAGAAGAAAAAAATAAGGAGGTAAAAAGCTTATTTGAAGAAACAGGGGTAGAAAACTTTCCAAACTTGGAGAAACATATAAATATCCTGGTATATGCCCCAATCAAATTCAATCCAAATAAAACTACCCTGAGACATAATCAAGTTATAAACGATCAAAGATGAAGAGAGAATCCTGAAAACTGCAACAGAAAAGAAACAAATAACATATAAGGAAGTTCCAATATGACTAGCAGCAGACTTAGCAGAAATCTTACAAGCTAAGAGGGAGTGGGATGAGATATTAAAAGTGCTGAAGAAATAAAAGTGTTAACAAAAAATACTATACTCAGCAAATCTCGTAAGAAGTGGAAGTGAGATAAGACTTCCAGACAAACAAAAGCTGAAGGAGCTTTTTTCCCACCAGATCTGTCTTAAATGGTAAAGGGAGTTTCCAAGCTGAGAGTAAAGGACACTAATGAGTAACATAAAATCATCTGAAAGTATAAAACTGGCTGGTAAAAGGAAGTATAAAACCAATTTCAAAAAGTACTTTAATACTGTAATGGTGGTGTGTCAGTCATTTATATCCTTATAAGTATGAAGGTTAAAAGATAAGCAAAATTTAAAAAGCTACAATCATTTGTTACACTATACATAATATAAAAAATATAAACTGACAGCAAAAATTCAAAATGTGGAGTGGAGATTGGAGTAAAAGTGTAAAGGTTTTAAAATATTTTTATCAGCTTAGCATAACCTATTATAACTATATTGTTTTTGTAAGCCTCCTGGTAATCACAAAGCGAAAATCTATAGTAAATTAACAAAAAATTAAAAGCAGGGAATCAAAATATAAACACAAAAGAAAATTCACAAAGGAAGGCAGCAAGAGACAAAAAAATTAGTGAAAGATGTGGAAAACAACTAGAAGACAATGAATCAAAGCCATAGTAAGAACCGACCTAGCAATACTTAACTTGACTGCAAATGATTTAAGTTCTCCAATCAATATAGAGTGGCTGAAGTGATTATTTAAAAAAAGTTCAATTATAACTATGTTCTAATTATATTCTGTCTGTAAGAAACTTTATTCACCAGTAAGGACACACATAGACTTCAGGTGAAGGGATGGAAGAAAATATTCCATGCAAATAGGAAATAAAAGAGCAGGAGTGACTACACTAGATAAAATAGACTAGAAGTATAAAAATATAAAAAGAGACAAAGTAAGTCATTGCACAATGATAAATTCAGAAAAATCATATAACAATTGTAAATATATATATATATGCATACACCCAATGTTAGAGCACCTAAATATAAAAAGCAAATATTAATAGATCTGAAGAGAGAGATAAACTGCAATATTCAATCACAGAGGACTTTAACCCTCCACTTTTAGCAAGGGACACATCAGACAGAATATTAGTAAGGGAAATTGGACGTAAACTATACCCTAGATCAAATGGACCAAACAGACATATGCAGAACATTTCATATCACAAATGCACAGTACACGTTTTTCTCAACTAAACATGGAACATTGTCCAGGATAGATTAGACATTAGGCCACGAAACAAGTCTTAACAAATGTAAGAAGATAAAGCGACATCAAATATATTTTCTGACCACAGTTATGTAAAACTGGAAATCAATAACAGGAGGGACTTAGAAAAATTCACAAACCCATGGAAATTAAACAACATGGCCCTGAAAAATCAATGGGTTAGTGAAAAAATGAGTTAGTGAAAAAATCAAAACGATATTTTAAAAAGTATCTTGATACAAATCAAAATGGAAACACAACATACCAGAACAGATCAGATACAGCAAAAGTAGTTCTAATAAGGAAATTTATAGCAATAAATGCCTCCATTAAAGAAATATTTCAAATGAACAACTTAATGTTTCACCTCAAAGGCCTAAAAAAACAAGAACAAATTAAGCCCAAAGTTAGTAGAAAGAAGGAAATAAAGATCAGACAAGAAATAAATGAAATAGGAACTATAAAAGCAATAGAAAAGACCAGCAAAACTAAAAGTTGCTTTTTTGAAAACAAAATTAACAAACCTTTAGCTAAATGAACTAAAAAAATAGAGAAGACAAATTAAATCAGAAATAAAAAAATTTGGCAACAGGTACAACAGAAATACAAAAGATAATAATAGACTATTATAAAAAATTGCATACCAACAAATTGGATAATCTAGAAAAAAAGTATAAATTCCTTGAAACCTATAACCAACTAATATGGAATTAAGAAGAAATAGAAATTTTAACAGACCAATAATGAATAAGGAGATTTAATCAGTAATGAAAAGTCTCTGATCAAAGTAAAGCCCAGTATTTGATGGCATCACTACTGAGTTGCAACAAACATTTAAAGAACTAATACCAATTGTTTTCCAACTCTTCCACAATTTTGAAGTGAAGGAAATACTTCCAAATTCCCTTTATAAGGCCAGCATGACCTTAATTTCAGAGCCAGAAAAGACACTACCAAAAAAAAAAAAAAAAAAAAAAAACTATAGCCAACATCCCTGATGAATACAGATGTAAAAATCTTCAATAAAATACTAGCAAATTGTATTAAACAACACATTAACAAGATAATTCACCATGATCAAGTGAGATTCATTCCAGGGATCCAAGGATGGTTCAACATATGTAAGTCAACAAATGTGATATCACATTAAGAGAATGAGGGACACAATTCATATGATCATTTCAATAGATGCAGAAAAATCATTTGCCAAAATCCAACATCCCTTCATGGTAAAAAAAAAAAAAAAAAAAAAAAAAAAAACAAAAAAAACAACTCTCAACAAATTAGGCAAAGAAAGAATATTGCTCAACATAATAAAGGCTGCATACAACAAACCCACAGCTAACATCATACTCAGTAAATAAAAGTTGAAAGCTTTTCATCTAAGCTCTGTATCAAGACAAAGATGCCCAATCTCATCACTTCTAGTCAGTGTAGTTCTGGAGGGCCTAGTTAAATTAGAATTAAAGAAGTTAAATTGTAATTGTTGGCTTATGACATGATCTTAGAAATAATGAACAAATTCAGTAACATTTAAAGATACAAAATCAACATAGAAAAATCAGTAGCATTTCCACTAACAGTGGACTACCTGAAAAAGAAATCATAAAACAATTCTACTTAAAATAGCTATAAGAAAATAAAACACCTAGGAATAAATTAACCAAGGAGGTGAAAGCTTTACACTGAAAAGTAAAAATCACTGATGAAAGGAATTAAAGTAGACCATATATGGAAAAAAAAATTCATATTCATGGGTTGGAAGAATGAATATTGTTCAAATGTCCATGTTACCCAAAGTGATTTACAGATTCAATGCCATTCGTTTCAAAATACAAACGACACTCTTCACAGAAATTTTAAAAATATCCTAAAATTTGCTTGCAACAGAAAAGACCCCCCAAAATAGTCAAAACAATATTTAGAGAAAAAAAAAAAACCTGGAGGCATCACACTACCTGACTTCAAAATACTCATATTACAAAACTATAGTAACCAAAACAGCATGGCACTGGCATAAAAACAGACACATAGGCCAATGGAACAGAATAGAGACAAAAGGAAAAAACATGCACTTAATGTCAATTGACTTTTCAACAAAAGTGAGGTGACATGAACACATAATGGGAAAAGGAAATCTCTTCAATAAATGATGTTGGGAAAACTGGATATCCACTTGCAAAAGAATAAAATTAGACTTTTATTTGACATCATGTACCAAAATCAATTTTAAATGAGTTAAGGACTTAAACCTAAGACTCAAAACTATGAAACTGCTATAAGAAAACAGAGAGAAAGCTCTATGACATTAGCCTGGCAATGATTTTTTTTTATACGACCCCAAAAGCACAGGCAAAAAGAGCAAAAGTAGCCAAATGGTACTATGTCAAACTGAAGAGCTTCTGCAGAGCAGAAGAAATGATCAACAGACTGAAGAGACAATCTACAGAATGAGAGAAAACGTTCCCAGATTACACATCTGATAAGAGATAAATATTCAAAATATTTAAGAAAATCAAACAACTCAAAGCAAAAAAAAATAGACAAAGAACTCGAGTGTATATTTCTCAAAAGAAGACATAGAAATAGCCAAAGGGTAGATGAAAAATGTTCATCACTACTAATCATCAAGGAAATGCAAATTAAAACCACTAGGAGTCATCACTTCACACCTGTTGGAATGATTATTATCAAAAATACAAAGATAAGTATTGACAAGGATGTAGAGAAAAGGGAACTCTTAATACACTGTTGTTGAGAGTGAAAATTAGCACAGCCGTTATGAAAAACAGTATGAATGTTCTTCAAAAAAACTAAAAATAGAAACACCATGTGATTTAGCAATTCCACTACTGGGTATATATCCAAAGGAAATGAATTCAGTTGTCAAAGAGATATCTGCACTCCTGTGTTTTACTGTCTTATTTAAAACAGGCAAGATATAGAATCAACCCATGTCTGTAAACAGATGAATGAATAAAGAAAATACAGTCACATACACCATGAAAATCCTGTCATTTACAACAACATGGATAAAACTGGAGAACATTATGTTAAGTTAAATAAGCCAGGCAAAAAATGATGAATACCACATGATCTCACTGATATTGAAATCTACAGAAGCTCATCTCATAGAAGTAGGATTGTGGATTTTGGGTGCTGATGCATTTGGAGAAGGAGCACAGGGAAGATACTGGTCAAAGGATACCAAATTTCTGTTAGGAAGAACATCTATGCAATGTAGTGATATTGTATTCTTGAAAAATTCACTAAGAGAGAGTAAGTAAATTATTCTCACCACAAAAATGATAACTATGTGAGGTAATGCACATACTAGTTCGCTAGATTTAATCATTCCACAATGCATATTTACTTCAATATGTTGTACATGATAAAAATATTCAATTTTATCTTTCAATTTAAAAAATAAATAAATTTAGATTCTACTTGAGTTACATACAAAATATATTTATCTTCCTGAAAATGAAACTAAATTTGAACTCCAACAGTGTGGAAATGGTGTACTGTATATGTCAGTTTTCCTAAAATAGTTTATTATTCCTTAAAACAATTTTACAGGTTAAAATTCATCTAAATATTATATTTCTATTCTTATAATAGATACATGATGTATTAAGTAGTGAGGACAGCAACCACAGGGGGAAGAGAGATATGGGAAAGACAGATGACTCTTAATGACCTTTTCATGACCTAGAGAAAGAGGCCAAAATTAACAAATCCTGAACAAAAATTATGTACCACCCACAGTGCTTTAAAGATCTTACATCAACCTGGCGTAGTGGCTCATGCCTGTGATCCCAGCACTTTGCCAAGGCAGGTGGATCACGAGGTCAGGGGTTCGAGACCAGCCTGACCAACATGGTGAAATCCCGTCTCTATTAAAAATACAAAAAAAAAATTAGCAGGGCTTGGTGGCAGTCGCCTGTAATCCCAGCTACTCAGGAGGCTGACGCAGGAGAATTGCTTGAACCTGGGAGATGGAGGTTGCAGTGAGCCAAGATCGCACCACTGCACTCCAGCCTGGGCAACAGAGCGAGACTCTGTCTCAAAAAAAAAAAAAAAAGATCTTACATCATTATGGTTTTCAGCACATATAAACTACCTTGTAAAGTGGGTAATATGTAAATTTTGCAAATAAAGAAAACAGGGTTCACTGTAGTTAAGATCTTTTGCCATCACAAAAGCAAGAAGTTGGTGAAGCTTAAATTTTAATCCACCCATGTCATACTGCACAGGATAATAAAAGAGGGAGATTCTCAATTCTAGTTCTCATCTGCATGTAACTTAAAATTGTAAAGTATTGGCCTCCCCCTTACAGCCCCATTTTATGGATAAAACAGAAGTTGGGTTATTGTAATAAACAGGCATCTCTGTCCAAGGGAAATTACATTCTTTGGCTCCATCCAAATTATTCCAGTCTATTGTCACTCAAATGAGACAGGACTGATTTGGAGGTATTTGTTACCAGAAGGGTTAAAATGGAGCTGGAAAGGTGTATATAAACAAATAAACAAATGCTTGCTTTTAAAACAATTGTGAGTGACAGCATTATGAGGGGTTCAAGCAAAGATTATGACCACAGAATCAAATTGCCAGAGTACATGTAGACAAGATCAGAGCTGAGCAGCGGATGGTAATGGTGAACTTTCTAGATCCCTACTGAGGGGGGAAAATCTTACTTCTCCAGTTGTTCTGAGTGCTACTGCCTGATGGCTCTCTGCTGCCAGCCCTCTCTGGAAGTTGCCCTTTGTTGGAGAAGTCGCCTTACTTTTCACTGGGCAGCCTGCTTTCAGTGTCTCATAGCATTTATAGCATAAAAGCCTGGTTCTCTTACTGCAACACAAGATAATAGAGATATCTTGGCCTCAGAAACTTCTCTACAACATACAGTCAGCTGAGGCTTCTGTTAAGACTAGTCTTGTTCTCTGCCCAATTCTGCTGCTTCCTTTTTTTCTCTTCTATAATAAAAAAAAGATTACTATAGAAGTAATCCTCTATAGTAATTACTGGCACAATTATTTTAGCCCAATGAGACCTATAGAACCATCAGACAATATAGTTCAAGAACATACTCTTAACAAACTTTCAAAAATTTCTTCTTTATCTCACATTCTGTTTTCCAAGAAACCCAACCTTCAAAAGGATTTACAATAATGATTCCGTATCTGTTGCAAGCTACAGGAGATCCACAGGGATTGAGCAAGAGTAATTGGTGAAATGGCTAGACAAACGGTCACAGTTGGTCATTGACAAGATAATAAAAACGTAGATCTGGGGCAACAAAAATTCAAGGAAGAAGAAAACATGCCATTCATAGTGATCAAGTCTGTTCAGAGGAGATTACCTGTGATAGGAAGAAAAATGGTTCCCAAAGATGTCAACAGCCTAATCCCCAGAAACTGTGTGCATGTTGCTTTACATGACAAAAGGGACTTTGCAGATGTGATTAAGGTTAAGGATGGTGAGAATGGAATATTGTCCTGGATTATCAAGGTGGACCCAATGTAATCACACAGCTCTTTAAAAGCAGAGAGCCTTTCCAAGCAATGGTCAGAGCGGGAGATGTGACTAAGGAAAAATGGTCAGAGGGATGCAATGTTGCTGAATTTAAGATAAAGGGAAGGGAACAAGGACTGTCTATGGTTGGCCATTAGGAACTTGGAAATACAAGGAAACAGATTCTTTCCTAGAGCTTCTCAGAAAGAAACACAGTTGTGCTGGCACATTAACTTCAGCCGAATGGGACCTATAGAACTATAAGACGATAAACTTGCATTGTTTTAAACCACTAATTTTATAGAAATTTGTTACAGTGGTAACAGAAATATGGTACGGCATCTTTCAACTATTACCTGTTATAGTATTTGAAATACCAGTGAGAGGAAGTAAAGGCTTAAATCGGCAACTGAAAATGTGGTGATGGACAAGTGATAGGAGGCAATACGGGCTCTTCTCTGGGACGTGTTCTCTACACTACACTTGAAACAGAAAAAAATCCACTTTTATGAAAATGCTAATTGATTTTTACATGTAGATAATCCTAACTCAAAGCATTAGATATATGTTACAAATGTTCTACTTCATAACAGAACTAAAATCATACCAAAGAAATTGGGAGTACTTCTTTATAGGTACAAATAATTTATATTCACTTTATTACTTTATGTTTTTCTTTGTATATGAAACGTGACTGGGTCTAGCTGGTCCTTTTCATAGTAACAGGTACTTCATTGACTGTAATTATAAAGCTTTTCTTCTTGAGGGTTTTTCTTTTCACTGAATTGAAAAGAAATTGCTTCTTTTATCTCATCTGATTTGACTGAAATACTTATATTGTAAAAATGCTGACAGATCAGTTCTCCACAAAAGGAATGTTAAGCCTTTTATTCTTTTTGTGAAAGTGCTGTGGAGAGGGGGATTTCACTGTTGCAGGATTAATTGATTTGCTATAACTGAACAGACAGAATTAACAATTAATTTCGGAGCAGTTATAACATTTATACATAAATCCAGGTTGTTGGAAATATTTCATTCAGACACTGAGTTTGTAAGACAATTTTAATGGATCATATAAATAAAAAATGCATGATAATCAGTGTGCTTATATCTACAGAAAAGTAAATGACAATACTGTAACACTAAACATGTACTGTTTGAAGGAGAATTTTTCAGTCTTCAAGGTAAAGTGAAATGTCTTTTCATTCCTTTCATAATTTTTGATGCCTCATGGGCCATACTCAACTACAGTTTTTTTTCTGTGATATTTAATTTTTGACCTTTTTTGTTTTCTTTTCTAGTCTCCAGTCATAAGATATTCAGTAATTTTTTTCAAAAGTGGAAAATATGTAGGGATTCACTTTACTGAACACACACACACACACACACACACACAGTTTTTGATGCTAGTTTGACTAGATATAACAAAATAATTTTCTCAGTATTTTAAAGGATATTTCATATTATCTTCCATCTGTAGGTATTGATGACTGGAATTCATAGTAAAAATTTATACTAATTTGTATGTAAAGCAATTTCATCTTCCTTGAAATATCAGTGGAGTTCTAACTTGTCTAGAATATTATTTTTTATTTATTCTTAGAATTTTGAAAGAAAATTTTAAGATATTTCAGATAAGGGAAATACACTTCTATCACATTGTTAATTGTCTTATTCTCTCTTTTTAGAACTCTTATTAAATAGAACAATTCTCCATATATCTTAATATTTTCCATAATTTTCTTTTGCTTTGGACTCTAGGGATTATTTTCCCAAGTTAATTTGTGATTATTAATTAGGTATGTAGTTCCATTGATTCTATTTTTTAGTCATTTTTAATTTTTATGATATTTTTAACTCAAAATAAATATTTCCCATGCTTCTTTACTTCTTGTTTTATAGACTTAGTAACTATATCTTCCTGAGAATCCTGAGTAAACTTTTTAAAGTTTTATATTATGTGTGTAAGTCAGTTTTGCTGTTTGCACACCTTGCACTTTCTTTATTGACTAGTTTATTTCTTCTCCTAAATTGTCAAGTGGTCAGAGTTGTTCGTTCACAGTTTTAAATAGTCATGCTGTTCAGTAGAGATTGCTGCTCTGTTTTCTGTGAGGTGTGTGGGTCTGATTTCCCAATATTTCCTTCTCCTGGATGAGAATAAAAAGTAGGTTTTGCATGAGTTTGCAGAACATGCCAACTAGTAGGTTCTGCTGAAGTGTGTTATGTTGCAGACAAGTTGGGCACTGAACTGCTTTCAAAATAAGAAGGTGGGTGGTACTTCAGTAAATTTCTTTTATGAACATATTTTTTTTTCTTTTTTTATTTGGAAGGTCTAGCTGTGCTCTTTCTTCAGGTCTTAATTCCTGAACGAGAGACTTTCTTGTGGGTACAGTCAATGCTTTTAGAAAGAAAATGTTTATACCATGTTAACATAGGTCTAGCTTTTAAGAGTTTTTATTTTTTTTACTCAGTACTTGCTGTATAATGAGAGTTCTTTTTCCTCTTGTGAAATTTGCTCCAGCTTGCGTTGTATGTTTTGGGGGATGATGCTTTTGGTTCACTTTTGATCTAATCTCATTTGCATCACATATTCTGGAAATTCTTTAATTTTCTGGCTTACTAGTGGTGCCTTTTCATATTATGAAAATATATTTTATCATAGGAGAGGAGGTTCAGTATGGCATTATATAATCTGCACAGTAAATCTATAAGAAAGCGTTTTTAACTGCTTTTTTTTAGTCAAGAAACTGAAGAAACTGGCTCTCTGACATATTTTTGAAGTGAGTGAGCAGTAATTTGACTTGGGTTTCTCTGCTACCATGTCAAGATCTTTCATTTCTAACCAGGGATGGTCTTAACATTCAACTCTATTTAATTCTATTGAGTCAACAAAACATATTCTAAATGACAGTACTGTACAAGCTCTGAAAATACAGAGATGGCCACATAATATGCAAATGATAAAAGCAAACCTACTCATATATAGATTATAAGGCTTAATCATTTTCTCAACCTATTTAATACTTGTCAGAGGCAATTTCTGACAAGGAGGTAAGTGTAATAAAAAGTAGCGTTATTAATAAGTTAAATGCATTAAAATATAGTTAGGAAAATTAATGGGCTTGCTTAACTGTATCATTTATATTTTGACTATACTGTTTAAGTAAATAATATTTTGAAAGCTCCTTGAAATGTGATATCTTAGAGATCACTTGTCTGCCAGTCTTCAGTTTTAGAGAAAATAAAATATAAGGAAGTTACGACTTCCTCTATGACATATATTCAAAGGCATAGCCAAGTATACTCTGTAATTTACTTCTCCTAAGCTCCTTTTCTTAATGGAGTGGGAGGATGGGAAGACTTTTAGTCACTTAATTCTCCCAATGTCTTTTAGGGAAATTTTCCTTTGGTTTTATGGGAACATAGTACCTCAGTATTAGTATTAGTATAATTATTTTGAAAAAACAACAGTTTAGGGAGGGGTAGACAATAATTAAACAAATAGAACCTTTGTTTTATGGAATAAATTTTTATTACATATAATGAAATTTGTTTCATTAAAAGCCCAAATACAGGGATACCTAATATCAGTGAAGTTTTTTGGTTGCTGACATCTATCCTATTGAAAATAAGACTGCTGTTGTTTCCCTCTATTATCAGTATTTAAGGAGGAAGCAGATTGATATGGTTCATGGTGCAAGGTCTTATTTTTAACTCCATTTTCCAATCTAGCTTCAAATTAAATAAAGTGGCTGAGAAAAGTGAGATGCTGTTTGTTATTGGCTGAAGGTAAGTACATTTTTTCATGGAATCCAGTGATTAAGAAAATAACAATATAAAGAGATACATTTACATTCCCTATAGACATTGAGGATCTGAGGAAGGAAAAAATGTGCTTTCTTCAATGTAGGCACATTTTACCTATTGCAGATTCAAATTGCATATCGGTGGAACACCAATATGCAAGTGCCACAGAAATAATTGTTGCAGACAAGATCCATTAATGTATGTGAAAAGTAGTAGGAGAAAGCTTGAGAACAGGTTACTAATATAATCCTCAAAGTATCTATCCAAAGATATTTATTAATTACAAAGGCAAAGATAGTAACCTAGCAAACACCATTCTAATTGATGATCAAATTTAACATCACCACTAATATGACATGTTGATATTATGGATATTTTGATATGATACATTGAAAATGACATATTGTCATTTCTGTTATATATGCCAAATATTTATAAGCTCAGTTCAATAATGAAGAAACATAAAACAGACCCATATTGAAGGACATTTTATGAAATAGTAGTACCACTCATAGGTGTCAATCATAAAAATGATACAGAAAAACCCATTAAAAAGTGGTCAAAGGACATGAAAAGACAATTTTCAAAAGAAGAGTGCATGCAGTCAACAATCTTGAAAAATTTCAATATCATTGATCATTAGAAAAATACAAATCAAAACCACAATGAGAGACCATCTCACAGCAGTCAGAATGGCTATTACTAAAAAGTCAAAAAATAATGGATGCTGGCAAGGTTGTGGAGAAAATTGAATGCTTATACACTGTTGGTGGGAATGGAAATAGTTCAGCCATTGGGGAAGACAGTATGATGATTCCTCAAAGACCTAAAGACTGAAATACCATTCAACCCAGCAATCCTATTGACTGAATATATACCCAAAGGAATATAAATCATTCCATTATAAAGACACGTGCATGTGTATGTTCATTGCAGCGCTATTCACAATAGCAAAGACATAGAATCAGCTTAAATGCCCATCAATGATAGACTGGATAAAGAAAATGTGGTACACATACACCTTGGAATGCTACACAGCCATAAAAAGAATGAGATCAGGGACTGGACGCGGTGGCTCACTCCTGTAATCCCAGCACTTTGGGAGGCTGAAGCGGGCGGATCACGAGGTCAGGAGATCAAGACAATCCTGGCTAATATGGTGAAATCCTGTCTCTACTAAAAATACAAAAAATTAACCGGGCATGGTGGCGGACACCTGTAGTCCCAACTGCTCTGGAGGCTGAGGCAGGAGAATGGCGTGAACCCAGGAGACGGAGCTTGTAGTGAGCTCAGATCATGCTACTGTACTCCAGCCTGGGCGACAGAGTGAGACTCCATCTCAAAAAATAAATAAATAAGAATGAGATCATGTTCTTTACAGGAACATGGATGCAGCGGGAGGCCATTATTCTTAGCGAAGTAATGCAGGAACAGAAAACCAAATACTGCATGTTTTCACTTATAAGTGGAAGCCAAAAGATGAGAACACATGGATGCAGAGAGGGGAACAACACAGACTGGGGCCTATGGGACATTGGAGGGTGGGATAAGGGAGGGGATCAGGAAAAATAACTAATGTGTACTAGGCTTAATACCTAAGTGATGAAATAATTTGTACAACAAGCCCCCATGACACAAGTTTACCTATGCAACAAACCTGCACATGTGCCCCTGAACTTAAATAAATAAATAAATAAATAAAATGCATAAAGACAGACTAAGAAATTGTTGCTGGCTGGGTGCAGGGGCTTATGCTCGTAATTCCAGCACTTTGGGAGGATGAGGTGGTTGGGTCACTTGAAAGCTCAAGAATTCAAGACTAGCCTGGGCAACATGAGGAAACCCTGTGTCTACAAACAATTAAAAAAAAAAAATAGCTGCACATGGTGGTATGTGCCTATAGTCCCAGCTACTTGGGAGGCTGAGGTGGGAGGATCAGTTGTGCACAGGAGGCAGAAGCTGCAGTTCACTGAGTTCACACCACTGCACTCCATCCCTCCAGCTTGGCAAGACCGAAAGAAAGGAAGGAGGGAGGGAAGGAAGGGAGGAAGGGAGGGAGGAAGGGAGGGAGGAAGGGCAGGGAGGGAGGCAGGGAGGGAGGCAGGGAGGGAGGCAGGGAGGGAGGAAGGGAGGGAGGAAGGGAGGAAGGGTGGGTTCCAGATTGGAATTGGAAGAGACTAGAAAGACTAAAGAGAAATTTCAAAAAGCAAAAAAAAAAATGCAACATTGAATCCTGGGTTGGATCTTAAACCGAAAGATGGCATTAACAGAAAATCTGGTAAAATTTGAATATGATCTGTAGTTTAGAGTATTGTATAAATGCTAATTACCTGGTATTGATAGTGTACTGTGTCAGATGTTAATATTGGCAGAAGCTGATGAGAGATATGTAGGATCCTCTGTACTGTTTCTGCAACTTTTCTTAGTCTAACACTTTCAAAATTAGAAGTTTACAAAATCATTTTAGCATAAGAATACAGATTTTGAGTAACCCACTTTCTCCACATATCTCTTAAAATCTCATTGAGGCTAGGCACAGTGGTTTATGTCTCTAATTCCAACACTTTGGGAGGCTGAGACAGGAGAATTGCTCAAGCTCTGGAATTGGATACTAGCCTGAGCAATGTAGGGAGACCCTTTCTCTTTCTCTCTCTCTCTCACTTTCTCTCTCTCTCTATATGTGTGTGTGTGTGTGTGTGTGTGTGTATGTGTATATATGTATGTATGTGTATATGTATATATATGCATACATATAATTATCATCCTGAAGTTGTGTGGTGGTATCTCATTGTGTTTTTGATTTGTATTTCCCTCATATTTAGTGATGTTGAGCATTTTTTTCATGCGTCTACAAGCAATTTTCCTATCTTCTTTGGAGAATTGTCTAACCAAATATTCTTTTCCATTTTAATTGTTTTTTCCCCCATTCTAGTTCAATAATGGGGGCTTTACTCTTTGAACCAAAACATGAGAATAGGTAAGGAACAGGAGAGATATGATTAAAAACTTTGGTCTCAATCCAGTATGTAAATCTGCTGTTATTCCCTAGGGATTACTATATCATCCTTGAAATAATGGGTAACGAAGACTCTACAGGTTATGGGGAAATGGCAACATCTGGAAGCCCCAGACCCCAATCAGAACAGATGGCTGTTTCCCAAGGGATATAAAAGTAACCGCTTTCCTTAAATAAGCCATCTGTCTGAATAAAATAATTTTCACCAATTAATAAAGGCATGTGAAGGGCTGAGAAATTTCTAAACTCTAAAAATAGGAAGGATGAAAGAACTAAAATTTGCCCAATTATCAAAAGACACCATTCCAAGATATTTACGTTGAATATAAAATAGGACTTATTTTAGTTGCCCTTTCTGAAACATTCTGTGGACTAGCTGAACTGGTAAAAAAGCAAATCAATATATTAAACTAGTCTGTGATAACAAATTTGACTTACTTTACAGCAATGTATAGGATCATTGATCACCAATACCAAATCAGGTAGAATAAAGCAGCTCACATGCTCTTGTAATAAAATAAGATCTGACTTGTTAAACTGGTGGTACATTCAGGCAAGTAGGTAATTTTATTATATCTTTGTGTTGTTTCATTATTCTAATATTGGTTAAGCCCCTACCTACTGCTCATTAGCTGTCTTCCTCAAGTCTAAGCTCCAACCATATCGAAACATTTATAGTTCCACTGGCCAGACTGTTTTAAACTAACAAGCCCATGTAGATGCTGGTGTCAGCCCTAACAGACCTACAGTTTGACAAATTGGCAAACATTGCTTATCCTCCAGGTTCTAGCTCAGGCATCTTCTTTGCGAAGAATTATTTTATCACCCAAAAAAGCTGATGGTGTCATCTTAGCTTCCTCACTGTTTCTGATATGCATTAATAGTGCAGCATACTTCTCACTGAACTTACTCATTGCAAAAGGTTGATTCCCATATCAATGTGTGACTACATAAGGAAACAGACTGTTTCCCACTCATCTCTGATGAGTAGCCCTGATTTTTGAAAATAGAACTTAAAAACAAAAAGCCTGTTTATGAATAAAACAGATTGAAACTACTAATGACAAATTAAGGCTTAGCTTTAAAAAATTATATTGATGATTATTTTGATAACCTTTAATTCTTTGTTGCTTAATATAAAAAAGCTAGGAATAAAATTAAGTAGTCTCAATTTTCAAGCAACCAGCAAAAATATTTAATGTCTGGATACAGAGGTTCTGAGATTTGCAAATCTGATTTTTTGGGTTTAGGATTGGTGTAAATTAAATAGAATTTGCTGTGATCTGTAACCCAACTTTAAACCTGGAAATTCGTGGGATTCAGAAATGTTGGTTCGGTATCCATACCCATAGCTTTGTATTTCATAGTTTAAAAAAATGCTCCCAAAGAGACTGATCTAATTTCTTAGTTTTATTAACTATTCTCAAACACACAAAATTGAAAAATCTAATATCCATTTCCTCTGGCTTAGCTGCAAGCTTAAAATATTTCTTCCTCTTCCCCACCCAAGTCTCCTGGGGTCAGACACATAGGGTATAACGATATGCTATAGTCAAAGCTTGCATATCACGGTGAAAGTAACAATGGTATATACACAACAAAACTCACATTTTTCCCGGCAAAAAAAAAATCATAGAAAGGAATCAGTTCTTGATGAGGTGATCTGGCTGAATCCATAAGCCTGGGTAGATTTTTTTTTTTTTTTTTTTTTTTTTTGAGACGGAGTCTCGCTCTGTCGCCCAGGCTGGAGTGCAGTGGCGGGATCTCGGCTCACTGCAAGCTCCGCCTCCCGGGTTCACGCCATTCTCCTGCCTCAGCCTCCCAAGTAGCTGGGACTACAGGCGCCCGCCACTACGCCCGGCTAATTTTTTTGTATTTTTAGTAGAGACGGGGTTTCACCGTTTTAGCCGGGATGGTCTCGATCTCCTGACCTCGTGATCCGCCCGCCTCGGCCTCCCAAAGTGCTGGGATTACAGGCGTGAGCCACCGCGCCCGGCCAAGCCTGGGTAGATTTTTAAAAAAGGTTGCTCAGTGCAAGTTTGTTAGTTCTCTATAAATACATAAACATAAATTGTGTATATATATGATGAAGATTGGCTTTCACTTTTTTCTAGATTATCCTTAACTTTTATCCATTAGTCTCAGTTCTTTCATATTTCCTTACCTCATTTTTTCTCAGTAATTTTCTGAGTAGTGAGACTTTGCTTTTGGCAGCCCTTAATAATATTGCTTAAGGAAGGAAGTGCTCAGAATGAATTTTATGTTTGCTTATTTTATCCTAGTAGGAAAGTACTTTTGTATCATATTCCTTGCCTAGTGTCCTTAGTGCTGCATTCTCCCTCAGTTGATGGATTGTTTCCTGTCTGCAATCACTAACCACAGTGTCTTTTAGTCTGGGATCTTGCACGTTAACTCAAGCTGTCTCCTTGTCTGGTCCTCTTAATTTAAATGCTTGTCTCCTTGCCTCTCAGTCTAATAGCTCATTTCTTCTCCTCCCTATTACCCAGCATTGTTTCTCCATCATATCACTTGCAATTTCCAGGATGACATATTTTACTTCAGATCATAGCTCATTTAGTCTTTTCTCCTGCTGGTATGCTAATGGCATCTCAAGCTAATCATTAATTTCCACCCTGTGGTTTCAATAATTCCTTCCATGCTAAATCTCGCATAGGAAAATTGTTTTAGATTTGGCACCTTAACTTCATCTAAGAAAAAAAATGAACCAGAGAATGCTGAGTCACTGCCAGATGCCCCTCTGGTCAATGGGGGCTCTATTGCTCACCTAGGTAAAGGCTTCTAAAGGGGGTAGAAAAATAAAAGGCACAGGAGTGACTTTAAATCTGCTGCTTTATGTGTGTTTAAACAATGTCTTTCGGAAATAAATCGGAAACATTCTGTAAAATTATTGTTTCTGTGACCCTGCAAATAGCTATATGTTATGGGGGTACAAAAGATAAAGCATCAACAGAATTGAAAAAAATAATAAAATGTTAGTGCTTGAAGCATCTTCTGAGATCAAGTTCAAGCTCTTCATTTTTACAGATGAAAGCACTGAGGTCCATGGAGCTTAAAAGATTTGCCGTGGGTCACACATTCAGTTACATGAGGTTTATTAGCAGTAAATACAGGCCCCATGGCTAACGTTAAATTGCAGTGCCTGAGCTAAGAGAATAAACAACTAGCTCCAGATTCTTAGCCAAATCCATTTCTCTCTTCCTATCTTGAATTCATCTAGGGCACAGCACATGTATGCCTAGGTATTCCCCCTAGGCATACCATCGTGATTCAGTACAACCTACTCAAGCTCCTTGCACACAGTACCTCCACCATCAGCAAGTAACTACCACTATTGTGACATGGTTTGCCTTTGGAGAACAACCCAGAGAAGAAAAGCAGCAGAATATGAAGGCTGGCTCCCAGTCATTAGGCCAGGGAGTCCTAGAGCACTGGGTCATGGAGTCCAGTCTAGAAATGGAGATGCAGGCTCTGGGCGCTCTCTCTCTCTCTCTCCCCTCACATATTTAGATGATATATTTTGATATAATAAAATTTCCTAGTTTTACTATTTTTTCCTCTCATTGTTTTTGTCTCCGTCTTTCAAAATGCTGGATACCCACAAATCTTCCTTCCCCACCACATACACATGGACATGAATGTTGCATTTTATGTTACATTTCATATGTAAGTACAGGACACTAATATACTGATAGAAGCTCTGTGTTGGTTGGGGAAAGAAGATTGTCAACTGGTGGCTTTCTATGCAGAAAGATCAAATAGGCAGATGGCAGACCCATCTATTTACTTGAGGGACTTCTAAATAAGAGCATATATGAATCTTTCCTACTAGGTTTATCCAGTGTCTTCATAGCAGGATCCACCTATCTCATGCTTGGAGTGTATACATTTGGGTGCCAGGATTCTAGAATTTTAATCGTGTTCCAGGGGGTTGGAAGTCCTACCATCCCATAACCTGAATTTCACTTAATGTTTGTTTTTTTTTTTTTTTTTTTGGTTTTTTTTTTTTTTTTTTTTTTTTTGCGTGCAGCTCTCTCTCATTCTGAAGTGGCCAGTGGCCAGGGTCTTTGATTCAATTTTCTCGGTTCCTTGGTAAACAACCTATGTTTGGGAACACTTACTGGGATGCATAGAATGAGGAAGCAAACTGGGGATGTATCTATTTCACAGCATACTTTTGTTTTTTGTTTTTGAGATAGAGTCTTGCTCTGCCACCCAGGCTGGAGTGCAGTGGTGCGATCTCGGCTCACTGCAATCTCCGCCTTCTAGGTTCAAGCGATTCTCCTGCCTCAGCCTCCTGGCTAGCTGGGACTACAGGTGAGTGCCATCGCACCCGGCTAATTTTTTGTATTTTTGGTAGAGATGGGGTTTCACCATGTTAGCCAGGATGGTCTTGATCTCCTGACCTCGTAATCCACCCACCTTGGCCTCCCAAAGTGTTGGGATTACAGGCGTGAGCCACCGCGCCCGGCTCATACTTTTGATCAAGTCTTCTGATTTTAACCCCACATGTAATGTACAGTCTCCACTTCCACACATACAGCGCACCTCATAACATCAGTGCCTCTTATTTCTGAATCTTTTCAAAGTTCTGCAGTTTATTAATACTCTTGCTATTCATTTGCACTGTCCTCTGCAGGCACTTGACAATCAGCTTCCTGAATGTGCTAATGCCTCATCCACATTCCATTAAAAATTTGTTCATATCTTTTATCCACTATATTTTCCTCTCCTGTTCTCTTTGTAATGGTAAATATGCAATTTGAAAATCTTTGTTTTCATTATTAAATTTTTAGAAGGCAGCAGAGCATTAGCCTGTTTCCATGCTGACCATCAGATGCCCTCTAAGTGGAATCAGTAGAAGGAGGATTGAATATACATTATTAATTATTTTGTGGCTTACAGAGTCACAGAAAAGGCTAGATAAGCAGCTCTTGATGAGCTCCCTGAGCAACACTGCTGAACAAGACCACTGAGGAAGATGCTAAGTCTGTGATGTTTGGGATACTACAGACTTTTGAAACCACCATCATTATTGCTGACTCCAGGACCACACTGTCTGCCATGAACTGGTCCAAGAAAATATTTTCCCCATCTCTCTGCACAGCCATGAAACTAGGTTCTTGAATTTGGATTCTGATACAGCTCATACAGACCATGCTTACTAGCGGGAGCTTATCTTTGCTTTGTTTTTTTTGTTTTGTTTTTTGTTTTTTTGCCTTTGAACTCCAATGCTGGTAATTTTGGGATGTTTTAATCTAGATAATAATCTAAACTGTAATGAAGTCTTGGAAATTTGGCTTTTAGCTTGCCATTTACTAACATGCAGTGAGGAATATTGCAAGGTTATTGGAATGGAATTGAATGAGCTATTTTCCACATTTCTGTTTAACAGAATTTTTTTTACTGATATGGCTTGGCTGTATTCTCACCCAAATCTCACATTGAATTGTAATAATCTCCACTTTTCAATGATGGGGCCAGGTGGAGTTAATTGAATCATGGGGACTATTTTCCTCATACTGTTCTCCTGGTAGTGAATTATTCTCATGAGATCTGATGGTTTTATAAATGGAAGTTCCCCTGCACAAGCTCTCTTGCCTGCTGCCGTGTAAGATGTGTCTTTTCCTCTCCTCTGCCTTCTGCCATGATTATGAGGCTTCCTGAGCCATGTGGACTGTGAGTCCATTAAATGTCTTTTCTTTATGAATTAACCAGTCTGAAGTATGTCTTCATTAGTATCATGAGAACGGACTAATACAGTAAACTGATATTGCAGAAACTGGGGTGCTACTGTAAAGATATCAGAAAATGTGGAAGTAACTTCGGAACTGTGTAACAGGCAGAGGTTGGAACAATTTGCAGGGCTCAGAAGAAGACAGGAAAATGTGGAAAATTTCAAAACTTCCAAGATACTTGCAGCACTCAGAAGACAGAAAGATGTGGGAAAGTTTGGAATGTCCTAGAAACTTCTTGAATGGTTTTGTCCAAAATGCTGATAGTGACAGGGACAATAAATCCCAGGCCAAGGTGACTCAGAGATGAGGAACTTTTTTGGGAATTGGAGTAAGGTTACTCTTGCTATGCAAAGAGACTGGTGGCATTTTGTCCCTGCCATAGAAATCTGTGGAACTTTGAACTTGAGAGTGATGATTTAAGGTATCTGGTAGAAGAAATTTCTAAGCAGCAAAGCATTCAAGAGAAAGCAGAGCATAAAAGTTTGAAAAATTTGCAGCCTGATGATGCAATAGAAAAGAAAAAACCCATTTTCTGGGGAGAAATTCAAGCCTGCTGCAGAAATTTGTGGAAGTAACAAGGAGTGGAATGTTAATCACCAAGACAACAGGGAAAATGTCTCCAGAGCATGTAAGAGACATTCACAGCAGCCCCACCTATCATAGGCCCAGAGGCCTAGGAGCTAAAAATGGTTTCATGTGGCAGGCCCAAGGCCACCTTGCTGTGTACAGCCCAGGGACTTGGTTCCCTGCATCCCAGCAGCTCCAGCCATGGCTAAAAGAGGCCAAGGTATGGCTCAGGCAGTTATTTCAGAGGGTGAAAGCCCCAAGTCTTGGCAGCTTCCACATGGTGTTGAGCCTGCAAGGCACAGAAGTCAAGAATTGAAGTTTGGGAACCTCCACCCTAGATTTCAGAGGATGTATGGAAATGTTTGGATGTCCAGGCAGAAGTTTGCTACAGGAGCAGGGAGAACCTCTCATGGAGAACCTCTGCTATGGCAGTGCAGAAGGGAAATGTGGGGTTGTAGCCCCCACACAGAGTCCCCACTGGGGCACTGCCTAGTGGAAATGTGCAAAGAGAGCCAATGTTCTCCAGACCTCAGAATGGTTGATCCACTGACAGCTTGCACCATGTGCCTGAAATAGCCACAGACATTCAATGCCAGCCCAAGAAAGCAGCTGGGAGGGAGGCTATACACTGCAAAAACATGGAGCAGAGCTATCCAAGACCATGGGAATCCACCTCTTGCATCAGCATGACTTGAATGTAAGACATGAAGTCAAAGGAGATTATTTTGAAACTTTAAGGTTTAATGACTACCCCATTGGATTTCAGACTTTCAAGGGGCCTATATAGCCCCTTTATTTTGGCCAATTCCTCCCATTTGGGAGGAGTATATTTACTCAATGCCTGTACCCTCATTGTGTCTAGGAAGTAACTAACTTACTTTTGATTTTACAGGCTCATAGGGAGAAGAGATTTGCCTTGTCTCAGTTGAAACTTTGGACTGCAGACATTTGAATTAATTGTGAAAGGAATTAAGACTTTACGGGACTGTTGGGAAGTCATTATTGGTTTTGAAATGTGAGGACATGAGATTTGGGCGGGTGGACATAATTGAATCATGGGGGGTTTCCTCCTTACTTTTCTCATGGGCATGAATAAATCTCATGAGATCTGATGGTTTTATAGATGGGAGTTCCCCTGCACAAACTCTCTTGCCTGCCACCATGTAATATGTCCCTTCCTTCATCTCCTGCCATGATTATGAGGCCTCCCCAGCCATGTGGAACTGTGAGTCCACTAAACCTCTTTCCTTTATAAGTTACCCAGTCTTGGGTATGTCTTTATTAGTAGCACAAGAACAGACAAATACACTCACTATATATTTTCTATAGATTCAGATGTGTAAATATCAATGGTCCTCAACTAGGGGCAGTTTTTCCCCTGGGGACATTTGTCCACATTTTTGAGTGTCGCAACTGGGATTTAATATTGGCTTCTAATAGGCAAGGAAGTTACTAAACACACTACAATGTACCAGACAGCCTCCAATAACAAAAAATTATCTGGTCCAAAATATCAATGGTAGTGAACTTAAGAAACCCTAATATAGGTTGATGATTGTTTTTCTTCTCTCAACACTTTCAATATTCTCTACTCTTCAACTGCATCTTTCCTGAGGAAAAGTCAGAAGTAATTTATATTTTTGTTTTTCGTTTGTTTTTTTTTTTAATCCCACTTAGTTTTCTCTGAGCTACCTGGATCTGTGGTTTGGTGTCTGACAGTATTGGGGAAAATTCTCAGTCATTATTGCTTCAAATATTGCTTCTTTCAGTTTTCTTCTTAGATTCCCATTACACATATATTAACTTTTTACAGCTGTCCCACAGTTCTTGAATATTGTTTTTGTCAGTCGTTTTTCAGTTTTGAAATTTTCCATTCCTATATCTGCAAGCTCAGAGATTCTATCCTCAGCCATGTCCAGTCTACTACTGAGCCTACAAGAAACATTCTACATTTCTGTTGCAGTGCTTTGATCTCTAACCCTTCCTTTCAATTCATTCATATAATTTGCATCTCTCTGCTTACCCTTTTCCATCTCTTTTTGCACGTCATCTACTTTTCACATTAATGCCCTTAGCATATTATAATAGGTTTTACTTTTTACATTCCTAATCTGATTAATCCGAACATTCCTTCTATATCTGATTCTGATTTTGATGCTTGTTTAGTCTCTTCAAATTGTGTTTTCTTGCTTTCTCATATGCTGTGTAATTTTTTGTTGAAATTCAGACAAGATGTACTGGCTAAAAGGAAACGCAGTAAACAGGCCATTAAGTGATGTGGTGGTAAGGTATGGAGGGAGCAACAGCATTTTATAGTCAAATGATTAGGTGTCGGCCTTTTCGTGAGCCCGTGCCCCTGGACTATGAACTTTATCAGTAGTTCTCAGTTCCCCCATCCCTCTTAAATGGGACAGGGAGGCTAGAAGGAATTAAGCATTTCCCTTTCCCTAGGTAGGTTAGGCTTCCACAAAACAGTTTCTCCTGAAGACAGGAAGAACAGAATGCTGTGACTCATTCCAAATTGGCTTATTTTCCCTTTTCCCTGCCTGAAGCACAAGAAGATTTTTCTCTCATCTTCATGGTCAGAACTTGGCCACACCCTTAAAGGTAAAACTCACAAGTGTGAGGGTCCTGCTGTGACTGGATCACTCCCCTTGAGTTTAACTCTCAGACTTGTCCACATCCAGCCTCCAGCAATTTATAATTGCTATTCAGGTTTTCCTACACCAACTGTGGTTCCCTTAGAGGTTTCTGCTCATGGGACTCTTTTCCAGTCAATTGTAATTGTCTGTATCTGCCTGTCCATCTTTCCAATTTTTGAGGCAGGGTTTGATTTTTTCAATTTATTTTTTAGGATCCAGTGGTTACTTCTCAGCTCCTTGTAAGTTGGACTGGAAACCAAAAGTCCAGAATCCCTAATATATGCAAATCCATGTAAAATAAATAACTGGTAACTATGATTATCTCTGGGGAATGGAGGTAAACACTTGATTTCAGACTGAAGAGTGAGGAGACTTTAGTCATTATTGTACTGTATTGTATTCATTTCACAGCATTTATAGAACAGTGTAAAGACTGATAAAAATCATAAAACACAATGAACAGAAACCAAAGTGTCTTGAAAGGATAAAGCGACTTGGAAACAAAAAAGATAGAGATATTCAAAATGAAACATCTGTCTTTCCTTTGAAGGTACTTTTTCTTAAATATTTTAATCAGTGTTACAGTCCACACTATTATTTCAGCAATAAGTCTAAGTGCCTTTCTTAACTTCCATCTCTTTCTCTTCCTCCACACCTAACCCGTGATTAACTACAATACATTGTAATGGTGAAAATACTTTGATTCATCATTCCCTCTTCATTTTCATTCATCTTTCTTAACATATTATTTATTTGCTCGATCAGAACTATTGCAACTGTTTTATTATGACTTCCCTTGCCTTCAAAACTTCTGTTCTCCTTGTAACTTTCCACACATGTGTTGTCATTTACAATTTCCCTTCATAAAGACCTCAGTTTTTTCTCTCATTGTTATTGTTATATATAGAATGATAAAGCCAGCACTTAGACATCAGTCTCAGTTCCCATGTCCAAGGCAGGTATCTGTGATTGCTAACAGTAATATTTCTAGCTGATCCTAACTATGACCTCAGCCTTCCTCCTAACATTATAATCCATGTAGCCACTACAAATTGACTGAAGTCTTTATGAAGATGAAACCTATTGTGTTGTCTTTTTTAACCAGAGAACTGCTACATTTCTAATAGGTATTTATCACTCAGTGGATATTTTCATATTCAGGAACAACATGAGAGGTCATTTGAGACTTAAAGAATGGAGTTAGATATTTAGGAATAACTCGTAACTGAGTGTTCTTTCAAGATACTTTACTGTGATTGTGCAACTCCAACAATTTAAGTCACAAGGCCTGACTAGTAACTAACCATATTCTGTTTTTCTTATTTTCCTAAAATATAGTTTGATGGAAGCTGACATTTAAGGGACAGCCTTATAAGTACTACTGTTAATAAACCATAGGATGGTACCTAAATGTAAGTGGACACTGCTAAATGGAAAACAAAAAATAAAGAGATAGTTCCAGGATATGGCAATCAGGAGAGCAATTAGGGAAAATTTTAAAAAAAGTAATAGAAAAGAGAAATGAAGAACTTTGATTTTGGACAAGTTTAAATGAAAGAGATGGCAAGACAAAGTGAAGGAGATTATTTCAGAATAAGTCAAATGACCACAGATAATTAGCTGTGGTTTGTCATAGGGATGGACAAATAAATTTGGGTTTTAACAAGAATGCGAAAATGTCATCAAACTGACATTGAATAAAATGAGTAGCAGGAAAGAATACAAAGAGCAGAGGAAAAGATACATAACATTGAGTCAGGATTCTTAATGGAAACTTAATTTCTAAACACAGGCGAGAAAAAAATGAGTTAGCAATGTGAAGAGACTAAAGGGCCTACAAAGAGAATAAGAGAAGTAATATGAAGAAGCTGGACTTAGAGAAACTGAAACGAGAATATTGGGTATTATGAGGAAATTATCCAATACTTTCAGGAGAAAGATGAATTATCAAAACAGAAGAAGGTTTCTTCAATAATACATTTAAATTAATTTTATGTGTTTCAATTTCTGAATTTTCTGTAGATTCTGAGGAAAACATTTTTCAATTTGAATAACATTTTTGGAAAAAAAAGTCATACTTTTAGTATTTTTAAAAATGTTTTGCCATATCATAGGACCAATAAGAAAGAGATTTCTTTCCATAAGCTGTAGATATGACATTTGAACCTAAAGTAACTGCCAGTCATCAATGCCATAGCCAGATGCAGAATCAGCACCCAACAGACCAGTACTATCTTTGAATGAAGTATCCGTGTTCACCTTTCACAATGTTAATGGATCTAGACTCATGAGATTCTTCAGCCTAACCTAGCCCTGCAATTCATTCAACTGTTACTACTTTTAAAGATTTCATGAGGAAAAGTTAAAATTTCCCAAAGTACAACAGCATAATGATTTTGAAACCCTATCTGCTGAGAGTTGATGGCCCAATAGTTAAGGTTCAATTAACCCAATTAGAGTCTGTGTATTCCTTTCAAGAAACCAGAGACAGTTGTGTACTTAAGCAAGTACACTAGTGTGTATCTATTTTTTTATTCCAACATTTCACACCATGTATATTCATGTTTCTATTTTAACTTTCATAGAACTTTTCAGTAGTATAAGTTAGATAAAAGCAAGAGTGATTACTCAGAGCTTCATGAAGATGGAATCATCTAAAACTTATATTTGTGCTAAAATGATAGGGAGCATATGGCATAAACAATCAAAGAGAAAAAAACTGCATTTCAAAGCCTAGTAGATTTAGATATCACCCAACTAAAATTAGTATTAGCAGTACCATGTAATTTTTATATGCTTATAGATCTTTATAAGTTCTATAAGAAGTTTGTGTATTTTCAAATGAGAAAAATAAGTAATCCAAGAGAAAAATAATTACTTTCAATGAAATAATAGGATCTGATGAAAGATCACAGCAACATGAAAGCTTAGACTTAAGGCAGGAAATAACTGGACTTCTAGTACTGTCTCCTTGACAGTCAATTGTTTGGTTTTAATAGCTGGCACAGCCCCAGCAATTTACATTAGAAAAGGCAAATTATCCTTCTGTGGTATTTCCTATAATCTAGTAGTTCATTATCAAATAACACACACCCTTATTGGATTACCATGAGTAGCCATAATATTTTGTTTTCTTTGAGTTGTGATGTTGGAAGGTGAGAATGATAATTGTATTTTTGTATGGAACTTAGCTTAGGTACATATCTGCATTTTTATAGATTAAACTATCATATATATCAGTCCCCAAAAAAGTAAAATGAACTAAGAAAGTTTATACAATGACCCAAAAAATATTATCCTAAAAACACAGAAAATGTTGGTATCATTTTTCTAGATCACAAAATTTAACCACCTATTTTATTAATGTTTACAATACTTCTTTCTGAAGCATGTTTTAGTAATGCCTCCTAAATTAGCTAGAACTATCAAATTTAATTCCAAAATTAATATCAAATCAAATTATCTTCATGTCCACTATCACTAACCAAGGAACAACTCCATAATGACAGCTATCGAAGAACAATCATATAGTAAAGTCAATTGATGCAGAAAAAAAGCATCTGAAAAAAATCTAATACCTATGCATCATAAAAGCTCACAGCAAATTAAGGTTAGAAGGACATTAAAGTTTACTTAATGAAAAACATCTCCAAAAACTTACTGCTGACATCACACTAATTGTGAAAGGCAACACTTTCACTGTAAGAACATGAATATGGCAAGAATGTCTGCTCTCATCATAATATTGGGAGTTGAACGATGAGAACACATGGACACAGGGAGGGGAACATCACATACCGGGGCCTGTTGGAGGGAGAGAAATAGGACCTAATGCACCCAATGCATGCAGGGCTTAAAACCTAGATGACGAGTTGATAGGTGCAGCAAACCACCATGGCACATGTATACTTACGTAACAAACCTGCACATTCAGCACATGTGTCCTGGAACTTATAATAGTAATAATAATGGAACCTCTAGCCACTGCAATAAAGGAAAATAAAGAAATAAAAGTTAAAAATAGAAAACCTTGGAAAGGATGAAAGAAAACTGTTCCTGTTTGCAGATGACATGATTCTCTACCTAGCAACTCTACAGGGATCTATACAAAATAGCATTCCTAGAATGAAGAACTGAATTCAGCAAGCCTGCAGGATATATGATCAAAATAGACAAATCACAGCACTAGCATAGTTAAAATCACCTTGAAAAGGAATAATAAAGTAAGGGTTATCACTAACAGATATTAAATCTTACTATATAGCCAAAGCAATCAAGACTAAGGTATTGGCAGATCACAGACACAGATTAATGGGACAGAATGAAGAACACAGAAAATAAACCAGACCAACAAAAATATGCTCAGCTGATTTTTGATAATGGTGTAAAAGCTACTGAATGGAAGAAAGTTTTTCAAATAATGGTGCTGGAAGAATGGAACATCTATAAACACATGAAACTCGGGCTCCAGGACTCGAGTGCTGGGGCCTATTCCTCCCTGTGCTTTGAAAGGCAGGGCTCCAAGTTGGTGTGGATGAAGATGCTTAAGGCACCAGAGAGTGTCCTTGCTAAGCACTGCCGGTACCTGTGAAGGAAGCTCTTATACGTAGGCCTCATCATTTACATGAGCTATGGCAGCCATCGTCTGGAAAGGGTACAATGTGGTTCATGCCTCCAGGGTCATGATAGGACTCACTGACTCAGCTGATGCTGCCGGGGACCACAGTGGGAGACTTCAGCATCTACATTAGCAGGAACATCATCCGTGTTAGGAAATCCATGGATGGGTCCCAGAGAGATATCCAGCTGTTGGTACCAGAGCAGTGAGCTGGTGAACTGGGCAGTGGAGGGCCATCACAGCAGTGCCTACCCTGCCTGACAGCTCTTGATCACCCAAGCATCCCATCAGGACCAACTGCTTTGGTCACAAAAACTCAAGCAGGCACCCAATTCTGTCTCTCCCAAAACACATCCAGGTCGACCTTCTATCCACCTAGACTCAGAGAAGTTTGAGCCACCAACTTTATGTTCCTTTTTGTATCCTAATCCAGCATAAAACTGAACAAAATTCTCTTTGTGCCAGATAAACTTCGGGATGTATTCAAAAGTCGGTAATGTGACCTTCTCCTTCTCCAAAGAAGAGACATTAAAATTCACGGTGCCAAGCAAAACAAAACAGAACAAAGCTAAAATAACAACAGCAAAATTCCCACAGAACTCAATTTACACCTAATACAAAAATTAATATGGACCTAAATGTAAAATGTAAAGCAATAAAACTTTAGAAAAAATTAGGGAAAGTATTCAGGATTAATATTTAGCCAAAGTGGGTGTTAGACTTGACACCAAAAGCATGATCGTAAAGAGGAAATATTGATTAATTGTACTTCATTGAAATGAAAAACATTTGCTTTGTGAAAAAATCCCTTGCAGAAGATGAAAAGGTAAATCAGGAGAAAATATTTACAAGCCACATAGTCTACTAAGGGCTAATGTCTGGAACATATAAACAACTCTAAACCTCAAAAGTGGAGACAAAAACAAAAATCAAACTACAAAATGTGCAAAAGACACAACAAACAATTCCACATACGCGTCCTTAGAAATGAAGACTGATTTGTAAAAATTTTATTGCATCCAATAAACTCTGAGTAACTCTTCTAATCTGAATAAATCCCTACTATGTATACTGTCATTGTTTAAACAAACACACATTGACAAAGATGGGAATTTACTGTCTTCTGTGCTGCATTTTAAATCTTCCCGTGTTCTTTTTATTTTTATACTTAAATTAAAAAACTTGGAGTTTCAGCTTTCATTTATATTTGAAGTGTTGAAATGTGTTTTATTCACTTCTGTCTAGATGTTATCAGAGAAAAGCTAAATTCTGTTTTTTGTAGAACTTACAGAATAACTTCTGAAGTTCCCCTGACAAGCCTATCTAATCTAGAATCTTGATCAAATTGTCTTATTTACTTTTTACATATATAAATCATTGCATGTATCTTGTTAATTTTATAGGCTCACAGTTGAGGAATTTGTCTTGGAATTTGCCTTGGGTCTCATCCATATCTGATTCAGAAGAGACTCTGGATTTAGGACTTTTGAGTTGGTATTGAAATAAGTTAAAACTTTTGGGACACTGGGATGGAATGTATTTTGCAATGAGAAGAACCTGAATTTTAAGGTTGGGGCAAAATGCTATGGTTTGAATGGGTCTTCCAGAAAGCATGTGCTGGTAACTTAATCTTCAATACAACAGTGTGGATAGATGGAATTTTAAGAGTGATTAATATGGTCTAGGTATGTGAATATCTAATACCAAGTTATGGACTAGGCATTCTCTGTAGTAGGAAGTTATTCACTGTGTTGTGCAAAAAGAGATCCAAATTTACCAAAACACAATCCAATAGAAACGATTACCTACTGATTTATATTACTCATACCAATACTCAGAGCCCAAGAGCATTGCATTTATATGACATTTCCCCTGATTATAAGATCAAAATATTGCTGTTAACATAACTTCAAAAGACCTTTGGGCATCAAAGACATTGGAGTGTAAGGAGCAATGAATATTTTGTCACTGAGCAGGTATGTCAAACATAAAAATGACTGAAACTTAGAATGTTCACTTAGCTGAGATTTTATATTTTTAACATCCCATATTTTCAGAAATTTATTGGTTCAGCTCCAAAAGTTAATTATAAGAAATGTTAGAAAAAAAACATAGTTACCAAAGCAAGTACAAAATTTTAACAGGTGGATATGTCTGAATTTTTATGTATTTTGCTTCCAGTTAGGAAGGAAGATGATGATACACCAAGATGTACTCAGCTCAGTGGCTCAGGCAGAGTGAGAAGATTCGGATATTTAAATTTGACCTACAATCTTATAGGAAAAAAAGAGATCAAAATGGGTGGATCAAGAGAGTAGACCGCATGAGGATACTTACTGTCCTTCACAAATTTCTTTAAATAGTGTTTCTTCATCTTTAATATTTTCATTTTAATTATAGAGAGAACTTCTAAACATCTCTATCCAAGCAATAATTAAAAACTCTTAAATCAGAATATATAAGGGGGTGATATTAGTAACTTTCAAAATCCCCATATAATTCAAACTTCCACCAAAGTTGAGAACGCTACTTAAAATGGCGGAAAAGTATTTTTATGGGGATTGTGGCACACCAGAGATGAAAAGTAAAAAAAGAAAGCAGAAAAAAATCTTTCCAGGAAGATGGAGTAGATGTATTTTTTCCTAGTCTTCTCACTAAGTAGAGCTGAGAGCCTTGACATATATATATATATATATATATACACACACACACACATATGTATGTATACACACACACACACACACACACACACACACACACACAAAATAAGATTTCTCTGAAAGGTCAGTAAAAGAAAACTGCTAGGGACCCCAGAATCCAAAGAATGACATGATAATGAGCTTCTTGGGCTTCATATAACCTAGAACTTAGGCCTAGATTTGCTAACAACCTGAAAACACCAACAGAGAAATACAAATCCACAAGTAGAACTGGAGACTAACACTTCTCTCTTAACAATTGATTGACCAGCTAGACAGAATCAACATGACATAAAATAATCCAGTAACATCTGCAGCCCATAAGATTTAATTGGCATTCATACAACATTCCATACAAAAACATCAAAATGCACATTGTTTTCAAGGGTCCACAAAACATACTAAAATAGAGTGTACCCTGGACAATAAAACAAATCTAAGCAGATTTAAAAGTAATTTAAATTATACAGAATGCTTTTTCCAAACACAATAGAATCAAACTAGAAACCAACAATAAAAGAAAAATCTCCAAATTTTGAAAACTAAACAGGAAACTTCTAAATTTATGAATTATAGAGGAGGTCTTAAGGGAAACTAAAACACGGTGAAATAAATGAAATTTAAAATGTAATATATCAAAATTTATGTGACACAGGTAAAGCAATGCTGTGAGGGAAATTTACAGCAGTAAGTAGACATACACATTCCAAAAGAAGAAAAGTCTTAAATTGATAAAATCTATGGTCCTACTTAAAAAACTTAGAAGAGCAAGATTAAAGATAAACTCAAAGGAAACAGAAGAAACGAAACATTGTACATAGCCAAAATTTATGACATTGCAAAGGAAAAAGCAATAGAGAAAAATCGATAAAAGAACTGGTTCTTTGGAAAGATCACAGCAACTGACAAAGCTGTAGCAAAACCAACATCAAGGTCAAGAAAAAAATTCCTCTTTGCCTTCTGAAAGTTTACTGAAAAATCACTGAGAAGGGACAGATTAACAGGAAAAAAGGCACATAAATTTATTTTATCATAGTTTTACATGGCATGGGAGCCTTCAGATTGAAAATCCAATGATAGAGGGAAATTATCTATTTTTTTGCTTAGGTTTAACAGCATGAACAGCTATGCAGAAATTTGATTGGACAGAAAGGATATTATCTAATGTTAACAGCCGGATTGGCGAAACCCAGCAAGACCTGGCTGTCTAGATGTTTCTTGGCCTTGTGGAGCATATATTACTTCCTTTTGCTTATGGGGCTGGACACTGTCTAGAATGGGGGTCTCATGACTTACAATCAATCATCGTAGGTCAGACAATTTCTTCAAGGCCAGTTTCTTCACAAAAAGGTGGACGAGTAAGTCTGAGTAATATTTTTAAGGTTTTATGGCTGGCTTTGGTGAAAAGAGCTTCTGGTTTCTTATGACTCACTTTGGGTAAGAGGGATTCTAGTTTCTATGGCTAGCTTTGAGGAAGAATGAGACTGACAGTCAAAAGGGCAGGGGAAGATCAGGGAAAACTTATTCTGAGGCTGCTTTTGTGGACTTCATTTTGGGGTACTATTTACTGAGTCTCAACACCAAAAAAAAAAAAAATCACAAATCACCAAGATTAAGGACGAAACAAAGAACATGTCTACAGTTTGTAAACATCTAATGGATAATAGGAGTCGTACAAACACCTCTACGCACAAAAACTAATAACTTACAGAAAATAGATAAATACCTCACATAACCCTAGCTACCACACTCTTGAAATATGAAATAGATAATTTGAATTGTATTTAAAATTCATAATCTTAAAACTCCAATTGAAGAAGTATTCAGGCCCATATGGTTTCACTGGAGAATTCTACCAAATATTTTAAACAGAATTAACATCAGTTCTACACAATCTCTTCCAGAAAAGTTGACGTACAAAAATGATTCCCAATTTAATGAAGTTAATATTCCCCTGATACCAAAACCAAACATTTGGAAAAAAGGGAACTGTAGAACAATGAATACAGATGCAAACATTCTTAACATTATTATAGAATTTAGCAAAAAATTATATACCTTGAGAATACAGTACTTAAAAGTCAAAAGATACAATTCAGCACATTAGCATGCTAAAGAACAAAATCATATGATTATATCAAACACTGAAAATAAAGCGTTTGACAAAATTAACACCCATTCATAATAACACTCTCAAAACTTGAATTTGAAGGAAATTACCTTAAGTGGATAAAAAGCATCTATCAAAAACCTACTGCTAACATTATACTTAATGATGAAAGATCGAATGCTTTCCCTCCAGATTGAGAACTAAACAAGGTTGTCCTTTCTCACCAAACTTATTCAACATACTGTTAAAATTTATATCCAGTGAAATCAGGCAAAAAAAGAAAATAAAGAGAAAGACATAATGTGTTCATGGTTTGTGGTACTCAACTAGTGATGATACCCATTGTCTCCAAATTGATAGACAGGCTTAACATAGTCCCCACTTCCCAGCATATTTTTTTTGTAAAAATAAAAGACATTATTTCAAAATTTATATAGAAAGGCACAAGAAATAATTTAAAATATTCTGGAAAGAAAGAATAAAGTATAAGGAACCCCTAAACAATTACAAGATGTATACATAGCTCACTAATCAAAATTGTGATATTGGTAGAGGTACAGATTCAGAAATCAATATTACAGAATAAAGACACCAAAATCAATCCACAATATATGCTCAACCTTTGTTTCAACACAGGGTGTTGGAGCAGTTTGACATCTATAGACTAATCAAGACTTGTCTCTTACCTTATAAAAAAAAAACTTCAAAATGGATTATGAAGTTATACATAAAACATAAAACTATAATAAAACTTTTTAAAAAGTATAAAGAAAATCTTTTAAAGAGTTCTTAGTTTTGACACCAAAGGCACAATTTATAAGAGGAAAAGATGGTAAATTGCAATATATCAAGAAAATTATTAAATGCTCTAAAAGACTCTGTTAAGAGGGGAAAAAGACAAGCTACAAACAAGGAGAAAATATTTGCGAACCAAATTTCTGACAAAGGACTAATATCTAGAATATTAAAAATGTTGAAATTTAGTAAAAAGCAGACAAATTCAAAAGTGGTTAAAATATGTAACAGATTTTTACAGAATAAGTAAATGGCAAATAAGCATATGAAAACATATTCAGTATTATTAGCCATTAGCTAAATTAAAACAACAGTGATCTGTTTCACTATATACCTATTGATATGGCTAAAATGTAAAAAAATAGTGAAAACATAATATGCTTCTGAAGATAGAAACTAGATCATTTTGGATACATGGTAAGTAGGAATGAAAAATGATACAGATATATAGAACATTTTGAAAGTTTCTTTAAAAAAAAAACCCTCAACATGCAACTTCCATATGACCCAATGACCCAACAATTGCACTCAGAGGCATTTATCTCAGAGAAATGAGGATACATGTTCACATAAACATCTGTTCACAAATGTTTATGCTTAATTTCTGATAGCTCAAAACTGGAAACAATCCAAATATCAATAGGTGAAACGTTAAACTGTTCTACATCCACATAATACTACTGAGCAATAATAAAAACTATTGATACACACACTGAAAAATCCAAGTCTTCTGAGAATCATAGTGTTGCAAAAATATAAAATAGAAAAGTATATACTGTGTGATTAATGCATATCAGATTCTTGAAAAGACAAAATCATAAAACTGGAGAAGAGACTAGTGGTTGCTTCAGTTCAGTTTAAGAAGAGGGTGAAGGCGGGAAGGTAATGGTTGTGTCTCTTAAAGTGTTGGAAAGATCTTTCTGGTGATAAAAATGTTATGTATCTTAACTGTATCAATGTCAATATCCTGGTTGTGATATTATATTGTTCTTTTAGATGTTACTGGAGAAACCGAGTAAAGGATACTTGAGATTTTAAAATACCCTTCCTTACAACTACATGTGACTCTACAATTATCTCAAAATAAAAACTTTTATGGGGAAAAGCTTAAACATTGAAACTTCATTAGAACATAAATTTTGAGCAATTCCAGGAAGACAGCAAATGAGGTCAGCGTGATGGAAGAAAATATACAACATAAACACATCCCAAAACATAATTGAGAAAAAAAAAAAAAAAAAAAAAAACTTTTGTTGTAAGGGAGGTTCCAGTAATATGGGAGCTCAGATTCAACAAAAAGTTGCAGAGAAAGGCTGAGGTTTAAAACAGCTGGTTTATTACTTCTTTCCACATGATCTTAGATAAATTTTAGACATCAATTGTTAGTTATTCCCCAATCTACTCCTCCACTTACATGTGGGCAAACAAAAAAATAAACGTGGTGAATTTTGTGGAAATAAATCAAATGTTTAAATGAGGGAGAAATTTTACATTTTTTCCAGTATAGTTTTTCATTCATTCGCTTTTTTTACATTTCAAAATGTTTATAATTTGATACTTTTGCAACAATTATATTTACATCAAAGTATATTATAGCTTTTGTTCCACTTTTTTAAATTAAAATTTCCAGGTGTTTATTACTCACATTAAAAACCTAATTATTTTTTATATATTTTGTATTTTCTATATTGGTAAACTATTAGTTATAAAAAGTTTTAGTTGACTCTTTGATTTCATGTGTAGATGAATTATACATTATGCAAATATTGCTAACCTTACTTTTTCTTTGTATTGGCTACTAAGTGCTGTGGTGTCCTTGTGTTTTTTTAATCACATTTTCCACAGTACATTTTATTTATGTTTTACTTGAGAAGAACAATTGTTTTACCACTTTTACCATATTTCCTTATCTGCTTATATCTTCATTAATTTTTTCTATTTTCTTTCTACTAATTTGTTAATTTTTATATTTTCCTTAGATGAATGCTTCATATCTTTTCAATATTTTTAATTGAAACCACACACACTGAAATCTGTCTGTTATTATGTTTAAGCTGAATCTATAAGGTGGCATTTCCTTCTTTTCCACTATCCCGTATAAAGGCTATATTTGGTTATTCTTGTAGTATTGAGGCCTCCTTTGCTATCGATCGTAAGATTACTTTTGAAAGAGTGATAGTCATGAATGTCAGACTACTTTATTATTTATATGGATGTGGGTGCGTATGTTTGTAATCACATTTGTTGGTAATATCAAATATTACATGGATGCAGATTACCTAATTTAATCTATAAAATTCTGAGACAATCATCTTAGCAAATATGATTATAAATTTCTCAAACTGTTCTAATTTTAAAAACTTTTTGCTCCACACACTTTGATGCTAAAGACTGAGGATCATAAGTCATGTATTTTATAAATTATAACTTTTATTAATATAAAACAACTTTATTTGCATCATTTGTTGTTGTTTTGAATTCTACATTGTCTGATAATATTGCTTACCTGTCATTTTTTTTCCAGTTGTTTATTAAACTTTTGCCATTGCTGGATTTTTAACTCTTTTAAAGATGTGAGTTACTTTTCCAATTTACTTTTATAATGACAATTCTATATTTTGTTCATTATGTAATTTTATGTGTCTGCTTATGATAGTGTGCCATTTTTATTTTTCTTTAATTTTGTTCAATTCTATTTCAGTCTTCTCTAGTTACTAGTAAAATCCAAATGACATATTTTCAATGAATATCAATAATAAGTCATGACAATACATCTCTCAGACTTACATATGTGTACTTATCATGGTTTTACTTACATCATTCTTGTAAATTGTGTCCTGAATGTTAATTATATTTTTCTTGCTATTTCTAAGTTATTACTGCTTTGAATTTCAGGGGAATATGGATATTATATTTGCAGGCTGGTGAGTGGCTCTTTTTCAAGAGAGCACAGATAAATCATTTGATACCAAAGTGATTAATGAGAATTATAGACTATCCTGGAAGACATCGTATAAAATGCGGACTAAGAAGGCCAGATGGGGCTTCCTGGCTTTCAGAAGGATTAACTAATTTCTGAATATGAGACAATGTTTGCTAGGGGAGCCAGAACAAGTAGGGAATTCTAGGTGTATGAAGCAGCTTGTTTAAAGGCCTGGAACCATTGGAGATTATAGCACACCAAATGTGAAGCATTGTAATCTGCCATGATTGGACCCAGGAGTGCATAGCAGAGAATGGTAGAAAATGTTACTCTTATTGGCACTTTTCCAACTGATTTATTCATATCTTATTTAATTTTTTATAATAAATTTTGGAAGTAGTTACTATTATCACCACCATTTTATGTTACAGGAAGCTGAGACATAGACGACTTTAGTAAATTATCCAAAGTCATTTAGAGTGTGTTTTAGTCCAGAATCAAATGTTGTGGTCAGAAAATCTATTTAAGATGGTAATATGTTAATATATGATAAATTTAGGAAAACTGGGAGTATATAAAGTTAGTTCTTAGAATATGATTTTATAATTTTGTTATGAAGGATTATTCCCAGCTCTAAATGTACAGCACTATTTCAATGGTTAGTTTTTATCTTTTCACAGGTATTTCATCTCTGTCTTAATCTGTATTCCAAACATGAGTTTGGGCTTCCCACAATCAAACAGAACTCTATAGATCAAAAGCTCCATAAAACCTTGCTTTGTCATAAACTACACATTGCTAGAGAAGATGGATCAAGTGAAGTTTTAGTGACCTTGTTTCCCAGGCAAGGCAAAAATGACAAAAGGTAAGTAAATAAAAGCAAGGAATTTATTCTAAGATGACACTTTCCTGATTCTAATACAGGACATGTTTCTGACTTCTGTTGAAAAACACCTACCACGTGGACTGTAGGTGCCATCTACATGAGTTTAAAACTGAGACAACTTTTACATTCCTCTTTTATTGCTTCTGCGTGTGGAGAGTTCATAGTTAACACTTGAATGTTTGATGTTGTTGGCCAATATCAAACAGAATGTTGGCCAAAAGTGTCCTCTATCTCCAGTTCTAGTAGTAGACTAAGTTAAGATTATTTATAAATCTGAACACTTCACAGGTAATTCACATTTTTTGCTTAGAATGATTCTAAACTCTGTAGGAAATAATTTGCTTCTATAACTCTAGATCCATACAGATATGTTCAAGCAATCCAAGAGGTAGAATACTCCTGATATAAGTCAGATGATGGTTTGCCATGTAATCCTCTAAATAATTCTGTGAAATATTATCCTGTTTACAAGTATAAGTGATGGGTGACAAAATAGAGACTCCAATAATCAAATCAAGATTATACCTTTTCACTTGAACTTGATTGATACCATCCATGCCCTATGAAGGATTTCCTCTAAAAAGATAATTTCCTTTATAATACTTGTTAAGTAAAATATTATTCTCAAATAGAAAGGCAATGTATAGGTTAAGGATTCCATTCTACTTTTTCATTTAACAACTAAGCATTAAGCATTTGCCATGGGCCAGATGTAGATAAGAAATTGAACAGAAAAAAATATTTCCTTTTTTTATGAATGTACCAGCAATTTGAGAAAATTGGATATAAACAGGTATGATAAAGTGTGATGAATGTTATCAAATAGTCTAGGTATTATGGTGGTGTGTAGCTTTTCCCCACTCCCTTGTTTCCATGTAACCTAGAAATAGTTCTAAAAATGTGATGTTTTTATATACTAAATGTGGATAAAATAGCTCCTAAGTGCTAAGCATTGCAAGTATTTTGAAGTTCAAATTGCATTAACATCATGACACACAAATATCTGATTGAACATTTATAATTGATTCTGAATTACATCATTATATTATGATCATGACATTCTAACTTCTCCATTACAGTTTTATTTGTCAACTTGTAACTAAAAAGTAACTTGCCTAATATTATTTTGATATCTTATGAATGTCTCCTTTTCTTTTGACCACACACCACATGCTTTCAACAACAGTTGGTAACCTTTGCCTGGATCAGTCAGTGTTATGGAATAATTTTTAAATGTGAATCTATTTAATCATCAAGTCGGACCATTTTCTAATAGAAAAACTGGATATATGTTAAAGCTTTCACAATTTTAAAAACCGCCTATTCAACTGGCTTCCCAAATGCTTACGAAAGATTTTTTCCCCTAGCATTCTGTTTTAAAAATATATTTACTCATGATTTTCATAGAGTCCCTGTGTGTCAATTATAAAAACAATTCCTTTGCTCATTTTCACAATGGCATGAATTCAGACAGTCTCTTATGATATTTTTTATGTTCCTGTTTTTTTTAAGGCTTTTGCTATTGTTTTAATGTTTGTGTCCTCTCCAAATTCATGTTGAAACATCAGTTAATGCAATAATATCAAAAGGTATGTCCTTTAGGAGTGATTAGACCACAGGAAATAGGCCTGTTTGGTAAGAGCCTTAGGCCACCAGGCTCCCCCTCACAAGGGGATTCCCACTTGTGAATGAGATTAAGGTTCTTATAAAATAGGCTTTTTTTTGGGGTGGGGGGGTGGGCATTTTCCTTCCATCATCTGAGGACACAGAGTTCATCCCTTCCAGAGGATGAAGCAACAGGCATCACCCCAGAAGGAAAAAGGACAACCCTTTTGCCAGAAACTAAATGCTGGCACCATGCTTTTGAACTTATTAGACTTCAGAACTGTTAGAAAATAAAATTATGTTCTTTATAAATTACCCAGTCTCGGATATTTTGTTAGAGCAATACAAACTAAGATAGCATTCCTCTTTCTGTTATCCTGCCTTACATCAGGATCACTTTGAATTTTCCCTGGTCAGGACCTGTAATTAGGCATTTATCTGAGAATCTTAGATTCTATTTAGTAATTGTTTTACAGACTTAATACTAGTAGTGTTTATTGTTACTGAGAATATACTTATTTTAGACTATATTTTAGAGTAAATATATATCAATATTTTATTTTCAGTGTAATTTTATCATTTAGTATTTTCACTTACTCCATTTGATTTTATAGTTGCATCTTTTTCATATTGAATAAACTTATTCCTAATGTAACTAACATGGTTGCTTAATTTGCTTTACCTTATAAAAAGTTCCACAATAAAAATGCTGATATTACAATAAACAAAAACACTACTGAATGAAGTATTGATTTTTTTCTATTATTTAAATTCTTAGAATAAATCCTGCTCAATGAAATTCCATGGAAAGTATGGTAAAAGTGGTGTGATCTGGGTGTAGGGGGTAAAGGAATACATTTTCTGTACAAAAATTGTAAGCAATAATTACATTTACTAACTCATGGTCTACATTTTATTCTCACCATGTGCTCACAATTTTCATATTGCCAGCAAGAAATTACCCTTCCAAATCTTTTCTTAGTCTAATTTTGAAATATTCTACACAATTACTGTAGTTATTGTTGAGTTTTAATTAGACATGTAAACATACACATGCCTCATATTAGCATTTATATTATGTATCATTAGTAGTATTTTATAATTGAAAGTTAGAGAATTCTGTTACACAACTGGGCTGAAAACATGCAGACTCAGCTACACATGTTGCTTGTAAGAATTTTATGGTTTGGCTGTGTCCCCACACATATCTCATCTTGAATTGTAGTTCCTATAATCCCCACATGGATTCATATATTTTAAAAGTATTAATCCATTTACTTTTGTTATATTTTTATTTTTACTGGACTAGTTATGCTTCAAACTTCAATAAAATACTGTCTAAATGTATTTTCTGATCATTAGTGTTACTCATTAAATATATATTTGTCATGTAAATAAAGGAGATGTTAACAAATGAGCTGTTCTAGACCTCTGGCCATTTAATCTCTGAATTCCTCTATTTTAGTTTCTTGTTATTTTTCCATAGGTGCAATGGATATATATTAGATATATATAAATATCAATGTTGATATGTCTATATATTAACTTGAATTTATAGGTGTTGCTGTTTTCTTTTGCTTCATATTTACTTTTTAATTTAATTTTTCTTGCTGAGAATCTTTGAATTTATTCTTAATTTTTAAAATATTTATAAGGAGTGACATCATCAAGATGCTGCAGTAGGAAGTTCCAGCCCTTTCCCTCCAACAGAAACACTGATTTAACAGTAATGTACAGACTAAAATACCTACATAAGATGTTTGGAATTGGTTAAATGGTTACGGTATCCAAATCCAGCAGAAAACTAGAGCACCCACATTGAATCAGGTCAGAAGAGCAATTTCACTTAATCGACATCAGCTGTTTCCCCAAGCCAGCACAACTGGGAGCTAAGGAAGATGGCTTTGGCCTGTGACTTGGGGGCAGGGAAAGCAGGTGAGTGGAGCATGCTTCCAACATCCCAAGATTTTTGGGATGCTGCCTGAGAGGCCTGTTTGTCTGGCCTCAGCCTGGAGCATTGGGAAAACCAGCTTAGGGTGGAGGTCTGAGGGCAGCAAGGAACAAAGAAAATGTACAAGTAGCTTTTCTTCAACTGACAAGGCTTTGAGAGATTTGGGAAAGATAAGCAACTCTGACACTTCTGAGGAGGGAGAGAGAGTAGTGGAGCATGCATTCAACATCCTGATCTTTCAGAGAACTTTATTTAGCTACTTTCACTTATAGTGTAATGTCATCCAAATTATTTTATGTAGTTGGAAATAGGATGTACTTCTTGAATAGAAAAAAAAATCCTAAAATTCATATGAAATTACAGAAGATCTGAATACCCAAAACAATCTTGAGCAAGAAAAACATCCTCTCATTGTTAGGGGTGGCAAATATCTGAGTCTCACGGCACCAAATATGAGTTACTGGTGGTGAATCTGTACAGGTCTGCAGCAACCTCAATTCTTGCCTCCTCAGAAGAAAGAATTTGAGGGACATAAGGCAGAAAAAGAAACTGAGGTATGTTTCAGAGCAGGAGTAGAAGTTTATTTTAAAAGGCTTTAGAACGCGAAATAAAGGAAGGTACACTTGGAAAAAACCCAAGTGGGCTTGTGAAGGTCAAGTGTGGTGTTTAACCTTGATCCTAGTGCTTCACAGGCTGGCCCCTTTCCCATGATTCTTCCCTTGGTGGGCTGTCCGCATGGGCTGTGCTCTCCTTACACTTGGGAATTGAGTACATGCAGTGTGTTTAGGAAGTATGCATGCCCATCTCAGGCTTTTTCCTTTTCCAGTGGGGTGCTCGGGAAGGTCGTATTTTTCCATTTTGTCTCTTAATGCACATGCCTGGGAAGTTGCTTCTCCCTGGTGTCTGCATTCAACTAACACTTTAGTGCAACGGGTGTGGATCATCAGGAAATGGCCTCTCCCTGGTGCCAGCTGCCAATTTAGCACGTTTAGAGAGGCAATGTGATAATTACCAAACCGTCACCCAACAGTTGTAGTGGGTTGGGGAGAGCCTTCTCCTGCCTGCTTACTCCTGTCGAGCTACCTGCAACATTATGATGGCTGTTATCCACAAAACAAAAAAGCAAGAATGTAGAGGGATGGGATCCCTTGTACACTGTTGGAATGTAAGATGGTGCAGCCATTATGAAAAACAGTATGTAGGGACTTCAAATAATTAAAACTAGTACTATATAATACAATCATCCTACTTGCGGGTGTATATCCTAAACTATTAAAATCAGGATTTTGAAGAGATATCTGCATTCCCCTATTCATTGCAGCATTATTCCCAATGGTCAAGATATGGAAACAGCCTAAATGTCCATGGATGGATGAACAAATATTTTACAATGTGTATAATTTAATGGAACATTATTCAGAAGAAGGAAATCCTGCTGCATGCACCAACATAGATGAGCTTGGAAGATAATATACTAAGTGAAATAAGCCAATCACAGAAAACAAATACTCTTCAATTCCACGTTTGTGAGGAATCTAACATAGTCAAACTCAGAGAAGCATCAAGTAGATTGGTGGCTGTCAGGGCTTAGAGGGAGGGGAACTGGAAACTTCTTCAATGGATAAGAAGTTTGTTATGCAAGATAAATATGTTCTAAACATCTAATGTACAACATAGGGTTTATAATTTACAATACTGCATTGCACACTTAATTTTTTAAGTGGGTAGATCTCATGTCGTTACACAATATAAAAATATATTATGAATGTTTTTAAAAATCAGTATTTGTATTTACATATATTCATATTTATATCTTGTATTTTCACGAACCAGCTGTCAGTAGGAGGTTTCCTTGGAGGTTGGAGAGCACAGGAAAAATTTAATCAGCTTAAAACACACACACACACACACACACACACACACACTTGCTAATGTGATGTGTGTGTAGTTTCTTTAATGAGTTCCCCTTAACTCACCTTCTTTGCACTTCATACTTTTTTCCACTCAGCCACTTACAGAACAACATTGCTACTCTGTTTATTCTCAGAACTGGCTAAATCAATTTCCACTAAGAACAGGGATGTTCTCATCCTGGGAGTGTGTTTTAGCCTTGGTTGCTGGTGTTCTCTGGGGACTGCTTTCTCCAGGTCTTACTTGAGCTCTTTATTTCCCGCATGGTATCCCACCACACCATAACAGCTATTTGCAGCAATTCTGCTAGATTTGAATGCCCCCTGCTCTGTTCATTTACATCTTATCGGGAATTTGCCAGAAATCCCTAGGTTCTTCTCACTAATGGTGAAAATTGGGGGAACTTTTGAAAATGCACATTGTCACCTATGTTTGTAAGGTGAAGAAAGTGGAGAATCATCAGCACTAGACTGCTCTCCTGCTCCTAATGAGTACTGAAACATTAATATTGTTTAAAATGACTATTATAATCAAAAGAGTGGCAAAAATTTAACTCTCGAAATTTTGAAGGTGAAGAAATCTGATGAGGAACAAGGTAATAAAATTTAACTCACTTTTTATTTAGGACGAAAATAATGTCTGAAACTAAGTTTTATTTTGGGGAAAGTACCAGAAGAGTTAAAAACCCAAACTGATAAAAGTCGTTGCCTGTGAGAAGCAGGTATTGTGGTGGGGAATGGTGGAATGGAGATGTTTTATTTTCTTAAGCGATTGTTTAATACTTATGTTTCACCATGTGCATGTGCTGCTATGTTCTCTCCTTTTGGTCATTTCTTTTAGAGGTTTGAAGTACCTCTGATCCTTTGCCTTCTTGGTTCTGGAACATTCTGTACCTGAAATAAAGTAGATAATCTGAACTTATATGTAGTTGATTAGGAGATTTATGGCTGTCACGATGCCCTGCTGGACACCACAGGAGTCAAGGTAACGGATAAATCATTCTTCTGAAATTAAATGACAGACTTTTTAATAATTCATAATGTCTGAACTAAAATATTTCAAAAAGCTTTTCTTCTATCTAATAATTCAAGGTACTGTTGAGTATTTTCAATTCAAATAATCTTGTGATCAGCTCTGACTTTTCTCTAAACACATTTAATTATCACTTGTTTGTACCAAAATCAATGCTTATATTCATGGGTATGTTTTAAATTTTTGACTAAACTTACTAATTTTCTTAGCAGCCAACCACTCTGAAAGCAGATTCATATTATTTAGTGTAGGTTTGCTATTACTGTGTTAGAGTTTTAAGTGTTCTCAATGATTGAATTTTGGACATTTGGGGTTTCTTGTGAGTAAACAAAAACAGTAATTTTTAGAAAATAACTATTTTGAACATTTTCTCTCATAGTATGAAAATGTTATCTCTCCCAATGTTAAAAGATTTGATACATTCCGTAGAATATAATTTACCAATAAAATGGAACTTTCAAAATATATGAAACACTGTCTGGTAGGTCTTGATATTAAATCCAGTTCAAGACATGATGTGTTGGCATTCGTAAGACAAACAGTGAAGTCATTTTTACTGAGTGTTAACATATTAGGTTACTCTTAAGTTTTCTATCATTCTATTGTTTGCTGTATCTATTTGCATGCTGTTTTGATTATAATAGCCTTATGTTTTGAAAACAAAGTGTGATGCCTTCAATTTTGATTTTTGACCAACATTGCTTTTGCTATTTGAGTTTGTGGTTTTATACAAATTTTAGGACTATTTTATTTCTGTGAAAACAAATTATATCAGAATTTTTATAAGAGGCAATTTGAATCTGTAGATCACTGTGTAGTAGGAACATTTTAACCATATTAATTCTTCAAATTCATAAATGCAAGCTATTTTCCGTTTGTGTCATTTTCAGTTTCTCTCAATGTTTTATAGTTGTTTTCAGTATATGTCTTAGCTCCTTAGTTTACTCCTATTTTTTAGATGCTATTTGCAAATAGCATTGTTTATTTTGGATGTTTGTTATTAATGTATAGAAACACTGTACATTTTTTTACGTTCACTTGGTATCCTGCAACTTCACTAATTTATAAGTAGGGTTTTCTATATACAACACTATGCCATCAGCGAACAGATAAGATTTCAAAGCAGTATTTTACTGGCATAAAAACAGACATCAACAAATTATAGAAAGCTTGGAATTAAACCCAGGAATTAAGATCAATTGTTCTTTATAACAAAGGTGCCAAGAACATACTGCCCTTTTACCCTGTTTCGATAAACAGTTTTGGGGAAATTGGATATACACATGAAGGTAAGAGCCCAATTTCACTTATCTAACCCACCTACAAAAATCAACTCAAAATGGATTAAAAAAAAGCAAGACTGAAAAACTGTAAAATTCCTAGAATAAAGTGGGAGAAAATCTCTGCAACATTGGTTTGAGCAAAAATTTATTGGATATGACCCCAAATCACAGGCACACAAAGAAGAAATAAATGGGATTAAATCTAACTAAAAAGCTTCTGCACAGCAAAAGAACTGAAGTGATAGTGCATAAGATGGGAGAATATTTGCAAATCATACATCTGATAACATGCTAATAAAATATAAGGAACTGAAAATTCAGTAGCAAGAAAACAAGTAACTGAAAAATGTGCAAAGAACTTGAATAGACATTTTTTAAAAGAGATATATGAAAAATGTTCAATGTCTTTAATCATCAAATACAAATTAAAACCACAATGAGATATTAACTCATGGGTCAGGATGACTACTTTTAAGACTAAAAATTATTGTGGAGGATGTGGGGAAAAGGGAACCCTTGCACACTGTTATCCAAGCTATTTTAGAAAACAGTATGGAAGTTCCTCAAAGAACTAGAACTACCATATAATCCATCAATCCCCCTTCTGGGTTATACATACATAGGAATTTAAATTAATATGTCAAAGTGATATCTGCCCTCCCATGCTTATTTCAGAATTATTCACAATAGACAAGATATGGAAGCAAACTTGGTGTCCATCAAAGAATGGGTGGATAAAGAAAATGTAATATAGGCCAGGCCCATTGGCTCACGCCTGTGATCCCTGCACTTTGGGAGGCTGAGGTGGGTGGATCACCTGAGGGCGGGAGTTTGAGACCAGCCTGACCAACATGGAGAAATCCCATCTCTACTAAAAATACAAGATTAGCCAGGTGTGGTGGCACATGCCTGTAATCCCAGCTACTTGGGAGGCTGAGGCAGGAGAATGGCTTGAACATGGGAGGCAGAGGTTGTGGTGAGTGAAGATCACACCATTGCACTCCAGCCTGGGCAACAAAGCAAGAATCTGTCTCAAAAAAAAAAAAAAAAAAGAAAAAGAAAAAAGAAAAAAGAAAATGTAATATGTATACACAATGGAATACTAGTCTTTAAAAAGAAAAATCCATCATTTTAATGTAGATAAGCCTGCAGGACATTAAGCTAAGAAGACAGACAGAGAAAGACAAATACTGCATGATAACATATGTGAAATCTTGGAAAGTCGAACTCATTGAAAGGAAGAGTAGAACTTATATTACCAGCAGCTACGGGAGGGGAGAATGGGGGAAAGAAGAGATATTCGTTAAAAGGTAGAAAGTTTTTGTTGGGGTGATCAGACCCAATACCAGGTCGTGGGGGGGACAAAGTCCAGCGGAGTCAAAGGATTGAGAAAAACTTTGAGAGAGAAAGGTGGCACACCAGGGGGTTATCGTGGAGGCTGTGAAATCCCCAAGCTCTGGGAGCCCACGGTATTTATTGGTAATCCAACAAAAACAGGTGCTGAGAATGTGGAGGTCAAAAGGACACGTTGCATTAAGCATGTGATTTACACCTGTGACAATTTAGCATTTATATGGAACATGTTCTGCTGCTCGAGATAATGGAAGTAGGAGCCTAGGAGGGCTAGTAGCAAGGAGCCAGCAAGTCTAGACACAGTCCAGAGGACATTATGTCAGACATGAATGCCCTGCCTCAGTTTCCCTTCCAACACTCAGCTTTTTCCCAACATGCCCCTCCTCTTTTTTTTTTGTAAAAGAGAAGGTATCATTACTAGCATAGAAGGTGGCCTTCTAATGGAACAAGGCAGTTGCAGGCTGTGCAGCCCTTAATTACTGGTTGGTGATCCAGCTATATTTTTCTTAGCTCTTATTCAAACTAGAGTTGCTCTAGTTTGAATGCTTCCCACATACCTCCCCACCTTTCCCTTTTACAAGGGGACCCTTAATCCTAGGGGTTGCAGAAGGATGAAGGTCCATCTTCTGTAACTTCATGCTGAATAGGGGCGATGATACTCCTAACTATTAGGGTCTCTTGTATTCAGGGTAGAGAGCAGCTGAGTCAGAAAACACTGGTCCATTAAAAGCATCGGGACTCCGGTTGGTCCTTGTTCCATCTTTGCATTCAGATTCAACTGACTCATGGCTCTTACTGGGGGAACCTGGTCCATGGTTGGGATCCATGGATCCCTCCAATCTCCCGTGCCATGATCATACACACGGTTTGTTCATCTCCTGGCAAAACACAAGCAGACCCTCATGTGCACATTAGTAAATCTACTGAAACAGAAGCAAAAACTTTCGTGGCTGTGGCCAGGAGGCCACTGATAATGAGAAACAGGTCTTTTCTGATTAACAGAAGGCACAGGGAAAGCAAATCGAGGCTTTTCAAACCTTCAATTTGCACTCTACAGGCGGTTCCACTAGATGCTGTGGCTCATGATAGATCTTCGGATGTTTGGTGGGCACCCATATAGGCACCTGATTGTCACCTGAAGAGACACAAGCAAATCCTCTTTCCCATAAAATTATCTTTAGGCAGGGATCGGAGGAAGTAGACTCAGAGGTAAGGAGAATTTTGGGGCCTAATGGCTTCCTGATGTTTGATAGGTGTTCCCCTCGAAAGTTAGGAATTCCCTTTCTCTCCATATTGCTGCGTGGACACGGAGAACTAGGGAAGCATGGAGTCTGTATGTATATTTACCCTTTTTCCTTCTCCTAATTGTAGTATATAATGGCCCCTGTTTTTGCTAGGATATCTTTCCCTAACAAAGGAGTGGGGCTTTCAGGCATAATTAGAAAGGCTTGTGAAAAGAGTAAAGTTCTCCAGTCACAACTTAGTGGCTGGGAGAAGTATCTGGTGACTGCCTGTCCTAGGACCTCTCGGATAGTGACAGATCTGGAGGACAGTTCTCTGGGACAGGAGAGTAAGACTGAGAAGGCCACACCAGTGTCTAGGGGATAGTTAACCTCCTGGCCCTCAATGCTCAAGCATACCTGGGGCTCTGTGAGGGCGATGGCACGGGCTGGCATTTGCCCTGGACACCCTCAGTCCTGCTGCTGGGTCATCTGGTTAGTGGCTTGACTCAAAGGAACTTCGTCCCCTGGGGCAGTGGGCCTTCCAGTGATTCCCTTGACATAAGGGGCATGGATGAGGGGGAGGCTTATTTCTATTCAGACAGTCTTTTTTAAAGTGTCCTTGTAGACCACACTGGAAGCAAGCCCTGTTAGGCATTTGATTTGCCCAGGCTTTCCCTTTTCCAGAGCCTCCAGAGTCTGCTTGCCTGAGGGTCATGACTAAAGCGGTGGCTTTCTTTTTTTTAAATCCCATTTGTCCCATTCTGCCTGCTCCTCTAATCTGTATTATAAAAAAAAAAACAACTGATGTTGCCAAGTTCAATAGGGTTTCTAAGTTTTGCTCTGGGCCTAAGGCGGACTTTAAGTTTTTTCTGCAGCTGACTGTTATCCTTTAAGATTAGTTGGCCTTCAATTGAGTCAGGTGACGGAGGTATGCTTCCTCAATGCCTCCCTTAGTCTCTCCAGAAAGGCAGTAGGATTTTCTTCCTTTCCCTGTGTTGTAGTGGACATCACTGAATAATTTATAGCCTTTTTCCTAGTTTTCCTTAGTCCTTCTAGCACACAAGTTAGCAAATGTCTGCAGCACCAATCTCCGTGTTCTGATTCTGTGTCCCAGTGAGGGTCTGCACTGGAAACTGCCTGCTGGCCTGTGGGGTATTGTTCTCTTTCCTCTGTTGTCATCCTATCATTGACCTGAGATACCAGAAATCGCCAAACTCTCGGGCTGCAATTATGGCGGCACTTCTCTCATTTGGGGTTAGTGTCTTATGTAACAGTAACATTGTATGTCTCCATGTCAGATCAGAGGATTGTCTTAACCCTTGTAAAACATCAATATAGCCATCAGGGTTGTCTGAGAATTTACCTAGTCCTATTTTATTTTGCTTCAAGTCTGAGAGGGAAGAAGGTACATACACTCCGGGCTGAATTCTCCAGAATACATCTTAGGGGTGTTTTCGCCTTGGGGGGAATGTTTCCCATCTGAAAAAAGAACACAGGGATGCCAGCACATCTATTCATTTTCTGATGAGCATTAGTCCTAGAGCATCCTCTTTGGTCCTAATGCTTATTCCTTTCCAGTGTGCATCACCACCCATGGGCCTCTGCTTATCGGATTAGTTACGCTCACCGATGTAGCCGTCCTGCACCTGTTTTCCTGCCTTTCTTGACCACAGAGAAAGCGGTCCGGGCTGCTGGATTCTAGTAGTCCTTTACCAGCATGCCCAACATTGCCTTTGTGCTCAGGGGTGAGTTCTAGAGCTGGGTTGGGTTCCTGATATTTCATAACAACTCAGCTGCCCCATCAAGATGTATTCCCATCAACAGTTCTTAGGCAAATTCATTTCAGAGATGATGTAGGTAACCTTTTGGAGTCAGGATTGAGAGACTTTTTTGATTCTGTAGATACTTTAAGGCTTGGCTGAGTACAAACAGCTCGCACATTTGAGCAGACCATTTATTAGGCAATTCTTCTAACTCTGCTTCCACAAGAGTCTCCCTACCAATTACTGAATACCCATTGTGTTTTTTCTCCCCCTCAATCACCTGGGAGGAGCCATCTATCGTCTTGTACTGAAGGGAGTTCCTCCTAGGTCTGGTAGGACCTTTGTATGGTAATTAAGATTTAAATCCCTTATTAGGAAACCTGCTGGGTTAAGGGAATTTTCAGTGGTTAATCTTAAAAATCATCTAACAGAATAGCCCCATACTTTAAGATTGGGTTAGTAAGCTACCTTTTTGCTTTTTACTTAGGGTAGCTCTGAACTGGTGAGGTGTGCTCACAACGAGGTTTCTTCCAAGTTATTTTTCTACTTTCTTCTGTTACCAAAGCAGTTGCCACCACCAGTGGCATGCATTTTGGCCATCCGCGGGTTACTGGGTAAGGATTTTTGACAGGAAGGCTACTGGTTGTTAGTGGTCTCAGTGCTTTCGGGCTATGCTCTTGTTTACACTGACAACAAGGTAGTATTGGAGTGTTCCGGGGTCACTGAGAAGACCTTCAATTATCAATTATAGGTTTTTAAATTTACCCTGGCTTTTAAAAGGAATAGGGTACACTTAAAAACTACATTTTTCTCCTCTCTAGATGGATTTTGGAAATACAGCGGAAGGACGTTTGCCGTCCTCCCTGCTGGATTATAGTTACGGGAAATTGCCATGCTTCAAGGTCTACCTCGGCTCTAGCCTTTTGAATTTTGTATAGCACCGCTAATTACTCCAGGTTTTAATGTTGCAACTACAGGAGCATTAAGTTTTGTAGCTAATTCATCTTGTCCATTAAGAGAGAGGATGTGGCCTTTCACTTAACTCAGCAGATGGAGCTGATGGGCTAATAGAACATACTTTTTTCAGTTTCCCTTTCTTTAATTTCTTCTGGTTTCTATTCCTCACATTCAGAATCTGTGGTTTTTTTACACTCGTCCTCATCTGAATCTGCCTCATTTGTTTGAAATGGCTCAAGAGCTGCTTTTATTAGCGTCCTCATTGACTAAACCGAGACTGGAATTCTTGCTCTATCTTTATACTTTTTTTTAAATCTCTGCCAATTCTCTCCCATTTATCCAACTCTATAGTCCCTTTTTCCGGGAACCATAGGCAAAACTGCTTTACTGCACTAGAGTAAGTGATAACAAATTTTGAGTCCGAACTTTTTCACTCCCCCTCTTCATAATAAAGGCCTTAAGAGATTTAAGTAAGCAGAATATCTGCTTTCACTTTGCCCCATTCTTCACCCTGATTCTTCCAAGCGCTCAGCTTTCCTGCCGAGCTTCTAAAAAGACGTCCTCGGGTGTCCTTTGACGATATATCTCCGCTTTCACACACTCTAACGTTCCTACACCGAGGTCTTTATCACCCCACATTGGGCAGCCAGGAATGTTGGGGTGATCAGACCAACACCAGGTCATGGGGGTGACAAAGTCTAGTGGAGTTAAAGGATTGAGAAAAAAGACAGTTTGAGAGAGAAAGGTGATACATTAGAGAGGGCCATCGCTATAGTGGAGGCTGCGAAGGCTCTGAGAACTGGGAGCCCACAGTATTTATTGGTAATCCAACAAAGAAACAGGTGGTGAGAATGTGGAGGTCAAAAGGACACGTTGCATTAAGCACGTGATTTACAGCTGTGACAATTTAGCATTTATATGGAACATGTTCTGCTACTTGAGATAATGGAAGTAGGAGCCTAGGAGGGCTAGAAGCAAGGAGCCAGCAAGTCTAGACACAGTCCAGAGGACATTATGTCAGACATGCATGCCCTGCCTCAGTTTCCCTTCCAACACTCAGCTTTTTCCCAACAGTTTTACTTAGGAAGAATTAATTTTTAAGATTTATTGCACAATATGATGACTAAATAACAATGTATCCTACATTTCAAAATTGCCTGTTAGATTTTAAATGTTCTCACCACAAAAAAAGGTAAGTAGGTGAGGAAATGAATATGTAAATTACCTTGATTTTATATTTCTACAATGTGTGTATGTATGTGTATATAATTTATATATCTACATACATCAAATTGTACCTCATAAATATATATAATTGTCAATTAAAAATGTTTAAGAAGAATTTATCAAAAAATTGGATAATTGAAGCAAATTTTCTTTTCCTTAAAATGAGGGAATATTAGAGCTGGCTACCAGAATAAGGTTTTACTTTATTCACAGGCCAGCTGTGTAGGCTATCCTGAGATTTCTGTATTTGCAAGAATATAGAAACAATGTGATTTATTACATATCCAATCATACTTAAAATTTGGATAAACAAATATACATTTTTCATCAAATCTTTAAGACACTGAGGCATATCACCAATTAAGGTTTTGGCATTGTTGATTCTTGTTTTTATCATCATCATTTTCAACTGCAATTTTTTTTTTGTCCTAGGACAGCAACAAATGATATATTTTCATCCAGCCTCCAGTTTCTCTCATCTATGATAATGATTCCTGGACTCACTGCTATATATACAGATCCAGTACCTTGAATTCTACTACAGATGCCGATAGTTCTCTATGCTCTTCCTCTGGTTTCTATAGTGAATGATGGTTTTTAGAGTTATACTCTTTCTTATATTTTCAGGATTATCATTTACTTCTTTGTTTTGTAGTATTTTTAAGCATAAACACAATCCTGTGCTCTAAAGACTTAGTGTTTTCTAGGAGACCAATAAATAAAAGCCTTTGGTTTTATTTACAATTTAATTGAGTGATTGTTGGGTTTAAATAACTAAAGTAAGAAGGCATTAATAAACATAATTTCCATTCCAATATATTTTACTCCTAGAATTTTTCTTGCTATATTTTCTCAAATCCATCCATATAAGCCCATCACCACAATGATCCAGCCCACCATTACAAACCCACCTAGACTCAAACATTTTCTTTCCATAGAAAATGTTGTTTCATTGAGCACATGCTTCTTACAGCACCAAATAATCCGACTCTTCCTAACTCCTGATTCCTATTACCTACTTTATTCTATCTCCAATACTTCTATCAGTTTTTCAAATATGCCATGCAGTGTTATTCCTTTGGACCAGGATATTTCTCTTGTTTAAATATTTTTCCCCCTCCTCCCACTTTTCCTCACAATATACACATTGCCTAGCCAACTACTCATATCTTACATAAAAAGATATTTTCAGTGTTCTGTGCTTTTCTTGCATTGCTAGGAAAAGTTAAAATGCTTTCCCTATTTAATTCCCTATAAGTCATTGTGTATAATTTATCCATAATAATGCAAAGAAATAACCATTCCAAGTTGCAGATTGTTTATTAATGTAAGTTCCTCAAAGGCAGACATTGTCTGTTATTCATTCCTAAATCTATAGTTTCTAGACATTATCTAGCATGTATTAAAAACATTATGTGTTTGTTCAATTAAAAATATCTTTTTATAAATATGACTAAAATCTAAGTATTGGCAATTAAAATGACTCAAATATGTTTGCTATAGTTTTAAGAAATTTTTCTGCACCAGATATTACAACTAAATTTACATAAAAATATTTTTGAAAGACATGTTTAATTTTGAATATTTCTGTCCATTATATGGTGATTAAAAACATATTAGTAACAATTTTTCTTGTACCAATCTGTTTTCCCTAACAGTCATATACATCAAGTAAAATCTGACTGATCTAGCATATATTAATGACAAATTTCCGTGTAGTAGTTCATTTACTCATCTGTAGTAAAATAATGGTTAATATTCATAATGTTAACTCAAGGCTCTACAAAATTTTGAAGTAACATAATAATCGAAGGCAGATTTATATTGTTTATTTCAGAGTTCTAATGGCAATAATAATTACTATAATAATAGCTGCTATATGTGGTCCACATATCAGAAACATACACAGTCCATTTCGGCATCAACACCCTGATATATATTCATATCCCCCTTCTACAAATTAAGACACCTCTAAGGTCACATAGTTGAGAAGTGACAGGATCAAGAATCAAACCCAGGTTTTTTAAATTACAAAGTCCAGGCTCTTAAGAACTGCTTGCAGTTCATGACCATCAGAATTAGATGAACTAGAGGTATTAAGCTGATTTCTCAGGGAATCTATGCCATACTGGGGTCTAAGACCTGGTTTTTAGCTTTTTAGGATTAGGAAAAATGTTGAGCAAGTCAGTTCCCTGGGGCCCAATTTGATAAAGTAAAACTCATAAGAGAGTTGTTTATAGATAAGAATGCCAATTCATTATTTTATCCTGAGAATTGTTACAATAAAGCTGGCTTCAATATTCATGCTTGGTTGTTTTATGTATTTTATGACATATTCCATGTTAGGCTATAAAGTCTGAATCCTCTGAGAGCTGTGCCTGTTAACTAGGGGTGACTAGGAGAAACTGGCATACTGATAGTTGTTTTATAATGCTATTTTTGGGTGATGCTGATAATTGATATTTCCTAAGAAATATTCCTCTGAGCTAGCATTTTTATTTTTTTAAAAAATACACTAAATATAGAGTATATTATCTTTGTATTACTCTTTTCCTTCTAACATTGAAATTTAAGAAGAGTTTTTCTCTCTATAATAAAGTGATTGTTCCTCACTCTTACAGGTTTGATAATGTAATTTCCTCAAATCCTCGAAAGCAGTTCTACCCTACAGGATCAGATACTCACTAACCAAACACATAAAACTGATACATACATTCAGAATATCAATTTATCCAGCACTTTAAAACAGGAATATAATGCCTACAGAACCAGCGTATTCCTAGTATGCACAACTAGTGCATTCTCTTCCTGTAGAGAGAATAGCAAATAAAAACAAAATTATAAAACCGCTAGATGGACATGTAATAAGAATAAAATGCTCTAGTGTTATGTATTACATAGTAGTGGCACTAGTTTGTTCTATATATTCGAGATGACCTTAAAAATGTGGCTAAATTTTGAAGTATTCTGTTGAACATTGTCATCTCCTTTATAGCGTTCCTTTTTCTTTTCTCCTGGATGGACCATAGACTCCTCTCACTTGACTTTTTCATTCTTTTCTTAGCCTGTTAATATTATTTTCCAGTTAAAATAGGAACATTTTACTTCATCAGTAAAAATTTTTAAACTTTTATTTAACCCACATTGAAATGATTAAAACTTTAACTCTGAGAATATTATTTTTAACAAATTTTCAAGCCCTTTTTGAGTAATTCAAAAAATAGGTGAATAGATGCCTTTCGACAACCATCTCTCTGACTTTACTGTCTATTTTTGCTACTCTTTGATGAAATTATTGTCTAAAATATGAGTCTTTATGTCTCACTTTAAAGAATGCACTTCATAAATTTCTTAGTTATATATTTTTGACTCAACTTCATTAAGCAAAATAGGGTATAAAGGAGGGTATGTTGAAAATCTGTAAGTGGGTATATTGAATGTGTGTATAAGAATTTCATACATCTCAAAAAATTCTCTCTCTTGCTCTATCTTGGTTACAGGTGTTGTTTCCTTCTGTTCTTTCTGTATGTAAGATTGATTCTTTCTCTAAAGATCGCTTTTATGTACCCTACTTGCATGTGCAGATTCCTGCATTTGAGTCATTTTTTTATCCCATTTCTCATCACTTGCCAGAGCCTAGTGTCATGTGGCCCACTACCCATTAATTAGTGGTCCTAGGAAAAATTATATGAGAAGTAGATATGCTAAAGTAGACTTCTAGCATAGAGAGGAATAGATAGGAGAGGATAGGAAAGGAGAGGAGAGAAGAGGAGAGGACTCCTATAATAAATCAGTTTCTCCTACAATAAATCAATGTAGTTCACTTGCACACCTATTGGTGTCACATCACTAAGTTTTAACAATTTGTTAAAGGATCCAGGCACTGATATATCTGACAAGAGTTAAATGGAAGGACTCATCCCAGTGGTACGAATTTATATAACAGAGAGGCTACTGTGGGTTTTTGTGGACTTTGATGGCTTTGTACAAGAGTGTACGCTAACATGAGATGAATTGAGATTTGAACAGGTGGAGAAAGGAGAACATATTCAAAGGGAGGGAATAGTACATGTAAAGACACATAGAAGGATTCCTGTGCATTGAGGAAGTAGCTCCTTCTTATCTTGTCTGAGGTGGATTTATTCATATTTCTAAAATTTCTAGGAAATATGACTATAGAGAGTGAGATACATTGTAAATGTCTTCTTCATATTAGACGTTGGTTCTTCGGGCCATGGTAAGCCATTTCCAAATATTAAAAGAGGAGATCATTATTGAATTAATACTACAAACATGTTTATGAAAATATGACGGATCTATAAAACTGACTTATCAAAAGATAAAGTATCACTTATTCACTACATGAAAAATTAAAAACAAAATTCATATAATCTCAATAGATGGAGAAAAAGCTTTTGATAAAATTTAACATCCCTTCATGTTAAAAACCTCAATGAACTAGGCTTCAAAGGAACATATCTCAAAATAATGAGTCATCTATAACAAACCCACAACCAACATTACACTGAATAGGCAAAAGCTAGAAGCATTCCTCTTAACTGGAACAAGACAAGGTTTCCCCCACTCACCACTCCTATTCAGTAGACTGCTAGAAGTCCTAGCCAGAGCAATTTGTCAAGAGAAAGAAATAAAACACATTCAAATAGGAAAAAAGGAAGTCAAATTATTTCTCTTCAATGATGCTATGATTCTATACTGAGAAAACCCCAAAACCTCTGACAAAAGACTCCTAGATTTAATACATGACTTCATTAAAGTTTCAGGATATAAAATCAAAGTACGAAACTCAGTAGTATTTCTAGACACCAATAATATTTCAACTGAGTGTCAAATCAAGAACACAATCCCATTTACAATAGCTACAAAAAATAAAATATCTAGGAATATATCTAACTAATGAGGCGAAATATCTCTATAAGGAGAGCTATGAAACACTGCTGAAAGAAATCATAGATGATGCAAGCGACCACACAGACCAATGGAACAGAATAGAGAACCCAGAAGTAAAGCTGCACACCTGCAACCAACCAATCTTTGACGAAGTCAACAAAAATTAGAAAAAAATAAGCAACAGGAAAAGGACTCCCTGTTCAATAAATGGTGCTCAGAAAACTGGCTAATCATACACAGAAGACTGAAACTAGACACTTACCTGTTACCATATACAAAAATTAACTCAAGTTGGATTAAATATTTAGACATAAGACCTCAAACTATAAAAATCCTAGAAGAAAACTTAGGAAATACCCTTCTCAACATTGGCCCAGGTAAGGAAATTATGGCTAGGTCTTCAAAAGCAATGGCAACAAAAACAAAAATGGACAAGTGGGACCTAATTAAAATAAAGAGCTTCTACACAGCAAGAGAAACCACAAATAAACATACAACTTACAGAATGAGAGCACATATTCACAAACTATGCATCCAAATAAAAGGACTAATATCCAGAATCTATAAGGAAGTTAAACAAATCAACAAGAAAACAACAAACAACCCCATTGGAAAAGTGGGCGAATGACATGAAAAGATACCTCTCAAAAGAAGACCTACAAGTAACGAAGAAACATGAAAAAATACTCAATATCACAAATCATTTGAAAAATGCACATCAAAACAATGAGATATTATCTCACACCAGTCAGAACGGCTATTATTAAAAAGTCAATAAACAACCAATGTTTGCTAGGCTGTGGAAAACAAGGAATATTTATACACTGTTGGTGGGAAGGTAAATTAGTCACTGTGAAAAGCAGCTTCCAGACTTCTCAAAGAACTAAAAATAGAACTATTCAACCCAGCAATCCCATTACTGGGTAATACCCAAAGAAAAATAAATTGTTCTATCAAAAAGACACCTTCACTCGTATGTTGATCACAGCACTATTTACATTAACAAAGACACAAAATCAACAGTAGATTGGATAAAGAAAACGTGGTACATATACACCATCAAATACTAGGAAGCCATTTAAAGAATGAAATCATGTCCTTTGCAGCTGCATGGATGCAGCTGGAGGCCATTATCCTAAGCAAATTAACACAGAAACAGAAACCCATATATTACATGTTCTTACTTGTAAGTAGGAGCTAAACCTTGGGTATACACAGACATAAAGATGGGAACAGTAGACACTACGGACTCCAAAAGGAGGGAAAGAGGGAGGGGGAAAGGGCTCAAAAACTTCCTACTGAATACCATGTTCACTAATTGCATGATGGGTTCAATAAAAGCCCACACCTCAGCATCACCCAATATACCCTTGTAACAAACCTGCACATGTACCCCTGAATCTAAAATTAAAATTAAAAAAAAATATTTCAGTGTCCCACAAATAAAGTACTTTCCATTTTTAAGTTATTATTTTTTCAAATTTTCTGTAGAAGTTGAGCTTCTTTTGATAACACATTTCTTTAGTCAAGGATTAATATTTTCTTTTAAGGAGTCCACACACTCCAGTCTAGGAGTAATAAACATTTTAAAAATCTACAAGATTTAAATTTTCACCAGTGTTTAGAAAAAGTGGAAGGCATTATGTAAACAAACTCAGAATCTTAAAAATGGTACATTTATTTAATGAATCTGCCTCTTTTTGAGTTTTTTTTTTATACTGGAAGGATAGTGGTTTCTGAAAAGTAAAATGTTTTAAAAAATTAAAAGGAAAATCCATATTTATAAGACCATTAAATTGAACTGTGCCCCTCTACCTTGCTTTTAATGGTTTATTAATAAACACTACAGAGAGAAGATACAACAAAACATGAACTACTCTTTTTATGCATAAACTATTTTTATTCTTTAGCATATGTTAGGCATACCTAAGTATGCATAGTGCTATATAGAATGAATAAAAGCTAGAGTGATGATTAGGTTATATTCTGGTGCTGAATTTACAGTGGGTTCCCAGTAAATATGTGTGAGTCAGCCTTCTATTTTTCTTCTAATGTTTAAAGGGAGATCAATTATTTTTGAGCAAGGATTGCGGAAGAAAACGTTAGGTTTGTTGTGGAGAATGTCCTACGTTATAATTCACAGATTTTATGTCATAACCTTCTTCATTCTAAAAGCATTAAAATTGGCATACCAGACTCTAAATTAACAACTCCAAATCACCCCATAAAACTTCTTTATTCTGATTCTTTTCCTCATATAAGCAAAGCCCAATTGGTTTATATGAAGGATCAAGAACTTCTGCAGTAGTGGAGCACAATGGAACACATTTTTTGCAACATTGGATTTCATATGGACTATGTGATAAAATCTTCTCTGGTCTTGTAATCAATCGGTTGCCAAATTTGAACTATGTGTCTTTGAGCATCTTATTTAAATTCTAATAATCATTTGCATATTAAAACTAATTTCCATTTGCATTAAAAACTGATAACTCTTAGAGAGAATGCAAGAATTAGGTCATATAATATATGGGGTAGTATATTGCAGACTAGACATTCTCCGGGTATTTTCTCAGTGTTAGAAAAATATTTCTATAACAAAGAATGTAGTCCTCAGAGACAGGATAGTTCACCAGGTGAGTGACCTGTTGTGAATTCCCTCACTTCTGACAAAATGAACCATTTTTTGCTCTCACTTCACTTTTTGTTCTCATGTTTTTAATGAAGATATAATTTACAAACAATGTATTCATTCATTTCAAATGAATTTTAATGACTTTGGACACAGTATAAGCCCATGAAAGCACCACCATAGTAAATATATCAATAGATTTAATAGTTTCACTATGCTAAAAAGTTTGCTCAGGGGACATGTAATCACTCACCCCATCTCTAACTTTATGTTACACCTGATTTGATGTCTGCCACTATAGTTGATATTTTACTTTTTATGGTTTCATATAAATGAAATCATATTTTATGCATTTTTTTGGCTCAGAATAATTTTGTCAAAAATTTATCTGTGGTTTTGCATGTGTAAGTAGTTTCTTCCTTTTTCTTGCTGAATATTTTTCCATTTTAAGAATAATAATAATTTATTGATTCACCTGTAGATGGAAATTTGGGTAGTTTTCAGTTTTTTGTTCTTTTTTTTTTTTTTTTTTTTTTGAGATGGAGTCTCGCTCTTTCGTCCAGGCTGGAGTGCAATGGCGCGATCTCAGCTCACTGCAAGCTCCACCTCCCGGGTTCACTCCATTCTCCTGCCTCAGCCTCCCCAGTAGCTGGGAATACAGGTGCCCGCCACCATGCCCGGCTAATTTTTTGTATTTTTTTTAGTAGAGACAGGGTTTCACCGTGTTAGCCAGGATGGTCTCGATCTCCTGACCTCATGATCCGCCCGCCTCGGCCTCCCAAAGTGCTGAGATTACAGGCGTGAGCCAACGTGCCCGGCCCAGTTTTTTGTTGTTATAAATAAAGCTGCTATGAATATTTACGTATGTCCTTGATAGGATGTATGTTTTTATTTCTCTTGAGCGAATACCTAAGAGTGGAATTTCTGTGTCTTTTGGTAAATAAATGTTTAACTTCTTAAGAAGCTGCCAAACTATTTTCCTAAGGTGTCCTGACATTATTTATTTTAACTAGCAATTCATGAGAGTTGCTGCACATCCAGTTCCTACACACCCTCACTAACACTTGGTATGGCTCAATGTTTCTAATTTTAGCCAATCTAACATGTGTGAAGTGGTATCTTGTGGTTTCAATTTGCATGTCCCTGATGATTAATGATGATGTAAATATTTCAATGTGATTATTGGCCTTTTAAACATCTTTATTTGTGAACATTCTGTCCTTTTTCAATGGAGCATTTATCTTCTTATATATGTTTTTATTTTTCCTGAGTGGCTATCTGGAAGTGGCATTGCTAACTTGTAAGTTACTTCTATGTTTGACTTTTTGAGAAACTGCCAAACATTTTTCCAAAGTAGCTGCATTTTTTCTTCATTCCCAATAGCAAAGTATGAAGTTTTCTGTTTCTCCACATCTTCACCAAAATTTGTCACTCTCTATCTAATTTATTATAGCCATCTTGGTGGGTGCAAAATAGTATCTCATTAAGATTTTAATTGTAATTTCCCTACTGACAATATGTTCAGCATCTTTCCGTGTGCTTATTGGCCATTGGTATATATTCATGAGTGGATGTCTTTTGATTTTTGGCTGTCTTTATTATGTTGTTTCCTTATAGAGTTGCAATAGTGCTTGTAGATTTGCAAATTCTGGATACAAGTCTTTTATTAGATATGAGTTTTAATTATCTTTTCATTTTCTTTATGGTGTCTTTGCAGTACAAAACATATTTGAATTTTGATGAGGCCTAATTTTTCAATGTTTTTTCTTTTATGGATCATGCTTTTGGTGTCTGAGCTAAAATGTCTCTGTATAGCCCCTAGCTCTCAAAAATTTTCTTCTGTGTTTTCTTTTAAATGCTCTATTGTTTAGCTATTACATTTCAGCCTAAGATCTATTTTAAGGTGTGTGTGTGTGTGTGTGTGTGTGTATGGTGTAAAGTGAGAGTCTAAGTTAATCTTTCTGCGTGTGTATACTGAATGTCCTCTGCACCATCTGCTGAACACACTGTGTTTCCCATAATAAATTGCCAGGCAGTTTTGCCAATAATTAATTGAGTAGACAAATAAAACTTAGTTTTATACTTTTCATTTTTGTCTGTTATTTATATACTACCCTTATGCTAGTATTACACTGTTTTGATAACTGTAGCTTTATGGTATGTATTGAAGTTGGAAAGTAAAAGTATTTGTACCTTGTTATTACTTAAAAAAATTGTTTTGGCAAATTGATATGCTTTGTACTTCCATATATATTTTTGAATCTGCCTGTCAATAACTTAAAAAAAGAAAAAAAAACACCCTGGAATTTACTGAAATTTTGACAAGGTTGCACTGAATTAGTAGATTAATTTAGGAAAAACTATCATCTTAATCAAATTGAGTCTCGCAACCCATTAATGTAAAATTTGTTTCCATTTATTTAGAATTTATCGAATTTACCTCATCAAGTGTTACTATTATCAGAGTCCAAGTCTTATACTTCGTTAAATTTATTCCTAAGTATGTTTATTCTTTTTGGTGATGTTTTGAATTGAATTGTGTTCTTGATTTCAGTTTTGGATTGCCATTGGTCATAAATAGAAGCACAGTGATCTTGTGTCTTGTTTTCTTGCTGTTTATTAATTCTAATATTTTCTTTTGTGCATGTGTGCATGTATAATTTACTCTTTTCTATATATAGTATTACGTTGTCTGTGAATATAAAAATGTTTTACAATGTGGGTGCCTTTTTTTTGCCGGATTGCTCTGGCTAGAACCTTCAGTACTATGTTGAATAGAACAGATGATAGTGGACATTCTTGCCTTGTTCCTGATCTTAGTGGGGAAGCATTCAATCTTTTATCATTATGTATAATACTCACTATAGATTTTTCATAGATGCTGCCGTTCAGATTTAGAAAAGTTCTTTCTGTTTCATGTTTGTTAAGAAGTTTGATCACAAACCAGGTACAGGCGTGCAGTGGCGCATACCTATAATTGCAGCCACTCAGGAGGTTGAAGTGGGAGGATTTGAGCTGGGAGGATTGCTTGAGCCCAGGAGTTCAAGACAAGCCTGTTCAACACAGTGAGCACTTTTCTCAGAAAAAAAAAGTTAGATCATTATGGGTGTTGGATATTGTTAAATATTTTCTTTATCTATTAATGTGTTTGCATAATTTATATTTATAGTTGTATAATTGGTGATTTATATGATTCATTACATTAACTTTGTGATGTTAAACCTTGCACCCCTGGAATAAATTCCACCTGTATTTGTTATTGATAAATAGTCCTTTTAATATATTGCTGAATTTGGTTTGCAAATACAAACCAAATTTCGTTGATTATTTTGCATTTATATTCATGAGGGATGTTGATCTGTAGTTTGCTTTTCTTATGATGTTTTCATCTAGCTTTGGTACAGGGTATATACTACTAGTCTCATAGAATGAGTTGGAAAATATAATTTCCTTTTATATTTTATGGAGTATTAGTATTTTTCCTCTTTAAATATTTAATAAAATTTAACAATTGAAACCATCTGGATCTGGGCTTTACTTCATGGGAAAATTTTTAATTATAAATTCAATTTATTTACTATAGATTTACTCGGATTTTATATTTTTTCTTGGGTCAGTTTTAGTAATACTTGGCTTATTAGGAATTTGACCATTTCATCTAAGTTACTGATTTTTTTGGCAGAATATTTGGCTCAGTATTTTTTTTAATACATATAAATGTTACTTATAATCATTAGCCCTGAGTGGGCTCACTAATTTTTGCTACTGTTTTCTATCAAATTAAATTCCATTCTAATATTTATTATTCCCTTCATTCTGTTTGTCCTTAGCTTGGTTGCCCTTATTTTTCTACATTTTAAAAGTGAATTCTTAAACTATGTATTTGAGATTTTTTTTCTTTTCAAATATAGGCATTTAAATTTATAAATTTTCTCTGAGAACTAATTTAGTGGCATCCCATAAATTTTGTTATGTTATGTTTCTGATGTCATAAAATTTTTCTTTATTTTTATTTTTTTAAACTTTTAAGTTCAGGGGTACATGTACAGGATGTGCAGGTTTGTTATACAGGTAAACATGTGTCATGGGGGATTGTTGTAAAGATTATTTTATCATCCAGGTATTACATCTACTATCCATTAGTTATTTTGCATGGTTCTCTTCCTCCTTACACCTTCCACCCTCGAATAGATCCTAGTGTGTATTGTTCTCCTCTATGTGTCTACGTGTTTTCATCATTTGGCTCCCATGTATAAGTGAGAACATGGGGCATTTAGTTCACTGTTCCTGTGTTAATTTGCTAATTATAATGGCCTCCAGCTCCACCTATGTCTGTACAAAGGACATGATCTCATTCTTTTTTTATGGCTGCATGGTATTCCATGGTGTATATGTACCACATTTTCTTTATCCAGTCTATCATTGATGAGCACTTGAGTTGACTCTCTGGTCTTTGATATTGTGAATAGTGCTGCAATGAACATACACGTGCATGTGTTTTTATAATAGAATGACTTATATTCCTTTGGGTATATACTCAGTAACGGAATTGCTGGGTCAAATGGTAGTTCTGCATTTATCCAGCATCTGTAAGGAACTTAAGCAAATTTACAAGAGAAACAAACATTAAAAAGTGTGCAAAAAACATGAAGAGACACTTCTCAAAAGAAGAGATACATGTGGCCAATAATCTTTGGAAAAAAGCTCAACATCACTGATCATCAGAGAAATGCAAATCAAAACCACCATGAGATACCAACTCACACCCGTCAAAATGACTATTATTAAAAAATCAAAAAATAACAGATGATGGTGAGGCTGTGGGGAAAAATAAACACTTTTACACTGTTGGTAGGAGTGTAAATTAGTTCAACTATTGTGGAAGACAGCGTGGTGATTCCTCAGAAACCTAAAACATTTTTTTTCTAATTTTTAAAATAACTTTTTCTTTGACCTGTGGATATTTAGGCATGTTTAAATTTCTAAATGTTAAATATTAATATAAAGTTTAAAATTATTTAATTTTAAATATTTGTCCATTTCCCAGATTTCCTTCCATTGGTGATTTCCAATTTAACTCCATCATGGTTGGAAAATATGTATCCCATGCTTTCAGTCTTGTTAAATTTGTGTGTACTAGTTTTATGGCTTAACATATGGTCTATTTTGTAGAGTATTCTTTGTGAAGAGGAAATAATTCCTTACATACTGATCTCTGGGGCCACAGAAATTCCCTGAAGGTCGTTCATTAAGCCTATTTTTCTCTGTAAGTCCAGAATGTTTGTGGAGATTATGAAGACTACTAAAGATTCCTTTACAAAGCTCATGGTCAGAGTTTAATTTTACGAAATTTATAAGTGAAATCAACAGTACAGTTATGACATTCCTGCCATGGTGCCATATCTCAGCACCATGGCATCTGTTTCAACCATAATATTGGAGGGATTTCCTAGTTGGAAGGATTTTGAATTTTCATATAAGTTGAATTTCAATGTTACCTAATGGTGTCACATCCAGAGTGAGCAGTTTGATTTATTCAATGGGCTAAAATAAATTATTAGGGAATAAAATTTTTATCACTAAGTGGCTGTGAATCAAAACAGCATTTTGTCTATATAGATTGTCTTATTAATACACAGGTGAAGACTATCGCCCTGGTCAAAAGAAAAAGAAATGAGTCCCTTGCCCGGAAAAGAAATTTAAATAATTTCAGGAAATATTGTATGGAAGTGAAATATTAAGCTAAGCATTAATATCCTGAGTTCAGGCCAGGCGCAATGGCTCATGTCTGTAATCCCAGCACTTTGGGAGGCCAAGGTGGGTAGATCGCCTGAGGTCGGGAGTTCGAGACCAGCCTGGCCAACATGGTGAAACCCCGTCTCTACTAAAAATACAAAAGTTAGCCTGGTGTGATGGTGGGAACCTGTAATCCCAGCTAGTCAGGAAGCTGAGGCAGGAGAATCACTTGAACCTGGGGTCTATAGATTGCAGTGAGCTGAGATCACCCACTGCAATCCAGCCTGGGTGACAGAGTAAGACTCTGTCTCAAAAAAAAACAAAACAAAATCCTGAGTTCAAAATTAATCTTTACCTCCAACATATTACTTGACAGTAATCAAGATAAGAAACTTACTTACTAATGTCTTGTTTTCATCTTAATGGAATGGAAATTGTAATAGTAACTACCACATAAGGCTTTTGGGAGAATGAACATAAATATTCTAAACAGTGAAAAAATCTGGCATCGCAATTAATTTCAATGTGAATATATCTTCTTTATTATATCATAACTGGGACATATTTGAAGAGCACTTTGCTGTGACCATTAGTACCAATAAAATTTAATTCCGGTTGTAGGAGCCCTACAAGAAGTAGACAGTAAAACAATCTTCTTTCCCAATTTCTTCAACTCTTTGAGATCATTTGATATGTTTCAAGGTTATTGTAATAAGTCAGTTAAAAACTTTGAAGATGAACTCTTGAGAAACCAGTAATAGCATTGAGAGATACAACAGCCTCTCCAGGTTGATTTTATTTATTTAACTGTTGATTTTAGTCCAACACATTCATTTTATTTTGAATATAATTTTTAAAGAAGCAAACGAGGTAAATCTGTAGATTTCTTTGGTAGTATAGACATTTTAACAATATTGATTCTTCCAATCCATGAACATGGGATATGTTTTCATTAAGTTAAGGATCTTAAAATGAAGAAGTTATTCTGAATTATCCAAGTGGCCCAATGTAATCACAAGGGATCTTACAAGAGTCAGGCAGAGGAAGACTGGTACAGAAGAAGAAGGCAATGTGATCACTGAAGCAAAATGCCACACTGCTGGCTCTGAATGTGGAAGAAGGGTTTTTGGGTAAATAAATTTAAGGGCTGGGTGTGGTGGCCTGTGTCTGTAATCCTAGCTACTAAGGAGGCTGATTTGAGAGTCTGAGGATCCCTGAGCCCAGGAGTTTGAGATCATCCTGGGCAATAAAGTGAGAACCTTTCTCACACACACCCACACACAAAAGGAATGCTGTTTTAAAAGTTGAAAACACGAGAAAAAGCATTTTGCCCTCTGAACCGCCAGAAGAAGCAAGGCCCTGCTGATACCTTGATTAGATTTTTACCCAGTGACATTGATTTTGAAACTTGGACCTCTAGAAATGTAAGGAAATAAATGTATGTTGTTTTAAGCCATCAATTTTGGAATAATTTATTACAGCAGCCATTGAAAGCTAACAGGATTAGAACATTTTTCAGTGGAATATTTTCAAATCTCTACTCCAATGTTATTTACTATAATTTAACAGGCTACCTCTATTCTACTTTTAGATAGGAGTAGAAAAGTAAGTGTGTTGGACATCTATATTACTGAGAACTGTAACTACAGTTTAACAAAGTGCTGACAAAGATTTTGGCTCAGGTGACCCTCAGAAAAACAAGGAAACAGCATAATACGGTGGGAAGATAATTTCGAACTGGAAATATCTGTTTCCAAACATAGGCTCTTATATAGAATAACCATGCTATCTTTGGTGGTGTCTTTGACACGTTTGTAAAATGGAATAATACCTATAGTGTCAGATATTTTATTCTCAGAATTAAAGTAGCTATTATGTGTACGGTGATAGGCAAATGTTATACTTTCAACGATCTATAGCTATATAAGAAGAAAATCGGAAAATTTTTGTCGTTATGTATATTTAATGATTTGGGAACCTAGGGTTCAGAGACTAATTGTTTTATGGATAGTGGATAGAAGGGCTGGGGCTGGAACCTGATTGCTGGTGAGAATTTCATAAAGTTATCTGCCACTAATTTATGAATCTAACTTTTAACTAAAGAAAGAGGTACACATAAAATTTTCAAAAATATAAATAATATAAATTTCTTATATTCCAAAAAAGTCTGAAATGATTAGAAATTAGTATTAATAATTAAAAGAGACTCCACTTGCCAAGGCAAAGGATTCATCTCTTCTAAATGAAGAACTGCATGCTAGATCTCAAATAAAGATGGAACCCATAAAGAGAGTAGCCACAGAAAGAGTCAGATTTAAATTAATTATTTTTATGGCAGGTCACACCCACACAGCTTTCCTAATTAAGTATTAAGAAATTCTAAGGTACAACCTAGTTTCAAGTGATTTTAAATTATTCCTTTTTGATTAAAATATTATATAAGCAAAAAGGTGAGTTTTATGAATTTGAGGAGAACAATTTTTGGGGAACTTGCTTATGTTCAAGTTGTTTAGTTGAGCTTTATGAAGATTTACATTTCTCTTCTGCAGGTTTGGAGGAAAGTAATTCATGCTGTGAACTGTATGGATAAAATTCTGTGCAATGCCAGCTCAGTCTTTTCTTGTGTGCCACAAATCTTCAATATAGGAATAACAATATTTCTTCTAAAAAGGCTTTCAGTTATTGTCTCTTACCATGCAAAATTATACATGTGTATGCTTTTCATAATGTTAAAGTAAAATACAAATGTTATAGTTAATTCCAATGCATTCAGCTTGGGAATGTTTTATTTAGGGAAATTTTCAGGGTGATCTAAGTTAGAATTATTTAATTTTTATTTTAATTCCTAAAAAATACATTTTAAAATACAGTATATGCACACTGAAATTAACAAACACAATCCTTCTGTTAATGTTACCACGTCACGTAAGATTGAGTGCTTAGTAATTGTTGAATTAAAATATAATAACTTAATTATATTTTAACACTTTAATGCATGTTTTCCACAATAAGTAATAGACAAGGAATTCATTTCTAGTCAAACTATTCACATAGTCAAACTATATGCATTATGCTTTTGTTTACCACTATATCTGAATGCTGAATGATGATTTGTAATATTATTCACAAAGGGAAATTAAGCACATGGTTGTTAAATAGTGAAACATGAACCACCTTCAAATCATCTCACACTTCTGTAGTATATTTTTTCATGTCGTTTCATGCAATTGTCAAAACAACATTTAAATTATTTTGTTATAGTATTAGAATAATATGTATAATTATTTAAAGGAAACAGTTCTATTTTAATTTACTATTTGTTGTAAATTGAAATTAAAGGATTCTATTTTATCTTTTTTACAAAGTAGTTTTAAATATTAGGTTTTGCAGGTAATACAGCAATTATTTTCTTTTCAATGCTGATTATAAATGGGGCCACAGTAAATGCAGTAGTTAAGAGAACTGATTCTAGAATCAGACTCTTGGGGTGCAAATCCATGCTCACAAAATTTATAAGTCTAAGTGAACCTTCCATCTTGGAGAAGTGTGGACATTTTTTTTATAGGATTTAACAGGACATGGTCAACAGAGTTTAGCTCATTTTAGAAATAGTTGGTCAAGGACAGTTCTCAGGAAAAGGGATTTTTTTAATGATATATTAGCCATTGCTTGTACAGTTTAGATTTGATCACAGGGAATCAGAAGAGTTAGTGACTAAAATAATGTGCACGCATTGGTGGAGAGACAAAGGCAACAACAACAAAATAAATAAATTGGACTATGTAAAAATTAAAAACTGTGCATCAATGGGTTTAGCCAATAGGGTAAAAAGGTGAGCTATGGAATGAAAGAAAATATTTGTAAATCATATACCTAATACAAAGTTAATATGTAGAATATATAAAGATCTACAACACAGCAACAACAAAAGCCATACACTGTAATTAAAAATGGGCAAATAATTTGAATAAACATTTCTCCACAAAAGATAACTGCCCAAGAAGCATGTAAGAAGATGCCCAACATTACTAATCACTAGGGAAGTGTAAGTTGAACCCACAGTGAGATACCACCTCACACCCGTTAGCATGGCTACTATAAAAAAAAAAAAGATAAAATATTTTAGTGACAATGTGAGAAATTAGACAATTGATAGAAATGTAAAATGGTACAGCATGTGTGGAAAACAGTATGATCGTTCTTCAAAAAATTAAAAGTAGATTTGCCATATGATCCAGCAATTCTACTTCTGGGTATATACCCTAAAGAATTGAAAGAAGAGTAATGAAGAGATATTTGTATACCCCTGTTAATGCTCATAGCATTACTCATAATAGCCAAAAGGTGGAAGCCACCTAAGTGTCCACTGATAAGTAAAAGGATAAATAAAATGTGGTATGGACATACAATGGAGTATTAGCCTTAAAAATGAATTCAATTCTAACACTTGGTACGCCATGGTTGAACCCTTGAGAATATTATATTCGATTAATTTAGTTAGTCAGAAAAAGACTTATAGAAAGATATGGCAAATTGTCAAATCCATGGGGACAAAAGTAGAATGGTAATTAACAGGCTGGTAGAAAGGAAAACAAGAACTGTTGTTTAATGGGATTAGAGTTTTAGTTTTGCAAGATGAAAGGAGTTCTGATGATTGGTTGCAAAACAATGTAAATGTACTCAACAATACTGCACTGTACTTAAAAATAGTCGAGATGGCAAATTTTGTTTTATATGTCTTTCATTAACATTATTATGAAGAGAGAATATTGGAGATACGGACTTGCAAGAGTCACAGTGAAAATTCCTCAGAGCATTATGTTTCTTACAGTAATATCAGGCAAGTTATTTATCTTTCTCTGCTTCCGTTTTCTTATATTTAAAAAAGTAGCACCTTCTTTGTTGGGAAGATTAATTGTTTATACATTTAAGATCCTTCAAACAATTCTTGGAACATCATAGCATATTAAAACTGTTCACAATTACTATTTTAATTCAAATTGAATTCCTTTTACCAGTAGATGATAGCAGGAGGGAGAAATTGCCCATAGTTGCAACTACAGTGAAAACCATTAAAAGCTGTATCATCATCTCAATAGTATCAAAAAGTTATGTCTTGAAGTAGCCTTTATCAATTTATAGCTTTTTTCAAAAATGTAATATGCCTTAGCTTTCAAAATACTTGTCGAAATATACTGAGTAGCACTTTAATTCAACCCCAAAATTTATGTGTTAAATTTTACCGTTTATTTTAAAAGAACTTTACAACACAATTTGATTTCTGTTAAATTCACTTAGATAGAAGTCTCCATGAATATGTTTGTAAGTTACTTTACCATCTTGAGAAAAACAGGTAATGCCATTAATATTTTCAGAGAATCCTAGCTTTGAAAATTACTACTTGATGTCATAGAAATTCAATATATTGTTATCAGTTGCAGAATAATGGGATTATCCAGAGAAAAATCTGTAGCAAATACATGTTAGTAATGGTGGACCTAATTTGTGGGAGGACACTTCTTTGGGCATTGACATGGCCAAGACTTCTGAAAATGTTGAAAATAGTAACTGTAAATGATGTAAACATGTAACAGGCAATAAATACCTTTATACCATTTGCAACACTTTAGGAAATTCGCATTAATCTATTTTTAATCTCTTTTACATTTAGAAGTAGTAATATTACTACTACTACTAATAATACTGACTTTATGTATCTTCAGAAGCCGTAATTAATACTATTGCTTTTGTATCATAGTGGGGTTTAACATATTTTTCATAAATTTTTTTATCCAATCTTATTTATAAGTCACTCATAATTTTAAAAGAAATTATTTTTGAAAAATAAACATTTACTTTTATCCATCCTATAAAATTCAACATCTTCTCTCATTAAACTTTTTATGGGTCCATGAGGAGGACTGAATTGGACTGTTTCATCTTCTTTTATTTCCTGTATTTACCCTTTGACAGAGGTGCTAATGAGCAACAAATTAGTGCTAAAGATGAGCCTTAGGAGGGAGGAAGCAGAAATAAGACTGGCATAGAAAAATGTATCAACAGAGTAATCTGTTTCTAAACAAAGGATGCTGTTTGCTCCAATGCAATGCCAGAAATTTTGTAATCCACGTGGAATTATACATACATAAGATTAGGTAGCCAGAGTCTTACATTTTCCAAGAATGTTGTTAGAGGTTGGCCATAATTGAAGTTATCTCTCAAGAGAAAACAGGTTATATCAAACCAATAATAGTGATATTATTTGGCATGGAGGATTTTCAAGGAGAGGGACTATCACAATATTTGCTGTTTAGATATTTTAAAATGTCTCAGATAGCTTTGAACTATTTTCTTTTTGCTATATTACAATTAGAATATGTAATCAGGATGTAATTTAGGGAAATTTGGCCATTAAGTTATATGTAGCGCTCTAACATCCCATTTCTGTGTCTTTATCCTCAGTTTTGCCCACTGCATGGCACCATTTTCCATTTCTTCAAAGGATTTAGAATGCTTGTGTTTTTATTATTCTTCTAATCTGTCCCTTTTCCTGTACAAGTTATCAAATCCTATCCAGTAGCATCTCTAACTAGTCACACATTGCTTTATATATATATATATATATATGCATATATATGTGTATATATGTATGCATATATGTACATATGTATGTATATATATGTCAATATATTAAGTCACACATTGGTGTGTGTGTGTGTATATATATACATTTATGTATTTATTTAAGTCTATATATTAAGTTTTCCAGTGGTTTTTACCATCGTATTTCGAATTCTAAATTGTTAATTTTATTAAGAAATTTACATTCATAAATGTGCACATAACAGAATTTTTGGACTGTGCTGTTATAGTCTGAATTTTACACCTCTGCCATTCATATGTCGAAGTCCTAATTCCTGGTACCTGAGAATGTGATTGTATTTGGAGGTAGGGTCTTTACAAAGATTATAAGTTAATATGAGTCATTAGGGTGTTCCCTAGCCCAATATGACTGTATCCTTATAAGAAGAGGACATTTTATAGACAAATGAGAAAATGGAAGATAATTTGAAGACATAGGGAAAAGACAGCCATCTATAAGCCAAGGAGAAAGGATCTGAAATGGATCCTTCTCCAATGGCTAGAAGAAACCAATCCTGTTGACACCTTGATTTCAGACTTCTAGCCTCCATAACTGAGAGAGTAAGTTTCTGCTTTTTAAAACACTCATTTTGTCGTACTTTTTAATTGCAGCCTAGCTAACTAATGCAGGTGGTCTATTTTAATATTCCTCAAAACATCACATAGTCACTGCCTATTTATAAATACAACCAAATGTATTCAAGGGAGCATACATTGTAGTCTTCTCTTTTTAAAGTAAATCAAATGAAAAGGAATTCAATAAATATATTTATTCAGTGTCTACTACTTTAAAACTTTGAGCAATACCATAGAAGATACCAAGGCCCTGGTCTCAAGAAATTTAAACCCAAATGAGGAAGACAAACTGATATTGTTTGGATATTTGTCCCTTCCAAATTTCATGTTGAAATGTGGTTCCTAATTTTGGAATTGGGGCCTGGTCAGAGGTGATTGTATCATGTGGAAGGATCCCTTGTGAATGTTTTAGTACCTTCCCCTTGGTAATATTTGAGTTCTCATTGAGTTACTTCACATGAAATCATCTTGTTCAAAAGAGTCTGGGACCTCCCTCTTTTCTCTCTTGCTTCATATCTTCCCATGTGGCATTGCCTGCTTTCCCTTCACTTTCCACCATGATTCCTGAGGTCTTCACCAGAAGCAGATGCTGAAGCCTTGTTTGCACAGCCTGCAGAACTGTGAGACAATTACAACTTGTTTCTTTACAAATTACTCTTTCTCAGATATTTCCTGATAGTGATGCAAAAATAGACTAACACAGAAAGTTGGTACTAGAAGTGGGGTGTTACTATGAAGATACATGAAGATATGGATGTGGTTTTGGAACTGGGTAACAGGTAGAGGTTGAAGATTTTAGAGAGCTCAAAAGAGGATAGGAAGATAAATCAAAGACTGGAACTTCTTAATTACTGGTTAAATGGCTGTGACCAAATTGCTGATAGAGGCACGGATAGTGAGGGCAAGGCTGATGAGGTCTCAGATGGAATTGAGGAATTTTTTGGGAACTGGAGTAAAGGACAACTCCGTTGTGCCCTAGTGAAGAGCTTGGTTGCATTGTGTCCATTACCTAGGGCTCTGAGGAAGTTTGAACTTAAGAGTGATAACCTAGAATATCTGGAGAAAGAAAATTCTAAGCAGCAAAACATTCAAGAAGTGGCATGGTTGCATCTAACAACCCATGATCAAGAGCAAATTAATGGCTTAAAGTTCGAAATTATATTTAAAATGGAAGCAGGGAATAAAACTTTGGAAAATTTTCAGCCTGGCCCTGTGATAGAGAAAGAATACCAGCAGGCTGTGAAGAAAACACTTACTAGAGAGATTAGCATGACTAGAAGGGAACCAAGTGCTAATATCTATAACAGTGTGGAAAAGGCCTTGAAGATAATTCGTAAATATTCAAGGCAGCCCGTCCCATCACTGTCCAAGGGCCTAGGAGGAAAAAGTAGTTTTAGGGTCTAGGCACAGGGTACTACTGACCTGTACAGCCTCAGGATACTGCTCCCCACATCCTGACCACTCTGGGCACAGTTGAGGCTCAAAGACCCCAGGTGCAGCTCAGGCTGCCACTGTGAAAAACAAAAGCTGCCAAACGCCTTTACAGTTTCCACATAGTGTTAAACCTGCAAGTTCACAGAATGCAAGAGTAAAGGTGACTTGGTAGCTCCCACCTAGATTCCAGATGGTGTATGGGAAAGCCTGGTTGCCCAGACAGAAGCCTCCACAGGAGTGAAGCCCCCATATAGAAATACTAAGGTACTGCAATAAACATACGTGTGCATGTGTCTTTATAGCATTATAATCCTTTGGTGGGAATTGAACAGTGAGAACACCTGGACACAGGAAGGGGAACATCACACACCGGGGCCTGTCATGGGGTGAGGGGAGGGGGTGGGATAGCATTAGGACATATACCTAATGTAAATGATGAGTTAATGGGTGCAGCACACCAACATGGCTCATGTATACATATGTAACAAACCTGCACGTTGTGCACATGTACCCTAGAACTTAAAGTATAATAAAAAAAAAAAAAGAAAGAAATTCTACTAAGGTAATGCTGAGGGGAAACATAGAGTTGGATCTCCAACACAGAGGCCCCACCAGAGTACTACTTAGTGGAACTGTGGGAAGGGTGCTGCCACTCTCCAGACCCAAGAATGGTAGAACCATCAGCAACTTGAAACATCAGCATGGAAAAGCCACAGGCACTGCATTCCAACCCATGAGAGCAACCATGGGAAGAACACCCTGCAAAGCCACAGAGGTGGAGTTGCTTGAGGCCTTGGAAGCCCACCTCTTGCAATAATATGCCCTGGATGTGTGACATGGAGTCAAAGGAAATTGTTTTGGAGCTTTAGTATTTAATCATTGTCCTATGGTATTTCAGACTTATGTGGAAGCAATTGTCCCTTTCTTTTGGATGATTTTTCTCTTTTGGAATGGTAATATATACCCAATGCCTGCACTATCATATCTTGGCAGTAAATAACTTGTTTTTGATCTCACAGGCTTATAAGTGGAAGGAACTTATCTACAGATGAGAATTTGGACGTGGGTCTTGAAATCTGGGACTTCTGAGTTAATTCTGGAACCAGTCAAGACCTTTGGGAACTATTGCAAAGGCATCATTGTATATCGAAATGTGAGAAAGGTATGATATTTGGGGAGTCAAGAGTTAGAATAATATTGTTTGGATGTTTATCCAGTACAAATCTCATGTTAAAATATGGTTTCCAGTGTTAGAAGTAGGGTCTGGTGGGAGGTAATTGGATTATTGGAGCAGATTCCTCATGAATGGTTTAATACCATCCCCTTGGTGATAAGTGAGTTCTCAGTTAGTTCATGTGAGACCTGGTTGTTTAGAAGAGTCTGCAACCTCACCCTTCTCTCTTTTGCTCCCTCTCTCACCATGTGACATCGCCTGCTCTTTTACCTTCTGCCATGACTGTAAGCTTTCTGAGGACCTCAACAGAAACAGATGTTGAAGCCATGCTGTTACAGCCGGCAGCACCGTGAGCCAATCAAATCTCCCTTTATTAATTACTGAATCTCAGTTACTCCTTTATAGTGATGCAGAAATTGACTAACACACAGATGTACAAGTCATTTTACTAAATATGTGCTAATTTACAGCTATATAGATGGCTATCAATTTATTGCAAAGCACAATGAAGCTATCTTAGAAGTCCAGTTAGGGTACAAGGATGGGAGAAAGATAAATTACTATGAAATATATTGAGATATTTTTTCTAGAAGGAGCATTTACAGTGAACCTTGGAACCATATTTCTACTAGCCAAACTGAGTGAAAGGATGTGATAAATGAAAATAAATGGCCTGTGATAAATTGTAAATGTTAGACTATACAGGGTATGTTCAAGAAACAAAATAGGGATAGTCATATGGGGAAAGCAATGAGAAAGGATTAAAAATTATTATCAATTTAGAAAAATAATAATATTAAGGTAATTTAGAAATAAAGCAGTATACAAAACAGTGAAGAACATGCTAAAGAAATAAAGTACTAAACAATAATATTTTATACACAATGAATGTTTCCTTAACCTCATTTTAATTGCTTATTAAATCAACTTTATGAAACCTCTCACACATAAAATAAAATTCAAATAAAAATCATCTACTTCCTTTTTAATGCAGTTACAGGTCTGGACATTTGCTATACAGAAATTCTGATTCTGCCATAGAATGAAACTGAAAAGAGTTTGGGGTAAAATTAGCATGTTTAGGTAATGATAATATTGTTTGCAGAAAATTTTCTTGTCTTTGCTATTTTTCTGTATATTCTCTCATTGCAATTTTGGTATTTTTAGTAGAGTCTTTGAATTATATTCATCCTAAAATTCACATAATAGAGATACTCATAATTTTGGTAGAGGCTTTCATTTTTGTTGCCTAAATATCAATATTGTCTCTGGAGGTCTTGAGAGTAAGGAAACACATTCAGTTAGTGCAAGACTTTGACTGAGAATAGTTTTGTCACCTTATGTTTGACATACTATTATGCTGAGCATTATGCAAAGCAATGTTATATAGAATCTATTTGTTCAGATAGGTAGTAACTAAATCACGAGGTCAAGAAAATTATGCCATTTCAGCCAGAGTATAATAAATACAGACTTCTTACACCTCTGTTTAGAAAATAGACTTGACTCATTTCTGACCTAATGAATCAGATTTTTAATGTCTCTTTTTCTTTATGGAATTATTTCTTGAAGAATAAATGAGGGCAAATGGAGTGACTTATTTCCTACTTCATTCAAAAAATGGTACAAAGCTCAAGTGGTTTATGTGATTGGAAAAAGAGAAACCTCACTAAATTTAATTAGAGTCGCTCCCATACTTTCTCATTTTCTTTTAATACAAGTATTTGTCTTACTAAAGAGCTTAATAGGAATATAAATGTCAATAAGGAAATGAAACCACAGCCAAATAGATAATGGAGAAATGTGTCTCCAGGCGGAAAAATAAGCCCTGGGTCAAAAAATGTAACTTTTTTCAATAAGAATATGTAGTTTCAAGATTTTCTTTGAAAAATTGACTCACATTGTTTAAGTAAGTGAGGTGTATAGTTTTAGAATGCCAAGATTGTTTCAAAAATGAAAATTTAAAATTTTACACTTGATAAATTCATAGTATAATAGCATGAGGAGCCCTTCAGACCAGCTCCCCAGTGAAATGGTAAAAATCATTAGTGTGTTTCTTTTTTAACAAATACAATAATTTCAAAGCTCTGGAAATTATTCTAATGGAAGACAACAAATTAAAAAAATCTATTCAAGAAAGTGTTTGAAAATCAGGTAAATGGGAAAATGTGTAGTACTCAAACCAAGAATGTGTTCTTCCTCTACCTCTTCAGTCTAAGACAAAACCTCCAGACTAATGTAGCCAAGAACATACAGTTTCATTTCCTGCCAGCTCCAAGTCAAAAGAATTTCTTCCCAGGAGGAACAATACATTTGCACTTCTCAACTTGCCCTCTGCTACTTATTGCCATGGCTAAGTTCTGAGTAAATGTGGTGGAGACATGAGACTTCTTCCTTTTGCCCAGATATCACTTATGAAATGGAGACTTTACACATGGCACCATGAAAATGAGTGATTCCCAAGTACCCTTGCCCTGGCTTATAAGTTAGTGGTTTCTTGCCAGGAGAGACAAACCAAGAAGACCCCAGGCTACTTTCTATTTGCTCCCTTAATTCTTAGCATCAAAAGTGAGAGCATCACTCAAAGAAAAGTGTGTTCCCATGTCCAGATCCACAGCCATGGCACTGAGATATTTTCTGAAATGAGAAACATAACATAAATAGTTTCATATTTCTTCCCAAAGGAAGTAATTTAATTTGCAATAGGACCTGGAGAAGTCCAAGCCTAAGAGTGCTCCCTAGAACAGTGGAGGTTGAGCCAAAAGGCAGTTAAGAGGAGATTTCCACACTTTATGCCTAATGAAGATTCAGGACAAATTGTAGGGTGTCCAGTTTGCAGGAGAGAGCCAAAAAAATAAAAATGAAGAAGGAAGAGAAGGAGGAGGAGGGGAGAGGGAGGAGGAGGGGGAGGGGCAGGGGCAGGGAGTGGGGGAGAGGGGGAGGGGGAGGGAGAGGGAGAAAACAGCTGTGGGGAGCCTTCCTGCTATCAGAAAAAAATATCAAACACCTAAAGGAAGTATTCCCTTAAAGGAGCCAAAATTAGAGTAATTTATTTCCCAGGGCATTGTTGAAGATAATATCAACAGCGAGCAGCGTAGATGAACATCAGTGTGTGATCAGAGCAAGAGACCCAGAAAGCCCTGTCAAAACTATTTTTATTTCAGAGTGACTACAGCTTTATCTTCTGAGGAAAAACGCCATACGGTTATTACTGCAGTGAGGTTGGGGAAAGGGGAGGTGAATAAACTTCACTAGAATAACTTAGCCAATGTCTAAACAAATAAACAAACAAATAACAATTACATAGTCCAGAGGGAGTAGTAAAAGTGGATATAATATATAATATAAAATGTCCACTTTCAGCAAAAAAAAAAAAAAAGACAAGATAAGAAATAAAGAAAGTATAACACAAGCACTGCACTGGGGAAAAAAGAACACAGGCTATACACACTGCTTTTGAAAGAGACCAGAAGTAAGATTTGACAGATACATAAGTATTCTTGTAAGTAAAATAACAATTTTATAAGCAAAATAAAATAAAAATACTTATAAGTAACTATTATGAATATTTTCAAAGAATTCAAAGAATGCCATGAGAGAAGCAAAGGAAGGTATGGTGTTGATGTTACATAAAATAGAGAATATTACTAATAAGATATAAATTAGAAGAAAAATGAATGAAAATTCTGTAGTTAAAAATCACAATAACTAAAATGAGAAATTCACAAGAGAGATTCTATGGTAGATTTTAATTGATAGAAAACAGATATAACAAACTTGAATATAGACCTATGGATATGCAATCTGAAAAACAGAGAGAAAACGGAATGAAGAAAAATAGAGCTTCAGAGAAATCTTTGCCAATATTAATGCACCAATATATGTGTAATAGGAGTACTAGTAGAAGGTAGAAAAAAAACAGAAAAAAATTTTAAGAAATAACTACTCACAACTTTCCAAATTTATTGAAAAGCAATACTGTATGTATCCAGAAAGCTTAATGAGCTCCAAAAAGGAAAAAAAAATCAAATGGATCCACTGACACAGCATAGTAAATATGCCAAGAGTCAAAGACAAGCAGGAACTCTTGAAAGCACCTAGAAATAAATGACTTGTCACCTATGAAAAATTCGGTAAGAACAACAGCTAACTTATCAGCAGAAACAATGGAGGGCAGAAGGCAGAGGACTAATCTATTCAACTGATGAAATAAAAATTGTCAACTGGCAAGTCTTTATTTAAAAAATGAAGGTAAAATTAAGACATTTTCAGATAAACAAAAACTAAGTGATTTTTTTTTTGCAGGCATACCCGCCTTATAAGTAATATTAAAGGAAGCTGTTTAGATGGAAAGTAAGTAACCCCAGATAGTAATTCAATTCCACACGAAAATATAAAGAGGAACAGTAAAGTTAATTATGTAATTATAATAAAATATAAATGCAAATTCTTCTTTAACTGATTTCAAAAGAAATTGCATAAAATTATATGTATATAATATATTGTCAGGCTTATATCAAGCTGCAGCTTTTACTAATATTTGCCAATAGCGACACAAACAAAAGATGTCAGTGGGAGAAAAGCTGTATCAGACTGAGAAAATGTTTAGAGATAAATATATATAGCAATACCATAAAAGGAAGACAAATGAATAGAAATATACAGGAATAATATTTGTATATATCGCTGAGATTAAGCTAGTATAAACTTGAAGGTGATTTTGGAATACATACATAAGCATATATATAAAACCAAAAGCTTCTTTTTTGAGAAGATCAACAAGTGGACAAACTTTTAGCTAGATTGACTAATCTAGCTTATAAATAAATAGATAAATATATGTATATGTGTATACACAAACACACACACACACACACACACAGACACACACACACACAGTTCTGGAACAACTAAAAAAACCCTCAAACCTTTACACAAAGTAAAAAATATTAAAGTAAAATGCCTCATAAAATAATATTTGCCTGGGCGTGGTGGCTTATGCCTGTAATCCCAGCACTTTGGGAGGTCGAGGCAGGTGGATCGCCTGAGGTCAGGAGTTCGAGACCATCCTGGCCAACATAGCGAAACCCCATCTCTACTAAAAATACAAAAAATTAGCTGGGTGTGGTGGCACGTGCTTGTAATCCCAGCTACTAGGGAGGCTGAGACAGGAGAATCGCTTGAACCCAGGAGGTGGAGGTTGCAGTGAGCCAAGATCATGCCACTGCACTCTAGCTTGGGCAACAAGAGGGAAACTCTATCTCAAAAAATAATAATAATAATAATATTCACCCAATTAAAAAAAGTTTTTGAAGAAAAGAAAGTATAGGCCAGGCATGGTGGCTCACACCTGTAATCCCAGCACTTTGGGAGGCTGAGGTGGGTGGATCATGAGGTGAGGAGTTCAAGACCAGCCTGGCCAAGAGGGTGAAACCCAGTCTCTACTAAAAAGACAAAAATTAGCCTGGTGTAGTGGTGCACACCTGTAATCCCAGCTACTCGGGAGGCTGAGGCAGAAGAATTGCTTGAACCTGGGAAGCGGAGGTTTCAGTGAGCCGAGATCACGCCACTGCACTCCAGCCTGGGTGACAGAGCAAGACTCCGTTTTTGAGAAAAAAAAAAGAAAGAAAAAAGAAAGTATACAGAAAGAAAAAAATACATGAGACACGTAAAAAGCAAAAATTAACAGACACAAATCCAACACTATTAGTAATAACATTAAGTGTAAATGAATAAAAAATGTAATCAAAAGACAGTTATTGTAAGACTGGATTTAAAATTCTAACTGTGTACTGTCTACAGCACCTTGATTTAAAATATAAATTTATTGAAAGTAAAAAGATGAATAAAGATATATTATACAAGCAGCAACCACAGAATTAGTGGCTATAATAATTCTAGGCAGATAATGAAACAAAATATGTTATTAATAACTTTTTTTTTTGAGACAGAGTTTCTCTCTTGTTGCCCAGGCTGAACTGCCATGGCACCATTTCGGCTCACTGCAACCTCCGCCTCCCAGGTTCAAGTGATTCTCCTGTCTCAGCCTCCCAAGGAACTGGGATTACAGTGCCTGCCACCATGCCCAGCTAATTTTCTGGGGTTTCACCTTGTTGGCCAGGCTGGTCTTGAACTGCTGACCTCAGGTGATCCACCCGACTTGGTCTCTCAAAGTCATGGGATTACAGCTGTGAGCCACCACGCCTGGCCCATATTTTTTATCATTATAAAATGATATATAATTTTATCATTATAAAATTTTATTCTATAATTTTATTAAGAGAAACATTTTATAATGATAAAAACGTAACGATAAAATGTTAATTCAAGAAGATACAATAGTTATAAATATGTATGTATCAATAGTAACAGAGCACCAATTTATATGAAAACTGATGAAAGTAGAAAAAAACAAAGTGAATAAATGGTTGCATACATCAATGCACCACTTTCTGTAATGGATAGAACAATTAGACAAAAAATAAAGGAAATAAACAATTTAGCACTATAAGCCAACTAGACCTGGAAAACATCTATAAAACACATCACAATAATAGAATGTACACTTTCCTCAAGTGCACATAGAACACCTCCATGATAGACCATATCCTGGCCATAAAGCAAATGTTAATAAATGTAAAAGGATAGAAATAATGTGAAATATGTTTTGTGATTGCAATGGAATAAATTTAGAAATCAATCAAGGAAAAAAAATTAGGAAATTCACAAATACATGGATATTGAAAAACATTTAGAAATGTTTAAATAACTACTGGGTCAAAAAAAATCAAAAGGGAAATCAGAAAATACTTTGAAATGAATGAAAATGAAAAAGCATAACAATATTTAATGGGGGTACAGATAGAGTAGTCCTTATTGGGGGACTTATAGCTGTACATGGATATATCAAGAAGAGAAATTTCTAATCCATAACCCAAACTTCCACTCTGAGACACTGAACAAAAGAGCAGAGTAAGCCTAAATCAAGCATAGTAAAGGACATAATAACAATTAGAGCTAAGATTCATGAGAGAATAGAAAAATGATAGACAAAATAAGTGGGCGCAAAATCTTATTTTTGAGAAGATCAACAAATGGACAAACTTTTAGCTAGACTGATCAAGAAAAAAAGTGAATAGAATCAGAAATAAAAGGTTTTTACTACTAATCATGTAGAAATAAAATATCAGGAAGGAATACTATAAACAATTGTATGCCAATAAATTATATAACATAGATGAAATAGACAATTTTTAAAGAAACATACTGATTACTAAAACTGACTCAACAAAAATAAGCAATTTAATAGGACTTACAAGTTAATTGATTAATAATAATATTAGTAACAATAATAAACCTATCATAAAGAAAAAGCCTGACCCAGGAGCTTTCATTACTATCTTCTCCCAGACATTATAAAAAGTCCTTTTACCAACTCTTGACAAACTCTTCCAATGAGTAAAAGAGAAGATAGTATTTCCCAACTCAATTAGGTCATTATTAATCTGAAACCAAACCAGACAAAGACCTCACAATAAATGAAAACTACAGACCAATATCTGTTATGAATATGGGTTCAAATGCTTAACAAAATAGTAACCAAATTTACAAGGCAGTCCTTCATAAAAAGCAGGCTGGAATGCTCAGGCATAGTCTAGGCTACAGTCTTTAGTTATTAAGTCAAACACTATTCTATGTCTTGCTGTAAAGACATTTTATAGATATAGTTTAAGTCCATAATCTGCTGACTTTAGGTAAAATCATCTCAGATAATCTGGGTGGTCTTGAATCAATGAGCTGAGAAGCTTTAAGAACAGAACTGGGGCTTCCCTGAAAAAGAAGAAATTCTGCCTGTGAAATACAGATTCAACCTGCACATGAAAGATTTGACCTGCTCTTCCTGGCCACCTGCCCCATGGACTTCAGACCTTCTTAGCCAGCTCCCACAATTGCACACATTAATTCCTTGCAATAACTCGGTAAACAAATGTCTTCTACTGGCTCTGTTTCTCTGGTTGCACCCTGACAGAATTAGATTTAGATTATTTTTGTTTTCACAAACTACCATAAATCAAATTAATTAGACGACATGTTTCCAGTAACCAGCATACCTGAATTTGAATAATAGTTTAGTTTTTAAGACATGAAATATCTATTTATAAAAAAAGTCAGTTCAGAGAGACGTGGAGTAAAATGGCAGAGTGAGACTCTCCAAAATCATCCACTGACAGAATCATCAATTTGAACAACTATCCATGCATGAGAAAACCTTCATAAGAGCTAAGGAAACAAGATGTGAGTTCACAGTACCTGGTTTAAGCATAATAATGAGTAAAGATTCATTGAAGAAGTTTTACATTAGCTATGTCACCCCTGCCCCAACCCCAGGCAGCACAGCACAGATAGACACCAGCTGCCTGTGGAGAAGGAAATAAAAATAAACCAGGACTTCGCCTTGGAATCAGTAGAGGCCCCACTGCTGTAAAACCGAGTGCTGGGCAGATCCCCAGGCCAGCACCAATGGGCAAAGCCTCTAGACACGTGACAGTGCCAGACAGGAACCTGTGGCTATGGCAAGAGAGAATCAAGATCTAATCCACATCATCACTGGCTGACTACAATGACCTTGAACACTGAACAAACCTCAGTGGCAGGCAGGCCATAGTGGTCACGACCTTAGGTATACCCCAATACTATGCTGGTCTCAGGGATCATGGACTTCGAATGAGACCCAGCACTATGTCAGCCTCAGCAGTTAAAGGATTCCTGCTGCAGAGGTCCTAGGCTTAGGGGGCCCCCTAGTGCTTCAACAACTTAAAGACCTCGCAGTCACCTAACCTCACTTGCGTTGAATCTATGGACAGCACTATTGCCAAAGGAACCTCCCAAAGAAAGCCATGCTGTGAAAACTTGGTTAGGTACCAATATCAATTCACAGACTTTGATGCACAGCCACAGGATTAAGATCAAGTAGGGAAATAAGACATCATAAATGGACAAAATAATGTGACAGTGACTGATCCTAAAGAGATGGTGATGTAGGCACCACCTGAAAAAAAATTCAAAATAACTGTTTTATGGAAACTATGCAAATATGAATAAAATAAAAAGAATTTATAAATTTATCAAATAAATTTTACAGAGATTAAAATAATTTTTTTAAAAAATAACAAATTTTAAAGCTAAAGAATACATGAACAAAATAAAGAAATTGAATGCAGAGCATCAACAGCACAATTGATCAAGCAGAGAAAATAATTTGTGAACTCCAAGACAGGTTAATTGAAAACAAACATTCATAGAAGAAAAATTAAAAAGGAATAAAGAAAGCTTATGGCATTTATGTAATAACAATAACAAGGGCAAATGTATGGGTTATTGGTGATCAAGAGGAAGAAGAGACCAAAGCATAGGAAGCTTCTTTAAAGAAAAAACAAAAACCTTTCAAACCCAGCCAAAGATGTAAATTCCAGGTACAAGAAGGTCAAAGGTTTTCAAGCAGATTCAATCCAAATAAAATTTTACCCATAATGTATAATAATCAAAATGTCAAAGATCAAAGACAAAGAAAGAATCCTGAAAACATTAAGAGAAAGAAAGCAAATATGCCTAACAGCAGAAGCAGATTTCTCAGTAGAAACCTTATTGGCCAGGAAAGAGTGAGACGGTATATTCAAAATGCTAAAAAAAAAAAAAGCAGTCAACCAAGAATACTATACCTAGCAAAGCTGATCTTCAGAAATGGAGAGATAAAGACTTTCCTGGATAATCAAAAGCTAAGGGAGTTAATCATCACCAGTCATGTCTTACAATAAATGCTGAAGAAAGTTCTTCAAGATTAAAGGTAAAGACTCTGACAAGAAACACAGAAACGTCTGAGGGTATATTATTCACTGGTACTCTAGACAAAATGGGCGTTACAGACAATCCAGCAGCTACCAAATGCACATTCTTCTCAATGCCATATAGACCGTTGTGCAGGATAGACTATATGTTAGGACTCAAATTAAGTCTCAGCAAATTTAAGATGATTGAAATCATATCATGTATCTCTTCTGACCACAATGGTATAAAATAGGAAATCAATAACAAGAGGAACTCGGAAACATTACATTACATGGAAAGCAAACAACATACTCCTAAACAACCAGTTTGTGAATGAAGAAATCAAAAGGGAAATTTAAAAATTTATTGTGGCAAATGATCATAAAACTACAACACACCAAAAATAACAAATAACCTTATTTTTAAAAATTGGCTAAAGACCTGAATAGACCATTCTCAAAAGAAGACATACAAATGGCAAACAGGTAAACAAAAAGCTAAACATCACTAATAAGGAAATACAAACCAAGACCACAATTAGGTATCACCTTATCCAAGTTACAATGGCCATTATTAAAAGACAAAAGATAGCAAGTGTTGGCATGGATATGGGAAAAATAGAATCCTTGTACACTGTTTTTGGGAATGTAAATTAGTACCCCCATTATTGAAAACAGCATGGAGCTTTCTCAAAAAAATTAAAAATAGAATGACCATATGATTCAGCAATCTCACTATGGGATATATATCCAAAAGAAAGGATTTGATATGTCAAAGACACATCTGCACTTTAATGTTTATTGAAGCATTATTCACACTAGTCAATGTGTGAAATCAACCTAAGTGTCCATCAATGGAGGAATCAATAAAGAAAATATGGGATATATATACAATCGAATTTTCAGCTATAAAGATTAAGTCCTGCTATTTGCAGCAACGTGGATCAACCTGAAGGACATTATGTTAAGTGAAATAAGCCAAGCATAGAAAGACAAATGCTACATTATCTCAGTGATATGTGTAATCTAGAAAGTTAATCACATAAAAACAGAGGAATGGAGGTTACCGAGGCTTGCGTGGTTATGTGGGGGAAGAGAAATGAAAGACGTTGGTCAAAGGATACATAATTACAGTTAGGAAGAATATATTTCAAGAGATCTATTGTACAACAAGGTAACTATAGTTAATGATTATAGATTGTATTCTTGAAAAATATAAAAAGCATAGATGTTATGTGCTCTTAAAACAAAAGTGATAATTGTATGAGATAATGCATTTGTTATTTAGCTAGATTTAAGCATTTGATAATGTATGTCTTTCAAAACATTACATCATAAATGACCAAAACATACAATGCTATCTGTCAATTTAAAAAACAGTCAGCCGGGTGTGGTGGCTCACACCTGTAATCCCAGCACTTTGGAGGCCGAGGCAGGCCGATCACGAGGTCAGGAGTTCAAGACCAGCCTGGCCAAGATGGTGAAACCCCGTCTCTACTAAAAATACAAAAATTAGCCAGGTGCGGTGGCACATCCTGTAGCCACAGCTCCTCGGGAGGCTGAGGCAGGAGAATCACTTGAACCCAGGAGGCGGAGGTTGTAGTGAGTTGGGACTGTGCCATTGTACTCCAGCCTGGGTGACAGAGCAAGACTCCATCTCAAATAAAATAAAATAAAATAAAATAAACCAGTAAATATCTAATTAGTATTAACTATAAAGTTACAAACCAGCCTTTGAATCGTTTTGTTTGGTCATGAAAAGTAATCATTTAGAACCCTATGTTTTGAATGTAGCAAAGTGTCTATATTTTATCTTATATATATTTATTTCAAGTGAGATAATTAGTCACACAATAAGATCAATAATAATAATTCAACATAAGTGATCTAGAGGTTCTTTAAAATTATCTTATAAATATCACCTTAGATTGACCATTTTTAAGTGAGCAAACATTTAGATCCAATTTGATTTCATAGTCTTAATGAAGAAAACTAAATGACCTTTCCAACTATTAACTTAATTCAATGCCTGGGACGGTCAACACTTCTCGATGGACTGTGACTGAAACAGAACAGCAGAAAATATGCTCACTTTGTTTTTAGTAGGATAAATTTTATTTTATTTGTAATGAGCTAAATTTAGAGAAACACCATTAGGTCCACAAATTTAAACAGTAAAATTATGATTCTTGTCCTTTAAGCTTTATTTTTTATATGCAGCTAGATTAAAAATACAGTTTTGACAAAGTTTGGAAAACAGCAGTAATGAGGAATAATGTTTAGTTAGTTTAGTCAAAAAACATACTTACAAGATGGTACAGACTGTAGTTATTTGTTGGAGAATTCTGATGATGCCAAGAGAGTTTCACTTAGCAAAGATATACAAAAATGTTTGCCATTTTATATAATGAAAATTATGCCAATACATAATTTTACATAAAAAATTAACAGTCAGAAGCATTCTAGTTCCATCCATGGCACAGTAACTGGGACTAACTTGCTTTCCCAGGAAAAAAAACTATAATACTAAACAAAATAAATGCAGAAACTGTTTTCAGGCAGTGAGCAATGGATAGAATAGGACTATAATTATTGCAAAAAGGAAAACACAGAAGTTAAGCCCCATGCAAATTACCTTACACGTCTTTATGGGAAGGCTTGTATAATAGGAGTTAAGGAGAACCATAGCTGAGCTACGGAGGCAGAAATTAGAGTTCTTTCTCACAAAAATGAAAAGGTTCCAGAGATAAGGCAGCGCATGATGGTATATAGAATTTGCATGGAAATTTACCAAGGTTACTAGAGTGAAGGTTGTTTTACTCAAGTGTAGGCAAAGACTTCACGACATCTAATATACATCATCTACTTCTGGGCTGTGAACTGACTGGTGATACCATAAATTATGCCTTATGGGGACATTCTTGAGTTCTAGCCCAGTGGTAGTGGAGAGCCCTCACTGAGCACCCAGTGCATTCAAACTAAACCCCAAAATAAAGACATTCCTAATAGAATGGAGCACACCCTAGAGCAAGAAGAATAAGGAAATCTGAAGATTCTCAGTGAATTGTGTGGTAGTATTATGTCTAATATATGTACAATTTGATTCCAAGATGACTATGATAGAGAACAGGGCAAAGTAATGATTGAGAAAATATATCCACAATGAGATAAAAAGTTTTATTTTATTCAACATTTAGCTATTTTGCACTGCATGAGTTGTTCAAAATGTCTCATCTGTTACACTGCCACAAGTAGAAATTCAATACATTAATTTTTGAACTGATATTAATTTGTTTCAACATTTTCTATACCTGTTCACTCCTACCCTTCAGATTATGGCAGATAGTATTGAAATTTAAATGAATTAGGGCACTTTCTTTATAAGCCAACAGAGGACATAGTAGATGCTTGATGAATCAAGTTTATTTGGGCAGTAAGTGGTGTTGCTTAGTATTTTTTCCAATGGCATGATGGTGGGACTAATTAATGTTATATGACTTGCTATGGATGACCCATGTACAATAATGACATTTATGACTCAAAGGAAATCTATTTGAATTGCTTTTCCAGTAGAAGTCAAAGGCAGTTTAGTGTTATGACAAATTATTATAAAGATTGAAAATACTGTTATGTTGCTGTTTTCATTCACATAATGTTGACTGGAATGCAGTGTGACTCTAGACGATTTCCCCTATTTTTAATGCAATAGTATTAGTATAATATACACTATGTTTAATTGAATTTAGTTTTACCTGTCACAGTATCACTTGCAAATAATTAACAAAATCAGCAGACCTGAAGTATATTTTGGATCTAGTCATTTTCGACAATATATTTTTTTCTCCCTGCCTTCTTTACTGAATGTCTAAGACAGTTGTTAGTTTCAAACTATGTTCTGATCATAGTTTCCTGGTGACATGCTAGGAGTATTTAATACTAAAAGAATGACTATGCACGTTGACTCATCCACTTTGAGAAGATAAAACAACTGAAACATTAATTTTATGCTAATAATAAATGACACCTAATATGTCATGGAATGAAATGCAATCTGCCTGCATTTTCTAAAATAAGACATAGTGTTCAAAAATACTCTTTACCAATAGTAGAAACTTCAAACTACACCTTTAAATGGTCAGAACATGCATTCACTTAGCTTTTAGAGGCACTTCAATAAAAACATTTTAAAAGCACAAAATTAATGGGTTATATTTCAATTTGTTATTCATTTTATAACCACTTTAAACATTATTGAGGTGGCATATGGCAACATATTGTGCAATATGACTCTAAATGTAGATTTAGAAATTTTAAAAATGGAGATTAAGTTAAAAATAAATAAGGCAAAAGCCCAGATTAATATGTTTATTAAAAGTTGAAATTATAATTGACTCTGAGTTTCATAGGTTCCAAGAAAAAGGAAGATAAGAAGAGAGATTCTAAACTGGCATGACTTCTAAATATAAACATGACTTATCTGGTGGAAAACATGTTACTAGGTCTTAATTTGAAAATGAATTTTCAAGTACCAAGCATCAATTTTAGGTGATACCCAATAAAATCCAAGGGAATCATATTAAAATATTATTCAGTGAAGGCAATTCTCTAAGGAAAAACAAAATATATTTTGTTAAAGCCTATCAATTGGACATGCCTGTAAAATTTTCAACCTTGAACATGCCTTTAAAATTTTGGAGATTATCTGAGTTGCTGATTGAAGGAAAATTATTCTGGACATCAGATGTCAAAGGAACAAGATGAAGATTTTGTTAGGATAATTTAAGCCTTTGATTTGTAGTCTCATCTTGGAGTTCTGGGCCAGAGGAAAGCCTGGACATTTTCTTAAGAATGCGATCTAGGTTTGCCCAAGTGTCCAAATAAGCATTAAATGTGAACAAAATCATAGCTTTCTGTACCATAGTACATGAATGACCATTAATTTGTAGAAAAATAAAGCAAAAGTTACTTATTTTACTAGAAGTGAAGTTCAAAATAATTACTGAGGAATATCTAATTTGAGTAGGGCCTGAATCCTCAGCTTATTGGATAAACTGAACTACTCCATTTAGGATACTTGTTATTTTCATCATTTTTTTTTACACTTTGTTGTATTTGTTTTGTCTCTATTATTATTAGCTAAAAACAGTTACTTCCTTAGACTATCACCATTTTGTAATAATAAGATAATTTTTATTTGATGGGTCAATAGGTATTATATTAACTATGCCTAAAATATAATTAACTTATTAAAATAAAATTTGAAGTGATGAGAGCATAAGCTGTAGATTAGTTTCACATGAATCAAGATTAGTGTTTGTTTTTCAGAAATTTTGTAGTTGCCCACCCTGGTTTTTCTAGTAGCTTTTTAGTTCTTGAATGTCAAGTAGCTAAATGTCAAACTAAAACCCATCTGTCTAAACATAAAAGAATAACTTGGGAAAAATTCAGTTTTTGAAAATTGGCAAGAATAAGAATTTTTAAAATTAATATTGTAATAAACCATTTGTTTCTATTTATGTCACCAGAACTAAAATGTTATATTAAAAAAAATTAAATGACAATAAAAGTAAATGTAGGATTACAATTTAAAAATATAGCTTGTATTTTCAGTCTATCTTAAATCTTGGAAACAATTACTAGGTGAATTTTTTAAAAAATATTGACACATTTTAAGAGAGGATTTAAAGGATATGGAGATAGTGAGTTTTTATGGTATGGTAATAATTTAAATTATATTAAATTTGAAAACCAGATCTTAAGCCAGAGACTTTTTCTAAAATCTAAAAACACATGGAAAATTTTACTAGGATAATAATATAACTTAGAAAGCTTTTTCAATAATCAATAGGAAAACATGCCTTCATAATTTCCCTTATGAAAAATGTTGTTTGCTGATCAGTCTTTATAGTTGTTACTGATGTCTTATCTCAGGGCCTCTTATACAGATATGGATTGAATTTTACATTTTTATGGTACAGGGAAAGAGGATGTGTTCCTAATAATAATTTAAACTCAAATCCCTTAATCCATATTTTCCTTTGAGTATTTTTTGAGCAACCACTACACGTTCCAGGCTACATTCTAGGTATAATGGATAGAGAAATAAGCAAAACTTAGTTAAAAATTCTCCATTCTCATAGATTCTGCATTTTTGTGGGACAGGCAGTAAACAGATAAACCAGTAGGTAAATATTTATACCTCAGTGAAAAAATAAGGCAAGGCAAAGGACTAGAGAGTAAGAGGAATGTTTTTTAGGCTGGGAAAATTCTGTATGTTAGTTTTCCAACTTTTTTAAAGCCTTATTTATTTATTTATATATTTTTTTTGTTGTTTTTGTTATTGTTTTATCTTTATGCACATTCATTCTTCAAGAATCTAGCCAGGTTAGAGTGATTCTGGCCTCCAACGTTTGGACCAACTAGTGAGAAAGATCTCTGGAAGAAATAAAAGCAATTTCTTCCGGAATACAGCTAAACTCATATATTCATCACAGCTCTATTCACAATAGCAAAGACATGGAATCAACCCAGGAGCTCATAAAAAGTGGATTGAATACAGAAAATCTGGTACATATACACCATGGGATATTATGCAGCCATGAAAAAATGAAATCGTGTTTTGCAGCAACATAGATGCAGCTGGAGGCCATTATCCTAAGTGAATTAATGAAGGGACAGTAAAAAAAAAATACTACAGGTTTTTACTTATAAGAGGAAACTAAGAATTGGGTACTCGCAGATATAAAGATGGCAACAATAGACACTGAGGACTACTAGAGGGGAATGGAAGGAATAGAGGCAAGTGTTGAAAAACTAACTATTGGGTACTATGCTCACTACCTGGGTGATGGGATCAATCATACCCCAAACTTCAGCATCATGTAATATACCCATGTAACAACCCTCCACCTGTACCCCTTGAATCTAAAATAAAATTTGAAAAAAATTTTTTTAAAATCTGATTACAGCTAATGTGGACATAGTAACCTCTGCTAATCTGGAAAGAAACTGATGGCAGCCCCAGTCACAGTTATATTGAGGATTAAAATAAATCGAGGACCAGATTGTGGATCTACATCTTAAGGATAAAGAACCACTAATAAGATTAACTATTGAAAATATAGTGGTTCTGATTTCTTGACAGAAAAATATGTAAAATTTTTGTAAACTTTTCCCTCAAGCTGCCATTTAAATATATTATGTTGTACTTAGAGATAACTTTGGCCAGTTTTCCCATTTTATGTGGATTTTTTTTTTGCTATAACAGTAGGCCATTCAGAAGTAAATTTAGCCATTTCATAATTTCTGTGGATAAAAACTTATGAGTTTAACTGAATCATTTAATATTGTTTAAATTATTTTATATTTTTACAATTACTCAAATAGTTGTATTGGACAATAAAGTTCAATTTCACTGCAAAAATATTTTTAGACAAATAAATAAGATGTAAACATCAAAAGTTAGATAATTTGTCACTGGCCTTTAGGGAAATTTGTCGTATGTTATCAAAAGCAGAAATTTTATCATTAGATATGCCAGTGCAGACCTAACATAATTTGGTTTCAAATTGAGAAAAATGTGTTCTGGTTATGTATGTGAACATTTAATTATTATCTCGTATATTTATTCATTTACTGAAAAAATTGTTTGGTGAGTAAAATGTGCTGGAAGGGCTTTATCTAGCTGCTCAGAATACAGGAGAGATCGAAGCAAACAAAATCCCTTCACCCATGGAACACACTTTCTGGAATTTACCAGAGATCAACATACGCAGTTCAGCTTTGCTGCACAAAAGTTCCTCCATTTGATGGCTAAAAACAAACGATCCAAACTCTTAAGCATAGGAAGAAATAATTTCCTAAAGAAAAAATATCACACAGACCAAGAGGAAAGTCAGCAGGCCAAGCCTTTTTCTTTATGGTCATAATCTGCTGCTGGTTAGTTATTGGAATGAACATTTAGGTATTGTATAATGCCATAGAAAATTTATGTAATTGGAAATATAGATTATATAAGAGGTGTTAGCTTGAAAATAGCAGAAACTGGCCAATTTGGCAAAATTCAAAATTATTAGGAAGATCAGAGGCTTACACAATGGATAAGAGTTGAAATATTGAGCTGATAAGCTTATTCATATCAGTGGAGTATTAGATGTTTAAGGAAGAAGGAATAAAACAATAGTTTTATAGAAAGAATGATCTTGTCTGCATGTCAGTTGGCCATGAATGATGTCCAGATTTACCTTCTTCCCTCAAGTGAAAATTTAATTTTAAAACCAAGCATCTAATTGACTGAACTTGGTCAAGTTTTACTCTGGCTTCTGAGATTAAGAAAACCAGAATCTATTTTCTATAATTTCTGTGTTGGAAGACAGGCAATTTGATTTGTCCTTCCATCAAAACTACACACAATAGGTGGTGATTTCTCAAAAGGAAATAGAGATTATACAAGGACAGTCACGTGAAAGCTGAGCTGCCTAAACAGACAAACAAAACACACATAGAGCAGGCTTGTATCTGATGCAACTTTGCTACTTGATTTCTGCTATCAGAATTACTCAGACATCAGTTCATCTAATTTAAAGAACAGTGTAGCCAAAAAAAAAGAGAACATATTTCTTTCCAGAGAGGGACTTTTCAAGAGCATCCATTTGTTTTTGATCTTAAAAATTTACTCCAACCACCCTCACCCAGAAGCAAATTTGGTTGTCTTATTTTTTTCCCCAGATATAACCTTTCAGTTTATGTAACTCCTTTTAGAGAAATTAAATGTGAACATTATAGAAAATTCAGTGAGGGAAAAATAAGTGTCCTTGGGCCAGTTATCCCATTTCAAGGAGAACTAAGAAAAAGGAGCTGAATGATATTGCATGTCTTTGCACTGTTGGTCAATGTTTCCTAAGTTTACCCTGAGCATAGGTGTGTAGCTGGCAACCAAGTATGTACATTTTTGCTGAGTTAATATAGACTGAGGAATGAGATCATAGTATACTGCTTCAAATATACTGACAGAAAAATTAAAAGCATTACAATAATTTACCATAAAAGATCAGAAATGCATCATTACTTTGTCAAATGCCAAAAATGTTAACATAGATTTGAGTTTTATTGATAATATTAAATAAAAACCATTCATTTCATAGTTTAAAAGTCAAGGTAAGTGTATTGTCATATCTTGAGATAAAGAGCCACATGCTATTTTAAAAGTTCTTCAGTTGTAAAAGTTATGATTTGATAAATGTTTGACTTCATGAATTTTGTTAGTCCTTAAGTTAATCAATTATATCAGTAGTTTCACCAAAGACATTCACTTTTGTTAAATCTGATGAGTTACTATCAGTGGAGCTAAAAGCCGAAACTTGTTCAACTATATTTATACATATACACAGAAAAATAAAGAGATGATCCACTGTAATATACTTATCTGTCACTGATATCAGTAAACAATATATATATACATAATGGACATTAGGTATAGAAGTATGTTAGCCATAGTTTGAGACACTCTATCTTCAAATTTAAATTTTAAATTGATCCATTCTCTTGCTAGTTCTGCCTTGTTCAAATAAAACAAAAATCCATAAGATTTAACTTATTCTTTTTCTGTAATAATGATTTGCTCTAAACCAGTTTCAAAACTCTTCTGTTTCACCTTGGGCCCAAGGAATTGAAAGAGACTCTGAAGAGGATATTTCAGCCACTGCTAATCTTTTTTGATTTCATGACTTTACTCATGGGTATCCATTTCTTACTTTTCAATAAATTTTCTACTTTAGCCCATATTGTCACAAATAGCAGTAATCAAAAAGTATTCATGTACTTACCAGTATTAGGAAAAGGATTAATATGAACGCAACCAGTCTGTGACCAATCCCATTTTAACTTAGTTGTATAACACTGTAGAGTGACGTAGTTTATTTTCTGTATATGTGTCTATGATGGTGGGGAAAAAGGTAGACAAAATAAGAAATTTCTTATTCTTTTATCACTCATGCATTGAAATGGGATTAATCATTGCATCCCTATATTTAAATATTTTTTCCAATGGGAGCTATAGTCAGTGTCAGCATACAGCACAATTTATACTGAGAATTTCTTCTAGTATGTGAAATTATTTTCATATTTTTCAAAGTAAAACATAAGCCATCAGCTCAATAGCCACACATCTTACACTTGGCAAATTCAAGCATAAGTGGGGACTTCTATTCCCCTTAAGTAATAAAAATGAGTAAAAATTCTGACTGATGTAAATGCATGGAACTGGAATGCTTTTAAAATTTATTTTCAGTGTACTTATTCTCCTAATTATCTTTGGCTAAGTGAATAACCCAATTTGCTTAAATATCAAATAGGATCTTTCTTTGTGAATAGGCGTACGTTGCTATACAAATGTGACTTACGCTTATCGTAATTAATAAGCATAGATCAAAATTGGTCTGAAGAGTTTGGAGCAGTTGAACAAAAATTACTCAGTAAAACTCATATAATACAAATACACAATTAGAAATTAATTGTCTTTGTGGAATAAAATATTTCTCAATTTTCAACATTTTCATTGTCTGTAAAAATGAAGGTACATGAGCTCTTCAAGAGCCAAGACAAAATCTTGGTCATTTCTATAAGTCCGGTACTGTGCAGTGCTGAGCATATGCACACTTCATCAATTTAAAATGCACATTTGTAGTAATTTAACATCTCTGATAATTGGACTGTATCTTGCAATCAGGGTCATGTAATAGATTAATGGCTTTTTTTTTTACTTCTTAGAGTAAAATATATATCAGTGTACCCTAAAATCAATGGTGCTTTTGATTTAGTTGAATATATGATAGTAAGTATTGACTAAAAGTTTACTAAACTTGAAAAGCAGCATAGTATGGTAGAAAGATAGATCTAGGATCAAGTCTAGATTTATATTGCTAAATATGGACTGAAGCAATGAAATTGGTAGAATGGCTTGATTTGAGGCCAAAAGGGAGCGATTTTTTAAAAACCAAAGATGTCCAACTTTTTTTAGGTATAAATAACAAATAAAAACCTTATGTTTTCAAAGCATACAATATGATGTTTCATGTACACAAATAGATACATTGTGAAATGAATACCAAGCTAATAAACACATCAGTTATATTATTTTAACAGATAGGATAACCTTCTACAAAATGAGATGGGGTAGAGTCAGTAACAAAATAGAAATTTTGCCTGTGGGTAAAAGGAAGGGTACATACACCCCAGACACAGAAAGTAGGTTTGAGCAGTGAAAAAGCATACATTTTGTGGGGGAGAGACAAAAATGGGAAATAACTTTGTTATTTTAGTAAATTGGGAGACAAAGTGATAAACTGAAAGAGAGCCAGGCCAGCTCTAGACATAAAGATGGAAAAGTCTGGTTAATAATTTGATATTTTTGCTATACAAAATTAAGAATCTCAGAAAAAAAGTGTTTTGAGTTCTTGGTCAGAATTATCTGAAACAGAGGTGCAATCCTGTTGGGGAAGGAGTTGAAAAGGGGCTGTCCATTTATGACCTGGGCAGTTCCCCTTGGTCCAGCATTTCAGATCTCACTCAATAAAACAAAAGCCTTGAAATTGAGAGAAATTTTGAAACATATAAATCAGTCTTACAGTACTTTTTTAAAAGAGCAGACACACAAAAGAATTAATCTAGTCAAATTATGCTTCTACCAGTGCAAAAACATTAACAGCAATTGCCACTAGCAAGAGACAATGGAAATTAAATATTCAGTTTTTATGTTAGAAGGATTTAACAAGAAAAATAAAAAAGGAAGAACGGGCCTAATATAATTCCAAGTTAAATAGCAACCTAGAATACCACAAGAGGGATTCTAGGTATGAAACTGGTCAGATAAGGAAAAAAATCAGTGGTGTTTACATACTGTGCAAATACGTAAATCCAAACTGTCATGTCAGAATTCTTATATACTGCAATATATTGCTTCTCCTTGTCAGACTCATCATGTAATAAATTATGTAATTTTGTTTTACATGGTAACTTTTGCTATATTAATTTGTTTAGCATCACTGCTTAGAATCAAACCCAGCAACATAAAGTGGAAAAAGTCAAATGCTGACATTTCTAGTCTTGGATGAAGCATTCTGAGATAGAGACAGTGTTGAAAGCATATTGTTTTTATCACTTTCCTGGTTTTTGTGGTAGCCCAAGAGGGTTGAGTCCACTGACAGTGGAGAGAACTGGAAATAGCAACCTACATTAAGCAACTATACTCTCCATGGAAAAAAAAATTAGTTTATATTTGTGGGTCTTGGCCCCATAATAATCAGATTAAAAGAGAAGTCCATCCAAATACATGTATGACTTTCTCTGAGATTTCTGATAACAATTCTTCTTCCTCCTCTCTCTTTTGCGTCTCTTTCTTCTTCTATTTAAAAACATTTTAGGATTCAGTGAAGAGACAGGTGTTGCTTTGGTACTCCTTATTAACTGGCACCTTTGGGAACTACATGTTTCCTGTGTCCCTTACTCTGCCCTTAGAAGGAGCAGATGTGAAGAAATGAAAGACACGTTTGACCCGGGAGTAGGAATTAGAAAGGCAATTTTTATTAGAATGAGAGAGGGAATCGCTGCTGCTAGCAAATGCACCACTGTTATGGCTTACTATATGGTTCAGGCTTTTTGGATGGAGAAATAAAATCAGAAATTGGTTGATTTATCATAAAAAGAAAGCAATCTAATAGATAAAACTTTTATAACAGGATTAGTGAGAAAGAAGAATGAGCAAAACAGAGTACTAATTTGTGCCCTAAAATTTAACATTAAAGTTAAGCAAGAAGCATAATGGCAGCCTGATGAGAGCATGATGCTGGTAGGATGAGAAAAGGGGTAGAGTATGGTATGTGTGTGCTCAGGGCAGGCGGTACAGGCCACATGTAGCCCATTGACCCTCAATTAGTTGTGCAAAGGTAAAGTCAGATAAAAATAAGGTAAGAAAAAGAATCTCAATTAGGATGATCAAAAGAGTTACTAATGTTCATGCTCAAAATCCAACAAAACTGAAAACACAGCTTTTCTGTCTAGCACAGCTAAAAAGGTGGCATTCACATGCTATGTCCACCCATTCCCCTGTGTGGTCCTGACAGACTTCATACAGGAACTATAGGCTTTCCTTTTAAATCCGAATCCCCTGAAGTCATCGCTTTTCTGAAAATGGCAATAATAATTACAAACATCACAGTAACCCTTGCATACAATATAAATTCCATTAACAGTTTCAGCCATCCATTTAAGACAAATTGAAGCAATTTTTTTTCACTATGTTGGGCATTTATAAAAATGAATATTTTGCTTGTTTGTTTTCACTAATTCACTGGTAAATTTACTTGAGATAGTCTATCCGGCTCTATAATTACACAAAGCTAATGGATTTCTTGGACTAAGTCATTAGATAATTATATTATTTAATGTTCTTTTGGTTGCAAGCAGTGAAATCTGACTGTGTTAGCTCACACAAGGCAGGAACCTTAATGGCAAGACATTAAAATGGAAATAACAGAAATAGTTGAGTAAACCAGACTTAACAAAAAAATCCAACAAGAACAGCTTAAAATACTTAATGGTCCATTGGTCTAGACCAGAGCAATAAGAAGCAAACTTGTTTTTCCCTCATAAATAGCCAAATAGTAACTTATTAAAGTTTTACAGGAGATACAGTCCCTGTTGTAATACTCATCTCTACTATTGTGTCATGAAAGCAGCCATACACAAAACATAAATGAATGAGTGTGGCTTTATTCCCGTATATATTTTGCATGTTGATGTGTGAATATCATCACATTTTCATGTGTCATAAAGTATTCTTTTGACTTTTTTCCTCCAGCTATTTAAAAAATGCAAATCCATCCTTGCCTTTGGATCAGACCATAACACAAAAACAGGCTGAATGTGGCAGATATGGCACATGGGCCTTCATCTGTCCACTTTATTTGGCCCAGCTTTGCCCAGAACCCTCAAGGAGATTCAATCTCTTTGTTCAAAGTTTAAAATTTTAAGAAAGATTATCTTATGTTCTTACTGTGAGTTGGTCTTTTATTCCTGGATCTATTGACCTCTGCCAGGTGGTAAGGATTACACAAGATAGATATGGCCTCTGGAAGTTATCCTGGGTATCAGGTATGGTTGTCAGAAAAAAACCCAATGTGAGTGAGGGTTGTTAGGAGCTAAGCAATCCCTTTAACAAAAAAACCTACTATCATATCATTATATTTTTGTTAGTATCCAGACTATTAAGTAAATATATGTACTTGACATCGGAACTTTGTTAATCAGTGCATCCACACATGAGCTTTTTCTTGTCTTTTTTCTTTTCTTGTCTTTGAGATAACAAATAAGTTTCCCAGATGGGATTCTAAGAGCCTCCAAATATCTACAGCTTTGCCTTGATCTATTCCAAATTCTATGAGATCTTATCAGAAAAATTTCAGAGGCTTAAAGAAAAAATGTGCTGCTTGAAGAGCTTTAAAGCTATTGCCTACCGGAAAATATCTAACTTGTGAAGAATGACAGAAATTTTCATAACCTGACTGAGCAGACAATATTCTGCCACCCACCAAGATGTTACATGGACCTGCTCTACTGTTCCCTAAACAAGATATCTGAATACATCTTTGTCTTTTGCAGCAGGATCCATCTAAATTATAATTGTTTCTCCTTTCTTTAAGAACCGTTGTTTGGCATTCATAACCCACACAAGGTTTATTGATCCTCTTTTCCTCTGTACTTTTTAAAAGTTCTATTAATCCTTATTGTAGATTGTTTCTGATTTAATAAAAGAAGATATCATGGCGAGGGTACTAGTCTGTTCTCACACTGCTAATAAAGACATACCTGAGACTAGGTAATTAGAAAGGAAAGGGGTTTAATTGACTCACAGTTCCACATGGCTGGGGAGGCCTCAGAATCATGGCAGAAGGCAAAGAGGAGCAAGTCACATCTTGCATGGTGGCAGGCAAGAGAGCATGTGCAGAAACTGCCCTTTTATAAAACCGTCAAATCTCATGAGAATTATTCACTATCACAAGAACAGCCAAGGGAAAAACTCACCTTCATTAGTCAATTACCTCCCAGTGACTCCCTTACAATTATAGGTGATATTTGGGTGTGGACACAGAGCCAAATCATATCAGAGGGTTTGACCTAATCAAATTAACACTTTGAAAGAAGTAGAAAGCACTTTTGGAGGCCAAGGCAGAAGGATCACTTGAGGCCAGGATTTTGAGATTAGCCTGGACACCAAATTGAGATATCTTTACAAAAAATTTAAAAATTAGCTGGGTGTGTTGGTGCATGTCTGTAGTCTTAACTATTCAGGAGAGTGAGGTGGGAGGATACTTTGAGCTCAGGAGTTTGAGGTTTCAGTGAGCTGTGATCATGCCAATGCATTCCAGCTTGGGCAACAGAGTGAGATGAAAGAACAAAAAACGAAAGAATGAAAGGGAAGAACGAAAGGGAAGAATGAAAGGAAGGAAGAAAGGAGGGAGGGAAGGAAGGAAGGAGGGAGGGAGGGAGGGAGGGAAGGAAGGAGGGAGGGAGGAAGGAAAAAGAAAGAGAAAGAAAGAAAAAGAAAGAAAGAAGAAAGGACAGAAGGAAGGAAGAAAAGAAAAAGGAAGAAGGAAGGAAGGAAGGAAAGAAAAAGAGAGAAAGAAGAAAGGACAGAAGAAAGGAGAGAAGGAAGGAAGGAAGGAAAGAAAGAAAGAAAGAAAGAAAGAAAGAAAGAAAGAAAGAAAGAAAAAGATGAAACTCAGAGGGATGTTCTTAAGCTAACCTTGAAGTTGAAGCAAATTGCTATTTTGTTAGAGGATCTATGGATGGGAGCAGGTGCAAGAAATAAATGAAAAAAAAAAAAAAGGGCCCCAAAGAGTTATATTTAAAGGATTGTATGTAAAAGCTTCATCTGCCCATGACTTAAAATAATTTAGATTTTGGACTCTGAACTGACAATATTTTGATTTAATTTTGGACTTTGAGTTGAAGATACAATATTTAATGATATTTAGATTTTGATTATGAACTTTGAATTTTGAGCGAATACTGTGCTAGGATGAAACTAGGAATTGTGAGAGAGGTGAATGTTCTTTGCACTTGGGAAGAATGTGAATCCTTGCAGGCCAGAGGGCAGACTATGGGTAGGAATAATAATAAGGCTCCCAAGATTCCTGCCACCTGATATATATGTGCATATGTGTATACACATATCAGGTATGGTTGTTGCAGGAATCTTCGGAGCCATATGTTGCAGGAATATTGGGAGCCATATTTTATATTTATTTATATATATGTGTGTATATATTATATATATTTGTATATATAATATATATTTGTATATATATTTGTTTGATTTTGTTTTTTGGAGGGGTTTTTATAGAATTTTTATCTCAATAGGTTTTTGGGGAATAGGTGGTGTTTGGTTACACGAATAAGTTCTTTAGTGGTAATTTCTGAGATTTTGGTGCACCCAGCACCCAAGCAGTGTACACTATACCCAATGTGTAGTCTTTTATCCCTCACCTGCCTCCCATCCTTTCCCCCAAGTCCCCAGAGTCCATGATATCATTCTTAGGCTTTTGCATCCTCATAGCGCAGCTCCTACTTACAAGTGAGAACATCCAATGTTTGGTTTTCCATTCCTGAGTTACTCACTTAGAATAATGGTCTCCAATTCCATCCAGGTTGCTGTGAATGCGATTATTTCATTCCTTTTTATGGCCGAGTAGTATTCCATGGTATGTATGTGTGTGTGTATATATACATCACATTTTCTTTATTCACTTGTTGATGGGCATTTGGGCTGGTTCCATATTTTTACAATTGTGAATTGTACTGCTATAAACATGCATGTGCAAGTATCCTTTTGCGCGTAATGACTTCTTTTCCTCCAGGTATACCTAGTAGTGGGATTACTAGATCAAATGGTAGATCCACTTTCAGTTTTTTAAGGAATTTCCAGACTGTCTTTTATTCATTCCCACCAACAGTGTAAGAGTGTTTTCTTGTCACCACATCCATGCCAGCATCTATTATTTTTGTTTTTTTATTATGGCCATTCTTGCTGGCATAAGGTGGTATCACAATGTGCTTTTGATTTGCATTGCCCTAGGGAAAAAAAACCCTAAAACCCATACGGAACCAAAAAAGAGCCCATACAGCCAAAGCAACTCCTAAGCAAAAGGAATAAATCTGGAGACATCACAGTACCCAACTTCAAGCTCTGCTATAAGGCCATAGTCACCAAAACAGCATGGTTCTGGTATAAAAATAGGCATAAATACCCATGAAACAGGATAGAGAATCCGGAAATAAAGCCAAATACTTACAGTCACCTGATCTTTGACAAAGCAAACAAAAACAAAGTGGGGAAAGGGTACCTTATTGGACAAATGATGCTGGGATAATTGGCAAGCCAAATGTAGAAGAATGAAACTGGATTCTCATCCCTTACCTTATACAAAAATCAACTCAAAATGGATCAAAGACTGAAACCTAAGACCTGAAAACATAAAAATTCTAGAAAATAATATTGGAAAAACCCTTCTAGACATTGGCTTAGGCAAAGACTTCATGACCAAGAACCCAAAAGCAAATGCAACAAAAACAAAGATAAATAGATGGGACTTAATTGAACTAAAAAGCTTCTGCACAACAAAAGAAATAATCAGCAGAGTAAACAGAAAATCTACAGAGTGGGAAAAAATCTTTGCACTCTATACCTATGACAAAGAACTAATATCCAGAATCTACAAATAACTCAAACAAATCAGCAAGAAAAAAAACAAACAATCCCATCAAAAAGTTGGCTAAGAACATGAACAGACAATTCTCAAAAAAAAAAAATACAAATGGCCAAACATATCTGAGATATGTGTGTGCATGTGTGTGTATATGTGTGTGTGTGTGTGTATATATATATATATATTTTTTTTTTATATATGGTCTTTTAAATATATATACACATTTATATTATGGTCTTTTAAACATATATATATTTTATGTTATGGTCTTTGCTTCAGTGTGTACAAAACCTGTAAACGTGAAGAAATATTACTCTTATGATTAGGTCACCTTATATGTCAAAGATAAAGCCATGTTTCACATGTCATAAAAGTCTGTAATCAGTTGGCAGTTTAAAGTCTGTAATCAGTTGGCATTTAAGGAGATTTTCTTTGATGGGGCTGGCCTAATCAGGTAAATTTTTAGAAGAGGAATTCTCTTGCTGGCCTGACATAAAGTGAATACCATGTTACGAACTGCCTGTGGAAGGGGGCACATGGCTAGGCTCTGAGGGCTGACTCGAAGCTGAGATTGGTTCCTAGCTGACAGTACAAAGAAAAAAGGGACTTATAGGAGTAAGGAACTGAATTCTGCTAATAGTCACATGAGCTTGAGAAAGGACTCTAATCACCAGAAAGGAATACAGACTTGGTTACAACCATAAGTTCAGCCGGGTAAAATCTGAGCAGAAGTCCAGCTAACCTGTACCTAAGCCTACCAAAACTGTGGGATAATAGATGGGTGTTGTATTAAACAAATGTAGCCAATAATTTTTGTAGCAATAGAAAAATAAATTCAACAGTGTTGTGATTATTGGTCTGAGTTACCAGTTGCTAGTCTTGTGTGATTGTTGACTATCTCTTATAATCTGTATCTTATTGTAAGTATTCCGAAGAAAACTTAGTTCACATTTGCATAATTCTCTCACTAGTTCTTTAAATCTATTGTTTCTCTTATTCCTCTCTCATAGGAAATCTCATGGGTTTGTATATTCATTGTCTATTCATTGTTTCTATCCTTGAACTGAAATTAGTAATATTTTTTATTTGTCTTTTCATCTTTTTTCTTCACAATTTGATAAATGCTTATGTGCTTTTAACTGCTAATAAAAAAACATTATTAGAACTTTCATTTGTATATGAGACTATCTTATGCCCATGTTGTATAGAACAGCTAACTGCATTTCCTCAGCAGGAAAAAGATTCAGAAACACAGACAATTCTGATTTCATTATACCCTTGTCCTCTATTAGTTTTCTTCAGTATCTTGAAATCACACTAACTGTGCTTGAGTTCATTTCACCTATTACTGCTTCAGCCAAGAAGCAGGAGCTAATATCCACAAGTTCCCATTTATTTTAGAAATTATTTTTATACCAAAAATATCTCTCAATTAAAATGTGTAAAAGAACAGTTAGCAAAAAATAAATCACAAAAAATAAACATGTGAAATAGAATAAACCATATTGTAGTTATCAGCAATTCGTTGTGAAATTTTAAGTAATGTGTATCTTAAAATACCATCAAATAATTGTACACAGTTTTCAATAAAACATAATTTGAATTTCCTTAAAAATCAATAATGTATATGGAAGTAGTAACGGTAAAAAGAAATGACTGAAAAAAATTCATGGTTTCAAAGTTCCTTCATGAAATTAGAAGGGACAGAATATGGAATGGTAATAATCAGTGCTGATTAAAGCCGGAGGAAATTTTTTAAGATGACATGGATGAAGAGAATGCACAGTTCAGAACATTTTCTGCCACACAAGTTTGAGGTTGGTGTGATGAAGGAAAATCATTTAAGGAAATTATTAAGGCACAGAATTCTTCCCAGGTGTGACAAGGTCAATGGTAAGCCTCGTCGGTAATGCCACTCTTGCTTTCCTAAGCCGTCTAAGTGAAGCTGTTGCCCTTCCCTCAGTGTGTTAAGATTTTGTCAAATTACGCTCACTTCTACTTTGATCCTGGGTTTTAAACTGCATTTCCCATCACAAAAATTTGGGTCTAAATTCAGTTGAGTTTTTTTATATTTAGCCCTCTTAAGTGTTTTTAGTTTAATACAACTACTTTTATGAATACTCTCAGCCTTGAGTTATGCACTTGTTAAGTGTCTGGTTTCTCATGTTCCAGATATTCTGGTGGAATTATGATTATTCTCTTTTCAGGAAGGTGAATATTGAAAGACCTGTAGTTTCTACTTTCCCAATCACCTTTTATTCTGCTCCGATTTTATTCATTCCCACAGTACGTTTTAGTAGTGACTCACCCGGATACAAAAAGGAAAAGGGACTTTCATGGTGCTCCCAGGTTGACACTCCATCTGCTTCTAGTAGAACTGCTCAATAGAGGATTTCAAGAGGTCTGTCAGCTTCTCCTTATAATGAAAACTCCCAGAAATATGATGATTGCTACTGCTCCAGGCAGCAGCTCCCAGCTGCTTCTCATAATCACTTTTATTTCTTCCTCAATTCCTGGTTGCATTCACATCAAATTCTTCTTTCATTGCATATTTCAATATTTCTCTGTAAGCACTATTCAAAGTTGCTTCTAACTTTCCTGATAAGAATCATCTTGGGTATGGATTAAATTTAACATTACCAAACCTCTCTGTTACATAGACTGATTCCGTAGAATCTGTATGTTTGACAAGTATCCAAAGTGATTCTTGCCTGCGGGGACATTTCAAAATCATAGGACAACAACCTAGAACTAGGCCTGTGGTGAAATACCACCTAGAAATAACAAATAATTTTCTCCAAGCCATTTTAATTATAACCCTTTTAATTTCATGCATTTTTACAAATATAGCTATACCTTTTTCTAAGAAAGACTATATTTATCATTTACACACATAAAATATAATACATCTGTGCTACAGACATTATAGCAATTTGGGATATGGAAGAATCAAACAACTTTTCTGCCCTTGAGGAGCTCATACTTTGACAGCATAGTTGAAACCCAGGTAAAAATGAAGATCCAAACACTTCAGAAAAGGAGAATTAGAAATGCAAAGAATCTCATACAAGATTATGAGATTCATACTACATGTAAGCATAGTAATTAAATTTAAGTTTCTTCAAATCCAAGGTCAAAAGGAAACACATCAACTCATATACTTCTCTTTGCGGAGAGGGGAAATGAGGTATATGCAAACAACATTTGTTTCACCCTGGACACAGTGAAGAATTAAATTTTTTTTTGGATAATGAATATCAAATTACATAAATTATATTTATCATTATAAATGTAATGATCATTTAATTATAAATATAATTTATATTTATAGATAACAGGTTCATTCCTAAAGGTTTTAGACATTTACCAGAACAAAATATAAAAGAGGAGGAAGAATAGTGTTCTAGAAGAAGGGAATAGTAAACAAACATAAATACTGAACAGTGGGATCTGTTTCAAAAGGTGCTTACAAGTTATGTGTCTGTAAATTAGCAAGCAAACATACCTATTACATGCTAATAAGTTTGCCCATAATGGAAATTAATATAAACAGAAGATCTGAGGCTTTATTTTTATGTGTCTGAAACTGAATTTTGAAATGCTACTTTAATATATTTAACCATACAATTTGCTATGTAACATCTATTATGATAATCACAATATTAGGATGTTTCACTGCACTGTCTCCATTTAAAATTTAGTGAATGTGGATTACTCTTTTACATTAATTTTTGGAGCATATCAATAAAATGCCCATTGACTTCCCGGATTCAGCTGTGCCCTTCACATGATGTTGTTGTTAAGAGGCCTATTTCAGGACCTTATGAAGATCCAATGGTGAATCTCTACCAACAGTTTATGAAATCTAAATCTTAGAGTTGCAAACGTACTGTATTTCCACAGAGCACTTTGTGCAAAACGGATTGGAATCTGCTATAGTCTTACCTCTCCTTGACAGTCAATTTTGTGCCTTATTTGCAAATGTAGCACTTTGTGTGAAGCAGTTCACCAGTGATGTTACAAATCCTAATGAAGTGCTTTACCTCCTGCCAGATTTCAGTGGGGAAGGCTTTCAAATGCATTTCCATTTATACATGCCTGCTTTTTACCCTCAGTGCACAATGAAATCCTACTGAATAATGTGCTTTATTTTCTGTTTCCTTTCTCTGGGATGTATGTTGAAAGACAGAAAGTAGATTGGTGTTATAAATGCAAAGAGAGGAAAGCAATTAAGTCATAAAAAATGAGACAGGCTTTGCCTAATGTAGATGCATTGTTATAAATAAGATATGGGTAGAAGTCTGTAGACTTAGGGATTTCATTCTCCATACCAATGGTTTCAGTTTTCTATCAATGGTGAGACAACAAGGATTCTATTTTCTTTCCTCCCAGCGTCTGCTAGACCTCAGAAACAACACGTTTAATCTTGTAGCATCAGTGTTTTAGAGATCTTGTTCTGTATATTTCATCTTTCTGGCCCAATGCCATCAAGGGCAGTAAAGTTCAGGCATAAAGGAAAAATGTCAAACATGATAAAAATATGTAATGATAAATATATGTAAAATAAATAAAAAGAAGAAAAATCACACACACAAAAAATCGAACAGAGCCACTTGTTTTGCTTTCAAACTATGCAGCACCAGTTAGGTTTAATAATTATAAATTTATGTCTGAACACATTGGAGATGAGCTTTAGTAAACTGACAGCAAAGCCGCTAACAATTATATATTTAGCTCTGATATTAATATTTCATTATTTTTTAAGTAAAGCACATGGTATCTTGATTGGTCATGAGCATAGTTTTGATTTAACTCTATCGAGCCACTAGATTCATAACTGCTTTATCGCCCACTGATAAAGTTAATACCTTGCTATACTAATAAAACATTATTTATACATTTTTAGAATTATCAGTATAATTTAAAAACTTACCAAGAAAGACATATACCTTTCGCTTCTGTTGCCACAAGTATAATCAAAGTGTAATAAAAATACTGAATGCAGATTTTTAAAAAATTGGTATAAGATTATATTCTTGGTCTTCAAAGACAAGAATGATAATAGCCCTATAGTGTTAGTCGTGTTACTGTATGATACCAGGTGCTGCTCTAAATCTTCCCCTAAATTGCTATATGTTACACCCTCAATGATGTGATTTGATAGATGAAGAAACTAAGGGTCAGAAAACCTAATAAACATACCCAAGTTCTCCACTATTGAAGATCTAGTAAAGAACCAAGCTGAGATTTGAATCCAGACAGCTTGATTCCAGCATCAAGTTGTTTTTGTTTGTTTGTTTTGAGACAGAGTTTCACTCTTTTGCCCATGCTGGAGTGAAGTGGTATGATCTCTGCTCACTGCAACCTCCACCCCACTGGGGTTCAAGAGATTCTCCTGCCTCGGCCTCCTGAGTAGCTGAGATTACAGGCATGTGCCACCATGCCTGGCTAATTTTTGTATTTTTAGTAGAGAAGGGGTTTCACCATGTTGGCCAGGCTGGTCTCGAACTCCTGACTTCAAGTGATCCAACTGCCTCGGCCTCCCAAAGTGCTGGGATTACAGGCATGAGCCACCATTCCCGGGATCCAGCATCAGGTTTTTAAGCACTACAATCTACAACTTCTCTAGCTCTCTCTAGTCCTTGTTTCGGGATTCTGCAAACAAGCTTAAAAGGAATTAAAAAAGCAATAAGCTGGGAAACACTACAATATTATTAGTTTGGCTTACTGTCCTTTTTAGAAATTGAAATTAATAAGCAAGAGGAATTATTAAGAAAACATTGGGCCAGCAAGTCATTACAATCCTCTTCCAACTTCCCATGAAAATGTCAGTGCAGCTACAAACAAAAAGTGTGAAACACACAGCAAAACTTTAAAAACTAGATATGTAAGCCATTTATTGCCATAATCTGTGAGAAATTTCATCAACTATAGAAAATGGAGTTGAATACACAAGGAAATTTATATCAAAGGATTGTTGTAAGTAAAAGATGGAAAGGGAAGTAGATTCACATGTACAAGGTACTATGGTGCTGTTAATTTTTTTTTTTTTACTCTTTATTCTTATTTCAGATTCAAGGGGTAGACTTTGGGATTTCATGTGTAGGTTTCTTACATGGGTGTATTTCCTAATGCTGAGATTTGGAATAGGAATGATTCCTAATGCTGAGATTTGGAATAGGAATGATTTCATCACGCATGTAGTGAGGAATATCCAATACTTCGTTCTTCAGCCCTTGCTCCACTCCATCCCTCCTTCTCTGATAGTCCCCCATGTCTATTGTTGCCATCTTTACATCCATGAGTACCCGATGTTTAGCTCTCACTTGTAAGTGTGAACATGTGGTATTTGGTTTTCTCTTCCTGCATTAATTAACTTACGATAATGGCCTCCATCCATGTTGCTGCAAAAGACATGATTTCATTTTTTTTCATGACTGCATAGTATCCTATGATGTATATGTACTGCATTTTCTTTATCTAACCCACTTTTGATGGGCACCTGCGTTGATTCTATGTCTTTGCTATTGTGAATAGTGCTACAATGACCATACGAGTGCATGTGTCTTTTTTTGGTAGAACAATTTATTTTCTTTTTGTTATATACCCAGGAATGGGATTACTGGGTTGAATGGTAGATCCATTTTTGTTTTTTGAGGAATCAAAACTGCTCTGCATAGTGTCAGAACTAATTTACATTACCACCAATCGTGTATTAACCCTCCCTTTTCTCCACATCCTTGCCAGCATCTGTTTTTTTGACTTTCTAATAATAACCATTCTGACTGCTATAAGATGGTTTCACATTGTGGCCTTGATTTGCATTTCTCTGATGATTAGTGATGTTGAACATCTTTTCATTTATTTCTTGGCCACTTGTATGTCTTCTTTTGAAAAGTGTCTCTGCTGTGGATTCTTAATCAGTTAGTCATGGCGTCTTTTTTCCACTAGGCATTTTCAGTATAGTGTGTAGTCCTTTAAGATTTCACAGGCCTACAAAATAATTGAAAAAATAAGAAAGTATTTACTTCAAAATGCAGAACTAAGAAAACAAAACTGAGAAGTTTAAAGAGTATATGATTAAACATTCATAAAATATTACATAACCTGAACTAATTAATTGGAACTTCACACACAAACACACACACACACACACACACACACACACACACAGAACTACATGTGCTATATTTACATGTGTAGTAAGTAGAAACAGAGCCATACAGGTCTATACGTTTCTGAAAATGTCCTTGCACTGAATAAACCTTTTCCAGACTCATAGCTCCTGACTCAGCCACCCCAAGATGTTCACATTCAATTCCTGATCTCTTTCCCTGCAGGGTCAGTATCATTCCATTTCCCAGGCCAAATAGGACTCACAAAAGCAGAAACAAAGTCAGGTTCAGCCACCCCAAAACCTGACAGCACTGTTAACTTATTCCAACATAGAACGGGGGTGGTGCAATGGGGAAGGGTAGCTGCTGGTTCTTAGGCCGTTCCCTGATCCAAATTTCCTAGTTGCATTCCTTACTTTTGGCCACACCCACATGTGTAGTACTTAAAATTAGATTTCAACTATGGTTTCCAGTCTAATGTCTTTTTTACTAGCTAGACCTTACTAATGTAGATTCTCTGAAAAGTTTGAGGTCTGACGTCCTATGAACTCTTGAGCTCCAGGTCCCTCAGTGTGTCCCAATTTACAGTCAGAACTAAGCTGCTATTTGAGTGGCCTGTGTACCACCAAAATCTCCTTCTTATCTGAACCTCTTTTCCTCCCCTAGATTCAGAACAATGCCCCTGAACCTCTGTTTATATCTGCGCTAGAACCCTCCAAGGATGGCTTTAAGGTTCACTTGCTGTTTCTTGGACATCTGAAGATCGTCATTCATCTAACTCCTGATGGGAGAGGATGGTCATTTTTGTTCAGTTGAACCTCTAGTCAGTTGGGCTCAAACATATTCCCAGGACAATACCAGGTCCCAGACTTTGCTTCACATGATTTACCACAAATAAACAGCTTGGTTCACTGACATTCTTAAGATTATGTGAGCTGAACTCTATTCTCTGTTTTGATACTTTTCTTCTATCCATTCTTCATTTTATATTGGGAGTACATTAGGCACTCTACTTTATAAAGTGAGAAGCGTATTCTTCTAATATTCCTATGAAAAGATGAAAACACATTTGAAACACTCATATCGAAGGCTATTTTCCCCTTTGGTAATGTGATAATGTATAAATTAATTCCAAATTCATAAAAACTTACCAGGCTTGGTACTCTAGGACAACTTCCTAAATCAATGACTAGTCATTAAGAAACAAAAGTAACATTTTAAAATCCTTGAAACTCTGAGTTACCACAAGTGAAAGGGTGTAAGGAATATTGTTGTAAAATAATTTCCAGTAAAAAATAATCATTAGCTCATTTACAGAGGTGAAGCATAGGCCTTAGGTATGAACAATATTTCTCTTTTCGTTTCTCAACTGGACACTCCCTGACCCTTACCACTGCTTACATGTGGTGATCAGATAATTTACCCTTTTTCGTAGAGGGCATCCACAGTGGCTGATTAGCAGAACGTAGGTTAGAGTCTGAGGTTGTCGTTTTAGGTAGTAAAAATTAAAAGACATTTATATGCACTAAAAAACTGGATATTTTGTTAATCAGTTATTCATTTCAGCTTAGTATTTCAATCGAAATGATCAGTTAATAAAAATTGGATAGAATACTATGCACTATGAGAGAGAACAGTAGAAAAATTATCTTACACTGAATACTGGGAAGTTAGAGGAGGTAGCGGTTACCTTAAATTGCAGATAAAAGTAAAGTTATACAAACTTTGACTTCTGAGCCTGTTTTCTTTTTTCTTCTGCCCTTTTTTGGTTTCTATGTGGTAGAATATTTTTAAAGAAAAATCACTTTTTAAAAATGATTGATACCCTTGTACCAGTCAGTGGGTATTGAGATGAGGTATGCTAGCCTCTGGTATTTTCTACCTCAGCAAAGAGGATATTGCTGAGATGGGTACAGTTGTAACAACTATTTCCTACATAAATGCATTTGGCGTGTCTTGAGTATATTTTTATGTTGCCAGCAAACCCATTTATCTTACGAGATTTTTAATCTTGTATGTGTATGTGTTATATAAACTGCAAGGCCATTTCAAAAACCTGTAAGCATATCTATATATATTTTTCAAGGCAGCATTATTTTCAAAAATAAAAAAATACCTTTTCTTGTACAAAAATTAATGGCAGAAATACTTCCTTTACACAAGTTCAGAGACCAATAATTTCAGATGTGTTCAGGAGAAATAGGTGATGATGTCAGAAGAGAAATATATACACAGTTAATACATGAATAAACAAAAACACAATAGAAAATTTTTTTGTGCATTAACAAATCATTTGGTAATTTAAGCCTTACGCACAAGGAAAGCAACATCTGTTATTTGTGATTAACATTTCTAATTATTTCTTTTGGGGTTGATGTCTTAATGCAATGACTTTTTTCTTAATAAAATAGAAAATAAAGACCAAGGGAACAAAAAAGTAGAAAAAGAAATTTAAACTATTTTATGTGTATTAGAAATTTAGGAGATGCATCCTCTTTAAGATAATTTTTATCTATAAGAAAACTTTTATGAAAGCAACGTTTGAAACACGTTTTCAAATATTGTTTTGAAATAGTATATATCACTTAAAGTTTTGTTTGGCATACTGCTAAAACAATTTTTAGACATTTGTAAGCCTAAGAACAACCTATAATAGTATCTACTATCAGCCACATTTTGGAAACAAATAACATGATTAGATATCTATACAGAGAAGGAGAATTGTTAACAACACAAATTACCCTAATTTTTCCTTATTTTAAAAAAAATCAAATATTACTGTCTTTCTGGTTTACCTTTCTTTTAGCTTTTTAAGCTTATTTTCCTTTTTATTACGTAAGATGGGCAAATATTCATTGTAGGAAGACAGGACCATTTAGAAGCAATATTGTCAAGAACAAATATTTTTTAAAACCCACAATTTTTATAATGAGCAAAAGTTGATAAGGCAAAAGCTTTCAAAAATTCACATGAAATTTTAAAGTCATATATTCTGACAGGCATAGATTTCATGTTTTGTAAGTCGAAATACTTTAATAGGGAGATTTTCTCTTTGTATTTCCTTTCTTTCTTTTTTGGCCCCATTTTTTCCTAGCTCAATGTGGGATTTAGTGAGACTTTCAATACCTAGTAGTTGACTAAACGATTGATGCAGTGTTCTTTGATGAATAAATAAATAAATGACATTTTAGGCATGTGACCTGCTGATTCAGAAAAGATGGAATAGTAGTATTACACTGAGAAAACAGTAGAGTAATTACCTTACACTGAATACCGGGAAGTTAGAGAAGGTAGTGGTAAGGAAAAAGAGAAAAAAAATATGATGAGATATAAGACAAGCAATTTTTTTTATTATACTTTAAGTTCTAGGGTACATGTGCAGAATGTGCAGGTTTGTTACATATGTATACATGTGCCATGTTGGTATGCTGCACCCATTAACTCTTCATTTACATTAGGTATATCTCCTAATGCTATCCCACCCTGCTCCCCCCGACCCCACAACAGGCCCCGGTGTGTGATGTCCCCCTTGCTGTGTCCAAGTGTTCTCATTGGTCAATTCCCACCTATAAGTGAGAACATATGATGTTTGGTTTTTTGTCCTTGCGATAGTTTGCTGAGAATGATGGTTTCCGGCTTCATCCATGTTCCTACAAAGGACATGAACTCATCCATTTTTATGGCTGCATAGTATTCCATGATGTATATGTGCCACATTTTCTTAATCCAGTCTATCATTGTTGGACATTTGGTTGGTTCCGGGTCTTTGCTATTGTGAATAGTGCCACAATAAACATACGTGTGCATGTGTCTTTATAGCAGCATGATTTATAATCCTTTGGGTATATACCCAGTAATGGGATGGCTGGGTCAAATGGTATTTCTAGTTCTAGATCCCTGAGGAATCGCCACACTGTCTTCCACAATGGTTGAACCAGTTTACAGTCCCACCAACAGTGTAAAAGTGTTCCTATTTCTCCACATCCTCTCCAGCACCTGTTTCCTGACTTTTTAATGATTGCCATTCTAACTGGTGTGAGATGGTATCTCATTGTAGTTTTGATTTGCATTTCTCTGATGGCCAGTGATGATGAGCATTTTTTCATGTGTCTTTTGGCTGTATAAATGTCTTCTTTTGAGAAGTGTCTGTTCATAACCTTCGACCACTTGTTGATGGCTTTTTTTTTTTTTTGTAAATTTGTTTGAGTGCTTTGTAGATTCTGTATATTAGCCCTTTGTCAGATGAATAGATTGCAAAAGTTTTCTCCCATTCTGTAGGTTGCCTGTTCACTCTGATGGTAGTTTCTTTTGCAGTGCAGAAGTTCTTTAGTTTAATCAGATGCCATTTGTCAATTTTGGCTTTTGTTGCCATTGCTTTTGGTGTTTTAGACATGAAGTCCTTGCCCATGCCTATGTCCTGAATAGTATTGCCTAGGTTTTCTTCTAGGGTTTTTATGGTTTTAGGTCTAACATTTAAGTCTTTAATCCATCTTGAATTAATTTTTGTATAAGCTATATGGAAGGGATCCAGTTTCAGCTTTCTACATATGGCTAGCCAGTTTTCCCAGCACCATTTGTTAAATAGGGAATCTTTTCCCCATTTCTTGTTTTTGTCAGGTTTTTCAAAGATCAGATAGTGTGTACAAAGATGTGTGATATTATTTCTGAGGGCTGTGTTCTGTTCCATTGGTCTATATCTCTGTTTTGGTACCAGTACCATGCTGTTTTGGTTACTGTAGCCTTGTAGTATAGTTTGAAGTCAGGTAGCATGATGCCTCCAGCTTTGTTCTTTTGGCTTAAGATTGACTTGGCAATGCAGGCTGTTTTTTGATTCCATATGAACTTTAAAGTAGTATTTTCCAATTCTGTGAAGAAAGTCATTGGTAGCTTGATGGGGATGGCATTGAATCTATAAATTACCTTGGGCAGTATGATCATTTTCAGGATATTTATTCTTCCTATCCATGAGCATGGAATGTTCTTCTATTTGTTTGTATCCTCTTATTTCATTGAGCATTGGTTTGTAGTTCTCCTTGAAGAGGTCCTTCACATCCCTTGTAAGTTGGATTCCTAGGTATTTTATTCTCTTTGAAGCAATTGTGAATGGGAGTTCACTCATGATTTGGCTCTCTGTCTGTTATTGGTGTATAAGAATGCTTGTGATTTTTGTACATTGATTTTGTATCCTGAGACTTTGCTGAAGTTGCTTATCAGCTTAAGGAGATTTTGGGCTGAGATGATGGGGTTTTCTGGATATACGATCATGTCATCTGCAAACATGAACAATTTGACTTCCTCTTTTCCTAATTGAATACCATTTATTTCTTTCTCCTGCCTGATTGTCCTAGCCAGAACTTCCAACACTATGTTGAATAGGAGTGGTGAGAGAGGGCATCCCTGTCTTGTGCCAGTTTTCAAAGGGAACGTTTCCAGTTTTTGTCCATTCAGTATGATATTGGCTGTGGGTTTGTCATAAATAGCTCTTATTATTTTGAGATATGTCCCATCAATACCTAATTTATTGAGAGTTTTTAGCATGAAGGGCTGTTGAATTTTGTCAAAGGCCTCTTTTGCATCTATTGAGATAATCATGTGGTTTTTGTCATTGGTTCTGTTTATATGCTGGATTACGTTTATTGATTTGCATATGTTGAACAAGCCTTGCATCCCAGGGATGAAGCCCACTTGATCATGGTGGATAAGCTTTTTGATGTGCTGCTGGATTCGGTTTGCCAGTATTTTATTGAGGATTTTTGCATCGATGTTCATCAGGGATATTGGTCTAAAATTCTCTTTTTTTGTTGTGTCTCTGCCAGGCTTTGGTATCAGGACAAGCAATATGAAAGAAATGGCCCATGGCCAGGATATACAGAAGCCAAAGATCCTGTTGTTTATATTCAGAAGTCCACAAGAAGATGTGATATTCTCAGTATCTAGGTCTTCTGTAAAATAGCAATTCAAATTTTGAGGAACACTATGCTATAAGATAGTTATTGCTTGTGTTCTGTGCAAATTCCAATAACATTTCGTGTGTGTGTGCACATGTGTGAAATTAAAGTTTTATTTTGCCTATCTAACTATATAAAAAAAGTCTTTAAATAGTAAATATTTCAGAACATTTACTAATTTTTTTTTCCACGGCTAAAGCAAAATGTTGACCATGTAAAAAAATCTTTAAAGAAGTAAGTTGAAATTTAAAAGCAAATATGTTGAGAATCCATTTATCTGTATGTACAAATATACATCAAATATTTGAAAAGTAATATGGAAGATAGCAAAGAAAATGCAAGAAAATTGATATGGTTTGGCTGTTTCTCCACCCATATCTCATCTTGAATTCCCATTTGTTGTGGGAAGCACTCAGTGGGAGGTAATTGCATCATGGGGGTGGGTCTTATCATGCTGTTCTCATAATAGTGAATAAGTCTCGCAAGATCTGATGGTTTTAAAAACGGGAGTTTCCCTGCACAGGCGTTCTCTTTGCCTGCTTCTGTCCACATAAGAAGTGACTTGCTCCTCCTTGCCTTCCACCATGATTGTGAGATCTCCCCAGCCATGTGGAATTGTAAGTCCATTAACCTTTTTTCTTTTGTAAATTGCCTAGTTTCGGGTGTGTTTTTATCAGCAGTGTAAAAATGAACTAATACAAGAATCTAGTAGTATATTACATTTACAAAAGAAGGTTGACCACTCTCTACATTCTATGGAACTTTCTGTGAGTCTGTCATTACTTCAAAATAAATGTTTTAAAAAAGCAGAATAGACCCATTCTTCATGCACAACCTACTTCGAAGGTAAGAGACTGTCTCACTGACATTGTATACCAGCTGACACTGTTTATGATAGATATTTACACAATAACAATTCCAATCATTGCATCTGTCCTTTATAGAAAGAAGGCTCTAACTACTGCAGAGAAATTACAAGAAAGCTAAACAGAAGAATTACTCTTCCTCTACAAAGGAATGCAATTCAAAGTTAAAAGTTGCTATATTCATGTCTGCTTTCAATAAGTTTTGAAAAACTTGTTAAAATTGAGGACATGGACGTTGAGGACATGAACGTTACACTGGGAATTTCTCCCTGCCCACAACTAAGCAGTGAGAATTACAATATAAATGTTCAAATACATTATAACAATACAAAGTAAAACAACACAGCTCCATAAAAATAAAACTTTTCATGGACTATAAATTCTGGGAATGGAGGGGCAAGGCATTAGGGAAACACAGATACCCTCAGGGTAGCAGGAATCAAAACAACTTCGTGAATGACAGAGAACCGCAGTAAGACTACTATATGAATCAAGAAAGCTTAAAATGTTGGGAATGTTGACTGAATTATTGCTTATTTCAATCAGTGTGCTTGTGGTAGCAGGAGAAATCATTGCAGAGGGAGCCTGGGTCAAGTCACCCCTTGGTTGTATAACTGGAACTGGAATATTGCCAATATAACTGAGACAGGAGCTTTTAGCCACTAATTGAATATCTGAATCTGAAAAGTCATCCACAGGGAGTGCCCACAAAGTCTCCAAAGGGGAAAGGTTAATAGAAACATCGAGGAGAAAATTTCACAAGAAAATCTTTCCACAGAATTAGACCCTGCTGATTAAATTCAAAACCTCCTGAGAAACTAAGAAGGACATCAACGATTAACATCAACTGTGATACATTAGACTTGTAGAACAACCTCAAAATGATTTTAAAATAAATTAAGTTCTGGAAGCTATAAAATAAAGGAATAATGGTCCTGATAACAAAATATAATATTGGTAGTTATCAATAAAAAGTGCACAAGCATCAGTTTACAATGCCGAGTCCAACAAACGAAATCATATGTTGTTTTAACATAAACGTAGAACATGCAAAACATTTGAAAGTTGGCTAGGTAGGGGAGAGGGCAAGATGAACAACTAGCCAGATGCAACAGCACTCACTGAAAGATGGGTGTGCTTTTTACAGATCTTCAGAGGGAAAGTACCTAGAGTGGACAGAGGGAAGACACATAAACGGGTGAAAGGAGAGAAAGCTGGGAACCCTGGACAGGGCTATGGCACACTGGGAGTCTGAACCACAGCAGCCTCAGGGGAATGGGTGAGTTGATTTGGCAAGGAACAACGTACTCTCACCATGGGCCTCTGGAGCCCCAGCAGGAGAGGACCCCTCGACTACAACAGGCACTCAAGCTGGCAGGGAGAGCTGCTTAGAACAGTGGTAAGGACAGCAAGCCAGCTGATGTGGAGCCCAGAAGGTTCAGTGTGGAAGCACTGGTACTGGAACATGGCCAGGGACAGCCATTCCCCCTAGGTTCTACTTCCTCTCATAGAGACTTTAGCCCTAGGGGATTTCTAGAGGGCAGTCTTGCCCATCAGATGAGGCTGGTTTCACTTCAGCACACCTTGGTCTCTCCTGGGGCCCAAGCCTGGCCAAGCCTGCTTGCCAGGCACTCTTTGGTGCCCTGGCAGCCCATACCATAGCTTCTGTGCCAGTGGACCATGCCTGACTGGTGGAGAGCTCCAGTGAGGCAGCCCCTACAGCCATGCAGCAGCCTGCCCACTCCTTCCCCATACTGCAGCTTTCCACGGGCTCACAACATCCCAACATTGCTTTGTTGGCATGTCTTCAGGTGGATGGGTTTTGCTTTTTTTACCTGCCAGCACACAGAAGAGCAGTCTGCCTTCACCTCCTCATGACCACTGACATTGCAGATGAAGCCTTGGTGGGCATAGAGCCAGCAAACCCCACCCTCACTAGTGCACAGTCCTTGTGCTAACACTGAGCAAAGAACAGTGATCCTCTCCCAACCTGAGTGATCACTCCTGCTTGCCAGGTACAGAAAAGGCACCAGGACTTGTGCTCTCCAGTGTCACACCCCCAAACCAATACTACCTCCAGTGTGGCTATGCACAATTCTCCACAAGGGGCCCCCTATCTTTCCCAGTTGCATTGCCTCTGCCACTGTGGTGAGTGCCCACATGGAGGCAGACACTTCACCATCTGCTAGCACTCTGCCAAATTGCCACACCTCAACTTCCTCCCAGCACAGTGTAATCCAGACCTCTAGAAGCCAAAGAACAAAGTTAGGGTCCAATACAAGTCCCCCAGAGTTACAGCACACTGCCCAGGAGTTAAGAGCTGAACGTTGGCCCCCTAAAATCTTCCAGAAATGAAGCCAGTCAGCTAAATTCACCTTATACCATAATCAAACTCTCAAGGTCTTCAAATAGGATAAAAACAAAAACAACACAAAAAACCATCCAAAAGTAAACAACCTCAAAGATTGAAGGTAGATAAGCTCACATAGATGAGAAAGAATCAGTGAAATAATGGTAACAATGCAAAAAGCCAAAGTGCCTTTTTTCCTCCAAATAGGATTGCCTCTCCAGCAAGGGTTCTTAACTGGGTAGAGATGGCTGAAATGACAGCAACAGAATTCAGAAAATGGATAGGAATGAAGTTCGTTGAGGTACGGGAGTATTTTGTAACCCAATGTAAGGTAGCTAAAAATCATAATAAAACAATGCAAGAGCAGACAAACAAAACAGAAAGTATAGAAAAAAATGTAATTGACCTGACAGAGCTAAAAAACACGGAAGAATTTCATAATTCAATCGCAAGTATTAATAGTAGAATACACCAAGTAGAGAAAAAGATCTCAGAGCTAGGAAACTGGATTTCCGAAATAAGAATGTCAAACAAGAATAGAGAAAAAAGAATAAAAAGAAATGAACAAAAGAATCATAGAAATATGGGATTATGTATAGAGAATGAATCTACGACTGATTGGTGTACCTAAAAGAGATGGGGAGAATGGAACCAACCTCAAAAGATATTTCAGGATAACATCCATGAGAACTTTCTCAAACTAGCTAGAGATACCAACATTCAAATTAAGAAAATGCAGAAAACCCCAGTATGATACTTCACAAGAAGGCCATCCCTAAGACATAGCCATCAGATTCTCCAAGGTTGAAATGAAAGAAAATGGATAAGAAGAATCAATATCATGAAAGTGGCCATACTGCCCAAGATAATTTATAGATTTGATGCCATCCCCATCAAGCTACCAATGACTTTCTTCACAGAATTGGAAAAAACTACTTTAAAGTTCATATGGAACCAAAAAACAGATCGCATTGCCAAGTCAATCCTAAGCCAGAAGAACAAAGCTGGAGGCATCATGGTACTGGACTTCAAACTATACTACAAGGCTACAGTAACAAAAACAGCATGGTACTGGTACCAAAACAGAGATAGTCCAATGGAACAGAACAGAGCCCTCAGAAATAATACTACACATTTACAACCACCTGATCTTTAACAAAACTGACAAAAACAAGAAATGGGGAAAGGATTCTCTATTTAACAAATGGTGGTGGGAAAACTGGCTAGCCATATGTAGATAGCTGAAACTGGATCCCTTCCTTATACCTTATACAAAAATTAATTCAAGATGGATTAAAGACTTAAATGTTAGACCTAAAACCATAAAAACCCTAGAAGAAAACCTAGGCAATACTATTCAGGACATAGGCATGGGCAAGGACTTCACGTCTAAAACACCAAAAGCAATGGTAACAAAAGCCAAAATTGACAAATGGGATCTAATTAAACTAAAGAACTTCTGCACAGCAAAAGAAACTACCATCAGAGTGAACAGGCAACCTACAGAATGGGAGAAAAATTTTGCAATCTACTCATCTGACAAAGGGCTAATCTACAAAGAACTCAAACAAATTTAAAAGCAAAATGCAACCACATCAAAAAGTGGGCAAAGGATATGAACAGACACTCCTCAAAAGAAGACATTTATACAGCCAACAGACACATGAAAAAATGCTCATCATCACTGGGGCCATCAGAAAAATGCAAATCAAAACCACAATGAGATACCATCTCACACCAGTTAGAATGGCAATCATTAAAAAGTCAGGAAACAACAGGTGCTGGAGAGGATGTGGAGAAATAGGAACACTTTTACACTGTTGGTGAGGCTGTAAACTGGTTCAAATGCCAAGTTTCTCATATCAAAATTTAATTTTCATTTGAATATGTATTTTTAAATTAAATAGATATTTACAAATCAAATCTAACAACTTTGTAATAGATATTTGTTGCCTATATTATACATTATCAAGTAAATTTTATACTGGGAATGTAAGATATAGAACTATATCAAAAGTTTGATCAATGTAATCTATTAAATCAGTAGCTTAAAGGCTATAACCTGTACCTTTCAACAGAATATACAATTTAACATTCATTCATGATTAAGATAACAAGCAAACAAAATTAAACAAAATTTCTAACTATATCAGAATAGCCAGGAACATCCTTAATTTTATAAAAGAACATTAACATATGTATGGTAAAACTCACATTGCCATTAAAGTCAAGAAGAAGCTAAGGAAGCCCTCCTTCCCCTTTATGACACGGTATTAGAAATCAGCATTGTAGTAAGATATATAAACTGAAAAAGAAGAAATAAAATCTGTATTATTTAAAGTTAATGTGAGTATCTTCATGGGAAATCAATATAAAAATAAACTAGAAGAATATAAGAAAATTTTATCATGATTGTTGGAAACATAACTAATATGCAGTAATTAATGGCCTTATGATACACCAGCTATAAGAAATTTTTAGAATCGTGTAGAATGTATTTGATTCTTAAATGCCAAAAATTCCATATGAAACATTAAATTTTAACAGATTTTCAATATATTTGATTTTTTTTAAGGACAGGAAAGGTGACCTGAATAAATAGAGCAAACTAGTGCATTTGGGGATTTGAATACTCAGTATATAAAAATATCATTTTTAATGATAAAAATATCACTAAAAGCTTATGAAGATCCAAAGCAATTGAGAAAAAAAAAAACACAAGATAGGGAATTGACATCATCAGATTTTAACATATACTCATATTAGGGAAAACAGTGTAATATAGTAACTGAATAACTTAGCTTCATAATGTATTTTAAAACTTTTTTTTCTTTTTTCTAGATTTTTTTTTTCAAATATACTTTGAAACTTGTTGTTTTACTCACTTCTCACTGGAAACCTCTTATGCTGTGCTAGTTTATCTAATTATATGCTTGCTTGGAAATTCCAGGGGTTAATCTTGAAGCCAACCAGGTGTGGTGACCGAGCTGTGAATTCCTCCCCATCCAGAGATTACCTCAAGGAAGTTAATTTACAACCAGCCACTATCAAGATGGCACCACCCCACACTTCATATGAACAACAGCTCAAGATAGCCATTGGAACAAGACACCTAGAGCCCATACCCTGCACTCTCCTGCATGTTTCTCATACCAAGTTTCCCTTCTCAAACCCTTTACCTAGCCCCAAATATGTAATGATCTTTCAGAGGCAGGAGCCTAGCCATTTCTCAACTGCTAGCACTTGAATAAAGTTACTTCTCTTTCACCACACCTCACTTCTAGTGGTCTGACTTCATAGCATCAAGCAGCTGAACTTAGGTCAGTTACAAATGTGGTGCCCTGTGCGAGAAGCTGTGTTTCAAGTGGCCTTACTTGTCTGTCTGTTTTCCAATAAGTGGAGTAATTGGCTGACCCCACAGCTGGGAACTCCAGGGGACTCACAGCAGCTGCTGAGGATGCTTTTGCCTTGGAGATTTTCCCATTTGTTTCCCCCACCTCTCCCATGGCATCAGGTGTCTGCAATGCTTTGTTGGTGTAAGGAAAGCAACATATGGGAAGGTGATGGGCTTCAAGAACTTTGTAAGTCAACCAAAGTGCACCCGGAAATCCTGACTCTATCACGTGGACTCTCTAGCCATCTGGACCTAGTATAGGTCATCTGTGGTGCTATCTGAACCTAGCACTGGTCATTCCATGGTGCCTACTGGGTTTGAGATATGATTGAAGAACTTCTCTTCAGTCTCCTCTCTTTGGGGATTGGTTCACAATGGTCTGTCTGCAATAAGATCCCTCTGTCTGTTTATGTTTAATGTTTTCCCTGTCTCTGAGGGTGTTCAGCACAGTTTCCAATCTAGTCTATCTGTAGAGCAGGGTCCCACTAACTAAAAAGATCGGGTACATCTGGTTGTCAGAAGGCAGCAAGATAGAGCATTCCCCTTTCAGGAAATAGGCAAAATTTATTATCCTGGGCCACTCTCTCTGATAATAAATTCTAGGCTAATAAATATCAAAAATTTTGGATATTCACATTGAGACTTATGGGGAGAGGAAGGCTTGTGAACTTTTCTAGATGAGCCTGCCACCGTGCTGATTGAGTTCTGTGCTGCTAATGTGAAAATAATATCAATAGTACCTGGGTTCAGTCCTCACATAATCCTCACTCTAACCTGTTTGCTCTTTTGGTCTGCCTTGGTTGTTATCACTCTGTTTCTATTTGTTATGGTTGGTGGGTCAGGAGGACTTGGACTCGGTGCAAAGCTGAAGAGATAGAGAAAGCTATCCAGACTCTTACTAGCCACTGGCCCACATGAGGAACTCTTTCCTTGACATCGCTGGCTGTCATGGCTGTATGGAGAGACTTAAGTGAGCAAGCCTACTGGGACTGGGAGTGACATTATCCCCAGCCCAAGAGAGCTCATCTTACCCCTGGACCTTTGATCATGTGACATGCTCTATATAGACATAAAATTGGTGGCAGGGTTCCTATTCCACATGACATCCCCCTGGGATATATCTTGGCTAATTGGAGAGCCTATAGCTATGAGCCCATGTCTAAAAAGAAATGATTTCTTATTGCAACACTGTTTAGCAACTGTACAAATTGGATGATAAAATTTGTCATGTGAATGGAATCACCCAATATTATAAACTATCACCGCTGGAATTGTTCTGTCAGAGGGTTTGGGAAATGGGCAAAAGTATCCTATGTTCAGGCTTTTATCTTACTGCCTAACTAGGACTCAGGTTAAGGGGAAAATCGGCTGCAGACTGAACAAAGCAATGAAGAACAAAGCAATGAAAAACAAAGCTTTCCTCAAACCTGATAGTAGAACCCAGGAAAAAAAAGACAATGAGGAAACAAGCCTCCTAAATGTTCTGAACCTGCCCCCTTTGGATCTGGCTTCAATGGCTGCCACTCTGGCTGCTTTCCCAGTTGCTGTTCCAGCTGCTACTCTAGCGGCTTCCCCAGGGGCTTCTCTGGCCATTGCTTCAGCCTCAAGGTTTGATGACATGGCTCTGGCCACTGCTCCACCAGTTCCTCTGGCAGTAGCTCTAGCAGCAGCGGCAGTGGCCCTGCTGGTTGTGGCTGCTGTTCCAGCTACTCTTACCATTGCCCCAGTAAGCCTTTCAATGTCTGCACCAACCGCTTGGCCCAAGATGCCTTGGCAGCACCATACAAGGACCTATTGCCAAACACTGTGCCAGACCAAGCTACCTTGGTGCTGCAATACAAAGCTCTAGACCTAGAAGGGGTAGTGACAGCCCCACTCCAAGAAAATGAGGTAATTGAAATGATATCCCCTTCCAAGAACAAACAGGGCACCCAATTTGGCCAGAATAGCACTAGAAATGGAATAGGGCAATATCCACTCAGGTAATGCCCTATAAGCAGATTGAACGCATATGGCTTTAAATATCCTGGGATCCAAGGTGGCACTGTGCATTAAGACTAAATGTTTTATATATTTATTTTTTATATATTTATATATTTATATATATCAGATTTTTCTCATGATATAATCCAAGCTATGCATGCATTGGAGACCCATGTTTCTTCTGTAGATACCCTCTCCCAGGAGCCTGTAACATTATGGTTTAGCCACTCTTAATGCATAGAAGACTTATATACAGCATGATTGCTATTCTGTTCATTGACCTCTTCAGCTGCTATGAACTTTATTGTTGTTGTATGCTTTGAATGGGGATGCAAGATAGATTTTCGCAGAAGTTCCTAGGTCCGCACACATTAATATTCCAGCAAGTTCCTATTATGAATTTGGGAACTGGGAATTATTTTCTACTCCAAATGTACAGACTCCATTCTGGTGTCATCTAACTGTGCCCCTTTTCAGCAGGAATTAGCCAGATTGACTGTGTTGCGCACTCTCCATAGAAATTGAATGGAATTTGACAGTGGGGAGTTGTAAACAAGTAGTTTAGCTTCAAAATGCATTTAAATGTTGTTTCCTTCTTTCTAGTCTTAGCCTTGAAATATACTTTGAAATTGTTTGTTTTCCTCTCTTCCCACTGGATCCTCCTTGCACTGTGCCAGTTTATCTAGAATTGTGCTTGCTTATAAATTCCAAGGGCTATATTGAAAGAAGCCAGACAGGGAGACCCAGCTGCAGAATCCTCCCCATCTAGAGATTATCTCAAGGCAGTTAAAGTACAACTCTGCTGGCTGGGCGCGGTGGCTCATGCCCATAATCCCAGCACTTTGGGAGGCTGAGGCGGGCAGTTCACGAGGTCAGGAGTTCGAGACCAGCCTGACCAACACGGTGAAACCCTGTCTCTACTAAAAATACAAAATTAGCTGGGCCCTGGTGGCGAGCGCCTATAATCCCAGCTATTCAGGAGGCTGAGGCAGGAGAATCGCTTGAACCTGGGAGGCAGACGTTGCAGTGAGCCGAGATCAGGCCATTGCACTCCACCCTGGACAACAGAGTGAGACTCTGTCTCAAAAAAAAAAAAAAAAGTACAACCCTGCTACCACTGAGATGGCACTAGCTCACTAGCTTGCACCTCAGGTGGACAACAACTCAATGTAGCCATTGGAACAAGACACACAAGACACATAGACCCTGTACTCTGCACTACTCCCTCATATTTCTCATATACCAAGTTTCCCTTCTTCAGCCACTTACTCAGCTCCAAATATGAAATTGTCTTTCAGAAGCATGAGCCTTGCCATTTCCCAAGTAGTAGCACTTGAATAAAGTTGCTTCTTTTTCATCACACCTTGTTTCTCAGGTTCTGTCCTCTCAGTGGCAAGCAGCTGAATTTGAGTTGGTTACAACATATTTAAATCCATCAATGGGCATAGATCAAGGGAAAATGTTGCAGAATGTTGAATATACAGGGAGCATGAATGACACCATGGCATATGATAGGAGACATATTAAAAGACATGGAGGGCCAGGCGTGGTGGCTCATGCCTGTAATCCCAGCACTTTGGGAGGCTGAAGTGGGGGGATCACAAGGTCAGTAGATCGAGACCATCCTGGCCAACATGGCGAAACCCCATTTCTACTAAAATACAAAAATTAGCTGGGTGTGGTGATGTTTGCCTGTAGTCCCAGCTACTCGGGAGGCTGAGGCAGGGGAATCACTTCAACTTGGGAGACGGAGAGATTGCAGTGAGCTTAGATCACGCCACTGCCCTCCAGCCTGGCGACAGAGTGAGACTCCGTCTCAAAAAAAAAAAAAAAAAAAAAAAAAGACATGGAGAAAAGCTGGGCTGTTAAACAGACTGTGTTAATTCAACCGTATTTTTTCTTACATACAGAATGAAGAAACAAAAACATATGTATTTTCAAGTGCTTGGTGGGGGGTGGGGAATGATGAAGGCTAAATTCTCACTTCCTGTATTAAGAAATAAAAAGATCTTGTATTGAAGTGACTAAAAGCAAGAAAATTTCTCAGGTAACATTTTTTTAAAACTGAAAATATTTGCCTTTAAATGTAAAAATCAGGGATAGGATGGAACGAAAGTGGGCCCTATATTTTATTATAATCTTACTTCAGTTTTCCAAATAATATGCATGGGTCACTTTCTTGAATATGAATATTAATTTTTAAAAAAACATTAGAGACTTTTACTGTCGTTTGAAATTTCAAACTGACATCTCATTTCCTATAAACATTTAGAAAAAATTAATGTATGTTGTGATGTTTAAAACACTTGCAGCACTGAGCACATGATACACATTTCATATAACTATGCCTGATGAACCTGAACTTTTATCAGGGCATTTAAAATCTACCAAGTTCATCCAGAATTATAAATGTAAAATCAGAGATAAATAATTGCTAAAACTTTTAAGGATAATGACTACGTATTGGGTCATATACATTAAGTCAAAATCATGTGTTACTATTAATTCAGAGACAATAGAGGGGTTGAGAAACCATAGTCTGTGGGCAATATCTATCCTCCTTGTTTTCATATGCTCTACAAGCTGAAAATGGCTCTTACATCTCTGAATGACTATACAGGTGCTTAATGTTGTCAATCTTGCCTTTTGGCCCACAAAGGATAAAATATTTTCATTCTGACCCTTTAGAGAAAAATTTTGCCAACCTCCTGTCTATAGAATAATAAAACACATGTAAATTTGGTCAATTTTGAGAAAAAAAACTCATCAAATTGCTTGTTTAGCTAAATTTCCAACTGTTTTCAATAGTGCAATTAATTAAAAATAGCTGATCCAGGTGTTCCAAGTAAGCACAATCTGTAATTTGCCCCCCAATGCCTGAACTAAGAAACGCTGCTACTCAAACTATGTTAAAAAATGGATAAGTTCCAGCTTTGGAATGTACTAGCAAATATATTTTAGACAGGGACTATACAGATTTATCCAGAAGCAAGGTAAACATCTGTTCTATCAGTTGATACAAAGTTTATATACTTGGCAGGTTCTGATGATCAACTCTGCTAATGCATATGTCATAGCTCTTGACTTCAGAGAGTTTATTAATTCATTTTTACTTGGGACACATCAATAGTCCAGATAATCACTTTATAGACACTACACTTAGGGTGGCTGTATAACTGGTTAATGGATAATACCCAAAGAATTATCAGTATAAAAATTCTGGCTTACAGAATGTAGTACACATTCAGCTTCATTTCTATTGTAAAAATTTGTGGAAGTAGAATTTGTATAAAATATTATTTGATACATCCAAAAATTAAACCAAAGGTGAAGAATATGATGTAGAACCGCATTGTTCAATAGGCAGCTACTAGCCAAGTACAGCTGTTTAAACTTAAACTCATTTTCTCAGTTGCAACAACTACATTTCAAGTATCAATAGCCACAGAAGTCTAGTGGCTACCATTTTGGACAGCAAAGACTTAGAACATTTTCATCATTACCCACATTTCTGTTAGATGGAGCAGATACAAAAGATAAAATGAAATTCAGACCAAACTCAATCATGTCTGGAAATGGTGAATAAAACCTCAATAGAATAGATACTTGCTTAGTCTGACTGGTAATATACATCTGACTCTGGATGTGAGGTAGTGAGTTTTAAATGTATTTAATTTGAGTATTTGTGGTATATATCCTAGTGGAGATGTCCAATAAACAAGTGAAAATATAGTCTGAAACTCAAATGTCTTTTTTTTCAAATAGAGAAAAAAAATTGGTGGTTATTAACTTATGGGTTTTAGCTGAATCTGTGATAAAGTTAATGGATATACCTTTGAGAGACACTGTCTCACTCATAATAGTTGCTAACAATAGAAACCATTGTAGCTAATACATGTAGTTGAAAGCATATTTATGACTGCTAGAGATTCAGGCTTAGAGGCTATGCAGCCAAAAGTCTCCCAACTATATCATAGAAATGCACCAGCAAAGACTCAGACATGCAACAGGCATCATTGGTGCTTGTCCCCACCCATGACCCTCACTGTGTTGTGCCTGTAGACTGCATACCTCCACCTTCATCCTCACCCACTTTTGTTCCTCCTTTCCCAAGTAAAGTCTCAGATAGGTGCACTTGATTGGCAGAACATAATTTCCATGCCTACACTCTATTAGCTATAAAAAAGCCAAAAGAGTAAGTTATCCAACTTCTCCCTTAGGGTTGCACAACTCAAATTTATAAGATGTCCTAAAACATAGACATCATTTCCAAAAACTGCTAGAAATGTTGACAAAAATTCATGATAATATGGATGTCTGCATGCATATGCTTGATAAAGGAAGAATAAAAAACTAAGATATCAAAAATATTCACCATGAACAATACTGTGAAAGCCAGAAAACATCTGTATGAATGATGATGACATTGACCACTTGGGATGCAGCATTCTTTCTTTTTTTTAAGTTCTGGTATACATGTGCAGAACATGCAGGTTTGCTGCATGGGTATATATGTACCATGCGGTTTGCTCCACCTATCAACCTGTCATGCAGGTTTTTAGCCCCACATGCATTAGGTATTTGTCCTAATGCTCTCCCTGCCCTTGCCCCCCGCACCCCAACAGGCCCCAATTGTGTAATGTTCCCCTCCCTGTGTCCGTGTGTTCTCATTGTTCAACTCCCACTTATGAGTGAGAACACGCAGTGTTTGGTTTTCTGTTCCTGTGTTAGTTTGCTGAGAATGATGGCTTCTGGCTTCATCTGTGTCCTTGCAAAGAACATGAACTCATTCTTTTTTATGGCTGCATAGTATTCCATGGTGTATATGTGCCACATTTTCTTTATCCAGTCTATCATTGATGGGCATTCAGGTTGGTTCCAAGACTTTGCTATTGTAAATTGTGCTACAATAAACATACATGTGCATGTGTCTTTATAGTAGAATGATTTATAATCCTTTGAGTATATACCCAGTAATGGGATTGCTGGGTCAAATGGTATTTCTGGTTCTAGATCCTTAAGGAATCACTACATTGTCTTCCACAGTGGTTGAACTAATTTATACTCCCACCAGCAGAGCAAAAGTGTTCCTGTGAAACCCCGTCTCTACTAAAAAAAAAACCAAAAAAAAAAAAAAAATTAGCCATGTGTTGTGGCAGGTGCCTGTAGCCCCAGCTACTCAGGAGAGGTTGAGGCAGGAGAATGGCCTGAACCCGGGAGGCGGAGCTTTCAGTGAGCGGAGATTGCGCCACTGCACTCCAGACTGGGCAACAGAGCAATACTCCGTCTCAAAAAAAAAAAAAAAAAAAAGTGTTCCTATTTCTCCACATCCTCTCCAGCATCTGTTGTTTCCTGACTTTTTAACGATCACCATTCTAACTGGCGTGAGATGGTATCTCATTGTGGTTTTGATTTTCATTTCTCTAATGACCAGTGATGATGAGCTTTTTTTTTCCCATGTTTGTTGGCTCCATAAATGTCTTCTTAATCATGTAGTTGTTTTCATTTTTATTTCTCATACACTTATAATTATGTTATTTTTATTTATCTTATTTTCTTGGTCTAATGTCTTGACTTCATTTACAGTTTTGGTTTAATTCCTAGCATTATCATTCAACCACAGATTGAATGAATAGCCTGTCAACTAATCAATGAACAGTTATTTACTGCCCATCATGTGTCAGGCATTTTGTTTCGTTCTATAAATATAAATAGTGAGCACGGTAGTCATGGGCCCTGTCTTCACAAAGCTTAAATCTCTAAAAGTAAAAATTAAACTCCACACTTAAAATTATACTGACAGTTAATAAATCAATGCATCTACAAGGTTAGCACAGAGGTGAGTGGCTGATTTATTTACTCACTGATGAATTTATTTAACCCATTTCAACTATTCATTCCTTATGGTCGTGATCTTATCTTGGCAATTTCTTCTGAACTAGGCTTTTGAAGTTCCTGGAGTTGTTTCTGAATCCCAGATTGGTCCAATTCCTGTGGATAAATACATTTGGTCCCTTATATCTACATGTTCTGTATCTGCAGATTTAACCAACCCTGGATCAAAAATATTCAATAAACAACTTTTTAAAATATATAGTATAACAACTATTTATGAGGTATTTACATTGCATTAGGTATTCTAGATATTTTACTTATCCTAGATGCATAAGTAATTTAGTGATTATTTAAAGTATATAAGAGGATGTGTATAGGTTGTATACAAATACTACTCTATTTTATATCAGGAACTTCAGTATCAGCGGATTTTGGTCCACAAGAGGTCCAGGAACCATTTCCCTGAGGATATCAAGGGACAGTTGCATTTCTGGCAAGCTACATGTCTAACATTCTGTTTTTGGTGTTCCCGTGATGTTCAGTCAACTGTTATCTCCTCCCCTCTGGTGCTTTTGCTCTTTATCCCTTAATGAACTTCTTTGAAGGACTAGTATGTCTTCCTCTTGCCAAACAATAAAATATTTAGAATTATTTTCATCTTCTGATGGCCTAAATGCTCCCAGTTTTTTTTCTGTTGAGTCCTGTGGAGGCCATAGGCTATTGGCACCCTAAGAGTTTACTGAAAATTTACTGACATAAGGCAGGTTGATTGACAGAAGAAAAGGCATACAAATTTATGTAATATGTATACACGTGAGCCTTCAGAAGGAAGATCCAACTTTCTAATGAGTAACAGAAGCTTATATACCACCTTGAGGTTACAGAAAGAAGGAGGGCTTGTGATGATATAATTTTAGAAAACCCTAATGACTCCTCCAAATGATTCCTAGATCTGATAAATATACTGTATTTGGAGATAGGGCCCTTAAAGGGGTGATTAAATTAAAATGAAGCAAGTAGAGTGGGCACTAATTTAATATTATGGCCTGAGGGCTTAGGTGGGGCTCTAGATACTGATGAGACCCCAGCACCAGCTGCTGTTCCAAGTTCTTAACACCATTGCAAGAAAGAACTGAGGGACAAGTCAGAATAAAGCAAATGGCAAGAAACTTTTATTGCAAAGCCAAAGTACACACTCAAGAGCAGGAGCGTGGGCATACTCAGGAGAGTGAGCTGCAAATAGAGTTTGGTTTTCTAGTTTTATGGGCTCTTTTAATTAGGAGGTAGAATAATCATGAGGTTTTCTAGGATAAAAGGTAGAGCTTTCTTAAAATTGAGGTGCCACCCATTTTTATATTAAATATGGACATGCTCAGATCTGTCATGGCACTGGTTGGTGTGTGATTTAGTATGAAAATGAGCATATAATTAGGTCTGGGGCAGGGAATGAGTCCAATCCAACACTATGTTGGACCTAGATGGTTTTAAACCAGCTTAGCCCAGATCCTGTTGGTTAGGGTCTTATCAGCCCAGGCTTATCCTTGTTTTTATAGCTAATTTTAACAGCTCCTTTCTTGCTATGTGAAATGGCTGTTTGATATTTTCCCACTTCTCCTGTGACCATTCAGTATTCCTATTTTTTGGATATTTCTTTAATTATGGAGTGGAATAATCACTAGGTATTCCAGAAAAGGAGGAGATTTTAGAAACCCCAAGTTACTGATCCCTTTCTCTCTTACTTGAGTTTGCCTGGAAGAGACAGAGACATGTCACTGTGACCAGGGGTTGGGCCATCTTATCTGTCTTATTTTGGATTTTCTCATCTTGTAGTTTCTTTGCTTAGTTTTTGTTTTAGCTGTTTAGGTTTTTCTACCCGCCTGCAACCAACCACCCAGTACTACTCTTGTCTCAATGTGACTGGCTGTATAAAAAGAGGACATTTGAACCCATAGAGCCTCCAGTATATATACTAATAGAAAAAAAACCAAGAGAAGACACAGCAAACAGGCAGCTATCAGCAAGCCAAGGAGCGAGGCTTCAGAAGAAACCAAACTTTCTGATACTTTGATTTTGAACTTCTCACCTCCCTAAGTGTGAGAAAATAAATTTCTCTTATTTAAGTCACACATTCTCTAGTATTTGGTTATGGCTGTTCAAGTGAGATAAAGCACTTGGTAAATGAAGCTGATAGTATCTGTGTTTCGTCCATGGTCAACCAACTCAGGGAGAAGTGGGGAACATGACTCAAACATAGATCTGTTTAATCTACGTAAATGCTCTTTCCTGTTTCACCATGTTGGCTCACAAAAACAGCAGCAGTAATATCTTCAGGGTATTATGAGGAACACTTTGTTGATGATGGAAGTTTTTATATATTCTCAAAGGAGAGCATAACATTTTCTCTATGGAATTTTGTAAGTCAAGGTTGAGTAAGGGTGGAGGAATTGACAAAATGGCCCATGTTTCAGGGCTCATTCATCTATGGTTCAATGTTTTCTTCTAATATCTACTGGACACATAGACTTTTTTCTTTCTTTAATTTTCCAACTGAGGGGATTATTTGTCAGTGAATTAAGGCAGGAACTGATTTTTAAATATTAGTTTTTCTCTTTATTTCATTAGAAGGCAGAGAGCAGAACCAATATCATTTCTGGGATCTGTGCCACATGTTTCACCTCCAAGTTTTCAGACACCATAAGCAGATAGTCAATCCACAATGTAAGCTGGAAACTGATTACCAATAAGCAATTTTTTATTGTCACTCATCTAACCTTTACTATGTAAGAAAAACTCAACTCTGATTTCACTTATTTTTAATGTTTCTTGGGCTTGTAGAAAAGTCCTTGAGCCTTGTCTATTTATGTGGGAGTCAGCATTTTCAGAAACATGATTCACATAGGGTAGAATCACTTTCAAGGAGTGTGACATTGTGAGTCCACAGTCTCATAATGCTAAGGTGAAGAAAAAGAGGAAAAAAAGATGTCATATCTATAATGAATTTCAAAAGGCAAATTATAAATAACTCAGAACTTTCACCAAGTTATTACATAAGCTTACATTTGCAGTTTGAATTCATAATCAAAATAATGAAGGTGAAACCTTCTATTAGAAAATGATACATTCTTTAGATTGAGACACTGAACTGTAACCAACTACGAAAACAGAATGTCCTAATGAAGCTAAAGTTGTAAGATTAATTGCTCCCTTATATTCACTGTTAATGAAGAATAACAATTGACTTGACAAGCTAATTATTATAATATCCTAGGCCTACAGTATGTAATAAGAGTTATAATGTACCAGTCAATCAAAATCATTCACTTCTGTTATTGGGCTTGAAATCCTCAACTTTGTTTGTCTTGTTAACTAAATGACATATGAAAGTTACTAAAGGTGTTATTCTTAAGAAAATAGAAGCATGAAATATTCTGCACATGGTTCTATTGCAATTGACGTTGTAAAATGGTTTTGGGTACATTGAACATGCATTCTTTCCAACTTTATAATTATATTAGCATGAGGCATATTGAAATGGAAATTTTGATAAGATACAATAAATCTTAGTGCATTCTTAATGTTAGATGGTATGGGCTTTTATATAGACTCAAGGGAGATTAGATAAAATTTAAAATATAAACCTCTAATAAAATGTATGTTGGAGGATATTATGATATGTAGAAATCATTGCCGATGTTGCTGCATGCTTTTCATATAAATTTTTAGCAGCTCTCTGCTTTCACTTTAAAAAGTAGACAAGGTATATTTTCTAAGGAATTTATTTTTTTAAGAGCTTATATTTATAATTTATAACCTAAATGTGTACAAGTCTTCTTTCCATTGCAATTCCACTTTTCTGATGTATTTGCCCAGTCATGTTTCTACAACACCTTCGCATTTATTTTTCAAAGCTCCTGCCATAAAAACACAGAGAGGAAACTACAATAGAAAGAAGGAATATGAAGGAGTCAGTCCAGGAGTCCAGCATCTAAGAAGATGGAAATGTAAAAGCTTGTTTAGTAATACAGTGTGAATAAGAATTCAAGAAAGATTTTCTAGATGTCAACAAGGTATTACTGAATAGAAAAGTGCTGATGTATTCCCAAGAGATATCTTCACATCATATCTGATGGGAAGAAGTAGAAATTTTGTATAGCTTCTCAATTAAAATACTATCAATTTTAAGTTACCACTACCAATTTTACTAAGCACTTTCTAATCAATTGAAAATGTTACTTTATTATTATTAAAAAGCCTTTTATTTTTGCATCCTTCTTTTATTTTCAAGGTTTATTTTAGATACCAGGGTATACGTGCTTGCAGGTTAGTTACAAAGGTAATATTGTGTGATGCTAAGTTTTGGAGTATAATTAAACCTGTCACCCAGGGAGTAAGCACCATAACTAATAGGTAGTTTTTCAATGTGTGGTCCCCCTTCTCCCTTGCCTGTCCAGTGTCTACTGCTCCCAACTTTATATCCACGAGCATTCAATGTTTAGCTCCTACTTTTTTTTTGAGACAGGGTCTTGCTCTGTTGCCCATACTGGAGTACAGTGATGCAATCGTAGCTCACTGCAGCCTTGACTTCCCAGGCTGAAGCGATCCTCCCACCTCAGCCTCCTGAGTAGCTGGGACTACAGGCAGGTGCCACCACGCCTTGCTAATTTTTTATATATATTTTTAGAGACAGGGTTTCACCATGTTGCCCAGGCTGGTCTTGAACTCCTGAGCTCAAGAGATCCGCCTACTTAGGCCTCCCAAAGTGCTAGGATTACAGGTGTGAGCCACCATGCTCAGCCTAGCTCCCACTAAGTACTTACACAAAAAATTTGGTTTTCTGTTTGTGCTTTAGTTTGATCAGGATAATGGTTTCCAGCTGCATCCATGTTGCTGCAAAGGACATGATTTTGTTCTTTGTCATGGCTGCATAGTATTCTGCAGTGTATACATATCACATTTTCTTTATCCAATCCACCACTGATGGGCAAACTGGGTTGATTCCCTGTCTTTGCTATTGTGAATAGTGCTGTAATGAACATATGGGTGCATGTTTCTTCTGGTAGAACAATTTTTCTTTAGTTATATACCCAGTAATGTGATTGCTGGATTAAATGCTAGTTCAAATCTTACTTCTTTGAGAAATCTCCAAACTACTCTCCACAGTGGCTGAGCTAATTTATATTCCCACCAACAGCCTATAAGTGTTTCCTTTTTTCCACATCCCCAGCAACACGTTATTCTTTGACTTTTTAAAAAAAGTCATTCTGACTGTTGTGAGATGGTATCTCATTGAGTTGCATTTCTCTCATAATTAGTGGTCTTGAGCATTTTTTTAAATATATTTGTTGGCTGCTTGTATGTTTTTCTTTGAGAAGTGTCTGTTTTTGTACATATTTTGGCAAATATATTTGTTGTATACCACTCTTGAACATATATAAAAAGGAAATGTAAGAAAAATTAAGTAGTCAAATGATTCCTAAACTTTCTTCCTAATTCAAGTTTTCTGAAACATAGTTTGACTTGAAGTAAGAAATTTCTATAATTGCTGCACATTATTGTTCTCTAGGACATAAAGATAGTTGGTAATGCAGCATTCTTAAAACAATGCTTACTATTGTGTTTGTGTTTACATTGCTGTCTTTTTTTTTTTTTTTTTGGTATATTGGTGCTGTTTCTTTCTTCTCACTAAGAGATGTCAACAGAAGGTAATCAGACAACAAACAAAGCTCCTATAGGTTTCTGAGTTGTGTGTGTGGGCGTGTGTGTGTGTGTTTTACTGAAATATGGAAGAATTCTATTTTTCTGCTCAGATAACCAGGATCAATAACCAAGTTTGTGCACATACAAGGAATAAGTACATCATGTCCATGACCAGACCAAGAGTAACTATAACATGTAATCACATAGTAAGATGTAGGCCAATTTTAGATATATTAAAATAAGAAAAGCAATGTCATTTAAACTTGAAAAAATATAAATTCCACCAGGCTTATTCCATATGAGTTTAATACTTCTAAAAACATATCCTTATTCTATAAACAACTAAATAATATAATTATTTAATTTTACTTACTACTGAAATTTCTGCTCAAAATAAGCGATGAGAAAAGATGGGCTCTTTCCTTGAGTACCACATAAAATGTCATTTCCTACAGCTTGTGGAGTTGCAGTCATTCTTCTATATACAAAGGAAATGATTACTCTTTTTCAAAATAGGGCTCTTTTAATTGGATCTCAAAATTTAATATAGTATCTGAAATTGATCCAATCATATTGTTTATACATACAAATAAAGCAATCTTAAAATATGAACAAGGATAATGCATTAGTTTGATTCTGATCATGTTCCACTAACTTCGTCTCACTAAGCTGCTGTTAAATGTACACTAGCTATGAATAAATAAGAAAACATCCCAGGCCAAATCTTGGATATTATTCTTTTCAACTTTTCTCCATTTTTGGCTTTTTGGTATACCTTAAAGGGAGCAACAATCATTTTCCAATACAAATCTTATTCCAAAGTCTTTGCTCCACTAAACAAAGATAATTGCTTTGGTCCTGCTCTTGATTCAGATTTTTTTGCTGATCTCAAGACTACATTAAGTCTATTTTCCATGTGCTCTCTTATGATACTTCATCCTTTACCCATCCATGGGCTGTATTTTTTTGTACGTAGCTGGTTACTCTATTTTCTCTACCGAGTTAGTCAACTGAGTCCCTTCCACTCAGTGCCTCTCTCTCTCTCTCTCTCTCTCTAGAAGTGTGTGTGTACTGCTCTACTAATTTTTCCTGATTGTTTTTTACCCAACCTTTGCTCATACATGAATAGATCATTAATCAACAAACCTATACTTAATAACATTACTAATAACATAGCAGAGAGTAGGAAGAAAACTTTCAATTATGCTTTTGTATTTTTATTTACTTGCTTTTATATTTTATTTTTCAATCCGTATGCCTTTAAAGGAATCATTTAAAGCCATTATTCTGGCCAGGAGTGGTGGCGCACACCTATAACCCCAGCACTTTAGGGGGCAGAGGAAGGTGTATCACCTGAGGTCAGGAGTTTGAGACCAGCCTGACTAACATGATGAAACCCCATCTCTACTAAATACAAACAATTAGCCAGGGGTGGTGGCGGGTGCCTGTAATCTCAGCTACTTGAGTGGCTGAGGCAGGAGAATCGCTTTAACCCAGGAGGCAGAGGTTGCAGTGAGCCAAGATCGAGCCATTGCACTCCAGCCTGGGCAACAAGAGTGAAACTTCGTCTCAGAAAAAAAAAAAAAAAAAGAAAAGTAAAAGAAAGCCATTATTTGGAGGGTAAATGTAGCTAAAACTAGATAAGATTGTCTAGAAATACCTTTAATTTGAGATTTATAAGTTGTGATATCCCAATAACACTAAAAAACTTATTAGTGAGTATGAGCCTCTGAAACTCTTGAGTGGTAGATCTTTCTTCTTTAATCAGAATTCCTCTCATCAAGTGACATATTTGACACAGGATCATCTGACATAATAACTATGGGGGTTTTCAGTGTGAAGTCTTCTATTAATTATACACGAACTTTAACTTTTAAAAATACATATATAGGGAGAGATATTGATATTGTATATTCTGTCCTCATTTCAGTGGACGTTCTCATAGTCTCTAGAATGCACTGACTCCACGTGGAGAGCACTGCTCTAATGTAAGCTTCTTGGCCTTGTCACAAGGTCAGTGATGTGAATGTTTATATCTTTCTTCAATTCTTCTGGGTTGATTGACCTCTGCATACGTAGACTTTACCAGTTGAAAAATTTTGGTATTTTGCAAAAAAGCAAACCGAAGAGCAACAAAGAAAATTTTGTTTCTATGTTGCTTTCTTGTTCCTGGATCAATGTTACCCCTCGGGTAGTAAACAAGAAAAAATGATTAAACTATGCCAACTTGCTTTGAAATATTGCAATTGCTGATATAATGTAATATCTTTGGCTTTTTTTCTTATCTGCTATGAATAAATTACATAAGCAAATTTCTCTTCCTGCATTTTTCTTTCTTTCTATGGGATGGATAACATCAGTAAAGAGGTTAAATCAGCCTGTTTCTTCTGGGTATTCTTTTCTTCTTTGCAATTTGTATGAACCTCTTTACAATGACATATTTTTGAAATAATTCTGGCTTTCCTATTTTGATAAGAAATTAGCCAATTCTCAATATTCAGTTACATAATCATTTATTGACTATTAACTCTGTGTGAAGCGTATGTTAGAAATTAGAGATGAAAATGTGGTTGTAAAGCCCTTATAGAACTGAGTCTGGTGAGAAAGACAAGTGCACAAACATGTAATACTAATAACATCTGCTATACGTATTCTACCATAAGAATAAAATGAAGGGAAGAATTAATTCTGCTTCAAAAGCAGAGAAAGCAGTTTTGTCTTGAATGATGAATAGCCATCTGCCAGGAAGTCAAGAAAAGCAGGAGAAACTACATGGGGTATTAAAAATACTTGGTTCCATATTATGTTTAATGAGTAAGGAAGGAAGAGAGAATGACTGAAAATGAAGTTCAGTACATTTAGAATTTTTTTATTCAAGTGTAAAAAACTTATACTCATTTAAATTGAGATGATTTATAATTTTATGAATAAATTATTTTATAGTTTTGGAGATATAATACAAATATAAGCTAGAGCTTTTTTGATAAAGAACATAAAAATATTTCTGATTAACTTATTTATAAAATAAATTTGAAGGCAACTGGGTAGCTAAAAAAAAAAAAACTAAAGAGAATCATAAGATCTAAGAAAGGGCAGGCTGAAAACTTGTGTAGAAGGAAGTAATGTACATTTTCTTCAATATGTTTTCATTAGAATATCCCAGTTTCAAATAAGTTATATTGTTGTGTCTTTCTTGTAAAGTTTAACTTTCATGGGAGAAAGTGCCCAGTTGAATTAGCTTGGGTCATAGACTCACAATTTGACCAGGTAGAAACAGGGGCAGCCCACATGAGTCTGGGCAGGGTAGTTTTCCAAAAGACATTATTACCAAAAAAGGTTGGAAATAAAAATATACTTGGAAAAACAACACTTATTCACCCACTGCATTCCTTGGCTTCTCAACATAAACACAAAATCATTTTGTTTTATTTTAACAACTTACTTAGCATCCTTTCTATTTTATATATACATATGTGTATATATTTCATATTACTATATACTATTGTACTATCATGTCATATATGACAAATATATATTTCATATATATATATATATATATATATATGTATATATATATATATCCTCCTTCCCTCCCCAAAAGTCCGTCAACCCAAACTCCAAGTTTCTGCAGAAGCTTCACGATCTGTAAATGATGTGAATTCTTTTTGTTCTTTTTTAAAAAAATAATATTTTTAAGTTCTGGGGTACATGTGCAGGATGTGCAGATTTGTTACATAGGTCAACACGTGCCATGGTGGTTTGCTGCATCTGTCAACACATCATCTAGGTATTATGTGGAAGATTGTATGGCGATTCCTTAAAGATCCAGGACCAGAAATACCATTTGACCCAGCAATCCCATTACTGGGTATATAGCCAAAGGAATATACATCATTCTATTACAAGCATACATGCACGTGAATGTTCATCGCAGCACTATTCACAATAGCCACGACATGGAATCAACCCAAATGCCCATCAATGACAGACTGGATAAAGAAACTGTGTACATAATCATCATGGAATACCATGCAGACATAAAAAGGAACGAGATCATGTCCTTTGCAGGGACATGGGTGGAGCTGGAAGCCATTATCCTCAGCAAACTAACACAGGAACAGAAAACCAAACACCACATACTCTCACTTATAAGTAGGAGCTGAAGAATGAGAACACATGGACACAGAGAGAGGAACATCACACACTGGGGTCTGTTGGGGAGTGGGTGGGGAGAGGGTTCTTTATAGATATCTTACAGCAACATGTGTCTACAATCAGTGTTTCCTTTATTAGCAGTATAAAGAGGAAATATACACTAATTTTAGTAGAACCTGATAAGGAAACACCATAATACTTCCACAATTGTACAAATCTATAACTTGTATTTACAGTATTCCTGCCCTTACTTTCCTCTTCCTCGTGTCTAATAACTTAGCTGTTTGAAATACTTTGCCTAAAACTATTTGAAAAAACTTGAAATAATCCAGCCTAAATAACACTTTAGAATTTACAATCTTTTAAAATTTACAACTGCTATGTTAGTTTAAAATAGCATACCCCCAATCTTACATTTTTCTTTACTTTCTTTGTCTAACAGAAAAGCTATTTACCAGCAATTCAAATTATTTTTTGTCTATGGATCTGGTACCATGAAATGCCTAAAATGGCCCCATAGCATTATCAACTTCCAATGTAATGTAACCATGTTTGTTTGCTCTATTGGAAGCCGACTCTAGAGTGGCAAAGATGGGATTTACTTTAGAGAAGAACAAGGAATGTACTTTACAGTCACCATTCCCACGTTCCCATATCCATTTCTTGGCTCCTGGTCTTATATAATCTGGCTTTAAGAGAAACAGCACCATACAGATAAATGGTTTAGAAAATACAGCATATCCTCCATAACAGTACCCAGACCAAAAGGTGTTGATAACAGTGTCTGGTATCACACCATCATTTGTTAAACTTTTATAAGAGTCTAGTAGCACATCAAGAGATATTTCTCTGAGGTTAACTACGAAAAGGATGGCTTTTCTTTCTCAACGTGGGATCCTACTCTCCAACTGTGAGAGCAACGCTTCTCAAAGACTATCTCCAGTTGGCCATAGACACTTTGAGAATCACTGCCTCCGTCGTGTCTTCAGACTAGTTGAAAAACCATCAGCAATGTAACCTGATATTGCTTTGTCTAACTGTGTGACCCACAATTTTCACAGTTTTTTATTGCACCAGATAAATGGGTTATAGCAGGACATCTTGTTGTATTTAAAACCCTAAGTAGCTTTCCAAATATTAGGCTTTTTAATTTGAGATGGAGTCTCTGTTGCCAGGCTGGAGTGCAGTGGCACTATCTCTGCTCACTGCAACCTCTGCCTGCTGGGTTCAAGCGATTCTCCTGCCTCAGCCTCCTGAGTAGCTGGGACTACAGGCACGTGCCACCATGCCCACCTAATTTTTTATTTTTAGTAGAGATGGGGTTTCACCATGTTGGCCAGGATGGTCTCGATCTCTTGACCTCATGATCTGCCCACCTGGGCCTCCCAAAGTGCTGGGATTATAGCATTTCACTTACTACAGAGGTCATATCTTGATCAGCCTACCGAACATTCAAACTCCAGAAATTTTCCTGAAATAAAATACTTATAAGACCTTCTGTTTTGCTGGGTTGTCTCCCACCCTATAATACTCTTGTTTGTACACATCTATATGTAACATAAAATACTCCTCTAGGATTAACATCATAATATTCTCATTGTTATATGATGGTCACTGTAAGAGTAAGGCCACACTAGGAATGAAATTGTGATACAGAGCAAGGATACAGGAGCGTGAGAGGCTGACAGCTCCAAAATACATCCACACTGTAATCCCTATAACCTGGAAATACATTTTTTACATACAAAAAAGTCTTTGCAGAGATGATTAAGTTCAGGATTTTGAGATGGAGAGATTACCCTATATTAACCCAGTGCCCAGAAGGTCATCACTAGGGTGCTTATAAGAGGATACCAGGAATTTCAGAGTCAGACTGAAGATATGATGAGGGAAGCAGAGGTTGGAATGATACGTTGCCACTAGCTAAGGAATTCAGACAGCCTTTAGAATGTGGTAAAGACAAAGGAAATGATTTTCTTCAGAAAGAATGTAGCCTTGCTTATCCATTTTAGACTTGACATCCGGGACTTTAATACTTTTTTTTGTTTTAAACCACCACATTTGTGGTAATTTATTAAAGTAGCAGTAGAAAACTAATACAAAGAGTAAAAGGATACTGTTGGTTTTACTGGGAAAAATTAAGTTATTAAATAGCCAATACCAATAACAAGGAGCTGTCTTAGTTTATCCCAGTAAGGCAACAGCATTAGCGATAGTGGATATAGTTGGAGCATTCTTTATTAAGTTTCTAGAATCCAATAATTTTTCTAAGATTAGAAATTTTTCAAGACAAATGAAAGATTTGTATATAGATGATTTGGAGGTATTCACCCTGATGTACTTTTTAGGTCTTTTATGGTGGCTCTGATATCTTCAAATAACCCAAGAATGCGTTGTTGCTTTTGTAGGAAGAGGTGTCTCCAGTGGCTTCCTCCTGACCATTCCCTCAATAATAATTCTTACTATATCGTCAATGGAGGATTCTGCCATTTCCTGATAATTTGTATTTAGATTATTACTCTCAGGAAAATGAGAAAAACAGAACAAAACGAAACACAGATCGGTTTGGGGTCAGAATCAGGCATTCTCTATCTGCTGAACCCCATTAGCCAGTACCACTTTTACCTGCAGGCCACAGTGATATTCTGGACCTTTATGTACCCAGTGTTCTCTGAAAGTTTCAGGTATTTCTCTTTATCCAGTATAAGGTTGTTATGGATATTGATACAGGTTTCTTTACAGAGGGCTAACAAAGGATTCAAAGTATATATTTCTGGATGTAAAGTATGTATAGTTTTCTTTTTCTTCAAGAGACAATAATTTTATTTCTAGTAGTCTACTGGCTCTTTGTCACAGATGTATGCAGATCTTAACCTTCCATGTGATCTGGTTATCTTTCAATCTATCGTGTTCAAAATGAAAACTACAGTGAGTAAATGGATACACATAAAAGATTCCATCCAGTCTTCCAGCATCTCAAAGTTTGTGACAATACCTCCTCTAAACATGAAGAGAGATTTTTGGTCTTCCAATGTCAGTTAGCAAATTGGATCCAGATTTGCTTTATCTAAACCAGATCAGCAGCTGGCTACTTGAACTAGCTCACTGAATGCAAGAACTCTTCTGAGAGTAACTACTGTGATAAATCCAGTCTGATCCAAAATCATAATCCCCAGACCCCTCCTTGACTAAGCATTCTCAAAATCCAATCTTACAAATAATTTCCGGGCTTTAAGTATAGAAATTAACAAATTCCCATAAATCCTTCTGGGACTATTAGCTTCACTATTTGAATTCTGTATTTCAGTATCTGTATATATTCCTGATTTTGGCTACAACGTTCTCCATACAAAGATTATTTGATGTCTCTTGCAAGAGAAGATGGATTCTTTCTATAAGGGGATATATCACAAGGATTTGAGGGATCAGAGTTCTCCAACTGATCTTATTTTCCCATATATTGCACTCTAATGCTTCCAATTGTTGGGGCTATATTAGTTCTAGAGCTGTGCCTGAACTTTACATGAGAGAGCTAAAAAGGTTGTAAATTTGACTGACTTAATTCAGCACAGTACAAAATTAATCTCTGAAGTTGTTTTTTTCAGTGATCTTAGCCCTAAAACTATAAGACAGAAGAGGTTCTTTCAACACAGTCACAGAAAGACCCTGAGTTTCAGTCCATGCCTTGAGGCAAGAATTTTAAGATTTGAGCTTGTCATTCATTTGCTTTGCTTTTAAAATATCTAATACTGTCAGAAACAACTCTCCTTACCCATGCTTGCAGAATTATTCAACTTCTCTAAGCTTTTCTGACAGCAGTTAGTAACCCAACGCTGTGCTTTTGTTGGACGCATGGTTCCAGGTGACCACAGGGAAATACTTAATTAGTTATTTCACTGCTGATTACCTTGGGGCAGTTAATTTTCATTTCTGGAATGCTAATGGGAATCTCAAAAGTCATTTCTTGCATTTCAATGCCATAAACCATTATAAATACCCCAAATTTCACTGAGGATCTGTTGTTTGAATTTCATTCTGAGTTTTCATATCAGTAATTTTGAATACTTCCTCTAGATAAATTTACTATGGGTAACTTAAACTTTCATAATCAAAGATAAAATTAAAGAAATACATTTAAGAAAGATAAGTACCAGGAAAGCTCATATGATTTATGTAGAGGGCACTAACTGGCAGTCTCTTTGCTTTATAGACATTAAGATGATATAATTCCAACAGTTTTTTATTATTGGGTAGCTTTCCTTAAAATTCAAATATGTCAATGTGCTTTGTCTAGTTTGTGTCATTGCTTGCCACCATGACTAGGTGTTGATGGTGGGGGCTGACATCTTGATTTATAATACCAGCAAGGGGAAAGCAGTGTGCTATGAAGAGTGAATAGAAAGAAAGGGATGCTGATCAGGCAAAAATCAATAAATATTCAATGAAGTTTTGGATATGTGAGCTAATTTTTGAAATTTTAAATACAGCTTAAAATAGCTCTTAGATATAAACTCCATTTAAATAATGGAAGAATCATTATTTCTTCTATTGATATTAGCTTTTACACAGACATATAAATGCTAAAAGCTTCCCCAGGATGCCATCTAATAAATAGCCTACAACTGGTAGATACCTTATTTAAATTTTTCTCATATCACATAAATATCACATTTATTTATATATGTGAGAATCTATTTATAATTTAATTGTAGTACATGCAAAATGAATAACTTCATTTACATGTTCCAAATTAGAGTGAACAAAACCTCCATTCTGGATAGTTAAAATCTAAAATGAATATGAAAGCAATGTATTACTTAAAAAAAAGAAGAAATAATCTGGAAACTAAAGATTAGAACTACTATCGGGCTTCTTCACTTCTCAAAACTTGTATAAATCTTTGAAACTCATTTTTAAGTTTACATTAAATAATTACTTTCAAATATGGCCAAACCAAGACTAATCTCCTATCCACTGGTTAAAGATTGATACCTCCTTAGTGAGAAGGGGCTAGAAAGTAATATCAGAAAGTAAACTTTCTCCGATTATTTGGTGTGTACAATGCAATGATTAAGTATGTAGGCCAAGTCAGGCTGAATGGGATCAAACCCTGACTCCATCGTTTGCTGGCTTTATGATTTTAGGAGACAATACACCTTTAAATTTCAGTTTTAATTTGTAAGGTGCCAATTATGATACTGCATATAACAATTTTGAGGGTTAAATAAACTAATATACTTAACATAGATATTATGTTAAATATGCTCAAAACATGCAGATGATCTATCCATTTATGTTTACATGTGTATATGTAGCTAGCTGGATATATAACCAGATGTGTGTTCTATACCATCATTCTAACACATGTTATCCTTTAGTCTAAATATAATTAATAAAATTACATAAGGACTGAATAATTTAAAAGAAAAATCTCAATGTCTTCCTAGCTTTTCTATGACTTCTCAATTAACTAGGGATGGAAAGAACCAGATCAGCAATTTTCAACAGTGTAGGGAATTTTTAAATAAATTTTTCTTTCTTCTTTTATGGTTTCTCTTATTAATCTGTCAACAGATGCATACATTGGTATTGAGCCAGGTCTGTGAAGCAGAAGAAGAATTTACCCTCTATCCTCCAGAAGTTTTCTGTGATTCTGATAAACAATTGTTATTTCTTTTTTCCCTCCCAGGTAAAGAACTGGAGGACCAATAGGAATTGAGAAACTCAACTATCATGGAAGACAGTATGGCAATTCCTCAAAGATCTAGAGGCAGAAATACCATTTGACCTAGCAATTCCATTACTGGGTATATAACCAAAAGGAATATAAATAATTCTGTTATAAAGATACATGCACACTTATGTTCATTGCAGCACTATTCACAATAGCAAAGACATGGAATCAACCTAAACGCCCATCAATGATAGACTGCATAAAGAAAATGTGGCACATATACACCATGGAATACTATGCAGCCATAAAAAGGAATGAGATCATGTCCTTTGCAGGGACATGGATGGAGCTGGAAGCCATTATCCTCAGCAAGCTAATGCAGGAACAGAAAACCAAACACTGCATGTTCTCACTTATACCTGGGAGCTGAATGATGAGAACACATGGACACACGGGGGGAACAACACACACTGGGGTCAGCTGGGGAGGTGGGGGGATGGAGAGGATCAAGAAGAATAGCTAATGAATTCTGGGCTTAATACCTAGGTGATGGGGTGATCTGTGTAGCAAACTACCAAGGCACATGTTTATCTATGTAACAAATCTGCACATCCTGCACATGCACCCATGAACTTAAAAGTTAAAGATAAAAAAATCAGCACAGTAGAGACCAAACACATACAGACATGGTATTCAGATTTTTTATTTATCTTTCCATGTACCCAGTGACAAGTTGATTAGTTTCCACTGGCATGCTGAATTTTCGGACAAAGTAATATAAAAAGTCGCACACAAGGACCATCCTCCTGAAAAAAAAAGAATTAAATGAAAAAATGTCCAGCATTTGAAGATAAGTGGGTTATAATTCACCAACAAGTTTAAAAGATTAAACTTAAATTCTAACTTGTTTTGAAACTACCAAATACAAGACTAGAAACAATCAGATGATATATAAAGAAGTAGCTACCTTTAGTAATTCATCTAACATTTGAGTCACTTGGGATGCTTTTTTGGCTAGTAATAGAAAACCCAACTGAAAATTGATTAAACCATAAGCACTATTATGACTCAGGACATTAGAAGGCAGGTAATCCAAAAGTTCCTTCAGTAACTAGAGAATGACAGCAGGGACCCAATGTTTTCTGATTCTTTTGTTTAATCTTATTCTGTTTGATGCAATGTCTCTCTAAGCACCACATGTTCACGGGGCAATGTAGCAAAGCAGGAAAAAAATGGGCTTGGAAACTGCAGGTAAAGATCTTTGCCCTGCAGCTCCAGAAGATTTCCTTTGTGGTTCACTGGCCACGTCTAGGCCATGTTCTTAGTTAAGAAAGAGGTTGGGAAAGCTGACACTTTTAATCTCTATTGTGGGAGACATACATGGAAAAAAATTATTTGGGAATGGCTGTGTAGTAGATAATCACAGCACTACCACAAATGTATTTTGTATGGCATTTCCTGATAGAAAAAAATTCTGACAGAAGACTGTATTAGGCAGCTTGGGCTTCCACACCCAAGTAGGACAGACTAAGTGTCTTAACGAAAAGAAATTTTGTCACAGTCTTGGAAGCTAGAGGTCCAAGATCAAGTTTCTACTGATGAGGCTTCTAGTGAGAGTTCTCTTCTTGGCTCACAAATGATAGCCTTCTTGCTATGCTTTCACACCTTTTCAAGGTGCAAGGGGCAGGTGGGTGGGGGGAGGGGGCATGGGGAGAATGAGCTCTCTGGTTTTTTTTATGTGGATTTGAATCCTCTCAGATCAGGGCTTTGCCGCCTTAGGATTTTGATTACATTTAATTACTCCCTTAGAGGCCCCATCTCCCGATAGAGCCACATTAGCATTTAGGGTTTTATAAGCATTTTAAAACCATAAAACTTAGAGGGATACAAACATTTAGTCCCTAACAAAGACCTTGTGTCACTTCATTCATTGAAGTCAAATATTTTGAAATATGATAAAAAATAGGCTGTAAATGAATAAACAAATGGGGTCTATTAATTCACTCATTCATTTTTATTTACCAAGTATGTCTTGAAGGGCTTCCTCTCCTCTCCTCCCTTTCTCTTTTCTTTCTGTCTTTCTTGCTTGCTTTTTCTTCTTTTTTTTTTTCCCTCCCCCGAGACAGGATCTTGATTTGTCACCCAAGGTAGAGTGCAGTGGTATTATCATAGCTAACTGTAACCTCAAATTTCTGGGCTCAAGCAATCCTCCCCAGCCTCAGCCTCTCCAGTAGTTAGGACTACAGGCTTGCAACCACCATGCCCAGCTAATTTTTTTTTTTAATCTTTTAGAGACAGGGTCTATGTTGCCCAAGCTAGTCTGAAACTCCTGGCCTCAGGCCATTTTTCTGTTTCAGCTTCCCAGGTCACTGAGATTACAGGTGTGAGCCACCATGCCCAGCCTGAATGCCCTCTTATAGTCAAGAAATTGTGCTGAGTTCCGAGACTACAAAGATGATTACAATCTAGTTGTTTTCTTAAAGAAACCTATAGACTCACACAGTAGAGTGAAATGTAAACCAATTAAAATGATAATAAAAATGCCATAATAGTTTTGATATAAGCATGCCCACCAAGTTAATAAAACAAGGAAAAATACATCAAACAATTTGACCACAGTCAGGAAGTCTTCATAGATAAAAACAAGGGACAGAAACAAACCTAAAACCAAACACATGGAAATTACATAAGTTTTACAAAATAAACAGCTATACTATTTATAGTAGAGTAAATAAGTTGTAGCAAGTAAGATGGCTGGGGAGATTTATATTTCTTAGGTATGACAGAACAAATGAAATCTAGACTGACACTCAGGTTTCAAATTTGGATAAACTGGCCAGATGATAGTAGTTCTACTCAAGATTGGGAGAATCTATTTCATGTGGAATGGAGGAAGACATCTGTATTCTCCTTGATATATGAGTTTGAAACACATCCAAGTGAAGATTACAGTAGGCATTTAATATAAGTGTGGAAAATAGTTTTGAATAAAAAAATTTCTTAGAATTAGGCTTACGTGACTAATAAAATGACAAGCACAAAAGACTTCTCTCAGGGAAAGAACATGACATAAGAAAAGAAAAGAGCAGGATCCCATGGAACTGCAATATTAAGAAGTTGGTGGAGGAAAGTTGTGAAGGAGACTGAAAGGTAGCCTAGAAAAAACAGATTTTTTATTTAACTGAGCAATATTTTGAGTAATGACAGACAACTGGACTTGACTTAGAGCTGTATCTGTTGACCAAGTCAGAAATTATGGCTTTCACATATTTGTTACTATTTGGCCTTCTGTAGGACCTGCTAGTAGATAACACACAGGTTTTGCTTTATAAACACAAACACAAAGTTGTGTTAGAGGCTTTTAAAAAATGTGCAAACGTGCTCTATAGCCACTGAAGTGTACTACCCCTGTCTTCCAACTTAATCCTTAAGTAAAACATCAGCATCAATTATTACTATCATGAAAAACAACATATATGGCCCTCTCAACAGAGAGTTTGGGCTGATTTTGTTTAAGTACCAGGCACTAATTCCAAGAGAGATTTTAAGTTCATTTTCTTTAGACATTTGAAGAATTCAGCGTAACCTTGCCCATAAACAACATTAAGAGGCATCCGTTAGATTACATAAAATAACTGTAATAATGATAGCTTGTTGAATTAAAACTATGTTAATACTGTCATCTGTCACTATGACTCTACCCATAAGGGATTGGTCTCAGGACCCTCCGTAGATAACAAAATCAATGATCAGGTGATCTAGATTCCCGATATAAAATGGCATAGTGTTTGCATATAAACTCTGCATATCCTCCCTTTTACTTTAAATCACCTCTAGATTGCTTGTAATACATTGTATTTTGTAAATGCTATGTAAATAGGTGCTATTTTGTATTTTTTTTTTAAAAAAAGGAAAAAGTATCTGTTCATGTTCAGGACAGAGGCAATTTTTTCCCCAAATAATTTGATCAGCAATTGGTTGAATCCAAAGAGCAAAACTCATGGATATGGAAGTTCAATTATGTATCACATGCTCCTTTCACAAAAAGGAATTGTCTCAAGCTTGCTAAACCATTTTCTCGGTTACTGCTCAGTGCATTGTGACCCTCTAAGGAAGCCTAAGCAATATCTAAAATCTCAGAAAATATTTTGGCACTGCTTAAGCATTGCAATGCCCACTTGGTTTCCCATTCACTAACATAACTTTTGTCAAAGTTTTAATTTTGACATATTTCACCCAACAACAGTAACAGTAAAAAAAAAATTCTGCTTGTGTTTCTGCTTCCAAAGCTGAAGTCTGATTGAAAGAGAACACTTTTCTATTTTATGTCCCCACTCTCTACTAAGTAAAATTTTAAGCAAATGCAAAAATAACTTGGTGAATTCTGTCCAATTTTCCTGTGGTCTCAATTCTTTAGGGTAGAAAAACACCCCAGAATTAAACCCCCTGTTTTACATCCTCTACTCTCCTACTATTCTCTTCTTTTTCTTTTCTACTTTTACCATAACTCAGGAGGGTAGATAGATATGCGTTAGAAATAACTTGTCAAGTTTAAAGGATATTAACTATAGTATTGTGGGGATAAAATATTAATTTTTTAGCAGAACTCTTTGTAATACAACTTTTTGAATTAGAGCAGAAGTCTCTGCAGTTTACATTTTATAATACATTTTATGACTTGAAAGTATAGTAATAGAGATTCTTTCAGTTATACTATTAGAACATTTTTCAATTTATCATGCATTACATATGTTGCCATTTCACAGCTACTAGAGATTTATAACTAGAACATACAAAATTCTTAATAGAAATTCAGAGATATTTTTGGCAGCATGGGTGAATTTGAGAAAAAAATAAATATTTCATATTTGAGAAAAACCTGTGTAGTTTAGGATGGTTTCCTGATTAATGTAGGTGCTTCCTTTCTAACCCATTTGTCCTTTCTGACATATCTTTTGTAGACAACCTTGCCTGTGGATTTCAGGTGCATTAAACTCTCAACGTGTGTTCAATATTCCCCTGAATGGGGGAAGACATTTGATGTGCCCCAAATGTATTATTAAATTCACTGTCAGAGGAATAGGTGAAGAAAACACAAAGTGTCGTATTTTCTTTTAGCACTCAGAGCTAGTGCAATACTTTGTTTTATTCTCCCATAAGGTCCCTGAATTCATAACTACTTAGGTGGGGGTTGGCAATCATGAATTGTTAACATCAAGATCTGTAGTGGTCCAAGCCTGCAAGTGTCACAGGTAATCAGAGCACTGCCACTATCCTTCTGCCTGTAGCTTTAGGGCCCAACCTCATTTCTTTGATCTTTGGACAAATGCAACATTGACAGGGGCCAGACCACACATCTCAGGTGCAGATGGTTTGTGTAAGGTAACCATTCGCTCCAATTTAAGGAAATAAAAAAGACTTCAACCTTACTAAAATATTTAAAACCTCAAGGGATGGGTGAAAGAGAGGTCACAGTAGTCCCTGTTGTGAGTGTGCTTGCTAAACTTAACCACTAGAAGCAAATTTTATGTGGGGACAATTCCAGACTAAAGCTAGGCCAAACTTTTGGGAGTCTTCTCCTGACCGAGACTGGCAAATGTATTTCCCTCGGTTTAAGTAATGAAACCTGTATAGGAATGCATCTAGGGTCCATGTGGGTACTCAAACACTGAAACATGAATGAAAGTTGACTCACTCTCAGTAAGTTCTATAAATTGTGGCTATAGGAAATTTCCTTCCAAAGTTTTGTTTCATTATTTTTGCTCAGGTAGTATCAGATTTCTCAAAAAGGAGTACATCCCAAACTAACCCATTTTTCCTTTTAAAAAATCTGTTTCTTCTTTGGTTACTGTCTTGGTAAATGATAACATCTATGCAATCATCCAAAACAAAAGCATAAATCACTTTACATTTTAATTCATTCAGTAACAGTCCTTTTGATTCTTGCCCTTCAACATGTTTTGTATTCATACCCTATATTCTATCTTCTCCTGCTGCAGTTTAAGGATGCATTGTATTTTGCATTGGCAATTGAAATAGTATTTTAAAATGTTGGTTGTTTTATAGTCCCATAGCTCTCCAACACTTTCTCTGCAATATCTAAAGATAACTAAATAAAATGTGAATCTGATCCCATCCCTTCTTCTCTTGCTTAAGTGTTTTAAATATCATCATTGCTAATTAGATATAACCCACATTTATTAGCATTATGAATAGCTATATATTTTTCAGGAATTTGCTCAAGCTCTAACTTCTTTAGGAATACATTTTCTGTTACCTGATTCATAAGTACACCCGACACTGCTCTACCCAGAGTAAAATGTCCCAGTGCATAAGAGGTGCTCAATACTTGATGAAAAATAAATACACATTACATTAAACTGAAATATACACTTTCTTACAGTTTCTTTCCTTTTATCCCAGATGTTTTTATAGCACCTTAAAACTCTAACATCACCTTTTAGAATGTTTGGTCCATGACAACTTTCCAATAATTTCCAGAATATATTCCTTCATAGGTTTTTCAAACTTCACTGAGAATCATTTCTTCTCTATGCTGATCTTTTCTAATTATTAATTCCCTTTTGAATTACATCTTTTACATTTTTATTTTAACTAAAAACTATCAAAACACATGAAAAAGAAGAGAGAATAATATATTGGGGTCCAAAAAGCTAGCTTCAACAATTAAGAAAGCATGGATTGTATTGCTAAATAAATATTATCACCACCGGCGAGGGAATCATCATGGCAGATGGGAGGCAGGACTAGATTGCAGCTCTGACTCGGATGGACAGAGCAGTGTGCGGAGGCTCGCGTTGTGAATTTGGGACCAGATCGACTGCGATAACAAACCAGCAATCCTGAGAGGACTCACAGACCATCTGAGGGAAGTGGACTGCTCCTGCAGGACTCAGGAGACACCCCAAATACTGTTAAGTGGCCCAACTGCAGAAGTGGGAAAGGGAGATCCTCCTCTTCCAAATACATACTCCCACTGGAGAAACTGAAGACCTGTTTGAGGGAGAAGTTTCTGACCTTACCAGGAGCTGAGTCAATTTAGACAGCCGAGCAAAATACAGGGGTACAAAAAGCAGCAGAAAGGCCCTGGGAGCTCACTGGATCCCCAAGCAGGCCATTCTTGCCTGGCACCACAGGGATCCATCAGGAGGGCGGCCAGAGGAGTGGGGGGAAAATACCACAGGGAAAAGGAAATCTTCAGCTGAGCTCTAACAATTTGAAAGGGGTGAGAAGACTCCTGGCCAGAACTTGGGGGAGGCCATGAATCGACTGTGCAGACTCCACAGGCTCGGGAAGAACCAAGCCCTTTTCTTTTGCAGCTTGGAGATGGGTAGTCTGGGGCAAGCTCTCAAGTCCAGCTTGCCCACTGCCTGAAAACAGACTCCGTGCTTTTAGGGAGAAAATGGTGGGAGTAAGACCGACCCTTCAGTTTGCATGGGAGCTGGGTGAGGCCTGTGACTGCCAGCTTTCCCCCAGTTCCTTGACAACCTGCATGGCTCAGCAGAGGCAGCCATAACCCTCCAAGGTACATACCACTATTGACCTGGGAATCCCACCTCCATCCCCCACAGCAGCTTCAGCAAGACCCACTCAAGGAGATTCTGAGCTCAGACATGCCTTGTCCTACCCCACCTGATGGTCCTTCCCTACCTACCCTGATAGCTGAAGACAAAGGGTGTATCATCTTGGGAGTTCTAGGGCCCTGTCCACTGTCAGTTCCTCTCCATACTACCACAGCTGATGCTCTCTAGAAAGAGCCACCTCCCAGCAGGAGGCCAACCAGCACAAAAGTAAAGCATTAAACCACCAAAGCTAAGAACCCTCATGGAGTTCATTTCAGCCCCCTGCCACCTCCACCAGAACAGGTGGTGATATATCCATGGCTGAGAGACTGATAGACAGTTCACATCACAGTACTCTGTGTGGACAACCCCCAGTACACCAGCCTGGAGCCAGGCAGACTTACTTGGTGGATAGACCCAGAAGAGAGACAAGAATCACTGCAGCTCAGCTCAAAGGAAGCCACATGCATAGGGAAAGGGGGCGAGTGCTACATCAAAGGTACACGCTATGGGACAAAAGAATCTGAAAAACAGCCTTTAGCCACAGATCTCTTCTCTCTGACAGAGTCTACCCAAATGAGAAGGAGCCAGAAAACCAACTCTGGTGATATGACAAAAAAAGGCTCTTCGATACCCTCCAAAATTCACACTAGTTCACCAGCAATGGATCTAAACCAAGAATAAATGCCTGATTTACCTGAAAAATAATTCAGGAGATTAGTTATTAAGCTAATCAGGGAGGCACCAGAGAAAGGGAAAGCACAGTGCAAGGAAATCCAACAAATGATAATGTAAGTGAAGGGAGAAATATTCAAGGAAATAGATAAAGAAAAAACAATCCAAAATTCAGGAAATATTGGACAAACTTATAGAATGCAAAATGCTGTGGAAAGTCTCAGCAATAGAATTAAACAAGCTGAAGAAATAAATTCAAAGCTTGAAGACAAGGTCTTCGAATTACCCCTATCCAACAAAGATAAAGAAAAAATAATGAGAAAATATGAACAAAGCCTCCAAGAAGTCTGGGATTATGTTAAATGACCTAATCTAAGAATAATCGGTGTTCCTGAGGAAGAGGAGAAATCTAAAAGTTTGAAAAACATATTTGGGGGAATAATCAAGGAAAACTTCCCTGGCCTTGCTAGAGACCGAGACATCCAAATACAAAAAGCACAAAGAACATCTGGGAAATTCATTGCAAAAAGATCATCACCTAGGCACATTGTCATCAGGTTATCTAGAGTTAAGATGAAGGAAAGATTCTTAAGAGCTGTGCGACAGAAGCACCAGGTAACCTATAAAGGAAAACCTGTCAGATTCATGGCAGATTTCTCAGCAGAAACCCTACAAACTAGAAAGGATCCGGGACCTATCTTCAGTCTCTTCAAACAAAACAATTTTCAGCCAAGAATTTTGTATCCAGCAAAACTAAGCATCATATATGTAGGAAAGATACAATCTATTACAGACAAATGCTGAGAGAATTTGCCATTACCAAGCCTTCACTACAGGAATTGCTAAAAGGAGCTCCAAATCTTGAAACAAATCCTGAAAACACATCAAAACAGAACCTCTTTAAAGCATAAATCACACAGGACCTATAAAACCAAAATGCAAGTTAAAAAGCAAAAACATAAAAACCAAAGTACACAGGCAACAAATATGATGAATGCAATGGTACCTCACATCTCAATATTAACATTGAATTTAAATGGCCTAAATGCTCTACTTAAAATATACAGAACTGCAAAATGAATAAGAATTCACCAACCAACTATCTGCTGTCTTCAGGAGACTCACCTAACACATAAGGACTCACATAAACTTAGAGTAAAGGGGTGGAAAAGGCATTTCATGCAAGTGAACACCAAAATAAAGCAGAAGTACCTGTTCTTATATTAGACAAAACAAACTTTAAAACAATTGTTGTTAAAGAGACAAAGAGGGACATTATATAGTGGTAAAAGATCTTGTCCAACAGAAAAATATCACAATCCTAAACATATGCACCTAATACTGGAGTTTCCAAATTTATAAAACAATTATTAATAGACCTAAGAAATCAGATGGGCAACAACAGAATAATAGTGGGGGACTTCAATACTCCACTGACAGCCCTAGACAGGTCATCAAGACAGAAAGTGAACAAACAGATTTAAACCATACTTTGGAACAAATGGACTTAACAGATATATACAGAATATTTCATCCAGCAACCACAGAATACACATTCTATTCCACAGTGTCTGGAACTCCATGATAAACCATATGAAAGGCCATAAAATGAGTCTCAACAAATGTAAAAAAATTGAAATAATATCAAGCTCTCTCAGACCACAGTGGAATAAAACTGGAAATCAACCCCAAAAGGAAACTTCAAAACCATACAAATACATGGATATTAAACAACCTGCTCCTGAATAAGCACTGGGTCAAAAACAAAATCAAGATGGAAATTAAAGAATTATTCAAACTGAAGGACAATAACAACACAACCTATTCAAAACCTCTGGGATACAACAAAGGCGGTGCCAGAAGGAAAGTTCATAGCCCCAAACGCCTACATCAAAAAGACTAAAAGAGCACAAACTGACATTCTACAGTCACACCTCAAGGAACTAAAGAAACAAGAACAAATCAAACCCAAACCCATACCCATACCCAGCAGAAGAACAGAAATAACCAAGATCAGAGCAGAACTAAATGAAATTGAAGCAAACAAACATAAAATACAAAAGACAAATGAAACAAAAAGCTGGTTCTTTGAAAAGATAAAATTGATACTCCATTAGCAAGACCAAGAAGAGAGAAAATTCTAATAACCTCATTAATATATTGATGTAACAAAACTGCCCTTGTGTCCCTTAAATTTATACAAATAAATTTAAAAAAGAAAATTAAAGAGATAGTTTTTTTTTTCCTGTCAATGCTTAGGGTTACTTTTCCCCCTTAGAAAAGATATTTGAAAGAGAATGGCAGAGTAGAAAAGTATTTCCATCAAATATACTAGAATTTTAATATACAAGAACAAATAAAGATTGCAGTTGAAAAATGAGTAAGGAATTTGAATCAATAATTCATCAAAAAAGAAATGCAAATAGGTTTTTTTAATGAGAAAAGTTCATCCTTACTAACAATCAAATGCAAATTAAACTGATCTGGAGGTATCATTTTGAGTATCTATAAAATTAGTGAAAATGAAAAATCCTAATACCCAGTGCTGACAAGATTTCAGTGAAAGTGACATACAGTATTGTTGGCATTATAAATTAGAACAATAAATTTTGGGGGGATTAAAAAAGTGAAAATAAAACAAAAAAGAAATGAACAGGTGATATTACAACTGATAACACAAATACAAAAGATCATAAAGGCTACTATGAACACCTTTATGTGCATAAACTAGAAAACTTAGAAGAGAGGGATAAATTTCTAGAAAAATATAATCCTCCTACCCTAAATCAAGAAGAATTAGATACCCTGAACAGACCAATAAAACAGTGAGATTGAAATGGTAATTAAAAATTAACAACAAAAAAAGTTCAAGACCAGATGAATTCACAGCAGAATTCTACCAGACATTCAAATAAGTATTGGTACCAATCCTTTTGACACTATTCCACAAGATAGAGAAAAAAGGAACCTTCCACAATTCATTCTGTAAAGCCACCATCACCTTAATACCAAAACCAGGAATGGACATAACCAAAAAAGAAAACTACAGACAAATATCCTTGATGAGCATAGATGCTAAAATCATTAACAAAATAACTAGCTAACTGAATCCAACAACATTTCAAAATGATAATCCACCATGATCAAGTGGGTTTCATACCAGGGATGCATGGGTTGTTTAACATACACAAGGCAATAAATGTGATATACCACATAAACAGAATTAGAAACAAAAATCACATGATCATCTCAATAGATGCAGTAAAAGGATTGGACAAAATCCTGCATCTCTTTATGGTTAAAACTCTCAGCAAAATTGGCATACAAGGAACATACGTCAATATAATAACAGCTGTCTATGGAAAACCCACACCCAACATGATACTGAATGGGGAAACATTGAAAGCATTCCCTCTGAGAATTGGAACAAGACAGGGATGCCCACTGTCACCATTCCTCTTTAACATAGTACTGGAAGTCCTAGCCAGAGCAATCGGACAAGAAAAAGAAATAAAGGGCATCCAAATCAGTAAAGAGGAAGTCAAACTGTCACTGTTTGCTGACGATATGATTGTTTACCTTGAAAACCCTAAAGACTCTTCCAGAAAGCTCTGGAACTCACAGAAGAATTCAGCAAAGTTTCTGGATACAAGATTAATGAACACAAATCAGTAGCTCTTCTATACACCAGCAGCAACCAAGCAGGGAATCAAATTAAGAACTCGATCCCTTTTACAATAGCTGCAAAAAAATAAAAAAAAAAATACTTAAGAATGTACCTAACCAAGGAGGTGAAAGACCTATACAAGGAAAACTACAAAACACTGCTGAAAGAAATCATAGATGACACAAACAAATGGAAACACATCCCATGCTCCTGGGTGGGTGGAATCAATTTTGTAAAAATGACCATACTGCCAAAAGCAATCTACAAATTCAATGCAATCTCCATCAAAAATACCACCATCATTTTTCACAGAATTATAAAAGAAATTCTAAAATTTATATGGAACCAAAAAAGAGCCCATAGAGCAAAAGCAACACTAAGTGAAAAGAACAAATCTTGAGGCATCACACTACCCAATTTCAAACTACACTATAAAGCCACGGTCACCAAAACAGCATGGTACTGGTATAATAGGCACATAGATCAACGGAACAGAATAGAGAACTCAGAAATAAATCCCAATACTTACAGCCCACTGTTTTTTGTTTTGTTTGTCAAAGATCAAAGTGGGCAAAGGTCATCCTTTTCAACAAATGCTGCTGGGATAATTGGCCAGCCACATGTAGGAGAATGAAACTGATTTCTCATCTTTCACCTTATACAAAAATCAACTCAAGATGGATTAAGGACTTAAACCTAAGACCTGAAACTATAAAAATTCTAGAAAATAACATTGGAAAAACCCTTCTAGACATTGACTTAGGCAAGGATTTCATGACCAAGAACCCAAAAGCAAATGCAATAAAAACAAAGATAAATACCTGGAACTTAATTAAACTAAAGACCTTTTGCATGGGCAAAAGGAACAGTCAGCAGAGTAAACAGACCACCCAAAGAATGGGAGAAAATCTTCACAATCTATACATCTGACAAAGGACCAATATCCAGAATTTATAATAAACTCAAATAAATCAGCGAAAAAAAAATCTCATCAAAAAGTGGACAATTCTCAGAAGAAGATATACAAATGGCCAATCAACATATGAAAAATTGTTCAACATCACTAATGATCGTGGAAACGAAAATCAAAACCGCAGTGCAATACCCCCCTACTCCTGCAAGAATGGCTATAATCAAAAAATCAAAAAACGGTAGATGTTGGCATGGATGCAGTGAACAAGAAACACTTCTACTCTGCTGGTGGGTATGTAAACTAGCACAACCACTATGGACAACAGTGCAGAGATTCCTTAAGGAACTAAAAGTGGAACTGCCATTTGATCCAGCAGTCCCACTACTAGGTGTCTACCCAGAGGAAAATAAATCATTATACGAAAAAGATACTTGCACACACATGTTTATAGCAGCAAAATTCGTAATTGTGGAATCGTGAAACCAACCCAAATGCCCATCAATGAGTGGATAAAGAAACTGTGGTATATTTACACAATTAAATATTACTCAGCCATAAAAAGAAATGAATTAACGGCATTCACAGTGACCTAGATGAGACTGTTGACTATTATTTTAAGTGAAGTAACTCAGGAATGGAAAACCCAACATTGTGTATTCTCACTGATATGTGGGAGGTAAGCTATGAGGACGCAAAGGCATAAGAATGATACAATGGGCTTTGAGGACTTACAGGGAGAAGTAGGAGAGGGGCTAGGGATAAAAGACTACAAATATGGTGCAGTATATACTGTTCAGGTGATGGGTGCGCCAAAATCGTACAAATCCCCACTAGAGAACTTACTCATGTAACCAAATATCGCCCGTACCACAATAACTTATGGAAAAAATTTAAAAAATATTATCGCCAACACTAAACAACTTTGATTTTTGTAAATTGCACACGTGATTTATTTCATCAGTATGTTTGATATTTATCTCCAAAAGATAAGTTTCTTATATTAACCTGGTTTCATGATCTTTTAAAACTGTTCACTGTCCTCTGAACATATTTTAGTCTCCTTGTATTTCTCTACCTGTGACATCCAGAGCCATACTTCAATAAGTGGAATGAAATTAATCCACAGAGAAAAGTTATCGTCACCATTCTGACTGCACATATACACTTCTAGATAACTACCTGTTTAATTGCAGAATAAAAGAGAATCTATTTGCTCCTTTGTAGCTATCTTCCAATGTTGATTCATTTTAATTTACCAATCAGGATACTTCTGACATTTTCTTATGTTCGACATGTTCTCAGAGCCTCTACTCATATATTTTTATACACAAGCGTAGAAATATCAAGAAACACAATTTACATTTTATTTTTGGAGAATTTTAAAGAAAATCACATAAAAATGTGAATAGCTTTGGTGTCTTAAATAGCTTATAAATTGCTCTAAATAGGCAGTAAAATGGGATGAAATGGGATAAAAGAAGAGAGAAGAGGTAGTGAAAAAAGTAGTACTTTTAAGATTCCTCAATACTGAGAAAATATTTAAATTATCACTTATTGGTCACAAACTTTTATTTTAGTTTAAAATTGATGGAATTTTAACTGTGTATGGTATTATAAATCCACTCCAAAGTCACTCCGTCAAAAACTACACTCTATTTACAGGGAGCATCTCAATCCTGGCGACAATTTTGTGACTCAGGAAACAATTTTTTTTAACTGACAAATAATAATTGTATTTATTTTATAGGATACAATATGTTTCAATATTTATTTTTATTATGAAATGATTAAATCAGGCTATTCAACAAATCCATCACCTCACATGCAGTCTAATATAGAATTAAACCGAGTCTCATAAAATGGTGTACGTTCCCGTGGTCATTCACTAGTGAAACCAGTTCTCAATCCAGGGCATCTTTACTCTAAAACCCATGCTTTTTCACTCAATTATGGATAAATTCTCTGGTAAAGGTGGACATTTATGATGAAAAACAAACACTGTATATAAGATACTTGCTTTCAACTCCCTCTTTCCTGATCACACTAGCTCTAGAGAAGTTATAAGTGCAAATCCCCCTACCCAGGAAGTCAATCCAACCTTCTCTCTCCAATGTTACAGTGGTTGTCACTCACTCAAAAATGTTCTGATTACATACTGTGTTTTGCTTGCTCTTAATTTAGAGACAGGGTCTCACTGTCATCCAGGCTGTAGTACAGTGGCACTATAATAACTCACTGTAACCTTAAACTCCTGGGCTCCAGCAAACCTCCCGCATCAGCCTCCAAGTAGCTAGGGCTACAGGCATGCATCAGCAAGCCCAGCTTAAAAAAAAAAAATGCTGTAGAGATGAGGCTGCTAGGCTGGTTTGAACTCCTAGCCTCAATTGATCCTCTTGCCTTGGCATCCAAGAGAACTGGGATTATAAATGTGAGTCACCATGCCCAATTCATACTACCTTTTAACTTCATTAAAATAAATGTCATATAAGTCATGATTTAGTACTCAAATGTTCTGTCAGAATGTCCAAATATTCACGCAGTTACATTTATATTTTTACTCATACTCTTGGAAAATGAAGATAAGTATTTGAGTAATTCTAACATATGAGTGCTAGTCAATGTACAGGAAAAAAATACTTTAAAAAGTCAGAAATTTCTAAACTTATCAGTTAATATGATGACTCTGGTATCAAGGTTTCTAATGAAGTTATAGACTAGTAGACACATTATGTGGGAAAGAAAACTGCAGAGGCCAAGGAATAAATTCAAACAGCTATGAATAATCTGAATGAAATGTGTGCAACCGATTGAGTGGGCTAATTTAGCGGCAAAACCAGCAGTGAGAAAGAAAAAGTACTGAAAATATATCTAATAGATCTGCTCAAGTTTAGTTCATTCAGGAAAATAGGTGTTTTTACAAAAGGAAATCTTAGGCAATAATATTAATAAGATATGAGATGGAAATCAAAATGATATGCATAACATGTAATCTGTTGAATTACATAATTAATCTTCCTGGAAAGTTACCTTTTTAAACTGATTCTATCACATTTGATGTATAAGTGAAATATCTCAAATACCATAGAGTGTATTTGTTAGTGCAATGAAGATTTATAAGAACTCATTCTCACTGTCCTTCATCTACTTTGATATAGTGGTAAAACCTCAGAAGTTTCTCCAGTTTGTTTCATAGAGTTTCTTACTCCACATCTTTTTATCTGTAAGATAGTTTCTGAGTGCTTACAGTTAAAATGAGCTCATTATTGAAAGCTGCAACCTTCTTAGTTGAATGATCTAAGACTATGCAATAAGTCCTCACAGATCCTCATTTTACTTTTACAGCAGCTGAAATAAGATTGAGCATGATTTACTCAGATGAATTCATTGACTTTGCTTCATTCTGTATTGTAACTCTTAGTCTAGTCAGATAAATTCAAAATGAAGTACCGGGGAGACTCAAAGTTCCAATAAGACAGAAAGGCCAGGCACGGTGGCTTACACCTGTAATACCAGCACTTTGGGAGGCCGAGGTGGGCAGATCACGAGGTCAAGAGATCAAGACAATTCTGGCCAACATGTTGAAACCCCATCTCTACTAAATATACAAAAATTAGTCAGGCATGGTGGTGCATGCCTGTAGTAGGCACGCCTACTCGGGAGGCTGAGGCAGGAGAATCACTTGAACCCTAGAGGCAGAAGTTGCAGTGAGCCAAGATCACACCACCACACTCCAGCCTGGCAACAGACTGAGACAAAAGAAAGGGAGAAGGGGAGTGGGGGGAGAGGAGTGGAGAGTGGGGGAGAGGGGAAGAGAGGAAGAGGGAGAATTTGTAGAACTAGGTGGTAGTATTAGCAATTAACCTTTTCTTGTCATTAGCACATAAAATATGTAACCACATGAAAACATGGAAACTGAGCAATTGTGGATTGCTTGTTACCAAAGAAAGAGTGAAAATATGAAATACACAATAGGGAAAGTCCATGCGGAATCAGTAGCACCTAAGCCATAGCTTGCAAATATGTAACACATTTGCGACCACTTCCCGCTTTATTATCTATCATGGAAATTGCTAATCAAAGACAGAACTCTTTATCTCTGGGTCCAGAGGTAGTCCAGAACTTTTCAAGGCAATAAACCACATGGCTGCTAGCAATCAGGTATAAGATATGCTATGACACTTAGTTTCCATTCCTTGTCTGACGAAAACCTCTGATACGATAGAATACCGTTTAGCAATACAAATGAATAAAGTACTGATACACTCAATGATATAAATGAATCTCAGTCATTATCCTAGGTGGAATAATTTAGACGCAAAAGCATACATACTGTACAATTCCATGTTTATAAAATTCTTGAAAGCATCTTGAGTGACAGGGACAAAATATAGATTATTGATTGCCTGGGACCAGCATGGTTGAAAGGAGTAATGAACTACAAAGAGGCAGGAGGAAACTTTTGGCATGATAGAAATGTTTGGTGTCCTGACTGTAGTAGTAATTTCATGTTGACTCATCATATTATAGACTTGAAATGGATACTATTTATTTTATGTAAATTATAACACAGTAGCAGAGACCGCAAATAGACAAAGGAAAAAATAAAAACAAAAAAAAACACGACATAAAACGAGTTAAGAAATAAGACAAAACACAGTATTACAAAGATTATCAGGATATGGAGGAAAGAACACTTTCAACTACTCAGTGCTGTGTGTATGTGTTTTCTGATCAGATAAAGTAGATGCAGAAAATAATTTACCAATCCTGACATCAAATACAATGATTGTTATCCCACCGAAAAACTTAAGCCAAGATTATTTCTGGAATTAAATTTGTATTAAAAGAGGATTTTTGACAGGCTAGTTTCCAATTAATTCCAAAATTGGTGAGTAGGTGAATTGTATGTGAAACTAAGATGAGACTAAATTTTGGCATGACATGACAAGAAAAATGATATTGAAACAGTAGGTGCAAGGAAAATGTCAGTCTGTTTGAGCAAATCAGTCTTGAGAATTACAGGATTTATAGTATCAAAGTTTCCTTCATTGCACCTTTATATAGGATGATGCCTATGCCTGAAAAATGCTTTCCTCCTTAGTCATTTGATAAACTCCTATTCAATCATCAAACTGTAGCTGAAGTGCCAGCTCCTTTACTAAGCCTTATTCCTTCTGTCACCTGATGTCAGGTGGGTGGACACTTTCTTCCATCAGGACACAATGAGTTGTATTATTTCCCTATTTCTTCTATGTGAAAAAAATGCATTAGATCATAAGTATATTGAGAAATGGATTTGTCATTTTATTTCACATTACATGGGAGCTGAATAAATTCTGTGTATGTGTAAATGAATGAATAAAATCCACTAAATTGGGTGATAACTCTACAAGATGATTATAAGTTATATCAGGTACTTATTTAACTTTTAGAAAATCAATTAAAATGTGTGTCTTTTCAAAACATATTGGGGTTTTACAAAAGTGATTCAGAAAATATATGCTCTATTTTCCAGTAACTTACCCAATACAAATTATGGGTGTCTAACAAACATCTAGCCCAAGAATATTTATATGCTATATAACAAATACACAAAGAAATTCCACATAGGCTAACTATTGCCTGTGGGTTAACTCTGCTCTGTTGTCCATTTTGGTAAATAAAGTTTCATTGGAATGTGGCTATGACCATTCACTTACAAATTGTTCATTGCTGCTTTCATGCTACAACAGCAGAGTTGAGTAGTGGTGACTGAGACCATGTGGCCCGCAAAGACACAGATATTTACTATCTGGGCCCTTAGGGGAAAAAAAAAATGCTGACAGCCCTTCAATATAAATATGTCACAGAGGTGTAAATCCATCTGGAGGTGAGAGGAATAGGGGATTTGTTAAGAATGTATGTTGCAGAGCAAACACTCTGCTCCCCCATTACCCCCAGATCCCATCTTTATTTGGTAAGTTTTAGAAGGAGTTTCACAGTTATCATGGCTTTTTCCCCAAGCCACCACTTGATGAACTGCCTCAAAATTCCATAAATTGAAGTTATGAAATGCCACGTATTTCTGGATTCTAGGTCTTCCTGCCAGCCTTGCTACCAAGGTAATCATTAGTAAACCCATTCTCTATGGAGTTCATGTCTCTCACTTGTAAAGTGAGAGGTTTGGACAGCATACTATTTTTCCCTCTTAAGGCAGGCCTGATTTCCTGTATATGTGATCTGTGTAGTCTCAGTTTCATTAAAACTCTCACCTATAGAATTCACTAACATTGCTTCACAGTCTGAAGCAATTTTGGTTCTGCACCTGGGCTCCAAGAGGTATGAGAACATTGAGAAGTAGCTGAAGCTAAAGTGTTTTGATCGATTGGTTTCTCCACCACTTTACTCCTTTCCCATTACCTATGTTTATTCTCGAGGTGTCCAGTGCTCTTGTATTTTCTGAGATCTCACCAGTGATGGACAAGAGGTGGAATCACTGTGTTTTGCATTCAAGGAATATTTGTGTCTATTAAATAAAACAATCTTGGAAAATGTTAAATAAAAAGGATATCAGATTGTCTAGGAACCTGGTTGTCTCATTTTATAGATGAAAAAGCCAAGAAGCAGAGAAGTCCCGGGACTTTCCCAAGTAAATGACAAAGCCCAGACAAGAGCACATGACCTGAATCACTCTCATCTGATTATTTCATTACTTCAAGGAAGAGGCAAGGCATTTCCAAATTTTTCTTCAAAGTACTGCAAATAGCAGGGGAACATCCTCTAGTTATTTTAATAATTCAAGGGAGGTACAAGGTTTTCCACTTTTTCTCCCCTGCAAAGCACTCTCTAAATTGCAGCCTGATGTACAACTACCACTTCAAGCTTCCAATTTGAAAAATGATAGTCATAATAATGGCTTAAAATGTACCATGTAACTTATGTGTCAAGTATTGTGCTGAGAATTTTATGTGACTCACCCCATTGGTTCCTTTTACTATCATAGCTGTGAGACTTTGGGGAAGTAAATTTACCTCTTTGTGTCTCAGCTTCCTCATATGTAAATTGGAGAGTACAGCTGGTACATAACCAAAGTGAAAGTAAAGGTTATATCCAAGCATGGTGGAAAGCTCTGGAGATTATATATTGCAGCATAAAGTAATATCCCAAAATGTAGAGACATAAAATAACATTAGGGACATCATTTCATGAGTCAGGACTTCAGGAGGGTTGCAGATTACTTGGTATCTTTTCCGTAGTTGTGTTCAGATGTTGGATAGGACTGCAGTCATCTGAAGGCTTGTCTGGATGGAATGCTCAAGATAATTCCCTCACATATAGCTCACAGCTAAGGCTGGCTCTTGCTTAGGCATTCACTGGGTAATGCTGATAAGAAGACCAGTACAAGGTGTTTTTACCAGTTCTGTCTCAAAGCAATCAAACTTCTTGCATAGCAGCTGTATTCACCGAGGGCAAGAATCTCAAGAGAAGCAGGCTAAAGCTGCATGACCTTTGATATCAAAAGTGTAACTTTTAACTTTATTCCTCTATTCGAAGTTCTCACAAGCTCAATCATTGTCAAGGATGAGTATAGACCTCACTTTTTGATTAATCGTTCTTTGCCAAAAGGGAGGAAAGACCATATCAACAGAGTTTCATATGATCTCCACTTTTTATTGTTCAAGTCTGCTAATGGATGGCGGAAAGTTTATTTTTTAAATGTATAGTAAAAATATCTAAGCTGTAACTTGGCACATATTTCAGTAGAAACGTAAATGTTATAACCTTTATAAAAGTTATGGCTTGATTTATGCAAACAGATTTGGGCTTGTTATTTTTAAGACTTTTGTGTAAATTTATACTTAATATACACAATTGGCTCTTGGTATGTTCTGTAAATGTGAGTAGACACCTAGATTCATCCTGAGGCAGGTCCTCAGTATGTAGGCATTAGAGAGCAAGTATATATCAAACAGTCACTCAAAACAAATACACCTTAACCAGCTTTGAAGAGAATACTATTGTTTAAGAGCTGATAGGGTTATAACAAAAAACATTTTTTTCTCTTGAGTAGCTTATATCTTAGTTTTGTGGAAGAAAATGTAAAAATTCAAAGATATATAAAGCAAATGACAGGCAATCATTTCTGTAGTGGATCAGTGTAGAGAAAAAGGTCCTTTTGGTAAAAAATGTAATAGGTTATTTAAATTCCTAATGTTAGATGCTGTAAATGTGAAGCAAATTTCCTAAAGAACTGCATGGAACATGTTTCTTTACTTTTATGTTGAGAGTCCCTCATCAGCTTGTGACCCAGAACAGCTTTTAAAATAATCTCTATGAGAAAGCCAAGGTTTACGTGCTTCTCATCTGAGAGGTAAGTAATGCATTATCCATCACAACCCTATATAGTGCTTGGTGGTCATTGGAGATATAGTGAAGGCAAAGGTCCATTTGCCTAGCTGAATTTTAGAATGTTCCACATGCCTTGTGACACAAGTTTTCTTGAAACTCAGCACAAAGAATAAACACAGTATTGCAATTCCTTTGGTTTCCAATGTCATTATCATTGTAATAACCTAAGGTTTATAATGAGCAAGTGTGACAATCAGCAAATCATTTAAATGTGCTATCAATTATTACATAATATTAAGAGTTAGAGAATAACTATAAATTTGTTGGGGTGATGAGACCCAACACCAGGTCGTGGGGGTAACAAAGTCCGGCAGAGTCAAAGGATTGAGAAAAAGACAGTGAGAGAAAAAAAAAGGTTGCACACCAGGGGGCCATCACTATTATATGGAGGCTGCGAAGGCCACAAGCTCTGAGCCCATGGTATTTATTGGTAATCCAACAAACAGGTGGTGAGAATGTGGAGGTCAAAAGGACACGTTGCATTAAGCACATGATTTACAGCTGTGACGGTTTAGCATTATAAGGAACATGTTTTCTGCTACTTGAGATAATGGGAATAGGAGTCTAGAAGGGCTAGAAGCAAGGAGCCAGCAAGTCTAGACACATTCCAGAGGACAAATGCAAGCCCTGCCTCAGTTTCCCTCCCAACACTCAGCTTTTTCCCCAACATGCCCCCCCTTTCTTTTTAGTAAAAGAGAAGGTATTATTGCTATCATTATTACTAGCATAAGAGGTGGCCTCTTTTAATTGAACAAGGCAATTGCAGGCTGTGCAGCCCTTAATTGCCAGTTGGTGATCCAGCTTCATTTTTCTTAGCGCTTATTCAGACTGGAGTCACCTCTGGTTCGAATGCTTCCCACATATTTCCCCTTTTCCTTTTACAAGAGGACCCTTAATCCTAGGGGTTGCAGGAGGATGAAGCTCCGTCTTCTGTAACTTCATGCTGAATAGGGGCGATGATACTCCTGCCTAACTATTAGGGTCTCTTGTATTCAGGGTAGAGAGGAGCTGAGTTAGAAAGCATTGATCCATTAAGCATTGTTGACTCTGGTTGGTCCTCCTTCCATCTTAGCATTCAGATTCAACTGGCTCATGGCTCATACTGGGGGAACCTGGTGCATGGTTGGGATCCATGGATCCCTCCAGTCTCCCGTTCCATGGTCATACACATCTTGAGGGCATCCACACAGTTCATTCATCTCCTGCAAAAACACAAGCATACCCTCATATGCCCACGTTAGTAAATCTACCAAAACAGAAGCAAAAAAAACTTGTGGCTATAGCCAGGAGTCCACCAATAATGAGAAACAGGTCTTTTCTGATTAACAGAAGGCATAGAGAAAGAAAACTGAGGCTTTTCAAACCTTCAATTTGCACTGTACAGGTGGTACCACTAGATGCTGTGGCTCATGATAGATCTTCAGATGTTTGGTGGGCACCCACATAGGCACCTGATTGTCACCTGGGGAGACACAAGCAAATCCTCTTTCCCATAAAATTGTCTTTGGGCAGGGATCGGAGGAAGTAGACTCAGAGGTAAGGAGAATTTGGGGGCCTAAATGGCTTCCTGATTTTGATAGGGAATTCCTAACTTTCGAGGGAATACCTTTCTCTCCATATTGTTATGTGAGCATGGAGGACTAGCAAAGCATAGTTAGAGCTGTATATATATTTACCCTTTTTCCTTCTAATTCAAGTGTATAATGGCCCCTGCTTTTGCTAGGATGTCTTTCCCTAACAAAGGAGTGGGGCTTTCAAGGCATAATTAGAAAGGCTTGTGAAAAGAGTAAAGTTCTCCAGTCACAACTTAGTGGCTGGGAGAAGTATCTAGTGACTGCCTGTCCTAGGACCCCTCAGATAGTGACAAATCTGGAGGACAGTTGTCTGGGACAGGAGAGTAAGATTGAGAAGCCCGCACCAGTGTCTAGGGAATAGTTAACCTCCTGGCCCTCAATGGTCAAGCATACCTGGGGCTCTGTGAGGGCGATGGCATGGGCTGGAGTTTGCCCCGGACACCCTCAGTCCTGCTGCTGGGTCATCTGGTTAGTGACTTCTGACTCAAAGGAACTTCATCCCCTGGGGCAGTGGGCCTTCCAGTGATTCCCTTGACATAAGGGGCATGGACGAGGGGGAGGCTTATTTCTATTCAGTCTTTTTTAAAGTGTCCTTGTAGACCGCACTGGAAGCAAGCCCTATTAGCCATTTGATCTGCCCAGCCTTTCCCTTTTCCAGAGCCTCCAAAGTCCGCTTGCCTGAGGGTCATGACTAAAGCAGTGTGTTCTGCCTGCTCCTGATCTCAAAAAACAAACAAACAAACAACAACAACAAAAAACCACACACACGAGGTTGCCAAGTTCAATAGGGTTTCTAAGTTTTAGCTCCGGGCCTAAGGTGGACTTTTGAAGTTTTTTCTAATGTCTGCAGCTGACTGAGTGATAAACTTCAAGATTAGTTGGCCTTCAATAGAGTCAGGTGACAGAGAGGTATGCTTCTTCAATGCCTCCCCCTTTGTCTCTCCAGAAAGGCAGTAGGGATTTCTTCCTTTCCCTGTGTTATAGTGGACATCATTAATTTATAGGCTTTTTCCTAGTTTTCCTTAGTCCTTCTAGCACACAAGTTAGCAAATGTCCGCTGCACCAATCTCCATATTCTGATTCTGTGTCCCAATGAGGGTCTACACCGGGAACTGCCTGCTGGCCTGTGGGGAATTGTTCTCTTTCCTCTGTTGTCAGCCTATCATTGACCTGAGATACCAGAGATCGCCAAACTCTCAGGATGCAGTTACGGCGGCACTTCTCTCATTTGAGGTTACTGTCTGATCTAGCAGTAACATTGTATCTCTCCATGTCAGATCAAAGGATTGTCCTAACCCTTGTAAAACATCAGTATAGCCATCAGGATTATCTGATAATTTACCTAGGTCTATTTTAATTTGCTTCAAGTCTGAGACGGAAAAAGGTTCATGCACTCTGGACCGAATTCTCCAGAATACATCTTAGGGGGGGTTTTGCCTTGGGGTTGGGGGGAACATTTCCCATCTGAAACAAGAACATAGGGATGCCAGCACCTCTAGTCATTTTCTGATGAGCATTAGTTCTACAGCGTCCTCTATGGTCCTAATGCTTATTCTTTTCCAGGGTGTGTCACCACCCGTGGACCTCTGCTTATCGGATTAGTTATGCTCACCAATGTAGCAGTCCTGCACCTGTTTTCCCGCCTTTCTTGACCACAGAGAAAGGGGTCCGGGCTGCTAGATTCTAGTGGTCCTTTACCAGCGTGCCCAACATTGCCTTTGCACTCAGAGGTGAATTATAGAGCTGAGCTGGGTTCTTATTTCATAACCCAGCTGCCCCATTAAGACGCATTCCCATAAACAGTTCTTACACAAATTCATTTCAGAGAGTGTAGGTAACATCTTGAGTCAGGATTGAGAGAGTTTTTTGATTCTGTAAATACTTTAAGGCTTGGCTGAGTGCTAACAGCTCACATGTTTGAGCAGACCAAGTATTAGGCAATTCTTCTAACTCTGCTTCTACAAGAGTTTCCCTATCAATTACTGAATACCCATTGTATTTTTTCCCCCTCAATCACCTGGGAGGAACCATCTATCATCCTGTCCTGAAGGGAGTTTCTCCTAGGTCTGGTCAGACCTTTGTATGGTAATTAAGATTTAAATCCCTCATTAGGAAACCTGCTGGGTTAAGGGAATTTTCAGTGGTTAATGTTAAAAGGAAAAAAAGTTGATTTAATATATATGTATTTTTATTATACTTTAAGTTCTAGGGTACATGTGCACAAACCTGCACGTTAAATCGCCTTTTTGTAATAGAGTAGCCCCATACTTTGAGTTAGTAAGCTACCTTTTTGTTTTTAATTTAGGATAGTTCTGAACTGGCGAGGTGTGCTCACAACAAGGTTTCCTCTACAAGTTATTTTTCTACTTTCTTCTGCTAGCAAAGAAGTTGCCGCTACTGATGGAATGCATTTTGGCCATCCGCGGGTTACTGGGTAAGGATTTTTCTTAGGAAGGCTACTGGTTGTCAGTGGTCTCAGTGCTTTCGGGCTACGCCCTTGTTTACACTGACAACAAGGTAGTATTGGAGTGTTACAGGGTCACGGAGAAGACCTTCGATTATCAATTATAGGTTTTAAATTTACCCTGGCTTTTAAAAAGAATAGGGTACACTTAAAAAAAACTACTTCTATATCTTTCTCCTTTGTAGGTGGATTTTGGAAACACAGCGGGAGGACGTTTGCTGTCCTCCCTGCTGGATTATAGTTATGGGAAATTGCCATGCTTCGAGATCTCCCTGGACTCTAGCCTTTTGAATAGAATTTTGTATAGCACCACCAATTGCTCCAGGTTTTAATGTTGCAGCTACGGGAGCTGTACGTTTTGTAGCTAATTCATCTTCTTGCCCATTAAGAGGCGAAAGAGGAGTTGGCCTTTCACTTAGTTCAGCAGGTAGAGCTAACGGGCTAGTAAAACATGCTTTTTTCAGTTTCCCTTTTAATTTCCTCTGGTTTCGGTTCCTCACATTTAGAATCTGAGGTTAGTTTTCCACGCTCATCTTCCTTTTCCTCATTTGAACCTGCCTCATCTGTTTGAAATGGCTCAAGAGCTACTTTTATTAGCACCCACACTGACCAAACCAAGACTGGACTTTCTGTTCTATCTTTATACACTTTTTAAAAATCTGCCAATTATCTCCCATTCATCCAACTCCGTAGTCCCTTGCTCCGGGAACCATGGGCAAAACTACTTTACTACACTAAAGAGTGAGTGATAAATTGAGTGCTAACTTTCACTCCCCCTCTTCATAATAAATGCCTTACGAAATTTAAGTAAGCAGAATGCCTTCACTTTGTCCCATTGTTACCCTGGTTCCTCCCAGCGCTCAGCTTTCCCACCGAGCTTCGTTTTAGACTTCCTCGGGTGTCCTTTGATAATGCATCCCCCACTTTCGCACGCTCTGGCGTTCTTTCACCGGGGTCTTTGTCGCCCCAAGTTGGGCAGCCGGGAATGTTAGAGTGATCAGACCCAACACCAGGTAGGTCGTGGGCGTGACAAAGTCCAGCAGAGTCAAAGGATTAGAGAAAAAGACACAGAGAAAAAGGTGGTATACCAGAGGCCATCGCTATTGTACGGAGGCTGCGAAGGCCCCATGATCTGGGAGCCCATGGTATTTATTGGTAATCCAACAAAGAAACAGGTGGGCAGAATGTGGAGGTCAAAAGGACACGTTGCATCAAGCACATGATTTACAGCTGTGACGGTTTAACATTTATATGAAACATATTCTGCTACCTGAGATAATGGGAATAGGAGCCTAGGAGGCTAGAAGCAAGGAGCCAGGAAGTCTAGACACATTTCAGAGGACATTATGCAAGCCCTGCCTCAGTTTCCCTCCCCACACTCAGCTTTTTCCTGAAAAATTTCCTATTAACCCACATGTATGGGTATTCATTTGACACTTAGACCATGATATTGTGATATATATTTGGTGGTATGCTTTCCTGTGGGATTACTCAGTGAATATTTTATATTGTTATCATTAGCATTTACCTAGTTCTTTTCCTTCCCCTTCCATACAAACATCTGCTGCATCCTACCTCAATCATGCATTCTCACTTTTCATTTTACTTTTTAAAAATATTTTATTCTTTAATCTCAGCTGGGAGATAATAAGACATGAGGAGTAGAGCCGTTACCTGGAGCAGTAACACAGACAATCAGTTACTAACAATTTGTTGGAAAAATCTCCTGAGTTTTTTTTTTATTTTACTACAGCAAAAGTGATTTGATAAACTGAGCAATTGGTCACATGAACTTAACTTGAATTGATAAGCAGAAACAGAAAGTTTGTCATTCATTGTCTTTAAGGGTAAAGGGGAATTGGGTAAATATTTGCCTTATTTTTTATGCCATCTATATTACTATTTCCAGAATGCAGTTTTAAGATAGGGTCATTAAGTTAGTAAACTTTGCCTAGGATCATATAAACTACCTTTAGATTTCTGAGATGAAACAGCATTTTTTAATACTTTTACGGATCTAAGATTTATGTGTTTTATGATTTAGCTAAAATTTCAGATATTTTTTCAGTCCTATAATTTCAATTTTTAAATTTTTGCTGAGATGATCTATAGTTTCATTTATCACAAGCATATTTTACCTTATGAAATTGAACATAGTTATAGCAGCTGCCTTAAAATCCTTGTCAGCCTACTCTAATATCTGCTTTATCTGGAAGTTGGTCTCTGTTGAGTGTGTTTTCTCTTGTAAATAGGTCATGCTTCCTGTTTTTTCTTTTCTTTTTCCCCTGTATATTGAGTAGCTTTGTACAGTATCTTGCACACTGCGAATTTTGTGTTGTAGAAAATCTGGATTCTGTTATCATTTTTCTAAGACTAGTCACCCTTGATTTTTAAGCAGGCTGAAATCAACCTACAAAACTTGTCTCCCCCATGAAGGATGGATTTCAAATTTCAATTCAGTTCTTTTATCTGAACTGCTTGATGTCAGCTCCATTCATGTATGGTCCAGGGCTGTGCTAGACTTCTGAGCAGTGATTAGACACAGAACTTGGTACTTTCACTATCTGGCTTTTCCATTTCTGGGACTTCATCTTTTTGAAATTCCTCCTTTACTTTTCTATAGTTGTAGTTGCTCTACACTCGATTCCCTGATTCTTCAAACCAGCACAGCTGTTTTGTGGCATATATTGGAGTTTTAAGTGCCCTGAATGTTGCAGACTTGAGCCTACCCTCAGTCTAAAAACAATAAAATATGAGAAATTTACATTTACCCAGTGCCATTCTCTTTTTCTGTAATAAGAGCTAACTCCCTTCCAGTTTCTGGCTGTGCTCCCCAAACCCCCCTCTAGTGTCTTCAAATAGGCCCCCTGTCCTCTAATTTACAGTCATCTTTAGGAGGTTTGTTTTGATAGGAGCTACTCAGCCAAATCTGAAGCAAAATTCTCAGATAATATGTGAAATGCAGGTGGAGGTTTGTTATCTACAATTAATATCCATAATTGAATTAAAAGCTTATTTTTAATCATATCGAATATATTATTCCCCATATTCCAGTCCTCCCACACTCTATTGATAGACTTTAAAAGATTGTTTTTAAACAAAATACTCTTTATAAACTAATTTCTAGAACACTAATTAAAAGATAATGTTCATAATTATAATTTAAATGATTTATGATTTGCTTCATTTGTAATCTACTGAGTATAAAAAAGATTTAAAATCCTTTAAAGTATTCTTCTATTTTAATAGGTATGGAATTTGAATTCTTTTGTGACACCTCTTGATGTGGCCCCTCTTACAAGGAATTACATTTTTAAATGACTGTTTAAAAATAAGAGTGAATAGGGCCACATGTACTACAAGGAAGTAAAGAGGAAAAGAATCACAATATTTTAAAAGTAATTATTTCTTGATTAGCATGTCTTACATAAGTTATACAAATCAGTCTCCTACCATGTGTCATAAAATAAATTCTGATTAATTTATTTTATATTAGTTTATTTCTTTTTTTATGATGAGAGAAATACTTGTTTTCAGAAAAAAATGTACTTCAGTGTTGGCCACAGATGATTACAATAGAAAGTTTTAACTCTAAATTTAAATTCTGACAAACACAGCTACTCTGTTTCTCCTCCAGACTAATAAAGTCTTTGCATAAACCAAGCATATTCTGGTGAGTCAATATGACAAATAAATTGAATTCATGCCCAAACTAATAATTTGCATACATTTACCAACAGTGCATGCTCTGTTTCATTTCTCTTGATACATAATCACTATAAATATAGGCTATTTGCAATACAAAACATAAGTTATCTACAAAAGCATTACTTATTCACACTGATATCATTTATATGTAAGATATTCTGTTCAGTTTGAACAGACCAATTTATTATTATATACAGAAAAGCTAGTCATAAATCCTATCTGGTTTTGCTTTCATGTTGAATCATATTTCTTGTACTCCTTAATTTAAATCTAGTTTCATTCACAAAAATCATTGTGTGGCATATATCACTGTCTTATTTACTATTTTGGTGATATAAAATAAAATATTATCATGTTCTTGAAAAAGCAAGTATCACATAACAGCAAAGTAGAAGGTAATCACCAATAATATTTATATATTTATTTCTATGATCTCTTTAAAGTTAAATGTTAATACAATTTGAATGTATGTCCCTGTCAAGTGTCATGTTGAACTTGAACTAATCCCCAATGTTTGCAAGTGGGGCCTGGGAGGTGTTTGGGCTCTGGGGATGGCTTGGGCCATCCTTTTGGTGATAAGTGAACTCTCACTCTGAGTTCACATGAGATTCAATCATTAAATAGTGTGGGCACCTCGCCTGCCACTCTCTCTCTCTCTTCTTCCTGCATTGCCCTTGGCTATGTGATGTGCTTGTTTCTGCTTTGTCTTCTACCATGAGTAAAAGTTTCCCGAAGTCTCCCCAGAAGCAGATGTCTGCACTGTGCTTCTTGTACAGCCTGAAGAACCATGAGCCAAGTAAGCCACTTTTCTTTATAAATTACTTAGTCTGAGGGATTTCTTTATAGCAATGCAAGAATGGCCATTTGTATTAACGAATATATATTTCTTTGTTAAATGTACACAAAATATGTTGCATGTAGTTCATCTTTGTGTCTATTTTAAATATATTTGGGTTAAAATCAAATAGGAGGGAGCCATGGTTTGTTTGCTTGTAGTAAGCACATTCTGTTCCTAATATATTTTTTTTCCAAGAATTTGTATGTATATTAACTTACAGTTGTGAACCCATGAGCACTGTTGCAGTAACAATTTTATTTCTTAAATATTTGTAAGTCAAAGAGATGTTGAAAACTGGAAGAGAACCAAACATAGCCATTCATTTTTGTTGTATGAAAGCTAGTTTTTGTGAAGAATTGTATCTAAAATGACTATATAAAAGACACAAGTAATGACAGGTCTTAAATAATGACACAGATTTTCTAGTACATTTATCAACAAGTTAGAAGTATTATACTAGTACAGAAGTCAAAGAAAATTCCATTATCTTTTATACAGTATATATAGTAACTAACCATATGTATTTTCATTTTATACTCCAATCAGCATTATCCTATTGGGTTTGACAAGAATTGTAGGATTGCATTTTCAAACAAAGATATGACTAACTCTTATTTATTTATTTATTGGAAAATAGGTATTTTAATATGTAAAAGAAGAGACATTGTTAAAATAAATTCTTAAAATAATTCTTACTCTCACATAATTAGTCTTTGAATAAGAATTCTGAACTTCGTAGTTTAATAATTAAGCATATGACTGGCATCTTTAAATTTTTTCTTAGCAAAAAAACGCATATTTGCGGTATTTTATTCCATTTTTTCAGTTTGTAGATTACCATGAAGCTTGCAAATACTATTTTATAACTCGTTATTTTAACCTGATAACAACTTAACACTTTTTGCATAAACAAATAAGCAAAAAGAAAATGAATAAAAACTCTATGTCCTAACTCTGTCCCCCCACTTTTTAAATTTTGTTGTTTCTATTTATATCTTATTGTACTGACAGTGTCTTGAAAAGTTATTGTAGTTATTATTTTTGATTGATTCATTGTTTAGTCTTTATACTTAGAATAAAAGTAGTTTACACAAATCAGAGCAGCAATAAATGAGACTGAAATGGAAAAAAATCAATAAAACAAAATGTTGGGTTTTTGTAAAAGTTAAATAAAACGATACATCTTTAGTCAGAATTAGAAAGTGAGAGAGAAGATCCAAATAAGAAATATCAGAAATGAAAAAGGAGACATTATAACTTATATGGCAGAAATTTAAAGAATCATTAGTGGCTACTATGTGTAATTATATGCCAATAGGATTGAAAATCTAGAAGAAATGGACAAATTCCTAGGTACATGCAACCTACTAAGATTGAACTAGGAAGAAATCCATAACACGAACAGACCAACGACAAGTAATGAGATTGAAGCCATAATAAAAACTCTCCCAATAAAAAAAATGCCTGGGGCCTGATTACTTCACTGCTGAATTCTACCAAACATTTAAAAAATAATTAATACAAATTTTATTCAAACTTTTCCAAAATATAGAGGAGGAGGGAATACTTCCAAATATTTTATGAGGCCAGAATTACCCTAATACCTAAACCAGACAAAGACACATAAAAAAAAAAAAACTACAGGCCAATATCTCTGATGAATATTGATGCAAAATGCTAGCAAAGTAAATTCAACAATAGGTAAGAAAGATCATTCATCATAACCAGTGGGATTTATCCCTGGGATGCAAGGATGGTTCAACATATGTAAATCAATCAATGTAATTCATCATATCAAGAGAATGAAAGATAAAAACCTTATAATCATTTCAATTGATACTGAAAATGTATTTAATAAAATTCAACAATCTGTCATGATAAAAATTCTCAAGAAAACTGGGGATAGAAGGAGCATACCTCAACATAATAAAAGCCATATATGACAGATCCACAGCTAGAATAATAAAGAATGGGGAAAAACTGGAAGCCTTTCTTCTAAGATCTAGAACATGACAAAGATGCCCACTGTCACTACTGTTATTCAACCTAGTATTGGAAGTCCTAACTAAAGCAATCAGAAAAGAGACTGGTATAAATGGCATTCAAATTGAAAATCAAGATGTCAAATTATCCTTGTTTTCAGATGATATGACCTTATATTTGGAAAACTCTAAACTCCACCAAAAAACTATTAGAACAGATAAACAAATTCAGTAAAGTTGCAGGATACAAAATCAACATAAAAAATTTAATAGCATCTCTTATGCCAAAAGTAAATCATCTGAAAAATAAATAAAAAGTAATCCCATTTACAATAGCCACACATAAAATTAACTACCTAGGAATTAACCAAAGAAGTAAAAGAGCTCTATAATAAAAACTAACAAGCATTGATTAAAGAAATTAAGGAGGACACCATAAAATGGGAAAATATTTCATGTTCATGGTTTGAAAGAATCATTGTTGTTAAAATGTTCATATTACCCAGTTATCTACAGAGTCAATGTAATCTTTATCAAAATACCAATGCCATTCTTCACAGAAACAGAAAAAAAAATCCTAAAATGTATATGGGACCACAAAAGAACAAGAATAGCCAAAGTTATCCTAAGCAAAAATAAAAAAACTGGAGGAATCACACTACCTGACTTCAAATTATTCTACAGAGTAACAGTAACCAAAACAGCATAGTACTGGCATAAAACAGACACATTGACCAATGGAACAAAATAGAAAACCCAGAAACAAATCCACACACCTCTAGTGAGCTGATTTTTGACAAAGTTTCCAAGAACATACACTAGGGAAAAGGCAGACTCTTCAATAAATTATGCTGGAAAACTGGATATCCATATGCAAAAGAATGAAACTAGACCCTTGTCTTTCATCATATACAAAAATCAAACCAAAATGAATTAAAGACCTAAAAGTCCTAAATCTAAGACCACAAACAATGAAACTACTTCAAGATAACCTTGGGGGAAATCTTCAGGACATTGGTCTGGGCAAATATTTCCTGAGCAATACCCCACAAGCACAGGCAAGCAAAGGAAAAATGGACCAATGGGATCACATAAATTTTAAAAGCTTCTATACCACAAAGGGTGGAAGAAAATATTTACAAGCTACCCACCTGACAAGGGATTAATAACCAGACTATATAAGGAGCTCAAAAAACTCTCTAGGAAAAAAAATCTAATAATCCTATGAAAAAATGAGCAAAAGATTTGAATACACATTTCTCAAAAGTCATAAAAATGGCAGACAGGCATATGAAAAGGGACTCAATACCATTGATAATCAGAGAAAGCAAATCAAAACTACAATGAAATATCATCTCACCCCAGCTAAAATAGTTTATATCCAAAAGACAGGCAATAACAAATGCTGGCAAGAATATGGAGAAAAGGGAACCCTCATATACTGTTGATAGAAATGTAAATTAGTGCAGTCACCATGGAGAACAGTTTGGAGATTTCTCAAAAAAGTAAAAATTGAGCTATCATATGATCCAGCAAGCCTACTGCTGGATATATACCCACAAGAAAGGAAATCAGTATCTTGAAGGGATATCTGTACTCACATGTTTTTTTTTTTTCAGCACTGTTTACAATAGCTAAGATTTGGAAGCAACCTAAGTGTCCATAAAAAGATGAATGGATAAAGAAAGCATGGTACATAAACACAATGGAGTACTATTCAACCATAAAAAGTAAGGAGATTCAGTCATTTTCAACAACATGGATGAAACTGAGATCATTATGTTAGGGAAATAAGCCAGGCACAGAAAGAAAAACATATTTATTTGTGGGATCCAAAAATCAAAACAATTGAACTCATGGACATAGAGAGTAAAAGCATGGTTACCAGAGGCTGGGAAGGGTAGTGGGTGTTGGCAGGAAGTTGGGGATGGTTAATGGGTACACAAAAAAATAGAAACAATGAATAAGATCTACTGCTTTATAGCACAAAAGGGTGACTGTAGTCAATAATAACTTGATTGTACCTTTGTAAATAATTTAAAGAATGTAATTGGATCGTTTGTAACTCAAACGATAAATGTTTGAGGGGATGGATACCTCATTCTCCATGATGTGCTTATTTCACATTGCAGGCCTGTGTGAAAATATCTCATGTATTTATATATATACTATGTACCCACATACATTTAAAAAAAAAGAAAATTAGATTCAGCCTAGCTTGTGGCAAACGAAGAATGTGATCTATCTTGAGTGAGCAGTGCAAGCAGAGGGGATTAAACCTTTTACATATAGAGAGTGAATAACATCATGAAAACAATGTTTTAAAAGATTTGCCTTCTCTGGAAGTATAGTGAAAATTATCATGGAGAGAAATTAGAGATGAAGAGTTAGGAGATACTCTACATATGTGATTATGAGAGCCTGAAGAATCATGAATATATGTAATACAGTACAGAGAAATATTTAAAAGATATTTGACAAAATAATTGACAGAACTCAGTGGATCTTTTGAACTAAAAAGATAAAAAGGGGTAGATAATAATCATAGCCAAGTTTTCTGAGCCCAGAATGTTAAGTAATTGATAAGGCCCCTAAAAAACAAAATTAAAACTGCTAGAATTTGAAAGAATATGTAAACCAAAATTGTAAAATTACTTTTTATCTTAACAATATTCCTTAATCAAAAATTAAATAATCCTTAAGAATGCTTAAAAATTTTTCAATAATTGATTCTATTCTGCAGAGACTGACATTTTATCAAGTTAGGAGTATAAGGAAACCCAAGAAGATTCTAATTCATAGCAATGGTTTAAACCCTATTACCCTAAATTATCTTCCTGTTCAGAAAAAATAATCAGAGGCAAAATATCAATTATAATATTGCCACTTGGCTAAAATTTCTTTGGATATATGTTCTTTGAGAAATAAAGATGAGTATCAACTTCTATATAGAGTCATTAGATTACTTGTAAATTATCAAAGTGATCTCTATGCTGAGTGAAAGTGGTCCATTTCTTGCCATATATGCTAGTGTCAAACCATGAATAGTACATTTTATTGTGACTCAACTTATTTGTTTTGAAAGAGTGGCCCCCTGTAGGTAGATTCAGTTTGAGGCATGAGCACAGATTATATAAGGTAATTATTTTAAATAATTAATAGTACTCTATTATTTATAATAATTGATTATACCAAGTAATAATATGATAAACAATTCAATTTGGTCTAGCTCTTGAAAATTGCTAAGACACAATTAACTGTGAAAAATTAATTGGAGATTAACACATGCAAATTATTAGAAGAAAAAACAAAAGGCCCTCTGATGTTACAAACCACTGGTGAGAATTTCAATTTTTACAGATTAAATGAAGTGGTTTTTATATTAACTATGACAGAAGGGAGGTATAAATGCAGGAAATAAACATAATCACTTTCAAGGAGTAAAGAAGAATAGGAAAAGGGAAGGCTTTATTCAGTGTTTTGGTAGAAAACAAGTAAGTTTAACGTTACTAAAAGTAATTGGAATAGGGAGAAGAAAAGCAGAGTCTCTGGCATTTTCATTTAAATTTCAATTGCATATCTTTTTATCATATCACCTTTAAAAATAACCAAGCAATTAATAATAATCCATTATAAAAAATTCCAATGAGATAAAGTAATATTCCTTTATGCCATAATTTATAGGTTTTATTTATTTACATTTGTTTTGTTATTTACATTTTAGAATCCATCTTTATCTTTTTCAGTCATTGTTTTGAAAAAGCTTTCATGTGAAAGCATGGATTATAATCATGAGACATGAAACACCTTCTTCAGTATTTCACACTCTATTGGGATGAAACATACAGGCACGCAAGAAATAATGTGCATCATGGTAAAATCTAGACATATACATAATTCTACAGTGGCCATTATTTCACTGTTGTATTAGCAGCGTTCTTCACAATGAAGATCCTCAGGCATAATAGGCTATCAGTGTATATTTGGTGAAATAATGTATAAGGGTAAAGATGAAGTGGAATTGATAAGGAAGCATTCTTTCTTTAATTCACATAAAAAACAAGAGTCTAAAGTAATGGCTTAACAAAGAGATACAGACACAAGAAAGGATATTTGCTTTTACCACTTTCGTTTGGCATTGTATTTTCAGATCCAACCAGTATAAGGCAAGATAAGAAAGTATAAGGGCTTTGGGAGCCCAAGGCCAGCAAATAGCTTGACCCCAGGAGTTGGAGAGTAACCTGGGCAACATGGCAAAACTTCATTTCTACAAAATCTTTTAAAACTGCCAAAAAATTAGCCAGGTGTGGTGGCACACACCTGTAGTACCAGTTACCCAGGAGGCTGAGGTCTGAGGATCACCTGAGCCCAGGAGGTTGAGGCTACAGTGAGTAAAAAAAGAAAGAGTGAAGAACATCTAGATCTTTGAGTGAAAAAGAATGAAATCAAGCCTCTATCTTATACTGTACAAAAGCATTTGTTTAGATGAATCATGGGTCTAAATGTGAAAGCTAAAGTAATAAAAACTTTAGAAGAAAATATTGGAAAATATCTGTATAATCTTGGTGTAGTCAGGAGCTTTTGAAGCACACATAAAGTACTAGCAATAAACTGGAAAATTTAAATTGGTCAAAATTAAAAATTTTTACTATTTGAAAGATATCATTAAGTCAATGAAAAGCCAAACTGAGAGAAATTGATACACACACAAAAACACACACATATGGCAGGATTTTTATCCAAAATATATAAAGAGCTTCTATAATTCAATAATTAAAGATTTTTCAGGAGAGTTTAAAATGTACAAATAACTTGACACAGAAACTTCACAAAAAGATGTTATACAAATGACCAACAAGCATACAAGATGATGCTTAATATATTTAGCCATCACAGAAATGCAAATTAAATCATAACTAGATGTCACTTTATATCAGGAGGGTGTCTTTTAAAAGATTAACAATACAGTGATTGTGATGGTGTGATTGCTGGTGAGGAAGGAAAATGGTAAAACCACTTTGAAAACAATTTGGCAATTCTTATAAAATTAAACATAAACTTACAGGAAGATACGGCTATTTCCCTTTTAGATATTTATCTAAGAGAAAAGCAAACATACGCTTACAAAAAAAAACAAAACTCATATAACAATGTTTATACTGCGGCAGCTTTCCTCCTAATAGACTAAAGGAAGAACCCAGCCAGGTGCACATCACTGGATAATTATTAAACAAATTGATTTACTATTGCAATGAAGTACTGCTGAGCTATGACAAGAAATAAACTACTGATATACAAAACAGTATTTTTAGTAAACTAATCCTAACACGCAAAAAAATATGTTATTACTGTGTTAAGATATTCTAAACATGCAAAACTATGCTATCGTGAAATATGATCAGTAGTTACCATTAATGAGGGTGTGGAATTCCTGGGGAAATACAAATAACTTTCTGCAATAATAGAAATCCTCCATATTTTATTTTTGCTATTTTAACTAGATGTTCATATACCTTGTCAAAGCCCCCTGAAATAAAAGTTGTGCATTTTACTTTGTGTATATTATACCTCAAGTAAGAAGGTATATAACTCTACTTGGGAGAAGGAATAATAAAAAGGAGATGCAGATATTAGAAAGATTTTACTGGACAAATTAGAGAACTTGGGACAGGCGGAATATAGGAGAAAAAGAAGAGAGTTTCCATTGACTCTAATTCTACTACATTGCTCTTACCTTCAAAATGTCTAGAATTAAGGAGACATTCATCATTGTAAGCAGAGTATATGCAACCTTTATATGGCCCTGATATTTAATCATGCTTTATTAAATATGTTAAAATATTAGTTCATGAGAAGCAGCTACAATATACCATATGCCATTTTCTATTTTTACTTAATGCATTCTACCAGTTATTCAAATATCTACATGAAATTCCCTTTTCTCCTTTTCATTTGCTTCTCATCTGTTGGAACCTGTTTTGACTTACAGTGTTCCAGAAAGGTTAGTTCTCTCAAAAAATAAGGTTTCTGGCCTTGAAAACTTAAGTAGAAATGAAGAATAGTTTCTGTCTCACTACCTGTTGCTATATCTTCAGTTTTAGTTTCTATGTATAAATATTTTTTATCTAAATACCATTTGTAATAGAACATTTTGAAATAAAAGCACATCCATTGAAATAATATATTCATTATTATATCTCTATGGAGAATCTAAGCAAAAAAATTTCCAAAGAACTCTAAATAAATTATATTCAAGATATTCTTGAACAGATTTATCCTATTGCTCTGGTGACAGTAAGCTTAGAAAGCCAAATTTGTTTTCATACTAATTCAGAATCTTGATATATTAATAAAAAGTCAAAACTCTTTAAAAATGTATTAAAAGGAATAATATTTTCTTTATTCTGGTATGTCCAAAGTATATGATAAATGTTAGGTGTTCAACATCCCTTATGTAACTGGTATAATTTATCTGAATATATCAATATATACTTTAAATTTCATTTATGATATTTGCTTCACTTTATTGTCCATTATGTTTATAATCTCATTTTGAATTCTCTATGCTATATACTGATCATTTGTTTTTAATTGTTTTATTAACTTTTAGTCATCTTCTGTATTTGGCCATTTGAGAACTAAATTTTAGATTAATTCTACTTAGCTTAGGATTTTCTATAGACATTTATAAAATTTCTATAAAAATTATATACATTGTTTTCTATAAATTGTTCTTAATACATTGAGAAATGTTATTACTGGCAGAATACTCAATATATCTATTTTATGAACATCCTTTCAATTTCTATACTGGAAGTAACTTGTCTTCACTGAAATATTGGTATTTATTCAGTATTTTTATTGTCTGTATTTAGTAACTGTCTGTGTATGTGTGTTTGTGTAAATTTGGCAACATTCTTTGTTCCCTAGTTTTTAAAAATATGAGTGATAACCTCTTGAATGGTTTTCAATTTCTTTTTATATTTCAAGCTTTATTTTCGTGGGTTCTTTTTTATTATTTACTGTATGTTCTATTCACTGACTTAAGTGCACTTGCTGCTGAAACACTTCTCATGTTCTGAATCAGTGTCTGTCTCTACAGCAGTGGAACAATCCACAAAACTAGAGGCCACTCAATTTCAGACACCCTTTATTTTGAAGATATGGAGCCTGAGGTATGAAGTGGTTCTCTGATGCCTGAACTGTGCCACTAAGAATATATATTTAGAATTACAGTTTGCTGTGTGTAAGTACTAACTGTCAAATTCCAAGTAATAAGTATCTTAACATAGGATGTGTGCATGTATGTGAATGTGTGTATGTAACATTTGGGGGTCAGTTGAAGTGTAGGACTATGCGAGTGGCTTTTATTGCCCAGGGTTAAGTGTGATACTGTTTTTGGATAGAGCCATCTGGTGATATTCTGCATTTTGTTCACTTTAAATATTCTTAGTCTCCTATTTATAATAGGGATATTGTGAGATTTCTGAGTAGGGAAATTTGGTATTTATAAAACGAGGATAATAGATGTTGGAGAGGGTAGTTATGAAACTAGTATTTTTTTATGAAGAGATTGGGGTTTCTGGGATTCTTCTGATGTATTCCTAGTGCAAATAAATTGATCCCATACATCACAAATGTCCAATGTCTTATAAGAAGTGAGTAAGATCACTAGAGGGGACCCTGAGGTCAAACAAATGTGGCAAGTAAAACTTTCTCTCCCTCTTAATAATCCCACAGTGTATTATGGATTTGGGCTGTTAACACAACTGAAAAGAAAGATTAATATCCTTTGAGATCAAAAAAAATTTGAGCCAATATTATTTTCACTATCATTATTTATTAAGCCATTTCATTTTCTTTCAAATTGCAAGACAGAAGTGAAAGTACGCAGCAATATAACTACGACAATATGATCAAGAAAAGGTAGAAAGAGAAGAACAGTGCTATGCATAGAGTAAAGGCAATGCATTTTCTTACTGGCAGGGTAACAACACATAATTTTAAAAAATATTTAGGAGTGATTCTGTGTATATATAAGCAGTTCATGCTGAATCATTTAGATTCCAGGAACAGCAAAACAGATTTGACATTTTTAAATAATATATCGTAGAAAAGATAAAGGGGCTTTCAAACATGCCCAGTATATGAGCTTCGTGCTGGAGAATGAGTTAAAAGAATCCCCAACAAGTGAATCAATGTGAGTTCTCTGTGTTCTGGTGAGAAATGCCATTCAAAATTGATGACAAGATTTCTGACCAAGATCTATTTTGGGCTAGCTTTCTTCATAACCATCTCTGACCTTACACTCAATGTCTCCTTGACTTATGTTACTGACATCTGAAATTAGAAATGAAATGTTAATTGCTAAGCTATACACATAGGTTGTTTCTTCACTCAGTAGCAGTCAACCTAGAGGTAACCAGGAAGAATGTAGATGTTTCTTTCAAAACTAGTTCTGAAAAACAAAACCTCAGCAGGCATAAACTATTATTAAACTATGACTTATGTAGTCCTCTGCTCCCTACTTTCCTGATGATAATCAGACAGATATTAATTACAGTTACACAACACTGATGATTGGGATCAGCCCATCAGGTTAGAAAAAATAAAGATCTAGTCCTAACATTTTTTTTTCCAACTCACTACTCATAACAGAGTGTGAAAATAATGTTCATTACCTTGTTTTAATTGGAGAAAAAAAGCCTTCTCTCAATTGCTTTGGTGTTTTATTATTTCAGTAAGAAAAATATAGGTGATTTTTAAATGTCTTAGAAAAAGTGTTATTGTTGCACTTTGGACAATTTATGAACAAACAAATACTCACACGGAATCAACGATAATGCTTAAATATATATGATCACATGCAAGGCAGAGGAAACATTCCTAAATAACCGACTTAACTATCACAGCAATTTATATTATAGACTGACTCAGGTACTCAAATATACCAAAATTAGGTCAACACACTCTCATTCAATAAAAATGCATTTATCTGCTTTCAATCCTATTTTCTTTAGCACTTCTATATTAACCTGATCATGAAAGATTAGGGTTCTAACAGAAAAAGGTAAAAAAATAACTTTTAAATTTCAAATCATCTTCATAATAGCCCAGTCACAAATGGGGAACAGAATTCTTCTTACCTTTAGGATCTTGACATTATTGAGTTTTGCTATCATGATCCTTACTTTACTTTTCTTTGCTGTATCTTCTGACATTTTTAATCACTGATGCCCTGTTCTTTTGGGGGTTTATTTTAATGAAAAGAGCTTTCTCGGTTCTCCTCTTGACTTAGGCTTTGGTTCTGTTTTGTTTCAAGATTTTCAGTGTACTGACATTTGAAGGTTTCTTGGTGCTTTAGTCTCAATTTCATACTATAATTATTAGTATGTATGTTCCCTGGTCAATTTCATTTCTTCTGTCATCTGACTTCCTTTATATTCTTTTGAGTCCTCAATTCATCATTGCAACACTCTACAAGGCATCCAATGTCTCTTCAGTATTCTTTGTGGATTGTAAATACCACCGGCTATATAGTTTCTCAATCCATAAATATATACCTTTTATTATTTTCTTTCATTGAATATCTGTATCTACTTGATTGGTAATTAATTAGGAAAAAGTATCCACTCAATATTGTCACAGAATTAATTTATAGTATCAGAATTAATTATAATCCTGATTCACAGGAAAATACTCAAATCTATTTCTGTAGGCAAATTTGGGTGTTTAGATGATTTAAAAAGTTTTGTTCCGAGTTTTTTTTTCAGAAAATTTTTTATTTTTATTTCAGGCAGGCAGGCAAGAGTATTAAGATTTGAGCTCTAGCTTTAGGTCAAATTGGCCCTACAATTCTACTGTTATTATATTTTTTATGATACTTTAAGTTCTGAGATACATGTGCAGAACATGCAGGTTTGTTACATAGGTATACACATGCCATGGTGGTTTGCTGCACCTATCAACCTGTCATCTACATTAGGTATTTCTCCTAATGCTATCCCTCCCCTAGCCCCCCACCCCCCAGCAGGCCCCGGTGTGTGATGTTCCCTTCCTGTGTCCATGTGTTCTCATTGTTCAACTCCTACTCATGAGTGAGAACATGCGGTGTTTGGTTTTTCTGCTCCTGTGTTAGTTTGGTGAGAATGATGGTTTCCACCTTCCTGATTCATCCATGATGAACATCGACGCATTCTGAGCTTTTGTAAATGCTTTCATCAGGACTGTAGACTGAGTCTGAGAACTCGCAAAACATCTATTTTACATCTGTCTATATAAAATATATATGACAAATATAGTTGAAATACGTAAAACTAACAGAGTTTATATCCAGAATATGTACCGAGGGTCTACAAATCAATTTAAAAAATGATAGGAATCCTAAAAGAAATATGGACGAAAGACTTGAGCACTATTTTTAAAGAAAGAAATGAGGATACCCAGTCATTAAATATATGAAAAGTGGTTCAACTTCATTATTATATAGATAAATATAAATTAAAACTACAGTGTGATATCCCTATGGATAAACCAGAAGTTGAATTTTTTTAAAGAAGAAAAAAATAATAAAAAGAACAGCAACAAAAAATAAACCACAAGTTTTGGTATGTGAAGAAACGGGAGCTCATAAACAGCTTGTGGGGGAGTGATTTGGTTAACCACTTTCAATACCAGTTTCACATTATTTACAGACTCTAAAGACAGGTGTTGCATATCAAGAACTGTTCTGGTATTTGTTCTGAGTTCTTGGAATAAAGCTTCTAAAATTTTTGGAATACTCCAAGTGACAGGAGTGTCTTTATTACTCATTGGCTTCTTGGGATACACCTTAGTTTAGCTGGACAATTTAGGATGGGAGCTGGTCATTGGAAAGATTAACCATATGATTAGGAGGTTGAGGCTTTGAGCCAGTTCAACCTCCAGGCAGGGGAGGATGTCTGGGTGATTGACTTCAGTCAGATGGTCAATGATTCAATCAATCATAAGTGTGTAATAAATCTCCAAATAAAAACCCTGGACACTGGAGTTTGGTGGACCTCCTGCTTACTGGACACATGAATGTTGTGGGAAGGTGATGCACCCTGATTCCATGGGGAGAAGGCGCAGAACATCTGCATTTGGGAACTTACCATACCTTGTCCTAGAAATCTCTTCATTTGACTGATCCTGATTTGTATCAGGATAAATAAACTGTCAGTATAGAACTTTCCTGAGTTCTGCAAGTTGTTCTGGTGAATTTTCAAAACTGAATCATTCATGGGAACACCCCTGGATTTGTAGCAAGCAAGTCAGAAATGTGGTTCAACTTCATTATTGAAACAGGGGAGACTAGGGAACCCCTAAACTTGCTGCTGGCATCTGATGTGGTAACATTCCTAATGGTGATAATGCCATGAGCTCCTGGGATTTGCATTAAATCCAGATAGTTAGAATTATAATTGTATTTCAGTACAATAGGCATATACTAAAATCCAACAATTATACTCCTAAGCATATTCCCTAGAAAAATGTGTCCATGTGTGCACCAGAAAACATGTATAAGATGTGTTATTAGCAACATTATTCATAAGTCAAAACCTGAATAAGCCATAATCCCAAATGCATTTTAACAATACAAGGAATAAAATTGTTTATCTTCATAAAAAGAGTACTAAGCAATGAAAATTACTGAACTGGAACTACATGCAAAAATATGCTTGAGTTTTAAAAAATTTTTTTTGAATGAAAGCAGCTTATAACAAAAGAATGTAGAATTGCAATTTCCCTTATGAATAATACCCATATAAGAAAACCTAAACAAGATTGTTTATAAAACCTTATATAGAGAGTTAATATATACATAAAATAAGAAATATACAGAAATACAAGGAAGTGATTACCATAAAATTCAGAATAGTGATATTCTTTAGAGGGAAGAAATAATGTTATTACTAGGATGGGCCAATTAAAGAATCTAAGATGCTGACAAACATTTCATTTGTTGTCGCAAGTGGTGGTTACATAAGTGTTTGTTTTGTGGAAATATTTTGCTAAATATTTGATTCATGCATATTTATATATGTAGGCTATATTTCGCTACACAAAAATCAGTATCATTTTTTGTTTCATAATTTTGGAAACTGTGAAAAGTTTTCCCACTTCTTTTCAACTAGCTTTGACCCACATTGATAACAATTCGATCGTGGTTTTCACATAAAAGTTTGATTTGAAAATAATGATTGAAGACAGTTATTATGTGACAGGAGATATGCTTCCTAAAATTATTTTCATAATTTATTTGATGAGGATACCATTAATACATTAGCAAAGTAGAACTGGGCTTCAGCTAAGCTCCTTACAAAATGTAAATAAAACATTAGAAAGTAGAGTCCGAATAAATGAAATTTTAGGAATGTAAATTTTTCTTGTCATAAGACAAGCTTTACTTTAGCCAGGGTCTGGGAAATTAACTAATGTTCTATAGCTCAAATTTGAAACTGCCAAGTAAACACATACTGTTATAAAAATATATGATGTTTGAAATCATAGCAAATCAATGTTTTGCCAAATAAAGTAAAATAATTTTAAAATAACCTACATATTATTTTTGAGTAAATGCTGAAAGGTAGAGATAAATAAATGGAAATTCTTCAAAACAGCTTTTGATATAGCTTATCACACATTCTGCAATCATTATAATTTTTTAACAAAATATTTAAAATATTCTAGGCAATAAGTTGTGAGCTTTGATTTCATTGCTTTCTCCAAACCTCCCCAACATTTATTTTAAAATAAACTATTTTCTTAAAATATGACAATAATATAAATTTGATGTGAAAATGGCTTCTTACTATTTTTATTTATTTTGTATTCCTATTACTCAAATTGTTGTATAATGAATGCATTAAAATAACTTTTTTTTTGTATTTTTGAAGAGCAGCAGTTTATTGCCTAGAGCAGTATTTCTGAAATGTGGTTGCACACAGTAATTAATAGTAGATGAAAATTCTGACTCAGTAGGTTTGGGGTGTGGCCCAAGTATTTGTGTTTTTGAAAAACTCTATGAAAAAACAGATATGCAATATAATATGAGAATAAATAGATGCTATATAAATTCCTATTTATTAGTATCATTTTCTCCTTTTGGAAGTGTGTATAATTATCTCCAGTAAGAACGGTTCAGTTCTTATGATATGTGATTTTGCCCTATTCATTCTTAATTTTTATGATGATTGTTAACTTGTTGCAGAATACAAAAACTGGGGAATTGTAGTTTTTCCTTTCGATTTAGGATAATAATTAATATAAAGAATATCTCTCCTTTTCCATACTCTTGACCAATGGAAAATTATGGCTGGCCTTTTTTATTAATAGGAAGTCTTATTTAAACAATTTCCAAAGTGGTTCCACATTTTTATTAAAACCTGAACTACTGTTTGAACATATGCATCCCTAATTTATTTCCAAACTTTGATCTTCTGAACCATTTAAATCAACTACCTACCCCATTACATTAAAGCAAATATACAACACAAATGTTAACATTTACTCACCTTGGTTTCAACATCATTGTCTGAAAAGGGGTGGGACTCTCTAGAAAAGGCTTCCAGGAATGAGGTATTTGGGGACATAACAAGCCTAAACTAGCCTGTTGGGCTGCCTGACAATGCATACAGCTAACCCATCCCTTCATCTGTTTGTATGTGTGGGAGTAGCAGAACTTTTTGTAATTATGTATTGACAGCCTTAGAAGTAATTGAAAAGTACAGAATTTCGAAGTCAGGCCCACATTTAAACTGACAAATACACTTGACCACTCCGCTTCATTTTTTTCATCGTTAATAGAAATAATTATGCTTTTGAGGTGAAAAGTATTGATCAGTGGAAGATTTTCTTGTATAAGAGGAAGGGAAAGCCATAAAGAGTAACTAGAAGAAATAGATCACGTTAACTTAAATTCAAGAGAGACTGGAAACACAGCAAGATCATGGGGCGAGAATGACATTCTGAGGAGAGAAGAGCTTTAAAAAATGGACAAAAAACCCGAGAAAAAAAATCATGAAATGGTTTTTATTTCACTAATCAGAAAAGTGACAGAAGTCCAGATCATAGCAGGACTCTAATCAGGTAAATTCAAAGAACATTCTCAAAACTGCCCTGTAAATTCCTAATTTCAGGCACAGAGGTATATGTGCCTTATGATTAGAGAAAAATAGTTAAATAAAGTAAACAACTTTTAGAGTACAGGGCAACAAATGTCTTTTTAGATTTGTACTAGAGAACCATTTGGAGAAGATTTTCGCTAATATTTGGGCCACAAAGAGTATTCTCCATATTGTAATATCTGATATTTACTGAATACTTATCATATGTCAGGGACAGTTAGCTCTAAGTTATTTGCATGTGTTAAGTTATTTAATTCTAATAATAACCCCTTGAATAAATATAATCCCCCTTTTGCATACGAGGAATCTGAGATAAAGAGAAACTAAGTAAATTGTCCAAGGTCACCTAGCCTGTCTGTGGATACTTAATATTTGATGAAAATAATATTGATGTATACAGAATATAAAAGAAAATTTTTCTAAACTGTAAGTTTTTCTATAATCTACCAAGTCATTTTCCTTTTGGTTTCCTTAGAAAAAAAATAAAATCACTAATGATCATCTCTATATGAAATTTGAGCTATCTTTTACAGAAAATGTATTTTTATTGAAATTTCTATTACTTGTAAAAATGAATTATACATGTACTGACAGAAAATGGGCCTTTCAATCCTCTTAATAAAAATAAAATAAAGTAGTAGAAACATTCCATTCTTCAAAACCAATAGCCAGCGTCATTTTACCTTATAAATAAACTCAATCTTTGCAATTAATTTTTCCTCAGGTGGAAAACATTTCCAACTTTTTGACCCCAAGTACTTTAATAAAGTGTCTAGCTTTCCCTGTTTTCCTCCCCATTTTTTCTTCCTAACTTCACAGACTAGTCTAGGACAGGAATCATGGTAAACATGTTGGTATTGCTATCAAAAAAGACCATGAACCATAAGGTGAACAGACATTCTTTTTGTTTTACCAATTAGCTAGGATTTTTAGGATTTTCAACTAGTTAGAATGTATAAAAGGCAAACTAATTTACACAGCTTTCTATTTATAGTTTTTATATATCAGCATATTATAGAACATCACTACACAGATATAGACATACTGCAGATGGAGTTCCATCTGTTTAGCCTAATTTTGGTACATGCTTAAGAACAAAGCCCAGGCATCAACCCTCTACGTTGCTGCTGCCTTAAAAACTCACTGCATTTCAACATTATAGACTATGAATGTTTTCCTTGCCTTGAATATCATTTTCTTTTCCTTGAAAATTGATTGTTTTGCTGGAAGATTTGCCTGTAATGCAATGTGTTATTTTTGACAAGTATTGCCTGTTACATCTTTTATATTAATTTTAATTGTAAATTTATTCATTAAAATGCTTCTTGTTTGCACTAAAATTCCAAAAAATATATTGTTTTAAGTCAACACAATGAATGCATAAATGTTGTCTTACTAATACTTTTGTTACTTTAACTATCTTTTTTACCAAGAGCCTTTTAGTACTGACTAAATTGACATGGCATTGCCTTAAAAATACAATGGCAAAAAGGTAGCTTAAATCTACAGGACGCATTAGCACAAACTACGCAAGCAGGACACACGTGTCATGCTCTATTGTCTTGAGAAGCAGAACCTAATGTCAGGATGGATGATTTATACGCTCCCTCTGCAATCTCTTCCACCATCTTTTCAAAGTGGGTTAGAACAACAACAAACAAAACAAAACATAAATGACAGATGAAATTAAGAAAATGCTGCCATCATTGCCTCCACTGGAATGCCTACAGTTTAGGGGAATAAACTCATGGTTCAGAAATGAAGTCTCTGTATCACCTATGTCCCTCCTAGTAGTACATTTACAGCAACACACCAGTTATCTGTTGTGCAATAAAATATGCTATATTGGAGGAGAGGGAGTATAAGAACATATATAATATAGGTCTGCAATTGCTTTTACATAGAATAAACAATGTTTAACTTTTCCAGCCTACAGCGTTCTTACTTTATGAGTAATAATTCTACAGACACACTTCTGTTCATCTGAGAATAGTCTGTTCTAAAGTATTCTTTACTTGAATTGATGAGAATTATAATCTCTTTCAATCTTTCCTTCCATCTTTCTGCCTCAATCTCTTTTAACCCATACTCTTCCTCATATAGAGAATCTTTTGAGTACTTTTGCCTCGCCAATGAAGAAACAGTTATTTGATATTCCCAGCTGTGGAAAGATTATCAGTTTCCTCCTCCCATCACACAGCCATATGTACACACACACATGCATGTACAGTATTCTTTTTGAGCTACCATTTGGAAGAAATTTCAGAGTCATTGAATCCCTCCTCCTTTTTTTCCCCCCTTATCTTGCAAGGTATATGAAAAGGTCTGAGTTTAAAAGCTTCAGTCAGGGAGATTTAATTTTGAGTGAGATAGCTGAAACTCTCAAAGGAGCCACCAGCCAAGCAGCTGTAACAAATCAGCGTTACAGGTGGTGATCTACACCTAGAACTTCCTGGTGGAGTTGATCACTGTCCTCACAGGTATACATCTCTCTAACAGCCTTGCACCCAACAATTTCAGTCAAACAGTACAGGGCCATAAAAACAGAATGGAATTTGAGATCACAGAATCCTGTTTTGAATCGTGGGTTTGAGAAGTGTCTGTTCTGTTTTGTTAACCTGCTTAGATATGTAAACCCTGTCTTTGCTCATGTCTAAACTTGATTCCCCTACTTTCTGCAACACCCTTCCTGTTGTCCTTGCACCTTTATTTCCGGAGCTAACTCTTAATCATGCTGTGTGTTGTATAACGTTAGTACATACACAAACACATGGTATATTAGTCAAGGTTCTCCAGATGGACACAACTAATAGGATAGATACACATATCTATAAAGGGGAGTTTATTAAGTATTAACTTACATGATTGCAAGGTCCCACAATGGTCTGTATGCAAGCTTGAGGAGCAAGGAGAGACAGTCTGAGTCTCAAAACTGAAGAACTTGGAGTCTGATGTTCAAGGGCAGGAAGCATCCAGCACAGGAGAAAAGATGTAGGCCCGGGGGCTAGGCCAGTCTCTCCATTTCACATTTTTCTGCCTGCTTTATATTCTCTGGCAACTGATTAGATTGTGCCCACCAGATCAAGGGTGGACCTGTCTTCCTCAGCCCACTGACTCAAATGTGAATCCCTTCACTGACTCAAATGTTAATCTCTTTCGGCAACACCCTCACAGACACACAGAGCATCAATGCTTTGTATCCTTCAATCCAGTCAAGTTGACACTCAGTATCAACCATCACACATGGGATTTTAAACAAATACAAAGTTATGTTTATGTCACATTTAGTAGATTTTTACAGTACTTTCTCTCTACTTCCCATTTTTCTCCTATATATGGCTTTCACAGTAAGGGTTCCAGGTTTTTGTTTGTCCATTTTTTCACCAGTATATTAATCAAACACTTCATATTTACTTAAATAATTAAATTAATAACTTTATTATATATTCTTGACATATGGTGATGTTATTTCTAAATTACCTATTATGCTTTGCTGATATATACTTTTCTTTTATCAATAATATGGTACATTTTCTAAAGCCTCAGTTTAATGAGATTAACAAATATATGTCAAGCATTTCATCCAATTTCTCAATGAAGTAGTAATTTATCTTAAAATCTAAATATAGTTGTATTATTGTATATAGTTACATAAAATATATAAAGAAAATCACCAATAGGAATTAAAAAGAAGGAAAGAAATTACTGTGCAAAAGTAGCATGTTTATAAACATTTTTGATAGACTGAATAGACATATATAAACAAGAATGCTTCTACTGTTAATGCAAAAAATATATATAATTTCTTTACCCTAACAAACATAACAAGGTAGATAACCAAAACAATATTAATTGTATTTAAATTTCTGAAAGCTTTAAGAATTTAAACAAACTTAAACAAATTAAAATCCAGAAAATGATCCCCTTCTAGGGCAGAAGAGACCCACTGCTGCTTTTTTTCCCTGGGCAGAACAGTGAAAAAGGAAGAAGTTGACATTATTAGGAACGAGGAGAAACCAGCTGAATATTTTCTATAACTTTTTAAGACTATGTGTGGACTAGCATGAGTGTTAACATTCTAGGGAAGTCTGAAAGGCAAAAGAAATTTCTACCCACCCATCACCAATTTCCCACAGTCCTTCCTCATATACTCATAAGGAAAATAAGAAGGGTTCATCAAGGTAGGCAAGAAAGACCCATCCAAGCACCGCAGGTCCTGGAAAGTAGAAAGAGGCCACGAATGCCTAGGAGAGAATTGCATCATTTATATAATTGCTATACTATGTATAATTTATATGAACATAACATTTATATGTACATATATCTGTGTGTGTGTAAAAAATGCAAAATAATTGCTTCTAATCACGAGCAACCTGATTGCCTACAGAAAAATCCTAAGAGATCTACAGAAAGTATTTTAATACTAGCAGTATTAATTAGTAGCAAGTGGTATTCTAGCAGTAGAACTGAGGTAATTAAGGAAAGTGCAAGGTACAAAGTCAGTACAAATGGAGTAGAAAATTTTCCCTGATCCCTTTTCAGGTGGAAACTGGAGTGCAGGCGCTGGGGCTAGCCAGCTGCTTTGGTGCTGACAGGGGCAAACTCCACTTATTGGAACCCATTGTACTCAACCTCTCATGGGAGAGAGGATGCAGGTGAGTGGGAAAAACCAGGTCGCAAGAACAAATTGAAAGGTGGTGAATTTGGAGAAATTCATTTCCGATGAAAGTGGCTCTCAGCAGGCAGGAGAGCTGAAAGGTGATGGAGTGGGAAGCCACACCGTCAAGCCATCCCTCTGAAGTCGAGCTGCTTCTCTCCAACATTAAGCCATGGTCTCCCACATCCATCTGCTTCTCCTCTTCTCTTTCTCTCCTGTCTCTGTGGGCAGAGCCTGGGGGTTTTATGGGCACAGGAAGAAGGAGCAAGGCAGACCAAGGGGGTTTTCAAAAAGGCAAAATTCAAGCAGGAAAACAGGAATGTATGTTCTCTCTTTCGGCCTCAGTTCATGGCTTGAAGGTGAGACCCTTGCTGGGGACCTGCCCTTTTCTGCCCTGAATTTCCCTGCCTCCTGTTCCTATTACTAACAGTCAGATGTGTATTTATATGTTGATAGCAAACAAATGGAGAATAAAACAAATTTTAAATACTAGTAACAAGTAAATAAAAAACAGTATCTATATATTAACACCAAATTGTGCAAATCCTCTTAACACCAAAATGTGCAAATCCTCTCTTTTAAAGACTACCATACATTGCTGAAAGAAAAATCAAAATACCTAAATAGCTTGCTCTCAAGCTATTTTTGTTCAATGAACAAAAAATTCAATATTGTTAAGATGGCAATTCACCCAAGTTGATATACAATCATCCCTCACTATCTGTGGGGGATTGATTCCAGAACACCCTCAGATACCCAAATCTATCAATATTCAAGATCCTTATATATAATTCTGTAGTATTTGCATATAACCTACACAAAATCCTCCTATATAATTTAAATCACCTCTAAATTACTTGTAATACCTAATAAAATATAAATGCCACAAAAATATTTGTGATACTATATTGTTTAAGGAATAATGACAAGGGAAAAAAGTCTGTATATGTTCAGTACAGATGCAAACATTTGTTTTTTTTTTCTGAATATTTTTGATCCTTGTTGAATCCATGGATGTAAAACCCATGGGTATGGGGGAGCTGACTGTATTAATTGCCTATAATCTCAATCAAAACAGAAGCAGTCTTTCTCAATGAAAGAATAATCTTAAAACATATGTGGGTAATTGGATACTTGAGAATACCCAAAGCGATTTTTAAAAAGAAGAATAAATGTTTAAAGCAGGAAAGAAGTTTTCAAAATATATCTCTGCAACACTGGTTCAACAACATAGTCTACAGAAAAGTAAGGATTAGTAGTCAACCCAGTGTGGTAAAAGTAGTATACTGTAAGTTGCATTTTTAGAAAAAATGTGCAGTGCACACTAACATTGTCTATAGGAGTAAGGCAGTAAATATTATAGGATTTAATCCATGTTTCCCAGACTTAATTGACTACAGAAACTCTTTTCTATTCACTTACCTCCTCTTAACACTCTTTGAAAGTTAAATTGAATATTCTTTGAGAATAAGTGCTGTATATCTCTATAACTGAGAAAAAGACAAGATAATGGCAAAGATAATATGTATATTAAAATATTTCATAATGCTGAAATAAGCTACCAAAGTCAATGTGGTTTTCTTTAATACCATAATTATAGTATTTTGACTTTTGCATATGAGCAACACATGATTAAATCTGATGAAGTGATAATTGGCTGAAAATCTAGTTTTCATCCACTGGCCACAAAACTAGACTAAAAATATGGTTGAATCACATTGACCCTCAAGAATTACATTTATCAAAGAAATAGCAGAAATGAAATTTCTGCATTCTAGTAAAGAAATAACTTCTTAATAACTATGATCAGGGTGTTTGTGGCTATTCATTGAGTGAGCTTAGCAATAGACCAGGAGTCTTTATGTTACATAAAAGGTCACTGTGATAGTTAATTTTGTGTGTCAACTTGACTAGGCTGTCTTAGATATTTGATCATACACATCTGGATGTTGCTGTGAAAATATTTAATAGATTGATAACATTTAAATCAATAGACTTCAAGTAATACAGCTTAATCATTCATAATGTGGACAAGTCTTGTTCGATTATTTGAAAGTTTTCATAGAAAAAGAATGACTTCTCCAGAAAAAGAAGGAATTCTGCCAGCAGAGTGCCTCTGGAGTTAACACTATAACTCTTCTTGAGTTTCCAGCTTGCTGGCTTACCTTTCTTGGACTTGCCAGCCTCTACAGTTATGCGAGCCCATTCCTTAAAATCAGCCTCTCTTCTCTCTCTCTCTCTCTCTCTCTCTCTCTCTCTCTATGTGTCTCTCTCTCTCTTTCTCTTTATGTATGTGCTATTTTTCTTTGGATATCCTTGTCTACTACAGCACATATTTCCACTCATATAAAAAAACTATTCTTCCTTTTAATAAATGTATAAGATGCAAAATTCTTTTGAATGTATTATGTAGAGAAATGCTATTCATCACTCCACTGAAGTCACTTTGTGCATCTGCTCTGAAACCCAAGATAATGTACTTCTTAGGCACTAATGAAAAAATAGAAAGCATGCATTAAATAATGTTCTAAATGTGACCATTCATAAAAGCTTGTCATTCTGATACTAGACAATGGATATTTCAGCAAGAAATTGCATTTTGAAATTCATCTGACTTAGGCAACAATTTATCTCTCACCGTGAAAGAGAGAGCAGCAGCATATTTTAAGGAGTTTTTCTTAGAAAACAGTTGCTTTACAGCCTTTGAGTAAATGCCTTTGATGAATGAGCTCAAAGTATTGGACATTGTATTCTACTCTCTAAGCATCTGGTTAATCCCACTGTGATGCAGTTTGACTCATTACAGTCAGTCAGGAACGCAAAGCTTTGTAACCATTCATTTGGTTAATTGTTCTGACTCACAAGGTAAGGTTTAGAGAAGAAAGAATGACCAAATTCAGTAGGTACTCTTTATGCCCTCGATTTCAAATCCTTTTTTTTTTTCCTGAGGAAAGAAAGAGTTCTTAGCTAAGTTTAAAAATATGTCTGGTTACTTAATGACCAAAATGCTCTTGGTTTATATGCCCATAAGAGAAGGATCTCTCATTTTTTTAACATCCCCAAATTTTGTCTTATTTTAATGTGTAATTATTTAGAAAGAATGCTTTGGTAGTATTTAAGAATAAAAGTAGAAAGAGAAACTGCCTGAAAATGAGAGAATACATGATTTTAAAAAGTAGTTTACATTAAATGGGGCACTCCAATCTGCAGTCTCAGTAGAGACACAGCAAACAATAAGAAATAAGATTGTGTTGGTACTACACATGGAGTTAGGAGAACATAACTTCCTATGAAATCCTTCCTGGCTAATTCAGGAAGTCATGGGAGGTGCCATCTCTTTCATCTGCTCCCCTCTGTCTTCTAGTTTTACTTACTTTAATACTCACAATTCCCTGCAAGCATGCTCTTCTGTGCTATTTATTTTTCCTATTTCCAATAATGGATGCATCGCTCAAGTTGGTTCTCTGACATTTCGCTTAATCTTAAGTAGGTTATAATATTGAAGACCCAAATAGTCTTCAAGACCTTATATTGACCATATAAATATACTCTGCATAAAAAAGGCTACATATATTCTTATATCCAAAATTTCCCAGATTTCTGCATCCTAAATTCTCTGTTTCCATCTCCTCACATGGGCATTTAGTAATACAGGAACGAAACTCTCCTTCCACTTTTGAAATTATTGTTATTAGGGCTCTACAGATTTCTAAAGGAAAGTAAGAATATTTAAAAGGTCATTTATGAAAAGCTCACAGCTATCATCACAATCAATGGGGAAAAAGTGAAAGCTTTTCCTCTAATACCTGGTATGAGGCAGGGATGCCCACTATCACCATATCCACTCATCATAGTACTGGAAGAACTAGCCAGAGTAATCAAACAAGAAAAAGAAATAAAAAGCATTCAAATTGGAAACAAAGAAGTAAAATAATACTTGTTTCCAGATGACATTATACTTTTTCAGAAAACTCTAAAGACTTCAGAAAAAAAAAACCTGATAGAACAAATAAATGAATTCAGTAAAGTGTCGGTATAGAAAATCAACACACAAAAACAAATTGCAATTTGTTATTCCAACAATGATCTAGCTAAAAAAAAAAAAAAAGAAAACAATTCAAGTTATGACAGCATCAAAAGAATAAAACACTTAGGAATAAATCTAAAAGAGGAAGGGAAAGATCTGCACATTGAAAACCACAAAGCATCCATGAAAGAAATTCAAGAAGTCACACACAAAAAGATATTCCATGTTTATGGACTGGAAAAAATAATATTGTTTAAAAAAATCCATGCTAGCTGCCGGGCATGGTGGCTCATGCCTGTAGTCCCAGCACTTTGGGAGGCTGAGGTGGGTGGATCACAAGGTCAGGAGATTGAGACCATCCTGGCTAACATGGTGAAACCCCTTCTCTACTAAAAATACAAAAACAAAATTAGCCAGGTGTGGTGGTGGGCACCTGTAGTCCCAGCTACTCAGGAGGCTAAGGCAGGAGAATAGCGTGAACCCAGGAGATGGAGTTTGCAGTGAGCTGAGATAGTGCCACTGCACCCCAGCTTGGGTGACAGAGCGAGACTCTGCCTCAAAAAAAAAAAAAAAAAATCCATACTGGCCAAAGCAATATGCAGATTCAATGCAATCCCTATCAAAATTCTAATGACATTTTTCACAAAAATAGAAAAAACAATTCTAAAATACGTTTGAAACACAAAAGACATCAAATACCAAAACAATCTTGAGAAAGAAAAACAAACATAAAGTTGGAGGCATCATACTTTTTGATTTCAAATTATATTACAAAGGTACAGTAATGAAAACAATATGATACTAGCATAAAAATAGACACATAAACCATTGTAATAAAATAGAGAATCCAGAAGTAAACCTAGCATATACAGAGGGTCAACTAATTTTCAGCAAACCCACTGATTTGATATGGCTCTGTGTCCCCACCCAAATCTCATCTTGATTTGTAATCCCTAAGTGTTGAGGGAGGGACCTGTAATCCTCACGTGTCAGGAGAGGAATGTGATTTGATTATGGGGGAAGTTTTCCCCATGCAATTCTTACAATAGTGAGTGAGTTCTCAGGAGACCTGTTGGTTTTATAAGGGGCTCTTCCCCCTTTGTTTTCTCCTCTCTCTCCTGCCACCTTTTGAAGAAGGTGTCTGCTTCCACTTCTGCCATGATTGTAAGTTTGCTGAGGGCTTCCCAGCCATGAAGAACTGTGAGTCAATTAAATTCTTCTCTTTATAAATTACCCAGTCTCAGTGAAGTTCTTCACAGCAGTGTGAAAACTGACTAATACAGTAAATTAGTACCACAGAGAGTGGGGTACTACTATAAAGATAACCTGAAAATGTGGAAGTGACTTTGGAACTGGCAGAAGTTGGACTAGTTTGGAGGGCTCAGAAGAAGACAGGAAGGTGTGGGAAAGTTTGGAAATTTCTGGAGACTTGTGGAATGGTTTTGATCAACATGCTGATAGTAATGTGGACAATAAAGTCCAGACTGAGGTGATCTCAAATGGAGATGAAAAACTTCTTGGGAACTGGAGCAAAGGTCACTCTTACTATTCTTAGCAAAGAGACTAGTGGCATTTTTTCCCTTCCCTTAGAGATCTGTGAAACTTTTAACTTGACAGAGATGATCTGAAATTGGAAGTTATGTTTAAAAGGGAAGCAGAGCATAAAAATTTGGAAAATTTGCCACCTGACAATGTGATAGAAAAGAAAACCCCATTTTCTAGACAGAAATTCAAGCCAGCTGCAGAAATTTGCATAACTAATGAAGAGTGGAATGTTAATCACCAAGACAATGGTGAAAATATCTTCAGAACATGTCAGAGATGTTGGCGGCAGCCCCTCCCACCACAGGCCAGGTGGCCTAGGAGGAAAAAATGGTTTCCAGAGCCTGGCCCAGGGCCCTGCTGTAGTGTGCCCTGCATCCCAGATGCTCCAGCTCTGGCTATGGCTAAAAGGAGCCAAGGTACAGCTCAGACCATTGTTTCAGAGGGTGCAAACCCTAAGCCTCTGTGGCTTCAATGTGGTGCAGGGCCTGCAGGTGCACAGAAGTTAAGGACTGAGGTTTAGGAACCTCAACCTAGATTTCAGAACATGTATGAAAATGCTTGGACATCCAGGCAGAAGTATGCTGCATGGGTAGAGCCCTCATAGAGAGCCTCTGCTAGGGCAGTGCAAAGGGGAAATGAGGTTGAAACCCCTACACAGGGTCCTCACTGGGGCACTGCCTAGTGGTGCTGAGAGAAGAGAGTTACTGTCCTCCAGATCCCAGAATGGTAGATCCACTGATGGCTTGCTCTGTGCACCTGGAAAAGCCACAGCCACTTAATGTCAGCATATGAATGAGCTACCCAAGGCCATGGGACCCTACCCCTTGCCTCAGCATGCCCTGAATATGAGACATGGAGTTGAAGGAGATCATTTTGGAACTTTAAGATTTAATGACTGCCCTGCTGGATTTAAGACTTCCATGAGGACTATAGCCCCCTTTTTTGGCCAATTTCTCCCATTAGGAAGAGGAACATTTAGCCAATGCCTGTACTACTATTGTATCTGGGAAATAACTAACATGCTTTTGATTTTACAGGCTCATAGACAGAAGGGACTTTCCTTGTCTCAGATAAGACTTTCGACTATGGACTTTTGAGTTAATGCCGGAATGAGTTAAGACTCTGGGGGAGCCTTGAGAAGGCATGATTGGTTCTGAAATGTAAAAGCCATGAGGTTTGTGAGGAGTTGGGGCAGATTGATACAGTTTGACTCTGTGCACCCAAATCACATCTCAATTTATAATCCCCATGTGTCCAGGGAGGGACCTGTAATCCCCCCTTGTAGAGGGAGGGAGATGATTGGATCATAGGGGCTATTTCCCCCATGATGTTATCATGATAGTGAGTGACTTCTCATGATAGCTGATGGTTTTAAAAGGGACTCTTCCCCCTTAGCCTTCTCTTCTTTCTCCTTCTGCCTTCTGAAGAAGGTACCTGCTTCCCCTTATGCCATGATTGTAAGTTTCCTGAGGCCTCCTTTGCCCTGTGGTACTGTGAATCAATTAAACCTCTTTTCTTTATAAATTACCAAGTTTCAGGGAAGTTCTTCATAGCAGTGTGAAAATAGACCAATACACCCACTAAGGAGGCACAGTGGAAAAAGGATAGTCTCTTCAATAAATGATGTTGGGAAAACTGGATATCTATATGCAAAAGAAAGAAACTAGATTCTTATCTTATCCAATACACAAAATCATCTCAAAATAAATTAAAACCTAGATGTAAAACCTAAAACTAGAAAACTGTAGAAGGAAACATAGGTGTATATCTCCTTGATATTGGCCTTGGCAACAGTTTTTTCTTAATATCAGAAGCTCAGGCAACAAAAGAAAAATAAAGAAGTGGAACTATCGAACTGAAAAGCAACTGCACAACAAAAGAAATAAGAATTACAAGAAAAAGGCAGCCTATTGTTTGGGAGAAAATATTTATAATCCGTATATCTGATAAAGGCTTAAGATCCAAACTATGTAAGGAACTTTAACCAATAGAAAGCAAAAGCAATAACAAATAGCTTAATTAAAACTGCAAAGATACTGAATAGACATTTTTCCAAAGAAGACATAAAAATGGCCAACAGTTATATAAGAAGGTGCTCAACATCACTAATCCTTAGAGAAATGCAAATTAAATCTACAATAAGATATCACATCAAAACTATTAAATGACTAGTAACTGAATGTTGAAAGATGACAAGTATTGATAGGGATGTGGAGAAAATGGAACTCTTGTATACTGTCAGCAGGAATATAAATAAGTATAGCCATTATGAAAAACAGTATGGAGGTTCCTGAAAAGAATTAAAAATAGAACTTTAATATGACCCTGAAATCCCTTGGTTAAGCATATACCCAAGGAAATGGAAGCAGCACCTCATAGAGATATTTGCCCTTACATGTTCATTGAATTGTTATAGTCAAGATATTGAAACAACCTAAGTATTTATTGACAAATGAATGGATAAATAGATTTACATATATGTGACCAGGTGGGGTGGCTCACGCCTGTAATCCCAGCACTTTGGGAGGCTGAGGTGGGCAGATCACAAGGTCAAGAGATCGAGACTATCCTTGCCAACATGGTGAAACCCCATCTCTACTAAAAATACAAAATTAGCTGGGCATGGTGGTGCGTGCCTGTATTCCCAGCTACTTGGGAGGCTGAGGCAGGAGAATTGCTGGAACCCAGGAGGCGGGGGTTGCAGTAAGCCGAGATCGCACCACTGCACTCTAGCCTGGTGACAGGATAAGACTCCATCTCAAAAAAAAAGAAATTTATATATATGTATAATAGTCCTATATATATAAAATGGACTGTTACTATTCAGGTTTAAAGAAGGAAATACTGCTATTTGCAGCAACATGGATGAACCGGGAGAATATCATGCTAGGTGAGATAAGCCAGAAACAAAGAAAAGTACTATATGATGTTGCCTATATGTGAAATTTTTAAAAAGTGGAACACATAAAAACAGAAAATAGAGCAGTGTTTACTAGGGTCAGAGAGGGAGAGGAAATGGACAGAAATAGGTCAAAGGGCATAAATTTGCCATCAGGGAGAATAAATAAATATAGAGGTTTGATGTACAACATGAGAAGTATAGTTGATAATGTGCATTATATACTGAAAATTTGCTAAAAGGGTTAGTTCTAGGTGTTCGTAACACACATACACACAAAAGGTAACTATGAAAGGTGATTGACATGTAAACGTTTTGACTATAATTATTTTACTATGTATATTTATCAAAAATTTATATCAAAACATCATGCTGTATACCACAAATATCAAATAAAATAAATCCAATAAAAAGAAAATAATATTTGAATTATATACACTGATGCTCTCAAAATAACCCTTTCATATTTTTTGGCCCTTAGAGATTTTCAGTTACTTTAGGAATAATCGCTTTCTCCTGAAGACATCCAAAGCATTTTAAAAAAAAGACCAATTATAAATAACTTAATACAATGAATTTGTCCTACCAAGTCAGCATTCTGTGATAAGTCTGTATTTATAATGTGTACACAGCTCCATTGCTTCAGTGGCTCAATTGTTATCTGTGTCCTTACTATATAAATAAAGTGAGTAGGCAATGATCTGCTTGAACCCAGTGAACAATGACTGGAAAATCTAGAAAATATAAAGGACACCACTCAACATTCCATTATGGAAGCAGTATGCCTTGAGAAGATCAACAAAGGAGTTAGTTTACTATAAAACACCTGTAAATATTAGTGTGGTTTTAATTAAAATATAATACTGCATAGTGCCACTCACATCAAGTCAATATCTGGGATAGAGATAAGATTTTACAAAATTTAATTAATATGACTCCAAGGACAGAAACTCAAGGTCGCCCTATTTTATGCTAAAAAAAAATAGTTGCAATGTAGAGAGCAAAAGATCCATTCTCAATTCAGAAAAGCATGTTACTCTTTATTGTGCATTGATTATGTGCTAGGCATGGTATATACATTATCATTGAATGTTCTATAAATCCAAACACGCTAACTTACGTAATATTTATACTTTGCACCAGGCCTTGAGGTAAGTAGTAGTATTAATTCCAGTTTATAGATGAGGAAACTGATGTATCCAGAAGTAAAGTAATTTACTCATGATTCTTTTGGCTAGTAACAAAGGTCAAAATTAAAATAGAATTGTTGGCAGCCATGCTTTCCAAGATATTGTAAAGCAAAAACTCAAAATGTTCAATAAGTAATGAGACAAACAGCTTAACTTCACTAATGCTTATAATTTTAAAATGTAGTTTTGACTGAGAGACATGTATTTTAGTTTGAAAAAAGAAAAATTAAATATCAATGTAAAATCCCATCATCTAGTGAAACATTTTAAACCCAATTCTCTTTGGATCACATTTAAAAGATTTATGAGAACTTAGTAGCCAAAATATCATAAAAAAACTACTAAGGTATGCTTGCTTTTATTTAAAAACATGACAGAAAGAGCAATAAATTTTTTTCATTTAATTTTTTTTTGAAAATAATTTCCCATATATCTAGTAAGTCATAATTTATTATTTTATATAATATAGGCTATGGAAAATATGAAAACACATAGCTTAGCTCAACTAATATTTAACACTTAAATAACGCATGGTGTTTCTCAAATAAACCAAAAATTTTAAAATTTTGCAATGATGGAGGCCAAGTAATAATTTAGTTCCTTTGAAATTATAATTTTATTTTCTATTTTCAATTTCTTAAACTTAAATTTTAAAATTTGATTTATTTTCCCTCTGTAACAGTACTAATTTTAGAAATAAGAAAAAGCCATTTCAATAGCAATAAGATACTATTAATTTTAATTTACTTATAGGTTGACTGACAAGATCTTTATCAAGTGAAAATAAAATTTCACAATAAAAATGAACTCCCTTGATGGAATAATTTTGTTTCTGGACTGGATAATTAAGAACTAAATAAACTCACTCTTCTGTAAAATTATGAGCAAAACCACTAACATCCAACAGTTCAGAATTCTGAAAATTGATCAAAACTACACGACATAGTGAAAATCATCTATCCAAAAGAAATTATAAACCCTCAGTGAGACAGTGGAGTCTGAAATGCTTTGACTTGGGAATATTCTTTTACCTTCTCTTTCTCTCCTTCTCAGTGGTATGGTGGCCAAAAGGCAGCAGCCTTGAAGTAAACAGCAGAAAGAATAAGTTTGGAGCTGTGTTGAAAGCGCACTTCTCAGAACATCATTATTATTTTGTCCAAATTTGCAGGTCCATGAAAAGTCTCCACTCCAATAATGTATGGGTATTTGCTTTGACTCAGGGTCAGATCAAAAGAAAGGGCCCTTCTCCAGAGCATTAATAAAACTTAACAATATGCTGGCTATATCGAAACCACTTAAGATTATGATTTCAATTGAGGTAGACAAGAGTCTGGAGAATTAGACAACCATAAGGGACTTTGAAAAAAATCTCTGACATGTCCCTGGGGATCTAATAAGATGTTCACATTTCCAGAAAAAACCTGAAAAAGAAGGCCCCATTTAGTCATCACTTGTTGACCTTGAAGCCCTGTGCAAAGTTAAAGCCAAGGCTGTCTTGTGAACTTCCTGAAGTTTGAGCACTTGGCTTCTCACGCTGATTCCTTTGACAAAAAGTGAAGAACAAATAGGCATAATTTTAAGAAAATATTCTGACCAATCACTGGCTGGCCAGCAATTTATACTGAGGTGTGATACCCTACAGAGCTGGGACTTAAAAATAATCCCCCAAAAACTAAAAAATGAAAAGTTAGCATGTAACTCAATGGACACAAGGGATGAGAGTGAATAATCTAGATAATTAGCCCAGGAAAGTTTATAAACAAATCACCAAGAATAAGAAAAATAAGAACAACAAAAAGTGATATCAGCAAAATGGCTGTCTAGGTACTTCTGGCATTTTCCCCACTCCCACAGGAAAGGAAGACGGCAACAAATAAACAGTCAGATTTCTCTGGCATGTCAAATGGAGAGCCCTGGAGTGCAGCATAGGAGTGGAGATGCACCTGTGGTGACTGGAATTTCAGAAGGGAATCATGGAAGCACCTGGCCTCTGCAGCCTCATCTACCTCACTTAAATTGTGTTTGCATGGAATCAGGAGGAACTTCTTGTGGGGAAAAGATAAGCAGAAGATCCCCACCGGTCCCCATTGCCAAGGAAAACACTTACAGTTCTTACAACAGGACAATCCTACATTCTGCACAAACCCTGAACCAAATATGAAGAGCTGGGGAAATTCACACAACGAGATTGTCCCAGAATAGGGGCATAAAGTGTATACTCCTGACCCCAACCTTCCCACTATGAGCCAAGCTGAAGTAGCACAGCACCATCTTTATATCAAAGCCACCTCTGGAGTGTGCCCTGCCCTAAGGGCCAGTAGCGACCACACTTCTCCAGCACTGGGGCTCCATCTTCATTACCCCAAGCCCATATGGGTGCCTGAACACTATAACCCCAGCTATATGGAGCTTGAGCCCAAGATTGGTTGTGACTCTGGTCCTGTACAGCAGGGATACCAGCCACAGAAGCAGTCTCCCTTTCTTGCCCAAGGTGAACCCGCCCTTGAGCCAAATGAACTGCTGCACACTCTAACCCAAGAGGCCCAAGAGCCTCTGAGTAGCAAATATGCCCCTCCACCAGCAGAGTGGCTATGCATCCATGCTTAGGATGTAAGAAACAGCCCCAAGCACCACTGTGCCCCACAGACATGCCCTCAGCCTGTCTAATATCCCTATACACCTATAAGGGTCTGAGAAACAATTTCATAGGACAACCCTGGAGGGCATGTTCCAGGCCAGCCAATCAGCTGTGAATCTGCACACCAGGCCTTTAAAACAGTCCTACAGGCTGCCCCCAGCAGGCACACCCTTGAACCGGCCAAACAACCTTGCACTTACCTCAAAGATCTGAGAAACAGCACTGTGGGCCACATCTAGCGGGCATGCCTCCAGGCCAACCAAGCAGCCCTGTGCCCATGTCCTGGGCCAACAAAACAGTCCTGTGGGCCAGCCCCATAGAATGCTTCCAGACCAGCCAAGCAGCCATGAAGCTGTATTGGGAGCATAAGAAACAGCCCTGTGCCTGCCCCAAGTGTATGTGTCACCACGCCAGTCAAGCAGCCATGCTCCAAAATCAAAGAACTAAGAAATGGCCTCGTGGGCCACCACACTACCCTATGCCTGCCCCCAAGCACACACACCCTCAGGGCTAGCTGAGCAACCTTGCAGCAATATCTCAAGCCTGAAAAACAGCCCCATGGGCTACTCCTTACAGAAATGCCCTGGGACCAGCTGAGTAACTATGCAGCTACGTCTTAAGCCTGAGAAACAGCCTTATGAGTTGTTCCTAGCTGACACACCCTCAGGCAAGCCAAGAAATCCTGGCAGGTACATCCCTAGGTCATTCAAATGTGTGCCTGTGCTTCCAGCCAGAATAGCAGCTCCATTGCCCCAACCCCAGTGAGCCAGATCGTAAGTCAGATGATCCCCTTACACCCCTGACCTGAGAAACAGCCCAGTAAGCCAACTCCTGGAAAGGCCACACCACCATTGCCACAGGTTCTCTTAGCCTATGCCACTAATGTAGACTATAGCTGAAGAAACTACTTGGAGACTACACTACTGCCTCTACCTAGAACCAAGACCAACACACCCCACAAAAGCAACACCCCAAGACCCATTCATACAAATACATCTTTTTATATGATACCTACTCCATAAAATTGGAAGCATTCAGCAACTTTCCACCTGATGTATAGAAGTCAATCTAGGAACACATCAATCATGAAAAAGCAAGGAAATGTGTCACCTCTAAAGGTAAATAATAATTCTCCAGTAGCCAAACCCAATCATAAGGAAACATATGAAATGTCAGAAAAATAATTCAAAATAATAATCTTAAGGACATATAAGCAAAGGCAGGTAGACAACTCAATGAAATTAAAAATGCAATTCATAATTTGAGTGAGAAATTTGACAAAGAGGTGGATACAAAAAGAACCAAATAGAAATCTTAAAGTTAAAGAATTCAATGAATTAAATAAAAATTACAATTGAGAACTCCAACTACAGACTAAACCAAGCAGAAGAAAGAATGTCTGAACATGAAAATAGTCTTTTCCAAAAACACAGGCAGACAAAATAGAAAAAATAATGAAAAAAATAAAGAACGCCTACAGGATTGTATTAGTCAGTTTTCATACTTCTGTAAAGAATCCTTGAGTCTGGGTAATTTACAAAAGAAAGTAGTTTAATTGACTCACAGTTACACATGGCTGTGGTAGCCTCAGGAAACTTACAATCATGGTGGAAGATAAAGGGGAAGCAAAGTACATCTTACTTGGTGACAGGAAAGACAGAGGGAGAAGGAGGAAGCACCAGGCATTCATCAAACAACTAGATCTTGTGAGAACTACTGCACGATCATGAGAACAGAATGGAGAAACTGCCCCATGATCCAATCACCTCTCATCAGGTTGCTCCCTTGACACATGGAGATTACAATTCAAGATGAGATTTAGGTGGAGATACAGAGCCAAACCATATCAAGGATTTATGTGATACCATTAAGCAAATAAATATGCATATTATGGAAATTTCAGAAGAGAGATGAAAAGGTGAGGAAAACATATTTAATGAAATAAAAGCAAAAAACTTCCCAAGTCCTGGGAGAAAAATGAGCATTCAGGAAGATAGACATCCAGGAAGCTCAAAAAAATCTCAAATAGATTCAAGCCAAGCAGATCGCTTCTGAGGCATCATATAGTCAAATTGTCAAAAATGAAAGGCAAACAAAACATTTAAAAGCAACATGAGAAAAGCATCAGGTCAGACATACGGGTATCTCTTTTAAGATAACAGTGGATTTCTCAGTAGAGACCTCACAGGCCAGGAAATAATGGGATGATATATTTAAAGTACTGAAAGAAGAAAACGACAACCTGTCACTCAAGAATGTTATATCCAGCAAAACTATCCTTCTGAAATGAAACAGAAACAACATATTTCATACACAAGTAAAAATGAAAGAAATTCATCATCACTACACCAGCCTTACAAGAAATGCTAAAGGAAGTCATGTTTGGAAGTATAAAGATAATAACTATCATTATTAAAGTATGTAAAACTATAAAACAAGTTGGTGGAGCTGATACACAAAGAAGAGAGAGAAATGAATAAAACATATAGTTACAGAAAATCACCCAAATGCAGAAGTCAAAAAAAAACAGTACAAGAAGTAAGAATCAAAGTATATGCAAAACAACCAGAAAACAATAAATTGACAAAAGTAAGTCTCCACCTATCCATAATAACCTTAAATATAAATGCAAATGGATTAAATTCCCCAGTTAAAATATATAGAATAGCTGAACAGATTAAAACAAAACAAGACCTAACCTATGCTGCCTATAACAAATTATCTCACCTCAGAAGACTCATATATACTGAAAGAGAAGGGATGGAAAAACATACTCCATGAAAATGGAAAGTGAGCAGGAGCAGCCATAGTTCTATCAAAGTAGATTTGAAGATAAAAGCTGTAAAAGGAGACACAGAAGAAAATTATATAATAATACAAGAATCAATTTAGCAATTATTATATTTAGCAAGTATATATGCACCTAACATTGGACGACCCAGACATGTAAGGCAAATATTATTAAAACTGAAGGGAGAAGTAGACCTCAATACAATAATAGCTGGGGTCCTTAACACCCTACTCTCAGCATTGAACACATTATCTAGGCAGGAAATCAACAAAGAAACATTGATTTTAAATTGTACCATTGGGAAAATAGACCTAAGATACTTACAGAACTTTTCACTCAGCTGCAAAATAACACATGTATTTTTATCAGCGCTTGGAGCATTCTCAAGGTTAAGACATACGTCAGGACACAAAACAAGTCTCCACAACATTTAAAAAAAATTGAAATCACATCTAGTGTCTTCTCAGACAACAATGGAATAAAACCATACACCAAAAAAATGAGAAATATTTGAAACTATATAAATACATAGAAATTAAACAACATGCTTCTGAATGATAAATAAGTGAAGGGAATAATTAAAAATAAAATTTCTTTAAATTTTATTGAAACAAATGAAACTAGAAACACAATGCATCAAAACCTTTGGGACTCAGAAGAAAAACAACACTAAGAGGAAAGTTTAGAGTGATAAATGACTACATCAAAAAACTAGTAAGATTTCAAATAAATTACCTAATAATATCTCTTTTAAAAAGTAAGAAAAAACCCAAAATTAGTAAAAGAAAAGAAACAATAAAGATTAGAGCAGAAATCAAAACAAAAAGTTAAGAAAAAAATGCAAAAGAAGAACAAAAAATTGGTTTTGTGCAATGATAAATAAAATCAATAAACTATTAGATAGACTTAAAAAGACACAAATAAATAAAATTAGAAACAAAAAGGAGACATCACAATTATTAGCACCAAAATACAAGGTATTAATAGAGACTGCTATGAACAACCATACACTAACAAACTAGAAAATCTACAGGAAATGGATAAATTCCTGTACAAATACAACCTACCAATGTTGAACCAAGAAGAAATAGAAATCCTAAACAGGTCAATAACAATTAACAAGATGGAATCAGTAATAAGCCTCCCAACAAAGAAAAGTCCCAGATTGTATGGCTTTACTGCTGAATTTTACTGGATCTTAAAAAAAAAAAGTTATGCCAACTCTTCTCAAACTATTATGAAAAAGTGAAGCAGAGTAAATTCTTCCTAACTCTTTTTATAACACTAGCATAACTCTGATACCAAAACCAGACACACGCACACATACACACACACACACACACACCCCAGACCAATATCTCCACAGAACATAGAAGAGATGCAAAAATTCTCAACAAAATACTATCAAACCGAATTCAACAACACATCAAAAATATAACACACCATGATCAAGTGAGTTTTATCCCAGGAATGCAAGGATGGTTCAACATATGCAAATCAATAAATGTCATGTCATCCATCACATCAATAGAATGAAGGAGAAAAACTGTATAATTATCTCAGTAGAGATTCAGGGAAAGCTTTTGATAAAATTCAACTTTGCTTATAAATTTTAAATAATATTAACCAAAAAAAGAATAACAACAAATTTTAAAAGAACAAGAATACACTTTGATTAGGTAGATGTGTGTATCAGATTTACTACAATATGTTACCAAAACTGTTCAGTTTTTAGAAATAAATATGAGATGTGCAAAGACACAGGAAAATATGCCTGAAACACAGGGTAGTGGAAAGTAGCTATTAAATGACCCTGAGAAAGCCTAGATTTTAGGCTTCATAGAGATTTTAAATGATCTATCAATATATATTAATAGAACAAAATAAATTATATCTAAAAATAAAATAAGAATGCTGCCTCATGAAATAGAGAATATTAGTAAAGAGATAAAATTATAAGAAAGTATCAAACAGAAATTCTAGTAATTAAAAGTATAACTGAAATGGAAATTTATCAAAATTTCAACAACAGATTTGAGCTGGCAGATGAATTCATGAACAACATTGAAGATAGGTCAATAGGGACTATTCAGTCTGAGAAGCAGAAAAAAATATGAACAGATCCTCAGAGACATGTGGGCCCGTACAAATTGTATCAACATCCACATAATGCAATACCAGAGAAAAGACTAGAAAAATTTTTAAAGAAGTATTTTCCAAAACACTCCCAAGTTGTATAAAAGACACTAATCTTCAAATTCAAGAAGCTCAGATAGAATAAATTTACCTAAGATTCCAGGTAGAATAAGTCTAACAAGTTAATCGATGATAATAAATGAAAAATACAAATCCTTGAAAGCAGCAAGAAGGGTTAACTTAACCTATTGCAGAGATCCTTGGTAAAAGTAATAACTGACTTCTCATCAGAAACCCTGGATATTAGAAGACAGTGGAATGACATGTTCAAAATGTCTCAGACTGTAAGCTGATAATTCTATATATAGCTAAAATCTCATGCAAAAATAAAAAAGAAGTTAAGACATGCCCAATGAAATGAAGAGAGAGAGAGAAGAGAATTTCTTGCTTATAGACTTGCCCTACATGATATATTAAAGTAAGTTATTTAGGCTGAAATGAATAAAACGCTTTATGAAACTCAAATTCACATCAAGGAGTAAAGTGCAACAAAAAATAACTACAAAGAAGGCTAGATTCAGTGGCTCACCTGTAGTCACAGCACTTTGGAGGCTGAGGAAGGAGGTTTCCTTGAGCCCAGGTGTTTGAGGAGACCAGCCTGGGCATCATGGAAAAGCCTCATCTATTCAAAAAAATACAAAAAAAAAAAAAAAAAAAATTAGCCAGGCATGGTGGCACGTGCCTGTAGTCCTAGCTACTTGGAGGTGGTGAGACCAGAGGATTGTTTGAGCCCAGGATGCGGAGGTGGCAGTGAGCCAAGATTACACCACTGCATTCCAGCCTGGGCAACAGAGCAAGACCTTGTCTCAAAAAAAAGGAAAAGGAAAAGAAAACTACAAAGATAAATATAAAAGCCAGCGTAAATGTGCTTTTGTTTGTATTCCTTGCCTTACTCTGTTTTAGATGACAGCTGCACAAAACAATCATTATAAAACACAGTTAAAAGATTATAATGTATAAACATGTAATTTGTACAGCATTAATAGTAAAAAAAAAAAGGAGAAAACAGATATATTGGAGTATGTTTTTGCATACTATGAAAATTTACCATTATTCTGAACTAGACCTTTTAAAATTACGATACTAATTCTCATCCCCATAGCAACCACAAAAAGAAAATCCTCAAACTTTTAGTAAATAAACAAAGCAATTAAAATGGTACGCTGGAACATAACTATTTAACATAAAAAAAGATAGTGATAGAGGAAAAGAGGTAAAAACACATGATACATATAGTAACATATAACAAAGTAGATGTAAACCCCACCATATCCAATCAAAATGCAGAGATCCACAGAATAAATAAGTTATGTTTCAATTCTATGATCCCTACAAGAGATGTTTAGATTCAAAAAACAAAGAGGTTGAAAGTAAACGGATGAAAAAGATATAATATGCAATCAGTAAACAAAAATGAGCTGCAGTGCTACCCTAAGACAGTAGAGTTAAGACAAAAGTTTTTAGTAAACAATGAGAAAATTTTGTAATGATAAAGGGGTAAATCTACCTTTAAGATTTAATAACTACAAATGCATTTAATAAAGCCCTCAAATTCTGTCAGCAAAACCTGACAGAATTGAAGGAGGAAGAAACAATTGAAAAAAAAATTGTTAGTGACTTCAATACTCATTTTCAATACTAGATGGAACAAGTAGGAAGATCCCCACAAAACAGAAGGCTTAAACAACTATTGTGGCCACTCCCCAGAGACAGAATAGATGCCTACACTCTCAAATTTGGCTCAGATATCGAGATTGATAACACCACATATGTACCAAGAGGGTATAAAAATGATCTTTTTTAAAAAAATTTATTTAATTAAAAAAGATTACACTATTTTTTGTTTGTTGGTTGGTTTTGCTTTTTTTTTTTTTTTTTTTTCTGAAATGGACTCTCACTCTGTTGCCCAGGCTAGAGTCAGTGGCGCAATCTTGGCTCACTGCAACCTCTGCCTCCTGGGTTCAAGTGATTCTCCTGCCTCAGCTTCCTGAGTAGCTGTGACTACAGGCACACGCCACCATGCCCAGCTAATTTTTGTATTTTTAGTAGAGACGGGGTTTCGCCAAATTGACCAGACTGGTATTGAACTCCTGACCTCGTGATTTGCCCGCCTCGGCCTCCCAAAGTGCTGGGATTACAGGCGTGAACCACTGGTCCCAGTCCTCACTGTGATTTTTATACACTGTTGAAAACAATGACTTTTATTTATTTAAAGGCAGCAGTAGTTCCCATTACTCTCATAATGTTATAGCCAAGCCTTGATTTAGTTCCAGAAAATAAATAGAGTAAATTTTTAATATTTCTCTAGCTCTGTCTTCTGTAAGAGAATTTCAGAGTATGAAGGAAAGATGAAGCAGACATAGAAGAACATTTTTAGATACTGACCATTTTTCCTTGAATTTGGTGAAAATTTAGTTTCTTTCCCAAATTCTGCACTTCTATACATAAAAGTAAATTTCTATTTTAGTAGCTCTAAAAGAACTAGGTGAGAGAGGATTATTACCCATAATAGTAAATAGCAAGTACTTTGGCAAGTCTGAATTAGAGTACAAGTGAAGACATTCACAAACATCCTTTTTCCATCTCCTGGATGTGGTATGGTCTTTATGTTAGAATTAAAGCATCACAATTAACTGATTGTAGGGTGCTGGTGGGCAATGCAATCCATCAACATGTCTACCCCAACAGATGTGGAGACATATGGAACAAATATGTTAACCAAAGTGGTCAGGAGAACAAAACACAGAAAACACCATAAAACTGAGGACATTATCTCTTCTTGTCTGAAAAAAGGGGTTCCCTGGAGCACAGAAAGTATTTATCAGGGGAATGCTTCTATTCTGTTATCACAGGAGGGCTTGATGCAGATTCTGGCCACTCACACACATCTGGCAGCAGGGAATCATATTCACTCCATCATATTCTTTCTTTAACATATTGGGCCTTGTCTTCAGGTTCTGGGTATTGAGAAAGCCATTTTATTAGCATACAGGTATTCTGTAACTTTAATAGCAATGTTAATAGAAACTTTCTGAATATTAGCAAGTGGTAAGTAAAGTCTCCCTCGGGCTAGCGCGTCATCCGTCACGTGGCTTGTCAATGCCTTTGCAGCTTCTAGGAAAACATTGTCACTAATTTGCTGGGTGTTACAGAGAATAACAGCTAAAGTCACACCTGGAAAAATATATACATTGTTTCCTCGATCTGGTGTAAAGATTCGCCCATCTGTGAGTTTCACTGGCCCAAATGGACTGCCACTGGCAAACAAACATTTGCCCTCTGTAAGTGTATATGCTTCTCCAGCCGTGCACTCCTGCACTCCGCCTGTGCTGTAGGATTACTTAATGCAAATATTACAGGCCTTTCATTGATACAGCCAATGGCTCTGATTACATCAGGAGTGAAAAGACGGCCAGCACCTGCAACTCCAATTGTAGTTGAAGTCTTCATTATATTCACTGCATCTTCAAAAGTATCAGGTATGCTCTCTGGGACTGGGTAAGTAAATGGTTCCTGATAACAATCTATTTTTGCTTTCTGCCCCTAAACTAATAAACCATACTTGTCAAACATCCAGATTTTCTTTTGTGCCTCTTCTTCTGACAGGCCATTTTCTACCATAGACATACTACAAGATTTGCAATTCTAAGAGTAATCTCTCCTGCTCCAAGGAATAAGATTTTGTGTTCGGAGATTGGTTTACTAGTAACTTTTTGTGTTGCAAGAAGACCTATTAGAGCTACTGCAGCTGTCCCTTGAATATCATCATTGAAAGTGCAACATTTTTATTGGTATTTTCTCAAGAATCTGAATGCATTATGATGTCCAAAACCTTCAAACTGAAGGAGTGTGTTCCAGCCATATCTGTCAGTAATAGCTTTCATAAACTCATCAATTGGATCATCAGACTGTTGTGTGCGATCTCGTTTCTGGTACAAGCCCATGTAAAATGTGCCTTTTAAGAGTGCGATATTATCAGCTCCCACATCAATACACACCAGAAGGCATCTATCAGGCCATATTCCTGGACAAACTGTATACAAACAAATTTTTCCTACTGGAATTCCCATTCCATAGACACCCAGATCTCCATGACCCAGAATTCTCTCTCCATCAGTCACTAAAACAGCCTTAACATGATTTTCTGGCCACTTATCCACAATTGATCTAACATGACCTCTGTCTGAGATGGAAATAAATAATCCCTTAGGTCTTCTAAAGAGGTGTCCACACTGGGAGCAGACAAGACCAACCGTCGGTGTATATGCAATTGGCATTAAACTCTCCGTGTCATCTTGCAGTATTCTATAAAACAATTTATCATTTCTTTCTTGTATTCCCATTATGTAGATATAGTTTTCCGAAGGGCTAGTCATTTTTTTCAAGTTTCTATGGAATCGTAAGGCTTGAATATCTTATGTCTGTATTTGGGGAGGTAGAAGCCCTTGAAGACCAAGCATCTGTCGTTCTTGTAAAGTAAATGCCATTCCCTTGTTTGTTCTTGGATTCAGCATAAGTGGCTTGCCTTTTTCTTTTATGTGTAAATGTAGACATGCCAAAGTACAAGTGGTGGAAACTACGCTTAACCCGGACAACATCTTTTCTTTCACCAGAGGTCTGGCGCCACAACAGGCGGTGCTGTGGGCAAAGAGGCAGCGCTTTGCCGCCCGCCCTGGCGATGCTAAGCTCTCGCGCCGCCGGGCCCTCCCCTTCTGCGAGCCTCCTGGAGTCCACGCCAACTCAGACTCGCACTGGCGCGGGAGGCCCCACACTCTGAGGTAGACCGGTGAGAGCGGCCGGTGAGGAGAGGGTGCAGGGCCGGGTGGGCACGGCCTACTAGATCTTTTTAAACGTAAATTTTCCTTTTATATTTTTAAATTTTTTTTCTTCTATTGGAGGTATTTGCCACTTTCAATTAATTCATACGAATTCTTTATAAATTAAGGTAATTGAAACTTTACATTATCTGTTCCAAATATTTTTCTCTCTTTTCCTTTTTCTTACTCTATTAGCCATAAATGACTGATCTGATGTAGTGAAGTACATCAACATTTTCATTCATGGAATCTTTTTTGAATGTATCTGTGGTGTCCTATTTTCTCAGGTTCATACTTTTAACTGCATGTTATCTACATTTGAATATTGCACTGATCCCTCTAATGTCTAATCTCACATGATGCCAGCCTTAACTTTATACAGAGCCCTTGGTCAATTGTCTCTATACTTTCACATTAGTTATCAAATAATATGGTTTGGAACTCTGTCCCCACCCAAATCTCAAGTTGAAATGTAATTTCCAATGCTGTATGTAGGGCCTGGTGGGAAGTGATTGGAACAGAAGAACAGTTTCTTATGATTTAACACCATTCCCCCTTGGTGCTGACATCATGATACTGAGTTCTTATGAGATCTGATTGGAGGTCTCAGAAGAAGACAGGGTGAGGGAAAGATTGGAACTTCCTAGAGACTTATTGAATGGTTGTGACCAACATGCTGATAGTGATATGGACAGTGAAGTACAGGCTGAGGAGGTCTCAAATGGAAATGAGGAATTTATAGGGAACTGGAGTAAAGGTTACTTCTGCTATGCTTTAACAAAGAGCCTGACTGCATTTTGCCCCTGCTCTACAGATAAGTGGAACTTTGAACTTGAGAGTGATGATTTAGAGTATCTGGTGAGAGAAATTTCTAAGTAGCAAAGCACTCAAGATGTGAACTGGCTGCTTCTAACAATCTATGCTCACATGCCTGAGTAAAGAAATGATCTGAAACTGAACTTCTATTTAAAAGAGAAGCAGAGGGTAAAGATTTTCAGCCTGTCCATTTCATAGAAAAGAAAAGCCCACTTTCAGTGGTGGAATTCAAACAGGCTGCAGAAATTTGCATAAGTAAGGAGGAGTCGAGTGCTAATAGCAAAGACAATAGGGAAAGACCTCAAAGGCATTTCAGAGACCTTTGTGGTAGCCTCTCCAATTAAAGGCCACAAAGCCTAGAAGGACAGAATGATTTTGCAGGCCAGGCTCATGGCCCCACTGCCCTGTGCAGCCTTGGGATACTCTCTGCATCCCAACCACTCAACCTCCAGCCATAGCCAAAATGGGCCAAGGTACAGCTTGGACCACTGCTTCAGAGGTGCAAGCTATAAGTCTTGGTGGCTTCCACCTGTTGTTAAGCCTGTGGGTGCGCAGAATGCAAGAGTTGGGGCTTGAAAGACTCCACCTAGATTTCAGAGGATATATGGAAATGCCTGATGTCCAGGCAGAAGCCTGCTGCAGGGGCAGAGCCCTCATGGAAAATCTCTACTAGGGCAGTGCAGAGGGAATATCTGGAGTTAGATCCTCTTCACAGAGTCCCCACTGGGGCACTTCCTACTGGAGCTGTGAGAAGTGGAGCACCATGCTCCACACCCCAGAAGAGTAGATCCACCAACAGCTTGCACCCTGCACCTGGAAAAGCAGCAAGCACTCAATGCCAGCCCTTGAGAGAAACTGTGGGGGCTGAAACTGGCAAAGCCACAAGAGTAAAACTGCCCAAGGCTTTGGGAGCCCACCCCTTGCACTTGTATGCCATGGTGAGACATGGGGTCAAAGGAGATTATTTTGGAGCATTAAGAGTTAATGACTGTCCTATTGGGTTTCAGACACGCATGGGACCTGTAGCTCCTTTAATTGACAGATTTCTCCCTTTTGGATTGGGAGTAATTACTCAATGCCTTTACCTCCAAGGTATCTTGGAAGTAACTAACTCATTTTTTATTTTACAGGCTCATAAGCAGAACAGACTAGCCTTGTCTTGGATGAGACTTTGGACTGTGGACTTTTGAGTTAATAATAGAATGAGTTAAGACTTTGGTGGACTGTTGGGAATTCATGATTGTATTTTGAAATGTGAGAAGGTCTTGAGGTTTCAGAGAGGCCAGGTGTGGAATGATGGTTTGCGTCTGTGTCCCCACCCAAATCTCATGCTGAAATGTAACCTCGATGCTGAAGTTGCGGCCCAGTCTGAGGTTATTTGATCATGGGGGTGGGTTCTCATGATTTAACATCACCCACACTTAGTGTTATCATCACAATAGTGAGTTCTCATGATATCTGGTTGTTTAAAAGTGTGTAGCACCTACCCCTTCTCTCTCTTCCTCCTGTACCAGTCAGGTGAAGCTCCTAGCTCCCCTTTGCCTTCCACCATAATTGGAAACTGTCTGAGTCCTCTCCAGAAGCAAAATCCACTATGCTTCCTATATAGTCTGCAAAAGTGTGAGTCAATTAGGCCTCTTTTCTTTATAAATTACCCAGTCTCAGGTATTTCTTTATAACAGTGTGAGAATAGACTAATACACCAAGTTAGTCTGATTTTAACCCGGTCAATGGCTGAGGCAACAAACTCACTATGAGAACAGCCAGACAGTGCTTTACCACTTGCCCTTAATGCTATGCCTTGTTTCCCATCCCAGGGCTTCTGTACTATTTCTGAAGCATATATCATATTCTTAGTGTGCATAAACACAAAACTTGGAGGTATCAAGTAGTTACTACTCTTCAGGTGAATCTGTGATTGGAGACAAGGAACTGGTGGATAAATTCATAACCTTTCTTCCTCCTGGACCTCTCATTTGCAGTGCTTTGTATTATATGACCTCTTGGAAGTGCTGTGAGTTTGAGTTATTGGCAGGAGCTTGACCCAAGAATCAGATAATCTAGTTACGCACCTGATATTTGCTCTTGCTCCTTTCATACCTTATTTCCCCTTTCCTTCACACTTGCTTCTCAATGATTGCACTTTCTAAGAACACATTTACACATAAACTTTTGCTTCAAGCTCTTGATTTCTGAAAATCCCATATTAAGTAGATGTCCGATAAAAGTCATTAATATGTCAAATATATAAACCATTTATTTCCTTAAACTTGCTTTTTCTAGTGTCTTCCCCATCTTATTAAATGGCAACTGCATTTTTCAAGGGCCTTGTGCTCAGGATTTTGAAGTAATTCTTGTTTATGCTCTTCTTCTCATTTTCCACATTTAATCATGAGCAAATCATGTTGTATATTCCTTCAAAATACAACTAGAAAATGACCCTCTCTCTCCATCCACACCACAATCTCTCATATTCAAACCACCATCAACATTCGTTGGTATTTTTTTCAGTATCCTTCTATTTGGTCCCATTGTTTTCATATTTGTTATCTACAATCTATTTTCCATATGTAGGGGAAAGATGCTTTTTAAAAAGACACGTTGTATCATGTCACTACTCTTCATTCAGTGCTTCAAAGACTACACTTGCTCAGAGTAAAGTTGTGACCTTACAAGAACTTATTAAAGCCCTACTTATTTTAGCCTTGTTGTTTATCTAACCTCATTTTCCTACTACACATTTGGTCTTTACCCCTAGTCACAGACCTCCTTGCTGAATGTTAAATATGCCAAACTCCATCCTCTATTATGGCTCTTTTACTTGCTGTATATTAATACCTTGTTAAATAGATAATTCACTAATTTTTTTAGAATAGTGCCTGACCCATTGTAGTAATATAATAGTTATCACTTGTTATGATATTTTAGATTAGAAACTGTTATTAGTGTTAGTGCCTCAATGTTATCATCATCAGTAAAATGCAGACGTTTTGTTCTTTTGAGTATATGTGAGAATGATATGATAGAGTGATCAATACCAGAAAAACATTACACAAATGCTAATAATTATTTCAATATTTAACGTGTTCATTGCACTAACAATCACTTTTTTTCACATTTCTAAATTTTTACCATCATACATTTACATGACTAAGTGTTTTATGGTTATAGACTTCAGCATGTACCCATGTTAATATGTTAATCACTTCTCCGATCACATCCTCTTTCATTCCCTTTCCATTATCTAATTAGTATATCCATGCTTGGTGCATTTCCTCCTTCATTCTAGCAACGATTCCGTGGCTTTTTTAAAAAAGTCTCCATTACCATTCTTTTTAGGTTCACTTCTCACTTTTCTAGGTTCTTTCCCATTTCTCATTTTCTTTTTCTAACATCATGGGATTTCTCAGCCAGTGTTTGATGGCCAAGTTTGGAGTTGTCTATTGCCATGGATACTGTTTCAGCTACTTGCCCACAGGAGGGAGCCCTCTACTTGTTAAAGGTACGTTGGCGGCAGCAACATTTCCTTTTTGGAAAAGGACAGTGGAGCAGGGACTAATTAGCAATAAAGATGTAAGATGGCTTATTTTCCCATATATAGAGTACATCTCATGCTGGTCCAAGTATGGTATTTTCTCTTTCATTAGACTTACGTCAGGACCGTACAAAATTAGTACTTATATGGCAGAGTATGAAAGGCATCTACATTGCCCTAATATTTCTTCTGACTTTCTTTTACCAGTCATGTTTGTCTGTTTGCATTAAAATCTTAAAATAAAGTATCTCGTTAGGTAAAAAGAACCAAATGGAAATGGACATCACCTGGGATAGTTATCATAGGAAAGAAAAAAAAATCAAAATAAGTGGTTCTCAAAGAGGGTAAGGTGTAAATGGGACAAAGCAGTGGACTTCCCAAGATAACTGTGAAATTTTTTTGTAAGGTTTTATCTCTTTAGAAGACTAGAGTCCTTGAAATAAAGGAAATTTCAAGTGAAACTCTCCACATTCACAGTTTTCTTTTGGGGCAATATGTCAAGATGAAAATATTTGTATTCAGGGTAAAAGAGTGATGTGTAAATTGGGAGACCAAGAAATATTATTTTACAGTTATCTGCCACTGTCAGCCCCATAAATACACTGTAGTTACTCTGAAACCTTGAAGTTCTGGAAGATAGAATTGATCCTTCTGCCTTTCCAGGCAGTCATTTCTGCTCACTCACCTACCCCTGCTGAATATGATTGGGCTTATTGTGAGTTTACAGCTTACAATTATTTCCCTGGCTACACACTTTTCATAACTAATTACAATTTACAGTAAGTAGGAACACAAGATTATGGTTATGCCTAAAATAGTGTATGCTACCTTCTGTAGGCAAAAAATCAAAAAAGATGTTAAAAATCCAAAGAAAGTGTTTAGGTAAAATATGAAGAAGGGGGCATTGGATAGTCAAAGTTGGTGGGGCAAGAAGCACAATTCTCTTAAAAAATATTAAGTCTGATGCCTTGTATTTCTTAAGAAACAAGAGAGACATCTATCTGTCCAAATTAATGTGGGGATGAAGTTGGCATAAAGATAAGAAGGCAGCAATTGAAACCATATCTCTTGTTGTGTTTTTACAGTTCTGATCACAAATGCTTATTTATAATAAAGAGTATTAATTTAAAGCAAATGATTAGATTATACTCACATAAAATAAGGCCTATATTTTATTACTGAAAAGCATTCTATTATTGAAAAGGCTTTTTATGGTAGAGAAATAGAGATTTAGGATGGCAGACCATCTTCTTCAACCTAAATTGACGATTATAAAACATATATTAAGTGCAAAAAATGGAGCTGTAATTTCAAATATAAGTGATTCAAAACAAAGTGAATTTGACGGACTTTGTGCTTTGTTCATTTTTATTTTTACTCCTCCTTTAAGCAGCATTCTCAACTCTCACATTGCATGTCCAAGTACTTCCATTTTTAAATGCTGCATTATTATATATGTTGATGTTGGAAATCTATTTTATTTGAGTGCCTGAAAGTAATTTAAGAGCCAGAAATTAATGATAGAGGCCAAATTCTTCAAAATAGATTATTATAAAAAGAAGAGATTCCTACTACAAAAAAGTCACTATTTTCTATTACAACTAGGACTAAAGGAAACATTTTTTCATCAAAGCAGAATCACATATGTATTTAAAGCATTTATCTGTTCTCTAACTCAGTAAAGATTTCAGATTGATTTTTTTCTCATTTATTTCTGACAGAGAAAAGTAGACATTTTAAAATAATAATAATAATAATGACACCATAATTTTAAATAACAAAGCAGCTTTTTTTTCCCCAAAGTAACCCAACAGAAGAGCTATATAGCTGAGCTCTGCAAGGACTTAGGAAATGAAGGAAAACGTGCTCTATTTGTGGCTTAGTTTTTCTGGGGGGCGGGGGATATGTTGGATGTGTCTGGAGGTTCATCAAAACCCCCTTATAATTTTCAAAACATGCTAACTGCAGACAGAGGTTGAATTCTAAAACACTTTGTTTTTAATTTTGTATATAAGTCATCACAGAAGCAAAACAGAAGCAAACAAATGAACAAAATTGTAACAAATTAACTGACGGGTAATAGTCACTAGGCAACCTACCTATATCTCTGTAAAATAACAAAAATGCCATCAGCACCATGACAAGAAAAACAACATTTAAAGAATTGAGGAAAAATCTGTTTAAAAATTCTTGCTGAAATGTTTTGGTTTCACCTGAGCAAACTGTCAATTCAATGCTACAAGGTGATTGAGCTGATTTTATCTCAAAGCACAATACCTGTGAGCACAGTCTTATTTTGAAAAAAAATACATATAGATACATATGTACGTATATGTATATTATTTATTTAATCTATAATTATGTAACCATATTTTTATTAGAACCTGTTTAAATTATTTAGATTTGCTAGATAATATATGTGACTTTAATTTAGACTACTAAAAAGTGAATTTGTTTTACTTGTTTAATATGAGAGTAAAATATTATTTCATTGTAAGTTTTACATGATTGTTGATTCAAAGTAGCAAAAATAAATTTTTTTGAGCATGAAAAATTTAAACAGTTATCTATAAAGTCTGGGCTTTGGACAAGTGAGTAATTGGCTTGATCTTTTCGTCCTTTCCTACACTGTTCACCAATTACACATTAGGCTTTTGAAAACCAAGGTGGGAATCTAAATTACAACAGGTTTTTCTCACTTGACCTCTCTTACTTTGCTTCCAGGCTTTAGAAAGATAATTACTTATTTACATCAAAAGGCTTTTGCTAGGTTATTTAAAAAACAAATCTGCTTACTTCTCTTTACAGGTGAAATGATCTAAATTTGTTGGCCTCACATATAAAAAGGATAAATGAATAAAGTTTCTGCATACTCTGCACTCTTACCAACATATCTCCCATGACCCAAAAGCCAGGGATCCCAGAGGAAGGAATTCAGCATTCAAAAACACTAACATTTCATTGTAAGGCAATCATACTTTCCATTTATTTAAAAAGTATCTTGAATTTTTCTTCCTCGGAGCCCTCATTGTTGCACATTGATTCATGGGAGCTTTATGTTGGAAATAATTTTCTATACCTGCATGTTTGCTGGCCTTCAACACATACAGTTCTTTCTTTACACTTGATACCGTTTCAAGGTGTGTGTGTGTGTGTGTGTGTGTGTGTGTGTGTGTGTGTGTGTGTGTTCTTACTTGCTGAGTCATTACTTTGGTACTTCTTTTCCATTACTTTTGCTTTGTAATAGGTTGCAAAGTTCTGCAATCCTCTTTCTTCCTAGACAGTCCTCACATAAATCTTGGCATCAAGTCCTCTTTGTTCAACATTCCACCAAATCCCATGCTGTAGCCTTACTCCCGATGATACAATTCAGGACATGATCACAACTTCATCACTTTGCAAAACGTTGAAGTGAAGTTGTGCAATAATAACACTAACTGCCATTCATTAAATAAACTTGTAATTCAGCAGGTTAAATCCTTGCAACCCCTTTCATCTTTGTCTGGTGGAAGATATGTCTTTTCCAGAAAGCCATCTTGAAGTAATCAACCCTTCTTTATCTGTTGAATTCTGCGTATCTATCACAGTCGCCATTGCAGGTTTGTCCATGGATTTGTATACATTTGTCTTTCTTGATGCCCTAGATGTAAACTCATTAAGGGCTATATATATATATATTTTATTATACTTTAAGTTCTAGGGTACATGTGCACAACATGCAGGTTTGTTACATATGTATACATGTGCCATGTTGGTGTGCTGCACCCGTTAACTCGTCATTTACATTAGGTATATCTCCTAATGCTATCCCTCCCCCCTCCCCCCACCCCACAACAGGCCCCGGTGTGTGATGTTCCCCTTCCTGTGTCCAAGTGTTCTCATTGTTCAATTCCCACCTATGAGTGAGAACACGCGGTGTTTGGTTTTTTGTCCTTGCGATAGTTTGCTGAGAATGATGGTTTCCAGCTTCATTCATATCCCATTAGCTAGAACTATACTAGATATGTAATAGATTTTAATAAATATTTTTTTCAATAAATAAATCCTTACCAAAATACAGTAATGTAGGGATCATTAGCACATTTTAATTTGAGAAACTCATGACTGGGAGGTTAAAGAAATGTTCCCAGCTCTTATTGAGACTAAAACCTCAGATAAGTCTAATGCTTATACTTGTTCTTTTTGACCTTTTCTTTAATTTTTTTCTTTTTTCTTTTTTCTTTTTCTTTTTTTTTTTTTTTTTTTTGAGACAGTCTCTCACTTTGTTGCCCAGGCTGCAGTGTGCAGTAGCAGGATCATAGCTCACTACAGTCTCATACTACCTGGCTCAAGTGAGACTCCCACCTCAGCTTCCTGAGTAGTTGGGATCAAAGGCTTGTGTCACTATGCTCAGCTGATTTTTTGCTGGGGTCAGGGGCAGGGTTTGACTTTGTTGTCCAAGCTTGTCTTGACCTCCTGGGCTCAAGTCATCCTCTCACGTCAGCCTCCCGACTAGCTGGGATTAGAGGCACATGTCATCACGCACAGCTAATTTTTTAAAAATTGTGTGTAGAGATGGGGTCTCTCTATGCTACCCAGGCTGGTCTCAAACTTCTGGCCTCATGTGATACTCCTCCCTCAGCCTCCCAAAGTACTGGGATTTCAGACATGAGCCACTGTGCCTGGCCATTTTTTTACTTTTGTTAAACCCTATATGACCTAATATTCTGATTTCATCATTTACAGAATTGAGTTTGTATTTTTGGCATTTTGGTTGTTATTATTTGATATGGTTTGGCTCTGTGTCCCCACCCAAATCTCACCTTGAGTTGTAATAATTCCCACATGTCAAGGGTGGGAACAGGTGGAGATAATTGAAGAATGGGGCTGGTTTCCCTAATGCTGTTCTCATGATACTGAGTGAGTTTTCACAAGATCTGATGATTTTACAAGTGGCTTACCCCTTTGTTGGGCACTCATTCTCTCTCTTGCTGCACTGTGAAGAGGTAACTTCGGCCATGATTGTAAGTTTCCTGAGGCCTCCCCAGCCGTGCAGAACTGTGAGTCAATTAAACCTTTCCTTTATAAATTACCCAGTCACAGGCAGTTCTTTATAACAGTGTGAGAATGGACTAATATGCTTTTATTTTCATTTTTATTCCAGATGAGTATTCAGAATGAAAATAATGTTTTAAAAAACTAAATAGAAAAAAATGTAACTGAATGAGAATGACTTGTTTTGGATTATCTGAATGGGGAGTATCAATATTTGGATGAAATCAAATTAGATAGGTAAAATAGTAAATATCGAGATTGAAAAATTTGAAATGAGGTATTAAACATTATACTTAAAAACAGAGTACAAGATCCTAATCACACTATTTTTGAAAAGAGGAGAAAAAGAGATGTTGAAATTAGCCTAGTAGCCAGAATTATTTTTCCTAGGGGAAATACTTCTAGGGCAGTTACTGTGGTTCTGAATCTGTAGTTCTGCTTTGTTTTTATCGGTGCTTTTTTTTCCCAACCCTTCAGAATGTAGCTATCAGGAAATGTTATTACAACCTATTCAATTTTAGCTGGCCTTCATTAAAGGCTAATCGGCCCTTGTAATCTATTTTATATGTTTCTGTACGATTTGCTGAATTGTTTTCTCAAAATAACATTTTTAATATGTTCAGCAATAACCAAAAATATACTTGTGAACTCAATAAAAAATAACATTAAATGTTCATGTCCCCAAGTACCCATAAGAACAAGAGAACTTGACTTCCCAGAGAATACTATATAGAAAGGAATTTTGTCTATACCAACATACCTCAGAGATATTGCAGGTTTGATTTCAGACCACTATGATATAGAGCAACACAAATTTTTTGCTTTCTAAGGGCATATAAAATTTATGTTTATACTATATTATGGTCTATCAAGTGTGCAATAACATTATGTTTAAAACATTTTTTTCTACTTTAACTTAGAAGTATTTTATTGCTATAAAATGCTAATGATTATCTGAGCCTTCAGGGAGTCCTAATTTTTTGCTGGTGGAGGGACTTGCCTCCTGTTGTTGGCTACTGACTAATCAGGGTGGTGGTTGCTGAAGGCTGGGATGTCTGTGACAATTTATTTAAATAAGACAACAATGAAGTTTACCCCATTGATTGACTCTTTCTTTCACAAATGATTTCTCTGTAAAATGAAATGCTGCCTAATAACATTTTACCCAGTAGAAATTCCTTCAAAATTAAAGTCATTTCTCTCAAATCCTGCCACTGCTTTATCAACTAAGTTCATAAAATATTCTAATTCCTTTGTTGTCTTTTCAATGATGTTTACAGCATCTTCACCAAGGGCAGATTCCATCCCAAGAAACCACTTTATTTGCTCATCTGTAAGAAGCAACTTCTCATTTGTCCAGTTTCATCATGGGATTGCAGCAATTCTGTGACAGCTACAGGTTCTATTTCTCAATCTATTCTCTTGTTATTTCCATCATGTCTGTGGTTCCTTCCTCCACTGAAGTCTTCAACTCCTCAAAGTCACTCATAGGGGTTGGAATCAACCTCTTTCAAACTCCTATTTATGTTGCATTTTTGATCTCCATTATAAATCACAAATATTTTTAACGGCACCTAGAATTGTGAATTCTTTCCAGAGGTTTTCAATTTATTTTACCCAAATTCTTCAGAAGAATCTCTATCAATGGCAGCTGTAGCCTTACAAAATATATTTCTTAAATAATAAGACTCAAAATTCAAAATTACTCCTTGATCCATGGGCTACATAATGAATGTTCTGTTAGCAGGCATGGTCATCTCGACTCCATCTCGACTCATCAGAGCTCTCATCTCGACTCCATCAGAGCTCTTTGATGACCAGGTGTATTGTCAAATAAGCAGTAATGTTTTGAAAGATTTTTTTTTTTCTCTGAACAGTAGATCTCAACAGTGAGCTTGATGTATTCAGTAAACCATGCTGTAAACAGATGTACTGTCATCCAGGCTTTCTTGTTCCATTTACAGAACACAGACAGAGTAGATTTAGCGTAGTTATTAAGGGCCCGCAGATTTTTTGGAATGACAAATGAGCATTGGCTTCAACTTAAATCCATCAGCTGCACTGGCCCCTAGCAAGAGAGTCAGCCCGTCTTTCAAAGCTTGGAAGCCAGTCATTGACTTCTCTCTAGTTATGAAAGCCCTAGATAGCATCTTCTTCCAATAGAAGGCTGTTTTGCATAGGTTGAAAATCTGTTGTTGTTTGCCACCTTCATCAATGATCTTAGCTAGATCTTCTACATCAACACTTCCTGCTTCACCATGTACTTTCATGTTATAGGTATGGCTTCCTACCCATAAACCTGATGAACCACCCTCTAATAGCTTCAGACTTTTCTTTTGCAGTCTTCTCACCTCTCTCAGCATGGATAGAATTAAGGAAAGTTATGGCCTTGCTCTGGATTAGGCTTTGGCTTAAGGGAACATTGTGGCTTATTTGATCTTTTATCCAGACCACTCAAACATTCTCCATATCAGCAATGAGGTTGTTTCATTTTCTTATTATTTATGTATTTGCTGGAGTAGCCCTTTAATCTCCTTAAAGGACTTTTTCTTTGCATTCATAACTTGGCTAAGTGTTTGGCACAAGAAACCTAGGTTTCAGTCAGTCTTGGCTTTTGGCACACTTTCCTCACTAAGCTTGATTATTTATAGCTTTTGCTTAAAAGTGAGACATGTGTGACTCTTACTTTCCCTTGAACACTTAGAGGCCATTGTAGGGTGATTGATTGGCCTAATTTTAATGCTGTTGTGTCTCAAAGAATAGGGAGGGAGGGAGAGAGAGAGATAGGGTTCTACGAATGGCTGATGCATAGAACAGTCAGAGCACAAACAACATTTATTGATTATGTTTGCCACCTTATATGAGTGTGGTTCTTGGTGCCCTAAAACACTTACAATAGTAACATTAAAGATCTTTGATCAAAGCATGTCATAACAGATATAATAGTAATAATAAGAATAATAAAGTTTGAAATATTGCGAGAATTATGAAAATGCAACACAGAGACATATAGTGAGTACATGCTTTTGGAAAAATGTCACTTATAGACTTGATTGACATAGGATTGCCAGAAACATTCAGTGTGTAAGAAAATAAAATATCTGCAAAGCACAATGAAGCAAAAGGTAATAAAATGAAGTATGCATTTATTTTATGAGTAATGGTAAAGGGTGGCAAGCTAGCGTGAAACAAACTGAAATAGGATGCTGACACCAGGCACTGTATTTTTGGAAATGTTTTCCTATTTAAGCTGTCTTTTTATAAGCACATAAAACTTCTTTTGCAGAATCCTTACTATCATAACTCTTCCTTACATGGACCCAGTATTTTAAACACTATTGTTATTGTAGAAACAATACTTCAAAGTGCTTAGTGGTAAAGCTGTTGAGAGTAAAATGAATTTTCGACACCTATCATAGAATGTTGTATAAAAATAAGGATTTTTTTGGATCATAATATGATCATTGAGTTCTAACTAAATGAATCTCTCTCTCATTCTTTTTAACATCTCCATAGGTTACACAGAGATACTAAATACAGGCAAAATTCACTAAATGCATATGTAACTTTATATGTGTTTCCAAAATCACTGAGCAAAGAGGAGAAAAAGTGTGGATCACTGAAAGTATATAGGGAGAGTAAGTGGGTGAAGAAAGCAAAGAGTGAAATAAGAAATTCCATTATATCAAAAAGAAAAAAATAGATAGTAGATAAAGATTTAAAATTCCAGTTTCTTTAAATACTAATTATATTGCAAATCCTCTTAGTTATAAACATTGCATTCATAATATATAGCAATTTTTTTTTTCTTTTTGAGACAGAGTCTCACTCTGTTGCCCAGGCTGGAGTGCAGTGGCACGATCTTGGCTCACTACAACCTCTGCCTCCTGGGTTCAAGCGATTTTTCTGCTTCAGCCTCCTGAGTAGCTGGGACTACAGGCGAGTGCCACCACATCTGGCTAATTTTTTGTATTTTTTTTTTTTTTAGTAGAGATGGGGTTTACCATATTGGCCAGACTGGTCTCAAACTCCTGATGTTGTAATCCGCCCACCTCAGCCTCCCAAAGTGCTGGGATTACAGGCGTGAGCCACCGCATCTGGACATATATAGCAAACTTTTGATGCTATAGAATTTTCACATTTCAATAGCTTTTAATATTTTAAAATGTTTTTCTCTAATATTAGCCTATAATATTATTTCTAATATTATAAACTTTCACCTTAAAGTGTTTCATATAAAGCTGCTTAACTATATGTCTTCTAATTTTCAGCTGTTAGGGAACCAATTCTACTCTTTTCTTATTTAAAAAAGACCCAGGAACTCAAATGAAAGAATATTAGAGTTCTTTTTATTTAATACTATTATCTAGTCATGTTTCCTTCCATGAAAAGTTTCCAGTGTCTTTTAATAGATTTTTTATTATTTTCCTGCTTTTTACACAGTTCAGTGGGCATGCAATTACCTGCTATCTATACTGGCAAAGAAACAAATTATTGGAAAGTTACAACCTATTCATGTTACTTTTCAGTAATTTAAACAGAATTACAAGGAACACATTTAAATCTATATTTGAATCTGAATCAGATGTCTCCACAGTGGAAAATATATGTGGACTTGATTATATATATCAAACTATATTAGCACAAAACAATCAGTTCTGTTTTGTGCCATAGTCCTAAAACTGTAGCTGGGGATCTTTGCATTAGAATATATACTCTGCGTGCAAATAAAATCTTGACACAAGAGCTTAAAAAATCTAAAAATGTGAGTGTAATTAAAGTAATAATTCCTAATATAGCTGGCCTAGAAATTATGTGTACCATTTTAAAATGACTTAAATTTATTTGCTTTGCAAAACAATAACATTTTAAGTAACTGCTCTTTTATCTCTTGAGGTCAGAATGTCTGTGTGTGTGTTTAAGTTGGCATGGAATCAAATTTACCTCAGGATTGCAATAAGTCACACAGTTTTATTTAAAGATACTTTAGTCCATTTGAATAAAATAACTTTTTAAAAAATTGATAGAATTTAAGACTATTTTTAGAGCAGTGTTAGGCTTACAGAATAATTGATCAGAAAATACTAAGTTCTCTTAATCCTCTCCTCCCTACAACTTTCCCTATTATTGATATATGACATTAGCATTATTATTGACATGACATTTGTCATAACATAATTAAAATTGACTAGCCAATATTAATGCATCATTGTTAACTATCTATGTATATGTTGGTGCATTTAATAGTGTCCCACATTTATTTCAGGCAATGTTCAATTTTCTTCATTCTTTCTCTCTTTTCTTCAAGTTTGCATAATTGAAATCAATCGATCTTCATATCATTGATTCTTTCGTTAGTTCACAACTATTTTTTAGCTCCTCTAGTGAATTTTTTATTTTAGTTACTGCACCTTTCAACTTCTTTTCATTTGTTTCCTTTTTATAATTTCTATATATTTATTTATGTTCCTATTTACTGCAACATTGTCACCATGCCCTCCTTTAACTCTTTAAGAAAGGCTTTCTTTAGTTCTTTGAGTGTTTGTAGTGGTGCCTTTGAAAACTCTGCCTATTAAACCAGGTATCTGCACCCTCATTCAAGCAGTTTGCCTTTGAAAACTCTGCCTATTAAATTAGGTATCTGCACCCTCATTCAAGCAGTTTTTCCTGTCAGCTATTTTTCTTATGTGTGTGTCACAATTCCCTGTCTCATGGTTTGTCTCATTACTTACTGTTAAAAGTGGATATTTTAGAAAATACAGCAAGTCTAAATGTTGACTTTTCTACTTAAGAGTTTGCTGTGGTTGTGCATGTCTTCATTTTTTTAATGAAGTCTATCCACCACCACCAGCCACAGCATCTATCAGAAATCCCTGAAGTCATTCCTTAGCCGGCATAGCCTTTGGCATGCACACAGCGATCCAGGGATGAGAGTAGCTTCAGCAGGACTCTTTTTAGTGGTATTATTTCCCAGTCACACTCCAGTTAGGCTCTATAAATTACTAGTTGATTACTCTGTTGTAATTGACAATGCCCTGGATATAAATTGCTACAGCCTGACTCAATTAAGTTTGCTCTCCTTTGTGGAAGTATTTTTTCCAGCTTTATTGAAAATTAAAAATTATATATATTTAAGGCATACAATGTGATTTTTTATACACATTATGAAATAATTATCACCATCAAGTTAATTAACATACTCATCCTCTCATAATTACTTTTTTTGTATATATAGTTGTTGAAAAAAACTTAAGATCTACTATCTTAGCGAATTTCAAGAATGTGATACGTTATTATTAACTACAATCACTATGATGTATATTAGATCTTCAGAATTTATTCATCCTATTACATCTTATAACTTCAATTTTTTAAAAATACTTTTCACCAGGTATGTTGTTTTCACTGAAAAGGAGATCACAGAGCTCCTTGTGCTCCATTCCATAAGTGGAACTCTGCAGCTCATGTAAATTATGCATTCCAAATGAAAGGTGCCTTGTAAATTATTTAATCATAGCATGTTACTTACAGTAGAGTTGAAGCCTAAGGATGCTTAAATAATTGTCTAAATTCAAAACTAGTAGAAGACCAATAATTATAATTTAAGTTATTAATCAGTATTTTTCCTCACTACATGCTGTTCTCAACTGAAATTATGCAAAACAGAAACCATTACATTTAAAAATTATACATTTAGGGGGATATTTTTATCTTTATTGACTAAAATATTTCTCATATGTAGACTTACTGAGGCAGATACCAATACAGATTGAACATCTTAAGAATTCATAGCAATATAATCTGATTATTGAATACACTAATTCTCACAAAATTTTCTTTTTACTTATATTATTATTTTATATTTGTTGTTATTTTTGTTGTTTTTGAGAAGGGAAAATTATTATTTGTTATTATATGTTATAAATTTGTATTATTTGTAATTATATAGTATATATATCTGGGGCACAATGTGATATTTTAATATATGTTAATGTGGAATAATTAAATCAACCTAATGAGCAAATTCATCACTTAACATACTTACCTTTTTGTGTGTGTGTGGTTATAACATTTAAAATTAAGATGGCTTACTGGAAGCATCCAGGAAGAGCTTCTCCCACCAAGAGACCAGATAATCAAGAAGACTGGAACACTGCAAGCAGATCTTCAGAAGAAAGGCATTGAGAGTGGATGGAGGGAGGACACAGACTCTAGGCTGAAGGGGTAGGAAGCTGGCAAACGTGCACGGAATTGTCAAGCACCGAGACTCATTTCTGGCCCTGAGTGTATGCTGGGGAAGGTGTTAGGTTAAACAGATGAGGAGTGGCTCACCCTTTCCACGGAACTCTGGAAACCTAGCTGCAGGAGACCCCACAACTTCCAGAGACATTTAAGTAGGTAGGAAGAGATGCTTAGAGAGGTGGCAGGGACAGGACTCCAGCCTATGTGGAACCCAGAGGATTTGGTGTAAGAACAGCTACAGTGGAGTATGGCTTTTGGGTAAACAATAAAATTAAGAAAGAAGTCAATGAATTCTTTGAAACTAATTAAAACAAAGAAATAACATACCAGAATCTCTGGGACACAGCTTAACAGTATTAAGGGAAAAGTTCATAGTGCTAAACACCCACATCAATAAGTTAGCAAGATCTCAAATTAACAACCTAACATCACATCTAGAGGAAACCAAAACACAAGAGCAAACCAACCCCAAAGCCAGTAGAATATTAGAGATACCCCAAATCAGAGCTAAACTGAAAGAAATGGAGAAACAAGAAAACAAACAAAATATCAATGGAATCAAGTCTGTTTTTTGAAAGGATAAATCAGATTCATAGGCCATTAGTTGGACTTTTATAGAAAAAAAGAGAAAAGATCCAAATGGCAAAGAGGATATTACAATCGGCCCCACAGAAATACCAAAAAAGCCTCAGACTATTATGAACACCTGTATGCACACAAACTAGAAAACCCAGAAAAAAATTGGTTAAATTCCTGGAAACATACAATCTGCTAAGATTGAAGAAGGAAGAAATTGAATCCCTGAACAGACCAATAATGAATTCTTAAATTGAATCAGTAATAAAAAGCCTACCAACAAGAAAATGCTTTGGACCATACAGATTCACAGGCAAATTCTACCAGACTTATTAAAAAGAACTGGTAACAGTACTACTGAAACTATTCCAAAAAATTGAGGAGGAGGGACTCCTCCCCAACTCATTATATGAGGCCAGCATTATTCTGATATCAAAACCTGGCAGAGAGACAATGAAAAAAGAAAACTTCAGGCCAATATCCCTGATGAACACAGATGCAAGAATCCCCCCAAAATACTAGCAAGCCAAATCCGGCAGCACTTTAAAAAGCTAATCCACCATGATCAAGTAGGCTTTATGCCTGGTATGCAAGCTTGGTTAAATATGTGCAAATCAAGCAATGTGATTCAGCAAATAAAGAGAACTAAAACCAAAAATCACATGATCATCTCAATAGATGCAGAAAAGGCTTTTAATAAAAGTAAGCATCCCTCCATGTTAAAAAGTCTCAACGACCTAGATATCAAAGAAATATATTTAAAATAATAATAGCTATTTTATAATAAAATAATAATAGCTATGAGCAACCCACAGCCAACATCATATTGAATGGGAAAAAGCTGGAAGCATTTTCCTTGAGATCCGGAACAAGACAAGAACACCTACTATTACCACATCTATTCAGCTTATTACAGGAAGTCCTAGCCAGATCAATCAGGCAAGAGAAAGAAGTAAAAGGCATCCAAATGGAAAAAGAGCAAGTCAAACTCTTGTCTCTTCAAGGCAATATCATTCTCTCCATAGAAAAACTCATAGTCTCTGCCAAAGCCTCATACACTTGGTAAAAAAATTTCAGCAAAGTTTCAGGATAAAAAATCAATGTACAAAAATAACTAGCATTTCTATATACCAATAATGTCCAAACAGAACCAAATCACAAATGCAATCCATTCACAATAGCTACAAAAATAACAAAATACCAAGGAATGTAGCTAACCAAGGAAGTGAAGGAGCTCTCTAATAAAAATTACAAAACACTGCTGAAATAAATAATAGATGACACAAACAAATGGAAAAACTTTCAATGCTCATGGATAAGTAGAATCAATATTTTTAAAGTGGTCATACGGCTCAAAACAATTTACAGATTTAATGCTATTCCTATCAAACTACCAACAATGTTTTTCACAGAATTAGAAAAAAGTATTCTAAAATTCACATGGAATCAAAAGAGCCCAGATAGCCAAAGCAATCCTAAGCAAAAATTACAAAGCTGGAGACATCACACTATCTTGCTTCAAATATACTACAAAGCTATAAAATCCCTAGATGAAAACATAGGAAATACCATTCTGAACATAGTTCCTGAAAAAGATTTCATGATGAAGACTCCAAAATCAACTCAAGGAAAACAAAATTAACAAGTGAAACCCAATTAAAGAACTTCTGCATAACAAAAGAAACTATCAACCCAGTAAAGAGACAATCTAAAATATTTGCAAACTATGTATCTGACAAAAGTCTAATATCTAGCATCTACCCAGAACTTAAACAAATTAACAAGCAAAAATATAACAACCCCACTAAAAAATGAGCAAAGCACAGGAACTGACACTTCTCAAAGGAAGACATACATGTGGCAAATAAGCATCTGCAAAAAGGCTTGGCATCACTAATAATTCGAGAATTGCAAATGAAAACCATCTCATAACTGTCAGAATAACTATTATTAAGAAGTCAAGCCTGGGCACGGTGGCTTATGCCTGTAATCCCAGCACTTTGGGAGGCTGAGGCGGGCAGATCATGAAATCAAGAGATTGAGACCATCCTGGCCAACATGGTGAAGCCCCGTCTCTACCAAAAGTACAAAAACTAGCTGGGCATGGTGGGGTGCACCTGTAGTCCCAGCTACTTGGGAGGCTGAGGCAGGAGAACTGGTTGAACCCGGGAGGCGGAGGTTGCAGTAAGCCGAGTTCGTGCCACTACACTCCAGCCTGGAGACAGCAAGACTCCGTTTCAAAAAAAAAAAAGAAAAAAGAAAAAAGAAAAAAAAGTCAAAAAATAACCTATGCTGGTGAGTTTGTGTTAAAAGGGGAACGCTTATACACTGCTGTTTGGAATGTGAATTAGTTCAGCCACTCTGGAAACCAGTTTAGAGATTTCCCAAAGAACTTAAAACAGAACTATTATTTGGCCCAGCATATGTATACCCAACAGAAATATATGTTATTCTAACATAAAAACACATGTGCATATATGTTCATCTCAGCACTATTTACAATAACAAAGACAAGGAATCAACCTATATGCCCATCAATGGTGGACTTTATTTTAAAAATATGTGGTACACATAAACTGTGGAATATTATGCAGCCATAAAAAATGAAATCAGGTTGTTTACAGCAACATGGATAGAGCTATAGGCTACTATTCTAAGTGAATTAATGCAGGAACTGAAAATCAAATACCACTTTGCTCACTTAGCTGAAGCTAAACATTGAGTATATATGGACACAACAAAGGGAACAATACACACTGGGGAATACTTGAGAGTTGAGGGTAGGAGGAGGATGAGGACTGAAAAACTACCTATTTGGTACTATGCTCATCACCTGGGTGATGAAATAATCCATACACAGGACCCCTAGGATATGCAGTTTAGCCATGTCATAAGTCTGCATCTGTATCCTTGAACATAAAAGTTAGCAAAAATAAATGTATTTAAAATTTACTCTTAGAAATTTTGAAATATATAATACATTATTATATATTATAATCACTGTTCTGTGCAATAGATCACCAAAGCTTACTCCTGCGTAACTGATATTTTTTGCCCTTTTATCAACATCTTCCCTTTCCTCATCCACCTGATCCCAGCCACTGGTAACCATTCTATCCTTTATTGCTATGAGCTTGATTTCCTTAGATTCCGTAAATAAGTGAGATTATGTGGCATTTGTCTTTCTGTATCTGCCTAATTTGATTATAAGTATTATATCCTTCAGGTTCATCCATGTTATTGCAAATGAATGATTTTTTTTTCCTTTTTAAGGCTGAATAGTATTCCTTTGTGTATAAATGCCACATTGTCCTTATCCATTCATCCCATGATGGACACCTAAATTGCTTCCACATCTTAGCTATTGTGAATAAAGCCACAATGAACATGAGTGTGTAGATATATCATCTATGCACTGATTTCAATTCATTTTGATATATAACCCAGCAACAGGATTGCTAGAGCATATGGCAGTTCTATTTTTAGTTTTCAATGTAACCCTCATAATGTTTTCTATAATAGCTGTACTAATTTACATTTCCATGAAGAATGCACTAGGGTTCAAGAAGGGAATAATTCTACTTCTGTTATCGCGCAGTGAAGTCTCATGAGTTGTTTCTGAAACATATTAAATTATGTACTGGAATGTCACAAAAGAATGCTATACTACCTGCATTCTTCAAAAATCTCCACAGAAGTCTCCAAGTAGTATGGACAAAGATTATTCAATGAAGATAAATTTATTATGAGGTCTGAAATAAAACATAATCACTGGCAAATATTAGCAGCTGTAAACTCGTGGCTGCACAAATGGACTGTATACATGGTAGATAAATAGAGATGTTGATGCAAATCTATGCATACATTAATGATTCTTGATTGATTTTTTCTCCTGGGAATTTTAGCAATTAGGCAGAGACCAAGGATACTGCTAAACATCTTAAAATGCACAGGACATTTTCCTCCAAAAAAAAAAAAAAATATATATATATATATATATATATATAAAATCTGGCACAAAATGCCAGTAGTGCCAAGGTTGACAAACACTGTTATAGATAATTGTGAGTATAAGCAGAGGCCCCATTACTATATTGACATAAATGTATTTAAATCATATTTCTCCTGCATATACCAGGATTGAGCATTGTTCTAGGCTTTTTGGAATTCAGTGGTAAATAAGATACACGTAGTTGCCTCATGGAACTCAAGATTTTTATGGGGAAAATTTTGCAAGAAAACACCTATAGAGGAATCTATACAAGAATTTAAGAGAGCAGCACCAAGACTCTCAAGTACATGGATGACCTCTTCCTGCTGGAACTCCTATTTGGTTTTATGATCATCTCATTTATGGAGAATGAAAAGAAAGAGGTCACATTTGGAACCTAAGTTTTGTTCACTCTGAATATTGAAAAATTTTAGATCTATCTAGATATGCAGAGGATCAAGTATAGTGGATTTAATTTTCACATTTAACAAATAATTTTACTTTATTTCATGAATAAAAAAGAGTCATTCTAGGGAATATTTATGAAGAAAAACTGTATACAGATTCTGTTCAAGAACAGCTAGAAGCAAGATTTATTTCTAATGCAGCATAATATTATCAATTTTTATTAGGTGCTTGGCCCCATCCTTATAGATTTTATTAGAAACATAGGGTGAGATAGATAAAATAAGAATTAGTAGGAATAATACAAACAATTTCTTTGTAATGCCTATGGATAATTTGTTGGCAGTATTAGTAGTGATTCTAGCATCTTTAGTCTTGGATGTTCATTAGCAGGGGAAAAGCAGGGAAAAGCAGGGGTTTTGCTCAGGTGTAAAGCTATGAATTCTGAGCTTTGTTAGCACAGTTTCCATTTTTTGCATCCAGAAATAATATAAATATACATACAGCACATTAGAGGAGGAGAAAAGAGAGCTACCAGATGATCTACATAGCTAAGGGATTCTGTACTGCCTCCAAGATTTTAAGGATAAATGAAGTTTCTAAAGAATAGGTAAGGCCTAACAACTTAAACACTTCTTTAAAAAAACTATTATTATACTCTTCTTTTACTTTCTAACTCTGCAGTGTGAGAAAGATTTATTTTAAAACTGTTTTATTCTTTTCTCCGGTATATTTTCTTTTATTTATCAAATTTCCATTTAAAAATAATCATAAAAACTGAGATAACAACATGAACGTGCTTTTGTAGGCTTAAATCAGCTGTGCAAATGTTCTCATGTACAGAAAATGAAGATCTATTAGCCCTCACACTATATTCATTTCAATAGCAGAAATACAAGCAGGATAAAAGTAAAAACATATCATTTTACTGCCTAGAAATAATATTCTGAAAATTAACAGACATTACCATTTTATAGAAAATTTTTACCTCTTCCATTCTGCTACCATAGGATTAATATTTATTAATAAAAGAAAGTCCTCCCAACATCAAAAGCAACATTTAACATCCTATCGTGAATCCTTTCACAATGGGCTGTCATTTTGTATTCTCTCAGCATGATAGGAACCTGAACATAGGGTCACTGGATGAAAGATAGTATAATAGATCATGTTGCTTTAGGTTTTATTTTTCTTCCTAAGAATCTGATAAGACAGAATAAGATGAGTAAAAGAGATTATATTAGCAGAATATAATCATAACACTGTATCTTCATCATTTTGTCAGTTAATTTAGATGAGGAACTTTTAGGAGAGTGTCTAAAATTTAGATTTGAAATCACTCCCTATGCTCCATTTTATTACAATAATGTGCAAATTGGGGGAGGGAGGGAACATGCACATTGATATTTTTTAATAATGGAATTCCAACCAGAAAGGTCCAAATTTATTATACCCTTACAGAATTATGTTTGCTAAATATGAATGTGAGAAAAAAAGGAAAGTTTGTTGCCAATGTAATGGAGGAATGAAATGAACCACATTTTTATTATTATTCTATTATTCCAATAATTGCTTAACACTACTTTTAAAAGGCATAATTAAAACAAATAAAATATTTCTGCATGAAGAGGGGAAGGCATTTAAACTAAAGATTTAATTGAAAGAAAATTACCTTTAAAGATAAAACTTTCTTCTGAGCTGGCTGGCAGATCATACATAAAGACAAAAAAAAAAGACACACCTAAATTTTATAAATATCAAGTTGCCAATCAATTTATTAACATAGTTTATATACTAATTTTTATCAGCACAAAATTCTCAGCTAATTGATCTTATAGATTACCAGAGAAGGGCTAATGGGTAATATCTTCCATAGCAATTTATAAAAGACGAAGTCATGGTTTTCATGTGGTCATTTGTTTTGTAATTGTGTATGTGTGTGTGTGTGTGTGTGTGTGTGTGTGTGTTTGTGTGATGAATCCTAAGGATAAAGTGAATCATGTCAGCTCATGGCTTACAGAAGACATTTCTAAGGTGTACACAATATATTTGAGGCATGAAATTTCTGACCCTTCGTCTCCAGTATAAAATTTAAAAAAAAGATTGCAAATTATTAACATGTCTTTTCTGGACTAAATATCCCACAAATTACCTCAATGATTGTTTTTAGGGTCAAGTTATGAAAAAAGTTAAGACTGACACGTGTGGTTGTCTTGAAGAAGAGATTTCTAATTAATTGATTGTAGGCAGAGCTACATGCTTTAGATGCAGGTGTCATCACTAATGTTTTGTTTGAAGAATTTAAATGCTTGGCTCCTAACTGTTCGGGAAGTGCCAAAATTTTTCTCTATGAATAGTTTTAGTTATACTCCAGTGCTCCAATATATATTTAGTTGAACTAACCAAATTGTGAATTAAAAAGCAGGGATGGAATCAATTTGTTCAGGAAGATGTTAAAAGATGTAACCTCTCATTGATTTGCTTAGGATTACCACTTAATGATTTACTTTGAGCAGGACTATATTGCTTTCTACCGCTAGAGTGAGTATCTTAGTTGGAGTCACCTAAAATAGATCCTGAAACAAGGACTTGGGTGCAGGAGTGAGGAAACATAACATGTGAGGGGAAGGGAAAAAAGCTAATATAAGGGTGAATTATCAGGGTCATTGCTCCAGGCTTTGACTCCAGATTCCACCTGGACATTTGGAGAGTGAAAATGCCTCTCAGAATGGTCCATCTATAAAATAAGAGAAACAGGAGTCTTTAACCAACAACCTCTATTCTTCATTGTTTGAGGATTTCTCCTTTGGGATGTAGTCATCCCTGTACTTCTGGGCTTCCCATTGGCCATATCAAAATAAATTTCTCTAGGGTAGAATATGGGAAGATGCAGGGAGTTTAAATTTGAACAATAGCAGACCAAGGTGAGTCAGACTTACATGAAATTTTCCACCACAGCTCAGGCAAAAAACAGAGGTGGGCAGGGGGAATGTGATGCAGGCAACAGAGGCATGTTCTACAATGAGTTTGGATGGGAAAACAAATATATATACTGGCTTTATAAATCGTCTCTTCTGAATGCTCATCTGTGTCTGCTAAAAATGAAAGCTTAGTTGTATTATTAAAACAAAATTGTTTCTTTCGAAAGTTGCAATTGTTTTTAAAGGAACTCCTGAAATATGACAAAGATAAAGTCAACAGCAATTATTGTCATCTTATTAAATGCGTATTCATTATAGCTATAAGATTTTTAAAATATAGATTTATAAATAAAAATGAAATTATTGAGTCATCGTCAAGCTTCACATCATAATTACAACACCTATGCCTAACTCTGGAGCATACAATTTTAAGAAAACAGTTTTTATGTCAGATGAAACTGTAGATAAAACTTCAACTGTATATTTTACTTATTCAACATATTAAATTAATATACGAAAATCTGTAGCTTTAAAATAAAAAAGATGGGGTTTTAAGAGGACAGCTAGCAAAATGCTGGATCTATAATTTTGGAGACAGCATAAAATATAAAGAATTAATCATTACTGAATACAATTGCACTGACATTTTTTATCAAGAGGAATAATTACAAATCTGGGTTACATCTTTAGACTGGGGCAACTGTCAATTATTTAGTCAGTGAAATGTTAAGTGAATTATTTTAACTTAAAAATCAGCAGAAAGAGAATCTCAGAGGGTTAAGAATAAACAACCACAGAAATGTCTAAGCATCCAAAAGCATCTTAATTAGGGAAGTCCTTTGGTATATCCTTCTTATCAGTATAATTTTCCATTACTTTATATTTTACACTGAGAAAACTGCCCACAGCTTGATTAGAAACAGACTTAAGGGAGGGACTGCAACTTTAACATCAAAGAACAAATAATTATATTCAGCTATTAGGTATTTTTCTACACCTCAAAGACAACAAATTAGTTTCTGCCCTTGTGGATATCACAGTTAAGTTAGGCAAATGGACAAATAAACAAATTATTTCAATAAAACATACTAATTGGCATGATAGAGGAATGCATAAGCTTCTGTTGGCAGTAGAAGGAAGGGACACATAACCCATGCTGGTATTTGAGTGCAAGCTTAATAAAGAGATGGTTTTTGTGGTCCTTTCTGAAAGACAAATGAAATATTTGAGTAAAGAGAGTGAGTGACCTTCTATGGACAGAATGTAGCAGGTACAAGTACATAGTTCATGAGGTATCATGACTTTTCAGAACACTCTAACTACAGTAGATTCATATGTTTGCTGTTCTTTATAGATTTTCTTGTCTGATTCTGAAGGCAAGAGTCACTTTTTGATCATACCGTGAGACTTTCTGGTGGTGGGCAATAATTAAGCTTAATTATTAGAATCACCAGAATAAAATGGATTCAATTGATTTGTCACCCTTTAATAAGATCACCTGCCTCAAATGAATCTTCCTAATTCCTGGTCATTAAATTTAATAAAATATTATTTAGGTAATATTTGATTAAAAAATAAAATATTTTTATATAAAAAGGGATGATAATACCAAATTCATTTATTCTTCTGCTCAACTTTATAATAGTCTTCTTATTACCTCTCTAAAAGCAGCACCCCAAATGTTCTCCATCAGAAAGGGCTCATATCATGGTCATAGGTGCACTTGAAGGTCCAGAATGTGTATATTCTTTAACAGCTTTATACATATAAAAAAACTTTTATCTCTATCTTCATTCCCACTTAGTCTACACTAATTTAACCATGTATTTGGTATTCAACTGATTTTCTAGGAAAATTAATTTTATTTTAGATTCAGGGGGTACATATGCATGTTTCTCACATGGGTAATTGTATACTGGTGGGGATTGGGATTCTAGTGTGCCCATTATGCAAATAGCGAGCATTGTACCCAATAGGTACTTTTTCAACCCTTGCCCCCGCTACCTGCTCCCTTTTTGGAGTCCCAGCGTTTATTATTTCCGCCTTCAAGTCCGTGTTTACCCATTGTTTAGCTCCCACTTACAAACGAGAACATGTGTTCCCCCAGCCCTCCTGATTTAGTTCACTTAAGATAATGACCTCCAGCACCACCCACATTGCTGCAAAGGATGTGATTTCTTTCTCTTTTCTGGCTGTGTAGTATTTCATTATCTGTCTATCTATATCTCACATTTTCCAGGAAAAAATTTTATCAAGTATTTTTAGGTAGAAACTCTGTTACCCTCGCCTTGATTCCTGTAGCAGCCAGGCAAGTCATTGTGTGTATATATGTATACTTTTATTATATTTATATATAATATATAATTATCTTTTATATAATATATATTTTATTATATCTAATATAGTATGCTATATATAGTATACTGTAATATACTATAATATATACTATATTATCTCAGCTATTCTCACAATAATAGATATATGTCATTCTATTACCCAAATATATGTTACTAGTATAAAGCTGTAAAATTAACCCCATGTCCTTGACTTAACAATGGGTCACAACGGTATTCAAATAGCTCCTATGACTCAAGCAGAGCTTGCCATACATACAAAGCTTAGAGATTTCAGTAATTTGGTTTCTCCCAGAGATTGAGACAGATATCAAATTGATTATCTAAAGGAAGAGAAAAATGTATGACCACCCACTAAGGTAATGGACTAGAAAAACTGAATTCAAGTACCAGAGATTGAACAATAAATGATATTCTTTTGCCTGCAGGGGTTCCACTGACACCTAAGTGGTTGTGGGTGCATTTCTCAGTTCTTGGACTTCCCTACTGGAAACTGACACTCTCAATACATTTTTCTGTCTATAGAGCAGGCACTTACTGGCCTCTTTACACATTCCTACTTCTTAGTGTATCATGGCTCTAGGCCTAGAAGTCTAGCGAAATTCATTAATTTGACATTCATAGAAATATCTAATGTTGAAATTGGAAGGAATTTTAAAGGTCAGTTAGTATCAAGTTTATATGATGCATGATTCCACTACTTATTGACTGTTTGCTTGAAAGACAGTGTGCTGGAAATATTCTCTCTTGGCCCTCCTTCTGGAATCTGAGAAGCAGATGCCAATCTGAGTGTCATTACAAGGTTATACAAAAAGAAAGCTTGATAACTAGACTGCTGATCTTTGCATCCTGATTTTGCCATGAATTATATGTGACTTTGGTAGGTTAAATGTACTGTGCCTCAGTTTTCTTATCTACAAAGAGGGATGAAAATACTGAATTCAGAGAAGTTCTGAGAATCTATTGAGATTTATTCAATGTTTACAAAATATTTTCTGGCACTCAGTAATACTCAATAAGTGTAAATTACTATTTTCACTTAAGTCTGCTCAACTTAAGACTTCTTCATTCTCAAAGCTATCTCTTGTAACAAACCTTCCTCACTTGTTTACATCATCTCACCAGGGAACAAAGAACACTAATAACTCTGCTCTCATTCATCTACTGCTTAGGAAAAATATGAAGAGTATCTTTACCAGTTAGTTTGCCTTGCTGGAAGATGTATTAATTATAGAACAATTTTATCTGTAAATCCCAGAAATCAACATCTTTTAGTACAGCATATGTTAGAGGCATCCTAGTCAAAATATCATGTTTTCAGATAGTTAAAATTGTTATAATTCCCATTTGCCTAGTTCCAATTTTTATGTGTTCCACCATGTCAAAAAATTGTGTAAATGTTGAGATTGTAACCTAAACATTACAAATCTGACATTATAAAATTGCATGCCATTTTAAACTAAACTGGAATCTGCTGAGTTTTGTTTTAGATAAAATAGAAAGACAGTGAGAGTAGGAACCATCTATATTTCATTCATTGCAATGTTAGTAGCACAGTAGCTAGTATATAGTAAACTCTAAGTAAATATTGTTGAATTCATGATTAATTAGTTCCTAAAAGATAAAATGTAAAATTTATAACAATAAAACACTAATAGAATCAATAAATGTGTGTTTTGCTAAAGGAAGAGTATTCATATGAACAAGATAAATTGATATTGAGATAAGAATGTAAATATTACATTAACCATTGCATTCATTAAAATAACCATATTAGAGTTCAAGTGGAAAAGTCATAATTAATATCGTAAATATTTGTCTGCTAAATATGTACATATTCAAATTTCCAACTAGTTTACTTTTGCTCACTAATAAGCTGTATGCTCTCTCTCTATTCGCTAAGCAATGCAGTTTAAAAAATACATATGAGTATAAAATATATCATCAGCTAACAGCAAATGGAATGTTTTTATTGAATACTCTACCTGAATATTAGATTCTAGTATAGATACTTACTTGAGGCTTATTTGGGTGACATTCAACTTGCCTGTCCTACAAAAGCTTAGTTAACTCTTGCAATTTGTCAAATATTGTAATTTTCTCCTAAATGTCTTAAACTTAAAAATTGCCAGGCTGAAAGTTTCTATTGTGAGTTCCTCTGAGAGATACATGTTGCTTTTATTTCTTATGAATAATAAACTCATAGAGTGATTTCTTTATCCATGCTTTGTTTAACACTTGGCTTTTTATATTTCATACTTTTATACTTCAGTATACTGAAGGATACTTTTATGCTTTAGATTTTCAACATAATTTTAGAGACTATAAAACAGGATTTTTAGTTTTTATAAAGTGTAAAAATTAAATAATTTGTAACTGCTTTCTCTTTCACATACACTATCCTATTTTATTATGACAGATATATACTATTAGTTTTTTAGATATTAATTTTTAGATATATAGTATTTTTTTAAGAACAGGGTTATTCACATTGTTCTGTCTGCGTAACTTTGTGTCTATCATACCAGACATGTTTAATAACTTCAATGTGTATAATTTATTAATTCTATTTGAAAGAATGTTGGAATCCCATATAATGCTTTATTGGAATTATTTTTAATATTTCAAAAATCTTTTTCTATGGTCTTTATTTTTGAATGATGAAAATAATATATACTATAATTAAAATTGTAACATATATTGTACTAAGGTTTGAATATGTACCCCAAAAGTTCATACATTGGAAACTTAATTGCCAAAGTAACATTATTACGAGGTGGGGCCTTTAGACACGATTGGGTCATGTAGGAAAAGTTCTCATGAATGGATTAATGCCTTTATTGCGGGAGTAAGTTCTTGCTAGAGCAGGTTATTATAAAACAAGTTAAACTTGCCCTATGGTGTCTTTCACATGCATGCTCTTGACCTTTTGCCATGTTATTGTGGGACAAGTAGGCCCTTACCAGATTTTGACACCATGCTCTTAGAATTCTTAGCTTCCAGAACCATGAGCTAAATACTTTCCTGTTCATTATAAATTACTCAGTCTCAAGTATTCTAACAGAAAAGAGATTAAGACATCACAATTTTTAGCAACATAATTGTAAAAAGTAAGTCATACATGATCTCATTTGAAACTGTCATTTCTACAAGCTATCAAAGATAACAGTTTGAAGTAAAATATTTCTGGGCATTTTTTCCATCTAAAACAATTTTATAAAGAAACTTGCTTTATATAGTGCTGTGGGCATGGGTTATCTGATGTATCCTTAGGTGATCAGTTCAGCTGTTTTCTACTTCATGCAATAAGACCTGAACTATTGGATACTGTCTCCTCACTATCACCCTCATCTTGAGCATGGCTAAAGATTAGGTCCAAGAAGATGGCATAAAAGGGGGCTTAGTTACTAACATATGTCAGACACAGGTAGTTTGTGTGTGATAATCAAGACTTGAATGAAACTAGGTGATAGGACACAGTATATCCTACATTATACCAAAAATAGTGTATTTCTATTTGGTATTTTAATTGCTCAAAAAGTAAATGTGCAATTACTAGTTGAAAATAGGAACTTCTTGTCTTGAAAGAAAACTCAATTATTCCCATACATAGGCCATTATAGTATTTTACCTGTTACATGCATATACTTTTTTCCACTATTTTCCTCTTATATTGAGAATGTCTTGATTTCAATGAAGTCAGAGTACATGCATTGAATACCATGTAGATTTTTTAAAATATTGCCCTTGTTTCAAAACCAATTACTAGTTTTATAAAAGTGATTTCAGCTAATTATACTGCAACTATGCCAATTATTTTAGAAGTCATTATAGCTCAGATATTAGCAATCATTAATTACTTTGCATACCCTAGCTGTCCAATTTTATTTAATTTACATGCCTATTTGACTCACTAATATCTTCGACATATTGAAGTTGATTTTTTTACACAGAATGGAAAAGGCAGCCAGTAAAATAAAAGAAGCCATTAACATTTTCAAGAAGTGCTTGTACAATATTCTAGTAATAATTAGAAAAAATTAAAGGTATTTGCCCTATACCTTTAATTTTACATAGTAAATAATTATAAATATGAAATTGATGTCCTAAGTATAATAATTCATACCCTGAAAATGTGCTGAAACTTAATATGCATTGTATACTTTCGTTTCTCTAATATTTGTGCTTTCACGTGTGCTATGCTGTTGCACACTATATCCTAGTGTATGACAGATGTTCGAAAGAAGTCTGAAATAATGTTAAGAATAACCTTAAGACACTTTATGTAGAGGAAAATATTTTAAATAAATGTTTGAATAAAAAGTTGTAATTTTACTAATATAATTTATCTTTAACTTCTCCTCAAAGACAATTGTGCTTTCTATATAATACTTTTTAACTTAGGAAACAAATTTTAATAAATGTTTAAGTTCACATGAGAAATTACCAAAAAAAGAATATAAAATGTGTCTTTAAATTTCATTGAAAAGTCATATATTAAAACTCTGCAGATAAATTCCTATACTGATCATTAAAAATAGTTTATCCTGGCCAGGAGTGGTGGCTCATGCCTGTAATCGCAGTACTTTGGGAGGCCGAGGCAGGCAGATCACCTAGGGTCAGGAGTTCGAGACCAGCCTGACCAACATGGTGAAACCCTGCCTCTACTAAAAATACAAAAACATTAGCTGGGCATGGTGGTGGGCCCCTGTAATCCCAGCTACTTGGGAGGCTGAGGCAGGAGAATCACTTGAACTCAGGAGTCAGGGTTTGCAGTGAGCCGAGATCCTGCCATTGCACTCCATCCTGGGCAACAAGAGGGAGATTCCATCTTAAAAAAAAAAAAAAAGTTTATCTTGCAACATCTATAATGTAATGTTTCTTGGTTGTCTCTCAAAGCTATTCACAAAGGTTCTGAGTTCTAAGAAATGATTATCAACATTTTCTTCTGTTGTGTTTTCCAACCTTCCTTTTATCCCTGCTTAACCATATCTAATGAACAATGATTAGCTTCGGCAGCATATACACATCCTGATATTTGTTTCGTTGAGAAAGTCTAAGTGACTCAAGCTGGACGCACACACAGCCAACTCATGAAATCCTTAGCTTTGCTTCATCTAATTCCTATGAAGGTTCTCAGACACAGAAACAAATAATAAGTAATTCATAAACTATTTTTATGAGAAAATATTTTGCATATTCAAATATTCTATTACAGCAAAATACGTGACACATATATGTCATGCAAAGGTATTTTCACATTCTATAATGTATAGAAAACATGTAAAGTAAAACTATTTTTAATGGCCAAAGTTTCTATTTTTTCTTATTTGAAATTATCCAATTAACCAAAAATAATTTATTAACCCAACTTAATATTAGTCTAAGGTCTTAAATTTAATTAAAAATTTGGATATTATAACTAAAGTCAACACATTAATCCTTTATTATCCATAATATTATTTGAATTTATGAGGTTAAACATTTTAAAAGATATCCTCTTATTACAAATTTCTTCAAACACCATTTAATATATTTGAAATCCTAAACTATTGTGGGAACAACGATAGCCTCTTTGACTCATAAAACAAGTGTTGGAAAATTTGAAAAGTTTACATCACAAAATGTTTAACATAATCATATATAAAATAAGATTTTTTGGCATTAATTTACATAGAAAACATACAAGTCATATGGATTTGTTAACCAGTGTTATTCACCTACTTATTTGAAATATTATATGCACTTGTTTTTAATACAATTTTAAGTCCATGTGTTTAAAAGCTAAATTTTATAAAGACTCCTTAAATTATACTTAAACTTTCTTTTTTCATTTTGTAGAAACAGAGATCTTCTTTTCTCTCTTAGTAAGTCAGTCCATTAGTCACTAAATTTTCCTAGCTGCAGGTTTTTATACATAGCCCACATTTTTTCAAGCAAAGTAAATTCAACTTAATTTTTTTTTTCAGTTTTTAGGAGGCCATTTATGTCTATCTGGACTAGATATTTTTAGGAGGCACAGATGCCAACAATTTTTTTTATGATTAATTAGTCTCCAAAATTTCTCCACTGAGGGGATAAAATGAGAGAAAAAAAAAAATGAAAAGAAGTTTGAGGGATCCAGCCTCACTGAAATGTGAAATTATAATTGTCAAGATATTTCTTCTCCCTTTACATAAAGGAGAGAAAAAATAGATGCAGGAAACTTATTTTTACACACACACACACACACACACACACACACACACACACACAGCTATTATAGCTCACTTACATGAAGTAAACTTTCTCCTAAGTGTGCTTTCTTTTAGACAAATAAAACTAGATTCTTTCCTTCTCTTTGTGCTAAGGTGCCTCTAAAGTAAAAATTCTATGCCCAAACTTTCTAAAACTGGCCATTGTAATTCCAGATTCCCTTTATTGAGATCCTTTCAAGAATTCAAATATTTTGTGCTATTAGCATCCATACAATTAAGCAGATAGAAACTCTCTTGGTAGCAAGTTTATGAAATAATGGCTGCCTTTTATAGTTGAAAAACAATGTAATTACAGGTCTCAAATTATCAAAACCAATTCTTCACTTTTACCTAACTCATAAAAACTCATAGCAGTAATAGAATGAAGTGGTGGTATCTCAACCAAGGATAATAATAATATTAGTAACAGTAATAAAGACTCCAACATCCTTCTAACAAAAGGGCTGACTGTAGTAGAACTACTGCTATTAGAGGCTCCACTATGAATATCCTGAAAAGGGGAGATAGCAAAGGGTCTTCAGCATACTTTATCCTCACTGAAGCTTTCTGGGCTAGTCAGGGGGAAGTCTCGTTCCAATATGAATGATACTATTAAAAGGTGTAAGAAAGAAAACATCCAAACAAAACAATTAGTTCAAGATTATACATTGCAAGTAAAAACAACTTAAGTGTTCTTGAAGAGAGGGGCAAGTAACTAAAAAGACTGTATTTAATTGAGGAAGATCTGTTAAACCCTTATTTCAAAAATTATTCACTATTCAAATCCCTGGAAGGCATGGAAAACAGGTTGGGTTAATCATAGGTCAGTATGTAGGCACAGAAGAATGAAATTAGGGTATAGCAACTGTTGGTCAGGAAATGTCAGTGTAGCAGAATTGGGCAGGAACATTTAGGGGACTTGCAACTATCAGTGAAAAATGTTTAATCTTTATGCTTCTTTCTATTTAGTTTGATTGTATGAGTTGATTTATAGAGTATGTAACAACATTTATAATGAAGATAATACAAGCAGTACATTTAGTCAGTAATTAAAAACTAAGAATATTCTCCAAGGTGTTTTAAATAAATCTGTCTTAAAAATATCTCTTCTTTTCCACTATCCTGTCAGCACATTTATTACTACGTATGGAGAATAGTACTGAGCAGTGAGAAAAGAATGTGCTAATGGAGTATGTCCTTTATTATCTTTCACTAAGTTAAATCTTTAGGATCTCTTATACATCAAACAGAAATTATTATTATTTTTTGTCTTCAGAATCAGGACAGGTGAATCTCTAATACCAATTGTTAACCATCTTGCTATTTCCTCTGGTAAATAAAATGGCATAGAGTAGTCTTTGAAGTTAAGAATATTTTTTAATAATGTGAAACTTTGCTTTGTTTTCAAAAAAAGATAAAACAGATGAAAAATATTAGTGCCGACTGATGAGAGCTCCTGAGGATTTCTTTCTGCCTAGCATATTTCCCTCAAGCTTTTAAATTCAATAGTAAGATGAAAAATCTTCCTGAATAACCATGTACAGAAGCATTGTGCTAGGCATTGTGGGAGTGTTGAAGAATAAATGAGGAACATGGCTGTTATTCCCATCAAGCTTATCACATAATTAAAAATAGATACATACGCTGTCTGACACACACACACGCAAAGCCTAATTACAAATAATATTTAATAATACTAGATACCAATAAAGTTGAAAAATGCAAATTATTGCATAATATGTTTTCAAATACACAGTTATAAAATATTAGAAATAATGTTGATAATCTTTGAGAGGCAATAGTGAAAAATAAGATTTTAATGAGACAAATGTAGCTCTCAAATAGAGGAAAACTAAGGCTAATAGGAGCAATGGAGATAAAAAGCGAAAGATGATTCAACCTATTTCTTCAGCTTTATGAGAGATAATCATAGGGTAAGTACATAATCTTTTACCATTCTCATTTAATGTATTTTATGCATTTAAGGATACTATTTGAAGTACTAAACTAGAGTGAAAACAAGTTCAAAAACTTCCAAATTACTGGAGAATTGGTTGCACGAGGGAGGAAAACATCTTATATATAATAAATGTAAGTGAAATAAATGTAAGCATAGAAAAAATGAGTCAGAATTTAGTCATAAAAGTACAACTCTATATGATCTTCAAAGGTAAACCCAAGCAGTGTCACTCAAAAAGATTGAAAGGGAAAGTATGAAAAGTGCCCAAGTGGACAACAGAGAAAAGTTAATAATTACAATGATAACATAATTAAATAAAACTATAAGAAAATAGTTAATTCATTGCAAAAATTATTACGTTAGGCAGTTAATTCATAGTGTTCAGAAAACTGTGTGCAGCCAATATCCTACTATTAGTTTATGAGTAAAAGACAAATTTACAGAAACTACATAACAATGCAATTTATTAACATTTTTCTCTGGCATTGATATTCAAGATGATAATAATAATAAAGCAGGCTATAGTATATATGTAACTCAATTTATGAAATTATATCTATCTAAAACATTGAAAAACATACATAAATACATTTAAACACTACAAATTTTCTATATATCTTCTTATTGAATCCATAAAATATATACAGTGTTTAATAACATGTTTAATAAAAAGAAAAATTGTAAAATTCCAAGAAATAGAAAGGGAATGTAGAGAATTATTCTCTAGTCACACCATATTAAGCACTGTAAATAAACTGCAAATGTACAAATAAAAATTATCTCAGGGACATGAAAATTTGTTCATTTATTCTCTGAACAATTGTGGCATACTTGAGATAATCAAAATTAAATTGCCAAATAATTATTAGTACTTATCTAAAATTATAAGATATAATGATAATTTTACTGAGAGGAAAATTAACCACCTAAAGCCTTTCATTAATCACCCATAGAAAAAATAGTAAAAGATACATTCAACTTGATATAAAAAATACCAAAAAGTACCAAAAAATAAGAATGATAACGTGTAAATAGAAAAGCAGAAATGCTGAAATGAAAAACAGTTGGGCAACATAATTATAATAAATGTAAGAGGTGATTCTTGGAAAAATATAAACTAATAGTTGGTCTAAAGAGAAGCAGGAGAATACTTTTAAAGCAAAAACTTCACCAGCCAAAGTTAAATAGGCAAGATAGACTTTATCTAAAAGTTATTGTAGTATGGAAGAGAAGATAGAATGCAATCTGATCTCAATTCTGCTGTAATAAAAATTTTTAGGAAATCTGTGTTTGCTAATTGGCTTTATCACAAAGAGAAGTAAACTTTCTCCCTATCTTCATTAGGGGAGGTAGTTTTGTAACTTGAATTAGGCTCCCAGAGAAGTTAGCGGCCCCCAGGCCCTTGAGAAAGACAGTCCTGGGTTATAAAACTGGCAAGAGAATTTTAAAAGATTTACATCTCAAGGGCGCAGGGTAAGAATTCACAGTTACAAATTGTCTAAAGTAAATGCTCTATCAAAAGGGAAGCTGGAGGCAAGGGTTAAGAAGAAGACTAAAGTTTAGTCAAGCTGAGGGGAACATTAAATCCACCTTGTTCAATATCCCAGGACCACACATTTCCACAAGTCATTATCTTCAAAGTTTAACATAGTACATAGTTCCCATGATGACTAAATTGTCTTAGAATATAGAAAAAGGAAGAATACTTACTACTCCTTTTAAAGGCCCACTTAACCCTTATATCTGAATATTACAAACTAAGTACCAAATGTAAAACACCTGCCAATCTCTGCTGAGTTTGACATACACACACTCACACACACACAAACAATATTTAACATTAACAGATTGATTCCAGCTGACATTACCAGAAAACCCGCTGAAAGAGTGGAGTTGTGTGTTAGTTAGAGGTCTAGCAGGAAAGAGATGATACAATCAAAAGAGGTTAATAGAAGATTGGAAGAAGGGACTACAATATTTATAAGGATCTGGGCCATGTTAAGAAAATCAACAGGAGCCAGGTGTGGTGGCCTGTGATCCCATAACATTGGGTTGCTGAGGCGGGTATCAAGCTTGAGCTCAGAAGTTTGAGGCCAGCCTGGGCAGCATGGTGAAACCCCATCTTTTCCAAAAATAACCAGGCATGATGGTGCGTGCCTGTGGTCCCATCTACCCCAGGCTAAGATGGGAGGATGGCTTGAGTCTGGGAGGGTTGCAGTGAGCCAAGAGCATGCCACTGAACTTTCAGCCAGGATGACAGAGGGAGATCCTGTCTCAAAAAAGTAAAAAAGAGAGACAGGGAAAGAGAGAGAGAAAAAGAAAACCAACAGGGATAGTTAAATTCCCTGGGATGAGTAATAGTGGCAAAAAGTCGTACGTGATTTCACTTAGATTCAAGAAAATACATATTTCATTTTGAAGGGCCAAGGGAGTTAGACTAGAGTTAATGGCGTCCAGTGAAAACTAGGGCCACAAACCACTGGAAAGACTCTGGCAGTCAAAAAAAAAAAAGACAGCCACTGTTTGTCAGAATATAGGTAAAATGGAGGTGCAGGAATAAATATATCCACTTCTCTTCTCTTCCCACTCCAAAATCTCCTGAGTGTGCTTTCCACAAAAACACAACACAAGAGGAAGGCAGAGGGCAAAGGATTCTTTCACAAAAGACAGCAGGGAAAAAAAGGGTGGTGAATGTATATGGGGATGTGTGGGGAAGGGTAGCAAAGATTGAATCTCCAAATCAGGAGATATGCTGCATTTTATTCAACCTAACACTATATTGATTAGAAGATGCCATTTTATGTGGCACTAAGAAATAAAACAAAACGCCAGCAATTATATTATAGCCCAATATTTTCTAATCAGATATTTATTATTATTATTATTTATTGAGTAGGCTGGGCGCGGGGGCTCATGCCTGTAATCTTAGCACTTTGGGAGGCCAACGCAGCCAATCACCTGAGGTCAGGAGTTCAAGACCAGCCTGGCCAACATGGTGAAACCCCGTCTCTACTAAAAATACAAAAATTAGCTGGGCTTGGTGGTATAAACCTGCTACTTGGGAGGCTGAGGCACAAGAATCACTTGAACCCAGGAGGTGGAGGTTGCAGTGAGCCGAGATTGTGCTACTGCAGTCCAGACTGACTGACAGAGTGAGACTCCATCTCAATAATAATAATAATAATAATAATAATAATAATAATAATAATTTTACTGATTAAAATTTTTTTATTAATTTAAATAAACTTTATCATGTATCACTATTTGCTTACATAAAAATAAAAATCCATGCAAAAAGGAGCTGAGAAATTTTTAATATCCCACCATTGTCTAATTATTTTAAAATCATTTGGACGCAGCCTTACCACACTGTATCATCATCTGTACTATCAAGAACATTAAGAATGTGACACTTTTTAAAGAATGTCATATCACCATCTTTAGGATATTTTTCTAACACATGGACTCTCATTTTATAGGTTTTGATGCTGGTACTGTCTCCATTATATCAAAAGGTTTCAGTCAGTGGAAGATTTCCAGACAGACCTAAATATTCATTTTCCTTTTTCTAATCTTTCATGAGTGGATTCTGAGAAAAAGAAAGAAAGAAAATATTCTATCTTCCTTAAACCAATATTATTTTGAATTACTGTTACATACAGGTACACTTATATTACATTATATCAAAACTTTTAAGAATTATGTAATCCTTCTAAGAAGAAAAAGTATTTTAAAATGTACTAAGTAATAAAATATAAATTTTTAAAAATTGAGAAACTTTCATTCTTTCAAATAGGAAAACTCGAGAAAAATCACTGGGTATGTATTTTTAATCCATGTTTATTTCTGTTTACCTGAGGTTGATAATTTATGTTTTAGAGAGAAAGGAATTACGATCCTTGACAACAAATTCCAAGTAATCTGCAGAGGCTAGCAAAAAGACCATTATGATGCACATGTTACAGATGGGGAGGGTCTTGACTACAAGTCATCCAGGTTCTTAGACAAAATACACAGACAAAGCAACAAACAATGAAGCAACAAAACTACAAATTTATTGAAACTAAAGTTCACACCACAGAGTAGAAGCAGGCTCCAGCAAGCAACTCAAGAGCCCCAGTTACAGAGATTTCTAAGGTTTAAATACTCTCTAGAGGTTTCCCATCGTTTACTTGGTTACACCCTATGTAAAGGAAGAAGTGACCAGCAACTCATCTTATTGGAGGCTGGAGTCGTTACAAAGTTACATCCTATGCTAACATCAAACATCTGATTGGTTGTGGGAGGGTACCAATCAGAGGCTGAAGTGAAGTTACAAAGTTACAGGCCCATGACCAATCTGATTGGTGATTGGAGGGGACCAATCAGAGATACTTTCCATTTTTCATGTACAAGGCAAAAAACTATGGGTAGCAGGGGTTTGCAAAGGGCAAAGGGAGCAGTTTCTTATCCTTTTGTTACTTGGGCGTGGAAAGTTGGGGTTTTCCTTTTGATTTAATTCTAGGAAGTCAGCAAATCAGCCTTAAGTTCCCTACCTCCAGACCCTATTCTCGTGCCTCACACATTTGTGGAGATCTGATATTGAAGAAATGAATTTAGCAGGCAGAGTAGTTGTGGAGGTAAGTAGGAAAAGATCATGCACAATTGCATTATGTCACTGGGACACAGTTTTTCCTTCTCTGTTTTTGTTGGTTTTCTTGCAAGCAGGGAAACTGCTAGAAAGTCAGAAGGAATGCTCAGAGTGCTAATTAGGTGTGTGAAAAAGCTCTTTAAAGCTTCTTTCTGATAGGCTCCAAGTATGAGATGAAAGGCCTCTTTTCTGAGAGGAAGGAGATACTGACAAAAGCAACCCACTAAGATACTGGACACAAAAGTGTTCTGCCTCCCAGACATGCTGAACCTAGGATCAAATATTGCTCCAAGGGGCTTTTGCTCCTAGCAGAGTATTCTTTTGAGTTAAATGTCTGGTTTCTACTTTAGAATGTAGGGAGGATAATAACATGACGTGTTTGTGTACCAAAATTAAGTTTACAGAAGCGTTTCTCCAAATGACTAATAACAGTTAAAGATTAACAACAACAAAAATGCTCAAGTGAAAATTAAGTGCCCGGTTACTTCCGTTTCTTGTTCTGCAGGGTATTTTTTTTTAATATGACATATTAACTTTAGCTAATGCTTCATATTTTAGTTTTATTGAGGAATACTGTTTCTGTGGGAGGGGAGATGTACCTGAGTGTGAAAGAAGAATAGATGTCTATGTTTTTGTTTAATTCATTCTTAGAATTCCTAGCTGCTTTAAACTGATGATTACATACATTTATCAACAACAATAATTGTGCTAACATGTTTGGAATGTGTGTATGAAATATGTCTGGAAAGGGAATACACATACATATATGCATGTATATTTACTTTCAAACTTAGTCGATAGGTATCTATCATAATATCTTTAATCGTTAATCAATGTCTCAGTATATGGATATTTCTTCTTCATTTAACATATTTAATAAATTCTGTACTTCAGAAATCTGTCTTCAAATTCATTTGAGCATTCATGTAATAAAAGGTAATATTTGCTCATTTTACATTACTTTTGGCATATTAGCTATTTCCCTCGTCAATCAAAGCCTCTCAGGTTTTGAAATGGCCTTTAACAGTTCTTAGCATTTCTTTTTAATCTCATCTTATTATTCAATTTTATCCTCTTACTTCACTACCAATTCCTTTTTTATTTTCATCCTCTTGTTTAATTCCACTTCACTTCTCAAAAAAGTACATGTACTTTCATATATGTAACCATCACATTCCTACAATTATGACTTCAACATATCCATTTTCAGTTCCCACCCCTACCTGGGTCCTAGTAATACTAATTGCCTACAAGATATTTATTAAATTTAAAACTACTCCTCTTCCTCTCCTTTAGTTCTAAAAATTACAAAATGTTATACATACACATATATTATAAAATATCTACTATACATACTATATATTTTATAGTAGATATAAAACATCTACTATATATAGATATTTATATTATATATTATAAAATATATAATATAACATATATATAATATAAAATATATAATATAACATATTATATATAATATAAAATATATAATATAACATATTATATATAATATAAAATATATAATATAACATATTATATATAATATAAAATATATAATATAACATATTATATATAATATAAAATATATAATATAACATATTATATATAATATAAAATATATAATATAACATATTATATATAATATAAAATATATAATATAACATATTATATATAATATAAAATATATAATATAACATATTATATATAATATAAAATATATAATATAACATATTATATATAATATAAAATATATAATATAACATATTATATATAATATAAAATATATAATATATATGATATATTTTATATATCATATATATGATATATAAAATATATAATATAAAATATGTAACATATATATAAAATATGTAACATATATTATATATAAAATATGTAACATATATTATATATAAAATATGTAACATATATTATATATAAAATATATAATTTAAAATACATAATATATATTATATATAAATATATAATAAAAAATATATAATATATATTATATATTAATATATTATGTATTTATATATAATATATTGTATTAAATATATATATTGTATTAAACATTATATATATTCTATAATAAACATAATATATTATATAAAATATATATTCTATTATATATTATATATTTTATAACATACAGTATATATTATATATTTTATAATAAACATATGTATTATATGATATATAATGTATAACATATAATATATAACTCTAGATATATATAGTTAGTTATTTTTTGTTTGTTTGTTTTTTGGTAAAGAACACCATAATTCCTCTCTCTTGGGTGTGTGACACATTATAGAATTAAATGGCATCTATTTTGTCTTTGGGTAATATATTCCAATTACTAACATTATTTTTCCTTTGTGATACGCTTCCAATTCACCATTTTCTTCACTTCCCAAACTTTTACCTTTCTACAAAATGTATTCACTGGATAATAAGGATTATTTTTGCATTGGTGGAAAGCAAAACGAATTGGTCTAAATTTGCTTCTTTAGCATTCCTCAAGGCAATGTCCACTATTTTTAATAGCTGCAGTATTTTTTTTAGCTGACAGTAACAGTTCAGAAATGCCAAACCTTACCGCATTTGGCAAACAATATATATATTCTTGTTATTCAGAATATCATTACCTACACACACTCCATGCCACTTCATAAAATCTGAACCACTCTTTTTTGCATTAAATATTATTCATAATGTTACAAAAATGAACCATCCATCCCAGGTAATCCCATACTCCCCTTCCATTTTTTATTCTCCTTTTGCTTTTTCTGTTTCTTCTTTTCTGAAATAACATTCTGCATACTCTTATGTTTCTTGATTACCCAGAGTCCTGTTTCCAGCAGCATCAAGGTTACTGTTTTTCTGAAAACCAGAGCTGTTTCTTTGAACTTCGAATATTTAAAATATTTAAATATTTAAAAATTTATTAAGACTTTCAAAAAATATTTATAAGCATATGCCATCGAAAAGAATGTTCATTTTGCAGTTGTTTGATGTATTTTTCTCTAAATGTCAGGTCAAGTTAATGGTGTTCAAATCTCCTGTAACTTTTTTTTTCTTTTTTTAAATTTTTATTTATGTATTTATTTTTATTATTATACTTTAAGTTCTGGGATACATGTGCAGAATGTGTAGGTTTGTTACATAGGCATACAATGCCATGGTGGTTGGCTGCACACATCAACCCATCATCTACATTAGGTATTTCTCCTAATGCTATCCCTCTTCTAGCCTCCAACACCCCTGACAGGCCCTGGTGTGTGATGTTCCCCTCCCTGTGTCCATGTGTTCTCATTGTTCAACTCCCACTAATGAGTGAGAACATGCGGTGTTTGCTTTTCTGTTCCTGTGTTAGTTTGCTGAGAATGATGATTTCCAGCTTTATCCATATCCCTGCAAAGGAGATGAACTCATGTTTCTTTATGGCTCCATAGAATTCCATGGTGTATATGTGCCACATTTTCTGTATCCCGTCTATCATTGATGGGAATTTGAGTTGGTTCCAAGTCTTTGCTATTTATTGTGAATAGCACTGCAGTAAAAATATGTGTGCATGTGTCTTTATAGTAGAATGATTTATCATCCTTTGGGTATATACCCAGTGATGGGATTGCTGGATCAAATGGTATTTCTAGTTCTAGATCCTTGAGGAATTGCCACACTGTCTTCCACAATGGTTGAACTAATTTACACTTCTGCCAACAGTGTAAAAGCGTTCCTATTTCTCCACATCTTCTCCAGCATCTGTTATTTCCTGACTTTTTAATGATCGCCATTCTAACTGGCATGAGATGGTACCTCATTGTGGTTTTGATTTACATTTCTCTAACGACCAGTGATGATGAGCTTTTTTTTCATGTATTTTTTGGCCGCATAAATGCCTTCTTTTGAGAAGTGTCTGTTCATATCATTTGCCCTCTTTTTGATGGGGTTGTTTTTTTCTTGCAAATTTGTTTAAGCTCCTTGTAGATTCTGGATATTGGCCCTTTGTCATCACGCTACCTGACTTCAAACTATACTACAAGGCTACAGTAACCAAAACAGCATGGTACTGGTACCAAAACAGATATATAGACCAATGGAACATAACAGAGGCCTCAGAAATGACGCCATACATCTACAACCATCTGATCTCTGACAAACCTGACAAAAACAAGCAATGGGGAAAGGATTCCCTATTTAATAAATCGTGTTGGGAAAACTGGCTAGCCATATATGGAAAACTAAAACTGGACCCCTTCCTTACACCTTATAAAAAAATTAACTCAAGATGGATTAAAGATTTAAACATAAGACCTAAAACCGAAAAAACTCTAGAAGAAAACCTAGGCAATACCATTCAGGACACACACATGGGGAAAGACTTCATGACTAAAACACCAAAAGCAATGGCAACAAAAGCAAACATTGACAAATGGGATCTAATTAAACTGAAGAGATTCTGCTCTGCAAAAGAAACTATCATCAGAGTGGACAGGCAACCTACAGAATGGGAGAAAATTTTTGCAATCTATCCATTTGACAAAGGGCTAATATTCAAATCTCCTATAACTTTATTGATATTTTTGGCTTCTTATTCTATGAATTACTAATAAAGAAGTGTTAAAATGTATTGCAGTCATGTACCATGTAACAAAATTTCTGTCAATATTAGACTGCAGATATGATGATGATCCCATAAGCTGAAAATTTATTGCTTGGTGATGTTGCAGCTGTTGTAACATGGTAGTGCAATGCATTTCCTTTTCTCTGCTTAGGTATGTTAGATGCACAAACATTTACCATTGTGTTACAATTGTCTACAGTATTCAAAAGAGTAACATGCTATACAGTTTTGTAGCCTAGGAACAACAGGCTTTATCATGATAGCCTAGGTGTGTAGTAGGCTATACCTTCTAGGTTTATGGAAGTGTACCCTATGATGTTTGTGCAATGGCAAAATTGCCTAATGATACTTTTCTCAGAATGTATCCCAGTTTTTAAGCAATGCTTGACTGTATTTTGCTTTATATATTTTCTGTATTTTAATATATTTAAGAGTTTGTTATTAGATGTTTATGAATATGATTGTTTTTTATTCTTCATGAACTGATACATTCACTACTTTAAAATGATCCACTTTGTTTCCCATAACCTTTTTCCATTTTGTTCTGTTTTGGTTTGGTTTTGAGTCATAGTCTCACTCCGTCGCCCAGGCTGGAGTGCAGTGTTGTGATCTCAGCTCACTGCAACCTCCGCTTCCCAGGTTCAAGTGATTCTCCTGTCTCAGTCTCCCAAGTAGCTGGGATTACAGGCATGCACCACCATGTCTGACTAATTTTTGTATTTTTTGTAGAGATGGGGTTTCACAATGTTGACCAGGCTCAAGTGATCTGCTGGCCTCGGCCTTCCAAAGTGCTGGGATTATAGGTGTGAGCCAACTCACTCAGCCAGTTTCTTATAATTTTTATTTTATCACATGCCAGTATATTCATGGCAGCTTTTATGTTTGGTGTGGCATATATATATATACATATATTTTTTCCCCAGATTTTTATTTCCAATTTATTTCCAATTGTCTTTATGTTTAAATTATTTGTCTCATGAGCCATACATGGTTGAGTATTGTTTATTTTTTTAGTTTAATTTTCTCACAATCAACTTTTTCTAATTGGAGTGTTTAGTTCATTTACATTTATATAATATTGAAATAATTGATTTTAAACCTAGTATCTTGTTCTTAATTTTCTGTTTGTCTCATCCATTTGCTGCTACTACTATTGTTCCTTTTCTGTCTTATTTGGCTTAATTGGGTATTTATATTTATAGTACGCCACTTTATGTCCTTTATTGGAGGTTCTGTCTATACATCTTAGTGCCATTCTTAGTGGTTTTCCTGGGAATTACAATATGTATTTAGCCTTATTACAGCATCCCTTGAATTAATATTATAGCACTTTACGTATGATGCAAGGATGTTACAGTAGCACAATTTCATTTACCAACACACTTAATGGCATTGCTATCATATATTCTCCTACTACATATGTTACAGATCTCTCAATATGCTGTTGTTAGACTTGTTTTAATAGTCATTACATTGTTAAAAACATAAGAAAAATATTTTATATTTACACACAATTTTACCCTTTCCTTTGCTCTTCTATCCTTCATTTAATACAGATTTCCATCTGCTGTGAGTTTCGTTCATCTTTAACTTCACTGACTCTTTCTTCTACAGAGTCCAATATGCTGTTATATCCACCAAAAGGATTTGTGATTTCTTATATATTTTCTTCGGTTCTATGATTTCCCTTTCTCTCTGTCTCTCTCTCTTTCTCTGTCTCTCTCTCTTTCTCTCCTGGCATTCCCTAATACCCGTTTCTGAATATTTTGGGTAAATTTTTTGATATGTTTGTAAAACTTATTGGAGTGCCCTAATTCCAAGATGTGGATTTTCTAATGTTTACTTTAAATCACCATTATGTTATCTAAATTTTTGTGTCAAATTTACCTGCTTCCTTACATGGTCAGTAATGTTTTATTTTATTTTACATTGTAAATCTTCCATTGTGTGAAGGATTTTTGTCATAATCCAGTGAAAAATGTTGAACTTTATTTAGTAAGTAAACTATTGGTGGGTAGCAATGATTCTATAAAGCAAGGATCAGCAAACTTTCTCCATAACAAGCCAGAAATTCAACATTTATTCTTTGTAGATTCACAATTTGTTGCAATTATGCTATACTTCTCATTTTTAGCGGCTGGTTTTAATTTTATATGATTTTTACATGTCATGGAATAGTATTATTCTTTATTTTTATTAACTTAACAGTGTAAAACATGTTCTTATTTTGTAGACTGCAGAAAATCCAGCAGCAGGGCTAATTTGACTCATGGGTCCTCTTGTGAAGGCTTGGCTTTAAGTGTTTTAGGAAGTTTCTATTTATTTATGTCATTTATTTAAGTTATTATGCATTAATTAATTTCTAGACTGTGGCTAATAATCCTGGGTTTTGTTCTTTTGTCCAAAATTGAGGCTCTTCTTTCATTTTGATAGACAGTCTGGAATGTAGTGAAAGATGTTATAAAGCCCAACTATACTGGTGATGAAACCACATTTGCAAAATTATGACAGTAAGAGAAATCTGAAATAGTTGACTCCATTTTGCTTCTAACCTCCATGCTGGCCTTGCTTATTCCTGGGTGTAGGCCAAACTAACACTGGGAGAAATTTAGTTTACAGTTTAACCTTAAAACAAGGATGATAATAGCCCTTCTCAAAACTAAACTGCCTTTGTAAAACTAGTAAAAGCCCACAAGGATACAATTATGAGAGGAGCCTGGATTCTGCCAACATATAGGCTTAGTTAAATGATAACCAGCCATTGTTCCAGAGGTCACAAGATTTGTAACTTCCCCAATTACTCCTGTAGATAACACTGCTATTGCAGAATCTAAGATTGGTCTCTTAAGATGTTTTTCAGACTGACCCCACTGGGATCCACAACTCATGATTCACTTAGTCATTTGGCCCTCCACCCAGAAGTAGACTCTGCATAGAAGGACCAATTTCCACACCCCTATAATGGCATCCCTAACAAATCAACAGCACCCATTCCCTAGCCACCTGCCCACCAGCCTATCCTTGAAAACCACTAACATTCTAGTTTTCTGGGAAACGGACTTGAGTAATAATTTGGTTCTCCCACATGGGTCAGCCTCATGTCCCTTAAACTCTTTCTTTACTTCAATGCAGTGATCTCAGTGACTTGATGTTGTTTTTGTAGTTGGCAGGAAGAACCTCTTAGGCAATTACAGTGAGACTTAAAACTCTGAATTCTGTCTTTTCATCTCCTGTAATTTTTGCTTGGGTTTTTAGCTTTCCAGCATTTGATGTCCATGAGTTCACTGGATTTTCCTCCCTAAACCTTGATAGTTAGGAATTAGTTAAGAATTTGGGGAGATTTGACCTTGCAGTTTAGGGCTTCCCCCTCTGGGGATTGCTTATCACCAGGATCTTCCTGCTCAGTTTCATGCCACTATAAGACATCCAGACTTCAATATTTAACTCTAATTCTACTGAGCTTTATTTTCCATGGCTGGGCCTTCAAAATTAGGCATGCAATCATGGGCAATACAATTTAAATATTTTGATTCCCTATTCTTTATAATTCCTGCCTACTCTGCTCACAATAAAGTGCGTCCAAACATTTTTTTGGCTGATTAGACTTTATAATTGTTATTGCCAAGAAGATAAGTTTGGTAGCAGTTAATTCATGATTATCAGAAAATAAAATTGTTTTTTAATCTCCCTGGGTGATTTTAATGTGTACCCAGAATTTAGATCTAGCCAAAGGCTGACCTAATCACATATAATTGTAAATTCTGTGTTACTTAGATTATTAGTTGAGTTAGCATTGATAGTTACCAATAGCATAATAAATATTATTACAGTACCTATTCCAAATTAGTCTAAATTTTCTATCCCACTGGTAATAGTTACAAAATATGATAAATACAATTTCTGATATTTGATTACTTTTGTCCTATTAAAAAATCACAATCCTCAAAATTCTGTATCTGCTTATGAACTTTAAACAAGCTCTATTTATGTGTGCTTATTCGTCTTTGTGATTTTCATAAGGCACTAGCCTATTATGGCACCTCAAAATACTTCCATAGGCTGAAATCGCTCCTGAGATTTTAATCTACAGTCTTTGTTCACAAAAGCAAATATTAATTCCCAGTTCATCAGACAGCTGGAAGAACTAGCAGGCATTAAGTGTTCCCAAACATTTTACAAAATATGGAGTCTGTCTCTAGTTTGATTAAACCTAACATTAGTTTCCTAACAAATCCTGATACTTCAAGGTTGTTTTCTATAGGATTATACAAATTACAGATTATATGATGTGATTATTTTTATATTCAACTCAATCACTGAGATTCCTTTATTAAGGCCAAATTTTAAAGAGGTAAAAAAGGCTTCAGAATATATTGATAGATATAGATAGATAGATAGATAGATAATAGATAGGTAGATAATAGATTAATAAATACTTGGATTCTGAAGCTCTATTTAAGCAATATTTATTGCTTTAAATATAACCATCTTAAATTTTTCTTTAGTAATTTGGAGCACAATAGTATTAGTGGTTAATTTGTACTTTGCAGATGAAATACGAATAGTTGAAGTGCAGCAATTCATATGCAAACAACATACATCACCATTGCCATAGTCAATCATTTTTGCATTTCAAAAACACTATAACAAAGACTAGACTGCATAGAGTTCGCTATCCTCAATATAAAAGGAATTTCAAATAAGCCCTCTTTCAAGCATATCAAAGAGGCCTTAATGGGAAAATTATATTGTAATCTCTAAAAGAACCAGTTTAGTGGGAGAATGAGTTCCTAATTAGTGGGACTGTCATTTTGCTATTTGATAATAATCTTACTCTTTAGTGAAGCATGTTAACTCTTTAAAGCCACTGGGGGACATTTATAAGTATTGCTGCCAAAAGCACTACAGTTGATGTTTACTAAATATTTAGAACCTATTAAACTAAACATGCTGCAAAGCATTTAAAGTGTGAATGGTGAATCATAGCCTCTACAACAAGATGTTTCATTGCCCTTGGATTCAGAAAGTTCAAACAATTTGGTTCAGAAAAGATTATTTGTGGCTGGGAGCGGTGGCTCATGCCTGTAATCCCAGCACTTTGGGAGGCCACAGCAGGTGGACAACTTGAGGTCAGGAGTTCGAGACCAACCTGACCAACATGATGAAACCCGTCTCTACTAAAAATACAAAAACTAGCTAGGCGCGGTGATGCACACCTGTAGTCCCAGCTACTCTGGAGGCTGAGACAGGAGAATTCCTTGAACCTGGGAGGCGGAGGTTGCAGTTAGCCAAGATTGCGCCACCGCACTCCATCCTGGGCGACAGAGTGAGACTTGGTCTCAAAAAAAAAAAAAAAAAAGAAAGAAAAAGAAAAAAGAAAGGATCATTAATCTGTGTTAGTAAGATTAGTGAAATTGTGATTTTAGGTTTACAAATATCTTCTCATAACTAATTCTCAGAAAATATCATAAAAGGAGATAAAGCTGCAATGAACGAGCAAGTTTTGCTGAGCATCAGCCCTAAAGAGTTTCTTTTGCACATTATGTTAAGGTTTGAAAATAATGTTATGAGGAAAGATGCTCCTTGATGTCAATTCCTTGCCCCTTATCAGAAAACAGTTTCCTCCAATCATTACATAAAATCATAATGTTGTTTTCAAATATTCGTATTAGAAAAACGAAGTAAATTTAGATGATCTCTTGTTATCACATTTAATGTTTTAAAGGTCGACTTTTTTTTTTTAGTTACAGTAGAAAATGTGATTTGTTTTTATTTCCCTCAGCCTCCATAAACATTTGATATATGTGGCAAAAATATGGTGGTAAATGCTAACATTCCACTAGCTTAACAAGAAGATATTTGAAAAGCACAATAGTAATGTAGTCATTGTTTGAACAAAACTATGACTTGATGGTGATTAGATGTCTAAAAGAATGAACTTCTGTAATAATAATAGAAAAGACTGAGATGAGAGAATTGATACGGTGTGTATCTCAGGGTGTGATTTAGCTTCTGTCCATCTGACTGAAGAAAAAAAAATAGATTATATCTTAAGCTACTAAGATGAAAATAACTCTAGTATTTTTATTTCTCTCTCACAGATCCTGGAGATTAGGTTGTGGACACCATTGTGGGCTATTATTCCATCTACCACACTCTATTTGAAATAATCATTTATTTATGATCAACTAATATAGTAATTGAAATTATTCATTTTTATGATCAGGTCCTATATGTTAATTAACCAACATTCAAAAAAATCGACATCAATTATGTACTCAAGATTATTTGATGTTACATAAAACAAAAAATTATAAGAAAATTCCACTACATTCTAAAAACTTACAATTTACTTGAAAAACAAAAATATTAGGCAAAAGTTAATATGAGACATAGTTGAGTGAAAAATTATGAGAAATCTTTTACAATCTGAAGTAGAATATAATTCGAAACTCAGGTTATTCATTAAAAGCTTCAGGGAGTAGTTGAATTTGAGCTAGTCCTTGAAGAATCAATAAGAGTTGTAAGAGTAAAAATGAGAGTAGAAATGAAAGAGAATACTGTATGCTGGGTCAGTGAAAAAGGAATGTAATAAGACAATAAGGGACCAGATATTTGCAATGCATGTATCTGACAAAGGACTAGTATTCCAAATATATATAAGGAATTTCTTCAAATTACTATGAAAAGTACATTACTCAAGCATCTTGGAAAACTTTTGATAATATCTATAAAACCTGGATCATCATTTCCCAAGACCCAGCAAGTCACCTCATATGTATGTATCCAACATAAATTCTTATCTGGTAGCCAATAACTAAAACTCCCAAATTTGTCTCAACAGTCAAACCAATAGTCATCATATAAAATAACATAAAGCACAAATGATGCCTGACACATGAAATAGTAAGAATGATTCATACCTAGTGAAAGACAAACATACAGTTGAACAAAACAGATAAAAATATGCACGCTGTATGTTTTCTGTAATGTAATATTGAAATAAGTAAAAATAATCAATGATGTTTGATAACAGAATACAGTTATCTTTTAGTGGATGGTAGTAATGAGAGGCAGGGGTGTTTTATATCCTGCTGTAAGAACCTATTTTTTGATCCGCTTGGTGGTTCTGTATGTGTTTACTCGGTGAAATTTCATTGAACTATAAACTTATTTGTAAATTTGCAAAATTTTTTGCAGTGTTTTTGCCATTTGACTGGCACAATTAAAATAATAATAGTTGGAGATGATGTGGATCAGTAAGATATTTTATTTATTTATTTATTTATTTATTTATTTATCTTGCAGAGATGGGGTCTTGCTATATTGCCCAGGTCAGTCTAGAGCTACCAGCCTAAAACAATCTTCCTTCCTCATATACATATACATACGTATGTATGTACATATGTGTGTATATATATGTATGTATATGTGCATGTGTGTATATATATATAGTTAAAAATCAAATGTCTATAAAGTAGCTAATAGTGTATTGATATTAATAATCTTACCTATGACATAATTTGAGAGGTTTTAAGTAGAAATAAGAACAATTTGAGACTGCCTCTTTTTTTTTAGTACTACATATTTTGTTAAGTTTTGATTTACTTTATAGTCTATCATTATTTCAAGTAGTGTATTAGGAAGAGTTTTGTAATATTTCCTAATTAAAAAAAAACAAATTTGCTGTTGAAAATACTTTATTTTTCTGAGACTCTTATGTAACACTTTTTTCAAATAGTGGTACACATTTTTTCCATCTTTTCAAACTGACATAAAATATATTGGTTAGTATAACTAGATTTTTCCTATTTATGTTTTTCTACTTTAGTTCTTTTAAATATATTTAGGTAAGTTTAATTATCTGAGTATGAATTTACTGAAATATATTATAAACTAACTGTATTTTTAATCATGAAAAATTCAGATTTTTGGTTTTGCCTTTGATGAAATGTAGTCTAAGAACTTTGAGTGTAATGTATACTCTTTCTGCTCAAGAATGGCACCTATACTGAGAACATCCATTGAAAATAGTTATATTATTTCATGTGCCAGATAATGTGATGAGTGCTTTTGTCCATTATGTTATGTAGACTTCACAACAAACCCGTGAATCTCAGCATCCTCATTTCAAAAATAGGGATTAAATACTCATCATATTTCTTATAATTAAAATATACTGTAATTTGTTGACAAGAAATAACTGCAAGCTTCTTTCCTTTTTATAGATATTCATTATTTATATTCTAATAAATTCATGTATTATAAGTAATTAAGCAAAAAGTTCTAGCTGAATTTTCAGCTAATTTTCAGCTAATTTTCAGCTAACTTTTAGATGAAGTTTCAGCTAATTAATTATTTAGTGCTAATGATGGTAAAGTCAGGTTTGGGTCTGATTTAAAGTTTTTTCTGATTAAACAAAATATTCACTTAAAGCCTCATCACTGTCATAAAATGATCCCATCAAATAATGAGACATGATAAGCATTGGGGGAAAATATCCCTACCTGTGTCAATAGTGGGCATGGTGTTGTGAAAGGTATGCAATTGAAGACAGAAAACCTAAATTAAAATGTGTACCATTTACTAGTTATATGATGTCTTGCAAACAACTTAATTTATCTGAGATTTTTTATTCATTTGTTAGTTCTCAAAAATTGTGCATGGAGAAAAAAGTCAGATTTGCTTCACCTTGTTCATCTTTGCAATATTGGTCATGACTGACTCAAAAGTTGTCATAAATTCCAAGGTGGCAGGGTTAGTGCATTACTTTGCAAACCATAAATTCCTGCAGAACTGTAATAGATTATTGTTCAGGTAAGGGAAGCGCTCTACTGAAATAAGAAAATAATTATTTTTACTTCAGGCTGTCTTACCACCAGATTGATAAAGGATGTCAGATGATTCCTTTTAACAATTTGTTTAGATTTTAATAGTCTCTCAGATCTCATTGGCTCTAACATTCTATACAATGTATTATTTGCGTTGATGTTTTTCTTCATTTAGTTTTCATGTACATTTGTTTGTTTATTCTCAAGACAAAACAATTACATGGCCTTGTTTCAGCTATTATAAAATCTAAACATCCTTAAGAGGCCATTATATAAATTCTACACAGATGAGCTCAAAAACTGTACTAGATGAGATTAAATGCCATTCCTTTCTTCTGGATTTTGAGAACACGTGTTCTTTTATAAAGATTTTATTTTTTTCTATGGATTGTTATGAAGAAAAACATTCTTTGAAAGTATTTCATTTTATTTCCTGTACCATGTAATAATTCATTATATTATCATTACAGGATTACTGGACAAGTAAGGAGTAGGCAAGGGCAAAGGTAGAGAGCTTGGATACCTAAGGAAAATAAGGCAATGCAAGATGGTCTTCCTCTCCCATCTCAATCTCTTGCTTCACCAGTCACTAAATTGGAGGAGTTGAATTCAGACTGATGGAGTATTAAATTAAAGAGCAAGCATTCTACCTTTGGTGCATTGTTAGACTCAACCAGACTTGAGAACTTATTGGGTGAGAAGAATAATGGGGAGATAAAGATACTAATTCAAAGGTTAATAGGTTGCCTACAGGGTTTTACAGGTACAGCTATGTATGTAATTTAAGGGGACATCAAGAGAAACATTATTTTTATAAACTAAAAGTAGCCTCTGCTGCAACCGATTTCATATATATGTTTTATATTATACTTATATTTTATTGAAAAAAAATTTTATCACCTAAAATTAACCAGTTTAAAGTCCACAATTCAGTGACATTTAGTATATTCATTATATTGTACCATCATTCCCTTCTTTATCTTTTTATCCTTTTTTTTTTTTTTTTTTGAGACTGAGTCTCGCTCTGTCGCCCAGGCTGGAGTGCAGTGGCCCATCTCAGCTCACTGCAAGCTCTGCCTCCCAGGTTCATGCCATTCTCCTGTCTAAGCCTCCCGAGTAGCTGGGACTACAGGCACCCGCCACCATGCCTGGCTAATTTTTTGTATTTCTGGTAGAGACGGGGTTTCACCACGTTAGCCGGGATGGTTTCGATCTCCTGACCTCGTGATCCACCCGCCTCGGCCTCCCAAAGTGCAGGATTACAGGCATGAGCCACCGCGCCCGGTCCCTTCTTTATCTTTTCTAAAACATTTTCATCACTCCAGAAGAAAACCTGTTACCTATTAAGCAGTCACTCCCTCTCTTCCACCAGCCCCTGGAACTCGCCAATCAGCTTTCTATCTGTATTCTGGATATTTAGTATCAACTTACCTAGTTTTTTAGCAATAGATCTTTATGCTCTTTGTACTTGATGTACTTTTGACACTTGTGCATCTTAGAGAAATTACTCTTCCTGTGTATTACATCATACTATTAATAATGTCATGGTAGAAGATGCGCTGAAAGCTTGCCTCATGTTTGCACAGTTACTTTATTTTTAATTGCCACCATGTTGCAGTTAGTATTTTTTTAATGATCCCATTCATCCAAAAGTAAACTTCATTTGTGAAGAATCTAAGTGAGTGCCAAGTTAACTGTCCTTAAATGTCCTCATGTAGCAACATGAGAGTTTTACATGGGGCTTCAATGACCTTGTATTTCATTGTTTTTGATATAATATTTTTCCTAATATTTAAGCAGATATGTGTGTGTGTTTCTGTGTGTATATGTATACATGTGGAGGGGAGTAAGTGCAGCTGTACAATGTGCAGGAACATATCTGTTCATTTTCTAAGTTGGTGTATTTCAAAAATGTGCTTTTATGGCCCTAAGGACTATCTAGAAAAAGTATAAAATAGGTTTGAATCATGCTACATTTCCAAGTTACCTAGAGGCTTTTATAGCAATCTCCGCTTCTTTTGTTCTCTTCCTCTTTTTCCATTGATTGGGTGTATAACTTGATTCAAGGTCGGCTAATAACAGGATGCACTAGCATTTTCACTCCATCTGTTCCCCTGAGCTGATGGTGAGGTTCTTCCTGCTATTATTTTTGTTTTCCCCTGTGGATCAACAAAGGAAATAAGATACAAAGTTTTGGATTTTGACTTACAGATATGTAGAAGGCCCACATTTAGCCTCTAAGTCTTTAGTTCTGAGCTACAGATCATTGCTTTTGAGATGTGAAATATTTGCATAGCTATTTATGATGACCCATTTATTAATATTTGTTGCTTAATTTGTATAAAATTCTTCAGAGAAAAGCAATGGTGATTAATTGGACAAGAATTTAGCATTTGTTTCCTACCAAAAAATAAACAGATAAGCAAATAAATATACACCAATTCCTAACTCACATCACCTAAATAGCTGCTTGTTTACTGATCTACCTCTCTTGTCTACACTGAGGCGCATAAGTGTAAAGTGCCATTCATATACTCGATTTCACTGCTGACCATAGAAACAGGTAAAGAGTATACACACCACACTCATCTGCAAAATAATAAACATCAAGATAATATTTTTAAAAATATATAGTGTTTGACAACTTCATATTACAATGTTTGTTACACAGGATTAGGGAAGCTACTATAACTATTCACATCTATATATCTATTTATATCTCTATCATACAAAATATTGAATTTCCAATTAATTTTACATTCTACATCAAGAACCAATGATAGGAGTGATGTCAGCAGAAATGGTCAAGTAAGCCCCTCTAATGTTTTGTCCCACTCCAGAAACACTGAAAAACCTGACAACAATTGTCAGAACTATATCAGAACTCTGGAACAGAGTCCAATGTTTATAGCAACCGTGTGAATTCTTAAACAGAAGAAAGATAATTTAAATGGAGTGAGAGAGTTCTGTAGCATTTTGACTTAGCTTTGCCCACTCTCCCTTTCTGGCATGGTAGCTAGTTTTGAGATGGCAACACTTGGAGTATGAGTAACTGGTGTGAAAATCAATTTAAAAAATTAAAAGCTGCTGGAACCCCCTCAAACACTTTCAGACTTTAGAGAGATGTGACTGTGATTTGAGTCACGTAGTATGTAGTTGCAACTTCTGCTTCTTAGATTATAGATGAACTAACTATCACATTTTTCTTGTTCTGTAAATGACTTAGGAGAGACAAGACCTCCTCCCCTTCTAATCACTGACCTTTATCATAGATTAACTGCATCCTTTTTTGTCCTATATTTAACTCAGACCACTAAATAGTATCATACACAAAAATTAACTCAAAATTGATCAAAAACTTAAATGTAATGGCTAGAACTCTACAGCTCTTAGAATAAAACATAACAGTGACTCTTCATGCTCTTGGATTTGCAATGGTTTCCTAAATATAATGCAAAAAGCATAACCAATAACAAAATATGTTGGACTTCACCAAAATAAAAAAAAAGTGCATCAAAGGACACTATCAAGAGAATGAAAAGACAACCCACAAAATGAAAGAAAGTATTTGCAAATCATATAACTGATAAGTATCTAATATCCAGAATATATAAAGAACTCTTAAAATTCCACAATGAAAAGACCAAAAAAAACCCATATTCAACAATGAACAAATAACCTGAATAGATATTTTTCCAAGGAAAATATACAAATGACCAATAAGCACACGAAAAGATGATCAATGCCATTAGTCATTGGGAAAAGCAAATCAAAACCACAATAAGATTTCACTTCACACCTTTTAGAGTGGTGTAATGAAATAAATAGGAGATAAAAAGTATGAGAGAATGTGGGGAAATTGAAACTGTCATAAAATGAAAATGATATATATAGTCACTTTGGAAAACAGTTTGGTAGTTCCTTAACGTGTTAAACATTAAATTACCATTTGGCCCGGAAATTCCACTTCTAGGTGGAATTGGAAAGAGATATCCAAATAAAAATTTGTACATGAATGTTCATAGCAGCACTGTTTACAATAAACAAAAGGTGAAACAACTCAAATGCCCATCAACAGATGAATGCATGAACAAAATGTGGTAACAAAATACAGGAACGAGGTAATTTTATTAAGCCACAAAAAGTACTGATACCTCCTACAACATGAATGAACCTTGAAAATATTATATGAAATGAAAGAAACCAGAGGCAAAAGGCCACATATTGTTTATCTTTATATGACGTATCCCAAATAAGCAATTACACAGAGACAGAAAACAAATGAGTACTTGCCAGGGGCTGGGGGTAAGATGAAAATAGGGAGTGATTGCTTAATGCCTTTTTTTGGAATTGATGAAGTAATTCTGGAACTAGATAGTGGTGATGGTTGCTCAACATTGTGAACGTACACAATGCCAATGAATTCTATACTTCAAAATAAGTGGTAGATTTTATATTACCTGTAGTTTACCATAATAAAAATATGCTGAAATAAAACAATGGTAACCTATTTTTTCTCACTTCTACCTGAGAACAAGCTATATAAGAGAATCTATTGAATCTCTGGCATTAACTCTATGAGGTACAATAAACAATTTCTAAGACTCAATCAGTGACTTATTTCAGAATTATTTGAGAAAATGAAGACATGGAAGAAATTTTAATAGTCACTCAGAATTTGTCACAATTACGTCCAATGTAGTCACACAGCACTCCTAAGAGAGAGAGACAAAAATGTGAAATCTGCTATATTTAAATATTTTTCCTAAAACCGAAAAAACACACAACTTAATATATTTAGTAATAAAATAAAATCCATGATTTATGAAATAACCAAGAATAGTCATTCAGTCAAAATCAATGGTCTTATGATCTTGGTGCAGTAACTAAAACGTTATTTATATTTTCTAAAATCAAAAGATGAATGTATAAATATAACGTGGTATAACCATACAATGTGGTGTTATTCAGCCCTAAAAAGTACCGATACCTGCTACAACATGGATGAATCTTGAAAGCATTATGTTAAGTGAAAGAAACCAGAGACAAAAGGCCACATATTGCTTAATATCAATTACTCTTGGGAAATTGATCCATATTCTTGTAAAAGATTCAGAAATTATCATAACAAAATATTACTGTTTGAATCACAGAATCCTCTACACTTGCTCTTTGGTGTGGTGTCTCCCAGCTTAGGCCACTTCCTGATAAACTGTCCTCACTCCCTTCCCCTTTCTTTAAGATAAATATTGTGTTTATCTTAAGAATGACATTTGAAGTGATGAAATTTAAAGAATTATATTCTAGGCTTCCCAATATAAGAAAAACAGAATAAGTTATAGAATATTTTAACTAGACATATCTTTAGTAATTTATATAGTTTTCTAATTATTTTAGAAAACTGATTTCTAGAGATTTAAAACATATTATTTCTTACCTAAAGTCACACAGAAAATTAGGAACAGAGCTGGGTTATAAGACATCAGGCCTCCAATATAGTGCTTCTTAATTTTTGCTTCCTGTATGTTTCCTATTACTTCTATAACTCCTCTCTAATAATTCTTTTTTAAGGTTAAAAATCACTTTTATTTACAATTTTAATGGGTAGTTTAACTAGAGTGATCATAAAAGGACACTCTGAAGAAGCGATGTTTGAGTTATGTTTAAGCAATGAGAAAGAGGCATCTATTCAAATACTTAGGTAAAGAGTGTCCTGAACAAAGGAGGAGTGAGTAACCAATGAGAGAATGAGCTTTAAATACATTGGAATGAGATCTCTGTAGCTGGAACATGGTGAAAGGAGAAACAGGAGAGAGGTGAGTTTAGACAGGTAGGCAGGTAGGCAGTGGCCAGAGCATGCAGAGCCCATAGGCTATGGGAAGAGTTTTCCTTTATTTTAATAGTAATAATAATAATAACAATAAAAAACATGACAGCCTGAGGTGGTGGCTCACACCTGTAATCCCAGCACTTTGGGAAGCTGAGGCAGGAGGATTGCTTGAGGTTAGTACATTGAGGCCAGTAGTTTGAGACCAGCCTAAACAACAAAACGAGACCCCTGTCTCTCCAAAAAAAAAAAAAAAAAAAAAAAAAAACTGAAAAATTAGCCAGTAATGTATGCCTGTAGCCCCAGCCATTCCAGAGGCTGAGGTGGGAAGATGGCTTGAGTCCAGGAGTTCAAGGCTGTAGTGAACTATGATTGTGTCACTGCACTCCAGCCTGGGCTACAGAGCAAGATCCTGTCTCATAAAATAAACAAACAAACAAAATAAACAAAAAAGAAAACCTGGAGGATTTTTAAAGGTAAATAACAACTCTGATTAAAATTTTAAAATATTAATCCATAGATGACTGTTCTATGAAGGATGATGAGAGAGATGATAACATCTTTGAACAGGGTTGTATCGACAGAGATGCATGGAGAAAAAAAAAAAATGGTCTTATCCAGGATATATTTTGGAGGTAGTCCCAGAAATGTCCACTGAAAGATTGGATGTAGGTTTTCAAACAGACAAAATCTAGGTGGATGTTATTGACACGATTTGGAAAAAGAAATCAATGGTTAGATTTTGGCCACATGAAATAGGAGCTTTCAATTATACATCCCAATGGAGATGTAATGTAGTAAGCTGGATGCTTAAGTCTTATATGTCTAAGTCAAGAGAGAGGATATGTAAGTTTGAATGCTCTCAGTTTGTTTCCTTGAATCTTGTAATTAGATTAGGTTACTTAGGGACAAAGGAAACAGGGCAGTTCACCAGAGAGCTCCTTAGGGTACTCTAACATTTAAAAGTCTGTAACAAAGAATTAATGAGAAAGGAAAAGTGGAAAATAATTCCCATTGGAAAAGTAAAAATCTTGAGACATCTTCAGAAGCTTTCAAGAAAAATGTTTCAAATAAGAGTGTAGTGAACTGTGTCAAGTGCCTCTCAGAAGTCATGTAGAATGGAGATGGGGAATTGACTACTGTGTTTGCCAAAATGTAGATTATAACAGCTGAAATAATGAGCAGTGGAATTGAGAACCCAATGGAGTAAAGATATCTAGTAAGGAAGGAGAAACAACTATTTTTGAAATGTTTAGCTGTGTATAACACAGGTAAATGGGGCATCTGCTGGAGTTAGAAGTTCATGAGCAAAGGCACAGGATGGCATGCAATTTACCAGTATGCATTGTTCCTCTAAAAAATTATGAAAGGTATACTTTTATTGAACTGTTTCCAGATAAGAAATCTGGCTCAGTGACTTTGCTGAACAGCCCAATTGACCATAAAACAGGATGATTTCTGAAACTTAAATTCTAAATAAAGTGTCTAAACTCCAAAGATCACTCCTTTTTGGTGTATGATCCAAGGAAATCAATTTTTCAAATTCATTTTTAAAAAGCAAGTTAGTATATGAGTCCCAGCAATTCTGTATCTGTGTGCATGTTCCTCAGTGTTTATGCGATAAAAGAACTGGACATAGCTTTTGGCTATGTCTTCTTGCCTTGACATTGAAAGGGTTAAAGCACAATTGCATAGTACTTGTGTACTTAAATGTATGTTGAATTATTCACATGAATAATTCTATTGTGCTGGAGTTAGTATGGAAGAGATGACTAGATATCTATCAGAATTTTGTGGCTCTCTACCATGGGGTAGAGATATGTTTAGAAATGACATTCTGGCCCCAATTTCCTCTCTTCTTTCATCTGGATAACACTATGTAAATAATTCTTACCAGTGCATTTTGAATACAGGAAATATATGTCAGTGCTAGATCAAAGTGATTCAGAAGCAGATATCCATTCATCATTTTTTTTCCATTTCCTATGGACATGATCAATGTAGACAAATCTGATGCCCCAGAAGTAGTCATTTCCATATAATGGACAGGGTCCGGGGGCTTGAATGTCCCTGTAGAAGGCCACTTATAGATAAGGATCATGATACTCAACTTTATGTGAGCAAGAAATAAATATCTATCAAACCACTAGGGTTTTAAAATTTAGGTATTGCAACAACTATAGTTATCTGTACTAATGCACTCAGCTTAGGCTAAATCACTCTATCAAATTCTTTAGAATTGTAGAGTCATAAATAGTTTGAGAATATTTGGACATAGTAATATTGGTGTTATGTTCAACAACATAAACGTCTTGCTGCTGAAAGGATGGAAGATTTTATAAATTTTGCATGTGATTTTGCTGCCTTCTGGGTGTCATGAAGCAGAACTATCAGAGTACAGTTAAAAAAAACTGATAAAATAAAAAGCACTAGCCTAGCTAGCAACTGCAGTGTGACAAATAGGTGCTAGGCAATTTTCCCTACTGACTATGAAAAAACAAGTTCAATGAAGAAACATTTTCTCATAAAATACTAGTTTGTAAAATCAAGTGTTCTTTGAATATCTCTTTTATTTCATTTATAAATATCACATGAAAAAAGGATAGTGTGGCGGGGCCAAGATGGCTGACTAGAAACAGTGGCATTTGAAGGCTCTCATAGAAAAAAACCATAATAAGCATGTGAATCCTTCACTGGCAACCAAGGTATCCAGGTTGTCTCATCAGAACTGACTAGAAGGCTGCTGTGACCCATGGAGAAAAGGAAGAACAGTGCAATGTGGCAGCCCACATGAAGCCACAGAGGGCAGAGGAGCCCCCTCTCCCCACACAAAGGAGGTGGTGAGTGAGTGTGCTACACAGCCAGGGAAACCGTGCTTTATCCATGGAACTCTGCAATCCGCAGATCCAAAGAGCCCACTCGCAAACCCATGCCACCAGGGCCTAGCGTCCAAACCCCAGTATGCACAGTTTCTCAGCAGCATCTCAGCTAGAATCTGCGTAAGCATACCAAACTCCTGGGGGGAGGGACAACCAGCACCTTAGGTGTGGCTGCCTGCTGTTTAAGCCATTTGAGCTCCTTGAGGGAGGGGCAGCAGCCAGCACTGGGACTCACAACTGCCTAACACACTAAGCTTACAGGGCAGGGGAAGGGCAGCAGCCATCTCTATAGCTCCAGGCTGCACTTTTCCCCTGCTGGAGCCAGGGAGGCTGGATGGCTTGGTCCCCCAAGACTTGTCTCCCACAGCCCAACATACCAGCTGTGGCAGTCTGAGGCCAGAGTGTCTCTTCAGGCCTTACCCTGACCCATCCTTCTTCACTGGGTGGGGCTTTTCTGCAGGAAGTCCAATAACTCCATTTAGAGGCTCAGGGACAGAACCCCGATCTCCCTGGGCCTGAGGCCCTAGGGGGAGGGGTGACCACAGCCTCTGCAGACCAGCAGACTTAGCCTTTCCTTCTGGTAGTTCTGAGGAATCCAGGCAGCTCAGATGAGTGGATTACCCCCCAGCAAAGCACACCCCCTCCACCAAGGGACAATGTGCTTTGCTAAACAGGTCCTGTTCCCATGCTACCCAATTGGGTGAGACCCTCCAACAGGGGTTGTCAGACACCCTATACAGGTGCAATCCTACTGGCATCAGGTTGGTGCCCTTCAAGATCAGATGTCCCAGAAGAAGGAGCAGGCACCCATCTTTGCTGTTCTCTAGCCTCCTTGAGTGACATATCCAGGTGCAGGAGTGAATCAGATGAATAGGGCCTGAAGTCAACCCCTAGCAAACTGTAGCAGCCTTGCAGAAGAAGGACCTGACCATTGAAAGAAAAACAAACAAGCAGAAAGCAACAACAAAACCATCAGCAACAACAACACAAAGCCCCCACAAAAACCCCATCCAAGGGTCAGCAGCCTCAAAAACTGAAACTAGACAAACTCATGAAGATGAGAAAGAATCAATGTAAAAATTCTGAAAACCTAAATGGTCAGAGTGCCTCTTCTTCTCCAAATGATCGCAACATCTCTCCATCAAGGTCAGAGAACTGGATGAAGGACCAGATAGATGAATTGACAGAAGTAGGCTTCAGAAGGTGGGTAATAAAAAACTACACTGAGCTAAAGGAGTATGTTCTAACCCAATGCAAAGAAGCTAAGAACCTTGATAAAAGGTTAGTGGAATTGCTAACTAGAACCAGTTTAGAGAGGAAAATAAACAACCTGAGGGAGCTGAAAAACAGAGCACAAGAACTTCATGAAGCATACACAAGTATCAATAGCTAAATCGACCAAGTGGAAGACAGAATATCAGAGTTTGAAGACCACCTTGCTGAAATAGGGCATGCAGACAAGACTAGAGAAAAAGAATGAGAATGAACATGAATGAATGAAGCTGCCAGGAAATATGGGACTTCATAAAAAGACCAAACCTACAATTGATTGAAGTACCAGAAGGAGACTGGGAGAATGGAAACAAGCTGGAAAACACACTTCAGGATATTATCCAGGAGCATTTCCCCAACCTAGCAAGACAGGCCAACATGCAAATTCAGGAAATACAGAGAACACCATTTAGATACTCCATGATAAGATCAACCCCAGAACACATAATCATCAGATTTTCCAAGGTCAAAATGAAGGAAAAACTGTTAAGGGCAGCCAGAGAGAAAGGCCTGGTCATCTACAAAGGGAAGCCCATCAGACTAACAGCAGACTTCTCAGCAGAAACTCTACAAGCCAGAAGAGATTGGGGCCAATATTCAACATTCCTTAAAAAAAAAAAAAAAGGAATTTTCAACCCAGAATTTCATATCCAGCCAAACTAAGCTTCATAAACAAAGGAGAAATAAAATCCTTTGCAGACAAGCAAATGCTGAGGAATCTCACTACCACCAGGCCTGCCCTGCAAGAGCTCCTGAAAGAAGCACTAAACATGTAAAGGAAAAACTGGTACCAGCCACTGTGAAAACACAGCAAAATATAAAGTCTAATGGCACTATGAAGAAACTGCATCAACTAGTGTGAAAAATAAAAAATTGCATCGTGATGACAGGATCAAATTCACACATAACAATACTAACCTTAAATGTAAATGGGCTAAATGCCCCAATTAATAGACAGACTGGCAAATTGGAGAGTCAAGAACCATCGGTGTGCTGTATTTAGGAGGCTCATCTCAACGTGCAAAGACTCACGTAGACTCAAAATAAAGGGTTGGAGGAAATCTTACCATGCAAGGAAAGAAAGAAAAAAAAAGCAGGGTTGTAATTCCAGTCTTTGACAAAACAGATTTTAAACCAACCTAGATCAAAAAAGACAAAGTAGGCCATTATATAATGGTAAATGGAACAACTAAGAGCTATTTGAAATATATATGTACCCAATACAGGAGCACCCAGGTTCATAAAACAAGTTCTTAAAGACCTACAAAGAGACTTAGACTCCCATACAATTTCTGTGGGAGACTTTAACACCCCACTGTCAATATGAGACAGATCAAGACAGAAAATTTATAAGGATATTCAGTACTTGCACTTAGCTCTGGATCAAATGGACCTGGTAGATGTCTCCAGAACTCTCTACCCCAAATCAACAGAATATAAATTCTTCTCAGTGCCAAATGGCACTTATTATAATTGACCATGTAATTGGAAGTAAAACACTCCTCTGTAAATACAAAAGAAATGGTATGATAACAAACAGTCTCCCAGACCACAGTGAAATCAAATTAGAACTCAGGATTAAGGAACTCACTCAAAACCACACAATTACAGGAAAATTGAACAACCTGCTCCTGAATGACTTGGGTAAATAATGAAATTAAAGCAGAAATTAAGAAGTTATTTGAAACCAATGAGAACAAAAAGACAACATACCATAATCTCTAGGACACAGCTAAAGCAGTGTTAAGAGGGAAATTTGTAGCAATAAATGCCCACATCAGAAAGCTAGAAAGATCTGAAATCGACACCCTAACATCACAATTAAAAGAGCTAGAGAGCCAAGGACAAACCTTTGCAAAATCTAGTAGAAGAAAATAAATAACTAAGATCAGAGAAGAATTGAGGGAGATAGAGATATGAAATACCCTCCAAAAAATTAATGAATCCAGGAGGTGGTGTTTTGAAAAAATTAAAAAAATGATAGACTGCTAGCTAGACTAATGAAAGGGGAGAAGAATCAAATAGACACAATAAAAAATGACAAAGCGAATGCCACCACTGACCCCACAGAAATACAAACTACCCTCAGAGAATACTATAAACACCTCTACGCAAATAAACTAGAAAATCTGGAAGAAAAGGATAACTTACTGGACACATACACCCTTTGAAGACTAAACCAGGAAGAAATCCAGTCCCTGAATAGACCAATAACAAGTTCTGAAATTGAGACAGTAATTAATAGCCTACCAACCAAAAAAAAAAAAAAAAAGCCCAGGACCAGATGAATTCATAGCTGAATTCTACCAGAAACACAAAGAGGAGCTGGTACCCTTCCTTCTGAAACTATTCCAAATAATTGAAAAGGAGAGACTCCTCCCTAACTCATTTTATGAAGCCAGCATCATCCTGATAGCAAAACCAGGAAGAGACACAACAAAAAAGAAAACTTCAGTCCAATATCCCTGAAGAACATCGATGTGAAAATCCTCAGTAAAATGGTGGCAAACTGAATTCAGCAGCACATCAAGAAACTTATCCACAACGATCAAGTTGGCATCACCCCCTGGGATGCAAGGCTGGTTCAGCATACCCAAATCAATAAACATAATCCATCACATATACAGAACCCAAGAAAAAACCACGATTCTCTCAACAAATGCATAAAAGTCCTTGGATAAAATTCAACATCCCTTCATGTTAAAGACTCTAAATAAACTAGGTATTGATGGAACATCTCTCAAAATAATAAGAGCTACAAACTTACAGCCAATATCATGTTGAATGGGCAAAAGCTGGAAGCATTCCCTTTGAAAACTAGTATAAGACAAGGATGCCCCCTCTTGCCACAGCTATTCAACATAGTGTTGGAAGTTCTGGCCAGGGCAATCAGACAAGAGAAAGAAATAAAGGTATTCAAATAGGAAGAGAGGAAGTCAAATTGTCTCTGTTAGCAGACAACATAATTTTATATTTAGAAAACCCCATCATCTCAGCCCCAAAACTCCTTAAACTGATAAGAAACTTCAGCAAAGTTTCAGGATACAAAATCCATGTGCAAAGTCACAAGCATTCTTTTACACCATCAATAGACAATCAGAGAGCCAAATCATGAATGAACTCCCATTCACAACTGTTACAAAGAGAATAAAATATCTAGGAATACAGCTAACAAGGGATGTGAAGGACCTCTTCAAGTAGAACTATAAACCATTGATCAAGGAAATAAGAGAGGACACAAACAAATGGAAAATATTTCATCCTCATGGATTGGAAGAATCAATATCGTGAAAATGTTCATATTGCCCAAAGTAACTTATAGATTAAATGCTATTCCCATCAAACTACCATTGACATTCTTCACAGGATTAGAAAAAAAACTATTTTAAATTACATATGGAATCAAAGAAGACCCTGTACAGCCAAGACAATCCTAAGCCAAAAGAACAAACCTGGAGTCATCACACTACCTGACTTCAAACTATACTACAAGGCTACAGTAACCAAAACAGCATAGTACTGGTACCAAAACAGATATATAGACCAATGGAACAGAAGAGAGACCTCAGAAATAACAGCATACCTCTACAACCATCTGATCTTCGATAAACCTGACAAAAACACGCAATAGGGAAAGGGTCTTCTATTCAGTAAATTGGGCTGAGAAAACTGGCTAGCCATATTCAGAAAACTGAAACTGGACACCTTCCGTACACCTTATACAAAAATTAACTCAAGATGGATTAAAGACTTAAATGTAAAGCTCCAAACCATAGAAACCCTAGAAAAAAACCTAGGAAATACCATTCAGCACATAGGCAAGGGCAAAGACTTCATGACAAAAAAGCCAAAAACAATTGCAACAAAAGCCAAAATTGACAATTTAAACTAATTGAACTAAAGATCTTCTGCACAGCAAAAGAAACTATCATCAGAGTGGATGGGCAACCTACAGAAGGGGAGAAAATGTTTGTAATCTATCCATTTGACAAAGGGCTAATATCCAGAATGTACAAGGAACTTGAAAAAATTTACATGAAAAAAGCAAACAACCCCATCCAAAAGTGGGCAAAGCATATGAAGAGACACTGCTCAAAAGAAGACATTTATGTGGCTAACAAACATATGAAAAAAAGCTCAACATCACTGATCATTAGAGAAATGCAAATTAAAACCACAATGAGATACCAGCTCATGCTAGTCAGAATGGCGATTATCAAAAATTCAGGAAACAATAGATGCTGGCAAGGCTTTGGAGAGATGGGAACGCTTTGACATTGTTGGTGGGAATGTAAATTAGTTCAACCATTGTGGAAGACAGTATGGCAATTCCTCAAGCATCTAGAACCAGAAATCTCATTTGACCCAGCAATCCCATTACTGAATATATACCCAAAGTAATATAAATCATTGTATTATAAAGACACATGTACACATATGTTTATTGCAGCACTATTTACAATAGCAGAGACATGTAAACAACCCAAATGCCTATCAATGATAGACTGGATAAAGAAAATGTGGTACATATACACCATGGAATACTATGCAGCCATAAAAGGAATGAGATCATGTCCTTTGCAGGGACATGGATGAAGCTGGAAGCCATCATCCTCAGCAAACTAACACAGGAACAGAAAACCAAACACTGCATGTTCTCACTCATAAGTGGGAGTTGAACAATGAGAACATATGGACACAGACAGGGGAAGAACACACACCAGGGCCTGTTGAGGGTTGGGAGGCGAGGGGAGGGAACTTATAGGATGGGTCAATAGGTGCAGGAAACCACCATGGCACATGTATATCTATGTAACAAATCTGCACATTCTGCACATGTATCCCATTTTATTTTTAAAACAGATAAAAAATTTGAAAAAGAAAATTAAAAAAGGATAGTGCATGTTGTTCCTTTCTAAATATTAAAATCCAGTGGTACAAGATTTTTTTGCAAAGATTAAGAGCCAAAGCAATATTATTGATGATATAGATATGCAGATATGCAGATACAGGTATAGGTAGACAGATATGTTTATATGTGAGTGTGTGTAACTCTTGTGCTGAGTATATATGTTTATGTCTCCATATTTTTATGAAGAAATTCTCTATTGGGGATTCTATTCTGGACTTAAATCTTGAAGAAAATCTATGAGAGAGAGAGAGAGAGAGAGAGATACTATATTTCTCTGGAAAACCTAACTAATTCCACTATCTCTGATATGCAGATTCTTTCATGAGGAAAAAAATAGCATAGGAACATACCCTCTTTGTCTACTCTGCCTCTGAGATAGTCAGAACCTTCATATGTCCTGTTATAACACATATAATATAATGCATTCTATGCATTCTGCCTTCATTCACATTTTTTTCTATATTGATATCTGGTCCATAGTGCCCAGAAACGGAACATGTTCAGAGGCAGTAATAGAATATAAAATTTTACTTCTGTATTTTGTTGAATATAAAAGTACCACAGAGCCAATAAAAATAGAAAGCTGAAGAGTAGAGGAGAACTCAGTGAGGGATTATGCAAAATTGATCATCATTATGAGTTAGATACTGCTAAATTATTTTTAAACTTGTTATAAAATTCCTCTATAAATGCTATAAAATGAGTAGGAGACAGCAAATATGTAGGCATCTCAGCCTATGATGGAAGTTATCAAAAAACTCAGGGTTGGCACTAGGAAGGGAATATAAAGAGGACAGTCAAAGAAATATGCAGCAAAGCCCTTATCTAGTTCAAATGTCAATATTGCTGCTGGCCTTTTCTCATTTATATATTAGTTATTGACTGAAAAGAACATAGAGCTCTAAGAAGATGCCAAAATATCAAAGTGTAATACCGTACACTATATATAATCTATGCATTCTTTTGAAAAAAAAGTGATATAAAACACATTAGTAATGCATTTACTTTGAGTTCTCAATGAATTTCCAGAAATCATAGACTCCATGAAATAAAATCTAAATGATTATAATGCTCATAAAATGTAGTTAGTAGAAACTAAGTCAATGATTGAAAGAACTGGATATTGCAAGGAAAATAAAAGCGCAATAGAAAGACCTCTAACTCAGGCCATAGTGGCATATCTTGTACTGGTCTAGCCCTCCTGCTGTGAATAAAATATGAAAATGGATAAATTATATGAAACAAACATATTATATATTGGATGCCTGTGAGAGTTGGTTGTGATTCCCGAGATAATGGAAACAAATATGGTGAGACCCACAATGGCTCTAAATTTATGCTTGAAGGTACTTTCTTTTCTGTATATAGAACAAATAGTAGAGCCCAAACCAACTTCAGTGGTCTTGTTGAAATAGAAACAGAGCTGCAGTAACCAAGACAATGTGGGAATAGCATGAAAATGGGAAGATAAGTAAACATCTATATAAATAACTCAGAAATAGACCCACACCTAGGTGTTTAAATGAATTTTCAGTAAGACACCAAAGCTATTCATTGGTGTAACAAAATGAAGTGTTTTCAACAAATGTTGCCAGGTCATTTAGCAATCCACATGGAAACTATTGATCTCAACCAATATTTACAATGCAATATAAAATTTAATTTGAAATAATATGTATAGATGAATAGGTAGAAGAGGCCATGAGATATTCAGGAGACAGTGGGAGTGGGAGTCAGGGTGAAACATAGATATAGTGGGGAGTTGTGAGTCTTGCTTGCTTTGACTGTATAGTTTTAGACAAGCCCAACATACTCATATCAAGTGTTCCAACATGTGAAATATAGAATATTTTTGTCCTTGGGACCAGTGATTATTTCTTAGATAAAACACAGAAAGCTCTAAGCATAAATGCAAGAAATATGTTAAAAAATGACTGCATCAAAATCTAAAACTTATGCTCATCAAGACATCTTTAATTAAAAGAATGAAAAACGAATCACAGACTTGGAGAACATATTTGCAAAATAGATGTTATAGATGGCTTATATCCAAAAATATGCAAAAAAAACCTCTTAAAACTCACTGACAAGTAAACAAGCACCATTAAAAATATGCAAAAAAATCTCAGCACATACATCACTGAAGGTATACAGACAGCAAGTAAGCAAATAGCAACATCGAACATCATTAGAGAATTGAAAATTAAAACATCAATGAGATGACACTTTATATCCATTAGAATGGCTCAAATCTGAAACACTGATGCCAGCAAATGTTGACAACAATGTGAAGCATCAGTAAATCTTATTTATTGCTGGTAAGAAGGCAAAAGGTACAGCAACTGTGGAAGACAGTTTGGCAGTTTCTTACAATGCTAAATGGAGGCTTATCATGCAATCCAAAAATTGTGCTTCTTGATATCTACCCAAATTCATAGAAACTTTATGTACACACACCACACACACACACAAACCCTTCACACAAATGTTTATGCAGTTTTATTCACAATTGCCCCAAATTAGAAGCGACCAAGAAATCATTTAATTGGTGAATGGATAAACAAATTGTGGTACCTTTATACAGTGGGACGCACCAAATAATTTTAAGGGATGAAAAGAAATGACCTATCAAGACATGAGAGGACACAGAAGAAATTTAAATGCATATTAGTAAATGAAACAAGCCAATGTGAAAAAGATTAAAGTTGATACTGCCTGGTATCAACTATATGAATTTCTGGAAGAGACAACACATTTTAAATTTTATTTTATTGTATTTTTTTTTTTTTTGAGATGAAGTTTTGCTCTTGTTGCCCAGGCTGGAGTGCAATGGCACAATCTCAGCTCACTGCAACCTCCACCTCCCAGGTTCAAGCGATTCTCCTGCCTCAGCCTTGCAAGTAGCTGGGATTACAGGCACATGCCACCACGCCCGGCAATTTTTTTGTATTTTTAGTCGAGATGGGTTTTCACCATGTTGGCCAGGCTGGTCTCGAACTCCTGATCTCAGGTGATCCACTTGCCTCAGCCTCCCAAAATTCTGGGATTACAGGCATGAGCCACAACACCTAGCAAAACTTTTAAAGGTAAAAAGGTAAAAACATCCATGGTTGTCAGGGGCTGGCAGAGAGAAAAAGGGACAGATGAATAGATGGAGCACAGGAGACCCTTAGGGTTGAAAACTATTCTGCATGTTACCTTAATGGTGGATCCATGACATTATGCATTTGCCAAAACTCATAGAACTGTGCAACACAGAAAGTGAACCCTAATGTAAACTTTGGAATTTAGTTAATAACAATGATGTATTCATATAAGTTTATCAATTGTTACCAATGTACCACACCAAAAGCAAGATGTTCATAAAAGAGGAAACTCAGGGCAGAGGGGATGTGGAGAGAGTATATGACAATCCTGTGCACTTTCTGCTCAATTTTTCTATAAACCTCAAACCGCTCTAAGGAAATAAATTCTACTAAAAGAAATCTGGAAGTGAGACTGCTGATTCAACCAAAAGCTGTAGACATTGTATACAGCTTTCTGTATTTTCTTGTAAGAAACAATACAGTAAATCCTGTATTTTAACTATTCATTATAAGTGAGGGCACTTACACAAAATGATACCATATGCTGCTGATATTAATTAACCTGCATTTTTTTTTAAATCTTGCTACAAAAATTTAGGGAGTCAGTATTTAAAAAGTGCCAATTTAAGCAGCATGTGAGTTAATTTCACTTATGGAGTCTTAAACAGGGAAGCTTATAATGGAACACTATAATTGAATACAAGGTCAAAACACCATTTTTGGTACTTTTTCAATGTAAACATTTCTTATAAAAGCAGCCATAGGGTAGGCAGCATAGGATTTCTTTAAATACTGCGAGTTGAAATACGTCAAAAGAATTTCACCAGCAAACAAATAGTATTATATTTTTTCTCATTCGTCATGCCTCAGAGTACCATCATGTCCCTCTTAAACGAAGCAAACGTAATTCCTTATTCTTGTGTTAAACAATACTGGGACTATACAAAGTGTCCTTATCTTAAACAAGGCAGGATCCAGATATATTTTCCTGCCCCTACATTAAATAGTGCGACAAGCCAATATATCTTAACTGCTAGCACTAGGAAATGCCTGCTTCCAGAAGATACTATAGGTAAGTAGCAGCTCCTTTATGACTAAACAGCTTCCTCATCAACAGGCGCTTAAGAACTCTCAACACTTTGAGCCAACTAAACCAAAGTTATTATATCATAAATTTGTCCATACCAAAACAGTTTTCTCCTGTAAAAAATCCACTTTAAAATCACCCAACCAAATATTATTTTTTGTTTGCCTTTACTAGCTGGTAAAGGTGTCCCATATAACTATAAAGAACATTTTAGTACTGTGTAGTACTGGTATAATTTAGGGTACACACTCACAATTCAACAAAGTCCTGAAACAGGTTCATGGTCAGTTCAAATCTAAAATCATAGACCTTAATGTGGTCATGGAATATTTTATTTATTTTGGTAAGAACACTTAATATTAGATATGCCCTGTTAACAAAACTTTAAGTGTAAAATACATTATTGTTAACTGTGGTACGATGTTATGCAGCAGATCTCTAGGGGTTTATTCATCTTGCTTGACTAAAACTATACACTCATTGATTAGTAACTCCCTATTTCCCACTTCTTAGTCCCTGGCAACAACCATCTCACTCTTTGATTCCATGTATCTACCAAATTACATAAATGGAGTCATGAAATATTTGTCTTCCTGTGGATAGCTTATTTCACTTAACATAATATCCTCAAGGTTCATCTGTATTGTCAGATACTACAAAATTCCCTTTCTTTTTAAGTCTGAATAATATTCCAATGTACCTATTGAAAAGGAAAATAACATCTTGAGACCCCAAACTCACTATGCCAAAGGGAAAAGTTAAGCTTGGGGAATGAGTTATGTAAAAAACTAACTTCTTGTTCTTCCTAATCAGATAGCTACCAAATAGAAGGCCACATATCTCCCTAGGCATCCTTCTTCACCCTGAAAATATAAATTAACAGCTTATTTTCACAGGTAGGGGACAAAGACAAGAAATCATTCCTCTGACTCTGAGACAAAGGTATATTTGGTTTTTCCACTACTCCGTTTATTTTATTTTATGTAAAATGCATATTTACTGAGTGTGAGATGAATGCATACTTGACTGTTCTCTTTCCTCTCCTGCCCACTCTTTCCCCTTTAAATGTTAAAGTCCTCAAAATGCTTTTTCAATAAAGCACAGGCCACAGATTCTACTGTAACTTGTGTCTCTTTTTCCTGGGGAATTCCTCAACTTTGTCAAAATAAACCTCAAAATGGATTGAGACCTATCTAAGACACTTTGTTGTTTGCAGTACATACCACATTTTCTTTATACATCTATTCCATTCATGTGTTGTTGAACATTTAGGTTGTTTCCGCACCTTGGTTACTATGACTACTGCTACAATGAATACAAGAATGTCAATAGCTCTTTAAGATCTTGATTTTGTTACCAGTAGAAGGTATCTGAGTTACTGGTGGTGAATTCCTATGGGTCTGCTGCAACCTTAATTCTTGCCTCCTCAGAAGAAATAATTAGACTGAGGGGTATAAGGCAAAAAATAAAAATAAAAAAGAGACAGAGGCAAGTTTTAGAGCAGGAGTGGAAGTTTATTTAAAAGGCTTTAGAACAGGAAAGAAAGGAAAATATGTTTAGAAGAGACCCAAGCAGGTGACTTGAAGTACAAATGCGATGTTTAACCTTTATTCCTAGGACTTTATAGGTTGGCCCCTTTGCCATACTTCTTCCCTTAGGGTGGGCTGCCTACATGCACAGTGTTCTCCTTACCCTTGGGAAGTGAGCATGTGCATTGTATTTAGGAAGTTGTACGCATGCCCATCTCAGGCTTTCTTCCCCTTTTCTGGTGTAGTGCCGCCAGAAGGCCATTTTGCTGGTGCCTGCACTCAATTAACACTTTAGTGCGATAGGTGTAGACCATCAGGAAATGGCCTCACCTTGGCACCAGCTGCCAATTTATCACTTTTAGAAAGGCAATGTGATAATTACTGAACTATCACTTGACATTGTTAGTGGATCAGCGGAGAGCCCTCTCCTGCCCTACTCATGCCTGACTAACTACCTGTAACAATTTCAACTATTTTGGATAAACATCCAGAAATGGGATTCCTGGATCATAACTTTAGTTCTATGTTTAATCTTTCGAGTGAATGCCAAACTGGTTTTCATAGCAGCTGCAGTAGTTTGCGTTTCCATCAACAGGGTACAAAGCTTCCAATTTCTTGATATTCTCAGAAACACTTTTTAAAAAAATAATAGCCATCCTGACGTGTGTGAGGTGATACATTATTGTGTTTTGTTTGTTTGTTTTACATTTCATTTTCCTGATGATTAGGGGCATTGTGCATTTTCTCATGCATCTGTTAGTCTTTTGTATGTTTCATTGGTGAAATGTCTACTCAAGTCTTTAGGCCATTTTTAAAAACTTAGGTTATTGGTGTTTTGTTGTGTTTTGTTTTTTTACCATTGAGTTGCAGGAGTTCTTTATATATTTTGGAGACTAACTTCTTATGTAGACAAAAAAATAGCAATAACTCAAATAAAATCAGAAATTAAAAGACGAGATATTACAACTGATGCACAGAAACAAAAAAGATTATGAGACTACTATGAAAAATTATATGCCAACAACTTAGAAAATCTAGAGGAAACTGATAAATTTTCAGAAATATACGAGCTACCAAGACTAAATAATAAGGAAATAGAAAGTATGAATAGATATGTAACATAGTATAGAGATCAAATTAATAATTATAAACCTCAACAAAGAAAATCCCAGAACTGGATGCCTTCACTGGTGAATTCTTCCAAACATTTAAGGAAGAATGAAAGTTAATGACTTTCAAATACTTCCAAAAATATTAAAGAGGAGGAAACACTTTTAAACCTTTTATATAAGGCCAGTATTTCCTTAATACCAAAGCCAGACAAGAAAATAAAACTACAACCAATATCCCTGATGAATATAGATACAAAATCCTCAACAAAATATAAGCAAACTGAATTCAAGAGTTCATTAAAAGAAGTATGCACCATGAGCAACTGGAATCTATCCCTGGAATGCTGAGATGGTTCAGCATACAAAAATCAATTGATGCGATATATTACATTAACAGGATAAAGGATAAAATCACCTGATCATCTGAAAAGACACAGAAAAGCAATTGCCAAAATTCAGCAGATTTTCATGATAAGCTTTCAACAAACTAGAAATAGAAGAAAATTACCTCACTATAATAAAGGTCATATATGAAAAGCCCACAGCTAATATAATTCTCAATGGAGAAAAACTGAAATCTTTTCCTTTAAGATCAGGAACAAGACAATGATGCTCACTATTGTCCAATTTAAGATCTACTTTGTCACATCTTCAGTAAGTTAGAATTTTGGGGCACATATAACTACTAATCTTAATCATTTCAGAGACTTTTTTCTTTCGTCAATTAAAGGAGTGCAGTCCAGATATTTAATCTCTCCCTGATGTAAATAATGATATCCCTTTCACTCGCATCCATGTGAAGAGACCACCAAACAGGCTTTGTATGAGCAATAAAGCTTTTTAATCACCTGGGTGCAGGCGGGCTGAGTCCGAAAAGATTCAGCGAAGGGAGATAGGGGTGGGGCCATTTTATAGGATTTGGGTAGGTAAAGTAAAATTACAGTCAAAGGGGGGTTGTTCTCTGGTGGGCAGGAGTGGGGGTCACAAGGTGCTCAGTGGGGGAGCTTTTGAGCCAGGATGAGCCAGGAGAAGTAATTTCACAAGATAATGTCATCAGTTAAGGCAGGAACAGGCCATTTTCACTTCTTTTGTGGTGGAATGTCATCAGTTAAGGCAGGAACCGGCCATCTGGATGTGTACGTGCAGGTCACAGGGGATATGATGGCTTAGCTTGGGCTCAGAGGCCTGACAATCCCTAGTATAAGGTGGACACAGTTAGTTAGTTTTGCTCTTTAATATATTCCGAAACTAGACCTAGCTACATAATTTGTAGATCCTAGTGCAAAATGAAAATGTGGAATTCTTTGACCAAAATGCAAGAAAAAAAGGACACATATTGTATGTTTCCACTTATATGAAAGAATCAGAATAGGCAAATCCATAGTTAGATAAAGCAGATTAGTGGTTAGCAAAGAATGCCCACTTAATGGATATTAATGGATATGTGGTTCCTATTTGGGGTAATAAAAATTTCTGGAACTAGACAGTGGTGATAGTGATTCAATATTGTGAATGTACTTAACACCACTGAATTATGCACTTAAAAATGGTTAAAATTGTAAATTTTACATTATGTGTATTTTATCAAAATAACATTTTAAAAAGCGGGAAAAATGTGATGATAAAGGTGATAAGTTATAAAAGTTTTTGCTTTCTTTTGGAGTTCATCTCTCAGCTTGTCATGTGTTTTTAATTTGCTGTTTAATATTATAAATAACAAAAAATCAAAAATTAAAATGATTAGCATGAATTTTAAATTCCTCTTTATATTTTTCAATGCCAATCAGTATTCTATAACTCATATATACATAGGTATTTTACCCGTGTCAGAACAGTGGAAATGCTGAATAAAACTCAGTTGCTTCATTTAATTTGACATGCATACCCTCGATCTTAGGCTTACTGATGAGTAAGTGAGGACTAAAAATAAAATGAACAACGAACTACCGTTTCTTTGCCTTTCCTTCTAGGTCATCATCTTCAGCATAAGTGGTTGACTAAATACAGGGAAGAATTATGAGTAAGATAGGATATGACAGGGCTCCTTGATTTTTCAAGTTTCATAGAACACTATTACCTTCTTAGAACATTGGAAGCCAAAGGAAATGTGGCCTATCCAGACTTTCAGCACCTTCACTTACCCAGTGGTAGAAGTAACATGCATTCTTTGTACTTACTTTGAGTCTCACTGAACTCCCATTCACATGTACTTTGGATCCACCACAATTCTGTGCTCAGAGGACACTGCAATCCTTATATGTGAGTGGGATGTCAAGGAACTCTACACATGGATCCTGTGGCTATCTCCTTTGCTCAACATCTATACTCCATTATCTCATCCCATTTCACTGACAAAACACAAATTTAAAAGTAAAATTAACTTCAAGATGTTGAAAACAGTCTTCCACCACATGTGGGGCCCTGCTGAGTGTGAGGTTCCGTATAACTTCACTGGTCCCCTGCCCATGAAGTCAACTTTGCTCCAAATACATTAGTTTGTATCCTCTTTTTAATCCTAACTTCTCCCATTAAAATTACTCCACCACCAAAATATTGTGTCCCCTGCATTTGATTTCATACAGACTCAGGGAACTCAATTTATCAGTTTGAAAGACATGAATTTAATAACATTAAACCAATTTTTAACTTCTAGATGATATAATTAATATCCTTTGTGGCTTTTTTCAATTATTTATGTGTTTCAACCCAAAATTAATGACTTGGTAATTTTTTTGTTAAGCTTCCTCATGTTGACCTTAGAACAGTTACATTATTGAACATTCTGATTCCCAGGTGTCCCCTTTCTTATCATTTAAGGTTGAAATCCTGAGGAACAGATGCTTCTGTTGAAAAGTTATTTGTTTATTTTACATCTTTTTTTTTTTTTTTGAGATGGAGTCTTGCTCTGTTGAACAGGCTGGAGGACAGTGGTGTGATTTCTGTTCACTGCAACCTCCCCCTCCTTGGTTCAAGCAGTTCTCCCGCTTCAGCCTCCCAAGTAGCTGGGATTACAGGTGTGTGACACCAGACCTGACTAATTTGTGTATTTTCAGTAGAGACGGGGTTTCACCATGTTGGCCATGCTTGTCTCGAACTTCTGACCTCAAGTGATCCACCTGCCTCAGCCTCCCAAAGTGCTGAGATTACAGGCATGAGCCACTGTGCCCGGCTATTTATTTATTTATATCTTAAGTCAATAATGTTTGTTTTTATTTTCTCCCTATGATTTTCTGATATTAATTTTCACACTTCTCATATATTTATTGTGTATTTTTATTTTTGATCTTTAATTGTGTTTATCATCCTATATCCAGATTATTTTAACATCCTTATAATTTATTTCTTTGTCCTTATCTCGATTACACTCATTCTCCAATCCATACTGTTGCCAAAGGGATAACGTGGCGACATGTATCTTACATGAGTCATTTACTTATTCTAAAACTTGCTTTGGTCTTGCATTGTCTGGTACATAAATTCAGACTTAGCTGATGTACTACATCTACTGCATTGAAACACACTATTGAATAGGCAGGATTGATCAAAGGGAGAGTTACAAAGGGCATTCAATCCCTATAGAAGCTCCATAGAATCCAACTCTAGAGGAAGATACTAAATAATCTAGCAGTCACTTTACTAATTTTAGTCAGAAATACAGAAAAATTTCTGCAGTAAGAAATAATTTATAGAAAGAAATAGAACAAAATAAGGAAAAGCAGAAACAATAAAATACTTTAGTATCCTTGCCCCTATAAAAGTGAAGGTCATCAAAAATGAAAAATTGTAAATAAGAAGGTAAAAAGTAATCAGCAATTGCACTGCAGGTACTCCACTTACAGTTGTGGTGGCTACAGCAACCCTTGATGGTGAAAAAATCACAATGGAATTAGGTAAATCATAATTAGAATTGAAGTCAAACAGAAACATTTAGCATTACTTGTGGTAAGATCTGTGCAAGACTTTGCAAAAGGACTGTGCCTCAAATAAACAATGTCAACAAAGAAGTTCAGTTTTGTATGAAAATGTTAATTTGAATCTTCCATCTCACAGTGTATCTAGGCACTCAAGATCCATTTCTTGTCTGCTGAATTTAGCTAATATAAACTGTGTAGTTGCATATTTATGTTGAACCACCTGTTCTATTTCTCAACGTTGATGCCTAAAGGAAAACTCAAGAAATCTAAGAAGTAATACCGAATAGAAACGTATTCTCCAAGATGTCTTTGTCATTTAGCCTGAGATTGGAGTACCTGCACCAACCAGCTGCTCACCTTGTACTCCTCAACTTTTCAAAAATGCTGAATCTCCTCAGCGCATAATAGAGACAGAACAAAAAGCCAACATAAAGCAGACTTCCAACTTTTTATAGTTTCCTCTAGTAGGAAAGATCTTTTCAATTTTTCCTCTATTGTTTCATTATCTGGAAAGCTCCATATCATCGTTTAAGATCAACACAAGATCACCTCCATTGTGATATCTTACTAAGAACCCTCCTGTCAGGAGTAATTATCAATACTAGGGCTCTACAGTATTCTGTATGCACTCTAATTTAGTATCTCATTGATGGCATTGTTTTATAATGTCTCTGACCTTTCTCTGATGGGTTTCCTTCTCACTCTGGGTAAAGCTCAAAGTCCTTACTATAGATGTAAGGTGCTGCATGACCTGGCTTCCAGCTATCCCTTTGATCTCATTTCTTCCCACCTTTCTCACTTTCATGTTTCTGCAGTCAGATTGACCTCTGTACTCTGCCTCTTTCTGCTACTCCAGGACATTGGCACTACCATACCAGTCTTTTCTGGTCTTTTCTTTTAACATATTTTCCTTTAGATATATCATTGGTTTATTCCTTTGTCCCCCTCTTTACATGGCCTCATCAGAGATCCTTCCTAATCATTTCGCCAAAAATAGGCCTATTCCCACCATGTCACTTTTTCTATTTTTACCATCTTTTAGTTTCTCTTCATAATACTTTGTTCCCACAATTTTTTAAAAAAGTTTATTTGTTTGATGCTGTTGTCTATGTGCTCCACCAATACAATGTATGCTTCATAAAATAAGGATTTTTTCTATTTTTAAAAATTTTGAGATAATTGGAGATTCGCATACCATTGTAAAAATTGACTGCAGATAGATCTGTGTTCCTTTAATCAGTTTTCCCCAATGGTGACTTCTTGCAAAATTATAGGAAGATACAACCACCTGGATATTGACATTGGTTCAGTCAAGATATAGAACACTTCTATCACCACAGAAGAGAAGGACATTTTTTGTTTTACTGCAATCATTTGCTACCCAGGACTTTTCCTGGAGCACAATAGGTATTCGATAAATAGTTGTTGAATAGTAAACACATTTTAATCTCATATTTTAAACTATAGATTCCATAAAGGCAAGGACAGCATCACATCTCTTCAGTGATTGGGCCACCATCATCCATAGTTGTGAACATATAACAGGGGATTAATAAATGTTTATGGAAAGAATAAGATATTTTTCTTAAATTATAAAACACATGTTATCCCTTTATAAAACCTACATAAAAAGGATATAGGCCACAGATTGAAAAGACTCAGACTAACAAAAATAAAGAAAGATATAGTTGGCACAGAGTTTGTATTTTCAGTTTTCTGTTTTTCTTCCAGATCTCAGCTCCATGGACTTGGCAAGCCCACATTTGAATTTTGCCCTTTGATCATCATCAGATCACAAAAGATCATGCTGGTGTCCCTGCTTCTTCCTGGTGATTCTCTACAACTTCTATAGCTTGTACCACGCCACTTAGAGAAACAGAAAAGTAACTGAAGAGGAATGTAGTATACAGAATGTGAACCATACCTCAGTGAACATCCCTTCTTTCTAAAATTGTAATTCAAAAGTTCCCTGCTGTCTTCTCTCTTCATACAAACTTGGTTTTATGTGTGTGTGTGTGTTTGTGTGTGTGTGTGTGTGTTTCTAACCTAACTTTTCTAGTTGTTTTTAGCAAGAACATTGGTCAGCAGAAACTCAAGCTATTTCTTCTTAAGTAGAAATGGAATGTAGATATTATTTGAATATTTCAATTAAGTAAGGTGAATTATAGGCTTGGGATCTGTTAGGCTTCTTTCAGGGTGAAGTAATTATCACATTCATGACAATAAAAACACGAAAAGGAAAACATGATTGATGATACATACTATGAGAGCTATGTAATTTAATCAATTTTATATAATATAAAGAATTTTATGCAACTTTAACACAGTAATCTTTCTACCTTGCAAATTTTTAGTACACAATGCTGCAAGGAACATGGGTATACAGATTAATGGTATTATAAGTCTGTGCCTAAACAATTTTTTTAAAAAATACTAAATATACTGGAATGTGCAAAAGAAGCACCTAAGAAATGCTGGCTATCAGATTATAACAGTGGGCTATTAAAAAGAGAATAATGTAATGGAAATGATTGATATAACTATTCTGGTTAGAAACTGCAAAACATTTCAGTTGACCTTAGACAAAAAATGAATATGCAATATGACAAAAGAAGTAGACTGCAAAAATGGCAAGATAACTCAAATATTCTCTAATTTACACACATGCATAAGTAGTAATCTGTCATGAATTGGCACCACTTCAGCTGAAATAAACCAATAAATTGTCAGTTTCAGCATTTTGGAAAAGGCTTTATTCAGCACCCATTCACTCAGCCAATAGTGGCTGAATGACGGCAGATACTTAGGCAACGAGGCTTCATTACAGAAACGGTTTCTTCTGTACACTAAGAATCTAGTGGATGAAACACAAATTAATTGAATAATCACAGAAATATATTTATAATTGTAAATTGGATACCTATTAGAAGGAGAGAACATTGAATAATGGCAGAACAGTGAACACAATTACTGCCTATCCAACAGCCACTACCACTTCTTGCTTTTTAGTCATAGTCCCTCTTACACGGTTGAAGTATTTTGCCACATCCCCCTTCCTCCCTGCTGGGATCTTCTTAACCAAGGTTGCCACGTTTGGGGCTCCAGAAGTATCTTGCCAAGGTAAGGAAATCATCTGAGAAACACGGGATGTCAAGTCAGAAGCTTTGCATCTTGGCATTGAGCCACTGTTAGCCACTAGATTCATCTATGTAAAATGAATAAAACTCATACAATTACTTGGACAATATTCAGTTATTTGGAGCTAAACACATCTGTATTAAAAAAAGCAATATGAACACACACACAAGCATATTCACTAGTATATGCTACTATTATCTCCATGTAATTGTTAACATTTTATATAATGATATTGTCCAACTATTTTAAATGAACATTTACTTCAAAGACTTAAATGTATGTTTGAAAAAAGTGTTTGAGAATTAAGGTTGACAGCATTACTGTCTCCTGTATGTCAGAGTACATTTTATTTTTCATCACTTCAGTGAAATGTGAAGCTAGATACAGCCATAGAAAACACCAATAGAAATTTAGCCTATTGCTATCAAATGTCTTCAATACAATTTTTAATGAAATTCTCATTTCTCTGCCTCACTAATACAGCCTGTTAAAGCCAATAAAGCATTTTAGAACTCTTTAGAAATAAGTGAACTCAAGGGAACAGTATTTTCCAGGAAAATGATAATGTGATACAGAGCCTTTTATGTTTGGGTCACTAGTTTGAAAGTAGCTCACGTTGTAAGTGATGGAAAGTCATTACTGTTCACTGGCCTATGTGAAATTAGTAGGTGGTTTCAGTCAAATTGTTAGTGAATAGGTGTTCACATCCCAACTGGCATTAATTGACATGCATGTTGACAGTTTTATTATGAGTACCAAGGACTGTAGGCAATGAAAATATGATTTGGGGCACGTGACAAGTAACAGTCCACAAGGCCAGGCGAAGGTATGTTTCTGAGAATGTACCCATGGAAAGAGTTTGAAAGTTTTTTCTTCTCAGGAGTTTCTTTGAATGGTTTCTTTAGTGCTCAGAATTTTTAAATGGCAGAGGTTTATTTAGAACATTGATTTGTTTTATCTCTAATGCTGCTCCATATTTTCAGAATATTAGTTTTTAAATCCCATGTTATTTAGAGTACATCCAAAAGCTAGTTATCAATTTTCTTAAACCAATTAAGTTATAACCTCTTGGCTAGAGCAAGTAATCACTTGTTTTCTAGATGATTATGAAATTTAACCAACTTTGGAAGTAAAATAGAATGTACCTTATAGAGATTCACCAAAATTCCTTGACTCAAATAGCACTGAAATATAATTTTTCTGTATAGAAAAATGTATAGCTGTCTGTCTGAATCTCCTAATTAACTGTCAGGTGTAACTGGCAGAGGCTGAAAGGTCAATTTAATCAAAATCTCAGATATACCATCAAGTAAACAAATATATACCGGACAAAGGCAATGCTTATAAATTGTTCAATTTTGTGAAAGTCTGATAGTAATGTCCAGTAGATATAATTCTCTAAATAGGTCTCTTTCTCTCTCTTGCTCTCTGACACACACATGTAAACATACACACCAATTAGGAAATAAGCCATCCAGTAACCATTTGTTACTGAGTACCTATTATTTTATTATTTTCTAGGAACTTTAGTCTTCTTCAATATGATAGCTCATCTAATGCTCTCAAAACTCATAAAGATTGCCATTTGTATTTCCATATCATAGGTGAAAGGCAAGTCTTAGAGGAGTAAAAGTGGTTATCCAGGTACCAATGACTAAATAGGTCAGGTTTTACATTCTGTGTTTTTGTGACTTCAAAATCCATGTTTATTCCACTACACTAATGGAGTGCCTATTTCGAATTACAATTTAGCATTCATAAGCAAATAATTTCCGCTTTTTTAGCGATCTTATATGAAATAAGAGATTATAAATAAATGTATTCCTAAATCCCTGTTAGCTGACCTATTATAAGATTATGGCTATATTCTAGTTGTTGCAGGCAAGAATTAGAATCATTAACTATGTTCTATCTAGAGTGCATCTTAATGGTAGGTGCTATGCAGAGTGCAAGGGGAAGAATACAGGAACTTGCTTAAATGCTAGGAAATGAAGATTAGTAACTATATAGTATGAACATCAAGTTTTATGTAAGGAATAAGTCAAGAATTTTAATGGATGAACAGTTATTACCAGGAGAGGAAAACTGTAAGCAAAAAAAAAAAAAAAGCAAATGAGAAAATTAAGTCAATAATATTTAAAAAGAAGATATATAATTGTGAGAACAAGTTTTACCATGTATGAAATACATAATCATTCCTGGGTGAGATTTGTTGCCATTAATTCTTCTATAGAAGGCTCTAGACTTGGAATCTCACGACTTTATGCACTTTTTTTTCTCTCATATCAAACTAAAGAAAGGCTACTCTGTTGGATACACATTAAGGGATGGCATCATGAATATAGTGGAAATTGGGTTGGGTCTCAAAGGATAAGAAGAGTAACTGAAGGCATATAAAATGATTTTCCTATGTACTTTAAATTTCTCATTCTGATAGCAGGATTACTAAAATTCTTGGTAGAAAATGTCTTTGCTTAGTAAATTGCACTGAGTATAAAACAATGCTAGAGCAAGGGAAGAAATGAACTGTTAAAAATTAACTACAAAAGCTCAATGGCAGATTTTAATGAGATCAATCTAACTGAGCCAAAATTGAGGCTTTTTATTACAGGAGCTCTATGATGCAATTTTTTTAACATTTGGAAAATTACAAAATTTTATTAATTCTGTATACTACAGTTTATTCATATTTAAGTAAATACCAAAATGATATTGAATTTGATTAAAAACTTTTAAAGCCTTCTGCTAAAATTGTCTATGGAGGCCATGGAAGGATCCTTTAAAAATAATATCGCTGATTGATAGGAAATTTTCACCCATTGAGGATGGGTTTGATTTGAGAAAATAGTAAGACCCAGTTTAATAGCAGTATGGCAAATTAGGCAAAAGATTCTAGGTGTGAAATGCTGTTTTTGATCAAATTGAAGTGTGACTGAAAACTAACATAAGTGATTTGTGTGTCTGTGACTTAAAAACTAGGACTGATGGCAATTCCACAGGAAGAATGAAAAAATTTAAGCACCGTTAGAATATTTGAACAGTGTCTAAAATCCTCTTGAAATGGCTATTGTGAAAGGAAAAACAATCCCTATTTCAATATTTTGCAAGTTTGTTAGAAAATTTAATTTTATATACTACTCATATTAGGTATAGAAAGTAAATATAACAAACCAAAATTGGACATATTAAAATTCATTTTAATCATCAGCAACAAAGCAGAAAGACTAACCTGTTTTAAAAATTCATTAAGTATTTAGCCAAAATTATTTTAAAATAGCAAAGGGAAAAATAAAACCACTAGAGTAGATATTTCAAAATCCTGGATGACAGGTAAATCATTCAACACCTTTGATTTTCATAACTCTGGTAATATGCAGGCTTATTTCGAGGTTAAAATTAAAGATTGCATTCGGAATTGTTTTGTCAAATGCACAATGCTGTAGAAAAGTTAAAAATCTTGATTGTGATCATTCACTTCCTTTTCATTGTTATTGTTGTGTTAGTGTTATATCAAGTAGGATATTGTATTTGCCCAATAACATGTAATTCGTTTCAAAGTGGCTCAAACAATAAGTCCATTTACTGTATTGTGTAACATTAAATCCAAGGTATTCGAGCTTCAAGACTGATTAATTTACTGACTCAGTGATGTTATCAACAATCCGTCTTTCATTTCATTACCTTGTCAGCCGTGTGCTTGTCCTACTCTTTATAAGACTGCTACTTTTTCAAGTATCACATCCAAACATAGCAGTGGTCAGAGAGAGAGAGAAAAAAATACTTTTCCTCTGCTGAAGAATAAGGCTGCATTTTCCAAGATATTTACTAGATGTTTAGCACTCTCATGTAACTCTCCCTCAGTCTTATTGGCAGAGCTGGGATATACGACAACACTAAACAAGAAATTGGCAAGAGAAATGGAATTATTATGAGGCCTCAGACAGGTTGGGATTTTCTCAGAATTGAGGAAGGGTCAAATTCCCAGAGAATGACTACCTGAGCTAAATCATGGCTGTGTTAGAAAGGTGATCAACAATATACCCACACATACCTATTGGTTCAAAGATTTTGTTGTTGTTACTGGAGAACAGTAATTGGTTATTTTTGTTTCCTAGAGCACTGGGGAATCAATAGTTGTGTAATGCTGTAAAGTTCATGTCTGTTACTCACAGAAATACTACATGTCTTTGCAGTATAAGAGCAGTAGGTTTCTTCCTTTCCCACCCCAAAGATAGCCAAAAGGCTGCCTTTGGGCTCAGGTTTTACATGGTCTATGTAATCTACTATATATATTTGAATGACCAAGTCAATCAGAACTATTTTCTATGAATTTTAAGGACAAGTTATAAGTGAAAAATTTGACGAGATTTTATAAATATTCATGTAATCACCACATGTTTATAGAATTTTCATTCACTTCCTTTTCATTGTTGTTGTGTTGGTGTTATATCAGGTAGGGTAGATCCAAAAATTCCCTCATTCTCCCCTTTTAGTCAAACTTCTACCTCACCGCATAGCACTGACAACCACTGATATGCTTTCTATCATTTTAGTTATTACTTTTCCATAACTTTATATAAATGGAATTATACAGTTTTTTTGTGTCTGGCTTCTTTCATTAGCCACAGTATTTATGAGATTCTTTCACAGTGTTGTATTTAATAATAATTTGTTTCTTTTCACTGGTGAGTATTGATATACCGTATGTGTTAATCTCTTCACCAGTTGATGGATATTCATTATGAATAAAGCTACCTTAAATATTAAAATAAACATTCTTCTGTAGCATATGCTTTCATTTCACTTGAGTAAACTTCTAAGAATAGGATTGCTGTATCATAGGGTAAGCTGTGTTTACCTGTATAAGTATGTATTTAACTTTATTAAACAACTACTCTTCAGATGTTAAAAGTGGCTGTGCCATTTTAGATTGTCAGTCTCAATGTATGAGAGATCTGTTTCACATTCTTGACAACTGGTTATTGTCCATCTACTCTTAATTTTAGCTATTTTATTCTTGATTAGGAATATGTCATTTGGTTTTAACGCATGTTATCTTATTGCTAATCATGTTCAACAGCTTTTCATGTGCTGATTTGGCTTATTTTCCTTTTGTATACATATTTTTTATGTAAAGTCACTGTTAAAATATTTTACCTGCTTTTATAGGGCTGCCTTATTATTGAGTTGTAACAGTTATCTCTCTAGCCCATGTGTATGTAAGATATATAGATTTATATATAATATATATTTATATATAAGATATATATTTGTATATATGTTATATATTTTTATATAAGATATATATTTATACATATATGTGTATATCTTGTTTACATGTAAGATACATGCATATATATTATAGAGTCTTTTATTAGATATATGTATTAATATTTAAATACTAATATTAATTAATAATGTTGCATATATAAATACACATTAGATGTATGTATTTTGAATATTTTTTCACAGTCTGTGTTTTATCTTTGTGTTTTCTTAACAGTGGCTTTTAAAGAGAAAAAGTTATTTTTTTCCTCTTATGGTTCATATATTATTGTATGTCCTATCTGAAAAAATTTACCTAATCAAAGGTCATAAGTATTTTCTCCTATGTTATATTCTATGAGTTTTATTGTTTTAGCTCTTACAGATAGCAATATGATGCCTTTAAAATTAATATTTGTTTATTGGGTCAAGGTTTATTTTTTATAAAAGTATGGATGTCCAATTTTGCCAGCACATATATTGAAAATAGTATGCAATCTCTGTTAAATTGCCTTTGCACTTTTGCTGAAAATCAACTGACTATATATGTGGGGATCTATCATTCTTTTCCATCCTTTCATTAACACCTACGATCTTGATTGATATGGATTTATTGTAAATTTTGGACTCAAACAATGTATCTTCAAGTTTACCTTTGTTTTTCAAGATCATTTGCCTGTTCTATGCCATTTGAATTTTTATATGCATTTTAGAATTTTTTAATTAATGTTTTTACAAAAATGTCAGCTTGGATTTGATGAGAATTGTGTGAAGGTTATACATGAATACTTTGAGGATGGATATCTGAACAACACCGAATCTTGTGATTCATGAATCTGTTTTGTCTGTTCATTTATTTGTCTTTTTAAATGTTTCTCAGCATTATATAATATTCAGTGTACAGATATTGCATATATATTTTTCAATATTTCATATACGTGACTGTTTTATATAAATAATATTTTCTATATTTAGATTCTCAATGTTTCACCGCTACCGAGAAACAAAAGAGACAATTAATCTTTTTATTCTACTTGTATTCTGCAACCTTCTAAAGTAATTCATTACTTCGTGTAATTTTTTTGGTACATTTCTAAGATAATTTGTGTAGACAAAAATCTCATCTGCAAATAATGACTTCCACTTTTCTAATTTCTATGCTTTTAAAAATCTTTCCTTGTCTTATTAAAGTCTAAGACCTATGGTACAATGTCAAATAAAAGTGACGAAAATGGGAATCTTTCCTTTTTTGAGATTATGTATTAAAACCTTCAGTATTCCATCAGTACGTATGTTTATAGTAGTACATGTTTTGTACCTGCCATTTATCTGGTTAAGATATCCTTTCTATTCCAAATTTGCTAAAAGTGTTTAATAATTAAATAGGATTAAATTTTGTCAATTGTTTTCTTTAGATACCAAAATAATAATGGTTTTTAAAACATTTTCTTCTAAGAATAATTAAAACTACATTAATCTTTATAGGTTAAGCTTGCATTTCTGAGATTGAATTCAACTTGGTCATGAGGTATTAGTCTTTTATACAATGTTAGGTTCATTTTGCTAAAATTTTGTTAAGGATGTTTTGCATAAGTTTATAAGGGGTACTGACCTGTAGGTCTCTATTTTTTTCTACTTTTTCTCCCAAGTAGTTAATAATAATTCTAAGTGAATGTGAAAATAACTGACCATAAAAAAATGATGCAAAAGCTGGTAAACCTAAAGGAGAAATGGATAAATGAGCAATTATAAAGTTATATTTTAACAATCCTCTTTTAGTAACAGAGATTGAGTAGATAGAAATAAGTAAGAATATAGAATACTAAAAAAAAGTCAACAAATTTGACCTGACATTTTGAAACATGCCACAAACAATAACAGAAAACGCATTACTTACCAGTGTTCATGGAACCCTCAGCAAGATGGACATTTTTCTGTGTCATAATATCAGTCTCAATAAATTTAAAAGGCTGAAATTATACATACAACAGTATGTGATCATCTGAAATTAAATTTGAAATATCAGAAAAAATCCCAAATATTTCAAAATTAAACAACATACTTCTAAATAAATTATCGATTGCAGAAGAAATAGCAATGGCAAGTAGAAAATATACTAAAATAAATAAAAATACATACACAACTGGTCAATATTTATGGAATAAAACTTAAAAAGTGAGCTTAAAGTATAATTAAAAAAAGAAAAAAAAGAATTTTTCTATCCAATTTCAGTCAGCACAGAACAATACTTTATGTTCAACAAATCCATTTCATGCCCCTGTTGTGGGGAAGGAAATTGGGAATTGCACAATGAAGAAAGCAAATCGTTGGAATTTTTTCTTCTGAAGTTATGGAGATCTTTACTTTTGGAATTTGTTTCATATTTCACAGATATATCTTATGCAATATTCTAGATACTTGTGAATGTTTTTAAACATGAAAAATATCATTTCAAAATAAAAAAGTGATCAGAGGGAAATGTTACATTAAATGTTCATATTAGGTAAGAATCAAAGCCTCAAATGAATACTCTAAAAGTCTTCCTGAAGAAATTAAAACAACAATAACAATAACAAAACACTAAATTAAACTCAAAGCTAGTATGAAAAAGAAAATAAGACCAGAGCAGAGATAACTAAAATTGAAAACAGAAACATAATAAATAAATAAATAATACCAAAAGTTGGTACTTTAAGAGATTAAGAAATTCAATTTTTAAAATGAATGAGAAGATACAAATTACTAATATCAAGAATAATGAGGAGCTATGGTATCAGCTCTCACAGATATTAAAAGTATAATAAGATAGTATTAGAAAAAACTTTATGCAATACATTCTAGACCGTAGATGAAATGTATAAGTTCCTTGAAAGACAGCAACTCAATTACTGCAGCACACTCAAGGTGAATAAACTGAATAACCTTGAATCTATTAAAAAACTGAATTCATACTTAAAATATTTCCATAATAGTTTCCCAGTAGCACATATTTCACAATAAATGTTAGTTGTCATCATATTATTAATTTTTATTCAGTTATTCCATATTTATTGAGTTAGATATTTTAATTCAGAAATAATTATGATCTTAATTAGTAAATATTATTTTAAAGAACATCATGTTTTTATCAAATATATTTTTTCTCACTTTGGAAACTCAAAGGCAATAATTGTATTGTTATTCATTTAATATACATTAGATCATTTTTATTTCAATTATTTGCAATATTTTATCCCCTTTTGTATATCATATCTTTATCTCCTCATAATGCTAAATATTGGTCTACCCTTCAACCTCTTTTTTCAGAGATGTTTTTATATCTCATCTAATGTGCTATAGCATTGGACAAAATAATGCATCTCACTGGAAATCGATATGTCTTGTTTAAAGCTACCAAATTCCTTCCTTTTTTACTATCCAGCATCCTTAAAAATAATATGAATAAAAAGGATTTAATAGAATAGTCTTTCTCCTGTTAGAGAATGCCTGGAATATAAAATATGTCAAATGCATGAGAACTTGCTCAAAATATGACTATAATGCTATAGGCATATTAGTTAATGTAATTCAATAACAATTCTGAAAAGGCATGTTTAAACTTTGCTAAGTAGTGGTTTTTGAAAGGAAACAAATCTTCCTTTGAATTTGATTGAAAAATGCTTAACTACTCAATTTCTTCAACTAGCTTTGTTTGCATATAATTTGGTTTCACTGCTTTGTGACTGCACATTTGCATTTAAATAGATTCATCTTCAAATGATGTGCAACATACAATACAAATGTGAGAATGTGAGGCCATTTTGTAGAAGACATTTTTACTGACCTGATAGTCCCAAATGTTCCAAAACTCTCTTTGACATTTTAAGAATTGCACAATAAATTTTATCACACCTAGAACTCATACGGAAATTACAATTTGAAATGATTTCTCAGTGTGTGGCTGGAACCTAACTCTTTCCTTTATTCTTCACCTTATTCTAATGCACATTGATAAAAACTGAATATCTCATCCATTTTCTTAACTTCAAATCTGGGTAGAGGACTTTGCAATTTAAGGTAACTCAAATGACATTAAATACTTTTATTGATTTTTCCTTCTGTGTGCAATGTCTATTTGAATTCTAATAGTGTCAAGCAAAATTCCTTCATACTGAAAATTATAGAGGTTAAACTACAGCCAATATTAAAGTTTTAATTCTAATGTAGCCATTGAACATAGGTAACAATAAGATCATTAAAATATACATTCCTCTGTAAACCCTCGCTACCTTTTATATTTACATACTTTAAACCACTTGTACCTTACTTATTTTCCTGACAGAAAGTTGATTTGACAAAGGCTAGTACACAATGCATTGCATGAAGGCTCCTAGTATGTTCATGACTTGGAGATGGCCAGACTTGTTTTTATTTTTTCTTTTTTAAAAAATGATTTTTCTTTTAAGTCTCATCAACTCGATAGCATCAATCTAGTTTTTAACAATTGGCCTCCGTCACTAAAGCAAGAGCTATATAAATATAATTATTATATTTAATGCTGCAGTAGAGTTTATTCATGTGCTGTTTTACTAAAAAGTCTGTCTTTTGACGGAAACTGATTTCTTGCATCTGTGACAGGTAATAGAACTCGTACCAAATCTAATCAATATAATCCCAACCTAGTGAACAGAGCCATTCATCCAAAAATATAAGTTTTTTCAAACCAGAGTGGAGCCCAAGAAATAATCTCCATATAAAGTTCTCTCTCTGCTGAAAATAAGTTAATAAGAACTGCTAAGAACCACCTTGAGACCAAAAGGAGAAAAACTACTTCATAAAGGAGCCAGTTAAAACAACAAAAACTGAAAAAGAAAATGAAAAGGGAGAACTCATGGCTTGGTCATATTAAAAGAGTGCTGAATCAAACTGTATCTGAAATGTCTATTAATGTAATTAACTAAATTTACTACATTAAATTAAGTTAATCACACCAATTAATTACATCAAATTAAATAAAATGAAATTAAATTGTATATTAATGTAATTAATGAACTCTGTAAATGTATAATAACATATTGAAAGAAAATTATATTTTGCTTGAGATACATGTGGTTGATATTACCCTTCCCATGCTAAGAGTTTTATAATTTACCTATTTTCTCTAAGTAAAAAATATATTGCTAGTGCTGTACTGGTAAATATTTAACAGCCAGGTCTCCAAACATACGTCTTGATTTGTAATGTTGGTGTACCATCATCATGTCACTGAAAGTGAAGTTGGGAAGATTTACATAATCAGCTGTCACGAACCAGTGTGAGTCAACTCTGGCATATCACTGAAGCTAAATTGCAATTGTGTTATTAATTGTCTTCTTAATTTTAATAATTTAGTGGGGGGAAAACTAGATGTATAACAAAATGTTTAAATATTATTTGAAATAAATTTTTAAGGACTCTGCTGTGCTTCATTTTTTTGCATGATATTATTTGAATAGTGGGGAGTAAAGAGAGATTTATTTAAGCAGTGTATTGGGTAAGAAGCATGGAACATAAACAGGAAAAGAAGAGACAGGGGAAGTATACGATGATATATGATGAAGTAAATGTAACTTAAGTTTCCGAATCCTTTGTTTCCACAGGCTTCTTCCTAGACCATAGTGATGGCCCTAGACATATGTGTACACAATCATATTTCTTTGTAAAATCATTAATGGTATAATATTTTAATCAAAGTTATTTAAGACCACTGTCTTTTGCAACTATAATTTTTCTACACTTTTTTAGTATAGAAACCTATGGCCATAGGTGTTTGTTGAAACCATGAAAAAAGCATGCAGCCCAAAGAATGTGTGTAAATTTTTAAAAATAGATAAAATTAAAATATTGGAACTTCATCATTGAATACATGGAGAACAAAACCAGGGAAAGAAAACTATAGAAAGGGAAACGGAACTCTGTAGTGGTGTAGACTTAACTTGATGTTGGAGTTTCAAGAGAAGGAGTTTACAAGATCTCATAAAAGGTGAGAACTAGAATGAAATAATTAGATTTAGTTGGACAAAATCAATTTAAAATAACCAATTTAACAGTTTTAGGAGAACAAACTAGACGACAAGACAAGAAAGTAATATCAAATGCTGCTTTGGACTTTGGAGAAATGTGAATAACTCTCTCAATATCTCTCAAGATGTTTGAGCAAGATGTAAAAATAAATTAGCTTCAAGATGATCCCAAGCTTTAATCTCAAGTTTGAATACTTCACAAGCACACACACACACACACATACACACACACACACACACACACTCAAGAGGTAATTTATATAATTACCTAACGTGTGTGTGTGTATATATTTATATATAATTTCTATAATATATATAATTGTCTCCAGGTAAAATTAAAGCAACATTAATAATTAGAAAATTAATAAAACTTTTGCAATTAAGGGAACAAACATTTAAGAATGGACTATATAAGCGCTAATCCAATGTTTCGTATTTGTCTAACCTGTTTGGCTTTTTGCATAATTTCATTTTGATATAGTACACTTATTTGCTGGAAGGGAATAAAAAGTGTAGATGTAAGAGGGCAATTTACAATTGCTAATTGTTCAAGCCTAATGAAAGCTATATAGGAGATATAATTTTAGAAAACTGTGCAAAGCTAATTTGACCTAAATCCCCATGGTGTACTAGGCCAAGGAAAAATTATTATTCCAAAACTTAATTTAATATACAATAAAGAACTATTTCATGTTTATTTATTAGTATCTACTTTCTCACAATCGATGCAAGAAATATTATCTCTTTTTAAGATTTTTGTTCATTCAAAATTTCTGTACTTCCAAGAAAAAAATGATAGATATGTTTTGCTACATTTACAAAATACTACAGAATAAGAAGATTGCTTTGAAGTTGTGAGCATTTTTCTTCATAAGGGATGTGACAAGAAAAAGTTTTACTCAGCCTTATCTTCCATTGGTACAAAGTCAAAACATTTGGCAATGGTACATTTATTATTATTTCCATTACAGCCACTGTCAGTTTGAGAAATATTAATTTTGTCTAAATACACAGCTTGCAGATTTTGAATAATCATTTCTGGAAATAACAAAACATAAAATATCAGGCTTAATGTTACGCTGTGTATTATCTGAAAATGGGACATGCTAGTAACTGAATTCTCTTGATTCTAAACGTTTTATTTTTTCCATTTTTTTCTTTGTTAGTAAACTAAATACATCAAGACTCATTCACAGGGATGTATTGTTGGAAGACTGACGGAGGGAAAGAAAACAGAAGACGTCACTCATAGTGAGGGAGTAGTTCTGTAAGGGTCTAAATAAGAATCAGAAAGATCACAAACTAATGGCACCAGTCCTACAACTAGGAGGCTGTACTGAACCCTTGTCAGGGCGCTAGAATCAAAGGAAGCTTGGCTTGAGCTTGAATCACTCTTCTGTTGCTGGCTGCTGACAAATTATGTCACTTCTACAATGTTGTTTTGTGACATTTTATTGTTTATTGTGAAGGCAAAATAAAATAATAATTATGAAATGTTTGTTATTTTCCTGGTATAATATTAACCATAAATATAAACTATGCTGCTCTCTGAAGTAAAGAGCCTTTAAAGCAGGTATATGGACTCAGGCAAGAAGGAAAAAAAAAATACTGGGTACGTTTAATATTCTATGTGTGACTTTGAGATCTCCAGAAATTTGCCAGTATATCTACTTCTAATATTCCTTCAAGAAAGTTGATAATACCTTGATAGTCATTACTGAGGTAAATTAAATTTCAGGTTAAAGTATATCTGGAATTTTCAGTACCTATTTTATTTCATATACTTTATCTTTCTTTCTTTCTCTTTCTTTCCTTCCTTCCTTCCTTCCTTCCTCTCTTTCTTTCTTTCTCTCTCTCTCTCCTTCCTTCCTTCCCTCTTTCTTTCCTTCCTTCCTTCTTTCTTTCTTTCTTTCTTTCTTTCTTTCTTTCTTTCTTTCTTTCTTTCTTTCTTTCTTTCTTTCTTTTCTTTCTTTCTTTCTTTCTTTTTTGACAGAGTCTTGCTTTGTTGCCCATGGTGGAGTGCAGTGGCATGATCTTGGCTATATGCAACCTCAAACTCCCAGGCTCAAGCCATCCTCCCACCTCAGCCTCCCAAGTAACTAGGACTATAAGCATGTGCCACTATGCCTGGATAATTTTTGTATTTTTAGTAGAGAGGGGGTTTTGCCATGTTTCCCAGGCTGGTCTCGAACTCATGAGCTCAAGTGATCCATCCACCTGCCTCCTGCCTCGGCCTCCCAAAGTTCTGGGATCACAGGCAGGAGTCACTGTGCCCGGCCTATACATGGTATTTTTTTCTAATTCATTTTATTAAATGCACTATAGTAAAAATGTTCATAAGAATTTAAAGATGCCTGATTATTGAATGTGAAATGTGCTATAGAAATTAGAATTTTAAAGATGATATTTAGAATCATCTGTTAAGTCCTTTGATTTAGGACCTGTACATATTCCCTGAAAATTAGTTTTGTGAAATCTCTTCAATTCAAGAGATAGATGATCAACTTAAACCACTATGTCAATATTTTAAAAAGTAAAGGACTCATTAAGACATATTTTTCTATTTTTCTGTACTGAAAAAATGTAATCAAACTTTGGTGATTTGGACCTGTCAATTCATCTAAGAAAAATAATATTTCCAAAGCCAACTTAATTTTTCAAAAAAATGTGATTTCTAGTTTCATTTTGTCAATTTTCTCATCTGTAATAATGTATATGTCAATAGTAAATACCTTACAGAATTGTTGTGAACACCAATGACAGACTGAATGTAAAGCAGATATCAGAGTGCCCAATACATAGTAAGTCTTAAATAAATGGGTTATTCTTATTGTTGTAAGTATTGGCATAAATAAGAAGTATTACAGTGTGGATGGAAATTGTATCTATTTCTTCTTGGTCTTTTGGGTAAGATCAAGTGTGGAAATTGCATCTACACAACTAGTTCAGTTCTGTAATTATATATGTAATCTGTAATTGTTTCAGTAAAGGAAGAACGGAGTGTCAAAGATAAACAAAACTGGACACTAAAGTAATAGTAATAACTATTTTAATTAGTAATAACTAATGCAATAGGCAAAAATAGTTCAGCATGAACTAAACTCACCTTTGATTGGTACAGGAATGAATGGGTGTTTTAAAGAGAGAATGGAAGAAGACAGAGGATTGGTGAGTTGGGGCTCAGTGAAATGAAAAATTATGAAAGGGTTAGTAAATCCTAATGTGATTAGCCAGCTGTGCCTGCTACCTAGCAATTATCAATGATAGGATTCCATCCTTCCACAGAGACTGGAAGATGAGGCCCTAGCCTCAGATGTTGGCAGAAACAAGCAGTAAATTATTTTGACAGCCTTGAGTTTTCTCAGGCAATTCAAGGAGAGTAGGATTGTTATAAGTATGTGGCCTTGAATTGTTAAAAACTATGTTCGTGTTTTTTTTCAAGTCTTTAAGGGGCCAAGGTTGAGAATTAGTTGAGAAGAGGACTCAGAGAAGACTGACTAGGATTTTGTCCAAAAGAGAATTTTTGTCAGGGGTCATCAACAGAAACAGGAGAGAAAAATATCTGAATAATTGCTTTTGAATATTAGTTCCTTTCCTAACTAGAGCCATTTAGTTAATTTAAATTTAGTCCTTTAAATTTAATTATCATGGAGTTTATTATAAATTTAAATTACATGTGAGGGATTGCTTTTTAGACTATGAAAAATATCTAAAATATAATTTTACATTATAAAATTTGAACTTCAAATAGTTGAATTTGAACTCACTGTGCTAGGCAAATTACATAAAGACCTTCCTTCCACATATCATTTTCCAACTAAATCTAATATCTCAAGCCTCATGAATCTTGGCCTTTATATAAACTGTCATTTAGCATCCGTACATAAAATTTTTATTATCAGTAATGTCATACCAAACTAATAAAAGAGTATGATTTACTCTCATTTCCTTCCAACTAAGAAAATTTTGTTGTGCACAGTATAAAAGATTTCAGAAAACCTTCAAAGAAAAGCAAAATATTTCAACTGATTTCTCTTTGGCTCCATTATCTTCACCTGACTTTCTTCGCTCCTGCTTTAAATCTCTATACATTCTCATCAGTCCTCCTTGAAATTCTCTAGTGATTAGTCAATCACATCTGAAATTTAGAAAGTGTCTATTTACCTACCTTGACTCTTTCTACAAGTTCAAAGCTATTTATTTATTTTACTGCACTTTGGCTATGTTCTTTTCTTATTTTCTAAAAATATCCACTTCCGTAGAATAAAAATTTACCTCCCTACTGTGTTAGTCAGCAGTTGACAACTTGCTAGTCCCAAGATTAATGTTTTCAAAATTAAAGTGGGCAATTCTATATTCCTTATCTCCTTGGAAGATGTCTTTCATGTGGGAAATATTAAATAGACAATATCTGTTTTAGGCAGCCAGTCTTTCAACTTCGATTTCATAATCTTCCTTTGTTTTTGACACCCCATAATAGTCACCCCTTTCGTCCTCCGTAAACTGTGGTAAATCCATATTTTAGCTATTAGCCAACTGTATTGGTTGATCCCTCTTAATGTTATTCACAAATAAACGGAGAACACAGACATTTTCTATTGAATCAAAAACTAAAGGAAAGTGTGTAATTTCAGGAAATGTGTATTATTGTAGGGAAGATATTGGGGAGGGCTTAATAGATAAAACATCCATCCTCTTCTAATGACTAAAGTCTTTACCTAAAAATACAGATCTCGTTTGCACTAACACTGTCGATAGCGTAATATACTGGGCTTGGTCATCACGAAAGATCTGGGTTCATTTCCAGGTTATCCACTTAAATGAATAAACTTAAGCATGCCCTACTTTTTATGTAGATATTATTTCTCTTCTTCATAATTTCAGTAAGCAATTAAATGAGATAATAAATATTATATGCTCAAGATTGTGTTGTTACAATGAATGATGAATAAATAGCAGCCAATTTAAAGACACTAATAATGGAATAATGATGTGATGGTGATGATAATGATAATTATGATGGAATTCTTCTTTTAATCACTTCCTATTCTCTTCCTTTCCTATTTGACTATAATCAGATGTTGCCTTGAATATCTGCACATTAACTTTACTATAATTTCTATTAGTCTATTTCATCTAAATTACTCATATCCCACTTTTTCTTTTCTATTTTAATATGTTATTTATATTTACAGAGGCTCCATCAAATCTTTGGAGGAATGAGACAGTAATACAAAACGATATGTATATGTGCATATATATGTGTGTGAGTATAAATGTATATGTAAAATATTTACGCATATATATTTATATACAATGGAATTATATGTAAATAAAAGAGCATCAATTTGTAGTGTCATTATGCTTTTATGCACTGGCATAATATATAATATAATATAATATAAAATAGATGTTTCACTAATATATTAAATATGTATTTAATTTGTTATGTAACATACTGTAATTACTAGATATTTTATTGCCCTTGAAAGCACAAGTCATTGAAAACCTGTGTCTATTTTTCTGTCTTCTAACTGGCCTATATACCTAACCTTTAGATGTAGATTATTATAAAAAATTGCTATTTGATAGATTCTTACAACTTTATGACTGGAATATGTTAGAACATCCACTCCAATGTTTTACCCAAAACAAGAGATTTTTTTTTTAGAAAATTACCATTATTACAATACCCAGGCTTTCCTCAAGAAAAATTACAGTTTACTTCCTCAAGAAGCGGTCCCCAACTTTATTGTTCTGATTACTGAAAAATACTTCCACTTCTTAGGTATAAAATCTGCTTCCCTTGGACCACCCAATGTAAGGCATTAGTTCTGCTCCCTAGAGCTCCTCAGTACAAGTCTAATCCATCTTCCACATGACAGCCTTCACATATTTGAAGACAGCCTGCACTGCCCCGCTAAGTCCTTAATCTATATATTCCTGTGGTTCAACTATATTTTTGTCAACTCCAATTATTCTTTCTCACCTTCCTATGAGGTTATTTTTTGTCTTGCTTTGGTTTTAGTTTGTCAGTGTTGGTTTCAAGACATTCTTTTCTTAAAATGATCAATCTTCAAATGAATGAGCATAATATCAAATAGAAATTACAAAAACAGTTGAGAAATAATTTTTAAAAATGCACTTCCAGGTGCTTCAGTTATCAGTTGTTGTATCACAAACTTTATGGTGTAAACCAACAATCAGTTTATTAAGTTTATGAATTCTGTGAGTGAGAAGTTCAGACAGATACGTATAGTAGAAACAGCTTATTCTCTGCTTCATGATTCCGGAAGCTTCCTTCATCTGAGAATATTGAAACAGCTGAGATAACTCAAATGTTTAGGTCCTGAAATCATCTGGAGGTTTCTTCACTAACATGCCTGGGTCTAGGTGGAGATTCCTTAAATGCTGATCTCAGCTTAGGCTGTAGAATGGCGCACCTATGTGTGATCTCTCCACATGGCTTGGGTTTTTCAGAGCCTGAGAAACTGGGTTCTGAAAGTGAGTGTGCAGAGAGAGCGCTCAAAGAACAAGGTAGAAGCTGAACAGCTTCTTCTGTCCTAGCCTCAGAAGACACCTAGAGTCACTTTAACTATGTTCTCTTAATTGTAAGTGAGTTTTTAAGTTAGCTCAGCTACAAGTGAAGGGTAATTGGACTTCTCCTCAATAGTGGAGTGGCAAGACTACGTGGCAGAGGAACATGTGGGATAGGGGATATTATTAGCATAATCTTTGGAAAACACAACCTGTCCCAGCCTGTCCTCTGCCTACAACTCGCATCCTTCCACATGCAAAATAAACTCACTAACTTCAGAAGGCCTGAAAAGTCTAATCTCATACAGCAGTAGATTAAAGTCTAGGATTTCATCATCTAAATCAGAGACAGATACAGATGAGTCTCTTTTTGTTCAGTTTTTCTCATGTGTCTTATCTCCATCCACATGCTTGTAAACTAGAGACAAGTTATCTTCCTCCAACAAACAAAATATATGATATGAATTAAGTCTGGAATCGTTACATACATATTCCCACTGAAGGAGGGGAAATGGAAGGTTCACAGCTCACTGCTCTACAGCAATTCTGCAGTCTTTCTCGGGACATGTTGCCAGTTCCAAAGGACTCTTCATTTTGAACTGCGTTTGTCATTTTCAGTCCAACCCGATAACTTTTTTTAAAGTTCTGAGTGTCTTATATATCAATTTATAATACACTCCAGTAAATGAAAGCCATAACCACAGATCTTTTTTGCAATAAGCTCTCTCAGACTTGGGCTTCCTGTGAGGCAATCATGGGACCCTCACAGGATTATCGAATATTCTTTAAGGTTATTAGACTATTCTTTAAGAGAGAGGGTCTCTGAAACACACCGAAGGAACTTAGATGGCCTTTTGCCTCTCTGAAAGAGACCATGAGGCATCACTTAAAATTTTTTGGAAGATTTAATAAAGAGATTTTCAATCACACCCATGGTTTATCTTTATTCTGAGACCACAGACTCCTGACAATGTTGTTGATCTGATATTTTCCCTGAGCCCCTTTACTCTTTTGAAAATCCTTTACATACTGAAAAGAATGGGAATGAAAAATAGTCGTATTTCCAAACTTCAGCAAGTCTTGTCTTCATGTTTTCTCTGAAGTTTGCTTTAAAAATGAACAATAACTTTTCAGCTGATTTTTTTTCTATTTTTATCTTATACACAGCTAAAAGAAAGATGCTGGCATTTTTAAAATTCAGCCTAGAAATCTCCTTAGCAAATTCAAATAGTTTATTAGCTATATTTTTATTTTTCCTGTTACCACAGGTTATAGCACTGCCAAATTTCCTGTCGCTATATAATAAGGGTCCTCTTCCAGCTGAATAACATTTATTTTCTACTTTCTTTGAATCCCCTACTGACAGCCATTTCAAGGTCTTTCAGGCTTATGCTTGTGACCAAGTCTCCGAACCAATGCCTGATGTTTTCAGTTTTGTTTATTGATACTGTAGTTTGAGATACTAAATTCTATTCTCATTATCACTTGCTCCACAGCAAAGTACCCCAACTTAGTGGTATAAAACAACAAAAAAATTATATCATGCTTACTGATTATGTAATTAGGAATGTGGACAGACACAGGAGAAGATCGCTTGCTCTCCTTCACTATGTCTAGGGACCCAGTTAGGAAAAATCAATCAGTCAGAGATGACCTAAATGGCTACGGGCTACAATTGTTGAAAGCTTTCCATGCAAGAGTCTGGCTGATAGGCTGGGATGACCAAAAGGTTGGGCTCAGCTGAACACTGTGCACTGGAGCACCTCCACATGGCCGCACACGTGGCTTGAGTTCTCACTGCACAGCAGCTGAGTTTTGAGATGGTTACCAGAGAGAGAGCATAGAGACAGCAGGTGGTTTAAGAGACCAAGGCAGATGCAGAACTCCCACTGACCTAGTCTGTGTCACTTCAGCCTCATTCTGCTTATTCTGCTAATTACAAGTAGGTCACTAGAGCCAACCCGGATTCAAGGGTTGGATTTAGACTCCACTTTTTAGATGAATAGAAAGCTCATACTACAAAGGAGTTCATGAGGTGATAGATGTTATTATAGCCATATTTGTAAAATAAAATTTGTCATAGTTGTCAATTATTAACATGTGACTTATCTCCAAGCCTAGATACTGTGTATTATTTTGAGAAAAAAAAGTCTCTATTTTCAATTGATTTCACTAGGAAATTGTTCTTGAATGTACTTTGGAATGTGAAATAGTATTCACACTATATTTTTCTTTCTTTTTTCTTTGAGACAGGGTCTCATTTTGTCACCAAGGCTGGAGTGCAATGGTGCATTGGCACAATCACAGTTGACTGCAGCCTTGACCTCCTGGGCTCAAGCAATCTTCCCACCTTAGCCTCCTGAGCAGCTGGGACTGGGACTATAGGCACACCCTACCATGCCTGGCTATTTTGTGTAAGTGTGTGGAAATGGCCTCTGACTACATTGCCCAGCCTGGTCTTAAACTCCTGAGCTAAAGCATCCTCCCACCTTGGCCTTCCAAAGTGATGGGATTACAGATGTGAACAACTGCACCCAGCTCTTAAACAAGCTTATGAATCAAGAACCACGTTCCATAAAGAAAGTATTAAGGACCCTATTGCTTGTTATCTGATGAACAAAAATCATTTCCACACAACTCTTGATCCAATTTTTCTACATTAAATTCCTTCCAAATGGATTTGGTAAGCAATGTAAACCCTGGCCAAATTTTGAGGTAGGCGGTTTGTTTTTAATGCTGTCTACCTTTTGTGAAGGAGCAAGTGACATAAAGGTAACTAGATAACTTGTGCAGAGTAAAGACAAAAGTGAAGGAAATTATTAGCATCCTGCCTGTTTTGGATCATAGAGGACACTTCGTCAATTGGTGCAAGGCATAAATCTGTGTAAGTAATTCCATAATATGGTCAGTTTACTAATGTGGCCAAAACACCCATGTGATTGAAAAGCCCTAAGTGTCCAGAATACTACCTGACCAGAACCCAGTTATGCAACCCCTCATCTTCAACCTCACCTCTTCTACTGCTCCTAAGACAACTATTAAAATGTATGGATACCTCCAATCAGTATAGTAAGTACTGTTACTCCATATGGTTCACTCATTTCAGCTACCCAGGTACTATTCCATGGGTCTTCATTATAAAAGCATGTTTACCAACTCCTTTAGTCTTTATGATTTCCCTACACCTCTGTTATACTTGCCTGGAAAAACCCTGATTATAATTAAAGATAACTATCTTCCTTCTCTGTGTCTGCAACTTAACAGGTTAATATTGCTGAGAGAAACCCGTAGATATTTCCTGAAACAATATTGCATGTCCCGAAGAGATTTGTTTGATTGATATCATGGTTGTAACTATAAGCCACAGGTTTCAACCTTCAGTTAATGAAAGAACATAGAGGAAAACTTTGAGTAAATCAGGTGGTGACAGAAGTGCTTTGATAATGTTGAGCTATGTGCTAGCGATTAACCTTTGTTTAGAAAGCTAAGGAAGGAAATACTATATTAACATATGCCTTGCTGAAAATGTTTGGTTAAAGCTTCAAATTTGTAACTTGTCATAATAAAGTTCAGGTGTTACCTGTCTGTTTACCAAAGGAGACAAAGAGCTTTCTCCCTCAAATTTTAAAATTTTTAAACATTGTTAGAATTGTTGGCTTCTAATATATGAGTGTTTATAATAGAAATACTTGTCAGACTGTTTTAGAAAAACTTGTGGTTCACCCAGAGTTTTAAAAATATTTGGCACAGGACTATGGTTTTCCTGATAATAGTCGGCCACTATGACCTGGCTGATATAGTTTAAAAGACTTAGCATTTTAAAATAGGTTAGGATCATATCTAAAGACAATTTTTCTTGCAAAAAGAAGTATAGTTTGCATTTACCCTAGGAAATAACCTAACAGTTGTCCTCTTAATCTACTTCTCAGTAGCACTCAGACTGACCAATGCCCCCATACTGAAATATTTTATTAATTTTGCTTTGATGTCACCATATTTTACTGGGTATATCAGATCTTTTAGTGTGTGTATGGGTGTTGTGGTTTCAATGTATCCCCCAAAGTTTTTGGGTTGAAAATGTAATTCTCAATGCAACAGTGTTGGAAGTTGGATCCTAATAAGAGATAATTAGGCCTATAATCCCAGCACTGTGGGAGGCTAAGGAGGGTGGATCACTTGAGGTCAGGATTTCCAGACCAGCCTGGCCAACATGGTGAAACCCCATCTCTACAAAAAAAATAAAAAAATTAGCCAGGCGTGGTGGTGCACGCCTGTAGTCCCAGCTACTTGGGAGGCTGAGGCAGGAGAATTGTTTGAACTCGGGAAGTGAAGGCTTCAGTGAACCAAGATCACAACACTGCACTCCAGCCTAGGCAAGAGAGCAAAACTCTCTGTCAAAAAAAAAAAAAAAAAAAAGAGAGAGAGATAATCAGGTCATGACAGCTCTGCCTTCATAAATATATTAATGTCATTATGAGGAGATTGGGTTAGTTATCACAAGATTGGACTTATTATAAAGGGGGCTTGGCACTCTCTTGCCCTCTTTTGCCATGTTGTCATGTGATGCCTTCCAGTGTGGGATGATGCACCAACAATGCCCTCACTAGATGTGGCCCCTTGATCTGATGCTGAACTTCCCAGACTTCAGAATTATAAGCCAAATAAACTACTATTGTTTAAAAATTACCCAGTCTCAGGTATTCTGCATAGCAACATAAGATAGATGAATATAATATATACTTAACATATCAATATATTTTAACCTTAATCTGTCAACCTAGTGTCTGTATCTTTAGAAGATTAAAGTGTACACATCCTAAAATTAAATGACCTAGGGTATAACTGGTTTATTAAAAGAGCTGGATTCAGTGAGTTCAAGAAAAAAGCAATTTCACTCACTCTCATCTCTACACTTTTAAACTGCTCTGTTGAATTGTTCTTCCTCATCCTTGTATAAAATAGATCCCAAAGTTTTTATAATCACATTCCAGTATTTAAAAGTCATCTCTGGTCTAATGGCAAAACTTTATCGTATCCTTTGATTCAAAGCTATTTTTTTTCAGGCAGCTTTGACCTGAATACGTCAAAGAAACTTTCATGTACTTCATATTTAGCTTCTTTCTTCTTCTGTTTGCTTTATCTCCTGCATTCTAGTGGATGATTACGTCTATTCTGACTTAGGGGAAAGAGGTAGGTTATAGGAAATAAGCATACTGTTACGTGGCCAGCATAACTGTAACATGACATCAGGACCACCTTTATGTCTAACGCTTAAATAGTAGCAGTTCTGCCTACCAAAGATAATTTGGGAGTTCTCCAAGATAACTATCATCAGAGACAACATTTTCTGTAGTTCCCCGATGAAGAGGAGGCTTCTGTTGATTAGACTTTGTGTTCGACTGTTCTTGTCTAGCCATACAGAAATATCTGAGGCTGAGTAATTTATATGAAAAGGTTTAATTGGCTTACGGTTATACCGGCTGTATGGGAAGCATAGTGCCAGTGTCAATTTCTGGGGAGGCCTAAGGAAGCCTATAATCATGATGAAAGTGAAGGAGGAGCAGGTATATCACATGTCAGGAGCAGGAGCAAGTCAGTGGTTGGAGGTGCCCCACACTTTTTAACAACCAGATCTTGTGTGTGAACTCAGAGCAAGAGCTTACTTATCACCAGGGAGATGGTGCTAAGCCATTCACGAGGGATTTCCCCCATGCCCCAAATACCTCCCACTAGGCCCCACATTCAATGCTGGAGACCACATTTCAACATGTACTCAAATCGTATCAGATTTTTATGACTTGGCCCTCCTCCAGTCTATAGCTTCTAGCTATCTACCCTATTGCTCCACTCTCTTTTGAGGTCACCTTGTCCATGCTCCCTTCCACAAACTCCAACTTCGGCCCATAAGAAACTGCCTGGTAGGATTCTAGAAGTTCTCTCTATTTTCCATGCAGCTAACTTTATGCCACTACCACAGGTCATTCAAGCCTCTAGCCTTCTTCAGGTTTGAATTAGGAAACACTTATTATGTCCCTAAAAACCCCAAAAATCACATAACTTCTCTAAATGGTTCCATAATCTTCTCTGCACATGGCTTCATCGTAGAAGAGGAATGCACAAAATATTAACAGCTTTCACTCCAAATAAATTCCCAATTTGTAGTTACTTTTACCATCCCTCTCTTCTCCCCTCATGGAAAGATGAGGCTGGAGTTTGATAAATAACTAGTTTTATAGTGTCTTACAACGTTCTGCTTATGATGTAGCACCTCGTCTTCTTGCCCATTGGAGCCACTGCCAAAAGCAAAGATATTCCAAAACAGTAGAAAAAGTTACACTTGATCTTATGTTACAAAAGGTCAACCCCTAAAGAGACCTTAGGACCCATAATTCAAATTCCATACCTTCACTGTGGTCATAAAAAACAAAACAAAACAAAAACTAAGAAAGACTAAGAATCAGTGTTCAACTTTGTTACTTCAATGATAATTATAATACGCTTTATTAACTTGTGGAACACATTTTAGTAGTCATGTCTATATTAATTATTTCTTAAACTACTTACAGATATGTATTACTGGGAGAGGAAACTAGATTGATATGCATACTTAAACATCTGATGATACGTTTTGCACAAATTTAAAATTATTAAAAGTAGTTTCACTTAAACCAACTGAAGAAGGTTGATTAAGGTGGAAGTTTGTATTCCTGAATTCTTTGGAGGCTTGCTGATTGAAGAAGTCACCTGCAAATGTGAATATCAAATTGGGTTATGACTTTCCTAACAACATTCAATAACTTTCCTTTGCTTATGACAGTAAATCAAAACTTCCTAATTCAATGTCACAGGAGCTCCTTTTCTACGTGCTTCCTGCTTTCTTCAATAAACTTTCCTCACACTACCTCCTCACTCAGTCTTTCTGCTAATACTTGTATTCTTTCTTTTTTTTTTGGTATTCTCCATCACTTGTTCAAAATCATGCCACATTTTAACTTGCTTCATGCTTCAGATTATAGTTGCTTGGCACAATATTTTCTTGGAATTTAAAAAAAATTTTCATTGCCATAGGTCATTGAGGAACAGATAGTGTTTGGTTACATGGGTAAGTTCTTTAGTGGTGATTTGTGAGATTTTGGTGCACCTGTCACCCAAGCAGTATACACTGACCATTATTTGTAGTCTTATCTCTCACCCCGTTCCCACCTTTTCCCCCTGAGTTCCCAAGTCCACTGTGTCATTCTTATGCCTTTGCATCCTCATAGCTTACTTAGCTTCCACTTATGATTGAGAACATACGATGTTTGGTTTTCCATTCCTGAGGTACTTCACTTAGAATAATAGTCTCCAATCTCATTCAGGTCACCACAAATGCGATAACTTCATTCGTTTTTATGACTGAGTAGTATTCCATCGTATATGCCACAGTTTCTTTATTTACTCGTTGATAGATGGACATTTGGGTCGGTTCCACGTTTTCACAATTATAAATTGTGCTGTTATAAACATGCATGTGCAAGTATATTTTCGTATAATGACTTCTTTTCCTCTGGATAGATACCCAGTAGTGGGATTGCTGGATCAAATCATAGTTTTGCTTTTTAAAGGAATCTCCACACTCTTTTCCATAGTGGCTGTACTAGTTTACATTCCCACTAGCAGTGAAGTGTTCCCTGTTCAACACTTCCAGACCAGTATCTACTGTTTTTTGATCGTTTTATTATGGCCGTTCTTGCAGGAGTAAGGTGTTATTGCATTGTGGGTTTGATTTGCATTTCCCTGATCATTAGTGATGTTGAGCATTTTTTTCATATGTTTGTTGGCCATTTGTATATCTTCTTTTGAGAATTGTTTATTCATGTCCTTAGCCCACTTTTTAATGGGATTTTTTGTTTATTTCTTGCTGATTTGTTTGAGTTCATTGTAGATTCTGGATATTAGTCCTTTGTTAGATGTATAGATTGTGAAGATTTTCTCCCACTCTGTAGGTTATCTGTTTACTCTGACTTCCTTTTGCTGTGCAAAAGGTCTTTAGTTTAATTAAATCTCAGCTACTTATTTTTGTTCTTATTGCATTTGCTTTTGGGTTCTTGGTCATGAAACCCTTGCCTAAGCTAATGTCTACAAGAGTTTTTCCAATGTTATCTTCTAGAATTTTTACAGTTTCAGGTCTTACATTTAAGTCATTAATCTATCTTGAGTTGATTTTTGTATAAGGTGAGAGATGAGGATCCAGTTTCATTCTCCTACATGTGGCTAGCCAATTATCCCAGCACTATTTGTTGAAAAGGGTGTCCTTTCCCCATTGTATGTTTTTGTTTGCTTTGTTGAAGATCAGTTGGCTATAAGTATTTGGGTTTATTTCTGGGTTCTCTTTTCTGTTCCATTGGTCTATGTACCTATTTTATATCAGTACCATGCTGTTTTGGTGACTATGGCTTTATAATATAGTTTGAAATCAAGTAATATGATGCCTCCAGATTTGTTTTTTGGCTTGTTTGTTTGGATTTTTTTTTTTTTTTTTTTTGCTTATTCTTGCTTTGGCTATGAGGGACCTTTTTTAGTTCCATGTGAATTTTAGAATTGATTTTTCTAATTCTGTAAAGAATGATGATGGTATTTTGATGGGAATTGCGTTGAATTTGTAGATTTCTTTTGTCAGTATGGTCATTTTCACAATATTGATTCTACCCACCCATGAACATGTGACGTGTTTCCATTTGTCTGTGTAGTCTATTATTACTTTCAGCAGTGTTTTGTAGTTTTCCTTGGAGAGGTCTTTCACCTTCTTGTTTCGGTATATTTCTTTTTTTTTTTTTTTTTTTGCAGCTATTGTAAAAGAGGTTGAGTTCTTGATTTGATTCTCAGCTTGGTCACTGTTGGTGTATACAAGAGCTACTGATTTGTGTACATTAATTTTACATCCAAAAATTTTGCTGAATTTTTTCATAAGTTCTAGGAGCTTTCTGGAGTATTCTTTAGGGTTTTCTAGGTAAACGATCATATCATCAGCAAACAGTGATGGTTTGACTTCCTCTCTACCAATTTGGATGCCCTTTATGTCCTTCTCTTTTCTTGTATGTTAAACCATCCCTGCATCCCTGGCATGAAACCCACTTGGTCATGGTGAATTATCTTTTCTATATGATGTTGGATTCAGTTAAGTAGTATTTTGTTAAGGATTTTAGAATCATGTTCATCAGGAATATTAGTCTGTAGTTTTCTTTTTTGGTTATGTCCTTTCCTGGTTTTGGTTTTAGGGTGACACTGGCTTCATAGGGTGACACTGGCTTCGTAGAATGATTTAGGAAGGATTCCCTCTTTCTCTATCTTGTGGAATAGTGTCAATAGGATTGGTACGAATTCTTCTTTGAATATCTGGTAGAATTCTGCTGTGAATCCTCTGGTCCTGGACGTTTTTTGTTGGTAATTTTTTAATTACCATTTCAATTTTGCTGCTTGTTATTTGTCTGTTCAGGGTATCTAATTCTTCCTGATTTAAGCTATGAGGGCTGTATCTTTAGAGGAATTTATTCATCTCTTTTAGGTATTCTAGCTTATGTGCATAATGGTGTTCATAGTAGCCTTCAACGATCTTTTGTATGTCTGTGGTGTCACTTGTAACGTCTCCGGTTTCAGTTCTTACTGAGCTTATTTGGATTTTCTCTCTTCTTTTCTTGGTTAATCTTGCTAATGGTCTATCTATCATCTTTTCACAGAACGAGCTTTTTGTTTCATTTATCTTTTGTATTGTTTGTTGTTGTTGTTGTTTGTTTCAATTTCATTTAGTTCTGCTCTGATCTTGGTTATTTCCTTCTGCTTGGTTTGCGTTTGGTTTGTTCTTGTTTCTCTAGTTTCTTGAGGTGTGACCTTAGTTTGCATTCCTTCAGCCTTTTTGATGTAGGTGTTTAAGTCTATGAACTTTCCTTTTAGCACCATTGTCATTCAACTCAAAGAATTTTTTAATTTCCATTTTGATTTCTCTTTTGACCCAACAATCATTCAGAAACAGGTTATTTAATATCCATGTAATTGTGTGGTTTTGAAGTTTCCTTTTGGAGTTGATTTCCAATTTTACTCTTCTGTGATCCGAGGCTTGATATCATTTCAATTTTCTTCAATTATTGAGGCTCATTTTGTGGCCTATCGTACGGTCTATCTTGGAGAAAATTCTATGTGCTGTCGAATAGAATGTATATTCTACAGTTGTCAGGTGGAATGTTCTGTATATATCTGTAAAGTCCATTTGTTCCAGGATATAGTTTAAGTCCATTTTTTTTTGTTGACTTTCTGTCTTGATGACCTGTCTAGTGTTGTCAGTGGAGTACTGAAGTCTCCCACTATTATTGTGTTGCTGTGTATCTCATTTCTTAGGTCTATCAATAATAGTTTTATAAATTTGGGAACTCCAGTGTTAGGTGCATATATGTTTAGGATTGTGATATTTTCCTGTTGGACAAGGCCTTTTACTATTCTATAATATCCCTTTTTGTTGTTTAACTGCTGTTGCTTTAAAGTTTGTTTTGTCTGATATAAGAATAGCTACTCCTGCCCACTTTTGGTGTCCATTTGCATGAAATGTCTTTGTCCACCCTTTTACCTTAAGTTTATGTGAGTCCTTATGTCTTAGGTGAGTCTCTTGAAGACAGTAGATAGTTGGTTGGTGAGTTCTTATCCATTCTGCAATTCTGTATCTTTTAACATTTAGGCCATTCAATGTTAGTATTGAGCTGTGAGGTACCATTCCATTCATCATGCTATTTGTTCCCTTTATACCTTGGGGATTTGTTTTTTGTTTTTGTTTTTTAAATTGTATTTTTGCTTTATGGGTTCTATGAGATTCATGCTTTAAAGAGGTTCTGTTTCTATGTGTTTCCAGAATTTGTTTCAAAATTTAGAGCTCCTTTTAGTAGTACTTGTAGTGGTGGCTTGGCAGTGGCAAATTCTCTCAGCATTTGTTTGTACAAAAAAGACTATCTTTCCTTCATATATGAAGCCTAGTTTTGCTTGATACAAAATTCTTGGCTGATACTCGTTTTGTTTGAGGAGGCTGAAGATAGTGTCCCAATCCCTTCTAGCTTGTATGGTTTCTGCTGAGAAATCTGCTGTTAATCTGACAGGTTTTCCTTTATAGGTGACCTGATGCTTTTGTCTCACAGCTCTTAAGATTCTTTCCTTCATCTTAACTTTAGATAACATGATGACACTGTGCCTAGGCAATGGTCTTTTTGCAATGAATTTCCCAGGTGTTCTTTGTGCTTCTTGTATTTGTATGCCTAGGTCTCTAGCAAGGCAGGGGATGTTTTCCTCGATTATTCCTCAAAATATGTTTTCCAACCTTTTAGATTTCTCTTCAAGAATGCCGATTAGTCTTAGGTTTGGTGAGTTTATGCCCTTTGTCTTCAGTTACTAGGTGGGTAGGGAAGGACCACTGGGTGGGGGCAGGGCTAGGCATGTCTGAGCTCAGACTCTCCTTGGGTGGGTCTTGTTGCAGCTGCTCTAGGGGATGGGAGTGAGATTCCCAGATCAATGGTGTTGTGTTCCTAGAAGGATTATAGCTGTCTGTACTGTGTCATCCAGGTGATCAGGAAAGTGGGGGAAAGCTGGCAGTCACAGGCCTCGCCTAGCTCCCATGGAATTTGAAAGGCCAGTCTCACTCCCACCATGCTTTCCCCACCAATAGCACTGAGTCTGTTTCCAGGCAGTGAGCAAGCAGGGCTGAGAACTTGTCCCAGGCTTTCACCTGAGAACTTTACCCACCTTTCAGCTGAGAAAGCAGGTATGACTTTCCTTCCCCAGCCTGTGGAGTCTGTGTACCAGATTCATACCCTTACCTGAGTTCTGGCCAGGAGACTTCAAATTGTTACCAAGTTCATCTAGATATTTCCTTCTCCCTGTGGCCTTTTCCCAATGCCTCTGTTTACCCTCCCGAAGGACCCCTGTGAGGCCAGGCAGAAATGGTTTGCTAGGGGACCCAGGGAGCTCACAGGTCTCTTCCTGCTTCTTCTTCTACTCTTGTATTTCACTTGGCTCTCTCAATTGACTCAGCTCCCAGTAAGGTGAGAATCTTCTACTGTAATCTAGACCTTCAGTTTCTCCAGTGGAGGTGTGTGTTAGAGGGCAGATAATCTCTTTCTCACTTCCACAGTTTGGGCACTCACAGTATTTGGGGGGTGTCTCCGGGGTCCTGCAGGAGCAATCTGCTTGCTTCAGAGGGTCTGGGGGTCCTCTCGGGTCCTGATGTATTCCAACAGTTGTTTTGGAGCAAAAATTCATGATGCAAGCCTCCACACACTGCTCTGTCTGTCTGAGTTGGAGCTGCAGTCTAGTCCTGCCTCCTGTCTGCCATGATCCCTAATCTTTGTATTCTTTGACTGTGAGAAACTCATCGCACAAAATAGCTCTCCCAGATGTTTTCCTCCTCAAATCCCTCCATTAAATATTTGTCTTTTTCTTCTTTGAAAGTCCTGTGCCAATAATTGAATGAACTTATTTTGAATTTGTTTGGGCGAATTGCAGATATGTATCTGCAGATTCACCTCAACTGGATTTTAAACTACTTAATCTTAAAACTTTTGGGGGTTCACGTTTTAGTGCCTAACATAGGGTTCTATGTACACATAGCAGGCTAGCAGGCTAACAGTACATTATGTTGGTGATAATTTATTATGTAAACAAACAGAAAACATTACCATACAGTGGAGCGCTTAAATTTCACCAAAGAAAAATACAGGGCTTTGACTTGCTGGTAGTAAGTTATGTAGTAGCATACCATGCCTTGATTTATTTCTCTCTGTTTATGTATACACTAATTGATTTCAGGTACATCTACAAAGACATGAACTGATTTTTTCTTGCTTTGGAAATGTGTTTCTAAATATTGTAATCAAAGGTCATGTGTATTTAAATATATATATGCATATACATACACACATATACATATTCATATGTGAGATGAGTTTGATCTGTGTATGTGATATATAAAATACATATATATATATTTGTATGTGTGTACATATGTGTATAGATAGAGATTATGGAGATTGTAACACCGAGCACAATACTTAGGCTCTTCTCATTAAAAAGTGGAGTCTTTCTCCACCCACTTTGATCTGGGCTGGTGTTTTAACTTGCTCAGGCCAAGGGAATAGTGGCAAGCATGGTGCAAATAGGCTTGAAAAGCACTTTCACTTTAAGAGTGTCACTCCTGGAAACCCTCTACCATCATACGAAGAAGCTTCAGCTAGCCTACTGGAGGGTAAAACCACATGAAATAGAAACAAGTCAAATTCACTGAGGCTCTAAAAATCAACGAGGCTGTGAACCACCAGTAGTGTAAGTGAGGACATTCTAGACAACTGTGCCCCGGTCACACCACAAACTGACTGCAACAATCAGCTAAGGCAGTCCAGATCTGAAGAACTGCTCAGTAAACCTACAAAATGGTGAACTAAGTAAATGGTTGCTACTTAGCATCTAAGTTTTGAGGTAGCTCATTATGCATTATATCCTAAAATGCTGGTTAGATATTGATATGGTTTGCCTGTGTTCCCACACAAGTCTCATCTTGAATTGTAGCTTCCATAATTCCCACGTGTTGTGGGAAGGACCCGGTGGGAGATATTTAAATCATGGGGGCGGTTTCCCCCATACTGTTCTCATGGTAGTGAGTAAGTCTCACTAGATCTCATGGTTTTATAAGGGATTTCCCCTTTCACTTAGCTCTCATTATCTCTTGCCTGCTGTCATGTAAGACGTGCCTTTCCCTTTTCCATCATGATGTGAGGCCCTCCAGCCATGTGTAACTGTGAGTTCATTAAACCTCTTTTTCTTTATAAATTACCTAGTCTTGGGTACGCCTTTATCAAGAGCATGAGAACAGACTAATACAGACATAATCATAAATTGATTGTGACTGTAAAAAATGTAGTTGGGGCAGACATGGTGGCTCACATCTATAATTCCAGCACTTTGGGAGGTCGAAGCTGGAGAAACGCTTGAGTCCAGGAGTTCAAGACAAACCTAGGCAATATAGGGAGAACTTGTCTCTACAAAAAAAAAACTAAAAATTAGCTGAGCACAGTGGCATTCTTCTGTAGTCACAGCCACATGGGAGGCTAAGATGGAAAGATCACTTGAGCTTGGGGTTTGAGGTTACATTGAGCAACGATCACACCACTGCACTCAGCCTGGGCAATAGAGTGAGAACTTATCTCAAAAATGAATAAATAAATACAGTTTATTTGGGCATATATATATATATATGACATATCTATATCTTAATTCTATATTATATATCTTAATTCAAAAGAATTTAACCGTGATCTGAATCATGTTAAATGTGAATATCCCTAATGTCTTTGGAAACTTTAGTTTTTTTCCTTCCCTATGAAATTGTCCATGGATTTTTGTGGGTAGGTAAATTGAGAGTTTGGAGGATTACATACAGAATAGCAGTAAGATTGAAAGCAGATAATTGCAGGCCTGCAAGTAACAATAACCAGCAAAAAAAAAAACCCATTAAGCCAATAGAGGAAAGGAAAGCAAGAATAAGAGCCCAGGGGGTAAACTCATTCCTGTTTCACATTCATTTTAGTAACTACATCTTCCAATAAAATGAGTTTGATGTGATAGATAAATAAAATATTTTACTTGGAAAATATGATTTGAATTTTGTAACATGCCAATGCTAATTGCACATTTTAAATTTTCTGTAAAGGTGAAATTAAAAACCCAAGATGCCTATCCACAAATTTATAGCACATTTAGATCAAGTAAAATATTACAATGTATTTCTCATTAATTTGTGTTCCAAACATCTGATTTTTTCCCTAAACTGTGTAAGAATTTCAAGCTTAGGAAGTTGTATGCATGTATGTGCAAATAAAAAATAAAATAACATACATTTATTTAATATCTATTATGAACCACTTGTTTTTCCTCATGTTATTTTATCCAAAGAGCAGCTGATGAACTAGAAAGAGGATATGATAAGAGGCACCAGCTTCAGAGAGTGTACCAATGCCTAAGAAAAGTAATATAGTGGTAACTAATCTTCCTGGACTTCCTCTGATTGCTTTTTTTTTTTTTTTTTTTTTTGAGATGGAGTCTTGCTCTGTCATCCAGGCTGGAGTGCAGTGGTGTAATCTCAGCTCACTGCAACCTCCACCTCCTCGTTCAAGCGATTCCCCTGCCTCAGCCTCACAAGGAGCTGCAATTACCAGGTGTGTGCCACCACGCCTGGCTAATTTTTATATTTTTAGTAAAGACAACATGGTTTTACCATGTTGGCCTGGCTGGTCTCAAACTCCTGACCTCAGGTGATCCGCCTCCATTGGCCTCCCAAAGTGCTGGGATTACAGGCTTGAGCCACCACGCCTGTTCCCTCTAATTGCTTTGAATATATATCATTATCTCTTGAAGCTTCACAGCAATCCAATAAAGTATATGGTATTATACATCATGAAACTGAGACAGAGAAAGATCTTATGGTCACTAGATAATAAGTGGGTAGAGTAGAGATTTGAATCCTGTCTATTTTCTTCATATAAATGCCTGAATTTTGGTTCCTGCTGGAGGAATTGAACTGGGAATTATTTATTTAGGTTCATATAGTAGGGGAGTTTAGAGAATAATGGCTTGATTCCTCAAATGAACAGTTAAGAGCAATAGAGCCAGATATAGGTCTCAGTTTCCCATCATGCTGGCCTCTGGAAATTTAAATAAAGCAAGCCAAAAAGGTAAAAAATACCAAAAGTTGAAAATTCCTCTAACTTATTTCTTAATTTTTGAAGGCAGCAGGCAGCAGCCAAAACATACCACACATCTACAGTGAGACGCTTACCACAACAATTCTGTGAAAAAGGTGTGGATGTTCCTATTTCACAGAAAAGGAAATAAAAGCTCAGAGGAACTAAAGAATTTTCTACACGTCACCTGTTGGTAAGTAAATTTTCTTATTCCAATTGCATTGTTTCTTCTCTTAATGTTATCTGTCTATAGTCTGTGCATATGGACCAATTAAAGAACTCACACAACTGTGGCCCATCCAGCAAGTCCCAAAGCCCCACTCACACACACGTTTCCCCCCCTCAGTTTAGAGGGGGATGTGTATCTGAAATACACCTGACGTTTTCATGATTTAACTGTAACCACAAGGAAAAATACAAGGTATGGCATTCATGTAGTTTATTGATAAGTAAATTACGGGGGTTTAATTTTCCCTTCTTCTTGTATAGATTAAGTTACTCGCCTTCAAGCAATATTACTCCTAATTACAGGAGTGATCAAATTAAATTCCTAGATATTAGTGCTGAAAATTGACTTTCCTTCTTGGTAATCACTGAAGTTCATATAACGTATTTGGTACTAATTCTCTAGTGCTTCTTGAAAATGACCTCTAGTGCTTAGTAAAAATTAATTTTGTAAAATGCTTTCACATTTGGAGAACAGGGATGAGGCCTTCAGGTCAAGGATATAAGAAAATTAAACTTTTAACATTTAAGACTTTCATTTCTTCCCGTGGTTATTCGAACTTTTGTAATTTTTGTGAATAAGGGCTTCATGGTATTTTTGTTCTTTTTTTGTGTTTTACTTTAAAAGTGGCTTAAGTAGGGAATGTAAAAAAAAAAAGGCATTAAGGCTGAATTAAAGCAATGTTTCAAGTGATGAGGCATAGTGGCACTTACTTCACAATAGCAATGGCGGGAGTTTTGTGTGCACAAGTCTACAGTGCAATCACCAGAGATTTAATGAGTAAATGCCCCTAAAAACATGTAAGAATTAACCAAAATGTAAGGCAGTATTCAAAAAGTAATATATGTTAGATACGAAGTAAGTGAAACAAGAAGACAGAGGAAAGAAAGATGCAATTATTACCCAAAGAGATTTGTGGAAGGAGAATTTAAATTTGAGTCAAAGAATGGATTGGAGGGCATGGAGGAAAAATTCAGGTAGCGAGAAGACCATCAATAAGTCATAAATACTACAAAGTTCTTATAATAGAACAGTGATGTGGTTATATCTAAATTGAAATTTCTCAACAAATTCCTTTCAATAACCTGCCAAATCTAGGAAATGGAATTGCCCTAAGTATATATATGCCTTGCCTGGCAATCGTGATGGAGGTCTTGAAATTTACACATCCATCAAAAACCAGAAGATAGAAAATATCACCATTGCTTTCAATATGAAATTTGGGAGGTTGGGGGCAGTTAAAACTCTTTTATGCTAATTGTGAGTATTTTGACACCTGACACTTAATGGTTGATATTTTTAAATGGATTTTTATAATTTGAGTAGGTCTAGGAGGAACTGAAGTTTACAGTTAATCTAATTTTAAAGACAAATTCTAAGGAAAAAATAAAAACAAAACGCAGGGATGAGGCTATGTTTAAAAAATCTTAAGGAAAATTTCAGATAACCATTTAATCAAAAAGCTAATGTGATAATTGTCATTCTTTTTCATTCACTAATGTGTCATATAAAATGAATTAAAAACTTTGCTTAAGTTACAAATACATCTTTTTAAAATTTTATGATTCAAATAACCTATTTTTTTAGTCTGAATGAGAGAGACTTATTTAGCATGTTCTCTTTTATAACTGTTTGACAGCCAATTTTTTGAATAATAGTGTAGGAAAATTACTTTTTTCACCTCTTTCTATTTTAATGATAGTATCACCTAGTACTAATAGTTATAAGATAAAACAATATAATTTTTAATGTGTTTAGATTATATATATTATATATGACAATTGCAGTGCAAATTAGTATGGGTGAGGTTCTTAATTTAACATCACCTGTGTAACTAGGTTACAATAGCACCATGCCTACTCAGTAACGATAACTGATATATTTGCACATCTGAAACATAAAAAAAAACCTTGCACCTCTGTGAAGATGTGGAATACAGTTATGCCTTGATTAATGATGGAGCTACATTCTGAGAAATGTGTCATAAGGCGATTTCATTGTTATGCAACATCATAGAGCATACTTACATAAACCTAAACAGTATAGCCTTCTGCACACCTAGGCTATATGGTATAGCCCACTGCATCTAGGCTACAAATCTGTACAGCATATTATTCTCCTGAATACTGTAGGCAATTGTAACACACTAGTCTTTATGTATCTAAACATATCTAAATAGAGAAAAGGTACAGTCAAAACATGGCATAAAAGATTAAAAAATGGTACACCTGTATAGGGCACTTAACCATGCATAGAGCTTTCAGGACTGGAAGTTGCCCTGGGGAGTCAGTGAATGAGTGGTGAGTGAATGTGAAGGCCTAGGACATTATTGTCTGCTACTATAGACCTTATAAAAACTGTACACTTAGGCTACACTAAATTTATACAAATATTTTTCTTTCTTCAATAATGGATTAACTTTAGCTGACCGCAACTTTTTACTTTGCAAACTTTTAAATTGTTTTACACTTTTTGACTCTTCTGTAATAGCACATAGCTTAGTACACAGATACGTTTGATAGTTACACAACATTTTGTTTTTTATATCCTTAGTTTATAAGCTTTCTCTATTTTTAAATTATTTTATTTCATTTTATTTTTTAAACATTTTGTTAAAGCTATGTCACAAGCACACACATTAGCCTAGGCCTACACAAGGACAGAATCATCAAGACATCACTAGAAGACAGGAATTTTTCAGCTCCAGTATAATCCTCTGGGACCACTACTGTATATGTGGTCCACTGTTGACCAAAATGTTGTTACGCAACTAATGTCTATGTTTTCATCACCCAAGAAATATTCCTTTTGCAACTCCCCAGACAATCCTTTCCTATTCTCCACTATCAAACCCATTAGTCACTGTTGTCATTTTTTTCCCTATAATCTTTTCCTATTCTAGAACTTGATTTAAATGAGATCAAAAAGTATATAATATTTTATGTCTGGTTTCTCTTGCCTAAAACAATTTTTAGGTTGATCCACATTGTTGCTTGTACCTGTAGTTTGTTCCCTTTGATTGCTGAATATTATTCCACTGTATAAATAAATTATAATATTTTAACTTATTTTCCTCTTTATAAACATTTTGGTTGTTTTCAGTTCTTGGTTATTATGAATAACGCAGAAGTTGAATATTTGGGTATAACATGTTTTTATAGACATACATTTCTATATCTTGGAAAATATAAAAAATATAATTGCCAGTTAATAGCATTCGTGCAATTATTCATTTCTATTAGAAATTGCCAAACTAAATTCTGATGGTTTTTAAAAAATCATTTTTATAATTCTCGTTGTGGTGTTCAGATTGCCCCACATATTTGCTAATATTTGGTATTGTCCCTCTTTTTTATTTTAAACATTCTAATAGGTGTGTAGTATTATCTCACTGTAATTTTAGTTTTCATTTCCTTGATAAATAGTGATACTGAGTATTCACTAAATTATTAGCCATCTGTGTATTGTTTCATGAAATGCCTATTCAATAGTTTTTCCCATTGTTTATTGTGCAATTTGTTTTCTTAGTATTTATTTGTAAGAGTTTTTAATACAATCTGAATACAACTTCTTTGTCAGATATATGTATTATGAATATCTTAATCTATTCAGTGCTTGCATATTCATTTTGCTGAAGATGTATTTTCAATAGACTTCGTTTCTAGAGAATTTTTAGTTTTACAGAAAGTATAGAGAGTTATTGTATACTCATTCTCTCACACATATATTTTGCCCTATTGTAAATATCATATATTTTTGTGGTACACTTGTACAATTGATCTATGTACTGAGTCTGATAAATTATTTTTCATTAAAAATAATTTATATTAGGGTGCACTCTTTATGATATACAGTTCTATGGGTTTTAAAAAATGGATAATATTATGAATCCTCCATTATAATATCATTAAGAATAGCTTAACCACCCCAAAAATGCTCTGCATTCCATATATTCATTCCTCTCCACCTCAGTGTCCCTGAACTGTTGGTCACCACTAATATTTTTACTGTCTCTATAGTTGTATCTATCCTAGAATGTTATACACTTCATATCAAAAAATATGTTGCCTTTTCAGAAAGGATTCTTTCACTTAGCCATATATATTTAATCTTGTAGTTTTATGACATTTTTGTCCCTGAATTCTACTTCATTATATGAATGTAACACAGCTTATTTATTCATTCACCTATTGAAAGACATCTTGGTGGCTTGCAATTGTGGAAATTATGAATAGGCTTGCTAAAAATATTTGTGTGTGGGTTTTTGTGAGAACGTAAGTTTTCAACTCATTTGGGTAAATACCTAGGAGTGTGATTGCTTAATCATATGGTAAGCCTATGTTTAACTTTGTAAGGAATTGCCGAGCTGTGTTCCAAAAAGGCTCTAATCATTTTGCATTTCCACAATCAACAAATCAAAGTTTCTATTGTTCCACATCCTCACCAGCATTTGCTGTTTTCAGTATTCCAGATTTTGGCCATTTTAACAGGTGTGTAGTGGTATCTCATTGTTTTAATTTGAAATTTCATAATGACCTATGGTGCTGTGCACCTTTTACATGGTTATTTACCATCTGTATGTCTTCTTTGGTGAGCCGTGTTTTGTGAGCTTTGGCCTGTTTCTTAAATTGGGTTGTAGGCTTTCTTACTGTTGTGATAAGAATTTCTTGTGTATTTTGGAAAACAGTCCTTTACTAGGTATGTGTTTTGTAGTTATTTTATCGTAGTCTGTGCCTTGTTTCTTTATTCACTTACCATTGTCCCCTGTAGAGCAGGAGTTTTAAATTTAATGAAGTCCAACTCATTAACTTTTCCTTTAATATGTTGTATCTAAAAGCTCACTGCCAAACCTAAGGTCACCTAGGTTTTCTCCTGTGTTATCTTTTAGGAGTGTGATAGCTTTGTGATACATATTGAGTAAATTTTTGTAAAAAGTGTAAGGTTCATGTCTATATTGTGGCTTTTGCTTTTGTTTTTCTTTTTTGGGGGGCTTTTTTTTTTTTGGCTTCTGGATGTCTAGTGGTGCCAGCATCATTTATTTGTTAAAATAGACCATCCTTGCTCCATTGAATTGTCTTTTCTTCTTTAGCAAGTATCAGTTGACTATACTTGCACGTATCTCCTTCTGGACTCTCTATTCTGTTCCATTCATCCATTTTTCTGTTCTTTCACCAATAAAAGATAATGTTGACTACCCTAGCTTTATAGTGAGGCTTGAAGTCAGGTACTCCTACTTTCTTCAACACTGTGCTGCCTATTTGGGTCTTTTCCTTGAGCATATATATTTCAGAATCAATCTGTTGATCTATGATTTTGAGTGCCATTCAGTGACATATAGATCAAGTTGGAAAAATTGACATCTTACCAATATTGAATCTTTCTGAACATAGAATCTCTTTCCATTTATTTAGATCTATAATTTCCTTCATCAGAGTATTGTAGTTTAGCTCACATAGATCTTATACAGATATTGTTAGGCTTATACCTAAGCATTTTATTTTATTCTTAGTGATAATGTAAATTTTGGCAAGCTTTTTATTTCAAGTTACAATTGTTCATTGCTGATACAATGGCACGTGACTGACTTTTGTATATTAACTTTTTTTGCAAATTTACTATAATTGCTTAGTACTTTGGGGATATTTTTGTTTATTATTTGAGATTTCTACAAAGAAAACAATTTCTTCTATGAACAAAAGCAGTTTTACATTTTTCCTCTCAATTTGTATTTCTTTTCTTTTCTTTTATTGATTAATTACATTAGCTGTGAGTTCCAGTACAATCTTGTATTGGAATGGTGAAAGGGGATAGTGGAAGATCTTCTACATTCCCATCATTAAGACTGATGTTCGCTGTAATGTTTTTTGTACCTACTTTTTATCAAGTTGAGGAAACTTTCCTCTATTGCCAGATTGCTGAGAGTTTTTACAGAGAATAAGTGGTAAATTTTGTTACATGCTCTGTTTATTATTGATATGATCATGTGACTTTTTCAGCCTAATGATGTGATAGACTACGTTAATTGATTTTAGACTGTTGGATAAGCTTTGCATATTTTGAAGAAATCCCACCTGGTTGTGATGTATAATATACAATTTTTATATATTTATATATTTTATCTTAACTTTTATTTTAGGTTCAGGCATACTTGTGCAGGTTTGTTACATAGGTAAGTTGCATGTCACGGGGGGTTAATGTATAGATTATTTCATCACCCAGGTAGTAAGCATAGTACCCAATAGGTAGTTTTTTGATTCTCATCCTCCTCTCACCCTCCACACTTAAGCAGGCTCCAGTATCTTTGTGTCCATGTGTACTCAATATTTAGCTCCACTTGTAAGTGGAAACGTGGTAATTTTCATTCTGCATTAGTTTGCTTAGGATAATTACCTCCAGCACCCTCCATGTTGCTGCAAAGGACATGATTTCATTTTTTTATGGCTGCATAGTATTCTATGGCGTATAGTACCACATTTTCATTATCCAGTCTAGTGTTTATGGGCATTTAGGTTGATTCCGTGTTTTTGCTGTTGAGAATAGTGCTGTGATGAACATAGGCATGTGTGTGTCTCTATAATAGAATAATTTGCATTCCTTTGGAATGCCAAATAATGGGATTACTGAGTGAAATGGTAGTACTATTTTAAGTCCTTTGAGAAGTAAACTAAACATCTTTTCCCAATGGCTAAACTAATTTACATTTCTAACAGTAGTTTATAAGTATTCACTTTGCATCCTAGGGAAAAAGCCTACTTGATTGTGGTGGATTAGCTTTTTGATGCACTGATGAATTGGGTTTACTAGCATTTTTTGAGGAATTTTGCATCAATGTTCATCAAGGATATTGGCCTAAAGTTTTCTTTTTTTGTTGAGTCTCTACCAGGTTTTGGTATCAGAATGATGTTGGTCTCATAGAGTGAGTTAGGGAGGAGTCCCTCCTCCTCAACGTTTTGGAATAGTTTCAGTAGGAATCGTACCAACTCATCTTTGTATGTCTAGTAGGATTCAGCTGTGAATCCATCTGGTCCTTGGCTGTTTCTGGCTGGTATGTTTTTTTAATACTGATTCAATTACAGAATTCATTATTGGTCAGTTCAGGTATGTAATTTTTTTCTTGTGCCACCTTGGGAGGTTGAATGTTTTCAGGAATTTATCCATTTCTTGTAGGTTTTCTATTTTGTGTGCAGAGAGGTGTTCATAATGATTTCTGAGGTTTTACTGTATTTCTAATGGGCTGGTTATAAAGTTTCCTTTGTCATTTCTGACTGTGTTTGTTTGGATTTTCTCTCTTTTTGTTTCCTTATTAGTCTAGCTAGTGGTGCATCAATCTTATTTATACTTTCAAGGAACCAACTCATGTATTCATTAATATTTTGTATTTTTTCACATATCATTATATCATTTTTATTCAGTTCCATTCTGATTTTGGTTACTTCTTTTCTTCTGCTAGCTTTGGGGTTGGTTTGTTCTTGTTTCTATAGTTCCTCTAGATTTAGTGTTAGCTTGTTGAGATCGTTCTAACCTTTTTATCTACATTTTTAGTACCATTAGCTTTCTTCTTAGCATCTCTTCAGCTGTGTCCTAGAGATTCTGGTATTCTGTATCTTTGTTTTCATTAGTTACAAAAAACTTCTTGATTTCTGCCTTAATTTCATTGTTTACCTCAAAGTCATTTGGGATCAGGTTGTTTAATTTCCATGTAATTATATAGCTTTGAGCAATCTTCTTTTTATTGATTTTCATTTTTATTGTGCTGTGGTCTGAGAGTGTGATTGGTATGGTTCTGTTGGTTTTGTGGTTTTTTTTTTTTAATTTGCTGAGAATCATTTTGTGGCCAATTGTGTGGTCAATTTTAGAGTATGTGCCATGTGCAGATAAGAGGAATGTATGTTCTATTGTTTTTGGATGGAGAGTTCTGTAGATGCCAGTTATGTCCACTTGGTTTAGTGTCAAGTTCAGGTCTCAAATATCTTTGTTAGTTTTCTGCCTTGGTAATGTGTCTAAGGCCATCAATGGGGTGTTAAAATCTGCTACTCTTATTGTGTGGTTATATAAGTCTCTTAGTATGTCATTAAGAATTTTTGTATGAATACAGGTGCTCCTCTGTTGTGTGCATATATATTTAGGAGAGCTAGGTCTTCTTGTTGAATTGAACCCATTACCATTATTCAGTGCCCTTCTTTGTTTCTTTTCATTTTTGGTGGCTTAAAGTCTGTTTTCTCTGAAATTAGACTAATAACCTCTTTTTTTCTGTTTTCTGTTTTGCTTGGTAGGTTTTTCTCTATCCCTTTACTTTGAACCTATGGATGTCATTACTTGTGAGGCAGGTCTCCTTAAGACAGCATACAGGCCGGGCGCGGTGGCTCACGCCTGTAATCCCAGCACTTTGGGAGGCCGAGGCGGGCGGATCACGAGGTCAGGAGATCGAGACCATCCCGGCTAAAACGGTGAAACCCCGTCTCTACTAAAAATACAAAAAATTAGCCGGGCGTAGTGGCGGGCGCCTGTAGTCCCAGCTACTTGGGAGGCTGAGGCAGGAGAATGGCGTGAACCCGGGAGGCGGAGCTTGCAGTGAGCCGAGATCCCGCCACTGCACTCCAGCCTGGGCGACAGAGCGAGACTCCGTCTCAAAAAAAAAAAAAAAAAAAAAAAAAAAAAGACAGCATACAGTTGGATTTTGCTTGTTTATCCAACTTGCCACTCTTGTCAATGTGCCTTTTAATTGGGGGCATTCAGCCCATATATATTCAAGGTTAATATTGATATGTGCAGATTTTGTCCTGTCATCATGTTGTTAGCTTATTATTATCCAGGCTTGATTGTGTATTTGCTTTCTAGTGCCAATGTCTATGTATATAAGTGTGTTTTTGTGGTGGCCATTATTGGTCTCTGCTTTCCATATTTATCACTTCCTAAAAGGCTTTGTGTAAAGCATGTCTGGTGGTAATGAATTCCCTTAGCATTTGCTTGTCTAAAAATAGTCGTATTTATCCTTTGCTTATGAAACTTAGTTTGGCTGGATATGAAATTCTTGTTTGGATTTCTTTTCTTTGAGAATGCTGAATATTAGGTCCCCAATCTCTTCTGGCTTGTTGATACACTATTAGCCTGATGGGGTTCCCTTCGTAGGTGACCTGCCTCTTCTCTTTAGCCGCCTTTAACTTTTTTTTTTCATTCTGATTTTGGAGAATCTGATGACTATGTGTCAAATAGTCCTCTGTCATGGTATCTTGCAGGAGTTGCCTGCTTTTTATGAATTTGAATGTTGTCCTGTCTAGTAAGGCTGGAGAAATTTTCATGGATGATGTCCTCAAATGTGTTTCCCAAGTTGCTTGCTTTCTCTCTCTCTCTCTCTCTCTCTCTCTCTCTCTTTCAGGGATGTCAGTGGGTTGTAGATTTGGTCTCTTTACATAATCTTATATTTCTCAGAGGTTTTGTTCATTCTTTTTTATTCTCTTTTCTTATTTTTGTCAGTGATTTTATTCAAAGAACTCATCTTTGAGCTCTGAGGTTATTTTGTCAGCTTGGTCTATTCTGATGTTAATACTTGCCTATTTATTATAAAATTTTTGAATGAGTTTTTTGGCTCTATCAGATAAATTTGGATCTTTCTTCAAATGGCCATTTTGTCTTTCAGTATTTTTATTGTTTTATTATATTCCTTAAATTCCTTGGGTTGGTTTTAGACTTTCTTCTGAATTTTAATGAATTTTATTCCCATCCATATTCTGAATCCTATGTCTGTCATTTTAGCCATTTTGATCTGGTTAAGAAACTTCATCAGGGAACTATTTTGCTCCTTTGGAGGTATGAAGACAGTCTGACTTTTCGAGTTGCCAGAGTTTTGCACTTGTTCTTTCTCATCTGTGTGGGCAAATATTCCTTTATTCTTTGAAGTTGGTTTCATTTGGATGGGGTTTTTTGCTTTAATCTTCTTTGATACCCTTGGGGGTTTGATTGTGGTATAAGGTGGGTTTAGTAGACTGTCTTTGTTTCCAAACCAGTGGCTTCTGCAGACATAAACTTGCAGGAAAGTTTCAACAATAAATACAATGAATTGCTTGAGGCTGAGTGTGGAACAGCATGACAGAGATAATATGTTTGGGCTGCCCTCTTAAAGGCATCCACATGTTCATGGGCATCAGGTCAAGACACAGGTTTTCATGATGAAGATCTGAGAAAGATGCTGTGGTCTCTCATGATGTTGCTGATTGTATTTCTATATAACTGACTCTGAATGAGTCTTAGTGCTTTGGAAAGCTAGTTCAGTACCTGCAACCCAGCCTATAATTATTTTTATATATTGTAGGATTCAGTTTGTTTACTTTTTGTCAACAAATTTTGAATCTAAATTTATATGAGCTATTGGTCTGTAGTTTTCCTTTCTTGTAATGTTTTATTTGGTATTACAGTAATGTTGGCCTTAGAAAATGATCAGGATGTGTTCCTCTGCTCATATTTTCTGGAACAGATTGTAATAAATTGATATTATTTCTTTCTGAAATATTTTGTAGAATTCACCAGAGGAAACATCTGTGCCTGATTCTCTCTATTCTGGAAACTTATTAATTATTGATTCAATTATTTTAGTAGATAAATACCTATTCATATTATAGATTTCTCCATTTGAGAGTTTTGGTAGTGTCTTTCAAGGAATTGCTCTATTTCAATTAAATTATCAAATATTGCACATGGAGTTATTAATAATGTTTTTTCATTTTCTTCTTAATGTCCACGGGATCAATTGTAATTGTTATTTCATTGCCAATATTAGTAATTTGGATCTTCTCTCTTTGTTTCTTACTACGGTTAGGGCTTCTCAATTTTAGAGATCTATTCAGAAAACTAAATTTTTGTTTCATTGATTTTTTTTCTATTTTTCTGTTTTCTTTTTTATTTATTTTTGTTCTGACTTTTATTACTTCTTTTCTTCTGTTTATTTAGCTATAATTTGCTTTAATTTTTAATTATGTTGTGGTAGAACCTTGTTACTAATTTTACATCTTTCTGATATTTTAATATACACATTCAATGATATACATTTCCTCCTAATCACTCACTTGACTTGGTTCTATATTTCATTTTAATTTAGTTCAAATATTTAAAATTATTTTGAGACTTCTCATTTGATTCATGTGTTATTAAGAAGTACGGTTTTAATCTCCAAATATTTTAGGCTTCTCCATCTTTCTTTCTATAATTGATTTCTAGTTTAATTATCTTGAGAGAATACGTTGCAAAATTTCTAGTATTTTAAATTTGTTAAAGTATGGTTCATGGTACAGATATGATCTTGGTGAATTATACATTGAGCTTGAGAAGAATGTGCGTTCTTCTGTTGGATGAAATATTCTATAAATGCCATTTAGATCCAGCTGTTTGCTAGGACTGTTCAGTTCAAATATATTCACATTGATTTTCTACCTACTGGATCTGTCAATTATTAATTAAAGGGATTTGTAGTCACAACTACTATAGTGGATGCAGCTATTTTTCCTTGCAATTATATTTGTCTTTGCCTCATATATTTTGATTATGTGTTGTTAGACATACAAAAATTCAGGATTACTATATTTTCTTAAAGTATTGGCCCCTTTTTTATTATGCCATGTTCCTTGTTATTCCTGATGTTTTTCTTGCTCTGAAGTTTGCTTTGCCTGATATTAATATAGCTTCTCCAGCTTTGACTTGATTAGTGTTAGCATGCAATATCTTTCTCTATCCCTTTACTTTTGCTCTATCTGTGCATTTAACATAAAGTGGTTTTTTTTTAGACAAGATATAGTTGAATCTTCCTTTTGTATCTAATATGACACTCTCTTTTTTAATTAGTGCATTTAAAAGTTTTACATTTAGAGATATTATTGATATAGTTTGATTAACATATACCAACTTTGTAACTCCTTTCTATTTATTGTCTTTGTTCATTATTTCTTCTTTTTCTTCTGTGCTTTTTACTGCCTTCTAGTGTTTTAATTAACATTTTATATGATTCAATTTTCTACCCCCTTTTAGCATAGCAATTATAATTGCCTAATAAATTTGTATTATTTTGCATATAAATTTCCAGTTTTCTGAACACCATGTATTGAAGTTTTCCCAACACCATGTCTTTTCCCCAATGTTTAATCTTGGTGCCTTTCTCAAAAATCAGTTGGCTGTAAATGCGTGGATTTATTTCTGGGTTCGCTACTCTATTCCGCTGGTCTATGTGTCTGCTTGTATACCAATATTATGCTGATTTTGTTACTATAGCTTTGTAATATGTTAAAGTCAGGTAGTGTTATTCTCCAGCTTTGTTCATTTTGCTTAGGATTGCTTTGGGTACTCGGGCTCTTTTTTGGTTCCACATGATTTTTAGGATAGGTTTTTTTTTTTTATTTCTGCACAGAATTACGTTATGGGTAATGAATCCATTACTCAGAGTAAGAAAATATTTGTATTTTCCTGTATAAATATAAAAGCAAATTTTTTACTAGACAGTTTGAAAAGGCAAGAATGACTTTATTCAAGGCTATTGCAATGAGGAGGGAGAGAATGTAGTCAACTCTGCTGAAATAAAGAGTTGCAGAGTTTTTAAGGGCTGGTGTGTGTATGTGCGGGGAGGTGGGTTTCTAGGCCATTTATATTGGCTAATTGGTCGTCTCTCATCCTCATCATAGAAGGTAGTTTTAGAACTTTGAGAAAATGCCCACCGCCTACATAAGTGAGGCTCTTATTCTCTCATAGACAGTAGGAGATGGGGAGGCTATCTTCCCTGATGATTACACTTCAAAGAGATGGTTCCTAGGACTTTGAAAAACAAACAAACAAAATTCCTAGGTTGTAAAACTAGTAGAAGTCATTTAAAAAGAGGTATACCTCAAAAGATCAAAGAAAATACTTACAAGTTTTCTCAGGAAATTGGTCTAAGAAAAGGGAGGTCAGGTCCTAGAATCAGGACAATAACCAACTGTCTAAGTTTAGTCAACCTGAGAGAAATGTTGGGGTCCTCTTGGTCAATAGGCATAGAAAGAATCCTGGCTTTACAATAACTGTATCTTATCCTGGCTTTACAAGAACTGTATCTTATCATTCAACCTAGCTGATTTTTAATGACTTGAGTCCTATATTCAAGGCCAGGGTAGTCATAGCAAGCTGATTCTCTGAAAAGCTGGAATGTTTGAAAGAGAAATTTTATACTAGATGACTTAGATAAATATTTGAAAAAATCTAAACACTAAAATCTAGTATCAAAATATTTTGGAAAAGGAATATGGTTATATTTTAAAAATTTATTTACATTTAAGTTTTTTTATTTCAATAGTTTTTGGGGTATGTGTTTTTTTAATTACATGAATGAGTTGCATAGTGGTGAAGTCTGGGATTTTAGTGCACTGTCCCTCCCCATTCTGAGTCTCCATGGCCCATTATACCACTCTATATGCATTTATGTACCTATAGCTTAGCTTCAATTTATAAGTGAGAACATATGGCATTTGGTTTCCCATTCCTGAGTTATTTCACTTAGTAGCATGGCCTCAAGCTCCAACCAAGTTGCTGCAAAGTACATTATTTCATTCTTTCTTTTCAGAGTAGTATTCCATGGTGTACATATACCACATTTTCTTTATCCACTCATTGGTTTATGGGCACTTAGGTTTGTTCCATATCTTTGCAATGTTAATTGTGTTGCAATAAACATATGCATGCAGGTGTCTTTTTAATATAGTGACTTATTTTCTTTTGTACTCAGTAGTGGGATTGCTGGATAAAATGGTAGATCTACTTTCAGTTCTTTGAGAAATTTCCATATTGTTTACCACAGAGGTTGTACTAATTTACATTCCCAGCAGCAGTGTGTAAGTGTTCCCTATTCACCATATCCATGCAAACATCTATTATTTTTTGACTTTTTAATGACAGACATTATTGCAGGAGTAAGGTGGTGTCTCATTGTGGTTTTAATGTGCATTTCCCTGATGATAAGTGATGCTAAGCATTTTTCATATGTCTGTTGGCCATTTGTATTTTTTCTTTTAAAACCTGTCTATTCATGTCATTTGTCCACTTTTGATTGGATTATTTGTTTTTGTTCATGCTGATTTGTTTGAGTTCTTTGTAGATTCTGAATGTTAGTCCTTTGTGCAAATATTTCCCCCCCTTCTGCTAAACATCATAGAATTTTGAAGTGTAAACAGCACTGTAGCTGAAAAGATAATCCCTTGAATTCCACATATCATAAAAATTCAAACTTTAATACGTTCATGTCATAAAAATATCAAGCCACTTTACACTAATATAATTAATAGGTTTATTTAAGCCTTCTTCTTTATAGTTTCTCTCCTTGAGTTTTATTAGTCAAATCTTCAAAAAAGCACTCCACACAGAAGTAAGAAGGCAGTTATTGATGTAACAGCAAATTGTATGAATAATCACATATTAAAGTTGAATAAATGCTCAATTTCAAGTATTTTATAGGGCACTGATATTTAAATATTGAAATATTATTGCTCCAGTGATTGGGTTTCCTGAGGCTATTTTTTAAAAGTTGTGGGCTTGTCTATTTATAGCTGCTGCAAGGGTAAAATCAGGATGGTAATAGTGATTTAGCACAGAAAACTCCGGAGATGAAAAGCCAAGTAGATTATTTTTCAGTGCTTTCATTATGTCACATTCAGATACAGCTATATTTTCTCTTATTTTACCTTCATTTAAAATTTGTTATTTTCATGTTGGCATCCTGGGTTCACTGTGAATTTGTCTCTATACTTATTCCCAACCACAGTTCTACATTGCTGATCATATTTAAAAAAATACAGACAAAGCTTTACCCAAAAGTAGTTCTTGTTGTAACTGGATATAAGTGCTATAATAACAGCTCATTCAAGGTGTTAATGGAGCAATAAAATGTGGAGCTAGCTGCTGGAAGTATTCAAATAAGGCATAGGGCACCAAGGTAGTGTCATTTGAATGAAGGGGCAGCAAAAGAACAATGGAGACATTCTACCCATTAAGGAGCAAATATATAGTCATAGGGACATGGTAAGTCACTGGGGAAAGCAAGCAGCTTTAGGTGCTAGAGTGCAGTGTCTTTGGAGGAGGTAAGTCAGGAAAGAAAAAGATTTATAGGAAATATAGGAAAAAATAGAACTATGCTAGGGAAATTCTGTGTATTGTGATTGCTTTCAAGAAGATAATTGACAAACAATGGATTTTCTTAATAAAGTTAATGCAACCAGACTTTGGGGGTATTAATTTTTGGATCAGGAAAATGACAGTTGGAGAAATAAAAAAGAAGAAGACCACATAGAAAAAATATTATAATAGTCTGGATGGGAAGAGATACTGAGGTTCCACATTCTCACTCTTATTTCAGATATTGAATAGTTGATTAATTTCTAATGATAATTAATTCTATCTTCTTTACAGGAAAGATATATAATAATTCAAGTGCAAATCCTGTGTCAACTTGTGGAAGACAAAAGCATATAAGACATGGCTGTTGACCTAGTAAAGCTCACGGTATCATGGTATACAAACAGGAGTAGAAATGGCTGTAATTCAAAGCCTTGGCTTACAGCAAAGATGAAAGTCAGTTAAAAGGAATAAATCATGCACCAAAACTTAATGTTAAGTGTATTATTTAGATTCCCTTAAATATTTCGTCTTTGGTAAAATTTGCAGTTTCTACTGTTTCATTCTTTTAAGTTTTAAACAAAAACTACAAACGGTCACATAGAATGACAGAATTGACATAACCCAGATTTAATTTCTTTTGTTTATATTCATTGTGTTATTATTTATTATTTATTTTGAATCTACTTTTTAATATGTAGTATCACAGGGGTTTGAGACAGGAACTGCAGAGGTTGGTTGAGCCCTTCTCAACCATTGAAAATTTACTATTGCAGAAGATGCATGACTCAGAGTCTGCATGTGTTGGAGAAGCCAGGAGGGAACTATTGTATAATTAGTATTTGTAGTAACATCTTTGTTGAGTACAATGCTTATTAAATACTAAGCAAAAATCATGTTGTAAGTCAAAGCTCATGTATTAATATAATTAATAGTTACCACAGCATTTTTTTACAACTTAGAGGGGAAAATGCCCCATGTCCTCTTACTGGCAGAAAAGGTCACCTCTAACCACTAAGTCGGTTGGAGAGTTATATTCTCTTACTGCCAACACTGGGAATGTGGAGTGCTCCAATTTCCCACACTTGGTATGCCACTCAATCTACTTATGCTGATAACTATCTATGTATTGTTGTGAATTGGATTTATAGACTAGACTGCTGTTATATAAACTGTAATGATGTCCCAAAAGACAAGATTATTTTAGTGTAGTGCATAGGATCAGACAAGAATGCAGCTATAATAACGCCAGAAGAACACAAGTTTAGCAAATTGAACTCAAGGAACCCCTAGTATTTCTTAGAAGTAGCTCAGTCTCTGGAAAAAGAACTATCCAGTCTAAATATTTTAGTAATTTGAAAATACTGAAAAAATCATTTATACATTTTACTTTGTATAACACGAATTTCACAAGCTTCTTTATGTGCTGAAAGATTGCAAAATATTACTCTATAAAAAAACTTAAAATGTTGTTAACCAAGGCACCGAGGGCACCTAGTGACGCTTTACATGAATCATAGTAAAAGTGTCCAGGAGGGGAAGATATTATCTATTATGGACTGAATTGTATCTCCCCCAAAATATAAATGTTAAAACCCTAACCTCCAATATGACTAAATCTGAAAATAAGATCTTTAAGTATTTATGGAATTAAGGTTAAAAGACATCATAAGAGTGGGACCATAATCCAAGAGCTGGTGTCCATATAAGAAGAGATACACACCCTCTTTTTCCTCTCTCTCCCCACCCAACTCTGCATGTACAGAGAGGAAGGACATGTGAGCATACAAAGAGAAGGCAGCCATCCACAAGCCAGGAAGAGAGGCTTCACCAGAAATAAACCTTGATGACACCTTAATTTTGGACTTTGAAAGGCTCCCAAATGATGAGAAAACAAATTTATGTTGTTTAAGCAGCTATGATGTGGCATTTGTTATGGTGTCCAAGCTGACTAATACATCATCTTAAATGTAATACCCGCAATTGTACCATAAATTATAATAATTGAAGCTACTTCCAAAACTTGTGAAAACGGAACCATATATCCATGAAGCATATTTACTTCATGTATCTGCCCTTAGAACTATGTCACATATTTGAAGAGTAACCAGACTTCAAGTCTAACTGTATTCAGAACTCATGAATTATTTGCATTACCCAATAAAATCAAATTATTCATTTGACATTAGGATATTAATATTTCCCAGATTACTGTAAACCTTTCAAATTTCATAACTTTTATTTTATAATTATGATGCTTGAAGAGACAGTATTTGTTTATGGATAAGAAATCTGGGATCCAGGGGGAAATAAAAAAGAAATATCACACTCCTCATAGTAGTGGGGAGAAGGCTAAAATCCAGGTTTTCTAATTCCCTGTCTATCTTTATTTGTTCTACATCAAACTATCTTTTAACTCTTACCAATATAATCCTTTTTTTAGACAGCACAGGAATTTCAATATTCCCAGACAAGCCATGTTGATTCATGTTCCAAAATGCTATTTATAATAATAATAATAATCATCATCATAACAAATGCTCATGTAGTACTTATTATGTGCTGGCACTTTTCTAAGTGCTTGACATTTATTAACTTATTAACTTCATTAACTTTTGAAATAAGTACTATTCTCATCTTACAAATGACAAAATTAAAATGCAGAAAGAAAAATGTTAAATTGCTTAAAATCACACAAATGGAAAGTGAAGTCTGAAGTCATAACATTGAGAACATAATAAGATTGGCTAGAAGTGAAAAAAATCGACATGTCTCTATAGAATGAGAAAAGAAATTCACTTTTTTCACATTAGAGAAATTGCGGCAGCCCAGTAATAATCTAGAGAAACTGCCAAAGATAGGCATAGGACTTAGAGAAAGTTCCAAGCAATGTGGTGGATACTGACCCTCAAAGAAGAAACAATCGTTAAAAATTTCCTAGATCAAGATATGATGTAGGAAGTGTCAACAGATGTCCTAATATACAAATAAAATATTGCTACTCTATGTTATTCTAAATATTATATATGTCTGTCTGCAATATGTTTTGTATGTTATTCTACCCATATGATTTACAAGAATCTTCAGAAAACTATGAAAATGTACAGATTCAGTACATGAACTTATATTAGCTGTTATTTTGTTTTGCTGTTACTTTGATATTCCATTTTTAATTGCAATAATGGATGAGTTAACAAAAGTCTTAGAATTCTCTGATGAAGCAAGATTATGCTATTAGTTTGCTGGAGCTATGACAGAAGGTAGAATAATTGTCAAATCATTATGTGCTTCAATTATAAAATGTGTATTATATATTATATATAATAGACCTGTGAATTCTATGATTATGTTCCATTCTTCCTACATAAAAGTTTGATTATGATATATTGAATATAATTTCAAGGAATGTAATTTATAACTTCACAATATCTTTTGCTTCACTAAAACATCCAGAAAGTATAAAGAAATCAGTAGCACATTGTATTAATCTGGTTCTTGAGAATTTTTTAAGAGGAAACATTCAAGGTACCCATGATAAATTTTAATATGCAGGGATGAAACTAGGGATTATTGCTAGATACACTTATTAAAAAAAAAGCATTAGAGTTGATGTTCTAGATTTTTTTTGTTCCATGGACTCTTATGGATAGCTGGTGAAGCTAACGGACCCCCTGCCATCTTATTAGAATAATACTTTTAAATATATAAAATCCCATAAGATTACAAAATCAATTATACTAAAACATATTATCAATAGTGTAAAATCATATTTGTTATTTAGTAACATGTATCTTAATAAATTGATTACAAAGTAACACATTTAAAATATTGGCAATTTAAACTTAAATTTTGTTTTTTTAAAGACGTGCCTATGTGAAAATTGCTAACTCTTCTAATCTACACGTCTATATGTCTTAGAAAAGGTTACACTCTCTGAGTTAAGCATTCTCATTTGAACTCTCATGTTTTACGACAAATAATGATAATTACTCACCTCTTTCCATATATTCATAAACAATTGAGAATTGAGAGTATTTGAATGTGGCATATCTATCTATATAACCATTGTAAGAACACATGATTTCAAGATTTAATTTGCTAAATGACTCCTAGGTGTGGAGTTTTCCCAGTACTGGGAGGTTAGTGTTGATCAAATATTTGTAGACAGAAATAATGAGTTGAACCTTGATGAGGAATTTGGTTTATAACTAAAGAAATCCCAAGTTAGTGATAATCATAAGTTATATATACAGCACCTCTAACATGGAATAGAAATACCTGCAATATCTTCTGATGATTAAGTCACAGTTATTAATACTCTATACTTTCTTGCCTATATTCATAGGGAACCCCAATAAAACACTTAATTTAAGTAAATGTTACTGAAAAAAATATGATTTTTTTTCCTGCCTTCATGTCCATAGACTCCCTGGATTCAGTATGTGAAACTCCTTGGGTATCTATGGAGCCTGAAGAATAATGCCTGAATTAATAAAAAGAAAATGGCAACTGCTAACATTTAGAGAGGCATGAGTATCGTATTAAATTTTCCTAAGTAAGCTACTAAATATTCCACTGTAATATGTTTTATTTGCTTATTAAAAAATTCCTACTTGTTTATAATTATATTCAACTATGAATTGATGATTAGTAACAAATATACTGAAAGTTCTGAAACTACTGAAGATTTAAATAATTAAGAAATATAGACTTTTAATGTAAAGTCAAAATTAAAATTTAATTTAAAATATCTGACACTTTGTCAGGTACTCATTACGAACAGAAATTGCAGAGACAAATAAAATATTTCACTGCCATTACAGAGTTTATCATGTAGGTTAAAAAAGAAAAGAAGTCCCTTAATTTGCTTTCTAACTGAATTTTCTTTCACTTTTGTTACCGCTGTTGATTTTTACCTGAATGATTCTTAGCCTCTGCTGATTGAAGTGTCCAGGACCTATCATGACTCCTGGGATAGAAATAGAGTGCCAGGGCTTGTCATTAGACTTGCCTACCCTAGGTGGAGGGTCCTAATCACACATACTGAAAGCAGGAATTTAGTATTCAGCAAGGCCTGATTTAGAAATCGGCAAGACCTGATTTCTGCAAAATATTGCAAACACCAGTCCCTACATTTCAGAAAGCTAAATAACATGATTATTAGGAGAAGCAGTGTATCATTCAAAATGAGAAATAACATAGAAGACAGAAGACTGTCAATGAGCAGTAAAAATCAAGTTATCATTTACAGTTTCATAAATAGAGTTTTATGGAGAGATTAAGTGGTAGTGAAGAAAGACTACCTTTACTTTTAGGTTACTGAAGTACAAATGATGGGGTGTAACAAACAGAAACCCAGAACTTGAACTGGGCACACAATGATGACCCATACTGAAGTGTCAGACAGTAAAGGGATGTTTTGATAGAGGGGTGAGCCCAGCAGAAGGACTAGAAGGCTGTGTCTTGGAGAACAAATTCAGTCTAGTGACAAGCGCAATACCTGAGCAATGATTCAGTGTTACAAGTTATAAGAGTATATCTCAAACAAGCATAATCATATAGGAAAGCTGAGATTCCATGGATGCTTGGCTGGTTTTCCTCATACTCAATACATTTTCTCAGTAAAGTGTTCTAGTGGCTAAAATTCTGAAATCTATTTGTCTCTTTTGAAAATAAATCTGGTTAAGTAATTTTATACGTGTTAATTTATTAACATATGAAATCATTCAGTGGGCTTATGAAGTGCTCACTACGCATAGGATACTACATTAGCCTAGTGAATACAAAGACACATGGACGATTAACCTAACTTTGAACAACTTAAGGTCTACAGGTGACAGTGCTAAAGGTGAAGCACAGTAACACTCAAGGTGTAAACACCTATCTGTGCTTGGCCTAGGAATAGGGGCCACACAGCAATTTGAACAGGTAAGAGGAATTTTTTTTTCTTTTCTGTTTGAGGCAGGGTCTCACTCTGTTACCCAGGCTGGAGTTCAGTGGCATGATCACGGCTCACTGCAGCCTCCACCTCCTAGGCTCAAGCAATCCTCCTACCTCAGTCACCTGAGTAACTGGGACTGCAGGTGCACACCACCACACCCGGCTAATGTTTTTGTATTTTTTATAGAGACAGGGTTTTGTCATGTTGCCCAGGCTGGTCTTGAACTCCTGGGCTCAAGTTATCCTCCCACCTCAGCTTCCCAAAGGGCTGAAATTGCAGGCGTGAGCCACCACACCCATCCTGAACAGGTAAGTGGAACTTAGAGCTGAGACATGAAGGACAAGTTTTTTTTTTTTTTTCTAATTACGTAAGACAAGAGTGAACATTCTAGAAAAATGGATCAATGCATGGAAAATATACAAAAAGAAAAGGTTGTGTTATTACCATGCATTGCTGACTGTTGACATTACGGTGTGAATAATTTACCTTCCGTCTCCCAGACCATTTCTACTGATGTGGAATGACAACACTGATATCTATAATATAAAGGAAACACATAAGGAAAATAAGTAAATAATAGGAGGCATATTTCTTCCTCTTCCAACTATGTTTAGGGCTGTGCTTGCTCACAAAGGAAAAAGATTTGGCTTAGACATTAATGCCGCAGAATGATATCATAAACACTTAACTTAGATTCAGATATATGTTTTCTTTTAAATTGTCAAAGTATTGTCTCATCAATTGATAAGAAAACATAAGAAGAGTTTAAATAGCTATTAGAAAAGTTTAGCCACAGATCACAACTGACTGACTCTTCTTTACTCCAAGCAGAGGCAACACTTTCTCTCTACTTAACACAATTCAACCTGGGCTTCCTTTGGTTTTAAAAAGACAATAAGAAAGAAAAGATATAGGCTGCTCATTACCAGCATATATGGCTTCTTGATCAGGGTGGAGTCTTGTTGGTAATTCCATTTTCCGCTGAAGGCATTGCATGGCAGACTAATTGCTGGCTATAAAGGTTGCACTCATTATGCTACACTTAGCAATCCCTGGGGAAGAATGTTATTTTCCTAGCCACATGCTGCCTAATACTGATTTTTTAGAACAAGTTGCACTGATTTTTACAGATGTTGTAATTTGTGCCTTTCCTTTTTATGCTCTCTACCTCTCTAGATTCTTAATAATGTGTTTTATGCCTTATCATTTAATCAAATCACAATCCTGTGGACTACTGGATGAGTTCAAGGTGTCTAACTGTTGACCTTGCTGAATCCTACTGTGTGAAATCTAGTTATCAGAAGAATGAGATCACAGCAGTGAAAAAAAGAATGTAGATGATATATAACTGTAGTCAATTGTTTCCAGAGTAAAGAAGTCTGAACTCTTAGGTCCGATGACATTGATTGAGACTTTTCTCCTAGAAAGGTAGTGTTGGGCCCATACAAAACAGAGGATGAATTGCACAGGCTATCGTCCCTTGTGAGGGAAGAAAAGATTAATCAGTTCATTGTTGAATAGAGTGTACACTCAATTTTTCATGTTATTTGAGAAAAACTTCTTAGACTAGGCCACGAATAAACAAAATGCATTTCCTAATAAAATGGCACTTTCTTCTCTCTGTGTAATATTCAGCCTCAATAAGAGATTAACAAATAATTATAGGTTGGTTATGCACATGGATCATGAAAAAGGAAAGAGGAAGAGTCAGATTTAAGAAAGAAAACTAAGATTAGCAAAAAATAGTGATATAACATGAATAATATAATTGTGTTAAGAGTGTACTATGCATATCCCTTCACGTCTGCTTTGGGTTAAAATGCCTAGAGGAGTGTAAACTGCTTCAATTCATGCAATTTTGTGCATATTTAAATAGTTCTGTAAAAACCATGCTTTTACTTTTTCTCATTATCTATATTCTTGACTATTTATTTAAAATGTTTAAAAGATTTTCTCTGAAAATTGCACATGAATATTTTATTTAGGCAGTCTGTGTGGTCCAAGGAGCTAATACCATATATATATATAAATATTACTTTATTGTAATTGAAAGAAAATTTCAAACAAATTTTTGACAAATATAAAAATTATGTTTTTATATTTTCTTCTCAGAAAATAAAATTTTTAAAATAACTCAGATTGTTTCAAAAATAAATATAGAATTAGAATCTCAGATAAGGCTACTAAATTGATGTGTTCTATTCAATGATCAATCATAGGAAATAAAAATGACTATTGTAGAAAATATTATAATAATGCATAATGATGTTAAGTTTTCATAACATGATTAATGTTTATTAAAGAATACTATATTGGTTCACTGTGACACTGCTATAAAGAACTACCTGAGAATGGGTAATTTATGAAGAAAAGAGGTTTAATCGACTCACAGTTTCACAGGCTTAACAGAAACCATGGCTAGGAGGCCTCAGGAAACGTAGTCATGGCAGAAAGTGAAGACGGAACAAACATGCCTTACCATGGTGGAGCAGGAGTTGGGGGTCGGGAGACTGCCACACACTTTTAAACCATCAGATCTTGTGAGAACTCACTCACTATCAGGAGAACAACACGGGGGAAACCTCCCCCATAATCCAATCACCTCCCACCAGGTCCCTTCCCTGACATGTGGTGATTGTAATTCGACATGAGATTTGGATGGGGACAAAGAGCCAAACCATGTCAAATACCAATTGAGTATAATTTCTATTCATTAATTAGTAATATATCATGTTATATATTTTAATCATAGGAGTTTAAAAACATTTTTAAATGGATGAAGGTATAAGATCTCTTCCTCAGAAGAGTTCATGTAGCACACACTCGCAGGAGATGAAAAAAGTTATCTTTCTGTCCTTTCCCAGACAGTGACGGAAACCTAAGTAAGTGGTGAGTCATTGATTAGGTAGCTGGTGCTCCTTCCAGCTAGACAGCTTCCTGGTCTGCTCTGAGATGGAGTTTACAAAACTAGGCTTCCAGAATGCTTCATCACCACATGACAGACATAGAATTGGGATAATTTAATGCTGTCACTTATTCTTCTGTTCACTTGACAAATATAGTGCATCAGGCTATGTTCTGAATTCTGAGAGTACAAAACTAAAAAGAAGTATCCTGCCTTCAAGAAATTCAGTCCATTTTGAGAGAAAACTCAAATATAAATAAATAAATTAGCAGATGGCATAATAGAGCATATAGGGAGGAGAGACGGCTTAGAGATGAGGTCTAGTAAATGGAGTCCAGTCAGGGGACAGATACTACTCCAGTTATTTTATCAGGTATATTTTAATGAACGCAATTACTAACATTATTGGAGAACTGTTACAGCAAACAGAGGAACATTAAAGTGTCATAGTAGCAGTAACTGCAGGAAGCACTTAACAACCCCTTAGGCTAAGCTAACAGAGGAAAAAGGTTAAAATTATTGATGTTTAAAAGCCCAAAGGAGAAGCTCTGTGGAGCTGGAGCTCTGACTTGTAAGAAGGGGGCACTGTATGCCTGGAACAGATGCCACAGAACCTCAGAGGAAGGACTGCATAGATCTCATACTCAGATTTGAGGAAGGACTACAAGAAAGATGGTTCTGATGCCAATAAGAGGTCATTATGAGGCTGGATCTGGGGTGTTAAAAAAAAGCTGATAGTGAAATCAACTGCCATGAGTAAACTGTAATCACCAAAGTCAAGATGTGCCACCATGATGATGCTGACAAAACCACAAAGCAGTCCTGACACTGGGAGCAAAACAATAAGATCCAAAACCCTTCTCCCTCTTCTGACTTTTCAGTCTTCCTCTAGCATCTCCAGTGGCAGAAACTAAGAGGCAGCCAATGAGCAAAGCCAAAATATGACTCGCAGAATCCTTGCTAAGTATAGGAAAATGAGTTATAATCAGAGTATCTTGGAAAAAATAGTCTATTATGTGACACAGAAGGTAAACTTAAATAAGAAAATAAGGGCAGTAAAATAAGCAGAAGCTTCATAGGAGGGGACCCTGAGCTGAAGTTGAGAGAGTGAGCAAGGATTTTATAGTATGGGGCAGAAGCTTGGGATGAGCCAGGAAAAAGAATCATGGAGAGGGCTGGTTCACAAGAAGAGAAAACTAAGATACATGGACCACCAAGAATAATTGTGGGAATTTATATTTGAAAGGTTAGGCAGATAAAACTGCTTGAGTTAGATTATGAAAACCTGAAAACATCACACCGTAATTTGGATTGATATTTTTACTATGCAGCCATTGATGTTTGTAAAGGAGGCTAGTACTATGGGGGTAGATATTGCTTAAAGAAGACTGACATGGGTACATGTTATAGGATCGATTGGAAGGAAGAAGGAAATAATAAATTAGATTTTGGAAAAGGAACTATTGTCATAATATAGAAACAGTGATGAAGGTGTCAACAAGATAATCAGTGCTGACAGATTCCAAAAATATTGTAAAAGAAAAAAATTATCGTAACATTTAAATTTGTCTGCTATAAATGAAGAGAAAGGATAACTTCTTGCATAGTGAATCATAGTGCTAACAATATGTTATTTTTAGATTAAGATGAATGAATAAATTTATACTTTGGAGCTGAACATTTGGATTATAATCATCAAGAGTGAAGTGATCATATAGATAATGGGAATGCATAAGATCTGCAAGTGTATATTTTGAAAGACAAAGTCACACCAAAATAATCAGACCCTAAAGAGACATCATCCCAAGGTGAGAAAAAAAATAGGAACAGTAAAATAGCTGAGAGAAGAATCTCAAAGACATGACAGCATTTCAAAGAGCTGAATGATATAGAGCCAGAAGGAGGACAGCATTTCAAAAGAAGAAAGGACAACCTGCCTGCAGAGTCATCCTTTCTTTTCTTTCTTTTTTTTTTTTATGACAGAGTCTCACTCTGTCACTCAGGCTAGAGTGCAATGGTGTGATCTTGACTCACTGCAACCTCTGTCTCCTGGGTTCAAGCGATTCTCCTGCCTCAACCTCCCAAGTAGCTGGGATTACAGGTGTGCATCACCACGCCCGGCTAATTTTTGTATTTTTAGTGGAGATGGGGTATCATTATGTGGGCAAGGCTGGTCTCAAACTCCTGACCTCAGGGGATCCACCTGCCTCAGCCTCCCAAAGTGATGGGATTACAGACGTGAGCCACTACGCCCAGTCCTTTCTTCTTTTGAAACGCTGTCTTCATTCACTTTATTTTCTCTGATGGATTGCTCAGTTTCTATTGTGAACAACCCATCAAAGAAAATAAAGAGTAAGAAATGAAATCTGTCTACGAAAAGATGATACCACTGTCACAGAATCCTTGGGGTGTCACTTTTCAAGCCAGAAATCTCTATAGCCAATGGTGCCTTTGCCTGAGTTTTGCTCTGGCCTGATGGGCTCATTCCACCCACTTGGCCTGGCAGGTTGTACTCAGCTCATGCTACCAGGCTGGATCCCACACCTGCCAAGATTGAGCCAGGGATGGAGCAGTGAGGGGTGTGTGAGCAAGTGAGCATGGGAGCCAGCCACTGGGCACAGCCAGGCATTCCAGCGGTGGCAGAGTGTGTAGCTCCAGGCACTGGCACAGGTGCCAGATCCCTGCAAGGTTACCGCTGGACCAGGCATATCGCAAGCAGCTTCCCCAGCTGGCACCAGGGAATATAGTGGCACCTGGAGGCTTGGAAATGCCAGGAATCAAAGAGCCCCAAAGAGGGAGTCACAGCCCTGGCTCAGGGAGTTCCTAGGTCTGGGCTCCCTCAAGGGCTGCAGCTCTTCTCTCCTCTTCTCTCTCCTTCTCTTGCCTGTAACATGGTGAGCAAGGGGTGTGTTTCAGCCCTATTTGTGTTACAGCTCTTGCCCTGCCACTTGACAGGTCTGGAATTCTTGTCCTGCAACCAGGAAGAATGAGGCACGCAAACAAGTGGATGATGAGCAAGGCGAAGAGGTACTTTTTTGAGTGACAGAACAGCTTAGAGACGACCTGCAGTGGGTAGCCCCTTTCTGCAGGCAAGGCATCCCAAAGAGCATTTAGCTTTCAGCAGAGAGGAGACCCACAACAGGTAGTCCCAACATCTGCTCAGCTCTCAACTGAGAGGAGACCCAAAATGGGTAGCTCTGTGCAGGCAGGGCATCCTGGCGAGTGTTCAGCTCTCAGCAGAGAAGAGATTCACAGTGGGTAGCTCCTCTCTGTAGGCAGGTCATCCTGTTTTCTGCCCCAGTCTGGTTGAGCCCAGGGTTTTTACGGACCTCAGAGAGGAGGAATTGCATGCTGATTGGTCCACAGGTGCCACTAGCAACTCATAAAAGCACCACAAGTTCTCACGCTGGTTCGTGGAACTGGCAGCCCAATCTCCAGGCCTCAAGTCATCTCTGGCCTGAAGGTGGGGTTTCACCGGGAACCCATCCCTTTCCACCCAGGAGCCTGTTTGCCTCCTGCCACCATTAACCTGCCATCCACAGTGCCCATGGCACCAGGCTGTTTGTGCCTAGTGGTGCCTGCAGGAACCATGCCAAGCCACACTCAACCCACCTTCGGTCTCCCTCCCATGCTCGTAGGTACCCAAAATTCACAGGGGGCAGAGGTGGCGGGGGCTGGAGTGTCAGTGCTGCACTGAGTGTGTGCACACCCAGCCAGGTCATGACAGCACCTGGGCTCAGCCACCGCTTAGCTCCAAAATTAGAGTGGGTGCCAGGAGTGAGGAGAGGTCAGGCAGTGGGAGCAGGCACTTTTAAGTCTGTGGGAGCAAAGGGGCTTCCTGAGCCTCTGAGAGTGCAGAGATGCCCAGGTCTGCATTACAGCTGAGCAGCTGTAGCTGTGTCTTGGAAAGGGTGGGGGGGGCGGGGAGGGCGGGGCGGGGCTCCCGTCCCTCCAACTTGGAAGCAGACGGGGCTTCCACCTATTCCCGGCTCCTGTACTACTTTGTGGAGCATGCAGCCCCTGCGGCGCCTTCCACACTGCAGTTGGTGTCACGGCAGAGGCCGCTCCAGATGGCCCCTGCTGCCATCACAACCTTTCAGAGATCAATTTCTGAGAATGTAAGGACCAAAATCCAAAGTGCAAAGTATTAAGGTAGAAGGGTTATTGGAAAAAATAGAAGATTTTAGCAATCAAAAGAAACAAGACAATATGGCAATGCTCAAGAAAGTTATTTTCATATATAGAATGCCAAGATTTTAGAATGGATTTTTCTTCATTATATGTTGGACTATTACAATTCCAAGAAACATTAACATCTACTCCTTATAGAAATAGTATTATGTGCTCTACAGTCCTGTGATAAGCACTTTGTACATATTATCTAATTTAAGTCTCACTTTTTAAAACAGAAGCAGTGTTGTGTTTATTTGAACTAGAACAAGGTACTTGTTTTCAGAGATGAGGCAGCATCATCGAGGTCACAAGGGTAAGATGTGTTTAAATCCACAATTATGTTAATGAACTTGCCCAGTTTTCCCTTTATTTTTTACAGTTCATAAATTTTTTTTTATTTTGTACCTCTTTAATTAGGTGCATACACATTTATGATTGTTATATCTTTCTTATTAATTGATCTTTATTTTAAATTATCTCTTTTTCTGCTAATAGTTTTTATCTTGAGGTTTACATTTATATTAATGTAGACAAAATAGCCTTATTTTTACTTTTTGAATGGCATATTGTTATTCACCCTTTTTCTTTTAATGTTTTTCTGCCTTTATATTTCAAATTAATCTCTTTTAGATGGCATAAATTTGAGACTGCCTATTATATTTACTGTGATGATATCTACTTTTAATGGGACTATTTATTCAGTTTACATTTAGTGGAATTAGTGATGGGAATTGGTTTGTAGTGTCCATTGTTCAATTTTTCCTATCTGATTTTGGTTTCTATGTTCCTCCTTTTCTGCCTTTTTGAATTAATCAAAAATTTTATTCTCTTTTAATTCTTCTATTGATGTTTCTAGCTATACTTTCCTAGTTTTCTGTTTTTTCTTTCTTTTTTGGGGGGGCGGGGGACGGAGTATTGCTCTGTCACTAGGCTGTAATGCAGTGGTGCGATCTCGGCTCACTGCAACCTCCGCCTCTGGGGTTCAAGCGATTCTCCTGCCTCAGCCTCCCTAGTAGCTGGGACTACAAGAGCATGCCATCACACGTAGCTAATTTTTGTATTTTTAGTGGCGACGGGGTTTCACCATGTTGGCCAGGATGGTTTCAATCTCCTGACCTCGTGATCCGCCTGCCTCGGCCTCCCAAAGTGCTGAGATTACAGGCGTGATCCACCGCCCCCAGCCCTTACCTATGTTTTAATTGTTAATGTAGGAATTATATTGTTGGCTTTATCATGATCTACTTACAGGTGATATCAACTTCATGTAAAATATAAGCACCTAGAATAGTTCAATTTCCTTTACACAACCAAATTTTTGGCAGTATTATATAAATCTATATTTTACATCTTCCTAAGCTATAAACGTCATAATAGATGACTTTTTTGCATTAAAATGTCAACTGACTTTTAGATAAATTAAATGAAGAACATTTATATATTCTTTTAAAGTTACTGTCCTGTGTAGACAACCCTTCCAGTGTTATTCTTTCTTTCCTGTAGTTGTATGTTTCCCTACACTTAGGCTGGTATCATATCCTTTTAGCCCTAAAACACTCCTCAATATTTCTATTGAGACAAGTTCTGGCAGTTACAAATTCTCTCCTCTTCTGTTGCTCTGAAAAAAGTATTTTGCCTTCATTTTTGAATAATATTTTTACCGGATATTGAATACAGACAGTCCTCACTTTATGTGATTCTGGTATGTTTGAATTTCAGTTACCATAATTAAATAATACCAGTGCCACACAACATGGTTTAAGTTTCAGTGTTTACAGTATATTAAATGTAATTTCCTAAAGTATTAATTTTATTCTTATTTCTTCAATCTACAAATCACTATTTAAATAACAGATGCATATTATGACTGGTGACCAAATCACATCATTTCTTTCAAGTAATTCGGTAATTAATCACTTGACCTCTATTGTGCAGTTCAAGTACAGAAACCAACACATGTATTCGTGTTGCCTTTTTGTCTCTCAGTGATAAACTAATATGACATTTTACAAAAATGGATAACTGAGAAAAGGAATTGGTCAACAAAGATGGAAGCTCAGCAGAGAAACAAAAATGATATAATGCTTGAAGTGAAATTTGATTTCAACATAAATGGAGTTATAGAAGATATAGCTGACTGTCAGAATGTGGACACTTGTCATTCTAGAAGCTCTAGCTATGCAGCTAGTAGACAGGCAAGTTTTTAATTTACAGATATTTTCACATCAAATTTGATCCTTTAACTTTGAAAAGGTAAGGTCTTATGAAAAGGTAGGATGATTCCAAAGTTACAGTTTGTAATATTTGAAGATCAAAACTCCATCTAATAATTTTATAAAAGCTACAGAAATCATATTCAGAAAAGTACACACAAATGTATTCTTCTACCTACAAATTCAAAGATTCACATGAACACTGAAGCCCTGTTAAGGAATCAAATAAAAAATAAAAACAAATCCAGTCTGGAAACTGATTTTTTTTTAAATTTCTCAGTCTAACAACACATGTTTATTTTAAACATTTTGACTCTGTTTCAACAAATACACACACACATACATGCTCACACACATAGTAAAACATAAAAGTAATTTTTAAAAATTTTTGACCCAATGTAGAAAATTTACATTAAAAAGTGAGTGTGATTAAATATACAACTGATGTGAAAGCGTTATTTAAGCTACTAAACACGAAGCTTTCAGAAGTGCAAATTTTCAACTGGTTCAAGAAGCTCTAGCATTACTTGTAAAGTGCTGCTCCCTCATGAGTCCTGGATAAAGGTAGCTAAAAATACTGGATTCACATACTTTTTAAACAAGAGCATCTCATGTGTTTTAAGCTATTGGATTCCTAGCTCCATTTCAGTCAATATGGGTTATCATTTACAAAGAAATAAACAACTGATCTGCAGAAATAACGCAGAATCTAATCTAAATAACCAGCTCATACTTTTAACATTAGACATCATCACACTATGATGTATTTGACTGTGATTATGAAATGGCTCAGTTAATTCCACCTTTACATTACCACCCACTGGTATTGTGAAGAGTATGTGGACTAGAATGATTTTTGTTACTTCTGTAATTGATAAACTCTGAGAACTCATTTATTTCCTATTAGTCTCCTTAAAGAAATCAGTAAGCTTCTCTTTAAGTAACCAGCAAGTAACAAGAATGTGTGCAGCAATCAAGTCTCAGGACTGCACTATTTTGTCAGTTCTTAACCCACATGATCAAATAAAATATGCTTTCTCTCCAGGATGTGCATGTCATGAACCACTGAATATAATGCTGTTGAAAAGGATCATGGGCTGGACGCAGTGGCTTATATCTGTAATCCCAGCACTTTGGGAGGCCAAGGCAGGTGGATCACTTGAGGTCAGGAGTTCGAGACCAGCCTGGCCAACATGGTGAAATGCTGTCTTCACTAAAAATATGAAAATTAGCTGAGCATGTAAAATTAGCATCTGTAATCCCAGCTACTTGGGAGGCTGAGGCAGGAGAATTGCTTGAACCTGGGAGGCGGAGGTTGCAGTGAGCCAAGATCATGCCGTTGCACTCTGCACTCCAGCCGGGGCGACAAAGTAAAACTCCGTCTCAAAAAAAAAAAAAAAAAAAGGAATTATGAAGCATAGCACATGTACATTAATATGATTTGAAAGTCTTATTTCATTACATGTTTTCCATCATATTGAATTAACATCATATCACAGTTAGCTATTGTTTATCCTAATAAGAAAATATGTAGTGTAATTAAGTCTCTGTCTCATATTTATAAAAACAGATATAATTTGGGACAGCAGATTAACTCCTATGAAATGACTAAGAATGACTAATACAGAGGACAGTTCACAGAGTAACTTCCCCAGGCACTTTTTACACATTCAATTATTCTCTTGCTTTGTGTGTGTGTGTGTATCCTTACTGAATGTGACACACATACAGAGATAAAGATATTATTTCACGCTATCTTTCTCTTTCTCCACACATATATATATACACACATATATATTTAATTTAAATTTTTCATTTCTAAGTAAATAGAAAATATGCTATGCTTGGGGGTTAAGAAAATATACATGAGATACACTCCATTTTCAAATCTCATATTAGGCTCTTTCCCTTTTATCTTTGAGAATTTCATCTTTAAAAATAAGTTACTATATTCATAAAGTGTATTTGAGACATAGCTTTATTATCTTTAAACATCATTCCAGGTAGAGCCTTACTTATCATCTAATTCACCATCTAATAGCTTTTTGAAAAGCACAATATGATTATGTAGTCATGAATTTTATATTTTACTTCTTGGAATGTTTTGGACTGTAGGGAGTTGTACAGCATTTAGTCATAATTTCTTTTATTTATTTTGAAAATCAGGGAATTCCTTATTGTATGTAATAGTATATATAGTACAGTAACTGTTAAAACTACATGCTTATTGACTTGTAAGAATTCTTTATATAATCTGGATACAAGTCCTTTGTCAGATATATATATATTATATATATATAATATATATATATAAATTTTGTCTTATTCTGGGTCTTGTTTTTTGTTTGCTGAATACTAACTTTTGAAGAATGAGTTTTGAATTTGCTCATCGTTCATGTATTATTTTTATAGCTCAATTTTTTGTGTCCTAAGAAATCTTTGCTACTCGGCACAAAGATTTCCTCCTATGTTCTCTTCTAAAAACTTTACAATTTTAGTTTTTCCATTTAAGTGTGTGATCAGGTTGAGTTAATTTTTTAGCATAATGTGAGGAAAGAGTCAATGTTCATTTTATTTTATGTGAAAATCCAATGCTCCCAGCACCATTTGTCAAAGAGACTTTCTTTATTACATGTGATAATAGATAAAATAAAATAACTGAAAAACCTACATGCTTTGGGAGAATATCTTAAGTTTTACAAAGTGTATTCTTTACCCATGTGAAGTTATATCTTTGTCACACCACTTACCATAAATTCTTGTTTTTTTGCTTGTTGCAGCACTATCAGTAGAGCAAGGTATGATATCAGCTAACCACAGAGAAAAAATTTAATGTCGGAATTGGGTAGAAAATAGGGAGAATGTTAAAGGTGGTAATCATCAACCATTGCATCAGTTTCTTTCATATGAATATCCACCAAGAAGCATATGACCTCAATAGACCAAAGAGAAACCCATAGATGACAACCAATAAATATTAATTTACTATTCACTGTCTAGAGCATGTCCACATCCACAAGATATTCAAGGAACTGTCCTATGACTCATGAAATGTTCATCATTATTTTATTTATGTCATCTGTTGTATGAACAACACAACAAATTTCATCTCATTAGGTAGGCTTGATGTTTCTAACCTAGCTTGTGTTCCATTTTGTTTTCTCATGCCACAGCTGAAGCTATGTATTTAATCTGTTTACTTCTGCAATTGGAGGGATATCTCCACTAGCCATTCACTTACCTAATACAAGTTATTAATTTATCAACATCACCTATACATGAAAGTTCCATCTCATTTTAGATGAATATTCACATATATATTCCATTAATGATCTCAATAATCATAGCTAATGATTACATTACAAATAACCAAAAATTAATCAGTAGCAGTGGAACCAAAGTAGACCAGAAGTTGCCATATAAAACTTTCCCTTCTGAAAAAGCAAAAAAAAAAAAAAAAAAAAAAAAAGAGAGAGAGAGAATAACAACTATAAGAAATACTAAGAGAAAGTGGTATTAGGATTAAAAGCTGAATTATACCATTTCTTTCTTGTTTGTTTACCTCTTCTTATCGACAGGTGGAATATTTAAGAAACATGTTCAACAAGCATTACAGGTCATAGCATAGTATTAAAGGAACTGTTTTTTTTATTTTATCCTAAAACCTCTTTTTCCCTAGTATTCCCTCCAGTGCTTGATTCTTTATATACTATGGGACTCAGCTATTATGTTTAAATTATTGTACTAAGTTTTCTGCCTTATGTATCATATAAACGCAGTAGTTTAAATATCTTTCATGTATTTTTTAAAAAACTATTTTATCATTTATCTAAAAACTTTTCATTTTAACAATAATGCATAATTATACATTATCTAGTTATACTTTGCATTTTTTAAAAAGTATATATATTTGACTAAATATTATGTACAATACATCTCATTTACAGATGAGAAAATTGAAGTTCAGAGAAACTGGTTTGCCCAAGAGAGTGACATAAGACATAAAGATGAGATTCAAACCCAGGCCTACATGACTTGGTTTTCTGTTTTCATCATTTATGTTGGACTCTATAAAGTGGTCCTTATTAATAGTGTCCTCTTCTGCAATTCAGCTATGAATACATTGAGAAATAAAAGAAGAAATAGAAGACTGGGGTTAGTATATTAACTTAACCCCCCAAAAAAGGCAAGGTAGGAAGAAGCAGTTTACTGTGGGAACCACTGCATCTGCTAACTGAACCCTAGCGTCAGGCTTACTGACCTGCACGGTCATGGGCACGCAGGACCACAGGAAGCCTCCCTTTGCTAGCAAAGGCAGAGCTCTCCCCTAGAGAAGCAGATAAAACATTCAGTTATGCTAGGATGCATAAAAGGTTTAACTGAGATAAGCCCCTCAGGGCAGAGTGTGCGAGGGAAAGCCATGGGGGTGCATACCAAAATCTGTCTTCATTGAAATCAGTAATAAGAAAAAGCAATCCCAGCTAATGCTTTACTCTAGTGAGTTTGACATAAAAGAAAACTATTTCTTTTATTGAAGAAAAAATATTTGTTTCTAAAAACTCTGTGAAAGCATATATTCTATGAAAGTAATATTCTTAATCCTAAAGAGCTTAAATCTCTTGAACTATGTTTCTCATATAAATCTTATATAGGGAAAAATCAAATATCTCATTCTCTGAAAATACATAAAATAAAAATAATAAAAAGAAAATGAACCAAATTAAGTGTTTAGAGAACTGTGACATTTTTATCAGCTATATATTAAATTTTATATTTGTTTTGGTAAAATAAATTACTTTGTTAAAATATTAAAACCCTTACAATTAATGAACCCTATATTTCTTAGAGTAAATGTAAATTTCTTGTCATGTGAAAATTATTTCAAAAGGAATGTATATAAATATTAACAAGTTCAAATGAATCTATGACTAAGTTTATTTCAATATTGCTATTAAAATTTATTTTCTTACTTCAATGCCTCTGGTTCTGTTATATACTGAAAACTATGCAGGATGTCAATGAAATAGGACTTCATGAAGGAGAGGGTGGTCATCGTTGAACCCTAGCCTTATACTGCCTATTGTTTGGGCTTCCCTATCATGCAGGAATACCTCAAAAAATACAATTACATTTTCCCAATTTTTAAAGATATCTAAAATTTTATAATGTTAGTAATTACTTGATTTGAATTCTAACCTCTTTGTATTGTAGGTTGATCCAATTTAATCAAAGGTCTGTCTTCATATAAATAGCAATGTCTCTGCCATAGAAGTCATGCTATATCTTTGATCATGAAGGCCATAGTCATTCCATCGAGACTGATTCTGATAAATATCAATTGACTTTATTTAACCAGTAATGTATATTATCATTTAATTGGAACACATTTGCATGGCATTTTTAATTAATATTGTGTTAACTATCCGTTGTACTCAATTTCTCTATATCTACTGTCCTCAGTGCCAAAATTCAAGAAAAACACATTAAAATATGCAATAAAATAAGTTCATTATATTTGATAATAAGGGCACAGTTCTGATAAGCCCGTAGTTATTAGTGAATAAGAAAACTGAAAATGGTTTCCTTTCTCTCTTTCTAATTTCAATGCTTATACTATGTAGGAAGTAAATATAATAAAACACTATCAGTAAACAGCTTAAAATTATGCTTTCATCAATTTATTTCATGAATAATATCTAGCAGGGTTTTTTTTAGTGACAAATGGCCAATTGATTTGAATTAAAATGATACAATCTTAAGGTCTGTGAGGCAGAAGAGGCTAGATTCCTCTGGAAAACTGAAGATGAACTGTTACGTCAATCATCTTAGCCAAGAATGAAAACAACTGTTCTGAGAAACTTAATGAACACTAAATTCAGATAATATCAACATATGCTTGAACTGCCTTTATCATATAAAGATTTTCATATCATCAGGAAACATAGGAACTACCCCGAATAGTTTTTTCAACTTCCAAACTGAAATATGACTAGACTATCTGACAATTCTAAATAATGATGGTGCTATCTGGTAAATTATAGCATCTATATTTTTACCTATATAATTATTTTTACCATCTGTGGAAAATTTCATACATGCAGGTAAGAATAGATAATAAAATAGTAGACAAACAATATGTATCACAGTGTTATAAAAATCTGAAGACTAAGGCACAACTTTTAACATTTTTATTTAAAAGAGAAAAAAAAGGATAGTATAAGCCACCTGTTCACTCTCCCCAGTCTCACCTTTCTTTCCTCTAGCAGCAGTGTTGTTTCTGTGCACATTTACTACGTATTTATGTATCCTCAAATATTAAATAAAATCGTTTTACAGTATTTACATTTTAGACAAATGGCATTACATAATGTTTTATACATAAATTGCTTTAAGAACAGCATAATATTTTGAGATTTGTCTGTTGGTAGATAGTTGCTGTAATTCATTAACTTAAAATGACGCATTTTTCCACGAAAACAACATTTTAAAAATATTTCTAGTTTCCTGTTAGTATGTTGAGATTATTCCCATTATTTTTTCTTAAAAATGCTTTAATACATATTTTGTAAATTCACAAGTTCACCTTTCATTTCTGTGATATGCCAGACATAGTCATGATGTCTTTTAGATTTTATATATTGCTAGACAGGGTTTGCTAATATTTTGTTGAGAATTTTTGCATCTGGGTTTATAAATACTATTTGTCTGTAATTTTCTTCTGTCAGATTTTGGTATCAAGATTATGCTGTTCTCAGGAAACTAGTAGTAATTTTTTTTCCTTTTGGTCTATTCCCAAGAAGACTTTGCGTAAGACTGTCATTATTTCTTCCTTAAACGTTAGTAGATAGCCTGGCATTTTCTATTTTTGTGAGATTTTTATTTACACTCTCAATGAATCTCTTTAGTCCTTACAGTTATGACATCTTTTTCTATGTTATTTTATTATGTATTTATTTATTTTATTTTTTATTTACTCTTTTTTTTTTTGAGATGGAGTCTCACTCTGTTGCCCAGGCTGGAGTGCAACAGCATGATCTCGGCACACTGCAACCTCCACCTCCCAGATTCAAGTGCCTCAGCCTCCTGCCTCAGCCTCCTGAGTAGCTGGGACTACAGGTGCATGCCACCATGCCTGACTAATTTTTGTATTTTTAGTAGAGACGGGGTTTCACCATGTTGGTTGGGATGGTCTTGAACTCCTGACCTCGTGATCCACCTGGCCTCAGCCTCTGAAAGTGCTGGGATTACAGGCGTGAGCCACCGCACCAGGCCACTATTTTATTTTTTAATATTTCATTTGATTTTAAATTGACAGATAAAATTACAAGTGCATTTAAAAGTATGTATGTACATTGTGGGATGACTAAATCTACCCTAATTAACATGTAATATTTTTATTACAATATTTAATTATGAATATTGCTATTGAAATATAATGTGAAACAATTTACAATTTTGATTCATTCTTGTTTACATTTAGGTTATTTACATGTTTCTAGAAATTCATACATTTTATTTAAATGTTCCAGTGAATGGGATAAAGTCATTTTATTCTTTTATGTGCTTTTGAATCACTCCAGAGTCTACAGTACTCTTCCCTATTATATTCCTGAAACTGGTTATTTGTACATTTTCTTTCATTTTTTCTTCCTTAACACGTCTCCACAAGCTGTTGTTAATTTTGATAGTTTTAGCAAAGACCTGATTCTGCTTTATTAATTTTTAAAATTATAGTTTCTATTCTATTTTATTGAGTTTAATTTTCCATTTAATATGGTTTCATTAATTTTTTTGGATTAATCTGCATTTTTTCAAATTTTATTTCCTAAATCCTTGGCTACTTTCAGCCCTTCTTCTTTCCTTGAATGTGCATTTAAGACTAAAAATTTTCCTGGAGGCAAGATTCAACTGCAACATATTTATTTTGACATGTTTCAGTTTGATTATACAGTAGCCCCTCCTTATCCATGGGAGATACATTCCAAGAGACCCTGCTGATGGCTGAAACCATGGATGGTACCAAATCCTACATAGACTATGTCTTTTCCTACATACATACCGATGATGAAGTTTAATTTATCAATTAGGCACAGTAAGAGATTAACAACAATAATCATAAAATAGAACAACAATAATAATATACTGTAATAAAAGTTACGTGAATTTGCTTTCTCTCTCTCTCAAAATATCTTATTGCAGAGTATCTTCTTATTATGATGCTGTGAGATGATGAAGTGTTCTTGTGACGAGATGAAGTGAGGTGAACAACATACTCATTTTGACATAGCATTAGGCTACTATTGACCTTCTGCCCATATGCCAGAAGGAGGATTATCTAATTTGGGTGATCCTGGATTATCTAGCCATGACCATGCTGATGGCTGGACGTTTAGAGCAGATGATGTGGATGACTAACGGGTGGGTAGCTTTGACAGTGTAGACAAGCTAAACAAAGGGATGATTTACAATCACGGCAGGGTGAAGCCAGATGGTGCAAAATTTCATTATGCTACTCAGAATGGTGCACAATTGAAAACCTGTAAATTGTTTATGTCTAAAACTTTCAATGTAGTAATATTTTTGAACCATGGTTGACTGCAGGTAACTGAAATCGCAGAAAGTGAAAACTCAGACAAGGTGGACTACTATACTGTATTTCTGTTTAAAATACTTTCTGATTTGCATTGTTGTTATCTTGGACATGTGTGTTATTTACAGAAGTATTACTATTATTATTACTATTTTTTCTTTTTTTGAGATGGAGTCTCGCTCTGTTGCCCAGGCTGGAGTGCAGTGAGTGATCTCAGCTCACTGCAACCTCCGCCTCCCAGGTACAAGCAGATTCTCCTGCCTCAGCCTCCCAAGTAGCTGGGACTACAGGCACACACCACTACATCCAGCTAATTTTTGTATTTTTAGTAGAGACAGTGTTTCACCATGTTTGCCAGGATGGTCTTAATCTCTTGACCTCAGGTGATCCACCTACCTTGGCCTCCCAAACAAATGCATTATTTAATTTCTAAAATATGATCTTTTTCTAATTATCTGATTGCTTTCTTAAATCCATAGGTCTGCAGTTTTCTTATACATATTCTGCATGACTTAATTTATATTTGCTAACGTTCCAGCATATGATCAATTTTCATAAAAATTGCACTTGAAAATTATGCATGTTCTCTAATTTGAAGATGTAGTACTCTCTACATATCAACTAGAACAAATTTATAATTTGTGGTGTTCAAATCTTAACACTTAGTGGGTTTTTCTTTTCCCTTACTACTCGGTTACTGACAGAGGTGTGTTAAAACCTTTAGTTATAATTCTTGATTTTCTTATTTCTTTTTTGACTTCTCTGGATTTTTGCTTTATGTATTTAAATGCGATATGACTATTCTGTCCATTATAGTAACCACTTGCCACATGTGTCTACTAAAATTAAAATTCAGGTCTCACTCACAATAATCAGATTTCAAATGCTCAATATCTACATATTGGAAAGTGGCTTTTATATCAGACAGTGCAGATATAGAACATTTCTATCTTTCCAGAAAATTATGTTGGACAGTACTGCTATGGAATTACATTTATAAAAATTTAGACTTCTTATATCTTCCCGAAAAATTAAAAAACAAATATCATTGTCAATAGCCTGTCTGTATGTAGAAATCCTTCTTTCTTCAAATCTGGTTTTCTAATGTTAGGGTAATTATACAAAATTTATTTTGGATAGTTTTTGTATGTTAGATTTTGCTCCATTTCTTAATTTTTACTCTTTATGTGTGCTTACACTTTAAATTTGTTTTTTTTTTAGACAGAAAATAGTGGACTGAAGTGGTTCTAAATAAATTTACTTTAATAGTAATATACTTGGGTTCAAATCTGACATTTGATTATGTGCTTTCCACTCTATATTTATTTTCCCCTAATTTCTTATTTTTAGATTTTCTATTTTTTGTCAATCCATGTGTGTCTTGAAAATATATACAGTTTATTATTACTATTTTTGCAATGGTTTAGAACATATACATTTCAGAACATACATACTTTGGTATTGTTACTATTTTTGTAATGCTTACCTTCCAAAGTACAACCTGCATCCTTAAATTAAAGATAGTAAACATCTGGTCCTCTCAACAGATAAGAAAAGAGCCTAGAATACTTCAATTCAGTTTTTAACCTCTGAGCTTATATAATATTGTTCTTATTATATGTGTATAGATACAAACACATATAAAATATATTTATGTATATATTTGAAACTTCACAAACCATTTTATTTATATGATTTTTTTAAAGTATCACTACAGAGGTATCTTTGTTTCTATTAATTCCTTAATTTCCTCTATTTTTATATTACAGAATTAATTAGGAAATTTACCTTCCTGACTAAAGTACATTCCTTAGATATTCTTTAATCTATATCTTTTAGTGGGAAACTTCATTTTTGTTTGTCTGAATTTTGCCTTAATTCCTGAAATTTTAAAAAATTCTTAAAAAATGTTTTGCTGAATTTAGAGTTCTACAAAGCAATTAGAGTGAAGATATCTTTGTGTTGTCTTTTCCTCGCATCTTGAACAGAGAAGTCCTCTGTTGTATCATTGCCGCTCCTTTAATGGCAATTTGCCTTTTTTTCCCTTGCTGGCTCCATTTTGGATTTTCTTCTTATTCTGGCTTTTCTCTAGTTTACTTCTGATATGTTTTGGTATTGATATTTATTTTCATTTATCATTTTAAGAGCTTGTCAGAATTACTAAATCTTTGATTGAGATATTCCAATATTGATTCTGCTCCTTTCTGTATCTCTCCTTCTCTGGCAAGCTCATGTTAGACTTTTGTTACTGAGCCAAACTGGGTTTATTTGCCTGTGCATAACAAAAAGCCAGATGCCAAAACACTGGATTTTTACAGTGAGAATAGTTTATTGCAAGTTGACTGGCAAGAAGACAGAAAAAAAAATGCTCAAATCTGTCTCCCCAAGATGGGGACTAGGTTGGGTTTTATAAGCATAGAATAATGGGGTTGTGATCTGATTAGATCTTTCAATGAGATGATGTCGAGAGGCATGATATAACTGAATCCTGCAGGGGCTGATGGCAGAGTATAATCTGATTGGATCCTGCATCCTGCCATGTGATGTCTACTTCTTAATTCAGCTCCTACACCTCATTCCGAGCACTTAGGTTCCCCATGTGGTTGCATACTTTATCTGGGTGGGCTCAGGTTATGTGACCTGAGCATCCATGACAACTGAAAAACAACTTACAAACATATTACATAAACCAAATTAGTCTGGTGCAGCTACAAACCCCCCTGTTTTATATCCATTCCTCAGTCTTGAGGAAAGATGGGCAATAATTACTCTAGCTACTTCCTGTTGATTTGGGGCTATTTCCTTTTGGTTCGCTTAGAGGAATAAAATTGTTTAGCACTTTGCTGTAGTTGTTCCCTGATATCAGGGTTATGTTTCAGATAGAGTTGTTTTGACTGGTTTCTAGGGAAAGTCATAAGGAGTTGACAACTTAAACATTATTTTTTCAAGAGAACAAAGGGAACACTTGGGTTTTCTAGCCAAAGTTTCCACCCACATTCCTAATCAAGTCTGCTTAAGCAAATGAAGGACTGAAAGTTGAAAATCAGTAGTTCTGATTGGTCCATGCAGCAGTACCCTGTCTGGCTGATGCAGATAAGCTTTAATTGACTCCTTTAGGTGAGTCCTGAAAGTCCCAAAGATAAAAGGTGTGGGCTTTCGGGAACTCAGAGCATGTGTGGTACCTCCAGTTAGCTAATGGCTGCTTTGCTCTATTTTAAATTTAGGCCCAGTTAGCCACTCAGAACCTATCTCGAAGAATTGGTTCAAACCTGTCCCCAGACATCACTACATTTCATTATGGCTGTAACTTGTTCTTTCAGTAACTTGCTCTGGGCACAAGCAACCTGCTTTAAGTCCGTCTAGTCCCACACATGGATCCTAGTAGCAGGTCAGTGGCCAACTGAGCAACTAAAGCCATTTATTATACTTACGAGAGGCACTCAGGTGCCTATTAGATTTGAATCAAAGTCCCTTGAGTTAAGTTAGTTCCAGTTTCCAGTTGAGGTGAGTTTAAAGTCTCAAGGATTAGGTCAGCACAATTCTGGTGGGGGTCTCCTGCAGACATCTCTTAAAACAGGCTAAAACAATTTTAATGAGGAGCCTAGCCCAAATGTGAGGAGCATCATTAAGACCTTCTTAGGCCAAATATGAAAAGGATCACTGAGACCTGTATGGCAGACCACAGGACAAGAAAATCCTCTTCCAGGGGAAATCAGCTGAAAATATCTTGTCATTGAAAATTTAACCCAGTGAGTTCAGCCAGGAGGCTTTCTGAAGGTGTTGCTTCTAGAGATTTGGCTGGTTTTGAGATCTTAGATGTTCCCAATTCAACCTGACTAAAACTATTTATGCAGGTGCAGTAGCAAAGTTAACAATAGCACGAACACCACCCTGTGTGGTGAGGTGATAGCCCAAAACAATGTAGTTGTCTAGGACACATGAACAAGGGAGTCTAGGGACCTCTGTTGTTCCTTGGTGGCTCAGGCAGTAAAGTGAGCAATTCTGTCAACAGTGAAGCAAAGATTTCTGACCATATATTTATTCCAAGCAGAACCTAGTCAAAACCAGGACCTCAGAAACCTTCCTAATCTAGCTCCTCACTAGAGTTAGTCCCTTCAGGCAAATTGCATTGTTGAAAGTTTCCCCAGTTATAATCTAAGGGTTATCATCAGTGTTGGATTGTGCCCCAAGACTCTCAAGTAACTCTTGGAGAGGAGGGAGGGTAGTCCTCGTAAGCTTAACGGAATAGATAGAAATTTGGATAAAAGATGCTTCTGTGGAAAAATCTCCTGGTGAGGATAACTTAAGCATTATCTCCCATTTTGGAAGCAGGAAACATGGACCTGGCATGTTTCTAAGAAGTCCCTTCCCCAGAGCTGTATGAAGACTGATGGTAAAAGAAGACACAATGATTGTCAGTCAGGGGTTCTGGTGAAAGAAGAAACAATGATTGTCAGTCAGAGGTCCTAGTTAGAAGGGGATCAGTACAGATTTAGAAATCCTCATAGGTTTGTTTGCTACCTCGACTATCTGCATGAATTCAAAACTCTGGGAAGGGAGCGTTGAATGCGTGCCAGGGTTAAGGAGGACTAATGAAAGGATCTCGGGCCATTCCAGGCTAAACACTGCACAGATATTTGCCAACTGGACTTTTATTATCCCATTGGTTTGCTTCACCTGCCCAGATGACTGGGAGTAGTAAGCATAATGGAGATGTTGATAAATAGGCTAAATCTGACAAATATTTTAAATAATTCTACCTGTCAAATCAGTTCCTCAGTCACTGTGAGGCTCTGGAGAGACTCCCCAGATTGGTATAATTTTTCCAATAGGGCCTTAGCTACTGCCTTGCCTATGGCCTGTCAACAGGGAAAGGCTTTAACCCAACTTGAAAACATGTAACTTCCCTGGGCCACATTGGAAGAATAATTGTCTTAGGCCACACATAACATACACTAATGATAGCTGATGAGCTTAACGACAACAGCAACAACAATAACAAAGGTCTGTGCATAAATCTCATGTTTTAAGAAAGTTTACAAATTTGTGTTGGGCAGTATTAAAAGCTTTCCTGGGCTGCATGTGGCCACGCACCACTAGCTGGACAAGCTTTATGTAAACCATAACTAGCATATTCTGGTTTTCCTGAGAGGTGGGGAGCCAAATAAAATCTTGCTGCCATACTTCAAAGGGACCATTCAGTAATGGGAAGCGGCCCTTGGAGGAATGTAATGTTTTTTTCAGTACTGTATTTTGGACAAATTTTATATAGTTGGTATACCCAGTGGACACTGATGGGAGAGGGGCCCTGAAAATTTTGCTTTTCCCCTTGGGCCATTTTAACAGTGTTTCGGCAGGTAACCTCATAGTTTGCTAGGTGGCTTGTGATGTGAATTGAGGAGAGCCTAAACAGAGTATGGAACACAGTGAAAGGTGACCTCGTGCCTAGCTTCTCTGTGGTTTTTACAAAGGAAGAGACAGTATCAACTACTTGGAAACAAGAAGGAAGTCCCTGAGCAATAGATCTAACTTCTGACCATAATATCTCATGGGTCTAGTTTATCCCCAGTTTTAATATTTAATTTCCATAGTCGGTTAGATTTAGGAGGGAGAAATCCCTTGAATGTCCCTGGAGCATCCCTACCCTGGATTGGAAGAAGAGGGCCAGGAAACATCATCGGGATTTAGTTGTAGCCAAACATTGAAGAAAATTAGGAGAATTCAGGATCTAGTTCAATCTACCAGCATATAAAAAGAACTTCTAAATTATGCATGGGGTTACAATCTAATAACAGGTATACTTTTGTTCTCCTTAGAAGCATAACTTTTTCTCTCCTCATTGATCATATAGGAAATCTCAGATTTTAGAACCTCTCGAGGCTAGGAAGCCAAGCTTCTGCTATTACTTGTTTTCTTTTCTTCTGGGACAACCATAATTCTAAAACGGAGTCTCACAATCTACCCCCAGGTTTCTTAACTATTTGTTCATATTTGTTTTTAAGTTGCTTGTTTTTCCTCTTTGTTGCATTCTGTATAAGCTCTTCAATGATAAATTCTTATTCACTGTTCTATTTTCAACTGTGTTAACTTTAGAATTTTTCTCACATATTGTATTTTTAATAACTTCTTCCTTTTAAAGATTTCTTGTTTCATATATACCTTTTCTTTTTTCATGTTTTTCTTTAAAAATTACTTTTTTTAAAAAAAGGAATTAATGTACCTATATTTCTTTTTGAATATTTTTATAAAAAAGCATCTGTAAGAATCTTATAAAATTATACTGTAAAGTTTTTATTATAAATACAGTTTATGATGTTGTTGGCTATCTTTGCACTAGACTATTTTAAAATGTTTTATCATGAGTCAGTACTTAACAATTTTTGGAGTTTGGAGATTGGTTCTTTCTCCCCACCATCCTGAGATCACTTCTTTCTAACCATACTTCAGTTGCCTCTGCTCATCTTTACGGGACCACAATAAAAAACCAACTCTTCAATGAAGTTTAGATTTTCTATCCTTTGACTATAATAGGAATATTACAAATTCAGACATAGAGGTAGTTAGTAATTTGGCTCAACTCCCTTTTGGAGGCTTTGTTTATCCACTCACCTCCTCATATTTGAAGCTCCCCAGAATTTATAGATACAGGAAGTGATTGATATCATATATTTAATGTTACTTAATTTTTTGTCTCCATTCAAAAGCTTATGGAGTAGGGGTGTCCAGTTAGCATTGCCTGGCTTCATTTTGTTAGTACAGTTCAGAATTGTTTATTTTACATGAAGCAATTTAGCAGCATTTACCCTGCAGGAGCTGAACTCCTGGCCAACACTGCCTTCTTTTGGGCCTAGTGCTCAGTAAGCCTGCAGCTTCAGTCTGGCTCATTACTCTGTTTTTATTCTATTTCTGGTACGCAGAGATTTTTATCTTGTATTTGAGCCCAGCAATGCCTTTTGGATTTTCCTTTTTAATATTTTATCAATCATTATTATGTGTTTAGAACAGAGAGGGTGATCAAAGCATGAACTCCTTACTCCAACTTGACCTGAATGCCAGTGGCATGGATTTTTCACAAAACTGTGTAACTCCTCTATGGAATATTAGACCAACCAATCCTTCCAGCAGATATATTGACCACAGACATAAAGGTACAATTATAAATTATGCAGCATACAGAGAGGATAGGAAAAACTTAATTCTTCTATCAATGAAAATATTTTGTGTGATATTGAGTTTGATTTTTCCATGGTATTCAACTTAATGGAAAGGTGCAACTGAGCTATACTATTCTACCTGTAGACTTTAAGAGGCCCTGCTTTTACTTTTCATAAATAGATATTTCAAAGCATATCTCTTTGACTTCTGGTACTACTACAACATATTTTTTTTGCACTACCATTTCTTAAGTAAAAAACGTCTCATAATCTGATATTTTTGATCCTGAATACGATGCCTCTATTTAATAATTGAAAGGTATGGCTCAAGGCACAAAACCTTAGGTCTACAAAAAAGGTTAGGAGACTTTTTTTCCTTTTTCACTGCTCTTTGAAGTTTTTCTTCATGTATTATTCTTTGTTTTGCAATGTTTGTCAGATTCACATTGGTGAACATAAGTTAAAACAGAACTATTTTGATAAAACTGAGTAATATTGTTGCAGTATTGGCTTTTCTCTTTAAGAAAATTTTTGTCGTTGACTGTTCCCTAAGTTTGGAGATAATTATTTTCCATGCCTTAGAATTTATATTGAGCTGTAATTGATTAACTTCCCTACCTTCATAGACATAGTGTGCTATATATTTGTATTTTGTGTCTGAGAGCATTAACAAATACAGTGCTATTACATCTTATGTCATTGTGATGCTGAGTCTCTATTTAAGAAGGTTTTGAGATTTAACATATTATTAGAAATCAATTATCACAGCTTTGCAATGGATACCTAAAAGATTGATTTAACTCTACATTTGGATTGAACTTTCAAGCTATGACTAAAAAGGTAAGACACGAGGAATCAAGAATGAAACTCTAAGAGAAACCTAAACTTCACACGATTTCATATTAAGCTAATTAATCAGACCTATTTCAGACCATATTAGCTGATTAATCAGATGATGGGTTATGAAATCTTTATATGAAGTCCCATGAGGTTTAGGTTTATCTTAGGATTTCATTCAACATTGAAGAGTTTTCTCCAGTTTTCAACCTGTTGTTATAAGAGATCACTGAAATAAGAAAATAAATCATATATACTCGGTGATAAAATGTATTTAGCCAAACCTTATTAATGAGAAATGGGAAAAAACATTCCCTTATTGCATGAATGCTATGATACTCAAAGATGTATCCAGGAGTTAGAGGGCAGTTTATTTCTAAACACTTTCCTAAATATGGACAAACAGTAAAATAATAAATAATAAAGTCAGATTTAAAAAATGTAAGGCTACATAACAAACTAACGTCAATTCAGGATAACCTTACTACATACAATGCATGCAGGATTATCTTATTCAAATGATATAGCTAAAATATAATACTGTTTTGAGCATTATTACAGCAAAAGCAAATAAGGACACACTATGTGTTATGTGATTTACAGGGTTGACAGGAAAAACAAACTAAGTACTCCCTGCTACTGACATCCAAGAACATTTATTGCATAAATCTTTATGAATACCTTATGATGAAGTAAATGGCAATAGAAAAGTATCCCTTGTTGGGAAATGATTTTTTGTAAGTGACTAAAATACCAATTTTACCTTTGCAGCTTTCTAATTAGCTGCCTAATTTTAAGCTATGTAGATAAAGGGTTATAAACGTACTTCTTACTTCAGATATACTCCATCAATGATTGTTAATACATTGAATTGGGAGGAAATAAAACATTGGAATATCTGAGGTGATACTGATTTTACTCTTTTCTTTAGTGAGGTATTCCTTCTCATAGGGAAGAACCATAGGTATCTTGAGATCCACCACTTCTCAGTTTGGAAGCGGGCTAAGAAAATGTCTGTGAACATGGACAACATTTTCCTCATGAATGTCACTTGAGTATTTTCTAATACATAGATACACAGTTTTACAAGGCCGTAAATACTATGATGCAAATGATTTTAGCCTAAATAATTTTCAATTTAGAAAATACTAACCAAGTAACAATTACAGTTAATTTTAGCAATGTAAATTCATGGTAAATTTTCTAAGACAAATTAATTATCTCCATATAACTGGATGATTTCATCAGATGTATTAATTTTTAATTTCAGTTGTAACTAATTACAATAAACACAGTACCTTGGAACAACACCCATTTATTATCTCACACTTCCGTGGGTCAGAAGCCCAGGCACAGAGTGACTCAGCTGTCACTTCTTCTCAATCAAGGTGTTGGCTGGGCTCAATTCTCATCTAGCGGATTTGGGGAAGGTGCAAACCCATTCAAGTTGTTGGCCAAATTCAGTTCCCTGCAGTTGTAGAATTGAGGTCTCCCTTTCCTTGTCATCTGTTAGCCAGGAACATGTGTCTTCTCCTAAAGAACACTCTTTCCTTCTCATGCTCTCCATGTGGCTCCCTTCAGCAACACCAGATCAGTTATCTGTTACTTCAATTCTCTCTAAATTCTTCCACTGTCTCTCTCTAAATTCAACCAGAGAAGGTTTTCTACTTTTAAGGGATCATGTGCTTAATTTGAGCTCATTCTACATAATCTAAGATAGTCTCCCTATTTTAGTCCACAGTGTTAGTTACGCTACCGAAGTCCAATGTGCCATGTAAAATAACACACTCACATGTTTGAAGGATAAGGGCATGAACATATATTTGTGAAATGTGCTGTCTACAATATCTGATTGTTTTTGAAATTTCATGCATGAAGAAATTATATATTTAAGCAATTTACAAAAGTTTTGGATTTTTGTTGTATAAAGTTAACCCATCTGATAATAATTCAATATTACTCAATTAGTGTACTCCTAATTCTTGAAGAAAAAAAATGTGACCAGTTTATAGAATGATATAAATCCCCAAGTCTCTGTAATAAGGGATATCTATGCCTAGAAATATAAATTTAGAAGAAAGTTGCCTGAATTCAGTTTATTGATGTAAGAAAATATATTATCCCATTATATTCTATGACATGTTCAGTAATACATAAATAGGAAGATATTAACTATATAAAATGAAGACTAACAGTCCCATTCCATATATACAATATAATACCAATTCATATATGTATATATTCTTGTTGAAACACTGTATTAATATTTTTCCTTAATGTCAACTCTTGTCTGTTTTCTCTATCTGGTAAAACACTGAAGGAACATTACTTTCTTCATTTTTTTCCATGTATATAAATACATATGCTATTTTTTCTTTCTCCTACTGTATGGGAATACAGGTGCATTAGAATAAGTAAGCAACCTAGAAATGCATGAAGGAAAATATAATAACCTTCCCCTCACTGAATCCAATTCTCCTCTCTGAGATAAAGAAAGCTATCAGTTTAATGTATGCCTTTATAGTCCTTTCCTATACACACAAAATCTCCTTCTCTATATACTTGCATGTGTGTATGTAAGTGTAGTTTATTGAAATACTCCTATGATTATAAAAATTCAGGTTATTTAACATTTTGCTGCTACAAAAACATTTAAATAAGCTCCTTTTATGTGTTTATGTATAATATTCTTATTTTTATAGACTATATTTTTTGTGAGTGTAACCAAGACTTAAATATTAATAATGTTCAAAATTTGAAATGACAGGTAATATTCAGAGTATTGTCCATGAACACTGTGGCCATTAACTTCCTCTAAACAAGGCATGAGGTTAATCAAAGCTGTGCTAGAACAAGGTTTTATCATAATTTTTATATCTGTGTTTATAGATGGAGACATTACTTAATCATGGTCAATAAGTGGCCTAAATAGGATCTTCTTCTAGATACATTAGATAAAGGAATTATTTTCTCATCTATTGAAAAGCCATGAAAATATGGTTCTGGGCCCACTAGAAAACATTTTTCATAACCCTGAGCATAATGACAATATAAAGAAAGCATTAATAGAATATGCAGTTTGAGTAGATGGACCAGGACATTATAAAAAGACAAGTCTACTCTTAAAACTTCTCAATTACTTTACACTCCCACCAACAGTGTTCCTATTTCTCCACATCCTCTCCAGCATCTTTTGTTTCCTGACTTTTTAATGATTGTCATTCTAACTGGTGTGAGATGGTATCTCATTGTGGTTTTGATTTGCATTTCTCTAATGATCAGTGGTAATGAGCTTTTTTTCATACGTTTGTTGGCCACATAAATGTCTTCTTATGAAAAGTGTCTGTTCATTTCCTTCGCCCACTTTTTGATGGAGTTGTTTGTTTCTTTCTTGTAAATTTGTTTAAGTTCCTTGTAGATTTTGGATATTAGCCCTTTGTCAGGTGGATAGATTGCAAAAATGTTCTCCCATTCTGTAGGTTGCCTGTTCACTCTGATGATAGTTTCTTTTGCTGTGCAGAAGCTCTTTAGTTTAATTAGACCAATTTGTCAATTTTGGTTTTTGTTGCAATTGCCTTTGGTGTTTGAGTTGTGAAGTCTTTGCCCAGGTCTATGTCCGGAATGACATTACCTAGGTTTTCTTCTAGGGTTTTTATGGTTTCAGGTCTTATATATAAATCTTTAATCCACCTTGAGTTAATTTTTGTATAAGGTGTAAGTAAGGGGTCCAGTTTCAGTTTCTGCATATGGCTAGCCAGTTTTCCCAACAACATTTATTAAATAGGGAATCCTTTCCCCATTGCTTGTTTTTGTCAGGTTTGTTAAAGATCAGATGCCTGTAGATGTGTGGTGGTGTTTCTGAGGCCTCTGTTCTGTATTGGTCTATATATCTGTTTTGGTACCCATACCATGCTGTTTTGGTCACTCTAGTCTTGTTGTACCGCAGATCTCTTTAACTTATTCACTTGCATAACTCAAATTTTATATCTCTTATGTCTCATTTCCAAATTAAATGTGGGGTTGTGTCATCCACTATCAGATAAGACACAAAAAGAAAGATACTTCCAATTGACCTTGATTGTCCAATGGTTAAGGTTGGATGAGATGGACAATATCTGATGGATAAGTAGTAGGCAATGAGTTATTCCAAAGTCTTGGGAATTTTATAAGCTTTGTTAGAAGTAATGAGAGAACTTTGATTAAATGCGTGTGTGTGCGTGTGTGTGTGTGTATTTTTTCTGAATCTAAGCTGATCCAGAACAAGAGACTAAGATTATACTGTGAAAGAAAACTCTTAAATACACAGGCGGAGCAGAAGTGAAGAGGGAGAACTGTAGGAAGAGAGATGGTCATATTTTTTCTTTTTTTATTTTTCATTAGCAAATTATTCAAATGAATGGCATGATATAGAAACCGTTAACTTCAAAACTGAATGTTACATAGTCCCAACGTTTTTTTTTAAAGTTCTTGGAACTGGTGATGCATGACCTGACTCTATTTTACATGTCAGTGAATTATAAGAATAGAAATTCTTTTTTTCATTTTATCATTTAGTTATATCATCTTCAGCTGAAAAAATTCAGTACCCATTCTTCACATGTGTGTTGCAATAAAAATAAGCTAGGTAGGGCTTGTTTACTATTAAGTAAAATTACTAACTTAAAATGTCAATGCATAGCTTCATATTATTAAACTAATCACTCGTTTTTAAGACAATTATTTATCTCTTTAATAGTCCATTGAATAATTAGCTATATTTCTGTGAAAAATATTCAATTTATATATTTGACTCTTAATTTTAAATTTTTGTTTATATACATCATTTTAATAAGGGCTGTATATTTTCACACTCCTATAAAGAACTGCCCGAGACTGGGTAATTTATAAAGAAAAAAGATTCAACTTATAAAGGAAAAAGATTTAACTAACTCTCATTTCAGCATGACTGGGAGCCACACAGAAAGCATGAGAAGGAAAGAGAGTGTTCTTTAGGAGTAGAGACCCGTTCCTGGCTAACAGATGACAGGGAAATGGGGACCTCAATGGCTGGGAAAGCCTCAGGAAACTTACAATTATAGCAGAAGGCGAAGGCGAAGCAAGGGACCTCCTTCACAAGGTGGCAGGAAGGAGAATGACACAGGAGAAACTACCACACACTTATAAAACCATCAGATCTGAGGAGAACTTACTATCATGAGAATAGCATGGGGAAAACCACGAGCATGATTTGATTACCTCCACCTGGTCTATCCCTTGACATGGGGGGATTATGGGGATTACGGAGATGACAATTCAAGATGCGATTTTGGGTGGGGACACTGCCAAACCATATCAGGCTGTAACAGCATTTGGAAAGCAATAATCTTTTTGAAAAAGTAAATTATAATAAAAAAGTTAAAAATATAAGTGAAAAATTAAAATTAAAATTTTAGAGTAAATTTAAGATAATTAGAATTTAACTTTAAATTAAATTTAAACAAAATGAAAATGATAAATAATTTGAATATGACTTTTAAAAATCAAGTGAAACATATTTCCATTTTAAACTATTTATCATTTACTAAGCACCTCCAATGAGCCAGGCAATGGAGTGGGCTCTGTTATATTCACTTTTTTATCTTCTCAACTTTAATTCTCTTTTTTCTTCTAACTTTTTCTATCCTTTTTGACTTTATATTTTGATATGTTAGGACAGAAAATCATATGTATGTCTTTTAACTCTCTCCTCAGTTAAACTGAGATGGGAACTGTATGTTTTAATAAGAAAGCACTGTTTTATTCACTGCTTCTATGAGTTCAAGTGTTTTAGATTCCACGAATGAGTGACAGCATGTGGTATTTTTCTTTCTATTTTTGGCTTATTTCACTTAACACAATGTCTTCCAGGTTCATTCATGTTGTTGCAAAATGACAGAATTTTATTATTATTTATGGCTCAGTATATTCCATTGTGTATATAGACCCCATTTTCTTTATCCACTCATCTGTTGTTGGACACTTAAGTTGATTCCCTATCTTAACTACTATTTATAGTGCTTCAAGAAACGTTCTCTTTTTCTTAATGGTTTATAGAATTTCTATGTACATTTGGGAATCTCAAGTTTGATTGTTTGTATGTGTTGCAAACCTCTTCTTCTAATTTATAAATGTATGACCCTGGGATTAGTGTGAGTAGATTTGCTCCTTACTATGAGTGTGTATTTATTGTATGGGCACAGACACACACATGCATACATACAAGGAACAAAATTGGCTCATCCCAAACTTATTATGTCTGTTTTATTAATCTAATGGTGGTTAATTAGTGGCTCACCAACCCTAAAATTATTAACAACCAAGTGTTGGTGGAGAAGAAAACAAATCTATCAAATGTCTCTGAGGGCAACATATTACACATAAATTTCTGCCTTGTGAATATATTGAATGGCTAGTCATTAAAGATACATTCTGTCACTGTGGTAGAAATTCAGAAGTCTAAAATTACATCATGGCTATTTTTATGGCTAAAATATGTTTAGTGATAACTTAGCTTTCCTCATTTATAAAATAAGGATTTGGATTCAGAAATGATTTAGGCTTCTTAATAGATTAAATATCCTAATATTTGACAACTCCATAAATCTAATGACAGCATAGCTAAAATTTACTTTTTTCAGGAACCTTTTTATGTGGGGAGGTAAAGAGCCTAAAGCATACATAAGGTTAATATGTAAGTATATAATTTTTAATAATTGGCATTTATAGAAAAACACTGTAATCATTTCATAAGTGATATTAACAAGTGACATTTCTGCTAATAGTACTACCTTTTACTATTTTAAGCCTGTATGCAAAACATAACATTGCTTATCCACTTTCCAAAATCTAACATTGATAGATTATTCATTCTCTAAGCACTCACTTACCAAGATCCAATAACAGAAATATTTAAATACACTGTATAATTTAATTCTCTAAGCTATTTTATGGATTATTCTATAATCACTAGCTTTATAGAAAAGGCACCAATTCTCAAGATTGAGAAATAGGCTAAAGTCTCACATTTAGAAAAACACTCCAAATTGAGATTAATATTCACATACTCTAACTCTGGAGACTGTTACCATGTTTATTAAATACATGGACACATACACACTCTCCCACACTCCAGATCCAAAGACTACTTCAGAAGGCTTTAATTATTTTATAATTCACACTTCTGTTACAAGCATGAATTAAAAGGCTATGTTGCTGAGACAGTGTATAAAGATAACTTTGCATTAAATATTGGCTTATTTATGGTCCCTAAAACAAAGTTTCTTGTAGTTTGCAGACCACCTATCTGGTTTGGACATATGCCCCAATGTGTTGGAAACTTGATCCTCAGTGTGGCAATGTTGAGAGGTGGGACCCAATGTGAGGTGTCTGCGTCAAGGAGGCACCACTCTCAAAAATGGATTATCATGAGAGCGGGTTCATTTTACAAGTACGACTTCAGCCTTCTTTTCTTTCTTTGTCTCTCTCTTGCTTTCTTGGTTTCCACAATGGAATGAAGCAGCAAGAAGACTCTCCAGTTGCTAGGGACTTGATCTTGGAATTCCCAGCCTCCAGGAATGTGAGAAAATATTTTATTATAATAAATTACCCAGCTTCAGGTATTCTGTTATAGCAACATAAAATGGGCTAAGACAGAACATTGGTACTAGAGAAGTAGGGTGTTGCTTTAACAAATATCTATAAATGCCAAAGGGGCTTCAGCACTGAGTAATGGGATGAGGCCAAAAGTATTTGGAGGAGCAGACAAGAGAAAGCCTGGATTGCCATGAGTAGAACTTTAAGAGAAATTCTGGTGAAAAGCCAGAAGAGAAGAACTGTAGGAGGACGATAGAACTTCTTAGAGATTATTTCTTAGAGAATGTCAATAGAAATATGGAAAGTATACAAACAAATGGAAGAACATTCCATGCTCATGGGTAGGAAGAATCAATATCGTGAAAATGGCCATACTGCCCAAGGTAATTTATAGATTCAATGCCATCCCCATCAAGCTACCAATGACTTTCTTCACAGAATTGGAAAAAACTACTTTAAAGTTCATATGGAACCAAAAAAGAGCCCGCATCGCCAAGTCAATCCTAAGGCAAAAGAACAAAGCTGGAGGCATCACACTACCTGACTTCAAACTATACTACAAGGCTACAGTAACCAAAACAGGATGGTACTGGTACCAAAACAGAGATATAGACCAATGGAACAGAACACAGCCCTCAGAAATAACGCCACATATCTACAACTATCTGATCTTTGACAAGCCTGAGAAAAACAAGAAATGGGGAAAGGATTCCCTATTTAATAAATGGTGCTGGGAAAACTGGCTAGCCATATGTAGAAAGCTGAAACTAGATCCCTTCCTTACACCTTATACAAAAATTAATTCAAGATGGATTAAAGACTTAAACGTTTGACCTAAAACCATAAAAACCCTAGAAGAAAACCTAGGCATTACCATTCAGGACATAGGCATGGGCAAGGACTTCATGTTTAAAACACCAAAAGCAATGGCAACAAAAGCCAAAATTGACAAATGGGATCTAATTAAACTAAAGAGCTTCTGCACAGCAAAAGAAACTACCATCAGAGTGAACAGGCAACCTACAAAATGGGAGAAAATATTTGCAACCTACTCATCTGACAAAGGGCTAATATCCAGCATCTACAATGAACTCAAACAAATTTATGAGAAAAAAACAAACAACCCCATCAAAAAGTGGGCGAAGGACATGAACAGACACTTCTCAAAAGAAGACATTTATGCAGCCAAAAGACACATGAAAAAATGCTCACCATCACTGGCCATCAGAGAAACGCAAATCAAAACCACAATGAGATACCATCTCACACCAGTTAGAATGGTAATCATTAAAAAGTCAGGAAACAACAGGTGCTGGAGAGGATGTGGAGAAATAGGAACACTTTTACACTGTTGGTGGGACTGCAAACTAGTTCAACCATTGTGGAAGTCAGTGTGGCGATTCCTCAGGGATCTAGAACTAGAAACACCATTTGACCCAGCCATCCCATTACTGGGTATATACCCAAAGGACTATAAATCATGCTGCTATAAAGACACATGCACACGTATGTTTATTGCGGCATTATTCACAATAGCAAAGACTTGGAACCAACCCAAATGTCCAACAATGATAGACTGGATTAAGAAAATGTGGCACATATACACCATGGAATACTATGCAGCCATAAAAAATGATGAGTTCATGTCCTTTGTAGGGACATGGATGAAATTGGAAACCATCATTCTCAGTAAACTATCACAAGAACACAAAACCAAACACCGCATATTCTCACTCATAGGCGGGAATTGAACAATGAGAACACATGGACACAGGAAGGGGAACATCACACTCTGGGGACTGTTGTGGGGTAGGGGGTGGGAGGAGGGATAGCTTTAGGAGATATACCTAATGCTAAATGACGAGTTAATGGGTGCAGCACACCAGCATGGCACATGTATACATATGTAACTAACCTGCACATTGTGCACATGTACCCTAAAACTTAAAGTATAATAATAATAAAATTAAAAAAAGGAAATATGGAAAGTAAAGGTCATTTTGATGAAGTTTCACACAAAAATGAGGACTGTCTTACTGGAAACTGGAGGAAAGCTCATCCTTCTTAAAAATTGGCAAAAAACTTCGTTGAATTGTGTGTATGCACTAGGACTTTATGGAAGACAGAATTTAAGAGCAACAAACAAGGGCAGGTGTACCCAACCCCCAGCCCACAGACCAGTAACAATCCGTGGCCTGTTCAGCACCTGGTAGCACAGCAGTAGTTGAGCAGTGGGCAAGTGAGCCTTACTGCCTGTGCTCCGCCTCCTGCCAGATCAGCAGTGACATTAGATTCTTATAAATGCCTGAAACCTATTGTGAACTGCACATGTGACTAATCTAGGTTGCGCGCTCCTTATGAGAATCTAACTAATGCCTGATATCTGAGGTGGAACAGTTTTATCCCAAAACCATTCCCCCACAATCCCCATCTGTGGAAAAATTGTCTTCCACACAACCAGTCCCTGGTGCCAAAGAGTTTAGGGACTGCTGAACTAGGGTATCTGATGGAAGAAATTTCTTTTCTTTTTTTCCTTTCTTTACATTATTTTATTGAGATGATGCAAAATTATATATGTTAATTTTAGGAATATCCAACAATTGGACAACTCATTGATAAACTGGTACAAAACAATGTGTTATTGATCTTCGCCGTAACCCAAGAACAAGTTCATTTATATGAGGTAAGCAAAAAAAACTTGGGAAATTCCTTCAAGGAGATTATGTGACATGAAACTTTAACATTAACTCTGTGAGTTTAACACATGGGAAGGCCATTAGATAATCATTAACACATACCAAATGTACTGGGTGCTTGGCTAAGTGGACTCATTTACTGCTTGTAATTTAAATTGTAAACACCAAGGTGCAGTAGGGTGTGGGGAGCAGATAAGGTGGGATGAGAAAGACTGAGCTAAGGAAATGAAACAGATATGCTGGAGGAGAGTATCAACAAATATAGGACCAAGAAATTTCTAAGCAAAATACAGAAAGGTTTGCATGGCTTATTTTCACTGCATACAGTAAAATGAGAGAGGAGAGAAATAATTTTGTGAACCCTGAAAATCTGAGACAGGTCTCAGTTAATTTAAAAAGTTTATCTTGCCAAGATTGAGGATGCGCACCCATAACATGGCCTCAGGAGGTCCTGATGACATGTGCCCAAGGTGGTCAGAGCACAGTTTGGTTTTACACATTCTAGGGAGACATGCGACATCAATCAACATATGCAAGATGAGCATTGGTTTGGTCTGGAAAGGCGGGACAGCTCAAAGCAAAGGCAGGAAGACTAGAAGCGGGGAAGGGACTTCCAGGTCATAGGTACATAAGAGAGAAATGGTGGCATTCTTTTGAGTTTCTGATTAGCTCTCCAAAGGAGGCAATCAGATAAACATTTATCTCAGTGACTTTGAATAAAATGGGACGCAAGTTGGCCCTAAACAGTTCTCAGCTTCGTGATTTGGGGGCCCCAAGATTTATTTTTCTCTCACAAGTTAAAGATGAACTTCATGATTCATAGAGTAACAGAATGTAGAAATTTGTAAAATTTGCAGCCTGCTCATCTAAAGAAAAAACTAGCATGCAAGGGTGTGTGTGTGTGTGTGTGTGTGTGTGTGTGTGTGTGTTGGGGCGAGGGGAATATTTGAAAAAGGAATTAGCATAAATAGAATGAAGCTAGGTGCTATTCATCAAGACAATGGGAGAATGATCTCAAAGGCATTTCAGAGCTGTTTGAGGCTGACCTTCTCATCACAGGCCAAAGCTCTAAGAGGAAAGAATGGTTTTGGGGGACAGGGCCAAGAATCCCTCCACTGATTTGCTGCCCAGGGTAACTTCAGGACTCTCTTCACCTCATTCTGCTGCAGTGTTTCTCAGCCACTCAGCTGTGGCTCAAGTAGCCCCAGTTGTGGCTCAGACTTCTGCTCTGGAGGGTGTAAGTGGTAATCCATGGCAGCAACCATGTGGCACAAATTCTTCAGGTACATAGAATGCAAGAGCTGTGGGGGCGTGGCTTCCTCCATTTAGATTTTACAGGAGGACAGATTTTTTTTCTTTCCATCGGTGGCAATCGGCTAAGCAAGAAATGTCTTACTATTGTTTTAATTGAGTGTGTGTGTGCATATATATATATAATACTTTAAGTTCTAGGGTACATGTGCACAACGTGCAGGTTTGTTGCATAGGTATACATGTGCCATGTTGGTTTGCTGCACCCATTAACTCATCATTTACATTAGGTATTTCTCCTAATGCTATCTCTCCCTCAGCCCCCCACCCCATGAAAGGCCCTGGTGTGTGATGTTCCCCTCCCTGTGTCCAAGTGATCTCATTGTTCAATTCCCACCTATGAGTGAGAACATGCGGTGACTGGTTTTCTGTCCTTGCTCAGAATGATGGTTTCCAGCTTCATCCATGTCCCTACAAAGGACATGAACTCATCCTTTTTTATGGCTGCATAGTATTCCACGGTGTATCTGTGCCACATTTTCTTAATCCAGTCTATCATTGATGGACATTTGCATTGGTTCCAAGTCTTCGTTATTATGAACAGTGCCTCAATAAATACACATGTGCATGTGTCTTTATAGCAGCACGATTTAAAATCCTTTGGGTATATAACCAGTAATGGGATCACTGGGTCAAATGGTATTTCTAGTTCTAGATCCCTGAGGAATCGCCACACTGTCTTCTTCCACAATGGTTGAACTAGTTTACACTCCCACCAACAGTGTAAAAGTGTTCCTATTTCTCCACATCCTCTCCAGCATCTGTTGTTTCCTGACTTTTTAATGATTACCATTCTAACTGGTGTGAGATGGTATCTCATTGTGGTTTTGATTTGCATTTCTCTGATGACCAGTGATGATGAGCATTTTTTCATGTATCTGTTGGCTGCATAAATGTCTCCTTTTAAGAAGTGTCTGTTCATATCCTTTGCCCACTTTTTGATGGGGTTGTTTGTTTTTTTTCTTGTAAATTTGTTTGAGTTCTTTGTAGATTCTGGACATTAAGCCCTTTGTCAGATGGGTAGATTGCAAAAATTTTCTCCCATTTTGTAGGCTGCCTGTTCACTCTGATGGTAGTTTCTTTTGCTGTGCAGAAGCTCAAGAGCAATTAACTAGGGCAGGTATACCCACAGGATGCAGCACACAGACAAGGTGGCCAGGTAGAGGCTTGTCACAGGAGTGAAGCCACCAGAGAGTCCCCACCAGGGCAATGCCTAGTGGAACCCTGGGAGCAAGGCTACACCTGAGACCTCGGTACTGTAGATTTATCAACATGGAACACCAGCTTGGGAGAGCTGCAGGCACAAAAGACTTCAACGTTTCTTCAAAAGGCTGTCGATAAATAGATAAACAAAAACAACCAAAAAAACTTCAACCTATGAGAGCTCCTACATGGGCTGAGCCCAGCAAATCCATAGGAGTGAGGCTGTTCAAGGCCTGAGGGGTCCAGTCTCCATCCTAGTGTGTCCAGTAGGCAGCATATTAAGTGAAAGATTATTCTGAAATCTTAATATATAATGTCTTCCCTGTTGGATTTTGGACTTACTTGAGGCCCATTACTGTTTTCTTCTTACCTATTTCCCTTTGGAATGGGAATGTCTATCTTCTCTATGCCTGTCCCACCACTGTATTTTGAAAGTAGACAATTTGTTTTGATTTCAGAGGTTCATAGCTGAAAAGGTATTTCCTCCGAATGACTCATGCCTTGACTCTCACTCATATTAGATGAGACTTTGGATTTTGAACTTTTGAGTTGATGTTGGAATAAGTTAACATTTTGGGACTACTGGGATGTAATGAATATATTTTGCATGTGAGAAAGGACATACATTTGAAAGACCAGGGGCAGAATGCTATGGTTTGAATGTATCACCCCAAAGTTAATGTATAGGAAACTTGATCCCCAGTGCGGTGGTGTTGAGAGATGAGGTGTTTGCATCATGGGAGCAGCACCCCCGCAAAATAGATTAATTTGTGAGAGTGACTTTGCTATTGTGGTAGTGGGTTTTTACCAAAAGGGAAGTTTGGCCTTCTTTTTACTTTCTCTCTGACCCTCTTTTGTCCTCTTGCCTTCCACTATGAGATGATACAGCAAGGCAGTCCTCACCAGATGCTGGAGGCTTGATCTTGGACTTTCTAGTCACCCTCCACAATTGTAAGGAAATCGTTTTCTCTTCTTTATAAATTACCAAGTCTCAAGTATTCTGTTATAGCCGCACAAAATAGACTAATACATTATCTTTCAAAATAATTGAAGGTTTTACATTTCTTTACACTAAGGAATACTGACCTTATTCTAAATAACAATAATTAGGAAGGTTAAATATGTGTCACTTTTGATTTTTTACCAATGATACTTTTAGATAATTTTATTTTCATCTAAAACGAAAGCTTAGCTATTTCATAGGCCCATTAAATGACTCAAAATTCCTAAGGGAAATCTTTTTAAAATAATTATTAACTTAGATATTTAGTAATGCAGGAAAAAAACACAATAGTTCTTCTTTTAAAATAGTTATTTTAAATAATAAACAAAAATTTTATATATTTATAGTGTACAACACGATACATAGATATATGTGTACATTGTGGAATACCTAAATCAAGCTAATTAAAACATATGCATTAACTCACATACTTAACATTTTTTTGTGATGAGAACATTTAAAATCTATTATCTCAGCAATTTTGGAATATATAAGACAATGTTATTAACTATAGTCACCATGTCGTACAGTGGATATCTTAAACTTACTCCTTCTAAATGAAATTTTATATCCTTTGACCAACATCTCCCTAACCTTTTCTCTCACCCTAAGGTCCACTTGCTGCTTCTATGAGTCTAACCTTTTTATATTCCACATGTAAGTGAGATCATATGATATTTGTCTTTCTATATCTATCTTCCAAGTTCACCCATGTTGTTGCAATATGAGAGAATTCTCCTTATTAAGGCTAAATAGTATTCCATTGTGTGTGTGCGTGTGTGTGGGTATATATATATGTGTGTATATATATGTATGTATAGATATATACACATGCACTGTATATATATAAATACTATATACATACATTGTGTATATATATATATACACACACATTTTATTTATTAATCTATTACTTTATTACTCTATTATTTATTAATCTATTACTGAACACTTAAGTTGACATTGTATCTTGGCTATTGTAAATGACACTGAAATGAACATGGGAGCATAGATATCTCTTTGACATACTGATTTTTTTTCCTTCGGATATATACTGAAAAGTGAGATTGTTGGATCATATGGTAATTCTGTTTTTAACTTTTTCAGGAACTTGCATACTGTTCTCCATGTTGACTGTACTAATTTGCACTCCCACTAACAGTGTATCAGGGTTCCCTTTTCTCCACATTCTTGACAACACTTGTTATTTGTAATCTTTTTGATAGTAGCTATTCTGGCAGGTGTGAGGTGACATCTCATGGTGGTTTTAATTTGCATTTCACAAATAGTTATGTTGAGCATCTTTTAATATACCAGTTGGCCATTTGTTTGCCCTCATTCCATTTAGGTCTTTTGCCCATTTTTTAAATCAGGTTATTTAATTTTTTGCTATTGACTAATTTGAATTTCTTACATATTTTGGATATTTATCCCTTATCAGATATATGCTGTGCGAATATTTTTCCCATTCCATAGATTGTCTTTTCATTCTGCTATTTTTTTGCTCTGCACAATATTTTTAGTTTGATGTAATATCATTTGTCTATTTTTGCTTTTGTTGCCTGTCCTTTTGGAGTCATATTCAAAGAATCATTGCTCAGACCAATGTCATGAAGCTTTTCCCTTATATTGTTTTAGTAGTTTTATAATTTCATGTTTTACATTTATGTATTTAATCCATTTTGAGTCATTTTTCACATAGAGTGAGATAAAGATCCAATGTAATTCTTTTGCATTTTTATATATAATTTTCCCAACACCATTTATTGAAGAGACTCCCCTTTCTCCATTGTATGTTCTTGGTATCTTTGTTGAAAATAAGTTGACCATAAATGTGTGGATTTTTTTCTGGGCTTTTTATTCTGTTCCATGGGTCTTTGTATCTATTTATTTGCCAATACATTGCTGTTTTGATTACCATAAATTCAAATAATATTTTGAAACTAGGTTGTATGATGGCTTTGACTTTATCCTTTTGCTCAATTGCCTTGGCTATTAAGGTCTTTCGTGGTTCTACACGAATTTTAGGATTGCTTTCCAAAATGCCATTGGAATTTTTATTGGGATTGCATTGAATCTGTAGATTGCTTTGGGTAGTATGAATATTTTAACAATATTAACTTTTTAAATCCACAAACATGGTATATCTGTTCATTTTTATGTCTTCTTTAATTTCCTTCCTTAATGTTTTATAGTTTTCAGGGTACACATCCTTCACCTCCTTGGTTATATTTATTCTTCAGTATTTTATTTTTTTGGTAGCTATTGCAAATAGGATTGTTTTCTTTATTTCTTTTTTGGATAGTTTATTAGTGTACAGAAACACTACTGATTTTGTATGCTGATTTTGTATCCTTCAATGTTATTAAATTCATGATCTATTTTTTAACAGTTTTTGGTACAATTCTTATTATTTTAGATATGTAAAAGTGTACATAAAGCCTTTTATTTAAATACTATTTTTTCACACTTGAAGATAAAATAAGTAGAAAAATAAATAAATACTCAAACACACTTAAGGATGTTTCTCAAAACAGGATTCTATTTGGTGGTTTAATTGTTTCTGTAACTTTTTAATAAAATGTCATTTATAAAATTTAAAAAATCAAGTATCTTTTTAAGCTATTTCTTACTTTATTTTACATTCAGATTGCATTAATTTTAAACTTACTAGCATAGTATGGGTTTGCTATCTTGCCATTGCTATCTGAAAAATAAACTTGGACTAATTTACTCTCTACTTTTGAAATTTGAAAAATTCAAATTACAAATATTTTATATTGTATGCAATCTCTTATAAAGAAGTTTCAAAAACTCTTATTTTAAAAATATTTCACTTCAAGTGGTTATAGTAGCTGATATGCTAGAAGGTATGATTTCTTCAACCAGCTGAACTGATGTAAACACACGACTTTGTATCAGTGCCTAACAATTTTTACAATTATGGCTTCAAATTCGGGTGGGTCATTGTGAACAAAACCAATCATCTTTTCATATGTAACATTTTCTGAATTTTGTAATTAGACCTTTGGTACCATAATGAAATGTACAGGTTATTTAAACTTGTTGAATTGTAACATTGAATCGCAGGTTAGCTTAAACTATGGAAAAATATCTATACAATATCTACATATTTCTATAAATTGATGGATTTTATGAATATCCTTTTTGGGGGAATTGCTTTCTCTTTCACAATAATATATTATTTATTACATTGTATTTATTATTTCCCCTTAATTATCATAGCTATTCACAAATAAGCTGAACATAAGAGTTAATCTCTGCTCTCTGAATCCCACAAAATAACAGTAATACTTAAGGATATAAAAAGAAAAAAATACTAATTTTCTACAGTAGTCTTGGCTGGTGTGCAATCTTCACAATGAATCAGAGTAAAGAAACATACCTTTAGGGTTTATGTTCTTCATATTATTCCTAATTCTTGCGAGCTGAGTTGGTTGAAATCTCTTTACTCAACTAAATGTTTCTTTTAAATAACGCACCACAATTTTTTGTTTTGCACAGTTGGCACACCATTTATCTCAATCCTAAATACTGAATGACTCTTATTTGATATGGACATTGTTTGGAGAGACTTTCAGTTTTGTATACTTGCCATAATTATTTTAGTAAAACTTGACATTGTATAATTACTTGTGTTAATAATGTAGTAGCTGAATGTATGTAATTTGAAGTAAAAGTATTTGTAAAAGCCAAAAAGCAAAGTACCTTTTATTTAACACTCATTTATCCTGCTAAAACTGATGTTATGGAGACAGGGATTGGAGAGGTTGGGTAAGGAAAGGGAGGCGCTAATATTTATTAATGGCTAATATGTAACAGGTACTGCAATTGGGACCATATAACAATAGCTAATTTAATAATAAATTAATAGCGATGACATGAAAATGCACAATAATCAATATGCCAAGGAAACCAACCAATCAGAGAAGATACTGGCAGTGAGCAGCAAATAAGCCTGGAATGAAAGTTGTTGACTGAAGCTCAGGTGCCAATTATATGTCAGATGTTGTTCTAAGTGCATTTCATGGATTGTCTCCATTCATAGTCCATAAGATTCACTGGATAGTTTCCATTATACTACCATCTTAGAAATGATAAGAGTAAAGAACAGGAAAAGTAAGAAACAGCCTAATTCCCATGGGAAGAAAATACCAATTAAACCTGACCAACCAGACTTCAAGCCCTTGCTCTCCACTTTTTAAACATGCTCTACGGTTAAGAGAAAAAGATTAGAAAATTAATGTAATTTAACTAACTTAGTCTGTTGATTTTCTTAGCCTGGGAAACAAAGAACATGATTCAGGATTGGGCTTCAGAGGGCTTATTCATGCAAAGATTAAAAGTCTATGGACATTTGAATATACATGTATTTGCTTGGTAGACAAATCCAAAGACAATTTTAGAGCCTTAATTTTTCTCACTTGCAATAGTATAGCATATTGCATAGTCAAATTTTTGTATTTCAAAAGTATTGAGATCGCAGAATTAAAATAAAGGCAGTGTGCATAGTTTAAATTATATATGACAGTGTCAATTCAAACCAGATTACACTTGGATAAAATTTGTGTATGCATTTTTAGTTTCTGATTATGATTTTAAAAATGACAAAAATATATTCCAGCTTATCACAAGAATATCCTGGTTTATCTCCACAAGAGAAGAGTTTTACATGGTTGTGTAATCCCATGGCTTATCATGGATTATAATGCAAGATTTTTATTAATCAATTTGGGGCTAACATATGTGACATATTTTATGTCAGAGTGAGAAACTAGCCTAAGTTAAAGATGAAGATCAGTTTTAATTTTCTAGAACTATCTTTCAGTCAACTTTAAACTCTAAAGTACAGATTTTAACCAAATTAATTTGTTATATATTTCAAGGAGAAACATATTTTTGCTTATATACCCATAAAAATGTTAAGGTATATTTAAACAAACAGGCAGAATTTTATTTTTATTATATGTTTCATTTAAATCTGCATAATTTTACTTATTTAAATAACTTCTTCTTACCTAGCAGCTATTTCACTCTATCATCAGCTTTGAACTAAAAGAATTTTGGAAATTCTGACTCAGTTTTGTTAAATAGTTTGAAGAAGTTTGTTTATGGTATAGAGGTCAGCTTTCATTGGGAAAGATCTATTCATGAATCGATTTCCTATAGTAGCAATAGTCAAAGGTAAATATAGCACTTCACTGAATTATTGTTATTTTATTGCTTCTTTTCTTTGTCCTGCATGTTTTAAAAGAGGACTTCGGGCTAGCATGAGGCAAAATGAGAAACCACTTATTGATGATAAAATTGAATGGTTCTAACTAATTTATTACAGCAATCAATAGTATCAGAATGGAGGCAAATGGAATTTTCTCTTTGATATATGGCATATAACTATTTAATAAGGATTAAGTCAAGATTGTCCTTCAGCTAAAAACACATTATAAACTGTAGGACATGAACAAACCTCCAAGGCCCCCTGTCCACCCAGAAAAGTATGTGTTAACTACCAAAAATAATTAAAATTGTTCAAATCTAGGATAAATTATTCAATATTAATTTATTAACAGTTACAATGTTACTCTGAATGTTAACATGAGTATGCTTCTGTCTATACTAAAGTATTTGAATAGAAACCTCTGAATCCTATTTATGTTAATAATTTTGAATCTATATACAATAGATCTCTGAGAGATTTGGCATTTATCTTTTTAAATCAACAGCTTTTTCATTCTCGTGAGCTTGATAAACAAGACAACTTTTACAAAGTGTTAAGCTAATAAAATATATGAAGAAAAACACATGCATATTAATTCTCCTCTTGTAAGGTGAATAAATAGACTTTGGAGCTACTTAGTGGCCATCTGGGAAACACTGAACATAATTTTTTATGTAAAAGTCACCTTAACAGTTTTATTATTTTGAACTTGGGCCTAAATTTATGAAAGGCAGTAAGTGTCAGAAAAAGCTGTGAGAGGGCACTGCTCATTATATTAATATGCATGCATAAATTATAGATGCATAATGTTGAGAAATGATTACATGTTAGATTTAGAAGGACAATAAATAAGTTATACAAAGGAGCAAGTAAGAATAATTATTAGAAATTCTACCCTTTTAAAAGGTAAATAACTTTTATCAAAGAATAGTATAATGAAAACGTACAAAAATGTAACCAGCTCTCAGGAAGTACTTTTTTGCATCTGGACAAAAGTAAATGTAGAAAATAAGTTTTACTGCTTCTTCTAAAGAATGAACTGGATATTCAAAGAAAACTTTTCAAAGAATGTAATAGTTTTCTGATCCTGATTATTTACTATCATTTATTTAAAAATTTTAATATATTTTAATATATATGAATAGATTCAGGTGACTATATATTAACCTTATCAGCATCCTACATAAAATAATTCCTTGTGATTTCATCTTGTGGGAGTGTTACTATTGTAAATAAGGACTCTATAGACAGAATATATAAGTTAAAACTATAATACTAGGTTGCTTGCTCTTAAATCTTCTTTTTTTTTTTTTTCCTTTTAAGGCAGCAGCTCACTCTGTCACCCAGGCTGCAGTGCAGTGGCATGATCACAGTTCACTGGAGCCTCTATCTCCCGGGTGCAAGCCATCTTTCTGCCTCAGTCTCTCAAGTCCCTGGGACTACAGGTGTGCACCACTACACTTGGCTAATTATTCGATTTTTTTGTAGAGATAAAGTCTAACTACATTGCCAGGCCAGTCTCAAACTCCTGAACTCAAAGGGCTCCTTCTTCCTTGG